>NC_000008.11:75927265-80795743 GCF_000001405.40 Homo sapiens | reverse complement strand
AAATACTGTTTTTTTTTTTTTTTTTGAGATGGAGTTCCCCTCTTGTTGCCCAGGCTGGAGTGCAATGGCACGATCTCGGCTCACTGCAGCCTCTGCCTCCTGGGTTCAAGTGACTCTCCTGCCGCAGCCTCCCGAGTAGCTAGGAATCAGAACACTGTTCAGATGCAGTCTATTGAGGCATTTTATTTCTTTTTTTTTAACTTAACATAATGTAAAAGCGTATTTTCAATGTTCCAGTCAGTCCTGGATATATTTGGCTGATAGTTTAAAGAAATAAAATCTTCCTACAGGGTTCAGTTATTAAAATAGAACCAACCACCCACTCATTTTATTACATTCTGTGGAATGTTTTTGGATGACAGTCTAAGTATCTTAATTAGTCTCCAGCTGATTTATAACGCCTTGTTTTATGTTTCACATTTAATATCTCAAAATTACAAGTTACAGTGCCATTTTTATTCCGTGCCATTAAAACAGGGTGAACAATATTTTTTAAACAGAAAAAGGCAGGTTCCATTCAGAAACCCAAAGGTCATTCATTTGCATTGTCTCTTCATTTTTAGGTGCTGGTGCTTCTTGTCTGTCCCACTGAGTCTCTGTGTTGTTATTCATCTAAGCTCTGTGTGTGCGCTTGTGTGAGGGCATTGGGATGGGAGATTCCCCTACAGCTGGATTCTGCATCCAGGAAATAAAATCTGTCGCTCATCTCATGGTTTGAACACACACTTGCTCAATTTAGGGTTTATCCTATGCACTTCTGTCTCTGTGCAATGCTTCATGTACCATACATTTATACTGTGGCCATTTGTTTTTGTTTTCATAAACATGTACATGAAAAAGTTCCTCAGAATTCTACTCATGGCATCATAGAAACCAGACAGGGAAAATAATCCTAGAGTTTCTCTCCAAACCTAAGCCTCAAGTTTAGTTGCAATTTTGTCATTTTACACATTTACCATCAATGGTTCACTTATTCAGAATGGCTAATTTCACATCCACTTGTTTTGTTCCCAGGCACAGCTTTGTGTGTGTCCAAACAGAAACAAAATCTGTAATTAACTGCATTTGTTTGCAAAGATCTTGGCAGTTTTACTGTTTGATCTCCTTCATCTAGAAGCTTTAGTTATGTTGCATAGCTTTTTTCCTGAGAATAAGTTAGACATATTGGAAAATTAAAGTAACTTTTTGGTTTCTTTCAATGTGATATCTTGCTGCCCAAAAGAGCTGATTTGTCTCATGAAGAGTATTTTTATATTGGGTCGTTGTCTTTTATGTGAGCTGTTTCCTGGAAAGATTTTTGAAATGTTGAGCTACAAGATTAACAGCAGTTTCTTTGGTGATTAACCTGAGCTATTAATAATTGCTCTTTTTACATCATTGATATTAAAATCAAACTGTGAATGATTACTATATGAGTGTCTCTATAAAGCCAACAAAATTGAAGAAGCTCGAGTTTCTCTCCTAAAGTTACTTGTTTTCTTAAGAAACATATCTGTCAGGCAAAAAGTCAAAATTCACCAAAATAATATTAAGATTTCCTGAAGTAACAAATTTCTCTTCCTCTATGGTTATATATACATCTCGTTTATTCATAGTTTCATTGCCTAGGCTCTCTCTTTTTTTGTAGCTTTGTTACCTCTTAATTTTGTCCAACTAATGTCAATTTTCTTGTTATTTATAACAAGTATAAATTTCAGATGTCTGTACAATGATGCCTGTTTATATGCAGCACTTCTTATGATGTCTTTGCCATGTTATTTGGAATTCTTTCATCCCCCTATTTGTACTGGATACCATTCAATACATTTAGCAAGTAGGAAGACATCATTTAACCTCTTCCACTAATGAGAAGGTGGCCATTGCATTGTCTTAGATAAGCAGTTGCTTTCTTCTTGCCAAATAAAAAATAACTTCTCAGTTTTCATTGTGGTACATAGAGAGTGGTCAATAAAATTAATGAAACCTCCTTAATTTATTGTAGCATTCAATATTATTGGTGATTTTTTGTTATTTTCTTATGCAATTAATTGTTTTTATTATAATGAAATATACAGTTATTTTAAATAATTTGTAAATATAGATAAAGAAAGGAAATAGAAAGCATCCATAAACCAGCCGTTTGGTTTATGGATACTACTATTAATACTTTGTTATTATTCTACCCATTTCTTTATATTATGCTTTACATAAACAGCTTACTTTTCTAAATAATGGGCTTACATGGTACATGATGTTTTGAACTTTTTAATATAATAATTAATATATTATGAATGTATTTCATGAATATCTACATCTAGAGCATAATTTTAATGAATGAATTGTATTATAGCATATGTATGTGCCACTTTTTTGGGGTTTATCTCTCCCATCTGAGTCTTGAGCCCATCATATACTAAACATCTTCACTTGGATAACCTACAGACCCATCAATACTTGGTGTTCTCCAGATAACATGTATCATCTTCTCCACACGCACTTTTTCTCCCGTGTTCCCATGTCAATTGCTCCTTATTGCTCAGTACAGGAAGCTGGACATCATCTTTGATCCACACTCCCATACCCCACCTTAAATCAGTCACCACATCTTAGGTTATTCAATTCCAAATTTCTCTCAAATCCATTGCTCCTCCCTTGTCCCTACATATGTGCCATTTTTAGTCAGCAAATATTCTAGTAGACATTTTGGTTGTTTTATGTATTTATAGTTACAAATAGCACTGTGGTTAACTGAATTAGTTATATATTGCTGTGTAGCGAACAAATTACTCCCAAACCTATTGGATTGAAACAACATGCATCAGTTTCTGTGGGTCAGGAATCTGGGCATGGCTTAGCTGGGTCCTCCGCTTCAGGATCTCTTGCAAGTCTGAAATTAAAGTGTTGGCCAGGGCTATCTGAAGGCTCAACTAGGGATAAATCCACTTCTGAGCACATATGATTGTTGCAGAATTCATTTCCGGAAGAGTAGTTGGACTGAGGTCCTCAGTTCTTAGGTGGCTGTCAGCTGGAAGTGGCTGTCAGTTCCTTGCCATGTGTGCCTCCCCATATACCAGCTTGCTTCAGCAAAGCCAGCAAGAGGAAACCTTTACTCCTGATGTGTTAAAAGGATCTCATGTATTTACAATGCTAGGGAGAGAATCTGCTAGCACGACAGGAGTCACAGTCTTTTTTGTAGCCTAATTAAAGAAATGACATCCCATGCCATCAACTTGGCTACATTCCCTTTGCTAGAAGCAGGTCACTAGGCCAGCCCACACTCAAGGGGAAGGGATTATATCATGGTCTGCAAACCAGGAGCAGGGATCTTTGGGGGTCATGTTAGAGTATGCCCCCACATTAACCATCCTGTAGCCAAGCCTTGTGTATATTCTTACATATTTCCAAGTGTTAAACCTGAGAAGAAATATTCCTAATTAAAGGGTTTGCATACTTTTTGGGTGTTCTAATGTCTTTTGCCAGAAGTTGTTCAAATTTGCATTTCTAACAGCAGTTACACTCCCACCAGCTCAGAGAGCCTAATCAGTTTTTCTCTTTCTCTGTTTAAAATCTTGTTCAATCTAGTAGGGGAAAATGGGACCACCTTGAATCTCTTTCCCATGCTTTCATGGTGCCGAGCCTTCCAGAACTTCTACCCACTGCCTTTTCCTTTCTGTCTCTATTCTTTACTTTTCTTTCCTACCTCCACATCAGATGTGCCCCCAGGGCTGTGCCTTTGGTCTTCTATTTTTCTTTCTCCAGTCATTCAGCAAATGTTTGTGGGCCAACACTGAGCTCACCTGCTCTCAAGAGTCAGGCACCCATTGTGAGCTGATTCCCAAGACTCAAGTCCAGCCTAATCTTTCCCTGGGCTTTACACCCATTCTTCCAGCCACCTACAAACCTCTCTGCATGGATGTCCTGAGAATATCTCCAACTTAATGTACCTGGCTGAACTCATCACTTCCTTACCCCTTCCTCCTTCCAGAAAATGAGCTTCCCCTCCTTGCTGTTCCCTGCTCCCTTGCTGAAAGTGCTGCCATCATTTTTTTTTTCAGCCCAGATAACTGTAGACAGAGTGGAGACTTGTCAGCAGAAGCCTTGGCTGCTTCTCCCTGCACAGAGTAAGGAAGTGTTTTGCTGTGTATAGGTAGGAGTCACTTTTGGAAGAGAGGAGCTCAGTGAGTCATGTTCTCCAACAAATCAGAGTCTGCTATTAAGACTGTGGTTCCCACAGGCTGAGATTCAGCAGTTATCTCCCCACTAAACATGCCCCTGTGTGAGCCACCAAACTTCTAAGCATTTCCTGCACCTGGGACTGCCCACTGGTCTGATAATTTGTGACTCTGGGCCCTGTATTTTTCACCTACTTTGATTAGAGATGGGAATCTCCTTCCCCCTTTCTGGGCAGATTCCTAAGGATCTGCAGGGACAGGGATGGCTAGTGATACACTATCACTCCACCTCACCTTTGCATGCATTCTTCTCTCACAAGTGCAGAGTATGAGCAGGAGGTTCTTGTTGATTATCCTCTTCTGCCCAAAAAGTGAAAGTAGGCTTGTGCCTGGAAAATATCCTTTTACATTCTACACTCTCATCCTAATTCCATTTTACCTGAAGATATTAGTCAGAACACTCATTTTCTTACTCTTGATAAGCTGTAAGGATTTCATGCATTTACTGAACCAGCTCCACATCAATTCAGCAGGATTTGCTATAGTGCTCCCTTTTCTCTCTCCCTCACCCCAAGTTAATATTGCATTTTAAAATACTGGGGACACTTTCTTCCTTCATTCACCCTCCCTGCCCCCTGAGACATGGCCCTGGCAATGTGCATTTTCTTCCACCGTTTTCATAAGGGTCTCTCACCTGAATTTTTAGTAAACTCTTTCTTAGTTGTCTGTGCTGCCTTCAACATTTCCTCTTCTCACTTTGCCCCTCCTCCCTTTTTATTTTTTATTGATGTCCCAGAGCATCCTTCAATAAACTTAGCTTCATGCCCTCAGAACTTCTTAACCCTCAGATTGCCCACTCTGCCCAGTGTGGCTCCACTCAATCTGTGTGTCACCATCTCACCCCGGGACCTCTGCCACCCACCTTTCAGCTGGTCTTCCTATTCCCACCTCCCGCTCTTGCACTCCTCCCTGGGTTCCTGCTGTGCTGGCCTTCTCCCACTAGTATCATTGTCACCTGATCACTTTCTTGCATATAGTTTCCCATTTCCTGTCATTGTTTTTTAAAAAAGTCTGTAAACTGGTCCCACCTCATGTATGTGTGTGTGTATTTACATAGGTGATTTTTATTTCCGGTACCTTTCTAACACACCATCTGCACTCATCACCAGTCCTTGGCCCTCAGGCATTCCTAACTCATCCTTTTCCTATTTTCCCTTCCTGAACACTCATCTTCCTTCTCTCCACTGATCCATGTCCTCCCCATAACCAAGGTCCAGTTCAGGGCCAACCACTGTAACTCTAGGCCACGGAGTCACAACCCTAACTGCACATTAAAATCCCCTGAGGTGTTCTTAAAATAATATTTTAGCTGGGCCCAGTCCTTGCACAGTTGAAACTTAAACTCTTGGGTAAGACTCAAGCATCTTTGTTTTTTTCAAAATACCCCTAACCCGGAGGATACTGATGCACATTGAAGAGTGAGAACAACAGCTTCTAGCTGACACAGCACACTGGAAATGCTGTGGTATTGATAACCAGTGCCACACACTTCCACACCAATCTTTTCCCACCTTGCCTACCTTTGTTTTCTTACCAGATTCTGAAACGCATACTTGTAAATATCTGTTCATGGACAAGTCATTGGATTTTAACGTACAAATATCCTTTCTCTGACTATTTCTTCTTGACATCTTTCATTGAGTATAATCTTATCTGCATCAAACAGAAATGGAAGCATAAACCTGAGATACTGGCAGAAGCTTTGAAGGTACTTACTTCATTTTATTGCTTATTGTTGAAGTTGAATCATGTGTTATTTTTAGGGGTTTTTTTTTGTTATTAGTTTTTCAGAGGACAGAGTCTGACTCTGTCACCCAGGCTGGAGTACAGTGGTTCCATCATAGCTTACTGCAGCCTCAAACTCCTGTGCTCAAGAGATCCTCCCACTTAAGCCTTCTGAGTAACTGGGACTGCAGGCATACCTGGCCAATTTTTTAAAAACAATTTTGTAGAGACAGGGTCTCACTGTGTTGCTCAGGCTAGTCTCAAAACTCTTATCCTCAACCTATCCTCCCTCTGTGGCCTCCCAAAGTGCTGGGATTACAGACATGAGCCACCACACCCAGCCTATTTTTAGTTATGCTCTTTGTAGTGTTCTTGGGTTTACCATCTTTAACAATTAATTTAACTTAGCACATTACAATACCTCATATAAGTTATGTTTCATCTTTGCTGATATATCAATGTAAGATGGTAACTAAATTAGACCTCATAATCAGTAGCTAGTTCTTCCACCACCAGACCATACTAATTATGCTGTGACACTGTCAGAAGTGCATGATGATGTCCACACTGTACCTGTTTTTAATCATTTCCTCACTTTAAAACTGTCATCAAAAATGCTGTTTTTCTCTTTTGTAGAATCATTCTGGTTTCTTCCTAATAAGTGTTTTTGGAGTTGTTTTCTTATGGTTTCTCTTGGTTTTAGCATTGATCATTGTAGGAAATCTAATTGAAATTAATGGTATATATCATCTTTTTACTCTTTAACACTTTGCAATGCTTTAATAATTTTTAATGAAAATAGTATATTACTTTTAGGAGCACATATTTACCCAAATACAGTCGATAGTTTTTCGAAGTAGAGGTCCTTGGGAGATCTGGTTTAAGAAGTAGAGAAAAATGGGCAGTGGTTAGTACATAGTTGTTTTTAAGTGGGGATTTTGAAATTCTTAAGGGTACGCAACACAATTTTTATCAGAGTTGGTTTGGAGCATGCAGTAGAAACCTGACTAAAGAGTGGCTTAAACAAATTTGTTTTCCCCCCTTCAGGTAATAAAAAATCTTAAAGAAACCACTGCAGTATATGCAGTGGCTCAGGTGTCGTAAAGGCCCAGACTCCTTGTGACTTCATGCTCCGCCTTCCTTCATAGGTGGCTGTCATCCTCATAGACCTAAGATCCTTTCTACAGTTTCCAACAGCACACTTTTTGCCAGGCAGACACAAGATGAAATTCAGAGAACAAAAGGTAAAGAATTGAGTTTGCCCTTTTAAGCAGCTTTCCCTGAATTCTACCCCTATGCCTTCCAGTTACATCTCATTGGACAGAATTGTCACTTGACCACTTTTATCACCTAGGAGATATAATTTTTTAGCTGCAACTATTGCCATCCCAAATAAACGAAACATTCTGTTAGAAAGAAAGGGAGACTGGTTATAGAGCAGGTAGCTGGTAGTGTCTGCCATTCTAGTTCATTGAGCATTTTAATTTTTCTTTATGATTTGTTGTTAAAAGTTCTGCATTTTCTAGTAGTAAAAGATTGATTAACTCAAGACCAGCATTTGCTAATTTTTATAAATTATAAATGATTTTGGTTTAAATGAGTGAAGTTTTATTCTGTTGGTTTTACCTTTTTGTTTATAAAAGTATTCAACTACTCTAATTATTGCAACACTTTTTAAAAATCATGTCACTGCATATTGCATGAAATTCTGACTATCATGTTTGGAATTTTATTAATAAAAATAAAATATGTCATAAATTTATGCTGCCTGGTGTTTTGATTTTGCAATTTGCAAATATGCTTGAAATCCTGCTAATATGGGAAAGTAGGAACCGGCTAAATCATAATGGCTACAATATGGCAAAGAAACTGTTTCCTCCTCTCATTGGAGTAGGCAAATTTTAGATGGAAAATTATTGCAGTTAAGATTTTATACAAGATAATTTTTTAAAAGAAATAAATTCCTTTATAATTTGTTTTTCTCCTTACAACATACTGGTGGTGCTTTTGGGGCATTTTAAATTATAAGGTGCAATGTGAACTGATAACCTAACTTAGTTTTGTACTACAGATCTCAGAAGTAGGAAGGAGGGAGAGTGGAACTGAGCTGTGATTATTGTCACCAGAAAATATACTGGGAAGGGGTAAACATGAGGCAATAAAAACTCGCCTCACTGTTAAAAAAGAAAACTAGAAAATTAAAGAAATCAGCCATATTGACTCAGCTGAAATATATTTTTTTCATTTAAATTCCTGATGATTTTATTCTGAATAGTTTGTAAGACTATAGGTGCATGTTTAAAATGCAGTTACCCTCCACAGGATGTTGGGTTGTGTTTATTAAAAGCTTAGCATAGGAAGCGCTTTGATCTCCTAACTCTTGTAGGGTTTTGTGTTATTGCTTTTCTGAGTAAGAACTCCTGGATTGCTGGTGACATGTCGGTGACATGATTAGACCTTTAAGGTGAGTGTGTGTGCACGCACATGTAGATGTGCAAATGTACATATACACACGTGTGCTCTCATATGCATAATTTTTGAAGAAAGAGGTAAAGAGAAAAAATCTGGCAGCATTTCTAAAAAAGGTGTTCTGAATTGCCTGATTTCCTTGGATGGTATCCCAGATGCTTCCTATCAGATGAAGTAGCACATAGAGTACAGCAGATGTAAAATAGTGCACAAAATCTTTTCTCTTCATGAGGTTATTGCAGTGGTTCAAATATTTGCCATAATCTTAGCAATTAAAGTGTATACTATCCACCTCTGCTTCAATCACACTTATTCAATAAAAACAAGCCTCTTCTGTGCTTTAGTATATTTTACTACCATATTTAACAACTAACACGGACTTACTAAAAATGTATTCTTTTTGTATAATAATCAGGAGTCTTATTTATTCATTTCTTGATAATAAATCCTGATCTTCTGGGCTATCAGCACATGGGCTTAGTATATAAGACTGTTTATTTTAAAACAGCTCTTATTACAGGTTCAGACTTTTTGCTTTAAATCTGGGCTATCGGTGAGTCCAGTCTCTGACCCAGAGCAGGAGTTTCCATCACAACATCCAGGACAAGCCATTGGTGATTGTCTGACTGAGCACACCTATTTATGATACAGAGTTCATGACTTTTCAAGACCAGCACATTTCTCTTTATGATAAAGTTTTGATTTGTACACAGTTTTCCTCATATTAACTTCAGATTTTCTTCCATGTAAGTTACGTGGATGGTTCTGATTGTGCCCTAGGGAGCAATTGCAGACTGTCTCTTCTACATGGCAGTCACTCAAATATTTGAATACAATTATTATGTCCTTTCTAAATATCTTCTTTTTCAAACCAAACATCCTTGTGGAAGTTTGAAGAAAGAGAGGAATGGTAGGTAGCAGTGTAGCAGAAAATTGTTCAAGTAAAAATCAGTCGGCCTCAGACAGACACAGAAGCTGGATCTCTTTAGGGTTGTCCAGATAGCTGACTGTAGCTCAGCACTTAAGCAACTCACATGAAGAGGGACTGTAAGTGTAGATGCCTTATTTACTTATTTAAGACAGGGTCCTGCTTTATTACCCAGGGAGGAGTGCAGCAGCATGATCTCAGTTCACTACAACCGCGGCCTCCCAGGCATAAGTGATCCTCCCACTTCAGCCTCCCGAGTAGCTGGAACTACAGGTGTATGTCACCATGCCTGACTAATGTTTGTGGGTTTTTTTATAGAGACAGAGTTTCCCCGTGTTGCCCAGGCTGGTCTCAAACTCCTGGGCTTGAGCAATCCACCTGCCTCAGCCTCCCAAAGTGCTGGGATTACAGGTGTGTGCCACCACACCTGGCCTAGATGCCATGTTTATACATATTTATAGATACGTGTATATATGTGGGTTAGTATGCACACATATATTTTCTTGCATCAGCCAAGATGGCCTAGAAACAATACCCCAGTAGCAAGAAGAACACCCACCAACTAGACCTTGGTTTTTAATACTATTTTCTAGTAAAAGAAATCAGGGCCTGGAAAAATGATTGATTCTAGGAATGAGTCAGGAAATATACAGGATGAGCCTGGAGAATCTTATAATACCAGAAAGCAGAAAGTGAGGAAGTAAAAAACAAAAACAAACCTCACTGATGGCAACATGTCAAAGGAGCACAAGATCTAACAGAAGGATCTGCCAGTGGCTAAAGCTGGGGACAGCTTAAGCAACAAAGTAAAGTAGTATTGGATGGTTAACCCAAACTATAAAATAAATGCCCATGAGTCCGTATGTATATAAATAAATGATTTGATAAATAAAGAGGAAAAAATGGGTAAGTCACCTTGCAGAAGAATCCCAAATAACTTTTGTCGATACTCCCACCTCAAGGAAGTAGAACATAACCCTTCACTTTTTCAGTATAGGCTGCTCATAATGACCTTCCAAAGAGTAAAGTATGCAAAAGAGGAAAAAAAGAGTAAATACAGTGGAGAAACCTAACAAATACTACTTTACCCAGATGTGATGGAAATAATGCTTTACTTCTTGTGGTTTTCTTCCCAAAAACCCATAGCCCCAGTGTAATCAAGTGAAAAACATCAGACCAATCCCAATTGAGGTGTATTCTGTAAAATACTTCACCAGTACTCCTTGAAACAGCAAGGTCATCAAAAACAAGGAAAGTCTGGGAAACATCACAGCCAGCAAGAGCCTGAGGGGGCATAAAGACTAAATGTAATATGGTATCCAGGATGAGACCCTGGAACAGAGAAAGGACATTAAGCAAATCAAGGAAATCTGAATACAGTGTGGACTTTAGTTAATAATGATGTATCAATATTGTTTCATTAGTTGTGACAAATGTATCTACTAATGTAAGATAATAGGGGAAACTGCATGGGGGCTGTATGGGAACTCCACACTATCGTCTCAGTTTTTCTGTCAATCAAAAACTGTTCTAAAAAATAAATTTTAAAAAATGTTTAAAGATAACTTGGAGAAAGCCTAGATGACCTTGGGTATGGTGATGACCTTTTAGAAACAACAGCAAAGACAAACTCCATGAAAGAGGCAGTTAATAAGCTGTACTTCGTCAAAATTAAAAACTTCTGCTCTGCAAAAGACAGTGTCAAGCGAAGGAGAAGACAAGCCACAGACTGGGAGAAAATATTTGCAAGGACTGTTATCCAAAATATACAAAGAACTCTTAAATCTCAAAAATAAAAAAACAACCCAATTAAAAAATAGGCAAAAGACCTGAACAGACATCTCCTCAAAGAAGACACGCAGATGGCAAATAAGCATATGAAAAGAGGTTCAACATCATATGTTATTAGGAAATTGCAAATTGAAACAAGAAATCACTATATACCTATTAAAATGGCCAAGATCCAGAACACTGACAACACCAAATGCTGATGAGGAAGTGGAACAACAGAAACTCTGAGTAGTTGCTGGTAGGAATGCAGAATGGTACAGTCACTTTGGAAGACAGTTTGGCAGTTTCTTACAAAACTAAACATATTCTTATCACTCAACTCAGTAATCACACTCCTTGGTGTTTATCCAGATGAATTAAAAACTTATATCCACACCAAAACCTGCATATAGATCTTTATAGCAGCTTTATTAATACTTGCCAAAACTTGGAAGCAATGACGTCCTTCAGTAGGTGAATGGATAAACTGTGGCACATCCAGAAATGGAATACCATTCAGTGCTAAAAAGGCAGGAGCTATCAAGCCACAAAAAGACATATGGAGTATGAGGACAGAGGGTGCTCAGCAAAAAAGAAAAGATATGGAAGAAGCTTAAATGCACACCACTAAGTGAAAGAAGCCAATCTGAAAAGGCTACATACTGTATGATTCCAACTATATGACATTCTGGAAAGGACAAAATTGTGGAGACAGTAAAAAGATCAGTGGTTGCCAGGGGTTGGAGGAAGGGAGGGATGAGTAGAGAGAACACAGAGGATTTTTAAGGCAGTGAAACTACCTTGTATGATGCTATAATGGTGACTCTGCCTGTCATTAACCCTTAGAAGGCACAATACCAAGAGTGACCCCTAGTGTAAACTGTGATCTTTGGGTGATAATGTCTCAGTGTAGGTTCATCAGTTGTAACTGTGTTGATCGATGTCGGCAGTGGGAAAGGTTGTACAGGTTGAGGGAAGGGGGAACATGGGAACTTTCTGTACTTTCCTCTCAATTTTTCTGTGAACTTAAAACTGCTCTAAAAAACAAAGTTTATTAATTCAAAAATGCCAATAAGAAATCTATGATGTCCCCTTCCCCCATTAGGCAAGCTGAATGGAAGTCACGTTATCCAAAGGCTACCCCAGTTGCTAGGAGAACATGGAGTCAGAACAAGAATGGACTTAAGTCAGTTGCTGGGCTTAATACCTAGGTGATGGGATTATCTGTGCAGCAAACCACCACAGCACACATTTACCCATGTAACAAACCACCACATCATGCACAGGTACCGCTGAACTTAAAAGCTGGGGGAAAAATAAAAAGAATGGACTAAAGTCACATAATTTAAATGTGTGATGGCTTCAAACTCCTACAGTTGAATGTTGTGGTCTTTCTTAGATGGACAGGCCTTCTCTTCTGGACAGGGCAGGCTAGGCAAGGCAAATGTTTGCTTCTGTCATCCTACTTTTGCTCCTGCTCCCTGTGGACATACACACCTCTGCTGAACACACATGTTCAGTCTGGTTATCTGGTTTCCAGGAGTGCAAATGTATAGACTTTATCCATTTATAGCCCTGACCCATTATGCTTTGATTTTGTAGTTTAACTTTCAAACCATGCCATTTCTGTGGTTTCCAAGTACAGTGCCCTTGAACAACACAGTTTTCAACAGCTCAGATCCACTAATATGTGGATTTTTTTCAATAAGTGCAGTCGGCACTCCATATGGGCGGGTTCCATGTCCACAACCAAACACCAATCAAAAATACAGTATTCACGGGATGCAAAACCCACATAGAGGGACGACAGGAGGATTTTGTGAGGATTTTGGTATCCTTGAGGGTGGGAAGCATCCTGGTGCCATTCACCTGCGAATACCAAGCAGCGACTGTACTTCCTCAAAAGCACTGCTGACAACCCAAGATCCCTCAGATGTCCTTAATGAAACCCTTTTTTCAGGCTCTTTCTTACCCTGGTCGTCCTCCTCTTCTGGTTACACTCCCATTACTAAATACCATTCCTACTATTGTATATTAACGTTCCTTTTAAAACCTAGTGCCTAGAATAGCAGAAGGACTCTACATATCATGTGATTATTTCAGAGTACAGTGGACTCTTGTATTCATCTGGACATCGTAATTGTATTAATGCAGCCAAAATTATATTAAGTACTTCAGCAGCCCCATCTCCCTAGCTCTTGTTGAGACTCTAGTTAAAAACATCCCTGAGGCCTTTTATCCTCTGAACTGCTGCATCACGCAGCTGCTTGTAAAGCCGTCTCTCCTCCAACTTGTGCTTTTATAATTGAATCTCTTTAAATGTAAATGCAGACAATTACATTTGTCCTAGTTAAATTTCATCTTGTTATTTCGAGCCCAGAGCTCCAGCTTGTTGAGATCTTATTGAATCTTGGTTCTGTCATGGATTTCTGTTATGCATACTTGCTTGTGTCTGCAACCCAGGTAGAGAGGCTTGAAAATAAATATATCCCAGCTGCGCTAACTCAAAGCAAGAGGTACTGAGAGAAGACAGCAGTGATGATTGCTCGGGGATGGGGAAGGCAACTGCCCATTCTCTAAGCAGTAATTTCCTAATATTTTTGGTGGCAGTTCACAGTTCAACATTATGAGATATAGCAAAAGCCATTTATTGCTAATTACATTTAACTGATGTCTATGAAGGACTATTCCTATACATTAGAGTGAATTTGAGACTATCTCCATCATTCTCCAGCCATTCTTCAGTGGGAGAAAAACGGTGGAATTAAACTAGTGGAAACAAGGCTTTCTCATCTAGTCCCAATCCAGTCGATAAGCTGTGTTTGCCAATCACTGCTCCAGCACAATGGCCCTCAGTTTATTTTTAAGTCTATGGCATGCCTGAAGGACCATGTTCCCATGAGTGACACCCTTCTGTAAATGTGGTGGCACATTATGGGCTGCTGTTTTAGAAGAGACTGCCAACTTGCTGGGGATTATCCTGGTGTATTCCTTTCTCTCCGGCTGGTTCGTGACATGTCACTGGCTTGAAAATTCTCAGCCCTAACATTTAAAGCAGCGATTCGCAAAGTGCAGCACTTTTAAGCTGAGGTTGGCAAACTGTGGCCCATAGACCAAATCTGGTTCACCACCTGTTTTTAGTACATCACTAAATGGTTGGGGGAAAATCAAAAGAAGAATAATATTTCATGACGTGAAAATTATATGAAATTCAAATTTCAGTATGCATAAATAAAATATTGAACACAGTCATGCTTATTTGTTTATGTATTGTCATTGGCTGCTTTTGCAAATAGTAGCAGAATTGAGTAGCTGTGACAGAGACTATATGACCCACAAAGCCTAAAATATTTACAGATATGGCCCTTTACAGAAAATGTTTGCCCACTCTTGTGTTAATGGGATGGTTTAGAAACTGTGGATTTTTGAGCCCCACCTCAGACCAGATAAATCAGAATGTCTACAGATGGGGGTCCAAGAATGTACATTTTAAGCAAGCTCTTGAAATTCACCCCTAGGCGAACAGTGAGACAAGACTAATGATCATGAGCTAAGGATATGGGAAAGGAAAAGATTCTGCCCTACTTTTTCTGCCGAACTTATTGTGTTTTAATCCAACGCTGTAATTTTGCTACAGACTGTATAAATTATGTGGATCAGTTTCTAAGCACTTCTCTCCAATTCAGCTCTCTTCCAAACTTTTCTATTTTGTGGAAAGAAGGTTGTATTAGTTTCTTAGGGCTGCTGTAACAGATTATGAACTGTGGGTTGACCTGACCAACAGAAGTTTGTTCTTTCACAGTTCTGGAGGCCAGAAGTCCAAAATCCAGCAGGGGTGTGCTCCCTCTTGGGGGTCTAGGGAAAGAACCCATTCTTTGCCTTTTTCAGCTTGTGGTGGCTGTCAGCGCTCTTGACTTGTTAGTACCTCACTGCAGTCTCTGCCCCAGTGATCGCATTGCCCCTTGCTCTTCTCTGTGTCTTATTTTTCATCTGCCTCAAATCTTCCTCTGATTTTCTCTTATAAGGACATTTGTCATGGGACCTGGGGCTCACACGGCTAATCCAAATGATCTCATCTCAAGATCCTTAATATAATTATATCAGCAAAGCTACAAAGACCTCTTTTCCAAATAAGGCCACATTCACAGGTTTTGGGGGTTAGGACAGGGACATCTTTTTGAGGCCACCATCCAACTCAATACACATGCCGCTGTTCTCCTCTTCCCCCAACAGCCAGTCAGTTTCCAAGTCTTGAAGATTCCATCCGCTTCTCAAGTCCTACTTGCACCATTCTGATCTCTTTCTGCCATAGGAATCTCTTAGAAATTTCTGACGGTTTCCTACTCTTCGAAAAGTTCAGAACATACTTCTAAGCCTGACATTTAGGGCTCTCTGCAGTAATGTTGCCAGCGTATTTTCCATTTCTTTCTCTTTCTTCTTCCCTCCATGTACCTTGCCCTCCAGCCACACTGTGCCACTTGCCGTTGCCCTCACTGCTCCTCCCTTCTCTCTGAACCCTCTCACACTGTTCCTTCTTCCTGGAACACTGGTTGTTCCTCCATCCTTATCACCATGACCCCTACCCCTGTATCACCTAACACCCAGATATCTTTCAAAGTCCATCTGAGGTCCTACCTCCCCATGAGAGCTTTGCTGCTCCTTCCCACTAGGGATGAATCTCTGAGCCTTCGGCACCTCACATGGTATATTATTATTATTATAATATTAATATTATTATTATATTTAGCTATTTTGACTGCAAATGTAGGAAAATTAACAAAATAAAGGAAATTAAGAAAAGTAATTCTAAAGTTTAGTAAAGTGACAGCAAACAAGATCAACTTTTAAAAAAGACGGTTATCCTGTAGAGAGTGACTCTAGTTTATAACCAGTAAGAAAATATAATTTTAAAATGCTCAGTAGTGAAGTAGTGTAACTAAAATATTCTTAATGTGAAATGTATTATTAGTATCTATGTGAAGATGTTTTAAATTTTGAGAGACAAGTGAAGATGACTAAAAGAAATACATACTATTTTCCTTTAGATAATGTAAAGATGTCATTCTTTATACATTGATTTTAAGGTTTAGTGTCGTTTTTATGGAATATTTTAAAATTTTATTTATATAATAGGGTACTGATCAAAATTCCAATAAGATGAGCCTCATCTTCCAAGAGATAAGACTAGGACATAAAAGGATTTCAAAACTTGTTAAGAATAACCCACAAAAATTAGCTGGATGTAGTGGTGTGCTCCTGTGGTCCCAGCTACTCGGGAGGCTGAGGCAAGAGAATCACTTAAACCTGGGAGGCAGGGGTTGCAGTGAGCCAAGATCGTGCCACTGCACACCAGCCTGGGGGAGAATAACTACACAAATGAAGATAAGACACATCCAAATTTAAAAGGATTATGTAAAACAACTGGCCTGGAATTTTTTTTAAATGTCATGTCATAAAAGATAAAAAGAGACAAATGGGAGAGGAAGGAGGAGGAGGAAAGAAGGAGAAAGAGAAAGGAAAGAATGAAGGAGAGGAAGGAAGGAAGAGGGGGAGGGAGGAAGGAAGACATATATTGAAAGATGTTAGAGATACATAACTAATGTAATGGGTGATCCCTTTTTTTTTAAATTTTATTTTCGGTTCAGGGGTACATGTGCAGATTTGTTATGTAAGTAAACTTGTGTCACCAGGGTTTGTTGTACAGATTATTTTGTCACCTAGGTACTAAGCCTAGTACTCAATAGTTATCTTTTCTGCTCCTCTCCCTCCTTCCACGCTCCACCCTCAAGTAGGCCCCAGTGTCTGTCATTCCCTTCTTTGTGTTCATGAATTCTCATTGTTTAGCTCCCACTTGTAAGTGAGAAGATGCGGCATTTGGTTTCTGTTCCTGCATTAGTTTGCTAAGGATGATGGCCCCCAGCTCCATCCATGATCCTGCAAAAGACATTATCTCATTCTTTTTTATGGCTGCATAGTATTCCGTGATGGGTATGTACCACATTTTCTTTATACAGTCTACCGTTGGTGGGCATTTAGGTTGATTCCATGTCTTTGCTGTTATGAGTAGTATAGTAATGAACATTTGTGTGCATGTGTCTTTATGGTAGAATGATTTCTATTCCTCTGGGTATATACCCAGTAATGGGACTACTGGGTTGAATGGTAATTCTGTTTTTAGCTCTTTGAGGAATTGCCATTCTGCTTTCCACAATGGTTGAACTAATTTACACTCTCACCAACAATGTATTAAGTGTTCCCTTTTCTCTGCAACCCAACCAGCATCTGTTATTTTTTGACTTTCTAGTAATAGCCATTTTGAGTGGTGTGAGATGGTATCTCATTGTGGTTTTATTTGCATTTCTCTAATGATCAGTGACACTGAGCTTTTTTTTAATATGCTTATTGGCCATATGTATGTCTTCTTTAGAAAAGTGTCTGTTCATGTCCTTTGCCCACTTTTTAATGTTTTCTTTCAATTTGTTTAAGTTCCTTATAGATGCTGGATATTAGACTTTTATCAGATGTGTGGTTTGCAAATATTTTCTCAATGGGTGATTCTTGATCAGTTTTTTAAGCTTTGAAGTTAATTATGGGAATATTGAATTTCAATATTGAGTGTGTATTGGGTAATAGTATTGAATACAGTAATGGCGTTGTGGTTACAAAAAACGCCCTTGTTCTTAAGAGCGATATATTGAAATATTTAGGGGTGAGGTGTTATGATATTTGTGGGTTACTTTCTTCTTTTTTTTTTTTTTTGTTGAGTCGCAGCCTCACTCTGTCGCCTAGGCTGGAGTGCAGTGGCGCGATCTCGGCTCAATGCAACCTCTGCCTCCTGGGTTCAAGCAATTCTCCTGCCTCAGCCTCCCGCGTAGCTGGGATTACAGGTGACCATCATTATGCCCAGCTAATTTTTGTATTTCTAGTAGAGACGGGATTTTGCCATGTTGGTCAGGCTGGTCTTGAACTCCTGACCTCAGATGATCTGCCTACCTCGGCCTCCCAAAGTACTGGGATTACAGGTGTGAGCTACCATGCCTGGCCCATGGGTTACTTTCATATGATTCAGGAAAAAAGTGTATATGCATGTGTTGTGTGTATATAAAGATACACAGAGAAAATAAAATGTGACAAACTATTAGTAATTGGTGACTGAAGGTGAAGGATATATACAGATGTTCATTGTAGTATGATTTTAGCTTTTCTGTAGGTTTGACATTGTTCAAAAATAACAACAAGCAGGGGAGAGACTATTAAGGAAAACTCTTTAAAAATAGTACTGAAGGCTGTCAGCCCTGCCAGATTCACTATTCATTTAACAAGCAGATATTAACTTTATACTATTTCTGTGTTGCTACAATTATTAAAAACAGTAATGATACAAGGCTAAATAGGGATTAGTGGAGTGAAATAAGCAGCCAAAGGACCTGGCATAACTAGCAATTTCTGACGTGATAAAACAATAGGGAAGGGCAGGAATATTAATGGAAATCATATTGAGATAAATTCTTAGCAATTTAAAAAAAATAACTTTGCCCTTCCTCTCCAAACACTGAACTAATTTATATTGGATAGAAAATTTTATAAATAAATAAATATAAAAAGAAAAAATGCAGAATTACAGTGAATGAGATCCTAAGCCTAGAATAAACTGAACAAATCACAAAGAAAACAATCAGCAGGGTGTGGTGGTGCACACCTATCATCCCAGCTACTCAGGAGGCTGAGGCAGAAGGATCACTTGAGTCCAGGAGTTCTGGGCTGTAGTGCGCTACATCAGTTGGGTGTCCACACTAAATTTGGCATCATTGTGATTACCTCCCGGGAGCCAGGGACCACCAGGTTGCATAAGGAGGGGTGAAATGGCACAAGTTGAAAATAGAGCAGGTCAGAGCTCCCATGCTTATTAGTAATGGGATCACACCTGTGAATAGCCACTGCACTTCAGCCTGGGCAGCATAGCAAGACCCCTTCTAAAAAATAATCAGAAAAAGAAAAGAATCAGAAATTTTAACTGTATAAAAATCATAACCTTATTACATTAACAAATTTTTAAAGACTAATCTAGAAAACAATTTGCAGGTTTTTTATTATTATAAAGAATTGATTCAAATTGATGAAACTCCCAAATCTCAAGGAATGAATGACTAAGGTCAATAACAGATAGTTCACCAAAGAAATAAATGTAGTAAATAACTGCTAATTAAATCATTGCAAATTAAGTTATGAATATTTCAACTTAAAATTGCCTTTAAAAAATAAGAGTAACTTGCTGGAGAGGGTGCAGACATGCTCCTATTTTCATGCATTGGTGGTGGTATTGCAAAGCTGTACAACTCTATTGGGAAAGAATTTAGCAGTTCTTATGAGAAGTCATAAAAATTATACCATTGATTCAGTAATTCTACTTCAGGGTCTCTTGCTTAAGTAAATAATCCAAAATAGTGATAGGGTGAAAACTATAGGCAAAACACTTGTCACTCTTATTATTTATAGAAGTGAAACACTGCAAGTGAGCTAAATATTTAGCAATAATGGATTACTTAGAGAATTAATTATGGTATAATGCCCAAAGGACTATCATGCAGCTATTAAAAATGACGGCTATGGAGATTGCATGGAAAAATTATTTTGAAGTGCGAAGTTTTTGAAAAATTGTGTGCATAATACAAACGGTATAAATTTTAAAGCCCACTTTATGAGCTACTCTTTATCACTAGGATAAATATTCATTCTTCTTACCAACATTTTTACTTTCTTTGTAGTATATGTTTTTCCCTCTAAAGAAGATAAATAATTTAATGCAGTCTCCCATGTAAGGCAGTGTTTTATATTGGAGCACATTTTTATCACTTGCCATTTCACTCTGGAGTTGTCCATAAAGATAAGTATTCAAACAACTGTATTGTATTGTACTCACAGTATAATTTTTGCATTTCTTCCACCCTATCACTTCTCCAACACCCTGAGTAAATTAAGAAGTAAACTAAAGAAAATATTTTCAGCAAATAGTTTATTTGGGATATTCAACTTAAATGATGATTACTGTTCTAAAACTTTTACCTACCTTAGGTTTGGCCTTATCTGAGTATATAGTCAGTACAGGTCTACAAGTCTGCTCCATACACACTGAAAAATAACTTGCTGAAAATTTCTTTATCATTTATTTTACCTTTAGGCACTTTGCATGGCTTCTCAGATGCCACCATTGTGAATATAGTAAGAATAGACCAATGGAATGACCAAACATTAGCATCCATGCTTTATCTAACTATAAGTGGAAATGTTTATATTCTAATTTTAAAACTATTGTATGTCAGGTAAATAGAGAAAGAAACAAAATTCACAAAACCCATAATCTTTCTTACAGGCCTTATCCGCAAATTCCTTGCAGTTGATCTAGACTGAATTGTGTTTTTATAACCAAGATGTTTGATGTTCCTTAATTTTAGCAAGAATACCAACTACTTTGTTGGGATCCAGTGATTTTTGTTTTTTAATTCCTAAGATGATAGGATGGTTAATAAAAATAGCTGAGTAGGAGATTTCCACTTTTGGAAGCTCGAGTAGACATAGTTTTTTCTATTTCTTCCCCTAAGTCAAACTAAAAACTCTGGACATTATGTATTAAAAAATATAAAGATGAAAGGTAGAGAGAAGAAAACAGACTGGCTAGAAACCCCCGGGCCACAGCAGCAGCATAGCAGTAAGTTTCATGGGTTTTCATTTCGCTTCGTGTATCCCAGACTTGGAGCTGAAGAAGCTGGCAAATAGGAAATGTCAACAGCATAGACAAAGCTCCAATGGAGCCTGCTCTTTCTTAGTCAAAAGACCAAGACAGGAACATCCTAGCGAGACGGAAAACTTTTAGACAATCCTCTAGCCGAACACCACAGAAGGAAATGTGGACCCACCCTCACCCATGCCAGCAAAGGCCTCGTGGGGAACCCAGACATCTACCCTATGAAGCCCTAAGGAGGTGTGCTAATACTCCTGCTGGAGTGGTTTCAGAAAATGCCAAGAAAGGAGCTTAGATTTTTATCCCCCCTGGGCAGTAATTACCCCTTTCCCTTCATGGTGTGAGCAGAGACTGTGTGGGGAATCAGAACTCACCTCCACACACAGTAACGCAGTGCTGCACACCTCAGCTGTCAGCAGACCTGAGTAGAAAACCTAGACTTCTGTCCCCATCTTGCAGTAACAAGGCAGCACCCCACTCTTTCCTTTGCCAGAGGCATGGCAAAGAAAGCCAGTTAGAAAAAGAAGATTTAGGCTGGTTGTAGTGGCTCACACCTGTAATCCCAGCACTTTGGGAGGGCAAGACAGGAGGATTGCTTGAGCCCAGGAATTCAGGATCAGCCTGACCAACATAAAGAGACCCCATCTCTACCAAAACAAACAAACAAACAAATAGCCAGGCATGGTGACATGTGCCTGTAGTCCCAGCTACTGGAGAGGCTGAGATGGGAGGATCACTTGAGCCTGGGAGATCGAGAGATCGAGGCTGCAGTCAGCTATGATTGCACCACGGCACTCCAGCTTGGCAGTCGGCGCAACAGAGTGAGACCCTGTATCCAAAAAAAAAAAAAAGAAGATTTAAATAACATTCAGAATCTCATCACATAATACAAAAATGTCCAGTTTTATTTAATTCAGAATAACTCATAATACAAAAAGCCAAGAAGATCTTAGACTGAATGAAAAAAGAAGGCAGTCAATATAGGCCAACACCAAAATGACAGCAGTGTTAGAATTATCTGACAAAGATTTTAAAGCAGTCATGATAAAAATGCTTCAATGAACAATTAGGAACATGGTTGAAACAAATGAAAAAATAGAAAGGCTCAGCAAAGAAATGTCTCTGCTGAGAAACTATGGAGGTGAAAAAAATAGCAAAATATTTTTCATGTGCTGAAAGAAAAGAACTGTCAATCCAGCATTCATACCCAGAGAAAATATCCTTCAGTAATGAATCACAAATCAAGACATTCTCAGATGAAGGAAAACTAAGAGAATTTGTCACCATCAGACCTACCCTAAAATAATGGCTA
Organism: Homo sapiens; assembly: GCF_000001405.40. Taxonomy (NCBI): domain Eukaryota; kingdom Metazoa; phylum Chordata; class Mammalia; order Primates; family Hominidae; genus Homo; species Homo sapiens. Next base: position 80,773,589 of record NC_000008.11, on the reverse strand, counting down.
AAAGGAGTTCTCTGGAATGTCAGAAAAGAGGAAAGAGCATGGTAAGCAAAAACATGTAAATATAACATTCTCCTCTTGAGTTTACTAAATTATGTTTGATGGTTGAAACAAAAACTGTAGTAATGTCTGATGTAATTCTAAATGTGCATAGAGGAAATATTTAAAACAATTAAAAATGGGAGACTAAAAGGACATAAGATATCTGTACTCCACTTCAACTGGTAAAGTGATGACACCAGTAGACTGTGACAAGTTATGTACATATAATGTAATATCTAAAGCGACCACTAAAGAAAGCTATACAAAGGGATACACTCAAAAACACTGTACATAAATAAAAGTAAGAGTCTCAAAAGTGTTTAATCCACAGGAAGGCAGGAAAAGAAAACAGAAATAAAAAACAGTGAAACAAACAGTCCATACCATGGGCCTTAATACAAACCTCAGAAGATTTAACAGAGTTAAAATCATATACAGTATGTTTTTTGACCACTATAAATGTAATCTAGAAATGAATAATAGAAAGGTAACAGGAAAATAACCAAACACTTGGAAATTAAATAACACACCTCTATATAACCCATGAATCAAAGAGGAACTCTCAAGAGAAATTTTAAAATGCATTATACTAAATGAAAATGAAAATGTAGCATATCAAAATTTGTAGGACACAGCTAATGCAGTGATAATACATACATTAGAAAAGACCAAAAGTCTCAAATCAATAATCAAAGCTTTCACCTTGAGAACCCAAAGTAAAATAAATACAATAAAAGAAAAGCAAAATAAACACAAAGCAAACAAAGGAAAGAAATAATAAAGAGCATAAATGAAATTGAAAACAGAAAAACAGTGGAGAAAATTAATGAAACAGAGATCCCTGAGAGGATTTGGCTCTGTGTCCCCACCCAAATCGCATGCTGAATTGTATTCCCCAATGTTGAAGGTGGGGTGTGGTGGGAGGTGATTGGATCATGGGGGTGGTTTCTGATGGTTTAGCACCATCCCCCTAGTGCTGTTAGAGTTCTCACAAGATCTGATTGTTTAAAAGCGTGTAACACCTCTCCTCTCTCACTCTCTTCTTCCTGCTTCGGCCATGTAAGATGTGCCTGCTTCCCCTTCCCCTTTCGCCATGATTGTAAGTTTCCTGAGACCTCCCCAGCAATGCTTCCTGTAAGCCTGCAGAACCGTGAGCCAATTAAACCCCTTTTCTTTATAAATTACCCAGTCTCAGGTACTTCTTTATAGCAGTGCAAGAACAATCTAATACAATTTCGTTCTTTGAAAAGATTAATAAATCAACAAAGCAATTCTACACTTCTCTTCCAAAAAATAAAAAGAGAACAGTTCCCAATTCATTTTATGAAACTAGTATTACCCTAATACCAAAACCAATGACAGTACAAAAAAAATAAGAATACAGAGAAATATCCCTTATGGCTACAGATTCAAAAATTCGTAACATATTGGCAAATAGAATTCAGCAATATATAAAATTAATGGTACTCCATGACAAGTAGAGTTTATTCCAGGCTGACTCAATATTTGAAGATCAATCATTGTAGCAAAAATCACTGGATTGACTGGAAGTCAATCAGTCGTGAGCCTATTAATCACCACATTAATAGGCTAAAGAAGAAACATCACATAATCATATCAATCACTGCAGAAAAGCATTTGACAAAATTCAACACCCATTCATGATAAAATGCTAAGAAAAATAGAAATAGAAGGAACTTCCTAAACCTGATAAAGGGCAAATAATATTATACTTCATGGGGGAAAGCTGAATGCTTTTCCTATATGATTGGAAATGAGGCAAAGATGTCTGGCCTCAATATTGTCATTCAACATATTGCTGGAAGTTTTAGCCAGTGCAATAAGTTGAGAAAATGAGCTGAAGACATACAGACTGGAAAGGAAAAAAACCAAAACTGTCCCTATTTGTAGATAAAATAATTGTTTAAGTAGAATATTCCAAGGAATTTATTTTTAAAAAGACTCCTAGAACTAATAAAAGAGTTAAGCAAGGTCAAAGGATACAAAATAAACACAAAAATCAGTTGCATTTCTGTATATTAGCAATGAACACATGACAACTGGAATTTAAAATACAGTATCATTTAAAATTTCTCAAAGAAAAAATATATACTTAATTGTAAATCTAATAAAACATGTACAGGACTTATATGCTAAAAACTGTAAAACTGATGAAAGAAATCAAAGATATAAATAAATGGAGAGACATACCATGTTTATGGATTGCAAGACTCAACATAGTAATAATAGTCAATTCTCACAAAAATATATACAGGTTTAATGCAGTTCCTATCAAAATTCTAACAAGATATTTTGTAGATACAGAGAAGGTTATTCAAAAATTTATATGGAAAGTCAAAGAAAGTAAAACAGTTAAAACAATTTTGAAACAGAATAAAGTAGGAGGAATAAATTTCAAGACTTATATAGCTACAGTAATCCAGACTGTGTGCTATTTGTGGAGAGATAGACACATAGATGAATGCAACAGAATAAAGAATTCAGAAACAGACACACAAATGAGCCTAACTGGTTTTTGACAAAAGTGTAAAAGAAACTCAGTGCAAGAAAGGTTATCTTTCACAACAAATGGTGGAGAAGCAATTGGATATCCATAGGGAAAAACAAACAAACAACAACAAAAAACGAAATAAAACCCTGATCTAAGTCTCATACCTTATACATAAATTAACTTGAAATGGATCATGAACTTAAATATAAAATGTATGACCATAAAATTAAAAGAAACAGTAGGAGAAAATCTTTAGAACTCAGGGCTAGGCAAAAAAGTCTTAGAATTGACACTAAAGCCACAGTCCCTAAAACGAAAAACTGTAAATTGCACTCTATCAAATAAAAACTTTTACTCTGCAGAAACTCTCTTAAGAGGATATAAAGACAAACTGCAGAGTGGGAAAAATATTTTCAAACCACATACCTAACAAAGGACTAGTATCTAGAATATATAAAGTTTTTCAAAACTCAACAGTAAAAAACAATCCTCTAGAAAATGGGCAAACAACATGAACAGACAGTTCACCAAGGAGGACATATAGCAAATAAGCACACAGAACAAGCAATTAGCACACAAAAAGATGTTCAACATCATTAGCCATTAGGGAAATACAAATTAAAACCACAATGGGCTGTCACTACATATCTATTAAAACTATCAAGATAGAGAACAAATTAATGGTTACCAGGAGTGAAGGAGGGATGGAGACAGAAGGTAAGTCGATTTGGCTATAATAGGACATCGTGAGGAATCCTCATAATAGAAGTGTTCTCTCTTGACTATATTAATGTCACTATCCTGGTTTTAATAGTGGACAGTGGTTTTACAAGAGGTTACTGATATGATTTGGCTATGTCCCCACTGAAATTTCATCTTGAATTCCCACGTGTTGTGGGAGGGACCTGGTGAGAGGTAATTGAATCATGGGGGCAGGTCTTTCCTGTGCTGTTCTCATGATGGTGAATACATCTCACAAGATCTGATGGTTTCATAAGGGGGAGTTTCCCTGCACAAGTTCTTTTCTCTTGTCTGCCACCATGTGAGGCGTGCCTTTCACCTTCTGCCATGATTGTGAGGCCTCCCCAGCCACGTGGAACTGTAAATCCAATAAACCTCTTTCCTTTGTAAATTGCCCAGTCTTAGGTATGTCTTAGCAGCATGAAAATGGGCTAATACAGTAAATTGGTACCAGTAGAGTGGGGCACTGCTGAAAAGATACCTGAAAATGTGGAAGCAGCTTTGGACCCGGGTAACAGGCAGAGGTTGGAACAGTTTGGAAGGCTTGGAAGAAGACAGAAAATGTGGGAAAGTTTGGAACTTTCTAGACACTTGTTGAATGACTTTGACAAAAATGCTGATAGCAGTATGTACAACAAGGTCCAGGCTGAGGTGGTCTCAGATGGAGATGAGGAACTTGTTGGGAACTGGAGCAAAGGTCACTCTTGTTATGTTTTAGCAAAGAGACTGGTGGCATTTTGCCCCTGCCCTAGTGATTCCTGGAACTTTGAACTTGAGAGAGATGATTTAGGGTATCTGGAGGAAGAAATTTCTAAGCAGCAAAGCATTCAAGAACATGTGGAACTGTAAGTCCAATAAACCTCTTTCTTTTGTAAATTGCCCAGTCTCAGGTATGTCTTTAGTCTTTTATCAGCAGTGTGAAAACAGACTAATACAGTTACCATTGGGAGAAACTGGGTGAATTATACATGGGAACTCTCTATATTATTTTCTTGCAACTTACTGTGAATCTACAATTATCTCAAAATAAAAAGTTTAATTTAATAATTGCTGAGTAAGTGGGCCTCTGCAGAATCACCAAATCAGGAGTTTCATCAATAAGTCTTAATTCTCTCCAGCAAGAACTAGTGCAGTTTTCCTAGACTCCACTTCATTTGCTAATAGAGTTCTTTAGAATCTCTAAAGATTTGAACATCATCATGAACCATCTAACTCAGCTGGGAAAGAAAATCATATACCAGTATTTTTGTTGGTCCACACATTTTAGGAAACTAAAATGTATGCTGTTTTATGGCACAGACTGTGTAGGTTGTGTACTCTTAGGGCTTATCACAAGGTCTTAGCTTGTGATATGTTAGATTTCAGTAAATACATGTTAGATGGCTGGATGAATGGATGAAACTAGTGATGTTCTAGTAAATATTTGACAACTAGCTCTCCAGAAGAAGAAAGAAGTGCTCATTTGTATCATTTGCTGATTTCTCTGGTGTAAATACTCCTCTATGGCCAATTTCAGGCTACTAAAATGACATGTCTAAACACGGGGTTGGGAAGAGATGTATCCATTACCCTTCATAAGCTAGTATAAGCTGACTCCAGCACACCACTGGATGGAGTTGAGTTAGATAGCATGCGATGTTAACCGCCTTTATTTTCTGATGCCAACCTTGTGTTATTAAAATTACAAAGAAAATCTGGGCTTTGAGTTACTGCCTAATCCCTTCTCATTAAAAGTGTGAGAGATCCATTGAGAATCAGTAGTTGTCTCAAAGCAAACCCATGGCCTTCACCTAGAGAAGAAAATTAAAAAGAATATGCCTTATTATTATTGAATACAAACCTTTTTGTGTTCATGTGGAGCACTGAGAAAGGCATGAATTACAGTAACTTGCCAGTGTCCAACTCATGGTGGAAGCAGGCTGATTTTTTCCAGTTTAGCCTCTTAATTTCTTCTTGAGGGTGATTGGCTTATGGGAGATGTACTGACAAGGACATATCACATAAAGCTTTATTTTTTAAGGAGTCTGAAAGGAAAAAAAAACCTAATTAGTTTTGTACTGTAGTCTTGTTTCTTAGTATTAAAGAATCATTTCTGACATCTGATTAATCACACTTACTCCTGCTTGTTTTCAATCTTGTTGGATGTTTCCAAAAACTATCTCATAGACAGTATTTTCTCCTCACACTATCTTGCAGCTGCAATATAATCTACACTCAAAGCTTGTGTTGCAACATGCATGCCCTTGGGCCACAATCTCTGCTTGCTTTGGCATGGTTTATTTATTCCAAAGACATCTATGCCTTTAGGTTGCTATAGAGATTTCAAGTGAACTAAACTGTTCAAGAAAACCTCAGGGAAGCCTGTTTAGTTTCTTCTAAAACTCAAGGCGATTAGTAGGCCCAGATATTCTTAAAATGTGTACTGCAAGCAAAGGAACCTCTGCGAAAAGTGGGTTGATGACCTTAGTTATAGAGGGTTTCAAGGAGAAGGTAATTTTAATAGCAGCAAAAAAGCTGAGTAGAGCGAAGTGAATTTCTTTGTAAAGGTGCTTATAAGAGAACACCTGGGGTATTGATTAACATATTAACAACTGCCTCTTTGGAGTATTGGATTGTAGCTGCTTAGTATCAATAAGTTTACAAAAACTAGCCAAAGCATTATATAGTTCAGGGTTATTGCTTACACCAATTTCAGACATTAAGCATGAGTGAATGTTTTTCTTTCTGCTTTTCTGTTTCTATATTTTCTTCAACATGCACTATTTTATGATTAAAATTATATGTGAGTAGAAAACGAGGCAGTGTTATTGATTATATAGTAAATTTTGAATTATTCTTATTTGTTTAGCAACTATTATGCAGTCTAGAAGTGAAGAGGTTAAACTAAACCAGAGTGTAGAGGAGGGAACATGGAGTTCCTTATATTTTACATAATTTTAACACTGGTGGCCATGTGTTTCTCGGTGTCCTTAGAATTGAGAATGAACAATGAATACTTTAATGGGTGAAATCAAATAAACTGTTATTATAAGATATTTATTAATTAACCAAGTTAATTACAAGTCTTTGAAAGATGACAGATTTGTGAGGCATCTTTAGAACAAAGGTCAAATTCTTTAAGCCTCCATTAATTCCTGGGACCTCAACGTAATGTTATATATGATAGCACTCACTGGAATGGGTGTAGAAGGTCAAATTTTAGGAAATTCTGGCATGGACTTTTATTGTGGAAAGTAGCTTAACCTCTGTATGGTGTGGTTTCCTTATTTAAAACTAAGAGTCACGCGCCGGGTTCAGTGGCTCACGCCTATAATCCCAGCACTTTGGGAGGCTGAGGTGGGCAGATCACCTGAGGTCAGGAGTTCAAGACGAGCCTGGCCAGTGTGTTGAAACCCCCTCTCTACTAAAAATACAAAAATTAGCCAAGCATGGTGACGCATGCCTGTAATCCCAGCTACTCCGGAGGCTGAGGCAGGAGAATTGCTTGAATCCAGGAGGCAAAGGTTGCAATGAGCCGAGATTGTGCCACTGCACTCCAGCCTGGGTCACAGAGCGAGACTCAGTCACAAAAAATAAAAAATAAAAATAAGAGTCAGACTGGATAACGGTAATGTCCTTCTAACTCTAATATTCTGTGATACAGAAGTCAGCTAAGTGTGGTAGTAATTAATTAGTAATAGAAAATTTGTTTCCAAACAATATAAAGGATCCACATATTTCAAAATATCAGTAACATAGTTTAGGAAATTGTATTAACTAAAGTCTCTTTTAATTGGAGATAACTGAAGCTAAATTAAGCTTGCTTTGATCCCAAAGGGAGTTTATAGTAAGGCTTCTGTGACCCCAGGAAAGGACAGGGGTGCAGCTAGACACCAGGAAATAGCAGCAATGACTGGAAGGAACCAGATTGCCCCTTTCTGGGTGTTCGTATCATTATTCCCATCTGAAGAATGACTTCCTGCACACAGCAGGGAACCTGGCCATTGAGAGTTCATGTTTGACCCTTGCTGCTTTGGAACTCAAGGAATTTTCATTACTCTCTTCTGCCCCACATTAAAAAAAAATATTGGAGAAGGGTGCCTGTTGGCCGAGTTTGGATGAGGTGCCTACCCTTGGATCAGTTACTGTGAACAGGGAAGCGAGTCACATAAGATAAAGACCCACTAGAATAATATAACTGGTATTATTAATAGAAGAAGTAGCATATTCTAGAAGGAAAGAGTATATTTACCAAAACAAGAGAAGGAGTAGTAATTGGACAAGGAAATAGTAAAGTTCACTAAACTTTTTTTTTAATTGCTAAATGAAATCATCACTTACTGTTTCTTACATACGCAGTAAACTACACTAATGAATTATTGCTTGGTAGATGTGGCCATAGTTGCACTAATACATGCTGGAATTTACCTGGCTTTTAATGGATACTCGGTAAATGGTAGCTATTATTTTTATAATCTAGCCAAGAGATCGGTGTTGATCATAATTCTTATCTATAATTTTTATGATCTAATGAAGAGATAGGTGCTGCTGAAAATCTCAAAAGATGCAATCCCAAATGCCATAATTCTGAATGTCAAAATCCCAAAAGGTCAAAATCCCTAAACTGTAAAATCCCTAACATCTAAAAATCCCAAAAATCACAATTGCAAGAGATTAAAATCCCAAATGTTAAAATCCTGACATCTAAATTCTGGGGAATAAAATAGTGTGAGTTTTCGGCTATATGCAGGATAGTTACATCATGTTGGTTACCTCATGTTGGGCTGAACTATTACCTTGTTATTGTCTTTATTTGGAAATTAACTATGGCATAAGGATGTGGGTTTGGGTGCCAAGTTGACAAGGAGTGGACTTGTGGACTGAATTTTAGGCATCAATTTGCTAAATTAAGGAATACATGGAAACCTGTTAAAGCATGATTTGGGGTGTGTATGTGAGGGTATTTCCATAGGAGATTAGTGTGAGTGAGTCGGAGTGGACCAGGTGGGGAGGATCTGCCCTCAATGCTGGCAGGCACCATCCAGTTGGTTGGGGGCCTGGAGAGAACAAATACAGAAGGCCTCTCTCTTTGAGAGCTGGGGCAGACTTTTCTCCTGTTGTCATGGCCAGAACATTAGGCTCACCAGCCTTTGGACCCCAGGGCTTTCACCAGTGGCCCCCCCAAGGCCTGAGGATTTTGACTTAAAACTGAGAGTTATACCATTAGCTTCCCTGGTTCTGAGACCTTTGGACTTGGGACTGAACCAGGCTATCAGCATCCCAAGAGTCTCCAGTTTTCAGACAGCCTGTCATGGGACTTCTCAACCACCATAATCCTATGGGCCAATTCCCCTAATAAATATCTTCTCATATGCATATGCTATTGGTTCCATCTCCCTGGAGAACCCTGACTGATACAGATTTGGTATGGAGAAGCTGAATATCATTCCTTCTTACTGTATTTCTTATAACAAAATGTAAGAGATATATGAAATTATTCTCTTGAATAAAAGTCTGTGATAAGCGTACGAGGCTCTCTTAATGGTGAAAGATAAAAGTTTAAAAGCTAATTATTATTGGTGCTGCAAAAGCAGAAAATCACTTAATTACAATGGCCAAGCAATAACCAAACTTTCAGTTGGACAGCATATACATAGAAAATTTGCAGACCACAACCACTCTCCAAATGTAAATGCAGTGAGTTTTGAAGATCATGGAAGAAGTGAAAACACAAGTGAAAAACACAAAAAATCTCCCCTGCTATAATAAGGTTTAGTTCTCTGTCCCCATCCAAATCTCATCTCAAATTGTAATCCCCATGTGTCGAGGGAGGGACGTGATTGGATGATGGGGCAGTTTCCCCCATGTATTCTTGTGATAGTGAGTTCTCATGAGATCTGATGGTTTTATAAGCATCTGGGATTTCCCCTGCTGGCACTTCTCTCTCTTGCCGTCATGCAAAGAAGGTCCTTGCTTCCCCTTCATCTTCCACCATGACTCTAAGTTTCCTGAGACCTCCTCAGCCATGTGGAACTGTGGATCTTTCCTTTATAAATTACCCAGTCTCCGTTATTTCTTTATAGTGGTGTGAAAACTGCTGATTCTTTATAGCAGTGTATTTACCAATACAATAAATTGGTACCACAGAGAGTGGGGTACTGCCACTACCCAAAAATGTAGAAGCAACTTTGGAACTGGGTAACAGGCAGAGGTTGGAACAGTTTGGAATGCTCAGAAGAAGACAGGAAAATGTGGGAAAGTTTGGCACTTGCTAGAGATTTGTTGAATGGTTTTGAGCAAAATGCTGATACTGATGTGGACAATGAAGTCCAGGCTGAGGTGATCTCAGATGGAGATGAGGAACTTACTGGGAACTGGAGCAAAGGTCACTCTTGCTGTGCTTTAACAAAAATACTGGCAGCATTTTGCCCCTGTCCTAGAGAGACCTGTGTAACTTTGAACTTGAGAGAGATGATTTAGGGTATCTGGTGGAAGAAATTTCTGAGCAGCAAAGCATTCAAGAGGTGACAGATCATAAAAGTTTGGAAAATGTGCAGCCTGACAATGTGATAGAAAAGAGAAACCTATTTTCTGGGGAGAAATTCAAGCCTGCTGTAGAAATTTACATAGGTAATGAGGAGCCGAATGTTAATAGCCATGAAATGGGGGAAATGTCTCCAGGACATGTCAGAGACCTTCACGGGAGCCCCTCTCATCACAGGCCCAGAGGCCTAGGAGGGAAAATGGTTTTCTGAGCCAGGTCCAGGACCCCCTGCTGTGTGCAGCCTAGGCACTTGGTGCCCTGTGTCCCAGTTGCTCTAGTTATGGCTAAAAAGGGCCAAGGTACACCACAGGCCATGGTTTCAGAGGGTGCAAGCCCCAAGCCTTGGCAGCTTCCATTTGGTGTTGAGCCTGCAGGTGCACAGAAGTCAAGAATTGAGGTTTGAGAACCTCCACCTAGATTTCAGAGAATGTATGAAAACACCTGGATGTCTGGAATGTAAGGAAATGCTTGCTGCAGGGGTGGGACCCTCATGGAGAACCTCTGCTAGGGCAGTGTGGAAGGGAAATGTGGGGTTGGAGCCCCCACCAGAGTCCCCACTGGGACACTGCCAAGTGGAGCTGTGAGAAGAGAGCCACTTTCCTCCAGACCCCAGAATGGTAGATCCACCAACAGCTGGCACCGTGCACCTAGAAAAGCTGCAGACACTCAATGCCAGCCCATGAAAGCAACCAGGAGGAAGGTTGTACCCTGCAAAGCCACAGGGGCAGAGCTGCCTAAAACCATGGCAACCCACCTCTTGCATCAGCATGCGCTGAATATGAGATATGGAGTCAAAAGAGGTTATTTAGGAGCTTTAAGATTTAATAACTGCCCCACTGGATTTTGGACTTACATGGGGCCTATAGCCCCTGTGTTTTGGCCAGCTTCTCCCATTTGGAATGGGAGCATTTATCCAATCTGTACCCTCATTGTACCTTGCAAGGAACTAACTTGCTTTTGATAGGCTGATAGGTGGAAAGGACTTGCCTTGTCTTAGATGAGACTTTGGACTTGGACATTGAGTTAATGCTTGAATGACTTAAGACTTTGGAGGACTGTTGGGAAGGCATGATTGGTTTGGAAATGTATAAGGGACGTGAGATTTGAGAGGGGCCAGGGCAGAATAATATGGTTTGGCTATGTCCCTACCCAAATCTCATCTTGAATTATAATACCCACATGTTGAGGTAGGGACCTGTAATCCCCACATGTCAAGGGAGGGAGGTGATTAGATAATGGGACCAGTTTCCCCCATGCTGTTCTCGTGACAGTGAGTGGGTTCTCATGAGATCTGATGGTTTTATAAGCATCTGGCATTTCCTCTGCTTGCACTTCAGTCTCCTGCCACCATGTGAAGAAGGTCCTTACTTCCCCTTCACCTTTCACCATGATTGTAAGTTTGCTGAGGCCTCCCCAGTCATGTGGAACTGTGAGTTAATTAAACCTCTTTCCTTTATAAATTACCTAGTCTCAGATATTTCTTTGTAACAGTATGAAAATGAAGTAATACACCTGCCAAACTATTCAGTCACTTATGACTTCTGCCCCTTCACACATAGTATCAATTTGCTATGTGATGTATTTCATTTTCACATCATGTCCAATACTGGAGGTATAAATTGTGTCAAGATTTTTAGAGACATCTAATTCATTTTATGCTTTTTTTTGGCCAATTTGACTTCACAAAAGTGCATTATCACAACATTGGGTATAAGCATTGTGCGCATATGTAGAAATATTGAAACTTCCTCAGTAAATGAAGATGTCCTTTTGTACACCTGCATTTGTTAAAGATAAAATTTCTTTAGATCTTGGTTCTTTGGGCAACTGCATATATGGTGGTGACCCATTGAAGTTTATTAACAGATCTCATCAAAAGACTTAGGTTATCTATCAAGGTATTTCAGATGCCACAGTTATAAAGCTGGGTGTACACAATTACCAACCACAGTGACTTTGTTTATACATTTTGCCTTTTGACCTATTTATGAATATGATTTGTCTTCTCATAACTTTTACACCCATGTGACCATTGTTAGTATACCTGAGTGTTTATGCTTACAAATATCTGTATATTAGTTCTTGCCTATTTTATTGTGTAAAGTGGCCTACAACATATTTTATCATGTTTTTAGATGTTTCTCAAATCTCCTTTTCAAAAATGTAAATAAATGTCTCAAGGAATTTTTATTAAGTTATTTTTTCAGAATTATATTTTCAAGATTTTGATCTCTCAGGATTGTGATTTCCAGGATTTTAGATGTTAGGGATTATGATTTTTGGGGATTTCAGTGTTCAGGATTATAGTGTTTAGGATTGTGTCTTTCAGGATTATGGCCCAAACCCCCAAAAAGGTTAAATTTATAGTTAGAATTTTTAGTGCCAGTTATTTGAGAGCACCACAAATGTCTGTGACACAAAGAAATTTACCTTTTAACCAATTGTACTAGTTCTTTCCTGCTCTATAACAAAATAGCTGAGACTGGGGTAAGTTGTAAAAACAGAAACTTATTTCTCACAGTTCTGAAGGCTGAGAAGTCTAAGATCAAGGTGTCGGCATTTGGTATCTGGTGAAGCTGCTCTCTGCTTCCATAATAGCACCTTCTTGCTGTGTCCTCATGTAGTGGAAGAGTGGAAGGGCAAGAGGGCCTCTGTAATTCCTTGCAGCCCTTGTATAAGGGTACTGGTACAGTTTGGATCTGTGTCTCCACCCAAATCTCATGTTGAATTGTAGTCCCCAGTGTTGAAGGTGGGGCCTGGTGGGAGGTGACTGGATCATGGGGGTGGATTTTTCATGAATGGTTTAGCACCATCTCCCTTGGTGCTGTCCTCGTGATAGTGAATGAGTTCTTGTGAGATCTGGTGATTTGAAAGTGTGCAGCAGTTCCCTGCTCGCTCTCTTGCTTCTGCTGTGGCCATGTGACATGCCTGCTTCCACTTCACCTTCTGCCATGATTATAAGTTTCCTCTGCAGAAACCAAGCAGATGCCAGCATCATGTTTCCTGTACAGCCTGCAGGACCTATGACTCTTTTCTTTATAAATGAAACCTCTTTTCTTTACAAATTACCCAGACTCAGGTTTTGTTTTTTGTTTTTTGGTTTTTTTTTTTTTTTTTTTTGAGATGGAGTCTCGCTCTGTCACCAGGCTGGAGTACAGTGACACAATCTCGGCTCACTGCAACCTCTGCCTCCTGGGTTCAAGCAATTCTCCTGCCTCAGCCTCCTGAGTAGCTGGGACTACAGGCGTATGCCACCACACCCAGCCAATTTTTGTATTTTTAGTAGAGACAGGGTTTCACCATGTTGGCCAGGATGGTCTCGATCTCTTGACCTCGTGATCCACCCGCCTCAGCCTCCCAAAGTGTTGGGATTACAGGTGTGAGCCACCGTGCCCGGCCAGGTATTTCTTTATAGCAATGCAAGAACAGACTAATACAGGTGCTTATCCCATCCATGAGAATTCAGCCTCATTAATCAAAATATCACACTGGATCTTAGGTTCCAATCTGTGAATTTTGGAGACACCTGTACATTCAAAACATAGTACCAAGTGTATTATTTATTACTGGATAACAAATTTCCACAAATTTAGCAGCTTAAAACAATACAAACTTATTCTCTCGTAGTATCTGTGGGTCAGGAATAGGGGCACAGCTTAGCTGGGTCAACTGCTCATCAGGGTCTTTCTCATGGGCCTAAAGTTAAAGTGTCAGCCAGGGCTGGATGCAATGGTTCATGCCTATAATCTCAGCACTTTGGGAGGCAGGGGCAAGAGGATCACTTGAAGCCAGGCATTCAAGACAGCCTGAGTAACATAGTAAGATCCCCATCTCTACAAAATGTATTTTTTTAATTAGCTGGGTGTGGTGGTATGCATCTGTGGTCAGCTACTTGGGAGGCTAAGATGGGAGGACTGATGGAAACCAGGAGGTTGAGGCTGCAGTAAGCCATGATCAGACCACTGCACTCCAGTCTGGGAAACAGAGCAAGATCCTGTCCCAAAAATAAAATACAGTGTCAGCCAGGGCTGGAGTATCATCTGGAAGCTCAAGTGGGGAGGGATCCTCTCCCAAGCTCACTTATGTGGTTGTTGGCAGGATCCACTTCCTTTTGGGTTGTTGGTCTGAGGGCCTTAATTCCTAGCTGCTATTGACTAGAGTTAGACCTCTCCTCAGTCTCTTGTTATGTGGGCCTCCCCACCATGACAACGTCATCAGAGCCAGCAAGGTGGAACCCCAGTCTGTATAGCCTAATTATGAAGGTGACACATCGTCACCTTTGCCATATTCTCTTGGTTACAAACAAGTCGTAGGTCCTGCCACACTAGTAAAGAGGGTATTAAAAAGGGTATGAACTGTAGGAGGTGAGATCATTGGGGGGCATCTTAAAGTCTGTTTGCCACACCAAAATGTTGATTTAAATATTACTCACCCAGTCCAAAGCTTGTATGCAGGTGTGAGATATTTTGCTAGTGGAAAAAAAAAAAAAAGGCCCTGGAAAAAAAAGCTCAGGCTTAACTATAATGTTACTCTAGGGTCCATCAAAAGTCTACAAAGCTGAACATTCTAGTTAACTGCTCAGGTGCCCACAGTCCCTAATCAGTCACATTAAAAGCTGTTGTGCTCATGTTTCTACTCCTTGCATTCCTAGTATAGTGTCTTATTCATGATAGATACTAAGTGCTGAATGGATGAATGTTTTTTAAATCTAGTGTTTCTATGTGATGGGAAGCAGTATAGTGTACCAGTTCAGAGCATGAACTTTGGAGTCAGAAAAACCTGGGATCACATGCTTCCTTTGCCACTTACTTGCTATATAACCTTTGGCAAGTTACTCAAATTCTGTAAGGCTCAGTTTCTTTCTCTGTAAAATGGGGATAATACTACCATATTTTATTACATCTAAGGCACTATGTATTTTAAGATACAGCATTATTTTCTGTGTAATTCATAAAGAAAAATAATGCTGCCAATTAAACTGTGATATAACTTGATTGATTATAAAATGCACCTGATTTCAAACATATTAAAATATGAAAAAAGTGTATGCTTTAGAATTGATAAAATGCAAGGATGCCTACCTTATGTGGTTTTGATAAAGTTTAAATGAGATAGCACACGTAAGACAGTATATGTAGCTTTCATCTAGTAAGAGCCTAATAAGTATTAGCTATTTTATTATTAGCGATTATGGTCCTCTTCTTGCAAACTCTTAAAATGAGTCAGTATATTTTGCTTTCTTTTCTAATATTTGAAACTGAGTTATAGAACAGATCTACAAAACCATTGTTGGTTTTTTTCAAAGAAGGAGGGAGGTATTAACAAAATGGCTGTCTCAGACCAGATGATATATAATGACCTGTAGTTCTGTGCAAAATGCTTAATAAGGGTGACACTTGACAAAGGCCTTTTTGTGGAAAGTGTGCTTCCCACACTTCATCAGTCTCTTAAGTGAAGGTAGAATAAAGGCCCAAATTATGCTTAGTAATTCAACAGGTTGAGAGCCAGCTTTTAATGCACCTCTGCTCCGCTTGCCGGTTCCTGTGATAACTGATAATTTGGTGACTAGCTGAGCCTTTGCTCCACAGTGAACTGAAGGAAGCCCTTTATACTTGAGACTGGAAATACTTCCGATGACAGTGAAGATGTATTTGAAGCAATGTGATATTGATACAAATTGCTCCAAAGGCACAGCTATAATACAACACCATAGTAGGCCAAAGTCTGGACAATGAGTGTATCTGTTAAATTGGCCATAGGTATAAGAAAGAAAGCCCAGTGCCCTTCAATTACAGTCATGTGTCACTTAACTATGGGGATAGGCATTCTGAGAAATGCGTCATTAGGCAATTTTGTCATTGTGCAAGCATCATAGAATACTTAACACAAACCTTGATGGTAGAGGCTACTATACACCTAGGCTATATGGTCTAGCCTGTTGCTCCCAGGCTACAAACTTGTACAGCGTGTTATTGTACGGAATACTGCAGGCAATTGTAACACAATGGTATTTGTGTATTTAAATCTATCTAAACATTAAAAAGGTACGGTAAAAATATAAAGGATTAAAAATGGTATACCTGTGTAGGGCATTTACCATGAGTGGAGCTTGCAGGACCGGGGGCTGTGCTGGGTGAGTCAGTGAGTGAGTGGTGAGTGAAGTGAAGGGCTAGGACCTTATTGTACACTACTGGAGACTCTATAAACACTGTACACTTAGGCTACACCAAATTTATTTTTTAAAATTTCTTCAGCAATATATTAACCTTAGCTTACTGTGACTTTTTTAGTTTATAAACATTTAAGGTTTTTTTTTTTAACTTTTTGACTCTTTTAATAACACTTAGCTTAAAACACAGATACATTATATAGCTACACAAAATATTTTCTTTACGTCCTTATTCTATAAGCTTCCATTTTTAAAATTTTTAATTTTTTACATTTTAAACCTTTTTGCTGAAAACTAAGACATAAATACACACATTAGCCTGGGCCTATACAAGGTCAGGATTATCAATATCACTGTCTTCCACCTCCACATCTTGTTCTACTGGAAGGTGTTCAGGGGCAATAACATGCATGGAGCTGTCATCTCCTATGATAACAATGCCTTCTTCTGAAATACCTCTAAAGGACCTGCCTCAGGCTGTTTTATGGTTAACTTTTATTTTTACCTAAGTAGAAGGACTGTACTCTGAAACAACAATAAAAAGTACAGTATGGTAAGTACTAGTCAATAGGAATTTTTCAGCTCTATTATAATCTTACAAGACCACCATGGTACATGACTGCATATGGAAGGACAGCTGGCCACTCATGTGTCTCCTTGGCCACCTTGAGAGACTTCATAATACTTGCCCCTTTGCACACTCTTCTTGCTGCCTAATTGCCCGTGTGCCTAGCTGGACTGTAAGCTCGCAGAGGGCAGTGACTGTGTGTCCTGCTCGCCATTTTTTCTGCAGTTAACTAGCACTCAGAAGGTTAAATCATCACTTGGTGAATGCATGAACACTGTTTAACCTCAGGTAAAGAAGTGAATTACATATGATGATGCCAGACTTTATCAAAATTCAAATAATAATCATTTTTTATGCAGTGCATATTCACCAAAATTATGCATTGTGGTCTACCATTAATAAGACATGTTCTTTAGGTTGTTAAACCAAGTGAGTTTCTGAAAAATAGGTATTGTGACAACTAGAAGTGCATATACAGAAATTGTTCCAAACAACCTGTTCCTCAGTTTTACACCATATTATGGGGCAGTATATGAACCTCTTCATTTTCAAACACATAAACACAGTGGGTCCCTTAAGCTTATAGTCTCAACTACCTAGTCTGTAAAATGGAAATGATAACAATACCTCCTCATGGGGTTGATGTGAAGATAAGATGAAATTGTATCTTTTAAATAATAATATCCCTGGTACATAATCAGTAATGAATGAGTAGTAAATAACAATATCATTGTTTCCATTGTAGTGGAAACTTGTGTGTTCACAGATCTGGGTGCCAGGAAACTTTGGTTTTCTTAGAGGGAGTGAGATACTGCTCTTGGATATGTCTGTCTTGATATCTAAAAGACTTGGGTTTCTGGTGCAGCGACATGTGTTCTTTGATGGGCTCTGATGATACTATAGCTCTTCAGCTACATTTTTTTTTTTTTGAGACGAGGTCTCCCTCTGTTACACAGGCTGGAGTGCAGTGGCGTGATCACTTCTCACTGCAGCCTTGCTCTCCCAGGCTAAAGCCATCCTTCCTTCTCAGCCTCCCACGTAGCTGGGACTGCAGATGTGTACCAGCACACTCAGCTGATTTATTGATTTTTTTTTTTAAGAGATGGGGTCTTGAGTGTTGCCCAGGCTGGTACTGAACTTCTGAGTTCAAGTGATCCTCCCTCCGTGGCCTCCCAAAGTGCTGGAATTACAGATGTGAGCCACTGCAGCTGGCCTTCAGCTACATTTGGCTACAACACGAACTGCTGTTTGGGGGTACTGTTGTTTGTGCATTGCTTACCTAAACTATTCAGTGTCCTGGGACTGAGTTTTGGAAAATGGTAAAGCCCAGTCATGTGAAGCCATGGTTCTCAAGCCTGGCTGCACGCTGAAATCACCAGGGGAGGCAGGGAAGCACCATAGATGCCTGGATTCTACCTAGAACTCAGTACTTGGAATAGTTCCGATTGAACCTGGATGAGCAGTATTGAGAACCAGAGATTTAGAGACACTGGGAATCACTGTTTCTCAGTAGTCATGTCTGTTTTCCTCAGCTGGACCATTCTGTTCTGTTTTTTGGGTTTTTTGTTTGTTTGTTTGTTTTTGAGATGGAGTCTCACTCAGTCACCCAGGCTGGAGTGCAGTGGCACGATCTCGGCTCACTGCTATCTCCACCTCCCAGGCTCAAGCAATTCTCCTGCCTCAACCTCCTGAGTAGCTGGGATTACAGGCACCCACCACCACACGTGGCTAATTTAGTAGAGACAGGGTTTCACCCTGTTGGCCAGGCTGGTCTTGAACTCCTGACCTCATGATCTGCCCGTCTTGGCCTCCCAAAGTGCTGGGATTACAGGTGTGAGCTACTGTGCCAGGCCCTGTTTTTTCTTTTTAAGTGTTTTATTTGCTTTGGGTTTCAATAGATCCTGGATATATCCTGGAAGTTGAGTGCATGCAAATCTTAAGCCATGGTGGGAAGGGACACTGTGGAAGGAGTGACACAATTGAGTGCCTTCTTGGTACTAGACCTATGATGAACTTTTACCCTATTATCTTCTGCTAATTGTTGTTAATTTTTTACTAATTTACTATATTGGTCAGAGTAGTCTAGGTCTGCCATGGTGACAAGCAGCCCCAAATCTCAGTAGACTTAAACAGCAAAGTCTCTTAAACAGTCGAAGTCTTTAATATATTTCTGGCTTATGCTTCATGCCCATCCACAGGATTCAGGTAAATGTAGCGAAGAAGAGAACACAGAGAACTGAGCACCAGCGTTAGAGAAGCAACACATGTCACTTCTGCTCACTTTCCACTGACCCAGGCAGATCATGGGGTCATGCCTAACTGCAGGGGAGCAGGGCTTACAATCTACCCTAGGCCTGGAAGGAGGAGGCCTTGTGAACAGTCTTTAAGACCTGAGCAATGAGAATGGTTTTTTGTTTGGCAGCAAGTCAGTTTCTTTTTGCATTTATCCATTTATGAAATCCTAAACTGGAATAGGTATTATATGGAACTATTCTGGGCTTTCAGAAGTGTTCATATTTCATGTCAAGTGGAGTTAATTTGCATACATACATATCATTTCGTAATTTTAAGAAATTTTGTGGAGGGTTTTCAAAAGAAATTTAATACTTGTTTTAATTTTCTGTTATAATTTTAGCAGGGGAAAATGGCTGCAAAGCTGCAGATATTTTTGTTCTTTCCTTTTCTATATTTGTTGGACTAGTTAGAGGTGACTGCACATACCAGTGCGGAGGAAATACTTATCCAAACCACTAAATGGCTGTCCTGCTTGGTGTTGCATTTATGGGAGATACTGGCTGTCCCGTTAGTATTCTACATTTCTGAGCAGTCAGCACCATGACAAGATATTAAACTGAAAGAAATGTTAAAAATAGTTCAGAAAATACAATTGTAAGGAAAAAAAAACAGAAGAAAGTCAGGAAAGGCCCTTTAGGTTTGGGAGTAGACAGGAGAGACGTTTGTTTTGCTCATTTCTGATAGACAGTGGCATTCCACAGTTCGAAGCCAAGTGAGTAAGACTGGCAGCTGCTTGCTTAGGGTGTACACACTAAGGTCTCTGCCTGCATCACTTCGCCTGGAAGTGAAGAGCCCTGAAATTCCCAGACGCTAGATGTTCATGTAGCAAAACAGCAAATGCTAGAGAGCATCTCTCATGGGGTCTGCCTTTGAGGGTCGGAGAGGCCTAGCTATTTGGCACTGCATATTTTTTCCATCAACCCTGTAGCTGACTTTGGGCTCTAACTTTTCTCAGGGGTTACTGCATGTTTGTGGAAGCTGACAGCCCCAGCATGGATGATATTACTTTAAACATTTTTAAAACATTCTGTCCTTTTCAGATAAATTTGCTTCATTGCTTCCTTCTTTATAAAATGTCCCCTTAGAGAGTAGGACACATTTTACTCGTTAGAATTGGAAGGGGAAAAAAGCATTCCATTCTTTAGAGCCACATCCAGTGTTCACTGCTTTTGAAGAAGGAGTGATGTTTGACACAGAAATGCATCAATGGGGAAGGCCACATTTAACTTTTGTTGTTTGGGCTCAGCACTGGAACCAAACCAGTTTTTCTTGTCCCCCCTCCTTTTTTTTTTTTGTCCAAGTGGCAGAAAGCCCAGAAATATAAGTTTGCATTGCCAAGAGATGGCTCTAAATATAGTGCTGGTGGGCAGGAAGATTGTTTCCTCATGAATGCAACTGGTGTGTGCTGTATATTCCTTGCCCTCCTCCAGCAGGAAGGAAGAGTTTGGCTTTGCTGCACTGCAAGCCTCAGGCGCTCCTGGCTGGAGGAGTTTAGAAACAGGAGCCTGGGCAGGTTTGCTTTGCACTCTCATCTCCAGCCAAGACGTGCAGATCAAACAGTCACTACCTAGCTGGCTGTTTTATTCTTTAGGATTTAGGAGTATAATGAAACACATAACAGTGGCCAGCTTTTAGAGACTGGAAAGAAAGCATTGTGTATGCCTTGTTTAAACACAGATTGTTTATAAAAGGTATAAAAAAACATCGCTTTGCCTTGTGTTTGCTTGGAAATACAAGAGGAGTTGGCTGGCTACTGTCTACCAGCCAGCTTTGAAACATGAATACTTTTTACTTGTTCACCAGGGCAGCATTTTGCTCTTTCCTACTGCAACTGAAAGGAAATGGAACTGGTGGGATTATTAGACTGGCTTGAAAATGCCAACTTTAAAAGATTATTTTTTTGGCCAGGCGCGGTGGCTCATGCCTGTAATCCCAGCACTTTGGGAGGCCAAGGCGGGCAGATCACCTGAGGTCGGGAGTTTGAGACCAGCCTGACCAACATGGAGAAACCCTTTCTCTACTAAAAATACAGAATTAGCCAGGCGTGGTGGCACAGGCCTGTAATCCTAGCCACTAGGGAGGCTGATGCTGGAGAATCACTTGAACCCGGGAGGTGGAAGTTGCAGTGAGCCAAAATCACACCATTGCACTCCAGCCTGGGCAACAAGAACGAAACTCTGTTTCGTTTTTTTTTTTTTTAAGTTTTTTTAAGTTTACCCCCAAAGCAGAGCAGGCTAGCATTATAAAGAGCTTGGCTCAAAACCTCCTACTGTTCTCTTGCCCTCAGCAATTAAATAAAATACACTTTGAAACCTCAGCTTATAAATCAGATTGCCCCAAAGGGATGGAGAGAGCTGGTTTGATCATTGTATTGGTCCAGTTCCTTGATAAAGGTTTACTTTATCTCACTTTGTGTTGTTTTTTTTTTCCTTTTTATCTTTTTCCCTTGACAGTGCATATAAAGTGACAGTTTTGCAGATCAATGTTGATTTGGCTTTTATGGTAAAAGCTTATTATGCCTAAGGAAATACTGCAAAGTAGTGAGTGCATTTATATAATGAAATCATCTGTGTTGAATGTATTAACATTGAATAATTAAACTCAGCCCATAGTTGGTTCTAAAACCCAGTGCTGCTTAACAAGAGACCATTAACTCAATAACAAGCAATGGGTAGATCTCATCTCAGAATCCTGACTGGGGCCAGGCATGGTGGCTCACACCTGTAATCCCAGCACTTTTGGAGATGGAGGTGGGCGGATCACCTGAGGTCAGGAGTTTGAGACCAGCCTGGCCAACATGGTGAAACCCCATTTCTACTAAAAAAAATACACAAATTAGCTGGGCGTGGTGGTGGGCACCTGTAATCCCAGCTACTTGGGAGGCTGAGAATCGCTTGAACCCAGGAGGTGGAGGTTGCAGTGAGCCAAGACCGTGCCACTGCACTCCAGCTTGGGCAACAAGAACAAAACTCTGTCTCAAAAACAAACAAACAAAAAAGAATCCTGGCTGACTTCAAGTCATGCCACTCACACCACTTGAAGGAGAGCAAAACAGTGATTTTTGATGCTGAAAGATCACACTTTAGCATCAAGCAATTTCAAGAATCTTTACATGTATGTACTTTTAGATTCCATTGATTGGGAAAATGCAAAGGAGAAACAGCTGCTGGGAATTAATGCTTGTGTATGAATTTTTATTTTACTCATACTATCTTCCATGTACATTTGGAAAATAATACAAATATGTGGTGGGTAAATAGCAGCACCTGAAACAGTGCTTGCCTCATATTAGCATTTGGTAAATAGTTTTGACTGAAAATTAAACATTGTTCCGTCAAGAGACAGTTGTTAGTGTCCAAGCAGACTGACAGAAACTTCAGGCCCACAGGTTAGAAACCAAGATCCAGTCTATTTCTCTTCCTCTCTTCCTTATAGGGCTCTTGTATTGTCACTGTAAACAAACACCAGGAAAGAACCAGCACGCTGGCCCAGGGAGTCATTCTTTGGTCAGGGAAGGGCGCCCTAAGAGTGAGAAGTCTTTCCAGTGTGATTATTTATGTGATTTCAAGCTGACAGTTGACTTCTTCCACCTTGCCTCTTTTCTAATAAATATGTCCAGATATTAAGATTTGAGTGGTTAAAAAAAAGCAAAAGTTTTCTCATTAACATTGTTTTATTAAAACACAGTTATCTACATTGCAAGAATAAACATTTTCCCACACAAGAATTATTAGAGTGATTCGTTCATAAATATTTTTATTTTTCCTAAACTGATTTTTAGTCGAAAAGATTTGTTTAGGAACAGTCACCCCAAGATGTCTTCAGAGATTCCTGAACTCTTCAGCGCTGTGCCATCCAGGACAGTAGCCACACATGGCTTTTGAGCATCTGAGATGATGCTAGTCAGAACTGGAATGTGCTAAAAGTTTAAAATAAGGTTGGGCTCACACCTGTAATCCCAGCACTTTGGGAGGCTGAGGTGGGTGGATCACCTGAGGTCAGGCATTCAAGACCAGCCTGGCCAACATGGTGAAACCCCGTCTCTACTAAAAATACAAAATTAGCCAGATGTGGTGGTGCACACCTATAATCCCAGCTACTCGGGAGGCTGAGGCAGGAGAATGGCGTGAACCCAGGAGGCAGAGAGTGCAGTGAGCCGAGATCGCACCATTGCACTCCAGCCTGGGCAACAAGAGCAAAACAACTTCTCAAAAAAAGAAAAAAAAAAAAGTTTAAAGTACATGCTGGATTTTGAAGAGTTGTATGAGGAAAAGGATATAAATTATCTTGTCAATTTTTAATATTGATTTCACATTGAAATAACATATTGCATATGTTATACTAAATAAGATATGTTATTAAAATTAATTTCTCCTTTTTTTTTTAGTGTAGCTACCAGGAAATTCAGAATTACATATGTGACTTGCATTGTGTTTTTATTGAGTAGCGTTGTGTTACAGTTTGAGGAGATCCCACCCCTCCGAGTCAGAGTGAGAAATCATAGCTGGCCCCCAATTGCACACAAGTTGGCAGTCATTGCCTGTGGTGCCAACCCTGTTCCATGTTGCAGCTGCCTGGGGGGATGTGTGAGGACTGTGAGACCATACCTTGGCTGAGCAGGCAGGAATATCCTGAACTCCTGGCCTGATACCACTTGCCCATCCAGGAGGAGTTCTTGATTAGCCTAAGGGATAGTTAACTAGAAGCTTCCAGGACACAGGACTAAGTTCAAGCTGAAGTTAAGGTGATTCTGTGAGAAGGCAAACACCTTACACAGTGTAGGTGAGGGGAGATTCACGCACCTGGAACCACCCAGGCTGGCCGAATTAAGCCTAAGTCACCTCTGGTAAAGAGGGAAGGAGGGTCCATCCCTGGTTCAGTTACTGACACCATAGGTGTAGATCACAGGTGCCTATGTCCTGCTGCTCTCCACAGGGACACTTTTCCTTGGAAGAGATTTACCAAATGCTAATTGAGTGTTTGTTAAATGTTTACTATGGGCCAAGCCCTGGGTTTTTCTCTATGCATTAAAAGTGTGAGTAAAGGGGAAAAAAGGGCTTCTGTCATGAGTGGCACACATAGGACAACTCAATTTCTCTTCATGCAGAATAAACATCAAGAGATTTTGGAAGCGTAATTTTTGGTAGTTGGGCAGCTGGTGATCACTGGTGCCAGCACCCTTACTCCTTGTCTAAATCAGAGGTTGCAGCTCTGGTCATGTTATATTAGATGATTCCGCACTCTAAACCTCCGTAGTAGATCCTGCCCCACCTCAGGGCTATGTGGTAGGATATATGCTGTTTCCACATTATGCGACTGCATGCTATCTTACTGGTTTAAATGGTGTAGGTGACCATAACACAATGGCAAGCATCCTGTGTATACAAGTACAGAAAAGATACAGTAAAAATCACTATAAAAGACAAAAAGTGGGGCGAGGTGCAGGGGCTCACACCTGTAATTCCAACACTTTGGGAGGCTGAGGCAGGAGTATCTCTTGAGGTCAGGAATTCAAGACCAACCTGGTCAACATAGTGAGACCCCATCTCTACGAATAAAAGAGTAAATAAAGGGCTCCTGATCTACTAGGGAGGTGAAGGCTGTTGGTCATTTGCAGGTAGTTAAAATTATATAGTAGTTAGGAAGTAGATGGGGCCATTCCGTTGTGGGCACAGGGGCTGAACTCACATCACACCTCACTCATTAGTAGATGACTGTAGATATCAAATTGCTTTAAACCAGTTTCTGCTTCTTCACTGCTGAATCCCCAGCACCAGGAAAAATGATTGGAACCATTAGTTGCTAAATAAGTATTTGTTAAATGAACCAGGGTTTGAATGGAATTTCTGCGTTTCTCCTACTCCCCAGAAAAAAGGGCCTGACCATGTCTCTCAGAGGCGGCCTAGAAGCTGGAGAACATGTCTCAGAACTAGTAACTTCCTTCTTCTCTCCCTTCCTCGTTTTTTAACTTCCTTCCAAATTTTGGTGTCTTTCCGACTCTAAGCCAAGTTCCCCTCACCAATCTTTCTGTTTCTAGAACTTTTTCCTATTCTTTTCCTTGGGTTCGTCCCACCCAAGAATAAGTTGCTTTCACTCTTGCTATTTGCTACAGCAATGCCCATTCCCCTACCATTTCCACTAGTCTAAAATATGGATTTTACACAGTGGTTTAAAAAAAGAACGACGTTGCTAATACGTTGGTTTGGGCCTAGGGGGATCTTCTGAGATCCTTCCGGGCAGAGGAAGAACTCTTAAAGTCATATTTGAAGGCACTGATGCTGGAGCTGAGAGGACTGGATGATGGCCTTAACTCAGATGCCATGGCACCAGGTAGCTGCCTCCTACTGTTGGTCAGTTTCTCCCTTCAAGGAACAAAAACTTCCCCATTCTCACTTCACCAGACACATTTCTTCTGTTTACATGAGGCTCTCAAGCATACTTAGGCTGGAGAAGAGGGTTCCATTAGACTTTGCATGGTGCCCACTTTTATTAGATATACCAATGATTTTGTTCTGGTTATATACTTGCCATTATTTTGGGAATGGGCATTTCTACATCACAATCTCTTTTCTTCTGACAATCCAGGAAACATCTCTGACATCTGACTATAAAACAGATGTTTCTGAAGATGGAGTATAGCCTTCACATAAAGCCTTGCCGTTTGTAGGAGAATTGCTGTATCTAACAACTGTTGCAACTTCCCAAGAGGAAAATGAAGTGCTTTAAACATTTTTTCATGGTGGCTCACACCTGTAATCCTGGCACTTTGGGAGGCCGAGGTGGGCAGATCACGAGGTCAGGAGATCAGGACCATCCTGGCCAACAAGGTGAAACCCTGTCTCTACTAAAATACAAAAAATTAGCCAGGTGTGGTGGCATGCACCTGTAGTCCCAGCTAGTCAGGATGCTGAAGCAGGGGAATCGCTTGAATCGGGGAGGTGGAGGTTGTAGTGAGCCGAGATAGCACCACTGCACTCCAGCCTGGCGACCGAGCGAGACTCCGTCTCAAAAAAACAAACAAACAAAAAAACCATTTTTTCAAAAATCTACTTAAATGGTTCAGAGTTCTTGTGGTTGGAGTGGCTTTCATCATAATTGCTGATGCAATTATAAGGTCTTCATTCAGCCTGAGTGTACACCATGGAATGAGGATGTGCTGAATGTAGTCTGTATTTCTCTAATGACATCCTTCATCCAAGTTTATTTTAATGCCACAGTATTTGGAAAGAGTAATTTACTAAGCCCTTGTCCCCAGTCCCACTCCCTACTTCCATTTTTCAGAGGTTTGTGTAGCATATAAAATAAAAGAGCAAATGCAAATCAAAAGTCTTCCAGCAGAGCTAGCGTTTCCTGTACTGCTTTGTAGTTCTGGCTATTTATGGTATAAACTATATTCAAGTCCCATAAACAGGGCTTTTCAATTAGCTTGAAAAAAATTATTAAATGTTTGGTGGGTACCAGAATAGCAAGATTCGTGGTTATTTGGAAGGCTTGTTTTATGCTTTGAGGCCACTGTGGCCTACCACAGAGCTACACCGCAGACCGTGAATTTAGCAAATCCCAGGAACTTGCCTGGAAGTCAGAATTGGTCCCATATGATTAAAAACAATTTATTCAAGTACCCAGTTTCTTCAAGCAGAAAGCTAGAAGCATTGGGATCGAGGAAGCAGATGTGGAAAGTCCAGATGAAGCACATATTCGGAAGACAGCATGTTGTCAAAGACAGTATAAACTGGATTCAGGACTACACCATGATTTTCCAGTTTAATACTATTGCCTTTAAAATAGAAATAGTGCTGCTTTATATTATGAAGGACTTTATGGACTGATTGATGTGTACTTTCCCAACTATATTTTCATTTCACCTTATTAATAATGTGAATTGTGAGGACCTTTTGCCTGGTTTACTCTGCAGACTGCATTTAAATGCCTTTCTCCAAGAAGCCTTCTTTGACTCACTCCTGAGACCAATCTCCATGGCACCCAGGACTGAGTTTGCTATTGCCCGTAACAATGGGTCCTGATCCCTCTCACAGCACCTGAATTTGCGTGATTATTTGTCTGCTGCCCCCATTGGACTTGTAAAAGTACTTGAAAACGTAGGTTCTATCTAGTTGGTTCTTGTGCTGCCAAACTTAGTGTAATACCCAGCATGTCATAGGTGCTGAATTTACTTGAACTGTTGGAGGCAAAAATGAGGTTCAGAAAACTTAAACATCTTGCCCAAGGTGCTAGAATGTGAACCCCATAAGAGTAAAGCCTCAAACTATCACATTCAGTACAATATCCCCAATATCTAGAAGAGTGCTTTGCACAGAGTAGGTCCGAAAAAGGTTGAATCAGTGAATACAATGGGTAATAGACCAGGACATAAACCCAGGTCTGCCCTATTAAAACCCTGTACTTTTTTATATTACATCCAAAAATATATACTGTGCTTTCTCTTCAGATGGTATAAATCTTTCGCCTTTTATTATACATTCAAAACATAAAAGGCGATTGAACCTATTTAATAAGCTCCTCCCACATGCCCAACCCTGTGTAAGCAACTTTCTTGTTTATGATTTTATTTAATCTTTCCAACAGTGCTGGAAACATTGTATGAGGTTACACTTCGCTTGGGTAAATACCTGAAAGCATAAAGTAGACATTTGTTTAATTTTATAAGAAGCTGTCAGTTTCCCAAAGTGATTAAAGTGATTGTTCCATTTTACAATCTTCACAACAATCATGAGAAAGTCTGAGTTGTGAGAAAGTCCGAGCTGTCCCAGGAAATTAAATCTACTTTCCCTTGACAGAAATATATTTAATCAGTTAAGAGTAGTTGAGACGATTTTGATGTTTTCCTTATCTTTCCAAAGGGCCTGCTTGTTCCTGTTTTGTACACACTGTCTTTAGAGTCTGCTTGGTTCTGAGCTCGTGTTTGACTTCATTTTGAAGTACAAAGTTTTTGCAGCTGTAATCTGATATGTGGAATTTGGTCATGCTCATGTGCATTTACTGGTATTTTAAGATATGAAAGTTCTTCCAAAATTATAGAAAGAGGAATTGCAGAGGAATATTTTTAATAGACACATTCATATATAGTAATCCCCTTGTGATATGCATGTTTTCTAGCAAAGTTGATTGTACATTTTATAGAGTATTCTATTATTTACAAGTTTAAGGTATATCACTTACTTAAAACTTTGGTTGAGGTAGGTGGCAAGTCTATTAAGATACTGGGCATTATCCATACATAATGGTATTTCTCCTGAAGATGTCATTTCCCCCTCATAGTTAAATTTCCCCTCAGAGCATTTTTCTAGTCCTGGAACTTAGCTGCATAATTGCCACAGCCCTACCAACCAAAACTGCAGAATTTCTCCCTGTGCTTGGGAATTCCGTGAAATTTCTCTATCTTGACTATCTATAAAGCTTAATATAGCCAACGATAACATTGCAGAAGTAGGGACTGCCATCAAAAATACAATGTGACATGGCTTTAAAATTCCATAGGAGCCCAAAAAGAAGTAAAACTATTTAGCTCCTGAATTATGAATTTGGAAATTTGAAATGTTTATATCAAATATATTGAGACACTGATACCTATATTTACAGCGAAACTAAGGAAAAAGAATGCTGCAGGAGGTTGTAGGAATAGAAGAAATGGGTGTCCTCTTAAAGCACACAGTTTTTATTCTAAACTTAAACATTTTAAAAGTTGATCATTCAAATTGTAAATGTTTTTCTTAATTATTGACCACAGATTTTTTAAAGTACAGTTTTTAATGCATACAAGTGTCATTTCTGTTTGTTTTGTATTACTTTCATTTTCTCATAGCAATTTACTACTACAAGGGAATAAGTAAAAATTTAGGTACTTATGAGCTTTGAGGATCAGTAAAAAATAAAGATATATCTGTTTGTCTTCTAGTTTAAACCACATAATTAGCTACTTGAATGTTTAATATTGGTTAGTTCATGTGTGTCTCCTCATTACTTCTGGCCTCCCCAATGGTAAAAGGGATGGTCCATTAGTTAAGCACATTATTTTGAGCAAAGATCACCCGTTCCCTGGCTCTGTGCATAAATAAAAGCGTATTTGTGCCAGTTGAGTGCCCTTGTGAATTGTGATGAAGATGTCATGCACTAATTTGCAGCCAGATTAGATTATGACAAACTTAGCAGGGATGACACGATTTTTTGAATGGATATTTGAAATTTTTCATGATTTGAAAGTCCCTGAGCCCTTTATTTTCATGAATGATTATACTCTGCAACAAGGGAGACTATATTTAATGATGTGATTAGCAGTTTGTGACATATTTCATTTTGTGTTCTCATGTAATTGAGTTATTTTCAAATAGTACCTTGGGGAGATGAATTAACTATTTTAGTGCCCTAGGATTTAGTTTAATGAAGTACTTCTCTCAATGTTACTTCAATGTTCTAGAACAGTGCCATCCAAATATATATATATAAAATGTTGTGAGACACATGTTAAGTTTTCCAGTAGCCACATTTTTAAAAACTGAAAAGAAATAGGTGATATTAATTTTAATAATATAAATTTAACCACCGTGTCTAAAATGTTATTTCAATATGTAATCAGTATTTTAAAAATATTAATGATGTAGTTTAGATTCTTTTTTTAAATACATCTTAGAAATCTGGTGTTTATTTTAAACTCACAGTACATCTCAATTCAGACTAGCCACGTTTCAAGTCTAGAAAGATCTCCCTGTCTTGCAGTCTGGAATCCTCACACTGGGTTTTGCTATGAAAATTACTAAGTTTTGTTTTTTCTTAGAGTCACATTTCACTATCTTTAAGTCTTGAGATCATTGGAAAGGGAAGTTTTGATCATTACAAAAGCCAGCACTTACTGAACCATCCACTGTGTGAAGCATGTTACACCTATTCATTATCTAATTTAATTTTCACAGGGACCCTATGAAGTTAGACATCTCTATCTCTATGTTACACATGAGGAAATTGAGGCACAGAGATTGAACTGTTTGAGGTCACATTGGGTAGTAAGAGGCACAGTCAGGATTCTAATCTAGGTTTGCTGGGCCCACCCCCAGCTCTCTGCTGAGAAAGGAATGGAGACTCCAGGCATGCTGGTTGCTGAGCTACCAGGAGCCTTTCCAGATCAGCGAGAATGGAGGGTGTGCCGAGCGGCAGCAGCCAGGAGAGCCACTGCTCTCAGCGCTGAAGCCCACCTGCTTCTCTGAACATCCTAGGCATGTGATTCTCTCTCTCCAGACAACATTTAGTTTATATTTATTTATTTATCATTACATGTGGAGATGTTTACCCACTATTAGTTTATATTTATTTATTTATCGTTACATGTGGAGATGTTTACCCACTAAGTTCATACAAACACATCCTTAAGCATGTTTATAAATATGCCTGAGTACCTATGCCTCATATTGTTGTGATGAATAACCCCTTAACCTTTGCACTGATAAGAACGTGTTAATGTCATTCAAACATATTTTTAATGTGGAGTTGTTTTTTTTTTATTTTAATAGGAGATTTTTTTTTTTTTTTTTTTTTTTTTGCAGTTGCAAGATGTAATAGAGTGAAAACAGAGCTCCCATACAAAGGGAGGGGACCCAAAGTGGGTAGCCATTGCCAGCTCAAATGCCTGGGTTTATATCCCGATCATTGTTCCTTCCCCTGTGCTCTCAGGCAGGCGATAGATGTTTGGCTATTTCTTTACCTCCTGTTTTTGCCTAATTAGCATTTTAGTGAGCTCTCTTTACTACTTGATTGGTTGGGTGTGAGCTAAGTTGCAAGCCCTGTGTTTAAAGGTGGATGCGTCACCTTCCCAGCTAGGCTTGGGGATTCTTAGTCGGCCTAGGAAATCCAGCTAGTCTTGTCTCTCGGTACCTCCTCTCAACAGGAAAACCCAAGTGCTCTTGGGGAGGTTGGCCGACAACCGCTCTAACTGCTTCCTGCTGAATTGGAGTGTAGTAGGGGTCATGCAGGGGTCCTTGGGAGGGGTGCCTTCGATGTCATCAACATTGGAGCATGGTCTAGCAGGCTGGTCCAGGGGTCCTCGGTAGATCTTAGTCATGGACTGCATCTGGGGCTCCATTTGAAGAACGATTTGTAGTTTTACACCTTTGATTCTGGAAGAGACAAACTTAACAAGGAGGTTAAAGATACAGGGATTCAAATGTATTCAAATAATACCCTGCAGTGCAGGGGATTATTTCTTTGGCACACGTCACAGGCCTTGACTATCTGCTTGATAGTTTTGAAAAGGCCTGGTCCAGTAAATAATGATTTGGCCATCTGATGGGTGCTATCAATGCCTAAGTGAAAGGTGTGGTGAAGGGTTTTAAGTAATTTCCATTGGTTAGCTGCAGGCAAAAGTATTTTTCCTTCTTTCGTGGCTAGCCATCCTGAGGGGAGGAAACTATGTCCTCGTGAGGTTCCCCATTCGATTTCTTCTGCTGAGTATTGGGGCTTGGTTTCCTGGAGGGGGTTACCCCATAAGAGGGGTCCTTCTATAAGCATTTCTAATGGAGGGTCCCGCCTTGCAGCTCTTTTGGCTTCAATATCCGCTTGGCGGTTCCCTTCTATTTCCCTTTCCTTTCCTTTCTGATGACCCCGGCAGTGTAAGACTGCCACCTCTTTAGGTTTCTGTAGAGCCAATAATAATCTCCTAATGGCTTCCTGATGTTTGATAGGTGTTCTCGGAAGTTAGAAATTCCCTTTCTCTCCATATTGCTGTGTGGGCATGGAGGACTAGGTAAGCATACTTAGAGTCTGTATATATATTTACCATTTTTCCTTTTCCTAATTCTGATGCCCGAGTGAGGGCTATTAGTTTTGCCAGCTGAATGCTAGTTCTTGGAGTGAGGGGATTACTTTCAAGTATTCTATTATCACTGACCACTGCATACTCCACTTTTTGAAGTCCTTTTTTCACAAAGGAACTTCCATCAGTATACAAGTTGAGGTTGGGATCAGTCAAGGGAACCTCTAGAAGGTCCCCTCGAGCGGCGTAGGTTTGAGCAATCACCTGTTGACAGTTATGTTCTATCTTTTCTTCATTGTCTGGAAGAAACGTGGCTGGGTTAAGAGTTGCACAAGTGCGCAGTCGCAGCACTGGCCCTTCAAATAAGAGCCTGATATTTAAGCTAATGGTTGTCTGACAGCCACAAGTCTCCTTTAGCAGTGAGTATGCTGTTCACATCATGAGATGTCCACACACATAAGATCTCTTCCTTGTATTATTTTAACTGCTTCGGAGGCTAAGACTGCTACTGCTGCCACTACCTGTAAACAATGAGGCCAACCCTTTGCCACTACATCAATTTTCTTACTCAAGTATGCCACAGGTTGCAAGCTGGTCCCTCAGACCTGTGTAAGGACTCCTAGAGCTATTCCTATTTTTTTTCTGTGACATATAAAGAAAAGTCTTGCCCCGTTGGCAAGCTTAACACTGGGGCTTGGGTTAGGGCCTTCCTTAGGGCCTGGAAAGCCGCTTCTGCTTCAGGTGTCCATCTTACTAAATGGGTATTGGCTTTCTGAGTTTCCTTAATTAGTGTATTTAATGGCCTGACTATTTTGCCATACCTGGGAATCCATATTCGGCAGAAGCCTGTTATGCCAAGGAGCCCTCTTAGTTGCTTTAGGGTTTTGGGATGAGGATAAGCCAGTATATGCTGGATACATTCCTCACTGAGGGCCCTAGTGCCTTTGGATAATTTTAGCCTTAAGTATTTAACCTGCTGTAAGCAGAGCTGAGCCTTTGGTTTGGAAACCTTGTAGCCACAAGTGGCAAGGAAGTTTAAAAGCGCTTGGGTGGCTTGATGGAGCAAGGTTTCTGAATGGGCGGCTAGAAGTAAATCATCCACGTACCAAAGGACAAGAGTGTCCAAGTATGAGAACTGGCTAAAGTCTTGGGCTAATGCCTGGCCAAATAGATGGGGGCTATCCCTGAACCCTTGGGATAAGACAGTCCAGGTGAGTTGAGACGTTGGGTTTGAAGGATCTTCAAAGGCAAAGAAGAATTGAGAGTTGGGATGTACAGGGATGCAGAAAAAGGCATCCTTAAGGTCCATGACTGTAAACCACTCTGGTTCCTCTGGTATTTGGGAAAGCAGAGTACAAGGGTTAGGTACAGCTGGGTATAGAGGGATAAGAGCCTCATTGATAATCCTGAGATCTTGCACTGACCTCCACTGTCTGTTGGGTTTCTGTACTCCTAAAATTGGAGTATTGCAGGAGCTATTGCATGGTTTTACTAGGCCTTGGGCTTTTAGGTCCTTAACAATTTTTTGGAGTCCTTGTTGGGCCTTGGGTCTAAGAGGGTACTGCCTTTGGTAGGGAAAGGAGGCAGAATCCTTTAGTTTAATTTGAACAGGACAGGCATTCTTTGTTCGTCCATATTGTCCTTCTGTTGCCCAGACTTCAGGATGGATTAATTCCTTCCTCAAGCAGGGGACAACAAATGGATGTTCTTTCTCCTATGTTCAGGTGTATAATGGCCCCTGCTTTTGCTAGAATGTCTCTCCCTAACAAGGGAGTGGGGCTTTCAGGCATAATTAGAAAAGTATATGAAAAGAATAAAGTTCCCCAGTCACAGCTTAGTGGCTGGGAGAAGTATCTAGTGACTGCCTGTCCTAGGACCCTTTGGATAGTGACAGATCTGGAGGACAGTTGTCTGGGACAGGAGAGTAAAACTGAGAAGGTCGTGCCAGCATCCAGGAGACAGTTAACCTCCTGACCCTCAATGGTCAAGCATACCCGGGGTTCTGTGAGGGTGATGGCATGGGCTGGCACTTGGCCCGGGCACCCTCAGTCCTGCTGCTGGATCATCTGGTTAGTGGCTTCTGACTCGGAGGACTTTCATCCCCTGGGGCAGTGGGCCTTCCAGTGATTCCCTTGACATAAGGGACATGGACGAGGGGGCGGCTTATTTCTATTTGGACAATCTTTTTTAAAGTGTCCTTGTAGACCGCACTGGAAGCAAGCCCTATTAGCATTCAGTTTGCCCAGCTCTTCCCTTTTCCAGAGCCTAATAGGAGTCATTTTAACAGAAGTCATTTTCTTTTTCCCTGGAGTCTATAAGTAGGGATGTGGAGCTGGGAATCTCCTAACTATAGACATAGGTAAGGAGAAAGAAACTAGCGATGTCTTCCAAGCATACTTTCTTGCTAGAAGACTGAAGAGAAGAAAAATGTTTTTCAATATAGTTGGTCAGGTGAACTAGAGTCTTCTCTTGGAAGACTTTGCCAAGCCTCCCTGAGTTTGTTAGCATACTGAGCATAGTAGGAACTAGCCCTTTCCTTTGGGCTGCTTCCATTTCTCCATCTACACAGCAAATAAGAGAAGGGGAGGAGAAATAGGAGAGGAGCTTGGAGGCTTTCTGCCCACCTCTCCATAAGTTAGCTGTCATATCCCAGGGAGACAGAGTTCCAATTTAACCAAGTGTGGGACATATCCCTGAGCCATCTGAGCACCTGATGTATAAGAAGAGATTGCTCGAAAGACTATCGTGGTTCTCCTGGGATCCGGGCTTCCAAATGCCCAAGATTTGGAGAAAATGACTTATTATGTATGACCCAGAAATATGATGTGTAATCTTTGATATGATGAAAACAACCCATTACTTTAGCAATCCAAAAATTATACTCATTACCTGAGTGGATTTTGGGGCTGAGTATTTGCTAAATAACCTGAATCTTCAGTTATAATTGTTCAGTAAAGTATGAACAGGGAAAGAGTAAACTAACAGTTCCTGCTTGTCCTACCCTTCTAGCCTGCAGGTTCTATCCAGTCATGCTGGTGTGAGCCCTGTCATATCTCAGATTTCATCCCTGGGTCTGAGCATAAAGGGATTGACCATCTTAAGTTTTGGCATCCCATGATAGACATTCAGGACAGTGTAGATAACTTGTAAGAAGGAAGAGTCATTTTCTTTTCAGCCAATAAGTATCTGCTGAGTACCTGTGTACCAGGTGCTCAGGGGAGACAGAAGTATATGTGACAGATACATATCTGGGAAAGAACAATATTCAACAAGATACCATCAAGTAAGCTCTGTATTGCCGTTTCTACTAAGTTCTTGAAAATCTTGTAGAATATTAAAATATGTTTCAATTATATTAGTAGGTTCTTATCAGTGCAAAGGTTAAAAGGTTCAGTAAAGAAAAAAAAAAAGACTCTGGAGTCAAACCAACCTCATGTCAAATGCCAAGTCTCGCTAGCTGTGTCACCTTGGGTACAGTACTTAACTTTTTTAAGCCATATATTTATCTAGAAAGTAGGAACAACGATAGTCCTTATAGGATTGTTGTAAACATTAAATAATAGAATAAATGTGTGTGGTTTTAAAATGTGTCTATAAAAACCTTTTTTACAAAAGAATCCCAAGTGTAATATGTGCAGATACTTCTTCTCCAGGAGGTAGAGAAGGAGTATCTATATCCCTGAACCTTAAGTATGGGCTAGACGTAGTGACTGGCTTCCAAGGAAGACATGTGGAAAGGGAAAAATACTTTACCTGGAGAAACCTGGTAGATAACTCTTTGACCAAATGATCAAGTTAACATGATCAGAGAGAATGTACCTCCTGAAATGGTATGATGAAAAGGGCACTTCATCTTTGTGGTAATCTTTCCAAAAACTCATAACCCCAGTGTGACCATGAGAAAATACATCAGACAAACCCAAATTGAGGGACATTTTTAAATACCTGACCAGCACTCCTCAAAACTATCAAGGTCAAGAAACACATGGAAAAACTGAGAAACTGTTCCAGACTAGAAGAAACATGCCAACTAAATGCAATTTAGTATCCTGGATTTGGATCTTGGAAGAGAAAAAGGGACATTAATGAAAACATTGGTGAATCTGAATACAGTCTAGAGTTTAATGAGTAATAGTCTACTAATGCTGCTTTCTTAGGTTTCACAATGTACCACAGTAACATAAGATAATATTAAGAAAAAAAATGAAACCATGTTAAGGGTATATAGAAACTCCCTGTATTATTTTTGCAACCTTTCCTTAAATCTATCATAAGTCCAGAAAAATTATTCAAAATTTTTAAAAAATTTATTTTAAAAACATATGTTCACAAATTCTTTCATACCCCTTCCTTCAAAAGATAGAGAGATTGCCTCTCCTTGAGTAGGCTGTATTTAGTATTTCACTTCTAATGAATACAATGTGGCATAATTGATAATATGTAAATTCCAAGGCAAGGTCATAAAACCTGCTGTCTGGGATCACTTGCTCTGGAGGAAGCCAGCTGCCATGTCATGAAGTCACTCAAGCAGCCTTCTTCACAAAGCGACCCACAGGGTAAGGGACTAGGTTCCCCTACCAACAGTTAGCAAGGGACTGTGTCCTCCTAGCAACAGTCATGTCAGTGAGCCTTTTTATAAAAGGACCATCCAGCCTCAGTCAGGCCTTCTGACAATTGCAGTCCTGGCTCATCGCTTGCCTAAAACTTCATGAGAAACCTTGAACCAGAGCACTCAGCCAAGTGGCTCCCAAATTCCTGACCACAGAAACTGTGAGATACTAATGTTTGTTGTTTTAAGCCACTAAACTTTAAAATGATCTGTTATATGTAAGTAGATAACGAACATGAGATGAAACATGGTTAGCAAATCACCTAGTGTATATAGGTATGCAATGAATTTTTGTTCCTACTATAGCGTTATTGTTCAAAAACTGTTATTTTTCTTCCCCTGATATTCTGGTCCTCCCATTTCCTCTCTACTTGGAAGAGTAATTCTTAACCCTGGCTGGATATGAGAATCACTTGATGAGCTTTTTAAAAAAAAAAACACCAGGGCCCAAAGCCCTAGACCATATTAATTGAATCACAAATTTTGGGATGGGACACAAGCACCAATTTTTTTAAATTTATTTTTTATTTCAGTAGGTTTTGGGGGAACAGGTGGTGTTTGATTACATGAATAAGTTCTTTAGTGGTGATTCCTGAGATTTTGGTGCACTCATTACCCAAGCAGTGTACACTATACCCAATATGTAGTCTTTTATCCCTTACCCTCCTCCCACTATTTCCCCTGAGTCCCCAAAGTCCATTGTATCATTCTTATGCCTTTGCATCCCCATAGCCAGGCACCAATTTTTTTTAAGTTCCCTTCGTAGTTTTCATGGGCAGCCACGATAAAGGACTACTGCTGTAGAAACAGTAACATTCCTGTAATCCCAGCACTTTGGGAGGCTTAGGCGGGTGGATCACGAGGTCAGGAAATCAAGACCAGCCTGGCCAACATGGTGAAACCCTGTCTCTACTAAAAATACAAAAATTAGCTGGGCGTGGTGGCGCGTGCCTGTAATCCCAGCTACTCGGGAGGCTGAGGCAGGAGAATCGCTTGAACCAGGGAGTCAGAGGTTGCAGTGAGCTGAGATTGTGCCACTGCACTCCAGCCTGGTGATAGAGCGAGACTGCGTCTCAAAAAAATAACAAAAAAGTAACGTTTAAATATGGGCTACCAACATTCCGGCTTCTGAACTTAGGAGTAGAAAGTTATATTTCTTGATATTTTATCAAAACTGGCTTTATGCTTAAGAGAAAATGTGTTATGCAAAAGAGATTCAAAAACTGTCCATTGAAATAGCATGTAATTATATGTAGCCTTCTTTGAAGAAAATTAAACAAGCTTTACTATAAGAGTTTGCCACTTGACAGGCAGAAACCACAGGACAATTCTATAGACCTTATGGCAGGAAGCATACTATTTGTAGACAGTATTTCAAAGGGTAGTTAATGCTTGCTTGGTTAGTATACTAAACTGGAATTCCTTCCTTCCTGTTTATATTTTCTTTCTCTTTGTAAAGCATACATACCAAAGCAACATTTGCTGCATATGAGTTTAAGAAAATCACCTGCTGAAGGTAATTTTCTAAGAAAAAATAAATTACTAGTTTGTTTAAATAGAAGGTCTGCATATTTTACATTGAAAACATGGAGCCAGGAAATAGACAACCTACAATTAGTGTGGAGGAGTTTATCATTTCATCCCATTGTATAACCCATGGAAAAAAAATAATCTATGTGTTGTGGCCAGGAACCAGGTCTCTACCAAAGTGAGTTTTGACCTTTCTGTTTTGTCATCTGGGCAGCTCATTTACCAAAAGGGAGAAGCAAATGGTAATTCCTGGGCTAAGCAGGCTCATCGCTGTCCAATGAAACTCCTTTACTTAGATTTGGACACTAAGTTGAATATATTTAAAAGGCATTTGTTGAACATGGATTTTGTGTGGGAACTTTAGAAGATTTTGAAGATTCTGCCCCTGGCTCCACAGGTTTGTAACCTGTGTATAGGATGTACTTTGAGTTTTTGCCTTCTAAATCATGAGTAAAATGCAAGTTCAAAGAACGATAAGCATGGATCAGTTTGGACAGAAAAGATGTGTAGGAGAAGGTAGCATTTGATCTTCATAAATAAGAGTAGTAGGTCTTTGATATTTGACCCAAGTCATGGGTATAGTTTGGATAGGTAAGGAGGAAAGAGAGCACCTAAGCCAGAAGAGAATCACAACAGCAAAACTAAGCATCATGTGGACAGTGGTGACATGACTAACTTATATAAAGTGGAGGTTTATTTCAAAAGTAATGGAAGTGATTTTGAATAAGTAGATCAGGTGATCTGATCGGGTGATCTTCAGATGATGCTGAAGCCTTGAAGGCCAAGGTGAGGACCCAGTAACCATTGAAA
The DNA here is from genome assembly GCF_000001405.40 of Homo sapiens. NCBI lineage: Eukaryota > Metazoa > Chordata > Mammalia > Primates > Hominidae > Homo > Homo sapiens. Next base: position 80,735,033 of record NC_000008.11, on the reverse strand, counting down.
GTTCCTGAGCAAATTGAAATTGGGGGGATGTGTACAGAAGGAAGGGGAGAAGGAAGTAACCTGCAGGATGGTTTGAAAAGAATAAAACAGTAGAAGGATGAACAAATCTGAGACATAATAGAGAAAATTAAGAAACTTGATTAATTGGAAGCATACTCTCCTTTTAAGGGATATGTCCTAGGCTGAAGGCCAGCTCCAAATGGCAGACAGCCATAAATAGATAGTGACGATAGTGAAAACACAATCAACAAATAACCTACTTTGAACATTTGAATCTAAAATTTGTAAATTAGGAATATAATTTTATAATCTTATAGCTCAAGTGGAATACATGCTAAAACTTATAAAGGTGTTGTGGTAAAATGCTCATCTTTCTATTGTTGATAAACTCAAACTGTATTTCAACAGGAAATAAGGTTTTATCTGCAAATATACATATACTTAAAATATTCCTTTTAAAGTGACAGCATCACATCTGGCAATTTGTTTCCTTCCTTTCTAATGAAAATTATCTGAATTTTTAAGTTCCAGTTTATCTTGTTCAGTATTATACTGAACAGTTAGACATCTAATTCTTGTTATGGATAGTCATAGTACTTCAAATATAAGACTTCCTTATATATTTGAAACATTTCTTCCTTTCATCTTTTAGGTAACTAACCATTAGGTAGGCATCCTGATATAATGGTAATATTAAACAATCCAGAAAACGTGGAAATATTCCCAGGGTCCTGTGGACCTTTCCATATGACTGATTGAGTATCCTTACAACATGGCTACTGGTTTTCCACAGAACTGGAGTCTGTGTCCTTCTCTGAAGACTAAAGAGAAGCAATGGCCAGCTTGTCTAGTGATCTGGTCCTGCAGGAAACTGCTTGACAGTCTCTGTAGAAACGATTTGTTTCTATCAATAGTGGTTTCTCACATTTTGCTATGACCAGTTGACTTGTCATAAATGAGTAGATTGGCAGTTTTTCGAAACACCATCTGGAGAATACTGGTTTGTATCATATGGGAGTGGTTTTGAATAAGTTATACTATCAGATCCATAGCAAAAAAAATGCATATCGTCTTTTGTTTTCTGAGGTGACTATAATTCTAGATTAGCTAATAAAACAATACAAAGATTTCCACTTTTTTGTAGGGTTCAAAGTTTAAACCATCCTTCCCTCTGAGAACAATAAAAGCTGGACAAAATATACTAAAAGGAATTGCTCAGAGACATGGGAAGTCTAAAATTATGGGAAAATATGGAAAATGAGTAAGAAATAGAGAGGTGAATCTGCCATGTAGGGCCACTTTTCCACTCAGATATCTTATGGTCCTGGAAGAGGTAACCGAGAAGCTGAGAAATGTAGCAGGGCTTTTGACAGCCCTGTAGGATAAGGGAATAAAATTTGAAATCCAGAAACCAACCAAAGCTGGGAGTGAAGCTAGTAAATGCCCCACACTTTGGATTGAGACATGGCTGGCTACTGCCAGGAATAAGAGTGAAGTAGATTGGCCCACTCAGAGTCTGAAGCTCAACTTCAAATCAGTTTTAATCCTTGAAATTGAATCAAGATTATCTTGGATTGCTGGTTTCTATACCTGCCAATAGCAAAGTAAAGTACATCTCAAAAAAATGTGTTTTATCAAAGCCTCAAATTATTTCTACAGATTTTATATAAAGTATCCACTACTCAGGTAATAATAACCAGGATCATGAGGAGATAAGGCAGTGTGCATGGGAAAAGAAAACAATGAAAATAACAGATAATGGAAACACAGGGCTCCACATAACACATTTACTATACACACTTTTAAAAATGTTTAATATGTTCTATGAGATTAAAAAAGACTGGGAATTTTAGAAGAGAGCTTGAAACTACCAAAATAAACCAACTGAAAAATTCAAAAACTGAAATTAAAAACTTAATGGGTGGGTGGATTTGCTTTTATTGCTGTGTTCACAAATCACCCCAAGCCTCAGTGACTTAAAGCAGCAAAAATCATTTAATCTTTCTCATAGGAAAGATTAAATGAGTCGAGATTTAAGGATTATAATTTGGCTGGTTCTCTTTTTTTTTTTTTTTTTTTTTAGGCAAGGTCTCACTCTGTCACCCAGGCCGGAGTGCAGTGGTGCAATCTTGGCTCACTGCAACCTTGACCTCCTGGACTCAAGTAACTCCTGCCTCAGCCTCTCGAGTAGCTGGGCATACAGGCGCATGCCACCACGCCCGGCTAATTTTTGTATTTTTAGTAGAGATGGGGTTTCACCATGTAGCCCAAGATAGTCTCAAACTCCTGGGCTCAAGCAGTCTACCCACCTCAGCCTCCCAAAGTGCTGGGATTACAGGCGTGAGCCACTGCACCCAGTTTGGCTGGTTCTTGCTCAAGATCTCTCATGAGGTTGCCATCAGATCTTGCCTGGGGGCAGTCATCTAAAGACTTAAGTGAGACTAAAGCCATCTGAAAGGAGCTCCCTCATATGGGTGGCAGGGTGGTTCCTTTTGATGAGGGCTTCTCCAGAGGGCTGCTTGAGTGTCCTTATGACATGGTGGCTGGTTTTCCTCAGAACTAGAAATCCAAGCAAGCAAAACAGAAGTTATAAGGTCTTTGGCAGCCAAGCCTCAAAAGTGGCACACTGTTGCTTCTGCCATATTCTATTAGTCACACAGATAATCCCTCAGCTACTATGACAGAAGACTACCAGAAGTCCCTTGGTAGCTGGCTACTATGATGGATTTAACTAAAGATTAAGCAGAAGAGAAAATTAGTAACCAGGAAAGGGGAATAATAAACAGAATAGAACACCAAGAGACAAAATCCCGAAAATGGGTGTAGTATATAATTGGATTATCATAGGAGAGCACAGAGAGATGAAGGTGGAAACAGTCATATATTTGAAGAGATGATGACCCCAAACCTTCCAAAACCAATGAAAAATCTCAAGGCACAAATTCAGGAAGCCTTGTGAAATAGTGCAAAACCAGAGTTTCTGTTATACTATGTGCACATATAATTGGTCTTTAGTATTTTTAGCCTCTGTTTGAAGACATTATCATTAGTTTGAACATGGCTGTTCATTTTTATTTTGGAAAAGTCTCACCTTCATGTGATATGCAATGTTAGCACTGTTTGTGTTTCATTCTTGTTTCTAGCCCTTGGTAACTAACCTTTGGATCAGCCTGAAGCACTATAAAAAGGGAAAATGTGCATTATAACAGAGAATAAAACTCCACTTAACTTGATGTGTTTGGGGGGTTTTCTGGTTTGTTTGTTTTTTTCTAGAGATGGAGTCTCACTCTGTCACTCAGGCTGGAGTGCAGTGGCATGATTATAGCTCACCACAGCCTTGGATTCCTGGGATCAAGAAGTCCTGCCTCAGCCTTCCAAGTAGCTGGGACTATAGGCACATGTCACCACACCCGGCTGACTTGATGTTATCTAGCTATAAAACATTCAGCTATTACTAATGATATAGATATCTTTCATACATATAGAAAGTAGTGATAGTTGAAATTCATAAAGATGATTTTGAAGTATTGAAATCCCATTAGTATGTATATTTTAATGTTATGGTGTATTTATGATTTTTTTCTTTAAATACATCATGATGTAGTCCAGGTCTTTAAAAATTGATCATGTATGTATACCATTGATAACTGATTATTTGAATCACCACATATACCATTCCTTGGTCTTATATCAGCAGGAGTTAATTTGATATATACCCAGCTCGTTTATTTAGAAAAACTGCCAATTTTGCTTTTACCAGCTGTTTTTAAGTGGCAAGTATTTTAAATAATAGATTTACCAATAGAAATCTATTGGTAGAAATCTACCAATCAAGATCCCTAAATTTTGGTATGGATTATTAAACAGTAGATGCTGTCTGTTTAGCAATGGAACCTGGTTCTTGTTCATGCAGGTAGGGACAGATGGCCATTCTGGCTTCAAATGTCAATTTGGTGGCAAACATAAGAATATAACTACCTTAAATCAGATTGGGTTTAATCCATTATCTCTTAGACGGGTGGTTCCTCATTCATTTAAAAGTATTCTCCAGTGAACTTTTTCTTCAAATATAAATTTGAAATAAATGTCTTAAAAAGTTGGTTTCAGTTATCAAATTATATGAATCTATTTGTTTCTTCAGTTTAATCAGAATTTGAATATATGAGACATTCATGTCACATCTTTCATTTCTCAATTTATAACTAATTCAACTCATGTTGTTTGTGTGGCTACCTTTTCATTACAGAGATTAACTTCTCCCTGGTATAAACCACCAGCTTTACTAAACCAGGGCAAAGTTTAGAAGTAATGTTGTTTGCAAAGTTATAGCTTTAAAAAATGGAAGGAGATGCTCCCACCATTGGAGAAAAAAAATCTAATCTATTTTTTAGAAATTAAAATACATTATTATTGTTGGTAATTATTATACTTTATCACCCGTGACCACAATTAACTAATGCACAACTTTTTTTTTTTTTTTTTTTTTTTTTTTTTTAAGATGTAGTCTTGCTCTGTCACCCAGGCTGGAGTGCAATGGCACGACCTCGGCTCACTGCAACCTCCGCCTCCTGGGTTCAAGTGATTCTCCTGCCTCAGCCTCCCTAGTAGCTGGGACTACAGGCACGCACCACCATGCCTGGCTAATTTTTTGTATTTTTAGTAGAGATGGCATTTCACCATGTTGGCCAGGTTGGTCTCAAACTCCTGACTTCAGGTGATCTGCCCACTTCGGCCTCCCAAAGTGCTGGGATTTAAATGCACAACTGTTTAAATGAACTAAACAGCATGATTTCATGTATAGTCATGGAGCACACAAACAATATTTTCTGGACACACGTGTTTCTTCTTTTAACTGTAAAAGAAAAAATGATTTCACAGGAATTACATTATTTAAATCTATTTCCTTCTCATGTGACTGAAGTTTAAAGTTCTTAGTGCTGCAATCGCATCTTCTCAGGTGTGTTCTGTTTCCGTCCACCTATGCATAGGTGTTGGTGTTGTTCATGTCAAGCTGCCTAATTTGTTTAGTAGGTGTTCGAATGGGGCATACAATTCTCTAGACATGTGGCAAGCACACGGGAGAAGCCACCATCCAGGTGATTCGCAGCAGTAAGGCTGATCAGAAATTTGATCCTGGCTCAGGGGGGTTCCGGCAGTAATCAAACTCTATTCACCTTGGGTGAGATTTCGTTATACCTATTCAGCCCTGCTTCAGTGAAATCTCACTCAGGAAAATAGATTCTGTCTCCAACTGGAATCTCCCAAAGCCATGACTATGTTTCTGATCAGCACTACAGCTCAGATGAAGCGTTCAGTTACCTGCCAGCCAGTCAGCATTTCCCCAGACTGCAACCAGTGTTGGAACCAATCTGCAGGAGTGGGTGGATTGGTAGTGAAACTGGTTCTGGTGAAAAAACTTCAAAAAATTTTCACAGAAAAATGATTGACTCCCACTTAATTCAATGAAGCAGGATTACTCTCTGGGACCCAAGAAGAGGATGCCAGGTTTCAGCTGTGGTGGAGGGGATTCTAGGTCCCTGTTCTTAGTCCTCATACCCTTCCCATTATTGAGCTCCTTCTGCACGCCAGGCAGTAGGTTCAGAACTATATGTTATCTTACTTGGCACCTCACGACACTATGAAGAGTACATTATCACCCCATTTATAGCTAAGAAAACAGGCTCAGCGCAATTCAGTGTGTTATCTGAGGCCACCCGGCTTTTGTGGTATAGATTGTACCCAAATCCAAATCCTTCTAACCTGACAGCCCCCACCCAACCACTCATTTTGCCACCCTTCCCCATTTTAGTAGTTTACATCTCACCTCCTCCATCTGCTCTTTCTTATCTACCTGTCTTTCATCCTCTCTGTTCCTATGTTTTCTTCCCATTCTTTCTTTCCCTTACCTTCATTTACTTTTCTTTTCCCTAAAACCCTAGCTCAAATAGTTCAACAGAGGTTACTTGAGGAGTGAGGGGAGGGAATGATGAAAACTGCAGGTGTATTCCGTTTGTTCCTTCGTCTTCCTTAAATATTTTCATAACGGTCGTTTCGGTTCGTGCAAAGAAAAAAAGAATGAATCAACTCTTAATGACTGCCTCCTACTGCTGAGCTCTCTGGACTAGTCACTTCATTTATATTTTCTCATTTTCTTTATTCCTTACTATATTTCTCTGAAGTGTCATTCCCATTTCATAGTTGAGGAAGCTGGGACTCAGGAGGATTAATAACTTGTCCAGCGTTACAAAGTGAGTTTAGGAGCCACAATTCAGATTCAGATTTATTGACTCCAAAATTTTTGCAGGTTTTACCATAGCATGTTGCTTCAGAAATAAACAGACCTGGCTGCAAACCCCAGACCCAATTACTCTGTGCCTTTAAACAAGTTACTTCACTTCTTTGGTTTTTGTCACCTATAAATTAGGGATAATAATAATAAATACAACATGGAACAGTTACAGTGTTAAATGATTGAGGCATGTAATTTGCCTTACGAAATGCCTAACTCATGGGGTGCCCTTAAGAAATACTACTCTCCCCCACCTCCTTTACAAAATTGCATGTCTAATGCAGTGAGAAATGCCAGGCGTGGAAGATATTCTAGGTTTGATCATCTGTGGTTTCTTGGCCAAAACAAGAAGTTTGAGTTCTACATTTTATTTTGAGTTATTAAACATTGCCATGCATCCACAAGAGCTGTATTGTGGCCTGTAGAGAAACATAGCATAGTAATCAAGAGTGCAGGCTTTGGGCCCACAGCTCTGACCTGAGGCAAATTCCCTACCTCTCTGGCCCTCAGTTTCCTAATTTGTAAAGTGTGTATATGTGTGGAGGTGGCAATGACTACTTTGTAGGGTTATAATTTGGATTAAATTAGATAAAATATATAAAACATTTAGCATAGTTTCTAGCATAAAACAAGAGCTAAATAAATGATAATGATTACTATATTATTTAATATTATTGCTGTGGTGTTTTTTATACTCTTGAGCTAAAAAATTTTGAAGAATCACACAGACTGTAACTCATGCCCTTGTAATTGGACCCTATTTTTGAAGAATGCTGGTTACCTTTGTAGTTTGGTAAGTGCAGCAATCAGTGACTTATTTACTGATAAGCTCTGCTTTCCTCTTGCTCAGGAGCTGATACTAATGCAGGCAATGTGTTATGTTTCCCACGACACCCTTGAATAAAATGCCATTTCCTCAGGAACAGCTAGAAATACCGATGCTAATTTTTCCTATGCTCAGGAAAAGCAAGAGCTCTCCTGCTGCAGTGGGCTGGAAGGAGCTCTCCAGAAATATTATGTCATCCTAATTTGCACTGCCAAGGGATGAGCTCATCGGGGCGGGGTCTCATGAGGCTGCAGCTGTGCCAGTTCCTCACTTGTATGATGTGCGTCCTCCAAGCTCGCCTCTCCCTCGTTACCCGCTCCATCCACCCCCTGCCTGCCTGCGCCAAACAAGAGCCACTGCATGATGAATTATTTAAAACCCGAAGGCGAACTCTTGCAAAATATAACCAGGCATCAGAAGGCACAAAAAAAGCAAACTGTGCGTTTTGGTTATTTTGTATTATTTTTAAAAACGAAAAAAAAAAACAAAAACAAAAACCAGTTGCAGAACTGCTGTTGTCACTGAGAAGAGACTTCTGTTGTTTCTTTTGCATCTCCTTCTTTGTCTGAGAGCAGAATCTTTCCCCTCTTCCACTTAAAACAACAACTTGATCTATGACTGAACCGATGCTGGGTCTGAGCCGATCGTAAGTCTGGCCCTGAGCCACATGGCTATAGCAAGGGAGAAATGTGTGCGATTTCCCACATTCTTTTCATTATAATATGTATTGTGAGTATCTTTATTTAATCTCTTGCTATTCTACCTGGCAGTATAGGTTGTGGTTAAAGTCAGGCAACCTAAGTTTGTATTCCAACACAGATATATGTACTATCATTATGATGGAATTGTGTTGCTGCTCCAGGCCTCAGTTTCTCCATCTGTAAAATGGGGATAATAATCAATCCTAGATCAAAAGATTATTGCAAACATTAAATGACTATTACATGGTAATCTTTAAGAACAGTGCCTGGTCCATAGAATGTACTCAATAAATGAGTGATCATTAATAATATACAGATGCATAACTGCTTTATTAACCATTATAGGAAACTGTGTGTGTCTGTGTGTGTGTGTGTGTGTGTGTGCATGTGTGTGTGTATTTTTAACATGAATTGGAAGATGTAAAGGCATTAGATGATGTACTTTCAAGGAAATTATTCTCTCATGAAAAAGGCCTGTTTTGTTTTTACCTGTTGTTACGGAAATTTTTAAACATACACTGAAATAGGATCAATATTGAACTCCCTGTATGTCCATCATCCCAGTTCAGTAATTATCAACATTTTGGCAACTTTGTTTCATCTACTGTCTCCACCCTTTTTTTCAAGGTGGAGTATTTTAAGAGCAAATCCCAGACATTATATCATTGCACCCATAATCTTTTGAGTATGTACCTCCAACAGAAAAGGATGTTATTTTTAACTTAACCACAGTTATTCTGACACCTCACAACATTAAAATAGTTCTTCATTATTAATATCCAATGTCCAGTTCATCTTCAAATCTCCCCTGTAGCTGAAAAGTGTCTTTTTACACCTTCAAAAAATCATAGAAAATATTCCTCATTGCTTAAATTTTTTAAAAAAGGAATTTCTAAATATGTCGTAAATTCTTGCTTTTACAGAGCTGAATTTCAAACTGATTAAAAAACACATGTGTTGATATTTATGCAGTAAGAAAAAAATTGCAAATTTATTTTTATCATTGTTAATCTGAATAATTTGTTTTAAAGTAAGAGGTTCTGTACTGGTTAAAGTAACTAATAAATATGTATTAATTTTATAATTATTAATTTTATATCTGTAAGTCAGATGGCCAATATTTTGATATGCTCTGTATCTAAACATACGACTTAAAATCTTATTTAAATCAACACGGTATATAAACAAGACCATAATTTATTGACTCTTTCCCTATTGTAGACATTAATTAGCTTGTTTCATCTTAGATTTAATGTGTGTTACTCACTACCTACATTAGACATTTGTTTAGAAAAATATTTAATGTTCACTATTTCCTTTTTAAAAGAAATTTCTTTTACTTTTAAGCTGTTCCTGCTTAAATGTATATATTTAATTTTTAGAAAATACATCTCTCTCCATTTAAGGGCAAGCTCTGTATGGCTCCAGATGTGTTTAGAATTCATATAAGCATTGTTAACAGTAAGCCCCCAGGGAGACATGAGCTAGGTCCACAAAAACTTATATGTACAGTCTATTTTTCATGAAGGATATTGTCTCTGTTTCATTGCTGACTCTAAGTTTGCAGGATGACATCATCATCTTGGACAAATCAAGGTCATTCAGAAGCCTCTCTGCTGGGGCCCTCATTACTTTTCCAGCATCGTCTCCCATAACTTCCTCTTTTCCCCATCCCCTATGTATCTGAGACTCCAAATGCATTAGACAATTTGGCATAATCTTTGTGTTTTCGTGTCCATGTTCTTCTTGTTCTTAATTCCATATACGTGATGTAGGGCTGCTGTATTAAGTAAATAAAAATACAGGAGGCCCACTGAAAATTGAATTTAACATAAACTAAAAATCTATGGTCATTGTTTATGTTCCAATATTGTATGGGATATACTTATACAAAAATTTTGTTTGTTATTTATCTGAGATGAAAATTTAATTGGAAGTCCTGGGTTTTATCTGACAATTTAACCTAAGGAAACCCTTCAAGGACTGGCCTTTTTTCCAGAAAGCCTTCCCCACTATACTCCTTCTGCCCTCCTACCACAGTACTTTGCTGGAACCTCTAATAAAATATTTAAGTGCCCTAACATTTCATAGTGATATGTATGTGTCTCCCTACCACTTTGTAACACAAACACTATGTCTTATTCTTCAAGTCCTAGGATTTAGCATTTGCACTTTGGTGAAGGGGTAGGAGGTGTTGCTCTAAAAGTAGATAGAGAGTAGGTCATAAACACTTTATAAACCACACTTAGAAATCTGCCTTTAAATGATAAACAGTGGAGAGCCACTGGAAATTGTTCAGACCTGGAATGGCATGATTTTATTTAACTTCTGAAGAGACTGCTTGAACGGCATTGTGGGGCGCAGAATGAATGGAGCAGAGACTAGGGCAGGGAAATCAGTTAAGGGGTTATCGTTTTGAGGGGAAGGACTCGGCAGAGAGACAATGAGTGCCTGAATTAGGCAGTGGTGGTGAAAAATCAGAATGGAGAAGGATTTTAGGGATTTGTTGAAGTAAAATCAGTAGAACTTGGGTTCAGTCGGGTATAAGGAGGAAAGAAGGGGAACGAAGCCTGACAACTCCTAAGTTTCTGGCTTCTACAACCATTTAGTGAAGGTTTCATTAATGGCAGGCAGGAGTACAGTTTTAGAAGGTCTGGACTGGAGAGACATTTGGGGGAATCATCCGTGAGTATCGAGAGTTAAAGACATGCCAGGAATAGTGTATACAATTAAAATAGACAGGGGCTTGGGAAATGCCAGTTCGCAGATATATATTTGTCATAAGTGAACTAAAGAAAAGGTATATGGTTGGATGAGCTTAAACCCAGCATGAGCTTTAAAGAAGAAACTTTGAGTTATTAACATGACCTTGCTGTTCTGCATCCAGAATGTTTTTATAGATAGGAAGAGTCATGGGTTTTATTTGATTTATTATTGACACCATCTTTGACTCCCTAAAGGAGTATCACTTAACCTCTGTCAAACTACCTCCTACATATTTCATCAGAATTTGTTAAAGACTAATTGAATATAATGGAGAAAGTACTTTGAATTGCATAGAAGAAAAAATATCACAAAAGTCCCAGCATCACCAGATAATTATTGATGATGACATACTATGAAAAAGTAATCCCATCTAAGAATCTTCAAAACAACACCATTTTTGTATACATTACTTGCGTAAATATAATACAGTTCCACCTAAAAGGCTTGTAATGGTTTTAGAAAGTGTAAAAGCTGATGAGAATCAGTGTGAGCCACCACCAAATAGCATTTCCCTCATTAACAACTAACTAATAGTGCTAAAGGTCATTTGAAATGTTGGAACAGTTGAACATCTATCAGTCGGCTCCCTGGATTAACCAGTGTTTTCCATTCTGTTGCCCAAAATTAACAGCTGACAGGCTGTTCTAGATTGGTGGTCTTCAAACTTTTTGCTCATGAATCCTCTGCAAGGATTTTGAAAACCATGTACCCTCTCGCATTTTAAAGTTGACATCTTAGATTTTTACATTTTAGGTCTAAATAGTTGAAAAGGATGTAATATTGATATTTTAACTAAAAAAATATAGTATTACTTTTAAGGTTATCCAGTGGAATCTAAATACCATAGAGATTTGATTCTCACCATCATCCATTTTTAAAAATACACAAATAAGCTCTTTTTTAACTGGCAGAAATTTTACTTGTTTCTTTTTGTTTTAACTCATTTTCCATTTCACTTTCTCCGCAGAACTTTATCCTATTTATGATTTCAATGTTTTTTTACCAATCACATACTTCTCTAAAACACATTTGTAAATTTCAGTTAAAATACTTTGCATTTCCTTTGACTATATAATCCTGACGGTTTAACGTTTTTTTCTGGTATGAGTTATACTTACAGTTACTAGTAGTGGATATTTGATCAACACAACATGTATTAATTAAAAGTCTGATGAAGAAGTGAATACAAAAAATAAAATTGTCTTAAAACCATGACTTAATGAGATTGAGGAGCTTTTAAAATTCATTTATCTTTTGATAAATATTATATATTACTGGAATGACACTATTCAGCTTTAATTTTATTCCCTTTTTAATGGGAAGAAAACTTTGTAGTTTTGTTATTAGTATCATTCAGTTATTTGAACTGGTTTCACAAGAGCATGTCAAATATGACATAGTACTGTATCTTCAAATATTATTTCTAGGTTATCTTTCAATTTTCTTGAAACCAAAGAATTGGAAACCACATGCAAAAGAATTGTTTTTATTCGATACTTAGGGTCATTCACTGTTTGCTACACCAACACTGATCTTCCTAATTGACACCTTGATTGCCACCCTGGAGGGCTTTCCTTCCTGAGGCAATTCACAGGAAGACAGATAAAGGGTGCCTTTTTTCTTAAAGTGGGAGAGAGTGGTTTGGGATGCTGACAAAGAGAACCCACTCTTCCCAACAGTAAATATATTCTCCGATCACTTGTAGGAGAGAGAACACAGTAGAGAGTGTACATAGAAGTTGAGGAGTCTAAAAATGCATTATTTCTATAAAAACTAAGTTGATTGCTTTAAAAAAGCTGAGTTGCTTTTAAAATTGATGACAAACTAGGTGCTGCAAACACTACAAAAGATGGAAAATATTTTTTAAATGTAAAGGATTATGTACTTCTTTTGCTTTTAAATAACTTTAAATTCTTGTTTCACTTTAAATCACAACTAAATATTTTCTATATTTCATGATTTATGCAGTGATAACTTACACTTATTGAGAGGTGACCATGTGCCAGGACCTGGCCTGATTAATTTGTTTGTATTCGTTAATCTTCATGACAGCCCTGTGAGGTAAATATCTTTTCATCCCTGTTTTACAGATGAGGAAATTGAGGTACAGAAAATGTAATCTGCCTGAGATTACGTAGCTAATAAGAGAAACAAACAGGCAGTCGTTTTTTGTTTGTTTGTTTGTTTTGTTTTGTTTTGTTTTTTTGGAGTGGGGACAGGGTCTCACTCTGTCAGCCAGGCTGGAGTGTGGTAGCCTCATCTTGGCTCACTGAAACCTCTGTCTCCCAGACTCAGGCAATCCTCCTTCCTCAGCCTCCAGAGTAGCTGGGACTACAGGCATGTGCCACCACTCCCAGCTACGTTTTTTTGTATTTATTGTAGAGACAGGGTCTTGCCATGTTGCACAGGCTGGTCTTGAACTCCTGGATTCAAGCCATCCTTCTACCTCTGCCTCCCAAAGTGCTGGGATTATAGGTGTGAGCCACAGCGCCTGGCCAAGGCAGTCTTTCTTTGGAGTCTATGTTCTTAATAAGTAAGCCTCTCCTCTAAAACCTTAGCCTAGATTACATTTAAATTTTGAGTTAAAAATAAAATGTGTAAAGTCCATATATGTAACATTTTTATGGTTTTCCTCTTTAATAGCTTTTTTGGTTAACTGACCAAGCATGTGTACTACAGTTCTTCCACTGGACTATAAGTGTTAAATAATAATAGTAACAGTTTTATAAACTATGAGCCAGGAATGATGTAGAACATCCAAAAACTGCCTAGTCAATTTGGTTACAAATGCATAATAAATCATTTTGTATATGGTGGAAGTGGATATTAAAAAGTTTTAAGGAACTCTGAGCAGATTTTCAACCAATTGAAAATTTTAACCAAATTTTACATATTTCTCTGATTTCATTATGCCTTTGAAAAACAATTCTCAGAATACCTTTAGGCATACTGCAGAGTAAGATTAACAATATAAATATCAATATATTTTAATTAAACTCTTGTGAAACTTCGAATGCAAAACATCTAGGACTACTTATGTTCTCTCCTACCCAGCTGCCACTCACTCCTTCCACAACTCCCAGTTTGCATTTCACGTATCTAAGATGTTCAGACCATGAACATCTGCATTTTTCTTCCTTTTTATTATAAAGGAATCTCAAGCTCTCTCCTCTATTTCCTTAAAGTTACCACATCATTCCAAAATAAATTCAGCTTTATCCAGATTTAACATTTAAATTGCAAATCTCTGTTCAAACATCTACTACAGTTCATACTCTCTATTAGACTCTGAAGGCAGAGCAGTGAGCATAGGAGACAGTGCTGAGCAAAGGAGAATGTGCTTCCTCCCTCACAGATCCTATAGGCTAGAAGAGGGTGTAAGCAATTGACCCACAATCAAAGTACGGTGAGATAAGTGATACAAGAAGGGTGGTGGTCACACAATGCGAATGGGACCCTGGCGGTTGTGCTACTCTGCGGGCCCCATTGATGAGCCATTGAAAACTCAGCCTTTGTGCTAAGTCCCTGGCCCCTGCCTGGCCCAGGCATGGCAGGCTGCCTGTTGGCTGAGTGACTTCATGAGCTCCCTGGGTGACTGGCTGCATGACTGAGATTGGTGAGACTAACCAATGGGCAGTTGCATTTAAGCTTCCAAGTGGCTGTAGCTGACTATGGGGCTTTGGTCCGCTTCTGAGTTTTCCCTCTGAGATGAGGTGAGGGCTGTGGGAATACAGTTCTTTGTGGTATTTCCTTCTTTACCCTCGTGGGGAATGAGAGGAGATTTCTGTTGGTTTCCTGTAGCCCACCCATCCATGGTTTTGACAGCTCTTGCTGCTGCTGTGGCTTAGAACAAAAAAAGGGCCATGGGCAGCAGAAGAACAATTCCTTTCCTTACCCAGATAGTTAGCCATCTCTATTGCTGAGTTATTCAAATAGAACTTTCTAGACTAATACAGAAAGTGCTATTAGTATATATAGGAAGTTCCTGTGGCTACAAAACAGAGACTGTTGCATAAACTAGTCTTGAAATTTACCTCATATTTTAGCATTGCCTATATATAAACATTATGAGAAGAAAGTTCAGAAATCCTCTTATAACCTGCATGACCTTGGCTGTGAAACTTTGAGAACAGGTAGGAAAAGAAAAAGAAAGCAGAAGTGGCTTGGTGGCTCTGGCTAAAAGCCTTAGGGATGACTTCCAAAGGAGATGGGCAGAGATATAAATCTCCGTACAAGGGAGCTTGTCAACCTCAGATGCCACATGGACTGAGGCTGATGTCCAAGGAGTCACATCTGGGTGATGGGGGCACACAGCAGGGGGAATGCAGTGGGAAGCAGTGTCCTGGGAAATGCGTGGATTTTAGAGGCAGGCAGACAGACTCGAATTTAAATCCTGGCTTTGCCATTTAATAGCTGTGTGACCTTGGACAAATTAACATCTTTAAAGCTCTTCACTTTTCTCGTGGTGTTATTGTGAGGAGGAAATGAGACAACGTGTATAGAATATTAGACCAGTGACTACATTCCATCAATCTCGGTACTTTCCATTTCAAGTAAGCTGAATGATTTCCCAAGATCACATCCATTATGTGGAAACCAGTTCGGAGCTGGAAGGCAGATTCAGTTCTCAGCCTGGAGTGTGCTCATTTCTCTTGTGCTCAGTAACTTGCTTCTGCCAGCTGCAGCAGTGACCTGCTTTCTCCCATCCCTCAGCTCCTAACACATTTCCTAAAAACAGTGACAAGCATCTGTGTGAAACATCCATGAATTTACTAAAATTCATAGTGAAAAGGCAGAAAATGCCCCCACAGAAGATTTATGGGAGCAAGAAGCCCTTCTGAGTACATGTGCAAGACCCCAAATCTGCTGCTTACAATAGAGTAGCAGCTCCTTTGTCCTGGCTCCTTAAAGCTTTGTGATAATTGACCGGTGCACATTTTGAAAAGGGCCACCCTGCCATTATTGCCCTAGTAACTAACAGTTATTTGTATACTAATAGTAGTTATTGTTACTTTGATCTTTTCTGGAAGCATTTCATGGAAGTTTGTCAAACTATTTTGGTACCACCACATGAAGCCCACTAGGTAGTCTTTGATGATAATCAAGATGTCACTAATGACTTCCTCTGTTTATTTTAAACCTCAGTAAATTGTTCATTATCCAATTGAAACCAACAAAAATGTATAGATGGCCAGGAGCAGTGGCTCACACCTGTAATCCCAGCATTTTGGGAGGATCATTTAAGCCCAGGAGTTTGAGAGCAGCCTGGGCAACATGGCAAAACCCCATCTCTACAAAAAAATTAAAAAATTTAAAAAATTAGCTGGTCATGGTGGCACGTACCTGTAGTCCCAACTACTAGGGAGGCTGAGGTGGAGAATTGATCGAGCCTGGGAGGTAGAGGCTGCAGTGCAAGCCATGATCATGCCACTGCACTCCAGCCTGGACAACAGAGTGAGACCCTGTCTCAAAAAAAAAGAAAAAAAATGTAGAGTGCTCACTCTGTGCAAGAAATGGACTAAGTCACTGAAGAACACAAAGATGAGGACAACGGGTTATTGCCAACCAGAACTTTACATGTGGGGAAGAGGAATAGATGTGTACTGTACTTGGAAAACTAAAATACAAAACTGTACAAAAATTGTATCAGCTGTTGGCATAATAATGCTGAGTAGCAAGCCACCCCCGACTTAATGGATTAAAACCTCAGTTACGTACTTATTTATTAATTAGCAGGTTGTTTGGGGGTGGGTTGATCTAGACTGGACTTGGCAGGTCTGGGCTTCAAACTGCAGTTTGGGTTTAGGTTCACTCCTCATGACTCTCATCTGCCTTGGATCAGCAAGCCAGCCCAGGCGTGTTCTTCTCATAACAATGGCAGAAGTGCAAGAGGGGCAAACAGAAACATGTGATGCTCCATGAAGCCTAGATTCAGAACAGGCACACCATCCTGTCTGTCCAATTTTACGGGCTGAAGCAAGTCCCTAGCCAACCCCAACAACAACTGGTGAGGAAGAATACTCTACCTCTAGAGGGAGAAACTACAATGTTAGCTGATAAAGGGGATGGAGACAGGGAGGAGTGAGAAACAGAGAAGAATGATTTAGCCTTCCACAGTAAGATAATAAAAGTTCAAAGCATTAGGGGGCATGATATAGAGATTAATTAATTTTGATGGAGGATATCAGTGTTACTTTCTGGAGAACATGGCATTTGAGATAACCTTGAAGAGAAAGCAGAATTTCAATAAGCCAAGCTGGGGGTTTGGACATTCTAGATAGAGTGAGTACCACAAAGAAAATCATAAACCATACTGACTTTAATAAAATGATGAAAAATCTTATGGAGTAGCTAAAACCCTAGAGCACGGGATCATTGGAAGGTGGAGACAAAAACGAGGAAGGCACAGCTTAGCAGGTTTTAAGCATTTTGGGTTCATTTGAGAATTCGTTGAATGCTCTGAAGCCTTAACCTAGAAAAATGCACCTTTGCACACTAACACATTTGTATGCAAGTTCAGCTCTGTAAATATGTGAGAGAGAAGGAGACAGTTCTAGATGGGAATTAGCTGATGAATGGCCTCGAATGGCATGCTAAGAGGTTTAGCTTTCATTCAGTAAGTAATATAGAGTCATCAAAGATTTAGTTTATAAAGGGAGCAGTGTCATGATGAGAGCTACATTTCAACAAGATCACTAGGAGGCAGTTTGAAGAATTGATTAAAGTAAAAAAGGAGAAAAAAACTAGTGGTAGACCAGCTAGCCAACTGGTAATAATCCCAACAAGAGGACAGAACCTAGGAAAGGGGACTTAAAAAGCAGGGAATGCATTGGCAAGAACTTGCAGAAACAGAAGCAAAAGAACCTAGAGTTCAGATTGGCAAAGAGGAAGAGGGAGGCAGCAAAGGTTTTTGTGCACATTCTCTCTCGAATCTCACAACGCCCTAGGAAGCAGGTATTACTATTTCCATTTGTAGTTGAGAAAATTGAGTTACGGAATAAGTAGAAAAACAGAACTTCAACCCAGTTTTGCAGTCTGCAGAGTCTCTGTTTGCCCCATTTTATCCTTCTAAAATATAAGCTTCAGGAATGCAGCTCGCTGCATCCTCAGTGCCTGGCATGAACTTGCACATAGTAGGAACCAGTGAATATTTACAGAAGAAATTATAAAATGAGTAAGTGGTACTGCATGTGTGAATGGTGGTGTGGCAGAGCAACCAGAGAGTTGAACATCTCACAGTGGTACATAACAGCCCTGCTGTTGATGCAATGACCATGAAGTGATGGGTGGACTACAGTTGGATTTAAGACATTTCACACATGTATTTTCTACTTAAATCTTTCCCTGCCAAGGTTTTACATTAGCTAAAAGTGTCAGAGAGGCTTTAAATACTGGAGCTATTTAAAGAGTATAGAGTGCCTTTGCAACTTAAAAATGGAAGTGTGATAAAGTTTAAGCAGTGTTTTAATTGGCCTTTCTTAGCTTTCCCTGAGGCAGATAAACCAAACCTACAGAGGAAGCTGACAGTGAATAGCAGCAAGTAACAAATCTTGCTGAGCAGCACTTAGGTATTGTTTCTGACAGCATATGCCCTCCATGTAGAATTTAATATAAAGCTCCTTCAGTAGGTTAAAACTGATGAATAGTATAATCCCAGTCTGAATAGATTCTTGAGTTCTTGTTTTCAGATTTTAGGAACAGACGTGCAATCCCAAAGATAGAGAACAGAGACCAGTGCCAAAAATGGAACTATTTTGCTTGAACTTGCTAAGTTATGAACAAAAACAGTTTAAAGGACTTAACATGTATTAGAAGTTTTCTGAACATGCAATTAGACATCTATCCAAAAACTTTCTGTAGATCAGATCCTGACATCATAAGCTTCCTATGCACAGTCAGTATCAGTTATAATGTTTAGGAATGGTAAATGTCTTTTAAATGACTTGGGCTCCAGGTGCTAGAAGGCTAAGAGATGTCTTGGGACGATCCAAGGATAGAGGGTCACAGATGAACTATGATTCCTTTTGTGAGTTGCTGATTTCTGTTTAAGTGACCTGATTTCCTTTGACCCTATCAAGAGAAAGAAGTGCTTTAGAAAGCAGGCTGGGCAGAAGATTGATCCTGCTAAGTGTTGGAGAAAATTCAAATGTTTCTTGACCTGTGAGCACCAAGGCCTTTGAAGTTAACTCCCATAATTCCAATATGTCATATGACTTGATTTAATGCTCCTGTACGTGGTGTCTATGATGAAGGATGAAGGCAGTTAGATAATGTTAAGGGAGCCCCTCCAAAGGTGTTGGTAGAACAGGAGTCAGGAGGGATCCATCTGTTCATCTCTAAATCAGACTCAATAATTCTTTTTTTTTTTTTTCGAGACAGAGTCTCACTTTGTCGCCCAGGCTGGAGTGCAGTGACACAATCTCAGCTCACTGCAACCTCTGCCTCCCAGGTTCAAGTGATTCTTGTGCCTCAGCCTCTCAAGTAGCTGGGATTACAGGCATGAGCCACCATGCCCAACTAATTTTTGTATTTTTAGTAGAGATGGGGTTTCACCATGTTGCCCAGGCTGGTCTCAAACTCCTGACCTCAGGTGATCCACCTGCCTCGGCCTTCCAAAGTGCTAGGATTGCAGGCATGAGCCACGGCGCCCAGCCCAGACTCAATAATTCTTAATCTGACTTTGTATTAGAGTCTCCTGGAGAGTTTTCAAAATATCAGTGCCCCAGCCCCACTCCCAGAGATTCTAATTTAATTAGTCTGGGTTGAAGCTGAGCATCTGTGTTATATTTTAAAGTTCTCCAAAGGAGTCTAATGTGCAAGAAGTTTTGAGACATGCAGGATCAGACCAATCTTACAAGCAAGACTGGGCAGTAGAATAGGGAACCTCTGGCCCCACCCACTTCCTTGGGCCTCATGCTCCCACGTAGCTTCACATCCCCAAAACAGAAATTGGAAGACACAATACAGAGGGCTTAGGAATATGCCAGTCCAATCCAAATAGCAAAACCACTGCCATAAATAAGTTGCTGCCAGGGAATATTGTCCCAAAGCACTGAGCTCTCTGGAACCTGCTCTGAGGCTTGTGGAGCCCCCTGTTGAATCTCAGTATCTTTCTCAGAAGAAAAAGAATAAAACGTTCACTTTGGGAAGCAGCAAATACATCCATTTCAGGTAGTGTTACATTGAAAACAAAGGACAAGGGCAATAATTTAATTCACATTTTGTGTGGGCTTATACATTAATAGTGTCCGAAAATGCATCCTGTATTTCTGCTCATGAAAACGGGGAAGTGAATTATTTTTTTGCAATATTATTTCATTCCCTGTCCCATCTGATAGATATCAGTACCTGAATGCAGAGTATAGTTATTTGGCCTGTATTTTAATGAGTAATTTAATTTGATGGGTCAGAGTTTTGGTTTTTGCAGCCAAGAAATGTGATCAGTATGGATCCATAATTCTTTTTAATCTTAGAAATCACTATTGTTTCCATGGAATCAGTTGAATTGATGAATATTAAATCTGACTTCTGCTTGTATGCATGGAGGCAAAATGGCAGAAAAGAAAGACTAGTGGTGATAGAGTGATTTTGTGCCAAACAAAATATTTATACTGAAAGATCACAATCCTGGCCCTACCTGCCTCTTGCCACCCTCTCCCCAACTTACCGCCGCCATGTGACTTAAAATGGGACCAGTGTGTTACCTAAAATTGCACTTAGAAGGTGACTTATCAGTCAAATAGAAACTAATGGTCGCTAAGAGAAATTCAATTTTTGAGCTATCTTTTCTTGAGGAAAACTGCCAATGTAAATATGTGAAGCTAGGAAGGAAAAGATCAAAGGCACACAAAGGAGGCCGGAGGAGGAGATCATTAGAGTATTCAGTAATGCCATGTAATGATTCATGCTTGCCTAGAGGTACCAAGAGCTTCCTGGAGGTTTCTAATACCACCTCAGAGCCTTGGTAGTAGTCAATGGTTTATTGATCAAGAAGGAATTAAAAACAAAATCAGACAAAAAAAGGAAGGTTTGATACTCAAATGAACTTTCGAAAAAGAGTCTCATGACTACAAGAATCTTCAGAAGAGGCAAAACTTTTGAATAGTGCAGAATTTTTCATTCTTTCATTTCGTTCAACAAATATTTGTTGGATGCTACATGTCAGGCATTGTGTTCAGCTCTAGGGATACAGCTGCTTTTCATCAGTATTGATAGACTTTCATCTCAAGAGATGATCAAGAGTCAGGAAAAGGTTTTTCCTCTGGTACATTTCATTTCCCTTGGCCTCAGTAGGACTTCCTGCTAAGTCAACTGTTACTCTGATTTGGCTCTACAAATTCTCTGCAAGATCGCGCTTGTTACGGAGAAGGAGAGCATGTGTATAATGCTGCAGCTGATGGTAAAAGAATGTGGACCAACACCCAAGACAGCTGGTATTAAGTATACAGGAAAAAGTAGCAGCAGTGTTAGCATGCCCTGTGTAACGTATCAAGTTAAAGTAATCATTTTAGGATTGCAGTGTATTCTTCTAGAACCCAAAACAACCCATCCCTGTAGTGCATGCCTGAGGGGTGCTGAAGAGGATATTCTACTCGATGTCAGCATCAGATACAAGGAGGGTCAATTTCAGAGTGAAGCACTTTGCTGAAATCAATCTTAAACAATGACATTTAGACACAGCCAGCTTCTAAGATGACAGCGAAGAAATAATTGCTATAAAAAGAAATGTGTAGATTAAGGGGATTCCCCTGAATGACCTGTGGCTGAAGAAGCTCACCATTTGAAGTTATCTTGCTCATTAGTTTACTTCTGCATTATCTCTCTTCTCCCTGCTTCCTCCATACGGCAGGTGCCTTGTCTTATTCATGAATACTTAGTTCAAGTTGCCTGATACGAATTTTATCAAATATTTTATGACTGATAAGAAAAACTGAAGATGTAGATGATACAAACGTGGAAAAGACATCAGACTCCACATCCTAAAGTTCCCAACTTAGTGGAATGACCAGCTGAACTGAAAAGGTGACATTTAAGAGGAATAAAGATGAAATCTATAATTCGAGCCGCAGTTACCACCTGCACAAGGGCAAGATGGGGAGACTTGGTTTAACAGCAACACCTATGAAACACTTAGGGGATTTAGGTGGCAATAAACTCAGTAACACGTCAACAGTATGAAAAACAAATATCCAACATCATTACTAGAAGTGAGTTTCCCATTACAGTCAACTGATTGTGAACAAGGGTGACAAAACAATTCAAGAATTGTCTTTTTAACGTCATTTAATTTTTTAAATGATGCCGAGGCGAGTGAATCACCTGAGATCAGGAGTTGGAGACCAGCCTGACCAAAATGGTGAAACCTCATCTCTACTGAAAATATAAAAAATTAGCCGGGCATGGTGGTGGGTGCCTGTAATCCCAGCTACTCAGGAGGCTGAGGCAGGAGAATCCCTTGAACCTCGGAGGTGAACATTGCGGTGAGCCGAGGTCATGCCATTGCACTCCAGCCTGGGTAACAAGAGCAAAATTCTGTCTCAAAAAACCAAACCAAACCAAAACAAACAAACAAACAAAAAAACCCCTACTTCAACCATCTACAAAAATTAACTCAAAATGGATTAAAGAGCTAATTTCTTTTTTTTCTGTTTTTTGACACAGAGTTTCACTCTTGTTGCCCAGGCTGGAGTGCAATGGCACGATCTCGGCTCACTGGTGATACTTTTTTTTTTATTCATTACCTCACATTTTCCCACATTAAAACACACCAACATACTATCCATTTAGTATAATCTTAAAATATCTTCTGAAATCTATCCTCATCAGGTGAGAAGTCAGGATCATCAACAGATCCAAACATTTTCCTGTGCCCTGCTCCAGAACATTTATAAAATGATCCTAAGCAGCAGTTCTACAGGAACTCAGTTTTTGACATGTCTCTGGGGAGATGTGCCCATTCATTTCCACTTTCCCTCCGTCTCTAAACTGGTTCTCTATGAAAGTTTCCTTCAATTTCATGCTAATTCCCTTTTTAAAAAAAATAGTCTATAAGATTGAGCCTATCTTTGTCTGGTTTATATTGCTATAACAGAATACCTGGGTATTTACAAACAATAGAATTTTATTTGGCTTACAGTTTTGGAGGCTGGGAAGTCCAAGATGGAGGGGCTGTATCTGGTGAGGGCCTTGTTGCTGTGTCATAAAGTGCCGGAAGGCATCACATGGTTAGAGAGTACACAAGAGAGGGAGGTAGTAGGGCCAAACTCGTCCTTTTCCTCAGGAACCCACTCCTGGGATAACTAACCCACTCTCACAATAACAGCATTAATCCATTCCTGAGGGCTGAGCCCTCATGACCCAAACACCTCTTAAAGGTCTCACCTCCGAACATTGTTGCATTGGGGATTAAGTTTCCAACACGTGGACTTTGTGGGGAGCAAATTCAAACCATAGCAGAGCATTTGTTAAGGGCATTTTTAAAGACTAAAGAGATTACCTTCAATGTACTACTTTTCACAATTTGAATTGCTTTGGGTGTTGTTTGTGGTCTGTCCTGCTAGATACTATAGTTATGCATCGATAGAGACAGTGGGTGCTGTGAGCCATTACCTTCACTGCTTCCCCTTTTCCCACATGCATATTTACATCCTCAAAATTATAATAGATGAATCAGACATAATTTGCTTTTATGGAAGTCATGTAGTTCACTTAGTGTTTTGTGGCCCCACCCTTTTAATTTCTCCAGCATAAAAAGTAAAAAATCTGAGCCTCAGTAGTTGGTAGTTTCTCGTATCCCCTGGAAAACCTTATAAAACAGTCACACTGGTGTTCTGTCCTTTATCACAGGACCTTTAAAGACAGGTTATATATTTTGAACTCCACAGGTACTCCCTCAAGTTTCTTTAAAGCAGTGAGTCTTTAACCTGCTGGAGGTTATGGATCAATTTCAAAGAATCTGTTAACCCACTGAAATAATATACAAAATTTTTTTGCATGTATCTATACATTTTCCTTTCCTGATACAGAGTTTACCCCTGACCTCCCATTCATAGTGGGTTTCTCTATTCTTAGTGGATGTGACAAAAACATCACTAACCCCAATATCCATGAGACCGCTGCCATTTGCCACTATTGACTCCTGTTGCCACTGCTGCTACTGTCAGAATCATCACTGCCACTGGGACTGTTGTCAGTGTCCATTTTCCCTATGACTGCTTAGCTAGAGCCTCTGATGTCTGTCACTAGAAGGCTAGAACATACAGAGCTGTTGAAACAATTATGGCTGGAAGTACAGTAGGAACCACCATAGGATGGTGTCAGGAAACGCTATGTTAGCCTAGGCCTGAGATTCATGTGCCTATTTGCAATGCCACAGCATACCCCAAGCTCACCCAGGTGGGCCTCCTGCTACCAAGCTGGCCTCCAGCTTTTGGTATTCCTGTCTCCCGGAAGAATTAGCCCTATGCGAAACTGCAGCTCACATGCCTGGTACCCTCTCTACTTGCCTAATTCTTACCAACCTCCCTCCCCAGTATACTGGATAAAAATGTTGTCTTATTCAACCTAAGAAAGCTGATTGCAAGCAAATATAAAATAAAAACAGAAAACCGCTGTCTTAGTCTGCTCAGGCTACTATAACAAAATATCAGACTTGTGGCATAAACAACATTTATTTCTCACAGTTCTAGAGGCAGGGAAGTCCAAGATCAAGGTCCTGGCAGATTCAGTTTTTGGTTGAAGGTCCTCTTCCTGGCTTGCACATAGCTACCTTTTGCTGTGTCCTCACACGGTAGAGAGAGGAGGCTCTGGTGTCTCTTCTTCTTATAAGACACAAATGCTATCCTGGGGGCTCTACCTTCATGACCTCATCGAAACCTAACTACCTCCCAAAGACTTCATCTCCAAATACTATCATGTCGAGGGGTAGGGCTTCAACATATGAATATTGTGGAGATAGAATCACTGTCGTAACACATACATACTGTAGTGCCAGCTGCCTGGGTGGAAATCCAAACCCCACCACTTACTTCACTTTACCTCTCTGTGGCTGTTTCCTCATCCCTAAAAAAATGAAGAGAGTAATATTGACCTCATAGACTTAAGAGGAGTAACTGAGTTAATGAATATACAGGCTGAACAGTGGCTGACAAATAGGGAATGCTGCATGATGTTTACTATTATGATTTATTTAAAGAGGTTGATTATACCCTGGGTTTGACCTGGTAGGACTGTAACCTAAACAGGTTAATAAGGGTAACTCTTGGGCAAATATTGGAGTGACTCTCAAACAGTTCTGGAAGATAGGAGGTAGGAAGGTCACCCCAGAGGCTTTATTTAACCTGACCATCTTTTTCCCCTTTACCATGACAGCAAGTGCCACCCAGGCTGGGTAGGAAAAGCACATAAGCAGACAACTGGTCCTCAGGGAAGCTGGCAAAGATGTCTAGCCCAGGGATTTTGGAGCTTTGTTTGAAAGATATGAGATCCTAGGGACAAAACTACATAATCACCAAAAGGAAATAGCACTTGTGGAGGGGATGGAAGTACACCCCTGATATCTTACAAGCGAAGCTGCTACTGTGGGGAGCATGGTGGTGGACAGCCTCCTGCTGCTGCTGCTTCAGATCCACGGCAGCCACCGAGGCCATCCTCCCTGGGGCTGCTCCTCTCCAAGGTCCTAGCACGGTAGAGCAGGCTATCCTACCTGACACAGGAGCCCTCTAATGGGCAACCTTTTCTCAGGATGCCCCATTGCCTCGGGCTGACACTTTCTTAGAACTACTCCAAAGTTCTTCCCACCCAATCCTGCCTTTCTCACAGGGGTCAAACCTGCCTGGTGGTCTGGCTGGCTCTCCCTGCCTTCTCTGGCTCTCACTCCACCATCCTTCATAGGCACCTTCCCCAGTAAGTCCCTTATAGAACTGATCCTGTCTTGGTGTCTGCTTCTTGGAAGAGTCAAACTGACATGCCATTACTGCTTTTTTTTTTTTTTTTTTTTTTTTTTTTTTTGAGATGGAGTCTCGCACTGTTGCCAAGGTGGAGTGCAGTGGTGCCATCTCTGCTTATTGCAATCTCCGCCTCCCAGGTTCACGCCATTCTCCTGCCTCAGCCTCCTGAGTAGCTGGGACTACACGCGCCCGCCACCATGCTCGGCTAATTTTTTGTATTTTTAATAGAGACGGGGTTTCACCGTGTTAGCCAGCATGATCTTGATCTCCTGACCTCGTGATCTGCCTTCCTCGGCCTCCCAAAGTGCTGGGATTACAGGCGTGAGCCTCCACACCTGGCCTGAACTTTTAGAAGTTTTTCCTACTTACAAAGGAAAGCACGTGCTTATTTCTGTCTATGGTAGATGAACCTTCATAGAAATAACATACCAAGTAGGAAGAGAAATGTTAATGTTAGTGATGTGTCATATTGAAAACACTTTTTTCTCTATATTTTTATAATAATTTTTAGTTGGCTTACTTTCCCATCAAATTCCAAGTAAATCCCAGTTCTGTGGTCTATGTGCTTGCTAACTCCTTATCATAAGCTCATGGGTTCACTTGAAGTATGTGGAAAGTTGATTTTAATCAGCCTTCCTAATAATTCAAAACAAAAAAAAAAAGGAAAGAAGACAGATAGGTAGCCACTGAGCTGTTGACTAATAGAGGCCTATTAGTATTCGAAATATTTAGAACTTCATAATAGTGTAGAACTGGAAGATAGATTGAATGAGTAATTCCAACATAGTTGAATCAACATGCTATTACAGTAAGTGCGCCTATAAACTGCTGCTACACAAGTATGACAACCTAAATGAGCTACAAATTATTAGCAGAGGTGGAAATTATTATTTATACCTGATAGCTATACAATCACTTTTAGCAATGCTTTCCACATTAAATATTAATTCCAGCATCCTAGGCTTAGAAGCCACGTGTATTGTTTTCAGAAGAAATGTTAAATAGTAGCTGCAAATGCTTTGCTTTCTCTGGACTGTGGACTTCACTTGGCTTTTGCCTAAGCCCTGTTTGGCATTACTAACCTGTATTCATCCACCTCCTATTACACGAAACTGGATATGCCCTGGCCAGTAGCCACCCAGCCATGTTACTGATCTGCTGTTATGCCCAGCGGTAAACTCTGCATTGTGTTTCTGGCTGTATCAGATTCTTCTGCTTATTCGTTTGGGGAAGTCATGTTCCTTGAGCACGGAGTATACGTATCTAGGTGTGCAATTGTCCAGCCTGTGGATATTCAATAAATAGATTTGATTTCATAGTGCTTAGATCTATTACGAACAAATTTTTAAATGACAGAATTACCGTTTTCTAGGGACAGGATACCTATATTGAAAGTTCAAATTGATCAGTCATCAAATAAGAGCTGTATGAACTGACAGAAACATATATTGGTAATGCAATTAAAATATAAATAAAAGAACACAGGAAATAAAGCCAGTAATGTTATGTGTGTATGAGAATCCTCCAGACGGCAACATAGGTGCTTCCACCCATTTCCCCAAATTTGGACACTCCAAGTGTCTTATGAAGAGCACTGACAAGCTTTGGAGCAAGGAATTCTGCGTAAAGCAATATTTTGTGCATGGTAGGTATTACTGAATTGAGGCCTGCTTGAATTAATAGTATTGAAGATTATCTTCAATAAAAGCCAGCTCCAGAAATAAAACTATTGACTATACACACCCTAGAAAAGAGAACCATTGTCTGGCTCATTGATTGAAACAATCGAATTTAAATGAGAATAAACTGGTTCACTTCTGACCTGTGAAACAAAAGATAAATAGTATTTGAATTAGCACAAATATCAGGCTGAACCATATGAAATTGCCATTTTTATAGACAAAAAGATTAATGAAGACTCACAATTTCATATGGTTCAACCTAATAACACAGAACAGGTGTCAGTGTAGAGGTTAGAGTTTGAGTATATGAGTTGAATTGAAATTTAATTATTCAAAACATTTTAGATATATTATAAGAATACTATTTAAAGAAAACCCACAGAGATCCTTTTGAAAGCAAAACACTCTTTTTAAATGAGTAGTCGGCCTATAATCCATATATTATGTTCTCATTA
Source organism: Homo sapiens (assembly GCF_000001405.40). Classification (NCBI taxonomy): domain Eukaryota; kingdom Metazoa; phylum Chordata; class Mammalia; order Primates; family Hominidae; genus Homo; species Homo sapiens. Next base: position 80,707,366 of record NC_000008.11, on the reverse strand, counting down.
ATGTGGACCCACCTCTATATTATAAAGGAAATACTTTTCATTATAACATAATTTTAAATGTATGACCTAAAAGGAATTGCATTTAGTTCACATATATATTTCAATTATAGGAAATTACATGTTTGTCTTAAATTAAAAACAAAGTGATAGGGATGGTCATGCAAACAGCATTAGTGTGTAGTATAAAGACCCCATTGCGCCTCTGAAGAGCACAGGCCTGGCTGACTGGCCAAGTACTGTTAGAAAGTTACCAAAGTCTCCATGTTTATAAAATGGGGGAGTGACATCAACCCACAGTGGCAGTTTAAAATAGTGTATACGTGTCATGAATGCTCAATAAATATTAGCTATTAGGAGAAAGAAGATGCAGTTTTTTTAAAAAGATGACAATTTTTTTTCTCTTTAAAACTAAATCTGGAACTTAAGCAGCTTAAAAGGGGATTGATTCAGTAGTCTGTCACTCATCGGTTTGTCCCGCTCTTCACAGTGTAAGACAGTGGAGGTATCAGCCCTGTCCCAGGTGTATCCAGAAGTGGCTGAAATCTGCAGGCAGGTCCCAGACAGGCTGAAGGTGAAATAAACCAAAATTTAAAGTTACAATGAAAAACTCTGAATAACTCTCAGCCTAAAGCATCTCAGCAAATTAGCCCACTTGACTTGAGTCTTTCATTTCTCTGTCCAAGTAGAGCAGCTGCTCCTGAAGGGCAAGGCCATTACCCAGAGCCCAGGCCCCACTGCCTTTGTGGCACACAAGCTAGGATGGCTCCACAGCTGCTCTCTGAGGGGAGACACATCCCCCCTTGCTCCTGGGGAGCCCAATATGGGTGGCTCTGTTAGGAATGATGTGAGTCTTCTCTCTTTGAAAAAACAAAAAGGTAAAATAGCTACAACTGTCACTTCTAGCCCATGTTTCAGTCTGTTGCCAACATAATGATGATACTATTTCAGGTAAGAGAAGCAGCAGAAATAAGAAGTCTGGTCTTTTTAAAATCTGTTTTTTCTATTAAAAAAAAAACTAGGGAAAAAAATCACCTTATTTTTCTTGCATTGTAAAATAAGAAAATGCTGGATTTGTTTTCTCCTAATTGCCCTCATGAAATAACTGCTATCACCATGAAAATGTAGCTGGAAGTTCTTTACATTATTGGGGCTTAAGTGGATTTGAGGCTCCAAGCAATAACATACTTAACCCCATCAGTAAGCCTGGAATGACTCAAAATGGACACAGACGTAAGAGTGAGAGGTGCAACTTTGATTAGTTTTCTTCTTGAGAATAATCGTGACATTTACCAGGCGGATCGTTAACCTGCAGACTTCCCAAATGACACAGGGTACTTCAACCCCATTAGCCTGGGCCATGCCGCCCCTGCACATACGACAGGCTCTGCTGGATGAGGTGCTCCCCAGGACTCCAGGAGTGACTGGTTGACAGCCTGGACAGACAGCAGTCCAGCTAAATGCAGCCCAGCCAGCAGCTTCCTGCAACAATCAAGAGCACTTTCCAGAGTTTGATAGCCTTTCTTTGGCCATGACTGAGTAGCAAGCTCATATTTAGTGGGTGCAAAGAAGCAAGCAAGGACTTTGCCATCCCAGAGAGCTAGAAGAAAGAGGCTGGCTGCCCTGGCAGCCAGAGACAGGGCAGGAGACAGGGTCTGCGGCACAGCCACCTCCCACTCCCTCATCTCCTCCTCCATGCACAGAGCACACCCAAGTCCACACAGAAGCACTGACCCACACAGACACGGAGATTGACACACACACACACAAATGCATACACGGATACACACAGGACCGAAACACACACACAGACACACACACAGGACACCAACCCACATAGATACAAATGCAGAGATACACATGCACACACACACACAGAGGACCCAGACACACATAGCTGTGCACACAGAGAGAGACACACACCCAGGACATCAACCCACATGAACACAAACACAGACAGACACACATACACAAAGGACCAAGACACACACACACAAGGCCCCGACACACAACTGTGCAGAAACACACACCCAGGACACCAACCCACACAGACATAGACGCAGATATACACACACCCATACACAGAGACACACAAAACACACACTATCCAAATAAATTCAGGAATTTGCTGTGTTCCCTCTGGTCTTTTTTCATCATATGCAGCCTCAGTGGCAGTCCCAGAAGGGAGCTCTTGAGAATTCAGGGGTAAACGCTCAGGCTCTCCCACTGCACTCCCACAACACACTTCTGACACCAAATGTGTGGGAGTTTTCCCCATACATCAAGCAAGCAACCAGTTCTGCAGGGGGGTGTCCTCCAATTCAAATGTGACACTGTCTACCTGAAGAAGTGTCAGTCCCACAAGAATTCCCCACTTGTGATGCCAGTCCCAAGCCCCAGGTTGTTTCAGGTTGTTTTACTGTGCTTCTGACCAACTGGCTATAAATCAGGGTTCCCAGGACACCCTCCTCAGGTTTGATTAATTTGCTAGAGCTGCCCACAGAACTCAGAGAAACTGACTTATATTTACTGGTTTATTATGAAGGTTATTATAAAGGATACAGATGAGGAGATGTGTAGGGCACAGCATGTGGGAAGGGGTGTGGCATTTCTCTGCCCTTCCTGGGGGCACCTCCCCCTGGGAACCTCCACTTGTCCCGCTGTCTGGAAGCTCTCCAAACTCTGTCCTTTTGGGTTTTATGGAGGCTTTGTATGTAGGCATGATTTAGTAAATCGTTGGCCATTGGTGATCAGCCCTTTCCCCCACCACCCCCAGAGGTTGGGGTCGGGGTCGGTGCCCGGAAGTCCAACCCTCTAATCCTGGCTTGGTCTTTCCTGTGACTGGCACCATCCAGAAGCAACATAGAAGCTGCCTGCCACCAGTCATCTCGTTAGCATACAAAAAGATGCCTATCACTGGAGATTCCAAGGATTTTAGGAGTTGTACAGCAGGAGACAGGGATGGAGGAAAACAAAATATCTATTTCACAATATGACAGGCACTCAACATGCACACAGAGGGCTTTCTGTTAGTTTAAGACTGGCCTTGTGACTCCTGGGAGAAAATGTTGGCTGCAATCAAAAGCGCTAAACCTACAAAGCAAAAAGGCCATCAAGGAATGTTCGAGATGCCTCCCTGAGCTGTGCTTTGCAGCCTGCTCACATCAAGAAGTCCAGCTAATCACACAGAATTATTTTCAGGGGATTTGAAACTTATTATTTAATAATGTTATTGCTGACATTCTAGAGTTCACTGATGTGTCTGTGAGCCTTTGTGAATATAGAAGAATTATCACAGACACTGGAACAAAATCCATTTGCTTAGATAAGCCAACAATTTTTAGGGCCAGTAAAAAGGAAAAAAAAAATCCTATGAACGATTTATTTAATACTTGAATTTTTGAGGAATTGTCTTCCACAAGAGGAAACAAATAAGTCACCAGGTCTGACAAGATGAAAGAGAGTGAGCAGAGGAGAACTGCAGAAGTTTTTCAGATACGTGTTCTATGCTTCCCCCTGCCACTTCTCCGGGACTGTCACCATCCTTACTTAATGCTTATTTGTCCACAAAACCTTCATTATGAACTTACTCCAAGGCTGGGCACAGTGGCTCATGCCTGTAATCCCAGCACTTTGGGAGGCTGAGGCAGGAGGATCACTTGAGTCCAGGAGTTTGAGACCAGCCTGGGCAACATAGTGAGACCCCGTCTCTACAGAAACTTAAAAAATTAGCCGGGCATGGTGGCGTTTGCCTGTAGTCCCAACCACTCAGGAGGCTGAGGCAGAAGGATCATTTGAGCCCTGCAGGTGGAAGCTACAGTGAGCCATGTTCACACCACTGCACTCCAGTCTGGGTGACAGAGCAAGACCCTGCCTCAACAAACAAAAACAAAACTTACCCTAAGCAAGGGTTTGTGCTAGAAGTTGGGAATAAAAAGATGCAAGACTAAGCCCTGATCTTCGCATGGGGAGGAGGAGGAAGCACAGGCAGTCTAACAACAGCACAGCAGTCAGTGCCCCTGGCCCTTGGCAGGTGGAAGGCGGCTTCCAGGAGCAGGATGGAGCTGAGTACTAAGGGTAAGTAGAAGCAGGCAAGCACAGAAAGAGAAGAAAGCTTGTTCCAAGCAGAGGGCACAGCTTATTCACAGGTATGGAGAGGAGAAAGTGAGTCTTCTTATGGAGAATTTTCACGAGTTGGAAGAGTTGCCCCGCAGAGGACTTGTGGGAAAATGGGTAGAGAGTCGGGAGACCAGAGCAGAGAGGGCCAGGTGTTTCCTGCATTGGAGTTAAGTCTCATGTGAGGGCAATGGGGAGCCTCCCAAGAGTGAATTTCTGTGTCCCCGCGGCTGTTACCAAGCCTTTGCCCTCCACTCTCAGGTAAAGCCCTGCTGCTTGAAGGCTTCTTCCACCTCCCGCTTCCTTAACTCTGCTGACATCCTGCTCATTTGCCCTTTATGGAAGGCTTGAGCCACCTGGCCACAACTTTTCTCTCCTCAATGCTGCCATCATCCCGGATGACATCAGCCTCGCCATTTCCGATCCAGCGACTTTCACCTCTGCCCTGCCTCTGCCCTCTACTCCCACGGCCATACCTTGGACTCGGCCATCTCTCAGAATTTTTCTACATAGAAAATCTCCATCCCCAGTATCTCCTTCCTACTCATAACCTCCTGGTCTTCCATCTCGCCTTCGCTTTTGTGTCCTCGGCACCTGATTTTGACCCCATCAAGATCTCTGGTTTCTCTCAATTTGTCCCCATCTTTTCCCTCCAACCTTCACACATTGCCCAGTCCAGCCAAGAACCTATGGCTCTCTCTCCAAAACCTTGCACTCTCCATGCCCTTACTCACTGTAAAACCTGGCATAGGGCTAGTCCAGCAGCCTCCTCTCACACTCCCACCCCAGGCTTCTGGCACAGCCATCAGACCCCCTCTCCAGTGACCATCACAACAGGATCAAGCTTTCTAACCTCAGCTGAGCCTCGGTTGCTGCTTGATAGACTTTTGGTGTCCTGCTCCATTTTCTCTCCCAGTACCCATAACAGCAATTCCAAACCTTAAGCATGGCAATGTCCTCTCCACTCTCCACAGAGAAACCTACCTGCTTCTGAGGAGAGACCTCCAGAGAGAAGCATCAGCTTCCCCAGCCCCACACCTACAAGCATGCTTGCACCCAGCCCATCTTTGTTCTCCTCACTCCAGGTAGACGGGGTGGTTGTTCCTCCTTTTGTCTAAAGCTACTTCCATTGGAGCCCAGGACCCTCATCATGCTGCCCCAGTAAAGACCTTGTCCATTCCTCATCCCTTCTCTCCTGTATCTTCAACCTATTCATCCCTACTAGCTCCTTCCTGTCAGCATTTAAATATGCTAGAGTTCCTTTCATCTGAAGAACAAACAGGAAAACACTCTAACTTCCTCAAAGAACCATGTTTCCCTTCCCTTCATGGCCAAGCTCTTTAAGAGTCCTCTACAATGACTGCCTCTAATTTCTCAACCTCCCAGTTTCCATCCACCCCACAACCCACAGCAGTCCACTTCCACTCCTGCTAGAGTCTCTACCTGCTTCCTTGCTGCTAATTTCAAGGGAATTAAGTTAAATTCCCTGTCTGTCCTCATCTGGCTTGATCTCTCTACATCACTTAATGCTGTCAACCTGTTCTTCCTGAAATTCTCTTCCCTCTCTTCCCTCTTGTATCTGTAATCACTGGACTCCTCTCCTCATTTCTTTCCTATCTCTCTGTCCAGTCCTGTTTGGTCCCTTGCATGTAAGTGGGGAGAAAACAGAAGCCTATTAATAGAGAAGGGCCAGTGGGAACAGGAGAGAGGAGGTCTTGTTGAAGGAGGATAAAGACAGCACAGGTGGAGGCAGTGGCTTCAAAAAGCAAAATACCATGCTAACCTCCCTGCGAGACTGAAGCAAGAAGGTAAGAAAGGCAGAATGTGACAAAGACCTTGCCTAGAGGCCTCAATTCTCTCTATAATCTAGGAGGAAAGGGCGTCTGCTGCTTGGGTTGGCAGGAGCTGAGCCTTGCAGAGAGAGGTGAAGATAAGGCAGAATCCTGGCTAGAAGCGGGCAGTTGTGGTGAGCGAGGGCGGGTGAAGGGCCTGCTGAGGCCAAGTGCAGGTAGGATGCGTGCCGAGGATGGGCCCGGCCAGCAGAGTCATTCGCTGTTTCCCATCAGCACTGACTGCCCTGAGGTGGACAGTAAAGAGCAGCACAGGAGGATTCAGCCAGGGTTTGGTTCTTCTGGGCCAGTGGAGCAGAAGGCTAGCAAGGCCAGGGATTCAGGGATGCTGGTAAAGGGAGAACCCCGCTGAGCCACCAGTGGACCTGGCGGGAGGGAAGCAGTAGCCAGCAGCAAGCTGTTCTAGGTCAGAAGTACTAGCCTCTAACTGCCTAGGAGGAAAGGAGAAATCCAGAGACTGGCTGTCTCTGGGAGATGGAGGAGCAGATGCAGTGACAGAGAGTAGAGCTAGACAGAAAAGGGGAGGGGGGAGTTGAAGTGGGGCAATGGCAAGTGACCGCCAAAATCCAGGTGTGTGCTCATGCTGTATTCTTGTTTTAAATCGTATTATGGAAGTTTCAAATCTACACAGATAGAGAGAGAATGGTCTAATGATTCCCTCAGTACCCATTCCCTGGCTTCAACAATTGTTAACATTTTGTCCATCTTACTTCATCTAATCACCCCCAACTCACACTTTTGAGGAAGGGGTTGTGGGAGGCTGCAGTATATTCACACAAATCCAAGATTTCATGTTATTTCACCTATAAATACTTAAATAGGTAGAACTCAGGTTTTTAACCTGAGAATCGTTCACTGAAATAACAGTTTTAGGTAAAAGAGGAGGATAATAATAACTTGAGTGTTTAGTATATGCCAGATATTTTACACATCTTATTTAACTCTTCCAAACCCTCTAAGGTCTGTATTATTGTCATTTCCATTTTACAGATGAGGAATCTGAAGTTTTGTGAAGCTGCAAGATTTGCCTAAAAGCACTCACTAATAAATGGAGGTTTTGGGGATTAAACTGCAGTCTGTCAGACTGCAACGTCTTTTCTCTCCAGCTCAGCACTCTGCTGAATGTTGGCTGGGGGTGGTGGGTTAAGGAGACAGAAGTTACGAAGTTAGGATATTGGCTAACTTCAGTATATCTCCTAGGATTATAATTCCAAGCAATTTAAAAAAGGCTGTAATTTATGTGCCAAAGTATTTTATGAATATTAGGGGAGAGAGGTCCTGACAGGAAGGTCAATGCCTGAAATAGAAAAGAGAACAAGATAAGTGCATGGCCTGTGCCTCAAAGAACCAGGAGCTTTTGCATGTGGGTGAAGGGAGATGGTCTCCTAAGGGAGGCAGATGAAAGGCCCACACCCCACCTGACCTCACTGGGGGTAAAGGGATGAGTAACTCCAGTGGAAAGGAGGAGTGACCTACAAGGGAGAGCCTGGGTATGGTAAAAGGGGAGAGGGTGAGGTCATGCAAGGGTCAATTTGCAATGGAACATAGGGTCCAGTGGGCAGAGTGGGTGGGGAGAGAAGTTGTAGAGGGTCCATGAGGCAAGAACAGAAAGCGGGAGAAAGAGGGACAGGAGGGAGTCTTTTCAAAGTTTAATGGAAATTAAAGCAACTGCCTAGCTTCATGCTACTCAAAGTGTGGACCATGGGCCAGTGCCAGTCTGCAAGCTCTTTGTTACAGCCATGTTGAGCCAGGTACAGAAATTAAGAGGAAGGGGTGCAGAAATTTTCCACAGGCCATAGTTTTTTTGTATAGTATCGATCCATGACATATTAAAAATTTCTTAAAAATGACCCTTCACCACAGATGGCTTCAGATGTACTGGTGTATATTGCCTTATGTATTATGATGTATTCACTCTAATTTTCCATCTTGTTCGATCCAGGCCAGTGAACACTTTATTGCAATAGGCAGCTTTCTAATCTTCCCTTTGATTTTTTTTTCTTTTTCCATCAATTTTGATGAATACTGACTTCCCTATAGTCTTAAAAGAAATAGCAGCTAAAATTAATTCGGAAGAGTTAACATTTACCACTTTTTCTACAAGATTTCTTCAAAATGGAAATGAAGTTTTGTGCTTTATATTTAATAGTTACTGAATCCAGTTTTCCAAACTCTTAGTAAAAGCTTTCTCAGAATTCCAAGATTGGGGATGATTATTATAGCCTTTCCAGTAAAAGATTTTATTTTCAGACATTATTCCTTATTTTAAGAATATCACAAGTTTTTAAAAGTGACTGAACTTGGTCTAGACAGCAGATTTCAATAGTTGCTAAGAAACTAGATTAGTGCTAATCTAAGGAATATATTATTCATTTTTACTTCCATTTGTTACTATAGCACTTTAATTGCCGATAAATGTCTTTTATGGCTCTCCAAGGTGTAAAACATCTCTCCCTTAGCTAGTCACAGGAGACAGTGTTTATGTGCACCCTCCAAGCAGGCAGTATTCAGGCAGGAAGTGGCTCAAAAGAAGGAAAAGGCTTCTTGCGGCACAAACAATAGCTGGGTTTGTAAGCACAGGCCATAGCTGAGCGCTCAAGGGCAGACCAGCCACACCCACCCATGCATGAGACCTGGCCGGGCTGCCTCTGCTGATGCTGCGCACTGCGCTGATTGCCTCTTCATGTAGTAGATGATGTCATTCTGCAACCTGCTGCCACAGTCATCAGACAATCAATTCCTCAGATAAAAGATTGGTTGTCAAACCCAAGAAACTCATTTTCCACACGGCAGCCAAAATGAGCTTTTTGAAAAGCTAATCTGATAGCATCACCCCAACCTTACCCAACCTCTCCCAACCCCATTCCACTTGAAACACTTCAGTGCTTCCCAGGGCCTTTAAGATAAGGATAAAGCCCTTATAGAGCATGGAAGGCCCTCCCTGGGCTGCCCCTCCCAAGCACACTGCACTTCATGTTCAGTCTTCCCTTTCCTTTTTAAAGGAAGCCTTGCCCTGGCTCTTCCACTGCCCAAAAGCTCTTCTGTCCTCTGAGGCAACACCCATACTCACTTCCAGTCTCAGCCCTGTTCTCCTGTTAGCTAGAAGTACCTAGGTTGGTCCTCATCAAATCAATAGTACTCTTCCTGGCATTTATCACATTTGTAAGTTTATGTTTATTTGTGTGTGTGTTTGATTAAGGTCTAGTTCTCCAATAGACCGCAGCTGAAGAGGGTAGAGACTGTTCATTTTTACAAAGACTGTTAATTCTCCTGTCTAGCACAGCCCTAGTGCTCCAAGAGTGAGTATTGAAAGCATAAACTCTTAAACGTAGAATCCAAACAAGCACTCTAGGCTTTTCTATTTGTGGACAGTCTGGCCAAGACTCATTATGTAATGAGCAGTATCTTTGCCAAAGCACCGACTGGAAACTCTAGTGAGGGACCAGCAGCTGCTTCTCCATGAGCCAGTTGCCAGCTCTTACAGAGTTATAGCAGTCTTTTCATTATCAAAAATAATATACCTGCCTTACAAAAAGAAAATCCACAACTGCTAGTGCTGGTGCTGAACAAGAAAAGCAAGTGAAGTCATCTAATGCTCTCCTCCCTCACGGAGGACACACGCTATGGATGTAGTCAGGAATTGGAAGGTTAGTAATAGCTGAGATAACATGAACTCTGACTGTGGCTGAGGCTCATGCTGGTGCTCATATACTTTTCTCATTTAACCCTCTCAACAAGTCTATGTTTATCCTTCTTTTACAGATAAGGAAACAGTGAGTTTAAGTAATTTGCCCAAGGTCACACAGGTGGTAATGCAGAGAGTGGATCTGAAGCCACATTATCTAACTCATTCTGGAGCCTAAACTCTTAATCATTACCGTTGCTGCCTCTCCTGGAGAGGTCCAGAACACAGCTTCAGCAGAAATCCAGGAAGGTCCGTACTCACAGACTGAATAGTATCGCTGCATGGAGGGGCAGTGTCCCTCTTAATCTAATACTTTGAGGTTGAAATGAGACTTTACTAAAAACAGCTGAATAGCCTGCCTCCCATTTCCTCCCTTTCCTTAAATTTTCCATTTTCACTCATTTCTTAAATACAGATTGATCACCTTACTCCCGGGTTCATGAATGTTCCATGGATGCGCTTTGCTTATAGGAATACAACAAACCACTCATCCTGGCACACACACCCCCATAGTCTGGCTCAGGCTCTGCTCTCCTTTTCCACCACATCCCTCACGTAGGACCCTTGAGTAGTCTCCCAGTAAGCCCAGGGCTCACCGGCTTCCCTTCCTTGATGTGTTTCTCCCATCTTGAAATCCTGTTCATCCACAGAAGCCAGGTCAGCTTCAGGAACAAATCATGTATAGAGTGACAACGAATACTTCTGTTACAGATTGAGTATCTCTCATTCCAAAATCTGAAATCTGAAGCACTCCAAAGCCCAAAACTTTTTGAGCACCAACGTGACACCACAAATGGAAAAGTCCACACCTGACCTCATGCAGCAAGTCACAGTCACACAACACACAGTTTGTTCAGCGTCCCCTAGGGTAAAATAAACTTACCTCAGGCTACGTGGGTAAGGTGTATATGAAACATAAATCAATTTTGTGTTTAGGCTTGCGTCCCATCCCCAATATCTTACATTATATATATGCAAATATTTCAAAATCAAAGAAATCTGGCCGGGCGCATTGGCTCACGCCTGTAATCCCAGCACTTCAGGAGGCTAAGGCAGGTAGATCACCTGAGGTCAGGAGTTTGAGACCAGCGTGGTCAACATGGTGAAACCCCGTCTCTACTGAAAATACAAAAATCAGCTGAGGGTGGTGACACATGCCTGTAATCCCAGCTACTCGGGAGGCTGAAGCAGAAGAATCGCTTGAACCCGGGAGGTGGAGGTTGCAGTGAGGCAAGATAACACCACTGCACTCCAGCCTGGGTGACAGAGCAAGACTCCATCTCAAAACAAAACAAAAAAAATCTGAAATCCAAAACACTTCTGGTCTCAAACATTCTGGATAAGGAATACTCAACCTGTATTTTTAAATAATTCCAAATTTAAGTCCCATACTATTCAAGTATGGCTGGAGGAAAGATTAATTGAAAAGGTAAAAGCCTTTAGCAAACATGAGTCTTAAGGTTTTAAGTTGTAGATTGAAATTCAAATTAGGAGAGAATATTTAATATCACCTCTAGTGGTTTGTTTTTTATCAATAACTCCAAATCTACCAGAAGGGCTTTGCAGCAGTTTTCTCAAAGTGTAACAAATTCTACTTTGTATATCATCTCTTCATGTTTAATTATAAGGATTTGAATTTACAGTACCAGTTAATCAGTAATTAGATAGTAGTGTACCAAAAGAAATTAAACAAAGATAAAAACAAAAACACAACTTAGCACAAGGCCATATCATCTGGTAATGTTTCATGTAGCATGATTAAAATATTCCCTGAGAAATGCAGGTTAACTGAGTCATTGTGATGTATTCCTTTGACTTTGTTGTTGTTGTTAGTGATTTCCAGTGCCAGCAGGAAACTTAAAGGTAATCCAAATCCAAAAACACTCTGATTATACTAATTATTCCTTTTTTCATTCTTCATTGTAAATCTCTTTATGATGCTCAATAATTATTTTGAAATGTGGTAGATTTTCGCAATGCAAAATAAATGTATATTTTATAATGATGCATTCTGTATTGATTGTCATATTTTAAAAAACACATAAATCAGTATTTGAGTTAATTATCAATTAGACCTCTAAAGCAAAATGTTCACCTTAGGTGTGGAAAATCAAAAAAGATACAAAGCAGATTGAGAGAGGGGCAAAAAGGTCCCTGAAACCAAGATGTAGAAGACGGAAAAAGGTTGTTTAGCAAGTCATTGTAAGAATCAGGGGAGGGGGCGAGGGGACCCTCTCCTTACCAAATCATGTCATCCACCTATACCAGGTGCACGGGCCTCCTATCCTGGTTCTTAAACCTTTGGTTAGTAAGGGAATAAAAGTGGACTGGCCGTTGGAAAGAGAAGTCAACAGCCCTCCTAATTCAGTCTTGGAAGAGATGTGGGCAGCAGCCAGCTCAGGTGTGCCCCACTCTGGGTGATCCTGGAGCTGGGCTCTGGGAAGGGCAGACAGTTGGAGGAGCCCCAAGGTAGATTAGTGGATATGCAGCAAGCCCCAACTTATCCCTTCTGTGACCAGCGTTACATGGGCAGATTGAGCCAACAAAACACTCAGAATTACCTGAAGGTGCTTTGCATTCTTTCCCTGGTGCCATTTCAAGAGGCTTTGTCTGTTTTAAGAAAATGGCTTTACCTTTACTCCCAAGTACAGGGATCTTGTAAACTGTGAATACTGTAAAATCTTTAAATGGTATGCCAAATGAATGAACAGTTTTTTTTGCCTCTAAGTGTATGAGGTTGTCTTGAAAACTTTGTATGGAGTGGATTTCATTGTGCACTCTTAAGCTTGTTTTACAGAAGTATTTTAATTGTCAGCCTCTGAAACAAGTAATTTGTCTTTTGATAGAAGAATTTGCTAAAAAAGAGCATAAGGTGCTTTGAGAAGAATTATTGAAGAAAATTTCAAAGATTTCCATCTGTTGGTACCTTGGATTGAAAGAATAGGCTTTGTTTAACAATTTAGTATCATGGGTGGACATCAGAGAGCCAAACTGTAACAATTTTTGTAACTTCATGATGAAATTAATTGAGCAGCCCCCCAATAATTGGGAACCATTTGTTTTTTTCTCCAATTTAAGAATTTCTCTTCCCACTGTTTTGTGAAGCAGTGCTATGAAGTTTCTATCTCTAAGAGTTCATTGCTTTTACAAATTAGACAGCACACCTGTGAATGAAAGCCACATTTGTCAAAGTGACAATTCATTTGTGGATATGGCTTATTAATCCTCTGTTGGGCTTCTTCAACTGTTCTCTAATTTGAAAATGTTCGTCTCTCAGGAGGTGGTACAATTTATTTGATTTCATCGTACGACACAAACTTTTGCCTCTCAATTTTACCTCCTTTATTGAAATAAGCTTAAACAAGTTGACTCCGGTCACCATGATCATAATCTTATGAACCTTTATTCAGGGTTAACTGGCCAAAATTAATGAACCAGAGCAACCTCTTCATCTCAGTGAATGATTACCAGTGGCTCTTCACTTTAACAACATGGTAACTATTCCCATGACCTACTCTTTCTATAGTAAGTAGTTTTAAAAAATTTTTTTAAAGCTCAGGAGTTCAAACACCCCTAGTTGCATTTCTCCTCCAGCCTCTCCCATCTCAGTAAATGGCTCTAGTTAGTGCTTCAGCCAACACCTGACAGCCTTCCTCGCTCCCTTTTGCTCATCTCCCATGTCCAAGTGCATCAGCCAGTCCTGCTGGGTCTCCTGCCACTGTCCCCACCCTAGTCCAAGCTCGCCTGGACTCCTAGCAGTCATCTCCTAAGTGGCCTCCCTCCTTCTATTCTACCTTCTCTAAGATCCATTCTCCATATAGCAGCTCAGCTAATTATATTACAAATATTCATCATATTACTTCACTAGGCCTGCTTAAAGCCTCCCAGGGACTTCCCATTTCACTTAGAATAAAATTAAAACACCTTCCATGGCCACTGGACCCCGTCTGACTAGCTCTGCACCGCTCTCCCCTTCTCACACTCTAGGATCAGCCTTTAAACATTCCCGCACATTCCTGCTGCCATGCCTTTCTGCAGGCTGCTGCCTCTGCTTGGGATGTACTTCCCTGCCCCTCAGGACAGACTCTCCCTGACCTTCACAGTTCACCTCAGACGTCACTGCCTCAGAGAAACATCTGATCACCTTAGATGCAGCCCCTACAGGCAGGCACTGTCACGTTAGCCTGTTTATGCGCTTCATAGCCCTTGTCACTATCAGAAATGACTTTGTTCCTCCTAGCTTGTTTGTTTCCTGATAAGTGTGTTGCTTCCCACCGTCCTCTAGGCTCCATGAAAGCAAGAACCTTGTCTGCTGTTCACCTCATATCACTCGTGGCTAGAACAGAGTCTAGCCCACAGCACACTCTCAATGAACAGTTGTTAGATGAAGTATGGATGATGGAATCCTTGTCTTCCTAATACTGTATGACTTTGACTGAAACACTTCACTTCATGGGCTTCAGCTTCCTCATCTATAAAATAAAGCTAACAGAACATCGGTTGTTCATGGGGATAAGTTAATGGAGTAAATGCGTGACAGCGTGTCACACCTTGTGTGGCCCACAGCAGATGCAGAGTGAACAGTCACCAGTGTCCCTTCCTGTTTTACAGGAAATCTTCAGAGGAACTAGACATGGACAAGGTGACAGCAGCAATGGTACTAACCAGCTTGTCGACTAGCCCTTTGGTTCGAAGTCCTCCCGTGCGGCCGAACGGTAAGCCCAGGATATGGGACTTAGGGAAGGGCCCCTTGACACCAAGAGCAGGGCCTTTCTTTGAGATGTCTCATTCCTGTCAAGCGCTATGAACCACTGACCCTCACCCATTAGCAGGAAGCAAAGAGAAACGTGGAAGAAGTCGAGGCCCCCAGAGCTGTCAGCCCCCTCTTCATCTTCCCAGGGAGCCCACTGCTTCTCATTCACCCATCCCTCCATTCAACTCACTTTTATTGAGCTCCTTTGTTTTCTGCCTTGCCAGGACGTCTTTGCAGTACTTGTGTCCCTTTTTTCCCAGGTAAATGAAGATTGAGCTAATGAATTATTTTCCCTAGCATTATTTCTGTTTGACTGGGGAGGCAGTTGGATCAAAGAACTCTCAGATTAAATAATTTTTAAAAACATTTTCTCAGACTCCTTAATCAAATAGAATTATTTAGGTCATTCATTTATTCCACACACATTTATCAGGTACCATGCTAGATGAATTGAATACCTCATTGAAAAAGTATCCACACTCCCAGGTAGTATACTATCTCTTTGGGGAAGAAAGACCATCAATCATAGCCATATTAGTGGCTAGCATTTATTAAGCATTACTATGTGTCAGTAAACAAATACTATGCTTGCCTTATCGCCTGTAATTCCCACAACAATTCTATGAGGTATTATTATCACTATTTTACAGATGAGTAAACTAAGGCTCACAGAGATTAACTGGCAGAACTGAAATTCTCCATATCTTTTTGATTCCAGATTTATTCTCTTAATCATGATATGATTTTGTCTCATATAATCCAATACAATAAATAAGGAGGTCAGGCAGTAGGAGGTGAAGTTGGAGAGACTGGGAGACCTATCAGGAGGGGTCATTTATGCCTGGCTAGGAGTTTGGACTTTATGCTGAGGCTATGGGAGCACTATTAAAGTGATTCTAGCACTGCAAAGTTATGATTAGGTTTATCAGCCAAAGGAAAAAAAAAGATCTTGGTGGTCACAGTGCAGGTAGATACGACATAATCGAGAAATGTGAAGAATGCAGAATCAAGAGTTTGGTGCTGGACAGAGAGAGTGAGCAGGAGGGTGTGTCAAGGATGACTTCCAGGCAGTTGGTGTGCTTCAGCAAGGGGAGGACATTCACTGGGGCAGGTGACAGACGCACAGGAAGAGATGTATTGGCAAATGTTTGGTTCAAGAGCTGAAGTTGCTGAAGAAGACAATAGGAAACATGTTTAATAGGCAGTGCCTGAGGATCATTCAAGGGGCAACATCTGGTAGAGATTTGGGCACATCTTGGGAGAGAGATCTGGGCTGAAGGTACAGAATTAGAAGGCAACATTTGGAAGCCATGAGAGTAGATGAGATCATCATGAGAGAGTTATGTAAAAGCAGAGTGAGAAGAGAAGATGGCCGAGGAAGGAAGCAGTGAAGCTCACCATCATGCAAGGGATTGGCAGTGGGAAAAGAGCCGAGGAAGACCCTGAGGTGACCAGAGAGGTAGAGGAAGACCAGGAGAGTGTGGTTTCATGGAAACCAAGGGAAAAGCATGTTTTAAGGAGAAGTGTCTGATGCTTCAGAAGGTCACGCATTAAAAAGACTGAGTTTTCCATCAAGAAGGTGGTCACTGGTGGCTTTGTCAAGAGCACTCCCCAAGGGAGAAAGCCAGTTGCAGATTGCAGTTCACTGAAATGTAATGCACTGAGACCACTGAATGAGACTTAGGATCAATGAAAACCTTCTCTCAAAAACCAGCATGGTCAATGATGAGATTAAGATATGGTTCACACACAATTTGGTTTTAAGCATGAGGTGTTAAAATAAATTTGTTGAACATACATTGAGGCCTTACCAAAACTTACTCCAACCTCATTATAAGAGGGAAAGAATGATTAAGATGCTAGGAATTCAAATTAATGTCATGAATCAGTATTGCCCAACAACATCATGATTCATCAAGCTGGGATAACACTTCCTCTTTTTTTTTTTTTTTAATTTGAGATGGAGTCTCGCTCTGTCACCCAGGCTGGAGTGCAGTGGCACTATCTTGGCTCACTGCAACTGCCGCCTCCTGGGTTCAAGTGATTCTCATGCCTCAGTCTCCCAAGTAGCTGAGATTACTGGCATGTGCCACCACACCCAGGTAATTTTTGTATTTTTAGTAGAGACAGGGTTTCACCATGTTGGTCAGGCTGGTCCCGAACTCCTGACATCAGGTGATCCGCCTGCCTTGGCCTCCCAAAGTGTTGGGATTACAGGTGGGAGCCACCATACCTAGCCGACACCTCCTCTTTATATAGCAGTAGAAAAGTTGCTCTTGAAATGGGCCTGACTACTCCCATTCAGTGACCTGACTGCTCTTCTGGGGGGTCTCTGGCAAATGGGTACTCTGATTTACCTTTCTCACTTTGGCAGTGCTAAAGAAGGATTATAGTAAAGGCAAAACTATAGTCAGGTATGGTAACACGCCTGTAGTCCCGGCCTAGGATTTTGGGGTTGCATTGAGCTTATGGTGCCACTGCACTTCAGCCTGAGTGACAGAGCAAGACTCCAACTCTAAAAAATAAAAAATTTTAAAACCCTGGAAAACCCCCAAGACATATTCTAGGGAAAAGGAATTGTAGAATTTCATGGAATCCTTCGAGGAAAAAGAAAAGTGTATTTTAAAGTAATCATTATTTTTACCATTGGCTTCATTTTTTAATTGAGAACATTTTTAGTGTTCCTTTGTACTTAAAGGTCAGAATTAAAATAAACCTTTTGGCTCTTCAATGCAAACTTTCGTTAGCACAGTAATAAAGTAATTCAGTGCTCATTTATGGTTTAAAAACTAACTACTCAACTAATAACCCCAAATTGTCTGCTGTCTCTCATTTAGTCTGTAAGAAAAAGCAAATTCTTAAATAGGGGAAGCAATTTATTATAATGAAGGCTTTTTTTTTTTTTAGGAAAAAAAGATTTTCTCTAGAATTATTGCACATCAATGAGTTTTTGGAAACTGTTGTGATCATTTTCTGTGCCTAAAAAGGATCATTCTATCAGGAAGTGAGTCTGCAAAGAGGGTGAGAGTCCAGCAGTGCCTGTCTCCATTCTTGACAAACAGAGGTTTAATATAAGGAGGCTCTGTCCCCTAAGAATATTATAAATCAGACCTGACTTTTTTTCTGAGAAAAATCATTTCTATATCACTTATAGTCCTTCTGACTAAATAGTCTTTCTAAAGGAAATGTCATTCACAAATCAGTAAGCAAATTCACTTTTGGCATTGACATGAAGCCATGTAACCACACTGTAATAATAGTTGGTTTTCAAAATAAATTCAGTGCCTCATACTTAACATG
Source organism: Homo sapiens (assembly GCF_000001405.40). Taxonomy (NCBI): domain Eukaryota; kingdom Metazoa; phylum Chordata; class Mammalia; order Primates; family Hominidae; genus Homo; species Homo sapiens. The sequence continues at coordinate 80,689,665 of NC_000008.11, read as the reverse complement.
ATTATACATCTAGCACCATTAGCTTTATTTTATTTTACAAATGCATACTACAGTATATTTGTAAGCCACCCGGGCCTGCCAAGGGAGTTTTTCACACTAAGTAAAATCATCAAGCCTTATATTATGCTCTTCTTGAACTCCTGTTGTACTAAATGGAGCTTTCTTATTTACAATAGGCAAATCTAGTCTGGTGAGCGTATCAGTCTCTGTGTAGACTGCAGGGAGTGAGATGCTAGTTTGGTTTTGTTGATGCTGGCAAAGCATGAGACTGCATAAATGACCATTTCATTCTAAAAGAACCTAGCTGTAATGAGATGGGTAGTTTCTCCTATTTCAACTTAAAGCTTCACTCCTCTAACTTAACTTTTTGCTTGACATAGTTGAGGAATATGGTAGAAATCCATAAATAGGTAAAGGTAGTTATGAAATCTCCCCATGAATGATAATCTACCATTTGTCTTCACTCCATTACTAATTACACAGACATTAACAGTATTTTTTTAATGAGGCATTTGGGGATGTTTTTTCCTCGTAGTTAGAACATAGTTTTAATATATTCAAAATGCACATAAATATGGAGGAGAAATTATCCAAAAAAAAGTAAAATTTATATAAATGCTAATTAAGGTCGTGCATCTTGAAAGGTAAAGCAAATCTTCAGTGATTAAAAGAGCACCCAGAAGACTTTTTTTTTTTTTTTTTTTTTTGAGACAGAGTCTCACTCTGTTGCCCAGGCTGGAGTGCAGTGGCACCATGTCAGCTCACTGCAACCTCCGCCTCCCAAGTTCAAGTGATCCTCCTGCCTCAGCTCCCCCAGTAGCTGGGATTACAGGCACGCACCACCATGTCCAGCTAATTTTTGTATTTTTAGTAGAGACGGGGTTTCGCCATATAGGCCAGGCTGGCAGAAGACATTCTAACTGGGCAGAAATCTCTCCACATTAGCAAACATTTCATAATGCTTTCCACCACAAATGGGAAGGTAATAGCCAATAGCAATCTTAGAGTAATTATTGCCAATAAATTCTTATCCTATCCCAGCTTTGCCAGAGAGAATGGAGGTTGTTTACAGCCCAGGGACTGCATGCACTGAAGAAATAGGTCCAACCTCTTCCTGGTGGCCTGGGCCCATGAGGGATACTTACCAGTCATGTAGCAAGTCACTTTGCTTCCTGCTGCCTCAGGGTCCTCATCTATAAAACTGGGATAATAATCCTTATTCTGAAGGACAGATGTTGTGAGAATGCTTGAGACTGTGCGAATAAGCTTTGTAAAATGTAAAACACTCACAAAATGTAAGGCATTACTATTTGTTGTAATAAGCAGAATGGAAAGGGGCTTTAGATAACTATCCAGAAATTATTTCTCTTAGATTCTTAAGTGTTAGACTAACTTCCTATAAATGTATTCTAAGAATAACAGTCCTATAAGAACCCCCCACCCCCCAACTTTTTTTCTGAAACAGGATCTCGCTCTTTCACCCAGGCTAGAGTGCAGTGACCCAGTCATAGCTCACTGCAGCCTCAAACCCCTGGGCTCAAGTAATCCTCCCTCCTCAGCCTCCAGAGTAGCTGGGACTATAGGTGCATGCCACCACGCCGGGCTAATCATTTCATTTTTTCTGTACAGACAGGGTCTCACTATGTAACCCAGGCTGGCCTCGAATTCCTGGCCTCAAGCGATCCTCCTACCTCAGCCTCTCAAAATGCTAGGATAAGAGAAGTGAGCCACTGCCCTCAGCTAAGAAATCCCTTTTTAAAAAAATGTTGAAATCGGAGGGGTTGGGGTGAGAGGGAACTCTGTGACCAAACCATTCAGGAGAATACTGCAAATGATATTTCTTTCTTAGAAATACTGTAGTCGATAAACCCAGAGCTCCCCAAACTTAGTGAACAAGAAAATCTTTTTTTTCATATAATCCCCACTATGATCCCAAGGAATTTGTGTTGCACAATACAAAAACACATCAGAAAACTCTTAGAAAAACCTATTATCATGAGGTTAAAATAATTAAATGTTTATAAACTACAATGTGGCTTTTGGGAGGGGGCGTATAAATAGAACAAAAACTTACATACCCAGCTGTTGCAGATGATTGAGAGGGCTGGGGTGGTTTCACTGGTGTAGAACCAAGGCTCCCATTTCCCCACTGAACCATGCCCGGGCACGCAGGGGTCCTGGCACTGACTGTGTTTGTGTGCATGCAGAGAGCCTCAGCGGATCCTGGAAGGAGGGCGGCTGCGTGCCTTCCAGCACCAGCAGCAGCGGCTACTGGAGCTGGAGCGCCCCCAGCGACCAGTCCAACCCGTCCACGCCGTCGCCGCCGCTCTCGGCTGACAGCTTCAAGCCCTTCCGCAGCCCCGCGCAGCCAGACGACGGCATCGACGAGGCGGAGGCCAGCAACCTGCTCTTCGACGAGCCCATTCCCAGGAAAAGAAAGGTTGGTGGTCAGCCACGCGGTCTTCTGCATTCAGTTTCCTGAAGGTGCTTTCTGTCCCCTCTGAAGGGCCGGTGTGAGCTTAACCTTGGACCTACACCCCCTTTCTGTGGAAAGAAGCAGCTTACGTTCCTCTTTAATGTTCTTGAAGTTTGAATAGAAATTGTTATGGTGATAATTTAAAAATGACAAATACTGGTAAGTTTCCTGAAGGTATATACACACGTATCCCATCCATCCTCTGGTTATAAATTGCTGACCTGGGACTTACCAGTATTTGTAAGTTAGAAAATTGGACCTCAGGCTTGCTTCGGTATGAACTCGCTCTCTTCGTGGGACTTATTTTTTTCATATGTAAAATATAATTAATATATTTTTCTCTTTTCTCAATCAGCCCTGAAGGGTTATTGGGAAGAATATTTTGTATCTCATTTTTATGCAGTCATCTGTGAAATATACATAAAAGCTGAGATATAAACAAACTTCCATTCTTACATCCTAGAGATTATATATTAACTAAATAAAAAGTGAAAAAGGGCCAGGCACAGTGGCTCACACCTGTAGTCCCACTGCTTTGGGAGACAGAGGCAGGAAGATTGCTTGAGACCAGGAGTTGGAGACCAGCCTGTGCAACATAGCAAGACCCTGTCTCTACAAAAAAAAATTAAATAAAAAAAAAATTAGCTCAGTGTAGTGGCATGCACCTGTAGTCTCATCTACTCAGGAGGCTGAGGTGGGAGGATCGCTTTAGTCCAAGAGTTCAAGACTGCAGTGAGCTATGATCTGGCCACTGCACTCCAGTCTGGGCAACAGAGTGAGACCCTGCTGCTTTAAACAAAACAAAAAGGAGTAGAAGAAAAAAAAGACATCTAATTAATTGATTTAGCAAATTAATTGATTACACATTTGTTTAATCCTCCCAGCAGTCCTATATGGTAAGTTTTGCATTTCCATCTTGTTATGAGGAAACTGAGGATCAGAGAGATTGATTGTACATTTAACTGGCCCCTGTCAGGCAGGTTAGAAAGGGACAGAGCCACCATTCAAACCCAGATCTGCCTGAGCCTCAAGTTCATATTCTTTTCATTCTCTTTAGGTACATTTCAGTTATGTTCACTCATAATTTTTCGAAAACATTTCCATTTCACAGAATAAAGGAAAACTACCACTATACTACCACTAAATCTGAAGACATTTGGCATTATTTTTAAAATCACCACATAAATGTAAAACTGTTGTTATATGTATTGGTTTTTAAATGTTGTATTGGTAGCTTCATTATGAATGGCTGTTCACAAACAAAAATCCAATACAAAGCCCTGAGGACTGCAGTGCAAACTTTTTTCCTCCCCCAATTCATTTCAAAGAGGAAAACAAAGAGATGGCATTGATCCAACAATGCCTTCCCTCCCTGCATCTCTCAGCATCATTCCACATGTGTAACAGTGGAGGTGATATGGGCACTCTCTCTGAGTGTGTACATGTGAAAAAGGCTGACATTTTTGTCCAGAAAAGAGGATATTACTGTAGTCCCCTGACCTTCCCAGAGGCAGTGGCCTGAAGAGTTGCTGTTTCACACCAGTCTGTCATGCAAAGGGGCTGAAGTTGTTCTGGCACCCTGTGGGTCCCCAGGGACACTGGGTCTTCACTTGACCAGTAGGGGAGAGAGGCTGGCACTTGTATCAGTGGGTACCTGCAGGCAGGACAGTGGTAGGGACCTGAAGTCTTTTCCTGTTACTTTGAGCTTCACAGACTGTCTCCCTGGGGTTTTCTGAGTGTGTAGTTCGAACACTCAATAGGCATGGCCCAGGGTTGTGACAAGGACTCACGGCCCAGGGTTGTGACAAGGACTCACAGTACAGGGAACCCCAATGTTATTTAAGGCACATTAATGAAAGCCTGTCATACCCTTCCATTTCTGATGTAGCCACTGAGCCAAAATTCACACTCTTCCATCACAATTAGACTGCACTTGTTAGCCTCATATGGAAGGTCTACAGGCTTTAACTAAATTAAGGTAAAGTCACCAAAGGAAAAGGAAAAAAGCTTCCTTTTTTACATTTTTTATTTTTTTATTTTTTTATTATATATATTTATTTTTATTGGATGAGCACAGGCCCACTCCAGAAGAAGCTGGATAGTGGGAAGGAATGAACAAATAAGAATAGTGTTTATCCTTCTTTCTTTATGACTTCTCCCTCTATTCAGACTTTAGATGTCCCCAAGCCGAGACGAATAGGATGCTGATTGTAGCCACTAATGTTTAATGCATGGATTTTACACAGACCAAGTTGTTACCTTGGCCTTTTGAATTTAAAGTTACTTTGAACAGTGAAAATAACAAGAAGGTGAGGCTGATGCTATTCTTTTTTAAATTTATTAGGTGAACCAATATTTATTGAGCACGTATCAGGCAAAATGCTTATTGCCCTGAGAATAATGCATAGTTTTTTCCTTCAAGGTGTCAAAAGTTGGGTGGCTGGAAATTGATGTGTAAAAAGGCAATAATTACAAGTGGTAAATGCTGTGTTCGTGATGTGACAGAACACAGTAACTGTAATACAGTTATTTTAGAGATTTAAAAAATCATGTTTCAAAAGATTTCTAAGAGTTAATTTGCTTAAACCAGACAATATGTTCTGTCTAGTTGGTAGAACTTTCTGAGTTCATCTTATTTTCCTCTCCTTTCCCTCAGTTTCATAGTACCCATTTAAAACCCATTGTGATAGTCACTTGTTCTGTGGGTATTGTTTGAGAACCTTCTAGATCAGTTTTTTCCAACTGCACGTCTCAATCCACCAGAGGGTTGTGAATCAATTTAATGAGTCACTCTTTAATCAATAAAACAGAATAGAATACACTGTACATAATAAGGATAAGTATTGTTTCTTGACAATTTTGTTTCAGTGTATACATATGTGTATGTGCTGTGCAAAATGTATTTCTTATTGTGGCTCATGAGCAAAAAAGTTTGGAAGCTTCTGTTCTTTGTTATAAAGAGATAATACAATTTGTGGTAAATTAAGATGTCCTGATTGGAAATCAAAAGATTCACATTCTTAACTCTGCTACCCTGAGAACCTAAGAATATCATTTCACCTCTCTGATCATCAACTTCTTCATCTGTAAAACAGGCAAACAGGTATTAACATGCCCCTCTCAGGATAGTTATGAAGATTAAATGTGGTCTTAAGTGCTGGAATGTGGCAACATTTTAATAGACATTTGAGGACTCTAAACAAAAGGGGAGGGAGCATTGCCTATATCTGACTATGAAGCAATGATCCTGACCTTTGTCATTATTATGGAAGCTTCCTTATCTCTTCTCCCACCTCCCCCCACACAGAGATGGCTCACTCCCACCTCTTGTGGAGATCCATGTTCCACTTATGTAAAGAAGATGACAGTGTGTGATACACTGCATAGACAAGGCATTCTCTCTTACTATCAGTAGTGAGGAGGAAATATTTGCTGATAATCACTATATTTGCTTATTTAGTTACAGTTTACCAAATGCTTTTAAATGTAGCATTTCATTTCATCATCCCCCAAATCTTTGGTGTATTCTTATCCCCATTGTGCCAAGAGGCTCATTGAGGTTATGTTAACTGTCCAAGGTTGTGTAGCTTATAATGTGGCAGAGATCAGTTTAACTTAAATAGCAGAGGAAACGTTTGAGGCCAAGTTAATTCAGTGAATCCATATTTCCTTCAGCCCACAGAGGAGAAAAACGTGGAGAGAAAATAATCAGACATAGCTACAGCTATGTGGCAGGGTGGGAGCAAGGGTGCAGAAAGTTCAGAAAGAAATGGAGAGCAGAGATAGGAACTCCAGGCTGTCTGCCGGAGAGCTTACTTCCCACATGAAGTATCCGTCACCCATAAGGAACCTGCAGCCAAGGTAGGTGAGAGTGTGAGAAGGGAAATGAAAGGCTTCTCTATCCTAGCTCTGGAGGTCAGCCAGCCAACTTTGTCAAGCCCAGGTCTAGCAGAATTTTTCCTCTGGGATTTCAAGACAGACTGGCAGAACTTCCAAGCTCAGAGAAAAACCAGGTTGTGTGAGCCAGGACTCTTGACTTTGGGGAGGTGCAATTTCCGTCATGACCACAAGGTGATGCAGTGACCCTAAATACAGCCATTCGGGGAGTTCGTGGGAGAAAATGAATTCTATGGAAGGCCAAAGAGTTAACCATCAATTCCACAAGACCCCAAGAAAGTCAAGAAGCGCTGATCAGAAATGATTTGTGTGCCCTTTCCATGCCAGATCCCTGATTCTGTCAGATTCTGGATTCTGTGCATTCCAAAATTGTCATGCCAGCTTTAGGACTTACATGACTTAAGCAAGTCACTTGGCCTCTTCAGCATCAGTTTCCTCATCTGTAAAATAAGGAAAATGGTGGCACCATATTGATGTGGCTGTTGTCAGGAATATACGAGAGGCCCTGTAAAGAGCAATAAATGTTAGCTGCTAATACTTTGCCTTTCCTCCTCCCCCCTCCCCCACCGCCGTTTGGCAACTGCCTGAATGGGGAATTTGAGAAGCATAGGTGTGGAGAGAAGGGGGTGCTTGCCTCCACCCTCCACCCTGACCCACACTGACCGTGCCAATGCCACAGTGGCTCAGGATAACTCCAGATCCCTCAGCCACCCTGTGCTCAATTGGGTGTGCATTAGCCCCCCTGCAATGCACTGGGTGAGTGCAGCAAGGACAGTAGCAGAAATTGGGGGCATAAAAGGAAATCTGACTCAGGACTCTGCATTTCAGAACATTGGCAGCATCTCAGAGGCAATTTCTAAATTTCAGCCTTCATCATTTCCATTTATTTCACAGGTATGTGTCTTAACCATGAACAGTTGTACCTGTGTACTAGGAAGAACCTCAAGTTAGAGAAGAAAGCACTGAGTTAACATAAGGTGCTTCAGTAATAGTTGTACAGTAGCAAACAATTAATCATTTGCTCCACTCTGTATTTTTAATCTTCCAGAGCCAAAAAGCTATGAATCACTTTAAATTGTGAATGGCTGCTCCAAGAAGAAAACAAACCCGTAAAACCCTCACGAATAAGCATGTTGCCAGTCTCTCTGCTGACTTAATTCCTAACCCACTAATTTTGAGCAGAGAGTGCCTCTTGCAAAAAGAACGGCTGTTCCAGAAATAGATCCATCTGTTAAAACTGCTGGGGAGGGCGATGCTAAGAACAGCAGCTTGGATCAACTGCATGGATTTCATGGTGATGGTACATACAGCATTGTCAGCCAGGGCAGGGAGCTGATTGGCCTCATAGAGAAAATTCAGGATAAAGAGGAGTGATATCTAGGTAACTTAGTGACAAGATCTTAGAATAACCTGCCATGCAGTATATAGGCTCTGGGACATTGGAGTTCGAAGGACTTTGGAAATCTTCTAGCCCAGTCTCAATCTTTCCAAGTTAAAGGACTACTCAGTATGTCTAGAAATGTCCAGACGTCCCCAAAGATGAGATGCACTTTTAGAATTCATTGATTGAGGAAGCACAGAATGACTAGGGATTTCTGTTAATTCAGAAATCGTTTTGTTGTTTGGTGTTGCTGTTATAGAAATCATTTAAAATCAACTTTATTAGGTATAATTTTCACAGAATAAAATGAACCCATTTTAAGTATACCATTTAGTGAGTTTTGACTGTCTCTACCTGAGTAACCACCACTCTAACCAAGGCCAGCACTCCTCATACGCCGCTTCAGTCAAAGGCACCACCAAGCCCCAGACAGGCAACCAACCACTGGTATAACTTTCATCACTATAGATTAATGCTGCCTGTTGTAGAATTTCAAGTAAATGGAATTATACAGTGTGTATTTTTAGTATACAAAATACCAAATGTTGGCAACAGGAACTCTCATTTATTGCCGGTAGAAATGTAAAATGGTACAACCACTTTGTAAAACAGTTTGGCAGTTTCTTAGAAAGTTAAATATACACTTACCATATGACCCAGCAATTCCACTCTTAGGTATGTATTTACCTAAGAGATAAGAAAACACATGTCCACAAAAAAACTTGCAGACAAATGTTTATAGCAGCTTTATTCATTATCACCCCAAACTGGAAACAACCCAAATGCCCATCAACAGGTACCTGGATAAACAAATTGCATTATAACCATACAATGGGATACTTCACCACATAAAAGGGAGCAAACTACTGATACAAGAAACAGTGAGTGAATCAAAAAAAACATTATGCAGAGGGGGAAAAAAAGCCAGGCACAAAAGAATACATTCTGGGTTATTCCATTTACAGAACTGTTTTGTTAATTTTGTATACACGTATCACCACAGCATCTATAAACAGCACATGGAGGTGGGAGGTGTTTCATCCGTGCTTGGTATACATTGAATTCACCTGTTACTTTGTATTAACCCCACACACCTTGAAGATCCAAAATCTCTACTCTCATTCAGTCCCCTCATCTTACAAATAAATAAATAAAGCCCCCAAAAGGTAAGGCAACATGTATACTGTGTAACCGTGAGGTAGCATGAGGTAACATAGCTGCTTCTGGAACCCCTACCAGCTTCTAGGAAGTTACTAATTTTTAAATACACGAGCGCATTTACTGATCTTTTGGCACCTGCTGGGGATCTGTGTGGACCTCTTGACCCTGAAAGAGCCATTGGAGCCGCTGCCAAGGTGTGTGGGTTTTCATGAGACAGGCAGAGGAAGTTTGTATAATGCAGCCAACTCACCTGCACAGAATAACTTGGCCCTCTCTGTCCGTCAAGGTCCCTGGTCCTCTCTGGAGAGGCTTGGATGTGTAAGCCCCTGTCCCTGCCCTGCCATTCCAAAACCACACACACAAGTCACAATACAAAAAAAAAAAAAATACCTGAAGATCCTTTTAGTCACCTCAGAACATGACGTTAACTCCAGGCTGCTGACTGATAAAGTGACGTTCATGTGCTTTCTAGAATATAGCTTTAGTTGGACTTACACGTCATATGCATGTTATACAATACTTTGAAGCACTTCAAAAATGTTACATAATTCTTCAAATTCCAGCCATGTTTCCACTCTTGGAACTGAAGGTGACCTTCAGCAGTCACTATATCAATCCTAAGTATCACTCTGGGTTCTGTCAAGAAAATAGAAGCTACTTCGTATATTCCAAGTATGAAACCATTTTTTAGAAACAGGATTGAGGCTTACTATTGGTAGGGCAAGCAGAGAGAAAATCAGGGACACCTTGGCCAAAGGTCTCAGCCAATAGACCCAAGGAAGTTCTAGAGACAGTTCAGAAGCTGCTGCAAAGGCGAAAATCTCTGGGAAGTTCTCTCCAACCATTGTGGCCCACAGCATCAATGTTGAGAAATTCTAAAGAGTTTGTCTGGAAGCTGCTATGCATCTCACATCAGGCATATGTGAGATTCCAGGAGTCTGCTCACGACTGCGTGGAGCTTCAGCTCCTCCTGGGCCTGTTGCGGGTGTTAAATAAAGTACACGTGGAAGCTGCTAGCACAGGACCAGGCACAGAGTGGTTCCCAATCAATGGTGGCCTCCCTCTGTTCCCTTTGCTTTACATGAAGAAGACCATTCTGTTAGACTTGAGGTCTTTGCTGACGTTGGTGTTCTGCAGAAGTGCTTTCCACTGGTGTGAATTTTCAGCTGTTATCCATGAGATGGTGGACATTCCAGCTTTGCAAACATCTGTTAGCTCTGCGAGGAGAAGCTAGGGTAGAAGCACAGATGGGACCATTCAGATTTGGCTGCCGCAACTCTGCCAGAAGCTTTGCTTGGTTTGGCTTTCTTGGGCAGGCTTGGACCCATGCAGCAATCTGGGCGTTGTTTATTTAGCTATTTTTTCATGTTCTCCTCCTCCCATGGCTTGCTTTTCTTTAGTGTAACAGCAACTAGTCTGTTTGTAGACAAAGGATTTGTTTCAACTGGATATAGTTAGGGGACTTTGAAAAGTACTGAACTACCATTTAAAGAGCCTCATGCTTTGCTGCAAGAATGTCTTTGGCCTATGTAGAGACAAATCACTTTACAAAGGTGTAGACAGGGTTAGGGGAAATCAGTAGGGGGTGGTGCAGGACTCCAGGGGCTAACAACCTTGGAAGGCCATTATTAACCCTAACCCGTAGAGCCTTAAGAGGCTCTACAAGGGAGGAATTTCTACAATCCAGAAGGTTACCAGAACTCTGGAAATATAGCTGTTGGAGAGGTTACCCAACAGATAGGGTAACTTTTGGAGGAGAGATGTAGCCACTGCCCACCTGTGGCCAGGCAGAAGGAGAGAGCCAGGAGGAATCAATACCTTCCTGCTTTCCAATCTCTCCTGCCTCCCAGCTGCCTGCCGGTGCCTCTCATTAGCCAAATCCAACCAGAGATCTATGAACCAGAAGCCCTGTTAATGCAGCCTCCTGGGACCCTGAGCATGGTGCAGAAAAGGCATGGTGTAGACCTGACAGGTCAAATACGACAGGTCATCAAGTCCCTTAATAGATATGTAACTTTTCACATCAAAGAAGCTTTTCTTACAACTTCATGTTTAAGGTTTAATATACAGTCATATGGCATAATTTAACCAATCCCCTGTTGTCAACCTTGAGGTTGTTTCTTATTTTTATCTAGTGTAAAAATCTGTGTGATGAATGAATATACATATGTCTTTGCAAATATTTTGAATTACTGTCTTTGGAAAGATTCCTACAAATTGAATTGGCTCAAAGTTATAGGTGTTTCTTAAGCTCTTATTGCCTTAACCTGTATTGCCCTCAAATTTAAAGATGGCCCCTATCTGTGCATGTGTAAACTATGAAGGTAGAGCTCTGACAGTCTGGACTAAAATGGGATAATAAATGTGAGATGAGATATTCAAAAGGAATGTCAAAAGGAAGAGGAATGCAAAAGGAAGAGGTCGAGGAGAAAGCAGAACTTTGTTTTGCGATTGCCCCCTCCTCCAAAACAGTTGACAGTCTTCCCACTATATGTAATTATGTTTCTGAGTCCACATTTGCAACTGCCTTGCAAATCCACAGCAACTTTCTATATCTCTAGGATGCAACATTGTTTTCTAATCACTTTTGCTAATGACCTGAGTCATTATAAATTAGTAATTTTTCCTACAGCAGATTTTCCATTGTCTGGTGGTGAACTCAGACTTTCCTCAGGTAGCTACCAGTGTAGGGTATGCAAGATTGGAAGAGAAATGTACGATATAAAGTGAAGAGAAAACCATCTTATAATTCAATCCTCACAATGCAGGGCATCACCATGGATGTCCCCTGAGAAGTTAATTTACAGCCAGGTAGGATAAGCAAGTGTTAATCATACTGAGAAACATTAAATTCTACAGAACAAATCTTTTTGACAAACATTCTTTGAACACAGATGATTCACTAAGTAAATTTTACAAAGTGCTATTTAAACAAATTAAGATATCCCAAATGTGGCTCATCTCTGAGGTCCCAAAACACAACCTTTCTGAGATTGAACATAACAAATATTTATTGAGCCAGACACTGTGAGGCACTGGGATAGAATATAGTCTATCCCCAAAGTGCCTCTTGAAAACCCAGCAAAAGGAAAAAAGGAAAGAGGAGACAAAGTTCATCATGTTTCTTAATATCATTACCTAATTTTCTTTGGGTAACAGATTTCTTTGGAACCTTTAGCAGGGGTTCAAGGAAGGTGTGTGTATGTGTGAGGAGGAGATAAACAATTGCTGTTGGTAGTTATCCTAATTCCAAGTGACTTGACAGAGGATAATGGTCAGCTTCCTTGGATTCTGGGGGTTTGATGCCTCCAAAATGTATCATCTACCTGAAGTAACAAATGAAAATTATGGAAAGAAGTTAAACCAATGATATTTATTTTTCTGTAATCAGGACCAACCTTAACTACTTGTCAATTTAAAAAACAAATGCTTGACATATTATTGCAAGGACGAACAGTAATCTTGTAAATAGTACTTGTTATGGCACAAAAATACCACTGTGATTATCATATCCTAAAACAATCAGCAATTTGAGGCCTTAAAAAAGTCCCATGATGTAGGAGGAATTTGGCTTTATATGTCGTACAATAATTACTATTATATTCAGTATGAAAGCCTACATCTGACTGACTCATTGGTAAGAGCCATCAGATGACACTGGGTAAGTCTTGTAACTTTCTGGAGTCTTGTTTCCCATCATGAATATCAGAAATATGGAAATAGTATCTTATGCTTTGCCCATTCCTTTCCCACTCTCTAAGGCGGGGGTCCCCAACTCCCGGGCCTCGGGCTGGTTATCAGTCCGCACACAGCCGGTTAGGAACCCCGCCACACAGCAGGAGGCAAGCGAGCATTACCGCCTGTGCTCCGCCTCCTGCAGGTCAACAGCCGCATTAGATTCTCATAGGAGCATGAACCCTATTGTGAACCAGATTGCGCGCTCCTTATGAGAATCTTAACTAATGCCTGATGGAACAGTTTCATCCCGACCTGTGCCATCCTCTCCCAACCTGCGCCACAGTCCCTGGAAAAATTGCCTTCCATGAAACCGGTCCTGGTGCCAAAAAGGTTGGGGACTGCTGCTGTAAGGCAAGTATTTTATCCTTCTCAAGTATCCTCAAACTTCATACACAACCTTCCCTCTTTGTCATCAGTTCTGACCCCACTTCCTGCCTCATTGAAAAATTAGAAACAGTCATACAGGAATTCCTTTTTTTCCCTTCTCCACCAAATTAGCAAATTAACTGCATCTGCAGCCACCATCTGGTTTCCCTCCTTTTTCCAGCAGAGAACTGTCCTGTCTCATCCAAGGCAGCCCCTCTCCCTGTGCTGTGTGTATTGGCGCTGCTCTCCTGACCTTCTGAAGAACCTCATCCTGTAGCTAACCCCTGCTTCTCTACTGCACCATCAGTTTCCCTGTCTTTGCAGTCACTCCCATCAGCATAGAAACGCACCTTAGTATAACTTATCTTTACAAACCCTCCCTTGACTGCTCATAGGTCAGCAAAATTTCTTGAAAACATTGGCACTTACTCTCTCTGTTTTCCTAAATCCCACTTACTCTCCAGTCTATTACCAATCTGATTTCCATCCACAACACTCTACGAGATTTACTGCTATTTGGGCCACCAGCATCCTCCATATGCCAAATCCAAGGAACATTCCCAGTCCTTGTTCAACACAGTTGGTCACATCTTCCTTCCTAAGACACTTTCTTCTATTTGTGCTTTTAATATCATGATCTGCTGACCACTTCTCTCTCTTACTGCTCCTTCTCAATCTCCAACATAAAATATTGGATGCTGCAGTGCACCCTAATCATCTCTAACTGCATTTTTCCCTAGATGGGCTCATCCACACCCAAGCTTTCAGTGCTCCATCTCCTGACCCCAAATTTATATCTCTATCCCTGACTCTCCCTGATTCCAGGTTCACATATCCAGTGTCCTGCGTGCAATCTCCTTTTGATACATAATAGGCATCTCAAAATTAACATATCCAAAACTCACCCACAACTCACCCAGTCATTCAAACCTAAAACATGGAAGTCATCTTTAACACCATCCCTCTTATCATTCCTCATAGTCAACCCAACAGCAAGTATTATTGGATCTGCCTCCAAACTATGTCTTGAATGTGTCTATTTTTCTCCATCCTCTCTGCCCAAAGCCTCTAAGCCACCATCTCTTCTCACCTGCAGTGACTTCATGCACTGACTCCATGCTGGTGATTACATTTGTTTTCTATCCCAAAACAGAGTAATATTAAAAAAAAAAACAAAACAAAACTTAAGTCATACAGTGTCACTCTCTTCCTTCAGTAACTTCTCTTTTATTTTAGAAGAAAATCCAAATTCCTTACCTTTGTCTGCAAAGTCCCACATGATCTGACCCTGCTTCTGCACTTTATCTCAAACAAATCACTCCCTCCCACATTTCATTCTAAACACACCGTCATTCTTTCTGGCCTCCAAGAGGCAAGGTCTTTCTCATCTTCAGGCCTCTGCTTTTAACTCTTCGCTATGCCTGGAAAACTCTAGCTCTTAGCTTGGCTGGCTCCTTCTCCAACTTTCAGGTCCCAGCTCAATAGTCACCTTCTACAGGCCTCATGCTATATCTGAAATGGTCATCATGTATTATAATTTATGTCTCTCCCCTACTAGAATTTCACTTCCTTGAAAGAAGCCTCATTTCTTTTTTTGTTCTCTATCCCCAGAACGTAGAATATTCCTTGCTAAATAGATATTTGGTTTAATGAATGAAAGAATGCCATCAGCAAAAAGGTTAGGAATGAATCAAAAAGTGTTTTCATCTATCATGACTTCATTTCCAGACAGATACTTGGACTGTTGGGTACGTGTATTTTTGCTTGAGTCATTGGTTCTCTTAAGTGGAAGATATTTTCTACAATATAGCTTCATCATTTGAAAAATGGGCAGGAAGCATTTGTAGTGTGAGGACTTGTTCATTAATGTTTGCCATAGTTTGATATGGTTCATTTACCTCCACCAAAATCTCATGTTGGAATTTGATCCCCAGCATAGGGGTGTTGGGAGGTGGGGCCTAGTGGGAGGTGTTTGGGTCATTGGGGTGCATCCCTCTTGAATGGCGTGGTGCCATTCTCACATGGCATGAGAGTCTCACTCTCATGAGACTGGATTGGTTTTTGAGAGAATGGATTAGTTCCCTGGAGAGTGGGTTGTTGTAAAGCCAGAACACCCCTTGGGTTAGATCCCTCTTGGCATATTCCTGCATCACCTTTGACCTCCACTATGATTTAACTCAACACAAAAACCCTCACCAGAACCTGAGCAGGTGCTGGCGCCATGCTTCATATGCAGCCTGCAGAACCACTACCTAAATAAACCTCTTTTCTTTATACCCAGCATCAGGTATTCTTTTATGGCAATGCAAAATGGACTAAGACAGTATTGTTAAGTTATATGCTTTGAATAAAATAGTATTTTGAATTCTGCAGAATTCCTTTTTGTGAACCTAGCAGGTTTGAAGGTGGGATTTAAATCGCCCCATCTGGCGCATCTTACATTTCATGTGTTTAGATCACTGGCCCAAGGAGGTCAGGAAGGCTGAAATTTGTGAACCGTCTCCTTGGAATAAATACAGGCTCATAAGGATCATGTACTTAAAGTCTCCTAATTGTGTCTTTGCTTCTCCGCATTTTCACGTCCCTCAAAGAGCTTCAGCTGTAACTCATGTAGCTCTGGGTCCTACGCCCAGCACTGCACACTGCAGGTAGAACATCATGGAGCTGGGTGTGTGTGCCCAGGAGCTGCAGAAGAAACAGCAAGATTGCTGTGCTGTGAATGCTGGCCACCCAGGCAGAGCCTCTGGGGCACAGTGGGCCCTGGGCTCACGAAGCCCATGTGAACAGTGGGCTCCTTCCGTGGTTGGTAATCTGCTCTAGCAGACTGCTGCAATGTGCTGCCACATTTGTCCTCTGCTTGCCATGCTTAAGGCAACCATTCACCAACACATGAGCACTCTTCAATTCTGGAAGCTCCCAAGTACCATTTTCAATTCAGAAACCTATGGAAAATCTTCAGCATGGGGTGGCTGTCCAGATAAATCATCTGGATACTGATTCCATCAGTAATAGCTGATGAGTCGTCTTCTAAATATGTGAATGATTGCTTCATAGACTCAAGAGTATGATGGTGTGAACCAGAAGTACTTGATGGCAGATATTCTAGCAGGCACATAAATCAAGCTACATCAGTTCCATCAGTTTGGGAAAGATGCCACCACTGCTGTATGTGTTGGTCAGGGTGGGCTTACTATTGGAACAACCCATTTTTCTCACATGTCAGTAGCTTAACACAATAAACGTTTGTTTATTCTCATGTCACAATCCAGTCAGGTCAGTGGAGGTTCCGAAGAGGGTGGATGTCTTCGCTCCAAACAGCCCTCTGGGGATCCAGGCTTCTTCCTTCTAGTGCAGACCTTCTTAACCTGGAATCCACAGATCCCCAAATGGATACACAGAATCCAGGAAGTCGGTGAACCTGCATGGGGGAAAAAGTGTATCTTTATTTTCACCAACCTCTTAACCATAATTTAACATTTCCTGTAATTATGATTTAAGGCATGAAGCCATAATAATGTTAGCACCACCTGTGACTTTAATACCCATCAAAATCATAGATGTTTCATATCACATTACAATTTTAGTAGATATCATGAAATATCATTTATTCATAACACTACTTTAAAATTATGGTAGGCATTAGGCCCACTTCAAGGTATTGTTATTTACTACGTTAATTAGAGAGTATGCATATTGCCGTATTACAAAATTTTTTTTTTTTAAGTTCAACTTTTATTTTAGATTCAGGGTACCTATGCAGGTTCGTTACATGGGTATATTGCGTGATGCTGGGGTTTGGGATACAATTGAGCCTATCACCCAGGTAGTGAACATAGTACCCAATAGATAGTTTTTCAACACTTACCCCACTCCCTATTTCCCTCCTCTAGTAGTCCCCAGTGTCTGTTATTTCCATCTTTATGTCCATGTGGACCCATCGTTTAGCTCCCACTTAGAAGTGAGAGCATGCAGTATTTGCTTTTCTGTTTCCGCATCAATTCACTTAGGATAATGGCCTCCAGCTGCGTCCATTTTGCTGCAAGGGACATAATTTCATTCTTTTTCATGGCTTTGTAGTACTCCATGATGTATGTGTAACACATTTTATTTATTCATTACACTGACACCTAGGTTGATTCCATGTCTTTGCTACTGTGAATAGTGCTGCGATGAACATACAAGTACATGGGTCTTTTTGGTAGAATGATTCATTTTCCTTTGGGTATACACCCAGTAATGGGATTGCTGGGTCGAATGGTACTTCTATTTTTAGTTCTTTGAGAAATCTCCAAACTGCCTTCCACAGTGGCTGAACTAATTCACACTCCCGTCACCAGTGTATATGCATCCTCGTTTCTCTGCAGCCTCGCCAGCATGTATTATTTTTTGACATTTTGGTAATAGCCATTCTGACTGGTGTGAGATGGTATCTCATTGTGGTTTTCATTTGCATTTCTCTGATGATTAGTGATATTGAGCGTCTTTTTCCTATTTTTTTGGCCACTTGTATGTCTTCTTTGAGAAATGTCTGTTCATGTCCTTTGACCACTTTTTAATGGGGTTACAAAATATTTAATGTTTTTTTCTAGCTGTATTTCAATACACTTGCATTTCTTTATAATTTTGTGTATTTTATTTTAAACATTAAAAACCACTATTCTGAGAAGGATTCGTAGGTTTCACCAGACTGCCAAAAGGGTTCATGGCAAACAAAAAATTAAGAACTCTGATCTGGTGGTTTTGCTATACCCTAAGACCTTTGTGTCCTTTGCATCTAGCCAGCAGAGCAGACTGGGGGTGACACTGGGAAGTAGTTGAGGGGCAAGGCTTAGAAGGAATGTGTGTCACTTCTCATCCATCAGCCCTAATTCAGTGATGTGATCCCATTTGACTGCAAGGGAGTCTGGGAATCAAGGTCTAGCTGTGTACCCAGCAGGAAAAGGAAATGGGGCTTGGTGAACACATGGAAGTGACTGTCACCATACCCAAGGGAACAGTCAGCAAAGAGGTGGCATCCCAAGGACAAGGGACCTCCCTGGAGAAAACTCACTTTCTATAAAATTTACTCTAGGATGCATAATCATAATAATCCTGTAATAGCTGCTGTTGGTTGAATGGTTATTCCTGTCAGCATTCTGCTAACTGATTCACTTCCATGATGTCATTTAATCCTCATAATAATGCTGTGAAACAGGTACTGTTATTATTCCTATTTTATAAATAAGAGCACTGAGAACTCAAGAAATAAGCCCAAAATCAGTGCTCTCAATCATGGCACTGGACTGTTTTAGAAAATATTGCCGCAGCCTGGGCAACATGGCAAAACCCTGTCTTTACCAAAAATACAAAAAATTAGCTAGGCATGGTGGCATGTACCTATGGTCCCAACTACTTGGGAGGCTAACGTGGGAGGATCTCTTGAGCCCAGGAGGCGGAGGCTGCAGTGATCCAAGATTGTGCCGCTGCACTCCAGCCTGGGTGACAGAGTGGGACCCATCTCTGAAAAAAAAGGAAAAGAAAATACTGTGACCCTTGTTGAAGAGGTGGAATTTTGTACTGGTGGAGGGGATGGTTTCTGGAGCCAGAGTCCCTGGATTCGTATTTCAACTTTGCCAGTAGCTGGTTCATTGACTGGACACTTTTTATGGAGCTTTCTATGCGTCTGTAAAATGGAGATTAATATTAGTATCTGTCTTTTAGGATTAAAGGAGATAAACACTTAAGACAGCACCTGGCACATAGTAAGTGCTCAGTGAATGTTATCCACTGTTTAGACAGCCAGAATGGCCCTGTGACTACCTTCATGAACATGATCTGAAATATTCCAGCAGAGCCCATTTCTCTTGAAGGATATGAGGAAATAACTGAGGTCACCAAGATACTCACAAACCTAGGGATGCCTACAATAGTGTGCTGAGTTATAGTCAAGAGGCTGGGGATGCTGCTACTTTTCTAATGAAGGAAAAAAATATGTTGGGATGACATAAAGAAAATGTTGTTAGAAAATAGTTTCCATTCTAATATCACTCTCTCCCCTTTACAGAATTCCATGAAGGTGATGTTCAAATGCCTCTGGAAAAACTGTGGGAAGGTGCTGAGCACTGCAGCAGGTATCCAGAAACACATCCGAACCATCCATCTGGGGTAAGGCAGCTCTCTCTTCAGGGATGCAGCCCCCATCTGCTCAGTCTAGGGCCACCCGCACTCAGAAATTGCACACCACACTGTGCCTTAAAGGTTCTGGACACTGGGCTGGCTTGGTCTTCCTAATCTCTAGAGAGATGGCCACTGCAGATCATCTAAGCCAATATGGCACAGTGGAAAGAACAAGGATATAACATCCTAGAGCCTCATTAGTTCACTTACTGAGTCACTTTAGGCAAGCTGCTGCCCTGAGCCCCAGTTCCCTATGGAAATTTATAATAATGTCAGCTCTTCAGGGTCAAGTGTGAGTGCCAAAGATAAAATGTATGTGAGAGAGACTTTAAAGTACAAAACACTAGAGTAACCTGGAATCTGTGATTGGACTTCAAGGGGTCCTTGAACCCACTGAAATTACCTGTGGAATGAAATGTACATTTATTTTCCAGTGGAGAGTATTCATGACTTTAAGCCTCACAAGCATATATAGCCTAAAAAGAGTTCAAGAGTCACCACACCAATCGATGCTGCTGTTGCTGTTCTTACGAAATCACTTTCTGTTGCTCAGATAAGCCATTTATTTGTAAAATCTGTACTTTTCCTCATTATATAACAGCCTTCTAAAGGAAAGATAAAATGAAGGTTTAGGAGCCATAGCAGTTACAGGTCACCCCAGGGGGGCAGTGGTATTCCGTCAGTCTTGTGCTTTTTGCCCTGAGTCTATCTTGCCCAGGGATCTGAGAAGGGACCTTGAGAGGCTGTAAGTCAGAACCAGTGTTCATAAGGCAAACACAAATGCACGGCCAGGCTCCTGTGTGCTTGGACACAGAGGAGTCCTTTCCACAAGATAAGTGCAGAGAAATAAATGCAGCAGTCACTTTACCCAGCAAGGGATACATTTAGAAAATGCTTCATGCCCAACAAGTGATATAGGCAGAAGGTGAAAATAGCTTCTAAGGTAATCTATGAGGGTGGCTCCATAGTGACCATGGAGAGAAACAGGGATCTAGCTCTCTAATCATCCAGGCTGATGTTTGGGGACACACCAGAGCCTTCCAGAGCATATGGCCTGGAGAGCACTGGAGATAGGACCTGGTAAGGCTTCCCTGGCCAGAGTCTACCTTATGTGTAAGAAATACCAATTGAAATACCTCAGGGAAGAACACCCTCCTTCTGCTCCTCAAGCCTTCAGGGAAGGAAATCCTGCAGTGTCTCCCCTGAAATCTCATCGTCAAGACAATTCACAATGTAAGCAGCTCAGTTTTTTTAAAGGTTTAGAAAGAACTTCCCAAAGCTAGAGCCAGGAGGTAGGGTATTTGTTTTAAAGTCTGTCTGCCCAGAAAATTGAGTCCTATTCGGTCCCATCAGAAGCATATGCTGTTTATATGTATTTATAGACCCTGGAATTGGTATCACGTGTTAGTCCTGTGAGTTCCTGGGGTGCTCTCACAGTGGGTGGAATCTAACATGCAACCACTTTGCTTTCCTGGGATCCCCTTTTTCCTGATGTGCTTTTAGAATTTCCCTGGTGAATTATGGTTCATAGCCCTGCCAGGCACCGTACAGGAATGGGCCTGGGTTAGCAGGACTCTGAGGCTAATCTATGCTTATGAAGCCCGGGGCCTGTGCTCTCTGATGCACTGGGAGAGGGAACATACATTTGCCTTTATCCATGAACTCAATTACATGGCTGTAGGATGATGGGGCATTTTTAATGAGTATTAGCTGGTGAGGGGATGAGGAGGGAAACGTGTCAAAGCCAGAAGAAAATATGCCGTCACCTCTGATGTGTCTGCAGTACACACCATGCCTGTATAAAAAGCACACACTTTTCAATCTCACTCCATTCTTGTACACCAGGGGCTGGTCCTGATTTAACCCCACGTGGGACACGCAGTGTCCCCCAGGCCTATGTGTCTATTAGCAGCACTTGGCAGCCAGCAGCAGCTCAACCTGCCTTTAACTGAAAAGGAAGTGGGGACAGGAATAGAACAGATGCTCGTTCTTCTTCCCACTCTCTGGGGTCTTTAATGGTATGCTGGTCACAAGGCCAAGCCCTGCCAGACCTGATACGGTACAAAGACACCTCCCCAGGCGCCTCAGCCTGGGAGCTCAGGGGAAATGGAGCTAGGCTGGGACAAGCCACTGATTTGAACAAAAAGACAGGCCTGTGAAGAGGTGAGGCATGGATTTTATGTTAGATTCT
This sequence comes from Homo sapiens, assembly GCF_000001405.40. NCBI lineage: Eukaryota > Metazoa > Chordata > Mammalia > Primates > Hominidae > Homo > Homo sapiens. The sequence continues at coordinate 80,668,299 of NC_000008.11, read as the reverse complement.
ATGCAGGGCTCATTAGTGGGGAAAAGGTATGTTCCGAGTCAGGGATCTGCTGCTGCTGCTGCAGTGAGGGGACACCCGTGGCCTCTGCCCAGCCATCCCCAAAGCCAGGTTTCTAGAGAAGAGAAGCACCACTTCTCTACAAACTCACAAATTATCTAATAAACATTTTCTGACATTATAGGGAGTTATTTTATTTTACTCAAAACTTTCTGTGGAAAAGTATAATGTTCTATGTTTCAGGGAGAGGAACTTTGAAAACACCTAAGAAGCTACTTTTCCTGGTGATGGTGAAAATTGAGACCTTCTAACATCATCTTTCTTTTTATTTAATAAGCATTTTACGTAGTGTTTATATTGTGTAAGATCTGCTTCTAAGCACCCTATATTTATTAGCTTAATCATCACAAAATCTGGTACTATAATTAATGATCCCCATTTTATAAGTGGAGAAACTGAGGAACGGGGGCTATATGTAGGCCACCAAAATCATGCACACAACTAGAATGTGTAGGAGTCAGGGTTTGAACCTAGGAAGTCTAACCTCAGAATCCATTCTCTTAATCACTGTGCCACAACAACGTCAGCTCCATTCATTCACTCATTCATTCAGGCAACATTTGCTAGGTACCTACCCTCTGCCAAATACACCGATGTGTGTGGAGTGACACATGATGAACAAAACACATCCCTAGAGAATCAGTCATAGTGAAGCGACAAAGAGGTTTAACAAAATACAGACAGGTAGCCAGTGATTAACAAAACGATGAGTAAACACACTTCAGAGGGAGCACAGAGCACTAACAGTTAGGAGTGAAGTCCTAACTCCCAACCTTCAGAATACACCCAGGACTTAACGTCTCAGCCCTTGCACTGCTTGCCTGTCCTGCTCATCTGGAATATTGCTGACAACAGCTCCTTGGTGGCGTCTGCTTTTGCTTTTGTCTTCCTGTCCTCTATTTCCCAGACAGTATCCAGAGTGATCCTTTTAAAATTAAGTTAGAGTTCTGAAAACCCCCAGTGGCTTCCACCACATTCAGAATGCAAGCCAAAGCCATCGCCGTGGGCTGCAGGCCCTGGATGACCTTGCCTCTGCCCTGTTCTCACTCCTCCCGTCACTCCCTGGGGTCCCGAGCTCCAGCCTCTGGCCTCTCTGCCAGGCCCACCCACTTGAGAGCTGTGTGTCACTTCTCCCTGGTGTGTTCTCACTGCGGGTGCCAGCATGGTGTCTCCCTCACTTCCTCCAGGCAGGTCTCTACTCAAACGTCACCTCCTCAGAGAGGCTTCCTCTGGCCACTCTCTTTAAAAGACAAAATTGACAAATGGGATCTAATTAAAATAAAGAGCTTCTGCACAGCAAAAGAAACTACCATCAGAGTGAACAGGCAACCTACAAAATGGGAGAAAATTTTCGCAACCTACTCATCTGACAAAGGGCTAATATCCAGAATCTACAATGAACTCCAACAAATTTACAAGAAAAAAACAAACAACCCCATCAAAAAGTGGGCGAAGGACATGAACAGACACTTCTCAAAAGAAGACATTTATGCAGCCAAAAAACACATGAAAAAATGCTCATCATCACTGGCCATCAGAGAAATGCAAATCAAAACCACAATGAGATACCATCTCACACCAGTTAGAATGGCAGTCATTAAAGAGTCAGGAAACAACAGGTGCTGGAGAGGATGTGGAGAAACAGGAACACTTTTACACTGTTGGTGGGACTGTAAACTAGTTCAACCATTGTGGAAGTCAGTGTGGCGATTCCTCAGGGATCTAGAACTAGAAATACCATTTGACCCAGCCATCCCATTACTGGGTATATACCCAAATGACTATAAATCATGCTGCTATAAAGACACATGCACACGTATGTTTATTGCGGCATTATTCACAATAGCAAAGACTTGGAATAAACCCAAATGTCCAACAATGATAGACTGGATTAAGAAAATGTGGCACATATACACCATGGAATACTATGCAGCCATAAAAAATGATGAGTTCATGTCCTTTGTAGGGACATGGATGAAATTGGAAATCATCATTCTCAGTAAACTATCGCAAGAACAAAAAACCAAACACTGCATATTCTCACTCATAGGTGGGAATTGAACAATGAGATCACATGGACACAGGAAGGGGAATATCACACTCTGGGGACTGTGGTGGGGTGGGGGGCGGGGGAAGGGATAGCGTTGGGAGATATACCTAATGCTAGATGACGAGTTAGTGGGTGCAGCGCACCAGCACGGCACATGTATACATATGTAACTAACCTGCACAATGTGCACATGTACCCTAAAACTTAAAGTATAATAAAAAAATAAATAAATAAAAAATAAAGAACTATCTGAGACTGGGTAATTTATAAAGAAAAAAGGTTTAATTGGCTCATGGTTCACAGGCTGTGCAGGAAGTATGGCTGAGGAGGTCTCAGGAAACTTACAATCATGAAAAAAAAATAAAATAAAATAAAATAAAATAGTGCCCGCATTACTAATCCTGCTTAACAACACTGTTATGCTGTTGAATTTTTCTTTCTGGGACTTAGTAACACCTGATATATTAAATATCTATTTTTTAAATTATTTTTTAATTTTTTAAATCTCTGTTTTCAGAGGTTGAATGGGGGGGTACAAGTGCAGTTTTGTTACATGGCTGTGTTGCACAGTGATAAAGCCTGGGCTTTTAGTGTAACCAGCATCCAAATAGTGAACGTGGTACCCCTTAAGTCATTTCTCATCCCTCACCTCCCTCCCACCCTCCCCGTTTCGAAGTCTCTAATGTCTATTATTTCACTTTCTGTGTCCATGTATACACATTATTTAGCTTCCACTTAATATCTGTTTCTTTAGGGGTTTCTTGTCTGCCTGTAAGTTCCCACTATAAGTTCCATCAGGGCGGAGTCTATATTTTATTCACTGTGTTATCAGGAGACCCTGGAACAGTGCCTGAACATATTAGATTCTCAATAAATCGTTGTTGAATAATTGATTGAATGAGTGAATGAATTAATGAATTGCTTTAAGACATCAAGGAAGGGTTCCCTGGAAGTGGACAGTTGAACTGAGTGCTGCAGGATAAGGAAGAGTTTGCAAGGCAAACAAGAGGGAGGAAAAGCATTCCAGACAGAGGGGAAATGCATGTGCAAGATTTCAAGGCAAGAAAACAGATTGGCTTAGTATGATTGTTTTACTCTCTTTTGCATTAGGCGCGTTGGAGACTCTGACTACAGTGATGGAGAAGAGGACTTTTACTACACTGAGATCAAGCTCAACACAGACTCAGTGGCAGACGGGCTGAGCAGCCTGGCCCCGGTCTCACCTTCCCAGTCCCTGGCTTCACCTCCTACTTTCCCCATCCCAGATTCAAGCCGAACAGAAACTCCTTGTGCCAAAACGGAGACTAAGTTGATGACGCCGTTGAGCCGCTCAGCTCCCACCACCCTCTACCTCGTGCACACTGACCATGCTTACCAGGTGACTTGCAGGGGACTGTGAGAGCAATCACTTTGACCTTGACCAAAACCAGGGGCCATCTGGCCTATGAGTAAAAGACAACTCAGTGGAAAAACAGCATCACACACGGCAGCCCGGTAGCTTTGATTTTTCTCCCTTTAAAGCCTAAGATCTCACACAGATAGGGTCCTATGGTCTAGTCTCAGATTGCCCAATGCTGCCTGTGGATTCGATCCCGTAGAGATTGTTATGATGATAAAAATCCCTTGGGCACAGTGGCTCACGCCTGTAATCCCAAACACTCTGGGAGGCTGAGGCGGGCGGATCACCTGAGGTCGGGAGTTCGAGACCAGCCTGACCAACATGGTGAAACCCCATCTCTACTAAAAATACAAAATTAGCTGGGTGTGGTGGCACATGCCTGTAATCCCAGCTACTGAGGAGGCTGAGGCAGGAGAATCACTTGAACCCAGGAGGCAGAGGTTGCGGTGAGCCGAGATCCCACCATTGCACTCCAGCCTGGGCAACAAGAAAAACTCTGTCTCAAAAAAAAAAAAAAAAAATCCCTAATGTTATCTGGGCATGGTGGCGTGTGCCTGTAGTCCCAGCTACTTGGGAGGCTGAGGCGGGAGAATTGCTTGAACCCGAGAGACGGAGGTTGCAGTGAGCCAAGATCGCACCACTGTACTCCAGCCTGGCGACAGAGCGAGACTCTGTTTCAAAAACAAAAAAAATCCCTAATGTTGCAAAGCCCTCAAAATGGTGCCTGGCACATTACATAAGTATCTGTTTAAAAAAAAAATAAGGCCGGGCACAGTGGCTCACACCTGTAATCCCAGAACTTTGGGAGGCTGAGGCAAGTGGATTGCTTGAACTCAGGAGTTCGAGACCAGCGTGGGCAACATGGTGAGACCCCCATATCTACAAAAAATACAAAAATTAGCCAGGCATGGTGGTGCGTACCTGTAGTCCCAGCTACTTGGGAGGCTGAGGTGTGGGAGGATCACCTGAGCCCAGGGAGTTTGAGGCTGCAGTGAGCTGTGATCATGGCACTGCACTCCAGCCTGGGTGACAGAGTAAGACCCTGTCTCAAAAAAATAAATAAAATGTAAGCATTGGAAAGCTTTGGCACAGTGGCAGAATCACACTCCAAATCCGGGACTTCATGCCCTGCCTTCTAAATGGATAATTAAGCATTTCAGATTAGAGTAGTCGTTCTCAATGTTCCCCAAATCAACAGTGCCAGCATCACCTGGGAACTTGTTAGAAATGAAAATTCTTGGGACCACCCCTCTTCCACACCCTCCTCTGTGCCCCCCACCAACCCTGCATTCTGTTTTAACAGGCCCTCCAGGGAATCCTGAGTCATGCTAAAGTCTGAGAAGACCTTAGGGACAAATCCTGCAAATTTAGGACATGGGTAAAACTCCCTTTTTTCCTGCCAGAAGTTACTTTTTTTTTTTTTTTTTGAGACAGGGTCTCTATCTTTCTCTCAGGCTGGAGTGCAATTCACTGCAGCCTCGAACTCCTGGGCTCAAGCAATCCTCCTGCCTCAGCTTCCCAAGCAGCTGGGACTACAGGTGTGCACTACCACATCCAGCTAATTTTTTAAATTTTTTGTAGAGACGAGCTCTCACTACATTGCCCAGGCTGGTCTCGAACTCCTGTCTTCAAGCAGTCCTCCCATGTTGGCCTCCCAACATGCTAGGATTATAGGCTTGAGCCACCATGCCTGGCCATTAATTCTTTTAAATGTTGATTTGTTTTTATACAATGTTAATACATTCAAATTTTAAGAAAATATTTTTCACATAATTCTCAACTACCTTATTCAACTTTTTAAAATCTCCTTTACATACTTGTAATTATGTTCTCCCACCCTTGTTTTATAAAAACTTTTCATGTAACTAAATAATATCCAATTAAATTGAAACACCAAATTGTTTTAATCATTCTTATTGTTAGGTATTTACTTTTTAATCTATCCTGTTTTTTCGTCATTAATAACTCCACTGTAAACATCTCTGTGCCTGCTGTGTTTTGTTTTTTGTTTAAATTCTCAGAAGAATAATTATTGAGTCCGAGGATGTAATATGAGGGAACAGTTTATGGCTCTTACTATGTATTGCCAGAATGCTTTCCAGTGGTACCAAGTACAAAGCCACTGCCACTAGCAAATATATTTGTAATTAGAAAATTACACCTATAGAGGAAAAATTTAGCCACTTATTTAGCAGACTTAAACTCAAGAGTAATTGAATAGAGCTAATATTTGAATTAGTTAGTGTAATAAATTTCATTCCTGACTCTTATTATGTTGGTCAAAACGAATAATTCATTCATCTTCATTTATCACTGTTTCACTTAGGTCAGAAATCCTGGGTACTAACTTAGTTAAATCATTTTGCTCATCTATATAATGAGAGAGTTGGAACACACACTAGTTGATCTACAAGGTCCTTCCCAAAGCATAAACTTAGAAATATTGAGACTTTTCTGTTTATAGAAATTATAAATGTTCAGCATAGAAAATATTAAACACAGTAAAGAAAGAAAATTCATCCCTAATTCCAAACCTTAGTTAATATTTTTTGTATGTACTTCAAGACTTTGTTCTGTGTTTATACATTTGCAGTTTTTAAAAGGGATCTGTTGCAGAACTGTTTTTACTGTATTTTATTTTTTCTATTTAATATATCATGAACATTTTCCCATGCCAATGAATCTTCTTCAACAACAGTATTTTAAAAATTGATGCCTAATATTTATACGTATTTGTGGGGTACACAGAACATTTTGTTATATGCATAGGATGTGTAACAGTCAAGTCAGGGTATTTTGAATATTAATCGCCTTGTGTATTTATCATTTCTGTGTGTTGGGAACATTTCCAGTCCTCTCTTCTAGGTATTTTGAAATATAAAATACATTGTTGTTAGCTATAGCCATCCTACTCTGCTATCAAACATTAGTACTCATTCTTTCTATCTAACTGTATGTTTGTACCTACTAACCAACATCTCTCCCTACCTTGTCCCATCACACCCTTCCCCATCTCCTGTAACTATCATTTTATTCTCTACCTCCATGACATCAATTATTGTATTTCCCACATATGAGTGAGAACATGTGATGTTTATCTTCAAGTGCCTAGCTTATTTCACTTACATAGTGACCTCTAGTTCCATTCATATGGCTGAAAATGACAGGATATCATTCTTTTTAATGGCTGAATAGTACTCCATTGTGTTCTTACCACATTTTGACACTTCATCTGTTGATGGACACTTAGGTTGATTCCATATTATCTTTGCTATTGTGAATAGTGCTGCAATAAACATGAGAGTGCAGGTGTCCCTTTGATAGGCTGATTTCCTTTCCTTTAGATAAATACCCAGTAGTGAGATTGCTGGATTATATGGTAGTTCTGTTTTTAGATTTTGAGAAATCTCCATACTGTTTTCCATAATAGGTGTATTAATTTACATTCTTACCAACAGTATATAAAAGATCCCTTTTCTCTGCTTCCTCACCAGCATCTGTTATTTTTTGTCTTTTTAATAATAGCCAATCTAACTAGGGTGAGACGATACTTCATTGTGGTTTTGATACACATTTTTCTGATATTAGTGACGTTGAGCATTTTTTCATGTACCTATTGGTCATTTGTATGTGTGCTTTTGAAAAATTTTTATTCAGGTCCTTTGCCCACTTTTTAATGGAATTATTTGGTTTTTGCTATTGAGTTGTTTGAATTCATTGTATATTCTGGATAGTAGTCTCTTGTCAGATGAATAGTTTGTGGATATTTTCTCACATTCAACAGGTTGCTCTTCACGCTGTTGATTGTTTCTTGTGCCGTGCAGAAGCTTTTTAGTTTAATATAGTCACATTTGTCTATTTTGTTTGTTTGTTTGTTTCTTGTGCTTTTGAAGTCTTAGCCATAAAAATATTTGCCTGGGCCCATGTCCTAGAGTGTTTTTCTTGTGTTTTCTTCCAGTAGTTTTATAGTTTAGGATCTTACATTTAAGTTTTTAATCCATTTTGAGTGGATGTTTGTAAATGACAAGAGCTAGGGGTCTAGTTTCATGTTTCTGCACGTGGATATCCAGTTTTCCCAGCAGCATTTATTGAAGAGGATGTCCTTTCCCCAGTGTATGTTCTCATCGCCTTGGTCAAAAATCAGTTGGTTGTAAATATGTGGACTTATTTCTTGGTTCCCTGTTTTGCTCCATTGGTATATGTGTCTGTTTTTATGCCATTTTAACAACATTTTGAATTACTCTGTAGGTATATCATGATTTATTTACCTTTTTCCCTATTACTGGGCATTTGTGTTATTTCCAGGTTTTTTTTTTTTTTTTTGAGACAAGATTTCACTCTGTTGTCAGGCTGGAGTGCAGTGGCATGATCATAGTTCACTGCAACCTCGAACTCCTGGGCTCACATAATCTTCCTGCCTCCATCTCCAAAGTAGCTAGAACTACAGATACACTCCACCACCCCTGGCTAATTTTTTTTAATTTTAGTAGAGACGAAGTCTCACTGTGTTGCCCTCGCTGGTCTCAAACTCTGGGCTCAAGCGATCCTCCTGCTTCTGACTCTTAAGTGCTGGGATTACAGGCATGAGCCACCACGCCCAGCCCCAATTGTTTTTTATAATATATAGTTGTGCAAGGAACATTCTTGCGTACATTTCTTTAGAATGAATGCCTAGAGTGGAATAGCTAACACAGAGAATGCTAAGAATTTTTATATGTATTGTCAAATTACCTTCCAAGAACATTGTACTAGTTCACACCCACCCTCACAGTATAGCAGGGTGTATTCCCCAATTTTATAGTGAAGAATTCTACCTCACAGGTATCCTAAAATAGGTATATGTACATATAATAAAATTTCTTTTCAGAAATCAACAGTCAAAAACCATCTCTTTTTATACCTTAGATAGCTTGCTTAGGTATATATACAAAGTTTATTTCTGGCTACTCCCTTTAACCTTGTTTAATCTCTTCCTATTAGATAATTAGTCCAAGTTATTAATATAGCTGAGACCATTTCTGAGGTCCTCCTTTGGTAATAAGAGCTTAAAGCTCCGAAGGAAAATATTCCTTCATAACAGCTTTCTCTGTTTTTTATTTGACAGGCCACACCCCCTGTGACCATTCCAGGATCGGCCAAGTTCACCCCCAATGGCAGCAGCTTCAGCATTTCCTGGCAATCTCCTCCGGTCACTTTCACAGGCATCCCAGTAAGTAGAAAAACGAAAAAGCCAAAAATCTGGTCAAAGCCAATGTAGACTAAATTTAGCGAACAAATAGTAGAGGCATGCAAGAAAAATACAAACATCAGAATGCCAGAAGTACTATATTTCTTAAATGATATTTGTAAACTCATCAGCAGATATCACTTCTTTTCGAAAAGGTGTTTTGACTGGCATTTCAGAAAACTATAAGAGAGTTTCAACTGTTCATAAACAACTTGTTGGAAATATATCAAGATTTTTTGTGTGTTGGTAGTGTGTTTGTATGTTTCCAAAAGACTGTAAAATTAATAGCTGAACTCAGATCTTATATGGAAAAAATGGTGTTTATCATTATAAGTAACTATAAAATTTATTACTTAGGAAGTGTTCTGTACGTATGTCATTTTGAAGGCTCAAAAAATACATCAAAATCATTTTTTCTTTCAGAGTCTGAATAATCCATGCTGATGGATAATCTGAAACTAAATGAGTGCTAAAATATGCAATCAGACTTAAGTAGTACATAAGAATTGATTTGACATATTAAATGATTCCTGTCTGATAAATCACTGTGAATTAACTTGATTCCTAACCATTCATTTAAAAAATATATTGGATCTTTTATAGTTTATCACAGAACAGCCACATGCATGCACACTGTTGATGCTCACAGTGGTGTATAACTCCTGATAAGGTTCAGGAAGTGGCTTATGATAACAGATATTAACCTTATTTTCTCTTCTCCACCCGTCTCCCCAAGGACCTCACAAAAGCTTCTTATTGTCAACCACTGGCATCTCCCGGAGGTTTCCAGCAAAGTCTAACGCCTTCTGTGGAACTGATAAAAATGAAAGTGGCTGAATGAATTGTGCTGTGCTCTGTTGATGAATATTTATTAAATTCCATAGAGGAATAGCCAAGAATAAAAAGCATACTGCTAGAGGCAATTTGGGAAATGGTGGCTTCCAGAAAAGACTCTGGGAATGTGATTTGTAAACAACACCATGGGTCTGAAGTCATTTTTAAAGTTGTATTTTCATTGAATAGTGGTAACTTCTGGTAGCTCTGCAAGAGTGACCTTGTTAGTAGACGTTAGAAGAGGGCAGCTTAGACGTGTTGGTATTAGTTTTGCTTCTGGCAAGAACACTGATCCACTGATGTAGGTGTCAGGGGTTAACAATCTGTTTGGGGACTTTTTTTTTTTTTTGGTAGACATAAAAAGACCCAGAGTGGCTCTTGATACATTTTTGAGACAGCCACTCTGTATTAACCTAAAATGGCAGCCACAGTTACAGAATTATTGAGACCATCTTTTCTGCATCCTATTAATTCCTGCCTTTGACTTGGGAAGAATTTTCAATGATGTATGGGAAGCATACACCATGTTGCTCATCTGGTACTATAGCATGTAGATGGAACAGCCCAGTTCAAACCTCTTTCAGACTACCTCTGTGGCCAAGCAAACTGGAATGTTTTTCCCCTTTGCTTTTCTAACTAAATTATCTTCTGAAGTATAGGGAAATCACTCTGAGGGGCTCTTTACTAGCTCCATGTCCTCCATGGTTCTTATGTGTCTTACACACTAGGATACCAGCCAGGATACCTTATATCACTCGTTTTTCAACAATAGAATGTTAAAACTCTGCTATGGACACTGTGTATTTCTACCCTCATCTCAGTGCCCTTGATTTTTTACAGAATCCCTCATTTCACTCTGTGTTGATTACCTGGGACATTCTAGACAAAAGCTTTGACAGAAAGTATATATATGATATATAAAACATACCATATATACGATATATAAAACATTCCGTATATATGATATATAAAACATACCATAGCTGGGTTAAGTAGGTATTCCACTAAAATCCTATGTGAGCTTTTTTTTTTTTTTTTTCTTGAAACAGGGTCTCAGTCCATGACCCAGGCTTAGAGTGCAGTGGTGCCATCACGGCTCACTGCAGCCTCAACCTCCCTGGGCTCATCTTCCCCACTTCAGCCTCCTGAGTAGCTGGGACTACAGAAGCACACCATCACACCTGGCTAATTTTTGTATTTTTAGTAGATACGGGGGTTTCCCATGTTGCCCAGGCTGGTCTTGAACTCCTGAGCTCAAGCAATCTGCCCACCTCAGCCTCCCAAAGTGCTGGGATTACAGGCTTGAGCCACTGCGCCCAGCTGAGAGCTTCTAATTTATTCTTTCACCAGAGAATTCCCAATTGTGCTGATTGTGTAACCTGTTTCAGCAAAGACTTTAGACTGATTTTAGCAGTCAAGCTTGCCATTCCTATTTAAAGATAAAGTAAGGGTGGGGTGGAATTTTCAAAGGTTTTTGTTTTACCCTAGAAAGACAAGAAGGCTACAACTAAGAATGTTCTTTTTGTTGCTAAACTCTCTGGCCATGCTCTAAAAAAAACAAGCAGGTGCTGCTGTCCTCCTCCTCCTCCTTCTCCTGGTGGGCTAGCTCTCATAACAGCCCACCCACACAGATGCAGGACTGTTGTACACCCACGGACAGCATGCCAGCAGCTGTCCCTGAATGCTCCAGGAGTGCCAGGCAAGCCACGTAGAATTTAAAAACGTGAATTCTTACCCTCTAAATTGGTGTAATAGGGTTTTCAGACCAAAGCTCTAAAAGTTGTAAGTTATAATGAATTTGTATTAGTGATGGCTTCAATTGTGTCCAAACTGAAGAACAGAGAAATATTCATGTGATAAAATGCTTTTCAAAAAAAAAATACCTTTATCCTTGTACTCTAAAATAAATACCCTGAGGTTGTCAACCCTGTTTAGAGTTCACTTTTCTCCCACATCTTTGAGACGTGGTATTGAAGAGGGATACTTTTGTACACTTCCTAGAAAGTGAGAAAAACCCCTTTCTGAAAAATCCCAAGGGTTGCAGGATTTTATTTATTCATTTGCCTATGCTAGATTTCCTGAACATTGGACTTTAATAAGTTCCCTGGGTAAGACCTCTTCCCGGAGGTGTGTAGCTGAGAAGGCTGAACTGCATATTTAACAAATGTAACTGGAAGTTCAGTCTTTTGTAGCCTAAGGCTGTGGGGAGAGGGGTAGGAAAGAGAACATCCTTAATTACAACTTTCTTTGACATGTTTTTCCCTAATGACCTGCCTTCTCTCCTAATTATCTCCATTTCTTTCTCTCTCTTTTCATGACAGAAAACTAAGAGCCGTTGGCCCCTTTATTAATCAGCTCAAGACTGCCATAAAATACCACAGACTTGGCAGCTTAAACAACAGAAATTTATTTTCTCACAGTTCTAGAGGCTAGAAGTCCAAATCAACGTGTCGGCCAATTCAGTTCTGGTGAAGACCCCTTCCTGCTTGTAGATGGCTGCCTTCTCACTGTGCATGCACAGTCGAGAGAGAAAGAGAGAGAGAGAGAAATCGAGAGAGAGAGCACAAGCACATGCCAGGGCACTGGCAAGCCAGGGAGAGCAAGCATGGAGGAATGCACCAGCCTCTGCTATCCCTTCTTAAAGGACACTAATCCTGTTGGGTCAGGGCCCCACCCTTATGACCTCCTTAAAGGCCCTATGTCCAAATACAACCACACTGGGGATTAGAGCTTTATCATATGAATTTGAGGGACACAAACATTCGATCTATAACAGCCCCTAGGAAAGCAAGTATAAGCTAGTCAACCTGCTATCCAAGTTCTAGGAGGCTTCAGGCTGTTGGGGAGGGTCTCCAAAGCTGAAATAGCAGTGCTTATTTGTCAAATGCTTAGCTGGTTTGAGGTTTCTTTTTTAATGCCTTGAGGGAAGATTCAGAATTATATGAGGTTAAAACCAAGCCAGAGGCCTTTTTTTCCTCCCTCTTAAGAGAAAAACTTACAAGAAAAGAAATTTCTCCTGCATACTTACAGAAGGGCACAGCATCTTTAGTGTGAGGCTTACTTGCAAATCCTGGCTCTGGCATTTGTGAACGCCATGTGATCCTTCTAAAGTAATATCCTCTACTCTAGTTCTACCTCTTAGAGTTGTGTCGTTCACACAGTGCCTGGCATGTAGCTGACAATGCAGATTTCCTACCATCATTGCTGCCTTTACTGTGTCTAAGCACTGTATAATGGGTCAGAGAAAGCGGCTCCTCCCTATTTAGGATTGATTCCTGTAACACAGATATACTCAACACATGGGAGAGATTAGTCACAATTTTTACAGACTATAATTTAAAATTCTTTTTTTTTTTATACTGGGAACTTTCCAAATACGTTTTGTTTTTGTTCTTTTTTTTAAATTAAAGTTTTAGGGTACATGTGCCCAACGTGCAGGTTTGTTACATATGTATACATGTGCCATGTTGGTGTGCTGCACCCATTAACTCTTCATTTAACATTAGATATGTCTCCTAATGCTATCCCTCCCCCGCCCCCCACAACAGGCCCTGGTGTGTGATGTTCCCCTTCCTGTGTCCATGTATTCTCATTGTTCAATTCCCATCTATGAGTGAGAACATGCAGCGTTTGGTTTTTTGTCTTTGCGATAGTTTGCTGAGAATGATGGTTTCCAGCTTCATCCATGTCCCTACAAAGGACATGAACTCATCATTTTTTATGGCTGCATAGTATTCCATGGTGTATATGTGCCACATTTTCTTAATCCAGTCTTTCATTGTTGGACATTTGGGTTGGTTCCAAGTCTTTGCTATTGTGAATAGTGTCCAAATAAACATACGTGTGCATGTGTCTTTATAGCAGCATGATTTATACTCCTTTGGGTATATACCCAGTAATGGGATGGCTGGGTCAAATGGTATTTCTAGTTCTAGATCCCTGAGGAATCGCTACACTGACTTCCACAATGGTTGAACTAGTTTACAGTCCCACCAACAGTGTAAAAGTGTTCCTGTTTCTCCACATCCTCTCCAGCACCTGTTGTTTCCTGACTTTTTAATGATCACCATTCTAACTGATGTGAGATGGTATCTCATTGTGGTTTTGATTTGCATTTCTCTGATGGCCAGTGATGATGAACATTTTTTCATGTGTCTTTTGGCCGCATAAATGTCTTCTTTTGAGAAGTGTCTGTTCATATCCTTCGCCCACTTTTTGATGGGGTTGTTTGTTTTTTTCTTGTAAATTTGTTGGAGTTCATTGTAGATTCTGGATATTAGCCCTTTGTCAGATGAGTAAATTGCAAAAATTTTCTCCCATTCTGTAGGTTGCCTGTTCACTCTGATGGTAGTTTCTTTTGCTGTGCAGAAGCTCTTTAGTTTAATTAGATCCCATTTGTCAATTTTGGCTTTTGTTGCCATTGCTTTTGGTGTTTTAGACATGAAGTCCTTGTCCATGCCTATGTCCTGAATGGTACTGCCTAGGTTTTCTTCTAGGGTTTTTATGGTTTTAGGTCTAACATTTAAGTCTTTAATCCATCTTGAATTAATTTTTGTATAAGGTGTAAGGAAGGGATCCAGTTTCAGCTTTCTACATATGGCTAGCCAGTTTTCCCAGCACCATTTATTAAATAGGGAATCCTTTCCCCATTTCTTGTTTTTGTCAGGTTTGTCAAAGATCAGATAATTGTAGATATGTGGCATTATTTCTGAGGGCTCCGTTCTGTTCCATTGGTCTATATCTCTGTTTTGGTACCATTACCATGCTATTTTGGTTACTGTAGCCTTGTAGTATAGTTTGAAGTCAGGTAGCGTGATGCCTCCAGCTTTGTTCTTTTGGCTTAGGATTGACTTGGCAATGCGGGCTCTTTTTTGGTTCCATATGAACTTTAAAGTAGTTTTTTCCGATTCGTGAAGAAAGTCATTGGTAGCTTGATGGGGATGACATTGAATCTATGAATTACCTTGGGCAGTATGGCCATTTTCACGATATTGATTCTTCCTATCCATGAGCATGGAATGTTCTTCCATTTGTTTGTATCCTCTTTTATTTCATTGAGCAGTGGTTTGTAGTTCTCCTTGAAGAGGTCCTTCGCATCCCTTGTAAGTTGGATTCCTAGGTATTTTATTCTCTTTGAAGCAATTGTGAATGGGAGTTCACTCATGATTTGGCTCTCTGTTTGTCTGTTATTGGTTTTAAGAATGCTTATAATTGGTTATAAGAATGCTTGTGATTTTTGCACATTGATTTTGTATCCTGAGACTTTGCTGAAGTTACTTATCAGCTTAAGGAGATTTTGGGCTGAGACTATGGGGTTTTCTAGATATACAATCATGTCATCTGCAAACAGGGGCAATTTGACTTCCTCTTTTCCTAATTGAATACCCTTTATTTCCTTCTCCTGCCTGATTGCCCTGGCCAGAACTTCCAACACTATGTTGAATAGGAGTGGTGAGAGAGGGCATCCCTGTCTTGTGCCAGTTTTCAAAGGGAATGCTTCCAGTTTTTGCCCATTCAGTATGATATTGGCTATGGGTTTGCCATAGATAGCTCTTATTATTTTGAGATATGTCCCATCAATACCTAATTTATTGAGAGTTTTTAGCATGAAGGGTTGTTGAATTTTGTCGAAGGCCTTTTCTGCATCTATTGAGATAATCATGTGGTTTTTGTCTTTGGTTCTGTTTATATGCTGGATTACGTTTATTGATTTGTGTATGTTGAACCAGCCTTGCATCCCAGGGATGAAGCCCACTTGATCATGGTGGATAAGCTTTTTGATGTGCTGCTGGATTTGGTTTGCCAGTATTTTATTAAGGATTTTTGCATCAATGTTCATCAGGGATATTGGTCTAAAATTCTCTTTTTTTGTTGTGTCTCTGCCAGGCTTTGGTATCAGGATGATGTTGGCCTCATAAAATGAGTTAGGGAGGATTTCCTCTTTTTCTGTTGATTGGAATAGTTTCAGAAGGAATGGTACCAGCTCCTCCTTGTACCTCTGGTAGAATTTGGCTGTGAATCCATCTGGTCCTGGACTTTTTTTGGTTGGTAAGCTATTAATGATTGCCTGAATTTCAGAGCCTATTATTGGTCTATTCAGAGATTCAACTTCTTCCTGGTTTAGTCTTGGGAGGGTGTGTGTGTCGAGGAATTTATCCATTTCTTCTAGATTTTCTAGTTTATTTGCATAGAGGTGTTTATAGTATTCTCTGATGGTAGTTTGTATTTCTGTGGGATCGGTGGTGATATCCCCTTTATCATTTTTTGTTGCGTCTATTTGATTCTTCTCTCTTTTCTTCTTTATTAGTCTTGCTAGCAGTCTATCAATTTTGTTGATCTTTTAAAAAAAACAGCTCCTGGATTCATTGATTTTTTGAAGGGTTTTTTGTGTCTCTATTTCTTTCAGTTCTGCTCTGATCTTAGTTATTTCTTGCCTTCTGCTAGCTTTTGAATGTGTTTGCTCTTGCTTCTCTAGTTCTTTTAATTGTGATGTTAGGGTGTCAATTTTAGATCTTTCCTGCTTTCTCTTGTGGGCATTTAGTGCTATAAATTTCCCTCTACACACTGCTTTGAATGTGACCCAGAGATTCTGGTATGTTGTGTCTTTGTTCTCATTGGTTTCAAAGAACATTTTTATTTCTGCCTTCATTTCGTGATGTACCCAGTAGTCATTCAGGAGCAGGTTGTTCAGTTTCCATGTAGTTGAGCGGTTTTGAGTGAGTTTCTTAATCCTGAGTTCTAGTTTGATTGCACTGTGGTCTGAGAGACAGTTTGTTATAATTTCTGTTCTTTTACATTTGCTGAGGAGTGCTTTACTTCCAACTATGTGGTCAATTTTGGAATAGGTGTGGTGTGGTGCTGAGAAGAATGTATATTCTGTTGATTTGGGGTGGAGAGTTCTGTAGATGTCTATTAGGTCCACTTGGTGCAGAGCTGAGTTCAGTTCCTGGATATCCTTGTAAATTTTCTGTCTCGTTGATCTGTCTAATGTTGACAGTGGGGTGTTAAAGTCTCCCATTATTATTGTGTGGGAGTCTAAGTCTCTTTGTAGGTCTCTAAGGACTTGCTTTATGAATCTGGCTGCTCCTGTATTGGGTGCATATATATTTAGGATAGTTAGCTCTTCTTCTTGAATTGATCCCTTCACCATTATGTAATGGCCTTCTTTGTCTCTTTTGATCTTTGTTGGTTTAAAGTCTGTTTTATCAGAGACCAGGGTTGCAACCCCTGCCTTTTTTTGTTTTCCATTTGCTTGGTAGATCTTTCTCCATCCCTTTATTTTGAGCCTATGTGTGTCTCTGCACATGAGATGGGTTTCCTGAATACAGCACACTGATGGGTCTTGACTCTTTATCCAATTTGCCAGTCTGTGTCTTTTAATTGGAGCATTTAGCCCATTTACATTTGAGGTTAATATTGTTATGTGTGAATTTGATCCTGTCATTATGATGTTAGCTGGTTGTTTTGCTCGTTACTTGATGCAGTTTCTTCCTAGCCTCGATGGTCTTTACAATTTGGCATGTTTTTGCAGTGGCTGGTACCAGTTGTTCCTTTCCATGTTTAGCACTTCCTTCAGGAGCTCTTTTAGGGCAGGCCTGGTGGTGACAAAATCTCTCAGCATTTGCTTGTCTGTAAAGTATTTTATTTCTCCTTCACTTATGAAGCTTAGTTTGGCTGAATATGAACTTCTGGGTTGAAAATTCTTTTCTTTAAGAATGTTGAATATTGGCCCCCACTCTCTTCTGGCTTGTATAGTTTCTGCTGAGAGATCAGCTGTTAGTCCGATGGGCTTCCCTTTGTGGGTAACCCAACCTTTCTCTCTGGCTGCCCTTAATATTTTTTCCTTCATTTCAGCTTTGGTGAATCTGACAATTATGTGTCTTGGAGTTGCTCTTCTCAAGGAGTATCTTTGTGGCATTCTCTGTATTTCCTGAATTTGAATATTGGCCTGCCTTGCTAGATTGGGGAAGTTCTCCTGGATAATATCCTGCAGAGTGTTTTCCAACTTGGTTCCATTCTCCCTGTCACTTTCGGGTACACCAGTCAGACATAGATTTGGTCTTTTCACATAGTCCCATATTTCTTGGAGGCTTTGTTCATTTCTTTTTATTCTTTTTTGTCTAAACTTCTCTTCTCACTTCCTTTCATTCATTTGATCTTCCATCACTGATACCCTTTCTTCCACTTGATCGAATCAGCTACTGAGGCTTGTGCATTCGTCACGTAGTTCTTGCGCCTTGGTTTTCAGTTCCAACAGGTCCTTTAAGGACTTCTCTGCATTGGTTATTCTGGTTAGCCATTCGTCTAAATTTTTTTCAATGTTTTTAACTTCTTTGCCATGGGTTCGAACTTCCTCCTTTAGCTCGGAGTAGTTTGATCGTCTGAAGCCTTCTTCTCTCAACTTGTCAAAGTCATTTTCCATCCAGCTTTGTTCCGTTGCTGGTGAGTAGCTGCGCTGCGTTCCTTTGGAGGAGGAGAGGCGCTCTGATTTTTAGAGTTTCCAGTTTTTCTGCTGTTTTTTCCCCATCTTTGTGGTTTTATCTACCTTTGGTCTTTGATGATGGTGATATACAGATGGGGTTTTGGTGTGGATGTCCTTTCTGTTTGTTAGTTTTCCTTCTAACAGTCAGGACCCTCAGCTGCAGGTCTGTTGGAGTTTGCTGGCGGTCCACTCCAGACCCTGTTTGCCTGGGTATCAGCAGCGGAGGCTGCAGAACAGTGGTTATTGGTGAACAGCAAATGTTGCTGCCTGATCGTTCCTCTGGAAGTTTTGTCTCAGAGAAGTACCCGGCCGTGTGAGGTGTCAGTCTGCCCCTACTGGGGGATGCCTCCCAGTTAGGCTACTCGGGGGTCATGGACCCACTTGAGGAGGCAGTCTGTCCGTCCTCAGATCTCCAGCTGCGTGCTGGGAGAATCACTGCTCTCTTCAAAGCTGTCAGACAGGGACATTTAAGTCTGCAAAGTTTTCTGCTGCCTTTTGTTTGGCTATGCCCTGCCCCCAGAGGTGGAGTCTACAGAGGCAGGCAGGCCTCCTTGAGCTGTGGTGGGCTCCACCCTGTTCGAGCTTCCTGGCTGCTTTGTTTACCTACTCAAGCCTCGGCAATGGCGGGTGCCCCTCCCCAGCCTCACTGCCACCTTGCAGTTTGATCTCAGACTGCTGTGGTAGCAATGAGTGAGGCTCCATGGGCGTAGGACCCTCCGAGCCAGGTGCAGGATATAATCTCCTGGTGTGCCGTTTGCTAAGACTGTTGGAAAAGCGCAGTATTAGGGTGGGAGAGACCCAATTTTCCAGGTGCTGTCTGTCACCCCTTTCTTTGACTAGGAAAGGGAATTCCCTGAGCCCTTGCGCTTCCCGGGTGAGGCGATGCCTCATCCTGCTTCGGCTCACACTCGGTGTGCTGCACCCACTGTCGTGCACCCACTATCTGACACTTCCCAGTGAGTTGAACCCGGTACCTCAGTTGGAAATGCAGAAATCACCCATCTTCTGCATCACTCATGCTGGGAGCTGTAGACTGGAGCTGTTCCTATTTGGCCATCTAATTTAAAATTCTTTAGACTCTTCTGAGGTCACACCTAACCAACAAACTATGTACATATAGCCCAATAATTTTATTTAGCTAGAAATATTATCATATTATACTGTCCAAGCACATTATATGCTTTATAAAACATGCTACAAAATAGAACTTGGAAATGGTTAAGAAATAAACAAATTGAAATGCAGAGACCACTAAGAGAGAGAGTATTTGCTTTATAGGGCTTTATTTTAGGGCACACATTATTTACATCAACGATATGGCAGGATGGAAGAGTGCAAAAAGCAGGGCTTTGACATCATTCGGAAGTGAGTTCCAAGGCCAGCTGTGTTCAAGTCAGACAATGGTGTTCAAACCCTGAGTCCATTTACTGTGTGGACTGGACAGTGCACTTAACTTCTCCATTTTCTCATCTATAAAATGGAAATTATGGCTATGATAGGGTTGTTGCGAAGATTAAAATAGATAACATATGGAAGACACTTAGCTTATATAGCAGGCTCTCAGCAAATTACTTCTGCTGCTACTTTTGCCTCTGGGATGTTCTGCAGGCCATTTCCCTGCTCAAAGCCTAAATTTCTCTATCTGTAAGATGTAGATATAGATTATTTATTTTGCAAGTTTTCTGTGAGAATTAAAAGAGATAATAGATAACCTACTTGCCTGTCTTTCACATTCGCAAGCACTGAATAAATGGTAGTTGACTGCCCCAGTTACTCCCTTGGTTTCTCCACCCTCATCCTCAACTAAAATAAGAAGCTGAAACATGACTGTCTTGCCATTAAAAGTCTGAAGAAAAAACTCACATGTCATATTGAGCCTCCTACTGAACTCAGCCACATATGGAAGTTTGAAGTGGGTCCTCGAAATGCATGTACTGAACTCCAGAGTTAAGAGAGCCATTAGCAGGAAGAAGGACTTTGGCGAGGGGTCATTCCTGCAGGAGGTCCATGTTGTGGTTTGCAAGTGTCCCCCAAAGTTCATGTGTTGGAAATATAATCCCCAGTGCAGCAGTGTTGAGAGGTGGAACCCTTAAGAGGTGATGGGGTCCAGAGGACTCTACTCTCATGAATGGATTAGTGTCATTATCAGGAGAGTGGGTTTGTTATAAAAACAAGCTCAGCCTTCTCTTAAGTGAACTGTTACCCTTCCACCCTTTGCCCTGGGATGACACAGCGAGAAGGCCGTTGTCACATGCCGGCCCCTCAACCTTGGACTTTCCAGCCTCCAGAACTTTAAAAAATAAATTTCTGCTTATTATAAATCATCCAGTCTCAGGTACTCTGTTATAGCAGCACAAAACCGCTGAAGACAATCCATGTCCCTCAAACCCTGTTCCTGGAATTTTCAAAAGCCTGTTCCTCATGCCTCCCCGACCCTGCTGCTTCTGTAACTTTCTCATCTCAGAAAGTGGCACCACTGTGCCTCCTGCCACTTGGGCCAGAACCTGGGATTCATCCTTGACTCCTCAATTCATCCTTGATTCATCTAGAGATGCAATTTTCTTTGTGCCCCATCCTAACCCACAAGTCCTAGGCTGTGCCTCTAAACAACAGGAATCCAGACCCTCCCCACCACTGCCGCCATACCTAGTCTAAACCACCAGTATGTCTTTGCCTGGTATACTGCAAAAGCCTCTTAACTCCAGGGCTCCTTTCCAGGCTGTCTGCTGTCCATTCTCCAAAGTGCCAAAGTGATCTGTTTAAAGCATTAATCAGATGTCTTACTTTTAAAAACACTCCAATGGCTTACTTATTGCCGTTAGAATAACATTCAGATCCCTTATTGCAGGTCAGAGGCATAGCTTGATACTTCCGTCTCCTCTCCTCCCACCCTCCACCTCCCACAAAGTGCCCACCCCTTTTTCTGCAGTGCCTTGTAGGTGAAAGGTAACCTCCTCAGGAAGCCTTCTCTTACCACTCAAGATAAATAAATGTCCTCTCCTTCTATTACACTTTAGCCTGTTATCCTATTTCATTTCTGTCAGCTACTTATCACTAAAATGATCTTGTGTGATTTCGTATTTATTGTCTGTCTTCTCACTAGAACGTAAGCTCCATGAGGGCAGAGAATTTGTTTTGTTCACAGCTATATCCTCAGAATCTGTAACAATGCCTGGTACATAGCAAGTACTTAATAAATATCTGTTGAATGAAGAGTATCCAATAATCTCATATCACTTCATGCAAAAGGGCTATGGCAACTTTGCATGATCTAGAAACTTCCACATTATCCGTGGCTGATGGGAGTAGTGTTACTGTCATGTCAACCAAACTTTTCCAGTTCTCTGACTAAATGAAGTACAGTGTTCTTGGGATTCTATAAGTTCTACAAGAATTGTTAATTTTTATGTTTATTTTCCTGATAATTTAAAACAATTCATATAAGCATATCAGAGATCATCTACAGTGACTGTAGATGTCTCAGGTATTCACTCCCTCTAGTTTGCTGTTATTCATCCTGTACAAAACCAAAGCCATTATGAGATGGGGTGAGGAGGATTCTGCTCTTGGAGGAAGCTGCGTATCTATACACATGAAATGAATGCACTGAACTCCAAAGCTTTTATTTTTAAAAACTCTGAATGTTACCTCTGCTGGCCCTTGCTCCACCCAACTTTAGCATGAAGACCAGTGGTATAGAATAGTTCAAACTCATGGCAACAATGGTTCCAAATGTTAGATTTTTACTTACCTGTATAATTTTTTTTTTTTTTTTTGAGATGTGTCTCACTCTGTTGCCCAGGCTAGAGTGCAACGGCACAATCTCGACTCACTGCTCCCTTGAACTCTCCACACTCAGGTGATCCTCCCACCTCAGCTGAGTAGCTGGGACTTTAGGTGCACATCACCAATCTGGCTAATTTGTGTATTTTTAGTAGAGATGGGGTTTCACCATGTTGCCCAGACTGGGCTCAAACTCCTGGACTCAAGTGATCCATTCACCTTGGCCTCCCAAAGTGCTAGGATTACAGGCATAAGCTACCACTCCTGGCCCTACCTGTATAATTTTTTAAATGTCTAAGTTTTGTGCTGCTATAACAGAATACCTTAGACTGGGTAATCTATAATGAACAGAAATTTACTGACTAACAACCTGGAGGCGGGGAAGTCCAACATCAACATGCCAGCCTCTGTTAGGGCCTTTATGCTGCATCATCACATGGCAGAAGGTGAGAGGGTGAGGGGGGCCAAACTGGCCCTTGCAGAACACTAATCCCACCCATGGGAGTGGAGCCCTCATAGCCTAATCACCTCTTAAGGGCCCCACCTCTTAATACTATTACAATGGCAAGTAAGTTTCAACATAAGTTTTGGAGGGGACAAACATTCAAGCCATAGCATTAAAATTAATGTCTGGGAAAATAACACTGATGATCTCTATTAGGCCATACTTGCATTGCTATAAAGAAATACCTGAGATAGGGTAAGTTATAAAGAAAAGAGGTTTAATTGGCTCTACAGGCTGTACAGGAAGCACAGTGGCATCTGCTTCTGGGGAGGCCTCAGGGAGCTTTTACTCATGGTGGAAGGTGAAGCAGGAGCAGGCACGTCATGTATGAAAGCAGGAATGGGCATAAAACAACCACAGTCTTATGTAAACTCAAGAGTGAGAGGTCACATATCACCAAGGGAATGGTCCAAGCTATTCATGAGGGATCCATCCCCATAATCCACACACCTCCCACCAGGCCCCACCTCCAGCATTGGGGATTACTTTTCAACATGAAATTCAGGCAGAGACACACATCCGAACTGTGTCATGTGCATTCCTTTACGTTGAAAGAGAAGAGAAAGTACTAATACCTGTACTAGAGAAAAGCAATTCTCTAAGGATGTTTGGGGAATGTTCCCATGACTTTTAAGTGACAATGCTATTCCTGTGACCACGTTGGCTCCTAGGTTTTTAAATTTATTAAATGTCTATCCTCCTACATATGGCAATACTGATTAATTAGTTGAAACATTCTTTTTCCGGGAGGTTGGCGGCGCGGGGCTGAAGGCTAGCAAACCGAGCGATCATGTCGCACAAACAAATTTACTATTTGGACAAATACGACGACGAGGAGTTTGAGTATCGACATGTCATGCTGCCCAAGGACATAGCCAAGCTGGTCCCTAAAACCCATTTGATGTCTGAATCTGAATGGAGGAATCTTGGCATTCAGCAGAGTCAGGGATGGGTCCATTATATGATCCATGAACCAGAACCTCACATCTTGCTGTTCCGGCACCCACTACCCGAGAAAACAAAGAAATGAAGCTGGCAAGCTGCTTTTCAGCCTCAAGCTTTACACAGCTGTCCTTACTTCCTAACATCTTTCAGATAACATTATTATGTTGCCTTCTTGCTTCTCACTTTGATATTTAAAAGATGTTCAATACACTGTTTGAATGTGCTGGTAACTGCTTTGCTTCTTGAGTAGAGCCACCACCACCATAGCCCAGCCAGATGAGTGCTCTGTGGACCCACAGCCTCAGCTGAGTGTGACCCCAGAAGCCACGATGTGTTCTGTATCCAGAACACACTTGGCAGATGGAGGAAGCATCTGAGTTTGAGACCATGGCTGTTACAGGGATCATGTAAACTTGCTGTTTTTGTTTTTTCCTGCCGGGTGTTGTATGTATGGTGACTTGCGGATTTATGTTTCAGTGTACTGGAAACTTTCCATTTTATTCAAGAAATCTGTTCATGTTAAAAGCCTTGGTTAAAGAGGAAGTTTTTATAATCTAAAAAAAAAAGAAACATTCTTTTTCCTTTGTTAAAAAAATTAATTTGTTGCAGCTTTTAAGAATTCCAGAAGCTGGGAAGATTACTTAGTGTTAGGAGACAGGTAATGCAAAGGGCTGAAGTGAGTAATCCAGGAGGGGCTGAGGACAGTAGGGGCCCTCCTCTATGACTGAGGGACAGAAAAGCAACAGGGTTAAACACAGGTCCTGGTGCCAGGGAGAGCTGCAGCACAGCCCTGGGTCTACCATCACACATGCCATGACCTTTGGCAAGTTACTTAACCTCCATCTGCCTTAGTCTCCTAATCTGTAAAATGGGAACAATAGTAATACTGCGTGGGGTCGTTGTGAAGACTAAAGCTGCTGTGAGTGTACCTGCACATAGTGAGCGCTCAGTAAGTGTTCGGTGGGTGGCATACGTTCTTGATTTGCTCAGACTCTCTGCCTCTTGCCTTTATTCCTTCCTGTTGGGACGTGAGAGTCTGCTGATGGGGTGTTTTTTACAAGAATCCATGTATTTAGTGGCAGTGATTGATCCACTAGAGCCAACAGAAGACCTAGACCTGCACTGTGTCATTGTCGCTTACTAGCTACGTAATGTTAAATAAATCTCTTAACCTCTCTAGGTATGTTTCATCCTCTAAAAAGGGAATCATGAGCCTTGCCCTACTTGACAGGGTTCATGAGGATCAAAAGAAATAGACAGGAATGTACTTTAAGATTTAAAATATTATTCAAGTGAAAATATGGTATTATGAGCCACTTGAAATGCATAGATATGAAGTAAAAAAATGTTTGAGATATTGGCTGTTGGTGGGTCTTCTCTGTTTGGGAATGCATTTTAATTCTGCCATGAGCAGCCCTCCTCCATTTAATGTGTGGTCTCTGTGAGGAAAGTATTTCATTTCATCTCTGCTTCTTTTTTTTTTTTTTTTTTTTTTTTTTTTGAGACAGGATCTCACTCTGTCACCCAGGCTGGAGTGCAGTGGCACAATCTCAGCTCACTGCAACCTCCGCCCCGGGGTTCAAGCAGTTCTCCTGCCTCAGCCTCCCAAGTAGCTGGGATTACAGGCACACAACCCCAACTTGGCTAATTTTTGTACTTTTTGGTACAGACGGGGTTTCACCATGTTGGCCAGGCTGATTGAACTCCTGACCACAAGTGATCCGCCCTCCTTGGCCTCCCAAAGTTCTGAGATTACAGGTATGAATCACCGTGCCTGGCCTCATCTCTGCTTCTAATGGTCAAGGATCAGTGTCCACACAGCAAAGGTTAACTAACTGCATGGGTGGAGAACCTGCCCCATCAACTTTCTTTTCCATGTATTCACCAGGTGTCACCCACACATCATCCGGTGGGCACAGGAGAGCAGAGACAGCATGCGCACACGGTCCTGTCCTCCCCACCCAGAGGCACAGTCAGCTTAAGGTACGACAGCTTAAAAAACTCCACACACCTCACCACAAGGGAATTAACTGTAAAACAGAACAGCAGAGAGAACCCTGAGAAATGATCTTCTATAAAATTTCTCCACAATTGACAAAACACCCTTTCTTTTTTTCCCATGGTTTTTACCATCCATTACCTATTAATGAAGATTTGTTGTTTCGGGGGGTAATGATTTACAATAAGGTTTTTGTTTTTTGTTTTTGTTTTTGTTTTACAGAATAGGTAATGGTGATTATTGGGTCTATTTGGAGCCATGTTGTATTAATCTCTATATTAAATGAACTATAAGATACAATTTTTAATGCAGATCAAGAGTGATCTCCCCAGAAGTTCCTTAACCAAAATACAATAGTCCCCTTTTATCCACAGTTTTACTTTTCTGTGGTTTCAGTTACCCAAAGTCAATTGTGGTCCAAAAATGTTAAATGGAGAATTCCAGAAATAAATGATTCATAAGTTTTAAATTGCACACCATTCTGAGTAGTGTGATGAAATTTCGTGCCATCCAGCTCAGTCCTGCCTGCGATGTATGTTATCCCTTTGTTCAGTGTATCTACACTGTCTACACTACTCGCCCATTAGATTGACTGTAACGAACTGTACTTGTGTTCAAGTAACCCTTCTTTTACTTAATAATGGACCCAAAGTGCAAGAGTGGTGAGGCTAGAATTCAGATATGCTAAAGACAAGCTATAAAGTGCTTCCTTTAAGTGAAAAGGTGAAAGTTTTCAACTTAACAAAGAAAGAAAAAAATTTTTATACTGAGATTGCGAAGATCGACAGTAAGAATGAATCTTCAATCCATGAAACTGTAAAGAAAGAAAAAGTCATGCATAATATATATATAGGGTTTGTACTATTTGCAGTTTGAGGCATCCACTGGAGGTCTTGGAACATATTCCCCACCCTTAGCAGGGACTGCTGTACTAGAAATTGAGAATGGTGGAAGCATTTGAAAGTACCTACTTAAAAACTTGAAAGAGCAATGTTGCTCTCTACTGGCATTTCTTGTGTTTACTTGTTTAATTCAGTTTTATGAAGATGCCCAAATGGACATGTCCACAAGTAGACAAATAGAAGCCTAAGGGATATGGTAGCAAATTTTAACAGTTGAGTGTAGTGGCTGTGAAAACAACCAGCACATATTAGAGTCTGAACCTAGAGAGAAGTCGCTGTCTCCCAGGCTGGAGTGCAGCGCGATCTTGGCTCACTGCAAACTCCACCTCCCGGGTTCAAGTGATTCTCCTGCCTCAGCCTCCTGAGTAGCTGGGATTACAGGTACATGCCTGGCTAATTTTTGTGTGTTTTAAGTAGAGACAGAGTTTCACCATGTTGACAGGCTGGTCTCAAACTCCTGACCTCTGGTGATCCGCCCACCTCAGCCTCCCAAAGTGCTGGGATTACAGGCATGAGCCACCATGGCCAGCCTTTTTTTTTTTTTTTTCCTCCCTCACTCTTGCAAGGGATTTTTGAGCTCTCCATAGAATGCCCATTGAATTCCTCCCACTAAACTAACCTTCCTCGTCTGTCTTACAGGAAGCCCAGGGGAGAGGGCAAAAAGTGTCGGAAGGTGTACGGGATGGAGAACCGAGACATGTGGTGTACCGCCTGCCGCTGGAAGAAGGCCTGCCAGAGGTTCCTCGACTGAGAGACCCCCAGGCAGAGGGGCTCAGGGCCCTGAGCCGCTCCTGCCCTGGCCTGCCACTGCAGGTGTTGGAAAGAGCTTTTCCTACTGAATAAAACACAGTTGAAGCCAGGAAAAGCCCTTTCAGGAACCTTGGAGGAATAACAGCAAAAACACAGAAAAATTGTTTAAGTCACCACCTATGACAAAAGAAAGTTGCTCTTACTGAGAACCCAGCTTGGAGCAGCTATAACTAGTTTTTTTTCCTTCAAAAGAAAAGTCAACTTTTTTTGCTGTATGTCTAGACTTAAAACTGTGGACTTCTGTAGCAATTGAACCAACAAAGCCCATTTTACCTAGAAAGGAGGCATATTTTGATAAGCTTTCTGAATTATGCCATTTTCAAGATTTTTTTGACACTTAAAAAACAAGCTACAGGTTATTCAGTAGCATTTGTACAAAGATCAATACTTACTTTTGTTGTGAATAATCTTTTCCGTATCTTCCATTTGACTTCTTGGAGCAGTATATGTCAGGATGTGTTGCAAGACAGCGCAGCACTCTGGGCATCTTTTCTATGGCTTTTTGTTTGTTTTTCTTTTAAGAATGGCCCCACACTGAACCATGGTAGAGCTATTAGTTTGTAGGGCCCCAGATGGCATAAACTCGAGAAGGGATTGTCCACGGAAATCACCAGCAGACTTCAGCCCGAAGCTGAGTTCAGGAAGTCCAGCTGTCACTGTTGGGAAACATCTAGGAGTCTTCCTTGGATCCATAAGAAGCTCTTCCCCTAAAGGCAGCACAGCTAACTCTACTCTCTACCTGCCACAACTCAGTCAAGAATTGGCACCTGTAGCCATCTGGGTAAGCCTCGATGCTTCTTTCAGGGATGTGACACAAATGGCAACTCGGAGCTATTTGTTACTGCTTGTCTGTCAAGATTGTAGCCAGGTTAATGGGTCATTTTCCTTCTCTCCAGACTCCACCACTGACTGATTTCAGAAGAGGTAGAGAACTCCAAACTGTCCCAGCAGGTTTGCTTTAGACAACAGAGCACAGCCCACATGGCCCTACCTGTTCAGAAAGTCATGTTAGATCAACAAACCACTTCCATTCTGAGTGCACTTTTATAGGTTTTATGCTTTAGCATGTCCGGGAGATGAGTTAATTAACAATATAAACATTATGTGAGTAAATGGAAGGTCCAAACTTTAAGTTTTTCTTATAAAAATATTGGAGCTATTCATTTAAGAATTTGCTCAAAAGGGAACATAACGCCAAAAGGAAAATGCATGTAGGTATAGGAATTTCTCAGTTTAGTAGGGCCAGGGCTTGCACTATGTTCCATTTATTGGGCTTCGTAACTTACTTGCTTGTTTGTTTGGGGGATAGTGGTGTGGGGAGAGGGGAGTCGTCAAGCCCTATAAATAAGCTCATTCTCTATCTACCCGACTCTCAATTGCCCTGCTAAAGAGTTATTTCTCCTATACCTATGCAAAGTAGGAAGAGCACCTTATAGGAGGCACTGTATAGGGACAGGGGACATGGGATCAGCCATAGGAATGTTAAATGAAATTGCACAGAGGAAAGTTTAATATATGTCTAGAGATTATACATACACTTTTTTAAGCGTAAAAAGAAGACATCTAGTAATGACAGATATTCTTTTTATATACAAGCAAAAGAAAGTATAAGGAGGTTCTACAGTGCAACATCCACAATCTGTGCATTCACATATTATGGGACTTTTATTTTTTAAACTCTCATATAAATTTTTTAAAATTACTCCTTGGAAGAGATCCTGGTTTTTTTCTTCATTTATTTTTTTCTTTAAAAACATTTATTTTAAGAGAAGAGAAAAAGAGCTTCATCTAATTTTGCATCTTGATTACCAATCAGTACTAGTCACAGCACCAGCAATACTGTATGTTTTAGACTGACAAGGTCAGCCAGGAAATGGCATTTTTTTAAACGCAGAAATGTGTTTGTTTCCTCTACTCTAACACGTCCTTTCTCCTCCTGGTGTCCTGTCACCCCCCATGCAGCACCACTGATGCGAGATGATGCTCTGGCCTGGTCCAGGAAGCCCTGAGCCATGGGCAGATTGCCCAGTGGCCTTGGGCGGCCAGAGCTTGTCACCTGTTTAAACAAGTTCACCATGTGTTTAAATGACAGGGTACAGTCCTGGACCAGAGGTTTTTCTCTTCAGCAAAGCTCCCTGGCCCTTGATCGTTGGACTGTTACTAATAGAAAAAGATTCAAGTCATGAAGTATAAAATCCATCCCCCATCCCAGAACTTTGAAACACAAGGAGGGAGAGATCTTTGCTATGGAGCAGTCCTGGAGCAAAGCCCCGTGGCTTCCACCCCCAGATATATACCCCATAAGTAGTGCTGAGCTCCAGCTTAGCTGAGCCAAGCTCAGTCCTTATCTGGTGTTCAGCCAGTGCACAGGTATAAGCAGAACTACAGAGCTGAATGTAGCTTCCCTGGGATCTCTTCTCCTTTCTAAAGCATTTTTCACACAGTTCTGTACCTCCTACCCAAGTTGGGGCTGCTTTCTGCCTGCTAGCCCACGGCTCTGTGTACTTTCTTTTCTGGCTTCAGGTGCAGACAGACCCTCAGTACCTTCCTGGACACAGACACATATTCCCTGGACCAAGGCGTGGAATAACTAGTAGACCACCAAGCCACAGGTGGCTGGTCTTGAAGAAAAGGGATTATACTCCTTACAGGCCACCCAGAAAGCTATGAATTCCAATATACACCACTGATCGTGCAAGTTAGGGTTTTTTTTTTTTAAACGTAGCATTATTTTGTTATATTTTGGAACTAAATGAAGTGCCAAATTAACCAGACATTCGTTTGATGCCATCTCTGTGGAACCAAGTTCTCTGTGTGTGTTCGTTTGGCTGGGAGGAGGGGGAGGACTGGGCAGACTGCTCCCACAGCAGGCTGGCAGTGGAACTGGAGCCCTGGCCACCGCAGGGAGCTCAGAGGCCAATCTACGCAAAAGGCATGCAAAACAATGGATTCTGGTCCCAAAATATTTCTAAGTAAGGCATGATGTAGCCTTTTGATTTTTTTTTTATCCTTTGACACCCCAGCCTTCAGAAAAGGTTTTTCATCTCTCTCCAAAGAAGTCATTTCATAGTGACTGACAGGACATTCTCCAGAGAGCGACAAAGCAGAGTGGCCAGCAGGCAGTGGTGTTAAGCCTTGGGCCTTCCCAGCAGATGTGTGCTGCATTGGTGGGTGGGAGGCAGTGTGACAGCCTGGAGAAAACACACAGGTAGCAAGGGAGTCAGGGGGGAGGTACAAGAGGGCTGTGGACACCTGGCTCTTGCTCATCTTCTTGGTGCTGATCAGCTGGTGGTCACCATCCCTAAGTACCTCCCAGGGAGCTGCCATTTTCTCCTCTGGGAGCAGCTGCCTGAAGCAAGGAGAGAATGACCTGAAGGGAAGTACCTCCGGCCAAGAGTGCAGGGCTGCTGTGCCTAGCCTGAGCGGGCCATCTCTAGCAGATATGGACTTCTCTCCACCACACTAGCTGAAAAGTTTTCTCCCTTGGTTGGCAAAAGCCAGTGTCAGGAAAAAAGCTGTGGGTTTCTGACCAAGAATGTGTGCGCTTAGCTGCAAAGTGCCTGTCAGCAGCTCCAGGCACCAACAAGGTGCCCTTTTATTAGACAATTCCTGCCCGAACATAACCATATTGCAGATGAAAATTTTCAATAGAGAATGACACAATTCTTGACCTTTCTAAAAACTTTTCAAAGAGATAGTCACATGTGTATATGTTGCAAAAGATTTTTGAAACTGAAATGTCCTCCATTAAATCTCAAGAGCACTCGAGTTTTAAGTCTGCTGTTTCTGGTGTCACACTAAGACACACTTTTGAAAGCAGCCCTGGGTTCTGAATTAGTTGGCACTGCTGAATCCATGTTCCCCCTTCATCAGACTCCAAAGTGCAGCATTCACTTGCAAAGGTTGAGAGAAAAGTGGCCAGAATTGTACATATAACAGAGAATACCTTGAGAATAGTAGCAAAATACTGTAAATAATATTCATTTCCTCAGGGAAAAATAAAGGGCATGCAAAAATAGGTCTGGAGACTCCTGAAACTAGGAAGAATTTTGTTATCACTAAAGTCTTTTATAGTCAGAACAATTTTTTTTTCAAATGAACATGGTATCATTTCAAGACAAATTTATGTGAACTGGGCAGTACTGACATTTGTGAGGCATAGGGGAGTGCCCTGGGAAAACGGTTTGGAGCTGACCTGTAGCCTAAGGCTAACATTTGAACCACAGGTGCAATGCCTGGGGGTGGGGGAGGGGGACGGGGTGGGGGTGGTATTCCTAGACTCACGTAAGGCTTTTTCTGAATGTAATTGTGAATACAAAGCCTTGCTGGTCCTTTTTATCATTACCCAATGGATGACTGTTTATTAGCTATCAGCAGAATTCCGTAGGCGAAAGCAAGCCGTGAACGATGTACATTTTGCTTTAATAGCATGTTAGCGAACAAACTTCCATGGACTTTTGTGGACAAGGTGCTGCTTTTTCTCATGACCCTGTAGAATTGCTATCGACCACATCTTCTGTAGCACTGACCTGTGTGAACTCAGGGAAGAATTTGTGCATACAAATGAGTGGAAACAGAGCAGGATTCATGAATATGAATG
The DNA here is from genome assembly GCF_000001405.40 of Homo sapiens. Classification (NCBI taxonomy): domain Eukaryota; kingdom Metazoa; phylum Chordata; class Mammalia; order Primates; family Hominidae; genus Homo; species Homo sapiens. Next base: position 80,636,706 of record NC_000008.11, on the reverse strand, counting down.
AGAATGTGAATCATTTTGGAGAATGCCCTGGGCACACGGGTCAACTGGAAATTTCATTTCTCTAAGAAAGTAGCCCTACCAGCGGCACGGACTGTTCCTGTTCCTCATACCTGTGGGGATTCCTCCATATTGGAACTGTTTCATGTATCTTTTTTGCATTGTAACTAGCCAAACCTGAAGTCAGTAAATAAAATGAGATTAGCACTTTTTTTAGGTACCAGTTGTATCACTGAGTAATGCACACCAATAGAGCAAGAAAGTATAAAATGTATTTAAGACCAACTGGTTTGCTTATTATGACTGACTTTGAAAAAGCCCATATCCAATGATATACATGCTTTAAAAGGTATATCTATCGTAGGACCAGGAACCAAAATGGGAATTTTACTTCTGGTCCTGTTTTGTAAATAGTTCCTTTTTTTGAAGACAATCTCATGTTTTATAACTTTTGTTGTGGGTCTGAGAATCACAATGGTAATATGTCTTGGCAAAACATAACCTTTAAATACAAAAACAATTATAACTTAATTTTCCAAATAAAACAAGAAATACACTGATTAGGCTTCTACAGTTCTAAGAGACATGACACTTTGGTAATAAGCGTCAGTACTCTACTTCTCAAGTTAACTGGAAATATTTTACAAGATGCAGTGTTTTGTAATCACAAAGAACGCAGACATTTTGTGAGAAATGACCTTGGTTTTATACATTGTAGCTTATTTTTTAAAATATAGTATTTTACCAGGCAGGAAGTATTAATATTATAAGTAATTCTTGCTCACCAAACAAAGGGCTATGTCTCTTTTAAGCAAATGTTTTGATGCATATCTTTTTAATTAACCCTCTGCAGCAAGGGTAGAAATACAGATCAGATGGAATGGGTATTATAGGAGAATCAAGATAGCAACAGCTACTCCTTTTACCATTACTAGTGTGTTTTCAAAGTATGGAAAAAGATGCCTGAAGAGTCATTTTATATATTTTAAATCTAAAAAGTGTTAACAGGTATGCTTATAGGCCATGGGAGAAATATTCTTATAAATTTTTTAGTGTAAAATGATAAATTCTGTGTCACAAAGACAAGTTTACCACTTGACCTACCAGAATCACAGATACTTGCATTTAACTAGCAAGTATCATTTGGTGGAAATTTCTAAAATCATAGTAGACAGGCCCAAAGATAGAATTCTTAGGTGATCAGTAGTGTTTAAAATAATTTTGTCCTCAGCACTAACTATATAACTGTAATTTCTACATAAGAACAAGTGCTTCCAAAATATAGTGGAGGGAAAAAATAAAAAAGGAAAATAAAAAAACAAAACAAAAAGAACAAGTGCTTGATTTTTCACTGTGAAGAACTAGCAGGCACATGAGGTTGTGATCAGAAAGTGACTGAGTTCCCAAGAACCAGGAAACAGAGGGGAGTTGTGAAGAGTTTATTAAAACTGTACAAATAATTCAGAGCTTTGCCAAAACCATTTCATAATGCTGTACAGTTTTTTCAAGCCCACTCACTGTTAAAACAAGAAAGCACCTTTTCTTTCTAAGATTTTAGTAATCCAAAAGCTAGCCTAATTAGCCAAGTATGCAGATAACATCAAAAGCAAAGCTGAGATAGAACAGCCATACACCCGTTGGGCAGCTCTTATGAGGTGGTCAGAAGGTCACTCAGACCTTGGTTTCAAATAGGCTTTAGAATCTGCACACTTGAGGACTAGAAATGCACAGAGTTAGGGAAAGCCATGTACAGGCTTGGCTCCTAGTCTTTGAGATGAGGCGTCTTGCAAATCTCTGTTTTCACTCCTTGGAATGTCTCCATTGTTAGCATTAAAGTCCCCAAGAAGTTTTTATTGCTGTACGGTTTTGAACCCAATGAGTCTCATTTCCAAAAGATTCCTAATTCTATATAGGAGAGGTTGCAAATGTCAGTGCCTCAGAAGGACCAGGCAAGTTCTGTAAATGATTGATGTGGATAAGGCAAAGAGGAACACAAGAATGGTGGAGACCAGGTTGAACTGCAGAACACATGCCCTCTTTGAAGGGGTGCCCACACTCAGCTCTAGACAATCAGAACCATGCAGAAATCAGGCCCAGGGCTGCTAGATCTTCTGACGTGGAAGTATGATATTACCTGACACGTAAGTGTTGACAACTAACTCAAACTCTTGGCCAACACTGTGCAGACCAAAGAGAAGCTGTACACAGACAGGTGCAGCCTGCAGCCCCCAGTTTCAACTATTGGGAAAAGTGGATTTCACATTCCACAGTTGTCAGGTCAGGTTCATCCATCAGCCCCACAAACTCACATGTCGGCACTATCTGGGCAACTAAAATAAAAGAGGGGAAAGAGATCATTTCTCCCCAGATATCATTCTCATGGCAGACTTGAATATAGATACGCTGAGTTATCCAGCTCTCTCACTCTGCCTCCTTTTGGCATGCCCAGGCTGTGCCCCGTAAAGTGTTGAATCACTGTTATCCTAATTTTCTTAGTGTTTTCTACCGTGGCCACTGTGATGAGGGGCTGGCAAAGAGCAGCCTCGTGCCTTCCGAGAAGGCTGCCAGGAGCCTCTGAAGCTTGAAGCGAGCACACATTGCCTCCTTGTGCCAAAGCCCTTGGCCAGCCTCCCCACACTCCTTCCCTCTCCATCCGGCCTCATGAGTCTTCGTTACCAAGTAAAATTACCACTGCTTCACCTCTGATACAGCAGAAGCCTTGCTTCAGAACTGGTAGGCATTTAGGCTATTTCAGAGTGTCCACTAACCTCAAAAGGAGGTTTTTCCACATACAAAACCCTAGCATCTTTGAGGGGAAAGCAAAATGAGAATAAATTATGTCATGAAAAAAATTAGAAGTTGCTTCCTTCATTTAGATGGACTAAGTTATTTTAAACTCTATCTTACATCAGAGTCCTGATGGTGTTGGGATAGTCACTGACCCTTTCACGTATGTAATAAGATACGTCTCGTTCACACACTATTTCATTTGATCTTTGTAAGAACCCAGTGTAGAATAGGAATATTTAAAATCAACATTACCCACCTCCAAGGCCAACCCAGAGTAGTCTTGAACCTGAGTCAGCCTCAGTATTGCTTGCAAGGAAGAGGGAAGGGGCTCATTAAAGGCCTGGCTCAAACCTTAGTCTTCCAGACTGACTAGGGACGTAAGAAGACCCAGGGACCCACCATGTTCTCAAACCATCTATTCAGTCCAGGCCTTTCAGCATAGACATAAAGAGCCCACCCGTTACTCAGTCATGTTGCCAAGTGCAAACTGATTTATCCCCAGATGAATCCCTTTACTGTAGCAGATCCCTAATCCCTAAATTTCAGCCAATTTGGTAGTTAATTATAGGAGTTTATTAGCTAAATGTATGTTCTGAGTAAAAGTTTTGACTCTTTGGGGAAAATTTATTTTGCTGCTAGCATACAACATTTGCTATGTATATAAACTTAAGTCAATGCCAGAAATTTTAAAACCAGCTCAAATTTATAATCTGTAATGATCAAATCAAAACATACTGTAAACTCAGAGTTGGAAACGCCTGGTAATATGGTTAAGTCATGTTTAAATATGAATGCAATTTAAATGACATTGGCAATGCCTGAGATTTCTTTCATTGTGAATGATTAAAAGGCAGTCCAATATATGAATGGATTTCATCTTACCTTTCTCCCGTTAATTTACTAGGTGTAACATCTTGAGTGTAAAGTCATTCACAGGCAGTTGGGTTGTGGAGCTAGAAGGAGCCTCAAAAAAAAACTTTTTGGCCAGACTCCTACATCATGAACAGGGTTTTTGATGAATAATATTTATTATTATGTTTCTAAAGTAATACAGTGTTGGAGAATGAAACAGTTTAGTCCTTTCCTCTTCTGATGGAAAAGAATCATAGCGCCGTTGCCATGACAATAACAGGATGTAGAAAGACCCATGAAGAAAGAAAGAAGAAAGCTATGGTTCCGAAAGCAGGTAACCACAGATTTTGAAAGGAGGCAGAGATGGTGATTAAACTGTAGTCCTTGTTTTTTAAAATGTTCTTTCATGTTAGGCACCACCACATAGTTAATAACTACCAACTTCTAAAGAGAAGATCCCCTTGATTTATTTATATCATGAAAATACTAAAAATCAATTCTCAAGTCTAATTAACTATTACATTATCTTGCTAGGTCCTTTTCCCTAAATTTTTAATTCAGAAAATTAACCAGAATTGGCCAGATGCAGTGGTTCACGCCTATAATCCCAGCACTTTGGGAGTCCAAGGCAGATGGATCACTTGAGGTCAGTAGTTCAAGACCAGCCTGGCCAACAGAGGAAGAAAGAGTGAAAACAAAAGAAGAAAGAGGGAAACCCTGTCTTTACTAAAAATACAAAAATTAGTCGGGCGTGGTGGCGCACACCTGTAATTCCAGCTACTTGAGAGGCTGAGGCAGGAGAATCCCTTGAAACTGCAGGCAGAGGTTGCAGTGAGCCAAGATTTCACTGCTGCACCTGGGGTGAGACTACCATTAAGGAAGGAAATTTCCTTTAAACAGAAAAAAACAAAGGTGCTCATCTATTTCTTCTGAATTCTCTCTACATCCTTGACTTAAGAGGAAAACCAGCACTCAAGAAACAGCTTTAAAAGAGAACAGTCCCCATTCTAGCTACCAGTCTTGCTTTCCCCCATCTTGGCAAGCCCCAGTGAATTTGCCATTGAAAGATTACCCTCCCCTTTGCCCTCATCTGCCTGAGCTAGAGGCCAGGCTGTTGTTAATGTTTTTTCAGTTCCAAAGCCCCTGATGGGACATTCTTGTTTCTGTGCTACTGCTTTCTCTCTCTTAAATTAAGGTGCAAGGGGATAAATATTACTATAACTGGGATGTAAGGCTCAGTCAGTGTGGCTATTCCCTCCCTTCGGGGGAAATATTCCATCTGTCTGAACGGTTTTAGGTGATCATGAGGAGAGCGGCTTAGTCACACAGCCAGCCACGCTCATCACAAAAGATTTGTTCAGACTCACTGTAAAGAATGACAAGGCAGATAGCTAATCCTTTCACTGTGCCTCAAAGCCCGCCGTGCAAGTCACCAACCCTACCGGTCCTCTCCACGTGCGAGGCTAATAGAGTGATCAGAACCAGGAATGTGAGCTGGGTTCCACCTTAGGAGGGGACAATGAGGACAGAGCAAGAGGGCTCCATGTTTAATTACTCCAGGCTCTGACTTCTGCCCACAATTACAGAGCATGAAAGCAGAATTGGCCTTTAGTAAGTGAAAAGGAAGTGGCTCCTGCAGCATATAATTGTTATAATTTCGTATTTATGGAAAGAGAAAAGGACTTCAGTCCACTCATGTTGTTAAGCACTTGTCCCTCACTCCACTGGAGCCCCCTTCCTATGTTTTGGGCACAGATGGCTGGGACCGAGAGGAAAGAGGAAGAGCGGCTGCCAGAGTGTGAATATACCCCTCAGGGATATACAGCGGAGTTTCATGATAAACTACCCATACTTTCCCAAAAAAGGTTGAGGAGCAATACATAACTTTGCAGATTACAAACCCTTGTTTTACTTTTTAAACCTTTTTTCCATACTCTGCTTATTGGAAATCGATGGCTGTGATGTGACCAACACCTGTGATGATAGCAAAGCCCCTCCTTTCACAGTCTCCTGACTGTTCGGGGAACCTCCTTGGTCATTGGTAGAAAGCTTTAGAAAAGACTTAGCTTTTTAGGGAAGAACTAAAAAATCTCCAAAACATACTAGTCCCATGACTTCGATAACTGAAAATGTCCTGGGTGTAAACTAACCCAGGAATGTGGATCATACATGTTTTTTTTAAAAAAAATCCCTGAATCAATATTTTCCTACAACACACCCTAAAATTCCTATTTTTGTAATTAATGGTTGGACAGTGATCAGCCATTTAAACATAGGCTTTCTGGAATAACCAGACACTAGAATAGTTTCCAAAGTGTTTTGCGTATCAAAATCCTATATACTTAGAAGAAGAACTCAGGATAAGAAAAAATCGCTAGGTCCCAAAGGGTTCATGACTATCATCAGATGCAACTGCGAGTGGCCTACGGTCATTTTTTCAAATGAGAAGACTGGAGAGAGAGAACAACAGTAATCACAAAACCTCTGTTGCCCTTAGTCCATGACAATGTTTAAGGAAACTTTAAAAAATTAAGCCATCTTCTGAATTGTTTTCTACACCAAATCTAAAATATTAAAATGAAATTATTAAATATTTAAAATGGGGTATTTAGTGGAAATGCAATCAGTAGAAAACATTGCTTTTTAGTGCCTGCTAAACAAGTAAAGGAGAAAGAATGAAGAGAAAACAGCAGTCCTTCCTGTGTGACACTCGTGTGGAAATGACAGGCATTCACATGTCATTGAGTGCTAACTCAAAAGCTAGGTGGCAATGCTGTCCAATGTTTAGAGATCTTTTGAAATATAATTTTACCACCATTCAGAGGTAAGTACTTGCTTAACAGAAGTCTTTAATGTTAGTGAATGAATGTATAAAATTATAAACTATGCATTTTCAAAGAGTAGCATGTATTTTGTATCGAATCCAAGTAAATTTTTTTCATAGCTACCTACCACAACTGCAAATTATTCAAAATAAACTTGGATACATATCCTTATGGGGATATGGGAAGCCCATCTATATTCTCCTACTTGATGTTTTTAAAGATTGAAACTTTATTCTGAAACATCAGGCTCTAAAAAATTCCATCATTAAGATGAATAAATGGGAAATGGTTTATTTGTTACTTCGTAAGCATAAATGGGAAATGTTGGCTGTTAGAAAATGTGCCCAGTTCTTTAAAGGTGGATGTTCTAGTAACACTGGATTAACAAGCAAACAAAACTGCATGAAGTGAACGAATATTTCATTGGATAAAGTTAGCATAGGTTTTATCTGCTGGGTTTAATTCTCAATCCCAGAAAAAAATATTCTTCAAGGGGTATCAGTTATAGTTTCAAAGAACAAAATATGAAAATATTGTCCAGCAAAGCAAATCATTGATCTTTTTTCAAAATTACTTATATTTTGGAAAGTCTATATAGAATATCCACAAATTTCTTCAGCCCTCTTGTTGATTTCATATTTTCATGAAACTTTTTCCCCTAATAATTTGTCTTCGCTCTTTAATCAGTGCTTTACTACATTACTCAGCCTGAAAAAATATCTTTTCCTTCATCTGACAATGTGGAAATAAAGAACTCCATTTCTGTCATTCTGGTTCTCTTCAGTGTCCATTGAGAAAGTTTCTCAACTGTTTGTAAAATACGGGGGGAAAAAAACACGCATTTCTAAACCTGGTACTTAAGGTTATACTGGATTGTTTGCTACCTAATTAGAAGTTATTGGGGAAGGGGCATTGTGTCTTTTTATATGATTTTTAGCCAAATCCAGATGTTCTGATACACATTTCTGAATACCTGTCTGACTGTAAATACAGCCTGTGGAGGTTCAGGTTGATAAACCTTTCACCTGACTGCTCCACAGCCATGCTCCTTGCCAGCTTCTGGCACATTGTACATAGATTTGTTGAATGTTTAAATGATGTTGTTTTTCTAAATGCTGTTCTCTAAAACAATTTTTTGAATTTCTTTTGCTTTCCATTGTTTTGGACTTTGTGTGTTCGTTTTTTAAAAAAAAAAATGTTTCCTAAATATTTAACACCAGGAAAAATATTTTTAAATACACTGGTGCTAATTGAAACAGAAGGAAATTTTCAGATCGAAGATGTACAATGTTAAATGTTCATACCAGTTAAACTGCACTTTCCCAAGGGGACAGCTGGCATCTACTTGAAATGGGCATCAAGAGACCACCAAATGTTTACAGTTTCTGTGGCCCGTTTAAGTGTAAAATGCAGAAGTGGCTCTGTCCCCCCAGAGTTAAGGATTTGCTACACTGGTCCTCTGGAAGCATTTAAGTAGAAGAAAAGGCTTATAGTCAGAATCACTTTAGTAATCGTCTTCTGGTCCTTGGACTTTTCTGTTCTGTAATGCTTGTAACAATGAATATGGTGTTGCCAATCTAGTCTGATATCATTGTTGACCTGTACTTACTTTGTGGATGGTTCTACCTGGGGTTGCACTGGCACAAACAGAGCCAGAACACTGGACTTTCAAAAGACCATTTTGACTTCTACAGTGTCCACACACATGAATTTAAATGCACTTGTAACTGGTTAATTACCATGAAGTAAGTCTAACTTCCACTTAATAAAAGTTTTTGTGTATCTGCTTCTATTCGGAGACCAATTTATTTAATTAAGGATAACTATACCAAGAAAGTCTCGCTGGGGCTTGGGGTTTTACCTAGAGTTGTAAAAATAGTTCAAAACCAAGGAGATGTCTTCATCATCAAGGCCATTTTTAGAAACATGTGGAAGGCATGTGTCCTCAGGTTCAGCCCTGCTAATGACAATTTCAACCCATTCCCTTAGCAATGATTGTCCAAATATGTTAGCTGCTGACCCTGTGCTGCTGACTGTTGTCCCAAGCAAGTAGGCAATGTGGCAAACAGAGGGAAAATAATACCTATTTTGAAGCTAAGCCAGCCTGGAATTGTCATCCTCAGGCCTCGGGCTCCCGAAGGTGGGTTTCTGCAAAGTTGACTTTCAGTGCCCACATGTTTGCCGTGGAGGAGGGATGGGCATAGCAACCTCCACATACTGTGCTCAGACTGTAAGTGCGCCTCTCCCAAGCCCTCTGCTCCCAGGCTCCCAGAGGCCCTCCAGGTCTCAGTGACTGGGACACGGCAGAACCCTCAGGGGCAGGGCAGCCGAAAAAGATATTGAGAATCTGGGTCGTAGATGCTGTCCTGCACAGTTGTGTGGAAAGCATAAATTTGCAAAATAAGTTTTTACTAAATACTTACTATACAAAGGGATGCTGCAGCAAACAGCTGATGAGGTAATGAATTTTTTTAGTGTAAAAATGCAAGCTACTTTCCTCTCAAAAAATACCCTGCAAGAACTTACATTTCCTAAGGGTGAAGACCATGTCCTGTGTGTTGTACCCACCTTGTGTCGTACTCCACCAGGCATATAATAGATGATCAATAAACTTTTTAATGAATGAACAAATTGTTCAGGCAGAGCATTTCTTCAGGCTTCATATGTGCTTTCTGCCTTCAACCTACCATTACTGGAACAAAGCAGAGGAAATAAACATTTTAAAGACTGGCATAGAAATTTATTTGGAAAGCCACATTTTTAAAGTTTCTTTAGAATATGTACATTCTCAAAATTGCCAACTCCAAATGACTATATTGATTACATAATAATTAGCCAATACAGGACAAAGTGTACAATCACATGGTTACTGTTTTAAGTAGAAATGCCTTGCACATAGCAATTCAATAAATAAGTGAACAAAAATGAATGCTTCTAAAGGAAATAAATTACAACATAGGTCTGTGCTCTTACAAGCAAGCAGAGTAAATGGAATGAGACTATTAGGATCTGTGTCAGTAACACAGGAGAGAGAATCCAGGCTGGCATTAAGGCATAATAGACACTATTTTAGGAGGAGGATCTGGGTATTATAGTCATCGTTTATTTGTTTGTATCTGTGTAATATATGCACATAGCTACAAAAAAATCAGGGTAGTAAAAAGCTTACAGTGAAAGCAGGTCCCTGCTGCTGTCCCTTTTTACCCCTTCATTATGCTCCCAGAAGCAGCCACGTTGACTTGTTTAACTGTTTCTTCTGGGACTTGATTCCATTTATATCTTTTTATTTAATTATATGCAAGTATGCCTGACAAGCAACAGTCAGCTCCAGCCAAGGCATCTATGGTATCAAGAGCGAGAGGGACGAAGCACAGCACAAGGCTGGAGAGCGATGCACAGGGACTGGCAAAGTGCCCAGCACAGGGAAGTGCCCTGTGTTACAAGGGGCACCCCCTGCACACGGTTGAGACCTAATGCTCTGAACAACACGGGCATCTCACTGGGCACTAGGACGCTGGCCTGTGGGTTGATCCATGAGTCTCTCACAAGTTTGCTGATTGTGAATCAATTCTCCAAAGCACAGTAAGCCTGGGTAACCTGAAAACAACCAAGTGTCCTCACCTCCAAATTAAACCTGCAAACCAGCCTCAGACCCCAGGCCAAAGCCTTCAGTCAGCCAGCTGGCTAGCAGGTCGCTCATGATCTCTTTTAATATCATCTGCACAGCAATTCCTAGTTTTTGGTGCATTCCTTACTTTAGCTGATTTCACTGTAATGCCCAGATCATCCCAGAAAAACAATTCATGTCAGATGTTGCAGAATGGCTCAGCTAAGGGAAAGTTGCTCACTGTTCACCTTGTGGCTACAGCCAGAGGTGCTAGAAACCAGCTGCACCCATATGTTTTACGTGTTTGGCTGCAAGTAATAATCCCAGTCAAATGAGACTAAGCAAACACGAGTGGGGATTTACTGAAAGGACACATGGTGTCTCTGTGGGACCCCCTGTTAAATGATGTTGCCAGGTCACACACAGGCCTGGAACCAGGAGTGAGAAAGGCTTTGGGAAAAAGGCAGCCACACTGCCCCTCCAGTCCCATCCTGTCATCCACTCTCCAGGGGGCAGCGAGATCAAGACTCCTCTCTTCTCTAGGGTCTCTTCCCTCCTCACCCTACATAGCTGCCTTTTTTGCTCTTCCGGCACATGGTGGAAAATGGCCAGCAGAGGCCTACATGACCTTCCAACGCATGCAATCAAGAGGGGGCTAGAATTTTGGAGCACCAATTCCAAACTCGAGAGAATTTGATTGGCCTAACAAGGGAGAGGCATCTTCCCCTGCTCCAACAAACTGGGCTGGGGTGAGAGTGTACTGTTCGGGGCCACATGGAAGTTTCTCTAATAATTACATTTGCACTGACCTAATAATAAAGTGTGGGTGGAGGTGGGCAGATCACTTGAGCCCAAGAGTTTGAGACAAGCCTGGGCAACGTGGTGAGACCCCATCTCTACAAAATATACAAAAATTAGCCAGGCATGATAGCAAGTGTCTGTAGTCCCAGCTACTCAGGAGGCTGAGATGGGAGGATCACCTGAGCCAGGAAGGTTGAGGCTGCAGTGAGCTGTTTGTGCCACTGCACTTCAGCCTGGACAACAGAGCAAGGCCTTGCCTCAAAAAACAAAAAAAAGAAAAAAAAATTGTGAGGTTGGGAAGGAAATGATTGGTGGAAGAAATAATTTTACCATTTCTAGTACAGGATAAAAAGGCCATTTTTCTTGCTAATAAATATAATAATGGGTTATTACACCCAGGAGGGATCTGAAAGATCATCTAATTTAACTCTCTTGGTTCATAAATGAGATTCATGACCTGTGAGTATCATTTGACATTTTAGTATTGTTTGATGCCAGTTTGTTTTCATAAGGTTCCATTGTTTACTTGTTTTCTGAAAGATAAGGTTATTATCTAGGCCATTGAAAACCACCTATGAAAAAATTATTTTTAAAGTTAAAAAAGGGGCCAGGCATGATGGCTCACACCTGTAATCCCAGCACTTTGGGAAACCAAGACGGGCGGATCACCTGAGGTCAGGAGTTGGAGACCAGCATGGGAAACATGGTAAAACCCCATCTCTACCAAAAATACAAAAATCCAGGTATGGTGGTGGGCGCCTGTGGTCCCAGCTACTCGGGAGGCTGAGGCACGAGAATTGCTTGAGCCTGAGAGGCGGAGGTGGCAGTGAGCCGAGATTCTGCCACTGCACTCCAGTCTGGGTGACAGAGCGAGACCATGTCTCAAAAATAAAGTTAAAAAAGAATTGCTTATTATCTTAAATATAGCCACACCGAGCACAGAGGGTAGGAAAACCGGAGCCATACTGCCTGAATTCAAATCCCAGCTTCACCATTTACTAACTGTATGACCATGGAGAAATTATGCAGCCTCTCTGTGCCTGTTTCCTGCAGCATAAAATATGGATAATAATGTGACCTGTCTCATATGAGTATTGTGAGTTATAAATGACTTAATATGTGTAAAGTGTTTAGTATGTTGCCTGGCACATATTGAGGGCCATGAAAGTATTTCCTTTTTTTTAATTCTCCCTCAAAGTATTTCTCTGAGTAATCAACAGTCTCATACTTTAAGTAGCTTGAGACAAATACATTAGTCCAAAAAAGCATCTTGAACCATTACAGAAGAAGCCATCAGTTAGCTGTGGTAAGCTAAAAGTACATATTTATTTCCAACAAAGATTATTTTCTAATGTTTCCAAGTTAGAACTCTGCACTATAGAAGTACAGAAAAGTAGAAAGAAAATCAGATAATTACCACTCTCGAAAATAAGCACTAGTAGATTGATACATTTTTCTCAAGCTATTTCCATGCATATTTATTTGCATAGTTGTGATCACACTGTATATATAATTCAGCATGTTGCCTTTAGTCACTTAACATTATAGCATATGCAGCTTCCCATATCATTAAATATTTTCAAATGCCTTCATTTCAATGGCCGTGTAATAGTACAGCATGTAGATATACACTGATTTCCTTAAATATTCTCCTATTTGGAAAATGTATGTTGTTTCCAATTTTATACTCTTTTAAACTTTTACTACAGTTGCCAAATTACTATCAAAATGATTTGGCTCAATTTACTCTCCCAGCAGCAAAGGGAATGAGTGTCTTTCTGTAGGCTCACCTGCAAGGAGTATTATCATTTTTTAAAAATCTGTCCTAAGTTGATATTAAAAGGCATGTCATCCTTGTTTTAATTTTTCCTTCCTTTTTTCCTTCCTCCCTTTCTCCTTCCCTCCCTCCCTCCCTCTCTCTCTCTCTCTCTCTCTCTCTGTCCCTCTCTCTCTCTTCTTTCTCTTTCTTTTTCTTTCGACAGAGTCTAGCTCTGTTGCCTAGGCTGGAGTACAGTGGCACAATCATAGCTCCCTGCAAACTTGAGCTCTTAGGCTCAAATGATCTTCTTGCCTCAGCCTTCCGTAGCTGGGACTACAGGTGCCTGCCACTGCTATGGTTTTTATGTTTCTATAGGGATGTGTTGCCCAGGCTGGTCTCGAACTCTTGGTCTCAAGCAATCCTCCTGCCTTGGCCTCCCAAAGTGCTGGGATTACAGGTGTGAGCCATCATGCCCAGCCAATTTATAGTTCTCAAATAAAAGCTAATTATGTTAAACAGTTTTCTCTGTCAGACATTTACAATTTCTATTTATGTCAGTTCATATCCTTTGTCTATTTATCTTTTGGGATCTTAACCGTTCCTTATGTATTAGTAGGAGTTCTATTGTTAGGATTTAAACTTCTGTCTTATTCGCTATACTTGTTTTTGCAATGTATGTGCATTTTAAATTCAGGTATGACACATTTTTGCTTGCACATTTTAAAATCTTTATATCATTAAATCTATCAGTTGTTTCCTTTAAAATTTCACAGCCCACTCACAGCTTAGACAGGCCTCTCACATTTCAGGTGTCAAATATTTCCCTTGTATTTTCTTTGCCTTTTATTTATACTAATTTTTTCTTACTATCTAGAATATTTTGGTACAAGATAAAGCTCAAAATGTATTCTCTTTTTTTGTTTGTTTTAAGACAGGGTCTCACTCTGTAGCCCAGGCTGGAGTGCAATAATGCCATCTCGGCTCACTGCAACCTCCACCTTGCAGGTTCAAGCAATTGTACTGCCTCAGCCTCCTGAGTAGCTGGGACTACCAGCTACTACAGGCGTGTGCCACCACACCCAGCTAATTTTTGTATTTTTAGTAGAGACAGAGTTGGCCAGGCTGGTCTCGAACTCCTGACCTCAGGAGACCCACACACCTCAGCCTCCCAAAGTGCTGGGATTACAGGCGTGAGCCACCTTGCCTGGCCTTCAGAATGTATTCTTTTTTCCAAATGCTGGCTAGTGTCAGCTTCATTTATGATTAACCCAGCCATTCTCCAGCTTTACATGACCATTAGTTACTGAACTGTTACCAAGTTAGGATCTCCTCAAGGCTCTTTTGTTCCTGATTTAACTCAGTCAACCCAATTTCCCCTTCCCTTTTTCCTACGGCCATTTATGCATCATTAGGCAGGAAGTAGTGAGACTGATGGTATCTGATCCCCAAAGGTCATATATACTGTTGTCCACTGGAGAGAAACCCATTCCATGAGGTCCTTGGACTTCTGTCCCTACCATCCATCACCCACTCTTAGTGCCATGGTCATGCTGCAGTCTCTAGGGGCACAGCCCATGCCACATCTACTGACACATCCCACGTTACTCCCTCTAAGGACCCTTCCAGTCTCCTGGCCCTGCCTCAACCCTCTTGCCTCTCTCTGGAGCCCTAGGAAACTCAAGAGCTCTCTTGACCCATCTAGACCTTGCCATGCCACATTACCTCCCTTGCCCAGCCCCTCTGGCACCATGATGGCCTCTCCCTGGAGCATGCTCTGAAAAGCAGGGCACAGGTCACTCTATTTGGAAATCCCACTCAACATATTAGGCGTTGCTCCCATTTCCCAGCCATATATCCCTTTGGTGAGACCACACAAGCGGTTTGTTCCTGGGCTCTTCTCTCTGCCTCTCTGGAATTCTTTTCCTCCAACTAGACTACCTTGCAGTATCATGGGCTCCTCTCACCCCACTGTCATCTTTGACACCACTCTCTCCTTCACTTCTTGCAGCAAATCCATTACCAAGTCCAGTGGATTTTATCTCCTATATATCTTTTAAATTGACTCAATTCTCTTTCCACTGCTTCCACCTGAGTGGAAGCCACCATCCTCTATTGCCTGTACTTTCTTAATGGCACCTAACGAGTCTCCCTCAGTTACTAGTGCATTCTTTCAATGCACTCTTTATGCGCCCTAAATCCTGCGAAGGCTGGCTTGCGTGGGTCCCTGCCCAATTCAGCCCTAACGGTACCCACCCCCACCTTCCACTTGCCTAGAATGACATACACATCAAAATGTATCTGAAAGTTTGTTAAATGAGGCTGGGTGTGGTGGCTCACACCTGTAATTCCAGCACTTTGGGAGGCCGAGGCGGGCAGATTGCTTGAACTCAGGAATTCGAGACCAGCTGGGCAACATAGTGAAATCCTGTCTCTATAAAAAATACAAAAATTGACTGGGCATGGTGGCACACACCCATAGTCCCAGCTACTCAGGAGGCTGAGGTGGGAGGATCCCTTGAACTAGGGAGGCAGAGGTTGCAGTGAGCTGAGATCACACCACTGCACTCCAGCCTGGGCAATAGTGAGGCCCTGTCTCAAAAAGAAAGGCACCAGTTGTGGTGGCTCACTCCTGTAATCCCAACACTTTAGGAGGCTGAGGTGGGCAGATCACTTGAGGTCAGGAGTTACAGCCCAGCCTGACCAACATGGCAAAACCCCAACTCTACTAAAAATACAAAAATTAGCTGGGCGTGGTGCCACATGCCTGTAATCCCAGCTGCTCAGGAGGCTGAGGCAGGAGAATTGCTTGAACCCGGGAGGCAGAGGTTGCAGTAAGCAGAGATCATGCCACTGCACTCCAGCCTGGGCAACAGAGCAAGACTCCATCTAAAAAAAAAAAAAAAAGGAAGTTTGTTAAATGAATAAATGGAATAAAAACTACAAGGCCACTTCAGTCACATGGAGTCTGATCTTCCCACAAAAAAATAAAAAATTATAAAGTGGGTTACACAAAGAGTGCATCTCCCCCTTTAAGTTTTTGTTTGTTTGTTTTGAGGTGGTAGCAATGGAAGGAAGACGATTTTCTGAGAAAAATCCAGCAATAAATGTCTCGGTAGAAGCTTAGGTACTAGAATTTTTACAATCTGATGATCAATTGGAAAAACTGATTATAAATATACACCCTTGGCATTGCTTAGACAAAATGAATAATATCTTCTTGAGAGCAAATGTTTACTGACTTCTGCAGCATAACTCTATTTTCTAGCGTACCTCACAATACAAATTGTTCTTATGTAAGCCACAGCACCTTAATATGAAATTATTTACTTTTAATAACAGAAAAGTTATTTTTGACTGCAAAGAAACCATAAATCTGGCCTGTTTTGCTTCAGTTCATTTGTTTGGACGGCCATCTGGCAAATTATTCAACACAGTGCAGACAGACTATTCCTCAGTACAAGTCAAATATGTTCTATTTAAAAGCTGATGTTGTGCCTAAGGCTGAGCTGTAATTCTTTTTTCATTTTCTTCTCTTTGCTTTTTATAGCCAAATAAACAAAGGATTTGACTTAGAACTTCTTGTACTTCTTTATCCACCATATGATGATAAAGTAATAAAACTGCTTCCATGTGCCACATTCAAAAACCAGTGTCATAATTTAAGAGAAACAAGAATGGACTGTAGACATTTCTGCGTTCTGGGAGACAGTGATAATTCTTCCCAAGACAGACAGGTCTTTGGTTTTTAGGAAAACACCTCAGAGAACATTGACAATTCTTCTTTAGTGGAAAGAAAAGAAGCCCTTTGGATGCAGCCTGAATAGCCCATTTTTCTGCATAATAAACAAATGGAATTTGGACAGTGAGGCAGTGTGTGTGTGTGTGTGTGTGTGTGTGTGTGTGTGTGTGTGTGTGTGTGTGGCAGGGAGGATAAGGAACCCAGAACTAAGGAAGGAAGCAGGGAGATGTGAGAAGACAGTGCTGCCCCATGGAACTTTCTGTGATGATGGAAATGTTCCGCATTCTGTACTGTCTAACACGGCAGCCACCGAGCGCTTCAACTGTGGCTGATGTAACGGAGAAAATGAATTTTTAAATTAGTTTAATTTAAATGAAAATGACCACACATGGTTATTCTGTCCTGGACAGTGCAGACAAAGGACTTTTCACATCACCCCCTCCCCACCTCCCTAAATATGAGCCATGAGTAGCAGGGAGAGGCCTGGGAAACCACACGGCTCCTGAGGACCTCCCAAGGCAGGGACACTAAGAGGCTTTCAAGAAGGCCAGGCCGGGCGCAGTGGCTCACGCCTGTAATCCCAGCCCCTTTTGGAGACCAAGGCAGGTGGATCTCCTGAGGTCAGGAGTTCGAGACCAGACTGGCCAACATGGTGAAACCCCATCTCTACTAAAAATACAAAAATGAGCCGGGCATAGTGGTGTGTGCCTGTAATCCCAGCTACTCGGGAGGCTGAGGCAGGAGAATCGCTTGAGCCCGGGAGGCGGAGGTTGCAGTGAGCCGAGATTGCGTCACTGCACTTCAGCCTGGGTTACACAGCAAGACTCTATCTCAAGAAAAAAACAAAAAGGAGGTCAATTTTAAGTTGTTGCCCGCTCTATGTTTCTTCTGTCATCCACAGTCCTTCAGTGAATGTCTCTTTTACTAAGGTGCAGTTCATCTCAGCTTGCTGGGACTGCCCCTTGTGCCTGGTGTCCTGGTGTAATTCAATCAGTTCAGCCTGTAGTCCTAGCTACTCAGGAAGATTACCTGAGCCCAGGAGTTCAAGACCAACCTGAGCAATATAGTGGAACTCTGTTCAAAAAAAAAAAAAGAAAACAAAAGTGTCCCCCTTGGACAATATATCATATTGACACCCTTCTTAAGCACTTGGCTTTGTATTTGTGGTGCTGTGGGGATTTAGGGAGAGGAGTGTAAAGAGATTCCTTAGGTTGGCCTTCCCTGCCACTGCACTGCTCCACAGCAGCCTCATACAGGAAGTGGGACGGAGGGGAGGGGAGCAGAAGTGAGGCCAAGCTGTCTTTCCTCAAGTAAATCAGAGGAAGGGGGTGGAGGGATGTGTGGAGAGCCAGTTACAAAAATGAGAAAAGGGGCTGGGCGCGGTGGCTCACGCCTGTAATCCCAGCATTTTGGGAGTCTGAGGCAGGAGAATTGCTTGAGGTCAGGAGTTCGAGACCAGCCTGGCCAACATGGGGAAACCCTGTCTCTACTAAAAATACAAAAATTAGCCAGGCGTAGTGGCACACACCTGTAATCCCAGCATCTCAGCTACTCGGGAGGCTGAGGCATGAGAATCACTAGAACCTAGGAGGCGGAGGTGGCTGTGAGCTGAGATAGTGCCACTGCACTCCAGCCTGGGTGACAAAGCGAGACTCCGTATCAAAAAAAAAAAAAAAAAAAAGAGAGAGAGAGAAATAAAGCGTTTCTGGAACTTTCGAGCTTTGTCAAGGAAATTGGGCAGATTGTCTTTCCACTTTCCTGTGCTTGACAGAATTCAGTGTTAGTAGGCAGCACACTCTAATGCAGTTAAACCTATAAGAACACTTGTAAACTTCTTTAAAGCATAGAGTTCAAAGTAAAATTATCCGAGATTTCCACCAGGATACTATAAAACTAAACTTGCCATGTATGGTAAAGTACAATCAAAAAGTCTTACAGCCTGAGCTTTAACTAAAATATATTATATATTCATTTCTAACTTTAGGCCCAACATTTTGTTTGTTTATGCGTGAACAAATAAAATTGATACCCCACAAGAACAGGCAACCAAAGCAAAAATGGACAAATGGGATCACATCAAGTTAAAAAGCTTCTGCCCAGCAAAGGAAGCAATCAACAAAGTAAAGAGACAGACCACAAAATGGGAGAAAATATTTGCAAACTACTCATCTGACGAGGAATTACTAATCAGAATATATAAGGAAAAAATCTAATAATCTGACATAAAAATTGGCAAAACATCTGAAAAGACATTTCTCAAAAGAAGACCTACAAATGGTAAATGGGTATGTAAAAAGGTGTTCAACATCATTGATTATCAGAGAAATGCAAATCAAAAACTACAATGAAATGTCATCTCACTCCAGTTAAAATGGCTTTTATCCAAAAGACAGGCAGTAACAAATGCTGGCGAGAGGATGTGGAGAAAAGGGGACCCTCATACACTGTTGGTGGGAAAGTAAATTGGTACAACCACTATGGAGAACAGTTTGGAGGTTCCTCAAAAAACTGAAAATAGAGCCACCACATGATCCAGCAATCCCACTGCTGGGTATATACCCAAAAGAAAGGAATCAGTATATTGAAGAGATAGCTGCACTCCCATGTTTATTGCCAAGATTTGAAAGCAATCTAAGTGTCCATCAACAGATGAATGAATAAAGAAAATGTGGTATATATAAACAATGAAGTGCTATTCAGCCATTAAAAAAAAAAAAAAATGAGACCCTGTCAGTTGCAACAACATGGATAGAACTGGAGGTCATTATGTTAAGTGAAATAAACCAGGCACAGAAAGACAAACTTTGCGTGTTCTCTCTTATTTGTGGGAGCTAAAAATGAAAAGAATTGAATTCGTGGAGATAGAGAATAGAAGGATGGTTACCAGAGGCTGTGGGGGAAGGGGGGATGGTTAATGGGTACCAAAAAAAATAATAATTGGACAGAGTGAGTAAGATCTAGTATTTGCTGGCACAACTGGGTGACTATAGTCAAAAATAATTTAATTGTGTATTTAAAAATAACTAAAAGAATATAATTGGATTGTTTGCAACACAAAGGATAAATACTTGAGGGAATGGATACCCCATTTACCCTGATTACCCATTGCATGTCTGTATCTAAATATCTCCTGTAACCCACAAATATATACACCTACTATATGCCCACAAAAATTTAAAAAAAATTTTTAAAGTCCTACATGGAGAGGAATATTTTTGATTTCTCACTTGGCATATTTGTAATAGAGAACTAGACATTGTTACTACAACTGTCCTAAATCTACTGTACCTGTGAAACACTTGAAGAATCGTTAACTTTATTTCCATATATACACAAGATGTAGCTTTGTTGTTTTTATGGCTCCAGCACACAAATGCCTAGGCTTCATTTCACAGGCCACCTAAATACCCGAGGTGAGAGGGCAGCAAGCAGCAGGCTGGTGGAGAGTGGGCTCTGGAGTCAGCCTTCCAGTTTTGAATCCTGCTTCTACCAACTTAGTTTTCTTATCTGTAAAATGGGGATAATTTTAGTAATTACCTTGTAGGGCTGTTAGAGGATTCAACTAGATAATCCCAATAGGTCACTTAGCACCATCCCTGGCAAGCAATATGTGCTCTCCAAGTGATGACGCCAACGCTTATGATGACAATGATGATGAAAATGATGACCATGATGACAATTAGTGACTCATTGGTAGGGAGAGAGACAGGAAAATCTGATAATGTAAATATAAATTTGAAAAGAAGTAATAAAGGCATACTATATAAAATGGGTCCTGACTGAGGGTTCATTTTTGCTACTGTAAGACAATAATATCAACCGTGTGAGTCATTCATTCATTATTCCCCTTTGCATACTCTGTGACAAATTCTGTTTTCTGTCTAATAGAATGTGAATTCTTTGAGAGAAAGAGTATACTGTACATTGACATGAATTTGTATCCTGGAAACCAGCATAGTACTTGAAATGTGGAAAGTAATCAACAAATATTTATTGATCTCTTTTATGCAACAATTACTGCCTGAGCATTGCCTGCCATGTGACAGGCACTGATGTGCTAAATGCTAAGGACACATGCCTGGCTCACCGGAGGGGGTCAGTGGAGGAACAAGTTGATCACACGAAGTCAGAATATTCTCTTTAATACGTTAGAACAGTAGAAATCTTGCCTGTCACATATAAATAAATCTGACTTATTTCCTGAGATGTCCACTCTTGGTAGTCTTAGGCTAAGCTAGGAGAACTTACAGGCTCCAAGAAGCCTCACTCAATGCTGGCTTCACTTGAGGAATGGAGCAGGAAACAGCACACCAGGAGGAGCGCTCCCAGAAGTCCAATGGTTAGTTTTAAGGGCCTGAGTCACAGGTCAGAGATGAGGGCCTGAGAACATACAGGTGGGTGCAGAAGCCTCCCTGGCCCCTACCCATCAGGAACTATTTCTGCTGAGCCACAGCTCTCGAGTCCCAGCAAGCAGAATGCCCCATTACAAGTCAGGGCACCCAGTAAGCCCAAAGCTATGCGTCCTCCCTGCACAGTCATGTTCACTCCTGGTCCTCCCTGTCCATATGCAGCTTACCAATCACAAGCCATTCTTAGCATCAGCGGTGTTGCCTGGTAACACAGCTAGCACTTCTAGCAGGTTTCCAGGATAACAGGGCTAGAAAGTTAACCCAAGATCGTTTTGTTCATAGGGAAGGAGAAAATGCTTTTGTTAACTTGTACTCCCACGGCCCCATTCCTGGCCCCGCTGAGCTTCCCAAATCTTATTAGAAATCACCAGCGAGAGGTCCCTGATGCACCCTAAACTCAGTGTGTATGAGACCCATGTAATTCTCTCCTCTCTCCCTGCCTGACCTCTTTGATGAAGACAGGCATCATCCATTCAATCCTCCCTTGCACAGACTCCTTGCATGGCCTTCCATTCCAAACTCCTGAGCTCTGAGACAATCAGGGCTCTTCAGAACCTAAGCCTGGTTAGCTCTAGCCGCTTCCACACACACCGAACCCTTTAGACACAGGCTATTTGCCAGCATCACTAGAAAATACTCACAGCCTTTGTTCAGATCTGGAATATCCTTCCACTCCTGGCATCTGTCCAAATAAGTCTTCAGACTCTTGAAAAACCAACTCGAGTGTCACCTCTGGGAAACCACAAATTAATCTCCAGAACTAACTAATCCCTCCCTCTTCTCCTGTAGCCCATGTGAGGCCTCCGCTGCAGCACTGCCCACCTGGCTGTGGCCACCATTACCCACAGAGCTGCTGGCAGAGAGGAAAACGTGCCTTATCCATATTGTTTCCCCAGAGCTATGGGCGCGTCTCTGCACACAGCGTACCGCACAGTCCGCTAGCTTGAATCCAAATGGTAGCGTCGAAGCTGGACCTTAAGACATGGGTGGAACTTCAGACAGGCAAACAAGGGGGAAAAAAAAGGCCCAGACAGTGAGGACACATTTGGGGAACAGAGAGTCTACTTTGCTGGCACGTGGATCCTTGGACACAAATAAACATTCAAGATTTGCTGTGATCATGTCCCAACCTAAGAAACTTAACCTTTATTCAGTAGGAAATGGTAGTAACTCACTATTAAAACTATGCAAGGGACTTTTCAAATGTTTGAAAGGTTACACCACAATGCAGTCCCCTAAGTATGATTATTTCTAAATGATAAAATGCATAGATATTTGAGTAACAAAAAAGGTTTTCTCAAATCAAGGCTATAAACGCTCAATGAAGGATGCACTGTAAAAAGTAGTAAGACTGCTGTATGTGATTTCAACTATCCTAATACACGGCCTTTAAAATGAAGGACAATTGTCAAGGCTGTATAGTGTGTACCAACAGACCTACATGAATGCCATCTTTGGCTTCTGAACCTCCCTTCATGCCCTGTTATCACAGAGCATCAGTCATTAATATGAGATTATGAAGACCTGGTGATCCAAAGGCACAGCTCACCACTGAACGACAAATGAGAGGAGCTGGGGCAACCCACATGCCAAATAATACAAGCATTTGCTGTCAAATTCAAGCAGTTAGAGGCTAAGAAAAATACTACACAAGACCCAATGTACTCTTTCCAATTCTCATTTTTGTGGAAATGAACAATAAAAATTATTCTATGTGATTATAACCTTTCCTTCCTCCTTCTCCCATTTTGCCAGGAACAGACTGACCTTCCAACTAATCAACCCCAGAATCGTTTTTAAACACCTCATATGTTAATAGTATTCTCTCAGAAACTGTGAGGTAAAGAGGAAAAGAAAATACTTATAACAAAGTTCCTGCCATGGAGAAATATGTCTCACTGGAAATAAAATGGGAAAAGTTAAGAAATAAAATTGGAAAGATTTCCAAGATGCATCATTGAACAAAAAAAGCAAGGTGCAAGCTAATGTCATATAGTTTGCTCCTATTTGCATAAAAATGTCTATGGGACATACAGATGTCTA
This sequence comes from Homo sapiens, assembly GCF_000001405.40. NCBI lineage: Eukaryota > Metazoa > Chordata > Mammalia > Primates > Hominidae > Homo > Homo sapiens. The sequence goes on along the minus strand of NC_000008.11, from coordinate 80,613,884 downwards.
TATAGGCAAGTTTCTGTATGAAAATTTTCTGAATGATATACAAAAATTTTTGCTGCCAGCCGACATGATGGCATATGTCTGCAGTCCCAGCTACTCAAGAGGCTGAGGTTGCTTGAGTCCAGGAGTTCTGGGCTCTAGTGCGCTATCCCAATCGGGTGTCCACACTAAGTTCAGCAACAATAGGGTGACCTCACGGGAGCAGGGGACCACCAGGTTGCCTAAGGAGGGGTGAACCAGACCAGGTCAGAAATGAACCAGGTTTAAATTCCCGTGCTGATTAATAGTAGGCTCACACCTGTGAATAGCCACTGCACTCCAACCTGGGCAACATAGCAAGACCTGGTCTCAAAAAAAAAAAAAAAATTGTTGCAGATGTTCATCTCTGGAGAGTGGGTCTGGTGGGTGGGTTCAGAAAGACATTTTTAATTCTACACCACCTTATACTGTTTGCTTACCATGTGCATATGTTTCTTTAATTTTTTAAAATTGTAAATACTGCAAACAAAAAAACACCACAAAGTAATACATAATTACACAGCAAGTGAATAGGAGAGAAACCAACATTTATTGACGACCTCGTAGGAGCCAGGCATAACTCCCTACGGCCTCCCAATCACGACGGCCCCGCGGGTGTGGTTATGATGTTTCTGGCCCCTGGAAACCAGCCTGCAACCTCTCCTCATGCTGTTCTGCCACCTCAGGCAAACCCACAGTTGGCTCTGGCTCTGAGCTTTTTCTAGCATATGGGATGTGGCCAAATTTGGATTGTTTCCCAGGGAGGGTAAATAGCGTGTTGGAGATTGAGTTGAAACAACCAAACTCCTTTTTAGCAAGCCAATAGGATCAATCCAGGGCTTGTAAAGTACTACCTAAATCATCTGTAGTTCCTTTGACTGCTTCTTTCATCTTGAAGGCTATGAAACAAACATACACTTTACAACTTAATATATGCTGCTTTCAGAACTATTTACCCCACGTGGAAACCAAACACCCTGCAGAGCTTCCTCACTTTATTTCTGTGGATGGAAGGAAGTGCTTTCTATTAATATCATTGTTAATAAAAACAAATGAAAGATATGATTTCCATAAATTACAGTGAATGTATATTTTTATTAAACATTTATCAAATACTGCCCTCTGGTGGACAACTCAGTAAAACCTTGTGCTAAAAATAGATTTTTTAAAAATTTAAGTTGCCTTGCCAAGGCTAGAAAATTAAGTCTTAAGATGTGTTTTAAAAGAGAACAAAATAAATATAGGCATATGTTTTGAAATTAGATATTCACCATTTAGCAATCATTTCAATTACCTCTATCTTTCATAAAATGGTGACGTTGTCATTATTTTCTTAAATATTTACCTTGCTGGGAAAGTTTTACCTTAACACACAAATATAGCCTATTTTCCAAGGGAAACCTGAGTTAACCTCACAAAGACCCCAACAATTTTTTTAAATGTATACTCTTTAATAAAAGTTACATCTAGAGCTGTCTGGATATGCATAATCATTTTTAAATCATCTATCGGCAGTTCTGAGTTTTCATATTGTTGAACCAGAGCTTGAAAGTACAGCTTTTACAATGCAAGGGCATTTTAGCAACAAAGCAGGAGGAGGCCTGGGTTTGGTATTCTTCCCCTGGACTTTTCGGCAGCCACTTAGAAATGCTTTTGCTTTTCTGCCTCATTGCCTGAAAGTCATTCATCACTTAGTTTAATATAAATGGGGAGCCAAACATATACACACAGCCAAGATTTCTATGCTTTACAAATTATCATTTTCCAGCCAGGTCATACTGTGTATTTACAGTATAATTCTACCATCCTCACCCCCTACCTCCACCCTAGAAGGCCAGATTACTTTACCCAGACCTTCACAGAGCTATTCTTAACCCTACTGCCTACATGCAAGGGAGGAGGAAAGAGAACCCACGAGAGTTGAGCAACCTTCCAGCGCCTGGGGCAGAATCCCTGCAGCAGATCCCAACTCCCATTCTCATGCCTCATCCCCCAGATGGCTTTGACACCCTACCCATGCAAAGACAGGGAGAAAAAAAATACGTTTAAAATCTCAAAGAGCGTGCGTTTGGCACAGCAGGCTCTGCTCCACTTAACCTTTCTAAGCTGCGGTGCTTGGCATCCTGTTGCCCCAAACAGGTGACCTCCTCATGCGCTGACCTAGGTAGCTCAGATGTGCTCAGATGGCTCAGGTGAGCCCCGTGCACCGGAGGAGGCGCCAGGCGGGTGGCGCTGATGGGACCACGCTCGCCTCCCCTTCCAGGCTTGCCCTGCTGCTCCCCAGGGACGTTCCTCCCTGCAGGAGGTGCGGTCAAGGTGAAGACACAGCTGAGCTCAGCCAGTGCCTCAAAGTGGCCTTTACAACCTTGTACCCAGCTCAGCCACCTGGCCTCACACTCCAAATTCAGTGTTGTTTACCCTGTCTCAGCCCACCCTGTCCTCCTTACCTTCCACATTTAAAATTGCAAAAGCATAAGTAAACACCACAATGACACCCTTTGTTTGAAAAGTGTGATTTTGACATCCAAGAAGGAAAGCAGAAATAACTTGGAGAGAATTCAGATTTCCCATAGCACAGAGTTTTAGGAGAGATTCCCCAGTGGACCTGCCTGGGCCCCACCCACCCAGCCCCAATGTAACGCTCCCTGAGTTTCCTGCCATGCAGCTGTTATTATCACCTCTGTTATAAAACTCTCTCTCTTAACTTACAATTATCACCCCTTTCATCTTTGCTGAGGGGGTTCCCTTTGATCCAGAGGGTGGCTTCTTCCTGCTGTGAGCCTGGAGACGCCTCAACTGGTATTGCTGCCACACTTTCTTAAACTTCCAAATATTTTATCTGTCCTTCTCCTGCTCACTTTTTCTTGCTGGGAGAAACACATCCAGGGTGGAAGTGCTGCATGTGAACCAAGTTTGTTTTTTTTTTTAAACACAGACACCTGTGATAAGATGGCATGGACTATGAAAAAATATAATGGATAAAATAATGCTTGCACACATTTTGCTTAAAGCAGAAAGAGGAGAGGGAGGGGGTGGAAGATAAAGAAGGGGAGGGGAGGGGAGGGAACAATGAGAAAGGGAGAGGGAGAAGGAGAGAGAGGGAGAGAAAACCCTTCTCACGTTAGGCCACATAGGAATAAAGGCAGGAAGAACCCCCAGTTCTCTTCTCCATAATCTGCGGACCAGCTGCAGACCATGCAGGACCCAGTACACAATGAAAATGTACGGCCTTTTGTTCAAAAATGAGGAAGAATTTCAAATTACAGCAGAGCATCAAACTAAGAATGAGTTCTTCTGAGTCCTATTCGACTCTGCTATACCAGTCCCATGCCCACGAAGCCGGCTCTGCTTCCTACCAGAAATCAAAACAGCAGCCTTGCTGTATGAGCGACTATTTTGGATTTTTTTCTCCAGCATGGACAGCCCGGCAATGGTGACTGGCTTGTCCTGGTTTGCCCGGGACTATCCTAGATGTAGCAGTGCAAAATCCACATCCTGGTATTCCCCTTAGTCCCAGGCAAATCAAGACATTTGGTCACCATCCCCTACTGTATAGACCAGTTTTAATGATAAAGCTATCCTCTGACTTTCCACCGCTCTTAACTTCATGTCAGAACCGGCAGTGGTTTTAGGCCAATCCCCATCTCTGCAGCTGGTAGGAAGTTATTCCAAGTGCCCACAGATTTATTCCTTTATTTATCATGTCCCCAGACAGGAGGCTGCTGAACCATGATTCTGAGCTCACGTGTGTCAGAAGGATGCCAAAAATGGTGTTCATATGAAGCAGAACCTCTTAGACTTTCCTGTAACTCAACTTTAGGAAGAAAACTGCATTTCAGGGTTTGGTGGCGGTGCATTTTACAGTCTTTTTGTTTTAAGGTGTGATAATACTCCAATGATTGTGTGAAATATCATCTCTCTTAAAACAATCATGTATTATATAATGTCTGTCTGTGAAACAAATTATTTTTTAATTCATTAAAATTAACACAAAATATACCCACGTAAACCTAATGAACTGCCATTTTGTTCTGGAGGGACAATATAAGCTAAAAATTAAACTTCACAGGCTCATTTATTGTTACACATGAATGGAGCCTGGGCATAGTGACTCATGCCTATAATCCTAGTGCTTTGGCAGCCCAAGGCAGGAGGTTCACTTGAGCCTAGGTGTTCAAGACCAGGCTACACAACACAGGGAGACCCCATCTCTACAGAAGAAAATTAGCCAGGCATAGTAGCACACACCTGTAGTCCTAGCTACTCAGGAGGCTGAGACAAGAAGGTTGTTTCAGCCCGGGAGTTTGAGTCTGCAGTGAGCCAGGATCCTAGATGCAGAGTGAGATCCTGTCTCTAAAATAATAAAAAAAAATTTAAAAATTACTTGAGCACTCACCAAGCACTTTGCTGGGCCTGGAGATATCTTGATGAATACAGTGCCATCTCCTCCTTGGAACTGCTTATAGGTTAATACTTAGATGTTCTTAGTAATGTACTAATGCCAAGATTAGTCCATTTCCTCCTTACACAGTTACTCAGCCATGCTTGAGTTTGCCTGCTGCTCCCTACTTCATAATTTCTCCCCACATAGTTAACAGTCAATGCTTCAGTTAATTTCTGACATATTTTTCACTGAGAAAATAGATGCCACTGGCTGGGCACGTGGCTCACGCCTGTAATCCCAGCACTTTGGGAGGCTGTGGCAGACAGATCACCTGAGGTCAAGAGTTCGAGACCAGCCTGGCCAACATGGAGAAACCCCATCTCTACTAAAAATACAAAAATTATCCAGGCATGGTGGCACATGCCTATAATCCTAGCTACTCAGGAGGCTGAGGCAGGAGAATCGCTTGAACCCAGGAGGTGGAGGTTGCAGTGAGCCAAGACTATACCATTGCACTCCAGCCTGGGCAACAAGAACAAAACTCCATCTCAAAAAAATATATATATATATAGATGCCGTTGCCCAGAACCTCCTGAAGCCTCCCAAAATCAAATGGACCAACCTACCTGCCTTCATCCATTCCCCACTCTGCTGGCCTCCTTCCTATAAGCCCCAATGCAGAGCCTGGTCCCATCATAGTCCAATCCTCCACCAGATATTCTGCAGTTCATCCCTCTTGTCTCCTGAAGGACTTACCTTCTAGAGCCAAACTACTTTGAAGTATTTGTTCTGTCTTGCAGTTCACCTTCCAAAAAAGGTAGTTGTCAAAGTGGGGCCTCTAACCTGTCAGTATCAGCATCACCTGAGACTTGTTAGAAATACTGATACTTGGGCTTTGGTGGCTCACGCCTGTAATCCCAGCACTTTGGGAGGCTGAGGTAGGAGAATTGCTTGATGCCAGCCTGGGCAACATGGCAAGATCCCTATCTCCACAAAAGAAAGGAAATTAGCCAGGCATGGTGGTGCATGCCTATAGTCGTGTCCTAGCTACTCAGGAGGCTGAGGCAAGAGCATTGCTTGAGCCCAGGAGTTCGAGGTTACAGTGAGCTATGATCACACCACTGCACTCCAGCCTGGGCAACAGAGTAAAAGTTTCTCTCTAAAACAAATTAAAAATTAAATTTAAGAAAAAAAGCCCTCTGGTGTTCCTGATGTATGCTAAAGCTTGACAGCTGTGGATCTATGGCTGAAACTCCTCAATGTTCCTCCACACCACCTCTGAAGTGTCCAAGGCAAGGTGGATAGCTCACCAGTACCCTAACGAGAGAGCTCGCTGGAGCAGGCTGGAGGCCGCTGTCCTCAGCCCTCTCCCGATCCTATTTTTATTAATGACTTGGATGGAAGTACTGAGGGCACGCTGATCTCATTAACAGATGACAGATAGCTGGATGGGGTAAAGGAGATGTTGAATGATGACATCAGGACCCAAAGACACAAAGTGACGGTCCAAATCTATCAAGACGAAACTTAATAGGGGATATTAGTTAGAATTAGATTCCACTTTGAGTGACAGAAAACCCAAAATAGCACTGGCTTATTAAGATAGAAATTTATTTCTCATTCACATAAATGAACTCTGGAAGTATCAGGCCACAGTCAATGTGGTGGCTCTGTTCCCTGGAGTTCTGAGGATTCAAGCTCCCCATCCAACTCACTACCATCCTACTCATCCAACTCATCCACCATTCCTACGGCCTCTTCCTCAAGCTGAAGATGGAGACATCCATGTTCCAGATAGCACAACGGAGAAAGGTTGGAGAACAGCGTCCATTCTTGCTGGTTTTTGAGGGTTCCACATGCTACTGCTGTGCTTCTGCTTGCATCCTATTGGCCAAAGTTGTGCCTATTGGCACAGAGGCAATGGACACTAAGAATTGTAGTCTATTTGTCTAAGCAGCTCAGCTAAAAATGCTATTACATGGACAAAAGAGAGAGCAAATATTGGGACACAATAAGCAGTCTCTGCCAACCAAAGCAAAAATAAAGCCTGTCGGGCTGGGTGTGGTGGTTCATGCATATATTCCCAGCACTGTGGGAGATCATGGTGGGAGGATCACTAGAAGCTAGGAGTTCAAGAGCAGCCTGAGCAACGTAGCAAGACCCTGTCTACAAAAACAATAAAAATCAGCCAGGTGGCCAAATGTGATGGCTCACACCTGTAATCCCAGCACTTTGGGAGGCTGAGGCAGGCAGATCCCAAGGTCAAGAGATCGAGACCATCCTGGCCAACACAGTGAAACTCCGTCTCTACTACAAATACAAAAATTAGCTGGGCGTGGTGGCGCACTCCTGTAGTCCCAGCTACTCGGGAGGCTGAGGCAGGAGAATCACTTGAACCAAGGAGGTGGAAGTTGCCATGAGCCAAGATCACACCACTGCACTCCAGCCTGGTGACAGAGTGAGACTCGGAGACTCTGTCTCAAAACCAAAAAAAAAAAAAAAATTAGCCAGGCATGTTGGCATGCACCTATAGTACCAGCTACTCAGGAGGCTGAGGCAGGAGGATCTCCTGAGCCCAGGAGTTTAAGGCTGCACTGAGCTACGATCATGCCACTGCACTCCAGCCTGGGTAACAGAGTAAGATCCTGTCTCAAAGCAATTAAAAATAAATAAACAAAAGCCCTTCATATAATCCCTAAAATGCAAACGCCCCTCCAAGGTTTTGGTGTTAAAGAAGGAGGTAGGCAGTAATAACCACACAAGCAGTCCTCAGCTGTTCCCGTGCGAAGACAGAAAACCCAAGCCATACTGGGTTTTAAGTAAAAAGAGAAGATGTGGGATACATAACTGACATTTCCAGAAACAGTATTAGCTTCAGGAATGTCTCAAATGATGTCAGCAAAATTTGACTCTCTTCCTAGCTCAGCTCCACAGCCTCCCATGCTAGGTTTATTCCTGGGCTATACATGGTGGCAAGATGTCCATCAGCAGGTCCAGGTTCCCATCTCCTGGACCTTTGGTGAGAGCAGGGAGAGAGTCAAGTTCACGCTCCTCTACCCTCACCTCCACTCATTCTTCAGGTCAGCTTCCTCCAGCAAGGTGGTTCTCAACCCTGGCTATGCATTTTTAGATTCCTGATGCCCAGGATCCCATCCCCAAATCTGGTTTTATTGTTTCACGGTAGGGGACTGGCACTTTAAAAATCTCCCCAGTGATTCTCTGCTGATTCTCCTGAGCATCCAGGGTGGAGAACACCTGCTCTCACATTGTGGGAAAATGGACTCTTTCCCTCTCTGGAGTCACTTCCCGAGATGCTCTCTGTGGAGGTCATGCGTCTCCATCAAGTTCTGCCTCACCGTGGCCCCTTCACTGTACTGCTGGTCACCATGTCACCCCCTGCACCTGTGTTCCCTTCATGGGATCCAGCTTTTCTTTATGGGGCCTGAGGGAGAGAAAGCCAAGGAGGCACCTCTTGACTGTCCTACCCTTCCATCTCTCCAATCACCTGGTTATCAAGGTTGACTTTCTTTTATTGAAGGACTGGGGAAATTTTAAAAGGGAAATACCAGTAAGAAGAAAAATATTCTACATTTTGGGGCCATCTGCTCATAGTCTATAATGGAAATTGAGGACTAGGACTTGAGGAATGTCAACAATAAAAGCTCCATAGCAAGGATTAGCCCATCAAAGAAACCGTGAAGGATTAGCTAGAGAGGCCACAGGAAACCCACAAGAGCACAGACTTCTGGAAGAAAACAGAGGCTGGAAATGATCAGAGACTAAGTGACTTACTGCTCCATTCTTCTGTCTAGCGACCCTTACCTGTCATCCACACTGGTGACTACTTCTTTCAATGAAATACAAAATTCCAAATTTCACATGAAGCTCAAGTTACTACCTTTTGGCTGGGCATGGTGGCTCACGCCACTTTGGGAGGCCAAGGTGAGAGCGTTGCTTGAGCACAGGAGTTTGAGAGCAGCCTGAGCAATATAGCAAGATCCCCGTCTCAATTTTTTAAAAAGTTACTACCTTTTGACACGTTATGAGTAGATATTCAGATTTCTTTACAATAAAACAGGGGCTCATGAAAGGCTAGATCTTAAAAGATAGGGCTCCTCAAATCCCACAAATATTAAATCAGATGTCTGTGGTTCCCAAACTATGTGCTGAGGTACGCTGGGTCACTGTAGTGAAGAAGATGAGCACTGCAGGAGGTTTCAAGCTTTTGAGGGAAACAAGGTGACATCTGCCAGGCACTGTACAAATGCTACCATTAAGTTATTTGGACTTTAATAAACCAAAATGTTTTATATCTATATTTGTATATATATATGTGTGTGTGTGTGCATATATATAAAAATCTATATATATATATATAAATCTATATATATAAATCTATATCTGTATATATAAATCTATATCTATATATATATATAAATCTTTTGGCCTAGGGCCCATGCATAAATAACTGAATGACTATAGCTATGAACTGAGAAAGTTTGGGAACTTCTAAAATAGGTAACTGATTGACCACAGCAGACCAATAGCTCTCTCTCTCTTCATCCTACTTGGCATCATTGCAGCTGTCAGCCTAAAAATATGACACCCCAAAAGCACAAGTATTTTTTCCTTTTTACAGCTCTAAGGGAATTGTTTCTGTTCAGAAACTATAAACAACCTATGGGTTGAGAGAAATTAGAATGTACAATAGAAATAATCTAAATAACGTACTAAATTAAAATATTTTATTTCAAACCATGACACATCTGAAGAAACTGAATTTACATTCAGAATATTTTCAGATTTTATATGCTTTGCCTTCAGCCAAGCACTTCAGGGTAGGTGTTTTAAAATCAAACAAGGAAATAAAACCATGAGGTTATAATCATAGGCTATATCCTGTTTATGTCAATTAAATTTGTTCAATCTCACAACCAAAGAGCAAATGTCTAATTCTGGTTTTCTATCTGTGTGTGTCAGGATAGTCTTGACTGTGTTTCAGTAAGTCCCCAAAAGGGAAACGCTAAAATATCAGTGGATGAACTGAAAAAAAAAAAAAAAAGCCTTATTTCTCACTTACAGAAGTCTGCTGTGGTTTAAATGTCTTTCTTCCATTCTGTAGCTATGTCAACTGAAACACCTGGCCTTCAGAGTCATGAGTCAAGGAAAGAAAGAGAGGCAGGAAGCATTACTAGCTCTTAATTGCCACAGCCTAGGAGTGACACAGGTTACTCCCATTCACAGTTCATTGGCCAGAACTTGTCATGTGGCTATACCCTCTCTGCAAGAGATGCTGGGAAATGCAGGGGAGACCATGGAGACTTGGAGAGCACTCTCTCTCCCTGCCACAATCCACTTAGTTATAGAACAGCAAGAGAGAATATGAATTCAATAATTCATTCATTCATTCACTAGACGATATTTATTGAGGACCTGCTATGTGTTGGATGTTGTGCTTATGTTCTAGTAGGGAATGATAGACAAGAAACAAGATAGCAAAAAATAAACAAGAAGATAATCACAGATTGTGGTGTGCACTCTTAATTAAATTGTTCAACACAGCTTCTCTGCTATAGCGACGTTTTGTCAATTTTTAGATTCTGTGTGGATGCTGATGAATCAACAGTAAGACTATTTGCTATTAATCATATCACCTCTCCTGCCATGACTGGACCTCCATGTTGGAATTCCATCAGATTTGATTTATTGACAAGCAAAGTTTCAAAATATGTTAAACTTAATTTTAAATTGAGGTTAAAAAATGTTATGCACATAATAATTTCATCCCAAGAACTGGACTCTATGAGACAATATGGAAATCCATACATTATTATGCTAACATAGCAATTCCTGGCCGTTGAGATTATATGTAATTTTCTTTTTTTCATTTACAGCAACTCATATATATTTTCTAATTCATCTTTAAGAAACATTGGTTATTTATTAATATAATAATGAAAAATAAAATGTATAAAGACTGTCTATGTGGGTTAAAAGGCTAAATAACTTATAGGTTATACAAATTATCCCAGGAGAACAAAGGTGTAATTTTTTGAGTTTGCTATTGGGAAAGTCAAGAAAGCAGCCACATTTGGAACACGTGGGGGTGTTCTCAGAGTTAGGATTCTTTTTCTCTTGTGGGATGGGAAAATTGGGCTTTCTTGGAAGAGAGAAAAAAGAGATAATAGTATGATGCTCTACGAAAAGGGAATATAGCTGTTCTGGAATAAATCTGAAAAGGTTTTTTACTTCTAAGTCCATGCTGTATAACATCATCAGCCCACAGGGAGGGAGTGTGCCAGTTACCTGCATGACAATGCAATTCAGTGTAAGACCTAAAGATGCTGGAAATCAGCACACTCTGTGAGGTTTGGGGAGAATGGGGCGGGGGGGAGCCCCATTTGCTGAGGCCCAAGCAATAAGCATGAGAAAGCACAGGATGAGTCCAGAGTCACAGTTCATTTACCCAGTGAGGTCAACGAACAAGGGAAGATGACAAATTTGCCTGGAGATTCTTCTGGGCATTAGAACAATAATAACTACAGTAATGGTGATGATGAGGATGCGCAGTTCTGGAGTCTTAATAGAATGCCAGGAAATGTACTACAGGTGTTATTTGCAATATCTCATTCAAGGTATTGTTTACAGGTTCATTCATATCCATGTTATAGATTCCACTATTTTAATGTCTTGGCCTGCTCTGTGGGAGCATCGTCACAGGAGGGTGAGGTGTGGAAGAATACTTCAAGGTTCAGGCAGGTAACAATTCCCAGGTGCAAAGAGGCAGGAGCCCAGAAAGCGCAGGCAGCGAGCCCACGCAGCAAGCGATATGGAGGTTACATTAATAATAAATATATAAAGTGATTTACTATTTCTGGATGGGAAAAAATTCTTGATGGGAAAGAATTCTTTTTCTTACTCGGGAATTCTCCACTGAATGCTAAGTGAAGACTAAAGAACTGGAATCATAAAAGAAGGCATATGGGGAATGATCCAGAACGTGGCAAATTATCCTTGCTCTTTTTTTGCTGCATTCCATTAAGCACTTATTCCGTTCCCTTCCCATCTTGGGGCACAATTCTGGGACTGTGGAAACATCTTTAAGCCAAAAGTGAGGGCCAGGAAGGAAAATGTTAAGAAGTATCTTGAATGGCTGTTTCTCTAGGCACAGGCAATAGAACATATCTGAAAGGAGAGCCAAAAAACTGTCCATAATCAAACACACTATTTCCACAGCATGGCCGGGTGCAGTGGCTCATGCCTGTAATCCCAGCACTTTGGGAGGCTGACGCAGGCAGATCACCTGAGGTCAGGAGTTTGAGACCAGCCTGACCAACATGGTGAAACCCCATCTCTCCTAAAAATACAAAAATTAGCTGGGCGTGGTGGTGCACGCCTACAGTCCCAGCTACTCGGGAGGCTGAGACAGGAGAATCCCTTGAACCCAGGAGACGGACGTTGCAGTGAGCTGAGATCATGCCACTGCACTCCAGCCTGGGTAACAGAGTGAGACTCTGTCTTAAAGAACAACAACAACAAATATTTCCATAGCAACAAAATAAGAGCTTCATGTCTGCTCAGGCCATGTTTTATATATTTTGTAAAGTACTCATTTACACCTAAAATTGCTAATTCTCCAGAGTTCTGGCTCTTTTGTCATCTCTTTCACTGCATTATTAGCCTGGCACATCCCTTCAGCAGCTCCAAATAACATGTGTGCTTTACCTACACTTTAAAATTTTCTTTTTTAAGATAGCAGTTTTTTTCAAACTTTAGTTTTTAGAGTTTGAGGATTTGGGAACTGTGATTAAAGAGTTGTAATAGGAATGTGTAATTAAAATTTTTACAATGTATATGTACTTTTTCAGCAAAAGTATTAATGATTTCTAAACAATGTTTGTTTGTGAAACTAACTAACAGGTAAAACTCTAGTTTCTGGCTATCTGGCAGCCATAGCCTCTGAATGTCTTTCATGTAGGCTATAAACTAACAAGCTTCAGTCCTTTAATTTAAATTTCTCTCTTCCACTTGTTTTCTAGACAACACCCCCTTTATCTGTTTGTCCTTCCTGTTTTCCTGAAACACCTTGAGTCTCTCCAGGGTGGGCAGATACCGTAGCCTAGGCCTGCCTTGTACCTGAGTCTCTGCCCTCACTTGTAACAGGACCCACATTGACAGTGATTGCCTACTCTTTGGTTCTGAGCTGCAACAAGATATTCTATGGATTTTGGCAGTAGAGAGTCAGAAAAGAGGCTGCCAGCCCTGTGTGCCTCCTATCACCTCTGTGGTTTCGAGAAAGTCACAGAAGCCATCTGGAATCGTGTGGGGAAGTCTGTCCAGCACTTCCTCTCAATGCCTTCCCCTGCCGGGCTGAACAGCCATCTCTGAATCTGTCTATTCCAGGGGGTCACAGAGGGGACCTCATCAACGATTTTCCATCAAGGCTCGAGTAGGGGGGAGGTTCAACTTGCCAACTGAAACAAGTTTACGGATTTAAGATAAAGGCATCAGGCTGGGCGCGGTGGCTCAGGCCTGTAATCCCAGCACTTTGGGAGGCCGAGGCAGGTGGATCACCTGAGATCAGGAGTTCGAGACCAGCCTGACCAACATGGAGAAACCGCATCTCTACTAAAAATACAGAAATCAGCTGGGTATGGTGGCAGGCACCTGTAGTCCCAGCTACTCAGAGGCTGAGACAGGAAAATCGCTTGAACCGGGGAGGCAGAGGTTGCAGTGAGCTGAGATTGCATTCATGAGACTCCATCTCAAAAAATAAAAATAAAGAAAGATAAGACATCACAGCAAGTAACAGAACACTTTTCTGGAAGTCTGTGCTGTTACAGGTAAAACCAAAGATGTATTGCGTGAGCAACCTGCTTAGGCCCTGGTTTCCTCAAGGACAAAATGGTCTCCAAGAGGCCAACGTAAAAATTATGTAGTGCTGAAGAATTCTAGCTCTTGGCCTGGCACAGTGGCTCATGCCCGTAATTAAGCACTTTGGGAGGCCGAGGCAGGCAGATCACTCGAGACCAGGAGTTCAAGATCAGCCTGAGAGACATAGCAAAACCTTGTCTCTACAAAAAATAGAGAAAAGTTACCTGGGTGTGGTGGTGCACACCTGTAGTCCCAGCTACAGGGGACTGAGGTGGGAGGATTGCTTGAGCCCAGATTGAGATAGTGCCACTGCACTTCAGCCTGGGTGACAGAGTGAGACCTTTTTTCAAAAAAAAAAAAAAAAAGAAAAAAAGAAAGAAAGAAAGAAAGAAAGAAAAATAAAAAAAGAAAAAGAGAGGTCTGGGTCTCTTGAAGTCTTTTTGACTGCACAGCAGTCTAGCGTGCCCTTCGAATGGCCGCTGGACTTCACCCACGCTTTATAATGATCTTCTCTTAAGACAAAGGCTCTGAGGCTGGGTGCAGTGGCTCACGTCTGTAATCCCACCACTTTGGGAGGCCAAGGCGGGCAGATCACTTGAGGTCAAGAGTTCCAGACCAGCCTGGCCAACATGACAAAACCCCATCTCTACTAAAATATGAAAAATTAGCCGGGCATGGTGGCGGGTGACTGTAATCCCAACTACTCAGGAGGCTGAGGCAGGAGAATCACTTGAACCCAGGAGGTGGAGCTTGCAGTGAGCTGAGATCGTGCCACCACACTCCAGACTGGGAGACTCCGTCTCAAAAAAAAAGACAAAGGCTCTGGAAGCCGACCTTTCTAAAACCATCTCTAGTGTTTTCTCCCTTAAAAGAAACTGACTTTTGTCCATGCAAAAGGGACTTTCCAGCAAGTGATGTCAGAGCCTGAGATGGATGCACAGAGCACCCACATGTGGGGGTGTCGTGGCAGGTGTCAGAGGGGTTTTGGAGCCCAAGCAGGGTGGGGAAACTGTCTACCAGAGGGGTGGGGGTGGAGGCAGCATGGAGGGTCAGAGGACTGATGGGATGAGGAGATGTCCATGCTGGGGAGGAGGCAGCAGAGGTGACATGAGATTGGTTGCATGTAGAAATATTGATAAAATAGGTAAATACATTAAGGGTAGTAGAACCAGCTTGAACCCTGTGATGTCAGTGTGACCTTATGGTTTTGGGGTTTTGTTTTTTTCAGATGGGGCCTCACTATGTTGTCCAGGCTGGTCTTGAACTCCTAGGCTCAAGGAATTCTCCTGCCTCAACCTATTGAGTAGCTGGGATTACAGGCACTCACCACTGTGCCCAGCTTTTTTATGGTTTTTGATATGTAGGTAGGTAGATAGATACTTAGATACATAAATACAGATGAAAGAGATGCTTAGATACAGAAACAAATGTGTGTGTGTGTGTGTGTGTGTGTGTGTGTGTGTTCCCTGGCTCTGTCTAGTGAAAGGGCCTAGGAGCAGTGAGCACAGCCCAATTGCAATGAGCACATCCAGCATGCAGATCTTGTTCTTAAATATCATTCTCTCCAAAAGTCAACCCAGGCTTCTTGGAGAAATGGCTATTTCCAAGGCGGAGGCAGGAAAATTATAGGATGACCTGGAAGATCTTGTTGATCCAGAAATCAAGGAAATGCTCAAAGACTGATAAGGCATGTCAAAGGGACACAGGAGCCAGTTTGAAGGGGCCCTCAGTGGCCGAGTCTGAGGCAATTTGAGTATCAAAATAAATTGTGATAACAACTTATTATAACCCATTGAATGAAACAGAAAACTGTGAGTCCATGTTGATACAAATAAATTCAAAATTTGGCAAGGAACAGGATATTTACAGTTTCAAAGTGCCTCCCCACAAAACACTTATTAACTAAATAGTGATTAACTACACATGGTCAAAGAGTAACTTTATAATGAAAAGCCTAGCACCACCTTAAATCAGGTGATCAAGTAAACACCATAATAAATGGGATAAATCAACATTGTGTGCTCCCTGATAGGAGGCAATGAGGAAAACACAGTATTGCTTTCATAATAATCAAATAACTGTCTGTATTCTTCAAAAGTATCAAGGTTATGAAAGTCAAGGAAAGACTGGGGAAGTGTTCCAGATGGAAAGAGATGACACCTAAATCCAATGCTGGATTCCAAACTTGTTTTGTTTTGTTTTTAACCATTTAAAACAGTTGGCAATACTTGACTGGGTCTGAGGATTAGACGGTAGAAATGTATCAGTGTTAGTTTCCTGCCTTGAATGAGTGGGCTATGGTGATGTGGGAGAATGTCCTTGTTTGAGAAAATGAATACTGAAGTTTTCAGCGGGGGTAAGCATTAGTTTGGCAACTTACCCTCAAATGGTTATCAAAAAGAAAGAGGTTTTTTTTCTGTAGTTGTAACTTTTCAGTCAACTCCTTCAAAATAAAATTTGTATTAAAAAGAAACTACTAGCCAGGGGCCATGGCTTATACCTGTAATCCCAGCATTTGGGGAGGTTGAAGTGGGAAGATCACTTGAGCTCAGGAGTTCGAGACCAGCCTGAGCAACATGGGGAGCCCTCATCTCTATAAAAAATATAAAAATTAGCTGGACATCGTGGCACGTGCCTGTAGACCCAGCTACTCAGGAGGCTGAGGTGGGAGGACAAATTGAGCCCCCGAGTTCAAAGCTGCAGTCAGCTGTCATCGCATCACTGCATTCCACCCTGGGCAACAGAGCAAGACCTTGTCTCAAAAGAAAGAAAGAGAGAAAAGGGAGAGAAAGAGGAAGGAAGGAAGGTCATCAACTAAGGTAAACTGAGGGTATCTCTGTTGCTCAAAATCTAAAGTACCTAACAATCAAGATTGAGATCTTTCCCTTGACTGGCACTCCCAAAATATTATTTAATAATATTACTCCTTTATCTCGTAACCTTAACTATTATTCCATATGTCTTATTGTATCCTTTACAAAACATGGTTGACAAAATTAGGGCCCAACACTTTTATTTTTCCTTGCCCTCTTTTGAATATCTTTGCTGTCATTTATTTTCCATTTAGAATTGAAGTAGTGTAGCCACAAACATAATCATCCCCTTTGACCTGATAATTCCATGCCTGAGAATTTTGTCCCAGAAAATAACTCAGAAGAAGACAAAAGAAATGCAAATGATCTTCATTACCACATTACTCATGCAATCCCATAGTTTTGCCTGTACTCAAGCATAGCATTACAAGAAATAAAGCAATCCTATTACTGGCCCATCAAAAAGGCAAATGGCCCCCAGAAGATGGTGAACATATTACCTCAGTTTTCATCCAGACATTGTAGAGGGCAACTGTTGCTTTTACCTGGCCAGCATTCATTCCCCTTTCTTCTGGTGACAATACCTTGAGTTTGCTTTGAGCAATTACCCCTCTGCCATTGTACACAGGCTACAAGTGACTGTCCAAGAACCCTGACCTCCCCTGGCCAAGCCTAGCTAAACCAGAGACTGAGGCTAATTTATCCTGAGGGCCTAATGCTGGAGAATGGCCATTAGTTCCTTCCCCCTGGAGCTCTGAAACTTCTCTGTTTCTGCTCTAAGTCTAGTTCATGCATTTATTTTTAAATCCTGTGACCTACCCATATTTTTTCTTTCCTTTTTTTTTTTTTTTGTGTGGTGGAGGAGACAGGGTCTCACTTTGTCACCCAGGCTGGAGTGCAGTGGTGTGATCATAGTTCACGGCAGCCTCAACCTCCTCGGGCTCAAGCAATCCTCCCACCTCAGCCCTCAGAGTAGCTGGGACCACACGCACAAGCCACTGTGCCTGGCTAATTTTTTTATTTTTTGTAAAGACGGGGTCTCACTATGTTGCCCAAGCTGGTCTCGAACTCCTGGACTCAAGTGATTCTCCCACCTTGGCCTCCCAAAGTGCTGGGATTATAGGCCTGTGCCACCATGCCCAGCCCCATATTTTTTCAATGCTTAAGTTATCTGTATTTGGTTTGTTTTTTTTGTTTGTTTGTTTTTAAGACAGGGTCTCATTCTTTGTTGCCCAGACAGGAGTATGATCTTGGCTCACTGCAGCCTCAACCTGCCAAGCTCAAGTGATCCTCCCACCTCAGCCTCCTGAGTAGCTGGGACTACAGGCAGGCAACATCACGCCCAGCTAATTTTTGTATTTTTTGTAGAGACAGGGGTCTCCCTACATTGCCCAGGCTGGTCTTGAACTCCTGGGCTCAAGTGATCCCTCCACCTAGGCCTCCAAAATGCTGGGATTATAGGTGTGAGCCACCACACCCAGCCTAGTTTCTATTTTGTGAAACCATAAAACCCTCACTGTCCATCCAGATTCTTCCATGAATACGTTTCCAAAAATTTTTTTTCTACATTTTCCCTCCGTCTTTGTCTTTTAAAAAAATATTTCCTCTTCCTTTCCTCCAGAGTACATGTTTCTTCTTGCATCACCCATAAAGTGAAAGCATCTCCAACCTGACAGAAGTAGCAGGTCCTTACCATGCTTCATGGGGGAAGCATTCGCCTTTGAGATTCTTCAGAGGAGAACAACTACCAGAAAAACAAGCCTTTCTCTTTCTGACATCGACTACCTCTCATAGCAAATTTTTATTCTACTAACAGTTCTTTTCATTCTGTCTATAAAATATCTTCTCTCACAGAAGGTGAAAAGGGAAAGAAAAAAATGGGTGTGAAGGTAAAAGAAAATCTCATCTTGGAAATGGATGCCTGGAGAACGGAAATCCAGTGATCAAAACTGACTCGAGAAGAGAGAACCTAATGAACAATAACAATGGAAGAAATTGGGAACATTATCAAAAAGCTATCATCCTGCCAAACTCCAGGCTCAGATGATGTTACAGGTTTTAAAAAGTCCTTCATGAAAAAGAAAGATCTTAAGCAACATGATGGATTCAGAAGCTCATGAAAAGAGGCTGCCAATACTAATATCTTCAAAACAAGATATATCACCTCATATTACAAATGTTGGTGAAATGAAGCATTATTTGTGTGGCTGCTGTGCAGCCTTCAACAACATCACAATCACATTTCCCATTCAGAAGGTCCTCTTTTGACAACAGCTGTATAGCATCAAAACTCGTGATGCAATACTTCAGTTGAGAAGGGTTGGATTTCAAAACTTGTATCGTGGAATCCTTCCCCCATTGATGCAGAAGACAACTACACTTGCACTTATGTTTGGTCTCTATAAGGATTTATCCTACCTTCTCCACAAGCATGTCAGTGCTCCAGAGTTTGCAGCCCGTGGTGTGGCGGCAGTGCTTTCAGGGACAACAGAAGCAATTTTCACTCCTCTGGAAAGAGTTCAGACATTGCTTCAAGACCACAAGCATCATGACACATTTACCAACACGTATCAGGCTTTCAAGGCACTGAAATGTCACAGAATTGGAGAGTATTATTGAGGCTTGGTGCCCATTCTTTTCTGGAATGGACTCAGCAATGTCTTGTTTTTCGGCCTTCGAGGTCCCATTAAGGAGCATCTGCCTACCGAAATGACTCACAGTGCTCATTTGGTCAATGATTTTATCTGTGGAGGTCTATTGGGTGCCATGTTGGGATTCTTGTTTTTTCCAATTAATGTTGTAAAAACTCACATATGGTCTCAGATTGGTGGGGAATTTCAGTCTTTCCCCCAGGTTTTCCAAAAAGTCTGGCTGGAATGGGACAGAAAACTGATAAATCTTTTCAGAGGTGCCTATCTGAATTACCATCGGTCCCTTATTTCTTGGGGCATAATCAATGCAACTTATGAGTTCTTGTTAAAGATTATATGCAAAAAAAATCAGTTAAGTGCCATTTATCAACTGAATAGACATTCTAAGAAGAATGCAGCTTGGTCTCTTTCTTAATTGGCCAAGTACAAGTTGGTGTCATAACTCCAGGCCACAGTGAGTTATGGGCAAAGCTGTTTTCCTTAAGCATCAACAAAACAGAATAAAAGGTTCCAATTGGACAAAAAAAAAAAAAAAAAAAGAAAATCCCATCTTGCCACATTTGGAAGAGAGTAAATTAGAAATAATTTAAGTGTCCAAGAGATTGGTACAAGAACATCTACTTACTCAACGAAGCCATTAAAAATAATTATTATAAGTCCGGGTGCGGTGGCTCAAGCCTGTAATCCCAGCACTTTTGGGAGGCCAAGGCGGGTGGATCACCAAAGGTCAGGAGTTTAAGACCAACCTGGCCAACATGGTGAAACCCCGTCTCTACTAAAAATACAAAAAATTAGCCAGGCGTGGTGGTGGGCACCTGTAATCCCAGCTACTCAGGAGGCTGAGGCAGGAGAATCGCTTGAACCCAGGATAGAGAGGTTGCAGTGAGCCAAGATCCAGCCACTGCACTCCAGCCTGGGCAACAAGAGTGAAACTCTGTCTCAAAAAAAATTAAAAAAAAATAATTATTATACCATATGCCAGATAATTATTACACCACAACCAAACATAACCCCAATACTTACCAAATAGAACACTTTGCTATAACAGCAAGAGTTCCCCAAGGAAAAGAAATAAATACAAGATGAAGCATGAAAAATCAGCCATAAGCAAAAATGGCTGCCTTGGTGGCATACTACAAAAAACTGAAAACCTCTTATAGAAGGGTAAGAAACTTCCTCATAGAAGAAGGAGACTGCCAAGACAGCGATTAAAATCCATGAACAAGTGAATTCTTAAACTCTACTAGCTTTTGTTTTACATCTGCCCAGCCCAACTTTGTCCCCACTTTTTCTAGGAACAAATTCATGCAAGGTAACTGACCTGGACTGGAATCCTGGCGGAACCTTCTTCCTGCCTGCTGTGATGGTCTAGGGATGAGCTTGTGACTCAACTAGGGAGATGTTTCTTCTGGAGCCAATAAGAAATCCTGTTCCCTCTTTGATCTTAAGCTATACTCAGGTAACCTCAGCTTGGTCAGCAGCCATCTCACTTTATGGAGGAGCCTGAGAGAATGATCAGGGATAAGCCAATCCTGGGATGCAGGAGCCGTCCCCAAGTGTCTGCAGCTGCCCTCAGTCTCGCAGCACAGCAGTTCTGTGATACCTTCCATCAAAGCCTCATTTCTCCTTAAATTGGATGAGATTCTGCCACAGGTGAGAGTCCCACCCGACACCATCATCCACCTAAACAAACAGTGGCCAAATGTATCTCTGGAATCACTGTCATATCCAGAGTGTTTGCATGACTTTTGGTACCCAGTAATTTCAACCTCGGTGGAGGTCTAAAGTGACTCATGTGCATAGCTAAATCCCTTAGCTAAGCACAGCTAAGACACAACTAAGACATATGCAAGCAAAAATCCAAGGAGCTATCCGGGGCCACACCTAGAAATTCTCTTATAAATTAACCCCTTTTTCTCTCTTTGGGCTGTGCAAAACCACAATATCTTCAGAATCTTGCCTACACAAATGACCTTTATACTATCATACAGAAATCATTTATTGTGTTTAAAAAAATAATGTATTGGCCAAGCGCAGTGGCTCACACCTGTAATCCCAGCACTTTGGGAGGCCGAGGTGGGCGGTTCACTTGAGCCTAGGAGTTCAAGACCAGCCTGGCCAACATGGCGAAATCCCATCTCCAATAAAAATACTAAAAATTAGCTGGGCATGGTGGTGCATGCCTGTAGTCCCAGCTACTTGGGAGGATGAGGGAGGAGGATTGCTTAAGGCAGGAGGGCTGCAGTGAGCCCTGATCATGCGACTGCACTCCAGCCTGGGTGGCAGAGTGAGACCCTGTCTCAAAAATAATAATAATAATGCACTAAAGAAAAAAGCCTCAAAATTAATTGGCGTCTATCTCCAGCACAGCTGTCTCTCTCTTTTTTTTTTTTTGCCTGGTCTGGAGTTGTCATTTTGTATAGCAAGGGCCTTACCTAAATGGCCCTTATGGACACAAAAGCCAAGGTCAATAAAGAGTGAGGAAGGTAGGCTGATAATTTGAAAAGAGAGTAAAAATAACTTCTGACTGCTTCAAGCCTTTAACTGTGGGATTAGGCCAAGTTTACTTAAACCTCAGGGGCAATGTTTAAAATAAGATTCACTGTGTGTGTTTTAAGTTGCAACTGTCAAAAATTATTTACTTAATTCAAATTTGCTATTGAAAGTTATGAGAGGACAAGCAATTGTGACAGCTATCTGGAGCACCATAGGTTATCCTAAGATTTTATATTGTCTGAACTTTTTTTTTTTTTTAATGAGACGGGTTCTTGCTCTGTCACCCAGGCTGGAGCGCAGTGGCATGATCTCAGCTCACTGCAACCTCCACTTCCCGGGTTCGAGCAATTCTCCTGCCTCAGCCTCCCAAGTAGCTGGGAATATAGGCACGCACCACCACGCCTGGCTAATTTTTGTTATTTTTAGTAGACACGGGGTTTCACCATATTAGTCAGTCTGGTCTCGAATGCCTGACCTCAGGTGATCTGCCCACCTTGGCCTCCCAAAGTGCTGGGATTACAGGCATGGGCCACCCGCCCGGCCATACTGTCTGAACATAAGTTTAATGCAAGGTGGGAAATGAAAGGGAAAATAAAACAGAGGAAAAGCCCATTTAGAATGAGTAATAATAGATGAACTTTACGAATTATCACTAGCTCTGATAATAGGCATATTTTATGACTTTCTAGAACATTCAAAAATGTTTTATAAACATATGGATGTATATGTGTGTATGTGTATAGACACAGAGTTAATTTTATGTGTCAACTTCACTGTACCACATCCTCGGTTGTTTGTTCAAACATCAGTCTGGATGTTTCTATGAAGGTGTTCTTTAGAAGTTATTAACTTTTAAATCAGTCAATTTGAACAAAGCAGATTACCCTCTATTATATGGGTGGGCCCCATCTAATCAGTTTAAAGCCTTAAGAGCAAAACACTGAGGTCCCCTAAGGAGAAGGAATTCTGCCTTCAGACTCGAACTGCAACATCAACTCTTGCTGGAATTTCCAGCCTGCTGCCCTGCCCTGCATATTTTAGACTTGCCAGCCCCCACAATTGCGTGAGCCAATTCCTTAAAATACCTCCCCACTGCCCTCTGCCTCTCTCTATATATATCCTATTGGTTCCGTTTCTGTGGAGAACCCTGACTAATCTAATAGATGTGTGTGTGTTTGTATGTGTGGCACAAATTTGTATTCCAAAGGTGTAAAGTCAGGCTCTGGAGTAGAATACTTTGACACACTCTATATGAAACTAGGAAACTACGGAAAGACAAAATAATACAGGACAGAGGTTAGAACTTTACGTGTAATTTTGGCTGGGAGCAGTGGCTGACGCCTGCAAATCTCAGAACTTTGGGAGGCCGAGGCCGGTGGATCACTTGAACCCAAGAGTTCCAGACCAACCTGGCCAACATGGAGAAACCCCATCTCTACAAAGTATACAAAACTTAGCCAGGTGTGGTAGTGCATGCCTGTAATCCCAGCTACTAGGGAAGCTGAGGTGGGAGGATCCCTTGAACCCAGGAGGCAAAGGTTGCAGTGAGCTGAGATCACGCCACTGAACTCCATCCTGGGCAACAGAGCAAGACTCTGTCTACTAAAAAAAAAAAAAAAAAAAAAAGCACTTTACATCTCATTGTATTTGAATCCTTCACTTCAGTTGAATTAATAACACAACGCAGGGATTTGTTTTAGTAGTATAGTTCCAATAGTTCCAAGTGATTTGCTTCAGTTTCTCTAGAATTAAAGCCACTTCTGTTCTTAAAGGGAAACATCGATTTTAGATTTTGCTTCTTGTTAAAGGAGCTTACACTTGATGATTTTCACAGCAAAGTGGTACTTATTTGGGGTATAAGCAGGGCTTCTCAAACTTTAGTGTGCATACAGATCACCTGGGGATCCTCTTAAAATGTAGATTCTAACCTCTTGGGTCTGGGGTGAGGCCAGGAGTCTGCATTTTTAACAAGCTCCCAGGTGGTGCCAGTGCTGTTGGTCTGAGGCCCATACCTTGAAAAAATAGAGAACTAGAGCAGCGGTTCTCCAGCTGGAGTGGGCATCGGAATCATCTGCAGGGCTTGTTTGATAGCTGACTGCTGGGTCCCACCCCAGAGTTTCTGATTCCCAGGTGCTGCCAATGCTGCTGGTCTGGGGATAATACTTAAGAAACACAAGCTAGTAATGTTTCCCTTATCATGAGAATCACACTTTTAAAACTACAAATTCCCATGCTCCTCTCTTCAGGAGTCTGATTCAGTAAATTTAGGGCAAACCCAGGAATCTATGTTCTTAACAAGCTTCCTAGATTGCTCGTTGAAAGGTGAAATCCTGAGCCAAAGTGTTGTCTTAATCCTGATGGTCTTCAAAATGTGTCAATACAGAAGTGTGAACCCCACCTGGACCCCCTAAATCCCACCTCTGGATGTAGGGGATAGTATCTATTAATACATATTTTTAACATGTGATTCTCACATATCAACAAGCTGAGAGCCACTGAACTGGAGCCACAGCCCCCAATTCTGACTGCATATTAGAGATTTTTTTAAGCCCTCATTCCCTTGAGTATCACCTGCCCCAGGTTCTCATTGAATTAGCCTGGGGTGGGATCCTGGTTGGTTTTTTTTTTTTTTAATACTCCCAGTAGATTTAAGGTTCAGTGACGGCTGAGAACACTGAATTGGAGCTTCAGCCTCTGGTCAGCTTCAGGACAAATTAGCCCCTTCTTCCGGGAGGGCTCCTTCTCTCCTAAAACCCAGAGCAGACTGAGCAAAGCAGCCCATCCACTCCTCCTCCCCTCTTGTGCACACCCTGGACACACTTGGTCTTCTAGGGGAGGACACTTCTCTGTGAAGAAGCACCCCTAAACGCTGTCTGACCATAGCATTTCAAAGAAAAAGGTAACCTCCTCCATTTCAAAGTCAGGCCAAAACTCATTCATTTACAATATCTATTACGCTCCTATTATGATCCAAGCACCCAACTACAGGTTGGAAATATAACTAACAAGTCCCTGTTTTTAAGGAGCTGACAATCTGGTAAAAGATTTAAGCACAGGCCAGGTGTGGTGGCTCACGCCTGTAATCCCAGCACTTTGGGAGGCCAAGGTGGGCGGATCACGAGGTCAGGAGTTCAAGACCAGTCTGACCAATACGGTGAAACCCCATCTCTACTAAAAATACAAAAATTAGCCGGGCGTGGTGACATGCACCTGTAATCCCAACTACTCAGGAGGTTGAGGCAGGAGAATTGCTTGAACCCGGGAGGTGGAGGTTGCAGTGAACCGAGATTGCACCATTGCACTCCAGTCTGGGTGACAGAGCGAGACTCCGTCTCAAAAAAAAAAATTCAAGAAAATAAATACTCCCTTGGCTCACATCAACATTCCTATTTCCTGAAATTTAGGTGACGGAAGGGGGCACTCTAAACTTCCCTTCAGCATTAGGGAGATGACAACAGGTGTGTGACCTACTCTGCCTTCTTCCAGGTTCTTCCAACCCACCACACCGGGAAGTAACTGTGTCATTTAATAACCCTGCTGACCAGATGTGTCCTTTGATTGCTATTCCAATGGAGATATATCTCCATTATAGAGATAGTTAGATGGGTAAACAGATAGATAGGTAGATAGATAGATAGATAGATAGATAGATAGATAGATAGATAGATAGATAGATAGATATACACATGCAGCAGGACAGGAAGTTGATTCTAATTTGACAAAGGCAGTTCTGTTTTTGCCATAAACTGAAATACCCACAGGAAGAACTGTTGCTGTATCCCAGAACATACGCTACCCTGGTGATAAGTCCAGAAATGGCACAATTCACCAAGCAGCCTGACACTCTCTGAGCCAAAGTTTCCTCCCTGCTGCTTCTCTCTAAGCCACCTTTTCATCATAGGCATAAGTCAGGGAATAACAGCATCTTGTTGGTGCGGGAATGGCCAAACTGAACTCATGAGCAATTGCTCACATAGTGAAAGCGTCTTGGGTTCCTGATACCAGAAGTCATCAATCAGCCAGCTGTTTGGTCATTTTTGGTTAAAAGTACATAAAATATTTCCCAGTGCTTCTCATCATCCCTCTTAATAGAAATGTTTCTACTGATTACCCACAGCCATGTCGTCAAACGAACCACAGTTGGCTGTTAACATCTGGAGGGGAGGGTATTGGTGAGCAGAGTTTTAATTTACTTAAGAGTTTTCTTTAATGAATCTCATTTTGGCAGGAGGAAGTCAGGAGCAGGCATCATAACACCATCTAATCTGCCACAAGCTGTTTTTCCCTTTCCTCAATCAATCCATTTATTCCTTTCAACATCCCCAAAGGGTCAAGACCCTGTAGCTAGAAAAAATCATATATTATGTGGCTCGCTTTTCTTTCAGTGAAAAATGTTTCCCATTGCTTTCTCTTAATTTACTGTTTTCCCCCTCTAAACTGAACAGTTTGTGACTAGCTGAAGGGTCTAGCTTAGCTGTAACATTTAATACACACAGTCTTAAGGCTTTGCTGCAAAGCAAATTAATTTTCTAGGAAAACTGACAAGATTAATAAGTCTCCACTGAAGTCAGTTTCCAATGAGCAAAGCAGAACTCTGTTAGATGACCCCTCAACTTCTTCAGCTTATTTCCGGGTTGGATGAATTTTGATTTTATTTGTGGGAAACTTTTCTTTTATGAAATGAGATTTCCTCTTGTACAAGAATAAAGTCAATGGTGTGAGTGGAGATATCGCTCAGCTGCTTGCCTGCTATAAAACCTGGACAAGTTACCTAAGCTCTGTAAGCCTCAGCGCCTCATCAGTAAAATAAAGCCAGGATAGCACTGACGTCGCGGGCTTATACTGAGCATTAAATGACAGTGGCTGGACATGGGGCTAAGTGACCTGCTTGGCTTGGCCCTAGACTAAACATTCAGTAAATGGTTGCTGCTAATATTTTACTGCTGTTATTTTTGGGTCTAATAAGGTAGGGTTTGGATGAAGTGACATACAGGCAACTATTTATTTACTTTTCTTTTGATTAATATTTGTATCTTAAGTTGTCAGATCACAGCTATCTGCTGGTACATATGCTCTTTTCAGCAGCTAGATCTTTGGGTGAATTTGTAAGGTGGTTCAGAGAGGCACAGGCTTGCTTTGCCAACGTGAGAAAGAGAGCTGTTTCTCAGAGAGATGTAGCAGTTCACGCATAAGGAGCACTCCATTGTACTTTACCTCAAAGTGGAAAAATTTTTCTTTACTCCTTTGAATAGAAGCAAAATAACAGTGTTGAAGCTTTAAAATATTGTAGGAAAAAATGCCATCCTTTAATTATTTAACAATGACCCTTAAATGAAGAAAGGTGAAGATGGCCAAAAAGTGTGACGTTCCGAGTATGAGTTCCGTTTCTGTTACCAATTAGTAAACTTGAGCAAGATTGTTTCCTAGTCAATAAAGTGAGGAATAATAATATTCAATTGGACTTTACCATTTTGGGGTAAAAAAATGAGTTACTTCATTTGAAAGAGTTTTATACATTTTTAAGTTATAATATTTGAAAGAAATGTAATAGTAACAAAAGTAATTTGCCATTGACTATCCAAAGAAGAAATTCTATTTAGCATGTTGACAATGTTCCCAATTTTTACACAATTTTTCAAGAGGCAAATGGATGGTTCTACTGTGCACAAACTGTGATGTCCAGGGTTGCCTTAGCTATCAAGCCAAGCAGATGGAGAAGAATTAAGGATTCTCAAAGCCGGGGTCACAAGCAGGTGTCACCAAGAAATTCTGTGCTGCTGCCTAAAGACAGAGGCAAAGATGATAAACTAGAGGGGAGAGAAAGGGGCAGCCAATCCTCTAAGGCGTCTTCAAGGGTCAGAGAGTCTAAGGTGAGGGTAAACTGTAAATAACATTTCCTGGGTAGCACAGCTGAATTTGTGGGTTTGTGGTAGGGTATTAAAATGAAAGCCTCACACAATTCAACTTCAGTTTGATCATAACAAAAAAGTTTCTATTTTTTGTACCATTTGCAATCACACAGATATCTTTGCTTTCATAACAGTTTTTCTATTATTTCTTCCTTTCCAACATCCTTCACCCCTTATAAAATCTACCTTGGGAGAGTTTGTTGGCTTTCTTAAAGTCATTTCATAGACAAGGTAAATATAGTTTAGCAAAACACTTCACACCTCTCTCCCAAAAAGAAAACTATTTTATTTAAAAAAAAAAGGAAAATCGGTCCCATGATGAAGTCTAGAAGTTATACCGGCTTTTTAATTAAACATTTTGGTTTTCTTCCTCACAAAATTAATACTTTATACATTCAATTTAACTGCTAAAGAAAATATACACTGATCCATACTGCCAGATAAAAGTAGTCCACATGGACAAATGACAGAGCGTAAGGCCAACAGTCACTCAGAAAGATCAATAGGCGTATATTGTCACAGGTTTGCAGACATGCTCCAGGCCTTGATGAACCAAACCAGCTGAATTATTATCTGACTCACTGTCCCCATGCCTCCCGAGCCTATCTATACATATAAGGTCACATTAATATTAATTCCAAATGACAGTAGCTCCTAGCACCTCCAGTGTAACACCAGGACCTTAGCCACTCTTCCCAAATCTCCCTTGGTCATTTCTGGGAGTCTCCAGAGTGATGTCTCAGGCATGTCCTGTAACAAATCCACCCATGTTTGCCTGCTCCTGCTGTCACTGCTGGCTATCCACTGGGACTTCATACTAGACTGCGGGCCCAGATGGAGAACAGGCACATGCTATCTCCTTCCACTGTTCTTGGCCCTTCTATCCTCCTATTTCCTCAACAAAAGAAGCAACAGAAACTAACAAAAACTCTCTCCTCCTTAAGTTGAAAAAAAAAGGCTTATTGCTTTTTGGCCTTTTGGCCTTTGGCTAAGATCAAGTATAGTATCTATTCTTATCAGTTAATATCTGATATGTCCTCTATCTGAGCACAATATACTAAGTGGATTTCTGCAGCAGGGAGATGGAATAGGAGCTTGCTCTGTCCACCCGACTCATCAACCTCGTGTTGCAGTACCTCCAGAAACAGTGCACTCCTCCCAAAAAAAAAAAAAGCAGGCCTAGAATATGGAATATATCAGTCAAGATAGGCCAAGTTATGCAGCAGAAACAATTGGAAATAATAGCAGTGAAGCACAGCAAAAGATTTATTTCTTGTGTCTGCTATGCGTATGATGCAGGTGTGAGGGACTCTCTGCCCATCTGAGTCATCCAGGAAGCCCAGCTGACAGAGGCTCCATCTCTAAATGCTCCATGGTGGGCTGGGCGCGGTGGCTCACCCCTGTAATCCCAGCACTTTGGGAGGCCGAGGCGGGCACATCACTTAAGGTCAGGAGTTCGAGACCAGTCTGGCCAACATAATGAAACCTTGTCTCTATTAAAAATACAAAAATTAGCCAGGCATGGTGGCGCACGCATGTAGTCCCAGCTACTCGGGAGGCTGAGGCAGGAGAATCGCTTGAACCGAGGAGGCAGAGGTTGCAGTGAGCCAAGATTATGCCACTGCACTCCAGCCTAGGTGACACAGCAAGACTCCGTCTTAAAAAAGTAAATGCTTCATGGCTTCTGTGGCCAGGCTCTTACTAAAGGCTGCTTACATGTGACACAAATTACTTATGAACACATTTCATCAGCCAAAGGGTATCCAATGCCTAGCCTTAAGGGGACAAAAAGTACAATCCTCCCACATGCTTGGAAGGAGAGACTCAGAACGTTTGTGAATAGTGCTGAGGATCACCAAAGGCACCCATTCCAATTGACGTTCACCCCCCGTGAGGAGTGCACACAGCAAACTCTGAACCAGAGTCTGAGTTCAGCTGCAGCTCTTGCTATACTTAGGAGATGGTAAAATCACTGACTTTGGAAATTGAATCTGTCATCCTAATTTTGTAGGTACCTGCTTTGTAGGCCTTACATAACCTTGTGGGACTAGGGAACCCACACATAACTGAGAAGAGATATGCTGCCATATTCAAAATTTCATTTCCAAGACCCAAAGAGTACACATACCTTGGAATTTGATCCAGAAAAATAAAAAAGAAGAAGTATTTTTTACTTTCTACTATGTGTAGTGAAACAGTCACACCTACATTTAGGAGTTGTCACAGTTCCTGAGCATCTGAGATGACATTACCACACAGTCTTTAATTCTGTTGCCTCTTATCCTCACACCTGCTCTGTTAGAAAGATATCTCCATTTGCGAATGAGAATTAGGGTGATGAATAATTTGCTCCTGTTTGCCATTCCCCGTACTTTTCAGTTTGGCCTTACTGGCATATTGACCTTACTGACATATTTTGTTCTTCAATGGGCCCTATTGTCTTTCTTCTTTTCTTTCTCCTTTGGTCTCCCTGTAGTGTTGCTTGTTTGTTGTTCAGAGAACACATTTTGCAGCCAATCCTAAACCTCTGTCCTGACTGGCTTTTTCTTCCCAGGCCTCAAGCATCTCCTGTCTGGCTCCACCTACCTTCATCCTGATACTGCAGGTAGGTGTCTCCTTGACACCAGCTCCGGAGCCCAGGAGCTGTTCTGCCCAAGATCCACCAGGCTCCTTTGTGCCAGCAGACCCAGGTGTGAATGCAGGTTAAATCCCTTACAAAGTGTACAATGTTGAGGTTGTATACCCTTCAGCCTGACACAGGAATATTAGGGTCATAGGAAGGATACCTTGCCCTGGCCTGCAGGGAGGGCTAGTGTCAGGATGAGAGGAGAGTAAGAATGTAAAAGGACTTCTGCAAATCAGAAGGCATCAAACAACGACCAATGTTAGTTTACTTCCCTTGCCTCCCATGATGTCCCTAGGCACCTCTCCCTCTGAACCCTCACAGCATCCTTTTTCCAATCTAGCCCTTATCCTCCTGTGCTGAAATTGCCCCTTGACTTGTAAATCTTAAGGCACTTGTGAGTGTCTTAGGGCCAAGGGCTCTGTCTAATTGCACTCGATGCATCCAGTAGGCCCTCAATGAATGATTGCTGAATGAATGAACCCAAGACCCTCTCCAAACTCCCAGCCCAAAGGGCTAAAGTTAAAAGAAGCTAGTTAAACCCTTTTGGGGGTCTTAATAACAATAGGGCAAGTACATTCATGTAAATTGGTAAATGAAACCTTTCTGAGAAATGTTTATAAGCTTTTAAATGTATAACTTGCAATACTCATTGTTTGTAGGGATTCTATTCAGTAGTCTGAAGAGAGAGAAAGAACTAGAATTCAGAATGTGTCTGGGCCCCTAACTTTCCAGGTTCCCCTTTTATCCAAAATAAAATATCCACCCGGAACCCTGCTTTCAGGTGTAAAAGATGCCTATCTGAGGAGTTAGTCACTTGGCATGCTGAAACTTCAGATACTCCAGTGTTCAAGACTTGGGTGTCTCGTAGGAGTCCCAAATTAGCCTGTTGCTAAGTACAGACATATACAAAACTCCCCTTTACATAACGGAGCATTAACGCCTACTTTATCTCCTACCTCATCATCTGTCACAGTCAAAAAATGGCATCACAAATTCAAATTCCAAGGAAATTTAAAAAAAAACATACATTGCATAGGAATCCCCTTTGAAAGCATGACCTGAAGAAAACCCCTTTCGGCTGTCTTCTGGATTAGGTAAAATGGGACAGAGAAAGGACAGAAATAAATGAATTTCTGTGGATCCAAAAAGCCTAAAAAAAGTGATTTGGGTGAGTTATATCCTGTATCCCACACCTGTTGAAATAGCTTAAATCCAAAAGTCTTGAGAATGTTTCAGATTCAAATTCTGAAAGCTTGAGATTATATTAGTATTATTTCCATATAGGAAGAAGCAATATATTTTCTGCCAAAATATGTATAAAGTTCCCCCTCTCCCTACTTCTAATTTTCTGCCCATAAAATCAATCTGCTTTTATATGGTACCTGTTCATATGTTCTAGGGAAGTGTTAAACCATTTTGAAATCTAGACTTGTTTGAAGTTTAAGAAATGTTTATTCTAAATAGCCAGCACTTTCTACAAATATGGGTAATAATCTTTAAATCAGAAAATTTACACCATCAGCCAGGCATGGTGGCTCATGCCTGTAATCCCAGCACCTTGGGAGGCCAAGGCAGGCAGATCGCTTGAGGCCAGGAGTTTGAGACCAGCCTGGCCAACATGGTAAAGCCCCATCTCTACTAAAAATGTTTAATATAAAAATTAGCCAGGCATGGCGCACGCCTGTAGTCCCAGCTACTTGGGAGGCTGAGACATAAGAATTGCTTGAACCTGGGAGGCGGAGGTTGCAGTGAGCCAAGACTGTGCCACTGCACTCCAGCCTGGGCAACAGAGTGAGACTCTGTTTAAAAAAATAAAATAAAATTTAAAAGATTTATACGATCACTTTAGGATAAACTAACATAAACTTACATTCTATCTTAAGCAGTGTTGGTTTCCTGCATAAGCCAAAATAATTAATGTAATCCTCCTAATTGATTCATTCCATATTTATTAAATATCTATAATGTGCTACTGTTCTGGGTGTTGGGAATATAGCAATATATCCTCAAAAGTCCATACCAATAGGGAGTTTACATTCTAGCAGCAAGAGACCAAACACAAGCAAAATATGTAAGTTAGATGGTGGCAAGTGCTGTGGTTGATGGCATTAATGGCCCTAACTCTTCATTCTCCCTCTCTCCGTTCCCTTTGTCATGTTTTCTGCAGTGAGTGGGGCTTTTTCCCCTTTCCCTTGACTTTGAGGTTGGCCATATGACCTGCTTTGACCAACAGAATGAGGTAGAAATGACAGCATGCCTGTTCCTGGCTATTTATTCTAGAGAAACAAGAGGCTTTCATGACTCCAAGGCCTTTCTTGCTGTTTTGCCATTGCCATGAGAACATGCCCAGGCTGGTCTGCTGGTCCAACGAGATAAGAGATACAGAGCAGACCTGCTTCAGCAAAGCTTCCTCAGTCCCACTCAGAGCCCCAGGAGACTCTCAGATGCACATATGAGCCCAGCCAACATAAGCAGAGCCACCCAATGTGCCCAGCCTAGATCTGCTGACCTCCAGTGGACCCCAGATGCACGAGCTAAAATAATAAATGGTCATTGTGTGAGGCTGAGTTTGGGGGCTGTTTGTTATACCTTGGTAGTTAACCAATACAAGTGCTTTAAAAAAAAAAAAAAAAGAAAACAGTAAAGGGGATAGAGGGTACTGTGTGGTAGTGGTGATGCTGGGGTCAATTTCAAATACCTTCCTTGTATACAGTTATTTTTAAAATATAACACTTTATTAATGA
Organism: Homo sapiens; assembly: GCF_000001405.40. Taxonomy (NCBI): domain Eukaryota; kingdom Metazoa; phylum Chordata; class Mammalia; order Primates; family Hominidae; genus Homo; species Homo sapiens. The sequence goes on along the minus strand of NC_000008.11, from coordinate 80,581,372 downwards.
CCCTAAAGATACCTCTCTTTCCAATGATTGAGAGGTTCTTATGTTCATTACCTGGTGCCTCCATTATGTATTTGGTACTCTCATCCAGGACCCAAACAAATATGAGCCAAAAGAAAAAATTGCTAATGTGTTCTGGTGTGAGAAGCAGAGCAGAAATGAACACCCTTCTCCAGTTCCAATCCAGTTACACATCCCTGTTCTTTGTCATGTTTGAAGTGCAGTGTGCAAACTCAAATATTCTCTTCTTAATGTGGCATTCTATGGTTCACTACAGCTCAATTAAAACTTTCCCCAGAGGCATTCTTTCCTAAATCATTATAAACTCACTTAAGGTTAAAGGCAGGGGGTTTAGCCAATAGAAGTCTATGCGGAAATTTGGACAATAGAGTTATTCCAATACACTTCTTGATGTAAAGAGACCATCTTTCGGCCGGGCGCGGAGGCTCACGTCTGTAATCCCAGCACTTTGGGAGGCCGAGGTGGGCAGATCACGAGGTCAGGAGATCGAGACCATCCTAGCTAACACAGTGAAACCCCATCTCTACTAAAAATATAAAAAATTAGCCGGGTGTGGTGGCGGGCGCTTGTAGTCCCAGCTACTCGGGAAGCTGAGGCAGGAGAATGGCGTGAACCCGGGAGGCGGAGCTTGCAGTGAGCCGAGATTGTGCCACTGCACTCCAGCCTGGGTGACAGAGTGAGACTCCGTCTCAAAAAAAAAAAAAAAAAAAAAAAAAAAAAAAGAAAAAGACCATCTTTCAAAGATTATTTTAAATTATTATAAAGGTAGGTAATGCTGTTGTTCTGGGGAGCTCCAATCCCTTCCCAAGTAAGCCAGTGTGGTGGTGAGAACCTGTAGTCCCAGCTACTCGGGAGGCTGAGGCATGAGGATCACTTGAGCCCAGGAATTCAAGGCTGTAAGGAGTTATGATCGTACCATTGCACTCCAGCCTGGGTGACAGAGTGAGACCCTGTCTAAAAACAAACAAAAAAAGCCTTTCCAAATTAACTACTCTACCCTCTGGTAATGTGAATGCAGGTTCCATAATAGTCCTTATATCCTCCTACCTAAAAATGGGGACTAAGAAGGTCCCAGCCCAGCTTCAATTTCCCATTTCCTACAAATCCTAAACATATATTATACTTTCCATCTTTGTTACAAAATGATAGCTTCTGTGGAAACAAAGTCACTAGTCCCAGAGCACAGTTCCAGAAAATTTTAGTGGCTAGAATTGTTTCCAATACAGTCTCAGTCAAAGATGATGAATGTATAAAGGTGCAGGAAAAAAATTCCTCTGGATCCCTTGTCTTCTAGGCAGTTACCTGTTGGTGGCTCCAGCGTACTGGGGGAAAGGTGCAAGAGTAGCTGCTGCTTTTCTTTTCTTTTCTTTTTTTTTTAATGCAAAAGCCCCCACCCCTTGCAGATCCAGAGCTTCTTGATGGAGGTATTTTCAAGGGCTTCTAAAACTACTGTCTTTTCAAATGTCCTCTTCCTTTGTCCTGTATGGATTTGAACAATTTAGATCATATTTCACAGAGTTGTGTGATCTTGGGAAAATCACTTAACTTCTCTGAGCCTCAAATTCTTCACTAATAAAATAAGAAAGTTACTCCCTGTTCTAACATGCTGCAATTTAAGTACACATGTTTAAGCTACTGATTCCAAACTAAACAAATGATAACTTTCAGCCTATTACAGGCTATCGTTCTGGACACAAACCAACTGAGTCAAAGTAGTTCAATAAAATGAATTAGATTAGATCTTTCATCATTTTTTTTAAGTCTTAGCAGTCCTCCTTAAACCGTTTTTATGTTCAGCCTCACAACTTTTACAAGCAACGACCAAGCTGTAAATAGTTAAGGATTTCAAAGCCCTCCTCAGACCCAAACAATTTGGCTTTTTAGACTTCTGAATAAAATGATAAGCTAAAAGGTCTGCAGGAGAGCATCAGAAGTCTTCAGCAGGCCTTTTCCCGTCTAGGCTCTTATTCGGTGACCGGGCTGATAAAATTTCCTCTGTGAACGCTTAATATCTTCAAGCCAGACCTAGTAGCTACTGGTTCCCAATCAATTGCTATTCACACTCACACATCTGCACAGATAAAGCCACTTTAAACATCATGCTGTGGGGTCCTGACATGATGACAGAGCCACCAGCTGTCGGGGCACTGCACTGAATTGGGGACACAAACCCCATTTTTCTATGTAAATTGGCCTGGACGCTGCTTCGGCCCCCAACAAAACGGATAGTCCTGTTAAATGGGGCCATCTGGCCGTCCCCCGGCCCCAGTGACACCTCCGGGATGGGGCGAGCGGGAGTGATCTTCGGGGGGCCAGGAAGGTAGCGCGGTAGAGCGCAGCTGTCACCCCGGCCCCAGGGGTCCTGCCCACAGAGGTTGGGGGCGAGCAGATTCGCGGTGGTCTTAAGCCTCGGGGCCCGGGACGCCTGAGGGTCTCACAGCGCACTCCCGGGGTGGGGGAGGGCGCGCTTTGTTCCTGGGCCCCAGTGGGGCGAGGCGCCCGAGCCTTGGGCAGAGTCCCTACTTCGTCCCCGGGGCCCCAGGGCAGCTCCCGCCTGGCCGCGAACAGCCGCGGGCGCCTCCATAGCAACAGCGTGGGAGCTCCGCAAACCGGGAAGAGGAGCGGGGGAGGAGGGGAAGAGGGGAGGAGGGGAGCAGAGGAGAAGGAGAACAGGGGAGGAAGGGCGAGGAGGAGGGGAGCAGGGAGAAGGGGAGCAGGGAGAAGGGGCGCAGGGGAGGAGCTGGGGCAGGAAGAAAGACCGGGGGCGGCGGCGTGGATGGGGGGCAGGGAGAAGGAGCGCCGGAGGGGGAGCGGGAGGAGCAGAGGCGGGGAGCGCCGGCGGGAGAGGGGAAGGAGTGGGGGAGCCAGAGCTGGGAGGAGCGCGGGACGGGGAGCCGGGTAGGAGCGGGGATGAGGGCGCGGCCCCGGGCGAACCAGTCCAGCCCTCCAGGGCCGGGTGCCCGGGCCAGATTCTCCAGCCGAATTCCTGCCCCAGCTGCCTGGGGGAGGGAGTCGCGGGAGCCGGAGAGGGCGGGGACCGCGGCAGGCCCGTGGGACACCGGGCCCTAGGAGGAGGCGCGGGGGTGCGGGCGGCCGGGAGGGGGCGAGGTCCTGCCGCCGCTGCAGCCCACCCCAGCCCGGGAAGAGCAGCGCCCCGGGAACGGGTCTAGGGCTCTCTCCCTTGGCGAGAGGAGCCCTCGGAAGCGGCACCCGCCTTCCCATCCTCACCCAGAGCAGCCCTCAGTCCCCCGGGGACGTGCAGGCCCTCGTCCCCACGGGCTGCGAGCCAGGCCCCCGGAGGGGAGGCGCCGGCCGCGGAGGGAATTCCGAGCTAAGGCTTGCTTTCGCCTGGAGTGTTTTCACCAGAGAATATTTTCCGTTACACAACTATTAGAAAGGTGATGTGGGTTTTCATTTTCAGTCCACCCCTCACCCCAAATCAGGGACCTCGTGGAGAAAACATATTACTAATGCTAAGCTTGGAATTTTAAACAATGTTTTCTGATAACCAGCTGAAAATTTTTGGGAGAAGCCGAGTCACAAACAGATCATCATTCTTAAGTACTGTTTGCTAAGCGTCAGCTTGCACAAGATATTTCACAAAGCTGGCGAACCGGACGCGATCCTTGCTCTCATAGAGTTTGCCACAGAAATGGACAACAATTACATTCAGAAAGGCATTTTTGAATAGCTCTTATGACGTGGTGTTAAAGGTGTGGAAAAAAAGCTTATTTCAGACATGAGTATTTCCAGAGAAAATCTATAGATAAGTGCTGTATATTTTATTTTAAAAACCATTATAAAAAGCAAAGAGAAAAAAAATAAACTTTTGGAAGTTCTCAGCTAACATGGCCTATGGGAAAATGAAAATAAACCTAATTGAAAAAACAGCGCTCACCATAAATAGGTTTAGCTTTCAGGCAGGGAACGTGGTTTGGAAAAAAAAAAAAAAAAAAAAACACCAGCAGAAAATTCACCAATCAAATGTAAGGTTGTCCATGTTTCCTAAAGCAAAGGTCAAAGAATCCTCGGAAGCCCTAAAAAACACTGTTTCTGTGGATAGAGCCTGAGCTTTTGTTTTGCTGTTTGTTCTGAAAATCCAAATCGGTAACCCCTGTTTTCAGGTATTATCCAAAGGAACATTTTTTGGTTTCTTCTACCCACATACTCCCAAATTAGGCACCTACCTTAAAGTAACAGGAAAACTCGTGGGTTTGTAATTGTGTGATATCCCATCTGGTTTCAACTCTGTCGCTGACCAAAAAGAAAGGATGAAAAATGTAAGCAAACTTCTGTAAACTGTAAGTTTATCTATAAAACTCTAAATGTTCACTTATTTTGACATAACATGCATGACTTCTAGAATTAGATTTCCAACTAGTTGATATGTAGCATTTTGTGAGGGTTCGCTGAATTCCAGGCACTATTCTAAGCAATTTATAGACATTTGCATTTTACTGAATTCTCTTAAACTTAGAAGACAGGTACTATTATTATTCCATTTGATAGATGAGGAAACTGAAGTTTCGAAAGGGCATAAAACCTGCCCAGATTTGCCCAATAGTAGTCAACAGGGTTGGGTTGAAGACCCCAAACCTACCATCTCTGAGCAGTTAGTTTGTTCCCTGACTACACATTCCACAAGAGCAGAACCTCCCTCAAATCTCATCTAGGATAATATGGACTATAACTGTGGGCAAAAAAAAAATACTTATGGATTAATTGAATTTCTCACTTTTGTCCAATTTTTCTGGCAGAAGACAGACATGTAAATTCAAGAATCATTATTTTTAAGTGTTCCTCAGCAGTTATCATCCAAGCCTTTTTCATTCAAGGAGTCGAAAACTGTGCAATAGCAATATTATAAAAAGACTTTGAAAGATAATCATTATATTGACTTTGATATAGCAAAATGGCAGAGATAAGAGTACATTTGTTTTAAGAAATTAAGCAAGTAGACCAGCCTGGCCAACATGGTGAAACCCCGTCTCTACTAAAAATACAAAAAATTAGCCAGGCATGGTGGTGGGCGACTGTAATCCCAGCTGGGAGGCTGAGGCACAAGAGTCGCTTGAACCCAGGAGGCGGAGATTGCAATGAGCCAAGATGATGCCACTGCACTCCAGCCTGGGCGACAGAGTGAGACTTTGTCTTAAAAAAAAAAAAAAAAAAAAAAAAGAAGCAGTAAGTAAAAAAGTTTTTAAATAAAGACATGGGATACTGCCTTCCCCCTGCATTAATACTATTACTGATTCTTTGCACAAATTTTTAATGTAGCTTCACATGATTATTTAGAACTGTAACAATATTTAAAAGACATATTCTGAATTCATTCATAAACCATCTTTTTAGAATTTGGTTGTATCCTGTTGGATAACGTTGACTTGTTTCTTTATTTTCTATCAAAGGTCTGACCATAACCTTAAATTCTTAGGCAACTACAAATTAGGAGGAATAGGCTAAGCATCATTTGATGTTTGTCTGCACATCAGTCAAGTGAGGGTTCAGAGTCATCTGCTGAATTTGGCCTCTGTAAGTGAATAATGAGAATATATCCACCTTTAAAATCTTTTGCCTTTGCATCTTTTCTTCTGTCTCAGTCAGTCCTGTGGCCCTTTCCTGGACTGGGCGAAGGGAACAACACAGCAGTGGGTGATTGAGGAAAGGGAGCATGAAAGAAACAAAATGGGAACATTTGGAACAGAGGTGGCCTAAACATTAGCTTTTCCCTGTGCAGAGTCACCAAGGCCAGGAGCTAATCGTGGCTGGGTTCAGGATGAGGGCACGATAGGGAGACGAGGTGAGAATCAGTATTGGTACTGCCAATGTTTTTAGGCGGAGCACTAAAAGGAAGGTTTTTTTCAGGTTGTGGCTCAGGAGCAAGCTTGAATTTCAGTTGACTTGACTGGGGGCGGGGTAAGCAGGCCAAGCCCCCAGGAAGTTTTAGAGAGCAGGGAGTTACTCTGCTGTCTTCCTGCAGATCTGAAGGGGGAAAAGGGGGTGTTTGCCTGCAGCCGGAGCCATTCTCCCTGATGGCCCTGTGCGCCTGTCCAGAGAGAGGGAGCCAGGGAAGAAGCGGACAGACAGATGCCTTCTGGCCCACCCCTCCTTCTGCTAGAACTGATTGCAGTTTTAAATCTTTTTGTTTCTTCTAATTTTCTAAAAAGGTTTTCCCTTTAGGAAAATACTCCCTCATTAACGTTAGTCCAAAAAGTGCTTTTTCCCCCCTTTTTCAGAATTTAGAGGGAAAAATACCCTGTGACTATTTTTAACACATGTGGGAGAGGAGAGATTCTTTTTTTCTTTGCTTAAATATTCTGATATTCCCATCACTAGTAACTGACATTTCCCAAAACTAAAAGTGAAATTTCCCAGTAGGGTCTCCAGTCTAAATAAGATTTATTAGAAAATAGGAATGAAGAGATTGGGGAGGGGGAGAGAGAGAGAGAGACTAAAAATTTTTCAAGGGATTTCAGTTTTTATTTCAGCAAAGTTTCCTTCTAATTGAATTCATAAGCAGCATTTTGCAGTAATATTATTGTATGCCTTGTTTTTTCTTTTTATACCTACAGACTGATTTTTAGAACTGAAATTTGAAAGAATACAGCTGAATGATTTTCCCCCTTACTGAGGAGGTCAAACAAAAAGAAGACAATTTAATCAATATAGAGTTTAGGTCAATCAACTCAAAGTGAATAGATGAAAGCCTAGAATTAAAACATTAAACATCTACTGAGCAGAATACCTAATTAGTATTGATCACCGAATAATTCTAAGCACATGTGCTGTTTACATAGAAAGGAAGCAATATATTTTCTTAGAAAAAAAAGAGCAATAACATTATATCTGGACCTGATTAACATGAGGTAAAGAAAAAAGGCCTTATAAAATGAGACTCATGACACCACCACATTAGAAAAAAACTTTGCTGGACAGGACACATTATTCAGCGGAAACTGTAATCATGTCCAAGGATGGAAGACAGGACTTGGGGTGAGGGCTATGCCAGGAGAGAAGTATGAACAGGGACAGGAGCGACAGGCCGAAGCACACAACTGGATTTTTCTGACCTGACAGAACAGCTGGCAATTTTTTGAGTAGGATGCGGGGCATGGTTACTTTGTGTGAGATGTGGGTGATGAAGTTACAAACATGACCTGCAGTCCTCATATTGAGCCTCCGACACCCATCTATACACTGTATTATACTGCGCTGATTTTACAGGGAGGAGACTGAGGATTAGGGAGTCCCAGTAACTAACCTAAGGACACCCAGATTGTCAGTGGCAAAGGTGGAATTCCAGCTAGGTTCTCCCTTTTCATCTCCCCATAGTAATGATTAGTTAGTGGGGGGTGAAGAGGAGCCTTCCCAAACACCCAAGGAAAAGTACACTTAAACAAGCACATTTCAGCCACTCAGCTAGAGCTTCCTTCATCTACTTTGTGTTATTGGTGGCATTAGAAGAAGGCTCACAGCTGTGGCCTCTGAGCTCAAAGAAAGTTGCTGACTTTCTTTGTAGACTGAAGTTTTAGATAATACCATCTCCTTTTCCCTTAGTCTGGTGGAAGGCAGAGGCTATCTCTGAGGCATCCAGACGTGCTTAGACCTATCCAGAGGACTGACCGCAGCTCTTGGTTTTGAACCAAAAATTTTGGCTAATTCACCTTGAGAGAGTGACCATTGGTTAGAAGGTGAGTAGAAGGAGAATGGGAGAGAAAAATCCTTAGCCAACTGATTAGTTGAAACTTGAAATAAAGATGGTGGACAACATTAATACTGTTACTATTAACATGTAATTGAAGAATTGTTTTTTGTAGAATTTACTAATTTGGAAATCACTGGCCTATTTGTTTATGGCCTGAGGGAAAGTCGGGGTGAGAGAGACAGGAACTGGGGAGGGAAGGCTTCCCTGAGGAAGCGACTTTTCAACTGCATGTTCATTTGTTAGGGGCCAGGCTTGAGGAGCACTGAGGAGAAAAAGAGGTTTCTCCGAGGGGCGGGGACGGCTGGCGCAAGGACCCTGTGAAGCCCATACATTCGATTTTGCTGGAATTTACCCATTTTCCTCTTTTCTAAGAACCATACTTCTTAAAAAAACTGATCTCGCCTATTAGACTACACAAGACAAGCATATTCCTGCCCCTTTTTATTTGATGGCTTAACAATGTTTACCGGGGGCGTTTATTGTTGGGGTTCAGGGACATAGCCATACTTCATTGTGCCCAAGGGCAAGTGCATCCTGGCCTCAGAAGGAACTGGGTGAAATCCCCAAAGCTAGCAGGAAAGAGGCAGAACACCTTCCCCATTTCTACTTTTTGTCTGTTTTTTTCTCTTCATGAAGCTTCTTATCACTTCTGCAGACCAGCTTTGCGTTCCTCTGAACACATGATCAACTGCGATCACAGAAAAGCTTAGTTTCTATCACCTCAGTTCTGGGTACACCACTAACTGGCCATCTTGACTCTCATTTCCAAATATGGGGGCAAAAAAAAATTGACTGATTCCACCTCAGTCAAGTATTCACCTCTGAGCCAATCATCCGTAGTCAAGAATGTTGATTTTAAATAGCTGATTTTGAGTTAGGGAGAAGCGGTTTCTCCTTACACCAGGTAAGTAGGCAGTCTCCAAAGACTCCCTGTGACTTTCCACATCACGTTTTAGCTCTTCCTACCTTGACTTCCAGATTCTCTAAAATATACTTATATCCTTGTTCCATGTTAACCGCTACTTATTACCATGACTTTAAAAATAATAATACACCGGGCGTGGTGGCTCACATCTGTAATCCCAGCAATTTGGGAAGCCGAGGCGGGCAGATCACTTGAGGTCAGGAGTTCGAGACCAGCCTGGCCAACATGGTGAAACTCTGCCTCTAATGAAAATACAAAAATTAGCTAGGTGTGGCTGCTTGCGCCTGTAATCGCAGCTACTTGGGAGGCTGAGGTGGGAGAATCGCTTGAACCCAGGAGGCGGAGGTTGCAGTGAGCCAAGATCACAATACTGCACTCCAGCCTGGGCGACAGAGCAAGACTCTGTCTCAAAAATAAATAAATTAATTAATTAAATAAAAAATAAAAATAAAATAAATACAAAAAATTAGTCTATTAGTCTCCTTTTATGATTCAATTAAACATCTGTTTTTCTCCCCCTCATTTATCTTAGAGATCATCTAATTCACTCTATTACAAACCAGAGATGTTAAGTGACTTACCTGGGGTCATACATTTGTGGCAGAACCCTCTGTACAGGGTTTTTTTCAGTTATAAAGTGCTGCCTCCTACTGAGGTTTGTGTCTGGGACCCCAGGACAAAATAAGAAAGGACATAGCAGGAATCTCACCTAACCTATGTCTCAGCTCAGAGGGGAAAACTTCACAGAAGGGATCAGTCTGGCATAAGCATACCATTGAACAGGTGTTTCAAGGGGGCAGGACTTGGATGACCAGATCTTAGAAGAAAGACTTAGTCTAAGTCTCTGTGCATTCTGGAGAGGCCTTGCTCACCAGAAAGCCCAATGTTGGTGTTCAGCTGCTGCCCACCTTAGGGTACAATGAACCCTATTCTGCTGGAAGAGTTGTTCCATCAAAGAAACGGGATCTTTCTCAGAAGTCTCATGCAAATATTAATTCATTCAGACAAAAGCAGATGAGTAGACACTGGGTGACTTTGAACCACTATTCAACCGACTCTGGGCCTCCATTATCAAATAAAATGGTTGGATAAGAACTAGGCAACTTCCATGATGGCTCATAGCTCTAAAATCTCATGATTCCATAATAAGTAAATAGAAATAACAGAAGAAATTCATCAGACAATAAACACAAAACAGACATTAAGTCCTCAGGCTAAATGCAATTTTTAAAATTCAGCCATTTTTTTTTAAAAAACCCAAATAATTAAAAGCTTAAAATTTTTAAGAAAATGATCTTATAACCACTGCATGAAACACTATCAACAATAAATTGTTTTTTAAATTATGAAAATAGGCCGGGCGCAGTGGCTCACGCCTGTAATCCCAGCACTTTGGGAGGCTGAGGCGGGTGGATCACGAGGTCAGGAGATCGAGACCATCCTGGCTAACACGGTGAAACCCCGTCTCTACTAAAAATACAAAAAATTAGCCAGGCATGGTGCACACGCCTGTAGTCCCAGCTACTTGGGAGGCTGAGGCAGGAGAATCGCTTGAACCCGGGAGGCAGAGGTTGCAGTGAGCCAAGATCGCGCCACTGCACTCCAGTCTGGACGACAGAGCGAGACTCCATCTCAAAAAAAAAAAAAAAAAAAAAGAAAGAAAAGAAAACTCTACATATTAAATTTTATGACACAGCCAAGTGATTCCCTTCTGCCTCCTATGACACTCTTAAACATAGATTACCTCATGGTAACAATACTGTTCTGGAGCAGAAAGATACCCATCTTACATAGGAAGACATTGAAATCCAAAGAAATGGATCTCAGGTGAAATACCATGCTCATGAGACCATAACCTAAAGTTTCAAGCAGTAGGCAAAACTGGAATTTTTTGAAATCAAGGGAAGCTTTATGTTATCCAATAATACTTTCATTTTGATTTTTTAAAGGCTAATGATAAAAAATTAAAAATAAAAACACAAAAGTACAAAAAAAGCTAATGATGAAACTGCACATTTAGTAGTTAAATACTAAAACAATAAAACAGGGCCGGGGGCGGTGACTCATGCCTGTAATCCCAGCACTTTGGGAGGCCTAGGCAGGCAGATCATTTGAGGTCAGGAGTTCGAGACCAGCCTGACCAACATGATGAAACCCCATCTCTACTAAAAATACAAAAATTAGCCAGGCATGGTGGCACATGCCTGTAGTCCCAGCTACTTGGGAGGCTGAGGCAGGAGAATGGCTTGAACCAGGGAGGTGGAGGTTGCAGTGAGCTACGATCCCACCACTGCACTCCAGCCTGGGCGACAAGAGTGAAATTCCATCTCAAAAAAAAAAAGACAATAAAACAAATTAAAGATGATATTGAATTCTTTAATTATGCAGTTTAAGCTTACATATTTGAAAATATGAGTAAACTTATTTCCCTCAAAAATGCCAAAAATTGCTATCAAATAGACTCAGCTATTTTTAGGAACTTTGGAAGTATAAAAGTTGAAAATTTTTCTTCATGTTTGCCAATTTGAAAAACATCCTATTGAAGAATGTGTGCATGTGTTTGTGTGTGTGTGCGTGTGTGTGTTGAACTGTTCCTTGGTGTGTGACTGTGCCTGTATAACTATTCTGATGGGGCTAAGTGTGACCACCGCATGGAGTAATGAAGAAAGACCTGTGTTTCACTGTGTAAGAAAAAATATCTAGTTTCTTCAAAAAAGAGAAAATCCCTATTTACTTACTTCCTCATGAAGGACTCCTTCAGAAGGAGCCATGAGGTATGAAAAGGGTGTTATTTCTAGGCAGTGTTTCCAAAAGTGTAGTAGGGTAGATAATTTTATGTGGCATATGAATAAACATTTTTATTTGAATAATTATGCTTTTATTTTTATCATTCCTCTCCACTCTCTCCTTCAACACTCACAGCCTTGGTACCACCGTCTGCCTGTGATCACTGGTTTTATTCACAGCGTCTATTTGGGTCCTCATGTCTGCTGCCACCCGCCAGGCCCTGAAGGTCACACCTCGCTGCCTACTCCCCACGTAACTCTCTGCATCGTCTTTTCTGACCCTATATCCCTGTATTCTCTAACTAGAGGAACCCTTACCTGTGTCCTCTGCAACTCACAATAAATCATCGGCCAAAACTCAGTTTAGAGAACCAAGTCTAACTGTCTTTCCAATAAAGCAAAGCCATTCCCTGTTAACCAAGAGTTATAGGTGACAGTGAATGGCTTGCTTTCTGTTTCAATTATTTATTGCTATGTAACAAATTGCCCCAAACTTAGTGGCTTAAAACAACAAACACTTTGTTTGCTTTTTAAGCTTCTGTGGATTGATAGCTCAGCTGGCAGTTCTTGGTGTCTTTCAAAAGATGCCTGGAACTAGAGGCACCAGGAAGCCCCACCAGGAGGCCAGCCTCCTCCCTCTCCAATGCAAGGCATGTGGTCTGTCTGTGTGGTAGTTTGGGGGTCCCAGAAGAGATGGAAAATGGAAATTTCCAGGCCTTCTCAGGACTTAAGCCAAGAGCTGCCACAGCGTCACTTCTGCCACCTTCTATTCATTAAGCAGTCTCAAAGCCAGGCCATATTCAAGGAGAGAAGAAATAAATTCCACCTCTGAGGGGTCGGGGGTGGTGATAAAGAATTTGCAGTCTTTTTTAGTCCATCCCAGTTTCTCAAGCAGGAGAGTTCCTTTTAGTTTTCTATGCAGAACACTTTGAGAGTTTCTAAATCTATTTACTATTCTTTGGGATAGACTTAAATTCCCTGGGTAGAAAAAGCATGATGTTTCCCCAGAGCAGTACAACATTGAGGTCAGGAGCTGGTTCAAACACACTGTAAGTGATTATAAAATTATGTACACATGAGTACATATAAATACTACTTGCCTTTCAAACAACACTCTGAAATCCAAGTTTTACAACCATGAACCTCACTTTGAAGGCGCTCTCACATTCTCTACTTTCTTAGAAATTAAAATTTATTTTCCAGTCCAGGCTGTGGCAGTCACCGAGGAAGGAGGCCAGCTCAGCTTGGCAGTGCCAGGGACATGGACTTGGGGAACACCCCCCACAGACTGTGAGCTCCTTCAGCAGTGATTGTGTCTTATTCTTTTTCATGTCTATGCATGCCCTTGCCTGACACGTAACAGACACCCAGCACTGGGTCAAGGAGTAGGCCGAGCACACTCAACTGGAAGAAAAGCAAACACGAAGTCATCATGCCCCCAATATCTACTCATGGAAACCAAGAGAAAGGTCCCCATTTGCCACCACCAAGCAAGCAGAGACTGTTGTTTTATCCAAAATCAAACTGCACATCCACAGAGGAGAGATTTCAAACATTATAAGAGGATGTCAAGAAGAAAGTTTCTGGAAGAGAGCTCTGCCTTTTTCTCCTGTAAGCATGCTCATCACCCAGGGACTAGTCTGCCAAGGTTATTTAGCAGCTAATCCAAGATTTGGATCATTGCCTGAAGTTACACTTGTTGGTATATTGGGATTGGCCTTGGAAAGGTATCATACATAAGAGTATGCCAGAGTAAATTCCATTTCTTTGAAGATCAGCTCCATGGGGCTGATTTTGGTCCACAGCAGAACAGGCACTGATTGCTTACCTGTGAAGAATGCAAAATAAAGCATGGATTCAATGAGAAGAGAAGTTCACAGCCTTTGGCTTCCTAAACTCTGTGTCTATGATTTTTGAAGATTTTTTTATCCTCTGAATTGTACACATTTGAAATTTCAAGTGTAGTTTTAAATATTTTATTTTAAATATTTTGTTTTAAATATTTATTTTAAATATTTTGTTGTAAATATTTATTTTAAATATTTTGCTCCACTTGATTTATTTTACTTCTAGTATTTATTTACTAGAAGTATTGTTCCACTTCTATTGGAATAAAAATTATTTTCTAATCAGTAAAAGCATTTCTGTCCACACCTTTAAAAGTTAAAATTATAAATTATCAATTATAAATTTATTCACCCCAAATAAATGTAAGCAAATAAAAGACATTGTGTAAATTAACCTAGCATGGGAACTCTTCCTGCTTTCATTTAATCTCACCTCCCTCTGTAAAATTTCCCAGCGTATTACACTTTCAGGATATGTGTCTCCATTTCTGTTCATTTCACCATCTACTGATTGCTTCTTCTTTTTATTTAAACTTACAAACTTATTTCAGGTAATTAAAGTCAATCTGTAGGAGGGAAGCCATGGTATGGACAATTCAAAAATCACTCATAGCTGGGCGCAGTGGCTCACGCCTGTAATCCCAGCACTTTGGAAGACTGAGGCAGGCGGATCACGAGGTCAAGAGTTCAAGACCGGCCTGGCCAATATGGTGAAACCCCATCTCTACTAAAAAATACAGAACAGTAGCCGGGCGTGGTGGCGCTCATCTGTAGTCCAGCTACTCAGGAGGCTGAGGGAGGAGAATCACTTGAACCTGGGAGGCAGAGGTTTGCAGTGAGCTGAGATCACACCACTGCACTCCAGCCTGGGCGACAGAGTGAGACTTTGTCTCAAAAAAAAAAAAAAAAAATCACTTGTTCAATTTGGTAAATATATTGGCACTTACATTTGAGTGGCTGTATGATGTTTTTCAAATCAAATCTTTTTGCTCTGTGGGGAAAATTGCCAATTTTGCTCAGTTGCTCCTGAGCAGTCACTCCCAGCAATTTCACCTATACTAGAAGCAGATGCTAAAAGATTTGCCTTCCCTCTGGCAAATTCTGTGACTTCTCTGGGACTGGGATCGACAAATGTTTGGGTTCAAAGGGCTTTTCTCTTTGCAAAGTAAACAGAAGGAACAGAGATGTGAAGAGCGCAAGTAATTAAGTAGGAATATATTGTCAATTACCTGGAAGGTACTTTACAGATTGTCAAGTAAATGATGATACCTCCATCATCATTCATTGGTGATATTTGTTAATGCATGTGCAATGTGCAGCACTGAGGTGAACAAACTGAAAAACAGCCTCATGGTTATTTAGGTGATGTGAGGGTTCCATCAGCCCGGACACTCATCTACAACAAAACAGCAGTTCTTTAAATCAGAGCTTTATAAAGATACTACAAGGAGTAACCGATGTGATAATGATTGGCCCTCCACTGCAGTATAAGAACTCCCTGCATTTTACAATGTCAGATTTATGTATGACTACAAATATATTAATTTCCAGTCCCTCTTTATTCTCCTAAGAATCTTAGCCAAGTGTGTAAGGGGATAATTCCCATCCTTGATGGGAGTCTTCTTCCCAAATTATCCAAGTTCTCCTGGTCCTTACAGGGGAACCTCTTCCCGGGGAGCCCCTGAGAGGTAGCTTTTTAAGTTCAGTTTGGAACAGATGACTTTGGGAAGGAAACTCTCCCAGACTTTGATACTCCTGTGAAAGACATGCAAATTCCTGCCCCTCATTTCTTGTTCCAGGGGAATTGCTTCCCGTTTGCACCAGGCTCTGCGCGATCAGCCTTCTGCCCGACCAGTTCTCAAAGTGCCCAGCTGCGTCCATGGGAGGGAAATTTTGTTTTCTCCTTTAGCAGAATTGGGGGGCCGGCTGACGTGAGAGTTTCCCAGGGCAGAAACATGGGTGCCCTGGTATTTGTGTGACGTCCCGAACCGCGCCACACCGGGAGGCCTGAAGGTGGCGGTGGAACCGGTGTTCCGCGCCCGCCCCCGCGCGCCTGGGGTCTGGGAGGGCAGAGGCTGTCACTGTTTAACTTGGGGCCATCCTCGCATAGCACCTCTCCTTCGACGCCAGCCTCTGCAGGTAACCGTAACATACGATAGGAGGAAAGACGAGAACACCCACGCAGGCCAAGGTCAACTAAAGGCTTCTAAAAACAAAATCTGTAAACTGCCCGTAAGGAAGTAGCCTGGAAGCTTCCAAGTAGCCTTGGGGGGCGGGAGCGGGGACGGGGGAGATCTTAAAATGCTGAGGAAATACTAAGCGAGGTTTCAGGTGACAAAGGAAAGAGAAAATACCACACAATTTTCCTAAATTAGCTAATTAGTAAAATCCATTTGAGAAAAGGACTTGAGATTCAACCTAAAATGAACATTTAAGTTCCCTAAAAAGTATAGTGAGAATGGAAATGGACTAGAGCTGTTAAGCCTCAAAACTAGCCGGAATGCCCTGACAAAGAGAGGGGGTGCCTTATGCGTTGAAACCTGCTCTAAATATGGCTAAAGTTTTGCAATAAAACATACTTTCTACTATAATTTGTGTTTGGCAAAATAGAATGCCCCAAATAAAAAAAAAACAGTATTATTACCTATTAGGAAACTTCTGTCTGGCATGGTGGCTCATGCCTGTACTCTCAGCCCAGCACTTTGGGAGGCTGAGGTGGGAGGGTAGTTTGAGCCCAGGAGTTCCATGCCAGCCTAGGCAACATAGGGAGACACACCTCTATTTTTTTTTTAAAGGAAACTTCTGTATGTAATCATTTCTTACATGTAAGGTGAGATAATGCCATCTGAAAATTTTTTAAAAACCAATATTATGCTTTTAAAAATAACACTAAATCACTAGCAGCGGGGGACATAGAAAATCAGCGTCTCGGTTAGGGTAAATAAATGCACTTTGGAGGGCCTCAGTAGAACACCTCTATGCTTGTCTTACACCTTCATTTTCTGTAGGTTTCTAGAAGCTTAGCGGTTCACTGGGGTAGGCTGCCTGCGTTGGCCAGTGCAGAGGACCGATGGCACTTGCAATCTCCCTCTCTAGATTTATGACGCTGCAATCTCCTTGTCGAAGTAATGGTACATTTTTTTTTCTTTTATTGTTGGCTTTTGCCTGGTTTTTTTTTTGTTTGTTTGTTTTTTGTTTTTTTTTTATTTTTTATTTTTGTTCTGCAGATAAATACAAACTAATAAAGAGACACTAATTCTACTTTTCCACTTTTTTTTTTTTTTTTTTTTTGAGATGGAGTCTTGCTCTGTCGCTAAGGCTGGAGTGCAGTGGCGCCATCTCAGGTCACTGCAACTTCTACCTCCCGAGTTCAAGTGATTCTCCTGCCTGAGCCTCCCAAGTACGTGGGACTACAGGTACATGCCACCTTGCCCGGCTAATTTTTGTATTTTTAGTGGAGATGGGGGTTTCACTGTGTTGGCCAGGCTGGTCGTGAACTGTTGACCTCAGGTGATTCGCCCGCCTCAGACTCCCAAAGTGCTAGAGTTACAGGCATGAGCCACCATGCCTGGCCTTACTTTTTCACTTTTAATTTTTGTACTAAGTTCTTCTGTTTGTTTAGTGATATAATGCAAAAGTGATAGTATTGTCATTTTGATAAAGTCAAATTTAAGCAATTAATCCAACATTTTGCATATTTGGTTAAAGAAAAACATGATTGACTTTAAAATTCAGAAGCTAAAAAAAATTAAGACAAGATCTACTTGTTTTAAATAGGAAAAGGAAAAACTATATCGTCAGTATGTGTGTATATTTAAAAAGAAAAAACTGTATCTCCAATATGTGTGTATATATGTATGTAATTGTGTGTGTATGCAGTGTGTGTGAGAAAGTGTATGCAAACAAGTCTTATTTGACTGTAGCACCTTATTACTGATATTCTCTCCAGTCATATATCATGGTCAAGCAAGATGCATTGCTCTAAAAACGTAAAAGACACAATTGCAAAATTGTTCGTACTTCCAAATTTGCATCCATAAACTTTCCAAAGTTGCATCATTTTTGCATAGTGAAATGTCTTTGTAATAAACACACTAAAAGAAATTGTCTTTGGTTTTGCAGTTCAGATACAGCAGTTAGCCTCCTAGAGCCTAACAAAGTTTCAGTGAAAGTTAGAGCCCTGAATAATTTAGAGAAGCATGAAAACAATTTAGCTTTCCTACAGCTTGTTCTGTGAACCTCAATGAGAACCTGTATGAAAGTCGGTGTTTTTTTGTTGTTGTTGTTGTTGTTGTTTTTTTAAAAAAAAAAAAAAAAGGTGAGGGGAGGGAGTAGAATTCCTTGTTGAAAACATTTTGGGAAACATTTTATATCCTCCCTGTTGGAGACTCACAACATACATTAACATATTAAAGACTCTTAAATTTATGCTTAATTGATTTTCAACAAAGGTGCCATGGTAATTCAATAGAGAAAGGATAGTCTTTTCAACAAATGGTGCTAGGACAATTCAATAGCCACATGCAAAAAGATATATTTAAACCTTTGCCTCCCACATCATACTCAAAATTTAACTCCAAATGAATCATAGATCTAAATGTAAGAGCTAAAACTGCAAAACTCTTAAAAGAAAACATAGGCATAAATCTTTGTGACCTTTGTAGGTACAACAAAGCACAAGCACTAAAAAAAATTGATAAATTGGACTTTGTCAAAACTCAAAACTTCTGTGCTTCAGAAGACACCATTAAGAATAGTGAAGAGAAAAACCACAGAGAAAAAACATGCAAATCATATCTGATTAAGGCCTTGTATCTAGAATATAGAAGGAACTCTTGCAACTTAATAATAAGAAAATTACCCAATTTTAAAATGGGCAAAAATTTGAATAAACATTTGGGTAAAGAAGCTATATGAATGGTCAATAAACAAATGAAAAGATACTCATTATTGGTCATCAAGGAATGCAAATAGAAACCACAATGAGATACTACTACATACCCACTAGGATGGTTAGAATCAACAGACAATGACAAATGGTGGTAAGGATGTGGAGAAGCTGGGACTCTCACACACTGTCAGTAGAAATGCAAATGGTGCAACCACTTTGGAAAACGTGTGGAAATTTCTTTAAAAGTTTAACATAAGTTCGCCATATGATTTACAATTCCATTCCAAAGTATATACCTAAGAGAAATATAAAAATGTGTGTCCACACTAAAACTTGTACTCAAATGTTATTCACAGTACCACAAAGTGAAAACAACCCACATGTCCATAAACTGATGAATGGATAAGCTAAATGTGGTATACTTATATGGAATACTATTTAGCAATAAAAAGCAATGAAGTATTGATACATGCTACAAAATGGATGATCCTCAAAAACATTACGCTAAGCCGGGTGCAGTGGCTCATGCCTGTAATCCCAGCACTTTGGGAGGCTGAGGCAGGCAGATCACCTGAGGTTGGGAGGTCGAGACCAGCCTGACTGACATGGCAAAACCCCGTCTCTACTAAAAATACAAAATTAGCCGGGTGTGGTGACACATGTCTGTAATCCCAGCTGAGGCAGGAGAATCTCTTGAACCTGGGAGGCGGAGGTTGTGGCGAGTCGAGATCGCGCCATTGCACTCCCCCCTGGGCAACAAGAACGAAACTCCATCTCAAAAAACAAAACAAAACAAAACAAAATCATTATGCTAAGTGGCGGGGCAGAGTGGCTCATCCCTGTAATCCCAGCACTTCGGGAGGCCAAGGTGGGAGGATCACTTGAGCCCAGAAGTTCCAGCTTGAAGTGGGCTATGATTGCACCACTGCACTCCAGCCTGAGTGACAGAGCAAGATCTATTGTATAAGTCCATTTATATAAAATTTCTAGAAAAGAGAAATCTATAAAGACAGAAAGTAGATTAGTGGTTGCCTGGGGCTGGGGTGAAGAATAGCGAGTGATGGCAAATAGAAACAAATTTTTTTTGAGGGTGGTGAAAATGTTTTAAACTTGAATTTTGGTGACGATTGCATAAGTGTAAATACACTAAAAATCATTTAATTGTTCCTTTAAGACAAGTGAATTTCATGGCACATAAATTATACCTCAATAAAGTTGTTATTTGTTTAGAAAGAAAGGGTGTTCTCTTTTCAAACAATTTGGGAAACATTTTATATCCCACTTCTTGGAAAGTCACAACATATATTAACATATTAAAGAACAAGCAACTCTATAATAAAGAAACCTATTTAATTTTAAATCCAGCATAAACCAAATTTATGTGACCACAAGAATTTTTTTAAGTTATGCCAATTACACCTCTTCAAAATGAGCATTAAGGGAAAAATAATCAGGAGCTGCTGAAGGTAGTTTGTTTCACTCTCTGTCCCTTAACTTCTCTCTTTTTTTTTTTTCTTTTTTTTTTGAGGTGGAATTTCGCTCTTGTTGCCCAGGCTGGAGGGCAATGGTGCTATCTCAGTTCAGTGCAACCTTTGCCTCATGAATTCAAGCGATTCTCCTGCTTCAGCCTCCCGAGTAGCTGGGATTACAGGCGTCTGCCACCACGCCCGGCTAATCTTGTATTTTTCATAGAGATGGGGTTTCACCATGTTAGTCAGGCTAGTCTCGAACTCCTGACCTCAGGTGATCTGCCCAACTCAGCCTCCCAAAGTGCTGGGATTACAGGTGTGAGCCACCACGCATGGCCCCCTTAACTTCTCTAAGCCCTTAAGTCCAAGAAAATGGCATATACTTTACTAATCTCTGAGGTTTTTTTTTTTGCAAAAATAAATGCAATTTATATAATTAATGAGTCCATACACATCAGTAAGCTGGAGAGGTCTTCTCACCCACCCGTCACTGCCATTGTATATACAGGATTTCTGCTGGGGTGTCAGGCTGAGAGGCTGAGATTAAAAAGTAATTGTCATTGAAGCTGAATGTAATTGATTACATAATTTGCAGTTGTTCAAGATTAATTCAATGAAAATTACATCATAAAATTAGGGCATTAACAAGGATTACTGTCAAAAGGAAAGTAGGTGTGAATCAAGCAACTGACTTATATATGACTCATACCCAAAAGCACCCTGGGTTCATATTTGGATCATATATAACAGTTGAATGACAAACATGTCCTCACTAGATGTAATTAGGGAAATAATTGATGCAAACCCTACACTACACAATTCTCATCATGGGAACCACAGTTGGAAAAATCTGGAAGCCCCTGATGTGTGTGTCTGTTGTTTTGTATGGGGGTGGGGTCATTGTTGCAGAAGAAGGTATGAAAAAATTTTGATCAGAATTGTTACATAAGGAAGGAGAAGCAGAATTTTTAAAAATGCATTAACAAGTAAGATGTGTTCTGCAAACAACTCTCCTAAACTTTTTTGTCAGACAGGAATGATTGTGGGGATGAGAAATGGATGACTGATTTATTATACCCAATTGATTATTTTTTTTTTTTTTAGCAGAGGATTTTCTGGTCACTGGAAAACCTACTAGACGAATTCTAAAAGAGCTGTAACACTTCTGATTGTTTTAATGTAAATAATTTCTTATGGCTATATTAACAAAGAACTATTACAGTCACATATATGGATTTTTTTTTTTTTTGAAATGGAGTCTCACTCTGTTGCCCAGGCTGGAGTGCAGTGTCACGATCTCGGCTCACTGCAAGCTCCGCCTCCCGGGTTCACACCATTCTCCTGCCTCAGCCTCCCGAGTAGCTGGGACTACAGGCGCCCGCCACCACTCCCAGCTAATTTTTTGTATTTTTAGTAGAGACAGGGTTTCACCATGTTAGCCAGGATGGTCTCCATCTCCTGACCTTGTGATCCACACACCTCGGCCTCCTGAAGTGCTGGGATTACAGGCATGAGCCACCAAGACTGGCCAAGGTGGATTTGTTAATAAAATGATACTTTTTAATGATACTTTTGGGAAAAATATTGGCTTCTATCAAGGCACAGATTATGTTATTAGCCCCTTGTCTTTATTCCAAATATATGCAAATAATGATACTGATATAAGCCCAAAAGATGCCAGACAGAATTTCAGGATATTGGTTTTCATATTTGGGAAATGAATATAAACTTTCGATGGAATTATTTGGATATATGCTGGGTAGAAGGCAAAATGAACATTATAAGACACCATTTTAAATAACTTTGGCATCAACCTATCAGTAATTACTTGTAACTAGAATAATCTTTTAAATGAAAGTGTGTATAGAAGAAAGCCAGTGTCACCCACGATTAAACTTTTTTTTTTTTAGAAACTGATGTTTATTTTCCATCCACCATTTTTCCATATTGCTTAAGAGCCTATGCAAGAACAGCTTAAGACCATTCAGTGGTTGCTCCTACCCATTCAGTGGCCTGGGCAGTGGGAGCTGCAGACCAGTCTTCCGTGGCAGGCTGAGCGCTGCAGTCTTCAGTAGGGAACTGCTGAATAGGCACAGAGGGCACCTGCACACCTTCAGACCAGTCTGCAACCTCAGGCTGAGTAGCAGTGAACTCAGGAGCTGGAGCAGTCCTTTCACCCTGAAATTCCTCCTTGGTCACAGCCTTTTCAGCAGCAGGCTGCTCTTCTTTTTCAATCTCTTCAGGATCTCTGTAGAAGCAGAAATCAGGCATGACCTCCCACGGGTGTTCACGGGAAATGGTGCCACGCATGCACAGAACTTCCCAAGCCAGCATCCACCACATCAAACCCACTGAGTGAGCTCCCTTGTTGTTGCATGGGATGGCAATGTGCACATAGCGCAGAGGAGAATCTGTGTTACACAGAGCAATGGTAGGTAGGTTAACATAAGATGCCTCCGTGAAAGGCTGGTGGTCAGCCCTGGGGTCAGTAACCACAAGAAGTCGTGGCTCCTGGAAGGCTGCCTGGATCTGGTTAGTGAAAGTTCCAGGAGTGAAGCAGCCAGCAATTGGAGTGGCTCCAGTGGCAGCAGCAAACTTCAGCACAGCCCTCTGGCCAGTATTCCTGGATGATATAACACTGACATCAGCAGGGTTTTCAATGGCAACAATGGCACGAGCTGCCAGCAGAAGCTTCTCCCAGGTCCTCTTCAGATTTATGATGTAGATACCATCACTTTTCCTTTTATAGATGTACTGTTCCATCTGGAAGTCAAGATTGGTGCCACCTAAGTGGGTTCCTGCTGCAAGGAACTTAAGGACATCCTCCTCCTTCATTTGCAGGACATCAAGGGCTCCGGACATTGTGAAAGTTTCCCTTTAAGTTACGACGGGAATCCAGAACAACGCCGTATGGACCCCTCTGTAGGTAGCGTGGAAAGCGATTGAACTTGTTAAAGCAAGGTGAGAAAAGCAAGAACTTTTGGATACTCTCTAAAAATCTGAATTTGTGTTTCAAGTACAGATGTAAATTACAGCTTAATAACATGCTTATGGGAGAAGAGCAAGCCAAAAGGGCTGCAGGTATGCAACTCCAGACCACTCTGAAAACCCAAAATGTTTTAGAAAGTCAAGATAACTTAACGCCTTCCTGCTAGCTGCACCCCCTCCAGGTTAATCTATTTTTTATTCATAATCTATTTTTGTTCTGTATCACGCTTTTTTGTAAAGTTTGTGGCTCAATTACTTCTATTTTCCAAATTCTACTTCCCCTTCTTACTGGCTTTCCTTTGCTAGTTTTAAGGTTTTCCCCTCAAAACCAGGGTTACCTCACCTCTGATGGCACCCCATCTTCATATATTCTTCACAACTCTTCAGGTAAACTGGATCCTCGTTTTCTCAAAAACAGCTTTGCAATTCCTGATGTGCATTTGCTATCTTATAAATAAAAAAGTAAAATATTATTTGCTCCTACTTATACACAAATGTTTCTTATTAACTCCAGATTGGATGAATAGTTGAGGATTTTGAAGAAGTTAGGTGGAGAATTCAGGCAAAGGCTCTTTTTAGGAAAAATAGGAATGGGAATAGAGCCTATTTGTGAGGTGGCTGTGTCCACCTGGAAGCCACTTCTTCTATCTGCATAGATATGATAAAGGAAAGACCCACCCCATCAAGACTTTCTCCATATTTATGTGTCATTTCCTTTCAGCCTATAGCTCAAAATGATCTCTGTTCTCTCCTGCTGGATTCAAGCATCATTAAGTACTTAGCAATTGTTTTAAATAATTTTGAATAATAATAATATAATCACCTTCACGGAACATAGAGAAAAATTAGAAAAGAAAATAAAATCACCCTTTTTTCCGCTACCCTAAAGCAATCTTTGTCAGGGTTTTAATACATTTCTTTCCTTTTTCTATCAACTTAAAGATCTCCCCTGTTGCCAAAAGTTCTTCATAATCATAATTTATAAGCTATGCATAATCCAATATTTTTGAAATATTTAATTTTTTGACATTTTAAAATCACAATACTGTGATGAATATCTTTCTGCATATACTTTATCAATATTTGGGGTTTAATAATTATCTTTTATTAACCTTAGCTCTCCAGGACTCAAGCAATAGGACAAAGCATGTCTTGACGTCTATTTATTCCAACTTCATATAGGAGGGTATCCCACTGTCAGCAGGTAGAAATGCTAGCATTTGTTCATTTGGCTGTCTAAAGGAATGCAGTCTTGTTAGTCTAAGCCAAAGACCGTTGTGAACTTGATGGATGTCATTTTTATTTTTTTATCATTATTATTATTATTTTATTTTGAGACGGAGTTTTGCTCTTGTAGCCCAGGCTGGATTGCAATGGCGCAGTCTCGGCTCACTGCAACCTCAGCCTCCCAGGTTCAAGCAATTCTTCTGCCTCAGGCTCCCGAGAAGCTGAGATTACAGGCATGCTCCACCACACCCAGCTAATTTTTTTGTATTGTTAGTAGAGACAGGGTTTCACCATGTTGGCCAGGCTAGTCTCAAACTCCTGATCCCAAGTAATCCACCCACCTCTGCCTCCCAAAAGTGCTGGGATTAAAGGCGTGAGCCACTGCACCCGGCTGATGGATGTCACTTTTAAAGAAAAAATAGGTAGTTTGGCTTAAAAGGGAATAAGGGGGAAATTCACCTCTAATAGCGTTTTGTTCTTAATAAAAAATACTTTACATTTAATCTTCATTAAAGGACCAAGACAATGTTATTCAAGGTTATATGCTGCAGTGTTTTAATAGATTGAAAGGGTTGATAACTTAAAGTTGGTTTCTTCAATCTCATTTTTCATTGTTTCCTCCCAAATAACGTATTTCATTGTTAATATAAAAGTGCACTGTTGTACTCGCAAAAGAACTTGGCAGTTCATAAAGAATGGGAAAAAAACATATGCAAATCTTTGCCAATCTCCAAGTCCCTTAAGGTTAATTTAACTGTCACAAGTAATTTTCCAAGAAAGAAAGCAGCCTGTGTCCATGAACCAGCCAGTTAACTCATCTACACTTGCAGCGTGCATTTTCCTCCTGTGTAATTTTTTCATCACAGTATGACTTACTGTGTCAGAAGCATTGATAAAGGTGGCAACCACGTTCTGTTCACACTGAATATTTGGGCAAATCTTTGAGCAAATCTTGAAGTCATTCTGCAGCAGGTAATGGGTCCTTCATCACAAATTCACAAATCACCAGCATTAGATAATTACACTACCCATCCATAATTCTTTTGTTAAGTGGCACGTCCATGCAATCACCGTACATGATTCTGAACACATCAGTAAGATACTAGGGCCAGGCGCGGTGGCTCACGCCTGTAATCCCAGCACTTTGGGAGGCCGAGGGGGGCAGATGGCTTTAGGCCAGGAGCTCGAGACCAGCTGGACCAACATGGTGAAACCCCGTCTCTACTAAAAATACAAAAATTAGCCAGGCGTGGTGTGCATGCCTGTAATCCCAGCTACTCGGGAGGCTGAGGCATGAGAATTGCATGAACCCAAGAGGCAGTGGTTGCCGTGAGCTGAGATCACGCCACTGCACTCCAGCCTGGGTGACAGAGCGAGACTCAGTCTCTCTCTATATAAAATAATATATATTCAGTAGTTACAATTATGCATATATATTCAGTATATGTATATTCAGTAAATAGTTACAATTATACATATATACAACATTATACATGTACATATACACATATATACATTATACATGTATATATACATATATATATAGAGAGAGAAGAAGTGTTTGCCACGATCATTCTGTAATCACTTAAAATATTTTTTCTGCCTCCTCAAAAAATAAACTCTGTGCATCACAAATACATTTTTAATGTTTCTGCTTGAAATTAGCAGGTTCTAATTAATTTTTTCAGGGTGCATTTGGGGTCATCCTTCTTGTTCTAATCCTGCTTCCATCTGACCATGTTGTTTCGCACTGCACCAGGATTAAGAAACAAGAAATAGAATGGATGGCTCTGGGCCCCTAACCCTTCCCTCCATTTCCACTGGCATGTGAACTCACGGTGACCTGTTCTGGTTATCTCTTGCTGCATAACAAGCTACCTAAACCTGGTGGCTTAAACAACCATCATTTATTTTGCACATGCATCTGCAATTTGGGCAGGGCTCTGCGGGGACAGCCTATTTCTTTCCATGCAGTGTCAGCTGGTGACTCAACTGTTAGGGGCTGCAACCATCCGAGTCCCTTACATATCTAGTAGTTGATGCTGGCGAATGGCTGGGGCCTCAGCTGAGGCTGCTGCTGGCTGGAACACCTGCATGTGGCCTTTCCATATGGGATCTTGCCTTCCTTACATAGTGTTTGGATCCCAAGAATGTGTCCCAAGAGGATAAGGCAGAATGTATGGCATTTTTACGACCCATCTTTGGAAGTCATATGGCATCACTTCCAGCTATATACACTGTTGATCAAGGCAGTCACGGAGACTGCACAAGTTCAAGCAGAGGGGATATATGCCACACTACTTGATGGGAGGAGTGTCACCTTCTCATTGTACAAGTAGCATGTGAAATGAAATATATTATGGTGGCTATTTTTGAAAAATAAAACCTACGGTCGCTAAATAAATCAGTCAGATGTAAAATATTCATTGAAAAAGACTTGCTTTTGAAAGTATTTGTTTACCCAGGTATTTAGATACTACCATTGGTATCTACATACCATTATATAAACCTTGCAGTATCTCAGGGATAGTACTCGTATGTGTTGAATACTATGCTAGGCACTAGGGTCCAAAGAGAAAAGGCATTATTAGCCTTGCCCACAAGAAGTGTATAATCTACTGGGAGAGACCCTTCAGTAAATAGTTACAATTATACATGATAGGCCGGGTGCGGTGGCTCACGCCTGTAATCCCAGTACTTTGGGATGCCGAGGCAGGTGGATCACTTGAGGTGTGGAGTTGGAGACCAGCCTGGCCAATGTGGTGAAACCCCATCTCTACTAAAAATATAAAAAATTAGCCAGGCGTGGTGGCGCACCCCTGTTATCCCAGCTACTTGGGAGCTGAGACAGGAGAATCGCTTGAATACAGGAGGCAGAGGTTGCAGTGAGCCGAGATCGTGCCACTTAACTCCAGCCTGGGCAACAGAACAAGACTCTGTCTCAAAAAAAATAAAAAATAAAAAATTAAGTGTGATAAATGCAATAATGTAGATAAATATTGACATATATATGAAAAGAACACTGCATCTCATTCTGTCTGAGTGAAACACAGATGCCTTCATAGGGGAGGACTCCTTTATGCCAGCTCTTTCAAATTCTGGTAATAAAAAAGGGGGGAAATCATTTATATTGAAGGAAGGGGGAATTCCACTGCCATATTTCTAATGTAGGCACCAACTTCAAGGCAATTGGAAATAAACGACCTTGCACTTGGAATATTCTGGTTGCATCTTGAGTTCAAATTCTGATGTATCTCAGTAAGTCATGCCTGACTTAGCAATGCTTTAATGTCGCACAAAAGAGAATCACTCATTAAAAACGATAAATTATTATGTAATAGGAAATATTATAAACATGATAACTCTAAATACCTGACAGATTTCCATGAAACAATTTGGTATTGGTTTCCAAACAATTATTTACCAATAAATATGTATTGAATGGTTATTTGCCATTGTTCTTAAAATGCATTGGCTCTTGAATACAAAGTGTTCTTTTTTTTTGTTTTTGTTTTTTGTTTTGAGACAGAGTCTCGCTCTGTCGCCCAGGCTGGAGTGCAGTGGCGCGATCTCGGCTCACTGCAAGCTCCGCCTCCTGGGTTCACACCATTCTCCTGCCCCAGCCTCCCTAGTAGCTGGCACTACAGGCGCCCGCCACCATGCCCGGCTATTTTTTTGTGTTCTTAGAAGAGACGGGGTTTCACCGTGTTAGCCAGGATGGTCTCAATCTCCTGACCTCGTGATCTGCCCGCTTCGGCCTCCCAAAGTGCTGAGATTACAGGCGTGAGCCACCGAGCCCGGCCGCAAAGTGTTTCTTAATTACTCCTAAAACAAACTTAAGCCATATCTATGTGAGAACAAAATAGATGTTTTTGGATAAAAAGTAAACATCCAAATCCTTTTTCACCTTCTTTTTTTTTTTTTTTTTTTGAGATGGAGTTTCGCTCTTGTTGCCCAGGCTGGAGTGCAATGGCTTGATATCGGCTCACCTCAATCTCTGCCTCCCAGGTTCAAGCGATTCTCTTGCCTCAGCCTCCCGAGTAGCTGGGATTACAGGCATGCACCACCAGGCCCAGCTAATTTTGTATTTTTAGTAGAGACGGGGTTTCTCCATGTTGGTCTGGCTGGTCGCGCACTCCCGACCTCGGGTGATCCGCCCACCTCGGCCTCCCAAAGTGCTGGGATTACAGGTGTGAGCCACCATGCCCGGCCTCATCTATGTGTTTTAAACATAGATGAGATCATTTTATAAATATTGCTCTGAATCTTTTTTACTTACAAATTGATGATGGGTATCTTCCCATGTCAGTTCACATAGTTCCACTTGATCCTTTTTAACATGTCATGATGCTATGTTTGTACCATAATCCAACCATTCTCTATTTATGGATGTTAAAACGTTTCCATTTTTTCACTCTTACAAATGATGCCACAGGGACCATGCATATGCATTCAATAAATAATCTAATCAATAAGAAATACAAAAAGGAAATATACAGTAATATTAACAATGATGTTGCTGGGTGATGAACTGTGAGTTGTTTTGACTTTTCTATATTTTCCAAAATTTTATTTTGTTAGTAATATGAAAAATAGATTCTGGTTTTTAAAAAGATATCAATGCATCAGGCTGGGCATGGTGGCTCACGCCTGTAATCCCAGCACTTTGGGAGGCTGAGGGGAGCAGATCACCTGAGATCAGGAGTTCAAGACCAGCTTGGCCAACATGGCAAAACCCTGTGTCTATAAAAAATACAAAAATTAGCCAGGCATGGTGGCGGGCACCTGTAATCCCAGCTACTCGTGAGGCTGAGGCAGGGAGAATCGCTTGAACCTGGGAGGCGGAGACTGCAGTGAGCTGAGATCGCGTCACTGCACTCCAGCCTGGGCGACAGAGCGGGACTCCATCTCAAAATAAATAAATAAATACAACAAAAAGATATCAATGCATCAGATGCATAAGATAGCCAGAAACAGGTTACTTATTATATAAGTTGGTTTACATTTGGTTTTAATTCTACTTCCCATTTCAAAATGTTTGTTTCTAAGGGGAGTCTTCCAGACAGAAGCTTCCTGATTGGCCTACTCTTCACTCTGTTTTTACTCCAACTGGGCAAACAATATAGGAGTGACAGAAATA
Organism: Homo sapiens; assembly: GCF_000001405.40. Classification (NCBI taxonomy): domain Eukaryota; kingdom Metazoa; phylum Chordata; class Mammalia; order Primates; family Hominidae; genus Homo; species Homo sapiens. The sequence continues at coordinate 80,552,376 of NC_000008.11, read as the reverse complement.
TTTTGGGTAAACAGCTAAGAACAGGTTGAAAATGCCTTCCTTATTTGGATAGCTTTTAAAGAAATACCTTCTTGCTTGTGGGTTTATCTACTGGAAAGCTCATTTTCTCTTTGAAAAGCGCACACTTTGTTAGAAGTCAGCACAGCAGTTACCTTTGGATGGGGAAAGGGTTCCTGGGAATAATGGGCTTCCAGGATGCTGGTAATGTTCTGTTTCTGTACGTAAATGTAGAATTTACATACAGATGTGCTCAATTTATGAAAATTCATCAAACTGTACAAGTTTGATGCTTGCATTTTTTAATGTATATGCTATTCTTCCCTTACAAGTTAGAAAACAAACAAACAAACAAGGGGCCATGGGAAAAAAGATGCTGTAGTTTTGGTGGGTCCAAAGAAATCCATGCAATAAAGGGATGAAGCAAGGGGACTGGTAATTTAGGGAGTACTTTCAGGACAAAATGTTATCACCCTACCATTCAAGAAAATGAGAAAAAGCAGCTAATGGCGAAATTTCCACCATATCAAATGTCTTTTGCTTTTAATAAATATAATAATATTGCAGGCTTTGTCTATTATTCCTTTATTTTATCCATAAAGTGGTCACCATGCTAGTGACTTTCTTTTCCAGGTCAATCCTGGAAACCTTTGTCTACCAACACCTTAACGCATTAATTAATGATGCCCTGTCTCTGCCTCTCCACTGGTTCTTTTCTCTCAACCTGTAAAAATATTCAAATCTCTTCCTATCCCGGAAAATTCCTCCCCACAACCAGGCTCCTTCCCAAACATTTACCCTCATTTCCTGTCATTTCCTCTCCTTTCAACTATCCCTTAACTGCATGCAACTCAAAAATATTATGTTGGTCTATTACATTATTTAATTGTATTGTAATCATGTATGTGTTACCCACACCCACATCATCAGACTGGAAGCAGGAAAGAGGCTATTCATCATCGTATTATCAAACCAAGTAAAATGCCTTTCTTTCTAAAGACTGTGTTTATTGTTACCACTAGGAAACTCTTGAGTAAAGAGTTTCTTATATCACGGCACCCCCAGTGCCATGATATAAGAACACACTTGTGGCCAGTCATGGTGGCTCATGCCTGTAATCCCAGCACTGTGGGAGGCCGAGGCAGGTGGATCACCTGAGGTCACGAGTTCGAGACCAGCCTGGCCAACATGGTGAAACCCGTCTCTACTAAAAATACCAAAATTAGCCGGGCATGGTGGCAGATACCTGTCATCCCAGCTACTCAGGAGGCTGAGGCAGGAGAATCGCTTGAACCCGGGAGGCGGAGGTTGCAGTGAGCTGAGATTGTGCCATTGCACTCCAGCCTGGGCAATAAGAGTGAAATTCCATTTCAAAAAAATAAAAATAAAAAAGAAGAGCACACTTGCCTCCTTCCTCACTCCACCACTATCTCCCTTGGTGTTTAGGTCTCTTCTGATTCAGGTTCCCTAAGACAGCCCACTGCTGCGCACCCAACAGGGGAGGAAGTTTGGTAACTTTAAACAAGCGGGTTAGTCCTCTAAACTCTGGACAAGTAGAAACCACATTTCTCCTGCTCACCACTGTATTCCCAGTAACTGGCCAAGTGCTTGACTCCTGGCAGATGCTTCATAGGTATTCCTCTAATAAGTGAAATGAGGAATGAATGAATTAGTGAAAAAGAAGTGTAGAAAGTGAATATGAAGTAGATTAGAAAAGCTTCTTGGGCTGGTGCAGAGAGGACATTTCTAGCTTTCACCTTTTGCCACACTTTAGAGCAATGTTTTTCAAACTACTCATTAAGACTAATTAGTAAGTGGGAAAAACAATTTTGTGAGTCACAGCTGAGTTTTAAAAATGGAATAGGGTAGCTCACGCCTGTAACCCCAGCACTGAGGGAGGTCGAAGCAGGAGGATTGCTTGAGCCCAGCCTGGGCAACACATGGAGACCAGACCCCCCAACCCGGCCCTTGTCAAAAAAAAAAGCAAACCCAGGTGTGGTGGCAAACACCTGTGGTCTCAGTTGCTCAAGGAAGCTGAGGTGGGAAGATCACTTGAGTCCAGGAATTCGGGGCTGCAGTGAGCCAAAATTGTGCCACTGGACTCCAGCCTGGGCAACAGAGCAAGACCCTGTCTCAATAAATAAATAAATAAAAGTTAAATATAAAAAAATGAAATAGGATAAAACAAAACAAACAGGAGAATAGAATAGGATTTCAGACAGAAAAATGGAATGAAAAAGGAAAGAAAATATCAGTAAATTGCAAGTGGTAAGGGAAAGAAATATTTAATACAACTTTTTCTTAGTTATATGTATACATACATACAGAATGCCTGTTCTAGATTCCTATTTGCAATATTTCTTATGTGTATCAGGGTCAAAAAACTGGTAAGCCACTGCCCTAGTAGCCTGTGAAGGATAGAGTTAATGGAGCTTCAAAAGGCAGATAACCAGGAGAGAATTAGCTTATCATAAAGATCAGCAAAGTTTGAGCTGCTTATTTCTTTATTATTTTTTGTTATCTTTTGGTATTTTTGGCAGCACAAAGTCTTCTAAACAAGTTAATCTTCAACTCAAAGGCTTAGTTCACTTTGAAATGTCCAGAAATCTTTCTTGAAATAGTGGAAGATAAATTATCTGTTTAGAATTTATTACAGTACCAATTGTCACAAAAGCACACTTTACAGGGCTCACTGCAGAAATAGCATGCACTATTTCTTTCTCTTTGTCAAAAAATTGAGTTTTAATATATTTCAGAAACATATACATGGAATTTGATAAAGTTTCACAATATTTTTGCTTGTTTCTTAATTCTTTCAACATGTTTCTCAGGGTTGGGTCTGCCTTTACATTTTCTTAATTCACTAGCAGTTTCTTCAGTTTCTTAATGAAATAGCACTGGTTTGTATTTTTATTTTATTTTATTTTTAAAGTTTCTTTTCTTTTCTTTTCTTTTTCTTGAGGCAGAGTCTTGCTCTGTCACCCAGGCTGGAGTGCAGTGGCGCCATCTCTGCTCACTGCAACCTCCACCTCCTGGGTTCAAGCGATTCCCCTGCCTCAGCCTCCTGAGTAGCTGGGATTACAGCTGTGTGCCACCACACCCGGCTAATTTTTTTTTTTTTTTTTTTTTGTATTTTTAGTAGAGACAGGGTTTCACTTTGTTGGCCAGGCTGGTCTCAAATTCCTGGTCTCAACTGCTATGCCCACCTTGGCCTCCCAAAGTGCTGGGATTACAGGTGTGAGCCACCAGGCCCAGCCTGTGTTGTTGTTTTTTTTTTTTTTTTTTTTGAGATGGTGTCTTGCTCTGTCACCCAGGCTAGAATGCAGTGGTGCGATGTCGGCTCACTGCAACCTCCACCTCCTGGGTTCAAGAGATTCTCCTGCCTCAGCCTACTGAGTAGCTGGGATTACAGGTTCCTGTCACCAAGCCTGGCTAATTTTTGTATTTTGAGTAGAGACAGGGTTTCACCATTTTGGCCAGGCTGGTCTCGAACTCCTGACCTCAGGTGATCCACCTGCCTTAGCCTCCCAAAGTGCTGGGATTAAAGGCGTGAGCCACTGCGACCAGCCGGCCCAGCCTGTTTTTATGTTATATATCTAATTTCGTAGCCTTATTTCCAGTCAAATTGAGTGGGTTACCTTTATTATGATCAGTTCACTTTGATTTTCTTTGACCATGCTAACCTTTAGCTGAAAGTTATAGAACCTGCTATTGGATCTTGCTCTGGACACCGTATCTGGCAAGAGGCAATTCCCAGAGCCCTAGCTAGAGATGAGGGATTACATCATCAGTAAGGTAGGGGCACAGTGTACTCTGAACATTCCTGGATGACATGCTTGCCTATAAAGGCAGGGGTGGGTTAGAATGGGAGGAAGGATGACGTCAAAGAGATCTTGAAAAAAAAAACAAAAACGAAAAAACAAAGGTATCTCGCTAGTAGGTCTCTTGGCTTTCAGGCTCTGTCTTACAGCAAGCTGTTTGAGTCCAGGAGTTCAAGACCAGCCTGAGCAACATAGCAAGACCCCATCTGTACAGAATAAATATAAAGATTAGCTGGGCTTGGTGGTGCATACCTGTGGTCCCAGTTACTCTGGAGGCTTAGGTGGGAGAATCGCTTGAGCCCAGGAGTTCAAGGCTGCAGTGAGCCATGATCCTATCAATGCACTCCAGCCAGGGTGACAGAGACCCTGTCTCCTAAAAGAAGAAGAAAGAAAGCAGCTTGAAGCAGAAAAGACAAGGAACCAGACCAGAAAGGTAACTCTAAATACTTTCAAGTACCTAAGAGGCCAGTTTCGTGAAGTTTTCTCACAATCGTAGTAATCATAAAGGGAAGATGAGGGAACATTGGCCTCAGGTGCAGTGAGAGGCCCATCATTGGAGGTATTTAAGTGCAGGCCACGTGATCATTATCTGAGCTGTGAGTAGGAGAATGCCAGCACTGGGGGTGGGGGAGAAGCCCACAGCTATATGGCCTTTTTATCTCCTAGATCCTATTTCTAGAAGTCCTCCCAGAACAAACAAGCAAAAGGCATTCTGCTATGGCTTGAATGTGTCCCCCAAAGTTCATGTGTTGGAAACTTAATCCCCAATGCAACAGTGTTGAGATGGGGGCCACTTAAGAGGTGATTAGAGGCTGGGTGCAGTGGCTCATGCCTGTAATCCCAGCACTCTGGGAGGCTGAGGTGGGCGGATCACTTGAGGTCAGCAGACCAGCCTGGCCAATGTGGCGAAACCATGTCTCTACTAAAAGTACAAAAATTAGCCAGGTGCAGTGGCACACGCCTGTAATCCCAGCTACTCGGGAGGCTGAGGCAGAAGAATTGCTGGAACCCAGGAGGCGGAGGTTGCAGTGAGCTGAGATTGCTGCCACTGCACTCCAGCCTGGGCAACAGAGTGAGACTTTGGCTCAAAGAAGAAGAAAGAAAGAAAGAAAGAAGTGATTAGGCCATGAGAATTCTGGCCTCATGAATGGATGAATGTTGCCATCACAGGAGTGGCTTGTTATCGAAAGAGGGGCTTATAATAAAAGCCAGTTCGACCCCCCTGCTCTCTCTCAACTTGTGATGCCCTCTGACATGCTATGATGCAGAAGGCCCTCCCTAGATGCTGGCCACTCAACCTTGAACTTCTCAACCTCCAGAACTGTGAGAAACACATTTCTTTTCTTTATAAATTATCCAGTCTCTGGTATACAGCACAAAGCAGACTAAGATACATTCTGACTCCCTGGCACCACTCAGGGCCAGAGTCATCTGTTAAAGACCTGATGCTACTCAGGGAGCTTCCTGACAGCCAGCAATTTTGACAGCGGGATAGGGTAAAATGCCTCAAGGAAAACACAGACACCAATTCTTTTTGGCCTTATTATTTTCTTCTTGTGCTTTCAGAGACCTCTTTGAGAAAAAGGATTGAACTCTGCAAACATTGTCCATGGAAGCCCTATAAAGATAGGGCTTTTTCAAGGAGGTGGAAAAAGGAAGTCGTTGTTCAATAGGGACAAAGTTTCAGATTCACAGGAAGAAAAAGTTCTGGAGATCTGTTTCTCGGCAATGTGAATATACTTAACATTACTAAACTGCACACTTAAAAATGGTTAAGATGGTAAATTTTAGGTTATGTATTTTTTTAACCACAGTAAAACAATTTTGTGTGTTTTGAAAAATCTTATTTCAGCAAGAAAGCTAGATAAACTATCTCTTAATTACTCTTCAATACTCCCTAGTTGCAACAGGGATTACAAATCAAACTGAGTGTTTCAAATTTCTGGGCCATGTGGTTCATCCTAATAATAGTAATAATTATAATAACCCAGGCACACAGGAGTTTAATGGTCTTATCCAAGTTGCCTGAGTACAAAGCGCAATTATTAACCTCACCTAATAAACATCCAGAGATGCACGTAGTCCATGGGTTAGGATGCAATTTTAATGCTCAATATTAAACAATAACGGGCTTTGAGCTTCAAAGGAAACTTGGTAAATTTTATAAAATATAGAATATGGCATAGTTAGTGATACTTTGATGGTCTGTCACTTAAGATAAAAGAGATTAATGAATGTAAATTAGAAATATTTCCCAGTTCTCTAGATTGAGGCTTGCCATGAGAGTTGAAAAATTTCATTTTCACAACATGTGATTTAATGAGATGACATACATAGAAAACACACGGCCTATCACCAGACATGGAGCACAGCTTTTTGTCTCTTTTATTTCATAATGTACCTAGACTAGTACTTGGCATAGTAGATACTCAATACACATTTGTTTAGTAAATAGCAAGGGCTCAATAAATGATAGCTAACAATGATTTAGATTCCAACAAGAAAGAAAAATGCTCTTAATGGATAATGTGGCAAAGCTGACAACATTGGAATAAATTGCAACTCAAGATATTTCACGAAAGGAAATAGTTGCTAAAAATTCAGAAGCAATAAGAAAGACAGTGAAATCTATGAAAGATAATACAAAAGAGGCAGCTTGTGGAAACCCAAGGACGGGGCAATAGGTGGGCATATACTATGTCAATAGATAGTAGTCTCAAAGTAAAGCATGTGGTTTTCAGATGTCCCCTTTTCTCTGTGACTCAATTTATCCAATATTAATTTAACACACATTTAATAAGTACCAGGTGCTGTGCTTGCCCTGAAGATGCGAACATGTGTAAAATGAAACCTAGGCCCTGTCATTTAAGGAGTTCACAGTTAAGAAGGAAATGCAGACACAACAAAATATAATGTAACATAACATAATGTAATATAAGTGGCCACACAGAAGAAGAGTGTGATTAATATTGTCCTACTGGTCAAAAAAAAAAAAAAAAAAAGAAAGAACTATAAAAGGCTGGGCGCAGTGGCTCACGCCTGTAATGCCAGCACTTTGGGAGGCCCAGGCAGGTGGATCACGAGATCAGGAGATCGAGACCATCCTGGCTAACACGGTGAAACCCTGTCTCTACTGAAAATACAAAAAATTAGCCGGGTGTGGTGGTGGGAGCCTGTAGTCCCAGCTACTCGGGAGGCTGAGGCAGGAGAATGGCGTGAACTCGGAAGGCAGAGCTTGCAGTGAGCCGAGATCGCACCACCACACTCCAGCCTGGGTGACAGAGTAAGACTCTTGTCTCAAAAAATAAATAAATATATATATATATATATATATATATATATATATATATATATATAGTCCTACTGGTGTGAGGGATAGAAAGGGCTTCAGAGTGACAGTCTGCCATGCAGATAATTAAATAGTAGAAAAAAAGATAGATGAAAAGGAAAAGAAATATATGACTATTACTGTAAAATAATAACGCTAAGAATAATAAGCACCTGTCACATACCAGGCACTGTAGCAGGCACTTGAAGTGCATTATATATTACATGATGCAGTATTTTTATTGACATGTGAATGCCATAGTAAACAGGAGGAGGATCTGACCTGGTAGAAAGGGCAGGGGAGGAAAGGTGGAAAGCAAGTTGCCAGGCCCAATTTCCACTCCTTTGCTTGGATCCTCACCACCTCCCTTCCCCCAGCTTCCCTCTGCTCACTTTCCCCTTCTCCAGAGTCTTAGGTATTATGCAGAGCCTGAAGCCCCCTCCTTACTCGTTCTATCTGGAGAGGTTCAGGCCAGAAAAACGGAGGCATCCAGTCCAGGGAAAGCTGCATGGGGGTCAAACTATAGAAGATAATGACAGTGATTCTCACTTTTTATTTTATTATTATTATTATTTATTTATTTTGAGGCAGAGTCTTGCTCTGTCGCCCAGGCTGGAGCGCAGTGGGACGATCTTGGCTCACTGCAACCTCCACCTCCCAGGTTCAAGCGATTCTTAGGCCTCGGCCTCCTGAGTAGCTGGATTTACAGGCGTGTGCCACCACGCCCTGAGATTTTTGTATTTTTAGTAGAAATGGGGTTTCACCATGTTGGCCAGGCTGGTCTCGAACTCCAGGCTGGCCTCAGGTGATCTGCCTGCCTCGGCCTCCCAAAGTGCTGGGATTACAGGCATGAGCCACCATGCTGGCCTTTTTTTTTTTTTTTTTTTTTTTTTTTTTGATTCTTACTTTTTAAAGTCTCAGATGAAAAAAAAAATGCATCAGCCATCGTTCAGGTCCAACATTGCAAGCACTCCCTCTGTGAACATACATATTCTGTAGAAATACTAGTAAATGGGCACTGGCAAGTTATTAAAGAATCCACATATATCAATTACTTGCCCACACTATGACAAACTGGGGAAGAGGTGCATAAACCGTGAGGAAGCTTCTCCAGCTTTCTACAATAGCTTCCGGCAAGCCTGAGGCCAGGGACGAAGGATTCTACAGTCGTGTTTAACTACAAAGCTTATCTCCCTCTTCCTCCACATCATTTACTTGGTAATTAATCAGGAATTAATCATAGTCTTACAATTAAAAGCATGATGAATTCTTGTCTTGCAATGCTTTCACTACTAACTAAATTTCCTATTGTTACTTTTACCCGCACCTGAAGGTAAGGAGAACCTCCCTTGGCTTCTTGTATGTCTTTTCTCCACCTAGGATTCTGCATACATTGTTGGAGCTCAAAAAAAAAAAAAAAAAAAAAAAAGAGACATTCTCAACAGGTCAATTTATGGTAGAGATATTATGTGTGGTATAGCGATATAAGAGGATGTGTGTTGCAAGCTTAGGGCAGCGGCTCTTAGACTTGAGCACATTGCAATCCCTTGGAGGGCCTGCTGCAACAGACTGTTGGGGCCCCGCCCCTGACCCATCACCAGTGGGTCCAGCAGGTCTGGGTGTGGCCCAAGGATGTGCATTTCTAATAAGTTTCAGGTGATGCTGATGCCCTCTTTGAAAATCACTGGTTTAGAGTAATTCAATTTAGCTGTCATTTAATCCAGACCAAAAAAAGCCATTCACCTTGTTTAGCTGCCGCAACTGACTCATGTGTCAAGGAACTCAGAAATCCAACTTAGAGATCACAGGTCAACCTGTGCAAAGCTTGCGGCTTCTCTTTACCAGCTGGGAGAAACACCTAACCTTCCTTCTCACAATACTGTGCAGGGATTAACACACCAACACCAACTCCACCACCTTGATTCTCGCCTCCTTTAACCCAAAGGGATCCAGGGAAGGACGCTGATTGGCCCTGCTTCAGATACATACCCACCAATCTGGAGCGCCGGAGATGAGCTGCTGCGATTGGCCAGATCCAAAGGTGGGCGTAAGAAGGAAATGTTCTGGGGAACCAAACACCGTGGCTACCACCCGTGCGTTGCAAAAAGACAGAAGCAGAGCTGTGGTGGGATTTTTTCTTTCAAGTAAACTTTTTAATTGAAGTATAACACACATACAGAAAAGTACACAAGTGGTAAGTATAGAGTTTGATGAATGTTTACAAAGTGAACACACCCATATAAGTATCACCAAGATCAAGAAATAAATCATGACGTTTGGAGTTTTAAAAAGTACACTTCGGTCTTAATGGCTTCATTTCAGCCCCTTTCAGGGCAGTTTTCTACATGTGCTAACTCATTTCCACAAAATAGATAAAATATAACCACCAGTGCTTGTAATCAAAGAGTAAGTCAAAGCATAAATTCAGCCCTCTAAATAACGAATTAAATGCAGAAACCTTTTGGTTTTCATGACTCTTCTCTCATGATAAGAGAGCTTTTCTTTAAAAACAGGAAAGGCTGTCCAGCAGTCCTCAGAACCTGTGTCTTCTCACCATTCCTCAATCACTTGTCAGCTTTTTGTTTCCACATTCTGGGATCTTCATCTTCTTATTCTATGCTGTGTTTATACAGTGCTATGGAATAAGCCAGTGGCTTAATAATTATTGTAATTTTGCGGTCTTAATTATGTTTTCTTAACTCAGAAATAGTCACTATATCAAATGATGTTAATTCCAATAAGTTTTAGTAAAAGGGAAATAGGTGAATGTTTGACTCCAAATATTCTGTAATTATGTAAAAGTAATTGAGCTCATTGCTGAACATTTGAAAATAACCAAAATACAAAGAAACTGAAAATCATCCATGCTCCCACCACTCAGGAATAATCACTGCAAACATTATGATCTGTCCAGGTTTCTTTCTGTGAATATATACTTCTCTTCTTGTTCACAACATTTATAACCTCTGTCAATTTTGTACACTGCTTTTTCTAACCACTTAAATTTAAAATCTTATGGCTTTACATTTCTAATCAGAAAACTCATAGCAAGAAATGTAAGTGAAAGTAAATTCACAAGCTACTCAGTAGAAAAGCAGAAAAGAAAGGAGCAGAAAATAAAGGCTGCAGACCAAAATATCTCTGTGGAATCAGATAGAAAATATTTTTTTAAAAGATATTATGAAGTTTTTATGGCCAATTCCCAGCTGTAAACCAATAGAGCTCATTTGGTGGACTATAACTCTCAATTATATGACCAGATAAAAAATTTATTTAGTGAGTCTTTTAGAAGATTGAAATTTTATCCAGTTGTTCCACAAAGCAACATATAGATCATCCATTTGTGGGTCACAAGTGCGCAGATAGGCTATGCAACAGGCAATTTCTGAATTAAATTATCTCTCTCATGGGGAATTAATAAGACACCATTTAAGAAATCATTTATGATGGTGAGCTAGTTATTTAGATAGTAATACCTAACTAATCCCTAGTAATAGGAGCTTTCTTCTACAGCTCATGGGCTTCTCTTCAATTAATAAACATGATACACAGTTTCAAAGGTAACTGAATCTGTTGAAAAGTGGGCTTAAGTTTGAACATTATAAATTCAGATATCAAAACTTGTAAGGGAGAAGATAATGTCATAGCAAAATTATCTAACTTTTTGGTACTGAAATCAAAGCAAAAGCATATTAAATTTGGATCCTCTGACATAGATTTCTTCTAAATAAATTGCCAAACAATCTTACAAACAGCTTGGAGATTGGTTTACTTCAAGGGAAATACTGAAAGGAAAACAGATGATCACTTTAATAATTTTGGATTGGGGAAGTCCTTTCTATAAAAGACACCAAAAGCAGAAATTATGAAGAAAACAAACATGATTTGACTATGCAAAAAAATAACCTATACAGCAGAAAGTAGGTAGATAAAAAGACATGCCTCTGTCTACTGCAGCGTTTTTTGAACATAATTAGGTTTTGGGGCTTAATTCATTCTGAGCCTTTAATCATGCTGGCCAACCAATTTGTAATTGGTTTTTGGATGGGAAATGGATATTGTCGAGACAAGCCTTTGCAATTACATCAAAATAACATTTCACAAGGTTCTTATTGAATACCAGAAATTGCACTTCCTCAGAATGGCAAATCACAGAGATGCAGGCTAGCACTGCTCAAGAGCATTGGTGATCTTTGAAGATTCACAAATCTAGGTTTGAATTTCCATCCTAGGCCAAGCGCGGGGGGTGGCTTATGCCTGTTAATCCTAGCACTTTGGGAGGCCGAGGTGGGCAGATCACTTGAGGTCAGGAATTCGAGACCAGCCTGGCCAACATGGTGAAAACCCGTTTCTACTAAATATACAAAAATTAGCCAGGTGTGGTGGTGGGCACCAGTAATCCTAGCTACTGGGGAGTCTGAGGCAGGAGAATTACTTGAACCCTGGAGGCGGAGGTTGCAGTGAGCTGAGATCGTGCCACTGCACTCCAGCATGGATGACATAGCAAAACTCCATCTCAAAAAAATAAAAATAAAAATTCCATCCTGCACTTGCTAGCTGAGTGATCTTAGGCAGGTTATGTACCTTTCTGAGTCATTTTTTTTATAAACTAAAATAAATATAAGTACCTACCACACAAAGCTGACACGTGACACAAGGATAACTACATGAGATAATGCAGCACCTTGAGCCCTTAGAAGAATACTTGATATTCAATAACCCTTGGTGGCAGTCAATTAAGAAAAAAATCTGCAGTACTTAAGCAGTACAAATTATTTTTTTAAAAAAGGAGTATATAGGCCCGGCGCGGTGGCTCACGCCTGTAATCCCAGCACTTTGGGAGGCTGAGGCAGGCAGATCACCTGAGGTCAGGAGTTCAAGACCAGCCTGGCCAACAAGATGAAACCCTGTCTCTACAAAAATACAAATTAGCCAGGCATGATGGTGGGTGCCTGTAATCCCAGCTACTCGGGAGGCTGAGGCGGGAGAATCGCTTGAACCCGGGAGTCGGAGGTTTCAGTGAGCCGAGATCGTGCCATTGCACTCCAGCCTGGGTGACTGAGCGAGTCGACTCCATCTCCAAAAAATAATAATAATAATAAAAGAGAGTATATAATGCAGTGTGGGAAATATGGCTTTTACAGGATAACAGTAAGGGAAGTCTCCCTCTTCAATATCAAGGCAATTTTTTCTTAGTAAAGGTGTAAAAGCAATGAGAAAGTTTTACAAGAAAAGAAAGGAAAAACTGAATTTATAAAACATATCAGTGCTTTCAGTAAACATGTTCAAATGATTGTGTTTTCTAAAATAGAAATGAAGTTGTTCTTCCAACCTCTGAATTTTATCATTTTATGTTTTGGATCAGAAACGTGTGACAAAAACACAAGCTAAGTCAGAGGTGTGATTTTTTGCTTTACAACCCAGGGCATCTCTGTACCATCAAAAGAATATATTCCAAGAAGGTTAGCATCTAACTGAAGGAAACTTAGGTGTGACACTGAGAGACTTCATAGCAGGAGATGAAAGCTTTGAAGGAAGGCATTCTGCTAGAGGGGTCAGCAAACTCCAGCCTGAGAGCCAAGTGCAGTCTGCCACCTGTTTTGGTATGACTGGTGAGGAAAGAAAGGGGAAAATGATTTTATACTTTTAAATGGAAAAAAAAATTAAAAGATACTTCATAACATGTAAAATTGTATGAAATTCAAATTTCAGTGTGCAGAAGTTAAGTTTAAGGATTGTTTAGGTATTGGCTGTCTACGGCTGCTTCCCACTACAATGGCAGAATTGATTAGTTGTGATGGAGACTGTATGGCCCACAAAGCCAAAAATATGTACTGTCTGGCCCTTTACAGAATAAGTTTGCTGACGACCACTGAGTTAGAGATAACCTTAACTGGAAAGTAATATATTCAACTATTTTAGTAATTTTAAAATGAAGATGGCTTTCCTAAGCACACAAATTCAATGCAGTTATTAAAAATGGAGTAGACTTGTATTTATTAACATCAAAAGATGTTACTACATTGTTAAATATAAAAAGGGCAGATTATAGGACAGATAACATAGTATGTGGTCACTTTTTTTTTTTTTTTTTTGAGATGAAGTGTTGCTGTGTCGCCCAGGCTGGAGTACAGTGGCACGGTCTGGGCTCACTGCAAGCTCCGCCTCCCAGGTTCAAGCCATTCTCCTGCCTCAGCCTCCCAAGTAGCTGGAATTACAGGCACCCACTACCACGCCCTGCTAATTTTTTGTATTTTTAGTAGAGACGGGGTTTCACCATGCTGGCCAGGCTGGTCTTGAACTCCTGATCTCGTGATCCGCCCACCTTGGCCTCCCAAAGTGCTGGGATTACAGGTGTGAGCCACCACGCCTGGCTAATGGTCACATTTTTAAAAGTATAAAAATAGATTGATTAATAGGTTGATAGGAAAAGGGTGATAATTAACATTTTACCACCAGTAGGCAAGGACACTAAACAACCAGAACAGTTGCTGATTATAAATACTTGACATGGCCGGGCATGGTGGTTCACACCTGTAATCCCAGCACTTTGGGAGGCCGAAGTGGGTGGATCACCTGAGGTCACGAGTTCGAGACTAGCCTGGCCAACATGGTGAAACCCCATCTCTACTAAAAATACAAAAATTAGCCAGGCGTGCTGGTAGGTACCTGTAATCCCAGCTACTTGGGAGGCTGAGGCAGGAGAATTGCTTGAACCCAGGAGGTGGAGGTAGCAGTGAGCAGAGATCGTGCCAGTGCACTCCAGCCTAGGCAACAGAGTGAGACTCTGTCTCAAAAAACCCACAAAAATAAATACAAATAAAAAATAAAAATAAATACCTGACATGGCTATTTATTAGCGTGCTTGAAAACCAGTCCTGCATAGAGCTACACATGCATAAAAATTATTTGGGAGAATACACAATAAAATGTTAACAATTACTATCTCTAAGTGGTGCGATTATGGATGATTTTTTCACTTTTCTTCTTTATTTAGTCATACCTTTCTATATTTTCATATGCTTCTTTTCTTTTTGAGACAGAGTCCCATGCTGTTGCCCAGGCTGGAGTACAGTGGCATGAATCTCGGCTCACTGCAACCTCTGCCTCCCGGGTTCAGGCGATTCTACTGCCTCAGCCTCCCAAGTAGTTGGGATTACAGGCGTGCGCCACCAGGCCTGGCTGATTTTTGTATTTTTAGTAGAGACAGGGTTTCACCATGTTAGCCAGGCTGGTCTCAAACTCCTAAACTCAAGTGATCTGCCTGCCTCAGCCTCCCAAAGTGCTGGGATTACAGGCTTGAGCCACCATGCCTGGCCCTGATGGGTTTCTTTTATCTTTTATACAAAATTGAAAGCATACTATGGTGTTTGACTAGTTTTTCCTTAATATTCAAACAAGATAATATATTATCTTTCTTTGAAAATATTATCATCAATGGGCACCTAATTATAATATGAGGATCTATCATAACTTATTTCTTCCCATATTTCTTCCAATATACATATTGGAAACAAGGGGTTTTTTTGTGGCTTATAAATTACCTTTTGAAAAACATCCTTTTATGAAAGTCATCTCTGCTTTGGGATAGTTTTCTAGGAGTACATTTTTAAGTCATCAAGTTTTTAAACTTTTTTTTTTTTGAGACAAGGTCTCACTATATTGCCCAGGCTGGATTTGAACTCTGAGGCTCAAGTGATTCTCTTGCCTCAACCTACCCAGTAGCTGGCACTACAGGTGTGCATTACCATACCTGGTTATGACCGGTTTTTAATGACTCTTGAAATGTATTACCAAATTGCTTTCCAGAGAGGCTCTCCCAATAATGTCAAATCTTATCTAGTCTTACAGTTGCAAATTGATAGTAGTATAGTTTTAAAAAATTATCCATTTTCTAGTTTTAATTTATATTTGAGAAATAGTTTCATTGGATAATTTTTATGTGTATTGGCCATATAAATGGCATTTTGATGGCAAATGCTATAATAGCACTATACTAATGACTATTATCCAACAAATCAATTATGGGCCAGAAGTTTTAATAACAGTAAGTTTTTAAGGAAAAACTTTATGACTTTTATTTCTATTAAAATTTTTTTTAAAAAAACCACACTTTTTCGAATTGACTCAAGACATTAAAAAAAGAAATTTTTTTCCCCAAAATTGTAATAAATAGCCTTCTATCAGTCCACAAGATGGGAGTATTCTGATCTTACAATATTTTAGCTTCAGTTGCTAAAAGTGGCAGTTTTTAGTTTTCATATTAAGCTTGTATCAGATCCCTTCTGCAAAGTCATTAAGAAAAAAATAATTATATTCAATTTATAGCTCATAATAGTTTCCATTCACATGTTTGTAAGTTCACAGTCAAAAGGACTTTCTACTTCTATGGAATATTTTTCATGCAGTTAATATGTGGTAGCATCAGGTAACTGCAGTACATGTTTACTTTAAAAAAATAATAATAACTTTGGCCAGGCACGGTGGCTCACATCTGTAATCCCAGCACTTTAGGAGGCCAAGGCCGGTGGATAGGTTGAGCCCAGGAGTCCAAGACCAGCTGGGGCCACGTGGCGAAAACCTGTCTCTACTAAAAATCCAAAAATTAGTCAGGTGTGGTAGTGCACATCTGTAGTCCTAGCTACTCACAAGGCTGTGGTGGGAGGATTGATTGAGCCTGGGAGGTTGAGGCTGCAGTGAGCTGCAATCATGCCAATGCACTCCAGCCTGAGGGACAGAGGGAGACCCTGTCTCAAAGCAAAACGAAACAAAAAAGCACACACACAAAGAAACCCCTAAAAAACTAAAAAAACTTAGCTGGACATGATGGTGTGTGCCTATAGTTCCAGCTACTCACAGGCTAAGGCTGGAGGATCGCTTGAGCTCAGGAGTTTGAGGCTGCAGTGAGCTGTGATGGCGCCACTGCACTATAGTCTAGGTGACAGAGCAAGACCCTGTCTCTTAAAAAAAAAATTAACTTTTATGCTTAGGCTTACATGCTTTAATAAACAGTGACTTAGAAATATCAGGGGAACAGGCCGGGTGCAGTGGCTCATGCCTGTAATCCCAGCACTTTGGGAGGCTGAGGCGGGCAGATCACGAGGTCAGGAGTTCAAGACCAGCCTGGCCAACATAGTGAAACCCCGTCTCTACTAAAAATACAAAAATTAGCTGGGCATGATGGTGGGCGCCTGTAGTCCCAGCTACTTGGGAGGCTGAGGCAGGAGAATCCCTTGAACCCAGGAGGTGGAGGTTGCAGTGAGCCGAGATTGTGCCACTGCACTCTAGCCTGGGTGACACAGCGAGACTGTCTCAGAAAAAAAAAAGAAAGAAGTATCAGGGGAACAAACTTGTGAAAGAAACAGACATACGTGAACCTTTCTCATCAAACCTTAACAGCTATCAATCACCATTTATATAAAACTGGTACCATCTCCAATCTCAAGTGTTCTTTTCCACATTTCTGGAAATTTTACCTTAGAATCACTAGTTCTTTGGTTGGCCTTTCTATTTCTACTTCATGTGGGCTACTAATCCTGGTTAAAACTCTTATATGTACGGTAATGGAATCAACGGCTTCGACTGTCTTTTTTTTAGCAAGCCCTGATCAACTAGGAATACGACCACTTACAATTGGCTACTCTCTTTTCTCTTATTCAACAAAAGCAAAAACCAGGAGGCATGTGTAGCTGACCTTACACAGCAACCAACTTTCCAACACTCTCATCAGCAGGAGGTCGTTCTTTAAACTCTCTTAAAATAATTTCATACTTAGTAGCACTATCCAAGTGTCACTGGACCCAATCACTATAATTCATTCTCCTTAGCACTGTCCAACAATCTCTAATTTTACAAAAATACTCAAGAGTGCATCAGAGGCCAGGCGCCTCTGATACGGGCTCACGCCTGTAATCCCAGCACTTTGGGAGGCTGAGGCAGGCGGATCACCTGAGGTCGGGAGTTCGAGACCAGCCTGACCAACCTGGAGAAACCCCGTCTCTACTAAAAATACAAAATTAGTCAGGCGTGGTGGCGCATGCCTGTAATCCCAGCTAATCGGGAGGCTGAGGCAGGAGAATCGCTTGAACCTAGGAGGCAGAGGTTGCAGTGAGCCGAGATTGTGCCACTGCATTCCAGCCTGGGTAACAAGAGCGAAACTCCGTCTCAAAAAAAAAAAGAAAAAAAAGTGCATCAGAAAGAGCTTTTAGGAAGATCCTTTTTATTCATATAGAAGACATTTTAAGACATATTCAAACTTTTTTTAAACAAGAATTTAATGGGTTCCATGACAATGGTCATATGAGGGTCATTCCAGTATAGTCATGTGTATGCTGAATGGGTGTTAAATCATTTCACAATGAAAGGAATGTCCATCCGTTTAAGAAAATCTTCAATACCAGTTTACAGCAACAACAAAAAATGACAACAAAAACCTTTTCATGTATTTAAAGTTACTTGCTACTAACTCTTCATATATACTATATTGGAAAAATTGGTTGGAACTGACAGGCAATTTCATAGTAAGTTCCTAAATATAGCCTTGGGCCTCTTTGACACGTCTTAAGCAGGAACTATGATGAGTCATTCAAAAAGTCTTGCACCTAACAGGAAAAACTTTAATTGCACCCAGCTCTCCCTGGTAAGAATGGGTACAGCCCAGGAACTACTGGTTCCCTCCTGGCAAGAGCAGTTGAAAAAATCAGCTGGGGGTTGGTTGTGTATACTCCTTTTTTAAAATGTTTGGGCATTCACCCAGCCCTGTGGCTATGACATTCTTGGGCAGGGCATGCTGGTAGTGGAAACAGTGAAGGTTATTCAAACCACTAAATTCTCAGCTATATGGAAACTGGCTGACTTACCCCAAGCATGAGTTCTCCATCCTCTCCCTCACCACCTCCACTCCACAGCTAAAATATTAGGTCTCAGAATATAAATTACTTTAGGTCTTTATTCCACTAGGCTACTCAAAGTGAATGTTTTTTTGTTTTTTAAAAACCCGTACTGATCCTGATTATGAGGACTGTATGGTGTTTATAATTATCAATGTATAAATTATACAGATTACAAATATATAAATACAGAAACAAAACTTCTGTATTAGAAGGTGGTCAGAATGAAGATGATACAGTTAGGGATTTTAGTTCACAGAAAACTTCATTATGATAAAGTACATCTAGGATCAAAGATAATTTGGTGTTTTTCTAGTAATATCAAAACAATCAACTGGCAAACACTTTTAGGGCTGAAGAGACTTCCTATTCTGAAGTGTGGGGCCACAAATATCTCACCTTAAAGTAGGGGAAGTAAATAGGCCTCATTTAATGCCACAACCAATAGATTTGGACTGACGGCCCATAGCACCTTGCTGAGAAAGATTCTAAGGCTGTGTTGGTGATTAGCAAAAAAGACTGTTTTCATCCATTAGTCCTGTCTGCCTCAGGTGTGGGAATATGGGGTGAGGGTACACTTACCCTGTATTTGTCATTCCTGGCTTAAACTAATACATTAATTGACGCACCCAAATTTGAATTCAGAATCTGTCACTTAGTAGCTATGACGCTGTGGGTAAATTGCTTATTTCCTTAAGTCTCAGTTTCTTAATTTGTAAAACAGGGATGATGAAAGCACATTTTAGAGGGATTTTTAAAAAAATATTTAAATATTTTTAATATTTAAAGCGGGGTCTGGGACAAGATATGTGCTCTATAAAGAAAAGCTACTATTATTATTATCATTCATGAGTGTTTTTAAATTAATGGTTAAAAAAATTTTTTTTAAGCACAAAACCCTGAAAGCCTAACAAATAAGATAAAAGTGAAGCTGCTGTAGTTGAGGTTTAGCTGAAGGCCCAGGGCCCCACCTACTCTGCTGTGTCCTTCCCGGACAGGCTAGAGAGGCATCTTCAAAGAGCCCCTAGGACCCTAGAGCACAGTTTGAAAATCCCTGAAGAAGGTTATTTAAAAGTGAAAACAATGCTCTCCTTTTGAGGTTCGCTCTGCATTTGTTAGCCAGTTAGGCTTAAACAAGACAGGTCATAGTCAGGGCAAAATGGCCAAATTTAAGGCAGAGGAAAATATACTATGAAGAAACTATTCATGGAAGTAAAGTATTCAAAATCCAGTAGTAAATTTACATGGTTAACATTAGAATAAAATTTAAACATCGAGATTATTTTTAGCAAATAAAATAGGATTCCAATTTATTTTAGGTTATCTTGAAGATACAGTGAGTCTTCAGCTTTGTCTTTATATCTAAAACATGGCTAGATGTAGTTAAAAGAATTTAGCTAGAAAAATAACTCCCAAGAGTTAGCCAAAGATCAGAAGAAAGTAAGCAAAGGACTAAGTAGGAACTCAGAGATGAAAGCAAAGAATGTATGGAACACTCATCAAGCACAAACGCAAAAAGGGAAAATAAAAAGTTCAATCGCTTTTAAAATTCACATTATAAATAATTAAACGAGATTATTTAGATCACTCTCTACTAAAGAAAAAACAAAAGTTTTCTAATAGAGCTAAATAAATATACATAATCTAAATGATACCAATAGTGATGGAATATACCAAATGTTCTGGATATATTAAAGAAAAAAATTATCCAATTATTCACCAACTTTTCCTGCTCAAAGAAGTAAAGCCAGTTCATATGAAGCTGTAGTTTATTCTGAAACCTTTCTAAATGACATCAACAAATCATGACAATTTTTGCTTGAGGAATATTTTCCATCTATTGTGCCTCGTAAGAATCTCCTACATTCCCTCTCCAATGTCCATGACAGAGTCCTGTTCATGAGCTATGACTACGCTTCTCAGAAGTCTTTAAAAGCTTTCATCTCTGAAATTGAAATATAAAGGCCTTAAATATATGCCATGTTCTAATTATTAATTCCAAAATAAAAATGCTTTAAACATACTTAAATTATTATGATGGGACTCAATTACATAGTACATCAATCTTTAGCTTCAATTGCTTGCGATTTTTCTTTAATGGTACAATTAGGTTTTCTGTGAGTGCATGTGGTTAAAAAATAAAAACTGAGTCTCTTTCTTTAGCATATATAAATGCTACATTCTGCCTTTGCAATTACTCCATTAGTCATCTCCAACAATGAATTATGGTGATAAAGGAGGTACTATTTTTTAAAATATGCCACTAGAAAGGACATTAATTACAGTATAATATACTGGAAACATTCTCAAATCTGATTTTTCAAGTTATTTACATCATAAATGCAGAAAACAAACTTCTACAGTGGTAAATGCATATTTACCACTACAGCTAATGCATATTTATCAATTTCCTGCTTGCAAAAAATACTGCATGTCTGTATCATTTGCACTTAGTTTCCCAACATTTAGAAGTCTAGAGTTACACTGATACTATAAGGAAATGACTTACATTAAACATAAAACTTACAGCAAATTGGCATGATGCTACTGAGTGATAGATGCTTGAAGAGTAAAAACTTCCCTTTGTCACGCATATCAATCAATTGCTGCAAATGGCAATAAAATGAATCACCTAGACAGGAAGGATGGTCTTAGGATTCTCAGCTCTCTCATATTCGTAGATTTTATGCCAAGAGAACAATGACATCTATGGTGGTAGCTTTCAAACGGCACACAATAAGCCTTAGAAAATGCATTTGGGTGTTTATTATTAGGGAATTTCCTAACTCATATTTTTAAGTTCAAAAATTGCTAATGAGCATTGATAACTTTTAGGATGTAAATTAGCTAGTGAGAATATTCAAATTCTTCCATCTTAGTGACACAAATGCACTAGACATATACTCTTAATGTTTTTCAAAAGAAGGACAGCATAAAAATAACAAAGTAGCTATAATTTTGAATCTATCCTGCTGCTAAAGAGGCGAATGACTTGGGCTTGAGGGACTTGAAGTTTTACAAGAATTTAATAATAAATACTGAAATATTCCTCATTTCTTTTAGACTATAATCTAAAATGCAATTAAAGAAAAAACCTCTCATCATCCCTGTAATACATTTTCTAAAGGAATTGCATAAATTTATGAATGTTAAAATTACACTGCCTTAAGTCAATTAATTATGAAATTCTTGAATGCCTGGGATTAAGCAACATTTAAATTTTGATATCAAACTGCAAACTTAAGATTAAACTTGCTTCTCCAAGATAAGTGTTATACCAGTGCCAGCAAATTAACATCCTAGTTTATAAAAAATAATTCTTGATGCCTCTCTTTAAAATGTATTTTTGGGCATCAATTTTTGATATCAAATATTCAATTCTTAGTCTTGAAAAGTAAAACATTCAACTGAAAAAGGGTAAACAGCGTGGATTTCTCACATTATTCTTACAGAAATGAAAACAGAGGCTGGGTGTGGTGGCTTACACCAGTAATCCTAGCACTTGGGGAGGCCGAGGCAGGAGGATTGCATGAGGTCAGGAGTTGGAGACCAGCCTGGACAACATAGTGTGACCTTGTTGCTACAAAAAATAAAAAAAAATTAGCTGGGAGTGGTGGAGCATGCCTGTAGTCCCAGCTACTCAGAAGGCTGAGGCAGAAGGATCACTTGAGCTTAAGAGTTCAAGGCTACAGTGAAATACAATTGTGCCACTGCACTTCAGCCTGGGCAACAAAGCAAGATCCTCTCTCAAAAGAAAGAAAGAAAACCTAGAGTATTGTTTTTTAGGCATAGAAAAATTTTAAGATCCCAAGCACTCCTCTCTCCCTTCCAATCTCCACTGTTACATAAACCATTATGTGTAGTCTCAAACTTAATCTGAGTGGCTTCAGGGGATGAAATGATTATCCAGTGGAAGTTGTAGAGAGGCAGATTTCCACCTGCCTCAAATGTAGGGAAGAACTGATAGGACCTCAAGATAATATGACCTGTTATATGAGGTAGTAAGTGGGAGGTACACATTTATGGCATGAGTTCAAGCAGAGGCTGGATAAAGTACAGAGTATTTGTTTCTAACATTCCTTCAGCTCTAAGATTCTATTGATCTTAGTTAACAGAGACACATACATGTTGATGAGACATGATGAAATCAGCTAGACACCACCTCATCAAACAGTGTTAACATGGCTGGCATGCATTAAATATCTTCAGAAAAGCTGAGGTTGTAATTTTTCTGAAAGTGATTTTACTATGCAACATCAGCCCATGGTGAGACTCCGTACAGTAAAATGTAAATCTAAAGACCTTGAGGACATCCAACAGAAACTAAAGAACTGTGACCCAAATTAGGATTGTGATTGAATATCCTTTATGCACCAAGCAATAGTGCATGGTATCATTCCATGTTTGCAAACTCCAAAGAGATCAGGGATAAAAATTACCAGAGTTTAAGCCACTGTGATCAATGGAATGGAGTAACACCAATGGAAAGAACAATGGGAAAGAGCACGCAGCCAGGAGGATCACTTGAGCCTAAGAGGTGAAGGCTGCAAGTGAGCTGAGATCACTGCATTCCAGCCTTGGTGACAGAGTGAGACCCTATCTCAAAAAAAAAAAAAAAAAAAAAAAAAGAGTGCCCAGCAAAGAAATAGGGGAATATCGATGCTTTCAGGATCAAATAAGAGGAGTGTTATCTGAAGGAAACTAGTCATTAATAATGCTAAATGCTGCAGAGTGGGGTGTGTATTTGACAATTAGTCACTAGTGGCCTTTTGAAGGGTAGTTCCACTAAAATATCGAAGACAGAATCTAGATTGCTATGGGTTGGACAGTGCATGGAATGCCCTCATAATCTTAAGTGGTTATGTTTTCCTTAGAGTTCCCTTATATATCTTCCCTGATTATATCTGACACTCCTGATGGGATAGGATCTCATTAAACAGGAAAAACAATAGAAATTTTTCTACATCCCTTAGAACCAAACTAACTTCTGATTAATATTAGCCTTAATATTATGGGAAAACTCTTGGAACAAGTTAGGTCAACTTGTGTTTTAAATAGAAATTTTCTGACTCCAGAGTTGTGCTCAGCACTGAATTTGTATATTTGGCATGTACTTACTGAGAGCCTACTATTCCACCAGACTGGGCAACACAAAGTCTACAAGAAAGTCCTCAATTAGGGGTTCCAATGGGGAATCAGTGTGTCATGACATAAAGGTTTATTATTCAGTTTGATAGTCTTTAGTCTTGGGAACTTTACTGAGGGCTTGATGGAAAGTATTTTTCAGGTCAGCTGTTTTGATTCACAGACTTAGCATTCTCAAGCTATGCCCAAGATGACTGACAAGTCTAATTTAGTGACACCTTGTTATGAATGTAGATGTTAATCAGATACTCAACATTTGAAAGGCTACAGAAAGTCTATGTTACAGTGCTCAAGGTTGAAGCATGATTGAAAATAAAAGGCTCTTTTAACATAAATGTGGCAACAAAAGGGTCTAAATTAGCAAATTATTTTTATTAGCAAGTGAAAGTCTCCTCTCATGAAGTTCTGAATGTTATTTCTGAATCAGATATATTATTTCTTTCATCTAGGAACCAGGGTGTTTGGTGGTGGGGGTTGGGGGGACACCTTGGGTACTGAGATATGGTGTAACTAAACTCCTATTAAGGTCTTGCTGTTTAAGAAAGCTGAGATGGTAAGGTTTTTATCCTTTGCAGCTAAAACGATGCCATTAAAGTTAAGTCTCTTTGCTACTCAAGATTTGTAACTCTGGAAAGGAATAATACGTTGATGTTAGGAAGGCACATCATTCTTCAATGTATGTATTACAGGGACAAGGTGCGGGGGAAGGGGAACCTATAGATCAGGGATCAGCAAACTGTGGCTTGCTGCCTAATTTTGTAAATAAACACAACAACACAGCCTTACAATTCACTTCCATATTGTCCATGGATGCTTTTATGCCACAACAGCAGTTGAATAGTTGTGATGGAGACCTTATGGCTCACCAAACCAAAGTGTCTGGCCCCTTACAGAAAGTTTGGTGATTCCTACATACATCAAATAATCCTGACTAAAAAGCAAAATACACCCGCATATACAATAGGCAATAAGAAATATATCCAGAATAATATATTCCAACCAATGAGAAAATTGGAATTTTAAACTTATTAAACATTTGATATATTAATTTTGGAGGATGTAAATATGCTGTGCTTTTTTAAATTAAAAAAACACATTAAAATTAAATACAGATACTTAGGCTATCACTTTCCTTGAGAATACTTACAGAAGCTTACGATTTCATCCTGTAAGGTGATTTTTTTCTCTACCACCCCATAAAAAGTGAAATGAACATTAACCTAAGTACCTGCAATTTTAGTGAACTGCTTTATTGGATAGGAAAACTCCTCTACGTCTTTAAACCCTCTCCATCATCTACACCCCTAAAATGGTAGGTAGACTCTACTGTGTCAGTTTCCCTGAGTATATACCAAGTCTTCTGAGAAAAGAGCTTTTCTAGTTCTACAGACTTATCCAATATAGCTGATGGAAACAAGCAGCACTTAAAAAAATATATTCCTATCCTAGAAAAAGACGTTAACTGACCAACTTTAATGTCTATGCCAGTTAATACAAAAATGTCAAGCACATGCCAAAATTAATAGTTAACATCTTTTTCCCAAAAGGCTGTAGTGCATTTTTAAGGTGAAAGTATTATTTCCCCTCTTATTATGTTGAAGGGGGACAATGTAAAGTGCTGCCTGTATGCATTCTTAATCTGCACTATTTTATATTTGTCTTCATCCTGTAACCTGTTACCCCTCCCAAACACTCCTGCTTTTAAAAACTGCTGATACAAGTCTGGGTGTGGTGGCTCATGCCTGTAATCCCAGCACTTTGGGAGGCTGAGGTGGTTGGATCACCTGAGGTCGGGAGTTTGAGACCAGCCTGACCAACATGGAGAAACCCTGTAGCTACTAAAAATACAAAATTAGCCAGACGTGGTGGCGTATGCCTGTAATCCCAGCTATTTGGGAGGCTGAGGTAGGAGAATCACTTGAACCCGGGAGGTGGAGGTTGTGGTGAGCCAAGATTGCGCCATTGCACTCCAGCCTGGGTAACAAGAGCAAAACTCCATCAAAAAAAAAAAAAAAAAAAAAAAAGGCTAATACAAAGGGTCTTTTTGGTAAAATTTCCCATTTGTCTAATTTTTCATCTTTTCCCATCCCAACTGACTTGACTTGCAGTATAGTAATAATTGAGAACACTATATACCCTATGGTCTCCTTATTCATCAAAGGGCCTACCCATTTTCTCACAAGTGGGCACTCAATGTATATCTGTGGAATGCATGTATGACCAAAGAGGAAGAGTCCACAGAATGAAACGGGAGCTCACATTTGAGTGTGGTACAAGTCACCCGGAGCAATGAAAGACCACCACAGACTGGGGTGTCAGAGTCAGCTACCTTTAAAAGGCAAATACAGGATAAAAGTTTAGAATGATTCCTGGCTCCAAAACACTGCCTTCAGTCTAATCTAAGATTTTAATAAAAACATATTTACGCCTATGAAATAATAAAACGTATAACTTTTAGGCAAATATAAGACTAACAAAAACATACCTACATATGTAAAATTCTAGACTTCACCTTAGGTAAAGTCCTAAAATAACTTCTTCAAATTTCCTTTGCCTAATGAGGATATGGCCCAGGACTAGTACTCTGGGATGCTGATTCAATTCCTACATTTGCTATTATTTGGAATTGGCACATTTTATTAATGATTTAGGTGACAAGTACTTGAAAAATTAGTGTGGGAAGATCTGCTTTGGAGAATTACCCATGTCTGTACATAAATGCCATAATCCTAATTATCTGGATTATTAGGAATCCAGATGCTACAAATATCCAAGGAGACTACTTGGAAACAGGGGACAGGTTGACAAGAGATGCTAAGCTTCACATTACCTTTTACATGAATATGTCTTTCATACGGTAAAATATAAATGCCAAAACCCAACATACCTCTTTACAAATACAAAAATCATGTTGGCAACTAAAACATTAGGTCATTTTAAAATACCTTTATTGATGTATTATTGCACTCTACATCAAAACTCCAACAGGGCTTTTCTTCTAGTTTTTTCACGTATAGACCGAATGTTGGGCATTTAAATGTTAGTGGTGTATATGCCAGACATTTTAAAACAAATACTTTGCAGCAAATGGCTAATAATTCTAAGTGTTCTGTTATGGAGACGGTTTAAAAAAAAAATCACAAAGGCTACTTTTGCATTGAGATTTCCATAGTAACATTTGCAGTAGGTTGGATTTGGTCATTACATCTTGCAGTAACATTATCTACTAGGGTTATGTATCCAGGGAAAGGATCCCAAAGGCTCAGTGTGACACCACGTATCATATGCTTGGCAACACAAAATAACTAAACGAAACTGGCTTGATAGCTACATGCCATATGATACTAATAGGCAAAATCCTTAAAGTTGCTAGTGCCTTTTGTCACTCACTTAGTAAATACTTTTGATCAACAAGCTATGTGCCAAATACTATTTGAGTGTACTCTGGAATCTTCTAACTTCAAACTTATCCCTAATCTCAAGTATTTATTGAATGAGTTTGGTACAGAAAAATAATACTGAAATTGAAGTTCAGGAGTCCTGGGTCCTAAAACTGACTGGAGTCACTGTAGCAACCTCTCTGGGTATGCTTCATTAGTCTCTTACAGTCTCTTTCAACCTAAATAATTCTACAATAATCCTGAAACCATCTTATGTATTATCTCACCAACTGTTAGGACCTGCGCCAAGAAGACTGTCTTGTGTTTATCTTTCACCAAGATTCTAACACATACCTACTTACACTTGGAAGATTAGCTTTTTCTTATTGCCAAATTTAAGACTGGCCGTGGTGGGAAAAAATCATCTGGCTGACAGTAAGGCGGCAGTATTAATAGCAGGTAAGGCGCCATGCAGTTATGGAATCTGTAATATTTTTCATTCACTTTAATTAGCTGAATAGATTTCTATAGTTCACTTTCTTTCTTTAAACTTCAGAAAGACAGTTATGTCATAGCCTAAATTCTGAAGTACCTTTAGTTTTCTTACCTAAACATAGATCCAATAATTCAATTTCCTACACCTGCTCCCAAACACTGGTCTGCGGTGATTTGTGGTGAAAAAGAAAGAAGTTCAGATAGTGACTTTTTCTATTAAGCCAAACTTGGTGTCTAAATTCTTAATTTCCTAAATTATGTCCTTTTTAGTGTCAAAACATCCTTCGTCCAGTACTTATACATACCAAATTTTATCATTTTAGTGTTTGTTGACTAAGCAAAATAAAAAGCAACTACAAGGGTCCCAACACCTAAAAAAAACTAAGCACAAATCCAACTCTGAAATAGAAATGTCTGGTCAATACTGCCTTTGTCAAAATGATTAAGTAATCTCTTTCACTTTTCATAGCGTTATCTCCAGTGGTAGACCTTTTTCTGAAGCAGCCCCATTTCATCTTTGGATAATTAAAAACCGATTTTCAATCTTGAGCCAATGGTCCCAATCATGACCCCTTAGAAACATATAAAGTTTCTTAATTCTTCTGCCTCATGATAGCTCTTTACATGTTTAAAGATACTAGGCATTATAATGCTATGTGGGCTCCCCTTTATTGTGCCCTTCTCCAAACAAAATCAACAAACTCCTGTTTTTCTAAGTCAAGTCTGAATATCTGGCCAGTTCTGATTTCCTTTGCTCTATTACTAACTTTGAAATAACCTAAAAAGCTAGTTATGTTTTCTCTACATTAATAAAGTTTCAAAGACTTCAAATTTATAACATCACATCACTTGTAGTCAATCAGTCCACAAATATACAACATGGGATGAAGCAGTTTACCTTTGCTTTTCAACCCATTTCCAAGATTATGCACAAATGTAAATTACAGGGAATTTTTAATATTTTCTAAAACCTGTAGAGAATCTTAAAAGATACACTGATTACAAATCACTGCTATTAATTAAAGCAGGATTACTTGGAGGTAGTCTGTCATTTATGTACTTTCATATAAAAACATACAAATAAACAAAAAACCCTTATAGTATTCCATAATTCAAACTTGTAAGCCTTAAGTACAAAGATATCTGAATTATACATAAGTCAAAGTTCATTAAGGTGTTCCCCTTACCCCAATTAGTCTAAATTAGTACACTTGCAAAGAAATCTGAATTAAATGTCAGTCAATAAAATTCACAAAGCCAGAAGCAGTTTAGTGCTCACAAGTTTATATTTTTAGGTTTGAATAAAGATTCTTGTGTATTTTCTAAATACACAGACAAAACAGTTCCGGAAGTTTACATACATGTCTTAGGACACTTATATTAGGTAGGTAATTTACATTTTAAAAAGTTGGTCTTCGTAAAAGATCTTCCCAAAGAGCTTTTACAAACAGCAGGCGGAAGTGTTCTTTTGTTTACAGTGTTCAAAATGCCAATGCTCCCACTAAATAATGGCCTCAACCATCTCTCCTCAACCCAAAATATTGTTCTCAATAGCTAGTGTACTCCAAATTTAAGTACCCAATGTCATAAAATTTAGGGCTAGAAAACATCTTTTGAAGTGTGCTTATCCCTAACACATTTTAAACTATCTAGAATTCTTTAACTTCAGTTGAAAGCAGAGATACAGCAGGAAAAAAAAAAAAACTTTCCATTTTAAGTCCTAAAGTGACTAAACACCTGTTAGTTCTAAGTGTGGATATTATGTACCATAGTTAAGTTTAAGGATCTGGGTGACTGAACGGCACAAAAACTGGGGTTTCTATCTAGTTCTTCAGATAAAAACCATTCTTTTATAAAATTAAAATGCCACAGCCAGTTAAGAGCATGTGCTACACTGATGTGTCTTAATATAGTCAAAGTGACAAAACAACTGCTTTATGAAGAAAGAGTAGTAAGGAAATTTATTGGGGGGAGGAAAGACACTCAAAATTCTAAACACAGCTGTCTTATAGGAAAAATATAATCCATAGACTCCATTAAGAGCTGAAATTCTACAAGAGTTGTTTAATGAGGCAGCAATAGAGCCTCCCTGAAAGAGTATGGGCTTCAGAATCAGACGTGGTCAAATTCGAGCTCTGTCACAGCTGTGTTAAATTAGCCAAGTTTCTGAATTTCTCTGAGCCTTTCCTCATCTATAAAATGGAGACAATTAGCACCTACCTTATAGAGGATTAAGGTAAAATCATGTATACAGCACAACGGCAAGTGTGGGCACTCAAAAAAAAAATTGGTAGTTTTTTTAATCGTTTTTCAGAAAAATGAATCTAAACCCTTCATGCTATGTTCAGAAAATCCTAAAAAATATAAATAAAGCTTACTAAAGTTTTAAAAATTAAGATTTTTAAACCTATTTTCCATCACACTTTCCCCCGTATGATACTACTACAGTGATATTCAGGCCGTTTACACCATTTTGTATTAATATAAATGCCCAAGTCCTAATCCTTTCATTTCCTATTTTCTCCTTCCTTTCCCCCATCTTTTCTTATTTCTTTTTCCTCTTGGTTCTTATCTATTATTAAACAACTTTAAGATGTGTTATGCACCTATTATGTACCAGTGTTCTAAGCACTTTACATGAATTAACGCATTTAGCTCACTCTTCTCCATTAGGATAGCTGTACCTAACCCAGCTAGTGTGTTTTCCCCAATTTCAAAGCTACTCATTACTGTTCAGTTTCCCTTTCCTATAACGTTTCTTCTTTTTTAAACTCTTAATTGCTAGTGTGCTAAATTTAGCAAAATATCTAGTAAATAAGAAAAATGAACAGGGGTCCATATGGAAGTATCTGTCTCTGAGAACTCTAATAATGCACAATCTTGATTTATGAGACGGTCTGTAACTACAGAGTGAATATGAAAGAAAGTTTATACTCTTCCCCTTCATTAAAAGCTCTAAAATACTTTTTCATTTAAAATATAAATTACAAGAGACAACTTCGCCAAATGTGTAACATAATTCTGCCAGAGTTCCACAGACAAAATTATGAGTATTTCATTGTTACCTCTGAGACCAATCATAAGTTCTTAGTATCTATCAACTTCCTGAAATTTTACTGTAAGTCAGAAAAAGAATACACTTAAAAAAATAGAAATGTCCAGTAGTATACCTTAGTACTAAAACTATTTTTTTAAAAGATCTAGATGGGAAAAGGCAGTCCCTCGAGATCATGAAACAAAATAAGTTAGGCAGTCAGCAAGTAGAAAAATCTGTCAATTCTGTTTCCGGTAAAATGTTTACTTCAAAGAAATTTTTATATAGGCTGAGGCTAATATATTCAAGAGTATAAACACTTTTCCTTTGGATTACCTAAAAACAAACTTTTAAAGTATCATATTTCAATTGACTAAAAATATAGCCAAATCTGTCACAACACAACATAAAGTAATGGACAATTATAGAATATTTTAAATTAACAGTAACAAGCCATCTACATCAAACCTTATTTCCAACTAAAACCAAACAAAAGCACAACAATCCCGTAGTGTACCAAGTGTGTATTTCAATTTACTGTATGCAATCTAACAAAAATTTGGTCATAATTTACCAGATATACATAAATGATTTAAGTAGTAAAAGAAAATTCAGCTTCAAGAGAGTAAGTTCATATCTTGAGGAAAAGTAAAAGTACATTAAGAATGTAAAGCCAAGTCCAGTTTCTATGCAATAAGTGAACTGTAGTCTAATAAAGCAGATTTAGGTGATTTTTAGATATATATCTTTGTTCTTTAATATATATTTATATATAGACAGATCTACCAATTGTAAACTAGTTTATTTAAAGGAAGGGGATAAATGGGATGAAAGAAATCTTTATACTATACTTACATATTCACAAAGAACATTTTACGTTTAAAATACTTTTTCATTCATAGTATCTTTGCCCAACTAATTTCTACCAGAAATACATTTTACTCATTTGTCTAGAACATTAAGAAGTACTCATCTGTTTTAAACAAAAATCAAACCGAAACTATTCTTATCTGTCAGGTTTACAGTTATGTAGAAACTACAATATAGATGACAAAAGATGCATCTAACCATGTAACTGTAATTTATCTTTGATTTATCCAAGCAGAAACATCATTGTCTAACAATAAACCATTATTCTACTGAAATCAGAGACAATGATAAAGCTTGTCTCTTAAAAAACATCAACTTTTCAACTTTGATCAGATGGAGCACCAAAGGGATTATATCTGTCAAAGCATCTTTGCAATTTTTTCCACATAACTAGCATAATTTAGTTACCTGATATAAAATAGGAAAATATACTCAATTTTTATTTAAAAGAAAGCTGAAAATATGACATCCCTCAATCTTATATAATATACAATATGCTAATAAATGCCATACATGTTAACAATACGTGAAATGCTGCTGAGAGTTCCACAATCAGCTAATTCATGTCACCAGGCTAAGTAAATCTGACAATTTCACCTCAATATGTCACCCTTTGTACCCTGAAGAATTTATAGAATAATAAAGCTTCTCAGAATTTTATTTGTAAGATTTTTGAGACTGTTGAATCATGGTGACTACTAGAAAGACTGTATCAAGGTGTAGTGACTTCAAGGACAGAAAAAAATAAATTAAGTATTGATCATAATTTCAAAACAATCAATATCCCGCTAAGTATGAAACAAAAGAGAATGCACATTTTGTGTTAATTTTCATGATAAAAGGGACACGGGTAAAAACCTGATATTTCACTTAT
Source organism: Homo sapiens (assembly GCF_000001405.40). Classification (NCBI taxonomy): domain Eukaryota; kingdom Metazoa; phylum Chordata; class Mammalia; order Primates; family Hominidae; genus Homo; species Homo sapiens. The sequence continues at coordinate 80,520,543 of NC_000008.11, read as the reverse complement.
ATTGCATAACAAGCTAACCAAACTGGACATGGTGGATAAATTATAAAACAAATCATTTTACTTATTTCTATGATTTTTCTTTCAATTAGGTCTTTCAAATAGGACTGAGGTATAGTACACTGGCAAAAATAAAGAGGCAAACAAGAATAGTGCCAAAGTAACAGATACCCAAAACCAAATACCATGTCAGAAAATATCATATAGTAACCATTTATCAGATTAGAGCAGCAGAAGAAAGTTACTTCTAAATCATAATCATTTTAGTGGTATTTGTCAACTTCGCCACGGTAACTTCATAACATCATTCTTCATTTGTGAAGTAGTAAAATTCATGTCAAAAAGGAAGAGGGGAATGGAGGAAGTCAGTTAGTTCATTCCAATAAATTACCTCTCCAGTTCTTATAAACATGCCCATCAGCACAAAATCGAGAAATAATACCTAAGACTAGAAGAGACTTGGTTTAAGTTATGAAGCAAATTAAATGGAAAAATACAAGAAAATAGAACCAATGGGGTTGAAAAAGCCCCTCACTGAAAATCTGTATTAAAAAAAATAAAATTAATAAAAATAAAAATAGAAACAAAACTCTACTAGTACAAACTAGCCTGAGTGGTTTGATGGACAGAGTGATTGGGTCAATTGTCACTGTACTTCCATAAACGGATTTTCTCCATTCATGTTAAAGTAGCACATGAATGTAAGCTCTTTAAGGACTATTTTCATAGGACCCAAATAGTTACTGTATATCCTATAAATAAAAAATATTTTACTTTGATAACTGACTGAGTATGTGGGGACTCCATGTAATCCAACCACATGGTTGTTTGCTGTATAGTCCTGTGCAAATATAAAAAAAAATTTTTTTTGCTATAAGGCTTTGACCCTACAGTTTTCACAGCAACATAACTACTATCCAGCATGTACCATATTTTGCAAGCCTTCAAGTTCAACAATCCAAATTGTCGATTCATATTAGGTCCAAATGCAGCATCCTTGAGGAGTATAGTAGGTCAGTTAATCATCTAGAGACATACAAACTTCTCCTGATTCATCCCATCGAGAGGGATCATTCTGATCTTCTCCATCATCAACTAGCTCTTCATCAGCTTCTCCTACTTCATTCTCCTCGTATTCTTCATCCCGAGGGAATTCTGTATCCTGTCCCTGATCTACACCTTCTTGCCCTCCTGGCTGTGATTTATCTGCACAGTCTACACAAACACCATAACGTCGAGATCCATGTCTTATTCCAACACTGGCTGCTAACATGAAGATCTTCTTACACACCATACATTTGTATTTTTTATCCTTTTTATGCACCTAATTGGAGGGGGAAAAAATCCAATATAAGGATATTATATATAATAGAATGCATTTGAACCACTCAAATTAAACCACACATTTAATAGTGAGTGAATACACCAGTTTCTCTGTAAAAAGCTCACTATCAGTTCATAAAGTCAAACTGTTTAAAGCAATTTAGGAGACAATCTTCCTTAAATTCACAATTAACTGTTTAAATCCCTTTAAACTTCACTGACATAAATATAGTTTATCTCAAAGATCAGCTGTATTTAAAGTTACTTACCAGGGAATGTCTTTTTACATGTTCTCTTCGAGTAAACAGTTTTCCACAAATATCACAGCTAAATGATCTCACTCCTGTGTGAATGAGCAAGTGCCTTTTTAGTGTTCGTCTGTATTTGGCTACATAGCTACAATGAGGGCATTTTAACTTGTTCATGATTAGAGATGATTCACCTATGAGAATTAAAAAAAGAGAAAGTGCTTATTACACATTAAACAGAAAACTTGCTATCAAAACTTCTTATCTCTATCTCTGAGAACAGCAATTATGTGGAGCTACTGCTACTTGGTTTTTAAAAAATGCAGAACATGAAAGCTTTTAATTGTTAACAATTATTTAATTAATTCTGTATTTGTTTAGTTGACTAATACTTGCCATTTTCCCAGGTTTCTTGTTTTGGCCAAGATTCTGGCAATAATCCATACTTGAAATCATTTGAAGCACCTGGTATCAATCCATACTTGAAATCATTTGAAGTACCTGGTATCAATCCATACTTGAAATCATTTGAAGGACCAGGCATCAAACCATACTTGAAATCATGTGAAGTACCTAGTACAAGTAAAAATTCTGAATTAATAATGGTAATAAAGATCTGTCTCTCATCAGAGTCAGAAAACAGAAATTATATTTATATCCTACAGGCATTATGATAGAATTTCATAGTATGAGTTAAATAAAACTGTATTTTAGTCTAAAATTGAGATGTCTTCCTACTTTATTATCACAATTAAACAAAATACCATTCAACTATAGTAGAAGAAATTCAGTTAAAAAAATTAATCATGGGCCAGGCACAGTGGCTCATGCATATAATCCCAGCACTTTGCGAGGCTGAGGCAGAAGGATCACTTGAGCCCAGGAGTTTGCAACCAGCCTGGGCAACATGGAGAAACTCCATCTCCATCTCTACAAAAAAATTTTAAAAATTAGCTGGGCATGGTGGTGTGTGCCTGCAGTCCCAGCTACTGGGGAAGATCATTTGAGCCCGGGAGTTGCAGTGATTCAAGATTGCGCCACTGCACTCCAGCCAGGGCGACACAGTGGGATCATGTCTCAAAAAAAAAAAAAAAAAAAAAAAAAGGTGGCGGGCGGGAGAAAAAAACATGAATATCATTTAATTGTGCAGACGCCACAAGAAATTACCCTTTTAAAGGATGGGTATATTCAAACCAGAACTCCTAATAGTTGCTTTTTCTAACTACTCTATCACTTAAGATTTTATCACCCTAAAGCCCAGCTATCAAATGGGATATTCTCCTTATTACGAATCCAGGACAGGCACATAATTTTAAGATTAATTGGTACAGAAAAATAGACTAAGAATAAAGAATATATATAGGATAATTAAAAATGTAAAGTTCTATTACTAGATCCTTGTTTCAGACATATTAGGGCAAGGTAACTGAATGCTCTCAGGGTTCCCTGAAATTTCTTTCTAACTCCATCCTTAAATAAAATAACGTGCAGAAGATAGAATCAAAATAGAATAATACATGTGCCTAAGGATCTTCAGATTAGCAAGGACAGGAATTATATCCACTGGATTTAATTCCATCTTTAATGTAATTCCTTGGACCAGGAACCTTTTGGCAATAGGAATATATATCCAGAATCTTCCACAACTATTGCCACCCTGATCCAATCAATCATGAGCTCTAGCCCCTGGACTGTCTTCAGTAGCCACCAAAAACTTGTCTCCCTACTTCCACTGTTGCCTTCCTAGAGTCTGTTCTCAGCAGAGAAATCACAGATTCTTTAAAACACTACCTTAAGTCAGGTCACCACTCAGCTTACAAGGCTGCAAAGACTACCCACCCTCACAGTAAAAGCTAGAGACTTTCAATATCCTCCAAAGCTTTACCCGGTGGAGCCCTGGCTTCCAACCACCCTTTCCTTTCAGTCACTCTATTCCAACTATACTGACCTCTGTTCTGTTCCTCGTCCATAATAAGCATGCTCCCAATTCAAAGTGCTTAAGCTTTCCTCTGCCTAAAACACTCCTTGCCAAGATACAGTTCACTCAAGCAGCAATAATACATTTTCCTCCCATGGGCATCACGGTTTTAAAAGTAAAGAATGTTTACCCAAATGGATTTCCTAAGAATCACTTCCCATATATGTTCTCAGACATGCTGTCCCTCTTAAAAATTAAGATAACTTAAGATTCCTTTTTGGTGAAAGTCTTAATACCCAACAAAGTAAAAATGTCTCTAAAATATTTTAAAACTGCACATCATTACTATTACTGTAAACTGTGCTGTACTTGGAATACCGTCACCGGTTTTTGATGTAAAGAAAGCCCCCTGAACCCATAGCTACATAAATTCAACTATAACTCATTATAGCTGCACCTAATTAGTGTTTGGGAGTAAGTTGTAAGAATCCTAAAGTGAAGCATTTCTGTGTGAGGGATAAAGAATGGAACGGAAGTGGTAGCCTGTGGAGGTCAACCTACTGTTAGTTTCACATCTCTAAACAAAGTTTGAGCTTTATGATCCATATTTCTTGTCTAAATCAGTACAAACTCCTGCGCCTATCTTACTTGCCTTGGTTTTTCTATTGTTTAAGACACATGCCCTACAATTACTTGTAGAATAAATGTTATCTAGCAAATGCCAATACATACTTCTGACTTGCTCAAAATACTTGGAAAACTAGTACCAAAAGACACATTAGATGTTCTAGTATCTACAATTAAATATTATTCACAACATGTAAGAATAAGGAAATAGGCCAGGCACAGTGGCTCGTGCCTGTCATCCCAGTAATTTGAGAGGCTGTGGGAGGATCGCTTGAGCCCATGAGATTCAGGCCAGCCTGGGTGACAGAGTGAGACCCCATCTCAAAAGAAAAAGGAGACAGAAGAATATCCCTAAAACCATTTGTAAACTGAAAATCCAAGATTCAACATCCATGATAACAAGGAATGAATACTCTATCTGGAATACAAAATGGTAATTCAAATTAAGTAAACCTTGCCCCAAATTTCTTTCATCTCTCCTAATTCTTATAACAGAGAATACTTGTAGGAATTACAAGAGTGGCCTAAATAAAGGTACTGTCATTGTAATTCAATACACTTAAGGATCATTAAGGTCATTATAGATCTCTTCAAAATGGTGCTTACTGATCAATAATATCCTTCTGGGTACATTATTCCACAATAGAAAACTAAGGAAAAAGCAATGTAAGTTTTTGACATCAAAATCATCAAGCAAAGGCTGATCTCAGATGCAAAAATACTAATGAATCGAAATGTCCCCTTTAAGAGGAATAACCCTATATCAAAGGTTTACAAATTTAAAATTTTACATATGAATTCAAATATCCCTAATTAAACCCATTCTTGGACTAGATTTCAAAACTGAGAAAGCAAGTGCAGTAACATCTTCTTGCGCGGTTAGCAACTTTCTGTACGAGCAAAAAAATCTTTAAAATTCAAGACATCTGACGTACAAACTGCTAATTTCAAAACTTGTTTTGTAAATTCTTTTAAACAGTCAGGGGAAACCACCTTAAGGCAGTTTCTTTAGAAATGTGGTTTTATTTTGGTCAGTACATACTGAATTCAGAGCCCACGACTACTCTTAGTAACAAGTACCTCACTGTCTCTGTTCTCACCAACTTTGAAAAGAATTCCAAAGCTAATAAAATTGAAACAATCAATAAACATCCATATCTATCTTCAACAAATACTAGTTTTGTCAAGTTTTTATGTACACACATACATGCTTTCTATGCACTATTTAGAAACATGCATGCTCATAACTTCAAGCCTAAATGCATCTTCTAGAACATGCTCCTAGATAACCACCGTATAAGAAATTTAAAATTAACTGAATATCACTTAACACACACTACATATTCTAATTTCCAGTTGGCCCCAAAATGTCCTCTTTAGCCATTTTTTGTTCCCATGATCTAATCAAGATCCATGCTGCACTTTAGTTTACTTCCTTGGTCTCCTTCAATCTAGTGGTTTCCCCACTTGTCTGTCGTAACATTAACATTTTAGAGTTTGGACTACCTGTCGTATACATCAATGTCTGGGTTTTCCTTTGTCATTAGATACAAGCTAAACAGTTTCTCAAGAATACTGCATAGGAAATGTTGTATGCCAGGTGGCACATCAAATCAGCCAGCCCTTAATTTTGGTTTGTGCTCTTTTTAATGGCACTAAGTTTAATCACTTAGTTATGACAATCTTTCTCAGATCTCCTTATTGTAAATTTACCTTTTCCCCTTTGCAAGTGGAAATCATCTATGGGAATCCATGGGAATAATTTGAGACCATGTGAATATGATATTCCCCAACAATCTTTCACCCAATCATAGGGGGACAAGCCCATTAACGGTGGCTTAACATCCACTGATGACTTTGAATTATTTCCTGTGGGGATTGCAAAATAGCTATTTTTCCAATTCTATCATTCTTCTATCAGCTTGGCATTCTTCTGTAAAGAATGACTTTCTTTTACTCTATTTTATTCATAACATACTCATGGATTCTTTGTTTTTATATTCATCAAGCTTCCTCCAATGCACTGCTGACATCACACAGAACTAATCAACATTTTCTATAGCCATTAACTACACCATCATTTTGCATAAAAACTAATTAAAATAAATTCAACCATTATCGTAATTACCATTTCCGTTCCGTATCTATATACCAGCAGGAAGCCATAAGCCATATTAACTCAATTACTTTTTATATGTAGGAGTTTTTAAAACTAAACAAATGACTCCGTCAAACATACAAAACCGGAAACATCAATTTGCATTTACCAATTTTCCAGTCATCATAAACATAGCTACCATAGATTGAAAGTAGTTATATACAATAGAACCCCCTTATGGAAGAGAAATTACACTAGGCTGCAGGTAAGATGTAACACTTCCCAATCTTAAATGTACTGTTGCTAAAATCTTACTGTACCTACCAGCATCACCTCCATCTTGACTAGTGCCAGCTTCAGCCAATAAATTTGCATTCACATTCCTATCACCATCTGGCCCCGAGAGTAGAGCACCATCTAAATCTGAAAAGGAAACATAGAAAAATTTATCTACAAACCACACCATAGCCACCACCCAAAACACCACTCTTTCTTGGAACTGTTTCTTAAATAAAAAGTACCATCTGTAAGTAATGAATTATCTACTGTGTTCAATACTACAAGGCTCACAGAAGCCTAAGACATGTACAGTGAGTACAGTGTACTGGTTAGGAATGGGCTGTAGAACCAGGGTAAATTAGGTGCCACTCCTGTTTCTGTTACAGGCTATGTGACCATATGCCTTAGTTTCTCCCTAATTTACATCCACCTATATCGTAGATGTGATCTAGGAATCTAATTGGATAATATAACAAGCCAAGTGTTACAATTATGGTACTTGACGCTCAAACAATACTGCTAGTACTAACTAGTAAGTACTAGATGTATAAAACATTGCTGGTGCATCCACATTGGTTCAGAAGTGGAGACCAATTAAAGCTAGACTGCTTAGCTGGAAGTGGGGGCTCAGGCCTATAATCCCAGCACTTTAGGAAGCTGAGGTGGGCAGATCACTTGAGGCCAGGAGTTTGAGATCAGCCTGGTCAACATGGAAAAACCACACCTCTACAAAAAATACAAAAATTAACCAAGTGTGGTGGCACACACCTGTAGTCCCAGCTACTTGGGAGGCTGAGGTGGGAGGATCCGCCTGAGTCCGGGAGGCAGAGGCTACAGTGAGCTGAAATCACACCACTGCACTCCAGCCTGGGGTGACAGAGTGAGACCCCAACTCAAAAGAAAAAACAGTTTTTGTCAGAATACAGAATATAGATGGCAAATAAAACCATGGGAGTGAAACAGATGAGACAGTGAGAAAAGATTAAGTATACTGAATAATCCTAACATTTAATGAGTTACAAAAAATATATAAAAGACTTTTAGGGGAAAAGTAGTCCACTTTGCCAATGCTCCCTAGAATTCAAGATGAGGGCTAAAAATGGACATCACTTTCATTCAATAAGCACCTAGGATGTCACTGGTAATCTTACTGAGCGATACTGGTGAGTAGGTGGGGCAAGCAGAAAAAATAAGAGTGGTCTGTGTTCTGAAGAGATGATGATCAATTAAGAAAAAATACTGACAATCTTTTTGAGAAATTTAGCTATAAAAGGGAAGTGTGAGAAATAGGGTAACGACTGATTTTTTTCTTTTTTAAGAAACTGAAAGTTACTTTTTTTTGGAGACAGGGTCTCCCTCTGTCACCCAGGCTGGAGTGCAGTGGCACGATCTCAGCTCACTGCAACCTCTGCCTCCCAGGTTCAACCGATTCTCCTACTTCAGCCTCTCAGATAGCTGGGACTACAGGTGCACACCACCACACCTGGATAATTTTTGTAATTTTTTGTAGAGACAGGGTCTCACTATGTTGCCCAGGCTGGCCTTGAATGCCTGGGCTCAAGCAATCCTCCTGCCTTGGCCTCCCAAAGTGCTGGGATTACAGGCATGAACCACAGCACCCGGCCGAAAATTACATATGTGAATACTGACAGGAAGGAGTCACTAAAGGGAGAATACTAAAGATATTGCTGCGAAGAGAAGGAATTATCCATTGTGTAAGATTCCTAAGGAGTCTTGTGATACAGGAGCACGGGTCTGGGTACTTAAGAGAGACAGCAGAGACAAGCAGTGTACATAGAGAGAGCTAAAGCCAGAACTTAAGGATATTCCACCAGGCTGTTGGCTTCTCTTTTCTCTGTAAGGTGAAATTAGTAGAATGTAGCATTATTGCTTAGAGTAAATGGGTTGGAAGTCAGAACAATGAACAAGTATTTAATGTGGTACCACATTAAATGTGGTAAATGTTATTTAATGTGGTACCACATTAAATAACAGTAAATAGATACAGAACTCCTTTGCCCAATCCTTAAGAACGGGGATACTGTTCAGGTATCTAGGATAATAGCTAGATAGGATACTATTTAGGTATTTTCCTAGTATTTATCATAATGCATGATAAATAAAAGGCTTTTAAAAATATCGTTTGCCATGCATGGTGGGGCTTCAAGCCTGTAATCCCAGCACTTTGGGATATATATGTATTAGAGTTAAATGCTGGCTTGAATAGTCTTGCCCTTTGCAACTTATATCACTAAACAAAGTTTAGTTTTAATTCATGGTATCTGAAGAATAATTTGGTTTTTTGGTCTACAATTAAACTAAAACCTATCATGAACTGAAAATATTTAATTGAAATTTAGTGGTTTTGTTTTCTTAAAGTTAAATGTATTTCAATAATCAAAAAATAAAATTGGCCAGGCATGTGCTAGTCCTAGCCACTGAGGAGGCTGAGGCGGGAGAATGGCTTGAGCCCAGGAGTCCAAGGCTCCAGTGAGCTACAATCACACCACTATACTACAGCCTGGGCAAGAGTGAGACCCTGTCTCAACAAAATTGAAATAAAAATAAAAAATACAATTATTCAATTTCACTAGATTTCTCAATCTTTTTTTAAAAAAGTCATTATTCTGAAATGCAGTCTGTTCAAGGACATGTCTTACAATTCTGCCAAGTGGGTTTCCAAATACAGGTTTCTATTTATGCAAAATTCTACAGTGAATTGTTGAAGGCTTTCCTCAACTCTTAAGAGGCATTTCCTATCTCCTACCCTAGCCCTAAAGTATTATATTAGAATTTGTGATTTCTAATTCTACATGGACAACAAGTATAGACCTCCTCAGCCAAAACCTTACAAAATAAATATCAAGTATATTTGTCTTGTGTCTCTTTTGAAAGGCACCAACTACGTGGTTCTTGATATCAAAAACAAATCTCAAAAACAGGTGAGTTCTTCCAAGTTGACAATCTTTTGACAATAGTGTGCTTAACTTTCAGGAACCAATATATTACGTCACTGCTTACCTTATTCAAAACCAGCCAAACCACCTAGCAACTCATTATTAGAGATGTTGATGTGAATGGAATAGAAACCAAACAACCAACCACTTAATTGACACGAATGAATTTTGCTTCATTAGGAAGCATGATAGCAACTCTTGGTCATCATCTTTTTCTCTAAAATTACAAGATTACAAAATAAACTCTAATACACCTGCTTTTGTGATATCCAGCATCTTCCTATGGGAATCTTATGCTTCATTTAAAGGTAGCAAAAAAAGGGCTAAGATTTCTTTGCAAACAGCAGAAATCCTTTCTGAAGACTAATTCAAACATTAGTTTCCTTTCCCCTCTTCTCACTACTGCACTTGTCTAAAACACACACACACACACACACACACACACACACACACACACTGGTTTCACAAAATGACGGCTATTTTTCTGACTGGTGGCAGGTACATGAGTGGTATGTAATATTCAAATGACCAGAGCTAAATGACAAGCCATGTAGGATTTCTCCTATTTTAAAAAAATGTCTTTTCTCAGTGAACAGATAGTAGCAACCCCTATAACAAAAATGGATTGTATGCATCCGGCAGTAAAATCTTTCAACTTTTTATCAATGAGTAAACTAAGGCTGAGGGAGGTTAAATAACAAGCTAGTGGCAGAGGTCTGCACTATTTAGTAACTGTATTACATTGCTTCCTGACAGTTTATCACAAGCACCAAGCCTCAGGGCCTGGCACATAAGCAGGCAATCAAAAAACTACAATTTGCAATGCTGGGAACACGAGTGCAGAAGTATATTCACACGTACTTTGCTACTGATACTTGATATGCTCTTTTTGTGAAATGAACAAAAATAAACATTAATTCCACTCTGTGTTAAACCAGCATCCACTTTATTACCTTCCCTTTATTTAACAATATATTCTCCAAAATCTTAAGGATACCAAGGTACTAGCTATCATTGCTCTTTACAGTAATACTTTTTGTCTACTTTAAAGCAATCTCCTCCTTAGAATTCACATTTATATACTTCTCTAATTAACCATGTATTGCATTTTAAATAATATCTTCATGAGAGGTACTATTCATGGAAGGACGGGTACAATGGCTCATGTCTGTAATCCCAGCACTTTGGGAGGAAGCCAAGGTAGGAGGATCGCTTGAGCCCACAAGTTCAAGGCTGCAGCAAGCTATGATCATGCCACTGCACTCCCTCCATGGGTGAAAGACCAAGACCCTATCTCCTAAAAAAAAATGAAAATATTACCATAGATTTTTGAAAATCTGGTAACAGTGGAAAAAGAATGAGATGGGATTAAAAGACTGGTCTAAATCTCAGTCTCTACCTCCCAAAAATGTGCCCATGACCAATGATATTAGTAAATGAAAATATTGAGCAAAGTACAAGACAAAACAAGGTATCATTAAAGACAAGACTAATCTTGGTGCCTTGGTCATGACAGGAATTTTAGATCACGGTGGGCTAGCAACCCTTCCAAATCACGTGCGAAGTGAGTAGTACAGCACCTGCCTGTGAATGCTAAATTAAACAAGACTGAGTTGGAAAGGTTTCCCTGACTATTTGCTTGTGGTTCTCAATATTCCAACCATTAGGCAAGTGCAGACTAATCCAGATTTTCTCAGAACACAAATATTCTTGAAAAGATATGAGACAAGACCCTGGGAAAGAAGTTTTAAGAAACAGCTAAACAAGTTGTATAAAAACTCAGACTCAGATCTACTCAACTTTCATTTTCATATAAACACATATTAGCACAAGTTTCTCTTACGGTGACAGTTTCAGAACTAAAAGTAAATGTGTTTGGTGCTTTTCCCCCCCATAAACAGGTATAGATTTTTTCTCTTCAGTTTTCTCCTTTCAGTGGAGAGTAAATTCAGTTGCAAATGTATTATATAAACCACCCTTTACAGTTCCTGTAGCAGCCTTTTAAACTCAAAATAGCTTCCCTTTCACTCGCAAACTCATTGACAAGTGACTGCCCCATCTTACTTAGACTAGGCTCAACTGTTTCTTCCTTGCATTATTCCAAAGTGCTGTTATTTCTCCCTAACAGGTCCCCCCAGTACATGCCCCACCTCCAATCCATGAAAAATGCTCTTAAACTTTTTAGTCTTAAATGCAATATAAACAGATCAAATCTCTAGTTAAAAAAACCACTCACTACTTCAGAGTCTGTAAAACAAGTCAGAATTTATTACAATACAAAAATAACTAGTTATACCTATAGACAAGGTAGTAGGAAATTGGAGATGTCCCCACAACACTACCCCTTTTCTATTCTTCGACCCACTTATTCCAATTTCTTCCCATCTTGCAAGTCAACGAATGCTCTTCTTCCCCTCCTAGCAAACTCCTACATAACAAAAGATCCACTCACACTGCCTTCTCTATGAAGCTTTCCCAACTCCTCTGGGCAGTTAGGACTGTTCCACTGCACCCCGTCATGCATCTTAAATAATCTAATTTTAACATTTATCACATGGCACTGAGTATGTTTCTACCCCACAGTCACCCTATTGTGAATAAGTTCCGCATAAGGGACTCCTCAATCTTGACATTATGTGGCCTATTGCTCAGTGTCTTTAGATTTTAAATAAAAACGTTTCCAAATTTCCTATTATATGTGGAAAGCTATTTTGGAGTTCCCAGAAAGTTATAACATTTCTGAAGAGTAAAGCTTTGAATGAAAATTTACACTATCTGGTCACCCTACTATATATTAAGTCTGTATCAGAAACCAAAAATTCAGTTCTATAAAAAACTTTCAGGGACTGGCATTTATATGGTTTAGACAACTTAACACCTTCAGCAGGAAGAAGTCACAAAAATGCCTTAACTGACCCACATAAGACTTCTTCAGCTCTTCAGCTTTATTCTGACCACTTAAAGAGTTTCTAACTTACAGGTAATAATCAACAGTGTAGCCACTTCTTGGGTCAAGTATGATACAGGGAAGGAAAGCAACAGTAAGCACAGCAAAAGGGGAAACAGTGGCAGACTACTATTTCACCTACCATATGGTTGCCTACTACCATCTTTTAAAATTAAATACTGAAGATTCTTATGCATTAGTATATCATATAACTCATTAACTATTATTTATTTTTAAAAATAAGCATCAGGGCTGGGTACAGTGGCTCATGCCTGCAACCCCAGCACTCTGGGAGGCTGAGGCAGGAGGAGAGTTGAGCCCAAGAGCTGGACACCAGTGTGGGCAACATAACGAGACCCTGTCTCTATTTTAAAAATCTAAAAAAAATTAGCCAAGAGTGGTGGCCCATGCCTGTAGGTGTGCCCAGGTACTCAGGAGGCTGAGGCAGGAGGATCACTTGAGCCCAGGGATTTGAGGCTGCAGTGAGCTATGATCACTGCACTCCAGCCTGGGTGACAGAGGGAGATTTTTTTTTTGAGATGGAGTCTGGCTCTGTGCCCCAGGCTGGAGTGCAGTGGCGCGATCTCAGCTCACTGCAACCTCTGCTCCCGGGTTCAAGCCATTCTCCTGCCTCAGCCCCCCAAGTAGCTGGGACTACATGTGCCCGCCACCATGCCTGGCTAATTTTTTTTTGTATTTTTAGTAGAGACGGGGTTTCACTGTGTTAGCCAGGATGGTCTCGATCTCCTGACCTTGTGAACCACCCGCCTCGGCCTCCCAAAGTGCTGGGATTACAGGCGTGAGCCACCGTGCCCAGCTGTTTTTTTTTTCTTTTCTTCTTTTGAGACTGAGTCTCGCTCTGTCACCCAGCTGGAGTGCAGTGGCATGGTCTTGGCTCACTGCAACCTCTGCCTCCCGGGTTAAAGTGATTCTCCTGCCTCAGCCTCCCGAGTAGCTGGGATTACAGGCGCGCGCCACCACACCCAGCTAATTTTTGTATTTTTAGTAGAGATGGGGTTTCACCATGTTGGCCAGGATGATCTCGATCTCTTGCCCTCGTGATCCACCTGCCTCGGCCTCCCAAAGTGCTGGGATTACAGGCGCGAGCCACTGCACCCGGCCTCAGAGGGAGATCTTGTCTCTTAATAAAATAAAATAAATAAATACATAAGTAAGCATCTGGCCTTCAGCACCCTCCCCCTAATTATTAGAACCCCCCCAAGTTGCTAATGAAAAATGAAATTAAATTCTGACTTGCATCTCATCCTTCATAGCATACTCCATAGGATGCCTAAGAGGTTTAGCAAAACACTCGGAATCTCCTAAGAGAATAAAAACTAATTCAGATCCATAAATCTGTTACGTGAGACCCTTGGGGTAAGATTTAGAATGCAGAATTTTTCAGATTTTATAGCTATGACTGTAACACCCCATGTGGGGTCTGGAGTAGCACCCTATAATGAAAACATGAATATTTATACAAAACACTAATATTTATACAATAAAACATGAATATTTGCAGGGCGTGCTGGCTCACGCCTGCAATCCCAGCGCTTTGGGAGGCTGAGGCGGGGGTTGGGGGGGGGGTGGATCACCTGAGGTCAGGAGTTCAAGACCAGCCTCACCAACATGAAAAAAACCCGTCTCGTCTCTACTAAAAATACAAAATTGGCCAGACATGGTGGCACATGCCTGTAATCCCAGCTACTCGGGAGGCTGAGGCAGGAGAATTGCTTGAGCCCTGGAGGTGAGGTTGCAGTGAGCCAAGATCACGCCACTGCACTCCAGCCTGGGCAACAAGAGTGAAACTCTATCTCAAAAAAAGAAAAAAGAAAAAAAGAAAAAAAACCCATGAATATTCACATTTAAGGAAGTAAAAAAATATAAATAGCTGATTTGTTGCCAAAATGATTAAGAAAAAGCTTTGGGTCCTCAGAACTATTAAGATTTCAGAATTTTAAGGTAGAAATTTTACTTCTTTCCCATTAGGGAGGCTGTCTGGGATACACTCAAGGCTAGCATTGTGGCAAAACTGAATCTAAAGCCCAAGTCTCCTTCACCAAAGCCATGTCCCATGGTTTTGAAACATATTTTAGACTGGACACAGTGGCTCAAGGCTGTAATCCCAGCACTTTGGGAAGTGAGGCTGGAGGATCCCTTGAGCCTGAGACCAGTCTCCTTGGCAACAAAGCGAGACTTCACCTTTACTTAAAAAAAAAAAAAAAAAAAAAAAATTAGCCAGGCATAGTGGTGCACGCCCACCTGTAGTTCCAAGTACTCTGTGTGGCTGATTGCGGGAGAGTGAGGCGGGAGAATCACATGAGCCCAGGAGGTTGAGGTTTCTGTAAGCCATGATCATGACACTGCACTCCGCCTGGGTGACAGAGCAAGACTCTGCCTCAAATATATGCCTTATTACGATTTCTTATATCTATCTAGTTTGGATATTCTTTTCTCAAAATAGTTTTCAAAGTACCAAATTGTATGCTTTTTTACCAAAAAAGCAATTACACAAATAAGTGCAAAGCTTAAACCTGATTTCAACTCTACTTGTAAGGATTAACGCAAACCTAAAAATGCTGCAAAACTATTTTTCCATCATAAGTCTAGGTGAAAGAAACTTCCAGGTTATTTAAAAGAATTCTAAACTTTATCTTTTAATCAACTAAAATTACCTTACATTTGAGTATTCGTATGGCATAAGGAAAAAAAATCATTTACATAGAACTACATCAGCTTGTGGCAAAGATTAAAAATATAATAATCGACTGCTGCATTTACTAGAAAACATCTAAGGAAACTGTCCATTATATTACTTGGTGTCAACTACATAAAAAAATCCCACTGGAGAAATTCCTTTCAGAAGTCAGTACCAGGAAGTTTGTCATCCTGGTAGAACTGGTATGTTTTTCTCTTTTGAGTAAGGCTGTTTTGTATCTTAGAGCCAATTAAAAGCTTAATTAGGGCAACCACATTTATATCCATGATGAGCACTCTTAACTTCTTTGCCAATTTTACTTTATTTTGCTAATTTGTTTCTTTTGTCATTTCAAAATAAGGTATGTATGCATGCAACGTACATACAGAGTAAAATTATTTATAATAGGTAGAAGTTGCTAGTATGACAGGTATAAATTTAAAAATCTAGGCTCAGAAAACCATGTTCCATGAGCCCGCAAAATAAAGTGATTTTAAAAAATCAGATTAACACCTGACTTGTTCTAGTTAAACGGGACACAACATGTGTGAATACACGTTGTAAAACAAATTTAGGCACTAGTTATCTGTACTTCTGTAATTCAATTTCTAATCTCAGGTTATCTACTTTATTTGGCTAAAATTTAATGTTTCCTGGTTGCAAATCAGCAAGACAAGGATTTTGAAATTTTTACATTATCAGAGCAATTCACTCACGACATCATTTTTACCCTTATTTGATTACCCAGATTTTAGTTTTTGCTGACAGTTTTAATTATTCCATAATCCCAGTATGTGCATATTCTCTTAGGACAGAAATTTCTAACTTTTCTGAGTTCTACCTTCAAAGTATTCTTGTGTAAAAGAAATGATCTGAAGTGAAGTCAAACAACAAATATGACTCTGTAGTGAGTCAAACAACAAATATGTTAATTTCAAGATAAAAAAATACCATCTGAATAAAAACCCTGCAGCTATGGGTACACCTTCTTATCTCAATCTTTAAAAGGCACCCAAACAAAAGCTTCAACATTATACAAGACAGCGTTATTAGAACTGTATCTTACAAACTCTGTGCTGAAGACCTGAGGGAAGACACAGTAACTAGAAGAGACCCCCGCCAAATCCAAACATGCCAAGCATTGTTTGCAGATTGAACAATTCACTAAGACTTTTCAGATGTTTGCTATAGAACTTCAAATTTATTTAAAAGCATTTATTTCATGGACAACTGTTTTCTCAATAAATGGAAATTAAAGCATAACTAATGATGAAGGGGATCATAAAAATATTTTAAAGTTAAAAGGAACTAATTTTTTAAAAAAGATAGGAATCTACTACTTTAGTAGTTAATTTCAAGGTTTTCATGCAGCATAGTCCTAAATATGCAACCTGCCTCTTTCTACTCTTACTAGCTGAATGACCTTGGGAAGGCCTTAACGTTGGTAAACACAGGCTATGTTCTATATTGGTCAGAACTTGCCTGGAAAGAGTAAATTGTGTGTATTCATCACAAGATGGGCAGAAGAGCACATAGCCTACAAAAACAGGACTCTTTAAACGTCTAACATTTGAAGGGTTATCAGGTAGATTAGAGGAATTAGGTTAGGTTTAAATTATACTATTCCAGGCAGAGCGCAGTGGCTCACGCCTGTATTCCCAGCACTTTGGGAGGCCAAAGTGGGCAGATCACTTGTGGTCAGGAGTTTTTGAGACCAGCCTGGCCAACATATAGTGAAACCCTCTACTAAAAATACAAAATACAAAAATTAGCTGGGTGCAGTGGTGCACGCCAGTAGTCCCAGCTACCTGGGAAGCTGAGGCAGGAGAACGCTTGAATCTGGGAGGCGGAGGTTTCAGTGAGCCAAAATCATGCAACTGCACTCCAGCCTTGGTGACACAGGGAGACTCTGTCTCTCAAAAAACATAAATAAATAAATAAATAAATAAATAATAAATTACACTATTCCCAACGACAGAATTAGGAAGTTATAGAGAAGCAAATTTTGGCTACATTTAAAATGACTACCTAATAATCAGTCATCCTACACTGGAAGCTGCTTAGGGAAGTCTTTACAAGCAGTCAAAAAATCAAGCTGAGGCTAAGACCATCTATCTGGCATTTGGTAGAAAGTACACAGCACCGGAAAACTGATATGAATAACCTCAATAGTCTTTTCCAAGTTTAAGGAGGATTGCCATGACCAAGAGTTATTTCATATTTGTCACTTCATTTTCATAATAATTCTATAAAATCAACACAATATTTTAATGAGGAAACTGAGGACAAGAGCTTAATTTGATCATGGACTACAGGGGGTAGGTGGCACAGCTTATTTTTAAATTTTAAATTCATTATGTTTGACTCAATTTAGGCTCTTTCCAATATAGTAATATTTGCTGATCTCAGCCTTAACTCATAAAATTACCTGTAGAACTTTAAAAAAAATTCCACATCCAAACCACATTCCATACCAATTAAATTGGAATCCACAGAAGAGAGACCCTTTACGGCATGTAATGCTCCCAAGTGATACCAACGTGCATACCCATGATTAAGAACCACTGCTATATACGAAGGGTTGGCAAGTTTTACTGGAACACACCTACCTTCATTTGTTTACATAGTACAAATGACTGCTTTCATGTCACAAGTGGCAGAGTTGATGAGCTGACTTTTATGACCAACAAAGGTGAAAGTCTTTTTTTTTTTTACTGTTTTAGCCCTTTACAGTAAAAATTTACCAGTCCTTGGTTCTATATCATATTATATACCCTAACCATAATGCTCTTTTGAGACCCATTTATTTTTTCCACCAAATAACACTGGTGGCATGGATAGAACCAAATTTGTGAGTTAAGCAAGGTTCGGATACCAAACTGGTATCAATGAAATGAAAATAATCCTTTTTAAGAGACGGCTGGGCACGGTGGCTCACCCATGTAATCCCAACATGTTGGGAGGCCAAGGTGGGTGGACTTGAGGTCACGAGTTCGAGACCAGCTTGGCCAACATGGTGAGACCCCCGTCTCTAGTAATAATAAAAAAATTAGCCAGGTGTGGTGGCATGTGCCTGTAATCCCAGCTACTTGGGAGGCTGAGGTAGGAGAATCGCTTGAACCCAGGAGGCAGTGGTTGCAGTGAACCAAGACTGTGCCACTGCACTCCAGCCTGGGCAACAGAGTGAGACTCCGTTTAAAAACAAACAAACAAAACAGATGTAAGAGATAAAGCATATTAGACCACCAATTAATTTATAATAGAACTAGTCCATTAACACAACCATGGCTAGGAGATACTTGATAAAAATTGCTAGTAATGTCATCTTTGAAAGTATGCATTGTGGTTCATTATTAATGCTTTTCTTTAAATCACTCCAATTATATGTGGCATTAATTTTTTAAATGAGGTTACTGCTGACTAGTTACCATCAAACAACCGCTACACCCAAAAGATGTTATTTATTCCTTTAAGGAAAAGTGTGTGTATTTAAAAACACTACAGGGTTCCCACCATACTGTTAAACAGAAATAATCCATACAGCACAAAGACAACGTAGCTCTAATGAGAAATCTGTCAAGGTCTTCTACATTAAGACAAAACAAAGTGCTAGCTAAGGAGTCTATCTACCCTTAATACTTCATTTAACTAAATTGTCTCAGGGATTTTATTGTTAAAACTTGATATAAAGTACAAGGAAAAAGATATATAGTATTCGTTATATATACACACTTGATTTTTCACACAGTAAAAATTTCACACACACACACACACATACATACACAAAATTCCTATCACTGAAAGCTAACCCAAATCTAAAAAGCCAGAGGAACATTTCACAGGATTACTATGGCATTTTGCCCTCTGGCAACTAAAAACAGTGATTCCTTTAACAGAAAATACTCCATCCTCAGATGACCACCATCGTATAAATCAGACACTGAACAGTTACAGTGCTTTGAAGTGAAAAAAACAAGCATTAAATAATGTATGACAGTGGTGGACAAGCCTCAGGCATGCATAGGAAACCTCAAACCCACTGAGCTTCTTCAAATAAAGATATGCACAGCCAGATTAAACTAAAGACTTAACAATGGTCTTCTCGTTTTAAAAAAATTCCCACTGTAAATGTGATTCTCTAAGATTCCTACGGAACTTTTGGAGAGAAATATATTGAAGAGAAAGGCCTCAGAGGCTTTGCAATGAATGCAAAGGTGAATGAAAATCAGGTGACAGTGGACAAACAAAATAGCTTCTATGGTGAGAACAGAACAGTACCTGCTCTAGGCCAGGTGTGGTGGCTCATGTCTGTAATCCCAGCACTTTGGGAGGCCGAGGCAAGCAGATCACCTGAGGTCAGGGGTTCCATACCAGCCTGGACAACATGGTGAAACCCCATCTCTACTAAAAATACAAAATTAGCTGGGTGTGGTGGCACGCACCTGCAGTCCCAGCTACTCAGGAGGCTGAGGCAGGAGAATCGTTTGAACCTGGGAGGCGGAGTTTGCAGTGAGACTCCAGCCTGGGCTATAGAGTGAGACTCCGACTCAAAAAAATAAATAAACAAAAAATAACAGAAGAACAGTAGCCCTAAACAAACTAGAATACCATAATCTCATAATTGGCAAAATTCTTTGAAACACTTAAATATGTTTTAACAGCCAAAAATAAAATAAAAAAGGTTAAGGGGGTCTCTGAAACGACAGTGATTATATATTACAACTAAAGATTCTATCTTTCCCAACACTGGGTATAAAATAGTGAGCACAGAGGCTAAAAATGAGGAAAGTCAAAGACCCGTACATGCAGCAGAGTCCACGTTCCTTGACAATATATGCAATACCTGGCTATTAATACATCTTTTGATAAACCCACATATATATGTGTTGAAAAAAGACAAAGAAAATATACCAAATATGTTATGCATTTGAATGACGTTCCCCCTTCTTTTGTAAACAACTTTAGTATTACTTTATAACTAAAATAATTCAATTAAAAATATACTTCAAGATTATATCCAACTAGAATTAGGATGAACAAGGAAGTATCCTTGTATAGATAATATTTACCTGGTTCTTCCTTGATGAGTAGTGTATTTTCTTCTGGATAGGCAACAGGTGGCTGCATTACTGAGCAATCTTCTAAATTCGTTTCATTATTAGGTGGAATATTATAAATAAATCTTTTTGTAGTTTGGTTTTTCCTCCTTGTTTTGCCAGTCTCTTGAATTCCCTGGGAGCCCATATTATTCCAAATAAACACTTTTGTTTGACCTTCAGATTCATTTTCAGCCATTTCAGGAGATCCATCCTGGACCCAACTACTGTCATTCATTTGGTAGTTTTCTATTTGGCCCTCGTCGACATTACAACCATCATTTTCAATCTTTACATTACTTGCCAAATTGGTAAGATTCCGTGTTGCCCAAAAACTGGCAATTTTTTGATCCCGTGATGAAGACAGACCATCTCTATTAACTGGTTTTCTATTATTATAGTCCACAACTACAGACTCTGGAGCTTCTGATTTAATGCTTATATTTAAGGCATCTTTAATGAAATTTCGGCAAGTTTGAACAACTTCACTCATTTGAAGATAGCTGGCCACGGTCATAACTTCAATGGCATTTTGGCTTGTGAGCACCAGGTTACCAGAATACAAGAAGTCCAAGATGACTGAAAAACCTTGAACTGCAGCAATATCTAAGTGGGTAGTATTGTTTTGGTTAGGGCTTTCTTTGTTTGAAAAGCAATATAAAGTCTTAAAGAAACGGCTGCCTGCAACCAGGATGTTCTTATGAGCTTTGAAGATTTTTCCGCTTACCACAATGCTGACATCACAAAGAATACCTTTCTTTCTCTGTTCATTTAGTTGTCGCAGAAGTTGATAGCAATAAGAGTTCTCATTTGGCCTACTATTAAAGTCACAGTACCCCTCCTCTGATGGTATTTCTGACTCCTGTAATTGGATAAAAAACATTAATATTAAACTTTATTGACTTTTTTAAAAACTCCCAAACCAAGGAAAACAATTATCAAGTTTTTAAAAAGCGATAATCAAATATATTAATTTGTGAGTAATCAAGAAATGGAGTGAACAGTGGTGGTGCAACCCACTGCTATTATTAAAAAAGAAAAAAATCAAACACATCTGACTGAAGATCAGCAGGGTTTCATTTTAAAAATAACATTCATCATGTTATATGTTTCAAATATAAGCTAAGAACATGAATTGAGAATTTCTTAAAATTAAAATTAAAAAGAGCAATTATTTTCTTAAGAAAAGAAACTTTCTCTTATAGGAATTAAATGTTTGCTTTATCTCTATAGAAAAGCAACAGTCTCCCCCGATTGAACTTAAAATATCCAAGTTATATTTTATGCTAGGCATATCACCCTATCTACCATTAATAAAAAGGTAAATTTTAAGTCTTGGCAAACATTAAAATCAAACAGTTTAGGTCAATGAAGTTAATTAAATCTAACTAGAGATAAAGGTAAGACCCTAAGGGGAAAATTTGCTTCAACTATAGGAATATCTAGTTATATAATTTCCTATCAACTTTCAAAACGCTTTATCTCTTTAGGGTCATAAGTACTATAAACTGTAAGGTAAATTAAAATTCCTGAATTCAAAATTCTAAATGTTTATAAATTTTGCTTCTTATCATACAGGTATTCATTATAGTTCTACTTGGCGTCACAATTAAAATTATGTGATATAATCGTAAGAATAAAAGTATGATCCAGAATTCAGAATGCTGTCTGTATCAGCCATTAACTGCGTGTCCTTGGAAAGTCACTATCCCTGAGCCTTTTCCTTAAACGATAAGTCAGTATTACAAATGTTAGTTAAAACTTTATGACTTTCCTCATACAGTGACTAGGTGGGTAAGCTCCCTCAAGGCAGAGCTGAATATCCCTCCAGCACTTTGATTAGTGCCTGCCACACTTTGCTAAACAAATGAAGTAATCATCTCTTTCCCAAGAGAAAAATTGCTTAGACCATTTCTAGTAGAAAAGATAACTGAAAATACTGACCTTATTCAAGTGTCAATTCTTTGGCACAAAATATTAAGTTAAACATAGACCATTTCTATAAAATAATAAAATATATACACATATGTATGGATCTATGATTTTACGAGCATGGAGAAAAACATGGAGAAATAAACACTAGAGTGTAAACAGGCTCAAAGTACTGACATGCTTAGAAGAGAGTTAGTGGTGTAGAGATGACGAGACTGCAAAAGTAGTCTCACAAACAATATCCTAAATGGTGGATCCCTAAACAATCACGAAACATGACTTAATGCAATCATGTGCATGGCTAAATCATAAAAATTTTAGCTTTACTTGGGTGCATGTCACAGGAGGCCACAGACGCTGTCATCTCAATTCTCTGAAACTAACCCAGTCCATCTAAAAATTATAGTGCTGCTCCCAGGTATGAGAAGTCAACTGAAAGAACCCAAATAATATTCCAGGACATGGCCAGGCATGGTGGCTCACGCCTGTAATCCCAGCACTGAAAGGCTGAGGTGGGTAGATCATTTGAGGTCAGGAGTTCAAGACCAGCCTGGCCAATGTGGTGAAACCCCGTCTCTACTAAAAATACAAACATTAGCTGGGCAGTAGTGGGGCACGCCTGTAATGTCAGCTACTTGGGAGGCTGAGGCAGAGGTTGTGGTGAGCCAAGATCATGCCACTGCACTCCAGTCTGGGCAACAGACTGAGACCTGTCTCAAAAAAAAAAAAAAAAAAAAAAAGATTCCAGGACACACTTCAACTGTTTCACTGTGAAAATGGAATAGTATGAAAAACTCTACGAATCTGGAGTATATGATCACTACAGAATGAAGCACACAAAGTAGAGAAATTTCCTCATTTTTGACTGATCCTTGGCAACCTTCCCATACCCTTCTTGTGCCAAGTGCATAAAGCCCTTATACCAAAAAACTCCCACCCATGCCCCCCCCCACCATATAATAATGTTCCATGCTCTAAATTAGCTATTTTCTCCTCCTACCAAAAGATCCAATTCTGCAAAAACTGTTAAGTCACGGATAGAGGAATCAAAACAAGTCCATTCATGAGTAATACCCTTATTTTTGTTTTTGGGGAACTGGAGAAAGGAAATAAGGTAATAATGAGACTTATTTAACCTAAGCTCTTGTATTAAACCAGTATGTTGTATTGGATTACTGCAAATATTTGGTTAAAAGAAAAAAAAAACCAGTATGTTGTGAAATTTCGTATCATGTAGCAAAGAGGAATGAACAATTTAGGACTTGTGTGAAAATGTAAAGAATGATACTAAAAACACCTGTAACAATTACTTGGACAGTGTAACTTTCCACAAAAGCATCATTCTGTTTACTTGGTTTCCCTTTTGAGACTGAGTAAATTTTATTAATTTGCCTATGCTCTCTATAGAAATTACAAATAAGGGGGAAGAATCTTGCTTTGATACAGGCCCAACACTAAAAGCTTTGTTACACAAGCTGTACCTGAACCCAAGCTCATTTGGTTCAGTGTTCAATCTACTATATATTATAGTAAAAGCATGAATATTGTATGAATATTTGGAAGAAGCAAAAGTTTTCAACACTAAATATCTGGCAGCATATATCTATGAACTGTTTGTGGAAGCAGTGAATTAGCATGTACAAGTCAAGAACTGCCTAAAGTCCGTATATCAAGCAGTTGAAAACACTTCAGGAGGTGGCTATGCCTACTGTAGCAGTCATAACACGCTATGGTCACTGCACCCTGAATTTTCTGGGCCAGTGCCAATTGTTAAGATTCTCTGCCTTTATCATACCAAATGTCCTAATTTTTATAACTAAGACAAAAGCCTATCCACCAAAATATCTGCCCATTCTACTTTGACACAAACTGTACAAATTAAACACCATTCAACCACTATTTTTTTTTCTCATTACTATGGTACAAGAACAAGAACATTAATGTCCCTTGTTTTTATAACCAACAACAGCAATTTCTTGTTCACCACTGATTAAAGCACTATTCCATATGTTTGCAGCAGCTATTAAATATGCCCTTCAAAAAAAAAAAAAAAAGAAACCACATAAATAAATATGACCTTCAAAAAAAATGAATCATTTCCAAGAGTATGTGTACTCTCTAAGGAGATCATTATTAGAGGATTTGGGTTAAAGAGCTAAATAAGCACAAAGCACTAAAATAAACTGCCAATATCATTTGCTAAACTCAATAAATTAATAAATTCTTAGTGCCAGAGACAAAATCTCAAAATAGGTCCCTAATAACTCCAGGTATCTTTGCCTCTTTGGTTCCTTCTTTAACGTTCTATGTCCACTTTTAGTATACTGATAACATCAGATATCACTGATAAGTTAAAAAAAATTACTATTTCCACAACTGGTCTTTTCAAATGTAGTGACCTTTTCTAACCTCTCTCCCAAAAAGGAAAACACAATTAGCTCAGACATTAGTCTAAACTGGCTAAACAAGGAGATTTTAAAGAAACAGACATTCAGAGCTAAATATGAAATCTTGAATTTTTTTATTTGTAAAGATGCCATTTAGTAAAACTTTAGTCTGGATGAGACCTCAATATCAAGTCTTCCAAAATTTAGAAAATATAGGTAAGTGTCCAGTTAGTTAAAATCCTTATAACCTATTATCTAGATGTTCAATATTTCCAGAACATAGGCTACAAAATAGTAAATATTTTACTCAAAGGAAAATGCTTGAAAAGTCCTAACTTTACATATTTATTTAATAAACATTAAATGAATACCTACTTTGGCCAGGGTCTACACTAGGAAGCAAAATGATTCAGTTGCTAATTTGAAGTTACTGTTAGTGGGTAAGACTCTTAAGGTGTTATAAGAGCAGAAAGCATGTGTATCTAATCCAGTTTTTTGTTTTTAAAGTGTGGGGATGCTTTTTCGAAGAAACAAGACCTGAGCAGAGCTTTAAAGGATCCAAGAGTGGGATGGGTGGATGAGCACTTCAAGTAAATGCGACGGCATTTAAAAAAAAAAAAAACAACAAAACAAAAACCCAGCATTTTAAAAAAACATAAGATGGTCTATAGCATCCTCAAAAGTTAAGATTTGTAAAAGAACTTCAATGTGATTTTCTAAAAAGCCCTACGGAATGCAAATATGCACTTGGGCACATTTCAGAGGTAAATGTCCATCCATTTTGACAAGAGCGCCATGTAATCTCAGCACTTTGGAAGGCGACAGGATGGCTGGTAGCCAGGAGTTCAAGACCAGCCCAGTCAACATAGAGAAACCCTATCTCCTTAAAAAAAAAAAAAAAGAGAGAGAGAGATTTGAATCCCCTTCTCCCTCCCAAATATTAGAACCATTGCTATAGGCACCTTACAGAGTTTTCAGAAGCAGTGATATAATCGAAATAGCAAAGAGGAGAGATGCCTATGGCAGCAAGGTGGAGATTTATTATCAGGGAATGAAGACTGCAGATACTGTGATCAGTTGGAAAGCTATTTTTCCTTTTTTTTTTTTTTTTTTTGAGACAGTGTCACTCTGTCACCCAGGCTGGAGTGCAGTGGTTAGATCATGGCTTATTGTACCCTCAACCTCCTGGGTTCAAGGGATCCTCCTGTCTCAGTCTCCCAAGTAGCTGGGACTATAAGATGTGTGCCACCACGCCCAGTTATTTTATTTTTTTAAATTTTTGTAGAGATAAGAGTCTCCCTGTGTTGCCCAGGCTTGTCTCAAACTCCTGGGCTCAAGCAATCCTCCTGCTTTGGCCTCCCAGAGTGCTAAGTTTACAGGTGTGAGCCATGTACCCTCTGGAAAGCTACTGTTAATAGGGCAACATACATGCCAGAAAAAAAAGACCTTAATTAGGGAAGATAGGTGTCAATGAGGTGTGAAGCAGAGCCTAGAAAAATAGTCTAAAAATCATCAGAACTTGCATGATAAAACAGATGTAAAGGGTGGAGGGAGAGAATCATAGGGTCATCAGCATTCCAGCTTGGGGCCTAAACAACGCCACCAACTTGTAGAGAATACAAGACCATCACCCAGTCTCCTACACTTTTGCGGGGGTAGAGGAAGAGAGGCTAACTTCAGTTACAAGTAATAGAAAGTCAAACAGCACACCTGTAGTCAATCCGTTAACAATAGGAAAATGTTATTCAGTTAAAGAAACAAGCAATTAGTATTTACTACCCTACTCAATTACAGCCCTTTTCCAATAACTGAATTAGCAGAAAAGACATTTCCAACACAAACATTTAAGTGTAAACTAAAAGCATTGAAAACATAAAAATATTACTCTGCAGCAACCCACTGGAATATACTGAAAGAACAAAAACAGTAATTTCTATTTCCAAATTTTAGAACAAATTCATTTTATAGAAGGAAGACAAACAAGGCCATAGCAAGTTTTGCCAAATACATGCTAGTGGCAATGACAAATCATAACAGTTGGTAGAGAAAAAGACAAGAAGGTCTCTTTTGCAGTTTTCTGATCACCTCTATATCTCTGAGTGATGGCATCCTCTTTGGTAGCTTAAGTACTATCCCCAGAAATTCTAATCCTGTGAGTGTTAGGGAGCAGACAGACGATGGTTATTCAGGTTATTTTTTATTTTTTATTTTTGAGACGAAGTTTCGCTCTTGTTGTCCAAGCACAAGGGCGCGATCTCGGCTCACCACAACCTCTGCCTTCTGCGTTGAAGCGATTCTCCTGCCTCAGCCTCCCGAGTAGCTGGGATTACAGGCATGCGCCACCACGCCCGGCTCGGTTTTTTTTTTTTGTTTTGTTTTTAAATTAGAGACGGGGTTTCTCCATGTTGGTCAGGTTGGTCTCGAACTCCCGACCTCAGATGATCCATCCCCCTCGGCCTCCCGAAGTGCTGGGATTACAGGCCTGAGCCACCGCGCCCGGCCTATTCAGGTTATTATAACATCCTGCCAACCAGTTCTCTCCTCAAACTCTAAACCCACATACACACTACGCAGGTGCCTCTAGATTGAAACACATACACATTTGATAATGATTCTCCCCTGCTTAAAACTGCTATTGTTGCCCATTTGTTAAGACAATAAAATTTAATGTTTTCAGCATGACAAGAGATCCTCCATGACCTCCAGTCTATCTATTCAAACTTGATTTTTCATCCTGCACAGCAACCAAACTCTCCCTTCTCTAAGATACCATTCTTCACTTTCCTCAGGCTGTGTGTGTGTGTGTGTGTGTGTGTGTGTGTGTGTGTGCGCGCGCGCGCGCGTTTTGAGGCACAGTCTTGCTTGTCGCCCCAGTTGGAGTGCAGTGGGGTGCCTGCTAGGTTCAAGTGATTCTCCTGCCTCAGCCTCCCAAGTAGCTGGGATTACAGGCACCTGCCACCACGCCTGGCTTATTTTTGTATTTTCAGTAGAGACGGGGTTTCACCATGTTGGCCAGGCTGGTCTCGAAGTCCTGACCTCAAGTGATCCACCCACCTCGGCCTCCCAAAGTGCTGGGATTACAGGCATGAACCACTCACTGCGCCTGGCTCCTCCTTAGGCTGTTTCTAATTGCACTGCCTAAATGCCCTCCCCATCCTGGTCAACACCTATTAATTAAATGCAATTAAAATTCAAGAATCAGTTGTACAAGCTTCTTCCAACCTTTGCAGGTAGAACTGATCACTCCCTTAAGAATCTTCAGGCCGGGTGCGTGACTCACGCCTGTAATCCCAGCACTCTCGGAGGCCGAGGTGGGCAGATCACGAGATCAGGAGATAGAGACTATCCTGGCCAACATACTGAAACCCCGTCTCTACTAGAAATACAAAAATTAGCCTAGCATGGTGGCATGTGCCTGTAGTCCCAGCTAATCAGGAGGTTGAGGCAGAAGAATCACTTGAACCCAGGAGGCGGAGGTTGCAGTGAGCCCAGATCACACCACTGCACTCCAGCCTGGGTGACAAGTGAGACCCCATCTCAAAAAAAAAAAAATTCTTCAATGTACCCTGATTATATACTGCTACCATGTTATCTGTGTCTTTTTTCGGTCATGTCTGTCTCTCCTTACTAAACTACAAGTTCCTTGAGGGCAGAGAGAATGAATGTTAACAAAACATACAGATTTTTATCTCCAGTGCTTTGCCAACCTAATACAGCTAAATTTAAGATGGAGAAGGAAGCTAATCCTAGGTACACAATAAGGTATACAGTCAGACACTGCTAACAAGTTTGAAAAGCACAAGGGCTATGAACTAGCTGTTACTGAATAAAACACAAAGAATAAATTATAAATAATGTAAAATATATAAATAAGAAACAACGGAATTTAATGGGCTACAGGCTCAACTCTAATCGATTTTTCCTCAGTGAAAGGTCTTTCAGACTTTCTTCCTAAAGTGTTAAAAACCAACCAAGTAACCAACCAACCAACCTTCCGCCCTTATTTCTGCCATAAACAAATTAGGCTGATAGATCTGCCTTACATTCTTTTGTTTGCTCAGCTACTGACATCAATATATTCCAACTGGAAATTTCAATCAGATCACTGGTCTGAATTCATTACTTAGTTTCTGTAAAGGTTAACTAAATTTACAACAATAATACATTTGGATGCATGTTTCTCCCAGGAAGAGTTGACAGGATGTGTGATTTAGGCTATGAAAATTTCACAATTAGGTAGAAAGTGGTCTAAACCAAGAATAACTGGTAATCACTGTTATTAAGGAATTTTAAAGTCTTCTGGGCCAAATGGTCAGATACTGAATGAGCTAATCATTAAACCTGACTCTGACGATGTAGTCAATTGTTACTCAAAATTAAACTATTAATTGTCCCTCACATCCTTATAAATACAGGGACACCTCGGAAATAGAAGGCTCAAAACACAGACTCAGAAAGCATGTTTTAAAAGACTTTCCCATGAACAGTCCACAATAACCAAGGTCCAATTAACAGAAGGATTAACTTTTTGGTAACTACCAAGGGATTAACAAAAAGATACTTTTCTTACTTAGAGGAAAGTAACCTTTCATGACATACAGTTATGCATCACTTAACGAGAGGGATATGATCTGAGAGATGCATCGATTTTGTCACTGTGCCTTAGCGTACACAAACCTAGATGGTATAACCTACTACACACCTAGGCTATATGGTTGGGCCTATTGCTCCCAGACTACAAATCTGTACACTATGTTACTGTAAGGAATACTTTAGGCAACTGTAACACAATAGTATTTGTGTATCTAATCTATCTAAACATGAAAAAGGTACAGTAAAAATATGGCACACCTTATAGGGCACTCACCATGAACAGAGCTGGCATACCTGGAAGCTGCTCTGGGTGAGTCAGTGAGTGGTGACTGAATGAAAGGCCTAGGACATTACCATACACTGCTGTAGATTTTATGAGCACCGTACACTTAGGCTACACTAAGTACAGACAGGGTCTCACCATGTTGGTCAGGCTGGTCTCGAACTCCTGACCTCAAGTGATTCACCCACCTCGGCCCCGCAAAGTGCTGGGATTACAAAACAAAGTACGCTACAACTTTACGCTATCACCAGGCGATAGTAATTTTTCAGCTCCGCTATAATCTTATGGGACCATTATCATAAATGCAGTCCATCCTTGAGAACGTCATGCAGTACATGACTGTGTTAAGATGTGGCCAAATTCCTCTCAGAAACGGGACTCTTTGAGAAATAATTGGGAAAATAGGAGTTTAGTACTCCTAGACTCAAAGTGATTTCTTGCCTAAAGAATTCTAAAACTCTCATTTCCATGTTTTTAAGACAAGATATTAAGAGTGTCTTTGTGAAGCTGAGAAAAACTGCATGTATGAGAAATAGGCTCAGAATGTTCAAAGAACCTGATGGCCACAAAGTCTCTGAAGGTATAAAAAGGAGAACTGATTGGTGATCAAAATGAGTAATAACGGCCAGGCTCAGTGGCTCACACCTGTAATCCCAGCATTTTGGGGAGGTCAAGGTGGGAGAATTGCTTGAGCCCAAAAGGTTGAGACCAGCCTGGGCAACATAGCGAGACTCCCGTTTCAACAAAAAACTTAAAAATTAGCCAGGAATGGTGGCGCGCACCTGTAGTTCTAGCTACTCGGGAGGATGCCTGAGCCCAGGAGGCTGCAGTGAGCCTTTATCTCACCACTGCACTCCAGCCTGGGCAATAGAGTCACTGTCTCAAAAAAACAAAACAAAAAGGTAATAATGATAATAAATAACGGCACTAAGTGGTTTTATGCTGGCACATATACTTTGCATACATAACGAAACTAGAAGTTAACTAATTTGCCTGCCTAAAAAGTAGAGATTTAAGAGCAAAGTCCTCTGACCTTAAGCCCAAGTAGGCGCTTACATTACGTGTTGTGTTATACTGCCTCCTATAGGTAATTGGAGACTGAAGAAAAACGAAAAACAAAATGATTGCACTCTGCCCAAAAGAGATCAGGAACCTGTTACTCATGTTACTCATGTTAAGACAAACAGGTATTTATATAGGTGGTACCTGGGGGGTTGATAACAAGATATCCCCTCAAGATTAGTTATAATGAAAGTAATAAATGATTAAGATCAATTCAAAGTGAAAACACCCAAAATCCAATCAAGGAGACCAATATATAACCTTAGGACACACAGGACTTACTAAAACTGTAGCCCTTAATATATGTATATTGTATAGAATGTCCCAAAGAAAGGAGATGGCCTGCAGATTACATTGATGGGGGAATTTAAAGGAGTGATGAGGAAGAGAGTCGTAGTTCGGGTCAAGTTTAGAAAGGTTTTTCCTAGGAATTCCAAGACGCAGATACATACCCAGAGGAGAAGAATACACTCAAGCTGAGGCTACCTTAAGGTTATCCAATTAATGCCCCTTCTTCTGATTTCAGGTTCACTAAAGGAGCTAATTATAATTTGCATTCCCATTCAGATTTGCCTACAGGGAGAGACTATGCTGATAAAGAGGAATTGGTCCACAGCCGATTAAGAAAATTCATCCCATTTAAAATTTTCTAAGTAACCAACATAGCCCTATTTGGAAAATTAAACTTTCATTTTCACAAGTCCCTTGCAACTCCATCATCTTACTACATAACTTCAGGAATGTTACTTAACCCTTTAAGGCTTTAGATTCCTCTTCTGTAAAATGGGAACAAAAAATAAATACTTTGCAGAATAAATGTGTTTGGCACACGGAAAACCAGGAGCTGTTAGTTCCATTTCACTCTATTGCCCAAGCTCACAAAGCTAGTTAATTGCAGAAAGCTGAGATCTGAACCCAGATTTACTCCAAATCCATTCTTTTTCCATTACGACATTCCTTACAGGCTCTAGTCTCAGTTGGGTCACCCCAGACTCTTAGGACTATTTACTTAACCTTTCTCGGCCTTGTATCTTTAAATGACCTTCCTTCTAGGGCTTAGGCAACTAAAATGTGTGCAAAACAACAACAAAAACCCTACTACATTGTCCACTGGGGCGGGGGCGGGGGATCACCCTGTGCTTTAAAGTTAAAGCCCTAACTTCTGAGAAACATGGGTGCTGTGTCTGTGGGGTTACTGGTGCGCCTAATTAACCCCAGGGTAAGTGTGCTGAACGGCAGAATCATTCCAATAAACAGAATACTAAGAGCTAACTTTATAAAATCAACGACTGGCTAACCAATACGAAAGAATGAATTCCATCCACCACCACAGGTTGCCTTAAAGTCAAAAAGGAGGACTGATCAACATCTGTTTGGCTTGAACACAGATTATCAAAATAGTAAGGCTTACTATCTTTAGACTGGAAATGTTAAAACAAGGACTAAGAACTAAAATACAGCTTACTTGTTTTGTAAGCACTTTCACGGTGTTTGGTAAATAAATTCCCTACCAATCCAAATCCACTACTTGATACAAATAACTACACATTAAACATTTCTAATGCTAAGCTTAAAGTACTTATTGGAAACTGCATTTAAAAATCTTTCTGAAAAGGAACAGTACAAAAAGAAATCTCAGCACAAAAATCTGAGTAAAAGTAAACAAGTAAAAACTACAATAATTTACCAAAACCAAGCCGTAGTAAGAAAGTTCAACAGAGATTAATTTAGTAAAATTATTCACAAGAGCAAGGAATTCCAAATAGCATTCTCTACATTTACATACTGCTCTCATACTTGACATTATTTTGATTTCATATAAAGAATTTTTTCGGCTGGACGTTTTCCTGAAAGGGGTAGCCTTAAAGGTAAACTGTTTAATCCATTCTTCAAAGAGTTGCCCGATTTGACTTCGACCAGCACACTAAACGTCTGTGAGCATAGACCAGCTTCTCTAAAATCACAGCTAATAAAATTTTTTTACCGCAAAGTCAGCCTTTTAGGTTAAAACCTTCAACCTCACTTTCTTTTTGATTCAATCTGATAAGAAATGAGTCATAAAAAAGAAAATCCAGCGCCACGACAATTGTCATTCCATCCCCTTCCCCCCACAACACATACAGAACTTTTATAAAACTTGTTCCCAGGCTTTCTAAACCCCCACGCCTAAGCTTCCCGCACCTCTCAACTGGAACGATGTCTTCACCCAGGAAAATGGTTTTGAGGTTTTTTTTCGGGGGTGGGTGGGGGTGAAGGGAGTGCTGATAAACCTTTCCCTAAAAGATCTCAAAAAAGTAGGAGCAGGATATACTGTACCTGGGCGTTGGCTTCGTGGAGTTTGTGCTCGGTAGAGACGTGGTGCCTCAGGAGGAGGGTTTTCTTGTAGTTGCGGGTCCCTCGCGAAAGCTCATCATGCCCCACTGGGGGAAGGTCCACGCTTCCCCCATCTGCAGGGGTCTTTTGGCACCAGCCGCAAGACATAAGACCAGTATCCTTGGAATAGCGCAGCCAGGGAAAGTCCTTGAGCCAGGAGGTCTGGAAGGAGCATTGGAGCTTCTGCATTAGAGACTTGGGCCGCGCGAGCGGGAAGTGCTGGACAGTCTCTCCTTCGCCAGCTCCCACACCGCTGCCCTCCACTTCGTCCCCGCCATCGCCGCCCGACCGCCTGCTGCTGCTGCAGCTGCCGCCTTCCGCCCCGCTGCCGTCGCCCAGGCTCGCCCCCTCCTCCTCGTCCTCGGTGCTGTCGCTCAGGGACGCGCCGTCCTGCATCAACTCCTTCCCCTCCAGCGCGTCCAGCTCCAGATCCACAGTCGCCGGCCCTCGCCCATTGAAATGCCTCAAGGGCCACACCGAGGTCTCGGGGCGGCCGCGGCTACTGCCATTGTTGCCGAGACCCCCGCCGCCGCCGCCTCGGAAGGCCAGAGTCCGACGGTTCCTTTCCGCTAGCAGGGGGCCCCCCGCGCCACCGCCAAGCGAGGTGGGGCCGCCCGCGTCTTGGGGGAGCAGCAACTCCTTGGCTTCCTCGGCGGCGCCGGCGGCCGGCCCGGCGGAGGCCTCCAGGTCTTGGGGCTCCAGGCCCTCCAATTCCACTTCCTCGTCGGCCCCCCGCCCATTAGGCGGCTGAAGCGCGGGCGGCGCTGGCGGCGGGGGCTGTCTCGGCTGGGGCTGCGGAGGCCAAGCTGAGGCCTCCCCGCCAGCGTTATTGTTCGTGGAGCCGCCGCCGCTAGCGGTGACCAACCCGCCTCCTCGGAACGCCAGCGTCCTGCGGTTCATTTCACTGAACGACATGGCGCGCGCCGCCGCCGCCGCCGCCCGGTGCCCCGGCTCGCGCACGGCCTCGGGCCGCGTCCCGCGCGCTCCCCGCGGCTCCCCCTCTGTCTCGCCCCCGCCCCCGGCGTTCCGGTCTCGCGGGGCTCGGCCTCGCCCTCTCGCCCGGCAGCCCGGCTCGCGCTCGCTCCCGGGTCTGCTGCACGCGTCCGCTGCCGCTGCCGCTGCCGGGCCGACGCCTCCGACCGCTCTCTCGTCCTCCACCCCCGCCCCGCCGCGCTCCGGGCAGCGTCCCGCGCGGAGAAGGGGGCGGGCGGCGGAGAGGTGAGGAGCGAGCCTGCAGCGAGCGAGGCCTTCGAAGTTGAGCAGCGGAGTGCGGGGAGACCCTCCGCTGCCCCCTCTTTAAAGCCGCGCGCGCACACACCGATCCTCCACACAGATATCCTTCCTCCGCGCGCCGAGGAGTCCCGACGCCGCCGCCGGCTTCGCAGGCGCTGAGGGTGAGAGGCACGCTAAACTGCTCGGCTCCGCCACATAACGAAGCGACAATAAAGCCGGCGGAGCGTTTCCGTCCGACCAGGCCCTGGCGGAGGTCGAATGGCAAATGAACAACGGACCGTGCGCCCACAATGCACCGGGGTAGCAGTAACCGCTGGAGGGGGAAAGGGTGGGGGCCGGGCTGGGGGAGGGGGGCTGGGCTTGGGGCTGGGCTGGGGTGGGGTGGGGGCGCCAGGGGACCGGGAAAGGGGCTGGGCTGCGCCTCCGGCCTGGGGGCGGGGGTGCGGCCGCGGGGAAGGAAGTCGGCCGAGGGGTTGGGGACAAAAGGCCGGGCGGCGGGCTGGGGGTCTCAGGGAGGGGGCGGGCGTGTGCGGCCGGGGCCGGGCTACGCGGAGGACAAACAGCTGGCGAGTGTCAGGGTCTGGCCGCCTCCCCGCTGCCCACACGCACCTACCCGCGCCCGGGACGCGCATTTTCCTTCTCTCGCCACGAGTTCACCTGGGACTTTGCAAATAACTGTGCGGTGGGAGCTGCGCTCCAGCCTTGTCATTTGCTGAGGGTGGGTGGCGGTGCCCAAGGAAGTGAACTTATTTTGTTCCTTCACAAAGACTGGACCAGGCGGTGCCTTTCACGCGAAGAGGTTACGACCACGGACACAACCTCCTTTGATGCATTGTGCGAGGCAGCACCTCGGGCCCCGGACAGTAGTCATTTCACAGAAAATGCACCGCCCCGAGTGTCTTATTGCTGTGATGAAATGGAAATTTAAATAAAAGGTCGAACACGTGCGTTCACTGGGAAGTATTGACATGGGTGTTACATCACCAGCAGCCAATCAGATAACTCCAGTCGTGTTTATACTTCTACAACCACCTTGTGAGTATTACAGTATGTCATAACGTTATAAATATTAGGCAGGGTTTTCCCCAGGAGCGGGGAGGAGTCTGCTTCTACGGACGTTGTGAGCGGCTCCGAAGATTGTGTGTTTAAAGTCAACAATTCATTTTTAAGACTTTTTTCGAACTGTTTACATTACATGGACTTTAGATTGATTCTGACAGAATGAACTGGAAATGAAATCCCACAGTTATGATCGTAGTAGAGTTTTTTTTTCCAATTTAGGGCCCTTATACTCCTTTTAAAAATTTTTAATATGCTAAATTTAGCAAATACTAAAGTGTTAAGACTCATCTGACAATGTGAGAATTTAAGCCTATTTCAGGTTAAGAAAAAAAAGATGTTTTCAAGTTATGGAGGGGCTTTTTACTCTTAAGCGACATATGTATTAGAAGTTGAATCACGAACTGATAAAATGCTCCAGATAATTGTTGACTAAAAAAAATACGGCAGGACAAATTTTTTACATTAATACATATGTGCAGAAAATGAGAAATATACATGAACTCTTTACAGTTATAGATTAATGGGAAGGGTTATGTTAAAGGCTTGAACCTCCTAAATAATGTATTAATGTAAATAAAGTTATATATGTTTTATGAAGAACAGGTGTTACAATTTTTAGACCTAGTTTTATGATTCTTATTCTCTTCAAAAGTTCTTTTTCTATTTCAAAACTAAGAGCAATATGTAAAGCTTTGTATAATATGGAATATGGTATGTATTTCAAGGTTACTTTAAAAAGCAAGCTTTGGCTGGTCCCAAGGTAGTGAATTGTCTCAATTGGTTATTCACAGTTGGTTGCCCGTTGTACCACTCTTTCCCCACTTCCACTTGACTAGTCTTTTAAAAATAAATAAATATTTAAATAAACAAGTCTTCTCAAACATTATAAAAGACCGTTTTTCTTAATATTTTTTAAATGGACTAACATGAATCCACATCCAGACTCATATTAATTGTATACATTTATTCAAAGCAACATTCACTTCATTCATTGTAATTTTTAGTACCTGTTGATGAGCAGTGTTGTATATCAAACAAAAAACATTGGTTTTATCTTGTAGATTACATGTAATTTTAATGTAAAGAATGACAGTACTACCCTGCCACAAAAGGATTTTGGCTTTGAGTTATTTTTCCGGTAATAAACATATTGTCACCTGGCCACCAGTGACCAAGAGCTTGAAATTCTGATATAGTTCTTCAGGTGGGTACAGTTGTAGGGTGTTTTTGTTTGTTTGTTTGTTTGTTTTGTCCTGCTTTGTTTTAGTTGCTGGGAAGCTTAAGACAGTGGAGTCTGATCTTGACCTAATTCGTACCCTTAAGAAATAAGAGAACTCTGCCAAGTGAGGCTGTATAATATGTGCCACATATGGAAGAATGCCATAATAATACTTGTGCTCTGTTTTTAATGCGTGTTTTTTTTTCATTCTAGGCATTTTGAAAATAAATACATTTATTATATGTTAATCACCACAGCCTCCACCCCCATAAAAAGAGGGAAGAGTTACTGAAGTTAATTACTTATCTAGGATCAAGGTGATGGGAAATGAAAATGGACTTAAAAATTTTTATTTTGCTGGGCACGGTGGCTCACGCCTGTAATCCCAGCACTTTGGGGGCCGAGACGGGCGGATCATGAGGTCTGGAGTTCAAGACCAGCCTGACCAACATGGTGAAACCCCGTCTCTACTAAAAATTCAAAAAATTAGCCAGGTGTGGTGGCGCTCGCCTATAATCCCAGCTACTCAGGAGGCTGAGGTAGAAGAATCACTTGAACCAGAGAGGCGGAGGTTGCAGTGAGCTGAGATCATGCCATTGCACTCCAGCCTGGGCGACAGAGCGAGATTCCATCTGAAAAAAAAAAAAATTTTATTTCAGCTCTAAAGCTTGTTTTCATTCAAAAACTGTTAAATTCAAATATTTGCTACTTCTTATCTCGTATCCTACTACATAGTAGGCACTATATAAATTTATGTATTATTTTTGCTAATAGTGCCAGAATCAACCAAAAACGTTTAAATCCATAATTGTGTCAGACCTGCCTTTTTCTCAGACATATATCTTACCTTATGTTTTATAAAATCCTCATTGTCTTCTATCTGAAGTTATGTTTAAACATGGACTAATTAGGAATGAATGACACTAGAGTCAAGTGGTACAAATAAATGACTTAAATTCTAGGACCACTGAACTAACAGTATCAGGGTGATGTGTGTGTGTTTGTGTGTGATTGAGTATGCATGCTTGTGTATTTATATATTTATCATTATATATATGTGTGTGTGTGTGTGTGTGTGTGTGTGTGTGTGTGTATGTATATGTATTCAGTTTTCTTCCTCTGAGCCCTGAAAGAAGGTGGAAATTAGAAACAAAGCTCAAGGGGATACTAATCACAAATGTCTCAGAATACTCTGTAAGAAGGGAACTTTGAGTAACAGAAGGGGATCTCCTACACTGTAAATGGAGTTTTTAGGAATTCCCCAAGCCCTTCCAGTCTCCTACTAGCAAGCAGGGATGTGTTCTCCCCTCTAACCCCTATACTTATTGTTAGGGTACTACCATATTCAAGGGAATTCCCCCTTATGCTTACCAGGGGAACCCCTTAAGAATGGGGCATCCCCAACCAATTTGTCCCCTAATTTCACCTTACCCCACGTAAAACTCCTGTAGATTACACTTGTTACTGGCTCACCATATCTCTGTGATGGGGCTTACCTTCTATACCTGGCCCAGCTGATCTTTGAGGGTCAAACTTGACTGTCGTTCACTGCCTTGGTAGAGGTACTTTGCCTCTTTAGGCTCTAGGGACAGTAGCCTTTCTGTCTGTGGGATTGACATGAGTTATCCACCAAAATGAAGCACATGAGAACAGGAACTGTCTTATACCTCCATCCCACCCCCACCAGTACATAGTAGGCAAGTAGTAAGTGTTTGTTGAATAATTTATTATATCTTCCCTTGCAGTCAATTTTGGTAGGCAACTTTTTCTTTGTTTCCTTTTCCTTTTTTTTTTTTTTTTTGGCTTAGTGCAAAACTATTCTTCTTAAAGGTACTGAGTGACCAGGCATGGTGGCTCACACCTGTAATCCCAGCACTTCGGGAGGCCGAGGCGGGTGGCATCACCTGAGGTCGGGAGTTCAAGACCAGCCTGGCCAACATAGTGAAACCCCATCTCTACTAAAAATACAAAATTAGCCGGGCATGGTGGCGTGTGCCTGTAATCCCATTTACTCGGGAGGCTGAGGCAGAAGACTCACTTGAACCTGGGAAGCAGAGGTTGCAGTTAGCCAAGATTGAGCCATTGCACTCCAGCCTGGGCAACAAGAGTGAAACTCCATCTCAAAAAAAAAAAAAAAAAAAAAAACTCATCTCTACTAAAAATACAAAAATTAACCAGGCGTGGTGGCAGGCGCTTGTAATCCTAGCTACTTGGGAGGCTGAGGCAGGAGAATCACTTGAACCCGGGAGAAGGAGGTTGCAGTGAGCTGAGACTGCACCACTGTACTCCAGCCTGAGTGATGAGTGAAACTGTGTCTCAGAAAAATAATAAAAAATAAAGGTAGTGAGTTAATGTTGCCATTGCCTTTATGTTAAAAATAGTAATAATCATAGTTAGATATAAATAGTATTAGTGCCATTTTCTATGTAGTTTATAGTGAATTACAAACATTGGGTTTACAGAACCTCCCTGAGTTAATTCATGATAGGTATTATTATCATCGTTTAACAGATGAGGAGACCCATGTGCAAAAAGGCTAAACAACTTACTTGAGGTTACTGAATGAGGCAGAAGTTAAGTTTGTAAGATTACAGACAGGAATAATGCCCTGCAGTCTAAGGCACTGTTGGCTACTATATATCTGCATAACTATAAGCTACAATAAATTTTAAATTTTCTTGTTCAATTATCTCATTGAGGAAAAGAAAAAAAGGATCACCCCTATTTCTAGTACCCAGAATTAACCACTGTTGTATAAATACAGTCTCCTTTTTCTCTGTGCCTAGCTAAAAAAAAAATTTTTTTGGTGTTTATAAGTTATAGATCCTAGATATTTGTGCTTTTAGTTAATAATATGTTTTAATATAATGAAATATTTTTTGTATCATTTCAATGACTATGGATATATCATCATTGATTTAACTAGCCGGGCATAGTGGCTCATGCCTGTAATCCCACCTTGGGAGGCCAAGGCGGGCATATCACCTGAGGTCAGGAGTTTCAGACCAGCCTGGGCAACATGGTAAAACCCTGTCTTTACTAAAAATACAAAAATTAGCTGGGTGTGGTGGCGTGCACCTGTAGCCCTAGCTACTTGGGAGGCTGAGGCAGGAGAATCGCTTGAACCCGGGATGGGGAGGTTGCAGTGAGCTGAGATCGGCACCACTGCACTCCAGCTTGGGCAACAGAGCAAGACTCTTGTCTCAAAAAATAAAAAATAAAAATTTAAAAATGATTTAACCAGTGTTCCACTGTTAAACATTTCATTGTTTACAGGTGGGCTTTGTGGGTTTTTCTTTTTTTTACCATTATAAACAGTTCTTCAGTGAACATACTTGAAAGTAAAACTTTGTAAATACTACTTCGTTAGGGTGAATTCTAAAAAGGGGAATCTGTGGCAAAGGGAATGAACATTTTATAAACAAAGGATTTTTAAAGTGAACTAGGAAAAAGAAATCTGTGACATATGTGATAGACAAAGGCTTAATATCACTGATATACACAGAGGCCTAATCAATTTTAAAAACTCAAATATAGTGGAAGAAAAAATGTGCGGAGGCCATGTATTAAAAAATCATATACAAAGTGCTACCATCTGAAACACAAGTGCCATGGCCTGAGCATTTGTGTTCTCCCCAGAATGTATATGCTGAAACCTAAGCCCCATGGTAATGGTATTAAGAAGTGGGGCCGGGCCGGATGCAGTGGTTCATTCCTGTAATCCCAGCATTTTGGGAGGCCACGGTGGGCCGATCAAAGGGTCAGGAGTTCAAGACCAGCCTGACCAACATGGTGAAACCCCATCTCTACTAAAAACACAAAAACTAGCCAGGCATCGTGGCGCAGACCTGTAATCCCAGCTACTCAGGAAGCTGAGGCAAAAGAATCACTTGAACCTGGGAGCAGAGGTTGCAGTGAGCCAAGATCGTGCCACTGCACTCCAGCCTGGGAGACAGAGCGAGACTCTGTCTCAAAAAAAAAAAAAAAAAAAAAGTGGGGCCTTTGAGGTGATTAGGTCATGAGGACAGAGTCCACACAAATGGGAGTAGAGCCCTTATAAAAGAGGCTTGTGGAAGAGCTTGTTTATCCTTCCACTATGTGCAGTGACAAGGTGCTGTCTATGAGGAACAGGGTTCTTCCAGACACTGAATCTGCTTGTCCCTTCATCTTGGACTTCCCAGCTTCCAGAACTGAGAAATACATTTCTGTTGTTTTTAAACTACTGTTTGTGTTATTTTGTTATAGCAGTCCAAACAGATTTAAGACAAGTGACTAGAAAACATTCAAAAAGATGTGCAGTCTTGGCCAGTGATCAGAAATCTGCATAAAAGTCATCATTGATAAGTAGTTTTTTTAACCCATTCAAGGTATAGTAAAATGAGCATACTGGGAATATAGATAGGAACAAGTTTTCTGCTAGGTTGCTTGTATGTATCAACATATAAAATGTGTATATAATTTTTTACCCAGCAATTTCAGCACTAAGAATTTATCCTAGATAGATGTATTAAGATGTCCATGCAAACATGTTTATTGCAGCACTGTTTACAAGCCTAAAAAACAGGATCAAGAAGATCCCTTGACCTTCCATTTATTCTATTCCATTCTATACTATTTATATGCATCATGGTACATTCCTATAATAAATTATTGGCCAGCCATTAAAAGATTAATCTTAAAGAGTCTCGCTTTGCCACCCGGGTCAGAGTGCAATGGCATAATCTCAGCTCACTGCAACCTCCACCTCCCAGGTTCAAGTAATCCTCCTGCCTCAGCCTCCCGAGTAGCTGGGATTACAAGTGCGTGCTACCATGCCCAGCTAATTTTTGTATTTTGGTAGAGATCGGGTTTTACCATGTTGGCGAGGCTGGCCTCGAACTCCTGACCTCGGGTGATCCACCCGCCCTCAGCCTCCCAAAGTGCTGGGATTGCAGATGTGAGTCACCGCACCCAGTCAAAAGATCAATCTTTTCTGTCACCCAGGCTGGAGTGCAGTGGTGCAGTCTCAGCTCACTGCAAGCCCTGCCTCCTGGGTTCACGCCATTCTCCTGCCTCAGCCTCCAGAGTAGCTGGGACTACAGGCACCTGCCACCATGCCCGGCTAATTTTTTTTTTGTATTTTTAGTAGAGACGGGGTTTCATCGTGGTCTCGATCTCCTGACCTCGTGATCTGCCCACCTCGGCCTCCCAAAGTGCTGGGATTACAGGCGTGAGCCACCACGCCCAGCCAAAAGATCAATCTTTTGATTGAAAAGATCAAGCTTGTCTGGGCGTGGTGGCTCACGCCTGTAATCCTAGCACTTTGGGAGGCTGAGGTGGACGGATTACCTGAGGTCAGGAGTTCCAGACCAGCCCGGCCAACAGAGCGAAACCCCATCTCTATTAAAAATACAAAAATTAGGTGTGGTGGCGCATGCCTATAAACCCAGCTACTCAAGAGGCTGAGGCACAAGAATCACTGGAACCTGGGAGGTAGAGGTTGCAAAAAATAAAAAAATTAGCTGGGTCTGGTGGCTCCCACCTGTAGTTCCAGCTACTTGGGAGGTAGAGATGGGAGGATCCCTTGAACCCAGGAGTTTGAGGCTGCAGTGAGCTATGGTCACATGGCTGCCCTCCAGCCTGGGCAACAGAGCAAGACCTTGTCTCAAACAAACAAAATCAATGTCATGGTTTTCCCTAGCATTTTGAAGGATAAGTACTGTTCATTCTTTTTCTCCACTTATGAACCAATTTTGGCCTGCCCCTCAAACACAAAAGATTCAAAAGATTAAAAACCATGGTATTTCTTTTCTTAGAAAATTTCAATCTCTTTAAAACATTATTTGTTTTACAAGAGCTTAAATTTACATGCATATTTTCAGAGAAGCATCTGTCACAATAACTCATACATTCTGGCCGTGCCCTCCTATCCATTCTCTACAGAAGTCAGTAATCTTTTCAAAATGCAAATCTGATCCT
The DNA here is from genome assembly GCF_000001405.40 of Homo sapiens. NCBI lineage: Eukaryota > Metazoa > Chordata > Mammalia > Primates > Hominidae > Homo > Homo sapiens. The sequence continues at coordinate 80,478,253 of NC_000008.11, read as the reverse complement.
ATCACCCTACCCACACTGATGATTCTTGATCCCTTCATGCCTAAAACCCTTCAAAGTTTCAGTTATTTTCTGTTGGTCTATTACACATATCAAAACACTTCTAAAATGGCTACCAAGCCCAGCAAGGTTTGGTGGCCATGTACTGCTCCAGCCTCATCTCTCCAACACTCTCCTCCTTCCCTCCTTCACATTTGCTTTGAGAACTATCTGGCCTTTGCACAAGCCGTTGTTCCCTGCTTTAAAACTCTTCCCTCCCTTCTCCTAATTGACACACATTCATCCTTAGATCACTTTCTTAGGGCAGCTTTCTCTGACCACCCACAGCCCCAGATATTCAAATATCCTAATACAGATTATCCTAGCATTCTTCTAACTCTCCCTCCCAGCCCTTGTCACAATTGCAGTTTTTAAACTTTTATAATTATTTCTTAGGGCATTGATTATTGCATTAAACTGAAAATTCTGTGAGGGCAGGGTCCATTGCTGGTTTTGCTCAATATTGTGTTTTCAGAAGTTGGAAACAGTGACTGTGACATAGTGGACAATCAGTAAAGATTTGTTGAATGAATAAATGTATAAATCTGCAAATTTGTGGGCACTATAGGTACCAAGAACCTTGAACTTCCAATAAAAGACTAAAACAGATCAGAATTTTGCTGAATAAGCCAGTAGAACAGAAACGTAGTAGATTTTAAATGTTGATAATATTTGCATTGTATTTTTATTTTTATTTATTTATTTTGAGATAAGAGTCTCGCTCTGTCACCCAGGCTGGAGTGCAGTGGCGCAGTCTTGGCTCACTGCAACTTCTGCCTCCTGGGTTCAAACAACTCTCCTGCCTCAGCCTTCTGAGTAGCTGGGATTACAGGTGTGTGCCCCCACCTCCGGCTAGTTTTTGTGTTTTTAGTAGAGATGGGGTTTCACCATGTTGGCCCGGCTGGTCTTGAACTCCTGACCTCAAGGGGTCCACCCACCTTGGCCTCGCAAAGTGCTGGGATTACAGGCGCAAGCCACTGCGCCTGGCCAAAATAGATTCTTTTTACAGTCTGTTTGGATTTAAATTTAATTTTGTTATGGGCTGCAAAGAATGGGAACAATAGAATACAGGTTGATATTTATTATTTGAAAGTAATTATTATTAATAAAACCACATTACTGATTTCTGTTCATTAGGAGACATATCCCAAATGTTTACTTCACAGATGCTATTTGTTTCACAGACTCATTTCTCTGGTAAATCAATTAACTCGACTCTGTTCGGTAGCCACAGATTTCACACTAATCCACTTCTTACAAGTTTACAGTGCAAACCAGTTACCTTCAGAAGGATCAAGTGAGAAAATGTGGAAGACCGAAAGATGCCAAGGCCATAATGGTATAGTACTATGAAGAAATACTGTAAACAGGGCTTTCTACACAACTTTATGCAAAAACTTCATAGGAGGCTTTAGGTTCAAATAGGGTGACTTCAATCCCCCAGAACTTGGAGATAATGTCCAGATGAGAAAATACCACACTTTGAAAGCTAGTGACAATAGAATCAGCATAAATAATGAGATTAGTCTTTACAAAAGAAATCTGCCATCCCAAAGATGTGATTGGGGTGACTGTCATCTGTTTAAGACTGAGAGCACATCCCAGGATTGGAATGTAACTTCAAAGAAAGCTCTAATACTTTCAGGTCTAGTCCAGTGTTTTTCAAACTGGGGTACGCTTAGCCCTGGAGGTACACAAAGAGTTTCCAAGGAGTGTGTGAGCACATGAACTGTTTTTAAGAGAATTGATTTTCAGGCTTTCCCCTTGCAAATGGCCTTTTTCCCTTAAAACTAAACTGTTGGAAAATGCTCCTGTCAAGCTGTTTTTTCTTTGCCACTTCTCCTTTCACAATCACTCTTCTCCCATTTCACCAAAAAAGTCATGCTTTCACCATATAGGCATGCCATCCCTAGTCTTACTGTGATACATTGTCCCAGGATGGAAAAGGAACACCAGGCACAAGTAGAGAAACTAAATGTCCGTAATTACTTGGTAGCAACACTTTTGCAACTCTTATGGTTTCCAGCTTTTACTTTCAACTAACTGAAGAAGGACCTTATTGAAGTGTCAGTTGATCATTAAAAATGATTTTGAAGGGTTTTATTTGCACATAGCTTGAAAGGAGTTTAAAAATTTTGTGACATAGCTCAAGCAAAACCCCTTCTATTCTTGTCGTGCATAATTTTTTGTGAACAAATGTTAACACATACGCAAAAGAAAAGAAAAAAAGGGAATAAAATACATGACAAGACCTGTTTTACTCTAGCAAACACATCTTTGGCACAATCATTAGTTGGAAAAAAATCAGCTGTGAAATGCATTTCTGATAAATGTGTATATCTTATGTTTAATATCAGTATTTATTCATATATTTATGTTGTTTTGATCAAACATGCCCTAACAATTATAATGATAACTCAGTTCAAGATATTTTTTTAACATTTATAGTCATAATTTTCTTTTTCTTTTTTTTTTTTTTGACAAGGTCTCACTATGTCACCCAGGCTGGAGTGCAGTGGCATGATCATGGCTCACTGCAGCCTCAATTCCCAGGCTCAAACAATCCTCCTACCTCACCCTACCAAGTAGCTGGGACTACAGGTGGGTGCCACCAATGCTGGCTAATTTTTAAAAAATTTTTGAGGAGACAAGGTGTCAGTATGTTGCTCAGGCTGTTCTCAAACTCTTGGGCTCAAGGGATCCTCCCGCCTCAGCCTGCCAAAGTGTTGGGATTACAGGCTTGAGCCACACACCTGGCCAGAATTTTTTTTTTTTTTTTTTTTTTTTTTTTTTTTTTTTTGAGACAGAGTTGCGCTCTTTGTTGCCCAGCTGGAGTGCAGTGGCATGATCTCGGCTCACTGCAACCTCCGCCTCCCAGGTTCTAGTGAATCTCCTGTCTCAGCCTCCCGAATAGCAGGGATTATAGGTGCTCACCACCACACCAGGCTAATTTTTGTATTTTTAGTAGAGACAGGGTTTCACCATGCTGGCCAGGCTGGTCTCAAACTCTTGACCTCGGATGATCCGCCTGCCTTGGCCTCCCAAAGTGCTGGGATTACAGACATGAGCCACCCTGCCCAGCCCAAAAATTTTTTTAATTAAATTTAAGTACATTGATAATAGACTTCTGAGTAGAAATATATTATGAAATGTTGTGGGGCAGTAGAATGGAAATCAAAGAAAAATGTAAATTTTCCAATTGTTAGTATATTTTTAAATTATTGGTGGTTGCTATCAAATAATTGTAGTATAGAGATTCCATTGGGTGTATTTCCTAAGATGACATAATTTTATTTTGTAGTGTTTATAACCTGCCAGAAATGACATTCATTACAACAATTTGAACATACCGTGAAATATCGCACATGCTAACTTAAGAATGTATACAAAACAAACAGTTTTTCAAAATTATTTCAGGGAAAATGCTAGTCTAGTTCAGTGTTTTCCAAATACTATCTTTCAGTAATTGGTGGTGAAATGAAAAATAAATAAAATCTAGATAATTTTTTTTAAAAGGTAAATTTGTACAATTTAAAAAGCTGCCCTTCCTCATCCCTGGGATGCAAGGCTGGTTCAACATATGCAAACCAATAAACATAATCCAGCATATAAACAGAACCAAAGACAAAAACCACATGATTATCTCAATAGATGCAGAAAAGGCCTTTGACAAAATTCTACAGCCCTTCATGCTTAAAACTCTCAATAAATTAGGTATTGATGGGACATATCTCAAAATAATAAGAGCTATTTATGACAAACCCACAGCCAATATCATACTGAATAGGCAAAAACTGGAAGCATTCCCTTTGAAAACTGGCACAAGACAGGGATGCCCTCTCTCACCACTCCTATTCAACATTGTGTTGGAAGTTCTGGCCAGGGCAATCAGGCAGGAGAAGGAAATAAAGGGTATTCAATTAGGAAAAGAGGAAGTCAAATTGCCCCTGTTTGCAGATGACATGATTGAATATCTAGAAAACCCCATCATCTCAGCCCAAAATCTCCTTAAGCTGATAAGCAACTTCAGCAAAGTCTCAGGATACAAAATCAATGTGCAAAAATCACAGGCATTCTTATACACCAATAACAGACAGCCAAATCATGAGTGAACTCCCATTCACAATTGCTTTAAAGAGAATAAAATACCTAGGAATCCAACTTACAAGGGATGTGAAGGACCTCTTCAAGGAGAACTACAAACCACTGCTCAACGAAATAAAAGAAGACACAAACAAATGGGAGAACATTCCATGCTCATGGATAGGAAGAATCAATATCGTGAAAATGGCCATACTGCCCAAGGTAATTTATAGATTCAATGCCATCCCCATCAACCTACCAATGACTTTCTTCACAGAATTGGAAAAAACTAAAGTTCATATGGAACCAAAAAAGAGCCCGCGTTGCCAAGACAATCCTCAGCCAAAAGAACAAAGCTGGAGGCACCACGCTACCTGACTTCAAACTATACTACAAGGCTACAGTAACCAAAACAGCATGGTACTGGTACCAAAACAGAGATATAGACCAATGGAACAGAACAGAGCCCTCAGAAATAATACCACACATCTACAACCATCTGATCTTTGACAAACCTGACAAAAACAAGAAATGAGGAAAGGATTCCCTATTTAATAAATGGTGCTGGGAAAACTGGCTAGCCATATGTAGAAAGCTGAAACTGGATCCCTTCCTTACACCTTATACAAAAATTAATTCAAGATGGATTCAAGACTTAAATGTTAGACCTAAAACCATAAAAACCCTAGAAGAAAACCTAGGCAATACCATTCAGGACATAGGTATGGGCAAGGACTTCATGTCTAAAACACCAAAAGCAATGGCAACAAAAGCCAAAATTGACAAATGGGATCTAATTAAACTAAAGAGCTTCTGCACAGCCAAAGAAACTACCATCAGCATGAACAGGCAACCTACAGAATGGGAGAAAATTTTTGCAATCATCTGACAAAGAGCTAATATCCAGAATCTACAAAGAACTCAAACAAATTTACAAGAAAAAAACAACCCCATCAACAAGTGGGCAAAGGATATGAACAGACACTTCTCAAAAGAAGACATTTATGCCGCCAAAAGACACATGAAAAAATGCTCACCATCACTGGCCATCAGAGAAATGCAAATCAAAACCACAATGAGATACCATCTCACACCAGTTAGAATGGCAATTATTAAAAAGTCAGGAAACAACAGGTGCTGGAGAGGATGTGGAGAAATAGGAACACTTTTACACTGTTGGTGGGACTGTAAACTGGTTCAACCATTTTGGAAGACAGTGTGGTGATTCCTCAAGGATCTAGAACTAGAAATACCATTTGACCCAGCCATCCCATTACTAGGTATATACCCAAAGGACTATAAATCATGCTGCTATAAAGACACATGCACACGTATGTTTATTGCAGCACTATTCACAATAGCAAAGACTTGGAACCAACCCAAATGTCCATCAATGATAGACTGGATTAAGAAAATGTGGCACATATACACCATGAAATACTATGCAGCCATAAAAAATGATGAGTTCATGTCCTTTGTAGGGACATGGATGAAACTGGAAACCATCATTCTCAGCAAACTATCGCAAGGACAACCAACCAAACACCGCATATTCTCATGCATAGGTGGGAATGGAACAATGAGAACACTTGGACACAGGAAGGGGAACATCACACACTGGGGCCTGCTGTGGGGTGGGGGGAGGGGGGAGGGATAGCATTAGGAGATATACCTAATGTAAATGACGAGTTAATGGGTGCAGCACACCAACATGGCACATGTATACATATGTAACAAACCTGCATGTTGTGCACATGTACCCTAGAACTTAAAGTGCAATAAAAAATATATAAAAAAAGAAAATAAAAATAAAAAATAAAAATAAAAGGCTGCCCTTATTCTGAAATTATATACTCTCTGATATATTTAGACTTAATATATATTTTTGAAATTATGATGTTAATGGATCGTAGTTTTAATGTTCTTTCTTTGTTGCTCTCCAAAATGTTTTAAAATTCTTCTAAGTCACAAAATTCAAAACTGTGAAAGAACCACTGATCTAATGGAATATATAGGGGAATATTTTATAATACAGAATGTTGTGGCCAGGCACGGTGGCTCACACCTGTAATCCCAGCACTTTGGGAGCCCGAGGCAGGCAGATCACCTGAGGTCAGGAGTTCAACACCAGCTTCGCCAACATGGCGAAACCCCATTTCTACTAAAAATACAAAAATTGGCCAGGCACAGTGGCGCGTGCCTGTAATCCCAGCTACTTGGGAGGCTGAGGCAGGAGAATCGCTTGAACCTGGGAGGCAGAGGTTGCAGTGAACAGAGATCACGCCACTGCACTCCAGCCTAGGTGACAGAGACAGAGGGAGACTCCGTCTCAAAAAAAAAAAAAAAAAAAAAAGAATGTGCAATTATTGAAGAATGGAGACAGCCGGTTTACCACTTAGTTTATGGACATACCAAGCAATTGGAGGGCATTTTTTGAGTTTCTACTGTTTGCCCAAAATTAGTATTTAATAAATAGGATTGTCCCAACTTTCAAGAAACTCACCTTTCACTCAGCGAGAACTTTTACATTGGTAACTATAATGGTTAAGTGTTGATAGAGGTATGTACAAATAGCTATGGAAACATGGAGAGTAGAATGACTGTTGCTCATTTGAAAAATCAAATTGAGTTGCTAGGGAAGATAGATCCTTGAGCAGTTTTGAGATACAAACGTGAATTTCACCAAAATAAAAGGAAATTTATTTGAAAAGTAAGGAAATAGTAAGTAGCTCAGTGTGTTAGGGCTACAGGACCAATGCCTGAAGTGAAGTTTGAAAAGAAAGGAAGGGGACCAGGCACGGTGGCTCACGCCTGTAATCCCAGCACTTTGGGAGGCTGAGGCTAGTGGATCACCTAAGGTCAGGAGTTTTAGACCAGCCTGGCCAACATGGCAAAATCCCATCTCTACTAAAAATACAAAAAATTAGCCAGATGTGGTGGCGCTCTCCCAGCTACTCGGGAGGCTGAGGTGTGAGAACCCAGGAGGTGGAGGTTGCAGTGAGTTGAGATCACGCTGCTGCACTCCATCCTGGGCAACAAAGCGAGACTCTTGGATTTATCCCCAAAGCCACAGGAAGACTGAAAGGTTTTTATGCAAGGAAGTGACTGAATCCGGTATTTGTTAATAATATCAATTTCCTTTGTTCTAGTTATATACTCATCAATCTCATCTTTAATTTGGCCTCTTATATAGATTATCCACTAGGAAGAAATTCCCTTAGTAAACAAGGTAGGTTACCTTGCCAGATACATGTTATATTGAAAAATGATGAATTGGATCAGGTATGGTGGCTCACACCTGCATTCCCAGTGCTTTGGGAGGCCAAGGCCAGAGGCTCACTTAAGGTTAAGAGTTTGAGACCAGCCTTGGCAACATAATGAGACCCTGTCTCTACAAAAAAAATTTTTATTTATAATTAGACTGGAGTGGTAGTGCATATCTGTAGTACCAGCTACTTGGGAGGCTGAGATAGAAGGATCTCTTGAGTCCAGGAGTTTGAGGTTAGAGTGAGCTATGATTGCACCACTGCACTACAGCCTGGGTGACAGAGTGAGACCCTGCCTCAAAAAAAAAAAAAAAATTGGCAGTCTCGTCTGAATTTTGCTGATTTAAGGTAGTGTCTAAGAATCTAATATATTTTAAATATAGTAATCAAGCCTAGTTTTGGTATGCTAATACTTAGTTGAGATTTAGGGAGATGTAGCATTTATTTTCACCTCTTGAAGTCCTGCTTCAATAACTTCTACTAGTGTTTCAAGAAACTACTAGAATTTCTAACAATTTTCTTGTATCCACTAGATTACATATTCATCAACTTGCCACCCCTCAGGCACACTGAGAATTCCATAGTCATGATAGCAGTTTCATAAAAGATGGCAGTGATACTTTAAACATCCTTAACAAAAACTTCCAGAAATGAAGATGAAGCTCTTCCAAACATTTGTGATCAACGAACATAAAATTTCCCTCAAACTCTGAAATATTACTCTTGCAGCGAGTGCCATAAGAATGTGCTGCCGTTCTCTGTTCACAAAAGGGGTGGGTCAGATAGTGTGGCTGGAGAAGGAAAAATGTACGAGTTCCTTTGGATAAACTGCTCAAAGTAGTTGCACTACTTACAGTGGGTCAGTAATATTTTTTATTTCTTTTTTTCTTTTTCTTTTCTCCTTTTTTTTTAAAACCCTTTTCCTTAGAGATCCTTGTTCTGAGAGTCAGTAATATTATCTCCACATAGGAAGATGGTCAGCACAAATGAGATAGGCAAGTTGTTCTCCCATTGGTGAAATGAAAATCGGGTCATTATTTTGGCTTGGTAAGTTTTTTGACTGAGGTATATTTGCCCAGGCCAGTCACATTCAGTGTTGCACATTGCAAAGTTATTATGCCTCACTGGTCAGTGGAACAGTTAGGCTCATTGAACAAGTACAATTCAGGTACAGCCTATTTTTTTCTTCTATTTAAGTAACCTGACCTAACAGCCGTGGGATTCTGTTGTTGGCTCTTAAATTCAGGATTTTCAGGTTTGCTCAAGAGATGTAAATGATCAATTTGTGATTCAGAGGTCTCTTCCTTCTCACATGCTCCATGTTACTTTGGTTAATAGATTGACATCTCCATAGACATCCACAAATGATGGGCACCAGTCACATATAATTTTACCATAGAGAGGATTTCAGTATTTATGTTGTGAGGCCTTGAGAAAATTATTTAATATCTCTATTATCCTGGTTTTCTCATTTGTATAATGGAGCTAATACAGAATTGTAGTAATCTCATAGGTTTGTTGTGAAGATTTAATGAGATAATCTATGTAAAGCACTTAGCTCAGTGCCTGATAAATATAAACCAACAAGTTAATTTATTCATCATATTTAAATACTTTCTACCTGCCAGATGATATACTAGGTACAGGAGTCAATATTGTGAGCAAAAATAGGTACAGTCCCTCCTTTCATGAAGTTTGCAATCTAATGGGGGAGATCAATTATCTAATAATCACAAAAACACCTGTGAAGAGGAGTGGGTAGGGAAAGAAAAGAAGGGAGGAAGGGGAAATGGAAAGGACATACCCCTTTGGAGCTTATACAGGTTGAGCATCCCAAATCCAAAATCCAAAAGGGTATAAAATCTACCCTGTCGTCCAGGCTGGAGTGCAATGGCGAGATCTCGGCTCACTGCAACCTCTGCTGCCTGCGTTGAAGCAATTTTCCTATCTCAGCCTCCTGAGTAGCTGGGACTACAGGCGTGCGCCACCACACCTGGCTAATTTTTGTATTTTTAGTAGAGACGGGGTTTCACCATGTTGGTCAGGTTGGTCTGGAACTCCTGACCTCAGGTGATCCACCCGCCTCACCCTCCCAAAGTGCTAGGATTACAGGTGTGAGCCACCGTGCTCGGCCTAAAATCTAAAACTTTTTGAGCATTGACATGAAGCTCAAAAGAAATGCTCTTTGGAGCATTTTGGATTTCAGATTTTCTGATTTGGAATGCTTAACTGGTAAGTATAATGCAAATGCCTGGTGCTATGGCCCATGCCTGTAATCCCAGCACTTTGGGAAGCTGAGGCAGGAATTGCTTGAGCCCAGGAGTTGGAGACCAGCCTGGGCAACATAGTGAGACCCTGTCTTGAAAAAAATAAAATAAAATAAAAAAATTTTAAAGCATAATGCAAATATTCCCAAATCCGAAAAAATCTGAAATGCAAAATGCTTTTGGTCCTAAGTATTTTTAACCTGTAATAGAAAGATGTGACCCAGTTCTTTCTTTTTTTTTTCGATATGGAGTCTCACTCTGTCGCCCAGGCTGGAGTGCAGTGGCACAATCTCGGCTCACTGCAAGCTCTGCCTCCTGGGTTCACGCCATTTTCCTGCCTCAACCTCCCGAGTAGCTGGGACTACAGGCGCCCGCCACCACGCCCGGCTAATTTTTTGTATTTTTAGTAGAGACGGAGTTTCACTGTGTGAGCCAGGATGGTCTCCATCTCCTGACCTCGTGATCCGCCCGCCTCAGCCTCCAAAAGTGCTGGGGACCGAGTTCTTTAGAATGATCAGAGACTTCCCTGGGAAAGTGACTCTTGAGCCCAAGGATGATTAGGAGTGAACTAGGTGAAGTGGAGAAGAAAGATGGCTTTCCATCCTGTGCAAAGACCCACAGAGGAAGGGGTCATCACAGGTTTGAAGGGCGGAAAACAAGCCCAAATGGCTGGAACAGTTGAGGAGAACAGGATGTGAGATGAGGTGGGTGTGAGATGTAATGGATGGGATCCAGGGGGCAGGGCCCTGTGGCAGTGGTGAGGTTATCTTTTTGATAAGAACAATGGGAAGCAGCTGAAGGGCTTGAGTGAAGTAGGAGGAAGGGGCAGTGTCAAGTAACAGGATCAAATTTGAATTTTGATGTATATTTTTTAATTTATAAAGAGGTTTAATTGGCTCATGGTTATTCAGGCTGTACATGAAGCATAGTACTGATATCTGCTTCTGGTGAGGGCCCCAGGAACCTTCCAAATCATGGCGGAAGGTGAAGGGGAGCCAGCACAGCACCTGGTGAGAGCAGGAGCAGGAGTGACGTCATCTTAGCTGCAGAGAATGGATATGAAGAAGACGAGAGGATATAGAGGCTATTACAAGAGACAGTGAAAGCTTGGACTAGATCGATAATGGTAAAAGCGGAGAGAACTGAATATATTTGAGAGAGATTTAGGAGGGAGAATTGAGAGAAGTTGGTGATGGATTGGATAGGGGGATTTAAAAAGAACAAAATGTTGAGGATAACGTCTAGGTTTCTGACACAATACACTGAGACAGGTGACATCAGAAGAAGAAAGTTTGGGGAGTAAATTATGAATTCACTTTTCAAAATCTGATTTTGAGGTTCTTTTAAGACATATGAGAGCACATTAAATAAGCTGGAGCTCATAGGATGTGTATATATCATAAGCACACGTATATGATATATACTCACACATACATCTATGTCATCTGCATATAGTTGGTGAGTTATTCAACTATAAGATGGAGATGCTGACCTTGTTTCATAGCGATGTTGTAAGAATTGAGTGGAGATGAGTACATAACATATTAAGTCTATATGAGTAACTGCTGGGCTAAGAGCAAGGAAAAGAAAAACCCAGTAGTGAAAGAGGAATATGGAAATGCTTGAGACAGTGCTGCAAGGGGTGTCAGACGAGCAGCAGCCTGAATCTAGTGTGATAAATAAACTAGTCTGGTATATATTGCTTTTGAGGATGGGTTTCTATATTCTGTTAGCCACTTAATGCAGGTGTTTTCTAGATGAGTAGTTACTGAATCTGAGGACTGGAAAGGCTTTTTTTTTTCCCTGAGACAGTCTCGCTCTGTCACCCAGTTTGGAGTGTAGTGGCATAATCTTGGCTCACTGCACCACCTCACGGGTTCAAGCAATTCTCCTGCCTCAGCTTCCCGAGTAGTTGGGATTACAGGCATGTGCTACCACACCCAGCCAATTTTTGTATTTTTAGTAGAGATGGGGTTTCACCATGTTGACCAGGGTGGTCTCAAACTCCTGGCCTCAGGTGATCTGCCCACCTTGGCCTCCCAAAGTGCTGGGGTTACAGGCATGAGCCACCACTCCCAGCCTGGAAAGGCTTTTATCAATACTAACTACAGCATTATTCAAGAGAAGTTTTCATGGAAATTTATGAACATCTATTGAGGATCATTAGTCTAGCTTGGTAAGATCAGAAAAAAATTCCTGAAACTGGAGAGGAGAGGATGACCACAGGAAAAAAGTGGGAGTGTTCTAGGAGAAGTGAAGAGTACAGAGACCATAAAAATCACAGAGACATAAACACATGAGTGCAAAGTGAAATCATCTTGGAATTAACATTTGGGGAGTGACAGATGATATTGGATAAACGGGGCCAAATGATGGAGAAAAAGTAAGTGGTGGGAACCCATTGAAAGATTTTAAGCAAAGAAGTGACATGATTAGACTGCTTTTTAGATAGAAAGGTTCCCGCCATCATATAAGCCAGAGAACAGAATTGAAGACTAGAGAGACAGGGGTATCAGTTACGATGTTATTGCAATAGAACAGGAAGAGATGAAAGCTTAAAGTCCAGCAGGCATTTAGAGAATAGTCTGGATTGGAGATATTTAGATATATATTTGGGAATTATCAGTTTATAAGAGGTTAAGTAAAATCAGAGTAAGTAAAGTGAACTATGGAGACCATGCAACATGAGAAGAGATAGAGAACTTAGAATTTTGTGATGGCCAGGTGCAGTGGCTCATGCCTGTAGTCCTAGCACTTTGGGAGGCTGAGGCAGGCAGATCACTTGAGCCCAGGAGTTCGAGACCAGCCTGGCCAACATGGTGAAACCTCATCTCTACTAAAAATACAAAAATTAGCCAGGCATGGTGGCACATGCCTGTAATCCCAGATACTTGGAAGGCTGAGGTAAGAGAATTGCTTAAACCTGGGAGGCGGAGGTTGCAGGGAGTTGAGATTGCGTCACTGCACTCTAGCCTGGGCAACAGAGCAAGACTCTGTCTCAAAAAAAAAGAAAAAGAAAAAGAAAAAGAATTCCATGAGACAGCATCATTTGAGGAGCAGGTACAAGAAGGGGATCCTGAGGAGATCTCACATCTGATAATCCTCATTTTCAAAAGTTCCTTTTTATATATCCATCTTAGGTTTTTCATGCTTTGATCAAAGTCTGTTTCTTCTGTTCACTCTCCAATTGTGATAGAAAGCAGCTGTTCATCATCTTGTATATAACAACCCTTCCTGTGCTTAAATACTGTTATTAAGAAACCTAGTAGTCTGATCTAAATTGGGCTAAATAATTTCTAGCTCCTATTTTTCCAACCCCTTAATCATCTCTGTGACTGTCTGTTGAATCCCTTCCACTTTCTCCACATCCCTCTTTAAGTTGTGGAGTCTGTTGCTGGACACTGAACTTTCAAGATTCACTATGAGGCTCATGGGAGGATTTTCTTAAATTTCTTATGTAATAACCTAATGTATCCCAGTGCTATGCTTGGACTGCTCCATGTTTACTACGATTTTTCATGAACCAGTTTATTTGGGTTATTTATGTCTAACTGGCTAAAGTAGACAGTATTTGTATTTATTGTTAACTTTAAATCTCGGTTGTGACATTTCAAAGAGATAATTTTCAATACGCTTATGTGGTTGAATGAAATAAATTGGTCTGATCCTGTTCTCATGGATGTCACTTGGGGTAGGACGTAAGAGCTTTGCATGGACTCCAGGTATGTGCATAGATGACATAGACTATGGTATTTTTCTTCTCCTATTCTTGTTTAACCTGAAAATCAGATTCAAGTGTAAATGTGAAGTAACCTCCCTTATTTCATGTACCTCACGTTATTGCTCATTGACTGCTCACATGTCTGTCTCTTATTCCACTTTGAGCTTCTTGAAGAAGGAGCACAATCCTGGTTGTCTTATATTTCCAGTCCACTTTTTTTTTTTTTTTTTTGAGACGGAGTCTCGCTGTCGCCCAGGCTGGAGTGCAGTGGCGCAATCTCGGCTCACTGCAGGCTCCGCCCCCTGGGGTTCACGCCATTCTCCTGCCTCAGCCTCCCGAGTAGCTGGGACTACAGGCGCCCGCCACCTCGCCCGGCTAATTTTTTGTATTTTTAGTAGAGACGGGGTTTCACCGTGTTAGCCAGGATGGTCTCGATCTCCTGACCTCGTGATCCGCCCGCCTCGGCCTCCCAAAGTGCTGGGATTACAGGCGTGAGCCACCGCGCCCGGCCTCCAGTCCACTTTTTATCTCAAGGAGAGTCACATGGGATGCCTGTCTTAAGTGTGAAAAGGAAGGTCTTGACCAGCAATAGCACTAGAATTTCATCTTGCTTGTTGGCTCCAACTGAATAGTACTTAGTTATTGCTGAGTAACGTGATGTTAAGGATTCTGAAGCAGATTACTAGCTCATCCAAAAAATGCTATGGCAAATTGGCATTGTTGGGAATTGGAATTGTGAATTGCGGTGGCAAATTGTTTACTGTGGACAAGGAACATAAGAGAGAAGGTATAAGTAGCCCGTATTTGTCATAAACAACAACAACAGGAATTATATCTTCATTCCTAAAAGATGCGTTGGTACCAGGCTAGTTACAGACTACCCTGATGAGAAAGAAAACAGCACTTTGTTCAGTTTATAGACCATAGCAAAGACAACAGAAAATCTTAGAGGTCACGGCCCTACTAAAATATCCACCCACCCACTCATTTGCCCAATTACACAAGGTCTATTTTTAGTAGCTCTTGGAATTTGGGTGAGTACTAATCTGCATGGTTGTCACACATGGTTCTGAAATGTTACTGTAAGAGTTTTGTTAATGGTTCTTTCTTGAAGCTCCCAGAAAATAGTTTCAATTTGACTTAAAAGTAAACAAAAATCATAAGAGTTTTTTGTTTGTTTGTTTGTTTGTCTGTTTGGGATTTCTTTTGGAAGTTAATCAAAGAATTCAGCTGCCACTTTAAAAGTTCCACAAGAGATCTGGTAATATTGGTAAATTATTATGTTGACAGCATATTGTCAATGATATATTAATAAAGAAACAGGCCAGGTGCAGTGGCTCACGCCTGTAATCCTAGCACTTTGGGAGGCCGAGGCGGGTGGATCACCTGAGGTCAGGAGTTCGAGACCAGCCTGGTCAACATGGTGAAACTCTGTCTCTACTAAAAATACAAAAATTAGCCTGGCATGGTGGTGTGTGCCTGTTATCCCAGCTACCTGGGAGGCTGAGACAGGAGAATCGCTTGAACCTGGGAAGTGGAGGTTGCAGTGAGCCAAGATCATGCCACTGCACTCCAGCCTAGGCCACAGAGTGAGACTCTTTCTCAAAAGAAAAAAAAAAGAAAAAGAGAAACAACTAGAACACTAAAAATATTGTGACGTCTTTGCGAGACAGGTAGAGTTTGGCATAAAAGCTCAACTAAGAAGTAGAACAAACTGAAGAATTAGTATGTTGGTGGTATTGTTGAACCCCTGGAACATAAGAAATAGTACTGAAGAACTGTCAATATATTTAATCTTAGATACTTTTGTGTATTTGCTTGTTTTTTGTTGCTGTTCTGTGCTTCTTCACTTAACATGAGCCTCCATGTCTAGGCTTTGGAGAACAACTTCAAAGATACATAAATCAGTGATAAATCTAGTAGGTGGACCCTTTCATGATGGGTACTGCATCTAAAGTCCACAGTTAATGGCAGAGAGAAGCTCTGTAAAAGTACAACTTAACTGTGGGTTGAGAGAAAATTCTCTCAGCCTACATTCTTTCTGAGTTACTTGACCCATTGATTTTAATTATCACAAATACGGTAATGACACCAAATCTATAGCTGCACCCCAAACCTTTCTCAATAGCTGCTGACTGTCTGCTACATGTATCCTCCACCTACCTCTTAAACTCAACAAGCCTAAAATCACTGCAGTTACCACTTCCCTTCAAACCTACTCCTTTTCTGGTATTCTCTATTGCACTTGGTGTTGATGCTATGCCTCACAATAGTCTTGCACTCTTCCATTTTCCATATTTCCCACATTCATCCAACCACCAAGTCCTGCCAATTATACCTCCTAATTAGCTCTTGAATCCTTTTCCTACTCTCTGCCTCTGCTGTTACTGCCCTGGTTTGGCCTATCATCCTCTCCTATCCCAAATACTGCAGCAAACCTATTAACCAGTCTCTCTTTTTTTTTTTTTTTAAAGACGGCTCGTTCTGTCGCCCAGGCTGGAGTGCAGTGGCGCGATCTTGGCTCACTGCAACCTCTGCCTCCTGAGTTCAAGCGATTCTCCTGCCTCAGCCTCCCAAGTAGCTGGGACTACAGGCATACTCCACCACACCCAGCTAATTTTTGTATTTTTAGTAGAGACAGGGTTTCACCATGTTGGCTAGGATGGTCTCGATTTCTTGATCTCGTGATCTGCCTGCCTCAGCCTCTCAAATTGCTGGGATTACAGGAGTGAGCCACCACACCCAGCCAACTAGTCTCTTCTAATCTCTGGTCTGCCCTTATCTATATATTTTAATTTTGTTTCCACATTTTATTTGTTTGGAATTTTTTTTTTTTTTTTTTTTGAGACAGAGTCTCACTCTGTTGCCCAGGCTGGAGTGCAGTGGCACAATCTCGGCTCACTGCAAGCTCCGCCTTCTGGGTTCACGCCATTTTCCTGCCTCAACCTCCCGAGTAGCTGGGACTACAGGCACCCGCCACCACGCCCGGCTAATTTTTTTGTATTTTTAGTAGAGATGGGGTTTCACTATGTTAGCCAGGATGGTCTCGATCTCCTGCCCTCATGATCCGCCTGCCTCAGCCTCCCAAAGTGCTGGGATTACAGGCGTGAGCCACCGCACCCGGCCTGGATTTTTTTTTTTTTTAAAGAGATGAGGTCTCACTATGTTGCCCCAGCTGGTCTTGAACTTCTGGGCTCAAGCAATACTCTCACCTCGGCCTCCCAAAGTGTTGGGATTACAGGTGTGAACCACTGCACCCAGCCAGTTTCCCTATTTTAAAAGCTCATTGACTCCTCATTGCTTGTAAGATAAAGTTCAAGCTTCTTGACATAGAATTCAAGAATTCTGTGATCTGCCCCCATCTAACTTTATATTTTAATCTCTCATCCTCCTCCACTTCTTGTCTTTCTACTTGTTCTCTAATAATGGTGCTGTTTCTCTGCTGTTCCTGTCTGGAACACTCTACCCTGCCTCTTTCTACCCTCTTCCTCATCATTTAGCTAATTCCTAATCTTTTTTTTATAAAACCTATCTTATGTACTATCTCTTCCTAGAAAGTCTTCCTACCTACCTACCTACACACATACACCTTTCTGCCTTTATGCCTTTATAATGCTCAGGATTCATGTTTCTCTTTGCCCTTCCTAAATTATTTTAACATGTCTGTACACTTATTTGTCTGCACTACCGTGCTATGAACTCTCTAGAGGGATATCATGTAGTAGTTACCTCTGTATCCACAACACACTGGCATAGTGCCTTACACTGGTAATCTTGTTTTTTTTTGGTTTTGGGTTTTTGGTTTGTTCGTTTGTTTTTGAGACAGAATCTTACTCTGTTGCCCAGGCTGGAGTTCAGTGGCATGAGCTCAGCTCACTGCAACTTCCGCCTCCCAGGTTCAAGCAATTCTCCTGCCTCAGCCTCCCAAGTAGCTGGGATTACGGGTACATGCCACCATGCCCAGCTAATTTTTGTATATTTATTAGAGACAGGGTTTCACTCTCAAACTCCTGACCTGAGGTGATCCACCCACCTCGGCCTCCCAAAGTGCTGGGATTACAGGTGTGAGCCATAGCACCTGGCCTACACTGGTAATCTTTATTGTTGTTGTTGTTGTAGAGACAGTCTCCCTATGTTGCCAAAGCTGGTCTTGAACTCCTGGGCTCAAGCAATCCTCCCCTCTCGGCCTCTCAAAGTGCTGGGATTACAAGGGTGAGACTATTAGAATAATCAGTGTAAAAAGAAGAAAATTGCGGGCCGGGCGCAGTGGCTCACGCCTGTAATCCCAGCACTTTGGGAGGCCGAGGGGGACAGATCACGAGGTCAGGAGATCGAGACCATCCTGGCTAACACGGTGAAACCCTGTCTGTACTAAAAATACAAAAAATTAGCCAGGCGAGGTGGCGGGCGCCTGTAGTCTCAGCTACGTGGGAGGCTGAGGCAGGAGAATGGCGTGAACCAGGGAGGTGGAGCTTGCAGTGAGCCGAGATGGCACCACTGCTCTCCAGCCTGGGTGACAGAGCGAGACTCCGTCTCAAGGAAAAAAAGAAAAAGAAGAAGAAAATTGCTAGTCATGCCCCAGTCTTTCCTTCATTGACAGTCTTCAATGAAATAGATCATCTAAGTTCTAAAAATACACATTTTTCTCCCTGTAGTACTAAAACTATTTCCATTTTGAATGAAAACTTTTAAATATAGTTTATAATATTTCCATTTTTCCTAAGTTATCTCCTAGTCTCCTCAAAAACTTGATAACCAAGACTCTAATAAAATGAATTGACAAGTTGAAATTTTTTCATCTGCAGATCTTGGCATCTCTGCCTCCCTTTGCCTAGTAACTTTCCCTGTTTGGTCTCTAGATTAATCAATTATTTTCCCAGCTACCACGTTTTATGTTTGTGTTTGTTAAACTGTTTGCAAATGTACTTGTGGAAGGATTTTACTAAAAAGCCATAAACATTATAAGACAACTACAGTTTTTAAGCATCCAATTTTAAACCTTTATTGATATTTTTGATTTTAAAAAGGAAGTCATGGAAATACTTCTTTGCTTATTTTGGAGTACCTGGTGAATTTTAACAATTCATTCTTTGAATATTTTGGTTATTGTGCATTCTATTTTTTACTAGAAGATAGGTTCTTCATATTTTGCTCACTGAAAATTGGAGTGAGCTCTCCTTTAATACAAGCATATGACCATTCCTAAAATACCTACCTGCCAGGCTGTAATTGATTAGTGGGGTGTTGGATCCATGTTAGTGCTTTCAGAGAGTTCAGTGAGTGAGAGAATGCTAAGAAATCAAAGAGACCACAGTTGCTGTATTAGAGCTATTGTTCCATTTAATTTTTACCATGGACAAATTTAAAATAAGATCGTTTAATATAAAATTTACTTTTCATGGCTAAGGGACAACCTGAGTAAAAATGTGCCTCTTTCTTGAAATCACATGAGACAAAAAGATGTTCTTCGTCTTTTAAAATATATGTAATTATGCCTTCTGTGCCACTTGCTATGAGATGTTTTTCACACTCATTCTCTTGCATTTTGATAAAGTAAAAAAACTTTAAAGATTCAAGAATTTTACATAAGTTTATACTTCTTTTAACTAATTTATACAGTCAGAATAATACTCCTATCAATATCACTCATTCTTTTTTTTTTTTCTTGAGACAGTCTTACTGTGTCACCCAGGCTGGAGTGCAGTGACTCAGTCTTGGCTCACTGCAACCTCTACCTCCCGGGTTCAAGCGATTCTCCTGCCTCAGCCTCCCGAGTAGCTGGAATTACAGTCGCACACCACCACGCCCAGCTAATTTGTGTATTTTTAGTAGAAACAGCGTTTCACCATGTT
The DNA here is from genome assembly GCF_000001405.40 of Homo sapiens. NCBI lineage: Eukaryota > Metazoa > Chordata > Mammalia > Primates > Hominidae > Homo > Homo sapiens. The sequence goes on along the minus strand of NC_000008.11, from coordinate 80,459,028 downwards.
GGCCAGGCTGGTCTCGAACTCCTGACCTCAGGTTATCCAGCCTCCTTGGCCTGCCAAAGTGCTGGGATTACAGGCGTGAGCCACCATGCCCAGCCATTCATTCTTGATAGATATGTATGAAATGAGTAAACAAAGCAATCAATCAATGACATGAGAAAGATGATATGTTTTAAAATTTCTGTGTAATATTTTAAATATGGTATGCACCTATGGTTTTATCTATCAAGTGCTTGTTCTGGGAATTGCCCCTCCCCGACTTTTTTTTTTTAACTTTCATTCTCAAAGGAGATGATCCCTCTCTGATTCATTTTTTTTTTTTTTTTTGACAGAGTCTCGCTCTGTCTCCAGGCTGGAGTGCAGTGGCGCGATCTTGGCTCACTGCAACCTCCGCCTCTCTAGTTCAAGCGATTCTCCTGCCTCAGCCTCCTGAGTAGCTGAGACTACAAGCACATGCCACCAAGCCCAGCTAATTTTTATATATTTTTTTAGTAGAGACGGGGTTTTACCGTGTTGGCCAGGATGGTCTCGATCTCCTGACCTCATGATCCGCCCGCCTCAGCCTCCCAAAGTGCTGGGATTACAGGTGTGAGCTACCGCGCCCGGCCCCCTCTCTGGTTCTTAACAGGGCTGCCAATTCTCCCATGACACTACTGGTCACAGGGGTGGGCACTTGAAACAAGCTGGGCCGGTGAATCCTAGTCTTTTGATCTAAAAAATAGGGTCATATGGTGTCACCATCATTATAGAAAGAAAAAACAATATAGTCAGTCCCTTTTAATGGCTGAGATTATAAGATGTAAGTCTGAATGGTACTTGTGGTATTGTAGCAGTTTAAAGTGTAAGTTCTGAACTCGAAGAGGCTTCTACTGGCCAAAGATAGGACAATTTGAGCATCAATAAAAATATGAGCACCCAAGGTGGGTGGATCACTTGAGCTCAGAAGTTTGAGACTAGCCTGAGCAACATGGCAAAACCCCATCTCTACTATAGAGAGAAAAAAATTAGCCAGCTATGGTGGCACACACCTGTAGTCCCAGCTACTCAGGAGGCTGAGGTAGAAGGATCACTTAAACCCGGGAAGTTAAGGCTGCAGTGAACCATAATCATGCCATTGCACTTCAGCCTGGGCAAGTGGAGTCAGACCCTGTCTCAACTCATTATTTTGAACACTAGTTAATAAAGGAAAAGAACTAAGGATTTATCCTGCCTTCCTTGTATTTACTATACGTTAAGGTAACTAAATAGTTTTTTTGTTTTTGTTTTTGTTTTTGTTTTTATTTTTATAGAGTCTGGGTCTTGCTATGTTGCCCAGGCTGGTCTCAAACTCCTCAGCTTAAACAGTCCTCCCACCTCAGCCTCCCAAATTGCTGGGATTACAGGTGGCAGCCACTGTGCCTAGCCACTAAATAATTAATGAAGAAAGTCCTTTCTTGATAGAGGTATTCTACCTAATAAAGGAAGAGCGAATGATAGACTAGATTACCCTCTGTTGCAGACTCCTAATGAAACAATGGATGACCTGAACTGTCCAATACAATATCTACTAGTTGTCCATGGCTTTGAGCGCTTGAAATGTTGCTAGTCTAATTGAAATGTGTTATGAGCAGTGGCAGGCTGGCAAATGTTTAATGACTGATTCTCTGAAAGGAAGAAAACCCTGATTTCTATTGTTCACCATGGTATAAATACTCCCACCATATCCAATTTTGAGCTACCAATGAGATGTCATTGAATGTAGAGTTCAGATAAAATGCTTTCAACTGACTCTCATTAGCCAGTCAAGCTGGCTGCAGCACCTACTGGCTGTGAGTGAAAAAATCACACCAGACTTTGGAAACTTAAATGAAAAAAAGAATATAAAATACCTTTTTAATAATTTTTATCTTGGCTGGTTGCAGTGGCTTACCCCTGTAATCCCAGCACTGTGGGAGGCCACGGTGGGAGGATCACTTGAGCCCAGGAGTTTGAGACCAGCTGGGCAAGATGGTGAAACCCTGTCTTTACTAAAAATACAAAAATTAGCTCAGCGTGGTGGTGTATCCCTGTGGTCCCAGCTACTTGGGAGGCTGAGGTGGGAGGATCTCTGGAGCCCAAGAGGCAGAGGCTGCAATGAGCCAAGATCATGCCACTGCACTCTAGCCTGGGTGACAGAGTGAGACCCTATCTCAAAAATAATATTTTTTATCATGATAACATGTTAAAATAATAATATTTGGGATATATCAAGGTAAATAATATTATGAAAATAAATTTCACTTGTTTTAACTTTTCATTTGTTAGCTTTTTATACTTTCAACTTTTAACTTAGATCCGTGTTTTTAACTTTTTTTTTTTTTGAGATGGAGTCTTGCTCTGTCACCCAGGCAGGAGTGCAGTGGCGTGATCTTGGCTCACTGCAACCTCCGCATCCCAGGTTCAAGCGATTCTCCTGCCTCAGCCTCCCGAGTGGCTGGGACTACAGATGCCCGCTGCCATGCCCGGCTAATTTTTGCATTCTTTTTAGTAGAGATGGAGTTTCACCATATTGGCTAGGCTGGTCTCGAACTCCTTGTGATCTGCCCGCCTCAGCCTCCCAAAGTGCTGGGATTACAGGTGTGAGCCACTGTGCCTGGCTTGTTTTTAACTTTTTAAAATGGTAGTACTAGTCTGGGCATGGTGGCTCATGCCTGTAATCCCAGCACTTCAACGTAGCAATATCCCACCCCTGTCTCTACCAAAAAAAAAAAAAATTAGGAGTGGTGTGTTGCATACCTGTGGTTTTAGGTACTTGGGAGGCTGAGGCAGGAGGATTGCTTGAGCCCAGGAGTTCAAGGCTACAATGAGCTATGATTATGCCACTGCACTCTAACCTGGAAATAGAGCAAAACCTTGTCTCAAAAAAAAAAAAATAAAAATAAAGTAGGAATACTAGAAAATTTTAAATTATATACGTGTCTCACATTAAATTTCTTTTCTTTTTTTTTTTTTTTTGAGATAGCCTTTCTGTGTTGCCCAGGCTGGAGTGCAGTGGCATGATCTTGGCTCACTGCAACCTCCGCCTCCTGGGTTCAAGTGATTCTCCTGCCTCACCCTCCCAAGTAGCTGAGACTGCAGGTGCGCACCACCACACCTGGCTAATTTTTGTATTTTCAGTAGAGACAGGATTTCACCATATTGGCTAGCCTGGTCTCAAACTCCTGGCCTTACGTCATCTGCCCACCTTGGCCTCCCAAAATGCTAGGATTACAGGCATTAGTCACTGTACCTGTCCAAAATTTCTTTGGCCAGTGCTGCTCTAGACAGCAATCATCACTAACTGCCAACACATCAGAGAGATAGTATGTGTCTCCTAATGGAAGTATTAACACCAGCTTTGAAGCAGTCTTTTCAAATAACCAAACCTGTGCAATATCAAGCCTCCAAGATAAATTACTAGGTTACAGGAAATACAGGGGATAGAATAGCACGTTAAATGACATGCTACAGTCAGCAAAATCCAGGATGTAGGATATGTTGTAAGATCAGTTTCTTCAATATATTGCAAGGGGGGAAAAGAGAAATGAAGGGAAAGTATATACAGTAGAAGAAGCTTAAGAGGCTACCAACTAATTGTAATTTGTGGGCCTTCTTTAGCTTTAAAAACTAAATAATCTAGTGAAGATGGGGAGAAATTTGTGGGGATATATATGAAACCAAAGTGAGCATAAGTTGAGGATTGTCATAGCAAGATGATGAGTCCACACACGGGATTAATTGTACTAGTCTCTCTACTTCTGAAAAATTAGAGTGTGGATGCTAGCACTGTACTGCTTGGCTTTGAATTCTGGCTCTACCTCTTCTTAACCTTATGACCCTGTGCCTCAGTTTCCCCATCCATAAAAAGGAAATGTTAGTTGTATCCACTTCATAGGTTATGAAAATAAAATTAATTAGGGCTGGGCACAGTGGCTCATGCCTGTAATCCCAGCATTTTGGGAGGCCAAGGCGGGTGGATCACCTGAGGCCAGGGTTTGAGACCAGCCTGGCCAACATAGTGAAACCCCATCTCTACTAAAAATACAAAATTACTCAGACATGGTGGCACACACCTGTAGTCCCAACTACTCAGGAGGCTGAGGCAGGATAATTGCTTGAACCCAGAAGGGGGAGGTTGCAGTGAGTCCAGATCATGCCACTGTACTCCAGCCTGGGTGACAGAGCAAGACTCCATCTCAAAAAAAAAGAAAAGAAAAGAAAATTAATTAATATAAAAGAAAGTGGCTTGTGCCTGTAATCACAGCACTTTGGGAAGCTGAGGTAGGAGGATCGCTTGATGCCAGGAGTTCAAGACTGGCCTGGGCAACATAGCAAGACTCTGTCTCCATAAAAAAAAAAAAAAAAAGACAGTAAAGAAGGAAGTTGATATGCAAAGAAACAGAGACTTGAAACTGTGGGAACTGATGTGATTCAGGTCTCTGGGTCCAATTCCCTAAGATTCACATTACTACTCTCTATAAAACACTCCAGTATCCTCCTAATTCATTTCTCTTTTTGCTTGAGCTGGCTCACATTGTGTCTTTGTGATGTGCAAGTCACACAGTTCGAACTAATAGGTAAACATATACTCCCACCCTAATATCCTATTAGATATTTGAAGCTTTTTTGTCTGTTCTGGGACCAGCCAGTCTTTATTTTTCTAGAGTTGCTACTTGGGCTCCAGGTTGGTTGCCTCTCAATTTGAATAAGTTATTCCACGTTTAGCTTAAAATTTAGAAGTTTGCCTTCATTGTGTTGACTGATTATTAATCTTAAAAAGGTTAACTTGCCTTCTCTATGATTTCATTTAAATTAATAGATTTAAGGTATTATAACTTCCAGTAGTTGTACGTCTGAAATAACAGTACTTTCTTTCCTTTAATTCTCTAGACTAGTTATCTCCAAAGTATCATGATCTATTGGAGTACATGAAAACATAGTTACCATTTTTATTTCTATTTATTTTATCCATACAATAAATCAATCATTGCTAATATTTAATGTAGAGATTGACAATATCTTATGATTTATAAATAAATACAATTTATAGGGCTACTTACTAAATTTTTTTTACTCATAGGCATGAGAAATCAAAACAGTTTAGAGATCATTGTCATCAGCCAATGAGTTTTAAACCTTCCTTTATCACAACTGGCTGATATACCCAGCCCCAACTGCGTTCTTCCAATGGCTTACTTCTTCAAATGGAATTTATGATATTAACTCCTATACACTTCTCACTCCATCTGGGTCCCTAATCCCATTAACTAGTACCAAGTTATTATTTACATTAGAAATATGACAAGTCATTCCAGAAACCTGTCCTTCAAACTCTCTTTTCCAATCAATCACCAAATACTGTCTGTTCTACCTCTTACATGTTTCTTGAATCCTCCAGTTCTCTCTACCAAAGGGATACATTATCAAGTCTCACTTCCTTATTGTAATGACACTTCCTAAGAAGTCTTTCTGCATTCAGATTGGTTTCTCTGTAGTTTGTGCTCTACCATGAAGACATATGAGCTCTTTAAAATATAAATCTGGTCTTGTCCCTCAGGTTTAAGCCTCTCATCCAATGTCTACCCATTGCTCTTAAGATAAAGCTCAAAATCTTTAAGCTCTTGCATGATCTCCTTGATCTCCACCTCCCCACTCTTTTCATCACGTTCTATCCAAAGTGTTTCCCTTCCAGTTCTAACACCATACTGCTTTCTGCCTTGAGACCTGTGAATGCTCATAACCTCCTTCCTTGCCTAACAAACTCCTATTTACCTTTCATGTTTCAACTTAAACACCAGTCACCAAGGACGATCCAAAGTAGCTCAGGTCCAACTCTCAAAACAGGCTGTGTTTTTCTTCAAAGCAAGTATATATTAATATCTACCTGTTCCACCAGCTTGTAAGGTTCAGAAGAGCAGGAATAATATCCACAATGCCAAGCGCAGCATCTGACACAGAGTAAGTACTAATGAGTATTTGTTGCGTTAGTGAACAGACAAATATCTTTAACTGTGGTTACTTCCTTTCCCTTTCCATTTCCCTAAATGATTACTTTATGTGTAAATTATCCTATTTATTTTTGTTTATCCATTTATTCTACAAATAACTGTTCCAGGTACTGCTCTCTGTCAATTGATTTGCAGTTCTGCTTATCTTTCTTATATTTCTCAGGATATCATTTGTAACCAAATAATTCATAAGGTTAGAAGGTTCGTACCCAGACAGACTTGAGTTCTAGTCACTGCTCTACCACTTAATTGTGATGGGAACTTTAGACAAGTTAATTAATTAGAGGGTTAGTATGAGATTTATATAATAGATGGCAAATAAAACACTCAGTACAGTTTATAGCACCTTGTTGGAGCTCCATGAGTGAATGTTCTTTTCTGTGCAGCCTCAATGGTTAAAGAAAAAGGCCTTGGTCCTTGCTCCCTCCAAGATACTGCATAATTCCTTCTCCATAAACTCTAATCAGAAAGGTCTCAGAGCCAAAATTCAAAGAGATCTCTCCCATTTTAATCCCTTATTAATTAAATGAGTCATTAAGTTTTCTGTCTGGTGAGTAAAAATTAGATCTGAATTCTGTAATTTAGGCTGTATGTTTAACAAAGGAGAAAATTACAATTTTCCACAGGACTTATCCCCTTCTTTCCACAACAATCAAACAGAAGATCGGTCTAGCAGCAGGATATGGAGTAGATTCGGGAGTCCAGAAGCCCATCCAGTAAGCTGTTGTAATAATTAATGTAGTCGTGAGATGGCGAAGGCCTGTTGGCAAGGGAACTAGAAAGGAAGGGAGAGAGAGGGGAAATATCCTAAAGGCAGGCCTTTTCTGATGATCAGCCTGAAGTGGCCATTCTCTACCTATCATTTTGTTCTAATTCTCTGTGAAATATTTACCATTATGTGATAATTTTCTTGTTTGTTTAGTTGCTTCTTTGCTTATTGACCATCTTCCTCTATTAGAACATAAGATCCAAAAGGGAAGGGCCTGGAAAGTTCCGTTTATTGTTAGGTCTTTATGTATCATACCCAGAACAATGCATGGTAGAAAGTAGCACCCACGGTATTTATCTGTGGGATGAGTAAATTGTTACTGGAAATTAGAAGCAGCCAGATATAACAAAAATAAATTCAAGATTTAGGCTGGGCGTGGTGGCTTACGCCTCTAATCCTAGCACATTGGGAGGTCGAAAAGGGTGGATCAATTGAGGCCAGGAGTTCAAGACCAGCCTAGCCAACATGGCGAAACCCGTCTCTACCGGAAATACAAAAAATTAGCTGGGCGCAGTGGCGCACGTGCCTGTAGTCCCGTCTACTCGGGAGGCTGAGGCATGAGAATCGCTAGAACTCTGGAGGAAGGTTACAGTGAGCTGAGATCATGCCACTGCACTCCAGACTGGGCAACAAAGCAAGACTCTGTCTCAAAAAAAAAAAAAAATCCACTTTAGTTCCAGGTCCTGTCCTAGGCCCTGAGGACACAAGGATGAACAACAGCCTCTGCCCTTTGGGAGCCTATAATCAACAGAAGGAAAGAGACACCTAACTAATTATGATATAAAACAAAAGTTATCATAATACTGTCATAAACACTATGCTATGGGAACACAGAGGAGAGAACGAGTAATTCTGCTGAAATTATAGAGGTCCACAATATAGCTTTGAAGTGTGAAAAGATGACTACTAAATTCTAGGAAAATCAGATTGAAGCCCTAAGGCTTGGTGGTATTATTAATGTATAATACATAATGTATGCTCAACATATCATTGTAAGATGAATGAGTAATTGAAGGACAGGACTTGTTATTTTAAAAGATTGTATCCATATCATCTCTTTTATTGATATTAGAAACCATGCTTGTGAAGAATTTTTAGTAATATGGGAAAATGTTTGTGATACAATAGGTTTTAGTAAGATACAAAATTATATACATAGTTAAATTGTAAAGATTTATTTTCCTCTTTACTTTTTCTTAGAGTTTCCAGATGCTTTACACAGAGAATATATTAATCGCCTCCACGGAATACATATCAAACATTTTTACAAAGGTGGAGTCGAGGAAGAAATAAAATAGCAAAGAAAAAAAAGAGATGGAAAAGGAGGTACATGAAAATGTTACTCATTATTATAGAACTGGCTCATGTAAAAAAGAAAAAAAAAATTAATTTTTTGTTGTTGTTGTTGTTTTGAGACAGAGTCTCACTCTGCTGCCCAGGCTGGAGTGCAGTGGCGTGATCTCAGCTCACTACAACCTCTCCCTCTCGGGTTCAAGCAGTTCTCCTGCCTCAGCTTCCCGAGTAGCTGGGACTACAGGCATGTACCACTATACCCAGCTAATTTTTGTATTTTTAGTAGAGATGGGGTTTCACCATGTTGGTCAGGCTGGTCTTAAACTCCTGACCTCAAGTGATCTGCCTGCCTCAACCTCCCCAAGTGCTGGGATTACAGGCGTGAGCCACCATGCCCAGCTGAAAATTTTTTTTTAATTACATCTGTACTGAACATGTACACTTTTTTCTTTATTTTCTTTTACTTCTTTTTGAGACAACGTCTACCTGTGGTTTCCCAGGCTGGTCTTGAGCTCCTGAGCTCAAGCAATCCTCCCACCTTGGCCTCCCAAAGCACTGGGATTACAGACATAAGCCAAGTTGCCTGGCCCCCAATTTTTTCTTTTCATTATGCCCTAAACAATACAGTATAACAAATATTTACATTGTGTTACATATTATAAATAGCACTTACATTGTGTTAGGTATTATACATAGCATTTAAATTGTGTTAGGTATAATCTAGACTACTAAATTTAAAGTATACAGAAGGATGTGCGTAGGTTATATGCAAATACTACACCATTTTATATAAGGGACTTGAACATCCATGGATTTTGGTATTCATGGGGGGTTCTTCGAACCAATCCCCTGTGGATATTGAGGAATGTCTCTCCTTCTCAGCTATCATATTTGGTTTGCTCATTGTTCATGTATGGGACATAACAAATTTATCTATTATTTGTGCCCTTCATGTTTCATGCCTATTCTTAGCTTTGCTCCTATTCTTAAGTAATTTTCTCTACAGGGGTGTGTGGCAAGAGCGGGAGATAGCTAGATAGCCAATCAGTGAGTAAAACTGAACCTTAGACCATCGATCACAAGGTCTTAACTTCTGTTTGGTTCACCACTTAACAGGTATGTGATCATTAGTAAATAATGTTGACCCCTTTGAAAAACCTGTGCACTTCACAAGGTTATTGTTCATTTCTTCATTTACTAATTCTCATGAGATAGATAGATAGATAGATAGATAGATAGATAGATAGATATTTTATAGACAGGATTTTACTCTGTTACCCAAGCTAAAGTGCAGTGGTGCCAGCATAGCTCACTACAGCCTCCAACTTCTGGATCAAGCAATCCTCCAACTTCAGCCTCCCAAATAGCTAGGAGTATAGGCGCTTGCCACCACACCTGGCTAACTTTTTTTTTTTTTTTTTTTTGAGTCAGAGTTTTGCTCTTGTTGCCCAGGCTGGAGTGCAATAGTGCAATCTCAGCTCACTGCAACCTCTGCCTCCCGGGTTCAAGCAGTTTTCCTGCCTCAGCCTCCCAAGTAGCTGGGATTACAAGCATGCTCCACCACGCCCGGCTAATTTTGTATTTTTAGTAGAGATGGGGTTTCTTGGCCGGGCGCGGTGGCTCACGCCTATAATCCCAGCACTTTGGGAGGCTGAGGTGGGCGGATCACGACATCAGGAGATCGAGACCATCCTGGCTAACACGGTGAAACCCCGTCTCTACTAAAAAAAAAAATACAAAAAATTAGCTGGGTGTGGTGGCGGGCGCCTGTAGTCCCAGCTGCTCAGGAGGCTGAGGCAGGAGAATGGCGTGACCCAGGAGGCGGAGCTTGCAGTGAGCCGAGATCGCGCTACTGCACTCCAGCCTGGGCGACAGAGCGAGACTCCATCTCAAAAAAAAAAAAAAAAAAAAAAAAAAAAGAGATGTGGTTTCTCCATGTTGGTCAGGCTGGTCTCGACCTCCTGACCTCAGGAGATCTGCCTACCTCGGCCTCCCAAAGTTCTGGGATTATAGGTGTGAGCCACCGCACCCGGCCGACTTTTAAATTTTTGGTAGAGACAAGGTCTCGCTCTGTTGCCCAGGGTGGTGCTGAGCTCCTGGCCTCAAGCGATCCTCCTGCGTTGGCCTCCTAAAGTGTTGGAATTACAGGAGTCAGCCACTGTGCCTGGCTCCCATGTAATGAATTTTTATTGCATATTTACTACACAGCAGCTCTGTACTAGGCATTCATCAGTGAACAAGATCAATATAGTCTCTATGCTCATGGATCTAGGAGGAAAACAGAAAAAAAAACTCAATTGAAAACAAAGCAATTACAAATTGTGACAAATGTTATGAAAAATACAAATAAGAGAACAGGAAAGAGAAACTTTTTTTTTTTTTTTTTTTTTGAGACAGAGTCTCGCGCTGTTGCCCAGGCTGGAGTGCAGTGGCACTATCTCGGCTCACTGCAACCTCCATCTCCTGGGTTCAAGTAATTCTCTGCCTCAGCCTCCCAAGTAGATGGAATTACAGCCGCCCGCCATCAAGCCCAGCTAATTGTATTTTTAGTGGAGACGGGGTTTCACCATCTTGGCCAGGCTGGTCTTGAACTCCTGACCTCATGATCCACCTGCCTCGGCCTCCCAAAGTGCTAGGATTACAGGCATGAGCCACTGTGCCCAGTCGAAACTTTTTATTTTATGTTTTTGAGCCAGGGTCTCACGCTGTCACCCAGGCCATAGTGCAGCGGTGATGCAAACAAGGCTCACTGCAGCCTCGACCTCCTGGGCTCAAGCCACCTTCCCACCTCAGCCTGTCAAATAGGTGAGACCACAGGTGCCCAACACCATGCCCAGCTAATTTTTTAAAAAAAATGTTGTAGAGACAGGGTCTTGTCATGTTGCCCAGGCTGGATGAAAGAGAAACTTTGGATATGAATGAGTATGATAATATTTTAGGCAGGGAATGTGTTTTTGAAACAGAATAGTATACATAAAGACCCAGAGATGGAAAATACTATAGTATTGGAGGAGTTGAAAGAAGATGCTTGCCAGGAATGAAGTGGATGATTGAGGAGAATGAGGTGAGATGATGTTAGAGAAAAGGCAGAGCCAGATCTGTACGGCCCGACAGCCATAGTAAGGTACATGGAGATTATTCTAAGTGTTGTGGGACAGCAAGAGGGTTGTGACATGGTCTGGTTTCACTTTGAGAAATTAATTTGTGTAGAGAATGGAATAAAGTAAAAGCCATTGAGTGTAGCCCAGGGTAGCAGTGTTCAAGGCCTGGACTAAGGAATGCAGTGTCAACAGAGAGGAGCAGACATACTTAAGGGATATTTTGGAGATAGAAATTATGAAGACCGTATGAAATAATGAATTTAACAAGCTCAGTAAACTAAAAAATGCTTGTATATTTTGAGTTTTAGTATCACATCTCTGAGTCTTATTGAACCAGAAGGATTGTATAATATTAAGTTATTCTGCTACCAGTAGACTTAATTATATCTGCTTTTTTTCATCCATACTGTATCACCTGTCTTATCTAACTAAATCCGCTCTTTAAAAAAAGTAACTTGTTCTTAAATTCTCAATATAAGAATTCATTTATTCAACAAATATTCATTAAACCAAAAATATGGGACTCAGCATAAATGTATTTAGATAGCAGATTTTAATATAATTTGATGAAAACATAATTTATATATTATTTACATTTAAAGATATACAGTACTTGCTCTGCACAGCTCTTAAAATACAAAAGAAGCTCCTTTATTAAACTGTGAGAATTGTGTGCTAGCACAATGCAAAGATTGTTGGTGGAAAAAAAAAACAGAACAAAATAATAATTTGCACTGGAACTTAAGGTTATAGAGGCTCATAGTATTTTCATGTCTAAATAAATAATGACAAATTACCTGAGTAAAGAATATTAAGAATTACCAATGTATATGACTACCTCTTTGATTTTAAAATCTTTCTTTTACTAATAAAATATAGTACAGTAAATGGATATTAGTGAATTTTCCTATACTTTAATAAAGCCAAGTGTACTTCTATACAAACAAGAAGTCCTTCTACCTGCCAAAATAAAATTCAAAACAAATGAAAAAATGCTAATTTTGCCCCAATTTAGCCCTAACATTCTTTGAGGAGGTTCTGAATTTCAAATAGATCCAATCACCCCTAAATGGTATCAAATTCCATCCTATCTGCCTACTTAAATGCCTAGCCTTTGTTTAAAGTAAGTGGATTAACATTTTCATTGTTGGGATATTCTTCTCCAATCTAGGCTTGATAGATTATCAGCAATTTTTAAAAACCTACTACAACCCTCCCTGCTCATTCTGCCCACTCATCCCTCCCCTTGACAAGAACCCCTTTCTTTCCTTCCCACAGTAAGATTCTATGACTCATCTCTTTTGAATGCAGGCAATAGCCTAGCACCTTCCTTTCATCACTCAGTTGCAAAAGTTTTTCGTTATTGAACAGCTTTTGATAAATGTTTGTCTATTATTATTATTATTATTATTATTATTTAGAGACAGGGGTCGCCGTGCATGATGGCTCACGCCTATAATCTCAGCACTGTGGGAGGCCAAGGCAGGATAACTTGAGCTCAGGAGTTCCAGACCAGCCTGGGCAACATGATGAAACCCCATCTCTACTAAAAATGCAAAAATTAGCTGGGCATGGTGGCACGCGCCTGTAGTCCCAGCTGCTGGAGAGGCTGAGGTGGGGGAATTGCTTGAGCCTGGAAGGCAGAGGTCGTAGTCTAGATTATGCCACTGCACTCCAGCCGTGGTGACAGAGTGAGACTCTGTCTCGAAAAAAAAATAAAGACGGGAGGGTTGGGGGCAGTGCTCCGTCACCCAGGCCGGAGAGCAGCGGCACAATTATGGCTTGCTGCAGCCTTGAATTCCTGGGCTATAGCAATCCTCCTGCCTCAGCCTGCTGAGTAGCTGGGACTACAGGCATAAGTCACTGCGCCCCACCCTAATATTATTTTTAAGTCCAGGTGTCCCTGTAAACGTTTTTTTAACATGAAGAGTAAATTATTTGCCTTTGCTCTTTCACCATCACTTTTTTGTTTTGAGACAGGGTCTCACTCTCTCGCTCAGACTGGAGTGCAATGGCCCAATCTCGGCTCACCGCAACCTCCACCTCTCAGGCTCAAGGGGTTCTCCCGCCTCAGCCTCCCTAGTAGCTGGGATTACAGGCGCAGGCCACTACCGCTAATTTTTGTATTTTTAGTAGAGACAAGGTTTCACCATGTTGGCCAGGTCTAACTCCTGACCTCAAATGATCCACCCGCCTTAGCCTACCAAAGTGCTGGGATTACAGGCGTGAGCCACCGCGCCCGGCCTGTTCAGGGGTTTATACATTTAAGCACCCTGAGAGATACCTAAATGGTACCCTCAGCATTTCACTTCCAAAACTACAGTCAGGACTTCTGGGCATCTGTGTTTTCCTGTGTAATCTTTTTCACTGATGATAGCTGATTGGCCCCAAACAAGGAAGTAACCCAAGGCTGTTTAACACGTCCATGCACGTCATTTAGGAATAGGAAGGAAGGTTCCCTGCCATGAGCAGAGCTTGCCATTAGGGCACTTTTCTTCCAAACATACAGATACATGTTTGACTGGGCTCCATTTTCATTCTGATTGCGACCACGAATATCATAGCTTCTTGAATTGTGCCTCTGTTTTTAAATTTTACTTTTCATTTCTTCCCTATTTCAGCAAGCGTATGTTCTCCATCTCTTAAAGTTTCCTAAACACTGACATTTATAGGATACATAATTTCATTGTCTTATCAATAATGGAACACTGAAAAATATTTATGGAAGGTATTGATCTATGTTTTTTGATGATGATATGCAATATAAAGTCATTATTATATACATATACATATAAAATATATATCTTCTCTAATATGCAAAATGTTTCCATTTATTCCTGACTCCATTTCCCCACTCCCTTCTGACCAAATCTCGTTTACATCAGCTATTAGCATAGCAACCATTTCTGACAGGAGGAGGCGCATCTATTTTTTTTTTTTTTTTTTTTTTTTTTGACAGAATCTTGCTGTGTCACCCAGGCTGGAGTGCAGTGGCACAGTCTTGGCTCACTGCAACTTCCATCTCCGGGTTCAAGTGATTCTCAGGCCTCAGCCTCCTGAGTAGCTGGGATTACAGGTGCGTGCCACCACGCCCAACAAATTTTTGTATTTTTAGTAGAGACGGGGTTTCACTACGCTGGCCAGGTTTGTCTCGAACTCCTGACCTCAAGTGATCTGCCTGCCTTGGCCTCCCAAAGTGCTGGGATTACAGGCATGAGCCACTGCACCCAGCCAAGGAGGCACATCTAAATTCTGACAGAAACTGCTTTGGGAATGGCATTGCTGAACTAAATCCCTGACTTTCCATGCTCTTCTCTTTGCAGCAGTGCCAGAGCCTAAACTATAAACATGGAGATATTTGGAACTTTGGAACCTCTGAGAGTCTAATGCATCAGAACTAGCACAGAAGAGGAGTCTTAGAAACCGGATTCTCAATCTGAGCTTCAACCCTACCAGCTAGAGATCCTGAGTAAGGCACTTAGCTTCTCTGAGCCTCAGTTTCCTTTTCTGTTAAATAGAAATAATCCCTTACCAGTTCAAATGTATATCATAGTATTTATAAAGTGATATGCTAATGCTAGTTGTTGCTCTCATTTAAAAGGAAAGGCAGAGACTATAACCAAACAAACAAATAAAAGTAGGAATTTAAAGAATCTAACTCTGGAAGCCCTAGTCTAAAACTGCCTTATCCTAACCTGAATTTACCCCTTTTCTATTACTCTATTGCACAACGTTCTTTCCCCCACGTCATACATGTTTGAAATAACATATATTCCCTGTCTTTTTAAAAACAGCTCTGCAAATATTGAGAATTCATTAGTCATTCACATATGGGTGTTCAATGCTTTAATGGGAGGTTAAGATAACTACGCTGAGGGCATCGAAGTTTTATTAGGGAAGAAAGAAGCAATCATTAGGAAATATAACATTATTTAGGAGTTGGAACAAGCCCAAATGGAGGGAAGCTGTGCTGCCTTGGGCCAGGACAGAAGCCCTGGCGAAACACCAACAGGAGAGAGAAACATGAAGAAAAGGGTGGAGATAATAAGACAGGCTTCACATTTTCTGGAATTTTCCTCTTATATAGAAAATGGGGGTAAAGCTCTATTTATTCCACTCTCCTCAGTAATACTTCTAGAAACCAGAATTCAAATGAGTAGTATACATCCAAAGTTGACCAGGTTTTTGTGCACTAGCCTGGGAACTCAACCATCACAATGTTTCTGAAAAAAAATGTATTCCAATTTCCAAAGAGCCAACCCTGAAATGCATTTTTGGAATGCAATCTGTTTGAAAATGAAATAACAAGGCAGCCTGTATAAGTTAGCTTTCAAAAAAAGTTTGGGGTTAGAAACATATCAACTACTATGAAAAACTGGTTTCTAATGGGGACTCAATATTTTTGAGCTATCTTGGATCCTTTTTGGAAGGAAGTGGGCTACAAATATACAAATGAGGCTTCCAGATTAAAAAAAAACATTTAAGTGGATTTTAAGACTTTAACATGGAGCTATAGAACAGTCTCATCAGTTCAGAGATCCAGGAAATCTTTTTCATAGCCCTGGAATCAACTATTCACTTTAGAATATAATTGAGCTTCATCCACTTTGGAGTAAAGCCCAATTATATCCTAAGAATAATCTCTTCTACATTAAATCACATCCATGTGAAAAAAAAAAAAAGCCTGTGCAAAAAATATACACTACTGTAGCCATGGCCGTGGCCATGGTTTATTACACCTCTTTATAGTATTTACTCACAATTTAAAAAATAAAGTGACAGGTTAGGGTGAAATAATTTCTGTTTTTTTCTTTTGTTTAATATACCCAAGATAGTACTTCATTAAATAATTTCCAAAGTTCAGTAACTTTTTTCAGTCAGAATAGATATAACTTAGAATTTCTATCACAGTAATTTTACTCAAATAAATGATAAGAATAATGGATTATTCATTACTAAATTTTTTTACCCCATTCATCTCTTTCACACACTACCTTATATCTGCAACCCCAGTAAAATTTGTGTTCAAGAAAAGAGCTAGGCTGGGCATAATGGCTCAGCCTGTAATCCCAGCACTTTGGGAGGCCCAAAAGAAAGGATTGCTTGAGCCCAGGAGTTCGAGACCAGCCTGGGCAACAAAGTAAGACCCCAACTCTACAAAAAATAAAATTAGCAAAGTTTGGTGGCACGCCTGTAGTGCCAGCTACTTGGGAGGCTGAGGTAGGAGGATCACTTGAACCCAGGAGGTCGAGGGTGCAGTGAGCTATGATGGCACCATCACACTCCAGCTTGGGCGACAAAAGCAAGACTCTATCTCTAAAAATAATAACATTTAAAAAAATTTATTAATAATTTTAAATTAAGAAAATAACTAACACATTTTTCCTTCTAAGGGCAGTCACCCATATAAGTAGGTGACTGTCATTTATGGTCCAAACTCGATGCTGTTCTCCAGAAAAACGATAAACCAGATGAGAATCAGTAGGCATAGAACAGTACTACCTTGGGAAATCATGACTATCGTATTCAATTCATAGCTGCCTTTTGGCTGCCCAGACTTCCCTCTCACCAGAGCATGACCTGCAGTAGAGAGGAGGGAGCGTGGCCTAATGCAAAGAACACTGCACCAGCTCTCTTGGGTGCCATCCTACCTAGGGAACAGACATATCATCTACCTCCTCTTTAAACCAGAAACCTAGAAGAACGCTGGACAACTTATTCTCCCTCACTCCCTTCTTCCAAACACATATCAAGTCTTACTAATTTCACTTCCTAATTCCATCCATTTCCACTCACTCCACCACCACTACCTTAGTTCAGTTCATCACTATCCATCACTTTCATTATTACAATAGCCTCTGACTGGTCTTCTGTTTTACCTCCTGACCCCTCCAATCCATTCTTCACAATGACACCCAATTGATATTTATTGATATTCATCAACTGATCATTCTCCTTAAAACCCTTATTGGGTCACCCTTATCCTCAGTTAAATCTTGAGCTTGTCCTTCATAATTGGTTGCACAACTCTAGCCTCCTCTCAATCACCCCTTCCCCCGCAACTTGCACACTGTTTCAAATTACATTCAGTTCCTAGAACACACCTTCATTAACTATATTTTGCATAAAAGCTTCTCCATGCTCCACACACCAGCACACCTCACTTATTTCCCATCCCACTCCTGTACCTGAAATTCCATCTCCATGATTTAGATCTCAGCTTAGAAAGGACTTCCTCCAGGAAGCCTTCCTTTCCAAATCCTTCCCATATGCTACCATTGCAGTAATCTCTACTTCCCTTGTCAGAGCACTGGGAACTCAACCATCACTTGAACTCAATTAGCAAACTAGGGGTCCTTTCTTAGTCCAAAACCCCACCTCAGTGAGGGCCAGCACTTCAAACCAAACTTTCCCAGCCTTGACCTTCTAGCAACCTGTTTTGTACAAGAAATCAAGAAAACCTGTTCACTTTCTGGAATGGCAGCCTGAATTTGTGCCCATTCTTAATCCCCAGCCTCCATCCTCCCACCTCAGCCTCCCAAAGTGCTGATATTACAGGCATGAGCCACCATGCCTGCCCATTCCCAATTTTTATACCCTTCTGCAGATCATGGTAAATAACTAATCATACAGTCCTGTGTCATTCATTTTTCCCCTATGCTGTACGGCCTCTCCTTCAGTGGAAATGAATCCCATGTACCTTATAAAAGTGCTCCAGGACAAACAACATATGGAAAGGAAAACTGGCTTATTGCCACCAAAAATACTAACTCAGCAGATTTTCCTTTCCTCCTAAGTTTAACCCAATGAAGAAAAGTGCTTACATCACCAAGGCTTCGAGACCCCAGGGAAATTGCTGACAGCTGACTTCTCAATCTCTCTTAGAGCACAGTAAAGGGCAAATGCCTCAAGTTATAGGAATTGTGCATTCACAAACCATAAAATACTACCTAGATATTCATTAGTATTGTGTGCTTATGATCACTATATTCTTTTGAAAAAATTAATTGACACATTGTAATAGTACATGTTTTCATAAATATCTATGCTGTTTAATAATCTAGTCAGGGTAGTTAGTACATCTATCACCTTATGCATTTATCATTTCTTTGTCATGAGAATATTCAAAGGCCTCTCCTTTAGCTATTTTGTAATGTACATATTTTACCATTAACCATAGTCACCCAACTGTACAGAATTTATTTTCTATCTAATTGTAACTTTGTTCCTATTGACCAACTTCTCCCCATACCACCATTCTTCTCCCCCTCCCCAGTCTCTGGCAACCACTGTTCCCTTCTCTGCTTCTGATATCAACTTTTTTTTTTTTTTTTAGATTCCACATATGAGTGAGATCATGCAGTATTTGTCTTTCTGTGTCTGGCTTGTGTGATCTCTATATTCTCATTTTGAGTTTGAGACTGTCCTTCAAACACAAAAGGATATAGAAACATAGCCTCCTCCTCATTTGGGAGAATACCTTGGAGGCACAAAAATTCAGCTTATGCAAGAACAATGAGAATAAAAGAGCTAGCAGTAGAGTGATCTTCCAGAATTCAAGTATGAAGACAGCAACATTCATCCCTAGCTAAAAGCATCTGCTTCCACCCCCAGCTCGATCTCAGGTCATAGTCCTTTGGAATTTCATGGCCAGGACAATAATCAACTGGAGAGAATGTTGCATTTTGGAACCAGTGTGCCCAGAGTTAAAGAGAAAAAATTTTAGGCCAGGCATAGTGGCTCACACCTGTAATCCCAGCACTTTGGGAGGCTGCGGCGGGAAGATCTCTTGAGTTCGAGAACAGCCTGGGCAAGATGATGAGATCTGGTTTCTAGAAAAATAAAAAAAATAGCTAGGAGTGGGGCATGTGGAGGCTGAGGTGGGAGGATCACTTGAGCCCAAGAGTTCAGGGATGCAGTGAGCTATGGTCATGCCACTGTACTATAGCCTGAGCGACAGAGCGAGACTCTCTCTCTGAGAAAAAAAAAAGAGAAAATTTTGCTTTCTGGATCCTTATGTCAATAGCCCTTTTTCTCTGTGAATATCCATTTAAGGTTGGATGAGAGGGCACCCTGAAGGGCCAAGCTTCTGTCAATATACAGTTGACTAGATCTACTAAAATAAATGTTCATTTTCTGAGAAGATGTTCAGTATGACAATATTCTATTCTGTATTCTGAAAAATAATTTCATAAATACTATTTGAGTATCTGATAAAATTAGGTGATTATGTAAATGCAACATAAATCAGCACTACATGAAGTAATTTAGATAGACTGTGACTGGCCTACCCCTGTCCACGTTTTTCATACTGTGATTAGAAGGAAATCCCTTGTAATGGCCCACACGCTCTGCATGATTTGGTCTTGCCCAGCATGCTGTATCCATCCACAATGGCCCTATTTCAGTTCCTCAAACACATGAGGTTCTTCTTCTTCTTTTTTTTTTTTTTGAGATGGAGTCTCACTCTGTCGCCCAGGCTGGAGTGCAGTGACACGATCTTGGCTCACTGCAACCACCGCCTCCTGGGTTCATGTGATTCTCCTGCCTCAGCCTCCCAAGTAGCTGGGATTACAGGCATCCTCCACCACGTGTGGCCAATTTTTGTGTTTTTAGTAGAGACGGGGTTTCACCATGTTGGCCAGGCTGGCCTCGAACTCCTGACCTCGTGATCCGCCCACCTCAGCCTCCCAAAGTGCCAGGATTACAGGCGTGAGCCACTGCGCCCAGCCACACATGAGGTTCTCATTGTTGTTTTTAAATAGAGATGGGGTCTCCCTATCTTGCCCAGGCTGGTCTCAAACTCCTGGGCTCAAGCGATCCTCCTGCTTCTGCCTTCCAAAGTGCTAGGATTTCAGGTGTGAGCCATCACACCCAGCCATGTTACTGTTGTTGATGTTGTTGTTGTTGTTGTTGTTTGAGACAGGGTCTTACAGTGTTGCCCAGGCTGGAGTGCAGTGGCTCAATTTTGGCTCACTGCAACCTCCACCTCCCAGGTTCAAGAGATCCTCCTGCCTCAGCTGGGACTACAGATGCTCACCACCATGACCTTTCTTTTTTTTTTTTTTTTTTTTTTTTGTATTTTTAGTAGAGATGGGGTTTTGCCGTGTTGCCCAGTCAGGTCTTGAACTCCTGGACTCAAGCAATCCAGCTGTCTTGCCCTCGGCCTCCCAAAATGCTGGGATTATAGATGTGAGCCTCTGCGCCCAGCCCAGTCTTGTTGTTAAGAGATAGAGTCTCACTGTTTTGCCCAGGTTTGTCTTGAAATCCTGACCTCAAGCAATCCTCCTGCCTCAGCCTCCCTATTAGCTGGATTTCAGCACAAGCCACCATGCCTGACTATGTGGCTTTTTCTTCTTTTTATTTATTTATTTATTTATTTTTTGAGTTAGAGTCTTGCTCTGTCACCAGGCTGGAGTGCAGTGGCGCCCATCTCGGCTCACTGCAACATCAGCCTCCTGAGTTCAAGCGATTCTTCTGCCTCAGCCTCCCGAGTAGCTGGGACTATAGGCATGCGCCACCTGCCCAGCTAATTTTTGTATTTTTAGTAGAGACGCAGTTTCACCATGTTGGCCAGGATGGTCTCGCTCTCTTGACCTCATGATCCACCTGCCTCACCCTCCCAAAGTGTTGTGATTACAGGCGTGAGCCACCACACCCAGCCCGGCTCTTCCTCAACTAGGCCTTTGCACATACTGATCCCTCTCTTCAGAATGCTATTCCCCCACCTCTTTCTGTGCTAGCTGCTTCTTAGACCTTAGATCTTAGTCTAAAACTTACTTTTCTGGAAGGGCCTTATTTGAATACCTGTTTCATTTTCTCCTATTTTATTCTAACATATTTTCCAGATTTTTTTTTTATTCACAAGAGTCACCTCATTTATTATTACCTGTTTGTTCATTGTCTGTCTCTCCTATTAGACTATAAGCACCCTGAGGACAGGAACTACCTCTAGCTTGTTCACTACTGAGTTCCCAGTACCTTCACAGGGCCTGGCACATACTGGGTTCTCAATAGATATTTGTTGAATGAATGCATTAATATGCAGATTGTAATATTATATAATGACATCAGTTCTGTGGATTAAGTATTGTTTTAAATATATTTATATTTTATTAATCTCAAATATCTATATTCATTTAAAAAATATACAGCATCTTTTTTTTTGTTTTTTTGAGACAGTCTTGCTCTGTCACCCAGGCTGGAATGCAGTGGTGCGATCTTGGCTCACTGAAACCTTTGCCTCCCCGGTTCAAGAGATTCTCCTGCCTCAGCCTCCCATATAGCTGGGACTACAGGTGTGCACCACCGCTAATTTTTATGTTTTTTAGTAGAGATGGGGTTTCACCATGTTGGCCAGGCTGGTCTCGAACTCCTGGTCTCAACTGATCCTCCCGCCTTGACCTCCCAAAGTGTTGGGATTACAGGTGTAAGCCACCACACCCAGCCCAAGGATCTCTTTAAAATTAATGAAAGAATGAGTGAGGCCAGATACAGTGGCTCATGGCTGTAATCCCAGCCCAAGGTGGGTGGATCACTTGAGGTCAGGAGTTCGAGACCAGACTGGCCAACATGGTGAAACCCTGTTTCTACTAAAAATACAAAAATTAGCCAGACGTGGTGGTGCATACCTGTAATCTCAGCTACTCAGGAGGCTGAGGCAGGAGAATTACTTGAACCCGGGGGGCAGAGGTTGCAGTGAGCTAAGATTGCACCACTGCACTGCAGCCTGGGCAACAGAGCAAAACTCTGTCTCAACAACAACAGAAGAGATCCTTGGTAAAAGCAAAAAAGAAATACTGAAACTGTTTTTAAAAATATAAAGGAAAACAACAACAACAACATCATAAAGTATAGGCTGGGGGCGGTGGCTCACACCTGTAATCCCAGCACTTTTGGAGGCTGAGGTGGGCAGATCACCTGAGTTCGAGACCAGACTGACCAACATGGAGAAACCCCATCTCTACTAAAAATACAAAATTAGCTGGGCGTGGTGGCACATGCCTGTAATCCCAGCTACTCGGGAGGCTGAGGCAGGAGAATTGTTTGAACCCGGGAAGTGGAGGTTGTGGTGAGCTGAGATCATGCCATTGCACTCCAGAACTGGGCAACAAGAACAAAACTCTGTCTCAAAAGAAAAACAAAAAACATAAAGTGTAAATCTTCTTCTTTCAAAATTTCAGCAAATTGACTCAGTTCTAGTTAACTGAGGTTTTTCACGCACCTAGTAATCACTGAAGTCCAGCCTTTGCTTTTTGCTGATTTAATTTTATTATGCAAATTTTTTATTAATTTAATTTTTTTTCTTGGGAAAGGGTGGATCTTGCTCTGTTGCCCAGGCTAGAGGGCAGTGGCACAATTATAGCTCACTGCAGCCTTGAACTCCTGAGTTCAAGTGACCCTCCCACCTCAGCTTCCAGAGTAGCTGGGACTACAGGCACACCAATATACCTGACTCATTTAACTTTTATTTAACTCCTACTAGATGTTGTGGAGGCAAAGATGAGCTCCTTTTAGTAGTCCATGGCCCACTGGGAAACATGCATAAACAATTAGTTATAATTCATTGTAACTCAGGGAGGAAGTTAAACTCTAAGTCTCCCTCACCCAACTTGAGGACATCAGAGACAGTTTCTTACAGGAAGTGGCCTATGAACTGAAACTTGTAGATTGCATAGGACCAAGCTGAGTGAAGTGGAAAGGGCACAGTATGCAGAAAGACATGGAAACAAGAAACATTCCATTGTGTTCCAGGAATTACAAGCAACTCAGTGTTCCTGGAGCATAAACTTTGGGAAGGGAGTGGCAGCTGTTGACGCTTGAGAGGTAGGCAGGACCAGATGCAGGAAAGGGAGCTTGTACCTTATTAGGGCACTTGGACTTTGCACCCCCAGCCATGGGGATCCACCAGAGTGTTTTGTGGGAATTGTTAATAGTTAAGCTCTAAGAACATGTGAATTGAAAAATTTTATGCAAATTACATTCCATTTTTACACTACTAGCAGTTGGAAGAGATAGATCATAAACAAAAACTTCAAAGGATTTACAATCCGGCACTCTTTTAATTGTATTTATGCCAAACACTTTCCACATCAAAATGGATGTTTAAAATGAATAAATTTGATATTGTGAAGTAGGCCATCTTTAGTCCTGATGTTTATTAAATAGAAAGACTCAAAATCATCCAATTATTCTTGGAAAATGTACATGAATGTGTGGTATTTGGAACTCTATTTTAGAACCCAAATGTCATAGACATCTGGACACAAAAATTATGCAAGAGAGACCTTTAGAAATGTGTTACTAATTATTGACTCTCTCCTGCAACAGCATAACTGAGCCTTTGTTATAGGCACTGTGTGCAGTACTGCTGTAGACTGGCTTTTTTCACATGTGATGGTTGATTTTCATAAGATAGTTTTCATAACTAGAATCACAAAGCACTTCATAGAGTTAATAAGAAGGCTAATAAGACTCACAAATAAATTATATTAGCCATGATGAATGGACAAAACAATAGCTTAAAATTATCTAGGGAAAGAAGAGATATATGATCAAGCTAGCTGAAGAATTAGGGAAAGAATTCAGGGTGACTAGCTAACTAGCTGTAATAGAGTAGCTGTGTGAAGTTATGGAATTAGAACTGGATTCTAGTACTTGTCTTTTCACTTGCCAAATACGTCATTTAACCTCTCTGTGCTCTCATTTGTATTATCTATAACAGAAAGGTCAGACTTAATAGTCTTTGAGGCCTTCTTTAAATTCTAAAATGTAGGTTATAGGAGTTTAAAATATCAAGAAATCAACTCCTATTGAGTAACTGCTATATGTACCAGGAACAATTCCAAGTGATAGTGTCTAAGAACAAGGTAAGATCCATTTTTCATTGAGCTGAAATTCTAGTGGGAAGGGAGGACAAACAGAGAGATAGCTATAAATAGATAAAATAATTGTAGTTAGTAACACGTGCTGCAAAGGAAATAAGACAGGATAGTATTCTAGAGAAGGACTGGGTGGTCTTGGGGATGACATGACATAGGTAGGCAGAGAACTCTGAGACCTGAAGAAGAGCAGGGTCCAGATTTGGGAAAGATGGGAGTCAGGCACTCCTAATGAAGATTTCAAGTGCCAAAGAACTGGGCAGGGGACAAATTGGACTTCCTTGAGGAACACGAGAAGCCAGTGGTGCTGAAATACAGAAATGAGGGGGAAGAACAACAAGAAAAGAGGTAAGCTAAGTCATGCAGAGCCTCATAGGCTGTGGTAAAAAGTTTGAATTTTATTTTAAGTGCAGTAGTCAGCACTTAATGGAATTTAAGCTGAAAAGTGACACCATCTGATTTATTTTAAAATAAATCTTTGGCTACTGTGTTGAGATTTGATTGCAGATGGCAGACTGGAAATAGAGACCAGTTTCAGAAGTTATTGTAAAATGTCAATTAAGAGATTATAGTAGGCAGGACGCAGTGGTTCACGCATGTAATCCCAGCACTTTGGGAGGCTGAGACAGGCGGATCACCTGAGGTCAGGAGTTCAAGACCAGTCTGGCCAACATGGCAAAACCCCGTCTCTACTAAAAATACAAAAGTTAGCCGGGCATGGTGGTGGGCGCCTGTAATCTCAGCTACTTGGGAGTCTGAGGCAGGAGAATAACTTGAATCCGGGAGGCGGAGGTTGCAGTGAACTGAGATGGTGCCACTGCACTCCAGCCTGGGCGACAGAGTGAGACTCTCTTTCAAAAAAAGAAAAGAGATAATAGTAACTAGCACCAAGATGGTGTAAGTGGAAAGAAAAAGCCTAAAACAAGGTGTTACTTATTGTTCTGAATCCTTGTATTTAAATGTCTTCTGTGTTAATGTGGTATTTTAGAAACTGACTCAAATTAACTCACAAATCTGGTAACCATGATATAAATTTAATGAAAAATGAAGGAGGTCAGTTAGGAAAAGAGTAATGCCAAATAAATGCTACTTGCTCTGATAAGTTTTGTGCTGAATTTGGTGCCATGCATATTTGGAGATTTTCATTTGAAGTTTCAAATAATTTCAGGAGAAATAGAATATTTAGAAAGAGAAATCACAGCCATAAAAAAGGATGAGTTCATGTCCTTTGTAGGGACATGGATGAAACTGGAAACCATCATTCTGAGCAAACTATCGCAAGGACAGAAAACCAAACACTGCATGTTCTCACTCATAGGTGGGAATTGAACAATGAGAACACTTGGACACAGGATGGGGAACATCACACACGGGGGCCTGTCGTGGGGTGGGGGGCTGGGGGACGGATAGCATTAGGAGATATACCTAATGTAAATGACGAATTAATGGGTGCAGCACACCAACATGGCACATGTATACATATGTAACAAACCTGCACGTTGTGCACATGTACTCTAGAACTTAAAGTATAAAAAATAAAATAAAATAAAAATAAAAATAAGAAAGAGAAATCAAGCAACTTTAGGATAGGTTGATAACTAGCAAGGATTCCCCATAGACATTGCTGTCCAGTTCTATTTTCAAAATATGTGAATTTGTTCAACAATGTATTTTGTGAAGATTAGATATTTTCAGCAGATAGACTCTGTACTTGGAACAAGTCCTCTAACCAATTTTGGGCAATTAAACAACTGAAACTATTTTTAGAAAATATAAAATATATCTATTTCTACTGCCTTTCCATTAAATATTTACAGTGATACAAAAAATATACTGGCCAATAACAGTAGAAAATCAAGACATGCACCCAATTTGGAGAGAGCTGAGGAATAAAGGATATTATTATAACTGCCTGTTCCTAATGTAAAGATATTAGCTTGCGATATCAATATATTTAATAGAGACATAGCACTTCCTAAGTTTAAAACATTTAATTTGTATACTATTTATTTAAAATTCAAGAATCGTAAACCCAGCACTTTGGGAGGTGGATCATGTGAGCCCAGGAGTTCGAGACCAGCCTGGGCAACAGTGTGAAATCCTGTCTTTACAAAAAATACAAAAATTAGCTGGGCTTGGTGGCACACACCTGTAGTCCCAGCTACTCAGGAGGGTGAGGTGGGAAGATCACCTGAGCCCAGGAAGGTAGAAGGTGCAGCGAGCTAGGATCATGCTACTGCACTCCAGCCTTGGCTACAGAGAAAGACCCTGTCTCAAAAATTGGCCTTTGAGGCCCTACGCTCAGGCCTGCTTCCACACTATGGAGTGTACTTTCATTTTCAGTTTCCCTTCGTCCCTTCCTCGGTTTGTTTGTGCATTTTGTCCAATTCTTTGTTCAAGATGCCATTTGTTCAAGATGCCAAGAACCTGGACACCCTCCACCGTTAACATATTTTGGAGAGCCAGCCAGGAGGAAGAGCAGGGTCACCAGGGCTGCTCAGGGAGAGAGAACCCAGAAACCTGGCATGCCAGCATAAAGAGACCATCAAGCTTCAGATGATCATGCAACAAAGGTTCCAGCCAGTTCCAGGTAAAGACACCACCACTGGCCATCAGGAATCTACCCTGCCTCCACTAGTTGGAGCAGGATGAGAGTTCTTTAATCCCCAATAAGTAGGGACTACACCCGGAGCCAGCATGAAGCAGTTACAGAAAAAAGACCATCGGTCCTTCTGCCTCCCATAAAGATTTATGGGGATCACATCTCTCAGAGGGGAGATGAGGCAGTAAAATAGGGCGTGGAGGCAGGGAACAAAAGGCCGATTCATACTTCAGCTATGACAGCAAATATCCCCTCCACAGGGCATGTACGGAGTAAATTAATTTGAAACTTTACTTCATCCTCTTCATTTACATAGGGCGTACCCCAAGTAGCAGGTATATAAACTCACAAAAACTCTGTAACAGGGCCTTTGAGCCCCTATGCTTAGGCCCATTCCCACATTGTGGAGTGTACGTTCATTTTCGATAAATCCCTTCATCCTTTCAAAAAAAAAAAAAAGGCAAAACATGAACTTGTCTTGGAGGCATGGTAAATTAAAAAAAAAAAGCACTTCAAGAATAATTTCCCCCTAGAACTAATATAACCACTCAGGCCGGCCCACAAATATCTGTTTAACCATTATATAATCAAATAACAGTGAGTGATATCATTAGTTATAAGGTTACAGGAAGACTAAGGGCCCCCCTTACGTAAGAAGAAGGTGAAGAAGAAAAATATTTCCACACCTTCTCTGGATACAGGCATAATTCTGGAAAATTATTTTGCCATATAATAATTGTAGGACTCTGCCATCTCCCTTTCTGCAACTCATTCCCCTGAAAGTCCTGTGTTCTCCCAGGTTACTTAGGCACCTATTAGTTGACTGAACCCAATTTAGTCTACTTCTCCAATTGCTCTTTACCCGCAGATTACCTGCCTCCTCTCCCTGTGAAAAAATGTTTTCTTTATTTTATTTTTTTTGAGACTGAGTCTCGCTCTGTCACCCAGGCTGGAGTGCAGTGGCATGATCTCGGCTCACTGCCAGCTCCATTTCTCGGGTTCAAGCCATTATCCTGCCTCAGCCTCCCGAGTAGTTGGGACTACAGGTGCCCGCCACCACGCCCGGCTAATTTTTTGTATTTTTAGTAGAGACGGGGGTTTCACCGTGTTAGCCAGGATGGTCTCGGTCTCCTGACCTCGTGATCCACCCGCCTTGGCCTCCCAAAGTGCTGGGATTACAGGCGTGAGCCACCGCGCCCGGCCATGTTTTCTTCAGTGTCATTTAAAAGTTAGGAAAGCAATCTGATTAAACAACACATTAATCTATTAATGGCTGGCAGATAAGTAAACTTTTGAATTATGTGCATCTTTAAAAATCCACAACTGCCTATTAACCTAGATGAATCCTAATTAGTGTAAATTTAGGCAATGTAATAAAAATGAAAGAGAATGGAGCTGTATTATTTTTCTTATTTTCTTTGCTTCCAGATCCCCAGATTCTATCATGGCTCCATATATACATTCCTTTATGCATTTTACCCCAGGTAATCTTTATCACAATTCTGCAGCTAAATAATACCTTTAGTTTCAGAAGAAATTGAAATATATCTCCTCTTCCCAGGCAGTTTTGATTAAAATCCCTTACTTCTGGTGAGCTTGTTCCCCAAGCAGGGCTAAGTACCAATCCTTCACCTCATCTAAAAGTCACCTTTTCTCTGCCACTCAAAGAGCCCTTGACGTCTTTTAAGTTGTCTATAAAGTTTTTTCAAGCCATTAAGAAAATAGCATTTTTTTTTCTATTCCATGAACACTGTACCACAGAAATAGAACAGTAGTTGTTGACATGATGCCACTCTGCCTGAACCTGGGAACACATATGGATGTCCTCCCTACTCAGTGAGATAGGAGGGAGAAAGACCAGTGTTATTGACTCTTGTAATACCAGCTCTATCACTAACTTGAACGACTCTTGAACTTTCTGTGTCTGTCCAGAACCGGAAGGGGTGGGGGGGGTGTGTGTGCGTGTAGAGGTACAAGAGGTGTATAATACCTGCCTCATGATCTTTACAGAATTAAGGCTCAGATCAATAAGATGATGTATCTGAAAATGCTTTGAATAAATACAAAGTGCTGTAATTCTAAAACAAAACTATTTGTTGAGCTCTCACTATGTGCGGGCACTGTGCTCAATGCTTTACCGGATTTGCATCATTTAATCACCTCAATAAACACTAAAGTGAGGATTATTAACCCAGTTTTACAGATGAGGAAATGGAGGCTTAGATCATAAATGCCCAAGGTCCATAGGACATGGTCCCCTAACTAATGGCATGGGGAGCCAACTTTAGAGCTGGAAGATGAGCCCAGGCTTATCTGGCCCCTTTGCCACTTTCTTCACCACTGGATTATACTGCTCCTCATTCTGCACATGGAAGTCAGTGCAATCTGCCTCATCTATTTTTATTAACCCTCAAGCTACTTATCCCTAATATAAACATCCTAAATCTAATTTACTAATTTTATAGTGACATTCTACTTATTTATTTATTTATTTTTTGAGATGGAGTCTCGCTCTGTCGCCCAGGCTGGAGTGCAGTGGCACAATCTCCGCTCACTGCAACCTCCACCTCCTGGGTTCAAGCGATTCTCCTGCCTCAGCCTCTCGAGTAGCTGGGACTACAGGCACACACCACCACACCCGACTACTTTTTGTATTTTTTAGTAGAGACAGGGTTTCACCATGTTGGTCAGGCTGGTCTCGAACTCCTGACCTCAGGTGATCCACCCACCTTGGCCTCCCAAAGTGCTAGGATTACAGGCATGAACCCCTGTGCCCCACCCATTCTACTTATTTTGCTGTTCATATGTTACATGTCAGTGTACTTCGTAAAATTGTAAACATTTTTTTTTGAGACAGAGTCTTGCTCTGTGGCCCAGGCTGGAGTGCTGTGGCGCGATCTCGGCTCACTGCAAGCTCCGCCTCCTGGGTTGAGGCCATTCTCCTGCCTCAGCCTCTGGAGTAGCTGGGACTACAGGAGCCCGCCACTACGCCCAGCTAATTTTTTGTATTTTTTAGTAGAGACGGGGTTTCACCGTGTTAGCCAGGATGGTCTCGATCTCCTGACCTCGTGATCCACCTGCCTTGGCCTCCCAAAGTGCTGGGATTACAGGTGTAAGCCACCACACCCGGCCCAAAATTGTAAACTTTTTAACAATAAGGCCCACTTCCTTGCAGTGTCGTCTGTGTGATGCCCTGCACAGAAGTACAGTCTTCCTATTTTATGATGAGAAGGATAAAGAATCAGGAATCCAGGTGTCGGGGTTGAGTAAATCTATTGAGGAGCCCACAAAGCCAGGTGTGGTGGCTCACACCTGTAATCCCAGCACTTTGGGAGGCCAAGGCGGGTGGATCACTTGAGGTCAGGAGTGCAAAACCAGCCTGACCAACATGGTGAAACCCCTTCTCTACTAAAAATACAAAACTAGCTAGGCGTGGTGGTGGGCGCCTGTAGTCCCAGCTACTCAGGAGGCAGAGGCAGGAGAATCGCTTGAACCCAGGAGGCAGAGATTGCAGTGGGCCGAGATCGCACCACTGCACTCCAGCCTGGGCAACAGAGTGAGACTCTGTCTAAAAAAAGAAAAGAAAAGAAAAGAAAAGAAAAGAGTTCACAAAACAAATGATCCTCACAGGAGCAACTGAGAGATTTATTTAATTCTTCTAAGTGGCCAGCTATAATATAGTTAAGCACCAGAATATGCTGATATTATGTAAAGATGATTTTAAAAGTTATATGTGGGTAGAAAAAAAGTTGTGAGTCATACACTGAAAGAGGCTTAGCTTTTTTTTTGTATTATATAAATAATTAGAATCACATTTCAGAAATGTGCCCCAAACTCACCAGCCAGAATTTTAAAACTTTAAAAAATACGTTGAATAATTTATTTCTTTTTGGGAGCTGAAATTGGTTTATATGTGTATAGTAGATCAAGACCAAGTTTTTTTAATATTCCTGTATACAGTCGTGAGAGATAATGCACAAGTTATGCTCTTCAAGGTCATGAATAATTATGGCCAACCTTGGACAAAAAACCAGGCATCTTATGAGTAGAAAAAAAAAAAAAAAGCCGGGCACGGTGGCTCACACCTGTAATCCCAGCACTTTGGGAGGCCGAGGTGGGCGGATCACCAGGTCAAGAGATCGAGACCATGGTCAACATGGTGAAACCCCATCTCTACTAAAAATACAAAAAAAAAAATTGGCTGGGCATGGTGGCAGGCACTTGTAATCCCAGCTACTTGGGAGGCTGAGGCAGGAGAATCACTTGAACCCAGGAGGCAGAGATTGCAGTAAGCCGAGATCGCACCATTGCACTCCAGCCTGGGCAAAAAGAGCGAAACTGTCTCAAAAGAAAACAACAAAAAAAAAAAAAAAAAGGAAGAAAGGAAGTCACATCTTGAACAACACAGACAATGCCTGTATATACATTCTCTCCTAAGCCTCTGCAACCATGGAAAATCATTGCAGGAAATTGCAGGAAGATTATATGAACAGAGCTCTTTTTCTAGCCTCTGGCAGGGAGTAATTCTTCTATTCCTTATAACCTTATGAGGGTCACCTCCCATCTTCAGCATTTTTTTTTTTTTTTTGAGATGGAGTCTTGCTCTGTCACCCAGGCTGGAGTGTACTAGTGCGATCTCAGCTCAATGCAGCCTCCGCCTCCTGGGTTCAAGTGATCCTTCTACTTCAGCCTCCCAAGTAGCTGAGATTACAGGTGCCCGCCACCATGCCTGGTTAATTTTGTATTTTTAGTAGAGATGGGTTTTTGCCATGATGGCCAGGCTGATCTTGAACTCCTGGCCTCAAATGATCCACCCATCTCGGCCTCCCAGGGTGCTGGAATTACAGGCGTGAGCCACCGCACCCAGCCCCATCTTCAGCTTTTGAGTGGAAGCAGAAGTGTTTTGAAGAGTCAGTATGAGAAAGATTCAGTTCATCATGTCTAATTTTTCCTCTTCCTTTAAAAAAATATCTTGGGACAGCAGTAGTTGTCAAGACCATCATGTTAAGTATAGTCAGTATCTAGGGAACTACTGTTAGGTACTCCCAGAATGTTATTCTCTAAGGAGAAAGCCAGAAAGGATAAAAATATTGAAGATGGGACCTGTCTTCTACAGATGAGACAGACCATAATTGAATGCCTGAGAAAACTGCAACCATCCGAATTTTATCACTATGACTGCCTTATTGCCTGGTCTACCGGTAAGGTGATGGAGAAGAAGTGATAATCATAACTAGGATACCAAGGACAGGACAAGACAAAAAGGCCAAGTTGCAAAAGTGGTTAGGAAAGTCAAGAGTGAAAGGGGGTGAGTTCTGAGGTCACTGTTTATTACGCACTGTCTGAATTAAGAAAAAAAAAATGTTAGCAGAAGGCCAGAACCTAGGCAATGGAGATGACAAAATCCATCTCTCCTAGAAAGATATTTAGTAATGCTCCTGCATTGTCCAGGAGAAAGAGTCATTCACTCTACCCGACACAGTGCATCCAGGCCCTGGAGAATCAGTGTGCTCTGTTACAGTGAGGACAGGAATAGTTCACCTTGCTTTTCTCTGGGTTGGAAGAAATGTCTCATAAGACTAGTAGTTTCTTTTTTTTCTCTCTTTTTTTTTTGAGATGGAGTCTCGCTGTGTCACCCAGGCTGGAGTGCAGTGGCGAGATCTTGGCTCACCGCAAGCTCCGCCTCCCGGGTCACGCCATTCTCCTGCCCCAGCCTCTTGAGTAGCTGGGACTACAGGCGCCTGCCACCACGCCCACGTAATTTTTTGTATTTTCAGTACAGACGGGGTTTCATGGTGTTAGCCAGGATGGCCTCGATTTCATGATCTCGTGATCCGCCCACCTCGGCCTCCCAAAGTGCTGGGATTACAGGCATGAGCCACCGCGCCCGGCCAAACTTCTGACTTCTAACTTAACTCTTGCTTAGGCATGAGTGGATAGGAATAGCAAGATCTTTGCACGGGTCTATATCTTTTATTGTTAGTTAATACATTAGCATTTTGTTTTATACCTTGAGCTTTTATACTTTGAATTTTGATTTTTGTTTGTACGAGTTTTGTTTGTTTTTTGAGACAGAGTCTCACTCTGTCGCCCAGAGTGGAGTGCAGTGACACAATCTCGGCTCACTGCAACCTCTCAGGTTCAAGCAATTCTCATGCCTCAGCCTCCTGAGTAGCTGGGATTACAGGCATGCACCACCATGGACTGGCTAATTTTTGTGTTTTTAGAAGACACAGGGTTTCGCCATGTTGGCCAGGCTGGTCTCAAACTCCTGGCCTCAAGTGATCCACCCGCCTCAGCCTCCCAAAGTGCTGGGACTGCAGGCATGAGCCACTGCACCTGGCCTGTTTGTTTTTTTTTGATACAGGGTCTCACCCTGTTGCCCAGACTGGAGTGCAGTGGTGCAATCATGGTTCACTGCAGCCTCTACCTTCTGGAAGCAAGAAATCTTCCCACCTCAGCCTCCTGAGTAGCTGGGACTATAGGCATGTGCCACCACATTGGCTAATTTTTCTTTTAATTTTTTGAAGAGAGAGGGTCTCACCCTGGCTGATCTCAAACTCCTGGTCTCAAGCAATACCCTCGCCTTGGCCTTCCGAAGTGCTGGGATTACAGGCATGAGTCACCATGCCCACGCTATACTTTGACTTTTGAGGTTAGTGGTTATGCCTAAGAACGTGGTCAGTTCAAGTGCATCTTCAAAATCAAAATTCTTAGATACACCTAGACATACCAGGGTTAGACACCCTAAAACATGTAATTAGAACAGAATAAGGCAAAAGTAGGTGCTCAGCTGGCTTTTCTTTATGATTCCTTTATGTTGTACAGATATAATTTCAGGAATAGGAAGATTTTTATGGTAGTTAAAGCAATTTTTTCTCTTACTCTGTAACTAAAGACAAGAATAAGCAACTGCTGCAGGTGACAGGTGGTAAAGCTGTATCATTCAACTTCAACTATCTGGCTCTTCAGAACATCTGCATGAGACGCAAAACTTTTCCAGTTGTATCGTGTCTGATAGCATTTAACATACTATGTGGTATTGATGAATGCAATTATTTCTTAAATTATGTGTACCTATTTTACGTCAGGCCTTGTGTGGAACTGTCCAGAAATTCACATTAAACAAGACATATAAATAAGTAGCTAAAGTAATTATGTGATGGGCGGGGCATGGTGGCTCACACCTGTAATCCCAGCACTTAGGCTGAGGTGGGCAGATCACTTGAGGTCAGGAGTGCAAAACTAGCCTGGCCAACATGGTGAAACCCTGTCTCTACTAAAAATACAAAAATTAGCCGGGTGTGGTGGCTGGCGCTGCAAGCCCAGCTACTCAGGAGGCTGAGGTAGGAGAATCACTTGAACCCAGGAGGCGAAGTTTGCACCAAGCCAAGATCGCGCCACTGCACCCCAGCCCCGGGGACAGAGCAAGACTCCATCTCAAGAAAAAAAAAATTGTTAAAATAATGATAATTATGTGAAGGATTATGAGATTATGTACAAGGCACAGGGATGGCAAGGGATGGAGAAATTTCTGGTCATGGAACCGGGAAGACTCCCTAGAGGAGGTGGCCTTTGAGCTGGATGTTGAAGAAAATATAATGTATTTCCCTCTTGGCATAGGAGAAAGGGAATTCCAGGCAGAGGAAATGGCTGGAAAGCAAAGCCTAGAAGGTATGAAACAGATTGGCTTGTACAGCAAATTGCTAGAATATTGATTGAGCAACAAGATGAGGTAGGAGGTATGCCTGCTAATGACTTAATCGGGTGGGTGTTGGAGACATTTAAAATAGGGAAGCGATATGATATTAAGAAAAGTTTTTTGTAGTTGGCATGACAATGAAGCAAAAGGGAGCAAGAGAAAGGAAGTCCAATTAAGAGTCTAGGTCCTAAATTAAGGCAGTTGTAATGAGAATGGAAAGGATAAAACAGGTTTGAGAATGGTTTGGCAGCTAGAATCAGTAGGGCTTGGTGACAGATTGTGTTTGGGGGCGAGAGAGGGAGGAACTAGCATAACTCCCAAATTACTTGCTTTGGAACATAGGGATCTTTTATTAAATCTTTCTGTAAACCATTATACATTATTCATTGTGAGATTAAAGATGTGCCTGCGTTGTGAATCATCATTAGCTTCCGACTAAGGGAATCCCTAGATTAGAAATCAACTCCCACCCACCTCCAACCCTGCTCTTCCTGACCATTTTGTGCCTTTCACCGGAAGCTGTGAGATCTGACTTCAGGCAAAAAAAATATGTAACTAAAACAGACCTATTGTCCTAGAAAAAAGAAATATGAAAGCCAAAAGATACAATTAAACACATTTGGAATGCTCGGAACGAGGTGTCCATGGCTTTATCACAGACTGTAGCTGCACTGTATGTGTGCAGCTTTGCCTGGTTTTCATTAAGCAAAGAAACTGGCTTTCAATAGCCAAAATGTGAGAAGTTATTTAGTTACAGGGTAACCAGGAACTTGTGCTTGAAAATTTAGATGTGTATTAGTAAAATTACGTCTTGGCCTTTTCAACTGGATAAAAATAATGAAGCAAACATGTATTATCATAAATAGATACTGCATTATCAGATTACGGGTGTTTGAGGGTTAAAAAGTTTATGCGACTAGTTTTTCCTTGAGTTTTGCATGGGTTTCATTATTGCTTCTGCGCAGCCTTTAGGGGAGCATTCTAGCTTAGCGGTTAGGAATCTTAGCTCTGGAGTTCAAACACTTATGTCTTTGGGCATGCCATCAATTGTCCCTGTTATTTTGTCACTCACACACACATGAAATTAATAATATCAGCATGATCTTTGAGTGGAACCCAATTCCAACACAGAAATACTAGATAGATAGGATCGGACTTCAAGAAACATGTAACTGAGTGGTTTTCAAACATTATAGTGCATTATAGTCACCTGGAGGGCTTGTTAAGCCACAGATTGCTGGGCCCTAACCCAGAATTTCTCATTTAGTAGAAGATCTGCAGTGGAGCCTAAGAATTTGCATTTCTGACAAATCCCAGATTGTCTGGGGCCCATACTTTGAGGAAGACAAATCTAATTGGAAAGGAATTAATTTAAGGGGAGAAGGTGGAGGGTGGAGGGTGGAGAAGCACTTAGAAAAGAGGTGTACATGGTTTGCTGTTGATTGTTTTAATGGGAGGGAGTCTTGCTATGTTGCCCAGGCTGGTCTTGAACACCTGGGCTCAATAAATCCAAGAGGCTCCTACCTGAGCCTCTTGGTAGCTGGGACTACAGGTGCTCTCTGCCACGCCCTATTACTGATCTTGTTTGGGAAGCTGAACCACACACATTAAGAACGCCAGTGGTTGATGAGCCGTTCACTTAACTGAGAATAATTTTATTACTAGGATGACATTAAGTTTCTACCATCCTAGGAATATATCCCCATAATTAGAGTGTGCATTTGTCCCACTCAGGGAAACACATATATTCCAACTGACCTTTTCCACAATGTCAGGGTTTTATGCTTAACCTGAACCAAACCAAACCATGAACCATTTAACTGGGATATACCAGGCTAATTGGTTATGCTCAGAAACTAAACTGAATCTAAAATATCCTTTCCCTGAAGTGTGAACCAAATGAAAGATTTTTTGTTTGTTTATTTAAAAAAAATAGTGAACTCATTCAAGTTAGAAACATTTGGTTTCTTAAACTATTGAAAAGCAAAATTATATTCCCTGACATACTGATTCATTAAAAAAAAAAAAAACTCTTAAGTTACCATTATATTGAGTAACAAGTAGTTGACTGAAATACTAAAATATGCAGTCCCTAAAAAAGTCAGGGTCCCAGCAAGAAAGAGTATTCCCCTCATAGGGGTCAAATCAAGATACTTTAATGAAGGAACTACTTACCTAGCTATGATAAGGGTACTAGAGACGGGTGTTTAGGTACCAAGAAACTAGCAACAGCAGGAAGTGTTTACCACCCTGGGCATAAAGAGGCAAAAAAAGGATGTTGTGTTCACTGAGTCCAGTTAGAAGAGGACCTATGTTTCCAGAATGTTTGGCGAGAGGTCTAGTCTTAGGGATCTCTCTCCCTCCTCAAACACACACATTAGAATAGAGTTGCTAGCTCAGGGAGCAAAGGGAGAGACATAGCTCTGCCTCTGTCTCCTGCTAGCTTCTAATCTCCTGTTGGTACCTTCCTCTGTCTGAATCCAGCTGAAAGTCAGGTGTCAAGGAAGCCCAAGTGATCTATTTGCAGGAGTCAGCTTCCTGGCAGAGAAGGGCCAGTGGTGGAAGGCAAACGGAGACTGACAGCTCAATCTTCTTTTACTAAATTAATGCTAGGCATTATGGGAAGTATTAGCAAGTGAGTTAATGTATATAAAATTCTTAGAAAATTCCCTCGCACATAGGAAGCATTAAATCCTAACCGTTAGCTATTATTATTGCTACTATAATTAGCCCTATTTTACAGATAAGAAAACTAAGTTTCATAGACTTTAAGCAACTTCTCCGTGGTTAACAATTAGTAACAGAACCCACACTCAAATCCAGATTTTTAGATGCCAATTTTGTACAAATTATATTAATGTTTACTATAGCACCGTATAAGATTAGGCATTGCATACATATTTAATTTTGTAATTTATTGCAGAATAAAACATCTTTACTCTTGATCTAACTAAAGAAATCTGTAACCAAATTGACACTTTTTGAAATACATAGAAATAAAATAAGTGAAACTATTATTTCAAAGGCAACTCTACCTGGTCAATAATATTATTAATAGTCATGGTAATGTTGGTGTTAGTAGTGATAGTAGTAATAATAACAGTTGTTACAATTCTTGAGTGTTTATTATATGTCCATCACTGTGCTATTTTTAAGGTATTGTAATAATGTAACCACTAAACCATGGCACCCATTTTTAATTTCCTGTTCATTCTTTTAATTTTTTTAAACTTGGAAATAATTCACTTGGACGATTTTCCTGGCCCTTGTTTGACTACTTAAGGTTTTATAAAATAATTTAAAATGTGAGGTATATATTATCTCCTTTAAAAACTCCCAGATAACATTATTTTTTCCCTATAATTGTTGGATAATTTATTCTTCTCATTACATTGTCATGATACAAAATTAGCCCTAAGGCAAGAGGCATGAATTAGCCATGCATTCCAAATTTGATTACATGAAATAAGACATTTTGAACATAAACATAGTTTGCTTCTTATTTGTGTCAGGTCAGCTTTTTTTGGCAACAGATTTGAAACAGTGAGATAGCCTTTTACCCTTAGGTCTTTGCATTTTAGGTTTTTAGAGTTTCAGTACAAAGAAGGCATAATCAGCAAGCGGAGACATCATATGTACATTTCCAGTAAGCTAAAGAAAAAAATGTTTTTCCTGTGGGGCTGATTTCCAACCTGTCACACTATCTGTCAACTCTTTTCTGATGATTGGAGCAATTATCAGACAAGGGCACTGTAACCAATGGCTCATCACAATTGAGTTTCTTTCTTGGCAGTCAAGTTACAGAGTTATCATTAAGAAAGTCAGTGAAGCAACAGCATTACAGAGGCAGTGCAACACTGAAAACCAACCACATGAAAGAAAAAAATCCTACTCGTACACCGTTTGCTTTGCTTTCTACTTTATTGTCCAGTTACTGCATAGGGTGACACATAAGAAAACGCTTAATTACAGTAGAGGCTGAACCATATAAAACTGACAATATTTGACCAATAATTGACCAGTTTGACCTATGAAGATGGGAGTTTCCTGTGGTTCATCCTAATAACTCTGCTTCTGATTTAAGCAGTCCGTGGAGTAGGAACATTTTATTTACAGATCATTTTACAAGGCCCCTCACCCCACCATTGGTAAACATATTGCTTTTGCACATTCTACAAATGAAAGTCACTTCTGATTTTTTCCCTCTTGTTGAGGATTTCGATTAAATTTTAACATCCAGAAATGTGTGTTGGCCGGGTATGGTGGCTCACGCCTGTAATCCCAGCACTTTGGGAGGCCGAGGCGGGCAGATCACTTGAGGTCAGGAGTTCGAGACCAGCCTGGCCAAGATGGTGAAACCCCGTCTCTACTAAAAATACAAAAATTAGCTGGGCATGGTGGCGCATGCCTGTAGTCCCAGCTACTGGAGAGGCTGAGGCATGAGAATTGCTTGAACCCGGGAGGCAGAAGTTGCATTGAGTGAGTGTAGTACAGTGTGTACTATACTATAGTATAGTATCTGTATATATCTGATTTTAAAAAAGGAACAAACGGAACAGGAAAGGATTGTCTATGCATTTGTATAAACCACATATTAGAAAATGTCATAGTTATGATTTTTTTCTTTGTGAGACTAGGAAATGATTTCTCACACATAGATGTCTGTTTTGTGGTGAGTTTTAGGAACAGACTTTTGCAATTAAGATGAAAACATCATATTTAAAACATGAAGAGTTTTGAGAATAAGATATTCATTTTATAATTATGCTAGTCTACCCAAATTCTCACTTATTATTTAATATCTATATGTAAAT
The DNA here is from genome assembly GCF_000001405.40 of Homo sapiens. Classification (NCBI taxonomy): domain Eukaryota; kingdom Metazoa; phylum Chordata; class Mammalia; order Primates; family Hominidae; genus Homo; species Homo sapiens. Next base: position 80,419,864 of record NC_000008.11, on the reverse strand, counting down.
TCTTAAAATTTGACATGTTCTTTAAAACTTCTATAAGTAATTTTCTCTTTGATATTATTATAGCTGCTCTTAAATACAGAGAGAAATGTGTGAAATACAGAGCAACTGAGTGCTGCATCAGGCAGATGAGTCAGCAGCTATGGCCCAGCTGTATGCGTGGTCCACAGGTGTCCTTTGCCTTGGGTAGCCTTTACAGGCCGAATTTTTTTTTTTTTTTTTTTTTTTTTTTTTGAGATGGAGTCTTGCTCTGTCACCCAGGCTGGAGCGCAGTGGCACGATCTTGGCTCACTGCAACCTCCGCCTCCCGGGTTCAAGTGATTCTCCTGGCTCAGCCTCCTGAGTAGCTGGGATTACAGGTGCCTGCCACACACCTGGCTAATTTTTGTATTTTTAGTAGAGTTGGGGTTTCACCATGTTTGCCATGCTGGTCTCGAACTCCTGACCTCAGGTGATCTGCCTGCCTCGGCCTCCCAAAGTGCTGGGATTATAGGCGTGAGCCACTGCGTCCGGCCTACAGGCAGAATTTTTTGAAGGATCTCATGCAAACTTTACAAATCTATTTCTTCTGCAGCTCCTTTGCAGTAACCACATCTGCAAAACACACCCTAAATACTAGAAGCTGGCTGGGCACAGTGGCTTATGCCTGTAATCCCAGCACTTTGGGAAGCCGAGGCGGGTGGGGTGGATCGCTTGAGCCAAGGAGTTCAAGACCAGCCTGGGCAACATGGCAAGACCCCTGTCTCTACAAAAGTACAAAAAATTAACCAAGTCTTAGCAACTCAGGAGGCCGAAGTGAGAGGATCTCTTGAGCCTGAGAAGTTGAGGCTGCAGTGAGCTGAGATTGTGCCACTGCACTCCAGCCTGAGTGACAGAGTAAGACTCTGTCTCAAAAAAAAACAAAAAAATCCTAGAAGCTTTAATGACCGGAGTATAGGAAGTTTGGTGATTTCCTCAGCAGTGTGATGTTAAGTCAGAGACCACGGTTTAACAAGTGCAGGTTTATGACGCAGATTTGATTCAGCAGGCCAGCTGTCTCGAGCACCGCATTTTTAACACGTTCCTGGGGGATCACATGCTGCTGCTCTGCGGACCACACCTTAGCAAGGAACTCGAGAGTTCCACTTTCATGACCTACTAGCATCTTACAGGCAATAAAACCCAATCCAGACTTACCATCTTCCTCCCCAAACCAGTCTTCCTCTTGAATTCTCATTAATTTTTGCCACTATTCCTTCTCCACCCAACCACAGAGTAATGAGAGGTTCCTAATCTCTCCCATACTCACATCCAAATCACTGATGAAGTTCTGCTGACTCTCCCCCATGTTTCACATCACTGTTTTTTGTTTGTTTGTTTGTTTGTTTGTTTTTGAGACAAGGGCTCTCTCTGTTGCTGCCCATGCTGGAGTGCATTAGCATGATCACAGCTCACTGCAGCCTTGACCTTAGGGGCTCAAATGGTCCTCCCACCTCAGCCTGCTGAATGGCTGGGACTACAGCAGGTATTACCACTCCTGGCTAATTTTTTTTAATTTAATTTTTATTTTGTAATTTTTTTTTAGAAACAGGGTCTCCCTATGTTGCCCAGGCCTGTCTTGAATTCCTAGGATCAAGAGATCCTCCTGCCTTGACCTCCCAAAGTGCTGGGAGCACCTGGCCTGAGACACTGTGCCTGGTCAATTTTTTTTTCTGTAGAGACAGGGGTCTCACTATATTGCCCAGGCTGTCAAATCATTTTTCATTTCATTGCTGCTGCCAGGACCCAGGCCTCAATGACCTCTTATTCCTGACTATCCTTCCAGCTCTCCCAGTCTCCGCTCTGCCTACTCCAAAGCTATGCACCATTGCCATTCTAGAGCAGTGCTTATTTATGTGGATAGTCCACTGAAACACCACATGGAATAGAGTCTAGAGTCCTTGACCTGGAACTCCAGGTCCTACGCTCCCACTCTGGTTTTCCATTCTTTTCTCTTAACGTTCTCATGTGTGAACCTTATGGATTACTTGTCACGATCTGAATTCCTTTTTTTTTTTTTTTTTTTTTTTTCAGACAGAATCTTGTTCTGCCGCCCAGGCTGGAGTGCAGTGGCGCAGTCTCAGCTCACTGCAACCTCTGCCTCCCAGGCCTCAGCCTCCCAGGTAGCTGGGACTTACAGGCGCGCGTCACCACGCCCAGCTAATTTTTGTATTTTTAGTAGAGACGGGGCTTCACCATGTTGACCAGGCTGGTCTCAAACTCCTGACCTCAAGTGATTCGCCTGCCTCCCAAAGTGCTGAGATTACAGGCGTGAGCAACCGCACCTGGCTGCTGAATACCTTTGATGCTTTCAATTGTCCTCAAAGTTCCCAAGTTCCTATGTCACTTAAAGTGTCATATGAGTGCTACGAAGTGTCATAAGCATCCAAAAGAGCCTGGGATGAACAGCTTCATGACATAAGTGGCATATCTCTGGGCCTGGAGGGTAATAAGGATTTCTATAGAGATTATTAACTGTTTCTACATCTCTGTATCATTGAACTTGTTTAAAGGGCATTCATCATTTATTTAAAAAATCCAATAAATTGAACATATTAATAAATACATCAACAACAATGAGAAAAGAGAATCTTTTGGGCCTCTGTTTTCATTGCACAATCCACAACCAAACAAGTGCAAATACCATTGTAATTTTTTCTTTTTCTTTCTTTTCTTTTTTTTTTTTTTTTTTGAGACAGAGCCTCACTCTGTTGCCCAGGCTGGAGTGCAGTGGCCTGATCTCAGCTCACTGTAATATCCTGAATTCAAGAGATTCTTGTGGTTCAGCCTCCCGAGTATCTGGGATTACAGGCACGCGCCACCATGCCCGGCTAATTTTTGTATATTTTTTAGAGACAGGGTTTTGCTATACTGTCCAGGCTGGTCTCGAGCTCCTGAGCTCAAGGGATCCACCCGCTTGGCCTCCTAAAGTGCTTGGATTACAGGTGTAAGCTACCACACGCAGCCTGTAATTGTTTTTTCTTATGTCTCTTTTACACTAAGCTAATCCCCAAGAGGGAATATGTATTGTCCAACTTGCATGTCCAGCATTTAATGTAATTAGTGGTACAAGGAAGGCTTTCAGCCAAGGGGATCTAGGGAGTTTGGAGTCCATGAATCCTGCTTTTTCACTTGCCTGCTTTCTTGCTTGCTTGCTCGCTTACTTTGTTTTTTCTTAGAAATGGGGTCTCACTCTGTCTCCCAGGCTGGAGTGCAGTGCTGCAATCATAGCCCCCTGCAACCTCAAACTTCTGGGCTCAAGCAATCCTCTCACCTCAGCCTCCTAAGCAGCCGGGACTACAGGAGGGTGCCACTTCACCTGGCTCATTAAAAAAAATTTTTTTCTGTAGAGATTGGAGGTGTCTCACTATGTTGCCCAGGCTGATCTGGAATTCCTGGTCAAGCGATCCTCCTGCCCAGGCCTCCTAAAGTGCTGGGATTATAGGCCACCATGCCCAGCCAATCCTGCTTTCAATAAATTTTTTTTCCTGTTGTATTTTTATCATTTTAGTAAGAGAAAAAATTAAGGAAATCCTGTTGACTTACTCATGAGTTTAAAAACTATAACCTTTCGTGTTGTGCTCTCTGAGTATGGGGATGCCCAGTATCACACATCTGAGAGACTTCTGCTTTTGGGAAGATAATTTCTTTCAGGCCACATGCTGTAGGGGCACCTGACTTTTCTGGAGTTTGTAGAAATTTCAGATACCCCTGGGATCATTCTTTGACAACACAACCTCCACTAACAATTATTCTAGTGAAGCCAGCAGTTTTCAAACTCTGTGTCTGTATTTTTGTTTGTTTGTTTGTTTGAGACGGAGTCTGGCTCTCGCCCAGGCTGGAGTGCAGTGGCGTGATCTCGGCTCACTGCAAGCTCCGCCTCCCGGGTTCACGCCATTCTCCTGCCTTAGCTTCCCGAGTAGCTGGGACTATAGGCGCCCGCCATCATACCCGGCTAATTTTTTTGTATTTTTAGTAGAGACAAGGATTTCACCATGTTAGCCAGGATGGTCTCGATCTCCTGACCTCGTGATCCACCTGCCTCGGCCTCCCAAAGTGCTGGGATTACAGGCGTGAGCCACTGCGCCCAGCCCTGTGTGTCTGTATTTTGAAATAAAAACATTGCCTTGGCCAGGTATAGTGGCTCACACCTGTAATCTCAACACTTTGGGAGGCGGGAGGATCACTTGAACCCAGGAATTTGAGGCCAGCCTGGTCAACATGGCAAGACACTGTCTCTACAAAAAGTAAAAAAAAAAAATTAGCCAGGCATGGTGGTGCACGCCTCCAGCTACTTGGGAGACTGAGGTGGAAGAATTGTTTGACCCTAGGAGGTCAAGGCTGCAGTGAGCCGTGATCATGTCACTGCACTCCAGCCTGGGTGACAGAGGACAGAATGACACCCTGTCTCAAAAAAAAAAAAAAAAAAAAAGAAAAAGAAAAGAAAAGAAAGACAAACCAAAAGAGAAAACATTGCCTTATAAAACTATGATTCTCTATATCTCTCAAAATGCATTCAAGATGGGCATGGTGGCTCACAAGTGTAATCCTAGCACTTTGGGTGGCCGAGGTGGGAAGACTGTATGAGGCCAGTAATTCGAGAGCAGCCTGGGCAACATAGCAAGACCCCTATCTCTGTATTTTTTAAAATAAAAAATGTACACTGGGTGCAGTGGCTCACATCGGTAATCCCAGCACTTTGGGAGGCTGAGGTGGGCGGATCACCTGAGGTCGGGAGTTCAAGACCAGCCTGGCCAATATGGTGAAACCCTGTATCTACTAAAAATACAAAAAATTAGCTGGGTGTCATGGCATGCACCTGTAGTCCTAGCTACAAAAAAAAAAAAAAAAGGAAAAAAGGAAAAATTTTAAAAAACTGTTTCAAATAATATTTTCTTCCAACTAGAAACTTCCCTACAAAATCATAGACTTTGAATTAAGTTTATATACTTTTTTATATTCTTCAAGGGCACATTCCTTATAGTTAGTTTTACAAAAGCAAACACGATATTAGACATCTTTGTAGTTTCATGTAATTTTGAAATATATACATACATACATTTGAAATATATACATAATACTCCATGAGTTGCTATTTTAGTGTGACTAGGAGTGGCTGAAAAGAGCATTGTTGGACCACTATTCCTGTCTATACAACTCCCTGTCTGAACTTGGTTCCCCCACCCCAGTTACTCTGTTACCACCCTGTTTGTTGCACTCCTAGCCCTTATACCAAACTTTACTATCTGGCTTATATTTTTGTTTATTGTTGGTCTAGGCAGCCTCCCAGATGATGGGTTTTCATCTGTGTAGACTCTTGTAAGTGCTGATACTAATTTTAAAGACCATTCCATTTCCCACTAGGTCTTCAGATTCTAGGTCTGCAAAAAGCCATATGACAAGATAACCACTCCTCATGGTAGCTTTCTACAAGCTTATCACACCAGCTCCAGAGGACTAAGCTTACTGGGACCCCCAGCCCCCTCCTCCTCTCAGCTGCCAGTTTACCCCACCTCTTTCCTTTCTACTGCCCTTGAGCTAAGTCAGCCTAGTCATTCCTGAGTGCCTTCGTTCACTTCATTCGCTCTAGATTGCTTTCCCTCAAATCCCTGCCCAGGCTGGGAGTAATGGTTTAAATCATAACTCTGTATCTTGGCTACAACCTCTTAAAACCTCAATTTCTTTTTTTTTCAAACATCAATGTCTTCATCTGTAAAATGTAGATAATAAATAAAAGTACCACTCTAGTGAGCATCTCATAGTAGGTCTTCAGTAAATGGCAGTCATCATTGTTGGTTTTGTTATTATTTTCCTTCTTTCAGGCTTCACCTTTCTAGCTTATCTCCAGTAATTGTTTATAATTATTAATAATTTTTAAACGACCGTTCAAAATTATGTTGCATTTGTAAGTTTTGCTTCTTGAGCTAGGTTTAAGCTCTTTGAAGGCAAATGTTCTACTGTTGCTATTTACATACTCCACTAAATGTGCCTTGTGTCTAAAGCAGTGATTGTTAACAATACAATTAATCCATATCACTTGAAGTGGTTCCTTGAGGAAGAATAAAATATTTCTCTTGCCCTGCTTGTCTGTGGTTATTCTGCTTTTGCTGTCTGTATAATGAAATATAAAGTGCTTCATCTGGATTTGAGACCTTCTAGTTTTCCCCAGTAAATATAGGAAAGAGAGAAGACTTTTACATATCTGTTCTCTGTAAGACTTGTTTCCAATTTTTAATTATATAACTATTATTAACTTCAAATTGTGCTTAGAGTTTCAAGACGTTAATGACATGTTGCCACTAAGTATGCAGTCAACGCATGCAGATGACAGTGAGGTTACCCTGAGACTGGAAACAAGATGACTTTCAGACAACTAAACTAGGAACAGTGAATCTGTAGAGTGGATGATAGGATTAACCCACCCTACAAGATGACCTGTGAATATGAAGTTGAGGGGATTAGGGAATAGTCAGATTTCATTAAAGGGCAACTAAGGTGGAGTCTTGAAAGCTGTTATTTAATCTATTATATTTTACCCTAACAAAGAAAGAATTATGTTAACTAAGAACTGGCAGATGGCGAGTAATGGAATCTTAAAGAAAGAAAAAGCCAGTGAGTAAGATTTTGGGCCGAGTTAATCAAATATTATGTTGGGAAGAGATATCATGCATACTGAATTGGTCATACATGGGAACTATAGACACACTTTGAAGTTGGGTGTGAATAGCTCTGAAATTTACTTGTTCTGCCTGAGCTAACCAAGACCATCTCATCTCTCTTGGCTCTCTGAGCAACCCAAGCAACATGTTGAAGATTAATGCAACCTCCTAGCACTTCAATATCCACGGAGAACTACTCTCTAGAAAATTACCTCCTCCACTGGAAATCTGCACTTTTATTTAACCTTCAGTACTTTGCAGGGGCATATCCAGGGTCTTTGCAGCCTGAAATTTTTTTTACAATTAGGGAGGCTGTCTTTAAGGAAAGAACACAGGCTGGGGGCGGTGGCTCACGCCTGTAATCCTAGCACTTTGGAAGACCAAGGTGGGTGGATCGCTTGAGCCCCAGGAGTTCCAGACCAGCTTGGACAACATGGTGAGACCCCATCTCTACAAAAAAATTTAAGAAGTTAGCCGGGTGTGTTGGCACAGGCCTATAGTCCCAGCTACTGGGGAGGCTGAGATGGAAGAATTGCTTGAGTCCCAGGAGATCGAGGCTACAGTGAGCCATGATTGCACCACTGCACTCCAACCTGGATGACAGTGTGAGACCCTGTCTTAAAAAAGAAAAAGAAAAAGAAAAAGAAAAGAACACAAACTGGCAAATATGAAATTGCTCCCAGGGCATTGGAAAGGACCAGCGCAAGTGAATGGATTTGAAGCGTAAGCTTTGCTGGCATCATGGTGAAGGTTTTGAAGTTGGGGTGGTATCAGTTGCCTGTCAGCCCTAGGTGCCCCACCCTGCAGAGCTGAGGGCCACACCCAGGGAGACTTCAGCAGTGGCCTTGTCACACTTCCCCACAGCACTCGCATCTTCACAATACAACAAAAGAGTCAAATTCTAAACTGCTTCTTAAGATAGTTAACTTTTATGACCCTTTCTACCTATACTACCATCATCCTGTTAAAAAATACAGAAACTCTATCCCATTTGTTAGCACTTCGCAGATTCAGTCTAGCTTTCTGAATTCCAAATACATTGCACCATTAGTTAAAGCACAGAAAGAAAAAGCCGTAAAGTTATGGCTGTGCCCAAAACAAAATGTAAATGACTATGGGTCAGAAAGAGAAGAAAACTTAGAGCAGTGGACACAACGAAGATACAGCCTGACATGCTTTGGGTCTGGGAGAAGGCAGGCCGGGCCAGAGTGTGATTTTTGTGGGATAATGAGGAAGAAAGATGCCCCATCTGATACAGTGGAAGATCCACAGCTTAAAGCTAGAGCCTGGGATAGGGATCCACTGTTTCTGAGAGAAAGCTCCCAAAATCTGTAACCTGGGGCCATGGTTTATATTAAAATGTATTCCTAGAAAGAGCTCACACATAGCCCAGAGACTAGGAATTGAGCCACCCTCTGCCCTCGTCCAATGACAAGATCTAGAATATCCCTTCCTCCAGCCGCCCATAGAAGTTCTGGTTCTTGGTTAGGGAGCCCAGTCAGGCAATTACTAAAATACTACCTACACTGACCAGCACAGTAGCCACTAGCCTTATGTGGCTACATACATTCTAATTTACATTCATTAAAATTAAAATTTAAAATTCAGTTTCTCAGTCTCATTAGCTATCTTCCAGGTACTCTATAGCCACATGTGGCTAGTGCTACTGTACTGGATAGTGCAGATACAAAATACTTCCATCATTGCAGAAAGTTCTATTGGATAGAGCTGACCTAACGGAAAAAGCAGAGTATAGGGAGAGATAGAAGGAGGAAAGGAGAGAGACAAAGAAATGTCCCACTCTAGATTTGCCTGCAAATAAAAATTCTGAATATAAGCACTGTGCCTCTCACCTGTAATTGCAGCAACTCGGGAGGCTGAAAGGACAGGATTGCCTGAAGCCAGGAGTTTAAGACTAGTCTGGACAACATAGCGAGACCCTGCCTCTCAAAATTTCTTAAAATTAGGTGGACATGGTGGCTCACCCCTGTAGTCCCAGCTACTCATACGTGGGAGGCTGAGGCAGGAGGATGGCTTGAGCAAGGAATTGGAGGCTGCAGTGAGCTATGATCGCACCACTTTACTCCAAGCTGGGCAACAGAGAGGAGACCCTGTCTCTAAAAATAAAAAAGATTCTAAACACATAAAGAAAATACTGGCCAGACACGGTGGCTCACGCCTGTAATTCCAGCACTTTGGGAGGCCGAGGCGGGCAGATCATGAGGTCAGGAGATCGAGACCATCCTGGCTAACACAGTGAAACCCTGTCTCTACTAAAAATACAGAAAATTAGCCAGGCGTGGTGGCAGGCTCCTGTAGTCCCAGCTACTTGGGAGGCTGAGACAGGAGAATGGCGTGAACCTGGGATGAGGAGGTTGCAGTGAGCCGAGATCATGCCACTGCACTCCAGCCTGGGTGACAGAGCGAGACTCTGTCTCAAAAAAAATAAATAGAAAGAAAGAAAGAAAGAAAGAAAGAAAGAAAGAAAGAAAGAAAGAAAGAAAGAAAGAAAGAAAGAAAGAAAGAAAGAAAGAAAATACTGATATAGTAAGTGCTCAATAAATATTTTTTGGATAAATTAAATTGACAAAGCCAACTATATGAACAACCCAAATACACTTCTAATGAAATAAAAGTAATTAGAACAGTCTGAGAAATATTTCTAAATGTGAATGCTAAGAATTCTCAATGATAACATCCATAAAAAGAGCAAGAACTGAGAAAGCAAAACCAACTAGAATAGAAGCAAAACCTGTGGATCTGATAAAGACCCAAATAGAAAACCTAACAATGAAAAATAAAATCAACAGCTTACAAAACTCAACAGATGAGCTGTGGTGCTCAGACCCACTGTGGAGAGCATAACTGACAGGCCAGCCGCTGCCCCTCGAGATCCCAATTGTGTTCCTGTCACACATGGCACTAATACAGGCCAGTCCTGGAAGACTTGAGATGCCTTTAATGAAAGACTTTGGCTTGAGGATTCTCCAGCAGTCTGGCCAAAACTTTCTTGGAACTGAGCTGTGGTCAGAGACTTAGATCGTCATCTTGAGGCTGGGCACTAGCTAAAGAAGATTCTACAATATTTTATAGAAACAGGTATAGGAATGATGCTAAAATGATGAGTGAGACGAGTGTTGCCTTCTGGAACTTTGTCACAGGCCTTACAAATCATGTGACCAGAAGAGCTAATGATCATGATGACTTAATTTCACCCTACTGAGTAGTTTTTTTGTTTGGATTCTTTTTATTCAACATGTTTTCTTGAGCTAGGGCTATTGAGTAAGCTGTGTGACAGGCCCTGTACTAACCTTTGAAGTACAAAGATAAGAAGGCCCTCACGGTTCTCAGCTGGAACATGGAAGGGGTCACATGAAGAGCAAATCTCTTCTGTCTAATGGAGAAGTGGGGCAGAGAATATGACACAGACTGTCTCTTAGGAAGACTTCACAAAGAAAGGGTGTGTGCATTTGGAGTGAAATAAGGCTATTTAAGATTTTACCAAATGTTTAGAAAGATGTGATATTTACTGTCATCCCTTGGGATCCACAGAGGATTGGTACCAGGATCCCCTGCAGATTCCAAAATCCAAAGGTCATCAGGTGCCCTAATCAGCCTTATGGGATGTGAAAAGTCAGTCCTCCATATCTGCAGGTTTCATGTCCTACGAATACTGTATTTTCTTTTTTCTTTTTGTTTTCATTTTTGAGTCATAGTCTCACTCTCGCTGTCACCCAAGCTGGAGTGCAGTGGCACAATCTCGGCTCACTGCAACCTCCGCCTCCCAGGTTCAAGTGATTGTCCTGCCTCAGCCTCCTCAGTAGCTGGGACTACAGGCACGCGCCATCATGCCTGGCTAATTTTTGTATTTTTAGTAGAGACGGGATTTCACCATGTTGGCCAGGCTGGTCTCGAACTTCTGACCTTAGGTGATCCGCCTGCCTTGGCCTCCCAAAGTGCTGGGATTATAGGCATGTAATCCCAGCCACTGCACCCGGCCTTCTTTTTGTTGTTATTGTTGTTGTTTTTAAGATATGGGGTCTTACTGTGTTGCCACGCCCAGCCTTCTTTCTGTGTTTTTTTTTTTTTTTAAGAGATAGGGTCTCACGTGTTGCCCAGGCTGGTCTGAAACTCCTAGACTGAAGCAATCCTCCTGCCTCAGCCTCTCAAAGTGCTGAGTTTACAGAGGTGAGCCACCGCTCCTGGCCAAATACTGTATTTTCCCTCTGCGATTGGTGGAACCTGCGGATACGGAGGGCTAAATGATTTTGTTTTATGTGGACAAAAAGACCGAAGAAGAAGAGAAAAGCGAGGAGGAGGAGGCAGGGAGGGGAAGAGCAGGAGGAGGAGGCGGCAGCCCTCAGTAAGGTACCTAAACAGTGAAAAGATTTCATCCACATATATGCTACAAAGTGAATCTTTTTAAAAGTACATTTTCAAGAGATAGAGAAGCAGACAAAATGGTGAGTTATCATGAAACAAATAGATGGTCTCTTTTTTTTTTTTAGAGCTTTATCTTGCATTTTCAGGTGCCCAGTATGATTTTGTGTTTTATTTTTATTTTCATTTTTAGTTCTAGTCATTCTCCCCCAGGATTCTCATTCCTGGTAGTTCCATCACCTCCCACACCATCCCAAATGTGATATTCCATCCCACTCTGAATCTGGATACTTGACTCATTTCTGAACTTTCATTTTAGTTGCAAATCTCCTAAAACTATAAGTTAGCTGTCAGCTGTTTGAGGTTGATTTGGGGGCACCTGTGAAACTTGCCTCCTGATTTCATAAGGACTTGGTTATCTTGTAGCTGGTGTCTTCTGTGCCTGATCACTCAGGAATGCGGGAGAGGTAACTGGGAAAGGGCCACTTGGACCCTCCAGGAGTTGAACCATCCTTTGCATTTCACCAGGACACTTCTGGACCTCCTCATCTCCCTCCTCTGGCGTGGTATTGGAAAGCCACAATGTCAGTTACAAAGGGCCAGATGTCTAGTACTTCCCTGGAAATTCAAGTCACTGTGAATCGGTGACATGAAAACAGTCACAATCTATATCTTACAGCTACACAGCTTGGTTCTCTTCATTCTTAGCACCTTTTTTTTCTTTCTTTTTCTTTTTCTTTTTTGAGACAGGGTCTCACTCTGTTGTCCAGGCTGGAGGGCAGTGGTGTGGTTGTGGCTCACTGGAACCTCTTCCTCTGGGCTCAAGAGATCCTCCCACCTCAGCCTCCCAAGTAGCTGGGACCACAGGCACGTGCCACCACACCCAGCTAATTTTTGTATTTTTTTTGGTAGCGGTGAGGTTTCACCATGTTGCCCAGGCTGGTCTTGAACTCCTGGACTCAAGCAATCTGTCCACTTCAGCCTACCAAAATGCTGGGCTTACAGGCATGAGCCACCAAGCCTAGCCCATCCTTAGTGATTTTAATATAATAAATGTAAGTAGATGTTGTATCTTCTGTATGTTATCACTTATCTATTTTTCACATTTGTGTTAGAATTATTCTTTACTTTCTTTGAATTGTCTCCTATATTTTGGGCTAGGACTTTGTTTAGTTCTTAAATCATTGTTTGTGATTCTGAAGGCCTTTCTAGTGTAAGTCGTTTGATCTCACCCAGAGAAAAACACTGTCCCAATCACATGGAAACAACAGGCGAGAAGGCCCTTGATACTCAGAGATTTAACATCTCTACCAAGAGTGCCTCCAAGGTCTATACAGAAAGTGCATCATGCGGAAGGAATGAGATTTAATCTCAGGCATGGGTGGAAAGTAGACGCATAGATGTGAAGAGGGTGTGGCATGCATGCGATGGTGCATTTCCAGGGTTCCTGGGGAAGTGGGAAGCAAACCCGCCTAGCAGTCTTCCTTATCCCCCTTGTCATTCAAGGTAACAATGAAGGGCAAAGTCCAGGCCATTGCTTGGACCTGGAATGGAATCTGCCGCCAGATTCCATTTACAAGAAGTAGGAGGGGAGAAGGAGGGCAGTGAAGGTGAGACCCCACAAGACTCTCCAGAGCCCAGAATCCACTCGTACTTTGACTTTGTTCTTGTGTGTTTTTTTGTTGTTGTTGTTGTTGTTGTTGCTGTTGTTTTAAGACAGAGTCTCACTCTGTCACCCAGCTGGAGTGCAGTGGCGAGATCTCGGCTCACTGCAAGCTCTGCCTCCCGGGTTCACGCCATTCTCCTGCCTCAGCCTCCCGAGTAGCTGGGACTACAGGCGCCCGCCACCACGCCCGGCTAATTTTTTTTGTATTTTTAGTAGAGACGGGGTTTCACCGTGTTAGCCAGGATGGTCTCCATCTCCTGACCTCGTGATCTGCCCGCCTCGGCCTCCTAAAGTGCTGGGATTACAGGCGTGAGCCACGGCGCCCGGCTTGTTCTTGTTTTTTATCACTGTGACTAAAGGAAGAGGAATGTTGATGAATGTTTCATTGTATGTCATTGATACTGATATTTTTATTATATGTTATCATGATTCTTGCAAATTTGGGCCTTTGGGAAGCTCTCTGGGAAAATTATTTTCAAGTGTCGAAGGTCTAGACGCTAGAGCTCAAATCAACCCCAGTTCTCTCTTCCTCTCCATCGTGATTCTCCCCTCAGCCCCCGTGGTCTCAGTCATCATTTGGTATCTCCATAGCAGCCGCCTCTTCACTGGTATCCCGGCTTTCAGTCTAACTTCCCCCGCGCTCAACTCCCATTCTCTTCAGAGATTTTTTTCTTCTTTTTTCTTTTTATTCATTTTTCTTGTATTTCTTTTATATGTTTTTTGGCATACTTGTTAATATCATTTCCTCAAATCCCTTTTTACCAGTTTTTTAATTCAAAAATTGAAAATTTGAGATAATTATAGATTTACATGCAGTTGTAAGAAATAATAAAGAGCCTATTCACAATTTTACCTAGTTTCGCCCAATAATAACATCTTGTGAAATTGTGGTATGTCATCACAACCTGGATATCAACTTTGGGCTGGGTGCGGTGGTCAGCCCTATAATCCCATCACTTTGTGGGGCCAAGGAGGGAGGATCACTTGAGCCCAGGAGTTTGAGACCACCCTGGTCAAAATAGCAAGACCCTGTCTCTACAGATTTTTTTTTATATAATTATAAAAACAATATGGGTTGGGCACAGTGGCTCATGCCTGTAATTCCAACACTTTGGGAGGCCAAGGTGGGTGGATCACCAGAGGTCAGGAGTTCAAGACCAGCCTAGCCAACATGGTGAAATCCCATCTCTACTAAAAATACAAAAACTGGCCGGATGTGGGGGCTCACGCCTGTAATCCCAGCACTTTGGGAGGGTGAGACGGGAGGATTGCCTGAGCTCAGGAGTTTGCGACCAGCCTGGGCAACACAGTGAAACTCCATCTCTACTAAAATACAAAAAATTAGCCAGGCATTGCAGTGTGTGCCTGTAGTCCCAGCTACTCAGGAGGCTGAGGCAGGAGAATCACTTGAACCGGGGAGGCAGAGGTTGCAGTGAGCTGAGATCACACCACTGCATTCCAGCCTGGGTGACAGAGTGAGACTCCGTCTCCAAAAAAAAAAAAAAAAAAAAAAAAAAAAAAATATATATATATATATATATATGGACTGCTTCATGAATGTACATGTCATTCTTGCACAAGGGCCATATATCATTCCAATTTTAGTATATGTGCTGCCAAAGTGAGCACCAGTTTTTTTTTTAAGTAGCCCAGTTGGGTGACATGTGCCTGTGGTTGCAGCTACTCTGGAGGCTGAGGTGGGAGCGTCACTTGAGCCCAGGAGTTTGAGGCTGCAGTGAGCTGTGATTGCGCCACTGCACTCTAGCCTGCATGGCAGAGTGAAATCCGGTCTCTCTCTCTCTCTCTCTCTCTCTATATATATATATATATATGATCTCTACATTGATATACTCTACTGACCTTTTTCAAATTTCCCCAGTTTTACTTATATTTATTTGTGTGCATGTGTATTTATGCTATAAATTTTATGTGTGTTCACCACCACAGTCAAGGTGCAGAGAGTTCCATCACAAGGATTTCTTTTAATGCCCTTGTATAACCACACCCATCTCCCACCCTAATTATGGGTAACCACTAATCTGCTCTTTCCTTCGAAACTTTTTTTCATTTCAAGATTATATAGCTGGGTGTGGTGGCTCATGCCTATAATCCCAGCACTTTGGGAGGCTGAGGCAGGCGGATCGCCTGAGGTCAGGAGTTCAAGACCAACCTGCCCAACATGGCAAAACCCTGTCTCCACTAAAAATGTAAAAATCAGCCGGGCATGGTGGTGGGCTCCTCTAATCCCAGCTACTCAGGGGAATTCTGTGAGATCAGACCACATAAGCACAATTTTGCTGCCTGTACTTTTTTTCTACAGCACAATTTTATTGAAATCTCCTTTCTGAGGCAGGAGAATCACTTGAACCCAGGTGGTGGAGGTTGAAGTGAGCCAAGATCAAGCTACTGCACTCCAGCCTGGGTAAGACTCCTGTCTCAAAAAAAAAAAAATTATAAAAATGGAATCATACGGTATGTTACCTTTGGGGATTGGCTCTCCGCCCCCCAGATTCATTCAAGGTTTTGCATGAACTATCAATAGCTATTCCTTTCATGGTTGAGTAGTATTCCATGATATGTATATACCATGTTAAATACTCATCAGTGTATGAGTGATCCAGTTTCTCTGCATCCTTCTTGACAGCACTTGGTGTTGTCACTATTTTTTACTTTAAATATCCTAATAGATGTGTAGTGATATCTCACTCTGGTTTAATTTGCATTTACCTGATGGTTAATGATTTTGAACATCTTTTCATGTGTGTTTATTTGTCATCTGTATACCCTCTTCAGCACAATGTCTTTTCATGTCTTTTGTTCATTTTCTGTTTTTTTTTTTTTTTTTTTTTTTCCTGAGACGGAGTTTTGCTCTTGTTGCCCAGGCTGGAGTGCAATGGCGTGATCTCAGCTCACCAAAACCTCTGCCTCCTGGGTTCAAGCAATTCTCCTGCCTCGGCCTCCCCGGTGGCTGGGATTACAGGTGCCCGCCACCACGCCCAGCTAACTTTTTGTGTTTTTAGTAGAGACGGGGTTTCACCATGTTGGTAGGCTGGTCTTGAACTCCTGACTTCAGGTGATCCACCCACCTCAGCTTCCCAAAGTGCTGGGATTACAGGTGTTGAGCCACCGCGCCCGGCTTTTGTTCATTTTCTTTTCTTTTCTTTTCTTTTTTTTGAAATGGAGTTTTGCTCTTGTTGCCCAGGCTGGAGTGCACTGGTGCGATCTCAGCTCACTGCAACCTCTGCCTCCCGGGTTCAAGTGATTCTCCCACCTCAGCTTCCTGAGTAGCTGGGATTACAGTCATGTGCCACCACGCCTGGCTAATTTTGTATTTTTAGTAGAGACGGGGTTTCTCCATGTTGGTCAGGCTGGTCTTGAACTCCCTACCTCAGGTGATCCACCCACCTCGGCCTCCCAAAGTGCTAGGATTACAGGTGTGAGCCACCATGACCAGCCTCAGGTATGTATGTCTTTATAGCAATGTGAGAACAGACTAATACACCATCTCAGACCACCCCATCTACATAGGCTCTACTGTTATTTTCTACATCAGCACCCAGCCTTTATCAATTAACTGCTGATTCATATTCCAGCCTTTTTGTTTTTTACTGTTTGGTATTTAATTCCCCACCAGATTCTAAATTCTACAAGGACAAGGACTTGGCCTTATCCTTTCATGCCATCACCCAATGCTTATTTCAGGGCTTAGCAAACAGTATGCCCTCAGTAAATATTTGCTGAGAAAACTAACTAATGAGGACATTTTAAGAAAACTTTCTGCCTGCATACAGTATTTTCTGAGGAATTTCAAGAAGATGAAAGTTTTATTTGGGATCATCACTGCTTTGGACAAAATTCTTTTTAGATAAACTCTTCCCATCCAGACCATTTTTAGTTTATTTATTTTCTCTCCATAATTTAAACCAGAAAGGATATTTCAATAGAATTGTGCTATAGAAAAAAAGTACAGGCAGCAAAATTGTGCTTATGTAGTCTGCTCTCACGGAATTCCTCCTACTGCCCTGGCATCAAAGATACCATTCCTCTACTCGAGAACCTTACAGTCCAGTAAGGGGGCGTGTGGGCGAACAGGCACCTAAATCCGCCATGGTAAAACATCGTGGAAAGGACCCCTGATGTTTCCTTTCTTCAAGGGAGGCAATGCTTTGGCTAAGTCTCAAAGGATACAGTGAAGTCAGCCAGCAGAAACATGAAGGAATGGGACTGAAGCCCTGGGCATCCCGTGGAAGAAGAGCAGGACCTGTGGCTGCAGGGCAGTAGGCTCTGGATTCTGTGGGCCTTGAGTGTCATACCACAGAGAGAGCTCTAAAGGGTCAGGGAAGCCTCGTGACCAGATCGTATTCCGGAAATGATTGCACCAGCCTCGAGGTAGACCATGGACAGGAGGACTGAGAGAGAAAGCAGAGGCGGTTACAGAGAAAGGCCTGGATGCAGGCAGTATTGGGGAGGCAGAAAGAGGGAGCAGTTTCGTTTTTTTGTTTTTTGAGATGGAGTCTCACTCTGTCACCCAGGCTGGAGTGCAATGGCACGATCTCGGCTCACTGCAACCTCTGCCTCCCAGGTTCAAGTGATTCTCCTGCCTCAGCCTCCTGAATAGCTGGGATTACAGGTGCCCACCACCACGCCCAGCTAAGGAGAGGGCAGTTTTGACTGATACAAGGTAACTTGTATCAACAGCATTTGTTGACCAAATGGTCAGCAGGATGGACAACGGGGCTGGAGCCCAGGAGAAGAGAGGGAAGACATTTGATTTGGCTCTCTTGATTCTTGGGTGGTGCTGCCCACCTATAAAGAAAATTCAGGAAAAGGAGCCACTTTGTGTGAAAGATGTTTAATGTAAAGTACCAATGGGTCAGGAATTCCAATAAAAATATATCTACATCTGGAATTCAGATTGCATATCATTTTAGAAATCATTTTCCCACTGGCTGGGCACAGTGGCTCACACCTGTAATCCCAGCACTTTGGAAGCTGAGGCAGGTGGATCACAAGGTCAGGAGTTCAAGACCAGCCTGGACAAGATGGTGAAATCCCGTCTCTACTAAAAATACAAAAAAATTACCCGGGCGTGGTGATGGGCACCTGTAATCTCAGCTACTCAGGAGGCTGAGGCAGAGAATTGCTTGAACCCGGGAGGCAGAGGTTGCAGTGAGCTGAGATCTCACCACTGCACTCTAGCCTGGGTGACAGAGTGAGATTCCATCTCAAAAAAAATATTATTTTCCCTATGCAAATAACTTTTAGACGAGGTAATTTTACCCCCAGAAAATTGAAGACATTGAGATGCCCAAGATAATTTTCACTGCAGGCTCATGTTGGAAATCATGATCATCAGGAGACCCTTTGCATCCTTAATCCAGTGCTATGGACTGTGGGACATACCTAAACTATGAACTATGAGATTGTGACACAAGACTACTTTTCAGTGGAAACAGAGAACTGGAATAAACTACAGAATTCTGCTTCTTGGGCAACTGGAGGTGACCTCAGTGCAACTCCCTCATTTTACTCTTGCCGGAAAAGTTCATTCATTTGTCCAAGATAACACATTTATATATATATATATATATATATTTATTTATTTTTGAGGCAGAGTTTCACTCTTGTTGCCTGGGCTGGAGTGTAATGGTGTGATCTTGGCTCACTGCAACCTCTGCCTCCAGGGTTCAAGTGATTCTCCTGCTTAAGCCTCCTGAGTAGCTGGGATCTCAGGTACCTACCACCACGCCCAGGTAATTTTTATATTTTTAGTAGAAACAGTGTTTCACCATGTTGGCCAGGCTGGTCTTGAACTCCCGACCTCAGGTGATCCACTTGCCTCAGCCTCCCAAAGTGCTGGGATTACAGGTGTGAGCCACCTTGCCTGGCCTAGATAGAAATTTAAACCTCTAAGCATTTTTGTCTTTCAAACAAGGAGAAAGTGAGCATGTGTTTTGGAAGTCTGAGTGTAATGGAGTGTAATGGTGGGGTCTGGGTGGGGTGAGGGTAAATGTCCTATGTATCCTCTTGAGCAATTCCATCACCTTCTCCCATGAGCCTAATGCACAGAACCTGGTAGCCAGTATTGTAACCTGGAGCATGATAATTCACTGGCATTAACATAACTCACAGTTTTACTGGGCAAACTACGTGTGAAGAGTGCCCCACCACAGGATGCAGGTCAGCTGCTGTTTGACATTCACAAGGAAGAGGAATACCCGAGGATTCATTGAAGCCTGGAGTAGCATGGCAAGCCTACAGCTCACTAGGAAAGTGCAGCTGCTCCCAGGCCAGCCGCACATGGAACTGTGAGGAAGGAGGCTGTTCTTTTTGGCAAAGAATATGCTATGTCTTGCAAAGTCTAAGAGGCAGGGATGCAAACAGCAACTGGACTTTTCAATAGTTCCACGCAGCTGAGAAGGATAATGAACACATAGAATCCAAAATTATCTCTGTACGCTGCATTTAATATGTTAGAATAAAACAAGGATAATCCAGGCATGGTGGTGTGCACCTATAGTCCCAGCTACTCAGGAGACTGAGGCAGGAGGATCACTTGAGCCCAGGAGTTCAAGGATGTAGTGTGTTATGATTATGCCTGTGAATGGCCTCTGCACTACAGCCTGGGCAACCAAACAAGACCCCCATCTCAAAAAAAAAAATCAAATAAGGATAAATAATTAATAAAAACCCACCGCAGTTGTGCATGGTGGCTTATGCCTGTGATCCGAGCAATTTGGGAGGCTGAGGCAGGAGGATCACTTGAGCCCAGGAGTTCAAGACCAGTCTGGGCAATACATCAAGACCCTGTCTCCAAAAAAAAGAAAAAAAAACCCACCATAACAAGAACAACAGCAAAACAAACTTACAAACGAACTGTGCAAGTACAGGTGAGAATAGGTGGTAACTAGAAGCATATGTAAAACAGCCCTAGGAGTTCTGATTACCTCAGTATGAGTCAGCCATGTATGATGAGGGTGCTGAGAAAGCTAATAGGGATTTAAGCTTCATTGAAAATATTCTGCTGATCAGGATTAGGGAGGTGGCAGTTCCTTCTTGCCTTGTGTTGATAAAAGTGGGATTCTATGTTTCAATTACATACATGGCTAACATTTATTAAATGTTTAATATATGTCAGGTGATGGCCTAAACGCTTCACATGATCCCGCTTAATCCATACAACAAGCCTCGGGTCATGTCCTGTTAGTGCCTCACTTTTATACCCAAGGACATTGTCACTCAGTGGAGCAGTACATGCCAGTCCAGGGGCAGACTTGGGTCTGTCTGACCAAACTCTTAGCTGGGAATGGGATTCTCAAAAGATAACTATTGAAAAACTGGTGACCTGGCCAGGTGCTCTGGCTCACTCCTGTAATCCGATCACTTTGGGAGGCCGAGGCAGGAGGATCACCTGAGGTCGGGAGTTTGAGACCAGCCTGATCAACATGGAGAAACCCCGTCTCTACTAAAAATACAAAATTAGCCAGGTGTGGTGGCGGGCGCCTGTAATCCCAGCTACTCAGGAGGCTGAGGCAGGAGAATTGTTTGAACCTGGGAGGCAGAGGTTGTGGTGAGCAGAGATCATGCCATAGCACTCCAGCCTGGGCAACAAGAGCAAAACTCCATCTCAAAAAAAAAAAAAAAGAAAAACTGGTGACCTGAAGAATTCAGGGGGCTGGGTTGGGAGGATCTATAAAACCTAACATACAAGGAATACTGGATAAACAAAAACTGTTCAACAAGGAAAAGAGAAAAATACTTGAGTCCCCTGAAGTCGCAGAGAAAAGGAATGAGACTATGCAGCATGGCTGCAGAGGGTTGAATAGAACCAGCCGATTAAAGGAACAGGGAGGTAGAGATGAAAATACTTAAAGATGAATTTGCTGTATGAAACAATAATGGGAGGCCAGGTGCGATGGCTCATGCCTGTAATCCCAGCACTTTGGGAGGCCCAGGTGGGCAGATCACCTGAGGTCAGGAGCTAGAGACCAGCCTGGCCAGCATGGTGAAACCCTGTCTGTACTAAAAATAATAAAATAAAATAAAATAAATTATCCAGGCACGGTGGTGCATGCCTCTAATCCCAGCTACTTGGGAGGCTGAGGCAGGAAAATTGCTTGAACCTGGGAGGTGGAGGTTGCAGTGAGACGAGATCGCACCACTGCACTCCAGTCTGGGCGACAGAGTGAGACTCCATCTCAAAAAATATAATAAATAAATAAATAAATAAATAAATAAATAAATAAATAAAACAATAATGGGGCTAAGCTCAGTAGCTCATGCTTGTAACCCAAGCAATTTGGGAGGCTAAGGCAGGAGGACCACTTGAGCCCATGTGTTCAAGGCCAGCCTGGGCAACATGAAAAGACCCCATTTCTACAAAACAATTTCAAATTAGCTAGGATTGAAGTTGGACCAGTACATGCCAGTCCAGGGGCAGAACTTGGTGTGTTAGCCAGGCATGATGGTGCATGCCTTGGGAGGCTGAGGCAGGAAGATTGCTTGAGCCTAGGAGTTCAAGGCTGCAATGAGTTATGATTGCGTCACTGAACTCCGACCTGGATGACAGAGCGAGACTCTGTCTCTGAAACAAACAAACAAACAAACAAACAAACAAACAAACAATAATTGAAGCCCCAAAATGGAACTGACTGCCTTTGGAGGCACTGGCTTCCCACCTCAGCAAGGATTTCAGCCGGAAATAAATGAGGCCCATGGACCCTCAGTGCAGAAGCAGATGTGGATCTGGAATTATTCTTTTTTTCTGCCCTCACAGAGCATCATTTTTTAAACAACAAAAATATATATACAGGACAATATTCTGTAATTTGGCACTTTATGTAGTGAAGAGAAAAGCTCAGGTTGGGTCTTAAAAAGCTGGAAGTACTGAGAGTAGTTCTCTGCAGTGATGGCAGAGAAAATGTAGAGAAACAAAAACAGTAATTTCTTTTCTTTTTTTTTTCTTTTTTTTGAGATGGACTTTCACTCTTTTACCCAGGCTGGAGTGCAGTGGCGTGATCTCAGCTCACTGCAACCTCCGCCTTCCGTTTTCAAGCAATTCTCCTGCCTCAGCTGCCGAGTAGATAGGATTACAGGCACATGCCACCATGCCCAGCTAATTTTTGTATTTTTAGTAGAGACGCGAGGTTTCACCATGTTGGCCAGGCTGGCTACAAACTCCTAACCTCGTGATCCACCTGCCTTGGCCTCCCAAACTGCTGGGATTAGAGGTGTGAGCCACCATGCCCAGTCCGAGAAACAAAAACAGTAATTTCTTTTTTTTTTTTTTTGAGACAGAGTCTCACTCTGTCGCCCAGGCTGGAGTGCAGTGGTGCGATCGCGGCTCACTGCAAGCTCCGCTTCCTGGGTTCATGCCATTAATTTCTTTACAGAGGAAATCAGGACGTTCGCAGCATCTGAGATTTATAACATCTAAATTAAGATCTTGTACCTCTATTGTCGCCTTGATAAAAAATATAATAAATTGGCTGGGTGCAGATCACGAGATCAGGAGTTCGAGATCAGCCTGACCAACATGGTGAAACCTTCTCTCTACTAAAAATACAAAAATTAACCAGGCGTGGTGGCACTTGCCTGTAATCCCAGCTCCTTGGGAGGCTGAGGCAGGAGAATCGCTTGAATCCAGGAGACGGATTCAAAAAAAAAATATATATATATATATATATACACACACACACACACACATATATGCATATACATATATATAATCAATTTATTTATGACATTGTAAAATAGTGTTTAAAAGCAAAGTTAAACAAGAGACTTTGGCGTCTTTTAAAAAGATTTAGCAGAGCCTTCATCTAATGATATATTAGGATAATATATAATATTACACAGATTCTACAACCGGCCTTTGGTTCTCTTTACCTTACTAATCCCAGAGCAAACAAAAGCCTCATGGCTAACAGTAGTATTTCCACCTTTCAGGAAACCTTCCTGAAAGAACAGACATGATAAGAGTAGCAATTAACCATTTTACTGCCCATTATGTATTAACAAAAGTAAATTAGCAATTTTTTTTTTGAGATGGTGTTTCGCTCTTGTTGCCTAGGCTAGAGTGCAATGGCGCGATCTTGGCTCACCACAACCTCAGCATCCAGAGTTCAAGTGATTTTCCTGCCTCAGCCTTCCGAGTAGCTGGGATTACAGGCATGCGCCACCATGCCTGGCTAATTTTGTAATTTTAGTAGAGACGGGGTTTCTCCACGTTGGTCAGGCTGGTCTTGAACTCCCTACCTCAGGTGATCCGCCCACCTCGGCCTCCCATAAGTGTTGGGATTACAGGCGTGAGCCACCGCGCCCGGCCTACATTAGCAATTAAAACCCCAAATTATTCATGTTAGATTGGCAAGTATTCTGTTTTGGTAGTGTTTTTTTTCCCCCTCTCCTAGAAGTCTACAGGCAGAAAGATTGTGTGTTATGACTATTAGTTTAAACTGATAACTAAATTAAGCAATCATGAATGCTCTTTCATGTATGTTTATTTGGAAGTAAGAACAATTCTGTTTGTCATAAAGTTTTTGGTAATTCCAAGTTTGGTCTCAAAATAAAGATAACTCCGTAGTCAAATTTGAGAAGAGTATGAGTGTGGTTCATAACAAATCATATTAAAATTTTTCTAAGAACAGCTGGGTGCAGAGACCCACACCTGTAATCCCAGCACTCTGGGAGGCCAAGGCGGGTGGATTGCTTCAGTCCAGGAGTTTGAGACCAGCCTGAGTAACATAGCAAAACCCTATTTCTACTAAAAATACAAAAAATAGCTGGGCGTGGTGGTGTGTGCCTGTAATCCCAGCTACTCGGGAGGCTGAGCCTAGGAGGTCAAAGCTGCAATGAGCCATGACCATGCCATGGTTTTTTTTTGTTGTTGTTGTTGTTTTTAAATGGAGTCTTACCCTGTCACACAGGCTGGAGTGCAGTGGCATGATCTCGGCTCACTGCAACCTCCGCTTCCTGGGCTCAAGCAAGTCTCCTGTCTCAGCCTCCCAAGTAGCTGGGATTACAGGTGTGTGCCACCACACCCAGCTAATTTTTGTATTTTTAGTAGAGATAGGGTTTCACCATGTTGGCCAGGGTGGTCTCAAACTCCTGACCGCAAGTGATTCACCTGCCTCGGCCTCCCAAAGTGCTGGGATTACAGGATGAGCCACCATACCTGGCATTAAAAAAAAAAAAAAAAAAAAAAATTTCTAAGAGAATGAAATGTCAAATTTGACTTGATGAAGAGTTTGTTTTTATAAACTATACCCCTTCCCCATCTATTTAGTCAACTATGATGATTTTAAAGACAGATCCACAAATTCCTTGAAACTCCTCCCTTCAAAATGTGGAGCTAATTCCTCTCCCCTTGAGTGTGGGCTGGATTTAGGGAGTTTCTTGTAGATAATAGAATTTGACAGACGTGATGGATTGTCACTCCTGTGATCAGGTTTTTACAAGACTGTGGCATGCCTCATTGTTCTCTCTCTCTCTTTCTCTCTGGGAGAAACTGTGTCATTAGCAGCCCTATTGAGAGACCCACATGGTAAGAAGCTAAAGCCTCCTGCCAGCAGCCTGTGCTTAGAAGGGAAAGCTCCAGCCCCAGGCAAGTTTTCCCAATACTGTAGCTTCAGCCAATAACTTCACATGTCCTGAGCCAGAGAAAGCTAGTTAAGCTCCTCCAGGATTCTTCATTCTCAGAAACCATGTGAGATAATTCATATTTGTTGATTTTCATTTTATTTATTTATTTTTTAGGGACAGGGTCTTGCTCTGTCACCCAGGCTGGTCTTGAACTCCTAGCTTCAAGTGATCATCCTGCCTCAGCCTCCCGAAGTGTTGGGATTACAGGCAGGAGCCACTGGGCTAGGTCACCTTTATTATTTTAAACTGCTGAATTTTAATGTAATATGTCACGCAGCTATAGATTACCAATACACTATGTAAGAAAAACACTTTCTTCTAAAATGAAAAGAAAAGCATCCTATATGGCCAGGTGGGGAGAGTAGCATGGTAAAATTAAAACAAACAAACAGGCCGGGTGTGGTGGCTCACGCTTGTAATCCCAGCACTTTGGGAGGCCAAGGCGGGTGGATCACCTGAGGTCAGGAGTTCGAGACCAGCCTGGCCAAAATAGTGAAACCCCATCCCTACTAAAATACAAAAATTAGCCAGGCGTGGTGGTGGGCGCCTGTAATCCCAGTTACTCTGTCACCCAGGCTGCAGTGCAGAAGCTGAGGCAGGAGAATCGCTTGAGCCCGGGAGGCGGAGGTTGCAGTGAGCCAAGATCGCGCCATTGCACTCCAGCCTGGGCGAAAAGAGTGAGACTCCATCTCAAAAAACAAACAAACAAACAAACAAACAAACACAAAACTCTGCAAATATTGACTATGCTATACTGTGTGGTAACAACAAGAAGCCTTGTAATGAATCACTCACAGTCATCCCCCCTTATCTGAGGTATTGCTTTCAGCAATCAATTGCCGCCCAAAAATATTAAATGGAAAATCCCAGAAATGAGCAATTGGTAAGTTTTAAATTGCACACCATTGTGAGTACTGTGATAAGATCTCGTGCTGTCCTGCTTCATCCCACCCGGAACGTGAACCCTCTGCTTGTCTAGCGTATTCACGCTGTCTACACTCCCTGCCTGTGAGCCACTTAGTAGCCCCCCAGGTTATCAGATGGACCGTCACAGTATCACAGTGCTTGTGTTCAAGTAACCCTCATTTTATTTTATAATGGCCCCAATGTGCAAGAGTAGTGAGGCTTGCATATTGTTGTAATTGTTCTATTTTATGATTAGTTTTTGTTGTTAATTTCATACTGTGCTTAATTTATAAATTAAACTTTATCATAGGAATATAAATATAGGAAAAAACACAGTATATATAGGATTCATTTCTATTCACTGTCTCAGGCATCCACTGGGTGTCTCAGGACATATCCCCCATAGACAAGGGGGACTATTGTACTAGAATGACAGAATTTCGGAACTAGAAGAAACCTGAGTTCGTGCCTTTCATTTTACAGAAAGGGGAGCCCAGAGCTTGACCTGCCTAAGACCACACAGCTTGTTGACAGAGCCAACACTAGAATTTTACTTGCTGGATTCTCAGGCCACTACTTTTTAATAAAAATATCACAGAAAACCTGTCAGCCAAAGTAATCGAGAATGACAGCTGGGTAATAGCCTGACAGCTAAGGAATGTTCCAACTTAAAGCGAACTTGGCCACGCATCATGGCTCACACCTCTAATCCCAGCACTTTGGGAGGCTTAGGTGGGAGGATTGCTTGAGACCAGGGGTTCGAGACCAGCCTGGGCAACATAACAAGACCCTGTCTCTATTCAATATAAAAAATAGTTTTACTTTATTTTATTTTATTTTTGAGATAGCCTCACTCTGTCACCCAGGGTGGAGTGCAGTGGTGCGATCTCAGCTCACTGAAACCTTTGCTGCCCAGGTTCCAGCGATTCTCCTGCCTCAGCCTCCCTAGCAGCTGGGATTACAGGCACCTGCCACTGTGCCCGGCTAATTTTTTGTAGTTTTAGTAGAGACGGGGTTTCACCATATTGGTCAGGCTGGTCTTGAACTCCTGACCTCGTGATCCACCCGCCTCGGCCTCCCAAAGTGCTGGGCTTACAGGCATGAGCCACCATGCCCAGCCCAATGTAAAAAATACTTTTAAAAAAGAGAACTTGGGCCAGGCGCAGCGTGCGCCTGTGGCCCCAGATACTCAGGAGGCTGAAGTGGGAGCATCGCCTGAGCCTGCGAGGCAGAAGTTGCAGTGAGCTGAGATCTCACCACTAAACTCCAACCTGGGTGACAGAGTGAGACCCTATCTTAGAAAAAAAGGAAAATAAAAGAACTCAACTCTCTTCTCCAAAGATGGGTGACACCAGGAAAGTTTTGAGGCACAAAAGAGTTTCAGTTTCCAATTTCTCATTTTATAAAGTAGAATAAACTTTAATTTTCTTAAATATATGTTTGCCATTCCACCCCATGGGCTAACCTCCTTAGGAGTCAGGACACCTGCCTGTCCTTCCAGCATGAGTCCCTCACAGACTCCTACTCACGGGTGGCATGTGGCCTCGACACCACAGAGACAGCCTATAAAGGACCTACTCTGGGCACTTGCTGGAGAGTATCTAATCAGGGTACATCTTGGGCTTGTGCACCTCAAGACGAGTCCACAGAACACAATGCCGAATTGGGTGAAGTTTGTCTTTGGGTGCCCACTTTCTTTTTAGGTGGACGGCATTCACGGGGTCAGATTAAGCGTACAGTGGTGACTAGAGACCATCACTGGCCTCATGGAGCTAGTTCACCATTCCGTGGAGGACACAGGCTAGCTACGGGACAGTCTCGGCACAGCGATGGAGGAAGCGCAGGGTGCAGTGCTAAACACGGGGAATTCTAAACCAGACTGGAGTTAGGGGAAGCTTCCTGGAGGTGCTTACATGTACCATCCTTGTGTAGACAGATTCCCACTCTGAATGTCTTTTTTTTTTTTCTTTTGAGACAGGGTCTCACTCCTGTCGCCCAGTCTGGAGTGCTGTGGCGCATTCTTGGCTCACTGCAGCTGGACAGCCGGCTTCAAGTGATCCTCCCGTCTCAGGCTTCCAAGTAGCTGGGACTACAGGCATGCACCGCCATGCCCAGCTAATTTTTGTATTTTTTGTAGAGACAAGGTTTCGCTATGTTGCCCAGGCTGGTCTTGAACTCCTGGGCTCAAGCAATCCTCCCACCTCAGCCTCCCAAAGTGCTGGGATTATAGGGGTGAGCCATCGTGCCCAGCCCCTACTCTTAATTTCTGACCCAGACGTATCCTTTAATTCCAAACCCCAAACCAATTGCCTTCCTGGAGATTTCACTTGCATGCCTCACAAGCATTTCAATATTAACACGTCCAAAAAGGGTCTTTTGGTTTTAAGCCCACCCTTCTTCCAGGTTTTCCTTCTCAAGAAATAGCCTGTTTGGGATTTTTGGCCAGAAACTGAAAGTCAGCCTTTATTCCTCCCTTTCCGGAATACCCACACTCCAATCATCAGGGAGTCACACCAGTTCCACCCCTAAAATGCACCCAGATCATTTCAGCGTCACTCCCTTCACTGCCGCTACTCTTGTCTGTGCCGCCTCTTGTGGTTAGACCCCTGCAGTCTCCTAACTGGCTTCCTTGCTTTTGTTCTCAGTTCCCCCATTCCCCTCAACCCAGAGCAGCCAGGGATATCTGTTTAAATGACAGTGGAGTCCCATTTCTTTTAGGATAGAATCCAAATTCCATCCCAAGGGCTAGGGCTGCGAACCTCAGCTGGTGCCACTTTTCCTCTCTGTTCATCTCCCCCCAGCCACACAGACTTTTCTCAAGTTCTTGATTGTGCCCCACTTAGGGCCTTTAGAATGGTTTTTCACCCAGTTTCCCTTTACCTAAAGGAGCCCCAGTGGTCACAGCCTCCAACCACAGATTCTCTCTGTCTCAGTTCCCTGCTTATTTCCTTCAGACCATTTAGAGCAACTTGTAAACGACTGTATTTATTGACTTGTTTTTCCCTGTCTCCCCTACTAGAGAGGTAAGCAGGATGTGCAAAGGCCATCCATGTTGAACAGAAGGGGCTGGACCCCAAGAGAAATGCACAGCTAGTGAAATGTTTTAAGCAAAGGAAAAAAAGGGGAAGGAAATTATACATGCACTATCTCTGTGGCAAAACAGTTTCAAGTGCAAAGAATTTGAGGAGCTACAAGAGAGGAGACCCATCAGGAGGCTGTTGCAGTAGCATCAGCTGTGAATGGCGGTGGTGTGAAGGATGGTGGGGTGTTGGCAGGAGAGAGAGGTGGATGGATTTGAGAGTATTTAGGATGCTTCATCAGCATATTTTGTGATTTTATGTGAGGGGAGAGGAAAAAGGAGAAATCTAGATGATACCCAGGTTTCTGGTTTGGCCAACTGATTGGATGGATGATGTTGCATTTGCTACCCTAAGGACACAGGATGATGAGCACACTTGAGGGCAGGTGCAAAGTGTGCTTAGGATGTATTAAGTTTGCTGATTGTGAGTGGGAAGACAGCCATTTGAGAGTTGGAATCCTCCAAGATAGGTCCAGCCTGCAGATATAGATACTTTTTCTATACATATCTGAAAAATAATATAAACTAATAATATTTTTAAATTTATTTTATTTTATTTTTTGAGAGGGAGTTTCTCTCTTGTTGCCCAGGCTGGAGTGTAGTGGTACAATCTCGGCTCATTGCAACCTCCACCTCCCAGGTTCAAGAGATTCTCCTGTCTCAGCCTCCCAAGTAGTGGGGATTACAGGTGCACGCCACCATGCCCAGCTAACTTTTTGTATTTAGTAGAGACGGGGTTTCACCATGTTGGTCAGGCTGATCTCAAACTCCTGACCTCAGGTGATCTACCTGCCTCGGCCTCCCAAAGTGTTGAGATTACAGGCGTGAGCCACCACGCCTGGCCTAAAATTAATTTTAGTATCAACAAATACTTCACTTCTCTGGGTTAACTGGAGAAGCAGGAGGACATAGTGGTTAAGAGGTGTGCTCTGTTGTCTGAAAACATCAGTAAGAGTTCCAGCTCTACTCTCCTTAGTTGTGCTCCCTGCAACAAGTAACTCAGCCTTGTGGAATGTCAGTTTCTTTATCTCAAAAATGAGATAGTTCTACCTACTCACATGGTACACAGTAAATGCAATGACATGCAAAGTGCCCATGATGTTCACTGCCATCACTGTCACCATCACTGGTCACCTGTCACCTTTTATTTATTTTTTATTTATTTTTCATTTTTTAATACAGAGTCTTGCTCTTGTTGGCCAGCCTGGAGTGCGATGGCACGATTTCAGCTCACTGCAACCTCTGCCTCCTGGGTTCAGCGATTCTCCTGCCTCAGCCTCCCGAGTAGCTAGGATTACAGGTGTGTGCCACCACGCCCAGCTGATTTTTGTATTTTTAGTAGAGACGGGGTTTCGCCATGTCGGCCAGGCTGGTCTCGAACTCCTGACCTCAGGTGATCCACCCGCCTAGGCCTCCCAAAGTGCTGGGATTACAGGCGTGAGCCACTATTTATTTATTTATTTTTGAAACTTGAGTTTAATTGCCATGCGACATGGGAGGAGATGGAGTTATTACTCAAATCAATCTCCACCTTTCACCTTGTAAAACATCATCCTGTATTTTACAGGAAAAACTATAAGCCTACCTCATTATTTAATGATTATTAATTGCTTTTAAAGCTGATTCCAGCTCAGATATATAAAATTATGTCAGGTGAGGACTGATTTAATCCAATTATATTTTTCCGATAATTTTTAAAACTTAATCCCCAATGTGATAGTACTGATAAATTTTTTTTTAATAAAACTTTACTTGGGATTAGAACTATAAGCATTGTAACTACATTTACACAGGCTTCCACAAAAGGCTAAATCACCAAATCACCCCTAAGTAAAGGGATATTTGGATGAGCTGCTGTTGCTGCACATGCAAACTTCGTAACAGCTGAGAAACAATACAGGGCAAAAAATGTAGTATTAAAAAGATTAGACACCTGTTTAACTGTGAAGCGTTCAGCGGCTTCTTTCTAATGGGTTTGTGGTACTAAATGAATAGGGGAAGATGACATGCACTAGCAGTTCCTACAGTGTCCCCAAACAGAATATCCTGCACCAAAGCAAATAAACTGTGCAAACATTTGTGGAGGCAACAGATGCCATTTATTCTAAGGAAAGCTTCCCATTTTGAAGCTTTATGCTATTGAAACACTCTGTGAGTTACAATGAACTATGTAATGTTCTTCTTAGTCCCTTACTCACTCCTTATGATATTCTGCCCCTTATCCCCATTTTCCCAGAAATTCTGTTTTAGATGTTCTTGTTCTGGATATAGACTATCCTTTCCTTTTCCTGGGCATAAAATAAAAATAAAATAAATAGCAGGAGGGAGTTTATATTTTACTGAGAAAATGTAACAGATTCAGGAAGTAATTTTGATATTAACTTTGCCTCTAGTATTTTTCTGATATTGGTAAGAATTTGAAAGTTCATGTATATGACTGCCAGGAAGCAGTTAAATTCTTCTCCATTTGTTCAGGCAAGAAGAGTGGTTATCCAGTAAGTGGCAGCAAACAGCTTATAGATTCATCTTTTCTGATTTTCTAACTCTCAGATTCTTGTGAATGAAGCAGAATCATTGATTGAGCAACTGGAAATGAATGCAAAAGTAGAAGATGCACATTGTGAATCTCCTAAGAAGCAAATATGAATCCATTCCTTCCTCCTCTCCAAGAAATTTCTCAGGGCAACGGAGTCTACTGATGCATGAGCACTCAAAAGACACCATAAGGCGTTTGCTGCATGACTTAATTCTTTTTTGGACACAGAGCAGATTTTGATGACTTACTATGATCATTTTAAATTCAGAACACTGCATCGCCAGCATTTAGGAATTGCACTAAAGGAAAGTGAGAAGTGAAAAATGCGAAATGATTGTCATGGTCACCACACATCCAAGATTTTCTGCGACAGTCCCAATTTCAAAGATTTTACCTTGTTATTCCTTTAATTATACTCTTTCTTATTAGACCAACTAGTCAGGTTTGGAAAAACTGTTTTTAAAGGGCCACTGTTATTCTTAGGTATATGTTAATTAATATTTTACAAAACCAAAGAAAGTCTTTAGAATATTACGTGAATATTCTGTTCATTCTTTTCTTTTTTAGAGATGAGGTCTTGCTCTGTCACCCAGGCTGGAGTGCAGTGGTGCCATCATAGCTCACTATAGCCTCAAACTACTGGGCTCAAGCTACCCTCCGACCTTGGCCTCCCAAAGTGCTGGGATTATAGGAGTGAGACACCATGCCTGGCCCACATGAATGTTTTCTTAATTATCCTAGGAAAAGTAAATTCCTTTATTACAAATTATGGGAAAATACCTGAACAGTGTAGTTCTTGGAATGATATTGATGATTGCTTTAGTAATTTTCACATTATTGTAATGGTACTTGTTAGCTGGAATTTTGTAATTGTCAATTACATGATCACAACATGCAGACACACCAAAATATTTTTGTTTCTTCTCCTTCTTTTTTTTTTTTTTGAGACAGAGTCTAGCTCTTTTGGCTAGGCTGGAGTGCAGTGGTGTGATCTCGGCTCACTACAATCTCCACCTCCTGGGTTCAAGCAATTCTCCTGTCTCAGCCTCCTCTGCGCCTGGCCACCCTTAAACATTTTTGTGACAATTTTCATGTGTAATTCTTACATTGCTGAAAATTGATTTGGGTTAAAAGTGAACCTTCAGGCCCGGTGCGGTGGCTCACACCTGTAATTCCAACACTTTGGGAGGTCGAGGTGGGTGGATCACTTGAGGTCAGGAGTTTGAGACCAGCCTGGCCAACATGGGGAAACCCCATCTCTACTAAAAACACAAAAATTAGCCAGGCATGGTGGCTCACACCTGTAATCCCAGCTACTTGGGAGGCTGAGGCAGGAGAATCGCTTGAACCTGGGAGGTGACCGTTGCAGTGAGCCAAGATAGAGCCACTATCCTCCAGCCTGGGTGACAGAGTAGGACTTCATCTCAAAAAAACAAACAAACAAACAAACAAAAAAACCTTTAGATGGCCTCTCTAGAAGTGGAAGTCATGGAAAAATTTGAAAAATTTCATTAATTCCAAAATGCTTTTAAATTAATTTTGAAAAGCAGCAGTTTAACACATGGAAATGCTACTTCTTCCTGTATATTAAACTTGCTAAAGAATTTAGAGCTTGTTAGGCATATTCTGCATTGAGAAGCAATAGTTTATTATGTTTTGCCTGTCAATGCGAATGTTTTTGTTTATATCATTCTGAGGATCATTCGTTTTTCACTTACTGTTCAATACTAATTAATATTTATTTGTCATTAAGCACTTTACATCATCATTTGTCTAGTACTTGGCAATTTAACTCACTTTCCCATTTGTTCTGTGCAAAATGATTTGCACAAAACTTCTCAATTCCATTCTTCCTTTCCCTGCCCTAAGGGCTAAGGGCTTATTACTATGCAGTAAGTTGAAGAGGTCAACGGTGTCAGCCAATGGATTTCCCCCTACCAAAACCTTTCCTGCCCTTCCAAGGTAGGGGCGAGATTCAGACATTTGGGGTGGATTATCTGAAGTTTTGTCCTCATTTAGCTAGATCAAAATATGGTAGAAAGACCAGGGGCTTCATAATCACACAAACAAAGTTTTGAATTCTCATCCTGTTGTATATGGACCTTATTCCAAACCACTCTAAGACTTAGTTTCAACATCTTTAATAAGGGGACAATACTAACTAAGCTCATGCAATTTTTTGAAGATTAATATATCTAAAGCACCCAGATTTAGTACCTTACGCATATTAGGCTCTGAATAAAGTTAGCTAATTTGGGTGAATAATAAATAAGTGTAGGAAGAACAACACAAAAGAGAATTTAGAAGTAAATTAACAAGGCATCTTTTGTGTCTAGGTAGTATGGTACAGTGGAAAATGGATGAGGACCAATCTGCCTTCATCAGGCTTCCCAACCAACTGAACGTTCCCCTAATCTGTGAAAATGAGCATAATCACGCTACTTCATGGAGTGATCATGATATAGTTAGGCTCATCATATGAGATCTTACTTTCCCTTTTCTTGCTTCCCCTTTAATACTCTTTTAAAAACCAAAAAAGAGAATTTTAGACCAATATCCTTGATGAACATTGCTGCAAAAATCCTCAATAAAATACTGGCAAACTGAATCCAGCAGCACATCAAAAAGCTTATCCACCATGATCAAGTGGGCTTCATCCCTGGGATGCAAGGCTGGTTCAATAAACGCAAATCAATAAATGTAATCCAGCATATAAACAGAACCAAAGACAAAAAGCACATGATTATCTCAATAGATGCAGAAAAGGCCTTTGACAAAATTCAACAACACTTCATGCTAAAAACTCTCAATAAATTAGGTATTGATGGGACGTATCTCAAAATAATAAAAGCTATCTATGACAGACCCACAGCCAATATCATACTGAATGGGCAAAAACTGGAAGCATTCCCTTTGAAAACTGGCACAAGACAGGGATGCCCTCTCTCACCACTCCTATTCAACATAGTGTTGGAAGTTCTGGCCAGGGCAATTAGGCAGGAGAAGGAAATAAAGGGTATTCAGTTAGGAAAAGAGGAAGTCAAATTGTCCCTGTTTGTAGATGACATGATTGTATATCTAGAAAACCCCATTGTCTCAGCCCAAAATCTCCTTAAGCTGATAAGAAACTTCAGCAAAGTCTCAGGATACAAAATCAATGTACAAAAATCACAAGCATTCTTATACACCAATAACAGACAAACAGAGAGCCAAATCACGAGTGAACTCCTATTCACAATTGCTTCAAAGAGAATAAAATACCTAGGAATCCAACTTACAAGGGATGTGAAGGACCTCTTCAAGGAGAACTACAAACCACTGCTCAACGAAATAAAAGAGGATACAAAGAAACGGAAGAACATTCCATGCTCATGGGTAGGAAGAATCAATATCATGAAAATGGCCATACTGCCCAAGGTAATTTATAGATTCAATGCCATCCCCATCAAGCTACCAATGACTTTCTTCACAGAATTGGAAAAAACTAAAGTTCATATGGAACCAAAAAAGAGCCCACATCGCCAAGTCAATCCTAAGCCAAAAGAACAAAGCTGGAGGCAGCATGCTACCTGACTTCAAACTATACTACAAGGCTACAGTAACTAAAACAGCATGGTACTGGTACCAAAACAGAGATATAGACCAATGGAACAGAACAGAGCCCTCAGAAATAACGCCGCATATCTACAACTATCTGATCTTTGACAAACCTGAGAAAACAAGCAATGGGGAAAGGATTCCCTATTTAATAAATGGTGCTGGGAAAACTGGCTAGCCATATGTAGAAAGCTGAAACTGGATCCCTTCCTTACACCTTATACAAAAATCAATTCAAGATGGATTAAAGACTTCAATGTTAGACCTAAAACCATAAAAACCCTAGAAGAAAACCTAGGCATTACCATTCAGGACATAGGCATGGGCAAGGACTTCATGTCTAAAACACCAAAAGCAATGGCAACAAAAGCCAAAATTGACAAATGGGATCTAATTAAACTAAAGAGCTTCTGCACAGCAAAAGAAACTACCATCAGAGTGAACAGGCAACCTACAAAATGGGAGAAAATTTTCGCAACCTACTCATCTGACAAAGGGCTAGTATCCAGAATCTACAATGAACTCCAACAAATTTACAAGAAAACAAACAACCCCATCAAAAAGTGGGCAAAGGACGTGAACAGACACTTCTCAAAAGAAGACATTTATGCAGCCAAAAAACACATGAAAAAATGTTCACCATAACTGGCCATCAGAGAAATGCAAAATCACAATGAGATACCATCTCACACCAGTTAGAATGGCAATCATTAAAAAGTCAGGAAACAACAGGTGCTGGAGAGGATGTGGAGAAATAGGAACACTTTTATACTGTTGGTGGGACTGTAAACTAGTTCAACCATTGTGGAAGTCAGTGTGGCGATTCCTCAGGGATCTAGAACTAGAAATACCATTTGACCCAGCCATCCCATTACTGGGTATATACCCAAAGGATTATAAATCATGCTGCTATAAAGACACATGCACACGTATGTTTATTGCAGCTCTATTCACAATAGCAAAGACTTGGAACCAACCCAAATGTCCAACAATGATAGATTGGATTAAGAAACTGTGGCACATATACACCATGGAATACTATGCAGCCATAAAAAATGATGAGTTCATGTCCTTTGTAGGGACATGGATGAAATTGGAAATCATCATTCTCAGTAAACTATCACAAGAACAAAAAACCAAACACTGCATATTCTCACTCATAGGTGGGAATTGAACAATGAGAACACATGGACACAGGAAGGGGAACATCACACTCTGGGGACTGTTGTGGAGTGGTGGGGGGGGAGGGATAGAATTAGGAGATATACCTAATGCTAAATGACGAGTTAATGGGTGCAGCACACCAGCATGGCACATGTATACATATGTAACTGACCTGCACTTTGTGCACATGTACCCTAAAGCTTAAAGTATAATAATAATAAAATAAAAAAAAATACTCTTTTAAAGCACATTCTCTGCCCGCTCCTTTTTGGACAGAGACTGACTGATAATTTATTTTATTTATTTATTTATTTATTTATTTATTTTTGAGACAGAATCTCACACTGTCACCCTGGCTGGGGTGCAGTGGCACGACCTCGGCTCACTGCAAGCTCTGCCTCCCAGGTTCACACCATTCGCCTGCCTCAGCCTCCCGAGTAGCTGGGACTACAGGCACCCGCCACCATGCCTGGCTACTTTTTTGTATTTTTAGTAGAGATGGGGTTTCACCGTGTTAGCCAGGATGGTCTCGATCTCCTGACCTTGTGATCTGCCCGCCTCAGCCTCCCAAAGTGCTGGGATTACAAGCGTGAGCCACCGTGCCTGGCCAAAAATTTAATATCCACTCTCATAATGTTTGAAAAATAGGAGGGGAAACGTGAGGTGATTTAGGTTCTTGTTTGCATTTCTGATGGAAGATGGGTGAATCTCTTGATGATAACATGTCTCTATTATCTGTGGGTCTAAGTTCCTAGGCAGGTAAACTGAGGACTGCCCACACCAACTCAATACAAAAATCCAGCTGCTCTGATTTGCTGATTGCAGCTCATTCATTTCATTTACATTTATTAACTGCCTACTGGTACAGACATGCTAGTCATGCAACTGTGAATAGAACAGTCCTTGTTATAGAGAGTTATAGACAACAAATTATTACAGAGCTGTGGTAGGTAGGTAGTATAATCCATTTATTTATTTGAGAAATATTTGTTGAGTATTTATTGGGTGCCGGCACTGTGATAATGTGTTAGATACGGCAGGGAAAAAGAGCTAGTCTCCAACCACGAAGAGTTTATAGTCTCTTGGGAGAGACAGATAATTACCCAAGTAGTAACAATAATACAGGGTTGCAATAGAAGAAGTGTGGAGATCTATGAGTTTTTAAAGAAAGGGGACTTTAGCATATGATCAAGAACCTCTTGTAAAGGAAGTGATGTGTAAGCTGAGATCCGAAGGACAGGTAGCAGTTAACCAGTGAGAGAAAGAAGGATGGGGGAAGGAAAGTTTCAAGTAGAGGCAATAGTGTGTGGAGAGGCCCAGGAACAATGCAGAGTTTAGCACATCTGAGGAACTGACAAAATTCTGTTGTGGCTGCACAGAGAATGTGAAAAGGAGGTTGATATACAGGTACTAGGAGAGCACTAAGTCCACTAAGTCCACTAAGGTGGACTTAACTGTGCCCATGGATGTCAGGGAAGGATACCTAGAAGGGAAGAAATTAGAATTGAGGATAAGCATGAGTTCACCAGGTGAACAAAGGGAGGTGAAGACATTTCTGACAAAGGGAAGGAATGCATAACATCCTAGAGAGAGGATGAGACCGGCACATTCTGGAAATGAAGCTCACAGTTGTTTGAATGAAGGGATGAATAGTAGGACAGTGATGGGAAAAAACAGACAGGGTCAAATAATTAGGGACTTTGTTAGAATGAATTGCGACATTATGCTGTTAACTAGGATAGGGATCTAGAGGAGAATTTTAAGGAGAGAGACTCATGGGAAGTAACTGAGCATCTGAGTGTGTAATAAGGAGGAGAGATAGCAGGGTGGGCCCGACAGGATGCAAGAAGACACCCTGGGAGAACACTGCCCTCATCCAGGTAGAATATAATGATGGTGTGAGGAGATGGGGAAAGCATTCATGAATAGTGATGTAATTGACAGGTCTAGATCATTCAGTCCATGAAGAAGTGATGAGCAGGCAGGATCAGGGATGACTTTTCATTCTTTTGGCTTTGATTGTGACTCCACTAAAGAGATAATTATGGAAGAAAGAATAAATTTTGGAGAAAAGATAAAAGCTGCAATAAAGGAGATGGTGAATTGAGGTTATCTATGGGACATCCACATGGGGAAGTCTGCAGTCAGGGGGCTGTGTTGGTCTGGAACTCAGGAGAGCAGTCTAGGGTGAAGATGTGGATTTAAGAGGCAAGTGTACGGCTGGGCGCAGTGCCTCACATCTGTAATCCCAGCACTTTGGGAGGCCGAGGTGGGTGGATCACCTGAGGTCTGGAGTTCGAGACCAGTCTAACCAATATGGTGAAACCCGGTCTCTACCAAAAGTACCAAAATTAGCTGGTGGCGTGTGGCTGTAGTCACAGCTGCTCGGGAGGCTGAGACAGGAGAATTGCTTGAACCCGGGAGGCAGAGATTTTGGTGAGCCGAGACCATGCCACTGCACTCTGGCCTGTGTGACAAAGCGAGACTCTGTCTCAAAAAAAAAAAGAGGCAAGAGTAGTAAGTGATAATAAGTGAAAGGGTAAGATTGATTGGAGCCACGTAGAGTAAGAAAATTAAAGTCATTTCTTGGCCAGGCACAGTGGCTTACACCTATAATCCCAACAGTTTGGGAGGCTGAGGCAGGAGGATCACTTGAAGCCAGGAGTTTGAGACCAGCTTGACCAACATAGCAAGACCTCATTTTTATTTTTTTAAAGTCATTTCTCACTTGCCTATACTGTCTGAGTTTCTTCTTTTTCTACGGGTGTGTAATATTACTGTGTAAATATTTAAGGACATTATTTCCAAAGACTATACACAGTAGGAGGAATATCTGTTGATCTGACAACAAAGAAAAGGATAGTGGGGCTGTAGGTAAGTTTGTAAGCAAGAAGACGAAAAGTGAACAAAATGTTTTTCAAGTGTTCATATTTAATTAATGCTCTCAATGTCTTTTTTCAGCAAAATGAGGATAGCTGCTGATCCAAAGGGGGCAGGGATTGAAGAA
Source organism: Homo sapiens (assembly GCF_000001405.40). Classification (NCBI taxonomy): domain Eukaryota; kingdom Metazoa; phylum Chordata; class Mammalia; order Primates; family Hominidae; genus Homo; species Homo sapiens. Next base: position 80,381,212 of record NC_000008.11, on the reverse strand, counting down.
CATGGCAGAAATGTAGAATAGCTTATTCAAAGAGGCAACAGAGGGAGTTGTCTAAAGCTAAGTTTTAAAAGATTGAAACGAAGCTTATATTCCTTTTTGTAAAATGGTGCTATACGCAGGAGTGTTCCTAAGCAGTCAATGGAACAAACTGTTTGAAATCTGGGCTGTGTGTGACTTTTCTGGACAATATAATCATATTATGATGATAACATGTTTTTAATGCTCAGTATAATGTGTGTGCCTTTTTTTTTTTTTTTTTTTTTTTAATGAGACAGTCTTGCTGCTTAGCCCAGGCTGGTCTCCAACTCCTGGGCTCAGACGATCCTCCCACCTCTGTCTCCCAAGTAGCTGGCATTATAGGCATATGCATTTGGCATATGTGCCTTTCATTTATTTATTTATTTAGAGATGGAGTTTTGCTCTTGTTGCTCAGGCTGGAGTGCAATGGCGCGATCTCAGCTCACTGCAACCTCCGCCTCCCAGATGCAAGTGATTCTCCTGACTCACCCTCCCAAGTAGCTGGGATTGCAGGCATGCACCACGACACCCAGCTAATTTTGTATTTTTAGTAGAGACGGGGTTTCACTATGTTGGTCAGGCTGGTCTCAAACTCCTGACCTCAGGTGATCCACCCACCTTGGCCTCCCAAAGTACTGAGATTACAGGCATGAGCCACTGCGCCCAGCTTACATGTGCCTTTTAAATCTCAGGCACAGCATTTACAAAAGTACCATGCAACGGCCAGGCGCAGTGACTCACGCCTGTAATCCCAGCACTTTGAGAGGCCAAGGCGGGAGGATCATGAGATCAGGAGATCGAGACCATCCTGGCTAACGCGGTGAAACCCCTTCTCTACTAAAAATACAGAAAATTAGCTGGGCATGGTGGCAGGCGCCTGTAGTCCCAGCTACTCGGGAGGCTGAGGCAGGAGAATGGCATGAACCCGGGATGTGGAGGTTGCAGTGAGCCGAGATCGTGCCACTGCACTCCAGCCTGGGTGACAGAGCGAGACTCTGCCTCAAAAAAAAAAAAAAAAAAGTACCATGCAACACATCCTGCAAGTTAACATTTGTTGTATCACCAAAGAGGACACAGTGTTCACTTGTCTGTAACTAGACAATAATTACATGACCTCCAGTGTCAAGATGTGCTTAGAGCTCTAAGAGACCCACAAGTTTGCAAATTTAATAATGTTAGACTCCTCCAGAGGGCCATCACAAACTTGTAAGGGCACATGTATTTTCAAAATTAATTTTTAGGTCAGAGGGAGAGAAAATAGGCCTAAAGTGTTGACATGGCAAGAATTGACTGTATCTGTTTTGAGGGCATCATCTAACCCAGTTAGTGGCTCCTTTAATAATTAATTGTATTCCTGGGAGAATCTGAAAATCCCAATGAGTGTGTACGGCTGCTTCCAATCTAGAGAAGTTGGTTCGCTAGTGAGAGGATTTATTGGATTTAAAATGTTTTTTTTTCTGTGATTTTTCTGACCCAGAAATATGCTTTTTATTTCAGCAGCTCTCTTAAAAGAGCTGAATAAATGACCGTTCCCAATCACCATTAACTATAAATCAAAATGTTATGTTTCCTCAGTTATGCTATGATTCTTCAGTTTGTTTTCCTTCTATCACAAATGAAGTATAATCCATCACCAGAATGATGATTAAAGGCATTCTACCAAAAATATTTACTCCATTCTGCGGCAAACACTTGTCATCTCTAACTTAAGTTGAACAGCCCTTATTTAACTCAATGCTACTATGCCCTACATGAAATAGAGGCATCTGGAATTTATTCTCTTACTTTCTTTCTAATTATAGCTTAATTTATCAACCACACATTTTAAGATGGTTATTTCTGGTAGGTTGCTCTATTACAAAACATACTAGAGTTATTTATTTCAAAATAATGTTTTTATTCTTTTGAGGGGTGGATATCACAGTGGTCTGTGTTTTTTTCTGTGTGTATTCAGTTGAGTAACCTCAAACGTTCTCTGTCATCTAAAATCATCTCCCTATCCCCATCATCCATTGACCTCAATCAAAAACCTCATCTTCTCAGTGACACTCTCCCTTCTACATGACAGACCACTGGTCATGACCTTTGGAACTGGAAAGAACCTTGGAGATTGTCTAGTCATGGTTGTCAACTTTACAGCAACGTAAGACTCTCCTTGAGTGCCCGTTTTAAAAGCAGATTCAGTGACTTCAGCCTGAGAGATTCTGATTCAATAGTTCAGGAGTAGAGGCTAGATACATACATATTTTAAAAGCACCCACAAATAATTCTTAGCCGCCAGATCACACATGGGAAACCGCTGAATTACTCTAGAGTCTTCCTTCTATAGGTAAGGAGACAGAGGGTAGAAGGCGTTACTTGCTCATGGTCATTGGTGATCTAGTTAATGTAATTGTCATCAGCACATTTCCACAGCTGTTCTTGGCATCCCTCCACTTATATTCTAAAAGAAGAGGAGTCAGCACGTGGCTGCCTTCTTATGAAAAGCTGCTGCCCTTGCGCTAAGGGGTAGGAGTGGGGCTTGGAAATTTGTGAAACAATGCTTGTGAAAAAATGCACAAGCCAGTGGCCGGGTGCGGTGGCTCATGCCTGTAATCCCAGAACTTTGGGAGGCCAAGGCAGGTGGATCATGAGGTCAGGAGTTCAAGACCAGCCTGGCCAACATGGTGAAACCCTATCTCTACTAAAAATGAAAAAAAAAAAATTAGCTGGCACGGTGGTGCGCACCTGTAATTCCAGCTACTCGGGAGGCTGAAGTAGGAGAATTGCTTGAACCCAGGAGGCAGAGGTTGCAGTGAGCCAAGATCACGCCACTGCCCTCCAGCCTGGGCAATAGAGTGAGACTCCATCTCAAAAAAAAAAAAAAAAAAAAAAAAAAAAGGCTCTACAAGCCATTGCTCTACAAAGTTGAGTAATCAGGGGTTGGCATCATCAAAAGCAACAGCCTTAGAAGTATATATAATGTTTTCATATGGTCCTCTATCAATATTGGTGGACAGAGAGTAGACAATGAATGAATAAATGACTATATGGTGAATAAACGACTATATGGTAAATAAATGAATGAGTCAGTAAGTCCTGCCCAAATCAGAAGGGAAGAGGCCGAGACAGTGTGATGACTGTCTCAGGGCAGGCACCTGAGAAAGTCCCCATGTGGGTGGTCTGTAATAGCCAAGGCCTTCCTCAGGTAGCAGGAGGAGAAAGAATTCACCTTTAGAAGAGGAAAAACTTCCATGGTGAGTGAGAACAATTTTAGTGGTTTCTTCTCACACAATGTAATTAGGTGAAAAGTGCTTGCAGCTTTTAGTAGTTTAGGTTCAATATTGGGTTATAATTTGATTGTTCAGAAAAGAGTTTCTCTTCCTTTTCTTTGTCTTTTTTTTTTTTTTCTTACCCTCATTTGAATTTGAGAGGGTACCAGCGTGGGAGGTTTTCACTCTGCCTTTAACTACTTGATTTCTGCTGATGAAGAGGTTACTTCAGTTTGTTTGGCTTCTTGATCTATGATGTTATTCATCTGTAGTTTTGCTTCTAGTCAAAATGGAAAGCAACTGTAGCTTGTCATCCTTTAATGCCGGGAGCTGACAGGAAGCTGGGTTTTATTTGCTTTCCTCTTTGAAGTGATACAGCTGAGTGAGCAGATGTAAGAGTTTCATTTTAACCAGAAATTTTGCTTAACCTCCTAGAAACAGCTACCTCATTGAGGACCTGTGGCCCAGTGGACTTGTCCTCTGCAGAATTATCAAAGGAAAAGGTGGAACAGTAATGAGGGATTCCAGAAAATTTTGGAAGAAACACAACATACCTCCAGAAATTCAACTTGGTCCCATACATATAAAACACAACAGGCCTAACCAAAACATGCCCTGTGAGACATATGGGGCCTGTGGGCTCCCTCATATCTTTCATTCTAATTTAGATTCTCTACAACTATAAATGAAAGAGCCAACACTAGCAAAAATAAAGTACCTTCTCGGAGACTTTGTGAAGACTGTTGCAGGTGACATCATGTCCATCAAAGGCCAGAAACCCAACATTTATGACAACCACGTGGGAGACAGTGACCAAGCAGGATAGAGGGGGGTGCCACAAAATGAAAAAGGTAGGCCATAGCTTACCGCAATCTGTGTTTTTTATATAAAATCTTCATTTTTAATGCTGACTCAATTTTTTTCTAAGATTCCCGGATTATAACTGAAACTACATCTCTGAAGCCAAAGCCTTTTCATTCTGAAGCCTGGAGTCTAATCCATTCCATAAATAAATGAAATTCTGGGTCTCCTGGTTGATTTTCACATCCTACAGGATACATTTATGAAAACAGTTTTGATATAGGGATTCTAATCTTTTATTCAGATTTCTATAAAACAAGGTCATAAGAAATAAAAGAGATCTCTTGGGATAAAATGATGAGAGAGGAAAAGTGCAAGTTCTCATTTGTGTGCTATGCTAAGCTTAACAACAAAAGGACCGCAAAATTTCTATTGATGATGTTGACATAAAACAATGAATACTAGGAAAGGCAATTTCTTCCTTCATATTAAGCATCTCAGGAGCCTTTCTAAAATGCACACCTATAGCACCATCCCACTTCCTGCTCTTCAATAGCTCCCTAATGCTTTTAGAGCCAAGTTCAGCCTCTTTAGCACAGTGTACCAGGCCCTTTGTGTACTAGCACTGCTGTCCCTGCCCACCTTTCCAGCCTCACCTGTGGTACTCTTATTTATTTTCTCTTATCTAATTGAGTTAATACTCACATATAATAAAATGCACAAATCTTCAGTGTATAATTCAATGAGTTTTTAAATGTGTGACCAACCTTCCAGTGGAGATATAGAACCTCGCATCACCCACAGTTTCCCATGAGTCCCCTTCTAGTTGAGGCCCACTCCACAAACTCTAACTTCCATCTCCATAGATTAGTTTTGCCTGTTCTTGAACTTCATATAGATGAAATCATGCACTGTGCACCCCTTTGTACCTGGCTTTCATGTTATCCTGTGTATCAATAGTTCATTTTTTTAAATTGCTGAATAGTACCATGTCGTATATATGTCACCATTTGTTTAAATATTTAAGCTTGTTTTCATGTTTTGGCTATTACAAATAAAGCTGCTGCCTGCCGGGTGCGGTGGCTCACACCTGTAATCCCAGCACTTTGGGAGGCTGAGGTGGGTGGATCACCTGAAGTCGGGAGTTCAAGACCAGCCTGACCAACATGGAGAAACCCTGTCTCTACTAAAAAAAATACAAAATTAGCCGGGCTTGGTGACATATGCCTGTAATCCCAGCTACTCGGGAGGCTGAGCCAGGAAAATTGCTTGAACCCAGGAGGCAGAGGTTGCGGTGAACCGAGATCGTGCCATTGCACTCCAGCCTGGGCAACAAGAGCAAAACTCCATCTCAAAAAAAATAAAGCTGCTGCCAGTGACATTTCTTATACAAGTCTTTTAGTCCGTATTTGTTTCTATTTCCCTTGGGTAAATACCTAGGAGTTGAATTTCTAGTGTAAAAAATTTGCCAAATAGTTTACTTTGCCAAGTATTTGTACCGTTTTACACCCATGAGCAATGTCTAAGAGTTACAGTTATTCTACAACTTCGCCAGCATTTAGTGTTGTCAGTTTAGTTATTCTTTTTTTTTTTTTTTTTTTTTTTTGAGACAGAGTGTTGCTCTGTCACCCAGGCTGGAGTGCAATGGCACGATCTCGGCTCATTGTAACCTCCACCTCCTGGGATCAAGCGATTCTCCTGCCTCAGCCTCCCTATTAGCTGGGACTACAGGCATGCACCACCACACCTGGGTAGTTTTAGTATTTTTAGTAGAGACGGGGTTTCACCATGTTGACCAGGCTGGTCTCAAACTCCTGACCTCAGGTGATCCACCTGTCTCAGCCTCCCAAAGTGCTGGGATTATAGGCATGAGCCACCGTGCCCAGCTGTCAGCTTAGTTATTCTAATAGGTAAGAAATGAAATCTCCTTGTTTTTTCATTTTTCATCTCCCTGATGACTAATGATGTTGACCATGTTTTTATGTGCTTATTGACCATTTGTGTCTTCTTTTGTGAAGTTCTTATTCAAATCTTGCTCATTTATTTATTGGGTTGCTGATCTTTTTATTATCTGTAATTCTTTATTATGTTCTGGATACAAGAGTGGATAGTTTTTAGTCGGTTGCCTTTTCATTTACTTAATGGTTTATTCCAATAAGCAAGATTTAAAAATTTTAAATTTTGATAATGTTGGGAGGCCAAAGCAGGAGAATTGTTTGAGGCCAGGAGTTTGAGACCAGCATGGGCAACACAGTGAGACCCCCATCTCTACCAAAAAAGAAGTAAAAATACCTGTAATCCTAGCACTTTGGGATGCTCAGGTGGGTGGATTGCTTGAGCCCAGGAGTTTGAGACCAACCTGGGCAACATGGCGAAACCCCGTCTCTTCAGCAAACACAAAAATTAGCCAGTCATGGTGGTGCACACCTATGGTCCCAGCTACTCGGGAGACTGAGGTGGGAGGATCACCTGAACCTGGGGAGGTGGAGACTGCAGTGAGCTGTGATCACACCACTGCACTCCAGTCTGGGTGACAGTGAGACACTGTCCCAAAAAATAAATAAATAAAAATAAATTTTCATAATATTAATCAATTTTTCTTTGATGTTTAATACTTTTTTTGTACCTATCTAAGAAATCTGCCCACCCAAGTTTGTAAAAATATTCTCCTATATTTTCTTCTGGAAACTTTAAAATTTTAGCTTTTATATTTAGGTCTAGGATCCATCTTGAATTATTTTTAGTGCATGGTGTGACATAGGAACCAGGGCCCAATTTTTCCACACATATATTCAGTTACTCCAACACCATTTGTTGAAAAGATTTTTCTTTTCCCATTCAATAGCTTTGGCACATCTATAAAAATCAATTGACTATGTATGTTTGGGTCTATTTCTAGACTCCATTCTGTTCCATTGATCTGCATATCTATCCTTGCCTATGCCAATATCACACTGTCTTAACTACTGTAGCCCTGTATTAAATCTTGAAATACAATTGTGCAAGTCCTCTAACTTAGCATTTCATTTTCAAGATTGTTTTGGTCACTTTACTTCTTTTGCATTTCTACTTAAATTTTCGAGCAAATTTGTCAATTTCTACACTAAATCCTATTGGGATTATGATTGAGATTACGTAGATTCTGTGGATCAGTTTGGGGATAATTGACATTTTTAACCATATTGAGTCATTCAATTCAAAAACAAAGTTTATTTTTTCATTTTAACATCTCTCAGCAATGTTTTGTAGTTTTCAGTATACAGGTCTTGTCCATAGTTTGTTACATTTCTCTTTAAATATTTAATATACTTTAATACCATTTTATAATTTAATGCTTTTATACACTTGATGTTGTTATAAATTACATTAAAAAATTTTCAATTTCCAGTTGTCCAAACTAGTGTATAGAAACACAATTTATTTTTGCATATTGGCCTTATTTCCTGTAAATTCCCTAAAATTATTCCTTAGTTTGAATGGCTTTTGGTAAATTCCTTAGGATAATCTGTGTTTGTGATCATATTATCTATGAATAAAGAGAGTTTTATTTCTTTCTTCTCAATATGTATTTATTTCTTTTTCTTGTATTATTGCAGTTGCTAGGACATAATATTGAATAGAAGTGGTGAAACTGAACGCCCTTGTCTTATTCCTAATCTTAGGCGGAAATAATTCAGTTTTAAAAAATATTAAATATGATAGGAGTTAAGGATGTCCTTTATCAGATTAAGAAAATTCCCTTCTGTTCGTAGTTTGCTGAGAATTTTTACCTTGAATGGATGCTGAATTTTCTATCGTTTTGCTTTTTCCTTTTATTTTTTTTTTTTTCGTTGAGACAGAGTTGCCCAGTCTGGAGTACAGTCGCCCGATCTCTGCTCACTGCAACCTCCGCCTCCTGGGTTCGAGCTATTCTCCTGCCTCAGCCTCCAAAGTAGCTGGGATTACAGGTGCACACCACCATGCCTGGCTAATTTTTGTATTTTTAGTAGAGACGGAGTTTCACCATGTTGGCCAGGCTGGTCTGAAACTCCTGGCCTCAACTGAGCTGCCCACCTTGGCCTCCCAAAGTGCTGGGATTACAGGTGTGAGCCACCGCGCCTGGCCAGTTTTTCTTTCTTATTCTGTTAATATAGTAGACTATATTGACTTTCAAATGCAATTTTAATCTTAAATTTCTGTAGCAAGCCCTACTTGGTCATAATGTCTTATCTTTTTTTATATATTTCAAGATTAGATTTCCTACTATTTTGTTAAGAATTTTTACATCCAGGTTCACAGGGACTATAGGTTTGTCACTTTCTTTTCTTGTAAATTCCATGGCTTTGCAGAGTAATGTTGACCTCATAAATTGAGTTGGTAAATGATTCCTCAACCACTATTTTTCTGAGAGTTTGTGTGAACTGAGATAATTTTTCCCAAAATGATTGATAAAATTAACCAGAAGCCACTGGGGCCTTGAGTTTGTTTTGCTTCTTTAAATTTTTATTGCAATGAAATTCATGTGGGGAGGTTTTTAATAATAAATTACATTTCTTTGATAAATATATATATTTTTTATTTTATTATTATTATTTTTTTGAGATGGAGTCTTGCTCTGTTGCCCAGGCTGGAGTGCAGTGGCGCGATCTCGGCTCACTGCAGCTCCACCTCCTGGGTTCACGCCATCCTCCTGCCTCAGCATCCCGAGTAGCTGGGACTACAGCTGCCCGCCACCACGCCCGGCTAATTTTTTGTATTTTTAGTAGAGACAGGGTTTCACCGCATTAGCCAGGATGGTCTCCATCTCCTGACCTTGCGATCTGCCCGCCTTGGCCTCCCAAAGTGCTGGGATTACAGGCGTGAGCCACTGCACCCTTCCAAATATAGAGGTATTCTTATTTTTTTCATTTCTCCTGTGTCAGACTTCCTAAATTGTGTTTTTCAATGAATGTGTCCTTTCATCTAAACTGTTGATTTATTGGAACTGCAGTGATATTTCTTCGTGTATATCTGATATTGGCAATTTGTGTTTTCTCTTTTTTCTTGCTTGATCTTTCCAGGTATTTATGAATTTTATTAATTTTTTTCAGGGAACCAACTTTTGGGTTTTTTTAATTTTTAAAATTTTTGCTTACTATTTCTTTGGTTTCTGCTTTTGTATTATTTCCTTTTTTTCTACCTATCTTTCTTTTGTTTTCCTTGTTTCTTAAGGTGGAATCTTAGATCTATGATTTAAAGATTTTCTTCAAATATAAGCATTTCAAGCTACATTTTTTTTTTTTTAAGGCAGAGTCCTATTGTCGCCCAGGCCCGAGTGCAGTGGTGCAATCTTGGCTCAGTGCAACCTCTGCCTCCCAGGTTTGAGTGATTTTCCTGCCTCAGCTCCCGGAGTAGCTGGGATTACAGGCACTCACCACCATGCCTGGCTAATTTTTTTGTATTTTTAGTAGAGACAGGGTTTCACCATGTTGGCCAGGCTGTTCTCAAACTCCCGACCTCAAGCGATCCGCCTGCCTCAGCCTCCCAAAGTGCTGAGATTAAAAGCCTATGAGCCATCATGCCCGGCTCAAGCTACACATTTTGTTTTAAACACTACTTTAACTATATAACACCAACTTTGTTATCTTGTGTTTTTATTATCATTCCACTCAGAATAGTTTCTAATATTCTTTGTGAATTTTTTTTTTTTTTTTGGCCAAGCACTGTGACTCACGCCTGTAATCCCAGCACTTTGGGAGGCCAAGGTGGCAGATCATTAGAGATCAGGAGTTCAAGACCAGCCTGGCCAACATGGTGAAACCCTGTCTCTACTAAAAAATACAAAAATTATCTAGGTGTGTGATGGGTGCCTGTAATCCCAGCTACTTGGGAGGCTGAGGCAGGAGAATCACCTGAACCTGAGAGGCAGAAGTGGTAGTGAGCCAAGATCCACCATGGCACTCCAGCCTGCATGACAGAGTCAAAAAGGAAGTGTGTTAGTGACCGGGTGCAGTGGCTCATGCCTGTAATCCTAGCACTTCTGTACGCCATGGTAGGCAGATCACCTGAGGTCAGGAGTTCGAGACAAGCCTGGCCAACATGGGGAAACCCTGTCTCCACAAAAATATAAAAAGTAGGCGGGTGTGGTGGCACATGCCTGTAGTCCCAGCTACTTGGGAGGCTGAGGCAGGAGAATCACTTGAGCCCTGGAGGTGGAGGTTGCAGTGAGCCGAGATGACACCACCGCACTCCAGCCTGGGCAACAGAGCAAGACTCTGTCTCAAAAAAAAAAAAAAAAAAAAAAAGCATGCTGTTTAATTTCTGCATATGTGGAACTCTCCTGGATTTCTCATTGTTATTGATTTTTAATTAAACTTTTTTATTAGAAAACATATCATAATGTATTGTAATTTTTTTGAATTAATTAAGACTTTTCATGGCCCAGCACATGATCTATTTCGGTTCATTCTCTACCTACCTTTGGAGAAAAATGTATTCTATAGCTATTGTGTGTGCTGGCCTATTCTTGTCAATTTTGTTAAGAAGATTAATAGTATTGTTAAGATTTCCTATATCTTTACTAATTTTCCCCCAGCCAGTAGTGCAGTGGCACGATATCAGCTCACTGCAAACTTCACCTCCTGGATTCAAGCAATTCTCAAGTCTCAGCCTCCCAAGTAGCTAGGATTACAGGCGTAGGCCACCATGCCCAGCTAATTTTTGTATTTTTAGTAGAGACGGGGTTTCGCCATGTTGGCCAGGCTGGTCTTGAACTCCTGGCCGCAAGTGATCCTCCTGCCTCAGCCTCCCAAAGTGGTGGAATTACAGGCGTGAGCCACTGCACTTGGCCTCTTTACTAATATTTTTGTTTATTGTTCTATCAGTTATGAGAGGGTGGTGGTAAAATCTCCAACTATCACTGTTTAACTGTATCTTCCTTTATGTATACTAAAAGTATGTTATTAGGTGATACATAATTATTGTTGTTAAAATGTGTTATTAGGTGATACATTTTATTGTTATGTCTTTCTAATAAATTGACTTTTTTTCATTTTTAGATGACCTTTTTAATTTCTAGTGTTACTTTTTGTTTTTCAGTCTACTTACAGTTTGATGGAATACTTATTTTCATCCTTTTACTTTCAACTTATCTATATTTTTAAAGTGCATCTTTTATAAGCAGCATATGGTTGGGTCTTTGGTTTTTAATCCAGTCTACATATATCTTTCTGTTATTAGACTACTCCATCCATTTACAAAAACGTTATTGTTGATAAGGTTGAGTTTAGGTTTACAGTTTTGCCATTTAGTTTCTATTTATTCCATTTGATTTTGTTTCCCTGTTTCTCCTTTTCTGTCTTCTTGTGTGTTAATTGGTTAATTTTTAGTATTTCATTTCTCTATTGGCTTAATTATATCTGTTCATTTTTTAGTTGTTGGATTACAAGGTGCATCCTTACTTTATTAGAGTCTACGTTGAGTTAAAATTGTACCACTTCATGTAAAATATAAGTTCCTTGAAACAGTATAGTACCTTTCAAGCTCATCTTGCACTAATTTGCATCTCTATATGTTATTAATCTATATATGTTATGAACACAAAATAGCATTATAATTTTTGCTTTAAACAATCATGTCTTGAAGAAATTGAGAGAGAAAAAAATGACCTTGTTATTCACTCACATAATTACCATTTTTAGTGCTCTTAATTTCTTTCTGAGATCCAAATTTCCTTCTGATACCATTTTTCTCCAGCTTGAAGAGCTTCCTTAAGCATTCTTTCATAATATAAGTGTGAATTTGAGTGGTATTTATACATAGATTGGTGGGGCCTCCTTCCTCTGTGTCTCCCTCATTTCCGAGATAACATTGATAATTTCCAGCCACTCTAGCAGCTCTGAACCCTGTACTCTGACACCTCAAGCCAGTTAAGCTGACCTTTTGCTTGAATTGCTGTCATGCAGACTGGGAAGTGTCCTCAATGAAAAAGCCATATAAACATGAGTCTCACATAGCATGGTTCCGTCTTTCAGTGGTCTAACTCCTTTCAGTGTCTGCCCACTTTTAGTTGCTTTCCAGTGCCTTCAAATAGTTGGCTTTTATATTTTGTTGAGAGTTTATAAATGTTATTTGTGGTAGGGCTAGCTTAATGCAAGCTGCTCTGCCATTAGAGGAACCAGAATTTACCTTCCACTTCTTACTCTCATAAGGGTTGGCAAACTTTTCCTGTAAAGGACCAGATAGTAAATATTTTAGGCTTTGCAGGCCAAAAGGCAAAACTGAAAATATTGCGTGGATATTTATATAAGGAGAGAGAAAACACATTTTCACAAAATTTTTATTGATTGTTGGGTATTTGTCTTATTGATTTCTGACAAGATCTTTACGTATTATGGAGATTAGCTCTTTGTACGTGATACAAGCTGTGAATATTTTTTCCACCTTGTCATTTATCTTTTGACTTTGTGTATGTCTTTTTTTATGCCGTGCAGACTTTTAAAATTTTTGTTATGAAGTCAAATGATCTGTTTTTATTTTTCTCCTATGACTTGTAGAGATTGAGTTATATGTAGCAAAATGATAGGGATATTCTTAGGCATTTACATACACTATATACTATATTATTTGATGGTCTTATTTGTATAATTTCCGCTAGAAATAATTTAACAGGATAAAATTATTACCACACCATCAAGTGTTTTAAATGTATACAGTTAGCCTGAGTCAATCTACGGCTATCTAATAATAGAAATTTATCCATGTTTATTAGCTTTATGGGTTCCTAAAAAAAAAAAATTAAAATCTTTGCTTTTGTGTTTTCACAAACCCCGTGGATGATTCTTGCATACATCAAAATTTAAAAACCACTTATTGGCCGAACAAGGTGGCTCATGCCTGTAATCCCAGCACTTTGGGAGGCTGAAGCTTGCAGATCATTTGAGGGAGGGGTTCAAGACCGTCCTCGCCAACATGGTGAAACCCTATCTCTACTAAAAATACAAAAATTAACCAGCCGTGGTGGTCCATGGCTGTAATCCCAGCTACTCAGGAGGCTGAGGCAGAAGAATCACTTGAGCCCAGGAGGCAGAGGTTGCAGTGAGCAGAGATCATGCCACTGCACTCCGGCCTGGGCAACGGAGCAAGACTCTGTCTCAAAACAAAACATAACAAAACAAAACAAAACAAAGAAAAGAAAAGAAAAAAAGAAAACCACTTATTCACCAGATCATCTCTTATCTCTCTCCCCATCTCATGACAGAAAGTCCCACTAAGCCTCAAAGATCCACTATTAGCACCTCTGTGGTCTTTGTATTTTCCTGTAAGAAGACCTGGTGCAGCATTAGGAAAAGCCCCATTCTTTACGGTTTTTACTGGCAATGTCACTTAGACAAGGGATGTCATTTGTCTGGGGAACTGGATTGAGACAGTATAACTGGATATGTTTGAAACTCATCTTTATACTTATGATCTTGTGAGGTTATCTGACGACATACAAGAACTTTAGTTCCTCTTCTGTAAAATGATATTATGATACAAAGCGCATAGTAGAGTGCCTGACACACGTGAGCAGGCAATAAATGGCTGTTGGTGTGAGCAATGTGGGCCAGCAGTCCTGAAGCTGTCTTCCATCCCACACTGTAGCAGGAGAGGAGATAAACGCAGTTGGAAATAACAGGTGGCATCAGTGGAAAGGAAACAGGCTGGCCAATCCCTAGGGCTCAGAGAAGAAAGGAAAGAGGGCTTTTGGGAGCTGGCTGAAGCCCCGGAATGTCCTCCGGGTTTTGTACTGGCAAGAGGCCCAGGCCTCCCGCCGTTGCTCACCTACCAACTCCCCGGAATTTTAGAATTCAGGCACAAGATGATTTATATGGTTGCTTGAGAGAGGTGAATAATGAAGGGAGAAAGTGCCCATAAAAGGACCAATTTAGTACAACTTCTGGTTTTTCTTTCTTTGCTGGCAGGACTCTGCCAAGACCTCCATCCAAACTTGGCTGGCGGCTCCTCTGCACTGTGAACCAGAGCTGCCCGGCGGGCGAGGTCACAGCCGGTTATTATCCCCTCCCACACTGCTTATCAAGCTTGGCCCTTTTCTCCTCCAGTGTGAATGCTTGGGGCTCTTCGCTATGCAATGAAAATAAACAGCAATGTAAATGGTCTCCTGGCTACTTGATCCACACCAATACGGAAAACCTGCTTTACAAGCTTCCACTGAAACTTCTGGTAGAATAAGCAACTGATAATTCTACACCAAATGTCTGGCATTTAGCCAGAACCAACAACTGTTCCCTTTTTTGCAAGCCACATTCTGGTGACCATGGAGAGCCAAAATAGATATTTTGATTCTACAGCATTTTCTAAAGGAAGGTGAAATCACAGTGCCATTATGCAAACTAACCATAGGTTTAGGATAAGGGAAAAATTAGCTTAAAGACTTTATCTCGCTTCTAAAATCTCAAATTAAAATTTTTTTTAACTTGAAAGAAATTGGTCAACTGCCAATAAACTTTTTTTTTAAAAAAAGAGCTCACCAAATCATTACTGTTTTTTCAAATTGCTGGTACACATTGCTGTTTGATTAGGGTTGCCAGATTTAGCAACTAAAAATACAGGATAGTCAGTTAAATTTGAATTTCCAATAAACAGTGAATAAATTTTTAGTATAATTATGTCCCAAACCTTGCAGGTCCAAAATATTACATGGGGGCATACTTATAATAAAAAAAATCATTGTTTGTTGGAAATTCAAATTTAAGTAGGTGTTGTATATTTTATCTGGCTGCCTTAATTTAGTTGAATTTCACTATGATGCCAGGAAATATGAGAAGGGCAGAGTAACATTTTGACATTTTGATGAGATAGTTAAACCTCTTTACTGGGTCAAAAGAGAATCTACCCACCTTTTCTTTTTGCCATTTGCCCTTTAGTAAAATTAATTTTATATTTTCTACCCAGCTTCGGAGTTACAGTCTTCATTATTCTTCAAAAATATATGTGAGGGAAAGAATTAGTAAATACTACCTGTCAAGGATTTTTCCAGCCATTTTAAATTTAATTTTATTTTTTGAGGAGCAGTCTTGCTCTGTCACCCAGGCTGGAGTGCAGTGGCACGATCTCAGCTCATTGTAACCTCCACCTCCCGGTTCAAGCCATTCTCCTGCCTCAGCCTCCCGAGTAGCTGGGACTACAGGCGAGCACCACCAAGCCCAACTAATTTTTATAAAAGGCATTTTAGATATTATATTTCTTAATAATCATTTTCCTGTATAATTTTAGTTTGAAAGTGCTCAGATTATAAAATTATTATTATCTCAATGGATCTTGGAAATTTATAAAAAGTGGCTAAGTCAATTTATGTTAATAAAAAGTTACTGAACCCAAGATGAGTCAGGTACTGTATTAAACTACAGCTCTAAGGAAGGATAATATTTATTCATTTATTTTTAGGAAAAAATAATCTACATCTCAAGCAATAATGCCCTTATTAGCAGCAAAACATATTAATTAAAGCTTGAGAAGAAAAGAATAAATGGATATTAACAAATTTGCTAATTATTCTTTCTTGTGGATATAATTGTTTATTCAATAAATATTTTTAAATTATTTTTGTTGACAAAAATGTTTACATATTTATCATGTACACATGATGTTTTGAAATATGTATACATGGCAGAATGACTAAACCAAGCTAAATAACATATGCATAACCTCACACACTTATGTTTTCTGGTGAGAACACTAAAAGTCTACTCCCTTAGATTTTCACTCAACAAACATTCATTGAATGGATACAAGTACTAGGCAAAGAGGCTGAAGCTACAGTCCCTGAACTCATGTTTTTTTGTTTTTCTTTTGATTTTTTTTTGAGACAGAGTCTCACTCTGTTGCCCAGGCTGGAGTGCAGTGGCATGATCTAGGATCACTGCAACTTCTGCCTCCAGGTTTCAAGCAATTCTCCTGCCTCAGCCTCCCCAGTAGCTGGGATTACAGGCATGCACCACCATACCCAGCTAATTTTTGTATTTTAGTAGAGATGGGGTTTCACCATGTTGTCCAGGCTGGTCTCGAACTCCTGACCTCAAGTGATCTGCCTCCCTCAGCCTCCCGAAGTGCTGAGATTACAGGCGTAAGCCACCGTGCCCAGCCATGAACTCATGTTGAGTAGGGTCCAGTGGGAGAGACACTTGCTATCACAGAGGATGAGTATGACCTTGATTGCAAATGTTCTCCTAGGGCGCAAGCCCAATTATGCAGTCCAAAAAGAATCCCCATAGGCACTCAACAGCATGAGAATGCCTCAAAGTCTCTGTACACTCTGCACATGGATTCAGATGACTCTGCCTGGACAATCTGGAAATCCTAAAGGATTATAATGGGAAGCAAGTAAATGGAATTCTGTATGAGTTTGAGTAAACATAATTTAGAGGAATTGCCTCAGTGAGTGGTGCCAGACTGCGATGCAAGGCCATATTGTACCAATTGGCCTGACAATATCATTGTTAGTTGGTAGGTGAGGTCTACTTGAGTATAATTCCAATTCTATTTTCCAGATAGTCTATCATAGGCAGACAGGATACTCTATGGTGATAGGTATAATGTGATTGATTTTCTCCATGAATAAATTTTATGAGCATTCTTGTGAAAACTGCATTAGTTTGATATGGCATGCTTGACAACAAACCACATTTTCTAAAGATGCAAATCTCAAATGTTTATTTGTGGTGAATACACACACACACACACACACACACACACACCCTTGCAGATAACCACAAGTCTTTTCAAAGGTTCAGTGCAGCTGGGACTACCTCACACCTGCAATTGCTTAATAAGATGCAGTGGTGTCTTAAACTCAGCATTGACCTAATATCAGTGACTGGCATTCATCTTCTTAAGGTCAGCATTCTGTGGGTGCTGGAGATACTGAGTAAGACTGAAACCAGGCATGCAGCAGAAGAGAAATCATTGACACCATCCTCCATGTCATTTAAATTTTAAAAAATCTTTTAAACTTTAGATAATTGAGTTAAAGTGTTTGGAGGCAACATTTATTCAGATCCCACAATTACTTGAATTTTCCTCTTTTCACACTTTCTCTTTAAAGACAAAATCTAAGAGTATGAGAATTTTATTACAGAGGACATTTACATTTTAATCAGCCAGGGTGTCCATATGGTTAAACCTCCAATGAATTTACACATAATAATCAGTACCAATTCCCTCAGTTTTCTTCCATTTCAGTTGGAGAGAGGGACACCTGGAACAAATTCCATGGAGTATCTGGTTTGTCCTATGTCCACCCCCAATACATTTAGAAAGAGGAAGCATGGTTAAGTGAACAGTCTTGAAGACAAGAAGTCACCAAAGGCCAGCATGTAGAGCAGGCAATTCACAAGAGGGAAGAAGAATTTCTACTAGTTCTGCTTTGATGATCAAGGAGGGTGAGATGAATTATAAACTTGGGGGCCAGTCCTTTTTATCCACCGGGGGCCTTCTGTCTTTCTTAAACGTCTACAATGAATTCTACCCTAATTTGCTATACTTTTTTTTTCCTTTTTTTTTGTGAGAGGAGTTTCTCTCTTGTTGTCCAGCCTGGAGTGCAATGGCACAATCTTGGCTTACTGCAACCTCTGCCTCCAAGGTTCAAGTGATTCTCCTGCCTCAGCCTCCCAAGTAGCTGGGATTACAGTCATGCACCACCATGCCCGGCTAATTTTGTGTTTTTAGTAGAACACAATTAAAATTCTCTGTGTTGGTCAGGCTGGTCTCAAACTCCAGACCTCAGGTGATCTGCCTGCTTTGGCCTCCCAAAGTGCTGGGACTACAGGCATGAGCCACTGTGCCCAGCCTAATTTACTAAACTTTAACTCAGTTGTCCAGTTCACGTAGAATGAGCTCAAACTTTAATATTTATTTCATCAATCTGGTTTTATTATAATTGAAGCCAAATATAATATAATAGATTTTATTACCATTCAACATTTTCACAATCATCAACTTAAGGATAATTAGGAGCAAAATAATTACCAGACATCCTACCACAGAGGAATTTGCTCTTTTCAGTCATCTATACAGAGCTTCAATTTAATTTTTTACAAAGTAATTAATCTAGTTTGCAATTTTTTCTGTCCCTTTTTAATTTAACTCAACAAACATTTATGGAGAGCCTGCTTTGTGCTAGGCACTGTGTGGCAGCAGTGTTCAAATAGGTAAATTAGACTTAACACCCTGAGAATTCTGTAGCTTGCACCTGGCCCACGTTCCTCATCTTACAGATGATGAAAAGTCTTGATAAATTAGAAATTTCATACACAGAAAGGGAGTTATGATCAGGTTACCTATCCCAAATTATGACTTATCATTTACTCTCTTTCCTCTGTTTCAAAGTGCTGTGCATACTTATTTAATTATGTATTTATTAGAGTTGGTCTCACTGTATTGCCCAGGCTGGACTGCAGTGGTGCAATGTCAGCTCACTACAGCCTTAGCCTCTCCAGCTCAAACAGTCCTCCCACTTCAGCCTCTCTAGTAACTGAAACTACAGGTGTGCACCACCATGCCCAGGTAATTTTTTAATGATTTGTATGTTGTATTAATGGTTTTTTTATTTTTATTTTATTTTATTTATATTTTGTAGAGTTAGGGTTTCACCATGTTGCCCAGGCTGGTCTCAAACTCCTGGGCTCAAGCAATCCACCCATTTCAACCTCCTAAAGTGCTAGGATTACAGATGTGAGCTCTCACAGCTAACCTTATTTACTTTTTAATAATAAAGATGAGGTCTCACTATGTTGTCCAGGCTGGTTGCAAACTCCTGGCCTCCAACAATCCTTTTGCTTCAGCCTTGCAAAGTGCTGGGACTACAGGCATGAGCCACTGTGCTGGGGACCACTGTGTGGCCTTTGAATGGAAGTCTGACTTCATTCCAAAAGGAAGGGGAAAGGCTATCAAAGGGCTTTTCTTTAAAGGTATTTGCAGATGAGTTTCTCCTGCTGCTCAGTCATCTCTAGGTCAGTCATCTCTATGCTGCCTTATCCTGCTACCTCTTTTTTTTTTTTTTTGAGATAAGGTCACACTTTGTCATACAGGCCAGAGTGCAGTGGCGTGATCATGGTTCACTCCAGGCTTAACCTCCCAGGCTCAGGTGATCCTCCCACCTCAGCCTCCCATGTAGCTGGGAGCACAGGCATGTGCCACCACACCCAGCTAATTTTTGTATTTTTAGTAGAAATGGGATTTTGACATGTTACCCAGGCTGGTCTCAAACTCTTGGGCTCAAGAGACCCACCTACCTCAGCCTTCCAAAGTGCTGGGATTATAGGCATGAGCCACCATGTCCGCCACCCCCAACCTCCTTTTTACCAACCCCTTGTGGCTCAGCCTACAGGATTGCAGGTGTTTTTACTGTTGAAAAATAGTCAAACTCCAGTGGTTTTAAAGGGACAAGTAAAGCAACATTCACAATTGCTAAGACATTCAATTCTAGGTATATATTCCACAGCCAACTTTTTTTTCCCCCATGAGAGTTCATAATTGCATCATGGGATACAATGAGAGCCAGGGATTTTTTGTCCATTTGATCCTACGAGAAACAGGTGAATATACAGTTGTGATTTTAAATCATGTGGATAGAAGTTTGGAAGGATAGAGATCTTCACATTATAAGTGATTATCTGATTTTTGAGCTTATAGGCAATTTCAATTTTTTTCTTTGAGCTTTTGCTTATTTCTTTTCTCCTTCCTTCCTTTCTTTCTTCTTTCTTTCTTTTTTTTTTTTTTTTTGAGACAGAGTTTCACTCTTGTTGCCCAGGCTGGAGTGCAATGGCATGATCTTGACTCACTGCAACCTCCACCTCCCGAGTTCAAGCGATTCTCCTGCCTCAGCCTCCTGAGTAGCTGGGATTACAGACATGTGCCACCACACCCGGCTAATTTTTTGTAGTTTTAGTAGAAACGGGGTTTCACCATGTTGGCCAGGCTGGTCTCGAACTCCTGACCTCAGGTGATCCACCCACCTCAGCCTCCCAAAAGTGTTGGGATTACAGGTGTGAGCCACCATGCCTGGCCAAGCTTTTGCTTATTTCTATGATTATTTTCAATTGTTCAATGAATATATTAATCAGAAGAAAAATGTTTAGATCTTTTATTTTTTCACTCTGTTGCCCAGGTTGAAGTGCAGTGGCACAATCTCTTGGTTCACTGTAGCTCAAGTAATCCTCCCACATCAGCCTCCCAGGTTGCTGGGACTACAGGCCTGTGCCACCATGCCTGGCTAATTTTTGTATTATTTGTAGGGATGGGATTTCACCATGTTGCCCAGGCTGGTCTCGAGCTCCTGGGCTCAGCCATCCATCCATCTCAGGCTTCCAAAGTGCTGGGACTACAGGCATGAGCCACTGCACCCAGCCCTTAAATCATGTTTCTTAATCTCTTAACTGCACACAGATGTGGGTACAATAATAAATATGTTCTTTGTGCAGTGTTTAGCACAAAGACAAAAACAACCTAAATGGCTACCAAAAAAGTCAAAGACAGTGGAATACTGACTATGACTCAAACTTACGGCTATTGACAAGGATTGGTTCAATCCATTAGAAGACTATGAGCCCGTAACAAAAGATGTTGTGTATCTGCACATATTTCATGGGGAAATGTCCATGATAAGTGTTTACAAACTTGATGTTTACCATGAACCTATTTGTATTAGAAAGCAGTTAATGTATGTATGTATTAAGCTCTTAAAACAGTTTGGTTTTATCCTGAAGGTGGGATTATAAGGGCAATAGGCCAGGCACAGTGGCTCACACCTGTAATCCCAACACTTTGGGAGGCTGAGGTGGGCAGATCATGAGGTCAGGATTTTGAGACCAGCCTGACCAACATGGTGAAACCCCGTCTCTACTGAAAATACAAAAATTAGCCAGGCGTGGTGGCTGGCGCCTGTAGTCCCAGCTACTCAGGAGGCTGAGGCAGGAGAATCACTTGAACCCGGGAGGCAGATGTTGCAGTGAGCCAAGATCACGCCACTGCACTCCAGCCTAGGTGACAGAGCAAGACTCTGTCTCACACACACACACACACAAAACGTGCAATACAGCTTTCCTACTTATACACTCTATAGTTTGTTAGGGCTTCATTAGCAAAACACCACCGACTAGTTAGGTGGTTTAAACAACATACATTTATTTCTCACTATTCTGGAGGCTAGGAATCCAAGATTAAGACATCAGCAGATTTGGATTTTTCAAAGTCCTTTCTCCTTGGCTTGCCGATTCTCCCTCTGTGTTCTCACAAGGTCATCCCTCTTTCTGTGTGTTATCTGTGTCCTAATCCCCTCCTGTTGTAAGGACACCATTCAGATTGGATTAGGGTCCCCCCCATGTGACCTCATTTTAATTTAATCATCTCTTTGAAGACCTTATCTCCAAGACAGTCACATTCTGAGGTCCTGGGTTTAGGACTTCAACTAACTAACAAATTTGAAGGAGGACACAATTTCGCTCATGATGTGGAGCTTGGTATTTTCTTAATTTTTTCTGTGAACATTTATTAGTTTTATAACCAGCAAACAACAATACTTATTCAAGTGGAGAATCATTCTTCAAATAAGTAAATATTGTATGTCTGTCTTCCAGGAGGAAATGGTACCTAGATGATGGCTTTTTTTTTTTTTTTGAGACACAGTCTCACTCTATCACCCTGGCTGGAGTGCAATGGCACTATCTCGGCTCACTCCAACCTCTGCCTCCCAGGTTCAAGCAATTCTCCTGCCTTAGCCTCCCAAGTAGCTGGGATTACAGGCTCCTGCCACCACAACTGGCTAATTTTTTGTATTTTTAGTAGAGATGGGGTTCCGACATGTTGGCCAGGCTGGTCTCGAACTCCTGACCTCAGGTGATCCACCCGCCTCGGCCTCCCAAAGTGCTAACATTACAGGCGTGAGCCACCGGACGATGGCTCTTATCTGTGCTAGTATTTTCCTATGTTTCAGCTTATGATTTTATTTATTTAATTTTATAATTATTACTATTATACATGTTCTTTACAATTAGATTCTTTTTTTTTTTAACTTCTTAAATGCACAAATTTATTTTTTCTCAACAAACACACATCTTAATGCCTTTACAACTTTTATCTCCCCAAATATATCTTGCTTTTCTTTATACATGCTGTATACAGAGTTGTTTTCCTTATATTTAGTAGTTATTGCTTTTTTGTGCCCTTTTGGGTCCTGAATTTACACATCAGGCATAGATCTTGGGACAGGAAAGAGCTGTGAAGCAAATTCCTGGAAGATCAAACCCCTTCCAGCATGGCCAGGTAGCACAGCTGAGCCAGGGATGATGGGGCCATATTGGGTTTGGCTCTGCCTTGCAGCTGGCAGTCCAAACACTGAGGACATGCATATTTCTGCAGGCCTCACTATGGTCATCTGTCCAAACCCCAGAATCCAGAGACTCAAAACGAAATACAGTCATACAGTAAGATATGTGCAAGGTTTCAGGGAGCCCAGCAGCCAGACCTTACAGCTTTAGCTCAATTTAGACAAATCAAGCAAGTTTAAGAAATATTCCAGAAGTAGCAGTTTTATGACCTTAAAACATGTAATAGGCTGGGCACGGTGGCCCATGCCTGTAATCCCAGCACTTTGGGAGGCCAAGGTGGGCAGATCACTTGAGGTCAGGAGTTCGAGACCAGCCTGGCCAACATGGTGAAATCCTGTTTCTACTACAAATACAAAAATTAGCCATACAATTAGATTCTTAAAGATTCATTTTTCCTGAATATTACATTCCAACATGACTATTGAAAGTGAATACAGATGAAATGGCATTGGCTAAATGACCTTAGAAAAAGGGTATGACTTTCTTACCCTTGAGCTCATGACATTGTCATGAGGGTGATAAACTCATATCTATGATAAATTAAATTTGACTAAATCTGTTTTGTTTTGGTTTTGTTTTTGTTCTAGTAGAGACGGAGTTTTGCCATGTTGCCCAAGCTGGTCTGAAACACCTGAGGGCAAACTATCCTCCTGCCTTGGCTTTCCAAAGTGCTGGGATTACAGGACTCAGTCACCACACTTGGCCTGAATCTATTTTAAAGCCATTGATGAATATGAAAAAAATAGGTAAAATATTTAAGTTTGACTGTTAGACCTATAAACTGTAATCTTTCCTAAGTTTTATTATTGAGGCAACCTATATACATTGGATAAATAGGAAAACTATTTCAGTGAGCAGAGAAAGAAAAGCATAATTTCTTTTAAAATATTGGAAAAATCTACTGTAATAGATTTTGAATACTAAATTTTTCAGCATATAATCTCAATCTTTTATCCCATGAACTATTTATGGATGTATTTATACAAATTCAGCCCGATCTAGTGAATGAGAAAAGAACAAGCTACAGATTTCATTCTCAACAAGCTTGGAATCTAGTTGAGGAGGAATAGTTAACAAAAATAAAACTAACACAAGGCATAAAGAAATAATTGCAAATTGTGACTAGTGTAGTAGGTCTGAGGAAACATAAATCAATGTGGATTGAAATAATGTGGGTTCATATTGGGAAGGAGGTGTGACTACATCCAGGTCTTGGAGGAGGCAATAAACTGACAGAGGGACGAAGGTGGAACATCCCAGACAAGATGAGAACATGGGGACGAGGGAGGGACAAGGAAAATGTCATGATGCACTTTGAGAACGATTAGTGAATCCACCTGATGGGACTGAGAGCATCTGAGAGTAAAACGTGGAAAACAAAGCTGAAGAAATGGTTAGTGCTCCTAGATTATAGAGAATCATGACAGCCTGGGAGATAAGGTTGCAACTGATCCAATTGCAAGTGGTAAGTGGAGGTAATTGGAGCCATTTTTTATTTAGAAGTAGGGGAAAGATAATGCTACAGTTGGATGCCAGGCAGTGGTGCATGCCTGTAATCCCAGCACTTTGGGAGGCCAAGGCAGGTGGATCACTTCAGCTCAGGAGTTCGAGACCAACGTGGGCAACATGGTGGCCAGGCATCGTGGTGCTCGCCTATAATTCTAGCTACTCCAGAGGCTGAGGTGGAAGAATGGCTTGAGCTTGGGAAGTCGAGGCTGGAATGAGTCTTGATCATGCCACTGCACTCCAAGCCTGGGAGACAGAGTGAGGCCCTATCTCAAAAAACAAAACAAAACAAAAAACCAGCCAGGCAGGCACGGTGGCTCGGGCCTGTAATCCCAGCACTTTGGGAGGCTGAGGCAGATGGATCACCTGAGGTCAGGAGTTTGAGACCAGCCTGACCAACATGGTGAAACCTCATCTCTACTAAAAATACAAAAACTTAGCCGAGCATGGTGCTGGCGTCTGTAATTCCAGCTACTTGGGAGGCTGAGGCAGGAGAATTGCTCGAACCTGGGAGGTGGAGGTTGCAGTGACCTGAGATCGTGCCACTGCACTCCAGCCTGGGCAACAGAATGAAACTCTGTCTCAAAACAAAAAAACCAAAAAACCCAAAAACTTCACCTAAAAATAATTTCTTGCTCTGACTTCAGAGGATGTCCAGGTCCCTAACGGTAAGAGCTCTGATTACATAAGGAGTTCCGCTGTTGAACTCTAGCTACTCACTAAGGGAGTCAATTTCAGGAGAGGATATGGATACCATCTTAGTCTGTATCTCAAATGACTCTTCATCCTCCTAGAGAGCATGGCACCTCTGTCAGCACCATGGGTAGTGATGTGGGTAACTCCTAGTACAGGAAGACAATTCCTCATGCCTGAGAAGAGCTCCAGTCAGGGAGAGCTTCTCTTCATCTAAGTCGGCAATTCTCAACCCTAGCCACAACTTCGAATCACTTGAGGAACATGTAAAAACATACCACTGACTAGGCTCCACGCTATTTAACTCAAAGGATAAATGCTTGAGGGGATGGATACCCTATTCTCCAAGATGTGCTTATTTCACATTGCATGCCTGTATCAAAACATCTCATGTACCTCATGAATATATACCCTTACTATGTACCCACAAAAACCTTTTAAATTTTTAAAATAAAATAAATAAATAATATTTAAAAATCAGGATCTGTGGGAGTTTGGCCCAACAGTCTAAGCAATCAAGGTCTTTCATGCCTATATTTCTACCTGGGAAAAGAAAATAGAACCAATATAGTAACTCTGAGCTGATATGGAATCTAAAAGACCCCAGTGTTCAGGAGAACACTGGCATAGTAACTACTGCCTGGAAGCTTTCTTTGGTACCCCATCAGAGTTGCTTGTGCTGACACCATGACCTTTGTTGACTATTATATCCATGAGTGACACTAGCCTATGTGACCTTGAGTTCTACAACTGTAATTTATGCTAATTTGCTTGCTACTGCTAATGGCTAGACAACCACACATATGCACGCGCGCGCGCACACACACACACACACACACACACACAATTTTCTCTCTCTCTCTTTCTCTCTCTCTTTCAACTGAGTTTTAAAGGAAACTATTGAATTAAACACTATTGGGTTTGTTTTTCCCTAATATGAACTTTTCTTTTGTATCTTATGTGTTCTATGTATAATTATATTTTGTCATGTCTGTTTCAGCCCAGAATCATTGCTCCATGGAGACCATCATTCTATTCTACTGGCTCCAAAATGAGTTTAACCAATCTGGACACTTAGACGTTGTCATCACTTTCTCACCTTTAATATCATCAATATTAGTAACACTGTCATAGAATACTGGGAAAGTAGAAAATAAAACGTCCAGGCCCAGTGGCGCACACCTGTAATCCCAACAGTTTGGGGTGGATTGCTTGAGCCCAGGAGTTGAAGACCAGCCTGGGCAACATGGCAAAACCCTGTCTCTACAAAAAAATAAAAAATAAATAGCCTGGTGTAGTGGCACGTGCCTGTACTCTCAACTACTCAAGAGGCTGAGGTGGGAAGATCGCTTGAGCCCAGGAGAACAAGGCTGCAGTGAGCCATGTTCGCACCACTGCACCCCAGCCTGGGTGACACAATGAGACCCTGTCTCAAAAAAATAAATAAAATTAAATACATCTTTATAGAACTCATTTAAATTCTCAACCCTTTTAAAACAAGTTCTTAATTATTTTACCCATTGGAATCTTTTGCCTCATCTCTGCAAAATGTCAACTAATTCTCTTCATGAAATTCCAGACTGTAAATACAGGTTTTTCTACGCAAAAAAAAAAAAAGGCTGGGAGCAGTGGCTCATGCCTGTAATCCCAGCACTTTGGGAGGCCAAGGTGGGCGGATCATCTGAGGTCAGGAGTTTGAGACCAGCCTGGCCAACGTGGTGAAAACCCATCTCTACGAAAAATACAAAAATTAGCTGGGCATGGTGGCATGCACCTGTAATCCCAGCTATTAGTAGGTGCTGAGGCAGGAGACTCGCTTGAACCCTGGAGGCAGAGGTTGCAGTGAGCTGAGATCACACCACTACACTCCAGCCTGGGCAACAGAGTGAGACTCCCTTTCAAAAAAAAAAAAAGAGTCTCTTATTCTCTGTAGACCTCAATTTCCTCATCTTTGCAATGAAGGGGTTGGACAAGATAATCAAGCCCCTCTAGTTATTTTAGTTTTTTTGGCTCATTCTTTATTTCTTTATTTATTTATTTGAGACAGAGTTTCACTCTTGTTGCACAGGCTGGAGTGCAATGGCACGATCTTGGCTCACCACAACCTCTGCCTCCTGGGTTCAAGCAATTCTTCTGCCTCAGCCTCCCAAGTAGCTGGGATTACAGCCATGCGCCACCATGCCTGGCTAATTTTGTATTTTTAGTAGAGATGGGGTTTCTCCATGTTGGTCAGGCTGGTCTCGAACTCCTGACCTCAGGTGATCTGCCCGCCTCGGCCTCCCAAAGTGTTGGGATTACAGGCGTGAGCTACCTTGCCTGGCTGTTTTGTTTGTTTGTTTGTTTGTTTTTTGGAGACGGAGTCTTGCTCTGTTGCCCAGGATGGAGTGCAGTGGCACAACCTCAGCTCACTACCCGCCTCCTGGGTTCACGCCATTCTCCTGCCTCAGCCTCCCGAGTATCTGGGACTACAGGGGCCCGCCACCATGCCTGGCCAATTTTTTTTTTGTATTTTTAGTAGTGACGGAGTTTCACCGTGTTAGCCAGGATCCCTGTCCGTTTTTTGACTCATTCTTACAACTTATTTATTCCCTAATCCTAAAGAACCAACCCTAAATAATACATATTTGGTAATTTTTTTTAGCAAAACATTTACCCATGAGACATGATTTTTTTAAATGAACGTTAAAGAAGTGTTGCCTATTTCTAATAAAGTCTAAAAAGCTTGTTTCAAGTCCAAATTCATTTACGAAAAAGCTATGTAACCTTGTGCAGGGTGCCAAGGGGTCTCAGCCTCTATATTTGCTATTGTTGAAACTACTACCATTTATCTCAAAACATGTTTTAAAAGTGAATTACTTATGAATAAAATGATAAAATGTCTGGAATGTGTTCCAAAATAGCCTGGGGGTTAGAGAGGGTGAGAATAATTTGAATAGAAGAAACAAGACAGTCTATTGCTGAAAATTGCTGAAGTTGGGGTTCGATTATACTATTAAGTGGATATAAGGACAAAATAAGATGAAATGGGCCGGGTACGGTGGCTCACGCCTGTAACCTCAGAACTTTGGGAGGTTGCAGTGAGCCGAGATGGTGCCACTGTACTCCAGCATGGGCAACAAGAGCGAAACTTCATCTCAAAAAAAAAAAAAATGAAATGTCCAAAACCTTCAAAAAGTTTTAGTTTTTATTTTTAAATATATAAGTAAATATATAATATTAATAAATATATATATTAAAATACATATATATGTGTGAGACAGGGTCTCACTCTGTTGCCTAGGCTGGAATGCAGTGGTATGAACACAGCTCACTGCAGCTGCAACCTCCTGGGCTTAAGGAATTCTCCTATCTCAGCCTCCTGAGTAGCTGGGACCACAGGCAAACGCCACCACACCTGGATAATTTTTTAAATTTTTTGTAGAGAAGGGGTCTCCCTGTGTTGCCCAGGCTGGTCTCAAACTCATGGGTTCAAGCAATCGTCCCACCTCGGTCTCCCAAATTGCTGGGATTACAGGCATGAGCCACCATGCCTGGCCTGAAAAGCTTTCTTTAAAAAACTTAAAAATATCTAAGAAAGTAAGATCTTTTTAGCAAATCTTGATTGACATGTGGGTGAGCTAATATACACATTTTCATTTTCCATGACTTCCTGAAATTAAGAACTAGCTAAATAAAGTGATTTGTTTTCAATGCACATTCTAAATTGAACTACCATTTAACCCAGCAATCTCATCACTGGGTATATTCCCAAAGGAACATAAATCATTCTGCCAAAAAGATACTCGCATTCATATGCTCATTGCCATGCTATGCACAATAGCAAAAACATGGAATCAGTCCAGTTGCCCATTAATGGTAGAATGGATAAAGAAAATGTAGTACATATACCCTATGGAATACTACACAGCCATAAAAAAGGATGAAATCGTATCCTTTCCAGCAACATGGATGCAGTTGGAGGCCATAATCCAAGGCAAATTAATTCAGGAACAGAAAACCAAATATCACATGTTATCACTTATAAGTGGGAGCTAAACAGGCCGGGCATGGTGGCTCACGCCTGTAATCCCAGTACTTTGGGAGGCCAAGGCAGGTAGATCACCTGATGTCAGGAGTTTGAGACCAGCCTGACCAACATGGTGAAACCCCATCTCTACTAAAAATACAAAAATTGGCTGGGTGTGATGGCACATGTCTGTCAATTCCAGCTACTCAGGAGGCTGAGGCAGGAGAATTGCTGGAACCCGGGAGGTGGAGGTTGCAGTGAGCTGAGATCACGCCATTGCACTCCAGCCTGGGCAACAGAACAAAACTCCACCTCAAAATAAATAAAAAATAAATAAATGCACCTCCTATTAATTATATGAATATTGAAAACTAAATATTCTGATTCAAAAGTAGCTTCTATAAAATTTCAGAGTAGTAGACATTATTTGCTTTCCCAGATGTGTAAATAAGAAACCTTTCACAATTAAATGGAAATATCAGTATATCGGCCGGGCACGGTGGCTCACACTTGTAATCCCAGCACTCTGGGAGGCTGAGGCAGGTGGATCACAAGGCCAAGAGATCAAGACCATCCTGGCCAACATGGTGAAACCCTGTCTCTACTAGAAATACAAAAATTAGCTGGGTGTGGTAGCTGCCTGTGGCCCCAGCTACTCGGGAGGCTGAGGCAGGAGAATCGCTTGAACCCAGGAGACGGATGTTGCAGTGAACCGAGATCTCGCCACTGCACTCCAGCCTGGCAACAGAGAGAGACTCTGCCTCAAAAAAAAAAAAAAGAAAAGAAAAAAAGAAAAAGAAAGAAAGAAATATCAGTGTATCAGAGCAAAAAAAATGTAATACATACATGGAAAGGCAGGCATTGTTCTGGATTCAAGTTTTCAAGTTTGATTTCCATTACAATGTTTTCTACAACTTGTAAGAACTACACACAAAAGTAAAAAGATGAAGTAAGCCTCTTATACATTGAGGAAAGTGTTTAAAACTTAATACTCAGATACCCCCTTGCCTAGATTCTGTCTTAGAAGCTCTTCCATAATTATGATGAAGATGACATATATCTGAACCATATAATGAACAGCAGTTTTCTTGGTCTTCTGAGTAGGCAATGATGTTCTTTCTTGTTATTACAAAACAATCATGACTAAGTTTTGCCAACAATATTGCTCCATTGTGGGTTTACATGAGGCACCACACTACAGTAAGAGCAGCTATGATGCCATTAAAAATCGCCATGCTATAGCCCATATGGAAAGAGTGTCCAGTCAGTTTCTCGAACCTGGCAGGTGAACAAGGAGCAGGAGGACACATTCCTGGTTCAAAAGAATCGAAGTAAGTCACTGTCCAAGAAAAGCTGCCACAGGAGAATCCAGCGGTTAGGGATATTATAAGCAAAGTCTAGACCAGTCATAATAGCCCAGTGTCTGCATCATTTTCATTTTTCAAATTCTCAGCATGCAACTCTGTAAATACAAAGAGGGCCACAACTTCCCTCCACACCTCCTTCCCCTTAATTTACAATTTCTAACATGCACTCACCTGAATCATCTAACTCAATCTTCATAAACAAATCTTTAACAGAAAAGGCAGATATTTGCAGTCCTATTTTTCAGATGAGAAAACTGAAACTTATGTTTCACTATGCCAGAATAGTTTCTGAATTCCTCCATGTTCATCATGTTTACCAAGATCTTGAAAGAGATAAGAGTTGTTTTTTTTTTTTTGTTTGTTTGTTTGAGACAGAGTCTTGCTCTGTCGCCCAGGCTGGAGTGCAGTGGCGTGATCTCAGCTCACTGCAACCTCCATCTCCTGGGTTCAAGCGATTCTCCTGCCTCAGCCTCCCAAGTAGCTGGGATTACAGGCACATGCCACCGCGCCTGGCTAAGTTTTTGTATTTTTAGTAAAGACGGGGTTTCACCATGTTGGTCAGGCTGGTTTCGAACTTCTGACCTCGTGATCCGCCTGCCTCAGACTCCCAAAGTGCTGGGATTACGGGCATGAGCCACTGCGCCCGGCCTGAGATAAGAGGTTTTGTTTTGTTTTTTTTTTTTCCCCCAGTTTTAATCTAGAAGTTTAGGATCATTAATCTGGGCCAGGTGAGGTGGCTCACGCCTGTAATCCCAGCACTTTGGGAGGCCGAGGCAGGCGGATCACGAGGTCAGGAGATCAAGACCATCTTGGCTAACACGGTGAAACCCCATCTCTACTAAAAATACAAAAAATTAGCCGGGCACGGTGGCGGGTGCCTGTAGTCCCAGCTACTCAGGAGGCTGAGGCAGGAGAATGGCGTGAACCCGGGAGGCGGAGCTTGCAGTGAGCCGAGATAGCGCCACTGCAGTCCGGCCTGGGCAACAAAGCAAGACTCTGTCTCAAAAAAAAAAAAAAAAAAAAAAAGAATCATTAATCTGATTTTAAAGTAGATTATTACATATTTTGTCCACACCTATGGCAGTTGTAAATTGCATTATAATTATGTTTAAGAAATGTTCCATAAAACCCCATAGGCTTTCCTTGCTACTGGGGAAGTAGGTCTGAATCCAAGCCAAACTGGAAAATCATGTTACGACCATACCAACTTGTCTGAAATCTAATTTGAGAAACGGTTAATTGTAAATATCTCCAATGGAATTTTGTCCTGAAAAAAAGTGAAAGAATGGGCATAAACATCAGGCCGCACCTTTTTTAGGAAGGCATTCTGTAGCCAGTAAAGAGAGCAGGGAGAGTCCTGAGGGCCAGGGAGTTTCCAGGGTGATGACTGACCCACGTCCTCTTCCTCTTCCCATAAAATAAAAGTGGGGATTTCTTCCATTGCTGAACAGTCCTTAGGACTTCCCCAGGCTCCATAAGAGAAGATACCAAAGTGGGGATCCCCACTCTTGGGGACTCCTAAAGCTTCCTTTAAGCGGGGCTTCTCAACCCTGACTACCTTTGAGAAACAGTGGGAGATTTTACAAAAATACTGCTCCCTGGGCCCCACCCCAGATCAATTAAATCTGCCTGGCTAGAGATAAGAAGTGGGGCCTAGGCTTCAGTAGTTTGAGAACCTTCTGGGTGATGCTAATGTACTGTAGAAGCTGAGGACCACTGCTTTAGGCTGTCTGCGAGTAATCACAAAGTCCTCTGCATTCCACTTCCATGATCACAGAAAACCTGAGGAGGACCAGGTGCGGTGGCTTATGCCTGTAATCCCAACACTTTGCGAGGCCGAGATGGGCAGATCACTTGAGCTCAGGAGTTAGAGACCAGCCTGGCCAAAAAAAATCCCGTCTCTACAAAAAATACAAAAATTACCTGGGCGTGGTGGCACGTGCCTGTAGACCCAGCTACTCTACTCAGGAGGCTGAGGTGGGAGAATTGCTTGAGTCCGGGAGGCAGAGGTTGCAGTGAGCTAAGATTGCGCCACTGCACTCCAGCCTGGGTGACAGAACCAGACCGTGTCTAAAAAACAAACAAACAACTGGGAAGTGTGAAGATTTGCAATTTGGCACTCTTCCGCCTTTCTTGTCTTTCAGCATGGCCCTCCCCACTCCCTCCTTGCCCACCTCACATACTCAGCGCTCTTCTCTTCCATTTGGTTCTGCCTCCCTCCTGTATCTCCTCTCCTATAAATATCAGTACACAGGAAACAGGAACCTATTCACATTAAAGTGTATAAAACTCTCAGGGCACTGTGGCCTATGCCTGTAATCCTAGCACTTTGGGAGGCTGAGACAAGAGGATTGCTTGAGGCCAGGAGCAGCCTGGGCAACACAGCAAGACCCCACGGTTGCAAAAAATACAAAAATTAGCCAGGCATGGTGGCGCATACCTGCAATTCCAGCTATTCAGGAGCTGAGGTGAGATGATCACTTGAGCCCAGAGGTTGAGGCTACGGGGAGCCATGATTGCACCACTGCACTCCAGCCTGGGCAATAGAGTAAGACTATGTCTTAAAATATATGTGTAAACTGATAACCTAAAGCGACCACCCTCACAGGAGCACGCACTCATCTTTACTGTAGAATAAAACCATGCTTTAATTCATCAAGAGCAACAGGCTTCAGCAGAACCCCGTACCCACCACCAGCACCATGCCCATGCTTAGGAAATGTAGCACATGTTTGGGCCAGAAGAAGTTTCCTCTGCCCCACTGGTCGTAACTCTGAGAGCTTCACTAGACACACCTATGCCCCGGTCCAGTGTCCCCAGGAACAGCCTCTTGCAAATCCCAAAAGAAGCAGAGAAACAGAAGGAAGCATGCGTTGACACCAATAGACATTCTGTGCAATTGGAAGTGTGTTCAGAAAGCGGAATAGTTCTGTTATGTCAAGAACCAGCTTTCCTATCTCTGAAGAAGGAACAGTATGCCCCAAGGAAAGATGGAGCGAGCGTATATAATTCAGGGGTAAGGAAGCAAATAAACATTTGCTAAATTCTACTTAACTATATGACAAATCATCAAAACCAAGCTGTATATGTCTCATGTGGTTTGAATAGAAGCCAATAGATCAGTGAGAGTGCGAAGGGTGAGTCATTTCATGCTTTCAGGATGTTTCACTGGAGAATGAGCTCTGCTGCCCCAGCAGTGCAGGTTTCAAATCATACAAACAGCAGAAGCCCCTAAGTCACCACAACCTAGTTACATCTAACTCAGGTTATACTGTGTTTACTTCCTCCAGGAAAGTCACCACAGAATACATCATGAGACTTTTGTGCATACAGCTTAGCAATTATCGGAAGGAACCAAAAGCTGCCCTTTTTGAGTGGCTGGTTTAACATATGTATACTAAAAGCAACTGATGTTTGAGCTCAGATTGTTTATTACATATTTAGTCCAGCATTCTAAACATGACAAGTTAACTCAGTTATAAACCAACATACAAATAATGTGGGAGGAATAGTTATCCCATGAACTTGCCTGAAAGTTCTCTGAGCCAGAAATTACAAAATTTCTATTAATATAGATGTTACCAGGAGGGTGAGTGGAAAAGAAAGACGGCAGGTAAATCTCGATTCTGTCCTAAGACATAGCACATGACTGATAAGTGGCTATCATGGTCAAGGACGAGAAGAAAACAAACAAGCAATTGCTACAAATGCCTTAAACTTACAAAACCTCTTCCAGACCTGACTTTGTGAAACAGAAGTAGCATCAGCCAAGAAACATTTTTAGATGGTCCTTTTGTGGTCAAAATAATTTGAAGTTATTCTATTCTTAGACGTTTGGAAGAAATCTGTTGACATATGGCTATAACAAATTACAAACACCCCCAAATTTTTGTTAGGAAAACATACTGCCAACTGTGAAATGTGTGGCTCATTACTATTTGGGAGATGCTCCTGTAATAATTTAATAATAATCATAGCAATAGTTCTAACTTCTGACTATTTTATAAATGCTATTCACCATATCCAACTTGGCACTGGTAGCTTCGAATTTACAATAATAATAATAATAGCATCTAAAATTCATTAAACCCTATCCATTTGCTCAGGATTGGGACACAGGCTTTGTGTCATAAACTCATCATTGTTTCCATTTTGCTTAAGAAGAAAGAGGCTCAGAGAGGTTAAGGGACTTTCCCAATCAAGGGCGCTATGCATAGGCTGCAGATTTCAGCCCCACGTCTGTCTGTTTTGCATGTCTTTACTCTACCACTATGCTATATTGTCTCTCTATAGAAACACATCAGCAAATGAAGAAAATACAGATTATTTAAGCTATAAGTTGGAAAATGTGGACATAACTGGTTGGGTTCTATTCATTTCCTCTAGCATTTTGTTGCATTTTTCATTTTGTGGGATACAAAATAAAATAAGCAAAATATACGTTATGTTATGGGAGAAAATCTTCACAACTTTGAGGTAAGCAAAGATGTCTTAGGACACAGAAAGTTAAAGTTCAAATAATAAAAGAAAAAATTGATAATTTGGACTTCCTCAAAAATTTTTAAATGTATGTTCTTCAAAAGATGCCATTAAGCAAATGAAAAGCAATCTACATATAGGGGGAACATATATGTAATACAAATATCTGATGAAGGACTTGTGTCCAGAATATATAAAGAACTCTTACAACTCAACAGAAAAACAATAATGCAATTAAAGATTTGTGGAGAAAGTTAAACTGATATTTTATCAACAAAGATATATGGATGACTTGTAAGCACATGAAAAGACTGTTAATATCTTTCGTCATAGGAAAAGGCAAATTAAAACCACAATGAGATACCACTACACACCCACTAGAATAGCTAAAAACCCTAAAGACTCATCCAAAAGGCTCCTAGAACTGGTAAATGAATTCAGCAAACTTTTAGAATACAAAATTAATGTGAACAAATCAGTAGCCCTGCCACACACCAACAGCAATCAAGCTGAGAATCAAGTCAAGAATTCAACCCCTTTTACAATAGCTACAAAAAATTAGGAACATACTTAGCCAAGGAGGTGAAAGATCTCTGCAAGGAAAACTACAAAACACTGCTGAAAGAAATCATAGATGACCCAAACAAATGGAAACACATCCCATGCTCACGGATGGGTAGAATCAATATCGTGAAAATGACCATACTGCCAAAAGCGGTCTACAAATTCAATGCAATTCTCATCAAAATACTACCATCTTTCTTCACAGAACTAGAAAAAGCAATCCTAAAATTCATATGGAACCAAAAAAGAGCCTGCATAGCCAAAGCAAGACTAACCAGAAAGAACAAATCTGGAGGCATTACATTAACCAACTTCAAACTCTACTATAAGGCCACAGTCACCCGAAGAGTATGGTACTGGTATAAAAACAAGCATATAGACCAATGGACCAGAATAGAGAAGCCAGAAATAAAGCCAAATACTTACAGTCAAATGATTTTGTCCAAACAAACAAAAACATATAGTGGGGAAAGGATACCCTATTCAACAAATGGTGCTGGGATAAGTGGCAAGCCACATGTAGGAGAATGAAACTGGATCCTCATCTCTCACCTTATACAAAAATCAACTCAAGATGGATCAAAGACTTAAATCTAAGACCTGAAACCATACAAATTCTAGGAGTTAACACTGGAAAACCCCTTCTAGACATTGGCTTAGGCAAAGACTTCATGACCAAGAACCCAAAGCAAACACAACAAAAACAAAAATAAATAGATGGGACTTAATTAAACGAAAAAGCTTCTGCACAGCAAAAGAAATAATCAGCAGAGTAAACAGACAACCCACAGAGTGGGAGAAAATCTTCACAATCTGTACATCCGACAAAGGACTAATATCCAGAATCTACAAGGAACTCAAACAAATCAGCAAGAAAAAAAAAAAAAATCTCATCAAAAAGTGGGCTAAGGACATGAATAGAAAATTCTCAGAAGAAGATATGCAAAAGGCCAATAAAGATATGAAAAAATGCTCAACATCACTAATTATGAGGGAAATGCAAATCAAAACTACAATGTGATACCACCTAATTCCTGCAAATATGGCCATAATCAAAAAAATAAAAAATACATATGTTGGCATGGATGTGGTGAAAAGGGAGCACTTTTACACTGCTGGTAGGAATGTGAACTAGTACAGCCACTGTGGAAAACAGCATGGAGATTCCTTAAAGAACTAAAAGTAGAACTACCATTTGATCCAGCCATCCCATTTCTGGATGTCTACCCAGAAGAAACGAAGTCCTTATACAAAAAGATACTTGCACACACATGTTTATTGCAGCACAATTGACAATTGCAAAAAATATGAAGCCAGCACAAATGCTCATCAATCAACAAATGGATAAAGAAAATGTGGTAAATAAATACCACAGAATACTACTCAGCCATAAAAAGGAATGAAATAATGGCATTTGCAGCAATATAAATGGAATTGGAGACCATTATTCTAAGTGAAGTAACTCAGGAATGGAAAATCAAACATTGTATGTTCTCACTCATAAGTGGGAGTTAAGCTATGAGGACGCAAAGGCATAAGAATGATACAATGGGGCCGGGTGCGGTGGCTCACGCCTGTAATCCCAGCACTTTGGGAGGAGTAGGCGGGTGGATCACTTGAGGTCAGGAGTTCGAGACTAGCCTGGCCAACATGGTAAAACCCCATCTCTACTAAAAATATAAAAATTAGCCGTATATGTATAGGTATGGTGGCAGGTGCCTGTAATCCCAGCTACTCAGGAGGCTGAGGCAGGAGAATCACATGAACCAGGGAGACGGAGGTTGCAGTGGGCCAAGATCGTGCCACTGCACTCCAGCCTGGACCATAGCGTGAGACACGGTCTCAAAAAGAAAAAAAAAGAATGATACAATAGACATTGAGGACTCGGGGGAAATGGTGGGAGGGGGGTGAGGGATAAAAGACTACACACTGAGTACAGTGTACACTGCTTGGGTGATGGGTGCACCAAAGTCTCAGAAATCATCACTGAAGAACTTATCCATGTAACCAAACACCACCTGTTTCCCAAAACCCTATTGAAATTTAAAAAAATAATAATAAGCTAAAAATGGCAGTGATATGGAGGTTGCAGAGCAACTAGAAACTGCGTACATTGCTAGAGGGAATGTAAAATGGTACAACCACTGTGGAAAACAGTTGGCAGTCTCCTATGAAATTAAATGCTACCCTATGGCCCAGCAATTCTAGGTATTTACCCAAGACAAATGAAAACATATCCACGCAAAGATTTGTACATAAATGTTTTATTCATATTTATTTAGCTTTATTCATGAGTCCCAATGTGGAAACTACCCAAATGGCCATTGACTGGTGAATTAATAAACAAGTTGTATACATCCTTAAAATGGAATACTACTCAGAAAGTTAAAAGGAGTGAAATACCAGTACATGCAACATCATGGATGAATCTCACAAACATTATGCTGAATGAGACACCAGATGTAAAAGAGTACATATGTAATGATTCCATTTATATGAAATTCTAGAAAAGGAAAGTTCATTGTGATCTGCATCATCTATTTTTCTTTTCTGCTAGATCATTCCCATTAACGTAAAACATGTCCTTTCACTCCCACTCCCATTGTTAAAAATCACATCAGTTGTTACCTGGAGCCAGGGATGGGGAGATAATTTACTGCAAAGAAAGGGATAAGAGGAAACTTTTTGACAGAATGGGAAATGTTCTATGCTTTGATTGTGATAGCAGTTGCATGTGTATAAATTTGTCAAACTCATCAAAATGCACACTTAAAGTGGGTGTATTGAGTTATATATAAACTACACCTCAATAAAGGTGATAAAATGTATATTTTTGTGTCCGTATTAAGAGGTAGTAAATGGTTTAGAGAAAAGCAAAGCAAGGAAGAAGGATAGGGCGTGCGTGGGAATGAGGTGTTGGTGTCATTTTTAAACAGGTAGAAGCAAGGAGCCCAATTAAAAGGTTACTGCAATAACCCAGAAGAGAGATGATGATGAGTTAGACACACCATAATAACGGCAGTGGAAATAAGTGAACAGTGGTCAGACTGCAACATAGCAAGACCCTATCTCAAATTAAAAAAAAAAGAAAAAAAGTGGTAGCGTGGAGTAAAGCATGAGTCCAAGACTCATTAAGTAAGCCTGTGCCACTGGAAGGATAGCATTGAGATGGGGGGTAGACTTCAGGGAGAGGTTTAGGGAATAAAATCAGAAATTCGTTTGGGGACATGCTAAGTTTGAGATGTATGTTACACATCCAAGTAGAAATGTCATGCAGACAGAAATCTACATTTGAGGGAAGAGTCGTGGACTGAAAATTGAAGTTTGGAAGTCATTAGGATATAAATGATTTTTAAAGCCACAAGACTGGATGAATTCACCAAAAGAGTAGAGAGAGAAAAGAAAAGCATTCCAAATTCTGAACCCCTAGTATTCCAATGTCAAGAAGCCAGAGAGATGAAGAACCAGCACAGGGACTCAGAAAAAGGGACCAGTTAACTAGGAGGAAAGCCAGAGTGTGCATTTTCCTAGAAGCCATGTTGTGGAGGGCAGGTGGCAGGGGGAGCACTTTTAAGGATGGAGTGAAGAGCTGCACTAAATGCTGCTGATGGATCAAGCAAATTGAGGACTGAGGACTGACCCTTGGATTTGGCAACCTGATGGTCAATGGTAACCCTGACAGGAGCAGTTTTGACAACCAATGGGACAAAAGCCTGACTGGTTAAACTGAGAAAGTGGGGACAGTAATTGGAGATAGCAGTATAGAAAATGTTTAAAAGGAGTTCTGAAAGGAGAGGTGAAATGGTACGAGAGCCATAGGGAGAATGGGGAGATAGAGAAAGGATTTGGGAGTCACAGAAAAAATCAAAAGGGTTGATGCTGATGGCAATGATCCAGTGGTAGGGAAAAATGGACAATTCTGGGAGAGAGGGATGACTTCTGGAACAATGTTTTTGGCAATGCAAGAGAGGACAGGAGTGAGTAGCAGGTAGACCATACTATGAAAAACAAGACAGAAAAGGACCTTCAGGCTGGGCAAGGTGGCTCACGCCTGTAATCCCAACACTTTGGAAGGCTGAGGCAAGAGGATCACTTGAGGCCAGGAGTTCGAGACAAGCCCACCAGGTGACTAAGTGAAATCCTGTCTCTACAAAAAGTATTTTTTAAAAGTAGCCAGGCATGGTGGCACATGCCTGTAGTCCCAGCTAGTCAGGAGGCTGAGGTGGGAGGATTGCTTGAGCTAGGAGTTTGAGGCTGCAGTGAGCTGTGATTGCACCATTGCACTCCTGCCTGGGGCAACAAAGTGAGACCCTGTCTCTAAAACAAAGAGAGAAGGGACCTTTAATCA
Organism: Homo sapiens; assembly: GCF_000001405.40. Taxonomy (NCBI): domain Eukaryota; kingdom Metazoa; phylum Chordata; class Mammalia; order Primates; family Hominidae; genus Homo; species Homo sapiens. The sequence continues at coordinate 80,341,838 of NC_000008.11, read as the reverse complement.
AACTTCCCAATGACACATATGTTGTGATTCTCTGAGTGCTCCCAATGCAGATCTGACTCAGTATCTTCCATATGTGAATCATTTGTAGATAAAGAAAAACCTTTCCTTGCACAGCTGAATGTGTGAGGACTGTTTGCTCTGACCTCTCACCTCATTGCGACCCCAGATCTTCATGCCACAAACCTTATTGCCAACATTCTTCTCCAATTTACGGGATGTAAATTTTCCTTACAAGTAGCAAATACATTTCTTTTTCTCCCAATTTTGACATTTTCACATTTGATGGATGCCGAATTATTCTCCCAGATAGTTTCTGGCAGGATGAAACCAAGTGAGCTTATTTTAGCTCCCTCTCTTGTTTTTCCTGTGGCATTTTCACTCAAGCCAACCCAGCTAAGGAATGAGGCATGGTGGTGAGTAGCTGCTGTGGAACCAGTAGCTGTGCTCCTAATCCAGGAGGAGGGTCAGGGAGCAGTCCTGTGGAGTCCACAAAAACCGCAAAGTTAAGAAAAATTGTAAACAAAGCCACCAAAAAAACAACAAGGGTTACATAAAGGGTTGCCAGCCAGTTAGATCATCTGAGTTGGACTAAAAAAATGTTTGAGCAAAAAAGCCCAAGGACTCATATTGCAGGATGAAGCCCCAAATCCTATGCCTTATCAGTTTAATCACTATAGTTATGACCTGACTGCTAGGAACATAAATATTTTGAAAGTCTTTGTCATTTTTATTATTTTAAGAATGTGTTTCTAGTTTCCAAGTGATAGAATTGAGTTTCATACTGCTATAATTACCTTCACATCTCTGGTTACTCTGCATGAAAAAAAATGGTTATGTGAAGTCATTCAAAAACCTTTGATAACAGAATGTGCTAGGCATTATGCTAGCTAGTGAGAGCTTTAAAATGATGAAGATGTGGTCTTTGCTTTTAAGGATCTCACTGTCGGGTTGGGGAGACAAATGAAAAGAGAATTGAGCCAGGCGCAGTGGTTCACGCCTGTAATCCCAGCACTTTAGGAGGCCAAGGTGGGTGGATCACCTGAGGTCAGGAGTTCGAGACCAGCCTGACCAACAGGTGAACCCCATCTCCACTGAAAATGCAAAAAATTAGCCGGGCGTGGTGGCGGGTGCCTGTAATCCCAGCTACTCAGGAGGCTGAGGCAGGAGAATCCCTTGAACCCAGGAGGTGGACATTGCGGTGAGCCAAGATTGCACCACTGCACTCCAGTCTGGGCAACAAGAGTGAAATTCCGCCTCAAAAAAAAAAAAAAAAATTGCAATGTAATGTGGTAAACGCAATGGAAGTGAGTGGATAGGTTATCAGAAGAGGACAAAAGAGGAACCTTGCCCCATCTGGGGAAGCTGTGGAGGCTGAGGGGCTACTAAAAATTTCGCAGATAATGGGAACACCAGAAACCAAGCAGATGACAAAGAGGTGAATGGGGAACCATAGCTGTTTGACGTTACTGCATCATAGAGTGGGAAACTGGGATTGGTGAGCCTTGAGACTGGAGAGATAGACACCACCAGTGAACACCAATGATGGGCAGCCTCAAATGCCTTAAGAAAGCAGCAAGTAGGTGATGGGCTTTGGCAGGGGAGTCAAATCTTTAGATTTATTTCTGGTGAAGGAACCTTAGGGGCATGTGTAAGTTAGCTCCTCTCAGAAGCAGACCCTGCACCAAGGATTTAAGTCAAAGTCATTTTTAAAGGAAATGATCCTAGAAGAAACTAGTAAGAAAGTGGGAGAAACAGACTAGGGAAAGGGGAAAGGGAAGAAGCCAAGCAAGGGAGCAGTTTCAAGAGAATTCCTAGACTCATTCTGATCCTGTGAGAAACTCTGGAGTGAAAATTACACCTCAAAGTTTGTCCACCTAAGTCAAGTAGCTGGGCTTTTGTATCTGCACACCAGTCAGTTGTCACCAACTGGCCATCCTGAAGTTGACTCTTGGCAGGTCTTTTTGTCCCGAGGGGCTAGGCAGTTCCATTGCAAAGGACAATCCTCTTTCAGTGACAGGTACCAGCAAAGATGCAAGAGCTGGGGGTGGACAGAGAGACAGCTGGTGACAGAGATGGAAAGAATTTGGGCAAGGTACCAACAGTATCCACAGGGAAGACTAAATTAGAGTAAAGTGGGACTTTTTAATACTATTTTAAAAATAAGGAATATGGCTGGGCGCAGTGGCTCACGCCTGTAATCCCAGCACTTTGGAAGACAAAGGTGGGTGGCATCACCTGAGGTCAGGAGTTCGAGACCAGCCTGGACAACATGATGAAACCCCGTCTCCACTAAAGATACAAAAATTAGCCAGGCGTGGTGGCAGGCACCTGTACTCCCAGCTACTTGGGAGGTTGAGGCAGGAGAATTGCTTGAACCTGGGAGGTGGAGGTTGCAGTGAGCTGACATTGCATCACTGCACTCCAGCCCGGGAGACAGAGGGAGACTCCATCTCAATCAATCAATCAATCAATAAAATAAGGAATATGTGCAACAGGTAGCTATAACCCCTACCCTACCCCCAGATCTTTTCCTTTCTCTGACTGCCATTTCCCTTCTGAGTGAGTAGTGACAGAGTTCCTATATTTGGGCTCACCTGAGAAATAAAGGGCAAGGTAGTAATCATGAAAAAGGTGAGGATAACTAGAATACACATTCTCTGGTCATGAAAAACAAAGATTCTTTTATGTTTCTTTAATAGAACCATAGCTTACAAAAAGATTCCTTTAAAACTGAGAAAAGTTTATTTCTACCACCAATATTTCCAAGTACAATAGTACATATAAAAATGTCACTTACGTGGATTGAGATGGAAAACCGGTTGGGAGGATATTGAGTATCCAGGTGAGGTAGGATGATGAACTGAACTAGGAAAGAGGTGGTAGAAATGAAGAGTGCAAAAGATTTAAGAAATATCTAGCATCTTGGCCAGGCACAGTGGCTCACACCTGTAATCCCAGCACTTTGGGAGGCTGAGGCGGGCAGATCACCTGAGGTCAGGAGTTCAAGATGAGCCTGGCCAACATGATGAAATCCTGTCTCTACTAAAAATACAAAAATTAGCTGGGTGTGGTGGCGGCTGTCTGTAATCCCAGCTACTTGGGAGGCTGAGGCCAGAGAATCACTTGAACCCAGGAGGCGGAAGTTGCGGTGAGCAGAGATCACGCCATTGCACTCCAGCCTGGGCAACAGAAGGAGACTCTGTCTGAAAAAAAAAAAAGAAAGAAGAAATATCTACCATCTTAAAGAGGCAGGATTGATTATTGATTAAATGTTAGTGGTGAGTCAAGGAAGATACTCTTGTTTCTAGCCTGGGTGTCAGGGTAGATGGAAATATTAAATGAGACAGAAAAATATAAGAAAAAGAATGAGTTTGGGGTGGGGAGATGATGATGATCTCATAGTATCTTATTCTTATACATTTTGGTATTTTCAGATTGAGACTCAAAACCATCTATATCCACACAATTGACTGTGTACCTTAATATGGCTTCACTCTTCAACTGCCTACATTAATATAATTTGGCTATTCCAAGAAAGTTACCCATGAAAATGTGGCAGATAGCTTTATTGTTATAAGAACTCTAAACTCTATCCAAACTACAGGCTACTCAACTAACCCTCAGTAAATATTCCCTTCTTGGGCAATAGATAGATATTTTATAAATGACAATTTACTCTTCAAGATTCACTTTGAAGCTCCTTCCTTGCTTTGTTCCCCAATCCTAAACTATTTTTTAAAATCCTAAACTATTACATCATAAGTTTTTGCCTAATCCCAATTAGACCTCCACATTGAACAACCCACCCATAACCAGTCCCCCAAAACGTCATAAATACGCTACCTTTGTCCTCTACCCTCTCAGACACTATTAAGACACTGTTAGGGTAATGGTCACTTTCACTGCAATAAGCAATAGAGTCATTCTGCTTTCATTAGAATAGTTTTAAATAAAATTCTGCTTTATCAACAGGCCATTTTTGTGGTATTCTGAGGGAGGAAGGATTTGACAGGATCCAAGATCATTTATGACTACTTTCTACTGAGCAGAAGTTTAAGCTGATTTTACTTTTTACGTATTTTCCCTTTTCTTTCCTTCCTTTTTTTCTTCTTTCTTTTACCAACTATTATTGATTTTTCCTAATTTTATTTATTTTTTAAATTGACAATAATTATACATATTTATGAGGTACATAGTGATGTTTTGATACATGTAATGTATAGTGGTCAGACCCAGTTTAAACTTTTTTTTTTTTTTTTTTTTTTGGACACAGAGTTTGTGGCTCTGTCGCCCAGGCTGGAGGGCAGTGGCATGATTTCAGCTCACTGTAACCTCCATCTCCTGGGCTCAAGCCATCCTCCCACCTCAGCCTTGCAAGTAGTTGGGACTACAGGCGTGTGCTACCAAATCTGTTTATTTATTGTATTTTTCGTAGAGATAGGGTTTTGCCATGTTGCCGAGGCTGGTCTCAAGCTTCTGAGCTCAAACAATCCACCCACTTCGACCTCCCAAAGTGCTGGGATTACAGGCGTGAGCCACCGCGCCCGGTCCACGTTTTCTATTAGTGAGTTTTCTTAGCTCTTCATGTACATGCAGCTGGAAGCAAATATTAATTTTCTGGGCCACTCTCCTTTCTCACACAAGTAGACTCTAAAAGGCTTCATTTTCAACTGTTTGACCTTTTAAAGATTTAGAAACATAATTGTAAAAGACTCGATAATATTCCAAAGGTTTCTCCCAGAAGATTAAACCTGGGTTGTTTTGGACATAGTGTGTACTATCATTTAAGTTTAAAGAAAAAAAAAAATTCTGTGAAAACTCTCGAAGTGTGGAGAGATATGTGTGAAGGTCCTGCTATCAACACAGGATCATCAGACATGCCTTTGGGAAGGACAGCTGGGAAAGCTCTGCCTTTGGGTGGAGTATAGAACCTTATGCCTTTTATTTTACAGATAATGTCCATATCTCCAGAATAAGGGTGTTCTGGACTGGCTGAGTTACCACAGATAATAATTATATATCTTCAGAGCTTCTGTCCCTTAAATCTTGGATGGTGTAGACAATAAAGAAACAAGACTCCTTCAGCAAGGATTTATAGCTCTGTCAATCCACAGCTATGCCTGATTTAGCTTTTAGCTTCATGTTGGTTTCAACTCATTATCTGAGACAAAAATTAAAATTGATTCTAGATCAATGGTTTTCAGTGGAGGCAGGCAATTTTGCCCTTTAAGGGGCATTTGGCAATACTTCCAGAACTTTGGGTTGTCACAACTGGGGGTTTGGAACACAGTGTGCTACTAGTACCTAGTGATAGAGATGTGAGATGCTGCTAAGCATTGGACAATGCACCTGAGTGTTAGCCTCAACAAACAATTATTGGTCCAAAATGTCAAATGTAACAAGGTTGTAAAACACTGATTTTGATAGTTTTGTTGCAGTTGGAAAATAGTGCAGGCATCTCAAAGTACTCAAGTGACATATATTTATTTTTATGTATTTTTAGTAGAGACAGGATTTCACCATGTTGGCCAGGCTGGTCTCGAACTCCTGACCTCAGATGATCAGCCTGCCTCGGCCTCCCAAAGTGCTGGGATTACAGGCATGAGCCACTGCGCTCGGCCCCGGTCTGCTATTTTCAATCTTCTTACTGGAGTGTTTCAGTGAACTCAGGGGAAATGGATGATCTCTGTCTATTTCCTGTTTTTCAACTGCCAGTACAAGGTGGCCCCCACTGTGGAATTCTTTGGAAAACAGGTCCAGAACTCTAGTGAGTAGGCAATCAGGATAAATACTGAAAAAGAGAATATGCCAAACTTTATAATATTTAGATGAGTAAGATGGCGTGGTGGGCAGAATAATAGGCTGACAGTAATGTCCACATTCTAATTCCTGGAACCTGCGAATATGTTACATTACATGGCAAAGGGGAATCAGGGTAACAGATGGAATTTAGGTTGCTAATTAGCTGATCTTGTGGTGGAGAGAGTAGCCTGGATTATCCAGGTGGGCCCAATGTAATCACAAGTGTGATTACACAGGTACTTAAATATGGAAGAGGGAGACAGAAGAATCAGTGAGTGATGGGGGGAAAGACTAGAGCATTCCTTGCTGACTTTCAAGATGGAGGAAGAGACTGTGAGTCAAGCAATGCCGGCCGTCTCTACAGGTTGGAAAATAAAATGGATACTCCCCTAGACGCTCCAGATGGAATGTAGCCCTGCCAAAATTCTTATCTTAGCTCAATGAGCCCCATTTTGGAGCTCTGACCTCCACAACTGTAAGAAAATAAATATATGTTGTTTTAAGCCACTAAGTTTGTGGTAATTTGTTACAGCAGCACTAAGAAATGAATAAAGATAGAGACTTCTCTGTTGCCTAGACAAATCAAGTGACACTTGTATGTAGCAACTTAGTAATATTGCTACTTGCTGTATAATTTTTTATAAAGTTCCTTCCTGATCAGAGTCTTCTCACAAGTAGTTCCTAGGACAAGGGGGAAGAAAATTGGAAACACTTTGAGACAACTAAAGATAGGCAGGGATCTCATCAAGCCTTTAATGACAGAAGAAAAATGGGGTTAAGATGGCCTTATTTGCCAGGTGTTGTTTCTTGAGATTCTCAAATACCTTACATTTGGAAAAGGAATGGGAATAAAAAATCATTTAAAATACCTGTGCTTCCCCAGCAGGCAAACTACTTTATTTCAACAAGGCCATAAGAACTAGGGAGAGGTGTATAAGGACAGGAATAAGATGAAGAGGTGGGGCCGAGTGTGGTGGCTCATACCTGTAATCTCAGTACTTTGGGAGACTGAGGCAGGAGACTTGCTTGAGTCTGGGAGTTCTAGACAAGCCTAGGCAATTTAGTAAGACTTTGTCTCTTAAAAAAAAAAGAAAACCTAAAAATTAGCCAAACATGGTGGTGCATGCCTGTAGTCTCAGCTATTCTGGAGGCTGAGGTGGGAGGATCCCAGGAGGTGGAGGTCGCAGTGAGCTGTGATCATGCCACTGTGCTCCAGCCTGGGCCACAGAGTCAGACCCTGTTTCAAAAAAAGAAAAAAATAATTAAAAGGTGGACCAGCTGGCAATTATTTAGGTGTAACAAAAATGTTACTGAGCATTAAAACATCACTGGAAGTGTGAAGAGAGAAAATTGTATTTACCAGACACGAGCCACTGTGTCCGGGTCACAGACTTCTCCCTCATAGAAGATATGGTTAGAGAACTATTCTGCTGAGCAACTTGAGGTAGGGACCCCCTGCCTTTTAAGGAAAATGGGTGTCACTGAATCCAGGCTAATGTTTTAATGGAAATGCAAGCTTGGGGCCATAGCCGGACTACCTAAAACAGTAAGGGTGAGACTCAGTATACCTTCTAGTGGTCCACCTTTCTACCATCTTCTTACTCTACATTTCTCCAAAGCAAATGGTAAGTAGATATTTGCAGAGTATGCCTTTGAAAGGGTTCTAACCTGTTATCCTATCTCAGCTTGGTCTTGGTGTTTGTGATGTATGTGTAACGAGATTAATCTGCAGCAGGGGTGTCCCATCTTTTGGCTTTCCTGGGCCACATTGGAAGAAGAAGAATTGTTTCGGGCCACACATAAAATACAATAACACTAACAATAGCTGATGAGCTTAAAAAATGCAAAAAAAAAAAATCTCCTACTGTTTTAAGAAAGTTTACAAATTTGTGTTGGGCTGCATTCAAAGCTGTCCTCGGCCACATGCGGCCCATGGGCTGTGGGTTGGACAAGGTGTGATCTACAGTGATGTCCAAGGTCATTTTTCTACACTATCCTGAGGTTTTGAAGTAATCTCTGACTTTTAGGAGCCTAAGGATATTATCTCCTTAGTTTTATTGTAACCAAGTTCTCAGAAGTGACAAGTTGGTTGACATGGCCAGAATAGAGATTTCTGGCACTTCAAATTGCCAGAAATCGTTCTGAATCTCTTATCACTCTAGTGTTTACATAGTATAGTAAAACAACTTATGGAAAATATAAAGAGTAGCTCAAAAAAACAAACAAAAAAACAAAATCTACACTAATTTTGGTGGGGCTTTTTATAATGTGTATATTTTATGAGTTTGGTGTAGAGACATTGAAATTAGAACATAGTATTTTAGATTTAAATATGGCACACACCTGTAGTTTTAGCTACTCAGGAGGCTAAGGTGGGAGAATTGCCTGAGCCCAAGAGTTTGAGTTTCCAATAAGCTGTGATCACCCACTGCACTCCAGCCTGGGTGACAGAGCAAGACTCTGTCTTTAAAAATAAAGGTATAGCTGGACGAGGTGGCTTATGCCTGTAATCCCAGCACTTTGGGAGGCCGAGCCAGGTGGATCACTTGAGGTCAGGAGTTCGAGACCAGCCTGGCCAAAATGATGAAATCCCATCTCTACTAAAAATACAAAAAATTAGCTGGGTGTGGTGGCACACACCTGTAATCCCAGCTACTCAGGAGGCTGAGACAGGAGAATCGCTTGAACCCAGGAGGCGGGGGTTGCAGTGAGCCAAGATCATGTCGCTGCACTCCAGCCTGGGCAACAAGAGAGAAGTGCCATCTCAATAAATAAATTAATTAATTAATTAACAAAAAAATTAAAAATAAGTAAAATGAGAAGACATTGAATTAGTAAAATGCATGCTGTTCAGTTTTTTTGGTGCTTGAATGGGATTGCAAAAGATAATATACATGAGATTACATCCCAAGGGACCATTTTAGCCCCTTTAAAAGACTGAAAATAATACAGAAACAAAGCTAAGCTTTAATTATTCAACAGAAAAGATAATGCTTTTCAGTTATATAACATAAATCAACAGTTTGAAATACAGATGTTTACATTTAGGTAACGCTAACTGGTATAAATTCAAATTCTCCTTCTGATTTCTCTAAGAAAAATGTATTATACAAGGTAGGTGAAGATCAACAAGGAGTAAAATTTTTCAAAGATTCAGTTTCCTTCCCACCAATGGCAGCTCCAGGGGGTTGTTTGGAGGGACTTTAGTTCCCTATAGTTGCCCCTTCCCAAAGCCATGTACCAAAATGAAACAAAACTGCAAGTCAAAACTGTGCTTGCTTGGCCAACGCAGCTACAAGACAAGCTCTCTAGTCCATTTAACTCCATTGCTGTCCCTAACCCCTAACTTTATAGAAATTCAGGAGTCTGCACTGCTTCTTCCTCAAGGACACAGTAAGGGGGGTTTCACAGGCAGGGCCTGTTCTTGCAACACCTCATTAACACCTTGTTATGAAGAATCATCTCTTTGACCTTGATATTTTTTTGAGAAAAGTAAATATTTATTTCCACCTATATTCACATATGCTGCCCAGAAGCCACCCATTTATCTGACATGTTTTATTAAGGATACCAGATGTTCCTGCATAAATTTTAGGTATCACACTTTCTGACAACAGTGTCTAGAGGAAAAACAGACCTTCAAGTAAATGTATACAGAGACTTTGTATGCCTCCCTGAATTAAATTTATTTTCAGAGATATTAGCATACAGAGGCTGACAATTGCCCAGATCTACCTCCTAAAATCTAATTACCATTAATGTATTGACATACCTTCCTTGCCACCTCCCCACCTCCCCAGTCCCCTCCTCCCCGCAAACCCAGGCATTACTGAAAGAAAAAACCTGGGGTTTTACTGTCTCTATATCTGTTAAGTCAGGCTTTTGGATAATAAGTTACTTTGGTTCCCGTATGTCTACACAGGCCAAGGTAATTAGTCATTAGCATTTATGTGCTGCTAATTACCACTAGTGAGAAGTGCCTGGGAAACGCCAACACAGAGTGTTACAGCAATTTGTTTTGTGGGCTGGAGAGGTGGTTTGATTCCATGTCCCATTATATCCTCAGTATATACTAGGCTAAGTGGCGTTGTAGATTTGAAGTGGCATTTAACTTTCAGCAGAGGATATCCTTCCTTTCACTTGGACATTTTCGTGCTAAAACAGCCCACTTGTCAAAACTCTTAGCTATTGTGGTGACAGATGTTACATGATACACAGCTAGGTAGAAAGCTGGCATCTGACAACTTTGAGCTGCACGGGCACACATGTCAATGTGCCGTGAAATGCAGACACTCCCCCTCACAATCTGGATAAACACTTCTTGCTGAGCCTTTACTGTATCAATTTGGAGCAGATGGGTTGCTGCTTTTCTGATGTATTATGACAAGCAGCAGCAACTACTAATCATAGCGCCAAGAACTGTTGGTGTCTAATGCTGTTCTTTTTCTATGTCACCCCTTAAGTCATTGTTCTGCGCCTCAACAGAGATTTAAAAAAAAAAGAAGAAGAAGAAAGATTAGTTGATCATCCTTAGGGATAGTAGAGAGTCTTTGGACCCAAGAGTTTTTCTCCTTTTCTTCTGGTTTGAGAGCTGGGTCTGCATCTTGCCATCTGTACTGAATTCTGGAAATTTTCCTAGGCCTCAAACTCTGAAACCAGGGATCTGGGCAGTGTTTTAAGGAGGCAGGCATGGGGAGAAGAGCTGGTTTAACCAGTGCCCAATAGGATATGAAGCCCCCATCAGTGCAATCAGCCTTATAATATCTTTCACTGTTACCACACGGAACTATGGTGGGTCTCCTCTCTCCCCATGCTGTCATCCCAAGGCTCTGCAGATCCATTTTAGCCTGATTTTATTTACACGAAAACTTCAGGGGGTAAACTGGGGAAGATCTCTCTTGTGAATTACCCGTTGCCCAACCCCGTGTGGCTGTCCTGGGTCATGCATGCCATGCAGACATCCCTGGCACCTCGAATCAAGCATATCAAATCGCTGGAGAGTTTCTTCATCTGATTGGGCAGCAGACGGTGGTTTCAGGAACCAGGGTGCCAGAAAAAGGGATCAAAGTGAGCTTAAAATGTCCCAGTGCACTTCCAAAAGAAATACTGCCTTTCCTTTTCACAAAGTCCACTTTCATAGCAAGGGGGCCTGCCTTCACCCCCAGGCTCACTGTGGCAGCTCATGGTGCTGTCCAGGTTTGTTTACTTTAGAAAGAGAGTGTAAAATTACTTCGTTCCTTTAGTGACAGTTATACTCCTTACAAGCTGGCTGATATATACTGAATTCACTGAGTGTGAAACGGGCCTCTGTGGGTCAATGGGGCAAAGGAAAACCACAGAGTGATTTATTGCCCTGAACGCTCTATTCACAGATAACAGAGAGGAGGGTGCTTGTTCCAGACCCAGGAGGGGTGGCCTTCTGTCTCACGACTAGGTAGTGCGAAACCAAGATGACTTAACCAGTCCTTCTATGACATTTATATTTCTTGTTTATACCTATGAAGCAAATTTCCATCTGGAACTTAAAAATTGTGTCCCGTCAAAAGATGCAAAATATGAGTGTAGTGGTCAGTGATGTGGAATTTGGAGTCAAACATTCATACCCTGGCCGACTCTGTCATTTGCTTGCTGTGTGACCTCGGGAAAATTACTTAGATGTGGCTTCCTCCTCTATAAAGTTAGGATAACAATAGTATCCATTTTGCAGGGTTATTGTGAGGATCAAATGAAATATTGCTTGCAGCCCATACACACAATCTTTCTGTAAGTTTGCTAGCTTGCTGGCCTCATTAACTTTACGGAGAAAAATAACATAAAACAAGAAGGGAAAACTACGAACAATAAGTCACATTTCTTGAGTTCTTACTCTGTCCAACACTTTACATTGTGCCATTTAATCTTCAGAAGAGCCCTGTGAAGTAGGATCGCTTACCACCCCATTTTGCAAAGGAAGTAACAGAAGATTTCGAGAGGTAAGAAGTAACTTACTCCTGTCACATAGTTACTGAGTGGCAGGTCAGTATTTTAAACCTAGTTTTGAACCCAGTGTTCTTCACCACTGTTTGTTGTACTGTCTGAAAACATAATATGGGGCCGGGTGCGGTGGCTCACTCCTGTAATCTCAGCACTTTGGGAGGCCGAGGCAGGTGGATCACCTGAGGTCAGCGTTCAAGACCAGCCTGCCCAACATGGTGAAACCCCGTCTCTACTAAAAACACAAAAATTAGACCGGGTGCGGTGGTTCATGCCTGTAATCCCAGCACTTTGGGAGGCCGAGGCAGGTGGATCACCTGAGGTCAGCAGTTCAAGACAAGCCTGACCACCATGGAGAAACCCTGTCTCTACTAAAAATACAAAATTAACCGGGCATGGTGGCACATGCCTGTAATCCCAGCTACTCGAGAGGCTGAGGCAGGAGAATCACTTGAACCCGGCAAGCGGAGGTTGCGGTGAGCCGAGATCATGCCTTTGCACTCCAGCCTGAGCAACAAGAGTGAAACTCTATCTCAAAAAAAAATACTAAAATTATTCGGCACCTGTAATCCCAGCTAAAAAAAAAAAAGAAAGAAAGAGAGAGAGAGAGAAAGAAAGAGAGAGAGAGAGAGACAGAAAGAAAGAAAGAAAGAAAGAAAGAAAGAAAGAAAGAAAGAAAGAAAGAAAGAAAGAAAGAAAAGAAAGGAAAGAAAGAAGGAAGGAAAGAAAGAAAACATAATATGGTTCAAAATTGGCCAGCATGACACTACGAAGGTCCCATCTCCAACTGCCGAAAGAAAACTAACAGTAGTGTGATGTGGAGTCCAAGCCCTACCGGTAGATGCTGCTTTTATTTATTTATTTTTAAGCTATCTCCCACAGGAAGGAAGGATAGATGCTTCTTAACACATGGGCCTGTTCTGTTGTGGGGCTCTTAATGAGCTAAGAAATGAAAAGGAGGAAAAGGAGAATTTCCTGAAATTACTTGGGAATTTCTACCTAAAGCATGGATGTGCCTCCAGCCATAAGGAAATCCAAATAAAGAAAATAATTTTATACCAAATGCTGAGAGCAGTGTCTAACATGGACTAAATGCTGCACAAATGACAAATATTGTTATGATTTATATGAATAGAGCACAGGGTATGGGAAGAGCCAGTGAAGGCAGAAAGGCATTATGCCCGTTTCCCTTTGAAGATTTCTCCCTAAAGTGAATATAGTATCTTGAGAATTCAGTAAATTCAACCTAACCCAAAAGGGGACTTAGAATTCCTTTGCATTTCTACCTATAGGGTGAAATCTGACATTTACTACCACTTTGTTAATTTCAGTTTGCAGGGACTTTTATCTGTGGATTTTACCTAGAAGCAGGCCACACTGTCCCCAGATAATGCCTTGGGGTGGCCTGCTGGAACAAAGAATTACATAGCAAGGATTATGCCAGAGAAATTAGTCTTTTTCCCTCACTCAGTTATCTTTTTTTCCTTCAATAAATGATGTAACTATTAATATTTAATTTAATTTTTTTTGAGACATGGTCTCTCTTTATCACACAGGTTAGAGGGCAGTGGCACCATCATGGCTCACTGCAACCTCAACCTGCCAGCCTCAAGCGACTCTCCCACCTCAGCCTCCCAAGTAGCTGGGACTACAGACACATGCCATCACGCCCAGCTAATTTTCTTGTATTTTTGTAGAGACAGGAAAATCAGAGCCATGTTGCCCAGGCTGGTCTCTAACTCCTGGGCTCAAGCCACCCACCCACCACAGCCTCCCAAAGTGTTAGGATTATAGGTGTGAGCCACCGTGCCTGGCCAGTGTAACTATCTAGTAAAGCAACCAGGTATAACTATTAAATAATATTAGTAAAGCTGTTGTTTAAATAAATATAGAACTCTATTCTCAATTTCTCATATAATAAGAATTCAGATTAATTTAAACTTGGTTTCTTCTCCAGGCTTAAATCAAACACTTCTTTTTGCTCACCATAAATTTTTGCTTTTTTTGTTTAAGTATAATCGCTAGTTCAGGACTATGTTGTTGGTTTTTTTCTTTTAGAGATGAGGTCTTGCTCTGTCCCTCAGGCTGGAGTGTAGTGGTATGGTCATAGCTCACTGTAGCCTCAACTCCTGGGCTCAAAAGATCCTCTCACCTTAGCCTCCCAAGTAGCTGGGACTAGGGGCACACATCACCATGACCAGCTAATTTTTACCTTTAAATATTAACAAGTCAGCAATTTTATTCTGATAAATAGCCAGTACGACTAAGTAGCTGAGAAAATAGTCCTACAACAGCTTCCTTAAAGGAGGAAAAGGAAATGTTTGATAGTCACATAATAATTTTTTTATGGTCAAAGATTTACGTTGTACTCTGAGTACAAACTTTTTCAATTTCACACATAAAAAGCCTTCCAAGAAAATACATAAACTTCAGAGGCAACATAGTTAAAAATCCTTGACTTTGCTTCCCCCGCTCCACCCCCACCAAGACAGAGTCTTGCTCTGTCGCCCAGGCTGGAGTGCAGTAGTGTGATCTCGGTTCACTGCAACCTCCACCTCCCAGGTTCAAGCAATTCTCCTGCCTCAGCCTCCCAAGTAGCTGGGATTACAGGAGTGTGCCACAACGCCTGGCTAATTTTTTTTTGTATTTTTAGTAGAGATGGTGTTTCACCATGTTGGCCTGGCTGGTCTCAAACTCCTGACCTCATGATCCACCCACCTTGGCCTCCCAAAGTGCTGGGATTATAGGTGTGAACCACTGCACCTGGCCTTACTATTCTTTTAAGACAGCCACCTGTTCACACTTAAGCAAAAGACACGAAGTAGGCTTGTTAAGCGCTCTCTGTTCTTAGAATACCTGAGAGCAGTTTTGTCTTTCCCAGGGTCACCTCTGGTCTTCTAGTTTTCCTGACTCCTCATTCTATTTAGAAAGAGGAGAAAGAGAAGGCAGTTTAAAAACAAAAAATAAAAATAAATACACAAGTAGCTTCTCTATGATGAAAGCAGGTCATATTTTTTCTTTCTTTTCTTTTCTTTTTTTTTTTGGAGCCAGGGTCTTGCTCTGTGGCCCAGGCTGGAGGGCAGTGGCACAATCACTGCTCATTGCAGCTTCAACCTCCTAGGCTCAAACGATCCTCCCACCTCAGCCTCCTGAGTAGCTGGAACTACAGGCAGGCACCACCACTGTTGGCTAATTTTTAAATGTTTTTGTACAGGCAGGGTCTTGCTATGTTTTCCATGCTGGTCTTGAATTCCTGGGCTCAAGCTATATACTCCCAAAGTGCTGGGATTACAGGTGTGAGCCACCATGCCATCTTTTTTTTAATTTTTATTTATTTATTTATTTGTTTGTTTGTTTATTTTTTCAAGACAGAGTTTCACTCTTGTTGCCCAGGCTGGAGTGCAATGGCGCGATCTTGGCTCACTGCAGTCTCCGCCTCCCGGGTTCAAGTGATACTCCTGCCTCAGCGCCCCGAGTAGCTGGGACTACAGGCATGTGCTACCACACCCAGCTAATTTTGTACTTTTAGTAGAGATGGGATTTCACCATGTTGGTCAGGCTGGTCTCAAACTCCTGACCTCAGATGATCCACCCACTTCAGCCTCCCAAACTGCTGAGAATATAGGCGTGAGCCACTGCGCCCGACCCCCATGTTTTATTTTCTGATGAAATGTCTTTCCACCTCACTGTAGATAGCCTTCTACTTTTATATACATCTATTTCTATAAATGTGTTTGAAGATCAAATGTGTGAAAATGGAAAATCGGATGAACATGTTATAGTAGGCTGAGTAATAAATTGTCCCCCAAAAAAGATGTCCACATCTTAATGCTCAGAATCTGCGAATATGTTATCTTAGACTGCCTAGGAAATTTTGCAGGTGTGATTCAATTAAGGCTCTGGAGGTTGGGAGATTTTTCTGTATTATCCACATGTGCCCAGTGTAATCACAAAGGTCCTTATAAGGAAAGAGGAGAGTCCCAGAGAAAATGCAACGACGGAAGCAGAGGTCAGAGAGGAGAAAATATGGTACACTGCTGACTTTGGAGATTGAGAAAGGGGCCATAAGGCAAGAAAAGTCGGTGGCCACTAGAAGCCAGAAAAGGCAAGGAAACAGATTCTTCCTTGAGCCTCCGGAAGGAACGCAGCCCAGCAGACCTATTTCAGACCTCTGATCTCCAGAGCTATAAGCTAATACATCTGTCATATTTTAGCCATTCAGTTCATGGTAAATTGTTATGGCAGCAATAGGAAACTGATACGCATGTTTATGGGGGCCTGGGATCCCAGAGGAATAGTATATATTATAACATTTCTTAATGAAAATTTTCTCTGTTGCTGCTCTTTTTGGGAGCTGAAATGTCCTGAACAGGTAAGAATCTTCACAGGTACCCAGATCCCAGGTAGCAAAGAGGCTGGGAGTGTGTCATGAAAGGGACCGAGTCAGCCTGCCTGCCTGTCACCCCAGGGCTTCAGGAAGTTAAGCTAGGTATTGCCAAACCCACCCCCAGTTCTGCTTCTCTCACGCCCACTGCCTTTCACCTACCCTGTTTAGACCACAGGCAATTCTGATCATCAACCTGCCTCGTGCGGGTACCCTGGGGTGTGGACATCAAAGGAATTTGTCTTTCTTGTCCCCACGCCAAGGGGTGCTCTGGCCTGAAATCCCCCATTGCACATAGCTGCCAGCAGAGCTACACCTGGTTAAGTGCCCAGCAAACTGCCTTTGCTCCGTGCCCATCTTTGAGGACTGTAAGGAGGGGAGAGAAGGGAAGGCAGGACTATGGGGTGATACCGGCCCTGCATGTGTTCCTTGTATGAGTCAGCAAGCTTGAGGGCCCCAGCACACCAGAGGCTTGGAGATGGGGGCAGCATGCAAAACGCTGATGGGCACAGGAGGCACAGGCAGGAACAGAGCACTGCCCTTCAAAGGTTTGTAAACAAAGGTACATACTTGTTTCCAGCCAGGTGCGGTGGCTCATGCCTGTAATCCCAGCACTTTGGGAGGCCAAGATGGGCGGATCACCTGAGGTCAGGAGTACGAGACCAGCCTGGCCAACATGGTGAAACCCCATCTCTACTAAAATACAAAAATTAGTCGGATGTGGTGGTGGGTGCCTGTTGTCCCAGCTACTCGGGAGGCTGAGGCAGGAGAATTGCTTGAGCTGAGGTCACTCCGCTGCACTGCAGCCTGGGTGATGGAGTGAGACTCTGTCTCAAAAACAAAACAAAACAAAACAAAACAAAAAACAGATACATACTTGTTTCCATGCTCACCCTGAATTTCTACTAAAGAGTAATAAAAAGTGATCTAAACAACCAGTTCAGAATGCCTAGGGAACAAAGGCATAATTCAGTTGATGTGGTTTGGAGTTGCCCCAGTCGGCTTCATAGCTAACCAACTTAATAAGTATGGCCTGAACACTTTAAATATAGAGATAAATTTGACAGCATTTTGTAAAGATGTGGTGTTAGGGCATAGGCTGAATGATCTCTACCATGAACTGGCTCAAACCAGAATCAAACTCTTTTTTCCCTAAATTTAGTAATCCAGAAAGTCAGTTTCCCAATTAAAGTCATACTCTATTGGCATAAAGTTTTCATTTGTTTTGTGGTGGCTGACACTGGCATTAAATAGTTAATCCCTTTGTACTGAGCAGAGTGCTTTTATTACATATTTTAGGCTTCTTATATTTTATTCTAAGAAACTCAGCTTTTTTTCCCAGTTGAGAAAAATGAGAATCTCAAATATTGAGGCAAAACCTGGTTTTATGAAAGGTAGAAGATAATAGGAAGAGCCCTGATTTTCTCATGAGAAGACCCCAGTTCTTCTCCCAGCTCTGCAACTTCTTACATAGACACTGCTCAAACCAGCTAACTTTTCTAAGATCCTGTTTCCCCATCCATAAACTGAAATAATCAGAGCCCTACCTCTTTCAGAATAAGTAAGGAGTGAATGAAATATTCCATATGACATGCTCAACATAATGCCTGCCACACAGAAGTATTCAATTAGTACTTAATTCTTGTTATATTTTTATCATTATTTGTATTTAACTATCTTGCTGAGTTGTTTGGAAGCCAAATGAGGTCATTGCCTCCAAACATTTATTAGAGATATTGCTATGTGCTAAGCATTACAATAGGTGCAGGAGAATACAAACGTGAATGCCTGCAAGGAACTTACACAGAAAGGCACTAATTTGATAAAAATACAACTCTATAGCTCTAAATACAGATATCAATGTAAAATACAATTCCATAGCTCTACAGCAATAAGGAACTAATATCAACCTACCATCAGTTCATCAAGCATAATTTGATTAACTACAGTAGGCATCTTCCTAGGCTGCCTCGTGGAGGAGATCTTATGAAAAATTGGAAGCCCATGCTAACATAGTTTATGTGAATATGGTCTTTAAGAGTTATTACGGCCAGGCTGGGCACTGTGGCTCACGCCTGTAATCCTAGCACTTTGGGTGGCCGAGGCAGGCAGATCACTTGAGGCCAGGAGTTTGAGACCAGCCTGGCCAACATGGCGAGACCCCCGTCTCTACTAAAAAATACAAAAATTAGCCCAGTGTGGTGGTGGGCACCTGTAGTCCCAGCTACTCGGAACTGTAGCTGTAGTCCCCACTACTCAGCTAAGGCAGGAGAATTGCTTGAACCTGGGAGGCAGAGGCTGCAGATCATGCCACTGTCCTCCAGCCTGGGCAACAGAGTGAGACCCTGTCTCAATAAATAAATAAATAAATAAATAAATAACCACATAGATTAGCTAATTATTAGGAGTCACAGGAAAAATCAACAGAAATATAAGCCATGACATGTTTATACATACATTTATAACCTAGTTAGCAAAATAATATTTCAGCACATGGGCAGTCCATGAGAAAATTTTTTTTAATATTTAAGCACATGAAACAACTAGACAACATTTCAAGAGAGTGTATAATTGGTGTGGTTTGTGTGTGGCGTCAGAAGAGGGAGGTATCAGTGGGAAGAGATCCACTGATCACCCTGGGTGCTTGGTTCTAAAATGACAGCAAAGCATATAAAGTGAGAATCATGATGCATAACTGACTGACGATGAGTCATTTACTGTGGCCCTCCTAGAAATCCCCAAGCGAGCAAACTTGAAAACCTTTATTTGACCCTGCCTTCCATTCAAGCATTCATCCTAGTTCTCTCCTTTTTAAAAAAAAATAATAATAATATTGGCCGGGCACAGTGGCTCACGCCTGTAATCCCAGCACTTTGGGAGGCCGAGGTCGGCAGATCACCTGAGGTCAGGAGTTCGAGACCAGCCTGGCCAACCTGGTGAAACTCCATCTTCACTAAAAATACAAAAATTAGCCAGGCATGGTGGTGGGCGCCTGTAATCCTAGCTACTCTGGAGGCTGAGGCAGGAGAATTGCTCGAACCCAGGAGGCAGAGGATGCAGTGAACTGAGACCTCGCCATTGCACTCCAGCCTGGGTGACAAGAACTCCACTTCAAATAATCATAATAACTATTTTTTACTATAGGCGAGCACCACTATGCCCAGCTTTATTTTCTTCTCTTTTTTTACTAACAGACTTTTCTTATAAAAGAATGCATGCCCATTATAGAAAATTCAGAAAACTCAGAAAAGTATAAAGAATAAAATCATTGATAATTTAATATTATAGACATATGTGCTACTAATATTTTGTCTTTTCTCTAGAGATTTCTAAAAAATTTACAACTTCCACATAGGTAACTGATATGCCAACTGAAATTTTACCCTGAACTTTAAGATTTAGAAAAGGTTGGCTTGAGGCCTTTCCCATATTTCACTGGGGTTGCAATTCATTCTCTAAGATTTCTTCAAATTCCCAAGGGTTTACAATCTCCTGGTCATTTCTGACCCCCGGTTCTGATTCCACTGAATTTAACTGTGTCTCATCTTTGCAAGTTGCTTTTTTCTCAACCAATCCAAAGGCCGGAGACCATCCTTTTTGTTTGATTTTCCTCCCCTGAAACTGCCACAGAAGACATTTCTGTATTTAGCAGATCTTACTGAATGTCTGGGAAAATGGAGGGGGTTTTTATACTGAATATATGAGACTTGAATATTAACATTCCTTTCCTAAAATCTTTTGATTACCTCACCAAAAAGAGTTTCTTACCACCGCTGTCTACAGGATCCAGCCTTCTAACCTTGCTGTTACTTAGAATTGGTCTGTCAAGTCACCACAAGAGTGAATTGCGATTTTGATTAGTTGTAGTAAACATTTAAATTAATTTGAGTCAATTTTTTTTGTTTTAATAGTTTTTTAAAAAACTTACATCTTTGGGGTAATTTGTCAGTAGAGGATAATATGATTTACAAAGAGTTAATGTTTTGCTCATTTGTTTTGTTTGTTTTCAATAATTATACCTCTTTCTCTTGTACTTATGCATTGAATTAGAAGTTTCAAATCAATGTAAAATAATAGCAGTGATAATGGGCATCTTTGTCTTACTTTCAAAATTTTTATATAACAGCCGCCTCCATGTCCTAATGCTACTTTTGGACTATCTTTAATTGGATGTCTTCCTCTGCCTTCCAACTAGAAATATATATCTTAAATTGCTATTGGATGCTATTTGACAGCTCTTCCTTTCTTTGAACTTTCTCCTCCCTGGGCTTCCATGATGCCACATGGCCACAATTTTATTCTTTTCTCTCTTCATTCACACATCCAACCGTTTTCTTTTCTTTTCTCTCTCTCCTCCTTTCCTTCTTTCTTCCTTCCATTTCTTCCTTCATTTATTCTGTTTATTGAACACATCTTCATTAAACATGTTTCCTCTTTTCTCTAAGCCTTTACATTAAGGTACAGCTCTTTCTCATGTCTACTGTGTATACCTTTCCAGCTCTTGCCTTCTTGCCTAAATTTAAATCTTGTCTGCAACTCTGACTACTCTCTGCTTGGACATTCCATAGGAAATGCTAATTCATGAGTCCAAAATTAAACTCTCCATTGTTCTGCAAGTTAGCTCATCTTCCAATTTCTCATTTCGTGACCCCCAAAAATATTGCATCTTAGAATCACTCTTGACTTATTTTATCTTCTTATATGCTCACTCCTAACTCTACGCCTTGGTGCATGCTGCTGTCCCCAGCCTAGAATATCTTTTTGCTCCCTTCTATTTGTCCAAATTTTACTCATCCTAAAAGGTAGGTTCAGGCTGGGCACAGTGGCTCACCCCTGTAATCCCAGCACTTTGGGAGGCTGAGGCAGGCGGATCACAAGGTCAGGAGTTTGAGACCAGCCTGACCAACATGGTGAAACACCGTCTCTACTAAATATACAAAAATTAGCCAGGCATGATAGTTCCTGCCTGTAATCCCAGCTACTCAGGAGGCTGAGGCAGGAAAATTGCTTGAACCCGGGAGGCCAAGGCTGCAGTGAGCTGAGATCGCACCACTGCACTCCAGCCTGGGTGACAGGGCGAGACTCCATCTCAAAAAAAAAAAAAAAAAAAAAATTGGTAGGTTCTTCCCTCTCCGTGTGGCTGTTCATGACCCCTCCAGCCTGCATGGTTCTCCTCCTTTCTGCATTACCCCAGCACTGGCCTGTGTCATTTGCCATGACCAGGGACACCCCTAGTAACAGATGAAGGCTGAATTTGAAGTCAAGTCTATTTGGCTCCAGAACCTGTGCCCTCAGCTTCAAGGCCTTGTCCAGCTCCCCTGACATATTCACTGCTTCCCATCCTTATGCCCCAAGAGGATTCGGGATAGGAGCCAAGTGCAGGTCCCCTGCAGTATTCTCCTTTCTGAACACCTTTAGAAGAACCACCATATTCAAAGAAATCACAGGGACTGGCTACTGTGACATCAAGGGCAATGCATGACCAGATAAATTCCTCTGGCAGTCACGAAATAAGATGGAGCCAAAGCCACCGGAGAAGAAGCTGTGATGCAAGAGACAGCACATGACGGGAAACAATCCTCTGGCAGTGAGGCCTGAGAGCTGTCTGCACGAGCCAGGAAAAAGTTCCTGTCATGGCAGAATCTAGTGTAACTAACTGTAAAATATGACCCAATGAAGAGGTATGTCAGCAACAGACAGAGGCCTCCTTCATGCTGCCCTTGGAGCAATGAACAAAGCGATAAAATTACACTCCAGTGCAAGGGTGAAAATAATAACTACTTCATAACCTTGTTTTATTTATTTATTTAGATGGAGTCTCGCTCTGTCGCCCAGGCTGGAGTGCAATGGCGCCATCTCAGCTCACTGCAACCTCCACCTCCTGGATTCAAGCGATTCTCCCGCCTCAGCCTCCCGAATAGCTGGGATTACAGGCACGTGCCACCACGCCTGGCTAATTTTTGTATTTTTAGTAGAGACGGGGTTTCACCATATTGGTCAGGCTGGTCTCGAACTCCTGACCTCAGGTGATCCACCCACCTTGGCCTCCCAAAGTGCTGAGATTACAGGCATGAGCCACTGCACCCAGCCCCATAAACTTGTTTTAAATTAACTAATACACACTGTGCACTGAGGACTATCCCTGGAAAATAGCAAGTATCTAATAAATGACAGCTATATTATTAATTAAATTATAGCGCCCAAAGTAGAAGGTTTTTCTTACCATCTCTATATAAAGACAGAAAGTCTAGGGGGAAAAATACAAAATTTTTAAACCTTCAAATAATTTATTTTATTGGTCAAAAGTTAAAAAAAAAATCAGGCGGGGTGCAGTGGCTCATACCTGTAATCCCAGCACTTTGAGAGGCTGAGGCAGGAGGACCACTTGAGGCTGGGAGTTCAAGACCAGCCCCGTCAACATAACAAAATCCCATCTCTAAAAAAAAAAAAAAAAAAAAAATTAATTTTGAAAATTAAAAAAAATCACACTTGCAATTAATGCAACCTAATTAATGAAAAGAGTTATTCAGATCTATTGTTGTAAGTAAATATTAAATATGTTAATAGCTGGAAGTAAAAGATTTCTGAAAATTTAACTATTGCTTCACCGATTATTTATTCTATGCCTATTGTGTGTCAGGCACAATAAGTTCATTGCCCCCATGGGGCATAGAGATTAGCAGCAGGAAAATTGAAGAGTTATACAAATATAACTTATAAAGCTGAGAAGGAGTACAAACTGTGGGTGAGAGTTCACAGAAGTTCTTTGACTAAGTGATATTTAAGATAAAACCTAAAGAATAATTTATCTGGCCAGGTACGGTGGCTCATGCCTATAATCTCAGCAATTTGGGAGGCTGAGGCAGGTGGATCACTTGAGGTCAGGAGTTTGAGACCACCCTGGCCACATGGTGAAACCCCATCCCTACTAAAAATACAAAAATTAGGCCAGGCACAGTGGTTCACACCTGTAATCCCAAC
The DNA here is from genome assembly GCF_000001405.40 of Homo sapiens. NCBI lineage: Eukaryota > Metazoa > Chordata > Mammalia > Primates > Hominidae > Homo > Homo sapiens. Next base: position 80,318,698 of record NC_000008.11, on the reverse strand, counting down.
ACTTTGGGAGGCTGAGGCAGGTGGATCACCTGAGGCCAGGAGTTCAAGTCCAGCCTGGCCAACATAGTGAAACGCCGTCTCTACTAATAATACAAAAATTAACTTGGCATGGTGGCGCATGCTTGTAATCCCAGCTACTCGGGAGGCTGAGGCACGAGAATCGCTTGAACCCAGGAGGTGGAGGTTGCGGTGAGCCGAGATTGCACTCCAGCCTGGGCAACAAGAGCGAAACTCCGTCTCAAAAAAAAAAAATTAGCTGGGCATGGTAGTGTGTGCAGTAGTCCCAGCTACTTAGGCAGCTGAGGCAGAAGACTCGCTTGAACCTAGGAGGCAGAGGTTGCAATGAGTCACGATTGTACCACTGCACTCCAGCCTGAGTGACAGAATGAGACTCTGTCTCAAAAAAAAAAAAAAAGAATAACTTATCTATGTTCAAGTTGGTGAGGTTAAGCTAATATATTCCAGGCAAAATTCCAAGATGGAAGAAGAGTGGCTTCTTATGGAAAGAACTGAGAGGCCAGTTTCTGGAACAGAAAGAATGGGAGGTGGAATGAGATATGTTAAACCTCAACAACTAGGCAGAGGGATGATCACACAGAGTCTCATAGGTCTTAAGGATTTGGGTTTTTATCCTAAAGGCAACAAGAAACCTTTAAAGAGTGTAAGAAGAGGTCGGGGGTGGTGGCTCATGCCTGTAATCCCAGCACTTCTGGAGGCCGAGGCAAGTGGATCACCTGAGGTCAGGAGTTCTAGAACAGCCTGGCCAACTGGTGAAACCCCGTCTCTACCAAAAATACAAAAATTAGCTGGGTATGGTGGTGAGCACCTGTAATCCCAGCTACTTGGGAGGCTGAGGCATGAGAATCACTTGAACCCAGGAGGTGGAGGTTGCAGTGAGCCGAGATCACACCACTGCACTCCAGCCTGGGCCACAAGAGCAAAACTCTGTCTCAAAAAAAAAAAAAAAAAAAAAGAGTATAAGGAGAGAATCAACATAATCAAATGTGCTTTAATGGGAGGGTAAGAAGTTTTCACAGCAGTCTGCTTGAGAGATGATGGTTGTGGTGACGATGATACAGAGAGGCAAATGGGTTGAAGATGTATTTAGGAGATAGAATGGGAAAGACTTGGTGATTAATTAATGGGGAGGGGGCACAGTAAGGAATCGGAAGCCATCAAGTAGTCAAGGAAAAGTCAACAATGACTCCTAGATTTCTGGCTTGAGCAACTGAGGGGATGGTGGTGCCCTTTACTAAAATGGAGGACAGGCTGGAAGCAGTGGCTCACGCCTGTAATCACAGCACTTTGGAAGGCCAAGGCGGGCAGATCACATGAGGTCAGGAGTTTGAGGCCAACCTGGCCAACATGGTGAAACCCCGGCTCTACTAAAAATACAAAAATTAGCCTGGCGTGGTGGCGGGCACTTGTAATCCCAGCTACTCGGGAGACTGAGGCAGGAGAATCACTTGAGCCTGGGAGGCAGAGGTTGCAGTGAGCCGAGATTGCACCACTGCACTACAGCCTGGGCAACAGAGTAAGACTCCGTCTCAAAAAATAAATAAATAAAATAAAATAAAATGTAGGACACTGAAGAAAGTAAGAATTTCCATTTTAGAAAATATTGAGCTTCTTCCCATTTATTTGCTGCTATAGTCTCATAATGATACAAGCAGTTATATGCATGGGATAAAATAATATTGGGACATTGTAAATTGAAATGAAGTAACCATTTTCATCTTTTCTGCATGGACAAGACATTGTTTTTGGTTTAAAAAAAAAGAAGAAGAAAGAAAAAAAAGAAACAAAAAGAAAATCCTGAGCTTTGCATGTCTATTATGACACATGCTGTGAACATGTCCAGTTGACCACTGGATAGACAGTGATGAAGGTCTAAGAAAAGTCTTTGCTGGAGTAATCAATTTAAGAATCACCAGCATGAAGATGGTAATGGGAGTCTCAAGAGTAAATGGGATCACCTAAGAAGCATTTGCAGAGTGACAAGAACAGAGGAACTCAGGATGGAGCCCTTAGGAACCCCAGCATGTAATAAACAGTACAGGAGGAAGAACCATTGGAGGAGACTGAGGAGATAAACCACAGTAGACAGATCACCAGAAGGACACACCACAAAACCAGGGACAGAAGAGAGGTCATGAAGGGGTGATCGGCTGTGTCAAACATTACTAAGACATCGAGATTTAAATCCAGATTGAAGTGTACATTAGATTTAGTAGCATGGAAGTCTTTTTTAATCTTAGTATGAATAAAGTACCCAAATAACTAAGGCAAAGTTCTCTCAGGTAACCTCTTGATCCCAGTCCACTTGTTTTGGGAACCAGGCTATGCTTGTTTCCTAGAGTGGAATTAAAAGTCAGCATGGGTGGCACCTGGGGAGGCCGAGGTAGGCAGATCACCTAAGGGCGGGAGTTCAAGACCAGCCTGACCAACATAGAGAAACCCCGTCTCTACTAAAAATACAAATTGGGTGGGGGCGTGGTGGTGCAAGCCTGTAATCCCAGCTACTCGGGAGCCTGAGGCAGGAGAATTGCTTGAACCTGGGGGGCGGAGGTTGCGGTGAGCCAAGATCGTGCCATTGCACTCCAGCCTGGGCAACAAAAGCGAGCTCTGTCTAAAAAAAAAGTCAGTATGGGTGCTATGACTACAAGAAATCTACCCACATGAAAAAGGCATGTGAGGGGAAATGGAGCATGTGAACGATTTATACAGAGGTATTAACAGGAAGATTTTATATATTATTTTCTTTTATTATGCTTTTTTAAAATACTTTTTAAATTTTGAGGATTTGGAAACTCTTTTTTTCTTTTTTTTGAGATAGCATCTTGCACTGTTGCCCAGGCTGTAGTGCATTGGCACGATGACTGCTCACTGCAGCCTCAATCTTCCAGGCACAAGTGATCCTTCCACCATAGCCTCCCAAGTAGCTAAGACCACAGGCGTGCACCACCATGTCTGACTAATTTTTTGTGTGTGTGTAGAGACAACATCTCCCTATGTTGCCCAGGCTAGTCTCAAACTCCTGGGCTCAAGTGATCCTCCCATCTCAGCCTCCCAAAGTGCTGAGATTACAGACATGAACCACTGCACATAGCCAGAGTTTCTTTAAGAGTATGTAAAAATGTTTATGGATTATACTTTGGGTGGGGGAAGACAATATTCTCAGGAAACAGAAATATGGAGACTGAATTGGAAAGTAAAGGATGCAAAGGATGACAAAATAGGACATTAGGAATAGAGTTCTTTGGACAGGACACATTTGGCCACAAGGGATAGAAAGAGTCAAGGCTGTGCTAGACGGGAACCTGTGGCCAGGGGAAGTTGCGAAAGTGTTTAATGTTGATGCGAAAAGCTGACAGACAGGGCAAGACTGGAGTCACAGAGAGTGCAGAAGACACAGTGAGCACAAAGTTCAGAACCCAGAATGGAGACACACCCCCTCCATCGGTCCAGGGCAAAGGGAAGGCAGTTCAGGTGTGGTAATTTGGGGACAGGAAGTTGACAGTGGCTCAGTTGATCACTAGTTTATGAAGTTGAAGGTGAAATCCCTAGCAAGAATAAGAGGGCATAGCAGGTAGTCAAGGGAATAAAGATGGTGAAGAAGCGTTGGAATGTGTTTCTTTTTTTTTTTTTGGAGGCAGGGTCTCATTGTGTCACCCAGGCTGGAATGCAATGGCACAATCTCGACTCACTGCCAACTCTGCCTCCCAGGTTCAAGTCATCCTCCCACCTCAACCTCTTGAGTACCTGGGACTACAGGCACATGTCACCATGCCAGGCTAATTTTTGTATTTTTTGTAGGGAGAGGGTCTCGCTGTGTTACCCAGGCTGGTCTCGAACTCCTGGACTCAAGCTATCCACCCGACTCAGCCTCCCAAAGTGTTGGGATTACAGGCGTGAGCCACTGCACCCAGCCTGGAATATGTTTCAAAGAGCTTTCGTTAATAAACATGGTTTGATTCTGAGGAGCTGTAGTTTTTATTATTCATACACTTTGCAATTAAGTAACACATATTCAGGAGCCTTAACATGGTTTACATTAGACACCAGAGATCAATTAAGAAATTATATCAGTATTAGGAGAGAATTAATGATTGTAATGAAATATATAAAACATTAATTACTGTTAAGATAACTTTTGATTGATATATATAATTAAGTTTATAATACTTGAAATTATATTTTTTCAACTTCACATAAACTTGTCACAATTTTATGTTGGACCTATACTAAGAATGCTCTTTTTATCAAGAAAATTTAGGTGGATTTTGCTCCCTGTCTTTTTGCAGTATTTGATTAACTATTCTTCCATTTTCTGATCCACCTAATACAATAATACATTTTTGTATATCCATTCCTTAAAATATAGATATTTTCTACACCTTCTATCCTTCTGAATAAACTACTATTAAAACAATAGTACTTTCTCCTCCCAACACACTAATTTTCTCTTTGTTTAACAATAACAACTAATAATGTGCATTGTCCTAACTTTTTCAAAGTGCGTTCACATACGTGATCCTATTTATCACCATGACAACACTATAACTTATGTATTATGGTCATAATTTCAATGTAAAGAAACCAAGATTACTTCCTCAAAATCACCTGACTAGCAAAAAGCAAAGCTTGAAACCATAAAAAAGAACAAGATCATGTCCTTTGTAAGGAGATGGATGGAGCCAAAGGCCATTATCCTTAGCAAACTAACACAGGAACAGAAAACCAAATACTGTATGTTCTCACTTACAAATGGGAGCTAAATGATGAGAACACGTGGACACATAGAGGGGAACAACACACACCGGGACCATTTGGAGGATGAAGTGGGAGAGGAGGGAGAGGATCAGGAAAAATAACTAATGGGTACTAGGTTTAACACCTGGGTGATGAACTAATCTGTACAACAAACCCCCATGACACAAGTTTACTGATGCAACAAACCTGCACTTGTACCCCGACCTTAAAATAAAACTTAAAAAAAAAAGCAAAGCTATGATTTAAATCCAAGTCTTCTGATTCTTCAACTCAAATGCATTTATTTCCACTATACCAGTGTTTCCTAGGTGGCCTATGAAGAAATATATTTTATTTAAATTGTTACAGATTTTAGTGTAACTTTACATAAATTATTTAAATAAAATGGTGATCAGTTTAACTACAGTCATATATCCCTTAATTATGGGGATATGTTCTGAGAAATGTGCCTTTAGGCAATTTTGCCATTGTGTGAACATCATAGAATGTACTTACACAAACCTACATGGTATATAGGCTATTACACACCTAGGCTGTAAGGTATAGCCCAGGGGTCCCCAACCCCTGTATCGTGGACAGGTACTGGTCCATGGCCTGTTACAAACTGGGCCACATAGCAGGGAATGAGCAGCAGGTAAGCAAGCAAAGCTTCATCTGTATTTACAGCCTCTCCCCATTGCTTGCATTATCTCCTGAGCTCCATCTCCTGTCAGATCAGCAGCAGCATTGGATTCTCATAGGTGTGCAAACCCTCTTGTGAACTGTGCATGCGAGGGATCTAGGTTGTGCACTCCTTACAAGCATCTAATGCCTGATTATCTGAGGTGGAACAGTTTCATCCCAAAACCATCCCCTCACCCCACCCCATTTGTGGAAACATTGTCTCCCGTGAAACTGGTCCCTGGTGCCAAAAATGTTAGGGCTGCTGGTATAGCCTATAGCTTCTAAACTACTAACCTATACAGCATATTACTGTACTGACTGTAGGTGATTGTCACAAGATGGTAAGTACTTGTGTATCTAAACTTACCTAAACATGAAAAAGGTACAATAAAAATACAGTATGCTGGGCACAGTGGCTCACACCTGTAATCCCAGCACTTTGGGAAGCCGAGGCAGGTGGATCACCTGAGGTCAGGAGTTCAAGACTGAACTAGCCAATATGGTGAAACCCCATCTCTACTAAAAATACAAAAATCAGCAGGGCGTGGTGGTGCACACCTGTGACCCCAGCCACTCAGGAGGCTGAGGCAGAAGAATTGCTTGAACCCGGGAAGTGAAGGTTGCAGTGAGCCGAGATCAGGCCACAGCACTCCAACCTAGGTGACAGAGCAAGACTTCGTCTCAAAAAAAAAAAAAATAGTATAAAAGATAAAAAAATGGTAGACTTGTGAATGGAGCTTGAAGGACTTGAAGTTTCTCTGGGTGAGTCAGTGAGTGAATGGTGAGTGACTGTGAAGGCCTAGGACATCACTGTACACTCTTGTAGACTTTATAAACACTGTACATTTAGGCTACACTAAATTTATAAAAACATATTTTCTTTCTTCAATAAAAAGTTAACCTTAGCTTACTGAAACATTTTTACTTTATAAACTTTTTAATTTTTTAACTTTTGATTCTTTTATAATAACACTTAGCTTCAAACACATTGTACAGCTATACAAAAATATTTTCTTTATATTCTTATTCTATAAGCTTCTTTCTATTTTTAAAGTGTTTTACTTTGTAAACTTTTTTGTTAAAAATGAAGGCACAAACGCACCTATTGGCCTAGACCTACACAGGGTCAGGATCATCAATATCACTGTCTTCCACATCCACATCCTGTCCCACTGGAAAATTTTCAGGGGCAATAACATACATGGAGCTCTCATCTCCTAGGATAACAATGCCTTCTTCAGGAATACCTCTGAAGACCTGCCTGAGGCTCTTTTACAATTAACTTTCTAAAGATATATGTAGAAGGACTACTTCTAAAATAATGATTAAAAGTATAGGTCAGGCATGGTGGCTCACGACTGTAATCCCAGCACTTTAGGAGGCCGCGGTGGGATGACTGCTTGAGACCAGGACTTTGAGATCACCCTGGGCAACATAACAAGACCCCATCTCTACAAAAAAAAAATTTTTTTTAATTAGTTATAGTCCCAGCTGCTTGGGAGGCTGAGGTGGGAAGTTTGCTTGAAACTTTAAGCAGTGAGTTCAAGGTTGCAGTGAGCATCTTTGTGCCACTGCACTCCAGCCTGAGTGACAGGACAAGACCATGTCTCTTAAATATATATATATATATATATGTATGTATATAATTTAACACTGCAGCTAAAAAAAATAAAAAATAAATTTAAAGAAAATTTAGGCCAGGCGTGGTGGCTCATGCCTGTAATCCTAGCACTTTGGGAGGCCAAGGCAGGTAGATCTCCTGAGGTCAGAAGTTTGAGACCAGCCTGGCTAATGTGGCAAAACCCCGTCTCTACTAAAAATACAAAAATTAGCTGGGTATGGTGGTGTGCATCTGTAGTCCCAGCTACTCTAGAGGCTGAGGCAGGAGAATTGCTTGAACCCAGGAGGCAGAGGCTGCAGTGAGCCGAGATTGCGCCATTGCACTCCAGCCGGGGCAAAAAGAGCGAAACTCCATCTCAAAAAAACAAAAAAAGCTCTATTATAATCTTACGGTACCACCATCGTATATGTGATCCATCACTGATCAAAACATCATTATGTGTCATGTGGCTATAAAAGTAATAAGTAAATAATAATAGAGGTGATACATAGATTTGGCAAAATTCATGAATTTAGATATGTATGAATGAAATTTTCATACACTTCATAATCAAATCTTCATAATCACTGAGAGATGGGCAAAAACCAGGGGTAATTGTCCCATTTTAAGATAAAGAACAAGGCAATGAATGGCTGTGACATTAGCTAAGCTAAATCTTCCTTTAACAAAATTTGATATTTAAATCCAACTCCCTCCCTCCCTAAAAAAAAAAGGTTGGGAGGGAGGAATTATATTACTATACAAAATAAACTTTCAGTGGCTGGGCATGGTGGCTCACACCTGTAATCCCAGAACTTTGGGAGGCTGAGATGGGAGGATTGCTTGAGCCCAGAAGTTCAAGACCAGCCTGGGCAACATGGCAAAACCCACATCTCTACCAAAAATACAAAAATTAGCCAGTCTCATAACTCAGTCAATAAATTTAAAAATGACCCAAAAGGTCATTTCTTTAATTTCATTTTTAAATTTTTATCTATTTAAAATTTTATCAAATTTTAAATTTTATCTATTTTCTCTCAGACAAATCTTAAACTGTAGAACTTGATTTTCTAAATCTATAAAGTAAAGGCCAGGCGCAGTGGCTCACACCTGTAATCCAGCTACTTGGGAGGCAGAGGCACGAGAATCACTTGAACTCGGGAGGCTGCAGTGAGCCAAGATCGCGCTACTGCACTCCAGCCTGGGTGACACAGCAAGACCCTGTCTCAGAAAAAAAAAAAAAAAAAAAAAGGAAATCTATAAAATAAAAAGTTTGAACTTTGTCATCCCCAATGTCTTCATTTCTAAAAACAGATACTTTTATTCTTCAAGTTGCTAATAATATTTATATGTATGTCAGTGATATATAGATTGCATAAATTAGATCTATTAAGGACCTAATGCTAAGATCAAGAATTGTTTACAATTGTTCTTTTTTTTCTTTTGAGACAGAGTCTCATTCCATCACCCAGGCTAGAGTAGAGTGGCACGATCATAGCTCACTGCAACCTCAACTTCCCAGGTTTAGATGATCCTCCCAATTCAGCCTCCCGAGTAGCGGGACCACCGGTGTGCACCACCACGCACAGCTAATTTTTTTGCATTTTTTTGTAGACACGGGATATTGCCATGTTGCCCAGGCTGGTCTTGAACTCCTAGACTCAAGTAATCTGCCTGCCTCAGCCTCCCAAATGTTCCCAATTGTTCCAGTTCAGCACAAGCATTTCAATTTCTATTCCTTGTTCTAAAAGAAACTGGCTTAATCGACCTATTTCAAATAATAAGAATGGAGATATTATTAATGTATAGCATTTTAAGTGATAACCCAGAAAATCAACACACATTTCTGGAGCAACGATGCTAGCAGGATATTCTTGAGGGGGATACAAAGAGATAGACTTGTCTTTAATAAGCTCAAGGACAATTGAAGAAACAAGACAAAACCCATGAAAATGTAAATTGCTGATCAAAGTGTAGAGTTGGAAAGGAAGGCCCTTTGATCTCATCTAGTCACAGATTGACAGAATGTTAGATCCGAAAAGGACCTAGGGGAGGCGTCTACCCCCTCCCTTCCCAGTACCACTCCTAATTTGTGGGTGAGCAGACCAAGAGCCAGAAGGAAGACAGCATTTATCAGACAGTGAGTTAATGACAGAGCAGGGATTAGAACTCTGTTCAAGAGCCCCAGTAGGTCAGTTAATTGGAGTGGAGAATTCAGGTTAAAGAATAGTAGCAGATGTGGGCCATGGTTGTGGAGACCTTTCTGCATCATACCTGAACACTGAGAATCTACAGAAGGTCTTTATGGTACTGCAGGTACACAACTGATTAAGATTCAATGAGGCCGGGCGTGATGACTCATGCTCATGCCTGTAATCCCAGGACTTTGGGAGGCTGAGGTGGGCGGATCCCCTGAGGTCAGGAGTTTGAGACCAGCCTGACCAACATGGAGAAACCCCGTCTCTACTAAAAATACAAAAATTAGTCGGGCATGGCACGCTGCCTGTAGTTTCAGCTACTTGGGAGGCTGAGGCAGGAGAATCACTTGAACCCAGGAGGCGGAGGCTGCAGTGAACCGAGATCACACCACTGCACTCCAGCCTGGGCAACAAAGCAAAACTTTGCCTTAAAAAAAATAAAATAAATAAATAAAAATTAAATGATTTGTTTATAAGGTTTTATTAAAAATTGAGTTTATTAAAAATTGAGTTTAACATTAATATACACTAATACAAAGGAAAATTTTTTGTTTTCTATTTTGAACAAGACTTTTATGCAATATTGAGAGATAGTGAAAGATTTTTGTTTGCCTTTTGAATAAACGGCAAGAAAAAAGAAAAAAGCAGGGAGAAAGAAGAGACAGATTCAGCTGGCCTCATGTTGTCTTTCTTGGGTTTTGTTTGAAAAGCTGAGTCCCCTCTCTATCAGAGTAAAGGTTTTTCCCTTTTGAAATTTTTTGAGTTATCACTTTGGCTAAATGAATGACCTGTGATCCTATTTTGCAATATCAAGTGTGTGAAATCTTTGATATTTGACAAACTTTCCAAAAATCAAAATTTCAAGTTCTAAATTCAGCCCTATTGAACTCATTAAGCTTTTAGATACTAAGTCCCCTGAAGTCCAAGAGAGACATTTGGCTTATTTGATATGTTAAAATTATATAAGGGAAGGATCGAAGATGGCAGAGTGAGGCATGCCGCCGTAAACCAGCCTCTGGGCTGTAGGCAGGCCAGTCCCCCGGGAGGCCTCATGCATGTGTTGGACCATGCCCGGAGAAGAAAAAAAGAGATCGGCCAGGGGAAAGGAATTAAAGCAACATTCTTTCTCCCTCCCTTTCAGAGGGGAGTGGTCATCTACACTTATAAAGCAAAGGTCTTAAGTTCCTTATCATAGGAAGAACATTTTCTTTGACCTTTAGGTGCTTTTATATTCATCTCAAAAACAAAATTCTGATCTCAGGACTTGGCGAACCACTGCCAAGAAAGAAATTCTGATCTCAGGACTTGGCAAACCACTGCTGAAACTTCACTTCTACACAGACAGGCTTTCCTTCCCATAACTCCAGACCAGCTGAGCAATTATAAGGTGTTTGCAAAGAAGACAGCTCTATGGCAAAATGACGATGTTCATTCCCAGCACAAAGGAGAGTACAGGAATGCAGCAGGTGAGCAGCTTTCCCTTTCTTCCCAAACTACACCTTCCGGTATGGCTTCAGTATTTTGCTTTTTGTTACAAATTCAATAAGGAAGGTCAAACCAAGTGTAAAGGATTATTGAGCATCACACAAGTTCATCATCCCTAGTTCATTGGTACAAATTAACAAGAGTTGTCTATATTTAAAAAACCATACAACCATCAAAAAAATTATATAGGAAGCACTGTCAAGTAGGAAATGGTGTTTGGCTTTGTGTTTTTGTTTTTGTTTTTGTTTTGAGACCGAATCTCACTCTGTTGCCCAGGCAAGAGTGCAGAGGCGCGATCTCAGCTCACTGAAACCTCCACCTCCTGGGTTCAAGCACTTCTCCTGCCTCAGTCACCCAAGTAGCTGGGATGACAGGCATCCACCACCAAGCCCAGCTAATTTTTGTATTTTTAGTAGCGACAAGGTTTCACCTTGTTGACCACAGGCTGGTCTTGAACTCCTGAGCTCAGGTGATCCTCCCACCTTGGCCTCCCAAAGTGCTGAGATTACAAGCATGAGCCACTGCGTCCAGCCTGTTTGGCTTTCTTTAGGCTGTATTTGTATGAACGTGTTATTGGTGTGTGCTCCAGAATTGGGCAAAACTCCTGTAATTCCGATATGACTTAGTGTATGTTATCAGTAATAATTATAATTGTAATGGTAAATGTTGTATGTCACAAAATAAATCAAACTTCCTTGTCAATTGTGTTCTTAACCATGGCCATTCTGAGATTTACGTTATCACCAATTATTTTACTTTGATACAGTGAGCACGATTTTGGCTCACCGCAACCTCCACTTCCCAGGTTCGGTTGATTCTTGTGCCTCAGCCCCCCAAGTAGTTGGGATTACAGTTGTGTGCCACCATGTCCAGCAAATTTTTGTACTTTTAGTAGAGATGAGGTTTCACCATGTTGGCCAGGCTAGTCTCGAACTCCTGACCTCAGGTGATCCACCTGCCTTGGCCTCCCAAAGTGCTGGGATTACAGGAGTGAGCCCCCATGCCCATCCTGATCCTTTTTAAAAAGGTGGTTTTATAATCAACTATAGGACTTTGACAGGCGCTTTTGAATGCAGATTTTTGGCCTTGTTTTTGTTTGAGACAGGGTCTCATTCTGTCAGCCAGCATGGAGTGTAGTGGTGCGATCTTGGCTCACTGCAGCCTCAACCTCCCAGGCTCAAGCGATCCTCCCACCACAGCCTCCTGAGTAACTGGGACTACAGGCACATGCTACCATGACTGGCTAATCTTTTTTTTTTTTTTTTGGTAGAGACAGGATTTTTCCCTGCTGCCCAGGCTGGTCTTAAACTCCTGAGCTCAAGTAATCCTCCAGTCTCAGCCTCCCAAACTGCTGGGATTACAGGCACGTGCCATTGTGCCCAGATACAGGTTCTTGATAACTTTGGAAACTGTGCTATTGGAATAGAAAAACAAAAACAAAATTTCCAGGACTCTCATGGGAAGCTGATGTGTTCATGAATAGCAAGCAGAACAGAAGTTAATTGCATGGACTGAACTAATAGAAGACTGAAATAATCGATTTTTTTTTTTTTTGAGACAGATTCTAGCTCTGTCGCCCAGGCTGGAGTGTAGTGGTGCAATCTCAGCTCACTGAAACCTCCGTCTCCCAGGTTCAAGCAATTCTCCTACCTCAGCCTCCCAAGTAGCTGGGATTACAGGCACCTGCCATCACGCCCAGCTAATTTTTGTGTTTTTAGTAGAGACGGGGTTTCACTGTGTTGGACAAGCTGTTCTCAAACTCTTTACCTGCTGATCCACCTGCCTCACCCTCCCAAAGTGCTGGGATTACAAGCATGAGCCACCATGCCCAGCAATAATCTACTTTTATACCTGTTATTCGATACCCAGTTAGTTAATACCTGTTATTACATACCCAACCCACCGATTATTTTTGTTTCATTTTTCAAAGTCACAAAAACTTTTATTTTGAGCTAATATTTACAGCTTTTAACAATTTTTTTTTCTTTCACTTTGACGCCCAGGCTGGAGTGCAGTGGTGTGATCTCAGTTCACTGCAACCTCCGCCTCCCAGGTTCAAGTGGTTCCCTTGCCTCGGCCTCCCAAGTAGCTGGGACTACAGGTGCCCACCACCATACCAGCTAATTATTGTATTTTTAGTACAGACAGTGTTTCACCATGTTGGCCAGGCTGGTTTCAAACTCCTGACCTCAGGTGATCCACCCACCTCAGCCCCCCAAAGTGCTGGGATTACAGGCATGAGCCACCGTGCCTGGCTGGCTTTTAACTATTGAGTAAAATTTACTCCTGTGAGCAAAATTTAGAGTGTATTTCTCTCTACGGAATCTCTCCAGAATTTGGAAACTCTGAGTATTTTTAACTTATAGCAACAAAGTTATTTGCATAAGTTCAATAAGAATCAGTTTTCCTTATCAAGCAGAGTCCGATGGGGGGAAAAAAGAATCAGTTTTCTTTTGTAACAGGACACAATTGGAGACTATAGTTATTTCACCCAGGTTTTGACTAGAAAAACATGTTTTCAGACTGCTTTGAGGAACTGAAGTTGACCTATAGAGATGGTAAAAGCCTTTTGGGAAAACTGGCCTTGTACCATGTTTTGTACTGGATTTCTGACCTGATAAAAAATGTCACTTTCTGACAGGCCCAGGAAGCCCAAGCTCTTCTGAGACCTTGAGGAGAGGAATATACTCAATTCATACAGGTATCTGCAGGCACAAATAAATCCTTAGCTGGGCTCAAGAGGCTTTTAAAAGGTCTAATTTGAGATTTCTTATGAAAGAATTCCAGCAAAGCCAATTTTTAAAAAAAGTGCCTATATGGCAAATAATTATTCCTTTTGTACTTTATACAAATAATTAGGCCAAGTATAGTAAGACTGAAATTTATTTTGCAAATAAATTGGTCCTATTATGATTTGTCTTTAATTAAACATGGAGAACTAGAGAGGAAAAAAGTATGTTTTAGGAAAAACTGCAGTTTGTTATTAGATATCAGCCTTATTCACTGATTTTGAGTGTCTCCTGATGATTCCACATATAATTAGTTATCAGGGTCATTCACCTGGATCCCTTAAGACTTCAGGTCAAGCTGGGCACAGTCGCTCACTCCTGTAATCTCAGCACTTTGGGAAGCCGAGGCAGGAGGACTGCTTGAGCCTAGGAGTTCAAGACAAGCCTAGGCAACATAGTGAGACCCCCATCTCTACAAAAAAATTGAATATTTAGCTGGGCTTGGTGTGCGCCTGTAGTCCCAGCTATTCAGGAGGCTGAAGATCCCTTGAGCCCAGGAAGTCAAGGCTGCAGTGAGCCACGATTGCGCCAGGGCATTCCCACCTGAGCAACAGAGTGAGCCCTATCTCAAAAAAAAAAAAAAAAAAAAAAAGAAGAAGAAGAAGATTTCTAGCCAGTTCTACTGGGACTCCTGAAGCTAGGACTTTCACTCCTTATGTTAGGGTTATTATTCGTCTTATAGTCATAAAGCTGTGGGTAACAGCACTAATGTTTTTGTTATGTGTACCTTGGGATCCAAACCAGGTACCCGTGAATACATACAGACAACTGCAAGATGGTTTCACTCCTCCTACCCTGGGGCAACTCCTACCCCAACTAAACCCCCTGCCCACTGTCATGCAGGAAGAAGTTAGAGCAGTATCAGGCTTTTCCCATCTCTGCAGCTCATACCTCAGGACTGAGGTGTGCTGAAGCCCAATGGGTGATTTGAAATCGCCTTTGCAAAATTATGTCAGTAATGGAAATCTGCTATAGTTGCCTCCATCTTGCTTCTGACCTCCATGCTGTCTTTGGTCATTCCTGGGCATAGGCCAAGCTAATTTTGGGAGGAATTTTGTTTATAGTTTACTTGAAAGCAAGGATAATAATAGTCCCTCCCTAAAACTAACCAACTCTTTCTTTGCTCAGGGACTGAAGACAGCCTTTCTAAGACTAATGAAAGGTCACAAGGATAGGGTTATGGGAGGAGCCTGATCTCTGCTAAGATGTGGGCATAGTTTCTTTTTTTCTTCTTTTCTTCTTGTTTTTTTTTTAAATAAAGATGAGGTCTCACTATATTGCCCAGGCTGGTCTCAAACTCCTGGGCTCAAGCAATCCTCCTGCCTTGGCCTCCCAAAGTGCTGGGGGATTACAATTATGAGGCCCAAACCCAGACAAGTCATGATTTCTATAAATCCTTACTGCTCAGGGGTCATGTGGCCAGAGGTCACAAGATTTGTGACTTTCCCAATTGTTCCTATAGATAACATCACTATTGTAGAACCTAAGATTGGTTTTTTTTGAGATGTTTTTCAGAATGACCCCACCTGGACTCATGACTCATGGCTCAACTGGTCCTGTGGTCCCTCCCAAAGGCAGACTCAGTGCATGAGGATAGGTTTCCACACCCCTGTGATTTTATCCTCAACCAATCAGCAGCACCTATTCCTTAGCCCTCTACTTACCAAGTTGTCCATAAAAACCCTAACCTCTGAGCCTTCAGGGAGACTGATTTAAATGATCACTCCAATTCTCCCGCATGAGCTAGTCTCACATCGAGCTCTTTCTCTACAGCAAAAGAAAGAAATTATTTCATGAAACACAGCTATTAACAATTAAATTAGGCTCCTCTCTATGCACTAATGTGGAACAACAGCATATCTTATTTAAAATACACACACAAAAGCCAACATTATGTAAGATATGCTACCAGGTGGGTTTTGAAAAAGAATGTGTGTTTATATGCAAATGCATAGAATGTCTCTGGACAGATAAACACAAAATTGGTCACTGTGTTTGCCTCCAGGGAAGAGAATTGGATGGCTGAGGTCATGAGGGTAGGAGTTAGGCATATTTTTCATTATATATTTTCTTGAACATTTTATATTTGGGGACTTTCGCATATATTACTTATTAAAAAAATCTTTTTTTTTTTTTTTTTTTTTTTTTTTGGTAGAGACAGGTTTTCGATATGTTACCCAGGCTCGTCTTGAACTTCTGGGCTCAAGTGATCCTCTTGCCTCAGCCTCCCAAAGTGCTGAGATTACAGGTATGAGCCACCGTGCCCAGATGATAATCATTATTTTAAGATTTTTTCTACTCATATTTTTAAGATTTTTTCTAGTTTGGAAAGCTGTTTTTTAAAATAAACTTGTGTGTTATAGATAGAGCTTCTTGGTAAAGTAATCATCTGACTATAAAGTGATAAGTTCAAGGTTAATTATACAATTACTGCCTCATTCATGTCAAAAAAAAGTTAGAAAGGGTGTGATATCCTGACATTAAAAGTTGATTTATTTCCTCCTGTGCTTTGCTCTCCACGTAATGTTGGGAATTATGACTGCAGTTATTGAAAATATGCCAGATACTGTCACACACAACTCGGAGGGCATATAAACTAGCCATATCCTCCCACAGCTGGCTGAGGACTCAGCATTTGCTATAAGCAACAGTGACAAATAAAATCAATCCTTTTTTTGTTTTGTTTTTTGTTTTAGATGGAATCTCACTCTGTCGCCCAGGCTGGAGTACAGTGGCATGATCTTGGCTCACTACAACGTCCGCCTCCCGGGTTCAAGCAATTCTCTGCCTCAGCCTCCCGAGTAGCTGGAATTACAGGCACTGCCACCATGCCTGGCTAATTTTTTAATTGTTTTTAGTAGAGACGGGGTTTCACTATCTTGGCCAGGCTGGTCTTGAACTCCTGACTTCATGATCCGCCTGCCTTGGCCTCCCGAAGTGTTGGGATTACACGCGTGAGCCACCCTGCTGGCCAATCAATCCCATTTTAAAAATGCAATTCATGAGATATTTGCAGAAAAGGGAATTTAACAATATGTTGGAATCTTTCTATAATGGAATTGGAAGAGAAGAGCAATAAATACCATTTGATCAGGCTTAGCCTTTTCTAGTTGTTGACCAATAGCTCGATATGGGTCGAACAGGATTCGACCCATAGCTCATCTGAATCCGTTTAACAAGCTCTGTTACAACATGATTACACAGAATCTACAAACACGAACTTCTATTCCTCCAGAGAAAGACATTTTCGGCTGAGTTTTTGATTATGAGGGAACCATCTGCTTCATCTATAATATTCCAGAGCTTTTGTGAATGCATCCTCAGCCTCATGGTTGCTTCTTTTAGCTACGTTTACATTTTATAGAAAGTAACAAGATATTTACCCAGTGGTTTATCTGTAATTCACTCTTCAAGCCCTTTTGGGATAGCAGAAGGAACAGCAGTGACTGCTCTGCAAAGCCTGCCCCATGACTTGCCACTTTGAAATTTTTCCTGGCCTGCTTTTTAAACCTAAGTCAAACTCTGATGCTATCATAAGAGCCTGGGACGCAAGTTTCAACTTGGCTCCATCTTCAGTCTAGCTACTTCGTGTGTGTGTGTGTGTGTGTGTGTGTGTGTGTGTGTGTGTGTGTGTGTGGTGGTGGGGGGTGAGGGGGGGCGTCCCAAAAGGCAGAAGGCAGACAGGTTTATTGGGCAGCAACCGGGAAAATCAGCGGTTGGACTTGGCCACACACTCAAGCTCGTCCTTCTTCTTGCTAGCATAGGAGTTGGAGGAGCCCTTGACAGCACTGATGAGCTCATCTGCCAGGAACTCAGCAATGGTCTTGATGTTCCGGAAGGCAGCCTCAAGAGCTCCTGTGCACTGCGGCCAGATGGCCTGATTCACACGGCTTAATGGGGACACGGCCACAGCCTGTCGTCTCACGATCCTGGCTCGCCCAGTGAGTGTGGAGTCCTCCCGGGGACCACTGTTGATGATGGCGTTCACCAGGACCTGCAGAGGGTTGTCGCCTGTGAGCAGCTGGATGATCTCGAAGGCGTGCTTGACGATGCGCATGATCATGAGCTTCTTGCGGTTGTTGCGGCCGTGCGTCATCATGGAGTAAGTGAGGCACTCCACGATGGGGCACTGAGCTTTGCGGAAGCGTTTGGCGGCATACCGCTCTGCACTGTGAGGCAGGTACTTGGCATACTTCTCCTTCACTGCAGTGTAATCCTGCAAGCAAGTGCCAGATCTGCACATCATCGGAGCTCCACTTCCCAAAGAGCTTGATGCCAGGGTTCTCTGCCACCAGTGGTGCTGCTGTCTCCCACTAGGTCATCCTGAGGGCACAGCCTGAGCATCTCTGTGGCTTGGCATGCACCACATGCCGCCCTGGCACAGACAGGAAGAGCCAGTCTAGCTATTAAAACTTTCAACCATAGTAGTGGTTCAGAACCACCTAAGGAACTTTTGGGAAAATTCAGGTACGTGGGTCTTCCCCAAATTTCGTGAGATACGAGGAGCCATGAGCAGATTAATGTCGTGGAGAAAGTGGGAGAATAGTGATGTGAAGTACAGGATGAGACTGGCCAGTTGGAGAGAGGCCAGTTCATTCATGGCCCCTGGGCAGGTGCAGATATTGATCTTCCATCTGAGAGCAAGGGGAAGCCACCGGAGTCTGGGAGGGAGAGGAAAGACCACTCAGATCTATGCTTGCTTTTCAATCAACCTGGCCACTGTGTGGGGACTTGATTGGAGGGGGACAAAAGTGGATGGGGTAACCTAGTTGGAAAGATTTTGTAATAATCCAGGCAGTTTGGCCTAGGAAAGCGGTGGTAGAGTAAAAGAGGAGTGGACAGATTGGAGAGGCATTTAGGAAGTGAAACCAGTTGAGAGATGTTGGTAATTGATTGGATAAAGATGGGAGGGGAAAAGGAGGTATCAAAAATAATTCTTAGGATTCTGACAAAGGCAGGAATTTAAACATCTGACTAGCCCTTCTTGGGTGATTTCTGGCGCTGGCTGAACTTGCCCCGGGACTTGGATGACAGCCATTCCTGGCAGTGTGTCATGAATCAGTGGTTTACCAGCATGATGTGTCCCAAGGGGGTGGCTGCTCACATCACCACAGCCTGAATCCCCAAGAATAATACAGTCATGGAACACTTCATGCCTCTTATTAGTTAGCAAACACAGTTTACAATTTTTAGGAGGGCATCTTATTTAGAAGCTCAATTACCAAATGATATTTGGAGAAGTTTTATAGAAATAAAATTGACAAGGGCAGGTATTTATTTATAGAAATATTTTGCCAATGCTTAAAAAAATAAAAGCTACTGGCCGGGCGCAGGCTCATGCCTGTAATCCCAGCACTTTGGGAGGCCGAGGTGGGCGGATCACGAGGTCAGAAGATCGAGACCATCCCGGCTAACATGGTAAAACCTTGTCTCTACTAAAAATACAAAAAATTAGCCAGACGTGGTGGTGGGTGCCTGTAGTCCCAGCTACTCGGGAGGCTGAGGCAGGAGAATGGCATGAACCCGGGATGCGGAGCTTGCAGTGACCTGAGATCGTGCCACTGCACTCCAGCCTGGGCAACAGAGCGAAACTCCGTCTCAAAATAAATACATTAATAAATACTACTTAGAAGTGCATCCTGGCTGGGTGCAGTGGCTCACACCTGTAATCCCAGCACTTTGGGAGGCTGAGGCGGGTGGATCACGAGGTCAGGAGTTCAAGACCAGCCTGGCCAAGATGGTGAAACCCCGTCTCTACTAAAAAAATACAAAAGTTAGCCAGGCGTGGTGGTGGGCACCTGTAATCTCAACTACTTGGGAAGCTGAGGCAGAGAAATGCTTGAACCTGGAAGGCTGAGATTGCAAGACCCTATCTCAAAAAAAAAAAAAAAAAGTTTATCCTAATTCAGTTATTTTACCATATACAGTGTAAATACACATATACAGTGAGTGTAGGTTTATGTGCTAGGGTAAAGTGTGTGTGCATCACAGGCTTTTTTTTTTTTTTTAAATAGAGACAGGGTCTTGCTATGTTGCCCAGGCTGGTCTTGAACTCCTGGCCCCAAGCAATCCTCCCACCTCAGCCTCCCAAAGTGCTGAGATTGCAGGCATGAGCCATGGCACCCAGGCAGGTGCAGGCAATTTTGAGAATCTAATTGCTTTTTCCATGTTTTTCCTTCTTAATCCCTTAAAAGCAACATAACATCACTATGATGTATACAGTTAAGAAAATGGTTCTGGCCACATGCAGTGGCTCAGGCCTGTAATCCCAGCACTTTGGGAGGCTGAGGCAGGCGGATCATCTGAGGTCGGGAGTTTGAAACCAGCCTGACCAACATGGTGAAACCCCGCCTCTACTAAAAATACAAAAAATTAGCCGGGTGTGGTGGTACATGCCTATAATCCCAGCTACTTGGGAGGCTGAGGCAAGAGCATCACTTGAACCTGGGAGGTGGAGGTTGCAGTGAGCTGAGATTGCACCACTATACTCCAGCCTGGGCAACAAGAGTGAAACTCTGCCTCAAAAAAAAAAAAAAAAAAAGAAAAGAAAAGAAAAAAAAGAAAATGGTTCTATCTTTACAAAATAAGTAGTGCCATTTTTTTCTTTTTTTTTTGAAACTATGAATATAAGTGTGGCTTTTAATGTGTAAATCTACACTCAATGACCAGTTGATCCTACATAGACTGGTACAGGATCTTCACTCATTTACATGACTGATAAAAAAGTTCTGAGAAAAGTCAAGCAGTTCAGCTGGTGATCTCTCAGTAGCAATCAAGTGACAGGTCCAAATTCCAGAGGCTCTCCTCTGAATCACCACTTGGTCTCAGCAGGTGTTGGATAAATGTACATATGCCCTCTCTTCCAAGCCAACACTCCTGAAAAGAATGTTCCTTTTCAGAGGAGGACATTGGAAAGAACTTGACAAAGGATTTGAGTCTTCCATCTATCCTCCTCTTCTTGTTGAAATGGCCTTACCAGTACACTGCTGCTAATGAGGTGGTTTATCTGGTTTTATTGCCCTTAATTTTATTACCTGCCCAATATAATCTTGGCTGGAGCTCACCTGCTTAGAGGCATGGTAAAGCTTTATGTCTAGGAAAGCCCCACCCAAGGAGTGTTTTTGCTTTCTTGGGTGTAGGCTCTAGGCCAGGCCTGCAGGCTGAGGTGCTGGCCCTGCTTACAACCTAATTTAGAAGCTCTAAACCATTCTATAATATTTTCTGGCCCAGGTGGAGGTAGACACAACCCAAAGAACAAAGATTAAATGAATAACCAAAGGAAAGAGGCAAAGATTAAAGATCTGTTTCTCCATCTCCCAAGGTCATGAGAATCTCTACCCCAGGTTTTACTCGCCTTAGCGTCCAACCACTGAGAAGCCTGTGTGTGGGGAGAGACGTCAGTCATTTGGACCCTTAGCTGAGGGCTGAGCTCTAGCTAGAGCCCCTCACAAAAGTGAAGTCAAGCAGTCGGGCTGAGAGTGGTGAGGTGGGAGGAGAAACAAGCAGGTGGGAAATGGAGGAAGTGGGGTTTAGTTTTCAGTGAGGAAGGGCAGAGCGTTCCTTTGTCCTTCATCTGGCACTGGGCCCAATCTTGCTATTTCACTTCTCTGAGGAAATCTCTCTCTCTGCCCCTTGTCCCTCCCCTGCAACCCTAGATCACTGCATTTCTAGGGAGCAGGTTTGTCCCTTGCGACCCCAAGCACTTTCTCACTGCCCACATCCACCAATCATGATCTCAGATGCAGCTGTCACTACCAGTTCAAAAGCCTGATGTTCCCGCACCCACTGCCTTCTAGAACAGTCTTCCTGATACCTTCTGTGTAAATGCCTGTAATAAAACACTTTCGATGCTATGCCTTATGTGTCGGCTTGACTCGTGCAGCTCTTTCTCAACTACTCTTGGAAGATGTGCTTTCTCTTCCTTCTTTGCTCCCCCACCCTCACTTTCTGTTGCTGGTTTGACCACAGCTGGCTGCAGGCCAAGAAAATGTGGGTGGGCAGGTGCCAGGCCCTGGCTGCTGGAAGCCGCAGGAGGCCAGGGTGCGGAGTGCGGGGGCTGCAAGGGAAGGAGGGTGTATCCCATAAACTTTCTCCAAAAGTTTGAGAGTATTTTGGTGGTGGTGGTGGTGGTGTTTAATTGTGTGTTGAGAAAATGTAAAAATATTCATTCTGAGTAAGAGCAAGATATGTTCCTCTTGGACTGCTCTCCAATATACATTATTAAGTGAAAATGCTCTGTGATAATGATTGGCAATGTCTAAGTCTTTGTGCTGTTTGTTTTCTCTTTTCTTTTTTTTTTTTTTTTTAAGTTCAGGGATACATGTGCAGAACGTGCAAGTTTGTTACATAGGTATACATGTACCATGGTGGTTTGTTGCACCTATCAACTCGTCTTCCAGGTTTTAAGCCCCGCATGCATTAGGTATTTGTCCTAATGCTCTCCCTCCTCTTTCCCCCAACCCTGTGACAGGCCCTGGTATGTGATGTTCCCCTCTTTGTGTCCATGTGTTCTCTTTGTTAAGCTCCCACTTATGAGTGAGAACATGCGGTGTTTGGCTTTCTGTTCCTGTGTTAGTTTGCTGAGAATGATGGTTTCCAGCTTCATCCATGTCACTGCAAAGGACATGAAAGTGCTCTTTGTTTTCTAAGGATATGCATATATATATATATATATATATATATATATATATATATATATATATATATATGTATGTATATATATATGTATATGTACACTTTTATATGCATAAGACTTTTCTAGGAGGAGAAACAGAATTGTTTACAGTGATTGCCCCTGAAGAATGAGTTGGGTGTGTGCTGCGGGTGGGGGAATTTGTACTTTTTATTGTATATGCTTCCGCACTGTTTATTTTTTACTCTATCATATGTAGTGCCTTTATAATAAACAAGTCTAAAGATTTTAAAAACAAATATTAGTTTCCTGTCTTTCAGTGATTTACTCAGAATCATTAATAAGGTACTAAGTGGGAGGTGAGGCTGAATAATACAGTATAATTCCATCTTACCTGGTAGGTTAAACAACTTATAATAATACCATTCTGAATATTTATTATGCAAAATAGTAGTTGCCCTTGCTTTGTGTACTTTATTTACTACTTGTCAAAATCAAATAAGGTAGCTACTTTACAATCTTCATCTTACAAATCAGAAAACAAGCTTAGAGGAAGTCACATACCATTCACAAGGTCACACAACTAGTTAGTGAGAGGTTTGGGAACTGAGCACTTCACAGGGGCAGAGAACACATTTACCTCCTCTGCCACTTAATCTCCAAGTCTTAGCAAAACCTCTGATATATGGAAAGGGACACAAACATATTTGTTGAATAAATGAATAATAAGTATATTATTAAACGTATACATATGCCCCCAACTACTATATTAAATTCAAAAACTATACTTGGGCTGGTGCAGTGGCACATACCTGTAGTCCCTGCTACTCAGGAGGCTGAGGGAGGAGAATCACTTGAGTCCAGGAGATCAAGGCTGCAGTGAGTTATCATTGCATCAGTGCACTCCAGCCTGGGCGATGAATGATACCCCATCTCTAAAAAAAAAAAAAAATTAGGCCGGGCGCGGTGGCTCACACCTGTATTCCCAGCACTTTGGGAGGCCATGGCGGGTGGATCACCTGAGGTCAGGAGTTCGAGACAAGTCTCGCCAACATGGTAAAACCCTGTCTCTACCAAAAATACAGAAATTAGCCAGGTGTGGTGGCGGGCGCCTGTAATCCCAGCTACTTGGGGAGACGAGACAGGAGAATTGCTTGAACCCGGGAGGCGGAGGTTGCAGTGAGCCAAGATCGTGCCATCACACTCCAGCCTGGGGGACAAGAGTGAGACTTCGTCTCAAAAAAAAAAAAAAAAAGAAAAAAAATTAAAAGTTTAAAAAAATGAAAAAAGAAAAAGAAAATAATAAGCTATACTTAGGGCAGCCGAAAAGCACTTTGTCAGCAAGAGGTCCTGAATCACAGTGGCATGAAAAGAGACCCAAAACCCAAGGTAAGCCTCATCTATTGGTTTCTGCTCTAAAACCTCAGCTTCATACTCCCCACTCACCTACAGGAGTAATTTTGTTCTACCAACTGACTTACTGCCCTAGCATTTAATTTATTCATCAGATATACAGTGAGCATCTCCTAGGTACCTGGCATTGAGGGTACTGCAGTGGTAAATATAGAAAAGTTTACATTTTTTTACATTTTTCCTCTAGTTTTTGTCCAAATGGGAAAGACAATAAATACATAAATACATCAGAAAATTATCAGTTTGTATTAGTACTTTAAAAAAAACTATTTAGGCTGGGCATGGTGGCTCACGCCTGTAATCCCAGCACTTTGGGAGGCCAAGGTGGGCAGATCACCTGTGGTCAGGAGTTCAAGACCAGCCTAGCCAACATGGTGAAACCCCGTCTCTACTAAAAAAATACAAAAAAATTAGTTAGGCATGGTGGTGGGTCCCTGTAATCCCAGCTACTCAGGAGGCTGAGGCAGGAGAATCGCTTGAACCCGAGAGGCGGAGGTTGCAGTGAGCTGAGAATGCACCATTGCGCTACAGCCTGGGCAACAAGAGTGAAGCTCCATCTCAAAAAAAAAACTATTTAAAATAGATGTCTTGTAGGGCATTGGTAGGGGGTTGTAGCAAGCCCCAGATGCTGATGCTGGTATTAGTACTTTAAAACAAAACAAAAAAACAAACAAAAAAATGGTGCCACAAATACCAATTATTTTTATGAAAAAAAGTAATTTTTTTTGGAGGCAAAGTCTCACTCTCATTCCCAGGCTGGAGTGCAGTGGCACGATCTCAGCTTACTGCAACCTCCACCTCCCAGGTTCAAGTTATTCTCCTGTCTCAGCCTCCCAAGTAGCTGGGATTACAGGTGCCCACCACCACGCTTGGCCAATTTTTTGTATTTTTAGTAGAGATGGGGTTTCACCATGTTGGTCAGGCTGGTCTGGAACTCCTGACCTCAGGTGATCCACCAGCCTCGGCCTCCCAAAGTACTGGGATTACAGGCATGACCCACCACTTGAACCCGGGAGGCAGAGGTTGCAGTGAGCCAAGATCACACCATTGCACTCCAGCCTGGGCAACAAGAGTGAAACTCCATCTCAAAAAAAAAAATCCTTTTAAATAAGTTATTGAATGCAAAAAGATTGATTCAGACCCTTACCTCACACCATAACCAAAAAGTTAACTCAAAATGAATCAGACACCTAAATGTAAGAGCTAAAAGTATATCACTTTTAGAAGAAAATATAGGAGAAAAATCTTTGTGAACTTGTGTTGGGCAGAAATTTTTGAGATACAATACCAAAAGCATAACCCTTAAAGAAAAAAACTGATAAATTGGACTTCATCAAAATTTCAAACTTGTACTATAAAAGACATCATTAAGAAAGGGAAAAGAGGCCAAGTACAGTGGCTCACACCTATAATCCCAGCACGTTGGGAGGCTAAGGCAGAAGGATCAGTTGAGCTCAGGAGTTTGAAACCAGCCTGGACAACATAGTGAGACCCTGTCTCTACAAAAAAATTAAAAGAATAAAGATAAACTCTTTAAAAGGTAAAAAGACAAGCCATAGGCTGTGAGAAAATATTTTCAAATCATATATCTGATCAAGAACCTGTATCCATAGTATATATAGAACTCTTACAGTTCAATAAGACAAACATCAAATTAAAACCAGCAAAATCCTTCTCCTCTCCCACTGTTTCATTTGACTAGCCTAAAAAAACAGGCAAAAGATTTGAATATACATTTTGCTGAATTACATAAATGGCTAATAAGCCATTAAAAAGATGCTTAACATTATTAATCTTTAGGGAAATTCTCATTAAAACCATGTAAGATACTATTCACACCCACTAGAATGGCTATAATTTCAGTCATGCAGTAACATAAATTGACAAGAATATGGAGAAAGACACATACATTGTTGTGCTTTCATATATTATAAGTGGTAAGATAAAATGATGCAGCCACTTTGGAAAACATGGCAGTTTCTTAAAATGTTAAACATAAGTTTACTGTATTATCTAGCAATTCCATTCCCAGGTATCTAATGAAGGAAAGTGGAAACATATGATCACACAAAGACTTGAATGAACACCAATGTTCACAGCAGCATTATTCATAAGAACTGAAAAAGTGGGAACAATCCAACTGTCCATCAGCTGATAAATAAACAAAAAGCATATATCCACACACTGAAATACTGTTTCACAATAAAAGAATGAAATAGTGATATTTGCAACAATATGAATTAACCTCAAAACCATTTATAATTGAAAGAAGCCAGTCACAAAAGACCACATAATGATGTGGGTTCATTTATATGAAGTGCCCAGAATAGTCAAAATTATGGAGACAGAAAGGAAGTCAGTGGTCTCCTGGGGTTTGGAGTAGGAATGAGGATTAACTGCAAATGATTAAGAGAGATCTTCTTGGGGTGAAGGCAAAGTTCTAAAACTGGATTATGGACACAGAGGGAAGACCAGTGAAGACACAGGGAGAAGACAGCCAGCTACAAGCCAAGGAGAGAGGCCTTGAAAGAAACCAACCCTCCTGACACCTTGATCTCAGACTTTCTGGCCTCTAGAATGTGAAGAAATAAATTTCGGTTGTTTAAGCCAAAAATTTAAAATAAAATTTAAAACTGGATTACGGTGATGGTTGTACAACTGGGTAAATTATTGAATTGTGTATTTAAAACTGGTGAAAGTTACAGTATGTTACTGTACCTCATGAAAGTCATTAAGAAAAAAGGAGGCCAGGCACAATGGCTCATGCTTGTAATCCCAGCACTTTGGGAGGCTGAGGTGGGAGGATAGCTTGAGCCTAGGAGTTCAAAACCAGCCTGGGCAGCATGGTGAAACCCCGTTTCTACAAAAATTAGCCAGATGTGGTGGCTAGCACCAGTAGTCCCAGCTACTTGGGAGGCTGAGGAGGGAGGATCACTTGAGCCCAGGGAGTTGAGGCTGTAGTGAGCTGTGTTTGCACCACTGCACTCCAGCCTGGGTGACAGAGTGAGACCCTGTCTCAAAAAAAGGAAAGAAAAAAGAAAAAGAAAAGACGTTTGGGGGCTTTTGGCTGGATGTCTGATCTGCTTTTCTATTGTCCTCCCCAATGTATTCGGGTCAGCTTCCCCCCCGCCCCGTTTGAATTTCTCCATCCCTGCCTGCCTCATCCTTCCACACATAGACCAGCTCTCTCCCCATGATTTACTTTGTCCTTTGTTTTCCAGACCCACCACCTTTTCTAGTCTGCCTTCTGGACTCTTCATTTCTTCCTGGACCTCTTCCTAAGAGCAGAAATAGAGACAAAGATTCTCAGTTCCCTTTGGAGTCCTGTGTAGCTGCCCAGGCCAGTGGAAGGTGTCGGAATGTGACTTCAGCACATTCCAGTCAACCCAAACCCTGTTAGGGAAAAATGAGCCCTTGCTCAATTAGGGGGAGTGTTTTATGGCCTGTTATTGTTACTCTTACATTGTCAGACTTTTGGAGGAAACAGAGGATTAATTATTTACAAAGCTGTGATGAAACTTCCACTAAAATGCTTTCACACCTAGGGGGGAAAGACCTATATATAAGCAAAGTGTTTCAAGGAATTTTTAAAAAATCATCTTCTACTTTAATTGTCATTTCTCTCAAACATTCTAAAATGGGAGGGAAGAAAAGCTGTGTGAGAGGGAATTATTGGAACTTTTTAAAGAGTACTTAAATGGTACTTAATTATTTTTATCATTTTTTCTAGCTACAAATAGAAACATAAATGAAGAATACATTTATTTTAAAGTCTGATTTTTTTAACAACCTATGGAAGGACTTTCATGAACAATCACAAATTTCCTTCAGTTTCAGAGCCCCCGCGTGAAGAGAACATTCCAATAAGACAGATTATAAGTGTTGGTGGTAATTACTTGGAACCCTGAGTCATTAGGAGCTATTAATTGTCTGAAATATAACCAGAAGAAAAATAAACATCAGAGAGGAAATCTAGCATGACTATAATTAACTTCAATTACGATCCTTCTAATCTATAGGAAAATCTCAGTGTTTCAAAACTGATTTCATTAACTTTTAAGTAACTTTTTAGTAATCTTTTAAGTAACTTTTTAGTTTAACCAGCTAGCAATCTTTGTTCTTTATTTAACTGGATGTGAGTCCAAAACTCCTTTTACCGGTGTTTTCGGATACCCTTTTTTTTTTTTTTTAAGTCAATGGTGTTTATGCAGTTAACCTTTAATGGGAAGCCACTCACGCACAACACCTGCACAGGAGCCAGCGACTCCAACCATCACTCCCAGGCAGAGGGCTGTGAAATCAGAGCCCACCATCAGGACCTCGGGTCTCATCTCAAAAACTTCTGAGTTTTCATCTGCCTGATGAACCTCTTCATCTCCTCGGATCACCTTGAACTCCACACACCCACACCCCAGGTCCTCAGTTCTTCCTGCCCAAGGTGAACACACGCATCCCTTTGTTTTGGATTCTTTCCAAATTTGAGACAATGGTAGTGATCACATTCTTCCTCTCCTCCATGCCACCACCCCACATCAACTAGAGTTGTGTGGGTCCCAACTCTGACATATCTCTCATCCCTGCTCTTTATTTCTTCCTCTCTGCCACCGTCCTATTTTTGGCAGTTGCTTCTTAAGCAGTCATTTGGCTTCACTTCCATCCACTGGGCACGCCGTAAGATGGGGTCACTTTCACTGCACTGCTCAGACCATTTCACTCCTTGCCTTAACATCTTCATGGAAGTTCTTTTGCCACTTGGTAAACAGGGTAAACCCCTGACATCCAAGGTCTTCTTCAGAAGGGCTATGGACACAACCTGTTATGTTCTAGGGTTACCTTACATTAATCCACAGTATCTTTATAGTCCAATCAAGGTAGACCACATACCATTTCCCGAACAAGCCCCTGTGCATTTTTACATCCTGACTCTGCCTCTCCTACTCTGTCAACCACCTATATCTGCCAGCATTTACCTGCTTTCAATACCCTCCCCCAGGAAGCATTCCAGAGGAGTCTTTCTTGAGCAGGAAGTATATTCTAACCTCTCCTTTGTTCTTTTAGCAATGCGCAATGGGCTTAAAACTCCCTTAGGCAATAGCATAATTTTCTATCTTTAAAGTTGTACCTTTTTTCCCTACAGAGACTGAAACCTCAAGAAGGGCAGACAACATGTTTTCTTCCTCTTTTGACATAACAGGCAATAACATATCGTGAAATATGTGTTTTAGTGCCGGCAGGTTTGAATCCTCACTCTGCTACTTACTTGCTGAGTTACCTTAAGCAAACGGCTTAACCTCTCTGAGCCTGTTTTCTCATCTGTAAAATGGGAATACTATTAGCATTAGCCTTTAGAGGGAATTAAATTATTAAAGTTCCTTGAATAATATACATTAAAGATATGCTCTTCAAAAGGCACTTGTTGCCAAGAGCAATGGCTCACATCTATAATCCCAGCACCCTGGGCTCAAGCGAGGAGGAGGGCTCAAGAGACCCTCTCACTTCAGCCTCCCAGGTAGCTGAGACTACAGCTGCACACTACTATACCTGGTTAATTTTTTTTTTTTTTTTTTTTTTTTTTTTTGAGATGGGGTCTCACTCTGTCACCCAGGCTGGAGTGCAGTGGCGTGATCATGGCTCACTGCAACCTCTGCCTCCCAGGCTCAGGAGATTCTCCCACCTCAGTCTCCTGAGTAGCTGGGACCACAGGCATGTGCCACCATGCCTGGCTAATTTTTGTATTTTTAGTAGAGACAGGGTTTGCCATGTTGCTCAGGCTGGCCTCAAACTCCTGAGATCAAGTGATCCATCTGCCTCGGCATCCCAAAGTGTTAGGATTACAAGCGTGAGCCACCTCGCCTGGCCAAATTTTTTTTGTTTTGTTTTGTTTTGTTTTTTGTTTTGTAGAGATGGAGCCTCACGATGTAGCCCAGGCTCATCTTAAACTCCTATCCTCAAGCAGTCTTCCTGCCTCGGCTTCCCAAAGTGTTGGGATCACAAGTGTGAGCCAACAAAGCTGGCTTTGTTTCATATTTTTAACAAGTGGGCCTCATGGTCATTGACTTGCAGCCATTGAAGTAACACCTACCACAAAATTGACTGCAATAGGAGATATATAAAGATATATGTGTCCTTTTTCCTGTACTCACTCAGTTTTCCTTTTGAAGCAGTCAGGGTTTGACCGGAACAAAGGGGAGAAGTGAGACCAAAAAGGAAGTGTGGATTAAGCTGCTCTTCAACTTTACAACACAGAAGAATCACCTGCAACCCTTTTGACCATGCAAAAGACCCAGTGATGAGCATTGGAAATATTTGAGAAGTTCAGGGGTATGGACCTGAAAAAAAAAAAAAAACAGTTCAGTAGAATAGTGGGAATAATAGCCTATACATGATAGCTGAAATTATGGTACATCTCCAAAATGATTAAGGAAAAAGAAGCCCATAAACAATAGAGAATAGAAGGGATCCATCACCAAATTAGTAGAAGTAATAAAGAATTTCCAAGGCCGGGAAAAGTGGCTCATGCCTGTAATCCCAGCACTTTGGGAGGCCAAGGCGGGCGGATCATGAGGTCAGGAGTTCAAGACCAGCCTGACCAACATGGTGAAACCGTCTCTACTAAAGATACAAAAATTATGTGTACACGGGCATGGTAGCACACACCTGTAATCCCAGCTACTCAGGAGGCTGAGGCAGGAGAATCACTTGAGCCCGGGAGGCGGAGGTTGCAGCAAGCTGAGATCACACCGTTGCACTCCAGCCTGGGTGACAGGGTGAGACTCCATCACAAAAAAAAAAAAAAAAAAAAAAAGATTTTCCAGATAATAATGCTAAAAATGCAGATCCAGAAATTCAGATTCAGAAAATGTGACATGTAGCCCAGAAATCGACACTTTTCACAATGTGCCTGAATATGATGTAGATCCATTTTAAGAAATAATAGTACATCTTCATTTTTTTTTTTGTTTGTTTTGTTTTGTTTTGTTTTGTTTTGTTTTGTTTGAGATGGAGTCGGAGTCTCCCTCTGTCACCCAGGCTGGAGTGCAGTGGTGTGATCTTGGCTCACTGCAGCCTCCACCTCCCAGGTTCAAGCAATTCTCCTGCCTCAGCCTCCTGAGTAGCTGGGACAACAGGCATGCGCTGCCATGCTTGGCTAATTTTTGCATTTTTAGTAGAGACGGGGTTTCACCAGGAGTGTTGGCCAGGAGTGTCTTGACCTCTTGACCTCATGATCCGCCCGCCTCGGCCTCCCAAAGTGCTGGGATTACAGGCATGAGCCACCACGCCCAGCCCTGTATATCTTGTTTTATAAGCAAGCAAAACCCCAAAGAATGAAATGCTCAACTGAAGTTCTTTTGATATTCAGTTTCTCTTTTATATTTCTAATAATGACCTTATTACATGAGAGGAAAGAAATTATCTTCTATTCCCTATTGTCCAATGACAGAGCTAACGCTAGAAGAAAGTCATGTTAATTAAATTAAACATCAGGATAATTTTAACTTATCCTTCCCTCATCACATCTACACAATTCAAAACATGGCTCCAGGACAGGTGCGATGGCTCACGCCTGTAATCCCAGCACTTTGGGAGGCCAAGGTGGGTGGATCACTTGAGGTCAGGAGTTCAAGACCAGCCTGGCCAACATGGTGAAACCCTATCTCTACTAAAAATACAAAAATTAGCTGGGCGTGGTGGTATGCACCTATAATCCCAGCTACTCGGGAGGCTGAGGTGGGAGAATTGCTTGAACCCGGGAGGCTGAGGTTGCAGTGAGCCAAGATCATGCCATTGTAGTCCAGCCTGGCCAGCAGACCCAGACTCCATCTCAAAAAAAAAAGAAAAAACAAAGAAGTGCATACTAATTCAGTTATTTTACCATATACAGTGTAAATATACATATACAGTGAGTGTAGGTTTATGTGTTTGGGTAAAGTGTGTGTGCATCACAGACTTTTTTTTTTTTTAATAGAGACAGGGTCTTGCTATGTTGCCCAGGCTGGTCTTGAACTCCTGGCCCCAGGTAATCCTCCCGCCTCAGCCTCCCAAAGTGCTGAGATTACAGGCATGAGCCATGGCACCCAGGCAGGTGCAGGCAAGATCGTGCCACTGCAGTCCAGCATGGCCAGCAGAGCCAGACTACGTCTCAAAAAAAAAAAAAAAAAAAAAAAAAACCAAGGCCAGGCACGGTGGCTCATGCCTGTAATCCCAGCACTTTAGGAGGCAGAGGCAGTCAGATCACCTGAGGTCGGGAGTTCAAGACCAGCCTGACGAACATGGAGAAACCGTGTCTCTACTAAAAATACAAAAAAAAAAAAAAAAAAAAGTAGCCAGGCATGGTAGCACATGCCTGTAATCCCAGCTACGTGGGAGGCTGAGGCAGGAGAATCACTTGAACCTGGGAGGCAGAGGTTGTGGTGAGCTGAGATGGCACCATTGCACTCCAGCCTCGGCAACAAGAGTGAAACTCCTTCTCAAAACAAACAAAGAAACAAACAAAAAACATAGGTCTTTGAGTGAAAGAGTGACAGGACAAGGCTTGTGTTTTAGAAAATTACCCGCAGACAGATAAGTCAATTAAGAAGAAATTATAATAGTCCAAGCCATGGATAATGAAGGTCGGAGCTAGGATTGTGACACTGACAATGAAATAAGGGGTTAAATTCAAGACTTTCAGAGGGAGAGATTATAAGATATCTAAGAGAAAGGACGCAGGAGGAGAGGCAGAGGGAATGGAAATTTACAAGACTGAATTTGGGTGGTTGTGTATGTGGGGATCTTATTAACCATGCTAGCAAATAGGAGAGGAGAGCTCAGTTTGAGGTATGGGAATGAGGGTAGTAGAAATAATGACCTGTTCTACTTGGAGAACTGTGAAATATCCAGCTGGAGTGTTTGTGAGCAGTTGAGGATATAGGCCAGGAGGTCAGGAGCAAAGCTGAAGCTGCATGTGGAGATAACAGTCAATCAGAGTTGAAATTATTGGAGAAAAATGGATGTCTAAGGGGTGGCTAGGGTAAACGAAATCAGTGAAAGAGGTCAAAAAGGATCTATCACCAAAGAAGCAGAAGAGGTAGAAGAGGATGGTATACTTGGAACCATGGAGAATGCAGTCATCCCTTCATATCTGTGGCAATTGTTTCCAGGACCCCTGTAGATAGCAACATCCACAGAGGCTCAAATGGTATTAGGGACAGGCACAGTAGCTCACGCCTGTAATCCAGCACTTTGGGAGGCTGAGGCGGGAGTGTCACTTGAGCCCAGGAGTTGAGACCAGCTTGGGCAACATAGTGAGACCTTGGCTCTATTAAAAAGCAAAAAAATTAGCCAGGCATGGTGGTATATACCTGTAGTCCCATCTACTAGGGAGGCTGAGGTGAGAGGATAGCTTGAGTCCAGGTGGTTGAGGCTGCAGTGAGTTATGATGGCGCCACTGCATTCCAGCCCAGGCAACAGAGAAATACTCTGTCTCAAAAAAGAATAAAAAATAATAATTTGTTTAAATGATGTAGTATTTACATATAACCCACCCATAGCCTCTTGTATACTTTAAATCTTCTCTAGATTACTTATCATACCTAATGAAATGTAAATGCTATGCAAGTAGTTGCACTAGGTTGGTTTTTAAATTTGTATAATTTTTATTGTTGTACTGATTTTTTTTACTGTTTGTTCCTTAATACTTTTGTTCCAGGATTGGTTAAATTCCTGGATGCAGAATGCTCAGATAAGGAGAATCGACTGGGCTGCAGTTTGCAAAAAACTTAAGTGTCAAAAAGTGAAAGGGGTGGCTCCCCTCGGTGCCAGCCCTGCGAGCAGCCCCAGCCTTTGGTGATGGCCTCCTTCTGACATCTGCACAGACAGTGAGAAATAGAGCTGCAGGCTGAAGCTTCAAAGTAATGAAGAAGCCCTAAAATGAATTAAAGGTGTTAGCTGTGGGCTTTGAAAAAAATTATGTGAAAACCTGTCGTCTTAAGATAGGGGGTGTAAAGATCTTCATGATAAAATGTCTGTAAATGGTTATCTCCCAGTGATGCCAAATGGGACCAACACAGCCCTGCCTCTGCTGCTCACTGTTAAGGCCTATAAAATAATCTCGGCTGGGCGTGGTGGCTCATGCCTGTAATCCCAGCACTTTGGGAGGCCAAGGCGGGCAGATCACTTGAGGTCAGGAGTTTGAGACCAGCCTGGCCAACATGCCAAAACTCCATCTCTACCAAAAATACAAAAATTAGCCAGGCGTTGTGGTAGGCACCCATAATCCCAGCTACTCAGGAGGCTGAGGAAAGAGAATTGCTTGAACCTGGGAAGCAGAGGTTGCAGTGAGTGGAGATCACGCCACTGTACTCCAGCCTGGGTGACAGAGCGAGACTCTGTCAAAAAAAAAAATCTCCTCAAAAGAGGGGGGAAAAGATGAGAGGTCGTGTATGAAGCCTCCTTGATCTCATCTCTCTCCTGATTTAAACACCATCCAGATGTAGATGGCTCCCTAGTCTCTGTCTCTCATCCAGATCTCTCCTCCAAATTTAACTCATTCATTCATCAATCTAAACAGAATGTGTAGACAGCCCTTCTACGGTGCAGACACTGTGCTGAGAAGACAACGCTCCCCAAGATCAGCGGCCTGTCCTCCAGGAGCTCCAACACAGAGCTTTACAGACACATACCAGAAAGTTCTACACGATGTGATACACAGGAGGGGCTCCTCACCCACCCCCAGGCTTGGGGAGTTAAGGAAAGCTTCCTAGAGGAGTGACATCTTAGCTGAGACATGAAGGAGGAAGAAGGTTAAACAGAAAACAGGGGGAAGGTAGATGTTTTCAAGCCTGGAGGTGAGAGAAGGCCATGTGTTCAGTGAACTGAGGGTTTAGGGCAAGTGAGAGAAATGACGATGGGTGAGTCTGAGATGTGGGCAGAAGATAGATAATAGCAGGCTTTGAAAGTCATATTAAAAATAAAAACTGAAAAATGAAAAAAGAAAGGTATTATTTATACAATCATAAGTAAAATAGCAAACACACACATGGCGATTACTATGTTCACTTGGTGTGTTTTATGTTTTCAATCTGCATTAACTAACTGTTACAAGAATCCTATGAGGTAAGTACTATTAGAATCCCATTTATCTGATAGTTATAGAGATATATTGACAGGTTTTGAACTGGCAATTGGCCGCTACAACCTCCTCCTCTCTGGCTCCCGGCCTCCTCCAGGCTTGTTTCCTTCCTTTATTTTTTTATTTTTTTTGAGATGGAGTCTCACTCTGTCACCCAGGCTGGAGTGCTGTGGTGCGACCTCGGCTCACTGCAACCTCCGCCTCCCGGGTTCACGCCATTCTCCTGCCTCAGCCTCCCGAGTAGCTGGGACTACAGGCGCCCACCAGGACACCCGGCTAATTTTTTGCATTTTCAGTAGAGACGGGGTTTCACCGTGTTAGCCAGCATGGTCTCGATCTCCTGACCTCGTGATCTGCCCGCCTCGGCCTCCCAAAGTGCTGGGATTACAGGCGTGAGCCACCGCGCCCGGCCTCCCTCCTTTAAATCTACCTCTCTCCAAAATGCAAACACACAGCAGCTTATCTCAGTTGATTGTTCACAGAAAAAAAATAAAATAAAAAAATTTTAAAGTTAATAAAAAAGGAAAAAAATATGTAAAATAATAATAATAATAATAAAATGCAAAGACAACCACGTAAGTCCTCAACTTTAAACATGGCAAGGCCTCCTGTAGCTAGTGAGCATGTTTTGGGTCAAGTCACTCTCCTCATTACCCATGGCTCGCTTTCATGGCAAGGACACACGTCCAGGAGAGGGGTCTGCAGTGCCAAGTGTGGCCAGGCTCTGCCCTCAGCCCTTTCCATGAACTGTCTCAATTCCCGCAATAATCATACATTGCACAGTTTCGGAAACTGAGGAACAAGGACGTCAGGTAACCTATCAAAGGACACAAAATTGTGACCAGGATGGACACCCTGGCTCCAGATGTGCATCCCTACCCTGAGGAGGGCACAGAAAGGCATGTCCACTGAGGTTTGGGAGAAAATAAAATGAAACCAAACTTCACTGAAGCTTTGAGATGATTCTGCTGAGAATTACCACCACCTCCCCTCACACGGTGGGATCGTCACAAATGTGCAAATCTAGCTCCTCCACGTGGCTCTCGCCTGCCCCGCCAGGGCCGCTCCACACTCTCCCTGACACATGGTGGTGGTGGCCCCCGCAGTTTTGCTGCCCTATCTTCTGCTCTCAGCTTCTGCCTGCCTTTACCTGGTGATGTGGCCTTCCCTTTTTCAGTTTCTCCTCTAGGCTCCTGAGGGCAGGAGTCATGTTCCCTCTTCATCTGCCCACCGCCTAGCCCAGTATCTAGGTCAAGGTAGCAGCAGCGCCCCCAGTCTCACATAGATAATGCTGAATATAGGTCATCAGGTTGGGCCTACTCTTTCTAACTCACCTTGAATGTAGCCCCTTCTATTCAATTTTACAATGCCATATAATATTGTAACTCTGGTGTTTTGTTTTGATTTGGTTTGGTTTGGTTTTGAGATGGAGTCTCGCTGTGTTGCCTAGGCTGGAGTGCAGTGGCGCAATCTCAGCTCACTGCAACCTTCGCCTCCCGGGTTCAAATGATTCTCCTGCCTCAGCCTCCTGGGTAACTGGAATTACAGGCGTGTGCCACCATACCCAGCTAATTTTTTGTATTTTCAGTAGAGACAGGGTTTCACCATGTTGGCCAGGCTGGTCTCAAACTCCTGACCTCAAGTGATTTGCCAGCCTCGGCCTCCCAAAGTGCTGGAATTGCAGGCATGAGCCACCACGCCTGGCTTTGTTTTTTTCTTGAAACTGACAGAGAAAAGGTCTAAATTAGTTCCATTCACTCATTCAAAAAGTATTTATTCAACTCCTTCTATATAATAGGCATGATACTAGGTGCTGGAACAAATTTGTAGTATATCCCAGAAAAAGAGGCAGTGTAAATTTAAAAAATATATATGGGCTGGGCACGGTGGCTCACGTCTGTAACCTCAGCACTTTGGGAGGCCAAGGCAGGTGGATCGCTTGAGCCCAGGAGTTCGAGACCAGCCTGTCCAACATGGCGAAATCCTGTCTCTACTAAAAATACAAAAATTATCCAGGCATGATAGCATGTGCCTGTAGTTCCAGCTCACACCCAGGCTGAGGCATGAGAGTTGCTTGAACCCAGGAAGCAGAGATTGCAGTGAGTTGAGATAATGCCACTGTACTCCAGCCTGGGCAACAGAGCTAGACTTGGCCTCAAAAAATAAATAAATAGGCCGGGCACAGTGGCTCACGCCTGTAATCCCAGCACTTTGGGAGGCCGAGGCGGGCGGATCACGAGGTCAGGAGATCGAGACCATCCTGGCTAACACGGTGAAACCCCGTCTCTACTAAAATTGTATTTTTTGTATAAAATTAGCCGGGTGGAGTGGCGGGCGCCTGTAGTCCCAGCTACTCGGGAGGCTGAGGCAAGAGAATGGCGTGAACCCGGGAGGCGGAGCTTGCAGTGAGCCAAGATTGCGCCACTGCACTCCAGCCTGGGCAACAGAGCAAGACTCCATCTCAAAAATAAATAAATAAATATAAATTAATTAAATAAAATGAATAAAAATAAGCTTTAAAAAGATATATATCATACATAATATCATGTATTATACATATATGATATGTATCTTTATAAAACTTTTTATTTATTTTATAATATATATTATATATGTATATATGATATATATGTATATACGAGATATATGTATAATATATGTGTATATGATATACAGTATAATATACGTATATATGATATATATACCTATATATGTATATATCATATATATGTATAATATATATGATATATATATATAGCATAGACTACCTTAAAAGATGGTCCCTGGCCAGGCATGGTGGCTCACGCCTGTAATCCCAGCACTCTGGGAGGCTCAGGCGGGCAGATCACCTGAGGTCGGGAGTTTGAGACCAGCCTGACCAACATGGAGAAACCCTGTCTTCACTAAAAATACAAAATTAGCCAGGCGTGGTGACACATGCCTGTAATCCCAGCTACTCAGAAGGCTAAGGCAGGAGAAGCACTTGAACCTGGGAGGCGGAGGTTGCAATGAGCTGAGATCGCGCCATTGCACTCCAGCCTGGGCAACAAGAGTGAAACTCTGTCCCCCAAAAAAAAAAAAAAAAAAAAGATGGTCCCTTCCATTTGCTACATTAAGATTAGAACACAAAGAAACCCAGGTTGTGCTTCCCTGCCACTTCCCACAGCCCCTGGGGTGCCACACTTTGTTCACTGCATCACACTTCTCTGTCTATTGGTCTGTCTTCACCTCCAGACCAAGTTCCCAGAAGGCTCCTTATATCCTAAAGTCTAATGTGATATCTGCGGAGTGGAAATGAATTTGAGTGCTTTTCAATAATACATCTCTCATGATATCTAGCTTCTAATGTGCGTTAATAATGGGCCAGGCCGGGCACGGTGACTCATGCCTGTAATACCAGCAGGTTGGGAGGCCAAGGTGGGAGGAGCCCTTGAGTCTGGGAGTTTGAGACCAGCCCTGGCAACACAGACACCATCTCAATTAAAAAAAAAAAGGAAGAAAAGAAATTATGGGCCAAATATTCTCCCAAAGGCTTCCCACACACGATCTCAATCTTCACAAGCAAATGAGGCAGGTATTATTACATCACCACTTTTCAAATGAGGAAACTGAGGCTTAAAGAGATTGTAGCTTATTCTAAGACACTCCTCAATGTAGAACAGCATATTCTTTAGGTTCAGCCATTGGTCTTTTTTTAGTCTTAGTTTAGGTATAATGTAAAACTCCCTAATCCTATTAAACTACCCATATCTCTGTGTCTGTCTCTGGCATGTAGTGTGTGCTTGTTTGGAAAAAAGATTCCAGGCGCGTTTTCATTAGAATTGCTATTCCAGGAAACACACACACACACACACACACACACACACACACAAAGAATTGTTATTTCCAAGAGAAGTCAGGAATATAACAGCAGTTTTAAAAGGGAGGTGTGTGGGTACTATGATGGATGGGGCTGGGGAAAGAAGTGTTTTTCAAAGCAAAATCAAATTTCTCCCTTACTTTTGGAGGCAGATAAATTTTTGAAGAATTTAAATACCAGCAAGAAAGAAAGCTTTTGTTATGTGAGCAGTTTTGTTTGTCCTCTCCCTTTAAAGAAAGAAACCCCATTCCCTCCCACTCCCCAAGACTGGATTTAGATAAGCCTAGAGCCAAAACCACCCTGTGGATTGCAGAACAATTGGCCTTCAGGTGGGGCTTGATGAAAGGCTTTTGCACTCTCAGGGGTCACCTGAGTGCAGTTTTGCGGAGCCTCCCTCTGTTCTCCCTGGGGGGGTTTTTCTCCCCTCTCCCCACCCTCATTTATCTATGTAAAGGTCCTGCAAGAGTGTTTGCTGACTCCCCAGCCCTCCTTCAGTCCCCACCCCTCCTGACCTCACCCGTGGCACCCAGATGAGTCCCCGCTGGGCCTGTTACTGATACGCCGAGCACAAAGGCAGGGCGGGGTGGGGTGACGCTCCCAGCCCCTTCGGGGAAATCCCAGGTGTCCCTCACCACATACCTGCCTTTCTGGATCCCCTTCTCTAGAAATAAGGAAGCACAGCCTCAGCCGCCTCTGACTTTGTTCCCTGGTCTCCCCCTACCCCTGCCCGGCCCCAGTTTCTCCCTGTTCTCTGTGCCACCAATGACCAAAGTACGCCTGACACATTTCCATACCTGACTTTAGAGACACCCCAAATAAAGCTGAAGCAAACCTTAATTTACTAAAGGTCCAATATTTTCCAAAGACAAGCATCAGTTACTTTATTAGTATTAACTTGAAATATAATAGCATATATATATATTTGTTTGTTTATATTTGTTAATTCATCAAACTCTTTTATTGAGCATCTATTGTATGCCTGCCTGATTGGTGTTAGGCATTGATAAAAGTCAAGTAGGACCAGGCTTCTTTCTCAAGGAGCAGGAAGTCCCTTGGGGAAGACAGACAAGTGAAACATAGACATCTTCAGTGCAAAATTAGTGGCGCCATGGCTGCTTGGTGCAGGGGATGAAGGCATCCAGGGACGGGCTTCCAAGGTCCACTTGCCCAGGCTCTTGCATTTGTCCCTTGTCCCCTACCTAAGACAAATACAGCAAACACTGACTTTCCCTTCAGGCTTCCCTCTTCAAGTGTTTTTTCCTGGGACATTCCTTGTTCCACTCACTCACCCACACTTTCATTCGGCAAATGTTCTGTGAGCCCTGGCCCAGCATGTCAAGACCCTGTTGGAGGCAGTGGGGAAATAGTGGTAAACAAGATCCTGCCTTGCTGACATCCTCATGGAGGGGAGTCAGAGAGTAAATATGCACACAAGTAAACATAAAATAATTTCAGATCGTAGTAATAATAATATAGTGTTAATAATAGTGTTAA
Source organism: Homo sapiens (assembly GCF_000001405.40). Taxonomy (NCBI): domain Eukaryota; kingdom Metazoa; phylum Chordata; class Mammalia; order Primates; family Hominidae; genus Homo; species Homo sapiens. The sequence continues at coordinate 80,278,682 of NC_000008.11, read as the reverse complement.
TAATAATAAAAGAGCCATAGCTAGAGTGCCTGGAGGTCACAGTGGATACTTTCCTCAGAAAGCCTTGGAATGCCACCAAGGACTCCAATGCAAAGATCTAGTAAGAGGGCGTCAGGCTGAAAAACCAGGCTGAGGCAAGGCCTGAAGATGGAAATGAACTTGGATGCTTAAGGGACAGAGGAAGGCCAGTGAGCGAGGAGCATTAGTCTCGGGGGAGCAACCCTGCAGGGGACGAGGCGGCAGACAGGAGGGGCCGGTCCATGCTGATCCTTGTGGTGACAAGAGGCATGGAATTGTTTTATAAACAAATGAATGTACCAGGCCCTGGTTTAAGTACTTTGTATATGTTCAAGCATATGACCCTGAGCAACCCTGTGAGGCAGGCATTCTTTTTTTTTTGAGATGGAGTTTCACTCTTGTTGCCCAGGTGCAATCTCAGTTCACTTCAACCTTGAGGCAGGCATTCTTGTATATTTGCGGGAGGAGGAATCCAGGCCTATATTGATGGTGTAGCTTGTCCAAGGTGGTTTCGGGGATAGTGTCAGGATGTGAAATATGGCATCCTGTGTCAGAATATTCCAGGTCTACGGAGAAGGTCAAAGAACCAGATATTAAGTGCTGTGTTTAAATAGAAAAGAACAGCCTGGGCAAGATAAGGAGATCCCATCTCCTTCAAGAATTTTAAAAATTAGGCTTGATGCAGTGGCTCATGCCTGTAATCCCAGCCGAGGCGAGTGGATCACCAGTGGTCAGGAGTTCGAGACCAGCCTGGCCAATGTGGTGAAACCTGTCTCTACTGAACATACAAAAAATTAGCCGGACGTGGTGGTGGGCGCCTGTAATCCCAGCTCCTCAGTAAGGTGAGGCAGGAGAATCACTTGAACGCAGGAAGTGGAGGTTGCAGCGAGCCGAGATCACGCCATTGCACTCCATCCTGGGTGACAAGAGCGAAACTTTGTCTCAAATAAATAAATAAATAAAAATTAGCTGGGTGTGGTGGAGCCCGCTTGTATTTGGGAGCTACTCAGGAGGCTGAGGAGGGAGGATTGCTTGAGCCCAGGAGGTGGAAGCTGCAATGAGCCACAGTCATGCCACTGTACCCTGGCCTTGGTGACAGAGTGAGACCCCATCTCAAAATTTAAAAAAAAAAAAGAAAAACAACTAGTCTCCAACCCCCATCCCCTGCCCCCCACTTTTTTTTCATCAATGAGAGTTTTTCAACTCCTCAAAACGTGTATTGTCCAAAAGTCAAAGAAACCTTTAAACTCATTCACATAATCTTTCAACAGGTTTTTTGAGAGGCAAAGTTCTGAGGCGACTTGCCGGGAGCCCAGGGCACGTGCTCCATGAGCAGTGTTTTGTTTGGTTTTCAATACCCTCAATTAAATGCACATAAGACTATAAACCTTTCTTTGTCCTACTCTAGGCCTTTTAAAAAGGTAACTTCAGGGCCTGATATCTCCTTTGAAATCCTGAGGAACGCCATAGCAATTAATCAGTATTCATGGTTCTCCTGCAGAACCTAGGCTTTCTCTGAAAGAGGAGCAAATCCCCAATCCACGTGCTAGCCCAGTGCTTCTCAAACTTTAATATGCACAGGAATCACCTGGGGGTCTTGTTTAAAATGCACATCCTGCCCAGTTGTCTGCTCTTCTTTTTTTTTTTTTTTGGACAGGGTCTTGCTCTGTCACCCAGGCTCTAGTGCAGAGGCATGATCATGGTTCACTGCAGCCTCAACCTCCTGGGCTTAAGGGATTCTGCCACCTGTGCCTTGCAAGTAGCTGGGACTACAGGCACATGCCACCACACCCAGCTAGTGTGTGTGTGTGTGTGTGTGTGTGTATGTGAGATGGAGTTTCACTCTTGTCACCCAGGCTGCAGTGCAGTGGCACAATCTTGGCTCACTGCAACCTCCGCCTCCTGGGTTCAAGTATTTTTCCTGTCTCAGCCTCCTGAGTAGCTGGGGTTACAGAGGTGCGCCACCAGGCCCAGCTAATTTTTGTATTTTTAGTAGAAACAGGGTTTTGCCATGTCGGCCAGGCTGGTATCAAACTCCTGACCTCAGATGATCCGCCCACCTCAGCCTCCCAGAGTGCTGGGATTACAGGTGTGAGCCACCGTGCCTGGTCAGCGTGGGGTTTTTTTGTTTTTTTTTGGTTTTTTTTGCTTTTTTTGAGACACAGTCTCACTCTGTCGCCCAGGCTGGAGGGCAGTGGCGTGATCTCAGCTCAGTACAAGCTCTGCCTCCCAGGTTCACACCATCCTCCTGCCGCAGCCTCCCAAGTAGCTGGGACTACAGGCGTCTGCCACCACACCCGGCTACTTTTTTGTATTTTTAGTAGAGACGGGGTTTCACCATGTTAGCCAGAATGGTCTCGATCTCCTGACCTCGTGATCCACCCGCCTCAGCCTCCCAAAGTGCTGGGATTACAGGCGTGAGCCACCACTCCTGGCCTTGGTGTGTTTTTTTTAAATAGAGACGAGGTCTCACTGTGTTGCCCAGGCTGGTCTCAAACTTGGGATCAAGCAATCCTCCCACCTTGGCCTCTCAAAGTGCTGGAATTACAGCGTGAGCCACTTCGCCTGCCTGGCCTGCTTTCTAACTAGCTCTCAGGTGATGCCAAGGCTGCTGCTGGTGGTCTACACTAGTAACAGCAAAGTGCTAACCCTTTTACTTAGCAGCACAGTTTTTCTGGGCTAGGCAGAAAGGAGACCTAGCTCTTTCCCCCAGGAGTAGCAGCTGGCAGGCAAGACTACCATCCCATAATCTCTCAAAATCATCTTATGCAACAAGTGTATAAAAGACACAGCTGGCCAGGCACAGTGGCTCACGCCTGTAATCCCAGCACTTTGGGAGGCTGGGGCAGGAGGATCAGGAGGTCAGGAGTTCGAGACCAGCCTGACTAACATGGTGAAACCTCATCTCTACTAAAAACACAAAAGTTAGCCGGGCATGGTGAGTGCTACTGTAATCCCAGCTACTCAGGACGCTGAGGCAGGAGAAACGCTTGAACCCCGGAGGCAGAGTTGCAATGAGCCAAGATCGTGCCACTGCACTCTAGCCTGGGTGACAGAGCAAGACTCCATCTCAAAAAAAAAAAAAAAAGAAAGACACAGCTTTGGGGGTAGCCCCAAACGAAGTGGCCCAAAGTTGAATACACGAAAACAGAGACCGTCATTGATGAGACATAGAGATTAACCATAACTTAAATAATAAGTTAGATTAACTGTCTTATAGCATGTAAAAAAAGAAACAATGATTCCATGTCCTTTACTTTGTTTTCTTTTGTTTTGTTTTGTTTTTGAGACAGAGTCTCACTCTGTGGCCCAGGCTGGAGTGCAGTAGCACAATCTCAGCTCACTGCAACCTCTGCCTCCTGGGTTCAAGTGATTCTCCTGCCTCAGCCTCCCGAATAGCTAGGACCTCAGACGTGTGCCACCACATCCAGCTAATTTTTGTATTTTTAGTAGAGACAGGGTTTCACCATGTTGGCCAGGCTGGCCCCGAACTCCTGACCTCTGGTGATCCACCCGCCTTGGCCTCCCAAAGTACTGGGATTACAGGTGTGAGCCACCACACCTGGCTCAATGTTTGCTTTCATCTATATTTGGCTTGTGTCTTTGATACAGGAATATTAAGTATTTTGAATTTATAAGCTGCAAAGTTTCTCAGTATAAATCAAGCCTCAGAGTAGATACAAGTTCATTTGTTATTCTATGCACTCAGAATTTAAAAAAAATAAAAAAAATTGATAATATCCCCTCCCTACCTCCTCCTATGCCCAGTGAGTTGTTAACTGTGCATCGAGTTATCCTTCCCCATTCCCACAGCATCTGTGCTAATGAGTTATGCACAGTGTCATCACCTCTGCTGTACACTAATGCAATACCTTTCAAACTGATTTAACTGCATCCTTTCTTTGCCACCTCAGATAAAGCACAACTTTGGGTCAGGCACAGTCGCTCATGCCTGTAATCCCAGCACTTTGGGCTGAGGTGGGCAGATCACCTGAGGTCAGGAGTTCGAGACCAGCCTGGTCAACATGGTGAAACCCCATCTCCACTAAAAATACAAAAATTAGCTGGGCTTGGTGGCGCACACCTGTAGTCTCAGCTACTCAGGAGGCTGAGGCACGAGAATGGCTTGAACCCGAGAGGTGGAAGTTGCAGTGAGCTGAGACCATACTACTGCATTCCAGCCTGGGTGACAGAGACCCCGTCTCCAGAAGGAAAAAAAAAAAAAGCACCACTTTGATCACACTATGCCTGTGCTCAGACGGCTTTAGCAGCTCCTCCACTGTCCAAAGAAAACCCAGACTCTGATGTCGGGCACTGATGGTCTTTTTCCTGAGCCCTCCTAGCTTTCTAGGTTGGTGCAAATTACTTAACCTCTCTGAGCTTCAATTATTCATTTAAAAACTATAGATCATAGTACCAACCTCTCAGATGTGTTTTAAGGATTAGGCCAGGTGCAGTGGCTCACGTCTGTAATCTTTGCACTTTGTGGGGCCAAGGTGGGAGGATTGCTCGAGCCCAGAAGTTAGAGACCAGCTGGGACAGTGTGGCAAGACCCCGTCTCTACAAAAAATACAAAAAATTAGCCAAGCGTGGTGGCATGCACTTGTAGTCTCAGCTACTTGGGAGGCTGAGGCTGGAGGATTGCCTCGGTCCAGGAGGTTGAGGCTGCAGTAAGCTGTGATCATGCCTCTGCACTCTAGCCTGGGAGACAGTGAGACCCTGTCTCAAAAACAAACAACAAATAAATACATTTCAGTGAATACAAGCCCAGGTGACATATCAGCTTTTTCCTAATCTTTTCCATTTTTCCCAATCTACCTCCGCTGCTAGTCTTTTTTTTTTTTTTACACAACTCTTGTCTTATTTCGCAGTTATTTGTGAATAAATAATACCCTCTTAAAATGATATTGAGGCCAGGTGCAGTGGCTCACACCTGTAATCCCAGCACTTTGCGAGGCCAAGGGAGGCAGATCACTTAAGGTCAGCAGTTCGAGACCAGCCTGACCAACAAGGTAAAACCTCCTCTGTACTAAAAATATAAAAATTAGCTGGGCATTGTGGTGTGCGCCTGTAATCCCACCTACTGGGGAGGCTGAGGCAAGAGAACCACTTGAATCCAGAGGCGGAAGTTGCAGTGAGCTGAGATTGTGCCACTGCACTCCAGCCTGCACAACAGAGCGAGACTCCACCTCAAAAAATAGATGATATTACATATGTGCAGTGTGAACTTATGTGGATTATAAGGAATAAATAAAAAGAGGGAGAGAAAGAATGAAGGAAAAATTTTATTACTCATTACTCAAGGTAATGAATGACAATAATGCTCTCAAGTAATGAGGCAAACAAATCACTCCATGTGATGATCTGAATGACGATAAGTGAATTTAGAGATCATAGAGCCAGACAAGTGCATAGTATCTCCAAGGAATTAAAAAAATTGAGGACCCTAGAAAACCAATATAGACTTAGTAGCCTCTTCTTTGATCATAAATGCAATAATATGGTATGCCCACATATACTATATTTGGAGGTGATTTAAGTATTTTCAGGGATCATTGTGACTTGACACAATTTTTACCTTCAAAACTTAACCACTACCAACCTCATAAAACTAAACTCCACTAAACTATAAGCCCTTTGAGGAAAAATCTGGGTTTTATGCACCTTGGCATAGTCATGTCATAAAGATGGGGAATAACTTAGAAATCAGGGTATCTTCTGATGATAATCAGCCAAGTAATTTTTTTGGCTATATATAAAAACTGACTGAATTAACATATATTGTCAAAAATTCAGCCAGGTGCACTGGCTCTTGCCTGAAATCTTAACACTTTGGGAGGCTGAGGCGGGAAGATCACTTGAGCCCAGGAGTTTGATACCAACTTGTGCAACATGGCAAAAACCTGTCTCTACAGAAAATACAAAAATTAGCTGGGCATGATGGCACGAGCCTTGAGTTCCAGCTACTCAGGAGGCTGTGGTGGAAGGATCACCTGAGCCCTGGAGGTGGAGGCTGCAGTTAGCTGTGATTGTGCCACTGCAGTCCAGACTGGGTAACATACTGAGACCCCATCTCTAAATAAATAAATGAACTAAATTTTTTTTTTTTTTTTTGCGACGGAGTCTCGCTCTGTCGCCCAGGTTGGAGTGCAGTGGCGCGATCTCGGCTCACTGCAAGCTCCGCCTCCCAGGTTCACACCATTCTCCTGCCTCAGCCTCCGGAGTAGCTGGGACTACAGGTGCCCGCCACCACACCCGGCTAATTTTTTGTATTTTTAATAGAGACAGGGTTTCACCATGTTAGCCAGGATGGCCTCGATCTCCTGACCTCGTGATCCGCTCGTCTCGGCCTCCCAAAGTGCTGGGATTACAGGCGTGAGCCACCGCGCCCGGCCGAACTAAAAATTCTTTTAAAAAAAGAAGGAAAATATCTAGCTATAATTATGCTAGATTTTGCCAAGCACTGACATTTTTGACAGTTTCAGAACTAAATAGAACTATATATTTGTTACCTAAATTATGTAAGCTATCCATGCTGTTAAAGATGAGAGAGAAAAGAGAGGAAAAAAGAAAAGGTATATACTTAAGCAAAAAGAAGAAAAAAGATAAATATGACTCAATTACCCAAAGATACCAATTACTAACTTTTTTATTTATAATTGTTCATATATTTTTTTCAGTGTGTGTCTATCTGCTTAATGGACACTTTTAAATCACACTGATGGTTATAAAAATGAATCATAGAATGTTAACACTGAGTGATTGTAGCCCAAGCCCCTCATTTGACAGTTGCGGAATCTGCAAGACTCTTTCCTGAGGGCAGAACGCAGCTGGACTATAATTATAGCATCTTTGAAAATATGAGGCCTTTGGGTCACAGAAGTAACTTCATGTTCTTGCTTGTTCAAATCACAGTGGCACAGACTCCAGATACTTATTATGTTCCAGAACAAAAAAAATGGGCAACAAAGGGTTAAAAAATAAAAAAAAGGTGAAATTAGATTATTGAAGGTTAAAATCAGAATGTTCTTATAAGATTGATCATTAAGTCACTTAGTCATGCTAGAAAAGTGCTTTTGACTGAGTCAGAAAAACTATGCTGTAATTTGCAACCTGCTGTTTATAAGACGTGACTTTGGTCACTTCTCTGTGCCTATTTCCTCATTTATAACACGGGAATTATCATCTTTCATTTGTATTTTCATTAAATCAAATGAAACACAGACTGTGAAAGTACTGTTAACTGTAGGGTATTGTGTGAAGTGAGGTGTTGTTGAAAGCAAGAAAGAGGAATAATGAATGCATAGACTAACTTCTAACAAATCATGCATTTCCGTGATTCCCCTTAGGCTGCAATGCTCTTCCCTATCTTGGCGTCTCTTCCTATTTGATGTTTCGTGTGTGTTTGATGTTTCGTGTGTGTTTTCAGATCACTATGTGTCTATCTCCTTCATACAACTATCACACTTTTTTATTTTTTATTTTTTTGAGACGGAGTTTCGCTCTTGTTGCCCAGGCTAGAGTGCAATGGCGCGATCTCATCTCACTGCAACCTCTGCCTCCCAGGCTCAAGCGATTCTTCTGCCTCAGCCTCCCGAGTAGCTGGGATTACAGGCATGTGCCACCACTCCCAGCCAATTTTGTAATTTTAGTAGAGACAGGGTTTCTCCATGTTGGTCAGGCTGGTCTCGAATTCCCAACCTCAGGTGATCTGCCCGCCTCGGCCTCCCAAAGGGCTGGGATTACAGGCGTGAGCCACTGTGCCCGGCCACAACTATCACATTCTTACTGTCATTCTTGGTTTCTATTTCTGTCTCCCGCACTAGATAACACACTCTTAATGACGGAAATTGGGTCTTTTTTGAGGGATGCTTGAGGGCCTCCCCTTTCCTTGTTCCTGATCTCTATCAACCCTCCCCAAGACAAGATTCCTCCACCCCGTCAGCCAGGATTTGCCAACCATGTCCCTAACCTCAAGTCTCCTCCGCACAAGGAAACATTTTTAGAAGCACCATTAACCCTCTTGTTTTTATATCCCCAGCATTGGAAATAATGCCTAGCAGCTAACACTGCAGTCAGTGAAAGTTGGCTGCGGGATGAATGAATGAGACAATTGAATTATCATATCTGTCTTCAAGAATGCTCTCTTCCTGCCAATCAAGGCCTCCTCTGTGTAAATCTCTGAAATCTGACCGTTTGACAATTTTGGTTTGATTATTCAAGGAGGTCCATAACTTGTATTAACTTGTGATTTTGCTGAAGAAAGAATGTGAATGAACACAGGGCCAGGCCTGGGGTCAGGATCCGGGCCCTCTTAGCTGTGTTAGCCTCCCCAACCTCCAGCTCCTCCATGTGGCTTTGTCATCACTGACCCTTCGTCACATGCTCAGTGAAGCCAGGAATCCAGACCTTTTGACTCTGAAGTTCAAGTTCGTTTTTTCCCCCTCTCTTATTTAATTAATTTTTTTTTTTTTTTTTTTTTTTTGAGACAGAGTCTCGTTCTGTTGACCAGGCTGGAGTGCAGTGGTGTGATCTTGGCTCACCGCAACCTCTGCCTCCCAGGTTCAAGTGATTCTCCTGCCTCAGCCTCCCAAGTAGCTGGGATTATAGGCATGCGCCACCACACCAGGCTAATTTTGTATTTTTAGTAGAGACGGGGGGTTCTCCATGTTGGTCAGGCTGGTCTCGAAGTCCTGACCTCAGGTGATCCACCAGCCTTGGCCCCCCAAAGTGCTGAGATTATAGGTGTGAGCCACTGCGCCCAGCCAATTATTTTTTTTTTTTGAGACGGGGTCTCACTATGTCACCCAGGATGGTCTTGAACTCCTTCCTAGGCTCAAGCAATCCTCCTGGTTCAGCCTTCCAAAGTGTTGGGATTACAGGCATGAGCCAGTACGCCCGGCCCCTTTCTTACAGGGTCTCACTTTGTCGCCAGGCTAGAGTGCAGTAGTGTGATCTTGGCTCATGCAGCCTCAGCCTCCCAGGCTCAAGTGAGCCTCCTACCTCAGCCTCTTGAGTAGCTGGGACTACAGGTGAGTGCCACCACGCCTGGCTAATTTTTTTTTTTTTTTGAGATGGAGTCTTGTTCTGTCAGCCAGGCTGGAGTACAGTGGCGTGATTTCAGCTCACTGCAACCTCTGCCTCCCAGGTTCAAGCAATTCTCCTGCCTCACCCTCCCGAGTAGCTGGGACTACAGATGTGTGCCACCACGCCCGGCTAATTTTTGTATTTTTAGTAGAGACGGGGTTTCACCATATTGGCCAGGCTGGTCTTGAACTCCTGACCTCGTGATCCACCCACCTCAGCCTCCCAAAGTGCTGGGATTACAGGCGTGAGCCACCGCGCCTGGCCTGTTTTTGTATTTTTTGTAGAGACAGGGTTTTGCCATGTTGCCCAGGCTGGTCTCAAACTCCTGGGCTCAAGCAATTTGCCCACTTCGGCTTCTCAAAGTGCTGGGATTAAAGGTGTGAGCCACCATGCCCAGCCCCAAGTTCTTTCTTTTATAGCTCTCAAAAAGATTAGAATGTTCTCTCTTCTTTTTTAAGATGGAGTCTCACTATGTTGCCCAGGCTGGTCTTGAACTCCTGGGCTCAAGCGATCCTCTCATCTTGACCTTCAAATTGCTGGGATTACAGGTTTGAGCTGCTGTGCCTGGCCAAGGTTAGAATTTTCAAAGCATTTTGTTATCTCATTTGATTTCCACAACAACTCAATGTGGATACAATTATTATTTGTCCTTTACAGATTTGCAAAGAGGCTCAGAGAGTTTAACTCACTTGCTGAAGGTCACTTAGCTGATAAGCAACAAAGAGGACCCTAGAAGTCAAGATCCCTGAGTCTACATAAACGCTGTCTTCCTTCTTATCATAATACAATCATTTTGGACAAGAAACCACCCAATACATTTATTAAATATATAAAGGAAAATAAAAGATAGCATTCTTTTCAGAAAAGAAGACATTTAAAAAAAAAGAAGGCCGGATTCAGTAGCTCACACCTGTAATCCAAGCACTTTGGCAGGCTGAGGTGGGAGGATCACTTGAGCGCAGGAGTTCAAAGCCAGCCTGGGCAACATAGTGAGACCCTGTCTCTCCAGATAAATTAAAACAATAATAATACTAAAGAAAAAAAAGTTCCCAGAAGGAGGGGCAAAGGGGGCATTGGGGTCAATTATGTGTGTAAAATTTGGTCTACACTGAAACTTTTTAGAGATGTAGTAAATATTAGTTGATGATAGTACTTTTTGATGATAGCAGCTATTGTATATATATTGTGTATGTTCTTATGGAGTCTAACATACGGTTTCCACAGTAGGGTTCAGTAAATTTGGCTGTACCAGGAGGAGACCATTGGCTAAATTTATCAGATTATATTCCTGCCATGACAGGTAGTTGAGAATTGGGTGTATTAGTAAAGGCATGATGAGGGCTGGGCATGGTGGCACATGGCTGTAATCCCAGCCCTTTGGGAAACCAAGGCAGGAGGATCACTTGAGGCCAGGATTTTGAGACCAGTCAGAGCAACATAACGAGACCCTGTATCTACAAAAAAAAAAAAAAAAAAAGTTTTAATTAGCTGGGCATGGTGGTACACACCTGTAGTCCTAGCTATTCTGGAGGCTGAGGCTGGAGGATTGCTTGAGCAGAGGAGTTCAAGACTGCAGTGGGCTGTGATCACCCCTCTGCACTCCAGCCTGGACAACAGAGCTGGATCCTGTCTCTAAAAAGAAATTTTTAAAAAAATGTTAGGGATATGATTTGGTAAGTGATGCAGAGAGGCAAAAGAATGGGATGCAATTCCCTGGAAGCACAATTGCTACCTGTAGGAATCATCCTGGGGACTCCCCTAGCTGCAGATGCCAAAGGGTGGCAGTGTCCAAACTGAGGAAGTACCCAAGTGCAGGGAGGCAGCATGGGCGAATGGCAAACACTTGAGCCTCCAAGGCTAGGGCCCTGGCTCTGCTCCTGTGCTTTCTAAGATCTCTTACATAGCTGGGCATGGAGGCATGCCTATAATCCCAGCTACTCAGGAGGCTAAAGAAGGGGGTTCACTTGAGTCCAGGACTTCAAGACCAGCCTGAACAACATATGTATTATATACATATATATGTTGATTTTTGTAGAGACAGGGTCTCAACATATTGCCCAGGCTGTTCTCAAATTTCTGGCCTTCAGCAATCCTCCCACCTCAGCCTTCCAAAGTGTTGGGATTACAGGCATGAGCCACCACATCTGGCCTGAGCCACCAGGCCCAGCCTAATTTTTTCTTTAAATTTACTAAAAGAAAAACAAGATCCTTTACCACACCACTTAACAGAAAAATATTAACATAAAATAATACAGATAGTGTGCAAAAAAGTCACTTGCTGGGTTGATTTAGCATTTTGGTAAAGTATACAAGCTCTGGACACAGACTGAGTATGTATCTTAGCTCAGCTAGTTACTATGTGTATGATTTGGGGCAAATTACATACCTTCTCTGGAGCTCAGATTCCTCTTCTGTAAAATGAGGATAAGAATTCCTCCTTCATGAAATTGTTGGAACAATTAAATAACTTAATACTATATATATACATACATATATATATTTTTGAGACGGAGTTTCACTCTTGTTGCCCAGGCTGGAGTGCATTGGCACGATCTCGGCTCACCGCAACCTCTGCCTCCCGGATTCAAGCAATTCTCCTGCCTCAGCCTCCCAAGTACTTGGGATTACAGGCATGCGCCACCATGCCCGACTAATTTTTTTTTTTTTTTTTTTTGAGACGGAGTCTCACTCTGTTGCTCAGGCTGGAGTGCAGCGGTGCGATCTCGGCTCACTGCAACCTCTGCCTCCTGGGTTCAAGCGATTCTCCTGCCTTGGCCTCCCAAACAGGTGGGATTACAGGCGACTGCCACCATGCCTGGCTAGTTTTTGCATTTTTAGTAGAGATGGGGTTTCACCATGTTGGCCAGGCAGGTCTCAAACTCCTGACCTCAGGCGATCCGCCCGCCTCCTCTTCCGAAAGTGCTGGGATTACAGGCATGAGCCACCGCACCTGGCCTAATTTTGTATTTTTAGTAGAGACGGGATTTCACCATGTTGGCCAGACTGGTCTCGAAATCCTGACCTCAGGTGATCCACCTACCTCAGCCTCCCAAAGTGCTGGGATTACAGGCATGAGCCACAGGGCCCGGCCTTTAATACTACTATTTTTTTTTTTTTTTTTTTTTTTGAGACAGAGTCTTGCTTTGTCGCCCAGGCTGGAGTGCAGTGGCGCGATATAGGCTCACTGCAAGCTCCGCCTCGCCGATTCACGCCATTCTCCTGCCTCAGCCTCCTGAGTAGCTGGGACTACAGGCGCCCGCCACGACGCCCGGCTAATTTTTTGCCTTAATACTATTTTTAAGTGACAATACATGTCATAGAAATATTAGCTATTGTTACTAGTACCAGTGCCTGTGGCACTTTCCTTATCTGTTAACGATTAGAACAATAAAAAGATGTGCTTTCCCAGGCGGCTGCCGAAGATGGCGGAGGTGCAGGTCCCAGTCCTCCATGGTCGAGGCCATCTCCTGGGCCGCCTGGCGGCCATCGTGGCTAAGCAGGTAATGTTGGGCTGGAAGGTGGTGGTCGTACGCTGTGAGGGCATCAACATTTCTGGCAATTTCTACAGAAATAAGTTGAAGTACCTGGCTTTCCTCTGCAAGCAGATGAACACCAACCCTTCGCGAGGCTCCTAACACTTCCGGACCCCCAGCTGCAGCTTCCGGACCCCCAGCTGCATCTTCCGGTGGACCGTGCGAGGCATGCTGCCCCACAAGACCAAGCGGGGCCAGGCCGTCCTAGACCACCTCCAGGTGTTTGACGGCATCTCACCGCTCTACGACAAGAAAGCGGATGGTGGTTCCTGCTGCCCTCAAGGTCGTGCGTCTGAAGCCGACAAGAAAGTTTGCCTATCTGGGGCGCCTGGCGCACGAGGTTGGCTGGAAGTACCAGGCAGTGACAGCTACCCTGGAGAAGAGGAAGGAAAAGGCCTAGATCCACTACCGGAAGAAGAAACAGCTCATGAGGCTACGGAAACAGGCTGAGAAGAACGTGGAGAAGAAAACTGACAAATACACAGAGGTCCTCAAGACCCACAGACTCCTGGTCTGAGCCCAGTAAAGACTGTTAATTCCAAAAGAAAAGAAAAGAAAAAGATGTGGCTGGGCTCAAAGCCTCCAACCCCTGGGCTCAAGTGATCCACCCCAGCCTCTGAAAGTATTGGGATTACAGGTGTGAGTCACCATGCCCAGCCATTATAAAACTTTTAAACCTAGTTTTTAAAATGTTTTAATTTTTAAGTTTTTTTGAGACTAGGTTTAAGTTTTGTAAGTGGCATGATCACAGCTTACTGAAGCCTTGACCTCCTAGGCTCAAGAGATCCTCTAACTTCAGCCTCCTGAGTAGCTGGTACCACAGGCATGCACCACCACACACAGCTACTTTTTACATTTTTTTTGTAGAGATGGCTTTCACTAAGTCTCCAAGCTGGTCTCGAACTCATGGACTCAAGCAGTCCTCCTGTGTTGGCTCCCCAAAGTGTTGAGATTACAGGCATGAGACACCATGCCCAGCCTAAAATTCGTTTTAACTAATATAAAGTTTTTAGTGGGGAAAAATCAGTAATTTAGCTGAGCATGGTGGTGCGCATGCCTGTGGTCTCAGCTACTTGAAGGCTGAGGTGGACCAGGAGATCAAAGCTGCACCACTGTACTCCAGCCTGGGCAACAGAATAAGACTCCATCTCAAAAAAAAAAAAAAAAAAAAAAAGAAAGCGACATACCACTATATATGGACAAGAATGGATACAAATGAAAAAGACTGACAATACCAAGTGTTGACAAAGATGTGGAGCCACTAGAACTCTTATTCATTGCTAGTGGGAATGCAAAAGGGGACAGCCACTTGTACAACAGTTGGAGTACCTTATAGTTAAACATACATTTAGCATATGGCCCAGTAATCCTACTCCTAGGTAATTATGCCAGTGAAATGAAAATATATGTCCACATAAATATGTATATATGAATGTTCATACAGTAATATTCATAATAGTTAAAAACTAGAAACAATCCACGTGTTCAAGAGGAGGGTATAGAAACAAACTGTGCTCTATTTACAAAATAAAATATTACACAGCAATAAAAAGAAGTGAACTCTGACACATGCAACAACACAAAGGAATCTCAAAAACATCATGCTGAGTGAAAGAAGCATAACACCAAAAAGCACATGCCATGTGATTCTATTTTTGTGAAGTTCTAGAACTTGACAAACTTATGGTGGAAATATTTGAAATATATTTGTTTCTGCCGTGATGGGGAGGAGAAAAAACAAGTCCAGGAGATTGAGGTCAAAAATTCCATGAAGATAGTTGGACATGGTGGCGAGTACCTGTAATCCTAGCACTTTGAGAGGCTGAGGTGGATGGATCACTAGAGCCCAGGAGTTCCAGACCAGCCTGAGCAATATGGGCAGACCCTATCTCTATAACAATTAAAATAAAAAAATTTAGCCCTGTGTGGTGGAGCATGCCTGTAGTTCCAGGTATTCAGGAGGCTGAGGTGGGAGGATCCCTTGAGTCCAGGAGTTTGAGGCTACAGTGAGCCATATTGTGCCACTGCACTCCAGCCTGGGTGACAGAGCAAGACCCTGTCTCAAAAAACAAAGAACAAAAGAATAAAAATAAACAAAAAATTATACAGATATTTTATAGGTTTTTTTTAAGGGAAGAAGAAATTTTTTTCAAAAGAGAAAAAAATTCTATAAAGAAGTAAACTGTTCCCCACTTCTCTTACCTAGTTCTTAAATAGCTTTGTTTGTTATTCAGTTTCTTCAAGTAGCTCTTGTTCCCATCTCAGCAAATTTTACTTAATTTGCTGGCATTTTGATCTCAGAGAGTTGACAATTTGACAAATGAGCTGAAGAATCCATCAGAGAAACACAGTGTGGAATAATATATCTTGCTAGCCTTCCAAATGTGTCCCAGGGGTCAGAAATCCAACTGGTCACTTTTAGAGAAGAGTACTAATAAACTAGATTTATAACTAATAACACAGGACTGGGCGCGGTGGCTCACGCCTGTAATCCCAGCACTTTGGGATGCCGAGGCGGCAGGAAATCGAGACCATCCTGGCTAACACGGTGAAACCCCGTCTTTACTAAAAATACAAAAAATTAGCCGGGCATGGTGGCGGGCGCCTGTAGTGCCAGCCACTTGGGAGGCTGAGGCAGGAGAATGGCATGAACCCGGGAGGCGGAGCTTGCAGTGAGTCGAGATCAAGCCACTGCACTCCAGCCTGGGCGACAGAGTGAGACTCCGTCTCAAAAAAAAAAAAAAAATCACTAATAACACGGACAAATCTCAAGAAGATCTCAAAAGTTAAAATACAACACATAGGCCATGCGTGGTGGCTCAAGCCTGTAATCTCAGCACTTTGGGAGCAAGACTCTGTCTCAAAAAAAAAAAAAAGTCATGCTTCAAGACCAGCATCAGTTTCCAACCAAATCTACTACCAGGGTCAGCATTCATTGATACTATTTCAGATTAGATTAGGGTTCATAATGAAATATGTGACTTGGATAGTCCCCTAAACCTCTTTTTATTTTTTTTCCCCAGGACACATACCACATTTCAATACACCATGTAATTGACTTATTTAATGTGCCTATTGTCTGTCTCCCTGCTCCAGAATTCAGCCCCAGGAGAGCAGAAATCTGGGTCGCTCTATTCACTCATGTGCACTAAGGGCCCAAAAATGATGCCTGTTGACATAGATGGTGTTCAATAACTAGTTGTTGAATAAATCAATGAACTTCTGCCATCGAATAATTCCTATTTGCCAAATAACAATCCTATAAAATAAGAAAAGCCATCAGGGTTTACTACATGCCAGTCCCTGGGCTGAGCACTACATACATTATCTTATTTAAACTTGCAATTTGGGAGGCTGAGGTGGGTGGATTACTTGAGGTCAGGAGTTCGAGACCAGCCTGGTCAACATGGTGAAAACCTGTCTCTCCTAGGAAAAAAAAAAAAAAAATTAGCTAGGTGTGGTGGCAGGTGCCTGTAATCCCAGCTATTTGGGAGGCTGAGGCAGGAGAATTGCTTGAACCTGGAAGGTGGAGGTTGTAGTGAGCCAAGATTGCGCCACTGCACTCCAGCCTGGGCAACAAAGTGAGACTCAAACATTAAAAAATAAATAAATAAATAAATAAATAAAAAATAAACTTTCAACAGCCCCATAACCTAGCTATCAGACCCACTTTGCAAACAGGAGACTTAGAAAGGCTAAGCAAACTGTTTAAGATTACACAGCTGCTAGGAAGTAAAGCGGGAATTTGAATTTGGACTCTGCAAAACTCCTAAGCCTGCGCTTAAACACTGTCTCACGTGACCACTAGCTAGGAGGGCTACATGTACAACGTGGGAAAAGAAAAAGAACAGATTTCTCTGCACTTCAATTAGAACTGGTGGCTTCTCAGCATCCAGTAGCTTCATCAGTCCCTAAAGGTTTCTCTTGTTTGTTTGTTTGTTTTGAGATGTCTCACTCTGTCACCCAGGCTGGAGGGCAGTGGCATGATCACAGCTCACTGCAGCCTCAACATCAGAGCTCAGGTGATCCTCCCACCTCAGCCTCCTGAGTAGCTGGGACTAGCAAGTGCATGCCACCACACCCAGCTAATTTTTTATTTTTTGTAGAGACGAGGTCTCACTGTGTTGCTCAGGCTGGTCTTGAACTCCTGGACATAAGTGGTCCTCCCACCTTGGCCTCCCAAAATGCTGTGATTACAGGCGTGAGCCACTGCTCCAAGCCTCACACTTACTTCTGGAAGTTGAAGTGCAATCATGAGCTTAGATTTGTGGTTTAGGAGGAAAAGCTTGAGCTTTGAAATCTTACAGTTGTGGGTTCAAATGTTATTTCTCTGCTTGCTATTTGTGTGACCTTCAAAAGTTAATTAATCCTTCTGGGCTTAGATTTTTCACTAGTACAATGGAAATACTGATGCCTCCCTTGTGAAGGTTGAGAAGTTAAAGAAAATGTTTGCAATAAATATTAAGGCCCCTCCTCCTTCACATGGTCACATAAAAGAAAAACCAAGGTCAGGTGTGGTGGCTCATCCCTGTAATCCCAGCACTTTGGGAGGCTGAGGCAGGCAGATCACTTGAGGCCAGGAGTTTGAGACCAGCTTGGTCAACATAGTGAAACCCCATCTCTACTAAAAATACAAAAATTAGCTGAGGATGGTGGTGTGTGCCTGTAATCCCAGCTACTTGGAAGGCTGAGGCAGGAGGATCACTTGAACCCAGGAGGCGGAGGTTTCAGTGAGCTGAGATCATGCCACTGCACTCTAGCCTGGGCAACAGAGCGAGACTCTGTCCCCCCCCACAAAAAAAAAAGATAAACCGAGCATGTTTTTTCCTGTTAGAAAACAGATGGGAAAAGAGAAAAAAGGAGAGGTATTTAAGATCTCCAAGGTACCTTTTCTCACCTTGTTTGAGTTTTGTTAGAGGAGGATTGGGAGCAGGGCAAGGAGGAAAAAAAACCGGGGGAGGTTCTCTTCAAGACTCTTCTTCCCTGAGCGTGTCCCTCACATCTCCCTAACTGTGGATTTCTCTTGGGAGCAGCAGAGAGGGAGTGAGAGGAGAGGAGAGGGAAGCGGAAGGCTCAGAGAGTCCTCCAAATTTGTGGTTGCTACAAAGCAACCAGAATGGTTTTCCTCTTTCTTACTGATCTTTTTTTTTTTTTTTTTTTTTTTTTGAGACGGAGTCTCGCTCTGTCGCCCAGGCTGGAGTGCAGTGGCGGGATCTCGGCTCACTGCAAGCTCCGCCTCCCGGGTTCACGCCATTCTCCTGCCTCAGCCTCCCAAGTAGCTGGGACTACAGGCGCCCGCCACTACGCCCGGCTAATTTTTTGTATTTTTAGTAGAGACGGGGTTTCACCGTTTTAGCCGGGATGGTCTCGATCTCCTGACCTCGTGATCAGCCCGCCTCGGCCTCCCAAAGTGCTGGGATTACAGGCGTGAGCCACCGCGCCCGGCCTCTTACTGATCTTGATAGAGACAGGAGGCAGATAAATTCTAGGCAGCTTGGTCAACATGGTGAAACCCCATCTTTACTAAAAATACAAAAATTAGCTGAGTGTGGTGGTGTGTGCCTTTTCACACACCCCCTCTCCAGCTCCCCTCTCCACTGAAAATGTTGCATTTTCCAAAACTACCTACGACCCATCCCACCCCCCATCTTGTGCCTGTAAAGACCCCAGACTCAGTTGGTAGATGGGGAGAAGCGGTTTGACTGGAGAGAGGTGACTTGACTTCAGAGAGACAGCTTGACTTCAGGGAAGAGCTGGCTGGAGATGGCTGGACTTCAAGGAGGATTACCTGCCTGTCCCGCCCCCTCTCCAGCTCCCCTCTTCACTGAAAGCCATTTCCATCACTAAATAAAATTTTTCACCTCCACCATTCTTCAAGTGTCCATGCGACCCTATTCTTCCTGGATGCGGACAAGAGTTTGGGACCCACTGAGTGCGGGTACCAAAAAAAGGCTGTCATACCTGCCTTTTGCCCCCACTGGCAGAGGGCAGCCATCTCACGTGGACGTAGTGAGGCAAGGGGCTCATTGAGCTGATAACACACCACTGTCCACAGATGGTGAAGCTAAGAGAGCATTGTAACATGCCCTCTGGAGCTTTGGGGGTCACAGGCACCTCCTACTGGGCAACATCACAGGGCCTGCACAGAGCCTGCTCCTGCAGGTGCCCAAGGTGGCCATGCCCCTGTTGAAAGTCTGATGAAGGGGTCGAGAAAAATCCTGCATCAACTCAGAGTTATTTATATATTCTGGATGGGAATTATTTTATCTGTCATAAGCATGCAAATATCTCTCTATAGTTTGTAGCTTGTCTTCTAACATTTTTCTTGGTGTTATTTCTTGTTAAGTTGTATAATTATTTATTGCTTTAAAAGCTTTAAAAAGGCAAGTAAAGCACAACATTAGAATTAATTAATTCTTTCTTTCTTTCTTTCTTTTTCTTTTTGAGACAGAGTCTCACTCTGTCCCCCAGGCTGGAATGTAGTGGCGCGATCTCAGATCACTGCAACCTCCACCTCCCAGGTTCAAGCGATTCTCCTGCCTCAGCCTCCCAAGTAGTTGGGATTACAGCTGTGTGCCACCACATCCAGCTAATGCTTTTGTATTTTCAGTAGAGACAGGGTTTCACCATGTTGGCCAGGCTAGTCTTGAACTCCTGACCTCAAGTGATCTGTCTGCCTTGGCCTCCCAAAGTGCTGGGATTATTGGCGTAAGCCACTGTGCCCAGCCTCTTTTCTTTCTTTTCTTCTTCTTCTTTTTTTGTTTTTTCTTTGAGACAGGGTTTCTGTCTTGTCACCCAGGCTAGAGTGCAGTGGCATGACTTTGGCTCACTGCAACCTCTGTCTCTTGCCATAGCCTCCTGAGTAGCTGGGACTACTGGCATGCACCACTGCACCTAGCTAATTTTTGTATTTTTGTAGAGACGGGATTTCACTATGTTGCCCAGGCCAGTCTCGAACTCCTAAGCTCATGTGATCTGCTCATCTCAGCCTCCCAAAGTGTTGGAATTACAGGCGTGAGCTGCCACATCCAGTCAGCATTTGTTTTCAAAAACTAAAAATGGATATTTAACTGGCAAATGAGTTGTTATGTTGTTAATTATTCTTTAATGTATTTTGTGATATTTCATAAAACAAAAATAAAAAACACCAAAGAAAGGTTTGATCCTCTTTCCCCTTTTCTCAGGCCCCAGAGCACAGCTACCCACGAAAACCCCCTTCTCTTAAACCTTCTTTAGTGAAGGCTATTGAACACAGGAGAAGAAAGCTGCATCTAAAAATGACTTGGAATTCTGGGGACATTCTTGGCTGAGACACCCAATCACAGGAACAGCCCCAGGCCTGGTTGTGAAAGAGGCTACTTGTCTCTGGGCGCCTCCATTCCTGAACCCCTACCCTGTCCTTTCAACATCTTCTCCCCCAGGCACCTGGCAGTCTCCTGGGACTCCCAAAGTCACCTCCCCCAGCACCAGACACACAGGAAATCCACAAAGGGAAGAGACTTACTGGAAGTAGGCTCAACCCCATAAAGATTTACTTTTTTTTTTTTAAGGATTTACATTTTGCAAGTATTTAGGGAGTGGGCAAAGAAAGACTAAAGAAACAGCCAAAGCTCCTGCGGGAGGGGTCTTTCTAAATAAAGCCTTCACAGAATGGCCAGGGGACTCCTCAGGAGGTCCTAACACTTCAAGACCCCATCTTGTTCAACATCGGAGCCCCAGTGGCAAGCCATTGCTTGGTAGGCACCATATATGTGTTGAATGAATTAAATGACTTGTTTTGTTCTGTGCCAGGCAGTGTGTGAGTCATTGGGAATATGTCAGTAAAGAAAACAGACAAAAATTCCTGTCCTCTGGGAACTGTTTCTCATCTATGTATGGAGGTGGGGGAAGGAGGATGAGGGTGCTGAGGACTATCAACGAAATAAGTACATTTCTATTAAATTGATATTATACAGTAAGTACTTTGGGAAGAAAAGAAAGAAAGGAAGGAAGAAAGAGAGAGAGAGGAAGGAAGGAAGGCCGGCCAGAATTTGCAAGTGAAGGAGTGGAGGAGTGAGCTTTGAGGCTACATAGGGAACAGGGACAGCAAGGTGATGAATTCCCCTCACCCTTCAACATTTCTTGTCATTTCAAGACCAAATCTTTCAAGTTCTAAGAATACATTATGTGAAACCCTTCTCTACAAGAAGTACAAAAATTAGCTGGGCATGGTGGTGTGTGTCTGTAGTCCCAGTTACTCAGGAGGCTGAGGTGGGAGGATTACCTGAGCCCAGGGAGGTCAAGGCTGTGGTGAGCTATGATTGTGCCACTGTACTCCAGCCTGGGCAACAGAGTGAGACCCTGCCTCAAAAAAATAAAAAACATTATGCTGTTTCTCGCTTCAGTAGTTTGCATATACTGTTCCCTTTGCCTGATATTTACCTCCTGTCTTTTCCACCTGGCCAATTCCTATGTGTCCTTCAAGATCCATTTCAGATGCCACCCTCTCAGTGCCTGGAGGGAGAGGTAAATTGTTACTACCTTTGTACTCCCATAATACTTTGTTGACTTCTTACTAGAAGCTCTCAGTACCTCTCCTGAGTCACATGTGTTTGTAGAACTCTTACAACAAAGGTAAGCTATTACTATCATCACAGCTTTTAGACATATGAGAAAACAGGTTGTAACAAGTTAAGTAACTTGTCTCAGGTCATCGGCTGGATTTGGAAGGCTGGACTTTAAGGTCAACAACCCAGGCTCCAAAACAGAGCCCTTCCTATGATTCCAGGAGCCCCACCTGGCATTGGGTGAATTACATTTAAATTAGAATTTTCTGCTGCATTGTGATCAACTTGAGGACAGACACCATTTCTATTTAGTTGGGGGAGGGGTTGTCTGAGGAGTACTGGATAAATATTTGTTTAGTGAATAAAGGGATGAATTAGTCACCAACTGTTCAGGCATTCACGTGGAATTTATTTTTGAGCCTGAGCCTTCCTGTGCTCCCTAAATCTTGCCTCACAACTGACTACTTGCTACACCTGACCTCACCCGAACCAAATAATACTAGGAAAAGGGATGATTTTGGCATTTGGCTTCCTTCTTTCCACTTTGGGCACTCTTAACTAAACTGGTTTGCAGACTGCTGGGTGAGGGTGCAGCGTCAAGAGTGGAGTGACTTGGTGAAGGGGTGGTAGGGCCAGCAGCACCTGGGGCCAGAGGCCACTGCAGGGCAGAGCTGAGGGGCTTAGCCATTCTCTCCTCTGCCTCCTCAGTATCCCTGTGTTCCTCTCCCAAACAGTAGGCAAACCTCAGATGCCCGGTCTCCGAGCAGGGCAAAAAAAAGACTAGTTTCCCCAGTCTTTCTGAAAAGGTAGAGAGTATAGTTTTCTATTGGTCTCTAGGCTAATAAATGAGACACTGTATTCATCACTCAAGAACAGGAGAACTGGAAGAGAAGATGTTCTGAGGGTGACCAAGAATGAGGGAAGAGAAGGCCTTGAAGAAGGCAGCTTTCTTTTTTCTTTTCTTTTTTTTCTTTTTTTTTTTAGACAGAGTTTCACTCTCTTGCTCAGTCTGGAGTGCAGTGGCACAATCTCGGCCCAATGCAACCTCTACCTCCCAGGTTCAAGCGATTCTCCTGCCTCAGCCTCCCGAGTAGCTGGGATTACAGGCGTGCACTACCACGCCCGGCTAATTTTTTGTATTTTTAGTAGAGGTGGGGTTGCACCATGTCGGCCAGGCTGGACTCGAAATCCTGAACTAAAGTGATCCACCCGCCTCGGCGTCCGAAGATGTTGGGATTACAGGCATAAGCCACCACATCCAGCTGAAGAAGGCAGCTTTCTTAGGGATGACTTATTCCTGTGCCTCTTAGTGATGACTTATTCCTGTACCTCGCAGGCAGCCTGAAATACATGTTGAGTGAAACAGCTGGATCTTTGGGAGGGAAATCTTTGTTGGTTGGAGATAGGTGTTTTCCTTCTATATCAGGGTGAAGAAACATTTATGTTGCCTACTTTAGTTTCTTTTTTTCTTTTTTTTTTTTTGAGACGAAGTCTCACTCTGTCACCCAGGCTGGAGTGTAGTGGTGCAATCTCGGCTCACTGCAGCCTCTGCCTCCCAGGTTCAGGTGATTCTCCTGCCTCAGCCTCCCAGATAGCTGAGACTACAGGTGCGTGCCACCGCGCCCGGCTAATTTTTTGTATTTTTAGTAGAGACAGGGTTTCGCCGTGTTAGCTAGGATGGTCTCCATCTCCTGACCTCGTGATCCGCACACCTCGGCCTCCCAAAGTGCTGGGATTACAGGCATGAGCCACCGCGCCTGGTCCACCTACTTTAGTTTCTAAAGAGCTTTCCAGGCTGGGCGCAGTGGCTTACACCTGTAATCCCAGCATTTTGGGAGGCTGAGGCAGACGGATCACTTGAGGTCAAGAGTTTGAGACCAGCCTGGCCAACATGGTGAAACCCCATCTCTATTAAAAATGCAAAAATTAGCTGAGCATGGTGGCACACGCCTGTAGTCCCAGCTACCTGGGAGACTGAGGCAGGAAAATCACTTGAACCCAGGAGGCGGAGGTTGCAGTGAGCCAAGATCACGCCACTGCACTCCGTCCTGGGCACACATCAGCTTCCCAAAGTGCTGAGATTACAGGCGTGAGCCACCGCACCCAGCCTGGAAAGCTCTTTAGAAACTAAAGTAGGCAACATAGATGTTTCCTCACCCTGATATGGAAGAAAAACATCATCTCCACATTTTGAGACTCTGTCTCAAGAAAAGAGCTTTCCATATGCAGCATCTCAAGATTAAACTCAGGATTGCTAATTGTTACTGATCCACTTCTTTGATGGATTCATCCTACCATATTGAGAGTTCAGGATGTGCCAGGTACATGCAATGAGCCTCTTATGCCAAGAGGCTTTGGGCCCAAGTCTAGAAGGGGAGATACCACAGGTAAGTGTGGAAGCAGATATAGGAGCTATGACCACCGTCTGTCAGGAAATAGTGGGGGAAGTCTCCAAAGACAGATTCTATTTGAGCAAAGTCTTGGATATTTTAGTTGCTTTTTATGGGGGCAGTTGAGTGAGACAAGAATTGTAGCTCTATTTTAACTGAATTATCTTATTGTTCAAACATGAAAGCAATGCTGTATGTTTTAAAGGGAGGTAGAAGGACAGAGATAAAAGCCCTGAAGAATTCCATTTCCAAAGAGTCTCCTGGATAGATAAGATCTCAGCTTGGTGGAGAGGTGGGGAGAAGGGAGGGCACAGGACCCCACACCCCAGCCACTCTCTCCAGCCTAGAACACCCAAATCCCAAACTCTAATTACACCTTCACATCGAATTCTTCCTTGTCTTTTAAAAATGTAAAACACTGGCAGAAGTCATGCATCAGCCCCTTGCTGCCTCTCTGTAAAATGAAAGTGTCACACTACGTGTTCTCTCCAGAGTTGAATCCAGTGCTCTCATTTTACAACTCCCAGCCATATCAACCATTTTCATCTCAACGGTATGTTATCTTGAGAGTTGAGGGTTTGTGATCGGAGAATAGGGAATCAGGGTAGGGTGGGGATGAGTGTTGGGGAGGCTGAGAATGAGGGAACACTATGGGGTGGGGTGGGGTGGAGAAGGAAAAGCATCTGAAAGGGGAACTTCTCCCCCACCCTCATTCTTCTCCTCTATGGAGGACACTTCCTTTCCTCCTCTAGCGTCCAGTGTTTCTTCACTGGAGATGAGGATAAATCCCTGCACCACCAAGGTGTTAGTTTAATGCTTTGACCCCACTAGGAGTCACGGTCTTCATGCATGAAGCCCTCCACAGGGCCAGGCACTCTGCTACCAAATAAAATGCTTGGGGAGAGTTTGGAAGCAAATGACACCATAAAAGAATAAATAAGTAGAGTGAAGACAATTAACTTTTGTTTAGAGTCTCACAATTTACAAAGAGGTGAATTACTTCATTCCACGTTCAGCACAGCCATTTGAGTTGGGCAGTGTTATTCTCCACGCTTTATGGACGGGGAAAGCAAGGCCATGTAGTTAAAACACTTTCCCAAGATTACTTGCCTAGTGATTACTAGATATAAACAGCAGAACACAAATAGTAAGGAAGAAGAAAGGAGAGTGGAGAACCCACTCCTTTTGGGGCAGGCAGGTCTACGGAGTCAATGAACCCACTCATTCCAACCTGAAAAATGGGAAATACCACCCCAAGTGTAAGATACAATCGTGTGGTGTCTCCTGATCCACACCTTCCTTCCTCTAAAGATTTGAAAACTAAGTAAGGATAATATATTTTCTGACCAGAACCCCTGTTTTTCTGCTTAAAATCAACTCTGTAAGAACCAAACCTCTTTGGGGCTTTCAGCACTGGCAGTTTTTGCCAGTGCAGACAATAGCTACTTTAAAAAGCAGCTCCCCCTGCCCCTTGGAGGGAGGGTGGGGTGGCCAGTGACTCAGCAGACACCTAGGGGTGAGGAGAGCACCACAGTGTGGCCCGGGTGTTTGTCTGAGGTTCCAACCCGCTTCCACCCCTGGGGCCGTGCACCCTCAGGGCCCTTCAGCTGTGGCCTCAAGCCTTAGCTCCAAAGGGGCTTCCACCTAGACCCTGGGCTTGGACAGAAGCCTAACCGTAAAAATAGAACGCTTAAAAATAGAAAAACAAATATAAACACTACTGCCCACTGTGTCTCTGTGTTAAAAACATGAGCATGTTCCAAAGGGTCTCTATTAGAATTTCTTATTCAAAGAATTTTTGGTGTTAATATCCTCCCACCTATATGGAAGGTGAGTTCAAGGTGACTTCCCAGAGCCTAGCACAGTGCCTGCTGCTCAGCAGGTATTTACTGACGGACTGGCTCTCCCAACCCCAATTGCCCACAGCTAAGGCAAAAAAAAAAAAAAAAAAATAGGGGGAAATGAAGCAAGCCCACAACTCTGCTGGTGAGTGCTTCTCTGGTAGATGCAGGTGAGGGTCTCAGAGATTCTTCAAGGCTGCCACAGGACATCAGCTCTTCACTTGATGTTTAAGTGAAGCTTCCGGGGCCGAGAGTGAGTGAGCTGAGGAGTCTGAGCAGCTGGAGGGCAGGCTCCTGAGGGCAGTCACCACGTAGCCAACCCAACAATAGCCTGGCTTTGCCATTTCCCTACAGAAGGTCATTTAGCCTTCTTACACTCAGTTTCTTCATTTGTAAAATATGAGGCAAGATGCCCATCTCAATGGCCAGTTAAAGGCTTAGATCAGACAACATGTGTGGAGGTCTCTGGGGAACTGCAAGGAGAATATGACTGCATTCCCAGGACAGAGACTGGTCTTATTCATCATTGTCCGCCCAGAATATACAGAGGAACACAAGAAGCACTCAATAAATAAATTATTAAACGATGGTGAGGGATGATTAACAGATTCTGGGTGGGCCAAAGACTGGGAGAATATTTTAAGATAAATGGAGTAGACTAGGAGGGGGTGCTTCAGTGAACAGAAGGAGGGTGTTAGAAGTATCCCCAACAAACCTGGGGGCATCTTGGGAGTACTGAAGGCCAGAGAATATGGATCATCTGAGTGTCTTGAAGAGTCTTGTTAGCACTTGGAGCATCTTCAAGTACAGTTGCCTAGTGAAGAGGGGTTTCAGTGGAACTTCAGGGGAATGGGTCTAAGCTGGATAGATTACACAGAAAAAAAAAACCTAAGTTGAAGACATAAAAACATACACACAGGGCTGGGCATGGTGGCTCAAGCCTATAATTCCAGCACTTTGGGGGGCCAAGGTGGGAGGATCTCTTGAGCCCAGGAGTTCAAAACCAGCCTGGCAACACAGTGAGACCCCATCTCCACAAAAAAATTGAAAATTAACTGGGCATGGTGGTGTGCACTAGTAGTTCCAGCTGTTTGGGAGGCTGAGGTGGGAGGATCCCTTGAGCCCAGGAGTTTGAGGTTTCAGTGGGCAGTGATCATGTCACTGCACTCCAGCCTGGGTGACGTATCAAGACCCTGTCTCAAAGCAAAAACAAGACAGAAACACACACACACACACACACACACACGCACAAATACTGACATGTGACATTCCATACAGCACTCACTGTGAGCTGATGACCGTGTGGAACCTGAGAATGCTGTTTGTTCATAGACCTTATTGTGGCAGTGACTTTGGCCTGCCTTGTGGGGTACCAGGCCCAGCCCCTCTAATTGTGACCCTCAACCCAGGGCTTGAGAAGACCCTTCCTGAAAGGCCATCCAGTTCTCAGTTTAAGCCCAGGCTTCACCAGAACACAATCATAGGAGTAACCAAGCTTCATTCCGGAAGGCTCTTTCCTTCCCTGCACCTCCTCATTGGTGGAGCTGTCACTGATGAGACTGTGTGTGTGCCATTTCCAGAGGAGATGGGAATGAAGATAGATTGAAACTCACTCTCCTGAGGCCTCCAAGCTCTACTCAGACCCTCTGGGGGGGCTTTTTCCCTTTATTCCAGTCCAGGCAGTCATCTACTCAGGTGCAAATAATTATCTCTCTCTCGCTCTCGCTCTCTCTCTCTCAGTTAGCAAAATTTGAGCACACCTGGAACCTGATAGGAAGGGACCAGTAAAAAGGGAAATATGTTATTTATTTATTTATTTGTTTGTTTATTTATTTATTTATTTATTTTGAGACAGAGTCTCACTCTGTCTCCCAGGCCGGAGTGCAGTGGCGTGATCTCGGCTCACTGCAACCTCCACCTCCCGGGTTAAAGCCATTCTCCTGCCTCAGCCTCCCGAATGGCTGGGATCACAGACGCCTGCAATCACGCCCGGCTAATTTTTTGTATTTTTAGTAGAGACAGGGTTTCACCCTGTTGGCTAGGCTGGTCTCGAACTCCTGACCTCAGGTGATCCACCCACCTCAGCCTCCCCAAGTGCTGGGATTACAGGCATGAGTCACTGTGCCTGGCCAAAAGATGTTATTTGTAATTGCAATATTTCATCAAACCCAATGTTATCAGTTTTAAGATGAATAACTATTATGTGTATCACTGAGAGAGAAAAAATGTTGCCAAATTATGACATCCCATTCTGATTTCAGAGATGTTAAAATGGGGGAAAATATGCAATATATTTATGTCCAATATAAAAAATACTGCTATGTCCATTTGAAAAATTAAGCAAGTCATTATCAAAGTATTAGATAGCTAGTATTTAATAAATCCTAATTTAATATTACTGTATGTTATAAATAATAATTCATTTAATCCTTGAAACAATCTTATAAGTACTATTAGCTTTGTTTTATTATTTATTTATTTATTTCTGTAGAGTCAGCAATAAGCACTATTAATATTATCATTCCCTTTCCACAGATGAGGAATTGTGGCTCTGAGAGGTTAAGAAATTTGCCAAAGTCAATGAGTAGCAGATCCAAGCTTCAAACCTTGGTTCCCATTTCTAAGTCTACCCTTCCCCAAAACAAGTCTGTTCTTACCACTAAGAGAGGTATTGGAAGAAAAGAGAAATATTTGAGGTGATGGGTATCCCAATCACTCTAATCTGATCTTCACATATTATATACATGTGCATGTATACATTAAAATATCACACGTACCTCCAGAATATGTGTAACTATTATATCAGTAAACAGGCCAGGTGTGGTGGCTCACACCTGTAATCCCAGCACTTTGGGTGGTTGAGGTGGGCGGATCACAAGGTCAGGAGTTTGAGACCAGCCTGGCTAGCATGGTGAAACCCCATCTCTACTAAGAATACAAAAAATTAGCCAGGCATGGTGGCACACACCTGTAGTCCCAGCTACTCGGGAGGCTGAGGCAGGAGAATTGCTTGAACCTGGCAGGCTGAGGTTGCAGTGAGCTGAGATCACGCCAGTGCACTCCGGCCTAGGCGACAGAGCAAGATTCTGTCTTAAAAAAAAAGAAAAGAAAAAAGAAAACTAAATGACAAAAAGATATATGCTGGCCACAGTAAAAGTTTCACAAATAAATGAATAAGTGGATGAATGAAGGAAATCATCAAAATTGACTTCAAGCACAGAAATTTGAATGAATGTCTCCCTTCTGTTCCTCAGTCATCTTAGGAAAAGGGTCAACATGTCTTCTGTAAGTACAAGGTAATGGAACATTGGTCAAATTCTAAAAGAGGTAAGAAAATGAGAGTAGGGAGTGGGATCTGGTGTATGGGAGGGAAAGAAATGTTACAAAATAATCAGCATGACTATGTTGTAGCTGTTGCTCTGCTATTCACCTAACTATAGTCTAATGATTTATCAGGTATGACATCTGGGCTGTGAAGAATGACAGTGTTCTGGGAGAGACTGCCACCTATTGAATGACCATCACCACAACTGGAGAATTTTATCCAGGACATCCAGGATGACACAAGAGGGCAAAACAGCTTCAGAAATGGACCCACAATGAGAAAGCCAACTAACCAACAGGTGACCTTGAACCTAAAGCTGAATTCTTATCCAGGCCATGCAGATGATAATAGCTCAGAAAGCCTTCTTTGTAAGATGTTGAAGAATCTAGAAAAGGTCTTCCTGGCCTGAATAAAGAGGATGCTGTTGAATTCCATTGCCTGTGCCATGTTGCAGTCCAGGTCATTTCCATACTACACTGCTACAACCAATGCAGAGGTAAACCTAAACCTTTCAGAGGGGAAAAAACCAACAATCCCTGAGCCCCTGTTATGTGCTTTACAAATGCATTCACTTCACCTTTATTCATTCCATAAATATTTACTGAGCAGTTACAATATACAAGCACTGTCCCACTTAAAGGGGGAACAACACCGAACAAAGGCAGCAGTCCAGGTTCCCGCTGTCAAGGAGCTTACGTTGGGGAAGGAGGAGCAAGCGACAGAAAATAAACAGCACTTAGGTCATTTCAGACAGTAATAAATGCCATGAAAAAAATAAAACTGGACGCCGGGCACGATGACTCACGCCTGTAACCCTAGCACTTTGGGAGGCCAAGATGGGCGGATCATGAAGTCAGGAGTTCGAGACCAGCCTCTCCAACATGGTGAAACCCCATCTCTACTAAAAATCCAAAAATTAGCCAGGTGTGGTGGCACACACCTGTAATCCCAGCTACTCAGGAGGCTGACGCAGGAAACTTGCTTGAACCCGAGAGGTGGAGGTTGCAGTGAGCCGAGATGGTGCCACTGCACTCCAGCCTGGGCAACAGAGCAAGACTCTGTCTTAAAAAAAAAAAAGGGAAAAGAAAAAAAGAAAAAGAAAACTGGAAAATGGGATAAAAGTGGTCACATAATTTAAACCTATGAATGTTTTCAAGAGATAATATTATTATTCCTGGGCCAGGTGCAGTGGCTCATGCCTATAATCCCAGCACTTTGGGAGGCTAAGGTGGGTGGATCATTTGAGGTCAGGAGTTCGAGACCAGCCTGGTCATCATGGTGAAACCCCATCTCTACTGAAAAATCGAAAAATTAGCTGGGTGTGGTAATGCATGCCAGTGGTCCCAGCTACTTGGGAGGCTGAGGCAGAAGAATCACTTGAACCCAGGAAGTGGAGGTTGCTGTGAGCCAAGATCTTACCACTGCACTCTAGCCAGGGCAACAGAGTGAGACATCATCTCAAATAAATAAATAAATAAATAAATAATAAAATAAATGAAATAAAAATAAAAATATTATTATTCCCATTTTACAGGCTCTGAGAGGTATTTAGCCCAAAGTCAGTTGAAGTGAACTGTGCCCAAGTGAGTGAATAATCCAGATAGCAAGGATTTAATTATCTGCCTTTTGGAACTCAAAACCTGTCTCTCACCACCATATAAGGCTGCCCAGGAAGAGTAAGACGGATAATCATTGCAGGATGTCTTGGTTGGCATGCCATGTCAATGATCATCTCTATTTTGTTGTGAGATTATTTACAATACCCAAATGCCTCTAGCAGGGCATACTGACGAAAGGATACCTGTGTATGTATTTACATGGATTTGCAGAATCTGATGGTCCTTGATCTTTAAGAGTACCCTTAAGAGGGAAAAAACAAAGACCCTTCAGCTCCTGCCATGTGCAGGAGTATTTTTGGCAGTCTTCTACTGTTCTTACAAATTTAAGACATTTAAAAAATTATTTTGCTGGCCAAATCTCATCATGTTAGAGAATATGTGGACTTCCTTGTGCTTTCGCAGTAAACTGTCATTTCTACGGAGAAGGGAAGAGGAGCTCTGGAGAATCCTTCGTGCGTGGTTCCTGCCAAGTCATCTGCAGGATGGGGAATATTGGATTACCTCTATAGAGGAAGAGGCTACCCTTTGTGTTTGAGGTCGGGAGGATGTTGCCATCTCTGAATGGCTAAGGCAGTGTCTTCACGTTGTCAGAGCCCCTCAGACAGCCCTTGGACAGCCTGTTGCTTACTTACTCCCCTAGGAAGCCGGAAGGGACATGTGTTTCCTTACCTCCTACTGCTTTCCTCCTCCAGGGACAGGCACAGGTTCTTAGGCTGCTAGTGAGCAGAGCGGCTGGAACCACTTCAATTCCAATTAAGTCTTGAAAACTTTACAGTAGTTCCCAACTACCAAAGATGACTATGCATCCTACAATTGGGTTTAAATCAGAAAGGGATTGCTCAGTTTGACAAGCCCAGCTGCTAGCTGACTTAAAAAGCTGGCTCTTCTCAAGACTCAGAGTTAACAAGTAGGAAATACGTTGGTAACACACAGGCCTTGAGTGCATTGTTGCATTATGAACAGCAGAGCGACCGGTACAGACCCAGCCAATACCTCTGAATTCCCACCTCCCATTTGTTACTTCTGCTGTCTACGTTCCTTCCGAAAAGCAAGACACTCTTTAATATGCTTTTATTGAATTTGAAAATGGTGACAGGCATTTTGAAGAAATAACCTGTCAGAAAACATAAAATAACCAAAGCAGACTCTGAAGTGTTTTTTAAAAAGCATGACAGACTGATAATACCAACACCTTACTCTGTTAGCCTTCCCTGGATCATGCAGGGTTATGTTATCTGTTTGTGACATGCTGTTATCCTTGAGGAAACAGATCCATAAAATATTATAAGGCACAGCTGAGTTACAGCCTGACTAAACACGGGGCTCCCCGATAAGATCTTTCCTGTGCAAAGCTCAGTGGATTGTGCTTTTGCACAATTTCCCCTTCTCTGACCATATAAATCTTCAACCCCAGAACTGAATGTTCCCTCTTGTTTTTACATAACCTATCTAATTTCTCTATCACGGGGTTTTAGATATAGTAAGCAGTCTTGTAATGTCTATGCACACTTTTTTTTTTTTTTTTTTTTTAATGTGGATGCTCACTCTGTTGCCAAGGCTGGAGTGCAGTTGTGCGATCTCAGCTCACTGCAACCTCTGCCTCCCAGGTTCACTGCAGGCAGGATGAGGCACTGCAATCTCTTTGCCTCATCCTCCCAAGCAGCTGGGATTATAGGCATCTGCCACCACACCCTGCTAATTTTTGTATTTTTAGTAGAGACGGGTTGCACCATGTTGACCAGCCTGGTCTTGAACTCCTGATCTCAAGTGATCCACCTGCCTCAGCCTCCTAAAGTGCGAGGATTACAGGTGTGAGCCACCGAGCCCAGCCTGCACACTTTCTTATAAGTTTCTCCAACTGTCCTGAGACTCATAATGTTTCCAAATAACTATAGCCTTTCTTCCCCCTCATATTGTTAGCATTGTTCTCTTTCTTGAGATGGAGTGTTGTTCTGTCACCCAGGCTGGGAGTGCAGTGGTGCTGTCTAGGCTCACTGCAACCTCCGCCTCCTGGGTTCAAGTGATTCTCCTGCCTCAGCCTCCTGAGTAGCTGAGACTACAGGCGTGCACCACCACGCCTGGCTAATTTTTGTATTTTTAGTAGAGACAGGGTTTCACCATGTTAGCCAGGCTGGTCTCAAACTCCTGACTTCAGATGATCTGCCCGCCTCAGCCTCCCAAAGTGCTGGGATTACAGGTGTGAACCACCACACGAGCATTGTTCTTTAAAAGTGGATCTCTTGCCAACATGGTGAAACCCCATCTCTCCTAAAAATACAAAAATTAGCGGGGCGTGGTGGTGTGCACCTGTAGTCCCAGCTACTTGGGAGGCTGAGGCAGGAGAATCACTTGAACCCAGGCAGCAGAGGTTGCAATGAGCTGAGATCGTGCCACTGCACTCCAGCCTGGTGACAGAGCAAGACTCCATCTCAAAAAAAAAAAAAAAGTGGATCTCTTAGTAACTTGGCACCTGTTTATTTCAACAGTTTTTGTTTTGTTTTGTTTTTGAGACAGGGTCTCACTCTGTTGCCCAGGCTGGGGTGCAGTATCACAATCGGCTTGAGCCTTCCAGACTCAAGTGATCCTCCCACCTCAGCCTCTGGGGTAGCTGGGACCACAGGCACACACCACCATGCCGGTTAATTTTTGTATTTTTTGTAGAGAAGGGGTTTTTCCATGTTGCCCAGTCAGGTCTTGAACTCTTGGACTCAAGCAATCCGGCTGCCTTGGCCTCCCAAAGTGCTGGGATTACAGGTGTGAACCACCTCACCCTGCCCTTAACATTAATATATTGATTATGGCAGTGACGATAAGCTTTCCCTGAGACATTTCATTTATTCAGCCAGCATTTTGTGGAGAACTTTCTTCTTAGTGGCAGGCAGTACTAAGCCAGTAGTAGTTCAAACACGTGCGGTAAGTAGACCAGGTGAATAGCACTGGAGAAGGCACCATTTGAGGAAGGCCTTGGAGGCATGCCAGGTCTGGAGGAAGGCAAGCACTGTTTTGCATTTTAAGCAGAGGGAATCATTTGAGGAAGGTATTGGAGGCATGTCAATTTAGAAGAAATGCAAGCAGTGTAATTTGGTGTTGCAGGAGTGAAGGTACATTGGTGGAATGGTGGGAAGTGAGCTGGGAGACCTGGGACATAGTTCATCAATAGGACAGCAGAATGCCGCTGTGCCTTTTATTTTATCTATTTATTTTTGAGACAGGGTCTCGCTGTGTTGCCCAGGCTGGAGTGCAGTGGGGCAAACATGACTCACTGCAGCCTTGACCTCCCAGGCTCAAGTGATCCTCCCACCTCAGCCTCCGAAGTAGCTGGGACTAGAGGCACACACTACCAGGCTGGCTAATTTTTATTTTTTTTATTTTTACTTTTTTTTTTTTTTGAGGCAGGGTCTCCTCTGTCACCCAGGCTGGAGTTGCAGTGGTGCAATCTTGGCTCACTGCAGCCTCCACCTCCCAGGTTCAAGTGATTCTCCTGCCTCAGTCTCCCAAGTAGCTGGGACTACAGGTGCCTGCCACCATGCCCGGCTAATTTTTGTATTTTTTGGTAGAGGCAGGGTTTCACCATGTTGCGCAGGCTGGTCTCAAACTCCTGGCCTCAAGTCATCTGCTCGCCTCGCCCTCCCAAAGTGCTGGGATTACAGGCATGAGCCACTGCACCTGGCCAAATTTTTAAAATTTTTTGTAGAGACAGGGTGTCACCATGTTGCCCAGGCTGGTCTTAAACTCCTGTGCTCAAACAGTCCTCCCACCTTGGCCTTCCAAAGTGTTGGGATTACAGGTGTCAGCCACCAGACCCAAGCCCCTGTCCCTTTTATTCCTAATCAAAAGTTCTATTATGTTCCTCACTTACCCTGGAATTTTAGACCACACACATACACACCTTTTTACTTTGATTAAAAAATAATATGCCCTGTCATCAGTAGAAATGGGATTATGGCACATGGGAAGATTGATATTTATATCTGGTACCTTTTCTGCAGACTTCATATATTCATGTATTCATAAACTATGTATATCTTCATTTACACACTGTGGTTTACAAGATCCTTTTTAAAATCATCTTTCTGGGCAGGCGCGGTGGCTCACACCTGTAATCCCAGCACTTTGGGAGGCAGAGGCAGGCAGATCACCTGAGGTCAGGAGTTCGAGACCAGCCTGGCCAACATGGTGAACCCTTGTTTCTACTAAAAATACAAAAATTAGTGGGTGTGGTGGTGCACGCCTGTAATCACAGCTACTGGGGAGGCTGAGGCAGGAGAATCACTTGAACCCGGGAGGTGGAGCTTGTGGCAAGCCAAGATTGTGCCACTGCACTCCAGCCTTGGAGACAGTGAGACTCCATCTCAAAAAAAAAAAAAAAAAATCGTCTTTCCATCTTAAGTAGTAAAATATCTACAGCATAGGAATATGTATGTATATACCTGAGTTGATGCTTATATTCAGTATAAGCAGTTATATGGATTTGGGGAAATTCTGATAAATTTGAAAAATTAGACGTGCAATGAAATTGGCATTTAATTAGCTGTTAATTAGAGACACCAAAATATAATAGTTTGCAAAAATTGTTCCTTGTTCAAATTCCCAGTATGAAAAGCTAAGTTTATGTGCCAGCACCTTGCACAGCAGTGGTTTTTTAATAATTCTCCTCGAACTGATGCCCTTGGCTCTCCATCTGTCAATATATTACCATCTGAATTTCTTTTTTTTTTCTTGTCTTTTTTTTTTTTTTTTTTAAGACAGAGTCTCGCTCTACCGCCCAGGCTAGAGTGCAATGGCTAGATCTTGGTTCACTGCAACCTCCACCTCCTGGATTCAAGCGATTCTCCTGCCTCAGCCTCCCAAGTAGCTGGGATTACAGGCACGTGGCACCGTGCCCTGCTAATTTTTGTATTTTTTAGTAGAGACGGGGTTTCACCATGTTGGCCAGACTGGTCTCGAACTCCTGACCTTGTGATCTGCCTACTTCGGCTTCCCAAAGTGCTGGGATTACAGGTGTGAGCCACGGCGCCCAACCTACCATCTGAATTTCTATAGGGAAGGCATATTTTTAAAATCTTGTCTTTGCTCTTGCCTTTCACTGTGATTTTAAAACTGTATTTCTAATGAAGTGATGTTAATTTCAGCTCAGGCAAATAGTTGTCCCCAGCCTGTTAAAAATGGAAACACTTCTACTAGTTTCCTTCTTATCATAAATTATGAGGTGACACAGACAGGGGTGAAATCAGATCAGTGTGACCCAAGACAGCCAGGGAAAGAATCAAATCGTTTTTAAATGGAATAGAAAATAAGTTGGGAATCTTGATTTCAAGGCTGTAGGAGTAAGGAATGCAGCACAAAAATTCAATGAAAATAATTTAGATCATAAAGTTTTGGTTGGAAGTAGGCAGAAAACTAGATATAAATGAGTGATTCTTATAGGCATAGCTAAAGGTTATAATGTTTTATAGTACAGAAAAAAGGTAGCCAGGGAGCTAAAGGAGGATGCTTTCTATGCAGATTTGGAGAGAGAGCACATTACTTTATCATCAATCATAGTATCTCTGCCTCCTAATGACTAGTATTTTGGTGGAAATTCACAGGCAAGCAAAGCTGACAAAGAGTTTGGGATCCTGAATTATAAATAAAGATAGCAGGTGCCAAATCCAAATATGTATAGTGCCAGTACATGAAAAAAAAATCAAAATATAATTTGAAGAATTCCAAGTTCCAAAAGAAAGGGCTATATAATATATATGTATATTATATATATACACATATATATTTATATTTATTTTAGAGATGGGATCTTGCTATGTTGCCCAGGCTGACATTGAACTTCTGAATTCTAGGGATCCTCCTGCCTCAGCCTCCCAAGTAGCTGGGACTACAGTTACCTGCCACCATGCCTGTCCAGAAAGATATGTTTTCTAAGAAGAAAATAGAAAATTACAACAGGCACAGGAAAATAGAAAATGGAAAAAAATCTGTAACTGAAAAAGCAGAGAAATTTGGGGGGAAAGCTAATCATTAAAATAAAAAGAGTAATTTTTATATACACATATTCAAACTTAAAGAACGATTTTCAGGGCCCAGCTTGGTGGCTCACGCCTGTAATCCCAGCACTTTGGGAGGCCAAGGCGGGCAGATCACCTGAGGTCAGGAGTTCGAGACCAGCCTGGCCAACATGGCAAAATCACATCTCTACTAAAAATACAAAATTAGCTGGGTGCGGTGGCAGGCGCTTGTAATCCCAGCTACTCAGGAGGCGGAGGCAGGGGAATCGCTTGAGCCTGGGAGGCAGAGGTTGCAGTGAGCTGAGATCGCACCACTGCACTCCAGCCTGGGCAACTCTGTCTCAAGAAAAAAAAAAAGAATGATTTTCAGAAATCAAATCTAAGTCCTGTCAAGTGTTTTCAGGTTTGTTGGAAAGGATATACAGGTATAAGACAACCTTATTCACCAAGAATGGGTTACAGTCTCTGTTTTTCATTCTTTCCAGCCAAGTCCCTATGCCCACTACCCTCACAATAAGTGTGATCCTTGGAAGGGATCCTGCAATCTTGTGGACATTTATTTTTTGTTGTTGTTGTTGTTGTTTGTTTGTTTGTTTGTTTGTTTGTTTTGAGACAGAGTCTCGCTGTTGCCAAGGCTGGATAAAAGTGGTGAGATCTTGGTTCACTGCAACCTCTGCCTCCCAGGTTCAAGCGATTCTAATGCCTCAGCTGGGATTACAGGCATGTGCCACCACACCCAGCTAATTTTTGTATTTTTAGTAGAGGCGGGGCTTCACCATGTTGGCTAGGCTGGTCTCCAACTCCTGACCTCAAGTGATCTGCCCACTTCGGCCTCCCAAAGTGCTGGGATTACAGGCATGAGCCACTGTGCCTGGCCAAGATTTGTTGTTTAATGTTGACTTTTGGTCAGGCACAGTCGCTCATGTCTGTAATACCAGCACTTTGGGAAGGTGAGGTGGTAGGACTGCTTGAGGCAGAGAATTAGAGACCAGCCTGGGCAATATAGTGAGACTTCATCTCCACAAATATTTTTAAAAACTAGCTAGCCCTGGTGGTGCACACCTTTGGTCCCAGCTGCTCAGGAGGCTGTGATGGGAGGATCACTTGTGCCTGGGAGGTTGAGGCTGCAATGGGCCATGATCAGCCTGGGCAACAAAAGTGAGACCCTGTCTCAAAACAAACAAACAAACAAAAAGCAACTTGATTTTTAATGCCAGATTATTTCTTTTTCTCTCCAGTGTTCTGCTGTATTTCCTCCCTACCCTTGACTGAAGCTTCCCTTGAATCACAATATTCTTGTCATTGAGACTCTCTCTCAGCCTGCAGCCGTGGTAGAAGAAAAAAGGGAAGAGAACCCGAAGGCATTTGAGACATCTCCTTGTCGGTCTCTCCAACAACAGTGGCTAGAGACTCTCTGTATTCCCTGACTCTCAATCCTGAGCGGAGGACAGAGCCCAGAGCAGAGTCCTGGGAAGCACAGGGGCTGGCTGAAGGGAAAGGCGGACGCGCGGGGCCGCAGGGCGGCGCCTGGGAGCCAGGCAGCACCCTGGGCCGATGCGCGGAGTGCTGGAGGGCGGCGCTGCGGAGCACGCCTCTGTGGAAGGCACGCCTCTGTGGCTGGAACCAAAAGGGAGGTGGATGGCGTTCAACTTTGACAGAAGCCGAGGACTGCAAAGAGACGGCCTGGTAGAACCACAACCCTGATGCTGTCTCGACCTGGGCACAGTTAATAATCAGGGCAGGTTAATAGGTAGTCACCCGGACACTGATAGGTTTCCTGCCGAATGTTGAAAGACTGCGAAGAAGCCTCCCTGGGGACAGTGACCAAACTCTCCTTTGAAGGCAAATTTCCATTCTCTTGGGAAAACACAGCCTTGCAATCCAGGGACATTTTTGGAAGGCAGCTTGGTGATCTTTTGCTGTTACAGATTAGGTTTGCCCCCATGAGAGTATCACCCCCACCACCACATCTCAAAGCAGCTTATCAAAGAATTCCCTCCAATGCTTCCAGCTCTTTCTCTGAAAGCAGTTCTGGTAAACTCAGTTTTCATTTTCTCATTATGTTTGCAGTGCTATTTTAGTGTCCCACTCACTAACCGAGCTCTGACAAAGAGGAACGAGAAGGTGTGAACTCAGGGCTGCCTCCTAGGATGACTGGGACTGTGCGCCACACAGGACACGCGGCCCTGGTGGGCTCCCAGCCCCGCGGGCCCGCAGCTGCTCAGCAGCCTGTGCACCCCTGGGGCTGTGGGCACCTAAAGAAGAGAGCCTAGGCTCCAGATGGAAGCTTGCTGGTCAAAAAAGTCAAAAGTGGCCGGCGTGGTGGCTCATGCTGTAATCTCAGAACTTTGGGAGGCCGAGTTGGGCAGATAGCTTGAGGTCAGGAGACCAGCCTGGCCAACATGGCAAAACCCCGTCTCTACTAAAAATACAAAAATTAGCCAGGCGTGGTGGCGCTGCCTGTACTGTGGTCCCTGCTACTCAGGAGGCTGGGGCAGGAGAATTACTTGAACCCGGGAGGTCGAGGTTGCAGTGAGCCGAGATTGTGACATTGCACTCCAGCCTAGGCGACAGACTGAGGCTCTGTCTCAAAAAAAAAAAAAAAAAAAAGTGTGATGCTCTTTCCGGAGCTGGGATCACCTAAATTTGCAGATTAAAGATCTGAAAACTTGAAAATAGAAAATAGTGACCCATACTCTCTCATTTTCCTAAGACTTTCCGATCTCCAATGGAAGGCCGGAGAAAGGAGGGCTACAGAGGAGGAAAACCACTTCTTACCTGTGTGGGGTAAATGTGCCTTTCTGCTGCTCCTGAAAATAGGGTCAGGTGCTCACTGAAGTTTACTGCTGCATGTATAGGCAAATCCAGTTGCAGTTTTCTCAAACAATTCTTGTCTTGGGAATTGCTTCCTTGGGAGAAAACCCACTGGTGGATAGAAAATCAGAAGATTCAGGCTCGGGCTTCACTTTTGTCATTGGTTTTGATGTGGTCAAATCATTCTTTCTGGGTTTGTTTCCCTGTGCTTAAATACATCTGCTAACATTTTAAAAATAATTTACTATGTATCTGAAATAGTGCTGGGTAAGCCATTGCATGTATTATCACAATGCGACAATACATTAAAATAGGTAATATTCCCATTTTACAGAACGTCAATTAGAATTTGCCCAAGATCACACAGCAGATACTTTTAAATGTGCATAGTGTCCACTACAATATGCCACTGCCTCTTAACATGGGGCTAATAACATATAACTGGTTAGGTACAGGGCCACCTTAGACACTGCACAGTTCTGTGGCTTGGAGATGTGCAGTGTCAACTTGGTTAGTTGTACACAGGGCCTTGATTAGGTCCACCCACAGTGTCCTATACATATTTGTTATTACACTGATTATGTTATATTGTAATGTAATATTTTATATTTATATATATATGTTATCCACACATCCTGCTTCCTTTGCTTGGGGTATAAATGATGTCATTCCACATGGTGTCCCATCTTCCTTGATGGGCTTCTTCACCCTTGACAGAGGCCACTCCCCTGCTATGAACCTGAGTGCCAGGAATGCACATGTATATCCGAAGGGGTAGCCCCAGATACACTTACCTCACTTACAGAAGCCGGAACTGAGGCTGGAAGAGTCTACACTCCTCGTGCTGGATGCCTCCAGAGTCCCACAGCTGACACCATGGTTACTGAAACCAGAGCTCTGATGCGGCTACTGAAATCTGGCAAAATGGAATGATGCTCAGGCTAAGCCTCCTGCTCCACTGCAGCCACCACCACTCGTGCACCATAAAGCAACATTTCCTCGAGATGGGAGGGTGGGTTGCTACTTCCCTCAGTGTCTCACTCAGCTGTGTTAGCCAGGGATCCCAGTGTGGTGGCATTTCCAACGCAGCTGGGGGATGGGCAGGGGAGGGCACAAGTTCCATCAACTGCTGTGGATCCAGAACACCCATCCCTCTTCTAACTCCAAGCCCTGGGTGCAGAGGCCACACTGTACTAGTCTCATCTCCAACTTCTGCCAGGCTCATTTCCCCCATTCAATGAAGTGGAACACATTTAAAGTACAAAGGTGAGGGGTCGCTCTCTTGGTGCTATTCTTCCCCAGCTAAAATGTCTCCTTGTTGTTTTCACCTCCCCACTCCCCTGCACTGTGAGCTGGCTGAAGGCTCCTCTTCACATTGGTCATGGTTTTGCCACAATGCATGGCCCACAGAAAGCACTGGAACATTCACAAATGAACATCATTTCCCTTCTTGATTCTCTGTGTTTTATTTATTTATTTTGAGATGGAGTCTCACTCTGTCATCCAGGCTGGAGTGCAGTGGCACCATCTCAGCTCACTGCAGCCTCTGCCTCCTGTGTTCAGGCGATTCTCCTACCTCAGCCTCCTGAGAAGCTGGGATTACTGATGCCCGCCACCACGCCAGGATAATTTTTGTATTTTTAGTAGAGACAGGGTTTCACCATGTTGCCCAGGCTGGTCTCGAGCTCCTGACCTCAGGTAATCTGCCCGCCTCTGCCTCCCTAAGTGCTGGGATTACAGGCATGAGCCACCGCACCCAACTATTTATTTATTTATTTATTGAGACAGAGTCTGGCTCTGTTGCCCAGGCTGGAGTGCAGTGGCGCA
The DNA here is from genome assembly GCF_000001405.40 of Homo sapiens. Taxonomy (NCBI): domain Eukaryota; kingdom Metazoa; phylum Chordata; class Mammalia; order Primates; family Hominidae; genus Homo; species Homo sapiens. The sequence goes on along the minus strand of NC_000008.11, from coordinate 80,237,680 downwards.
GTTATGGCTCCCTGCAGCCTCGATCTTCTAGGCTCAAGTGATCCTCCTGCTACCTCAGTCTCCCAAGTAGCTAGGACTGTAGCCACATGCCACCACACCCAGCTAATTTTTAAATTTTTTGTAGAGACAGGGGCCTCACTTTATTATCCAGTCTGGTCTCAAACTCCTAGGCTCAAGTGATCACGCTGTCTTGGCTTCCCAAAATATTGTGATGTACAAGCATGAGCTACTGTGCCCAGCCTCTTTTTCTCTGTTTTCAAAAGTCCATAATTTCCTTCTTGATCTAACACCTTTTTGGCCGTGTTTCTAGAAAAGAGAAGCTGTTGATCACAGGTGCCATTAGGATTGGGGTGGCCAGCCTGTGGTTCCAGGTACCAGGATCGCAGGTGCATTCTGGGCAGATTTTGGAATCAGTAAGTAGGAAAACAAATTGCTAGGCTGGGCACCATGGCTCAAACCTGTAATCCCAGCACTTCAGGAGGCCAAGGCAGGCAGACTGCTTGAGCCCAGGAGTTTGGGACCAGCCTGGGCAACATGGTGAAACTCTGTCTCTCTTCTTCTTCCTCCCCCTACTCTCCCTCTTTTCCCTTTTCTCCCTCTTCCTCCTCCCTCTCACCCTCTCTCTCCTTCTCCTTCTGCTACTGCTGAGCATACAGACGGGCCTGTTAATTTGTACTCTGCCCCAGCCTTCTGTGGGTTAATATAGTCACCTTTACACCCTGGTTCAGTCCAGGATAGTTTCAATTTATGTTATTCTGTCAAGACGGTGTTTTGGTTTTGTTTAAAGGTTCTGAGAAAGCACGTAAATACCTAAGCACTGAAGAAATGGGTAATAGGTGAAAAGCAGATTGTATGGCAATGGGGTAGCATTGCACTAAGCACCTGTCTAGGCCAGCCCCCTTCCCTGATCCTTTTACCCAGGCTTTCTGAAGGTGCTATGGACACCCAGCTGGAGACACGATGTATGCTCAAAAGGAGCTGGTCTAGGCTCTGGCTGGGCAGGCCACAGTTATACCCTTGAAAGTTTAATAACTATGAGGCTATGTATTGTCACAGGTCAAAGATGTTGAGTCAATACTAAAAGACATGAGCATGAGCATGCAGAGAAAGAAACAACTCCTGTGGGCTGGAGGGGACAGAGAAGGCCTCTCCGGGACAGGGGACTTGATGAGGACTTGAAGGGATTTGAATAGTTGATGAGAGTTATGTGAGAGAAAGTGTAGGGATGAGAATCAACCAGTGAATAAATATTGACTGAGGGCTCATTTTGGGGAGGGTAACGCATTTCAGGGAGGGTACCCAGAATGTTCTGAAGACAGTGAGCTGACAGGTTGTTAGGTGTGGAGGGCTCATGGGAGAAATGGTTGGAAAGGTAGATTAAGGCCAGTTTGTGAGAGCCTTGAATGCCATGCAAAAATGTTTGGAAGTTATCCTGTGAACTAGAGATTTCCACAAGTTGGCCAGGCGCGGTGGCTCACGCCTGTAATACCCGCACTTTGGGAGGCCAAGGTGGGTGGATCACCTGAGGTCAGGAGCTCAAGACCAGCCTGGTCAACATGGTGAAACCCCATCTCTACTAAAAATACAAAAATTAACCGGGCGTGGTGGCGGGTTCCTGTAATTCCAGCTACTCAGGAGGCATGACAATTGCTTGAACCCGGGAGGCGGAGGTTGCAGTGAGCTAAGATAGCACCATTGAACTCCAGCCTGGGTGACAAGAGCAAAACTCTGTATCAAAAAAAAAAAAAAAAAAAAAAAAAAAGATTTCCACAAGTGTGCTGCCACTGGGATGTGCCCCAATAGGTTATCAGTGAGAGGTGGTAGTGAGATCAGGGAGGTGGGGGTGCCTGGCCATCGCAGGCCAGGGGCCTCTCCTCAGCAGGCCCCTTTGTTCATCCCAGTGTCCATAGAAATATGTTCATAGTCTATGTTTGCTTTGACTTGGAAACGTTGGCTATCACTGCTCTATAGACAATGACTTGCTGAAAATGTTTGTACACTTATGTGATATTTTGAGTTGCAATTTTAGTTTTCTTCCCAACAGGCTTATAAACTCCTCCAGGACAGGAGCTCTGTCTTACCTCTTCTGTTGTTGCCACTTTACTGTGTGGAGAGTCAATGCTCAAGAGGTATTTCTACTTGATTATTTAACTAATAGGATATTATGGCTTTGAAAAAACAAAACCTCACAAATCATATAATAGGGATGACTGGGCCAGGTGCTGTGGCTCACATCTGTAATCCCAGCACTTTGGGAGGCCAAGGCCAGCAGATCGCTTGAGCCCAGGAGTTCAAGACCAGCCTGGGCAACATAGAGAGACCTCGCCTCTATAAAAAATAGCCGAGTGTGGTGGCCTGCACCTGTAGTCCCAGCTACAGGACTGATGCAGAGGTGGGAGGATCGCTTGAGCCCAGGAGACGGAGGTTGCAGTGAGCCGAGATTACACCACTGCACTCCAGCCTGGGCAACAGAGTTAGACCCTGTCTCAAACAACAACAACAACAGTAACAACAACCACAACAAAAAACAAATAACAATTACTACTCTGCCTGCTTCTAGGAAAGCTTAGAAATAATAAAATTCCAAGTGAGAGTGACTCTACGTAGTGGGCTAGAAAAATATGCTTTGAAGGATTGTGTAACACTTATGCTGGTGGCCATGCTTAGAACTGTCAAGAAAAAAAGAGATCAGACCTGGGCTCTTGGTCCTGAAGAATCAAGGCTGAATCATTTGTTAAATACCTCTTCATCATAATCCTATTAAGACTGTATTTAGCAGTCATCAGGATAACGTAATTTTCTTCTCTGTTAATCTTTCGTTCTTTTTTTTTTTTTTTTTTTTTTTTGAGACAGAGTCTTGCTCTGTCACCCAGGCTGGAGCTCAGTGGCGCAATCTTGGCTCACTGCAACTTCCGCCTCCCAGGTTCAAGTGATTCTTGTGCCTCAGCCTCCCAAATAGCTGGGATTACAGGAGTGCACCACCACACATGGCTGATTTTTGTATTTTTAGTAGAGAGAGGGTTTTACCATGTTAGCCAGGCTGGTCTCAAACTCCTGACCTGAGGTGATCCACTTGCCTTGGCTTCCCAAAGTGCTGGGATTACAGGTGTAAGCCACTGCGCTGGGCCTGTTAATCTTTATTCTTAGTTGGGGGTGGGATACGAAGTTTTCTTACCATATGAACCAGTAATTCCATCCCTAGATATCTACTGAAGAGAAGTGAAAATGTAAGTCTACACAAAAACTTGCATATTAACACTTACAGCAGCATTACTTATAATAGCCAAAAAGTGGAAACAACCCAAATGTCCACCAACTGGCAAATGGGTAAGTAAAATATGGCATATTCATACAATGGAATATTATTCAGCAATGAAAAGGAATGAAATACTCATATATGCTACAACTTTGAATCATTGTTAGTGAAACAAGCCATTCACAAAAGGCCACATATTATATGACTCAATCTATACAAAATGTCTAGAATTGTCAAATTTATAAACACCAAGTAGATTAATGGTTGTTCAGGGATGGGCAATGGGTAGGAGAATGGAAAGTGGATACTAATCGGTACAAAATTTTTTTATTTTTTGAGACAGTCTCATTCTGTCACCCAGGCTGGACTACAGCGGTGCTGCCAGGGCTCACTGCAGCCTTGACCTCTTGGGTTCAAGTAATTCTGCCACCTCAGCTTCCCCAGTAGCTGGGACTACATGTGCACACCACCACACCCAGCTAATTCATTTTTCATTTTTTGCAGAAACAGGGTCTTACTATACTTTGTTGCCCAGGCTGGTCTCGAACTCCTGAGTTCAAGCAATCCTCCTGGGTCCGGAATTCGTGGGTTCTTGGTCTCACTGACTTCAAGAAAGAAGCCGCGGACCCTCGCACTGAGTGTTACAGCTTTTTTTTTTTTTTTTTTTTTTTTTTTGAGACGGAGTCTCGCTTTGTCGTCCAGGCTGGAGTGCAGTGGCGGGATCTCGGCTCACTGCAAGCTCCGCCTCCCGGGTTCACGCCATTCTCCTGCCTCAGCCTCCCAAGTAGCTGGGACTACAGGCGCCCGCCACTACGCCCGGCTAATTTTTTGTATTTTTAGTAGAGACGGGGTTTCACCGTTTTAGCCGGGATGGTCTCGATCTCCTGACCTCGTGATCCGCCCGCCTCGGCCTCCCAAAGTGCTGGGGTTACAGGCGTGAGCCACCGCGCCCGGCCGTGTTACAGCTCTTAAGGCGGTGCATCTGGAGTCTTTCCCTTCTGCTGTTCAGATGTGTTCGGAGTTTCTTCCTTCTGGTGGGTTCGTAGTCTCACTGGCTCAGGAGTGAAGCTGCAGACCTTTGTGGAGAGTGTTACAGCTCTTAAAGCAGCGTGTCTGGAGTTGTTCGTTCCTCCCGGTGGGCTCGTGGTCTCGCTGGGCTCAGGAGTGAAGCTGCAGATCTTCGCGGTGAGTGTTACATACAGCTCATAAAAGCAGTGTGGACCCAAAGACTGAGCAGCAGCAAGATTTATTGCAAAGAACAAAAGAACACAGCTTCCACAGCGTGGAAAGGGACCCGAGCGGGTTGCCACTGCTGGCTCGGGCAGCCTGCTTTTATTCTCTTATCTGGCCCCACCCGCATCCCACTGATTGGTAGAGCCAAGTGGTCTATTTTGACAGGGTGCTGATTGGTGCGTTTACAATCCCTGAGCTAGATATAACTGTTCTCCACGTCCCCATCAGATTAGTTAGATACAGAGTATCCACACAAAGGTTCTCCAAGGCCCCACCAGAGCAGCTAGATACACAGTGTCAATTGGTGCACTCACAAACCTTGAGCTAAACACAGGGTGCTGATTGGTGTGTTTACAAACCTTGGGCTAGATACAGAGTGCTGATTGGTGTATTTACAATCCCTGAGCTAGACATAAAGGTTCTCCAAGGCCCCACCAGAGCAGCTAGATACAGAGTGTCGATTGGTGCACTCACAAACCCTGAGCTAAACACAGGGTGCTGATTAGTGTGTTTACAATCCCTGAGCTAGACATAAAGGTTCTCCAAGGCCCCACCAGAGCAGCTAGATACACAGTGTTGATTGGTGCACTCACAAACCTTGAGCTAAACACAGGGTGCTGACTGGTGTGTTTACAATCCCTGAGCTAGACATAAAGGTTCTCCAAGGCCCCACCAGAGCAGCTAGATACAGAGTGTCGATTGGTGCACTCACAAACCCTGAGCTAGACACAGGGTGCTGATTGGTGTGTTTACAATCCCTGAGCTAGACATAAAGGTTCTCCAAGGCCCCACCAGAGCAGCTAGATACAGAGTGTCGATTGGTGCACTCACAAACCCTGAGCTAGACACAGGGTGCTGATTGGTGTGTTTACAATCCCTGAGCTAGATATAAACACTCTCCACGTCCCCACCAGATTCAGGAGCCCACCTGGCTTCACCTAGTGGATCCCGCACCGGGCCTGCAGGTGGAGCTGCCTGCCAGTCCCGCGCCATGCGCTCGCATTCCTCAGCCCTTGGGTGATCGATGGGACTGGGCGCCGTGGAGCAGGGGGCAGGCATTCGTCGGGGAGGCTCGGGCTGCACAGGAACCCACGGAGGCGGGGGAAGGCTCAGGCATGGCGGGCTGCGGTCCCGAGGCCTGCCCCGTGGGAAGGCAGCTAAGGCCCGGCGAGAAATCGAGCGCAGCGCCGGTGGGCTGGCACTGCTGGGGGACGCAGTACACCCTCCGCAGCCGCTGGCCCGGGTGCTAAGCCCCTCACTGCCCGGGGCCGGCAGAGCCGGCCGGCCGCTCCGAGCGCGGGGCCCGCCAAGCCCACGCCCACCCGGAACTCCAGCTGGCCCGCAAGCGCTGCTCGCAGCCCCGGTTCCTGCTCGCGCCTCTCCCTCCACACCTCCCTGCAAGCTGAGGGAGCCGGCTCTGGCCTTGGCCAGCCCAGAAAGGGGCTCCCACAGTGCAGCGGCGGGCCGAAGGGCTCCTCAAGTGCCGCCAAAGTGGGAACCCAGGCAGAGGAAGCGCCGAGAGCAAGAGAGGGCTCTGAGGACTGCCAGCACACTGTCACCTCTCACTCCCACTTCGGCCTCCCAAAGTGCTTGGATGACTGGCATGAGCCACTGTGCCCGGCTCAGAATTTCTTTTTGGGGTGATGAAAATGCTCAAAGTTAGATTACGGTGATGGTTGCGCGCCTCTGTGAATATACTCAAAAGCCTTGAAAACAAAAGTTGAGGTGCTACAAACTAAAGGATCTAATCGCAGTCACAGAACAGTTGCCCATGCTTAGTGGCAAGAGGCTGTATCCTGAGGACTTTTGTGTTTCCAGATTTCTCCAAAGGAGAATTACAGTTTGGCAGGTGGAATGAGGGTCAGGTAGAAAAGGCTGACGATGCAACTAACTTTAAGGAGGGGGAGGACAAAGGGTGAAGACCAGGTCAGTGTGGAGAAAGGGAGGTTGTAGGATGTTAGTGCTTCAGAGGAAAACAACAACGAGCTTTTCTCTCCTCTCTGGGGATCCTGGTCAGCTTCACATTGGTGGCCCAGAAATCAGTCTCAGCCCCTCCCAGTATGGACCGCTCCTTGACAGCCGCCCTCTCTCCTATAAAGGCAGATGCAAGCTACGTTTGTGTGGTAAGTGAACCCAGTTGTCTGAATTCTGATTTTGCAGCTTTATGAATTGGATTTAGTAGCACCGACTGGTTGCTGAACAGTAGAGGGCACTGTTAGCATGTAAAGTCTGGGTTGAGCCGCACAGGAAGAAGGAAGTAGTTGGGTTAGAGTCAGCCTTGCATGAGATTCTAGCAATTAGATTAGTGTAACATACTTTGGATTTTAGAACACAATTGCCACATTCTTGAAGTCGTAGTTTAGCATACATGCCACCACATTAAATAAAACCGAACTCCAGCAGCACTGTTCATTCCTACAGGGATGATTTATTCAGATAGTCTGGACATTCTTTGATCCAAGTATTAAATAAATGCCTGCAATGCACATGGTATTAGGTACTTTGATACGGCTTAAAACCATAAATTCAAGAATAGTGCTTCAAGCTGCTATTGAGAGCTTTTAAAAATGAAAACCTGTTATCCATATGCACATTCATACTTGAACTCAGAATGCAGTAGAATTCTATTCAAGGATACAGTATCGTCAGGAAACATCTGATAGAGAAGGAGAGAAACTTTTTGGCTTTTTAATCTGGTTTCCCTGCCAACTCAACTGTGTGAAAATATAACCATAGTTAAATTTATTCAGCGCACTCTGTGTGCCAGGCAGTGTTCTACGTGCCTTACAACCTTGACACAGAAGTGTGGTCTGTGGAGCAGTGGAGTCAGCAGCCCCAGGAGCTTGTTAGAAATGCAGATTCTTGGGGACATCCCAGAATCTGCATTTAAAAGAGATCTGTATACAAGTTAAAGTTTCAGAACCACTCCTCTCTCCTATGTATTATCTTATTTAATCCCCATAACAGAGGCACTATTATTATCTCAATTTTTAAGTGGGAAACTGAGGCAAAGAGAAGTTCAGTAACTTGCCCAGTACAAAGCTGGGAATCTTTACTCAGGCAAAATAGCTTCCATGCCCTGCTATTAGGTTGATGTAATTGCTTTTACTGCTTTTTTTTTTTTGACGGAGTTTCGCTTTTGTCGTCCAGGCTGGAGTGCAAATGGCGTGATCTTGGCTCACCACAACCTCCGCCTCCCAGGTTCAAGTGATTCTCCTGCCTCAGCCTCCTGAGTAGCTGGGATTACAGGCATGTGCCACCACGCCCGGCTAATTTCATATTTTTAGTAGAGATGGGATTTCTCCATGTTGTTCAGGCTGGTCTCAAACTCCCGACCTCAGGGGATCCGCCCGTCTCGGCCTCCCAAAGTGCTGAGATTACAGGCGTGAGCCACCGCACCCGGCCTAATGTCACTGCTTTTAAGGCAAAAACCGTAATCACTTTTGCACCAACCCAATATTATTCCTATCACTTCACTTCTTTTATTTTTATATATTTATTTATTTTTTGAGATGGAGTCTCGCTCTGTCGCCAGGCTGTAGTGCAGGGGTGAGATCTTGGCTCACAGCAACCTCTGCCTCCCGGGCTCAAGCTATTCTCCTGCCGCGGCCTCCTGAGTAGCTGGGACTACAGGCGCGTGCCACCTCACCCAGCTAATCTTTTTTGTGTGTTTTTATTAGAGATGGGGTTTCACTGTGTTAGCTAGGATGGTCTCGATCTCCTGACCTCGTGATCTGCCCGCTTTGGCCTCCCAAAGTGCTGGGATTACAGGCGTGAGCCACCGTGCCTGGCCCACCCCAGCTATTTTTAAAGATTTTGTAAGGACAGAGTCTCTCTATGTTGCCCAGCCTGGTCTGGAACTCCTGGCCTCAAGCAATCCTCCTGCCTTGGCCTCCCAAAGTGTTGGGATTACAGGTTTGGGCCACTGCAGCCAGCTCCCTGTTTGTATTTAAATACAGCTGAAATCCTTAAAGTGAAAGTACTGTTTATGGGTAAGTTATACAAAGCAAAATCTAAAAAAGCGTTCTCCAGAAAGAAGAACAACCATTGTGCCACTATCAGTTTGCCCCTGATTTCCCAGTGGGTCATAAAGAAGGTAGAAGGCACCAGCACTTGGTGTTTACTGCGGTTGTCAGGACAGATCCGGCAAGATGTGAAGAAGCTCTGGGACCCTGACATGGCCAAGGTCAACTTGCTTGGGAGAGAAGAAGGCATACTTTAGACTAGACCTACCATGATGCTTTAGGTGGTGCCAACAAAACTGGGATCATATAAGTGGATTGCAGCTCACTAAGTCTAAATATATTGAGGTTTTCCACTATCCAAGAAAAGAAATGACAACCGTGTCCTCCCCAACACAACACACACACATAAACACACACACACTTTATCCTCCTTCTACTTTTGCTCAGTTGCATTTTTTACCATCCAATATATATATTTATTTGGTTATTGTTTATTTTTTCCATGAGAATGTAAATTCCCATAAGGATGGGGATCTTTGTCGATTTTGCTCACTGTGCACCCCTCTCCACCCCCAGCTCTTAGAAAATTCCCTGGCACAATACAGATGTGCTATGATATTGCTGAATGAAAAAATGAATTGTTCTTACCTGACTGTAAACTTCTTAAGATGTTAGGCCATGTTTTACTCAATTTGATATCTCAAAAACTTAGCAGTGTGATTGAAAAAAACACCTTTTTTGTTATTGAAATGTAATTTTCTTATTCAGACCATACATATGAAAGTTTAAATTGTATATGTTGTTGCTGTCACTGATGTCTTCCTTCTGTTGTTCAGAAATGATCAGATCAAAAATTTGGACATTGTACCACAATTCATAAGAGAAACCCACTCTAGCTATAATAAAGGATAATTACATGTTATACATTTCATGTATAAAGCTTTAGAGAATTTCATACTTGGCTGGGAATTTTTATTTGATATATACAGATTGTCTTTTACTATTTTTAAAATTTTTTGTAGAGATAGGGTCTTTCCATGTTGCCCAGGCTAATCTTGAACTCCTGGGCTCAAGTGATCTGCCTGTCTCAGCCTCCCAAAGTGCTGGGATTATGGGCCTGCACCACCATGCCTGGCCATATACACATTTTAGTAGCTCATAAAGGTATCACTTTTTACTTAATGCTATTGAATTGCTTTTTTTTTTTTTTGAGACAGAGTCTTGCTCTGTCACCCAGGCTGCTGGAGCGCAGTGGCACGATCTCGGGTCACTGCAACCTCCGCCTCCTGGGTTCAAGCAATTCTCCTGTCTCAGCCTCCTGAGTAGCTGGGACTACAGGCGTGTACCACCATGCCCAGCTAATTTTTCTATTTGTAGTAGAGACGGGGTTTCACCATATTGGTCAGGCTGGTCTAAAACTCCTGATCTCAGGTGATCCACCAGCCTAGGCCTCCCAAAATGTTGGGATTACAGGCGTAAGCCACTGCACCTGGCCTTTGAGTTGCTTTAAGAAAGCTCTCTATAGGTCAGAATTGTAAAAGCTACTTTTTTTTTTTTTTTTCAGCCACGGAGTCTTGCTCTGTTGCCTGGGCTGGAGTGCAGTGGCATGATCTCGGCTCAGTGCAACCTCCACTTCCCGGGTTCAAGCGATTCTCCTGCCTCATCCTCCCAAGTAGCCGGGATTACAGGTACGCACCACCATGCCTGGCTAATTTTTGTATTCTTAGTAGAGACGGGGTTTTCCCATGTTGGCCAGGCTGGTCTCGAACTCCTGACCTCAAGTGATCCACCTGCCTCGGCCTCCCAAAATGCTGGGACTACTTTGGGAGGTGTGAGCCACCATGCCCAGTCAAAAGCTATCATTTGATGTAGCAGTTGCTAAGGTAGCCTTAATGACCAATTAAACATGTGAAATTATGGAACTCATCCATGTGTAAATTTTCAATCCAGTGGTTCAGAAACAGACATATCATTATCTTCATGTTTTAAAATGAAACTTAAATTTTAGTCACATGGAGGGGTCAAAGATGTCAAGTCCCATTTATTACTAGAATGTCTGTTTTCATTTGAGGTCTTGTTGAAAATACTCTTCTTTCGCCAGGGGTGGTGGGATTACACCTGTAATCCCAGCACTTTGGGAGGCCAAGGCGGGTGGATCACCTGAGGCCGGGAGTTCAAAACCAGCCTGACCAACATGGAGAAACCCCGTCTCTACTAAAAATACAAAACTAGCCGGGCGTGGTGGCACGTGCCTGTAATCCCAGCTACTCGGGAGGCTGAGGCAGGAGAATCACTTGAACCCAGGAGGCAGAGGTTGTGGTGAGCCAAGATTGTGCCATTGCACTCCAGTCTGGGCAACAAGAGCGAAACTCTGTCTCAAAAGAAAAGGAAAGAAAAGAAAATACTCTTCTTTCTACCTCCTAAGTTTCAAATCAATAAAGGAGAAGACATCAAAGCCTGTCAGACAGGGACAAATCATCCATCCTGTGATTTGCAAAACTGAATTGAAGATATTAGCTTGAATATTAGGCCATAATCTGGTCTACTCCAAGTCTAGATCATGGGATGATTTACGTAGGGGAGAATGTGCATACTCACTTACCCAGAATCACTCCTTCGAGTGCATTGATATGCTTTGAGCCTCCCATCATCTTCTGGGGAGAATCAAAGTGGAGAGAAAAAAAGGGGAATGCTCTATCCCAATTACTTTTTTTTTTTTTTGGTAGAGATGGGGTCTCACTATATTGCCCAGGCTGTTTGTTGTTGTTGTTGTTGTTGTTGTTGTTGTTGAGACAGAGTTTACTCTGTCATCCAGGCTGGAGTGCAGTGGCATAATCTTACTCACCACAACCTCTGCTTCCCAGGTTCAAGCAATTCTCCTACCTCAGCCTCCCAAGTAGCTGGGACTACAGGCCCCCGCCACCACACCTGGCTAAGTTTTGTATTTTTAGTAGAGACGGTTTCACCACATTGGCTAGGCTGGTCTCGAACTCCTGACCTCAAGTGATTCACTTGCCTCAGCCTCCCAAAGCGCTGGAATTACAGGCGTAAGCCACTGTGCCTGGCCTCAGGCTGGTTTTGAACTCCTGGCCTTAAGCAATCCTCCCAATTTGGCCTCCCAAAGTGCTGAGATTAGAGGTGTCAGCCACTGTGCCCAGCCCCGTTTACATTTCTAAAATAAAGGTATTAAAATTGAATATATGTTAATGTACCATATAAACAGAAAAATACACAAATCATAAATAAGTTTGATAAATTTTACAAAATAAGCATACCCACATAACCAGCACCCAGATTTAAAAAAGGAGAAGACAATATCTAATATCCCAGAAGTCCCACTGATGTCAATTAATTCACAAGCAATTTAATTGAATGCTAAAACAAAGTTCATTTTTATAAAGGAGTATAACAAAACCCAGCATATAACAATGCAAATTGAGAATATCTAGGAACCAATGAAACATTATTATTCATGGAAAGCAGAATATATAACACATAACCTGTAGATAAATCAATGGAAAGAGACCCAGAAATGGTAATTAAGATGGAATTACCTTTAAAACAGCTATTATTTACATGTTCAAGAACGTAAAGAAAAACGTTAACAAAATGATGACAGAAATTGAAGATATTTTAAAATAGAATTTGTAGACATGAAAATACACTATGTAATAGTAAAAATATACTGGATGAAATGAGTAGACACTGCAGAGAAAAAGAATTTTGCGTGAACTGAATGCATAACAACAGAAACCATCCAAAATGAAACATGGCAGCCAGGCGCAGTGGCTCACGCCTGTAATCTCAGCACTTTGGGAAGCCGAGGTGGTGGATCACTTGAGGCCAGGAGTTCAAGACCAGACTGGCCAACATGGTGAAACCCCATCTCTACTACAAATACAAAAATTAGCCAGGCGTGGTGATGGGCACCTGTAATCCTGGCTACTAAGGAAGGTGAGGCAGGAGAATCATTTGAACCCAGGAAGTGGAGGTTACAGTGAGCTGAGATTGCACCACTGCACTCCAGCCTGGGCGACAGAGCAAGACTCCTTCTCAAAAAAAGAAAAAAAAAGAAAGAAACATGGCAAAAAAAGAGACTGGAAAAAAAAAAAAACCCAAAAATCAAACTTATTTATTTGTTTATCAGGGATCTATGAGACAATATCAAACTGCCTAACATACATGGAGTTGGAGTTCCAGAAAAATAAGGAGAAAAGGGAAAAAACATTATTTGAAAAACAATTCCTGAAATTTCCTAAATTTAATGAAACCATAAACCAACAGATTAAAAAACCTCAAAAAACTCCAAGCAGAAGAAATATAAAGAAAATGGCACTGATGTGCATGTTCATCAGATTTCTGAAAACCAGTGATAAAGACAAAGTCCTAAAGCAACCAGAATTGAGGGAAGGGTGGAGCAAGATTATGTATGGAAGAACAAAGGTAAGAATGAATGACAGAAAACTTCTCCTTTTTTTTTTGACAGTCTTGCTCTGTCGCCCAGGCTGGAGTGCAGTGGTGCTATGTTGGCTCACTGCAACCCCTGTCTTCCGGGTTCAAGTGATTCTCCTGCCTCAGCCTTCTGAATAACTGGGATTACAGGCATGAGCCACCATGCCCAGCTAATTTTTGTATTTTTAGTAGAGATGGGGTTTCACTATGATAGCCAGGCTGGTCTTGAACTCTGACCTCAGGTGATCCACCACCTCGACCTCCCAAAGTGCTGGGATTACGGGCATGAGCCACCATGTCCAGCCCGACAGAAGACTTCTTGATGAAGCTGGAGCTGGGTTCAGTGGCTTACATCTGTAATCACAGCACTTTGGAAGCCAAGGCAGGAAGATCACTTGAGGCCAGCCTGGGCAACATAATGAGACCTCATCTCTTTAAAAAAAAAATGAAGGTGGGATAAAAATATTTTTAGATTCAAAATAATCTGATATACTTTATTGATATTAATATTAGACTAACTCTATAAAAAATGTTATAAAGAAGTTTTCAGGTGAAAAGGAAAATGATACCAAGGTGAAATGAGAATTGACACAAAGGAATAAAGTAAATATTGGAAAAAGAAAATATTTTGCTGAATATAAATTTTTTTCTCATTTTTAGTATTCTTTAAAAGATAATTTTAAAATATAAATTAGTGACAAGGTATTGTGAAGCTCATAAAGTGTGGAGAAATGAAATGTATAACAATCACGGTAAAAAATGATAGGAACAAGGACGTGGGAGGATACTCATGTACAATTCTTTTTTTGTTTGTTTTTTTTTTAAGTTGGAGTTTGACTGTGTTGCTCAGGCTGGAGTGCAATGGCATGATCTTGGCTCACTGCAACCTCCGCCTCCAGGGTTCAACGTATTCTCCTCCCTCAGCCTCCCAAGTAGCTGGGATTACAGGTGTGCACCACCATGCCTGGCTAATTTTTTTTTTTTTTTTTTGGATGGGGTTTTGCTCTTGTTGCCCAGGCTGAAGTGCAATGGCACAATCTTGGTTCAACGCAACCTCCGCCTCCTGGATTCAAGGGATTCTCCTGCCTCAGCCTCCTGAGTAGCTAGGATTACAGGCATGCACCACCACGCCCAGCTAATTTTGTATTTTTAGTAAAGATGCGGTTTATCCATGTTGGTCAGGCTGGTCTTGAACTCCTGACCTCAGGTGATTCACCCACCTTGGCCTCCCAAAGTGTTGGGATTACAGGTGTGAGCCACTGTAACTGGCCTAATTTTTTTATTTTTAGTGGAGATGGGGTTTCACCATGTTGGCCAGGCTGGTCTCAAACTCATGACCTCAGGTGATCTGCCCACCTGGGCCTCCTAAAGTGCTGGGATTACAGTCATGAGCCACTGCTCCTGGCATTACGATTCTTTTCTTTTCTTTTCTTTGAGGTGGAGTTTCACTCTTGTCGCCCAGGCTGGAGTGTAATGGCACAATCTCGGCTCACTGCAACCTCCACCTCCTGGGTTCAAGCGATTCTCCTGCCTCAGCCTCCCAAGTAGCTGGGATTACAGGCACCTGCCACCATGCCTGGCTAATTTTTTTGTTGTTGTCGTTTCCCCATATTGGCCAGGCTGGTCTCGAACTCCTGACCTCAGGTGATCCACCCGCCTTGGCCTCCCAAGGAGTTGGGATTACAGGCGTGAGCCACCGCACCCAGCCACAATTCTTATACTACAGGTGAAGTGGTGTAATATTATCTGAAGATAGACTGTTAACAAATTAATAGTGCATATTATAAACCTAGAGCAACTACTAAGAAGTAAAATTTAGAGATACAGCTAATGAGTCAATAGTACAAATAAGATGGAATTACAAAAATTTTCAGCTGGATGTGGTGGCTCACGCCTGTAATCCCAGCACTTTGGGAGGCTGAGGCAGGGAGATCACTTGAAGCCAGGAGTTCAAGACCAGCCTGGCCAACATGGCAAAACGCCATCTCTAGAAAAAACACAAAAAATTAACTGGGCATGGTGGTGCATGCCTGTAATCCCAGCTACTTAGAAGGCCAAGGCACAAGAATCGCTTGAACCTGAGAGGTGGAGGCTGCAGTGAACCGAGATCAGGCCACTGCACTCTAGCCAGGGTGGCAGAGTGAGACTCTGTCACAGAAAAAAAAAAAAAAATTTGTCTACCCAAAAGAAGTGACAAAAAAGGAATAGATAGAAAGAGTAGCTGGGTGCCATGGCTCACATCTATTATAATCCCAGCATTTTGGGAGGCTGAGGCGGGCAGATCACCTGAGCTCGGGAGTTTGAGACCAGCTTGGCCAACATGGTGAAACCCCATCTCTACTGAAAATACAAAAATTATCCAGGCATGGTGGTAGATGCCTGTAATCCCAGCTACTCTGGAGGCTGAGGCAGGAGAATCGCTTGAACCCGGGAGGCGGAGGTTGCTGTGAGTCGAGATCAGACCACTGAACTCCAGCCTGATGACACAGTGAGACTCCATCTCAAAAAAAAAAAAAAAAAAAAAAAAGAAGAAGACAAACAGTAAATGGTAGATTTAGGCCAGGTGCAGTGGCTCACACCTGTAATCCCAGCACTTTGGGAGACCGAGGCAGGCAGATCACCTGAGGTCGGGAGTTCGAGACCAGCCTGACCAACATGGAGAAATCCTGTCTCTACTAAAAAAATACAAAATTAGCCGGACATGGTGGCACATGCCTGCAATCCCAGCTGCATGGGAGCTGAGGGAGGAGAATCGCTTGAACCCGGGAGGTGGAGATTGTGGTGAGCCAAAATCGTGCCATTGCACTCCAGCCTGGGCAACGAGAGCAAAGCTCCATCTCAAAAAAAAAAAAAAAAAAATGGTATATTTAGCATGAACACTTTATAACTACATTAAATGTAATGTTCTAAAAACACAAACTAAAAGGGAGAAATTATATATTAATATATATTAAGCTAGCACTAACCAAAATAAATCTAGAAGTGGCTCTATTAATATTAGACAAAAGGAGCTTTATTTTAAAAAAAATTTTTTAAGAGAGAGGGTCTTACTTTGTCACCCAGGCTGGAGTGCAGTGGCATGAGCTCAGCTCACTGCAGCCTCGATCTGCTGGGCTCAAGTGATCCTCCCACCTCAGCCTCCTGAGTAGCTGGGACTACAGGCATGTACCACCATGCCCAGCTAATATTTTGTATTGTTTTGTAGAGATGGGGTTTTGTCATATTGTCCAGGCTGGTCTTGAACTCCTGAGCTCAAGCAATCTGTCCACGTTGGCCTCCCAAAGTGCTAGGATTACAGGCGTGAGTCACGGCACTAGTGGAAATAAGCTTTCTTTTTAAAAATTTTCTTAATTTTTTAAATCGCTAATTTATTTATTTATTCTTTGAGACAGAGTCTCGTTCTGTCACCCAGGCTGGAGTGCAGTGGTATGATTTCAGCTTACTACAACCCCCACCTCCAGGGTTCAAGTGATTCTTGTGCCTCAGCCACCTCAGCAGCTGGGATTACAGATGCATACCACCACGCCCAGCTAATTTTTGTATTTTCAGTAGAGACAGGGTTTCACCATGTTGGCCAGGCTGGTCTCAAACTCCTGACCTCAGGTGATCTGCCCACTGTGGCCTCCCAAAGTGCTAGGATTACAGGCGTGAGCCACCACGCCAGGCCTGAAATAAGCTTTCAAACAAGAAATATTACAGAAATAAAAGGAAGATTTCATAACGATAAAATTCAATTCCCCAAGAAGATTTTAAAATCTTAAATGTGTATGTACCCAATAACAAAACTTTGAAAAACATAGAGCAAAACTGTTAGAACTTAAAGGAGAAATAGAAAAAGCCACATTTAGAGTTAGAAATTTCAATACTCAATTTTCAGTAATCAATAGAAAGTGGGCCAGGAGTGGGGTCTCACGCTTGTAATCTCAGCACTATGTGAGGCTGAGGCAGGTGGATCGCTTGAGCCCAAGATTTTGAGACCAGCCTGGGCAACATGAAGAAACCTGTCTCTACTAAAAATACAAAAAAATTAGCCAGGCGTGGTGGTGCATGCCCATCGTCCCAGCTACCCAGGAGGCTGAGGTGGGAGGAATGCCTGAGCCTGGAAGGTTGAGGCTGCAGTGAGTCCTGATTGTGCCACTGCACTCCAGCTGGACAACAGAGTGGAATCGTGTCTCAAAAAAGAACGAAAACAGGCTGGGCGCGGTGGCTCACGCCTGTAATCCCAGCACTCTGGGAGGCCGAGGCGGGTAGATTATGAGGTCAGGAATTCGAGACAAGCCTGGCCAATATGGTGAAATCCCATCTCTACTAAAAATACAAAAATTAGCTGGGTGTGGCAGCGTGCGCCTGTAATCCCAGCTCCTCGGGAAGCTGAGGCAGGAGAATCGCTTGAACCCAGGAGGCGGAGGTTGCAGTGAGCCGAGATCGCGCCACCTGCACTCCAGCCTGGGCGACAAGAGTGAAACTCCATTAAAAAAAAAAAAGAACAAAAACAAAAATAAACAAACAAAAAAGAAAGTGGATGAAAAATCAGAAAGCATGTAGAAGACTTCGAAAACTCTGTCAAGGCTGGGCGCAGTGGCTCATGCCTGTAATCTCAGCACTTTGGGAGGCCGAGGCAGGTGGATCATGAGGTCAGGAGTTCGAGACCAGCCTGGCCAACATGGTGAAACCCCATCTCTACTAAAGATACAAAAAATTAGCCGGGCGTGGTGGTGCATGCCTGTAATCCCAGCTACTCAGGAGGCTGAGGCAGGAGAATCGCTTGAACCTGTGAGGTGGAGGTTGCAGTGAGCCAAGATCACTCCATTGCACTCCAGCTTGGGTGACAGGGTGAGACTCCTGTCAAAAACAAAGAAAGAAAGAAACAAAAACAAAACCTCTGTCAGTCACTCAGTTTGCATTTATAGAATTTTTCACCCAACAATAACATAATACATATTCTTTTCATGTATACATAAGATATTCACCAGGATAGAATATATTTTCAGCCATAAAACAAGTATCAATAAATTAAAAGAATTGAAATTATAGTATGATTTCAGATCAAAAGATAATTGTATTTAAAGAAACCAAAAAAATTATCCAGAAAACCCCCAAATACTTGGAAGTTAAGCAACACCTTTTTAAATATCCCAAAAAGAGGCCAGGCACGGTGGCTCACGCCTATAATCCCAGCACTTTGGGAGGCCGAGGTAGTTGGATCACTTGAAGTCAGGAGTTCAAGACCAGCCTGACCAATATGGTGAAACCCTGTCTCTACTAATACAAAAATTAGCCGGGTGTCATGGTGGGCACCTGTAATCCCAGCTGCTCAGGAGGCTGAGGCATGAGAATCACTTGAACCTAGGAGGTGGAGGTTGCAGTGAGCCCAGATTGCACCACTGCACTCCAGCCTGGGTGACAAAGCGAGACTCTGTCTCAAAAAAAAAAAAAAAAAAAGAAGAACCCAAGGAGAAATCATAAGGGAAATTGGAAAATATTTTAAGCTGAATGAAAATGAAAATACAACATATCAAAATTTGTGAGATAAAGCTAATGCAGTGATTAGAGGTAAATTTTTTTTTTTTTTTTTTTGAGACTGGAGTCTTGCTCTGTCACCCAGGCTGGAGTGCAGTGGCACAATCTGGGCTCACTGCAAGCTCCGCCTCCCGGGTTCACGCCATTCTCCTGCCTTAGCCTCCCGACTTGCTGGGACTACAGGCGCCCGCCATCATGCCCGGCTAATTTTTTATATTTTTAGTAGAGGCGGGGTTTCACCATGTTGGCCAGGATGGTCTCAATCTCCTGACCTCGTGATCCGCCCGCCTCGGCCTCCCAAAGTGCTGGGATTACAGGCGTGAGCCAACGTGCCCGGCCGTTAAATTATTACTTTCCTCCTCTACAGATTTTCCTGTTATGGACATTTCACGTAAATGAAATCATGTATGTGGTCTTTTGTGACTAGCCTCTCAGCATTCAGCAGAATGTTTTCAAGGCTCATTCATACTGTAGCATGTATAAGTGCTTCATTTCTTTTTATGGCTGCTACTGTTTGAATGTGTTCCCCAAAAAGCATGTTTTGGAAACTTAATCTCCAATACAACAGTGTGGGGAGGTGGGGCCTAATGGGAGGTGTTTGGGTCATGAGGGCTCCACCCTCATGAATTGATTAATGATAATTACAAAAGGGCTTATGCCTGCAAGTGCAGTCTCTTGCTCTCTCATGCTGTCTTGCCCTTCTGCCTTTTACCAGGGGATGACACAGCACAAAGGCCCTTGCCAGATGTGAGCCCCTTGATATTGGATTTCCCAGTCTTCAGAACTGTAAGAAATGAATTTATTTTCTTTGTAAATTACCGAATCTGTGGTATTCTGTTTAGCAACACAAAGCAAACTAAGACAATGTCCAAACAATATTCCATTGTATGAATATACACAAAGTTGTTTATCCATGTATTAGTTGATGAACAATTTGGGTTGTTTCCACCCTTTGGCTATTATGAATATTGCTGGTATAAATATTCATGTACAAGTTTTTGTGTGGACACATGTTTTCATTTCTCTAGGAGTGGAATTTCTGGATCATATGGTAACTCTATGTTAAAGTTTTATTTTATTTTATTTTATTTTATTTTATTTTATTTTATTTTATTTTATTTATTTATTTTGAGACTAAGTCTCCCTCTGTCGCCCAGGTTGGAGTGCAATGGCATGATCTGAGCTCACTGCAACCTCCGCCTCCCAAGTTCAAGCAATTCTCCTGCCTCAGCCTCCCAAGTAGCTGGGATTACAGGCATGTGCCACCATGTCTGTCTGATTTTTGTATTTTTAGTAGAGACAGGGTTTCACCATTTTGACCAGGCTGGTCTCGAACTCCTGACCTCAGTTGATCCGCCCACCTCAGCCTCCCAAAGTGCTGGGATTATAGGTGTGAGCTACTACGCCTGGCCTATGTTAAACTTTTTGAGGAACTATTAGATTATTTTCCAAAGTAGTGTCACCACTTAACATTCTCACCAGCAATATATGAGGGTTCTGATTCCTCCACATCCTCACCAACACTTGTTATTATTAATCTTTTTGATTATAGCCTTCCTGGTGTGTGTGTAATTATATTTCATTGTGGTTTTGATTTGTATTCCCTAATGTGTAATGACATTAAGCATCTTTTAATGTGTTTATTGGCCATTTTGATATCTTCTTTGGAAAAATGTCTATTAAGATCTTTTGCATTTGTAAATTATCCAACCCATTTGTAAACTGTGTTGTCTTTTTATTATTGCTATATGAATTTAAAAAAAAAAAGTTCTGCTGGGTGTGGTGGCTCACGCCTGTAATCCCAGAACTTTGGGAGACCTAGGTGGGAAGATCACTTGAAGTCAGGAGTTTGAGAACAGCCTGGCCAACATGGCGAAACCCTGTCTTTACTGAAAATACAAAAAATTAGCCGGGTGTGGTGGCACATGCCAGTAATCCTAGCTACTTGGGAGGCTGAGGCGTGAGAATCACATGAACCTTGGAGGCAGAGCTTGCAGTGAGTCGAGATCACACCACTGCACTCCAGCCTGGGTGACAGAGCAAGACTCTGTCTCAAAAAAAAAAAAAAAAAAAAAAAAGTGTTCTGCAAGTCCCTTATCAGATATATGATTTGCAAAAATATTCTCCCATTCTCTGAGTCTTCAGTTTCTTGATAGTGTTTTTTGAGAACAAAATATTTTCATTTTGATGAAGTCCTATTTATCTGTTTTTTTCTTTTGTTGCTTATGTTTTTGGTGTCATATCTGAGAAAATATTGCCAAATCCAAGGTCGTGAAGATTTAGCCATATGTTTTCTTGTAAGAGTTTTATAGTTTTAGTTTTTTTACTTTTTATTTTTATTTATTTTTTAAACTTTTATTTTAGGTTCGGGGATACATGTGAAGGTTTGTTACATAGGTGAATTCGTGTCATGGGGGTTTGTTGTACAGATTATTTCATCACCCAGGTATTAAGCCCAGGACCCAATGGTTATTTTTCTGCTCCTCTCCCTCCTCCCACCCTCCACCCTCAGGTAGACCCCAGTGTCTGTTGTTTCCTTCTTTGTGTTTATGAGTTCTCATCATTTAGCTCCCACTTATAAGTGAGAAGATGAGTTAATTGCTTTTTAGTACCTGTGTTAGTTTGCCAAGGATAATAGCCTCCAGCTCCATCCATGTTCTTGCAAAATACATGATCTCTTTCTTTTTATTTTTTTTCTTTTTCTTTTTGAGATGGAGTCTCGCTCTGTCGCCCAAGCTGGAGTGCAGCGGTGCGATCTTGGCTCACTGCAACCTCCACCTCCCCAGTTCAAGTGATTCTCCTGCCTCAGCCTCCCGAGTATCTGGAACTACAGGCATGTGCCACCACGCTTGGCTAATTTTTTTTTTTTTTTTTTTTTTTGAGATAGAGTCTCACTCTGTCACCCAGGCTGGAGTGCAGTGGTGTGATCTCGGCTCACTGCAACCTCTGCCTCCTGGGTTCAAGTGATTCTCCTGCCTCAGCCTCCTGAGTAGCTGGGACTACAGGCATGTGCCACCGCACCCAGCTAATTTTTTATTTTTAGTACAGACAGGGTTTCACCATGTTGGCCAGGCTGGTCTTGAACTCCTGATCTTGTGATCCGCCTGCCTCAGCCTCCCAAAGTGTTGGAATTACAGACGTGAGCCACTGCACCTGGCCAATTTTTATATTTTTAGTAGAGATAGGGTTTCACCATGTTGACCAGGCTGGTCTTGAACTCCTGACCTCAAGTGATCTGCCCACCTCGGCCTCCCAAAGTGCTGGGATTACAAGTGTGAGCCGCCACCCACCATGCCCGGCTGATCTCGTTCCTTCTTTTTTTTTTTTTTTTTTTGAGACGGAGTCTTGCTCTGTCGCCCAGGCTGGAGGGCAATGGCGTGATCTCGGCTCACTGCAACCTCGGCCTCCCAGGTTCAAGCCATTCTCCTGCCTCAGCCTCCCAGGTAAGTGGGACTATAGGCATGCGCCACCATGCCCAGCTAATTTTTTTTTTTTTTTTTTTGTATTTTTAGTAGATATGGGGCTTCACCATGCTGGCCAGGCTGATTTCGAACTCCTGACCTCAAGTGATCCACCCACCTCGGCCTCCCAAAGTGTTGGGAGTACAGGCGTAAGCCACCTCTCCCAGCCCATCTCGTTCTATTTTATGGCTGCATATTTTTTATTTTTTTTAATTTATTTATTTTTGAGACGGAATCTCACTCTGTTGCCCAGGCTGGAGTGCAGTGGTGCAATCTTGGCTCACTGCAAACTTCACCTCCCAGGTTCATGCCATTCTCCTGCCTCAGCCTCCAGAGTAGCTGGGACTACAGGTGCCCGCCACCACGCCTGGATAATTTTTTGTATTTTTAGTGGAGATGGGGTTTCACCGTGTTAGCCAGGATGGTCTCGATCTCCTGACCTCATGATCTGCATGCCTCGGCCTCCCAAAGTGCTGGGATTACAGGCGTGAGCCACTGTGCCCGGCTTATTTTTAAATTTTTTATTAGAGACAAGGTCTCGCTTTGTTGACCAGGCTGGTCTTGAACCCCTGGCCTCAAGAGATCCTCCTGCCTCAGTCTTCCAAAGTACTGGGAGTGATTACAGGTGTGAGCCACTGTGCCCAGCCAATTTTATTTTTTACATTTAGGTCTTTGATCCATTTTGAGTTAATTTTTATATATCATGTGACATAGGAGTACAACTTCACTCTTTTGCGTCTGGGTATCTAGTTGTTCCAATCCCATTTATTAAAAACAATATTCTTTCCCCATTGTATAGTCTTTGCACTGTTGTTAAAAAATCAGTTGAGCACAGAATCATGGGTTTATTTCCAGAGTGTCAACTGTATTCCATCGAACTATATCCAGCCGTAGGATAAATGCACCTGGTAGCAATAACAAGCATAACCTTCCAATGAGCCTTTATAGCAGATGCACCTGAATGTGTGTTCTGAGCTAGGGAATTCAGGAATAGCCAACCTGGAGATTTGTTCCTTGTCTGTGAGTAACATCTGCATCTCCAGCCAGTCTCATGGAACATGGGCCATACAGGGCTTGAGGCCCTGAGTTATGGGTTAAATGAATGTTGCCAAGTGGATTGTTAAGGGTAGGGTATTAAGTGCAAATGCTGTATAAATTACAAAGTACTTTTTGCAAGTGGTTGCGGTTTTCTTGCCCAGCCCACTGCCACTGGATTCTCTCCCCTGTATGTAATCCCCCTAATAAAACCCCATGTCTCATTTGCTGGCTCTGGGACTCTTTGGCCTTTTGAACCTGGTGCCTTCCCAACTGAGGTTAATAGGGGTTCACCACAATATCATCCATATGTCAGTACCACACTGTCTTGATTATTGTTGCTTTGTAGTAGGTTTTAAAATTGAAGTGTGGGCCTTCCAACTTGGTTCTTCTTTTTCAAGATTGTTTCATAATTTATTTTTAATTCAAAGCATTTTTTTTAACCTTCTCTATACCAGGAAATATGTGAAGGGAACAAGACAAGAATGGTCAGTCAGGAAGGAGATGCACTTAAAAAAATTAACAATGTGGTGGAGATTCTGATAGGGGAACTATCGATGTTTATAACAACATCACAAGGGGATTTAGCCAAGTCTGGGAATTGTAAAACTGTGACTGAAGAGACAAGACTGAGAGCTGCTGGGCGTAGTGGCTCACAAATGTAATCCCAACACTCGGGGAGGCTGAGGTGGGCAGATCACCTGAGGTCAAGAGTTTGAGACCAGCCTGGCCAACATGGCGAAACCCTGTCTTTACTAACAATACAAAAATTAGCCAGGCGTGGTGGCACCCGCCTGTAATCCCAGCTACTTGGGAGGCAGAGGCAGGAGAATCACTTGAATCCGGGAGGCAGAGGTTGCAGTGAGCTGAAATTTTGCCACTCCGTCTCAAAAAACAACAACAGCAACAACAACAACAACAAACACCGAGAGCTGGGAGAAGGAATAAGAGATAACCAAAAGAAGAGGTGAATATACCACACACCACATTCCAAGTAGGGGGAATAGCTTTCTTGAATCGTGGAGTTGAGGTATAGCTATAACAAGGGAGAACGGGGTTCAGAAAAGCTTTAGCAGAGAATGCAAGACGAGAGCGGTAAAAGTTCAGTCTGAAGAAGGAGAAGCAGAGACCTGCTTTTGTTTTGTTTTGTTTTGTTTTGTTTGAGACAAGAGTCTTGCTCTGTCACCCAGGCTAGAGTGCAGTGGGGCCATCTCAGCTGACTGCAACCTCGCCTCCCAGGGTCAAGTGATTCTCCTGCCTCAGCCTCCTGAGTAGCTGGGATTAGAGGTGCCCGCCACCATGCCTGGCTAATTTTTGTATTTTCAGTAGATATGGGGTTTCACCATGTTGGTCAGGCTGGTCTCGAACTCCTGACCTCATGATCCACCTGCCTCGGCCTCCCAAAGTGCTGGGATTACAGGCGTGATCCACCACGCCCAGCCAAGAGACCTGCTTTTTATTGCAAGGACGATGAAGGGTCATTTTCAACATTTAAAGAATGATGGGGGAACATAATCATTTTACATTTAGAAGGGTCGCTCTGGCTGTAGAGTGGAAAATGGCTAGAAATGCAGAATCCTGAAGGAAGGGACACAATTAGGGGTCTTTTGAAGGAAAAGATGATGCAAGTTGAACTGTGATAGTGGCAGGAGCATAGAGAGGAGTGGGAAGACTGTGAGACACTTCCTAGGAAGTGTTTACAGGACTTGATTATTCCCCAGAGGTGAGAGGTAAGAGAGAGAGGAATGGAAGCTGGCTCCTAATTTGTCATAATATGAAACTTTGAGCATGTTGTAGCTTTTGAATAATGTAAGCCCCAGATTAACAAAATTAAAAATGGGAAACTGGAGTCTTTTCTATTTTCCAAAAATCTCCCAGGAAACAAAATTATGCCTGTAACTTGTGTGGTCTTTAGCTATTGTGCATTTTTTTTTTTAAACCACTTTGAGTGATCCTTATAAATACACAAATGCCGGTGCAAACAGGGAACATGAAAACCAAGTGAGAGGTTGTGACTGCAGGCATTCCAAGGCAACCCAGATGGTGTTCCTGACAATAGAACAGTTTCTCTCCATCTACTGATGTCTCCCACCTAGACTAGGAGAGCTTTGCAAGCAGTCTTCCAACTTCCAGTCTTGTCTTTTCCAACTGTTCCCTCCATCACTGCAGTGCAACCACAATAGTTTTTCAAAAAGGCATATCTCAGACTGTCATCCCCTTTATATAAAACTTTCCAATGGCTTCCTATTGCCATCAGGACAACGTTCAGACACTCAACATCGTTGTTTCTGCATAATCTGGCGCCTGCCTGCCTGCCTGCTTGATCTCTTGCTACTCTCTACCTTACATGGTGCTCCAGCCACACTGAACTGTCCTCAGTTCCTCTAACAATCCGTGCTCGCTCTCTCACGTCTTGGTTCTCTTTTACTGCATCTTTCTTTGCCTACTATTATGCCTACTTGTGTTTCAGGTCCTGCCTTAGACATCACTTCCTCTGGAAAGCTTCCCTGACCTTTCAGATCTGCGTTAGCGACCTCCTTTTGTGTAACATCGTTGTATGCCTTGTGTCAATCAATTTGATGGGGTCCAGCTTTCTTTTGGTCTGGTTTGGTCTAGGGATAGATTTTAGACTTTCAGAAAAAGTGAATGGACTGTGTTTCTGTAACCGAGTATCCCCATTTTTCTACGAGATAATTTAATTATTTTATTATTTTCTCTCCTCTTCCTTTTCCCCCTGTTCCCTGTAACCTACGTAGCCCTTTAGAAATGCAAATATAACCTTTCCCCTCCCCTCACCAGACATTCCCTACAGGGCAAGTTCGTCTAACTGTGAGCTCTAA
This sequence comes from Homo sapiens, assembly GCF_000001405.40. NCBI lineage: Eukaryota > Metazoa > Chordata > Mammalia > Primates > Hominidae > Homo > Homo sapiens. The sequence goes on along the minus strand of NC_000008.11, from coordinate 80,211,918 downwards.
GAGGGGTCTCTCCTCGAGAGCTGACAATCAATTTGCAAAGTAAAGCATGCCCCCAGGGAACTCCCATCTCCAGGGGGTCACCTCGGAAGTCACACCCACTAGGAGGGGATGTGAAAAGCATGCCTACTTGGCCACTTTTACAACTCGCTTCTGCCAGGAAGGCGCCAACTCAACTGCCCGGTAGATAACTGCCTGGAAGCAGGGGCATCCCACCCTTGCTCATTTCCTCCCCTCCCTTATAAAAATGCCCGCTCTCTACTCTAAAGGTGAAGAGGCACATTTAAAGGCAGGACGTTTTGTGCCCCTTTCCCCAAGCTAGCTTGGGTATAAATTCACTTTTTTTGTAACAGACTTCACTCTTGTTAATTGAACTCTATATGCGGCAAGTAACTAACCTGCTTTTCAGTTACATGTTCTTCAAATAGCCCTGGAGGGATATGGATTCCCTTATGTGTTGGGTAATACAAAGCTGCTATATAGCAACTGGCCAGTATGTGCTCCACAGTGATTCTAGTTTGCCAAGAGATGATTAGTCTGAAGACAGAGTTATGTACTTTTGTGACGGCTAAGGAAATGAACAGGGAATCAGATCTTACCAGAAGGCTGACCCACGTCCACTGGAGAGAGGAATGGATGGCCAATCTCCAGAGCTCCCATATGAAGTTCTACTCCATATTTTTAGCCTGGGATTTTTTTTTTTTTCATAGCCTGTGACATAGAAGGCAACCTGGACAATTTTTTCTTCCTCCTCCTCCTCCTCCTCTTCTTCTTCTTTTTTTTTTTTTGAGACAGAGTCACACTCTGTTGCCCAGGCTGGAGTGCAGTGGCATGATCTCAACTCACCACAACCTCCACCTCCAGGGCTCAAGCGATTCTCGTGCCTCAGTCTCCTGAGTAGCTGGGATTACAGTGGGATTACAGCCACACACCACCACACAGGGCTTTTTTTTTTTTTTTTAAATAGAGATGGGGTTTCACCATGTTGGCCAGGCTGGTCTCGAAGTCCTGACCTCAAGTGATCCACCTGCCTCAGCCTGCCAGAGTGCTGGGATTATAGGTGTGAGCCACCACCCCTGGCCTAGCCCAGACAGTTTTTTTTTTTTTGAGACAGAGTTTCGCTCTTGTTGCCCAGGCTGGAGTGCAATGGCACGATCTTGGCTCACTGCAACCTCCATCTCCCAGGTTCAAGTGATTCTCCTGCCTCAGCCTCCTGAGTAGCTGGGATTACAGGCATGCGACACCACACCCAGCTAATTTTGTATTTTTAGTAGAGACAGGGTTTCTCCATGTTGGTCAGGCTGGTCTCGAACTCCCAACCTTAGGTGATCCACCCGCCTCAGCCTCCCAAAGTGTTGGGATTACAGGCGTGAGCCACTGTGCCTGACCTTTTTTTTTTTTTTAGGCAGAGTTTTGCTCTTGTCACTCAAGCTGTAGTGCAATGGTGCGATCTTGGCTCACTGCAACCTCCACCTCCCAGGTTCAAGCGATTCTCCTTACTCAGCCTCCCCAGTAGATGGGATTACAGGCGCCCGACACCATGCCCGGCTAATTTTTGTATTTTTAATAGAGACGGGGTTTCGTGTTCGCCAGGCTGCTCTCGAACTCCTGGCCTCAGGTGATCTGCCCACCTCGGCCTTCCAAAGTGCTGGGATAACAGGCATGAGCCACTGCTCCTGGCCCCTGGACAATTTTTAAAGCAGCTATATCGAAACTTCCTTGTCAACAACAGTTTTTAGTAAATCATTCATAAAATAACCCGCATCGAATAGCTCTACTTCCTGCCATTTTCTTTCAACACAAAATTTCTGCAAAATAAACTCCAAGGTAGATAAATGAGGAAGACTGTTAGGTAAAATCGTTATTTATTTATTTATGCCCTATTGATTTTTTTGTAGAGATGGGGTTTCGCCATATTGCCCAGGCTAATCTCAAACTCCTGGACTCAAGTGATCAGCCTGCCTCAGCCTCCTAAAGTGCTGGGATTACAGGCGTGATTCACTGCGCCTGGCCTTGAAATGGTTATTTATACACCAGTAAAAAGTCACCCAACTGCTTATCAAAAGCAATAAACATGGAGAAAATTGAAAGGAAGAACAATTGAGATCTAATGCTTCTTTCTGGTAATAATTACCCAGTGGGCCAGTTATCTCTCTGGGCCACTGCCATTTGGAGAAAGTATTTGTAATGAAAGAACACCTGCCCTTCTGATCGTTTTAGAATATAAGCATACATCACTCAGACTCGTATCAGCCAACACATAGCTGGTTTAAAAAATAAATGAGGAGAAAGGAAAGGAGGAAGAAAACACTTTCTTCTATAACTTGCTGGAAACCCTTAGGATCTCCTCAAAGAGTTCACCTCTTTGATCCCAAATCTCATAATAATAGTGCTGTTCAGATTCTGTACAAACCTCAAGGAATGGTGCTCCCACTTGAGCACATGCAGTGTAACCTAAACATATTCCCAAAAGCAAGGTCAAAAGCCCAGGCCAAGAAAATGCAAACCTCAAAAAATCCAATAAACTGTGTTATCCATGAGATAGCAAAGGGTATAACAATGCCTGTGATGGAAGAAACACATTTGAGAAAGTCCTGCTGCTTCCTTGCTTCCTTATAAACACACACACACACACATACACACACACACTCACTTTCTTTCTAAGGGGCAGTGTTTTGAAGACAAGTCTGGACTGGGCTGAGCAAAGAGCTGGAAAGTACAATAAGATCCTGGAGGAATAACTCACCAAAAGGATAGGACACAGGGCTGGTGGGCTGGCTTCTGAACTTCCACATAGAGGGGAAAACAGATTGTTGGTGCAGGGTCTTAGAGTGGGGCCTCTTGGAACAAATACAGTTGACTGGCAAGCTTGAGTGCAGGGAAAAGATTTTTCAAGTGCATCTGAAAGCCAGTTCGATGAGAATCTTTTTTTTTGTTTTTGAGACAGAGTTTCACTCTGTTGCCCAGGCTGGAGTGCAATGGTGCGATCTCGGTTCAGTGCAGCCTCTGCCTCCCAGGTTCCAGTGATTCTCCTGCCTCAGCCTCCCGAGTAGCTGGGATTACAGGCATGCGCCACCACACTCGGCTAATTTTTTTGTATGTTTAGTAGAGATGGGGTTTCATCATGTTGGCCAGGCTGGTCTCGAACTCCTGACTTCAAATCATCTACCCACCTCAGCCTCCTAAAGTGCTGGGATTACAGGTGTGAGCCAGCGTGCCTGGCCTTTCAATGAGGAGAATCTTTAACAGACTGTGACATGGAGAAGGACTACTGTGGCCTGCAGAGGAGTTGGCATAAATAGCATTAGCCACATTGACAGTAGGACAGGAGTATCAGCCACATGGCTTGAGTCTGCCTGGGTTTCAGCAGGCAGCTACACCAAGCCTCCTGCTTAAATATTAATAGCACCAACAATAGCACAGTGATTGCAGAGTCATGAGCTGCTGGGGCAGCTGTTGTGATACAGCCCTGTTCAGGGGTACTTACCTGAGTTCCAGCCGCACTGAGAAGACAAGCTACTTCCAGGACATTGTTGGGACATGTTAGAAGGACTTTACAGCATATTTCCATATGTATCAGGGAGAAACAATGTGCTGAAGGATGATTCTCAAAGGCGGAACTTCACAAACTTTTAAACATCTTGGCACATATTAAATAGCAAATTTAGATTCTGCTCATAGCCAGAGATAGCCATCTTGGGAGCTCAGGCTGGTCCCAGCTCCATTTGATTATCCGAGGGCTGAGGGATTCAATATTGAGATTAGGGCAACCCATTTGGGCACATCAGTTAGAAAGCTGTGCTTAATGAACCCAGTAAATTCTTTGTGGGGAGACAAATATAAAAAAAACAAGGACATTTTCAGCAAAGCATAGATTCTAAAACTTGTTTTAAAATTTTTTTTCGGAAACTCTACTTACCTTGGAGGTAATATTTTTTTTAAAAAAAGAGATGAGTAAAACATTTTTGCAGATCAGTCTTAGCCATGTCCCTATATCTCAAGAACTTTCCAGGGTGGAACCATGGCTAATGGTTAGAAAATGAGAGGGGGCCTCTCCTCCCAGAAACCTGCCCTTCTACACCATTCTCAATAGTTAGATGGAGAGTCTGTCAGATGGAAAGAACCACCCAGCATGAGAACAATGGGCCCATCAAATATCCTTTAAGGGATGACCTTCACTGCAGCCAGCTTCTTCCAGGCCTCCAAGGTAAGAAAAGAGAGCTGGAAGTACTAACATCTAAGAGAATCCGGTGATTCTGCAAGTCAAGGAGGAGAATCATTCACAAAAGGGGTAGAAATAACTGGTTTAGAAGTGGTGCCAAGAAGAACTTGGGTGCTTAACTTCTACTGCTCCCCCTCCTTTCAGAGCCTCTGAGAAGGTTCAACGCCACCTGCTTCCTGACCAGTGTCAAATCCGGGCCATTACAGTCCCTGAACAGACCCTCCTCCATGCTATCTCCACCCTCTGTCTTGTGGCCTGATATTGACATTTTTGCCTAAAATCCAACTGGAGTCCTTGGATTTTCTGAAAAGCAAAATTTTAATATAAATACTAGATAGTATAACATGTCAATAACCAATAGTTTTCAAGCAGATGAAGTATGCTGTCCTTACCATGGAACTTATGGTCCTGAAGAGGCTTCACATTTGAGTTGCAAAATCTTCTTGGAGGAAATTCTCCTGAAAGAGCCTTGTAACTGCTCTGGGACATCTGTTTTCACAGGAGGCCAAGGGAGCAGGTGCATGAGCAGCTGAGAGGCGATGTCTTGTTTATAATGTAAACCCTCCATGGTTCACACTCCTCCAGACCCAGATTCTGGCCGAATAGCATGAAGATGAGTCATCAAAGAGGGATAAAGGAAAAACAAAGGGGAAATGAAGCAATATAATGGAGCAAAAAGAAATAAAATCAACACAACCAAAAATATCTAAAATGGACCCATAGGAGCCTAAAAGGATAACAGATTAGGATGGCTAGAGTCAATATTTGCCAATTCAACTTTAAGAATTAAAAAATGAGATATGTTGGAAGGCAAGTTTCCCATGTCTAATAAAATTTAGAATACTCATACCTTTTGACCAAGAAATATACTTCTTAGAATTTATTAATATATACCCATGTAAGAGACACAGAGTATATTATTAATAAGATGAATGTATGGCCAGGCATGGTGGCTGAGGCAGGAGGATCACTTGAGTCCAGGAGTTTTGAGACCAGCTTAAGCAACATGACGAAACCCCCATCTCTACAAAAAAATACAGAGTTTTTTTATTTTTATTTTGTAGAGATGGAGGTCTTACTATGTTGCCCAGGCTGCTCTGGTTTAGAAGTGGTGCCAAGAAGAACCTAGGTGCAAAACTTCTACTGTTCCCCCTCCCTTCAGAGCCTCTGAGAAGGTTCAATGCCACCTGCTTCCTGACCAGTGTCAAATCTGGGCCATTACAGTCCCTGAGCAGTCCCAGGGACTGTTATGATATCCATTTAGTTTCCTTCAGTCAGGTTCTGTTTCTCAGACTTTCTTTGTTTCTTATTAACCTGTCATTTTTATGCCAGGCACGGTGGCTCATGCTTGTAATCCCAGCACTTTGGGAGGCCGAGGTGGACGTATCACCTGAGGTCATGAGTTGGAGAGCACCCTGGCCAACATGGTAAAACACCATCTCTACTAAAAATACGAAAATTAGCCAGGTATGGTGGTGCTACTTGGGAGGCTGAGGCAGGAGAATCGCTTGAACCAGGAGACGGAGGTTGCAGTAAGCTGAGATAGCGCCAATGCACTCTAGCCTGGGTGACAGAGCAAGACGCCGTCTCAAAAAAACAAAAAACAGAAACAAACAAAAAAAAACCTTGTCATTTTTAGAGTACAGGCTACTAACCATTTAATTATCCCCTGGTTTGGGTAAGTCTGATGTTTCTTCAGGATGTATGCTTTTTTATTGCAAGGAATACCATAGAAGTAATGATGTGGTTTTCTCATTACATTACATCGGAGGCACAGGACTTGTACTTCATTATTGATGATAACTTTTTTTTTTTTTTTGAGACAGGGTCTTACTCTGTTGCCCGGGCTGGAGTACAGTGGTACAATCATGTCTCACTGCAGCCTCAACCTCCCCAGGCTCAGGTGACCCTCCCATGTCAGCCTCCCAAGTAGCTGGGACTACAGGTGCACACCACCACACCTGGATAATTTTTGTATTTTTTGCAGGGATGAGGTTTCTCCATGTTGCCCAGACTGGCCTCAAACTCCTGGTCTCAAGCGATCTGCCTGTCTTGGCCTCCAAAAGTGCTAGGATTACAGGCATAAGCCTCCAAAAGTGCTAGGATTACAGGCATAAACCACCATGTCCAGCCCTGATGATAATATTTATCACTTGGTTAATGTGTTCACCAAGTTTCTTCACTATAAAATTAATTAATGATTACATTGTGTTCACTGATTAATAGTTAATTAGTACTTTGTAGTAATATGCCTTAATACTTTTACTATAAGGTAGAACATTCTCCCCATTTATTCATTCATTTTAAAATTTATATCACTATGTGTTCACATACATTTACTTTACTCTGAGGTTTAATCTGTAACACTTTTTTTTTTTTTTTTTGAGATGGTGTCTCGCACTGTTGCCCAGGCTGTAGTGCAATGGCACAATCTTGGCTCACTGCAACCTCCACCTCCTGGGTTCAAGCAATTCTCCTGCCTCAGCCTCCCAAGTAGCTGGGATTACAGGCACATGCCATCACCCCCAGCTAATTTTTTGTATTTTTAGTAGAGACGGGGTTTCACTATGTTGGCCAGGCTGGTCTCGAACTCCTGACCTTGTGATCCACCTGCCTCAGCCTCCCAAAGTGCTGGGATTACAGGCGGAAGCCACTGCACCCAGCCTCAATCTGTAACTATTACTACAAATAGTTAAATATTGTCCAAAATTGCCCCGGATTTGGCCAGTGGGAATTTCTTCAAACTGACTCCTATGTCCTTTTGACATGTACCCTTAAATCTTTTTGTTTTCCTTTTAGACACAGGGTCTTGCCATGTTGCCCAGGCTGGAATGCAGTGGTTATTCACAGATACCATCCCACTACTAATCAGCAAGGAAATTTTGATCTGGTCTATTTCTAGTCTGAGCCAGTTCACCCCTCCTTATGTAACCTGGTGGTCCTCTGCTCCAAGAGGTCACCATATTGATGTTAAACTTAGCACAGTCACCTGATTGGCATAGTGCACTACAACTCAGAACTCCTGGACTCAGTCATCCTCCTGCCTTAGTCTCCTGAGTAGTTGGAACCATGGGCACACACCACCATACCTGGCACCCTTCAGTCTTTGAGCTCTTCCTTACTTTCTGGCAAAACAAGATACGCCCAGGTCATCTTGTATTTTCCCTGTCACAGCCATAGAGAAAGCCATTTTTCCAAGGAGTACTGGTTCTTTTTATGTGACAATGGTATTTAGAAACCAAGATCTGGATGGTAGGTGTGTTCACTACTACCAGTGTGTCATTCCATCTAGGAACCTTTTAGGAGGAGCCTGAGTGACAATCGGTTTTACCGTTACATTTCTTCATTTTGCTCAGTGATACCTCCAAGATTGCTCTCTATGCCAAATAGCTTCTATTTGCCCCACCATATCCAGTTCCAGCCTTCTTTGTGTTGCTCTCTGCCCAGGAGCCTGAATGGTATGGACCATAATGATCATTGCCAAGTCCACTGTCATTCTGATTGGGTTCAGCCAGTGCAGAGCCTCAGTAAGAAAAAAAGAAGAAAGAGGAGACGAAAGTCGGGGTATTTATCACCTTGCCTCCTTCCCCACCAGGTGTCTTTGAATTGGCTGTGTCCCTCGACTGGAAGACCCCATTTTTCTCAGGAACTCTAACTCTACAATGTTCTCTTCTCCCTGTTCCTGGTAACTGCACCCCAAACCCTACTTCAGGTAGTAATCTCCATGATTCTCCTGAATTCAAACCTTTGTAAATAAACCCTCCTCAAATGATCTGAGTTAAAATGGCCATCTGTTTCTATTGGGATGCAGACACCCTCTGGGTAAAAATATGAATACTCCAAAGTTGCTTTCCCTGTTTCCCAAGATATGTGGTGGGCAATGATTCAAAAAAAACAAGGCTTCTTGTGAAGCTGCAACTCTGGTATGAAAGCCTTCCTTTTGCAGGGCAGGGGTTGGCTAACTTTTTCTGTAAGGTTGCCAGACAGTAAATGGTTTGGGCTTTGAGAGTTATATAGACTCTGTTGCAGCTTCTCTACTCTGCCATTGTAGTGCAAAAGCAATTACAGAAAACAGGTAAACAAATGTGCTTGCTCCTGACATACAAGGACCACTCCTAAGGTGTTCTAATTCAGTAAAATGTTTGTTGTAGGATTTTGTTAGAGATTGTTTATACAATCAAGGAGCACATTATTTGTAAGCTTCATTTTACAGTTTGGGAAGCTGAAAATTATTGAAGTCAATGGTTTGCCCTATGTCTTATAACTATGCAGTGGAAGTAGCAGTAATACTCGGATACCAAATTATTTGTTCCCATTACCATGAAGAATTTCTTTGAACAAGGTATTGTGAAGGTAATATTATTCTGGAGAACAGTTGATAGAATAGAGATTTTTGAGGCTAAGAGGGTCTAAGGGTTTGTTGGAAATCATACCATCTATTGGTAGGCTTAGTTCTAGACAGGATGTATCATTATATGGTTGTGTGTATTATAACAGTATGACCAGAGGAAAAAGTGAGACATTTTGATTGTCTCCCTAACTAGGTTCTTTGCTATCACAGAGCTACTGAATCAAATCATTCTGAAGGCTGCTCTACCTTTAAACTTTCCAGTTCTGTTATAATTAAATAGTTTGAGTTGGGCTTTCTGTCTTGCTACTGAAAGCATTCTAATGGACAGCCAGAGCTTCCTGCTGTTTATTGATCAAGAAGCCAAAAGAAAATATTTAGCAACCAGATGCTATTAAGTACATAATACCATAGATATATGCTTATTTTATCCTGATTTTTCTTTCTGAAATGCTATAAACTTTTCAGCTTAAAAGCTCACAGCAAAAGTGAAAGTGTTTGTTTTGCATATTCAGGAAAGCTCATTAAATATTTTTAATTACTCAGATATTATTTAACTTGTAATATACTTGAGTATATGTGTTGCATGAAAACTATTCATAACTTAGAGTGAAAGCAGGATATATAAAATTATGTTGAAATATCTTTAAATGAATTTTATAGTCTCCCATTAATTTGTCCATCTAGGCAGTCATGAACTATTTATTGAATGTCCACTAAGTGCAAGATAGAACCAGTGGAATTAGAGCAGGCAAAGCGTGCAATCCAAACACAGCAAGAAGCAGTGAAGCTCCAGTATGGTCATTTTATGACCATTTTATCACCTTCTTTTTAAAAAACTAGTATCTATTGGTGAAATGCTAACTTGTTATTTATAAAATGAATTTAGGAAGGGGATGATTGACAGTTGTCACAGCCTATTTTGTGCTGCTATAACAGGGTAATTTATAAAGAACAGTCATTTATTCTTACAGTGCTAGAGGCTGGAAAGTCCAAAATCAAGGCATTTGGTCTGGTGAGGGCCTTCTTGCTATATCCTCACACAGAAAGCAGAAAGGCAAGCTAGCGAAATGCTGCATGAAGCCTCTTTTTAAACGACCTTAAATCCATTAAAGATGGAGCAGCTCTTACGGCCTAATCACCTCTTAGAGGTCCCACTTCTTAATACTATCACATTGGCAACACCTAAATTTTGGAGGGCACCCATTCAAACCGTAGCAATGGTCCCCCTCCCCCTTCCCCTCCCCTCCACTTCTCCCCTCCCCTCCCCTCCCCTTTCCCTTCCCTTCCCTTCCCTGTTCTTTCTTTTTTTTCCTTTTTCTGTCCATACATGTTCTTCCACCACGTGGCTGCACTGGAGTCTCTGAGCCTACTGATGCTCAAAAGGCTGCCTGATTTAGGAATCATTCGTCAAACCATAGCAATGGCTTTTCATTTGTTTGCAAGCAAAGCAATGGCAATTCTTTTTTTTTTTTTTTTTTTTTTTTTTTTTGAGACGGAGTCTCGCTCTGCCGCCCAGGCTGGAGTGCAGTGGCGGGATCTCAGCTCACTCCAAGCTCCGCCTTCCGGGCTCACGCCATTCTCCTGGCTCAGCCACCCGAGTAGCTGGGACTACAGGAGCACGCTGCCACGCCCGACTAAGTTTTTTGTATTTTTAGTAAAGACAGGGTTTCACCGTGTTAGCCAGGATGGTCTCGATCTCCTGACCTCGCGATCCACCCGCCTCGGCCTCCCAAAGTGGTGGGATTACAGGCTTGAGCCACCGCGCCCGGCCGTAATGGCAATTCTACAGTGAAAATACTCTTGCAATTCCAATAGGAAAAAAGTGGAGGCGGGGGCGGGGAGGGTGGAAGTATTCCAAATGTTTTTAATGCTTTTCCTAGTCTGTTAAGTTTCTTTGTTTTGTTGGAATGCCTAAGTCAATGAATTCAGTATTGATTCATTTCAAAGGCTTGAAGGCTTGAAGCCTTGAGAGAATGAAAGGAAGGAAAGATTTTCCTCGACTGTAGTAAGCCTTGAGGCATAGAAACTGTAGTCATGAAAAGCACATCAGAGACATCTTTGTTCCTTGTTAAAACCTGTGGAAAATAACTCTATGGCTAGGGTTGAAAGGTATATTACTGATTAGTGAGAAGATTTATCATTTAAGCAGGATTTCTTAATCCCACCAAAGTAAACTAGACTATATCATGAGGATGCTGGAGCCCCACTGCTTCTTGCTGTGTTCAGTTTACACACTTTGCCTGCTCCAATTCCACTGGTTCTAGCTTGCACTTAGCGGACATTCAATCAACAGTTCATGACTGACTACCCAGACAAATTAATGGAAAATTGTATCATCATTTGAGGATCTTTTTAATTTAATTTTTACTCTAACACTTCCATCAGGCTTGTTAAGTATTTTAGTTCTGTTTTTTTTTTTTCAATTATAAAAATATAAGTGGTATAGTAAAAAGGCACGAGTTCAAAGAGTGTTTTGATGCAGGGTGTGGTGGCTCATGCCTGTAATCCCAGAACTTTGGGAGGCCAAGACAGAAGGATTGCTTAAGGCCAGGAGTTTGAAACCAGCCTAGATAACATAGCAAAACTCCTGCTCTATGAAAAATTTTTTAAAAAATTAGCTGGGCATGGTGGCATGCATCTGTAGTCCTAGCTACTCAGCAGGCTGAGGTGGGAGGATCCCTTGAGCCCAGGAGTTCTAGGTTATAGTGAGCTAGGATCGTCCCACAGCACTCCAGCTTAGGCAACAGAGCAAGACTTAAAAGAAAAAAAAGTGGCTGGGCGTGGTGGCTCACGCCTGTCATCCCAGCACTTTGAGAGGCTGAGGCCGGCGGATCACCAGGTCAAGAGATCCAGACCATCCTGGCCAACATGGTGAAATCCTGTCTCTACTAAAAATACAAAAATTAGCTGGGCATGGTGGCACGCACCTGTAGTGCCAGCTACTTGGGAGGCTGAGGCAGGAGAATCGCTTGAACCTGGGAGGCGGAGGTTGCTGTGAGCCGAGATTGCGCCACTGCAGTCTGCAGTCCGGCCTGGGCGACAGAGCGAGACTCCGTCTCAAAAAAAAAAAAAAAAAAAAAAAGAGAGAGTGTTTTGATACTGCTGTCATTTAACACTTTACTTAATATAATACATACCTCGCCAAAATAAAAGTTATGGCAGTAGCTGATAAAAATTGTAACATTTATTGAGTTCTTACTGTATGCCAGGCAACAAGCTGTATTCTTTGCTTGAAAATTTAAAATTCAAGCCTGGCCAACATGGTGAAACCCTGTCTCAGTTAAAAATACAAAAAAACTAGCCAGGTGTGGTGGCACATGCCTGTAATCCCAGCTACTTGGGAGGCTGAGGTGTGAGAATCGTTTGAACCCAGGAGGCGGAGGTTGCAGTGAACTAAGATCACACCACTGCACTCTAGCCTGGGCGACGGGGTGAGACTGCCTCAAAAAGAAAAGAAATTTTAAAATTCATACCTACAACAACTTTCTAAGTAGGTAGTATTATTTTCCTTGTTTTATAGACGACAAAACTATATAGGTTATATTGCCTGTGAAGCTATATAAAATATATTCATTTACATGGAAGGACATTAATAAGGAAAATAAAGACATTAGGACGAGCGTAGTGGCTCATGCCTGTAATCCTAGTACTTTTGGCAGCTGAAGCGAGAGGACTGCTTGAGCTCAGGAGTTCCAGACAAGCCTGGGCAACATGGCAAAACCCTGTCTCTACAAAATACAAAAATTAGCTGGGTGTGGTGGTGCATGCATGTAGTCCCAGCTACTCAGAAGGCTGAGGTAGGAGAATTGCTTGAGCTCAGAGGCGGAGGTTGCAGTTAGCCGGGATCATGCCACTGCACTTCAGCCTGGGCGACAGAGTGAGACCTGATTTAAAAAAAAAAAAAAAAAATGCCGGGCGCAGTGGCTCACGCCTGTAATCCCAGCACTTTGGGAGGCCGAGGTGGGTGGATCACGAGGTCAGGAGATCGAGACCATCCTGGCTAGCACGGTGAAACCCCTTCTCTACTAAAAATACAAAAAATTAGCCGGGAGCGGTGGCGGGCGCCTGTAGTCCCAGCTACTCGGGAGGCTGAGGCGGGAGAATGCCGTGAACCCGGGAGGCGGAGCTTGCAGTGAGCGGAGATCGCGCCACTGCACTCCAGCCTGGGTGACAGAGCGAGACTCCGTCTCAAAAAAAAAAAAAAAAAAAAAGTGTCACACTGAAGATTTTTCCTCTGTTATGGAGGAGGCAAATCCCCCGCACCCCACATCAGCTCTCAGTGGATTCCTCCTGAATGGCCAATGCATTGTTTAATCAGCTCAGTGGACTAGATCAATATTTAGATTTTAAAGCTCTCATTCCTGACCAAATGTCCACAAACAGAATAGCAAAAATATTTTATAAAGTTTCTCCTATATGATTTGTATTGATTAGCAAATTTCCATCACTTAATCATTTCTGACAGTAAAAGAAATCTTCAGGAAATGTCTAACAGACATTTTATTTTCAGCAGTGAAGCATGTAGGAAAAATAACATTTTGTTCATTACTCATCGTGTCGATGGTGCGTAAGAGAAGAGTGCTGCACAAACCAGTGTGGGCACTACGCAGTTGCTGGTACAGACACAAATAAAGATAAATCTTCTCAAAGGAAATTAAGTGAAGCCAGTGGGCCATTAGCTAATACTCTTGGAACACTTTATCCCAGTCATATAGAGAAAGGATTGAAAGATGGACATTTAAGATCTGGCAAGATACGCAAGGTAATCATCCAAAGTAAAGCTGTTTGTTACATCACTTCTCTATTTTTCTGTAGATTATATATTACATCTATTGAAATATATGAAGAGCTAAGCAAAAATTGTACCAGACATAAATTCCTTAATTGAATTATGAGTATAGAATTGAAGTGTGGGATGTATATAAACAGGAACATCATGTTGGAGTTAAAAGCAGGACATTAATTATTTTTCAAGCCATAAACATGAAGGAGCTCAAGAAGGAAAGCCACAGAGAGAGACTGAAGCTTCGAATCAACCAGATGAACAAATAATGGCCTCAGTATTTGAACTGCACAACAGATGGAGTACTTTCTCTTTTTTACACATGGCCTTCCCTGACTGCTTCCTTCTCTGAGATATGGTATTTTTCCAGGGCTGAATCTTCCTAACATGGCACTATCAGCAAAAACAGGGCAGCCCACTGACATTGACAGGGACCTGCAGGGTTTCTAAGGGCTTACTTTTTCTCCCTGACATAAGGTTCTGTTGTTTGTTGTTTCCCCGAGTGACATGGTGACATGTGCTTTTTTTTTTTTTTTTTTTTTTTTGAGTGGGAGTCTCGCTCTGTCACCCAGGCTGGAGTGTGTTGGCACAATCTCAGCTCACCGCAACCTCCACCTCCCAGGTTCAAGCGATTCTCCTGCCTCAACCTCCCAAGTAGCTGGGATTACAGGCGCCCATCACCACACCCGGCTAATTTTTGTATTTTTAGTAGAAACGGGATTTCCTCATGTTGGCCAGGCTGATCTCGACCTCCTGGCCTCAAGTGATCTACCCACCTCGGCCTCCCAAAGTGCTGAGATTACAGGTGTGAGCCACCATGCCCAGTGACACGTGATTTTAGAGTTCCAGGCCAAAGGGCATATTTTCATCCATGTCTGCATGTATTTCATCCACTTTCAACTGCAAGTGCGGTTTGAACTTTGTTCACATGTCCCTCTCTACTCCAGTGCTGGTGAAATGTTTTCACCAATTTCTAGTGAGAAAAATTAGAGGTATTTGCTTGAGCAGAGTTTGTCATTGTTTCTTACATTCCTGTAAGTGGGCTTAAACTCCACGCTTTAAATATTTAAAGCAAGAAATCAATCTCCATCAGTATTTTCACTGAAGTAATAATAATAAATAAGATATAGTAACCGAAGTAAGTTATTAACCCCTTGGCAAAAGACACATAAAACAGTTTCAAATTAATAAATGTGTTAACTGTCCTTCTCAGTTGGGGCAGCAGTCCCCTCTGGTCTTTATTCCAACACATGTAGTTTTGCATTTTCATACTGGTTTGTCTTAGAAATTCCCTCAGGGATAAAGAATTGGGTCTTTGTTTAATTATCTGTAACAGCTGGTGTAATGCCAAGTAGGTACTAAATTTGTCTTGAAGGTGATCAGTCTGAGAATAGGTAATAAGTATGGCTGCTGGAGCTTGAGACAATGTACAAAATAAATCTATGTCTGATGCACGTTTATCAAATGTGGTCACCACCATCAGTGTAATAACCATGCCCAAAACAAAACACATCTGTTCATGCAAATTGGCAGTGTGTGCTTCTGGGCCCAAGGCTCATGTAGTAAAGGATGGAGGCTGCCATCTGGGCTCAAGACCCAGAACTTAGGTTCTAATTTACAAAGCGTGCAACTTGAGTGTTCATGCACCATGTGCAAGCCTGAATTCCCTCATATGTTAAATAGGCACGTGTGCTAGGCAGAATGATGACCTGCACCCCCTTCCCAAAGCCATGGACATCTTTGGGAAGTGGAGGCAGGTCATCATTCTGTCTAGCACACGTGCCTATTTAACATACAGGATTCCCAAAGCCTGTACATATGTTACTTTGCATGGCAAGATATTTTGCAGTTTTAATTAAGGACTTTGCAGACATGATTAAGAATTAAGGATTTTAAGATGGGAGCTTATCCTGGATTATCTGAGAGGGTTTAGTGTAATCACAACGGTTCTTTTTTTTTTTTTTTTTTTTTTTTTGAGATGGAGTCTCGCTCTGTCACCCAGGCTGGAGTGCAGTGGTGCGATCTCGGCTCACTGCAACCTCCGCCTCTCGGGTTCACGCCATTCTCCTGCCTCAGCCTCCTGAGTAGCTGGGACTACAGGCCCCCACCACCACGCCCGGCTAATTTTTTGTATTTTTAGTAGAGACGGGGTTTCACCATGTTGGCCGGGATGGTCTCGATCTCCTGACCTCGTGATCCACCCGCCTTGGCCTCCCAAAGTGCTGGGATTACAGGCGTGAGCCACCGCGCCCGGCCACAGGTGTTCTTATAATACAGCAAACAGGGAGGCAGGAGACTGACAGGAAATGCAATGACGGAAGCTCAGGTCAGAGTGATGCAGGGCCCACAAGCCAAGGGAGGTGAGTATTCTCTAGAAGCTAGATCAGGCAAGGAAACAGTCTCTCCTACAGCCTCCAGGAAGGCCATGCCATACCCTGCAGATCCATTTTAGACTTCTGATCTCCAGACCTTCAACAGAATACATTTGCGGTGCTTTCAGTCACTAACTGTGTGGTGATTTGTTACAGCAGCAATGGGGAATGAATACAGGTCATTAATACTTCCTTGCAGGGTTATGTACAGATTAAATGAAAACAGCCATTTAAGACTTCCTACTGGGTTGGGCGTAGTGGCTCATGCTGTTATCCTAGCACTCTGGGAGGCCAAGGCGAGTGGATCACCTGAGGTCAGGAGTTCGAGACCAGCCTGGCAAACATGGTGAAACCCTGTCTCTACTAAAAATACAAAAAATAGCTGGGTGTGGTGGCACATGCCTGTAATCCTAGCAACTTGGGAGGCTGAGGCAGGAGAATCGCTTGAACCTGGGAGGTGGAGGTTGCAGTGAACTGAGATTGGGCCACTGTACCCCAGCCTGGATGACAGAGCAAGACTCTGTCTCAAAAAAAAAAAAAAAAAAAAAAAAAAGACTTCATACTGAGCTGGTGCGTGCCTGTAATCCCAGCTATTCAGCAGGCTGGGGCAGGAGGATTGCTTGAGCCCAGGTGTTCAAGACCACTGTTGGTAATATAGTCCCTGTCTCATGAAAAACAACAACAAAACAAAACACAGTGCCTAACACACAGAAAGTGTGGAATAAATGCCATTATCAGTTAATGAAGCTTTTGGCTCTAGTGACATAAAACATAACTGCAGATTTTCGGTCTCATCTCTAATTTATATGTTGTAGTCTCAAATAGCAGAAAAGCAACTGTTTCTCTTGACTGCTTTATGCTGAGCTGTGTCGAAAACAAAATGAGGGCAGGCGTGATGGCTCACGCCTGTAATCCCAGCTCTTTGGGAGGCCAAGGCAGGTGGATCACCTGAGGTCAGGAGTTTGAGACCAGCCTGGCCAACATGGTGAAACCCTATCTCTACTAAAAATACAAAAATTAGCCAGGAGTGGTGGTAGGAGCCTGTAATCCCAGTTACTCGGGAGGCTGAGACAGGACAGGAGAATCGTTTCAACCCAGGAGGCGGAGGTTGCAGTGAGCCGAGATTGCACCACTGCACTCCAGCCCCGGGCAACAAAGAGTGAAACTCCATCTCAAAAAAGAAAAAAAAATAAAAGAGGGACAGGGTTACATAAAACATCACCCATAACCCCACAGAGCTCTTCCAAAGCTCCACACAAAAATGTAAGGAAAAAAGGTAATGTATCTAAGAGCAGAGGGAGGACCTGGAATTCATTGAGCTACACACTTTACACAATGGAATGTCTGCAACAAGCCTATGAGGTAGGATTCCCTAAACTCAGAGAGCTTAAGTAACCTGCCCACCATCACACAGCTAATAAAATGTAAAGTCCACATTCAAATTCCTGTCTGCCTGAATTAAAAGCTCATGATTTTTCTGGAATTCCTTTAGACTTTATAATAGAAAATGAAGCATAACTTCTATCTTGAAACACCTGTTTCTTTTTTTTAAGACATATTAATATATCTTTAAAAAAATGTTTTTTACAGAGTCAGGGTCTTGCTCTGTTGCTCAGTCTGGAGTGTGGTGGCTTGATCGTAGCTCACTGCACCCTCAAACTCCTGGTCTCAAGCAACCTTCCCACCTCAGTCTCCCAAGCAGCTGGGGCCATGGGCCCATGCCACTGCACCAGCTAATTTTAAAAAAAAAAGTTATTTTCTTTGCAGAGACAGGGTCTCACTATGTTGCCCAGGCTGATCTCAAACTGCTGGGGCTCAAGCAATCCTCCTGCCTCAGCCTCCCAAAGCATTCTTAATGTCCCTTTACTATCATTTTGTGCAGAATCGTGTCCCAAGTTCATCACACAGTGCTATGGTGATTGATACGCTATTTGCAGGGCAAATAAGAGTAGTAGCGGTAGTAGTAATAATAATTCATTTCTTATTATAAAGCATTTTTACAGTTTTAAAATAATTTTTAAAACATATATCTTGATCTTTTCAGGAGTCTTATGACTCCTGACAGGCAAGTCTCACTATTGTTTACTGTTGATAAGAACTCTGAAGTTTGGCCCAGCACTGTGGCTCACGCCTATAATCCCAGCACTTTGGGAGGCTGAGATGGGAGGCTCACACAAACCCAGGAATTCGAGACCAGCCAGGACAACATGATGAGACCCCATCTCCTTAAAAAATAAAAAAATTAGCCAGCCATGGTGGCACGTACTCCTGGTCCCAGCTACTCAGGAGAATTAGGCGGTAGGATCACTTTTGAGCCCAGGAGGTCAAGACTGCTGTGAACCGTGTTCATGCCACTGCACTCTAATGTGGGTGACAGAGCAAAACCCTGTCTGAAGAAACAAACAAACAAACAAGCAAAAAAAAATCCTGAGGTTCACAGACTGCTTTGCCCAAGGCTCACATCCAAATGACATGCCAGAAACACATACTCTGCTTCAAAATTTTATACCACATCCATTACACTGGTCTTGGGGAGTGGTTACTCCTTATGGTATGGAAACTGATTTGCAAACTATTTCCAGCAGAGTGCCTCAGCTGTGGTCAGTTGGCAAGTATGCATTTAGGCAAACGAACCCACTTGCAGTGGGCTGAGCCCTGGAGTCAAAGCTGTATCTTCTTATGCTGAGAAGGCTTCTTCCCCAGAGGGAACTAGAGATTGCTTCCAAGGGGTTGAGAGTTAAGTTTTTCTGAAAGTCATTATGGGCTTGGTTTTGTTTTTCATTTTTTCCCATACCTCCCTCTTCACAGAAAAGTCATAGTGTTTTATAGCCTGCTTAAAACTCTGTGTTCTCTGTAATAGCTGTAAAGTCTTCACTTAATTATAGTAGGCTCTTCTATTATTTTTTAGTTGCAATGGTGTAAAAGAAAATAAGCCCTGTTTCCCTTTGAAGTTATTTTGTGCAAACATAGTAGTTTCTCTTCTCTCTCCAAGTTTGGTAGCTTGGATTCATTTGTTTCCAGGAATTTTTCTTTATACAATATAAATGTATGCCCACAGCCTTGAGCTAATTACACTGTAGCCAATTCCCTTCCTTTGTCATTATTTACCAGTCCCCTATCTTTTTTTCTAGAACATATATATAATTAGTTAAATAAGCACATTTAGTACTTTGCTTCTCATGTAAGTTCACGTTTTTCTAAGGTGTGGATAAATTGTTTAGAGAACTAATTTTGCGTTCACTTGTTTATGATTACAGGTGTTATTTTTGTGCCCCACCAATGCTTCTTGTATGTTTAAATCTTCGTTGTTGTCGTTGTTGTTGTTTTTAACTATTTGAAATTCACAACTCACTGAATTTTGTGTCTGGTTTTATTTTGAAAAAAAAGTCATATTTCCAATTTTTTCTTTCGCACCTATTTGTATGCTGAGCATTCATTAATGCAAACCATCTGATTTCTGAGCATTTTTATGGATAGAAATTTTGATTATATTGGTGATTTAAAATTGTAGAACCTGAAACAAATGATTTTTTTACTACACATACACACATTTTAGCTACTCAAAGTGATAATATACCATTAGTGAAGCGTGTTAAAAGTATGCTACTTACTTTATTCATTTCAGACCGAGTTTTTTTTCACATTTTACCATCTCTGAAATTGATATGTGTCTTAAAATCAATGTGGCAAGAACACATGATTTAATTAACTGCTTCTTCTTTCTTGGCAGTATGACCTAAAAGAATGCCAAATTTTCAATTTGGTAGCATCTCAGATTTGATTAGATACAATATGTACCAAGACTACTATTGTACATGTTTTACAAAGTCTCTCATTTAATCCTCTAAAAAATCCCATGTCATAGACACAATTATTCTTCACATTTCACAGAAGAAGAAAATAGATGATGGAAGTTGCTGCCATCATGTATCAGCTACACCATCCTCTTGTAGCATGTTGATGACTATTAGCTCTCATGGGGGTGGAGGAAGCCTTGATTTGTAGCATTTGTTAATTTCCATGGTGTAAATACTCTCACTGTGGCCAATCTCAAGATACCAAGATGAAGTCACTGAACATAGCATTGGAAAGATATGCATGCAGTTCACTGATGTTAAGCAGATGTGAGATGACTGCAGCATATCATATATGTTACGTGTTTTTTCTGGGTTATCTCTCACAAATCCTTGTCTTTAGTGCCACTCATATGCCAGAAATGGCAATATCCAACTTTCTATTGGTCACCTCCACTGGGATGCCCTACTTGTTCCTCCAATTCAATGGATAAATAGTACCTTTCTTACTACCGACATTCTGCCTAAGAATCATAATTGAATGCAGGAAAAGGAAATCTAGAATTGTAATAATATGATGCCTAAGAGCTGTGAAGGGTGTGAGATTTTATTCTACTTGCAAGCTAACAAATTAGACTGCCTATTTTACGGATATTGTCACAACATTCCAAAATCAAAGGACTTTATTACTCATAGAAAAAGCAGTAGCCCTAGTATTGACTTTTTTCAGTAGCCTGAATCTCAATTCCTACCAGGTGATGCAAAGAGGGCCTTCATGTAAGATGGTGGCATTACAGGAGAGGAAACCAGAGTTCAAGGCACCTGAATCTTTTTTTTTTTTAATTTTTGAAATGGGGTCTCGCTCTGTTGCCCATGCTGGAGTGCAGTGGTGCAATCATGGCTCACTGCAGCCTCCACCACCTGAACTCAAGTGATCTTCCCACCTCAGCCTCCTGAGTAGCTGGGATCACAGGTACACACCACTATGTCCAGCTCATTTTTAAATTATTTGTAGGGACGAGGTTTTGCTCTGTTGCCCAGACTGGTCTCAAACTTCTAGCCTCAAGTGATCCTCCTGCCTCGGCCTCCCAAAGTGCTCAGATTATAGGCAGTGCCACTGTACCTGGCCCTGGCTGAATTCGCGAATGAACCATTCTTTTTTTTTTTTTTTGAGACAGTCTTGCTCTGTCACCCAGGCTGGAGTGCAGTGGCACGATCTTGGCTCACTGCAACCTCTACCACCTGGACTCAAGTGATCTTCCCACCTCAGCCTCCTGAATAGCTGAGATTACAGGGCATGCACCACCATGCACGGCTAATTTTTGTATTTTTAGTACAGATGGAGTTTTGCCATGTTGGCCAGGCTGGTCTTGAACTCCTGGCCTCAAGCGATCTGCCTGCCTTGGCCTCCCAGAAGTGCTGGGATTACAGGCATGAGCCACCGTGCCCAGACTGAATAACCATTCTTGATTGAACTCTTTCCATTTGAGCAACTAAGCTCATTGGGCTCTTCTCACCTTGTTAGTCTCTGAGTTGATGTTGACCTGGGCACATATGACCCCAGGGTTACCTGAGCTATATCAAATTATACAAATGTTGATCAGAAACTCAGATGCTAAATCCTGGACAGAAAAAGCCAATTGAACTTATCCAGCAAGGTACTGAGGATTCTTCTTTCACAATAAACCGGAAGGTCAGAAAATAGCCCCAAAAGTTGGGTGAAGTCTCCTAATAGCCATACCTGAAATACTTCCCATAAGAATTGATTGGATGGCCTGGTGCAGTGGCTCACACCTGTAATCCCAGCACTTCGAGAGGGAGGCTGATGTAGGTGGATTGCTTGAGCCCAGGAGTTTGAGACCAGCCTGGGCAATATAGTGAGACCTCGTCACTACAAAAAATACAAAAATTAGTCAGGTATGGTGGTGCATGCCTGTAGTCCCAGCTACTCAGGAGGCTAAGGTTGAAGGTTTGCTTGAGCCCGGGAGGCAGAGGCTGAAGTGAGCCTAGATCATGCCTCTGCACTCCAGCCTGGGTCACAGAGGGAGACCTCATCTCCAAAAAAAAAAAATTAAAATAAAATAAAAATTAAAAAAACTAACTGGACCATAACTCAAACGTGGAGAATATGTGTATTTGGGATAATGTAAAAAATATTTTTCAATAACATTTGAGAGCTAAGGAATGTGCAAATGTAACCGTGGCATGAGCAATCTAGACATACCCTTGGGATTTTAACTCCATGGGAACCTTCAAAACCCATTGCTTACTGCAGCCTCATCCTTGACCTGGTCACAGAAGTTTATCGCACTTATTATAGGGCAATAGCTGTCACTGCAAAACTTGTCAATACTTCTCCTGAACTAGTTCTAGGCTCCCTATTTGACCTCATGTTTCCTCCTGCAATACAGACATTACTACTGACTGAGAACATACAGCAATTTCATCCAGACAATGAAGTGTTCTCACTAAAGAAATAAGTGTGTGAAATAATGCATATGTTAAATATCTTACATATACCAAAACTTCACGTTGTACATCATAAATATATTTAAGTTTTGCTTGTCAATTTAAAAATAATAATAATAAATAAAATAAAACTCAGCAGACAGCTTTCGCACTTGGTAGAGCTGGTCAATTAGGTACCAGAAGTACCTAATTGACCAACTAGGTTTGAGCATGCTTTGCAAACAAAAGATCTCGGATGGAATCCCCATCAAAAATGAAGAACAAATTAAGGAACTTTAGGTGCAGCCCTACTATGTGGAAAGGGAGCTACTATAAAGGTTGAGGCCCATGTAGAAAGAGAGACTTTGTAAGCTAAAGAAATGCTCCAGCAGCATTTCCTAATAAGAAGCCTTAATCAAGGTTATGATTCCAAGTAAACCCTCAAAAGATAAATCTCAAAGAGGCCATTACAAAATATCAATTTTTAGTTTCTTGTTTTAAAGAGGAAGAATAGAAAAAAATCTGGTTACACCCTTCACACACATAATCTCTAATCCTTCCAACCAGGCTGGTGGCCTCAGATGATTTCAAATGAACATTAGCTACATTTCTCCATGAAACTACTCCTTATGGTACAGAAAAATTGGTTACTATCTCAAATCAACATTGATGGGGAAAATTTTAAAAGATGGCTGAAGTTATTTGCAGGTCATGTGTCACCTGTCAACAACATAATTTTAGAAAAATTGTAAGGGTGGGGCATAGCCAGGAACCAAAGCTTCAAGGGCCCTTTGAGTGTCTTCCTGCATCTATTTCATTCTCTCCATGGAATTTGAATATATTTTAGGTATTTTGAATCTATTTTCAGGATGGGTTGAAGCATTTCTATTCTAAAGAGTTACAGCCCTTATTGTTGCTAAGGAAAATAAAAGCCCACTTGAGTTTAACCTGAGGTAAACCAAATTTTACATCAAGTGACTGAGAAATGCTTTACAGGAAGCATTGTATAAGAACCTCGTAAGGCATTACCTCTTACTCAAAAACTATACTCCTCCTACCACCCACAATCGTGTTCTCTTGTTCTGAGTTGAGCAATTGGGATTCCTGGTTTTGAAGCATTTTACAGGTAATGTTAATTGCTCTTGTTTTTGTCATAGTGGTCATCATGCTGATCTACTGTATTCTCGTCAGAGTCTTAAATGTATCCATTCGGTCATTTTCTTGCTGGACGATCACAATGATGATACAACAAGTCAAGATCTCTCAATTAGCTATGGAGACAACTGGACAATCTCCAAGAAGTAAAAACCTGGATTTCCAACATTTTGTGAGCTGGGGAACTTCTCAAAAGTGAGAGACCAAAATGGGACTGAGAGACTGAATATAGAAATAGATAGTGATCCGGCTGGGCACAGTGGCTCATGCCTGTAATCCCAACAGTTTGGGAGGCCAAGGTGGGTGCATCACTTAAGGCCAGGAGTTTGAGACCAGCCTGGCAACATGGTGAAACCCCGTCTCTACTACAAATATAAAAAATTAGCCAGGCATGGTGGAGCGTGTCTGTAATCCAGCTACTCAGGAGGCTGAGGCATGAGAATCACTTGAACCAGGGAGGTGGAGGTTGCAGTGAGCTAAGAATGCACCGCTGCACTCCAGGCTGGGCAACAGAGTGAGACTCTGTCTAAAAAATTAAAAAAAGAAATAGATAATGATTAGACATCTATGATGAAGAACTCTGGCCCACAACCTGTTCAGGAAGCCAAATCACAACCTCTGCAGCAATCAGCACAGAACTGTCAGGACTGGGTCAATGACTGCCAGCTTCTGTTTTTTTGTCCTCACTTCTAATTCACGACCAATCAGAGAAAGTCAAATAGACTGACCATATCACTCATGTGATTAAAACCCTTCACCTGTGACTACACATGACTTTCAAGGTTTAAATCATACTTCTTAGCACATCTTGTAAGTTTCTACTATATTCATCGGCATTTTTTTTTCTTTTTTTTTGAGACGGTCTTGCTCTGTTACTCAAGCTGGAGTTCAGTGGCACAATCACAGCTCACTACAGCCTCAACCTCCTGGGCTCAAGTGATCCTTCCACACCAGCCTCCCAAGTAGGGATCACAGGCACGTACCACCGCACTAATTTTTTAATTTTTTGTAGGGGTGGGGTCTCCCTATGTTTCCCGGGCTGGTCTCAAATTCCTGGGCTCAAGTGATCCTCCCACCTCAGTCTCCCAAACTGTTGGTATTACAGGTGTGAGCCACCATGCTCAGCCATCAGTAGTCTTTTGATTACAAGTGATAGACACTTAACTCAAGGTAGCTTAAGTAAAAAAGGGAATTACCGGTTCACGTAACTGGGAAGAACAGAAGTGAACTATCATTCAGGCATAAGTGGATCTAGATGAAGCTAATAGGATTTGGCCATGGTTCAAGGTGGGGAGAAGCAGCTAATGTGATCTTCTGGGTGAGACCCTTGGGCCAGTTCAATGTAGTGTTGTTATGGTTTCCACTGATGATGTATCATTGGGGTTGATGTTTCACATGGTTGTACTGAGAACGGTCATAAAGTTCAGAGGGTCTAAGGTTTAAATTTTACAGTTGCATGCTGGTTCAAGGGCAGGATTGATGTTTAGAGTCAACTGATATTTTCAGGTCTTAGGAAAGTTGTTAGGAAAGGTTGGGGAGTCTGGATGTGGGGGAAGCGGAGGGAGGAGTCTATGGAGGGGCAGAAGGAAAGAGATCAGAAGGATAAGGCAGAAGAGGGAGGGCTGGATGTAGGGAAGCAGCTGAGAACAAGCAGTGGGGAGGCATACTAGGGAAATGAGTCTAGATTGTTATTGCTTAAGTTTGTCAAATTCCTCATTAGCTTTGGCCATTTAGTTTTTCAGTGAACCAATTATTGAATCCAAATTTCATTCAGAGGCCTCCACATACCAATAAAAAATTACTGCCCATTGGACATGAGAAAGTTTATTTCTCTTCTTTTCTAAGGTTCCTCTCAAATGAACAATACTGCTGAAGTCAAATGTTTCCCCAGAGTGGCCATTGAAGGACCTTGGTGAAGTCATGCATTTAGAAAGAAGTCATAAGAATTAGGGTTATAATGAGAGTTCCAGTAAGAAGTTTTTCCTGGAAGAGGAGAAGACCTAGACTTACACAACCCCTGGAGAGGGGGCAACAATTACTTAAAAGTAATGGTTTTGCACTTTGTGTCTCAGGCCCCAACCTGACAGTGGGCCACCTCTGAATGCAGACCCCACAATCTGTGCCCCCTAGTATGCAGAAAAGCAGAGAGAAAAACAGCATTCTGTCTGGATCAAAGCCAAGCTCCTGGGAGAAAAAATCATGACAAAGACAGAAGTGACTTATTCAGTTTTATTGGTAATCCACAACAAAATTTGTCTGAATAGCTACCATTTTGGTGAGAACCACAAATGCCCCAGTCTGTGAGGATGATTAAAAAAAATTGGCTAATAGGACCTATGTCTGGGCTATACCTTTTGATTCTCCTTTTATGTCAAATAATCCTTTTAGACAGCATAATACAAATAGAAAGCACAAACAAGAGCAAAAAGGATGAAAATAAATGGAACTGATTGGGGGCCAGGTGCGGTGGCTCACGCCTGTAATCCCAGCACTTTGGGAGGCCGAGGCAGGTGGATCACGAAGTCAGGAGTTCAAGACCAGCCTGGCCAACATGGTGAAACCCCCGTCTCTACTAAAAATACAAAAATTAGCCAGTCATGGTGGTGCACGCCTGTAATCCCAGCAACTCAGGAGGCTGAGGCAGGAGAATCGCTTGAACACAGGAGGCGGAGATTGCAGTGAGCTGAGATCATGCCACTGCACTCCAGCCTGGGTGATAGAGCAAGACTCCATCTCGAAAAAAAAGAAAAAAAAAAAAAAAAAAAGAAATGGAACTGATTCCATGAAGGATGCCAAACAAATGGGGATGAGTAAATTACCTGGGTACCAAACAGAATAAATGGCCAAAGAACTCAATGTAAAAGAGCAGAATGTAAGCCTGGTGCTGATTTACCATGTCATCATGGACTCAGAGGCCACAAGCAGCAAGACACAAGGGGCCTTCCTGAAGCCACACCTGACTGAAGGCTGGCGTCTGCAGCAGCGGGAAGTGCAGCCTGTGTCTTGTGAACCTCCAGGAAAAATGTAGAAATAAACAAAGATGCCCAAATGAGAACAATCAGAGGCTGTTTATTCAGAGCCTGCTCTATCCAGGTTGTCAGCCACCATCATTTGTGTTTGGCAGAGACTCAAAGGCAGCCAGGAGAAGGGGAAGATTTATAATGAAAAAACAAAACAAAAAAACCACCAAAGGCTTCCAGTATGATTTGATTAGGGGTTCTTGGCATGAGGAAGCCGGGAGCAGGCCAATTAGCAGTGAGCATCTCCTATGATTAGTTTGAGGAGCATATTTGGCTTCCTCTGGTTGGTCCTGAGTTGGAAATAGGCAAAAAATAGGAAACCTGACAGTTATGGGCAAAGTCCTAACTATTCTGGGTTGATTGCTGCATAGGCTATGGTTTGGCTTTCTGATCTGGTTGACACAGGTTGTGGGACAGGGTTCTATGGTCATATACAGTCTGGCCATTGTCTGGAATTCCTGCTTCAGCCTCCCAAAATGCTGGAATTATAGGTGTAAGCCATCGCACCCAGCCACCAATGTCCATTTGTATATTCAGTTTCTTTTCCTTTTTCTTTTTTTGAGACAGAATCTTGCTCTGTCGCCCAGGCTAGAGTGCAGTGGTGCCATCTCAGCTCACTGCAACCTCTGCCTCCTGGGTTCAAGTGATTCTCCTGCCTCAGCCTCCCGAGTAGCTAGGATTACAGGCATCCACCACCATGCCCAGCTAATTTTTGTATTTTTAGTAGAGATGGGGTTTCACCGTGTTGGCCAGGCTAGTCTCGAACTCCTCACTTCAAGTGATCCACCCACCTCGGCCTCCCAAAGTGCTAGGATTACAGGCGTGAGCCACTGTGCACAGCCTCAGTTTCTTAATAGTAATCTGACGCCCCTTAAACTCCACTGGGCCAGGCGTTGTGGCTCATGCCTGTAATCCCAGCACTTTGGGAGGCTGAGGAGGGAGGTCAGGAGTTCAAGGCCTAGGTGACATAGCAGGGCCTTGTCTCTACAGAAAATTAAAAAATTAGCCAGATATGGTGGCACATGCCTGTAGTTCTAGCTACTTGGGAGGTGGAGGCAGGAGGATCACTCAAATCTGGGAGTTCAAGGCTACAGTGAGCTATGATCACGCCACTGCACTCCAGCCTGGGTGACAGAGTGGATCCCTCTCTCAAAATAAATAAATTAAATTAAAATTTAAAACCTCATTGTCTACACAGAAGTCCACTCCACCTACTGAGCAAATGTCCCTTCCCGGGCTGCCTGAAACATGGCCAAAGTCAGTTCAAAATAGTCTGGCTGTTTCCTATACCCCAAAGTCAGTTCAAAATAGTCTGGCTGTTTCCTATACCACAAAGTAATTTTGAGGATTCAACTTTGGTTGTCTCTTCATCAATAACCATAAGCCCTGGGCACTTACTGATCCTCTTTGGACTCAACTCCTATTCCAAGAAAATGGACATAACAATAAAGTTATTTCCTTGAAGGCAAAGGACCAAACCAGATGTTCACTTACAGAAGTTTCTAGCCCCAATTCACATGACTATTCCATAATTTTTTGATTCTAGGTCTGTCCTTTGGGATGGGACCAGGCTGCTGGGTTAAATAGGAAGTGTTCAGATGTGGTTGTTTCTTTCTCCTGACTTAAGCTGTGACAATGCATTAATTCACCCTCAGAGCCATTTTGTGGTGTAGTGAGAAGAGCTCTAAACTTGAAGGGAGATCTCTGGTGAGTTACAGTTCTGACATTTAAGAGGTATTTGATTTTCAGTAGGTTTCCTTATATTCTTTGTGTCGCAGTGTCCTCATTTGCAAGATGTCATTCTGTCGCCCCAAGGTTGTGAAGAGAGTCAGAATGTGAGCAGGTATCCTCACTTAGATCTTTGGCTTCATTAAAATTGCAATATTGAATATAATGAAGTGTGAATTGGAGAAAATAATTCAACTTTTTTCCAGTGCAGAATTCAAAACCTTAAAGAAAATGTAGAGAACCTGAGGAAATATTTTTCAGGCAGTTCATCCATAGGCCAGCAAGTGGGATTTCCTAAGTCCCCTGACTAATGGGGAGACCTCCGCTGGTTTATTGGTAGAGACTGGAGGGAGAGTATTTCTTTCCCATATCAGCAGAAGTAGCTCTCTGGTAGGTCATTTCACATCTGCATCTAGTCATTTACTTTATAAACCTCCTCCTTCTTTGGCGGTTTCCCTCGAGGGGAAGCAAGACAGAACATAATTGAGGGAGTCTCTTTAATGATGCATCATTTTTGTTTTAATGTTTTCATAAAGAAAAAGCACTTATACTATTGTGCATCTTGGGCTTTAGGAATAAGCCCATGAAAGGACTTCAGTATTTTTATTTTCCTTTTTTAGGGCTGGAGAAAAAGAGCTGGGCTTAAGCTACACCATGAGCAAAGCTTCCTTTGGAGCTACTTTGAAAAGACATTGGTGACAGTACCATAGTATATCATTACAGGGTCATTTGGAGTACATTTTTGGCTCTCTGAGGAGGCTCTGGGGTCAATGTCCTAACACGTGGGGACTGGAACCTTTTTCTCCTTATTGTTAAACTCCAATTTCACTGGAAGGTAGGTTTAGTCTTTAACTTCCTGGTTGACACTCCTTAGTTCTATTCTGATTCGTATGGATGATTTATGATACAGGTCGAAAAGCCCAGGAATGTTCTAGAATATATGATTGGCGAGGACCCTCACTGGTGCCATCCACATCTTCTCTTCAGGACTGGGAACGTTGGCAGCTGATGATCCTCTGGGAAGTTCCTTGGTGAGAACTGCCATCAATCTTGAAAAGCCACCTTGCCCAAGATCATTTCCTGAGGGCAGCCCACTTCCTAGGGTGGATCAGCATGGGGCTATAAAGGCAGGGCCATTTGCTTCAATTTGGGACAACTCTGAAGAGACACTGTGGCTCCAGAGCTTCTGGAGGAATGGGATGAGGCCTCTGTTGTGACTGCATCACACACAGTCCATTCTTCCTCCATTGAATCCTTCTGGCTTCTCTTCCCAACAGGTCGGATCCCAGGGTGCTCACCAATCCACCCCCGGCACTCAAATCTCCATCTCACAAGCTATGTGACAGGGACCCTGACTACAACAATGGACAAAACATTTTGGCCAGGCGTGGTGGCTCATGCCTGTAAACCTAGCACTTTGGGAGGCTGAGGCAGACAGATCACTTGAGGTGACTGCACTCCAGCCTGGCGTGATCTTTTTTTAAATTTTGACTCTATCTCAAAATTAAAAAAAATTTTTTTTTTGCCTGGGGGAACCATATTACTCTATCTTTCTCATGCCCCTACTGAGAATCAAACTGCCCCTCGTTTTTATTTTTATTTTAATTTTTTAAGACAAGGTCTCCATCTGTCACCCAGGCTGGAGTGCAGTGGTACAATCAGGGTTCACTGCAGCCTCAATCTCCTGGGCTCAAGTGATCCACCCTCCTCAGCCTCCCAAGCAGCTGGCATCACAGGTGTGCACCACTGTGCCTGGCCCAAACTTCTCTTAAATTCATTTTCCTTATGGAACAACAACAGCAACAACAACAACAAAAACTTTTGAGAGAAAGTTAGGAGTTACATCCCACCAAGAGAGCTGCCTTCAGAAAATATCAATTGTTAGGCAATTTCACAGTATTCAGTGTCTTCTTCAAACTTAAAAAAAATTATACAAATTATTTTTAAAATATAGAGATGGGGTCTATGTTACCCAGGCTGGTCACATCTTCTTTAAACTTGTTTGACATTTTTTCTGACCCTCTCAAACAGTTAACTGTTATTTATAATAATTAATTGGAAGCGAATAAAGGGCAAGTATTGGATAACTCTTTTTCGTTGTGTTTGTAACATATACACAAGATAAAATTTACCACTGTAATCATTTAAAGTGTATAGCCCAGTGGCATTCAGTACATTCACAGAACTCCAGAACTTTTTCATCATCCCAACTGAAACTCTGTACCTGTTTCTTTTCTTTCTTTCTTTTTTGTGTGTGTGTTTTTTTTTTTTTTTTTTTTTTTTTTTTTTTTTTTTTGAGACAGGTTCTTATACTCTGTTGCCCAGGCTGGAGTGCAGTGGGGCAATCATGGTTCACGGCAGCCTTGACCTCCCGGGGCTCAAGCAATCCTCTCGCCTCAACCCCACAAGTACCTGGGACTGCAGGCATGCGCCACCACACCCAACTACTTTTTGTATTTTTTGTAGACATAGGGTTTCACCATGTTGCCCAGATTGGTCTCGGACTCCTGGGTTCAAGCAATCTACTCGCCTCGGCCTCCCAAAGTGTTGGGATTATGGGCATGAGCCACCATGCTCAGCCCGTACCTATTAAACAATGTAGATTACTGTTAATATGATAAGCTCAGTGTTAAAAAAATATCAAGAACAAACTAAAGAGGATAATAAAAATAATCTGGGCCTATCATCAAGAAGTAACTATTATTAACATTTGTCAATGTCTTGCCAGATATCTTTCTGTGCATAAGATCGAATATGCAAATCTATTTTTTCCAAAAATGTGATCACAATCTGCTTTGCTTTCTCATCACGAAGAATGTTTTGTCCATCTTCCTACGCACCATAGATTTTCAGAGCTGAAAGGAAAATTGGAAATAGTGTCAGTAAGGGTCCTTATATTTCACTGGAAATGTGTGGGGCTTGAGAGCTCTCTTCAAAGAACAAACACAGAGATTTCATGGCTACTTCAAGGATTCAGGGAAATAGCAAATAACTTCTCCCTAAAAAAAAGTTTGTGCTACCTAGTATATTCATGCAACCTAATTTGTTTTTTTAGCTTATTGTCTCACTAATTTATCAGTCTTTTTATTTTTACTTTCCAGTTTTTAGTTTTTTATAGTTAAACATGTACATATTTTAAAGAGGCAAACAAGGATTTTTGCAAAAAAGCAAAAAACAAAACAGAAAAACCCAGCAGTCCACCCTCTTACCCTTTGCATTTTCCTCCTTGAAGGCAACCACTTTCAAATCAAAATCATTTAGGTTTTCTGTTTGTTTGTTTTTGAAAGAGTCTAGGCTCTGTCGCCCAGGCTGGAGTGCAGTGGCGCGATCTCGGCTCACTGCAACCTCTGCCTCCCTGGTTCAAGCCATTCTCCTGCCTCAGCCTCCAGAGTAGATGGGATTACAGGCTCCCACCACCACACCTGGCTAATTTTTGTATTTTTAATAGAGATTGGATTTCATTATGTTGTTCAGGCTGGTCTTGAATTCCTGACCTCAAGTGATCTGTCCTCCTTGGCCTCCCAAAGTGCTGGGATTACAGGCATGAGCCACCACACCTGGCCTAGTTTTTTTTTTTTTTTTTTTTAAATAACTTGCATATATTGATAATTCCAGTTTTCGGCATTATCCACCAGTTTTCCACTATGAATGATGAGGATTCATCCTTTCTATTCACCCCTCAGTATTACTCATTCCTAACTTTCTTACCTGCTCCCATTCTGTCTTTTCAATCTAAGAAGAAAATAAGGTAGAAATCACTTTTCTTCAGTAAATTAAGCCTAATCCTCCATTGTCTTCTAGTTTTGTTGTCCATGACTCCAAACCCATTGTTATTCCTTTTACTTTGAATGTGACCATTTTTTTTCCATCTCTAGAACTTGTGGGGTCTTTATCTCCAGTGTTCTGAACTTTATAAATTTGTGCCGTGTTCTCAGTGAGCCCTTTCAATCTGGAAATCCTTCAGTCTGGGGAAATTCCCTGAATTATTTCACTGATTCCTTCTTTTTTTCTGTTTCTTCCATGTCTTTCTCTTGGCCTCTTTTTTGGATGTTAGACCTCTGGGATCAGTCTTCTGATTTTCTTATATGTTCCCCTTTATTTTTCATACCTTTGTTTTTTGGTCTTCTCTCTAGAAAATTTACTTTATACTCCAAACCAACCATGGAGTGGCTTAAAGTAGCACAGAGGTATTAACTTATGGTTCTGAGGATCAGGAGTCTAACATGAGCCTCACAGGACTAATGTCAAGGTATCTAGGACTAACAAGGTATGTTCTTTCTAGAGGCTCTTGAGAAAAATTTGTTTCTTGCATATTCAGGTTGTTGCAATTCGGTGTCGCATGATTGTATGCTAAGGTCCTGTTTTCTTGATGGTGGTCAACTAAGGGCTCATTCAGCTTATAGAGGTCACCCGTACTCCTTGGCCCATGGTCCCCTTTTCTCCATCTTCAAAGCCAGCAAGAGTGGGTCAAGTCCTCTCATGCTTTCGAAACTCTCCTGCCTCTTTTTCTGTTGTGGCATCTCTCAGTCACAAGATTCTCAGCTCTTAAGAGCACATGTAGGTGGGGTGCAGGGGCACACACCTGTAATCCCAGCACTTTGGGAGGCCAAGGTGAGCAGATCACTTAAGCTCAGGAGTTTAAGATCAGTCTGGGCAACGTGACAAAACCCCGTCTCTACAAAAACATATGAAAATTAGCTGGGTGTGGTGGTGCTCATCTGTAGTCCCAGCTACCTGGGAGGCTGAGGTGGGAGGATTTTTTTGAATCCTGGAAGTCGAGGCTGCAGTTAGCCAAGATCATGCCACTACATTCCAGCCTTGGTGACAGAGTGGGACCCTGTCTCAAAAAACAAAAACAAAAGAGCACATGTTATTAGAGTGGGTCCATCTGATAATCCAGGATAATCTTCCTCTCTCAAGATCTCTAACCTTTATCAAGTCTGTAAAGTCCCTTTTTGCCAAAGGTTCTGGGATTAGGACACAGACATCCTTGGAGATCTTTATCCCAAATGATACCTACCACAGGAGTTTTAATGTCTGCTATAATATAATTTCTAACAACTGGTTTTTCTCTGAATGCTCCATTTTTTTATAGAGCAAACTATTTTTGTCTCATGTTTAGGATATTTTCACTTATCTCTCTGAATATAATAACAATAGCTTTAAAGATCTGTTTGTTTCCTTCTCCTTGTATAGTTTGTTTCCTGTAAGTTGCCTTTTTATGGTGTTTATTTTGGTCTTTATCTTCCATTAAGGGACTTGTATTAGTTGGGTCCCACGCTGCTAATAAAAC
The DNA here is from genome assembly GCF_000001405.40 of Homo sapiens. Classification (NCBI taxonomy): domain Eukaryota; kingdom Metazoa; phylum Chordata; class Mammalia; order Primates; family Hominidae; genus Homo; species Homo sapiens. The sequence goes on along the minus strand of NC_000008.11, from coordinate 80,178,755 downwards.
CATACTGGAGAGTGGGTAATTTATAAAGAAAAGAGGTTTAATTGACACGCAGTTTCACATGGCTAGGGAGGCCTCACGATCATGGTGGAAGGCAAAAGAGGAGCAAAGTCATGTCTTGCATGGCAGCAGGCAAGAGAGAGAACATGTGCAGGGTAACTCCCATTTATAAAACCATCACATTTTGTGAGACTTATTCACTTCCACGAGAAAAATATGGGGAAAACTGCTCCCATGATTCAATTATCTCCACCTGGCTCCGCCTTTGACACATAGGGATTATTACAATTCAAGATGAGATTTGGGTGGGGTCAGAGTCAAACCATATCAGGGTTTTTCTCTGGATCATGGCTGCCTGCCCTGAGCATGAAGCAGCTGACTGGTCTCTTTAGGTACGTGGGCAAGATTTGTGACCATAGATTTGAGGGTAAGGTGATCTGGTTTATCCAATGTCAACATTTTTGGTTCTTTACTCTTAGGTTGGTTAAATTCCTGAGAGATGGATCTTTCAGTCTCCTGCTTTCACAGTATATGCCTGGCTGTTTGCATCCTGAGAACCAAGCAGAGCAAGGCTGGAGAAACAGCATTCATGATGTGAACTGCTAATGAATTTTTCTGCCTGTATTAGGAAATCCTCAGCCTCAAATGTACTTAGTCTTCTAGTAAAGAGATTGTCAAATTTCCTTCTCCAGAGAAGCCACTTTAGTATTCTTGCAGAATAGGGAAGGGGATGGGACCCAACTTCTTAAGTAAACTTTCAACCAATCCTCTTGTTTTGAGCCTCACTTTCTTTCTACATCCACAGATACCTGATGCCAAGTCCTGAGGTTTTTGGAAGTGCTGCAGTGGAAATTAGGTTCTTCTTGGCTTTCCCAGTTTAGCATTTGGCCTTCTCAGATTCACAAGATCAATTATCATTACGTAGACACTCACATTCTCTTTGTCCTTGTGAGTTTATCTCTTTACTGTAATTTTAGCAGCATAGAGAGGAAGTAAGAATGAATCTATGTTGAGAATTTACAAGAACCTCTTAATTTTTTACTTCAGAAGGGTGAGCTTTATGGTACATGAGTTATATCTCAATAAAAAACATTTTAAAAATAAATAAGGCTGGATGCTGTGGTTCATGGCTGTAGTCTCAGCTACTCAGTAGGCTGAAATGGGAGGACTGCATGAGCCCAGGAGGTTGGGGCTGCAGTGAGCTGCACATCAGTGCAGTGAGCTGCATTGATCCTGCCACTGTATTTCAGCCTGGGCAACAGCTGAGACCATGTCTCAATCAATCAATCAATAAAAATGTGTCTGATATGCCATCTTTATCCTAAAGTATGACTCCATAGTTTAGAGATGAGGACAGTGAACCAGAGAAGCTTAAGTGAGAGGCCTAAGATAGTGATGTTTTCTTTTCTTTCTTCTTCTTTTCTTTTCTTTTTTCTTTTCTTTTTTTTTTTTTTGAGGCAGAGTGTTGCTCTGTTGCCCACACTGAGTGCAGTGGTGCAATCTTGACTCACTGTAACTTCAACCTCTCGGGCTCAAGCAATTCTTCTGCCTCAGCCTCCTGAGTAGCTGGGACTACAGGCACATACCACCATGCTTGGCTAACTTTTGACTTTTTGGTAGAGACAAGGAGGTCTTACTAAGTTGCTCAGGCTGGTCTCAAACTCCTGGACTCAAGCAATCCTCCCACCTCAACCTTCCAAAGTGCTGGGATAACAGGTCTGAGCCACCACACTCAGATCCATAGTGATGTTTTTGTTTGTTTTTGTTTTTGAGACAGAGTCTCACTCCATCACCCAGGCTGGAGTGCAGTGGTGCCATTTCTGCTCACTGCAACCTCTGCCTCCCGAGTTCAAGCTGTTCTTGTGCCTCAGCCTCCCAAGTAGCTAGGATTACAGGCATGTGCCACCACCACTCCTGGCTAATTTTTGTATCTTAGTCGCCATGTTGGCCAGCCTAGTCTTGAACTCCTGACCCCCAATGATCCTCCCTCCTTGGCCTCCCAAAGTGCTGGCATTATAGATATGAGACACTGTGCCTGGCCAGATAGTTTAAAGTGATGGTTTAGATAAATCCACTCCAGAGTTTTCAGTTGTTTCTGGTCTTGCAGAGTTATATTTTGGTGACAGTGGCACAGAATTTGGCTCTTCATCAAAGACCCTGGGCACTTGCCATTCTGGCCTACACCATTTCTGCCAGAGGACCATTGGCATTCTGGAAAACTAGCTATCTTTGCAGGGGTGAAATGGTTTGTAAGACACTGAGTTGAACACCGTGTAAAAATTTAGAAATATTGTTAATCATTTAATTGTTAAATATACATATCTCTAATGCATTTTATACCCTGGAGTAATCTTAGAGAGAGATGAAAAGATTAGAACGGTGATGGTGGAGACTCCAGGAGAAAAGGGACAATGGCTCTCCCAGCACTCCCTTCCCTACCCAGTTCCCATATGTAATTTGATAAATACACAGAATCCAGAGTGGCTTAAAAACATACAAGAAAGATTAAGTGTCTATGGCTTTTCTTAATGTAGCCAAAATCAATAGTGTGAGATCGTTTCCTGTTAATGTTTAGGTATTTATGTGTCCAACCTCCATTAGTGTTAAGTACTCTTTCCTGCCAATACCTGTTTCTACACATTTTTAAAAGTTGTTTATTTCATATTCACAGTCAGTCTCTTACATGGATGGCTAAGAGAATACAATAAGATGGCTATTCAATTATCTTAAGCAAAAAAATGTTCATTACCTGACATTAAATCAATTTTTCTCCAAAACTTGTTCTTGATCTCTTGGGCCTCCTAACCTTCATCCCTTTGTTTACTACCATGATTCAAGCAGGAAGAGTCTATCTTTCTCCTGGATGATGATATAATTTTCAAAATTGTGGTATCATATGCCTTCATTTGTTTGAACAATCAGAGAGCCAGAACTACCCTTTGACATAGGTAGGGTAGTCAGATTTAGCAAATAGAAATATAAGACAACTTGCTAAGAATTTAAGATAAATAATAAATTTTAGTATAAGTATGTTGCAAATATTGTAGGGTATACTTTTTTGGGTTTTTTCTGAGATGAAGTCTTGCTCTGTCACTCAGGCTGGAGTACGGTGGTGCAATCTTGGCTCACTGCAACCTCCACCTCCCGAGTTCAAGTGATTCACCTGCCTCAGCCTCCTGAGGAGCTGGGATTATAAGCATGTGCCACCACACCCAACTAATTTTTTGTATTTTTAGTAGAGACAGGGGTTGATCACGCTGGCCAGGCTGGTCTCGAACTCCTGACCTCAAGTGATCCACCCACCTTGGCCTCCTAAAGTGCTGGGATTACAGGGGTGAGCCACCACTCCTGGCCAGGGATATACTTACACTAAAAAATTACTTGTCATTTATCTGAAATTCAAATTGAACTGGGTGTCCTTTTATCTTATCTGGCAGCAACCCTAGACCCAGGCTACCTGAAGCCCCTCCACTGGGCGCCCTGGGTCCCATAGAGACTTCCCACTTTTGTTCTCCTTGATGAGCAGTCCCTAGCATCAAATATCTACCCCCTCTTTATCAACGGTGCATCTGATACCTATAACTACAGAATCTCTTGCCTAAACTGGCCAACATCTGTTGTCAAGGCCTTCAGCTTTTCTCCCAGGACAGTCCTTTTGAGTGCAACCCTAGAATGGAGGTATGGCCAAGGCTCGGCTGATGGGAAAGGGTGGATAGAGATGGGATATGTCCTAAGGCATCCACGCACAAGGGAGTGGGCCAGCCTGGTGCAGGACAGAGTCAAAGTGAAAGGACAGAGCCAGAAGAGAAAGCCAGGGGCTCCATTTGTATCCTCGCCCCAGGCCCCACAAATATGAGGGGTAAGACTACAGAAAGCATCCCACTTGCCACACATTCTGTGTGATTTCTGCTGGCTATCGGTCAAGGAAGATACATACAACAAGGGCAGAGTATAGAGTTTTTCCACTTACATAAGTCGGTTTCTATCTATCCTTTTCAATACCTTCATTTGCTTCAATGCATTTGTTTCAGGGGAAGTTTACAATTTCTTGTAAAAATTTCACCAACAAATGAGTATTCTGAAAAAAGAAACTTAAAAAAAGAAACTTAAAAAAAATCCACGTTCCCATCAACAATAACACCACAAAGTAAATCTAGTGTTTCTTTCCTGTACTGAGCCTTTTAAATGTGGTTCAACTCAATGCACCCAGGTGCTCTGTTTAAGTGCTAGCCATTCTCCAGAGATTCCTCAGAGTGCTAAAACATAAGACCTGTTCATTTCAGAAGTAACACAGCATAAATTGTAAGCACAGATTCTGTCAGAAGAAAACAAATGAAGTAGTACGAAGACACAAGAGAAAAGCAGGCTTTTGTAGAAATACATGTAGTAGGAAGATGTAAGAGAAAAGCAGGCTTTTGTGGAAATATCATGTACTAGGATATTTATAGTATGAACAGTGCTCATTTAACCTCAAAGAGAAAATTAAGTTAATCTATCTCTAAGGCTCAGGATTGCATGTATCCACCTACGTGGGTGCATGCCAGAGTGCATTTTCTATATGGCGCATTCTATCAGTTGGGATTGCATTTGGCTCCATCTAACAGAAAGCCAACTACAGTGGCCTTACAAAGTCAGGCATTTATTTTTTTCCAGTAAGAAGCAGGTCTCTGATGCCATGGATTCTTGGGTTCTTTCTGCCGTCCTTGGCTTGTGAATTTCTTCCTCGTGTTTGCAAAATGGCTATTGCCCCTCTAAGCAGGAATGGGAAGGGTGAAGGGCCAAGTAATGCTGCCAAGTCTGTCTTCTTTTTAAATGCTTTCTTGGAGATTCCAATTAGTACAGTTTGCTCACATCTCATTGGACATTAATGAGAGAGACCCACCTCCAGCTGCAAGGCAGTTTGAAGTGCCCAGTGTTTCAGCTGGGCACATTGCCACTCCAAACAATATTTAGGTTATCTTAGGAAGGAAAACAGGAAGGCTGTTTATCAGGTAGGCTATTTGCCATCTCTGCTGCATGTGAACTACTCTATAAGCTCTTCAAAAGATAAGACTTTTTTTCCTTTCAGCATACATAACAAGTTCATCACTATATAGTAAGTTAAACAGATACAAACAATAAATATTTGTAACGGACACTCACGTTCAAGTGCTATTTATTTGTCCACAAATTAGTACATTGAGAGATTGTCTCTCCAGATGTTTATTTCTATACAATAGATCTCAGCATCAGCTAGTCAAAAATTCTTTACCACATACAGAATTTTCTGCTGATGCCAAAATTTACCTTTATGTTACATTAAAAATTTTTTAAAAAATATTGCACCTTTTTGGGCTCAAGCAATCCTCTTGCCTTAGCCTCCTGAGTAGCTGGGTTTACAGGCAAACACCACCATGCCTGGTTTAAAATTACAATATTTATTAATTGCATGGTAGAATTAAAGGATGCAGAGATGACCAAAATAATCTTTGCCCACCTGGAACTTTTTTTTTTTTTTTTGAGATGGAGTCTCACTCTGTTGCCCATGCTGGAGTGCAGTGGCGTGATCTCAGTTCACTGCAACCTCTGCCTCCCGGGTTCATGCCATTCTCCTGCCTCAGCCTGCCGAGTAGCTGGGACTACAGGCGCCCGCCACCACACCTGGCTAATTTTTGGTATTTTTAGTAGAGATGGGGTTTCACCGTGTTAGCCAGGATGGTCTCGATCTCCTGACCTCGTGATCCGCCCGCCTCGGCCTCCCAAAGTGCTGGGATTACAGGCGTGAGCCACCGCGCCCGACAATTTTTGTATTTTTAGTAGACACAAGGTTTCACCATGTTGGCCAGGCTGGTCTCAAACTCCTGACCTCAAGTGATCCACCCGCCTTGGCCTCCCGGAGTGCTGGGATTACAGGCGTGAGCCACCGTGCCAGGCCTGTTTTTTGATTTTTTTAATAGGCCATTTTAAGGACTTTACCACCTGGAGCTTGTAACCTAATAGGACTGTGAAACATACACTGGTAGCATCCTGGCACCAGTGCTGGGGTGAGTGCCACAGGAGAGGAGCCAAGTGCAGTCAGAGTAGAAGGACTCAAATAGAAGAGATCACATCTGGTTGAGTCAAACAGTAAACGTCCCCAGAAGACACTGGAAGATGCAGGCTGGAGAGAGCTACACTTTACATACAGCACGACAGTATAGAGATATTAATAGCATACAGTCACTTCAGGTAACTACAAGTAATTTTAAAACATCTGAATAAGTGCTTCTTTGTTGTCTGTGGAGTGCTACACAATGCTTCGGCCTAAACGTCAAGCAACACAGAAAAGAAGCCCCACTTCATTTGCAGCCTCAGATAGCTTACGAAATTGAGACACCACCTGAAGACCATGACCCATACAATCAAAGTGACTTCATGGAAGACGAGTAACTGCAAAACCCTGTGAAAACAGATTGTTAACGCTACTAATGAAAAGAACTGGATTGTTACGGGAACCTCAAACTGTCCTTTGATCAACGGACATGACGCCTCAACACGCATTTTCCAAAGATCTCTGCTGATAATTCTGACCTTCGGTTAATTTAATTAATTTCATTTGATTTAATTCATTTTAGTGTTGTCCTCAGTCCCGCACTCAAAACAGATTTTTATTATATGAAAATCTTCCTAGTCACCTAAAAAATCCGCATTCTATGGAAAAGACTATATAATTTTTCAAGAGATTCTTTGCAATTTTCACCTATGCTGGTTTATGACCTAGTTAGAGAAGACATCATAGGGCATTATTTAGGTAATAAAATACAGAGAGAAAAGAGCCACTGGCATTTCTAAATAACGTTCCTGTGTTTCCTACTGTAAGTATAGGAAAGTAGGTGTTCGCAGATGCAGAGAAAGGGCATCTCCAAGGCCTCGGAGGAAACTTTTGATTTTATAAATAACTTGATGGTGGAAGGCAAACGCCATCCCGGTTCCCAAGCAGGCTCCACGCAGCCTCCATGGCCGAGTCCATCTCCTCGCCGTCCTCTTCCCTCCTCCCGGCCGACTTCCAGCCGGTGCGGGAGTCGGGGTGCGCCCGGCCCTCCTAGCGCTGCGCCGCCCGCGCCGACGTGGCGGAGCGCACAGGTCGACCGGGTCAGGTGGTTGGGTGACGCCCCAGGAAAGCGCTCCAGGCCGAGGGCGGGCGGCGCCGCCGCGCCCGACGCCTCTGGGGGTGGGGACTTCGCGGGAGTCGCCGGCGGAGGCGAGGAGGAGCTCTGCGCGGCGCGGCGGGCGATCCGAGCCGGGACGGGCTGCAGGCGGGGGTGCTGCAGAGGACACGAGGCGGCGGGCTGGAGACATGGACCGCGGCGAGCAAGGTGAGGGCGCGGACCCAGCGGGCTTGGGCTCGGGCTTGGACTCGGGCTTGGACTCGGGCTTTGGCTCGGCGCGGGGCTGAGCGCGGCCCGGCGGCTCGAGCAGGTGCCGAGCCTCCTGGGCCGGCGCCGCAAGTTGCATCTCCCGGATCCGGATCTGGCATCCTGGGGCCCTGGAAGGAGCGGCTCTGGCGGGGGCAGATGGGACTGCATGTGTGAGTGTGAGTGTGCGTGTGTGGGGGAGAGGGAGAGAAGGTTCTGGGAGGTGGCGAAGGGGCTAGCGTCAGGGGCTGGCGGCCGTGATGCGCTTTGGGTGGAAAGCCGCGTGAAGGGAGCACGGCGCAGCCAGCTCCTGTAAGTGACTGGAACCAGGAACAGAGGACAGTGAGTCGCTCTCGTCCCTCCAGGTGGGAAACCCCTCTCTCCCTCATAAATTAAGACTTTCTGCCTTCTTCTAAGTTCAGGTGGTTAGGATTTTTGGTGGCGTATGACCCATGGGGGGTTTGGGAGGCAGATATTTATCATACTAGAAACCCCCAGATTGTGGAGTGGTGTCTGTGGGTTTGAGGGAAGAGAGCTTTTCGTAGGAAGGGTGAAATCCCACAACACAAAACCTTCAGTCTAATTTACCATAGCGTTGGGTGCACTTGCTTCTGAAAACAGCTCAAGTGAAATTACCCCCAAATAGAGCAATAGTAGGCCATGGTTTTCAGATTTAAATAGTTTCATCCTAGAGATCTCTGCTGATCATAAGCCTGTGACTGTACGCAGATGTGTGTGGCACGCTTTTAAAAAGATACATAAATGCTGAAAAAAGAAAACAAGGTAGGTAATCTTGGGAAGTGAGGATAGGAATCACTCCTGTTTTGAGCCCTGACACAAGTTTTCATGTATTGCTTATTTTCCTCCAGTATGTGCCGTCATGTGTGCATTTTTATGTAAATCAAACCATATTCCAAATATACTATCTTGTACTTTATTTTTTTCAGACTCTGGTGTTTTTTTTGTTTGTTTTTTTGAGTCTCCACCTGTAGCCCAGGCTGGAGTGCAGTGGCGGGATCTCAGCTCACTGCAACCTCTGCCTCCCTGGTTCAAGTGATTCTCCTGCCTCAGCCTCCCAAGTAGCTGGGATTACAGGTGTGCGCCACCACAGCCCGGCTAATTTTGTATTTTTAGTAGAGACAGAGGTTTCTCCATGTTGACCAGGCTGGTCTCCAAGTCCTGACCTCAGGTGATCCACCCGCCTCAGCCTCCCAAAGTGCTGGGATTACAGGTGTGAGCCACTGGGCCAGGCCTGTACTTTACTTTCATTTACTTGTAAGATAGACTCTTTGGAGTCTTTCAGCTCTTTCCTCGCTCCCCTTCAGATTAATTTCAGACTTAACACAAGTGCTTACAAACATTACATACAATATGCTTTATATGTGTTACCTATGTGTATATATATATTATACATTACCTGTATAACGTATATATACACATACATATTATTATCTAAATTTTAAGCTTCTTGAGGTTAGAAACATTTCATCTTTGGTTGTCCTGAGTGGGATAACATGATGACTTGTACATAGTAGACATGCAAATGTTTGAGTTAGAAAGCTTGTCACATGTCTTGTATATATTGTTAGCCGGCTTAGGGGCCACCATGTAAGTCAGCATTATGTCTGTCTGGCTTTCAATGGGGGCGACGCAGGACGGGGGAGACATGACGACAAACGTGCCCATGTGTATTTGTATACTAATCTGTTACACACTGTCGTTTGACATAATGATGTTTTTAGAATAACTATGTTTGGTACTTGTCAAAGTAAATTAAACGGCTGTGTTTTACTTACGTGAGTGGAGTAACTAGTTTTAGTAGTGTTTGTGTTCTAGCTTGGGTGGTAAGAATCAACAGTCATTGGTAGCACTGCAGTATTCCAACTTCTTGTGTAGTTTTTATAGGACTAGTTTAAGTGTCTAATTCTAAGACATATTTTTTTCAAATCTTTATCTTGTAAGATGAGTCTTTTCGTGTCTATAATTTTCCCATATGTTCTTTGGGTGAGGTGGAGGACTCTGCTCCGAATGAAAGAAGAGGCACTGCCTTGGGAGGGTCAGTTCATTTACTCCAAAGCTTTGCTGTGTTAGAACAACGTGGCCAAGGCTGGGTGCGGTGGCTCACACCTGTAATCCCAGCACTTTGGGAAGCTGAGGCAGGCAGATCACTTGAGGCCAGGAGTTTGACCCCTGTCCAACAAGGTGGAACCCTGTCTCTACTAAAAATACAAAAATTAGCTCGGCGCGGTGGCACCGGCCTGTAGTCCCAGCTATTCAGGAGGCTGAGGCAGGAGAATCACTAGAAACTGGGAGGCAGAGGTTGCAGTGAGCTTAGATCAAACCACTGCACTCCAGCCTGGGCGACAGAGCGAGACTCTATCTCAAAAAACAAACAAACACAAAACAAAACCACCTGGCCATTCCTTACTCTTGCTTCCACCTGCCTACCTGCCTTTTCATCTTTATGTTACCAGTGCACACAGTAGGTGCTTAGAAATATGTGTTGACTGCCTAAGATGAGTGAGGAAAGTGTCCAAGAGCAGGCCCCAGCCATAGTAACCTCTGTGTCCCTCCAAATCCATCTCTTGTTTCCCACTTTCTCCTGTTCTGTTTTCCCTGTCTATTCTCAAGAAGCAGAACTTAGCCAGAGAGTTGCTGATAAGGCAGTGCTGGGCTTGGAGGATAACTTTACATGGAAGATCTTAGAACTAGTAGAGTGGATGACTCAGTCTTAAGTGAATCTGGAGCAAGACTCCTGCCTTAAACTGGAAAAGGCACAACCTGGGATTTTAAACCTGGTGTTCACTAGCAAACTGTGTTGGCTGAAATAAGGTTTATCAAACTCTGTGATTGTCTCCTGAATTGTGATTTTGGCAACATACTTAAAACCAAAGCAGAAAATTTTAGGATTTGTTGAACTTTTAATAGTTTTTAATGTACATGGAGTTTTCTTATATTTGTCCCTTAAAAAATCCCTAATGAAACTCTAGTTGTAAAATTAAATGCCCTACCTCTTGTCTTACATGCATTTATCTATTGAAAATCCCTCTTCCAACCTTCTTATGTGAAGTTATCAAAAAATCTGTTCTTGCTACTGATTGTACTTAACAGAGCTGTAAATTTTTAAAATAAACACTGAGTTTTCCTTATGTTTTCAACCACGAGTATTCTAATGCTCTGTAGTATCAGGCCCAGATTCTGTTGTTTTTCTACTTTCTCTCATACCTAGGGCTTGAATACAATACTCTGCTTACAGTGAGAGTTCAGTGAACATCAAATGATTTAAAATACGTTAAATTGCATCATGCCTTTCAAGAGTTTCCAAGCATTAAGCTCAGCGCAGCACATTTACTGTGTGTGGTATTTCCTACTTTGATAGAGCAGTGTTGCTAACTAGAGCATACATTGTGTAGAAAACCCTCCTGACTACCTTTTATGGAGCTGAATAAATATGTATACTTGAGTGCTCTCATGTTAGTCATAACCTTTAGTTTAGCACTGTTATATAGAAGTGACAGTCACGTAGCCCACTACACATTATACTAGTTTGAATTTAAACAAAGCAAAACAACTTTATAATTTTAAGGGGAAGAGGAATGGTTCCTGAGGCCAAAAAACTAGAGAGGAAAGGCTTCAAAAAAAGAATAACACAATAATATGTCACTATCATTTTAACATTGTAATTGTGCCTTAGAAATAAATAACAGAAATGTGGGGTATCATTTATTTAAAAATAAAGCAAATGTAGAGAATAATGGATAATAATTTTGAGGGTCTACTCCCAAGTCTCTGGGTGTGACCCACCCCATCCAGGCTGTTAATTTATTTGGTCAACAGTTTCGTGATTTCCATATGGTGCTGATGTCTTTGTTAGCTCTTCTTCACTTCCTGCATTTATTTTTATGTGGCAGGCTGCCTAGTCCCTAGGGGAATAGCTGAGTGGTAGGAGGGGTTGTGATCTTTTAGCAAGATTTCAAAACAGAATAATGTATGCATGTAATAAAAACAAATACGCTCACTCACAGTGCAAAACCAAAAAGAACACCCAAATCCCTGGAACTTCTGTGCTACTAAGTCTTTTGTTGTAGGCTAAGATTATTTTCCTTTTGGGGTTAATTATTTCTGCCTTAATTATTGACTGTTGTGAAATCTCTCTTCTGAGACATTCCCAAATTTTATTTAAACTAGTGGGTACCAGCTGTACTGAAACCATAATTTTAGCCATGTATTTTTATTAGAAAAATGTTTCCAGGGGATTAAGGAATTTTAATATTTAGTGGAAGTTTTAAAAAAGAATGTAAAAATGCCTTTTGGAACCTAAGAATAGTTGTCTATTTTAGAAAAATCAGAAATATTGATGGAGAAAAAAGAAAATTACCCATAATCCTGTGCGAGAATGAGAAATCATAGTTAGCATATTAATTTATACCTGTTCATGTATCTATGCTTTAAACAAATCACAATTTTATTATTATTTTTTTTAACAGTGTCTCGCTCTGCCACCCAGGGTGGAGTGCAGTGGCGTGATCTCGGCTCACTGCAACCTCTGCCTCCTGGGTTCAAGCAATTCTCCTGTCTCAGCCTCCCAAGTAGCTGGGACTACAGGCGCATGCCACGACACCCAGCTAATTTTTTTGTATTTTTAGTAGAGATGGGGTTTCATCATGTTGGTCAGGCTGGTCTCGAACTCCTGACCTCAGGTGATCTGCCCTCATTGGCCTCCCAAAGTGCTGGGATTACAGGCGTGAGCCACTGTGCCCGGCCAACAAATCACAAAATTTCTTATTGAATATTGCATTTTATAACTTGCCCTTTTAAAAAAACCCTAAATGTATTTAAAAAATACACTTTAATGGCCGCATGTGGTGGCTCATGCCTGTAATCTCAGCACTTTGGGAGGCCAAGGCGGGCGGATCACCTGAGGTCGGGAGTTGGAGACCCGCCTGACCAACATGGAGAAACCCTGTCTCTACTAAAAATACAAAATTAGCCGGGTGTGGTGGCATATGCCTGTAATCCCAGCTACTAGGGAAGCTGAGGCGGGAGAATCGCTTCAACCTGGGAGGCGGAGGTTGCAGTGAGTCTCTCTCTCTTGCCCAGGCTGGAGTGCAATGGCACCAATTTGGCTCACTGCAACCTCCACCTCCTGGGTTCGAGTGATTCTCCTGCCTCAGCCTCTTGAGTAGCTGTGACTACAGGCGTGTGCCTCCACGCCATAATTTTTCTATTTTTGTAGAGATGGGTTTCATCATGTAGTCCAGGCTGGTCTCGAACTCCTGGCCTCAAGTGATCCTCCCGCCTCAGCCTCCCAAAGTGCTGAGATTACAGGTGTGAGCCACTGCGCCTGGCCTAGAGCAGCTCCATTTTTAATGGCCATTTGTATGTATTTATTTATAGATGTAACATTTTATATACTGTTATAGACAATATTTAACTTGTTCCCTGTTGATGAACATTTACATTTTGCCTTGTAGGGGAGGAAAAATTTCTCCCTACCCTTTTAGGGTTTCTGGCGAGGCCTAGGAATTAAACCAACATGAGATAGATTAACAGGAGAAAAGCATGCAAATTTTATTTAGTGCTTTTTATGTATTACATACCTTTTACCCTCACAAGAGGAATGAAGACTCAAGGAAGTGGCTTGGCCTGATCGATTATATACTAGGTCAAAAAAAGAGTGGCAGTTGTGGAAAAGTAACTAGGAAGGTAAGGTTTAGTTTAGCAAGGTTTCTTTATGCAGATTTCTTTGGGCTTGGACTTCCTGTGATAAGAATGTTTCTTTCTTCCTGGTAGAGGGAGGACATCTTTCATATGGGAGCTTCATCTTCTGCTTTCAGGAAAAAGAGAGGAGGTTTGGGTGCCCTTCTTAACACCTGCTGTTTTTCAAGTGCCTTTAGCCCAAAATAATCAGCATGCTAAAGTGGAATGTTTTGGGATGCTGTGTCCTGAACTCCTTCACCCTGATATTTTGCTGTTAAAACAAAGCTGCAGCAAATGTATGTGTATGCAAGTCATTCCATAAAAATGCCAGTGTGTCTGTAGGAAGAATTCTTAGAAGAATGTGGCTGTTCAATTTTGATAGTGCCAAATTCTGCTCCATAGAAGTGGTGCCAGTTATACTTCCACCAGCATGTGCGAGCGTTTGCTTTCCCTTGCCATGTGGCCAGGATGTTGCCACACTTTTCCATTGTTGCTTGTCTTATAGGGGAAAAATGGTTTCTCAGTATAAGTCTTACTATATATATTTAATATAAAGGTAGTTTACTTCTTTTGATATGTTTACAATCTACATGGCATTTTCTGTGAAATATCTGGCCATATCTTTTGCCAATTTTTCTATTGTATTTTATAGAATGTACCCCGTTTATGAGATGAGTTGTTAATTTTTTTTCTAGTTTGTCATACCTTTTTTGACTTTATAGTGATTTTTTTTAACCAAGAAGAAATACTAATAGCTCTTTTTTTTTTTTTTTTTTTTTTTTTTTTTGAGACATTGTCTCCCTCTGCCACCCAGGCTGGAGTGCTGGAGTGCTGGAGTGCAGTGGCATGATCTCTGCTCACTGCAACCTCTGCCTCCCAGGCTCGAGCAGTTCTTGTTCAGCCTCCCAAGTAGCTGGGATTACAGGTGCGTGCCAGCATGCCTGGCTAATTTTTTGTATTTTTTAGTAGAGATGGGGTTTTGCCATGTTGGCCAGGCTGGTCTCGAACTTGTGGCCTCAAGTGATCTGCCCACCTGGGCGTCCCAAGCTGCTGGGATTACAGGAGTGGGCCACCATACCCAGCCTAACTAATGGCTCTTTTCATTTATGGATTCTAGCTTTTGAATCATTTTTAGAAATGCCTCCCTCACTTTGAGTTTATGCTTTTATGGTTTTATTTTTTATGTTTAAATCTTTCCTCAATCTGGAGTTTGTTTTGATAATGAGATGTGAGGTATAAATCTTAACACCTCCACCTCCAATTGGCCACCCAACTGCCTAACACCATTCATTGACTAATGGCTTCTTCCTCTATTGATTTGAAATACCACTGTTGTCATGTACTAAATTCTTACATTCTTTTCTTTTCTCTTTATCTGTATGTTCATTGCCAGCAGCTAAACCTAGTTTAAGTTATTGTAGCTTCATAAAATGTAAAAATGTCTGGAAGGGCTAGTTTGCTCTGATTACTCTATTTTTTTTTCTGTCAGTTTTTTTCTAGGTATTCTTGCCAGACTATTTCCAAACGAACATTAGAATCAACTTATCTAGGTGAAAATTCAACAAAAATCATGCTGGCAGATCTTTTTCTCCTTCTCTCTCCTCCCCCCTTTCCCCTTTCTGTCTGTCTGTCTCTCTCTCTCTCTCTCTCTCTCTCTCTCTGTCTCTCTCTCACAGTTAGAATTTGGTCTGTTTCTTTATTCAATACCCCAATATATGTTCATTAGGGTTATACTGTATACACTACACATAACAGTTTTGTTTTTTGTTTTGGATATTATTTGATAATAAGAATTTTACCACATCATTAAAAAAAGTTTCCCCAAGCTATAATTTTTGATAATTGCACTCTTCCACTATTCAAATGTTTATTTAACTCTTTCTCTCCTGGAGTAGGTTTACATTCCATTTTAGCTATGATACTGCTTTAAGAGAAATTGTTTTAAGATAAATTTCCATAGACAGGTCAAAGGAGGTGAATATATGTAAGCTTTTCGATGCCTGTTACTGAATCTCATTCTGGAAAACATAACTGTCAATGCCCTCTTTTTCTCATGGTAAAAAAATACATAACAAAATTTACCATCTTAATCGTTTTTAAATGTACAGTACGATAGTGTTAACTGTATGTACCTTGTGCAACAGATCTCTGAAACTTTTTCATTTTTCAAAATGAAAACTCTGTACTCATTGAACAGCAGCTTCCCAACTTCCCCATTCCTCCATCCCCTACCCCTGGTAACAGTCATAGAAACCGTGATTTTATGAGTTTGACCACTTTAGATACCTCATATAGGTGGAATCATGCAGTATTTGTCTTCTTGTGATGCTTATTTTATTTAGCATGATATCGGGGCTCATGCGTGTGTAGCACATGACCCAATTTCCTTCTTAAGGCTGAATAATATTCCATTGTATGTATGTACTACATTTTCTTTATTATTTATCTATCAGTGGAAATTAAGGTTGCTTCCACATCTTGGCTGTTGTGAATAATGCTGTAATGAACATGAGTGTGCAAATATCTCTTTGAGAGCCTGTGTTCACTTCTTTTAGAAATATACTCAGAGATGGGATTGCTGGATCATATGATAATTCTGTTTTAATTTTTTCAGAACCTTCATACTGTTTTCCATAATAGCTTTACCAATTTACATTTGCACCAACAGTACACAAGGATTCCAGTTTCTCTCCATCTTTATCAACACTCGTTATTTCCCGTTTTTTTTGTTTGTTTGTTTGTTTTGTTTTGTTGTGTTTTGAGACACAGTCTCACTCTGTCACCCAGGCTGGAGTGCAGTGGCTCAATCATAGATTACCATAACCTTGAACTCCTGGGCTCAAGTGATCCTCCTGCCTCAGACTCCCAAGTGCTGGACTTACAGGTTGAGCCATTGTGCCAGGCTGTTTTGCCTGTTTTTGATCAGATTAGTTGTTGAGTTGTACGACTTTTTTATATATATGTTCTGGATATTAACCCTTTATTGGATGTTTGGTTTGCAAATATTTTTTCTTATTACGTAAATTGCCTTTTTATTGTCTTTTTTTTCTTTTCTCTTTTTAAGAGATTGAGTCTTTCTCTTTTGTCCAGACTAGAGTGCAGTGATGCAATTCTAGCTCATTGTAGCCTTGAACTCCTGGGCTCAAGGAGTCCTTCTGCCTCAGTCTCTCTAGTCATTTCCTTAAAAAAAAAATTACAGAGCTTATAGGCTTCAATTTGTCTGTTTCCTAGAGAGGTTATAGATGTTATTATCCATTTGTATTTCCCTCTAGAGATTGTTACTTATCTACTTTGGGATCTTAGTGTGTCTTGCCTTCTCATTGTTCTCTGTCACCTTCCCTCCTTGGCAAGTATTTACTTTTTCTATTTTGCTTATCATTTTGGTTATGTTGGATCTTTCAATGTTATTTTTATTAGCAAAATACAGTATTAGGAGCAAATATTTTCCAGGTGACATTTTGGGGGTAATTTGCATGGCTTTCTGTGGCTTTCAGTACTTCCTTCTTGGTGTCTTTTCTGTTTAGACACTTGTAATTGGTACTAAAAATAGTGATTTCAGACAGGCTATTAATTTACATGCCTTGGCTCATAATCATGGTGAGTGTGTTTTATGTTACAGCTATACAAATGTAAATGTCAGTTTTAAAAATTATTTAAGGCCAGGTGCGGTGGCTCACACTTGTAATCCCAGCACTTTGGGAGGCTGAAGTGGGCGGATCACTTGGGGTCAGGAGTTCGAGGCCAGCCTGGCCAACATAGCGAAACCCTGTCTCTACAAAAAATATAAAATTAGCCCGGCGTGGTGGTGCATGTCTGTAGTCCCAGCTACTCAGGAGGCTGAGGCAAGAGAATCGCTTGAACCCAGGAGGTGGAGGTTGCAGTGAGCCAAGATCATGCCTCTGCACTCCAGTCTGGGTGACAGAGCGAGACTCTGTCTCAGAAAAAAAAAAAAATATATATATATATATATATAAATGTGTTCTTGATAAAAGTTTTGGATTGGGAACTTATTAACAGGATGAAATTTCACCCATTGTATCCTTAGTTTATTTGGAGGCATTGTGGTGTGGAAAAGGAGCTTATGGTCCAATCAGGAGGGCTTAAGAAATAAAGATGATAGTTTATCCAACCCACTAGAATGTGTACTTGGCTAGAAATAGTGTCACTAGAATAGGAGACTGCCTTACATTTTATTCCCAGCTTGCAGTTCAAGTATGAATGTAGTAGGTACTCCATAAATATTTCTCATATTGCACATACATCAATCAAAAAGACTTCTAGCATTAATAGAGTCAGATGGATTTGGATAGAAAAGACTAAGAATTAAAGAAGGAACATGGTTTGGCAGGGAGATAGGAATATATGTTCTAAATATGCTTATAGTCTTACATATAATCACTGAAAATCTGTCTGTGAATATAAGTTAAATTGGTACTTTGCTCCTAAGGCAGGTATGTAAGAATGTGTGTGTATACATAGGTAGAAGAGACGGTGTTGGTTAAATTTTTATTCTTGAAAGGATATTGGATATAGTGCTCAATAAATACTTCATAAACACATTTTCAGTGCTGTTCTATTGAAGTTAGTTATTTACTTCTTTTTTTCTTTTTCTTTTTTTTGAGACAGAGTCTCGCTCTGTTGCCCAGGCTGGAGTGCAGTGGAGTGCAGTGATTGAGGCTCACTGCAACTTCTGCCTCCCAGGCTCAAGCAATTCTCGTGCCTCAGCCTCCCAAGTAGCTGGGACTACAGGCATGTGCCACCATGCCGGGCTATTTTTTTTTTTTTTTTTTTTTTTTGTATTTTTAGTAGAGATGGTGTTTTGCCTCGTTTCCCAGGCTGGTCTCGAACTCCTGAGCTCAGGCAATCCACCCTCCTTGGCCTCCCAAAGTGCTAGAATTACAGGCATGAGCCACCGCCCGTGTCCAGCCAGTTATTTACTTCTAATGCATTCTGAGCCTAGGAGACATGGATGGCCTTAGCACATGTTAGTAGTAGTTTTTAAAAAACACATTTCAGAAGGGCAAGCAGTATGTTGACAGTAGTGGAAAGTGCTTGCTACTAGTAAACCAGAACAAAAATTCTGTAAAGAGGGAAAAATGCAAACATTTTGCCTGCCTGAGACATTTGGCAAATGGATGATTAATCTTCCATTTCAGTATGGAAGTTGGAATATTCCATATGGAAGTTGGAATATTAAGTATGGAATATTATTTTATGAGAACCCAGAATGAGAATGATGACGATGATACCACATGGCCTTTGAGAACTCTTACTAATTTTCTACATATTATCTTGTTTCAGTCTTTCAGTGCTGCAGGAAGGTAGGACTGGTACATTTTCATTTTATATATGAGGAAACATAATCTGAATGATCACGACTTCCCCAGATGTACTCTGCTGGATGTGGAGAGCTCTACAAAAGCTTCGTTCCAAATCTGTTGTCTCTAAGAGAATAATCTGGAGTCCAAGAAAAATTTAAACTACTTTTTTTTTTTGAGATGGGGTCTTGCTCTGTCACCCAGGCTGGAGTGCAGTGGTGCAATCATGGCTCACTGCAGCCCTGACCTTATGGGCTCAAGCAATCTTCCTACCTAAGCCTCCTGAGTAGCTGGGGCCACAGGCGCACACCACCATGCCTGGCTAATTTTTTTATTGTTTGTAAAGGCAAGGTCTTACTATGTTGCCCAGACTGGTCTCGAACCCCTGGGCTCAAGTGATCCTCCTCCCTCGGCCTACCGAAGTGCTGGGATTACAGGTATGAGCCACTGCCTGGCCTAAACTACATTTTCTAATCAGTTTATAGGGCTAGGAACATCTCATACTTTTTAAAGAAATGTTTTCTTTCCAAATAATTGAAACAAAATTGGAATCGGAAGTAACAGAGCTTCAGCTTTGCATTACAATTAAGTTTTCCAGCTGGGGTTTTACTGGGTCATTTTTAGTAATACAACTACTGTGGTTACCAGCAACAACATTTATTGTTTTCTGTATGTCAGGTTCTGTCTAAATGCTTTTCATGTTTTATTTTTGAAAAATTTCAGAACATACCCTATGAGCAGATGCTAACAGTATCCCTACGTTACAAATGAAACAGGGCATGAAGGGACAGAGTAATAACTTTTTCAGGGGCACACAGCTTGGCGCAGACAGGTCTGGGATTTTGATCTGTGATGTCTGGCTAGAGAGTACGTGTCCTTACCCAGCCTATACCTATACTACATAAAAGTTGCAGACAATCTTCCTTTTCCTTGCAAAGGTGTTGTTCAAAAGCACAGTACAGCTGTGGTAGGAGCCATGGAAAGGAGCACCAAGCAGTGTATCTATACCAGAGTCTGGCCAGTGTGTCTGATCTTATGCATCAGAATTGATTGTAAATTAGTTCAGAATACTGAACCTGAAGTCATATCGAGGTTCAAAATTTGGCTTCATCATTTTCTGGTTGTGAGACATTGGATAAGTCACTAAACTTCTCTAAGGCTGATATCTCACATATGCATGAAAATTAGGTACAAATCTGTTACTAGTACTGGTGCTCAATAGATACTGATTTTTGAAACTGAATATTAGATACTTCTGTAAAATGCTAACTCAGTGGTTCCCAGTTTAAACGAAACATTTTATTTCTTTAGAGACAAGTGTGATATTGGACATAGTGCTCAATAAGTACTTCATAAACACATTTTCGATGCGGTTCTATTGAAGTTAGTTATTTACTTTTTTTTTTTTTTTTTTTTTTTTTTTTGAGACGGAGTCTCGCTCTGTCGCCCAGGCTGGAGTGCAGTGGCGGGATCTCGGCTCACTGCAAGCTCCGCCTCCCGGGTTCACGCCATTCTCCTGCCTCAGCCTCCCAAGTAGCTGGGACTACAGGCGCCCGCCACTACGCCCGGCTAATTTTTTGTATTTTTAGTAGAGACGGGGTTTCATCGTTTTAGCCGGGATGGTCTCGATCTCCTCCTGACCTCGTGATCAGCCCGCCTCGGCCTCCCAAAGTGCTGGGATTACAGGCGTGAGCCACCGCGCCCGGCCTACTTCTTTTTTTTTTTGAGACAGGGTTTCGCTCTGTTGCCCAGCCTGGAGTGCAGTGATGCGATCTAGGCTTTGAGCCTGCTCTCAGGCTCATAGGCCATTCTGAAGAAACAAACATACAAATAGGCTGCTGTAGTAGAGTAGATGTTGTGAAAAGTTTATAACCCTGGCTGAGGAGGAAGTGAGCAACGCTGGCTGGGGTCTTCAGAAAAGAATTCCCAAAGTAGGTGACCTTTGAACTTGGACTTGAAAGCTGCTATTGACTGAATGTTTGCATCTCCCTCACCCCCATTATCCACCACTCTGGCAGTGGTAGATAATGCTGAAAGATTTGGGTTCCATGGATGGGGGTGGGGGGTGGAGTTGAGGAGAATTGGGTTGGGGTTGAAGAGGAGTGGGGTGGGGAGGAGGAGAATGGGAGGGCTGGTACAATGGATTGCAGGCCTGTGGGAATGGGGGAATGGTAAAGGGAAGGCAACCGGAAAGGGAAACTGCTCTTTGGAGAAGTCATGGGTGTTTTAAAGGGAAATTTGGATTAAGTGATGGGAATTTGCTTGGCTATTCCCAAGCAAATATTCCCAAGCAAATAGACTATAGATATTAAATTTGAATGTCGTTTTTAGTTCCTCAGTAGAGAGGATGAGTAGTTTGGCATTTGTGTGTGTTTGTAAAATGAGAGCAGAAACTAGAGGCATGGGAGAATAACTGGATTTGCTATGCCTGTGGATGCCACTGGTTTTAGTTAAGATGCTTTTAATGCAAAATGTATTTTAATAGTGATATCGTAGAGTTTGACCTTCAAGAAGCTCAAGTCTGTAAGCAATAATTCACTTTAATGTGTAAGAGCCTTGCAGAGAATAAGAACATATTAAATATTTGCAGAATGAAAGTATTATACTTTCCCTGGGTGGTATGATAGCCAGAGAAGCAGTTTAGTCTAGAGGTGACATTTGGGTGAAATTGTAGTAATGCTGTGATTTTAGAATTTTAACCAGTGATTTCTAAGGGCCAACCTGAAGCTTGTTTTCATCGTGGAGTGCCTTGGCTATGGGACTGATTTGTGCAGCTTCTAGATTTGTTAACTATTCTCGCTCGGGTTTTTTTGAGAAATGATTTTCATTCCAGAACAGCAGTTCCTCGACCTGAGAGTCGGTCAGTGCTTTTCTTCAGGTCATTGTTGAGGGGGAAACCTATCGGCCAAGCCTGCCTCTCCTGGTGACTTTATAGTGCTGTGACTTTATAGTGACTTTACACTGCTGATTGTGTCAGGGATTCAATGAAAATCCTGACTGATGGTAAAGAGGGCATGGCAGATTTCTCTTGGTTTAGGAGTTTTATTTTTCCCAGCATTACCATCCTTTCCCAAACTTATTTCCTTTTTTTTTTTTAGCCTTCAAGAGGGGCCTCTGGTTCCAGGAGCCCTGTCTTCGCCTTGGTTGGGCTCTGTCTGGGGCTGTGGTCACTGCAGATGACATTCTCTTGACTGGATTATTAATTTCATGATGATGACTATAGATACTAAATTTGAAAAGTAGTGAAGTCTGATGAGGCAACCAGCTTTTCAAAGTGCATTTTGTGAATTCCCTCCAATCCAAAGTGGAGCGGGAACCTCAAATCACTGGTTAGACTTGGTATTATTAAATAATCAGCTCCATTTTGGCAAAGAGCAGTCTCCCTTTCTGGTTGCCTTCCCTTTACCATTCCCCCATTCCTGCAGGCCTGGAATCCATTGTACCAGCCCTCCCATTCTTCTCCACCCCACCCCACTCCTCTTCAACCCGACCCCAATTCTCTTCTACTCTACCCCAATCCACAGAGCCCAAATCTCTCAGCATTATCCACCACTGCTTCTTATCACCAAATCCAGTATCTACTCTTCCCTCTCAACCTACTTGGCATCCCCACAGCCTTGGAAAGTCCAGCACTGCATTTCTTAATTCGTACCTTCCTTTCCCCCTGAGATGTTCACATTCCATGCTCATTTCTCCTTGTTTCTCCTATTCTTTTTCCTGGGCCATCTAAACAGCTTAATAGCTTCAAATATCACACGTCCTCAGGTCTCCTAAACCTTGATATCCTGCCCAGCTCTTTCTCTTAGAAATCCATATGTCACTCCTGAATCTACCCACATCAACATCCCACAAAGACTTGGTGATGGTTTTAAAACATGTTCACACATTCGTTGATACTCCTCCCTCCAAAAGGTGTTCTGATTCCCCTCTCCTTGAATATGGGCTGGCCTTTGTGACACATTTCTAACTAATAGAATGAGACGGAAGTGACACCATGTGACTTCTAAGGCTAGGCCATAAAAAGCCACACAGCTTGTACCTGCCTCTCTTGGAACTGCTGCCTTGAGAACCCTGAGCGAACATGTAAGAAGCCTGGACACCCTGAGTCTGCATGCTGGAGGCCAGGCAGACAGAGACAGGTGCCAGGAAACCTCAGTTGCTAGGTCTTCCTGGTGTCAGTAGCCCCTCATGTGAGCGGGTGCACCTTCAGATGCCCCTAGCCTCAGTCTTCAAGTCCCCCCAACTGAGGCTGAGTGGAGCAGAGAATAGCTGTCCTGACCAAGCCATGCCCAAACTACAGTAGTGTGACCATAATAAATGCTGTTGTTTAAAACCACTAAGTTCTGGGGTGGCTTGTTATGCAGTATTGGATAACTGGAGCAGACCTTAAATATGATGTACCCCCCAAACAAATGCATCATCTCCATCCCTTCATCTGCTCTTCTTTCTATATTTTCTTTTCTTTTCTTTCTTTTTTTTTTTTTGAGATGAAGTTTTCCTCTTGTTGTCCAGGCTAGAGTGCAATGGCACAATCTTGGCTCACTGCAACCTCTGCCTCCCGGGTTCAAGCGATTCTCCTGCCTCAGCCTCTCGAGTCGCTGGGATTACAGGCACACGCCACCATGCCTGGCTAATTTTGTATTTTTAGTAGAGACAGAGTTTCTCCATGTTGGTCAGGCTGATCTTGAACTCCCGACCTCAAGTGATCTGCCCGCCTCGGCCTCTCAAAGTGCTGAGATTACAGGCGTGAGCCACCGCGCCTGGCCCTTTCCGTATTTTCTATCTCAGTAACTTCTCCATTCAATCTGAAAGATTTTCTCTACTTTTCCTTTTCCTCAGATGCCTCGAGTCCCCCTCCACTGCTCAACGTCTGACTATTCCAACCCTGAGCCTTGCAGAAATCCAGCACTCACACCCCATGACACCCCCTACCTGGTTTGAGGATTCATAAATGCCTTTTTGCCCTCTCATACCTCTGCATTGTTGCACTTGCTGAATCTTCTTCGTAAATTTCTTTCCTTGCTGTTCTCTTTATTCTCTCACCACCTCAAATCACTGGAATAGGGAGACCCAAGGAAAGGGAGAGAGATGGAGGAACGGCCAGTCAGTGGAGCAGTCAGAACACACACAACATTTATTGATTAAATTTGCTGTTTTATACAAGCATGGTTATGGTGCATGAAAGCAATTACAATAGTAACATCAGGCCTGGAGCAGTTGTTTATGCCTGTAATCCTAGCTACTTGGGAGGCTGAGGCAGGAGGATCGCTTGAGCCCTGGAAGCGGAGGTGTCAGTGAGCCAAGACTGTGCCACTGCACTCCAGCCTGGGTGACTGAGTGAAACCTTGTCTCAAAAAAAAAAAAAACAAAAAACCAAAAACACAAAAAGCCAACCAACCAACCAAACAAACAAAACAACCCCAAAAAACAATTATAATAGTAGCCTCAAAGGTCTCTCATCACAGATCATCATATACATAATTTATGTATGATTTATGTATTATATAACATTTTGTTCTGCAGGAATAATAGAAAAAAAACCCTGAAATGGATTTCCTACTTTGTTTATTTATTAGTTAATTTCATTGCTACTTCAAAGCTAATGTAGGTGTTTTGTGTGTGTGTGTGTGTGTGTGTGTGTGTGTGTGTGTGTGTGTGTGTATGTCATGATTCAAAGCATAGAAGAAACATTTTGAATTATTAATTGAGAATTTAAAAATCATACTTCATTAGTTTAGCTATTTGAGTTTCTCTGTATGAATTTTGGGCTGAGGAGAAACATAGAAGCCACAGCAGCTTTCCCTTTTCTTGATTCAAAGGTGTCATAATTTAAAAACTTTTTAGAAGATGAAGAGGACATTTGATTTTTTGTTATCACTTAAGGGGAGAGGGAAGTAAGCAGTGAGTCAATTGCAATTCAAATCCGGTGCCATCCCAGGACATAGACCTCTGTAGTATTGTCACGTCCACCTTGGGCTTTGCGCACATTGGCCACCAGGGAGGGTTCGACTCCAGAGAGCCTCACCTGTGTCTAGAGCTTGGGGAGGCTGCGGGCTGGGCCTGCCTCTTCCACAGGAGTCCTGGGAGCCCTCCTGATACTCCCCATGGGGGACAACAGGGCCCGTTGCTTCTCTGTCTCTCTTCCTTCTCCTGACCAAGTTGCCTGCCCATGCAGTCACCCTTTAGCTTTTGATGATAATATTATTTTTTAGAATTTTAAAGGTGTGTTCATTTTCCCACCAACACTCCTACTTCATAACCTTATTTTGTGCAGTGAACAAAAGAAGATGTGATTGTGTCCTTCACAGTGGGGCAGGTTCTGCTCATCCTTTTTGTAGAGGTTGGAAAAGGTGAGTGAAAGGGCGCATAGGGAGGGATGGGGATGGTTTGGGCCTTTCTGCTGTTGAAGAGTTTGAAATTCTTAGTTCTTTTCAACCAGTTCTATGTGGAAAGAAAGGTATTTTATTTGACAGTGATACTAACATTGAAGGAGTGTTTCCTAGGGCCTGGCTCCCGCCAAGCATCTATGGGCAGCAAATGCCCTGTTTGTCCCTCACATCAGCCCTGGGCAGATGTATTTTCCCTTTTCCTGTTTTACTGATGAGGGAGCTTAAAATTTAGGGAGATTAAGGACCTCCCCAAGATCATAGAGTTTATCACCAATATTTTACTGACTCTCCATAATATAGAGAGCTCTTATCTTAAATGAATTGGTTACAGATGTAAATTTGCCAAAATGGAGGTGATTTATTTAATAATACCAAGTCTCAAATGTTGGAGGTTTTAACTTTGAATTATTGACTTAACCTCTAGTAGAATGTTATGATGCCAGTGTAGCCAAAAAAGAAAAGAGAAAAAGTCTTGCTTTTGTTGATTTTAAAAGTGCCTGGGACCTAGGAGGGGAGAGGGCAATGATGAGATGTGGAAAGTGCTGGAAGGGAAGCATTCTGCTTACCCCTGTCCAGCCTTCTTGAGGGATCATTGCTCCCTTTGAGGAAATAGTTTTTCCTTCCAAGGCAATATACTCTGCTTATTCCAAGGGAAGCCAATGGACAGCTCACCGTGCGGGCCCCGTGTCTTGGAAGCACCTGTGGTGCCATTAACTTCCTTCAGTTCCTGGAGCATTGCAGTCAAAGCAGCTGTACTTAATGTAGTTCGTATTTTCCTGCACTTGAAGTAATTCTTTATCATTTTTTGCATAAGTTATACATAACCTTAGTGGAGAAACCTGTGAAAGCATAGAAGTAAGACATTTCTTTGTAATAAAATCCTAGTAACCTCAGCACTCTCCTCCCACATTTGTTAGTGCCTAAGAGTCTTCTTTTATTTAATATACATATAAATTCAGGGTCAAATATGCTATCAGAAACAATTCTAATGAAGGTAAAAACTAATTTTATTCACAAATGTTTTTGTGTACCCTCTCTTTCTCCCCTCCCCAGCACACACCCCGTCAAGTTGATATTCAGGTTCTTAATCACAAGCATTTACTTGCCACATAGGCTGTCTTTGGCAGGCCTATCAGTTTCCTCAATTCGAAGGAAACCTGAGATCTGCTTGTGCCTGGCATTTTTTTTTTTTTTTTTTGAGACGGAGTCTCACACTTTCGCCCAGGCTGGAGTGAAGTGGCGCAATCTCGGCTACTACAACATCTGCCCCCCAAGATTCAAGTGATTCTCTTGCCTCAGCCTCCCGAGTAGCTGGGATTATAGGCTTGCACCACCATGCCCTGCTAATTTTTGTATTTTTAGTAGAGATGGGGTTTCACCATGTTGACCCGGCTGGTCTCGGACTCCTGACCTCAGGTGATCTACCTGCCTTGGCCTCCCAAAGTGCTAGGATTACAGGCATGAGCCACCGCTCCCGGCTGCCTGACATCTTTCATGTGAGAGATCTTTGGAGCTAGATGCACCAGTTACTCTTTTGGATATTAAATGGTAGTGGGTGTTTTTTGTTGTTGGGAATGAGTGTTTAGGAGGAAGGGTGTTTTCATCACAGCATTTCACACCTCCTTTGGTGCTGCCATTCGAGTTTGCTTCTGCCCATGTGATTCTGTCAGGTACTATCAAGGGTTGGCCTGGCTTCTTCATCCTCCTGCTGAGGATATGGCTGGCCTCTCTCCCCGGTCAGCTCTCTACCTGTGGGTAGGAAAAGGTATTCAAGATTCACCTCCTGCTCCTGGGGTCGGGGGGGCATGAAAGGCAGGTCTGATCTTCTCCCTTTCTCGAGCTGTTACTGGCTATTTAGAAAAGTCTGTTCTGGAAGGTGCGTCTAAAGCCTGGGTGTTGCCTTTCTAGCGTTGCAGTATTCTATTTTTGAAGTGATAGAGAGGTGCAGGGCTCTTGTTTATATTGAAAGCTGCTTACCAGGAAGTACTTAGGTCTCTTCTGACAAAAATCAACATAAGCGCAATTAACATTGTCTTGCTTTTAACTTAATTTGCTTTCTAATTCATTTAGCAATGGATGTATTACTAAATGACCTTGTAATATATCTTACACCTGTCAAAAGACAAAATTACAACAAATTTAGTTATAGATCTAATTGGCATTTATTCATTATTTGGTAAGTGGGCAGCCTCCATTCTATAAAAGAGACTGAGCTTCCACTGGGCAATGTCAGAACAGTGCCTTTTATAAGGGAACAAAGAAACAGAACAATAGAAAAAAAAAGCTGATTGGTTAACAACAAGTTACTTCAGGTTACTTCTTTTAAAGGTTAAAGCAGAAGAGACTTTCTTATTATGCTGATTCTGGTAGTTTGGAATCTCCTGTTTCCAGAAAAAACTGATCTTTTTTTGGGGATCTACTGCTTCTTTAAAGTTTCAATATGATTATGTGGCAGTAAGCATGAGTGACTCACTTTGGTGTGGTCTGGCTTTTGGGTCCTAGTGCAGGAGCTTAGTCCAAAAACAGTGGCCTCCCATAATTTTTGTTTAATATACTTTAACAATCACTTCGGCTGTTTCTTCAAGTTTTAAGCCTATTCTTTTTAGAGGTAAAATATACTTTTGTTATTTCTCTTTCCCATTGTAATAGTCTGTTCTCACATTGCTAATAAAGACATGCCTGAGACAGGGTAATGTATAAAGGCAAGAGGTTTAATTGACTTACAACTTCACATGGCTGGGGAGGCCTCACAATCATGGCAGAAGGTGAATGAGGAGCTAAGTCATGTCTTACATGGTGACAGGCAAGAGAGAGCATATGCAGGAGAACTTCCCTTTATAAAACCATCAGATTTCATGAAACTTATTCACCATCACAAGAACAGCACGAGAAAGACCTGCCCCCGTGATTCAGTTACCTCCCACCAGGTCCCTCCCACGACACATGGGAATTATGGGAGCTACAATTCAAGATGAGATTTGGGTGGGGACACAGCCAAACCATACCTTTCTTCCCCTGGCACCTCCCAAATCTCATGTCCTCACATTGCAAAGCCAATAATGGCTTCCCAACAGTCCCCCAAAGTCTTAACTCATTTCATCATTAACTCAAAAGTCCACGGTCTAAAGTCTCATCTGAGACAAGGCAAGTCCTTTCCACCTATGAGCCTGTAAAATCAAAAGCAAGTTAGTTACTTCCTAGATACAATGAAGGTACAGGCATTGGGTAAATACAGCCATTCCAAATGGGAGAAATTGGCCAATATGGAGGGGCTACAGGCTCCATGCAAGTCCGAAATCCAGTGGGGCAGTCAGATCTTAAAGCTACAAAATGATCTCCATGTCTCACATCCAGGTCACGCTGATGCAAGAGGTGGGTTCCCATGGTCTTGGGCAGCTCCACCCCTGTGGCTTTGCAGGTACAGCTTCCCTCCCAGCTGCTTTCACGGGCTGGCGTTGAGTGTCTGTGGCTTTTCCAGGTACACAGTGCAAGCTATTGGTGGATCTGCCATTTTGGGATCTGGAGGATGATGGCCCTCTTCTCACAGCTCCACTAGGCAGTGTCCCAGTGGGGACTCTGGTAGGGGCTCCATACCCACATTTCGCTCCTGCACTGCCCTAGCAGAGGTTCTCCATGACAGCCCTGCCTCTGCAGCTAACTTCTGCCTGGACATCCAGGCGTTTCCACACATCCTCTGAAATCTAGGCGGAGGTTCCCAAATCACAATTCTTGACTTCTGCATACCCACAGGCTCAACACCAGGTGGAAGCTGCCAAGGCTTGGGGCTTGCACCCTCTGAAGCCACAGTTGGAGCTGTACCTTGGCCCCTTTTAGCCATGACTGGAGAAGCTGGGACACAGGACACCAAGTCCCTAGGCTGCACACAGCAGGAGGGCCCTGGACCTGGCCCAGGAAACCATTTCTCCCTCCTAGGCCTCCAGGCCTGTGATGGGAGGGGCTGCCTTGAAAGTCTCTTGACATTCCCAGGAGACATTTTCCCCATTGTCTTTATGTTTGTCTAACGTTTGTCTCCTCATTACTTATACAAATTTCTGCAGCTAGCTTGACTTTCTTCCTAGAAAATGGGTTTTTCTTTTCTACTGCAAATTTTCCAAACTTTTATACTCTGCTTCCTCTTGAGTGCTTTGCCACTTAGAAATTTCTTCTGCCAGATACCCCAAATCATCTCTCTCAAGTTCAAAGTTCTACCATTATCTCTAGGGCAAAAAGCCACCAGTCTGTTTGCTAAAGCACAGCAAGAGTCACCTTTGCTCCAGTTCCCAAGTTCCTCACCTCCATCTGAAACCACGTCAGCCTGGACTTTATTGTCCATATCACTATCAGCATTTAGATTAAAGGCATTCAACAAACTTTCCCACATTTTCCTGTCTTCTTCTGAGCCCTCCAAACTCTTCCAACCTCTGCCTGTTACCCAATTCCAAAGTTACTTCCACATTCTTGGGTATCTTTACAAGCAGCACCTCACTATACCAGTGCCAATTTATTAGTCTTTTCTCACACTGCTAATGAGGAGACATACTGGAAAGTGGGTAATTTATAAAAGAAAGAGGCTTAATTGACTCATAGTTCCACATGGCTGGGGAGGCCTCACAATCATGGTGGAAGGCGAATGAGAAGCAAAGTCATGTCTTACATGGCAACAGGCAAGGAGAGCGTGTGCAGGGGAACGGGCCTTTATAAAACCTTTATAAAACCATCAGATCTCATGAGACTTACTATCACAAGAACAGCATTGGAAAAATCCGCCCCCATGATTTAATTACCTCCCACTGGGTCCCTCCCACAACACACGGGAATTATGGGAGCTGCAATTCAAGATGAAATTCGGGTGGGGACACAGCCAAACTATATCACCTATGTAGTGGCAAATCTTTTTTTTTGTTTGGTTTTGTTTTAATAATTGGATATTTCTTTTATATGAGGCTGTAACAACACTTTTTGCTTCATCTTCTCTGTGTAAATAACTTAAGCTTTTTAATGGATACAGCTAAAAATTTGGCCTTGTTAAAGGAGGAAAAAAATAGGCTGAATAGTGGGAAGTGAGCAGAACTGTGTTTGCTTTTAGGTTAAAAAAAGAAATGATTTTTCTCTGTACAACAGAGAAACATGGCCCAGAAAGTGGAATGGCATACAGCTGTTTCTTTGTAGTTCTTCAGTCTTCAAGCATGGGCTTTTGCTTGTATCAAAATATAAGTGGGTTATGATGACCTCCTAGAATCCAAGAGAATAAAGCTTGAAATTGGAGTAACTGATGTTCCCCAAACCCCAGAGTGAGAATGTGCTTTTATTTAGCATTTTCTCTTCAGCAAAATCTGAAGAGTGCTTGTTACAGAGAGCAAAACTTTTACTTGATCTTTTGTCAGAAAGTTAAAGAATTAAAAAAAGGCTGTTTTAGATATTGGCTTTAAAACTGTTGTTTTATGTTGTTATGTCAAGGGTGATGCCACACACTGTTGACATCAAATCCACCAAAATCTCACTTAAAAACAATTTAGGGCCAGGTGTGGTGGCTCTTGCGTGTAATCCCAGCATTTTGGGAGGCTGAGGCAGGAGGATTGCTTGATCCCAGGAGTTTAAGACCAGCCTGGGCCACATAGGAAGATTCTCTCTGTACACACACACACACACACACACACACACTTAGCCAGGAATGGTGGTGCACTTGTAATCTCAGTTACTTGGGAGGCTGAGGCAGGAGGATCACTTGAGCCCGGGAGGTTGAAGCTTCAGTGAGCTGTGATTGTGCCACTGTTTTCCAGCCGGGGTGACAAAATGAGACCTTGTCTCAAAAAAAAAAAATTTAGAAGTGGAAAATTTGTAAGTTTTAATAAAATACCACTTACTTTTTAGCTCTGGTTTGGAACCTGACTTACAGCAATAGTAGGGAGATTAATAAGGTTACCTCTTAAGGCAGTCTCTCAAATGAAAATTGAGTATAGTTATCTTATTTTTAGATTTATAGATGTCTCTAAACCTTATTTTAAAGTGAGTTCCTGACTACTCTTGTGGCGTTTATTTTATCTTTACAAGCATTGGCAGTAATGGTTGATTTCACTTCTGATTATGAAGTTAGTAGGAAATAAAGTACAGGGGGTGTGGGGGGTGTGTGTGTGTGTGTGCGTGTGTGTGTGTATGTATGTGTGTGTGCACATTTTCCAGGCCCCACTGTCTTGAAGAGGCTTGATTAGGGATTAGAATGGTAGTGGCTAGAGGGCCTCACTAAGGTTTGTTCCATAGGTCTCAGAGCTCCCTTTTTTGTCGCCTTTGCCCTGCTGCCCTGCTCAACAACCCCTGCAAATGTAAGGATGATGGTGGGGGCTGGGAGCTGGGGTGGCCGCTGCCACATGTAGTGCTAAAGAATCAACAAAACAGGACAGCAAAAGACTATGCAAATAGTTTAGCTTTCTCAAACAAGGTCTTCATTGTTCATTCTTTTTCATCCTTTGGTAGCTAGCTGTCCTTCCTACTAGTGTTGACTGTTTGTCATGTACTCTCTCCACCGGAGTCACCAGTAAGACCAGCTGAACTCTGTTGAGAGTTTTGGAGTAAAATTCTGATTGGACGTGGTTTTTTGTGCTTTTTGTGATCGGCAGTGTTTCAGTAGCTCTTAGTTCCCGGAACCTCATTCTCCTATCCCGTCAGCGAGGTCTCCCTTATTTTTGCTGAGATGCATGGTTAACCATTTCCCCAGGCTCCTCCCTAGCACCTGCAGTATCTTAAAAATGGTACTTTTAACTTCCAGGAGCAATACATGAACACAAGAGTATAGATAAAGATAGGCAAGAGTGTAGATAAAGAGAGTTGTGCAGAGACTTCATCTGGTGCAAGTCTGGCCAACCTTTTCTTAGTGATTTTTATGCCTGCCCATGTAGGCCAGTGGTTCTCAAGCTTGTTAAAACAAGACCTCACACCCTCAGAGGGCTTGTTAAAACAGACTGCTGACCCCACCCACAGAGTTCTGGTTCAGTAGGTCTGCGGTGAGGCCTGAGAATTTGCATTTTTAGCAAGTTCACAGGTGATGCTGATACTGCTGGTTCAGGGACCACATTTGGGAATGCTATATAGCATGGGATTTTTTTGTGTGTGCCTTTTAGAAAATCAAATGCTGTCATGCTTGTGTTTCTGTATTTTTCATCAGCTCCATGTCATGGAGCACTTTCTGTGCTAGTACATATTGATCACTTCATTATTTTTAACTGCTACATAGTGTACCCACATATAAATGTGCCTTAATTCTATTAATGGATACTTGATTCTTTCCAGTATTTTTTGTTAACTATTATAAATAAATCCTGCATTGAACATCTTTGTTTATTCCTCCTTTATGCAGCTATGTTTGTCTAGGGTAATATGGAGAAGTGAAATTGATGAACATGTGCACTTTTTGTTCTATTTTTGTTTTAATAGATAATGGGACCATCACTCTATGATGCTCACCACATTAATGCCCGGCCTTAGGTAGTTTGTTTTATTCTCTGCCTAAGCTGAGGCTAACCTGGAGTTGCTAGGAAAATCATAAATGTGCTTACTAGACCCTTTATAAACTGAACCTGAAATGGGCTTTGGGCTGCTAGCCAGTTTTTCTAAGTCTTTTTGTAGACTAACTAAAAGCAGTGATAGTCAACTGTTTTTTTCCCCTACCAGCACACCTGGTAAATAAGAATTGCCCTTAGCAACAATGGCTCACTTAGGTGAACTTCCAGGGGCTATACATCCAAGTATATTTTTTTGCACGACTTCAGTGCTAGACTTTTCCAATCTGGATGTTCTTACCTCATGTTAGATTCCGTGTATGTATAGCCAAATACAGCATTCTTTGTCCCCTCTGCCTTCTAAACCAGTTTGTCCTGTTTCTGTTCTGCACAGTGATGTGTGTTAGGTGAGTTGGGCTGTAGGCAGGGCAAGTGGGTGTTACGTCCTAGCATTACCCTTTTTAATTTTTTGGAATTCATAAATTAAAATTGGGTGGGGGAGAGCTCACACTGAGTTGTCTACTCCTTGTTTTGCCAAGTTATTAAAATCAACTAACAAAAAGCCACCATGTTTTTATAGATATGAGATTTTTAACACTCCTCCTCCCCTTCCAAAAAATCAGGAAAAACATTATCTCAGAATAAAGGGCATTACTTTTAAATTTAGTTTCAGGAACACTGTGGGTTTTTTCCCTCCTCCTTTCATCTCGGACAAGTGAAAATGCTGCTATTGTCTAGAGTTGCCCTAGGTTGTAGAGAAACTGAGTCATTTCTTGAAGAAAAGATTTGATGTCTATATTACATATTCCTAATTAGTTCCCTATTAGTTTGTCATACTGCTGATGATGTTCCTGTCTAATAGTAACTTCTGGGGCATGAAGTGGGCCCGGAATGTGCAGTACTCCTGAAAGAAGAAAAATTCTTATGATTCCTACAGTCACCCATTCCCATTCCCGGAGCACCTGCTATGTGCCCAGCACTGAGCTGAGTCCTGGATACAGAGAAGTAGGGGAAGGTGTTCTTGCATTTCGGCTGCTCCTTCATAGTCTAGCTTCTTCAGTAGCACATAGGCAACTTTCCCGTGAAAATGTGTTCGACCTTTTGTGGTGCAACTGCCATGCCCGCTCAAAGATCACCTGCCATCAAAATCTTCACATAGATTCATCACTTCTGGCCACATGCTAGGATTAAACAAGATTACTGTTATATCTTTGAGCCTTGTGGGAGAATCTGCTTTTCACTTAGCTGTTCATGCAGGGCAGGGTGAAGCAAAGAAATCCTTTCTCTTGTAAGGAAACTTTGATATCTCTTACCTACTTCTGTGCTTCTGCTTTGGGATGTGAAAATACTCTACTAAGTGGCAACAAAATTTGCACCAGTTTTTAACACCAGTGCTTCCCAGATAAAGAGTGACCCTCCAGGAGTTCTTCAGCTGAGCCTGAGTTAGTTGCTCATTTTGAACCTCATGTGGTGTGTAGAAATGAATTAAAAAATAACCCACAGAGTAACTCATTATAATCTTAATCCTTTCCACACAACCAGGATATAAGGGCTTATTAGGCTTTGAATAGATACTATGCTTATTAGGTTTTTTTTTTTGGTTGTTATAACTTACTGGACAAGGTGCTACAGGGAATGAGATGACCTACAAATTTAGACAATCCTTGAGTTTGGTTAGAATGCACACCGAATACCATGTAAAAAATGCACACAAAAAGCCATGTCAAGGAGACAGTCCAACACCTGTCTGCCCCAAAGAACTGGTTGTGGTCTCCCTTTCTGGGTGTATTTCAGTGACTCTGATAGAAAAGGTGTTTTTGAAGGAGGGATGGGTGGCTGTGAGTTGTGTGTGCCTCCCATGAACTTCCCTGGGAAGACCACTATTCAGAAACCTAATAAATATTTAATGTAAGAGGAGGCACCTATCTGTTATCTTTCATAGCGCTGAAGGGCATGCTGCAGTTGCTATGGAGAGGCAGGTGCTGGCTCAGCTGTGTGACAAAGACAGGCCCTCAGGAACAGGAGCAGGAGCAAAAGGTCATTTAACCTCAGCTGGAAGTGCCTAGTTGGTTCTGATGAGTATTGATTAGTTTTTTTATGGGCTGTCCCATATTCTAATATATGTAACATTTTTAATTGTTCAGTGTTTTTTAAGGCACTGTTTTATTTTGTCAGAATTTGGCTTCTAATTGCAAAATCCTAGCCTTGTATGTTGGTAATATTAAGATGTAATTTATGTACTAATTGGAATATTGTGATATTCTTCATAGTAGGAAAAAGAACAAAATATTATGATATATGTAATATTACAAAATATTACACAAATTTTTCCTGACAGAGATTACTTTCATTTGAAGAAGGTGAAAGTTCTGGTTGATTCTGATTATACCTTCAACATTTTTAGAAGCTGATTACAGAATTTGTCATATAAAATTAAAATTTTTGTTGTATAAGAGGTATCCTTTGGGGAAAAAATTTAAATTTTAGAGTATTTTACATGGATTTCACCTTACAGATTCATCAACAAACAAACTAATGTGACTTTTATGATTGTTTAAAATGTTAATTTTTATGTTTCATGAACATTACAAGAACATAAATGGCATTTTTCTGTAAAGTGTTTTGCATATTTGTCTGCTTTGATGTTTAATATGGTGGAATGTACTAAAATCTTAATAAATGTTTAGCTTCCTGTTGCAATGGAACTATCAAATCATTAGTAAGTTTTTCATTGTTTCTACTTTCTTAGTTCCCTAAGTTAGGGTTATGTGATACTAAGTTCTAGAAATGATAATTTTTGATTGATCAGTTGGTCGCTTTTAAAATGATGGACATTTTGTTAAACTATGAAGCTTAAAAAAAGAGAGAAATGAATCCATGGCTCCTGCACGTAAGGAAGGTGTAGACAGGTGGTGGATGCTAGCATATGAGTTAGCTACAGTAAGCTATTAATATATAGGGTGGTGCTGTGTATAATTAGCTCACTGTGGGTGGCTTCCTGCCAAGTTTTAATGAGTTTTGGTCAAAGAGAAATGTATGTCCCAAAGGAGCCAAACTTTTAATTGGGGTTATACGTAAGTCTATCAGTGAAGTTGAGGGTTATGTTTTCAACCCTGGACCCTCATTCGGGATTTGTAGCAGTAAAGGCAAATAAAGATGACTTGACTTTGGGTCCTTATGTTAGGGTTTAGACCTTCTCATTCTGGATACAACTTCTCGAAGCCTGGCTCCAGAGAGGGGAAAAGAAGTGAGTGATTTGACAAGCATTGTTCTTGGTGGTATATACAAACTCCTAGATTGATCATATTTCATCTTTTCAGCAGTTGCCTTAATAATTTGTAGTAATTTTCAGATGGGAGATGTGAGAGTCCATGAAGTAGGTACTTTCCTCCTAGTTCATATGGTTCATAGTGGAGTCAAGATCCAGACCCCATCTATTTAATTCCCAAGTTCATGCTTTGTGACCATGGTCACCAGATACTTAAGACATGGCAGCTGATTTGGAGGGTGTTGCTCTGTTGATTGGTGAACTACCTACTTTTACCTCACTTCCCCTGAGTGTGTGCATCCTTACATGCACATGAGGAAATACATGAATGTGTGTGCGAGGTCCTAGCTCTTGCTGGATTCTGGGCACAACAGTCAGCAGTGTCGTCAAGTCAGAGTTTCTATAGATTATTCCTCCTTCCCTATTCTCTTTTAATGGGACTGTAAGGGAGAGTGTAGGGGTAAGGAAGGGAAGGTTGAGTTCTGCCCAGGACCAGTCTGATTGTGCTTTCTTTTTGTGACAGAGCCTCACTCCGTTGCCCAGGGTGGAGTACAGTGACATGATCTCCACTCACTTCAACCTCCACCTCCTGGGTTCAAGCAATTCTTGTGCCTCAGCCTCCTGAGTAGCTGGGACTACAGTTGTGCGGCACAACACCTGGCTCATTTTTGTACTTCAGGCTGGTCTCGAACTCTTGGCCTCCCAAAGTAATCCAAAGGGATTATAGGCATGAGCCACTGTACCCAGCCTGATTGTAATTTTTGTCTTCCCCTTTTTGCTGACCTGCTTTATTTTCCAGTTGTGGTCCTTGACTAGAGACAGCGTCTTCACAGTTAAGCCTTTATTACTGTGGACCAGCCCAACCTTAATTTAATGTCCAACAGGATCACTTCCCAGTTTTTCCTGTACACAGGTACGGGGTAGATGAGAATCTCTGATATGACTAGGCTAACTGCTCTCCATGAGAAGATACAGACCCGATTTGTGCCTTTGGGAGCTCATGGTTAGTATGGAATGCAGGCATATGAGCCTTAATTGCAACACATGACAGAATAACGTCACTGTTAGAGACTGACCCATGCCATTTAAGAGAAAGAAGTGATGCTGGTGAGTGAGATTCCAAAGCATTTTCATAAAAGACAAGCCACTTTCCTTGGATCTCAACTTTTCAGAATTTTGATAGACCTAGGGAAGAACATTCCAGATGAAGATGGTGTGGCTATTATCTTAGTATCTATTGCTACATATTATCCCAAAACTTAGCAGCTTAATAAAATATTTTTTTATTTTTATTTTTATTGTTTTTTTGAGCCAGAGTCTGGCTCTGTCGCCCAGGCTGGAGTGCAGTGGTGCGATCTCAGCTCACTGCAACCTCTGCCTCCTGGGTTCAAGTGATTCTCCTGCCTCAGCTTCCCAAGTAGCTGGGACAACAGGCCCGCACCACCATGCCCAGCTAATTTTTGTATTTTTAGTAGAGACGGGATTTCACCATGTTGGCCAGGATGGTCTCGATCTCCTGACCTTGTGTTCTGCCCACCTCAGCCTCCCAAAGTGCTGGCATTACAGGCGTGAGCCCCCGCGCCCAGCCACATTTATATCTCACAGTTTCTGCAGGTCAGAAATCTGGGGCTGGCCAAGAAAGTGGTTCTGGCTCTGGGTCTTCCATGAGGTCGCAGTAGAGTTGTTGGCTGGGGCATCAGTCATCTCAGGGCTGGAGGATCTGCTTCCAAGCTTACTTGGGTGGTCATTGACAGCAGGTGCCAGTTCCTCACCCCAGGGACCTCTCCATAAGGCTGTTCACAACGTGGCTTCCCTCAGAGCAAATGATGCAAGAGAAAGAGAACCCAAGAGCTGTATTATTCTGTTGGTCACACAGACCAACCCTGGTGCCACGTGGAAGGGGCCTACCCAGAGGTGTGAATGCCAGTGATATTGGGGGTCATAGAGATGACCCACTGGGTAATGAGTAAGGAAAGGTACAGGGCGTCTGTAGCTGGAATTTAGGGGATTAGGAGTGATGTCTGGGAGGTGAGGCTGATGTGTCGTGAGTTGCATGGAGTATGAATGTGATGTGGAATTAACCTTCAAACAGCTTAGTCTAGTAGTGGAGTTACATTTTGTATGTAACTGTGGAAAGTGACACATGCACAGAGCCACAGATGATCCACGTGTTGCTAACACTGGGTGGTGTGGTTCATCCATGCCTCATAATGTCATGATTGATACTCTTTCTACACACACACACACACACACACACACACACACACGAGTTGTATTGCCCCTGAAAATGCTCCTCTTGGTCTGTTCTTCCTGCCGGTATGACAGAACTTCCTGAGATTGTTGAGTTTAGGGTTAAATCAAATCTGAGGTGACCCACTCGTTAGTTTGGTAGTGTTTCCCCATCGTTTTCCTGTTGCTAAGTGGTGCAGGAGTAGAAGCTGGTGCAATAGTTTCCTAGAGTGCGGTGCAGCTAACCCTTTTACGTACATCATATTGTTTAGAATTTGTTACCACCTTCAACCAATTCATATAAAAATAGATTACATGTGGGAGTTGTATTTGTTTGTGTGTGGTGTGCATCCAAGTCAGTGTTAATTTTAAGTGAGTGTCCTGCACTCTGGGTGTTTTTCGTAGCTACAAGGAAGCCTTAACCGTTGTTACTTACAATGGATTACTTTTCAAAAGTTGTTTAATCTCTTTCAGGTCATTAATGGCTTGGAGACTAATAAGCAAAACCATTAAATACTACTTTATGTCTGAAAAAAGAGTTAATGTTCCTGGAAAAAGCGAGCTGTTTTCTTTAGTTAACAAGGTGGAGCTGGTGTTCCCAGTGGTTCCGGTTCTAATAAGACTTGATGAGTTGGAAATGATGTTATTCTGGAGACAACTGTGGAGTAATTAGAATTTTACCTCATTTTAATTAAAAGATTCTAACTCTAACCTACCTTCCCAGGCATTTGGGAAAGGCACAGGTAGGTCTCCTTGCCAGTGAGGCTCCACTACTCACTTGTGGGGTTGACATCAGGAGAACCCAGGACTTGGGCCTTAGTGAGGTCTCACGTTCTCACCACTAAACAAAGAGAAAGCATTTATGCAGGCATCGAACCAGCGTCTGTGTGTCACAGCTGGACTGGTGCTGAAAAAATCACCAGGGCCTTAGCATAAAACAAAGGCTGCTTTATTATGTTGAGAGCATAAATAGGCTTCTTTTCTTTTTTCAGTCAGATATGAAATTAGAGTTGCTTACTGCTAACATGGAGCCTGCTGGATTGAGCTGTTTTGCTCACTTCTGCCAGATAATCAGAAGAGCCGGGTGGGGTCCCCTAGCTGGGTGACTGGGAGTCAGGCATCCATCCCCCGAACATCAGGCTCCCCATTTGTAAATGTCTTGTATTCCTGTCAAGATGGTTAGGAGGATTGAAAAACGCCGTTGTATTTTATTTGATTTTGATAATACACTTAACATGAGATCTAACCTCTTAACAAATTTTTAAGTGTATAATGCAGTATTGTTAGCTATAGTGTTCAAGTGCATTGGGAGGCGCTATCCAAATGCAACCCCTTCCCCGCCCTCACCCCCACCCCCCGTTTATTGCTACTTGTTATTTTCATGGTTGTGCTGAATTTTTCCCCAAGGCAAATCTTTACCTCTGCCCTTGAAGTTGCATATGCCCCAGAGTGGGTAATTATTAACTGTATTAATCTGGACCATATACTGTACAGTCTTTGGATAACCTGGACAGTTTATAATTTTAAATGTTTTAAAAGTTTGCAAGTCTGAAACTCTGAAAAAATTTTTTTTTTCATAAAAATACTAGCCTAGGCTGCTGATGGATGTGGGTTTCTTTTTGGGGTATGAAAATTAGATTGCGGTGATGTTTGCATAACTCTGTGAATATACTAAAAACCAGTGAACCATACTCTTTATAAAAAAATAGTGGATTTTATAGTATGCGAATTATTTCTCAAGCTGCTATTAGAAACAAAACACTGTCCTAATTGTTACTGTAAAAATACCCTTATTTTCTCCCCTCCCTGCCAGTGTCTTAGGCAGAGCAGCCATTCAGTAAATACAGGTGGCTGAGTGTTGAATAATATAGTTGAAATAATCCAAGTGGCACAAATAGATGAGAGTGGAAGTGGGGGCTGCAGTGTCAGTTGTAGAAATCTCACGGGAGGCAGACTCATGGGGTGGCTGAGACGGTGGCTCCTTTGTCAGTGGAGGCACTGGAGGAAGAAGACCCCACTAGCAGGAGAGGCTCTGGGTCGGAGGGGCTGCCATGATCCTGGAAACAGGTCATCTGGTTGGCTCGTGTTTGAAAGTTGAGAATACTAATATTTTATGGTCCAAATTTTGGTTACCTTGGCCTTGTAAATCAGGAAGCCGTCTGATGACAGGATGAGCCTAAGGTGGGGAGGGGAGGATGCGGTGAGCCACAGGTTCTCAATGTTCAGAGAGCCAGTGTCCTTAAATAGCGAGGTGAAGAGCTCAATTAGGAACCAAAGCCAAAAATGAGCTGAGGCAAGATGGTAGAACCCAGGCCTGGATCTGAGCAGTTGTCAAAAGTCTGGTTACAACATTTGAGAGTGTGGTGTTCAGCTACCTTTTTGGATTCAGTTTTAGTTTTTTATTTGCATATTCTTTTTCTTTTTGATAAAGCTCTATGAGGACTATGTTTTCAACTCCCTAGATGCATATAGTCCTGTACTCAGATATAATGTATCTAATCTCTTCCCAGATTTATAATTGCAAACCATAAGCCACTTTGAGTTGTGTTCCAGCACCTGCCGAAGGAGACGACTAAATGATATGAACCCCATTTTCCTCCTAAGAGGGCATTCAAATTCTCTTCCTCTTGGATTTTATGAAATCAGATTTCAGTTGGAAGATTCTGTCACTTGGCCTCTTATTGTCAAACACAGGTACCTTTTAACGCAGACTTCTACTGAGAAATAATTAGAGACAGGGTCTCATGGTCAGGCGCGGTGGCTCATGCCTGTTATCTCAGCACTTTGGGAGGCTGAGGCGAGCGGATCACCTGAGGTCGGGAGTTCACCACCAGCCTGACCAACATGGAGAAACCCCATCTCTACAAAAAATACAAAATTAGCCGGGCGTGGTGGCGCATGTCTGTAATCCCAGCAACTTGGGAGGCTGAGGCAGGAGAATTGCTTGAACCTGGGAGGCGAGGTTGCAGTGAGCCAAGATCGTGCCATTGCACTCCAGCCTGGGCAACAAGAGTGAAACTCTGTCTCAAAAAAAAGAAAAAAAAAAGAAAAGAGACGGGGTCTCATTCTGTCGCTCAGGCTGGAGTGCAGTAGCACAATCATGACTCACTGCAGCATTGAACTCGTGGGCTCAAGTGATCCTCCCGCCTTGGCCTCCCAAAGTGCTGGAATTACAGGCCACCCTACCTTGCTGAAATATTTAAATTCTGAAGGACCAAACTATCCCCTTCTCAAAGAACAATATGAACTAGCACCGTTATAAACTTGGTACTGCTGTAAGAGTCCTACTCCTGAGGGCTTCCACCCATCTTATTTTCATACTTATGAAAAATAATACATGTTCAAAGCAAATGAATCCAAACAGTATGCAATTAAAACTCAAACTCTCTTAGCCTAGACCCATTTCTCCCAGAGCGGCTGTTATGATCAGCCTCTGGGTGTCCTTCCAGAAATGTCTAGGCAGGTAATGTATACAATCACTTTAAAAGTTCAAATGGGAACATGTCATACACATTATTCTGTACTTTGCTTGTTTTAACTGACACGTATCTTGGATATTAAAAAAAAAATCTAACATATAGTTTCCATTTTTTAAGAAAAAAGCTTTATTGATATATAATTTGCCATAAATAATCACCATATAGTTTACCTTAAAATTCACTTGTTTTAAATGTACAATTCAGTGATTTCTAGTAAACTTACAGAGTTGTGCAGTGATCACCACAATCTAATTTTAGAATATTTTCATCACCCTGTGTCTATTTACAGCCACTCCACATCCCGTGCCCGCAGGCAAACACTTATCTATTTAGTTTCTATAGATTGATTTTATTACTCTTTTTAATAGCAACCTGTGGTCCATTTTGGAAAAATACAAACATGTATTTAATTGTGCTTTATCCAAGCACATTTAGCTTTTGCTGATGTTTTATTTTGCTGCCTGCCTACTTTAAAAAAAATTGGAAAAGATTGAAATTTTGTCTTTGAGCCATACTTGTTAAGAGTGATAAGGGAGTTTTAGCTGAAGTTGTTTGTAGATTTTCCAGTCATTACCTGTGGAACTAGGAGAAGAATTTTGGGGCCTGGATAATTATTTATATTTGAATAGAAACTGCCTGAGGTTGTTCTTGATTAGATGAAAGCCCCAGCATTTATTGTGTATTTTATGGATGTGGGTGAAGTGGAACTAAGTATTTACACATGATTGGGGTGAAGGGGGATTTATTATTTCAGTTTTTTGCCTTTGTCTCTACCTAGGAGGATTTTAGGAGCTGTTGAGTGTTCAGAAGTATGTCTTCGGATATATTCTCCATACTGTTTCTTGGGACCTTTTACTGGGTTGTGGATTTTGACCAAGTGTTTTTTTAAGAAGAACAAAGTAGTAGAACAGTATGAGACCAAAATGTCCTTCATGTTCTAATGGTGAGCACTGTTTTCTTTTTTTTTTTTTTTTTTTTTTTTTTTTGAGACAGAGTCTCGCTCTGTCGCCCAGGCTGGAGTGCAGTGGCGTGATCTCAGCTCACTGCAAGCTCTGCTTCCCGGGTTCCTGCCATTCTCCTGCCTCAGCCTCCTGAGTAGCTGGGACTACAGGTGCCCACCACCACGCCCGGCTAATTTTTTGTATTTTTAGTAGAGATGGGGTTTCACCGTGTTAGCCAGGATGGTCTCGATTTCCTGACCTTATGATCCACCCGTCTCGGCTTCCCAAAGTGCTGGGATTACAGGCGTGAGCCACCGCGCCCGGCCATTGTTTTCTTAAATGTCAACTTTTGTTTAAATGTGTGTGTGAGTGTGCTTGTTTTTTTTTTAACCTCAAAGACTGAAATTTTTTTTTTTAATTAATTAATTTATTTTTTATTATACTTTAAGTTTTAGGGTACATGTGCACATTGTGCAGGTTAGTTACATATGTATACATGTGCCATGCTGGTGCGCTGCACCCACTAACTCGTCATCTAGCATTAGGTATATCTCCCAATGCTATCCCTCCCCCCTCCCCCCACCCCACAACAGTCCCCAGAGTGTGATATTCCCCTTCCTGTGTCCATGTGATCTCATTGTTCACTTCCCACCTATGAGTGAGAATATGCGGTGTTTGGTTTTTTGT
The DNA here is from genome assembly GCF_000001405.40 of Homo sapiens. Lineage (NCBI taxonomy): Eukaryota > Metazoa > Chordata > Mammalia > Primates > Hominidae > Homo > Homo sapiens. The sequence goes on along the minus strand of NC_000008.11, from coordinate 80,135,881 downwards.
TCTTGTGATAGTTTACTGAGAATGATGATTTCCAATTTCATCCATGTCCCTACAAAGGACATGAACTCATCATTTTTTATGGCTGCATAGTATTCCATGGTGTATATGTGCCACATTTTCTTAATCCAGTCTATCATTGTTGGACATTTGGGTTGGTTCCAAGTCTTTACTATTGTGAATAATGCCGCAATAAACATACGTGTGCATGTGTCTTTATAGCAGCATGATTTATAGTCCTTTGGGTATATACCCAGTAATGGGATGGCTGGGTCAAATGGTATTTCCAGTTCTAGATCCCTGAGGAATCGCCACACTGATTTCCACAATGGTTGAACTAGTTTACAGTGTGCTTGTTAAGTAGTAATTATCAGAAATGTTGGAAAACCAGTGCCTTAAGAGTAAGGGTATATTCAGGCTTCCTCTTTGTCAGAGCTCTAACTCTCCTGGGGGGCAGGTAGGCTGGGGCAGGTAGGGTGAGAAGACTCAGGTAGTTCACCGAGATAAAACTTTGTTGAGGTTGGCTGGGGAAGTGAGCCAGTTGTCTTGGGAAGTGGGAGGTGAAAATGAAACTCCCTGTGTGACCACTTTTCTCTATCAAAAATAATAAATTATTTCAAATGTTCTAAATAAGGAGGCTTTGGATAGATTTTAGTCAGCTTGTTAGCTATTCAATTCTGGCAACAACCGTGTGTACATCTAGACTAGGGAGACGTTTACAATTAAATTCACTGGGTCTTGTGGTTGGAAGTAACCTGAAGGGATATCTATGCAAGTTTCCATCCTGTGTGTGCATCCCTTCTGTAATACCTCTGCCTGGCAGTTCAGCATCTGCACTTGCGTACGTCTCCTGGAAGGGAATTCATGAACTCTCTTGGGATCCCAGTTCTTGTCAGCTTCTTCATGTTGAAACCCTCAGGCTTCATATATCTCAGGGTTTGGATTGGCATTAGTTATCTATCGCTGTGTAACAAATTACCTCATCATTAAGGGGCTTAAGGCAACAAATATTTATTATGTCAGGAACAAGTCAGGAGTCTTGGAGCAGCTCATCTGGATGGTGTGGCTCAGGGCCTCTCGTGAGACTGTGGTCAAGTTGACAGTTGGGGCTGTCGTCATTTGGAGGCTGAATGGACTAACGGATCCACTTTCAACACGGCTCCTGCACCTAGTTGCTGGCAGGAGGCCTCAGTTCCTACTGTGTGGACCTCCACTTGGAGCTGCCTGAGTGTCTTCATGACACACTCTCTCTCGGATCAGAAAGGAGACATTAGTAATGCCAAGGATACTCCTTTACTCCCTTCACAAGTGGGCACAGATATGGTCCTTTTTCCACCAGCTCTAGAAAGAAACATGCAGAGATGTTTGAAGGCAAGAAGACAGTGGCCTGCATGACTTGGAGCTTTTCTTAATTGTAAGTCAGAGATAATAATTAATGTCATGCCTAGTTCAGAGAATTATTGTGTGACTCAAATGAGATGATGAGCATTAAGACATTGGAAACTTTAGGTACTATATGAATGTTTTCTTATTGGGGCAAACCATTTTCCTCTTGTAAAGGTGAGCCCAGGGACATGTCTCTCCCCCATCTCTATACTATCAGTTCTGATCTTTGAATGATTGCAGTGCCCCTCATAGGGTTGGGTAAGGACCAAGGCAGAGAATATGTAGATAATGCAGCACAGTACCCGGCACATAGTAAGCATTCAGTTAACAGCTACAATTACTTAATGGTTTTGAAATAGATATGCCAGGCACTAAAGAAAATTAATTGATAAATGAAATAACTACTGCTCCTAAGCTGTGGCCGTGGATTAGAATCACCGTGTCTGCCATGTCACTGACTCTACAGAATACTGTATATGGAAAAATGGTTTTTATTATTTGTTATTTTCTATATTTGGATGACATTTCTGATCTGAATTTCAACCGTGACTTCTAGTCCTCTGTATCTTCTTCTTATTCTGACTTGCTACAATATAAACTTCATCCTTTAAAGAAAAAGTGACCCTGTTATTCTTCCTTGGGGTGTTTTGAATATCCTCCCCCTCCTTGCCCAGCTTCCCTCAAATGTGCCAACAATTTTTTTCTTTTCTTTTCTGTTTTTTTTTTTTTTTAGCATCAGCGGTACCATCAAGTTCCTGGACTCTTGAACTTGATGAAATCGAGATAGTTTCTGTAGGGCTCCATTTGGAATTGAGGAGCAGGTGTGGTCTAGACCTAAGGTCCAGTGGTGGGAGGAATGGAAAGAAGAAATGGAGCCAAAGGAAACTGAGGGAAGGATTCATGTTTCTCTGGCTCAGTGAGTGGGTGGGTCAAAGAAATAAAATGTTTGTAATTGGTTTTAAGCCTGGGCAACTGGAGAAAGTGGTGGTAGTGTTAATAAGAGACCAGGAGGAACACAAAGAGGAAAGAATATCTGGTTTTGGAGGGAAGAAGGAAAATTCAGTTTTGATTCTGAATTTGAGGGGGGTTGGCATCCACCAGACAGCTAAACATGGAATATGGCCCATGGGTGGTGGTAGCAGTCCTTGCTGCTATTCCTGGAACCTCTCAGAGGGTCAATCACAGGCTGTCACCGTTTGCCTAAGTGGTATCCTAAGAAAATGTCTGAAGTGGTCCAGGAAGAGGGGCCGATAATTATTGAGTAAAGGTAAAGGGAACACACATTATTAGACTGGTGCTTTTGAATGTCATATTTATTCTTAATAGCAACTATATGAGTTATATGTGCATACCTGGTTTTACAAATGCAGGAAAAAAGGACCGGAGTGACCAGGTAAGCTATCCAAGGTTATGCAGCTAAGAGGTGTTGGAGCCAGGATTTGAACTCTACACTCAGTTTTCATCAGTGAACAGATTTTCCTTTTACATCAGCATCAGAAGCATTATGGCTGGCTGAACTGATAGAGAACTAGCAAGTATGGACTCAAAAGTGGCATGGGGACCCCTTAGTAATTAATTACTGAGGGTAACTAAACTCCAGGTAACCTTTTGCCCCTTCCTTTCTTCCAGCCATTGGAAGAACGTCCTCATGTGGTACAGTGTCAGGCAGGAGACCCATGTTTCTTTCTCTGAATCAATAGTGGGTGGCACAGAACAACAAAAGGACGTCTGCTTTTAGATCCTGGGCTTCCAAATCTTCTGGCGCCATCAGCTCCCCTTCCCTCTTGGCACCTCTCCTGTCCTCACCCTGGTATGTTGTAAACCCAAGAAGTACTATTCTCTGGGTCCACCTGCCCATAGGATCCTGAATCTTCACACAAACAATAGTAGTCACAATTCTAACAACCAGTTCTGAAACATTTACTATATACTGAATGATTTGCAAACATAGAAAAGTTAATTTTCACGGCAACCGAATGAAATAGATTTTCGGCCTGGCATGGTGGCTCACACCTGTAATCCTAGCCCTTTGGAAGCCTGAGGTGGATGGATCACTTGAGTGCAAGAGTTTGAGACCAGCCTGGACAACATGGAAAAACCACGTCTCTACCAAAAAATTAAAAAAATTAGCTGGGACTACAGGTCCTGGTATATTGTAAACCCAAGAAGTGCTGTTCTCTGGGGCCACCAGCCTTTGTATTATGTTGGTGTGGAGGAGGGAGGATTGGTATACAGATAAATTTGCCCATAGGCTCCTAAATCCTCACACAAACAGTAGCAATCACAATTTTAACAACACAACTTTAACAGGTGCTACAGGTGCTACCTGTAGTCCCAGCTATTTGAGAAGCTGAGGTGGGAGGATTGCATGAGCCCAGGAGATTGAGACTGCAGTGAGCCAAGATCACACCACAGCACTCTATCCTAGGCGATAAGAGTGAGACCCTGTCTCCAAAAAAAAAAAAAGAAAGAAAGAAAAATAGATTTTTATTATCCTATTCTCATTGATGAGGAACTTCAGGTTCAGTGAGTTGAGATTTCACCATTTCATACATCTAATCAGTAGGAGAGTTGGGTTTGCATCCCTAGTTCTTCTGACTTGACAGCTGCGTTCTTAACTAGGATGCTGAATTGCGTCTTCATAGAAAATCTGTCTCCAAACCAAAACCTTTTCCACCCACATCTATTAATAGTTTTACGCTATTCAGTATAGATGGCTGCCACGTGGAGCACCTGTAAAGGGGTGTGTGGCTGTGAGCGGCCACTGAGTATCTTAAAGTGTGTGAGCTCATAGGTATTATTGTAGGGTATCTGGTCCTAAGGTATCTTGGAAGACTAAATGTGGCCAAATTTCAACAATGTTGGAATGGAATGAAGGGTAGAGGAAGTGAACTGTTAGTAGTGGCCCAGGACTCTTGCTACAAAAGCCACCAGGCATAACTGGTTCCACCTATAACTGGGAAATTCAGCTGGAGTCTTGCCAAGGAGTAGCTAGAGTGGAGGGATTGGAAGACATACTGATCTTTTGAAGATACCTGGATACAGTTGATACCAGATTAGCACTTAAAAGGGAGTCAATATTCCTCTGAGTACCAATTAATATTTGAGGGTATATAATATGCTAGGTGTTTTCCTTTGAAATATGTATACAGTGATTAATAAAGCAGATTTATTAGAATAATAGTTTATTAATTCCTAGTAGAAGTATAACAGGCAGATGGAATCGTTGGACTGACTGGTCAGTTTGTTTCCTTTCAAGTAGCTTAGCCATTCTGGATATTTCAAAGAGTTGTCTTTGCTGATTTTTTTCTCCTGATCTCAACACCAGCCTTTCTTCTTGGCTCTCCTCTCTATTCTGACCACACTGGCTCTTTAGGTCACCTTCCTCAGGACCAAAGCTTTAAATACCATTCAGTCACTGACTCCTGAAGCTAAACCTCTACCCCTCACCCCACCCACATTTTAACAATTTACGGAAGACACTGTGTGAAAAATTACCCTATGCACTTGAGAAAGGTCTGGGTAAATTACTTTCTTCCTAGATTGTTCTCTTTAAAAATTTGTTTTAAGCATTTGGGTTAAACAGTAATTTTGTTTGAATGGTGAAAATAGTTTAAATACGTTAAATGATTCCCCTTTTTGTTAACGGAGCCCTGAAATCAGGTATTTTATTTCCCAGCCTTTAGTTGATATTGTAGTGCATTGAAGACTCTTACTGAACAGAAAATGCCAGGATTTATATTCCTGGTGAGTTGGATTGAGGGAAGGTTGGTCACCAAACAGTCCAGCTGGTAGCTCTGCATCTTAATTTCTAAGTCATGCCGCAGAATGTTATTTTAAGCTATACACTTATGAAATATATTTTCTAGTATCTTGTTGTGATTTCTTGACTCTGTCTTGTCCATCTCAATTTAAGATCCAATTTAACTAAAAATTCCTGCTGTGGGCAAGAAGAGTGCTCTGGGTGGAGGGCACAGCATATGAAATGTCCTGAAGGTTAAGTAGCTCTTTGGAAAACTGCTCATCAACCAGATGGTTACCATGTAGAATATGATGGGACTGGTAGGAAGAAATCAGAGGGCTAAAAAATCTGCTACATTTAGGAGTAAACGTGGTCCTAAGAGCAATCGGTCCTTAAAACCACTGAAGGATTTTAAGCCGTGTAATGACATAATTTGGGTTTTGTCTGCAACCAGACATTGCAAAGTAAGTTAGAAGTTTTTAATGGTGGTTTCATCAAGCCTGAAATACTGACTTCTGTGATTTTGTCTGTGTCTGTTCCCTTTTTCATCCTTTCCACCCCATGTCTATTCCAAACTTGCAAAACTTTCCCTCCACCTCCTCTTCATCTCAGCAGATGCTCTTGTCTTCTCTCTCTGAGCAATCTGAGCCAATTCGGTGTGACCTCTTGGGCTTCTTGTCACTTTCCTTCTTCAGAATATAAAACTCGTGACCTGGCTGACCTCTTATCCAGGATGATCATTTAGAAACAAAGGAGAGTGGCCGGGAGCAACGGCTTACGCCTGTAATCCCAGCACTTTGGGAGGCCAAGGCCAGTGGATCATGAGGTCAAGAGATAGAGACCATCCTGGCCAACATGGTGAAACCCCGTCTCTACTAAAAATACAAAAATTAGCTGGGTGTGGTGGCGTGCGCCTGTAGTCCCAGCTACTCAGGAGGCTGAGGCAGGAGAATCGCTTGAACCTGGGAGGTGGAGGTTTCAGTGAGCTGAGATCGCGCCACTGCACTCCAGCCTGGGTGATGGAGACTCCGTCTCAAAAAAAAAAAAAAAAAAGAAATGAGAGTTAGGATTTGAGAGAAGTCGGGGGAGGATGCCACGGTTCTCCTTTCTAATTGCTAAAGTCAGTGAAATCAGCTAAACAAACTATGGAACATACATTGTGGTTCTCAGGGAAATATAAAACAACAACATGCAGGTAGAATACAAGAGCAAAGAAGAGTGATGAGCACTTAGCTATGGCTCAGCTGACAAATTCCAGTGCTGACGTTGCTATCCGGCCAGCATTCTACGTCCCGTGTAGAAGGATTTGTTGTTCGTGTCAATGTCTTAGCAGATTTGTAATGCTTGTATGGGAATTTTAAATGTAAATTTCATGAGCATACAACTTTTAATATAATCATGCTGTTAACTTAATATAAATTTTAATACAAATTGTATGCCTGTGTAAATATACTATTTTATAATTAAACATTTGTTCAATACTTTGTGACTGGTTGTGATTTTTAAAATAATAGCAATTATTTTTTAAAAATTTTAAAAAGAGTTTATGTTCTGAGGCAAGCAGATATGAATAGTGGGGAACAACCAATAATTTTTTCACTATTAATAAATTCATGTATATCTAATATATAGGAGATGAGAACTAGGAAGTATCAAGCTTGAATCTTGCTTATCCACCAAATTCTTGAAAATAAGTGAATGACTATGTCAATCAAAATTTATCTTCAAGTTAGAAGACATTCAAGCAAACTTCAAAGGCTTAATGTTTTTTAAAAATCTTGTAATTTATATTTTTGTAAATAGTTGAAATGTAACATTACAGAGAATGAAATCATTCTGGTACTAATCTAGCATTTCTTCCTGAAAAAAAAAACCCAGATGTAAAAATGATCAAGAGAAATTTAGAAAACATGAAACAAATGAAGAAGTGAATTCTTTAAAATTTACTGCAAATTTTGATGGAAATGGTAATACTGTCTGATACAGTATTACATCTTAATATCTAATATTACCAGTATTAGTATCTGTCTGATACTGTTTATTAATTTTTTTAATATTTAACATTTAAATTTATTTTATTTTATTTTATTTTATTTGAGACAGGGCCTTGCTCAGTTGCCCAGGCTGGAGTGTGGTGGCGTGATAATAGCTCACAGCAGCCCTGACCTCGTGGGCTCAAGCAGTCTTCCCACCTCAGCCTCCTGAGTAGCTGAGAAGTATGGGTGTGTACCACCATGCCCAGCATTTTTTTTTTTTTTTTTTGTAGAGACAGGGTCTCCTTGTGTTGCTCAGGCTAGGGGTCTTGAACTCCTGAGCTCAAGCAGTCTTTCCACCTCGGCCTCCTAAAGTGCTGGGATTATACGCATGAGCCACTGCTCCCGGCCAATGATAAATTATTATCTATTCACTCAAGATAGACAGAAAAATAGAATGTACTTGAAATTTTTAGTAAAATATCTTACTTATTAAAGAGTTTACCATTATGAGGTGATATGTTGTTTTCCTTCTATGAATAAAAGTAAAAATCAGAATAAAAATATACAAAAATAAATTTTAAAAATATACAAAATGAACAGATTTCAAGTGAGATAATAAAGGTTGAAATGGACATTATGAGATAATTGTTTCTTTTGTTTACTTAGTAATGTGATAAGACAGTCTATAGTACTGCGGACAGCTGGCAATTTAAGATAGCCTTTGACATTTTCAGCAGCTATCTAATTTTCATTAGCTGCTTGTTAGAAAATGTAAAAAAAAAAACAAAACAGAAATACAAACCAAAACCAAGCAGCACAGAAGAGTACAAAGTGAAAAACAAAACCATTGCTATCTACTTCCCTGATTTTTGAGTCCTATTTTTGAGAGAGAACCACTATAATGTTTTAGTATTTACCTTTATATTTTTTATTATGTATCTCTGTGTGTGTGTGTGTGTGTGTGTGTGTGTGTGTGTGTGTGTGTGTGTGTGTTTATTTAGAAATCACAAGTGGGACCTGTATTTGTCAGGTTCTAGATTATAGGATAATTCCTGTAAAAATCTCAAAGTTTCTGTTTCTTTGCATAATAAAATTTGAACACTTGCTGGTCTGATTTGCAGTGTCTTTATTTGGGTTTTTCTTCTTGGCAGTGCTCCATTAAATGGAAACTCAGGAACCCAGGATCTGTCCACATGGTGGCTTTACTCCCACCTGTTTGGATGTGAAAAACAGAATTCGAATTATAGAATTAGAGAAAAAGAACCAAGAGCTCTATAGCCAGGCTGCCATCTTTACCTTTTGAGTTTGTAAGTAATTAGATTTGTGAAGATATGAACATCCTGTCAATTTTTTGTCATTCTGTCAGTTTCACTCTATAGTTAACATTCATGCATTTATACAATGATTGTCAAATTATCAAAATATACATGAACGTGAACGAAGTGAAGTTATAATACACAGGAGGATGATAATCCATCAAAAATATTCAGGCCATCAGTTTGGATGAGAGAGCTGGAGAGTGTTGAAATGTTTCAAGTTGTATCAAAAGATTCTTTACATTTATAGTTAGCTGATGAGTCAATTGATTGTTTGACAGTGGTTTCTAAACCTGAATTTCTTTTGTACAAAATTTCTTTTAACATGGTATCTTTCTCTTCTTTTTTTTTTTTGAGACATCATCTTGCTCCATTGCCCAGGCTCTAGAATACAGTGGCATGATCTCAGCTCCCTGCAGCCTTGGCCTCCTGAGCTCAGGTGATCCTTCCACCTCAGCCTTCTGAGTAACTGGGACCACAGGTGTATGCCACCATGCCTGGCTGTTTAAAAAATTTTTTTGTAGAGACAGGGTTTCTCTATGTTGCTCAGGCTGGGCTCAAGCCACCCTCCCACCTCAACCTCCAAGTATTGGGTTAAAGGTATGAGCCATTGTGCCCTGCCTGATATGCTATTGTAAATGAAACTGTTGTAAATAATTTAAAATCAAAATTATAAACTTTTGGCTGGGCGTGGTGGCTCATGCTTGTAATCCCAGCACATAGGGAGGCTGAGGCGGGTGGATCACTTGATGTCAGGAGTTCAAGACCAGCCCGGTCAACGTGGTGAAACCCCATCTTTACCAAAAAATACAAAAATTGGCTAGGCATGGTGGCGTATGCTTGTAGTCTCAGCTACTTGGGAGCCTGACGTGGGAGAATTACTTGAACCCAGGAGGTGGAGGTTGCAGTGAGCCGAAATTGCACCACTGCCCTCCAGCCTGGGTAACAGAGTGAGACCCTGTCTCAAAAAAAAAAAAAAAAAAAATTATAAACTTTTATCTTCAAAAGCAAAAGCATTGTTTACTGTTTCAGTCAGAGAGAAATGATGCGTAATTAAAATCCATTTGGGATGAACAGAGAATGTTTGCAAAAAAAAAAAAAACCTCAATGAGTATTTCAAAATGAAAAGAAAAATAAAAAAGCAAAAATATTTTTCCCTGTGAAAGAAAAGAATAAAACCAGAATAAGTTATAGAATTTGAGATAATACATTTTCCCCCTTGCTTTCTCAAAATAGTATGTAATTCATAATCTTATGCTTGAATACAAATTTATGCTTAGTTTTTCAGAAATTAATTGGAGCAAAATCAAAATAAATGAAACAAAATATAGATATTAAATAAAGCAAAGATCAAATATGCAGGTGAATTTTACAGACTCCATAAATCTGAGTGTGGACATTTATACAGACTGCAGCTTATCTGTGATTGTGTCACCATATTAATGCTGGCTTCTTATTTCCCTGAGTGAACATACACCCCTTGCTGTGAGCATTCAGGACAGCCTGTTGAGAGTGCTCACGTCCTCCTCACATACTCACTTAGGCCGTGTGTGATGATTCTGGGGTGGGATTTCATAACAAAAGTGTTAGAGCCTACAGCTGTCAGTGGTTTTATGTACAACTTTGTTGCGTTACCTTAGAGACTGACAAGGTTTAATAGTTTATCTCTAGAAATTGTATTCTTAGGTAGCTGAATTGTCATATTTCCTATTTAAATTTTAATCACTTAGGAGTCTTTAGGACCTTAAAATTGGGTGTGATGTTGACACTATTGGGTTGACATAATGAATGTTAATGAATTATAAAAATACTGTATTTTATTGATTCTATAATCAAGACACATCCTGTAGTCAGTGGCATCTTAGGTTGAATGAACTGCAGTAGTCTCTCTTTTTTTTTTTAAATCAAAAGGCCAAATTAATTGTGAAAAATGTTAACTTAAAATTTCTCAGAACTTTTGGCTTCTTAATTGCCACTGGAAAAAGAAGTATCAGTATCATCGCCAGCTGTGCAAGGCTTGCATGTTTGTTTGTTTGTTTGTTTTTTAATGGGACAGTGTCTCTCTGTCACTCAGGCTGGAGTTCAGTGGCAGGATCGTAGCTCCCTGTAACCTCAAATGTGCCACCACACCTGGCTAACTTTAGTTTTTGTAGAGAGGGGGTCTCGTTATTAATATTTTGGTTAGGCTAGTCTCTCCAACTACTGGCCTTAAGCAGTCCTTCCACCTTGACCTCCCAAAGTGCTGGGATTATGGCGTGAGCCACTGTGCAGGGCTGAGGCTTGCATCTTCATATCTGTTGGACTCTGTAGTCCTTCATGCTCTTGCTCCTTGGCTCCCTCTTTCTTGAATCTCCACTCTTCCCATCTTGATAAACCATTACCTCTGAGTCTAGTGGTTTCTTAACTCACTTGTACATTAGAATCATCAGGGAAGCTTTAAAAAAAGAAACTGATGCTGACTGGGTGATAATGATGTATCAGTGTAGGTTTATCGATTGTAGCAAACATTATTGTGGCATGGGATGTCAATATGAGTAAGGGAGGTTGTGCATATATGGGGACAGGGGCTATATGGGAACTCTCTGTACTTTCTGCTCAATTTTGCTGAGAACCTAAAATACTCTAAAAAAGAAGGTGGTTTTTTTGTTTGTTTGTTTGTCTTAATGGTCAAATGGTCCTGGGATCAGAATACGTGCTAAGCATGGCAAAAAAGATGATCAACATCATTTAGATAGTGCTATTCTTAAAAAAAAATTCTTTCTCCCCTAGAGTGATGTTATTTTTATGCTAGTGAAATTCATATAAACATACAGCTAGCATATATCATCTAATTTAAGACACTATCAATTGTAAGCCACACTACTAAGATAGAAAATTGCTAATTAAACTATGCCATACTGTGTGTGTATGTGTATGTGTAAACGTACGTATACACACTACTGATGTCTAGGTCCAGACTAAGACCATTGCCTTTAGTCTATGAAACTTGCCAGGCTGGGCAGGGTGGCTCACATCTGTAATCCCAGCACTTTGGGAGGCCGAGGAGGGTGGACTGCTTGAGCCCAGGAGTTCGAGACTAGCTTGGGCAACATGGCAAAACCCCATCTCTAATCTCCACAAAAAATACAAATATTAGCCAGGCACGGTGGTATGCACTGGTAGTCTCAGCTATTTGGGAAGCTGAGGTAGGAGGATCACTTGAGCCCGGGAGGTCGAGATTGCAGTGAGCAAAGATTGTGCCAGTGCACTCTAGTCTGGATGACAGAGTGAGACCCTGTCTAAAAAAAAAAAACAAAAAGAGAGAGAGAGAAACATGCTGATAACCCCTTCTTTGGCTACAGGTCCCTCTCTAGTATTGCCTAACATGTTACCTCCCTTTTTCCTGCACAGTTCTCCAAAGAGGGATGTGTTCTCAGTCTTCACTTTCTTACCTTTTAGTCATGTTCAGCTCAGGTAATTAGGCTTTTCCTTTGTGAGTTTCCTGACATGCTGTCGCTGATAATCACCAGTAACCACCTGCTTGCCTTTCCTTCCTTACTAGACATTCTGTTGCACTGGACGCTGTTGTCCATTCCTTTTCTTGAAACTCTATTTCCAAATCTTTCCAGATGTTGAACTCTCCCAGTGTTTTTCATACCTCTTTGACCAGTACCAAGAATGTAGAACCAAGACTACATTCTTGGTCCATCCTTTATGACAGTTTCCCTGCCTCTCTGTGCCCTCCTTCAGAGAGCTTATACATTTTCAAGTTTTCAGCTACAATTCTGTGCTCATGATTTATAAGCCGTTTCTTTGGTTATTCCCGCCAGCATCAGAATCTTATTTCCAACTGCCCACGCAGCACATCTACTTGGCTATCCCATAAACTTGACCAAGATGGAATTATTAGTAGTATTTCTTTTCATAGAGATGAGGTCTTACTGTGTTGCCAGGCTTGTCTCCGACTCCTGGGCTCAAGCAATCCTTCTGCCTTGGCCTCCCAACTGTTGGGATTACAGGCACAAGCTGTTGTGCCCGGCTGGAATATATTTTTCTTTAAACCTACATTCTCTTTCTTGGTCGGAGGTACCATCGCCCACCTTGTCTTGAGAGTCATTTTTCCCTTTTTTTCAGCCTCTACATACACTCATTTAATAAGACCTACACATTTTATTTTGAATATTTCTCAGCATTTACATTCCCCTCTAAGCCACCAGCATCCTAGCTCAGGACCTCATCTTCACATAGATTCTGCAGAGCCCTCCTGCCTCTGCTTTTGGCCCTTTCAAATTGGTCCTCCACAGTCACCAGAGAGACTCATCTAAGATGCAGACCTGAACTGTCACCTCTCTACCTTATCACCAGCACTTACCTCCTTTCCTCCCACCCACTGTCCTTGTCTCAAGTCAGCTGGTGCCTTTCTGCTCAGAGGACCTCAGTAGTGCTCCTGAGCATGCTTGCAGTTCCGGCTTTCTTCCTACTCCATGCCCCACTGCTGACCTGCTTCTGCCACGGCATGCCCTTGCTGGCCTAGAGGCAGACGTCAGAATTCTCAGCCTAGCAGTGAAGGTTTCCCAAACTATTGTCTGTGGAATTGCCATGTCCTTGTTCATTACCATGCATTCAGCCTGAATCCTGCTTCTGACTGAACACCTTCTTCCCTCTGTGTACTCCAACTGTCACTGGATGGTGCCGTGCAGTTCCAGGCTCTTGGTGTCCTGAACAAAGAATTGGACGTGACACACACAAGTAGCAAAGCAAGCAGCAAAAGTTTATTAAGCACTGTATTACACTCTTGGAGAGAGGAGAGTGGACTGATCTCTGTGAAATGAGATCAGCATCAGTTTGATGTACTTTGGGTATTTGTATGTGTTTTTTTGTCTCTTCTCTTCCCAAGGCTGCCTAATCTTTAGCCAGACTCTGCCATTTAATTGATAGGTGGACTGCTTACTTTGGCCCTTATGTGCTTGTGTGTTGCCTCCATCCCATAATATACAGTCCATATGCATGAGCTTTAATGAGCTGATTATCATATGGGGTCATGTTAAGGATACTTTTTCTCTCTGATGCGCATGCCCATCTCTGAGGAGCCAGCTATGGGGTCTCTTTACTCACTTTTTAATCTTGTTTTTGTTTTGGCTGCTCAGCTTCTGTCTCTTGTTTCTTACTCAGCTACCCATTCACCTTGCTTCTGCTCTCTGCTTTTACTCATTCTGCCCTTTATCCAACTTCCAGTTCCCTCTGTTTTCCTGCATCACAGCTTGGTTTGTCTTACTTTCTGTTTTGTTTTGAGATGTGACGTGTCACCATAGAGAAAGCCCTTATGTAGTAAGACCTGATTCCTTGTTCTCTTGAGAGAACTTTTGTGAGATTTTAGCTAAATTAAATAATTTGATTTTACCTTTCTCATCTATAAAATGACAATAATGATAAAACATCATTGCACAGGAGTTTTTTTTTTTCTTTTGAAGGTGTAAGTAAGCAAAGCAAAGGGGAAGTAGAAAAAAATGTGAAGTAGAAATAATGATAAACATAATTTCTTTATTAATTACATAATTATAATTTTTGAAAAACCCTTTTACTGTGTCTTATTACTACTAGCTGTAGGAACTCAGCTGGAAATCAATGAAAAAACCTTGTAAATGAATAAAGAAAGGGATAAAGCCAGACTGGAGCCCTGGTTTATAAACCAGGCTACCTGTGGATGAAAGGAGATAAAAGAGGACCATCCGATGCAGGTTTTGCGTCGTGAAGGCCACTTGGTTAGGCCTGGGCTTGGATTGTTTTGGAATTAATTCCAGGCATTTGCACTAAGAATGTAATCACAGTAGGAACTCCCTGTAACAGATGTACAGAGTTTAGTGGGAGGTAATTATATTAGATTTTCCACGTGGCTCCTGAGGTTTCAGGGGATTAGTTTGGATGGTCTGTTTGGGCTTGACTACTTTTACACAATGTATTTGTTAGTTTGCTGTACGGTATTCATGGGGATTAATGGCTGCATTAAGTAAGAGTAACCCTAAAACTCTCTGAGAGCTCGTTATAAAAACATTCAGTGAAAATTCTGTCTCCATGGCCATAATCTTTTAATTGAATTGAATTATGTGGCCTCTTATCCTGCACGGAGAAGGGTCTTGTCACTTTCATGTTTACTGGGGGCTCCTGTCACATCTTGCCTTTGCTGGGGCTGTGAAAGGGCAGCAGTTTTGCTGTGTTCACCTTAAATAACCCTTAGTGTTAACATGATTATTTGTTCTTGGTGGAAAATGTTAGAGTGTTGACTTTTGACGTCTTGATAATGATCTTGGATATGTTCACAAATTTCTGTGGGTAGAAGAAGGGAAAACCAACATAAATAAGTTTGTATTTCAGGCTGATTTTTTCTTTTTCCTTTTTTTTTTTTTGAGACAGAGTCTCACTCTGTCGCCCAGGCTGGAGTGCACTGGCGTGATCTCAGCTCACTGCAACCTCTGCCTCCCTGGTTCAAGCTATCCTCCTGCCTCAGCCTCCCAAGCAGCTGGGACTACAGGCACATGCCACCATGCTCAGCTAATTTTTTGAAATTTTATTAGAGATGGGGGTTTCACCATCTTGGCCTGGCTGGTCTCGAACTCCTGGCCTCAGGTGATCTGCTCACTTCAGCCTCCCAAAGTGCTGGGATTACAGGCCTGAACCACCCCGTCCAGTCTGATTTTTTGTTTTAAATGACAAATGAATATTATCTCTATGTTATAAGACATAAGGCAACTGAAGAAAGCCTTCTTAGTGTGAAATATTTATCTTAGATATTTTTTAGCCAAAATGATTTTAGTAAACATTCTGTTTATATTGCTAACTGAAGAAGGTCAAATGACAATGTTGATAAAAGTGCAAGCCATTTCAAAGATTAAAGCAGCACTTCACTTCTATGCATATATTGTGTTTTAGTCCCATCGATAGCTTTTACAGGATCAACCTGTCATTCAATCCATCCATTCTTTTCTTTTTTTTTCTTTTCTTTTTTTTGAAACAGAGTCTTGCTCTGTCGCTCAGGCTGGAGTGCCGTGGCAGCTCACTGCAACCTCTGTCTCCTGGATTCAAGTGATTCTCGTGCCTCACCCTCCTGAGTAGCTGGGATTACAGACGTGAACCACCATGGCCAGCTAATTTTTGCAGTTTCAGTAGAGACAGGGTTTTGCCGTGTTGGCTAGGCTGGTCTGAACTCCTGACCTCAGGTGATCCACCTGCCTCGGCCTCCCACAGTGTTAGGATTACAGGCATGAGCCACCGCGTCCAGCCTATTATTTTTTTTTAGAAATATTCATTTAATTCCAATTTTGTTGTGCTTAGATACCATCTACTGAATCCTTATATATATACATGGTACAAGGTATGTAAACCTCTGTCTGTTATAAATATTTTCTCTCAGGCTGTCACTTGTCTTTTAACTTGTGCTATTCTATCATAACAGAGTTTTAATAGTATATAGTCAAATTTGTCAGTCTCTTAGTAACTTTTGAGTTTTTTATCCCAGAGAGATCCCATCAGTACCCAAATTATTAATGTCCTGTAGTTTTTCTAACATTTTAATTGTGTATATTTTCTAATGTTTTCTGCTATAGCTTTTTATTTCATCTGGAATTTCTGGCTTGAATTAGGGAAAGATTTATCTTTTCTCCACTCATATAAAATGTAAGTATTTTCATACATTAAATTCCTTTATATTTGTGGATCTATTTCTGGACTTGTTTCAAATGTTTTGTTTATTCTTATGCCAGTACTGTGTGGTTTTAAAGGCCATATATTCTTTTAATTTTAAAGAAGCTTATATTTTCTTTCACATGGTGTGAAACAAATTTTACATGAACAGCAAGGTATAAAGTAAAAAATTGAAATCCCTTTTTCTTGAACTCATTCACTATAGTTTCCCTTCCCAAAGTAAACTACTGTTAAATTTCTTGACTTTTTTTCCCCCAGAAAACTGTCCATGTACTAGCACATACACAAAGCCACGGGTAGAAGTTTACAATGGGATAGTATACACATTATTCTTTGCTTTGCTTTTTAAAAAAATAACATCTTTAAGATATAATTCTGATAACCATACAGCTCATTCAATCTATAATTCATTGGTTTTTAGTGTATCCAGATACTTGTACAACATTTACCACAATTTTAGAACATCAACCCAAAAGGATACTCCTTACCCATTAGCAGTCACTCCTCATTCCTCTCCCCACTTCCTTACTCCCAGCCCTAGGCAATTACTGATCTACTTTCTGTCTATAAATTTGCCTATTTTGGATATGTCATATAAATGGGTTTATACATATGTGGTCTTTTGTGTCTGGCTTCTTTCACGTCACATGATGTTTTCAGGGTTCATCCATGGAGTAGCATCTGTCATTACTTAATTTCCTTATTGCTGAATAATATTCCCTTGTATACATGTACCATATTTTATTTATTCAGTCATCAGTTGATGGACATTTGGGTTGTTTTTACTTTTTAACTACTTTGAATACTTGTGTATATTTGTGCATGTTTTTTTGTACAGACATATTGTTTTCATTTATCTTAGATATTTACCTAGGAGTGCAATTATGGGGTAATACAGTAATTTCTATATTTAACCTTTTGAGGAAATGCTAGACGGTTTTCTGAAGTGACTGTACTGTGTTACATACCTGTTAGGAGTGTATGAAGATTGTTGTTTCTCTGGATCGTCACCAACACTTATTATTGTCTTCTTGATTATAACCATTCTAGTGGGTGTGAAGCATGAGGTGGTTTTGATTTGCATCTCCCTGATGTCTAATGATGTTGGCCATCACTGTGTGTGCTAATTGACCATGTGTATGTCTTCTTTGGAGAAATGATTTATTCAGATTCTTTGCACACTTGAAAATTTGGTTGTCTTTTCATTATTGAATGGCAAGAGTTCTTTTTATTTTCTAGATACAATGCCATCATCAGATAGATGATTTTACAGTATTTCCTCACATTCTGTGGGTTGTCTTTTCACTTCGTTGACGGTGTGCTTGAAGCATAAAAGATTTTAATGTTGATGATGTCCAATTTATCTATCTTTTTTTGTGCTTTTGGTGTCCTGTCTAAGAAACCATTGCATGATCCAATGTAGAGTTATATCTGTGTTTTCCTCTAAGAGTTTTATAGTTTAAACCCTTACATTTAGGTCTTTGATTCTAAGTGTATGGTTTGAGGTAGGGGTCCAGTTTTATTCTTTTGCATGTGGCTATCCATTTTCCCCAGCACCATTTAATGAAAAGACTATTTTTCCATGTCAGACTGTCTTGGCACCTTGTCAGAAATCAATTAACCTTAACTGTGAATGTCTATTTCCGAACTCTGAATTCTATTCCATTGACCTATATGTCTATTCTTATATCTATAACACATTATCTTGATTACTGTAGTGTTGTAGTGAAGTTTGAAATTAGAAGGCTTGAGTCTGGGTTGGGTGCGGTGGCTCACACCTGTAATCCTGGCACTTTGGGAGGCTGAGGTGGGCGGATCACGAGGTCAGGAGATCGAGACCATCCTGGCTAACATGGTGAAACCCCATCTCTACTAAAAATACAAAAAATTAGCTAGGAGTGGTGGCACGCGCCTGTAGTCCCAGCTACTCGGGAGGCTGAGGCAGGAGAATCGCTTGAACCTGGGAGGTGGAGGTTGCAGTGAGCCAAGATTGCACCACTACACTCCAGCCTGGGCAATAGAGCAAGACTCTGTCTCAAAAAAAAAAAAAAAAGAAAGAAAAAAAAAGAAAGCATGAGTCCTCTAAGTTGTTCTCTCTTTCAAGATTGTTTTGGCTACTCTGGGTCCGTTGAATTTCTGTGAGAATTTTAGGATCAGCTTGTCAATTTTTGTCAAGAAGTCAGCTGGGATTTTGATAGGCATTACACTGAATCTGTAAATTGATTGAGAGGTATTGTCATCTCCACAATATTAAGTCTTCAGACCCATGAATATGGATGTCTTCCCATTTTTTTAGACTTGCCATTTATTTAAATGTATTTAATTTCTTTCAGCCATATTTTGTAGTTTTCAAAGTATAAATTCTCTTATTAAATGTATTCTTTTCAATGCTGTTGTAAATACAATTTTGTCTTAATTTCAATTTTAGGTTATTCATTGAAATTGTATAGATACGTGATAAGTTTTGTGAATTGATCTTATAAGCCTGCAAAGTTGCTGAACTCATTTATGAGTTCTAATAGTTTTTTAATGGATTCCTTATTATTCTATACATGAGATTATGTTACTGCAAATGGAAATTGTTTTACTTTTTCATTTCCAAAACGGATGCCTTTTAGTCCTTTTTCTTGCCTAAGTGTCCTGGCTAGAACCTCCAGTTCAATGTTAAATAGAAGTGATAAGAACAAATACCCTTTCTGTTCCTGGTCTTAGGGGAAAAACATTCGGTCTTTGTTAACTAAGATGTTAGCTGCGGTTTTCCATAGACACCCTTTATCAAACTGAGGAAGTTCCTTTACATTCCTAGTTTGTTGAGTGTTTTGATCATAAAGGGTGATGAATCTTGTCAAATGCTTTTTCTATGTCTCTTGCATCTATTTTGATGATCATATGTTTTAGTCCTTTATCTATTGATATGATTACATTGATTGATTTTTGGATGTTAAAACAAACTTACATTCCTGGGATAAATTCTACTTGCTCATACTAAATAAACTTTTTTTTTTTTTTTAACATTCCTAGATAATGGTTTGCTAGTATTATGCTGAGGACTTTCGTGTCTGTATTTATTAGAAATACTAGTCTGTCGTTTTCTTGTGATATCTTTGTCCGATTTTGGTAGCAGGGTAATACTGGCCTCATAGACTGAGCTGCATAGCATTTCCTCCTCTTCTATTTTATGCTGAAAGTATTTGTGAATAATTGGTATTCATTCTTCTTTAAATATTTGGTAGAATTCACCAGTGAAGCCATCTGGGAGTAGGCCTTTGCATGTGGGTGGTTTTTGAATATCTTTGCTTGTTAGAGGTCTTTTCAGATTTTCTGTTTATTCTTGAGTCAATTTCAGGATTTTGTGTCTTTCTAGGAATTTGTCATTTCATCTAAGCTAACCAATCTGTTGGCACACAGTTGGTCATAGTATTACTTTATAATCCTTTTTATTCTGTATGGTTGGCAATAATGATTGCTGTTTTAATTCAGGATTTTAGTTCTACCTTGCTTTTTAATGCTTTATATTTTAGAGATCTTTTTGTAAAAATTGAATTCATCTTTTAGTGACCACATAGTGTTCCATAACTAACCTATTTATGGTCATTAATGTTATGAATAATGCCACAGTTAATATCTTTTGATATATTGTAGGGTACTTTTGGTGATAGTGTGTTTCTGAGGGTAAATTCTTAGCAGTTGATTTGTTAGGTCAAAGGGATATAATGTTCAATATTAGTAGATATTGACAAATTATCCTTTATAGAGTTTGCACTATTTACATTTATTTTTCTATACTATGATATCCTTTACTTCTTTGTCTTTTATTGGGTTATTTATTTTAACAAGTTTTTGTTATATTAAGAAGAAATTAGCCTTTGTCATATGTCTTCCAAATATTTTTTCCTTGTTTATAGTTTCTTTTGACCTTGTTGAACATTTTTTGCCATACGGAAGTTTTAAAGTTTTGTGTGGTCAGATTTATCCTCCATTTCCGTTCTGGCTTCTGGACTGGTATCACTGCCATGTATCACACGGTATTACTGCCATATAAATAGGCTCTGTTAGGCTTCAAGAAACAAGTGATGGATTTTATTGAATTCATAGAGAATAAGAAAAGTAGGACTAGCCACACAGTTAAGTTTATGTTTTGGGGATACAGCAGTCTTCCAGGAGTTAGTCTGTAAGGTCTGCCCTCTGCAGGGAGCTTGATTGAAAATCTAGTAGTTGGCTGTTCAGAGATGACATTCCATTCCTCTCTTGCCTCCCTTCCTTCTCTCTAGGTGACATTCTACTGTTATGGTTCTGCTGCCTTTTCCGCCGCTTGTATGACTCTTGATCTTTCTTGTTTATTGAAGCCTTATAGCTTCTGCTCTCTTGCTCTGCTTTTCGTCATCTCTCTGTAGGTCATTGTGGCTTCTGTGCCCATTGGTAAGTACTGACTCTTGGTATCTCCATTTTAGACTCCTGTTCAGAGGAGAGATCAGATTGGTTTGTCAGGTCACTGTTTTTTATTCATTGTAGACCACTGTAGACGGGCGGAGACTTTCTGCCAAGCCTGTCTTCAGTCTGCAGATTGGCTGCTCTTTGCACTCTCCAGTCGGCCTGGGCTTCAAAAGTGGGCCTAAGTGGTTGAATGTAGGGCAGCCCTCTGTGTTTAAAAAAGTCAAAAAGCTTAAAAAGGTGCATGTGGCAGAAATTTTCAAAAAACAAAAGGAGCATTATAAGCAACAGGCCCCTTCCATTGTCTGACTTGTAAAATGTGCAACGCAATAGGCAGCTATTCTTTGTGTACAGATGTACCTCAAATCCCAGACCATCAGGGCCCTCAGTTAGCTAGCGTCAGTGGAGGGGTACGACTCAGACACAATTAACCACAACATATGGAAGCATGGAAGATGGCACTTGGCAGAAACTAAGCCTTAGGAGTGGAGCCTGTCACGCCACTGAATTCAGGGATGTGTTTGAAACAGACACCGTTTCAGAGACCTTGGAGAGTAGTTTCTCATTCACAATAGGCATCACGTTGATAGATAAAGATATTGTGGTATAGGCAAGGCAGCCAGAAAGGGCTACATCAACAGAGGCACAGGGGCAGGAAAGCAGGAAGTAAGGAAATGTCAACTCTTGGACTTCTGAGTCTGACTTAGGAAAAATTAAGGATGGAAAGGTCAGTTAGGGCCTAATTTTGGAGTGTCCAGATTCCCTGAGAGCGTGCTTGGATTTTATTTGATTAGTAGTGGGGAGCTATTGAAAGTTTTGAGCTGGACAATGACATTAATTAACTAATTAATGCAACAAATATTTATGTGTGTCAGGCACTGTTCTAGGCATTTTGGGGTATAACAATGAGCAAAATAAACCAGAAAAAAAATTCCTGCTTCTAAAACTTATGTTTTAGTTGAGGAGGCAGTCAATATTACTATGTGTAATAAGTATATCATATAGTATGCTAGGTAATATATTCTGTTGAAAAAATTTAAAAAGTAGGGTAGTGGGGAATGGGTGTATAGGTGGAGGTTTAGGGAGAAAGGCAGAGTTGTGATTTTATTTTATTTTTTGAGATGGAGTCTCACTCTGTCGCCCAGGCTGGAGTGCAGTGGCACGATCTTCACTCACTGCAGTCTCCACTTCCTGGGTTCAAGCAATTCCCCCACCTCAGCCTGCTGAGCAGCTACAGGTATATACTGCCACACCCAGCTAATTTTTGTATTTTTGGTAGAGACGGGGTTTTACCATGTTGGCCAGGCTGGTCTTGAACTCCTGGCCTCAAGTGATCTGCCTGCTTCAACTTCCCAAAGTGCTGGGATCACAGGTGTGAGCCACCATGCCCGGCCTGTGATTTTATATATGCCTCTTATTTTTACTTGACACATAATTGTATATATTTATTAGATACAGAATGATACTTTGATATCGGGATACAATGTGTAATGATCAAATCAGGGTAATTAGCATATTCTTCACCACAAACATTTATCATTTCTTTGTGTTGTGAACATTTAACATCCTCTCTTTTAGCCTTTTGAGGATATAGAATAAGTTATAGTTTCTACTCTCTACTTCCATGAGGCCACATTTTTTTTAGCTCCCACATATGAATGAGAGCAGGTGCTTTCTGTGTCTGACTTGTTTTGCTTATCATAATGTCCTCCAGGCTCATCCATATTGCTGTGAATGACAGGATTTCATTCTTTTTTATGGCAGCATAGTATTCCATTGTGTGTATATGCCACATTTTCTTCATCTCTTCATCTTTTGATGGATGTTTAGGTTTATTTCATATCTTAGTTATTGTGAATAGTGCTGCAGTAAACATGGGGATTCAGGTATCATTTTGAAATACTGATTTCCATTCCTTTGGATAAATAGTAGTAGGGTTGGTAGATCATATGGTCATTCTATTTTTAGTTTTTTGAGAATCCTCCACACTGTTTTCCATAGTTACTGTACTAATTTACAGTCTCACAAACAGTGTATATGAATTCCCTTTTCTCTGCATCATTGCCAGCACTTGTTTTTTTTTTTTTTCTTTTTG
The DNA here is from genome assembly GCF_000001405.40 of Homo sapiens. Classification (NCBI taxonomy): domain Eukaryota; kingdom Metazoa; phylum Chordata; class Mammalia; order Primates; family Hominidae; genus Homo; species Homo sapiens. The sequence goes on along the minus strand of NC_000008.11, from coordinate 80,113,261 downwards.
ACAATAGCCATTCTAACTGGGGTGAGATGATATTTCATTTCATAGATGTGATTTTAAATAGGTGGTCAAGGTAGGGTTTAGTGAAAAGGTGCCAGAAGATAGAACCTGCTGCAGGTTGAGCATCCCTAATCTGAAAATTTGACATCTGAAATGCTCCAAAATTTAAAAGGTTTTGAGAGCTGACACCACAAATGGAGACTTCCACACCTGACCTTGTGACAGGTTGCCGTCAAAACTTGGTTTCATGCACAAAATTATTAAATATAGTGTATAAGTTTACCTTCAGGCTATATGTATAAGGTGTATATGAAATATAAATGAATTTTATGTTTAGACTTGGTTCCCATCCCCAATATATCTCATTAGGTATATGCAGATATTTCAAACCTGAAAAAATCGGAAATCTGAAATACTTCTGACCCTAAGCATTTCAGATAAGGGATATTCAACCTGTAGTTCATTAGGGAGAATATTATAGAAAGCCAGGTCGAATATTGTTGAATGGGTTGGGGGGTTGCTGATGAAGAGTCTGGAGGCAAGAAAACCACTGAAGATTTGTGTGAACTGATAAGTCGCTTCAGTGTTGGAAGTGAAATTTTTTTCCACTTGGTTTATATTTTTCTACCTTAGCAAAGAAGTCCAGCAGTTAACTAGCCCAATAAACTCTACATTGTTTTTTTAGACTTGCGAGATACGATTTCTAAACTATTGGTATTCTTTACTACCAAGAGTCTAGTGTTTCTTTATTTATGGACTACTCATACCAGAATCACTTGGGGGTACTAGTTAAACATAGAGATGCCTGGGACCTGCCCCAAATCTTGGAGGAAGAGCAAGATAGTGGCCAAGAACACAGGCTCAAGGTAATCAGTCTGGGTTCAAATCCTGGATCTGCCCTTACTTGACTGGGTGGTCTCGAGCAAGATACTTACTTACCTTTTCTGTGCCTCAGTTTCGCCATCTGTAAAATGGGAATAATGATAATATCTACTTCATAGAATTATTGTGAGGATTAAGTAGATTAATTTATGTGAAGTGCTAGAGCACTGCTTATCACCTGGTACACACTTAGTGTTAGCTACAATTGTTTGTATTCAATCATAATCTCTGAAGGTGAGGCAAGTAATCTTCAAATTCAACAGTCACCCTGGGTATTTTATTTGTCCTTGTGCTGTGGGAAAAACTGTTATTACTTCTGGAGCCATGGTGAATTCTGTGAGTGGTCCACACATCAGGTATGGTGACTTAGTTAGAATATGAGCCAATTAATGTTTTGATTTCACACATACAATGGTTTATTTAGCAACAAATGCCACTGTTTACTGTACATATTGCATGTTAAGCATATTCTGTTGCCATTCACAACAACCCTATGATGTAAGTAAATATCACTCAGATTTTACAGGTGAGAAAACTGAGGCTTACACTGATGAAAACTTTCCCTAAGTGACACAGCCTGTGAGCTGTGCAGTTGTCATTGATCCTTGGCTCTGCCTGACCCAAGAGTACTTGTTCCTTCTACATCTTCTAGTTATTCAACCTTTTTATCTTGCAAACATATATATTTTATAGTCAGATGCATTTGTACAAATTCTTTACAACTATTGGATAAAAACCTCACTGGGCATGATTTATTAATGGTAAGCTAGTTGCATCATTCTATATGATCAAGATCTTAAAAAATTTTGTCTTTGTAAGTGTAGAGATATAGGAAAAACCAAAGTTCTTTTCCCATTCTAACATAGTCACTCAGTACCACACAGAATGCTTCTGTTACCAGTACATGGGGGTTTTTCCCTACACACTAACCAAACAGTTCTGCAGCAGACATCAGCTCTGGTGTCTCCTCTAATTCAATTTAATTTTGACTCTATCTAGAGGTAGTGTCAGATCCCACTGCTTGAGAGCTCAGTCCCATAAGACTGTCCCCCACTTCAGATGCCAATCAAAGTCAGGGCCTCCAGAATATGGAATTTCTGACTGACCAGTGGTTAAAGAAAAACTTAAGCACTTTTAAACCATTTATTTTTATTTTTTATTTTTATTTTTAGAGACAGGCTCTTGCTCTGTAGCCCAGGCTGGAGTACAGTGATGATATCGTAGCTCACTGCAGCCTCGAACTTTTGAGCTCAAGTGATACTACCACCTCAGCCTCCCAAGTAGTTGAGGTTACATGTGCACATCACGATGCCCTGCTAATTTTTATGTTTTTATTTTTCTTAGAGACAAGGTCTCACTATGTTGCCCAGGCTAATCTTGAACTCCTGGCCTCAAGTGATCCTTCCACCTCACCCTCCCAAAGTGTTGGAATTACAGGCGTGAGTCCCCACACCCAGCCGAAACAGCTTGAGCATTCAGCAGTTGATGGATAGGGTAGCAGCAGACCACAAGGGAGTGTCACTCCTCCAGGAGGGGCAAGAGGGGAAGCTTTTATAAAGTATTTGCAGAAGCAAGACAAATAAACCAATTTTGATTGATTAGAGTGGAAAGTTCCTAGTTAGAGATTAGTTGGTAGTTTCTGATTGGTGCAGTTTCTGGTTTTAATTTACTGTTTACATTGGGCTTTGGTTTGTTCGATTAGGGATTTAAAGTGACAAGAGCTACCCTACCCTAGTCTAATGGACTCTCAATTGGAATGGTTTTTTTTAAGTTTCCTCCTTTTTTTTTTTCATTTATTTATTTATTTATTATTATTATACTTTAAGTTTTAGGGTACATGTGCACAATGTGCAGGTTAGTTACATATAAGTTTCCTCCTTTTGGTCAGCCTCTCATTTATAAACTTGGACGTAAGTGCCACTCTCTGTCACCATCATGGCTAGGTTGTCTTTGTCTTAGTGTGGAACTCATAAATCATGACAACAGGCTCAATGAAAAACAATTCCTTTTGTTGTCAATCTCATTTTTTTTCTAATCACAGTGAGACAATCTGGTATGCTGTTGATGTTTTTGAATATACATTTAAGACCCTTGAGAGAATATAGTGCACCAGGAAGATTATAATGATGACTACCAGGAGGATAATACTGAGAGACTTAGCTTCTTAGTTAAAGTCCCCACGAACCAAACTAACTAATATTTCTATGGAAGCAAAAGAAAAACAAAGCTTAATGATAAGAACAAATCATAAATTCGGTCTCTGAGTCCAGAGGGTGATTAGTCAGGAAGATTTCTAGATTTGAGCTCTAAGCATATTTTCCTGGTTTGCAGTTTGAATGCCCCTAGTTATGGCAGTGGGCATTTTGGTGAACTCCCTGAGTGGTCCACACATCAGGCATGAGGGTTGTCCTCTGAACTTGTATCAGGTATACATCTCCATCTTGCAGGGTTTCAGGAGCAGAGCAGTTCTTGTTCAGAGTGATTCCAAGTCAGAAAAGTGGGAGAAAATTGGATGGAGGAACCTAGAAGAACTGAGGATTCAGTGCAAACTACAGGTAGATAATAAAACTTGAAAACAGTTAATAGGGCTGCAGTCTAATAACAGGTGTACTATTGTTTCTTTCTGAAACATAATTTTCTCTCTGTAGTCATCCTTGTTTCTACCAAAGATAAATGGGCCAGGCGCGGTGGCTCACACCTGTCATCCCAGCACTTTGGGAGGCCAAGGCGGGTGGATCACCTGAGGTCAGGAGTTCGAGACCAGCCTGGCCAACATGGTGAAACCCTGTCTCTACTAAAAATACAAAAATTAGCCAGGCATGGTGGCAGGTGCCTGTAATCCCAGCTACTCAGGAGGTTGAGGCAGGAGAATCGCTTGAACCTGGGAGGCGGAGGTTGCAGTGAGCCGAGATTGCACCATTGCACTCCAGCTTGGGGGACAAGCTTGAGACTTCGTCTCCAAAAATAATAATAATAATCAGTGTAAGACTAATTTGATTGCATAATAAATTTTGTCTCATCAGACTTGGCCTGATTATGTAAGTGCAGTAAGAATAGTGATTGACCGCACAAGTTCTTTTTAAAGTTTGTTTTGCTGGAACCTTTGATAGGGAATCAGATTGAACTTTTAAAAAAACCTCTTAAATCTAGGAAGCCAAACCAAGGCAAATTTTAGACTTCACCTGCAGTACCTATATATTTGGGTGAATTCTTCTCTTCTCGTAAGGTCCCCCAAATATCTTGAGGTTCCTGGGTCTGCTGGGAACTGATAGCTTTTACTCACTCACTGTGAGACTGGGAACACTTTTAGCCAGGCATTCTATGCACACTGTCAAATATGACCCTTGGTAATATAACCAATGTTTCCAATTGTGTCTTGTTATAAAGAGAACAGATTCTTTTTGAACTTATGCAAATAGTTATATTGCCATAAAAAAAATCTTCACAAGTAGCTTTCCAAGTTCCCGAGGATCAGGTAGAGAGGAAAAGTAAATACTTCAATCTTTATTCACAAAAGTATACTTTTCCAAATTGCTGCAAGCAGTAGATAGCTTAAAAGGTAAAATGTTTCTTAAAACTTTAAAGAACCAGCAAAACTTCCACATATAAAGTCATAAAAACATTATTTTCATCAGTTATTCAGTCTTATGTAATTCTTGTTCTGCATGATCTCGGGATAGCAGTTTCACAAACTCACCAGTTTCTTTATTAGCGTTCTGAGAATTCTTACCCACTTTCATGGCATTATCTTAATTTAAAGTTATAAGAAACCTGTATATCCAGAGTACTTGTCAGAGTTCTTTCCGTGAATATCTTTGAAGAAGAAGCAATTTTGGACTATAGCTGATTGCAAATGCTTTTAGAGAAAAATCAAAACAATAACTGCCTATGGATGACAAGACTTAAGATGGCCATAGTTAAATTCTAATGAGGTTTCATTATAATAATGCAACTGACAAAAAAATCTGGTTATTTTCTGTGACATACAACATTTTAACATAATAATCAAGATTATGACTGTAGACATTTTATAAAACATAATTTCAAAAAGTTTTAAACTTTTATTCCATTTATATTTAAGTCACTCCTTCTTAAACAAATATACTTGAATTGCTCATGAAAAATGTCATGAGATATTGAACAGAGTTAGCCATTGAAAGAGTTCAGGAAATGCCACTCCAAAATTTACTGCTTTGGAATATTGATTGCTTTGAGCCGAAAGCATTTGAAAAATAACAAATGCAGGGAGGGGCTTTTTGGGACTCCTTTGTCTGCCTAAAGACAGGTCCTCCAAAGAAATTCAGCTATCATCCATGCCTTCTCCCACGCCATCATCTTAATGTTATTTAATTTTTCTTGACAAATCAGGCAGGTATCACAGTTTTTTACTTCCATGACTGACGTGCATCAAGATCAAGCAATTCATTTTTACTGCACATTTTCCTCTTAGGTTGGATTTATGGTTTTATGATCTTAAACATCTAGCAGAGCCAACACCAATCTGTCTAACCAGCAACCCAGGAAAAACTTGAGAATTCTGAGAAACTCCCATTTTATTTTACCGACAATTTAAAAACTAGCTTTATTTACCACAGACTTATGTAAATCATGTGAACTTATTAAAAAAAAAACACACATTTGGGTCAGTTTCTGCATTTCTGAGAGTTTTAGAAATAATTTACATGCATGCTCATTTATCCCCAAACCAATTTGAATAGATCTCCATTAAAGGATTTTATAAATTGGTTTAGTAATACCATCTGAAAATATCACATATGTGTGTGTATATATATAGACACACACACACACAAACATTCATACAAAGACAGACAGAAGGAGATAACGTCTGGTTTGAGTCACTTATTAAAAGTAGTCCAAAGGTCCTTCTTGGTTGTTGGTTGCTCCGCAGTTGCTATAATTACAAGGCCATTAATTTGGAAACCTTTTGTTTCTCATCTTGCTCTGAGGTCCTCAGCTAACTTACTTAACCCTGTAGCTTCCTTATCCTTTTCCTCTCTCTCTTTCTTGTTTGGTAATGTTGTGGGGAGACTCCATTTACAAAAAGGACAGCTAGGATTAGCTGAATTGATGTAATGCTTGGAATGCTGTAGGAAAAACAAAAGGTCCAAGTGGGCTTTGAAATTAGTAACAGATTCATTTTTCTTTTGTCTGCAGGTCTGGTTTAGTGCAGGTGGGAAACACTTTAGGAATGGCTTTCAAAAGCTTATTTATGGCCGGGCATGGTGGCTCACGCCTGTAATCCCAGCACTTTGGGAGGCTGAGGTGGGCGGATCACGAGGTCAGGAGATCTAGACAATTCTAGGTAACATGGTGAAACCCCGTATCTACTAAAAATACAAAAAATTAGCTGGGTGTGGTGGCAGGCGCCTGTAGTCCCAGCTACTCGGGAGGCTGAGGCAGGAGAATGGTGTGAACCCGGGAGGCAGATCTTGCAGTGAGCTGAGATCACGCCACTGCCCTCCAGCCTGGGCAACAGAGCGAAACTCCGTCTCAAAAAAAAAAAAGGTTATTTATGTTTTTTTGGGGTTTTTTTTTGCTTTTTGTGGTTTATATATGAACCAAATTGGGTCTCATGGCCACAGATATCATCTTCAGAGTGATACCCTTCTGCCTTTTGCGTCCATTTTGGCTTTCCTCATGTCCTATCCACATGAGTTTACTGGGTACAAAAAAAAAAAAATAGAACGAGTAAGACCTACTATTTGAGGCTGGACACAGTGGCTCATGTCTGTAATCCCAGCACTTTGGGAGGCCGAAGCGGGTGGGTCATGAGGTCAGGAGATCAAGACCATCCTGGCTAACACGGTGAAACCCCCTCTCTACTAAAACTACAAAAAATTAGCCGGGTGTGGTGGCGTGCACCTGTAGTCTCAGCTACTCTGGAGGCTGAGGCAGGAGAATGGCGTGAACCCGGGAGGCGGAGCCTGCAGTGAGCCAAGATCGCACCACTGCACTCCAGCCTGGTGACAGAGCAAGACTCTGTCTCAAAATAACAACAACAACCACAACAACAACAACAATAAACCTACTGTTTGATAGCACAACAGGGTGACTACAGTCAACGATAACTTAATTGTACATTTAAAAATAACTAAGAATATAATTGGATTGTCCTTTGTGTTATACAAAGGATAAATGCTTGAGGGGATGGACACCCCATTCTTCATGATGTGATTATTATGCATTGCATGCCTGTATCAAAACATCTCATGTACCCCATAAATATATATACCTACTTTGTACCCAAAAAAGCTAGAAAAATCTAAAAACCCACAAAAAAATAGGAAAAAAATCCATGTTTACCTAGGTTGCCAAGTTCAGAGCAAAACCCATTCATGAATAGGGCAGACAAAGCATTTTCTCTGCCAGACAGGGATACCTTTTATTATTGCTCTGAGATTAAGATTTTGATCAAGACATAAGGGTACATGGCGAAACCCCACCTCTACTAAAAATACAAAAGTTAGCTGGGCGTGGTGGTGAGCACCTATAATCCCAGCTACTTGGGAGGCTGAAGCTGGGGAATTGCTTAAATCCGGGAGGCAGAGGTTGCATTGAGCCAAGATTGCACCGCTGCACTCCAGCCTGGGTGACGGAGCCAGACTCCATCTCAAAAAAAAAAAAAAAAAAAAGCAGACCTGGGATGGGTGTAATCCTAGCATTTTGGGAGGTTGAGACGGGAGGATTGCTTAAGTCCAGAAGGTTTGTAGCAGGACGAGCCGCAGACAAAACCCCTCAGACACTGAGTTAAAGAAGGAAGGGCTTTATTCGGCTGAGAGCATCAGCAAGACTCATGGCTCAAAAACCGAGCTCCCCAAGTGAGCAATTCCTGTCCCTCTTAAGGGCTTACAACTCTAAGGGGGTCCACATGAGAGGGTCGTGATCGATTGAGCAAGCAGGGGGTACATGACTGGGGGCTGCATGTACCGGTAATTAGAAAGGAACAGAACAGAACAGGACAGGGATTTTCACAGTGCTTTTCCATACAATGTCTGTAATCTATAGATAACATAACCGATTAGGTCAGGGGTGGATCTTTAACTACCAGGCCCAGGGTGTGGTGCTGGGCTGTCTGCCTGTGGATTTCATTTCTGCCTTTTAGTTTTTACTTCTTTCTTTGGAGGCAGAAATTGGGCATAAGACAATATGAGGGGTGGTCTCTTCCCTTAGGTTGAGTCTACAGTGAGCTGTGTTCATGCCTCTGCACTCCAGTCTAGGTGACAGAGGGAGACCCTATCACAAAAAGAAATGAATTAAGTAAAAAATTTTCTTTTAAAAAATTTTTCTTATTTTTTATTTTTTTGAGACAGTATCTTACTCTGTTGCCCAGGCTGGAGTGCAGTGGCACATCTCAGCTCACTGCAGCCTCAGCCTCCCAGGTTCAAGTGATTCTCCTACCTCAGCCACCCAAGTAGCTGGGATTACAGGTGTGCGCCCTCATGTCTGGCTAATTTTTGTATTTTTAGTGGAGATGGGGTTTCGCCACGTTGCCCAGGCTGGTCTTGAGCTCCTGAGCTGAAGTGATATGCCTCCCTTGGCCTTCCAAAATGCTGGGATTACAGGTGTGAGTCAGCACGCCCAGCCTAAAAATGTTCTATTAAAAAGAAGCAGACCTGGTTAATCTGAGAACCTAACTATAAATACTCATTTAGTTCTTTTTCCTTCAGGGCATGCAGATAAACAAGCAAAAAAAAAAAAAATCAGCAGACTCAGAGTAGACGAGAGGTTAGAAACCTCTACATGCCAGTAAAAAATACTTCTCATTTCTGTTTTTTTTGTTGTTGTTTTTTTTTTTTTAAATAGAGATGGGGTCTTGCTCTGTTCCCCCGGCTGATCTCAAACTCCTCAGCCTCCCAGAGTGCTGAAATTACAGGTGTGAGCCACCGTGCTTGGCCCTTCCCACTTTCTGAGATGTTCAAGATCGTGTGTGTACGTGTGTATGTAGGTGAACAATTTTGTTTAGGTAAAAACTTCCACTTTGTAGCCACTAAAATTCTAAATTGCTTTTGGTAAGATTTGCCCATTCTTTTAGAAGAGCTTAGGTTCTGAGATGCTATTATGAGAAGCACTTGAGACTATAACATCCTTCTCCCCACACCCCCAAACTGGGAAGGAGCTGGGAGACCAAAGAATAACTTGGATAAATCTAGCTTGACGGCTAGATGAGCTTGTTAGGACTTAACTTCAGGACACTCCTGGATGGTGGCTGGACAGCTCTAGAGATCCACACCACCTCCCATTTCTAAGCTGCTTTTAAGTTAATTTTCTGGCCCTTTGTCAATTTTGTGTGGTTTTCCTTGATATGTCCCCAGCTATGCCCCAGGATGTTTAGGTTCTCAGGGACACGTGGTCCTTGGCTGGGCGCAGTGGCCTTGGTTCACTGCCTAGCTTTTGGGGTTCAAGCAATACACATACACTCTTAAGTAACCTGGTAGGGGACCAGTCACACTATAGATGGAGTCCCAGACTCTGGATTTAAATAAACTCATTATTTCCAGTCTTCGTGGAACCTTTCCTAGTGGAGGTCTTTTGCTTAACCCAGTTTGGTTTTTGTCTAACCTAGTTGGACACCTGAAGCCTCCCTGCAAAACCCAGTCTTGTTTCTGCTGTGACTTCCAAACCTAGTCTGGAGCAGAAATGTTAAAATGAACTTGGAGAACTTGACGCTAGTGTTAGAATGCACGTATCTAAGTCTACTTACTGGTGATGACCTCCAAATGTGCAGGGAGTAAGCACAAGGGGCTCTGTGGGGTAACTGTATCTGTTTGCTTGTTGCTCCCAGAGGTCATTATCATGTAGTGTCCATTGGATCCCACTTCTGATATCAGATCTGATAAAAGAAAATCTTAAGCACATTTACATTTTCAGCAGTTTAGTTGAGCATTCAGCAGTTTGTGAATGGGGTAGCATCAGACCACAAGGGGCTAGCACTCTGCCCACAGGGGCAAGAGGGGAAACTTTTATAAAGTATTTGCAGAAGCAACACAAATGAAACCAATTTTGATTGGTTAGAGTGGAAAGTTTCTAGTTAGAGGTTAGTTGGTGATTTCTGATTGGTGCAGTTTCTAGTTTCAGTTTACTGTTTACATTGGGCTTTGGTTTGTTCACACACGAATTTAAAGTGACAGAGCTAGTCAGTCAGACTCAATCAGAATTTTTTTTTAACATTGCCTGTAAATTGGGGTTTCCATGACTCACCTCCTTGGGTTTGATCAGTTTGCTGGAGAGTGGTTCACAGAACTCAGGGAAACACTTTTCTGATATTTACCCATTTATTAAAAAGGATATGCCAGAGGATAAATATGCACAGTTTGATGGAAGAGGTGCATAGGGCGAGGTGTGGGAGAAGGGGCATGGAGCTTCCATGTCTCCTTTGAGCATGCCGTTCTCCAGGAACGTCCATGGGTTCAGCCATCTGGAAGCTCCCAGAACTGTTTTGTTGTTGTTGTTGTTTGTTTGTGGAAACTTTATTACATAGGCATGGTTGATTAAATCATTGGCTGTTGGTTAATCGATTCAACTGTAAGCCCCTCTCCCCTCCCAACAAGTTGGGAGTGGGACTGAAATTTCCGGCCCTCTAATCACATGGTTGGTTCCCCTGGCCACCAGACCCCATCTTGAGGCTATCTAGGAACCCCCAGCTACTAATTATCTCATTAATACGCAAAGACACTCTGATCACTCTGGAGATTCCAAAGATTTTAGGAGCTCTATGTCAGGAAACGGGGACAGACCAAATATATATTTTGCAATATCACAACACGATGTTCTAAAAGGCCTTTTCTATTTGCGAGGTATTTTTCTGCTACCCTCTGTAGCCAGCCTCCAGCATGGTTTGTGATGATCTGGTCTTCACACTCGTGTAGTTGCCTCCCACATGTTACCAGGTTTAGTCTGTGTGACCAGTAGAATATAGCAGAAATGATATGTCACTTCTAAGATAAAGGACAGTGGCTTCCATCTAGGGGTCTCTTTCTCTGTCAACCACTTTCTCTGGAAAACCAGCTGACATGTAGTGATCAGGTCCATAAAGAGGTCAACATCGAGAGGAGAAAAAGGCTCCTCAGTAGCTACGTGAATGAGCTTGAAAGTGAGTGAGCTTGGAAGCAAGCCTTTGGAGATTACAACCCTGCCTGAGGGCTTGCCTGCAACCCCAGGGGAAATCCGGAGCCAGAACCACTCAGCTAAGCTGCTCCCTCATGCCTGACCTTCAGAATCTGTGAGATGGTAAATGTTCAATGTTTTAAGCTGCTGAGTTTTGGAGTAATTTGTTTTAGATAACTAGGACATGCTGCAATTCCTATTGTGAGTCGAGTTGTACTCCTTCATTCCCAATGCCCTGGAGCCCCTCAGTGTGTGCACACAGGCTTAGTTGCATGCACTCTCTTTCTCTGTCTGCCTTCCTCCTCTGTTTCTCTTTCTCTTTGCCTCTCTCTCACACACACAATTTCACTTGGCTGCTGACACGGTTTGGGTGTTTGTTCCCTCCAAATCTCATGTTGGAATGTGATACTCCCCGGTGTTGGAAGTGTGGCCTCATGGGAGGTGTTTGGGTCATGGGGGGGATCCTTCATGAATGACTTTGTGCCCTCCCCTTGGTAATGATCAAGTTCTCACCCGGTTGGTTCACACGAGAGCTGGCTGTTTCAAAGAACCTGGTCCCTCTCTTGTTCCTTCTCTCACCATGTGATGCGCCTGCCTTCCCTTCACCTTCCACTATGAGTGGAAGCTTCCTGCGACCCTCACAGAAGCAGATGCTGGTGCCATGCTTCTGTACAGCCTGCAGAACCATGAGCCAAATATAAACCTATTTTCTTTATAAATTACCCACTCTCAGTTATTGCTTTTTAATAATGCAAACAGATTAACACAGTTGCTTAATTCTTTTTTTTTTTTTTTTTTTTTTTTTTTTTGAGCTGGGAGTCTCACTCTGTCGCCCAGGCTGGATTGTAGTGTTGCCGTTTCAGCTCACTGCAACCTCCACCTCCCGGGTTCCAGTGATTCTCCTGCCTCAGCCTCCCGGGTAGCTGGGATTATAGGCATGTGCCACCACATCTGGCTAATTTTTGTATTTTTAGTAGAGACGGGGTTTCACCATGTTGGTCAGGCTGGTCTCGAACTCCTAACCTCAGGCGATCTGCCCGCCTCAGCCTCCCAAAGTGCTGGGATTACAGGCGTGAGCCACCGCGCCCGGCCTTAATTCTTTATTATGTTTATCTGTTATCTACATTATTTCTCTTCCCATACATCTTTTCTTCTCTTTTAAATATGTTGTTGTCTGGGTCCCTGCTGCTAATACGTTCAATAGTAAATATCTCACTGTAACACTTGGTATGGCAACACTCTGAGCTCAGGAATGATGTAACGGTTAAATGTATGTGTGGACTTGACTGTGCCATGGGGTGCCCAGACATTTGGTCAAATATTTTGGGTGTGTCTGAGGCTGTTTTTGGATGAAATCAACATTTGAATTGGTAGACTGAGTAAAGCAGATTGACTTCTCCGAATGTGGATGGGCCTCATCCTATCATTGAAGGCCTGATTGGAACAAAATGGCTGGGAAAGAGGGAACCTCTCTCTGACTGTCTTCCAGCTGGGACATTGGTCTTCTCCTGCCTTTGGACCCAGGCTTGAACTAGAATCTAATGCCACAGTTTCTTCTGGGTCTCCAGCTTACTAACTGCAGGTCTTGGGACCTCTTACTTAGCCTCCATAATTGTGAGATATGAGAACCCTGACTGTACAAATGACCTAATAAACTTTGGCTAGCTAGGTGACTGGAAAGAGCTGACTTAGTAAGTAATTTCTGAGATGCCACCTGCTGAAAAGTCCTTTATCCAGCAGCCAGTATGAACCTGGTTTCAGGTAGGGTTTTTCAGTGAGGCAGATTCTAGTTTCTGTTCCGAAAACAATTGGTTTTTAGAGAGAAATGCTGAAGGTGCTGTTGCCTTTTTGCTTCTCTTTGTCTGCTTGTTCATAAGCAGCAGAGTACAATCTGTAAAGGGGAGTATGAATAGTGTTTCTGTTTTTGTTTAAGAGTAAGAAATTGCCAGAGAAAATAATTAGGGCTTGGATCAGCTTATTTAAAGCAATCATCTTCACACTAAGATATTACTTTGGTTTATTTCAGAGCTTGTTTCTGTGTGTCACTTTGCCCCCTTCTGCAATTTGTGCCCTTTGATTTTCAGTTCTTAAAATTTGGAGGCGAGATTTCCCCAGAGGATTATCTTTCTAAATCAAATCCTCTTTATCAAGAATCTAAATTTAAAATTGCGTGTTTTGATAAACATGCAGGTTAAATGTTTAGAACACTACTTAGAGAAGATGCTGGGGCCCATGCCTGCCTTCTTAGAAATCCACAGAAAGGAACTAGGGCTGCCAGTATTTGTTGTATCATTGGGCCATAATAGGTTTGTCATCTTGATAGGCTGTTTTCACCAAATATTTGCCAAGAAAAGAGACTTTAAGAATTAAATGTAGGCCTTAAACTTGTTCTACTTCTGCATTCAATAGATATCTGTTTCTGTTTCATTTTAAAAAGATGTTAGACCAGCTGGGCGCGCTGGCTTACGCCTGTAATCCCAGCACTTTGGGAGGCTGAGGTGGGTGGATCACTTGAGGTCAGGTGTTCAAGACCAGCCTGGCCAACATGGTAAAACCCCGTCTCTACTAAAAATACAAAAATTAGCTGGGCGTGGTGTCACGCTCCTGTAGTCCCAGCTACTCAGGAGGCTGAGGCAGGAGAATCACTTGAACCTGGGAGGCGGAGGTTGCAGTGAGCCGAGATCACACCACTGCACTTCAGCCTGGGTGACAGAGCGAGACTTCATCTCAAAAAAAAAAAAAAAAAAAGATGTTAGACCACCATCCAGTTTTGTGAACCTCCCTCACCTGTGGTGGAAGGTTCTTTGCAGATGGTAATACCCTCCCATCATTTGCAGCATCTCTAGCTTGGCCAGATATTCAAAACATTGTGTTTTTTGTTTGTTTGTTTGTTTTTTCATAAATGCCAAGAATTTAGCTACAGTTGGTCAGGCGATTGTCTACTTTGCATTAATAATGGCATTTGATATTATAATAGGGCCGTTATTTCCTTTATTATGAGCTTAGCCTTTCCATTGGAACTGCTGGAATACCTTGGGAGATATTGTGGGTTTGATTCCAGACAGCCATAATTAAAGCAAATATAGCAATAAAGCGACTCACACACATTTTTTGGTTTCCCAGTGTATGTAAGAGTTATGTTTACACTATACTGTAGTCTTTTAAATGCACAATAGGCATTATGTCTAAAAAATTGTGTATATACCCTCGCCCCCAAAACAAAACAAAACAAAACAAAATTGTGCACTTACCTCAGTTTAAAAATACTTTATTGCCAAGAAATGCTAACGGTCAGTGAGTCTTCAGTGAGTCCTAATGTTTTTTGTTGCTGGAGGGTCTTGCCTCAATGAGAATGGCTGCTGACTGATCAGGGAGGTAGCTGCTGAAGGTTGAGCTGGCCGTGGCAATTGATGGGCTCTTCCTTTCACAAAAAAATTTCTCTGTAGCATACAATGCTGTTTGATAGCATTTTACCCACAGTAGAACTTCTTTCAAAACTGGAGTCAAAACTCTCAAACCCTGCTGCTGCTTTATCAACTAAGTTTATGTAATATTCTAAATTCTTTGTTGTTATTTCAACAGTGTTTACGGCATCTTCACCAGGAGTAGATTTCATCTTTGCTCATCTATAAGAAGCAACTCCTTATCCCTTCAAGTGTTATCATGAGATTGCAGCTATTCAATCACATATCCAGGCTCCACTTGTAATTCTGTAATAGTTCCCTTGCTATTTCTGCCACATCTGCAGTTATTTCCTCCACTGAAGTCTTAAGCCTCTCAGAGTAATCCATGAAGGCTGGAATCACCCTCTTCCAAACTCCTGTTATGCTATGTTTTAACCTCCTCCCATGAAACATGAACTTTCTTAATGGCATCTAGAATGGTGAATCCTTTCCAGAAGGTTTTTAATGTACTTTGCCCAGACCCACCCGAGCAATCTCTGGCAGATTGGCCACAGTAGCCTTACAAAATGGATTTCTTAAATAATAAGACTTGAAAATAGGAATTACTCATTGATCCATGGTATGCAGAATGTATGTTGTATTAGCAGGCATGAAAACAACATTCATCTCCTTGTACATCTCCATCGGAGCTCTTGATGACTAGGTGCATTGTAAATGAGCAGTAATATTTGGAAAAGAAATCTTTATCTGAGCAGTAGCTCTCAACAGTGGGCTGAAAATATTCAGTAAACCATATTATAAACAGATGGGCTGTCATCCAGGCGTTGTTATTCCATTTCTAGAGCACAGGCAGAGTAGATTTATTTAGCATCATTCTTAAGGGCTTTAGAACTTTTGAAATGATAATGAGCATTGGATTCAACTTAAGGTCACTGGCTACATTAGCTCCTAAGAAGAGAGTCAGCCTGTCCATTGAAGCATTGAAGCCAGGCATTGACTTCTCCTCTCTAACTTTGCAAGTTCTAGAGGGCATTTTCTTCCAATAAAAGGCTGTTTCATTTACATAGACAATCTGTTGTTTAGTGTAGCTACCGTTTTAGTTTGTTCTTGCATTGCTGTAAAGAGCTACCTGAGACTGGGTAATTTATAAAGAAAAGGTTTAATTGGCTCACAGTTTCACAGACCGTACAGGAAGTATGGCTGGGGAGGCCTCAGGAAACTTAGAATCATGGTGGAAGGCAAAGGGGAAGCAGGGACGTCTTAGATGGGTGGAACAGGAGGAAGAGAGCAAAGTGGGGAGGTGTTACACACTTTTAAACAATCAGATCTCTTGAGAACTCACTATTGTGAGAACAGCAAGGGAGAAATCTGCCCCTATGATCTAATCACCTCCCAGCAGGCCCCTCCTCCAACACTGGGGATTACAATTTGACATGAGATTTGGATGGGAACACAGATCTAAACCATATCAGCTACCTTCATAAATTATCTTAGCTAGATCTTTTGGATAGTTTGCTGCAGCTTCCCTATCAGCACTTGCTGCTTCACCTTATACATTTATGTTATGGAGATGGCTTCTTTCCTTAATCCTCATGAACCAACCTCTGCTAGCTTCAGACTTCTTCTGCAGCTTCCTCACCTTTCTTAGCCTTCATAGAATTGAAGAGAGGTAGGACCTTGCCCTGGATTAGGCTTTGGCTTGAGGGAGTGTTGAGCTGGTTTGAACTTCTATCCAGAGCATTCAAACTTTGTCCATATCAGCAATAAGGCTGTTTTTGCCCTCTTATCATTCATGTGTTCACTGGAGTAGCACTTGTAATTTCGAAGCTTCAAGAACTTTTTCTTTGCATTCAAAACCTGGCAGGTGCAGGCGGTCTGGTTTTTGGCCTACAGAGACTATTGACATGCCTTTCTCGCTAAGCTTAATCATTTCTAGCTTTTGATTTAAAGTGAAAGATGTGCTACTCTTCCTGTCATTTGAACACCTAGAGGCCATCGTAGGGACATTAATTGGCCTAATTTCCATATTGTTGTGTCTCATCAAATAGGGAGGCCTGAGGAGAGGGAGAGAGATGAGAGAATGGCCAGTTTGTGGAACAGTCAGAGCACAAACATTTATCGATTGAGTTTGCCATCCTGTATGGGTGTCGTTTGTGGCATCCCAAAACAATTACAATAGTAACATCAAAGGTCACTGATCACAGATGACCATAACAGATATAATAATAATGAAAAAGTTTGAAATAATGAGAGAATTAGCAAAATGTGATGCAGAGACACAAAGTGAGCATGTGCTGCTGGAATAATGGCACTAATAGATAGACTTTCTGGACACAGTGTTGCCATAAACCTTCAGTTTGTAAAAAACATACTGTGAAGTGCAATGAAGTGGAGTGCAGTAAAACAGGAGTATGCCTGTACATGTAAACATGCTTTCTTTGGTGCTACTTCAGATACTTAGGAAGCCTTGACCATAGTCCAAGCAGATGAGTTTTGGTGCTTGAGTATTTTACCCCAGGCAGACTAGGAGAAGTTTGTGTGTGTGTGTGTGTGTGTGTGTGTTTGTGTGTGTGTGTTTGATAGTCTTTATTTATTTTGAGACAAGTTCTTGCTCTTGTCACTCAGGCTGGAGTACATTGGCACAATCATGGCTCACTGCAGCCTTGACCACCTGGGCTTAAACAATCCTCCCACTTCAACCTCTTCAGCAGGTGGGACTGCAGGTGCACACCACCATGCCCAACTAATTTTTGTATTTTTCATAGAGACGGGTTTTTGTCATGTTACCCAGGCTGGCCTCAAATTCCTGAGCTCAAGCAATATGCCTGCTTTGGCCTCCCAAAGTGTTGGGCTTGGAGGCGTGAGCCACTGTGCCTGGCCGATAGTATGTATGTATGTATGTATGTAGAGATGGAGTCTCACTCTGTTGCCAGGCTGGAGTGCAGTGTCGCGATCTCAGCTCACTGAAACCTCCGCCTCCTGGGTTCAAGCGATTCTCCTGCCTCAGCCTCCTGAGTAGCTGGGACCACGGGCGCATGCCGCTACACTCAGCTAATTTTTGTATTTTTAGTGGAGACAGACGGAGTTTCACCATGTTGGCCAGGATGGTCTCGATCTTTTGACCTCATGATCCTCCCACCTTGGCCTCCCAAGTGCTTGGATTACAGGCATGAGCCACCGCACCCGGCCTAGTCTTTGTATTTTAGGGCAGTTTTGGGTTTACAGAAAATTGAACAAGTAGTGCAGAGTTCCTTCACGCCCCTAGTTTCCCTTATTATTAACACCTTAAATTCATATGGTACATTTGTTACATTTGGTTAATGCTGAGACATTATTATTAACTAAAGTCTGTAGTTTTTATTAGTGTTGTCCAGTTCAATGGATTTTGACAGATGCATAATATGTAGCCACCATTGCAGTATCATACAGAATACTTTCACTGCCCTAAAAATCACCAGCACCCCAACCTAGTCATTCCTGCTTGCCTCCCCCTCAGCCCTTGGTAACCATTGATCTTTTTACTGTCTCCATAATTTTGTCTTTTCCAGAATGTCACATAGTTGAGATCTTACAGTATTTTGGCTTTTCAGATTGGCTTTTGTCAATAATATGCATTTAAAGTTTCTTTGTGTTTTTTCACAGCTTGCTAGTTCATTTCTTTTTAGTGCTGAATAATATTCCACTGTCTGGATGTACCACAGTTTATTATCCATTCACCTACTGAATGACATCTTGGTGGTTTCTTGTTTTTGGTGATCATGAATAAAGCCACTATGACCATTCACTACAGGGTTTTGTGTGGTCATAAGTTTTCAGCTCATTTGGGTAAATACCTGGGAGTGCAATTGAAGGATCTGTGATATATTCTTGGTCCCAGCATCTCTCCTCCTGCTGACAATTACCCTCCTTATTGTGACAACCTAACCAGGCCTGCCTCTCCCAGGGCTTCCTCTTCTTCACTTAGAGCATTTTCTGAACAAGTCTGGACACAAAGGTCTTGCTTATATTTTCAGGAAAGAGTATTTAAAATACTTCTTAATCATGGTTCCAACTTATTTCAACTCTTATAATTAAGTGATCATTTTTTTTTTAAATTATGGTAGAATATGTGTATATAAGATATAATTTGTGATTTTAACCATTTTTAAGTATACAGTTCAGTTGTATTCATCATATTCACATCATTGTGTAACCATCACCACTATCTGTTTCCAAAACTCTTACCTGGGGATATGATCATTTTAAAAGAGGAATTTGAAGAAATACATCTGAAGCTATATTTGGCAATATGTTTCCATCAGTAACTCCCAAAATCTCAGTGGCTATTGGCAACAATCTTTATGTCTCCCTCATGTTATATATACATACATATATATATATATATATATATATATATATATATATATATATATATATATATATAAAATTTTCTTTTGTCTAGAACTTAGTCACATGGCCACATCTAACTGCAAAGGAGCCTGGGAGGTGTAGTCTAGCTACCTGCGTAAGAATAAGAACAAATTGGCTTGGCGATTTGTTAGCATTCCTGGCCATATTAAGTAAGATTATTAAATCATACACATTGTTAACTTGATCTTTCAGAGATGACATGACAGTAATTGTATGGTTTCATAGATCTGGCTGTGTTTCAGGAGAGCATTTTTCCATCCCATGCTCTCTTTCCATCTAAACGTTAATTATCTTATCCTTTTAACACTGAGAGAGCTTCCTGGAATAAATAAAATTATATGCCTATTTTGATAAATACCTGTTTGATAGCGATGTTTTATAAAACTCTGAGAAAAGTCAACAAGGAGCCTTCACAGTGATTAATACAGCAGTTATTATGGTCAGATGTTAAAAAAAATCTCATGTCTTCAGTCTTGTGCCAAAAGGCAAAGAAAGTTTTGAAGCTTTCCACACACTGATTTGGTTTCAAGATAATGGGCTACTATTGAGTTTACATGTAGCATTGGTCTTCTGCTATTGTCTTTATAAAGGAAAGTATGTGAAATTTGGAATTGGAAATGTCATTTCTTAACCAGAGTAGCAGGTTCAGATGGTGAAGCTATCACTTTTGGCACAGGACTCTTGTTTCTTAATAAAATTTAATGAAAAATTGACAAGATTTGTGCAGTGTATATTTTTTTTAATGGTTGACCCACTGAATGCATCTAATTAGCTTATTACAGTTTAAAAGCAAGTTTAACTGCCTAAATGTATGACTTGGTATTTTGATCTTGTTTGTTAGGTCTCAGCTTGCTGATGATAGAAGTTTGTGGTCCAATATTAATTTTAAATAAGTGCCTACTGTTCTCTAGAAACTCCCATTCCCTTAAGGAAAAGTGTTTCATATGAGCCTCTCATTGCCAGGAATAGCTGTGTAAGCATTGTGGAAGTTTTTTCCACATTAAAATGTAGTCCACCAGTTCATTTATTCCTTTTAGGGTTGTGACAGTCGCTTGTGTTTATGCACCCCTGTAGAGCTGTCTTTAAACTCATTCAGCAAATTGGAAACATTTAGCTTGGATGACACCTCTTTAATCTTCCAGTAATCTCACCATAGAGACCACTGTACTCTCAAATACATTGTTAATACTTTTAGTAAGAATGGCCTGCTTTCATTCTCTTATTACTGAGCCATTATTCTGGACTCTGTTTATTATTATTATTATTATTCCAGAGTCGAAATAATTATCCCGTTGAAAAGACCAAGCATGTGCACACCCTGTTGTGACACAGCCGGTTTTGTCCTATCTGAACTTGCCTGCTTTGTGAACTGTTAGGGTCTCAGAAAAACAAAAAACAAAATCTTTTATTTTTAACATTTAATTTTTTATAGTTTTTATATTTTTTAATTGAGACAAAATATATGTATATAATTTACCATCTGTACCATTTGAAATGTACACTTCCTTGGTAATAAATATATTCTTTATTCCCCCTTCCACCTTTATTCCATCCTTTATTCCTACCCCCACCCCTGCTCAACTCCTCCTCTTCCCAGCCTCTGGCAGTAATTTAAAGTGTGAGTGACAATCTCACCTCTTATAATTATGTGATCTTTTTTTTTTTTTAAATTGTGGTAGAATGTGTATAACACGGAATTTGTGATTTTACTCTCTCTTCACGAGATCTACAGTTTTTAGCTCCACTTGAGTGAGAACGTGTGACAGTTGTATTTCTGTTCCTAGCTTATTTCACTTAACATAATGACCTCTAGTTCCACCCATGTTGCTGCAAATGACAAGATTCATTTTTTTATGGCCAAGTAGTAATAAATTGTGTATATATACCACAATTTTCTTTATTCAACTATTAATGAATATAGGTTGATTCCATATCATTGCTATTGTGAATAGTGCTTCAATAAACGCGCACGTGCAAATATCCTTGACATCTGATTTCTTTACATTTGGGCAAATACCCAGTAGTAGGATTGCTGGATCTATTAATATGTTAATTCTGTTTTTAATTGTTTTGAGAAATCTCCATACTGTTTTTCACAGTGGCTGTGCTGGGAAGATGTGTCAGTGGGTGGGGGGAGGATAAAACGAGGTTAGTTAATGGTTACAAACATACCTTAGAAGGAATAAGTTCTAATGTTCGATAGCAGTGTAGGATGACCATAGTTAACAACAATGTATTGTAGATTTCAAAATAGCTAGAAAAGAGGACTTGGAATAATGCCAACACACAGAAATGACGAATACTCGAGGTGATAGATGCCCCAAACCCCTAATTTGATCATTACACAGTGTAAGCATGTGATAGAGTATCATATTTGTGCCCCCATATACATGTACACATATTTGTATCAATAAGAAATATATACAAAAAGCCAAACCTTTTTAGCTATAAAATCTGTCTCTTATGTTCAAATGTATATAGTTAGAAAGTGCTGGAGTCCTGTAACATCAGTATTCAGAGTTTACTCAAGCTTTCATCCTCAGGCAAACTTAGCAGCTGTTATCTAAAGCCAGACTTGCAGCATCAGAAATCACCTGGAGCTTGTCCAGAAAGCAAGAGTCTTGGGCTCCACCCCAGACTTTCTAACTCAGAATCTGTAGTTCCACAGGCTCCCCTGGTGGCTCTGGTATGTAATAAAGTTATTTGAGAAGCACTGGCTGGAGATCTTTTACCTGAGCCTGTAATCATGGAATCACCCATCAGTATGTGGAGTGACCATAACATTTCAACTCAAACTCTATTTCTAAAATGAAAAAATCTGTCTATTGTATCTAATTAAGTATATGACAAATATCAAGCTCTCTTTCCACTATTTTCTGGTGTTCTCATGATCTGACAATGACAGTGGCAGGACCATGTACTGAGATGACCGAAGTGAAAATAGTAATGCTCTTTTGTGTATTTTTTTTTTTTTTTTTTGAGATGGAGTCTCTGTCGCCCAGGCTGGAGCGCAGTGGCGCGATCTCGGCTCACTGCAAGCTCCGCCTCTTGGGTTCAGGCCATTCTCCTGCCTCAGCCTCCCAAGTAGCTGGGACTACAGGTGCCCGCCACCACGCCCAGCTAATTTTTTTGTAATTTTAGTAGAGACGGGGTTTCACCGTGTTAGCCAAGATGGTCTTGATCTCCTGACCTTGTGATGCCCGCCTCAGCCTCCCAAAGTGCTGGGATTACAGGTGTGAGCCACTGCGCCCAGCCTCTTTTGTGTATTTTAGAATCCAGTCTGTGACTCCTTGTGATAGAGAATTCAGGCATTCTTGAGACTTCTCAACAGATTCTGACTTTCCCAGGTACAGGCTTATCCAGACGACATGTTTGGAGATAGGTTGAGAGAGGGAATGACATCTTATGCTTATTATATGTCACTCTTGCTCTTCAGTATTTGAAGGAAACACTGTGTGAAGAACAAAAACCTTCTGTCCTGGCTGCTGACATTAACTCAATTTTAGTTATTTTGAGAGGGCAGAAGAATATTCTAAGTAGACTGTTAGGGGTTCCTAACAAGTGAGAATTTCTTTGCAAGTCAGTGGGCCAAATAAACGATTTCTTTAAAAATACAAATCCATTTTATCACTTAAGAGTATTTACATTTAGTTCCAAATAATTTGCATATGCCTGCTAGGTTATGCCTTTTTATTCTAGAGAAGAGGCTCCAAAGAGGATAGTTTTTTTTTTTTTCTTTCTTATAATACTGTGCTATAATAGTCTTTTTTCCCCCATTGGGATGGAAAATAAAGGAGAAAAGAAGTGGCATTCCCATAGGGAATATTTCCTAAGTTTCTAATGCAAAGTTTCTAATCTGAAAACTGCCACATATTTTTAAAAGAATGCCAACATGATTTAATCTAGTTTCATTCAGTTTAGGAACTGAAATGCCCCTGGGTGAGGGACAGCATCCCTGAACCTTCCTTGGCCCCTGGTCTGCCCCGCCCCTCCCCATCCCCACTGTGCTTCCTCTTCTGCATTGTCTTCTTTGCTCTTAAACACACACATTTGAAAACTTTATTTATTTGTTTTTTAAAGAGGTGGCACCATCGTAGCTCACTCTAGCCTTGAACTCCTGGGCTGAAGTGATCCCTTCTGACCCAGCCTCCTGAGTAACTGGAACTACAGGTGTGCACCACTGTGCCTGGCTAATTTTTATTTTTTATTTTTTTTGTAGAGCCAGGGCCTCGCTTTGTTGCCCATGCTGGCCTTGAACTCCAGGCCTCAAGCTATCCTCCTGCCTCAGCCTCCCAGAGTTCTGGGATTATAGGTGTGAACCACCATGCCTGGCCTAAAATACTTTTTAAAACTTCTTTTCATTCGCTTCTTCCCTTTCCTTTCCTCCACTGCCTACCACTTCTGCTTATCTGACATCTACCATCACTCTCACTAAAACTTCAGTGCGAGATCACCAGACCCCAAGTCCTGTGGCTTCTTCTTGCGTCTCTTTAGCATTTGATCTTATCCAGTTTCTCTCCTCCCTTGATTCCTGTGACATTGGTCACTCAAGGTTTTCTTCCAGATGTTTTGCTTCTTGAGAGCAATGGAATTGGAATCCTAAGTTTTACCACTTTCTAGCTCTGTGCCTAGGGCAAGACACTTAACTTTGATGTGTCTCAGTTTTGTTGTAAGATAAGGGTAGGGAAAAACTTACCCCATAAAATTGATGCAAGTGCATAGAAGAATGTCTGGCACATAGTAAGGGTTCCTTAAGGATAAGTCATAATTATTGTCATCATTAAAGGTCATTGCTTGCCCTTTTTAGGCTCTTTGGCCTGCATGCTGATTGTAGGTGTTCACTAATTTTTCCACTCCTTTTCATAGGGCCTCTCTTCTCTTCAAATTTTTTTTTGACGATCTCTGGGTTTCCCACATTTTATATCTTAGCCCCTAACTTTTTCCCTGAGGATAGAAGTTTAATTTCTAACCTCAGGCTGGCCATTTACTCCAGAAGTCTTGTGAGCTCTATTAACCAAATCTGCCAAAATGCAGCTCATTCTCTTATCACCTAAAGTCTCTTCTCTCTGTTCTTCAGTCCTGCCTCTCTTTTGCCACCATCTTCATTAATGCGGTCACTGTCCTTTACAACTCCTGCTGGGGTATCACACGTTGGCTTCTCATTGCCCGTCACCCAAGTCCTCCAGTTGATCTCCAGCATCTGTTGATTGTCTGTTCATGGTGTCATGCAGTGTGTCTTTGCTTTGCTGTTCCCGCTTCTGTTCCATGCAGGGCACATGCCTTTTGTATTAGTTGGTTTGGGCCGCAATAACAATACCATAGAATAGGTGGTTTGAACAATGGAAATTTATATTCTCACGATTCTGGAGGCTGAAAGTCCAAGATCAAGGTGCTGGTGGCAGGGTAGATAGGTTTCTGGCATGGGCTTGCTTCCTGGTTGACAGAGAGCTGCCAGGCGCAGTGGTTCACGCCTGTAATCCCAGCACTTTGGGAGGCCGAGGCGGGCGGATCACGAGGTCAGGAGATCGAGACCATCCTGGCTAATGCAGTGAAACCCCGTCTCTACTAAAAATACAAAAAATTAGCTATGTCCTCCCTGGCCTTTTTTCTGTGAAAAAGGCCTTTTGCGTGAGCATCCCTAGTGTCTCTTCTTACTAGGACAGCAGTCCTATTGGATTAGGGCCTCACCCTATGACCCTGTTTAATCTTAATTACCTCCTAAAGACCCCATCTCCAAATACAGCCATATTGGGAGTTAGGGCTTCAACACATGAAGCTGGGGAGACACAATTCAGTCCAGAACACCCTTGGCGCTGTTGCTGGGTAGCTGTCCTGACTTCCCTCTCCCCTCGGCAGTCCAGCTTCAGACAGGGGTGAGAATGATCTTTCTGACACGTGGCTTTGGCCTCCCATTCCTAATTACTCGACTTGGCTCCCCACGGCCTAGATGCAGTGAGAGGAAAATGACCACTGTAGGGTGGCTTCCTTCATTTCTCAGTTCCTTATGCTCACTCCTCTGGAAATTGGAGATAACATGACTAACCTCGTGTTATTGAGGGATTAAATAAATTCTAATGAAGAATTGTTGCTTTAATCTGACGAAAACCAAATTCCTACTCTCCAGCCTCCATTCGAGTTCTTCCATCACCTTGTTACTCCAAGTGTGATCCCATGTGGTTCCAGGGCCAGCAGCCTCCCATCACCAGGATGCAGACTCTGCATCACAGCAAGATCCCCAGGGCCATTAGATGTGAGGGACTGGCTTATCCTTACTGCCCGGCTCTAGGCTACAGCCACAGGATGGAGAGGACAGGGACTTGGAGGCACGTACCAGGCTTCAAACTGCGGCTCCTTTACTTGCTAGCTCTATGCCCAAAGACAGGTTTACAGGAACTGTCCTTGTCTTGTTTCCCCTCTGAAAAATAGGGAGAGGCAGAGGTTTACCTCACAGAGGTTTTGAGGATTAGCTGAGAAATTTTGTAAATAAGAGAGCATCTACCCTTGTGATTTTAAATTGAATTTCATACTTAAAATCAAGTACTTTTTATTTGGAGTCAAGGTTTGTTTATTGTGGCACAGTGTCGGGGAATGAAGAGGTGTGGGGTGTGGGGTGTTCATTAACCTCTCAGCCTCTCTGCCCTCTCACCCTGTGCAACAGGGTCCCCACTGGTCTCCCTCTGGGAAGATGTGACCAGCATGGGATATGATGGGGAGACTTCTTT
The DNA here is from genome assembly GCF_000001405.40 of Homo sapiens. Lineage (NCBI taxonomy): Eukaryota > Metazoa > Chordata > Mammalia > Primates > Hominidae > Homo > Homo sapiens. The sequence goes on along the minus strand of NC_000008.11, from coordinate 80,087,721 downwards.
TCTGTAGAAGGTAAACCAACTGCTGCTTCGGTGGAAGGTGGAGAGAGCCCTTCCAGCTCTCAGAAGGGGCCTGGAGCCGGTATGTGCCTGTGTGTCTGTGGCTGGAGCCCAGTCCCATTAGGCCCTGCCCCCGTGATTGCTGTGAGAGGTGGTTGCCACACACTTTCTCCACAGCGCCCTCAGGGCTGCTGAATCTAAGGCAGAGGAGTTCTTGTTTTTTGTTTGTTTGTTTTTTAGCCCTTTTCAAATTTACAGAAGGATTGCAAGAATAAGAATAGTGTAAATACCTGCTCCTGTGTTACTTTGCTGAAGATAATGGCTTCCAGCTCCATCCATGTCCCTGCAAAGGACATGCTCTTGTTCCTTTTTATGACTGCATAGTATTCCATGGTGTATATGTGCCAACAACACAGGTGTGGGGGAGGGAGAGCATAAGGAAGAATAGCTAATGAATGCTGGGCTTAAGACCTAGGTGATAGGTTGATTTGTGCAGCAAACCACTATGGCACACACTTACTTATGTTACAAGCCTGCACATCCTGCACATGTACCCTGGAACTTAAAAGTTGATGGGGGGAAAAAAAAAGGACACCTGCATTCTCTACTCAGGGTCACTGTTAACGTTTAGCCCCATCCGGTTGACCAGTCTCTCTGTGTGTGGATGTCTGTACACATGCATACTCTTATTTTCTGAGCAATTTGAGAGGAAGTTGCATATATCATGGCGTCTGCCCCTAAATACTTCAGTATATATTGCCATTGCCTAAGAAAGGCAATATTCTCACCACAGTTGTCAACGTCAGTAAATTTGATTTTTTTTTTTTTTTTTTTTTTTTTTTTTTTTGTTGAGACAGCGTCTCACTCTTGTTGCCCAGGCTGGGATGCAGTGGCACGATCTCAGCTCACTGCAATCTCCGCTTCCCGGGTTCAAGCAATTCTTGTGCCTCAGTCTTCTGAGTAACTGGGACTGCAGGCACGTGCCCCCCCAACCAGCTAATTTTTGTATTTTTAGTAGAGACGGGGATTCACCATATTGGCCAGGCTGGTCTCGAACTCTTGATGTCAGGTGATCTGCCTGCCTTGGTCTCCCAAAGTGCCAGGATTACAGGTGTGAGCCACCAAGCCCAGCCAGTAAATTTGAAATTGATACAAGACTTTTATCTAATCTGAGGTCATATTCCAGTTTTTTCAATGGACCTAGTAATGCCAGTCTCCTTTAATGTGGATTTTCACAGTCTTTGTCCTTTATGACATCGATGTTTTTGAAGAATGCAGCCCCTCCTCTTTTAAAAACTAGAACCTTCCGGTCAGGCTCGGTGGCTCACACCTGTAATCCCAGCACCTTGGGGGACCGAGGCGGGTGGATCACGAGGTCAGGAGATCGAGACCATCCTAGCCAATATGGTGAAACTCCGTCTCTACTAAAAATACAAAAATTAGCTGGGCGTGGTGGTGTGCGCTTGTAGTCCCAGCTACTCAGGAGACTGAGGTTAGGAGAATCACTTAAACCGGGGAGGCGGAGGTTGTGGTGAGTCAAGATCACGACACTGCACTCCAGCCTGGCAACAGAGTGAGAGTCCGTCTCAAAAAAAAAAAAAAAAAAACTAAAAAAAAAAAAAAGCAAAAAAACCCGAAGCAACAACAAAACCCCAACAAAAACTTGTTTTGGATTTGTCTGATGTTTCCTCATGATTCGATTCAGGTTCTGCATTCCAAGCCTGAACACTATGTAGGTATTCAGAGCGGTCCATCTGCCTCTCACTGGGGTATGGCCATCTCTATCCTTCAGTCAGGGTGGGGCTTTTCTCCATTATACTGTTACTACACTTGATCTCAGCCAAAAGGCCAAGAAGTGATCTCCACTCAATGTTTTTCCTTCTGGCAGCTAGTTAATCTGTGGAGAGGCACTTTAAACATCATTTAAATATCATCTTCTTCCTCAAAATTTCTCCCGAGCTTTAGCATCCAGCGATGATTTTTGTCTGAATCTTTACAAAGATGGTCAGGGTGGCATTCTTCTGTAGTTCTTCCTTCTCTCTATTTATTACTTTCTTGGACTCTTGGATTCCTGTTTTTTTCAGTGGTTTATAATCCCTGACTGTCCCTAATTTTTTTGGCGGCCTGATTGTCCCATATTGGCTAGTTGGAGCCCCTTCCAGCCAGCTGCTGTATCACCATGACACGTCTGCATTCCCCAAGTATCTGCGGCCTGCCTCTCCTGGTGGACAGCCACATTGTCTCCCTTTGACGTGCCCTCCAAGTAAATATTGTGTTTCATAGCTTTTAAATCAGACTGTCCTTTATATGTCTTTCAAGTTTGTGGAGAATTTACACTGACATATTTGAGTGATGAGTTAACAGGCAGACAGAAACTTAATTTTCTTTATAGTCATTTGTACCTACTACCATTTCCGTTTGCAATGACATGAGTCGTCTCCGGTTATTACCCTGCAGTACATACGCACTTTACTGGCTGCACCTAGTTGACTTCTGAACTGCCCTTGGGCTCCCTCTGCTGGCATAGTGGTGCGTGAGCACTTTTCTGGGGTCATGGAATGGATTTCTCTTTCTGCCCATTTTCTTTCTTTTGGTTTGTGGTTTTCTCTCTCATAAATTATTACACAAACATGGACCATACAATACAACCTTCTTTCAAACCTGATTTGTTTGCTAACTGTATCAGTACCTTTCCATATAAAATTCATAAATATTTTTATATAATTATGTCAGTGTTTCCATATTTTTCTATTACCTGAATGTTCTTTTTAGCATTTAAATAATCCATTTTTAGTAGGCATTTGTATTGCTTTTTTCCATTTCAGGTAGCATCTAAAGTGAATGTCCCTTGCATGTATACTATTCATATGTGACTTAATAAGTAGAGCTTGCTAAATGGGTAGGAACTTACAGGAAAAGGGGAAACTCTAGTTTGAGAAAATTGTCTGGGCTAAGTTTAGGATGTGTTCAACAAACAGGAAAGTCAAGTTTGGCTAAAGCATGGTTGAGTAATAGTGGGAAATATGGTCAGAAAGTAGGTATGTTAGGACTCTTTCTACTGAAATGATGAAATTCAACTCCAGCCACAAGTGGAGCAGAACAAAATTGTGTTTGTTTAATAACTGGGAAGCCCAGGGTAGCTGGAGGCAGGGGCTTAGATGCTGCTGCGCCATCCCTTACCTGTCTGTTTCTGTTTCTCCTTCTGTCCCTTCCCAGTCTCAGCACTGAGTCTCTTGCCCATTGGCCTGGTGAGGGAAGGAGCTGCCAGCCCCACCCAACAGCTCAGGTTACAGAGAGAGTCACTTTCTTCCATTACTCACAGAGTAAACATCAAGGAAGGCCACTGATTGATTGACAGTGTCTGGGTCAGATGTCTATCCTTAGGCCAGTCCCTGTGAACAAGGGGATGGGGTGTCTGCGTGGACCAGATCTGAAGCACAGGCCCATGCCTGGGGCCAGGGGGTGGGAACTATGGACCTCTCTCCCCACTGAGAACCCCAGGGAGCAGGTGAGGTGAAATTCCTCTAGGGGAAGAGGGGCAAAATTGACAAGATAGCAGATGTCTACCATACTGCTGTGGGGCCTGGTCCCTCCCAGAAGGAAAAACATAGTAACAATAGAGTGGGTCTCACCCTCCACCTGGGTCTCAAGTAGGGTGTGGATGAGGACAATGGAAATGAAGGAAAGGTTAGAAGGCCTGTGGTACCGGTTGGTAGATAGCTCTTCGTGCTTTCTCCATATGGAGTGAGAGTGCTTGGATGTGATTCCTTCAAAGTCAGGTCTAGGAGACTCAGGATGCCTAATCTAGAGGTAAGAACATTGTGAGGAAAGCCAGTGAATTCAGTCTTGTGCATGCTGACTTTGAAGTACTTTTGGAAGAGCCAAGTGGAATTATCCACAGGACAGGACCAAATCTTACCTGGTTCTTCCCCAGGCCGACTAGTCCACAACAGGAAATAAAAAGAGTTGCCCCGATACCAAGGTGTACTAGTCCATTCTCACACTGCTATGGGGAAATACCTGAGACTGGGTAATTTATAAAGGGAAAAGGTTTAATTGACTCACAGTTCTAGATGGCTGGGGAGGCTTCAGGAAACTTACAATCATGGCAGAAGGCACCACTTCACAGGGTGGCGGGAGAGAGAATGAGTGCCCAGCGAAGGGAGAAGCTCCTTATAAAACCATCTGTTCTCCTTATAAAGATCTCTTAATAAAACCGTCAGAGAACTATCTCATTCACTATCAGGAGAAGAGCATGGGGGAACCGCCCCCATGATTCAGTTTACTCCACCTGGTCCCGCCCTTGACATGTGGGTGTTATTACAATTTAAGGTGAGATTTGGGTGGGGACACAGAGCCAAACCATATCACAAGGCTTTCTCCTCCTTGCTGGGATTGTACCCATAGCCTCTTTCTGAGTCCTCTCTCTTTTAGCCTCTTTATGCCTGCAGTGCATCCTTATACCATTTCTAGAGTCATCTTTATAAAACTTATACTCTCCGTATGACTCATAAATCCTGTTTTTTTTTTTGCACAGTATATTAAGTATAAAATTTGTTAAAGTCTTTAATGGTCTGCCCCCAAGCTACATTTCCATTTTGTATGTCTTTCAGTTCCTTTCTACTTTGTATTTGGCTGTTGAGTTAACTGAATTTTTGCCATTCCATTAACCCATCCCATGCTTTTCCCACTTCTAGATTTCACTTTTCTTGTAGGCTAGAATGTCTTGACTGGGATCTGACTGGAGATAATGAGAACAAAAACTGGTTCAAAGAGCCAGGATGTTGCATAAAAGTCCTAAGATTGTATCTAAGCAGGTAAAATAAAAATTTTAGGCAATTACTTAAATTTGAAATGCTCACATTTATTAATAAGGCATGTAACATCTACATGAGCCATCATTTGCTTTTTTAATTCCACATTGATTAGGAGCCAAACCTTCAGGGCAGGTATCCGGTAGAGCGCCCTGGAGAGGCCCTGGATAGGCACAGGCGCCTGTCAGGGGGCTCTTCACATGCTGTGTGCTGCTGCTGGGAGAAGAGGGGGCCAGAGACTAGGGGGCTTCTAAGAAGAGGTGGCATTTCTGCCTCAGTGTTGAAGGATGAATAACTTTGACAGGCTGGAAAAAGGTGACATTTCAGGTAGAGCGTGTCACATGGATGTAAATACCAAAGGTCAAGGACATGGGCTTGAGAGATGGTGAGAAGGATGGAGGTGACTGTGGCTTGCATTCTATCCGTATCACTATTAATTACCTTCTAATGCCTTTGGCTCTAGGTGGTGGAACAAGTAAAGTAATGGACAAATACTTTTTCTACCAATATTTAGTGACCAAATGCAGAGTTATGGAGAGGGCCAGGGACCTCATGAACCATACTCTTTCTAGTCTAGGGACATAACTCCAATGCCTTTCCTGTCCCAGTAAGAGGCCATGGATTTCAAGAAGCCAGACAATCCATTCTTTCAGATAATGATAAAAAAGAAACCATTTATTTTATTTCTAAGTATAGAATGAAACATTTATAGTTGCCCAAATTTTGGTACCTTTTAGGAGAAAAATACAGATTTTTTTGTTGTTAAAAATAAACTTAAAAAAAAAAAAAAAAGACTTACCATAGTCCGGGCACGGTGGCTCACACCTGTAATCCGAGAACTTTGGGAGGCCGAGGCAGGCGGATCACCTGAGGTCAGGAGTTTGAGACCAGCCTGGCCAACATGGCGAAACCCCATCTCTACTAAAAATACAAAAATTAGCCGGGCATAGTGGGTGGTGGGTGCCTGTAATCCCAGCTACTTGGGAGGCTGAGGCAGGAGAATCACTTGAACCCAGAAGGTGGAGGTTGCAGTGAGCTGAGATTGTGCCATTGTACTCCAGCCTGGTCACAAGAGCGAAGCTCTGTATCGAAAACAAAACAAAAAAAGACCTACTGTAAATAGAGTACAACATGAGACTAACAAAAATAACAAATAAAATCATCCAGCATATATTCTGTATTTAAAAAAAAAAAATCACAAGATGAATACAGACCATCTTGGTGCATATGTATTTTATACACTAGACACATGCTGATGTTTTTAATGCTTAAAATATATTAGGTTTCATACTTGCTTCCAATCCAAGGAGAGTATATCTGAGCTCTTTTTTTTTAGATTTGAAAACCGCCTTTTAGATTAGATTAGAACACTGCCTTTTTTTTTGTTATGCAGTAACAGATCATTGCCCACCTGAAAGCGAGTCGCCTTTATTTTTACCTCCTTAGTAGAACCAGCAGGAGCTGCAATTGCTGTTGCTTGAGCCAAGGCCACAGTCAGCATAGAAAGGTTCTGCTAAGAGACTGTGTTAAAGGAAATAAATTTGGTGACTTAGTTTTGTTTTACAAGCTAGCTGTGGCCCAGTCCTTCTGCAGGGTGGGTACGCAGGTTTATTGCAGCTCTGCAGAGCCATGGCCTTAGACAAACAAAGAAGGTGTGGGAATACCCGGGAGCTTTCCATTCAAAGTAGATTCTTCTCCTTTGAGTGCATGTAACTGAAGCACCAGCTTTCTAAAAAAAAAAAAAAAAAAAAAAAGAGAGAGAAAAGAAAAGTCAGTCTGAAGTTTTTGTGACACTCAGCCAGACTCCACATTAGATAAAGTAATCATGGAAATACAGCTTTATTTTTATACCAAGTTGTGCTTAGAAAGCTGATTGCTAAACCAGGAAGCTTGGCTTTCAGAATTTTACTGTAATCCAGGGTGGAAAAAAAGTATCACTCAGATGGCATTTGTGGGAGATTACTGACTGGTAATCCCTCCTTGTCCTAGAAGATTAAGTCTGCCCTGGTGTAGTCATGGTCAGCTGATTTTTTTATTTATTTATTTTAAATAAATTGTAGTTTCTTGTTGTAAGTCAGCCAGTGTCTGATGTTTGCCTGAACTGTTTGTACCTCTGGGCCATATTGCAGAACCCTGCCCTTCTTTGTTGACTGAGGAAAGCTCGCTCCCTGCCCAGGTTTTTCATTGTTGATCGAAATTAACACCAGGTGGTGAATAGAGCCCCTCCTAAGGTTGCTCAGGATAAATCATTTATTAAATAGGTCTGCTTATCAGGAGGGGCGTGAAGGCTCCCAAAAGGAAATGCTGGCACCTGGGCCCAGAAGCCAGGGCCTCTAACTCCTGGGGTTGATTTCTTCAGTGAAGTTGCACCCTACAAAGGGAATATGGCCAAAGCGGCACTCAACTGAAGGCTGATATCAGGCGATTAGACAGCCATGCATTCTGCGTTTGTCTGGAATGGATTGTAGAGAGATGGACTTATATGAGGACTACCAGTCCCCGTTTGATTTTGATGCAGGAGTGAACAAAAGCTATCTCTACTTGTCTCCTAGTGGAAATTCATCTCCACCCGGATCACCTACTCTTCAGAAATTTGGTAACTACTAATTTTGTAAAGTTAAGTTTGCTTGGAATAAAACCTAGACATAACTTGGGGTTTGCCTGGCTTTAAAATTGTTAGTGTAAAGATGTACCAGGGTGGTGTTGGGTTGTAACTAGCTAATAAGCTATTCTAGATTCAAAGTACAGAGATAGATGGCTCATTAAATATTTAGAATATGTGTATACTTAGAAGTTAGATTTTAAAGTTAGTACTATTTATGCGATCACTAGACTTCTCCATTGATAGATATTCCAAGCTCACTTTGAGTTTGTTGAGCTGGTAAATAACAAAAAAGGAGGAATCTGAAGTCCTTGGTTTCTAGTTGCTTAGGTAATTTACGACAACTTTCCCGATTTTTCTCTTTAGTAAAATGATGGTTAAGCACTGACTCAGTTCAAGGTCTTGCTAATGACTGTCCTGGGTTTTGTTATGGAATATTGAGAGCAACTTACAGAAATTGCTAGGCAAGAGATTTTTTTTTTTTTAAAGAAAAACTAGAAATTGCTGTACCTTTAGAAGCAGTTATTCCTTCATACTTACCAGTATGAGATTGCTTTGAAGGCCAGGAGCACCATCAGGGAGGCCCTTCCTTTATTGGCACAAGGCAGCAGAAAGCCAGAAGCAGCTTAGCCATCCTCCCGGCTGGGTCCCTCATCTCATAGCCAATGCTGGGAACTGGTTAAATGACCTTCTCTGTAATTTGCCAAATAAGCAATCAGGTTTTTCCAGAAGTTAATTTTTTCCTTATTAATGAAGAACAGGTCACATTTTGTTCATTTTAAGCTGAAAAAATGGGTAACCTAGAAAAAAACATGGTAAAGGTGACAGCATGAAACTTAGTTTTAAGTATTTTAGGTTTGTGTATTTGCCGACAGTAGGGATGTGTGAAGCAGCATTCCTCTCTTGGTTGCACCTGGTAGCCATCTTTCCCCAAAAGTGGCTGGGATTTCCAGGAACAGGAAAATGTTGAATATAACAGAGAAGGGGTAGAGCTGGTCTGTAGAAGTTGGGGGCAGGAGGCAGCAGCTTGATGTCTGCTGGGGGATTCTGATTGCCAGGAAACTTTCTCCAGTGCTGACCTTGCCTTGCCCAAGTGGCCCCCCTCAGACCTCTGTAATAAAGGGGCCTGGGCTCCCCCTTTGCCCAGCCCCCTTCTAACTTATAAATTTTATGTATAATTTAATAGGGGCCACACAGAATGGGGAAGCTAGAGCTTGATAATGGACTGAAACTCAAGTGACTTGCGGGGGAGGGAGGGAACCTTTGAGAAGCTGGGGCTGTGGTTTTGTGACTTCAGGTGGACCTTGATCGGTGTGCAAGCATCCAGATTCCCAGGAAGATTGACACTGCTTGCTTCTTTTAGTTCCCTTCTACCCTTCTTGTCTCTTGGTTTCACCTCCTTTCATTTTCCAAGTTATGGTCATGGCTGCCTTGGGATGTTTTCTGTCAAAACCAGGGCAGTTGTAGGGTTGGGTGTACCTCTAGGCAGATTCTGAAAGATTATCTTCACAATTCCTGTTAGCTGTTCGAAGGAACCTGGGGTTGTGAGATTTAAAAAATTATTAAAAAGCAAATGAATAACAGTAATGAAAAACAAACTCATGTAGCTAGGTTTAGTAGTTTGCATTAATTGAAAGAAAAGAGGGTGAACAAGCATTAAAACAAGCAGAAACCACCCTCAGCAGTCATCTGTAAGAACACAGTGATTTTAAAATGGCCAAATAAAAGTGGGGGCCTGGAAGAGTGATTACTCATCTCTGTGCCCATGACCCCTCAGGGCATAAGAAGTCTGCACACCTGTCTGAACATCAAACATGGTTGGTCGATGGAATGAATAATGTGTCCTCCGTGTGTTTGCACTCTTTGTATTTCTACGTAGAAGCTTTTAGGACCAATACATTATGAATCCATTAAAAGTTCTTGTGGCTTTTGGCCACTATGTATTTTCTTAATCACCAGACAAGTAATACAGACAAGAAGGACTGATATAAAAAGGAATCCTACCCAGAGAGGTTGGGAATACTGATTTGAAAAGAGTGAAAAATATCTCTGATATTTATCCAAAATGCCATCATGGGGCAAACGGGAAAGTAATGAGATTTTATCTATGGGCAGGATGTTCCTAAGAAGTAATTAAAGCGAAGGTTAGGATGAGGACAGTGGCTGAAACAAAATGAAGCCTTTTATTAGGGAGTTTTAAACTCCTTTGACACAACCAACCCATATTCAGAAATGCCTTATACCTCCTTACCTGCAATCCTCACAAATATAAGAATCTATCAATAACTGAAGCAAAATTTTATGAACCAGAACTTCTCCTTACTATATGTGATGTACTCTGACATTTTATACTATTTGATGCCATTTCTTCTTTTAAAGTGCTCATCTGGTTCTGCTAACTGGATTTTACAACCCATAGTGTGAAAACACCAATTTATAATAGTTTCAGAATCTGGAACATAAGCTTTGTTTGTCTTTTTAGTTCACCTCTGTTTCCCCAAGCACCAAGAATAGTGCTTGACATTATATGGCTCAAAAACTTTGTGGAATGCATGAATGAATGAATGACACTGGTAAGGAGTCGTTCACACTCCAGTTCATTTTACGGATGTGAAGATTGAGGCTGAGAGACATATGTGATGTTCTCAACTCACAAAGTTTAGTTAGGCTAAGATAGGACTAGCACTCATCTCTTAATTCTTAAGCTAGTGGTTTGGTTTTTTGTTTTTTTTAGACCGCAACATCTCAGCCTCTCTGGTAATGGATATTATAGAACAGATTAACTATTCAAGGCTTAAGTTCTCCTTTGGTCAAGTGTTTTACCGTGGGAATAATTTGTTGATACTTTATACGCCACTTGGATCTCAACATTCTATTCCATCTTTGGGCTGAACATTATGAGGACCAGGGTCTCACAGCTGGGGTCTTTTGTTGCATTATCTCTTCCATTCTGTGAACACCCTTAAGGATAATATCCCAAATGTTATTTACATAGCACCTATCTTCCTCTTAAGAATTTTTTTTTTTTTTTTTTGAGACAGAGTCTTGCTCTGTCGCCCAGGCTGGAGTGCAGTGGTGCAACCTTGGCTCACTGCAACCTCTGCTTCCCGGGTTTAAGCGATTCTTCTGCCTCAGCCTCCCAAATACCTGGGACTATAGGTGCGCGTCACCACATCGTGCTAATTTTTGTATTTTTAGTAGAGACGGGGTTTCACCATATTGGCGAGGCTGGTCTTGAACTCCTGACCTCGTGATCCGCCTGCCTCGGCCTCCCAAAGTGCTGGGATTACAGGCGTGAGCCACTGGGCCGGGCCAGAATTTTCTTTTTTAAAAAAAACTTTTGGCTGGGCGCAGTGGATCATGCCTGTAATCCCAGCACTTTGGGAGTCTGAGGCGGGCAGATCACTTGAGCTCATGAGTTTGTGACCAGCCATCATGGTGAAACCCCATCTCTACCAAAAGTAAAAGAATTAATCGGGCATGGTGGCACACGTCTGTGGTCCCAGCTACTTGGGAGGCTGAGGTAGGAGGATTACTTGAGCCCAGGAGGGGATTGCAGTGAGCTGAGATCACACCACTGCACTCCAGCCTGGGTGACAGAATGAGACTCCATCTCAAAACAAACAAACAAAAAACCCTTTTATTTGAGGTTCAGGGGTGCATGTACAGGCTTCTTATATGGGTAAACATGTGTCATAGGGGTTTGATGTACAGATTCTTTCATCATCCAGATACTAAACCTGATACACAGTAGTGATTTTTTTTCCCTTTTTTTGCTCCTCTTCCTCCTCCCACCCTCCACCCTCTGGTAGGCCCCAGTGTCATTTGTTCCCCTCTTTGTGTCCATGTGTTCTCATCATTTTGCCCCCACTTATAAGTGACAAGGTGCCCTGTTTGGTTTTCTGTTCCTGTGTTAGTTTGCTAAGGATAATGGCCTCCAGCTCATCCATGTTCTTGCAAAGGATAGGATCTTGTTCTTTTTTATGGCTGCATAGTGTTCCATGGCATATATGTACCACATTTTCTTTATTCAGTCTATCATTGATGGGCATTTAGGTTGATTCCACCCTTTGCTATTGTGAATAGTGCTACAATGAACTTACGCATGCATGTGTCTTTGTGATAGAATGGTTTATATTCCTTTGGGTGTATACCCAGTAATGGGATTGCTGGGGAGAATTTTCTAATGTACAGGAAGATGCAGACTTGGCTTATGGCACCTTTGGTTATTTCTATTGACTTAAGGAATTATGAGCAATGGAAAAATCTGACATTTTAGTTTAACACGATCATATTTGATACTCTAGAAAGACTGAAAAATCAAACTGAAATTCCTTAGCTCATAGTTCTTTTCATTCTGTTTTACCCTTTTTGATTTTCACTCTGTGTCATTCTCACTTCTTTTTAGAGAAGTGGTTACCACTTCTTAAAAGTTTTTCATGATTGCATCAGTCTTAAATAGCAAACATGGCTGTGGTTTACAAAATAAAAACTGGAGTCAAATTGAAGAGATGTAGAATTTCCTTATTCCTAGAGAGGAAATTTAAGGATGGAAGAGACTTCCTCTCTGGGGATTCTGAGATTTCTGCATGGCTGACCTTTGTCACTCTTTTCTGGAATGTCCCAGTTACTAGTTTTATACTCAATTTTGGGGCAGGGGAGCAGAGCAGTGGGGAGAGGAGATGGCTCTGAAGTAATTGACTGAAGATTTTTTCTTTTAAAAAAAAATGAAAGAGATTTAAGGGTCCATTTAGAAATACCTGGAAGGACCAAGTAAAGCATTTGAAAATACTGTGTTTTACCTTGAGGATCGTTTCTTCTTTGTCCACTCTTTCTGTGAAGTGAAGCTTTGGGAGGTAACCTTCTGTCTTGGGTGGGGACATTGACCACTGTTCAGGGTCCTGCTTTCAGAGCTGAGTCCCAGGAGCACTTTGCACCCGATGTGGCTCCCAAGCGCTCCTTTCCCTTTTTGTCTTAGTGCAGCCCCTCCCCTCCTGCTCTGTTTCCTTTACTCTTTAATAACCCAGACATTGGCCAGGCGTGGTGGCTCACGCCTGTAATCCCAGCACTTTGGGAGGCCGAGGCAGGCGGATCATGAGGTCAGGAGATTGAGACCATCCTGGCCAACATGGTGAACCCTGTCTCTACTAAAATACGAAAAATTAGCCAGGTATGGTGGTGGGCGCCTGTAGTCCCAGCTACTCGGGAGGCTGAGGCAGGAGAATTGCTTGAACTTGGGAGGCAGAGATTGTAGTGAGCCAAGATCGCGCCACTGCACTCCAGCCTGGTGACAGACCAAGACTCCATCTCAAAAAATAAAAAAAAATAAAAAATAACCCAGACATTGTCCCCTTACGCTTGTGAGGAGCTTGGGTCTTCCCTTAAATGGAGTGGATCAAGTTTTCTCAGTTTTTTTCTTCCCTGCTACCTTGACTACAATTACCCAACTCGTTTTCCCCCTAAGGTTTTACTGTTCTTGCCATGGGCACACATGGGAAAATTCCAGCCTTAAGAATCTAAAGTTGTCACGGCCTGAGCTGCTGCATCCCTCTCTTCTGAAGGCACTCAGTGGCAGACAGCATCCTCTTAGATGCTCCCTCGCCTTAAGTCAGTGGTTCTCAACCACAGTTTTGCCCCACTGTGGGCATTTGACCATGTTTGTAGATACTCTTTTGGTTGTTACAACTGGGTGTGGGTGTGGGGCTGCTACTGACATCTGGTGAGTGGGCCTGAGATGCTACACAGGAAGATGCCCAGGGCAGTCCCTGCCACAGTCATCCACCGCATGACGCCCGTGGTGCCGTGCCTGAGAAGCGCTGCCTTAACTGGATGCTTAATCTTTTGGGTCTCCCGAAGACAACCATTGTGGTGTGGGGACTTGCAAATATTCCTCCCACTTCTGGGATTTTATTACATCCAGAAACAACAAGGCACAGAGAATGGGAGCCCCAGGCACAGACTTAACATGGGGAAAAAACATCCTGTGATCTTTCTGGATGTTACCACTAAAGATACTTTGAATTATATGTTTAAATCTCTTTTTATGCCTCTAGGTTTAAAAAGGGGGATGCATATTTCCTCTTGTTTGTGCTTAAATAAAACAGTCATAGATACTGAAGTTTCTTACCGCGACTCCGGTCTTAAAGTTATTGGTCCTGCTTTGAAGACTTGTGTAGGAAAGGCCTGTGCAGCTTTATTTTCCAGAGACGCTTCCAGGGCTCAAATATATGTTAACAGATTCTTTCTTGGGTAGGCAGTGTTAACATTCAGGCTAAATAGCAGATATCTTAGACTCCATTTTGGCATCTTTTTCCCTCCTAGTTGAATTTTTTTGGGGGCAGCTGACATATTCTTTCTGTGATATCATTTTTGTCCCACCTATGTAACCATGGTACTTTTGACTGCACACTGTTTTCCTGTAATATGAAGGTAGGTGACCTGCCCCCAAAAGTGACAATCTTTGGACAGATTATGTATGAGATGGAAGTCATATTTCTTTAGGAAAGTGACATTTCACATCTGCTTTAAATAGAAAAACCTTTCTAGGTAAAAACAGTGAAGTGAGAATGCAATATATAAAATAAAAAGCTCGAGATAAAAGGAGAGAGAATGAAGGGAGACTGGGTTCTTATCTTTCCTTCTAACTTGACTGTATAACTTCCTATAATCCATTTATCCACAGTGTTGACACGCATCTGCTGTGTGCCAGACACTGTGCATCAGAGATCCTGCTAAGGCTAAAGACACAGGATTGGAGCATGAAGGCCAAGTATTGCCCAGCTGCAGTCTGTATTCTATACAATAGACTGGACCGTAGGTTCTTATTCCCAGAGCCAAGAACTGTTTCTCAGCCAAGGTCACGGGGTCCAGGGGAGATCCCCCAAGAGTAGGAGACACTTTTGACTTATTTAAGCTAATGGGACCTGGAAATAGGGATGGGGTTTCAGGCAGAGAAAATAATATGTGCAAAGACACACGAAAAATAGTGTGTTTTAGAGATAGCAGAGATGGCTGTACAACATTGTGAATATAATTGATGTCACTGAATGACACACTTAGAAATGGTTAAAGATGATACATTTTTGTTGTATATTCTACCATAATAAAAAATTAAATGGGCCAAAAAGTATGGGAGGTACATTTAAACAAAAATTTTTTTTGAGTTAATACCTTTATTTCTTTCCTTCTTTCTTTCTGTATTTCTTTCTTTCTCGCTCTCGCTCTGTTGCCCAGGCTGGAGTGCAGTGGGTGATCTCGGCTCACTGCAGCCTCCACCTCCCAGGTTCAAGTGATTCTTGTGCCTCAGCCTCCCAAGTAGATGGGATTACAGGTGTGCGCCACCACACCTGGCCAATTTTTGTATTTTTTAGTAGAGTTGAGGTTTCACCAGGTTGGCCAGGCTGGTCTCGAATTCCTGGCTTCAAGTGATCCACCTGCCTCGGCCTCCCAAAGTGCAGGGATTACAGGCATGAGCCACCATGCCTGGCCAAGTTTATATATATATATATATGTGTGTGTGTGTGTATGTGTATATATATGTGTGTGTGTATATATGTATATATGTGTGTGTATATATATGTATATATGTGTGCGTATAGATGTATATATGTGTGTATATACACACATATCTATGTGTACATGTATATACACACATATCTGTGTACATGTATATACACGCATATCTATGTGTACATGTATATACACGCATATCTATGTGTACATGTATATACACGCATATCTATGTGTACATGTATATACACGCATATCTATGTGTACATGTATATACACGCATATCTATGTGTACATGTATATACACGCATATCTATGTGTACATGTATATACACGCATATCTATGTGTACATGTATATACACGCATATCTATGTGTACATGTATATACACGCATATCTATGTGTACATGTATATACACGCATATCTATGTGTACATGTATATACACACATACACACACACACACACACACACACACACACATATATGTTTTTTAGATGGAGTCTCTCTCTGTCGCCAGGCTGGAGTGTGGTGGCGCAATCTCAGCTCACTGCAACCTCTGCCTCCCGAGTTCAGGAGATTCTCCTGCCTCAGCCTCATGAGTAGTTGGGACTACAGGTGCACGCCACCACGCCCAGCTAATCTTTGTGTTTTTAGTTGAGACGGGTTTCACCATGTTGGCCAGGATGGTCTCGATCTCTTGACCTCTTGATCCGCCTGCCTGGGTCTCCCAAAGTGCTGGGATTACAGGCGTGAGCCACCGCGCCCGGCCTACATTTCTTAAAAAACAAAAAAAGCATGTGTTTCTGGAGGAACTGCAGGTTGGAGGGTATAGTGGGAGTGTTGTGCTGGTGAGGGCAGTAGCAGGAGATGGGGCAGGTGCTGGGGAGTGGGGCCAGATTGTCCAGAGTGAGGAGCTTTGCAAGAAGCTGGGAAGCCATCAAAGGACTTAAGGCACGGGAGTGGCGTCGTCAGATATGCACTCTAGAAAGCTCTTTGTTGGGGCAGGTTGAGGAATATTTGCAGATGTCAGAGACTGGCAAGGAGCTTAGGGGTAGGAATCTAAGCAACACATAGTGACAGCTCAAACTAGGCAGGAGGGCAGGATTGGAGGCAAGGAGTGAAGTGGATGTCCAGAGAGTGAGATGGAGCCATGACGTCTCAGAGAGGTAGGAAGAGAAAAACCAGGAGGGAGGAGAGGAATGGAGATTTCAGACTGAAGTGCAATGTCAGATGGCCTTGGCGTGGCTAGATGAGGGTAGTGACCCAGAATTGTCCTTAGTGGAAGGGAGGTGGAAGGGGCAGCCACAAGGTTGCAGGGGGTTGAAGAGTAGTGGGCAGTGAGGAAGTGAGACCTGAGAGCCAAGACTCAGGGAGGACGAAAGGAGAGAGAAGCAATTGCCAGGACAAGTTATAGGGCATGGAACCTGGGGGAAACAGCAAATCCTTGTGTGTACCCATTTTTTGCAGGTAAGGGGCTTGGGGCTCTTTGAAGATAAATGTGATTAAAGAAGATCAACCAACTAGTCAATGGCTGAATCAGTGTTTATGCCCCTTTCCATCGGAATTATTCTCCTGGGGCTGCGGTAGCCATTCTGGGTGGCTTATCACCCGGTTCTGGAGGTTAGAAATCTGAAATGAAGGCGTTGGCAGGGTCTTGCTCCCTGTGAAACGTGCAGGGCAATGAATCCTTGCTGCCTCCTCGCTTCTGGTGTTTGCTTGCAGACCTTGGTGTTCCTTGTTCTGTAGTGATGTCACCCCAATCTCTGCGTGTTCTCTGTGCTTTGCGCTCTGTATCTTCACATAATCTCTTCTCTGAGTCTCTGCGTTCAAATTTCCTTCTTATAAGGACATGAACCATTGGATTAGAGTTCACTAATCCAGTGTGACCTCATCTTAACTTGATTACATCTGCAGAAATCCTGTTTCCAAATAAAGACACATTCATTGTTGTCAGGGGTTAGGAAATTGAAGACATCTTTAAAGGCAGCAGAGTTCAACTCACAACACCATCTAATTTCAAAGCTCATCTTGTCTTTTCCTATTCTTGTAAAAATCTGTCCTCAGTTTTCTCATCTTTATATAATGAAGCATTTGACTTAAACCAGGGATCCCCAACGCCCAGGTGGTGGACTGGTACCCATCTGTGGCCTGTTAGGAACCAGTGAGTGGCAGGCGAGTGAGCATTACCGCCTGAGCTCTGCCTCCTGTCAGATCAGTGGTGGCATTAGATTCTCATAGGAGCATGAACCCTATTGTGAACCACACATGCGAGGGATCTAGGTTGCACATTGCTTATGAGAATCTAATGCCTGATGATCTGAGGTGGAACAGTTTCCTCTCAAAATCATCAACCCCCAACCGCCGTGGAAAAATTGTCTTCCATGAAACCAGTCCCTGGTGCAAAAAACACTGGGGACTGCTGACTTAAACGATTCAGAATTCTTTCAGATCTAAAATTGTATGACAATGGCCAAAAAGCTTTTAATCAATAATCTTAGAAAGTCTTGAAGCACTTGGTCATAATTGGAATAAAAGTCAAAGACGAAGAACTAGAGGGAAGATAACCATTTAAGTGGGTGCTCCAAAGGGGGGTTGGGGCTGCACCCAAGCAGAGAGAGGCGCTCCTCAAACTCTTATTTTTGGCTTAAGTGTAGGTTCTACATTTTTAGTAAAAACGCTTTTGCTGCTTTCCCCAGTTGAAATTTGTGAAAGTATGTGGCAAATGGGTGGTTATGCATGGGAAAGTAAAGAGAGAGCTACTTTAATTAAATCTTTAAAGAATAATTCAGTTCAGATGCAATATTAACATTGACTGTTCTAGGCACTGTGAGTTCTGAGATGGAGAGATAAAGTGACATCAGGACTTTATAGTCTAGAACTAGAGATGTGTTCAGGACTAAGCTCTTACCGGTTCTTGGCCACTCTGCTCTGCCTTTCCCTGCTCTGACCACACTCGCACACACACATTTCCACTTTGTCTTCCGCACATTATTCACAAGGACTCTGAAGTCTTGAAGTGTTGTATTTCATCAAATCCAAGACACCACAGATTGTAAGATGTTACTATTATTTTTTGTTTCATTAAGTATAAAATATGCTAATAGTTAAACTAAAAAAAAACCTGCTTTATCATAACTTAAGTTTTAAATCTTTTTTAAAAATTATTTTTAGTAGAGATGGGGTTTCACCACGTTGCCCAGGCTGGTCTTGAACTCCTGGCCTCAAGTGATCTGCCTGTCTCTGCCTCCCAAAGTGCTGGGATTACAGGTGTGTGTGAGCCACCATGCCCAGCCCCCTAAAAATTTTTATTAAAATTTTTGTTGTTGTTGTTTTGAGACAGGGTCTTGCTCTGTTGCCCAGGCTGGAGTGCAGTGGCACGATCACAGCTCATTCAGCTTCAACCTCCTAGGCCCAAGCGATCCTCCCGCCACAGCCTCCTGAGTAGCTGGGACTACAGGTGCAGGCCACTATACCCGGCTAATGGTTTTTGAGTTTTTGTAGAGACAGGATCTCACTTTGTTGCCTAGGCTGGTCTCGAACTCCTGGGCTCAAGTGATCCTCCCACCTTGGCCTCCCAAAGTGCTGGGATTACAGGTATGAACCACTGTGCCTGGCCAAAATTTTTACATTTATTGAAGTTCTTTTTTAGATTTATTCAGACGTTTACACTGATCATAACACTCCTGTGCATATTTTCTAAAATAAAAAAGAACATTTCCTAAAATGTCTTCACACCCATAATCTAACTTATTTGAATTGCTATTCAACTTGGAGTAATCTATGTCTATTCTATTGATTTATTTTCCTCACATAAAATGTCTGTGGTGCAGCCTTTCTTAAGAGACGTCTGTAACCGGACCTGGCATTTTCTAAGCCATTTTGCAAATTTTGAAGCATGTTTGCAGGTGATAACCATGTCACAATGACTGGCTGATTAATTGTACAGTGCATCTCAAAGATGTAAAATGTAAAAAGTATCTTCAGATTGATGGGATGTGTCTCTGCTTGTCTTCTCCATCCTTACCCCTGAGACACTAGAACTCTCAGCTGGGAATCAGCGAGATGCATTGCCCTGCCAGTGGACTCCAGACCCTTCCCAGGGGAGGCCACCCAATACCCAGCTTGCTGGAAGGACTTTTCCAAAGACAAGTCTAGACTTGTCACTCCCCCACCTAAAGCTCTTCAGGGATCCTATGGATGGAACTGAAGACAGGCTGACAATCTGTTTGCACAGCTAGATGAAGAGAACTAAGGCAATGGCTAAAATGTTAATAACCTGATGGAAGAAATTATCACTCATTTTCAGTCACTTGTGTTTGATAATGTTATCTGTGACTTTCAAACCAGGGATCCCCACAGGTTCCTAGACCCTCAGGAAAGTAAAACGTTTCTATGGAGAAAGACTAGGCCCTGTTTCCTTGTCCTGCCATGATCATTGATGTTTCTCTAAGATGTTCGTGATGGAGCTGAGTCGAGAGACAGAAAGACCCAAGTATTAATCCTGCCTCTGTAACTCTGGGCAAATTATATAGCCTTAGAGGACCGCAGTTTCCTGGTGGAAAAAAAATACTCCTCTCGGATGGTGGTTATGGGGTGTTTTTATTTTTATAAGATAACATGTAGACTTCCCCTCACAGTGGCTGGTGTAGTAGATGTCAGTAGATATTAATTGTATTTTCCCCACCATCTTTGTCTTTTAAAAACAGCTTTCCATCAGATTCTGAGAAAAAAAAAACAACATTAAAATTAATGAACAAATAAGTTTTGGATTATGGTTTTCAATAATCTATACTTTTAAATGTTCTTATTTTCCACCTTTCATGTTGTGAATGAGAAATTAATCTTTTCTCCCAAAAGCCAGACTCTATTTTCATATTAAATCCTATACCATTACTGAACATACAAGAAACAGGATCATATCTAGACGAATATATAAGGCAAAATTTGGATTCCCAGGTTTGGGGAAACTTTAGTTGGAATTAATGAAGACTGCTTTTGATCTAGTCTGCCAGATTCTTTCACTTTTTAGGGTCTTATTATTGCTTCTAGATACCTTTCAGGTCTGACCATCAGCCTCCTACTTTTGTCTTTGTTTTCAGATCAGTGATGTGAAGCATTTGTTTTTACATCAGACCGTCTAGGTTTAAAATCTGACCTCCACCAAAGATTTAGGTGTGTTAACCTGGGCAAGTTGCTTAATGTCTGTAAGCTTGAGGTTCCTGATCTGTAAGTGGTGACAGGGATCCCCACCTCACAGAAGTGTTGCACATAAGTATTTAAAACACTTAATTTGGACTTGTCTGTAAATGGAATGCACTCTGTCATGGTGGCTGTGGTTAATAATTTTCTCAAGGCATGACTGTGATGTTTTGCTGGTGATTTTGGTATCTACCATTCTGTTCTTCCTTGGTGTTCTTTAATTTCTAATTTTTTTTTCCAGACTGCACCTTTTAATTTTAATGATAATGATTTGCTGCCACCTACGGGCTAATGTGGAAAGAGCAGAACATGTCATTACCAACTTTCTTAGATGCTGAATATAAAATCTCAAGGTCATCCTGGCAGACTTGAAGCCAACTGGACAACCCGTCATCCTCTTTTCTGAGAGATTTATTTTCCTTGATAGCCTAGCCGCATACTTGAATAGAACCAGAATCCCCTTGGATTCTTTTTGGAATTGGGCAGTATACATAAAGCATTGTGTTAGCAGTCAGATACTGTATTTCTCCCCTTGTTTGAGTAGATTTGCAAAACAGTGTGTATCAAAAAAGCATGAAAGAGTCTTTGCTATTTAAGTAATGGTTTGGTACCTGAGTTTTGCTTGTTTTGTTTTGGAGATCTGTTGTAGTTGGAGAACCTGGGAGTTCTGTACAAAACATTAAAAATAAAATAACGTTTAACAGGTAGCTCTGTTATGGTTCTTACTGTGTTGCCTTATATGATTGTTACTTGAATGCTTGACTCTCAGTTTCAATCTCATACAACTTTCTTCACATAATCTGACATAGAGGGTAGATTTACAAGCACACACAGATGCTGGGAAATGGTTTCTGACAGTACATAGTACAGCACGTTGTTCACGGTGTGGTTTGGCAGGAGTTGGAGTAAGAGGTGCCAATGCCAGCTAGCAGGAGACGGGTCCAGTAAGGGCTACCTGCCAACCTCAGGGGTCACACTTTGCTTTGAAAACAGTAAGGAATCACCAAAGGATTTTAAGCTGAAGAGTGATACAGTCAGATTTCTATTATAGAAATATTATTTGGGCAGTCTGTTCACAAATATTTTAGAGGAAGACCTGCGGAAGCAATTATGCATTGAGCTTTTCTACTTGCTGATTGTACCTATTAAATATTTTATATTCAGTCAAGAGCTTAATCATATTTTTTGCCAGTCCGATTTGTGGTTTTTGAATTTTTTGTGTTACTTTTATGCCTTTAACAGTTCTGTGCTTTCCAGGTAGGCACTATTTTGGTGCTGCCATGCTGATGATTATTATTATAATTATTAACTGCTATTAATCAGTGAGTGTACAGTAGAGCCTGTACCAAGTGCCTTTGTAACTTGTACACCATGTACATAAGCATCATCTCATTGACTCATGTAATTCTCTAATGCTTGCTGCGACGCTGGCTGCTTGTTCCACAGTGTGGTTATTCTCCTTCCTTTTTCTTCTGTGTCTGCTCCCTGGCGCCTTGCATTGGGCAGGATGCCACATTGCTGCTGTGGCTGAACTGGCAGTTCTCAGAAATGGTCCTGGGGGGTAGCAGGGAACAACTGCAGTGGCTGTGATGCTCACTGGCAGGAAGAGCAGGCAGAGGAGTAAACCTTCCCCTGGTTTCTTTGCAAAAAAAAAAAAAAAAAAATCTGTTGCCAGAGGAGACTTTGTAATCCCAAATCTGTAAACTGAACTGAAGCCTAGGGTAAGGCAGCTGAGGCCAGGAAGGGGGTGACAAAAAGCTTAGTCGTCAAATAATATACAAATACAATATTTTTAAAAATTAATGTAAAAGAAAATCATGAATAAAATATCACAATTTTAAATAAAGATGAGATTACCAATAGTGCTGTTCATGCAGAGCCATTTTGGAGTTTGAGACAAAGTATCAGCAATACTGATCCTTCAATTTAAAATTTTGGCATTTTTGTTCATCATGGGTTCTTTGAATTTGATTTTTAAAAAATACTGCATTAAGATATTTATATTGAGTGTTTTAGTGGCCTCTTCAATTTTGCACCCAAGGTTGGGGTGCCTTTCTGGCCTCATCTTAGCCTGTGGGTGAGGGTTGGGCAGGAAAAGAGGGGAGATCTGAGGGGCAGCTGCCTCCTGGTCACTCTCCAGTTGTTCTTCCTGACAGGCTCCGTTCCAAGGGGAATGGGTGCGGTGTGGTTGGTCTTCAGTAGTGTAGAATGTCTCTGTGTGGCTGTTGGTCATGTCTCTGAACATATACCTTAGTATTCTTTTATAAGGGTATCTGGATGATATATATATATATAGATAGATAGATATAGATATATAGATATAGATATATATAGATAGATATAATCATCTATATCATCATATATATATATGATGGCTTGAAGCCAGGAGTTCAAGACCAGCTTGGGCAACATAGCGACACCCTGTCTCTACCTCCTAAAACAAACAAACAAACAACAAAAAAAGAACTTACAAGAAGATGTTTTCTGCCTCCACTAATGGAAAGAAACAGAATAAAATTTACTTAGGACATTTAGTTCATTCAGTGGTTACTCCTTTACTGAGTTTATGAAATGTTGGCTTTGATTACCACAGCAAGCTGAAGAGATATGCAAACTCCTGCCCTGGGTTACTGGGAAGGAGCTAAAATCTTTCATCTAATTTATACTGATTTACTTTTGCAGCAATTTAAAGTCTCAGCAAGATCTCATTTTGGGCCCTTCACTCTTCTGCCATAACTATATTGTGACTGAGACTATGAACAGAAGCTAAGAGAATGCTATATTTTCTAAATTCATATTTTGGCAGAGTCTACTTGGTAGTTTCCGGTGGTTAGCTCAGATTTTCTTTTGTCCTTTGCTGAGAAAGCCAGGTCATTTGAATATCCAGAGATGAGATGTGTGGATCTACTCTAATTGGCTTTATTCTGGCTAGGACAGTGGAGGAGCTTAAATAGGGATTTTACTTAGATTTTGCACTTTAAAAAATGGTTTAAATCCCCAACCAGGTCTGCTGAGAACAGACCCAGTCCCTGAGGAAGGAGAAGATGTTGCTGCCACGATCAGTGCCACAGAGACCCTCTCGGAAGAGGAGCAGGAAGAGCTAAGAAGAGAACTTGCAAAGGTAAAGAACCATTCCTTTTGCAACTTTATTTTTGCACTTAAAATGTACTGTCATTTGTGATTCTAAAGTACATGGTGATATGTTTATAGTTAGTTCCAGGGGAGAGAAAGCATATGTGTTTACTTCTCCAGCAGGTCTTGAGTAGGGGAGAGGAGATAGAAGAGGGTGACATCGGTTCGTTTTTATATGAGAAAAAAGTATATATGGGTAAAATAGATGTGAAAAGTAGAGTGTGAAGCAGGAAATGAATGAGAGGAGTAGTAGTGAATGTCTTCTAAGGGACTTCACTGACATCTGATACACTTGCTCTTCAGTGCATCAGTGACTTTGTTCTACCCTTGGCTGTGTTGCAGAGATGGCCACTTTCCAACTTCCTTCCGCCTTTCCTTCCTTCCAGCTCCCTCCTTCCCTCCCCTCCCTTCCCTTCCCTACCCTGCCTTCCCTCCCCTCTCTCCCTTCCTTCCTTCCCCTCTCTTTCTTCCTTCCCCTCCCTCCCTCCCCTCCTTCTTCCCCTTCTGGCTTCTCTTTTTTCTCTTTCCGCCCCCCCTCCCCCTCCCTCCCTCTGCCATTCCCCCCCATTCCTCCTCTCCTTTCCCTCCCTTCTTACTTTTTTCTTTCCTAACTTCTTCCATGAAATTCATTTAACATAAAAATTAACCATTTTATTATATTTTATTTTTCGAGATGGAGTCTCGCTCTGTTGCCCAGGCTGGAGTGCAGTGGCACAATCTTGGCTCATTGCAACCTCTGGCTCCTGGGTTCAAGTGATTCTCCTGCCTCAGCCTCCTGAGTAGCTGGGATTACAGGCGTCTGCCACTGTGCTCAGCTAATTTTTGTATTTTTAGTAGAGATGGATTTCGCCATGTTGGCCAGGCTGGTTTCGAACTCCTGACCTTAAGTGATCCACCTGCCTTGGTCTCCCAAAGTGCTGGGATTACAGGCAAAAAAATTAACGAGTATAATTCAGTAACATGTAACATTCACAGTGTTGTGCAGCTGCCACCCCTTTCAAGTTCCACACATTTTCTTCACCTCCAAAGAGATCCCTGTATTCATTAAGCATTCAATCCTGACTACTCCCCTCCTTCAGCCCCTGGCAATACCTAATTTGCTTTGTGACTCTATGGATTTAACTGTCTTCTGGTTATTTCATATAAATGGAATCATACAATATGTAACCTTATGTATTTGGGTTCTTTCCCTTCATGTTTTTGAGGTTGATTCATGGTGTAGCACATATCTGTGCTTCATTATGTTTAATGACTGAATAATATTCCATTACATGTATCTATTGTATTTTGTTTATCCATTTATCCATTCATAGACATTTGGGTGATTTTTCACCTTTTGACTATGGTGGGTAGTGAGTTAGGAACATTTTATGAACAAATACTTGCTTGAGTACCTAGTTTCAGTTCTTTTTCATATATGCCTAGATATGGAATTGCTTCATCATGTGGTAGTTCCATGTTTAATGTTTTAAAATTTTTTTAACTTTTTTTTTAAGATACAAGGTCTTGCTCTATTTTGTGGGTTGGTGATTGTGCAGTGGCATGATTATAGCTCACTATAATGTTGAACTCCTGGGCCAAGCAATCCTCCTGCCTCAGCCTCCTGAGTAGCTGGGACTCCAGGTACATGCCATTATGCCTGGCAAATTTTTTAATTTTTATTTTTCATAGAGATGAGATTTTGCTATGTTGCCCAAGCTGGTTTCAAACTCCTGGCCTCACGTGATCCTCCCACCTCAGCCTCCCAAAGTGCTGGGATTACAGATGTGAGCCACTGTTCCTGGCCCATGTTTCAAGTTTTTTTGGGAAGCACCAAACTGTTTTCACAGTATTAACACCATTTAATATTCCCATCAGCAATTTCCCCACATCCCTGGCAACATTTGTTATTTTCTGTGTTGTTGATTATAGTAGTCCTAGTGGGTGTGAAGTGATATCTCATTATGGTTTTGGTTTGTGCTTTTGGTGTGATATCTAAGAATCCATTTCTAAATCCTAGATGATAAAGATTTACCCCTATGTTTTTGTCTAAGACTTTTATAGTGTTGGCTCTTAAGATTTAAGCCCTTGATCCATTTTGAGTTAATTAGCGTATATGGTTTTGGTAGGGATCTAACTTCATTCTTTTGCATGTGGCTAGTTTTCCCCAGTGAATGCTCGTGGCATCCTTGTTAAAAAAGAAAAAAAATCAGTTAACCATAGATGTATAGGTTTATTTCTGGACTCTGGATTCAGATTCATTCATCTATATGTCTTTTCTTTTGACAGTATCACACTATTTTGATTACTATAGCTTTGTAGTAAGTTTGAAATCCAGAAATATGCGTTCTTTACCTTTTTCTTCTTTTTAAAAATTGTTATTCAAGGTTCCTTGCAATTCCATATGAATTTCAGAATCTGCTTTTCCACCCACACAAAAATGCTGTTGGCATTTTGATAGGGCTCGCGTTCAGTTTATAGATTGACTTGGTGAGTATTGCCATCTTAACAATATTAAGTCTTCCAGTCCATGAACATGAAATGTCTTTCCATTTATTTAGTTCTTATTTTACTTTAGCAATGTACAAAACATTTTTCTATGTACGAGTCTTATACTTCCTTAGTTATATTTATTCCTAAGTGTTTTATTCTTGTTGATGTGATTGTAAATGGATTTTTTTTAAATTTTCTTTTCAGGTGGTTTATTGCTATTATGTAGAAACATAACTGAATATTATATCTTGATCTTATATTTTGCAGCTTTGTTGAATTTATGAGCTCAAATATATTTAAAAAAATTTTTTTGAGACAGGTATTGCTCTGTCACCCATGCTAGAGTGCAGTGATGTGATCATGGCTCGGGGCAGCCTTGACCTCCCAGCTCAAGTGATCCTCCTGCCTCAGCCTCCTGAGTAGCTAGGACTACAGGCGCTTGCCACCATCTGCCTGGTTAATTTTTTTATTTTTCAGTAGAGGTGGGGTCTTGCTATGTTTCTGGACTCAAGTGATCCTCCTGCCAAGGCCTCTCAAAGTGCTGGGATTACAGGCATAAGCCACCACAACCACTCTTGAATAGATTTTTTTGTGGATTCTTTTTTTTTTGGGGGGGGCGGTGGGGGGGAAGGTATGGAGTTTCACTCTTGTTGCCCAGGCTGGAATGCAATGGCATGATCTTGGCTCACTGCAACCTCCACCTCCCAGGTTCAAGCGATTGTCCTGCCTCAGCCTCCCGAGTAGCTGGGATTACACGAATGTGCCACTACGCCCGGCTAATTTTGTATTTTTAGTAGAGATGGGGTTTCTCCATATTGGTCAGCTGGTTGTGAACTCCCAACCTCAGGTGTTCTGCCTGCCTCGGCCTCCCAAAGTGCTGGGATTACAGGCATGAGCCACCGCACCTGGCCTTTTTTGTGGATTCTTTAGGATTTT
Source organism: Homo sapiens (assembly GCF_000001405.40). NCBI lineage: Eukaryota > Metazoa > Chordata > Mammalia > Primates > Hominidae > Homo > Homo sapiens. Next base: position 80,061,058 of record NC_000008.11, on the reverse strand, counting down.
CTATATATGAAATCATGTCATCTGTGATTAAACATCGTTTTACTTTTCCTTTCCAATTTGAATGCCTTTAATTTATTTTTCTTGTCTAACTGCTTTGGCTAAACTCTTCAGTACAATATTGTGTAAAAATGGTAAAAATGGGTATCCCTGTCTTTTTTTCTGATCTTATGGGGAAAGCTTTCAGTCTTTAACCATAAGTATGATATTAGCTGTCATTTTTTTCACAAATGCACTTGCGTTGAGGAAGTTCTCTTTTATTCCTAGTTTTAGTGGGTTTTTTTTTTCATGAAAGAGTATTGGATTTTTATGAAATGCTTTTTTTTTCACCTATTGAAATGATTGTGTTTTTCCCCTTTACTATATTAATGTGGTATATAACACTGGTTGATTTTCATGTGTTGAATCATCCTTGCATTCCTAGGATATATTCCACTTGGTCATGTTTTATAATCCTTTTAATATGCTGCTGGATATTCATAGGAGATATGGGCTGCTGTTTTCTTGTGATATCATTCTCTGGCTTTGGTAAATAGGGTAATGCTGGCTTCTTAGATGAGTTGGAAAGTGTTCTACCATCTTCTGGTTTTTTAGAAGAGTTTGAAAAGGTTTGTCCATTCTTTAAATGTTTGGTAGAATTAACCATTGAAGCTATCTACTTTTACACTTTTCTTTGGGAGATTTTTGATACTTGTTCAATCTCTTTACTTGTTCAGATTTCTTCTATTTTGTTGGGTCAGTTTAGTCATTTGTATATTTCTATGCATTTGTCCATTTACTCTAGACTATCTAGTATGTTGGTGTACAATTGCTCATAATATTCTTTTATAATCCTTTCTGTTTCTATAAGGTTAGTTAATGTCCCCACTTTCATTTGATTTTAGTTATTTATGCCTTCTCTCTCTTTTTTTTTTTTCGGTCAGTCTAGCTATAGGTTTGTCAATTTCACTCATCTTTTTCTTTTCTTTTTTTTTTTTGAGATGGAGTCTTGCTCTGTCACCCAGGTGGCTGGAGTGCAGTGGCAGCAGTCTTGGCACACTGCAGCCTCTGCCTCCAGGGTTCAAGCAATTCTTGTACCTCAGCCTCCCTGGTAGCTGGGACTACAGGCGTGCACCACCACGCCTGACTAATTTTTGTATTTTTAGTAGAGACGAGGTTTCACCATGTTGGCCAGGCTGGTCTTGAACTTCTTTTTTTTTGTTTGTTTTGAGATGGAGCCTCACTCCGTTGCCCAGGCTGGAGTGCAATGGTGCGATCTCGTCTCACTGCAACCTCTGCCTCCCAGGTTCAAGCGATTCTCCTGCCTCAGCCTCCTGAATAGCTGGGATTACAGGCACGTGCCACCACTCCCAGCTAATTTTTGTATTTTTGGTAGAGACGGGGTTTCAGTGTGTTGGCATGACTGGTCTCCAACTCCTCACCTCAGGTGATCTGCCCGCCTTGGCCTCCCAAAGTGCTGGGATTACAGGCGTGAGCCACTGCGCCTGGCTGTCTTTTTCTTTTTTTTAACCCTTAATGCACTGTTGATCTTTTTAAAGAATGAATTATTGCTTTTATTCATTCTCTCTATTGTTTCCTCTTGTCCATTTTATCTTTACTCTAATATCTAATCTCTTCCTTATTCCCTTCCTTCTCTTAGCTTTGGGTGTAGTTTTCTATTTTTTAAATTTTTCTCTAATTCCTTAAGGTGTAGAGTTAGGTTATTGAGATTTTTTTTAATGTAGGCATTTATAACTATACATTTCTTACTGACAGTTCTTCAACTGCATCCCAAAAGTTTTAATACACTGTTTTTGTTTTCCTTCATTTCAAGGTGTTTTCTAATTTCCTTTGTGACTTCTTTTTTGGCCCATTGGTTGTTTAAAAGTGTGTGGTTTGATTATTACATAGTTGTGAATTTTCTGGTTTTCCTCTTGTTTTTGATTTCCAGTTTCATGGTGGTGGTTGGAAAAGGTGCTTTGTATGACTTTAAGTTTATTGAGACTTGTTTTGTTGCCTAACGTATACTCTGTCCTGGAGAATGTTTCATGTGCATTTGAGAACAGTGTATTTCTACTAATTTGGGGTGAGCTGTTCTGTACATATATGTGTTAGGTCCAGTTGATGTATGGTATTGTTCAAGTCGTCTCTATGATCTTCTGTCTGTTTGTACTACTCATTTTTTCGCCCAAAGTTTTATAAACAAGGTGGGGATAGAATGGGTAAGGCAGATGGGTGATAAACCATTTGTGTGGTTGTTTTTTTGTTTTGTTTTGTTTTTTGAGACAGAGTTTCACTCTGTTGTTGCCCAGGCTGGAGTGTGGTGGCATAATCTTGACTCACTGCAACCTCTGCCTCCCAGGTTCAAGCGATTCTCCTGCCTCAGCCTCCTGAGTAGCTGGGACTACAGGCGTGTGCCACCATGCCCAGCTAATTTCTGTATTTTTAGCAGAGATGGGGTTTTGTCATGTAGGCCAGGCTGGTCTTGAACTCCTGAACTCAGGTGATCCACCTGCCTTGGCCTCCCAAAGTCCTGGGATTACAGGCATGGGCCACCATGCCCAGCCATATATTTTTATATTTGTAGAGGGCATTAGAATACAGATAACCTTTTCCCACTTAACTGATTTTCAAAAACATTTTTATGCCAATATACTCTTGTGCAACCTCATTTTAAATTGCTGCGTAGTCCATTTTGAATTTCCGCAAGCTCATTTTTAATTTATATTATTTATAAACATTTGGATTGTTTCCATTTTTTGCTATTATGAATAATAGTTTGATGAAAATACCTTCATGTAAGTTTTTATGCACTTCTTTAATTAGCGCTTTAGGATAAAGTCCTGGAAGTAGCATTATGCCTGGGTCTAATGGTTTTTAAGAGTATATAGCAACATGGCCAAAATGCTATCCAGCATATTTCTTACAGTGTTTTGAAAGAGCATTTTTTTTCAAATCCTTGACAGTTCTCAGTATTGTTTTATTATCAACAAAATAAAAATAATAGTAATAGCACCTAATGTCTATAGACTACATGCTGTGTGGGAGGCGTTAAACTGAGCTCTTTACATGCATTATTTCATTAATTATTACAACAGTCTTACGGGGCAGGTGCTATTATGATTGATGGAAGAGGAAACATAGTCTTTATTTAACAAATGAAGTTACCAGCTATATGATTTGTAAATATTTTCTCCCATTCTGTGGATTTTCCTTTTCATTTTCTTTATAGTCCCTTTTAAAACATTTTTAAACTTAAATTTTTTATTTAAAAAATTTTAGATTCAGGGGGTACATGTGCGGGTTTGTTACATGGTAATGCCTCATGATGTTGAGGTTTGGGCTTCTAATGATCCTGTTGCCCAAGTAGTGAACATGGTTTTTCAGCTCTTTCCCCCAACTCTCCCTCTCCACTTCTGGAATCCCCAGTGTTTAGTGTTCCCATCTTTGTGTCTGTGTATACCCAATGTTTAGCTCCCACTTATAAGTCAGAACATGTGGTATTTGGTTTTCCATTTTTGTGTTAATTTGATTAGGAAGATGGCCTCCAGCTGTATCCATGTTGCAGCAAAGGACATGATTTTGTACTTTTTAGGGGCTGCATAGTATTCCATGATGTATATGTACCACATTGGACAGTGGGCACCGGGGTTGGTTTCATGTCTTTGCTATTGTGAATAGTGATGCAATAAACATATGAGTGCAGGTGTTTTTTTGGTAGAACAATTTCTATACCCAGTAATGGGATTGCTGCCATTGAATGGTAGCTCTGTATTAAGTTCTTTGAGAAGTATCCAAATTGTGTTCCACAGTGGCTGAACTTTAGGACTGTTATGAATAATGCCGCTGTAAGCAATTGTGTACAGCTTTTTGTATGGATGTGTGTTTTCTTTTTATTGTTGCTTGTTTGTTTTTTGAGAAGAGTCTTGCTCTGTTGCCCAGGCTGGAGTGTAGTAGCATGATCTCAGCTCACTGCAACCTCTGCCTCCTAGGTTGAAGTGATTCTCCTGCCTCAGCCTCCTGAGTAGCTGGGATTATAGGCACACCACCACCATGCCTGGCTAATTTTTGTGTTTTAGTAGTATGGGGTTTCACCATGTTAGCCAGGCTGGTCTCAAACCCCTGACCTCAAGTGATCTGTCCACCTTGGCCTCCCAAAGTGCTGGGATTACAGCCGTGAGCCATTGCACCCAGCCTGGATGTGTTTTCAATTCTCTTTGTTATATATACCTAGGAGTGGAGTTGCTGGGTCATATGGTAGCTCTATGTTTAACTTTTTGAGGAGCTGTCAAACTGCTTTGCTGCCCAACTTCATTTTACATTCTCACCAGCTGTGTCTGAGGGTTCCAATTTCTCCACATCCTTGCCAACACTTATTAATCTCTGTTTTTTTTAATTGTAACCATCCTAATGGGTATGAAGTGGTATCTCCTTGTGGTTTTGATTTGCATTTCTCAAATTACTAATGAATGGTGTTAAGCATCTTTTCATGTGCTTATTGGTCATTTGTATATCTTGGGAGAAATGTCTATTTAAGTCCTTTGCCCATTTTCTAATTGGATTGTCTTTTTATTGAGTTGTAAGTTTCTTTATATGTTCTAGATACTAGACTCTTATTAGGTATGTAATTTGCCAATATTTTCCCCATTCTGTTGGTTGTCTTTTACTTTCATGACAGTGTCGTTTGAAGCACAACCTGTAGGCATCCTCCCTTTCCCAACCTCTAACACCCACAATTTTACTCTCTACTTAGATGGGTTCAGAGTTTTTTCTTGGCGTCCACATGTGAGTAAGAACATGCAGTATTTATCTTTCTGTGCCTGATTTATTCTGCTTAACGTATTGTTCTCTAGGCTCATCCATGTTGCTGCAAATTACAGGATTTCATTCTTTTTTATGGCAGAATTGTATTCCATTGTGTATACCACATTTTCTTTATCCATTCACCTGTTGATGGACACTTGGGTATTGTAAATAGTGCTGCAATAAACGTGGGGGTGTAGGTACCCTTTGATACACTGATTTCCTTTCCTTTGGATAAGTAACCCAGTAGTGGGATTGCTGGATTATGTGGTATTTCTATTTTAAGTTTTTCTGAGAAACCTCCATACTGTTTTTCATAGTGGCTGTACTAATTTATATTCCCAGCAACAGTGTATAAGAGTTTCATCTTCTCTGGATCCTTGCCAGCATCTGTTATTTTTTGGTTTTTTGATAACAGGCATAATAACAGGTGTGAGGTGATACCTCATTTTGATTTTGATTTGCATTTCCCTGATGATTAGTGATGTTGAGCATTTTTAATATATTTGTTGGCCATTTATATGTCTCTTCTGAGAAATGTCTATTTAGATCCTTTGCCCACTTTTTAAATGGGATTGCTTGTTTGTTTTGTTGTTGAATTGAGTTCCTTGTATATTTTGGATATTAGTCCCTTGTCAGATGAATAGTTTGCAAATGTTCTCTCCCATTCTACAGGTTATCTCTTCACTCTGTTGATGATTTCCTTGAATTTAGTCCCATTTGTCTATTTTTGTTTTTGTTGCCTGTGTTTCTGAGGTCTTAGCCATAAAATCTTTGTCTAGACCAATGCCCTGAAGTGTTTCTCCTATGTTTTCTTCTAGTAGTTTTATGGTTTTGGGTCCTTAGTCCATTTTGAGTTGATCTTTGTATATAGTGATAGACACATCAGAGATTCTTAATCATGCTCTTTATGCTTTTAAAGTCACTCTGTTTTACATGTATATATTGAATTAAGGAATCGCAGCCATGATGTGCTGGGCTAGGTGTGTTAGCAGCACAAGCTAACCAACAAAGGTGGGGAATATACTGTGTTGTGCATTGTTCAGAAAGATTTAGAGTGGTTTGTCTTTGCAGCTTTCATTAGAGGAAGTGAGTACCTCAGAGAAGTGCTAAGGGGTGGGAAACTTACCATTTAAGTCTATTCTTAGAAGTGTCTGAAGCTTTGGAGCCTGAAGTAGAGACAGAGGAAGTGGGAAGCTTAAGAGAGTGTACATGAGAATTCAGCCAGTAAACTGAGACGTGCATTCAGAAAACCTAGATAGGAATTCTGGTTCCTACATTATTTGTTTGATGACTTTGGGCAAATCATTTAATTTACTTAATTTTGAACCTTATTCTTTCCTCTTTTTTTGTCCTTTTCTTCTCGTATTCCACTTCGTCAATGTACATCTTAAAATGTGACTTACAAAACTGGGTCCAGTACTTGTGACTCTGACAAGCACAGGGGATTATTTATTTGTTCTGAGGGACCTCTGTTCCAGTTAATCTTATCTGAGAGTGGTGTTGTAGGTTCTTTTTCTTCTTTTTTTTTTTTTCTTGGCAGCTGCATCACATTTGATTTATCCTTTTCTCCGTTGCACTAATTTTCTTTGTTTTGTGTTCTCTAAAGACTTAAACATCTGTGAAAACATTTGACTGAGCAATACTCTATGTTATTTTTAAAGGGCATGTTGTCTTTGAAATCATAGAAATACCGTGCAGGTTGGGGCTGAAAATATGGCTTTGCAACAAGCCAGGAGACGCATTTCTCTGAGGGTCTTGAATGTTAATGGATATACTTTAGGGACCTAGATTTTCAATTTCCTGGGACCTAAAGTCTCTTCCACATGGTGTCTATTTCTCTCTGAAATAGGCAGTCCACCCTTTTCCCTGTTTCTGAAATAGAGAGTCTACCATTTTCCCTGTTTTCCTGGATTAGCCTTTTGTTCTACTCTGTCCATTTTTTCCTTTTCTTCATAGCTTCTGCTTACAGTTTTAGATTCCTCAAGCATATTTAAGCTTTCCATACCTCTCATAATCTCACTGTAGCCTACCTATACCTCAAGGCTTCTTCAAGTTTTTTCAGCTTCTACTTGCAATGTCATCTCACTTCTCAAACTAGATTCCTGAGTGAGAGAGACGAATAGTTGAGCACCTCTTTTCACACTGGGCTCATCCACTGGCTCTTGATGGGTGGCTGTCCATGGGTCAGGGCCCACCTCTAACCACCTAGTCAAGTCTGGGCAGTCAGCATCAAGGGGTTCACATGAAACCCTTGAGAGCAGGGATCTCCTGAGGAGGCGGTTTGATTTATTATGGCCATGACTTTGCCAGACACAGGGACTGAGTATATGTATCCAGTATATATACTCATATCAAATATGCAAGGAGATTGGATTTGGGTTTGGCTTGGTTGTGTGTGTTTTGGTAGGGGATGGAGATTATTTTGATTTAGTATACAAATACAAGTTTTGTAGGCATTCAGATAGAAATGTCTAGGCTGGGAAGGCAGACCCACAGGTCGGGAGAGTGGATGTTAGAGTGCTTTATTAAGTATTATCTGTGTAGAAATTTGAGTCCTAAACCTACATGAGATAGCTGAGTAAGGAAGTATAGGGAGAGAGGAGAAGGCCAAAAACAGCTTAAGATGGGATTATAAAGAGCTCCCATGGAGGAGGAAAGAGAACTCTACAGGAGAGATCAGCAAGTAACCAGTTTACTCAACAACATTATACATTGTTTTTAGAGAGAAAGATAAATGATTCAAAAAAATGTTTAATGACTGGAATTTTGGATGTAGTTCTGTGGTAATAATCTTAACTTACTGAATGACTTTTGCTATATTCTTACCCCAAACCCCTTCCTCATAGGTAGAAGAAGAAATCCAGACTCTGTCTCAAGTGTTAGCAGCAAAAGAGAAGCATCTAGCAGAGATCAAGCGGAAACTTGGAATCAATTCTCTACAGGAACTAAAACAGAACATTGCCAAAGGGTGGCAAGACGTGACAGCAACATCTGCGTATGTTTCCTTGATCATACACTTTCCTTGGGAGTGTAAAGGACACTGTTGTGCCTTTTGTCTGGAGAGGGGAAGAAAAAGAGGATAAGGATGCTTCAGCAGCTTTTCTTTGGACGACACGGCACCCTTTTTTTCTGATTTTCAAGTGTGCCTGCCTTTTTTTGTAACTTCAATTTTTCCAGACCACTTATTCTAAGGAATAGAAAGAAAGCTAGCCAGTTGGAGAAATAAAATTCAAATCCCATAAGTGTTATGTATTGACTTGCCACAAATATGTACATTTTGTCCTTTAGTACTCAGAATAACCCAGTAAGAATGGGTGGCAAGATAACCCTGGATAAGGAAACAGGCTCAGACAAATTAAGTTTTCATGTCACAAACCTCTCAAAATGTGGAGTGGGAATTCAAACTCAGGTCTGGAGCCAGTCTTTATTATTATTATTAATGTATTTTTTTAACCTTGTTGTGTAGGTATCAAAAGATTCTCAGGTCGTAGTCTCAGATATATGCTCTTGGCAGAGGTCAATCCCTTAGGCTTTTTGTCTTTTTGACCACACATGCTATGATATAGCATTATCATAATGCAGTTTTGTTTCCCGGCACAAGGAGGAGCAAGCTTCTAGCAGCAGAAACCGAACTGCTCTGTCTTCTGTATTGAGAGCCATCTGCAGAGCTGGTGAGCACAGAAGTTGTTTTACAATTTAACTATCAGAAGTGAGGCCAACTGCATTTAACATGACAGTACTTGAGTCCCCAGTCTTTTGGTCCATTTTCTACCCATCTAAGTTGGCAGTGGGAAAACATACAGGAAACTATTTTTTCAACAGTATTACCATGAACCATGTTTTTTTATTGGTATTTGATCTTGACAGGGTAAGTAAAAATGCCTGAGCATTCTTTCCCATAATGTGGGAATTGTTTTGGTAGGTACGATATTATTTTGTTTTTTGTTGTTGTTGTTGTCATCATTTTTTTGTTTTTGCTTTTCTCTTCTCTAATCTCCAGGTAGCTGGGAAGGAGGTGGTAAATTATAGCTTTGCGTGATAGCAGATACCACACTAGAATAATTTTAAGCATTGCATATTTTACATACTTTGTTGAAAGTCCATCATGTCCGTATTTGGTAGCTCTCTAAAGACATGCAAAAATTTTTAGAAAGTATGCCCATAAAATGTATTTGGATAATAAAATACAAATGGGTCCTACTTACGCCAGCTACTAATTGCTTCTGGCCCTTTTTTAGGAAATCAAGTTGACAAAGGCATCTGAGGAATTTGATTTCATTTTTGTTTTGTTTGGATTATGTGAGAAAAGAACAATAGGTATGAGTTCTTTCAGGCCTTTGCTTATTTTCATCTTGGTTTGATGATTATTTTTAGCCCTTACCTTGACTTCTTTGGCCCTGCCTTTATAGGACTCTGTCTTTCTGGCTGGACTAGGGCACTGCAGAAGATTGTGCCTGAGCTTAGGGTTGAGCATACGAAGATGTGGTGATGCCGCTCTGCTGGTTATGAAGGATTTTAGAAGTTCTGAAAAATGTTTTCTCTTTTTGAGAGTTCTCCAGCAGGTGGTGACCACTGCACTTGAAACAATTGATATTAGAAAAGATGAGCTGACCCTTCTTTTGCTCTGTGTGTTTATAATTTAATATAGTTACAAGAAGACATCTGAAACCTTATCCCAGGCTGGACAGAAGGCCTCAGCTGCTTTTTCGTCTGTTGGCTCAGTCATCACCAAAAAGCTGGAAGATGTAAAGTATGTCCTCATTTTTCCTTGCTCATTAAGTAGCTGACGCAAATTAAAATGTTATTGTTGTTGCATCTGTTTCCTGACCTTGGCTCTAGTTGATGCTAGCTACTCCTGTTAGAGTGAGGGAGGGCACTCCTTCAAACCAGTACCTGGAAGGCTCATCTAAGGTCTTCTAGGCCTAGCATTCTAACATCAAATGATCATCTGATGATCATTTAAGGTTGTTGAAAAATTCTGGTTGTGAACTTCTTTGTCTTTTTAGTTCTTCATGATCATGCAGGGTAAGTATGTCTTTGGTTGCAAATTTGTGATTGTGGGCAGAGCCTGGTGTGTTACTAAGGATGACTACAGGAGCACTGAAGTGCACGCTTCGATTCAGATTTGGCTTCACGTTCTATATGTGACATTTTATATCATGGTGTGATTACAACATGCTCATTTGTGCACTGTTTTATTCTAACTGGTAAGCTGTAACTATGTTCATGCTTAGGCCAAAATCTTGATTTTGAGTTGTTGCTTTTTTTTTTTTTCATTTAGATTAGTCTGCAGAGTTTTCCTTGCCATTTTTATAAAACCACTTCACAGTGCTTTTGTGCCCCCCCTTCACTCATGTGGATTAGGATAGTGATGAAAATGACAAATGTGGTTTAAGTCAGCTGTGCTTCTGTTGGCATGCAAGATTTGTGTTTAAAAAAAAATGCTCAGATTGCATGGCTTCGTGTTTTGCATTTGTGGGGAAAGTGTATATCTTACAACCAGAATTTCTTGGTTGAATAGATTTGGTCAATTTATGTGTTATACTTTACACCAAAAGAACAAATTCCTCGCTCATTATATTTAGACTGTCATTGTCTAAGCATAATGTAATAAATATAGCTTTCTTGAACTCTTTTGACAATTATGTATGTATCTATTAGGTGTTCATTTTCTCTATGCTGACTGAATTGTGTAGCAGTTTAGAGCCCAGGGAAAACATTATATGTTTAAAACTTAGGTTATTTAATTGTTTTAGATTTATCAGAACTTCTTTCTTTTTTAATGCTTACTCTGGCTTCTTACAGATTGCAAGCCTTTTCACATTCCTTTAGGTAAGGAGAGTTTGAACCATCACTGCAGTCCAGCAGTTGTATAAGAAAAGTGTGCTGAGATTAGATTACCATGCTACGTTGGATGATCGTGTTTGTCCAGTACATAATTTTCTTGCGTTTAGAGTATCTTTTTCTCTAGTGCATTCCTAATTTCAAGGGAGGGTTTCTTGTATACCATGGGTAGTTGATAAATTAAAAGAAGTATTTGACACTGTGGTTCAAGGGATATGGAAATGATTTTGACATTTCTTTTTTACTTTTTTCTTTGGTAAAAAGAAGCAGCTTTACCATGGCATGCAAAATTCCTCCCTTTTAATGTCTGACTTTGTTTGTTTTGATGCTTTTGTTTCTTTGGTACTTTTGTAAGGATGTTGGAATTCTTCACCTGGGTTTCATTACACAATTGTAACAGACTGCATATGTACTGCCTCCTGATGTTAGTCTTCCATCTTCTATTGGTTACTCTACCTTTTTTTTTGTTGTTGTGGTAAAATATACATAAGGTAAAATCTGCCACTACTCTGCACTTTTTAATACTTGTTTTACTAGCTTATAGTTTTTATGATTTTATTCTTTCTTTACACTTGTTATATTCTTTATGTACACAAGGCAACTTCATGGTTTGAAAAAGGGAAAAGAATATTAAGCTAAAAAAAGCACATTAAAAAGATGTTAGCTCAAACCATGCCTTATAGAAAGAGACTTTGTGATGTTGAGGAAACCTTTCTCTTTCCCAGGCAGACTCTTTGATTATCTGATTAGTTGTTGGAGGAAACTAAGGTGGAGGAAAGTCTTTAGAGTATAAGCAGGAAGGATGATATAGTAGTCTTCATCTCTGTTCCTATGGATGCAGATTATTTTCTTAAGCAATCACTCATGGTAGTCTAGCTGCTTGCCTTTTTAAGTAAGCAAACAGGTACTTAAAGCTCCTATCTTGGTGACACTTACCCCTGGAAGTCAGAGTAAATTATAGGGATATATAAACTCTAAATGTTGAACTATTTAAAGCTAAAATTATGCTTAAAAAATCAAGTAACCAATGATAGGTGATTGTGTATCGTTGGCATTCAGTTAAAAAGTGCTATAAGTAACTGAATACAGAGCCAGTCACATCACCCATTCTGCTAACATTTAGAGTGTCTACTGTGGACAGGTTCCATGGGCATAACCATAAAGAACGCATGGCTTTTATTAGAATGAAGCTTAAAATCTTAGAGTGGAGTAGGGGAAGAGTGGGGACTTGGGATAAGTTAAGAATGGAAGAGCCTTATCAGTACTGGTTATAAAATGTTCGATGTGATGCAAACATCAGTGTAAGATATAAAAGTAAGGGCTATTGAGGATGATGTTTCTTCAGTACATATCACTAGACTTTTCTATACCTTTAAAGAATACCTTTCTATACCTTAAAGCCATACCTAGATATGGCTCAGTGTGTGCTGTCTTATTAATTCATCAGCAACAAATTATGTTTTGCAACTGTTTTCTAGCTCCTTTCACAGTCACTTTGTCCATTTTGTTTAAAAAATATAATTAAGATTATGCTGTACCATTTTCAGTCTTGTTTTTAATAAATATTAAGTTTTTATGAATATTTAATTGCCCATCAGTATGTAGGGGTTAAAGTAAGGTTTTTGATTAAAATTTGGAAATGAAAGAAATGAGATTATCTTTTGAAAGTTAAACTTTGTAATTCTTGCAAATCACAGGTTAGGTAAAGGCATTTAAAAAAATAATTTCAAGGCCAAGAAGTCCTGATTGTGTTCTGATTTAATGTGTTGACACATATAAAGAAAACCTACATCTTTTAGATTATGTGAGTCACAGAGGCAAATATTGGCCACGTTCCCTCAAGAACTACCCAAGGAAAGGGAGCTTAGGCTGTAGATTTGAGTGTTACAATTCCAGCAATAAGTCCTTTTCTCCCATGGAGGTGGATACAGTAGGCTCCTTTTGCTAAGTGCTATGAAGTAGGTGGTTAGTCCTTAATCCCACTCACTGTTTGTTCTAGGTCCATTTTACCTGGCAAACTTATGCCGGTGATTTTACTCCTTAATGTAATTATGGATATAGAAGGAGAAAATGCAGCAGTTTTGCCAACCTGAATGTGTTAGACTCAGCAACAGTTTTTATTTTACATAGTCAGTTGATAAATCAGCACTTGGGATTTAGATATTTGCCTTATGCCTTGATTGAGGGGAGGGAGATGTATAAGGAAATAGAGAAGAGAGAGAGAGAGCTGCTCTTGATGTCCTGAGAATGAGGTGTGGTGGTAGCAAGGCCAAGGAGGACGTGGTCATGAGTGCTGTCCTGGGAGGCCCTCTGGGGCAGCCTGCTTTTCCCTCAGGTGATATGCTTATATTTCCCCTCTGTTTGCATATGTTCTATGCCTATGTGAAAGTATTGACTCATGCCTTTAGCATTTTGAGGGAAACTTTAAAAGAACCTTCTCATTGCAGTCAGTGCCAGGGTTAAACATAAAATTTTAGTGTTATTAAAAGCATACTATAATATTCAGTAGACACATTTGTCTCATATTTTTGGTATATTTAAGAGGAAGTGCTAATTAATTTTGCCTTTATTTCCAAAGAAAATTTCTCCTTTTTAAATGTGTGTTTCTTCATGTGCCCCTGTAGATATTTATTTGGTTTGGGCTCATTAAAGTCCTGCTAGACAATTCCCTTTTGCTGAAAACTTCCACCACTTAATGGGAAAAGAAATGATCTCTTTCCTCGTGTCAGAAAAAGAATATCTTTTGATTAGAATTTGAAACACTTTAATGAACTTTTCTCTGTTTCATGCCCATATTCCCAATTTTAGTTATCAAAATTGTTTATTCATTTATTCATTCATTCTTTCACTCAAAAGTATTTATTGAGTGCTAACTATGTGCCAGGCATTGCTGTAGACTATAGGGGTGGAGCTAAAAACCAAAATAATGCTGAAATTTGAAAGCTTCAATGTGAAATTTGAAAGCTTCAACGTGATATGCTTATATTTCCCCTCCTGTTTGCATATTTTCTATGCATATGTGAAAGTATAATATACAGTAGATGCTAATTCATGTTTCAATTAAAGCATGTGTTATAATAATAATTAACATTTATAAGCCCAGCGAGACAATAGTACCTCAGAAGCAGATGCTATTGTTTTTGATATTACAGATGAGGAAACTGAGCCATAGAGAGATTAAGTGACTTCCCCAAGGTTGCACAGCAGGTATAAGTGGCTGATGGTCAGGACTGGAACCGAGCACACCTAGTCCTGGAGCCTGCACTGTCCTCCTGGGCCTCCCCAGAGCAGTGGTGGTTTAAGACAGTGCCCCTCTAGGCACTGTCCAGCACTTTGAACAATAGCTGCTGTGATCACCAACATCAAAAGATTGTGTGAGGGCAAAGTGGAATAATAGTACATCAATAGCTGTGAAAAGCATACGTGGTATATAGTAAGCAGTCCAACATGTTAGCCATTAACTTTCCCTTCTCCTCCTCCCGCTGCTGCTACTTCCTTCCTTATCCTCCCTCTACCCCCTCCTCTCTTATTATTATTGAGCATGAAAGCATCAGATAACTGTTAGAAACAAGGAATATTTTTTAAAAATCAATTCAGCTGTTTTAAAAAAATGACTTTTTCAAAGTAAGAGTAAATGCAGTGTGAGATTGAAAAGTACTTAGTGAGAATCAGATTATCCTGATTTTTTTTTTCAGTGTTTTGAGGAGCCCATGTTTGCATTCCTAGTTTGATTACAGATTAATGTATTTGGGGGTTACAAATAAGATGCAACATTTTTAACAAAATGTGCCTTATAGATGGTAACCGATTCTTACAACCTATCTATTAGAGATGATTCTGGTCCCGTAGCAACATGACTTTTTACTTTTGAAGGTTTCCATATTACATTTAAGCTTGAATGAAACTGAAAATGATGAGCAAGTTGAAGCTTTGTGTAACTTGCCATAGAGAAGCCAGAAATGAAAGAACAGCCACCCTATAGTTAGATTACAACTAGTTACCAACAAAATTGAATTTCATCTAACTATGGATTATGGGGAGGATCCAGCAACCAGATAGAATTGAAGCTGATGTGTGCTCCTTTTCTTCCTACTATAAAATAGCTACCATAAAAGCAGAGAGACCTTGACTTTGACTCTGTTAACTGATTTTATTCTGTTTAATGGGTATATTTATCTTCAAGTGTGATATAATGCATACAGAAAAGTGCTCAACACCAAATTCATTTCAGTGATTTTTTTCACAAAATAAACAGTCTAGTCACTTCCTTGCCTTTCCTTATATATTACCACTGAAACATATTTAGTAGGTACATGCTAGGTAAAGTGGTATAGAGCCCAACCGATCCACTGCTGGAGGAAGTGATATTGTACATGGGTTCTTAGGGACAGTGACTAGAATTAGCTGTGAAATTCTGAAATTTGCACTTACTTATCCACCTGTTTCCACATTTTGTTGATACTACCAAATTCAATGTGTGGGTCCCCGGGACAAGGAATTTATCACATATTTGGCCATTACCTTCTTTTTCAGCGATTTCTGCCAAAATGAATGTCCTAATGAAGAGTTTTGATTATTAGGAACAGAAAGCTATGTAACTTTTAGCTCACCTAAAAAGAAGAATGTGTTGCACAAATACAAAGTTTTTTTGTAATTCAAGGAGAGAAAAGAAAGCAAGGCCAGGCTCCACCCAAACCAGCTCCATCAACTGGGAAATTGAAGTAGCTTCTATTATTGAAACCAAGAAACCTATTCCTCTTCCATCCTGCTGGATTCCCTGCATGATCACCTCTCCTGACCTCATCTGCTCTACCTCTCTGTGTGCTTATATTCGATTCTTTCTTTGGGAACTGGTTTCCTCTGTGTTCTGTCAGCTTTCACCTGGTCCCACCAGATCCTCTTCAACATCTAAGTGTCCAGCAGCTTAGTGTCCTAATTACAATATGCTAGGATAAGAGTCTTAATTGTCTTCACTCCTTCATTTTTCATACATTCCAAACAATTTGTAGGCCACTGGGAGGTTAGCAGTGGTGGGTGGTGCTCCACTGATCCACCTATCATATCAGTTATGGTAGAAGGTGGTTTGTGGCAATGTGACTATTCCAGGCAGCTTCAGCAGAAGGGTCTGAGGAAGAACAGGTGATACTTAGAGTTCTGGTGTTGTAAATTTAGAGATTGGGACCAGCACACTTTGATAGATCCAAAGTAGGAAAAGAATTATCAAATTCCTCCCAGAATAGATTATTATACTCTTATACCCTAGGTATTGACCACCATTGTAGGATAGAGAGAATACTGAGTTACATGCATCTTTTCCTGTTATGTAAGACATCAAGTACAGAGGTGTTTAAATATTTCATTGATAATCCTGATTACACAGATTGCCAGCATATTTGACATATATCACAATCATTCTCCATGTTATCAGATATTAATGCAAAATTAGATTTGAGGACCTACATTGAAGACACGTTATCATTTGTACCAAATGAGTCTTTAAGAAAAGGAAATCATAAGCGCACAAAATATTTAAATATAACTGAGAATTAATACCTTGAACCTATACACTTTACCCAAAGGAAAGTTTATTTACCAAAGTCGTGCCAGTGGTCAAACTATTATAAGCATAGTAACAATATTAGCAGAATACAATCATTTTACGAGCCTAGGAATGAAGGCACTCTCATCTCATGAGGTGGTCTTTATGGGAGATGGCTAAGAGTAGGTAACCTTGAACCTGAGTGGTCAGTGAACTGCATTGTCCTTGAGTGGGCAGTTGCCTCCTTGTCTTACTAAGAGCCCTTCCCTGGCCTTGCTTGTGTGTGTATGTGTGTATGTGTGTGTGTGCATGCTTCATTTTTGAGGGGAGGCGATAAACACTGAATTAGACCCAAGTTCTATTCTTGATTCTGCTGTGACCTACGGTAACTCATTTAACACCTATATGCCTTACAGCTCCGGGTGAAAGCACTTTAGTTTTCAAAGTGCTGTAAAAATGCAAGGTGGTATTGTTAGCTCTAGTAACTCCTGGGAATTAATTGGCTCCTGAATAAAAGTAAATTATGTTGGAATAACTTTGATCCCCTCCACCTCAAAAAGTAGGTAATTCTTCATGGCGCCAAGAGAATAAAGCTCCTGGGGAGCTAAGTTTTGTCAGCTTTTAATAATGTTGAAGCACCACTATACTAACCTTATTTCTATCTCTTTTTAATGCTGCCTCTTAGTATACGTTCCATTCAGCATTCAATTAGCATGCCTGCTATGAGGTAAAGTATATTTTTATGAAATGTAGTTGGTCTTATGCTTTATTTTTCTTTATTTAGATGTTTAACTTGAACTGTTCTGAATTAGGGAACTAGAATTCCCCTTGAAACAAGCTGTGTGTTTAACACTCTATCAGTTTTCAGCTACACTTCCTCTGATGTTGGGATGGGTGCAAGAGATCCGTTAAATGTTTTGATTTTGTTTTTAAAAAAATTATTTCTATTTTATTTTGTAAAACCTTTGTTTCCTGTCTGAAATCTGTTCACAAAGTGAGCACTACTTGTTAACAAACCTTCTTTTGTCCCGCCACCTCTGTCTGCATTCGCTTTAGTTACATTCTCCTTTTCTTCATCCTTCCCATTTTCACTTCCCCCATCCCACTGTGACATTTGGAGCCAACTATGATTTAATTCTACTATCTGCTTTCATTAGCACTTGCAAGTGATATTACCTCACCTAACCTCTCTAGAGAGTTAGAGGATTTTTAACAATCTGTGCTTGGCTTAAACTTAAGTGTCCATCAAAATCACTTGGAGTGCTTGTGAAACCGCTGCTTGCTGGGCCCCACCTCTAGAGCCTCTGATCCTGTAGAGTTGGGGTGGGACCTGAAAATTGGCATTGCTTATGACTTCCTGATAGCTGCAGCAGCAGCTGGTCTGGGGCCCACACTTTGAGAGCTGTTGGCTTAACTGTTCTGCCATCACCACCGTGGGAAGGAAGAAACCCCTTTTCCTTTCTTTGCATTTTTCATCTTGGTAGTAGGAAGGATATTCAAGGTCAGTTGGATAGGATAACAGCATTGGAAACCCTGTTTCCAAAGCGCCTTTGTGAGAGACAAAGGCGCTATGATCCTCCTTAATTAATATGGATAGATGTGAATGTAACATGGATGAATGAATGTCCTGTGGGCTCAGCGTGCTCTCCTCATCCTTTGGGACAGAGTTGTGAAGTAGGCAAAGCCGTTTCTATGCTTCTCCCCCTTCTTTTTGGTCCCTGCTTTCCCAGTCTATTATGCTGCTCCCTGATATTGAACCTCATAAGCTTGTCCCACTTAGGTGATGTGTGTTCATGTAGAAATTCTGCCAGGGAAGATGTGAATCAAAATAGGGATTTTAGAGCGTAGTACCTTAACCAAAATTAAACTGATCTAATGGTGGCATTTTCTTGTACCATGACAAGTTGGTTGGGGAAGTGACAGAATTGCTATTTTACCCGGCTTCGTTACCTCTCCTTACACACGTACTTGACCATATCTATATTACTTATGTCTGAGACTGGCCCTGTTCATGGAATCAAATGCATACTCTTAAAATATTAGATCAGAAATTGAGAATCTTACATTATAAATACTTGTATGTACCTGCACATATATGGTACAGATTATATCTGTTCTTTTGCCGATTGAGAATAATGTTGAAGAGGAATCAATTATATTTTCAAACTAGTTGGATTTTTTTTCAGTATTTGTATTTACTATTTGTTTTTCTTTTCTCTCCATAGAAACTCCCCAACTTTTAAATCATTTGAAGAAAAGGTCGAAAACTTAAAGGCAAGTAGAGAGATGAACAGGGTCTTTTTGATACATTGCCTGGTGTCTTAATTAACTTTGCTGTGCGAAAATCATTGACATTAATATTTCTTTCTAAAAATATCTAAAGAATGTAAATAACTTTACTCCTTATGTTACTAGTGGACATTTAAGGTGTTATGTACTTAATATCTTTTTAGTGTATGCTGTAGTGTGGCAGCATGCCACATGCTGAAAGGAAATGTACAATTTACAAAGAAATGGCACTTTAGAAATTTGTGCTGCTTTTTGCTTTATTCATTTCAAGTACCTTTGTAGGTGGACAAAATTTAATATAACTTTCTTGTCAACAATTAACAAGAATATAGGAAGCACAAGAAAGAAAACAAAAAATTGGTCCTACCACTCAGACAGTGATAGATGTA
The DNA here is from genome assembly GCF_000001405.40 of Homo sapiens. Taxonomy (NCBI): domain Eukaryota; kingdom Metazoa; phylum Chordata; class Mammalia; order Primates; family Hominidae; genus Homo; species Homo sapiens. Next base: position 80,042,215 of record NC_000008.11, on the reverse strand, counting down.
TGTGCTATTATGCTGTTACGCTTTAAAAAAGAAGTAGCCATACATCATAATCATTTTCCTGTATCAGTAAGTATTCTCTTTCAATATTATGTGCAATGGCTGCTTGTATATTACTTTTTTTTTTTTTGAGATGGAGTCTCACTCTGTTGCCCAGGCTGGAGTGCAGTGGCGTGATCTTGGCTCACTGCAACCTCCACTTCCTGGGTTCAAGCGATTCTCCTGCCTCAGCCTCCCGAGTAGCTGGGACTACAGGCGCGTGCCACCACACCCGGCTAATTTTTTGTATTTTTAGTAGAGATGGGGTTTCACTGTGTCAGCCAGAATGGTCTCCATCTCCTGACCTCGTGATCCGCCCGCCTCGGCCTCCCAAAGTGCTGGGATTACAGGTGTGAGCCACCATGCCTGGCCTGTATTACCTTATAATGGATATTATTTGTTCAGTCCTCAATTGTTGGACATTTTTTTTATTATAATGATGCCATGATGATCGTTTATGATTCACTGTTTTTATTTTTTGATTTCTTTGATTTTAGTGGAGGTGAACATTTCCCCATAATAATGAGCTTTATTGATTTGTAAATTATATTATCTTTGAGATTATATTCAAAGCTATAAAATCATCAACTCTTAGGATCACAGGCAACCTCAAAAGTTGTCTAGTTCCCATCTATTCCTCGACCCTCTCTACGGAGTTTGTATAAAACCCATATTTTCATTACTTCCTAACTCTGATAATTATAGGGGATATATTTTAAGGATTAAAACTAGTATCTTAAATGTTTTTATATCAGTCAGTTTAAAAACTAATATTCAGTTTAGTCTTTCAGAACTTTGAGTCACGAAATGCATCTTTAAAAGCAGGGTACATTTATTGAAATAAAACACTCTACAGTGATCTGGATCTTTTTTTAATTTATTTTTTTATTATACTTTTAAGTTCTGGGATACATGTGCAGAATGTGCAGGCTTGTTACATAGGTATACACGTGCCACGGTGGTTTACTGCACCCATCAACCTGTCATCTACATTAGGTATTTCTCCTAATGCTATCCCTCCCCTACCATCCCACCCCCTGACAGGCGCCTTGGTGTGTGATGTTTGGATCGTTTTTTTTCTTGAACATACAAACGTTAGTACATACCTTTTCTGTTTGTATGCAGACATATGAATGTTTTTTCAGAAGAGGAGTTACACTGTACACACACAGTCCTACAGCTTATTCATTCAGCCCTCACTAGCAGGGTGCTTTGTGAGCCATAAATGCAGGGACCTGTTCTTTTTGGTCACTGATACTTCTCAAAGGCTTAGAACAGTTCTTGGCACATTGCTCAATATGCATCTGATGAGTAACAATATATATAAGAGTCATTCTTCTATGTCATTTCAAGAGACCTGCTTTATTTTTCTTAGTGCCAAGTCATATATTTGAAAGCAAACTGTAGTTGCAGGAAGTCAAGGATTACTAAAATTCAGTTCTCAATATTGTTAGGACTGTTATAGCCTTTCCTTGAAATCTGCCCCAAGTGTTAATTTTTGAAATGGCAAATTGGAAAACCAGGAATCTTATGTGTTTTTGACATTGGACATGAGGAGAAACTTCCAGGTCATTCACTATATACTCTCCTGAATATATTTAGATTCTATAAATTGTAATGAAGTCTGCTTTAAAATATGACTAGGCACCATTCAGATTAAAAAGTGTAATTTAAAAACATACAATATGTTGGCTGGGCGCAGTGGCTTACACCTGTAATTCCAGCACTTTGTGAGGCCAAGGCAGGCAGATCACTTGAGTCCAGGAATTTGAGACCAGCCTGGGAAACATGGCAAAACCCTGTCTCTACCAAAAACGATAGAAAAATTAGCTGATGTGTTGGCATACACCTGTAGTCCCACCTACTCGGGAGGCTGAGGTAGGAAGATCGCTTGAGCCCGGGAGGCAGAGTGAGCAGCGATTATGCCACTGCACTCCAGCCTGGGTGACAGAGCCAGACCCTGTCTCAAAAAAAAAAAAAAAAAAAAAAAAAAAGGATAGCGTATTAAACAGATACCCCAAGTATCCTAAGGAAGCTGTAAAATTACATGCTGGGGATATAATTTTGTTAAATTACATTTATATTTAATTAAACATGAGGTCCATTTAGATTTTGGGTTGATTCATTCATCTGTGATTACTGAGCATTTGCCATGTGCCAGTCAATCAGTATTAGGCACCAGAGTTACCACAGTGAGCAAGAGAGACATGGACCCCTTCTGCAAGATGCCTAGACAATTAAATGGCCAATGAAACTAAAGTGAGGTAAGGGTTCTGATGTGAAAAGCTGAGGGTGTGATGAGGACAAGTGGCAGAAAGTTCACCTGGCTTGGTGGAAGGGAAGGTCAGAGAAGACCTCTTAGAGGACTCAGTAATGTCCATTGAGGATTTTAGGTTGAAGGGAATGTTTGAAGTTTGAGGGCCCTTTTGAGGACCACCAAGAACTTCACTGTGCTGTAGGATATTGAGCAGGAGGTGAAGCTAGAGAGATGTGTAGGCCACATTGCAGAGTTTGAACTTGGGGCAATGGGAAGCCATTGAAGGGTTTTAAACAACCCAAGTGGTGCATTCTTCTGTAAATGTTAGAGAGATCAGTGGCTGCCCTGCACATCAAAGGGGAGAACGATTGGAGACAGGCAGATTAGATGGAAGGACGGAGTTGTACTCCAAGCCAAAGATGATGGAGAGTGAATTAAGTTAGTGCAATGGGACCAAGTCTAGAGCTATTTAGAAGTGAGAAGTGACACGGAAAAAAAAAAAGATTGATTGGATGTAGAACAAGTTGGATAAGAATCCAGGACAACCCCAGGTGTCAGGCTGGGGCAGCTAGGTAGGTGCTATTGCCATATAAAGTGTTAAAAAAGAATAGAGAAGGGGCTAGTTGTCGGGGGAAGGAGTTCAGTTTTAGACATGTTGAACTGCAAGGAGATTTGATACTATAATTAAGGAATGTGTTTTAATAAATTTAATAAACAATGAACACACATTATTCGCATTTCCCAAACAATTTGGATGGTAGATCAAAAAGAATGAGAGTGAAAATAAGGGGTCTGTGACCACTCAATTAAGATTGAGCTAAGAGCAAGGTCAAGTTCAAACCCACTATAAGCTTCTTGCATCCATGGTCACTGACTGTTTTCTTACTGTTAGCTGTCCTGTTGGACAGTGTAACAGTGAGAGAGCATATACAGATTAGCATTGAAAAGGATAAAGTGACATGTGTAAGGGTTTTGAAAAAGTATTATACAAATGCAAGGCAGATATATTGAAATAAATGCTTATTGGCAAAATTTCAGGCCAGATAGGTTGGAGTAGTGCTTCACAAACTATAATGTGCACATGAACAACTCAGGGATTTTGTTCAAGTGTTGATTTCAATTCTGTAGCTGGAGTTGGGTGGGGTAGAAAGGATATCTGAGATCCTGCATTTCTAATAAGCTCCCAGGTAATGTTGAGTCTGTAGGTCCTTGAACCACACTTTAAGTATTAAAGGGTTAGAAAGCTTATACTGTAACTGAGAAAAAAACATATATTTCTTTCCCATGTTGTATTCAATATTTCTTGAATGAGTGTAGCTAAATGAGCAATTCGATGCAATACAAAATGTTATGCAAGTGTAGAGACAGACAGTTCACTAGGTACTTTAAAATAATAGACCTTACAAAGTTTTCTAGACAGACTTCCTGTGAAGAACAAGGAGCAGGGGGAAAGGGGAAGGGGTAGAATTTACCAATCTGAATATTTCAGCAAGGGAGAATGCATGAGTTTTACTATAAAACCACACTGAACATTGCAACAATACTAAATTCCATACATATATAATAATCACTGAGCTATAAGGTTGCTGATGTATTTGTTCTTGAAAGTGAATTAGAGTTACTTTATGCAGAATCAGCTAGTTTTATGTTTCATAATGTCTTTCCCTTTTTTGAACTTTTTTTTAAGTCTAAAGTAGGGGGAACCAAGCCTGCTGGTGGTGATTTTGGAGAAGTCTTGAATTCGGCTGCAAATGCTAGTGCCACCACCACGGAGCCTCTTCCAGAAAAGACACAGGAGAGCCTGTGAGATTCCTACCTTTGTTCTGCTACCCACTGCCAGATGCTGCAAGCGAGGTCCAAGCACATCTTGTCAACATGCATTGCCATGAATTTCTACCAGATGTGCTTTTATTTAGCTTTACATATTCCTTTGACCAAATAGTTTGTGGGTTAAACAAAATGAAAATATCTTCACCTCTATTCTTGGGAAACACCCTTTAGTGTACATTTATGTTCCTTTATTTAGGAAACACCATTATAAAAACACTTATAGTAAATGGGGACATTCACTATAATGATCTAAGAAGCTACAGATTGTCATAGTTGTTTTCCTGCTTTACAAAATTGCTCCAGATCTGGAATGCCAGTTTGACCTTTGTCTTCTATAATATTTCCTTTTTTTCCCCTCTTTGAATCTCTGTATATTTGATTCTTAACTAAAATTGTTCTCTTAAATATTCTGAATCCTGGTAATTAAAAGTTTGGGTGTATTTTCTTTACCTCCAAGGAAAGAACTACTAGCTACAAAAAATATTTTGGAATAAGCATTGTTTTGGTATAAGGTACATATTTTGGTTGAAGACACCAGACTGAAGTAAACAGCTGTGCATCCAATTTATTATAGTTTTGTAAGTAACAATATGTAATCAAACTTCTAGGTGACTTGAGAGTGGAACCTCCTATATCATTATTTAGCACCGTTTGTGACAGTAACCATTTCAGTGTATTGTTTATTATACCACTTATATCAACTTATTTTTCACCAGGTTAAAATTTTAATTTCTACAAAATAACATTCTGAATCAAGCACACTGTATGTTCAGTAGGTTGAACTATGAACACTGTCATCAATGTTCAGTTCAAAAGCCTGAAAGTTTAGATCTAGAAGCTGGTAAAAATGACAATATCAATCACATTAGGGGAACCATTGTTGTCTTCACTTAATCCATTTAGCACTATTTAAAATAAGCACACCAAGTTATATGACTAATATAACTTGAAAATTTTTTATACTGAGGGGTTGGTGATAACTCTTGAGGATGTAATGCATTAATAAAAATCAACTCATCATTTTCTACTTGTTTTCAATGTGTTGGAAACTGTAAAATGATACTGTAGAACCTGTCTCCTACTTTGAAAACTGAATGTCAGGGCTGAGTGAATCAAAGTGTCTAGACATATTTGCATAGAGGCCAAGGTATTCTATTCTAATAACTGCTTACTCAACACTACCACCTTTTCCTTATACTGTATATGATTATGGCCTACAATGTTGTATTTGTTATTTATTAAATTGTGATTGTTTTATTATTGTTTATGCCAAATGTTAACTGCCAAGCTTGGAGTGACCTAAAGCATTTTTTAAAAGCATGGCTAGATTTACTTCAGTATAAATTATCTTATGAAAACCAAATTTTAAAAGCCACAGGTGTTGATTGTTATAAAATAACATGCTGCCATTCTTGATTGCTAGAGTTTTTGTTAGTACTTTGGATGCAATTAAAACTATGTGCTATCACATGTGAAAAGCTTAATAAATTCCATCTATCAGTAGTATAGGTCTCAATATTTATTATGAGACCAGTGGTCTGGAAACAGCTTGTTGTACCGAATCAACTGGAGTCTATGCTTAAAAAAAAAAAATTTTTTTTTAACCATCCTTAAATTATTGCTTAATGGTATCATATTAACATATTCTAAATAAGGGCTTTAAGGCACAGGCTGTTGAAGCATTTTCTCAGAGGAGTGGATCTGTAGAAGTCTGTCTTTCTATAGAAATATTGTGCTTACTCAAGTGTTAAATTATTTTTTCTATGAACTAGTCTACTTCTTAAAATTCAAACATATTCTTTTGATCACATTGTTTCTTGAGCATCCTGCCCTGCTACTAACTTTTCAACAAGGCAAAATGGAGTAAAGTGGCAATTTCTTTAGATGAGTGAAATACCCTCAAGTCTCTTTTCTGCCCAAAAAGGGAAAAGTGATAGAAATGGGGGTGGCAAGTGGGGTGAGTGGATGAAGGTGGGTATTGGGGGTGGCTGTGAAAGAAAATAATGGAGAATCACTTTTCTAGACATCTACCTATACTTAATCTAAGAAACAAAGTAATCTACTGTAAAGTACTCTGCCCCTTGAAAGAAGTATTAAAAAGAGTGAGGATGGATTTAGAAAAAAACATGAATTTAGAAATATTCAAAATGGTTTTTGTGGCAGATTCAATATTATGAATTCACAGATATTTAAAGAATGAGAAACATAGTAATTAGTAGAAATGCCAGAAACAGTTCCTGGTTCCTCTTGTGTTTGACACTAAGAAAATAGCAAGAGTGTGAAATCTCAGATACTTATGAAATCTCACAGATGTAAGGACTCAAGTGTAGAAGAAAATATCCCCTTCTTACAAAAAGAAATGTCAATTTATGGAGTTTGTGGGAAATAGGGCAAGAATTCTTATGCTTATGAGAGCCAAGTAGTCAGTGGAAGAGAGTAGAGCTCAAAACTGGATTATCACCTTAGCAACTTAGAATAGTTTGAAATAGAAAAAAAGTATTTAATTTGGATCTGGATCTGTTAAGATATGCACAGTCTATTTTTTGTATAGTATTGGAAAATAAAAATGCTATAATTTGGGTATGGGTTCTTTTGTATACATTACCTGCCCATTGAGGAAAGGGGCAAGTCCATTATGCAACTTCTCTCCAAACCCTTCATATTCTGGATATGATACTTAAAGAGCCATGAGCAGCTACATTCTGCCTATCAGAAGGCATTTATTAAATGACTGCTTGCTGAAGATGTGTCCAAAGAGATCCTACATTAAGGTCATTTGTCAGAATGATGTTTGTGTTTGTTTAGAGTTGGCTGACCTCCAACTCCTGGGGTCAAGGAATCCTACTGCCTTAGCTTCCCAAATAGCTAGGACTATAGGCATGCACCCGGCCATGTGTTTTATTTATAGCTCTTAAAGCCCAGATGAAGAAATCACATTTTTGCCCATAGTGAAGAAACATTTGGCCATTGATTAGTCCTTATTTTCAGTGACTGTCCTGTTTTCATTAGATTAGAGAGACCCTGTGTGGGCCACAGTTAATATAAACCATTATCACTTTTAAGTAAACCTGCACATCTTAGATTTCATAATTTCCTTATTGTTCTGACTCAAAATGAACTAAGAGCTTTTCACTTTTTGTTTGTAAGTTCTCAGAGAGTCGGGTCTGCAAGTGCTTTTGCCTGCCAGGATTTTGTACTCAAATAAATGCTATTTGGCAACTAAAATTCTTGCCAGCTCTCATGTAATTTTGATGTTACTGAGGTTGGTTGGTAGTTTATTTTATTAATTTTGTGGTTCTTCTATCATATAGAAAAAGCCAAATACAGTTTTGTTTGAATATTTGTAAATGGACGTGATCTTTCACTTTACCACTCTCCAGCATGCTTTAAAGTTTCTCCTTGGTTTCTAGAATTGATTCTCTGTTCTTATTTTCCATTTTGACTATTTTTTAGTATTAGAATTCTTCCAGCTCCTAAATGCTATTGTCTATCTGTTGTTATCTTCTACATGATCCCCTTAATGATCTTATCCATTTCTATGGGTGAAATGACTATTTTTAGAGTGATACTAATAGCTTCCCAACCGGTATCTCCAGACTTGTTGATGGTGGTGGCCCTCCTTGAGCAGCTGCTGCAAGGACACCAGCTGCAGCAAGGGAAGCATGGCTGGGGGGTTGCAGGCTCTGCAGAAGTGGCAGGGGCCGGCAATAGGTGATCCCAGCAGGAACCCTGCCTTACCATGTTGGCAGGGCAGGAGCTTGTGCTCCTGGGTGCAGCTGCAGCCACCCAGCTGCAGCTCCAGATCCAGGCATCTGTGTGCTCTCGGGGGCCTGGAAAGTCCCCTGCCCATGCAGGCCTGGAAGTGCCTGCTCCAGTTCGGAGCAAAGTTGTGGCTGAGCTTGGGTGCTGTCACAACCTGGCCAGGTGTGTGCATCCTCAGGGTGGTGCTGACATGTCAGGTTCCTGCTACCTCGGCCCCCTCCCAACTATGGGCACCAGTGAGCATGGGAGGGTGGCCAGGGGCTGAGGGTAGCTTGGTGTGGACAGCCTGGGTGCTCTGGATGGCATGTTGATGGTGGCAGGAGGCAGGTTCCTAGGAGGGAAGGGGTGGGTCCCTGTTGAAACCCCACCCTCAAGCCAGGGACAGCCTGAAGCCTGGGGGCCAGGCTGCCAGTTTTAGGTAGAGCCCACAACCCAGAGCGAGAACTCTATTAATGCATTTCGGCTAATCGGATGGTGTTTTTTCCAGGCCCACCCTTCCTCCATTCTGAGCACATAAAAACCCCACACTCAGCCAGACTCAACACTCATCAGGACAACCTGCCTGCAGAAAGGACCACTTTGGGTCTCCTGAGTGCTGTTCTGTCATTCAATAACGCTCCTCTCTGCCTTGCTCACCCTACGGTTGTCCATGTGACTTCATTCTTCCTGGACACAGGACAAGAACTCAGGACCTGCTGAACAGCGGGAGCAAAAGGAACTGTAACATGTTCCTGGCTGGCTTGCCAAGCTGGGGCGGTGACACGCTCCCAGACTGCAGGAGAGAAGAGTGGTGACCCTTCTGGGGACCCAGACCTTGGGATTCCCTGAGCCAGAGCTGCTATAACATTATAGCCTTCCCACCTTTCACCGGCACCAGACAGCTGCCCCACATGACAGGAGGCAGCAGCAGAGCCAGGCCAGCTGAGGAGCCATGGGCTGGAGTGGGGTGGTGGGACTGAAAGAGCTGTAACACAAACGGGCTGAAACAACCCCCCAACAATGTCCCCCCCCCAACCCCCCTCCCCGCCCCGCCGGTCACCACATTGCAGGCAACGAGAAGAGTTGAGCCCTTCTGGGAGCCCACACCTTGGGGTTCCCCAAGCCAGGGCTGTGACATGCTGTAACACCCTCTTTGGGACTCTGAGGTTGCTGGCATCTCTGAGCTTTTGGGTTTTACCACGTTTCCCTTGCCCAGACACTGGTGCCTGCAGAAGCTGGTTGTGGTCCATCTGGTCCAGCTGCAGCCTTGCACAGAGCCGGTGCCTGTAGCTGCTCACCCTGCTGCAGCAGCTGGTGTGCCTGGCTGGGCGCAGTGGCTGGAACCTGCACTCACTTGCTCACGCACCCCTCACCAGCCCATGCCTGGCTCACCCTTGGCAGGTGTGGGATCTGGGCCAGCAGCACAAGATGAGCACAGCCTACTGGGCAGAGTGGGCAGAATGAGCCCAGCAGGCATGAGCAAAACTCCAGCAGAGGCGCTGCAGGCCATGGAAGTTTCCAGCTGGTGAAGCGACATCCTAAGAACTTTGTGACACTATCCTTTCTTCTTGGTTTGCACACATGGTTGAGGCATGAATTTCTAGTAAACTCATGGTCACCTCCACCTAGCCGTCAATAGCTACTATTCATTAAGTGCCCAGGCATCTTACACTCATCACCTTTAACTCTTTACTCAGGCATGTGGCAGTGTCACCATTTTATAGATAAGACCAAAGCCAGTAGCTGTAAAGTATTAGGCTTGAACTTAGCAGTAGAATGAAACTATTTTCTGTTCACTTTCCTTGGCTTTTTTGAGGTGGGGGTCTCACTGTGTTGCCCAGGCTGGCCCTAAACTTCTGGGCTCAAGCGATGTTCCCTCCTCAGCTTCCCGAGTAGCTGAGACTAAAGGTGTGCACTGCTGCCCAGCCAGGCCTGTATTTAATAAAGCAAGGAGTGGTTACAGCAGGATCAGAATCCTTAAGATGGCGTATGTGAAAACATCACTATTACAGAGGATGCTACTCTTGGCACTTGTATAGGCAAGGAGAAAGTTATGCGGACATCCCCCTATTGACTTGTTCAGTTCTTTACAGTCCCTCTCATTTGATGCTTCTGATCCTCTACCAAAGACAGAACTAAGGCCAAATTTGAAGTCATTTGATACAAACTTACTCATTTTTTTTTTTTTTTTTTTTTTTTGAGCTGGAGTCTCGCTCTGTCACCCAGGCTGGAGAACAGTGGTGTGATCTTGGCTCACTGCAACCTCCACCTCCTGGGTTCAAGTGATTCTCCTGCCTCAGCCTCCTGAGTGGATGGGATTACAGCCATGTGTCATCACGCCCAGCTAATTTTTGTATTTTTAGTAGAGACAGGGTTTCACCATGTTGGCCAGGCTGATCTCGAACTCCTGACTTCAGGTGATCTGCCCTCCTTGGCCTCCCAAAGTGCTGGGATTACAGGTGTGAGCCACCACGCCAGGGGTGTGTTTTTACGGATACTTGAGTTTTGCACTTTTCACCCATGCTGGAGTGAAGTGGCAGGAACATAGCTCACTGCAGCCTCAAACTCCTGGGCTCAAGTGATCCTCCTCCATCAGCCTCCCAAGTAGCCGGGACTACAGGCATGCACCACTGCCCCAGGCTGATTTTTCTATTTTTTGGTAGAGACTGGTTCTTGCTATGGCCCAAGCTGGTCTCGGACTCCTCATCTCAAGCAATCCTCCCTCCTCAACCTCACAAAGTGCTGGGATTACAAGTGTAAGCCACCCTGCCCAGTCAGACTGAGGGTTCTTGAAGACCACTGGCCATGCTCTTTACAATTTACCACACTTTCTCCTGAAAAAAAGTGGAAGTAGCACTATCCGTAGAAAATAATGTTCTAGGCAAGAGTCCATTAATAGTCTCGGGAGATAAACAGTTTTAACTGCCAAGAGGGAGAACTCACCTGGAGAATTTAATGAATTTGTAAGGACTACCATACAGTTAGCTAGTAATAATTTTATGTGATTCATACAATTGTGCACCATTCTGAGATCAGTGTACTTCGTGTTCTTAACACTATCTGTACCATTAGAGAGCATCAGAAAAGCTTAAAACCCATAGTCAAGGCATTCTTAAAATAGGGTCTGTGATCATAAAAATTCTTTCTCTCGAAGTACTTGCAAATGAACTGGAAAGGTGTGTGCCCCCAAAATAAAACTAACTGTGGATTAATATTAAACTGCTGGGTCAAAGATAGACGGACAACTAATTAATAAACACTTAAGAATGATGTTAGGCTGTTTTGAACAGGGTGGGTAAATTTTGGGAATTAACACTGCAGGAGAAAAGGGAAAGAAAATCCAGAGTGAGGGTGGGGGCCTACGGCGGTGCAATACTTAGGGACATTCCAAAACTTCTGAACTCCTAAGTTAGATAATAGGTATCTAGAGGTGTCAAAACATTTCAGAAAAACTATTTTTGTGGCGTGAGTGGACTGGCTGCAGAAGTGGCAAAGGACAAACTTGGATGCAGGGTTTGGCAAATGTTGGGTGAGCCCTAATCTGTGCCTGGTGCTAGGGACCCTACAGCAAAGTTCCTCTTTTCAAAGTTTAAAAAGTTGGGAGTAGACACTAAATATTATTAAATATTTAATATTAATATGTGGCATATTAGAAAGTGCTACATGGTACTAAGAAAAACAGGTGCCAGAGAGTCTGCATTTGGGCTTCCACTTCTAAATAGGGTAATCAAGGAGACCCTCATATTTGAGTGAAGACCCCAAACTCGAGTGCTGGCGGCCATGTAGGGGGGACGGCAGGGCGGGAGAACGAGCGTCGCGTTAGCAGAATTTACAGTACAATGGGGTCCAACGGATGCCCAGGAAGGCGAAATTCCTGCAAGTTAAACGCACTTCTAACGCAAAACTTAACCAGGCCCCTTTCCAACTATTTAGCCCACCAATTTTAGCTTAAGTCTCTTCTTCCCCACGCCACTCCCAGATGAAAGGAAGACACGCCTCGTTGGCCTCCAGAGCTCTGCGTCCGGGGGGCGGACCTCTCATAGCTCCGCCCCGTGACCCGCGCGCTTGCGGAGGGGAGGTCAAAGGTCAGAGGTAAAGAAGTCATGGCGGCGCTGTGTCGGACCCGTGCTGTGGCTGCCGAGAGCCATTTTCTGCGAGTGTTTCTCTTCTTCAGGCCCTTTCGGGGTGTAGGCACTGAGAGTGGATCCGAAAGTGGTAGTTCCAATGCCAAGGAGCCTAAGACGCGCGCAGGCGGTTTCGCGAGCGCGTTGGAGCGGCACTCGGAGCTTCTACAGAAGGTGGAGCCCCTACAGAAGGTGGAGCCCGGGCGGGTGAGAGGGAGTCGCGGGAATTACGCCAACGACGCGGTGGGCGGGGTCGGGAATAGGGGCGGAGCCTGGCTTAGGAAGGGGAGCTGAGGTCCGGGGCCCAGTTTTCCGGAGTTGCGGTGCGTTGTGGCTCAGCCCTCGGCCCCTAGAATCTGTGCTTGGTGTTTTTCTTCCTTTCGTTGTCCTTTTGTGTGGCATTTGCGTACTGGGCCGGGTCTGTCCACACTGCGCTTGTTTTCCTGGGATTGAATGCTGGTGGGAAGGTAACCAGCGGGGAGCGCTGCTGGGGAGGCGATCTAGGGCGATTCCTGGGACGCTAAGGAGAATGGGACTCACACGGAGAGGCAGGGCTCTGCTGGGTCTTGTTCTGAACAGTAGCTCTAGCATGGAGCTTGCTGTCTGGAGTAGAAGGCCCTTCATAAACATTTGTTAATTTAATGACTGGGTGATGAATCACTTTCTGAACTTGGGCAAGTGATTTAACTTGTCAGCGCTTCACCTCTCTTTTGTAAATGTCTTCTTTTTTTAAAAAGTAAAGTAAAATCTCCGTTTGTCTCAGCCAGTACTTTTGTAAAATACCATAAATTTATAGATAAATGAAATGGAAGAAATAAAATTACAAGCCTAAGTTTTTAATAATTAAACTCAGCAGACATGAAATTGAATTATATACAAATAAACTCTCAATTTCTGTATTTTTCTTCCTAGGGAGTAGTACCAAACAGTTCACAAGACTGGCAGTGTCCTGGGTTATAGGGTCATTTTAGTAGCAATTACTGATGTCAAAATTTTTCTGAAATCCAAGGACTAGAAGAAGCCTGGTATATTAGTTTATTATTTTCTGTTGTAACAAATTACTACAAATTTAGTGGCGTAAAACACAGGAAATGTGTTGTTGTTAGGGTTGTGAGAAGTCAGACGGGATCTCACTGGTCTAAAATCAAGGTGTTGGTGAAGTTGTGTTCTTTTCCGTAGCTTCTAGGAGAATCTCTTCCTGGCCTGTCTTTTCTGCCTCTGTTTTCTACTTTTTTGTTTTTTGGATTTTTTTGTTTGTTTTGTTGTTTTTTGAGACAGGGTCTCGCTCTGTCACCCACGCTGGAGTGTGGTGGCATGATCTCAGTTCACTGCTAAACCCCCTGGGCTCAAGTGATCCTCCTGCTTCATAGCTGGGACCGCAGGTGTGCACCACCACTCTGGGCTAATTGTTTTTTCTGTTTTTTTTTGTAGAGATGGGGTTTTGCCATGTTGCCCAGGCTGGTCTTGAACTCCTGGGTTCAAGTGATCCTCCTGCGTTGGCCTCCCAAAGTGCTGGGATTACAGATGACAGATGTGAGCCACCTGGCCTGGCTGACCCCGCCCGGCCCCGCCCCCCCCGCCCGTCTTCTGCTTTTGAGATCCCTGTGATTACATTGGCCTCCCTAGATAATCTATTTTAAGATCAGCTGATTAGCAATCTTAATTCCACCTGCAAAGTTAATTCTCCTTTGCCACGGAAGGTAACATATTCACAAATTCTAGAGATTAGGATGTGGATGTCTTTGTAGGGGGAGGGGGCATTATTCTTTCTACCATATATGGAGAAGTCATAAAATACTAGCAGAATAGCGATGATTGACCTGAAGCCACCTAAGGGATGGATTTTAGATCCATCCTTAAGGTAAGGCCATAAGAGTTAAGTGCAGTAAGGTTGGAAACATAGAGTTCAGTGCTCCCTTCCAAATATATGTATAGGAAAGGAGTTTTTCTATTTCTTACCTAATATTTCTCACTCACGCTTCGCTCCCATTCATACCACATTCTAAGCCCCTTCGGAAACCCCCCAAAATAATTCTCAATTGCTGAGTTAACTGTGGTAAGAGTGAAAATTGTAGCATCACATGTATAGTAAGTTAAGTGTTTGAAACTAAAAATGTACTGTTTATTTAATGAAGGAAACAACCAAGGTGTTTTAGAGTCCCCAGAATTCCCTTTCCTTTCCTTTTCTCTTTCCTTTCCTTTCCAAGGCAGTTCTAATTGGGCTGTTCAGTTTTTCCAGGAGGAGGCTGGGGTGTTTCCTGGCAGTCCCAGCACATCCGTTAGATTTTCTCAGTCCAGCTCAGGCTCAGCAGCATCTCTGCACCCTGCGTGGTTGTTCTCCGTCTAACACAGTTTAGAAAACATTATTCTACTAGATGATGGGTAAATGTGTTTGGTTGTGATGTACAGTTCACCAATTTCTTATTCACAAGTCTTTGACATCTTGGTTTAATGGAAATAAAATTCCCTGGGGAGGAGGATATCAGGAGGCTGTGTTGTAGTCTCCGTTCAGCAAGTTCTTAGCTTTGAAGCATTTGAAGTTTACGTGAACCCCTTTACTCCTTCTTAATTGATACCACTGACTTCAGTTGCTCCCTGGTTCAGGTCATTACACACACTGTGGATCAAGTTATCTTCCTAAAGTTGGGCTCTATAATCAGACTTAATGAGGTTATTTACTTATTGCTCTCCTTGAGAATCTTCTAAACCTCCATTCACACTGCCTGCAAGATTAAATATACAATGGTGCATCTCTCTACTGTGGCTTCAGAGGCCTACTGCCATTCAAGACCCTGCTTGGGTTAAAAGCTTCGGCTCAGTTCAGGTTTCCAGTTTCTGCCATCTTTCAACTGAGTGACTTTGGGCAACTTACTTAGCCTATCTAAGTTTGCTGTCTTATCTCAAAGTGGAGATAATGCTTCAACTGGAGTTACTGGGAAGTTTATGTGAAATAATACATTTAACGTGCTCTCAGTACATTGACTGGTACAGAGTAAGCTTTATTCAGTGCATTTTAGCTTTTATGTGGCCCCAGCCGTTTCTTCTCCAGCCTTCTGCCTTCCTGAGAATAGTTTCACAGAGATGCTTCCACAATTACACAGTTCTTTGAAGTCCCATTGTTTTCTTAATAATGAACTTTAATTTATCAAACCGTGTAGATTCATCTCTTGTAACTGATGTACCGCTCTGGTGGGGGATGTTGACAGTGGGGGAAGCTATGTGTGTGTCAGCACAGGAGGGGTATGGGATATGTCTGTACTGTACTCTCAATTTTGCTGTAAACCTAAAAGTACTCTAAAAAATAATTTTTTTTCTTAATGAATGAATATAAAATGCTATTTAAAAACATAAGGCAGTATATGCTCTAACTAGAGGTTGAGCTGTGTCATTCAAAGAGACAATAAAATTAAGTTTTTCATGGCAAAAAGCCCAAAACCAAACAAAAAACACCAGAAAACAACCATGCACATGCCATTTTTTTTAATCCCAAATGTAAGGACATTCGTCATCACTAATATGTTAACTTGTGGTGCCAGAGTAACACATGACACATCAGAATAAAATTTTTACTAACTTTTTTCCCAGTAGAAAATGTTTCAGGAGGTCAGAGACCTTGTCTTTCTTATTCTGTTGTATTTCCAGTGCCTAGCACAGTCCTTGACCCATAGTGGGCACTCGGTAAATATTTGTCAAATGTGTGAATGAATGAATAGTACATGTAGTGCATATTTGAACTTCAGTTATACCTGGCCTGTCGTTGAATTGTAATATATGTGTCACTGTCCACAAACAATTGTACAAGAATAGTACAGTCTTGAGCATGTCAGTTGAATGTGCCTGTCCAGAATAATTGAGTAAAAATAATTTTAAGAGTAGTAAGAAATTGAAAATACCACATTAGTTTTAGTTTTAGTATTTACTGGAAGTTTTCAGTGTTTTTCTAACATATTTATGGTAAGGAATATGAGGAGTTGTTGGGTATTGATAGGAATTCAACTTGTGAAAAAACTTGCTTTACCTCTTTTGAACTTACTGGACCTATTTAATTGAACAGTATCGTGAGATTACAAGATGAATAAACGCCAATTGTGTATTCAGGGTTTTTGAAAAAATATTGTTTACAAATTTTACAAAAGTAATATTTGGTTACTTTAGAAAGAAAATTTACATAGCCCTGCAGGTTATTATGTGAAATGTAAAAGTCCCTTTTTCTTACTTTCTCAAGGCTGGAGAGTGTGTTTTTTATGCATAGCTGCAGAGTTTTATATTACACACGTAAGTATAAGCTAAGTATTGCTATATATATTTAAAAACATTAATTGGTTCGTAGTATGAATACTGTTTTAAAATATATTACAGTTAAAGAGTGTAAATTCTGCAGTCATGCAATCTTGGTTTAAATCCTGGTTCCTCTACCATTTACTAGCTGTGTTGCCTTGGAAAATTACTTAATATCTGTGTATCTCCTTTTCCCCCTATGTCATGAGATTTTTATGAGATTCAATGAATTCATTATTTAAAACACTTAACACAAGTGCCTGATACTTAATAAGCACTTAGTATGTTTTAGTTGCTGCTGCTGAAAATTGCAGTTTTTACCTAAGTATGACTATTTTTCCTTATCATTACATAATATTTGCTTGGTATTCCATGGTGTGGATGTAGCATAATTTATTTAAGTAGGAAGGCCTTAATTATTGAACTTTTAGGTTGTTTCTGTTTGTTTTTGTTTTCTAACACAGTGTTGCAGTGAACATTTGCATTTTTTGCGTACTTACAAGAGTGTATTTGTAGGTTATATGTTGGGTAAAAGTGTACACACAATTTGAGTTACAGCCTGTTTGTACTGAACTCCCACCTACAGTGCATGACAATGTTTCCTCACCCCCGTATCAACTCATGGGGTGTAATAGGTGGATTTTCTTGATATTCGACAATTAAAGCAAAATATAGAAATTGGAAACTGGGGTTATCATCTTTCATTCCTGATTTCAGTTTTTGATTTTTATCATAACTGCATGTTGACAGTTTTTGACTTTATAGTAAGTGCTATCAATTTGAACTCATAAAATGCACTTAAAATAACAAAATACTACATTTACACTATATATATTGGGATTGTATGTAAGATTTCATTTGTAAAATGGTTTCTGCTTAAAATATTCTTTTTGAAGATGAATTTTGCTGTTCCCTAAACAAATCATTATTTCTTTACCTTTTACCCTGGAATTAGCTTCCCTGCTGCAAATTCTGTTGTAAAAATCACCTCCTCTCTTAGACCTTTGTGATCTCACCAAACAGATGAAACTGTTTTTGAATGCTCTGGAGTTTTGTGTTTTACTACCTTTATGGTATACCCACAGCTCTCATAGTAAAGTCATTTACAAACCTGTTTTATCCTGTTTTCTAGCTGTAGTTCCTGAAGAACAAGGGGCCATTTTCAGTCCACCCTCTTCATCCTTTGCATAATGCTTTACACTTAAGTAGGGATTGAGTATATATTTGCTGATTTAAGTTGGAATGAAATTTAAACAGTTTGATGGTTGAATAATTACAAATGAAAAATAGCATCTCAGATGGCCTATTATTAGACTTAAAAATATGTATATGGTGAAAGTCCAAGTTTTACCTATTGATTTAGTTCTTATAGTCATTAAAGTGTAGACTTACTTACATGTGGACCTCAGAAATAAGCCCATACACATTATCCTTACAAAGAACTTTCCCCTGCAGCCAGGAATTTAATCAAGAGCAATGCATCATGAAGTTCTTATCCTATTACACACTCGGGTTACTAGTTAAAGGGAACCGAAGTTAAATGGCATTAAGTGTAATGCCATTGTTCTGTATGGTGGTTGTAGGTTCCATACTCATCCCATGCTCACTTACCTACTTTTCTTTTACTTTGCTTCATTAGCTTTAATATTGGTTTATGCATCTTTCCCTTCAACTAGTTTTGTTTTGTTTTTAGAGTAGCAACCAAATCTTTTTTTTTTTTCCAGACAGGGTCTTGCTCTGTTGCTGAGGCTGGGGTGCAGTGGTGCAAACTTGGCTCACTGCAACCTCTCTCCCTTGGCTCAGGTGATTCTCCCACCTCAGCCTCCTGAGAAGCTGGGACCATAGCTGTGCGTCACCATGCCTGGCTGATTTTTGTATTTTTTTGTAGAGATGGGGTTTTGCCATATTGCCCAGGCTGCTCTCGCACTTCTGGGCTCAGGCAATTTGCCTGCCCTAGCCTCCCAAAATGCTGGGATTACAGGTGTGAGCCACCACACCAGGCCGTCCCATTCATTTTTATAACCATTTAAGTCAGGTACCATTTTCCCTCCATTTTTAAAACCTTAATCCTTCTTATGTCACTTAGACAATATAAATTTGTAGAATCTGTTAAGGCAATTGGGAGCTGTGCTATGGCATATAACTCATCTCGTAGCCACAAGGTGGCAATAGTTGAGCAAAGAATTGGTTTTTCTGCTTTATGACTCTTAGCAGTAGAGGGTGGCATGCTACTTTTCAGAACATTGGAAAAAATGTTTTTCAGAGAGTTTTAGGGCTGCACAGTAAAAATTTTACTCAAATTTTAAATTTATTTAAAATACTGATGTTACATGACAGTTTATAGTTTTACCTTATTTTAGCAATATATTAGATTTCATGCAAATATTTTTAAATGTAATTTTTTACTTTTTTGTGAATATTTTTATTAGTATTTTTTATTTCAAAATATTCGAATATTCCAGAAGACAGAATATCTAAAATCAGATGTTCAATCCTTTCAGAATACTGGAAAAATAAAAATATATAGATTTAAAGGGCTTATTTCAATATAATAGGGAAATTAATTTATTTTTAGTATAATTTTTAAGTCCACTAAATTCATATACTGTAATAGTAAAATTATATAGTTTTACTTAACCCTTTGTTTTCTTATCAGTTTTACTGACAACTTTAAGAATTATACCAGTGTTTTAAAAACTATTTGATATGTAAAGGAATGATGGAAAATGTTTCTGGTTTTAACGATGGTGCCAACCTGTTTTTACATTATAGAATTCTAGGAGAATTACCTCTGAGTAATAAAAATCTTTTGAAATGTTGTATGTCTCACATTTTCAAAGCATGTTTAGAGGAAATGACCAGTTAATATATAAACAATGAAATAGTGAAGAAGTACATAGAATTCTCTGGGGAAAGTAGGTTTTTGTTAACACCTGTAACATGCTTATAAGCAGTACTATACATTTCTTAAAAGAAAAGATGTATATGTTCTGTATGTATTTTGTTTTTGGGTGGTCATATGATCTGATTATACCCAATCAGACTCATGACTTCCCAAGCCAACCTTAGGTTTTTCACTATTTGGAGATCGTAACTCTCATTTTTACTCAGAAATTTCACTTCCATCTTTTAATGTGTCTAAGTTTGCTTCTAAGGCTACACTTAAATTTTTCTCTTTTAATCACTTTAATTTTTATAACCTGATTATGGCCCTTAAGTTTTTTATCTATTGGCATTAAATATCAGGAAATAAGAGCAATTAAGCACATTCAAGTGGAGCCTGGTTTGTTGGGATTTGGGAATAAAACTAAATAGTCTTGATTCAGTTTGGGTTTTGCCTACCTTTTTAAAGCTTTGGAGATTCCATTGTTGACAACTGCCAGGAAATGAGTGGTGGACTCAGTCTAGGAGTTGGCAGCTGAACAAGTTGCCTGGCCTCTGGCCAGCTACCCAAATTGAGATGGTTGGATTCTCTGAAGGGACATAAATGTACACTGAGAACTGGGTGTCACTGGGACACACAGTATTTATCCCAAAGAAATGAAATGTTCCTAACAGCTTCATTTGTAATAGCCAAAAACTGAAAGCAGCCTAGATGTCCTTCAGCTGTTGAATGGTTAAACAAACTGTGGTACATCCTTACCGTGGAATACTACTTAGCAGTAAAAAGTAATGAGTGTTTGATACACAAAATAATTTGAATGACTCAAAGGAATTATGCTGAGTGAAAAAAAAAAAGCCAGTCCCAAAAAGTTACATATGGTGTGATTTCATTTATACAACATTTTTGAAATGGCAGAATTATAGAGATGGAGAACAGGTCAGTGCTTACTAGGAGTTAGGAAGGAGGGAGGTAAAAGGGATATGTGGAGTTACAAAAGGACAGCACAAGGAATCCTTGTGGTAATGGACTTGTTCTGCATTTTGACTGTGATGGCCAGTACAGAACCTTTACATGTAATAAAATTGCATTGATGATTACGTGTATAACTGGTGAAATCTGAATATTGGTGGATTGTGTCAATGTCAATTTCCTAGTTGTGATATCATACTATAGTCTTCTAAAATGTTACCATTGGGAGCCCTGGGTAAGGGTGCAGGGGCTCTCTATGTATTCTTGGTTACAATTGCATGTGAATCTACAATGATTTTTAAATAGAAAGTTAATTTTTTTTAAAGGGAGCATTTCACTGGTCTCTCGGGCCCAGCACTGATAAGACCATTGAATTCCATAAACATGTGACAGTTATCCCACATTATTTCCTGTAAGGTAATTTTTTGTTGTTAGAAGCAATGCAGTGTAGAATACCAGAAAAATCCAAGAATAGTTAGAAGTAAAGTTCCACATGCCTACCTGCATACCTTAGCCTTTAGTCAGACAACTTCTGTCTTACTAGAAACCTTAAAAGCATCCCTTGGTCCCAGTCTATGCATCTGTCAGCATCTGGCTTACAGCTCTGCTCATAAAATGAGAGAGAGACTGACTGTCCAGTCTCCTTTTGTAACTGTTTTTCCCTATCTAGCATAATGTTTCTCCTGCTCCCACGATATACCACTATTACAGAGATTTCTAAACTTTTTTGATCATGTCCCTTCATTAATAAATTTTTGAGCAGATGTTCCAGTATTTACTTAAAAAATACATTTGTGGCTGGGCGCAGTGGCTCACACCTGTAATCCCAGCGCTTTGGGAGACCAAGGTGGGCGGAACATGAGGTCAAGAGATCAAGACCATCCTGACCAACATGGTGAAACCCTGTCTTTACTAAAAATACAAAAATTAGCCGGGCATGGTGGCTCATGCCTGTAGTCCCAGCTACTCGGGAGGCTAAGGCGGGAGAATTGCTTGAACATGGGAGGCGGAGGTTGCAGTGAGTCGAGATTGTGCCACTGCACTCCAGCCTAGCGCCAGAAAGAGACCCAGTCTCAAAAAAAAAAAAAAAGTGTGTGTGTGCGAATATATATATTCGTACTGTAGTTTCTTTTGTTATATACATTTTAAAGCATTTACACATAAAAACATTTTGAAGGTGAAGTTAAAAAAAACAAATAGAAATTCCAGTGTTTTCTTCTTCTGTCCTATGGGTTATGATAGAGATCACTATTCTTTGTTACAACCTGACCTTTTTCCTTCAGGCCTGCTCTGTAAATGTGTGTTCGTTGGCCACAAATTTCCTATGTCTTTTTACGAACAATCTCCCCTTTAACCTTCTCTACAAGTATTTCTTGCTTGCTTTCTTGGTTTCCCTTGATAACACTGCTTCCCTTCTGGTCTTCCCTAGTATAGATTGCAACGGGTCTCAAGGCTAGGAGGAAAAAATGACTCATCTTCGTTCTCGTTTCTCAGTACCATTTCAGACTACTGTTCTATCAGAAATACTTTAAAAAGGCTCCTTGATAAAAATCTTTTCAATTCTTTCCATTTTTCGTCAGCATCTGGCTCACAGCTTTTCTCTTTTCTTCATACTTACCATTTTCATTGACCAGCATTTACATTTGTAAACCAAAAATAAAATTCTAAAGCCCCCTCAACCATCTGAATGGACCCCTCCTGTCAGCCAAGGGCGTTCCAAAGTTAACCTGAAAAACTAGTGCAGGCCGTGATGGGAAGGGGGAGCCAGACGTGCCTCATTATACCTCCCTCCTTTCAGAATTAGTGATAGAAATGACTCTTTAAGTCTAGTAAGAAACATTTACAATCTGTTTTCTCTGAAGCCTGCTACCTGGACGCTTCATCTGCATGATAAAACCATACTCTCCACAATGCCTTATGGTCACGCAGACATTCCTTTCTATTGATAATAACCCTTTCAACCAATTGCCAATCAGAAAATCTTTAAATCTACCTATGACCTGGAAGCCACCCTCGCAACCTGCTTCTAGTTCTCCTGCCTTTCTGGACTGAACCAGTGTAACCAATGTACATCTTACACGTATTGATTGATGTCTCATGTCTCCCTAAATTGTATAAAACCAAGCTGTACCCTGACTTCCTTGGGCACGTGTCTCAGGACCTCCTTAGGCTGTGTCATGGGCGTGTCCTTAACCTTGGCAAAATAAACTTTCCAAATTGATTTAGACCTGTCTCATACTCTTGGTTTACACATTAATGACTACCAATACTTTGGCCACATAGTTTTTTGTATATTAACCTTATATTGTGTAATGTTGCTGTAATTACTTATTCCAGGAGGTTTTTTTCTTGTTGATTCTTTTTGATTTTCTACATAGGTCATCATGCCATCCATGATCATACACAGTTTTATTTCTTCCTTCCCAATCTGTATACTTTTATTTTTTCTTTTTGTCTTATTGCATTAGCTAGGACTTCTAGTACAATGTTGAAAAGCAGTGATGAGAGGGGACATCCTTGCCTTCTTCCTGTGCTTAGTAGGAAAAGTTTCAAGTTACTTACCATTACATATGTAGGTTTTTTGTAGATATTCTTTAGGAAGTTGAAGCTTTCTCTAGTTTTCTGAGAGTTACTATTATGAATGGGTATTGGGTTTTGTCAAATGCTTTTCCATTTGACGAAATGAAATACGACCATGTGATTTTTCTTCTTTAGCCAATTGATGTGATGGATTACATTTTTTTTCTATTTTTAATTTTTGTGGGTACATAGTAGGTGTATATGCTTAGGGGGCACACGAGATACTTTGATACAGGCATATAACATGTAATAATCACATCATAGTAAATAGAGTATCCATTCCTTCAAGCATTTACTCTTTGTGTTAACAATCAAATTAAACTCTTTTAGTTATTTTTAAATATACAGTTAAATAATTATTGCTTATCACCCTGTTGTGCTCTCAAACACTAGGTCTTACTCATTCTTTCTAACTACTCTTTGTACCCATTAACCATCCCCACCCCCTTATATACTATAAGTATACTATATCACATATAGGGGAGTGGGGATGGTTAATAGGTACAAACCCCCAATACCCTTCCCAGCGTCTGGGTAACCATCCTTCTACTCTGTCTCCATGAGTTCAATTGTTTAAATTTTTAACTCCCACAGATAATAACATGTAAAGTTTGTCTTTCTGTGCCTGGCTTATTTCACGTAACGTAATGACCTCTGGTTCTATCCATGTTGTTGCAAGTGACAGGATCTCATTCTTTTTTATGACTGAATAGTAGTACTGCATTGTGTATATGTACCACATTTTCTTTATCCATTCATCTGTTGATGGGCACTTAGGTTGCTTTCAAATTTTGGCTATTGTGAACAGAGCTACAGCAAACATGGGAAATGTCTCTTCAGTATACTGATTTCCTTTCTTTGGGGTATAAAACCAGCAGTGGGATTGCTGGATCATATGGTGGCTCTATTTTTAGTTTTGGTTATTTGTTTTTTGTGGAACTTCAAACTGTTTTTCAGAGTGGTTGTACTAATTTATGTTCCCGCTAACAGTATATGATGGTTCCCTTTTCTCCACATCCTCATCAGCATGTATTACTGCTGGTCTTTTGGATAAAAGCCATTTTAACTGGGGTGAGATGATATCTCATTGTAGGTTTGATTTGCATTTCTCTGATGATAATGATGTTGAGCACTTTTTCATAAGCCTGTTTGCCATTTGTATGTCTTCTTTCGAGAAAGGTCCATTCAGATTATTTGCCTTTTTTTTTTTTTTTTTTTTTTGAGACAGAGTATTGCTCTGTCTCCCAGGCTGGATTGCAGTGGCACGATCTCGGCTCACTGCGAGCTCTGCCTCCTTCCGGGTTCATGCCATTCTCCCGCCTCAGCCTCCCCAGTAGCTGGGACTACAGGCGCCTGCCACCATGCCCTGCTAGTTTTGTTTTTGTATTGTTAGTAGAGATGGGGTTTCACCATGTTAACCAGGATAGTCTTGATATCCTGACCTTGTGATCCGCCCGCCTCGGCCTCCCAAAGTGCAGGGATTATAGGCGTGAGATTATTTGCCTATTTTAAAGTTGGATTATTAGAATTTTTTTCCTATAGAGTTGTTTGAACTCCTTATATATCCTGGTTATTAATGCTTTGTCTACATTTTGATTTTTGAATGTTAAACCTGTCGTAAGTCTCAGTTGTGGTATATAATTTTTATATGTTGTTGGATTTGATTTGCTAATATTCTGTTGAGGATTTTTGCATCTACATGCATGAGAAATATTGGTCTGTAGTTTTCTTTTCTTGTAATGTCTTTGTGTGGTTTTGATATTAAGATATTACTGTCCTCATAGGATAAGTTCCACTCCTATCTTCTGAAAGAGATTGTAGAGAATTGGTTTGATTTCTTCTTTAAATGTTTGGTAGAACTCACCAGTGAACCCATATGGACCTGGGGCTTTCTGTTTTGGAAGTATATTAATTACTGATTTAATGTCTTTAATAGACATAGGCCTATTCAGATTATCTGTTCTTCTTACTTGAATTTTGGCAGACTTTGTCTTTCAAGGAATTAATCCATTTAATTTAGGTTATCAAATCTGTGGGTATAGAGTTGTTTATAGTATTTCTTTAATGTTCATGGGATATGTAGTGATGTCCTCTCTTTCATTTCTATTATTAGTAATTTGTGTCCTCTCTTTTTGTTTTTCTTAGTCTGGCTAGAAGCTTACCTCAAATAACCAACTTTTGCTTTCGTTGATTCTATTGATTTCCTGTTTTCAGTTTCATTGCTTTCTGTGCTAATTTTTATTTTAGATAAGTTGTGTTTTCATTTTCATTTAGTTCAAAGTATTTTTAAATTTCTCTTGAGATTTGTTTGACTCATGTTATTTAGACGTGTATTTGTTTACTCTAAGAATTTTGGGATTTTTGAGCTATCTTTCTATTCCTGATTTCTAGTTAAATTCTAGTGTGGTCTGAAAGCAGACATTGCATGATTTCTATTCCTTTAAATTTGTTAAGGTGTGTTTTATGGTCCAGAATGTGGTCTGTTTTGGTGACTGTTTCATGTGGCATGAGAAGAATATATATTCTGCTGTTGCTGGATGAAATTGTCTACAGATGTCCATCATATCCAGTTGATTTATGATGTTGTTGAGTTCAGCTATATCCTGAGTGATTTTCTCCCTGCTGGATCTGTCCTTTTCTGATAGAGGGACATTAAAGTCTCCAACTGTAATGATTCATCTATTTTTCCTTGCAGTTTTGTCAGTTTTTGCCTCATGGTTTTTGACTATTTTTAGGCATGTACACATTAAGGATTATTCCGACTTCTTCAGATAATTAACCCTTTTATTATTAGCAAATTGTTTAACATGAACAAACTGTTAATTGTTAGATCAATTACTAATTAAAAACTTAAAAGTTTTAATTTTACCTTCACATATTCCTTCTCTGTGTTCTGCCTTTCTTTATG
This sequence comes from Homo sapiens, assembly GCF_000001405.40. Taxonomy (NCBI): domain Eukaryota; kingdom Metazoa; phylum Chordata; class Mammalia; order Primates; family Hominidae; genus Homo; species Homo sapiens. Next base: position 80,016,608 of record NC_000008.11, on the reverse strand, counting down.
TAATGTAGATCTGAGTTTTTGACTTTTATAATTTTCTTCTTTCTAAAGAATTTCTTTAAACATTTCTTGCAAGGCAGGTCTACTTGCAACAAATTCCCTCAATTTTTATTTGTCTGAGAAAGTCTTTAATTCTCCTTCATTTTTGAAGGATAACTTGTCAGGGTACAGAATTCTAGGTTAGTATTTTTTTTTTTTGTTTCCTCTTAACACTTTAGATATCTCACTCCACTGTTTTCTTGATTGCATGATTTATGAGGAGAAGCTGGATATAATTTTTATCTTTTCTCCTCTGTAGGAAAGCTGTTTTCCCCCCAAGCTTCTTTTAGAATTTTTTCTTCATCTTTGATTTTTCTGTAGTTTGAAAATGATACTATATGCCTAGATGTAGTGTTTTTGGTGTTTATTCTGGTTGATGTCCTCTGAGCTTCCTGGATCTGTGGTTTGGTGTCTGATATTAATTTGAAGGAAAGTCTTAGTCATTATTGTTTCAAATATTTCTGCTGTATTTGTCTTTCTTCTCCTTCTAGAATTCCCATTAGTTTACACCTTTTGTAGTTGTCCCAAAGTTCTTGAATATTCTGTTCAATTTTTCCCTCAATCTTTTTTCTCTTTGCTTTTCAGTTTTGGCAGTTTTTATTGAGGTATCTTCAGAGTCACAGTTTTTTTTTTTCCTCAGCTGTGTCATCTACCTGTAAGCCCATCAAAGGCATTCTTCATTTCTGTTACAGGGCTTTCGATCTCTAGCATTTCTTTTTGATTCTTATTTAAAATTTCCATCTTTCTGCGTACATTGCTTATCTGTTCTTACATCTTATTTCTTCCGTTAGAGCCCTTAGTGTCTTAATCATAGTTGTATTAGATGCCTGGACTGATAATTTCAGTATCCTTGCTGTGTCTGAATCTGGTTCTGATCCTTGCTCTGTCTCTTCAAACTGTGTTTTTTGCTTTTTTGTCTATCTTGTAATTTCTTTTTGATAGCTGGGCATGATGTATTGGGTAAAAGGAATGGCTGTCAATCGGCCTTTAGTAATGTGGTGATAGGGTGTGTGGGGAGGGAAAGTGTTCTATAGTCTTATGAGTGGGTCTCAGTCTTCTAGTGAGCCTGTGCCTCTGGACTATGAACTGCACATTTGCTTCTCAGTGTTTCCCTCTCTTTTGGTAGGACAGAATGACTAGTGCCAGCTAGAATTGGTTATTTCCCTTCCTCCAGGACACTTAGGCTCTGACAAGTGTTTAGGCTTTGGTTGAAGAGTTTCCTTGAGGACACATGTCATATGCATGATAGTTTTATATATGTGCTTAATGTATATTAAAAAGACAACACCTGTTTGATAAATGAATTGTTGAATAAGAGAGAGTGCTCTGATGTATTTCAAAATAGTTCTATTCCCCACAGAACTTGCCGTCTGAAGTACAAGGGGATTTTTCTCCTATATTCACTGTAAGGACCAGGTTGAGCTCCTGGAGTTAAAACTCACAAAAGTGTGAGAGTCCCCAATAACTGAGTCTCTCTGGAGTTTTTAACTTTCAGACTTGTCCCACTGAGCATCCACCAATTCACCAGTTACAGCTCGGGTTTCCCTACCTCGGCACTGGTTCCCACAGAGGTTTCTTCTTGGAGGCTTCTTTTCAGTAGTTCTCTGCATTCACTTGTCTCTCCACATTTGAGAACAGCAGTTTTCCCTGTGACCCCCACCTCTCAGATGCATCTAAGAAGAGTTGTTGATTTTTCAGTCATGACAATCAAACACATCTCCAGACATTGCCAAATGTCCCCTGGAGTGGGGGTGGCAGGGGGGAAATCATCTTGGTTGACAAATACTAGATTAGTCAATAAAACTTGATGGTGGTGACTGAGTCTATAAGAAATTAATTTTTAAAGAAGCTAAAGTTTTTGACAGGGTCTGTTTACCTTCAGACACTATTTGAGTGCTTTACATATGGCCACACATTTATTCCTTACAACAATCTTGTAAAATAGATAGATATAATTACAAACACCATTTTATAAGATGAGTAAACAGCAGCACAGAGATTCTAAGTGCACAGACCTGTCCCCAGAGCTGGTAAGCGGTAGAGCCAAGGTTCAAGCCATGTGGCCAGACTTCCCAGCCTTCCTTTGGGAGCCCTCGTATTTGAATCATCACAAATTGTTCATATGCTTGCTGCACAGCTGTCATTTGGAGTCTTTTCTTTGCTGCTTCTATAGGTTATAGAAACAGTATAAGTTACTGCTGCATAACAAACCATCCCAAACTTGGCTCTCCTCTGTACAATTTGTTTGATTTTTTTAAGGGAAGAGAAAAAATATATTTATTTTTGACAGGATAATACATGCCTATTACCAGATATTATGCACTTGAGGAATTTTGTGCTTGACAGAATATTGACTGCCCTGCCTCTGTTGTTTTTAGCTATTCTCCTTGTTTTCAGCTTGTCTTCTCACTGCAGCCTGGCATGACTGAGCTCCATACCTTTATGGAATACTTCAGGATAGAATAGCTTTCTTTTTTTCACAGCTTCTTCTTCTTGAATTTCACTCTGCTTCATTAATTATCACTCTTCCACATGCTTTCTGTCCACTAGAAAGTATGTTTGTATACTTTTGTTCTCCATCTGTTCTCTTCAATATTGAGAGTTTATAATTTTTACAATTTTTTAATTTATTATTTTACCATCATTTAATGGGATTTCAGGAGGGAGAGAGATAAATGTAAGTACCTTATCACCTTGAGCCACCAATACGTTTATTTCAATAAAAGAACTCTGTTGCGAGCGTAACATTTATTGGTTAGTGTTAAAGAAACAAAAGTTATTATAGCACGGTTAATAGAAGTGGGTCATTTTTGGAGATGCATGTTGAAATTTTTTTCTTGCTAACCAGTATGAAGTAGTTAAAGTATATATACCATTTCATTACTTTTATTGTTATTGTTTTTTTTCTTTTTTCTTTTCTTTTTTTTTTTTTTTTTTTGAGATGGAGTCTTGCTCTTTTTGCCCAGGCTGGAGTGCAATGGCGCAGTCTCAGCTCACCGTAACCTCCACCTCCTGGGTTCAAGTGATTCTCCTGCCTCAGCCTCCTGAGTAGCTAGGATTACAGGCATGCACCACCTCACCCGGCTAATTTTGTATTTTTAGTAGAGACAGGGTTTCCCCATGTTGGTCAGGCTGTTCTCGAATTCCGGACCTCAGGTGATCCACCTACCTCAGCCTCCCAAAGTGCTGGGATTACAGGGTGAGCCACTGCACCCAGCTGTTTTTATTGTCTACATTAAAAGAGGTAACTGGGTAGGATGTTGTCTCCCATTTCTAATTTGTATTGTTTTATAAAATCCTTTTTATATTTTAGAATATTTAAGAATTCCTACTACCTTATAGAATTGGAAGAAAATTTATAGTTATCCAATCCTTTAATTTACAAATGAGAAAACAGATCTAGAGAAGTTAAATGACTTATTCAGGGTTTTTTTTTCGCTGTTTATTGGCTGAGTTGGTCATAGAAGTCAGGTTTCGTATTTGTTATTCTTCTGTACTGTTTTCTTTTAAGTTTGCTATGATGTTTTTATCTATTTTCTATCTTCTGCAGCAAGTTTTATTTAAGAACCACTGTTCAGTATCCCATGTAACTTTGAATAGCATGTATGGTACTCATGTAAAACTTGAGGTAGTTGGATTAGTTGATGTCTCATATTCTTTTAGCACTAGTTGCCCCTGTTTCCAAGCTGTATATTAAATGGTCCTCATATGCATGATAGGTATATATATGCTTAATATATATTAAAAAGACAACACATGTTTGATGAATGAATGAATGCATGATTGAATAAATGAAAGTGATACTGTTCCATATGTCTGTAATTCCTTTACCTTACTCCTTTCTACCTTGACGGTCCTGTCAACTTTCAGGCTTCAAAGGAGAAAATAGTACAGCAGAATAGCAGGAGATCTGATCTCTATGACCAACTGTTAAAGGAAATAGTCAACTCCAAGTTAGTACCTGTGACAGCTCAGTTAGTGAGCTTTATTGTAACATTTTCCAGGGTTAGGCACTGAGCTCTATGATACATATCCAGCGGTGACAGTATGCTTCCAGTCTCTGCAGTCTATATCAGCATGAGAGGAGCTATCAATGTTAGTTTAGAGACTTTATAAACAGGACTCCCTGTAGTGAACATGGATTGTGGGAGTTGCTACATTTACTGTTTTTAGGAGTCATTTGACAAGTAAATGAGTACATTTTGGCATAAGCCCTAGGATTCAGAGATGGTTCTAGACTATGATTTTTGAAGCAAGGGTTTGTCTGATTGTTTGATGTAGCTTCCCAAAATCAATGATGCAATATCAAAAATCAAATGAAATAATAAGCTACAATTTAAAAGCAAATTCAGGTGTTAATCCAGGGTTCTTATGCTTGTGGTAAAATTATTTCACTCGCCAAAAACACACTGACTTCCTTGCAAAATATAATAGAGGCAAAAAATGGAGGAGAAATGTTCTACTTCCACTTGATTTTAAAGTTACCTATAAAAAGTAACTATAACTTTATAAAGTTTATAATGTAATAAATATTTAACTGCAGACTTACTAAAAATCTCAAGAGAATCTTTTTAAACAGTTGAGAGCACTCAATAATTTTCTAAAACCAAGGGGAAAATACCACTTACTATTATACTAATCTTAGCTCAAACATCTCTTCACAATTGAAAAAGGACATTGTGTTATTTTAGGAACAGGTCCTAGTGATGGCTGAATTATCTCCAGTAAAAGTTTAACTACTGGATCTGCTACTACTGTATCTTAGTGTCATCTGGTTTTTTGTTTTGTTTTGTTTTTTGTTTTTGTTTTTTGTTGTTTTTTTTTGAGAGTCTCACTCTGTCGCCCAGGCTAGAGTGCAGTTGTGCCATCTCGGCTCACTGCAACCTCCGCCTCCTGGGTTCAAGTGATTCTCCTGCCTCAGCTTCCTGAGTAGCTGGGATTACAGGCACATGCCACCATGCCCGACTAATTTTTGTATTTTAGTAGAGACAGGGTTTCACCGTGTTGGCCAGGCTGGTCTTGAACTGCTGACTTCAAGTGATCCACCCACCTTGGCCTCCCATAGTGCTGGGATCACAGGCGTGAGCCACAATGCCTAGCCCCTGTCATTTAGTTTTAATTGGACTATGGCTTCAATTGAAAGTCAGCCAATTGAAAAAAAAAAATAGCCAAAGCGAAAAAAGAAGAAAAAGAACAGAGGAACTCTGGTAGATATCAACCATAAAAGTGGAGTAATGGGAAAGCAGATCATAGGGAAAGTGGGCAGGACCTGCCCTGGTTACAAGCAGAGACCCCCAAGTTGATACTGTTTGCTCTTCTCTTGAGCACTGCTATTCTCATCTGCTTTAGTGGCAGCTACTATGGATGGAATAATGGCTCCCAGCAAAGGATTATGTAGCTGCTCTTGTCAAGAATGGCTTACAAAAAAAAATAAAAATAAAAAAATAAAAAAAAAAGAATGGCTTACTTAGAATTACTCTTTTACACTACCTCTAAAGGGCAAGTCAGCTGTGTCTGTGTTACCTCTGTAGGATTTGTTTTATCTCTGGCTCTGCAAGAAAGAACTATTTTCAAAGTGCTTGTTTAAGGACCTTTAATGTTGTATTTTGTGGATTTATAAAACTAGTATGATTGCTCATGGCATACATTCCTGGTTACCTTTTCAGCTCTAGTTGGCCTCTAGGCCTACTGACTTGTCTTTAGTTTAGATTGACCCTTTTGTGCTAAGGATTTTTTCCCTGTGTGTTTCAGTTCACCAAGTAAATTCATCATCATACCCTCCCTCTAGCACCTGAGGGACTTGGCATAAGCCAAATGTCGTGACTTTCTTTTTCCTGAAGCAGAGGTCATAAACTTGTGGTTCGTGGGCCAAATTCAACACCTGGATGTGTTTTGCCGGGTTTGTAAAATGGAAAACTTTATCCCCCTGCATATAAGTATTTAAAAATTGGAAAATTTACATTAATATGTGGATTTCTGGCTTTTCTTGGAAAATTAAAACATTAAAAATTAAAACATGGGGACTTGAATTGCAGCTGCAGCTGGAGCTGAGTAGTGTCTACACCTTTTAAACTTGGGCACATATCCTGATTATCAAGCCCTCACCTGGCCTGGCATTTGAGTTTATAATCTTTCAAGTAGTACATGCATTAAACTTAAGTCACAAATATAGTTGTGTAGCTTTAAAAGTAAATGTGCTTTACTATTGAACTTTTAGTAGTTCTCCCCGAATAACAAATGTAAAACTCATTCCAAATACAGCATTTAGGTCGTCAGATCAAATTGTTAATGTCCTTCCATGATTTGCTCTCACAGATAGAAACTTAGCACTTCCTTTAGTTTGTACCAAATTGCACACACCACTCCATACACAAAAATGAGTAGAAGGCACAAATCTGTGTTCACGGATTTGGAAAAAATGTGTTTGGAAAAAATTTTTGTAAGAAAAAAAGAATAATTAGTCATACCTCAAGTGAATTCAATATGTAAAAAGATTCCCGGAAAGTGAATAGCACAAAACAAGCTGTTTTTCTTTTGGAATTTACTTTAGGAGAAAGAAAAGTATAACAAATTCAAGTTGTTTAAAAAGAATTATGTATCAGGAACTCATGTTCAGACTGATCATTGTGATGAAAGGCTCTTAATTGTTTTTATCTTAATGTATATTTACATTTGTATTAAAAGAATAGTGACTTTCACTAAACTTGATTTAGAAGGCATTTTTTTACAGATGGTCAGTGCTAGGAATAAAGTCAATTGCTTCTTGGATGCCCTCCTCACGTGCTCATACTCTGACCACTAACCACCCCCCACCCCATTCTCAGAGACTTGATATACAGGCACTCTTCTACTCTCCCTACCCTGCCTGGGCTCTCGAGACCTCACCCTGGACTATCACATCTCTGTCATCCTCCACCAAGTATAGATGCCTAATTTCTTTCTTTTTTTTTTCTTTTTTGAGACAGTTTGGCTCTTGTTGCCCAGGCTGGAGTGAAATGGCGTGATCTCGGCTCACCGTAACCTCTGCCTCCTGAGTTCAAGTGATTCTCCTTCCTCGGCCTCATGAGTAGCTGGGATTATAGGCATGCACCATGATGCCTGGCTAATTTTGTATTTTTATTTTTATTTATTTATTTATTTATTTTTTATTATACTTTAGATTCTAGGGTACATGTGCACAATGTGCAGGTTTGTTACATATGTATACATGTGCCATGTTGGTGTGCTGCACCCATTAACTCGTCATTTACATTAGGCATTTCTCCTAATGCTATCCCTCCCCTCTGCCCCCACCCCACAGCAAGCCCTGCTGTGTGATGTTCCCTTTCCTGTGTCCAGGTGTTTTCGCTGTTCAATTCCCACCTATGAGTAAGAACATGAGGTGTTTGGTTTTTTTGTCCTTGCAATAGTTTGCTGAGAATGATGGTTTCCAGCTTCATCCGTGTCCCTACAAAGGACATGAACTCATCCTTTTTTATGGCTGCATAGTATTCCATGGTGTATATGTGCCACATTTTCTTAATCCAGTCTATCACTGATGGACATTTGGGTTGGTTCCAAGTCTTTGCTATTGTGAATAGTGCCACAGTAAACATATGTGTGCATGTGTGTTTATAGCAGCATGATTTATAATCCTTTGGGTATATACCCAGTAATGGGATGGCTGGGTCAAATGGTATTTCTAGTTCTAGATCCTTGAGGAATTGCCACACTGTCTTCCACAATGGTTGAACTAGTTTACAGTCCCACCAACAGTGTAAAAGTGTTCCTATTTCTCCACATCCTCTCCAGTACCTGTTGTTTCCTGACTTTTTAATGATCACCATTCTAACTGGTGTGAGATGGTTATCCCATTGTGGTTTTGATTTGCATTTCTCTGATGGCCAGTGATGGTGAACATTTTTTCATGTGTCTTTTGGTTGCATAAATGTCTTCTTTTGAGAAGTGTCTGTTCATATCCTTCACCCACTTTTTGATGGGGTTGTTTGATTTTTTCTTGTAAATTTGTTTGAGTTCTTTGTAGATTCTGGATATTAGCTCTTTGTCAGATGGGTAGATTGCAGAAATGTTCTCCCATTCTGTAGGTTGCCTGTTCACTCCGATGGTAGTTTCTTTGGCTGTGCAGAAGCTCTTTAGTTTAATTAGATCCCATTTGTCAATTTTGGCTTTTGTTGCCATTGCTTTTGGTGTTTTAGACATGAAGTCCTTGCCCATGCCTTTGTCCTGTATGGTATTGCCTAGGTTTTCTTCTAGGGTTTTTATGGTTTTAGGTCTAACATTTAAGTCTTTAATCCATCTTGAATTAATTTTTGTATAAGGTGTAAGAAAGGGATCCACTTTCAGCTTTCTACATATGGCTAGCCAGTTTTCCCAGCACCATTTATTAAATAGGGAATCCTTTCCCCATTTCTTGTTTTTGTCAGGTTTGTCAAAGATCAGATAGTTGTAGATACACGGCTTTATTTCTGAGGGCTCCATTCTGTTCCATTGGTGTATATCTCTGTTTTGGTACCAGTATCATGCTATTTTGGTTACTGTAGCCTTGTAGCGTAGTTTGAAGTCAGGTAGCTTGATGCCTCTAGCTTTGTTCTTTTGGCTTAGGATTGACTTGGCAATGCGGGCTCTTTTTTGGTTCCATATGAACTTGAAAGTAGTTTTTTCCAATTCTGTGAAGAAAGTCATTGGTAGCTTGATGGGGATGGCATTGAATCTATAAATTACCTTGGGCAGTATGGCCATTTTCATGATATTGATTCTTCCTATTCATGAGCATGGAATGTTCTTCCATTTGTTTGTATCCTCTTTTATTTCGTTGAGCAGTGGTTTGTAGTTCTCCTTGAAGAGGTCCTTCACGTCCCTTGTAAGTTGGATTCCTAGGTATTTTATTCTCTTTGAAGCAATTGTGAATGGGAGTTCACTCATGATTTGGCTCTCTGTTTGTCTGTTATTGGTGTATAAGAATGCTTGTGATTTTTGCACATTGATTTTGTATCCTGAGACTTTGCTGAAGTTTCTTATCAGCTTAAGGAGATTTTGGGCTGAGATGATGGGGTTTTCTAAATATACAATCATGTCATCTGCAAACAGGGACAGTTTGACTTCCTCTTTTCCTAATTGAATACCCTTTATTTCTTTCTCCTGCCTGATTTTCCTGGCTAGAACTTCCAACACTGTGTTGAATAAGAGTGGTGAGAGAGGGCATCCCTTTCTTGCACCAGTTTTTAAAGGGAATGCTTCCAGTTTTTGCCCATTCAGTATGATATCGGCTGTGGGTTTTTCATAGATAGCTCTTATTATTTTGAGATACGTGCCATCAATACCTAATTGCTTGAGAGTTTTTAGCATGAAGGGTTGTTGAATTTTGTCAAAGGCCTTTTCTGCATCTATTGAGATAATCAAGTGGTTTTTGTCTTTGGTTCTGTTTATGTGCTGGATTACATTTATTGATTTGCATATGTTGAACCAGCCTTGCATCCCAGGAATGAAGCCTACTTGATCATGGTGGATAAGCTTTTTGATGTGCTGCTGGATTCGGTTTGCCAGTATTTTATTGAGGATTTTTGCATCGATGTTCATCAAGGATATTGGTCTAAAATTCTCTTTTTTGGTTGTGTCTCTGCCAGGCTTTGGTATCAGGATGATACTGGCCTCATAAAATGAGTTAGGGAGGGTTCCCTCTTTTTCTATTGATTGAAATAGTTTCAGAAGGAATGGTACCAGCTCCTCCTTGTACCTCTGGTAGAATTCAGCTGTGAATCCGTCTGGTCCTGGACTTTTTTTGGTTGGTAGGCTATTAATTATTGCCTCAATTTCAGAGCCTGTTATTGGTCTATTCAGGGATTCAACTTCTTCCTGGTTTAGTCTTGGGAGGGTGTATGTGTCGAGGAATTTATCCATTTCTTCTAGATTTTCTAGTTTATTTGCGTAGAGGTGTTTATAGTATTCTCTGATGTTAGTTTGTATTTCTGTGGGATCGGTGGTGATATCCCCTTTATCATTTTTTATTGCGTCTATGTGATTCTTCTCTCTTTTCTTCTTTATTAGCCTTGCTAGCGGTCTATCAATTTTGTTGATCCTTTCAAAAAACCAGCTCCTGGATTCATTGATTATTTGAAGGTTTTTTTGTGTCTCTGTCTCCTTCAGTTCTGCTCTGATCTTAGTTATTTCTGCGTTCATTTTGTTATGTACCCAGTAGTCATTCAGGAGCAGGTTGTTCAGTTTCCATGTAGTTGAGCGGTTTTGAGTGAGTTTCTTAATCCTGAGTTCTAGTTTGATTGCACTGTGGTCTGAGACAGTTTGTTATCATTTCTTTTTTACATTTGCTGAGGAGTGCTTTACTTCCAACTACGTGGTCAATTTTGGAATAAGTGTGATGTGGTGCTGAGAAGAATGAATATTCTGTTGATTTTGGTTGGGGAGTTCTGTAGATGTCTGTTAGATCCACTTGGTGTGGAGCTGAGTTCAATTCCTGGATATCCTTGTTAACTTTCTGTCTTATTGATCTGTCTAATGTTGACAGTGGGGTGTTAAAGTCTCCCATTATTATTATGTGGGAGTCTAAGTCTCTTTGTAGGTCTCTAAGGACTTGCTTTATGAATCTGGGTGCTCCTGTATTGGGTGCATATATATTTAGGATAGTTAGCTCTTCTTGTTGAATTGATCCCTTTACCATTAAGTAGTGGCCTTCTTTGTCTCTTTTGATCTTTGTTGGTTTAAAGTCTGTTTTATCAGAGACTAGGATTGCAACCGCTGCCTTTTTTTGTTTTCCATTTGCTTGGTAGATCTTCCTCCATCCCTTTATTTTGAGCCTATGTGTGTCTCTGCACGTGAGATGGGTCTCCTAAATACAGCACACTGATGGGTCTTGACTCTTTATCCAATTTGCCAGTCTGTGTCTTTTAATTGGAGCATGTAGCCCATTTACATTTAAGGTTAGTATTGTTATGTGTGAATTTGATCCTGTCATTATGATGTTAGCTGGTTGTTTTGCTCATTAGTTTATGCAGTTTCTTCCTAGCATCGATGGTCCACAGTTTGGCATGTTTTTGCAGTGTCTGGTACCGGTTGTTCCTTTCCATGTTTAGTGCTTCCTTCAGGAGCTCTTTTAGGGCAGGCCTGGTGGTGACAAAATCTCTCAGCATTTGCTTGTCTGTAAAGGATTTTATTTCTCCTTCACTTATGAAGCTTAGTTTGGCTGGATATGAAATTCTGTGTTGAAAATTCTTTTCTTTAAGAATGTTGAATATTGGCCCCCACTCTCTTCTGGCTTGTAGAGTTTCTGCCGAGAGATCCGCTGTTAGTCTGATGGCCTTCCCTTTGTGGGTAACCTGACCTTTCTCTCTGGCTGCCCTTAACATTTTTTCCTTCATTTCAACTTTGGTGAATCTGATAATTGTGTGTCTTGGAGTTGCTCTTCTCGAGGAGTATCTTTGTGGCGTTCTCTGTATTTCCTGAATTTGAATGTTGGCCTGCCTTGCTAGATTGGGGATGTTCTCCTGGATAATATCCTGAAGAGTGCTTTCCAACTTGGTTCCATTCTCCCCGTCACTTTTGGGTACACCAATCAGACGTAGATTTGGTCTTTTCACATAGTCCCATATTTCTTGGAGGCTTTGTTCATTTCTTTTTACTTTTCTTCCTCTAAACTTCTCTTCTCACTTCCTTTCATTAATTTGATCTTCAATCACTGATACCCTTTCTTCCGGTTGATCGAATCAGCTACTGAAGCTTGTGCATTCGTCACGTAGTTCTTGTGCCGTGGTTTTCAGCTCCATCAGGTCATTTAAGGACTTCTCTGCATTGGTTATTCTAGTTAACCATTTGTCTAATCTTTTTTCAAGGTTTTTAGCTTCTTTGCGATGGGTTCTGACTTCCTTCTTTAGCTTAGAGAAGTTTGATCGTCTGAAGCCTTCTTCTCTCAAGTCATCAAAGTCATTCTCTGTCCAGCTTTGTTCCATTGCTGGCAAGGAGCTGCATTCCTTTGGAGGGGGAGAGGCACTCTGATTTTTAGAATTTTCAGCTTTTCTGCTCTATTTTTTCCCCATCTTTGTTGTTTTATCTACCTTTGGTCTTTGATGATGGTGACGTACAGATGGGGTTTTGGTGTGGATGTCCTTTCTGTTTGTTAGTTTTCTTTCTAACAGTCAGGACCCTCAGCTGCAGGTCTGTTGGAGTTTGCTGGAGATCCACTCCAGACCCTGTTTGCCTGGGTATCAGCAGCAGAGGCTGCGGAACAGCGAATACTGATGAACAGCAAATGTTGCTGCCTGATTGTTCCTCTGGAAGCTTCGTCTCAGAGGGGTACCCGGCTGTGTGAGGTGTCAGTCTGCCCCTACTTGGGGGTGCCTCCCAGTTAGGCTACTCAGGGGTCAGGGACCCACTTGAGGAGGCAGTCTGTCTGTTCTCAGATCTCAAACTCAGTGCTGGGAGAACCACTACTCTCTTCAAAGCTGTCAGACAGGGACATTTACGTCTACAGAGGTTTTTCCTGCCTTTTGTTCGGCTATGCCCTGCCCCCAGAGGTGGAGTCTACAGAGGCAGGCAGGCCTCCTTGAGCTTTGGTGGGCTCCACCCAGTTGGAGCTTCCTGACTGCTTTGTTTACCTACTCAAGCCTTGGCAATGGTGGGCGCCCGTCCCCCAGCCTCGTTGCTGCCTTGCAGTTTGATCTCAGACTGCTGTGCTAGCAATGAGCGAGGCTCCGTGGGCATGGGACCCTCCAAGCCAGGCATGGGATATAGTCTCCTGGTGTGCCGTTGGCTAAGACCATTGGAAAAGCGCACTATTAAGGTGGGAGTGACCCGATTTTCCAGGTGCCGTCTGTCACAGCTTCCCTTGGCTAGGAAAGGGAATTCCCTGACCCCTTGCGTTTTCTGGGTGAGGCACTGCTTCGGCTCACACTCGGTGGGCTGCACCCACTGCCCTGCACCCGCTGTCCGACAAGCACCAGTGAAATGAACCCGGTACCTCAGTTGGAAATGCAGAAATCACCTGTCTTCTGGGTCACTCACGCTGGGAGCTGTAGACTGGAGCTGTTCCTATTCGGCCATCTTGGAACCCCTAATTTTGTATTTTTAGTAGAGACAGGGTTTCTCTATGTTGGTCAGGCTTAGAACTCCCGACTTCAGGTGATCCACCTGCCTCGGCCTCCCAAAGTGCTGGGATAACAGGCGTGAGCCACTGTGCTCCACCTTGATGCCTACTTTCTTTAGCTCCTCTTCAGGAAGGAAAGGATGGAAGAGGAAGTTGAAGAGCATAACTGGCATTTTAAAGCAAAATTCCACATATATTTTAAAATTATTGCTACAACAATTGACTTTAAGAAAATTTCTTTAAGACTTTATTATACCTTCATGTTGAGTTATATGTATATAAATATCTCTTTTCATATTTAGGGTTCTCCAAAAAATGTGGAATCCTTTGCATCTATGCTGAGACATTCTCCTCTTACACAGATGGGACCTGCAAAGGATAAACTGGTCATTGGACGGATCTTTCATATTGTGGAGAATGATCTGTACATAGATTTTGGTGGAAAGTTTCATTGTGTATGTAGAAGACCAGAAGTGGATGGAGAGTAAGTAAAATCATTTCCAAGTACCTTAAGAGTATTCATAAAAGTTGGGATAGCGCAAAAGTATTGTTGAATGAAAGGTGATTTTTTGAAAAGACAGAAAACATATTTATTTGTCTTGATAATGCTGCAGTAAAGTCTGAAGTGCTTTAAAAATACTTGTTGGTCATGTCAGGCCAGACTCATATCTTCTCAAAGCAGTGAGAGCAGTTGTTGGGAAGACTTGAATGTTCATCCTGATAATAAGCCATTCCACACCATAAACTTAAAACCAACTTTGTAATAATGCATGTTGCTTAGGCTATTTTGCCTGGAACCATTTTTTTGTCCCTTCTCTCTGTTCCATAGTCTCTTTCCACTTCTCCTTTCTTTTCTTATTATTTTGCATCTATTTTTAGGATTATTTTTCCTAATAAATAGAGTTCATTCTGTTGTGGTTTATGTAGGTAAAGATATTTATGAATATAAATAGGCACTGGAGAAAGCACTAAGGTGGGAGATCTAGGAGTGGAATATCAAGAGTCAAGGAGAGGTTGAACTAAGATTCTGAGATGGGAAAACAATAGAACAATAGTAAACGAGATAGAAGTGATTTTTTTTCCCCATCAATTTCTAATGTGCATTTTTTACTTTTCACTATTTTTGATATCAGGATGCATGTTACAGTTGACAGTATATTAAATTAACTGGCAGTGTTTTTTTTTAATCATATATAAAACAATAGTGAATCTAGTAATCAATGGTATTTTAGATAGGATGAATTACAGTGTTTAAGAAGTTTTTGGCATATAAAAATTGGTCATATTGTGGAAATGAAAGGCGAAGAGTCTACTGTAGACCTAGGAGAGCAATTATGAGAACGAGTTGCCTCTCTCCTGAGAGCTGGATATCTAAAGATGCCGTTGATAATTGGTCTTACCCAATTTAGAGACATAAGCTTGTCCTACCTGAATCTGAATAGGGTCTGACAAACTTAACAGAATACACATTTCCTCAGATTAATGATATATGAGTAAATATTTAACAACTAGTTGATTAAAAAAAAAAGCCCCAATTTCTGTAATGTGAAATACTCCCAGCATGGCCAATGTCAAGTCACCAACATGATGTCACCGAATGCAGAGTTGGGAAGATGTGTGCACAGTGCTTCTCACAAGCTGGTATTAGCTGGCTGCAGCACACCTCTCCCTTAGATAACCAGAAGCTGAACAGTGTTTTAACAAGATGAGTGGTATAAACCAGGTGTCAACTGAAAGACTGTGCTCCCTGGCATGAGAGGAATGGCTTGAGCATGACTTGAATTGGTGTATCAAATATCATACAAGCTTAGTTCAAAAGTAGGGAGACTCAAAGAAATTTCTAAGTAGGATGTGTCTGTCAATCCAGATTTTAATACTGTAATCAGTATCTGTTATGTAAACGGCTACTGAAGGAATTCAATTAGTTATTGTGTCTAAAAATTTAGAAAAGTGATTGGCATATGGTAAACAAATGCTACTATTGTTATTGTTATTTTCATTGCATTGTTATTATTAAAATCCTGGTGACCTAATGATGACATCCCTCAAGAATTCCTTTTAAGGAGGGTTTATGAAGGAGGCAAGTAAGAAGATATGTGATACAAAAGTTACCCTTTAAGAGAGGTATCCTCAGCTCTTAGGTACTATCAGCAGAAGCTGTAGCAGATCATTTTTTCATTAGTAGAAAATATATAGTAATTATAAAATAAAGTGCTCTTTTATTTTACACAAAGAAATCCTTAGTCCCCTCCTTACAATTGATCATCTACCATGGATGCTGTCCATCGCAGTGCCTGTCTTATTCTTACAAGCTGACCTAACATGCAACTGGAGAATCAGGTATTGACTTTATAAAAAGATATATTTTGTGACAACTCTGCTAAGATATTTCTCAGCAGATGTTCAACTGCTTAGTCAAGTTTATTATAAATTACAAATACTAGTCATATACTTTTTTTATATGTGAGGATGGAATTCCGTTAATCATATCTCTTTCATGGATATTTATTTCTTTGGGGATATTCTTTTGTCGGCACTGTTCTTTTTTCTCATTGAATTAAAAATTTAAAACATCACTTTTGTGATTATGTTATATTCTTGAACATAATATATTCAGAATGCCTTAGAGATCTAGAATTAAATTGCCCCAGCTGGACTTGAACTCCTGGGCTCAAGCAATCCTCCCACCTCAGCCTCCTGAGTAGCAGGGACTTACAGACATGTACCACCATGCTTGGCTTTAAGTCACAGATTTTTAAGTATCAGATTTGCGATTAGTTTTCTAATGAGTAGTATAGTCTGATTTGAATTTGTTTTATGTGTAGTATAGCTTTAAATGGTTAAATACTGGCATCTATTACAACATTTATTAAATCTTAATTTTTTATTTAAAACTAAATATATACCACATATGCACACATTCTATTATATAAATTGTTTTCTTGAAACCTCCATCTCTGTCTGTTCTCCCCCCAGTGAAGCAGTCATAAAAGCTTTTTGAGGGGAGACGGGGTGGCTCTTAGTAATTTTGCAAGTAAATTCTCTAGTCTTTGGAGCAGTCACTATATTAGAGTCTTTTTAAAGGTACTTAGGAGAGTTATATGCCTACATCTCTTTGTTCTGTAGTTATCTGTAGTAATTTCTCTATTCCTGCTTCCATGAAACCACCTGCTTAATATCCAGTTACTCTTACCAGAAATACCCATTTAAACTTCAAAGGAGTCACAAAATAAATACATTCATGAATGAGGATCATCAAGAGGGAGGAGCCAAAGTGCTACAGGAGTTGATTTGTTCATTCATTCATTCATTCACTCATTCATTCAACAAATACTTACTAGACCTCTTCAATTTGCCAGGTACTGTTGTAAAGACTGGTAAACCAGACAGACTAGTTCTCTGCTCTCTTGAAGTGCATATGCAAATGGGGGAAGGAGGCATAGATAGTAAACAAGTACATGAATCAATTTAAAATATTGGTAATTACATAAGTAAAAATGGATAATATGGTGACAGAGTGCCTGGTGAGTGGAAAATAACAGTAGTCAAAAAAGGCCTTTGACTTCTAGTTCTAGTTCTGTAAGTCTGAAATGTCATCAAAGTGACTTTAAAAAAAAAAGATAAGAGTCAAGGCTTCAGCTATCTCTGAAGCTCTCTCTCTTCAGCTTCCTCTTTGGTCCTACAGACTGATAATGTTATTTCTAACTGTGCCCAATCTTCAGCCAAGGTTTAACATCAGTAGTTTGATTACTTATTTTCTCTACCTGCATATCCTATGTACATACCCTTACGGCTATGTAGATAACAACTCCAGCTCTTTATCGACATACATTGTTTTTTGGAGAGAAACTTTTTAACATAGCAAATTTCATGTTCTCCAGTTTTTAATCTGTCATGAAATGAAGGTTTATACTCTTCACAGAATGATTATTAGATCTTCATTTGTACACGTAGAAATGCCTAGGTTCTTTCCAAAACCCTTCTCTAGGTTTCTTATAGGGATCTGTCACTTATGCTTTGAAAATATTATTGAGAATTGTCAGGTCAGCATAATTACTATTTTGGTTACTGATTACTCCTACTTATATCTAAAACAAAATTTGTGGGTAAGAACCTACTTAATTCAAATGTTTGCCTGTTGTCTTTATCACTGAACAAGGAAGTAATGAGATCCAGCTCAGTTGTTTGTGGTCTTCCCCTTTTTGTACCTGTACGTTTAGATTATATGACGAGGTAGAACAGCTTATTGGGCTGGACACGTGTTCTCTGCAGTTATACTGTCAGGCCTCTGACTGAGCAGCTTCTAGGAGGCTGAATCTCCATAATAGCAGAGCTTCCTGCTTTGGTACATTTTAAATTGTTATAAATAAGAGAAATATTTACATAATCTGTTCATCATTCATCAGCCTGCCCTTTTTTTTGATCCTTTTAGAGAACTATTTTCTTCTCTTCATACAGACTTTTGTGTAGTTGAATAATGCTACTTTAGGACAGTTTAAAGATTAATTAAATACAATGAAAAATAACTAATTGAAATATCCAGTTTAGCCAAATGTTTTAATTTTTTATTGTTTCTTTTAATAAGTAAGTTTGGCATTTCAGACTTATAACAACTAATAGGGATCAGAAAATATTTTGATTAATGAATATTCTAATTAGCTAAATAATAGCCTTTTAAGTTCTATAACTTTTGTTTTAATGTTCATTTTTGATTATAGTTTAAAGGAGCAGTTTTTAGTCTTTGTACCAAAACGCCCTAGAGTTTTGCAGAAAAGCATAAGATATTGCTTATTGGGGATAAAGGGGCAGTTGGGCCCTACTTTCAGAGCAGCCCTGCATTTATCTGTTTTATGTATTATAGCTCTGGGACAATTTTGTTTAATGTGTGTGGTGAGTATTTCTACTGTAAATAAGAAAAGTTTGAAAAACACTTGGAAAGGAAGAAACTAATTTTAGAAAGACATGACCTTAATAGTAGCATTCAGAATCTAAGCTATAGTACTTAAGCATGAACAATAGTAATTTGATCTACTTAGAGTGAGTTGCAAAATAGACATACGTATATTTAGAGATTTTGAGACATGCATGGGACCTTATAGTACCAGCCTCAAAAGTTATAATTATTATATTTTTCTTTTAAATCAGCTTATGACTTGAAGTCAGAAATCACATATGACAAATCAGAATGACTCAGAATGGCATTAACTTCTTTGGAAGTTATCATTTAATAACTGATTTGTCAAATCAATTGACATCATCTTTTTCTTTTGTAAAGCCCACTGACAGATACCAACACCACATGGAACATTAGAAATTAGTAGTCCTGTACTATACCTAGGCACTTTGGTTTCTTCCAGTTGAGGTATATGTTTAGCAAAAGCTCAGTTGTGCTTGTTTCTTTCTTTCTTTCTTTCTTTTTTTTTTTTTTGAGACAGAGTCTTGTTCTGTCACCCAGGCTGGAGTGCAGTGGCATGATCTCAGCTCATTGCAACTTCTGCCTCCCAGGTTCAAGCAATTCTTGTGCCTCAGCCTCCTGAGTAGCTGGGATTACAGGCATGTGCCACCATGCTCAGCTAATTTTTGTATTTTTAGTGGAGACAGGGTTTTGCCGTGTTGGCCAGGCTGGTCTTGAACTCCTGGCGTCAAGTGATCCGCCCGTCTCAGCCTCCCAAAGTGCTGGGATTACAGGCTAAGCCACCATGCCCGGCCTAGTTGTACTCATTTCAGAATGTGTTTATATTAAGAAATTTACTTGAATATTGTACAAACTAATAAAATTTGAATACAGAAAGGGTTTTTGTTCTTATGAATGCTAACTTTAATGTTTTAGAAAGACTCCATAACAGAAAACTTTGGTTTTTTTTTTTTCCCCCATCTCTGCTGCTTGAATCAGAAAGGAGAGAGTTTTTTGTTTTTAAGAAATTGCTATTGAATTAGATTGTGCAAGAAAACTGTAGATTGAAACAAAAATTATAAAAACGTGAAAGGTATTGCTTTCCAATTGTCTTTCTGTTCTTGTTCTACTTTCACATGACTGGCCCTGGCAGTCACAGACCTTGCAGTGTGGGTATTGTTATGTGAGGAAGAGCAGAGCTTCAGTGAGTGGACCCCCTACTGAGAGAGAACGCCTTGGCCCCATATTAGAATATTTGCATTAATCTGCTTTAAGTTAATATTTTTGCTGTGTACATGTATACTTTTTTTATGAGTCTTTAACCTAATTTACCATGAACCTTTCTGTGAGTCAGAGGGCTTGTATGGTAATTTAAAAATACAGAGCACTTTTCCCATCATGGGAACCTGTTTTTAGACATTTTTTTCTGTCATATTAATGCAGCAAACAATTTCACAGACTTGATTGTTTCCTTTCTATATTCCATCTGATTTCCTTCTGATAATCTTAACAGCTTTTTAAAAACCTACACTGGTATTTTATGTATATTGTCTTATATATTCTTCACAACAAACATAGATAGTAGGTATTATCCACATTTCCCAAATGAAGAAAATGAGTCTCTGAGCATAAATAATGTGCTGCAGTCATGCAACTAGGGATTAACAAAGCAGGGATTCAAATCTAGGGCTGTGTATATCCAAATTTTCTTTTCACCCCGCTGTGCTTCACTCTAAATCATACAATATATAGTAACTCAAGCATCATAAAGACTTCCTAAAACAGTCTTACATATGAAGCAGTTTCATTCCAGGGACCCTGAAGGCAGTGTGGCAGTGAAGCTCTGTGGAGGTCTGTTAAAAAATCATAGGTAGTCTGTTATATCTTTGGTTATGGTGTCCATTGTTGCTGTGGTCTGAATGTTTGTGTCCCTGCAGAATTCATTTGTTGGAACATAATCACCAGTGTGATGTAGTTAGGAGGCTGGGCTTTTGGGAGGTACTTAGGTCATGAGGATTCTGCCCTCGTGAGTGGGATTAGTGAACTGGCTAGTTAGTTAATCTATGAACCAGAACCAGGTCTTCATGACACTAAATATGCTTGTGCCTTGATCCTGGACTTCCAGCCTCTAGAACTATGAGAAAGAAGTTTCTGCTGTTTATAAGATACCCTCATTTATGGTGTTTTGTTATTCAGATCGAACAGACTAGGAAATAGTATGGTAAGTTGGAATAGTGTAACCCCCAATAAGCTAATAACTATCAGGTCTAGGCTTTGTTTTGTAATGGATCTGTATCATAATTGTGGTAAGACCTCTAGTCACAGGACCTGGTTAATATCAGTATGCCTCATGTTATTTGGGAATGATGTATTTCAAAAAAGTTTATTGTGTAAATAATAGAAAATTGGCTATTTATACCTAATATACTTAATTTTTAATTGTTTATTGGTTCTTTTAATAAAATGTATTATATACTTTCTTTGAACCTTGTTAGACCTAAAATAGTTGAACCTTTTTTTGTTTTTGCTTTTGATGACCCAGGGTCATAATTATAAACATTAATTTCTATATTGTATCATAATAAAAATATACAGAATTATTGCTGCATAAC
This sequence comes from Homo sapiens, assembly GCF_000001405.40. NCBI lineage: Eukaryota > Metazoa > Chordata > Mammalia > Primates > Hominidae > Homo > Homo sapiens. The sequence goes on along the minus strand of NC_000008.11, from coordinate 79,995,976 downwards.
CATATAACCCTCCAGTTCTGCAGTTTTGTGTTATCTCTCCTTTACTGCTGTTATGCCCTTGTCTGCTTTTTATAGCTTTCTCAGACCTCCTAATTTTCCTCTTCCAGTATGCCTATACTTGGGAGATCAGTCATCAAATTTGTTGTGCTTAAAATAAGAACAACTAGGGTTTGAGTAAGGACCTAGCAGCCTCTTCTGTGAGTAAAGTGTGGGTACTTTAGTGTATGGACTTCAACATGTATTCTGACAGCTCCTAAACTCCTTCTGTTTAGGTCTCACTGGGCTGTGTAGCTACTTGATGTCACCAGATAACTAACTTCCTGATAAGTGAAGTGTAACTGGGTTGGAGTTTTGCCTATGTCGACTCCCTGTTCACTGATGCCCTTGATAGGGATTGTCACATATCAGAACAGTGTTTGTTGAACCAATCAAGGTGCCGAGTGTTTTGGACATGAGCATTTATCATGGTTGAGACTTTAACACCTCCAGTAGGGGCAGTAGCAAAAATAAGGTGGAATTATTCAATCCGAAATCCTGCTTGAGATGGTACCAATTCTTATAGTGAATTTGCAAATAAATGAGTAAATTTCTTAAAACTCTTGTTAAGCCCAAAGAATTGCTTTATAGCATTGATTAGTTTGGATGCCTTGTAATGCACTGGTAAAACATTTTATCAATCTCAAGAAATAAGCTGCTTATTTTATGAATTTTATTTTTAAATGAACTGGGCATGATAAGATTTTTCATTGAGTCACCAAACTTTTAATGAGCATCTATTATGTGCTACCTGTGTATTTAAGGCTAGTGACATACAGACTAATGACAATCCCTGCTTCCAGGGAGTTGATCTGGTCAGGGGGATAGAGAAGTAAACCAATAAATATAACATCATATAAGTTCTGTTCATTGTATTCTACAGGCATGGAGAAGGAATCGATGGTTCAATCTGCTTGTGTCAGAGGCTTCCCAGAGGAACTAACAATAGAACTGGGTTGCAAAGGATGGGTAGGAGATACTAAGTGCCGAAAGTGAGAGTGTTTCTGGGTGAAGGAGCAGCACTTGAACAAGTTTTAAATGAGAGAGAGGCTGCCTCTTCTGGGAATTCAAGTGGTTTAGTTGGCTTAAGTTTAGGAGGAGTGATGGGAGAGTGGGGAGATGACCAGGAGCCAGATTTTCAAGGAATTTACATATTGTCCTAAAAAATTGGGATTTTATTTTCAAAGTAGCAAAGAATCATTAAAATATTGTAACAAGGAACGTGGGTCAACTTTGTGTTTCAGTGAGATCATTCTGGCAGAGGTGTGGAGCATATTTCGGAAGAAGGATGTGAGAGGGCAGTTAGTAAGGAAGCTGCTGAAAAAAATGATGAGAATATGAATTAAATCTGAGGGTGGAGAAAGGAGACACATTTAGCAGTTTAGGAGGTGGAAGAGACAGGTCTTGGTGACTGAATAGTTGTGGTTGGTGAGAGAGAAAAATTTTGAATAATGTTTCATTTTGGACATGAATGGACTGGGTAGTGAGTTGGGTTGTGTTGGGGAGGTAGAGAAGGGGAGTGTGTTATTGATATTATTGCCTGCTTTAAAAACAAAAATTAAAATGCCCGGATGTAGATCACTTTTATTCTCTTATTTCCATTCAAGGTCATAATACTTGCGATTAGTGTTAGTCAGGAACATTCTCTTTTTATAATATAATATTGTATATATGTGTATAAAATCCCTGTGGTTAAACTATGCTGTTGCTTTGGTCAAAGAGCCAAATTCTCCAAATCTTTTCATTTCATTAAGTTGTATTTTAGTTTTGATTTTTCGAGAGTTGTAAACATTTCTGTAAAATCTTCAAGTCCAGTTTTATAAGTAAAGTCCGTTTACTAATGTGTTAATGAGGATTGTGTCTTTTAAAGCATTGTCTCTATGCTGGCTCTCTATCATAAAACACAGGATTGACAGCTCTGAAAATTGAAGGGTTTCAAAACAAGCATGATTGGCAGCTCTAAGGTAACTGGCACGTGCACTGAATCTTATTTGTACTTTTGTTTGACACTAAGGTGGAATAAACAAGCTAATTTTCCCATCTTTGTTTCTATTTCAGATTGTGTGATATGTAGGGTCAGATAAAGAGTGGAATGTATGTTGGATGTTTCAAAAACTAAAGTTTTCAAGGTGTATTGGTGGGGAAAAGAGAAAATAAGAATTTGAATTAAGTGGGTCATTTTATTGCAGAGGACATGGAACACATTAAAAAAGCATGCATGTTTTTATATAGGTTGGTGATTTAAAATCATTCTACTAGTTTTTCTTTAACAGATCTCTTCAGTCTTTTTTAGGATAGAAGAGCATCCGTTATATTTAGCTTTTTAATAGGAAACCTTAAAATATGTTCAAATATGATCAAATTATAAAGTATGATCTTAGAGATGTTCCAAGTTCATGAAACTCATGTAATTCAGACTGAATAGCATTGGAGGGGTTTTTTCTTGTTTGGATACATGCCATAACAAAATTCTTTTGGATTGATTTGTTGTATTGGATTGATTGTTCAATGGGATTCTGTTTTAATTGACATGCAAAATGGATTTGCTTTATGTAGCATATTCACATATGTATAGCTCTATCATTCCAGAGATTGTCTAAATTTACATCTCTAGGAAGTTTGCCTCATATGCCTTCTCAGGACTGTGAAGGTCAAAAGTGAATCTGGAAACTACTTTGGTAGCTGCATGTTAAGGAATGCAAGCAATTAAGTGTTCCCACAAAAGCTTTGAAGGTAATATCTTAATAGGACAGAGAGGAGAAAGAATCAGGGCTGCAGTCCTACAATTGGTTCAGGCTGTAGTTCTAGTGACCTACAAGTGGATTTTTTAAGAATTAAAAGCTATTTTAAAAGAAGGTCTGAGTTCTCTTTTGAATTTTGTCTTAATTTAGATTGCTGCTTGATAACATCTAGAGACTCATAGGGACTCAGAATTTCAGCACATATTTTGTGATTTGTAATTAATTATAAGAACAATAATAGCTAACATTTGTTGAATACTCTATGCTAGGTACTTTGTTAAGAGGTTTGCATGCATTATTTTCTTTAACCTTGTTATTACTCTAAGATACTGTTAGAATTCTCATTTAAAAACACTGAAGAAACTAAGGCTTACAGAGATACTTTAAATAACTTACCCAGGGACAGCAGCTAATAAGTATGCAGATGTGAGCTAAAGTAGCTTCTCTATATTGTTAACCACTACTTTATGCTACTTACTGAAATTACACTTTCAGGGTATGTGTCTATAAGTGTGTGTGAGATTTGTTAATTTTATCAGCAAATATTTATTGAGTACCTTAATCATAATGTGCTTAATGCAGTTTTTAAAAACTGTATGACATCTTCATCTTTAGGAGGAAAGATATAAACGTATAGCACAGTAACACAGAGGAATGTATGAATAAATGACTAAATGAATGATGTGGTCAAGCATCTGGCTTCTTCAAAGGAGAAGCCAGAGAAATGAAAGTTGAGATGGTTTCATAGACAAAAAAGTGCCTCCCAAAGACATGAAACTTCAGTTAGATACCGAAGGATAGAGAGGGAGTGTTGGGATGGATAATGAAAGGACATCTCTGGGGAAAATGGCATGAGGAATGGCACAGAATTGAGAATGAGCTTTGTGTGACTGTTCTCTATGTCTGTGTAACAAATTACTTCATAACTTAGTGGCTTAAAACAATAAACATGTATTATCTCACATAATTGCTGTGGGGCAGGAATCCAGGAATGCCTTAGCTAGATGATTCTGGCTCAAGGTCTCACATGAAGTTCAGTCAAGATATTAGCCAGGGCTGTAATCATCTGAAGGCTTGACTGGGGCTGGAGGATTTGCTTCTGAGGTAGCTCACTCATATGTCTGGCAAGTTAGTGCTGGTTATTGGCAGGAGGCCTCAGTTCCTTGGCACATGAATCTCACCATTGATGGGCTGCATGAGTGCCCTCACAACATAGCAACTTCCCCCATAGTAAGTGATGAGAGAGAGAGAGAGAGAGAGAGAGAGAGAGAGAGAGAGAGAGAGAGAGAGCAAGGAGGAAGTGGTGATGCCTTTTATGACCTAGTCACACATTGTCACTTCTGCCATATTCTGTTGGTTAATAACCAAGTGAGTCACAAAGCCCAGCCTATACTCAAGAGAAAGGGAATTGGGCTTTGCCTTTTAGAGGGAGGTGTACAGAGTTTGTGTATGCATTTTACGTATTTAATTTCTGTGTGTGAACAAAGCTTAACTTTTAATACAAAAATTTAGTAACTATAAAAACACAAAATATATGACAGCAAGATTTAAGAAAATGGAAACATCTTTCTCTGCTCTGTTTTCAGTGTTAAAAATATTTTCATCTCTAATATATTATTAGACACTACTTAAACCTAGATTTTCTGTATACTTCCAAGGTAACCTTTATTTTTTTCTTTCCAACTGTGATTCTAGGTATCTAAAATTCTTGTCTCCTTACTTATCCATACATTGAGTCAACTGCTAGCAGCTTTGAGCTACTTCAGTAAACATTTATCAAGTGGCTGCTCTTTGCTAGGCCTAGTGCTAGCTTTGGCTTTAAAAGTCCATACTGCTTCTCTTTCTGTCTCTATTAATTCAAATCTGGCAAAAGTTCTTTTTTTAAGCTGCTGACACTCCATTTTCTTAAGTAGTTATTTCTATCTCATGCAAGAGAGCCTTGCTAATTTCAGACAAATTTCAAACTATTTTTTATTTTGGTTAATTGAATTAAACTCTATCCAGCCATATAGTCCAGAAAGCCAAGAGTCAGAATAGACTCATTTCTCTTCATTACAACCTTCCTCCTGCATCCACTCAATCAGCTTTCCTCTTAATTATCACTGAAATCTGCCCTTTCCTCTGTCTCTACCATTAGGGCTTTTCTCCAGCCATGGATATCTTGTACCTTGTACCTGAATTTGCCACAGTTACTTTTTTTTTTTTTTTTTGAGATGGAGTCTTGCTCTGTCACCAGGCTGGAGTGCAATGGCATGATCTTGGCTCACTGCAACCTCCACCTCTGGGCTTCAAGAAATTCTCCTACCTCAGCCTCCCGAGTAGCTGGGACTACAGGCGCGCGCCATGCCCAGCTAATTTTGAATTTTTTTTTTTTTGTAGAGATGGGGTTTCACCATGTTGGCCAGGATGGTCTCAATCTCCTGACCTCATGATCTGCCCGCCTCGGCCTCCCAGAGTGCTAGGATTACAGACATGAGCCACTGCGCCTATCCCACAGTGACTTTCTCCTAATCATTGTCTTTGTTTCCATTCTCTTTGCTCCTCTATTCTATTCTTTTTCTTTTTGCTGTGTATGCATTTAAAGTGACCACAGTGGTCAAGATTCCATGACATGGAAGTTTTAGGGAGTGGTGAAATATTTGCTTTGCTAGATAGGCTAGTATCCTTATAGATAAGTCTGAATTTCAGGGTGAAAAGTTATGATGGTGGTGTTTGGGGATTGGCATTTTTGTATGCTGACATTAGTAGTGATGTGTGAGATGGAGTGGATACCATAAGACCAGTTCTGAGACTGTTGTAATCCAGACAAGAGGTGATTAGAGGCTGGACTAGAGTGGAAAGAGATGGGAACAGAAAGCTAGAAGAGCCTGTTCAGAGAAAGACTGATAGGACTCGGTAACTCATGCTAAAGGTTTCTAGCCCAGGTGACTAGAAAAATAGAGGTCACAGCCGTAGGGAAGTGGGGTAGAGAACTGTTCAAAGGGCAGGAGTTCTGTTTTAGACATGTTATGGTTATTCTATCTTTATTTATTTATTTTTGAAACAGGATCTCACTCTGTCACCCAGGTTGGAATGCAGTGGTGCAATCTCAGCTCACTGCAACCTCCACCTCCTGGGCTCAAGCGATTCTTGTGCTTCTGCCTCCTGAGTAGCCGGGACTACAGGCGTCTGCCACCATGCCTGGCTAATGTTGTCTGTGTGTGTTTTTGGTAGAGGTGGAGTTTTACCATGTTGCCCAGGCTAGTCTTGAACTCTTGAGCTCAGGTGATCCACCCACCTCAGCCTCCCAAACTGCTGGGATTACAGGTGTGAGCCACTGTGCCTGGTCATGTTGTGATTTTTCTGTAGGCATTTGGTGACATGGGATTGGAAATATGAGAAATTAGGTTGTGGAATAACAGTAGACCTGGGATTGTTAATAGCAACTTCATATTAGGCTCTAAGTGCCTTGATCTTCTGCCTTTATCAGCAAAAACAAAACAAAACAAAACAAAATATAAAGGCAACAGCATCACTGCAGTTATGTTTGTACCACATTAAGTGAGAGTGCCTGCCTTGAAGAAATGTTGCGGGGTTCATGTTCAGGCATCCTATTACAGAAAAAAAGCTAAATTTCTAAAAGTGAAATGCAAATGTAAAAATAACAGGATCCTTTTAGAAAAACAGTGTAGCTTTGCCAAGTATATTATTCTTATTATTCAACTTCAGGACTCTAAAATTCTTTCATTCATTTCTCGTAGATTTCTTATTACTTTACCTACTTCACTCTTAGGCATCTGTTCTTTGCTTCTATGTCCTTAGAAGATAACCTTATCTCCTTTCTTGAAATCAAGTTTGTACCTTAGTTTAAACCGTATAAAATTGCAGCTTTTAACGTCAAAATAGTTGAGTATCTGAAATTTCAACTGATTCAAGCTAATACTCCCTGGATTTCCTATTTCTTACCTTAAATTTTTTCTATATCATTTTTTCTAGATAGTTTGGTAAGATTGCAAACATTTTAGCATGTTTCCCCTTAAAACTATTGTACTTTTCCCATTCCCAAATTACCGTTCATTCATCAGTTCAGCCCACCAGGCTCTGCCCTCACCATTATACTTGTTGAAAGCACCCTCTTAAACTCATCAGGGACATCTGGTTACCTGCCCACTAGTTTCTGCTTAACTGCTTTGTATTATTCAATAATATTGGCTATTCCCTTCTCAGAAATTGTCACATACCTTTATTTTCTTGATTCTCCTTCTACTTCTCTGTTCTTTTTCTATATTCTTCTAGGAAGTGCTTTATACAATTTTAGAGGGTAAAAATGGCAGGAAGCAGATACAGTAGTTTTTGGCATGTGCAAGGAAGTCAAGCAAGACAAGTAACAGGAAGAACATAGGAGTGGAGGGCAAGAGATCTAGGTTCTAACCCTGTATCTGTCAGTGTGTACAGTAGAAATTCATTTACCCAGGAGTCTGATGAACAGAATTGTTCAAAAAGGCTTATTTTGGAGCTGTCTGTTTTAAAAATCACAGCACTATAATAATTAAAGAATACTTTTATGTGTCTATAAATGACATTTGTGTTTTTTATGTCTCCATTTATACATATCCATTTTTCTTTTATTGAATATATTAGGAATTATTTAGGTTCAACATTGTCCTATACTTGAAAACATGATGCTTTGTTCTTACCTTGTTTTAATTTTTAATAAAATATTTTTCCATAAATATATCACAGTTAGGTTTCTTTCTTTTTTTAATTTTTTTATTTTTATTTATTTTATTTTATTATTATTATACTTTAAGTTTTAGGGTACATGTGCACAATGTGCAGGTTAGTTACATACATATACACGTGCCATGCTGGTGTGCTGCACCCATTAACTTGTCATTTAGCATTAGGTATATCTCCTAAAGCTATCCCTCCCCCCTCCCCCCACCCCACGATAGTCCCCAGAGTGTGATGTTCCCCTTCCTGTGTCCATGTGTTCTCATTGTTCAATTCCCACCTATGAGTGAGAATATGCGGTGTTTGGTTTTTTGTTCTTGCGATAGTTTACTGAGAATGATGATTTCCAGTTTCATCCATGTCCCTACAAAGGACATGAACTCATCATTTTTTATGGCTGCATAGTATTCCATGGTGTATATGTGCCACATTTTCTTAATTCAGTCTATCATTGTTGGACATTTGGGTTGGTTCCAAGTCGTTGCTATTGTGAATAGAGCCGCAGTAAACATACATGTGCATGTGTCTTTATAGCAGCATGATTTATAGTCCTTTGGGTATATACCCAGTAATGGGATGGCTGGGTCAAATGGTACTTCTAGTTCTAGATCCCTGAGGAATCGCCACACTGACTTCCACAATGGTTAAACTAGTGTCCCACCAACCGTGTAAAAGTGTTCCTATTTCTCCACATCCTCTCCAGCACCTGTTGTTTCCTGACTTTTTAATGATTGCCATTCTAACTCGTGTGAGATGGTATCTCATTGTGGTTTTGATTAGCATTTCTCTGATGGCCAGTGATGGTGAGCATTTTTTCATGTGTTTTTTGGCTGCATAAATGTCTTCCTTTGAGAAGTGTCTGTTCATGTCCTTTGCCCACTTTTTGATGGGGTTGTTTGATTTTTTCTTGTAAATTTGTTTGAGTTCATTGTAGATTCTGGATATTAGCCCTTTGTCAGATGAGTAGGTTGTGAAAATTTTCTCCCATTCTGTAGGTTGCCTGTTCACTCTGATGGTAGTTTCTTTTGCTGTGCAGAAGCTCTTTAGTTTAATTAGATCCCATTTGTCAATTTTGGCTTTTGTTGCCATTGCTTTTGGTGTTTTAGACATGAAGTCCTTTTCCATGCCTATGTCCTGAATGGTAATGCCTAGGTTTTCTTCTAGGGTTTTTATGGTTTTAGGTCTAACATTTAAGTCTTTAATCCATCTTGAATTGATTTTTGTATAAGGTGTAAGGAAGGGATCCAGTTTCAGCTTTCTACATATGGCTAGCCAGTTTTCCCAACACCATTTATTAAATAGGGAATCCTTTCCCCATTGCTTGTTTTTGTCAGGTTTGTCAAAGATCAGATAGTTGTAGCTATGCGGCGTTATTTCTGAGGGCTCTGTTCTGTTCCATTGATCTATATCTCTGTTTTGGTACCAGTACCATGCTGTTTTGGTTACTGTAGCCTTGTAGTATAGTTTGAAGTCAGGTAGCGTGATGCCTCCAGCTTTGTTCTTTTGGCTCAGGATTGACTTGGCGATGTGGGCTCTTTTTTGGTTCCATATGAGCTTGAAAGTAGTTTTTTCCAATTCTGTGAAGAAAGTCATCGGTAGCTTGATGGGGATGGCATTGAATCTATAAATTACCTTGGGCAGTATGGCCATTTTCATGATATTGATTCTTCCTACCCATGAGCATGGAATGTTCTTCCATTTGTTTGTATCCTCTTTTATTTCGTTGAGCAGTGGTTTGTAGTTCTCCTTGAAGAGGTCCTTCACATCCCTTGTAAGTTGGATTCCTAGGTATTTTATTCTCTTTGAAGCAATTGTGAATGGGAGTTCACTCATGATTTGGCTCTCTGTTTGTCTGTTATTGGTGTATAAGAATGCTTGTGATTTTTGCACATTGATTTTGTATCCTGAGACTTTGCTGAAGTTTCTTATCAGCTTAAGGAGATTTTGGGCTGAGACAACGGGGTTTTCTAGATATACAATCATGTCATCTGCAAACAGGGACAAGTTGACTTCCTCTTTTCCTAATTGAATACCCTTTATTTCCTTCTCCTGCCTAATTGCCCTGGCCAGAACTTCCAACACTATGTTGAATAGGAGTGGTGAGAGAGGGCATCCCTGCCTTGTGCCAGTTTTCAAAGGGAATGCTTCCAGTTTTTGCCCATTCAGTATGATATTGACTGTGGGTTTTTCATAGATAGCTCTTATTATTTTGAGATACATCCCATCAATACCTAATTTATTGAGTTTTTAGCATGAAGGGTTGTTGATTTTTGTCAAAGGCCTTTTCTGCATCTATTGAGATAATCAAGTGGTTTTTGTCTTTGGTTCTGTTTATATGCTGGATTACATTTATTGATTTGAGTATATTGAACCAGCCTTGCATCCCAGGAATGAAGCCTACTTGATCATGGCAGATAAGCTTTTTGATGTGCTACTGGATTCAGTTTCCCAGTATTTTATTGAGGATTTTTGCATCAATGTTCATCAAGGATATTAGTCTAAAATTCTCTTTTTTGGTTGTGTCTCTGCCAGGCTTTGGTATCAGGATGATGCTGGCCTCATAAAATGAGTTAGGGAGGATTCCCTCTTTTTCTATTGATTGGAATAGTTTCAGAAGGAATGGTACCAGTTCCTCCTTGTACCTCTGGTAGAATTCGGCTGTGAATCCATCTGGTCCTGGACTCTTTTTGGTTGGTAAGCTATTGATTATTGCCACAATTTCAGAGCCTGTTATTGGTCTATTCAGAGAGTCAACTTCTTCCTGGTTTAGTCTTGGGAGGTTGTATGTGTCGAGGAATTTATCCATTTCTTCTAGATTTTCTAGTTTATTTGCGTAGAGGTGTTTATAGTATTCTCTGATGTTAGTTTGTATTTCTGTGGGATCGGTGGTGATATCCCCTTTATCATTTTTTATTGCGTCTATGTGATTCTTCTCTCTTTTCTTCTTTATTAGCCTTGCTAGCGGTCTATCAATTTTGTTGATCCTTTCAAAAAACCAGCTCCTGGATTCATTAATTTTTTGAAGGGTTTTTTGTGTCTCTATTTCCTTCAGTTCTGCTCTGATTTTAGTTATTTCTTGCCTTCTGCTAGCTTTTGAATGTGTTTGCTCTTGCTTTTTTAGTTCTTCTAATTGTGATGTTAGGGTGTCCATTTTGGATCTTTCCTGCTTTCTCTTGTGGGCATTTAGTGCTATAAATTTCCCTCTACACACTGATTTGACTGTGTCCCAGAGATTCCGGTATGTTGTGTCTTTGTTCTTGTTGGTTTCAAAGAACATCTTTATTTCTGCCTTCATTTCGTTATGTACCCAGTAGTCATTCAGGAGCAGGTTGTTCAGTTTCCATGTAGTTGAGCGGTTTTGAGTGAGTTTCCTAATCCTGAGTTGTAGTTTGATTGCACTGTGGTCTGAGAGACAGTTTGTTATAATTTCTGATCTTTTACATTTGCTGAGGAGAGCTTTACTTCCAACTATGTGGTCAATTTTGGAATAGGTGTGGTGTGGTGCTGAAAAAAATGTATATTCTGTTGATTTGGGGTGGAGAATTCTGTAGATGTGTATTAGGTCCGCGTGGTGCAAAGCTGAGTTCAATTCCTGGGTATCCTTATTAACTTTCTGTCTCATTGATCTGTCTAATGTTGACTGTGGGGTGTTAAAGTCTCCCATTATTATTGAGTGGGAGTCTAAGTCTCTTTGTAGGTCACTCAGGACTTGCTTTATGAATCTGGGTGCTCCTGTATTGGGTGCACATATATTTAGGATAGTTAGCTCTTCTTGTTGAATTGATCCCTTTACCATTATGTAATGGCCTTCTTTGTCTCTTTTGATCTTTGTTGGTTTAAAGTCTGTTTTATCAGAGACTAGGATTGCAACCCCTGCCTTTTTTTGTTTTCCATTTGCTTGGTAGATCTTCCTCCATCCCTTTATTTTGAGCCTATGTGTGTCTGTGCACATGAGATGGGTCTCCTGAATACAGCGCACTGATGGGTCTTGACTCTTTATCCAATTTGCCAGTCTGTGTCTTTTAATTGGAGCATTTAGTCCATTTACATTTAAGGTTAATATTGTTTTGTGTGAATTTGATCCTGTCATTATGATGTTAGCTGGTTGTTTTGCTCGTTAGTTGATGCAGTTTCTTCCTAGCCTCGATGGTCTTTACAATTTGGCATGATTATGCAGTAGCTAGTACTGGTTGTTCCTTTCCATGTTTAGTGCTTCCTTCAGGAGCTCTTTTAGGGCAGGCCTGGTGGTGACAAAATCTCTCAGCATTTGCTAGTCTGTAAAGGATTTTATTTGTCCTTCACTTATGAAGCTTAGTTTGGCTGGATATGAACTTCTGGGTTGAAAATTCTTTTCTTTAAGAATGTTGAATATTGGCCCCCACTCTCTTCTGGCTTGTATAGTTTCTGCCAAGAGATCCGCTGTTAGTCTGATGGCCTTCCCTTTGTGGGTAACCCGACCTTTCTGTCTGGCTGCCCTTAACATTTTTTCCTTCATTTCAACTTTGGTGAATCTGACAATTATGTGTCTTGGAGTTGCTCTTCTCGAGGAGTATCTTTGTGGCGTTTTCTGTATTTCCTGAATCTGAATGTTGGCCTGCCTTGCTAGATTGGGGAAGTTCTCCTGAATAATATCCTGCAGAGTGTTTTCCAACTTGGTTCCATTCTCCCCGTCACTTTCAGGTACACCAATCAGACATAGATTTGGTCTTTTCACATAGTCCCATATTTCTTGGAGGCTTTGTTCGTTTCTCTTTATTCTTTTTTCTCTAAACTTCCCTTCTCACTTCATTTCATTCATTTCATCTTCCATCACTGATACCCTTTCTTCCAGTTGATCGCATCAGCTCCTGAGGCTTCTGCATTCTTCACGTAGTTCTCGAGCCTTGGCTTTCAGCTCTGTCAGCTCCTTTAAGCACTTCTCTGTATTGGTTATTCTAGTTATACATTCGTCTAAATTTTTTTCAAAGTTTTCAACTTCTTTGCCTTTGGTTTGGGTTTCCTCCTGTAGCTCGGAGTAGTTTGATCGTCTGAAGCCTTCTTCTCTCAACTCGTCAAAGTCATTCTCCGTCCAGCTTTGTTCCGTTGCTGGTGAGGAGCTGCGTTCCTTTGGAGGAGGAGAGGCGCTCTGCTTTTTAGAGTTTCCAGTTTTTCTGCTCTGTTTTTTCCCCATCTTTGTGGTTTTATCTACTTTTGGTCTTTGATGATGGTGATGTACAGATGGGTTTTTGGTGTGGATGTCCTTTCTGTTTGTTAGTTTTCCTTCTAACAGGCAGGACACTCAGCTGCAGGTCTGTTGGAGTTTGCTAGAGGTCCACTCCAGACCCTGTTTGCCTGGGTACCAGCAGCGGTGGCTGCAGAACAGTGGATTTTCTTGAACCGTGAATGCTGCTGTCTGATCGTTCCTCTGAAAGTTTTGTCTCAGAGGAGTACCTGGCCGTGTGAGGTGTCAGTCTGCCCCTACTGGGGGGTGCCTCCCAGTTAGGCTGCTCGGGGGTCGGGGGTCAGGCGTCAGGGACCCACTTGAGGAGGCAGTCTGCCTGTTCTCAGATCTCCAGCTGTGTGCTGGGAGAACCACTGCTCTCTTCAAAGCTGTCAGACAGGGACATTTAAGTCTGCAGAGGTTACTGCTGTCTTTTTGTTTGTCTGTGCCCTGCCCCCAGAGGTGGAGCCTACAAAGGCAGGAAGGCCTCCTTGAGCTGTGTTGGGCTCCACCCAGTTCGAGCTTCCCGGCTGCTTTGTTTACCTAAGCAAGCCTGGGCAATGGCGGGTGCCCGTCCCTCAGCCTCGCTGCCGCCTTGCAGTTTGATCTCAGACTGCTGTGCTAGCAATCAGCGAGACTCCGTGGGTATAGGACCCTCCGAGCCAGGTGCAGGATATAATCTCCTGGTGCGCCGTTTTTTAAGACCGTCGGAAAAGCGCAGTATTAGGGTGGGAGTGACCCCATTTTCCAGGTGCTGTCTGTCACCCCCTTCTTTGACTAGGAAAGGGAACTCCCTGACCCCTTGTGCTTCCCGAGTGAGGCAATGCCTCGCCCTGCTTCGGCTCACGCACGGTGCGCTGCAACCACTGTCCTGCGCCCACTGTCTGGCACTCCCCAGTGAGATGAACCCAGTACCTCAGATGGAAATGCAGAAATCACCCGTCTTCTGCGTCGCTCATGCTGGGAGCTGTAGACCGGATCTGTTCCTATTTGGCCATCTTGGCTCCACCATCTCTTTCTTTTCTTTTCTTTTCTTTTTTGAGATGGAGTCTCACTCAGTTGCCCAGGCTGGAATGCAGTGGTGCGATCTTGACTCACTGCAACCTCTGCCTCCTGGGTTCAAGCAATTCTCCTGCCTCAGCTTCCTGAGTAGCTGGGATTACAGGCATCCGCCACCATGCTCACCTAATTTTTGTACTTTTAGTAGAGATGGGGTTTCACCATGTTGGCCAGGCGGGTCTTGAATTTCTGACCTCAAGTGATCCACCTGCCTTGGCCCCCCCAAAGTGCTGGGATTACAGGCATGAGCCACTGCACCCTGCCCAGAGCCTTAACTTTGGACCTAAAATAGAATACTTCGTGTTCCTTTAGAAAAATGCAAATTAGATATCAAATAGGTATAATTAAATCCTTAATTAGAACTGATTGAGCATATTATAATGTTCATGTGGATTTTATGCTACTCTCTGTCATTTTTGAATTTATTAAGCAAACCAATCCTTCCTTGATGTGATTTCCTTGAAAGCATTTCTTTTATATCTACTTATAGTAGTGTCAACTCTTTGTTATGCTATACCTCTTTCAGTGTGGAAGATACGATTTTAAGTTACTCGGCTTCCAAAATATATTGCTGTAAACGTACATATTTTCAGACTCAGCATTTTTACTAGAGTTAGTCTTACCTCAAAACTTCTATTTTACTTACCATTCTGTTTCAGTTTTTATTTTACTTTTTTTATTTACTAGAATGATAATACATCATATTAGTTTGAAAGTTAACAGCTAAACACAAACTCTTTAAATCTCAAAATCTATTTGAGAAACTAAATATCTTTCCTAACTGCAATTGCAAATATTTTAGTTTGCCTGTTTCCTGAACGTAATTTATTTAGAAACTTTAATTTTGAATTTAGCTTGTTTTTTAAATACTGTGTCTTCAGCATGTTTTTGTTTTTGTTTTTTAAGACAGGGTGTCGCTGTGTTGCCCAGGCTGGAGTGCAGTGATCACAGCTCACCACAACCTCCACCTCCTGGGTTCAAGCGATTCACCCACCTCAGCCCTGCAAGTAGCTGGGACTACAGGTGCATGCCACCATGCCCAGCAAATTTTTGTATTTTTTTGTTGAGACAGAGTTTCACCACATTGCCCAGGCTCATCTTGAACTCCTGAACTCAAGCAATCTGCCAGCTTCGGCCTCCCAGAGTGCTGGGTTTACAGGTGTGAGCCACTGCGCCCGACCCAGCATGAATTTTTAAAGCTCTTTGTTTCATTTATTTCACTGAAGAGGACATCTGAAGTTTGAAGCAAAGCATTCCAAAAGTAAAGTTTAGCATATGTTGATTTGTGATATGAATTCTATTATTAATAGTAATGGTAGTGATGGTGACGATGGTGTTGATGACTGGTAGCAGCAGCAGCATCTTCCTAATGTTTTAAATTGTTATTAAATTTTCCCTCCAAAGGAATCTTAAGTCACTTTAAGAAAATCAACATGTGCTGCATATTTTGGAGAAAATAATTTTTAAATGTCCGGCATAGTGCCTTGCAGAGTATAAGTTCACAATAAATACTCATTGCTTACTTTTTTGATGGACAAGAGTCACCAAGTCATTTACCTATTGGTAGGGTGTTTCAATTATTGGTTGAATATACTGTTCTTAGTTCCTTTGGTGTTACAAAGGGATGAAGTTAACCTCCAGTGAAGAGGCTGTAGTAACCTGTTTTAGTGAAGAAATGAGAGCCATTTCAATTTTAAGAAAAATAAAATCAATGTCAAACAAAATCAATGTCAAATTAAATGAGAATTTATTGTTTTCTAGATTTGAAAACTATAGGGCATTTTCTGCCTGTTCTTGTCTTCATAGTTGGCTATGTTGTCATAATCATTATAGCCAACATTTATTAGCTGTTAAGTCTTAATTGTACTCAGTCACTTTTCTAAGCATAATACTAGTTAAGATCATGGCCTTGGAAAGATTTCTGGATTTGAATCCTGGCTCTACTCCTAACTAATTGTGTGATCTTAGGCAAGTTGCTTAACTTTGGAGCCTTAATTTTCTTGTCTTTAAAGTGGTTGAAGATAGTACTTACCCCCAAAGTGCTATCAAAGTACTGGTTGGTGTGAGAATTAAAGTTGTCATCATTATCACAACAGCTGGCATTATTGAACCTTTTCTATGTGTCAGACAGATACTATGCTTTACATACGTCTTACTAGCATCACCCTTATTTAATAGATGAGGAAGGTGATTCTCAGAATTTGTGACTTTCCAAATCATTTAGACTTGTGTCAATTGCAAATAGCAGAAAACTTGTCTACTTGTGGCTTAAAAAGATAGAGACTTTTTTTTTTTTTTTTTTTTTTTTTTTTGCGTGAGAATCCTGAATGTTAGTGGCTACTGGGGTTGTTTTAGCAGCTTGACAATGCTTTATGCTTTAACATCAACATGAGGCTTGGGGCTTCTTGAGTCATGCATGGTACAGTAAGGCTGCTGATTCTACAGACCACATGTCTGTGTTTAAGGGAGGAAGAGAATGGGAAGGAAGAGATTGGGGAGGGCAGGTAGTTTTCATAAGGGTAGTTAAAAAGCAGACCTGGGATGAGTGCAGTGGCTCACACCTGTAATCCCAGCATTTTGGGAGGCTGAGGCAGGAGGATTTCTTGAGCCCGGAAGGTTGCAGCTGGAGTGAGCTGTGTTTGTGCCACTGCACTTCAGCCTGGGTGACAGAGTAAGACCCTGTCTCACAAGAAGAAATAAATAAGTAAAAAAATTTCTTTTAAAATTTATTTTTTATTTTTTTGTCCCTTTTACCAGGAAAACAAAAGCTGCCAGACTTCAGTTTTCATTTAATTGGTCAGACCTATACAACATATCTAGCTTCTCCCTAACTGCAGGGAAGGCTCTGAAAATCAGTGTTTAACTTTTTCATTGTGGCTGCTTCAGGTGAGAAGGAGACTGGGAATATAACTCTTGTGTCACCTAGCCAGTGGGTTCTGCTGCTGTGCCTGAGCTCCCACCACTATTAAGTGGCAAAGCTGGAATTCTAACTCAGATGTCTCTTCCTCCAAAGTCCTAATTCTCCAGTTCTGCCTCTCAAAGAATAAAGGCTCCCGTATTATAAAGATTTGAATGAACATTATCCAGCATCTACAGATAGGTACAGTTTTTTTCTTGAAATTTTTCCCTTTTCAAAATAAAAAATTTTATTTACCTTTTTAGGCTGGCTGTATTTTGAAAGTATAGGTTATGTGTTCCTGTCTTCAACTAAAGATACAAAACAACACAAAAAATTAGTGACTGAATGTATTTTATATTAGAAATGACTACTAAGATATGTTTGTTTCAGAGAATTTCTGATAACACTTTTCAACTTTCAATAGTGAAAAAAAATACATCATTAAAGTAATATGTTCTTGCCTCTTTCCATTCTGATTACTACATTTTAACTCATGTAAAATGAGTTTGTTCTATGCTCATTTCCTAAGGGGTGGTTATCCACTGATTTCATTTTCTGGAAAATAAAATTATGTCACAATTCTTGGAAACTGCGTATTTATTTATTTATTTTGTTTTGTTTTTGTAGAGATGGGGGTGGAGTGAAGAGTGGGTAAAATTAAGATCATAATCCAAATTCTCTTTTCAATTGTCAAAAATATAACCATAGCTTACTCTTATATCCTGTCTTTTTTCAAGGATAAATATAGTAATGCTCTAAGTTAGGAAACATTATCCACAGTTTTTAGACAAGGAAACTGAGACCTAGAGAAGGTATGAAATATATGCAAAGTCGTGAGCTAGTACACAGTAGAGTTTTGTATTGAAGCCTGATCTGATCCACAATGCATGGTGAAGATGAAATCCTGATCAGTCTGTCACTTCGGACAGATTCTTATCTTCCTAGTTGTTTTAAACTACTTAGATTACATGTTTATCAGGGAAAAAAAAAATACAACTGTCACTTTCTAAAAATTTTAACATCTTTTTGTTGCAATAATCTTTTGTAAAAGAATTAAAAAACATTAAGTATAAGCCTAGTTCACCTTAGCCCACACTTTGCAATTTGTTTCACCCTATCACTTTACTGTTAAGTATTATCAAGTAATATTTAATTAAGTTCACTTAAATTCAGCCACACCATTGTCAACCATAAGCTGTCAGTCTCTAATAAATAGATGGACTGTTCTTATATTGTCTTTCCTAATCTGAATTCCAAAGCATGTCTTTTTAACTAATTACATTATGATGTGATCTGTCTACATTTCTATTTTCATATTTATTTTTTTAAATTGGATAATTAACCAAGCAAATAGTTCTAGTTGCATTTTTTGTAAGAAAAAGGGAAATAGGAAAAAGAAGTATTTATATATCATAAATATAAAATATGGTGTTTTTACATTAAAATTCTATTTATGCAAGTGTTTCTTCCTATACATATATCTTTATGTATTATTATTATTATTATTATTATTTGAGACAGTCTCACTCTGTCACCCAGGCTGTAGTATAGTGCTGCAATCTCAGCTCACCACAACCTCCGCCTCCCGGGTTCAAGCAATCCTCCCACCTCAGTCCCCCAAGTAGTTGGAACTGTAGGCATCCACCACCACACCTGGCTAATTTTTGTATTTTTTGTAGAGATGGGATTTCGCCATGTTGGCCAGGCAGGTCTCGAACTCCTGGTCTCAAGTGATCTGCCTACCTTGGCCTCCCAAAGTGCTGGGATTGCAGGTGACAGCCACTGTGCTTCGCCTGTATTCTTTTGTTTATTATAAAAATAATTTATTGATCAAAGGAAACTTAATTAATTCTGTTGGTCTCTTCATTTTAGATTAAAGCTTTAAATCATTTGTTTATTCTATGTATTGATCACTGAGCTGTCAAAGTTGATATTTTTCAGTGATCAAGCCAAATTAGTAAAATTGGATTTATGTCGATATTTCTGTTATTATTATTTTTTGGTTTCAATTTGTAAAACTAATGCATTTTCATAAAGAAGCTGTGGGAAATTCTCTAAGTATTTAAATTTTAAAATACTCATTTAAATGAGTATTTAATGAGCTCCACCACTCATTTTAGTACATTTGCCTCCAATCTTTTCAGCTACAGATTTCTGTTTTGTTTGTACATAATATGGTTTTAATCATACTCTCTATAATTTTGAATATTGAGCTTCTCACTGAAGTTTATTGTGTAGCATTTTTTTCATTATGAAGGATGCACTATATATCATTGAATATATCATAATTTCTTCAGGCATTCCTGTTTATTAGGTAGGTTGTTACTACTTTTTCACTCTTACAAATGACACAGTCTGGAACATCTCTGTGGTTAAGACTTCTAGGATTATTTCCTGAGGAAAGATTAAGTGGAGCAAGTAGGCTTAAAGGTTATTAATATTTTTCAGGTTTATGTAAACAGATTGAGCATTAAGATTGTTCATCTTTTTATTTGAAAAATATCATTTTATTTTAAAAGTAATTTAAGCTGATTGCAAAATACAAATTCAAATGAAGGAAAAAAACAATTATCACCAAGTGAAACATTTTCTTTTTGTTTTTCTTTTCTTTTCCTTTTGTTTTGAGACAGAGTCTCACTCTGTTGCCCAGACTGGAGTGCAGTGGCGCGATCTCAGCTCATTGCAACCATCACCTCCCTGGTTGAAGCAATCCTCCCACCTCAGCCTCCCGTGTAGTTGGGGCTACAGGTGCATGACACCATGCCCAGCTAATTTTTTGTATTTTTAGTAGAGCTAGGGTTTCGCCATGTTGCCCAGACTGGTCTTGAACTCTTGGACTTAAGAGATCCGTCTACCTTGGCCTCTCAATGTGCTGGGATTATGGGCATGAGCCATGGAACTCAGCCAGCATTTTTATATATATGTTTTAAAAAAGGTTCTTAACAAGGCCGGGTGCGGTGGCTCACGCCTGTAATCCCAGCACTTTGGGAGGCCGAGGCAGGCAGATCACCTGAGGTCAGGAGTTTGAGACCAGCCTGATCAACATGGAGAAACCCTGTCTCTACTAAAAATACAAAATTAGCTGGGCTTGGTGGCACATGCCTGTAATCCCAGCTACTTGGGAGGCTGAGACAGGAGAATTGCTTGAACCCGGGAGGCAGAGGTTGCAGTGAGCTGAGATTGCGCCATTGCACTCCAGCCTGGACAACAATAGCAAAACTTGGTCTGGAAAAAAAAAAAAAAGATTCTTAACAACAACAGAAATCTGCCAGTATTTTTGCATACTGCCTCATAAGTAGGTCTTCCCCCGCCTTCCCAAATAAACATATGTCAGGGCCAGCTAACTATGTCATAAACAAAATTGTTAAAGACTGCATAGCATTTTACTACTACAACTTCTTTAACTAATTCCCTGTTAATATATATTGATGTTGTTTTCAGTTTTTATTATTTTTATCTGTATATAGATTTTGGTATAACTATCTGATTATTTCCTTATAATAAATTATTTAGAGTGGAGGAACTGGATAGGTTGGTTGTACATTCTTTAAAGATTTATACACATTCTCAAATTTCCAAAGTAACTGTCTCTCTCCAACACTAGGTGTTTTTTTTTCATCTTGCCAATCTAATAAGCAAAAGTTATTACATTATTGATTTAATTTGCACTTTTGATGACTAGCAATGTTGAACGTTTGGCCGTTTATTTAATTCTTAAATGAATTTTGTACTCCAGAGTCATTGGCCTGTTCTGGTTGCTCATTAGTCTTTTGTATTTATCACTTTCTTGTTAGTTTATACTCTTTGTTGTAACTGTTAAAAAAAATTTACTCCAGTTTGTTGTTGATTACTTTGCCATACAAAATTTTTGTATTATGTAATTCATTTGCCTTTTTCTTTTATAATTTCTGGTTTGGGTACCATACTTACATACTTACAAAGGCTTTTGCCTTTGTAAAAGTAGTGGTCTGTGTTTCTCTCTAGTATTTTATAGTTGTATATTTCAGTGTTAATTAATTAATTATCTTTTCCAAGGCAGGGTCTTGCTCTGTTGCCCAGGCTGGAGTGCAGTAGCATGACCACAGCTCACTGCAGCCTCAACCTCCCAAGCTCAAGTGATTCTCCCACCTCAGCCCTTCAAGTAGCTGGGACTACAGGTGCATGCCACCACACCTGGCTAATTTTTGTACATTTTTCTGTAGAGATGGGGTGGGGGTTGTCTCACTATGTTTCCCAGGCTGATGTTGAAATCCTGGGCTCAGCCAGTCCTCTTGTCTTGACCTCCCAAAGTGCTGGGATTATACGTGTGAGCTACTGTGCCTAGCCTTATTTATTTGAAATTACTTGAAATTTATTTTAGAATTAAGTCAGGATTCCTACTGCCCTCCGTAATAATAATAAAAAATGTAATATTTGTGAACTAATATTCATTTATTGAGCTTTTATTACCTAATTTTGTTGACTATGAGACAAACTTTTTTTTGTATTTTAGCCTGCCCTACCTCTTTGAAATTACTATTGGCCAGGTGACACTTAGGATGTAGTTTGTCATTGCCTGCCCGTATCTGAAGTTAGTCATGGTTGATTATATTATCATCATTTCCTATGAGCTTTATCCTTGAAAAACTGCACATCATAATTTATTGGGCCATTTTCAGCTTTTTTTAAAAATATGAAATAGAATAGAAAATACTAGGCTGTACCAAAATAGCAAGACTAGTGCTTTTGGGGAACATTTCATTTGTTTTTTTTTTGTTTTTTTATTTTGTTTTGTTTTGTTTTGTTTTTGAGACAGAGTCTCGCTCTGTCGCCCAGGCTGGAATATAGTGGCGAAATCTCGGCTCACTGCAAGCTCTGCCTCTCGGGTTCACGCCATTCTCCTTGCCTCAGCCTCCCGAGTAGCTGGGACTACAGGCGCCCACCACCACGCCTGGCTAATTTTTTGTATTTTTAGTAGAGACAAGGGGTCACCGTGTTAGCCAGGATGGTCTTGATCTCCTGACCTCGTGATCCATCCACCTCGGCCTCCCAAAGTTCTGGGATAACAGGCGTGAGCCACCGCGCCGGCCTCGTTTGTTTATATGTATATGTTTAGAAAGATTTCTATGAGGGTGCTAGTTATGATATAAACTGTTCTTTCTTCGGTGTACTGTCAAAAAGTTCATCAGCCACCATTGTCTGGAGATTAGTAAAGCTAAAGACAATTCTGGAAGATTTTAACTACCACTGAAAAGAAAGGGCAAATTTGCTGGTGCTGAAAATGTGATAAAAATTCAGATTTCTAGGCCAGGTGCAGTGGCTCATGCCTGTAATCCCAACACTTTGTGAGGCCGAGGATCATTTGAGGTCAGGAGTTTGAGATCAGCCTGGGCAACATAGCAAGACCCTTATCTCTAAAAAATAATAAAATAAGAGGTTTAGATTTCTATGCACGACCTACTTGTATCTGCTTAGATTCTTCACTTTCTTTCTTTCTTTTTTTTTTTTTTATTAATTTATTCCTGGCCCTTTTCTGTGAGAACTCGTTTTCTTTCTGTTTCTATTCACACTTTCCTCTTACCCACTTGTCTACCTGCTGCTGTTCCAAAGTTCTAGAGTCTCTGAGTGGCAGAAACACCCATGGGAGTTGCTGATACTTGGCCAAATTTTCTTTTAATCTCGACTTTACACTTACTAGTTGCCCCAACCTTCCTTTGTAGAAGGCACACCCTAGCTGGGCGTGGTGTTGCAGGCCTGTAGTTGTAGCTACTCCGGAGACTGAGGTGGGAAGATCTGTTGAGGCCAGGAATTTGAGGCTATAATGTGCTGGCTTTTTAATTTCATTATTTATTTATTTGGAGATGGGGGTGTGTCTTCATATGTTGCCCAGGCTGTGCTCAAGGGATTCTCCCACCTCAGCCTCCTGAGTAGCTAGGACTTCAGGCACACACCACTGCTCGTGGCTGAGGGTATGGTGTGGTATGATCAAACCTGTAAATAGCTACTGCACTCCAGCCTGTGCAACACAGTGAGATCCCAACTCTAAATATATGTACACACACACACTCTCTCTCTCTCTCTTTCACTGTGTTGAGAGTCCAACTCTAAATGTATATATATGAAGCTTATCCAGTAAATGGAAGCAGAACCCCTTGACATCCAGAATGTACAGTTGACTGCATTGTGTATAAAGTTGTTGTTCCCCAAATTGCTTATCATAAGCCCATTTGGACGATAACTCTTTGTTGTATGGTTATAGTGGCTAGCTTTCATTTTGTGTTCCAAACCAGTATACTGCATTTACTTTGCCCTGTTGAATACCTATCAATTTTGTATCTTAAAAATGTTTGTTTTCCTTCCAATGACTGAAAGTATGTAAAAATCACCTGGCAATAGATTTTAATTTGGTTTTTGAGAGCATTCAATCAATTTTTCCTTTTTAATTTATATTTAAGATCTCCCAATATTTTGAATGTTTGACATTTATCTATAGCCCTTGTGTGATATTTTGATATGATTTCAGCAATTAAGGAAATATTCACTATACTGTAATCCTTTGTAAAATAGCAATTTAAAGCTATCTTTCTCTGTTTCGAACTCTGAATCTGAGTTTTGTGTAGTGATAGTATGTGGTTTTTAAAAAACGTGTGTCAATATTTGGGTTTTTTTCTTCAGTTACCTGTTAACAGAAACTAAGGAATTTGTGATCTGATTGTTTTGATTTTAAAAGCAGGAACTTTTCGATGAGTGTGAATGTAAAATGGTGCAGTCATTTTCAAAGACAGTTTGGCAGTTCCCCAAGTGGTTAAACAGAGTTACTATATGATGCAGCAATTCCATTCCTACATATATACCTAAGAGAAATGAAATCAGATGTCGACTCAAAAACTTGTACACAGATGTTCATAGCAGCATTAGTCACGATAGCCAAAATGTGGAAACAATACAAGTGTCCATCGACTGCTGAATGGATAAACAAAATGGGGTATAGGTATCCTCAGTACCTGTGGGAGGATTAGTTCCAGGACCCCACAGACACCAAAATCCATGGTTGCTGAAGTCCCTTTAATAAAATGGCATAGTGCTTGGGTATACTTACACACATTCTCCTGTATACTTGAAATCATCTCTAGATTATTGATAATACCTAATATAAGATAAATTCTATGCAGATAATTTTATTTATATTTTGTTATATTTTTATTGGCTTTTATTCCTGAATATTTTCTATTTGTGGTTGACTGAATCTGCAGATGTAGAAATTGCAGATGTGGAACTTGCCTGTATGGAAATTGCAGATGTGGAACTTGCCATACAGTGGAATATTATTCAGCCATTAAAAAGTAATGGGGCTGGGCACAGTGGCTCACACCGGTAATCCCAGCACTTTGGGAGGCTGAGGCGGGCAGATCCTGAGGCAGGAGTTCAAGACCAGCCTGGCTTACATGGTGAAACCCCGTCTCTACTAAAAATACAAAAATTAGCCAGACGTGGTGGCGTGTCTCCCACCTGTAGTTCCAGCTACTTAGGAGGCTGAGGCAGGAGGATTGCTTGAACCCATGAGACAGAGGTTTCAGTGAGCTGAGATCGCACCACTGCACTCCAGCCTGGGTTGCAGAATAAAACTTCATTTCAAAAAAGAAAAAAAGGTAATGAAGTACTAAGACGTGATACAACATGTCTGAATCTTGAAAACATTATGCTCAGTGAAAGAAGCTGGTCACAAAGGACTACATATTGTATGATTCCTTGATATGAAATGTGCAGAATAGTCAAGTATGTAGAGACAGAAGATGGATTAGTGGTGACCTAGGGATGGGAAGATGGGAGGCAGTGGGTGGGGTAGGGGACATTTAAGGGAGTGATAGCTAAGGGAGTTTCTTTTGGGGGTGATACAAATGTTAAAAAATTGTGATGATGAATGCACAGCTGTTTTTAGTGACTATACCAAAAGCCATTGAATTGTTTATTTAAGTTAGTGAATTGTAGCACATGAATTATATTTTAATTAAAAAAACCTTTCTGTGTAAGAAAGATAGCTTGATAAGGGAGTCAAGAGACTCAGTTCTTTCTTTCTGTTCTGTTTGGTGAACTTGAGCAAGTCATGCACCCTTTTTAGTCCTCAGTCCCCATTGTCTGGTTGGTCTTAAAGAGCCTTCCCAACTCTAAAATCCATTATTTAAATTTTGAGGAAATGATCTGATTACAGCTGTCAACAAATATGCATTTAGACACACTGATTGCTCTTATTCAATGGTTTCCCAAATTGCTGGCATGCTGATTTGGTAGTACAAATCCTGCTGTCCTCCTCTCCCTTCTCGTGGCTTCTAAAGGAAAGTCCATTGTTTGTTTATATTAAAGGCGGCATTTTTCCAAAGTTACTATACAGTGCAATTCACCTAATTTCTTAGCCCAAACAATACATGTGGTGCCACTGAGTCTACTGTCAAATAGCTTTAGTTATTTCTTTATAAAACATGCTAAGAGTAACCCTTGTTACTGCAATGTTAGAGCATCTCAGCAAATAACCACAGACTTTATTTATAGCAATGTATGTTTTGGATTTATAACATTTTATCTCTTTGAGACCTAGTATATTATTTGCTTGGTTACTTTATAATTGTGATAGTTTCATGCCACCCACTGTAGGTTGTTCTGCAGTGGTTATTCCAACCACAAATTAAGGAGTTATTTTTCTGTGGTTCAGTAGTGCACAAGGATTATATTGCAAAAGTTGCTGGAGCCCAAGTTCTGTAAACAGTTTTTTTGGAAGAAGTCTTTGTCTAACAGACTGACTAGATTGTTGGTATTCAAAACAGGAGAGGACAGAATTTAGATGAGCAAAACATAACTTCTTGATGATAAAATTGTTGAACATTGTCCTATAAAATGTCAGGTAAGGAGTTTACCAACTATCCTCTGTGTTGGTATATGGCAGCAGCCCTTTCAGTAGGACAGAATTGCTCAAATAGCTAGAGAATTTTCTACATGTAGAGCACTGATTTTTAAAAAAATTCTTCTTGGGGTCTTGGGGCCCTGGAGAATACAGTATAGGCATGCAGTATTAAGGAGTTCACAGATTTCCCCCAATATACCCATTAACCTTTAGGTATCCTTGAATCTAGGTAAAAAAAACCCGTGATCTGGAGGTCAGATGCTATGGAAGCAAAATAGATTTACTCTTCTGGAGTCACTAATGGTGATAATTTGCAGGTGGAGCCATATGCACCTTATGTCAGTATAAAAGGTATACAAAGTATCATGGAACTTGTTGGAATATCGATGTTGTTCACATGATAAGTACTGTAGGAATGGCATCACACTTGAATGACTCTTTTGTTTATTGCTATATCCAAGCATGTATAATATTAGTTGCTCAATAAACACTTGAGTGAATGAATGCGTCCAAGGAGAAATGTGTTCTGCAGAAGAGCTGACTCCTGTTACCAGATTTCACTATATTTTGTTTCAATAGCTAATATTTCCAAAGCAAAATAAGAAAAACGGAAAATTACAGAAGATGCTCACTTTATATCTGAGCACCAATTTAGTTTTCCTGTTTACTTCTTACCTTACATAACCGTAATTTGCTTTCCTTTATTATTTTTAATTTATTTTTTTATTTTATAAATTTAAATTTATAGTGGGGTTTTGCTATTTTGCCCAGGCTGGTCTCAGACTCCTGGGCTCAAGCAATCCTCCTGCGTCAGCCTCTGTTTTCTTTTGTTACAGATGACCAGGTTTTTCCGTTACCCCATCTTTTCCATTTCAGATATGACTTTAGTAATAAAAGGCAGGATTTATAAAAAGTTTTTATTCTATTTCTAGTCATTTTAAAAGTCTACAGGATTTCTTGAGATATATTTTTGGCTAAAATTTTGGTTTTATAATAACAGGAATTTTGTTCTGTGAGATTTCTTTCTAGATTTTTCAGTTCTTTATACAGTTTTAATAGCCCAGAGCTATGTTTAATATTTTCTTTCTTCATTGAAATTCAAATAGTTGTCTAAGATTTCCAAATTGTTTCTTCCTATCAAGTGAATGACTTAAAAAGATAACCTAAGCCCTTCTCACATAAATGGCTTTTTTTCTTAAATAGGTTTAGTACATTATCCTCAGTCATCTTTTGAGGAGATGAAAATAAGTTCTGTTAAATTATTATTTTTTTCTTCATTTATGGTACCACAACTAACAAGGGGAACTCTTAAATTGACTGGCTTAATATAATAGACTTGTTCATAGTCTAAGGGACAGGAATAACTCTTAAACACGAAGCTAATATTTAAGGATCATTTGCTAGGGTCTGAGCAACTGTTTTTTGTACATTAACTCATTAACCCTTAGAATTTATATTGGACACACACTGTTATTATTCCCATTTTCAGTGAAGGCAGCTAAGGCACAGAGACCAATTAACTTGTCCAAGTACACATGTTACTCACTGACTTATTAGAAATTATCAGAGCCTAGATTCAAACATTTGCAATCTAGTTGCAGAACCTGTGTTCTTAATGGCCACACTATACTGTCTCTTCAACTCTGTAATCAAGAGGGAATGAATAAATGCTAGAGGCAGTCAAGGAAAGCTTCACAGAGTAGGTGACAATTGAACTGATTCTTTTTTTTTTTTTTTAGACAGAGTCTCACTCTGTCCCAGAATGAGTAGAAGTTCCCTAAGGCGAGAGAGGAGAAGAAGGCAGATATATAGATACCTGACAGTCTTAAAGGGCATAATGTGTTGTGAGAAAGGTTGAGAAGGGAAAGTTGCAGGGGCTGAGACTAGAAAATGGTTGGAATCAGATTGTGAATTGACTTGTGTTCTATTCAGGGAGTCTGGACTTTATATTATAGAACAGTGGCTCTGTAACACAGATACAAAGATTGATGCTGGACAGGTTACTAGAATCAAATGGGAAGTTTGTTAAAAAGACAAATTTCTAAGCCCCATTCTAGGAGATTCTGATTGAGAAAATCTAGGATGAGGGCCAGAAATTTATGTGGTTCTGATGTGCACTTATGTTTGGGACCTCTGCTGTAGCCTGTGACGAACTTACTAGAGACTTATAAGCAGGGATGTGACAAGGACAGGATCTTGCTTTAAAGTAGAAATTATGGAAATTGAAGCTAGTACAAAATATATTGGAGATTTGGAGGCAGGGCAGTCATTTAGGAGGCTATTGCAAAAATTTAGAAAAGAGATATAATAAGACAAATTAAGACCGTGGTATTGTTGATGAAATGGAAGGAACCAATTGAAAAGGTATTTTGGAGTAAGAATTGATAAGTAAATAAGCAGGAAGGAGATAGGGAAGAGAAAGGGTTATGCTAGAATTTATAGGTTGAGCAAATGGGTGGATTAATCATGCATTATTTTGCCATACTCACTTTTGATTATTTAAATCTGTACATTCAAGATAATGTAAATAGTATGTATCAGTTATATGATATATACACATATATTAATAGTATATATACATATACTAATAGCATGTATCAGTTGTATACTTGGCAGCTTCTGTTCAGATGTGACCCGTCAGCTTCTTGGGGCAGTGCTGGCCACACGTCTCTTTGCTGTACAGTCTTTTGCTACTTGAGGAAATCTACCCTCCACACCTTTGTCCAGTGCCAAATAGTATCACTTTCCCTACACAAAGCCCCAGGCAATGCCGTCCATCTTGATTATTCAACTTGACACCTGTCTAACAGGCATAGGGTGGTGTTAGGATTCCATCAGAAAGCACGTTGCACACACGTAGCACATGTTGCTTGCTGATACACCTATGCCATTTCTTGCTCACAACAAAACCTTTTACTACCCCTTGCTACCCAAGCAGTGGTCAGTGGGAAACTATGTGGCCTTTTCCACCTAGCCACAGCTGATTAGACGAGAACAGACATCTGAACAAAGCTGGAACCAATCCAAGTCCCCTGGAATTGGGAATTGGGAACAGGAGAAAGAGAATTAGTCTCTTAACATGTCTGGGGCTTTAACTTGTAAATTTCAGGGCTTTGAGTAGCCATATTATATGCCATGCAGACTAGAGAACAGAGAAAGCTGATCCAAAGAAAGAAGAAGCATGCAGACATGTGGAGAGAAAAGAGCTGAGGAGAGTGAGTGAGTGAGTGAATGAATGTCATTGTCTGTGTTTCTTTTAACTTCTCAGTTTCTAGGAGCCAAGACTCAATATCCATACACTAATACTTCCTGCTCTCATTCTCTTTCTTGCCTGTTGTCAAAAGATATGCTACTAGGATATGTTGTTAGCCATACTAGGCCTACAATTTTTGAAGTGTTTGACCTTAGATAGGAACTACTCAAATCAAGATTGCTTTTAAATGTGTGTATGCAGTTACTCAACAGTTTAAAAAAATGATATGTGAATTGGGGTCAAAGAATCATAAATACTTTTAGGATGGAAAATTTTAAGATGTCAAACTGACTCAAACAATTTATACCTTGGAATAGCCCGGCCAGAGAAGATTATTCATAAGTATAAAGTGAGATAGAACAGGTTTATTATCATGAAAAAATACTGGTCACTTTTTTATACATAGCATACATGATTATGAACTGTGCTAATTGAGTATTCTATGAATGACAAAAGCACTAAAGCCAGACGAACTACAGGCAATTAAATAAATTAATTCACAAGAATTAAAGTGCTTTTTAAGATTATATCATGCTGTTATATCGTTCATGTGAAAAACTGTGCCAATTTTTCACGTACTTTTTCATACCGTTTTCTAGATTCCATTATTTTTTGACTGATGAGTTACATAGAAATACCTTTTAAATTTTCAAAGAAATGAGAATTATTATTGATTTCTAGCATAATTGTATTGAGAGCAGAGAAAGTGACTCCAGTTTTTCAAATTTGTTAAAACTTACTTTTTTGACCAGTGTTTGGTCAACTTGTGTAAATGTACCATTTATAAAATCATTACGATGGTGGATTTGTCTTTGCTGCTAGTAATTATTTTAATTTTTGCTTTTATATATTTTGAGGCTGTTTTACTACTTTCATGCAAGTTTAGAATTTTCATATTCTAGGCAACTTTATTCTGCTTTTTATTATATATTGACCCTTTATATATCTATAATGTTAAAACAAGCTCACTCAAGTTCTGCAAAACCCAGCTTCAGTGTTCTGTTTATTTTTTGATTTGTAGCTCTTTTCTTTTTTCTGCCTTTCTATAATCATTCCTAAACTGCTGACTCAATAATAGAATTAAAGAAAATATTTTTGTTATTTTAACCATTATGTTTCTTTCTTTTTAGGAGAACCTTTGGTCAATTTAGTCATTCTAACATACTGCTAGATATGGAAGTCTGTTACCTTTCTTTTTTAAAATCAGGATCATTCATGAATACTTACATATGTTCAGAAGCTCAGACTTTTAAGAATAAAATCAGAGCCTTATGAAATGAACTTTTAAAGAAGTACAAAATTTTACTTAATCAGCTGACATTGTTCTTGCTTGGTATTGATATTTAATTGACCGATACTGTGGAAGACTTAAGCATAGAGAGACATTCTGAAAGTTATCAAAACAATGGACATTTTTTTCTTCCTGTTATCACTTATATGCTTAAAGCATCTACTCTCAAAGCAGTTATTTTTTCATTAATTAATTTCTTTGCATTCTCAGAATCATTGCAGATATAATTAACATGTAAGATAAAATTCATAAGCGTGAAACTAATTATAGCTGTGTAGTGATGAGGATTTATGAAAGCAGTTAAAGCATTTTACTTTTTGACTCCTACTAAACCAGATATAGTCAGCCCCAGCCTATTCAAAAAGGATAAAAGGACGTACCTTAAGCATATCATAATTCCTAATATATTATCATTTATGAGACTACTGTGGATATATGGGTTGATTCTATGCCAGATCTTCTAAGACAGTGACTTCTTTCCTTTGCTAAGCATAAGAATAAGGATAGTACTACTTAGCAAGTTGTGGTAGATGCTTTCACAGGAATATTAATGAGACAGTATAGTGTTATATTTATGACAAGATCTGAAGTCAAATTGCCTGGGTTTGCTTATTTAACAGTGTCATCTTAAGTGAGTTACTTAACACTATCATTCAATTTCCTTCCTGTAAAAATAATAGTACTTTAGAGAAATCACTTAGAAGAATATCTGGCCCCTAAAATAGTGAGCAGTTAATTAATGTTTGTTATTGTCTTTTCTCCCTAAGAATAATTATTAGGCTGTAGATTGATTTAAACTTGAGGGAAATTTCAAATTACTTACCTTTTAAAAATGTTAATATTAATACATGTGTGTGTATTATATATGGCTATGTCACATATACAGCATCCATAAAGCTTGAATTCATCTACTTACTAGAGACCACTAAAAACAGCCTCTGGGTAAATAGGATATCTTCATAGACTCAAGAACAGTGATCTTGATCATCTGGCAAGAATGTTCTTGTAGTCATGAATATGGCACTTCCTTCGCTGTAGGGCTGGTGATGGTTCTGATGTTATTAATAGTAGTAGAATCATGGCAGTGGTCATAGTGTGAGTGTTGGGGCTAACACTCATAGGTAACATTTATTGAATGCTCACATGGTGCCAGGTCTTCTAGGCACCTCCCATGTATTCACTTATTTTACCTTCACAGCCTCCAATGAAGTAAGTGCTAGTATTATTATCTCAGTTATTTTTTTTTTAAATAAAGAAATGGGCGAGCATTTCATTTTTGCAGATGAGAAAAATCAAGACACTGGAGGGGTTATGTAAGATCATACAGCTAGTAATTGGTGGAACCAGAATTTGAACATAGTCTAATTCCAAAACACATATGCTTAAATACAGATGTGATTCTGCCAAGATGTTTCTGGCTTAGGGAAATGACATTTCATTTAGCAATTGAGCTTGTACTTTGCTCTAACTAGGTTTTTTGGCCAGTATCAAGCAAACCATTTTAAGCCAGTGGAAGTATCTGTCTGTTTATAGTCTCCGCTGAATTGTGTTAGAATTTTATTTTATCCCTGGCTTGGGCTCTTTATTGTTATACCCCACTACTTTGGGAAGTGGGCCTAAAGAGAGATGTGTATGTGCTTGGGACAATATGATATTAATATACACACAACAAGCAAAGCCACTGCCCACCCTTGCTGATGCTTCAGACTCCAGACCTGGATATTGCCTCACCTGCTTTCTGGCCCTACTTCAGCAATCTCTGTTGAGTAATGGCCTACATTACTTAAGTTCCCTACTTTAAGCCAATCCTGATTTCTCTTTGTGCCCAACCTCTGAAAAAGGTTGTATAAGTGGCCATAAGAGAAATATGACAGAAAAGAGAAAAACAAAAGAACAATAATTCAGTCAATAACTCTATAAATATCAAACTAATGGTGACTTTTCTATTTTACCTTTTTTATATTTTAACTCAGAAATTACTTCACTCCTGTAAGCTTGGTAGGAGAGTTTCATCTAGTGACTTTCAGTTCTCACTTGACCTGTCATGTGCATATGGATACAACTGCTGGCCACAGGGACGAGTGTGGAGCATTCTTCCGCCTTCACTTCCTAGGCTCTTTAGCCCCCACTGAGCTGTGAACAGTGGCTGAGGACAAAAGCTGTATACACTGTACAAACAGAGCACCAAAGCAGCAGTACACTGAGTCATTCTTCGCTCTGTGTGAGAACTGAGGGGGACTCTATTCATTTCCTTTGTGCTGGTGTCTGTCAACAGTGCTGTTTGAGGCAAGGCCTATTGTACTGGCCAGTGTTTCTTATTGACCTAAGTCTGTGCCTGCTATGTTCCCAGGGTCGAAGTTGCGAATGAGAGAATGTTTGGAAAGGGGGTAATCATAGGCTAAATGCATTTTGCTGCATTGTCATCTAACCTATTAAATCTAAACTGTGGTCTATGTTAATGCAAACAGGTAATTATATAGTCACAGCTGCAGCTATTGACATCTGGTTACCGCCCCCATGGAAAAAAATACGTGGTTTTTTGTTGTTGTTGTTTTTGTCCTGTGTCTGGGTTCATATATGGTGGACTTTAATGATTTTTAACTGAAAATACATAGTAGGCTAAGAAGACTAAAAGATCAACAAGATGGATACTTTAAAATAGCCTCTGCCACAGATGTTTGCATATGTTTTTCTTTGAGAATACGGTGCTTTTCCTTGACTCCAGCATGAATAATCTTGATTCAGTTTTAGATTTTAAGTAGTGTAAGGTAAAGATAATTTTGTATTTCTATCCTGTACAATCACATCATCATACTAAGTCATTTTGAAAGGGCTACCCCTCATAACGTAATTTTCCTTGCTTGCCTGCGGGTTTTATCCATTGTGTTTCATTGCCATGCTCTTCCAATGCAGGACAGTGTTTCCAAGAGGTCTGTGTTCCCCAGGCATGGCAAGTACATCAGAGTGAATTGAGGCTTATGGCTATCAATTATGTTAATAAGGCCTATCCTTCCTAGTTTCTTTCAGTGATCTAAGGAGCAAACATTTGAATAAATTAGTCCCAGTACATCACATTC
Source organism: Homo sapiens (assembly GCF_000001405.40). Lineage (NCBI taxonomy): Eukaryota > Metazoa > Chordata > Mammalia > Primates > Hominidae > Homo > Homo sapiens. Next base: position 79,962,832 of record NC_000008.11, on the reverse strand, counting down.
TAAATGTCCTGTGGAGAAGAATCACTTTTATACTAGTAAAAGAAAACATGTTTAGAATTGCGTTCCAACTAACCGTGAAAATCCCTTTACCATTTGAGCACCCTACTTTCATATTTTCATTCACTGCCGCAATTCATTATTTCACAATATTTATTGAAAACTTAGTAGATTCTGTGCTAGGTATTAGGGTACAATTTTAAAATAAAAATCTATTGGATTACTTTTTCTAATTCCTGCTGTCACTAGTGGTATTATGAAGTATATCAGGAGTGAAACTGTTGTAGGACATAGACGAAAAGTTTTAAGACCTTGTAACCTAAAGATTTTTCTAATTTTTTGATACTTTCTGTCTCTTGAATGTTTGGAGGCGTTATCTTTCTAAGTGGATGGTTACAAATCCCACTGGGACCTTGATGAGAAAGCACTCAGGATGCCCACTGGCCTGGATTATTCTGCCCTTTGAACCAGAGTCCTGTAAGCAGGGCTTACTTAGCTCATACCCCCTTGCCTTGTGCTTCTCAGAGTAAGCTTGGGTGGTTGCACTGGGCTCCTGTAGCTTCTGGTGGTTATTCAAAGCATGGCCATTCAGGATCACCTCTTGTATCCTCGGTACTGGAAATACAACGACGAATAATATAAAACTACTACCCTCTGGGAACTCAGGTTACCCTTCTCCTTTTTTTTTTAACCATCCTCACTACAAGCGCAGTTTTGAAAAGATGGCACAGTGATTGAATTTAATACAGAAAATAAGATAAAAAATTAAGTATTAAATATGTTCTACCTTAGAAAATGTGGGCCAATAATGAAGAAATATTCGTTCCACTTAAAAAATAATATTTAACATTAATGTTCCTAAGTAAACTTGACATCTTCTACATGGAACAGTATGTGGAATAAAAATAATATTTACTCAAATGGCATGCTGGTCAGTATTTTAATCCTTAGAAATGAAAATTATTTTCAAACTTAAAGTGAAATCGTCTTGCATAAATAATACCTTCTTTCATTTTTCAGTGCTGGTGTTTCACATACAGAATTATTTTGACAGATACTAAGTGTAATCACTTCAAAAGGCTTTTCATATTTGTAAGAAATAGCAAACCATATGCCATCTTGCAGAAGCCCTGATTGGGAAAGAACGTGGCTCTTGGCCAGCAATTAATTAAGCCACTCTTTTGTTTTGGCCATATTGTGGTGGTGCATAGGTGTGAAATACTCTGTCTTCACTAAATAGAAATATTCCTGTGTATCCATGATAATTTTAAGAAAACCTTTCAATTTTGGTGTTATTTTCCTATAAAGTAATAGGAGTTGTAAGTGCAAGTAATTGAAGCATGAGAAGAATGGAGAAAAGTTATTGGGATAAAATGAATTTGGCATTTGGGTAGCTGAAAAATGATTCCTATCATTTTGGTCCATAGAAAATTGCATCAATATTAACAGGAAGTTGGAAGCTGAACATCTGTAGCAGGTCTCTTGTTAAAGAATAGAGAAAGAGAAAAGATTACTTAATTATGTATTGTGTATACTGGGATATCCTATTGTCAAAAAGGGAAAATAATTAGCCTGACTAATCAATTTCCTGCATTTCTCCTGAATTCCAATTTAGATATTCTTGAATTATCTTCAAGTAGAGATCTCTGATATCAGATTATATGGGCTCAATTAGGTTACTCAGTGTTCCTCTCATCGTTCAGCTTCACTTGCCTCTCATTAGAGTAGAATTAACTTTTTATTCAGGATATAGTAGTTAAACAGAGTTATGGGCCTTGGGTCTAAAGATTGAAATCAGGGAAGGCCGGCCTCAACAGAGAGCTTCCTTTCACCCATTTTGACCATTGTCACTGCTTCCCCTCATTCATCCTCATTGCTGTTGATCTTAGCAAGAAACCCAGAGACACTATTGCCTTGCTTACAAATAAGGTTTTATGTTTGATCTTTTCATTTTGTAAAAGATAAAGCACCTAAATCTTAAAAGGGTGCTTTCTTTTTTTAATGAACAGCAGCGGCTCTGGGAATTTCAAAAGCTCTATAATGTTTTGTTCCTGTGGTAAAAAGGATTCACAACAGACATTGTGATCTAAATACTTGTTTTCTTTTTCTTTTAATGGAAAATTATTTCCCTAAGATTAAGCATAATTAAAATGTAGAATTCTTCTGCACTTTTCTTTAAATCCTAACTAATAAAACTAAGCCACACATATATTTTGGAAGGTTTCCTGAATGCTAGCCTTCACAGTTGAGCTTCTCTTTCTTTACAGTAAGTACATACACTGGTATTAAGTACTAGCCTGTGGGGTACCTGCATGCACCCACCCACATTCACACTGCTATACATTGAGACAGTCTGGTACACATATCTTTGGGAAAAGTGAAAGCATATCGAAGTGCTTTGCAAATAATTGTAGATGGGTGCAGAGAGGGTTAACCATCCAGCATTCTCAGTGACTTAATTAGGCTCTGGCACAGAGCCAGGATTAGTAGAAAATGGGTCTGCCTGGGACAACTGTAGAAACCAGTGGGTTTTAGCTTCTTGGCAAGGTCTACAGCCTGCAGCAGCATTCTATGCTTGTGCCTACCTGTTGTGGGAAAGTGAGGGGCTGTGCAGACAAGGGACAAAGCAGCCAGGCATTTTCCCATCTAGCTTTCCTATTTGTCTCTTTAAAAAGGAAGCAAGAGTACCTGTCATGGCAGGATTTCTGTAGTGATTCACTCCACAGTGCTTTGCTCTGTTCAAGGAAAGGCCAGCCTAAACCCCAAGGAAAGCCCTGTGGTCTCTCTGAGACTGCACCATGTGGAAAGCAGTCACCCCTGTAAAACAGGATGTTGTCAGGATTTGAGGTTTGGGAATAATCCGTGGGAGATTTGGCAGTGTTGAGACGTTTAAATCAATGTTTAGCCTCTGTGCTTTTTCAAGAAGAGAAAGTACATAGTTTATTGTTGCTTTCTTGATAAAATTAATATTGGCTTATAAGATTATGAGCCTCTGAAATAAAGCATAGTTATAAGTGTTTTTTAAACATATATACTGGTTTTATGAAGTATACAGCTCTTAAAAGCCTAGGATTATAATCTAATATTTTCTACTTGTCTTATTAGCTAAAATAAATAGATTTGCTATTTGGATGGTTGATAACTCAGTTTTTTAGGACTAAAATTTCTGTGGTAACCTTTCTTTCATACCCAAAACCCATATTGTAAATGTGCTTACATTTCTATTTGCTGCAAAGTTTTTCTATGTAAAATTATATTTCAGATAAGGGAAACCATTTTGTATTAGCAATCTCCTTGTCTCCCTTTCATTTAAAGTTGTACCGTTCAATCTTTCAGAATGAAATCTAACTTTTAAAAACTATGTGTATACAACAGATATATAACATAGAATCTTGTAGTTCTTAGAAAAAGCTTCATTACAGTCTTTTCAGTTAGAAAAGCCAATTTTCCTATAACTATTAAAAATAGGTAGAATACCTCCCTGGGAATAACAATTTGAATTTTTTTTTCATATTTTATAGCTTTTTTATAATAAAGATCTCTAGCTCTCAGCTTGTGAGACCTGTTCTTTGAACATTACTTAATACAGCACTATTTCTGTGTCATAAGAATATTAATAACAGTATTTTGGAGCTGATTTACTGCTATTATTAAAGTCGGTTAGCAATAGAATGTCATTAGTTCAGTAATCTTTACTGCAGTTAAAATAACGTAATTCCTGTACAGTCTAGTGCTTTACAAGTTCACACTGTGAAAGAGGGAAGGATTTCACTTTAAAATCTGTTATGTAGCTCTAGTTGAATATATATAGTGTATGTTGTGGTTGTCTATACCACTAATTTATAGATAATCTTGCATTGTTTCTTTAACTCATATAGTCTCCAAAACTAGATTGTAACCCCATGTCTATCTTTAAGGCAGTGTTGGTACAAGACTCACAGTAAATTCTTACTAAACTCAGTTATATAATTTGCTTAATTTAAGTGAATTGAGTAAATCCAAACTAATTTTTATATACTTGGGGGTTAAATGTGAAACATTTCTCACAAGACATAAGAAAAACTCACCCTGACACTTCATACCAGCAGAATCCAGTGTTTGTTGTGTTGAGCACACATCACATTTGTTAGTATTTTAGCTGTGTTAACAGAACAGAATATCAGGGCAGTGGTCATTCACTAAATCGCTAAATCACTTTGTGTTGATATATGCCTATCAGCAAAGGCTCAGGACAGCCCTTTTTACATTAAAGAAAAACTCAACAAAATCAATTAGTGACTCTCTTTCTTAATAAATGCCTTTTAAAAAATTGTTAGTGTACCAAATAAAATTAGCAATAAAAATTATTTTTAAAATAGCCTTGAGTTCTTCTGAATCTCAACATTTTCTCCTTCACTCAGGAGTCCCATTTCGTGGTATGCTGTTTGGAGGAGATTTTCACAAGTGATGATAACCTGTTTTTCTTCCAACTCTGACTTTGGAAAACATCGTAAAAGATAAAGAAGTTGTAATACAACATGGATGAACCCTGAAAACATTATGCCAAATGAAAGAAGCCATTCACAAAAGATCATATATTGTATGATTCCATTTATATGAAATGTTCAGAATAGACAAATCCACAGAGACAGAAAGTAGATTAGTCATCCCCAGAGTCTAGAATAGGGGAGGGGGAGAGATTGCTAATGAGTACAGGGTTTCTTTTTTGGGGTGATGAAAATGTTCTAAAATTAGGTTATGGTAAAAGCTGTACAGCTCTGAGAATATATTCAAAGTCACTGAATTATACACTTTGGGTAGATTTTATGATATGTGAATTATATCTCAATAAAGCTGTTAAAGTTTTAGTATACCACTTTAGAATAGTAAATATGTTACATGTGGACTAAATCATTAGCCTAGCTTCATTTTAATAGAATGTAATATCCACACTGTAATATGTGAATCTATACAGCTCTAAAAGATGACTGTTTAAGACATTTGTGTCTTCTTCAACCACATGATCAGCAGAGTTAAAAATGCACTTGTTCAGCAAAGATTTGTGGATTTTTCTAGTGTATACTGGGTACTGTCTCATATGTTGTTTAATTTGTTTGTTTGTTGTTGCTATTGTTTTTGAGATGGGCTTACTTTGTCTCCCAGGCTGTAATGCAGTGTGGCACAATCATGGCTCACTATATCCTTGACCTTCTTGGCTCAAGTGATCCCCTTGCCCTCAGCCTTCAGAGTTTCTGGGACTACAGGCACTTACCACCATGCCTCACTAAGTTTTTTTTTTTTTTTTTTTTTGTAGAGACAAGGTCTCACTGTGTTGCTCAAGCTGGTCTGGAACTTATGGCCTCCAGTGAACCACCCCCTTCTTGGTCTCCCAAAGTGCTGGGATGACAGGCATTAGCCACCACACATGGCTCTGGTCTTATATATTAAACATACAGAGATGACCAGATTATAATTCCTGCCCTCCAGAGTCTTGCTATTAGTAGAGTAGATAGACAAAAACAAAAGTATGCCAAAAAATGTGGCAGCATGCTACATGATGTCATAAAGGTCTGACCTTTTTTTTAAAATAGCAGACCAGACTTTGGGCCATGGGGAAAGAAAGTGCTGTGTTCTACCCCAAGATATTATGGAAGATTCTTAAGAATGGGACTTTTAGTCTAAGAAAAAACAGAATGTGGCAGGGAGACGAGGGCCTTCTAGGCAAAGAGAATGAATGAATAGCTTATACGAAGGCACAGGGGCAAGGGGAGAACAAACAAAACAAGCATAGACTGTTCAAGAACTTCAAGTGACTTAGGTGACTCCTGAGCTCAGAATTCATGCGGCAGGAGCAGCAGCGGGAGATGACTCTAGAAAGCTGGACTAGGAAGGTACCAGGAAAGGCCTTGTAGGCGTTACTAAATTCGTTAATGGACAGTGCTGAGAGAACTGTTCATGTGTTAATTAATCTCATTAATATATAGTCACCCAGTGTAGGTGCAGAAAAGGAATTAAGAAATATTCATGCAGCCAAAAAAAGAATGAGATTGTCTTTTGTGGTAACATGAATGGAACTGGAGGCCATTATTCTTAGCAAACTAACACAGGAACAGAAAACCAAATACTGCATGTTCTCACCTATAAGTGGAAGCTATAAATGATAAGAATTTATTAACACAAAGAAGGAAACAACAGACACTGGGGTCTACTTGAGGGTGGAGGGTGGGAGGAGGGAGAGGAGCAGAAAAATAACCATTGGGTCCTGGGCTTAATACCTGGGTGATGAAATAATACGTACAACAAACCTTGGTGACATATGTTTACCTATGTAACAAACCTTCATGTGTACCCCTGAACCTAAAATAATAGTTAAAAAAAGTATTTAAATTATATTTTGTAGTCTTTGGTATCTTTAAATTACTAAATATTTATTTGTGCTTTCTTGAGTAAAAGGCAAAATAGTAACAGTATAGCTTGTTTTATAATTATAATAAAGTATAAGAAATAAAATCTATTCAAAGTTAGCATTCTACCAGATGAAACATTTTATAATGCCACGTATAATTTTGATATAAAATATTTTAAATACATACTCAAAAAGGAGTATTTATTTCATATAGTATTAACTTGTCTTAGGAACAACTCTGCAATTGTAAGATAAGATGAGCAGCAACAAAATGTAATACACCTGGATTTAAGAGGCTAGCTATTCATAACAGCAAAAGCCAACAAAAAGTTGTTTCAAAGGCAATCAGGCATCAAGAAAATTTAAAAAAATAAAAAAAAATTCAGTCCAGCCTTTCATTTTTTAGATGAGGAAACTAAGGTCCAGAGAACTTTGACCCAAAGCCTAGAACTCTTGGGTCCCATTCCAACAGTTTTGGTCCTATGTTGCTTGCCTTTGGAAAATCGGAAGCTAAAGGGTTTAGTAGCACTCAATAAATGTTAGCTATTCTTAGTTTTCGGAAACATTTTTAGTACTGTCCAGTGATAACTAAGAAGTACTAAAAAATTGCCATTCTTACTCATAGAATGTCAACTTTACACATAGAACAAATGTTTCATTCAACCAAAACCTTTGTTTTGAAATTTGATTAGAATTGTAGATTTATAAACTATTTTTGTTTTAAGCAACTAAATTTGGAGTAGTTTCTTGCATAGTGCTACATAAGTGGCACAGATTTTATGAAGTACCTGGAAGTGGAATACTGCCATAAAAATAACCTAAAACATGTGACACTGGCTTCCATCCAGGTAGTGGATGGAAGCTGGAAGAATCTTGAGACTGTTAGCGGAGGCCTAAAGGGTATTGAGGAAACTGTCAGCACAGGCTTTAATGTTATTGGAAGCTGAGGGTAAGGATATGCTTGTTATATAGTGGAAGAAAGTTTGGCAACATCCTCACCTATAATAATATGGAAAATAGAAAATGTACCTCATGAACCAGAGGATCTAGCTAAGGAGATATCCACGCAGAAGTCAAAGGTACTCTTAATACCTGGCTTCTACCTGCCTAAATAAAATGAGAAGAGAGACAGCCTAAAATTCGAGAAGTTAAATATAAATCAGTCTGGACTTGCTAGGTTCAGCAATAAGTTTATTTTCTCGTTCTCAACCTGGAATCATCACCCCGCATGGCAGATGGTTCTAAAACTGGGCAATGGCTTGTGAGCAAAGGTGAAATCCAAGGGTGCAGTCAGGAAAACTGGGTCTATAGAAAGGCAAGACCTCAGAATAACTTAAAGCAGTACCTTATCGACTCTTTTAAACAGACAAAAAGAACTTAAGGGTGTGCCTCACAGATATTCTTTCATTAAATAGGCATTAGATGGAGCTTCCAATATTCTTTTTTTTTTCTAAAGAGAGTCTTGCTCTGTTGCCAAGGCTGGAGTGCAGTGGTACAATCTCAGCTTACTGTAACCTCTGCCTCCTGGGTTCAAGCAATTCTCCTGCCTCAGCCTCCCAGGTAACTGGGACTACGGTGCACACCTCTGCACCCAGCCAAGCTTCCAGTAGTCTTAAAGGCATTATTCCACTGCATATTTCAAGATAGAGAAGAGGGAGAAGGGTTTATTTCAACAAGATTTGTAGGTGTGGCTTTGGTTTAATGAAGTGAACTCTGCTGTGATTTACAAAAAGCCCACAAAGTTTTCAAGAGAATTGCAGTGGAGGAAACACTGCCAGCTGGACTAAGGGATACAGAGATACTCTTAAAATGAAGAGGTATTTGAACCCTGGATTTCTATGGAGAGGAGCAGGCTGAGAAAACTAATACTTGCAAATGCAGGCTATATTTGATGGAAAAGGAAGGTTAGTTCAGAGGATAGAACCAAGAACCCAGAAGGCAGAGAAAAGCCCCAGGGTATCTTTCTCAGACAGTAAGACTAAGCCCTAATCAAGCAACTGGTAACATTGGCTAGATTTCAGAATCGTTGCAGAATACAGTCTGTTATGTGCCTCCTGTTTCCCCCTTTTTGGAACAGAGTTTCCATGAGTGTGTATGTGTGCATATATAGATATATCTATATATGTAAAATTGCTGGTCATAGGATATGCGTATGTTTAGAAGATAATGCCAAACCATTTTCCAAAGAGGCTATATTTTTTATGGTTTAATTTTTATGTTTTAATTTTTAATTTTTTTTTAGAGGTGAGGTCTCACTATTGCCTAGGTTGGAGTCTAACTCCTGGGCTCAAGGGATACTCCTGCCTCAGCCTCCCAAATAGCTGAGAATACAGGAGCATGTAGTGTGCCTGGCTTCAGGGATATAGTAGTTATATTCCTACCCAGGAATGAATGCAAGTTCCAATTACTTCACACAGTTGTTACTGTCAGTGTTTAAAAAAATATAGCCATTCTGGTAGGGCATTATTTTATTGCAGTTTTAATTTGTATTTTCTTGAGGTTGAGAACTTTTCATGTTTATTGTCTATTTTAAAATCCCTTTTTAGTGTATATGCATACACACAGAAAAATTTAATTGCCCATTTTTCTGTAGGATTTTCTTTAAAGAAAAAGATTCACTTGTAGCATTTCTTTATATATCTGGGTAGCAACCCTTTCTTGGTTACTTACATTTTTTCCCACTCTATGGCTTGCCTTTTCACTCTTTTGTGGAAGCTTGATGAACAAAAGTAGTAATTCAATATATCCATCTTTTCCTTTATATAATACTTTTTGTGTTCAGTTTAAGAAGGCTTTACGTATCCCAAAGTGTAGAATATGGTCTTAATATATATTTTAGAAGTTTTATTGTTTAACCATTTATATTCAACTCTAAAATCCACCTGGAATTGATTTTAGTATATGGGATGAGGTAGAAGTCAAATTTCATTTTTTTCATATGATTATCCAGTTAGCCTAGAACAATTTATGAAAAAGACTGTCCTTCTTGTACTGTTTTGCAGTGCTACCTTTTTCCAAAAATAAAGGCCTATAAATGGCTGTTTCTGGTATCTCTATTCTGTACCATGTCTTTGAACCAATATCGTATTATCTTAATACATCCAGCTCCAAATTCTGGAGAGTTTCTGGTAGAACCCTCTGCCTTTGACAGCCATGTACTAATGAAGTTAAAAACTCTCTGTCCTCTGCAGCAACAGTGAGAACTGTACACGCCCTTGTGTCATGGAATACGCAACTGGAGTGGCATTGTATTTTTTAAAAAAGAGAGAAAACGGCTGCAGCCTGCTGAGCTCAAGCAGCTGCTGCTTGATGTCTTCCACTGTGAGAGCACCTTTCTGACAGGTTCTCAGGCTCGACTCTGAGGTCAGAGCAGGATTAGGACAGGAACCCACTTTGCACTGACAGCTGCTCTGTTAGTCAGTGCACTGACTTCAGCTCCATGGCTTCTCAAGAATGTTTAATTAATTTTCTCACTACTGAAAGTTATCTCTAAAAATGTTATAATCTTGTGCTTTAACTGGTTTTGTTTTTTGCAAGAGATTATGATTTTCCCAAAATCAGATGAAATTTGTGTTCTTTACCTGCTCTTGGATGCTTTACATGACACAAAGTTATGAAATTATAAGTGTTACTATCCAGTCTTCTCATTATTATTATCTGAGAATAGATAGTTTCCTTTGCAGAACTAGGTAGCTCTCAAGAGAGGCCCAGTCAGCATATTAAACAGCTGGCTCCCTGTAGCAGAGAAGCTACCCATGGGAAATAAGGAACTCTGTTGATGGCGTGGGACTCTTTCCTGTAATAAGGACCCTGATGTAGGGGGGTAGGTAGTAAACAGGGATGCATCTGCTAGTATGCTTTCTATGATTGCTATTTTGCCATGTGGAGAGGAGGTTCCAGCCCATTTGAGGGGCATAGGTTTTGATAACAGAATGCTCTTATAAGAACATCGCTACCTCTTCATGATAACTATTTACATCATTCTCTTGCCAAATAGAGTGAGGCAACATTTCTACTCTTGGTGTATTTTTATGTTTGTTCTTACTCTTCACTTACATTATTTTCAGCTAATGATGATCTACTTAATTTTGGAAGGTTAGGGTAGGAAGAAAGAGAAAGTAGGCCCATTAAAAACTTCATTTTCTTTCTAATATTCCTTGTTAAATCTGTCATGATAGTACTTCTCAATCGATATGAACAAAATTGTTTCTCTCTACCTGTATCAAGGAAACAACTGAAAATATCCTAACAAATTTTGGAAGGGAGGGTTTTTAAATGATTTGATTTAAAATATGGGCTATGTAAAACATGAAATCTACTTGGAGGAAGGGGGATTCAAGACATCTTAAAGGAATGGGCATTCTTTTCCGAAGTTGATAATAGGCTCTATGAGATATTACTCGTATTAAAAGTGCGCCGTCATGTGTAATGAAGATGCTTTCAGTTGCAATTGACAGAAAACTCTACCTTAACTGTTTTAAACAATAAGAAACTTACCAACTCACCTAACAAAGAACCCAGAGGTAAGACAGTTGTGATTGTGTTGTGATAAAAACCGTGGATCCTCCTTTTTGTAATATTTTATTCTAGTCTGGCCTTTTTCCCTGTATAGGTTTTATACTCAGGCTTGATCCCATCATGGCTGCGAGATGGCAGTAACAATGCTAGGCATAATATCCAAAATTAATTTACAGGTACAGGAAAGGGGGCATCTCTTTCGTGTGTCTCTTTTAAGAGTAAGAAAATTCTTGTAGAAGTTTCTCTGCATTCCTTCATATACTGTTGGCCAGAATTACATCACATGCTGAGTTGTGAAGCAGTCATTAATGAGGGTGAGAGCACATGATTGATTCAGACTTATCAAGATCTGCCGGGGCTGGCTGCATAATTCCCAGGGCCCAGTGCAAAATGAAAACTCAGGGCCCAAGGTAGGGGTGGGGAAGTTAATCTTCCTTTGTCATGGGCCCACCATCTCAACCCACAGTGGAGGACAACCCAAGGGATTGCTGCCTGTGTGCCAGGATGCACAGAGGCACCTAGATGATGGATGGGCAAGAGGCTACCACTGGTTTGCCCTTATAACACACCTTGGCACCATCAGTTTGGGGATAGAATGGCCATCTTCTCACTTTGCAGTGAGATTCTACAGAGTAATGCCCATCCCCTAACCTGGTGGCTGAGAACCTGTCCTTGAGGGATCGGGACCGTGTGTGAGCCTAGACTAACAAGCCCTGGGTGCATGCGCCATTGTCCCGTCCTACTTCACTTACAAACTCAGATGCAAGGATAAAATTATTAAGAGTTTCAAGTCAGTGACCACAGATTAATAAACCCAAGCACTGGGCCCTTCTGTGCATGAGGCCCTGAGTGACTGCACTGGTCACATATTTATTCTTTCCCTGGGATTAGGACTGCAGCCAGCCTCTCCTGAAAAATATCAGGGTGGCTACATGAATAAAATGGGGCATGCCAGGAAGAAGGAAATGGAGGTGGGGGGGAGTGGTAGATATTAGGTTGGGAATCAGCAACATCTGCTATAGATACCATGACCAGAGAAAATACAGTGCTTTGGAATATGAGTCCTAAAGTGAAAGCTACAGGGCATATGCTCTGACTTCACACTGACTGACTTCACATCTGACTCCAGGATGAATAGCAGCAGAAATTTATTCATTTGATATTGGTTAAGACTTGTCCTCAACAACATCTTAAAGGTCAGCTGGTGTGATGTAAAGTAAAGCTCTGAAACTCAAAGTTTTACTTCAGATGGCAAATAACATTTATTCATTAAATTAGCTATATTGATAAAGATGCTTTTAGAATGTTGTGGAATTATTTTTATTTCTAGTCATCTATCCGAAGGCATTTTGTAATTGTGCTTGTGTGTGTGTGTATATGTGTGTGTTTGTGTTACAGTTTAAAATCTTACTGTATTACCTACATCATTGAAAGAATCATCATGCAGCCTTTCTCAACAAAGGCTTATCTAGAGAATTATACCCTAATATCCTAAAGTATATTTAATGAATTAATAAATATTTAATGAATTAACTTACTCATTCCTGGGAGAATTGAGAATAGAGTCATTCAAATCATTTTCTATGGGGTTAAATTCTTTGGCTGAACCCGAGTTGAGAAAGGCTGCTAGAGAATGCATTGAAGACCAAAGACTTGGTTACTGTTTATGCCAAACTTCTTAAAGATTACCACCACCATAAAAACAAAAGAAAGAAAAAATTAGTTAAGCATTTGTTTTATTGATACACAAGAGAATACTTTTGACTTTTAATGAATATTTTGTTTTACTAGTTAAATAATCTGGAAATTCCCTGCCATCTAAATCTAGAAACTAGGGGGGAAGCTGGGGTTTTTTGCTTGGGAGCTTTTTGTTTTTATTTTTATATTTTCATGTGTTTTTCTTTACTTTTTCTGAATATGACCTGAAATATAGCTTAGTGATTTTTCTAACTAACAATGCAATACAAATATTATTCATGATATATTTGTTCTAGGGAAGAAAAGTTTATTTAAAGTAACGAAAACCTTTTTAGTTGTCCTGTTGGAGTTGAGGAAAGGGATATAGAAGACGAAATACAGAAACACTACTCAAATTTTATAATCATATCCAATATTTTATTTTTAGTTGGTGATTTCATTAATTGAGCTTCCCTTTGTCCTGTTTCAGAGACTTGGTGTTCATTGACAAATCCTTTTTCATCAACAAATTGACATCTAAAAAAAGTTATTTTTTTCTGTCATATGAGGAAAACAACAATTATTATGAACTCATGTAGATATACCGGGAACTGTAATGTACATATTAATTATACTACATAATATCTGATTATAGGAGATATCTGGAAAGGTAGAATGCAAGTTCTTGTAGTTTGATTGAATGCTGGAAGCAAAAACAGGGCCTTAAAATTTTGCTTAATGGGAATCATCCTGTCACCCACCATTATATTTTATTAAATACTAGGCTTCGCCCAAAAGCAGATTAGTTTTGTTTTTTTTTGTTGTTGTTTTTTTTTTTTTTTGAGACGGAGTCTCACTCTGTCGCCCAGGCTGTAGTGCAGTGGCGCAATCTCGGCTCACTGCAACCTCTGCCTCCTGGGTTCAAGCGATTCTCCTGCTTTAGCCTCCCAAGTACCTGGGATTACAGGCGCCTACCACAGCGCCTGGCTAATTTTTTGTATTTTTCTTACAGAGGGGGTTTCACCATCTTGCCAGGCTGGTCTTGAGCTCCTGACCTTGTGATCCATCCGCCTTGGCCTCCCAAAGTGTTGGGATTACAGGTGTGAGCCACGGCACCGAGCCGCAGATTAGTTTTAAAAGCAGAAGACCTGTGAAAGAGACTGAGCTACACTGAATCATTAATGTAATCATTAATGTAATTTTTTACTCTATGAATAATTGTCAAACAGGAGTAAACACACACCATCCTACTCGATTTCCCACTCTTTATTGACTCATAATGATAGCAGAAAGTAAATATCAGGAATCAGTTTCAAAGGTGTCATAAGAAAAGAGAGCTGTAGACCAATACACCTTATGAACATGGATGCAGAACTCTTTAACAAAATGGTAACAATCAAGAAATAGCTTTTGAAAAATGTATAATACATCATGACCAAAGTGCAGTTTATCCTGGCAATGTAAGTTCGGTTTAACTTGTGAAAAAAAATCAGTGTAATTCATCATATTAATATAAAAAAAAGAAAATCCATATGATCAGGAAAGCAGAAAAAGCATTGAACAAAATTCAGTGTTCATTCATGAGAAACAATTCAGCAAACTAGGAATAGAAGAGAACTTCCTTAAGCTGATTGAGGTCATTTTAAAAAAAAACTTAAAATTAACATCAAACTCAGCTGTGAAAGCCTTGATATTTTCTAAAATCAGAAATAAGACATAGATGTCCATTCTTTTTAACTTTTTACTCTTCATTATACTGGATGTCATAGCTAGAGTTGTAAGGCAAGAAAAAGTAATAAAAGATACACAGATTAGAAAGGAAGAAGTGGAACAGTCTTTATTTGCAGATGGCTGCAAAAACTTATTAGAACTAAAAGTATATTGAACAGAGTTTAGAGATACACAGCCAGTATAAAAAACAAATGTATATCTACATACAAAGCATAAACTATTAAAAACTGAAAAATTTGGCTGGGCACAGTGGCTCACACTTGTAATCCCAGCACTTTGGGAGGCCAAGGTGGGTGGATTGCTTCAGGTCAAGTTTGAGACCAGCCTGGCCAACACAGCGAAACCCCGTCTCTACTAAAAATACAAAAAATTAGCCAGGCGTTGGGGTGCACATCTGTAGCACTAGCTGCTCAGGAGGCCGAGGCAGGAGATTGGCCTGAACCCAGGAGGTAGAGGTTGCAGTGAGCCGAGATTGCGCCACTGCACTCCAGCCTGGGTGACAGAGTGAGACTCCATCTCAAAAAAAAAAAAAGAAGAAAAAAAGAAAAATTTAACACTATATATAATAGCATAAAAATACTTAATATAGGCCAGGCGCGGTGGCTCATACCTGTAATCCCAGCACTTTGGGAGGCCGAGGCAGGCGGATCACGAGGTCAGGAGATCAAGACCATCCCGGCTAACACGGTGAAACCCCGTCTCTACTAAAAATACAAAAAAAAATTAGCCGGGCGTAGTGGTAGGCACCTGTAGTCCCAGCTACTCGGGAGGCTGAGGCAGGAGAATGGTGTGAACCCAGAAGGTGGAGCTTGCAGTAACCTGAGATCGCGCCACTGCACTCCAGCCTGGGCGACAGAGCGAGACTCCGTCTCAAAAAAAAAAAAAAAAAAAAAAACTTAATATATTTAACAAAAGATATGTAAGACCTCTATGCTGAAAACTACAAAATACAACAACAGGAAATTAAACAAGAGCTAAATAAGTGGAGAGATGATTAGAAGGAATCAATATTGTTAAGATGTCAGCTTTCTCTATATTAGTCTATAGATTTAATGTAATCTCAGTCAAAATCATAGTAGGATTTTAAAAAAGAAATTGGTAAGTTGATTTTAAATTTCATATGAAAAGGTAAAAGACCTAAAATATCCAAAACAATATTGTTTTTTACCTGGTTTCAATACATATTGTAAAATTGTAACAATACAGTATGGTATTGGCATATGGAAAGATGCCACTATAGATCAGGGCTTTACAGGGCTTTTTGGTTGGTTTCCATGAAGCTCTCGCACATATTTTATGTTTATTTTAAGGTGTTTTATCTTTTCATTGTTGTTGTTACTGCCAGTGTTGGCTGTATTTTACTGCATCTTCATACTAATTTTTGCTTGCGTATATAAAGACTGTTGGATTTTTGTGAGTTAGTTTTGTATCCAGTCACCTTACTACATTTATGGTTTGTTATTACTTTGACTATTTTGGATTTTCCAAGGAAACAATCACCATCTGTAAACACTGAAAAACATACCTCTTTCCAATTTGTATTTGCTTCTTATTTCTTATGTTTTCTAAATGTAGTGGCTACAGTGTTACTTTTTGTTATTATAGTATAAGACTACGAAGTTACTGATTTTCTTTTTTGTCTATTAAGCTGATTTTTAATACTTAGGCAACATTCTGAAATCTTAAATTGCAATGATTCTTTATAAAATACAAACGCTTGTTATTTTAGTTAGAAAAATAATCATTTTGCAAACCTAGAATTAATGACTTGCTGAGAAGCGTTTTTTTCCATACTGAAAAGGTTAGGAAAATTTAGAAATTACTTTAGAAAATTTACTTTAGAAAATTTAGAAATCACACAGGAGCGAAAAGAACAAAATCCTACCACTCAGAGATAATCATTGTAAATATAATGGTTTATTTGTTGCATTCTAGAGATTTTTTTTCCCCAAGTAAGCTATCTTGAACAGAGAATATGTGTTTTAACATGTAGTGGGTGATGTTTTTAATAACTAGGTCTAATTTTGGCAAATTGGTTCTTTTTCTATAAGATTTTAAACCTCAGAGTGAACATTAAATTGGATTCCAATTAAATAAATCAGACTATTTTGGCTAGGAGGGTTGTTTGTACTTTCATTAGTACATACAAGAAAAAAGCATATGTTACAGCATCTATTTCTTCTTTACTTCAAGTATATACACATTAATAGTTATTTAAGAGTACTGATTATCAGATGGATGATTTTTAGAAGGATGAGATGAGCCCAGAAGAGAGATAACAGATTATTGCCATAGTCAAGATGGGACATTTTGATTATTTAGCTTTGGGCAGTGACATTGGGGATGTAAAGGAAGGAATGGGTTCATGATATATTTAGAAAATAGTAAGCAATGGAATTGGTATTTTATATGGAGCATTGAGATCAAGGAGGGTTTTTAGGTTTACATCTTAAGGACCTTGCATAAGCAAAAATTGGTCTTGAAATTATGTTAGTTTTTTTTGGATTGGTCCCTAACACAAATTAGTGGTTTTTAGGATTTCTCAGTAATCTCTTTCTTTACAGTATGTACCTTATAGGGTTGTTGTGAGGACTAAATGGGTTAGTATCTAGAATAACAACTTAAAATAGTATTTGGCACATATTAAATGTTCAGTAAATATTAGTTGTTTTTATCCTAATTTGCACAGGATTACTTGAATGGGCTTGCTTACCCTTTTATTTTCTCATAACTTTTTAGATTATACATTTTCTCATACAGTTTTGAAAATTTTGAAGTAATTCATTATGTTAACAGTTAATGAGGTTTTACATTTATGAAAATAAATATTACTTAATTTCTGTAACATGTCTGCCACGTATTGTTTTTATTGTGGTAAAATACATATAAAACTTACCATTTCTGCCATTTTAAATTCAGTGACATTTAGTATTTTCAAAATGTTTTGCAACCATCACCACTGTCCAGTTTTAGAACATTTTCATTACCCCAAAAGGAAACTCTGTACCCATTATACAGCTTATGTTACGTTTGGTTTGCTATGGGGGTCTAATCTCTTTCTTCTGGATGTAAAGCCAGTTTTCCCAATGTGATTTGTTGAATATATCTTCTTTTTTTCCACAAACATAAAATGCTGTCTCTATCATCTGGTGCCTATGTGTGCTGAGGTTTGTTGCAGGGCTGTTTATTCTTGTCAGTTCTATTGCCCAGGGATTTTAGGAAGTAAATTTATATTTATAAATACATTGCCTTATGGTGCATCCCTTTGGTTGTTCTCTCTCTATAGTTATTATATATGCATATTTTCCCTAATAAATTATAACAGATATCCAAAGGCTTTTCATGTGACTAGGTTGCCAGGACTTTCCAAATTTATGTACTGGCTTTATTGAAACTTAGGTTTTATGTATTGCATGTAAAGTCATATGTTCCTATGTAGATCATTCTAACTTGATATTTTAAAATGCCTCTTGATAATAATAGTCATATGTTGAATTTGAAGTTTTGTGTTTAGAAAAATTATAGCTTTAGGCTGGTTGTGGTGGCTCATGCCTGTAATCCCAGCACTTTGGGAGGCGGAGGTGGACAGATTGCTTGAGTTCAGGAATTCGAGACTAGCCTGGACAACATGGCGAGATCCCATCTCTACTAAAAATACAAAAAAATAGCTGGGCATTGTGGTGCATACCTGTGGTCCCAGCTACTCAGGAAGCTGAGATGGGAAGATTGCTTCAGCTGGGGGTGGAGGTTGCAGTGAGATGAGATTGTGCCACTGCACTCCAGCCTATGTGACAGAGTGAGACCTTGTCTCAAAAAAAAAAAAGAAAAAAGAAAAAGAAAAATTATGGCTTTAAATAGAATTATTCTTCAGTGTTCAATGCATATCTTACTACTACCACATTGACCTAAGCCAGTGTGGCTATGCCCTACTCTTAGGTTCTTTTTGGTAGGTAATGGTAGCCTCCAAAGAAATTTGAAAAAGATAAGGGCTAGCTATTTCTTACAACCTCATTATTAGGGTCTCATGAAAGCAAATCTCAGACCAAATTTTGCTGCACATATAAACGTAGCATATAGAAATGTATTAACTAAATATTAATAAGCAGGCACAGGTAGTTCTCGTAACCTGAGGAAAGCCCATCCTTTAGTCCTAAGAGAGGCTCTGACCAACACCTTGCAGGAAAGGGGTCATGTAAGGGAGAATTCTGCTTCCTTCATAGCCTGCAATAGGCAAACAGTCTTCCACATATCACAGTGGGATATTGGAATATTCAGCTTAAAGGAAGGCATCATCCATAAGGAAAAAACATCCATGCTCCACTGCATTCTGAAAGGATGAGTCAGATCTTTAAAATACTTTTTAACCAGATCATATTTCTTAAATGCTTTTTATTTCACAAATGGAACCCCATTTTTATATTCATTATTGTAGTTGTAGCCCACTGTTTTCACCAATGAAATTTTTTCTGATATTCAATATGATGATTAGCAAAGGGTCAGTTATCTGTTGAAATACAAATAGTAGTGGCACTTACGGTGGCCAAATCTGGAATGTAGATTTTTACTATGGCTAAAATGAACTATTCCCTATATTGTGTCTTTGTTTTTTTTGCTCACATCACACTATCACACTGGTATATTTTAAGTATTTCAGAGTAAATTGCAGGCATCTTGACCATTAAGTATAGTCACTTTTTTTGGTTAATGTAAAAACATTTCCTAAAAGAGAAATATTAACATCAATTCTGCTTATAATCTCTATTTAGACTTTGAATTCATATTGAATGTATGCAGAGAGGGGAGGGGCATTTTATTGAAACAGAAACACTCTTGCTTGCAATTTTTAGTTTCATCAAATTACTGTCCTCTTCAAATTCAGTTGTATGCTGGTATGAGTCTCAGATTATTCTGAAGTAAAAACACATCAAAACATTATAACACTGTTTAATATGAAAACATTATAACAGTGCTCATGTTAGAAAATCAATTGCTGTTTGTGACTTGAATTATGGAGCACAAATCTTCAAGATTCTTTATTGCTTAATTTACTGAAACTAGAAATCAGCATTGTTTACATAGGAGTAAGGTTTTGTTTCTGTGTGTAGAATGCTGAGGAATCTAAAACTAAAAGTATCAAAAACAATGCAATATTTTGTGATGAAAACAATTTGGAAATATAATGTATTACTGTTAGAAATTAGTTGTATTCCTTCTTCGGCTCTTGTAGCTATTGTCACATAGCATACTCTGAAGTATGACAGGCAAGCAGCTGCCTTCATAGTCATTGCCAGTACTAAAGATTTTTCTAGGCTTTTAGCACTCTTCTTTCATCTGTAAGGACAGGCAAGGCAGCTGTCTTTATATATTGGTGTAGGATTGGCATGGTTTGCTAATGCAGCTGCTGGACTGACTTCACAGCTGGGGGAAGAGCTCTTGGTATTAACAACAAAACTTAACAGAAGTATGAAAAGGCAATGTTGGGGGGTGGTCTTTTAATCTTAGATCCTGACCACTTGGAGTGAAATACAATGATTGATT
Source organism: Homo sapiens (assembly GCF_000001405.40). Classification (NCBI taxonomy): domain Eukaryota; kingdom Metazoa; phylum Chordata; class Mammalia; order Primates; family Hominidae; genus Homo; species Homo sapiens. The sequence goes on along the minus strand of NC_000008.11, from coordinate 79,942,986 downwards.
CCTCCTAAACATGTAGTTAATTAATGGAAGGATATTGAAGTAGTTTTGACTGAATTTGCTTCAACCTTTTTTTAAATTTATTTTTTATTTTTTAGAATTTCCCCTTCTTGGGGCCACATATTCAAAATTTCTTTTATCTGTAGACAACATGTATTTTTTTCTTATCTTAGCTGTAGCTGTAATAGCCTGTTAGAGAATTTTAAAATATTTAATTTTTATTTAGTATTTAAAAAGCAATCTCAAGACCAGTTTAGTTAACTTTAAATGATAAAAGTGCACAAATAGTAGTCTACCATTTCCCAGAGATCAGCTGTGATCAAGTCAATGAAAACACTGGTATTCATAAGAACTGTTGGGTAAATTCACACTGACCCATAACAACTCTGACTCCAGACTTCTAGAATTGGACTTCTCAGCTTTATTTATAGAAATGTCATGAAATAAGCTAGTTTTATGGAATCACATGGATACAAATATTGCCTGAAGTTGGGTCATTTAGTCAGAAATTTGGGGATAAAATTCTGAGATTTTGAGACTCATCTTCAAAATCCCAAAGATGTCATCATGCCTTCATTTTGAACATAGTTCTTGAAACAGCCATCTTGAGGTAGATATAAAGCACTGTTTTATGCTAATGGCAATTTTTGAATCTCTTGAAATTGTGACTTTATTTTCACCCCAAAGTACTGTGCTGCTTCCAAGTGTATCACTCCCTTGAATGCAGCCTGGATCAGCAATGGAGAGTCAGTGCAGTCCTGGTTGCCATCTATTATTCCACTTTCCTCTTGGACTAAAATATTGCAGTGAACCTGCTTGAGCAAGTCAGAAGTGTTCTTTTTTTACCCTGCAGTTTTAAGTTTATTGTGTTCAGTTGTCTTGTCCCCTCAGTAAGAGACTTTGCATGCCACTAGGGGATGTAAGTTGAGTCTCAGATCTCCAAGTACCTTATCTTATTTAGCTTCCCTAACCTCATCAACAAATTCCCTTACCATCTGACTACATTAAGTTAAGTTAAATGCACATACTATGCTTTACCTTTCACAGCAACTGGTCACAGTAATCAGTAGTATGAGCATGAACATAAAAAACCATTTTTTCATCTTAATCCTTTTCTCCCTAATTTACAATATTTGTCACAAATTCTTATGATGGATACTGCAGTGGAAAATATACATACCTACCTTCTCTTTAGATCTAAATAAATTATTGAAACAGTTTTCTCTTTCATTACAACTGATTTGTCTTTGAGAGTGAATTAAACTTTTCAGCATTTAAAACCGAACTTCTCAAATTCATTTCCAGCTCATTAGTTCATGCTAGCTAATTTGACTAAAAAATAATTGAACATAAAATCTTGAAAGAACTCTATTTCATTATAAGCAGCATGTTGATTGAGAAGGACTAGGGACAGGAAATTAGACTATGTGACTTCTCAGAGACCTCTGAGAATATAATTTTTATACTATACTTTGTTTTGTTCTGCAGATATCTTTCTTATCAATAATTATTTAAGTAGGGGAAATGAGCTGAAACTCTGTCTGGCTTTAAGATTGTACAACACAAAATGTTATATACAGAGAGTATCGAGAATAATAGTTACATCTTTTTGCCATTTGGAGCACTTTCTTCAGTTGGTGATCTGGAAGAGTAGCAGGAGACTGAGCAATGAATGGATCAAGATGTTGTAATACCACATTTGGAATCAAGGAAGGTCTAGAAGATTTGAGGATTTTCATATATCCTTTCAAATGATTATATGTCTCACCTTTTCTTAAAGACAGATCTTTCCTAGAGTTGAGACTGGAGTCTCACTAATCTGATTTAAAATTTTAATTTTTATTTATGTATTTATTTTTAATTTTGTATAGAGACATGGTCTTGCTGTGTTGCCCAGGCTGGTTTCAAACTCCTGGCCTCAAGTGATCCTTCTGCCTGGGGCTCCCAAGTGCTTTTATATTTAAGCATAGGCTTATATCACTAGTTTGTCTATTGGTGAGAAAAAGGAATTTTAATTATTTTTAAATGATGGCTTCCTTTTAGGTATTTTAATACCTACGTCCAAAAAATAATGAAATAAAAATCAATGTTGCGTGCTTCATTGCTTTTTCATGTGTGAGAAAACTCTTTTAACAGTGCTTTCTACCCCAGGGGTACTGTAGACTGCTTGTTCTGTCAATACTTTTCTCCATTTCTTTTGTCTAGTACAATACACCTCCTTGTCCCTTTTTTCTGGAGTGGTGGTAGAATTTCACCCAGCATTTAAAATGTAGATGATGCATTGTTTGGAAAAGTTGGCTTTGAAAAAAGTAGTTTAAATCTAAGTGAGTTATCACCTAGGTTGTGTGTATACCTAGACAGCAACCGGATACTGTGGGAAAGCTACAAGCCACCTTTGCAGATGGTGAAAAAAGAAAGATTCTGCTGTATAGTTTCTTTTGCTGTGCAATAAAGGCAGAACTTCTTAATCATTTGTTCTTTCCAGATTTGGAATTTATACTCCAGCCTGTAAGACTAATGTCAGAAACAAATTTGGTAAGAGAAACTTTTAAAAATCATTTCCTACCAGCCCTCACCATACTTCATTTCCTGGAACAGTAAAGGAGTTCACTTCACTCGCAAATGCATTATGAAAAATGTTTAATGATTTTAAACCAAAGTACCAGATGATATGTACAATAATGCCTCATTTATCTAGGATAAGAATCCTATAATAACAGCTCTCCAGAACAGGGCAGAGAACCTGAAAATAATATGGAGTTCTGAAAGCAGTGGCCATGAAACCTGTTTTAAAACCTAATATCTTTTTTACCAGAGATTTTTGCTCAATATGCAATTCATTAATCTTACCCCTAATATAAGTAATCAGAATATCTGGGGATGAGGCCCAGAAATCAGCTTTCAACATATCCCCCAGGTACTTCAAATGTGAAAAATGAAGAAACATTGCTTCTAGCCCTCATAAAGAGCTTCATCAGCCCTTATTGATATATATTTCTTTTTTTTTTTTTTATTTGAGACGGAGTCTTGCTCTGTCGCTTGTCCAGGCTGGAGTGCAGTGGCGTGATCTCCGCTCACTGCAAGCTCCGCCTCCCGGGTTCACGCCATTCTCCTGCCTCAGCCTCCCGAGTAGCTGGGACTACAGGCGCCCGCCACCATGCCCGGCTAATTTTTTGTATTTTTAGTAGAGACGGGGTTTCACCATGTTAGCTAGGATGGTCTCGATCTCCTGACCTCGTGATCCGCCTGCCTCGGCCTCCCAAAGTGCTGGGATTACAGGTGTGAGCCACCGTGCCCGGCCAACATATATTTCTTAATAAGATTATTTGGCTTCTCAGCTAAGAGGAGATTAGAAGTGGTTTTCTTCTAAAAACCATGTCGGAAATTGAGGCAGGTACTAGGGAGGCAAGTACATTGTAGAAAGAGACCAGAAAACTAAAAATTACGCTCTTTAAAAGAAATTTCTGTATTGGAATATTTAATAGTAGATTTTTCTTAATGGATGATTGAGACCAGGCCGATTTTTTTTTAATCACAATATGGCTTGTGCAGTAACTTTTAAAATGACCTTAACAAGGCAAGGAAGTATGTATATTATAGGCAACACTAACTAGGTGTATTTTCTGCTTTAAAACTACTATGCCAGAAAAGGATTAAATAATGGGCTGATTGATGACTTAGAAAATGTTTGATTGCATTACTGCATCATGATGAGACTTAAGGAATCCGTGTGCTCCTTGGCAAGCAATGACTTTGTCAAAGGAGTGTTGGTCCTGCTTTCAAATGAGTAAGAATGTGATGTGACCACTAGAGATGTTTTTTCAATGTGAGCAAAATCATTCTGAAGGGAAGGATGAAAATCATTAGTGAAAGTTGGGTGAGGTAACTAAACCCAGTCTTAAGGAGTTTGGAGAGAACCTCGGCCCTGATCTTTCAGTAGGTATCTCTGAAACTGATTGCTAGTGCATATTGATAGAAACTAGAAGCAAAGCTGTCACCTTCCTCTCACTTCCATAGCCAGCTCAGCACATCCAAGGAATCCCCCATCTGTAGATTTTATGTTAAATGTTTGATTTTACTTAATAAATATTTGTAAATGTGTGTAAAAATTTTGTGTTTCTTTTTCATTTATTTGTTTGATCAAATTGGGGCTCCCTCAACAGAGAACTCATTTATAAAACTGAACCTATAGTCCAACTTCTCTAGAAAGCAATTTGGTCTGTATATTTGACAGTCTAAGGTAGCTTTTTGACAGACTTGCAACAGAATTTTCCGTTATGTACAGATGCTCTTCTGTGGAACATTTGGTTTGGCTCTAACCTTGTCTAAACAGATGCACTTTGCCAGTGTCTTTGAGGGGAGGGAAAATACTGGCAACAGTAAGGTTCTTTTTTGTTGTTGTTGTTGTTTTTTAATCTGGTGGCATTCCCTACCAAAACTTCAACCATAAGGTATCTCAATTTTATTTTTTTACCAAAAAGAATGAGCTTTAAAACCTTAATTTTAACATTCAGTTTTTCTACTTTTCTTGATTCAATAGCATGGTTTGAAAAAAAAAAAAAAGCACAGCCCACAATCAGAGAGAACAGGGTGGAATCCTACCTCTACTGTTTACTAGCTTTATGGCTTTGGGAAAGTTTTTCACTTGGAAAATGGTGATAGTAATGCTTCTTCTAAAGTTGTTTGTGTGAGAAGAAATGAAATAACATGTAAAGTGCAAATCACGATGTGTGGCAAATAGGAGGAGCATGCCCCCCCCCACCTATGTCTTTTTAATGTAGCACTCGGATTTCACTTGATAGGTGAGCACTTCCCCGAAGTATGTTTATTCAGCAATTGAATCAGAAGGAATCTGTGCATCCTTCAGAAGTTGCCTTATTTGTTGACAGGTCTTCACATACTGAGTTTACTCTTCTGCCTTAAGTTTTATTTATGAACAATGGTTGTAGACCAGCGAGCACACACACCTCCCCCCAAAAAAGATGAATTAATCAGGTTCTAGGAAAATACTTCTTTAAAAATACAACATGAACTCTCATTGTGTACAGTGAAGAGAAATCCAGATCACAAACCAGGACACTTTTTATTGCTTTTTCAGTGAACCTTCTTAAATACCATGTAGTGAGCTGGTGTCACTTAATAGAGTACAGCCCTGTGTCTCTCATTTATTTAACAGCTGCTTTACAAACATATACAAAGTAAAGTATCAGAGAATACCTTTTCATTCTTTAAAAATAAAACCAGAAAGTGATTTCCTTACTAATCCAGTTTGGTGGTGTAAGGTAGTATCAAACTATGAAAGGTAAAAAGAACGTCTGCATTGTCTTTGATTTAAAAAATAAAAACTTCATTATTTTGTGTTTATTCCACTTCTACTGATAACTGCACACACAATTACACAAATTTTAGTTATTTGTTGTTTATATTGTTTCAACCTTCTGAAAATTAGAGGTGTATTTCATATGATGTGTTTTTTCAGGCGTTGAAAATCAGTATCACTAAGCTATAGCTATATCTTCATGAAACTTTTTGAGCTGTAATTTTGTGGTTGCCTACTACAACTTAAAGTGATAAATCTAAGATTTTTCTGCCCCCAGTCGCTCAAATTATTGTACTGACCACGTCTTCGTATTTGTTTCTTATTACAGTTTTTTGGTAAAATTTTACGTGATTTTCAAGGGAACAAGTTTTGAAAACCTAGGAAAATATTAATGTAACTTTTGAGAAGAAATGAGTTATGCTTTACTTCCTCAATGATAATAAATTCCTGTCTGTTCTAAGAGGCAATAATGCAGAGTTTTTTCTCATTATAAAACTAAGAGCTTGTGGCCAGGTGAGGTGGCTCATGCCTGTAATCTCAGCCCTTTTTGGGAGGCCAAGGCAGGAGGACCACTTGAGGTCAGGAGTTTGAGACCAGGCTGGCCAACATGGTGAAACCCCATCTCTACTAAAAATACAAAAATTAGCGGGGCGTGGTGGCAGGTGCCTGTAATCCCAGCTACTTGGGAGGCTGAGGTGGGAGAATCGCTTGAACCCAGGAGGCAGAGGTTACAGTTAACTGGGATAGCACCACTGCACCCCAGCCTGGGCAATAGAGTGAGACTCCTGTCTCAAAAAGAAAAACAACAAAAAAATAAAACTAAGAGGTTGTTTATTAAAAAATAGAGAAATATGTTATCACACCATCCTGAGATAGTACTATTAATGTTTTTCTTTTCTCTAAGCAAGCACAGATTTTTTAAAAGGGTTGCCATCATATGTCATATTTTGTAACCTAACATTTTTGTTTATTAACTATATAGTGAACATTTTGTTACATATTAAACATCTTTTGGTTGTGTAGTATTCCTTGTACAGACATCATAATTTATTTAACCAATCCCCTATAGTTGGATATTTACGTTGTTTATAAATTGTTTCTGTTTTAAATAAAGTACAGTAAACATTGTTATGCCCATCTCTTTTTACTTGTATTGGATAAAATCCAATGAGTAGAATTTCTGAATTTCTGGACAAATTGGTATAAAACATTCATATGACTAAATCATTCACTTTTAGAAAGGTAGTGCTAATTTAAAATCTCAACTAGCCCACTTCTTTGCAAACATGGGTAGGTTTTTAGTTTATTAATTTTTATTTTTATCTTATTTTTTATTTTTTTGAGACAAGATCTTGCTCTGTCACCCAGGCTGGAGTACAGTGGCACAATCATAGCTCACTGTATGAACTCGAACTCCTGGGCTCAAAGTATCCTCCCACCTCAGCTCACAAGTAGCTGGGACTGCAAGAGCATGCCATGATGCTTGGCTAATTTTTAAATTTTTTGTGTTGCCCAGGCTGATCTCAAACTCCTGGCCTCAAGCAATCCTCCCACCTTGACCTCCTAAAGTGCTTGGATTATAGGCATGAGCCACCACACCTGGCCCCTCTAATTTTTTTATAATTAATATTATATTTAATATTAATAGCAAAAGTATGTGGATTTAATTTGCATTTTTGTGATTATCAGTGCACTAGAGGATTTTTTTTCTTTTGTCTAGGGAGCAGATTAAGGTTGAATGTTTATAATGAGTCATTTTTCTCTGGTGAATTCCTAGTCATCTCTTTGTCCATTTGGCTCTTATGCCTCCATTTCTTTTACTTCTTTAAGCAAACATACCAGAAAAGTCTTTCTTGGTGTAAAATACAAAAATGTAATATTTGTATAGAAATACTGGCTTACATTGTAAATATTCTACAGGGAACATTTAGTTTATAACTTCTTTACTCTCAAGAATTATATTACCATTTTTTAGTGTTTTGTTTGGATTTATCTCTCTACAAACATAAATGACATTCTAGACTATTCTCAGAATTGGATAGCTCCTTTTTATTAATATGCCTTTAGGAGTCTTCATCTTTAAAGTCAACACTCTTCAGCTAATCACAGATCTAAGCTTACATGAAATCTGAAAATAAACTTTACTGTGTTTTCAGGGTTTGGCCTTAAAGTAATGGTGGATGGCAGATGTAGTTGTTTGACTGTTGTGTTAAACAAACAAACAAATAAAAGGGAAGAGGAAGAGAATGAAAGACCATTTCCTTACCAAGCAATCACACAGTTTATTGTCTAGGAAATAAAAAAGAAGAAGAAGAAAGAAAGGAAAAGAAAGAAAAAAAGAAAAGAGCCAGTTTTGTGTACTGTTGAGCACACAGATGTTCCTCTTGGCAGCCATACAGTACTAGTCAGGATTGGGGTTTCTGCAGACGTAGAATGTGAGGCTTCTTTGTTGGGGACAAAGTGTTGCCTGTGGTGGGAATTGCTGCAGTGATGGGAAAGTATCGTAATGTATTGTTGGATTACTGTGATTTTCAATAGAGACAGTACATTAAAGTAGCTTTGTGGGCAGTGGATTGTTTCAGCCAAGCCTGGCTAATAACACACTCATTTTGGCAAAGTCTATTTAAAAGGTAGAGCTGGCATAGTTTTGTGGTCATGGAGCCTGTCCCATACTTGGGCATTAGAATTACTTTTGCAAGCACTAGTTTTTAACAACCAATTTATTTAATGTAATTCAACAAAAGAGTTTGTGACTGTAAAGTTAAAACTGTAACCACTTTTCAAATGGAACCATTTTTTTTAATAATTGCTAAACTAGTGTTTTTCAGAATTGTTATTGAAATATTTTAATCAGGTTGTTTCTTAACCCACTTGTTCATTTAAGATAAAGTTTTGTTACAAACTAGAAAGTGCTGATTTACATGCTTTACATTTGAGCAGTCTGTGTAAATCTGGAGTGCTTTTTTGTTTAAATATAAATACTATGTTGTGAAATGTTTAACATATATATAAATCTAATCACCAGAAAGCAAAGGTGAGTATTCTTTAATTGGCTTGCCAGTATTATCTGTTCTTGTCTTCCATATAGTTTACTTGAAGTAGAACAATTAGCTGTGTTGTACTGGATGTTAGCCTAGATGTTAACTGTATTTTAAGGTTAAAATGTAAACTTTAAGGATTGAAATTGAATGTTTTTTAGTTCGTCCCTCCTGTCTCCCTTTTATGTTATATAATATTGAATGAATTTTTATGGCCTTTTAATTGCTTACATAAAATTCAAACAGGAAGGGAAAGGAGACTATAAAAATTAGTAAAGGGTGGAAACCTTAAAATCAACCCTAATTAGATGGGGTTGCTGAATTAGAGATTGAACTAATATGTTCATGAAGGTTTAGACTTTGTAAGAACCATAGACATCTAGTCAACCATCTCTTTTGACAAAGTAAGACGCAGAAAAATTAACCAGTAATAACCTGGTTACGAGGAATTGAAACCAGATTACACTGCTCCTAATTCTCACAGCTAAACATTCTCTTTTATTTCCTTCAATCTTGTCAAATTAAACCAACATTCATTTACTGATATACTCTGTCAAAGGATTCATCAGATAGTCACCATGGAAAAACCTAGTTTCTAGTTAGTAAACAAGAAACACAATCATTAAAAGGTGTTGATAACAAAAGATTTCAGTCGTAGTTTCAGGCAATAGTGAGAGTCCAATCTGAGAGCATTACTTCTTTAGTGGCCAAATGAACTGTGCAAACAATAATTATTCTTGAAACTCAGTAAAAGAATAAATATCTTCAGGCTAAGATAGTCAAAGGAACACCTTTTTCACAGTTTATATTTTGGGGTGGGTCTGAATTTTCTTGTCTGCCTCACTGGTGACTTCCAGCTTATTCTATAAAATTTAACATAAATTTCAGCTGTTTTCCCAAGAATTCCTTGATACTTCTTTCCTAATAGAATTTCTTTACATTTACCTATACCACTAGTGTATTTCATTTCATCATGGTTGTCTTTCCTGCTAGACTCTAACCTCATTAAGATCACTGACTTCTTTTTCATCTCCTGAGCATCTCCTTGGCACATAATGTGTGACTAATACATATTTCAAATAAATTGAACATTTGTGTGCAAATAGGCATTCATATGATAATAAGACCTTGTTATGTACAGAGTTTTATCCCCCCAAAATTTATATGTTGAAGCCCAAGTTTCCAGCGTGACTGTATTTGGAGACTGAACCTGTAAGGAAGTAATAAAGGTTAAGTGAGGTCTAAGGGTTGAGGCCCTAATCCAGTGGGATTGGTGGCCTCATAAAAGGAGGAAGAAATGTGAAAGAACACTCTGCATGTGCATGCAGTGAGAGAGGGCCACGTGAGGTCACAGCCTCTGCAAGCCGGGAAGAGAGCCTTCACCAGAAATTGAATTGGCCCGAGCCTTGATCTTGGACTTTCAGCCTCCATAACTGTGAGAAAACAAATTTCTGTTGTTTAAGCCACCCGATCTGTGGTATTTTGTTATAGCAGCCCAAGCAAACTAATATACACATATATAAACAAGCAAATGTAGGAGTACACATTGTTGTAGAAAATAAAAAAGGTCTTGCTTCCCCAGATCCCACTGCACATCTTTGAAAACTTTGTCAGCTGCTTTCTGCCTTCATAAGAATACAATCCTGCCAAGTCAGTTTACCCACCCAGACCACCTTACAGTCAGACCTCCATCAATTCTGATAGGAAGGAGTGGTTTTGTTCCTGAATGAACTGTTTGTTAAACCAAGAAGAATGCGGGCAGTATAGCAAAGCTTGACTCTACCATGGTCCTGAGTGAATTCTGACCAAGACAGACAGCTTTATCAGTGGTGTTAGATCTGGCTGCCGGGAATGTGGCGTGCCAGCACAGCCTCTCTCTTGCTGCAGTGCCTTTGTCCACAGATAAGTTTCCTGATTAGCACTTCACCCTCCCTGCCCAGTGTCTTTCCATCCTTGTCCCTTAGAATTCATTCTTACACAGAGCAGCCAGAGTGATCTTCAAAACAGAAATTCGATCATTCACTTCCCCTCCATAGGCTTTCCAGAGCACCTAAAAGAAACCCCAAACCGTTTACTTTGGTGTATGAAGCCTTACATGGCCTGCCTCCTGCCTTCCTGTCTGACCTGCGAGTCCTGCCAGTACTTTCCAGTCACACTGGCCTTTTGGTTTTGAACGTACCGACTTTACCCTACCGTGAGCCTTTGAACCAACGGTGCTGCTGCCTGAAAAGCTCTGCCCCCATCTTTGCACAGCTGGCTCCTTTTCTTGTCATTAAATGTCCCCTCTTCAGAGATGCCTTCCTTCACCACCCAGTCTACTGTTGTTCCCTAGTCCTCTCTAACATATCACTTTATTTTTATTTTCTGTACAACACTTACTCCTATTTGATTTGGTTGTTTTTTGGTTTATTGTCTCTCTCTTCCTAGCAGAGTGTAAGCTCTAAGAGTACTGGAACCCTTTCTTTCTTCTGTACTTACTGGTTATTGCAGCATCTAGAGCAGTATCTTCCACAGATGGGCCTCTAAAAAACATTTTTGAGTAAATGAATGAACCAGTGAACAAACTGGTAGGCTGGAGCCCCAGGGCCAGGGCAAGTACTCCTGCAGGGCCCATCTTTCTCAAGACTCATATTCTTTTCCCATATCCTCAGTCACTTGGGCCCTGCTGTCAACAGAAAGGCCCTCTACGGCCTAGAGACACACTTTTTCAAAAGTCCGGATGCTGTTGCTTATCCAGTAGATTAGAAGCCTTTAGCTAATTGATACCCACCAAAGTTAAGCTTAATTCATTGAACACAACATCTTTGAAAATTTCCCTGTCAACTATTGTCTACTCCCAACATAGACAGTCCTCCTGCTAGTCAATTAGTCAGCTCCAGTAAACCTTAACAGCCAGACCTACTTTATGACAGAGAGTAGCTAGTTCTGTACCTGAATTATTTCTTTGTTAAATCAAGGCCTATCCTGACTGGACTTTCATTGAGGATTTACTAAGTCTTTTATATGCATTATTTCCTACAATCTTCCCAGCCATCCTATGAGGTAGGAACTACGGTGATTCCTCTTTTACGGTAATGATTGAGGAGCTGAATACCTTGCCTAGGGTTACATAATGATCATAGAGTTGTTCACCTACAAGGAGTGTTCTTAAACACTGTCCGTTTGTTATCCTAGTTTTAATTAGTTCCCACCAGTAAACAGGCTTTCTTTACCCATTAATATGGTATGATACATGCTCTCTGTGCAGAATTCTGCTTTTTCTTCATCTTTTCTTAGAAAGTTAGAAAGCTCCAAGATTTTGAGATCTTTTTCTATGTCATAACCACTGATTTAGGAAGTCCAAATGGGCAAGGACAACTAGATGCAGATAACCTCTATAAAATAGAATTTGATAGGGGAAATGAATGCTTATCAAAGTTAGAGTTTCTATTAGGAACTACTAATTCCTTCTTAATGGTGAAGACAAAAATAAGTCACTATTCTACCCTGTTTTGTCTTACTTTAAAGGCATAAGAATTATTCAGAGATAATTATATTATTCAAAATATGCCTAACACTATTTTTTTGAATTTTATTATTTGAATGTTTTTTCCTGGATAGTAAAAAGTTTAAAATAATGTCATTGTCTAATCTCCAGGAAATTGCCTCAACATCCTATTTCCATCAAAATAAAAACAAAAGCAAACAATAAAGCTCTTATTTACAATTTAAATCATAAAGAGATGGTTTGATATTTTTTATTCAGAAATTCTGAAGTGTGTACTTTTTTTGCAGAATTTTATTTCAAAGATATTTGACAATTGATGATATTTAGAATAAGATATTAGCATTTAGAACAAAGTCACCCTAGAGATACCAGTCTGCACAAAAGCAATTTCTTTTCTCAGATTAGAAGCAAAAATATCATCAGCTTGCATCCTGGTCACTGTGTAGTCACACTCCTGTTTTGACAGGAATGACCCAGAGATTAGGGAATACTTGGAACATTCTAAGTAACACATTGTCAACACCTATCCTGCTCCTCAAGATTTAAAATAAGTGAATGCAGCTTTGAGATTGGAAGCCAGGTTAAGGAGCACATATGGCAGGTGGTGGAATGCAGACTTGTCCAAAGACTTCAGACCCCCAGTTTGCAAAACAAGTTGCAGATGTGTTATATAGCATTTGAAAGTACATATTTACTAAAATCTTCTACAAACGTATAGAATGCTTGCTACATATAGTGTTTAGTGTAGTGCAGTGTTACAAAGTGGAAGTTCAAAAGTACAACACTGACAGAGATTAAAGAGTAACACGGGAACAGAAAACAGTAGCTCCATGTGTCCTCATATAGGAGAAAAGGGTGATTTAGAACTTGCCTACCTAGGGAAGTGATTAATATACTAAAATACCTGTGTTGCCTAGTTAATTAAGTGATCCTCCTATCTGAAACACAACTTAGCTGGCCATCTATCCAGGAAATCATGTCCAGAATAATCTTTAGCTTCAGATTTGAGTCAGATAAAGAAGCTAATTATGCATAATGGATATCTTTATCTGTAATAAGTCAGAGCACCTATGGATGTGGTAAGTCACTGAGAGTGTTGTACTTCATGGTCTACCAGAGTTAAATGATGATAGGTAGACTGAAAGATAATCAGATCTTAAATTTGTTACTGTACACCTGACCTACCTTCTGACTGTTTGGCTGACTGCTCTTTTTTTAATCTGGTTTCCAGCTTTCATGCTTTCTGGTGTCGGAGAACTATTAGGCTTTCTGGGTCACAGAATCATAACTTTTAGAAATGGAAGGATCTTGAAAGTCATCTAATTCAACCCTTACTGAATTCAAACTCCACCATTACCACAAAGGTCATCCATTTTGAAAATTCCCTGTGATTTCCACCATTAATACACAAAAAAACAACCTGTTCCCTTTCCAACCAGTTCTGTTAGAAGTTCTTTCTCGTATTAAACTGCTGTGAATCTGCCATCCTAAAGCTTCTACCCGTTTGTCTTATTTCTGCTTTTGGGGGGGTGGGGGCATACAATATATAGTCACATAAAATAAGTACCGTCACCTTTTTAATATTAAACCCTTGCAAATTCAGACAGGTTTAGGGTCCTCTTGCTGTTTTTTTCCAGTCTGCTAAATGCCTTCCTTCCCTTCAATTCCTCATTCAACATAATACAGTATTCTTTCAGCGTCCTCTTCTTGATAGGTTCCGATTATCAATGACCCTCTAATTGTGTTGCACGGAGCAGGTCACAGTAGTCTAGATATGGTCAGAAAAGTGAAAGGAGATTGAGATTATTATGCAGATTATACATTAGAGAATAGAATATATACTTCTAATTCAGCCTAAAATTACATTAGCTTATTGGGGGAGCAAAACTACATTGTTGATTCTTATTGAGCTTGTGATGATCTAAAACCACCTTCTCACATGAAGTGGCTTTAAAGTGCTTGCTTTTCTGTACTTATGTAGTTGATTTTTATTTTTAATTTAACAGAATTTTCTAGGCTGCAGTACCCTCAGTTTTTAATAAAGAGTATGAACTGTAGTGTTTTTTTGTTTTGTTTTGTTTTGTTTTTTGTTTGTTTGTGAGACGGAGTCTCGCTTTGTTACTCAGGCTGGAGTGCAGTAGCAAAATCTCGGCTAACTGCAATCTCCGCCTCCTGGGTTCAAGCGATTCTCCTGTCTCAGCTTCTCAAGTAGCTGGGACTACAGGCATGCGCCACCACGCCCAGCTAATTTTTGTATTTTTAGTAGAGACAGGGTTTCACTATGTGTTGGCCAGGCTGGTCTTGAACTTCTGACCTCAGGTGATCCGCCCACTCAGCTCCAAAGTGCTGGGATTACAGGCGTGAGCCACCATGCCTGGCCTGTAGTGTTTAATTAACGTACTTAGGCTGGGCATGGTGGCTTATGCCTGTAATCCCAGCACTTTGGGAGGCCGAGGCAGATGGATCACTTGAGGCCAGGAGTTCAAGACCAGCCTGGGCAACATGGTGAAACCTCATCTCTACTAAAAATACAAAAAATTAGCCAGGTGTGGTAGCACACACCTATAATCCCAGCTACTTGGGAGGCTGAGGCACAAGAATTTCTTGAACCCGGGAGGTGGAGGTTGCAGTGAGCTGAGATTGTGCCACAGTATTCCAGTCTGAGTGACAGAGACTGTGTCTCAAAAAATATATATATATATATACTCCAAATTGGGGGTGCAAAGGGCAAATATCAAACACGACCTATGGTCAAGTCACGAACTCTATTCTAAGCCCTGAAAGTCTCTTTTTGTTTTTAATTTAATTTAATTTTAGACAGGTGCTCACTCCATTGCCCAGGGTGGAGAGCAGTGGCGTGATCATGGCTCACCACAGACTTGAACTCCTGGGCTCAGGAGCTCCTCCTGCCTCAGCCTCCCCAGTAGCTGGAACTACAGGCACTCACCACCACACCTGGCTAATTTTTAATTTTTTTTTATTTTGTAGAGAAAAGGGCTCGCTGTGTTGACCAGGCTGATTTCAAACTCTTGGACTCAAGCTATCCTCCTGCCTCAGCCTCCCAAAGTGCTGGTATTATAGGTGTGAGCCACCACGCCCAGCCGAGAGTCTTTTTCAAATCTACTTAACATAAGCCTGGTCAGCATGGGATAGTAGTCTTTGTGCTCCACCCTTTCCCCTTCTGCTCCCTGGTTGACCCTGGTTCTTGTCCTACAGAAAAGGCTATTTAAAGCACTCTGGATTGTGTGGAATCTGCAGCATGGGTCTGATTCTTTTATGAAAGATTTTTTCCTCTCTCTGACCATTGCCAACCTACATACTCTACTGCAATAACAGTCTCTTAAGTATTTGGCTTTCCAAAAGGGATCCATGAAGTCTCATCTCTTGTTGAAAAGACAAAGAAATCACGACAGACCTAAAGTAGTTCTTCCCACTGAGGGAATTAGTGGAATACGACTTTTCCCTCCATCTTTGCCTCCTGGGGTTGAGAGGAGAGGAGAGGGGATAGTCTGTCTAATTGTTGTTGGTATCCTCTTACTTCATATAGGTATTGAACAAGTGTTTATTGAAAATTCAACAATACCTATTTAATAAGTAACTAATTCAGAGAGACAGAAACAAGATTTAACCAAACCTGAAAATAGGTGGTACAACAAATTTTTTAGAAGTTTTCTGTTCTCTTAATGTAGTCGAAAGTGCAGGGGATTAGGAATCTGGAGACAGAGGTTTTACCATGGAAGGACATTATTAAGGACATTTTAGGGATGAGGAAATCAGGAAATAACATTTGCCATCAAGCAGTTGTCAAGCCAAAACTTGACTCTTGTGTATGGAGCAAGTGTTATGTTCTCGAGCATTGTGCTAGTGATTTTGAAAATCTTACGTCTTTTGGTCATGAAAGTACAACCTTAATGACAGTAAACCTTATGTAGCCAAGCTAAAATGATTCAGCCTTTTGTTTAGGTGAAAATACCTGTTAATCTCTTTAATTTTCATAATGGAAAAACAATTTTGCCCTGTCATAGCTGATATTTAAAACACATAGTTCTAACTTTGACCTTCTACATAATGTCTAAACTGCATGCACTTGTAAGGAAATTAAGGCTTGAAGTAAGCAAGATTCAGCCTGGCCCCAAACTACCACAAACCATTTGGAGAATAGCTGCTGAACGCATTAATCAGTGATTTTGTTGAACAGTCGGGAGACCAGACTCATATGGGAAGTGTTTTCCCAAATGTGCGTGAATCTCTAGCTCTACCCTATTGATTTTGCTGCAGCAGGTCTGGGTTGGACCCCAGGCCATCAGTATTTTCTTTTTAAGAAAAACAACTTTAAAAATATTCCACAGATATTCTGTGATAGCTCCCAGCTCAGGCTCCCCACAGATATACCAAGTCTGTCACTGTAAACTACAGAGTAATCTCTGGACCTTATTATCCCCTCCCTCTGCCCCAAATCCCCAAACTCAAAGAATGCCTTCAATGAGTTTTGCTCTCCTGTCATTTATTTTATATATGTTGAAGGTTGCTACTAGACTTGTCCACTTGAATAGTATTCTAGTATCTTTAGTAAAACCATATTTGAAGTGACTGTCCTTTTGGTTGCCTATTGTACTTTATAAATAAGTATTGATGTGGTGAATTATGTAAGCTCCTATTTATTGTGTATTTATTATGTGCCATGCACTTTTCATACCTTAATGCCTTAAGCCTCTTGTCAGACTTGCAAGGTGTTGCATATTGCAGATGAGTAAACAGCCCAGAAAAGGTAGATTTCTTGTACTTGGTCACAGTCAAACCTCTGTGCTACACTGAAAAAACTTGTTTCAGTCAATAAATGTATATATTTTCTTTTCTCTTAAAATGAAAATTGCATACTCCAAAACGTATCCCTTTTTGCTTAAAAGTCATAATACTACTGCCAAGTTTGATCCCAATTTTAATCATCAGCATATTTCAGGTACCTGAAAGCATTTACTCCTTCTGTTTCTTTGGTTTTTTTTCCCCTTTCCATATGTATGTATTCATATTTGACTAGCAAAAAATATTTAGTTTTTTAATAAAAATAGACTTGATATGATGGTAGTTAAGTGACAGGGTTTTCCTTTTCCTCTTTTCTTTTCTCTCTTTTTTTCTTTTTTTTTTTTCTTTTCTTTTCTCTACAGGGTCTTGCTCTGTCACCCAGGCCTGAGTGTAGTGGTGTAATCTTGGCTTACTATAGCCTCGACCAGCCAGGCTCAAGCAATCCTCCCACCTTAGCCTTCCAAGTAACTGGGACCACAGACGCCTGCCACCATGCCTAGCTAATTTCTGTATTTTTTGTAGAGATGGGATTTTGCCATGTTGCCCAGGCTGGTCTTGAACTCTGAACTCAAGCAGTCCTCCTGCCTCGGTCTCCCAAAGTGCTGGGATTACAGGCGTGAGCCACCATGGCTGGCCCTCCCTCATTTCTTGACACATCTTCTTTTGTAACTTGAGAAAAAATTATAACTGTCATAATTGATACCATTTATAATGTATTATATGCATATTCCACATTATTAAAAAATGAAATCATTTACTAGACATTTTTAAATCCTCCATTTTCACATTTTATAAAATAAATCAATGCTTGAACAAGAGACAAAACTTCTGTTTGTGGTGGCACAAAATACTAGCCCGGCAAGGTTAAAAAGAACTTGAAAATTATATATTCATAGTAGAATTTTAGAACAAGATTAAAATCTTTATCCAGGATAATTGCAGTTTGAGGAAATGTGTTTTGGTATATGAACAGTCTCTTTTGCTCATTGCTGTGAGAGTATGTAGATTTCCAACGGGCCAGTTATACATATTATTTGGCCTCATGGTAGGCACAGTCTAGATAGTATTTTTAAGTGATAATCATTAGTTTTTTTTTTTTTCAAAGGACTTTTGGGAATAACTCAGGTAGCAAAAATTATGATTATAATAATTTTTATATCTCAATTTACATCTTCTAATGGCCTGGGATAATAAATTAGGACTTAAGATGTGTGCTGTATTTGAAATTTTAATGATGACTAGAAATATTGGAGAGGAGTAGAACTTTTTGAACACCCTCTCATGTTTATTTTGTTAATCTTGGCTTCTGTGCTTGATGGTGTACAGTACAGATAGTACAGTGATGAACAATATTAAAAAACATAGCAATACTAAAACACATAGTTTAAATAATTAGCCACTTATTCAATAGATTGTCTAGAAATAAGTTAGAGGTTATGTAATGTTACCTGCTTATGATCATCTAGGGAATAAAAACAACAAATGAGAGACTCTTTATAGGCATCTTACAGATTGAATGGAAAGAAGCAATAGACTAGACAGGTCGAGGGAACATGGCAGATGGTACTTTGAAAAAGTGGGGCAAACCTGAAATAAACCAAGTAGTCTGCATATAAAGATTCATTTGTTAATTGAATGTTCAAGATTATTACAGTGTTTTATATAGCTAATAAAAAGGCTTAAAAGTTTGCATTTTGCGTATACAATCAATTTTGCATGTAATATCACTTTACATTGTATCAATTGTAATTGATACAATTGTTTAAAAGTAGAATAAAGTCTTCCAACTGCAAAAGATCTAAGGTCTTTTCTGACCCTCTGCTTTTTAACAATGATGAAATTGAAGCCCAGACAGTTTATTTAAAGAAGAAAATACACACACATTCCTACTTACTCACACACATACACACAGGGACGTGGCTGCTGACTTCACATATAGATTGGTATGACTGTGAGCATTTGTATGAATTAGAAAAATAAACAAATTGATGTTAATTAAACCTTTAGAAATGTTTTTCTTCCTCTTGAAAAAAGAGAAAATGGAAACTTTTCTTCTGTAGTCTTAAAACTCTAATTAAGGAATTGTGAGAAAGCCAGAAAAATATCTGAATGATTTTAACTTAGTAGGATGAAAACATAGATGGTTAATGATTTCAAAAGAACTATTTTAAAACTTCTGAGAATTATGATTACAGCAAGACAGCTAATTTGACTAGCAAAGTCAGAATTCCTCACAGTATTCTCTTTGGATACCGAGGTTCAATCCAAGCTTTGTATTTGTTGGCTTTGTATTACTTAATATGTTTATATCAAAGAACTAGTCAGAGAGATTCTCTCTATTTTAAGTCTGTGAGAACCATCAGTAGCATGCACTGACAGATGTTAAAGAATGTCTGTGGAAAGAATGTCAGAAACCTCTCCAAAGGAAAGTCTTTAAACCATGCCCTTAATACAGAAATGCAAAACCAGATTTAATTGCCCTTTTCCTATACAGCTCAGACATGCAGTCTCGTTTACTGCAGCATATGGCCTGAGAAAGTGCACAGTGGAAGAGAGCAGTCTTGGTAAAGGCTGAGATTGAATCCATTTAGGCTGGAGTTCACAAAGATCAGTCAGAAGCAAGCACTTGAAGTTAAAAGAAACACACCAAGCAGTAAAAACACAGGCTATTTTCGTTTTGAATGTGCTCAGTGGAGACATCCTATTTGCCTTTCAAGACAGCAGTATTCTTTGGTTTTAATAGGAAATACAAGATTTCTGAAAAACTGCTGCCTGGGGGGCTTTTTCCCCAATTAAAAAAAATGTAAAAAATAACATTGCATGAGGCAGTAGATATTGTTTTTAATGATAATTTATTTGAAAGTAGCCATTTTTCTAATGGATAATATTAAAATAATGAGTTGAATAGCAGCAATATGGCTTATATTTTACTTCATAGGAAAGACATTATAAGACTCTATGGAGTGATAAATTCTTACCACTCCTAAAGGGATTATGTTTACTGTTCTTTCAAGAGGTCATAGGTAATTGAAAACTTAAGGAGGAGCAGAAGAATCTGTGAATCCTCTTACACCACTGTGTGGCATTAGGCCAGTAGCTTTACTTCCGTGTACCATAATTTTTCTATCTGTAACATGGAGGATATCTCTAGTTTTTTAAAACAAAGACACAAAATATTACCTATGATGTCAAATACACATATATACATATATGCATATAAACATATAGAAGGACTAGAAAATGTGACTGACTTCATCATTTTCCAGATTTTACAAAAGGACATTTATTTCTAAAATCAGAAAAAGTAACTTCTCAAAAAAAAGCTGAATAGCCTAAATGTTTACTTGATGGACCATACGTAAATTTCTTCAGAACACCCAAATATTATGTGGAGACTAATCATATGTAGTCTACCAAAATTATTTTCCAGTGACTTTTTTGAGAACTTTGTTTCTTCATTTTCTGTTTATATAAAGTTATTTTAATTTTAAAATTAAATTAGAATATATAAAGTATATATTTAGACTGTTAAAGATTTGTGATTTTTAACCAGCAGTACTTCCACTCTTGCTATTCTATAATGTTGATGTTTAACTTTTAAAATAATTGATTGAGGAAGAAAGGCAAATGGGTATCAGTTTTCATTTGGTATTATAAAATACTTGAATATTTTATTGACTAAATTGAGTCATCATATGTTATGGCTGGCATTACATTTTCATTCATAATTTATTTTTTAACTAATAAAAATTGTACATATTTATTGGGTATAACATGCTATTTTGAGGTATGTATACATTGTGGGATAGCCAAATCGAGCTAATTTACAAATGCATTACCTCATGTACTTAATCATTTTTGATGATGAGAACACAAAATATACTCACTTAGCAATTTCCAGGTCTACAACATATTATTGTCATCATCATGATGTACAGTAGATCTCTTGAACTTACTCCTCCTATCTAACTGAAATTTTGTATCCTTTGACTAACATCCTTTGACCTGGTAACCACAGGAGCTGTAGTTCTCTCTACTTCAAGGTGTTCAACTTTTTTAGATTTCACATATAAGTGAGAGATCATGTGGGGTTTGTCATGCTGTGCCTGGTTTATAAAGTCCTCCAGGTTCATCCAACTGGCATTACATTTTAATAACAATGCAACCAATCCCAAATACTGAGTACTTTACACTTAGACATTTTTCCATTTTGCTTTCGTAAAATTTTACTTTAAAATAAAGTTTTAGCAAATCAATAAACGTAATCCAGCATATAAACAGAACCAACGACAAAAACCACGATTATCTCAATAGATGCAGAAAAGGTCTTTGACAAAATTCAACAACTCTTCATGCTAAAAACTCTCAATAAATTAGGTATTGATGGGACGTATCTCAAAATAATAAGAGCTGTCTATGACAAACCCACAGCCAATATCATACTGAATGGGCAAAAACTGGAAGCATTCCCTTTGAAAAGTGGCACAAGACAGGGATGCCCTCTCTCACCACTCCTTTTCAACATAGTGTTGGAAGTTCTGGCCAGGGCAATCAGGCAGGAGAAGGAAATAAAGGGTATTCAATTAGGAAAAGAGGAAGTCAAATTGTCCCTGTTTGCAGATGACATGATTGTATATCTAGAAAACCCCATTGTCTCAGCCCAAAATCTCCTTAAGCTGATAAGAAACTTCAGCAAAGTCTCAGGATACAAAATCAATGTGCAAAAATCACAAGCATTCTTATACACCAATAACAGAGAGCCAAATCATGAGTGAACTCCCATTCACAATTGCTTCAAAGAGAATAAAATACCTAGGAATCCAACTTACAAGGGATGCGAAGGACCTCTTCAAGGAGAACTACAAACCACTGCTCAATGAAATAAAAGAGGATACAAACAAATGGAAGAACATTCCATGCTCATGGGTAGGAAGAATCAATATGGTGAAAATGGCCATACTGCCCAAGGTAATTTATAGATTCAATGCCATCCCCATCAAGCTACCAATGACTTTCTTCACAGAATTGGAAAAAACTATTTTAAAGTTCATATGGAACCAAAAAAGAGCCCACATCGCCAAGTCAATCCTAAGCCAAAAGAACAAAGCTGGAGGCATCACACTACCTGACTTCAAACTGTACTACAAGGCTACAGTAACCAAAACAGCATGGTACTGGTACCAAAACAGAGATATAGACCAATGGAACAGAATGGAGCCCTCAGAAATAATGCCTCATATCTACAACTATCTGATCTTTGACAAACCTGACAAAAACAAGCAATGGGGAAAGGATTCCCTCTTTAATAAATGGTGCTGGGAAAACTGGCTAGCCATATGTAGAAAGCTGAAACTGGATCCCTTTCTTAACACCTTATACAAAAATTAATTCAAGATGGATTAAAGACTTAAATGTTAGACCTAAAACCATAAAAACCCTAGAAGAAAACCTAGGCAATACTATTCAGGACATAGGCATGCGCAAGGACTTCATGTCTAAAACACCAAAAGCAATGGCAACAAAAGCCAAAATTGACAAATGGGATCTAATTAAACTAAAGCGCTTCTGCACAGCAAAAGAAACTACCATCAGAGTGAAGAGGTAACCTACAGAATGGGAGAAAATTTTTGCAATCTACTCCTCTGACAAAGGGCTAATATCCAGAATCTACAATGAACTCAAGCAAATTTACAAGAAAAAAACAACCCCATCAAAAAGTGGATGAAGGATATGAACAGATACTTCTCAAAAGAAGACATTTATGCAACCAAAAGACACATGAAAAAATGTTCACCATCACTGGCCATCAGAGAAATGCAAATCAAAACCACAATGGGATAACCATCTCACACCAGTTAGAATGGTGATCATTAAAAAGTCAGGAAACAACAGGTGCTGGAGAGGATGTGGAGAAATAGGAACACTTTTACACTGTTGGTGGGACTGTAAACTAGTTCAACCATTGTGGAAGACAGTGTGGCAATTCCTCAAGGATCTAGAACTAGAAATACCATTTGACCCAGCCATCTCATTACTGGGTATATACCCAAAGGATTATAAAACATGCTGCTATAAAGACACATGCACATGTATGTTTATTGCGGTACCATTCGCAATAGCAAAGACTTGGAACCAACCCAAATGTCCAACAATGATAGACTAGATTAAGAAAATGTGGCACATATACACCATGGAATACTATGCAGCCATAAAAAACGATGAGTTCATGTCCTTTGTAGGGACATGGATGAAGCTGGAAACCATCATTCTCAGCAAACTATCGTAAGGACAAAAAACCAAACACCGCATGTTCTCACTTATAGGTGGGAACTGAACAATGAGAACACATGGACACAGGAAGGGGAACATCACACACCGGGGCCTGTTATGGGGTGGGGGGAGGGATAGCATTAGGAGATATACCTAACGTAAATGACGAGTTAATGGGTGCAGCACACCAACATGGCACATGTATACATATGTAACAAACCTGCACGTTGTGCACATGTACCCTAAAACTTAAAGTGTAATAAAAAAATAAAGTTTTAATTTTAGAAGGAAAATGTATCTGAAACTTCTTTTCCCCTTGATACTCTCTGACTTTAATTGACAAATTAAAGCAAACACCAGTTTTAAGAACTGTCTTGCTTGAATTTCCGTTTACTGTGGTTTTAAAATCTTTAAAGGCAACTTTTAAGATGAAAATTCTAGAGCTGGCAGTGACTCACACCTGTTATCCCCAAAATTTAGGAGGCCAAGGTGGGAGGGTCACTAGAGGCCAGGAGTTTGAGACCAGCCTGGCCTGGGCAACATAGAGAGACCCTGACTCTGAAATTAGCTGGCCGTGGTGGTACATGCTTGTAGTCTTAGCTGCTTGGGAGGCTGAAGCAGGAGAGTCGCTTGAGCCCAGAAGTTTGAAGTTACGGTAAGCTCTGATTGCACCACTGTACTCCCGCCTGGGTAACAGAGTGAAACTCTTTTTTTTTTTTTTCAAAACAAAAAGTTGGGTGATGGGGGCTTTTCTGATACAATCAAATTACTTTTTTGTCAAATACAGCTATTTCTAAGATACCAGTGTTAACTTCATCTTGAGCTAACACAAATTAAAATTGGAATTTGGTTGTTGTTATTAAACTAGTTGTTCATGTTATGATATTCAGAATTAATGGATTTTTTTTTTTTTAACTATTTAGGAAATACCAGAAAGGAACCAGGGTCCGGTTGCGGCTATTAGATCTTGAACTTACGTCTAGGTTCCTGGGAGCAACAACAGATACAACTGTACTAGAGGCTAATGCAGTTCTCTTGGGAATCCAGGAGAGTAAAGACTCAAGATCGAAAGAAGAACATCATGAAAAATAAATGAACTTTGCTTAGTGGATTGACTCCTTTGCTGAAGTCAGTTATTCATCAAGAATGCAATTAGACTAATTGTGAATAAATGATTGAATGAAGATATAATAAATAAAAGCTATAATTATAGATAACTCTTATTAGAATTTTCTTTAGCAATATTCCCACCCCCCACCCCTTGTTTTGCTCTTAATGTTTTTTTCCTTTGGTGGGGATAGTATACACTGTACTAAGAAATTGTCATTCAATAAATACGTTTTGAGTGCTGTCTATGTGCATGGTACTAGTTTAAACAGCAGTAAACAAATTAGACAAAATTGCCTGCCTTTTGGCCCTTACATTCCACTGGGGATAACAGGCAATAAATAAGTGAAATATATAGTATGTTAGACAGTGATACACGGCTAAGGAGAAAAAGGAAGCAAGGAATGGGGTTACAAGGTGTCTGAGTGACAGGTTGCTAGCTACATGGGTCTCTGAAGAAGAGTTTTCCAGCAGAAGGAGCAACTAGTGCAAAGCCCCTGAGACACAACTGCACCTATCCAGATTAAGGACCACGGAGGAAGCCACTGTAGGAGCACAAAAAAAGTAGGAGATGAACAGAGAGGTGAGGGAGGCTCCGTAGGTCCTAGTATGCACTTTGGCATTTATTTACTGATTGAGATGGCAGGTCATTGGAGGATTCGGAGCAGAGGAAGGATATAATCTGACATTTTAGCAGGATCCCTTTGAGTAAGTTAGCTGCGTAGACCTAAGATGAACAAGGACAGCCACAGCAAGACCTGTAAGGAGACTATCCTTGTAATCCAGGCAAGAGATGATGGCAGCTTGGACCAGGGTAGTAGCAGTGGAATTGATGAGAAGTGGTTGAAATCTGGATATATTT
This sequence comes from Homo sapiens, assembly GCF_000001405.40. NCBI lineage: Eukaryota > Metazoa > Chordata > Mammalia > Primates > Hominidae > Homo > Homo sapiens. Next base: position 79,918,102 of record NC_000008.11, on the reverse strand, counting down.
TGAAGATGGAGCCCGTGGGATTTCCTAACACATTGGATATGGAATATGTGAGACAGAAAGGAGTGAGGATGACAACAAGGTTTTTGGCCTGCACAACTGGAAGACTTTCATTGCCTTTAACTGAGGTAGGTAAGAGCAGGTTTGAGAGAACTATTCAGAACTCAATTTTGGACATGTTAAATTTGAGATGCATATTAGCCATCTAACTGGAGATGTTCTGAAGGCAGTTGGATATATGGCTCTGGAGTTCACGGGAGAGCTCTGGATGAAAGAAAGATACTTGCAAATCATAAACATGTAATCGTACTTCACAAATGATGTAGGTCAAGAAATAGGCGGGGTTCTTGACCTGGCTTGGGCAATTTCATTTCTTATGGTATCAATTGAAGTCACCTGGCTGGCTGCTCTAGTAGAGTCCAAGACAGCTTCACTCACATGTCTAGTACTTTGGCAGGGGTGCTTGAAAGGTTAGGTTCAGCTGGGACAGTCAACCAGAGCACCTACACATGGCCCGTCCAGCATGGCAGTCTTGGGGTAGATGGCTCTCATGATGCTGGCTTTCCCCAGAGGGAGCATTCGATAAGAACCAGGCCGACACTATCTGACCGAGTGCAGGAAATCACACAGCTTCACTTCTACCCAGTTGGTTATAAACAAGTTATAGGGTCTGGATTCAAAGGGAAGGAATAAGACTCCACCTCTTAGTGGAGGTGTGACAGTGTCACAGTGTAGAAGGTCAGCGAATTAATGATACTGTGGCAAAAGAGTGTGCCACACCACCCCTTCCCAGGGCCACACCCAATAGCCACCTCTGCAAAGTCTCAAATCCAAATTTTAAGCCCTCCACTCACTATCCTTCCTGCTCCCTTAATTTTGTGTACCCAATTGAGCACTTTTTCAAAAATCTTTCAGACTCCAATCCCCATTGACTCCCAATTTTTTCACTCATCATCATGTTCTCACTATCCTCTTCATCCAGCTTTAGAGTCTGGGGCACATCACTATGATGACTCCCTTGCAAACAAAACACCGTTGAGTCTCCTCCCTCCCTCCATTTTTCACCTGGCATAACTTCAACCCTGATTAAATGTCTACCTGCTTCATTCCTGCACCTGAGCTGCTCAGCATTACAGGAGAAAACCTTACAATTACATTGATTGGTATCACTTTAAATCTGGAATTTCAGGTTAAGATGTCAGGTTAATACATACATCTAATTTTATTCCCTCCAAAGCCTCACTAAAATTACAACAAAGGGAGATGGACGGATGAATAGGAAGATAGATGATTGATTGATTGATAGAGACACATGAATACCCACAGCAAAAAAAGTCAAGTATGAGAAAAACAGGAAGAGAACAAAATTTTGCAATCTGAAAATAGATGGATGAATAGACATTTACATAGCAGAACAGAGATAGACACATTCTTAGCTGTCAGTGCAGAAAGCTGAAAACCAACCTGATTTACTGCAGAATCCTCAGAATATTCAGGAACTGGCAGAACCAGGTACTTCTAGATCTCAGAGTGAAATGGGGTTAGGGGAGGTCAGAATAAAGAGATTTGGGGTCCAGCCATGGTGGCTCACGCCTGTAATCCCAGCACTTTGGGAGGCCAAAGTGGGCGGATTACCTGAGGTCAGGAGTTCGAGACCAGCCTTGCCAACATAGTGAAACCCCATCTCTACTAAAAATACAAAAAATTAGCCAGGCCTGCTGGTGCACACCTGTAATCCCAGCTACTCAGGAGGCTGAGGCAGGAGAGTCGCTTGAACCCAGGAGGCGGAGGTTGCAGTGAGCCGAGATCATGCCATTGCACTCCAGCCGGGGCAACAAGAGCAAAACTCCATCTCAAGGAGAAAAAAAAAAATTGGGGTAAAAGGTAAAAAATAACCTAGATTCCTTTCCCCATTCCACTTAAATGATGTGGCAGCCCACTTCCACCCAAACTGGCTGTTTCTCTCCCTTTCCAGCATGATTCTGGCAATTTAGTATTTGGACTTTGCTATCTGCCTTCCTCTATAGAAACAATTGGGGGTGGGGCGGTAAAGGAGTGGGCCAAATGCACATACACAAATGCACTAAACCGGATACTTCACTGCTCTGAAGACTGGAAGCCAAGGAGAGTATTGATTAAGTAATATCTTTTTTTTTTTTTTTTTTTTTTTTTGAGATGGAGTCTCGCTCTGTCACCCAGGCTGGAGTGCAGTGGCACGATCTCAGCTCAGTGCAACCTCCGCCTCCCAGGTTCAAGCAATTCTCCTGCCTCAGCCTCTTGAGTAGCTGGGACTACAGGCGCCCGCCACCACACCCAGCTAATTTTTGTATTTTTAGTGGAGACGGGGTTTCACCGTGTTAGGATGGTCTCGATCTTCTGACCTTGTGATCCACCCACCTTGGCCTCCCAAAGTGCTGGGATTACAGGTGTGAGCCACTGCACCTGGCCTGATTAAGTAATATCTTAAGAACAGTGGTCAGGAAAGAAGACAGAGTCTATACCTTCTGATGTTTCAGATCTGCAACAAGACCCTATATTCCTATTTTCAAAGTCTCACCACCAGAAAATTCTTCCTCGTCTCTTATGACACCAATCTAAAGGCTTCTTTTTAATCTAAAGTTCCCAGGTGTACTGGGTTGAATAATTCCCCCACCCCGCAACCTTCTCCCATATTCATGTCCATCTGGAACCTGTGAATGTGACCTTATTTGGAATAGGGCCTTTGCAGATATAGTCAAGATGAGGTCATGCTGGATTGAAGTGGGTCATACTGAATGCAGTATGACTGGTGTCCTTAGAAGAGGAGGTAAGCTTGGACACCGACACACAGGGAGAGTGCCATGTGGCTTGCTAGGGAGAGATGGTAAGTTCTGCTGCCACAAGCTAAGGATTGCCAGCAGCCACCAGAAGCTAAGAGAGCTGCATGGAACAGGTTCTCCCTCTGAATACTTTAAGAAGCAATCAGTACACCAACACCTTGATTGCAGACTGCCGGCCTCTTGAACTGTGAGAATAAGACTTTTTGTTGTTTTAAGCCATCCAATATGTAATATGTTAGGAAAGCCCTAGAAAACTAATTACACCAGGCATCTCTAAGACATACGATGTCTAGTCAGGGATTGATTTCCCAGCCTGACTCAGAGAGCAGCTATCCATCTCTCCCAATGCCTTGACTCCGTGATTGCCATTTGCAGCCCATATTATATCTCCAGTTTCCTGTGCTCCATTCTTTCTTGGTTTACTTTTATATTTGGTCCAGCATTGCCCTCTTTTACAGCCTGAATGAAAACATCAGTGGGTCCTCCAGCTATATTCAATCTAGTGAAACCAGCTCCCCAAACCCCAGTTATCTAGTTCAAGTCAGCCAGGTTGAGATAGCCTAGAGAACCAGTTTTCAGGGAGCAATCTTCATTCTTTTAATATTATTAAAGTAGGGCAACTATTTGAATCAAGCCAATACCTTTTTTCTAAGTCAACATGCCAAACAAACAAAACTTATAGTGTTTCTGTGTCAGCTCAGGCCCTCCAGGAAACAGACACCAAGACAGAACTAGACGTGCAATTCTGGGAGAAATGCCAGTGAAGGATAAAGAGGAGAGGGAGCAGGAGTAGACGGGAGAGCCTCAAGCTGTGAAGACGATCTGACACCTGTAAAGGGAGGTTGGGTAGGAAGAGTGTCCGGACTGCAATGCAGCTCTGTGAAATTCTCAGCCAGGTTAATGGGGAGTGTCAGAGCAAAGATTGCCCATTAGAAGAGTTCCATAGTAGGCAAGAATGGCCCATCTCTCCTACTCCCACCGAGCTCAGTCATTGGAGAGACCCAGGGAGTGTCACCTCAGCATGACACTGCTGGATTCTGAAGGTTCAGCAGCTGCAGGCTGTCTGCACACTACAATCCTTGAATCAGGCTCTCTCTCTCTTTTTATTTATTTATTTTTTTTTTGAGACGGCATCTCAATCTGTTGCCCAGGCTAGAGTGCAGTGGCGCTATCTCGGCTCACTGCAACCTCCGCCCCCAGGGTTCAAGCGATTCTCCTGCCTCAGCCTCTTGAGTAGCTGGGATTACAGGCGCCCACAACCACACCTGGCTAATTTTTTGTATTTTTAATAGAAACAGGGTTTCACCATGTTGGCCAGACTGGTATCAAGCTCCCCACCTCAGGTGATCACCTGCCTCGGCCTCCCAAAGTGCTGGGATTACAGGAATCAGGATCTCTTAAAAGGAGATCTAAGAGTGTATTCCTAGGGTTACTGCAATTTTCAAACATACAAGTACTGGCATATGAAGACTACTGCCATTCTGATTTGTCTCTTGGTTTTCTGAACAAGAATATAAGCTTGAAATAAGTGGATTTTCTTCCGTCATAACAGGTTTATCATGTCTTTGTAGGAGCCTAATTTTCTTTGAAATATAGACGTCATAAGAGTTTTTTAGCCCTTCCTAATTTCATTTTTATTCGGCATAAGATTTCATTATTAAATATGGTCAACCCTTTACCCATTATGGTGGAGAAGTACAGTGGTGTAGATTATCCTAATTATTTGTGGTTAACTTTAGAATATATTTTTTCTATGAAGCAATTTTTTTGTGATAAAATATACCACATAGGATAACATAAAATTGATAAGACTATAGGTGGCTAAAAAGAAGAAAAAATAAAATGTACCATTTTAGCCATATTTTAAGTGTACAATTCAGGGACTTGAAGTACATTCACATTATGCAAACATCATCACTATCCATCACCAGAACTTTTCAATCATCCCAAACTGAAACTCTGTATCCATTAGACAAGAACTCTTCATTTCTTCCCAGCCCCTAGTAACCACTATACTACTTTGTGTCTCTATGAATTTGACTATTCTAAGTACCCCATGTAAGTGGACTCATACATTATTTGTTCCTTTGTGTCTGGTTTATTCCATTTAGCATAATGTTTTCAAGATTCACATGGTGGTAGCATGTATCAGAATTTTATTCCTTTTTAAAGGTGAATAATATTTCATTGTGTGTATAATCATTTGTTTATTCATCTAGAACATTGGGTTGTTTCCATCTTTTGCTATTATGTATAATGCCACTGCAAACACTAGTGTACTACAATATACTTTTGAACTTACAATTGAACGCATCTATCTTGCTTGAGGCATGCAAAAAAATTTTTTAATCCCATAATAAATAATGGGCTAATTCTGAATATGCTGGTTAATTGTCCAGCATCCTCATTCTTCCTTCCCTGTACTCCTTCCAGGTGCTTGATGAAATATACAACCACCCTCAGTGCCTGCCAAACAGGACTGGCCTCTCTATACTTACTGATTTAGCCCTTACCCATGCAAATATTCTATTTCCATGGTGCTCCAAAAACTAGAGATTTTAGAAATCCTTTTGGCCAGGAACTTAAAATATTTTTAGGCATAGAAACCCTTCTTCACATAAAATTTATATAGTGTCATAGGTTGAATAATTGAACTCAGTTCTTTCCTCAAACGTAGTGATATTGTATATCCATATTCTCCACATGATCTCATGATGGCAAAATACTTTCCTGCGCCTTGACTTCGGCCTTGGCCATATGACTTGCTTTGGTCAATAGGATTTTAGTGTCTGTGATGTGAACAGAGAAGATGCTTTTGAGTGTGGCCTTGCTTTCTGGCATAGACCCTCAGACTAGAATAAACCAAATGGACTCAGCCTGAAGCAGAGCCACCCTCAGATCTGTACACCACAGGGTGCAATAAGTGCTTATTGTTGTAAGGTGCTGACATTTTTGTGGTTGTTTGTTAAGCAGCAATAGCTGACCAATACAGAAATTAATACCTAGAAGTGGCATTGGTTCTGGGATTGGGTGGTTCCAGTGTTCAATTGAAATTGTTCCAACGTTCTCTTAACAAAAGAGCAAGAAGTATCATGGAACAGGAAGGGCCTCTGAGAAAATAGAACCAAGAGCAATGGAGAAAAATGGACTTGAGAGCTATACTCGTGGAGCAGAATGGGGATCTAGTAAGGAACATCCTTGCCTTAGGGTAGAGGGACCTCACTATGTTCATAAGAGGGACTCCCGCAACACTTACCTAATGGGATTTCAGAATTGTTAGGCCAATGATTGTGATGTGCCTCCAGTCTTTTTTTTCCTTTTTTTTTTTTGAGACAGGGTCTCACTCTGTTGCCCAGGCTGAAGTGCAGTGGCACAATCTCAGCTTACTGCAACCTCTGCCTCCCAGGTTCAAGTGATTCTCATGCCTCAGCCTCCTGAGTAGCTGGGACTACAAGTACACACCATCATGCCCGGCTAATTTTTGTTGTTGTTGTTTGTTTGTTTTTGTAGAACTAGGGTTTTGCCATGTTGCCAGGCTGGTTGCAAACTCCTGAACTCAAGCAATCTGCCCCTGCTCAGCCTCCCAAAGCATTAAGATTACACCCAGCCCAGTATTTACTTTTTCAAATGGGAGTATTTATTGTAGTTATCCTGTCCCTGTTCCACCATTGTACATTAGATGTACTAATTGTCTACTGCTAATTAATTATCTATTGCTAAGTAACATCCCCAAAGTTTAGTCACTTAAAACAACAGAACACATATTTATTATCTCATAGTTTCTGTGGGTCAGAATTCCAGGCACAGCTGAACTGGATTCTCTGATTCAGGGTCTGTCATAGGCTTTGTTCAAGTTGTCAGCCAGGGCTTGGGGTTCATCTGAAGGTTTGACTGGGGAAGGATCCACTCCCAGGCTCACTTACATAATTGCCAGGATTCAGTTCCTTGATCAGGATTCAGTTCCTTGATGACTGTTAGACTGAGGCTTCAATTCCTTGCTGGCTATTGGCCAGAAGTCACCTTCAGTTCCTTACCTCGTGAGCCTCCTTAGCATGGTACCTTGCATTATCAGAGCCAGCAAAAGAGACAGAGTCTGCTAGCAAGATGGAAGTCACTCTTATGTAACCTCTTCACAGAAGTGACATCCCCTCAATGCTGCCACATTCTAGAAGCAAGTTGCTCCTAGGAAGAAGATAACACAAGCCCACAAATACCAGTGGGCAGGAACCATTGGGACCATCTTAGAAGCTGCCTACCATAGGTATGTAGGAGGTAGATAATTTCTATTTAGCTTATAGGTCTTTGGATCTAAGTAGCAGCATTTGGATTTATAGATCACAAGATCATAGGATTTTGGCAGATGCCATGATTGGATGAGGCCTTGGGGTTGGCGAGAGATGTCACAAGATGGGGATGGGGGAGTTTTGCATGTGGGAGGGATATGAATAGTTGTAACCAAGAAAATGTAGGCTGGGCATAGTGACTCGTGCCTGGAATCCCAGCACTTTGGGAGGCTGAGATGGAAGCTTGCTTGAGCTCAGGAGTTCAAGACTGGCCCGGGCAACATAGAGCCTATCTCTACAAAAAGTGAAAAAAAAAAAAATTAGCCCAGCATGATAGCACATGCATAGGCTTCCAGCTTCTCAGGAGGCTGAGGCAGGAGTATTGCTTGAGCCCAGGATGTTGAGGTTAAAGTGAGCCATGATCTTACCACTGCACTCCAGACTGGGCGACAGAGCGAGACCCTGTCTCAAGAAAAAGAAAATAATTGTAATAGATTGAATTATCCATCCCAATTTTTCATCCCCTTGTAGTAATATCCTTTCTATGGTCTCATAGTAGATAGGATATAGTAACTTCGCCATTATGGTACTCAGTATTTCTATAGTTGATATAAGTTAGAGATATAAATAAGTTCAGGAAAGGTTTTGATGAATCTCTGAATGGTAAATTCAGATTTGAGTATTAAAGGAAACCAGGGAGTTTGAAATACATCCCAAAACTTCTGAGGTTGACATTAATGGAGTACTATGAAACTTTGAAACCACAGGCTGGTTAGATCATTGGGCTGACCCAGTATTGCATTTCTTATATTCATATCATTTGGTTTTTAAAAATAAATACACATTTTAGTATAAATTCCTAAGGGAAACATGTAGTTTATTTGAAAAGACTATAACTTTTTTCATGTTTCTTTTAAACTAATTACAAAGAACTCAGAGATGCTCTGAGCCAAAGGAGGAAGGAAAGGAAAATTCTACAAAAGACCGTGTCTTATTTTAAGTTCTTATACCTGCATTCTACATGTGGAAGATGGAAAACAAGATTTTGAACACAGGTTTTCAGCTTCCAGGTAAGAAATTGTATGAACCCTGAAATTGTCCTGTGAACAGATGAAATCTTTAGAAACCAAAAAGTGGCTCAGATTACTACCATTTTCTTCACAAAATTGCCGCTCTGAAAAAACAATCCAACTGTTTTACCATACTCTATAAGTCTCAAATCATTATGGTTTGGGAAAAATGCACATGAGACTGTGATAGCAATAATTACTTCAAATGAATGAATAAAAGAAAGCAAGATATTGTGTTTTTTCCAGGCAACACTTAAATGCAGAATCTTTCATTTTAGATGCAGTAAATACCACAGAAGCCAGTAGATAAAGATGATGTCCCAACTCTCAAAACCATACCAAAAGGAGTGGGAATTCCACTCAGGCAGGCAGCTGAGACAAGGATTGTGGGTAAATGCTACCATCTTTATTCGTGGGAAATAATGCTATGTCTGAGCTATGTTGCTGCATAACTGTCTTATAGATATATTTAGCAATGCCCAATATACTAGTAAATTTTTAAAATAGAGCCACAAAATGGATGACAATTTAAGGCAATCCCCTATAATTTTGTCTTAAAAAAAATCTCGTCCATTAGTCATTTCAATCTTTGTTAACACCTCTCTTTTTCCCACTCAGCCTCTGGTGTGGGTATTAACAAAATCTGAAAGGACTAATGGACCAGAAAAAGTCCTGGAAAATCTACTAAGGGCATAATATTATCAGCCTCCGTGTAATCTAATGTACATGTCACTTGATAGGTGTAGATGCAAGAACTAGAAAAACTAGAAAAGACATTATTCCACAAAGAGCAAGAAAGAGACTGATGATAAAGTTGGATCCTCTGGTAAGCCAGAGATTAAAGTCTTGCTGATATGAGGTGAATTAACGTTAACATGGCTATCTCCTAAATGATTCTCTAAGATTGCTTCGAGAGGTAGGAAGTTAGTCACAGCTGTTTGCAATGTGAACTGGATGACCACTTGAGAAGAGGCTGTAAGGTGCAGGAAGACTCTGCAAAAGTTCCATGGTTATTAAAGGGAAATGGACATAGAATTCACCTGTCACTAAGAACGCTAGATAATGAGATCAGGCTTGCTCATCCTTACAAGACCGCTGGATGTGTTTTGGCTTTGTTCCTTCCCTCCTGCCCCAAGACAGATAACAGCTTCTGCTTTCACCGGGGTGCTCCCTCAGCATATCCAGAGAGCTCCAAGTCAAGGCCCAGGAAAGTGAGGCCCAGGGAAAGCAAGGCGTTCTCTCACCCACCTCTGTAAGGGCCTGTTTGTCAAGTTTATTTTCTATTCCAGTGCCGTTTTCCTCCATATGAAAGATAGGGACTCTTCACAAAAGTGTGGCCCTTTCCTGGGGCCTGAACAGGACATGCCTGTTGGAACAAAACACTACAGTCTTCACATCTATTAAAGAAAGACAGAGACATGGGGTCATTTTCTTATACTCTGCCAACGCTATGACTCACTCATAGGGTCCTGCCTCTCTGTACCTTCCACCACAGAATCTCTGTGCAGTCAGTTTATACTTAGCATTAGTGAATGTGTCAAATCGCCACATACCTTCATGCTATTTCTACTGCTGTCACCTTCCTCCCTATCATCTCTCCATCTACATAAATTCTACACAAAATGCTTTCCCTAGAGTAGGCTAGATTCAGTGTATTAAAATAATTGTAGGAATATATGGAAAAGATAACCTACTATTTTCTCTAATGAAACTTGGTTGATAGTTATTAGAGAAAGTTTTTCAAGGAGCATTTTCTTGATCAAAGGCACTGTAAACCTCTGATTAATCAGGGAGATTTCAGTTCCTAGGGAATAGTCTACACAACCAAATGTTGCCTGTAAAACCCTAAAATGCATTACATAGTCTCCTGGCCCCAAAACATTTCCTGCTTTTTAAAATAGAGAATACTGACAGGATTTAAAGTTTTCCTTGATGACTCAGGGCCACCATTATGAAAAACAATTTTGTAATGATGTGATTTCCCAGGGATTATTAAGGTGGGTAGAGCTACTAGCTCCTACCAAGTGGTTCCAGACCATTTGTGCTCTTTGAATTGTTTAACTGGTTACCTACAACTTCCCTTACTATCAGCTGATAGTTTTTACTTATGCTAATGTACCTACTTCTAGTAATTTCCTGCTTGTCTAACAAGTTGCTCTTGATCTAATTGCGGGAGCTTTATGCCTATGTATAAAATGACAATAACTATCCTTCTTTAGTTCTTTTGTTTGCATTAAATATTTTTCCATCTCTATTCTCTAAATTGTGACCTTTATTGGTATCAGTGTGCTTTTCCGCTTCTAATTTATAAGCTTGTTTTACAGTAGTCTGGAAGAGGCTTTGAGGCCAATTTTGTAGAACTGTAGAACAATGCATGAGTTTTGGGATATCTGTTTTCTATTTCACAGCCTTTGTCCCTTATTTTCAGAAACACAGCTGTGTCTCATGTCAAAGGTTGTTAATTTTATTTCATTCTGTCATTTAAAATTAAAGGTTTTAGAAAAGAAGATAAAACTAATAAGAAAATTGATATTTTTTAAGGCAACTTTAAAGACTGTCCTGATACAATCTCCTAGACCTTAAGTATCTAAGTAAATAAGTGGGTAAATGGATATGAATTAATCAGTTACTTCTGCTTTGAAACGAATTCACGTACTTTGTAGATTAATCCCCTGGGGAGTTAATGTATACGTTCTTAATAAACTGTAGAAGTGTCAACGATGGGGAATTGAGTTTTAGTCAATTTTGTATCTTCTTTTGTGCCAGCACTGTGTTAAAAACATAGAGAATACTCATCAATATTTGTTGAATGTATTTAGTTGATTCAGTGGCTATCATTTTACAAGATCTTCTGTCAACAGAGAAAGAGAAAATGTTCTGCAAACTCTGATTCCCAAGGAAGGAAGCAGACATTTTTAGCAATGAGATTGGTACAAATAATCTCCTGCATTTCTTTCCCTTTCACTCCTCCTCTTCCACAGTCCCCTTCACCTCACCCCCTCATCTCTACCACCCCACAACCCCACAACCCCACAAAGCTTTCTGCCTAAATGATGTTTCACCACATTTTGTTTTAGAGACTTAACAGAAATAAAAAGATCAAGCTACATGAACAGATTTTGCATGTCAAGATTTCAAGTATTCATCTGAGTCTGGCTCATCTCTCCTGGTAATTTTCTAGAAAATAGCTGGTTGCTGGGCCCATGTCTCCATGTCCAGCATTTTGCTGGCCTATGGGGCAGGGATAGGGGAAGTAACTGTGTATGACTTTAAAGGATGTCTCATTATTTTATGTTAACTGGGCTCTCTTACTTCCCTCTTGGCACAAACCTTGAAGTGTTCACTATATTCATTGCAACCAAGGAAGAATCCCTTGAGTCTAAAGGCTGTGGAAAGTTTGAGGAAACTGAAGAGGGGAGGGCCCAGAATTCCATTCTTTTTGAGCATTCTGGTTCTTTCATGAATTGTATGCAGTCTGTAAGACTTGCAATGCTCATTGCTTTCCTGTCCCTGAGTATTTTTCCTTCCATCACTTCTAGATATTGTTTACCCAAGTGTTGACAGGCAGCTTTTTTCTCAAGGGTACTGGAAGGATGGTTACATTGAAGCTAAGCATTTGGCTGTCTGTTCAATACCACAAAAAGCACACAAGGAATGCCTCTTAATCAAATTTGTCCTCACAAAGAGATAATCTCTGCTCCTTGGTTTGAGAACCACTCATATGCCCCATTGTCATAGCAAATGATGGCTTGTTAAACTTTTCTATGTGTATATATACAAAACAATGTCACTCAAACACAGTGAGTATCACACTGTCCACACAGTAAAACCTTCATTAGTTCCATCTGTGTTTCTTCTAGCCCAAGTGCCGCAGATTAAACTGTAGTATGACTGGCGAAATAGTTCTACTGTTTACCTAAAGAAGAAAACACAAGCAATGCAAGAAGCTCAGCTAGACTCAAAAGTTCTACCATAGGGCAGGCTTCTTTTTTTTTTTTTTTTTTTTTGAGACAGAGTCTCGCTCTGTCTCCCAAGCTAGAGTGCAGTGGCGTGATCTCAGCTCACTGCAACTTCCGCCTCCCGGGTTCAAGGGATTCTCCTGCCTCAGCCTCCCGAGTAGCTGGAACTACAGGTGCACGCCACCATGCCTGGCTAATTTTTGTATTTTTAGTAGAGACGGGGTTTCACCATGTTGGCCAGGATGGCCTCGATCTCCTGACCTTGTGATCCGCCCACCTCGGCTTCCCAAAGTGCTGGGATTACAGGCGTGAGCCACCGTGCCTGGCCAGGGGCAGGCTTCTTATACATACTTTTGTGGGGAAGTTGAAGGGAGTTACTCGTTTACTTACCTACTAGGACTTCAGAACAGAGAGGCAGGATTGTTCTGTGCTGTGTTAATTCCAAGTCATAGTTGAAACAGAGACAACAATAGAAGCCTTTTTGAGAGCTCATGGACTGTTTACTGGCACTGATAAAAGGTGTATGCTGCATCCTACTCATTTTTCTGACCTCAACTTTAGCTTTATGAGCCTGACTCCCCAGGAGGTAGATTGGGTAGGCCACAGCACACCTTGTTCTTGTGGACTTGAAAGTGACTTTAAGTATAAGGTCACAACTTCTGGATGGGTATTCTGGCCCCATCACATTTTTAAATTTTTTTTTTCCAATAGGAATAGTGTTCAAAAATATTTCTGTTTCTGGCAAAGGCAGTATCTCCTCTCTGGATTGAAACCTATTTCCCCTATTATAGTGATATAGAAAGTACAAAAGCATCCAATTATCTACCTTTGGTTTATTAACTCATATCTCTGATATTTTCTGGTTAATTCTTTATGATGGATTACTTCTGGTGAATAATTTATCAGTAACCTTTCAAAAATTATTTTCTAAAAGTCACTGAAAAGTATTATCCATTTTTAAAAATGTTATTTTCTCACAGTACTTTTAGGATGTTTTGGTGTATAAAAACCAGGAAAAAATAGATAAATAATATTTTTCCCTCTTAGAGCGGGTACCTCTCAAATAATGAGTAAGTGATTAGTAAGATAATTTTTATCCCCCTCCACATAGTCTACTTTTAATTTTATTTAGTGACTTAAAATCTTAATTTATTTTGAATTTATGTCCTAATTTCAGTAAAAAATGAAGCAGCTTGTAAAATTACTACCTTGAATTAAATAAATGCTGGGTCAGAGTTTTATTTATTCACTAGAATTCCTTCTATCTGGCTCCTTTGGGACTCAGGTAATCTGGATATATAAGCACCCAAATATTCCAGAACCCCCGTCTCTACCTGAGCAGCTATTGTAGCCTCACAGTTTGTAGCCTATACCTGGAAGTGCAGCTTCCAGTTGACCTGTATCTCCCCATCTCTCGTATCCCACTTTCTGCCTCCACGTGTTTCAAACCCCAGACAGTGTGGATAAACAAGACTTCCTCATAGGCAGGAGTCATTAATGGGCATTTCCATCAGAGTAGTCTTTAAAGAAAAGAAGTAGAATAGACAGCAAACAGTAATTTTCTAAGCAGGCATTATATTTTCAAATTTTCTTATAACTTGAACTTCTTTCCAGTTTTTCCTGGTCTTCTCATTTGAGTTGGTGCATGTTTTAATATTCTCAGAATAGCTTGTCTTGAAATCTTGCCTTCAGTTTTGTATAGAACCCAGAAGGAGAATGGTGCCTTTCTGAAATGCCAAATAACCTGGTGTTATATTGTCACAAACAGAACATTTACTTGGGAGCAATGTATTACCACAGTTAAATGCTCTCCAGATGCCTGCTTTGCCACAAGGGTATAAACAGATATTTTCCAATCTGTATTTACTTCTGCAAACTGCAAGCCTTAAGAAATATTATATAAGCAAGCATTAAGAGATTCTTACCTTTAACTGTGGTCAATCAGTATTTTTGCTCTGTTTAGGGTGACTAAGAGGGATTACAACTTGGCCTGTCACCCCTGGAAACTCTATTGATTGGCTGGACAGCCTGGAAGTTTGCCCAGACTGCTTTGTGGAGCCTGCCATCCCTGGACACATTCGTTGTTCCCCAGAGGCTTACAAGGAGAAAAAATAAAAAATAAGAAACAAATAGAAAAGCTTAAACATTTCAATTAGCAGAATCCACTATGGACAGCATCTCTGATCATGTCTAGATTCTATCAATCCCTTGAACAAGAGCATCCCACTTGAACTTTCCAGGGGCTTCTTGAAAGTCAATGTGAACATAACATTCCAGCTGGCACTTTTCTCCTCTCAGGACCAGGACAGGCTTGAACACAACTAACACAGCCCCTGACCTCATAGAACTTACAGTTCAGTGGGAAAACATATTATACACATACCCTCAAAAAGAAATAGGTATGTATAAAGTGCAGTAAGTTTCAGAAAGAAATTGTTCTGTCTGCATGAGAACGTAACTGAGTTACTTGGTTTAGATTGGAAGATTCAGGGAAAGCCTTTGCAAGGAGGTGTTTGGCAAACTGGGGATGGGGTAGGGAGGGCGGGTAGCATCTAGGCAGAGGGCCTGTCAGACATGAAGACCCAAAGGTGTGTGAGAGCAGGTCCAGTTAAAGGGACTGGAAAAAACAATAAACAGAAAAACACCAATGTGCAGAAGCTTCAGGATTATCATGTGGCTATTATTTTTTCAGAAGATCAATAATGATGCTGTTTATAAATTTGACAAATTTGAAACCACATCTTTGAAGATAATGAACAAATTTTAAGTTTAACAATTAATACAACAAAATTGTTACGTGGTTAGAGATGATCTAAAAATATTTCTGTCTGGGCATGGTGGCTCACACCTGTAATCCCAGTACTTTGGGAGGCCAAAGTGGGTGGATCACCTGAGGTCAGGAGTTCGAGACCAACCTGGCCAACATGGTGAAACCCCGTCTCTACTAAAAATAAAAAAATTAGCCAGACGTGGTGGTGCACGCCTGTAATCCCAGCTACTCAGGAGGCTGAGGCAGGAGAATCACTTGAACCCGGGAAGCAGAGGTTGCAGGGAGCCAAGACTGCACCACTGCACTCCAGCCTGCGTGACACAGTGAGACGCCATCTCAAGAAAAAGTAAAAATAAATAAAAATATTTCTGTGAGTTGTATCGATCGGGCATTGAGTTCAGCCGCATGTAACAGAAAACCCAGCAGCAATGGGTCATGCCACAGAGGGGTTTCTTTTTTTCACACAAGTACAGAACTAACCAGTGGCTGGTTGTTCAGTGGTTCAAGATCCCTTTTGACTATCTGGGCCTTTTGGGTGAGTGTAGCAAAAAGCATTTCCACCCATAGAGTGGGCTAAAAAACACTGGGTTGCAAAAACAGCTAATTGCCCATCCAATATCCAACCTCCCCTTTTCCCTTATTTACAGAACCCAATTTTGATAATCAGCTTTAAAAAAAACTCCCCACAGTGGCTCATGCCTGTAATCCCAGAGCTTTTGGAGGCCAAGGCCAGAGGATCATTTGAGCCCAAGCATTTGAGGTTGCAGTGAGCTGTGATGCCACCACTGCATTCCAGCATGGCCAACAGAACAAAACCCTGTATCTAAAACTGCGCTCCAGCATGGGCAAAAGAATGAAAACCTGTCTCTAAAATTTATTTATTATTTATTTATTTACTTATCTATTTTTGAGACAGTCTTGCTCTGTTGTCTAGGCTAGAGTGCAGTGGTGGACTCTTGGCTCACTGCAACCTCCGCTTCCTGGGTTCAAGTGATTCCTGTGTCTCAGCCTCCCAAGTAGCTGGGATTGCAGGTGTGCGCCACCTCGCCCGGCTAATTTTTGTAGTTTTTAGTAGAAACGGGCTTTTGCCATGTTGGACAGGCTAGTCTGGAACTCCAGGCCTCAAGTAATCCACCCGCCTCGGCCTCCCAAAGTGCTGGGATTACAGGCGTGAGCCACCATGCCTGACCTGTCTCTAATTTTTAAAAATTTTAATAACAAATTTTAACAACCTCCCCATCTTCTCTGACAACTTGGAATGACCATGTGACACTGTTCTGGCCAATAAAATATATGTGAAGTCTGCTGGCTGGCAAGTTCTAGGGTTTTCTGTTCTGATATACACATTACTCCTATGTTTTGTGTCCTGCCCTTGCCTGGAAATTTGGGGACAGTGACTGGAGCCGGAGGATCCACGCTGCAGTCATGACTTTGGGGCATGTGTTCATCATCCTCTAAGACTCTGAAAGTCTGGAGGAGTCAGTTGCATTGTTAACTGGACTTAAAACGAATCTTGTCCTTGTGATGAACGTGTTCAATTAATGTTCATGTCCTGGAAGTTGTATGATTCAAAATAGAGTCACTTGTGTCAAACTCTGGCCATTGGGGTCAGAGAAGGCCATGAAGGGAGGGCTCTCACATGTGATTTGTCTGACAAAAGGAACTATCACAAGAAATTTTTTCAAACTGCAGCTAGCAGCACAAGGAGAGATAGCCACTTATATAAGAACATTTGCCTGTTTTAAAAACTGTCTCACAAGCCCAATAAAAAACTATAAGGGTGGCTCACGCCTGTAATCCCAGCACTTTGGGAGGCCAAGGCAGGTGGATCACCTGAGGTCAGGAGTTCGAGACCAGCCTGGCCAACATGGCGAAACCCCGTTTCTACTAAAAATACAAAAAAAAAATTAGCTGGGCATGGTGGTATGCACCTATAATCCCAGCTACTTGGGAGGCTGACACAGGAGAATCACTTGAACCCGGGAGACAGAGGTTGCAGTGAGCAGAGATTGCACCACTGCACTCCAGCCTGGGCAACAGAGTGAGACTCTGTCTCAAAAAAACCCCAAAACAAACAAACAAAAAAACCTACAAGTGCCTAACCGTAACTCCAAGGTTACAAATCCTACCTAGCAACTACTGACATTCACCAGTCAGAACTCACCAGCGCTTGTAAGACACTGCTAGTACCAATAAGCTTTCTTTCAAAACAACTTGTGTAAACCTCCTCTTTCCCCAGTGGGCCCCTAATCGTTTCCTTTGTTTTCTGGACATTTCAGAGGCCACCATGATCTGCATGTATGTATGTATGTCCCAGACGGCAATCTTACTTCTTGTCTATTATTCCCAAATAAAACCTTTATACTTAGAGATTCATTTCTCTATATTTTTCATGTTGACAATGTTTTACACAGGTTTGTTTGCTTTATGGTAATGTTCTGTTCCATCAAGCTGCAGCATCTGACCTGTTCTCTTGCCCTGTTGAAAGGCAGACAGTCATGTGTTGGCTTCTGCAGCCTGCCTGTTGTAGCTTTGGAGTAAAAGAAAACCAAAAAATAAACTTCCTAAATGATTTAATCAATCCAAGATGTAGGCCATTTTCAGATCATTTGTTGTACTTGTAATTTTAGAATTCTAGATCAGCTTTGCACCTCAGTATTTTCTGAGATCTTCGTTTAATTGCATATCCTGGGTTCAACTTGAGGAACCAAGGAAATGGTTGGGTCTGAGTGGTGGAAAGCAAGAAGGAGGCATAGCTGGAACAGGCATCTGGAATACCATGACTCACATCCTTGAAACTTTTTTTTATTTTATTTTTTGAGACTAGATCTGGCTCTATTACCTGGGCTGCAGTGCAGTGGTGCGGTCTCGGCTCACTGCAACCTCCACCTCCCAGGCTCAAGCTATCCTCCTACCTCAGCCTTCCAAGTAGCTGGGACTATAGGTGCACACCACCATGCCCAGCTAAGTTTTGTATTTTTTGTAGAGACTGGGTTTTGCCGTGTTACCCAGTCTGGTCTTGAACTTGTGAGCTCAAGCCATCCACCCACCTTGGCCTCCTAAAGTGCTGGGATTACAGGTGTGAGCCACTGCGTGCAGCATGACTCACATCTTTGTGGACTCATACATTATTTCAGCCATGTCAGTGTTGACAGTTCTGTGCAGGTTTTGGTACGTTTTGTGCTGACTATGACCCTTGCACACATAACCTATGTGGTAGCCAGCCCACATGATGGCCCCAATTGTCTCCACTTCCTGGCATTCCCATTCTTGTGTAGTCCCCTTCCCACATTTCATTGGGGTTGGTCTGTATGACCAATAGCTTAAATACTATTGGTGAGGTCAAAAGACATGTGGCTTCTGCCTTGCTCTCTCTTGAATCATCGATTCTTTGAGAAGCTAGCTGCCACACAGTAAGGACACTTGAACAGCCCTATGGAGAGGCCTTTGTGACAATAAATAAGGCCTACTGCCAACAGCCAGCGAGGAAGCTGCCATGTGTATGGGCTCTCTTAGAAGCAGATCCCCCAGCCGTAGTCGGGCCCTCAGGTGATGGAATCTTGGGTTGATGTCCTGACTGCAACATCATGAGGGACCCTGAGCCAGAGTTTCTCAGCTGCTCCGACATCCAGGCTCACAGAAACTGTGGAGGAATCATTGTGATTTTAAGCCACTAAATTTTGGGATGATTTTTTTCTGTAGCAATGGATAACTAATACATCATATATTTTTGTTTTCTATACTGGGACAACACAGACACTAGGAGGGTTGGCTTTGCTCAAGCATATGCATAGATCAGGAAGTTAATACTCCTGGGAATAACCTTTGACCCATGGGAAGGGAACTGATGAATCCATGGACCTGCTTCCTAGCTTTCAAGAGAATGGTTCAAGAAGGCATTAAACGGGCTTCTCAGGTGGTCCTGGCAGAATCAAGCCCTTATTTCCCGTAGTAGCGCATTTCCCTGCCTTGCCATCTCACTCTCCCTGCTCTCTCTCTCTCTCTCTTCTGCCCTAGGACCACCTCCAAAATTATCTATCTGCACAAAAGCGCTGGCATCAGGCTCTTCCTTCAGGGAAAACCAAGCTAAGACAGTAAGAGTGTGATGAAATTCCTGCAGGAAGGAAGAAAGGAGAACATGAACATTGGACTTAATGGATGAGAGCAGCAGGCTGAGCTAAGCTTAAGTGGAATATACAAAGAAGAAGCTCATTTTATTGGAGGACTTCTTTAGTTTTTTTTAAAAAAAATTTATTTTTTATTTATTTATTTTATTATACTTTAAGTTCTGAGGTACACGTGCAGAACATCCAGGTTTGTTACATAGGTATATGCGTGCCATGGTGGTTTGCTGCACCCATCAACCCGTCATCTACATTAGGTATTTCTCCTAATGCTATCCCTCCCCTACCCCCCAACCCACCTACAGGCCCTGGTATGTGATGTTCCCCTCCCTGTGTCCATGTGTTCTCATTGTTCAACTCCCACTTACAAGTAAGAATATGCGGTGTTTGGTTTTCTGTTCCTGTGTTAGTTTGCTGAGAGTGATCGTTTCCAGCTTTATCCATGTCCCTGCAAAGGACATGAATTCATCCTTTTTTATGGCTGCATAGTATTCCATGGTGTATATGTGCCACATTTTCCTTACCCAGTCTATCATTGATGGGCATTTGGGTTGGTTCCAAGTCTTTGCTATTGTGAACAGTGCTGCAATAAACATACATGTGCATATGTCTTTATAGTAGAATGATTTATAATCCTTTGGGTATATACCCAGTAATGGGATTGCTGGGTGAAATGGTATTTCTGGTTCTAGATCCTTGAGGAATCGCCACACTGTCTTCCACAATGGTTGAACTAATTTACACTCCCACCAACAGTGCAAAAGCATTCCTATTTCTATTGGAGGAATTCTTTAGCAGTGTGATGATAAATTATTTTTTGATTTCCTTCTCTTTTAAATAAAACGTGAGTGTTTTACATAGTGTCAGCTTTGAAAGTTTCCTAATTAGACATTTACATGTCAGGACCCTTACAAGCCCTTTCTCCTGGCATTAATGAGGTATAAAATAACTTCTGAGAAAAAAGGTAAATTGTGCATATTGCGTTCCTCCATTCTCAAAAAAAGAAAGCTCATTCTCCATAGGCATGATTGCCAAGTTCAGGCACAGTTGAGAAGTTGCCAAGGGCTTTGGGGTCCGCAAAGAGAGTGTCCTCACCTGCTAGCCTGCCAGCTGGTCAGCTAGAATAGTGAGGGCTCACTGGAGAAATATTTTCTTAAGGAGAAGGAATTCAAACTTCTTTTACTGTGTTGGGGCATCATTGTTGGTCTCTGCCCACATAAAATAGTCTCATACAAGGAATGTTTTAGGAGGAACAGTGAAAAGAGTTGTTTCAATTTTGCACCAGCCATGGAGCTCCAGGAGAGTGGGAGACAAAGGCAGCCCTTTTAACAGGTATTTTTTTTTGTCTCTTTTTAATGAAAGGAATTGTCATTATACACTAGATTTTCTTTTTCTTAGTTCAGATAGTTATCTTGCATTAGCCTAATTATATTAACCATTTGAAGTCTGAAGTCTTAAGGTGATGTCACTTTAAAGTCAGGTGACAGCAAAAATTAAGGGAGTTTGATGGCTGGTTCCTTTGGCTATGATGCCATTCTTTACCTGCCTGAGAGATGGTTGACAAGGGGAAGGCAGAAAGCTTCAGTCCAAGTCCAAGTTCAAGTTCATTTCCAGTAGACTGAAACCTAGGCTTACATGGCATCCAGTTACTTTTTGTAGCCTCCAGACCCCCTTACAAATTCAAATTCAGAGATGTGGTAAAGATAAAACCTATTCTGGTCATGGGCACTGTTTTACAATAAATCTGGGCTTCAACCTGAGAAGTACAAATGAGGGAAAATCAAGTGGGAACTGGACAGAAATGTGAAACACAACAGAGGATGGTAGACACTGGAATCGCAGGAGCTGGAAACCTAGTGAAGGGCTGTAGGTCATTCATTCAACATTTAGAATACCTACTTGGTGCCCTGCACAGTGCTGAATGTGTAAAGACGATGATGGCACCGACCTTATCCTCAAGGAGCTCCACTCAGTGAGAAATATGACTTTGTTTTTTAGAAAATAAATGAGATTCCTAGCTGGTGTCATTTTTGACATTTTTGCAGTGGGATATTTGCAAAGACCCTTCTTAAAGTCAGAGATTGATGTAATTGTGACAGTGACCATGACTCCTAGTCCAACTTCTTCTTCTAAAATAACTTTCAAGATAACGTAATTGAAAGCTTTTCGGAAAATGCCTGACAAATGACAAGTATCTGGCAAGCTAACTGCATATAATAATTCAAGGTCCCTGTTATAGTTTGGATATTTGTTCCCTCCAAAGCTCATCTTAAAATGTGGTCCCCAGTGTTAGAGGTGAGGCCTGGTAGGAAGTGTTTGGGTCGGAGGGGTGGATCCCTCATGAATGGCTTGGTGACCTCCCTGTGGTAATGAGTGACTTCTTGTTCTATTAGTTCACACAAGAGCTGGTTGTTTAAAAGAGCCTGGCAGCTCTCTTGCTTCCTCTTCGCCACATGACACACCTGCTCCACCTTCACTTTCTGCCATAAGTAAAAGCTTCCTGAGGCCTCACTAGAAGCAGATGCTGGTGCCACGCTTCCTGTCCAGCCTGCAGAATCATGAGTGAATATAAATCTCTTTTCTTTTTAAATTACCCAGCCTTAGGTATTCTTTTAGAGCAATGCAAAAAACTGACTAATACAGCCCCTGATTCCAACTCAGTTCTTTTCCCTCAAGACACCAAAGCCTACTTTCCTGGGACTTGCTCTCTTCTCCACATCACACAGTCCTTTCCTCACGACCCCCGCTTTTCCTTGATGGGACTGAGGGTAGGGGTGAGAGGGCTGTACTGGAGCTTGCCTGTGAACTGAGCCCCATTGAGAGCTGATCCTTTTGACCAAAGTATCAAAGCAATCCAGCTGCGGATTAAGAAACAGAAGGCTCTGCAGCTTTGGTTTAAGAGTCAGGTCATAGAGCTCTTTGAAGAGCTTGAGCTCTTGGAGGAAAAAAATAGCGTGAGGCAAGTTCCAAAATGCACATACATTGCATTTCGATAGAGGAGGCAGCAATATAAAGTACAGCAACAGATTCTTTAGCAAATATAATGGGGCATATTTATCTTAAGGAGTGTTGTCTTCTTCAGTGCAAGTTACCATAGTAGACAAAACACTTTTTTCTACTCTGCTGCTATTGCTCAAAGCAATTTCCTTTTGGAATTGCCTTCAAAGTTGGCATGGTATTCTTTTGCATATTCTCAGGAGAAGGCACTTTATCCTTTGAGAGAGGATTTAATTTTTTGTTAAAGAGTCAGAAGCCATTTAAAGCCCAATATGATGAAAAAAGCTAGTGATCAAGCTGAATGGTGTTTGTGACTGTAAAGTAACGAGGCTGATGTGGGTGCATGGGCTTACGCTGTTTCTGAGACAATTTCAGCAAAAGCACCCTTAGTCTTTTGTACTAAGTTGTATTACTTTGACAGGGCTGCCATAACAAAGTACCACAGACTGGGTGGCTTAAACAACAGAAATTTATTTTCTCACAGTTTTGGGGGCATGAAGTCCAAGATGAAGGTGTCGGCAGGTTTTGGTGTCTCTGGAGGCCTCTCTCCTTGGCTTGCAGATGGCTATCTTCCCGCTGTGTCTTCTCATGGCCTTTTCTCTGCGTGTACCTCTGGTGTCTTTTGTGAGACCAAATTTCCTCTTCTTGTAAGAACTCTAGTCACATTGTATTATGACCCAACTAAAGGGCTCGTTTTAATTCAATCACCTCTTTAAAGGGCACAATCTCCAAATACAGTCACATTCTGAGGTTCTGGGGGTTAGGAATTCAACATATGAATTTTAGGGGAACACAATTCCCCTAAAGAGCCAATGACACAAGTCATCACTGAGTAAGTATAACTTCTGAAGTGCTCTATTCTGAAGGACAGCATCATTTTTATGTGTAAGTACTGGTGTGCTTTTTAAAAAGTAATTACTTCCATCGATGGATAAATGGATAAATGAAATGTGTATGTACATATAATGGAATATGATGCAACCTTTAAAAGGAAAGAAATTCTGACATGTTACCACATGGATGAACCTTGAAAACATTATGTCAAGTGAAATAAGCCAGACACAGAAGGATACCTATTGTATGATTCCACTTATATAAGGTAGAATAGTCCATCACATACAGAAAGAAAGTGGAAGAGTGGTTCCCAAAGGCTAGGGGTAGGGATAGGGAGTTAATGTTTAATGGGTAGAGTTTCCATATGGTAGGATGAAAACGCCTGGTGATGGATGGTGGTGATGGCTCTACAACAATGTGAATGTACTTAATGCCACTGAACTGTACACTTAAACTGATTAAAATCATAAATGTTATGTTATATATATTTTACCATAATAAAAAAAATTTAAGTAATCACTCTGTAGTTGTTGGTCAAGAAATAAAGCCTAAGTTTTTCCAGCAGATATGGCTTAATATGCCCTATTGAATTAATATGGCCTGTTTCTATTGAAACAAAAGATAAATGTATAAACCCAGGGGTATAAATAGTCCAGGAAAGTTGAATTGTTATAATTTAGGATGCCATGTCTTAATTATTTCTGAGCAAAAGTTGTCTCAGTCACAAATAATAACAGCAATTTAGTAAGTTTAATTTTTGACTTAATAGTGTGGTGATTGTCCACATGAGCTTTCCTACCAAGAATGGGCCATGTCTGCAGGTCAGGGTAGGAGGTGGCTGCCCATGCCTAGGACCTAATCTATTTAAACCATAAAACAAATTAAGTCTGGTTCCTGATTTCCTTTCTATACCTCTTCTCCGTCTGCTGAAATCTTATTTCCTCTTCCCACTGAGCTCTAAGTGCCTTCAGTACTGAAGTTTTGAAGCTCTAATCCTCTTGCCATCAATTCCCCATCCCAGCCCTAGGTCCACCATCCAGGAGGCCAGGCACAATTAATCGGAATTATCCCTACTTTCACCTCTTGCTCCATCCCATCAAACCTTCCAATGGTCTAATAACAGGCTTTCAGAAGGGGTGTGGATCATGAAAAGAAATACTATTTACTATAAAACATTTAGTGATTTGCAAAAGAATAAACTGTGGAAAAATATATTGATTCCGTCTCTCACTTAAGAGGAAAGCAAATTCATACTAAGATGTACAGGACTGAAGGATTTACTGATAGGTGGCAATTCTTTAGGCCAGTACTATGGCTGTCACTTCTTGTTGTGCTTGGCTACTCTGAGTAAAGTGCATCATTTTTCTTTTGCAAGATTGAAGTGTGAGAGGAATTTTATTAGAACTTGGCAGTCCCCTTTCCTAGCTCTTTACCACAATCAACCAACCCTACACAGATGTCACTAGAAAGCTACATTGCTTCTGTTAGCCATATGCTTGACCAAGATAAGCCTCCTCAATAGGATTATTCTTTTTTCATATATGGAGAAACATAATCAGGTTCCTGATTAATCTGGCTTCCCTGGACTTGCTTTTGAAATAAATGAAACACCATACCAAAATGGCATTCCACTGATGTCAGCTTGGACCAAAGCTGCTCTATTAAATAAATGATTCTAACCCTGTAAAAATATTTGTATAAGTTGCTTCCAGTTACAAGGGAATCTTTCTCAGATATAACTCTCTATAAAAATGACTCTTCTTTAACTTTCCTGAAGTCTAGTTTTTGAAGTGTCACAAGGCATTGTGATATAATTCCATCTTGAAAATGGTCTCATGGGATTAGACCCTGAAGATGCCAGCGAGCTTCACTTTATAATATATGCAAAATAATGAATATCAAGCCAAGTATTCTAAATTGTAAAACTATTCTTAGGGCAGCAACAAGGGCATCACTTTGGTTCTCTCTTACTCCATTGCCATTAATATCAATGCATTAACCAATATCTAATTGTTGCTGTTGAAGCTATCACATCTTTGAATTCTGGAGCCGTGCTGAATTTTTAGCATTTCCCATATCAGGAGTTTCACGTTAAGTCCAAGGAGTGAGGAAGGACAGCAAGCGTCTCACCATGGTGAGCATCTGACTTTCTCTGATGCTGGTGAAAGTATCAAGGCTGTGAGGAAATCCCTCAGAGGTAAAAGCTAAGGCTGGGTCCCTCCAGTAAGAATGCGAATGCCGCTTCTGCAAACTGACTTTCTGAACTAGTATCTAACAAAAAGTAGAATCCCTTCTCAGGTCCCACTGCCCTTCTGCCTTTCTGCTGCTTTTTATCTCACCCTATTGATCCAACTCTGCCTAGCCCGAGACTGAGGAGCTCTTGAGATCGTGGAGTCAGAAACATCTGCCACCTATGAACTGTGAGGTTCGGGCAGATTTCTGAACCTCCCTCAGCTTGTTTGATTACCCATAAAAGAGACCGTTGTGAAGAGTAAACAAGATAATAATAAAATCCCATGGAAAGTACCAAGTGCTGTTACCTCGTGCTTGTTAGTAGGCCGCACAGAGCGTCTTCCGAGGCCCTCCACTTGGGAGCTGAGCTGATAGTCACCCAGGTCTACACGCAGCCCGGTTCCGAGGCCATCACGCAGATCAGGAAGCGAGCACTCAGCAATTAACTGACCGGATTAGGGAGGAAGGAGTGATGCCGACAGCGGCAAGGGCCTTCATGTCTTTCTCAAGAGCTCAAGCTCCCTCTCTGAGGGAGAATAAAGGCCATCATTTTTCAGGGATTCCTTCAGGGATAAATTGGGAAGTGTTTGGCAATTTACTGATCCCTAAACTGGGAGAAGTAGTCCAGATCAGAGCAGAATTGAGTTGGTCAAAGTGCTCCTGCTCAGATGGCTTCAGATGAGAGAACTTTAGAGGAAGAGGTTGCTGTCTAATTGAATGGGGAAGCAGAAGGAATCCCCTTGGACTTACACATTAAATAAAAGGGAGAATCTAATGATTAACAAGAATTTAGTTATTTTAGAGGTCTGATCTGGAAGACTGTTTCGGATTCTCCTCCATGGTTTCTTCTTCACCTCTGGGTTTCAGAGATGTTGAACCAAACCAGGAAACCGCAAGACCCTCTGATGTGGGGCAGGGGCCCTTGAGGCGCCCCGGCAGGAGGTCGGAGGCCGCGGGAGCCGCGGGAGGGGACGGGAGGTCACAGGCGCCCCAGGAGGGGAAGGGAGGCCACAGGCGCCCCGGGAGGGGATCAGAGGCTCGGGCGCCCCGGGAGGGGAAGGGAGGCCACAGGCGCCCCGGGAGGGGATCAGAGGCTCGGGCGCCTCGGGAGGGGAAGGGAGGTCGCCAGCCGCCGGCAGGCCGCGCAGGGTCTGGGGCTGTGAAAGAGCAGCGGCTGCCGGCCGGCCCTGCGCCCCGGCTCGCAGCCACCGCCGCCCCACACACGCGGGATCACAGGGGAGCTGACGTTTCATTTATCGACTGAGCGACTCTGAAAAAGGCCCCTGTGCCCAATTACCGCGGCGCGCCGTCTGCTCGGCGGCGGGCTGAGTTGGGAGGCGCGGGCGCCCAGTGCTGGGGGTGGAGCGGGGGGCGGCCTTCGAGGGAGCGGTGGCGAGGAGGATTCCTGTGTGAAAAACCAGCCGCCACCAAGCCCGCAGCGTCACCTCCTCACCCCTGGCGGCCTGGGAAAGCGGCGGCCGCGCGGGGGCCCGCCCTCCGCACGCCCCCGAGGCCTAGCCGCCAAAGGGCGCTGGTCTTCCCGGGCCCGAGGTTCAAGCGTCCGTCATTTCTCAGGACCTTTTCCTCTCTTATTTTCTTTTTCTTTCTTTCTTTCCTTTCATTTTTTTTTAAAAGAATGTGCCGGTGGCATTTGAGAGTATAAAAAAAAAAATACTAATAACAAATAGGGCTCGGTTTTCTGTCTCGCCCGTCCCGGACTCTCCACGAAGCCGTCCCCAGAGAAGGCGCTGCCCCCTCGGCAGCCTTCCAGGGATGCCCCGGGCCGCTTGGCTTCCTGACAGGGGCCCCGGGCTGCCCCCTCCGCCTATGGCCAGAGTGCATCTTCTCCAGTTTTATAAAGGCAGTCTTTGAATCTCTAGCTTTATCGATTTGTACTCAAAGATTTTCGTATTGACAAGGAAAAGCTCCTTTCCGCCACTCATTGCACGTAGGCGGGAGGCCCCTAATCAGCGATCAGTTAACCTGTTTACCAGACACCTGACAGGAAGGTGGCGCGGTGGAGTGCAAAGGACAATGGCCCATGCGTCAGGAGCCCGGGGTCATGTTTCCAGCTTTTGCGAGGACTTCACCACCTCTGCCCGCCGTGCCTCACTTTCTCCTAGGAGAGAGGCTGGATAAAGGCGCTTTGAGAAAGCTCCATTGAGGATTAGTGAGATAGTATCTGTGTAGAGCTCTGCGGTTCTGGAAGGAAAATGCTGTGTAAACAGAACTGGCTGAAATCAACGCCCTGCTCACCACTATTAATCTTGACTTCCCTTCCTTGTCTGTTTTGGCATCACTGTATAACCCGATATGTATATGCGTGTGCCTGCGTGTATGCGTGTGTGTTTGGGGAGGTGGGGTGGGATTTGGGTTCAGAATAAAAACCAATCCCTTAAAAACTATTAAAGCCAGGTACATTCCAGGCTGGGAAACCCCTAATGCTTGACAGATGAAAGCACTGTCTTCTTTCAACTCTGTATTTCACATTTTTCTATCTGTGCTACATTAACTTTCTGAAGTTTTCTCTGAATAATCAAAAGAAGCAAAATGAAATTCAAGAGGTTGTTGTTGTTGTTGTTGTTTGCTTTTTTGCTTTTTTGCCTGCTTGCCCACATCCACATGTCTATCTTTGGAAAATTGTAAGGGACTTGAGCAAAATTTAATGTAAGAAATAAATAATTGCAGTGAATGAAACTAATAGTTCACATGACACTACCTTATGCCTTGTGGACAACAAGAAGTTAACCAATTCTCTCTGTCCAATGCTGAAAGTTTAGTGTGGAGCTGGGTACAATGAGAACCTCTGATCCAGATGCCACTCCACTCAGCCTGGGAGAGTCACGGAAGGGCATTTAGAAGTTCCCCTGCTTTCAGCCGTCCTCCCACTCCTGTAACCTGGGGTCCTCCCACCCACCCACAGCCCCAAATCTCTCACATCAGAATGGCCAAGGGTAAGGCAGAAACATCTGAGCTGATAATGCCTTTAGCATACTACCCTGCAGAGGCCTATGTGGCTCATGCTTGCGTTAAAACAAAATATATAGCCTGATAAATCTGTTAATTGTAGATACTGCTTCACTTCTAACAAAAAACTTTGTGTACTAAAGATTTAGGCTAAAAGAGCTGTTGATTTTTATGCGGGATTTTACTCTCCTAAAAATCAAGTAAATCAACTTAATGCCTTTTATGTATCAGGTGGAATTATAGACACCAGACAAGAAACATCCATCTATCTCCTTTCATTTTGTTACATATTCTCAAGGGGCCACATGATTGGCAGTAACTTTCTTTTTATAAATTCTAAACTGGGTTTCTACCGCCAAATCCCAGGTGGTAGAAGAAGGCATCCTGAGGCATCCAGGCCATTAGGGCAACTGAAAAAACTCTGCCTTCTCTTTCTAGAAGGCTTCCCTCAGTCCTTCCATTTATAAAAAATCATTTAGAGACATCACTAAATATATTATCATTATAACATTTGATTTACCAAAAAAAATACTCAATTAAAAATTCAGTTAAGTTCAAGTCCTATAGATCATGATGAGTTTACTGAATTGATCAGAGAAGTTAAAAGATGAAACTTCTGTATCTGGTTCTACCCCTCGTGTTGCTGGCCTTCAATAAGTCACTTGACTTGTCCGTTCCCATTAATAAAAACAGGAAAGCAGGACCTGTCATAAAACTGCCTGGGAAGTGATGAGAACTAAATACTTTTTTTGTGCGTTTTTTTTAATAAGGAAATGCTCTGGTGAGGTAACACTTGACTCAAACAATGACTCCCAGCGTTAACTCTCGGATACACAACTATCAGATTAGAAAGCATTTTTTAAAAAAGACTTATATGGCCATGCACTGAAGGTCATATACCTTGTTATTAGGAGATTCCCACAGACACCCACAGTTGCTTTTTCTTGAAGCACAATCCTAATAGTATTGGTTTGTTGTCATTTTTTTAAAATCCACCTCACAATAGACCATTAGAATGGAAAAGATAGAATACTCACTGTAACTGATAACCTGAAGAGAGTTTCAGACTTCAGAAAAGAAGTGCCAAGTAATTTAAAAAACAAATAGGTTCATATGGAGTCGTTGCATGTGTGAGCAAACTTCCCTTTCCAAGCCAGGCACGGTGGCTCATGCCTGTAATTGTAGCACTTTGGGAGGCTGAGGTGGGCAGATCACTTGAGCTCAGGAGTTCCAGACCAGCCCGGGCAACACGGCGAAACCCTGACTCTGCTAAAAATACAAAAATTGCCCAGCTACTCCGGAGGCTGAGGCATGAAAATCCCTTGAGCCTGGGAGTGCAGTGGTTGCAGTGAGCCAAGATTGCACCACTGCACTTCCAGCCTGGGCAACAGAGCGATACTCTGTCTCGAAACAACACCACCACCACCACCAAACCTTTCCTTTTCAGCACAAAAGGCCATTAATATTTTCCATATAAATGACAATAATTATGAACTTTAATCCTGAAGACAAGGTGAAATTACACTTATTGCACCATTTAGAAAGGCAAGCAAGTATAAGGATTATAAGGATTTTGATTTAAAATAGATTTTAGCACTTAAGGGAATAAGCTTTAGTTAGTTGTGAAATAGATAAGTAGAATTCTTCATTCCTCAAGAATGTTAGGTAAATGAAGCATTTTAGTAGAAAAATTAACAGCAGCTTAGTTTTACGTGTTACTCCAATGGATGCGCTTCAGTTAAACCTCAGACTATAAGGGGTGGTTGGCTCTGTGCTGATTGCAGGAAAGACTATCATTCAGTTTACATCCTCTTTCCCTCGGATTTTCCATCCAAGAAGAGTTGAGGCCTGGTTTTGCTTAGTTGTGAGATCCCAATCCAGAGGAGGCTGGCTAAAGACCATTCGGCATGTTAGATTTGGGTCAAATTCTCTGTGTATGTCATGAAGAATTGGGAGGCAGTTTGATAAAATTACAGAAAATATCTGGGAAAGGCAAATTCAGAATTGATCACAAGGATTACATGGAAAATTACACTAGAGGTGCACAGGGCACGTCAGACCACTGTTGGTCATGGTCCAACAAATATGAACAAAAGAATATCTGGGTTTCTCTAGAGAACACAAAAATAAGGAAACAAGATCAAAAGAACTTGGTTATTCCTGAGACATACAAAAAGGAAAAGAATTTATGTAAATGGAAATAGAGCATCAGAAATGAAATTCCAAGATTAAGATTTCATTTGTCTTAGCTCAATTGCAAGGATAACTGGTAGATGTTTCCAAAATTGATTCTAATATTTGAATTTGCAAAATCCTGGAAATTTCTAAAATCTGAGCTCTCATTAAAAAATTTTAAAAGCTCTTATCTTTCCCTGGAGTAATAATTATAAAGCTACATTAATAGATTTGACAGTGCCAAGACTTTCCTTGCTTTAAGAAAGGATGATGCATATCACAATATAAAATCACTTGAAAAAAAGAACTGTGTGCTTTCCCTGTATTATTTGATGTCTATTTCAAAACACATTCAAAATATCTCCTTTCTTCAGTAACTATGGTTGAGTCTATTTCTCTGCATTGCTATTTAGGGGTGTCACATTTGTTGAGCACTAGCGCTGTTCTAGGTGCTTACCTAAGTTATCTCAGTTAATATTCACAGCAATCCAATGAGGAAGGCATTTATTATCTTCTTTTTCTAGACAAGGAAGCTAAAAGCTTAAAGTGATAAGGTAACTTGCCCTTAGACACACAAGTAATGAAAATGATGGAATTAGTCTTCAAACCCAGTCTGTGTTTTTCTAAAGCAGGTGCCCCTCCCATATGACTTCCCAAAGGAATGAGATTCCATTTGCTGAACTGGCTTGTTTGTTCCAAGGTCTGAATGCACAGAAATCTTTAGGCATCTACAAATTTATGGAATATGTTTTGAGAATTTGAGTATCAGTGACATGTCAGAAATTTGGAATTCTTTTTACCCCCTTTTCAGTAAAGATTCAAACTTTTCAAAGTATCAATCTAGAAATTGAGTCAGGGGTCTGCATCTCATTTATTATTAGTAAGTGGCTTAAAATGCATTTAGAGCTGCCTGATGAACATAAGTGCAAGCTAAGAAACATGAGTGTGTTCTTTCTGCAACTCAAAGAGAAGAAGGCATAGTCCTGTGTAATTGGACTAGAGGCTGGTATTCTGTTCTGACATAGAAAAAGGATTTGGAGTCTTTTGTAGCTGTGTACTTTCTACCTCTTTGTTTAGAGGTTTCAGCAATTCTGAGAGGTATAATAGGATAATAATACAAAGATGAGGTATGTGAAAAAGAAAATTAGGAAGCACTTAACCCATGGTATCAAATTTCCGTATTTTTTTTCAAAAAAGAAAATCTACATTTCCCATGATTTCTTTCCAGAAAATAGTGTTTGTTCCTCAAATGAGCTACCGAAAAGACTACTATTTGCTTCCCACCTCTCTCTCCTCTCAATGTGTGGTGGGGCTGGACTTGGGGGCAGTCAGACAAAAGCTCAAAACTTTTATTTAATATAATTTTCATATTTTAAAAATGTTCATGGTGTTAAGGCCTCAAGAGTCAAGCATAAATACATGAAAAAATACATTTTAAAAGGCCTCATTTGAAATAAGAGAATTTCTGGTTTTTCTGACTTTAGAGCTCAAGATTTCCATGTATTCTGTGAAGAATCTAGCCAAAGATCATTGCATTGGTTTCTATCTTTCTAAACAAAAGTGAACAGTGTCTTAATTGCCAGGATAAGATAAGTACATATCTTGGTGTTCAAGTATGCATCTTGCAGTTGGGCATGACAGAACTGCCTGGCTCTGGGAAATATTACTGAAGAGATCAAGTAATGCCCCCTCTCCATTACTCTCAAATTTTTTACCAAAAGCAAAAGAGAGGAGGCGTGATTCCAATATAAGGCCCATAAGCCCAACAGACAATTTTAGTAGCCAGTTCTGAGGTGACTTTCTATAAAAACGTAGCGATCGCACAGCCAGTTACAGAAGTTGTTGGCTTCGTGCAGAAGGAACCCATTAGAGGGGCCCTAGTGGAGCTTCTGAATGTTACCTTTGGAGAATATAATGTAGAAAATGATTCAAAACATGCAAGCATGTTTTCACTGCTCATTTTCCCTGTATCTTAAAGTTGGAGTACCTGGTAATCAGTCCTTCACACATATTATCTTCTCTTATCTACACTCACTCCTTAAGTGATTTGGATTTGTAGCCTGAACTTTTCCAGAATTCCAGACACACACACACACACACACACACACACACACACACACACACACAAAACCCTTTACTTAACATCGACTCTAGTAGGATGTCCAGACAGTGTTGCAAAACTTAGTATCTCCAAAATAAACTTCTGATCCCCTTCACCTCCCACTTTCCACAGACTTCTGTCCCGACTCTGGCCAGTCGCTTCGGCCAAACATTTTGGAAATCACCTTTGGCTCCTCTCTTTCATGTATACCCCATTTCTGATATCTTCGTAAATCCTTTGGCTCTACCTTTAACATGGATTCAGCATTCAACTGTTTCTCACCATCTCTACTTCCATCACCTTAGCCCAACCCCTCATCACCTCTCACCTGAATTACTGTAGTAGCTTGCAAAGCA
This sequence comes from Homo sapiens, assembly GCF_000001405.40. Lineage (NCBI taxonomy): Eukaryota > Metazoa > Chordata > Mammalia > Primates > Hominidae > Homo > Homo sapiens. The sequence continues at coordinate 79,885,418 of NC_000008.11, read as the reverse complement.
GTCTCCTTGTTTGTAACTCTGTTCCCTGATAGACATTCTCAAAACAGAAGCCAGAGTGATCATTTAAAAACCAAAGCCAAATTGTGTCATTTGTTGGATCGAAATGCTCCATCTAATTGAGGATGAACACCAAAGTCCCTAGAATGGCCGAAAAGGCTCTGCCCAATCTGCCCTGTATACCACTCCCTTAGCTCCTAAACTTCACTCATAGTATTTTCTCCAGCAATCTCTCCTTCCAGCCATACTGGCCTCATTTTTCCTGAAATCCCCTCAGCCCACTGCCCTCAGGGCCTTTGCCTTCACTAGGTCTGCTGCCTGGAATGATCCTTCCCCCTCCCACTTAGCCTGGCTCCTTCATTTCCTCAAATGCACCTTCTCAAGGGTTCCTACTGAGACCACCGAATTTAAAGTTGCAACCCCTTTCTCACAATCCCCATCCCCTTGTCTGTTTTAGTTATCTCCACAGCATTTATGACCTATTATATTATATCATATTCTTGTTTACTTTGCTTATTGTCTATAACCCCCCACCCCTGGAATGTAAGTTCCATGAGGGCAGGGTTTTTTTTTTTTTTCTTCACTACTTTTTAAAATTCACTGCAGTATCTCCAGGGTTTAGAATAGTGCTTGGTACATAGTGATGCCTAACAAATCTTTGTGGAATGGATGAATGTTTTAGGACAAATAAATTCTGATAGTTGGGGACAATACCAGCCCTTCATGACAGATCTGTAATTGTTCTCAATGGCCTTCTTCAAAGTCAATCAGGTTACTCAAAAAGACCTATGAGACTAAATTTGTTATGACAGTAGAGAGTCCTCTAGAAAAACAATGATTACATTTTTGCCAGAGTCCGACACTGAAAACATCTTGTGGAAACCATGGTCATCAGCCATTCAGCAAATATTTAATAAACATCTACTAGGTGCTTTGGTGCATATAAAAAAGAAAGTAAGGAGATTGCCCTTCAAGGAGTTTGTTTTTGAGTAGGATTGTAAATATCTATGAGAGATATGCGCAAAAAAGAGTCATAAGAACATTTAGCTCTCAGAGTGCATGGAGACAATATTTCCAATAGCAGTGGTCAAGAATTCCAATTACAGAGACCAGGCGCAGTGGCTTATGTCTGTAATCCCAGCACTTTGGGAGGCCAAGGCGGGCAGATCACTTGAGGTCGGGAGTTCCAGACCAGCCCGACCAACATGGAGAAACACTGTCTCTACAAAAAACACAAAAAAATTAGCAGGGCATGGTGGTGCATGCCCATAATCCTGGCTACTCGGGAGGCTGAGGTAGGAGAATCACTTGAACCCGGGAGGCAGAGGTTGCGGTGAGCTGAGATTGCACCATTGCACTCCAGTGTGGGCAACAAGAGCGAAACTCCATCTCAAAAATAAAAAATTAAAAAAAAAAGAATTCCAATTACAGGTGTGCTGATCACACCTGTAACACCAGCACTTTGGGAGGCTGAGGCAGGTGGATTGCTTGAGCCCAGAGTTTGAGATCAGCCTGAGCAATATAGTGAAACCCCCGTCTCTACCAAAGAAGGAAGGAAGGAAGGAAGAAAGAAAGAGAGAGAGAGAGAGAGAGAGAGAGAGAGAGAGAGAAAGACAGAAAGAAAGAAAGAAAGAAAGAAAGAAAGAAAGAAAGAAAGAAAGAAAGAAAGAAAGAAAAGATTAGCCAGGTATGGTGGAGTGTGCCTACGTCCCAGCTACTAGGGAGGGTGAGATAGGAGAATTGCTTGAGCCCAGGAAGTTGAGGCTGCAACTTTCTTTAAAAAAAAAAAAAAAGATACTTAAGGTAGGCCTTGAAGTGTGGTTAGGATTGGTCAGGGGGAGACAGATACTGAGACACAAAGAAGCTATTAGCTGAATTTGTGGAAGTTCATCATCCTTAGAGGGTTTTTCTTTGGTAGAGGAGGAAGCAGTTTTGCTATGTTTCAGCTATTTTTGCTTTATCCTAAGTGCAATTTGGCTAAAGGGGGTTATCTCTCCTGAAGAGAAAGCTTTCCAGTAAGAGGAGTATGGCTACTTTACAGTAACACTAAGTATAAAATAATACATTCAGAAATTCAATTCCACAAATACATATGCCATGCCTAATTCATATGTGCTGTATAGAGATGATTGCTGGGAGAAGTTGGAGAATGAGGAATGCACCGGAAGTCACAGGATTGGACTGTTTGCATTTAGCAAAAGGAAGTGAAGACCTTCTGCAGAGTGGTAAGAGTGCAAGACAGACAGAAAGCAATCAAATGGTGAGTGAACAGTGTGGAAGGAGAGGCAAGGAGGGCAGACAGATATTCCCAGAACTATGCCCATGAGGGGAGAAAAGGGGTTTCAGGCAAACTGGTAACCAGAGTTAGTTGGGTTCATTGGTAGCATTTATTTCTACATATATTTTCATAATATAATATTATTTTTTATATGTTATATATAGTATCACAGACAAAGAGAGAGAGAGGGAAGAGGGCAGGAGAGGGAGAGGGGGGAAATGGAAAATGCAGTATCTTACAGGATCTGCTGTTAGAGATTTCCTACCTTCCTCTGTAGTTAGTAACGTCACTGCTAAGGCCAGAGAGGAGGTCAGAGCAATGACAAAATATGTCAGAAGCTACAACTTGATAAGAATGGTTTTTGTCATTTCCTGGGGAATAAGCATCAGAGCCTTCTAAGATTAGAAGAGGTATTAGAGACCACTTAGTCAGATCCCCTTCTCACAAGTAAGGAAACTGAGGCCACAGGTAAAGTAACTTTTCCAAAGTCAGATGGCGTACTCACTAGAGTAGACGCCTGTCCTCTCTAGTGGCCCAGTGTTGTCTCCACTGTGCTACTCCACAAAATCTGTAAGTATCACTTCTTTTTTTTTTTTTTTGAGACAGTCTCATTCTGTTACCCAGGCTGGAGTGCAGTGGCATGATCCCGGCTCACTGCAACTCCCGCCTCCTGGGTTTAAGCGATTCTCGTGCCTCAGCTTACCGAGTAGCTGGGATTACAGGCATGCGCCACCATGCCCAGCTAATTTGTGTGTGTGTGTGTGTTTTTAGTAGAAACGGGGTTTTGCCATGTTGGCTAGGCTGGTCTCGAACTCCTGACCTCAAGTGACCCACCCTCCTCGGCCTCCCAAAGTGCTGAGATTCTAGCATGAGCCACGGCGCCCTGCCTCACTTCTTACTTTTCAAAGCCATGCTAACTTTGCATTCTTCTTCATAACATATATATTTTTGCTTTAGTATGAAAACAATATTAGTACTACTTTAACCAGAAAAACTGATGTTCATGAAGGTTTCACATAATTGCAACACATTGTTTGCTTTAGGCTACAGTTTGAAGCTCATGTAGCTCTATACCAAGACAGTGCTTCCTGTTCTGCAACTAGAATTGTTTATTTGTGGTCCTGGAATGTAGGCTCTCCATGAAAATAAAGAATTTTCCTCTCCTTGCTGAAATTTCAGTTTTCATTAAGGCCTCACCTTGCCCTTATGGGAGGAGAGCCTCCTATTCTCCATATAGGACAATCTGTTCCTGAACATTCACTTTTCCATTCAGCAAGTACTTACTGAGTGCCTATTATGTGGCAGACATTGTACTGTGGTAAACAAGACAGCCCCATGGGCCCTGACCCTATTAAGAGAGACGGAATAAACTATAAGCAGACATTCCTGCCTTTTTTTTTTTTTTGAGACACAGTCTCGCTGTGTTGCCAGGCTGGAGTGCAGTGGTGTGATCTCGGCTCACTGCAACCTCCGCCTCCCAGGTTCAAGCGATTCTTCTGCCTCAGTCTCCCAAGTACTTGGAACTACAGGCGTGTGCCACCATGCCCGGCTAATTTTTGTATTATTAGTAGAGACGGGGTTTCACCATATTGGCCAGGCTGGTCTTGAACTCCTGAGCTTGTGATCCACCCGCCTTGGCCTCCCAAAGTGCTGGGATTACAGGCATGAGCCACTGCGCCCAGCCACATTGCTGCCTTTTTAAACATTTTTTAAAAACTTTTATTTTAAGTTCAGGGGAACTTGTGCACGCTGTGCAGGTTTGTTACATAGGGGTAAACGTGTATGATGGGGGTTTGTTGTATAGATTATTTTATCACTCAGGTATTATGCCTTTCCTGCCTTTTCATCTCACTCTTCATAAACTCTGCATGATGAAAATAGTAGTAAATCCTCTGTCTAGGAAATTCAGTTGGAAAGCAAAAGATGATTCAAAAAACAAGACCCTCAACAGCAGCTTATCAATCTGGATGTAATTTTGACTCTGCCAAGATAATGAAGGCTAAACTGAACTGTGAGATGAGACATTCTACTCCATTCCATCCCATTTTTGGAAAGATGAGGTGAGTCACTTGTACAAGGTCACTTGGCCAATTAGTGCCAGAACTAAGACTAGAAAACAGGTCATCGGATTCTTCTCTGCAATCTGCCCTAGGAATTCTATGGCCAAGTGTTGGTTTGGGGCACCCAGAGGACCCTGCACGAACTTCCTGCAGCCTCATGCATGGGGTTGAGGAATGTGCCGATTTCTTAGGTGGGGCTGGCGAAGTGTTTACCGTCTGACTTCATGCAGCAGGAAAACGTCCTCCTTAGAACTAGAATCCGAGCTGCTGCTGCTTTTGAATTTTGAATCCCTGCCTTGTCCTCGTAAAGAAAACAGAATTCGGTGGTGTGTCTCTTCTATGCTGTGTTAGGTGTAAGCCCATCGCCAAGAATAAACAGCTGCAGTAGGTGAAGTGGGATTAAGATAGCCCAGGCAAATCCGGAGGTTGGGCACTTTTGATGGGGATCAGAGAAGCAGAAGGGCAAATGCGTTGCCAGCGCTGTGATAGCTGCCTAATGCTTCATCTATAGGCTCAATGCTTATCTTTCCGTCTCACCGCGGAAGATCAGTGTCTCCCAGCACAGCGTACAGCCTGTGCCCAGACACTCAAAGGCCAGTTATTGTTGAAGATTATGTAAAAAGGCTTGTTGGGAGCTCAAAAAAAAAAATCAAATCACAAAGTTCTGTTTGTTCCTGTTGTCAGACTGAGATATGAGCCAGGGAAAGACGGAAGGAAAGACTAAAACCCTGTCAGATACCACACGAGTGCACGTGTATGAGCCAAAACCGCCTGATCTTTTCATTACAACGGACCAAGCTACTTAGAGTGTTACTGCCTAAGGGGGCTGTGTTCTCACTGTGTGGTGAGAGCTGGAACTGGCGGGAGATTTTCACACTGGTTGTTATGCACTTCCTGGCTGGAGAAGGAGGTTCTCTTCTATGTTTCTGTTTTAGTCAACAGCATCCTGTTCACTCAGTTGCCCTTTGGTGACTCAGCTTCTCCCTCCACTCCCATATCATGTCCATGATCTGGTCCTGTCCATCCTTCCCCCTAAAGCTCTCCAAATCCATCTTCTTCTCTCCATCTCCAATGCCACACCAAGCCACATTCACCTTCATTCTCAATTTCTGCAATATTCCAACTAGTCTCCCACCATCTGATCTTGACGATGGCACCCCACCTCTCCCCATCCAACAATCCACTCTCTACTCTACAAGCAGGGTATCTTTTCGAAGCACAAATCTAATCTGTTTAAAACCATCAGTGGCTGGCCAGGCGCAGTGGCTCATACCTGTAATCCCAGAACTTTGGGGGCCCAAGGCAGGCAGATTGATTGCTTGAGCTCAGGAGTTTGAGACCAGCCTGAGCAACATAGTGAGACCCCATCTCAAAAAAAACCTTTTTTTTTTTTTTAAATCAATTGCATTTTTTTGCTCTTACAATAAAAACCAAACTCCTTAACATGACTTGCAAAGTGCTCCCTGAGGTCAGGTCTACCCACCTCTCTATGCTCACCCTGCTGTGTTATTCCCCTTGTTGTGCTGTGCCACCCACCCTGCCATACTCCCAGTTTCTCAAATGCCCTATTTTCTACTGCTTCAGGGCCTTCAGCATATACTTCTGTCTACTTGGAAGGCTCCTCCCACCACCTAGCCTAGGTAATTCCTTAGTATCCTTTAATTCCTCGGAGAGAATTTCTCTGATCCCTCTGCTACGTCTCTTATATGCTCTCTTAGCATTGAAACTTTTTATTTGTAGTATTTATCAAGTTTATTAAATAATTGGCATTTGCTTAATATCTGTCCCTTCTAATATATGCTCACAGTGAGGGCATGTATTGATCTGTCAACAGCATCAAGGGCAAGTTACTTGGCATGTGGTAGCACCCGGACTTAGCTAAATGGGAGGAAAGATATCTTTCACTGTGTCTTTTTTTTTTTTTGAGACAGGATCTCTCTCTCTCTCTCTCTGTTGCCCAGGTTGGAGTGCAGTGGCACCATCGTGGCTTACTGCAGCCTCCATCTCCCAGGCTCAAGCGATCCTCCTGTCTCAACCTCCCAAGTAGATGGGACTAGAGGCATATGCCACCATGCGTAGCTATTCTATTTTTAGTAGAGATGAGGTCTTGTTATGTTGCTCAGGTTGGTCTCAAACTTTTTTTTTTTTGAGACAAGGTCTGGCTCTGTCGCCCAGGCCAGAGTGCAGTGGTGCCATCTCGACTTACTGCAACCTCTGCCTCCCAGGCTCAAGCAATCTTCCCACCTCAGCCTCCTCAGTAGCCAGGACTACAGGCTCATGCCACCACACCCGGCTCTTTTTTTTTTTTTTTTTTTGTATTTTTAGTAGAGACAGGGTTTTGCCATATTGCCCAGGCTGGTCTCAGACTTCTGGGTTCAAGGGATCCATCTACCTTAGTCTCACAAAGTGCTGGGTTTACAGGCGTGAGCTATTGCGCCCAGCCTCTATTTGTTTTTTAATAATCAAATTGCTCAAAAGAGTTGTCCACTGCTACTTTCTTTATACTTTTTCACTCATGTACTCATTGCAGAATTGTTTCTGACTTCTCCACTTCCATAACTAATAATAAAAATACAAAGAAGATCCACAGTGACCTCAACATAGCTAAATTCAAAGAACATGTGTATGTGATACATGTTGTATATGATACGTAAGGGTTCATACTGGGTAATCAAACAGGTAGAGACATCATTCCTGCCTTCCTGGAGCCAAGAGACAGGGGAGCTAATGAGTGTCTACAATACAGGAAATCATTGCTTTATGGAAGTACACATAAAGTGTGATGAAATCACACTGCTTCTCTAGGCAGTCTGCTAGAGGAGATGACAATTATTTTTCTAGTAAGTCAGCTGAACTCTTCAGCTAAGAATTGCAGGAAGAAAAGGAGACTGACAAAGTGAAAAATGCTGAGTGCTGTAAGAGAGAAGAGCACAGGTATAGTGACAAAGGGAAGCAAGAGAACTTCCCAGGGATGTGGAAAAGAGAGTTGCTCAGGGGATTTGTGAACAAGGTGATACTTGATCCAGATGCTGAAACATGAATAGGATGTGGACGTTTTGGAAGTCAGATGGCTGAGAAGCTGGAAGGATTCCCTCTCTAAAAGACTGCAATATGGAAGGCAAGAAGGGAATTTCATCTCCAAGTGGGAAGGCCCCACTGATTTTAAGGAATTAGGGGTAAAATGGCAATAGCACCTGTGCAAACACTGAGTGATGTTTCCAGAGGATTGTCAATTAGGTTATTTTCTACCTTTAATCACATGTACTGCGTTTTTACTGAGCGGGAAGCCCAGAAGCAAAAGGGTAGGGGGAACTGTGTTAGTTCGTCCCTTGCAAACTATCTCCATCTGCTCCGTGCTACTTAATCTGTTCTAAATGAGGGAGGAACAATGTAACCGAACGGGACTTTTTCCCTCTGTTTCTATGAGTTTAACTCAAAAAAACCCAAGCCATTTTGTATACCCTTTTCCTGCTCTACTCCTTAAACTCCCCTCTCTACTCCTCTTTGGGTCTGTTGGCAGAAAGAAAGGGAACAATATTCCATTTGTGAGTGAAAAGAGGACACACGATAGAATGGTTTAGAAATGGAAACAATGCCCCACATAAAGGACTTGTTCTTGGCTTCTCCCTCCATGCACCCCACTGAGTTTTTCTGAACTGTGTCAGGACACTTCCCTCCATCCATTGTCCCAGGGAGCCAGGAATGGTTTCTGTTGACTGGTTTTTAAGTTTCGGCCAATGTCACTATCAATTGGAACATCACAAATTAAAAAGCATGATGGCCCTAGGATACAGATACAGAAAGCGAACATAAAAAGAAAACAGAGAGGAAAAAAATAATTTGGATTTTTGCTTTCTGGCTTCAGGATCAAGAATGTGAGTGTTGGGGAGGGTTGCTGTTTTATGAGTCATATTGTGGCGGCTCTAGGATCAGTAATGAAAAAATTACGGAGTGATGAGTGAGGCTTAGTCCCTGGGGGGTTAGTGCAGAGAGGACAAGGGCCTGCCTTGGGCTGGCAGCAGCAGATACACAAGACAAAACAATAAACAGTGAAGGTGAATGAGGCAAGGAGGAAGAATTTAGTAACCCAGGGCTGTTTTGCCAGAGAACAGCCCCTTTCACAGCCGCCTGGTAACTCCACTGGAAGTGGTAGGAAGGCAGGCCAAAAGAGGTTCTTTATGCATTAAAAGCCTCATCCCAATTATGAAGTTTACAGGCTTCACGGGAGACATTTTGTTGTGTGTCCATGCCACATGCTGTTTGAACAAATGAGACTCCACAAATACCTTATAATTTAGTTTCCCTATTAATCTCAGTGGGGCAATATCTTTTATCCTCAACTCTATTGCAAACTTTGTGAGAGCAGAGATAGAGTCACCTGGTCTTTTGTGTGCATACATTCTATTAAGGCATAATTAACATATATTGTCATTTACAGATCTTCGATGCTCAATTTGATGAATTTTTTTTTTTTTTTGAGACAGAGTCTTGCTCTGCCGTCCAGGCCAGAATGCAGTGGCACGATCTTGGCACACTGCAACCTCTGCCTCCCTCCCGGGTTCCAGTGATTCGCTTGCTTCAGCCTCCCAAGTAGCTGGGATTACAGGCACGTGCCACCATGACTGGCTAATTTTTGTATTTTTAGTAGAGGTAGGGTTTCACCTTGTTGGCCAGGTTGGTCTCGAACTCCTGACCAGCCTCGACCTCCCAAAGTGCTGGGATTATTGGCATGAGCCACTGCACCCAGCCACTCTATTTGATGACAATTATATTGCGCCTGGCCACTCAATTTTTGACAGTTATGTACATTAATGTGACCACGATCCAAAATAAGATATAGAACATTTCCATTATTCCAGAAGGTTCCCTTGTGCTCCTTTTTAGCCTTCCCTATTTCCCATCCCCAACAAAACAGCTGGCTTTCTGAATTCTATCGCTGTAGATTAGTTTTGCCTGTTCTTGGATTTCATATAAATGGAATCGGATGGTATGTAGTCTTTCCCTTAACATGATGTTTTTGAGATTCAGCCACATTGGCATGTGTATGAGTAATTCGCTCTTTTGTGAGTAATATTCCATCGCATGGATGTATCACAATTTATCCATTCTTCTGTTTATCTCCTGGTGATAGACATTTTGATTGATTAATATTTGTCTACTATAAATAAGGCTCTCTGGAGTGGGGCATATGTTTTCATTTCAATACCTAAGAGTGAAATCGCTAGTTCATAGTATCAGTGTAAGTCTACCATCATAAGAAAATTCCAAACAGTTCTCCAAAGTGGTTGTAACATTTTGCATTCTTACTAGAATGTATGAGAATTTCAAGTATTCTACATCTTTGACCACAGGTAGTGTTGTCAGTCTTTTACGGTTTAGCCATTCTAGGGGTGTGAAATGGTGTATCATGGAAGTTTTAATTTGCAACTCCCTGATAATATTGCTGTGCACTTTTACACTGCTTTCTTGGTCAATCATATTTCTTATTTTGTGAAGTGTCTATTCAAGTCTTTTGTCCATTTTTTAAAGTATTGTTTGCCTTTTTATTGGTAATGCACAGGACTTTATTATATATCTGGGTTTTTTTGTTGTTGTTTTTTAAATAGAGACAGGGTCTCGTTATGTTGCCCAGGCTGGTGTTGAACTCCTGCCCTCAAGCAGTCTTCCTGCCTTGGCCTCCCAAAGAGCTGGGATTAGAGGTGTGAGCCACTGTGCTCATTATATATTCTAGATATAATTTAAAAATTAGGTTTATGTATTCAATTACCTTTCCTACTCTGTGGTTTGTCTGTTCATTTTCTTAATGGTGCTTTTTAATGAACAAATTTTTTACATTTATATACATATATGTATATTTTTTGAGATGGCATCTCCCTCTGTCACCCAGGCTGGAAGACAGTGGAGCCATCATTGCTCTCTGCAGTCTCGAACTCCTGAGCTCAAGTGATCCTCCCGCCTCAGCCTCCTGAGTAGCTGGGGCTACAGGTGTGCACCATCACACTCTGCTAATTTTTAAATTTTTTGTAGAGTTGGAGTTTTGCTATGTTGCCAAGGCTGGTCTGGAATTCCTGGCCTCAAGCTATCCTCCCGCCTTGGCCTCCCAAAGTGCTGGAATTATAGGGGTGAGCCACCATATCTGGCCATGAGCCACTGCGCCTGGCCATTCAATTTTTAATTTTACTGCAGTCTGGCATAATTTTTTTTTTTTTTTGGTTAGTGTTTTTTGTATATAGTCTAAAAAACTTCTGTCTACCTCAAGGTTGTAAAGATATTCTATGTTTTCTTCTGGATGCTTCACAGTTCTCGGATTTATATTTAGGTGTATGATCCATCTTGAATTAATTTTTGTAACAGAATAAAAGAGGGATCACAATTTATGTTTCCTCATACTGATTTTCATCTGCTCCAACAAATATTTCTTGAAAATACTTTTCTTTTTGGATTATTTCTGGACTACTGTGTTTCATCGATCTATTTGCATAGCTCGATGTTATTATTGTGTGTATGTTTCAAAATTCAGAATGGCAACTCTTTACACTGCTTGCTTCCCCAAACCCAAGCATACAGTCATTAATAGTGTCTTATATTTGCTTAGGACTTGATACTTTTCAAAGTCTGTAGTTGACTTACAGTAGTATGTTAGTAGTATTAATTAAATGCCTGTCATGTATCAGTATTGCTCTCTGCTCCTCCTTTATGTTATTCATTTAACACTTATTAGCTCTTTCACATAGGTATTATCTTTATTTTATTGATGAAGAAACAAAGGCATACAGTAATTAAATAACACCTGAGATCACACAGTCAGTCAGTCCTAGAGGTGCAATTCCAAACCAGCTCTAATGGGCTAAGAGTTTATACTCCTCCCTCTGCTATGGGGACAATGTGGTAATGTAATCTACTTTAAGCCAAAAGGTGCTCCTTGGACAATTTAGAAGGTATATTGCTTTAAGGTAAAATCTTAACTGTATATTTACTTATACAGCTAGTGTTTGTGCTGTTGTTTTTATCAGTATATTGACAGAAACCGTTGAATCTGAAGGAAAAAAAGTGAAAACAAAACAAGACATGTTTGATGCTGTGGGAAGAAAGTATTAGAAGTGAAACCTAATCGTTCATGACATAGAAGGCATAAACGAAGCAGCAAACTGAGGAACTGGGGGAATTGGGGAAAAGGTGAGCACTATGTGCATTCTCACTGATCTGGCTTTTCCATGGTTCAGGGTGTCTAATAAAATGAATACATGCTCAGAATGCTGCCCCCCTGCCTTTCTTTCTTGGGTCCATAAATGACTCTAGTGAGGTGGGAGGTAGGCTCTTCATTGTTTCTACTTGGAGCCACTGACTTTAAAGTTTTAATAAAAAAAAAAATAGAGCACAAAGACATTTTCAAGAGAAGCCTTATGTTGCTTCTGAAAGCATTACAGTATAATCAAGAGTTTGCCTCCTTGAGTTCTTTGTAAGTTTGGTTGCCTAGAGAAACAGCCTGGCGGCCTCCAGGGTCATCACTGTGAACAAACAGCAGCTCCAGTGGGATGGCTCACACCTCTTAATCACTTCCAGCGCCAAGAGCGCAGGAGTCAAGTGCACGGGAAGAAAAGAGCCAACCTGGTCAAACTAGTTTGACTTTTAAAATGAACCTGAATCATACGTTTCTGTTCACTTTGAAAATAGTTCTGGACTATCATTTAAATGCCACCTTACACTGAGGCAAGTCTTCTGAACTACCAGATGTTTAAAAAAAAATAGATCAGATTCTGGTTCTGAATTTTTTCAGCAGCAATCACAAGAGTTGAATTTTTATTCATTTGTCTGCTCATTCATTCATTCATTCATTTATTCATCTATTCATCACTCAACAGGCATTCATTGTGCTAAATTCCTTGTGCTAAATTCTGCTTGGTGAATATTTGCAATCTTCGTATTATTGTTCAAGTGATTGCCCGTTTTTTGAAAAATAACAAACAGAAAGAAGATTATGAAGGCCAGGCACGGTGGCTCACGCCTGTAATCCCAGCACTTTGGGAGGGTGAGGCAGTTGGATCACCTGAGGTCAGGAGTTCAAGACCAGCCTGGCCAACATGGTGAAACCCCGTCTCTACTAAAAATAAAAAAAAATTAGCTGGGCATAGTGGCAGATGCCTGTAAACCCAGCTATGAGGCAGGAGAATTGTTTTAACCCCGGAGGCAGAAGTTGCAGTGAGCCGGGACCGTGCCACTGTACTCCAGCCTGGGTGACAGAGACCCTGTCTAAAAAAAAAAAAAAAAAAAAAGATTATGACTTTGCATAGAATTCAGTTGGGGGATGGAGAGGAGACAGAGTGGTTAGGATATTTTAACTATAAAATATATAGGGCCGGATACGGTGGTTCACGCCTGTAATCCCAACACTTTGGGAGGCTGAGGCGAGTGGATTGCTTGGGCTCAGGAGTTTGAAACCAGCTTGAGCAACATGCCAAAACCCCATCTCTACAAAAAATACCAAAAATTAGCTGGGTGTGGTGACCCATGTCTGCAGTCCCAGCTACTTGGAGGCTGAGGTGGGAGAGTGGCTTGAGCCCAGCAGGCATAGCTTGCAGTGAGCCAAGATCATGCCACTGCACTTCAGCCTCGATGACAGAGCCAGACTCTGTGTCAAAAAAAGAAAAAAAAAAGTGTGTGTGTGAATATATATATATATATATGGCAGAATATGATTATTCTTATGGTTCTGTTTCAATGGTACATTACCTTGGAATATTAGTCCCTAGGTTTTGATGATATATTTGCTTTTATAACTCATCAGTATTTTTTCACTGTGTAGATCAGTACCTTTTGGGTGGTTTTGAGTACATTATAATATTGTAGTTTACTTTTTGTGATGTACTGAGTATTTGAGGGTACTGCAAGGTGAGTATTTGCAGATACTACCTTTTTTAGTTTAAATATTAATAATATCCCCAGTTTCATAAGCTGGTTATGAATGTAAGACTGACTGATAAACAGATCTGACTTTTTCTGGAGGGGGCCTGGGCAGGAGCGGTATTAAAACTTTCTGCAAAATTTCTCCTAAGTTTCACCAAATAACAGAAAGCTGTGTCTGTTGGTCAGCATTACTAGTTTGTGGAAGTTGGGTCAGCATTACTGGTTTGTGGAAGTGGCTTTACCCTCTCATATTTGCTCATAGTCATTTTCCAAAATACTTCTAGGTTTCTAGTTAAAGTACTGTTGCCATGCCAGGCCCCTGAATTATGGCGGACATCTGAGGCCAGGACCAGGAACTGCCAAGGCTAGACTGGGAATGGAACAAAAGGAGAGCCAGACCCGGGAGCTGGCAGGACCGGGGATTGCTTAGAAACTAGCGGTTAAAGATGGAGTCTAGGGAACAGTCGAGAGTCACGCAAATGTTAGAGGTGCCCTTGGCCTCATGAGTGGTCGGTAGAAGGCGGCTGCAAGGAGCCTTTGAAATGGTGCCGAGTTCTTCCTCTGCCAGAAAGCCTTTCCTCCGCGCTGACTGTGTCAAAGGCTACTCCCAGGTGTGCTGAGCAGGGGAGCCGTGTGGGGGGATGGCCATCGAGTTAACCTCTAGAGAGGGGACGTGTGGGCTGCACAGGATTCTGGGGGGCTGACCTAGGAGGGGCAGCAGTGCAAGTCCTCTTACTCCTGGTCCTGTGCTCCTTTTAATACGCCACGCTGCTGCTGCCTCTGATCCGGAAAGCTTTTCTGATACAATGGCGGCTCCTCGTCTTCTTCCATCTCTAAGGAGATTAGTTAGTTACAAGGCAGGAAGTTGAATAGCGTCAGGCTTTAATCTCCTGGTTATTCTGAGGTTGTTTGATGTTAGCTCTTCCTTCAGACCAGGGCTTTGAAAGGGCTTATTTTTTTTCTGTGACAGAGAAATGACCAGGACACAGCCATATATTAAATTCCAAGGGCCCTCACATCTATTTGCTTTGTGTATTTTGTGTACAAATATACATGATGATTTTTAGAGAATATTGCTCTCTTTTTTCTCTCTCTCTTTAATGCATTTGTTTCTTGCTCCTGTTTCCTCTTAGCTCATTTTTATTCCATTAGGTTGTAGCTGGGCTGATTCTCTGAGTGTGCCTTCTCAGCCTGTGGGGTGAATACAGGATTAAGAACACAGACAGAGCCTGACAGCCACGTTAATTGTTTACTTACTTACTATTTAACACATAATATCAGGCTTGTTTCTCTGTTTCCTAGCAGCTGGAGTGAGATATCCTCCTGCTCCACCGTAAAACCTTCTGCTGCAGCCTAAGTTGACATATCCAGCCTGAATTTTAGATTCTTACAAAACAAGTTCAAATTTAATGTTTTGAAGAGCATCCAACTAGAGTAATAAAATACTATTTAGAACGAGTTTTTAGAGGATCTGTTTTACTAAAAAGAGAACAAACTTCATAATTGCCATTTCAACTATTCTTAAATGGCATATCAAATAACTTCACAACACTGAAAACTTCATGTTTTTACTTGTTTTATAAATTCTATAATCAGTTTTATGTTATTTGTTTGTTTAGTAAATGCTTGTTTTTAAACCATAATACAAAAGTAAAAGACACTTCTGTTTCTATATACATTACATAAATGTCGATTGTAAGTGTAATTGTGTTGTTAGTTCCTATGTGGAATACGGGCTACAGTACGTGGGCTGCACCCATCACCAGTCGAGGTTTCCTTTACTAATAGGTATAATGATCTTTTTGTGAACAATCATACATTCCTGCATAATTAATTGAATCTTTGTGTTGTCCAAGAAAGACAAACCCAGCTTTAGGACCTGAGCTTGGCTGAGCAGAAACAGTACAACGTTTTGCTCACGGGCTTCCAAGTTTGAATGTGGTATCATTTTTTCAAGAGATAATGGGCTTATAGTTCTGGGTTTGATCATCTCTGCCATGTGATATTTTCCTTTGATTTTCAGAGCACTCCAATCATTGTTCAATGGAAGACTTAAAAGAAGCCCTGTGACTCGGGCTCAAATCTGAATAAGATAGTTTCGAAGGAGAAGGAAGAGAAGTTAGATAAAGATGAGAATTCAGAGGCGGAGAAGTAAGGTGAGAGTCTGGGGCAACATGCCTGCCTGGTGTGTTCTAGAGAACCCAGCAAGTCCCATCACAAAAACCTCCAATTAAGCCTCAAAGCACAACAAATTTTCCTCTTATCCAGAGAGAATATTATATCTTTCTAAAGAAGCAGCATATGGGAGCTGCTGGGAAGGCTTTCCAGTGCAATTAAAAGGCAGATAGATCAGAGAACGCAGGGCTCCTGAAGCTGTCTGATCTCTTGCCTATGATTTGTCTCAAGTGCAATTGACAGCCCCAACTAGCAATTACAATGCAGAGACTGGTATAGCTGGAGACTGGTCCAACAGGGAGGGAAGGCTTGACCATTTACATGCAGTTAATTATTAAGGGCTGTCAGATGTCAGAATGGGAATTGGTAATATTGTGGTTAAACGCCCACCACATGTCTAATTTGAGTTGTGCCCACTACCTCCAGCACCAGTTCAAATTAAGTCTACATTAATGTCTGATGACTCACAGCTGTGCAGCATGCAACTCCGTGTACTCCAGGGGTGGGAGGGGAATTTGCATACCAGTTAGTGCCAGATAATGATTATGAAAGATGTGCATTTCTCTTTGTTGGAATAAGTACCATATAAGCCAAAGCGATAGTTACTGTTTTAAAACCATCTTCATGCTTAAGAAAATGTTGATCTGTAAATTAGCTTCTTGGTGCGATGAATTTCGCTTAAGAAAGGCAATTCCAGGTGAAACAATTTTCATGTTGTCAATGGGTGCCAAATAGGCCCCAAAGAGATCAGAATATGGCCAAATGAGAATTGAAATAAAACCTGTCTTTATAATAATTCTCTATTAAGCTTGATGAGAGTTTATGTTTCGGGCTGCCAAAATACTCTTTTTGTTTTTTTTTGGATGACAATGATTTTGAATGTAGTGCTCCAAGTGGGCCCCTGGAGCTGTGGTCATGGTGCCCACCTGCCTAGCATTTGGTGAAGGGAGTTTTCTGGGGGTCTTCCACCATGCCAATGATCTCACAGCAGGTTTCTACCCATCCAGACAGGCAGAGAGCAGGTGTCACTCGGCTCAGAGGTGCACTCTGATGGTGGCCAGGGACTTCGGAAGCTTTGAGAGCGATGGCCGATTTCCAGCAATCCAGAGGGCTGTATGGGGAACCCCTCATGCAGAAATATTTTGGGGTCCTGGGCAAACATATGGTTTTGTGATATGTGGTAAGCAGAGGGGAATGGAAATTGGTGGTGGGAGCCAGGTGGGCATATTGGCATTCCATGCTCTTGGCCATTCCATGGGCTGGCTTGCTGGAAACTACATGCTTAGAAGGAAGCTGGTGTTAGGCACTGTTTATTATGAAAAAAAAAAACACTTCTGAGAAGACCAAAACAGGAATCCTTTGTTTATAAAACAGATGGTATAGCCTGTCCTTTCATCAAAAATCATACCATTTTTTCCTTTATAAAAAAATTGATAGGAAATCACCTCAAAAACCAAGTCAAAGCTTAAAAAATCATGTTCATTCTTGGCACTAGAGGTCTTTTGTTTTCTTTTACTTAGCTAAAAATAAAAATATATTTAATGACAGACAGATGAAGGAAAAATAGGACTTTGATAAGGTTTAAGCATTTTCAATGATGACTACAGAAGCATTTAGAAAACACAAGAGGATGTGAATGTGTCACATGCTTGGGTTTCATGCTAAACAGACAGCAGGAGCTATGGAATGGAGACCTCACTTGGGGCCAAGAGACTATCTGTTTCCATTGAAGTTCCTAAAAAAACCCTTTGTGGGGAGGCGGCCTCCAAGCGGGAGCAGAAGGCCAAGTGCAGGCCTCAGCCTGGTCACTCTGGTTAGTGTTCTCTTTCTGTCCTCCAAGTGGGTGATTAGAAAGCCCAAACATAATGATCTGTTATGGACAGAGATCACAGTGCCTGCGGTTTCCAGAAGCTGCTGCTGACATGGTCTTGACAAGAGCACCAGCTCAGGGGTCACTCGAGTTGGAGCTATGGGCTTGGCGCCATGAGAAAACTTCAGTACTGGGGACCGTTGAGCATCACACAGAGTGTGAGGTGGCTTTCTTTCATCAGGTGTTTGGTCTGAGCTAGACTACTGCTTCTCTCTGCTCATCACTTATTTCAAGTAGAGTTATTTCCTGATGGTACCCAGAGACTTGGTCATGACTATTGAAACCATAATGCTTCCTAAATAATAATCAGGCATACTGACTGTACAGTAATAATTCTGCCATTCAGGGCCCATCTGAAACCAACAAGTGTGCAGTATGCCTGCAACACTTGTATGATAGGACACCTGTTTGCAAACTCGTTTTTCTTTTTGGTCTATTCCTCTGATTTCCTGTTTTCAGAAACACCAAATAGCCTGCCCTTCTGCTTTGTTAGCAACTTCTCTATCTTTCAAAACTGTCAGTTTGATGAGTTGTTCTAGATTTAATACCACACTTCTTAAAGGGCCTGACTTCCTGGGTGGTAGATGCAGTATAAAGGCTGGGATAGAAACTACATTTGTGTCCTAATGTCTACTGGGTCCTATGAAAAATGGTACCCAGGAAAGGATAAATATTTGTCCCAAGATGATGTAAGTTGATAAATTTTACTAAATTGGTAAAGGCAGCCTGCAGGAGCCACAGAACATACCAGTCAGTTTTGCTCTGGTGCTAGATATGGTCCCTTGCCTGGGAGTGAACTAGTTCCCCAGTCCTAAAGAATGAAGTCCACTGTGGGTGTGAGGGGGTTGCATTCTCAGTTGGGAGGGATGGAGGGAAGCTGCCAAGCTTGGCCCAGCCTTGCCATTTCATCCTTTGCTAGCTGGCCGGCCTTGAGCAAGTTATTTAGCTCTTTAGAATCTCAGTAACTTGCTTTGCAAAGTCAGGGAAATAACACCCTCATAAGTTTGTTATGAGAAACCAGTGACACAGACCACATGGGCATTATCCCAGTACCAGACACATGGCAAGAACTTGACTGATGTGCCTTTCTTTCCTCTGTCTTTTTCTCATTACTTTATATTATGGTTATCTTAATGACAATATCTTTTCTTTTTAGTTATTACACAGAGTTTTCATAACAGTTTCATGCAGATCATTATTTTCGATAATGTATTTCTTACTTTTTTAGCACTTACCAAAAGTGTCACCAATGTAGTTGTTATGTAACTATCTGTTTTATGTTTGTCTTCTCCTTAGTATGTAGTAGCTCTTTGAGGACAGGGCCCATGCCTGCCTAGTTCATTTCGGTATTCTTGGTGCCTCCTATTACCCGGCACAGAGGACACACTCAAAACCTTTGTTGGGTAAATAAATCAATTCTTTTTGTTTTTCCTTTTCTTTTTTTTTTTTTTTGAGATGGAGTCTCACTCTGTCACCCAGGCTGGAGTGCAGTGGTGCAATCTCGGCTCACTGCAAGCTCCGCCTCCCGGGTTCACACCGTTCTCCTGCCTCAGCCTCCCGAGTAGCTGGACTACAGGCACCCGCCACCATGCCCAACTAATTTTTTTGTATTTTTAGTAGTGACGGGGTTTCACCCTGTTAGCCAGCATGGTCTCGATCTCCTGAACTTGTGCTCTGCCCGCCTCAGCCTCCCAAAGTGCTGGGATTACAGGCATGAGACACTGCGCCTGGCCTAAATAAATCAATTCTTACAAAAACCCAGACTCACGTGGGGTAGGGGAGAGAGTCCCGTTGGAAAGATGGGTGCTTGATGGACAAAACAACAACAACAACAAAACCAAACAAACCTGTAGCTGTCCAATCTCCCAGGTCTTCTGATTTCTGCTCTAATAGCCAATAAACCTTGTTGCTTCTCAATGGCACTGGGTTTTCTCTGGCATAGTCTTGTCCAATACTTAGGTACCTGAGCTGGGGGTCAGTTTGAATGAAAGGATAGTAAGAACAAATAGTGAAAAGTTCATTAAACTACAAGCCTTGTAATTTCTGCTTGGAAAACCTTGGGACAAATTAACCATGTGCTTTAATTATCAGCCTCATCTGGGTCATGTCTGCTCTAGGCTTCAACCCTGCTGAATTCTCTCTCATGTCAGGTTTTGTGTACATGACATTTCCTTTATCTTTATCCTCCATTGACACACACACCCTCCTCTGCCTGCCTAACTCCTGTTTATTCTTCAGAGCTCAGCCCAGGGGCCCCTCTCTGTACCACACAAATTTAGGTTAGGTCCAGTTTTAGGTGCTTCCAAATTGTGTATTTCACCCTTTATCTAAAGTGTATCATGCTACATTGTAATTTCCTTACTTATCTGTGTTCCTTTCCAAACCTTAAGTCTCCAAAGAGCAAGAAATAGGTTTATTTCGTATGCTCAGGACCCGGAAGACTGCCTGGCATAAAATAGTTGGTGCTCAAAAAATGTTGTCAACTGAAAATATAAGGTAGAAGGAGAAAGTCTCGTATAAATTCCTCTCCCTCATTGATAACCACTTTAATTTTTGGCAAGACAGATGAAATCAACAACATAAAGACAATATAACTGTGTGTGTCACATAGACAATATAGCTATACGAGGATTAGAGAAAATATATTAAAATGATTAAAGACAACAGGCTTTTCAATTTCACTTGCAAACTAAGCCATTTATTTATCTTCCCCACTATGGATTGGCTTTTTGAAAATTAGATAAATGAAATTGGTCTGACCCCTTTGGAATTTTTTATTGTTTCTACACTGATTATTTGAATTGCATGTGTCTCCATAACTTTGGTTCCATTTGCAAAAGGAAATGAGGCCCACTGTCTTGGATACCTACATTTTTCTCTGGTCTCCAGCACAGGTGAGCAGCACAGCCCTCGTGCATCAGGTCTTAGATAAGTTCTTTAGGAGCCTTTCAGTTAAGTAAAGTATGAGAACTTTCAGGGTTTCCAGGATCTAAGCAACCAGGAACAATTCCCCACTGTTTTCAGCAAGACAAACAGAAATAAAAGAGGGGAGGGGAGAGAAAACCCTGGTCTCTGATAAATAACCTTTCCATATGAAGTGCACATCAGTCTGACACAAGTAATTAGCTGTCAGGTGCTGGGCTTTGCTGTCAGAGGCCAATTTTCAGATTAGTGTTAATTGCAGCCCCCCCCCCCCGCCCTGCCCCCCGGCCTTCGAGGGCCTTTGCTCCCACCCCTCAGCCCGCAGCAGGCTCCCTTCCCCAGCTTGCTGCCAGTGTGACTGCAGCCTAGAGTAATGGAGCTGGCAGGGTGGAATCAATTACTGGCCAGTGAAGATTTTCCCACAGGTCTGGGCTTGGGAAAGGAGGGCTATTCCTGCTGCCTAGACAGCTGGCCTGACTGTCCACTGGGAAAGGAGCCTACCCAAGGAGAGAGAGGGGCTTGCTAGTGATAAACCGCTGACAGCCCATACATTATTGACAAGATTTGGCAGAGAGGGGCCTCTGCTACCTCTGCTCGTCCTGGTTCTCTTTGAGTTTTGTGCTTGCACCGACTACTGCTTTATCCCAACATCTTGCTGCCCACATGAAAGTACACACACGGAAAAACCCAGTTCCCATTTGCTCATGGGTTTCAGTCCAAGAGGAAAAAGAAAAGGAAGATGGGATGGGGTTATTACAGTCTAACAGCAATATTTGGAAATAAATTATTTGTGCAATTTTTCTATTTAATTTTTTTTTTTTTTGAGATGGAGTCTTGCTCTGTGGCCAGGCTGGAGTGCAGTGGCGCAATCTCGGCTCACTGCAACCTCCACCTCCAAGGTTCAAGTGATTCTCCTGCCTCACTCAGCCTCCCGAGTAGCTGGGACTGCAGGCACCCGCCACCATGCCCAGCTAATTTTTGTATTTTTAATAGAGACGGGGTTTCACCATGTTGTCCAGGATGGTCTCGATCTCTTGACCTTGTGATCCACCTGCCTCGGCCTCCCAAAGTGCTGGGATTACAGGCGTGAGCCACTGCGCCCGGCCCCTATTTAAATTTTTTTGTCATGATGAGAGTCATGCTTTGTGTCATTTTGGTTCAGTTGTATTCACCCCATGTAATTCATGATGGAACCTGTGCTGGGGCCACCTGAGTTTTATGGTCACTTCCAAAGTTTTGAGATATTTTGAATTTTAGTCAGAGGATTCATTTAGAATTGCACTTAAACAATCCTAAACTCAAAGTTTTGAGACATTTTGAACTTTAGTCAGAGGATTCATGTAGGATTGCACTTAAAAAATCCCCGGCCAGTCATGGTGGCTCATGCCTGTAATTCCAGCACTTTGGGAGGCTGAGGTGGGATTACGCTTGAGCTCAGGAGTTCAAAATCAGCCTGGGCAACAAGGTGAAACCCCATCTCTACAAAAAATACAAAAATTAGCTGGAGCTGGACATGGTGATGCACACCTGTAGTCCCAGCTACTCAGGAGGCTGAGGTGGGAGGATCACTTGAGCCCTCCCTTAAGCAGGAAATTGAGGCTGCAGTCAATGCACTCCAGCCTGAGTGACAGAGCAAAACCTTGACCAAAAAAAAAAAAAAAAAAAAAATCTTGCCCCTTCATGTTTTCTGCTTAGCAATAATAATAAAATCTCCATGAAGATGTTTTGCTTTCAATTTTCCACTATCGTTTATGTCTTTATCTGAAATTTTGAGCAAGAATAACCACTTGAATGTAGGCAAACTAAAACCCCACAGTGTTTTAATAATACCACTGACTATTCAAGAGCAGAGAGTTCATATTAAAGTACCAAAATCCATTTACAATAATATAAACATTTCAGAGAAACTTTCGTCTTTGAAAGATGCATTAAACTGTTTAACTTTCCATAAAATAGACATTAAAATAAGACAAGAAAACTACACTGAAAGAATGATATAAAAACTAATGCCACATTATAACAAATTAAAACGTTTATACAAGAAAATCTTTTCTTAATAACCTCTTAATTGATTTCCCTTTTATCATATGTTGTTTTCTTTTAGGAAACTAACACCAGGTTGAATTTTTTTTCTTTCTGTTTTGCACATAAAATGTCTATGGATCTAAGAGAAAGTTTAACTGTATAATTGGAACAGTCTTTGATTACAATCACTCAGTTCAAAATTAAAGTAGATAAATAAGCATGGGTCTGGAATGTTAAGAAAAAAAAAGTGGGCTGTTGCAATAAAACAGGTTCATATCCCTTGAGTGACAAGTTTCAGATGCTAGGCCTAAAAGGTCTCTTGGAAACCTAACAACTGGGATGAGAAATGCAAGTTCGAGATTCACTAGCCATACCTCCTGTAATCAAAGAAAAATGATCATGCAGAGTTCCCCTAGCTCTCCCTTGCAAAAAGTGATTCCCCGCTCTTTGCCCTGGAAGAAGGCTGGGGGTTGGGGGGCATAGGAGGTGGAATTAAGAATCAAGAATGCTCCCGCCTGTTCTGTGCACAGGAGGGGAGGGCTTATAGGTGACTTCTTTCAAACCACACCTGTGACAATGTTAAATGATTCTAAATTCCGGAATGAGGGGTTTGTGACCAAAGTTCTGTGGTGCAATGTCCTGGTTAAACTCTATGGAATCTTGAATCCCTGGTGACTGACATGTAAAATGATGTCATTAGTGTCCTTGCTTTAAAAAAGTCCCTATCAGATGCCCTCTCTCACCACTCCTGTTCAACATAGTGTTGGAAGTTCTGGCCAGGGCAATCAGGCAGGAGAAAGAAATAAAGGGTACTCAATTAGGAAAAGAGGAAGTCAAATTGTCCTTGTTTGCAGAAGACATGATTGTATATCTAGAAAACCCCGTTGTCTCAGCCCCAAATCTCCTTAAGCTGATAAGCAACTTCAGCAAAGTCTCAGGATACAAAATCAATGTGCAAAAATCACAAGCATTCTTATACACCAATAACAGACAAACAGAGAGCCAAATCATGAGGGAACTCCCATTCACAATTGCTTCAAAGAGAATAAAATACCTAGGAATCCAACTTACAAGGGACGTGAAGGACCTCTTCAAGGAGAGCTACAAACCACTGCTCAACGAAATAAAAGAGGATACAAACAAATGGAAGAACATTCCATGCTCATGGATAGGAATAATCAATATGGTGAAAATGGCCATACTGCCCAAGGTAATTTATAGATTCAATGCCATCCCCATCAAGCTACCATGACTTTCTTCACAAAATTGGAAAAAACTACTTTCAAGTTCATATGGAACCAAAAAAGAGCCCACATTGCCAAGTCAATCCTAAGCCAAAAGAACAAAGCTGGAGGCATCACGCTACCTGACTTCAAACTATACTACAAGGCTACAGTAACCAAAACAGCATGGTGCTGGTATCAAAACAGAGATATAGACCAATGGAACAGAACAGAGCCCTCAGAAATAATGCCACACATCTACAACTATCTGATCCTTGACAAACCTGACAAAAGCAAGAAATGGGGAAATGATTCCCTATTTAACAGATGGTGCTGGGAAAACTGGCTAGCCATATGTAGAAAGCTGAAACTGGATCCCTTCCTTACACCTTATACAAAAATTAATTCAAGATGGATTAAAGACTTAAATGTTAGACCTAAAACCATAAAAACCCTAGAAGAAAACCTAAGCAATACCATTCAGGACATAGGCATGGACAAGGACTTCATGTCTAAAACACCAAAAGCAATGGCAACAAAAGCCAAAATTGACAAATGGGATCTAATTAAGCTAAAGAGCTTCTGCACAGCAAAAGAAACTACCATCAGAGTGAACAGGCAACCTACAGAATGGGAGAAAATTTTTGCAATCTACTCATCTGACAAAGGGCTAATATCTAGAATCTACAATGAACTCCAACAAATTTACAAGAAAAAAAACAAACAACCCCATCGAAAAGTGGACGAAGGGTATGAATAGACACTTCTCAAAAGAAGACATTTATGCAGCCAAAAGACACATGAAAAAATGCTCATCATCACTGGCCATCAGAGAAATGCAAATCAAAACCACAATGAGATACCATCTCACACCAGTTAGAATGGCAATCATTAAAAAGTCAGGAAACAACAGGTGCTGGAGAGGATGTGGAGAAATAGGAACACTTTTACACTGTTGGTGGGACTGTAAACTAGTTTAACCATTGTGGAAGTCAGTGTGGCGATTCCTCAGGGATCTAGAACTAGAAATACCGTTTGACCCAGCCATCCCATTACTGGGTATATACCTAAAGGATTATAAATCATGCTGCTATAAAGACACATGCACATGTATGTTTATTGTGGCACTATTCACAGTAGCAAAGACTTGGAACCAACCCAAATGTCCAACAATAATAGACTGGATTAAGAAAATGTGGCACATATACACCATGGAATACTATGCAGCCATAAAAAAGGATGAGTTCATGCCCTTTGTGGGGACATGGATGAAGCTGGAAACCATCATTCTCAGCAAATTATTGCAAGGACAAAAAACCAAACACCGCATATTCTCACTCATAGGTGGGAATTGAACAATGAGAACACTTGGACACAGGAAGGGGAACATCACACACTGGGGCCTGTCATGGGGTGGGGAGAGAGGGGAGGGATAGCATTAGGAGATATACCTAATGTAAATGACGAGTTAATGGGTGCAGCACACCAACACTGCACATGTATACATATGTAACAAACCTGCACGTTGTGCACATGTACCCTAGAACTTAAAGCATATAAAAAAAAAGTCCCTATCAAATTATTCTGCTTTGGCCGGGGGTGGTGGCCCACACCTGTAATCCCACCAGTCGCACTTTGGGAGGCCAAAGTATGACTGTCACTTGAGGCCAGGAGTTCAAGACTAGCCTGAGCAACACAGTGAGACTTCATCCCTACTAAAAATTTAAAAATTAGCTGAGTGTAGTTGTGCATGCTTGTAGTCCTAGTTGCTCAGGAGGCTGAGGTGGGAGAATCCTCTTGAGCTCAGGAGTTTGAGGTTGTAGTGAGCTGTGATGATTTCCACTGCACTCCAGCCCGGGAGACAGAGAGAGGCCCTGTCTCAAAACAACAAACAACAATGACAAAAATCAAAACCAAATTATTGTGCTTTGTATCTAACCTGGAACAGTAGTCCTGTGATGTGATTCACTAATCCAATTTCTGTTTTTAGAACATTTGCCAACTTTGTCCCATGATTTTGTTGCCTGCAAAATATTATTCTCCTTATTTTGAAAAAAATGGAGATATACAGCGGGGCTAGGGGCTGCTCTTCTGTGCCATTGTAGTGTCCTAACAAACCTATTAGACCATTTATTACATTCTGAGGTTCTCAGACACTCATCCGCTCCATCAGAGGTCCTGCCACCCACTGGGGCACTGTTTGAGGTGGGTCAGGTCTGTCGAGCTACTTATAGGACAACCTTCTCTAAATTTCAAATGATGGGGTGATACTGGGGGACATCTCCATCCCCTTTCTTTCTGAGATCAAGAGCTGTCACTTACTTCCAGGACTGTTCTTCCATTAAGGAGGAAGGAGAAGTTACCAAATACCCCAGTCTTCTGTTAAGATGACATGGTGCTGCACAGAGAGAGGCAAGAAAAAGTTGTTATCGAAAATACTGGGCAATTTTGATTATTGGGAAGCATTTTGAAGCTAAAGTTTTTGGATTATATATTTACAGAGGTCATTTACACTTTGGTCATTCAACTCTATAATAAACATACCTATGAAGCAGGAGTATCTTTTGCTTTTTTGAGATGGAGTCTCGCTCTGTTGCCCAGGCTGGAGTGCAGTGGAGCAATTTTGGCTCACTGCAAGCTCCACCTCCTGGGTTCACACCATTCTCCTGCCTCAGCATCCCAAGTAGCTGGGACTACAGGCGCCCACCATCACACCCGGCTAATTTTGTTTTTGTATTTTTAGTAGAGACGGGGTTTACACCACGTTAGCCAGGATGGTCTTGATCTCCTGACCTCGTGATCCACCCACCTCGGCCTCCCAGAGTGCTGGGATTACAGGCTTGAGCCACTGCGCCTGGCCGCAGGAATATCTTTTATAAACATTCAGTTAATGCTTTTGAATTCCTTTCTTTGCATCTCCCACCACCTGATAGCTTCCCACCCCTAAGAAGCCAAGTGAGAAGGGCAGATAGGGTGAGCCCTTAACAATGAGCTTGGCTGGGCGCAGCGGCTCATGCCTTTAATCCAGCACTTTGGGAGGCCGAGGCTGGCGGATCACCTGAGGTCAGGAGTTCGAGACCAGACTGGCTAACATGGTGAAACCCTGTTTCTATTAAAAATACAAAATAAATTAGCTGGGTATGGTGGCAGGCACCTGTAATCCCAGCTACTTGGGAGTCTGAGGCATGAGAATCACTTGAACCCAGGAGGCAAGTGAGCCGAAATCAAGCCACTGCACTCCAGCCTGGGCGACAGAGTGAGAGTGCATCTCAAACAAAAAACAGCCTTTAAAACCAAGAAGAAAGGGGTATTGTTGTAGATTCTTTTGGCTCTTCATTAGTCCCTAGAGAGCCAGCTTGTCCCATCAGATTATAAAGATTGCCCCATAGTTTAAACTCCTGTCCAAAAGACCAAAGTGTTAAATTCAGAGAAAGGTTGCCTCTTTGAGCCAGTGGATTTGGGGAGGAGAAGGAAAGAGGGAGGAAGGGGATAGGAAGAAGAGTGAAGATGGTGTTCCTTTCTCCCCTCTGTATGTTTCAGTCTGAGAGGGATAGATAAGTTAGATAAAGTTGGGGACCACCAAGGTCTGGGGTCTCTTTCCCTGCTTCTCACCTGGGACTTGAAAACAATTCACTTTGCTGGGGCCCAATACCACCATTAAGCATAGTTCAGTCAGTGGTGCAGTGTGGTTAGATGGAGAGAGGGTCCAGGGTGCACCCGGAGCTGCCCTTGGGAGTCAGTGAGTCCCAAGGGGCCTGCTGTGGGAGGGTGAGGGGGTCTTAGAGCAATGACTGTGTGAGACTGGGAAGCCAGGTGGAGAATGGGGCAGAAACCTGGGGGAGTCAGTGGCCAACAAAAGCCAAGGGGAGGTGGATTCAGCAGGGAAGAGTCCCTACGCCCTGACTGGCTGAGAAAGAATAGACTGTAAGTTTATCAGCTGCAGGATATTAGCAACGGACACCAGCTGAATGCTCAGGAACCACTCAAGCCAGTGATTCCCCGGCGGACCTTGGAACAGCCACTGTGCAGCTGGTCTGGAGAACAGCCGGCCAGTCCCGAGGCCCAGTCACCCTGCCTCCACCAGGTCAGGGGGCTGCTCAGTACACAAGCCACCCTTCGGGGCAGGACTGAGGGAGGAGAAGCAAAAAGGGAGAGGCTAACCTAACGAACTGGTTAAGTGCATTGCACTGAATTAAAGCTAAGACGGAGATTTAGTTATTGTTTTCTCACTTCCTAGCCACTGGGGCCAAATCAAATCAAATGCAGAGGAAAAATAAACACATTTCTCTGCATGTCCGAGGTGCAGTGTGAGTATTCGTGGTCCCTCTACCTCTGCGACTGTTTTCTCAGAAACTTAAATCCTCTAAGCCTGGATCACGCACATCTACGTGGATTGGCAAGGTGAGCAAGGCCTCCACTGCTCAGGCTTCTGTTTTCTCGTGTGTAAAATGACAGCAGGTGTTAAGATGTTCTCTCATGTTTTTATACCCACAAAATTCTATAAATAGGAAGAGGAAAGCATGCTCCATGGTCCTGGGTGGGATGTGGTAGTGCTTTTCAAATCTTTCCACCAGTTTTCCAGTGGCAGAGAAGAGAGAGATTGTGCCTTCCAGGGTTGTTGTGTATGTGGCTTAAAGCATTCCCCTGCAGGCAGGAGATTTCTTTATAGTTCTGTGTTTTATTTTTTACTTTTATTTTTTGAGATGGAGTCTTGCTGTGTCACCAGGCTGGAGTGCAGTGGTGCAATCTTGGCTCACTGCAACCTCTGCCTTCTGGGTTCAAGCAATTCTCCTACCTTAGTGTCCTGAGTAGCTGGGTCTACAGGCGCACACCACCATGCCCGGCTAATTTTTGTATTTTTAGTAGAGACGGGGTTTCACCGTGTTGGCCAGGATGGTCTCAATGTCTTGACCTTGTTATCTGCCTGCCTCAGCCTCCCAAAGTGCTGGGATTACAGGCATGAGCCACCGTGCTTGGCCAGTTCTGTGTTTTATTTTAAGAAATTCATATATGCCTTATATTTCATAATATATGTGTGTTCGTTTTAATACAAAAACAATGCTTTAAATTACGCACAATTGACTAAAACTGATGCACTGGAAGATATACCAAATTTTATCCTATGGCTTCCATTACTTTCTGGCATGCTGCTCTAACCCTGGGGAACACTAGTGAGAAGTCCGGGTTGGGAATGCCATGAGGATTCACCTAGGCTGGCATATTTTTCAATGTAGAAGTTTAAGTCCTAGACCTAGTGACCAGAAAGAAGAAACATTTCCCCCAACCCCCGCCACTCACCTTCACCTCCTACCTCCTTATGGGGCTTCGGTTAGGGTAGCCCTTGAAGAAGAACAAGCAGAGATACTGGTCCAGGTCTGGTATTTTCATTTTTAGAGACAGGATCTCGCTCTGTTGCCCAGGCTGGAATGCAATGGCACAATCATAGCTCACTGCAGCCACTGACTCCTATAGGCTCAAGTGATCCTCCTGACTCAGCCTCCACTGTAGCTAGGACTACATGCGTGTGCCACCACACCCAGCTAATTTTTTAACAAATAACTTTTTGTAGAGATGGCGCTCTCACTGTGTTACTCAGGCTGGTCTTGAACTCCTGGCCTCAAGTGATCTTCCTCACCTCAGCCTCCCAAAGCATTGAGATTACAGGCATGAGCGTGGGATTACACAGCACCTGGCCATGGTGGAATTTCATCACAACCCTAATCTGCTCCCCTTCCCCACTTCTATCTCCATAAACCCAGAGGACATGGCTCTGGCCCCTCTTAATAGCTCTGGCCCCTCAAAGGTTTTAAAATATGTGTGTGCTGTCAAAGGGGGCCAGGATAATGACTTGTGGAAAACCGCTGCCAGTTTTGCCTTTTGCATTTCACCATTTCCAATTTTCTTGCCTTGCTTTTGTTAATTAAATTCTAATCACTTAAAAAAAATATTGAGGATGATAGTAAACCAACACAGGAACAGAAAACCAAATACTGCATGTTCTCACTTATAAATGGGAGGTAAATGATGAGAAGACATGGACGCATAGAGGGGAACAACACACACTGGGGCCTGTCAGAGGGTGGAGGGTAAGAGGAGAGAGAGGATCAGGAAAAATAACTAATGGATACTAGGCTTAATACCTGGGCAATGAAATAATCTGTACATCAAATCCCCATGACACAAGTTTTCCTAGGTAACAAACCTGCGCTTGTACCCTTGAACTTAAAATCAAAATTTAAAAAATAAATCCATATTTCCACTAAATGTAAACGTAAACATCCAATTTCCTAAAGCAGAATGTGCTATACGTATTTGCCTCAAAAAAAGTAAAATAATAAGGCAAAAAAAAAAAAAATCAAGGATGAACAAGAATGAATATAACCTTCCAGAATTCTTTTGGGTTGTGTCCCTGTCCTGATTAGTGACGCTAGGCAATAAATGAATGTGTGTACACGTGTGTACACACAGGCGCTCAAGTTGCTTGCTCACACACAAACACACATTCACCCTCACATGCCCCAACCACCACTCTAGTCTCACCCCACAGCAAACATGATGAATTCACATCCTGAGGGGGTGTACCATCAACAAAATCTGACCGGAGGAAACAATTTCAATTCAATCAGAGGCCTCCTGTGGTTGAAGTTTACAAGGAGTGCTGCCAAATCCCACTCTTTGGCGGACAAAGTGTGCAGACATTGGGCCTGTTGGGAGGGTGAGGCGAGTTTCTTACTTTTAAAAGAGGGTCAATCCAAGATGTTTGTATTATTTCAATACTGTTTTTCCTATGGAGCCAGGGGTTGGTGGGGTGGGGGTGGGAAGTTCTTTCCTTGTTCCTGATATTTTCCAGAGATCAAAATTAAAACACAATGCGCTAAGAGTAATCAGCAAGCCTTCAGAAGAATTGCATGTACTTTTGATTTCTATAAAAACCCACACAACACTTCTTTAACTCTTAATTATGTGCAGAGGTGCACAGCTGAGCAGGGAGATTTAGATCTCTGCACAGATATCAGCTTCCTAAACCTTCTGCGTATTTAGCCGGTAATTTGGGGGCCACAAACACCAGGAAGTGTTTTTCCCTTATCTGTTAGCATTTGGTCCTGAAGAGTTAACAGAAGTCAATTTGTGCTCTTTGGAAAGTTTCTGTGTGAGACCCACAACATGGACATGGGCTTGTAAGACTTTTGACTAACCATGCATCCTTTTACTCACTCAAATAGCAAGTAAACCCCACCTCTGTGATCCAGGCACTGTGCCTGGTACTAGGCATACAGAATGATAACAGAAAAAAGTGCCCTCAGGGAGCTTTCTGTCTAGAAGGGGAGGCACAAACAGAGAATGAAATGCAGATTGTTAAATGATAGGAGAGGTGGTGTATTTAGCTTTTCCTGGGTAGCAAGGAGCAGAATGCCACTCAAATAGCTCATATAAGGGCAACAGGAATCACATGGAACCAGGATCAGTTTTCTTGACAGGTCTCTGGGGAAGTTGAAATACCATGTCAAAGTGGAAAAGAGGTATAGGGTCCCAGGCAGTTTCATTTTATTTTATTTTTTTGAGACAGAGTCTTGCTGTGTCTAGCAGGCTGGAGTGCAGTGACACTATATCGGCTCACTGCAACCTCAACCTCCCAGATTCAATTAATTCTCCTGCCTCAGCCTCCTGGGTAACTGGGATTACAGCCGTGCACCACCACACATGGTTAATTTTTGTATTTTTAGTAGAGACAGGGTTTCCCCATGTTGGCCAGGCTGGTCTCGAACTCTTGGCCTCAGGTAATCCGCCCGCCTCAGCCTCCCAAAGTGTTGGGATTACAGGTGTGAGAGCCTGGCCTGGGCAGTTTTAATAACTACTCTTCACTCAGCCACACCTGTTGTTGTGACTCAGCTCCTCTCTGCTTTTCCCACTTCCGCTTCCTAATCTCACTCTACCAGAGTAACTTCTCTATGGCATGGCTCTGACTTACTCATCCTGGCTGCTCACTCGTGGCTTCCCCTGACTGCCTTGGGAGATCTGAATACTGTCTTCTCTCTTATGTATTTCAGCTTTTCCCCCTGATACCAAGTATCCAATCTGATGCTCCAAATGAGAGGATACTATAGTCTAATATAATCAACTCATGTCTTTTAGGCAAAGTTTTTATTTCTGCCCACTGAGAGGCTACCAATAGATCAAATCTCCTTGGCTTCTGATGAATGCATGGTCCTGTCTGCTGTGGCCACGGGGCTGGGCATCCCCCATTGCAAGTTATGAGAGGCACACAGGGTGACTTCCCTGAAGGGAATTCTTGGACAGACCCCTAGAAGAGGGGACTGTGGTCAAAGCAGTCGGTGTGAATATGGACATAAACACAGAGGGTTATGGGAACACAGAGGAAGGCTACTAACTCAGACAGGCAGCTCAGGAACAGCTTCACAGAGGAAGCTATCCCAACACTAAACTTGAGGGAGGAGAGGAAGTTGCTCCAGAGTGGGCCGCAGGGTGATGGGGTTGGAGGTGGAATAACGGTAACCCCAGCAGAGTAAACTTTAGTGTGAATGTCGTGTGTGTGTGTGTGTGTGTGTGTGTGTGTGTGTGTTTGTGTGTGTATGGTGTGGTGCTATTATAGTTGTTTGATTGTTTGGTTTGGTGTTTTGTTTTTCCTTAGCTCACTGCAATCTCCGCTTCCAGGGTTCAAGCGGTTCTCCTGCCTCAGCCTCCTGAGTAGCTGGGATTACAGGCACCCGCCATCATGCCCAGCTAATTTTTGTATTTTTGTGGAGAAGGGGTTTCCCCATGTTGGCCAGGCTGGTCTTGAACTCCTGACCTCAGGTGATCTTCCCGCCTCAGCCTCCCAAAGTGCTGGGATTACAGGCATGAGCCGCCATGCCCAGCCTGTTTGGTTTGGTTTGAACTCAAGCTGAGAATCTCTGCCTTTGCTTTGTAAAATTAGTAACCTATTCAAATTTATTATGACTACTGGCACCCTTAGATTTATTCCTACCTCTTTTTCTATAATTTCTATTTTAAGTCAATTTGGACATTTCAAATATAGTAAGGAAAAAAATTTTGGACTATACTTTGTCCTTGTCCTTATCTTCATTTTACAATGTGCTATCTTTTACTAGGCGCAACCCTGGAACCAAACAAAGATTATGAAAGGCTATAAAATGACTCAGGGGGAATGGCTGGCGTTTGAATCCCTGCAGAAAATAGGGCATTATGAAATTAACTTGTAATGGAGGATTGAAAGGCTTGGACATTTGGTTTTGAAAGTACATATTGTAAGCTTTTATTTTTTTCAAAGTTATACATACTTGTAGTTTAAAAGTCAACTAGTTCAACAAGGTCTGCTGAGAAAAAGTCTCCAATCTCCCTTCCCTATTTTCCCCTTCCCCAAATGGAGCCACTCTCCTCTCTCAGTTGACTTTTTCTGTTTGCCTCCATGACTCTAAATAACATGATCACAGAGCTACATTTTGATTCTTCCTTCAGTTTTAAGAATTGAATATTGGGCCTGGCACGGTGGCTCACGCCTGTAATCCCAGCACTTTGGGAGACCAAGGCGGGTGGATCACGAGGTCAGGAGTTCGAGACCAACCTGACCAATTTGTTGAAACCCCGTCTCTACTAAAAATACAAAATGAGCTGGGCGTGGTGGCATGCGCCTGTAGTCCGAGCTACTTGGGAGGCTGAGGCAGGAGAATAGCTTGAACCTGGGAGGTGGAGGTTGCAGTGAGCTGAGATTGCGCCACTGCATTCCAGCATGGGCAACAGAGTGAGACTCTGTCTCAAAAAAAAAAAAAAAAAAAAAAAAAGAATTGAATGTTAACTTCCCACTATGGAAAATGAAGATTTAATGCTCTTTACTGCACCCCACCCAGATAAATTTTCTATTTCCCCATGTCTAACTTTCTCAAAATGGTAATATTGCACTATAATTAATGAACGTGTATGCTATTCATAGTAGAGCCATTTAAGAAGACCATGATTAATTTTCTACACAATTTATTGTTTTCTCTGGTTAACAAGTGTTTTTTCTTCATTGGATGGATTTGTTTCTTTTTTTTTCCATAGATTTAGGAATTCAATCCCAGAATCTCCATTGTTTAATTGCCTCTCGAGATGTTCATTCTCTCAAGTCCAACTTCTTAAAGAAGTTTCTCCTGGAGCCAGACCTGCTCCTTCTGGGCTGGTGCCCTCTGTGACTGGTGCACAGCGGCCATCTCAGATCTACCTTTCCCCGGATACCCATTGCCTCTCAATGTTGAGCCTCCTGTTTTCCATCTCCTCTTTTTCATTTTGTTCTCTTGCTTTGCTCCAGAATACTTTCTATTAGCTTCTTGAGAAAGAGTAAGTGGGAGGTGAATTTTAGTAGAGCGTGAGTTTGCTTTGGCTTTGGGCTGCCACAGCAAAGTACTGTAGACCGAGTGGCTTAACAACACAAATGTATTTTCTCACAGTGCTGGAAGCTAAATGTTCCATATTATGGTGGCAGCTGATTCAGTTCCTGGTGGAAACTGTCTTCCTGGCTTCTAGACAGTAGACAGTAGCCTTCTTGCTGTGTCCTCACAAGGCATTTCTTTGGAACATGTGCCTGGGGAGGAAGAGAGGGACAGAAGAAAGACAGAGATAGAGACAGAGAGAAGAAAGAAAGAATTTCTCTACTGCCCCACTTTTTTTTTTTAAGACAGGGTCTTGCTTTATCACCTAGGCTGGAGTGCAGTGGAGCAATCACAGCTCACTGCAGCGTCGAACTCCTGGGCTCAAGTGATCCTCCAGCTTCAGCCTCCCTGGGTAGCTGGGACTACCGGTATGCCAAATTATGCCCAGCTGAATCTCTTCTTATAAGAACACAAATCTAACTTCATTTAAAGTTAACTGTTCCTTAGAGGCCTTGTCTCCAAATATAGCCACACTAGGGGTGTTAGGACTTCAACATATGAATTTTGGGTAGACACAGACATTCAGTTCATAATACATGTGTTTTTTTTTTAAGGAAAGCTTTATTCTATTTAATATTTTCTTGTTATTTTGACAAGGTATGCAGTTCTAGGTGAGAAATAATTTTCTTTTGGAATTTAGAGGTCATCACTCCATTTATTGTTTTGGGTTGCTTGCCTTGTTCCTATTGAGAAGTTTGAAGTCATTCTGATCTGTAATCATTATTACAAGAACTGTTTCTCCACATTGCCATTTGTAAAATCTTTGTCCTCAGTCTAAAATTTAACTGTGATATGTTTTCTTGTGGATTTATTTTCATTCATTGTGCTGGCACTTAGAGGCCTTTCTCAACCAGAAACTCAGATAAATTTTGTTGAACTCTTTCTTTGATTATTTTCTTTCCTTTCTTCTGAAGTTCTTTTATTCTAGAACTTAAATTTTCACATATTGTACCTCCTGGATTGATCCTTAATTGTCTTCTCTCCCCACTCCCTGCCTTTTCCATCTTTTTTAATTTTTGTATTATTCTGGGAGATTTTTATAGCTTTAACGTCTAAACTTTCTACACAGTTTTTAATTTCACATGTTTTAAA
Organism: Homo sapiens; assembly: GCF_000001405.40. Lineage (NCBI taxonomy): Eukaryota > Metazoa > Chordata > Mammalia > Primates > Hominidae > Homo > Homo sapiens. Next base: position 79,850,445 of record NC_000008.11, on the reverse strand, counting down.
CTTTTAAATTCAAACTTTTTTATTTTTAACTTGGGAAATAAAAATTATATATATTTATGGTATACAACATGATGGTTTTGATATATGTATGCATTGTGGAATGGCTAAATCAAGCTAAATAACTTCATATTTATTTAATTTCAAAAGGCACATTTTTGCTTTTTGGATGTTTCTTTTTGTTGTTATTTTATATCATTTTGCTTCTATTTCTCAGATGTGATTTTTTTAAAACTCTTAGAAGATATTAATCTAAAATGTTTAAAGTCATTCAAAATTTTTTCTTTGGCATGCATAGTCTTGAGTTCCTCTAAGACACTTTTTCTGTGTGCAGACTCTGAAAGGATCTGGCTCTCGCCTCTCATTCCCACCCCGTTTTGGGTGCACAGACCACCCTTTTAGAGCCATTGGCCTAATTGCTGTGGCTGCAGTGAGGGCAACGTCAGTGGAATGGGTGGTAGAGGAAGCAAGAGTGCAGTGGGGAGAACTAAATGGAGAAGTGATGAAGATAAGGAGGGCAGGCCTTCCAGGGCACTTGTTCATAGCTCATAGAGATCAGCAATTACAATTGGATAATTACTAATTGCAAATTACAGACATTTATAAGAAAGTAGCTCAATTTAGAATAAGGTATCAAGAAAAAGATACAATTTGATATCTCCCTGAAATTCAACCATCAGTTAACCTTGCCTGTTCTAGCTCTATTTTCATCTCAGATGCAGAAGAAACAATCCTTCCTGACTCCATCTTTTCTGAGAATCAGTGCCTTTTAGGACACATGAGTTCTCTGTCTCTGGATTCAGAGATACAACGTTGCAGGGTACTTGGTCAACAAAGAGCTGGATTTATGGCTTTTTCCAGCCTTTACTCATACAAAACCTCCTGGAAATAAAAGGCACTCTTGTGCCTTGTGGGCATTTCAAATTTGCTGTGAACATTCTTTACTGACTATGAGTACTTTTCTGTTTCATAAAGGAGAAAGGGCTTTCTGCTTTATGATATGAGAATTGGAAAGAAAAACTACTTTGTGTTTGGTTTTTACCTATTATCTTGTTTAAAAAAACTTTTAAGTTCATGGGTACATGTGCAGAATGTGCATGTTTGTTACATAGGTAAACGTGTGTCATGGGGGATTGTTGTACAGATTATTTCATCACCCAGGTATGAAGCCTAGTATCCTTTAGTTGTTTTTCCTGATCCTCTCCCTCCTCCCACCTTCCACCCTCTGATAGGCCCCAGTGTATGTTTTCTTCTTCATGTGTCCATGTGATTCTCATCATTTAGCTCCCAATTGTAAGTGAGAACATGCCATATTTGGTTTTCTGTTCCTGCATTAGTTTGCTAAGGATAATGGCCTCCAGCTCCATCCATGTCCCTGCAAAGGACAGGATCTCCTTCTTTTTAATGGCTGCATAGTATTCCATGGCATATATGTACATTTTCTTTATCCAGTCTATTATTGATGGACATTTAGGTTGATTCGATGTCTTTGCTATTGTGAATTGTGCTGCAATGAACACACGCATACATGTGTCTTTACAATAGAATGATTTATATTCCTTTCGGTTATACCCAGTAATGGGATTGCTGGGTTGAATGGTATTTCTGTCTTTAGGTCTTTGAGGAATCACCAAACTGTCTTCTAGAATGGTTGAACTAATTTACACTCCCACAAACAGTGTATACACATTCCTTTTTCTCCACAACCTTGCCAGCATCTGTTAGTTTTTGACTTTTTAATAATAGCCGTTCTGACTGATGTGAGATCTCATTGTGGTTTTGATTTGCATTTCTGTAATAATCAATGATGTTGAGCTCTTTCTCATATGTTTGTTGGCCGCATGAATGTCTTCTTTTCAGAAGTGTCTGTTCATGTCCTTTGTTCATTTTTTAATGGGGTTGTTTGTTTCTTCTAAATGTAAGTTCCTTGTAGAGTCTGAATATAAGTTCCTTGTAGAGTATATAACTGGATTTAAGTTCCTTGTAGAGTCTGTCAGATGAATAGATTGAATAGATCTATTCTGTCTAAATAGGTCTAATAATCTGTCAGATGTAGATTAAGTTTCCTGTAGAGTCTGAATATAAGTTCCTTGTAGAGTATATAACTGGATTTAAGTTCCTTGTAGAGTCTCTCAGATGAATAGATTGCAAAAATTTTCTCCCATTCTGTAGGTTGTCTATTCACTCTGTTGATAGTTTATTTGGCTGTGCAAAAGCTCTTTAGTTTAATTAGATCCCATTTGTCAATTTTTGCTTTTGTTGCCATTGCTTTTGGCATCTTCATCATGAAATCTTAGCCCATGCCTATGTCCTGAATGGTATTACCTAGGTTGTCTTCCAGGGTTTTTATAGTTTTGGGTTTTACATTTAAGTCTTTAATCCATCTTGAATTAATTTTTGTATATGGTATAAGGAAGGCGTCCAGTTTCAATTTTCTACATATGGCTAGCCAGTTATCCCAGCACCATTTATTGAATAGGGAATCCTTTCAATAAGGATGGTTTTTGTCAGGTTTGTTGAAGATCAGATAGTTGTAGGTGTGTGATCTTATTTCTGGGTTCTCTATTCTGTTTCATTGGTCTATGTGTCTGCTCTTATACGAGTACCATGCTGTTTTGGTTACTGTAGCCCTATAGTATAGTTTGAAGTCAGGTAGCATGATGCCTCTAGCTTTGTTCTTTTCGCTTAAGATTGCCTTGGCTATTTGGGCTCTTTTTTGGTTCCATATAAATTTTAAAATAGTTTTCTCTAATTCCATGAAGAATGTCCGTGGTATAATGGGAATAGCATTGAATCTATAAATTGCTTTGGGCAGTATGGCCACTTTAGCAATATTGATTCTTTCTATCCATGAGCATGGAATGTTTTTCCATTTATTTGTGTTATCTCTGATACATTTGAGCAGTGGTTTGTAGTTCTCCTTGCAGAGATCTTTCACCACCCTTGTACTGTTACAATACAGGTATTTTATTATTTTTGTGGCAATTGTGAATGAGAATTGGTTTGTGATTTGGCTCTTGGCTTGACTGTTGGTATATAGGAACATTAGTGATTTTTGCACATTGATTTTGTATCCTGACACTTTACTAAAGTTGCTTATCTGCTTAGAAAGCTTTTGGGCTGAAATGAGGGGGTTTTCTAGATAATAGGATCATGTCATCTGCAAAGAGGGATAGTTTGACTTCCTCTCTTCCTATTTGAATGCCTTTATTTCTTTCTTTAGCCCGATTGCTCTATCCAGAACTTTCAATACTATGCTGAATAGGAGTGGTGACAGAGGGCATCCTTGTCTTGTGCCAGTTTTCAAGGGGGATGCTTCCAGCTTTTGCCCATTCAGTATGATATTGGCTGTGGGTTTGTCATATATTGCTTTTATTATTATGAGGTATGTTCCTTCAATACCTAGTTTATTGAGAGTTTTTAACATGAAGGGATGTTGAATTTTATTGAAAACCTTTTCTTCATCTATTGAGATAATCATGTGGCTTTTGTAGTTCTGTTTCTGTGATGAATCACATGTATTAATTTGTGTATTTCAAACAAACTTTGCATCCCAGGGGTGAAGCCTACTTGATCGTGGTAGATAAGCTTTTTGATGTGCTGGTGGATTTGGTTTGCCAGTGTTTTGTTGAGGACTTTTGCATCAATGTTCATCAAGGATGTTGGCCTGAAGTTTTTGTTGTTGTTGTATCTCTGCCAGGTTTTGGTATCAGGATGATGCTGGCCTTATGGAATGAGTTAGGGAGGTATCCCTCCTCCTCAATTTTTTGGAATCATTTCAGTAGGAATGGTACCAGCTTTTCTTTGTATATCTGGTACAATTCAGCTGTGAATCCATCCGGTCCTGGACTTTTATTTGTTGGTGAGCTATTTATTACTGCTTCAATTTCAGAAGTTGTTACTGGTCTGCTCAGCGATTACATTTCTTCCTGGTTCAGTCTTGGGAGGGTGTATGTGCGTAGGAATTTATCCATTTCTTCTAGATTTTCTGGTTTACATGCATAGAGGTGTTCATAATATTCTCTGATGGTTGTTTGTATTTCTGTGGGGTCAGTGGTAATATTCCCCTTATTTCTGATTGTTTATTTGAATCTTCTCTCTTTTCTTTTTTTATTATTCTAGCTAGTGGTCTATTTTATTATTTTTTTTCAAAAATCACTCCTGGATTTGTTGATCTTTTTAATGATGTGTTTGTGTGTGTGTGTGTGTGTGTGTGTGTGTGTGTGTGTGTGTGTGTGTTTATGTGTGTCTATCTCCTTCAGTTCAGCTCTGATTTTACTTATTTCTTGTCTTCTGCTAGCTTTGGGATTTGTTTGTTGTTGGTTCTCTAGTTCTTTTAGTTGTGATGTTAGGTTGTTAACTTGAGATCTTTCTAACTTTTTGATGTGGGCATTTCGTGTTATAAATTTCCCTCTTAACACTGCATTAGCTGTGTCCCAGAGATTCTAGTCTGTTGTATCTTTGCTCTCATTAGTTTCAAAGAACTTCTTGATTTCTGCCTTAATTTCATTATTTACTCAAAAGTAATCGTGTAGGCTGGGTGCAGTGGTTTGTGTCTATAATCCCAGCACTTTGTGAGGCTGAGGCAGGTGGATCACTTGAGGTCAGGAGTTCAAGACCAGCCTGGCAAACATGGTGAAACCCTGTCTTTACTAAAAATACAAAAATTAGCTGGGTGTGGTGGCACGTGCCTGTAGTCCCAGCTACTTGGGAAGCTGAGGCACAAGAATCACTTTAACCCAGGAGGCAGAGGTTACAGTGAGCTGAGATCACACCGCTGCACTCTAGTCTCACCAACAGGGCAAGACTCTGTCTCAAAAAAGAAAATGTCATCTTATTAGTCTGTTCTCACATTGCTATTTGGAAATACCCACCCAAGACTGAGTAATTTATAAAGAAAAGAGGTTTAATTGACTCAGTTCAATATGGCTGGGGAGTCCTCAGGAAACTTACAATCATGGTGGAAGGGGAAGCAAACATATCCTTCATATGGTGGCAGCAAGGAGAAGTGCCAAGCAAAAGGGGGGAAAGCACCTTATAAAGCTATCAGATCTCATGGTGAACTCACTTACTATCACAAGAACAACAGCAGGGGAGTAACTGCCCCCATGATTCAATTATCTCCCACCGGGTCCCTCCCATGTCATGTAGGGATTATGGGAACTACAATTAAAGATGAGATTTGGGTGGTGACACAGCCAAACCATATCAGTCAATCAGGAGTGGGTTATTCAATTTCCATGTAACTGTATGGTTTTCAGTGAATTCCTTAGTCTTGAGTTCTAATTTGATTGTGCTGTGGTCTAAGAGACTGTTATGATTTCAGTTCTTTTGCATTTGCTGAGGAGTGTTTTACTTCCGATTATGTGATTGATTTTAAAGAAGGGTCATGTAGTGATGAGAAGAATGTAAATTCTGTTGTTTTAGGGTGGAGAATTGTATGGATATCTATCAGGTCCGTTTGATCCAAAGCTGAGTTCAGGTCTTGAATTTCTTTGTTAATTTTCTGTCTCAGTGATCTGTCTAATATTGTCAGTGGGATGTTAAAGTCTCCCACTATTATTGTGTGGGAGTCTAAGTCTCTTTGAATGTTTATAAGAACTTGCTTTATTAATCTGTGTGCTCCTGTGTTGGGTACATATATATCTAGGATGGTTTGCTCTTTTTTGTTGAATTGAACCCTTTACCATTATATATAATGCCCTTTTTTGTCTTTTTTGATCTTTGTTGGTTTAATGTCTGTTTTGTCAGACTAGGAGTACAACCCCTGCTTTTTTTCTGTTAAAGTCTGCTTTTGTCAACTAGGATTGCAACTCCTGCTTTTTTCTGTTTTCCATTTGCTTGGTAAATTTTCTTCCATTCTTTTATTTTGAAACTATGTGTGTCATTGCATGTGAGATGGGTTTCTTGAAGACAGCATGCCAATGGGTCTTGGTTCTTTATCCGGCTTGCCATTCTGTGTCTTTTAATTGAAGGCATTTAGCCCATTCACATTTAAGGTTAGTAGTATTGTTATGTGTGGATTTGATCCTGTCGTCATGATGCTAGCCGGTTATTTTGCAGACTTGGTTATGTGGTTGCTTTATAGTGTCACTGGTCTATGTACTTCAGTGTGGTTTTGTAGTGGCTGGTAACAGTTTTTCCTTTCCATATTTAGTGCTTCCTGCAGGAGCTCTTGTAAGGCAGGTCTGATGATAAAGAATACCCTCAGCACTTGCTTGTCTAAAAAGGACCTTATTTCTCCTTTGCTCATGAAGCTTGGTTTTGGTGGCTATGAAATTCTGTGTTGGAATTTCTTTTCTTTAGGAATGTTGAATATTGGGCCCCAATCTCTTCTAGCTTGCAGGGTTTCTGCTGAGAGGTCCACTGTTAGTCTGATGGGCTTCCCTTTGTAGGTGACCTGGCCTTTCTCTCTGGCTGCCCTTAACAGTTTTTCTTTCATTTTGACCTTGAGGAATCTGATAATTATGTGTCTCAGGGATAATCTCCTAATGGAGTATCTTACTGGGGTTCTCTGGATTTCCTGAATTTCAATGTCGGCCTGTCTAGCTAGGTTGGGGAATCCTCATGGATAATATCCTGAAATACGTTTTCGAAATTGGTTCCGTTCTCCTCATCTCTTTCAGGTACACCAATCAGTTGTAGATTTGGTCTTTTTACATAGTCCCATATTTCTTGGAGGTTTTGTTCATTCCTTTTCATTCTTTTTTCTCTATTCTTGTTGCCTGTCTTATTTCAGAAAGACAGTCTTCAAGCTCTGAGATTCTTTCCTCTACTTGGTCTGTTTTTCTATTAATACTTGCAATTGCATTATGAAATTCTTGTAAGGTGTTTTTCAGCCCTATCAGGTGAGTTACATTCTTCTCTATACTGGCTATTTTGTGTATCAGCTCCTGCACTGTTTTATCACGTTTTTTAGCTTCCTTGCATTGGGTTACAGCATGCTCCTTTAGCTCAATAAAGTTCATATTTATTCATATTCTGAATTCTATTTTTGTCATTTCAGCCATCTCAGCCTCAGCCCTGTTCTGAACCCTTGCTGGAGAGGTGATGCAGTCATCTGGAGGAGAGAGGGCATTCTGGCTTTTTGAGTTTTTAGCATTCTTGCACTGATTCTTTCTCACCTTTGTGGGCTTATCTACCTTAAATCTTTGAGGTTGTTGACCTTCAGATGGGGCTTTTTTTCTTTTAACAGTCTAGCCACTTTTCTATAGGGCTGGTGCAGTTTGCTGGGGGTTCACTCCAGTCGCCAGTCACCTCAGATTTTCCAGTACCTGGAGGTATCACCGGTGAAGGCTGCAAAACGGCAAAGATGGCAGCCTTCTCCTTCCTCTGGGAGCTCCATCCCAGGGGGTATGGACCTGTTGCCAGCCTGAACACACCTGCAGGAGGTGGCTGGAGACCCTGGTTGGGAGGTCTCACCCATTCAGGAAGAATGGGATTGGGGACTTGCTTAGAGAAGCAGAACTAGCCATGCTTTCATAGAGCAACTGTGCTATGCTGAGGTTCCACTTCTGTCCCCGGTTGGCTTGGGCTCTCCAAAGGCTGCAGGCTAGAATGTCTAAGTTGCCCAAACAGCAAAGATGGCAGCTCACTCCTTCCTCTGGGAACTCCATTCCAGGAGGAAATCAAATATCTGTTGGGCTGAAGAACAGGGGCAGGGGTGGCTGGAGGCCCCAGTTGGGAGACAGTTCCACCCAGTGAGTGGGGACAGACTGGGGACCTGCTTAAAGTAGCAGTCTGCCCACATTTTGGTAGAGCAGCTGTGCTGTGCTGTGCTGTGCTGTGCTGGGGGATCCCTTCTGCCCCCAGGTGGTTTGGAATCTCCAAAACCCACAGGCTGGAATGGCTGGATCATCCAAACAGCAAAGATGGTGACCTGCCCCTCGCCCAGGGAACTCTGTCCTGTCCCAGCTAGCCACAACACTGTTGCCAGTGGCTGGCTAAAATTCCAAGCCAGTGAGTCTTATCCTATGAGACATCATGGAAGTGGAGCCCACAGACCATCACTTGTTGGCCCTTGGATTCAGCCCCCTTCTTAGGTGTTGGTATGGAGGTCCAACCTCCTGCCTTGCCTAAGTTTCAGTCCCCTTTGCTGGGGAGCCCAGAGCCAGAGTATGTAAAGCTCCTGGGTCTCTGTGCATGCCTGAGCAGCTGCTCCATGTAGCTGTGTGTGTCAGACCAAAGGCCCTGGTGGAATGGGCTCATGAGGGGATCTCCTGTCCTGAGGGTTGCAAAGATCCATGGAAGAAGCATGGTTTACCAGGGTTGCACATCCCCTTACCACTTCCCTAGGCAATGGGAGGTTCCCTTGGCTCTGTGTCACTCCCAGATGAGCTATTGCCCTGCCCTGCTTTTCTCAGTTCTACATGGGTTGAGCTGTTTCCCTGATTAATCCCAATCCAAGTACCTGGATATTTCCATTGAAGGTGCCGTATTTACTCACCCCTTTCGTTCCTCTCCATGAAAGCCTCTCCATGAGAGCCTCTCTGTAGCTGGTTCTAGCCAGCCATCTTGGCCCTGAGTGTCTACCTTTTGTCTTGCTTAATCCTCACACAATCCTCTGAGATAAATATTTACTATTACTAACTCCATTTTACAAACAAGGAAATGGAGACTCAGAGAGGTCAAATTACTTGCTTAAAATCACACAGTCATTGCTGTAACCAAATGTGAACCTAGGTCTGTCTGACTCTCAAGGCCTATTGATTCTGAGTCATCTTCCTCTATACAGCTGGAAGCAAGAAACCAGGACCATCCCTACAAGTTTGTCTTAGTGCATTTGAGCTACTATAAGAAATTACCATACCCTGCGTGGCTTATAAATGACAGAAATTTATTTCTCACAGTTCTATAGGTTAGAAAATTCAAGATCAAGGTGCTGGCAGATTCAGTGTCTGGTGAGAGCCCTCTTTCTGGTTCATAGATGGCATCTTCTCACTGTGTCCTCACATGGCAAAAGAATGAGGGAGTTCCCTGGAGTCTTTTATAAGGGCACTAATTCTATTTGTGAGGGCTCCACCCTCATGAACTCATCATCTCCCCAAAATCCCAGCTCCAAATATCATCACATTGGTGATTAGGTTTCAACACTTGAATTTTGGTCTATAGCAATGTTTATGTCCCAAATCCTCTTAACTGTCATTTTTTCCCCCAGTCTCTTCCTTCTAGAACGCCTCTGTTTTGAAGCTTGATCTTATCTAGAAATTAATATTGAATTGCTTAACTAAAATTTATTCATGTCAGGTAGGTTTTTAACATAGTGTTTTACAAGCTGAAGGTCACAACCGATTAATGGGTCATGAAATTAATTTAAAGTATGACACCGGCATTTAAAAAAGAATAGAACAGAAAATATTTCTATTCCTATGCCTATTTATATGCATATCCATTGCATGTAGGAAAGGGTTAGTACTGTTATACACGTGTGTATTTGTGCACTGGGTCATGACATAGAATGTTATTCCTATTCTGGGTTATGGTCAGAAAAAGATTCCTTACTCATTACCAAATTGTCTTTCATAAATAGCCCAAGCCATTTTTCGGAATATATATTTTTAAAAATGTATTTTAAACAAAATATACAATGCCCGTGGGATGAAAATCCCTCATAGGCTGACTCCTGCTACCTTGTATAGTCTTATTCCAAGCCATTTTTGTCCATAAATACTTTCTATTTTAGCTCTACCAAATTAATTTTACAAAAAACTTTATTGAGTAATAATTTGTATCCAATAAAATGCACTTATTCCAGGTGCTTAGTGTGATATGTTTTGTATACATCAGTTTAACTACCATCATAATTAATACACACAACACTTTCATCACCCTAAAAGACTCCTGTGTGCCCCTACCTGCCAACCCCAGCCCCAAGCAACCCTTGAACTGCTTTCTATAACAATGAAGTAGTTTTGCCTTTTCTAGAATTTTATACATATAATATATATAATGTTTTTGTGTGAATTTGTTCACTTAATATGATGCTTTTGAGATGACAATGTTCTGACATGTATCTGTAGATATTCTTCTCATTGATGAATAGCAGTCTATTGCATGAATGTAGCACAACTTGCTTATTATTCTGAAGGTAGATGTTTGGCTTGTCTCCAGTTTTTAGCTATTATTAACAAATGAACATTTGGGTAAAATAATTTGTGTAACATATATTTCACTGTGGGTGGAAAATATCCAGGCGTATAATTGCTGGGTTGTATGGTAGCTGTATGTTTAACTGTGTAAGAAATTGCCAACCTGTTTTTCAAAGTGGTTATGCTATTTTACATTCCCAGTAGTGATGCATGACTGTTCTAGTTGCTCTATATCCTCACCAACACTTGGTTATATAAAACTTTAAAATTTTTAGCGATTCTAATAGGTGTGTGGTGGTTTCTCATTGTGGTTTTAATTTCCATTGTCTGATGACTAAGAATATTGAGCATCTTTTTATATACTCATTGGCCATTTGTTTATTTTCTTTTGTGAAGTTTCTGTACAAATCTTTTGCCCATTTTTTGCCTGTTTATTATTAAGTTGTGTTTATATGTTCTGAATAGCAGTCCTTTGTTAGATACATGCATTGCAAATATTTCCTTCTGGTCTTTGGCCTGTCAATTCATTTTCTTGTTGGTGTCTTTTGAAGAGCAAACATTTTGAATCTTAGTGAAGAAAATTGTATCATTTTTTATGGTGCTTTTTGTGTCCTCAGAAATCTTTGCCTATCCCAAGGTTATGAAGGTTTTCTCCTAGACATTTTATAGTTTTAGACTTTATATTTTGATCTATGATTATGATTGATTTCTAGTTAATTTTTTGTGTATGGCAGGAATTTTGGATTGAGGTTCATTCTTTCTCATATGTATATACAGTTGTTTTTGCACCATTTGTTGAAAAGTCTACTTTTATTCCCATTGAATTATTCTTATACTTTGTCAATAATTAATTACCCATACATGTGTAAGTCTGTTTCTGGGTTTTCTTTCTTTTCCAAGCATCTATATATCTGTTCTTACACCAGCACCATACTGTCTTGATTACTGTAGATTTATGATAAGTCTTGAAATCAAGTAGTATAAGTCCGCTAACTTTGCTCTTCTTTTTAAATATTGTTTTGGCCATCCTAGGACCTTTCCATTTCCATATAAATTTAGAATCTATTTGTCAGTTTTTACCAAAAACCTGCCAATATTTTACCTGGAGTAACTGATCTGAACCTGTAGATCATTAGGGGAGAATTGATGCTTTAATAATACTGATCATTCAGTTAATAAACAGGGGATATACCTTGATTAATTTAGCTCTTTACTTTCTCTTTTTTTTTTTTTTTTTTGAGATGGAATCTCACTCTGTCACCCAGGCTGGAGTGCAGTGGCACAATCTCAGCTCACTGCAACCTCCGCCTCCCAGGTTCAAGCGATTCTCCTGCCTCAGCCCCACGAGTAGCTGGGAGTACAGGCATGTGCCACCATACCTGGCTAAATTTTGTATTTTTAGTAGAGATGGGGTTTCATCATGTTGGTCAGGCTGGTCTCGAACTCCCAACTTCAAGTGGTCTGCCTGCCTCAGCCTCCCAAAGTGCTGGACTTACAGGCGTGAGCCATGGTGTACCAGGCCTTTACTTTCTCTTGGGCATGTTTTATAGTTTTCGGAATACAGATATTGCACTTATTATATTTATCCCTAAATATTTCATTTTTACACAATTATAAATGGTAAGAAAACATTTTCACTTTGTGATTTTTTAATAGACATTATGTTTTAGCACAGTTTTACATTGACAGCAAAATTAAGCAGAACGTACAGAGATTTCTTATACATCCCCTGCTCCCACATACACACGGCCACACTACTTTCAAATTCCCACACCAGAATGGTAATGATAAAATCAATGAGCCTACAGTGACACATTACCACCACACAAAATCCATAGTTTATTAGGATTCACTCTTGGTGTTGTACATTCTGTGGGTTTTGACACATGTATAATGATATGTATTCACCACTATGGAATTATACAAAACAGTTTCACTGCCCTAAAGATCCTCTGTGTCCTGCCCATTCATCCTTCCCTCCTCCCTAATTCCTGGCAACCACTGATTGTTTTACTGTCTCCATAGTTTTGCTTTTTCCAGAATATCTTATAGTCAGAATCATACAACTTGTAGCATTTTTGACTGGCTTTCACTTGGTAACATGCATTTAAGTTTCCTCCATATCTTTTCATGGTTTAATAGCTCATTTCTTTTTAGTATTTCATAATACTTCATGGTCAGAATATACCACAGTCCACCCACTTACCTACTGAAGAACATCTTGGTTACTTTCAAGTTTGGGCAATTATAAATAAATCTGTTATAAACATTCATATGTAAGTTTTGGCTTAGACATAGGTTTTCAACTCATTTGGAAGCACAATTGCCAAAATCATATGGTAAGATTTTGTAAGTTTTGTAAGAAACTGCCAAACTATCTTTTAAATTAGCTGTACCATTTTGTATTCCTACCAACAGTGAATGAGAGTTCCTGTTGCTCCACGTCCTCACCAGCATTTGATGTCGTCAATGTTTTGGATTTTGGCCATTCTAATAAGTGTGTGATGGTATCCTGTTGTTTTAATTTGTAATTTCCTAATGATATAGGATGTTGTGCATTTTTTTCATATGCTTATTTGCCACCTGTTTATATCTTCTTTGGTGAGGTGTCCAGGTATTTTGTCTATTTTAAATCAGGTTTTTAAAATCATTGAATTTTAAGAGTTCTTTGTATGTTTTAGATAACAGTGTTTTATTAGTGTTTCATAAATATTTTCTCCTAGTCTGTGGCTTGTCTTCTCATTTTCTTGACAGTACCTTTCAGAGAAGAGGCTTTTAATTTTAATGAAGTCCAGCTTTATCTATCTATCTATCTATCTATCTATCTATCTATCTATCTATCTATCAATCATCTAGTCATCCAGATGGGGTCTCATTATGTTTTCTGGGCTGGTCTCAAATTCTCAAATGATCCTCCTGCCTTGGACTCCTAGTGTTGGGACTACAGGCATAAGCCCCTGTGTCCAGCCTTATCAATTTATTATTTCAAGGATTATGCCAATTTTTTTTGCTAGTGTATAAAAATATGCAATTGATTTTAATATATTATCTTACTATACTCAGTTATCAGCTCTTTTATTATTTATTTTATAACATTTTTGTAGAGTCCTTGGGAATCTAGACAACACAATCATGTCATGTGCAAATAACAAGTTTTACTTCTTCCTTTACAGTCTGCATGGCTCTCATTTTTTTTGCTTTTGTCTTATTGCATTGGCTAAAACCTACAGTACAATATTGACTAGAAGTGGTGAAAAAAGACATCCTTCCATTGTTCTAAACCTTAGGAGAAACACATTCAGTCTTTCGCCATTAAATATATCGTTAGCTCTAGATTTTTTTGTAGACATCTTTCATCAGGTTGAGGAATGTCCTTTCTATTCTTAGTTTCTTGCGATTTTCTTTTTTTAATCAGGAATAAGTGTGGAATTTTGTCAAGGGATGATTGTCATTTTTCTTTTTTGATTTGTTAATATAGTAAATTATATTGACTGATTTTCAAATGTCAAAACAACCTTGCATTCCTAAGAAAAATCCCACTTGGTCATGATGCATTATCCTCTTTATACATTGCTGGATTCCATTTGCTAATATTTTGTTACAGGTATTTGTGTCTATGCTCATGAGAATATTAATCTGTAACACTTTGTGTGTGTGATATCTGTCTTATTTCAGTGTCAGGGTAATTCTGGACTCATAAAATAGTTGTAAATGTTATCTCCTTTTTTATTTTCTAAAAAGTTCATTGTTTGTATACAACGGTTATAATTTCTTTCTTAGATATTTGGTAGAATTACTAATGGAGCCATCTCGACCTGGGGTTTTACTTTGGGGAAAATTTGTAAATATTAATTCCATTTCTTTAATAGATATAGAATGTTTTACATTAACTATTTCTTCTTCAGTGAGCTGTGATAGTTTGTGTCTTTCAAGGACTTTGTCTATTTCACTGAAGCTGTGAAATTTATAGGCATAATATTGTTCATAATATTCCATGATTATCTTTTAATGTCTGTAGAGTCTGCTCATACTTTCATTCTTGACATTGGTAATTTTTGTCATCTCTTTTCCCTGTTTAGTTTCATGAAAGGTTCTTCAATTTAATTGATCATTTCAAAGAACTAGCTTTTCATTTATTTTTATTTATTCATTTATTTTTTTTTGAGATGAAGTCTTGCTCTGTCACCCAGGCTGGAGTGCAGTGGTGCCATCTTGGCTCACTGCAACCTCCGCATCCTGGGTTCAAGCAATTCTCATGCCTCAACCTCCTGAGTAGCCGGGATTACAGGTGCACACCACCACACCCAGCTAATTTTTTTTTTTTTTTTTAGTAGAGATGGGGTTTTGCCATGTTGGCCAGGCTGGTCTCGAACTCCTGACCTCAGGTGATCCGCCCGCCTCGGCCTCCCAAAGTGCTGGGATTACAGGTGTGAGCAACCACGCCTGGCCTAGCTTTTGATTTTATTTTCTCTATTGCTTTTGTGTTTTTGATTTCCTTGATTTCTGCTGTTACCTTTATTATAATGTCCTCTGCGTGAGTTGGGTTTATTTGTTCTTTTTCAAATTTCTTAAGGTAAAAATTTAGATAATTTCTGAGACTTTTTCTGTTTTTCTAATATAAGCACTTAATGCTATAAATTTCCCTCACAGCACTGTTTCAGCTGCATCTCATACATTTTGATATGCTGTTTACATTTTCATCTACTTCAAAATACAGAATCTATCTTATGATTTTTTCTTTTATCTGTGAATTATCTAGAAGCATTACTGTTTAATTTCTAAATATTTAGTAGTTTTAATATAATCTTTTGTTATTGATTTCTAATTTAATCCCAATTTGACTAGAAATTTTTTTTGTTATTTATTCCCAATCTTCCTATCCTTTGCTAGAAAAATATTTTATTAACTTATTTATTATTGCTTCCTTTCTTTCTAAAGCAATTTTGCTTAATTCTCTTTTTCTTTCTGGGCTGACTTGTTCTGCTTCAGAAAGTTCTAGGCATAAAAAGACCGCTCCAGCCTTGGCTCTGAGTGACCTCTCAGCTCTGGGGCCCAAAACCAGGTAACCCCTGGGTTCCATTTCTAAATTCTCAGGAGAGTGTCTGATTTGACCAGCGTGGGTCGGGTCCAACCCTGGGAAGTTGCTGGCACATAGAATTAACAAGGTCTGGTCTATCCCTTTAACAGAGCTGTGGACAAAAATAGATTTTAACAATGACACATGGACTGGATAGCACCTCAGAAGTTCAGTATACTGGCTGGGCGCCTTGGCTCACACCTGTAACGCCAGCACTTTGGGAGGCCTAGGCGGGTGGATCACCTGAGGTCAAGAGTTCAAGATCAACCTGGCCAACATGGCGAAACCCCGTCTCTACTAAAAATACAAAAATTAGCCGAGCATGGTGGCGGGTGCCTGTAATCCCAGCTACTCGGGAGGCTGAGGCAGGAGAATCATTTGAACCTGGGAGGCGGAGGTTGCAGTGAGCTGAGGTCGAACCACTGTACTCCAGCCTGGGTGACAGAGCAAGACCCTGTCTCAAAAAAAAAAAAAAAAAAAAAAAAGTTGAATATACTTATTTAGTAGAAACACTTGTCAGATTTTATAATTGATAAAAAGAAAAAGCCTTAAAATAAAATTGGGACCCTGGCCTTCAAAGAGCATGGCTCTTTTCATGGTTCCTTTGATGGTTACGTTTGATTTCTCAAGCTGGAGTATGCAGTGGTATTACAGCGGCTTTTGAAAGTCATAGGATAAACATTGTGCATCTTCTTGAAGCATCCATTTTACAAGACGTTTTGGGGAAATTTTATGTTAAAACAAACATAAATGTGTGATGGAATAGACTGCAAAACAGCTCAATATTTTTGAAGACATGGAACAGAACTTGGATTTCACAGTGGTGCATAGATCCTTTGTGAAAAAATTCCTGTAGCTTCCTTGTAAGGAGCCCTGGAAAACTCAATGAAAAATGTCAAAAATCTTATTTAGAATCATAATCTTCACGCTTGTTGGCATTTAAGTAATATTTCAATCTGTATCACGTACAACTTATGGGTGTGTTTTTCATTAATACTAAGCCAGTTTCTCCAGGGCATCTATCCATAGGCACCTAGGAAGGGATACCAATTATGGGATTAATCTCAGCATGCTTATTGCACATCTATGACATGCTAGGTCAAGTATGTCTTCTGAACATAGTTTCTTTTGTATTTATCTTGCTAAGGTAAATGGGAAGGAAGTGGGGAAGATAGAGGTGAAGGTAAATGGAAATGACAAAGCTATTTCCAGTCTTGCAAGAGGGAAGGATGGGGAAGTGATAAGGAAGTGAGATAGTGTTACAGAAGCAATGCCTGGGACTAGACATGTTGGTTCTCTTGCAATTGAATTAGGACACCCAGGGGAAATGACTTGACAGTCATCAAGGAGAGTAAACACAGACATCTCTTGGACCCAAGCCCATGTCCATGACCTTGCTCCACACCTTTAGTCCTTCCTCCTGCTCAAACTTATAGTTGAGCCATCACTAAATTGGTAACAAAATACCAAGAACAACTAGAAAAGGAAAGGAGAATTTCTTATTAGCCTCAATTTTCTTCAAGGGAAATACTGTAGAGGAAGCCCTAAATTACGTGGTGAATCTGGTTATGACATGCACACTGTACAGTAAGTAATACAATGTAGTCACTTCAGATGTTTTCCTTTCCAGTCATGAAGGCATTAATATTGAAAGGAGTTTAAGAGACAAGGAAGCTTTGTAAACACGTCAGACCTCTGTGATGTTGAAAGGAATGTATTTCAGAATACTCAGCCTCATAGGTAGCTAGCCTATAAACACCTGCTCTGTTGTGCAGTTGATCCCTAATGCTCTGCTCTTATCGCTGGGTTAGCTTGATTCTTTGAACCCTGTTAAAATGTAAATATCTCTTGGAAAGGTATTAATTTTTCTTCATTATAGTATAGTTGTGAAAGCAGAAAGGAAAGAGGAACACCACAGATGATCTTTGTTCTAGTTACAGCTCTACCACTGGATTTCTGTGACCGACGGGGATAGCCCTTCTTTCAATCTCCATGACCTCATCTGAACATAAAGGGGCTGAACTAGAAGATCTCTAATGTCTTTTTTTTAGGTTCAACTTTCTGTGAGTCTATGAGAAAAGACAATATGGGTAGGACCATTTTTGGGATGCGTTCTGAGTGAGCAGTTCTCTGCGCTTGAAGCAAAGGGCCAGCAATGGGGATATGGGCACCCAATGCCAAACTTTTCTCAGAGTCTGCTTCTGTCAAGGGAAACTCCTGGGGCTGTATACCTAAGAGATCATAACAGTGATAACAACTATTATAACTTATCTCGACTACTCATGATTCAGAATTGCTGATATGTAAGACCATGATGCACACATCCTTGAATCAGCTTCTAAATCCTTTACGTGTCCTTAAGAACCAGTCAATACAAGTCTTTACTTCTGTTGTGAGATGGGACAGATGTGTTTGTGATTATTCATCCTGTTAGTCTTACTTCGTCTCGATAACTTGACAAACAGAAAAGGTGACAACAGACCTGCGTCTACAAGAAAGTGAATTTGTTCACAAACAAATCGTTTACAAGTTATGGGATAGCCAGGTGGATATTTCCAGCGGGCAATTGGAAATCCAAGTCCAGGGCTGAGGAAAGAGCTGGATTTAGGAGTCATTTATGTTTAGGAAGTTGTTGATACCTAGGATTTCTGCCTTTTTAAAAAATCATAATAATGCATGTGTATTTATATTTCTTATCTACAGCACAAATTAGATGACATGACACAGGATTTAAAAACTTTTTGAAGGGTTTACATATTTTCCGTGTCCTAAATGTGACTACGTCTTGTCAAGTGGCCAGGGAGAAGGTGAAGGCTGAAGTCAAGGTCAGGTTTAGGCTCTGGAGACAGCAGTTTTTGATTCTGATTGTGTTCCTAGAGTATCTCTCCATTTCTAAAATAGGGACACTTTAGTCTCGGTCCTATTTGTATTCAGACAGAGCTCCCTAGTCAGTGGCAGGTTTGGGGAACGTTTTCAGTGTCTATGGGATGTAGATTCAGGGGTGAGAGGCAAGCAGGATGAGGGGCTTGGTGCAGCTTCTGTCTCCTGCTCAGAAGTTTCCTCCCCCCACCCCTGGCCTTTCCTGGTCGGCATCAGTGAGCTCAGGGTCTCCTTGCAAGGGGGCTGGGCTCTCTGACTAGAGGCATGCTGCTGACCTAGAGATAATTAACTGATAGTTTCTACCACGACCTGCTGACCCCTTTATAGGAACCACTGTAAAGATAAAAAGACTTTCTGTTTTCTTTTTTCTTAGCATCTCCGGTGCCTGAAACCTTCACAGTCATCATGCTATTTCGTGTTTATCATTAATCTTCCTGTTGAAAGCATCCCCTTTTCTCCCCTCTTGTTCCTGCCCTGGCCCATTTGCAGTTCAGGTGATCGACCCTCTCAGAAAATGCTCCCTGTGAAGCCAAAATGTGAGTGAGTTAGACTGGGCCATTTCCAGCACGCCCCTCGTCACCCCGTGCCTGTGCAGTGTCACCTACTTCTGATAACAGCCTTGGACTGAGGGCGCAGGAGAGAGTGGTTTTATGCCACAGATACTTCATTCGTCAATGCTGTCTTCCAAATCTTTCTCCTCATGTCCATTATCACAGGCCTAGAACAATTGTTTTTATTAGACAGTTTAATACATTGCCTCTTAGACCAGCAGGCGAACCCGAGCATCTTTCTGACTCCTGTGCTGTCATTAACATGCTTCTTAATTCAGAACAGCTGTTCCTCCTCCCACTCCTCCTCTCTCCCAATCTTTGCTCCTTAGACAAACTTTGCTTATTCAGAAACTTTGGGAAAAAAGATTTTTGAGTAAATGAGAGTTCTGGAAACATAAGGATTTGTCTCTTTCAGCATGGACTTTTTAATTTTAAACATTTTTGATGAAAATCTTTCCAAAATACATTGTTTAGTACCTTCTTAAACAGAGAAAATGGATGAAATTTAATTTTTTTCTTGATGCCTTGGGATCATGACAGTGAACAAGATTTTGTTACTCTGCTGCAATGCAATAGGGCACATAAAGGGTCCCAAATTTTCAGATTCTGAAGTTATTTTGAAAACTTTTAAATATACTCTCGTCTCCCTGCTTTTCATCAGTCCATTGACCAATCACTCTGGTTATCAATGCACCTATTTCCAGAAATTCTTCTACCCTAATTTTCTGATGTTCAGTGTTTACTGTGAGCATAGAAGACCAATATAGACACACACTTACACGTGTGTGCATGCAGATGTGCATTAGAACTGTGTGTAGAGAGGTTTGAGGAGGTACCTGAGAGTTTCCTATGAGTAAATGGAATATGTTATGAGTTCTCTGTTTTGGTTTTCCAGAGACTGCTTTTGTTAAATTTTTTGCTCATTTTAGGAATAGAAAGTTGCAAGACAAATGAGTTTAATAATGATGAAAAGCTCCCAGATTTCTAGGAGCTATCTATCTTTCTAGAAAGTTCTTCCTCGGTTCATTTTTTTTTTTTTTTTCACTTAATGCAAGTATAGGCAATGGTTACTAAAAGGAGATTCCTTTTATGAGAGGCTTGTCATTTCATTATCCCAACTTCACATACAAATGATTTCATTATCTTTAAAAATGTTGTCGTGATATTCTCAAACTATTGTCATTTAAAAAAAAAACCCACCAGGTGCAAAAACAAACTGCAACCACAACAGCTAAATCTGTCTCTTTCTCTCATTGTCCTCTTTGGCAAAGATCTGTGGAAAGCTGAATAAATGAACAGGGCCATTTGACAGAGTGTAACCCACACCAGACCTGTTGTGCAATGCCTTGAACGTAAGTCCTTTTCAACTAAACGGAGGTATATTTTCTTTTATATTGTTGACTTTGACCCTGAAGCTTAGCAAAGAACACTTGTGCAACATTTTCTGGATCAATTTATCATCTGCTCAGAGCAGACATGCATTTTTTCTCATCATTAAAGGGAAACCAAACCCATCAACATAATCCCCGATTCTGCTTTGTTTCTTCCCAGTCCTTCACATTGTAGATTCTGAAATATTAATGAAGAGATGTGAAAGTAATGTGCTCTATTCTCACACCCAGCCCCAGTGGGAGGAAGGATATGGCCAGGGAGTAGGAGAATGAGAAATGTCCTCGTTTTGCAAAACAACGTTGCTCAAAGTCAGGTTGTTGGATTCTATCTCTGAATATCCCAAGGTGGTGATCTAAAATCCAGATTTCTGGGCTAATCTATACCTATGGAATCAATATTTCTGGAGGATGAGGCTTTGTCATTTACATTTTAAATGGATGCATTTAAAACTGATTGGACTAGATGGTGTCCGAGCTTTTTCCTTACTTAACAAATCCTATGCTGCTGGCTCTTATGTGAATACTGATAATAAACTGCTTACAGGCTGGGCATCATGGATCATGCCTGTAATCCCAGCTATTTGGGAGGCCAAGGCAGGAGGATCGCTTGAGCTCAGGAGGTTGAGACCAGCTTGGGCAACATAGTGAGAACCTGTTTCTATGTAAAAAAATTAAATTTAAAAATGTACTTACAGAATACTCATAATGAACTTTATTATTGTAAGAATAATAACTTTTGACTGTATAGCAGCATTTTTAACTTTTCAAAGTGTTTTCCTATTTTCCTATATATAACCCCCCAGAGGGGGGCAGGGGAGGTCTCATTACCTCCATTTTAGAGATGTAATAAAGTCCCCGAAGCTTAATGACTTGTGCCAACTACATCATAACTTAGTGGTCAGGAGTCAGGACTGGCACACAGGTCTTCTGACCTCATTTCACTGTACATTTGGTGTTCTAAGATCCAAGACACAAGAGGATGCTTTATTAAAGTGTCCTTTAAAAACGGACTTGAGCCGAAATCAGCGCCTTCCAAGCTTCTCCACATGCTGTTGAGTGTGCTGTGCATTTGCTCCTGAGAGACGAAAGCACAGATAAAGATGCCCTGCACACTGGGAGAGAAATGGGAATCTTCAAAACAAAGGAATCTCATTCCTCTTCTGTTCATCCCCTTCAATTTTCTGATCCTTTCCCTCCACTCCCTCTTTCTTGTAAAGACTTAAACTCTGAAATAATTATATGAAATTAAGTCGGTAAAAGCCAGGCTCGTTTCCTTAAGATTGATGTGTTAACATTTGGGGCAGTTTTCTCAGGACTCAGGGAGACGATTATTTCTGAGGTTGGCTGCGGGAAGCTTCCTCTTCTCTAGGGAGGGGTGAGGTTCCCTCCCAGGACACCTCCCTCCGTGACACAGCCTAACTGTTAGCAGAAGTTCATAAAAAAAGTTGGTTGATTTTTTTAAGTGCTGGAGACTTTTCTCCTTTTAATTCCGGTCATAACTACCCACTGTCCAAAAAAAGGAGACACAGCAGGCTCTAAACTCTCTCTGAGACTGAATGCAAATTGAGTGTCTGGGAGTCTGAGGGAGGTGCGGGAAACACTTTCCAGCTCCACTGTCCTGTTTTTATCTGTAGATCAAGATAAGCGAGCGGGTGGATTGTTAGCAAAAAGGAATCTCTTCATGCAAATTATAATTCTCTTAAAAAAAAATAAGCATGAAGGTGTGACCCTGCCTGTCACTTATCAATCTGTGCAGTAAAACTAATGGAAGGTTGGAAGACTGGGATCCTTTGCATTGGAAAATGGCTTGAGTGCCCGTGCTGAAGCCACGCTGAATTTCCCGTGTTCCTGCAGCAGCCTGGGAGGAGACCGGCAGGGTCACATTCTGGTGGTGCCTGCCTGCCCTGACACATCATTTCTAATTATGATGCCTTTGTAAACCCCTTCCCTTTTGCTTCATAGGGCTTGTAAAAGGTACCCGCAAACCTCTGCCTTCCTGTGCCTCTCTGCCCCGAGGTAGAAATCCTCCTCTTGCAGGAAGTGCAAAGCAAAGTTCAAAGCTTTCTTAGTCAAAAGAAAGTGCGCCTGATCCAGGATAACATGATTAGGCAACAATTAGACCAGAAAAAAAAAAAAAAAAAAAAAAGCCAGGGCCCTGCATCACTGGCCAGTGCTGGCCTTCTGCAATCTCTGCTCTTCTAAAAGATACTTATTATTTCCTTGTTCAGTATGAAGATGCAAACCCAAATTGAATACCATTTAGGGTCAAAGCCACAAGCAGCTTTGGGCTGTCAAGGGATGGAGAGCTCTGATGAGTCTGTGATGGAATGTCCCCACCAAACACAGAGGCTAAGGGATGGAGCTTAAGAGAGGGATGACAAAGAAAGGAAGCAAGGGTCCACAGACCCAGGGCAGGCCCTGTCGCTCTGGTGACTTTCTGAATGACTGCCAGACTTGTTTCCCCCCTATAAGACAAGCCCAGTTCAACCCACGTTAAAAGGGGGTTAAAAGAGGTCATAAATCTTTCTGGGCACTGAAGATCCATGGAAAACGTGGCCTGATGTCTCTGACATCTGTTTTGGGTTCTCAGCCTCAGCTGGCCCCACTGCCCTTTCTCCTGCGATGACTCACAGGCCCCATTCAGGCCACCGAGTGGCAGGTATAGAGTGTCTCACCTCGGAGTACTGGGGATGAGGGGTGAGCGTCCGGGCAGCAGGCGAGCCCCCAAGGCTGGCCCGCTGACACCGTAAGTCTATACCCAGGGGCTGGTGGAGGGGAGGCTGTGGGATTGATGGTGTAAATGGGCAGCACACACAGCCTGCAGAGGGGAGGCCGGCGGTGGGTGGGAGAGCGCTGGCTGAGGTTGGTCACACGGAGATTGAATTTCAGCTGAATTAGATCAGAGCTGTGGGAAACAGCACCTCCTTCACACACACAGCCGGTCTCATAGGAAGATGTGGGAGGGCGGCTGGGGAGACAGAGGCAGGCAGCTGCGATGAAATACCGAAGTCCGCTCACAGCAGCTAACAGCTAACTTAATTACTCTACTACCTCTCCCCAGCGCACTGGCCAGAATTCGCAGACCCTAGGGTTTTAGACTGAAACGCTCCATGGTGCCAGGGAAAGATGGGGTGGTCAGCATTTAAAACACACCATGGTTTGGGAGTGAGGCTGCGTGTCTCTCTAAAGGAGGAAAAGCGTGATTATGAAAGTACAGGAAAGGCAGGGAACTTTTAGATCCACAGCTGCAGAAGGCAAACTCCGGAAAGGACTTACGTGGCTTTCACTGCTACCTTTAGGGTTTGATGTTTTATAGCATTTTATTAACATGCAACGCAAGCTCTCAATACCGTAACTGTGTTCGCTGCTGCTGCTAGGAACTGTTCCTCTAATCCCCTTTCTCTGCTTAATAACCTGACGCCATTTCAGTGACCCAGAATACCAGCTTTTCTTGGGAGGCCTTGGAGGAGTGGAAAATTGGGAGAAAGTTTTAGAATTAAAATGGGAACACTTGCAGTCCTATTAAAAAGGGCAAGAAGTCAGCTGCTTTGAAATCCACCCCCTCAGCAGGGGTGGGGAAAGCCTTTCCAGGAGACAGTGGGAACACATTTGTTCCCTAAGCTGGCACCAGAGTGGCTTTCTCCAGGGCAGCCAGGGCCTGGCATTCTGTATACGCCATTTGAATCAGGGAGCCTTCAAATGATCCTTTTTTCTCTTCCTGTCACTCAACAACAGGCTGGCGGCAAAAATTTCTACGGCAGTTTCTCTTGAACCAGGCAGAAAACAACCCCTGAGGCTGCTCGGTGCTCCCTAGTCTCCTGGTTTGCATTGCACATCCATTTTGAGCCTGCTGCTACTGATGAGAAAATGACCTCAAACAACTGCCCACTAAAGGTCCCATGTTGTGACGATGCCGGGGGCTTTCTGCATAGCGCTCCGCTTCTCAGACTGAGCAGCTTCTGGAGTTTTGTACAATGCCTGGGCCTGAGGAAACCTGCCAGGATATTCCTGGTAGGATGAATGATCACCCCCCCGTAACAGACAGAGACACCCAGAGCAGAGACAGAGTTCACACTGTGGGATCTGACTCAATGTTTGAATTCTTAGGAGCTCACCACTTCATTGGATTTCTCATGACTGAAAAAAAGAGACCACTAGAATCTGGATGAGATGAGAATTTAGGTGCTGTTTTAGATTCCCCTAGATTAGGTGGATACCCAAAAGAGTGTGTGGAAAAACTGCAGGGAGGGCCGGGCGCGGTGGCTCATCCCTGTAATCCCAGCACTTCAGGAGGACGAGGCAGGCGGATCATCTGAGGTCAGGAGTTCGAGACCAGCCTGACCAACATGGAGAAACCCTATCTCTACTAAAAATACAAAAGTACCCGGGCATGGTGGCACATGCCTGTAATCCCAGCTACTCTGGAAGGCTGAGGCAGGAGAATCGCTTGAACCCAGGAGGTGGAGGTTGCAGTGAGCCAAGATCGCACCACTGCACTCCAGCCTGGGCAACAAGAGTGAAACTTGGTCTCAAAAAAAAAAAAAAAAAAAAAAACCTGCAGGGAGTCTGAGTCCTCTGAAATGGGATGAAAAATTTATATGTAAAAATTGTGTATATTTCCTCCAGCCCCAGGAAGAGAGCCCTGTGTATTCTGTTGGACAGATCTGCTGATTTTCAAGTTTCCAAGACTCCTCCAGACTTAAGAAGTACTGTTTTATATTAAATATTTTGCAAAGGTAATTTTAAGAGGGAGCATTGGTTTCCCTCAATCACAGGCTCTGCAAAATACAATGCGCTGTCTACTGTATACTTTGCCACATGGAGCCTGGCTGCTTGACTCATGTAACTCAACGTAAACAGTAACTGGGAGAGGACACACACGAGCAGGCAGGGTATGCCCACAGGGTCGCTGCTTGACATGGCTATGCTGCGGCTAGCGTATGGCTCTCCCTTGGATGGATCTATTCTGTTAATACCTCTGTCCCAGAATTTGTAGTCCCAAAGTGGTGCTCTGGGAGGACGTATTAATGAAAAGAAAGAGCATAAATGAGAACCTTAAAGAGTTTACAGGGTTCAGGCTTGATAAACCTCTTGGGTAAGAAAGGTAGGTAGATATAGAGCAAGATTTGCATCCATCACATTGGGAAGAATGTACACTGGCCTGTGGGTACAAACCCCTTTCTGCCAGGTAGGGAAGGTTCTTGGGGGAAAGGTGGTTGTCATAATACATCTTAAACAATAACAAAGATAACAGAATCCCATAGTTTCCCTTTCTGGAGTTGATGTTTGGATGCAAATTACAGGCATGTTTTGCCTTAAACAAATCCAGTGTTAGGCCGGCGCGGTGGCTCATGTCTGTAATCCCAGCACTTTAGGAGGCCAAAGCAGGCAGATTGCTTGAGCTCAGGAGTTCAAGACCAGCCTGGGCAACATGGCAAAATCCTGTCTCCACAAAAAAATACAAAAATCAGACCAGGCACGGTGGCTCATGCCTGTAATCCCAGCACTTTGGGAGGCCAAGGCAGGTGGATCACAAGGTCAGGAGTTCAAGACCAGCCTGGCTAACATGGTGAAACCCTGTCTCTACTAAAAATACAAAATTTGCTGGGTGTGGTGGCACACACCTGTAATCCCAGCTACTTGGGAGGCTGAGGCATGAGAATTGCTTCAACCCAGGAGACAGAGGTTGCAGTGAGCCAAGATTACGCCATTGCATTCTAGCCTGGGCAACAAGAGCGGAAACTCCATCTCAAAAAAAGAAAAGAAAAGAAAATCCAGTGTTGATGAGTTGATTTCCCAAAGCAGATGAACTGGGAAGTTGGGTGTGGTGATTATTTACATTAAATAGTAGCTACTGGTGGTCGGCGTGGTGGCTTACACCTGTAATCCCAGCACTTTGGGAGGCCAAGGTGGGCAGATCACGAGGTCAGGAGATCAAGACCATCCTGGCTAACACGGTGAAACCCCGACGCTACTAAAAATACAAAAAAAATTAGCCGGGCGTGGTGGCGGGCGCCTGTAGTCCCAGCTACTCGGGAGGCTGAGGCAGGATAATGGCGTGAATCCGGGAGGCGGAGCTTGCAGTGAGCTGAGATTGCGTCACTGCACTCCAGCCTGGGTGACAGATCGAGACACTATCACACACACACACACAAAAAAAAAAAAAAAAAAATTAAATAAATAGTAGCTACTGGCTGGGCACGGTGGCTCACACCTGTAATCCCAGCACCATGGGAGATGGAGGTGGCTGATTGCTTGAGGCCAGGAGTTCAAGACCAGCCTGGGCAACATGGTAAAACCCTGTCTCTACAAAAAACAAAACAAAACAAAAATTAGCCAGGCATGGTGGTGTGCACCTATAGTCCCAGCTACTCAGGAGGCTAAGATGGGAGGATCACTTGAGCCTAAGGAGGCTGAAGCTGCAGTGAGCTCTGATCGTGCCACTGCACTCTAGTCTAGATGACAGAGTGAGACCTTGTCTCAAAAAAAAAAAGGAAAAGAAAAGAAAAAAAGTAGCGTAGCTACCACTGATGCAGGACCCACATGAGCAGAGATTTATATACTTTATCTCGAGCAATTCTTCTGACAACACAGTGAAATGGGTACTATTTCCCCCATTTTTCAGATGAGGAACTTAAGGTTTAGAGAGCTTAAGCTCCTTCCTGAGGATTACTTTTCTACCAAGTGCCAGAGAGAACCAGCACTGAAAGCCAGATCAGTCTACCTCCAAAGACTATGCTCTTAAATTCTCCATTAGTCAGCTCCTCAGTGCAGTGGGATTTGATGCTTTACCAGAAATATCAAGACCCTAAATGCATCTTAAACACAATTTGATTTTCAAAGGTAGAAAAAAAAAGGAATGAAGTTTGACCAAGTGCCTATTGTATCCAGATAGTATGTCAGGGGATATGACTATGTCATTTGGTAAAAAATTAAATTTTATAAAATATTCAATTCTTGTGGAATATTTTCAAAATACACTTGTCAGTTAAAGTTAGGTACACACATGCAAATCATCCCCCTCAAGTAGTCTCACAAACTAGCCAAAACTTTCCCAGGGCAGAGGGCAGATTTTGCTCCCTATTTTATCCCCTTTGTGCATGGAATATTTGTCTTAGGCTGATAAATAATTAATAAATTAGTGCATAAAAATATGAACCTATTTTGAGGACAGCTATCAGAAAGCCTTATTTCTTAAAATGGAAGTGGCTCACCCTGGCAACCAGACATGGAGATATGGGGATTGCTCAATATACACCCAAAGTAGGTCTTATGCAGAAGACTAAGAAAGATGAGAGCGAAAATAAGACAAGGATATGGAGATATTGTTTTTGAAACTTGAAAAACTATAGTTTGTTTTTCTAATGTTTAATTGTTCCTATTCAGATTGGGGAAATTAAAAGCTCTTACTAGTTCAAAGTTTTACCCGATGAACATTACACCTACCCCTTTCAGAGATCTCAATGAATGAGTCTGTCTGTGATTTTTTTCAGCACTGTGATCCAAAAGATATCCAAACATAACATCCCCCTCCTACCCCAGCCCCCTCAGTGCATGTGTGTTTGGTAAACGTTAATGTGCCTGGGGTCTTTGGTATTGGGAAGTTAACATTCATTTTTTTGGCTGGAAATGCAAATAGTTCATCAAAATGTAATGCTTTTGGTGAACCAGAGATTGAAAGAATGAACCAATTCTGAGGACAGTAATCATGGACTTGATTTGCAGCTTAAGAAAGGTCATTTCTGCTGAGTAGTATCCTGAAGCAAATACTACCAAGGGACGCTATGGACTTTCTAGACTCGATATTCTTAAAACTATGGATAAACATACCTCTTGAGAAATGCAGGTATTCACATGCTTAAAGAGAGGTTTGGTACGTATGCTATCTTTTTTTTTTTTTTTCTTGAGACAGGGTCTTACTTTATTGCCTAGACTGGAGTGTAGTGGCACAGTCATAGCTCACTGCAGCCTCAGCCTCCCTAAGTGTTGAGATTACAGATGTAAGCCACTGTGCCTGGCCTGCCGATACTATCTTAAGGGTGCTTGCAGGCCTCTGGTGTGGTCAGATCTCATGGGTTGTAAAGTCATAAATAAGTTAACTGCTCCATGTTTCTAGCTGAATCTCTGTCTGCCCTTATGTCTTTAGGCCAATAGCAGAGAGCGGTAGCCTTGGGAAGAGGAAATAATCACTGGGCTCAGAGTTCTTCACTGCCTGCTCCACACATTACAATTCAGTATCCCAATTAGATTGTTCCAGGGACACTCCCTCCCTTCTTTCCTTCCTTCCACTGACTCATTCATCCATTCATTCAACAAACATTGATGGAGCCCCTCCTATGGCCTTATAGCAGCCCCCATCCGGTGAGAGGAAACACACAAGTAAGCCCTTAGAGTCCAGTGTGCAATCGAGGGTTAGAGCTGTGCACAGCTTTTGGAAGAGCAGAGTGGAGGGACACCTGGCTGTTGGCAGTCAGGGACAAGGAGATTTTCCTAGAGGAAGGGAGCTTGAGCTGAGCCTTTAAACTCTTTTTTTTTTTTTTTTTTTTGAGACAGATTCTCACTCTGTTGCCCAGACTGGGGTATAGTGGTGCCATCTCGGCTCACCCCAACCTCTGCCTCCTCAGCCTCCTGAATAATTGGGATTACAGTCATGCGCCACTACCGCCCAGCTAATTTTTGTATTTTTGGTAGAGACAGGGTTCACCATGTTGGCCAGCCTGGTCTTGAACTCCTGACCTCAAATGATCCACCCACCTCGGCTTCCTAAAGTGTTGGGATTACAGGCGTTAGCCACTGCACCCAGCCTGAGCTGAGCCTTTAAGAATACAAGAAAAGTTTGCTAGGAAGAAAAGAAATGGTAAAGCTGTCCAGGCTCTCACACCATGTGTGAAAGCATGGGTGTCGGGGTAGAGAGGAGAAGTAGGCAGGGGAAATTGTGGCAGAGGCCAAGAAGGGAAGTAACCCTGCTTGGACTCCAGGCTGTGTGCAGAGCTATGATGGGAGATAAGGTCAGATAAGAATAACAATTGCTAACATTTATTGAACACCTGCTATTTTCCAGGCACTGTTCTAATGGATTTATGTGTTTTCACTTAGTTAATCATGGCAACAGCCTTATGAGGTGTATATAAATATTACTACTGTTTTTCAGATTCACAGGGAGATCAAGTATTTTGCCCAAGAGCACACAGCTAGAGAGTGGAGAAGTCCGGATTCAACCCAGACAGATTGACTCCAGAGCGTGTGCTATTCGTGGCTATGCCAGAATGCCCTGATGGCCTCAGGTTTGCCTTGCCAACTGACAAAGGCGACTGTTTCCTACCCATTGGCTCAGGTTAGAGGTTACCATGACTGTGGAGACAGTTTTCTCGTGCCATTCTCTCCTTCCTTAGACCACAGGGAATGAAGCTGCACACACTGTTTAATACAGAAAGCCAACATAGAGGGTAGGAACCGTATTGGTTTTATTCATCAATGTAAATTCAGTACCAAGCCCAGTGCCTGGTACACAGTAAGCACTCACTGAATATTTATGGAAGAAACAACAAATGAATTCACTGATTTTTATCTATTAATTATATGGAAGTGAATTCAGACTTCTTCAGGGTTATGCTTAGCTTTACTTTTGAGATGTAAACTAAGAAAAACGAGATTCCACTAAAACCTTGTCACATATATATATTTGGAAATCTGTGAAATGGTCAACCCCAAACCAAAATTTACATAAGATTAACTTATTACTTTCAAATTTACAACCGATGGATTGTGGTGTGTGTGTGTGTGTATGCGTGTGTTCCATTTGTAGCATGTGTAGTTGCTTTATCTAATATGTACATTCTCTAATTCACAGATGGTTCCAGCTTCCTACCCTTCCAGTTAAAATAAACAAAAACGAGGGTCTTGAGTGTCTATGATTTTCATAAGATCTATGGCGTTTCTTCTGCAGATGATCAACAGTTGCCTGCCTTGGACTTTGGAGTTCCCAAGAACTAGGTAGGTAATGGAATTAGGTCACACTGACATCCAGTGATGGAATTTGCCCAGTGACATTAATGCATCGATTGCTTCCTATATATTTCAGTGTCATAAACAAAGTTTCTCTTTCCTTTTCAAGAAGAAAAGAGCATGGTGGAAACAGAGAAGTGTGTCTTTTGTTTGGTCAGCAAGGCAGGAAAGGCCTTGTGTGCTCTGTCCGTCAACACTGATAAGCTGTGACATCGGGAGGCTGGGAGGATCCCCAGCTGTTCCACCTACACTGGGTCCCAGGGCGCGTGATCCTGCTCAGGAAGCAAGGGGAGCTCAAACAGGGAAAGATGAGCACCATGAACACAAATAGTCTACTCGGAGTTTCTTAAATTATTTGAGTATCCATATATTTGACTTCAAGAGACCTTTATTTTCTGGGGTTCTTCCTTGTAGCTCAAAGAGTATGTGTTTTGAACATTTCATGTGGTGCAGCCCCTCTACAAAAGCCTTCCTCCAAAAGAGTCAAAATCTTAAGGAATCTAGCAAAACTAGAACAAGATGCATCATAATTGGTTTCTATAAATTAAGAAACAATTGATTTTTAATTTCTTAAGTATATTTGTGGTTAAGTATAATGGTATTTGATTTCTTAAGTATATTTGTGGTTAAGTATAATAGTATTTGGTGCATTTTATTCCATTGTGAAGAGTGTTAATGATTATAACTAACAAGTTTTATGTGCTTTACAATTTCAAATGCCTCCTACAAAGTTTATATTTGTTCATTTGGTTCTCTTTAGCCCTCTCTGAAATGAAGAAAACTATTACTATCCTACTTTTACAGATGAGGAGACTGGAGTTCAGGGAACATACTAGGCTAAGGGTTTTGCCTTAGAGGCAGCCTGTGAAAAGTAAAGGAGCAAGAAGTTGAACCTAGTTCAAGTTCCAAAACCCATTCTCCTCTTATCCACTCAATGGATAAATCAAGAAAAGTGAGAAACTTATTCTTGAATGTCCAACACAGGCTAGGTAATTTTACACATACGATTTCATTTAGAAACTACAAGTCAGGTACTATTATCAGGGATAGAGAAATTAAGATTCCAAGAGGACCAATAACTTAACAAATGCTTGGTAAATGATTGAGCCCTTTTAGTGAAAAATAACAGGTAATTCTAGGAAAAAAGATGTTCTTGAACTAGATCAGCTTACTGAAATTTGTTAGGAGTGCAACCCTAGGCAGAATATCTCACAAAAGGAAGCTTATGTGTAAAAAGTGGAGTTCGGTTGGGTTTTTTTTTTTTTTTTTTCTATTCTGAGGAATATTTTCTTTTCCTTTTCAGAAAATCCAGGTCAGGAACTGTATCTTTGCTCAGCCACCTGCAAACAGACTTGAGAACAATGTAAACCACCCTCTGCAGGATATTGATTCTGATGGAGTAAATGTTGATTAAGCAGAATGGTGTTTTTTTTTTTAACTGGAGGAATTCCAGATCTTTCCTTAGGCCTGTCTCTCCAGGGAAATGAGCTCTAGCCTTAAAAATCTACAGAAAACCTGAGTAAGAATGAAGATTTATGATGGGAGACGCTGGGCGGAAGACGGCTGGCTATCTGGTGGGCTATCTAGAAGCTCATCTTTGTGTTATTAGAGAAACACTCCCGCTCTTGACAGGATATGGTCTGCTTATCACATAATCTTCTCAAGTTTCATTCCCATTCTGCTTACAAATGCCCCAAATATAAAGAGATGCATTTCATCAAGACAGCCTTTTAAGAGGCAGTTGATCCCAGCTGTTGCCGTCTATCTTAAACACCTACCTTTTCACCCTAGTGTGGAGTTTACATGTCGATAAGCGATGTAAAAAAGGGAACTTGAGAAATCTCAGCAGAGGAAAAACACCGAGCCTGTCTCTGGGGATTGGAGTAGGAGTAAAGAGCTCAGGAAGCTCTAAGTTCCAGAACACCCCTCCTTTTCAGAGAGGAGCCCTGGGGCGATGCTGGCCTGCCCCAGGCCTTGAGCTGATCTCAAATACCAGGGACTGGAAACCGTTTTCCAGGCACATAAGCTGAGGGATTCATTGCCTGCTACTTTGGCATTTTCTTGTCAAGAGCTGGTGGTAAAATAGTAGTGAAAGATGCAGGTAGGAACAGGAGAGCCAGACCTGGAAGGTTTTGGCTCACCCATGGACCCTCCGTCCTGGCATTGTCCATGCTCATCCGTGATGAATTCTCAATACCTGATTTCATGACACACATATGTAGACCTGGGATGCATTCCCAGACGGCCAAGTGGGATATGCTGCCAAATGACCTGTGAGTTTTCTCTCACTCCTGAGTCTGCAAGCTCAGAAAGCCAGGGGCTCTTAGAGGTTGCTAAGTCCAGAAGACTTTTATGCAGAATACCGAGGGAGGAGGTTAGAATTAAGTATTAAGTGGGCAAAACAGGAGGGGTCATTTCAGAGTCCTGCTTGGGTCCTGGTGCAGCCTGTTGTAGCTGATAGGGATGGAGGCGGGGAGGTATCTCCTTTGTTGAAGAAATAAACCTGTGACTGTGAATCCAGTCTGCTCCCTCCTAAAGACTGGGCTGCAGTGTTTGAAGTCGGAACTGGTGTGTTTCGGGAAGCTGGCTGCATCAGGTTCCCATTAGCCCAGGCAGCTGCACCAGTGGGTTCACACCATGACATGGTAACAATTAAGCCTTCTGCTACTGGTCCTTACCCTGGGGTGAGGCTCTTTTCTTTTTTACCAATGTGACTTAAAGTTGCCCTGGTTTCCTTGTGGCTCGATTTCCTGCAGATTCCCGTTACTTTATGTCTAATCTTCTGAGACCACTCATTAGACCACACAAATTGTAACAATTGTCTCCAGCACACAGATCCTGTTCCAGACCCTCAGTGTACCTAGGAAAAAGACTATCTCTCTGAAACGTGAGAGTTACTTCCTGTGTAAATAGACGAATTCCAAAAAATCCGAGGCAAAAATATTAGGGAAAATAAACTAATTATACTCCCATACCCTGAGGCATTCTAAAATTATTTTCTTCCTTTAAAAAAAAAAAGCAGTGGGTTAGAACAATTATTTCCATTTTCAGTGATGAGAGAGATAATACATGTACAAATGACTGTAGTATGAAGCAGAAAAACGAAAAGATATCATTAAATTCTATGGTTTTTCCAAGCAAGAAAAATATTTCTTTATAGAGAATAAGCCTGATCAGAGAAATTGCCATTTGAGCTGAAACTTGAAAAATAGGTGGAATTTGGATATATAGAAGTTGGCAGAAAGAAGAAAGAAGCATTTAGGAGAGGGAACAAAAGCAACAAAAATGTGGGCATTTTCATAGGACTTACTGTAGCTTAAGCACTGATAGACGCTGTGGGAAGTAAAATAATGTATAGATGCCTCTCGATTTACAACGAAGTTACGTCCTGATAAGTCTATTGTAAGATGAAAATATTGTAAGATGAAAATATTGTAAGATGAAAATGCATTTAGGCGACGGGCACAGTGGTTCATGCCTGTAATCCCAGCACTTTGGGAGGCTGAGGGGGGCAGATCACCTGAGGTCAGGAGTTCAAGACCAGCCTGGCCAATATGGTGAAACCCCGTCTCTGCTAAAAGTACAAAAATTAGCTGGGTGTGGTGGCACATGCTTGTAATCCCAGCTACTCAGGAGGCTGAGGCAGGAGAATCGCTTGAACCTGGGAGGTGGAGGTTGCAGTGAGCCGAGATCGCGCCACTGACTCCAGCCTGGGCTACAGAGAAAGACTCCGTCTCAAAAAAACCCAAAAAACAAAAAAACAAAAACAAAAAGAATGCATTTAATACACCTACTCTACTGAGTATTATAGCTTAGCCTAGCCTACCTTAAACATGTTCAGAACACTTCCATTAGCCCATACTTGGGCAAAATCATCTGGCAATGCAGTGCACCGTAGAGTGTCAGTTGTTTACCCTCGTGATCCTGTGGCTGCCTGGCAGCTGTGGCTTACTGCCCAGCATCGAGAAAGAGAATCACACTGCTTTCTACTGAATGTATATTCCTTTTGTACCATTGTAAAGTTGAAAAATCTTAAGTTGAACCACTGTAAGTTGGGGACTATCTATAAGACATAGGTCCTGCCTTCAAGAGGCCTTCATTTGAATTGAAGTGATAAAACAAACACAGGATAGAAATAACTTAGAGAACAATGTAAGACATGTATGACCTTAAATCACTGCAGACCTAGGTAACATTTAATTGTGGTATGTAGGTGATGATAAATATGATTTCAAGTAGGGAGTTGTCAAAGTTTGGTGAAATAGCAAGACCAGATTTGAGGGGGGTGATCTTTAGTTAGATGCTTAGGGCTGAAGGAAAGTCATTAAAACAAAGGAGAAAGTGAATGAATTGAGAATAAGGCAGGCCACATGCTGCAGACTAGTGGTTCTCCAGCTTCAGCGTGCATCAGACTCATCCAGAGAACTCGTTAATAACATACATGTCCCTGAGCTCCACAGCAGACTTTCTGATTTAGTAGGTCTGGTATGAGGTGTGATGAGTTGCATTCTGGCAAGCTCCCTAGTGATGCTGGTGCACCTGGTCTGGAAACTCACACTTTGTGAACTGCTGTGGACAGATCAGCATGCCCAGAGCACAAGCATTTACTTGGGGGAAATAGTGGGAAATCAAACTGTACGAGGGAAGTCCACCAGAGAAGTATTAAAAATCAGTTTGCTGTTAACTCTCTTCATTTTCCTGATTGTTGATTCCTCATCTGAACAAAACCATAAACACTCTTGACTTTTTCTATTCCCAAATGGCTTCTTGGTTTAGCATGAATTACTGAGAAAGAAGAAAATCATGGTTTTATGCCTCCAGAAGAAACTACCATGGTTAAAGCTGGATATCATTTCAGAAGACAGGTTCCATGAATCCCTCTGCAAGACGCATGTTCTTAAATAGCTTTACCCCTTCCAGGAAGTGTGATCTGTTATGGGACTGGTGTTAAGGAGCTTTACACATTGAACAGCCACTGTCAGAGCCAACCCCCTTAAAACCCAAGTATTAAAAACACCAACCAAAGAGACATAGCAAAATGATGCACTATTTCTTTGCTTTCCTAAGAGATCCGCATCACTTATTATCTCAAATGTTTTATAAATAGCAGTTATAACCCTTATTACATTATCTTTTCGCTTTTGCATATTTAAATAAAAACTTATCATTGTTTCCCCCTATTTTTACAGAAAAAAGAAGTAATCTGATGGGGGAAAGATGTCCAAACTTGAAAACTTCTTAAAAATGTCTTTATTCTGTTTGAAGTAAAACAACCTCATAATCTTCTTTCTACTCCATGGGGTTTTTAAAATGAGTTTCTCCTGGAGTTTGTTAGCTTGATGGAGGTGGAAATGTTTTACTGTAGACAGTTTCTTACAAGTGTTTAAAGATCAAGCTGTAATATCGTATAGTCTGTAGACAGAAATGTGCAGTGCAGTCTCCAAAATTTTCTTCAGTCCTTTGACTATTGAAGATAAGAGTTGCGTAGTATGCAAATGACAGTTATTAGAGAATATCACAATATACACAGTTAATAGCATGATTCATATTTATGAAGTACTAATTTCATATAAATACCAAAAATATATACTGATTATATGGTTCAAATTTTGAATTGAGCAAATAAAACAAACTAGCTAGGAAGAGAATTTATTTTATAACAATGAAGCACGTTTATCATTTATTATCTTTTCTCATGATTTAATGGGTGAAGGATAACTAAAGTAAATAACTTTTAAGGTATTTCTTTATGTAGAAATAAATGACATATTTCAGTTCCATAATGAAATTAGGACTGATACGGTTTGGCTGTGTCCCCACCCAAATCTCATCTTGAATCATAGTTCCCATAATCACCACATGTCATGGGAGGGACCCAGTGGGAGGTAATTGAATCAGGGGGGCAGTTTTTCCCATGCTGTTCTTGAGACAGTGAATAAGTCTCATGAGAGCTGATGGTTTTATAAAGGGCAGTTCTCCTGCACATGCTCTCTTGTCTGCTGCCATGTAAGAAGTGCCTTTGCTCCTTTTTTGCCTTCAGCTATGAGACTGTGAGACCTCCCCAGCCATGTGGAACTGTGAGTCCATTAAATCTCTTTTTCTTTATAAATTACCAAGTCTTGGGTGTTTCTTCCTGCCAGTATGAACATTAACTAATACAGGGACTAAAGGTGCTCATTGCAGTGCTTAGAAAGGGAATTCTGCAGCACAGGTGAGAGATAAGAAACTGTTACATGCATTGAGAGCTGGACAGGAACTTTCAGGGGCTGGGTTGATTGTGGCACCTGCCTGGAAACCCATAGTTGCTTAATGACAGGGTGAGGCCAGAATCCTGGATTTGTCAGAATTGCTGACTCCTTCACTGGGACCCTCTCTAGACTATAGTAAGGAGCAGCTTCTTTTTAGAAGAGAAATTTTTTTTGCTAAATTTATCTCAGATTTATTACGTACTGACATTTATTACCTCCCTTACATATTAAGCATCTTAGTAAAAAATAACATCTTGATTGAAAATAAATTGAATACAATAAAGAAAATTTGATTTATCCTCTAACCCAATGTCAAAGATGATGTTTTGCTGGGCGCAGTGGCTCACGCCTGTAATCCCAGCACTTTGGGAGGCCAAGGCGGGCAGATCACCTGAGGTTGGGAGTTCGAGACCACCCTGACCAACATGGAGAAACCCCATCTCTGCTAAAAATACAAAATTAGGCAGGTGTGGTGGCACATGCCTGTAATCCCAGCTACTCGGGAGGCTGAGGCAGGAGAATGGCTTGAACCCGGGAGGCGGAGTTTGCAGTGAGCTGAGATCGCGCCACTGCACTCCAGCCTGGCAACAAGAGTGAAACTCCATCTCAAAAACAAAAACAGAAACAAAAACAAACAAACAAAAAAACAAAGATGATGTTTTAATTTTGTTTTCCTTGGCCATGTGTATTTTTCTGTGAAGAAAATTTATTTAATTGAGATTAGGTTTCCTTTTTTTTGAGAAAGAGTCTCACTCTGTCACTCAGGCTGGAGTGCAGTGTCCTGATCTCTGCTCACTGCAACCTCCACCTCTCAGGCTATAGCGATTCTCCTGCCTCACTCTCCTGAGCAGCTGTGCTCAGGATCACAGGCACCCGCCATGATGCCCGGATAATTTTTGTATTTTTAGTAGAGATGGGGTTTCACCAGGTTAGTCAGGCTGGTCTCGAACTCCTGGCATCAAGTGATCTGCCTGCCCACCTTGGACTCCCAAGAGCTGGGATTACAGACAGACTTGCGCCACCGTGCCTGGCCAGGTTTCCATTTGTTTTTGACGTACGGCACTTATTTTCAGTCTCATGTTAGTGCATTTGTATATTATGTTTGTGAGCTGCAGACATGGGGTTCTCCAGCATAATACATAAAGTTGTTAGTGCAACCCATGTCAGGTATCTGTCTGAAGGAAGAAGACTAGATTTTAAATAAATATATCAGTTGATTCATTCAATGACTGTTCTTGCTTTCTGTACTCACGTGGGGAGAACATACTCCTATTTTACACTGTATTGCTCAAAAGTCTTCTAGAACCCCTCCAGTATTTGTCCTCAAGCTAGCTGTTGAGTTTCCTCAAAAATGTGGTCTCATGATTTTATTGTAATTTTATTTATTTTTGAGACAGGGTCTTGCTCTGTCTCCCAGGCTTGAGTGGAGTGGCGTGATCATGGCTCACTGCTGCCTCAACCTCCTGGGCTCAAGCGATTCTCTGACCTCAGACCCCTGAGTAGATGGGACCGCAGGTGTGCACCACCATGCTTGGCTAATTTTTAGTTTTTATGTAGAGGTAGGTCTTGCTATGTTGCCCAGGCTGGTCTCAACCTCCTGGCCTCAAGTGATCCTCCCACGTTGGCCTCCCAAAATGCTGGGATTACAGGCGTGAGCCACTGCACTCAGCCTTGTCATTTTATTCTTGACCAAAAATACATTACTCAGTTTGGTCAGCTACTTCATTTATCAAACAATGCCTTTTAAACCTTTTTTATTTTAAGTTCCAGGGTACATGAGCAGGATGTGAAGGTTTGTTACATAGGTAAACAAGGGCCATGGTGGTTTGCTGCAGTTATCAACCCATCACCTAGGTATTAAGCCCAGCATGCATTAGCTATTTTACCTAATGCTCTCCCTTCCCCTTCTCCCTTCCAGGACCCAATGTGTGTTGTTCCCCTCCTTGTGTCCATATGTTCTCATTGTTCAGCTCCCACTTATAAGTGAGAACATGTGGTGTTTGGTTTACCGTTCCTGTGTTAGTTTGCTGAGGATTATGGTGTCTAGCTTCATCCATGTCTCTGCAAAGGACATGATCTTTTTCCTTTTTATGGCTGCATAGTATTCCATGGTGTATATGTACCACACTTTCTTTATCCACCTTATCATTGATGGGCATTTGGGTTGATTCCATGTTTTTGCTATTGTGAATAGTGCTGCAATGAACATATGTGTGCATGTATCTTTGTAATAGAATGATTTATATTCCTTTGGGTCTGTACCCAGTAATGGCATTGCTGGGTCAAATGATATTTCTGGTTCTAGATCTTTGAGGAATCACCACACGGTCTTCCACAATGACTGAACTAATTTACATTCTCACCAACAGTGTAAAAGTGTTCCCATTTCTCTGCAACATTGCCAGCCATCTCTTGTTTCTTGACTTCTTGCGGTTTGTTTTGTTTTGTTTTGTTTTGTTTTGAGACAGAGTCTTGCTGTGTCACCCAGACTGGAGTGTAGTGGCACGAACTTGGCTCACTGCAACCTCTGCCTCCCAGGTTCAAGTGATTCTCCTGCCTCAGCCTCCTGAGTAGCTGGGATTACAGGCGTGCACCACCATGCCTGGCTGATTTTTATATTTTTGGTAGAGACAGGATTTTGCCACATTGGCCAAGCTGGTCTCGAACTCCTGGCCTCAAGTGATCCACTTGCCTTGGCCTACCAAAGTGCTGGGATTTTAGGCATGAGCCACTGCACCCAGCAGTGTTTCTTGACTTTTTAATAATTTCCATTCTGACTGGCGTGAAATGGCATCTCATTGTGGTTTTGATTTGCATTTCTCTAATGATCAGTGATGTTGAGCTTTTTTTTCATATGTTTCTTGGCCACATGGATGTCTTCTTTTGAGAATTGTCTGTTCATGGCCTTTGCCCACTTTTCAATGGTTTTTTTTTCTTGTAAATTTGTTTAAGTTCCTTGTAGGTTCTGGATACTAGATCTTTGTCAGATGGATAGATTGCAAAAATTTTCTCCCACTCTGTAGGTTGCCTGTTTGCTCTGATGATACTTTCTTTTGCTGTGCAGAAGCTCTTTAGTTTAATTAGATCCCATTTGTCAATTTTTGCTTTTGTTGCAATTGCTTTTGGCAATTTCGTCATGAAACCTTAGCCCGTGCCTATGTCCTGAATGGTATTGCCTAGATTTTCCTCTAGGGTTTCTATAGTTTTGGGTTTTACATTTAAGTCTCTAATCCATCTTGAGTTAATTTTTGTATAAGGTGTAGTATGGAAGGGGTCCAGTTTCAATTTTCTGCATATGGCTAGCCAGTTTTCCCAACACCATTTATTAAATAGGGAATCCCTTCCTCATTGTTTTCTGTTAAAAGAAAAACTTCAGCTGAATCAAACAATGCTTACTGGTTTTTGTTTTTTTCCAAAAATCAAATCCATCAACTTCAAATCTACACATAAAGAATAATGATAGGCTGGCTGGGTGTGGTGGCTCTTGCCTGTAATCCCAGCACTTTGAGAGGCCAAGGCGGGTGGATCACTTGAGGCCAGAAGTTTGAGACCAGCCTGGCCAACATGGCAAAAACCTATCCTCTACTAAAAATACAAGTGTTAGCAGGGTATGGTGGCACGGGCCTGTAGTCCCAGCTATTAGGGAGGCTAAGGTGGGAAGATCACCTGAGCTTGCGAGGTGGAGGTTGTAGTGAGCTGAGATCATGCCACTGTGCTCCATCCTGGGTGACAGAGTGAGACTCTGTCAAAAAAAAAAGAAAGAAAGAATGATGATATGGCACAACTGAGGAGATGTGAAGGAAAGTGCCAAGAGAAGATAAAAAAAATATTGGGGCTAACAGCTGCATCCTTGGAAGAGATGTAGCCTCCCAAGAAGACTCCAAGAAATAAATGTGGCCTCCCAAGAAGAACTTACATATTGGCCACATAAGTTCTAGTGCTTGTGTAAAAGGTACATTCCCTACTAGTCACACCTTGCCCATGATGTCTTCTCATAGGCTGATCATGAAAGTTGCCACAGAACAAAATTCTGCCCATGCTTCATTTGCTTAGAAGTCTTCATTTAAAGTATCTGAAGCCAGGTGTGGTGGTTCACGCCTGTAATCCCGGCACGTTGGGAGACCGAGGAGCGTGGATTGCTTGAGCCCAGGAGTTTGAGAACAGCCTAGGCAACACGGCAAAACCCTGTCTCTACAAAAAATACAAAAATTAGCTGGGTGTGGTGGTGGTGTGTGCCTGTCATCTCAGCTACTCAAGAGGCTGAAGTGGGAGGATTAATTGAGCCTGAGAGGTTAAGTCTGTGATGAACAGTGGTCTTTCCACTGCACTCCAGCCTGGGTGACAGGAGACTCTGTCTCAAATAGAAATAAATAAATATAAAACATCAGAGCCTGGGCAACATAGTGAGATCCTGTTGCTAAAAAAAATTAGCCAGGCATGGTGGCATGCGCCTCTAGTTCTACCTACTCAGGAGGCTGAAACAGGAGGATCACTCAAGCCCAGGAGCCCAGGTTACAGTGATTTATGATCTTGCCTGTGAAGAGCCACTGCACTGCAGCCTGGGCAACAGAGCACGACCCTGTCTCCAAAAAATATATAAATATTTTTAAAAATCTATACAAAAAGATAAAAAGGAAAGCTCTAGTAAGGAACTGACAATGGCTATTGGAATGGGATCCTTCTCAGTCCTAGAAACCCTCCCTGTTTCTCCTAAGCCTTCACTTCCTTACTCTATTCATGTCCCTAGCCTGGTTCTCCTGCTCAGTCCCTTCAACATCTCTCCTAACTCTTGGTTCTCTGATTTCCTTGACTTTGCCCCACACCCAGCCCCCGCTGATTCCCATGACCAGCTGCCTTCTCCACCCCCCACCTCTGCTGTGGAGCTTTCCTGGACAGAATTGTGCTGCGTGTAGGTGGTGACTCTTCTGCTGTCATTTTCTTGTCCTTAGTATCTCTTCAAATCCCCAAACTTGACAACTACCCTCAGGTCTCCCACTCCGCCACCTCCGCTTGCATTGCATGTCACAGAAAGAAATAAACATTAAAAAAAAAGGAAGGAAAAAGAAGAAAAAGAAAACAAAACAAACGAAAAAACAAGGCCTGCGGCCTTCGGTGTTGCAGCACCTGCATCTCCTAATCTCTTCCCTTTAGCCCTCCTACACTTTCACATCCGAAGGCGTCCTGCATTCTTTCCAATGCTGACCTCACTGCCCCAAACTCTCCCCGCCCTAAGCAGGCACTAAATCCTAGGCCTCTACTCTCCTCCATGACCTTTCTTTGCCAACTATCTTCTTTCCTGTCTTCACTACTTTCCTCCTTCCTCCCTTTGACCTACTTATAATTTCTTTTTTCTTTCTTTCTTTTTTCTTTTTTTTGAAATGGAGTCTCGCTCTGTTGCCCAGGCTGGAGTGCAGTGGCACAGTCTTGGCTCACTGCAACCTCTCCCTCCCAGGTTCAAGCAATTCCCTGCCTCAGCCTCCTGAGTAGCTGGGATTACGGGCACCTGCCACCACGCCCGGCTAATTTTTGTATTTTTAGTAGGGATGGGATTTCACCATTTTGGCCAGGCTGGTCTTGAACTCGTGACCTCATGATCCACCTGCCTTGGCCTCCCGAAGTGCTGGCATTACAGGTGTGAGTCACCGCGCCCGACCTTCACTTACAATTTCTAATCTTCCCCCTCTTCAAAGATAAAAGCAACTTCCTTCACCTTCCCTTTCTTCTCAGGCTGCTGTGCTAGTTCTGTCCTTTTCATTCTGCCTATGTGTCTTGAAAAAGGAGCTGCACTTGCTTGTTGTGCACCGTTTGCTCCACACAGCCTCAATCTATGTCCACCCGCTGCTTGACCACACTTGGTCTCAGTTACAGGATCAATGAGGGAGAACCACCCGGGCGTGCATCCGGCTGTCCACCTTGCTAGATGTACAGCCTTGGACAAGTTACCTCCCTCTCTGTGCCCCAGCCTCCTCATCTGAAAAATGGGGATAATGATACTTTTGCTTCTTAATCAACATAATAATGAAATAATAACAGAATGATAATTTGATTAGATTCTGGTAAGGTTAATACATAAGAGGAGGTGCAAAGAGAGTGAACTAATAATAGACAAAAATAAAAAAGGATTCATTCCATCTCTCTGGAACGCCCTTATCTCCCATCTGATACCCAGTAGGTCCCAGTGAGTCATTCTCATCCCAGTTTACAATTGCCTTCTTCCTCAGATCTCTCCTGACTGTCCACCTCCGCCGACGTGAATGGTCTCTTTAACCCTGGTACTTAGGGAATTTAACCTTAGTGCTTCTCACGTGGTGCTGTCTTTGCCCTGTCTTGCTCGGCAGTTAGTCATAAGCGTGTCCCATGTCCTCCACATCCCTGTGACATCTCGCAGGCCAAGGGTCTGTTTTACTTGTATAGTAGTGTGCTAGAGCAGCCATCACAAAGGACCACAGGCTGGGTGGCAAAAATTAATTTTTTCACAGTTCTGGAGGCTACAAATCTGAGATTAAGGTGTTGGCAGGGCTGTTTTCTCCCGTGGCCTCTCTCCTTGGCTACAGATGGCCGTCTTCTCCCTGCGTCTTCACATCATCTTCCCTTTGTGTTTGCCTGTGTCCTAATCACCTCTTCTTATAAGCACACAGTCAGACGGGATTAGGGCACACCTGTATGACCTCATTTTCACTAAACTATCTTTTTTTTTTTTTTTTTGAGACAGAGTCTGGCTCTGTTGCCCAGGGTGGAGTACAGTGGTGTGATCTTGACTTGCTGCAACCTCCACCTCCCGAGTTCAAGTGATTCTCCTGCCTCAGCCTCCCAAGTAGCTGGGATTATAGGTGCCAGCCACCATGCCCAGCTAATTTTTGTATTTTTAGTAGAGACAGGGTTTCCCCATGTTGGCCAGCCTGGTCTCGAACTCCTGACCTCAGGAGTTCGCCCACCTCGGCCTCCCAAAGTGCTGGGAATACAGGGGTGAGCCACCGTGCCCGGTCTTACTTAACTATCTTTTTAAAGACTCTTTTTGGCCAGGCTCGGTGGCTCACACGTGTAATCCCAGCACTTTGAGAGGACGAGATGGGCAGATCACGAGGTCAGGAGTTCAAGAACAGCCTGGCCAGCATAGTGAAACTTCATCTCTACTAAAAATACAAAAATTAGCTGGGCATGGTGGCGCACGCCTGTAATCCCAGCTACTCAGGAGGGTGAGGCAGGAGAATTCCTTGAACCCAGGAGGCGAAGGTTGCAGTGAGCCAAGATTGCGCCACTGTACTCCAGCTTGGGTGACAGAGTGAGACTCCATATCAAAAAACAAACAAACAAAACAAAAACAAAAAAACTCTTTTTTCCCAAATACAGTCACATTCTGAGGTACTAGGAGGTTAGGACATTGGCAGATGAATTTGCTGGGGGTGGTGTCACAGTTCAGCCTACAACACTTATTTTTGATAGCACACAGTATGTAACATGGTGCCAGCCACATTTGTGTCCTTAATTAATTAAACAACCTGGGAAGAAACCAGGGAAGGGGAAACAAGTCAGGAAGTAGAGAAAAGTAATCCCTAAAATCTGTTTCCCATACGATCTTGGGGAAATAGTGGAGAAAGCAAGAGAGGTTATTCTTCACCTCTAATGTTTTCCTTTCAGTCACACATCCTCATACAAGAGGATTATTTCATTAGACTTGGGTTTCCTTCTGCTTGCAAAATGATACCCCTGGGAAGGATGACATAATAAAAAGACAAAATGGAGCAAGGCAGATTCTGCTTTTGTTGC
Organism: Homo sapiens; assembly: GCF_000001405.40. Classification (NCBI taxonomy): domain Eukaryota; kingdom Metazoa; phylum Chordata; class Mammalia; order Primates; family Hominidae; genus Homo; species Homo sapiens. The sequence continues at coordinate 79,806,441 of NC_000008.11, read as the reverse complement.
TCACAACGATGATACCTTTGTGGCCTGGCACATAGTACATGTTAGTGATTGTTGGTTTTACTCTTATTGTTATTACCATGACCATGATTATTATGGATTCTAAGTTCTATGAAGACAATGATATTTATTTTTTCATTGCTGTACTCTCTGGCCTCACACAGTACTTAGTAAAAAGTAGAAGCTCAACATATTTGTTAAATAAATGGACATAACCTCTGAGGTTCTCTTTCCTCATCTCTAAAAAGAACTAATATTTATTGAGCAATTACTATATGTGAGGTCTTGTGCTACCTGTTTTAGATGGATTATTTTATTTAATCCTCATAGCAATCGTGTGAGGTAAGTACTGTTTTTATTCCCAGTTTTCAGATGAAGAAAGTGAGGCAAAGAGAGTTAAGTAACTGGTCAAGGTCACACAATTAACAAGCTGTGAGCTCTGACTTAGTTGTACTCAAACCTGAAGTACTAACCAATATATTATATTGCCTCCTTCATTTCTATAAAGAGGATAAAAATTCCCACCTCACAGGCTTGTTGAGAGGAATTAATGGGAATTTGTAAAGTGTCTAATATGCAGTAGGAGCTCAATCAATATCAAACCCTCTGCTTTACTCTGCACAACTTATGTTACTGTGTAGACAAGTGCTGTGGGATCTGTCCTCTAACTAAAAACTCTCCCCAAATCCTCTATTAACCCAAGCACCCTGCAGCTGCTGCCCCATTTTTCTTGCTTCCCTTCATAGTGAAATTACTCTGTACTGAAGAGATGTCTGTACTTCCTTTCCTCATCTCCCGTTTGGTCTTGATCCCAGAAAAATGAGACTTCTGCTTCTCCTCTCTTCTGAAACTGCTCTTAGCAAGATAACCAAATACACCCAACAAGTTCAATCCAACAGCTCTTTCCTGTTTCCTTTTTTTTTAACCTCATAGCATCATTCAACAGAGCCAATCACTCCCTCTTTCTTAAAGCTTCTTCTCAAAACTCCCTGATTTTGTTTTACTTCCCTGGATGCTCCTTCTTTGTCCCCTTTGCTAGTTCTGTTACCTCTGTTCTAAGTCTAAATGTTGAAGTATCAAAGTATCCCAGGCCTCAACATATATATATATATATATATTTTTTTTTTGAGACAGGTTCTTGCTCTGTCTCCTGGGCTGGAAGATAGTGGTATGATCATGGCTCATTGCAGTCTTGAACTCTTGGGCTCAAGCTCTCCTCCTGCCTCAGCCTCAGGAGTAGCTGGGACTACAGGTATGCACCACCACACCCAGCTAATTATTATTTATTTTTTGTAGAGACAGCATCTCACTATATTGCCCAGGCTGGTCTCCAGCTGCTGGCTTCAAGCAGTCCTCCCCACTCAGCCTCCCAAAGTGCTGGGATTACAGGAATGAGCCACTGCACCTGGCCTCAACTTCTTTATCTATATTCTCCAGCCAGGAAATCACATCCAGACCCATGACTTAAATGGCATCTGTATGTGGATGGTTCCAAATGTCTGTCTCCAGCCCTCATTTCTCCCTGGAGCTTCAGATTCATGTATCCAGCTTCCCATATGACACTGCCACTTGGAATTGTAATGGGCATCTCAGACATCACATAAAATACAATTGATTCAGCATTCCCTTCCTTTTCCCAACCTGGACCTCCTACATTCTTCCCCACTCATGCAGTGGCTCCATCTTCCACACAGTTTTTCAGAACAAAGATCCAGGAGTCACCTGTATCTCCCTTATTCTACATTTGCTCCACCAATGAGTCCTGTTGAAGGGTTTACTGCCAAAACATATCTCAAATCTATCTATCTCAAATCTCCTCCTTGGTATTAAAATAAAATTCAGAGTTTTAGGTAGGTGTAGAGGGTTCCCCAAGGTCCATCCCCCTCCCTCTAGGGCCTTCACCATGGTTGAAATCCCCCTCATTCATGGTGCTTCAGGCACATCTTCTCTGTTCCTTGAACATGGCTGACCTATTTCTGTCTAAGGGCCTTCGCACTTGCTATTCTTTGTGCCTGAAATTCTTTTCCCCAGATCTTTACATGGCTGGCTGCTTTTTATCATTTAGGTCTCAACTAAAATGTCATCTCCTCAGAGAAGACTTCCATAATCACATTGGTTAAAGTAGCTTTTTTTTTTTCTTTTGAGCTAGAGGCTCGCTCTGTCTCCCAGGCTGGAGTGCAATGGCGTGATCTCGGCTCACGGCAACCTCTGCCTCCCGGGTTCAAGCTATTCTCCTACTTCAGCCTCCTGAGTAGCTGGGATTACAGGCACGTGCCACCATGCCCAGCTAATTTTTGTATTTTTAGTAGAGACGGGGTTTCACTATGCTGGCCAGGCTGGCCTCGAACTCGTGACCTCGTGATCTGCCCACCTCAGCCCCCAAAGTGCTGGGATTACAGTCGTGAGGCACCACGACCGGCCTAAAGTGGCTTCTGACCCACAGCTGTACATCTCTCTAGTAGTTAGTAAAGTGTTTGGCTGCAAATAAGAACAAACTTAACAAAGGCCTAAATGGATGGAGCCTTATTTGTCTCAAACTGATGAAGATGTCCAGGGTAGTTAGGTGAAGGCTCTGCAGGGCTCAATAGTGACAGCAGGGATGCAGCCTCCTTCTTGCTTCCTACTCTGCGGTAGTCATTAACATCATGACATTCTTCCATATGATGATCACTCCATGATTGCAAGATAGCTGCTGTGCCTCTGGGTATTATATCTTTGTTTCAAACAAGGAGAAGGGAGAGTTTAAAGGATCAAAGTCTTTTCTTATGTGGCTCTGGCTCTGCATTTTATTGGGCAGGAAAGTGCTCCTCAGGGTATTTTGTTTGGAGCCATGGATTTGTGTCAGGCTGCTACTCTCTTAGCAGTAAGGGAGGTTGGGGAAACAAGCATTTCACCTTTCTGGCATGTACTCTAGAAACTGCAAGGGACAAGGGGGATGTGAATGACACAGGCCAGCAAATCCCAGCCACCTTTTGTGTTAGATTGTTCTGCGTAATTTTTTTCATCAAATTTGTTTTTTATAATTTTTTCATAAAATTTAGCTTTTAATTTTTTTTTTTGAGACAGGATCTTGCTCTGTTGCCCAGGCTGGAGTGCATTGGCACCATCTTAGCTTCACCTCCTGGGCTCAAGCAATAACCTTCACCTTCACCTCCTGGGCTCATAACCTTCACCTCCCAGGCTCAATCAATCCGCCCGCCTCAGCCTCCAGAGTAGCTGGGACTACAGGTGTGCACCACCATTCTTAGCTAATTTTTTCATTTTTGTTGTTGTGGGGGTCTCACTATGTTGCTAGGGCTTGTCTTGAACTCCCGGGCTCAAGTGGTCCTCCCATTTTGGTCTCCCAAGTGCTGGGATTACAAGCATGAGCCACCACATCAGGCCCAAAGTTATGATTATGTGAAATTATCTTACTATTTAACTGTTTTCTTACCTATGGAATGCTCTTATTTATGGTAAGCTACAGAAGAATAGAATACAGAAGAATCTCTTTTGTTTGAGGCTGTGACCAGAAGTCCCTGGCACATAGTAGGCATTCTATAACCATTTGTTGATTTTCAGATAAACAAGTGAACAAACAAAAGAGAAAATGTGCCTCCATGTTGCAAATAGATTTCTGTAATACATAATACATCCACAAAGCACTAGATAATCAAAGTTTAATTGTGAACATCCTATGCAAATTGCTGGCATGCCATGAGGATGCTGTTGAATGTGCTGTCCTTTTGATCTAAGGAATAATAGTGGTCCTGTTCACCACAGTTGCATTGGTAAGAGTGACGATGGTATCTTCTGTGAGGTCCACTCTGTCTCTTCAAGTTGTCTTTGTGACAGAGAGCTTGACTAGCAGAGTGTTCATGGGTCAGAGAGAAGCACAGTGTCTTCCCACAGGATTTAGCCACTGGCCATGTCTGGATTCATGGTCGAATTCACTAGACTTCCTGGACACATACAAGCCCTAGAATAGGACATAAAATACCAATGACATAGACACAGGCTTGGTCAGGTACATGCCAAATTTCTATGCCAACCCAAAGCTCTATTTATAAGAAAGGATTTTGTAGTGGCTTTCAAGCTCAAGGTTGAACATGGTCACTGTTGGAATCTAGACAGCCTGGTAATGGTTAGTGGGCTAAGAGAGTAGACTCCTTTGCAGAGGGCACTGAATAGCCTCACGGGAGTGCCTCAGCCTAAGGAAGAGGTGGCCTACTAAGTTCAGCTAATCTGAATGTCTTGGTGTCCAGCAGGGAGGAAGGAGAGAGTCTGAATACTGCTCCTTGTCCTCAGATGAGCTCTTCCTGTACTCATGTCTGGATCCAGAGGAAATAAGACATGTAAGTAAATATGGGAAGTATTTTCATTACAAAACCTCCAACTACAAAGCACAGTGTCATACTGCTTTGGTGCCTGTGTGACAAGAGGTTATACAAGGCGAGAAGGAGGTGCTCTTTCCCTTTCTTCATGGCTTACAGCCATGGCTGTGATGCACAGAGGGCTTCGGAGAACACAGAACCTCCTTAGCTTGTTGAGGTTTCCAGTGCGGTAGCCACATCTTTAGCACTTGTTCCTGAGCACACCGAAAACATCTCCAGGAATGCTCAGAAACAAGCAGGAGAGACCTGGAGGGGATGGAGTTCCTACAAAAGTGAGTAGGAAGGAGAGCTTGAGATGTTTGTTTCATTGTTTGTAATAGGAACCCATTTTAAACATTAGTTCCCATCCCCATCTCAGCCTAATGAAGCCCATAGAAAATGGGCTCATACATTTGTTGAACAAATATTTATTGCCAGGCACTGTACTAGATGCTGAAGATAGAGCAAGGAACAAAATAGACAAAGTCGTTACTTTCATAGAACTTACATTATACAGGGAGAGTCTTAGTCTATTGGGCTGCTATAGCAAAATACCATAACCCGGATAACTCATAAACAATAGAAATTAATTTTTCCCTGTTCTGAGGCTGGGAAGTTCAAGATAAAAGTGCTGGCAGATTCAGTGCCTGGTGAGGACCCTCCTTCCTGGTTCATCGACACTGTCTTTTCTGTATCCTCACATGGGAGAAGAGGCGAGGGTCTCTTGGGGGCCTTTTTTATAATGGCACTAAATCAGTTTGTGAGGGCTCTACCTTCATGACCTGATCACCTCTTAAAGACCCCACCTCCTCATACCATTATACTTGGGGTTTAGGATTTTAACAAATGAATTTTGGGAAGACACAACATTCAGCCCACAGCAAGGAGAGATAGAAAATTAACAGATTTTGATGATAAAATTGCTGGAAGGACTAAGAATTGGATATAAAAAGAAAAATTCATTGAGAATATTTCATCAAGAGTCAAAAGAAAAGTTTGGGGAGAATTAATCATAGGAGGAAGATATCAACTATTCTCCATCTGCACTTAAATGACTGCAAGTCATAACCAGCCTTTCTGTGAGCTACACCAGACCTTCCAAGGCCAACCCTCTTTGTCCCCTCTCTGCACACCTAGAGCCTCATGGCCTTTGCCGCACATGTGGCCTGGCATTGTGATTTATGAGTGTGTTGTCTCTGTGGCAGAACTGTGAGTTCTGCAGCACCTCGTGCAATGACAAGCCCATTGCAGGGCCTCCAGAAATATCTGGTGACCATCACTCTGGTGACAGAGTGAATGAATGGAGTCACGTTGCAACAGGTGAGGTTTAGGTCAGACGTAAATGCTTCTTGTCAGGCACATGAAATGCTAAAACAGCTGTGAGGGGGAGGTTGTGGCTCACCCCATGTCAGGCTTCAGCTCAGGGAGGATTAACCCCTTGGCTGCAGAAAGTTGCTGGGAGTGGGTCATTCTCAGCCACTGCACATACTGGAGGGTTGTGAGGTCAGTCCAGCTCACTGTCCACAGAGGACCTGTGAAAATACACAGGGTTTTAGAAGCCTAGCAATAGAGGGTGTCACGATGCATGGGACTCTGATGAATCTCAGGCCAAATCCTGAAAACCACTTACTACCTTGACCAGAAAAAGAAAAGGTGTGAGTGATCAGTTTGTTAAGTTCTGCAAAATGCATGGAATTTTCATGAATGACTCTCATTTTACCCAGGCTGTTCCCATCCTAAAAAGTAATATATGCCTTGCAATCACCCCTTCAAGGCAGGTAAAACCCTGATGGGTATGCAGAGGCCATTTGGTATCTCTGGGTAATATGAATGCAAAGGACTGAGAATGAAGCACACTGTTTATTTGGCAGCACTGAAAAAGAAGAGTTAAAAAAAAAAGTGTTAACAGCTCTTGCAGAATTTGTCTAGCAGGCTTTCCAGTTTTTTCTGGAAAGCCTCATTGAAAAAAATAAAAAAGAAAGAAAGAGAGGACTAAATAATGAGAGCACACCTTAGCCATTGTTTGTCTACTTTGACTAAGAGCATAGTAGAAATGCATTGTGTATTATGATCCAGCCCACAGTAATGATGCATCACCTACCTACCTGCCTGAACTAAGTATTTCATAAAACAATACTTCATGATGTGCAATGTACTCTAATATTTTCTATTATACTCTTTTCTTATTTTTAGAAAACACTGGTCATTTCCTATTAAACTGAGTGGGCAGTGGCTGTCAATTTGCAATACACTGCCCCAGGTGACCTTAGAATGATTTAGTGATATGGTTAATTGGAATTGAAATTGCATTCTGTAATGTGGGTTGCTGGAACATCTCAGAGCTTCAGCCTGTGCAGAGAATGTTGATGTTTGTTTTTGTACTGCTCCAGGCAGGTTTAGGAGCCTGTTAACCCGGCACGCCCAAGCCATCTTTGGTGAAAGGTCAAGAGTCTGCGTGAGCAGAGTCACCTCCTGCAAGTCCCTCAGACTCAAGGAGTCTTCCCTGTCTCCACCCACAAAACAGAAATCCATCAAAATCTCATTGATTCAGACTCTGTGACAGAATGAAATTTATAATTTATTTAGGGGTTATTACAAATGCTTGTTTCAGAAATGCAAATTTACTCAAGTAATCATTTTTGAATTCCTACACAGAAAATTTCAGAATCTTCCCTCTGTACTCTAAAGTGCTAACTGAGGTTTGGGCATTAAGAAAATGAAACTCCCCCCACCCCCACCACTACTCTTACCTCCCTCTGTCAGGTAGAAGCTGTATCCAAAGAATCTGTAGTGGCCATTTCCTTGGGTTATTTAGAGAGTGAACACGAAGTGTTTGAGGCTAGTGGCCTCAAACTAGCCAGAAGAAGCCCACTGCACCCCCATGTAAGAAGGGCAGGGCTAATATATAAAAAATTTCTTTTACCAGTAACATTAAGCTGAGAAAAAGGAATGTTTTGAGTGTCAGATATTAGTGTTAATGTTGTCAAGGCACAGATGCCCTTAAGATCCACTAGTGAGGTCTGGATCTCTTTTGGTGAGAAGCTTAAACCCAAATGGAAGGATTCATCCTCACCTTTGCTCTGGGACCTGGGCAGGCAGGACGTCTTTTTGTTCACCAGTGTATACTTAGTCATGAGGGTCTGGCTTAGTCTGCGTACTTAAAAAGCAGATATGGGACAAATGACAGAGATATGTTGGAGTCAATCCCTTCCTGGGAGGTCTGTGCCTTGGAGCTTTCTCTTTATGTGGCATGAGGGCAGGTGACAGGAGCCAGAAGGTCTATGCTGTCCTCTGACACTGTGATTCTCCCCCCAGATGGTGCCAGCTCCCCAGCGTTGGGCTTTGTGTGCACACTTGCCAGGCCATGTGGTGGTCAGGGGTGGCCAGGGCAAGGGGCAAATGTGTGCCCAACCTCTTTCTTTCCAGCCTCTGATGTGGGCTCTGACATGGAATCCCCTGGAATCCTCCAACTAGAGGTGCACAGATTGAATAGAGAAAGACTCAGCCCTTTGATAGCACCAGGGCTCAGCAAAGGCACCCCTTGAGGAAGGAAGATGGGGTGCAGTAACACCTGCATTATGATAATGCTGAGGCTTTGGCGAGATCTGCTCTTAGTCATATGGTTATTTGGCTGATTTTTACTTCCAGTCTGGTATAATTATCTTTAGGCACCCATTCATCTACTACCTTAAAGATAGAAAAATTCCCGGATTTTTTAAATAGCATTTCCACTGCTGAAGTTTTTTTGTTTTTGTTTTTTCCCCCTGAAATGCTGGCTGTGCTTTCAGGAAATTAGACCTTATTTAAAGCCCCAATATGTCTAGTTCTTTATGTTAGGGAAGACACGATGTTTGGAACATATGTAGGAGATTGGCTGAGATTTATATCTGTTTGTGTCTATAAGATCAATGCCTGCTGCCTGGAGTATAGCTCCTACAGGGCCGGGCCATGCTTTCTACTTGTGAACTACATGAGGGTCAGCAATTGTGCACGATACAATACTTGTGAACTACAGAATAGACTGACAGATCTTGTTTATGGGGTAGAGTCACTGTGAATCAGAAGAGGCTTCTTACTGCTAGGACTTACGTAATTACCAGGAATCTAAAATGAAACAGTTATGCAGTGTTAAGAGTAAAACCAACTATATCTTCTCAATAAGGGATTATAGCAAATGGATGGCCCTATTTTCTGCAGATTTACAAGATCATTAATAGGCATAAAGCCTATAAGAGGTCTAACCATACATTCACTTTATAGAGGATTTCAGTGTCAAAACTGTTAAAAAAGTGAAAATGAAATAATTTCCATGACTATAAATTGCCTTTTTTTTTCTTTTTTCTTGAAACAGAGTCTGCTCTGTCTCCTAGGGTGGAGTGCAATGGCACAATCTGGGCTCACTGCAACCTCTGCCTCCTCAGTTCATGTGATTCTCCTGCCTCAGCCCCCGAGTAGCTGGGACTACAGGCACATGCCACCACACCCGGCTAATTTTTGTATTTTTAGTAGAGATGGGGTTTCACCATGTTGGCCAGGATGGTCTCGAACTCCTGACCTCAGGTGGTCCGCCCGCCTTGGCCTCCCAAAGTGCTGGGATTACAGGCATGAGCACCGCACCCCTCCTGGATTGCCTTTTTAAATAAAAAATAAAATATATATATATATATTTTTTTTTTCCTCTTGCAATCCCTCAAAAGACTTATGAGTATGTTTGCTTTTTAGTTTTTAAAAACTACATTTAACAGATGAGGAAACTAAAATAGGAAGAATTTAGAATTCAAGATTGTTACTTTCCATTTTTGAATAGTTTTCAAAACGTTTTCTCTTAGATGATCTCATTACATTGTCATAACAATCCTATAAGATGGTGTTATTAGGATTAGTTCTATTGAGGTAGAAAAAGATTAGGAGAAGCGGAAAGTGTGAAGCGCCATACTGCCTTGCTTCTGTCCCCAGAGACATGTGCTAAAGCCAAGGCAAAGTCTTTTGCCCCTGAACCCGGGGGCATGCCCGGGAGCCAGGCTGGACTGCTTGTAGGGCTCCTCGTGACACAGCAGAGGCAGCAATGTGGTAAGTAGGCCCCAAGCTTTACTTGCCTGCCACCAAGCTTTACTTAATTCTCAACCCTCTGTTTTTAAGCCCCGAGTCCAAGGAGAGGCTGGTTCAAGAAAATATGAGATCAGCAAAGGAGAGGAAAAGGAGATTCTTTCTAAGCCTATAGCAGGCCTGGCTTATTTTACTTCATCAGAGCAGAATAGCTCCTAGGCTGGAGTAGCCCAGGACCCATCCTGAGTTACTAGCCATGAGGGATTTGCAATTCAAAGAGATTATAATTCTTTAGAGGGTGAGACCATACTACTCACCAGTTGGCCCAGGAACAAGCCCTTGATTCATCCATGTCAGCCCTCATTCTCCTTAGGGAATAAAGGAGAGGGGATGAAGGAAGAATATAAGATAGACTTGAGCCCCTTATGGGCTAAAAATCATTCCTGTATTATAACTGAAGATACCAAGGTTCAAAAGGTCAAGTGGCTTGTCCCAAGTCATGCAGCTGAGCACAGATAGGCTGCAAACCTGGTCCTCTCACTCCAAGCCCAATACAATAATGGCATCCATCCTAGCCTTCTGTTTGACCTACAGAATTTCATTGTCTGTTCTCCCACTCCCCATTTCCTGCCGAGTCTGGACACATGGAACAGATTGTACACACTGGGCCACTGCCACTAAAGAGCTGTGAAATAGAATGGAGGGAATATATGTGAGTATAAGTTCTTATGTGCAGAGGAATGAAAGGATCTGATATATGAAGAAAGACTTAAAGGAGCTAAGTAGGTGGAACTGAGTTACTTGATGACTTTGAGGGATATGACATCAGGCTGTAAACATGTGAAGGACAGAAATACCTGGAAAGATGAACTATTTAGTATGAAATATGGGATATAATGAAAGAATGAGCAATAACTAATGGAGGTAATTCTCTTTTCCTTTTTTTTTTGAGATGGAGTCTCGCTCTGTCGCTCAGGCTGGAGTATAATGGTGTGATCTGGGCTCACTGCAGCCTCGACCTCCCAGGTTCAAGTGATTCTCCTGCCTCAGCCTCCCGAGTAGCTGGGACTACAGGCATGAGCCACTGCACATGGCCTCTTTTCCTTTCTCTTAGGGATGAGAGTAGTAACAGACTTCAGGTACCTGATACAATCTTAGAAGTTATTTTTTTTCAAACAATCCTTTATTCTAGTGGGATTAAATAGAAGAAAAAATGAAGCTTTCAATCCCAGCTAAATTTAACAGCCCATTTTAAATAAGCTTTGCACAAATGCTTCTTCTTTCAAATCTTCTCTGTCTACTGTCAACTCTTTAACTCCTGCCTGCAATGATTCTCACTGGGCATATTGCAGTGGTCTCCAGCCATCCCCTTGCTTTGGGATTTGCCAACCAATTTACCCTCCATGTGGCCAGGGAGTAAGCTTTTTAAACCACTTACCAGAACAATGATTTAAAAGTACACATCCTGGCCAGGCACAGTGGCTCACACCTGTAATCCCAGCACTTTGGGAGGCCTAGGCAGGCGGATCACTTGAGGGCAGGAGTTCGAGACCAGCCTGGCCAACATGGCAAAACACTGTCTGTATTAAAAATACAAAAATTAGCTGGGCATGGTGATGTGCACCTGTAATCCCAGCTACCTGAAATGCTGAGGTGCCAGAATTGCTTGAAGCTGGAAGGCAGAGGTTGCAGTGAGCTGAGATTGTGCCACTGCACTCCAGCCTGGGTGTCAGAGTGAGACTCTGTCTCAAAAAACAAACAAAAAACCCCCCACACATCCTACTATTGAAGACTTTACAGTGCAAGCAACAGAAAACCTGACTCACACTGCTTAAATAGAAAATTTACTTTCTGCGCACAGTGACTCATGCCTGTAATCCCAGCACTTTGGGAGGCTGAGACACACAGATCACTTGAACTCAGGAGTTTGAGACCAGCCTGGGCAACAGGGTAGAACCCTGTCTCTACAAAAAAATCAAAAAATTAGCCGGGCAAGGTGGCATGTGCCTGTAGTTCCAGCTAGGTGGGATACTGAGGTGGGAGGATCGCTTGTGCCTGGGAAGTGGAGGTTGCAGTGAGCCATGATCACGCCACTGTACTCCAGCCTGGACAACAAAGTGAGACCCTGTCTCAAAAAAAAAAAAAAAAAAGTGCTTTCCAGGTTCATGTAAAAGGAAGGTCCAAAAATGGGATAACTGGCTACAGGATGGTTCAATCCAGTGGCTCAATGATGTGACCAAAGACTAAGTTTCTTTGTCTCCCTGCCATGCCTCCTCAGGTGCCTGCTTCTTTCTGTACTGAGGCTGGCTGGTCCTGTACTTGCAAGGAGGCCACAGCTTGTGGACTACACACCCCCACACTTTCAAAAGGAGAGAGAAAAAGAGAGAGAGAGTTCTGTCCCAGAATGCTGGGAAAGAGTCCTAACATTCACTTGATTGGATAGGGCTGGGTCGCAGGCCCAACCTCAAACCTATCTTGTGGCCAGGGGAATGGAAAATGTTGATTGGCTTAAGCAAATCAGGAGCTACTCTGCACCTGGGTATAGGGTTAACTTCGCCAGAAGTACCCAGGCTGATTAGGGATGGAAGATTACAGAACATTTATGAGGATATAAGAGGGATTGAAAGCTGGGTGGGCCACTAGCGACCCTCCACAATTGAGCTAGTGACCATTTGCCCAGTCATAATTCCCATCATACCCACTCACTTAATTCCCACTCTACACCCAGGGTGTAGGCATGTACAACAGCCACATGTGACTATTTGTTTTTCCCTGAAAATCCGCTTCTATGTCTTACTCAAGCTATTCTGTAATCTAGAATATGCCACCCACCCCCCAGCATGTTGAATACCTACTTCACCCTGAAGGTCTAGCTCAAAATCCATTTTTCCATGATGTGATGCTTTTTCAGATCCTTCATTAAATAAATACCTTCCTCCTGCATTTTCAAATTTATCTGCTTCTTCACACCGCCAGCTGTGCAATCCTGGACAACATATTTAACCTCTCTGAGCATCAGTTTATTCTGAAAAGTATAGATAATACTAGTACATATTTCAAGAGTTGTTGTGAGGATTTGATAAATTAATACAGCAGTCCCCTCTGATCTGTGAGTGATATGTTCCAAAACCCCCAGTGGATGCCTGAAACCTTGGATAGTACTGAACCCTATACATATTGTACTATGTTGTTGTCATCTGATGAAGTGACTAACAGGCCGGTAGCATGTGGATAAGCTGGACAAAGGGATGACTCACATCCTGGACGCAATGGAGCAGGATAGCATGAGATTTCATCATGCTACTCAGAAGAGTTTGCAATTTCAAACTTTTAACTGTTTATTTCTGAAATTTTTCAATTAATATTTTTAGAATACAGTTGACTACTGGTAATTGAAATCATGGAAGGCAAAACCGCAGGTAAGAGGGGAATATATATAAAGCCCTTAGAAGAGGGACTTGAGTCTAATAAGCATCAGTACATGTTTTTATTTTGCATTTTATATACCATTGAGCCTTGTGGTAAACTATATTCATGTTTATCTCTTCAATAGGTTGTGTGTTGCTGGAGTACTGACTAACACATATTCACCAATATATCTTTCTTTGACTCATTTAAGAATTATTTAAATTGATACATAGCAGTTGTACATAGTTTAAGGGTACATGTAATATTTTGATACATGCATACAATGTGTAATGTTGAAATCAGGGAAACTGGGATATCCATCATCTAAAACATTTATTATTTCTTTGTGTTGGAAACATTCCAAATGTTCACTTCTAGCTATTTTGAAATACGCAATAAATTATTGCTAACTATAGTTACCCTATTGTGCTATGGAACACTAGAACCTATTCTTTCAATCTAACTGTGTGTCTTTACCCATAAACAACCTCCGTATCCCCCAACATCCCCTTTATCATTCTACTCTCTACCTCTATGACATCAACATTTTTAGCTCCAACATACGAGTGAGAACGTGTAATATCTGTCTTTCTGTGCTTGGCTTATTTCACTTTTTATAATGTCCTCCATGCTCATTCATGCTGCTGTAAATTATAGAATTCCATTATTTTTTATGGCTGAATAGTATTTTATTGTGTATATATATATCGATGTGTATACAGATACACATAGATACACATTTTCTTTATCCATTCATTCATTGATGGACACGTAAGTTGGTTCCATATGTTAGTTACTGTGAATAGTGCTGCAGTAAACATGGGAGTGCAGATACCTCTTTGACTTGATCTCCTTTCTTTTATATAATATATATGTATTTTATATAATATATATGTATTTTATATATATTTTTCTTTTACATTATACACACACACACACATATATATATATGTATCTCAGTGGGATTGCAGGATCATATGACAGGTGCATTTTCAGTTTTTTGAGGAACTTCCATACTGTTTTCCATTGTGGCTGCACTAATTTACACTCCCATCAACAGTGTACTAAAAAATAGACAAATGGGCTTATATCAAGCTAACGGGGTTCTGTGCAACAAAGAAACAATCAAAAGAGTAAAGAGACAGCCTAAAGAATGAAAGATTGCTGGCCAAGGTGGCTTATGTCTGTAATCCTGGTGCTTTGGGAGGCTGACGTGGGAGGATTGATTGAGGTTAGGAGTTCAAGACCAGTGTAGGCAACATAATGAGACCTCATCTTTACAAAAATAAAAAATTAGCCAGGTGTGATGGTGCATGACTGTGGTTTTAGCTACTTGGTAGTTTGAGGCTGCAGCGAACCATGATTGTACTACTGCACTCCAGCTTGGGTGACAGAGACCTGTCTCGAAAAAAAAAAAAAAGGGAGAAAATATTTGCAAACTGCCCAACAAGGGTTTAATAACCAGAACATATAAGGAACTCAAACAAATCAGTAGCAAAAAACTAAGTAACCTGATTTAAAAATGGGCAAATGATCTGAACCGACATTTATCACAAGAAGACATACAAATGGCCAACAGATAAGAAAAAATGCTCATCACTAACCATCATGTAAATGCAAATCAAAACCAAAATGAGATATCATCTCACTCCAGTTAAAATGAATATTATCAAAAAGACAAAAAATAAAAGACAAAATGAGCGGGGCGTTGGTGGCACATGCCTGTAATCCCAGCTACTTGGGAGGCTGAGGCAGGAGAATCACTTGAACCTGGGAGGCAGAGGTTGCCTCACACCATTGTACTCTAGCCTGGGCAACAAGAGTGAAACTTCATCTAAAAAAGAAAAAGAGAGAGAGAGATAAAGAATATGGAAGGATGATGCTATGACAAGCACAACAAGATTTAACAACAAAAGATAAAAAATGCCGAGAATTGCTTGAACTCGGGAGGCAGAGGTTGCAGTGAGCCATGAAGGCACCACTGCACTCCAGCCTGGGCAACAGAGTGAGACTGTGTCTCAAAATAAAAATAAAAATAAAAAATGCTAGCAAGGATGTGGGGCAAAGGGAATGCTCATTAACAAACAGCTTTGAGTACCACTAGAACTATGTGTTAAATATTGGGTATTTAACTATGTATTAAATACTGGGGTACAGAGAACAGAATATGCTCACTGTCTGCCCTTTTTAAGGCCTGGCACATTCCAAGCACAGAGTAGGCGATCACCAAATACTTGTAGAGTCTAACTGAAATCAGGACTGATGGAAATAACTGTATTTCCTACCAAGGTGGCCCCGGTGTATCCAAGTGAAGCCACACCATAAAGGTTGGTCCAAAGACTGATGGGAATAACTTGGACTCAACTGAAGTTGCCTTCATTTGGGATTACTGCCAAGGCAGCAAGCAACCAGTGCAAAGGATGTCTCAGAGATAAGGATATGAATGAAGTGATATGACCACCATGAGGTGGTTCCAAAAACCCACTCAGTAGAAGATCCATTAGGTCAGAGGAGTTGAGAGTGGAGGTTTGTGTCTTTTAGGATGAACTGAGGAATGGTGTCACTCAAATTTTGCCCTATGACTAGATAAGGAAATCTTGTTGTGCTTGTCATAGCATCATCCTTCCACATTCTCTCTCTCTCTCTCTCTCTCTCTCTCTCTTTTATTTTTAGATGAAGTTTCACTCTTGTTGCCCAGGCTAGAGTACAATGGTGTGATCTTGGCTCACTGCAACCTCTGCCTCCCAGGTTCAAGTGATTCTCCTGCCTCAGCCTCCCAAGTAGCTGGGATCACAGGCATATGCCACCAATGCCTGGCTCATTTCGTATTTTTAGTAGAGGTGGAGTTTCACCATGTTAGCTAGGCTGGTCTTGAAATCCTGACCTCAGGTGATCCACCTGCCTTGTCCTCCCAAAGTGCTGGGATTACAGGCATGAGCCGCCATGCCCGGCCGATGTTTTTTCTTACTTTGTCTTCAGGCCTACTCAAATGAACCAAGGCATTTTGGAATTAGTTAGGAGACTTGGGAGTAATTCAGATGAGAGACCTCATTGGTAGCCTGAGCAGGATCATTATTAGTAATGGGGACGGAGAGAGGTGTATAGGTTTCAAAATACTTAGGAAGGAGAGTAGACTGGTAATATGGTTTGGCTCTGTGTCCCCACCCAAATCTCATCTTGAATTGTAATCACCATAATCCCCCTGTGTCAAGGGAGGAACCTAGTGGGAGTTGATTGGATCATGGGGGCAGTTTTCCCCATGCTGGTCTCGTGATAGTGAATAAGTCTCACAAGATCTGATGGTTTTATAGAGGGCAGTTCCCCCGACTTGCTCTTCACTCCCTCCTGCTTCCTTGTGAAGAAGGTGCCCCTTTGCCTTCCACCATGATGATAAGTTTCCTGAGGCCGCCTAGCTGTGCTTCCCGTTAAGCCTGTGGAACTGTGAGTCAATTAAACCTCTTTGCTTTATAATTATCCAGTCTCAGGTAGTATTCTTTATAGCAGTGTGAAAAATGAACTAATACAACTGGACTTGATGATTATGTGAATGTGCAAAATATATCAGTGAGAGTGCTTTCTGTTGCAAAAAACTGAAACCCTTTCTTGTGCTGGCAAAAACAAAGAAAATGTATTATCTCAAATAACAGATTTACCGCTGGGAACAGCTTCAGGGCTTATGGGTTCATCAGCCCAACATTCCTTGTCTCTACTCTGCCATCCCCAGCATTGGCTTCATCCTAAGGCTGGTTTTCCCATCAAATCAATTCGTGGCCACCCCCAGTGACATTTTTTGTTGTTGTTGTTCAGATAGAATAGGAGGGAGAAATTAGCCTCTTTCTCTGAGAAGTCTGTGGCAAGCCTCTCCTCATGCTTCATTGGCTAGACTGACTTGGAGCTGCCCACCTCAACCAATCACTAGCAAGGAAGATGATATTACCGTGGTGGACTCACAATCATGGCTTGGGGAGGATGGATACTGGGACAGGCAATCACAGTGTCCAGTAGCTTAGGCAACTAGGTAATGGAAGTGCCATTTACTGAGTAAAGGAATCTGGAAGGAAGAATTTGTTTGGGGAGAAGAGGATGAGCTTATTTTTAGACTTGCATCATGATGTTTGTTTTCACTTCATATAGGATTTCAAAGGGTACTTGGACCTTTGGAGAATTTCTGAGGACATAATTCTTGGCTAAAAAGAATATGGGCCCAACAGGCTATCCACTCTTTTAGGAGTCTTCTTCCATTGCCAACCTGGATTCTATCCTAGATGTGGCAAAGACAGTCCTGCCACACTGTGAAAAAGCCATGTGTGAAAATTTTTCTGCTTCCAAGGGAATGCTCAATTACTCCTTACAAAATCTTCTCAACCTTATGTTGGAAGCTCAGATGAAATACTGAATGTGTAAAGTGCCTGTGACATTTGTTATCATTTGGTAATTTCAGCTCTGCTAATTCAGTCTTTACTGGACTTTCCCACTTCCCAAATGCTGCTTGTGCAATTATTACACTATTATGAGGAGATCGCAATGCACTGCAAACATTTGCTCCAAATGCAAGGTTTAATTTAAGGTGTGTTTGGAATTCACAATTACCTAGCAAAGAACAATCTTAGATCTCGAGAAGCAACATAGTGTAGTGGTTAGGAACACAGATGATGGAGTCAAACTGTCTGGGTTCAAGTCTCAGCTCTACCTGTATAAGCTGTATGACATTGAATCAATTACTTAATCTTGCTCTGTACCTCACTTTCCTCATCTGCAAAGTGAGGATGATTGTGATAACAGTAGAATCTATTTCACGGGCTTATTAGCAAGTTAATTATACATGAAATGCTTAATAACGTACCTGGCACACAGGAGGCACTCTTTGCTAGCTTGGTTGCTGATTATGTTTAAAGAAATCAATCCTTAAGGTAAAAATTCTATACTGTTCTTCCTTTTATTAACACTTTCTAAACCCAATCACATGCTCAGGTTTTGATTAGAATGTTTCTTTTAGCACAGCCCTGTAACTTGATATAGAATCAAAAGCCCATCCCAGAGGGTGGTGCTGACCTTTAGGGCTGCTTAATACCAAAGCTGCCGTCTCTAGGACTTGGCTCCATCTCAGCCACAGGTGGCCTTGTTTAACTGATTACATTCAATTAAAGAGAAGGTCTTAATTTGTCTTCCTAGCACTTAGAATTGGCTAAGATGTTTGACATCACTTCCTGAAGCTAAGATCCCCTGCTTCCTCTTTCTCACAGAAGAAAAGCAAAAAGAAACAGATTCAAATGGAGGAGGAATATTCAGTCTTTAAAAATGTTTACTGGAAGATTATTTCTCCCTCTTTTGCCTTCGATATGTTTATAAAGCACTTATATAATAAATAATACTGGGGAACCAGAAATACCTGCTATAAATATTTTAGAATATTTTCTTCCAGGTTTTAAAATTGTATTTATAGACTGTATTTGACACAGTTGTAATCAACGTATAGATACACTTTTGTATTCTGAATTTTGTTTCATTTAACTTCATAAGTATTTCCCATGTTGCTATCAACTTTTTGTAAAAATTTGTAATAGTTTTGTGGTATTTCACTATATTTAATTATCTATTTTCCCAGTATTGAACACTTGGTTTTAAAAGTATATCTAGGCCAGGTGCAATGGCTCAGGCCTGTAATCCCAGCACTTTGGGAGGCTGAGGTGGGCAGATCACTTGAGGTCAGGAGTTCAAGACCAGTCTGACCAACATGGTGAAACCCTGTCTCTACTAAAAATACAAAAATTAGCCAGGTGTGGTGGTGGGTGCCTGTAATCCCTGCTACTCGGGAGGCTGAGACAGGAGAATCACCTGAGCCCGGGAGGTGGAGGTTTCAGCGAGTACTGCACTCCAGCCTGGGTGACAGAGTAAGAGTCCTTCCCAAAAAAAAAAAAAAAAAAAAAAGTACGTCTAATGTCTTCATTTTCCCCCAGTATTTTTGGTGTCTTATTTAGGACCCATTTTAGGCAATGGAATATCTAGGTAAAGGGTGTGAACTTTTTTTTTTTTTTTTTGAGACAGTGTCCCTGTGTCACCCAGGCTGGAGTGCAGTGGCGTGATCTTGGCTCACTGCAACTTCGGCCTCCTGGCCGCAAGTGATTTTCCTGCCTCAGCCTCCTGAGTAGCTGGGACTACAGGTACGTCACCATGCCCGGCTAATTTTTATATTTTCAGTAGAGATAGGATTTCACCATGTTGGCCAGGCTGGTCTCGAACTCCTGACTTCAGGTGATCCTCCTGCCTTGGCTTCCCGAAGTGCTGGGATTACAGACGTGAGCTGCCACGCCTGGCCAGGTATGAACATTTTGAAGGTTCTTGATTCACACTGTCCATTCTAAAATGTCTGCCCTAACTTACCTCCCCAGCAACAATGGGCGAGAGTGCCATCAGCAGAAGAGAAATAGATTTTATCCTAGTACTGTTCAGAGGCAGCTGGTAGGGTTATCACCTTCCCTCCTTAATCCCTTCCCACCCTTTATTTTGATTAACTTAAAAACAACATGTAACATAAACGTTACCATTTTAACCATTTTTAAGTGTACAGTTCAGTAAAGTATATTCACATTGTTGTGAAACAAATTTCCAGAACTTTTTCATCTTGCAAATCTGATACTCTGTACCCATGAAACAACACCCCTTTCCTCCTCCTCACAAACCCTGGCAAGCACCACTTTGCGCTCTGTTTCTGTGAATTTGACTACTTTTGATTCCTCCTGTAAGTGGGATCATAGAGTCCTACTGAGGCGCTTTTGGGGCAGCATATCTAGGAATTACAGCAAGTCCTTGAATAACAACATTTTGTTCAATGTTTTTTTGTTATAACATTAATGAGAAAAAAATGATTCCTGGCTGGAGCCACTGTGTGTGGAGCTTGTGAATTCTCCCCACATCTGCAGGAGTTTTCTCTGGGTCCTCTGGTTTCCTACTGCATCTAAAGATGAGCATATTAGGTTCATTGGTAGGTCTGAACTCTCTCCGTCTGAGTGAATGCGGGTGTGTGTGCGTGCACCCTGTGATGGATGGTGTCCTGTCCAGGGTTAGTTCCCGCCTTGTGCCCTGAACTACCTACCTGGATGGGCTCCAGGGGCCTGTGACACTGAATTGGAATAACTGGGTAAATAATTATCTTACTAGTGTTTGTTTATCTTTCTTTTTATTTTTTCTCCCTTATTGCCAACAATATTAATCTTTCTTAGATGTATGTGTAGCTCACATTTATTTGATGTTTACTATTACAAGTACTTTGGGTCTTTATTTAGAAGTTTGTTGATGTTTTTGTAACCAGAAACATGCTGTGGAAACTTAACTCTTGCTTATATCAATCAGCCAATGGTAAAATTGGCTTCTTTATACATTTCACTTGAAGTCGCATCTTCCAAGAACCTATTGATGATGTTAAGTGAGGACTTACTGCATTTGCAAAGTGGTGGTCACACAGGTGAGCAACAGGCAAACTACACCACCTTCCTATCTCTTATTGCTACTGATTCCATCTCTGGTCCCACCCCTTCCTATCTGAGCTCCATATACATATATCCACATTCCTCTTAGATATCCCTATTTGGATACCTTCCAGTCACTTCTACCACAACATGGCCCGAACTAAACTCATCATTTCACTCCAAGTCAAGCCTATTCTTTGTCTTCCAGGTTGCTTATCCCAGTGAATGCCATCATCATGCATCTAGGTGTACAACTTGGAAACCTGGAGTCGTCTCGCATTTTTTCCAGTTGCTTACTGCCAAAGTCAAGTTGGTCCCCATGCTCTGTCAGTTCCACCTTCGAAGTATCTTGAATCGGGCTCACCTCATTCTTCATTTCAGTCTCTTATAATATCTCTTATTGCTGAATCACTGGGTTAGTCCCCAATCTCCTCTCCCCGCCCTAGCCCGAGACCCTTCAATCCCGCCTCTAAATTGCTGCCCAAGTAATCTTTCTAAAAGACAAATTTAATTATTTTGCTCCTTTGCTTTAGGTCTGTTAGGATAAAGTCCAAACTCCTCAACAAGACTTTTCATGGTTCCTGTCTCTCTGGCTCATCCACGCCTACCCCTGGAGCCCTGTGCTGCCGCTGGGCACAACTGCTTGCAGAGTGCCTCATACTCCGTCACTGACCCGGTGGCCTTTTGTACACTCTGCTACTTCTCTTTTTGGAATGCCCTTTCCTCCCTTCTTCTCTTGGACGATTGTTACTTGTCATGTAAGTGTCAGATAAATGAATCATCCCTTCTCCAGAAAGTTTCCCAAATTGCCCTGCCTGGGTCTGTGGCCCTTCTCTGGCCTCATAGTCTCAAGTACAGACCTCCATTTCTGAGTCATCCTTAATTGTTGCTCTGCATACATACCTGTCTCCTCAACTAGATTTGTAAGCTACTTAAGGATAGGTTCTGGATGTTTTATCTCTCTGCCTCTAGCCCTAGCCCAGTGCCTAGCGCATAGGAGATGCTCAAAGCATCCTTGCTAAATGCATGTTGAATGGAGTTACTCTTGACCTCATTCCTCCACCACTTTCCAAAAGAAAGGACAAAATCTCCTCCCTTATTGCCACCACTTATAAGGTGAGTTCTTATAAATGCCCACTTTCCTCTCATTTGTAGGGAAGTATGGATATCATGGTACCTTCAAAGTAGAGACTTCCATAAGGAGAATCAGAGCCTTCCTAAATCTTGCAGCCCAACAAGAAGCCAAAAAACATAGCACCATTTTCTTGTAATGGGCCCATGTATATTTTTCAAACTTACTACCATCCTCCGTTAGTCTCTGACACTTCACTGCACCCCTTCTAAAAGTGTAGTGCCAAAATGAATAGAACTCAGAAGCTTAGGTCCAGGGGCAAGTCACTGACTCAAAAGTCATGACTCGCTTCACTTTTTTTCTCTTTTCCTAGTGTACCATGATGCTTGTGCTTGCTTTACTCAGAGGGTAAAGACAGATTTTTAAAAACTGAACATGAATGGAGGAAATGAAAAAATTCCTCCATCATCCCAGTCTTGACGAGATTAACTGATCAAAATTGTGAACGGCATTTTGTAAAGCATTAGAGATCTAATGTGAATCTCTCATTTAATCCTGTTTTTTCCGCTATTCCCCGCTCTTACTCTCCCCCTTCCATTCCCCAACCTACCCCCTAACCCCAGCTTTTTGGTTGTTATTGCAATTCAGTGGCATTTGTTCCGCAACCAGCATTTCTTCCCCTTCCCTTCCCTCTCCCACCCTCCCGGGAGGCCAAGAAGGAGGCGCAGAGGAGGAGAGAAAAAGAAGCCCCAGTAGTATTCAGCCGGCCCGGCTCCCTACAGGAAGTGATCTTTCTGCTTTTAGGCCAGCCACACGCCTCCCAGCCAGCCAGCAGCGCTAACTAATTAGCACACGTGATGGGAATTGGAAACAAAGTCGCCAACAATAGGAGCGTGGGAACCCGAGCTGCGCTGCAATTACAGCGCCCCCCTCACCCCGCCCGGATCGGCGGCGGGCGACGCGCCACCCGCCCGCCCAGGGAGGGCCCGCCAGGTCCGGGCGCCTGGAGCTCCGGGCCGCGTCCGTCCAGTGGGTCGCGCCGCTCGCCTCCGCCCTGTGGGGGTCTGCACACAATAGGGGGAAAGCGTGTTGAGGGAATCTCAGCGCTGGCCAGGTCACGCGAGAGGTCAGTTACCCTTTGTTGGGAGAGAGCGAGGGAAGAAAGACGGTCATCAAATATCCTCCTTGTGATAGTTTAGGGGCCTGGACAGATCAGGAGCCCGCGGGCCCACCGTAGGGACTTGGGACTCTGCGGGACGTCTGCCTAAGGGCTCTCGGGGCGCCGCGGGGAACGCGCTTTCTTTGTGGTATATACGAGAGAGAGGGACCCTGACCTTTCCGCGTCCTGCTGAGAGGGAGCTGTTGCGGGGGCGCCAAAGAGCGGCGACAGCGGGCAGGACAGCGAGGGCCAAGAGCCGGGCCCTTCTAGCCTGGGCGCCTCTAACCTGGGATCACCCTAACTAGCTGGTGGCTGCCCCGTGCGCATGCGCCTGGCGGTCGCCTCGGCCAAGGTGATTTCAGAGGTAGGCTGATGGAAATTTGCGTCTGAAGTTTCCCAGCACTCTACACTCCGATGATTTTTTTTTAAATAACAGCTTTATTTAGAATTCACATACCACACAATTTACCTATTTAAAGTGTATGATTCGGCTGGGCTTGGTGGCTCACGCCTGTCATCCCAGCACTTCGGGAGGCCAAGGCGGGCTGATCACTTGAGGTCAGGAGTTTGAGACCAGCCTGACCAACATGGGGAAACCCAGTCTCTACTAAAATACAAAAATTAGCCGGGCGTGGTGGTGCGCATGTGTAATTCCAGCTATTCGGGAGGCTGAGGCAGGAGAGTTGCTTGAACCCGGGAGGCGGAGGTTGCAGTGCGCTGAGATTGCGCCACCGCACTCCAGCCTGGTGACAGAGTGAGACTCCGCCTCAAAAATAAATAAATACATAAATAAAAATATTTTTAACAGTGTGTGATTCAACGGTTTTTAGCATATTTACAGATACGTGCAACCATCACCAATTTTAGAACATTTTCGTCCTCAAATCCCCCGTAATGCTAACCTCTCCCATTCCCTAGTTCTAAGCAACTACTAATCTATTTTCTGTCTCTTTCAGATTTGCCTATTTTAGACATTTCATATAAATGGAATCATATATGTCATCGTTTGTGTCTGGTTTCTTTCAGCATGTTTTCACGGTTCATCCAGGTTGTGGCATGTATCCTCAGTTTTCCCTTTTTATTGCTGGGTATAAACACATTTTGTTTATCCATTCATCAGTTGATGGACATTTGAATTGTTTCCACCTTTTGGCCACTATGAATAATGCTGCTATGAACATTTACATGCAGCATGTATGAACATGTAAACGTGTGAACATGTTTTCATTTCTCTTGGGTAAATAGATAACTTAGGAGCAGAATTGCTCAGTTGATGGTAAATTTATGTTTAACTTCTAAGGAAACTGCCAAACTGCTTCCAAATTGGCAATAAATTCCCAGTCATGAGATTTTAGTTTTTCTCCAGCTTCCCACCAATATTTGCTATTGTTTGTCTTTTTGGTTATAGCCACTCTAGTGGGTGTAAAGTCAGTCCTAAACTATAAAATTAGGAGATTTGATGAGCCCTAAGTTCTTTTCCAGTGCTAAATTTCTGAGGCATAAGAAGTGGACCTTGCATAGTATATTCTAGCAGGGTCATGAATGGCAATTTACTAAATCAGCTGCCAAAACACAATAGTATCACTATTTTCTGTGAAAACTGAAGTAGAAATAATTACTTACAAACATGTATCTAACTGATATCATAGAGCTGTCCAAGAAAGCCCCAGTTAAAAGCCAACTCCTTTTGATACTCTCCCTGCCCACACCCCAACTCCACTCCCAAATCTCAGCTTTTACTGTCTGTAGCAGACAACTTATTTCCATACTACGTGATTAAAAATGACCCTGTATGTTCAGAAACATCAAGTGGCAGTAAAACGTTACTCTAGGTTGTGTTGTCCAAACCCAGAGTTATTTTCTTGGGGCTAGGGTGTTTGATCAGGTTTCAAGTTTATTTAGATATAAGCGTAATTTCTCATTTATAGGAAACTACTTTTATAATAACAGTTATAATGTTTCTGTTTACATGATTGGCTGCAGATCACCAAAGGGGTGGGTTACCATGTAACATTAAAAAAAAATTCAGACGGTATGTTGCATTTATAGCAATAAAAGGGGTAGGGAGAATCCCCTCCTGGCTTAACCTAGTCTTTTCCTTTCCTTCCTTTTCCCTTCCTTTTCTTTCTGAGATAGGGTCTTGCTCTGTTGCCCAGGCTGGAGTGCAGTGGTACAAACATAGCTCACAATAACCTTGAATCCTTGGACTAAAGCGATCCTCCCACCTCAGCCTCCTGAGTAGCTGGGATTACAGACATGAGCCACTGTGCCTGGCCCTTTCTTAAATTCAGAAATGACCCTCATGATCTTACATTTATTTCAATGTAGTATATTTTTTCAATAAAGATACTGCATGTAGTGGTTGAAATATATTCTGGTTAGAATAGGTCATTTTAAATTCAGATGACAAGCAAACATGACAGGTGATACATTTACTGCGTCTTCACCTTGCTTGATTTTGCAGTGATTCCAGGTCTTGGCTGCATATTAGAATCACCTGGGAAGCTTTAAAAACATACTTATGCCAGACCCCAACCCAAACTAATTATATCCCAATCTGGTTTTCTTTTGTTTTTGAGAATGGAGTCAACTTCAGTATTTTTTTGCCAGCTCCCCAGTAGATTCCAAATACAGCCAGGGTTGAAGTTGGTCTTACCCAGTGGTTCTCCAAGTATGGTCCCAGGACTGACTGCATCATCTGGGAACTTGATTGAAATGCGAATTTTTGGGCCCAACCCAGACTTACAGAATCAGAAACTCCATGAGAGGGGCCCAGCAATCTGTATTTTAATAGTCCTTCAGGTAATGTGTGCTGAAGTCTGACAACTACTAACATAAGTAGAAATTCTCCAGTTTGGCTGCACATGGGAGACACCTGAGAACTTCAAAAACTACTGATGCCTGGGTTCACACCCCAAGAGATTGTAATTTTAATTGTTTTGAGGTGTGGCCTATGAATTGAAATTAAAAAAGCAAGCTCCCCAGATAATTCTAGTATGTGGCCAAGTTGTGAACCATAGAGCAAAAACAGCAATTCCTAAAGTATGGTCCCACATATCCAGCATCAGCATCATCTGGGAATTGTTTGAACTACAAATTCCTGAGTCCACTGAGATCTACTGATTCACATACTCTGAGGGGGAGGGGGACCCCCAAATCTGTCTTTATTATTAAACTTTCCATGTAATTCTAATGCTCACTAACAGGTGAGAACCACTGGTTTAAACATTGCAGTCCTAGGGTCTGAATCAATATTCCATTTTTTGGGGATGGATCATTGTGCATTACAAAATTTTGAACTACAGGCCCTGGAGGAACACAGTTTCTCTGTTAAAATAATTTATATATATTCTTAAATTCTCTTATTACCATTGTAATTTACACCTTTTTTTGATTATTTTGTCTTTGTAGATTTGAAGGCTGATCTCATCTATGCTTTTATATTTATTCATTTATTTAGGTTTCAGAGGTCTGAACATTTCATTTTGACATAGAGGAAATAATGGCTTCCTTTCTTCTCTATGGAGCCCTTCCCTTGGGAAACATTTTGAGAGTTCATGGTTTGTCAAGATAAGCAGCAACTGTCTTAAACATCAAACCATTACCATCAACAACAAAACCACCTAAAAATTCATATTGCTCAATTTAGGAATTTAACATATATCCTGAATTAATCAGGAAATTGCAAAATTCTTATGTAAAAGAGCTTGGCTGATTTCAGAGATACATAGCTGAATACTGTATAACTCATTGTGATCTTTTGATGGATAGCCTTGAAGTCAAGCAACTCCTTTCCTCCTCAGTTACCTTCTATTAGAGCCAGGTTTCTCCATCAGCAAAGACAAATGGTTTTCTAGAGCAGTGGTTCTCAATGTGTGGTCTCTGGGCCACCACCAGCAGCAGCATCTCCTCCTCCAGGTGATTCTGATGCCTGCTAAAAGTTGAGAACCAGTTTTAGAGCAAGAAAACTGGGAATGATTTTTGACTCATTACCTATCAGGGCAGTATTTTCTCCATCCAATAATATGCCAAGTATTGCTCAATATTTTTTCATAATTCCTTTGCCTTATTCTTTCCATTCCTGAAGCCATAGGCTCAATCCAGGTTCATTCCTAGCACATTCCCAACTCCAGGACTTTTTCCCTCTATGTGGGTATTCTTTTTGTATCACCTCAACTGTGTATGATGAACATTCAAAGTCTCCCCCTTCTGTTTATAAACCTAACTAGATTGTCTTATTCCATTTCATGTTCTTTGTCCTCATGGGCTTCATAATCACTTTCCAGTGGGCCATCCCACTCCTGCCCTGTTTTCTTATGAGGCCCCCTTCTCCTCAAGTATAAGGCACAGACCACCACGACCCTCTCTGGCTTTCCGTCTGAACTCCATGAATGCTACAAATAAAGGTAATGGGGAAAATGTCAACAAAGTGCTCTTGGTCCATTGTACTGAAGTGTCTAATCCTGCACAATTCTTTCTTCAGTCATCATCTGTGAACATATTCCTTTTTTTTTTTTTTTAAGACGGTGTCTCACTCTGTCACCCAGACTGAAGTGCAGTGGTGTGATCTCGGCTCACTGCAACCTCCGCCTCCTGGGTTCAAGCGATTCTCCTGCCTCAGCCTCCAGAGTAGCTGGGACTACAGGTGCATGCCACCACGCCCAGCTAATTTTTGTAGATTTTTTTAAAATAGAGATGGGATTTCACTATATTGGCCAGGCTGGTCTCGAACTCCTGACCTCATGATCTGCCCACCTCGGCCTCCCAAAGTGCTGGGATTACAGGCATGTGCCACCGTGCCCAGCCTATGAACATATTTTTACTCTCTGTCTTGCACTAAAAAATGTGGGCCCCAGAGACCAGATTCCATGAGTAAACACATGAAAGAAGCAATATAAAAACTATTCCTAGAGATCAAGATGGAGAATCAGAGAGAAAATGCTGAAGAAGATGACACTCTAATGTGCTGTGGTTCAGTGTTCTCTAAGGCTTTTGATATGTGCATACATGTGGGCCCAAGAGTGTCTAATTCAAGAAGGCAGAGTATTTACAGTCTCCAATATAGTGCCCGTGTAGAAAACATTAACAATCATAAAGCAAGATCATGTGTTTTTGTGTGTACATGTGAAATTAAGAAATCAATTCTAGTCAGATTTCAAGGAAAAAAAAAAAGCTCAAAAACTGTTGCAAATGGGCAATAAATAGTACCAGGACAGTAAGATAAGTCTTTGTGTTTTAAACAAAAAATTTTAGAAGAAACAAAAGTGGTTTGAATTAAGTACTAAAAAAATTTAACATGAACTGATAGCAGAGTAAAATTTTGGTTAGTGACCAATTTAAGGAACACCTATTAACATTTTCAGATTTTTTAATACCAAAAATTATTAAGCCAACTCTTAAAACTGGATATCAAAATTATTTTATATATATTTTACAGAGAACAAAAACTTTTAACTCAGAGCTGCGAATTCTCAGAAAACTATGCTTGAAGGTTCAGTATTTTTGATAAATCTTTTCAAAGGCCCTTTAAATATTATTGTGCTAATGAGCATGGACTGAGACAATAACATGTGATGGCACATATAAGCAAAGACAAATCAAGCTGTCTTCAAAACTGAATATATTTTGCTTTTTAAAATTAGGCCAGGTGTGGTGGCTCATACCTGTAATCCCAGCATTTTGGGAGGCTGAGGCTGGTGGATCACTTGAGACCAAGAGTTTGACCTGCCTGGGCAACATGGAGAGATCATTGCTGCACAAAAATGTAAAAATATTGGCTGGGCATGGTGACATGTACCTGTCATCCTAGCTACTATGGAGGCTGAGGTGGGAGGATCACTTGAGCCCAGCAGTTTGAGGTTATAGTGAACTATGATTGCACTACTTCAGTGTGGCCTGGGCAACAAAGGGAAACCCCCTCCTCCAACCGCCCCCCCCCAAGAAAGAGAGAGATATTTGGCATGTATTTGAAAAATTCTACCAACTCATCTTTCTGTCTCTATTACTTTCTTTCCTCAGCGGAAAAATACATTACTTTTATTCTATATACTATGTATTATAATTACTAAATACAGTGTTACAAACATAAAACCCAAACAGCCAAATTATGGAAGTATTTTTATAGTGTTTTTAGGGGGTAAAAGAAAAGGTGATTCAAGCACACAGTCTACTGAGATCCAAGGAAATGAGTTGTGGTCTTCAGCGTGTACTCTGAGGGAGGATGAGCATGCAGCCTGCTGCACTTGGGAAAGTTGTTCATGGAGGGACAGTTGCAAGGCTGGTGAAAGGAAACCCCAGGAACAATGAACTCAGGATTTGGCTTGAGAGGTAGATGGGTTGAAAGCCTAAAGGGGTCCTAGGCTCATGTGTATTGTGCATTGGTGATAGAGTCGGTAGGGCCAGTTTTTCACAGTGGGAATTTCCGGCAGAGACAAACCACCCCTGCCTTTCACTGTCAGTTGACAAGAGGCTCAAAAAGGACAAGAACAGGAAAGAAAATTACAGACTGAAAATGCAAGCTCCTCTTAAATGGTGATACTTACCAGGAATACCAAGCTCTTTGTCATTTATTTGGAAACTGGTCTTATTTCTTCAACTTATAACCTATAATGGATTTGAAAAAGAAAAGTCATTGAAAAATAGAAAAATATATATTGCTCTAAAAATAGGGCTTTTTAAGTGGCAAAAATTTGTATTTTTTATTTTGCTCCTTCAATTACTGGCAAGTAAAATAGAATACATTCTAAAAGCTGGGAACTAGAACACTTATCTATAACAAAAATGCCTACTTACAAAGACACATTAAGATTTTATAAAAGTTTTGAAGTAGGAATTGTCTTAGCTCAGGCTGCCATAACAAAATGCTATAGACTGTGTGGTTGAAACAATAGAAATTTATTTTCTCATAGGTCTGGAGGCCGGAGGTCCAAGATGAAGGTTCCAGCACGGCCAGGTTCTGGTGAGGGCTCTCCTTCTAGCTTGCAGATGGCTGTCTCCTCACCGTGTCATCACATGGGGCAGAGAGGGAGAGAGAGAGGGAAAGGAAGAGAGAGGGAGAGGGACAGAAAGATGGCACCAGGAGAGAATGAATTAGCTCTCTGGTGTCTCTTCTTATAAGGGCACTAGTCCCATTGTAAAAACCCCAGCCTCATGGCCTCATCTAAACCTAATTATCTCCCAAAGGCCCCAACTCCAAATACTATTACATTGGGGGTTAGTGCTTCAACATATTAATTTTGGGGTAACACAATTCAGGAATGATATCTAAACATGTTTCACTTCTTTCATGTCTTATAACTAGAATGTTACCTGGCCCCACTAGCCTTTGACTACAAATGAGGTCACATTAATGCCTAAATTCCAATGATTCTTAACCCTTCCTGCCAGACTATAGGACTTTGGCCCCTTTCTAAGTTCTCAGCCCCACCTGGGTAATGCCTCATTGATGTTCAATGCTGTTTGTCAATGACATCTTCATCTTGAAGGCCTGTGCACTGCCTCTATAGCTAAGTTCCAGTCATCACCATGTACCCTCAGAGTGCCATTTGGCAGTGTGTATGCACATGTGTGTGGGGGGCATGGGGTGGTGGCACAGAATTAACCTGTCCCAGTTCTCCGCAGCATACTGTCACCTGGGTGCTGATGTAACATTATTATTGTTGTTACTTTTTACCAGAATTATCTCCCATATAAATAACTCCTTCAGCTTTTGGTGCTAAGCCTTTTCTCTAATGTGACTCAAAAATCTATCCTCTCAAGATAAAATATTTGCAAACTATGCATCCAACAGGGAACTAATATCCAGAATTTACATGGAACTCAACTCAACAACAACAAGAAACAAATAACCCTATTCAAAAGCGGGCAAAGGACATGAATAAACATTTTTCAAAGAAGACATCCAAATGCACAACAGGCATATGAAATAAAGCTCAACATCACTAATGATCAAAGAAATGCAAATTGAAGCCACAATGAGATATCATCTTACACTAGTCAGAATGGCTATTATTAAAAGTCAAAAAATAACAGATGTTGGTGAGGATATAAAGAAAAGAGAACTCATATGCTGTTGGTGGGAATATAAGTTAGTACAACTATGGAAAACTCTATGGAGGTTGCTCAAAGAACTAAAAAATAATGACCATTTGATCCAGCAATCCCACTACTAGGTATATATTCAGGAAAAGAAATCATTATATCAAAAGGATAGCTACACACATATATTTATCACAGTACTATTTACAATAGCAAAAATATGGAATCAACCTAAGTGTCCATCAATGGATGACTGAATTAAAAAATGTGGTATATATACATAATGAAATACTATTCATCCATAAAAAATGAAATCATGTCTTTTCCAGCAATAAGGATGGAACTGGAGGCCATTCTCTTTAAGTGAAACAACTCAGAAACAGAAAGTCAGATGCTTGTTCTCACTTATAAATGGGAGCTAAATAATGTGTACACATGGACATAGGGTGTGGAATGATAGACAAGGAGACTCAGAAGAGTAGGGGAACAGAACGGGGATGGGTGATGAGAAACTACTCACTGGGTACAATGTACATTACTTGAGTGATGGATACACTAAAAGTCAAGACTTCACCACTACACAATATAGCCATGGAACAGAATTGCAGTTGTACCCCTTAAATTTATACACTTCAAAAAAAAAGGAAAAAAAAATCTGTTCCCTCAATTCTTTTCTCCCTCCTTTCTGCCCTGTGCTCCTGAGTCAAAAGGTAAAAATATCAAAAAAACAAAAAACAACTTTTCAACTTAAAACCAAAGCTCCAGTGTGTATCAGTTCAGGCAAACAGATCACTTAGTGGATTAGCAGCCTCTAGTTTCAAAGATGTAGAGTCTGTGAATTCCAGTTTGGGGCTCACATGGAACTTTCTGCTATACTTTCAAGTTTTTTTTTCTAGTGGTGCCAAAGGCATATACTTTAAACTTTAATAATTTAAAATCATTTTGGATTTATTTATAATAAATATCTAAGAACATAAAAAGTAGTAAATTATGAAATACTTGAAAACCAAATCCAAAGAAGTCATATACCCCAACTGTTGCAGTATTATTTCAGCATCCAGGCTACCTAGGAAACAAGGCTTCACTTCCACTAAATGCAACTTGGTACAAAGTCCAGGGAGTGACATTCTCCAGCTTGCTTTAGGACACCCTAAGATTTATCTCATTTATATCTCGAGCTGTCTTGGACGTGTAAAAATAAAAACTAGTTGAATTATTTAAAGTATGAAAATATTCTGCAAATTACTATTTTAATTAGCTTAATTGAGAAAAGTATGCTGTATATTAATGTTTGTATCATTTTAACTGAGAAAAGAATACACTGTAAATTATTCTTTGAGGGAAAGAGGGTGTCATGGAATCAAACCAATGGCAGAGATTCAGATACAACTTTGGGCAAATCTCTTACTTCCTTTTGCATAGGCTTCCTTTTCTAAAACTGGAGAAAATAATACCTCCCTTTTCCTGGGTTGCTGTGAGAATTCAATCAGTTATATGTAAAGTTCTAAAAACTGTTTCTGGTATATGGTGCCATGAAGTGCTATGAAGGTGTTTGTTATTACAAGTATTTAAAAGGTAATATAAATTACTTTTAAGTAATTGGTCTCTTTGATTAGTCAGCAAAGAACTTTCAGAAATAGAAAGTCAGATGCTTGCTCTCACTTATAAGTGGGAGCTAAATAGTGTGTACATATGGACACAGACTGTGGAACGATAGACATCGGAGACTCGGAAGGGTTGGGGATGGGAGGGGGATGGGTGACGATAAATTACTCAGCAAAAGTTATATTTCAGCACTTAGTAATAATTTGTATTAAGTTGGTTTTCATTTGTGATTAATTTTTTTGTGGGTCAGTCATCTTTAACCAAAAGCAAAATGCATCTACCCTTACGCTATGACAAGTTCCCAAAGTGTGTTCCTTGGTATGCCGTTTCAATGGAATATTAGCACATGTTATGTGAAGAAAAAAGGTGCTGTAACTGGTGAGTTTGGGAAGTGCTGGGTTAGACAAATGTAAATAAGGCTTCTTTACTAAGAATGTCTCTGAGCTTTTCATGCTGTAATGTGCCCCGAGATCTTACAGGTGGTTTTCCAGATGTATCTGGAAACAGATTCTTTTATTTACAAAGCATCTTGAGAAATTAATGTTTTGTGAAATGCATGTTGGTATTTTAAATATATATATATGTATATATATGTATATTTTAAAAGATGGAGTTGCTCATTGTGAGGGAATTCACTGGCAGGCACAAGAGGCTCAGGAAGGCTCAGGAAGAAGGCCAGGAGTTCCAGCCTTGATGGTCCAGCAAGGCTCAGGAAGAAGCATCCCATATTCTTCACATCATCATCATCATCACCGTAACTTAAAAGCATAAGGCATAACATTTGTTTGGCACTTGAAAAAATGCTTTGTCTCATCTTATCTTTTGAAAAACAAAATGAACGCTGAGCTATTATTTTATGGATGAGGAAACTGAGGTTCAGAGGGTAAAGGTGTGATGATAAGCTCAAGGTCACACAGCTAGTAAAGAGTGACTTGAACCCAGGCAGGTGATTTGAAATCCCTGCTTTTTCCACTGTACCATACCACTGCCTGTTAGGGTTCCAATTAAACAATTCCTTCAAGGCAAACACCAAGGCATCTCACATCTGACCTCAATTAGGAAAGTTGATAGTGGAAGTGCACTTTTGCATGGCATGACATGCCACAAAGCAATCTGGTGTTTGAGATGCTGCATCTAGAGAAAGCAGCAAGCATGAGGAACAAAGGAAAACTGTCACTTAGTCAAAATTCCTTGTGTTCTCATGAAGGAGCCATCTCTGAACTCCATGAGTACACTCCTTACTTATACATGTATTATAGCGCTACATGCTCAGGAGATGTTTCTTAGATTCAAAAAGCAAAACTTTCACTAATAATGAATAGCAGATGCTTATATTACTCAAAATAATCTAGTGCTCTTAACAAGAAGCACTGTTTCCTTCTCCTGATGTTAAAAGGATATTACTTTCTAGAGATTCTGTTAATATATCCAATTACTACATAATTATTTATACTGCCTTTCAACCTCATTAGACGTGTAACAGAGTATCAGAAGAAAACACAAAAGTAACTTAGTGCTCAGAGTTTATATACTCATGGGCAGAGAAGGTATATTAAAAGCCAATAATAGCAGATGCTGTTTATTGGGTGCTAACTAGTGGCCAAGTATTGTTGTAAAGTGCTTCATATAATTGATCATATTTAATTTGTGACATTGGAAAATAACTATTACTAATATCACCATTTTTTTTTTTGAGACGGACGGAGTCTCACTCTGTCGCCCAGGCTGGAGTGCAGTGGCGCGATCTTGGCTCACTGCAACCTCTGCCTCCCAGGTTCAAGCGACTCCCCTGCCTCAGCCTCCCACGTAGCTGGGATTACAGGTGTGCGCCACCACGCCCGGCTAATTTTTGTATTTTTAGTAGATAAAAATATCTACGAAATTTCACCATATTGGTCAGGCTGGTCCTGAACTGCTGACATCGTGATCCAACCACCTCGGCCTCTCAAAGTACTGGGATTACAGGCGCGAGCCACTGCGCCCAGCCAATATCACCATTTTACAGATAAGATTATTGAGGCTTAAATATCATGTAGCTAAGAAGAACTTGTGAGCAGCTTGATAGAGATTGTGGCTTTTCAGCCTGATTGCTCTAGGCCTGGCTCAGTGCCCAGCACAGACTAGGGGCTTTATACAAATTTGTCAAGCAAGTACATAAGCAAGCAAGCCCTAAAGGTTTCAGCCAGCCACTGGCTAGCTTTACCTAAAACTTGTTTTGACAAAGACCTTTGCCTCAGAATGGTACAGCAATTAGACTAAGAGGTTAGAGAGAGCGGCAGCCCCTTCTTTCTCAGAGCTGCAGGTGTAGCCTCTGGTCCTCCTGAGCACTATGTCCCATGCCTGTTCAATTGAGATCACCTGCACCCACCAGCAAACTGACAGAGACAGGGCCTCATGAAGGGTATCCAAGTAGGGACCTCCACAGTGGCCAAAGCTCTAATGAATGAATAATTGACGACTGGGGCTTCCTCAAGGCCAGTCTCACACCCAGCTACTGGTTGCATCCCTTCCAACAAGCTGGCCACCCTAAGCCTCGTTCATAGAGAAATGCTGCAGCTGGAGTTTGAGGATGAGCTGTTCCTCCCTGGAGATTCTACCACTTTTCCTCTGGGGAGGCCCTCACCTGGGCCTGGCCTTTCGAGTGAATTCCTAAATCTGGAGTGTCTCTCTCTTCCAGGACATCTGGAGTATCTCTTCTGCAAGGGAACGCAGATAAAAGCAGCCTGCGGAACGGTAAGCTAAGTAACTGAACCCAGACTCTACAAACCAGGCAAGAAAATAGGCCTTTGAGCGAAATAAAAAAGGGTGATTCTTCAGGAGAGACGAATTATAAAAGGCAACACTTGCCCACTTCCCCACCCCCAAATGGTAAAAGGTCCTTTTCCTGAGGGGCCAGGCCTGGGCAGTCCCATTTAAGTTGCAGAAGGGGTCAATTTGCAGGACGTACCTTTCATTCAGGGTAGCAAAGATGTTTAAAGTCGTTCTTCACTCAAAGCCTCCAGGGGTAAATCCCTTCTACACAGCAGATGGGAGAAAATTGGGCCTGGTGCCCTCAGTGTAACTCTCTCCTCTGATCCCACCACTCAAGGAAGAGGTCTCCGCCCCTTCCTTCCCGGTTATTACTGAACCACCTAGTTCACCTCTTCTTGATCTTAAGTCCCTTCCAAACTCAGAACAGGCCTTCCCAGACCTCATAAAGAATCCTCACCCCCTCGTTTTTCCTTACCAACAAGTGCTTCCAAGCACTGGAGCATCCATAACTACTTTACTGTGTATTCTCTGTCTTCTCCCTAGGATGTGAGTTCTAGGAGTGCAAGATGGATGACTTTTGGGTCACCTTTGTGTTTTCAGGCCCTAGCACAGCACATGGCACATAGAAGAATACGTATTTATTGGAAGCATTGAAAAATCAGTCAAACTTAAGAAGCAAGACAACCTCATTTGTAATTTTTTTAGAGACAGAGTCTCATTCTGTTACCCAGGCTGGAGTGCTGTGCAATGATCATAGCTCATTGTAGCGTTGACCTCCTGGGCTCAAGCCTCGGCCCCCAGAGTAGCTAGGACACAGGCCACCATGCCCGGTTCATTTTTAAATTTTTTCTAGAGATGGGGATCTTGCCGTGTTGCCCAGTCTGGTCTGGCACTCCTGGCCTCACGCAAACCTCCCACCTCAGCTTTCTACGAAGCTAGGACTACAGGTGCATGCCATGCCTGGCTAATTTTTAATTTTCTTTTTTAAGAAATGGGGATCTTGCTATGTTGCCCAGGCTGATCTGGAGCTCCTGGACTCAAGCAATCCTCCTGCCTCAGCCTCTCAAAGTGTTAGGATTACAGGTGTGAGCCACTGCGCCTGGCCGTAGAGAACCTCCTTTTTGACATAAAAGTAATCATGAACATGTGAGCAATATTTCATTTGGATGCCAATGTAGAGTTAAGCATCCCTAACCCCACCCGGTCTCGTCTCACTCAACATCTGCAGCTTGTCCACGCCTCTCCACAGCAGCAGAAATGAGCCAAAGCAGGAAAGGCTGACTCATTGTAGGTGCCAGAGGCTGGGAAAATCTATAGAGCCAGAGGGGAAGTAGACACGTTGGTTCTGGGGAAGGGTGGCCTGTCACTTTGGGGAAAGAAATGGAAGGTCAGAGGGACTTCTGGAAGGCAGAGGGGAGCAGGTGGGATGGTTTCCTATGCCTGGACCATCAGTTTCTGGGAGGGAAGAGGCAGGAAGTAGTGATGGATGCCCTGGACTGAAGACTGGGAGGGCCAGGAAGGAGCCTTAAAATTTGCACTTCCAGAGAGAAAGTCGGCTGGTGGGATTGACCTCGGACTGACAACTAACAGGCAGCATGCGGTGGAGTTTCAGGAAGCCAGAGGTCTGGGGTGCCAGCAGCAACAAACCCAGGCTGGCTGATGGAAGGGCCCAGCCTAGACAGGGAAGCAGAGGGGCTGCATGGAAAGGCTCAGGGCTGGAGGTGATGTGAAGTGGAATAAGCTTCAGTGGGAGCCAGGAGGTTGTATTTCCCGTTGGGGGCGGTGGTGGAGGGATGGGGGTGCCCAGAGAGGAACTATGGATTAGGCCCAGGCCGGCCACTCAGAGTGCTTGGCATCCAGGATGTGTTAAGATGGCATTGAGGCCGAGCGCGGTGGCTTAGGCCTGTAATCCCAGTACTTTGGGAGGCCAAGGCAGGCGGATCACCTTTGGTCAGGAGTTTGAGACAAGCCTGGCCAACATGGTGAAACCTCGTTTCTACTAAAAATACCAAAAACAATTAGCTGAGCATGGTGGCGCGCGTCTGTAATCCCAGCTTCTGGGGAGGCCGAGGCAGGAGAATTGCTTCAACCCGGGAGGCGGAGGTTGCAGTGAGCCGAGATCGCGCCACTGCACTCCAGCCTGGGCGACAGAGTGAGACACCATCTCAAAAAAAAAATAGCATTGAGATCAATAAGGAAGTCTAGAAACCAGGAAGCTTTTTGCAAAGAGAAAACGCCTTTTGTTATTCTCACCGATGGATATTAAGCTTTCCCTCACAGACAGGACTACAAGCTTCAGAGTGGATCTGAGATGAATGCGAATTGCTGTGTACCTTTGTAAGGGACAGAAGACCGGATTTTCAAATTTAAAACAACCATTCTGTTTCTGGAATCAGAAATCAGTTTCGAGATTTACAACTGTATTTTTTAAAAAATCTGTCTTCTTAGTGGACTCGGGGGGGACTTCACGTGGCACCCAGTACACGCCACGCCAAGCCACCGAAGCCAGAGGTGTGTGTCTGGGGCCAGAGACGTGCATTCCCTCAGCAAGGCCGGCCTCAGACGCAAACGCCAGCACCGCCACCCTGTCGCCCGCTGAGAGGATCTGGCCGCCGGGGGGAGGGGGCGGGGGGGGGGGCAGCGGGGGAACAACAAAAAAATCCCAGCATAATGATTATTCCCAGGGACCGTTGGGTTTTTTTTTCCCCAAGGCGGCCGAAAAAACAAGTGCTCCCCTTCCCCGGAAATGAGATGCACAGGGGTATTCATTCCATTCCGCGGCTGGGAAGCCCCTGCGGAAACGAGTCTGGCTGCATGTGCGGCCTCGGTCCCAGAAATCAAAAAGAGCGTCCCCTGAGCCCACAGCTTGCTCCTCCATGTGACCGGCCCCTGGGCTGGTGGCCACTGTGGACGCGCCCGGCGCCCCCTCTCCCGGCTCCCTGCGGGTTCCGCGGAGCCGCCGGCGCGCAGCCCGGCCAGGTGCACCCGGCACGGCCCCACTAACAGCGCGCGCCTCCAGCCGCCGGGCACTGGCGGCCACGCGGGCGAGATTTACGGTGGCGCTAGGCGGCGGCTTCCGAGGCCGGCCGGCGCCCAGGCTCCGATTACAGGTTCACACTGGGGGCCCGGCCGGCGGCCGCCCAGCCCCCGCCGGCGCGCCCTCGCGCGGCCCGGCTCCCCGCCTGCCCATTCTTCTCCATTCATGCGGACGCCCAGCGCCGCCGCCGCCGCCGCCAGCGCGGCCGCCGCCGTCGCCGTCGCCGGCCGCCCGGATTGGCTGGCGGCCGCGGCGCCGGCACTTTCCCACGGCCCGCGGCGCGTGCGGCTCACCGGAGGCGCTGCAGGCTCGGCCCTGGCGCGCGGCCAGGCCAATCGGGGCGCGCGGGGCGGGGAGGAGCCGCGGCCGCCGGCGGGCTTGTGTCCCGGCCCGGCCTCCCGCGCCTCCCCGCCGCCCGCGCCTCCTCCTTCCCCTGAGTGCAGGCTGGACAGAGCCCCCGCGGAGCCGACGCACCGCCGCCGGGCAGGGGCGGGCGCGGAGGGCGGGGGCGCGGTCCGCTAGAGCCCTCGGCCTCGCTCCCGCCCCTCCCCGGAGCGGCTGCCAATCAGCGGCGCGAGAAACCGGATTGGCCGGGGGGCGGCTGTTGCCCTGGAGTTGCCGCCCCGCCTCTCCGCCCCCTCGCCCGCCTTCCCCACTCCCCCGCCCTCCCCAGGGCCCTGGGAAGGGGCTCAGCGTGGGAAAGGATGGTTGAGTTTTAACCAGAGGCAAAGCGTGAGCGGGATCAGTGTGTGCGGAACGCAAGCAGCCGAGAGCGGAGAGGCGCCGCTGTAGTTAACTCCTCCCTGCCCGCCGCGCCGACCCTCCCCAGGAACCCCCAGGGAGCCAGCATGAAGCGAGCTCACCCCGAGTACAGCTCCTCGGACAGCGAGCTGGACGAGACCATCGAGGTGGAGAAGGAGAGTGCGGACGAGAATGGGTGAGCTGGCGGCGGCGGAGCGGAGCCGAGCCAGAGCGGGAGGCGAGCGCAGGCCTGCCGCGGTGACAGCGGGCTAGGACCCTTGGCGCGCCGGTGCCCTGCGCTGACCTCCGCGCGTCGCAGGCTGGCGGCAGCCTGCGGCCAGGGAACCCCTAGGTGCCTTCCAGCCCAAGTGGCAAAAAAAGTCTGAGTGCGGGGAGGGTGTGGGGGCGACCTCTCAGATCACCTCTCCTCGTTTAACGGCGATTTCAGTTTTTGTTTGTTCTTTTTCTCTTTTCAGAAACTTGAGTTCGGCTCTAGGTTCCATGTCCCCAACTACATCTTCCCAGATTTTGGCCAGAAAAAGACGGAGAGGAGTGAGTCTCTTTACACTCTCCTTTTATTTTTGTTATTGATTAACGGAAATAACCACCTTTTTTTTTGTCTTTGAAATTTACAGTCGTAATGGTAATGCCTTCCTTTGTTTTGCTTGCCTTCTGCAGATAATTGAGAAGCGCCGACGAGACCGGATCAATAACAGTTTGTCTGAGCTGAGAAGGCTGGTACCCAGTGCTTTTGAGAAGCAGGTAATGGAGCAAGTAGGTAAAGCTCTCAGCATAGCTATCTGCACCTTCTGAATCTTCCCCTCATTAATCTCATCCGCCTTGGAAAATAGCTGTGTTGCTTGTGCCTAGATGAATTCGTACACAGATACCAGCGTATTTTGTGAAGACAACTGATTTTGCTTTAGTCCATGCTTTACGATTTACAAAGCATGTATCTTTGTATATATGTTTGCATATTTTAAATTGTTCCCCAAAGGAACTTGTGCCAAATCAATCTTTTGCCATTCTCATCTTTAGGGATCTGCTAAGCTAGAAAAAGCCGAGATCCTGCAGATGACCGTGGATCACCTGAAAATGCTGCATACGGCAGGAGGGAAAGGTACATCTCCTAGACCTAGTGGGGGCTCTGAATGGTTGGCAAAGAGTGAGCAGCGGCTGAAGGCCAGGATTGGTGCAGTAGCTGCCTGATTTTTCTTTGGGGGTGGGGAGAGAACGGTGTGTGGTGTGTGCAGTTCCCTGTCAGTACATTTTCGAATGCACATAGAATCTTCTCCAGTGAATTCACCACCCCAGCTCTCTGCGGATTGAGCTAGTGCATCTTTTGGAAAAATACCTATTATTTGTGAGGTCTTCAAAAGTTGTGACAGCCCTGATTCAGATCAGGTAGCTTTCACATTTGTCCATTGCTATTTTGAGAAAAAGCATTTAAAAACAATATGTGGTCTTATTTTTGGTATACGGGATTTTAAAAAAAAGGTGCTGCCACATGCCTCTTGAGGAAAGAAATGTATTCTGGTTAAGTAAAGGAAACCTAACGGGAGACCAAGGTCTGTGTGTATGTCTCTCCAGCAGGAAAATGCTTTACTGAGGTCCAAGTGCCTAAAAGCTCCGCGATGATAACTTACATCTGTGTGTCTAATGAATTTCACTGCTCTGTGGTTTCTCTGCCCTTGATGTATTTTTTGTTGTTGTTGAGGGAAAACATTAAAGGAATGAACATAGTTTCATCTGCTGGTAGGGTATAATTCCAATTTCTGCTCTGCAGCTTCTAATTGGGCTTTGAACTTGCATTAGCAAACACATTCTGCTTATGTTGATTAATGCAAAGATTTTTGTTGATTCCAAAGACTTTCGGAAGAACCCCTGACTGTTGTGTTTTAAGGGATGCAGGTATCTGCCAGGAAGGGCTGTCTCTGGGACTTAAGAAATGAGGGAAACGGGCAAAGCCCTGAGATTTTTCTTTTGTTCTTTTGCTTAGGTTACTTTGACGCGCACGCCCTTGCTATGGACTATCGGAGTTTGGGATTTCGGGAATGCCTGGCAGAAGTTGCGCGTTATCTGAGCATCATTGAAGGACTAGATGCCTCTGACCCGCTTCGAGTTCGACTGGTTTCGCATCTCAACAACTACGCTTCCCAGCGGGAAGCCGCGAGCGGCGCCCACGCGGGCCTCGGACACATTCCCTGGGGGACCGTCTTCGGACATCACCCGCACATCGCGCACCCGCTGTTGCTGCCCCAGAACGGCCACGGGAACGCGGGCACCACGGCCTCACCCACGGAACCGCACCACCAGGGCAGGCTGGGCTCGGCACATCCGGAGGCGCCTGCTTTGCGAGCGCCCCCTAGCGGCAGCCTCGGACCGGTGCTCCCTGTGGTCACCTCCGCCTCCAAACTGTCGCCGCCTCTGCTCTCCTCAGTGGCCTCCCTGTCGGCCTTCCCCTTCTCTTTCGGCTCCTTCCACTTACTGTCTCCCAATGCACTGAGCCCTTCAGCACCCACGCAGGCTGCAAACCTTGGCAAGCCCTATAGACCTTGGGGGACGGAGATCGGAGCTTTTTAAAGAACTGATGTAGAATGAGGGAGGGGAAAGTTTAAAATCCCAGCTGGGCTGGACTGTTGCCAACATCACCTTAAAGTCGTCAGTAAAAGTAAAAAGGAAAAAGGTACACTTTCAGATAATTTTTTTTTTAAAGACTAAAGGTTTGTTGGTTTACTTTTATCTTTTTTAATGTTTTTTTCATCATGTCATGTATTAGCAGTTTTTAAAAACTAGTTGTTAAATTTTGTTCAAGACATTAAATTGAAATAGTGAGTATAAGCCAACACTTTGTGATAGGTTTGTACTGTGCCTAATTTACTTTGTAAACCAGAATGATTCCGTTTTTGCCTCAAAATTTGGGGAATCTTAACATTTAGTATTTTTGGTCTGTTTTTCTCCTTGTATAGTTATGGTCTGTTTTTAGAATTAATTTTCCAAACCACTATGCTTAATGTTAACATGATTCTGT
Source organism: Homo sapiens (assembly GCF_000001405.40). Taxonomy (NCBI): domain Eukaryota; kingdom Metazoa; phylum Chordata; class Mammalia; order Primates; family Hominidae; genus Homo; species Homo sapiens. The sequence goes on along the minus strand of NC_000008.11, from coordinate 79,764,739 downwards.
TTGTTAATATTTTGACAGATTAAGGTGTTGTATAAATAATATTCTTTTGGGGGGAGGGGAACTATATTGAATTTTATATTTCTGAGCAAAGCGTTGACAAATCAGATGATCAGCTTTATCCAAGAAAGAAGACTAGTAAATTGTCTGCCTCCTATAGCAGAAAGGTGAATGTACAAACTGTTGGTGGCCCTGAATCCATCTGACCAGCTGCTGGTATCTGCCAGGACTGGCAGTTCTGATTTAGTTAGGAGAGAGCCGCTGATAGGTTAGGTCTCATTTGGAGTGTTGGTGGAAAGGAAACTGAAGGTAATTGAATAGAATACGCCTGCATTTACCAGCCCCAGCAACACAAAGAATTTTTAATCACACGGATCTCAAATTCACAAATGTTAACATGGATAAGTGATCATGGTGTGCGAGTGGTCAATTGAGTAGTACAGTGGAAACTGTTAAATGCATAACCTAATTTTCCTGGGACTGCCATATTTTCTTTTAACTGGAAATTTTTATGTGAGTTTTCCTTTTGGTGCATGGAACTGTGGTTGCCAAGGTATTTAAAAGGGCTTTCCTGCCTCCTTCTCTTTGATTTATTTAATTTGATTTGGGCTATAAAATATCATTTTTCAGGTTTATTCTTTTAGCAGGTGTAGTTAAACGACCTCCACTGAACTGGGTTTGACCTCTGTTGTACTGATGTGTTGTGACTAAATAAAAAAGAAAGAACAAAGTATTCTGTGGTGTATGTCTTACATACCTTGGCCTTTCCCCCTCTTGGCTAAGAAAAGATAAACTTTCCTTGGTTTTCATTTTGCCTGATTGGTTTGTATGTTTACCAGTTTCATTATTCTTGGACTTCTAAACTGTGTGAATTCGTGCCGTTGAATAAGGTGACTTCATTACAATGCAGAGAGCTTTGCCCTGCCTCCTACAAGGGGACATAGCCCTTTTGCTCTTATGTCAGATGATCTGGCCCTAAACTGGCCATCTGTGGATTAGGAAAGCTGAAATCAGACTGAGACTTACAGGGGTTGAAAGGAGCTTGGATGAAATATTTTAAAACCGTGTTGACTATTTGACAAATATTTACTGAGAGTACCTACTATGTGCTCATTTCTATGCTGAGAGAATGGAAATTTATTTCTTTTATTAATTTTTTTTAAATGGCAAAACAAGAAGACCCAAATGTAGGGGCTCGGGACTCTGTGGCCTGATGAGCAGTGGCAGGCTGTAATTCTGCACCTGCACAGCTCCAGAAGTCTTCACTGGTCTTATTTCCAAGGAATTTAACTCTTTAGTTGCACTGGACTCCTGAGCTGTGTAGTGAGGAAGCTGACATATGCTTTAGGTTAGAACAAAACACTGCCAGCATGGAGGGCGTATTCTGGGCCCCAGGGGAGAGGAGTGTCTTCCCATTGCCTTAAAAATAGCCCTGTGCCAATTAAGGAGTGCTCCTAAGGAGTTTGTCTTGATCCTGAGGGCGGTGGGGAGGAGACGGAGAAAACCCATGCTGGCAGATGATAAAATAAAGCCTTCCTTTGCTTTGCCCAAACACGGAGCCCCTCCTCCCATCTGGTGAAAAAACACAGTCAGAAGACAAAGAGAAGTTTGGAGTTTGAATTTGAGCTTCAACTTCTGTGTCCCTGTGAAGGGATGGGAGACTGCAGCATTTTTGTGATTGTGGGTTTCCAATCCCTTCAAAGCTTTCTCTGCATGGCCTCAGACGTCGATCCCTCTTGTGATGCACAGCTCTGCTCTCAGCATTGCCTGTGCCACACAGACACTCTTTCTGTCATAAGGCTGTGATGGAAAGTGTTATGCTAATTTCTGCCAAGTGTCAGTTTAATTTTAGCAACCGCGATTTCCAATGACATTACAGCATTACTGAACAGCATTGTACTTCGACTATCTCTTACTGTTACATAGGTTTAGATGGCTGCTAATGTGGTAAGAAGTGAAGCCTCTCATTTGCTGGCTCTGCTGAAAGAGCTGTGGAACTGTAAAACATGTAGCATGTTCCACTTGTCTCATCAGTGATCGCTATATCTGGTTAGCGGGAGGCGTGGCAGTTCATTTCCAGATTACATACTTTTCCATGGAAATATTCTGGTTTCTTTTCAAGCCCTTTCAAGGTGAAAAGTATCTGAGGATGGTGCAGGTGGAGTGTGAGCTTCCTAGGAAGCAGGATGGAGTATGACTATGTACCAATAGTGTATAGAAAAATTAATTCAGGAAAACTCCCATTTCTATTCTGTTGATGCAATTAGGAAAAAAATAACACCAGGGTTATCAGGGCCAGCATATTTTTGTATTATATGTACATTTATAATACATCTACCAGTGTATAAACAAAATTTTTTCAGAGAATGCATAAGTTTACCTTATAAGGAAAATAAATCATTGGTTATAAAGAATCTTGAAGGGCTTCAATAATTACTCATTTATTTTCATTTAATGTATTACCATGAATCAATATGATGAAGTAGATAGATGGGCAGAATTCTTGTATTTAAAAAAGCCTCTAAAAATCCAAGGAATAATTGTTTCCAATTTATTCAGTCTAGTTAAATGAGGATGTGATTTTTATCCAGGTTTTCATTGCCCCACTCTGTGACTCACTAAAATCATGATATTTTAAATATAGATTACTTAAATTTGAAATCCCTCAGGAAATGTTTTATCTCCTAGTTATACTTTTCCCCAGCCTTTCCCATCTATACCAGTATCACAGCTTTGATGCCTTCATTAGTTTCTGGTGATGATTTATAATTAAAATCACTTCAGAGCTAATATCATCTGAAACACTGCTTCAAATGTGGCCCAATTTCATTTACAACTGGAGTCCCAGGGAATAAGAGCATCTTGGAAAGATTTTTGGCTCCTGCTTTTACCTAATTGGGTGACACTGGATAAGTCATTATGATTCTCTGAACCCCACTTTCCTCATCTGTCAAAGTGGCTGGACTGGGTGAGGGTTCCAGGTGCATGTGACGGGGACAGGCACTACTGGGGAGGAATGCAGTGGTATCAGGTGAGTGATGACCCAGGGAGGACGTCATATTTTCCCAGCACCCATTCTGTCTCCGGGTCTGGCTGAGGAGTCGCCGATTGTTCCTATGCAGAAATTTTAGTCCAGTGTTAGCAGATCTTTCAAGTTTCCAAAGGCATCTCCAAATTTGGATTTTTTATGTGAAATTGTCCAATTTTTATTGGTTAGTCACTAATTCACCAAAACCTGTCTTCCAGCAAGACTGAGCCATGGGCAACAACTATTTCTCAGCTTCCAGGGCTCTAATCTGAATGGCTCTCTGGAGGGCTAGAATTTTCTAATATCTTTGTCATCCGTGCTTTGAATACGCTACAATAAATGGGTAAACATAAGCTAAAATAAAATCAACACTGCAGTCTTTAGGCAGCTGTAGGTGATATTATGTAAAGATTACGTGCAGAGTTTTTTAAAAAATTACTTCTGGGCTGTCCAATTTCCTCAAGGTAAAATAAAGCAAGGAGAGAGGTTTCTGCTTCACAGAAACCTCTTCCAAAGGTGTTCTCAACTGGGTCCTTGCATTCCCTTTACCATGGAGGAAGACGAGTTCTCAGCCTGGCAGCCTGAAATGAAAGAGCGAGTGTGTAGCTCGCTTGTGACTCAGCACGCTGAAGTACTAAAAGGCATCATCTGATTTCAGGAAGTAAGACGTCTCAGCAAAAAGCAAGCTGTTTTGAACTTCAACTTGAAATATAATGCCTGCCTTGATCTTGATGAGCTGCAGGGTTTTTCTCTCAGATCCTTCAGTGTTCTGCTCTGGGGCGGGGGGTGGGGAGAGGCGAGAAGAAAGCCAAGGAAAAAGAAATCCAGGCCTTTCTTTTTGAGCTGTCTGTAGGTATTGATAGGCACTTGTCACAGAACTGTTCCCCCAAGCCTGTAAATCCCAGCAAAATTCAAGGTAAACAAATGTCCCTAAGAGATGAGTCTGAGGAACACAGACAGGTATCTGGATTTTGCGTTAATCCACTGCCACATTAGGCTTCTTTATAGTTTGGTTGTAAAATTTCCCATTGAATTTACTCCTATGTTGGTATTTTTTGTTACAGTCAAGTTAAAAGACCATGCCTAAATTTGAAAACTCTTAATCATAGATGGTTGGTAGGTTATCTATGGCTTGATGTAGCAGAAGAGACTTGAAAACGTTATATTTTAGCCAGAAAGAGACTGCCGTTTACCTCTGATAGAGTTGATACCCAAACAGTTTCTGTAGCTACTTTTAGTATTTTTTTTTTTTAAATGCCTCCCCTGGGCATGGTTTTGTTTCTGGTGCTTAGGGGTGTTCCATAAATGCAGCACTGAATCATAAAATTAAAGAATGACATATCTGAGGCTTTGATCATCCTCTTTGACCTCATTTCCTACCACTCGCCCCTCCTCACTGCTCCAGCCACACTTGCTGTCTGCTCTTGTGGGAACGTGCTCTACATGTTTGCATCTCCAGGCCTTTGTGTTGGCCGTTCCCTCTGCCTGGAATGCTTTTCCCCCAACGGTCTGCTGACCTATCTGTAATCTCTACTTGCGGCTCTGCTCAAAGGTCACCTTCCCCACCAGGTCTTTCCTTGCAACTCTATTTAAAACAATCATCCCACTCTCAGTCTCTCATCCCCACATCTGCCTCTCCCTACCTCCCTTTCTTCTTTTGTTTATCTCCACCGTACCCAGAATTATCTGACAGAATAGATACTTCATTGACTGTTTATTATCTGTTTTTGCCTGGTTTGTTCACTTCTACAGTTCTGTCACTTAAAATTGCCTAGCACATTAGAGGCTCTCAGTAAGTATTTGTTGAATGAGTGAATGAATCCTATCCACCCCCTTGGTCTCCACTAAGAAGCAGAGCAACCGGGCAGGGTGGCTCATGCCTGTAATCCCAGCACTTTGGGAGGCAGATGCGGGCGGATCACCTGAGGCCTGGAGTTTGAGACCAGCCTGACCAACATGGAGAAACCCATCTCTACTAAAAAAAAACAAAAAACCAAACAAACAAACAAACAAAAATAGCCAGGTGTGGTAGCACATGCCTATAATCACAGCTACTTGGGAGGTTGACTGGAGAATTGCTTGAGCCCAGCAGGTGGAGGTTGTGGTGAGCCGAGATTGCGCCATTGAACTCCAGCCTGAGCAAAACTGTCAAAAAAAAAAAAAAAAAAAAAAAAAAAAGCAGAGCAAAAGAGAGCCAGACAGGCAGGTCTTTATCCTCCAGCCCCCACCTTCACTACTCCCAGGGAAGATAATTTTATGTTTCACTTCAGTACTTCCTCTTCACTATTATAAAATTCTGCTTTTATTTATTTTATTTATTTTTATTTTTATAGAGAGACAGGGTCTTGGTATGCAAACTTCTGGACTCAAGCGATCCTCCCACCTTGGCTTCCTAAAGTTTTGGGATTACAGGTGTGAGCCACTGCGTCCAGCCAAAATTCTGCTTTAAAAAAAAACCAAACTCAAACATCATTCTTCAAGTCTATTTCCTTATTTATTTATTTCCTTATTTATTCCCACTTCTGTGTGCCTAGTGGGAATGTAGGGATATTGGTCACCTTTCTTTTCTTTTTTTTTTTTTGGAGGTGGAGTCTCGCTCTCCACCTCCCAGGTTCAAACAATTCTCCTGCCTCAGCCTTCTGAGTAGCTGGGACTACAGGCACCTGCCACCACGCCCGGCTAATTTTTGTATTTTTAGTAGAGACGATGTTTCACTGTGTTGCCCAGAGTGGTCTCGAACCCCTGAGCTCAGGCAATCCACCCACCTCAGCCTCCCAAAGTGCTAGAATTACAGGCATGAGCCACTGCATCCAACCACCTTTCTTATATTCCCCACAAAAGCCCCCACTCTCCTCTGAAGACATAGGCTTTCAATTTATCTTCACTTCCACCTTCTCTCCAATTAGGGTGTCTCAGTGTTTTTGATCTTCCCCCATTTTAGTACAACCTTTGGGATGGGGATGGGGGAGCACAGCAACTGTATTTTTATTTATTTTATTTTATTTTTTGAGACAGTTGCTCTGTTGCCCAGGCTGGAGTGCAATGGCACGATCTCAGCTCACTGCAACTTCCACCTCCCAGGTTCAAGCAATTCTCCCACTCCAGCCTCCTGAGTAGCTGGGATTACAGGCATATGCCACCACGCTCAGCTAATTTTTGTATTTTTAGTAGAGACAGGGTTACGTCATGTTGGCCAGGCTGGTCTTGAACTCCTGACCTCAGATGATCCACCCACCTCAGCCTCTCAAGGTGCTGGGATTACAGGCATGAGCCATTGCGCCCAGCCAAGTGTATTTATAAAAATGGAGAGAAGAACAGAAGTTCTATTATGAGAACAGAGTACATACCACTTAGGGTTTATAGGACAGCAACACAGATGAAGCGTTTAGACTAAACCTGAAGAAGTTAAAGAAACTAAGATATAGTCTGTGATAAGTTGGAGGCTGAAGGGCGACTAGGAAATTATTCGTTTCCATATATAAAGACACGGTCTTATGAAAACAGAGGCCAGAGGTTCTCAGGTGGAGACCCACATCCTCGCACAGGGCAGAGACCCGTGGGGTTGAGATGGGAAGGGGCCTGCAATTCTCACCATGGTTCTGGCCATTAAGCAGCCATGGGTTTGTAACAGGATTTTGAGTACAGCTTTTTCTGTTGTCCGGTAATAAGCTGAGTGCACAGAAGTGGTAAGTACCTCATATTCTAAGGAACGCAAATCAACTTGGGACCCAATATTTCTGACAGGATTTTTTAATAGGAGCCTAAACTATCCTTTCCATGTTCAGCAGTAGCCCCCATAGCTGAACCTCATCCCAGCTCACCTAAGAAGATGGGGAAAGGGATGAGAAAGGAGATCATGGACATGATGAGGAGTGGCCTAGCTTCTCCCCTCCCTGTAGGGAGTAGGTGAGTTGAAAGTTTATGAGGGATTGCAGTGGCTGCATGAGATTCCAGGATTTATAGAAAGTGGGTTTGAAGCTTGAGCTGCTGTCAGAGCTGAAGGGAAACAGCTGCCTCCTTCTCTTCGCAGGGTGTGGTTCTTGGAAACGCAGGGGATTAGGATGAAACTGAACATCTCCCCTAAAATACCACGCACATCACCCACTTGGAAAGCATCACATCAGCAGAAGCCTCCGGCAGCAGATGGAAAACAGAGCCAAAGTGAGAACGCAGGTTCCTGGCAGCCTCCCCCAACTTATGTGGGAAGATGTTTCCCTCCCTCTTTTCTCTTCTCCCGTCCTCAATGCTAGCGTAGTTAACGTTGGGAAGGGAAGGCATGGAGGAATACTAGACTCAGAACTGGCCTAGAACATGAATCCCCACCCAGACCCTCCGAGGTGCTGGAGGAGGAAGAAGAGCTGAAGGGTAGACAATATCCCTTCCCGCTCTCCCTGACCCCCAAGTCCTCCTCCCACATTTTAGCTGATGACAGGATGGGGAAAGTTTTAAATGAGAAAGGAGATTGACATGTTGAAATAGACTGAATTTTTGTTTATGGAAAATGACAAGGAAATTCTTTGGTCTGCCCAAGACATGATTAAGAGAAAGCAAAGGGATATTTGTCAGAATATGGTTGAAAGCAGTTATTGTAAAAATAAAACAACCCTCAAAAGACCCACTATTTCTTATTCCTCACTCAGTGGAGAAGTGCATGTTTAGTCCAAGAAATGACACCCAAGCAAATGGAAGAAGCTTGTGCAGAGGATTGTCATATCCGCCTTGATAATTTTGGGGAATAGTGAAACATGGAAGAGATAATGGACGAATGAATTTTTGAAAGAGAAGGTGGATTTTTTATGCTATTAACCAATGAGTTTATGTTAATACAGGGCAACGTTTTAAGAGGAATTATTAACATGGTCACCTGGAGCATGTATTAAAAAAAAAAGTGATGCCCAGGCATGGTGGCTCACGCCTGTAATCCCTACACTTTGGGAGACCAAAGTGGCAGGATCGCTTGAGCTCAGGAGTTTCAGATTAGCCTGGGCAACATGGTGAGACCCTGTCTCTACCACCCCCCCACCAAAACAAAACAAAACAAAAAACAGTAGCTGGACATGGTGGCATGCACCCGTAGTCCCAGTTACTGGAGAGGCTGAAACAGGAGGATCCCTTGAGCCCAAGGGTTCAAGGCTGCAGTGAGCTATGACCACGCCACTGTACTCCAGCCTGGGTGACAGAGCAAAACCCTATCTCAAAAACAAACAAATAAATAAACAAATAATAAATAAAAGTGATGAAAACCAGCAGCTAACAAGAGTTCACAAAGAATAAGCCATGCCTTACGAACTTCCATTCCTTTGGAAAAGGCTTACTGTGCTGGGCTATGGGAGGATACTGCAGAATAGTGTATCTGCACTGCTGTGAGGCATTTGACTAAGTGTTTTACCATTTCCTGGAACAGTACTAGAAATGTGAGCTGCATGATGGGACAGTTAGAAGGCTCAGGAATTAGTTAAATGACAATAATTCTTCATTTAGTGTTTGTATCACGCCCCGCATTGTGCTGGGGGCTTTTCACACATTATCTGTAATCTTTAAGAATGGTTACTCTGAAAGGTCAGTGTTATCATTTCTGTTTACAGATGAATAAACTGAGATTATGCAAGATGATGACAGTCATCCAAAATCTTCCAACAGTTATGAAGCAAAGCTAGAATTTATTGGCAAATAAAAAGTCCACACTTTAAAAAACTTAACACTCAAATTTAACTTATCAGTTGATTGATTTTTCACTTGGCAAGAGTCTCCTGTGATATTTTCTAATGATTACAGTAGGCTGAAAGTGAAACAAACTTCTTGGGGAGAAGATGAGTTCCCTGAGATACAGGATATTGAAGCAGAGTTTGGTCCACCCTGAATGTTGTGAATGGGCTTCACTAGAGGTTCTAACCAAGGCTTTCCAAGGGTGATGGATACATGGATACAGATGTTTTAAAGGCATCAATCTCTAGATGTTGAATTACCACATGTATGCAGTTCTTGACTTGCCAGTTCAGCCTCCCCACTGCTATGCTCACAGGCAGCCTTTCCCCTTAATTATAAAAGCCATACCCTTCACCCATCCCAAATCTGCAGACTCAGAAACTTATAGGATGCCAGACAAAGGGACAATTCTAAAACTTGGTTGCAGGAAAATCTTCCTTAATGATCATTGAGAAACTTTAATCTCACCATTGGCTTCCTGTTTATGCCCGTTTTACACATATTTTTGTTATGGATGAAACATGGATTAGAAAACAAAGTATTCAAATGTTCTAAATTTAGAAATTTTGAAGAGAAGCATGGTGGGAATGATAGCAATGATCATTTAATAACCTTGCCTCTTCTATTTTCAAAACGTTGTCCAAGACTGTATCTTTCTCTAGAGTCAGTAAGAACAAAGCAAACACAGCCTCAGTCAGAAATGTGAATGCCAGAGGGGAACAACACACACTGGGGTCTGTTGGGTGTGGCACTGGGGGAGGAAGAGCATTAGGAAAAATAGATGATGCATGCAGGGCTTAATACCTAGGTGATGGGTTGATAGGTGCAGCAAACCACCATGGCACACGTTTACCTATGTAACAAACCTGCACATCCTGCACAAGTACCCCAGAACTTAAACTTAAAATAAAAAAAAAAAAGAATCATGAATGCTTAAATGACTTCTTTTCTCCTTTCATGTAGGTAAACTGAAGCAATTCTTTTCAGTTAATCTCAACACTCATTCTTTAGGTCTTCTAGGCAGAAGAGAAAGTGGTATAACTAAGAGTTCCTTTAATAAGACTTGGTAAAAAAATTTTTTTAGCATATTTCCCAGAAATTGAGAAAGAAACTGACTAGTGACTATGTAACAAATATTTTTGAAAATTAGGTACTTTCCAATTCTTTGCCTTTGTCAAAATGAAGATCATCTTAAATTGTCAGCTACTAGAACATTACTAATAATTTTGATTATGGATCATCTAAATATGATTATTGGCAATATTAATTTATTTATACATGAACTACTTGAGAGGGAGCCTATTCATTTTAGTAAGAAGATATGCACATTCAATAACATTTTACTCTTAATAATAGTTATCAAAATATTTTATTAATTGTATAGTAATAATTGTAATAATAACTCAATCCAGAACCTACTTTCCTTCCTTCCTTCCTTCCTTTCCTTCCTTCCAGCCATCACTTAGAACCTTATGGTCTTAATAAATAAAAACTAAAATAATTGAATTTATATGCAAATCTGTATCAGAGAGAACTATAATTTGAGATCAAGAAAATACTTTCAAGCATAAAAATGTGTTACTAGGATAAAACTCAGTAGGAACATGAAATGGCAATAGGAATTCAAAGACAAAAAAATGATGTAAATTTCCCACTATCCAAGAGGAACTTGTGTTTGTATTTTCAAGAAGAATAATGGCTGTTATCAAATCATTATGATATTTAGCTTTCATTGGATGCCTTTAACATTTTATTAGATGTCAACATTAAACCCTAAAAAGTGCATTTTTTGGCCACCATTTAAACTTTAGAAAATATTTTAAATGTCAATTTTATTTTGTTGTATTTTTAGCTTTATCAGGGTATAATTGACAAACACAAACTGTATATATTTAAGGTATATAACTTGATGTTTTCAATGTATGTATATACATTATGAAATGATTATCACAATCAAACTAATAAACATGTCCATCACCTCACATAGTTACCTTTGTGTGTGTGTGTGTGTGTGTGTGTGTGTGTGTTGAGAACACTTAAAATCTACCCTCTTAGTGAATTTTAAACATGTAATGGAGTATTATTAACTATAGTCATGATGCTGTACATTAGATCTCCAAAACTTATTCATCCTGCAAAACTGAAACTTTGTACCCATTGACCAACATCTCCCCATTTCCCCCACTGCCTCAACCCCTGAAAACCACTATCCTGCTCTGTTTCTATGAGTTAGGCTATTTTAGATTCCACATATAAGTGAGATCATGCAGTGTTTGTCTCTCTGTGTCTGGTGTGTTTCACTTAGCATGATGTCCTGCAGATTCATTCATGTTGTTGCAAATGACAAAATTTTCTTTTTTTTAAAAGGCTGAGTAATATTCATATATATATATTTAATCCATTCATCCATTGATGAACACTTAGGTTGATTCCATATCTTGGCTATTGTGAGTAATGTTGCAATGAACATGGATTGCAGACATCTCTCTGAGATACTGATTTTCCTTTGGATATATACCCAGTAGTGGGATTGCTGGATGGTATGGTAGTTTTTATTTTTAATTTTTTGAGGAACCTCCATATTGTTCTCCATAATGGCTGCACTAATTTACATCCCCACCGACATTGTGCAAGGGTTCTCTTTTCTTCACAACCTCACCAACATTTGTTATTTTTTGTTTATTTTGTAATATCCATCTTAACAGGTGTGAGGAGTTAACACATTGTAGTTTTAATTTGTATTTCCCTGATGATTGGTGATAAACGAACATTTTTTTTTTCCATATACCTGTCAGCCATTTGTATGTCTTCTTTTGAGAAATGTCTTTTCAAGACCTTTGGTCATTTTAAAACCAGGTTGTTTTCTTGCTACTGAGTTGCTCGAGTTCCTTATATATTTTGGGTATTAACCCCTTGTCAGATGTATAGTTTGCAAATACTTTCTCCCATTTAGTAGGTGCCTTCTTCACTGTTTTGATTGTTTCATTTGCTGAGCAGAAGGTTTTTTAGTTTGATTCAATCCAACTTGACTATTTTTGCTTTCGTTGCCTTCACTTTGGTGTCATATTAAAAGAAATCATCCACACCAGTGTCAAGAAGCTTTTCCCCTATGTTTTTTCTAGAAGTTTATAATTTCAGGTTTCACATTTAAGTTTTTAATCCATTTTGAGTTTATTTCTGTGGATGGTGTGAAGTAAGAGCCCAATTTCATTCTTGTGCATGTGGAGATCCAGTTTTCCCACCATCATTTGTTGAAGAGACTATTCTTTCCCCTTCGTGTGTTCTTGGCAGCCATTATGAAGAATAGTTGACTGGAGATGCATGGATTTATTTCTGGACTCTATATTCTGTTCCATTGGTTTATATGTCTGTCTTCTTCTTCTTCTCCTCCTCCTCCTCCTTCTTGTTATTGTTCTTCTTCTTCTCCTTCTTCCTCCTCCTTTTCCTCCTCCTCCTCCTGTTCTTCTTCTTCTTCTTCCTCTTCCTCCTCCTCCTGCTGCTTCTTCTTATTTCTTCTTTTTTGCTAGTACCATCCTGTTTTAACTACTGTAGCTTTGTAATATATTTTGAAATCAGGAAATCTGATGTCTCCAGCTTTGTTCTTCTTGCTCAAGATTGTTTTAGCTATTTGTAATCTTTGGTGGTTCCTTATGAATTTTAGGATTTTTTTTTCTGTAAAGAATGCCATTGGGATTTTGATAGAGATTACACTGAACCTGTAGATCACTTTGGGTAGTACGGACATTTTAACAATATTATTTTTTTCATTTTTCTTTGGAGAGGGGGTCTCACACTGTCACATAGGCTGGAGTGCAGTGGCACAATTTTGACTCACTGCAGCCTTGACCTCCCGGTCTCAAGCAATCCTCCCACCTCAGCTTCCTGAGTAGCTGTGACTGCAGATCCATGTCACCATGCCTGGCTAATTTTTGTATTTTTCGTAGAGATGGGGAGTCTCCATGTTGCCCAGGTTGGTCTTGAATTCCTGGACTTGAGCTGTTCGCCTGCCTCGGCCTCCCAAAGTGCTGGGATTACAGGCATGTGCCACCACGCTTAGCCAACAATTAATTCTTCTAATCCATGGGAACATGACATGCCTTTCCATTTAGCTGTATCTTCTTTAATTTCCTCATCAATGGATTTTAATTTTCGTGTGCAAGTCTTTCACTTCTTTAGTTAAGTTTATTCATAAGCATTTTACTTTTTACTTGTTTTGGTTGCTATTGTAAACAGGATTGCTTTCTTAATTACCTTTTTGGATAGCTCATTGTTTGTGTATATAAACACCACTGATTTTTTTATGTTGATTTTGTATCCTGCAACTTCACTGAATTTATTAGTTCTAACAGTTTTTTAGTTGAATCTTCAGAGTTTTCTACATATATGATCACATCATCTGCAAAGAGATAATTTTACTTATTCCTTTCCAATGTGGATGTTTTTAATTTCTTTTTCATGCCTAATTGCTCTAGCTCAGTCTTTTAGTACTATGTTGAATAGAAGTGGTGAAAGTACCAAAGGAACTTCAGCAGCTCAGGGGCCCAAGCCTGACTTGATGGGACCCACAGTAGCTGTAGTTCTTCTTGTCATGTCTAGACTCATAAAATATTGTGCCATGAGACCTGAGACAGGGCTTTCCCAGCACCTAATAACACAACTCAAAATGTGGGAGTTTAATGCTTAACAGACATACTTAGAGTAATGAGAGTCAGGAAAATGGAATGAACCAGCAGATAAACTCCATTCCTTTCCTTCTACGTCACACTGTGTTGAGTAGCAAGAGTTTCTTATGACCTGCTTGGAAGACCTCCTTATTGACTGTGAACAATATGTGATGCTTTCTTCTGAAACTATGGCCTTCTGGGCAATGTGCTACCTTTTCTCCTTCAAGGACACATTTATTTTTCCTTCACTTTTGCAACTCTGGCATTGACTTTCCCAATAAAGTCTGAGGACTTAAGCTTTGTTGCAGGTTCTATTCTTATTGTTATTATTTTGTAGAGACTAGGGTCTCACTATGCTGCCCAGGCTAGCCTTGAACTCCTGGCATTAAAGTGATCCTCCTGTTCACGCCTGTAATCCCAGCACTTTGGGAGGCCAAGGTGGGAGGATCACTTGAGTCTAGGAGTTTGAGACCAGCCTGGGTAATGTGGCAAAACGCCGTCTCTACAAGAAATACAAAAATTAGCTAGGTGTGGTGGTGCACACCTGTAGTCCCACCTACTTGGGAAGCTGAGATGGAAGGATCGCTTGAGTCCAAGAGGCTGAGGCTGAAATGAAGGAGATTGAGCCACTGCACTCCACCTTGGGTGATTGAGTGAGACCCTGTCTAAAACCAAAAAACAAAAAACAATGCCCCACATAAAAAGAATTGTAAGAAAAAGGATCTCCTTAATGCCTATAAATTAATATCATTCAGGAGAACATCCTACTTTTCTCATAGCTCCATGCTATGTATTGCAAAATACTAATTTAAAAAAAATCTCAGCCAAGACTAGTGTAGAATAATATGATAAAAATTATTTTTTAAAGAAATAAACACATTAGTTTACTTTAGCATGGAAAATATATCTTATTTATTTATTTATTTTGAGATGGAGTTTAGCTCTTGTTGCCCAGGCTGGAGTGCAATGGTGTGATCTTGGCTCACCACAACCCCTGCCGCCCAGGTTCAAGCAATTCTCCTGCCTCAGCCTCCCGAGTAGATGGGCTTACAGGCGCCAGCTACCACGCCCGGCTAATTTTTGTATTTTTAGTAGAGATGGGGTTTCACCATGTTGGGCCAGGCTGGTCTCGAACTCCTGACCTCAGGCAATCCACCCGCCTCGGCCTCCCAAAGTGCTGGGATTACAGGCGTGAGCCACGGCACCGGGCTGATCTTACTGTTTATAAGATCTATTTGTTGTTTCTTCTTTCAAATAAATTTTATTGAGGTATAATTTCCATACAATATAATGTGCCCATTTAAAAAATATATATCAATGAGTTCTGACAAATACCTCTACCCAGACAAATAACTGCCATCACAGTCCAGATCTAGAATGTTTGCATCACCCCCAAGCAGTTTCCTCATGACTTTTTGCAGCAACACTTTCCCACCTTTAGCCCCAGGCAGCCACTGGCCTCATCAGCTTTCACTTTGTCATGATAGGGTAAGTTTTGTCTGTTCTAGAATTTCATATAAATAGAATCATCATCTGATGGATGTGTACACACACACACACACAACATCTAGCTTCTTTGGTTTTGAGATTCATTCATTCACTTGAGTGTACAAGTAGTTTGCTCCTTTTTATTGCTGAGTAATGCCATTGTATTAATATGCCACATACTGATGGACATTTGCATTGCTTCTAATTTTTGGCTATTACCACCAAAGCTGCTATGAACATTCATGTGAATGGAAAAAAAGAAAACAAAAGTGGTAAGAGTGGGTATCCTTATACCACATCTTAGTGGAAAATCTATCAGCTTTTCCTCATTGATTATGATGTTAGCTGTGGGCCTTTCATATATTGTCTATATTGTGTTAAGTTCCTTCTATACTTTTTTGTTGAGAGTTTTTTTTTAATCATGAACGAATATTACATTTTGTCAAATGCTTCTTCTATTAAGTGGATGTCAGTTTTACAATGTAGAGGTAGTTCCTCCAAATTGTCCTATGGAATATGCCATCCAAAAGCTTTAGTGTCCCTGATCTAGATGGCCATAAGCCTGAAACCCTTTTATTATGAAGAAGTGTCTGGAATTAATTTGGTTTAATTCCAGGTTACCAGCTAAAACACTGGGCACGTTACTTAAGTTTTTTGTATTTTGAGAAATAGGATACGAACAGAGCCTTCTTCATGGAGTTTTTGTGAAGTTGAATAGGGATAATGTGTCTGAGGTATGCAGGCTTGCCCCTCAGTTTTGTTTAGGCTCACCAAAAGCTCTCTTCTGCAAGGGGGTGGGGGTGAAGTGGTGGGTAGGGAAGTAGGGGAGTAGGGAACTGGAGCACAGACAAAAGATCAGGGAATGGAGGCTCCTCATTGTGGGATGTTGGGAGGCAGAGGTTTCCCTGTGCTCTCCTGTCCACTTTCTCCAGAGCTGGTGGAAGGAAGGGTTACCAGCTACCCAGAGACCCCGGAATCCCTGCTGTAGTACCGGAATTCCTAGCAGGCCAGAGCATCCAGAATGTTCCTATTGATGTTTTAGCTGGACAGTTAAACTACCACCAGATGGAATGTATTTTGGATGACACAGCCTGTTTTTCAGGTTCCTGGCTGGCCAACTACAGAGGTTCATGTGGGTCATTTCATTGACCTCAGAATGATTTGCTCCTGCAGTTTTTGGGGCACTACTTACTGTATTATGACAGAGTTTTATATATCAGAAATGCTAGAGTTGGGGGCAGGAGGACAGAGAGGGGAGGAAAATGACCTTGAGGGGAGGAGAGCGTCCCATGGGGATAAAATTAAGCTGCAGCTGCTGTTAATCTCTCTTTAGGAAGACTTTCTCAAAGGAGAGGACTGACTACGGGATTTTTATTTATTTATTTATATTATCATTTTTAAATTTTTTTAGTGACAGGGGTCTCATTATGTTGCCCAGGCTGGTCTTGAACTCCTGGGCTCACGTGATCCTCCCATCTTGGCCTCCCAAACTGCTGGGATTATAGGCATGAGACACTATGCCCAGAGGGATTTTTTAAGGACACAAATATTTAAAATTGATTTTGAAGTTGTTTTTCACCTTCTGCCATAATTATGCCTTTGCAACCCTAAATATACAAAAATGTCCTGTTAACAATGCTTCAGGACAGTAGCTCTCAACTGGCTGCGTATTAGAGTCACCTAGGGAAATTTAGATAATCTCGAGGGCCAGTTCACACAGCAGACCCATTAAATATAAAGCTCTAAAAGTGGCATTAGTATTGTAAAAGATCTCCCAGGTGATTTTTAATGTGCAGCCAAGGTTGGCAACTGCTGCTTTAGGAAAATGAAAGAAGGAGAGTCGTGTCGAACAAAATGTTCATGCAACCAGGGAGAAGCCGGTTGCTGAAAATGAGGTTGGTTTTCAAGCTGATCCTGAGTACAGCCAAGCAGGGCCTTTGGCCCTTTCCTTCTTTCCCCGGGAAGCTTATATTAAAAGCAGCAGATTCTGTCCAGCAATTAAAGAGAGTGGGTAGGAGATAAACTCTGGTCCTCACTGATTTTCACTGTTATTTCCTCTGAGTTGATCTCCCTGTTATTTTTCTGTGGAGTTGGAGCTTGACTCCTTTCCAAAGACAATGAAATCTGGTCACCGACTCAGCCAGCTGGGACACTGCCCTCTTGCCCATCTCTAGGCACATGGTTTCCAGACATCTTCCTGGGCAAGGGTGGTCGATAGCTGTGAAGGAAACACAGGGGTGAAGCTGGCTGTGTGCAACTGAGCCCTCGCTGGAGAGAAAGGCCATTCTAATGAGAGCTTGGTTAAGTAGTAAAATGGCTAAAGAGTCATATGGGATTAGTCCAATGCCTAATAAAAAGTCCCAACTGCCCTGGGTCCTGCAAAATCCAGCCTAGAAGCCTTACCTCCTTTCTTGTCTCCTCCAGGCCAGTGACTTCTCTCTGTTTTGTGCTCCTGTCTCCCTTATGTTCTGGATCATTCTCTTGGTCACCGATACGGTTTGGCTGTGTCCCCACCCAAATTTCATCTTGAATTGTACCTCCCACAATTCCCACGTGTCATGGGAGGGACCCTGTGGGAGGTAATTGAATCATGGGGGCGGGTATAACCCATGCTGTCCTTGTGGTAGTGAATAAGTCTCACGAGATCTGATGATTTTATAAAGAGGAGCTCCCCTGCACAAATTCTCTCTTCCCTGCCACCATGTAGGATGTAACTTGTTACCCCTTGCCTTCCACCATGATTGTGAGACCTCTCTAGCCATGTGGAACTGTGAGTCAATTAAACTTCTTTCCTTTATAATTATCCAGTCTCAGGTATGTCTTCATTAGCAATGTGAGAACAGACTAATACAGTCACTTAGCTGGAAACAGGGATGTGTGACTTGGCTAATCAACCACTTCCAGTGTGTACGCTTTGTTTTATCACTAGACTGAAAAATTAATTTTCTGAGGACTTGGGATTTGTAAGACCTCCAAAGTCGATGAAATCTATTTACTGATAAATATTTTGTACTCTTTTCATTTCTTCTTTTTCTTCTCTTTTTTCTTCCCTTCCTTGCCATAAACATAGCTATTACCTCCAAATGTTTTCTCCTGCCCTCTATATTTTATTATTTTATGACAAGAACACCTAATATAAATTCTACCCTCTTAGCAAATTTTTGTTAACCATAGGCATCATGTTGCATAATATATCACTAGGACTTATTGCTTATGTAATTTTAATTGTCACCTGCTACATTGGTGACCTTCAGACTCTTTGGCTCTGATCCGCTCCCCTTTTCTAGAGTCCCATGTTCTGTAATAATAACAATATCAACAACACTGACATCTGTAGCAAAGATCATTGTATGCCTACTATAATACTCATTCTCTCCTTTTTAAGTGAGAGAATCTCAATATTTTATACAGGGCAGCAATGCACCCTGTCTTTGAAGCCTCTGCTTCATTTTAGGTATGATTATGGAACTAAATTCTACCTGGTTAGCTGTCATCAGAAGTGCTTTTTGAAAGCGGAGGCAGAGGGGCACTTTAATGCCCTTTCTGCTTCTTGCATATGGGTGTGTTGGCTGAAGCTCCAGAACTATGCTGGATCATGAGGCAATGAGCTAAGGATGGTGGAGCCAAGAGAGAAATATCTGGATGTCTGATGTCCCCAGCACTGCCCTGGACTGATCGCCTCTGGAGTTTTATTGCACAAGAGAAAAAGAAACATTTATGTGTTTAAGCCATTGAATCATTTTGGCTTTTTAGTTATTCTAGCTGAATCAAATCTTACAATTGGTGATATTACTGACTAGATCCTAGGTGTCAGGCACCATGACTCTTTATATATATTTTCTATATATATATATATAGAAAAGCTCTTTATATTTTTTTCTAATTTAATCCACTAATCTTTTAAGAGAGATTCTATTATTAGTCCCATTTTATAGATTTTAAACATTAGGCTTAAAGACGTTAAGTCACTTGTTCAAGATCCCTCAGCTGGTACATTCTGGGGCAGTATTTGAACTTAGGCAGGCAGAGTTCAGGAATCTGACCCTCATTTCTGGTATCTTGAAGACATCACTCTTTTAAGTTGTTCCCTTGATATCAAGAGCTAAGAAGATATATTTTCTTCCTAAATTAACCACAACTCTGTTTTGTATTTCTCTGTTATTATTGATAGGGCATAGACACACCTGCCAAAAGATTTTAAAACCTCCCCTCCTCAACCCTCCTTTCTCAGGAGATGCAGGCTGAAAGAGAATTAAGGAAATGATCCAAGGCGATGTTCCTAGACTTTCGAATGAAAGGACTAGGTTTTTGGGTTTTTTTTTTGTTTGTTTTTTGTTTTTTCAGGTGATTCTATTGATGTAGAGTTTACAGCCTTATTTTTCAAAGTAAGAATATTAATAAACTGCAATCTGCCATGAACATCATTTTACAAAAAAGTAAATTTTCATGAGAGAGAAAATGATATAATTATTAAAAAGAGCAGTTCTTTGAGCCAATTAAATTAAATTATAAGGTTAGCATTTTAAATACACTGCATTATCTTTTTATTTCTTCTTCTCTCATTTTTCCAGGGACTAGTGTAAATGCCATCAGGATCTGAGAAACCTTTATTTAAGATTGCAAAGGAGGGGAAAGTGCTAGAACAATTGCCTCAAATTGCAAACCAGGCCAAACAATGATGAACAAGGGTGGCAAGATTGCTATTTGACACCAATATCCATTCTCCTTTTCTTCCTTAGTAAAAGGACCCTGGCTTTTACTTGGGGGCAATATGCCCAGTTAAAAGAATATGTATACTTTCCTGCAGGTAGGTCTGGCCAAGTGACTAAATTCTGGTCAATGAGATATAAGCAACATATTAAGTAGGACTTCTAGGACAGCACTTAATTGGGCTCAGCTGCAAAGGGGACCCACTTGTCTTCCCAGGCTTTCTCTCTCTGCTAATCTAGGAGAACACTGCGGCTGGCATGGTAGATTGCATCTATCATGGAGTGAGGATGGCATTGCTGAAAGGTGGCCTCCCGTGTCCCTGATGACACCTTGGAGCCCCGAAAATAGCCTGCCTTTGGACTTCTTTTACATGAGAGGGAATTTCATCTTAAGATACTATTCTCCTCCTCCTCCTCCTCTTCTTCTCCTTCTCCTTCTTCTTCTTCTTCTCCTTTTCCTTCTCCTTTCCTTTTCCTCCTCCTCCTCCTCCCCATCCCCCTTCTCCTTTTACTTCTCCTTTTCTTTTTGTTTTAGAGATAGGATCTCCCTATGTTGTCCAGGCTGGTCTTAAACTTCTGGACTCAAGAGATCCTTCTGTCTCTGCCTCCCAAAGTGCTGGGATTACAGGCGTGAACCACTGTGCCTGGCTTTATTTTTTTCTTGTTACTTGTTTCCACTGCTAACCGACATAAAGAGATAAATGAAAATCCATTTTGGACAAAGCAATCATTGTAGTGTTAGAAAGAATTCAAGAGATCAACTGTTTCATTTATTGGGAAGAAAATCAGAGCCAGGGCCGCAAAGTGACTTGCTCAAAGTCACATCATTCAACATTCCTGCTATAAATATTTGCTGAGTGTGTCCTATGTGTGAGGCTCTTTGCCACAAGCTGGGGTCACAAAGATGAAGCAGGGCATGAATCTGGCTATACCCAGACTCACAAAATGGGGCTAGACAGGCTGACGGCCTTTCTCCCTGCATTGTGCACCCAGCACAGTCTCTGGGGTGGGCTTTATGGTAGGTTCTGTCCAGTGACCCCCAAACCAGGGTCTAGGGCCTCACTCTGGGGAAAGATGGGTGTGGGTCAAAGAAGGAGGGTCAAGGAGCCAATCACCTGGGGCTGTCTTGTAAGTTGGAGAAGAGCAAAAGGAGCAAGAAAAGAAATTATAGCATTTACTTTTGTTGTATTCAAGACTAAAGAAAATGCGTACAGAAAACCACACAGACTTCCATTTCTCCTGAAGTAACATGCACACATGAGTGTCAAAGCACCTCCAATCACAAATGCACACTCATAAATGCACATATTCCCAGGAAACCTTTGCAGGATTACGTTTCTTTTGCTCCTTTAAAAACGTCTCGTGTGTTTGGGTGCATGTTTATGCGGCTTATGTGGAAAGGGGGTGGAGTGGAGGCAATAATACAATACAGTTTCTGGGGGCCCCTGGGGAGAATTTCTGAATTCCCTGGGATAGGAAGTTCCCTAAGAAAGCAGGAGCCACTTAAATTCCCACCAAACAACAAAGCTCATGCAGCCAAGATAAAAGGAGAGTGGGGGAGGAGAGAAAAAAAAACACACAAAACACCTCGCTCTGGTTTAGGGAAGCAGGTGCACCCAATACAAACAATATTATTTCTTCTATTATTTGTAGAGTTTAGGAACAAAACAAAACAAAACAAAACAAAACAATACTCAACTCCTCCCCTCCAGGCTGAGGGGAACCTCCAAAAATGCTCAACGCAACAAGATAAAAAAGGCCGTTTCTCACCATATGTAACAGCAAAGAAACTAAATTTAAAACTAACAAACACAAAGAAAAGCCCCAGACTACCAGACAATTAAGAACATTGGGCTAAACCAAGTTTAAAGGACACGACATTTTACCTTTTTGTGTGTTTGTGGTCAGCCTCCCATACTGTCATCAGGGTTAATGAAGCTTAAGTGGCGCATTTCCCTGCTACTTACAGGCTATCTGCAGCTTTAAAACGATCAACTGAAGTTCTGAGTCATTTCTGTTTGTATTTACACGGTGCTTGCTGCAAGTATGTAATGCATCAGGGGAATGTGGCCATCAGGAACACAGGTAAAATCAGAAGCAGGTGTACAGTGGGGCTCCAGGGCCCCCCAGTTGCACGGACTCCTTCTGAAGCCTGGGAGGGCTCTGGCAATGTGCCCACTGGTCATATATTTTTGTACAATTTGTAAAAATAAATTATTTTTTCTTGGCAGGTTGGGGGAGGAAAGCATCAGGATAAATAGCTAATGTACATGGGGCTTAATACATAGGTGATGGGTTGTTAGGTGCAGCAAACACACCATCACGGCACATGTTTACCTATGTAACAAACCTGCACATCCTGCACATGTATCCCGGAACTTAAAATAAAATGGTGATTCATGCCTCTAATCCCAGCACTTTGGGAGGCTGAGGCAGGTGGATCACGAGGTCAGGAGATGGACACCATCCTGGCCATCCTGGCCAACATGGTGAAACCCCGTCTCTACTAAAATACAAAAAA
Organism: Homo sapiens; assembly: GCF_000001405.40. Taxonomy (NCBI): domain Eukaryota; kingdom Metazoa; phylum Chordata; class Mammalia; order Primates; family Hominidae; genus Homo; species Homo sapiens. The sequence goes on along the minus strand of NC_000008.11, from coordinate 79,742,626 downwards.
TTAGCCGGGCGTGGTGGCTGGCGCCTGTAGTTCCAGCTACTTGGGAGGCTGAGGCAGAGGAATCACTTGAACCTGGGAGGTGGAGATTGCAGTGAGCCGAGATTGAGCCACTGCACTCCAGCCTGGTGACAGAGCGAGGCTCAAAAAAAAAAAAAAAACAAGAAAAAAATTATTTTTCTGCACTTTATGTGGACCCCCAAATTGTATCAATTTCAAGGGCTAGAAAACCTGGATCTATCCTGAGTGGGCTTTGTTCAAACTTCCACAAAAAGCTTTTTCTTACTGAAAAATAAATCCCTTCAGTTCTTAAGGTGCAGGAATTATAATGACATATGAACAGTGTGTATCCAAGGCTGGAAGTCCCATCTGACAAGCTACCCTGGGACAAAAAGTTGGGGAATGAGAAGATTGAAGAAATGTTACTTGGGGAACTCGGGTGAATTTGGGTGAGAGGTCCCCTTGGATAAAGGTAGTAATGTTGGAGGCTTGGATCTTTCACCTGCTAAAACCCTCTAATTCTTGTGCAGGGATCTGGGCTAGCTCTCTGGCATTTTATCACATAGTATTTTAATAATATTTTAACCCAAAATTTCCGGCTTGAGGAATCGCTCTTCATTTCTGCTGCAGGGTCGGGTGGGGACAAGAGCCCTCAGTCAGATAACCCCAGCTGGCTCTGCCCAAGCATGCAGGCAGGGGAAGTAGCCGATTTATGGAAAGGACTCAGGCACCTTCCGGAAAGTACTCAAGAGGAGAGGGAACTGAGAAAAACAAGGACAAGCAGCCTTGGAAAACGAGGCGTTGTTTAGAATACAACCAGTGTCTGTTGTTTAGATTCTCTTCCAGCTCAGTCCCCAAGGACGCATGCCAGGGCCTTCAACAAAGAAGGCCCAGAAAATTTAAAAGGCATTTTACTAGGACCATATGGTGCTGCGAACCCCAGGCTGAACCACAACCTAATGTGATCTGAGAGGAAAGGTATTTTCTCCACAGGTCACTCTCAAAGCTGGGTGGAGATTGGAACAGCCTAGACCCCGAGAATGGAGTCTTCTGAGCACAGAGGATCTGGAAAGGATTCAGGGAGGACAAGACACCCCTGTGGTCTCTGCAGCTTTGAGGTGACACAAGCAGCTTGGTAGCAGCTGCTGAGCAGGAGAGGAGAAAAACATCATCTTGAGGCTAGAGGAACATGTGAGCTGTCCCTGGGACACTAAAAGAAACTGACCCAGAAAAATCGGGCTTGAGAGTAACTACCACAACTGGCACAACAACATCGTGATGATGATAGTTGAATAATCTATACCATATCATAATGTAATCATTCATAACAGTGTATGATTGCCATGGGCCAGGCATTAAGTTAGCTCGCTGTATCCCTCATCTCCTTTAACCTTCCCTGAACAATGAGGTAGGTTCTGTTATTGTAGCTGGTCTACAGATGAGGAAACCAGAGAAGGCAAGTAAGTTGCCTAGAACTAGCACACACCTAGTAAGTACTGGGGCTGGAATTCTAACCTGTATGTCTCAATCTTGAGCCCACCTTCTTAACTGCTGTTTACATGGTAGTGGGAACAAATGAAGCCAAAGAAATAGTGTTTTGTTCCGCTTATTGCGAATTTATTTTCACCACCAGACTGCTGGTATGACCTGGAAAATATTTAATATTACTATAAAAGCTAATGTGATCACACATCTACTCGTTCAAAAACATTTATTGAATGCCTATAACTGAGCTCTGGCATATGCTGACTGGTGGAAGCTCTGGGCTATCCTTCCACTTTAAGGAGTTCTCATGTTAACATTCTAAAAAATCCATGTGATAGCTGAGCTCTTAGATGTTTCCTATTATGAATTTTTTACAATTTCTCCCTTCTAGGCATTTTTATTTTCCATAATCATAGCTTTTGCCCAATTCAATCTGAAGTAGAAACCACCTTCTTCATTGGGTATGTTTAAGCAATTGGACCAAGGGTAACCTTAGTTTATTTCTAGAAAGGCAGGCCAAATTGTGAAGGTTGAATTGTGCCTCTCTGACTGAAAGGAGGAAATTGAAAAAATGTTCTGCCAAAACGTGCTTACTGATTAACTGCCGTTGTATATATAAGAGTCAAGGTTTATTGTCTGCTTGGAGAACTCAGTCATATATAACTAAAAGTCATCAGCCTGTACAGGTAACTTATACTGATTAGTGAATATTGCATCACTGTTCTAGCAAAGAGGAACTAATTTTAACTTCATGAAGGCTGAGAATTCTTTTCTATGTACCATCCCTGCTGATAAGATAGAATCTATTGAAAATGTAATGTTGCTCCAGAATTTCCACAATTCAAAACGTGATAGCTGGTGAAGGTTTGCCTGCTGAGTGAGAACATAGTTTGGCATTTAAGTTGTCCTATTGTTTATGACTTATTTCACGGAAACATTGACTTTGGAAAGGCACAAGCTGTGATTCTGACCATTGGGGGTGGGGGAATCAAAAGTTTAGGGGGAACCTATTCTGTTCTGGATAAAAATAGTCCTACTCACTCTATTGCTTTGCAAGGAAAACATCAATTAGATTGAACAATGTTCCCTGCAGAACGTAGATGCCGCGTTGTCTCTGGATAACTCCTTTGAATTTGCTTTGGACTGCGTTGTGTCTTCTGTTGGGAGGAAATTATCAACAACAAGAGGAAATCCTGTACTAGTATTGAATAGTCCTTATTTTAAAGGTACTTCCCTTCTTGTGGGAATTGTATGTAATCAGAACAACACTATAAAATGTCTGAATTATTGTACAAGGTTTGACTTTCAGCCCTATTTTTTTTAAAAGATCAACTTATTGTGCTTGAGATAGAGTCAATTGTTGGGCTAGAGAGCATTCTTCTCAAGCGGCATGAACCTCACCAAGGTGGGGTGGAGGTTAAAGCAGCGGCCGCAGGAAGCAGGAGGTCCTTAGAGACACTCTTGTATTCTAGAGCACACAATGACTAATAAATGCTAAAATTACTCTGGAAAGAGCCCTTTGAGTCACAAACATTTGCCCCTTTCTGAGCAGAGCTGACATAGCTTCAAGCTGGGGGAAACTGGGTAAGGCTGCCTATGATTCTCTAGAGGCCTTTTGGTTTGGCCCAGCCAAAGAATGGGGGGATTTGAGACAAATGGGTCTTGAAGACCTGGGGTAGAAAAAAAATTTCATTTACTCTTCTCCTTCTGAGAGTAGTTAAGTATTACCTGTGGGCAAGAAGCTGCTTAGAAACAGAAGGAGCCCAACCAGCAATTCCACTCCTGGATATTTATCCAAAGGAAATGAAATCCCTATGTTGAGGTATTCCGCACTCCCATGTTTGTTGCAGCACTGTTCACAATAGCCAAGATTAGGAAACAACCTAAGTGTCCATCAACAGACGAATGGATAAAGAAAATGTGGTACATATAGACAATGGAGCGCTATTCAGCCATGAAAAAGAATGAGATCCTGTCATTTGTAACAACATGGATGGAACTGGAGGACATTATGTTAGTGAAATAACAGGCACAGAAAGACAAACTTTGCATGTTCTCACTCATTTGTGGGACCTAAGCATGAAAACAATTGAACTCATTGAGACAGAGAGTTAGAAGGAAGGTTACCAGAGGCAGGGAAGGGTGGAAAGGGGTGGGGATGGTAGAAATGGCTAATGGATATAAAAATATAGTTGGACAGAATGAATAAAATCTAGTATTTGATAGCACCACAGGGTGACTATGGTCAACAATAACTTATTGTACATTTAAAAATAACTAAAAGTATAACTGGAATGTTTATAACACAAACAAATAATAAATATTTGAGGTGATGGATACCATATTTATCCTGATGTGATCATTATGCATTGTATGCCTGTGTCAGAATATCTCATATGCCCCACAAATATATACACCTAAAATGTACCCATAAAAATAAAAAACAAAAAATAAAATTATATAAAAAAGAAGGAACCCACGAGAATAGTCTTTATCTCAAAATCTTACTTCTCTGGTTCATGAAAGTGATAAGCAGTGTATAAGGGAGATGCCTGCTACCATGGTCTGGGTGCTGCCCCATAAGTGTAATGCTTCTTGAACTTTCCTGCTGAGGCACTCCCAGCAAGAGGAGGATAAACTGGTACACTTTGAGGTACACTTGGCTCAAAGCAGCCAGGTATAAGCACAAAGTTCTTTGAGTTTTGTCTCTTATCTTAAAATTCATGAGGCTCTGGTATTCCACTGTATCGTATATCAATGTTGACTTCAATATAAGTTCAATAAAGCTTCCTGCAATGATGGAAATGTTCCATATTTGCACTGTCTGATATGTAGCCACTAGCCACATGTGGCTATGGAGCACTTGAAATGTTGCTGGAGTAACTGAGGAACTGAGTTTTTATTTTAATTAATTTAAATTTGAATAGCCACATGTGGCTAGTGGCTCCTATAGTGGACGGCACAGCACAAGTGGATATATTTAGCCTCAGATTTCTTAGTTCAACAGTTATCTCCCAGGATAAGTACTGGCCTAACAGCTCAGTCATGGTCTGCCCATGGGTAGATCTAGAAATGCACAAGCCAGTTGCAATGCTGACTACCTTGCCTTTTTCCCTTGTGGCTCTTGGACTCCAGACAGAGGTGAACACCCACCTGCTGGCAACTTCTCTGTGTGTTGGTCAGCTCAACTCTTTCCTCCGAATCACCTCCCAAGTAGCAACCATGTAATTTCAGGAAACCCAAAGCAACTCTTAAGAAGGGCAACGTGAGTGATCCTTGCACAGGGTGCTGACCTGAAACCTGAAACCTCTGTGGTCCTGTTTTTCATTTCTCAGGGTGAGGGTGCCTTGCATTTCCACCAGGGAGCCCTGAAGAATAGTTCCTGCTGCCATTGTCCTCTGCAGAGAGCATCCTGCAGTTCCCACAGCAGGACTGCCGCTGCACTTAGGGCTTGCCAACATTCTTCTGACTTCCAACCTGTCTTCAGCAGCGGGGGTGCTGGTTTCCCTTCATATTCTTCGCTCATGGAAAGACCTAAGCTGACTTATCTGTAGACTGGGCCATTCTCAGGTACTCTTGGGCAGTCTGCCAGATTTCTTTTCTTTTTTTTGAGACAGGGTCCCACTCTGTCGCCCAGGCTGGAGTGCAGTGGTGCGATTTCGGCTCACTGCAACCTCTGCATCATGTGCTCAAGTGATCCTCCCACCTCAGCTTCCCGAGTAGCTGGGACTACAGGTGCGCGCCACCGGGTCCAGCTGATTTCTTTTTTTGTGTGTGTTTTTAGTAGAGATGGAGTTTTGCCACATTGCCCAGGCTGGTCTCGAACTCCTGGGCTCAATGATCTGCCCGCCTCCACTTCCCTCCCTGCTGGGATTATAGGCGTGCTCCATCGCTCCCAGCCTTGCAGGATTTCTTTCTCTTCTTACCAGTCTCATGAATTCTGTTCTGTAACTCCCAGCCCCCACATCGAAAGGGTAAGCTCAGAGCAAGGAAGCCTAGAGGCGTTTTATACCCCCCGATTTTCTGAACAATTCTGATAACTATATAGTTAACTCAAAAGCATCGGGAAATAAAGCATCCTGATTAATAGACAATTTTAGCATACTGAAACTAACTATACCTGCCAAATGTAGGTTAGCCAATTTCCAGAGAATTCAGCACAATAAAACAGTCTTAACAAGGAAGCTATGCTAAATGGAATGCAATCTTTCTTTGGTGGCTTAGAAGGCATTTTGGGGTCTTGCAATGCCTTAGAGTCCTCATTATGAACAGTAATTACCCTTCAATTGTGCAGCATGGAATAATTATGTTTATCTTAGTTTTCCAGTGGGTTGGATTCAAGATAAACAGATGTTTGCTGCAAATAAAACAATTTCTAATATTATTTCTAATACTAATTACATTTTAACTGTTTGGGCCCTATGCGAATTAAAATTATTATGTTACATTACTAACATTAATATTGTTCATACGGAACATTTTAAAATTTACTTATATGTTCTAGGAATTAAGCTAAAAATGTGAAAACACTCCTTTTAAATAAAGGTGTTTTTCTGGCCAACATGGTGAAACCCTGTTTTCAAAGTTTTACAAAAAATTAGCCGGGCGTGGTGAATCTCCTGTAATCCCAGCTACTTGGGAGGCTGAGGCAGGAGAATCGCTTGAACCTGGGAGGCAGAGGTTACAGTGAGCCCAGATCACACCACTGCACTCCAGCCTGGGTGACAGAGTGAGATTCCAACTCAAAACAAATAAATAAGCTAAACTAAACTAAACTAAACTAAACTAAAATAAATAAAGGTGTTTTGATGCAACAGGTGCAATCTAGAAAGTTGAGTAGAAATCAGGCTTTTGTAGAATGAATCATGTATAAGAAAATGTATTTTTTAAGATGATGAAAATAATGTGTTCATCATAATAAATATGAAAAACATTGAAGCAATTTTTTAAAAGATCTGTAATCTCATCACACAATAAATAACAACTAACAACTGTGTTTATTTCTCCCAGTGCTTTTACTATGCATGCATTGTAAACAGGTTTTTATATTTTTATAAAACAGATTTATATGAAATATACTTTTCTTTTCTTTTTTTTTTTTTTGAGATGGAGTCTCGCTTTGTCACCCAGGCTGGAGTGCAATGGTGTGATCTCAGCTCACTGCAACCTCTGCCTCCTGGTCTCAAGTGATTTTCATTCCTCAGCCTCCCGAGTAGCTGGGACTACAGGGTGTGTGCCATGACACCCAGCTAATTTTTGTATTTTTAATAGAGGTGGGGTTTCACGACAAGTTGCCCAGGCTAGTCTCAAACTCCTGACCTCAAGCGATCCACCCACCTTGGCCTCCCAAAGTGCTTGAATTACAGGCATGAGCCACTTCCCCCGGCCATATGAAATATACTTTCATATCATACTTATTTTATGTAAGATTTTGCCATGTCATTGAAAGCCATTTTAAATAGAAACAGTGTAATTTATTTAACCATTTCCCTTCTTTGACTTTTTTTTTCACCTTTCTCACTATAATGTATAATGATGCTGTGAACATCCTGTTCGTACATTTTGGAGTACATCTCAGGTTATTTTCTCAGCATATATTCTTAGAGATATTATTTGCAAATAATGTGAACATTTTTAAAGCCCGTGACGTGTCTTGCACAATTGCTTTCTAAAAAGATTATACTAGTTTACTCTTCCAGCCACTGCATGTGATAATGTCTCCTAGCACCATCTGCAGGACAGGAGACAGTATACCTAATGGTCACAGCTGAAGCAATGGAACCTGAGAGGTTTGGGTGGGCTGGCCTCTACCATTTTCTAGCTGTAGAACCTGAAGCAAATTATTTAATTGTGAACCTCAGTTTCTCAGCTGTAAATGAGTTGACAGGACTAAATGAGGCAATGATAAATCACTTAGCACATTATTGGATATATAGTAAGACTTTATATTAGGTATAAGAATTATTGGTAGTAGGCCGGGTGCGGTGGCTCACGCCTGTAATCCCAGCACTTTGGGAGGCTGAGGTGGGTGGATCACGAGGTCAAGGGATCGAGACCATCCTGGCCAACATGGTGAAACCCTGTCTCTACTAAAAATACAAAAATTAGCTGGGTGTGGTGGCGCATGCCTGTAGTCCCAGCTACTCGGGAGGCTGAGGCAAGGAGAATCGCCTGAACCCAGGAGGCGGAGGTTACGGTGAGCCGAGATCGCACCACTGCACTCCAGCCTGGTGACAGAGCGAGACTCTGTCTCAAGAAAAAAAAAGAAGAATTATTGGTAGTAAAAAGATCTATTCTGCCATTCTAATGGACAAAATGGTATCTCATATCATTTTATTTTGTATTTAAGAACCTTAAAATTAATAATAGTATTTACTTTTATATTATTACAAAAGCAGTCCTAGAAAGATTAGGAAATACTAATCAGCACAAGAGGGGAAAATTCATAATCTTTAAAATCTCAACTTTTTGCTATATTTGCATTGCACTTGCTTTTTAGAGGATGGCGTTATTTTATGGACAGCTTTCTTAATTTATTCCACAGTCATTTTTCCATTCTTTTTATGTTGTTACTTTTCCTGTGTCAATATCAGTAATTAAATTTTCCTAGACAAACACTCATTTTATAGAGACTTCAAAATTATCTAGTATGGAGGTGTACATAGTATTCTCTTTAAAAGACATCTCATAATGGCAGTGCTATTTTCTCATAACTTGCATTTATGACCTGATGTTAGAGAGCAGGAGGGATTGAAATCTTCCTACCTTCTTTCAGATGGGCAGGTTTACTCTGTTTTAAGTTGCTTTGCATTTGTGGGCCAGGGAACATGTTTCTACATCCAGTTCCACTGGTCTTGAAGTCCTTGAAAATGCCTCCCAATTCTGGTGGTCACTTGCATGTGGCCCCCATCTTCAATATGCAATGCTTTCCTTTCTTCCCTACCCTCCACTGGCTTCTTCACCTCCACCCCCATGACTCATCTCCCACTACTTTTCTGGGAAGTTGGGAGACGCTGTCTCTAACTGTTAACCTGATTCTGTGTTTTACCAAAACCCAGAATATATCTTGAAAAGATATTTTAAAAAGGAAAGAAAAATGATATTTTTCTCTGTTCTCTTAATTTATCTAGGTTGACTGCATTTTACTATGATTAATACATAGGGAAATTAAAAAAATTAATCTTCTTAAGAATTTTACAGTTTACTGAAAAAAGAAGACACATATACACAAAACTGTAATTCAATGAAGAAAGTGTGATGTGCTATAAGAGAAGATGCTAGGTGATATAGTTTGGCTATTTGTCCTTGCCCAAATCTCATGTTGATTTTTTTTTTTTTGAGAGAGAGTTTCACTCTGTCTCCCAGGCTAGAGTGCAGTGACTGTGATCTTGGCTTACTGCAACCTCCATCTCCCAGGCTCAAGCCATCCTCCTACTTCAGCCTCCTGAGTAGCTGGGACTACAGGCACATGCCATGGTGCCTGGCTAAATTTTGTATTTTTGTATTTTTTTTGTAAAGATGGGGTTTTGCCATGTTGCCCCGGCTTGTCTTGAACTCCTGAGTTCAGGTGATCCGTGCACCTTGGCCTCCCAAGTGGGATGCCTCCCATATCATATGATATCATGATATGATAGTTCATGATATCAGTTATGATATCATAACCCAGGCAGTTCTCATGAGATCTGTTTGTTTAAAAGTGTGTGGCACCTCCTGCACCACCCACTTTCTCTCTTGCTCTTGCTCTACCATATGAAATCCTGGCTCCCTCTTCTACTTCTCCCATTAATGTAAGCTTCCTGAGGCCTCTTCAGAAGTAGATGCCAGTACCATGCTTCCTGTGCAGCTTGCAGAACCATAAGCCAATTAAGCCTCTTTTCTTATAAATTACCCATTTTCAGACACTTCTTTATAGCAGGGCAAGAATGGCCTAACACAGAAAATTGGTACCAAAGAGTGGGACATTGCCATAAAGATATCTGAAAATGTGGAAGCAGCTTTGGAACTGAGTAATGGGCAGAGGCTGGAAAAGTTTGGAGGGCTCAGAAGAAGACACGAAGATGAAGGAAAGTTTGGAACTTCTTAGAGACTGGTTAAATGACTGTGACCAAAATGCTGATAGTGGTATGGACAGTGAAGTCCAGGCTGCCAAGGTCTCCGATGGAAATGAGGAACTTATTGGGAACTGGAGCAAAGGCCACACATGTTATGTCTTAGCAAAGAGCATGGCTGCATTGTGTCCATGCCCTAAGGATCTATGGAAGTTTGAACTAAAGGGTGATGATTTAGGGTATCTGGCAGAAGAAAGTTCTAAGCATCAAAGCATTCAAGATGTGACCAGGCTGCTTCTAACAGTCTATGCTCAAATGTGGGAGCAAAGAAATGACTTAAATTTGGGATTTATACTCAAAGGGATGCAGAACATAAAAGTTTGAAAAATTTGCAGCTTGGGCATGTGACAGAGAAAAAAAAAGCTTCTTCAGGAGAGGAATTTAAGCAGGTTAAGGAGCAACCACTTGCTAGAAATGTGCATAAATAAAAGGGAGCCAAATGTTAATATCCAAGACAATGTCCCTAAAGGCCTTGAAGGTGTTTCAGAGATCTTCTCAGCAGTCCCTCCCATTGTAGTTCCAGAGGCCTGGGAGGGAAGAATGGGTTTATGGGCCATGCCCAGTGATCCATTGCCCTGTGCAGCCTTGGGACACTGACTCCCACACCCCAGCCACTCCAGCTCCAGCTGGGGCTCAAAGGGGCCCAGGTACAGCTTGAGCTGCTACTTTGGAGGACACAAGCCATACGGTTTGGCAGCTTCCACATGGTGTTAAACCTGTTGTTGCATAGAGCACAAGAGTGAAGGGTTGTCAGCCTCCACCTAGATTTCAGAGGATGTGTGAGAAAGCCTGGATGTCCAGGCAGAAGCCTGCCGCAGGGTCAGAGCCCTCACAGAGAACTTCTGCTAGGGCAGTGCTGAGGGGATATATGGGGTTGGAGTCCACACACAGGGTCTCCACTGGGGCATTGCCTAGTGGAGCTGTGGGAATGGGGCCACAGTCTTCCAAACCCCAGAATGGTAGATTCACTGGCAGCTTGCTGGCTGTGCCTGGAAAAGCCACAGGCACTCAACTCCAACACGTGAGAGCAGCTGTGGGGGCTGCACCCTGCAAAGCCAAATGGGTGGTGTGGCCCAAGGCCCTGGGAACCCATCCTTGCACCAGTGTACATTGGATGCAGCATATGGAGTCAGAGGAGATTATTTTGGAGTTTTAAGATGTAATGACTACCTTGCTGATTTTGAACTTTTCATGGGACCTGTAACCCCTGTCTTCTGGCTGATTTCTCCCTTTTGAAACAGGAATATTTACCCAATGCCTGTACCTCCATCATATCTTGGAAATAACTAACTTGTTTTTGATTTTAAGGGTCGCAGGTTGAAGAAACTTGTCGTGTCTCAGATGAGACTTTGGACTTTTGAGTTAATGTTATAATGAGTTAAGACTTTGGGCAACTGTTGGGAAGGCCAACAGTTAATTGCATTTTGCAATGAGAGAAGGATATAAGATTTGCTAAGAATCAGGGGCAGAATGATATAGTTTGCATATTTGTCCTTGTCCAAATCTCATATTCAATTGTAATCCCCAATGCTGGAAGTGGGGCCTGGTGGGAGATGTTTGGGTCATGGGGGTGGATCCCTCATGGCTTAGTGCTGTCTTTCTGATAGTGAGTTCTCACAAGATCTGGCTCCCACTGTACCATATGAGATGCTGGTCCCCCCTTCACCTTCTGCCATGATTGCAAGCTTCCTGAGGCCTCCCCAGAAGCAGATGCCAGCACCATGCTTCCTGTACAGTCTGCAGAACTGTGAGCCAATTAAACCTCTTTTCTTATAAATTACCCAGTCTCATAGCAATGCAAGAATGACCTAATACATTAGGGGAATTTCAAGGGAGAGCTTATTTTCAACTGTAGAGATTAAGTTTTCATAAGAATTGTCATTTGTGCTAAACCTCAAATGATGGATTGGATATGACAAAGCTGTGCATGGGGCAGGAAGGGCATGCCAAGAAATAATAGCAGGTACTAGGTCCAGAGGTAGCAGTGAGTGCTGTAGGTGTGGGAGATATTTGATGGTTCTTCTGGGGTGGTGTGTGATGGTTCCTCTGGAAAAGTGTTTTGTGGTTCCTCTGGGGAAGTGTTTGGTGGCTCCTTGGGTGAGTGTTTGGTAGTTTCTCTGGAGAGGTTTGGTGGTTCCTCTGGGGAGGTGTTTGGTGGTTCTTCTGGAGAGGTGTTTGGTGGTTTCTCTGGAGAGGTGTTTGGTGGTTCCTCAGGAAAGGTGTGTGGTGGTTCCTCTGGGAGATGTTTGGTGGTTCCTCTGGGGAGGTTTTTTGTGGTTCCTTGGGGAGGGTTAGTGGGTCCTCTTGGAAGTGTTGGGTGGTTCTTCTGGGGAATGGTTTGGTGGTTCCTTGGGGAGGTTTGGTGGGTCCTCTGGAGAGGTGTCTGGTGGTTTCTCTGGAGAGGTATTTGGTGGTTCCTCTGGAGAAGTGTCTGGTGGTTCCTCTGGAGAGGTTTTGGTGGTTCCCTGGGGATGTTTAGTGGATCCTCTTGGAGGTGTTTGGTGGTTTCTCTGAGGAAGTGTTTGGTGGTTCCTTGGGGAGGTTTGGTGGTTCCTCTGGAGAGGTGCCTGGTGGTTCCTCTAGAGAGGTGTTTGGTGGTTCCTCTGGGGAGGTGTTTGGTGGTTCCTTGGGGGAGGTTGGGTGGTTCCTCTGGGGAGGTGGTTCCTTGGGGAGGTTTGGTGGTTCCTCTAGGGAGGTGTTTGGTGGTTGTTTGGGGGAGGTTTGGTGGTTCCTCTGGGGAGATGTTAAGAGGTTCCTCTGGGGAGGTATTTGGTAGTTTATTTGGTAAGAATGTAGGAGGTATAAAGTACATGCTTATTATAAAATACCTTGATGCTAAGGAGGCTGGTTCCATTAAAGGTTTTGAGGGAAAGAAGTGGAACTTTGTTCTAGAAAAATTAACGGAAAGGCATTCCCATGTTAGACCAGGGATGGGAGAGCCTGGAGCTGTATTCTATCATATAGGCTTGCCTGGAGCTTCCAGACAGGCAGTGACTGACTGAAGCTGGCTGGTGGTTTGCTTATTAAACGTGTGGGAGTGAATGTTGTTTATTCTACAAAGAAAAATTCTCTCTGTCTCCATTTTCTTGAAACGCATGGCCCTCTCAATCCATCCCCTCACCCTTAGTTTTGAATAAAGACATGGATTTTAAAAGCTGACACTAATTGTACCCTTACTTTGTGCCAGACACTCTTCTAAGTGCTTCTAAATCTTTTTTCCTCACAATCACTCCACAAGCTTTGTACTGTCCTTTAACAATGGTGTTTTGAGGCACAGGGAGGTGAGTGAAGCTGGCTGAGGTCAAACCTGTGATCAGAATGGTGGCCCAAGGTTTGAACCCAGGCAGTGTCTGGCTCCAGAGCCCTTTGTTTTTCACCATTGCATGATATGATTGAGGGTAGAAAAAATGCCCAGATTACAAGTTAATCAACTGAGCAAGCACAAGTTTAAAAGGCTGCTTACATTTGCCCTCAGTGTCCTGAACCAAGCTGGAGTTGGGGGGCTCATGGGAGGCTGGAGAAGTTATGCCCTAGCTGGGAGGCACCCTTGCCTCAGCTCTAGCTGGTGGCTGCCATGTAGGAAAACAGGCCACTGTCACCAAAAATTTCAAATTTTGAAAGAAGCTGGAAACCTAGATTTTCATGTGAAATCTCTTGATTGTTAAATGGTGGTTGAAATGAGTTTAAACATAATGATGTTATATAAGGTACAATTCGTGGGAAGTAATTAAGTGTTGTCATGAGTTGTGATTGATTCCTATGCCTCCCTCCAATTCATTGCCAATTCTCCTTTTCTTTCTTTAATTTGGCTTTAGCTGTCTTTTGTGCATTAGGATTTCAGTTAGACAAAGTGATAAGAACCATAACATTACATTGCTTATAAGGAATGACTGATGCTTGATTTCTTTGAACAGCAGAAGATGAATATTAGGAGTAGTTTTATATTAGCACACTGTATAATTGTAATTTTAAGGTACCATTATTAAACTATACAGTGTGAGGGAGTGGTGTGATTCAGAAAATTCTCTTAAAATTGTTATCTCAAATTAGAAAAAATAACCCCCTTAGGCATAGCCTTCAGCATTTTTGCAGTTTGGGACTGTATTAGTCCATTCTCTCACTGCTATAAAGAAATACCTGAAACTGGGTAATTTATAAAGAAAATAGGTTTAATCGACTCATGGTTGTGCAAGCTGCACAGGCTTCTGCTTCTCAGGAGGCCTCAGGAAACTTACAATGATGGTGGAAGGCAAAGGCTTCTGGAAGCAGCCATGTTTTACATGGCCAGAGCAGGAGGAAGAGAGTGAGGGGGGAGGTGCCACACACTTTTTAAACAATCAGATCTTGTGAGAATTCTATCACAAGAACAGCACCAAAAAGGGAAATCTGTTCCCATGATCCAATCACCTCCCACCAGGCCCCGCCTTCAACATTGGATTACAATTTGACATGAGATTTGGTGGGGCGGGGGACACAGATCCAAGCCATATCAGGGACTATGGTAATACCCTGCTCTTCATTCAAGTAATCCCTTCACCCCTGCCTCTCTCCTCTGGCCTCCCCTTCCTTTTGGTCCAGGGCAGAAGGCATCTGGTGTTGGACATCTGGTCTCACTATCTCTTTCCATAGCAGAGAAGCAAAGGATTCTTTTTCCTCTTTTATTTTTTGGGTGGTGTTGTCCAATGTACCTTAAACTTTTTATGTTTGTTCTGCAGGAGATTACAGGGTCCAGGTTGTGGGAACTTTTTGTTGGAACACATAACATTTCCATCAATAAAGTTAGCTTCCTATAAAACAAACAAACAAATAATCCATACTAAGATGGCCAAATGAGAGACATTTGTGGACTGGACTTGGCCTGCAGATCATCGATGATTATCCCTATGTGAGGGTCAGGGAGGCCAGTTCAGAGGCCACCATAGTGGCCCAGGCAGGGGGTAAGGAGGGCCTGGGCCTACATCCTGGCTGTGAGAAGTTAGGAGAGCTCTACTGTATGTCAGGAACCTCCCTCTTTTTCTTAGCATAAAAGGAAAGGCAGGCATAATTATACTGGTTCCTTGTGAGATAAACCTTTTCTGACACCCTGGTATAGCTGAGAAAATCCTTTTTCCCCTGTCAGATGTCATGTTAACCTAACTGTTCAAAGCCCGGTCCAGGCTCACTGGAAGATGGACATGGAGAGAACAGAGACTGCACATTTATATTTAGCATCATGTTCAGAAGCACCAGTGAATGGGAGTTTGTATCAGTGGTTGTATCTGCGGGATTTAAATTTATCATAGAGGTGATTGAGTGATGATACTCATCAGAGGCTAATACCATTGAAAGATTTTCATTACTTACATTTCCTAAAGAAGGGGTACAAGGAAGCGGCACACCATACCATGCAGAACCACATGATGCTATGGACTGAATGTTTGTGTCTTCCCCCAAATTCATATGGTGAAACTCTGATCTCCAAGGTGAAGGTATTTGGAAAGGTATTTGGCCTTTGGGGGATAATTTCGTCCTGAGAGTAGAGCCCTTATGATGGGTTTAGTGCCCTTATAACAAGAGACAAGAGAGAGCTTGCTTCTTTTCTCTTTTTCTCTCTCTCTCTACTGTGTGAAGATACAGCAAGAAGATATCCATCTGCAAACTAGGGAATGGGTCCTCACCAGACAGTAGATCTGCACCATGACCTTGAACTTCCCAGTCTCCAGAACTGTCAGAAATAAGTGTTTGTTGTTTACGCCACCCAGCCTATGGTATTTTTGTCACGTAGTCCAAGTGGACTCAGACACAGGGTGTTGGTCAGCAGACAGAGAGGAGTGAGGGTGAAGCACAAGCCAGAGCCTCTATTGTGTTTTCTGTAGGAAAGGCAGGGCAGCTGGGAGCAACAGTTTAGGATTGGCTGCTTCCGATACTTTCAGTGGGTGTTAGGAATGAGGCTGTCCTTAGTTGTCTGGTACCTGGCTTTTGGTGGATTTTGGGCAGGGGGAATATTGACTTGACATGTGAGGTCAAGGAGGTGGTAGTTGGGTAAATAAAGGAGGTGGCTGTAGGGTATGGACTCAGGACACTGTTTGCATATGAAGGGTGTATAGTAAGGCTAGTTTATTATCTTGGAAATAACTTGGTCATGGAAGGGCAGTCTCTCCCTGACCAGCTGGGCCCTCCAAGATGTGAAAATACTATAAAATATAGAAAAGAAAAAATATTGGCCAGGCACAGTGGCTCACGCTTGTAATCCTATCACTTTTGGAGGCTGAGGTGGGCAGATCGCTTGAGGCCAGGAGTTCAAGACCAGCCTGGCCAACATGGCAAAACCCCGTCTCTACTAAAAATACAAAAATTAGCTGGGCCTGGTGGTGCATGCCTGTAATCCCAGCTACTTGAGAGGCTGAGGCAGGAGAATTGTTGAACCCAGGAGGTGGAGGTTGCAGTGAGCCAAGATTGCACCAGTGTACTCCAGCCTGGGCAACAGAGCAAGACTCTGTCTCAAAAAAAATATGATTAATATAGAGTTCCATCAGGATTTTTGCACTTCCAATAGAAGCATGAATTAGTTAAAGGGGTAACTTCTTTCTTTTAATAATTGTTTTCTTTTAAAAATGGACATTTAACAAGCAGCAGTGAAAAGGGCTAACTTTGAAAAGAGACCTAAGCATGTTGTCTATCTTGTAGGTCTTGCTTCATTTAGATGAGATAATGAGAATAGATGGGAGCTTGTGCAATTTGTAGTCAGCTTCATTTCCTGGTTCTCACACACCAGCCTGACATTGTTGTGTTTGGATTCACAACATGGCCAGGGGATGTTTACATCCCCACCCAGACAGCTGTGCTCATTGAAATAGAAGGAATGATGATGATGATGTTTATTTCCGGAATGGTAAAACACTGAAACCCTTGGTCTCTAAAAATAGGTCACTGTTTTACTTAGAGGTGAACTGGCATTGTTTACCTAAATGCCGAAGTGTCTGACAATGGTTCTCCAAAGTTAGTTGAAGTTGAAAAAGGTCTCATGTTACTTCGAAATTGTCAGAAATGGTAAGTCTTTGAAATTCTGCAGATTTTTATTCCTGGCATAATCAGAAAATTTGGAATCACAATTACAAGACTGTTTGCATGTATTTACTCTAAATTGGCCAAGTTTGGGAAATCATGAATGTAGCTGGTTCTTATCTCAAGAGTTCTCTAAATCAGAACTGCTTTGTTGATGCCTGAATGCTGACCCTGAAAAGTTTCTAAGGCCACCTCAACCCTAGACTTGACTGGCCCATTTAGGAATAAAATAAAGTGTGCAGAAGAGTCCACTTTACCAGTGACAGTCCTTTTCTTGTGATTCTAGGGAAGCCAGATAACTCCGTGGGATTGCCTTTAAAAACATTACAGAAATCTCCATTCTGCAAATCTAAAGATAAAACTTCATTTTCTGGACAAGCTGAGCTCTCATGCAAGAGTGCAAGGTTGGTGATTATTTGCATAACAGCAACACTGTTTTACTGTTTAATGCTCCCTGGACCTAGCATCAATGTCCCCAACCCCTATAGCTGTATTTCTCACACTGAATATATTCCCCTCACTATTCCAAGAACCTATACTGGAAGTATAATGAGAGAAGAATTTGACAGGCCTCAGGAAATTTAATATAAATGCAATAGTCCTTTTCGTCACCCACCTGCATTGATTATTAGTGGTTCTCCCCCTTCTAGTCCCTCTCCTGTCTGAGCAGCCCATGCACTATTACCGGGTCAGTGTTCTGAGACCCATTTCTGCTCCATGAACTTGCAAAAGGCTGGCATTTCAGACACTGAAAGATCTGCTCAGTCCTTTAATCTCCAGTGTCATGTTCCAGCACATCAAAACCTGAACTGTCTCTGTGAAGTCGTCTCACCTTCTTTCTGGGTCTCCCTGTTCCATCCCTATCTGGAGTGTGCTGGATCAGTTGTCCACCCATGTAGACCTACAAGGCCCACTCAAGCCCACTGCTTCCATCAACCCTTTCTCAGCTGCTCCTGCTTTCCTCCCCACGAACCCTGCAATTTAGCAGTTACTTATTGTTTTATATTATTTTCTGAAGTATGGAAGTTTTTTCCCCCAATTCAAAGAGCTGGTTTCATTTGTGTTAGTTTATGTCAGAAAGAGTAGGAGCAGATTTCACCAAAGAGCAATGGCAGGGTGGTTCAGAGGTTCAGAGCTCAGGAAAGATTTGTAGGCTATCTCTCCAGCTGCTTATACAGAGGCATTGCCTAGAGGGACTTTCCATGGCTCAGAGTCAAACCCTCAATCTTGCGGCTCAGAAGCTTAATTTTATTCATTTGTTCTCTCAGCAGGTTCAGTCTCAGAAGGGCAGACTTATAGTAACCGAACTCATTTGTAAACTGAGCAACCAAGCCCATTTTTAAGATCCAGAACCACTGAAGAAACTCAAGCAGTGCTCTTGGCTCTTGGCTCTTAGCTGGTGCACTCTCCCTCTGGGGGCCTACAGGAGGTCCCAATTATCATTAGTGGTTGCTTGGTAAGTTAAAAAATCTGCATGTTTTATGCCCTTGAACTATAATCAGCTGGATGCACCTATCGCCTCATAGGTCTACATTCTGTTGGAACCACAGCAGCCAAGTGCTCAGTGCAGTCGCCCTTTCTCCTTGATGTGCTGGATGGTCATTACCATAGTCTTGTGGCTGGTTGACCAGCTGTGCTACGTCCCCACTCAACACTGCAAATGATTGATATATTCATGGAACTATTCTGACTCTTAAGGTGACTTGGCCTATTTTTCCAGGCACTGATTTTACATTTTGTCTTTCCAAGCTCAATCTTGATTCTTTTATTTTAAGATGAGGGTGGCTTCCAGACGCTTCTGAGTACTGACAACAGTGTGCTCTGCTGCCAAGGCATCCTGCCTCCCTATGGAGAACATGGAGTAGTCATTTAATACCTGCCACCCAAGGGACTGGATGGAAGAAGGGCAGGCTTCAGAGGATTTATACTCTGAAGACAGTTATGTTTGATCTGAAAATGAAAAAGTGGTGAGTATTTCTTAGGTTGTCAGTCAATCCTAACCTATTTGAGTTGAAAAGGGGACCTATAATAATGTTCCCTCCCTGGCTATTTTATTGTGCTGGGAATCTCCTCTTTATGCTCTAAGCCAAATGTTCTAGATCATGGGTCAAGGATGAAAGAGCGCCAGCCACCACCTCTTGGACTATTGCATCCGTGCTCGGCTCTCAGGGGAAGGCTTTGCAGAAATGTCTGCAGTAAAAGAAACACATGACTTTCAGCAGTTGACCTGGAAGTGGTTAGCAGTTTCTTTAAAGGAGTGAGAAAGAGAGACTTGTGGGTTCAAGCCTCAGTCCCTGGGCTATGAAGATGGAACTAATGTAACCTCTTTGGCTAGAGATCATGGCAGCAAGGTCTCTGCAGGAGAGGTAGCACTCTGCTCTCTTTTCTTGTTGTTGTTTCAAACAGGACATGACCTCCAGTAATTTAAAGGCTGTTTTGATTTCTTCTTCCTTGAGACAGCTCATCCTGCCTCTAGCTGGTTGCCTGTGAGGAGGAAGAGAGAGGAAGGAAAATAACGAAAGAGGGAAGGAAGTTCCTCCCCCACATTGAGTGACCCGGCTCCGGCCCCAGGACATTCAGGGATCTATTTCAGCATGTTCTCCCCACCCCCACCTCCCTTTCTATTTCCCCTTACTCAGCCTCTCCAGTTCATCACAGCTGGCCACGCAATCTCCCACCTGCAGCCTGGGCCCAGCCTCTTTCCCAGACCAATCTGGGCTTGAGGCAGGAAGCAATTAAGCAGACCTATCAAGTCCCTCCTTACTTCCAGACATCCTCATGGATCTGCTTGCTAACCAAGGATGCAAGTCCCTCTGCTAATGCTTGAGCTGCTGCATTGCACTGGGGATGGCAACAAGCCCTCCTTGTCCCCCTGCCTCCTGTCTGCTGGGACAGAGCACCTGCAGCTGAATTCTCCAGCCAGAGCCTGCCCCGTGCAGTGTGTTCTGGTTTCTGAATGCACCATTCTGCTTGGGGATGACCTCAGAGAATTCTGAATCCAGGAAACTTCTTGGTCCTGCAGGCTTTAGCTCTCCTCTCAACTATCCATGGTATCCCTATTTTTTGACACGGATAATCGACATTTTCTCAGTCTTGTGTAGAGTATTATGCAAATACAGCTTCTCTAGTTCTTTTCCAACCAAAATGCTCCCTGTAAGTTCTTCCTACATTGAAATTCTGCAGCCACTACTGCCAGTGCCCTTCTGACTGGCACTTGTCTCATGGTGTCCTTGTGGATGTCCTTAAACCTGAGCCCTGATTGCCTTCCCAGATGCTACTGGCCTGCTTGCCAGGGCTTCTGCTGTAGTGGACCCTGCTTTCCCATTGCTGGGCTCTGCCCACTGCTGTGATTGCTCCTGTTGATCAGCCCTGATGGTTTGCCTGAGCTATTCCTATAGCGCTCTATTTGCCGAGACTCAGTAACAGTTGCCTGCAGGGGATGGGGGCCAGGAGAAGGATAGGGATTTGGCATCTCTTAAGCCGAAAATCTTTTTCTGTTTTTAAACACAGGGTCTTGCTCTGTTGCCCAAGCTGGACATCAGTGGTGCCATCTCGGGTTTCTGCAACCTCTGCCTCCCTGGATCAAGTGATCCTCCCACCTCAGTCTCTTGAATACCTGGGACCACAGACGTGTGCCACCATGTCTGGCTAATTTTTGTATTTTCTGTATAGATGGGGTTTTGCCATGTTGCCCAGGTTGCTGTCAAACCCCTGAGCTTAAGCATTCCACCTGCCTCGGCCTCTCAAAGTGCTGGGATTACAGGCATGAGTCACTGTGCCCAGCCAACAATTTCTTTCTTTCTTTCTGTTTTTTTGGAGATGGGTCTTGCTATGTTGCCCAGGCTGGACTTGAACTCCTGCACTTAAGCCATCCTCTTGCCTCAGCCTCTGGAGTAGCTAGGACTATGGGTACTTGCCACTGTGCCTGGCTAAGCTGACAACCTTTAAATCCTGTTCAACTCTTATTTAGTGGGGGTAGTGACAGAATGAGGGAGAGTGTTTTCTAATTTTTACTTCAGAACTTTGTCTTCTTTTGTGGAAAAGGGTGCAGATCACATTTTGACCACTCTGTAATGAGCTCTGTGTAGTGATCTGAGTTAAAGTGGGCCATGCTCTCAGATATGGTTCAGTAAGATTTTAGCATTCCTTGTAGCTCCAGACAGCTAAATGGGGCTCTGGGCCTCTCCAAGAATCCCTGGCACCTGGGCATGCCTCTCCCATCACGGAGCTCTCTGCAATATGTTGTGCCAGCGTCTGTCCGTGACTCCAGCTATTTCAGTTTTCCTGTTAAAACACCTTGCCAACCCACTAGTTGTGAGATACAACAAGCACTTTACAAAAGAACGGTAGCTGTTAGAAATGCGGAAACATTCAGACATCTAGTCTGTCCCTTGGGGATCAGTAGAGTTTTTGGTACTGATTTCTCCAGGGCTTTCTCCAGTTCAGATTAAAATAATCCTTCAAATGAGCCTTCCATTGCGCCCCTTGGGATATGTTTCTACTCTCATAAATTTTACCACAAAGACAATTTGGGGAAAAAAAGTCACTTTTGTTTCTTTTCAAGAAAATTGATTTTGACATTTCTGTCCTTACGGGAAGCTTCTGATGGAAGAATTGCTGTGCAGCTGAAGGACTCTGATGTGGAGTGGACTCAAAGGCCCTCAAGAAAATAAAAGTGGCTGAAGTCCTTTGAGAGAGGATCTGTTTTATGATAGTCTTTGAAAAGAGCATAGATACAGATATGACTGGTTTCAGTGGGTCCAACAGGGTGGCCTAAGGTGGCCAGTTGTGTTTGGAATCTTTTCACACTGAATGCAAGGTGGGGAGCCAGACTGATCATCAGGCCCTTTGGTGCTCAAGGACTCCTTCAGTAGGACATGATGCTGAAAACAGGGGGCGCTGGGATCAGACAACCGGCATCTGCGTCTGACTCCACTAGGAAAATGTCCTTTGTTCTGTGCTCCCAAAGCAGTCTGTCCAACCTCAGTTAGAACAGGTATTGCATTATATTATAAGTAGGCATTTGCCCTTTTCTTCTTCTTTAGACTATGCGCTGTTTGAGAGCAGTAACTATTTCTTATACAACTGTCTAGATCGTAACAGGCACTTGTAAATATTTGTTGGCCAACCCTTGTCTCTGCACATTAATAAGTTATTTAAACTCACAGCAGTTTTATGGAAGAGATATGATTAGCCCCACTTTACAGAAGAAGAGACTAAGGTTTAAGTTACTGAGTTACTTATCCCAAGTCCTGCAGCTAGTAGGTGGGAGAGCCAGGTTAACAACCGTCAGTAAGAACCCAGAACATGATCCCCAAATCAACTTGACACCAAAACTCAAGGTCTTAAGCCAGATGCTGTTTTCCCTGTCTAATCACGAGCCATGCTTGGCAGGCATTCAAATCTTGCTGTTGACTGATGTGATGTGCTTTTTTGTCAAGTTTGGCTAACTGGGTTTCCCCTACTGTTTTCTAACTTCTCTGATAATAAAAATATATTCCTTCCATGCTGCTGTTATCTGAGCTCCAGAGATTCCCTCCCCCATCAAATCTGTCTCTTTCCCAAGGAGTACTATGTTTCCTAGTAAAGGACATTTAGTTGTTTTCTACTTCTACTTTTCTGATCATACATTTAAAAGTTTCTTTTTTGGAGTATTTCATATCAGTTTTGGATAAAAATAATACGTTTCCTGAGAAATATGAAAACGTTGGCCCCTATGGGAAAGTGTGATTTGGCTCTAATTGGTGTCTTTTATGGCCTCCAGGGAGTGCTAAGGTGGGAGGCTGCATGGGCTATGGCTCCACTGCAGGTCAAACCAGGCTCAAGTGGGAATGAGCATGACCTTATTGTTTCCAGACCTTTAGGGACAGCTAGTGTGCCCTTATTAATGGGATCTAGTTGTGCTGTGAGTTTAGGGGACAGTAGGGTGTGGGGAGCCAGAGTTGTGGACACTGGAGAGCAGGGTTAGTAGACCCCAGTTGCACATCTATTTTAATGAGCTCAAAAGATTTCAAACTCTCTGGCTTTGTGTGCTGACACACCCTGGGGTGAGGTGTGGAAAAATCATCATGGCTCAGCAATTGAGGATTTCAGAGGTAGAATGAGAGGCATGAGCCTGCTGACTGGGATCCCAGTACATCTGGAGCTGAAAGATGTGACTGGGCCAAAAGGGGCTGGTGTGCATGAAGTCTGGGAGATCGAGTAGAGAAATCCGCCACCTGGTTAGTGAGTCCAGCACTTCTCACTGGTTGACTCATTAAAATTATGTTAGTCTTGTCCAATGGACCCACTTGCCTTTTCTGCTAGAGAAAGTTCACAGCCTCCATTGATGGATGAGAAGGTGGGAGAGAGGAATGCAGAGCCAGGAAGCCCAGTTTACTTGTAAAAAAAAAAAAAAGAAGAAAGAAAAAGGAAGGCTGGGCGCTGTGGTTCAGGCTGTGGCTCACACCTGTAATCCTAGCACTTTGGGAGGCTGATGTGGGCGGATCACTTGAACTCAGGAGTTCAAGACCAGCCTGGCCAACAGGATGAAACCCCGTCTCTACTAAAAATACAAAAATTAGCCAGGCATGGTGGAGGGCGCCTGTAATCCCAGCTGCTGGGGAGGCTGACGCGGGAGAATTGAGTGAG
This sequence comes from Homo sapiens, assembly GCF_000001405.40. Taxonomy (NCBI): domain Eukaryota; kingdom Metazoa; phylum Chordata; class Mammalia; order Primates; family Hominidae; genus Homo; species Homo sapiens. Next base: position 79,719,362 of record NC_000008.11, on the reverse strand, counting down.
CCCCGAAGGCTGAGGTTGCAGTGAGCCGAGATCACACCACTGCACTCCAGCCTGGGTGACAGAGAGACATTCTGTCTCAAAAAAAACAAAAACAAACAAAAAAAAACAACAACAAACCAACAACAACAACAACAAAAAAAAGCAAAAAAGGAAAAGAAAATAGAAAAAGGAAGGTCAGTGTTGAAGCTGCCTGGGCAAATCTGTGAAGAGAGAATTTAGTCAAGGGACTACTAAATTAAAAACAATAGTATAACACGTACACGTGGGCACACACACATGCATGCACACAACCAAGCCCATATGCTGCATGTTGAAGCCTAAAATCACTGCCGAATTTGTGTCCATGTGTAAATTATTTTACTGTTTACAGTAACTGATTCAAACCTCCAGCATTGCTAAAGTGTGTAGGATCTTTTTCCTCTCCTTACTTGAGTCTCATTGGATTGCTGCTGGTACTAGTCGGTTAGCTATTTGCTAGCTGGTCCCCAGCAACTGGTTTAATTTTTATTCTATTGATAGTGTGAACTGTTTAACTGATGACTCATATTAAACATTTGCTGAATGTAAGGTGTTCTGCTGGAGAGTTGACTTGTATAGTTGACAGCTCTGAGAGTCAGGTATTATCATTCCCATTATATAGAAGAGGAAACTGAGACTTAGAATGTTCAATGACTTGCACTCAAGGCCGCACAGCTGGTTAGAACTGGGATTCAAATATAGTCTTTTCTAACTGCAAGTTCCTCCATGGGATTGATACATTTTCCCCGACTGAGGTTTCTTTTCTGTATTGGCTGCTAGGCTTCTGAAGCCAAAGTCATAGCCTATTTCTAGCAAGTGTGAAGCACTTGATGAGATGTATTAAATATACTGAATTAAATCCTGGTTTTATTTTCATTACCCTTATTTCCCCTTTCCAAGATTTATTTACTTATCTGTGTCTTATTAATATCTATCTATCTATCTACACATTTATTTATTGAATAGACTGTCTCAAATTTTTTGGACAAGCTATTTGGTGGTGTAGTAGTAAATAGGAAGAAAATACCTATGTAAAGAAATAACTTTCTAGACCTAATAATTTCTAATAAATTTTCCATAGAGTCATGAAATCTAGCATATCTCCCATTTCCTATTTCTTTACTACCTTGCTTATCTCTCTGTTTTTCTTTCTTTCTTTTTGAGTTGTAAAAGCCTAAAGCCACAGCCAAACTTTTGGCTATATGCAAATTATTTTCTTATTTGATTGACTCAGACCCAAATATTGCTAAATAAATGTTTGGGAGCTTTTTCCATTCCTTATTCTGGTGTTATTAAAGTTCAGCTGGTTTGGTTATAAGAGTTCCAACAGTTTTGTAACAGGTCATTTGCCTATTTTCATTGCACAGTGGCAAATAATATGCATTACATGAAGCTTGTGAATGATATCATTTTACCTCTTTGTTGAGAGAGAAAAAATGACATTCTTGGTCACTGTTGGGAATTCCTGTAACCAGACACATTCTCTAGCCTGGAGACAGACTCAAGTCCTTCAGGTTGAAGAGAGAGCCTAACTCCTCCCTAAATAATCAAATAGTTATATCCACCAGTTTTTGGAAGATCAAAGGCTTAGCCCACCAGCAGGCTCAGTCAGGATGGTGGTTTCTGATAGGTTCAGCAGTGAGAACACAAAATGAGTTTAATTGGCACAGTGTGAGAACTTTTATTTTTTCAAGTTTGAGTATTTTAGTATTATTAGATGTATAAGCACATCAAATGTGTTATTTTAAGGATATAATTCCTCGGTGTAAATCTAAAATTTTATAAATGTGTTATTTTTGAGAAAACATGAAGTAAATTAGCAGTACACAGTGAAAAATTTATTAAGGTGATAGGCTAAAGACTGAAGTGTTGGAAACTTTAAATAAGGGCAATCTTTCATGGAGAAACATGAGATGAAGGATGCCAACTGCTGGATACCTGGAAATTCTGTAGCGACTGGGGTTACCATTCATTGGAAGGTACTGATGCCTTTTGGCCCTTCTTCACCTCTTGAACTTTGTTAAATGTGATCTTCTTGTGCTGAATAAAGGTCACTTTAATTTGTGTTGTTGATGTACTGTTGGTAGATGTCCTGCTTATCAGCTTCTTTTTATTGCAGCAAATTCCCTTTACATCTCTTGGATCAGAGTTTTTCAATTTGAGCATCAGTCTTCAACATTTTATTTGTATCCCCATTAACTGAATTGGAAACATCAAACAATTCTAGCATTTAAATAGTTACTAGCCTTTTATATGTATTGACAATTAGCAGAAACTGATGTATCACTCATTTTGATGAAACCAGAGGCATATAATCCAATGGAATCATGACCCATTTAAAAATGCATAAATAGGTTCTTCTATATCAGTCAAATATTTTACATCATTCTTTTCTCTCCTAGAACTTGTATCTCTTTTCTTTTCTCTAATAACTTTATCTTAATGTCATATACTTTTATGCTTGAAAGTTTTCTGTTGATCACCCTATTGTATTTCTCTGCAACATTATGTGTATTTTGTTCCTATGAATAAAAGGCGTTAAGTGTTTTTTTAAAAAAGACCTTTTATATTGGATTATCATTATAGGCATTATTGCAGTTAAATCAAAACAATACAAATAATTTAATAACTTTAAAAATTTAATAAAACAAACAAAAGCAAATATTCTTTAGAAATACAACTTTTAATGAGTTGACTCTATTGTATACTTACGGCACCCTGGTTAAAATAACTGTCTGACTATCTCTTTATTTTAACAGTTTTGGGTTATACAGCATGATTAGATGCTGGATAGGTAAGAGGTAAGATTGTTTTGAAATGAGCCAAAAAATGTTCATGAAAGGGAAGGTGGGAAAGGATGACTTCTACCGTGGGGGCCTTCCCTGACAAATCAGTTTTAGAAAAGTGGACATTGAGATATGGAAGTTGAATCCCTTAGAACTACCCATGGCCTATAGCCCTTAAAAAATGTAGTGGTGTGAAGGTAGTCATGAAGTGGTGTGAAGGTAGTCATGAAGTGGTGTGAAGGTAGTCATGACATTAGCAAAGTCATGAAGAAGGTCAGCTTCACAGGTGTACGAGCTGTGCTGTTGCATAGGTCCCAGGCTCACAGGGGTCCCGAATTTGGTTTAATGCTCTGCGGTCACCATCTTAAAATTCTTAGTAATTTTTGAACAAGGGACTCATATTTTAAATTTTATTTTAATGAGGGCCAGGAAATTATGTGGCCATTATTGGTCATGAATGTTTGATATGGGAAAACCTTGGCAGAGGAAATAAGATGGTAGTTCCAGAGCCATCTGGAGCTAGCTTGCACCATCCTGTGAGAGCTGATTTATTAAATATTTGGGAATTATGAGAGCCAGTCATTAAACCTACCACTTCAGGAATATTTACACTGCAGATAAAGCTCAAATGTTACAAATCAGGCTTGTCCCTGAATGTTACACCACTGTTTATTAGTTGCTTAAAGGAAAGGTGAAATAATGTAACAACTAAAAGTTGACTGGTCATACTTTGTGATTGACAACTAAAACAGTGAGATTAAGAGAAATAATTACAATAGCTAAAATTAGTTGATATCGTAATCATCAGGTACAATGCTAGATGCATTAAAAAGATTATTTAAACCTCAAAAAACCCTATGAGGTGTGCTATGGTGTGAATGTTTGTGTCCCCTCTAAATTCATATGTAGAAATCCTAACCCCAAGGTGATGGTGTTAGGAGGTGAGGCCTTTTGGGAGGCAATTAGGTCCTAAGGCAGATCCCTCATGAATAAGATTAGTGCACTTATAAAAAAGACCTGAGGGAGCTTGTTTGTCTTTTCCAGGTGGGGAACCAGCACAAAGGCACTGTGTATAAATCAGGAAACAAGCCCTCACCAGATACCAAGTCTACTGGCACCTTGATCTTGGACTTCCCATCCTCCAGAACTGTGAGAAATAAATTTCTGTTGTTTATAAGTCACCCACTCCATGGTATTTTGTTATGGCAGCCTGAACAGACTAAGATAAAATATGACTTCCCATTCTACAGATAGAAAAGCTGATGAGCAGAGAAGATAATTAACTTGCCTAATGGATACCTAGCTAGTAAGAAAGAGTGAGTGAGCTGGGACTTAAATCCAGAGGCTGTGTTTCTGACATCCCACATTAAAAGCTATTTCCCATGTCTCCACTCCTGACCCCAGTAAAGCTATTTCCACCCATATCTTTTCTGCCAGACAATCTCATAAGCCTCCTGACCATTAGTTTTGCACCACAAAATCTTCAGGTCTGTTCAATGTCTCTTGGGTTTCCCTGAGGCTTTAGCACTAACCCAGTGTATCCATAATCATTGCAAATCCTAGCTGAAGCATTTTTATCCAAACTCATTTTTGGTGTCTGGGCTATTACCAGCACTTGTTCTGATCCAGCCTATTTGATGTAGGCTAAACAATATGTATTTACGTTGACCTTCACATTCACAAATAACCCAAACAATGCCAAATAATAGTCCATATTGTACGTTCATTAGTGTTATGACTATAAAAATCCTAGAAAGTGTACATTCCACATTCATACAGACCTAAGTTCAAATTCTAGTCCAGTCACATATTAGCTGTGCAATTTTGGATGTTACTACTGTCTCTTATGTGTCAAATGAGTATTTTAATAGTCACCACCTCATAGGATTGTTGTGAGGATTAACTGAGATAATGTAAAAACATACAGCTTCATAAACACTAGCTACTATTTTTCTCATTGCTAAAAATTAAAATAACAGAGACAGAAATAAAGAAGAAAATTAAAATAATTTACAAACACACAAACCTGAGATATTATTAAGATTTTAACATATTTCCTTTCTGTTTATTTTATTTGTAAAACTTGAATTATATATTTGCAGTTTTGTATCCTCCTTTCACTTAATATGATAAATATTTCCTTTTTTGTGTGTTTTTGAAAAGATTTTATTTTAATTGTGGTTAAAAAGCATATAACATAAAATTACCATCTTAACCATTTTTAAGTATATGTTTCAATAGCATTAGGTACATTCACATTGTTCTGCAACCAATCTCCAGAAATGTTTCATCTTTCAAAACTGACTGTACCCATTAAACTACTCCCCATTCCCCTCTCCTTGCAGCCCAGATGTGATTTTTTTTCTTTTTTTTTTTAAATTATACTTTAAGTTTGGGGATACAGGTGCAGAACCTCCAGGTTTGTTACATAGGTATACAAGTGCCATGGTGGTTTGCTACACCCATCAACCAGTCATCTACATTAGGTATTTTTCCTAATGCTATCTCTCCCCTAGCCCCACACCCCCCGACAGGCCCCAGTGTGTGATGTTCTCCTCCCTGTGTCCATGTGTTCTCATTGTTCAAGTCCCGCTATGAATGAGAACATGCAGTGTTTGGTTTTCTGTTTCTGTGTTAGTTTGCTGAGAATGATGGCTTCCAGCTTCATCCATGTCCCTGCAAAGGAAATGAGCTCATCCTTTTTTTATGTCTGCATAGTATTCCATGGTGTATGTGTGCCACATTTTCTTTATCCAGTCTATCGTTGATGGACATTTGGGTTGGTTCCAAGTATTTGCCATTGTGAATAGTGCCACAATAAACATACATGTGCATATGTCTTTATAGTAGAATGATTTATAATCCTTTGGGCATATATCCAGTAATGGGATTGCTGGGTCAGATGGTATTTCTGATTCTAGATCCTTGAGGAATTGCCACACTGTCTTCCACAATGATTGAACTAATTTACACTCCCACCAACAATGTAAAAGCTTTCCTATTTGTCCACATCCTCTCCAGCATCTGTCGTTTCCTGACTTTTTAATGATTGCCATTCTAACTGGCATGAGATGTTATCTCATTTTGGTTTTGACTTGCATTTCCCTAATGACCAGTGATGATGAGCTTTTTTTCATATGTTTGTTGGCTGCATAAATGTCTTCTTTTGAGAAGTGTATGTTCATATCCTTTGCCCACTTTTTGATGGGGTTGTTTGTTTTTTTCCTGTAAATTTAAGTTCCTTGTAGATTCTGGATATTAGCCTTTTGTCAGATGGATAGATTGCAAAAATTTTCTCCCATTCTGTAGGTTGCCTGTTCACTCTGATGATAGTTTCTTTTGCCGTGCAGAAGCTTTTTAGTTTAATTAGATCCCATTTATCTATTTTGGCTTTTGTTGCCATTGCTTTTGGTGTTTCAGTCATGAAGTCTTTGTCCATGCTTATGTCCAGAATGGTATTGCCTAGGTTTTCTTCTAGGGTTTTTATGGTTTTAGGTCTTATGTTGAAGTCTTTAATCCATCTTGAGTTAATTTTTTTATAAGTTGTAAGGAAGGGATCCAGTTTCAGTTTTCTGCATATGGCTAGCCAGTTTTCCCAACACCATTTACTAAATAGGGAAACTTTTCCTCTTTGCTTGTTTTTGTCGGGTTTGTCAAAGATCAGATGATTGTAGATGTGTGGCATTATTTCTGAGGCCTCTGTTCTGTTCCATTGGTCTATATATCTGTTTTGGTACCATGCTGTCTGGTTACTGTAGCCTTGTAGTGTAGTTTGAAGTCAGGTAGCATGATGCCTCCAGCTTTGTCCTTTTTGCTTAGAGTTATCTTGGCTATAGGGGCTCTTTTTTGGTTCCATATGAAATTTAAAGTAGTTTTTTTCTAATTCTGTGAAGAAAGTCAATGGTAGCTTGATGGGGATAGCACTGAATCTATAAATTGCTTTGGGCAGTATGATCATTTTCAGGATATTGATTCTTCCTATCCATGAAGATGGAATGTTCTTCCATTTGTTTGTGTCCTTTCTTATTTCCTGGAGCAGTGGTTTGTAGTTCTCCTTGAAGAGGTCCTTCACATCCCTTGTAAGTTGTATTCCTAGGTATTTTATTCTCTTTGCAGCAATGGGAGTTCACTCATTATTTGACTCTCGGTTTGTCTGTTATTGGTGTATAGGAATGCTTGTGATTTTTGCACGTTGATTTTGTATCCTGAGAGTTTGCCTAAGTTGCTTATCAGCTTAACAAGATTTTGGGCCGAGATGATGGGGTTTTCTAAATATACAATTATGTCATCTGCAAACAGAGACAATTTGATTTCCTCTCTTCCTATTTGAATACATTTATTTCTTTCTTTTGCCTGATTGCCCTGGTCAGAACTTCCAACACTATGTTGAATAGGAGTGGTGAGAGAGGGCATCCTTGTCTTGGCTGGTTTTCAATGGGAATGCTTCCAGCTTTTGCCCATTCAGTATGATATTGGCTGTGGGTTTGTCATAAATAGCTTTTATTATTTTGAGATATGTTCTATCAATACCTAATTTATTGAGAGAGTTTTTAGCATGAAGGGTGTTGAATTTTATTGAAGGACTTTTCTGCATCTATTGAGATAATCATGTGGTTTTTGTCATTGGTTCTGTTTATATGATGGATTATGTCTATTGCTTTGTGTATGTTAAACCAGCCTCGCATTCCAGGGATGAAGCCAACTTGATCATGGTGGATAAGCTCTTTGATGTGCTGCTGGATTTGATTTGCCAATATTTTATTGAGGATTTTTGCATTGATGTTCATCAGCGATATTGGCCTGAATTGTTGTTGTTGTTGTTGTTGTTGTGTCTCTACCAGGTTTTGATATCAGGATGATGCTGGCTTCATAAAATGAATTAGGGAGGAGTCCCTTTTTTTCTATTGTTTGGAATACTTTCAGAAGGAACGGTACTAACTCCTCTTTGTACCTCTGGTAGAATTCAGCTGTGAATCCGTCTGGTCCTGGGCTTTTTTTGGTTGGTAGGCTATTCATTACTGCCTCAATTTCAGAATTTGTTATTGGTCTATTCAGGGATTCGACTTCTTCCTGATTTAGTCTTGGGAGGGTGTATGTGTCCAGGAATTTATCCATTTCTTTCAGATTTTCTAGTTTATTTGTGTAGACGTGTTTATAGTATTCTCTGATGGTAGTTTGTATTTCTGCAGGATCAGTGGTGATATCCCCTTTATCATTTTTTTTATTGTGTCTATTTGAATCTTCTCTCTTTTCTTCTTTATTAGTCTGGCTAAGAGTCCATCTATTTTGTTGATCTGTCAAAAAACCAGCTTCTGGATTCAATGAATTTTTGAAGGGTGTTTTGTGTCTCTATCTCCTTCAGTTCTGCTCTGATCTTAGCTATTTCTTGTCTTCTAGGTTTTGAATTTGTTTGCTCTTGCTTCTCTAGTTTTTTTAATTGTGTGTTAGAGTGTCGAATTTAGATCTCTCCTGCTTTCTCCTGTGGGTATTCAGTGCTATAAATTTCCCTCTAAACACTGCTTTAGCTGTGTCCCAGAGGTTCTGGTACATTGTGTCTTTGTTCTCATTGGTTTCAAAAAACTTACTTATTTCTGCCTTAATTTCATTATTTGCCCAGTAGTCATTCAGGAGCAGGTTGTTCAGTTTCCATGTTGTTGTGGGGTTTTGAGGGAGTTTCTTAATCCTGAGTTCTAATTTGATCGCACTGTGGTCTGAGAGACTGTTATTATTTTCATTTGCTGAGGAGTGTTTTACTTCCAATTATGTGGTCAATTTTAGAATAAGTGTGATGTGGTGCTGAGAAAAATGTATATTCTGTTGATTGGGGGTGGAGAGTTCTGTAGATGTGTATTAGGTCCGCTTGGTGCAGAGCTGACTTCAAGTCCTGAATATCCTTGTTAATTTTCTGTCTCATTGGTCTGTCTAATATTGACAGTATTCTAATTTTATAAAATGTTACTTTAAAACATACTTTCTGGCCAGGTGCAGTGGCTCACGCCTGTAATCCCAGTACTTTGGGAGGTCGAGGTGGGTGGATCATTTGAGGTCAGGAGTTCAAGACCAGCCTGGCCAACATGGTGAAACCTTGCCTCTGCTAAAAATACAAAAATTAGCCAGTCGTGGTGGGCGCCTGTAGTCCCAGCTACTTGGGAGGCTGAGGCAAGAGAATTGCTTGAACTCAGAAGGTGGAGGGTGCAGTGATCCGAGATCGTGCCGATGCACTCCAGCCTGGGTGACAGAGTAAGACTCTCTCTCAAAAAACAAACAAAAACAAAAGGAAACAAACAAACAAACAAAACCCATCTTTTTTTTTTGAGATGGAGTCTTGCTCTGTCACCCAGGCTGCAGTGCAGTGGCATGATCTCGGCTCACTGCAACCTCTGCCTCCTGAGTTCACGTGATTCTCCTGCTTCAGGATCCCGAGTAGCTGGGGCTACAGGCATGCACCACCATGCCTGGCTAATTTTTGTATTTTTTATTAGAGACGGGGTTTCACCATATTGGCCAGGCTGGTCTTGAACTCCTGACCTCAAGTGATCCGCCCTCCTCGGCCTCCCAAAGTGCTGGGATTACAAGCGTGAGCCACCGTGCCCAGCCAAAAATAACCGTACTTTCTAATGGCTGTGTAGTATTTAGTCTTTCAGTGGACCACAATTTTGGAATATTTAGGATGTTTACATATTTTGGTACTATAAGGAATGCGGAGATAAACATTCTTGCTCAAATCATTCTTTGAATCTGTGATTATTTTTTGAAATAGAACGCTAGGAGTATTTGATGAGTTAAGTGGTGTGAACCATGCCAAAAGTTTTCAATACATAGCATTGACTTGGTTTTTTTAAAAAGTTTACTATTTTACATTTCTATCTGTAGAATGAGTGTTAATATTTGAACAGATCTTTACTAACCCGATATGCAGGAATAACATATCTCTGCCCATAAGTGGACTTCCTTCCATCTGATAGCCTCTGTCTTGTTCTGATTCTGCAGTAAACCCTCCCTGTGAAAGGCTAGATCCAATCCTTTTCTTTCTTCCTTGGCCTCACACTGTACACACACAGGGGAAGGTTCATTAAGGGAATGTTTCAGATTGCTTATGGTAAATAACTTGGCTTTTCTAGCCATTTCCAAAGTGAGGGACAAAAAGAATCTTGGTACTAGAGAAAAGTGTGTTAGTTACTCTTTCCTGTTGCAGGGGAGACAGACAGTTTTGTGTGTCAACTTGATCAGGCTACAGTACCCAGTTTCTTCATTAAACGCTAATCTAGGTGTTGCTGTGGGTAGATGTGATGAACATCAAACCTTTGGCTGTGGGAAGGGGTAGTCATCTCTTTCTGCCACATTTGAGTGAGTTTGCATATAGCTGTAGATACTCGTCACAGTCCTTGAGTCCTTGAAGAAAGCCGGCCTGAGATGAAGCCAATTCACAGAGCGTGGCAGAACCAAGACTATTATAGAGAAATTGAGTTTGATCCCTGATAGAACTGTGCCTCAGCCTATTCTATCTCTGGATTTTTACATGAAGCAATGTATCTATTTTATTGTTTAACCCACTTTGAAGTTTGAAATAAACTTTCTAAATAATACACTAAAAACATCAAACACCTAATTATGACTTTTCCTGATTTGAAACTTTTTAAATATCTCCTATTGTTCTCAAGATAAAGTCCAGAATACTGCCTCTCCAGCCCTATCCCACACTGCCGCCTCTATTTGCACCTTACCTTGAACTACTTGGAAATACATTTATTTCCCAGGTTGTATTACACTGTCTGTCATTTTCAGACCTTTGCACACATTGCTGTCTTTGCTTGACATACCTATACTTTTTTTCTGACTGATAGCTGTTTGTTTGTGGCAGTCATTGTTCATGCATAAAGTCACCATCTCCCATTGCCATCTCCCACTCTAGAAGTTAAATTATTTAATGTTTATACCCCCAGATTTCCCCAGTGGCTAAGGAAAGTCATGTAATCTTATTATGAGCCATAGATCATATTAATACATTTATTGGGGAGGTGCTTCTGGGAAAGATTTTTATTAACCTGATGAAAATGGGACAGATATAGCTGACTCAGTTCTTTCCCATGCTTCCTTGGTGTGATGCCTGGAACTGGGGCAGCCTTTCTCGACCATGTGGCAACAAACATGAAAAAAAGGCCAAGAAACACACAAGATGGCCTGCAACACATTGTCAACTTCTCACCAAATGTAGCAGCTACTTACCTCCAGAATTCTTACTATTTGTTAAAGCTGCTGTAAGTTAGAGTTTCTGTTACTTGCAGCTGAAAGCATTCCTAAATTCAGTTTATCTGCTTACATGGCATTTCCTCTTCCCAGGGCCCCAAGATGGGTTTAGGACTCTTTTCTGAGCTCTTATAGCAAGCTCTGCCTACTTCTACCATACCACTCATTGTTTACTTGTTCTTTTTTTCTCTCGATAGATCATAAAGTCCCCAGAGACAGGAGTTGTGTTTAATACACACTTATATCTTCAGCACTTACACAGTAGATGCTCTATGATAGTTATTACACAAGTTAATAAATGTTGTTTATCAACATATTCCCTAGAGGAAAGGTAAAGCAAAAGTTGGAGGGTATCTCTATATATCCCTTCTCTGTAGCCACACTCTCCTTTATAGCTTATTTATTAAGGAAGTACCCTTCAAAAGGGAGATCACGACTTCCAAGGCTCCTTGAGCAGAGGAGTCCACCTTTGCTCCAGCAGCCCGAAACTGACCTGAAATTTTTTCATGTAATTTAAATCTTGCTTCAAAACCTTTACTGAGTCCAAGTCTGCGATCTCATCACCAAGGTGGATCTTGCTTTTAAAGTACTCAACTGTTCTGCATCTCAACCCCAACCCTGAATACTAGAACTCTCATTGCTGCCTTTTTTGATTACTAGTGCCCCATCTGGTATAAAGTGTTTGCATCTTTTATACTGTATTACATGTCTGTTGAGAAGCCTGATATTTATCTATAAACCCATCTTAACTATGAACTAAGATAACTTAAAATGGAAAACTCAAAATGGTTTCTTGTTTAAAGCTTTATTTTGTTCCATTCTGTCGTAACATGCAGAGGAGTAAGAAGAGGAAATAGAATGCTGCTGACAATTCTGCGAGCATTGAGTGACATGCTGAGTCACCAGAGAGAACAGAATTTGCAAAGTAATGTGTCACCCCTGGGGGCTCATTGGGCATTGCTACTCTGCCTTGGGCATCACTGACTAGACAGCATTATTTGACCCATTTTATGATAACCCGTATTTACCTTAAATAATCCATTCTGTGATCTTTCAATGGAAAACATACTGCGATAGAAGAATGAAGACATGCATTAGTTTCAGTTGGGAGAGGGCAACACCTTAAGTGTTTCTGCAGTTTCTGGTCTGGTAAATGTGTCATGGAGTTTATTTTTCAAAAAGCGACACATAAAACACTTAATTCAATTTAACAACAAAGTTTGGCTTCTAGGCAGTTTCTCGTGTGTGACTTCAACAGGTTTTCTTCAGTTGACTATGGGCATTTCTAAGGGGTACTGCATGAATTAATGATGGTTGCACAGAGAAAATTAAGTGTTACCTTGCTATTTATATTGCTATATCCCCTGGTGCAAATCCCAATGGAAGACCTGCTTCTCCATGAGCTATTCCTAGCAGAATATCTTTCCAGTTCCGTGATACTAGAGACAGAACTTAAAACATATGAGGGAAAAATGCATACTTGGGCTTTTCGTTCTTTATTATCTCAGTGGAGTGGTCATGCTCTCCTTTTTCCAAAGCCATAAAGCTTTTGCTGCAGTGAAAATTCTTCCTGCTACGTTGCTCAGCAACAGCTGCACTTCAGCACATGAGGACGATTTCATGCTGGTTACAGAGAAAATCCTGTGTAGAATGGGATGGTGCACTTAAGAATCTTCTATTTCTTGTGTTTATTCAGATTAGTAGCTTCAGCTTGGCCCTGGATTATTGGGAGGCAGAAGGCCCTGGTATAGTCTGGCCTGATCTCTAGCTCTGACTTGATTGAGGTGGGACGTATGTGGGAGCTTGGTCAATGCTACCTTAGGAGAAAAACTGGGAAGTGGGCTGAATTTGTTTTCAGACCGGATCTGTTTTGATCTGTGATCTTGTCTCAAAATTAATTTTTAATTATATAGTAGTACCCAAATACATTCTCCTTATGAAAATGGAATGTTAGGATGAGTCTGAGGTCCCCTTGATCATTCTTCCCAGGTCTCCCCACTCCCAGAGGTCACTGTTATCATCCGTGCATTGAGGATCCTTCTGAAAACATTTTGTGTGCATTTACATACATGCATGTGCACTTTGGGACATCACTTTGTGTGTATGTACCTGTGTTTGTTTTACAAAAAGGAAGATTATACTATCTGTTTTGCTTGGCCACTTGCTTCTTTCAATCAACAATATTTCCTGGAAATACATGTATATAATATACATGTATTCATTCCTTTCTTTTAAACTATTGTGTTGTTTTCTTGGTGTGGTGTATATACAATGGTTGACTTAGCCCTTCTGGCTTTGATGATCAGGTATACTGTTTCTAGTTTTGTTCCTCTCTCCTACCTCCTGAAGTTGGTCACTAACCACTGCGTACTAACCACTGCGATCCTGGTACCCAAACATTGTCCCTGCAATGCCATAAAGGACTAAATGAGCACACTTGGGACACCTCATGTCATGGAGATCTTCCCTTCCATCCAATGGAAGAAAAACATCAGATTAAACTAACTTACTGGGGGGTCTTTTTCCATTTCAGAACTTGGGATGGCTCTCTGCTTTCTGCAATAGTGGTTCTCAATCTTTAGTAAACATAAAAGTTGTCTGAGATGCTTATTAAAATGCAGATTCCCAGGCTTTACTTCCAGGAGGTCTGGAGTGATGCCCAGGAATCTGCATTTTAACACATGCTTCAGGTGATTCTATTGTAGGTGGCACCTACATTTTGAGAGCTAATGTCCCAATTACAATTTCTTCTTGATTCCTACCCTCTCCCATGAGGCCTACCCTGTCCCTCTTCTCTGCTCACAAATTAGACTCCTCTCTCCAGTCTGTAGATGAGCTTATGCTTCTGAACTTAGCTTATTTTGTTTCCTCTGCTTGGATTTCCCTTTTCATTCCCCCATTCTCAATTCCACCTGGTAAATTTCTACTCATCCCTCAAGGCCCAATTTAAATGTCACTTTCTCCACAAAGTCTCCTTCATTCTTTCCCAGTGCTCCCCTTTCCCTTGGTTCTTTATTCTGTTGCTAATAAAACGTGTGCTTGTGCACATGCATGCATTTTTAATGTACAGTTATACAAGGTCCCCATATGTGGCTGTTAAAGCTGTGCACTGCACAAGCCTGGGGGGCATCATTCATATAAATAATGATTGTATATTTATTTTGAAAATTTCTGGCAGATGGCAGTAAAGTGTCTTAGTCAATAATAACTTAATTGTACATTTTAAAATAAACCAAAGAGTGTAATTGGATTGTTGTAACACAAAGGATAAATGCTTGAGGGGATGGATACCCCATTCTCCATGATGTGATTATTATGCATTACATACCTGTATCAAAACATCTCATGTATCCCATAAATATATACACCTATTATGTACTCACAAATATTAAACATTTTTTTTAAAAAGTCTTGAAAAAGGGACAGCTTTTTCAAATTTGCAGTGTACCATTTGGGGTGGCCCCAAAGCTGTTTATAGAGTCTATTGTCTTCCTAGACTGTGAGCCCTTCAGGAGAATAATTAGGCTGGCATAATGATCTGTGAAGATCTGTGAAGAATTGGGCTGGCATAGCCATTGGCACACAGAAATAAAAGTCAACACTTACTGAAAATTTACTATGAGTTAGACATGTTCTAGGGACTTGTCACTATTTAATTTATTAAAGTTATTTAATTCTCATAACAGCCATATGAGATCACTGCAATTGTCATCCCATTTTAGAGATAGCCAAACTGAAGCACAGGGAGGGTAAGTGACTTGTCTGAGGTCACACAGCTGGGATTTAGCCTAAGAAGCCTGATTCCCTTCCCAAGCTTTTGACTATTCAAATATGTTTATTTGAATTATTGTTTCTGACTCCAAGCTAACTTATTTACTTTTATAAGGTAATACTTTTAGGCATTTCACTATGTTGGCATTCTTAGGCATGGTGGAGGAAAAGATAATACTAACAGATATGTGTAAAGCCTTGTACACAATTACAAGATATATTTACATATAGTGACTGATATGGCTTGGCTCTGTGTCCCCATCCAAATCTCATCTCGAATTGTAATCCCCGTGTGTCAGGGGAGAGACCTGGTGGGGGCGATTGGATCATGGGGGCGGATTCTGCCCTTGCTGTTCTCGTGATAGTGAGTTCTGATTAGATCTGATGGTTTAAAACTGTGGCACTTTCCCACCTTACTCTCTCTCTCCTGCCACCATGTAAGATGTGCCTTGCTTCTCCTTCACCTTCCACCATGATTGTAAGTTTCCTGAGGCCTCCCCAGCAATGTGGAACCATGAGTCAATTAAACCTCTTTCCTTTATAAATTACCCAGTCTCAGGTAGTTCTTTATAGCAATGTGAAAATGGACTAGTACAATGACAAAAATAATAGTGGTTTCCATTTGTTAAGTGCCTCCTATATGCTAGGTGTCTCCCTACAAGATTCTTTATATGTGTTCATTATTCAATTTAAAAATACAGTTACCTACAAAAATAGACAGTATTAGTTTCTCTGAACAGTGAAGGAAACTGAGGCTCAGTGAGGCTAAGTGATTTGCCTAAGGCTACCAAATGCAAGTGCTGGCTATGACCCCAAGCTTCCTGACTGACCACCTTTGATTCACATTACCCATATGATAGAGGTGGAAACTGAAGCTCAGAGAAGCTGAGAGCCTTATCTGTGTCTTATGGTTCAAAAGCCCATATACCTCGCACTATAGCATGTTGACCCTTAGAGTGGCTTACTATTGAAACCAAACTCCTCCAGTTGCTGTATTTTTAACTCTGAGTTAGTTGTAAAACTTAATCATGATCAAACTATATCTTACAAATGAGGAGTCTGGAGTTTCAATGACTTGCCCAAGATATATCTAATAATTGGTTAAGCAGGGACCTGAACCTAGGTAGTCTGACTTCAAATGTATCATCAACAGCTTACAACCCAAGTTTTAGACTGCAGAAAGCCCCCTTTCCTCCTGAGCCTCACTACAGAATCACCCCAGAGCTGCTATCTCCATCTATGGCCAGTAACCCACAACACTACCCAAAATGTCATAATCCTTTTTGTATTTCAGGTGACAAAATAAAGAGATACATGTTGCTTTTCACCAGACTAGAATGACAACAGCATGCAGCTGGCTGAGATTCATCTGGAAAACGAACCTTCTGGTGGAGGTGGAGGGATCTAATCTGCACATAGCAGGGTTGTCTAGACCCCAAGAAGAAGTGAATTCACTGTTGGTTGGTGGCTGAAAGCATTTCTTCACCCTTCATATGGTTGTACTGATGAACTAAAGAATATAATCCATGGTAGGAAACTTCCCGTGGGCCTTTGCTACTAAAATTACCTAAGTTACCCCTGACTCCTCTATTGGAAAATGTATTGCCAACTCAGTGAAAATCTTATGTCATAGGCAGTTAAGCAGTTTTTTTTTCCCCTATTTTATCATGGGCAGAGACCAATTTGGAGATACATACATTTGAGTCACAAACAGCACTCCCAGCCTGAGTTATTCATGCCCAAATTCCTCAATGTCTAATAACAAAAATGTCTCTTCTCATTAGGAATGTCAGAAACAGAGTTTTCCCCTGGGAGTCTAAATAAAATCACACATCTGGATTGGAAATTTAAAAAAATTGTCCAGATACTTCTACATAGTTGGAAGTTTAGCATAATACAAACATTTAGAGTGAGCTTTTCCCCTCCAGTCACAGAGTTATTCCTGTTCCTTTGTAGATAAATGATTAAATGCTATTACAAGGTAGAAACTCCAATTGTGAAGATGAACTCTGAACTATTAAGCCTTCAAGACTTCATTCTGTAAGAGTCAATTCTAGAGAGTTCTTGATGATCAGGTTGTAGAGCAATGTATTCAAAAACCATGAAGCAAATATTCAAAACATTCTGTGGCCTGGCTATATCCAGGATCAATTATTCACAATATTGGGAGATACTACTGCATCAGTAATCTTGTAAAAATTCATAAAGGGACTTCAGCATGCAACTGAGGCTGGGACCCACTGTAGTCTAAGCCATGTTACATGTGTGGTGGGGTATTGATCTTCTCAGCTCTTAGGGGGCTACAGCCCCTGTGCAGGAGCAGGTCACCTCTAGCCCTCAATCCTGCTTATCTGGGTTATGAAGAAATATGATTATTTTCTATGTGAAATAGGCTGAGAACACCTGGTGGTTTAAAATCAACCCTTTCATTTATAGAAAGTGCTATGGTCTGAATGTGTCTCCAAACTCATGTGTTGGAAATTTAATTTCCAATGCAACAGTGTTAGGAGATGGGACCTTTTGGGAGATGTTTCAGCCAGGAGGGTTCTGCCCTCATGAATGAATTAATGCTGATATAATAAGGGCTTGCAGGAGTGGGATCACTTTCTCTTGCCCCTTCTGCCTTCTTCCCTGTAAGGACACAGCAGGAAGAACCTCACCAGATGCTGGCACCTTGATTTTGGACTTCCCAGCCCCTAGAACTGTGAGAATTAAATTTCTGTTATTTATAAATTGCCTAGTCTCAGGTCTTTTGTTATGGTGGCACAAAATCAATTAAGATGGGTCATCAGCCCGAGTGCCATGAAGTCAGTGTAGGCAGCCATTAGGTCAATCAGGTAAGCTGGTGGCTTCCAACAGAGGGTGCCTACTATGGATGTGCTTTGTTTCTTTCTCTCTCCACCACCCCCTGTCACTTCTCTTTTCTCCTGTCTGCTGGCCTGCTTACCTGTTATTCAATTTACTTACTTATATTATTTTGCCAACAGTTTTCAGAGGAGAGTCTTAGGAAAACATTATTATAAATCTTTAATAAGTATAAGAGATGAGCGATTGTTTGAATGAACTTTACACTGTTGCTTAGACACCTCCTCCTCTGGATTTACCTATGGAAGTCCCTTAATCTGGAATTCTATTTTTCACACACTTTCTTGTGTCTTGGGATTTACTTACTTGATCTCTCACTGGAATCCTCTTATCTATATTTCCCCATATACACACCTTTCCCATACTTCATGATTCACTTACAAATGCTGTCTTCTCTGCACACCCCTGCAATCAGAAATATAATCTCTTGCATTTTTGAACTGTTTTAGCACTTTGCATGCTTTTTAATTTTATTATTATTTTAAACTGACAAAACTATATATACTAATGGTGTATAACATGATGTTTTGGCATATATATGTATTATGAAATGGCTAAATCAAGATAATTAAGCTAAGCATTACTTTTCATACTTACATTTTTGTGGTTGCATCTTATGCCTTAAAGCACCTATCACTTTGTACAGCAAGCAGGTGGGTGTTTGTATACAGGACTTACCTGCTGGTGATGAATATTTTTGGTGGCCTATCAAGCTCCCATTTTCCTTGTGGCAGGTTTCATTTTCCAAAAGAAGTTGCAACAACAATTCCAGTGTCACATATTCTTCCAGAACCTTGCCACTGAGCAAGGAAAATTCACTTTTCCTCTTTTCTATCACAAGGTCAAAGGGTAATCCTGTCCCATTTGCTACTGATTGTTTCAGGATTCAATTCAGATCCAAATGCAAGAGGACAGGTTTGTTGGGGACTCCTTAATTTGTTTTCTTTTTCTGGGAAAAGTTCTGGAAGCAACTTTTACCCTCTTCTTTTAGATCTTGTCATGTGCAGACGTAGGGTCTAGAACCACTACACCTATATCATTACCAGTCTGAGATGAGTCTTCCTCATGGAAGAGAGCAGAGGCCAAGAGTATTGCAGAGGAATGGAGCTAGAGTCACTGGAGCACACCTTTCCCAAAGCCCACCCTACTGCAGTTCTTCCCATCATGTGAGTATGTCATCAGGGCCAGGCTTCAATGTGAGTCATGTGGACCTAAAATAACAATGACTTAAGTGGAATGGATGCTTAATTCCTTTTTCATGTAAAAGTCTGGAGGAACTCAGAGCAGGGCTAGTGTGGCAGCTCCACTTGGTAAAGTCCTCACGGACTCCGAAGTCTTCCAGATCATCACTCCACTATCCCTAGGATATGACCTTTATCCTAAGGTCCAAGATAATGACCTCTGTTTTCCAGGCAGCTAGAAGGAGGAAGACATAAGAAAGAAGAAGGTGAAGTGTATGTGCACCCTGTCTCTTGAGGAAGATTCTTAGAAGCTGCCAAATAGACTTCTATTTATATCTTATTGGCTAAAGCTTAGTGTGGAGGAGGCTTGGAAAAGTAGTTTTTATTCTAAGTGGCCAAATGCCCAGGTAATAATTAGGAGTTATATGATTATGAGATATTGGGGGACAAGTCAGTCTCTGAAACGGTGAAGCAATAAATTTCTTTCCCATTTAAAATGAGTTTATATTGGACTTTCTATTAACTTGTAGACAAAGGTCTTGATTAATACACCCTCTTTCTAGCACATAATCTAGAATAGTTTTCCTCTTCCAGTTTGTTGACCCAGTTCAATTCCAGGATCCTGGAATTTACAGACAGAGTAGTTGTGTGCTTTCCTTCTCTTATCTTATATCTTTTAATAGACAAATTATAATAGCACAAGATAGTCTAAGTTAGGAATGGGAAAAGCTTTTGTATTAAATTCCAGCCTCATCTCACAAGCCCTCCAGGAGGGCAGGGACCAAATTCTGTATTGTCTGCTGCTACAGCACAGCACCTATGACAATGCCTGGCACATTGTAAGTGAGCAATAAATATTTGCTGAGCAAATGAATAACTAGATAAACTCTGATTGATTCATGTAGGTTTCCTAAGGAGTTGTGTTGAGGAGGGCTCCAGGGCTTTGTCTGGGCTGAGCCATGATCCATTCCTGGTATCTGCTGTGAGCTCAGTGTGGGGAATACCAGGTATTTGCTGGTGCTTGATGGAGAAATACCTCCAGTGATTCTTTATCGTAGGTCTGTTCTGTGCATCTTACACATTGTATATAGACTTATATTTCAATTAACAACCATCTTTTCCCATAAAATTACATTTTTTCCACATAGGAAACCTGCCATAATAACTTGCACATGGTAGAATCAATAAATATTGAGTCTCAATTGTGTTTTTCAAAAACAGTGTTCTGCTTTCACCAAGCAATCAATTAACTGCCCAGATGTGTTTTAATTAAATATTCCTACAGATGCCTTCATGCGTATTTACTCCAATTAGCACCTTTTAATCCTCAAAAAAGAAATATAATCAGTACATCACAACTTGTTGGTAATGCTAAACTGAAGGAGAAGCAAATACTAGTGAAGGACTTGAACCAATCAAAACCTGTGTAAAGAGGGTTTTTGTTTGTTTTCAAGGAAAGTAATTCAAAGTATATATTAAGCATCTAGGCGCAATGACAACAACAGAAATGTCAAAATAGTCATGGTGAACGAAATGCTAACAAGACGCATGTGTGTAATGTGACCTCCTGGTGGGAAAGGGCAGGGCTATTTTGGCTGGAATGTCTCATGGAGGAGGGAGAGCCAGTCCTTCTCTTGAGTCTTTTAGGTACAATTGCATTGAGAATGCCAGGTCCAGTTTTTAGACTCATTTGTCCCTATCCTCAAAAAATGATCATATGGGTGGAATAAAGAGAAATGCACGTAGATAATAATAGTCAATAATAGTCGATATTGGTAGAGATCTTTGTATGTGCTGGCTGCCACACTATATACTTTCTATTTATGCTTAATTTGGTCCTCCATACAAGCTCTTGAGGTAGCTGCTAATACTTTAAGGAATTAGGGATTGATTTATGATGAGAAATATATGGAGAGAATCATGCATAGCTCAGCTGGGAAGGAACAAGAAAGATGTCAGCAATAAGACCAAGCCGGGAGTCACTTGTATTTGACCTAGAACATGAAGAGAGGAGATGTATTTCAGAAAATGAACTCAGGCTGCATGCTGACACAACACTTTAATGGTAGTAGGATAGCTGAGATTGGGCCTCAGAGTCATCCCCTTTTGAGATGCTGGACTGTATTGACATGGAAGGGATGGCCAGCTCAGTGGGTGTTGCCTTCTTCAGTAGCAGTCACATGCAGGACGTGGACTCTTGGGCAGGAAAATGGCAGAGGACACGTAAGTACAAGTGTAGTGTTCTTTGAGGAGATACTTTTCTGTTTCTTTGAGACAGGGTCTTGCTCTGTCACTCAGGCTGGAGTGCATTAGTGCTATCTCGGCTCACTGCAACCTCCGCCTCCAGGGTTCAAGTGATTCTCGTGTCTCAGCCTCCCAAGCAGCTGGGATTACAAGCGTGTGCCACCACACCCAGCTATTTTTTTTTTGTATTTTTAGTAGAGACGGAGTTTCACTATGTTGGCCAGACTGGTCTCGAACTCCTGGCCTCAAGCGAACCACCCACCTTGGCCTCCCAAAGTGCTAGGATCACAGATGTGAGCCACTGTGCCCAGCTGAGGATATATTCTTTATGCTCTTTCTAACACTTAGAGGTTATAAATTTGTAGATTAGGAAATCTCCAACTCTGGGTGTTTTAAAAAGATGCCTCCATCTCTTCTTTTTCTCCCTCTCTGCTATAGTTTCTTCCTTAGAAATAATTAGATTACAAGGACAGATGTGGTGGCTCATGCTTATAATCCCAGCACTTTGGGAAGCTGAGGCAGGAGGATCACTTGGGCCCAGCCTAGGCAACATAACGAGGCACCATCTCTACAAAACAACAACAACAACAACAACAACAACAACAACAACAACAGCAACAACAAATTGGCCGGGCACCTGTAGTCAAGCTACCCAGGAGGCTGAGGTGGGAGGACTGTTTGAGCCCAGGAGGTCGAGGCTGCAGTGAGCCGACATCACACCATTGCGTGAGACCCTGTCTCAAAAAAATAAAGAAGCGAAGACAGAAAGAAAAAAAAGAAAAAGAAAAGAAAGAAGAAAGAAAGAAAGAAAAAGAAAGAAAAAGAATTAGGGCCGGGTGTGGTGGCTCATGCCTGTAATCCTAGCATTTTGTGGGGCTGAGGTGGGCAGATCACTTGAGGTCAGGAATTCAAGAGCAGCCTAGCCAACATGGTGAAACCCTGTCTCTACTAAAAATGCAAAAATTAGCTGGGTGTGGTGGCGGGTGCCTGTAATCCCAGTTACATGGGAGGCTGGGGCAGGAGAATTGCTGGAACCCAGGAGGTGGAGGTTGCAGTGAGCTGAGATTGTGCCACTGCAATCCAGCCTGGGTGATAGAGTGAGACTGTCTCAAAAAAGAAAAGAAAAGAAAAATTACATTACAGTGCTGTGAACAGCAATGGGAGAAATGAGCATGTCAGACAGATGCACTATGGCTATTTTATAATTTTTTGTGGCCTATGAGTTACTGGGAAGGGCCAGAATGTTGCAGGAGAGTTCACCAGAACTTTGTCTTAGTCATTGTGACAAAGTGGGGAGAGTAGTAAGAGTCTCTCCCCTCTTTATGGAAAGAGTCTCATAAATCCCCTCATCACTAGTAGCTCTTTCATTGCCTTCAGACTCCATATGCCTAGTTATCTTGTCATCTTTCTGTCTGGAAACTTCATGGGGAACTCAGAATATATTATGAGCAAAGCTATAATACCAAACTCTGTGCTGGAGTACTTCTGCCCAACAGCCTGGGAAAACTCCTAACATGATTGCAAGGGTGGGGCAATACTTGCAGGGTTTGTGTCATCGGGGTTGAGGTGTGATTAAAGGCGAGGTAGAGGTGCTGCTTGAAGCCCAGTTGCCTTTCCTAGGGAGGCTCTGGGTTACTCCGGGCCAAGGTCTGCAAGTCATTTAAGAGTATCTAATTCAGTGCTGCCCACAGGATGTTAGATTGTGGAGGAAACTCTGGAGAGCAATTTCAATGGTGGAAGAAAACAAGGCATATGTAATGAGGAGTAGAGGAATCACATAATATTGAGGAAGTAGAACATGGAGTAAGAAGTTAAACTCTGACTGGATGCGGTGGCTCACTCCTATAATCCTAGCACTTTGGGAAGCCAAGGCAGGAGGATTGCCTGAGTCCAGGAGCTCGAGACCAGCCTGAATAACATAGGGAGACACTATCTCTACCAAACAAACAAAAAAAATTAGCCAGGAGTGGTGCCACGTGCCCATAGTCCCAGCTACTCGGGAGGCTGAGGCAGGAGGATTGCTTGAGCCCAGGAGTTTGAGGCTGCAGTGACCTATGATTACACCACTGCACTCCAGCCTGGGCAACAGAGCAAGAGCTTGTCTTAAAAAAAAAAAAAGTTAAATTCTGCTTCATCCTTGACCATTTCTTTTCAGTGTCATAGCACCTGCTAAACTAACTAACCAAATAAGGGATGTGGGTCCCTCTCATGATAAGAACTGATGGGTTTTCACTTGCAGATATATACATATATATATATATATATAAAACATAATGTGGTATTTGTTCCTGTATACTCTCATAGATATTTGAACTAAAATTTCTATACAATGAGAGAGGTTGAACAATTAATGCTTTATGAGATTCCTAAATAATTAAAGGGTTAGATTTGATGCTAACAGGAGTTAGTAACACAGAGGGGATGGAAGTTGGAGCCGAGAGCTGCAACAGTGCCTCCTGCCACATCATGTGAACTCAGGAACCCTATGAGTAAACAACTGGGTGCTTACATGATTTGCCAGCCACCAAACACACGTTGGGATCTCTTCCCCCTCTGCTTGTAGGACCCCTGATCATTCAAGATCAATATTTCCAAAGAAAACAAAATCATTCATTGACACTTAGGACTCTGTGGCTCTGTGCCCACTAGTGGTATTGTCACCAAAGACTAACAATGATCTTTGGCGAATTGTCAAGACTTTGATGAGCTCCTGTGCTCAGGTGCCAATCTGCAAACCTGAATGCTCCGAGGGTAAGAATTCAGGAGGAGTTAGAATGGCCAAGGGATTCAATTTTGGCAATGAATATTCTTCCATCTCCTGGAGTTTTTACTCTGGAGTTCTTGTATATTTCAGCAGAACTTTTTTGTGACTTGGACATTGGGAATGAAATCAGATCTTGGGATCAGCAGTGTTTTGCCCAGCGATCTCAGTCCTATGCCTGAGTCCTTCTGCCTCTTCATTCTTTCTCTTGCCCCTCCTTTATCTTCAGGGTCAGTGTAACACAGGCATTTTAATTTTAGGAATACTCAGCCTGCCTAAACTGGACTGATGTGTGAAGTGTCAGGGTGCCCAGGAGGAGAACTAAGTGCTGATTGATGGCCGGCTTGCAGCCCGAGCTGCAGCCTGGCCCTGCAGCAGCCTTCATTAACAGAAGCTTCTTTGAAGAGCTTGATGTGCTCACTTCCAGATTGTCCCTTAGGCCCAGCTATGGTTCTTCAAAGTCTAAATGTCAAGGCTTGTTCTGCCTCTAGCCACGTGCTAGAGATGTTTTCTGTTTTCCTCAGTCTGTTTTGTCTCTGGGGCCATGGAAATCCTCAACTCATTCAACCAGGAATTTAGTTTCTCATCCTCTTTTTTAGTCATGTGGTTGGTAGGTTTCAAACAGGATTAATACAGCCTCTGAGTTTAACCAGGTTTCCAAGTTGAAATCTGACACTGATTCCATCATACAGGTACAGAAGCAAGGGATGGGAGGCCGCTTCTGTGGACAAACTCAAGGACGGAAAGAAGTAATAATGAGTTTGGAGCCTGGGACTCCTTTAATGGGAGGAAAGAGCTTGTAACTTTGACGACGAAACTACTCTGGCTCCAAAATAAGCAGAAACATGATCCAGTGACTTCATTTCTTCTAAGAATCAATAGAATTAAAAAAAAAAAAGAATTGATCCCATTTTCAAAACAACAGAAAGGTTTCTTTTTCTTTTTTTCTTTCTTGTTCTCTTCCCTCCTCTGCTGCCTCTCTTTCTTCTTTTTTTATTTTAATTCTCTTATATCCTAATGTGAAAGCTCCAAGGAAAGTTATTTCTTCATTGAAAAGTAGATCTGTGCAAATTATTCATTATGCTTTATGATGCCCTGAGTGCTCTATTTATACTGCATTGCTCTTTTATGATGCTTATCAAAGATTATGGATCTAGGGATTAGGAAAAACACTGTTCGGCTTTTATTCATTTCATAGCTATGCCATCCACTGTCTTGGGTGGCGCATTTGATAGGCAAGAAATAAAACTTGGAAAGGTGCGGTGTACCAGGTATTTAAAACTAAATGTAACCATCCATGGAGACCCTAAAGCAGAAGTTTTACCTATACGTTTTCATGCCCTAGAGTCTCACATAGTGTCTTATACAGAGTGGATGCTCATTCAACTTTAACAGTGGACATAGAAGATATTAGTTTCAACTACTGGTCTCCTTCGACCTTCAGTGACCTCCTGGAAGAAAGGAACTGTGTTTTAGAAAAGCAAACAATCCTGAAAAGAACAAACAAGCAACCCCTCCAAAACTTTAGGTTCCACATACTGGGTACCATGTAGCAAAATAATTAACCCATAGTACATGTCTTGGGCTCGATAAGCAATGAAAAGGTTGATTTTTATGTGCATAAACACCTCTGGGTTGCTTTTGAGTGTGTATGTAAGTAGAGAGTCATAGAATGTCAGGTAATCTATTCTACTAAAAAAATTTTCTTTTAAGTAACAAAAGGACCCTTACTGTGCTTAGGCTATAACCATCTAAATGTGTGCTACTAGTCTGGGTAATATTTTAGTTATAATCCCATATGTTAGAATTCAATGTCTGTCACTTGTCAGATTTTTTTCTGTAGAATGCCCAAGAAATCTTTAAGCTGTGAACATGTAGCATCAGAACGTCAGTGTTGAATGAGCCTCTGTGTGCAAAGCCCTGCCTTATATGCCATGTGTGAGGAGTGGGCAGGGCAGGAGAAAGAGCAGACACCAAATAGACCATCACAAGAAAGGTTTTTTTTTGCTTCAGGAGTTTACCACATTGCTGGGTGAACAGGAAATGCACACAAACCCATCATCTCTCAACACCTATGGTATATATGGTTGTTTACTCATTCTTAGCTTTTCAGTAACCCCAAAGAAGGTGTTTTGAGGCTGTTACTATTTGTTTTCTGGAATCAAGGAAAGATAAATGAAGTTTCCTTAATGGAACTGGTATCTATCTGCATGACTGTATTTTACACACACACACACACACACACACACACACACACACGCACACACGGTTTTTTTTGGTTAAGGTGGATCCCCTTTGGCCTTGGCCTTGGTTTGTCACATTCTTTCACACAAACCTGACTACTAAAGATATCAGGTTTTTCTGACAGCTCCTGGCACCCAACAGCTTTCAGCAGGCGTGGTTTCAATTTATATTTAGTCTCTTAGACGCCCTTAGCAGGCTTATTCGCACCATGAGGTGAATGAGGGTGGAATGGCCAGGCCATAAATCATCTTCCTGAACATGTTCTCAAAGAGTCACTTCTAAAGGAGCAGGATCAGGCGACCTGTGTACTACTTTCTACTAACAAGTTCAAAGCTCTTGTAGACAAAGGCCAATTGATCTCAGCACACTTTCTCTTTGGAGGAAGATAGGGTATCCCATTTAGAGAGAGGGAAACTGAGACACAGAGGTGAAGTTACTTTCCTGAGGTCATGGGGAGCTCGTGGCAGAAAGGAATAGAAGCTTCCATCTGGCTGGCTTCTCTGTTACAGCCCCCTGCCTCAGCTTGGGTACAGTGAAGCTAATTTTGATTCAGATCGGATTCCCCTGATCTACTCTTTATCCAACAATGGGAGTGAGTTCTCCATATTTCAACCTGCTTCCCTTGGATGCCAGAAGGAACTTTTGCACTTTGGGGCTTCTGCTAAATGAAATACAGAGGTTTAATCCAGGAGAGCTGATTGTTGGGCCATCGTGGCCTCTCAGCAGCTGTGTGTCTTGGGAAAGTCACTTTATTGTCTGTGATTTGGTTTTCCTATGTGTAGAATGGGAAGGTAATCCTGATGACAGGGCCGGGTTCCTGTGAGGGCCAAACAGGATAATGCACCAGAAAGCCTTTTAAAGCTTTTAACAAATTATTGTGTGCATTTTTTTCTTTTATTTTTATTTCTTTGTGTGAAATCTCCCACAAAATATGTGTTTATTTTCATAAAATGGAAAACTTTATGCAAACAGAAATATATATATAAAGTATTCAACCCCCATGGGAATATTAACTTTCTGTAAGAATCTTTCTACTACTCACTTCTTTTGGAATATTTTGAAACCAGGATTCTTCCTGCTGTCTGTTTCACCTACTGAACCCCACTCTCCTAAGGAGCTTTCTAAAGAGCTTTGTCTCCTTATTGCTATGGCCAGTGGCTTTGTCTTTGTGTTGAAACTGCTTTTACAAGGATTATGACAGTGAGAGAAGTCTAGCATGGCTAACTCCATCTTGCTTCTAGCCTCACAGGCCGGCTACTGTGCTCATTCCTGGGCCTAGGCCAAGCTAACCATGGGAGGAATTTAGTTGATAGTTTAACTTGAAAATGAGGATAATAATAGTCGTTCTCTAAAACGAACCCCCTTCTTTCTCAGGGACCAAAACTGCCTTTGTAAAACTAATGAAAGGCCATGAGATTATGGGAGGGCCTGAATTTTACTAAAATGTAGGTGTAGTTTCTCTGATCCCTTACTGCTCAGGAGTCATGTGGCCACAGGTCACAAGATTTGTAACTTCCCCAGTTGCTCCTATAGATAACATCAGTATTGTAGAACCTAAGACTGGTCTTTTGAGATATTTTTCAGACCAATTCCATCTGGACTTACGACTCAAATGGTCCTGTGGTCAGTCTCCCACCGAGATGGGCTCAGTGCATGAGGACCGTTTTCCACACCTCTGTGATTGCATCCCCAACCCATCAGCTGCACAATTCCCTAGTCCCTTGCCCACCAAATTGTCCTAACCTCTGAGCCTTCAGAGAGACGGGTTGAGTAATAACTCCATCTTCTATGTGGCCGACCCAGATTTAATGAAACTCTCTCCACTGCAATAGCACAGTGAATTGTTTTTTTCTGTGCACTGCACAGGAAGAACCCATCTGGCCATTACAGTGTGCATCCTTCTAGAAGAATGTGCTTCTGATACTTTTTACATCTTCTTGATTACCGTTACTTATTTGGATTTTACCAAAAAACCTATGAAATGTATGTACACAGTGACAGATCAAACTATATCCAGAAGTGTATAAAGAAAAATTTAATCAATTTCCCTTCCCCTCCAATCCTGTCCCACTTCAGTAATCGAAGTTATTAGTTTGGTCGTATGCTTCCACTCTTTTCTCTGTGCTCATGCAAATGCACTTAACTGTGCATGCATAAATATGGGTTTCTCCCCCTTATTTTTTACAGAAAGGAAATCATATTATAAATATTACTTTGCAACTTACATTTTGCTTTAAAAATATAGCACATCCCTTCAGGTTAAAACATATTTTATTTTTAATGGATACATAATATTTCATAGTATGAATATACCATAAATTATGCAATTATTTTCTTATCTGTGACTTGGGAGGTTTTTCAAAGTTGAGGTGCATCATTGGGTCAATATATTTTGGAAGTATTAGGTGCCACAAGATAACTGTTAAAAATAGATTGCAGCCATTTCCACTCCCACCTGCAATATATTAAAGAGCCTGACTCCCCACACCCTGGCTACCACAGATGCTGTCAATACTTCTGATAGGTTTTAATTTACATTTCCTTGATTACGGAAGATTATGAGTATTTTTTCAGATGTAAACTGACTGTTTTCAGTTCCATTCCTGTGAATTACTGTTCATAGTCTTTGGTCTTTTTGTATGGCAGATTTTTTCATATTAATATTAACGCATCTGCTCTATGTAGTTTAGATGTGTTATGGTCTGAATGTTGGTGTCCCTCCCTGCCAAATTAATATGTTGAAACATAATCCTCAATGCAATAGTATTGTACTGCAAAAGGGTGGGACTTTAGAAGGCGATTAAGTCATGAGAGCTCTGTCCCCATGAGTGAAATTCTCTTCTAAAAGAGGCCCAAGGGAGACTGTTTACCCTTCCACCATGGAAGGACACATAGAAGGCATAAGGAACAGGCCCTCACCAGACACTGAAGCTGCTGGTGCCTTGATCTTGGACTTCCAGCCTCCAGAACTGTGAGCAATAAAGTTCTGTTATTTATACATTATCCAGTCTAAGGTATTTTATTATAGTAGCTCAAAAGGACTAATTCAAGATGTTTTCTCCCAGTATGCTGTTTATCTTCTATTATTTATGGCATTCCTTGCCACATGGGAATTTTTAAGTCAATTGCTCTCTCTTTTCAGAAATCTTTTTATTATCTGTGCTGCTTCAATATTTCTGTTTTCCCCCTCTCTCCTGCACTCTTCCTTTTTCATTTATCTCCTGGTTTCCTCTTCTTTTTTTTTTTTCATGTTATCCAGTAGCTGTGAGTTCTGTCCTGTTGGTATTTTTTTCTTCTCTCAAAATTTGGAACAATTCTTTGTCATTTCTCACCTTTATGCTGAAGACATCCTTATCTGTAACTCTAGCACCAACCTCTAGTCCTAGGTGTTCAGTTCCCCATGAGGCATCTGCACTTGGATCTTTCTCCCGTACCTCAGACAACTTGGGTAAGAGGAAATTCTTTGTTTAACCCCTTGCCAAAAGCACTTCTTCCCACCAACTTCTCTTCTATATTCTTTCTCAATATAATTAGTTATCTGTCACCTGGACTTGTGATTTTGGGTTCTTCAATTCTTATCCAACTCACTTAAGGGTTTTCAACCCAGTCCTTTCCTCTCTCTGCCCAATGCCTCCTCCCTGGTCTAACACCTGGCACTTTGTGAGGAAATACTTCCATTTTTAAGGTGTGTGATTCCTCCTACATGGACACAATGTTTGGTGCAGTGTATTAGGAAATGCTCTGTTACTTGGAAGAGTTAAAAACATGGTTCAAGGTGAGAGTTGTGGGCATGGGGATCCTGGACAGGAAACCTCACTAGAAGAATGAAGTCATGTGTGATGCCAATCACCTGGGGAGCAGGTGAGTCCTAGGTACGTCCAGGGAAATGAGAAAGAACTTCCACTAAGAAGGATCTTCTCTAAGTCAGATATCCAGATAGTTGCTCCCATTTTGCATGTTTTAAAGATGGTTTTACCACATGAAAAAGGCTGGAAGGTGAGGGTATCAGGCAAGAAGTATTCAGGGATATCAGCCCTTGGAATGAGTAAAGTGTTCTGAGGAGATCATGAGGAACAGGGTAAGCAAGCTAGAAAAGGATTAGACATTTATGTTTCATAAGTCGAATTGGTTTTCTTGGTATTCTTCCTGTGTTTCCACTCTATTCTCATTTATGAGTTTTTTTTTTTTTTTTTAACAAGTTTTGGCTTGTGTCAGCACTGCTAAGGAGACAGGGCAGCAGACTGCTACTGGGATCATCATGGTAGTGTTAACAAAGATGCTGATGGATGAGCTCAAGGAAAAAGGGAAGGTACTGAGTGAGAGCAGCTAAGTACTTGGGAGGCAATGCAGTGAAGCGATGGAGGATGCAGGCGGCACAGCTAGGCTCTGGCTCCATCACTTGCTAGCTGTGTAACTGATATGGTCCCTACCCAAATCTCATCTTGAATTGTAGCTTCCATAATTCCCACATGTTGTAGGAGGAACCCGGTGGGAGATAATTGAATCATGGGGGTGGTTTCTCCCATTCCCATACTGTTCTCATAATAGTGAATACATCTCATGAGATCTGATGGTTTTATAAGGGGTTTCTGCTTTTGCTTGGCTCTCGTTCTCTCTTGCCCGCTGCCGTTTAAGACATGCCTTCCACCATGATTGTGAGGACTCCCCAGCCACGTGGAACTGTGAGTCTATTAAACCTCTTTTTTTTTTTTTTTAAACAAATTACCTAGTCTTGGGTATGTCTTTATCAGCAGTGTGAAAATGGACTAATACAGTAATCTTCAGCAGGTCTCTGAACAATTCTGTGCCTCAGTTATCTTATCCATAGGTGATAATAATAATAATATCTACTTCATGGTTCCTGGGAACATTAAATGAATTAGTATGTCAAGTCCTTAAAATACAGTGACTAGCATATAGTAAATATTCACAAGTATCATTATTATATCACCTCTCCTTTGTAATAGGAGACTATGCTTTGGGTACTTAATTTTGGAGACTCTGCAGTTTACTCTGATAAGGAAGATGACCTTCTTTTATATCCTTCATTCCCTGAAAAATATACTAAACTCCCATTTGTCACCCTCGCTAGATTTTCTAGGCTCTAAACCAAGCTTGTCTAACCTAACTTATTTTGTTGCTGTTGTTCTGGTTTTTTGTTTGTTTGTTTGTTTTAGGCTTTAAGCAGCCTGAAGCCATGGTTTATAGTTTCTGTCTCTAGTGATAAGCAGAAAAGAGGGATGAGGAAGGGGCTTTACTGGCCCAATCGGAAGCAGAAACTAAGAACCCATGACTGTATTCTCTCCCTTGGACACCCCTACAACCATAGATTGCATCTTATCATCAGAATATCCTTCCTCAGAGTGTGCTTGACCCTGGATTCATTCTGTCTGTGAACATCATCTTTTTTCCTCACAACTTGCTTTGTTGAGGTTGGTCTCATATACAATCATTGTTTCTACCTCTTTGACTTCCTTAAGAATATAAGAATATTCCTTTACCTGGAATGTTCTTCATTGCCAACCACCCTCCACCTCCACCTCTGCACCTCCCTCTACAGACGCTACCTATTCTTCCAGGCCTAGTGTAATCCAAAGTTTTCCAGAAAGTATTCTATGGCTACCTTAGTTTTCAACTAGTGGGTCATCTCTACCAGATGTTTTGCTGGCACCTTGAGCGCAACGTGTTTAAATCTGAGGACTTTAACCTCCACTTTTCCCATTCATTTTCCTACAGTTTTTCTCCTATTGATGCCAACCAGGGTGTGAGTTGAAGACACCCAGTCGAGATCCGGTAGAAATTAAGAACACCCAATAGAGATACATTGTCCTTGACACTTCTCATCCCATATTCTCAACACTAATTGGCTATCATGTCACCTTGGTTCTATATCCTAAGTAATTACTCCATCCCTCTCATTGGCTTTTGTTTGGACTATGGAAATACATTCCTAATTATCTCCTTTCCTCTAATCATGTTCCATGGCAAACAATCCTCCTTGCAGCAATTAAAATGGTTTTTTGAAGATGCAAATGTGATTGTCTGAGTCTCTTTTGATATTCAAAGGCTTCCTATTGTGTAAAGCTGAAATCCCCCTCCTTTTTGCTATCTGGTCTCACCTACTACTGTGATTATGTCCCATGATTGCTCAACTTTGGCTGTGGTTCAGTGATGACTGAAGCACGATGCCATTTCCTCACTCTGTATTTTGCACACTCAGTTCCTTCTACCTGGAAGACCCTTCATTTATGAGTCTACTTGGAAAACACCTTCAAGACTCTCCTCAAATGTCACCTTTTTTGTGATATTTCTCCTAGTTCTCATGCCCACCTTAATGACTATTATCTATCTATCTACCTATCTATAAACAAATAGTCCAATCTTCACTGTTGTAAAATTATATGTGTGTGTATATATATAAATTATTTTTTTCTCCTCCTCTACCTTCCTGTAAGAATATATGTATATATAAGTACACACACACACACACACACACACACACACACACACACACACTGCATTGAAAGTAAATGATTTGGGTTGGACGCGGAGGCTCATGCCTATAATCCTAGCAGTTTGGGAGGCCAGGGTGGGAGGATAACCTGAGGTCAGGAGTTTGAGACCAGACTGGCCAACATGGTGAAACCCCATCCCTATTAAAAATACAAAAAATTAGCTGAGAATGATGGTGCACACCTGTAATCTCAGCTACTCGGGAGGCTGAGGCAGGAAAATTGCTTGAACCCAGGAGGCAGAGGTTGTGGTGAGCCAAGATCGAGATCGTGCCACCGCACTCCAGCCTGGGTGACACAGCAAGAGTCTGTCTCAAAAAAAAAAAAAAAAAAAAAGAAGAAAGAAAGAAACTAAATGGTATGTTTATAGGTCTGCCAGTCCCCATCCAGACCGTGAGTTTCCTGTGGGTAATTGTGGGTTATTCATATTCTTCTTATCTAGCATGTGCTTTACACATCGTAGGTGGTCCATTAATATTCACTGAATAAGTTAATAAACAGAACAAACATGCTCTTTACAACTGGAGTATAAAGTCTGCAAGGGCAACCACAGTGCCTTTTCCATACTTTTCATCTCACTCATGCTCTTCACTTAGTAGGTGATCAATAAATATTTATTGACAATCTCTGTGAAATTCTGCCACACAGAAAGTGTTTTATAGTATTTGAAAATGTTTTAATGCATATATGCCATGCTCTCATAATTAGATTTACATTCTTTCAGGATAGGTGCACTTTATTTATATGAGTGAGATGGAGTCTTGCTCTGTTGCCCAGGCTGGAGTGCAGTGGCGTGATCTTGGCTCACTGGAACCTCCACCTCCCGGGTTCAAGCGATTCTCCTGCCTTAGCCTCCCATGTAGCTGGGATTACAGGCATGCGCCACCAGGCCCGGCTAATTTTTGTATTTTTAGTAGGGACGGGGTTTCACTGTGTTGGCCAGGCTGGTCTCAAACTCCTGGTCTTAAGTGGAATCCCCTGCCTCGGCCTCCCAAAGTGCTGGGATTACAGGCATGAGCCACCGCGCCTGGCCAAGAGCAATCTTTTATACGTTGCTATCCCCACAGTTACTCATGCAGTGCTGTTGAATGAATGGCCTCTGATTGAATAACCAGGTAGCAAAGCCTGGATTATTTCCTTCCAACTTTTATGACATTTTAC
Organism: Homo sapiens; assembly: GCF_000001405.40. Classification (NCBI taxonomy): domain Eukaryota; kingdom Metazoa; phylum Chordata; class Mammalia; order Primates; family Hominidae; genus Homo; species Homo sapiens. Next base: position 79,685,572 of record NC_000008.11, on the reverse strand, counting down.
TTCCTGGAACAGTATCTGGTCTCTCCTATTAATGGTTTCTGGTGAAAATGTTGCCAAGGCCTCTGGGAACACTCCTTTTTGGGCCCAGCACAGGCTCTAAGCTCTTTATACAGGTCCCGATGTGCTCTGACAGGAATAACATCTCTAGGTGTCTCAGATATCACTCTGAAAGCACCTGGTCATTGACTTTCTCCAAGAAATGGCAGTGCTCCAGGGCTTGCTCATTTTGGCTGGTGGTGAATAAAAGGGATTCCCAGGCAGCCTGTCGAACTTGGGTGGCCATGTTCAATTCTGCCTTAACCAGCAGAGAGCTCTTGCGTGTTTCCTTATCTGCCAAACAAAAACGATAATTGCCTGTCATCTATCTCAATGAGTTATGAGGAAGCTAAACAAGACTATTCAATATGAAGGAAGCACAGGTTGGAAGTGCTTGAACAGCATAAGTACTGAATAAAAACCAGAAGATTCCTTCTCATCCAGTATTAATACCTGCTGTGACCTATAGCTGAGTGATGGGAATTATAAATGATTAGGAAGTGGAGATTTGTTCCATTCGATAAGGATACTTAGAGAACTATGAATATGAAAAGCCTTTTTTTCTTCCATTTTAATTCATTTAAATCCAAACACAGTATTTGTCATCTTCAAGGATTTTATATTTATTAGTAATGTAAAAAAATGAATAACATTTTAGGTCTGAGTCCTCTATTTCTTAACACAGGAGTGCCTCCTTACAAAATGATGGCCTGAGTCAAAACTGTGGTTGTCACCTGTGATCAAATATTGCCCCCTGGTGGTCAAAAGTGATCTCACATTTTTCTCAAGAAAGGGAATCAATCCAAAGGAAACAGACCAATCTCTCTCTCTCTCTTTTTCTCCCTCTCTCCCATTTCTCTGCCCCACCACAACTTCTTTTCCTACTTACTGTCCTTCCTATATCCACCATGTTCTTTTACACCATCATATCTGCCATGTACACTTTTATCATTCGTTCCTGAATAGACTTACTTGTTCAGTTTATAGTCAAGGAAACATTTATTGAGTACCTACTATGTGCCAGGCATTTGTCACCACCTCAGACAGGAATTTTTGGGCCACTTCATCTTAGTTGATTTCTCCCTTTTCTCTCTAACAGAGCATGGTTCTCATCATTTTCATGGTCATTTCCCCAAGTTGTGTGAACGTTTATACTTATTTGCTGTCCACCTCCCCTCATCATTTGACGTCTATGAAAGCAAGGAGCATGTCCATTTTGATCACTATTGTGTACTGAGCACCTCGACAAATATTTGGCACTTAACGGTTCCTCAATAAAGTTTGTGGAGTGAATGGGTAAAACCTAAATCATTTCAACTGCGATGTGATAACTGTTGATAGAGGCAAACACAGAGGGTAACAGGAGAGCGGAGAGCCAGCCAACTTGGGGAAGTGGGGAACATGGAGATGTGTTCAAGACAGGTTCCTGAAGGAGGCCGTTGGATGTCTGAGAAGCAGGAGGAGGCAGGCAAACCAGGAGGAGGAGCAAAAGCATCCCAAGCAGGGAGGGCAGCATGAGCAGAGGCACGGGCCTGAGGAAGAGCATGGAGTATATGGGAGCTGTGAGTATTGTTTGGTAACGTGGGAGGGTGAAGTTTGAGGGAGGTATGGTAGGAGGTGAAGCTGGCTAGGAGGACAGAGATCAGGTTGTGGAAATTCCTGTATGCCATGCTTAAGACTTTCCAATGAGTAACTGGAAACCTTTGTAAGAGCATGAGATAGCTACATTTGTGTTTTAGGTTTGCTTTTTTGCAGATCACCATCTGCATGACCTCAAAGCTGAGGATCAGGTTCTATTCATTTATGTGCAGGGCCTGGCATGCAGGAAGCACTACACACATGTTGAATGCAAACATGAACTAGAAAGAAAAGGAGTGTCTTTTTTTGGTAGAGATGGAGTTTCACCATGTTGGCCAGGCTGGTCTCAAACTCCTGACCTCGGGATCTGACTGCCTCGGACTCCCAAAGTGCTGGCATTATAGGTATGAGCCACCGGCGTGATGGCAGGTGCCTGTAATCCCAGCTACTTGGGAGGCTGAGGCAGGAGAATCGTTTGAACCCGGGAGGCCGAGGTTGCGGTGAGCCGAGATGGCACCATTGCACTCCACCCTGGGCGACATGGTGAGACTCTGTCTCAAAAAAAAAAAAAAAAAAAAAAAAAAAAAGAGAAGGAGTGAAATAAGGGCAGTTATGAGGGGGATGGTATATTGCAAGTAGAAGATAAGAGAATGGGCACGTTTGTGTGTAGAAGAAAGAGCAAAGGATAGGGGATGAAGGTGAAAGTTTTCTCCCAATGAGTAAACTCCATGGTAGATCCTCAGTGAATGTTTGTTGAATGAATCAATGAACCTTAGAGCTAGTTACTAGAGAAATATGGAGCTGAAGTTGTTGCAATGAAATTCTACAGATTCTGCAAAGTTTGCTGCCTGCCAGGCACAGAGCCAGTTGCATTAAACAAGTTCTATTTTTGTTCTGGGCTTGTTGTATTGCTCACTCTGTAGAGTCTTATTGTATATGCCATTTAAAGACCTAGACCGTTGATTTACTTAGGTTTAACTTACACTTCATAAGGTTTCAACTATGAAATAAGTAAGGAAACTCTTCTGAAATCTGAGTATCTCTCCCAGAAATTGGCCCCTACCTAAAAATTTACAGGTTTTGTTCTTGGTGTGCTATTATGAAAATTAAATTTTGGCTCATTCATGGGGTAGAATTTTATCTTAAATTTATAGATAGAACAAAACCCATTTTGGGGTAGTTTTTGCATGTTTTTCTCTTTGTAGAGACATTGAAATTCATGGGTTTTAAAATAAATATATTACATAAGAGTAAGTTTCACCGTGTGGCAAAAACCTTTCTAGATTTCATTGCAGTTGCTGGAGGACATGAAAACTTGAGTCCGGCACAAAAATTTACAAATATTCCGGATTTTGTAAAACTCTTGAGGAATGATCTGTTTTTAGTGAGGTTTCTTATATTTTTAAGTGTATTGAATTCTTTAGTGATAACAGAGTGGGAGGAGCCTGGTATGAGATTTGAAAAGAAGTCTGATTTGAATTTAGACTCCAGAGAGTTTCTCTTTATGAAAATAATTTTTGGGTGGCATTTAAAAAAATTCCTAATAGTTATGGCCTTTAAAAAGATGATTAACATGGCCAGGTGGGGTGGCTCATGCATGTAATCCCAGCAATTTGGGAGGCCAAGGTGGGTGAATCGCTTGAGCTCATGAGTTTGAGACCAGCCTGGGCAACATGGAGAAACCCCATCTCTACTAAAAAATACAAAATTACCTGGGTGTGATGGCAGGTGCCTGTAGTCTCAGCTACTTGGGAGGCTGAGGTGGAAGGATTGCTTGAGCCCAGTAGGCAGAGGTTGACAGAGTGAGACCCTGTCTCAAAATAAATAAATAAATAAATAAACAAATAAATAAATAAATAAATAAGACCATTAGCAATCACGATAATGTCAGAAACTACTCTAATTATGCCAAACAGAAAGAGATTAGAAGAAATTAGGTGCTTTACTAGAACTTTGGAAGTGCTGAAAGAGTGAAAGTCAGAAGGCAACCGCTTTAACTGTGATCCAGAAAATCAGGAAGTTTCTGCTGCCACCACCCAGGAACCAGGAGATGGTAGGAAAGGCCACCGCCATGGCACAGTTGTGCTAAAGTGACAGGTTGTCAGGGAAACATAACTACCTAAAACAAGCTTGCCCAACTTGTGGCCCATGGGCTGCATGCAGCCCAGGACAGCTTTGAATGTAGCCCAACACAAATGCATAAACTTTCTTAAAACATGATGAATTTTTTGCATGATTTTTTTAAAGCTCATCGGCTATCCTTAGTGTTAGTGTGTTTTATGTGTGGTACAAGATGATTCTTCTTTCAGTGTAACCCAGAGAAGTCAAAAGATTGAACATCCCTGACCTAAAAGACCATGTTTGCTGAAATCCACACATTCACTGCCAATTACAAGAAAGGCCTCTGCTCCCCTTCCATCTTCCAGATCTGGTGCAGGTACATGGCATTGCAAGAATCTATAGAGTATCAGAAACTCCAGTAGCAAAGAAGACAAGGAAATGCAGCTCACAGACTTTTAGTCCCTGGGAAGACTACGGGAGGAAATGGAAATGATGCTGAATGACATTAGATAATATCTGGCATATTCATCAATAATAATTAAAATAGTTATAAATTTATAGATTTTTTATATTGACACAGTATATCCTTGACTAATTTTTCAGAAATTGAAAAGTAACTTTTATGAGTTTTATATGTCTAAAAATATCTTTATTTTGAACTCACATATGACTGATTATTTGGATGGATACAGGATCTTAGGTTCAAAATTATTTTCTCAAGACTTTAAAGATACTACTCCATTATCCAGTAATGGGATGGCTGGGTCAAATGGTATTTCTAGTTCTAGATCCCTGAGGAATCGCCACACTGACTTCCACAATGGTTGAACCAGTTTACAGTCCCACCAACAATGTAAAAGTGTTCCTATCTCTCCACATCCTCTCCAGCACCTGTTGTTTCCTGACTTTTTAATGATTGCCATTCTAACTGGTGTGAGATGATATCTCATTGTGGTTTTGATTTGCATTTCTCTGATGGCCAGTGATGATGAGCATTTTTTCATATGTCTGTTGGCTGCATAAATGTCTTCTTTTGAGAAGTGTCTGTTCATATCCTTCACTCACTTTTTGATGGGGTTGTTTGTTTTTTTCTTGTAAATTTGTTTAAGATCTTTGTAGATTCTGGATATTAGCCCTTTGTCAGATGAGTAGATTGCAAAAATTTTCTCCCATTCTGTAGGTTGCCTGTTCACTCTGATGGTAGTTTCTTTTGCTGTGCAGAAGCTCTTTAGTTTAATTAGATCCCATTTGTCAATTTTGGCTTTTGTTGCCATTGCTTTTGGTGTTTTAGACATGAAGTCCTTGTCCATGCCTATGTCCTGAATGGTATTGCCTAGGTTTCCTTCTAGGGTTTTTATGGTTTTAAGTCTAACATTTAAGTCTTGAAGCCATCTTGAATTAATTTTTGTATAAGGTGTAAGGAAGGGATCCAGTTTCAGCTTTCTACATATGACTAGCCAGTTTTCCCAGCACCATTTATTAAATAAGGAATCCTTTCCCCATTTCTTGATTTTGTCAGGTTTGTCAAAGATCAGATAGTTGTAGATGTGTGATATTATTTCTGAGGACTCTGTTCTGTTCCATTGGTCTATATCTCTGTTTTGGTACCAGTACCATGCTGTTTTGGTTACTGTAAACTTGTAGTATAGTTTGAAGTCAGGTAGTGTGATGCCTCCAGCTTTGTTCTTTTGGCTTAGGATTGTCTTAGCAATGCGGGCTCTTTTTTGATTCCATATGAACTTTAAAGTAGTTTTTTCCAATTCTGTGAAGAAAGTCATTGGTAGCTTGATGGGGATGGAATTGAATCTATAAATTACCTTGGGCAGTATGGCCATTTTCATGATATCGATTCTTCCTATCAATGAGCATGGAATGTTCTTCCATTTGTTTGTACCCTCTTTTATTTCGTTGAGCAGTGGTTTGTAGTTCTCCTTGAAGAGGTCCTTCACATCCCTTGTAAGCTGGATTCGTAGGTATTTTATTGTCTTTGAAGCAATTGTGAATGTGAGTTCCCTCATGATTTGGCTCTCTGTTTGCCTGTTATTGGTGTATAAGAATGCTTATGATTTTTGCACATTGATTTTGTATTCTGAGGCTTTGCTGAAGTTGCTTATCAGCTTAAGGAGATTTTGGGCTGAGACAATGGGGTTTTCTAGATATACAATCATGTCATCTGCAAACAGGGACAATTTAACTTCCTCTTTTCCTAATTGAATACCCTTTATTTCTTTCTCCTGCCTGATTGCCCTGGCCAGAACTTCCAACACTATGTTGAATAGGAGTGGTGAGAGAGGGCATCCCTGCCTTATGCCAGTTTTCAAAGGGAATGCTTCCAGTTTTTGCCCATTCAGTATGATATTGGCTGTGGGTTTGTCATAAATAGCTCTTATGATTTTGAGATACGTCCCATCAATACCTAATTTATTTAGAGTTTTTAGCATGAAGTGCTGTTGAATTTTGTCAAAGGCCTTTTCTGCATCTGTTGAGATAATCAATATAAATCATGCTGCTATAAAGACACATGCACATGTATGTTTATTGCAGCACTACTCACAATAGCAAAGACTTGGAACCAACCCAAATGTCCAACAAAGATAGACTGGATTAAGAAAATGTGGCACATATACACCATGGAATACTATGCAGCCATAAAAAATGATGAGTTCATGTCCTTTGCAGGGACATGGATGAAGCTGGAAACCATCATTCTCAGCAAACTATCGCGAGGACAAAAAACCAAACACCACATGTTCTCACTCATAGGTGGGAATTGAACAACGAGAACACTTGGACACAGGAAGGGGAACGTCACACACCGGGGCCTGTTGTGGGGTGGGGGGAGAGGGGAGGGATAGCATTAGGAGATATACCTAATGTAAATGATGAGTTAATGGGTGCAGCACACCAACATGGCACATGTATACATATGTAACTAACCTGCATGTTGTGCACATGTATCCTAGAACTTAAAGTGAAATAATATATATATATATGTATATATAAAGGGAAAAAAAAGATACTACTCCATTATCTTTCAGCATTTAGAGTTGCCAAAAGTTCAGAGGCAATTTGATCTTTATTACTTCATAAGTAAGTTATTTTTACCTCTGTTGAAATTTAAAGGATTTGAAGTTTCAAACATGAGCATTTGTGTGGGTATAGTCTCTTTTTATTCACTCTGTTTGGCACTTGGTGGGTTCTTTCTATTCTCTGACTCACACTAGTACTAGAACATTTTCTTCTGTTATTTCTTTATTTTGTACATGAACTTCCCCTCTCCAACCTAAATGATCTAGAAGAGCTTTTAGATGAATGTTGGAACCCTCCACCCATCCTTCTTTCTTTTTAGCTTTTCTTTTAATGGGAGTGATATGCTCTGTTCTTCATTTGAGGATATTAGCTATTCTTATTTCAAAGCCCTCTATTTTCTTCATTAAGCCAATCTCAGATTTTCTGTTCATTTGTTTTTGTTTCTGTTTGTTTTATTTTAGTGTCTCTATTTTATGGCATTTGCTTTTCTCAAACATTGTGATTCTCTGTGGCATGCTCTTCTTTATTTCTGAGCTTTTGTTTGCAGGCATTTGAATGCCGTTTCTATTTAGCATAAACTTCACGCGGTGAATATAGAGAGGGGGAGGGTGTGCTGTGTAGAGGGAGGGTTTGTTTGTGGGTATGTGGACTCCTATGCTTCTTTGGCGGGAATAGCTATCTGAGGCACTACTCTGCCTCTGTGTCCTTAGGGCTTATACTCTTAGGACTGCTTTAGTGTGAGTCCAAAGAGTGATCGCTGCCCAATGCTCAGCAAAACCTGGAAAGGGGAAAGGAGTCAGTTGGACTGGATGCTCAAGAAACATGTTCTCAATTAAATATGCACTCATATCTGATTGCTTTAGCATCTGTTACCTCTTGACTCTGGGCTTAGGGCTCCCCCAAATTGCATATACCTCTGCAATACATGGCTTCCACCAGCTGGGTTTCTCTATAGATCTGAGTCCATCTGTCTTTCGGAGGTTGCTCAAAATTTCTGGCCTGGTTATAGAAACTTTGTTTTCCATTACTGCAGTGGAATTATTTTATCTTTAAATATCTTTGATGCCATTTCGCAGGTTTTGAGTAGAGGCAGTGATACATGAATGTATCCAGCCCTACATCTTGATCCAACTGGTGACTTCTCAGTTATGATTTTTAAAAACTTTGTTCCTTAAATCATTTATAGTATCACTGAAATGAAAGGAACTCACCATTGACTTTAAACATTTTAACTAAAAAATTAGATTTCAAAACATGTGTATTCACAATTATCATCCTTGGTTTATAGCACCAAAATTACAAAGTTTTTATTCTGTCTGCAGTCACGTGCAGACCTGCCCAGTGACTGAAAAATCAACTTGTTAATCTGTTGAAATTACTTTTAAATCTGAGTTTTTAATTGTTTTGTTTTTTACTACCCAGACACTTAAAAAAAGTTGTCATTGGCTATGGTTGTGGGCTATAGCTATGAAAAGAGAAGATGAATATCAAAATCATTTAAAAAGTATGTGTTCTCTTTATTTTATCCATTCATTTTCATTCATTCATTCGCTCCATAAGTATTTATAAGACTCCTGCTATAAACTAGGCACTCTGTTAAATGTTAGGAATAGCAAGTCACAGTATTTTCCAGAAACCAAAGGAAATGAGGCTGCTACATAGGTTATGAGGCTCTGGTAAGAGATGAAAGCAGTGAGATCACAAGTTTGTAAATTATGCTACAGAATTTAGATTATCTTAAGGGCAATGACAATCTCCCAAAATATTTTAAGTGGAGAAGTGACACAATCAGATTTCAGTTTTAGACACCTCCCTCCCTCTTTGGTTAGAGTGTGTAGAACAGATTGGAGGTGGGTAATTTTTTTTTTCCAAAAGACCGCCTTGTTTCTAGCACTTTTTTCTTGCTCTTCTCCTACATTTGGTGTTAATATCATTTTACAAAAATGAAAACCTAGCCAAAAAATATAATCTAGTTTAATTAAGAAGGTTGCATTTGATTCTGTAATACATATTCTGTAACAGTAGACATTGCTCACGTTTAATAGATTTTTTCCCATCTCTTTTGTGGTAATATATAACTATGCTTGGTTTATAGCCTTGTACTAGAAATTATGTTCCTTTCTTCTGTAACCATTAATTTCATATTGAATGTGTGAACATTAACAGTTTCCAAGATAGATATTACTCAAGATGTGAAACTTTGGGAGAATCCTTGAGTCATTCTGTTACTCCCACTATTTCCTTAGAGTATATAATTTACCATTAATTGTTCATCTCCCAGTAGATAATGAAAGAGCTATAGAAGCAAAATATTGTTTCCGAGTGAGTGCTTGTTAGTGAGTAAGTAAATGAATTACATATAGAAAGTTGTTGACAACAGTTTGAGGTTGTAACTGATTCTTACGTTTTGTTGGGTGATATATTCGTTCAGCAAAGTAAAGGTATGTGACTAATATGTTTGCTCTTTGTGGCCACAAAAATTGTGAGAATAAATATGTTTATTTATACCTTACTATGTTCCCAAAATGGCCATACACACACACACACACACACACACACACACACACAGGTTCTCATTGCAGGCAAATATGTGTTTGAAAATTAAATCTCTAATAAAACTTCTAAGAGAATGTAAGTTGTCTAGGTAAAACTATAAAAATTCTTTTGAATAGCTATTTGGAATGAGTTTAAAGTTCATGAAAGAAAAGTTTGTATCTCAGCACTATTCCTATCAAGCTACCAATGTCATTTTTTCACAGAAAGAGAAAAAAACTTTTCTAAAATTCATATGGAACCAAAAAACAACCTGAGTAGCCAAAGCAATCCTAATCAGAAATAACAAAGCTGGAGGAATCACACTACTCAACTTCAAACTATGCTATAAGGTTATGGTAACCAAAACAGCATGGTACCGATGCAAAAAAAGACATGTAGACCAATGCAACAGAAGAGACAATGAAGAAATAAACTGCACACCTACAGCCATCTGATCTTTGACAAAGTCAACAAAAATAAGGAATGGGGGAGAGGACTACCTATTCATTTAATGGTGCTGGGATAGCTGGCTAGCCAGATGCAGAAGAATGAAGCTGAATCCCTACCTTTCATCATATATAAAACTAATTCAAGATAGATGAATTAAAGACTTAAATGTAAGACCTTAAACTATAAGACTCCTAAAGGGAAACCCAAGAAACACCATTGTGGACATCAGTCTTGGGAAAGAATTAATGACTGATCTTCAAAAGCAACTGCAACAAAAACAAAAATTGGCAAGTGGGACCTAATTAAACTAAAGAGCTTCTGCACAGCAAAATAAACTATCAATAGATTAAACAGACAACCTACAGAATGGGAGAAAATATTCACAAACTATGGATCTGACAAAGGCCTGATGTCCAGAATCTATAAGGAACTTAAACATTTGAACAAGCAAAACACAAATAACCCCATGAAAAAATGAGCAAAAGACATGAACAGATAGTTCTCAAAAGAAGACATACAAGTGGCTAACAAACATGTGAAAAAATGCTCAACATCACTAATCATCAGTGAAATGCAAATCAAAACCGCAATGAGATGTCATCTCATGCCAGTTAGAATGGCTATTTTTAAAAAGGCAAAAAATAACATGTTGATGAGGCTGCAGAGAAAAGGGAGCACTTATGTACTGTTGGACTTATGTACTGTTGGTGGGAATGTAAATAAGTTCATCCACTGTGGAAAGCAGTTTTGAAATTTCTCAAAGAACTTAATACAGAGCTACAGTTCGACTCAGAAATCCTATTACTGGGTATACATCCAAAGGAAAATAAATTCTGCCAAAATGCTGAGTGTGGTGGTGGTGGCTCATGCTTGTAATCCCAGCACTTTGGGAGGCTGAGGTGGGAGGATCACTTGAGCCCAGGGGTTCAAGATTATCATGGGCAACATAGTGAGACTCCATCTCTACAAAATTTTTTTTTAAAAAATCAGCTGGGCATGGTGGTGCACCTCTGTAGTCCCAGCTACTCGGGAAGCTCAGGTGGGAGAATGGCTTGAGCCAGGAGTTTGAGGTTGCAGTGAGCTGTGATTGTGCCACTGCATTCAGCCTGGGCGGCAGAGTAAGACTCTGTGTCAAAACAAAACAAAAAAGCAAAAAAATAAAACAAAACCAAACACCCTGTATTAGTTCATTCTCACACTGCTATAAAGGACTGCCTTGGAGTGGGTAATTTATAAATAAAAAGACGTTTAATGGACTCACAGTTCCGCATGGCTGGGGAGGCCTCACAATCATGGCAGAAGACAAAGGAGGAGCAAAGTCACATCTTACATGGTGTCAGGCAAGAGAGCTTGTGCAGGGCAACTCCCATTTATAAAACCATCAGATCTTGTGAGACTTATTCACTACCATGAGAATCATGGGGGAAACTGCCCCCATGGTTCAGTTATCTCCACCTGGCCCCACCCTTGACATGTGGGGATTATTACAATGCAAGGTGAGATTTGGGTGGAGATACAGCCAAACCATATTGCCTTCCCAAAACCCAAAAAGACACATGCACTCACATGTTCATCACAGTACTATTCACAATAGCAAAAAACATGAAGTCCACCTAGGTGCCAGTCAGTGGTGGACTGGATAAAGAAAATGTGGTACTCATACAACATGGAATACTATGCAATCATAAAAAATAATTAAATCATGTATTCTGCAGCAACATGAATGTAGCTGGAGGCCATAATCCTAAGCAAATTAACGCAGAAACAGAAAACCAAATGCCACATGTTCTTTCTTATAAGTGGGAGCTAAACCTTGGGTGGCCATGGACATAAAGATGGCAGCAGTGTACACCAGGGACTAGTTAGACATGAGTGGGAGGCAGGGGGAAGGGCTGAAAAACTAAATATTGGGTAGTATGCTTAGGACTTGTGTGACGAGATCATTTGTACCTCAAACCTCAGCATCACGTGGTATACCCATGTAACAAACCTGCACATGTACCCCTGGATCTGAAATAAAGTTGAAATTATATTTAAAGAGCTTGAATCTCTCAGTTCCTTTTAGATAAAAATAACAAAAAGAATGAATACTTTATACTTTGTGAGTATAATAGTATGTATGATTCACTAGGGGTCAGACATTGCTTTCAGAGCTTTAAGTTGCTAATACATTGAATTCTCACTAAACTTTATGAGGTTGGTACTATTATCGTCCTCCAATTTACATCTGAGGAAACAGAGGCCAAAGGGTTTAATCTATTTGTTTATTGTCACATGACTGCTAAGTAACAAAGGTGGGCTTTGTATCCAGCATTTTGTTCAAAAGTCCAAAGTATTGTCTAGCACATCATGCTGTTTCCAAATAGCTAGGAAGCTATTTCAATAATCCAAACAAGAGATAATGGTAGATTAGACAGAGGTGATAGCGTCTATATCTATATCTCCATCTAGATAGGCAGATTTTGAGAATAGAGGCAACAGAATTTTCTTATGTTTGTATGTGGGGCATGTAGAGAATAAGGGGAATCAAAGATAGTACAAGAATTTTGGCTGAGCAATTAGAAGAATGAAAATGCAAGAGATGGGGAGGGAATGTTGGGAGTATTGTTTTGGATGTGTTTGGAGATGCCACTTATGTATACAAACGAAGATGTTTAGGTAGTCAGTTCGTCACATGAGACTAGTTCAGGGGACAAATCTGGAAAAATGAGTTTGGGAACTAGCAGCATATATATGATGTCTGAACTGCAAGATGGGTGTAGATCACCCAATGAAGTAAGAGTAAGTGTGGATACAGAAAAGAAGGAGACCAAAGACTGATCCCTGGGGCATGCCAACATTTAGAGTTTGGGTAGAAGAAGAGGCAGCAAAGGAGATAGAGAAGCAGCAATACTGAGATGACAGGAAAGCAAGGAAAGTGTGGGGTAGGAAAAGCCAAGTGAAGAAAGATATCAAAGAGGAGACTCATCAGTTATGTCAAATAATAGGTAGAGTAAGATGAGGACTGAGAACTTACCATTGGATCTAGCACCATGGAGATCATTGGTAACCTGACAAGAATAGTGTAGATCCAGTGGAATGAAGGTAAAAGACTTATTGGAAAGGGTTTATGAGAGAAGGAGAGGCAATAAATGAAAGACAGAGAGTGGAGACAATGCTTTTGGAGTTTTGCTGTAAAGTGAACTAGAGAAGTATGTCAATAGCTGCTGGGAAAAATGGAATCCAAAATTTTTTTTAAGATGCAAAAAATAATAGCATGTTTTATGCTGAATTTGTAGAAAGAAAAAATGATGAAATGGGAGGGAGAGAAGAGAATTTCCAGAGCAATACATCTGAGATAGTGAGAGGAGATGGGATCTAGTGTACAAAAGGAAGCACTGGCTTTAGATAGCTCATCTGCAGTAGTAGTCGGAAGGCAGAGCATAAGGGTGGTAGGTGGGTTGATGTGTTGGAGGGAGTCTATGGAAACTATCTTCTAATTGCTTCATTTTCCCAGTGAAGTAGGAAGAAAAGTCATTAGCTGAGGATAGGAGAGGAGGTGTTGGATGTTTGAGGAGGTTTAAGAGAGTATAAGACTAGAGACATATAGTGTGATTGCCAGGAAAAATTAAGGGCTCACATGAGGTTCATGTTCATGAATTTAAAGAGATACTAGTAAGCATGGCTATTTGATTTCTACAATTATGTTCATCTATATGGGTACAGGCATAGATTAGGTGGAGAGTTAATTTAGCTAGCATTGTGGGTTTGACCTTCTGAAAACAATACATTAAGAGAGAGAGTTATTGGGTTATATGAGAGAGATTACAATAATGGAATGATTAGAATTTAATCTGGGTAAGGAGGGAAGACTAAAGATGATAAGGGACATGGAAAGCTTCTATAAATGGATGGAAATCCCAGTGAGGTTGAAGGATAGGGGTCAAGCTACTTAAGAAATTTAGCTGGAAAGACAGTAGATGGTGGTCAGAAAGTGGCATGCATGGAATGGAGATAATGGAAGCATTGTGATACTTAGTAGTGAACACCAACAAAGAAGTGAAGTGGTTGAATAGATTGGAGACATGAGCTTCAAGAGTGAGTGTCTTAGAAAGGACTAAGAATGATCTAGAAGTCACATATGAGAGCAAGGACAATACTCAGCATACCTCCTTGAGAAGACTGCAGATGGGGCAGTGTCTTCATGGGAGAGACAGGAAACACTCTGTTTACCCCTCAGGATTCTCTCTCTGCTTTTCTTCATCCTGCTTGGCCTCAGAGGCTGAGTTCTACACACAGGACAACTGGGATCCCTTGCCCTCTAATTTCTGGTTGGATTTGGCTAGTGTGAAACCTTGGCTAGAGATTGAAGGGTGAGGGAAGAAAGATATTTAGATATTTATTCCCAAATCCTTCCTTGCTAGGCTGCATTTGTTGGAGGCTGAGTTCCTCTCCTAAAGGTCATAACTTCTCGTCAGGCAGTGCTTCATCATCCTTTGTTGGTTTCTCTTAATCTGCCAACACCCTGATATAGTTTGGATGTTTGTCCCCTCTGGATCTCATGGTAAAATGTGATCCCCAGTGTTCGAGGTAGGGCCTGGCAGGAGGTGTTTGGGTCATCAGGGTGGATCCCTCATGAATGGCTTGGTGCCCTCTTCATGGTAATGAGAGAGTCCTTGCTCTATTAGTTCATGTGTGAACTGGTTGTTTAAAAGGGCCTGGGGGGTCTCTCTTGCTCTTTCTCTCACCATGTAACATGCCTGCTCCCCCTTTGCCTTCATGCCTTCTGCCATGAGTGAAAGCTTCCTGAGGCCCCATCAGAAACTGAGCAGATGCTGATACTATGCTTGTACAGCCTGGAGAATTGTGAGCCAAATGCACTTCTTTTCTTTAGAAGTTACTCAGTCTCAAGTATTCCTTTACAGCAACACAAAATGTACTAAAACACACCCTTTTAATATAATTGTCATTCAATTCTCATTATTTACTCCTTTTTACTGTGCCTTCTGTTTCCTGCTAGGATCTAAACCAATATGGTGATCAGTAAAAACCTAATGACTCTTGGGTCCCCAGGTTTGGTGGACAGCAAACAGACCAAGAAATCTGCTTCCAAGGAGATTCAGATTCCAAGGAGGCATATTTCTCAATGTCCTTGTAATGTGACCAAGGAGAATAAAGAAATAGGAAGATTTGCTTAGAGAACAGAGCCAAGAGCCATGAAGAACATTGGACTGAGGAGCTCCTCTCTGGGAGCATAATGGAGACAGAGTCAAGGAATGTGCCCTGTCTCAATGGTAAAGGGCCTCACAATGTCTGGCCAGTGGAATGCCAGAATTTATATGATCAGTAAATGTGGTGTTGCTCCCATTCTTATCCTTTAGAATGAGCATATTTATTGTGATTATCCTGTCCCATTTTGCCATTACATATTGAATATTCAGGGAATGATGACTTGTCTTTTTAATTTATTTGTTTCTCAGGTCGAAAGAACCCATGTCTAAATGTGTGTGTGTGTGTGTGTGTGTGTGTGCGCGAGAGAGAGCGAGAGAGAGAGAGAGAGAGAGAAAGAACTGTATATTACCCAAGACATTGAACTTGATGCCATGATCAAATGATACTTGGAGGTTTTATATCTTGGGGACAATGTGAGTGTACTTTACATGGAGGAAGGAGAGTGAGCTGAATATTTAGTGACCAGTGGGGTGACAGTCATTGTTATGACTCATCAAATAAATATTTCTGACTTTCCTCCTGAACTTATGATGAGACTGCACTTTTCTCCCTATTTAGAGTTAAATGGGATCATATCACTTGCTTTGGCCAATGAGATGTGATGTGTGCTACTTCTGGGTGGAAGCTTTAAGAGAACCTGTGTGTGATTTGCCATGCATGTACGTTCCCTCTTCCACAGTGACCAGCAACATTCCAGATAGAGGCAGCTCCATCTCATTTGGCTCCAGAGTGAGGCACAACATAGAGAATAATCCACAGTGAGCAGGTTGGACATGTAGCAGGAGTCGGAAATAAACCTTTGTAGTTTTAATTTACTGAGATTTGGGGGTTTTATGACAGCCTGACTTAGCCTTTTCTGTTATACTGTAGTGAAGATAATTTCATACAGAGTACAAGGTGTGTGTGGAAGCCTGAAATGTCATGTCATTGGCACGTCAGAGTGAACTGTTTGGGGTTCAACGAGAGTAGTGTTTGTTTTTTGTTTTTTTTTTTGAGACAGGGTCTCTCTGTGTTGCCCAGGCTGAAGTGCGGTGGCACAACCATGTCTCCCTGCAGCCTCGACAACCTGGGCCCAAGCGATCTTCCTGCCTCAGCCTCCTGAGCAGCTGGGACTACAGGTGCATGCCATCATGACCAGCTAATTTTTTTTTCTAATAGACTTGGGGTTTCACCATGTTGGCCAGGTTGGTCTTGAACTCCTGAGCTCAGGTGATCCACCTGTCTCGGCCTCCCACAATGCCGGGATTACAGGTGTGAGCCACCATACCTGGCCAGCTAATTTTTAAACTTTTCATAGAAACAAGTTTTCGCTATGTTGCTCAGGCTAGTCTTGAACTCTTGGGCTCAAGTGATTCTCCCACCTCGGCCTCCCAAAGTGCTGGGATTACAAGTGTGAGCCATGGTGCCTGGCCGAGAGTAGTGTTCTTGAGGAAAGAGAGATGGTGGAACACTTTAATGTCATGTAGAGGAGTGCAGATTGCATTCTGCAGATAGAGGGGACGGGCAGTAGAGTCCTGGAGAGACTTGGTCACTATGTGTGGGGGCTGTGGACTGGAGCAAAGGAGACTTGTTAGAAGGCTGCTGCAAGTGTCTACCAGGACCCAAACTAGACGGTGGTTCTGGAAGTAGAAAAGAAGCAAGGACTGCAGGACAGTGTGGAGGTCAAATTGACACCATTTGATATTCAACTGGAGGTGGGTGGTGGGGGACAGTGAGGAATCCAAGACGACTCAGGTAATGTGGGGGAGCTTGGGGGCCTTAGCTTTGTTCTGGGCTCTGTGCTTGCCTTAGCAGTTTCAGCAAACTGCCTGATTAGACGTCAAGGATGTCTTGTCCAGGGGCTGGGAGGAGAGAGATGATGTGTTATTTGGCTGCTAAAGCCACAGAAGTCACGTCTCCCCCTTTTCATCCTCTCCCTCAGTAGGAGGAGGGTAGATGGGCCACAATACGCCTATTAGCACTTTTACCCCCATTGTTTTCTCCTCTCAGGTGTTGTGAAGGCTGATGAAGAGCACAAAGGCGAGACTCTTGCTAGAAAAGAGAATGACCTTTGTCAACATTCAGTTGTTCCATACATTTTTGGGTGTAGGAGAGATAGGGGAGGAGGGTGAATCATCAAACTAATGGAACTTTGTGAATTTTCACAGAACATTTCAAAGACATTTAAGCAATTTAAACACAGTACTGAAGAAGCCAAGACTCCGTAAAACAAACAAACAAACAAACAAAAAATCTGTAACTGGAACCAGGCTAACAAACTGGGTAATTCACAGAATGGCAAATCCTTGCAAAAAGCACTCAGTTCATCTATTAAAGGGTGGGGAGCGTCTTCAGATTTTTGATCCTTACTGAAATCATGTTGTGTGAGAGATGCCGAGTCATTGGTACTCTGATTCCACCTTAGCTCTATCCCAGCCCCTGGCTGCACGATTGATTGCTTCCATTGTTTTATTATCCTGCAAGGCACAGCTGTTTATCTTGCTTTTTTCTGGATTTCTCTGCATCCTCCCACCCCCGAACTTTTTTGAATAAGAGTGAATGCATTTCTCTTCTTGCCCTGCCTCCAATGGAACATGCCCTGATTGAAACAGATTCCCTCAGTGTGGCAGCCACAGAGAATCCACACACCTGGATCAGTTGCATTGTTGACAGCAGGGCTTCTCAAGTGAGGGCTGCAGACAAGCAGTATTAGCATCTTCTGGGAATATGTTAGAAATGCACATTTTCAGGCTTCCAGAGACCTCAGGAATCCAAAGCTCTGGAGGCAGGACTCAGAAATCTCTTTTTAACAAGCCGTTCACATAACTTGGAAGCACACTGACATTTGAGGCCCTCTGGCCTCACTGGTCTGGCAGGTTTGGAGGTGTTCTTTTTTTCCCCCCATTGTGAATTATGCTCTTTTATTTATTTATTTTTCTTTTAAATTTTTTTTTGCTTTTTTATTTCTATAGGTTTTTGGGAAACAGGTGGTATTTGGTTACATGAGTAAGTACTTTCGTGGTTATTTGTGAGAGTTTGGTACACCCATCACCCAAGCAGTATATGCTGCACCCAACTTGGAGATGTTCTTCTGAGGACCTCAAATAAGGGAAGAAGAAGTCATGAGATGTGGGCACTGTGGTCTGGAGCCAACCACTCACCTTTCCCTCCTCTGCTTTTTCGCTTTTTTTTTTTTTTTTTTTTTTTGAGACATGGTCTCGTTCTGTCACCCAGGCTGGAGTGCAGCGGTGTGATCTCAGCTCACTGCAGCCTTGATCTCCCCAGGCT
This sequence comes from Homo sapiens, assembly GCF_000001405.40. Classification (NCBI taxonomy): domain Eukaryota; kingdom Metazoa; phylum Chordata; class Mammalia; order Primates; family Hominidae; genus Homo; species Homo sapiens. The sequence goes on along the minus strand of NC_000008.11, from coordinate 79,667,404 downwards.
CAGGTCATTCTCCTATCTCATCCTTTCAAGTAGCTGAGACTACAGTTACTCCCCAGCATGCCTGGCTACTTTTTGTATTTTTTTTTGTAGAAAAGATATTTCACCTTGTTTCCCAGGCTGGTCTCGAACTCCTCCCTTCAAGTGATCTGCCTGCCCTGGCCTCCCAAAGTGTTGGGATTACAGGCATGAGCCACCGTGCCCGGCCTGCTTCTTCATCTTTGAGATTAGGCAGCTGGACTGGTCAGCAGTTTCAGTTCTCATACAAAGTACTATGAGAAGTTTGTCAAATATTTCTAATATTTCAGAAACTTCTTAGAAATGATCCATTTTCCCCAAATATGCTGCAGAGGGCTGACCAACATATCATGTTTGCTGTTTTGGGGCCCAAATAAGCTACTGGATTATGAGCTTCTTGTGGTCATTCATGTTCATGTTTCCAGGGCTTATCATAGGGTCTGACCCAATGAGTAATTCGGGTAATGTTTTCCAAACTAAGCTATAGAAAACCAGTATGAAGAGACAACTCATTTCATGCTCATTGGAAGCTCATGTGTTTCACATCAAGCTCAGGCATTGTTTGTAGCAGTATTAGATTCCCACAAATATTAAAGGATATTCAAAATAGAGACCAGGTGGCCGCAACCCTAAACTTGGCTTGTTAGAGCTCCTATGGACCATAGCCCACTGTACTTATTCACAAATCTGTGTGGTTTCAATTATTTATGATTTTCTGCTAAAACTGGATGTGGTTCCTTTGGTCCTGTAAGATCCATTTGGGTCACTGACAGGACCCTGCTGCGCCCATGTGTGCAGTGTGTTTATTGGCAGTACAAAATTCAGCAGTACGTCAGGGATCACATCTTAACAGACGGCCTAGGCTGGGGGAGGCGTTCTGTGGGCCACAGGGGAGAACTTGAGATAATGCCAGGAACCTTCAATGTTTTGAAAAGGGCTCACTTCCTCAGAATTATCAGTCTGCATTTTGTGGTATCTTGTTCAGTCCTGTATGTTTTTAAAGGGAGCAGATTGAAGACCTCTCCCACAGTGTTGGCCCATCAGAGGGCAAGAGAAAAGAGATGCGGCCTGCTGTTCCCAAAGGGAAATGACTCAGCAGGGCACTGGTTTCCTTCAAACTCTCCTTATTATCTCTTTGCTTGTGAGATTGTCTAATTCAGTGGCTGCCCTTTTAAAATCTGAACTCCAGGGTCAGACACATGAAGAGGCAAGAGAACAGACCAAACCTTTATTAGTTCACAGAACTCCAATTCTTTATTAATCACAGCTTGCTCACAATGACATACAGGAAAATAGCACTAATGAAGAGTAAATATGCAGGCAGCAACCTTCAGGAGTTGGGAGTTGGGGAGAAACGACTTCAAAACTGCGATAGGTACTTATGGTGGGTATCTGGTGATTCTTAGTTGGCACAAATGCCCTGCCTAGCCCCCTTAACTGCGTCAGCTTCACAGATGGAGTGTTTTGTTGTTGGTGTTGTTAGTAGGCAGGATTGCCTTACACTGGGGAAGAAAGACCAGCTTGAGTGAAAGTCCGCAGTGTTTTTGATTTTGTTTGTATGTGTGTTTTAATGCAACAACCAGCTCACAGTTTCCAAGTGGAAAAATATTCAGTAGCATCATGTACTTGTACTATAGGTAAGAGCTTAAAATGAACATCATCAATCATGGCATCCACAAATAAGCCACCTGACACATTAATTAATTCATTCCATCAAAAGAACTTAAACTAGAGAATTAAGCCCACTTTATGAAGAGCGATTTCACGGCTGCTTGAACCATTCGAATTTGGATTTGTGTTCAGCACTTTAAAAGGTTCAACTTTTTGCTTCTACCCAGATTGGTCTCAGGTCTGTCTTCTCATCCATCCCTTTCTAAAGCCAAAGCACATTTGTAGCACATAATCCAGGAGAAGCAGAAGTAAATGCTATGACTGGTGGTATTTCTTAGCCTGGTTTTGTAGTTTTTAGGCAGTAAGTAGATTATGAGCGAACAAATGTGAAGGTTCATGTGGAGTCATAATACCTGTGATCTAGGTATGGTCTTAGTCAAGCTCAGAGACAACAAAGCCTTCTAGGTCATTAGGCAATGGTGGGTTTCTAGCACCATAGACTGTCTACTGACCTCATTTTTCTTTTGGAATGGAGTTAGACATGGGGAGCTTCAAAAAGAACAGACCTAGCAAATTCATTTGAGTGGAAAGACACAACATCAAAAGCCTGTTACAGGACATGTAAGATTATGAAATAACTTGCATAATGCAATACTTGTATTTTTTAACAAAAATGTAAGTATTTACAAAATAAGATCCAAGGTATTTTTTAAACATCAAGCAAAACATTCTGCAAAGAGACCGCATTGATTTTTTTTAATTTTTGATTTTTTTTGTTTTTTTTTTTTTATAATGAGTTCTTTTTAAACCATGTCATACATTCCCCATCCTGATATCGCATGATCCATTATAATATAGGCAGGGGGATTTACTATTGGTGGGGCGTGCCAGACCCTCCCTTGCTTCAGCCAGACAGTTCAACCTGGAGTTCCTTGTTCCTGCGCACCTCCGCAGCATGCCTCTCCTAAAAAACACAAAAGGAAGAAGAAATGTCACAGGCCCTTTTTGTCTGGTCCTTTGCGTACCATGCGCTTGACTAGAAGTAACCCAGTTTGGTGTCTACTTTTATGAATTTTTCCCATTTCAGAAGGAAAATATGGGCCCTGCAAAATGTCATGTTAGAAAAGATCTTACAAGACTTACTGTGTTTTAAAAAATATATTTAACACTGTTTTTGTTTAAAACTATGACCAAAAGTTCATGTTATTAAGATAGTTTTGAATATTAGGATCAGAGTATAAATCCAGAGAAAGGTAATAAAACATCACATTATTGTTTCTCTATCATTTCTAATGATGTCGTTCCTTTTGACTAATATTTTAAGGACTTTATAATCCTGATGGACACTCTGGGAGGGCTAGATCCAGGACGAAGACTTTCTATACTGCTTCTTAAACTCTTGACCTGTTTGTCAAGGCCCTTCATAATTGCAGTCCAAGTGACGTTTCCAGTCATAACCCCCATCTTTTCCTACACACACTTGATGTTTCAGTTTAATGGAATTGTCTTGTCATGCAATTTTCAATGCTAGTCTTTCATCTCCACTGGTCAGGATTATAAACTTACTCTTTAAGCCCTATGACCATTGTCCTTTTCTCCATAAAGATTTTTATGAGACTGCAAAGACTAACCTGCAAACTTATCTCACTTTCCATTTGAACACCTGCATAAATCTTTCCTTTTATTCGGCAGTCATTTTATTCTAGTTGTATTATGAGCCTCTCTGTTCTTGTCTCCTCTATTATATTTGACTGTAAGCTCATTGAGGGCCTGGACTATGTTTTATCATTTTTTTTTCCATTTGCAGGGCCTAGCAGAGTGCTTTGCAGATAGCATGTAATTGGTGGATGTTTATTTACATAAGGAACCAAGGTACTAGCCTGGGATTGGGAACTGAACTTCCTGAGGAGGGAACTGATGGAGGAAGTATTTTTTAGTATGTGGCTATACATCAGATGACTAAAATCAGTATTTTTTAGTATGTGGCTATACATCAGATGACTAAAATCAAACTGTCTTGCATATATCATAGGCGCTAAATAAATGTTCATTGAATTGAAATTTTAAGATGCTAATTATTAGTAGTATTATTTATATTTCTGTAGAATGTTGCTTACATTGCTTCTCTCCTTCCCTCTGAAGCTCCAGAAATTGAGACTCTATAGATTCTTTTAGTTCAGAAGAAATAAACTTGACCAGCTATAAAGTAAAACTTATCGTTAAACTCTATTAATCTCAAGGAGTCTACACTTATAGGGTTCTTTATATCATAATACTGAATATTTATTAGGCACTTAATGTGTACCAGACCTGCATCAGTACACGTTTTACCTGTATTAATTCCCTTAATCCTCACAATAATCTTATAGTGGACATTCTATTATTGTCCCCATTTTGCAGATGAAGAAACTGAAACACAGGAAGGGTAAGTAACTTGCCCATCTTCATGATACTAACAAGTGGGATTTAAACCCAGGGAACCTGGCTCTACAGCTCACTCTCTTAATCACTGCTATACAATTTCAATGTTGAGTGAGGAGAACATTTTATAGTTGCATGGAAAAATGTGTCTTTTCAAGTGTAGATTCTGGGAGAAAAAAGGCATAGACCACCCTATACTTCCTTCAAAGATACAGAGTTGGAGTAAGCAGGAAGTTGACTCTAGAGAAAGAGATTAAAAACAATTTTATTTAATTGGTTTAAATGAGCTTTTGTATATGTTCAAAAACCATGAAGAGAAGGAAAGAGGCATGCATAGAGAAATCAAATCCTGTTTGGAAATGTCACAGGGGAAATTAGCATGGATGCAGCTGATTCTTCTTTTTGTTCTGCTATTATAAGGAAAAAGATGAAGCAAAATCTTTTTCTCATGCAGAAAGAAACTAATTAGTGAGAGCTGAGCTCTGGCAAAAATTGAGAAAAAGCCCAGACCATCACTATGCTAGGAAAAAGAAGCCTCAAGTCTAAAGATTCATATAAATTCAAACTGATAACATAGCAGGAAACATTATAATTAGTATTATTAGGCTACTTTGGAGTACACTTCTTGTTAAACTCAAAATTAGTGTTAACAAAATGGATTTTGCCATAGGAAAGAATAAATATAATTTGTGAGCTTGAGATAATGTGGAAAAAGAGAAAATAAATGATTATGAGTTTCTAATTAAAAATTATTTGTTTTCAGGCATTTTAGTCACTCTATTATTTGAACACTTTACGTTCACATTATCGAATATTTACTCATGAACTGTTAATGTGACTTTATATCAAAATGTGGGAGAACAAAAGGCAGTCATGCAGGAAGCATGTAATTTCCCATACAGTCTGTTTTTCTTATCAGCTCACTGTTTGCAATTACTAGACCTTGAATCTAGAGGTTCCTAAAGCAGTTGTGATACTCAGAGAAGGTTCATCAAGAAGACTACTCTTTGATAATATTTATTTCATTATTGATCTCCTGATATTTGCTAGGCACTGTCAGAGGCCCAAGCATATCTAAATTTACAATGTTTTCTGCAATTTACCCCCTTCCTCCCATCAATATAAAGGAAATGTAATACAATATTTTAGCATTGTATGCAGCTATGCCTTTTATATGAAAAAAGATGTATGAAAGTTGATTTTAGGAAAAATTCTGGTCCTCTAATTCTTTCCTCTGATTTCATAGAAAGATTTCTCTACTGGAAGGTAAGAAATATGAGGTCTTTCCTTTCTTTACTTTTTAATGTCCCTTTAATCTCACTAGGTATCAAATATAAACAAGGACTTGGACTATATGACCTAGGATGTCAATTCCATCTATGGAATTCTGTCATATGAGCCTAATTAAATTCAAGATGAGGTCAGTATCATCAAAAATCCTTCTTTTTACTAATGACTATGCACTTGCAATATAAAAAAGGGGTCAGGAGTGAGTTGTGTGAGCTAAGAAAGCACATGTTCATACATTGAGATGTTGGTGATCAGGGGTCATGGGCAGATAGTAAAAAGGTTTGGAGTCAAACAGACTTGCATTCAAATCTAGTCTCTGTGGTCTACTTGTGATCTTGGCCAAATGACTTAATCTTCCTAAAGACCAGGTTCCTTAGATGTGAAATGGGGATAATCACAGTATTTTCTTTTAGGTTGTTGTTTGGATGAAATGTGATAGTACATCCAAAAATGTCTGGCCTATAGCAAACAATTAATAAAGGCTAGTTTTAATCCCTTTTCCTATTTCATTATTCATTCATCAGACATGTTCAATAGTAAGTGTTCATCAGACATGTTCAACAGTAAGTGGTTGCACAAATGATATTTGTGCATCAGAATCACAAGAAAACAAAAGATGAGAAGAATGCAATAGGTGTAAATTGATAATAGCTGGAATCTATAACTAAAGAGTTAAATATTGTCAACATCAGGGAAATGCAAATTAAAACCACAATGAAATACCACCTTACTCCTGCAAGAATGGCCGTAATTAAAAAGTCAAAAAACAATAGGTGTTGGCATGGGTGTGATGAAAAGGGAACACTTTACACTGTTGATGGGAATGTAAATTAGTATGACCACTGTGGAAAACATAAAGAACTGAAAGTAGAACTATCATTTGATCCAGCAATCCCACTGCTGGGTATCTACCCAAAGGAAAAGAAGTAATTATATGAAAAAGACACAGGCTCATGCATGCTTATAGCAGCACAACTTGAAATTACAAAGATATGGAACTAATGTTAAGTGTCCATTGACCAACAAGTGGATAAATAAAATGTGGTATATATACACCATGTAATACTACTCAGCCATAAAAAGGAACTAAATAGTGTCTTTTGCAGCAACTTGGGTGGAGCTGGAGGCCATTATTCTAAGTGAAGTAACTCAGGAATTGAGCACTAACTATCATATGTTCTCATAAGTGGGAGCTAAGCTATGAGTATGCAAAGATATAAGAGTGATATAATGGACTTTAGAGACTTGTGGGGGAAGGTTGGGAGTGGGGGCGAGGGATGAAAGACTACATATTGGGTACAGTGTACACTGCTTGGGTATTGGGTGCACTAAAATCTCAGAAATCACCACTAAGGAACTTTTCCATGTAACCAAACACCACCTGTATCCCCAAGACTATTGACATTTACAAAACAGGTACATATTATCAAAATTACCTCTTAGGGAAAGAATCACAGAATCTTATTCCCTGAAAATATTTTTATCATTTTAAGTTGCATCATATTATGTGCTACTATTGCCACTAAAATATGGCTATAATATTTTCATTTGACATTTTCTAGATATTAGAAGTGAAATGATGAATTATAGTGAAGCAATTTCTTTTATTTCCTAAGTACTGTACTTCATGGTTGGATAGGGGAAAGCAGTTGTCAAGTTTGTCTGGGTTACTTGCTTCTCTCCTTTCTAAACGATACTGAAAGCTCCTTTGGTATTTGTTACCATGTTATGAGCTCAGAAGTCTTGGCATTGACTAAGATGATATGGTAGAATTACAAAAGAAAGAAGATATGATACAATCTGGATTAAGTGGGGAATTCAACAAGATTCAGTAGAAGTCCTCTTCAGTAACTTGCCATGTTAACCCTCTCTGTTCCCTCCATCGTCCTGCTGTCTGATGGTTCCTAAATGCTGAATTGCTTGAGAGGAAAGGGCTCTTCCCTAATATTGCCACATACTTTCCTTCTCAAATGGTTGTGTTATATGCTTGATTATAGCCAATGGTATTTCCACACCTGTTTAGCAATTCACATTTGAAAATTTAACTATCTAATTTAATTAAGTACTACATTAATGGAAAATTGTGAGGGTGGAGAGAAACCTTTGGAAATACGTGAGAAAGTGAAGTATTTAGTAGATACTGGGTGAGTCAACTATAAAAGCTATGGAAAAGTTGTAAAAAGTCTATATCCAGGCTTTTTGGAGATGTCTTTAGTCCCTACTCAATTTTAAAGAAATTAAAACTGCAAATCATAGCTAATGTGACATAAGTGTGAATAATGGCAAGAAAAGAAACCCCCATAGAACCCCCATTAACTGATCAATTTTTGGAAAAGGTATTGGGCCCAACTACATCGAAAGATTGGTCAATATGTTTACACGTAAATATTTGACATTAAAATTATATGTTTAGTGAATAGATGTATTGTTGTTAAAATGATTATACATGCTTTAACTGATTTTTCAAAACTAACTGTCTCACTGCAATTCTTGATTGGGTCATTTGGCGCTCCTACTACTCAGGGTTTCTAAAAGGGTCAGGTGGTGAATTTTCTGCAGGATGCTGCATAGTGCGTTAGGGGAGAAAGGGACACATCAGGGGAGGAAGAAAATGTCTTGAATCATTCCTGTATGTCAAGAACAGGTGTTTCCCCCTCTCTTTCCTTTCTCTCATCTTCCTCTCTTCCCCTCTCCTCCCCTTCTCTGTTTCTCTCTCTTTCTACTTCTCATACCACTCTAAGAATAAGAACATTTTGAACTTCACCAGTCATAATCCACAGACTAGTCTTTTGAGTCCTGGATATGACATCAATAGGTCAGCCTAATGCAGGCCTTTGTGGCACAGGCATCCCTTCTCCCACAGCCTTCTCCACATTTGATTCTTTTCTATATAATAGCCTGGAGTGTTAAGATGAGGTGCTATGAAAACAGGAAACTGAAATAAGAAATGAGTGTAACATTCTTCTTTGGAGGAAGAAAGAACACTTATGCAACAAAGACAAAAAATACTAAAATATAATTTATGATGACATCACAAAGCATATTTAAGAAACATTTAGCACAGTGGTTCTCAACCACGGCTAAATATTAGAGCCTACTAGTGAGCCTTTAAAATAATACAAGGTTCTTGGCCCTATTCCAGACATTAAATCAGAATCCCTTAAAGAGCTGTCCAGTAGATTCCGAAGTGCAGCCAGGGCTGCTTTTGCTTTAGGCTTTCAGTTTTAGCTAAAGGCTTTGAGCTAACATGGCTGGGGCTCTGAGGGGTTTCTGGGAATTTATCAGTCAGTGACATTGAAGATACCATTATGGGCATCATGGTGAAAATATGCTTGAATGCTCAATTCTCTTAATTGAAGGGAAGAGCGACTGAGTGCTGAATGGTAGGCAGATTGTGGAAAAGCTTGCACAGAGTTGTATCATGTCTCTTGCTTAATTGATAGGGCCAGTGAGGGCTATCATAAGGGTGGGCGCATGGTGTAGTGACCTTGATGTGAATTTACTTTTACTGATATTATTCAGTGTCTTTGTATTTACTGTCTATATTGGACCATACTACATGTTGTCTTATTCTCTAATTGTTGGTGCTATATTATTTATTGCTGAATTTTGTATTGTCTGTATTGGGAAAGACATGGTTGGTAATGATATTACAAAGGTTCCTAAGCATATAGTAGGGACTCAATACATATTCATTGAATGATTAACTCATTGATAGGTGTCATTTCAGAAGTGGTCATCTTTTTTTTTCTTTTTATTTTAGAGACAGGGTCTTGTTCTGTTTCCCAGGTTGGAGTGCAGTGGCACAATATTTCCCAGGTTGGAGTGCAGTCTCGAACTCCTTGGCCCAAGCAATCCTTTCATCTCAGCCTCTGAAGTAGCTATGACTACAGGCATTTTTACAAGTGTGCCACCACTGCTGGCTAATTTTTGAATTTTTGTTTGAGGCAAGGTATCATTATATTTCCCAGGCTGGTCTCGAACTCCTGGCTTCAAGCAATTCTCTTGCCTTGGCCTCCCAAAGTGCTGGGATTACAGGTGTGAGCCACCATGCCCAGCATAATTATCTTTTGATATGGTAGATTTCAGAGCAGCTTATGTTACGTTGGCAGTGTCATGCCTTTTGGCTTTACTGTTATTACTGACCCTCTTTTAAATTTCTAATTTAATAGGAGTAACTTCATTCAAACAAAATGCTAAATATTACTTCCAATATAAAACTTTGTCTTATTTTAGGAAAAAGCAAAGTAGTTTTAGTATACACATTCACAATATGTAAACCACAATTTTGTATTAAATCCACCTATGTGATATACATCAAATCAAAGTAAATATGGTATTTCCTTTTTATTGAGGAGATAAAAGATCTTGACTGACACTGGCCAAAGATCCTATTAGATTTGAAAAGCACCTCATTAGCTATGAAATACCAGAAAAAAATGTGGTCCTAGAATTTCTCTGGGCTGCATTATGTGACGTGGGATAGACTGCTGAGAGCTGAGATTTAAATCAGAACAGGCTACGAACCACTAGTTCTCAAATCTGGCTGCATATTGGAACTATATGGAGAGTTTTTAAAATGTATGGATGCTGGGTCCCATCCTTGGAGATTCTGTGGGTTGATGTCAGGAATTTTAAGCACTCTTTGGGTTGATTATTTGCAGGAAAAGTGGTGTGCAGATGTACATGTATGCATGTATGGGGGAGGGCACTAAATTTGGTTGGGAGTGGAAAGAGTACAAAAATGAGCTGAGCATGGCTGGGCTAGGTGAAGAGAAAAAAACACACAGAGGAAAAAAATGGTCCGTTAAAAGCTAGCACTTCTGGAAATATTAGATAAAATATGGAAAATTTTTGAACTATTTTACAATTGAAATCAAGAAGGATATGCCCTGGCTGGGCACGGTGGCTCACACCTGTAATCCCAGCACTTCGGGAGGCCGAGGTGGGTGGATCACTTGAGGTCAGGAGTTTGAGACCAGCTTGGCCAACACGGCAAAACCCTGTCTCTACTAAAAATACAAAAATTAGCTGGGCGTGGTGGTATACGCCTGTAATCTCAGCTACTTGGGAGGCTGAGACATGAGAATCACTTGAACCCAGGAGGCAGAGGTTGCAGTGAGCTGAGATCGTGCCACTGCACTCCAGCCTGGGCGACACAGCGAGACTCTATCTCAAAAAAACAAACAAACAAAAAAGGAGGCTATGCCGTGTGTTTGGGTATGTGTAATTTGAAAAACAAAAATGCTCCAGGACTGCCAGTGATATAAATCTTGCATTGAGGCCTAATTGAGAATGCTGCAATAAGATCAGCAGGTACCGTTCCTAGCAACTTCACTTAATTGTTTTAGGGCCTAGGATGTGAGAAGAAGGTTGAGTCACAGTGATCTCAAAGAGATCACACAGTGGCCCTCTGCTGTCCATGTTATGAGCACTGGTCAAGCGGGAACATCCTTAGTTCTCTGGAGAAGTGCAAAGTGGTGGCAGATGGAGGAAGACTGACTGGTTGAAGGTCAGGGGAGTAAACTTTAGCAAATGGAACTTTGCTCCCCTGTATCTGAGTAAAACATGTGTTCCTATACCGCCATAAATCACCTGGAGAGAGCCAAATTCTGTTGCCTCTTCCAAATCGTGACTTGACTCACTTGGGTGAAACGCAATGACATTGTTCTGAGAGTATAAAAACACTAGCTTATAAATACAAATTTAATCCGAACTTTCATGTTTCGGATAAGGCATCAGGTAACTATTCCGGTTCTTGCCCAAGTCAGCAGTACTCGTCCACGGACCTCTGAGAGCCTCAGTGTCTTACTGCTGCATCAGAGCCCACACACCCTTCCCCAGCAATGCTTTCAAAAATTCCTCACGAGCACAAATGAAGATCTCCATGCAATTATATCTTTAAAAGTTTTCATGCCTGATTTCCTTTGTTTCTAGTTGGATATTTGCAGTCAGAGACTGAGAATGAAAACAGAATCATCAGAACTTCAGGATAAGGTTTTTTGAACCTTAGATGAGAAGGGCCATCTCTAACAGAAGACATGAAACTCTGAGAAATAGAAAACAGGAGGCTCATCTAATTAAACTCTCAGGGCTCTGATGACAGGCACACTCCTGTTTTGCTCTGCATCTCCAATGCCTATCACACAAAGGCACTTGCTACTGGCGGGAAGGGTGACTGACTGCTCAGAAAAGGATTGAGGCGTCTTTCTCAAACATCCCATTTCTCAATGCTTATTCCAATTTCTGGAAACGGACACAGCTAAACTACTCACAGCTATACTGTATATTTTCAAAGGAAAGGTTTTTTGAGGGGATAGGTGGGAGACAGCATAGAGAGTACAAAAGTGAAAGACAGCATTTTTCAGAAGAACTCCAGCACAGCTCCTCCTGACTCATGGGAATGAATATATGTTTAGGTTGTTGAAGAGAAGGGCACCAGGATACCAGAACTGGATGAAACATCCCCTATGAGCTAATCTTTGCTATGGTCCCATGTGATGCTATTATACCCTAGAATGGGCTTACCAGTGTTCATAAATACCCTGGCCTTTTCTGGCAAATATATTTTTCTAATTTAATATTTTAATTAAATATATATTTAATGTCATATATTAAACAAATATTAAATCAAATGTTATTTATACTTATATCAATATAATATATAGACATTAATATTTCCAGTGTAACATTTTTCCTACAGATTGCCTCGTGAGGCTTGTATAGAAGTCTTACACATTTCAAAAGCATGAATCAGCCTCCCTGAATCCACTCACCATGGGAAAATTTGACAAAATTCCAGCTTTCATGATGGATTCCCATTTCTCTACCATGTTGCACCTCCTGCTAACTCAATGCTACACTGTGAGACCCTGCCCATGGGAGTTAGTTGTCCTCACACCTGCAGCAAATTTTGACTTCGTCTCTGTGCTCAGGCATATGGAAGTTCACCCAGCTGTGCTGCATATGAATATATCCATCTGCTCAGGACTCTGCTGAGATTACCTTTTCCTGCAGACGTTCAATAATAGCAGCTAGATTAGCCTCACGGTTTTCCTTAATTTGTTCCATTTTCAGGATCAGCTTTTCCTCCGCCATCTTGCTGAAGTTGTTGTTCTCCTCCAAAGCCTTCTGAAGGACTTCTCGCTCGTGTTCCCTCTTCTCTGCCAATTGTTTCAGCACCTGGGCCTCCTGAGACTGGGGAAGAAAAACATAGCCATCTTATAATTATCCAAACACAAACCTAGCAGAATAACGGCCCACCAATTGGAGGGAGCATTCTTTTCAGATGAATAGTACTCCCAGCCTTGAGCACTATTGTCAAGTCTGTACTCATCTGCATGGCTTAGAGTTTTCTATAGAATGTGGCTAGTTGGGAAATGCGGTTAGCTGAATTTTCAGCTGTGAGTATATTTCGGACTGTCTTAGAAGAAGAAGCATTTAATCCTCATTGAGGAGTTACAAATTTTTTTAAAAAAAGGCTTTGTTGCTAAGCGTTTATGCAACAGAAAATGCTATAATGAATTACAGGATGGCAATATTCAACCAAAGCCTGAGGAAAACAGTTGAGGACTGAGACAAGTTCTGATCTTCTTCCTGATCCATTGTTTTTTCATCAACTGTAGGCTAGGCCCTACAATAAGCTTTTCAATTTTCATCAATCAAATAATCAAATTCACTTTCTCCTTTTATTTCACACCCCCTTCCCCCCTCCCTATCCCCCATACACCAAAGTCTCTTTGGAGATCTGAGAACAGTGCAAACTTAGTGTCCCCTTGGCCACAGAGAGCAGAAAGTCCTTGTTTTGACCCTCTCTTGAAACCCTGTGGTTGCTCAGTGATTTAGATCCAGATGTACACCCTGCCCTGCACTTTGAGCACTGTAATTTTCTTCCAGCATCAGGAGTCTGTTTGGCTCTGTACAGTGAATGGTAATCACTGGAGCACTTGATAACAATGCAGGTGCCTGGCATCTACCTCCAAAGATTCTGATTCCAAGGTTCTTTGGTGAGGCCCAGTGATAAGCATCACTAGTGACTCAAATGCAGGTAGTCCAGTCTACCTTTTGTAAGTCATACTGGCATGGGCTTTGATGTCAGGCCTGTGTTCAAGTCTTACCTCTGTTTGTGACCCAGGATGTGTTACGTAACTTCTTTCCATATTCTTTTTATTCTCCCCATTATGCAGCTGAGAAAAGTCCCACCCAATACTGACCTATTTAGGTTTAAGACTAAATTATTACACACTCATGGCTTCTGGATAATTTCTCAGGATCAGCTGATGCCCCGAGGCAATCCTTCACAGGAGTAATTATAAGTGGGAATATCTAAACAATGGTTGATCAAAAAATAATCCTAAGTGCCCTGTTAAATACTGATTACCATTGAAAGCATTAGTGGGAAAACATTTTAGTTGATGGTAGTGGTTGTGGACATTTACTGGAAAGGTCTTTTTGTATAAACAATATGGGGCCTGGAGAAAGGAGAAACTTCTCTTCAAATAAAATTCTACAGAAATGGGAAAGTCAGACAGCCTTACACATCTTTACTGATGTGTTTATTCTCAAGTTGATCAGGAATAGGTCTGTGGCTCACTGGAGATTAGACAGAAAATCCTGGGAACCAGCCCTGCCTCTTGCTTTAACCCCATAATGGTTTCAGGACATTTTACTATTTATGTGTTTATTTTTTTTTAGATAGAGTCTCGCTCTGTCACCCAGGCAGAAGTACAGTGGCGTGATCTCTGCTCACTGTAATCTCTGCCTCTGAGGTTCAAGCGATTCTCATGTCTCAGCTTCCTGAGTAGCTGAGATTACAGGTGTGTGCTACCACACCCTGCTAATTTTTGTATTTTTAGTAGAGATGGGGTTTCGTCATGTTGGCCAGGCTAGTCTTGAACTCCTGGCTTAAGTGATCCACCCGCCTCGGCCTCCCAAAGTACTGGGATTATAGGTGTGAGCCACTGTGCTTGGCTGGTTTTAGGACATTTTTAGTGGAACCAATGCTTTCTTACTTTGTATTGGTTTCAGGAAAACCAATACAAAAATAATAAGAAAATTATAACATAAATTGAGTTCAAACTCCAATGGAGCCTTTCTGGAAGAAATATGAATAAAATATTTTCTAGCTGGTTCACTCTCCTGCCTCTAGGTGGGACTGTTGGTAAAGCATCCTACACAGACTTTGCTTATTTGCTGTTATCAGGACTACGGAATTGTTACAGGGAGAGAGGTGTGTGTGTAAATATTTAAAGTTTCTCTCTCTGGGAAAAGTCTTCATGAAATTAATTTTTTTGGTAATGGATAAGAATAGTACCTATCTCATATGGTTGTCAGGATCAAACAAAATAATGTTTGCAAGGTATTTAATGCAGTGTCTAATATCAAGTAAGTTAGTACTGAATGAGTGGTAATCATTATTATCAAAAGCAAAATTTAAGACACTTGTGACAAGGAGATGATGGCAACTGGACTTACTGGTATAACAACTCAAATGCAAAATTTTGGCAATTTCATGTGTGTGAAGTATTTGTTCAAACTTCTTTGATTATGAACAGTTAGTGGATTCAGGGATCCTGATGGTTGATGAGAGTCCAAGTCCTTCCTAACTCCCTCATCTCCACCTCATGCATGCCCACTGACTTGGGCTGTATTGATAGGAAATCTCACAGTGAAGTGAGCACCACAAAGAAATAAGAGGAGACAGCTTTGCACCTTCATTTTAGAAAATTCAATACATGTAACCTCCAGTCCAGCAAACCTTCTCAAGGAAGAAGGCTGGATTATCACAAAACAAGGGTGCAATGTGTCCAAGAATTAGGAATTGGGTTAGAGCCCTAGGTTTCTCTTGTAATGAACAGAAATCCATGGAGGATGCTCCAGGAGACAAAGTCAAACCAAACAAATCAAAATAAAGCAAAGTAAAACTTCAACATTCTCTAAGTGCCGTGCTTTAAAATCATTTTTCTATCTTAATACACTGTTAGGTAATGCTCTTCTTAGCAACTGGTACCCATCAGCCACAGCTGCTAAAGGCAGGTAGCAATGTAACATTTCTGCTCAGTGGTTAAACAATTCCTTCCTGCTCCTCCTCCCATAGATCAGTGTTTCCAACACTGCCCTAGATAGGATCCACCTGGATTTTTAATGGCCACTTTTTTCAAGTAGCCTTTCTACAGAAGCTCCTGTGGCACAGTGACATGAGCCCCAACCTGGTATTTGGAAAGCCTGGGTTTGCATCCTGCTTTGCTGAGCCTGGCCCTTTGAGATGGACTTCATGGCCAGGGGCCTTGTGCCTGCTGCTCTTCAGACAGGATCAGCTTACAGAGAGTTACTGTGAATTATTATCAAGAGGCCACTGCAACTGCCTAATGTTTCATTTTCAGATGCTCCAATTAAGTTTGGCACTTTGTTCAGTTGTGTTTTAACTTAATGTTTATATTTGTGTTCTTAATTTTCCTTTGTGAAAGAACCAAAGTCAAGAGGAAACAGCAGGGAAATAAGATTCAGACGGGAAGGCTTTGAAATTACAAGGTAATACAGCAACACCACTTTTCCATACTTCTTGCCTTGGTGGGACACATTTGATCTGCATGAACAAACTCCTGTGGTTTCCATTATGAATAATGGAGAATTCCCATTATAACCAATGCCTACTCCATTTACTGGAGTGCAACATTTGGCTCAGTTTGAAATGACTCAATTTAATGGGGTTAGTACTTTTGTTGCTATTGGGGCTAAATGAGATTACACAGCATAGGTGTCAAGTGCATTTCTTTAGCACAATTAATGGGGTGAAACAGAAACAGAAGGCAGTACAGAGTGTGGTCACGTGAGTCTGCTGCTAACTCACAGAGACCTGCCAAACTAGGCCAGGCTGTGCTTCAGGGCTGCTCACTTCTGTGGTACCTTTTCTTACACCCTGGAAGGGAATGTTATATCCACTATTAACTCACACATTTGCAGGACTTAATAATTGTCTGTGTTTCAAATATTTAAAACTTAAGTCCACACATACAAAAATACAGGATGTCAAGTCAATTATGGTGGAAAGCATTCTATCCCAAGGAAATACTTATGACTTCCTATATTAGTCTCTATTCATAAGCATTCAATATTTTTTTTTAAATTTAGAGACAGGGTCTTGCTTTGTTGCTCAGGCTGGAGTATAGTGGTGTGACCTTAGTTTACTATAGCCTCAAATTCCTGGGCTCAAGAGATCCTCTTGCCTCAGCCTCCTGCACAGCTGGGACTACAGGCGTGCAACACGACACCTGTCCAGCAGTCAATTTTTGAACAAATTATTCAGGGGCGCTAATAACCAGGGGGGCATCTACCTCAGTTCCTGAGGTCTCTGCTACCCCATTGGGGTAGAAAGGCATAACCTCGCTTCCTTTTTCACAGTGTAGCATCCAGATAGATATTGCTGCCCATAACTCCTCTAACTCATTTCTTAGGTAGAAATTGATTCTCACATGAACATAGTTTAATCTTCTAGTCAGACCCTCAAGGAAAAAAATTGGCTCTAATTCCAATGAGCAAATAGGCAGTTTAATCAATGAGAAAATAAGCAGTTAGTCCAGAAAACTGCACTAAAACATGACATGAAGTGAGTGAGGCTGTAGAATAAAAAACATGTGACATACAAAAGTGGCAGCATTTTCCTTCATTTTTGGCAGAGAAGTAAAGTTCTCACTACATGTTCAAATAGGTATTCTTACTTTATATCTTGACTGTGCAGATTAGCAGAAAGGAATTGTGATTGCGTGGACTTATGAAACGGAGGGTGGTGAAGTGAGAAAATCGCTAAAAGTTGTTAAAAATAAATTGTTCAAGGAAAAAGTATCTGGCCTTGGAGGAACACTTCTAAATAACCTGTACCTAACATAGAAGGTCACTAAAATATTAAAAGGGAAAATTAGGGCAAGACAATGATCAGCTGATATAATGCAAATGTCAAGGCAAAATATAGAACTGAGATGTTCAACGTGACGTTCCGGGAGACTAAAGAACCTTCTCGATCTTGCTATTATGGGAACTGAGGCACGTTATTGGTGAGCACCTTTTCTAGGCATAAACCTCCTCACACTGAACTCAATCATTGAAATAATTACATGAGAGGTACGTGAAGCGAAAAACAATGAGACAGGAAAGGAGACTTATTGTACATTTAGGAACACTTTAACATTTTGCAAAGAGGTTAATTACCAATTTGTATATTACTGAGTGTAAGAGTTTAATTACTATACAAATGGAGTGGAAGATAAATTTGAGTAACTAGTACATAAAACTCATTTTACTTTATGTACACAGATGAGACTTAAGACTACATTTTAGATAGCACTAATTTTCCATTTATTTCTGAAGTAAACATATTTATTTTCTTGTCACTTTTCATTATTTGGGGGATATATTACTTGCTATCCAGGACCGTTGATCAGACACTAAATCTCCTAGTACCAAAAAATGCTTTTACACAAGTAGGGTAGGTGATGTGTCTGTAATTATTGACTTTACTGCTGACAATGAAAATCATTATTGACCCATCTAAAGTCACAAATAATGTCCTGTTGAAATATGACAATTGAATATAATTATGTAAAACCAAAGAGTACAATATTCACTTTGTGTTGAAGAGCCTGAAGCATAACAGGAAATTTAAAATGATTAAAATCCTAAGACCTTTAGAATGAGCCCTTCTGCTAAAGTGTGTAATGGGTTTACTGTGGTTAGCTCCTAGGAAAAGAAACTTGGGGGTGCTCTTCTTCACCGAGAAGGTAGCACACGGAAGATTCTGTGGCCCACGTGCCATATTCTGTAAGGAGCAGAATGTTTCCTGAATGTCAAGCGGTGAATAATCCAGTACTTTGTTTCATAATCCATTGCTATACAAACCACCCCCTCTTTCCCTGGATTCCATTTTAATTGCCATCTACAATGTGAGATGCCAACAAATGGAAAAGGTAAGTCTATCATGTTTGGTGACTAATGATCTACTTTTATGCCATTTTATTAAGAATAAGCAACACATCTTCCTTTCAGAGGCTTAGTGACTTTGAAGCTGATTATGCCAGTAATGAGAGCATGCTAATGAAATCTCACTGAACTGGTTCAAGTAGGGTGATTTTTAATTTAATCTCTTTTAGGGTGAGATTTTATCAATGTCATTAAAATCCTTTTGTTTTCACAATATTAATTTTTTCAGGACACTTTTAGTTGGCCTGACCTATTTATATATCTATTACCTATCAAACTGTCTTTTCTTCTATGCAATTTGATAAAGAATATTTTATAATATTTAAAAATATTGGCCGGGCATGGTGGCTCATGCCTGTAATGCCAGCACTTCGGAAGGCTGAGGTGGGTGGATCACCTGAGGTCAGGAGTTTGAGACCAGTCTGGCCAACATGACAAAACCTTGTCTCTACTAAAAATATAAAAATTAGCTGGGTGTGGTGGTGGGTGCCTATAATCCCAGCTACTTGGGAGACTGAGGCAGGAGAATTGCTTGAACCTGGGAGGTGGAGGTTGCAATTAGCCAAGGTGGCAACACTGCACTCCAGCCTGAGCCTGAGTGGCAGAGCGAGACTCCGTCTCAAAAAAAAAAAAAAAAAAAAAGCAACGTATATTGTATGGTAGCATTTCAGTCTCTGTTGATGAGAAACTTCTTTTCTTTATAAAATCATGAGTTTGCTAGATAATCTCTGTGAGGTCAGAAACTGGATGCTTCTTCACATAGTAATTGCTAACCCTTTTACCATGCTGGTTATATGTCTTTATTGTAGAGTAACCTTCCAATTCTCACACTAACTCCATAAGTTCTATTACTAGTCTCATTTTACAGATTGACAAAGGAGGACATACGGAGATTAAGTCACTTGCTTGAGGTCACACAGCTTTTAAGTGGTGGAACCAGGATTTGAACACAGACATTCTCTTAACCACATGTTCTTAAAGACAATATTTTAAAGATGCCCTTAAACACTGTGCCCTGCTAAGGATGCTCATGTAATTGATTGTCCAAAGTGGAACACTTATGAGAGTAAAGAGAAATAATTAATAATGGTATCAAAACAACGAGAGTTAGCTGGAGTTGTCCTGGGCCAACTGGGATGTATAGTTATGCTAACTCTGCTGCCTCTTGCTAAATACATGTTGGTTGAATGAATGAATAAATGATAAATGGATGGTTAAAGCATTCATGTCATTTCACCCTTGTGGGTCAGTTGCATTATGGAAACTTTGATTTCAAGAGATGAGGTTCAAACTGACCTGATGAGATTGATATAGACTCATAGAGATGATCATCACTGACTACCAGCGATAATCAAAGAATGGAGAAAAAGCAGGGAAAGGGCTTATTCTTTTTATGACAAGCTTCTTCTATTATCTAATCACTGGAGCACTAATTCTGGTTCAAAGGAGCCCGAGGGAGTATCCTCCAACCTAGTAACCAGATGGTCAGTGCTGCAATAGTGTCAACAGATGGAATGGGGAGGTGGGGACATTGCCAAAACATTGAACACAAAGTGAATCTGAGCCCAAGTGGCGATGCCTCTGTGGCAGCCTTCCAGCTATAAACCCAGAAAGCCCCCCAAATACAGCCTAGGTCATAGTTCCCTGAAGGGGTCCCTGAAGTCCCACAAAGAGGCCTTCAAGGTATTAAGGGTAGGGGGAGGGAGGAGAACTCGTAAGTTTTTTTAAATTTAAAAAGCCCTAACAGAAATCATATTTCACATCTATAGCCATGTCTATCTGTATATTTACTTTGAGTTAGAATTATGTCAATTTAGTGCAATACTGCTTATCTTTTAATAATCAGAAATAATTAGCAATTACAGATTCCTTTGATTATAATCATGGTAAGATAATTTATTAATAGTTATTTAAAAGTAATATGTTTGCTAGGTAGAATCTTCACAAACCTGTAACTTATTGGGAAGGAAATGGGTCCAGGGCAACGAAAATGTTGCTAACCCGTGGGCCAGGTGGAACATGTATGTATTTTTGAAAAGTCTGTAGTGACTCCTTACTGCTTATATAATGGAGTTTGCACACTAACCTGGCATTCACAGCCCTCCCTAATCCCACCTCGCTACTCTCCAACTCCCTATCCAAATCCACTAGTCCAAACCCTTAGTCTACCCACTGCTCTGAAACCTACACTTTCTGCATTCTCGCCTCTGTGGATCCTTAGTTCTGGAATCACTGTCTTAGTCTAGAATGTTTTCCTGTTTTCTCTATTTATCTAACACTATTTATTTTTCTAGTCATCTCCCCCTTTAAAAAAGGATACTTCTTTAAAAAGATGCTGTGATTCACATAAAGTAGTGAAATGGCTTTATTATCCTTCATGATCTCCCATTTCATGTGAAGTCAAAGTCCTTAATTGTGACCTCTGACTTCAGTTGCTACCACTCTCCCCCTGCTCTCAGCTTCAGCCACGCTGGCCTCCATGTTATTTCTCAAACACACCTCATACATTCCTATTTCAGGGCCTCCGCACCTGCTGCTCTCATCATTTTGAATGTTCAGGTCCCAGAGAAGAGCTGCCCGCCCTACTCCCTTGCTACCTTTGTGCTTCTTTTCAAATGTCTTATTCAAGAGGTTTTTTTTTGACTATCCAATAATTATATTATTATATATAGTAATAATAACATATAATATTAGCTTCTTTCACCCCCACACCCCCAGTTCTCTTTGTCCTGCTAATTTTGCATCATCTAATATGCTGTGTATGTATTTATTAGCTCTTTCTCCCCCACTGGAATGTAAGTTTGATGAGTATCCCCTGTGTCTAGAACAGGGCCTGCCAAATAGTAAGTGCTTGATAAATATCTGTTGACTGAGTGATTTTGCCCAGACTAGGATTTCCTTAGTGCAATTTCAGATGTCATTTGGAAACTTAGTGACTATAATTGTTTTAGGATGGGAGGGTGGAATAAAAAATCAAAACAAGCTATATATTGCCGCTTTCACATTTGGCCCTGAAAGTTATTATTTATTAATTTACTTAAAAACATTTGTAGTACTCAGGCAATGACTAACAGGAGTTGAATAAGAAAGAAAAAAAATGTTTACAGTAATAACTATTGCCAAGCACTATTAAACAAAAGACAAGTTCTATCTTCATGGAGTTTATAATCTAGTAGAAGACATAGGGTTAAATAAATACATATGCATATATATACTAATATGCCAGTAAATACTAATTACTTACTAATTGTGCTAGGTGCCACAAAGGAAAACCTGTTTACCATGAACGAGAGTGAGAGATGAAACCTAGGTTCAGAGAAGTCCCCTCCCCACAGTGAGGAACTGAAATAGAAACAGAGTAGGTAGCTGAAGAAGGCATGAGATTTAGAAGATCCTATTACTTACAGTACATCCTAAACTTCACACTTGCATTAGTTCTGACAATGTAAAGACTAAAACCATAGAATGGAAATTTCTTTTGAACTTTCTGAGTTCCCATATTAATGTAATTTTTAAAGAATATATATGAAAAAACAAAGTAAATTTGAATCTGAATAATTATCTGGTATGGATTTTAAAAACTTAGGCCTAAAATTTCCCCATTATTCACTAGGTGTTTTCTGTTTTAATATCCGTATCTGTGCTACTGGCTGCCTTTGGCTACTAGGCACTAGGAATATGTCTAACATGAATTGAAATGAGTTGTAAACGTAAAATACACACTGGATTTCAAACACTTAGTATGAATAAAATAATGTGAAACAGCTCATTAATACTTCTATATTGATTACATGCATATTGAAATAATGTTTTGAATATATTGGGTGAAGAATATTTTACTAAAATTCATTTCATATTTCTTTTATTTTAAAAAATGTGGCTTCTAGAACATTTAAAAATACACATATGGCTCCCATTACATTTCTTTCTTTTTTTTTTTTGAGATGGAGTCTTGCTCTGTCATCCAGGCTGGAGTGCAATGGTACCATCTTGGTTCACTGCAACCTCCACCTCCTGGGTTCAAGCAATTCTTCTGCCTCAGCCTCCCCAGTAGCTGGGATTACAGGCACTCGCCACTATGCCCTGCGAATTTTTGTATTTTTAGTAGAGATGGGGTTTTGCCATGTTGGCCAGGCTGGTCTTGAACTCCTGATCTCAGGTGATCCACCTGCCTCGGCGTCCCAAAGTGCTGGGATTATAGCCATGAGCCACCACACCCGGCCTGGCTCACGTTATATTCCTTGGACAGTACTGTTTCACAGAGCTGCCTAGATTAATATTTTTCATTCTATCTGTAAGAAAATAACGGCAACAGGGCAACAGAAGGGAGATACAAATTGAATAGTGTATGAACTAAATAATTATTCTAATTGTTATAGTAACACTAAACATTTATAGATAGAAAATGTGGACATCTATAGTTTTGTTTATTTAAGATCCATTACCCCTTCCTCTTGTGAGAACACCTCGATTTTCTTCTGGGGAACTACCCCTCCACAATTCTTACCCCAGGGATCTTACCTAAAATCCTTTGCAGGTCAGTGGTGGGCATGTGATTCAGGCTAGCATATCAAACTACTACATCCTCTTGGCCATAATGATTGGTTCTGGGTTGGGCCTGTGATCCAGGCCAGGCCATTGAGACTCAATTTCGGGACTTTTGTTAAACTATTGGGAAAAAGAAGCTCTGTTTCTGCTGGAGTTGCTAAGTTGTGAGAAAAATAATTTGGAACTGACTATTGAAATTAAACTTTCTTGATAATGAAACCAGTTAAATGCAGGAAGAGATGACAGGCACTGAAAGAAAGTTTTCTGATAATACTGTGATCCCTGGATCCAGCTGTTCCTGATGCTGTAGCCACTCCTAGACTTTTTAGTCACATATTTGCTTTTTGTTTTAACTAGTTGAGTTGGGTTTTGGTTATAGGCATGTCCTTACTAACATAATTACTGAGATATATGCACTTGCTAAAGACTCTTTAAAGATAATTAATAGTTCTTTAAATTAGTGCTAATTAAGTCAGTATAACCCAATAGAATAAAATCAATTAGTGATTTTTTAAAGTTGGCACTTTCTGCTAATTAGTTGTATTTTCTTTTAATTAAAACTCTACCATTAACAAAAAAAAACCATAAAAAACTAAAAATAAAACCCGACCACTAGGGCATAATCTATATGGTTATTTTTGCATTACAAAATGTTTAACAAATAACTGGAAAGGTGATGGAATACGGCTTTTAAAGCATTCTAAGGAATTTTTTTTTTCTGGGCATCATAACACTGGATGATTACATTTGTAAATGTCTTTTAACCATGTGGCCAGTTTCTAGTTCAATTCAATTGTTTAAATGTATAATCATTGATAATTTCTTGCTGTCAGGGTGCAGGAGCTTTATCAGTTTCATTAATTAGTAACCTCAGGGACTCTTATAAGAACACCTAGTTAATTTTGTTGATCCCAGTTCTTTTTTTATCCTCAATAATTTCTTTCAAATTAAGTGTAGTACCTAGAAACACCAGCAACATCCTAAATCAGGATGTTGAATTGTGGTTTGAGTTTTAATTTCACCTCAGTCACTGACTCCATATTCTAATCAAGTCATAGCATCTCAATATATGTCGACCTATGACTCTTATCTCTACCCAGTGCCTATAAGATGCCAGTGCTTGGGTCAGAGCTTAAACTGCTTTGGGTGCAACATGCTCTCCACTGTTTTAGGTATTGCTTACATCTGCTGGCAGCAAAGTTTTGATAATGTTGAATAATTTATTTTAGCTTTACTATGAGAATAAAGCTAAAAATAACAATAAAAAAGCTGATAAAAATGTTTTAAAGCAACTTCCTGTATATATATATATATATATAGTCGAGTTAGTAGCTCAGGTTCCTGTTTTTTAAATCTAGAACAATGATAACTAGTATTTTATATATATATATATATATACACACACACATACACACACCAATATTAATATATAATCATGGTGTATATATACCAATATTAATATATAATTATGGCATATATACAATATTAATATATAATTATGGTATACATATACATATATACACATCACATATACACCAGTTACCATTGTTATATTTATATCTATAATTGGTATATGTAATATATAGAGATAGCTATATATATCTATAATATAGATATCTCTATATACCAATTACCATTGTAATTATATATATAAAAATTCATATATATATATATGACATGCTCATCGGACATTTGGAGAACATCACTCTTAGGTGAAAATTGAGATCAGCATATTACATATCATAGGAGGATTTTTTTTCAACTACAAAGATTAGTGTTTTCTTGTTTAGAAAATTTAATCTAAGGATTTCTAATGTTTGAGCCTCATTATTTGATAATACACATATTTGTGTACATATATGCATGTATATATGCACATATACTATACACAGCACATCTGTGTTTGTCCTGCATTCTCTCTTGGAGAATTCAATCTTTAGGAGGAGGATTATCTTCATTCTGTTTTTAATTATCCAACATAGAAGTGTCCAAAGTTTTGGCTGACTTTTTAGAGAAAACATCATAAAACTGTGCAGGGAACATGTTCTTAGTGATTACCTGATTCTAAAATTATATCATAAAAAATATTGGGAAATACAATGTGGGGATGAATTACATAAAAGAATTCCATTTTTGGATGATCGTGAGTACCTTGATGGGATTAACTACCATAACCACATGGTTGGAACAGACACATTCAAACAACTTCTGTTTGTGTACACAGTCCCTAGGATTTCTAAGTGTTCTCAAATAATACCCTTGGCTCTTCTTAGCCATGTGATTATGGAAAAGTAAAGATTTGGCAAAAGGAAAGCTCTTTAATATAAGCAGGGACCAATGGCAAAAAGAGAAAAATCCCCATCAAGTCTTAGAAAAAGATAAAGAACATATTCAAAGAACTCAGAGAAGGTCCTGATCTTGGAAGGACCAACTTCCAGGGCAGGCAGTGGGACTCTGAAGAGGAAAGGGGCAAGCTCTTGGCCCTTACCCTGGGCAGGAAAGATCTTGGAGGGAAGATCTGGTAATTTGTAATTCCAAGGAAAACCACGCCTGACAAAGGGGGTGACACAGATCCTGAGAGGGAGGAAGCAGCACTTCTTCCCCTCCCCACCACTGGAGTTCGCCAGGGCTGTGTTTTCTCTACAGTGCTTCTGCCTGATGGTCTAGGGAAGGGAGGCTTTTATAATAAGGGGATTCAATATACGGGAAGGGGCACTAGAGCACTGAAGCTCTTTGGATTTCTGAGAGCTCTGGTTTGGCTAGCCTAAAATTAGCATCTATCTTACAGTTTTTACCCCAACTAGCCTGGCTCTGTGTCTACTGAAAACCTATACATGTTGGCATGGCACAGGTTCAGCTGTCATTGCTCTCTGTATGTGTGTGTGTGTGTGTGTGTGTGTGTGTGTGTGTGTGTGTGTGCGTGCATGTGTGCCCGAGTGTGTGAGAGGGAGGAGCAGGGGAGGGAGAGAGAGAAGGAAAACCTATGGAAAAAGTTACCTTTCTTCTTTCCTCTGCAGCCTCCAGTTTCTTCTGGATCTCCTCCAGGGACAGGTCTTTCTTCTTTGGAGAAGCTAAAGTTCGTGGGGCTTCTGAGATAGGAGATGGTGGCTTCAAGATCAGCTCAAAAGCCTGGCCAGAGGCACGTTTGTTGATTTGCTTCACTTCCATATCTGAAAAGTGAACATTTGAGAATGTTAAGCATACAAAGCTTGCAGCATGGGTTTATTTTAATAATTTAGATTCCAGCAATTGGAAGTAGCGTTGTTATTCCGGGAGATAGGAATAAAATGCTGTTTATGAGCATTTGCTCTATGTTGTTTAGAACATATAAGACCTCTCTGTCTTTAGTGTAACTATGGATATATTTTAACAGAATAAATATTTACCATATTGAGAAATTTGACAATATCTGCAGGGAGTTGAATAACGGTAAGCATACTTAGATAAAAATAGCCTAAATTGATTTTAAATTAAGCTTTATTTTCCTTTTGAACAAATATGAGCTTTGCATGAAAATCAAGTAGCACAGATTTATTTGTTTGGAAATTATCGTAGCTGTAGGCCCTTTTTGGTTAGACGAGAAACATAACGGAGTTCTTCAGTTCTCACATATAATGAGATATCATTATCTAGATATGCGTATATATGCATGCACCATTATATATATTATCACCATTCCTGTGCTTAGGAATCACAGGAGCTTCGTTAGAACCAATGTAACTCCCTGAACAGTTGGGCATATTTGGCAAAGTCAATGCTGAAATGCAAAGCATCCTGCTGATTTCTGTTTTGCCCTTCTGTATGTTCATTGCTTCCAGTCATCAATCATGCACAGTGCCCACTCCAGGGATGACAACATCACTCTGTGATGGGGGTCCTTGTCTTCAAGATGCTTACAGTCTAATGGGGGCAATAAGACAACACCCCATTGTAATGTCTTTGCTCCTGTGTTGTTGCTGTTTAGAATATCCTCCTCTAGTGTACTCGGCTGGAGCCAGGAGCCAGGGATAGAGCCACTGTGGTGGAGGAGGGAGTGGCAACATCTACTAATCTAATTTATACACATACACATGGAATACTGTTCAGCCTTAAAAAAGTTGGGGGAAATCCTGTCATTTTTGACAACATGGGTGAACCTGGAGGACACTATGCTAAGTGAAATAAGCTAGGCACAGAAAGACAAATACCACATGATCTCACTTACATGTGGACTATTCATAAAGTTGAACTCACGGAAGCAGAGTAGAATTGTGGTTACCAGGGGTTAGGGGTGGAGACTGGGGAGATGTTGATCAAAGAATACATAATTTCAGTTAAACAGGAAGAACAAATGCAAGAGACTTATTATTGAGACGGAGTTTCCCTCTTTTGCCAGGCTGGAGTGCAGTGGCACTATCTCGACTCACTGCAACCTCCGCCTCCCAGGTTCAAGCAATTCTCCTGCCTCAGCCTCCTGAGTAGCTGGGACTACAGGCGCTTACCACCACACTCAGCTAATTTTTCTATTTTTAGTAGAGGCAAGGTTTCAGCATGTTGGTCAGGCTGGTCTCGAACTCCTGACCTCGTGATCTGCCAGCCTTGGCCTCCCAAAGTGCTGGGATTATAGGCGTGAGCCACCACGCCCGGCCGCAGAAGACTTATTGTACACCATGCTGACTATTGTTAATAACAATGTACTGTATTCTTGAAAATCACTGAAAGAGTAGATTTTTTGTTCTCATCACAAATAAATGACAGGTGTGTGAGGTAATGCATATGTGAATTTGCTTCACTTAGCCATTCTCTAATGTATACATATTTCAAAATATGCCATACACCGCAAACATATACAATTTTTGTCAATTAAAAAAAGAACTGAAGAATGGTTAGCCACTTATTTTCTATCAGTGGCTTATGTATTAAAGATAAGCAGATTATCAGACCCTTATGTTTTAAGCCTGTATAATACAAATTATAACATAAAATAGTATAATTTATAATAGAAAAGATGACAGCTAGCACCTGCTAGGACATTTATAATTACAGAACTCACAATTTAGTAAAATGCAATGATTTTTAAAAGAACCTCGCTGGTCAGCCCTCAATTTCAGATGAGCATTCTTTGAGTCCCAAACTCCATCTCTCTGGTTTTAGCCCACTGATCCTTGTTTGAAGTCTGAAGCTACCCATGATTAGGCCATTCTCTGTGGTGCACCACCATTTTTCAAGTATTTGAAAACAGTTATGTTCCATTTCAAGTTGTTCCCCCAGGCTAAACATCTTCAAGTGCCCCAGAATGACACTGTTTCTAGATCTTTACCACCATATTATTTCCTAACCTCTAAGTGCTCTCTAATTTATTAACGTCTTTTTAAAATTGTGGCAACCAAGCCAGCAGGTTATGTTCCCGTTAATGTTCTTTTAGCAGCCTGGTTAGTGCACATGGAGGTTGTGGTCAAGTAAAATGCCAGGCTGGCAGGCCTTGACCTCAGATCCTTAGCTGCTAATAGATAGTCTAGATAATACTAACTCAATAACTATATTGGAAATGATGTGGGCTTTTTCCTTCACAAATGTAAAAATGTTTTTCATTTTCCTGATGGCATCCAAGATTATACTTAAATTTTAAATACAATTTTATAAAAATTATGGAAACCTATGGATAAGGATTATAAGAGAACACGGGCAAATAAAAACAGCTTATTTGATAAGGTGATGGGGTTTTAAATGCCTTAGATTAGAGGCTCTGGAATTAGAACTGCCTATATTTGCATCCAAATAGTAAGCCCCTCTTAATAGCTGTGTGACACTAGGTAAGTTAATTAACTTCTTTATGCTTTTATTTCCTCATTTAAAAGATGGAAATAAAAAGAGTACCTTCCTTCTAAGGTGGTTGTGAAGATTAAATGATAAAGGATGCTGAATGCAAAGCACAAGCCATATACTTAGTGCTTACAAATGTAAACAATAATAATAATTTATTGTTATAATGTTTGCCTGCAATAAACAAGTCACGTTATTATCTAACATAGAAATACCAGGTCAAGTTAAAGACTGCAGAAATTTGAAATTCTCTACGGACTCTTTTAGGAAGCACAGTTTACGAGAAATGTTGAATTATCTATTCAACTTTAAATACAGCTCAATAAAAATTATGGAAGCCTATGGAAAAGGATTATAAGAGAACGCAGGCAAATAAAAACAGCTTATTTCAAGAATCAGCTCACACATAACTTCACATATTTTCTTCCCCTTTTTT
The DNA here is from genome assembly GCF_000001405.40 of Homo sapiens. Lineage (NCBI taxonomy): Eukaryota > Metazoa > Chordata > Mammalia > Primates > Hominidae > Homo > Homo sapiens. Next base: position 79,638,309 of record NC_000008.11, on the reverse strand, counting down.
CATTCCCTAACCCAGCAAAAACCATCCCTGGCTCCTTTGTCCTAACCACTCTGTGTTCTACATTCTAGTCATTTGTGTAAGACTCTTCTACTAAGCCCTGAATTCTTTGAAGGTGAGGACTACGCCCTATGGAACTCTGGATCCTCAGTGACAACCCATAGTTCGACATTAGTCTCATAAGAAACATAGCTGGATCCTTCTTCACAGCTACATCTAGCAAATAATAAAGGTCTGTCTAATTTATTTGCTGACCGAATGAATTTGTACAAAGTAGGCATTGGCCCTGCATTCTAATGAATGTTTTGTTTGGAGACAGAATTCCTTTCACATGGAGGACATTTCCTTATGGAACAGTTAATTAGCATTTATGATTTTTGTGCTACGATAGAATAACTTTGGAAGGTAAATGCCTTTGAGTCCTTGAATAGGCTTTAAAGGTGCAGAAGGGGTTAACTGCCACAAGGTCAGTTTGTTTTGTCATTAATGTCTTTCTTTACATATATGGAAAAGAAAAATATTTGTGAGCCTGAGAGTTAGTAAAATATGCCTTAGGGATATCTAGGATACATAGAACTGTATAAAATATTTTAGTTAAATTGACTGAATTAGGTAAGGATGATGTTGATAATGATAGCTATCATTGTAGAGTGATATAATGAGCTAGGCTTGGTTTTGCATATTTGACTTACATTAAACCGTTTAAACCTCACAACAACTCCAAGAGGAAGATGCTAGAGTTAAATGAGACTTAGAGAATCCAAGTATCTATTTGACCAAGATCATGTGGATTGTGGCAGAGCCAAAGTAAGCAAAATGAATCAGGATAAATCAAACCTAAAGAGTTGCACCTCAATCATGTTAATTGCCATGCTAATTCTTTAGGCTTTTCTTTTCAGACCCTCTTTATCTAGGGCCTCAGTCGTAAGTCAGTTTTATTTATTGAGCCAATTATTATTATCATTAGCTGGTTGACATGTATATACAAAGTATAGAAACTTTATAAAGACTACAATAAAGCAAAAACAATTATGGTTGTTGATTCTTTCTCTTGAGTTTTCTAAGTATAAAGCATTTTCTTACAAATTATGATCTACTCCAATTATGGCTTAGCCTATTAAATTATTTGCAAAGAAAGACCTTAGACATATTGTGGATGTTGATATGCTGGATGTGGCTGTTAATAAGAATCCATCCACATTTCTTAACAGACATTGATGTGTTGTTATTAGCACCAAATTCAAACTGTTTTCAGCAATAGGTAATCAATTGGACATAATAGCTAGACACGGCAAGTCAATAGTGAGAGCTACAAAATATTGATGTAATTATATCAGGAGCTGTAAGAAACAAATATATGTCAACCTTTCCAAATGATCTAGCTAGCAGGGGTATGTCTATCCTAGGTTACTCACCATCGTAAGTATAGATGTTGATGTTGCGAGGTTCCGGGTAAAAGCAAGAGCAGATCAGTGACAGCATGGACAGCTCCTTCATTTTTTCCTTGTAGGCTGAAATGAAAAGCTGAAGATTAGTATATTTCATTTTTTCTGAATTTCTCTTTACTGCTTCCTTTAATTTGAATAATAATTATTGCCTCCTGCAGAGTGAATATTGCCAGGTAGACTCCTTTGCATTCTTTCACTAAATATAAAGGAATGCAAGATGTCAACAGAATTCTGAAGTGCATGTTCCTTAGTGCAGAGGAGATCAATTGCATAGTATAGCAGGTTAAATAACAAGAGAAAGAAAGGGAGTTAGAAAAACAAAGGAAGGTCGAAGGAATTAAGATCTAGCAGGATAGGAGGGAGAGAGAGGAAACAGATGGAATTAGTGGAAGCAGACATGATTACCAGAGAGAGAGGCTCATTCTAGTAAATGTGCATGCAGGTCTATTGTACATAAGTAAGATTCCGGAGGGCTACTCTGATGGTTCAGCCTGAATTGCCACGTACTCATTTGGGAATAGTCAGATAACTCATCAGGATAGTTATTAAGCAAACACATTATCCAGGGTCCTATGTTGCTGCTTTCTCTTAATCTCCAAGTGCATTTTCTTATCTGTCCATCTTTTCTTTTTTCTTTCCTCTCTCTCTTTGAGACAGAGTTGCTCTGTTACCCAGGCTGTAGTGCAGTGGTGTGATCCCAGCTCACTGCAACCTCCACCTCCTGGGCTCAAGTGATGTTCCCCCCTCAGCCTCCCCATTAGCTGGGACTACAGGTGCGCTCCACCATGCCTGGATAATTTTTGTATTTTTTGTACAGACAGAGTTTCACCAGGTTTCTCAGGCTGGTCTTGAATTCCCGGGCTCAAGCAATCCACCCACCTTGGCCACCCAAAGTGCTGGGATTACAGGTGTGAGCCTCTATTTCCAGCCTCTTTCTTTCTTTCTTTTTTTTTTAATTTCAAGTTTTATTTTAGATACAAGGGGTATATGTGCAGTCTTTTTACATGGGAATATTAAATGATGCTGATGTTTGGGGTGTAAATCCCATCACCCAGGTATTGAGCATAGCACCTGATAGGTAGTTTTACAAACCTCTCTCCTTCCCCCCTCTAGTAGTCCACAGTGTTTATTGTTCTCATATTTATGTCCATGTGTGCTCAGTGTTTAGCTCCCACTTATAAGTGAGAACATGCTGTATTTGGTTTTCTGTTCCTGTGTTAATTCACTTAGGATTATGGGTCCCAACTGCATCCATGTTGCAGCAAAGGACATGATTTCATTTTTTCTTATGGCCATGTTGTATTGCATGCTTTATATTTACCCCATTTTCTTTATCCAATCTGCCATAGATGGACACCTAGTTTGATTCCATGTCTTAGCTATTGTGAATAGTGCTGCCATGAACATACAAGCACATGTGTCTTTTTAATAGAATGATTTATTCTCCTTTGGGTATACACCAAGTAATGGGATTGCAAGGTCAAATGGCAGCTCTGTTTTAAGTTCTTTGTCTCTCCCTCTTTCTACACACACCAAAGCCCTCGATCTGAGCTCTGATTACATCTGATAAGGATCTCCTTCCCTCCGTTGCAACCCAGCTTGTGTGCCAACCTTGCCATGCAGTTGCAAGAGTCCAGATTGTCACCTCCTCAATCCTTCACTCCCCTTCCCCATTTCATTTTCTCATTTTTTCTCTAGGAAGCCTCCTGCCCTGGTAAACTTGGTGAGTATCTCATCACTGTCAGTTGTCATCAGGCCAAGTATCTGCAAACTACCAGATGGGGATAAGGAGGTAAAATCTTCTTACTTTTGTTAATTATGCAATTAGTAAAATTAATAAATTAAGGAAAATGGTAGAAAATGATGGGTATACTGTGCACTAACTTGTGAGAAAGTATAAACAGATGGCTGTGAAATAAAATATAGACCTCCCAGGTTAACAGTTTCTTCTTGGCAGGGGCTTCTGATCATTACTATAATATAACCCAAGGGAGAGTGGGTATCTTGGGAAAGAGGATTCTCAGAAGATGAGTTTGGGCATTATTGACAGGTGCATCTTTTCTTGGCCAGAAAGAAACATATTCAACCCCTGGATGCTTTAGATCCACAGATACTAGAATTATTCTAAGAGATTATTTAGTCAACTGTCCACCTACCTCACCACCAATTTTACAAATGAGGATATAGCCCCACAGAGGCCAAAGTCACATGTAGCCAGTGACAACGGTGAAGCTTCTGGATAAATTGCAGTAAATCAATCTATTTAAAAACTGCCAGAAGGCTTTCTTCTAGCTCTACAATTTTAGGATGAGGTTCAATGTGTTAACAGGTGCAATGATCAAATATCATTTGCCTATGATTCAACCTAACACATCCTGAGGATCTGCTAAAAGAATCCCCTCACTATTTAGCTTATTTTCTTAAAATAAGCAATACATGTTGTCCTGTGCCATAAAAGTCCTGGAACATCCATTCTGAGATATTTTGTTGAACGCCTTTGGAATTTTAGAAGGCTAAACCAAATTTCTTTGTATCATTTGTTTATTCAGTTAATGAAATTGTGTCACTTATAAAGGCCCAGGCAGATCCAGATTTATATGGAGTTAAGTGAGAATCATAATTTCTGCCAGAGCATAAAACATTTAATACATTTAATTCCATGAACTAATTGAAAACAGTAACAGCAAGGTTTTGTAGGCTGGTACCTTTTTTGGAAGAGAAATGCATTCTGGTATGCAAAACATTTTGCAAAATTAAGCACATATTAGAAACACATGAAGCATATTACATGCCGACTTTATTAAGAAGGGTCAATCCAAACATAAAAATAAAATAAAAGATTTTCCATCTCACAAAGTAGTAACAGATGAAAGCTGTATCGGAACGTGAATTTTTAGTGAAGAAAAAACTCCTCAATATCTGTCCTTAGGAAACTAAATTCAATAATTTTCAGTAAGGCCACTGCCCTAATTATGCTTGACAAGCTAATAAAGAGAAGTGAGTGTAAAAACTATCAGAAGCTAGCACATTTAGAGCCCTATGTATAATGAGTAATCATTACTATTATGGACTGAATATTTGTGTCCCCGCAAAATTTGTATTTGAAATCTAATTCCCAATGTGATAGTATTTGGAGGTGGGGTCTTTGGAGAGTAATTAGATGATGAAGGTGAAGCCTTCATGAATGGGATTAGTGTCCTTATAAGAAGAGACCAGAGAGCTAGCTCAATCTCCTTTTGCCACATGAAAATGCAGCTAGAAGTTGGCAGTCTGCAAAAGCAAAGTAGGCCCTAACTAGAATCTGATCATTCTGGCGGCCTGATCTCAGACTTCCAGTTTCCAAAGCTGTGAAAAATAAATTTCTGTTGTTTATAAGCCACCTAGTCTATGGTACTTTGTTTTATCAGCTAAAACTAAGAAAATGACTGATAAAAATGTTCTTTCTTGTTCGAGGTGGTCTGGGGACAAAACCCAGTTAACCTCTGTGGGTGGTGATTCCTTTAATAGCATTTTTATCTTTACTGTTATTTGTTTCAAAGGCTATGACCCCACATAGCATGACTCTACCCAGTGACAACCATTGCAGAGATTCTCATTGATGAGTTGCTTGCATTCTAAGGAGATCCTTAAAAGCCAGCTGCAACCACAGTCCAAGCAAATCCTAATTCCTTCCCTGCAGCAAAGGCACACTCTCCTGTGAAGAAGGGTTTCCTCCTAACGTGGTACAGTTGCCCAAACTCCCCAGATGGCGTTGCTGGAAAGGTATGTCATCGGGAAACAAACTTAAGACACAAATGAATAAAGCACAGCAGATTATGTACCCGGCTAAGGGAAATAGTGCAAAGAGAAAAAAAAGGGAAGAGACTTAATGAAAGAAGAACTGATAGGAAACAGTAACTGAATTCGGAGCCACTGAACACTTTGAAAGATGGGATTAACTCATGAAAGACTTCTTAGAAAGATTTTTTCCGGCTTGTGTGGGAACAATCATTAATATGAATTTTAACACTTATCATTTTGTTGTTATTTAATTTGGAATTGATAGTGCAGTATCATAAAAATTTCTTCTGTTTATTCATCCTAGGCAAAATTGTATTTGACACTTTAGTTTTGGCTAATGCTGTGTGTAAAAGAAGTAGTGATATGTATTAGTCTTCCTGATCACATATAAAAGATAGTAAAGAATGCTCTGGAAATGTCATTAATATACTACTTTGGGAGAAAATGTGTCATAATCCCTGAAAGGAATACTTGTTTGTGTCCCGACACACTGGTGTTCTTAATGACCATAAAGAAAACGTCATTCGCGGGACCAGATGTCTGACCATGGCCTTGTGCTCAGGACGGCTCTGCTGACGAGGCCCAGGATCTGTTAGCACACTCCCTCTCCACTTTTCCTTTCTCTTGTTTTCCCTGCAATCATATTAGTCTAGCGGGAGGTTTTCCTGGCAAGTCCCAAATACTCAATTTAAATGCAACCTCATTTTTTTCCTTTTGAAATGTGCCTGGGGATAAAGGATAAAATCAGATGCTATAGAATGCAGGATTGATGTCTCTTGCCCTTGGTTTTACAGCAATTCGATTTGCACAGTTTCTGATAGACAGAAAGGACAAAAGCACTTTATTTGAAGCTTACCAATTTATATATACGTGGCAGAAAGCACCTCTTTCCTTAAGAAAAAAACCCCTGTCATTTCCAGGCAGTGGTGTCTTTAAACTGGGTAGAGTGGGGCACTAGCTATGGACCCTGCAGTCCTCAGAGCTGGTGCCAGGATTTAAAAGGACAGCAGTTAATGGGAGAAATAGGGTTCTCTGCTAATGGATTCTAAAAAACTTGAGTCTTGCACCCGCAATTGTTAAACACTGCTCCTCTCCTAATTCTGTCCTTCCTTTTCCCTTTCTCCCATTACCTAAGTCTTAACATAGACAGAAATCAGCTACCTTGAAGTTCATTTTTGGTTCCTTTTCTTTTCATAAGGAAATAACATTTCCTTTTTAATTTCAGAAATTAAGCCCCTGGTGATAATTTTAACTCAATTCTGATGATACTGTGTGTTTGGAACTTTGCTTACTTTGGGGCACTATAACTCAAGGTCAGATAATTTTTTTTAAAAGTCAGATATGTAATCCCATTTAAAAATCCTTTTGGGAGGTCCATCCCTGTGATCTTCTTCAAAGACAAAATAGACCAAAATAATTTCATTTTGAACACTTCTTACATACTATATCGGTTCAAATTTGGAGCATAAAATATTTTGGTTGATGAGTATGTAATTAATGATGTAACTTTAAAAAGAAAAAGAAATAACTCAGATTTTAAAATACCCTTTTTAACATATCAGAAGATCACTGACATGAGGTAATATTCTAGATATTTCTGCTGTGATGATGTAATGCTAATTGCTTTAGAATAAAATTAGATTCTACCCATCTCTCTCTACAAAAATTTGGTTTTCTAAGCCAGGGAGGTTTTGAAAGATTAATATTTTGACCAACCAAAGCATTATAGTTTTTCTATGGGAATGGATATCAAATGAAATAAAGGGACATTTAAGAAGGTCAAAGCAGTACAACCCATCACTGGGTTATACAGAAACATATGAGGCTCTTAAATTTCAATTTGATGTATTCTTAGCACCAGTGATAGTGACAAGGAAAAGAAACTAGATGACATGAATCAGTCCTTGTGATCAAAATTGTAATAAAAGCAGTAAATTGTTGTAACCTGGTACCTCACCTTACTCTGGATTCCAGTTAAAGCTCCTGCTGTGTTTAATGAGAGTTCCGCTACATCTTGCAGGCTCTTGTCCTTTTTTTCTTTCCCCTGATGAAAGAAATTCTTACAGTCCTTGATAGAGACCAAATGACACTGTGGTTTAGAGGAGTAATGAAAGCGCTTTATTCTGTTTATGTGTCAAGATTTTTATCACCAAGTCTAATTCTGAGTATTGAGGGATTTTTTTATCCCCCTAAGCTCCTAAATACTAGCAGGTAGTAAAACCTAAAATGATAGCTAGATTGGTTGGGACTTAAATGAGACAAAGCCAGGGTAAAAAATGGAGAGTCTATTCATCTGGTTAAGGACAGTTCTCATGTAAGAATGACTTTGCTCTTCCTTTCCTGCAATCTTCTAAGCTGGGATGCTCCTGAGCAGCAATTTGAGGCTGCCATGACATTCTCTGAATTGCTTCTCCAGAATGGCTCAATGTAGCACCCAAGTGATTTCAATTCCTCCCTATTACTTTTTAATTCTTGGCTGAAGAGTAGAAAGTATTTTGGATCCATTTTTAATTAGCAAAACTCACTTCCTATGCAGAATGTTTATCGCATTTGTGGGGCCAATGTCCAGAGTCACAAATGTTTTGGTCACCAGTGATAAGGATGCCAGCTTCATTGTTCACTTTGTTGTAATGTGTGGCTTTTCTCCAGAAAATAAACGTTGACTTCTATCTCACATGTGTTTTTGAATTTAGCCTGACTATGACTTTGTATGTAAGATTGCATAAGGGTGGATAGCCTATTATGCTCTCAGTGAAAGCAGAAACTTTCAGAAATAAAAAGTGCGAGACTTTTATCACACTGCAAAATAAAAAAAAAATTCAGATGACTTTATTTTAGTTCATGGGCCAGTTGACTTTTCTGTTTGAATTAACCAGAAGTTTGGAGACTGAGAATACAGATTTAATGAACTCAAAGGGAGTCCTAGAGCTATCACCGTGGGATGGGGTTGATTGTCTTTAGATAATGGAATATCTAATTCATATAGAACACTGGGAAGACACAGAGTCAGATTAAGCAGCAGCAATTTGTACCACAAACCTATTAGTTATATCATGATTTAATTCCTCTATCAATCTAAGGAATTAAAAGTTCAGAGCATATTTCTTGAAGAGTTTGCATAAAAACCTCTACTTCCGTAGGCTGGTATGAAGTTTCAATGGATTTGAAGAGCTCCATATTGCTGTTTTAGATCTGAGTATGTCTTATAAAATTCACTTTATCTATAATAGTTATTAACGTCGACTGTGAAACAAATATTTTAACTTGGTGTTACTGCCAAGTAATATTTATCGATGTTTCACCAAAAAGAATTCTTATCTGGGTAGTGTACAAATTGTACTTAAGGCAGTCTCCCTAAATGTTGTCTTAGGAAATGAATGATATCTAAATAATTAATGGGAGATGACTATTTCAGGCAAAGGCCACAAAAACTGCATGTAGGAGCCAAAATTTTGCTTCCCTCCATAATCCTAAAAAGAATATCCAGTGTCCTTCAACGAAATTTTGTAAAATGCGCAGTGTGCAACATTTTCTCAACAGTTTTCTAAAGTTGCATTTTTCAAACCCCACTCATTAGAGTTTTATTTTAGCCATTCATTCACAACACTGTGCATTGTTTTGCACAGTGTGAAGCATTAGTTTGGCTTATGTAAATGGTGCAGTGAACAAAAACTGAACAGTTAGTTAAGAGTTTCCTCCTGAATGACAAGCCCCATGACTTTGCTAGTCATACTTAAGTAATATGTCTTATGGTCACTTTGTGTCAAAGAGAATAGAATAAATATATTCTATTTTATACTTGTAAAATATAAAATATACTGTATATAAATAGAAAATAATACCGTTGAGGTTTATAACTGCCTGATGTTGCAGTGATTTTATTTTGGAGTATCTCTGGCAGTATGTGGGAATAACAGAGCCTGTGAGGTGAGTGTGAAGCATCGTCCTATTGTTCTACAGTGTAATTATCCTCAGCATCCATCTTAGAGGCAGCTAAATAGGGTGAAAGAAATCTTTTGGGTTAACCTAGATATGACATTGAAAATTGCTTTTTTGTTTTGAAACTCAAATGTCACTTCCTCAAACTTTGCATGTAGACTCATCTCCTGACATAGATTTTATCACATCATAGCCTGAACTTCAATTAGTATAATTTTCTGCAAACAACCTAAAGCAATATACAAGTAAGTAAGTAATCCTCCTAAAGCCTTTGCATTCCAGTTTTGTATCATCCAGTTTATGTCACAAACAGGGTCAAAATATAAAAGACAACTTACTCTAGGATAAATTTTCCATTTTTTCTATTTTTTTCCCGGATATTTTGAAATGAAAGCTCCTCTGAGAAGTGATTATTTTCTCCTGTATACACAGTTCTCAAAGGAAGGCATATTAATGTCCAGCAGTTATATGAAAAAAGGCACAAGATCACTAATCATCAGGGAAATGCAAATCAAAACCACAATGAGATATTATCTCACACGTGTTGAAATGTCTGTTCTCAAAAAGACAGGAGACTGGTTAGCCAGAATGTGGAGAAAAGCAATCCTTGTGCACTGCTGGTGGAATGTAAATTCCTAGAGCCATTATGGAAAGCAGTATGGAGGCTCCTCAAAAAATTAAAAACAGAACTACTAGGCCAGGCGTGGTGGCTCACACCTGTAATCGCAGCACTTTGGGAGTCTGAGGTGGACGGATCACTTGAAGACAGGAGTTCGAGACATGGTGAAACCCCGTCTCTACTAAACATACAAAAATTAGCCGGGCATGGTGGTGCGTGCCTGTAATCCCAGCTACTCAGGAGGCTGAGGCAGGAAAATTGCTTGAACCCAGGAGGCAGAGATTGCAGTGAGCCTAGATGGCACCACTGTACTCCAGCCTGGGCGACATAGCAAGGCTCTGTCTCAAAATAAAAAAAATAAAAAATAAAAAAAAATAAAACTACTAGATGATCCAGCAGTCCCACTACTGGGTATATATCCCATCAAAGTGGAATCAGTATGTCAAAAAGATATCTGCACTCCTATGTTCACTGCATCATTATTCACAAGACCCAAGATATGGAATCAATATGAGTATCCATCAACAAATGAATTAATAAAGAAAATGTGCTACATACACACAATGGAATACTATTCAGCCTTAAGAAGGAAATTCTGTCATTTGTGACAACATGGATAAGCCTGAAGGACATTATGTCAAGTGAAATAAGACAGGAACAGAAAGACAAATACTGCATGATCTCACTAAAAAAGAACTCATAGAAGCAGAGAGTAGAAGGGTGGTTTCCAGGGGCTAGGGTGGAGGTGGGAGAATGGAGAGATATTGGTAAAGGATACAAAGTCTTAGATAGAATGAATAATTTCTTTGTATTTCATAATAAGTATATATATGATAGGCATAAAATATTACCTATGATGTGACAAATGCTTCATAAAGAAATTAATGTCTTGAATTTCAAATTGTTTAACTATCAGGGCAATTTCTACTCTTCCACATGCTACATGCAAGGTCTATTTTTGGCTTCAAATATTCTTTTTCTACTGTTAGAATAAGTGATGCATAAACTGTAAGCTTTTTGGATGCCATCTGGAACTCCCTTTGAATTCTTGATACTCATTCTTAAGACATGAGAAGGACTACATGTTGCTATGACTGGCTGAGCCAGATTGGAATAACCTGTGCATTTTATCTGTCACAGAAAATACCATATGACTTGGTCATAAACATACCCAATAAAAAAATTAAGGCAAAAATAGAATCAAGTGTTTGATCTGCATAGATAAATATGACTTGGAATTTGGCATGATAAATTGCTGATAAACCAAACTCACAACTTGGGAATACATTATAAATGAAGGCACACGTTGGCTCCCCTTTATGTCCTATTTTCTCTTGTTTATTCAGCCTAAATATTACTTATAAAAAAAGGGGGATTCATGGTTTTAAACATTGCTCATATCTTCAAAAATTTTACAAAATATTAATAGGAAGGGCCAAACAGAGGATATATACATTAGAATGTGGTGACAATTCCTAAATGTCTCCAGTAGTTGTGGCCTTGAGGTTCATTAAGACTGGGTTTGTGTCTTCCTAAACACAGAAGTGAAGCAAACTTAATGGTTTCCTTCACAAGGGCCTTGGAGTTTCTTTTCTTTCTTTCTTTCTTTTTGTGTTTTTCAAGGACAAGGTTATTTTCTAGGCTTGTTTCACAGACCTTAGCCCTTACTTCTCCATGGTTTCGTTTGCTGCTAATCATTTCTTTGCAACTATACTTAAGTTTCCTGAGGGCAAGGGAAGGCATCTCCTTTAACATTTTTTGTATTTTCCCTCATACATAGGAGTGTGTGTCGCAGTTAGCAGGTGTTCCATAAATGCATATCCATTGGTTGCTAAGCAGGGAGGGGCTGTCCCTCAGCTGCAAATGGTAGCTGCTGAATCTTCCAGTGGCCCAATTAGCTTCCCCATGAAGAACAAGTGTAGGGTAGGGGTTAAGAGCCGAGATGTTGGAGCCAGATTGAGGTCAACTCTTCTCTCCACTAAATTCCTTTATATTATGCTACTGACTGGTATTTCAGTGCATTTTGAAGTGCAAGAATACTTCTTTTCCTTGGCCCTTACCACATAGCTTTAGCTACAGTGATAGTTTGAAAATGGAACTACTGGTGGTACCACTCTAATTTCTTGGCGTAGAGGCAAAATTTAAGAAAGTCTTCTCATTTCTATCCTTCAAAAGGCAAACTTCACAATAGCAGATAATCAACCTTCTCTATGTAAGGAGAAAGAGAAGGCAGGTGAATGTCTCCTTTGTATTCATTTATATGTTCTCTCCCTTATTTTAGCTCCAATACTAGTGAGTGAATGTTAGCTACCCCAGGGTAAGGGCAAGAATATGATAGAAACTGAAGATTTGAGCTCTAGGTCAGGAACTATTAACCTTAGATAATTTATTCAACCTTCTGAACATGAGTTTATTTATCCACAAAATGGGGATAGGGTGTTGTTGTAAGGATTGAGTTAGGTAATGTATTGAGAAACTGAAGTGCTGTGCAAGACATTGCTTATTAATAAGCATTAATTTCTCCAAATTGATCTTTATTTTATTGATTGATTTATTTATTTTTTTGAGTCAGAGTTTTTTGCTCTTGTTGCCCAGGCTGGAGTGCAGTGGCATGATCTCGGCTCACTGCAACCTCCACCTCCTGGGTTCAAGCGATTCTCCCTGCCTCAGCCTCCCAAGTAGCTGGGATTACAGGCGGCAACCACCACATCCAGCTAATTTTTGTATTTTTAGTAGAGACAGGGTTTCACCATGTTGTCCAGGCTGGTCTCGAACTCCTGAACTCAGGTGATCCACCCACCTCGGCCTCCCAAAGTGCTGGGATTACAGGCGTGAGCCACTGCTCCCAGCCTGATCTTTATTCTTTGGGTGACCTTTTGAAGTTTTAAGGGGCTTTGCTATAGCCAAGTGTTGTGGAGCCTTATTTCTTATAATTCTCCCTGCTTCCCTTACTTACTTTGTCATAATAATCAAATCACCAAACACAATTAGAGCTCTTACTATGTCTAAGAAGACTGTGCATACAGTGGTTAACAAAGTCAACTTGGGTCAGACTGATTTGTTTCAAATCCTGGTGCTACCATTTTTGTTGGCTGTGTGTGACTTTACCTCCTTTCCTTTCTCACCTGTAAAAATGAGGATGATAATCCTCCTATAAGATACTTGGCACAATCACAGTACTTGACTCAGTAAGTACCCAATACATGTTGGCCAATATTGCAGCAATCTGAAGAAAGGGAAAGTAAGTGAAACAAGTTTCTAGCCTAAAAGAAGTCATCAATATAGTTGGGTATAAGAGAAAAGTCTATAGTGCAAAAAATAAAAAACAGTTCAAAATGTGGAAAAAAGTCTATAGTGCAAAAAATAAAAAAATAGTTCAAAATGAGGAATCTAGAGTGCAGTGGAAAGATCATTAGATTTGAAACTCGACTCTTCCTTGGCCAGCATTTGTGATCAGGAGCAAGTCACTCAACTTTCCATGGCTTCTTTCCTGTCAAGTAGGAATAATGAGACATGTCTCAAAGTGCTGTAAAAAATCAAACAGGAAAAAGTGCGTGGGACATGTGACTTGTAGCTGGCTCAAGCAGAGCAGGTGAATGATAAATAACAAGGGATATGATAACAAATATTGCTATAAGATGGTATGTGGCTATCGTCAAATTCATTGTTAGATAGTAAACTAGTGAAAGTTCACAAGAAGGAAAGATAAAGGAAAGCTGGATTCAAGGTTGACTTGGAAAGCCTGCTATTATTTGTTTTGTGGAGAGTATGATCTTTCTGAGCAGCAAATTTGAGAAATCCTTCTTGACTTCTTAGCTGGCTATCCTCACCGTATGTATTCATAGTTCACTTCTAAAATTTATCCAAAGGGATGAAATGTATACTTTTCTGGATAGAATAATTTCATGACTCTTTGCTATTTGTAGGAGTGACATCTTCTTTTTGCAATGAGTTTAAGTGGACAGGTTTTTATTCTTTTCAGCTATGCAAGCTGGACACAAAGTCCAGTATTCTTTTCAAGTGACTTTTTTCCTTCTTTCTTTCTTTCTTTTTTTTTTTTTTTTTTTTTTTTTGAGACGGAGTCTCGCTCTGTCGCCCAGGCTGGAGTGCAGTGGTACAATCTCGGCTCACTGCAAACTCCCCCTCCCGGATTCACGCCATTCTCCTGCCTCAGCCTCCCGAGTAGCTGGGACTACAGGCACCCGCCACCACACCCGGCTAATTTTTTGTACTTTTAGTAGAGACGGGGTTTCACCGTGTTAGCCAGGATGGTCTCGATCTCCTGACCTCGTGATCCGCCCGCCTCGGCCACCCAAAGTGCTGGGATTACAGGTGTGAGCCACCACGCCCAGCCTCCTTATTTCTTGGGTAAGTTGTAATATAGCTTGCCACAATCCATAACCAATACACACTGCAACTGTGTACACTGTCTTAAAAAAATTCATTCTCAGAAAAATTTCAACAAATGGAATCTGATTCTTTCAAAGCTGCTTAGTTCAATATTTCTTCAATGTTGTTCCTGAAATTAGAAAAACTTTTCATCCTAAATACTGAATTTCATTTACCTTATTTGTTCTACCACAAAACGTTTTTTTAAAAAATCATCAACCAAGTCAGAAGACACAAAACCTTTTTTAAAAAAATCATCAACCAAGTCAGTTCAGAAGACATGCAATTCTTTTATTTCCATCTTTATGCTTTGGCTCTGCATTCCAGAACCTCATTAGAGTTTATTTTTTTTTTTAAATAAGCTGAACTCTCCTGCTTAGTGCAATATATTATGACCTTGTGAGAGTTTAAATTGTAATGGTGCTTTCATATAAAGCTCCTTGTTTGTCACTATTCCATGTTTATGAGAAAGTAGAAACACATTTTATTAGCTGTATTTTATGGCTTATAAATGTGAAAAAATATTGAGCATTTTTATATGCAGATTATCATCAACAGTATCTAATATGAAAAAGAACTGTACTATACTTGTAAATATAAGCACATATTTCTCTTAATATGTCTGCAGCTATGTCATAAATATAATTCCTAATTTATGTACCACACATTTACATGATTTGATATTTAGGAGGCAAAACAAAATGCTTAAAATGTTTTGGTATTGGTAGTTATCCTCCCTTAAACCTTTGTACTCAGTTGCTGGATGAATACTAATTTGATTTCACAAGATATCTTTGTTGCTCTAGTAATTACATTTTACTGATACCTTATAGATTTTAAAAATAGCAATAACAGATTATTGATTGGTACCTGAAACACTATTGATTGTAAAGGCGTTGCTTTCCTGAGTGGCTGAGAGAATAGTGCTAAACTCTAAGTATCCATATCCTTTTCATCACCATACTCATCTAAGGTATATTCTGTTTGTATTATTTGACTCTAGTGTCTTTGTCGTGCTTATCCACTAATGGGTGGAGAAGAGGAAGGCTAAATTGATCCAGATAAGAAAGCAACGGGAGGATCCCTGAAAGAAAAGACCTAGCTGAAGGAAGGGTGTTTAAAGTGGAAGCAGGAGAGCAGGAGGGTGCCAGGCAGGGAGAAGACTGGGAGGTGGCAATGAGATATTGTGCACAGTCAGGTGATACGGAGTGGGAGTGAAACTGATGGATTGATAAGATGTTAAGAAAGAACGAGAGGTTCTGTGTGTGTGTATGCATGCGTGCGTGTACGTGTGTGTGTGATATAATTCTTTTTCCTGCATTCAAAAGACCTCAGTGTAGATTTTTGTATTTTAATATTTCTAAAGTCATCTTTTATTTCTACTGAATGATGAAACTTCCTGGGTAAGCAAGAAGGCTCAGTTTTATTGAAGGTATATATGTATTTGAAGTAAGGTAAGATATAAAATATGATAGGGAAACATGAAATGAGAAATATATGCAAGAGAAATATACTTTTATTTTAATTATCCATCTTGCTTATTGTGCTGTGACCTAGATAAAATGCTTAACTATTAAATTCTGGCATTATGTAGAATGGATTTTTTCCTTTGAGATATACTATATTGGCTGCTGTCTCATAAATATGATACCAACTCTCCCTCTACCACAAAGAATTATTAAGCAGTAATCATTTCCTCAATTCCAAGTAATTTCTAGTAGATTTGTAATACATGTAGAAATTAACAAAGTATAAGAATTGAGATGTTCACTTTAAATTTTTATTATTTTTATTTAGTATTTTCATCATTTATCTAGGGAATCAGGGAAGGGGATTAATATTTTTGATGACCAAATGCTTAACAATCAATTGCTTACTTAACAACCATGTGATTTAGGTATTGTTTTCCCATTTCATAACTGAGAAAATTATAATATAGAAATGATTAATAAATTTAAGAATTCTCAGATAGTGAGTAGTAGTGGAGCATGGTTCAAAACCATGTCCACTGGATACCCACGCCCACCTCTAATCCATGCTCTCTCTTACCTGTAACAGGAACAGTTACTGACCTAAGGACTTTTGGGGTAACTTGTGGTACTGCTTTTTAATTTTCATAGGATTTTACATTCGTTTGAGTTCCAAGACAAGCTGATTATTTTTAATTGCACAGAACTTTACACTTCTGTTTTAACTTTTGAAGGCAGCTTTAAACTGAGCCCTAACACCTTTGGACATGGGCTGCTTTGTCTAAGCAGAGTTTGTACCATCTCAGGAAGGTGGACTCAGAGGGTAGTGTCAAGGTGGTGCCAAGAAAGGGGTAGACATGGACTAGAAGCAAAGTAAGTACTGAGTTTTATCTCTGGCTTATCAGCCCTCTCATATTTTCAGTGTCTACTTGCTGGGGACACCCCTGCTTCTAGAGATTCTCTAAGCTTGATGGTTGCCATCTTGGGCCACCACTTACCATCCTTCCCTTAAAGCAGATTGAGTTGGGGAAAAGTTGGATGTGGATTGACTGTAACAAAACGTTGAATGAGTTAATTGCTTCTTCTGAGCCAACCTTCATTTAAGAAGAAGAAGGCTCTTCTTTAGGAGGAAGAAGGGCTGGCCAGGTGGGTTCTAATCACAAGAACTGCAAAACGTCTGATGCTGTTGTCAGAGGGACTCAATTAACATTTTATTTCACTTTTCATTACATAGAAAGTATTTTTCAAAAAGCAAATGACGCAGTTTTTGATTGCGCTCCTTGTTCCCTCTTTACTCATTCTAAATGCATGCACATGGGTATTTATATCTAATGACAATTTAAAAACTCAACTTCTTGCATTTATATACTACTTGACAGACACTAATCACTTTCACGTTTTTTTCCTTGAGTCTGAAAAAGACCCTCTGATATGGACAAGGCAGTTCACATGGCTATTTTACAGATGCTGAATTAGAGGAACAAACAGGAAAATTGACCTGACCAAGGTGCGTCAGCAAGAGTAAAGACTGAAACTCAGAATCCCTTCTGGGCTCTTCCTTCCATGCAGCACCAGCAGCACTGGTGGAGAAGGGCAGAGCTGATGGGGACTTAGACTCTGACCTCTTGACGCCTTGTTGCAGAGCTCCACAGAGGACGTAACTCACATGCTGTCCTGGCCTGCTGCTTGGGGACCCTACAGGTCACTGCTGTTTTAGGTCTACTCCAAGTGTGGTTCTGAATCAGCCTCATCAGCACCACCTGGGAGCTTGTTAGAAATGCAAATCCATGGGACCTGCTTCAGACCTAATAGAGTGAGAACCTCTGGGGGTGGAGGCTAGCTCCTCAAACGCTGCTGATTCTCAGTAAAATTTGGGAAGCATTTTAATTAAAGAATTCTCTGGCCAGATTGGTTGATGGACTCATTAAATATTTAAATTTTTCAGCCTTTTGGTGGATCTTGGTACTTCCTAGTTGATGTTACTAGTGTATCATTATGTACTATCTTGTAATATTGTAGGGCAGTTTAACAAAATTGTTAAGATGGTGAAATTGTGAGATGGTGACTTCCATTTATAGTTATAAATTACCATTATTACTATTGAACTTTCTGACATGTACAGGATCTTTTTTTCTGCAAAAGACTAAATCCACCAAGGGTGAGGAACATTTTTATTTTTGTTCTCATAATACCTGGCACAGGCTTCAGAACAAAGTTGGTGCTCCAATCTATTTTACTTTAGTTAGTGACACTGACTATCAATGACTTTAAACTGAAGACAAATATGCCTCGTGTATGACTATTCTCACTGTGCATGTTTTATTACAGGACAGTGGAGGGAGTGCTAAACCTTATTTTGCATGAATGTGTATATATGTATGAAATAGGCACATACATGATATATAACATATTTATATATTACATATAAATATTTTGATAGGTAAATAATATACACAACTTTATTATATGTAATATATATATTATATGTTATAATATATATATAATATATATTAGACCTGTGTTCCGAGTCTGCCTCTGAGGCTTGCCACTGAATAAATTATTTGAGCTTAAATTTACCAATCTTTAAATAAGACAACTTGTATAGTATGCCCATCTCAGAGGGATTATATGAAGATTCAAAAGGATGAAGCAGGTGAATGTTTTCTAAAAATGACAAGGTCCCATATAGATAGATCATGCGATTTAATTTTTCTTTTGAACATTTTTTAGTCTTCTATGCTTGCCTGCTCCTTTTAAAAAACTATATAAGAAAAAAATCATCAGAAATATAATAAAAAGATAATTTTTAAAGTGACAAGAGTGCAGGATCATGTAATATGTCATTAAAAGACTAGAACAACTTTGGTAATTTTTCATGTGTTTGAATATTTATTATGAGAAGGGTGCTAATTGGAATTTCTCAGATAAAGCTGTAAGACTTAAATAATAACAATAGATATTTTTGTTGGAAATAAAAAGTAACTCTGCATTAATAAAAATAATTATGTTCTGAAGCAGAGTTCCCAGGGAGGCTGCAATAAGTCTATCCTAAAAGTGCCTGAGATGATTAATGTTCTTCCCGAGAGTCTGGAAATGATAACAGTACCATCTTGATGGGATTTTCTGGTCTCAGTTTTGTAACAGTCAATATATTATAAGTTGGGGTTGTTTCGTGTGAGTTAGGTTGCTCCTCACTAGGAAGCCCAAACTGGGAAACTATTATTATAATAGGTTTACTGTGAGCAGCTTTGTTAATGGAAGTTAAACTTTATGGCTGCATTTCATAAGGAAAAAAAACTTCCAAAGACAGAGTAGAATGCTAATAAAAATTTAATTTACACTTTAACATGCTCTCTTGTAAAAGTATTTGTGGGACTAGGTTTAGATAAATTTCACTCAATTCTCTTTATCCTGATATAAAGACATACAACTAAAAGATGGACAGATTTATTATCCTGATGATCTATTGTTATATTGGGTACTTGTAC
Source organism: Homo sapiens (assembly GCF_000001405.40). Taxonomy (NCBI): domain Eukaryota; kingdom Metazoa; phylum Chordata; class Mammalia; order Primates; family Hominidae; genus Homo; species Homo sapiens. The sequence goes on along the minus strand of NC_000008.11, from coordinate 79,619,180 downwards.
TAATGGTTAATGTGCGAACTCCAACATCCAAAATACAATTATTCCAGAAGAATAACTGCTAAATGGGCACTCTTGCAGGCGTTGCTTTACAATCTTTGTAAAAAAAAAAAAATCATTCAGTCCTAGGCAATATTTTTGCCCTATAAAAATAAATTATTTTAAATGTGCTCTATGAGAACTGTAATTATCTATTTCTTGCCATAAAATAAATTTTGAAACCCATAACTTTCCAGAGTATTAAATATTTTACTCTGGAGGTCAACAACAAGTGAGAACAAACTTAAAATATTTTTGTTATGGTTTTATAGTATAATATGTGGCTCCTACTCTAAGTACAATTCCTAAAGAAGCTATATTTCCACATGACCAGCAAAATGATGGCTGAAATGCATTAATTAACCTTTACACTCATATAAAAGTGTTTTGTGAGAACAAATGTACACAAATGTTATCTTTAATCATGACTAATAAAAATGGATATTATAAACACAAGCTTTACTACTGCAAATGTCTCCTTGACAAATGACAGGGCCTGATTCCTTTATTAAAAGATAATTAAAAATGTTTCACAAGGGATTCAAAACCTTCCTACAGTTCTCTCCTGCCTGCCTGCCTGCTTTGATGGTAATATGAAGAGAATCTTGAAATAACATCTAATAGTTATATTAAATGTGAATGTGTAAATTTATTTTATTCAACAAAATGTTAAAACTAAATATCTCTGGCCTATGGAAGTAGTTAAGGAGGCATTTTGAAATGTGCTAACCATGATGGGACTGAGGAGATTAAGTCAATGTTATTTCTGGAACTGGTCATCAGAGTGTGTTCCCACCAGAAATCGATGCTGTGCTGAGCCTGCAGAACGCCATGTGTCTCATACGTTACAACCCACACGGCCTCATAGCTCTCTTTCTCCCAAAGCCTAAATCATGGCAATTATTTGAATAAGCCCCAGGTAAGCTATTAAAACTAGGCATCAATTTGGAAGTATTTTCTCTTCAAGGTGAGTCTGTGATCAGAAAGGAGAAGACCATCTCTGGTCTGTTTAAATAAAATGGTGATATCACAGGTGTGACCTCTGCAATGGGAGCTCACCTCTAACATGGAACAGATATGAGACTAGCAGCAATCGGTGAAAGATGGATTCCGAAGCCAGATGGCCTGGGCCCAAATTCTGGATCTGACTAACTGTGTGACCTTGAGTAAGATACTTCAACTTTCTGTGCCTCAGTTTCCATATCTGTAATAGAACCTACTTAGGATTATTAAGTGATTAACACAGTTAATATGTGGAAAGTTCTTAGAACAATGCCTTGCATGTTATATGTGCTATACAAGGGTTAAATCAATCAATAAAAGTTACTTCCCATAGAGAATCTGGAATTTATGAATACACCAGAAAAACAGTTGAAAGAAAGCACCATTGCGGGAAAATGTTTGAGTAAAGAAATAGGAAGACTTATTGGCTCGAGGCCCTCAAGTTTAGATTTTTGTCATCTCCAAATGAGGTTATACAGAGAGCCCTGCCCGACTGCCAGAATTAAACATTTAAAACATGAATTACTTTTGTAATGCTGTCTTAAGTGTGTCTTCCTTTCCTTCAATGTACAAGAAATTGCAAAAATGGAAAGTTTCCCAGCTTCTGAGAGACCCTGAAATGAACTGTTAACAACAACTGAATGGCTAACTTTGAGACTTAGTCCAACTTTGTGTTGAGTAACAGTATATTCTGCAAACCCTGAAGCTAGTTTTATTTGGGATCATGTTTTTAGTGCCCTATTTGGGAAATGTTATATTTTTTAATTTGAGATATTTCGTGTATTGTATCATTTTTGCAGCATAATATTTCCAGAAAGGTGGTAATGGCTGCATGGTCAGCCAGTCACTGCATGGGAGACCTGACTATGTCTTTGATGCTATTCCTTGAAGATCCTCTTTCTGATCTGTAGGTTGACTTCCTTAGAAAGTTAGAATTGAATAATGAAGATCCTTTATTGGCTTAGATAAGCAGAAGAAAACACTCTTTTCAAATATACAGTCATACTCAATAAATTCTTAAGAATTTTCTCACATGGTATTCAGGAAGAAATACTCTTAGAATAATTTGGTAAATAATAAATATAAGATATATTGAGACAGCAATCTTTTGTTTTAATTTCTTCAGTATTGCTATTCATAAATGATAGTAAGCTTGCATTATTGATTTATCATCCTTGTCAACTGTGCCACAAGCCGCATTCACATTCATTTCTTCTTAGGCAGGCTGTCTGTCTCTCTCTCTCGCACACACGCACACATGCTCACACAGAGAGCCAAATTCTTATTTTCTACCTTTCTCTCGAAGGTCTTCTGCCGAGTCCTGCAATATGAATATAATTTTAAAAATCCAATTAAGAGAGAGTGATGGGGCAGAACACATAATTCCCAGAGTAATAAAATCCCCAGGTATATGAGTTCGGAAGTAAAATATTTTGTAAAGATTACCATAGATTTAAAAATGTTAAGACATAATACCAGAGCTTACCAGGAGGGATACCTGTATATTACAAGTTAATATCCCTAAAACTGATGTGTTTAGTGGTCAGAATCAGCATCATCTGGGAGCTTGTTCGGAAGACAGAATGTCTGCCTCAAGCCAGATGTATTGAATCAGAATTTGCATTTTAATGAAAATCAAAGGTAATTCATATGCACATCAAAGTTTGAGGAACACAGTAATATGACACTATTAAATATTTTATAGCTGGATTAGAATTACATAAAATGTAATCAAAAAATAATTCTATCAATGCATATTTAAAAAATCCACTTTTGATGATACCCAAAATTAGTTTATACTTATATATTTCTTCTTACTTCGTTAAAATTAACATCGATTTTCTAATAAACAGAAAACCACTACAAGGAGATGCTCAATAATTGTTGAAATCTGATAAAACTAGATTGAAATCACATTGGATTAGATTTAAAAAGGTATCTTTAAATGGAAAAGAAAGACAGACTTAGAAGATGGGAAAAATAACAGCAGTCAGTTTTTGGTACACCTCCTCAGTATCACATACCTGCCTGTTTTACTCGCTAAGCTGCATGTTCTCTGCAGGTGGAGACTCTGATATTCAGATGTGCTCTGAACAGGGGGCACATTTCAATCGATGAAGAAGTAAACAATGATTTTCTTTAATTTATTCCTTTATTTTTAAGCATTAAAATATTCGGCTGCTAAATAACTTTGCTATTACTACTGACATTTTTCTACTATTTATCCACTACAAAATCTCAGAAGTAACATAAATGGTATTATAATAACAATGTAATAAAACTGAGAAGTAAAACCATCAGGGAATAATTAACCAGGGCGTGTATCTACTTTCAGATTATGACCACTCATTTCATCCTGTCTCCTTGAAAATTGTACAAGCTCTGTTCATCCACTAGGGTAAAGCATGGCATCAGCTTATTGAATAAACACTTGAATGTTCCTGGTAAAAGAAAAGATTTTATTAAACAGTTAATATTTGGAACTAGGTTTACATCAATCATCTGCTTTTTTAGAGAACATGATTGCCCTCTAGTGTGGTGAAAAGTTAATGCAGACACCGAGGTTTTCCAATGGACAGAACCAGTCTAGGTTCTGAAAACATCTGGGTCACTGGCTAGTTCAGTATTTTCTTTTTTAATGAAAAAATTCTAGCATTTTTTCATATAAGGTCACAGATCTTGTGACAACAGGATAATATGTGTTTTTCTTCCCACGACCAAAAAAGAAACTGGTGTGAGCTGGGGTTCGCTATCAGCAGCTCCCAGTGGCCACGCCCAGGCCTAGGTTTGTGCTCTGAGCTTCCTCCTGCTCGGAGGCCAGCTTTTTTCAGCCTCCTGTGAGCAATGAGCTACCAAGGTAGCCTGAGCATGTGATCAGTCACACTCAGTTGAAGTAAAAAATAATGGTGATTGATAAATCCGGAATTTTCCTAAAGATGGCCTGAATTTATCAATGACAAAGTCTTCCATTCAATATGTATCGATTCATCCTCCACTTCATTGTTAGTTGTACAGATTTAACTTTAAAATTCTGTTTGATAGCTACTGCTAGGTATTCACAGAACTAAGTAACTATTTGATCTTAAATTATAGGGAAGAAAACTATTTTATTATATGAATCAGCCTTATGGCACTCTGAAAGGACATTTCCTGAATCTGAGTAAATTGTAGCCTCTTGTAGCATTTTTTAATCACTGAGAATGAGCTATTTGATGGAAGTCATATTGTGCCAAATGATTAAATGCTTATTCCACCATCTATCCATTAGTAATTTGAAAAATAAAAACCCAAAGTAATTAAAACTGCTTTCAATGCAACAAATAAAAGTTTGCTAAAAATATTAATGAGGTAATAGCTGTAACAATAAAAACACTCATTTCTCTTTTAGAATAGAATAATTTACTACAAATCTGTAAGTCACATTATTGTAAAAAAAAACCATTGTGAATTTTGACTAAAGTTGTAGATTTTAATAGCACAAATGTCCAATCTTAATTATCATTTTAAAATATACTTTCTCTCAGAGAATTTTAACGTGCATAGACAAACACCACAAGGTCTATTAATTTATCCTATCATTCTAGCTACCTGCGACGTGTTACACTGGGACAGAGAGTGTTTATTGCAGGCTCAGCTTACTCACCTGGTATAAACTAAATACATGAGATTAATTGATAAACTACTGCCATTTCTTTCAGTTTTATCCTGAAATTCTGACCAAATCCTCAGCTTTTCATTTCTAGTTACTTATATATCCATTCAGAAGGTGCCCACTTCATTAGAAAAGATAATGGGGAATATTATATGCACCTCTTACAATCATGCTGAATACATAATTGTTTAATGAATCAGGAAAAAAGCACTCGCCCTGATAATTAATTATCTTTGAAATTGGAATTAATTTCAAAATCTATTATTTTAATACTGCAGAAGTAGTGTTTTTTTCATGATTTGCAAATGCAGTTAAATTATGGCCAGAAAGGATGCTTGCGTTTGTCATATTTGGGGTGGGATTTTTATTTGGATGGCGGCTACCATTTCACGATCCATGTATCTGTGTAGGATTGAGGCTGTATCAAGAATCAGCAGTTGGAAGAACAGTTTCAGGGGAAAAAACTTAAAATTTTGTGCATAAACTATATTTATATATTTATAGATATAACCTTATGTTGAAGATCATCTCAATTATATATGTGTATTCTCACCCATTGCAGCCACAAACAATTCTTTGCAGAGAATTTTCCAGCAATCGTTGGCACACAAACCCTGCTCTTAGCAAGCACTTGCACATGTATCTTAGCCACATGAACATACATAATCCTGGCAGGAAGCAAAAATATATTTGCTTTATAACTTAAAATGAACAACTGGAGACAAATTTACCTTTTTGTGGGGGAAAGGGATGAGGGCAATTAGGAGGAAGCAAAGCGAACGCAACAAGGGTTAATCCTTAACCAAGAGCAATCCACGTCCCTTTTGAACAAATGAGAACAAACAAGGCTACTGAATCATTAAATAATAACAACGATTTGAAATGATAATAATACTGATGATGACGATGAGTTTGCAGCCACTAGCCTGCAGCGGAAACCTTTCTGAGGGGTGCAGAAAGCGAGGCGAGATCGCCCCCACCACCCATTCTCAGAACCTTTCTGGACGTGCGAGTGAACTGCGAATTGTGGAAAGCGGGGGTAGCTCAGGACACTGCGCAGAAACCGGTCTCCCCGGCTGCACCGCGGGGGCGAGCGCCCAACTCCGGGGAGGGGAGCGCAGGGCGCGGCGCGGGGCTCTGCAGGGCTGGCTGCGCTCCACACACCCAGTCGCCACGTGCGCCCCCACCCGGCCAGCGGTAGGCGGCTCTGGGCCTCAGCTGGGAGGGGTGGGGCCGAGCCGCGCCCCGCTGGAGGAGCGAGGGTCTCCCTTAGAGAAGCCCCTCGCGGGGTCTCCATTCTGGAAAATCATAGAGAACAGAGGGTGGGCGGGGGGCTTGGGCTGGGGGAAAAAAAGCCCCGAGCTCCGCGGACCGTGGGTGGGCGAGAAGAGACAGCCCTCCCTGAATCCCTGGGAAGGGGGTCACCTCTGCGGTCTCGCGCCCGGGCTGGGTGGGGCCGCGCCTTTGTGTGGCCGGGCGGGGCTCGAGCCAGCTTTTCTGCAGAGCCACCCGCTTGGCTGGGAGGGGCTCGGTGCTGGGGCTGAGAGCCACGCCGGGGGTCTGCGCACATCAAGGGGTGCTCGGGCCGTTGTGGACTGCGGGGCTGAAAAAAGAGGTTCCAGGACTGCATACAGCTCAACTGCCCCTCCCATATTCCTCTTCCCCGCCAGTCTCGGAGCCTGAGGTCTCCCCGGCTCCGCGGGGAGGGTAGGGCAGGGCGGAGCCGCGCAGATGGAGTCCTTTCGGCAGCTTTCCCTGTCTCCGCATCCTGCAACCAAGTCCCGGGGGACACGTGCTTCCAGCTGCCACAGGACCCCAGGCCCCACCCTGCCTTTTCACCCCGGGGCCACTGAGCGCCAGAACCGTGGGCACTCAAGGCACAAGACCAATTGCGGATGAAGGCCCTGAATCCAGAATCTTTTCCGGTCATCCTGTGTCTCCACTGTCTTGTCTCTCTGAGCTTATGAAATTGCCGATATTTGGCACTGTCTGACCCACAAAACGGAAATTTCGCGTGGCTTAACTTAAGACTTTGACCTCTTTTGCTTTATATACGATTTCATGTCATCTCTATTATTATACATACACATGTCTAGGTTCTAGAAGCTTTTCCCGCAAACGATCAAAGGTCTTCAAAGAACCCTTTATCTGTGTCTATGTCTAAACACTCTATGTAATTTGCTTCCGAAAAGAAAAATGTTAACCCACTTTTCCCATCTCTCTTAAAAGCAGAACAATGAGGCCAGCGTGGGGAGGGCGGGGTCAGTGGTCAGGTCTCTCTTGGAAGCCGCGGCGGGGAGTCGGGAGCGGGGAGCGCGGGGCGTGGCGCCGCTGTCCCCGCAGGGTTGGGCTCCTGGGTGTCACGCTGCGCTCCCCACCCGACCCCCTTTCGAATGAAGATGCAGCACCGGGCGGGGGGGCGGGGCTGCGCGGTTCCGCACTGGGTGGGGCTGTCCGCATTGTGCGCCCAGCGCTGCAGGTGCCTCCCCCCGGGACCGCTGGTCCGCACACAAAGAAACCCCACCCCAGCGCCTTCGAAGCCGCTGTCCCTCCACCCCTCCCTGCCGCGCGCTTCCCCGCCCCTGCAGCTGCCCACCCGCGCCCTCCACGCCCTCCGCGACTTCCTCTCTCCTTCCCCTCCCTTGCCCTAAAACAAAGGAGCGGAGGTCCTACCCCCACCCTGTCCCCCGCCGTCTTACCTCCCTGCACCGCACCCCAGGACTAGCGGTTTCTTCGACGAGACAATACCGTAAAATGTGCCCAGTTCTCTCCATCCCCTCCCCCCGTCTCCACCCATCTTTCAAACAGCGGGATGGGACCGCTTTGACTTTGCAATTTTCTTTTTCCTTTCTCCCACCTTCCCTTTACCCCTTTCCTATTTTCTTCTTAAACTAGAGAAGAAATAAAAAAAAAAAAGGTCGTTATAAAGCACTTTCCAAAATGTCCCTTAAGCCCATTTAAGGCAAACAGTTAAGGTAGCTTCCTCCCCTCACGATTGAGTCCTAATTTTAAATATGGAAACAGAATAAATTCTCTACCCATAGGAGGGCAACTTACCCGCTTCTACCTTTTAAAAGAAATTCTTCGCTTTAGATTTCCATAGACCTCTTCTCTGCCCTCCCACCTCCCCCAGAACTGCCCTGTCCTTCCTGGTCCTGTGTTACCATTAACATCTTTTTCTTTATAAAATATCTCTGAATGCTTCTAGAGCTCAAGAGAGGAGGTGAGAGGTGGGCTCCAGGTAGAGCCGACGGAGAACGAGGCGCAGTGCCTTACCCATTGCTGTTTTAGCCATTGTAGGGATGTGCAGACGCTGAGCAGTGGCGAAGGCAAAGGGTCCGGCTACAGCAGCGGAGAGAGCGAGAGAGAAGACTGAATAAGGCACTGAGTCTGCAGAGTGGGACCGTGCTAGAGAAAGAGCAAGAGGCAGGAGCCCATGAATAATTATCACTCAGAAGCTCAAGCAGATTGGCTCCCAAGGTCCCCTGACATGACTCCCGCAGAGTCAGAATCTCCAAGCATTAAATATTGATCGGCCAATGGTGCTGGAGTACAAAGTACCAGAATGCAGTTTGAAATGGAAATCAGTCCTTCCCTGTCGGCTCCCCCCATTTTGGGGGCCTGATAGTACAGTCCAAGTAGAGTGGAGCTTTAAGCCCTGAAGCTTCCTAGGAGCTAAGAACTGGGCTGTGCCTACCTGGGAGCCAGGAGGCTTGACTTTGCTCATACATGTGCCATTGCACAATTCAATGGAAAAGGATTCAGAAGCTTGAGAAGTCCTCACTATATGCAGGCTGTTGGAAAATTCTGTTTAAATACTGTGTTTTCACTTTTTCATATTTTCTTTCACCTTTGGCTCTGTCCTTGGTTCTAGTCTTTCAGGGCTACCCTATGTCTGGCTATGGTGGCAGCTCAGAGCAGACTTGCATTATTGTCCTTTATCTTTTAGCACAGCTGGACTTAGGCGTCTCTAAACTCTTGAAGGTCTCTCAGGAGAGGGAAGCATGGTGTTTTCTTCCCTTGGCACAGAGGAAGGGGCTACCTGGTTGCTTGGGAATAGGGATGGTAATAATGGTCCACCTGGGGACATGGGGGAAGAGGAAGAAAGTTTAACCTCTGGTGCCTGTGTCCTGTCCATTTGTTAACACGGCAGAAAACAGGTTGGCTGGCTGGTTTGGGCATTAAGGAAACCACAGGTGAATGCCATGTTGCCCTGAAGGTGTAGGATTAAGTGGGTCAAAATTTTAGTAACCTTTCCAGGGCTCTAAGGAGAATGCTTTACATGGAAAACTTAGAAGAGATGAAAGGTGTGGTCTGGGTCATTATTTTTCTGAGATCCAGAGAGACTACGTTTATGTAGGCCCAGGAAGGCTGTGTTCAAGTTTCGGATTGAGCAATGTCGTATGTGAGGATCTTTGAGACTAGTTGCAAAAAATGACTTTCATTACAAACAAGGCATTTATTAGTTCCTCCTTCTCACTTAATGGATGCCAGTCATTCATTTGTTCTCTTTCACTTGACTTAAATATGTATTGAGCATTTACCATGTGCACAGCTCTGAAAATGGTGAGAAAAAGTTTAGGAGTTGCTGCATGAAGTTTTTAATTACTGCTAATTTAACTCTTCTGTAACTTTATTGAGCCAGTCTAATTCCATGCAGAAACTGGTTTTAATATTAGAAAAATAGGCAAAGAATTGCTAATTCCGACGTTTGAAAGCCAAAAGAAGAGCACATTGTTGCAATCATGAACAGGTATGAAACCCTGGCAAGTTTTTAATTTCAGAAAAATGAATGTATTTTTTTCTTCTTATTAAAATAGGTTTTTAGCAGCTTTCTGTCCAATCACATTTCAACTTTTTTTTCTATCCTCAGGAACAATACACAGTTTCAAATACATAAAACCAATTGAAAATAGCAGGGCACTCTCCTTGGTGCTGAAATGAATTTCTTCACCTCCTATTAACTTGTAAGACATTTTAACCTCATGGACATTTTGCTGACTGATAGGATGCTACTGGAACTGGAACAGTTTTGACCTGCTGAATCATGGGGAAAATAAAAGATGAAGTGGAGATCAATAAAATTATTTCTTGAACAGGAAGATTAGAAATTATATTTCCTATCTTTGAACAGGTCTGTGACTATGACACAGCAAGAGAGCAATATGGAAGTTGGCAGGGTCTGGAAATAAATAACCATTTTCTCTCTATATATAGGCATTTCCCACTTTAAATGTAACAGTTAATCACCTCTCACTGGAGTAGTTATCACTCATGAGGTGAAGGATCTTCAGCATGTCTGTGTGACTAATATTTTCAAAGTATTTCTCTTCTCCCCACCACACCCTTTCCCCTCAGGCTGTGTGTCATCTCTACACATTCTTCAGCTTCCTTGGAGAACAAGGGCCCTAAGTCATGGCATTAGTTTCTTTAACAACTGCAGTTGGCTGCTGAATGAAATCGATTGCACTTTTGATGACTATGAGGAAAACAAAACACTCATTCTACTGCCCTAAGGGTCACATATGTGACTCTTTTCTATTTCCGATTTTCTAGGTGTTAGCCACCTAACTTCAGTTATGAATGATTTTTAAATAATGTCAAACAGGGAAGAGAGTAGGTCAATATGATTTACCATAGAATAAAAAGATAGTAGGCAAAATTGTCAATCAGCTAAGAAAACACAAATAAATTCAAAGGGCTGTGCCATTATCAAATTGTTTTTTGTTTTCTTTTATCATTACAATATGGTATCATGCATATTCACATGGGAAAGTAAGGGTGAAATATGAACAGAAAAATTATTTCATATTCAATATGTTATTCACTTATTCATTTGTTCAGCTAATTTATTCAACAAATATTTATTTGATGATGTTTCAGGCTTTTGTGATGCCAGCCAAGCTTCTCCTTAATGTCTGAAAAATAGAAAGTGAAGGAAAATATAACACCCATCTCTTTAAGAAAATATTAATTTGGGGGAGTGAATATGATCTTGTGTATTGTGGATCACACTTTGTTGCAAAAATTTGAAAAAATAACCCAAACTGGCACTAATAATAAAAGTGCATTTGCTGTTTCGTCTAACCATATAGATAGAGTTGGCCCTAGAGGTCTGGAGGTGAGATCAGCTTTTCCTGAAGGAAATGGTTTTGATGGGAATGGGTGGACACTCAAAGAATAGGTACTACATTTGCACAGTATAAACTAAGGACAACCAGTATCTGTCGTGTGGGGATTTGGGTAGACTGAAGGGTTATCATGTATGAACTGTCTAAGCCATCATGGATATATAGTAATTTTAAGTACTATGACTATATTTAGTGTTTCCAATACATTTAAACCTTTGAAAGGTAGAGAATGAATAGTGTATATCTTTATACCCTTCCTAGTGGTTGGTTTCATGATTCACGTGGTAGACAGTTAAAAACAATTTGTGAAATAATAAATAATACAGTGTTGAAAATGATTCAAAATGGATGAATCCAGTGAGACCATATTGACACTTCTAACCTCCTTTGCTTAGCTTGTGTTGGGAGCAGGTATTAGGCTGTTTACCAGTGTTTATTTATTTATATCCTGCCCTATTCCCAAAGAACCTAAATGAGTAGAGCTCACAATAGTAGATGGCCCTTGTTAATTTTTGTTATCTTTAACAGCCAGCAGTAAGCTGGAGCTGTGGAAATCACAGACTTGCTAACAGAAATTTTAATTATTGTGGGTTATAGCCTAGTGTGTATTATCTCTGTGAGGAGGCCTGAGGTGTTGATTTCTTTCCAAACCAGAGAGAAGCAGTTGCTTTGGAGGATTAGCTGATGCCATCTAACACAGTCATATGATTTTCTGCTATTCATAATCAAGTGCCTGGGAAAGAATCCTAAAGTAATTATTAAAAGTTAGTGAGATAAGAGAAACATTGTTAAGGTCAAATTAATTGTTTTGATCTGACCTCAGGTGATTACAAAAGAAATGTGAGAGATAAAATCCATTGAATTTTTTTAGATGTTTAGAAATTTAGGATATAAAGTAGTTATAGCTGAAGATATTTAGAGATGCATCTAAAATAATCACACATGAAAAAATAGTTGACTTTTTAACATTTTGATTATTTTGCCATGTTTAAATTCTTATAGATTAATGAAAAATAAAAAGGATCATGTGTCCTTTAATAGAACTGTCTAATATGGTTTATTCAAAAGGAAAGTCATTCCAAGGAGGGAGAGTTGGTGTTCTTTATTAGCAGTGAGCTCTGTATTGCTCAGGAATTTGCCAGTGTGTTAGAGTTATTTCTGAAGTGTGGAACAAACACACTTCATTGTTTTCTTCTTAAATTAGTTATTTAAAAATAAACAATGATTAGTTAATTATTATTATTTTTTCTCTACCTAGGGTTTTCTTTATGTCCAAATGGGACTTGTATGTATTAATAATTAGTATAATTCACCCTGAAGCAAAATGACTTATTGAAATTAGTAAATCCTATTGATAGTTTTATAATTGAACTTTTCTGGAAATAAACTTGTTCTAATCATAAGAAAGGCTTGATATAAATTTAATGAGCTGAATCTTTACATTAAATTGATAATGTTGAAAACTACTCGCTATCTTGGCAGCAATTACTGTAACTAACTTTTTCCTTCTCTCCATGAGTTGATTTACAGCTTGAGTCCAGGGAGAACATTAGTTGGACACCATTGAAGCTGGGAAGTTGGTTCCCCTTGAGATTTCACTCAGCATCTTAGTTTACAAACCAAACAGTGGAGACAACACTGAAGTGCCTGGAAGAGAAATCTGGGAGAAGTGTGACTCACTCTGTTTATCCCACAAGCCTCAATTTATTTTATTTTTTAAACAGAACCCCTACTGTGAGCATTGCATTATACATACAATAACAGTTGCCTAAGAACCTTATTTTTCTAAATCAAGCTGAAAAGAGGAGGAGGAGGATTTAGGGAAGAGAAAAGCAAAAGCATTTTAGTATACTGCCTTCCTGGGAGATTTTCTCATTAGTCATTTATTAACTAATTTTCTGACCCTCTGAACTTCCCCCACCCACATCCTGCTGTGTTATCAAATGGAATTGAATTAACGGATGTAGGTAGTATTTTTAAAAATCAATTTCATCAAATATTTACTTTGACAGTAACATTAGACTTGAACTCGGCCGGGTGCGGTGGCTCACGCCTGTAATCCCAGCACTTTGGGAGGCCGAGGCGGGTGGATCACGAGGTCAGGAGATCGAGACCATCCTGGCTAACATGGTGAAACCCCGTCTCTACTAAAAAATAGAAAAAATTAGCCGGGCATAGTGGCAGGCTCCTGTAGTCCCAGCTACTCCAGAAGCTGAGGCAGGAGAATGGCTTGAACCCGGGAGGCGGAGCTTGCAGTGAGCCGAGATCATGCCACTGCACTCCAGCCTGGGCGACAGAGCGAGACTCCGTTTCCAAAAAAAAAAAAAAAAAAAAAAAAAAAGAAAAAAAACACATTAAACTTGAACTCAACTAGAGACAACAAAACCCCATTCCACTCTTTTTTTTCCTCTCGTCACATATTTAATGGATTTTTCTGTTTTTGGTTTGATCACTTCCTGAACTACACCTATCTTTTTAGTTCAGTTCAGCAAAAACAGAGCAATGTGCAGTTAGGCGGCAAATGCTGCCTTTTGAGGCAGAAAAGAAATTGCCCAGAGATTTGCAGATGTGTTATTTGGGTTTATTTAGAATGCGCAGGAAACGTCCTCTTTTGGAAAGAGGATTTCAATAGCTTGAATATTTACATCAAAATATAAAAATATTGTACTTATATTTTTGTCATAAACTATTTCAAATGGACACAAGAAAGCAAATAATGAACTTGTATTAGTCAAGTTAAGAAATTACCAAAACTTTATTGCTTCTGTTTCTTTTTCCTTTTTCATCTTTGCTGAAAACTTTAAAAGGAAGTCACGACAATCATTTAAATTCACTCTTTGTAGTTAAGTATGTATCTCTATAAAACATGAACCTTTCTTACATAAATACAATTCTGTTAAAATACTTAACAATTATAATCACATTTTCATGATTGTCTCAAGAATACTGTTGCTTTGTTTAAAACAGGACCCAAATATGGTCCGCATATTCTATTCACTTTTATGTTTCTCAAATCTCTTTTAATCTGGTACAATCCTCCCTTCATTTTTAAAATTCCCACCATTGGCTTTTTGTAGAAACTGGGTCAATTGTCCTATGAACTTTCTTACATTTTGGATGTGACTCTTTGCTTCCAATGTGGTCACTTAACTTGTTCCTGTCCTCTGTAAATGAAAGTCAATTTTGAAGCTTGATTAAATTCAGGACCATCTCACCAAAGAATAACTCAGTTTAATTAAAAGCATGGCTGATATCTATTCACATGTGCTGGAGATCAGTCATGAAACCAGACAAGGGGGGATTTATAAAAACAAAACCTACAGCAGCCTGAGGAACAGTGAAATATTGTTTTTTGTCTATGGGCAAGCTGATTAATTAAAACCTATCAGGGAGAGCATTTTCCCCAAAGCAGACTGGCAGTTATCACAGAAGGCAACTTTATTTATGAGGCTTTGGAGAAATCTTGTTACTAAAAGTGACAGAAAGTGATGTTTTATTTCTAGGTGTGGCTGCTGTTGAACTCTGCTGGACTTCTGCTGAGCCCTTCACCTTAGTTAAGCTAGGAGTGCACCATTTCTCTACTACAGTAAAGTTGTTCCTCTTTTAGCCAAAGTCTGCTGAGTGAGCTGTGATAGCTTCAGTCTTTTTGATGCAGAATTGTAATGAACTGAATATTTATGTCCCCACTCAAATTCATATGCTGAAATCCTAACCTCCAAGGTGATGGTACTAGGAGGTGGCACCTTTGGGAGATGATAAAGTCGTGAGCGGGGGTGACTTATGAGTGGGATTAGTGACCTTATACAAAAGACCCCAGAGAGCTGCCTTGGCTCCTATCACAAGTGAGGATACAGCTAGAAGGTGCCATGTATGAGCCAGAAGACGAGCCCTCGCCAGCAATCAAATCTGCCAGCACCTTGATCTTGGAGTTCTTAGCCTTCGGAACTGTGAGAAATAAATTTCTGTTGTCTAAAAGCTAAAGAGTTTGTGGTATTTTTGTCATAGCAGCCTATATGGATTCAGATATAGCTGAGTGTCAGCCTAGCATAATGGCACTATAGTAATTTTTAAAGTAATTGCATCTCATTCAGAAGAAAATGAGGACCATTATAAATGTCAAAAGAAACGTTTGAAATCCCATCTTGTATTTAGTTTTGAAATGGCCTATAACCAACTAGGAGAACAAGTCCCATGGATCAGTTTGGGCAACCTTATTTATGCTTTTTTTAAAAAAATCAAATTAATGGTTCCACTTTTCCTGAAGTGTTTATCCAGGTATTGGTTACTGTATTGACTCAATAGATGGTTGACCTGTAAATAGTCAGGAAAAATTTTATTAGCTAGATTAGTCTAGCCAATACATTTATGCTGGTTGGTTGGACTTCTCAAACTTGAGCTGCTTTATTTGTTTTTTGGTCCTAGTTATAAAATGAGGATCACACATTTCAGTCTAAAGAAAAAACACTACTGATATTTGGTGTCTTGCATATTTTCTGGTAAGTTACCATGTCAGGCTCCCCACAAAATATGAGAAATAGTAGAATTTTTTTTTTAGTCCTTACAAAGATGATCTGGACAAAGAATAGGTCACATTTTGATGTCATTAGCATGAGAGGCCTATCTAATTAAATAGGAAAAATAATCTTTTGGGTGAATATAGAAGGGACATGAAAATAATCAGTTGGTATCAGTTGCCACCTAAATGTATTTGGTCTAATTGCAAAGAACAAACATTCTACATAAATTTAAACAAGTCGTGAAGTTTCTGAATTAATTCATGACAAAACAGTTCAATCATAAGTTGCATTATTAGTCACGTGTTCCTTGTTATCCTTACCTCCCATAGGTGACTTTGAGGCTCTGGATATATAAGTAACAGTAGCAACTGTGAGGAGGGACCTACAGTTAAGTTGAGGCATGTGGAATAGATGTGTTTGAGTTAATATTTTTTATATGTGCCTGAGCCATATAAAAAATTGTGCAATTGGCAGTGTCTGCAGCGGTGGCAACTGTCTGTTTCAATGATCTACTTCTGTAAGTTTCTTACTTTTGGAGGCCTTTTAGTGAGCTCAGGGTTAGATATCCAGTGGGGATGGATATTCATGTTGTAAGATCCTTAATATGTTTGCATTAAGAAGTATAAGTCCATGGGTCCTGTGTTCTGGAGTTTACAAGCAGCAGTAGCGGCTCGAAACACTTGAAATGGCCCTTTTCGATATAGTTCTAAGGCTGACTCTCACTGGTGTCTTTTCCTATATAATGTCTACTGGTTGTGTATTCTGTAGGGTTGTATTCATTGGTGTCTCTTTAGGAAATGCAGTTTGTACCTGTTAGGTACGACTCTTGTGTATGACATTAGATTTTCAAAACACCTGACAAGATCAGAATGTAATAAGGTAATGTGGTCAGAAGGAAAGTGAGAATTTATGGGGATTTAGTGATGTAGATTACATTATCATTAAGGCTAGGGTGGAACTTTTAGATAAGATATATTGAATTCTTCTGTAAATATTAACTGTTATGATTTTAAATATTATTAGTTTATACTTTTAAACAGCGCTTTGCTACATATCCTTAAAGATGAAAAAACCTGCAAAAAAATCTCGAACACTCTTTAATAGTTTCTTGTGTGTATAGCATGGCTGTGGAAATTCTAGAACTATTTTATGTATCTAGTGGGATTAAGAAAATGGGTAAACATAATCTCATTGTTGGGAGCCAATGTTCTCACTGGGGAAGAAGGAACTACATATATGGAATTGGGGAAAGTAGGAAAGAATCTTGTGGCATTAGACTGGAGTTAGAGATAGAATAATACACACATATATTTCTTAATTCATGATTTAAAGGATATCCTATTCATAATAAAAGTCTATATTTCTTAGCTCTATTCACTAAATGAGCTTAGAAGCAATTACACCTTGGTACAATGAGCACAGCTGGCACCCAGATTTTGTTTTTGAAATACCATTCTCCACTAAAAGAAACTAGGGCAAGATGAATGTTGGAAAGGCAAGATGATCTTGTCAAACTATAGGTCACATTTTCATGTGATCAGCATAGGAAAGCCTTCTAATTACACAGGAAAAAGAGTTCCTAAGGGAGCATATTGAAGGGACAAAAGTTATTGATGTAACTGTAGAGAACAAACACTCTGGGTAGACATAAATAAAGCACGTAATGGTTTCTGAATAGTTTGAAGCCATGGCTGAATCCAGAGCTGAGACAGAAAACTCAACCTGAGTCTGAAGCACTTTATTGTTTCCAAAAGTATGGAATTTCTAAAAAAATGGATATTATTTAAAGGTCACAAGAACAAGCTTGAAGGGCTCTTGATGGCTAAATTTATTATAGGACAATCTAACCATCAGCAGAAATATAACTAATGTCTGGTAACCCACTGAATAAAATAAGAATCTATAGCTTTCTGCTGAAGCTAAATAAACAAATGGGAGAGAAGGAAAAATTCTTCATTATGATATAATGTTACATAATAAACATAGAAGAAAAGATAGTTAAAAAATTATGCAACTATTATAATTATAATTGACTCAGGAAAAAATCATTAATAAATGCTAAAACTACTGTGTGAAAGTTTGATGGGAAACAGATAATTACATTGTCTCAGGGTACTTCCCCACAGATCACTTATCAATTACAAAGAAAATATTGGTGATTTTACATGGAGAAACCTGTGGATGCCATCTGAGCCAGGTGATTGAAGTTAGCATCACTAGTAATGTGATAAACTAACATCATGTACCTCTCGGTATTAAGGTGCATCAAGTAGGAAGCAATATTAGTTGTGTGGTATTCCTGCCAAACTTGCAAAAGCGAATTGTTACAAAACATCAGAGAAGTTCACATTGAGAGAAGGTCCACAAAACAACTAGCCTGTACTCTTCAAATATATCAATGTCATAAAAGCAAAGAAAGGTGAGGAACTATTACAGATTAAAGGAAACTGAAGAGAGATGATAACTACTTGCAATAGATGATCCTGGGTTGGATTCTGGATCAAGAAAAAGAAACCACGTAAAGATTGTTTGGGGATGATTGGTGAAATTGGGATGCTAACTGCATATTATATTATGATATTATATCAATATTAGATTTTCTGAATTTGATAACTTTATGTTGGTTTATGTAAGAAAATGTTGCTATTCTTAGAGAAGATAAACACTGAAGTACTTAGGAATAAAGGCTGGGACGTTTGCAACCGTTGGTAATGGCAATGAACATTAGCAATAATAACTTTATTATTTATATGAATATATGAATGTATATAGAAAGAAAGGAGAAATATATAAAGTAATGTGCAAATGTGAGTGTAGGTGAAGGGCATATAAGAATTCATTAAACTGCTCATATAAATTTCCTATAAATTTGGATTTTTTCAAAATAGAAATATAAAAAACATTAAAAGTTGTTTAATGATTATATAAAAAATATCATTTTACATTTTCAGGGCTTTGAGAGTGAAAGTCAATGAAGGTTCTGTTTTAAAGGAAAAACCTTATGTAGCCCCTTAAGCATTTCACCTGTAAAGACGGAAGTAAAGTATACAACTGTACACAACTCCCTTTCTCTCCCTGCAAAGTTTAAGTGTTAGACTTTCAGCAAGGGAAAGCTTCAATCTAACCATAAAACTTAAAGCCTACTTAAAGGCTTTGTGATTTGGGCAAGTAAATAAATCCATTTGTAAATACTCAAATTATCCTTGAAGTGGAGTTGTGAGTTTTGTTCTACCTTTGTAGTTTTTCCTGTGTTATGATAATTACAGAAAAGGCAAGATTTTGCCACTTGTGAATCTTTCAAGGGAAATGTCTTTATAAATATTTTTGAAAAGTTTGAACCAATTTGCTTTTGCCATTGTGGGTATTTCATGTAGCATGTGCACCAAAGGGCTGGACATATACTTGGGTGCCATTGAGTAAATGTCTTGGGAATGTCCAAATTCATCACTGTTCATGAGACAATGCTGAGATTTCTTTTCGGGAGGGAAAGACTGTTATTTTTGAATAAGTACTTCTGGAATCATGAAATTAGAGGAGAAGCTTTTAACACCAAGAATATAAAAATCAGTAGGGAGTTATATTACAGTTCTCTAGAGAAATAGAACCAATAGCACATATATGTTATATATATATATTTTCCTATCCATATCTAAAAATATGATTAATTAATTCATTCATTTATGATAAGAAATTGGCTCACATGATGATGGAGACTGAGGACCCAAGCTCTGCAGTTCAAAGACCTAAGGAGCAGGAGAGTCAGTGGTGTAAGTTTCAGTCTGAATTCAAAAGCTTGAGAACCAAGAGAGCTGATGGTGTAAGTTCTAGTTCAAGTTTGGAGACAGAAGGCTGACATCCCAGCTGGAAGACCGTAAGGCAGAGAGGGCTCAGCCTTTTGTTCTATTTAGGCCTTCAAGTGATTGGATGATTCCCACCCACTTTGGGGAGGGCAATCTGCTCTAC
The DNA here is from genome assembly GCF_000001405.40 of Homo sapiens. Classification (NCBI taxonomy): domain Eukaryota; kingdom Metazoa; phylum Chordata; class Mammalia; order Primates; family Hominidae; genus Homo; species Homo sapiens. Next base: position 79,599,879 of record NC_000008.11, on the reverse strand, counting down.
TTTCATCTACAGATTAAAATGTTATACTTATCCAGAAACACCCTCACAGACACATCCAGAATAATGTTTAGCCAAACATCTGGGGACTCTGTATCCCAGTCAAATTGACACATAACATTGACCATCACAGGAGTGCTTTGTGCATTGTAGTTTGCAGATAAAGTAGTCCCTTCAGTATCAGAAGTGTGGGCTTTAATTGATATCTAAGACTTCCTTTGTATGTAGAACTGCCTCTAATAAGTCATTTCTTTCCTTATGTTTGATTGGGGTATCTCAAGAAGTTAGAAAATATCTTTGTTTTTATGCCATGCCTATAGGAGAAACTGCGATGTGGCAGCTGCATTCCTCGTTAGGACTGAAGGACCTAGGCCCTCAGCCATCAGCTCTTCTTAGAAATTGCTCTCTCTACTTGTTTTGTCCAAGGTCATGCTCTCTTTTCAGGGGAAGCCTACATCCAGTGACTGATTGATTTTGAGTAAAATGCCTGATTTTTTTTGTAATGGGGAATAATTCTAAAAGGGCATCCCAGCTTCAGAGCTCTCCATAGGGTTGCCTCAGGTCTTGCTTAAGAATGCATCATGGCCCAATCTTATCCTCTGTCCAATCTTGCCTTTTTTCCATTTCCCTTCCAGAGGTGCTGAACCCAAGTGTACACTCCGATAAATGTCTTACACAAACTAATCTCTGTCTTAGATTTTGTTTCTCGGGAACCCAACCTGCAACAAAGCTGCAATCATGAACAACTTCCAAGGCATGTTAACTTAAAATTTTAAATAAGGGAGCTTCTGTAACAGAGTGCCTAGCACAAAATGTACATAGACTATTGTAAAGACATGAGTCATCAACAAAAATATATTGAAGTGTTTAGGAAAACATTAGTCAAGTCAGGATAGGGCATTATGAAAAACTGTTAAATAGTCATGAAATTTATCTTTACCAGGAAGAGGAAGTAAGGTAGCTGCCCTTAGATTGGAGCAGCAGTTGACTATTATATGGGAATCAGCAAAGTAAAATTTTATAAGTGGGAATAAGTTTGGCTAGGTGGTGTTGGATGTTATTTTAAAGTAATGAGGCTTGCACTCTATTAGGGAGTCATAGTATGAGAGGTGAGGCCAGAACACTTTCTACTGAAGCTTCAAGTAGTTAAGCTGCTGCCACTACCACGTGCAAACAAACATGAATTAACAGAGTCAAGAGACATGCTAAGAAAAGCAATGGGCTTATGACAAGGTTCCACTTTGGGGGATAAGCACCGTAAATCATAGCTTTTTCTTTTACCTATAATGAGAAGGGTTTTTACATAGCTGGGGAATTCAGGAATTGTAATTCCTGCTTAAGAAAGGAGAGGACTCTTTTGGTACTAGAGCCCAACAGGTGTCTCTGGATTATTTATTTTAGTATCTTTCATGGTGAGATAACTAATATATGAAGAATATAATATATTAATTATTTCCAGCATCCATCCCTTATAATGTATAAAAGTAAACCAAGTGGGCCATTTGAGAAGCACCAAGGATTACCTGAGTTAAAAAGATATCTTAAGAGTTTTATTATTCTGAATTTGGAGACTACACTTAGGCAAGACAGTATCAGAGAAATCTCATTATATTAGCGTAGGACAGAGGTGCCTGAAGCTAGGAAATTATTACGTGGTTTTGAAAAGGCAATATGTTTAAAATGAACACAATAGCGAGTACAAACATATATTAGAAATAATAGCATTTTCAGAAACAAAGAGAGTTTTCATTAAAAATTATTTAAGTTATCCATTCATCCATTGGTGGACGCAGGTTGTTTCCATACCTTGCCTATTGTGAATAATGCTGCAGTGAACATGGGGGTGCAGATATCTATTTGAGAAGCTGATTTTATTTCCTTTGGATATATACACAGAAGTGATATATGTGTATATACTTTTTTCATGATAGTTCTATTTTTAAATTTTTGAGGAACCTTCATACTGTTTTCCACAATGACTGTACCAATCTACATTCCCATTAACAGTGTACAACAGTTCCCTTTTCTCTACATCCTTGCCTTTTTGAGAATTTATCTCTCATTTTTTTGACAATAACCATCTTAACCGGTCTAAGGTGATATCTCATTGTGGTTTTGATTTTTATTTCACTGGTGATTAGTGATATTGAGCACATTTTCATATACCTGTTGACCATTTGTATATCTTCTTTTGAAAAATCTCTCTCTCTCTCTCTCTACACACACACACACACACAAATATATTAATCAGCCATAAAAAAAATCCTGCCATTTGTGACAATATCTATGAACCTGGAGGACATTATCCTAAGTGAAATAAACCAGACATAGAAAGATAAATACTATATGATCTTACTTTTATGTGGAATCTAAAATAATCGAATTCGTAGAATCAGGGAGTAGAATGGGTGTTTTCAGGGGAAGACAGGTGGGGGAAGGGGAGAACGTTAGTCAGAAGTTAGTCTACAAACTTTCAGTTATAAAATGAATGTGTTCTGGGGATCTAATGTACACCATGGTGACTATAGTTAGTAATACTATATTGTTTACTTGAAATATGATAAGAGGAAAGATGTTAAGTGTCCTCATCTCACACGAACACAAAGTGGTAACTATGGAAAGTGATGGATGTGTTAATTAATTTGATCATGGTAATCATTATACAATATATAGCTATATCAATATATCATATTGTATACTTTGAATATATATAATTTTGTCAATCAAATATTTTAAAATAAAATTGATTTGTTATGTGTATTTTGCCACAATTGAAAATAAAAGAAAAAATTTAAAAAACAATTTGGAATTATAACAAAAGTTCTACTCAAGATCAACCTTTTTCTGAACTAACATATAAAGCTTTCTTTAATATTAAGATAACCTTTTATGTATGCATTTAAGCATAAATAATATGCAAAATGTAGGATGTCTCCCTCTTCAATTATATGCTGTTTTCTGTAGTAAATTAAGCATATAGAAATTTACATAAAGTTGCTTATGAGTTTAACTTGAACTTTAAAAAAACGGCAGCCTCATCGGCATGTCCAGGGCAATTGATAACATCACTGAGTTTGCCATTCTAATACAATTGCATCTATTTCCTTGATAAGAAGATAAAACACATCCACCATTTAACATAACAGTATGCAACTATGGTATTCTTTGTAACTACTCTATCATCTCTATTAATATCTACTTTTTTAAAAAAGTAAATTTTGATCCTTTCCACTTACAAAGAAAACTGGAAAGTAGATAATTGAGAACTACTATATACTATTTATTACTTTAGTGGGACTTACTTTTGCTTGAATATTACCCAAATATACCCTAATGGAATTTTTCTGTATTTATATGTCCAAAAATAAAAGTTATTTAAATTTAGTATGAAAGAACTAAAGTTCTACTTAGAAAAAAGGATAAACAATTTGTTAGCCTGACATAAACTGGTATTTATTTTCTTTTTATATTGCGACTTAGCAACTAAATCCCCATTAGTGGGATTCACAGTTAAAACTCAAACTCCTTCTTTTTCTTCCTATGAATTTTAGTTCCTACGGTTCTTAAATAACCAGGATTTTAAAAGTATTTTCTACTTTGCTTTCTTGGAGTTTTTGTTTCTCTAGGCTAGTTTACGTAAGGGCTTTAGAAGCCAATCATATAATAGGCGCCCCTCTCAATTTGAGATAATTTATAATTTATTAATATTCTCTGGAATAGGCAAAGGTATGGCAATGTGTTTGTTTGAAACATATCTCATTGCTCACTCTGTTGAAGAACCTTATCACACTCCCAGAGACATTGAGATTTCCCCCTCTTTCATTATATGCTGCTTTCTAGTACTTTTCCAGTAGACTTCCCTAAGTCAAGCCAGGGGCTCAACTTTAAATTTTTGTTGACACTAAAAGCTTTCCTTATGCCTTAATTTGGCTTATTTTGTGTATTTCTGTGGAATTCCCTATTTCTTTTCTGAAGACAGGAGAAAAAATCATGCAGTCAAAAAGTTCAAATTTCATGGGAGATCATGAAGCTTCAGAAAAGCCAGAACAAATTAGTTATATTCCATCTGCATTCCCCTTCCAGCATAATCATACAATTATCAACAAATAGAGTTATTTGTTTTTCAAGGATGCAAATGTTTATATTACTTCCTTATTATCCTTGTAATATCTGTAAGAGGATTTCTATTTATGTTTCCTCTTTCATTCTTGACATTGGTACCTTGTGTCTGTTCTCTTTTTCTTGACAGTTCTTGCGTTTGGTTTTGTTGGTTTTCTCTGCTGTTTTTCTGTATCATATTTTATTGCTTTTTGCTCTTTTTTATTTTTTAACTATCTTTTTATTTTAGGAAATTTTATTTTTATTTCAATAGTTTTTGGATTATAAGTTCTTTAGTAGTGATTCCTGAGATTTTAGTGCACCTGTCACCCAAGTAGCGTACACTGTACCCAATATGTAGTCCTGTATCCCTCTCTCCACTCCTAACCTTCCCCCTTGAGTCCCCAAAGTCTATTATATCATTCATATGTCTTTGCATCCTCATAGCTTAGCTCCCACTTATAAGTGAGGACATACGATATTTGGTTTTCCATTTCCGAGTTACTTCACTTAGAATAATGGCCTCCAGCTCCATCCAAGTTGCTGCAAAAGACATTATTTTGTTCCTTTTTATAGCTTTGTAGTATTCCATGGTGTATATATACCACATTTTCTTTATCTACTCATTGGTTGATAGGCACTTATGTTGGTTCAATACTTTTGCAATTGCAAATTGTGCTGCTATAAACATGCATGTGTCTGTGTGGTTTTTATATAATGACTTCTTTTCCTTTGGGTAGATACCCAGTAGTGGGATTGCTGGATCGAATGGTAGATCATTTTAGTTCTTTAAGGAATTTCCATACTGTTTTCCATAGTAGTCGTACTAATTTATATTCCCACCAGCAGTGTAAAAGTGTTCCCTATCCACTACATTCATGCCAACATCCATTGTTTTTTAAGTTTTTAATTACGACCGTTCTTGCAGGAATAAGGTAGTATCTCATTGTAGTTTTAATTTGGATTTCCCTGATAATTAGTGATGCTGAGCATTTTTTCATATGTTTGTTGGCTGTCTGTATATCTTCTTTTGAGAATTGTCTATTCATGCCCTTTGACCACTTTTTGATGCAGTTATTTGTTTTTTACTTGCTGATTTGTCTGAGTTCCTTGTAGATTCTAGATATTAGTCCTTTGTTGAATGCATAGTTTGCAAATATTTTCTCCCACTCTGTGGGTTGTCTATTTACTCTGCCGATTATTTCTTTTGCTGTGCAGAAGCTTTTTAGTTTAATTAGGCCCCACTTATTTATTTTTGTTTTTGTTGCATTTGCTTTTGGCGTCTTAGTCATGAATTCTTTGCCTATGACAATGTCTAGAAGAGTTTTTCCAATGTTATCTTCTATAATTTTTTGGTTTCAGGTGTTAGATTTAAGTCTTTGATCCATCTTGAGTTGATTTTTGTATAAGGAGATGAGGATCCAGTTTCATTCTTTTACAGGTGGCTTGCCAGTTTTCCCAGGACCATTTTCTGAATAGGGTAATCTTTCCCCAATTTACGTTTTTGTATGCTTTGTCGAAGATCAGTTGAATGTTAAGTGTTTGGCTTTACTGGGTTCTTTATCTTGTTCCATTAGTCTGTGTGCCTATTTTTATACCAGTACCATGTTGTTTTGGCAACAATAGCCTGGTAGTTTTATTTATTTATTTATTTATTTATTTATTTATTTATTTATTTATTTATTTTGAGACAGAGTCTCGCTGTCTCCCAGGCTGGAGTGCAGTGGCGCGATCTCAGTTCACTGCAAGCTCTACCTCCCGTTCAGCCAGTCTCCTGCCTCAGCCTCCCAAGTAGCTGGGACTACAGGTGCCCGCCACCATGCCCGGCTAATTTTTTGTATTTTTAGTAGAGACAGGGTTTCACCATGTTAGCCAGGATGGTCTCGATCTCCTGACCTCGTGATCCGCCCGCCTCGACCTCCCAAAGTGCTGGGATTACAGGCTTGAGCCACTGCGCCCGGCCACCTGATAGTACAATTTGAAGTTGGGTAATGTGATGCCTCCAGATTTGTTCCTTTTGCTTAGGTTTGGTTTGGCTGTGGGTGCTCTTTTTTGGTTCTGTATGAATTTTAGTATTGTTGTTTTCTGGTTCTGTGAAGAATGATGATGGTATTTTGATAAGAATTGCACTGAATCTGTAGATTGCTTTGGTGAGTATGGACTCTTTCATGAAAAAGTTTCCTTTCTTCTTCTTGGCTGAAAAATCTCAGGGAGAGCTGTCTGTCTGGGAGTTGACTGGGAATTATCAGAGAAGGCATTTTCAGTTTTATGGGATCTTCAAGAAATCTTGTTGATTGTAGAATATGTGTGGTATATAAATTTCTAGATAGTGGCTACTGGAGTGTGGCTTTTAGTATCTCTATTCTAGTTAAGCCAAGAATGTATCATATCCTTAATTATAATTCCTTCAAAAATTTTGGCAAAAATTAACAAATTAAGAATCATGAATTGTCCATATTTTTGTGATGCTAAGAATGATCAGCAGGTTATGGGTGGTGATGGCCTGATCCCTCCATTGTAAAGTTCCCCATAATCTAATGATTCATCTATTGATGATGATTGAATTGATTATTTTATTTGGAGTAATAAAATGTGGTGTTAAGAATTCTATAATTTCCCCCACATCAATCCGTAGAGAAGAATTGTCCTTCATGAAGCAGAGTTATTTTGTTACTCTGAAATATAGTTAATAGAGTAAGAATGGACCCTTAATTTCATCCTTCTAATTGATGTTTTTTAAATTTAAAAATGCTGTTTAGTAAGTAGGTTTTGTTTTTTACTTTCTCTCTTTATTATTATTATTTACTCATTTAACATATCTATATTCAATGTGTTTTAAACTATTACATTCATTATTATTTCTGATATTAAAATCATTTCAAATTTGCCCAAGGGTCATTCTTTCATGTTGGCTTGTGTTGTCTTTGGAAATGACCCTTTGACCTTCATAACTTACTTGATTTTTGGGATAACAAAATGTTCATCTTGTATATTTCCAGATACACACTTAGAATCCACTATTTTTTGAAGGCCCTGAATTCTTTTAGTAGGGAATGGTATTTAGAGAATTAGTGTTATTTGGTTGTCATTCAAGAGGCCTCTAGACCTCTTCAGTGGACAGAGCTAGGAAATTTGTATTTTCTAAAAAAAGAAAAAAATCACGGATTTATAATGATATTTCAAATTCAAATATTAATTCAATATTAATTAAAATTCAGAATTAATATTAAAATATTTTAAGTAAAATTAAAATTTTCCCAGCTTTATTAAATCATAATTGATAAATAAACATTGTATATATTTATGGTGTACAATGTGATGTTCTATTATATGTATGAGGGGACTTTAAAAGTTTGTGGAAAATGAAATTAAAAGATAAAGATAAAAATAAAAAGTGCAAACCTTACTTCTCAACATAAGCTCTATCAAATTCAAGACACTTTTGTAAGCAATGATACCAGCTATTTAGTCCATTCCTAAAGACTGAGAGTCCTGGGAAGTTAGCATTATCAATGCATTCTTTTTCACATTATTTACTGCAGAAAATGGATGCCAGTTGAAGATTTTTTTAAGATTAGGAAACAAAAAGAATTTAGAAGGAGTCAAATCAGGACTGTAAGGTGGATACCTAATAATTTCCCAATGAAACTTTTGCAACATAGCCCCCTTGTCTGATGAGAGAAATGAGCAGGAGCAGGAGCACCAGTGTCATGATGGAGAACTCTCTGGTGGAGTTTTCCTAGGCATTTTTCAGCTAAAGCTTTGGCTAACTTTCTCAAAACACTTTCATAATAAGCAGATGTTACATTCTTTAGCTCTCCAGAAAGTCTGCAAGCAAAATGCCTTGAGCATTCCAAAAAACTGTTGCCATGGCCTTTGCTTTTGACTGGTCCTCTTTGGCTTTGACTGGACCACTTCCACCTCTTAGTAGCCATTGCTTTGATTGTGCTTTGTCTTCAGGATCATACTGGTAAAGCAGTGTTTAATCTCTTGCTACAATTCTTCAATTAAATGCTTCAGGATCTTAATCCCACTTGTTTAAAATTTCCGTAGAAAGTTCTGCTTTTTTCTGCAACTATCTGGGTGCAACAGTTTTGGCACCCAGTGAAGAAAATGTTGCTCAACTTCAATTTTTCAGTCAGAATTGTGTAAGCTGAACCAACTGGTATGTCTGTGGTGTTGGCTATTTTTTCTGGCATTAATCATCAATTCTTTTCAATTAGGGCATGAGCAAGATTAAGTTTTTCCTCACAAATGGATGTGGATGTTCTGCTACTGCGGATTTCATCCTCATCATCTTGTCTCTTCTTAAAACAGGTTATTCATTTGTAAACTGCTGATTTCTTTGAGGCGTTGTCTCTGTAAACTTTTTGTAAAGCATCAGTGATTTCATCATTCTCCCACCCAAGCTTCACCACAAATTTGATGTTTGTTCTTACTTTAATTTTAGCAGAATCCATATTGCTGTGATAGGGGCTCTTTTCAACTGATGAATTATTCTTACTGCCTCGAACTAGAGCTTATTCAGACAAGTTATAACAAGTTTGTACGAATTTATTTTGGTACATAAACATTTCCATGCTTAGTTTTTTTGTAATATGCATTTCCATGAACTTTTTGAAGATTCCAAGAATATTGTAAAATTATTAAATCAAGCGACTTAACGTATCCATCACCTCACATGCTTATCTTTCTTTTTTGTGGTGAGAACACTTAATATCTACTGTCTTAGCAATTTTCTTTTTTTTTTTTTTTTTTTTTTTTTTTTTGAGACGGAGTCTACTCTGTCGCCCAGGCTGGAGTGCAGTGGCGGGACCTCGGCTCACTGCAAGCTCCGCCTCCCGGGTTCACGCCATTCTCCTGCCTCAGCCTCCCAAGTAGCTGGGACTACAGGCGCCCGCCACTACGCCCGGCTAATTTTTTGTATTTTTAGTAGAGACGGGGTTTCACCGTTTTAGCCGGGATGGTCTCGATCTCCTGACCTCGTGATCCGCCCGCCTCGGCCTCCCAAAGTGCTGGGATTACAGGCGTGAGCCACCGCGCCCGGCCGTCTTAGCAATTTTCAAGTGTATAATATAGTATTATTAAGTATCATCACCATGCTGTACAATAGGTCTCCAGAACTTATTCATTCTAACTGAAACTTTGTACCATCTGACCATCTCTCTATTCCAACCCTCCACCTCCAGCCCCTGGCAACAATTCTGATAAAGTCACCAATACTTTCTGATTCTGCGGATTCAACTTTTTTACATTCCACATATAACTGAGATCATGCAGTATTTGTTTTTCTGTACCTGGCTTATGTCAGGTGACATAAGGTGTCTAGGTTCCTCCATGTTGTCACAAATGGTAAGATTTCTTTATTTTCTAAGGCTGAATAATATTCCATTGTATATATACAATATGTTTTCTATATCCACTTATTTATGTACCCTTCGGTTGATTCAATATCTTGGCTATCGTGAATAATGCTATAATGAACATGAGAGTGCAGATACTTGTTTGATATACTGATTCCATTTCCTTTGGATATATACCCAGTAGTGGGATTGCTGGATCATAGGGTAGTTCTATTTTTAATTTTTTGAGAAACATTTGTACTATTTTCCTTAGTGATTGTACTATTTTACATTTCCACCAACTGTGTAAAAGGGGTCTCTTTTCTCCACATGCTCGCCAATATTTGTTATCTTTTATCTTTTTTATAACAGCTATTCTAACAAGTGTAAAATGATATCTCACAGTTTTTTGATATAATTTTCCTGGTATTTACTGATATTGACCATTTTTTCATATCCCTGTTCATTTGTATGTCTTTTTTTGAGAAATGCCTTTTAAGGTTCCTTGCCCATTTAAAAAATCATGTTATTTGCTTTTTTTGCTATTGAGTTGGTTATTTATATATTTTGTGTATTAACTTGTTATCAGATATATGGTGTGTAATATTTTCTCTCATTCCATAGGAAATCCAATATTTTCTCCAACTGTCTTTACTGATTATTTCCTTTGCTTTGCGGGATTTTGGTTTGATGCAATCTTATTTGTGTATTTTTGTTTTGTTGCCTTTGTTTTTGTAGTCATATTATAAAACATCATTGACTAGGCCTGTGTCAAGGAATATTTCCCCTTTGTTTTCTTTCAGTAGTTTTATAGTTTCAGGTCTTATATTTAGATTTTTAATCCATTTTGAGTTGACTTTTGTGGATGATGTGAGATAAAGGTCCAAGTTCATTCTTCTGCATGTGAATATTAAGTTTTCCCAACATCATTTGAAAGAGACTATCCTTTCCCTATTGTGTGTCTCTTTCCCATAAAGCTTCATCATGTGGCAGCTTGGTTCAAGATCAATTGAACATTAATGCATGGGTTTATTTTTGGGTCTCTATATTTTTCCATTGGTCTGCATGTCTGTTTTTAGGCCAGTATTTTTGATTACTGTAGCTTTGAAGTATATTTTGAAATCAGGTAATGTGATGCCTTTGGCGTTGTTATTTTTGCTCAAGTTTGCTTTGACTATTTAGAGTCCTTTGTGGCTCCCTATGAATATTAGAATTTTTTTTCTATTTCTGTGAAAAATGCCATTAAAATTTTTGATAGGGAGTGCATTGAATCTGTACATTAAAATTACAGTATAGACATTTTAACAATATTAAATCTTCTAATCATGAACACAAAATAACTTTCCCTTTGTTACTTCTTCAATTTCTCTCATCAATGTTTTGTAGTTTTCAGTGTATAGATGTTTCATCTACTTGGTTAAATTCATTTCTAAGTATTTTATTTTATTTTTGATGCTATTATAAACTGAATTGTTTTATTGATTTCTTTTTTGGATAGTTGATTGTTAGTATACAGAAATGTTACTACTTTTTGTGTGTTGATTTTGTATATTAAAACTTTACAAAATTAGTTTATTAGTTCCAATAATTTTTCAGTGAAGTCTTTAGGATTTTCTATATATAAAATAATGTCATTTCCAAACAGAGACAATTTTATTTATTTCCTTTCAATTTGGATGCATTTTATCTTTTTCTTGCTTCCTTATTCTGGCTAAGACTTCCACTACTATGTTAAATAGAAGTGGTGAGAGTGAGTATTCTTGTCTTGTTCCTGATATTAGAGGAAAACCTTCCCACTTTGTGCCACTGATTCTGATGATAGCTATGAGCTTGTCATATGTAGCTTTAATATATGCAGGAACACTCCTTCTATATCTAATTTGTTGACAGTTTGCATCATGAAAGGCTGTTGAGTTTTGTCAAATGCTTTTCCTGCGTCTGTTGAGATAATCATATGATTTTTGTCCTTCATCCTATTAATATAGTGTATCACATATATTGATTTGCATGCATTGTACCATGTACCATCCTTGCATCCCAGAAATAAGTCCCACTTGGTCAGAGTGTATAATCCTTTTATGGGCTGTTGAATTTGGTTTGCTAGTATTTTGTTGAGTATGTTTGCATTTATGCTTATCATCAGGAATATTGGTCTGTAATTTTCTTTTCTGTCTTTCTCTGGCTTTGGTATTAGGATAATGCTGGTCTGGTGATATGATTAATTCAACTTTTTGATTATATACTTTTATTGCTTTTCTCTTACATGGATATTTTATTGCTTAATAATATTAAGTTTTACTTGTAATATTAATTTATGTAATGATATTAAAATATTAATTTTAATACAATATTAAATTTAGGTGAAATCAAATATTAAATTATTAATGGAATGATTAAATTTTAGGTGAAATCAAATTTTACTTAACATTAAATTTAATTATATATTTGCATTATTCTAATATGTATAGAATATCAAAATAAAATTAACAATGTTATGATTAATGATTAGGCTGCTGTTAAGATTTCTTGCAAACTCTATGAAATATATTATATTCCACTAAATATAAAAAATAGAAATACTATGTAAAGAATTTTTTTGTGCCATGCTGGTGCACTGCACCCACTAACTCGTCATCTATCATTAGGTATATCTCCCAGTGCTATCCCTCCCCCCTCCCCCCACCCCACCACAGTCCCCAGAGTGTGATATTCCCCTTCCTGTGTCCATGTGATCTCATTGTTCAATTCCCACCTATGAGTGAGAATGGCACATGTATACATATGTAACTAACCTGCACAATGTGCACATGTACCCTAAAACTTAAAGTATAATAAAAAAAAGAATTTTTTTGTGTTTATATCTCTAATTTGATAAACAATTAGCTTGTTTTTGCTTTGTTTTCATATTTTAGGGCTTTTGGTTCAATTGCAATTCCTTGTATTCTCTTTCTTTTCTCTTTTTATAGCTACTCATTTTTTATAACCAGTTGTTGGTTAGTAAAAAAATTCCCTTTACAAATGTAATTTGCTAAATAAATGCAAATTCTTTTTCTTATATAAAGATAGCACATTATATAAGCTATTCTGCATTTTTTCATTTAATAGTATATCCTAGAGAATATTTCATATCAGTGTATAGCATTCTTCTTTATTCCTTTTTATGGCTATATAGTATTAGTTTACCATAATTTATTTAGCCAGTCTCTATTAATGGACATTTGAATTATTTCCAGTTAAGTATTAAAATTATTCTATGGTGAATAATCTTGTGCATAAAACACTTCATAGTTTTACTTTTTTTTGGGCAGATTCCTAGAAATGAAATTGCTGAGTCAAAAAGAGAATGTATAAGTAATTTTTCTAGATATTGTCAAATCCCCCTCTATTTATATTACACTTTTGCATTTCCAACTCATGTGGTTGCTCCATGACAATTAAATAATATATTGTCTAATTTTTGGATTTTTGCAATTCTTATAGGTGCGAAGTGATCTCTTAATTAAATTTTAATTTGTGAGTTAGGTTGATTATCTTCTCATGTGTTCCATTTCTTCTGTGTTCTGTTTGTCCACATCTTTTACCCATGTTTCTATGTACCATAGAAATATCCCTTTGTCTGTGACATAAATTGCATGTATTTTTTCTTAGTTTGTCCTTTGTCTTTGTTTATAATCTTTTTTTATACCAATTTTTAATTTCTTATTTAGTGTAGTCAGACTTTACTTCTTTTATTGCTTCTAAATTTTGAACTAGGAATATATTTCCAACTCTCAGGTTATAAAAAAAATTTATTCTCATTTATTTTTCTATTGTATGGTTTTAAAAATTTTTACATTTTTGATCTTTGATCTATTTGTTTTCAGTTTGAAATGAAGATTTAGTTTTATCTTTTTTTTCTCAAGCATCATTTTAAAGCATCCATTTTTTACTCACTGATTTTTGTTTTGTTTTGTTTTGAGATGGGGTTTCACTGAGTTGCCCAGGCTGGCCTTAAATTCTTGGGCTGAAGGAATCCTCCTACCTCAGCCTCCTGAGTAGCTGGGACTACAGGTGCATGCCACTGTGCCTACGTTTCCCTCACTGATTTAGAATGCCACTTCTGTCCTAGAAAATGATGTACTTTTCAAGTTCAAAAGTTCATACAAACATTTCGGTTATCAGAGCTAGATGTTGTTTTTAATATTTGACAGACACGAACTGCCTTCGTTTTAAATAGTGTCAACCCAAACTCATCCTTGAATTTTCTATAAATATTTCATGGTAGCTCTTATTTAAATGCAAATATATTAAAAACAGAAGTAAAATTTCCAGATATTATCATATGTCATGCTACAAACATGTATAAGACACAGACTCTGTAATTAGGATCTTATAGCTTAATGAGAGAAAGAGATATACAATGAGATTATTTCAATGTATTTTTCTATATACAGGTTATTATTGGTTTATGCACAGAATCTGCAAAGATACATATATGGATATGGATTCTGCAAAAACAAGATGGAAGAAACTATGCAGGTAAAACAAAATGATTGTGCTTCTTTTATGTCTACACTTTGATATTATTAGCGTTGTCCTAATTCTTATTTTCAAGATAGACCTAAAAGACTAGCAAATCAAGCTGAGTAGATTAAGCACAACATACAAATATGGAGGGGTAAAATTACTTGTGCAGAAGGCAGGGCACAAGGATAATAAATTCTTAAAATTCTGGTGAAGAAGGAATTCTGCCCTTCACATTTAAGGCCAGGGTACTGTGTGAAATTAGAGAAACTTTGAATTCTCTTTATATTTAGTGCCTAAAAGTTCAACCACTTAGGAAGAGGTTTCCTCCCTTTGGTGAATCACCACCTCCAGCATTGACAATGCCAGATTAGATGGAACACTTTCAACCCTGGGGTTAGGTATTCTTGCTTCTGCCTAAGGTTTTTGATTTTAATTGACTCCACTGCTCCCTCTCTCAGGGTTTAAAAAGACTCTTATTACTGGGAAAAGAGTCGTTTTAATTTTCCACTAAGAAGGTTAATTAAACATCAGTTTTGGTTCTTTCCTGCTTGGTGTTTGAGTGACAAGAACTTTTCCTCAGATGTCAAAAGCTGAAGAAATGATCTAGAGGACGGATTCCTGGGACAAAGACATACGAACTTGTGTCCTCAACACAGAAGCTTTTCAGGGAGAGTGGCAGACAAACGTATTTCTCCTTCAGAACTATCTCAATCCTAGGCTAGTGGTGTATGTTGCAATGCTACCCTGGGGAGAGAGGTGTTAGAAAGCTGTGTTAAAAAGATGTCTTAGCTAACAGCCTTATGTGATAAATAGCATGCCATTTTTCAATCAATGTCATTTCTAAATCCTGTAAGGAGATCATTTGTCGGAGTGGTTATTTGACAATTCATATATCATTTTGATCCATTTCTGACCCCTAGGTTTGGTCAAATGGACTTAAAGATTTAATTAAGAAAAAAATACGACTTTTAGCTGTTTTTTTGGAGTTTGAATGGAGTGTTCATATGAATTCTCAGGTCTGTATGTGTATTAGTCTGTTCTCACACTGCTATGAAGAAATGCCAGAGACTAGGTAATTATAAAGGAAAGAGGTTTAATTGACTCACATTTTCACATTGCTAGGGAAGCCTCAGGAAACTTACAATCAGGTGGAAGGGGAAGGAGAAGAAGGCACCTTTTTTTCACAGGGCAGCAGGATGAAGTGAGTGCAAGCAGGGGAAATGCCAGATGCTTATAAAACCATTAGATCTCATAAGACTCACTTATTATCACAAGAACAGCATAGAGGAAACTGCACCCATGATTCAATTACCTCCACCTGCTCCCTGCCCTTGATATGTGGGGATTATTACAATTCAAGGTGAGATTTGGGTGGGAACACAGAACCAAATCATATCACTCCACTTTTGGTCCCTCCCAAATCTCATGTCCTCACATTTCAAAACACAATCATGCCCTTCCAACAGTCCCCCAAAGTCTTAACATTCCAGTATTAGCCCCAACCTCAAAGTCCGAAGTCTTATCTGAGACAAGTCCCTTCTGCCTTTTAGCCTGTAAAATCAAAAGCAAGTTAGTTACTTCCTAGATACGATGGAAGTACAGGCATTGGGTAAATACACCCATTCCAAATCGGATAAATTGGACAAAATGAAGGGGCTACAGGTCCCATCAAGTCTGGAATCCAATAGGGCCCTCATTAAACCTTAAAATTCCTAAATGATCTCCTTTGATTCCATGTCTCACATTCAGGACTCCCACAACCTTGGACAGCTCCACCCCTGTGGCTTTGCAGGGTCCAGGACCCCTCCCAGCTGCTTCCATGGGCTGGCATTGAGTGTCTGCAGCTTTTTCAGGTTCACGATGCAAGCCGTAAGTGGACCTACCATTCTGGGATCTGGATGATGGTGGCCATATTCTCACAGCTCCACTAGACAATGCCCCAATGGGGAATCTGTGTGGGGACTCCAACCCCACATTTTCCTTCTGCACTGCCCTAGCAGAGGTTCTCTATGAGGGCTTCATCCCGGCAGCAAACTTTTGCCTGGACATCCAGGCTCAACACCACATGTAAGCTCCCAAGGCTTGGGGCCTGCACCCCCTGAAGTGATGGCTCCAGTTGTACATTGGCCCCATTTAGCCAGAGCTGGAGCTGAAGCAGCTAGGATGCAGGGCACCATGTTCCAAGGCTGCACAGAGCAGGTGGGAACTGGGCCTGGCCTAGGAAACCATTTTTTCTTCCTAGGCCTCCTTCCATTTTTCTAGCCTTCCCTCCAGGCCTCCAGGCTGCTGTGATGTTCTCTGACATGCCCTGGAGACATTTTCTCCATTGTCCTGTTGATTAACATTTGGTTTCTCATTACTTATGCAAATTTCTGCAGTGGGCTTGAATTTCTACCCAAAAAATGGATTTTTCTTTTCTATTGTATTGTCAGGTTGCAAAATTTTTCAAACTTTTCTGTTCTGTTCTTCTTCTTGAATGCTTTGCTGCTTAGAAATTTCTTCTGCCAGATACCCTAAATCATCTCTCTCAAGTTCAAAGTTCCACAGATTGCTAAGGCAGGGGCAAAATGCTGCCAGTCTCTTTGCTAAAGCATAGCAAGAGTCACTTTTACTCCAGTTCCCAAGAAGTTCATCATCTCCATCTGAGACTACCTCAGCCTGGACTTCATTGCCCATATAACTATCAGTGTCTTGGTCAAAACCATTCAACAAGTTTCCAGGAAGTTCCAACTTTCCCATATTTTCTTGTCTTCTTCTGAGCCCTCCAAACTTTTCCAACCTCTGTCTGTTACCCAGTTCCAAAGTTGCTTCTGCATTTTTGGGTATCCTTATAGGAGCGTCCCACTCCTGGTACCAATATACTGTATTAGTCTGTTTTCACACTGCTATGAAGAAATATCTGAGACTGGGTAATTTATAAAGGAAAAAGGTTTAATTGACTCACAGTTCTGCATTGCTGGGGAGGCCTCAGGAAAATCATGGCAGAAGGCAAAAGAGAAGGAGGCACCGTCTTCACAGTACAGCAGAATGGAGTGAGTACAAGCAGGAAAAATGCCAGTTGCTTATAAAACCATCATATCTTGTGAGAACTCACTCACTTATTATGAGAGCAGCATGGGGGAAACTGCCCTCATGATCCAATTACCTCCACCTGGTCCTGCCCTTGATACATGGGGATTATTACAATTCAAGGTGGGATTTGGGTGGGGATACAGAGCCAAACCATATCAGTGTATTCATGGAATTACTATATTTGCCTCCTTCAAGCCTGGTAAAAGGGAATATTTAAACACATATTATGAAGCATGATAAAATCGTAAGAATTAGAGATGTAAAGAAAAATAAAATTACCTAACTACAAAATAGGACTTATCTACTTTCATGTTCCTATGTACTTTCATTAGAAGAGGATGAAGAGCCTATTGTTCCAACTGGATTCCAAATCAATTAGTTCTTTCTGATGTTTGGCTCACAAATAAGTGAGGTATAACCATTTCATATAAATATGTATAATTTTTTAAAATGTTTACCTTGTACTAGTGGCTTAAGATATACACATTTGTAATGTTTATATTTGGTTTGATTCAATTATCATGTCAACCTTATGAGATAGGTACTGTTGTTCCCATTTAATATTAATAGGTGAATACTTAATATTAATAGGCAAACATTAGTAGGTAATATAAATAAGTGGAAGTTTAGTGCTTGGGAGAGTCTAATAACTTGTGCAAAGTAACAAAAATACTAAGATTTGGACCCAGGTCTGTCTGATTCTAAAGCACATGCCTTTAGTAACTATGCATTATTCATAGAGAAACCTAAAAAGTATTTAGATTTGGAACTTTATTTTAGACTTAAAATACATTTTAGAAATTTGATATGGTGTCTTGGAGAAAAATGAGATGAGGTTATGTCCAGTGATTTGAGGTCTGGACACCAGTTCCTATGGTGTACTATATGGATAGATGCATATTTATCTATATGTCTATGAATGAATGGACTATTACATTGTTGACTGAGAAATTAGCATTTATATATGCACAGATATGGACATATCTATGAATTCCTCAAATAATTGACAGGATTTTTATATGTTGTAAGTTGGTTATCACAATTTCCTATAGAATCAATGTTATATGTCATGCTTATGTATTAAAACCAATCCATAAAACATTCATAATTTTATCTGTTTGCATATGATCTTATCCCCAGACTCATGAGTGGTGCCTGGAATGCAGAAGACAAGCAAATGTTTTGTTAAATCAATAAATTAATAAAATGAGTGAAAGAAACTGAAGAACAATACTAATAACATTAAATATCTATTTTTTATTTATATTATTGCTTCTATTGAAAAATTACATTTGGAATTCTAACTTGGGATGTCAGTAACTTACCTTTCCTCCTTGCTTGCCTAAATACACAAAGGTGTGAGTGGAGACTCTTCATCGGGCTACTAGTTTATTTTCCACAATTTAGGAAGTGGTGTCCTACAAGACAGAAATCATTGTACTGGTATGAAGGGATAAGAAGGAGATTCTAGGGTTTGGGAGTAGAATTTCTAGGAAGAGGACCTTGGAAAGGTGCAGTAGTGTGGTGAGAAAATGTGGAACAGATAAGTTCATGGAAGGGAGGGGGGTAAAGAAATCTTTACTGATGATGAGCTAGAATCTAGAAGAACTCCTGCAGCCTGGCTGAGGTAGCCCTCAGCACATTAAAATTATATATAAATCACTATAGTGTGTGTGTGTGTGTGTGTGTGTGTGTAATGGAAAGACTGTTTTTTGTTGTGGATAATAGAAATCACGCTCACCATTTTATAGCCACAGCAGAAGCATGCGCACTCAAACTTCATATCACAGCCTATTTATTAGAAGTAAACCTCAAAAGAGACAGAAGATTCATCTACACTAGACTAACAGGATTTGTGAGTTAGGCAAATTCATTGAACATAAAACTGAAGAAAATATAGCTCTTAGTCTATTTTTGATTCATGCATATTCCCTTAGAAGAGATCTATATAAGACAATGATGACTGTGAGGCAAACGAAGTCCAAAGGAACAGAGTATCTCCATGATTGTGCTTAGAGGTAGGCTCAGATTTCTTTTTGCATTATCAGTATTGACCTAAAGTATATAGAATCTTTGGAAGAAATGGAAAATATTTTCTTCCTCTCAGTTCACATATGTTTCCCACAAGGCTTAAGCTCTCCAAAATTTGTATTAATATTCCTCTGCTGTTACATCAACAGCATCCAGGTACTGCAGTCTTTGTTAGAATCCTCTTTTTTGACCAATACCCAATTCATTTCTTAGTAGAAAGCTTGTTAATAATAAGAAACTCTTTAATCCTTTCAGTACACCAAGATACAGTCTTGTGCATTACAGTAGCACTGCTTACAGAAAAATGTTCCAGACAGCCTTTCAGAAAGTGCACAGGTCTAAATCTCAAACTACTGAAGTGTACTCAATGGCCCTCACAGTCAATTCATTTCTACCCAGGGTATTACAAGAACAACTTCAATCTAAAGTTACCCTTGAGGGTTCTTCTGAAGTAAATAAATTAGAACGTGGGTATTTGAGCTTCTTACAAGTTTTCTTAGTATTCCCTTTCTTTTGGAATATATATTTTTGTTCTAATCAGCAATCATTTGATTGTCACCAAAACCCACTCAAATAATTTCAGCAAAAATGAAAATATGTTGAAAGGTACAATGACCCAACGAGAGAAGTGAAGTCAGACCTTACAGAGAGCTGGAAGCAGAAGTGTGAGGTTGCCCTGCTCCACTGCAGCCTCCCTGTATGTCTCTCTCCCTCTGGGCCTATATGGCGTTTCTGCTCTCACATTCTCTCTCTCTCCCTCTCTCTGCTCCTTCATTTTCCTCTCTCTCAGCAGTTTGACGTTCTTGTACACATAGTAGAAAATGGCCTTTTCAGTCCCCTAATTGTCTACTCAGTTTGATGCTAACAGAGACAATGAACAATCTCCAGATAAACGTCTGGTAGAGAAAATCCAACTGGCCTTGTTTGAGTTAGTTTTCCACTCTCTGTGGCCAAGGAAGAGAAAGAATGAGGGCTACAAGAATCTGTTACTGAAGGTTGCAATGAGGCAATTTTAATAAGTTGCTAAACAACAACAAACATTTATATAGCATTTGCTATAAGCCAGACACTGTTCTAAGTTCTTTGCATGCAGTAAGAAGGCATTGGCTGGTCTATTTCTCAAAATGTGTCCACAACAATTTAGTGCCTCTCAGGGTCTGGATAGCCATTTTAGTCTATGTTTACTATGTGTGTTCAAATAATATCCTAATGTAACTTGTTTGTGACATATGTTTAACACAATTTTCTTATGGATTAATATATCTTGGGTAGCCTATGATACCTTTTATCTTTATTCTTTCTCCAATTCTAAATTTGTCTTGGTGTCCTCAATCATTTTATTACGTGACTTTTTTCTAGTCATAAAAATCCCTAGAGATGGTGGCTGTGTTCTGATGAGTTTCATGCACTGACAAGACAGAATCATACCACAGCAGGAGTTGGGTCTTTGGGGTCAGTTGAAAGGGGTTTAAATTCTAACTCAGACAGTTCTGGCTCTAGGACCTTGGTCAAGTCTTTTTAACTTCTTCGATTCTTAGCTTCCTCAAGTTAAAGTGCATAAACATGTATGTTACATGTAGTATTAGAAATAATGCTTATAAAGGGCCCAGCACATAGAGGCCTTTGGTAAATAATACATAATAAAGTTTCTCGTTATATGTTTATTTTTTTGTGTGAGTATGGCATACTGGCATTGCTTAAAAGAAGTTTTTTGATGTATTTTTGTTGAAATGTACTAAAGTTAATGTACCTGATTTTCATGGCTGCAAGGTCTCATTCTGATATGAATACATAAGGGAATAGAAAGAAAATAGAAGAGTTGGAGGGACAAGTATTTGACCATTGATCAAGTTATGAATATTGGCAATTAGAATAAAAATGCAAACTGCATTATGTGTGTGTGCACATGTATGTGTGTGTGAGAGATAATTTTTAAATTTTTAAAAAATTATTTATTCTTTATTTTAAATTGACAAATAGTAATTGTATATATTTATGGAGTACAATGTGATGTTTTTCTTTATGTATCGATTGTAGAAAGATTCAATCAAGCAAGTGATTATCAGAGGCTTGGGATGGGGAGAGGAAAATATGGGGAAAGGGGAGAATAATGATTTTTTTAAAATCATTGTTCAGAATTGCAAAGCTGAGGCTTCCATTGATGGTCATTCGTCATCATCCTAGGTTGTCTATATGTGATTTCTAACAGGAATTCAGCAATGTTGTTCTCCCAATTATTCATACTCAAAAACATAACAAACGAACCTATTTATAGACTTATTTTCTCTATAGTTTATGCAAAGCCTTTTGCAGCGTTGTCTGCCTATTCTTTAATCTCCTGTTAGAAACCACCTATATGTCTTTATCTTTCCAGTGTCTTAAATTCCTCCTATTCAGGTATTGAGTTCAGATGTACACAAGTTTCTTTTTTTATGAAATTTATATTCTTTTGTATTTTAATTCATTTGGGCAATTTCACTTTTAATTCTTTAAAAATGCCTGGTTATCTACTCAATATATAACATCCTGGATCAAGTCCAGGCAATGTCATTCATTAACAATATGACTTTCAACAATGTTCTTAACTACTCTGTGTCTTAATTTCCTCATCTACTAAAACACAATTGGGCTAACAGTACCTATCTTAAAGGATTTTTTTTTTTTTTTTTTTTTTTTTGAGATGGAGTATTGCTCTGTCACCCAGACTGGAGTGTAATGGCCCAGTCTAGGCAGTCTAGGCTCACTGCAACCTCCGCCTCCGGGTTCAAGTGATTCTCCTGCCTCAGCCTCCTGGGTAGCTGGGATTACAGGCATGTGCCACCACCTCCAGCTAATTTTTGTATTTTTAGTAGAGACAGGGTTTCACCATGTTGGCCAGGTTGGTCTCAAACCCCTGACCTCATGATCTGCCTGCTTTGGCCTCCCAAAGTGCTGGGATTACAGGTGTAAGCCACCACGTGCCCAGCCCTAAAGGATGTCTTGAGGATTAAACAGGATAATTCAGAGTAAAAACTCATGGAACATTAGTACCTGGTATGTTTAAGTGCTTGATAGATATTACTTCTTAATATCATTAAACAGGTAAAATTTGGGTATACTTAAGCATCTATTTTGATATAAAAATTTTCAACCTAGAAAAGAGGTAATCATCTGAGTATTCTTATAAAGGATTCAATATTTTCAGGGTCCGTTGGGTCATGATTTTGTCCTAAATTACCTTAACTTTCTCAACCACTCTCAGGATAACAGTAATTTACCACACTGCCATGCTTTATTTCTGTTTTCATGTAGGTAACTTCCCATTCTAATCTACATTCTTACCTATCTCTGTAAGTCTGAATTTCTCTGAAATTCTTTTATAGTAATAAGGAGGTCCACATATGGAAAATGTTAAAGAGCCTAGCAAGAAGATTGCAAAGGACTGTAGATTGCATCTTCACTGGTATGCATGTCACTAAAGTGATAACTAAGTTGCCATTTGGAAGCAACTTTTCTTTTGTGAACAAACCTTCTAAAGAAAAAGATATTTAAAAATGCAGAATGTAACATAGTTTCCATACAGGACAGAAACATGTTGAGGAATAAAATAGACGACAGCTTTTGAGTATGGTCCACTGGGGAGAGGAAAATTGAACTTGAGGTTAGAAGATGTGGGTTATAGTCAGGGTCCATACACATATACATGAGCATGTTGCTGACAAATGGGCATCATGACTCTGTTAGTCCACTTGTGTTGCTATAAAGGAATACCCGAGACTGAGTAATTTAAAAGAAAAGAGGTTTAATTGGCTCATGATTTTGCAGGCTGTACATGAAGCATAGTACCGGTATTTGCTTCTGATGAGGGCCTCAGGAAGCTTACAATCATGGCAGAAGGTGAGGGGAAGCCAGTGTATCACACGGTGAGAGTGGGAACAAGAAAGAGAAGGGGAGGTGCCAGCTCGTTTAAAAAATCAGATCTCATGTGAACTCATTACTGCAGGGAGGACACCAAGTTATTCATGAGGGATCCGCCCCCAAGACCCAAACACCTCCCTCCAGACCCTACTTCCAACACGGGGGGATTACATTTCAATATGAGATTTGAAAGGGACAAACATTCAAACTATATCAATAACTCTACTCTATTTTGAGGTTAAAATACTGTGAAACATTTGAAAGAACTTTGTAAGCTATTGGTTAAGTCATTAGGAATTGTGTAGACTATTTTGATTCTTGAATATTTACCATATGCTCACAGGTAAGTAATTTACTTTTTATACACAGCTTAACTTCAGATATTTACAAATGCTTATTGTTAAATATTTGGCAGCATTGGCATTGTACAGGTCCAAGCTTACATGCAAATGAGTTTGTAATTACTATCTTGAGAAGAAATGTCATTAAAAAAATTGCAGTAGGTGGTACCAGAGGCATCCTGTTCTAAAATTTTATCCTTTGGAAAAATATCACATCTCTCTGCAAGAGACAGTAGTTCTAATTTGTTTGATCAAATATGTGCAATTTGTGCCTTTCACCATAGGGTATTATAGCCTACAGGCATATACATAGCATTACTGAAGGAAAATGACTCCCTGATTATGTCCTGAAAAACTAATGAAAGCATGTCAAAAGAAAAAAAAAGCCATTGCCTTCTACAGAATAAAAGGGATTAATCATAGAAACAGAAGGAAATGAATTTGGACCTTTGAAGAAATTGACTCCCTGATAAGAATGCAAGTCAGAGAACTGAGCAGGTCATGAAGGCCCCCTGCAATCCAAGGCAGCACACAGCTGTGTGTGCACTTTGTCAGGATTGTTTTATTTTTTAAAGCAAGTTCACTACTTAAAGCAAAGATTGGGAGTCCAGATTTCAGGAAAAAAGGCAGCAATTGTTCCCAAACAGAATTATTGGGCAAGAGAACTTGTGAAATACAGTCTAATTTGTGCTTAGAGAAAAAAAAAGCTCTTTTTGGTAAGGACGGGTGAATGTTCTATGTGAGACTATTGTTTGGATAACTTTTGGTTGGGGACGTAAGGTGGTGGCAGGATCTCAGTATGGCTATGCAGATGTAGTGAGTCATCTTAGAGAGAAAACAGCCTGGGAAAGTGAGATGGCCGATGGGAAAGTGAGATGGCCGATCTGACTCCCTCTCCAGTTCCCATAGCAGAAGCTACTGGATGGGAGAACACAGGCTAACACACCCCTCAGGCTCTGGGGTCATTTCTGTTTCTAGTAGACTGCATGGGGCTTTAAGAAACCTAGCCCTGGCCAGGCGCGGTACTCATGCCTGTAATCCCAGCACTTTGGGAGGCTGAGGCGGGTGGATCACCTGAGATCAGGAGTTCAAGACCAGCCTGGCCAACATGGCAAAACCCCGGCTCTACTAAAAAGACAAAAACTAGCCAGGCTTTGTGGCAGGCACCTGTAATCCCAGTTACCCAGGAGGCTGAGGCAGGGAGAATTACAGTGAGCCGAGATCGCACCACTAGACTCCAGCCTGGGCAACAGAGTGAGACTCCGTCTCAAAATAAAAAATAAAAAATAAATAAAAAAAGTAAACAAAGCAAACAAACAAACAAATAAACCTAGTCCTGAAGACCAAGCTTACCTTAACCTTCCTGATGATCAGGCCCTGATTTATTTGCAGTATCAAACTCTTGCCTACTTCCTGTAGGCAGGTTACTGTCTTATTTCAGTATCCGAATCCCTGAAATATTCCCACGTGCCTTTGTCGTGGTTCTTTCCAGTACTGCAACCCTGCTTTGCCCCATCTCAACGCTCCCAGGGGCTTGAGGGCAGGCTCTGGATCACAGGCACCATGGCCATGTACTTGCATTCCACTGGTCTGATTGCCTATTACAAGAGTTCCATGGCAGCATACTCCATCAAGCTGGGATGACTCTGATGATGCTAAGTTCTAGAGTGTAAGATCCATGAGGGCAGAGATTGTGTCTGTCTTATTCAGCATTGTGTTTTCAGGATCTTGCATGGTGCTTAGTACAGGCTAGGTGCTCAATAAGTTTTTATTTATTTATTTATTTATTTATTTATTTATTTATTCATTTTTTGCAGCCAATGTCTGCTTTAGTCATCTGTGCTGCCCTGACTAATCCATCTTATCTGGTTCTGGTCATCAAAACCTGACCCGCCTCTGCTGATTGATTCCCAATACTCACATACATAATTTAGTTGAAGTACCATGCTAATTATTATTCATAGAAACACTTAGCACTTTTCATCACTGAAATGTCTTCCAAATTGAGTTACTTAATCAACCACAGATCTGTGTGGAGGTGACTATAAAATCTGATGAGTGATGATAAATCATTGCAAAGTATCATGATAGTTTTTAATAGGAAAGCGATAAATGTGAAGATAATTTCAGATTAACCGTTGTAGGGAAGTCAACTGAGCAGTGTGTGTTGTCTCCCATGGTTCCTCAGATTAGCTATGCAGAATGAGTCAGGGACAACTGAGTTCAATCTTGAATCTACCAATTATTGCCTGAATGTTATGAGCATGTTTACAAACCTAAGTCACCTCAGTTTTCTTGTATGTGAAATGGAAGTAATGATAGTAAGTACCTCAGAAAGCTGTGACGATTAAGTGAAATAACACATGGAATACCAAATACTGTGTCTGGCAAATAGTAAAGGCTTAATAAATACCCAATAAAGAAGTAACTCTACAAAACCGCAGCTCAAATCAGAAATGTAGAATTTCCTGGAATTTTGAATCAATGGAAATTTACTTTTTGGTTCAGTATAAAGAGAGAGAAGGCTTTGGAGCCAGAAGGCCTGAGCTTCCTCTTCTCATTAGATGGGAGAATGTGGACAAGTCACTTGATATGACCAGGTTGTACAAATCCTGGATGTGTAGCTCACTTGGAATACAATGGTAATTGAGCTCCTGTGGAGTTTGACCTTATATCCTGGCATCTCAACTTTCTTACCTGTAAAATATGTATATTAATATTTTTAAGGGCTGTAAGAATTGAGGCAATGTTTACAAAGCTCAGTGCATAGTATATGGTAGGTACTTGATAAGTAGCTATCATTATTTTGGGAAAATAAAAATGTACATAATGTTTAATATCGTGTAAAGTTAGATCTAAATTTACTTTTAGTGAATGAATATTGAAATATATTATTCCTAATTTGGTTTTGAAACAAAACCATAATGTTTACAGCTATAAATGCCTGGAGAAAATTTCCACTTTATAGAAAATGAAAAATATTCCTCAGATAAAGGACATTTTCCCCCAAGTTCTCATTATTTTTTTCTTTTCTAAGCTTTTAGAAGTCTGCTTCACGCAAATCTCTCACTCTATTGATGTATAGATTAGCTCTCTTTATTCTATTTTTGATCTTTCTAATGGAAAACTCCTTTCTTTGGTAAAATCCCATTATCTTTTAACTTGATTTCTTTCTTTACATCCGTATTCCTTCCTGACACCACTATTACCATCTTCCAAACTTTGATTTTCATTTCACTTTCCTTCTTGGTAGGAAGCCAAGGTGATGGGAGAGTTACCTCTGTGGTTACATCAAGTTTTATAAAACTCTGTTCTAACAGACTGGTAAAAGAAATACTCCCAATGGCCTTAACGAAGTAAACATCCATGTTGTGAGACACCCGATGAGAGGATTATGTAGCAAAGAACTGTGGGCAGCCTCTAGGAACTGAGAGTACCTCCTGGCTGACAGCCTGCGAGAAAATGGGGACCTCAACCCTACAGCTACAAGAAATGGAATTCTGCCAACACCTACATGAGCTCGGAAGAGCATCTCAAGCTCCTGATGAGAATGCAGCCCAGCCAACATCTAGGTTAAGACCCTGAGCAGAGGACCCAGTTAAGTTAGGTCTGGATGCCTGACCCATAGAAACTGTGAAATCAACAAGTGGGTATTGTTTTAAGCTGCTAAGCTTGTGGTTATTTGCTATACAGCAACAGAAAACTAATATGCATCTCCTTCATTGGACATAGTACACAAGCAAGTCCCTGATTGCCCTCACAATGTGATGTGACAATATTGTTTAATCTTACAGCACTTTTATTACATTATCTATCATACTATATTGTTATTGATTATTCATTTGTCTGTTTATTGTGTTTGGTTTAATGATCCTGGGTTATTTATAAACATCTAGGCAGAGAATCAAGACAAGTAAAACAATGCACATTTGCAGAACATCCCCAGAAGGTAACACAACCACTTGGCTGGCTGGGCGCAGTGGCTCACTCTTGTAATCCTAGCGCTTTGGGAGGCCAAGGTGGGCGGATCACTTGAGGTCAGGAGTTCAAAACCAGCCTGGCCAACGTGGTGAAATCCTGTCTACTAAAAATATAAAAAAAATTAGCGAGGCATGGTTGTAGGAGCCTGTAGTCCCAGTTACTCAGGAGGCTGAGGAAGGAGAATCACTTGAACTTGTGAGGCAGAGGTTACAGTGAGCCAAGATCATGCCACTGCTCTCCAGCCTGGGCAACATAGCAAGACTCTGTCTCAAGACGTGGTCCCAGACATGGGTCCCTCCGCTTCCTGCCTCAGAAGTGCAGCAGGAGGCATCACAGGAAGGTGAAGAGCTTCCCTAAAGAGGACCCTTCCAAGCTGGTCCACCTCATAGCCTTCCTGGGATACAAGGCTGGCATGACCCACATCGTGTGGGAAGTCGACAGGCCAGGATCCAAGGTGAACAAGAAGGAGGTGGTAGAGGCTGTGACCATTGTGGAGATAACCATGGTGGTTGCGGGCATTGTGGGCTATGTGGGAACCCCTCGAGGCCTCTGGACCTTCAAGACCGTCTTCACTGAGCACATCAGTGATGAGTGCAAGAGGCATTTCTATAAGAATTGGCATAAATCTAAGAAGAAGGCCTTCACCAAGTACTGCAAGAAATGGCTGGATGAGGACGGCAAGAAGCAGCTGGAGAAGGACTTCAGCAGCATGAAGAAGTACTGCCAAGTCATCCATATCATTACCCACAACCAGATGTGGTGCTTCCTCTGCACCACAAGAAGGCTCATGTGATGGAGATCCAGGTGAACAGAGGCACTGTGGCTGAGAAGCTGGACTGGGCCCGCGAGAGGCTTGAGCAGCAGGTACCTGTGAACCAGGTGTTTGGGCAGGACGAGATGATTGATGTCATTGGGGTGACAAAGAGCAAAGGCTACAAAGGGGTCACCAGTCATTGGCACACCAAGAAGCTGTCCCGCAAGATCCGCTGAGGCCTCTGTAAGGTGGCCTGTATTGAGGCATGGCATCCTGACCGTGTGGCCTTCTCTGGGGCACGCACTGGGCAGAAAGAGTACCATCACTGCACTAAGATCAACAAGAAGATCTATAAGATTGGCCAGAGCTACCTTATCAAGGGTGGCAAACTGATCAAGAACAATGCCTCCACTGACTATGACCTGTCTGTCAAGAGCATCAACCCTCTGGGTGGCTTTGTCCACTATGGTGAAGTGACCAATGACTTTGTCATGCTGAAAGGCTGTGTGGTTGTAACCAAGAAACGAGTGCTCACCCTCCACAAGTCCTTGCTGGTGCAGACCAAATGACAGGCTCTGGAGAAGACTGCCCTTAAGTTCATTGACACCACCTCCAAGTTTGGCCATGGCTGCTTCCAGACCATGGAGGAGAAGAAAGCATTTGTGGGAGCACTCAAGAAAGGCCAAATTGCAAAGGAAGAAGGAACTTAATGCCAGGAACAGATTTTGCAGCTGGTGGGGTCTCAATAAAAGTTATTTTCCACTGAAAACAAACATACAAACAAAAAAACCACTTAGCTAGATGACAGCTCCAAGTCTCAGTCTGTTCAATTTAGAATAGCTGGACAATATACCTGGTCAGGTGTCTTTTATCATTGTTCTTAAATGTATTAAATAAGAAAGAAATATATGCCATTATGTTTGTTGTAGGAAATGAGAAAAAAGATAAAAAGCATATTTTAGTGATTTGTAGGGTAAAGAAATGTATGGAGGAAAAAATACTGCTTCATGAGGTTAGTAAATAATTTATTAATTATTTGAAAAATGTTCAGCATTGCCATAAAGTTATTTTAGTATGAAGGCATATAGGTTTTAGCTTTGTGTAGTAGAAAATATAAAAGAATTGTGTGATTTCCTCCAAATCAACATCTTCATTCTTTCTCTTGAATCTAAGTGCACAAGATTCACCTTCACATAACATTTTTGAAAGCTTGAAAGGAAAGAAAAAACCTTTACCTCTACTGTTTAGTATTTTAACTATTCAAATGCTTTTTTTCTCTAGTGCATAAGCTCATCTTTTTTTGGGTTTTCATTTTCATCATTACGGCCTCAATAAATGAACCTATGTCACTGCCATCAAAAGAAAAATAAATTATTACACTACAGAATAAAAGAAGATTATGAATAATTATTTATATAGGCTAAGTCTGTAGGGCAATTAGAAGAGCAATTCAGTTTTATTTTTCCTGTATCCACAAAATTCCTCCTCTGACTCTGCTATTATAGCTGTACGCTTCCAAATATGAAAAATGGAAATAACCTGATTTCAAATGGAGATTGATAGAGAAGAGCTGCTTACAAAACTTAAATATCTCAAATCAAGTGCATTACTCCAAGATACATCTTATTTTCACTCTTTCTCTCCATACCTGTCTCATAATTTAAGAATAAATGAACCTATTGGGAGTTGTAAGCCATTCTGATTTGGGGCCATTTGTTGAGGTGATCTGAAGCTAAACTGAGAAGTAGGCAATGCTTGCATCTAACATTGTTTTTAGCCACCTTATTTTGTTCCATTCCACTTCAGGGGCTCCCATTGGAGTGAAATACTTAGTTCTCCCTTCCTAAATATTATCCCACTTCAGAGATCTCCTCCATCCCAATTCAAAGTTACCCGTGTCTTGTTTTCTCAGCATTTTATTAGGTAATAGGCTAGAATTCAAATTAGTCAGTTGGTTCTGAGAAATTAATGGTTTTTTTTTTTTACTGAAAGATAGCAACTCTTTATTTTAAATGGCAGTTTAAAGTTTGCAGAGTACGTCCCCAAGCACACCAGTAATCTAGCAAGCATATATTTCATTCCCTATTTTGCAGAGGAAAAAACTGAGAAGTTAAACGAATTCACTAAGGTTAAACAACTAAGAGAGAATCCTGGTCTTTTAATTCTAGCCTTTCCCTTATACTAAGACTGCCCTGGACATGTAATATATTCTCAGCCAATAAGAGACTACTGTAATTTTAGGGGCCGTATTAGCCCAGTGGGAGTTGTATTATTGGAAAGTCCTCTTATTAACCTCAAATAATATCACACTATTAACGTTATACTGTGCATATATTGGTTATTCTTAGTAAACACTGTGCATGACTGTCACCTGTGATGTTAAAACAAGCAAAACAGATGCTTTTTCTTGTTTTAAAGCAAAACTGAGATTAGATGGGGAAAAATTGGTAGTGTAAAAGTCTACTGCTGACTATGATGCCCATCCCTAGTTAAAAATCATTAGTACGGAGCCTGAATAGCACTTACTTTTTGTCTTGTCTTGTGGCTTAGGATTAAGTGACAATCTTGTCTTAAACTCAGTCTAACTCAAGCTTGAGCCATCTCCCCCAGCAACCTTTCCCATGCGTGATGTAACATGAATGACATGGGACAACTGCCTTGCTGTGATCAACTCAGGCATGCACCAAAATGCCTGTCCAACACTGGGGCTTCTTCCCAGCATTCCACTGTTACCAAATTAGAAAATGGGGTTTGGCATGTGGATTACTAGAATAATAGAAGAGCTTGAACAAAACTGTTTGGAAGCTACTTATTTTTACAGTTCTAAAACACTGAGCTGATTTAGAAGATCAAGGATTGTTAGGGTCATTAGTGGTATAAGTTGTGATTGGATGAGACTGAGAATTAATGTAAGATGTACTTTTATTTCCTCTTTTTCCTGTCAATCAAAACATAGATTTGGTTACCCCTCCCCTCCCCTCCCCTCCCCTCCTCTCCCCTCCCCTTCCTTCTCTTCCCCTCCCTCTCTCTCTCTTCTTTCTTTCTTTCTTTCTTTCTTTCTTTCTTTCTTTCTTTCTTTCTTTCTTTCTCTTTCTTTCTTTCTTTCTTTCCCTTTTTTTCTTTTCTTTCTTTCTTTCTTTCTTTCTTTCTTTCTTTCTCTCCTTCCTTCCTTCTTTTTCTTTCTTTCTTTCTTTCTTTCTTTCTTTCTTTCTTTCTTTCTTTCTTTCTTTCTCTCTCTCTCTGCCTCTTTTCTTTTCTTTCATTTTTTTCTTTAGAGACAGGATCTTGCTCTCCTGCTCAAGCTGGAGTTCAGTGCTGCAGTCACAGCTCACTGCAGCCTCAAACTCCTGGGCTCCAGCAATCTTCCCACCTCAGCCACCCAAGTAGCTGGGACTACAGGTACACACCATCACACTCAGATAATTAAAAAAATTTTTTTTAATAGAGATTGGGTCTCACTATGTTGCCCAGGCTGGTCTCAAACTCCTCTCCTCAAGTGATCCTCCTGTCATGGCCTCTGGAAGCACTGAGTTTACAGGCATGAGCCACTGCACCTAGCCTACCACTTCTCTTTAAACGGATGAATGCCACTTATTTCAGAGGATAATAGTATACTAGTGTATCAGTTACCTATTGCTGTGTAACAAATTATAAAAAATGTATTGACTTAACAACAGTTTTATTTACTTATGAGTCTGTAAGTCAGCAATTTCAGCTGAGCTCAGCTGGTACATTCTTCTGATCTTTTTTTCCTGGATTCACTTGGCTGCACTCTTCTGGTGGCCTACTGGGGACTGGATTGTCTAAGATAGCCTCAAGTGAAGTGGTTAGCAGACTGTCAAGTGGTGCTCTGCTTTACTTCAGAGGATCTATCCAGTAGGTTAATTTAGGTTCATCACTTTGTGGTCTCAAGGTTTCATTTGGAGTCAAAGACAGAAAGCCCCAGTGTGCAAATATTTTAAAAATCTTTGCTCATCTTATGCTGCTAATATTTCATTGGCCAGAGTCACTTAAAAGGCCAAACCCAAACTCAAAGAGTAGAGAAAAAACCTTCACTTCTTGATGGGAGGAGATAAAAGGGGTGAGTGTATAGGAATGGGTGAGATTTAGGTCATCTCTCCAAACGACTTACCACTGATAATAAAAACTGATGGATGGTTATTTAAAACACAGACAAATTCAAGTGACAAATATCCTAAGAATAAAAAATAGCACAGAGAAACAGAATAGAACAGCCTAAAATTAACTGAAACATTTGTTCTAAGTATTGAACAAATACAAATTTAAGTAAACATTTTCTTAATATTGCACACTGCACATATTGCACATTGCAATATTCAAATCTTGCTTTTTTTTTCCAAAATAGTTTTACTCATTGGGGAAGATTATATTAAACATCATTTAAATATTTAAGCTCTGAGGAATACCAGGACATGAATTGTATTAATTTGTGCAAAATAGAGGGTTGCATAAATGGCCAAACATAATTTCTATCCTAGAATATTTTATCACAATTATAAATTATCATATTAAATTATGAGTGAATTGCGTGAGTGAGAAACATGTCACCACGTCAGTGCTCTGACTGTGAAATGAGCAGTATTTACTCTTGAAAACTTCACTCAGGTAATGAGGCACATTAATTCTGAGCAGGGCTTCAGTTATTGCTCTGAATTTAATCTGATCTTTTAATTCTCCTCTGCTTATAAAAAATTCATGGACTAGGGTTTGATGTGTCCCATGTTTCTGGTAAGCACACACCTTGCTTCTAATTTGAGGTATATTTAAGAACAAAACAGGCAGGGAAAGTCCTTGATCTTGCTCTGAAGTACAAAGTACATGACCAGAGAGCTCATTACAGTCAGAAAACACCTTATGTGAAATATTATGGGAGTCTCTGCCTGACTCTATTCTGGTGACAGTCTACTGATTTCAGAATTAAAATACTGCAAAATTACTCCTTTCTTCCATTATACTTCCCAAACTCTCAGATTATTCACTTCTGTTTCTCTGATTTGTCTTCCTCTCTCCTGCTTCCGCCATACCTCAAAACTCATTCCAGTTTACCTTATTCACTACTTCCACCCATAGGATACCCATACTTACACGTTAACTAGTCTATGTCTTTTTTTTTTTTTAAAGTTTGCTGCTAGAAACTTTCCATCTTCAGACTTCTTTTACTCCTTCAGTGGAAATGTGGTTTCTTCAAAAAATGCTACATATAAAACAACATGTATGTATATATTTTGCCTTTTGTGATTTATGTGAACTCAGAAAAGCTCAGCATCTGAATGTCTTTTGTATTTCAATCACCTCCTGCCATTTCTTTACTTGGAGATCGTGTTCATGCTACTACTCACATCACACTCTTCATATTTCTTATCTCCCACTAAATCATTGGCACCTTTAAAATCCATGTTGTGTATGAGATACCGAATCAAGTTTCCTCACTCAACAAATTGCCAGTGGCCCTAACTTCTGGTCCTTGTTACTACCCATTAACACCCTCATATCCTGGATTTTGCCATTAACAACGCTGCTCTGTCTCACAGATTGCTAACTTACTTTTATCTGACACTTACCTATGCTTTCTTTATATCTGCTAAATCTTGTTCCTACCCTCTTCATAAGTGGGCATTTTCTCTCTTCTCCTTTGTTTACTTTGGGCAGCTTAGTGCAGTGGAAAGAACAAGAGCAAGGAGATCTGCCGAGGCAAAGGGAGAACTTTATTTTCTATTAAAAAACAAAATGCAGAGTGGGGAGACATAGCCATCAGTGTAAAACAAAAGCCACAAATAACAAATGGAGAGTCTGGCTTAAATTGGGAAAGTTCTTGCTCAGGTTCTCAATCTGGCTCATTTATGCAAATTAAGGATTCAAACTTGTTCATCTCTGATTAGTCTAAGTAGACGAACCCTGATTGGATGGTTCCCAAGCACCCAACCAGAAAAGTCTTTGTCAGATGTTTTTTTCAAATAGCCATTGAGGGGTTTCCAGCCACAGGATATCGCAGCTCCCATCACAGAAACTGTTCTGGCTCAGGGGTGCAAAGCAGAATGATTGTGAAGAGCTTCTCTCTCCAAAAATCCAGGGTATGTGACCACTCCCTCCCACCCTGCTTTGGCCATATGGCTCCACTTTAAAATTTAGAGTTTTTCCACCAACCACAAGGGGTTCACCTCATGTGGAGAGTTTGGGGTCTTATTTTACAGTTTTATTTCTCAGTCAGAAGGTCTGAATCTTAATCTTTCATTACTACATGTAGCTGAATGACTTTCACTAGTTTCTTTGGGCCTCAGCTTCCTTTTCTTGTACAATGGGAGCAAAATAACAACCTATTTCAAAAGGTGAAGTAAATTCCCAAAGGACTGAGTTGAAGTGCTGGTGAAAATTATTGCACGTAATCTTACTGAAGTTATGGTTTGCTGATATAAGAGCAAAAGAAACATTTTTAACGAAGTATCATAATGAATAGACCACATGCATGCTCAGTCATATTGCAACTGTAAAAAGGTGACCAGTTTGTGAGCATGTGGAAAGTTCTAGGAGGTCGGACCAGTGCAGGCTTAGCTAGAGTCTTCTATATGAACCTTAATAAGCAGCAAATGAGTTACCATTTGGAAAAGAGTTGGGCACATACATTTCTTTACCTCAATGCCTTTCTGTAATTCCATTTCTCAATTTCTCAGTGCAGGATCTCCCATTAGTATCTGTTTTCTTTGCTTTTGTTTTTGGGTCACAGAATGTTGCTGAGGAAAGTCATTGAATGGGGAAGTAATTTATTCCACTATACATCAATAGTACTTACTTTCAACTGGCCTTTCATGGGTACTGGGTAACCTTTTCTTTCTTCTCTTGTTTGTTTCATAAACCATTCTCCCTGAGTTGTCATCCTTCTCTCTCAAATGTCAGTCTCACCCTTCTTCCCCAGTTCATTCGGGCCAACTTAAGTGGTTTAATTGAACTTAGCAGCTTTTCCCAAAGATAGCTACTTTTCACCATGGATCTCTGTTTTTAATTAACAGTGTATCATCACGTTTTCCTTCCAATTAGATTATAGAGGCAAATATAATGCCTCTTTGCTTTAAAATATTTTTATATTTTAAAATATAAAATATTTTAAAATATAATTGCTTTAAAATATTTTTTAACTTGCGATAAAGTACACATCTTAACCATTGTAAAGTGCAAACATTAGTTTTATTACGTACATTCACATTGTTGTGCAACCATCATCACCATCTGAAACTCTATACTCATTAAACAATATCACCCTTTCCTCTCCTCCCCTCGGCTCCTAAGAACCACCAGTCTACTTTCTCTATGAATCTGATTGCTCCAGGCACCTAATAAAAGTAGACTCACATGGTATTTTTCTTTATGACTGGCCTATTTTACTTCAAATAATGTCCATATGTTCATCCATGTTGTAGCATATGCCCAAATTCCCTCTTTTTATTTTTTATTATTTATTTATTTATTTTACTTTAAGTTCTGGGATACATGTGCTGAACATGCAGGTTTGTTACATAGCTTTACATGTGCCATGGTGGTTTGCTGCACCTATCAACCTGTCATCTAGGTTTTAAGCCCCACTTGCATTAGGTATTTGTCCTGATGCTCTCCCTCCCCTTGCCCCCCACCCCCTCACAGGCCCCAGTGTGTGATGTTCCCCTCTCTGTGTCCATATGTTCTTATTGTTCAGCTCCCACTTATGAGTGAGAACATGCGGTGTTTGGTTTTCTGTTCCTGTGTTAGTTTGCTGAGAATGATGGTTTCCAGCTTCATCCATGTTCCTGCAAAGGACATGAGCTCATTCTTTTTTATGGCTGCATAATATTCCATGGAGTATATGTGCCACGTTTTCTATATCCAGTCTATCATTGATGGGCATTTGTGTTTGTTCAAAGTCTTTGCTATTGTAAATAGTGTAGCAATAAATATATGTGTGCATGTGTCTTTATAGTAGAATGATTTATAATCCTTTGGTATATACCCAGTAATGGGATTGCTGGGTCAAATGCTAGTTCTGGTTCTAGATCCCCGAGGGGTCGCCACACTATCTTCCACAATGGTTGAACTACTTTACACTTCCACCAACAGTGTAAAAGCGTTCTTATTTCTCTGCATCTTTGCCAGCATCTGTTGTTTCCTGACTTTTTAATGATCGCCATTCTAACTGGCATGAGATGGTATCTCATTTTGGTTTTGATTTGTATTTCTCTAATGACCAGTGATGATGATCCTTTTTTCGTATGTTTGTTGGCTGCATGTCTTCTTTTGAGAAGTGTCTGTTCATATCCTTTGCCCACTTTTTGATGGGGTTGTTTTTTTCTTGTAAATTTGTTTAAGTTCCCTGTAGATTCTGGATATTAGCCCTTGGACAGATGGATAGATTGCAAAAATTTTCTCCCATTCTGTAGGCTGCCTGTTCACTCTGATGATATTTTCTTTTGTTGAGCAGAAGCTCTTTAGTTTAAAATTCCCCCTTCTTAAAGGTTGAATAATATTTCATTGTATATATCTGTGTATATATATACACACACACACAATGTTATATATATATATAACATTTTGTTTATACATTTATTCATTGATGAGTATTTGGGTTGCTTCTACCTGTTTGCTATTGTGAATAACATTGCTATGAACCTAGGTGTACATATATCTTTTTAGATGTTATTTCAATTATTTTCATATTGTTTTCCATAGCAGTTACACCATTTTACATTTCCACTAATGGTACACAAGTGTTCCAATTTCTCTACAACCTCACCAACATGTGCTATTTTCTATTTTTCTGATAGTAGCCACCCTAATGGGTGCAGTGTGGTATCTCATTGTGGTTTTGAGTTGCATTTCCCTAATGATTAGTAATGTTGAAATCTTTTCATGTGCACTTGGCCATTTGTATGTCTTCATTAATGTCCTTTAAAAAAAATCAAGTCCTCATAATCTCACTTTCAGCGAGTGCCCTTAGTGATTTTCTAGCTACTTCCTATTCAGCCTGCCCTGTCTATTTCTCTGGCTGTGAACTTTCTTCCAGATTCAGGTCTCTTGACAACACACTTTTCCCAGGTCCTAAATATTAAAGACGCTGCTTATGCTCTATTATTTCATAGAACTATAAAAAATCACTGAAGTTTTTATAAAACACTAGACTTATTGTGTAAATTTTCCTGAGAAAATAACTGGCTTTGAATAAATAGGGAGGCAAGGGGTGCTTTCTAAGGAATAAAAGGAATAAAATAATCTAGTTCTCAAATTTATATGTTAGATAGGAAAAATGCTTTATTTTTATTTTGTTTTAGAATGCCTGAAGGAAAGAGACATTTGGATACAGAATTTACCTTTCCTTTTCTGGATACTTGAGTTTAAGTTTGTTTAAAGGAGGGTTTGCTTTCACCATCTAGGAGTTCTCTATGAAACAGTTATTCTAATGGTTCTAATAGCAAGAAACATTGAATACAATGGCACTGAAAATGGGCCACTTTCTGAC
The DNA here is from genome assembly GCF_000001405.40 of Homo sapiens. NCBI lineage: Eukaryota > Metazoa > Chordata > Mammalia > Primates > Hominidae > Homo > Homo sapiens. The sequence continues at coordinate 79,562,361 of NC_000008.11, read as the reverse complement.
AGGTTGTTGCCATTAGTAACACATATTATGGTTAGACAAAGTATATATTTATTAATTCATTTTTAATTTATTTAAAATATTTATTGCATGTCGATTACATATCAGGCAAAAAACCAGTAGGTGATAAAACCAAAATTTATATCAATTTTCTTAATAACAAAGCCCATATCTTCTGTACCTCAACATGAGACACTTCCTAAAACCATAAGCATATGGCTGGAGTAAATATATTTTGCTCTATTCCATTGCAGAGTAACACAATTATTTATTCCTAAGCCATACTGTAAATCAAACTAATCAGATCTGGATATCCCTCATATATAAAAAGAGCCAGCAGTACTTCTGATTCTCTGACAATTATGGGACAAAACAAAAACTAGTAGATCATTTATCTCTATTATTGGTTAAGATGGTCCCAGAGATATTTCCACTCCTCTGTTTGTAGCCAAGGTTCGAAAGCTTTCATATTAATCTATGGATTGATAGATCTGATATGAAGTTCTGAGACTAGGTTCAGACAAATTTTAGATCTGTGAGTGTATAATATTGTTTCAAGTTCTTTCAAGGACACACATGCAAACAGGCCCAAATATAAGTTCTAGTCTCTGATATCAAGGGGCTTAGAAACTTGTTGAGCACAAAAGATATGATGCAAGTGAAACAAGTAGTGGATAATAGCACCAATGCTTGGAATTAAGATAGTATGGTAATGATACAAGAGAAAATAGATCAATAGAGGTAAATCAAGTTCAGAAATACAACAAAGTATATCGAGGATATAGTATAAAAAAAGGTGGAATTTCAATCAGGGAGAAGAAATGGACTTGTCTCTAAGTTATGTTGAGGTACTGACTAATTGCTTGGAAAAAAAAGTTGGTTCTCCAGCTCACTATATAAAAATAAATCCCAGGTGATCTAAGTTATAAAGTTAAGACAATGAAATAATAAAAATGCTAAAATAAAAATATAATTAAAAGTTATTTTAGAGTAGGTTAGGATAGCCTGAATAAGGACACACACACACACACACACACACACACACACACACACAGAGTAAAATCCACTAAAATTGAAAGACAAGATAGAAAAAATATTTGCAACATGTATGACAAGGCTCTAATATTTTTATCAAACAGAAAATTCTTATCAATAAAAAGAAAAAGACAGGTAACTTAAAAATAAAACCATATGATTAGGCAATGTAGAAAAGAAAAAAATAGGGAGTTGCTGGCAAGATGGCCGAATAGGAATAGCTCCAGTCTGCAGCTCCCAGTGAGATTGATGCAGAAGGCAGGTGATTTGTGCATCTCCAACTGAGGTACCTGGTTCATCTCACTGGGACTGGTTGGACAGTGGGTGCAGCCCACAGAGGGCGAGCCAGAGCAGGGTGGGGCATCGCCTCACCTGGGAAGTGCAAGGAGTCTGGAGATTTCCCTCCCATAGCCAACGGAAGCCATGAGAGACTGTACTGGGAGGAACGCTGCACTCCAGCTCAGATACTGCACTTTTCCCACGGTCTTCGCAACCTGCAGACCTGGAGATTCCTTCTGGTGTCTATGCTACCAAGGCCCTGGGTTTCAAGCACAAAACTGGGCAGCCATTTGGGAAGACACCGAGCTAGCTGTAGTAGCTTTTTTTTCTTTTTCTTTTTCTTTTTTTTCATACCTCAGTGGCACCTGGAACAGCAGCGAGACAGAACCATCCACTCCCTTGGAAAGGGGGCTGAAGTCAGGGAGCCAAGTGGTCTAGCTCAGTGGATCCCATCCCCATGGAGCCCAACAAGCCAAAATTCACTGGCTTGAAATTCTTGCTGCCAACACAGCAATCTGAAGTCAACCTGGGACACTCGAGCTTGGTGAGGGGAGGGGTGCCTGCCATTGCTGAGGCTCGAGTAGGCTGTTTTACCCTCATAGTGTAAACAAAGCCCTTGGGAAGTTTGAACTGGGTGGAGTCCACCGTAGTTCAGCAAGACCTCTGCAGCTAGACTGCCTCTCTAGATTGCTCCTCTCTAGGCAGGGCATCTCTGAAAAAAAGGCAGCAGCCCCAGTCAGGGACTTATAGATAAAACCCACATCTCCCTGGGACAGAACATCTGGAAGAAGGGGAAGCTGTGGATGCAGCTTCAGCAGACTTAAACATCCCTGCCTGATAGCTCTGAAGAGAGCAGCAGATCTCCTAGCACAGCATTCAAGCTCTGATAAGGGACAGACTGCCTCCTCAAGTGGGTCCCTGACCCCTGTGTAGTCTGACTGGGAAACAGCTCCCAGTAGGGACCAACAGACACCTCATACAGAAGAGCTCTCACTGGCATCTGGTGGGTGAACCTCTGGGATGAAGCTTCCCGAGGAAGGAACAGGCAGCAATATTTGCTGTTCTGCAGCCTCTGCTGGTGATACCCAGGCAAACAGTGTCTGGAGTGGACCTCCAGCAAACCCCAGCACACCTGCAGCAGAGAGGCCTGCCTGTTAGAAGAAAAACTAACAAGCAGAAAGGAATAGTATTAAGATCAACAAAAAGGATGTCCACTCAGAGACCCCATCCAAAGGTCATCAACATCACAGACCAAAGCTAGATAAATCCTCAAAGATGGGGAGAAAAAGGCTGAAAATTCCAAAAACCAGAATGCCTCTTCTCCTCCAAAGGATAACTCCTCTCCAGCAAGGGAGCAAAACTGGATGGAGAATGAGTTTGAAAAATGGACAGAAGTAGCCTTCAGAAGGTGGGTAATAACAAACTCCTCCGAGCTAAAGGAGCATGTTCTAACCCAATGCAAGGAAGCTAAGAATCTTGAAAAAAGGTTAAAGGAGTTGCTAACTAGAATAACCAGTTTAGAGAAGAACATAAATGACCTGATGGAGCTGAAAAACACAGCACGAGAACTTCACGAAGCATACACAAGTATCAATAGGTGAATCAATCAAGTGGAAGAAAGGATGTTAGAGATTGAAAATCAACTTAATGAAATAAAGCGAGAAGAGAAGTTTAGAGAAAAAAGAGTGAAAAGAAATAAACAAAGCCTTCAAGAAATATGGGACTATATGAAAAGACCAAACCTACATTTGATTGGTGGACCTGAAAGTGACGGGGAGAATGGAACTAAGTTGGAAAACACTCTTCAGGATATTATCCAGGAGAACTTCCCCAACCTAGCAAGGCAAGTCAACATTCAAATTCAGAAAATACAGAGAACGCCACAAAGATACTCCTCAACAAGGGCAACCCCAAGACACATAATTGTCAGATTCATCAAGATTGAAATAAAGGAAAAAATGCTAAGGGCAGCCAGAGAGAAGGGCTGGGTTACCCACAAAGGGAAGCCCATCAGACTAACAGTGGATCTCTCAGTGGAAACCCTACAAGCCAGCAGAGACTGGGGCTCAATATTGAACATTCTTAAAGAAAAGAATTTTCAACCCACAATTTCATATCCAGCTAAACTCAGCTTCATAAGTGAAGGAGAAATAAAATCTTTTACTGACAAGCAAATGCTGAGAAATTTTGTCACCACCAGACCTGCCTTACAGGAGCTCCTGAAGGAAGCATTAAACATGGAAAGGAACAACTGGTACCAGCCACTGCAAAAATATACCAAATTGTAAAGCCCATCAATGCTATGAAGAAACTACATCAACTAATGGGCAAAATAACCAGCTAGCATCATAATGACTGGATCAAATTCATACATACCAATATTACCCTTAAAAGTAAATGGACTAAATGCCCCAATTAAAAGACACAGACTAGCAAATTGGATAAAGAGTCAAGACTCATTGGTGTGCTGTATTCAGGAGACCCATCCCATGTGCAAAGACACACATAGGCTGAAAATAAAGGGATGGAGGAATATTTCCCAAGCAAATGGAAAGCAAAAAAAAAAAAAAAAAAAAAAAAAAAAAAAAAAAGCAGAGGTTGCAATCCTAGTCTCTGATAAAACAGACTTTAAACCAACAAAGATCAAAAGAGACAAAGAAGAGCATTACATAATGGTAAAGGGATCAATGCAACAAGAAAAGCTAACTATCCTAAATATATATGCACTCAATACACGAGCACCCAGATTCATAAAGCAAGTTCTTAGAGACCTACAAAGAGACTTAGACTCCCACACAATAATAGTGGGAGACTTTAACACGCTACTGTCAACATTAGACAGATCAATAAGACAGAAAATTAACAGGGATAGCCAGGACTTGAACTCAGCTCTGGACCAAGTAGACCTAATAGACATCTACAGAACTCTCTACCTCAAATCAACAGAATTTACATTCTTCTCAGCACCACATCGCATGTATTCTAAAATTGACTACATAATTGGAAATAAAACATGCCTCAGCACATGCAAAAGAATGGAAATCATAACAAACAGTCTCTCAGATCACAGTGCAATCAAATTAGAACTCAGGATTAAGAAACTCACTCAAAACCCCATAACAACATGGAAACTGAACAACCTGCTTCTGAATGACTACTGAGTAAATAATGAAATTAAGGCAGAAATGAAGATGTTCTTTGAAACCAATGAGAACAAAGAAACAATGTACCAGAATCTCTGGGACACATTGAAAACAATGTGTAGAGGGAACTTTATAGCACTATATGCCCACAAGAGAAAGGAGGAAAGATCTAAAATAAACAACTTAATATTACAATTAAAGGAACTAGAGAAGCAAGAGCAAACAAATTCAAAAGCTAGCAGAAGGCAAGAAATAACTAAAATCAGAGCAGAACTGAAGGAGAGAGAGACATGAAAAACCTGTAAAAAAATCAATGAATCCAGGAGGTGGTTTAAAAAAAAAATAAAAAACCAAACAGATAGACTGCTAGCCAGACTAATAAAGAAGAAAAGAGAGAAAAATCAAATAGACACAATAAAAATGATAAAGGGGATATCACCACTGATCCCAGAGTAATACAAACTACCATCAGAGAATACTGTAAGCACCTCTACGCTAATAAACTAGAAAATCTAGAAGAAATGGATAAATTCCTGGATACATACACCCTCCCAAGACTAAGCCAGGAAGAAGTTGAATCCCTGAATAGACCAATAACAAGTTCTGAAATTGAGGCAGTAATTAATAGCCTACCAACCAAAAAAAGTCCAGGACCAGACGGATTCACAGCCAAATTCTACCAAAGGTACAAGGAGGAGCTGGTACCATTCCTTCTGAAACTATTCCAATCAATAGAAAAAGAGAGAATCCTCCCTAACTCATTTTATGAGGCCAGCATCATCCTGATACCAAACCCTGGCAGTGACACAACAAAAAAAGAAAATTTCAGGCCAATATCCCTGATGAACTTCGATGCAAAAATCCTCAATAAAATACCGGTAAATCAAATCCAGCAGCACATTAAAAATCTTATCCACCAGGATCAAGTCGGCTTCATCCCTGGGATGCAAGGCTGGTTCAACATACGCAAATCAATAAATGTAATCCATCACATATAGAGAACCAATGACAAAAACCACATGATTATTTCAATAGATGCAGAAAAGGCCTTCAAGAAAATTCAACACCCCTTCATGCTAAAAACTCCCAATAAACTAAGTATTGATGGAATGTATCTCAAAATAATAGGAGCTATTTATGACAAACCCACAGCCAGTATCATACTGAATGGGCAAAAGGTGGAAGCATTCCCTTTGAAAACTGGCACAAGACAAGGATGCTCTCTCTCACCACTCCTATTCAACATAGTATTAGAAATTCTGGCCAGGGCAATCAGGCAAGAGAAAGAAATAAAGGGCATTCAAATAGGAAGAGAGGAAGTCAAATTGTCTCTGTTTGCAGGTGACATTATTGTATATTTAGAAAACCCCATCGTCTCAGCCCCAAACCTCCTTAAGCTGATAAGCAACTTCAGCAAAGTCTCAGGATACAAAATCAATGTGCAAAAATCACAAGCATTCCTATACACCAATAATAGACAGAAAGCCAAATCATGAGTGAAATCCCATCAGCTCATCATCACTGGTCATTAGAGAAAAGCAAATCAAATTAGAATGGCAATCATTAAAAAGTCAGGAAACAACAGATGCTGGAGAGGATGCAGAGAAATAGAAATGCTTTTACACCGTTGGTGGGAGTGTAAATTAGTTCAACCATTGTGGAAGACAGTGTGGCATTTCCTCAAGGATCTAGAACTAGAAATAGCATTTGACCCAGCAATCCTGTTATTGGGTATGTACCCAAAGGATTATAAATCATTCTACTATAAAGACACATGCACCTGTATGTTTGTTTCAGCACTGTTCACAATAACAAAGACTTGAAACCAACTCAAATGTCCATCAATGATAGACTGGATAAAAAAGTGTGGCACATATACACCATGGAATACTATGCAGCCATAAAAAAGGATGAGTTCATGTCCTTTGCAGGGACATGGATGAAGCTGTAAACCATCATTCTCAGCAAACTAACACAAGAACAGAAAGCCAAACACCGCATGTTCTCACTCATAAGTGGGAGTTGACCAATGAGAGCACATGGACACATGGAGGGGAGCATCAAACACCAATGCCTGTCGGAGGGTGGGGGGCTAGGGGAGGGATAGCATTAAGAGAAAAGCCTAATGTAGATGACGGGTTGATTGGTGTTGGAAACCACTGTGGCATATGTATACCTATATAACAAACCTGCACCTTCTGCACATGTATCCCAGCACTTAAAGTATAATTAAAAAAAAAAAGAAAAAAAAGAAAAAATAAAAGAGAGAGAAGGGAGGGGATCAGGAAAAAATAACTAATGGGTACTGGGATTAATACCTGGGTGACAAATTAATCTGTACAACAAACTCCCATGACAAGAGCTTACTTTTATAACAAACGTGCACCTGTACCCCTGAACTTAAAAGTTAAAAACAAAACAAAACAAACCAAAAAGTGGCATGTTAGCACATATAAAGATTTTCAATCTAATAACTAGAGGAGCAAATAAAAAATTGAGCATCATTTTTAAGTTCTTAGATTGAAAAGCATGGAAAATTGTTCTGTTATTAATTGATACTTAGTGTGAAAAATGTATTTAACCAAAATGAAAGGCTGTATGTTAATATTTATCAATATTTCTAATGGTTGTGCCATTTACTTGGTGATTTCATTTCCAAAAATATATTCTTAAAGGTTATTTAAAAATTAATAATAATTTCTGTGCAAGAAAGCAGATTTTTTAGTAAATAGGGAAAAATTGCTAAATAGCAAGCAGTGGAGAAGAGTTGTTAAGCTGTTGATGTTTTAGTCAAGCTACATGAATTAAAATTTTGGCTCCATTACTTCTGTTTGTTTGACATAGCCAAATTACCTAGCCTCTCTGGATGTCAATTTTGTCATTTACAAAATGGAGCTTTAAAGATTTCAAAATACCTGCCTTGGAGAGTGATGTAAGGAGGATGACAGAATAGGAAGTCTCAGCCCTTGTCCCCCTATAGAATGGATTTAACAGTGATTTATGCACCATAATACCTTTATGAGAAGTCTAGAATTCAGTTACAAAGTTGAAATACCCAAGGTGAGCAAAAGACCAAGAACAGCCACACTGAAACAGGTATGAAGAGCAATTTTACTTACCTGTGTCAGCTCCTGCTCAACCCAGCACACTCACTGCTAAGAGAGATTGCCTCAGCCCATGATTTCTCCCTTGGGGGAAAGAGAGAGCAGAGTGTGCTTCCATGTCTCAGGCCTTTCAGTGTGTTTCCCTAGGGCTGTTTTTTTGTCTTGCCTGACATGGAACATGGACAGAACTGGCATATTTCAGATACCTGGAGTAAACTAAGAACAAAGAAAAGGGGTTGATAGCTTATTGCTGCTGACATGGCTGTAAGATTGAGAGAAGGCACACAGCCCCGTGACTTCTCCTTCAGAAGGGAGGAAGAGGAATGGAGTGTGTTTTCAGCGTCTTGGACTTTCAATATACTGCCTGAGGGACTGGTTTCTGTCTCACTTGACCCAGAATGTTGACAGAAGTAGCTTAGTTTGGTAGGGGCAGCTAAGAACAAAGGAAAAGGGGCTGGTAGCTTACTATGCCAAGAATGGCTTTGCAAGATAGGGAGAAAGCATAGAACTCATGGCTTCTCCACAGGGAAAGAGGGAGAGAAGTGAAGTGTGCCTGTAAGTCCTGACCCTGATATAGCAGTCAGATACCAGAGGAAGCAAGATACAATGGGCTCTTAAAAAAAAAAGAAATTGGTAAAACATTTTATTTAAGAATTTAAATGCACAAATAAAGAGAAGACACAGTTATAGAAAAGGTTTAAGCTGCTTCCAGAATTTCTAGCTAGGAAGATCTTTCCCTGCCAAACCAGTCCATAAAGATTGGTAGAGGTGGCTCCATTTCTTCAGATTTGCAGCCACCAATACAAAGGTACAAAGAACATCAACTGAGACACATTATTATTAAGTTGTCAAAAGGTAACGACAAAGAATTTTGGGAGCATAAAGGGTAAAATAACTTGTCATATACAAGGGAGCCTTCATAAGATTATTTGTTATCTCTCAGCAAAAATTTTGAAGACCAGAAGTGAGTAGAATGGTACATTCAAAGTCCTTAAAGAAAAAAACCGTGCCAGCCAAGAATACTATGCATGGCAAATCTGTCCTTCAGAATGTGCTGGGGTTACCAAAAAGAGAAGAGAAAGAAAAAAAGGAAAAAAACTTATTTAAATAAATAAGCATCACCACTAGACCTATCTTATAAGGAATGTTAATGTTGCTTCAATAAATACTTCAAGTTGAATGAAAGGCAAGTTAAAATGAAACAGCAACACACACAAAAAAGTCACTGGCAAAGGTAAATATATATAGACATATACAGAATACTGTAGCACTGAAATGGTGATGTATAAATCACTTTTAGCTCTAGTATAAAAGTTAAAACCAAAAACATTCATTTTATCTTATTTTAAGATATATTTTAAAATTTCAATAGCTTTGGGGTATTCGTGGTTTTTGGTTACATGGATGAATTATACAGAGGTGAATTTTGAGATTTTGGTGCACCTTTCACCTGAATGGTGTACTTTGTACCCAATATGTAGCTTTTTATTCCTTACTTCCCTTCCACCCTTCCCCTTCTGAGTCTCCAAAGTCCATTATATCACTCTGTATGCCTTTATGTACTCAGAGCTTAGCTCCCACTTATAAGTGAGGACATACGCTATTTGGTTTTCCATTCCTGAGTTACTTCATTTAGATTAGTGGCCTCCAGATCCATCCAAGTTGTTGCAAAAAACATTATCTTCTTTCTTTTTATGGCCAAGTATTATTCCATGGTGTATATTTACCACGTTTTCTTTATCCACTCATTGGTCAATGGGCATTTAGATTGGTTGCATATCTTTGCAATTGTGAATTGTGCTTCAATAAACATACATGTTCACGTGTCTTTTTCATATAATGACTTATTTTCCTTTGGGTTGATGCCCAGTAGTGGGATTGCTGGATCGAATGATAGATCTACTGTTAGTTCTTTAAGGAATACCCATACTGTTTTCCATAGTGGTCGTACTGATTTACGTTCCTACTGGCAGCATACAAGCCAGTTTTTCCAGCACTGTTTATTAAATAGGGTTTCCTTTCCTCAATTTATATTTTTGTATGCTTTGTCAAAGATTAGTTAATTGTAAGTATTTTGCTTTAATTCTGGGTTCTCCACTCTGTTCCATTGGTCTATGTGCCTACTTTTATACTAGTATCATTCTGTTTTGGTAACTATAGCCTTTACTATAATTTGAAGTCTGGTAACGTGATGCCTCCAGATTTGTTCTTCTTTTTTAGAATTGCTTTGGCTATTTGGGCTCTTTTTTGGTTACATATGAATTTTAGGATTTTTTTCTAATTCTATGAAAAATGATACTGACATTTTGATAGGAATTGCACTGAATCTGTAGATAGCTTTGGGCAGTATGGTCATTTTCACAATATTGATTCTTCCAATCCATGAGCATGGGATATATTTCCATTTGTTTGTGTTATCTATGATTCCTTTTAGCAGTGTTTTGTAGTTCTCCTTGTAGAGATCTTTCACTTCCTTGGCTAAGTATATTCCTATGTATTTTATTTTATTTTATTATTTTTTTCAGCTGTTGTTAAAGGAGTTGAGTTCTTGATTTGTTTCAGTTTGGTTGTTGTTGTTGTACAGCGGTTCTAATGATTTGTATACATTGATTTTGTAACCTGAGACTTTACTGAATTTGTTTATTAAATCTAGGAATCTTTTGGAGGCATTTTTAGCTTTTTCTATCATTGGCTAACAGCAATGGTTTGACTTCTTTTCCAATTTGGATGCAATTTTAATATTCTTTCTCTTGCCTTCAAGTCCTTTGCCCATTTTAAAATTGTTTTTTGTTGTTTAGTTATAGGAGCTCTTTATATACTCTGGATGTTAATATCTCCTTTAAATATATGATTTGTACAGTTATATCTTTCATCCTATAGGTTGTATTTTCACTCTGTTCATTGTTTCCTGTGCTTTGTAGGTTTTTTAATGTTGGATATAGCCCCATTTGTTTATTTCCACTTCTCCTGTTGACTGTTCTTGCCATGTTATATCTAATAAATCATTGCCTAGACCAATCAATATCTTTTCCGAGGAGTTTTATAGTTTCAGGTCTTATGTTTAAGTCTTTAATCCATTTTGAGCTGATGGTTTAATATAAAGTCTAATTTTATTCTTTTGAATTTGAAGGGGCAAAAGTTAGGGCTCAGTACCTGACAGGGAAGGCTGGGTTCTGGTGAAAACTCTTGGTCTTTGGCTGAGAATTAGAAGGGCTACACCTTAGGAGTAAGAGAAAACTTCAATAGACTTTCCTCAGGATGATTATAGTCCAGGTTCAATAAGCTTAATTGCTCATTGGATTAAAATAACCTCAGATTGCTCATGCCTTTATTGTGCCAATATCCAGAAGCAAATTTAAACCCTCTTTCAGGAAGGATAACACCTTGTGTGTGCATTCAGGATAAAATTAACAAAGATGAATACTGAAAATACAACAATAGTAAAAGACATAAGATATATTGGATATATGTCTTCTATCTATCTATCTATCTATCTATCTATCTATCTATCTATCTAATTCTGCAAACCTGTAGGATATAATCAAATGGTTTCACATAGGTGTAATGAGAAAGAGAATAGCATAGAAGCAATATTTGAAGATATAATGCTGAAAGTTTTTCAAAACTGATGAAGAATAAGCAGGATGTTTTATAATAGATCTACTAAAAGCCAAAGAAAATAATATTAAGACAATGTTTTAACTTTGTTATTAAAAGTTTAAAGGCATATTACCATCAAGGAAGCAACAAGGAAAACTGACTTCTCAACTGAAACAATGAGACCCAGAAGATAATGGAATGTATTCTTCAAACTCCTGAAAGAATACAATTTCCAACTAGAATTCCATAATCATGGAAAAATAAATATATTTTTAGAGAAAACCAAATATATGCTAAGGAAAAATGCTCTTCAGTAAGAAAGTAAATTATCCCAGATAGAACATCAGAGAAGTAAAAAAAAGTAAAGAGCAAGAAAAAGTGTAAATGTGGGCATAAATATAAATAAATTTTGACATCATATAGCAATGACAATAATGGATCATGAAGTTTAAAAGTTAAAAGATAATAGTAACACAAAATGCAGAAAGGTAAATGGAGTTAAAATGTTCTAACGTTTTATAGTCTGGGAAGTGGCAAAAGTATTAATTTATGTTAGACTTTGATGAGTCGAGGATTCAAGCTTTAATTTCTAGGGTGACCACTAAAAGATCATTAAGACAATGCATAAGCACCAAGCTAATAAGAGAATAATAGAATTATAACTATGTATAATCAACCCTAAATCAGGCAAGAAAGTAAAGAAGCAGAAACAGAAAAAATAACAGCATAGTAGGTTTAAAGTCAAATATACTAACGTGTAAGTTACATTATGTGTAAGTGAAATATATTAACATGAAGTGTTAGTGGACTAAATAATATAATTAAAAGGCAAAGCTTAACATACTAGATAAATTCCAAACCTAATTATATACTTGTTTAAAAGAAATAAAATATGAGGATGTAGCAAAGATTGAAAATAATAAGATGAAAAACATATATTATGCAATAAATACTAAGTAAAAGAAAGATACTGCACCTATATTGTTACCAAGCAAATTAGACAGCAATGAAAAAAGAACTACTAGAGACACAAAATACATTTAATAGTAATACAACTACAACTTGACAGAAAAGTGTAGCTAGTCTAAACTTGTGTGCACCTAAGAACAACCTCAAAATATAGAACACATTGCTGATTTAGGCAGCAGAGAAAAAATATAAAGGACACAAAATTTGTCAGAATTAAAAGCAAAATAGATAAATCCAATATCATAGTAGGAAATTTTAAACAGCTGTCTTGATAACTGATAGAACAAATAGGTAAATATCCACAAGGGTATAGAAGATTTCAAGTGACATGGGTTACAAATCTAATTGACCTAATTAACATTTATTGAACATTGCATCTACTAACTAAAAGAATACACATTCTTTATAGTATATATACACAATTTATCAAAATTTAGCATACTGGCCATAAAGCAAGTTTTAACAAATTTCAAAAATTTAAAATCATAAGCAATATGTTTTTGAACCTCAGCAGAATTAACTAGAAATAAATAGCAAAAAGATAATTTATAAAATTCCTATGTGTCTGGAATTTAATCAGTACACTTCTACTTAAACTATTAGTCAAAGAAGAAATCCAAATTGATTTTATAAAATATTTTGGAATAAATAATCTGGAAGCACAGCATACCAAAATTTGTGATGCAGCTAAAGCAGTGCTTATAGAGAAATTTACAGCCTTAAATACATATATTATTAAATAAGTAACATTAAATGTTAAGTATCTAAGCTTTAGACATTAGAGAAAGAATAGCAAAGAAGAAACAGGGCACATCCATAAAATGGAATACTCTGCAGCTTCTAAATAAAGTGGTATGGATCTAAAGCAATTAACATGTCACGGAGAGAAAAAAGCAGTTTGTGAAGAGTATTAGAGTTCTCCGTCTGCTTATGTAAAATCATATACTCACTGGGATATGTCTGGAAGTATACATAGCAAACTGTGAATGATGTTTGTTTCTGGTGATGGTATTTTAAGTTATTTTTATTTTTTTCTTTATACACTTCACATCTGAAGAATTTAACGCATAAAAGATTATTTTAAAAATCCAACTAACTCTGATAATTAGGCTACTTTTATTCTGAAAAGCAAAAAATGGCATAATATAATGAAAGAGTAATTTATGGTGAACCCCCAAATGTGTGATTTTAGACATCAGGTAATGTGCTTGGTCAGAGTAAGGAGAGAACAAAGAAGTCTTGGAGGTGGTGATGGATAGTGAGGAAGTCAGTACTTAAGCTGGGCCCTGAAAAATGGGTATCATTTGGATAGATGAAAAGTAGTGGGTCCGGTTTTCCAGAGTAGGCATATTCTGTCTGTAAATCTATTCTTTATTACACATTATGTTTTCTGTGATGGGAGTTAATGGGAGATAAAAAGGTAGGTAAGATATCAGCCTGAGTTAAGACAGAAACCTGGAAGTCACCTTAGACTAGTTCCTCTCTCTCAGTACTCACATCCAATTAATTGTTAGGTTTTAAATAATTTAGATTTCAAAAATGATTCATTTGTAACATTCTCCCTACTCTTTTTCTTTGAGACGCCCATTATTTCTTGTATATATTCTGTTATTTCATACTTGTATGCGTATGTTCTTGAAGTTTGCTCTAGCTAGAATGCCCTCTTCACGTTTTCTTTCTTAGTTATTTTCATTTCTAAGTATTGGTTGGGGCATCATCTTCTCTGGGAACTTTTCCTTGAAGGCTCAATTCTCCTTTTCTAGGCTTCCATAGCCTAATTTTTACTTACCTTTATTTTACTGATTATAATATTATATCAAAATGATCACTTTAAGTACGTGTGTCTCCTACTGGACTATAAATTTTTCAAGGATAAAGGTGGTATCTTACTCAATTTTGTAAACACGGGGATGGCAAAGGCATTCAACAACTGTTCAGTAAGTGTTTGTTGCTTTGGGTCATTACAAAGTGATAAGGAGTTTGGGTTTCAGTTTATACAATTTTGTGAATCCCTATTCGTTCCAGGATATGTTGAGATTCACAATGAGCTGGGTGAAACAGTGTTCCCATTCTTCTTCTGGAATTTTGAATATTTTCTTCTTTAAAATTATTTTTAATATTATGCTATCTAAGTTACAGTTTAAACAAATGTTATTAAATTCTTTAGTACTAACAGTCACCAACTTTGATAAGTTATGTCTACGATTACTTTCCACTGATATTGTGTAAAATGTAATTAGGATATTACATTACAGGGACCTATCTCTATTGGTATTAGGCTTAAGGTAAAGTTTAAGATGTTAAAGCAAAGAAAGTATAATTTAGCCGATGCATTCATTCATTTTACTTTTACCACAAATATGATGAGACATAAAAGCTTAAGTATTTCTTTCATGGAAAGACATATAATGGAAGCATAAAGCCCTCAGAACCAATGAGCCCATTATATCGGTCAATCAAAAACAGATAAAAAATGATTTTTGAAAAAGACTCAAATTGAAGTCTAGAATTGTACCAAGACTTAGCTTTTCTTTAATTCCTAGCTTTCCTGATGCCTCCTACATAGCTGCTTTTTACAATGCCAAGTAAAGGAAGACATGTAATCAGTGACTCAGGTGAATCCTTTTGCTCTGGAAACGGTGGAGCTTATTTGTAGCTTGGAGCAGAGTGAGAAAAGAATTAGTTTCTTTCTTTCTTTCTTTCTTTTTTTTGACAGAGTCTCTCTCTGTCATCCAGGATGGAGTACAGTGGCATGTCTCAGCTCACTGCAATCTCCTCCTCCTGGGTTCAGCCAATTCTCCTGTCTCAGCCTCCCGAGTAGCTGGGACTACAGGTGTGCACCACCACACCCAGCTAATTTTTGTATTTTTAGTACAGATGGGGTTTCACCAAGTTGGCCAAGCTGGTCTTGAACTCCTGACCTCAAGCGATCCACCCATCTTGGCCTCCCACAGTGCTGGGATTACAGGCGTGAGCCACTGCACCTGGCTGTAGTTTCTGTTAAATGATGTAAAATGCTCTAGAATTGGTGACATTTACTTCAATAATTTGAAGTGAGTAATGAAGGAATTGGAAGCTACTCCATTTTCCTTCAACATACAACTGGAAGGAAAATATATGTTGGGTGAATGTGCAGATGTCTGAGTGACTTCATTTTTGGATTTTCATATATTATGCACGTACTGATGTCAGAAAACAACTTGCATTTTGGAGATCTTTTTTGGAAATTGTAAAGTTGACGTCTTCAAAATAGCTATTTTGCTAAGAAAACATCTAATTGGAAGAAAATCTCATTTATTGTGCTTGTAAAGGGAGGACCTGTAATGCTGGGAATACATCTGGTTTTGTTGATTAGTTGAGGAATTGTGTTCACCATGATTTCCACAAGTGTACATGGCATCAAAGATTCTAAGAAGAATCCCAAGATGCCTTTGTCTACGTGCATACAAGTCAACCACTTAAAAAAATCCAGATTCTCAAATCAACATATCTACAATTAGCTTGCCACAAAATGGTAGCAGAATACAAATATATCTTTAAAATTAACCATGTAATATATAAATTCATATGCATACATATTATATAATGTATATAGCATAAAGAAATATGATTTTCCTCTATATGCTTTTGAAATGTATAGAAATAGAAAATAATATATAATACATAAATTAATATACATGATATAAATATAGGCATGTCTTCGAATCTATATGCCTTTAAAATATATATGCATTTACAAATAAATATGTAATATAAAAATTAATGGGCCTATCATACAAATGTGTATGTTAGATGCCTTTACAATATATAAATATATATTCATAAATGTAAGCATAATATATACACTAAACTATTAAATATACATTAAATATATATTATGTATTTAATTTTTTAAAAATGTTTTAAGACTTGTTTTGTGACCTAACATGTGGTCTATCTTTGAGAATGATCCATGTTTGGAGGAAAAGAATGTGCATTCTGCAGCCATTGAATGAATGTTCTGTAAATATCTATTAGATACATTTGGTGTATAGTACAGACTAAGCCTGATGTTTCTTTGTTGATTTTCTGTCTGGAAGATCTGTCCAGTGCTGAAAGTAGCTGGGTGTTGAAGTCTCCAGCTATTGTTTTGGGGCCTTTAATAATATTTGCTTTATATATCTGGGTGCTCCAGTGTTGGGTAAATATATATTTAAAATTGTTATATCCTTTTGCTGAATTGACCCCTTTATCATTATATTGTAACTTTTGTCTCTTCTTATTGTTTTGGTCCTGAAATTCATTCTGTCTGATATACGTATAGCAATTCCTGTCCTTTTGTGGTTTCCATTGAAATGGAATATCTTTTTACATCCCTTTATTTTCAGTCTATCTCTGTGAGTATAGGTGAAGTATGTTTCTTGTAGGCAACAGATCATTGGGTCTTGTTTTTTCATCCACTCAGCCACTCTGTCTTTTAATTGGAGGGTTTAGTTCACTTACGTTCAATGTTATTATTGACAAGAAAGGACTTACTCTTGCTATCTTGTTATTTGTTTTCTGTTTTGTGGTCTTTTTTTCCTTATTTCTTTCCTTCCTGTCTCCCTCTAGTGAAGGTGATTTTCTCTGGTGATGTGGTTTAGTTTCATGCTTTTTATTTTTTGTGTATCCACGGTATGTTTTTTGGCTTGAAGTTACCATAAGCCTTGCAAATAATATCTTATAATTCGTTATTTTAACCTGAGAACAACTTAACACTATTTGCATAAACAAACAAGCAAAAAGAAAACCAATAAAAACTCTGCACCTTAACTTCATTCCCTCTGTCTTTTATACTTTTAGTTGTTTCTATTTACATCTTATTGTATTGCTTATGTCTTGAGAAGTTGATGCAGTTATTACTTTTGATTGGTTCATCACTGAGTCTTTCTACTTAAGATAAGAGTAGTTTACACATCACAGTTACTGTGTTATAATATTTTGTGCTTTTCTGTGTACTTACTATTACCAGTAAGTTTTATACCTTCAGGTGATTGCTTATTGCTCATTAACATCCTTTTCTTTCTGATTGAAGTACTCCCTTCAGCATTTCTTGTGGGATGGATTGATGAAATCCCTCAGCATTTGTTTTTCTGGGAAAGTCTACTTCTCCTCCATGTTTGAAGGATATTTTCACTGGATATACTATCTTAGGGTAACAGTTTTTTTTCCTTCAGCACTTTATGTCATGCCACTCTTTCCTGGCTTATAAAGTTTCTACTGAAAAATCTGCTGCCAGAGGTATTGGAGTGCCATTGTATGTTATTTGTTTATTTTCTATTGCTACTTTTAGGATATTTTCTTTATCTTTGAACTTTGGGAGTTTATTAAATGCCTTGAGATAATTTGCTTTGGGTTAAATCTGCTTGGTGTTCTGACCTTCTTGTACTTGGATGTTGATATTTTTCTCTAGGGTTGGGGAGTTCTCTGTTATTATCCCTTTAAATAAACTTTCTACCCATGTCTCTTTTTCTACCTCCTCTTTAAGGCCAATAACTTTTAGATTTGTCTTTTTGAGGCATTTTCTAGATCCTGCAGGCATGCTTCATTGTTTTTTATTATTCTTCTTTGACTGTGCTTTTTCTGCTTGATCAATTCTGCTATTAAAGGACTCTGATGCATTCTTCTGTATGCCAGTTGCATTTTTCAGCCCCAGAATTTTCAGCTCCAGATTCTTCTTAATTATTTTAATCTCTTTGTTAAATTTATGTGATTGAATTGGGACTTTCTTCTCTGTTATCTTGAATTTCTTTGAGTTTCCTCAAAACAGCTATTGTGAATTCTCTATCTGAGAGATTACATATCTCTGTTTCTCCAGGATTGGTCCCTGGTGGCTTATCTAGTCCATTTGGTGAGGTTATGCTTTCCTGGATTGTATTGAATTCTTTGGTGTCTGGAGATTGAAGACTTAGGTATTGTAGTTTTCATTGTCTGGGCTTGTTTGTACCTATCTTTTTTGGGAAGGTGAATCTCATGTCAAATTTTAATCCTCAATATTGGAGGAGGGGCCTGGTGGGAGATGACTGAATCATGGGGGCAGATTTCTCCCTTGCTGTTCTAGTGATAGTGAGCGAGTTCTCATGAGATCTGGTTGTTTAAACATGTGTGGCACATTCCCCCTCTCTCTCTTCCTATTTCTCTGGCCATATAAGATGTGTCTGATTCCCCTTTGCCTTCTGCCATGATTGAAAGTTTCCTGAGATCTTCTCAGCCATGCTTCATGTATAACCAGTGGAACTGTGAGTCAATTAAACCCTTTTTCTTTATGAATTACCCAGTTTCAGGTAGTTCTTTATAGCAATGAGAGAACATGCGAATACAGAAGGCTTTCCTTCCAGATATTTGAAAAGACCTGGGTGTTGTGATCCAAGCTGTATTTGCTGTAGGGGGCACCCCAAGCCCAGTAATACTGTGGTTCTTGCAGACTTGTAGAGGTACTGCCTTGATGGTCTTATGGTCTTGGACAATATCTGGGGGAATTCTCTGGATTATCAGGCAGAGACTCTTGCTCTCTTCCCTTACTTTCTCTCAAACATACAGAGTCTCTCTTTCTCTGTTCTGAGCTACCTAAAGCTTGAGGTGGAGTGACACAAACCTCTCTATGACCACCACTACTATGACTATGTTGGCTCAGACCTAAAGCCACCACAGCACTGGGTCTCACCCAAGGCCTGCTATAACAACTTCCTGACTACAGCCTATGTTTGCTCCAGGCCCTGGGGCTCTACAATCATCAGGTAGCAAAACCAGCCAGGCCTGTGTCTCTCACTTCAGGGCAGCCAGGTCTCCCAGGCACTGGGTGGGTCCGGTGGTGCTATCCAGGAGTCAGGAACTAGAGTGAAAAACCTTAGAAGTCTAGCTAGTGTTCTATTGTATTGCAGCTGAGCTGGCACTCAAACCACAAGACGCTGTTCCTTCCCCTTTCCAAAGGCAGAGGAGCCTCACTCCATAGCCGCCATCAACACAGGTCATAAGGAGTACTGCCAGTCTAATGCCAATGTTTCTTTAAGACTCAAAGTCTCTTAAGTCAGCTTGTGAATGCTGCCTGACCTGGGACTTATCCTTCAAGACAGTGGGCTCCCCTCTGGCCTAGGGAAGGTCCAGAAATGCTGTACAAGTGTCAAGTCCTGGAATTGGGGACCCTGAGAGCCTGCTTGTTACTCTACCCCACTGTGGCTGTGCTGGTGCCTAAGGTGCAAGGCAAAGTCACCTTTACTTTTCCCTCTGCTTTTCTCAAGCAAAAGGAGTTTTTCCCCATATCCACCACAGCCAGTTATGTGTCAAGTCTCATCTGAAGCCAGCAAGTCTCAGAGGCTCACCCAAGGCTTTCAATGTAGTATATGGGTATCACTGCTGATTATTCAGAGCCTGAGGTCTCTTCTGTTAACCGGTAATGAATGCTGCCTGGACTGTGTCCTTTCCTTCAAGGCAGTGGGCTCCCCTCTGTCCCAGGGTGTGTCTAGAAATGTCGTCGAAAAACTAGGGCCTGAAATGGGAGCCTCCCAACTCTGATCCATGCCCTATCCTGCTATGGCTGAGTTGGTATCCAAGATGCAAGACAAATTCCTCCCCTCTCTTCCCTCTCCTCAAGCATAAGGAAGGGGTCTCTTTCAGAGTCATGAGCTGTGCAGCCTGGGGTTGAGGGAGGGGTGATGCCAACATTCTCTTTACTGCCCCTGCTGGTGTCTCACTGTCACGTGCTTCCCCAGTTCCCTGACTCTGGGCCCAGTTCAGCACTAGGATTCACCTAAGAGTTGCAGTTCTTTTAGCCTAGACTGCCTTTCAAGTTTACTTAGTGACACAGAGCACTGTATCCCTCTGTGTTGTGAGAACTCAAGTTCGGACTGCTGGGATTGGTGATTCCCCTCTGGCTAGGGCTGGTTTAAATGTTCCCTCCATGGATGGGTGTCAGCTGAGTTTGATCTGATTTTTCTTTCTGCTCTACCAGGATAGCACTGAGTTCAATGCTTCACAGTTGCTATGATTTTCCTCCCCCAGTGCCCAGAGATGCTCTCTGCACCAGGCCATTGCTATGGATGGTGGTGGTGGTGTTGGCAATTCAAGACTGTTTTTTCTATCTCTTTAGTGCCTCTTTTATCAATATGAAGATAAAACAAGGTACTATGATGGCTCACCTGATTTATAGTTCTTAATTAAGATGATTTTTTTCTGTGTAGATAGTTGTTAAATTGATGTCCTTGCAGGGGTTGGGGTAAGGTCGGTGGAGCCTTCTATTCCACCATCTTTCTCTGCCTTCCTCTAAATACGTATTACATATAAATATGCTTTGCTATCCCAAAAGAGCAAGATGCATTGCAACCAGTAATATATGAGAATGCCTTACTTCCTAAACGCTTTTCAATACTGGAAATTGTCTTTGAAAAAAATATTGGACAAATATTTTCTACTTTGACAAGCGAGAAAAATATATTATTTCAATTAGAAACTCTTTGATTATTATTGTGGTCAAATTTCTATTTAATATCTTGATCATTTGTCTTTTAGGATTAATTGCCTATTCATACACATTACCTATTTTGTTTTTTGAGACAGGGTCTCATTGTGTTTTCCAGGCTGGTCTTGGACTCCTAGGCTCAAGCAATCCTCCTGCCTCAGCTTCTCAAAGTGCTGGGATTACAGGCGTGAACAACTGCACCCAGCCCATATTACCTATGTTAATATGGGAGTGTTTATCTTTCACTTAATTATATCTAGGCACTCTGTATATAATATAGATATTAAGCCTTTATTGTCACATGCGTTGTGCATTTGTTTTTCATCAGTCTCTTATCTTTCAACTTTGTTTATAATTTAAAAGAGTTTTCCTCTCCTTAAAAATGTGCAAGTCATTTGCTTCAATAAGGCAGTGGAAAAAATCCTAGTTATTCTTTGAATTAGACTGACCTTGAGAGAGCAGATCTTAAAGAATTTGGTTTTGAGACAGAAAGATTTTTTTCCAGAGGGGGGGTGGTGGTTCTTGCAGGCATATTAGTGTCTCTGGCTGCTTATCTTCCCTAATTCCTAATTTATAATCAGCACCTGTGAAAAATATCTGGGGTTCCAGTGTCCATTCACAGATAGCAAAATAAAAGCACAGAGCCTCAGCTCTCTAGAAGTACATTTTTCCTTTAAGTGGAGGGTTTTTAATGAAGAATAATATTAGACCTTAGTTTAGTGAACTTGAATATTCACCTACTTTAGCAAGCAGTAAGTAACAGGTTCAGTCTAATTGTCTAGAGAAAATCTTGACTTTTGTAGTGAATGCAAGTTATCAAATACTCTGTATTACACTGGTGAATGACTCATTTTAAGATAAATCTAAACATGGAAAAATATAACTTATAGTCTAGTTCTTATTTTTAAGTATTGCTCATGTTCACTATGTGCATTATTTCTACGGCACAGACAGTGATGGAATAGGAGAAGATTTCCCAGGCTACCAAAATAAAGGAAAGATTGTAATTCAACTACAAATTTGCTTAAGGAGAGAGTAAAGACTTTCAGTGGGGGTGTACATTTGTCTTGGTGAGTGGTCCATGGAAGTCTGATGATATAGCAAGAAAAAATAAATATTCTTCCCAAGATTGCTTCATCTATTTTAAGAAAAAAATGGAATAATTGAATATAAAAGTTGCATCCTTCCACTTTCCTTTGGGCAAGATAACATTCTCCTTGGAGTCTCTCTCTTAAAAGGAAGCTGCTGCTCATATCAGTATTTAAGATAAGAGGTCACGTCAATGTCTAAAGATACAAAAATCCTTTAAAAAAGTGGGCAAAGGGCCAGGTGCAGTGGCTCATGCCTATAATCCAAGAACTTCGGGAGGCTGAGGCGGGCAGATCACAACGTCAAGAGATCAAGACCTCCTGGCCAACATGGTGAAACCCCGTCTCTACTAAAAACACGAAAATCAGCTGGGCATGGTGGCATGTGCCTGTAGTCCAAGCTGCTCTGAAGGCTGAGGCAGGAGAATTGCTTGAACCTGGGAGGTGCAGGGAGGCGGAGGTTGCAGTGAGCCAAGATTGTGCCACTATACTCCAGCCTGGCGACACAGCGAGACTTCGTCTCAAAAAAAAAAAAAAAAAAAGCAAAGGACTTGAATAGATATTTTTCAAAAGAAGATGTATAAATGGTGAACAAGCACAGGAGAAAATGCTCATCATCACTAATCATCAGAGAAATGCAAATTAAAACCACAATGAGTTATGATGTTATATTAGTTAGAATGGCTATTATTGAAAAAACAAAAAGTAACAGATGTTGATGAGGATGCAGAGAAAAGGGAGTGCTTATACACTATTGATAGGAATGTAAATTAGTACATCGTCTATGGAAAACAGTATGGAGATTTCTCAAAGAACTAAAAATAGAACTACCATTTGATCCAGCAATCCCACTGCTTGGTATCTACCCAAAGAAAAATAAATTATTATGTAAAAAATTATGTAAAAAGGATACCTAAACTTTAACATTTATTGCAGATAGCAAAGATAAAGTGTCAACCTAAGTGTCCATCAAGTCATCATTGGACGAAGAAAATATGGCATATATACCCAATCAATTACTATATAGCCATAAAAAAGAGTGAAATCAAGTCTTTTGTAGCCACATGGGTGAAACAGGAGGCCATTATCTTAAGTGAAACAACTCAGACACAGAAAGACAAATACTACACGTTCTCACTTATAAGTGGGAGCTAAAATAATGTGTACACAGGGACATAGAGTGTGGAATGATAGACATTGGAGACTCAGAAGGGTAGTGGAGGTGGGAGAGACTGGATAATGAGAAATTACTTAATGAGTACTATGTACATTATTCTGGAAATAGATACACTGAAAGCCCTGACTTTACCATTATGCTATCTATCCATGTATCAAAATTACACTTGTACCCCATACATTTATATTTTTAAAAATGTGACAGCAAAGGAGTACTGGACAAGAACTGACAAGGGAAAGGACAGTTACAGATGGGAAATTTATAGCAATTTTGTGTCTGATTCAGATCTGATTTAGAGTCACTGGCATCTTTCGTGCTTGCTCAGGATTGCTGGTCCCTGACAGAACATCTGGATCTATTCCCTGGGAGGAGTAATGGCTTTGTGTTGATTTGTACTTAGAATATCACTATCTTATGTCATCATATTTTGGCTGCTGGAATAATTAAAGGCAAATTTCTTTGTGCTTCTGCATTATTTTCCCTTTGGGGGTAGGTATGAGTTTTATATTTCCCTATAATTACAGGGCATGAAGCTGGAACTAGCAGTTTATGTATTACAAATGAATCTTATGTAGCATTTTTATCACCTAATTAATATCTCAAGTCAATGTTTTATTATGCTGTATCACATTCCAGAGTTTTTGCAAACTGAGATTTGGTAAAGATGCTATCATAAAATCTACCACATAAATCACACAGGAAGACCCAAGATACAGCTTACTAAAATTATTTTTAATAAGGAAGTTATTGTTGCATAAGAATAATTGTAATAAGATGACAGCTAGTATATGCATACTAACTGATATATACAATCTTTTGTCTTATTAATAGATCCTCAGGGTAGGGAATATAGCTGTACTTTTAAAACAAATTATAGGCTGTTAGAAATAAAATAAAGACTAAGTTTTCACTGCACTTATTAAAAGGATGACTGACCAAAATTGACACTGTATTACTAATGTACATGCTAAGGAAATACTGGAATGTAGTCTAGGGATAGATAGAAAGGGGAAGAAAGAAGGAAAGTCCTTATTTTGGGTTAGTGAAATGAAGCTACATATAAGAAGTAAAAATTTTAGAAACTGACTTTTAAAATGTTCCAGTTGACAAAAAAAGAACTATGCTAATTTTGATTTCCTCAGACAAAGGATAGGAAGAAAGTATAGCTAGTTTAAGCTAATAATAATAATAGTAAAAACTAAGCATATAATACAGGTTATGGATTACAGAAATATGTTTTTAAAAGTTAAATAAATCAAATTATATTAGCAACATTATTTAATAAGAACCTTCAGAGAAACTATTTTAATAAACACTATTTTAAAAAATGATGAAACTATTGTATTTAGCACGTAATTTTTATGTAAATGGGACTTTAGAAACTCTTATATTGTATTGTCTTACATTGCTGTTTATGCTACACATCTACACAGACAAGTAGATGCTTAAAAATGTGTAGTTTTGGGGGGCAATTAAAATATTTATTAATAGTTTTTAATTAGTATTCTTTTCAGTCAACAAGTTTACAATGAGTATATTCTGCATCTAGCTTTGTGATAGGTACTTTGGAGATGTAAAATAAGTATAATAGAGGGTGGCTGGCAAGGTGGCCAAATAGGAACAGCTCCGGTCTGCAGCTCCCAGCAAGATCAACGCAGAAGGAGGGTGATTTCTGCATTTCCAACTGAGGTACCCGGCTCATCTCACTGGGACTGGTTAGACAGTGGGTGCAGCTCACAGAGGGTGAGCCAAAGCAGGGTAAAGCATCACCTCACCTGGGAATTGCAAAGGGTCGGGGAACTCCCTCTTCTAGACAAGGGAAGCTGTGAAGGACTGTGCCATGAGGGGTGGTGCATTCTGGCCCAGATACTATGCTTTTCCCACAGTCTTTGCAACCTGAAGACCAGGAGATTCCCTTGGGTGCTTACACCACCAGGGCCCTGGGTTTCAAACACAAAACTGGGTGGCTGTTTGGGTGGACACCAAGCTAGCTTCAGGAGTTTATTTTCATACCCCAGTGGCACCTGGAAGGCCAGCAAGACAGAACCGTTCACTCCCCTGGAAAGGGGGCTGAAGCCAGTGAGTCAAGTGGTTTAGCTCAGTGGATCCCACCCCCATGGAGCCCAGCAAGTTAAGATCCACTGGCTTGAAATTCTTGCTGCCAGCACAGCAGTCTGAAGTCGACCTGGGACACTCGATCTTGCTGGCGGGAGGGGAGTCCGACGTTACTGAGGCTTGAGTAGGCAGTTTCCCCTTCACAGTGTAAACAAAGCCACAGGGAAGTTCAAACTGGGCCAAAACCACTGCAGCTTGGCAAAGCCACTGTAGCCAGACTGCCTCTCTAGATTCCTCCTTTCTGGGCAGGGCATTTCTGAAAGAAAGGCAGCAGCCCCAGACAGGGGCTTATAGATAAAACTCCCATCTCCCTAAGACAGAGCACCTGGCGGAACGGGCAGCTGTGGGCGCAGCTTCAGCAGACTTAAATGTTCCTGTCTGCTGGCTCTGATGAGAGCAGTGGATCTCAAGCACAGCACTTGAGCTCTGCTAAAAGACAGACTGCCTCCTGACTGGGAAACACCTCCCAGCAGGGATTGACGAACACCTCATACAGGAGAGCTCTGACTGGCATCTGGCGGGTGCCCCTCTTGGACGAAGCTTCCAGGGGAAGGAATAGGCAGCAATCTTTGCTGTCCTATCGCCTCCACTGGTGATACCCAGACAAACAGTGTCTGGAGTGGACCTCCAGCAAACTCCAGCAGACCTGCAGCTGAAGGGCCTGACTGTTAGAAGAAAAACTAACAGAAAAAAATAGCATCAACATCAACAAAAAGGATGTCCACACAGAAACCTCATCCAAAGGTCACCAACATCAAAGACCAAAGGTAGATAAATCCACGAAGATGAGGAAAAACCAGCGAAAAAACTGAAAATTCCAAAAACCAGAACTCCTCTTCTCCTCCAAAAGCAAGGGAACAAAACTGGTTGGAGAATGAGCTTGACAAATTGACAAATTTGACAAATTGACAGAAGTAGGCTTCAGAAGGTGAGTAATAACAAACTCCTCCGAGTTAAAGGAACATGTTCTAACTCAATGCAAGGACACTAAGAACCTTGAAAAAAGGTTAGAGGAATTGCTAACTAGAATAACCAGTTTAGAGAAGAACATAAGTGACCTGATGGAGCTGAAAAACACAGTACGAGAACTTCATGAAGCATACACAAGTATCAATAGCCGAATCAATCAAGAGGAAAAAAGAATTTCAGAGATTGAAGATCAACTTAATGAAATAAAGCATGAAGACAAGATTAGAGAAAAAAGAATGAAAAGAAAAGAACAAAGCCTCCAAGAAATACGGGACTATGTGAAAAGACCAAACCTACATTTGACTGGTGTACCTGAAAGTGATGGGGAGAATGGAACCAAGCTGGAAAACACTTTTCAGGATATTATCCAGGAGAACTTCCCCAACCTAGCAAGGGAGGCCAACATTCAAATTCAGGAAATACAGAGAACATCACAAAGATACTCCTCGAGAAGAGCAACCCCAAGACACATAATCGTCAGATTCACCAAGGTTGAAATGAAGGAAAAAATATGAAGGGAAGCCAGAGAGAAAGGTTGAGTTACCCATAAAGGGAAGCCCATCAGACTAACAGCAGATCTCTCTGCAGAAACCAGAAGCCAGAAGCGGGGGGGGCCAATATCCAATATTCTTAAAGAAAAGAATTTTCAACCCAGAATTTCATATCCAGCAAAACTAAGCTTCATAAGTGAAGGAGAAATAAAATCCTTTACAGACAAGCAAATGCTGAGAGATTATATCATCACGAGGCCTGCCTTACAAGAGCTCCTGAAGGAAGCACTAAATACGGAAAGGAACACCTGGTATCAGCCACTGCAAAAACATACCAAATTGTAAAGACCATTGACAGTATGAAGAAAGTGCATTAACTAATGGGCAAAATAACCAGCTAGCATCATAATGACAGGATCAAATTCACACATAACAATATTAACCTTAAATGTAAATGGGCTAAATGCCCCAATTAAAAGACACAGACCGGTAAATTGAATAAAAAGTCAAGACCCATTGGTGTGCTGTATTCAGGAGACCCATCTCACGTGCAGAGACACACATAGGCTCAAAATAAAGGGATGGGGGGATATTTACCAAGCAAATGGAAAGCAAAAAAAAAAAAAAAAAAAGCAGGGGTGCAATCCTAGTTTCTGATAAAACTGACTTTAAACCAACAAAGATCAAAAAAGACAAAGAAGGGCATTACATAATGGTAAAGGGTCAATGCAGCAAGAAGAGCGAACTATCCTAAATATATATGCATCCAATACAGGAGCACCCAGATTCATAAAGCAAGTTCTTAGATACCTACAAGGAGACTTAAACCCCCACACAATAGTAGTGGGAGATTTTAACACCCCACTGTCAATATTAGACAGATCAATGAGATGGAAAATCAACAAAGATATGCAGGACTTGAACTCAGCTCTGGACCATGCACACTTAATAGATATCTACAGAATTCTCCACCCCAAATCAACAGAATATACATTCTTCTCAGCACCACATTGCACTTATTCTAAAATTGACCACATAATTGGAAGTAAAACACTCCTCAGCCAATGGAAAAGAATAGAAATCATAACAAACAGTTTCTCAGACCACAGTGCAATCAAATTAGAACTCAGGGTTAAGAAACTCATTCAAAACCACACAACTGCATGGAAACTGAACAACCTGCTCCTGAGTGATTACTGGGTAAATAACAAAATTAAGGCATAAATAAATAAGCCCTTTGAAACCAATGAGAACAAAGATACAACATACCAGAATATCTGGGACACAGCTAAAACAATGCTTAGAGGGAAATTTATAGCACTGAATGCCCACAGGAGAAAGTGGGAAAGATCTAAAATCAACACTCTCCCATTACAATTAAAAGAACTAGAGAAACAAGAGCAAACAAATTCAAAAGCTGGCAGGAGACAAAAAATAACTAAGATCAGAGCAGAACTAAGGAGATAGAGACACGAAAAACCCTTCAAAAAATCAATGAATCCAGGAGCTGGGTTTTTGAAAAGACTAACAAAGTAGATAGACCGCTAGCCAGACTAATAAAGAATAAAAGAGAGAAGAATCAATTAGACAATAAAAAATGATAAAGGGGATATGACCACTGATCGCCCAGAAATGCAAACTACCATCAGAGAATACTATAAACACCTCTACACAAATAAACTAGAAAATCTAGAAGAAATGGATAAATTCCTGGACACATACAGCCTCCCAAGACTAAACCAGGAAGCTGAATCCCAGAATAGACCAGTGATTAATATCCTACCGGTAATTACTATCCTACCAACAAAAAACAGCCTAGGACCAGACAGATTCACAGCCGAATTCTACCAGAGGCACAAAGAGGAGCTGGTATCATTCCTTCTAAAACTATTCCAATCAATAAACAAGAGGGAATCCTCCCTAACTCATTTTATTAGGCCAGCATCATCCTGACATCAAAACCTGGCAGAGTCACAACAAAAAAAGAAAATTTCAGGCCAATATCCCTGAAGAACATTGATGCAAAAATCCTCAATAAAATATCAGCAAATTGAATCCAGCAGCACATCAAAAAGCTTACCCACCAGGATCAAGTCAGCTTCATCCCCGGGATGCAAGGCTTGTTCAACATATGCAAATCAATAAACGTAATCCATCACATAAACGGAACCAATGACAAAAACCACATGCAGAAAAGGCCTTCAAAAAAAAATTCAACAGTCCTTCATGCTAGAAACTCTCAATAAACTGGGTATTAATGGAATGTATCTCAAAATAATAGAGCTATTTATGACAAACCCACAGCCAGTATCATACTGAATGGGCAAAAGGTGGAAACATTCCCTTTGAAAACTGGCTCAAGACAAGGATGCCCTCTCTCACCACTCCTGTTCGAAATAGTATTGGAAGTTCTGGCCAGGGCAATCAGACAAGAGAAAGAAATAAAAGCTATTCAATTAGGAATAGAGAAAGTCAAATTATCTCTGTTTGCAGATGACATGATTGTATATTTAGAAAACCCCATCATCTCAGCCCCAAATCTCCTTAAGCTGATAAGCAGCTTCACCAAAGTCTCAGGATACAAAATCAATGTGCAAGAATCACAAGCATTCTTATACATCAATGATAAACAAACAGAGAGCCAAATCATGAGTGAACTACCATTCACAATTGCTATTAAGAGAATAAAATACCTAGGAATACAACTTATAAGACATGTGAAGGACCTCTTCAAGGAAAACTACAAATCACTGCTCAAGGAAGTTAGAGAGGACACAAACAAATGGAAAAACAGTCCATGCTCATGGATAGGAAGAATTAATATGGTGAAAATGGCCATACTGCCCAAAGTAATTTATATATTCACTGTTATCCCCATCAAGCTACCATTGACTTTCTTCACAGAATCAGAAAAAAACTTTAAATTTCATATGGAACTGAAAAAGAGCCTGTATAGCCAAGACAATCCTAAACATAAAGAACAAAGTTGGAGGCATCATGCTACCTGGCTTCAAACTATACTACAAGGCTACAGTAACCAAAACAGCATGGTACTGGTACCAAAACAGATATATAGACCAGTGGAACAGAACAGAGGCCTCAGAAATAACACCACACATCTACAACCATCTGATCTTTGACAAATCCGACAAAAACAAGAAATGGGGAAAGGATTCCCTATTTAACAAATGGTGTTGGGTAACTGGCTAGCCGTATGCAGAAAACTGAAACTGGACGCCTTCCTTACACTTTATAAAAAAATTAACTCAAGATGGATTAAAGACTTAAACGTAAGACCTAAAACCATAAAAACCCTAGAAGAAAACCTAGGCAATACCATTCAGGACTTAGGCATGGGCAAAGACTTCATGACTAAAACACCAAAAGCAATGGGAACAAAAGCCAGAATAGACAAATGGGATCTAATTAAACTAATGAGCTTCTGCACCGCAAAAGAAACTACCATCAGAGTGAACAGGCAACCTACAGAATGGGAGAAAATTTTTGCAATCTGTCCATCTGACAAAGGGCTAATATCCAGAATCTACAAGGAACCTAAACAAATTTACAAGAAAAAAACAAACAACTCCATCTAAAAGTGGGCAAAGTATATGAACAGACACTTCTCAAAGAAGATATTTATGTGGCCAACAAATATATGAAAAAATGCTCATCATCACTGGTCATTAGAGAAATGCAAATCAAATTAGAATGATGATCATTAAAAAGTCAGGAAACAACAGATGCTGGAGAGGATGTGGAGAAATAGGAACACTTTTACACTGTTGGTGGAAGTGTAAATTAGTTCAACCGTTGTGGAAGACAGTGTGTTGATTCCTCAAGGATCTAGAACCAGAAATGCAATTTGACCCAGCAATCCCATTACTGGGTGTATATCCAATGGAGTATAAATCATTTTACTATAAAGACACATGCACATGTATGTTTATTGCAGCACTGTTCACAATAGCAAAGACTTGGAACCAACCCAAATGACCATCAATGATAGACTGGATAAAGAAAATATGGCACATATACACTGTGGAATGCTATGCAACCATTAAAAAGGATGAGTTCATGTCCATTGCAGGGACAAGGATGAAGCTGGCAACCATCATTCTCAGCAAACTAACACAGGAACAGAAAACAAAACACCGCACGTTCTCACTCATAAGTGGGAGCTGAACAATAAGAAAACATGGACATGGGGAGGGGGACATCACACACCGTGGCCTTTTGGGGTGTGGGGGGGTAGGGGAGGGATAGCATTAGGAGAAATACCTAATGTAGTTGACGGGTTGATGGGTTCAGCAAACCACCATGGTATGTGTATACCTACGTATCAAGCCTGCACGTTCTGCACATCCCAGAACTTAAAGTATAATAATAAAAAAAAGTATAATAACCTTTCAGGTAAGTCAGAGGATTTTTAACAGCTTTATTGAGGTGTAGTTGACATGAAGTAGACTGAACATCTTTAAAGTGTTCAACTTGAGGGCCCGGGCGCGGTGGCTCACGCCTGTAATCCCAGCACTTTGGGAGGCTGAGGCCGGCGGATCAAGAGGTCAGGAGATCAAGACCATCCTGGCTAACACGGTGAAACCCTGTCTCTACTAAAAAAAATACAAAAAAATTAGCCAGGGGTGGTGGCGGTCGCCTGTAGTCCCAGCTACTCAGGAGGCTGAGGCAGGATAATGGCATGAACCCAGGAGGCGGAGGTTGCAGTGAGCCGAGATCATGCCACTGCACTCCAGCCTGGGCAACAGAGCGAGACTCCGTCTCAAAAAGCAAACAAACAAGCAAAACAAATAGTGTTCAACTTGATAAAATTTTACATATGCATATACCTGTGAAACTATCACCTCAATCAGGATAATGAACACGTCCATCACTCCCAAAATTTCTCTTGTGTGCTTTTGTAATTCCTACTTCTGTCTCTCTTCCTCCTGTCTATAGTCAGTCACCCATCTGTTTTTTTTTCCTCCACCATGGTTTATTTTTATTATCTAGAATTGCACATGTATGGAATCATACATTACGTACTATTTTTTGTCTGGCTTCTTTCACTCAGCATAATTATTTCCACATGCATTCAAATTGTTGTGTATCAGCAGTACAGTTTTTCTATTGCTAGGTATTATTCCATGGTATGGATATATCATAATTTGTTTATCTATTCACCTGTTGATGAACATTTGGGTTGTTTCCAGTTTTGGGAAAGAACAACTACATTTTTGCATGGGTGTATGCTTTTATTTGTTTACTTATTTTTTCTACAAATATATAGTAATTTAGTTAAGTTGCTAATGAGGGAACCAGCAGGATGATGCACGTGGTTCGAAAGAGGATACAACAAAATATATCTATTTATATGGCATATGCTTTTAATTCAGGTAAACACCTAGCAGTTGAATAGTTGGTTTACATGGTAGAAATATGCATAACTTTTAAACAAATTGCCAAACTGTTTTCCAAAGTGGTTGCACAATTTACATTCCCACTAGCAGTGTATGAGAATTCTAGTTGTTCCACATCCTCTCTAGCACAGAGTATGGTTCAGTCTTTTGATTTTGGCCATTCTAATAGCACTTTAATGGTTTAAATTATGTCGTTTATCCCTTCCTCCCACCATTAATATGTTGAATTCCTAACCCCTTTACCTCAGAATGTGATGTTATTCAGAAATAGGATTGTTGGCAGATGTAAATAGTGAATGTGAAGTCATACTGAAGTAGAATGGACCCCTGATCCAATATGATTGACATCCCTATAAATGTGGAAAATTCTGACATAGACACACACAGGGTGAACACCATGTGAAGATTATAGCTGTGCTGCCACAGGCCAAGGAGTTACCAGAATCCAGGAGAGAGGCCTGGAAAAAGATCCTGCCCTGGTGTATTTTTAACATTACAAGAAATGGCCAAATTGTTTTCTAAAGGAAGTGTCATTTTGCGTTCCTGCCAGCACTATACCAGCATTCCAGTTGCTCTAAGTTCTCACCAGCATTAGTATTGTCATTTTAAATTTTATTTTAACTATTTTAATGCCTGACTAGAGGCATTTCTTATTTTGGTAAATCTACATTTTCCTGATGAATAATAATGTTGAACATTTAAAATATATTATTTGTCATCTATATTTCTTCTCTGGTGAACTGCCTATTCAAACCATTTATTGGCATAATTCTTAGTGTTAAATTTTGAGAATTCTCCATATTTTCTGAATATAAGGTCATTGTCAGGCATGAGATTTGCAAATACTTTCTCCCAGTCTGTGGCTTATGTTTCATTCCTTTGTCAGTAACTTTTGCACAGCAAGCATTCTCCATTTAGGTGAAGTTATTAATTTTTTTCTTTTATTGATTATTCTTTTTGTGCCATATCAAAGAAACTCTTGGCCTAATCCAAGGTTATAAAGATTTGCCCCTGTGGTTTGTTCTAGATATTTTATAAATTTATATATTACATTTAGTTATATTATCCATTCGAAGTTAATTTTTTATGTGGTTAAAAGTCTTGGTTAGTTGTTCCAGCATTATTTGTTGAAAAAACTATCTATCTTTCTTCCATTGAATGGTCTTTTTATGTTTGAGAAAAATCAATGGACTCTTTCAACAAATGGTGCTGGAACAATTGAACATCCACATTTTTAAAAAGAGAATCTGGACACAGGTCTTACACCTTTCACAAAAATAAACTCAAAATGGATCATAGATCTAAATGTAAAAGATAAAACTCAAAAACTCCTACAATATAACAGGAGAAAATCCAGATGACCTTTAACCTGGTGATACCTTTTTAGATGAAACACCAAAAGTGCAATCCATGAAAGAAAAAAATAAATTTGACTTCATTAAAATTTAAAACTTCTGCTCTGTAAGACACTTAAAAGAATTAAGCGACAAGCCACAGACTGATAGAAAATATTTGTAAAACACATATTTGATGAAGTAGTTGTATCTAAAATATACAAAGAACTCTTAAAACTCACTAACAAGAAAACAAAAAACTATTAAAAAATGGTCAAAAGATCTGAACAGCTACCTCACCAAAGAGGATATACAGATGTCAAATAAGCGTATGGAAAGATGCTAAACATCATTTGCCATGAAAGAATTGCAAATTAAAACAAGGAGGTCCCACTGCACATCTACTAGGATGGCTAAAATACAAAGCCCTGACAACACTAAATGGTGGTGAGGATGTGGAGCAACAGAAACTCTCATTGATTGCTGGTGGTAATCAATAAGATTATCATTGATAATCTGATTATAATAATCAATGAGATTATTATTGTTAATCAATGAGTGGCAAAACAGTACAGTCACTTTGGGAGACACTTTGGCAGTTTCTTATAAAATTAAACATACTTTTATTGCATGACTCAGCAATTGCATCCTATGGTGTATACTCAAATGAGTTGAAACCTGAAGTTCACACAAAAACCTCAACATAAATGTTTACAGCAACTTTATTCATAATTTCCAAAACTTGGAAGCAACCGAGATATCCTTCAATAGGAGAATAGATAAGCAAATTGTTGTACAGTTTGTTTTTACATTTGAAAACTTAAAAAAACTTAAAACAATCTCCATTTTAAGATGACATGATACATCACAGTTAGCCTTGTAAAACTTTATTGAAGGTCAGTCACCTCCTTTAGAAATTATAGTGGAATGGTCAGACAGACAGATGTACAAGCCTAGTTGGTTATTCTCCTGGTTCTTTGACTAGTTTCTTGTGTTGGCACTTGGGGCAGAGTATAACATATGCCCTGAAGTGGAAGGTGTCAGAAATCATCAGTCAATGAAATATTTCTAAGATATCACAGAATAATCATCTGTGAAATCACAAAATAGGAACCCTTAAATTATTCCCATATGTAGTACTGAACTTGAGAATTTATGTGATGCTGCTTATAAAACTCTATGTGATATACTTCTAAATTATAAACATGATACTAATTAGCCTGTGTAATGCCTGGCATGCTTTCTGTATTTTGTATCTTCCATCTTATTTATTGACAGGGGATTCACATTCTCTAAGATTGACAAGTTACATGTTTAAGTTACTGAGTGAAATAATTAAAACCTAACCTTACGTGTCATCACTTTCAAAGTGATGTCAGTGTATGCATTGCCCAGGACACCAGGCAGTCCTCCACAGGAAACACTTCTTGCATCCATATGGTTAGCTGTCATTTAAGATATTAACAACATCATTGTAGTGATTATCAGTGCAAATTATGTATCTTAGTGACAGAAGGATGAGAAGTGCATGAAGAAACAACTGCCTAGATGGAACACAGCGCAAAACGTATGGGCACTTTTAATCTTACTTGGATGCCTTTTCTTTCAGCCTGATTGGAAGTTTAGTTCTTGTCTTTGGAATGATATCCATTCATCTCAGTTGAGTGCAAACCACAGTGCCCAAGTGGCAAATAAATGAATTTCCCTCTGAGGAACTCAAGGACAGCTGATCCCATTCTCACCTATTATCATCAACATAATCATGATTGTATTAGTCCATTCTCACACTGCTATGAAGAAATACCCCAGACTGGGTAATTTATAAAGGAAAGAGGTTTAATGGAATCACAGTTCTGCATTGCTGGGGAGTCCTCAGGAAACTTAACAATAATGGCAGAAGACAAAGGAGAAGCAAGCACCTTCTTCACAGGGCAGTGGACAGAGTGAGTGCCAGCAGGGGAAATGCCAGATGCATATAAAACCATCGGATCCATGAGACTCCCTCATTATCTCTAGAACAGCATGGGGGAAACCACCCCCATGACTTAATTACCTCCACCTAGTCCCACCCTTGACATGTGGGGATTATGGGGATTATAATTCAAGGTGATATTTGGATGGGAACACACAGCCAAACCATATCAATGATCATAGTGAACACATGGGTATCCACATTGTGAAGCACATGAATCTGCTTGTGGACCAGATGCTAAATAATTACTTTCTGACTTTGCTATTAAACATTTTCTCTCCTCCAAACCATAAGGGATCACTGAACCTCAGTTTCTTGATCTTGAAAATGGGAGCAATAATATATCAACTTTACAGGGTTGCTGTGAGCATTAAATGAGTTATTATAAGTAAAGTGCTTAGAACTGTAAGTAGTATATGGCAAGTGCTTTACAAGTGTTGGCTACTGGGGGACTGCTGAACACAAAAACAACATTTATATGTGCCAAAAAGGAATGTGACATAATTTTCTGTATGTTATCAGATTTGACAGTCTGTGGAAGCTGCTGCACACTGTCCTCTGCCTGCCCCTCTCTCACTGCATTGCCATCTGTGGTCCAGTCCCTGTAGCCCCTGGGATTGCAGCAGCTAAAAAAGGGAATTGAGATTGAGTTCTTATGTGAGGCGACAAAGATTTATAATTGCCGCCTCCTGGAATTCAAAGAGTTTCTTTATTTGGCTCATTTTAATAATTTGCTGTAGTATTTAAAGCCACTCTATATTAGTAGAAGACAGATTATTCTTGGGTAACAAATTAAGTCCCAAATTTCTGTGGATTTGCCCAAGAACAATTCCACTGATTATTGCCAGTCACCAAGACAGGGAAAAGCACATGAACTTTTTCCTACCTCAGTTGAATGTGATGCGTCACTTTTATTCCCATGCATTCTCCAGAACTAGGATATGTGACTTTTACTTGCCTATAAAAGGGCCAGGAAATCTAGAGGAAAAAAAGGAATTCCCTTTTCTACCACACACTCCAAATGGCTTCTGGATACTTATTGACTACAATTCTAAGCATTTGTTATGAGCGATTGTGCTGTTTTTCTAAGAAAGAAGATTGGTGAAATCAGCTATTGACAAGACTTCAGGCTACACAGAAGGGTTGGTATTGACTGTGGCACTCACTCATTGATAGGATCACAAGTGGGCGTAGGCTATAGACTTTAATGCATAAAATACTGCCCAAAGAAAACATGGGGTCTTTGTGTTTTACTGAGATATTTCTCCATTATTTATCTGGATATTACTGAGAATGAAGACATTTTTCTCATTATTACAGAGCATAGTTTAAAAATTATAGATGAATTTTGAGCTCCTGGGATATGAACTCCTGCAATATCATTATGAACTCATAATGGCAGGTGTCAAGGCTGTGTGTATGTGTGTGTGTGTGTGTGTGTGTGTGTCCATTCAAGCCTTTAAAAACAGATCCTGGGATTCCTACAGTAGGCTTGATTATTCCATTTGTTTTGTAGAAGGGATATTGAAGTTTAGAAACATTAAACAACTTGTCCCACATCCACAGTTGGGAAATGTGAAAGCTGGAATTTGAGCCCGGGTCTGTCTGACTCTAATGTGTGGCCTCTTCTCAGTCACCTTATGCTGCCCCTCCCATGCTTGGCATTTTTTTCCTTCATGGCTTCTTTTAGGTTTTTGGTTTGGTTGCAGTATCTTTTTTGCTAGAATGTTTTATTTCCCATCCTTCATTGCCCAAGACCTAGCATACTACTTAATATAACATAGAGGCTCACTAGATCTGGGTTAAAATGTTAAAAGAAGAAAATATCTATTCTACATTTATGCCTTAAAAGCTGATTGAGGTTTTGTGTTATGACAACCAGAGAAAAACCAGAGTGTGAAATTGCATGAAGGAGGATATTATATATATATTCTGAAAGGTTGTTTATATGCAGAACTAACAGCCTCTATCATGTGACATTGTCCCCCGTACAATTGATTTGACCAAGAGAGGGCATTTGATGTGAGGGTAGCCAGTCGATAGCCTGGCCAGAACCCCATAAGGTGTCCTGGTGTGAATCTTTGGCCAGTGAAAATTTTGGGAAGCTTGCTATTTATGCAGAAAGACAATTGGTGATTTTGTAGCAGTTTTAAAGTGTGACTTGATGTCTGAAAAGAATGCAGTCAGTAAGAAAAACAGATAAGTCCAAGCAGATACTATGAAGGAATGAAAGCTAACTAAAATGCAGTGCACAGAGTGCACAGCAGTAGGAGTAGGAAGAACAGAGGCCAGGAGAGTGTTTGAGTCTTATTAAGGGTAGAACATAAGAAAAAAAGATTAATAAATACATCCTACTTAGGGATGATGGGATAACCCTTTTGCTGAAGCTGTGTTGGATTCTGAGTGACTGTCCACTTCCTATACTATGTTCCAATTCTTCCAATAAAATCTGATAATCAGGCTTTTCCTGGATAACACAGGCTGGTCATGTGGCAGGCGTCACTGTCTACCTTATTTCTATGTGACTTTACTTTTTCCTGCAGCCAACCGCACTGTTCTTTATAAACAAGGCCTAGCAGTTTTTTTCTTCTCTCTCTCTTTTTTTTTTAAAGACACAATGGTTTCCCCTTCGACTTTGAAAACATACTGGTTATGAAGTTTAGTAGCTCACCTATTTACTTGGTATAACTTTATTTAAGGATGACAGAGATGTGGGTCATGTGAATGAAGGCACCAGATTTATATTCAGGTTACTTCTGACTAGAAATCGAACATATTTTACAAAAAATTTAAAAATTCTTTAGTTCATCAGTTCAACTGAGTGTTTCTAAGTGATCTATCAATATGTTTTGCTTTTGGTGCATTATTTTCTTTGTATCCGTGGACAAAGAAAGTCTTCAGATACTTTTTCCCTCTTTTCTCCCACTTGAACTTTACCAGTTCCACTCCTGTCTTT
The DNA here is from genome assembly GCF_000001405.40 of Homo sapiens. NCBI lineage: Eukaryota > Metazoa > Chordata > Mammalia > Primates > Hominidae > Homo > Homo sapiens. The sequence goes on along the minus strand of NC_000008.11, from coordinate 79,524,242 downwards.
GTCAATTCTATCCTTCTCTTCATTTTTTAATTTTGCACAAAAAATTACTTTCTACTACTCTAAGAATCTTCCCACTAAATGAAAAGCAGACTGAAAAATACCAAGGAGTGAGTCTTTATGCTTGAATTGATATGAAATGGAATGAAATTTTGGCTTATCTTGTTGTCATTAAGCAACACATTGGGTTGGAGCTAAGGAAAAGGTCTCCCACTTTTTCTTTTTCTCTTAACCCTGGTGTGCAGAACAAACCTTGGATGAAGTGTTTTGTTCACATTTTATAGAATTCTATTATAGTGCTGGGATAGTGGTCAAAGAAATGAAGGTTTTTAGGAATGCTAAAAGAGATTCACTCACACTTGATGGGCAATGTGTGATGATCTGAAAAAAAAAAGAGTGACCTTCGGCAGGATGTTGCTGGGTTTGCATTTTTCTAGTAAACACTTGCTAACTATGCTCAGACTTCTTTTATTAAACTTAGATTTTTTGGAAGTCTGACAGAACTATGAACTACTTATTTCAACTACTTATTTGTCTGTTTATGCCAAAATAACACTCAAACATTTTTTTTTGAAGATTACCTTTAAGCCTCTGTTTAAGGCTATAGACAACTTAGACAATACTTTGGGTGGTCTCCTTTGATGTGAGATGTGTCATGTTCAATAGTAAAAATGCAGACGTGGTAAGCTGAAATAGAAGTTCAAGACCATGAGCTATGAATACATCTTTTCTTGTCACTTTGAGTTTTTATTTTGTATTTACTAAAAATTATTTTTCAGGCTTTTGACATACTGTGAACACAGAGAAAGTAAAATGTTACTAGAAGAAACTGTTTAAGACTTCTATGACAATTACAACTACATCTCTTAAAATCCTCCTGAGTTCAGAAATGTTAAAATGTGAAAATATTCAAAATATTTGAGTATCCACAACCTTGTTTATGAGCAAGAACAATTCCTAGCACTGTTGAAACTGTTGTAATGCTATTCTGATGACCTCTCCCTTCTATTTGCCCTAGAGATAATTGTGTCCCCTCTAATTCTGCCACATATATATCATAAATAATTTGGTCTTGTTTTTGAACTGTTTTATAAATATATATAGCACAGGGGTTCCTCTGTGACTTGTTTTTTATACCAAACAGTGAGATCCCTCCATGACAATGTATATAACCACTACGGTTGTAGAGAATCCCACTATACACCACAATTTATCAGTTTTTTAGTTGATGAATAATTGGGGCTATTTCCAGTGTTTTGCTCTTATAAATTTTAATACACACATTTTCATGACTGTTTAAAAATACATATGTGGGAGTTTCTCCAGGGAATATACCTAAAAGTGGAATTACTAAGTCTAGATGGTAGCTTTTCCTATTCTGATTGCTGACAAATGCCACCGTGCTCCTCTTCCCTCCTTGAATGTCCTGAGGGGACATGAGTCTTGTTCTTGTTTAATCTGGGGGCTGGACTTAACTTCGCTACTGTTCAGGCACTTTGTCATGGGAAAGAAAAGCAGTAGGAGAGAAAGGTGGTGGAGCTGCCCAGTCTGTAGAATGTAACGTTCAGTCATAGTCTGGGGAAACTGAAACTATGCCTCAAAGAGTCAAAGAAACCAGTGAGTAAATTCTTGAGCTTACAGGATAGCAGATAAGAAAAGGAACAACTTGCTGAAAAGCTGACTCTGGAACCCTGCCTCAAAGAGTAAGAAAACAGTAACTAACAGAAGTTCTTGAGTTTACAGTGTAGCAGGTTAACAGAAAGGAAACAACTTGCTGAAATGCGGAAACTTCCTTCACTTGTGAGATCAAGAAAAAATTGGCTCATGCCGGCCGTGGTGGCTCATGCCTGTAATCCCAGCACTTTGGGACGCTGAGGTGGCAGATCACCTGAGGTCAGGAGTTTGAGTCAGCCTGGCCAACATTGTGAAACCCCCTCTCTACCAAAAATACGAAAATTAGCTGGGCGTGGTGGTGCACGCCTGTAATTCCAGCTACTTGGGAGGCTGAGGCAGAAGAATCACTTGAACCCGGGAGGCAGAGGTTGCAGTGAGCCGAGATCATGCCATTGCACTCCAGCCTGGGCGACAGAGTAAGACTCCATTTAAAAAAAAAAGAAAAAAATTGGCTCAAATCGGTTGGAACCAGGATGGCCAATTAGAGTCTGTGCAGAACGAGCTTGCTAACATCACAGCCTGGATTTCCACTACATGTTTCATACAATTCCCCTCAAATATGCACATGTGACCCATGAGGTAGCATGAAGAAATAACTGTGCATGCCCAAGGACTTTCAAGACCTCACCCTTCCTTCCACCAATCACCTTCTAATCTCAGAATCCACTCCCTGAACCTTTTCTAATAAAAATACTGCCTTGAAGCCAGCAAGGGGACACAGATTTGTGTTTGACTCCTGTCTCTTTGTGAGTTGACCTGCAATATAAAGCTTTTCTTTTCTCAAAAGACCAGTGACATAATACTGGCTTCTAGTGCATTGAGCAGCAAGACCCGTTTGCTTGATAACAGAACCAAAGGGTAACTGTAGTTGAGGTAGGTGAAGCCCTCCTAGTGGCTCTGTGGAACACAGGTGTGGGATGGGGCTTTGCTCTTTTGGAGACTGGAATCTCAGTGTAGTATAGCTGATGTCACAGAATCCACTGTGAGGAAACCATTATGCTATGGAAAAGGAAATTTGAAAATAAAATTTCATTCTGAGACTGTATGGTTTTAGTTACTTAAGACTAAGGGAGCTATGCTGGAAATAGCTTGGTCACCATGGTCTGGCTCCTTTTCATGTGCTTCAAGAATTACCATCTCTTTGGTCTTGGACATCATTGTATGAGGGGTCTTTGTCCCTTGCCATACTCTGCTGGCTGCATATGGCCTCCATGTCATCCTCCTCCCCAGTCTTAGACACAAGGGCCACCTCTATACCATGTACGTTATGATGAGCTTTGAGGTTCTTTATTAAAGAGCCAATCCTGCTGGGTCCTTACTTTAAGAACCTGTGGGGCTTTGAGATTCTTCAACAAAGACCCAATTCTGCTGGAGTTATTTGGTAGACTTTCAACTAATCATAGATCGGCTCCTCCCCAGTTTTTGAAATAACTGCTGGGTGCATCTTTTCCTCAAACACAAGCATGTTATTCCATTTTGCATCGCTATAAAGGAGCACCTGAGACAGTGTAGCCTATAAAGAAAAGAGGCTTATTAGGCTCACAGTTCTGCAGGCTGTACAAGCAACATAGTGCCAGCATTTGCTTTTAGTGAGGCCTCAGGACTCATGCAATCATGGTGGAAGGCAAAAACGGGAGTTGGTGTGCCACATGACAAGAGAGGGAGCAAGAGAAAGGGGAGGAGGTTCCAGGCTTTTTAAAACAATCTGCTCTCTTGTGAACTAATAGAGTGAGAATTCACTCATTACTGTGAGTACAGCATCAAGCCATTCATGAGGGATCTGTCCCCATGGCCCAAACACTGCCCAATAGACCCACCTTCAACATTGGAAGTCACATTTCAATATGAGATTTGGAGGAGACAAAACACCCAAACCATATCAACAGGAATGTCTATTGTGTTGCCAGATGGGATGGCCTGGTTACTGGTGTAACCTTCCACTGCTGCTATCAGGAGGAAACAAACATTTTTCCAACAAATGAAAAGATTTATTGCATCTGAAAGGAGACACGGTTTCAGGTAAGCTTCAGGTGGAGCTGTTTCTCATGGTCCTGAAGATATCTCTACAAAATGTCAGACAGTCAGTCTGGTTAGCTCTAAGTTCTTGTGGCCCCTCTTCCCTGGCTGGCACAGCCACTTTGGCACACGCTTTTTCTAGCTTGCAGCTGGTGGGGCCAGCAGCATGACCTCAGGTAGTTTGAGGTGGCAGGTGCATGCAATGCCCACAGTCACCATTTGACATAGTTGTGCACACCTATCACTTCTCTTTCGTTGATCTGGATAAAGTTGCTCTCAAATGTTCATGGCTAATTGAATATAGCATACCCTCACTTGTACTGTTGCTGCTGCAGTTTCTCCATGGAGATATTTAATGCATGTTCAATTTTGTAATTGGAATTTTGTATTCTTTTTCATAAATACAGTTTCCCAAATTATGTAAGCTTTAAGCCTCAAAACCTGGATATGCTCCTGATTCCCTCCTCTTTGGAGATGAAGACAGGGTTAAGGTAAATTTAGGCTGCAGGGGAAAGGAACAGACAAAGTAGCTTCATTTGTGTCCAGTGACTAAAGAATCTTTATCCCACAGCTGATCCTGTGAGGGTGGAAAGGAGCTCTGTGTGGATGCCACAGAGTATGGTCATGATTCTGAAACCCAGTGCTTGAAGCAGTAGGCAGCTGGAATAGAAATCTCAGGAACCAGCTGGACATGGTGGCTCATGCCTGTAATCCCAGCACTTTGGGAGGCCAAGGTATACAGATCACTGGAGGTCAGGAGTTCAAGACCAGCCTGGGCAGCATGGTGAAACCCCATCTCTACTAAAATTACAAAAATTAGCCAGGCTTGGTGTGTGCTTGTGATCCCAGCTACTCCAGGGCTGAGGCAGGGGAATCGCTAAAGCCTGGGATGCAGAGGTTGCAGTGAACTGAGATCATGCCACTGCACTCCAGCCTGGGTGACAGAGTGAGACATTGTCTTAAAAAGAAAGAAAGAAAGAAAGAAAGAAACCTCAGGAACCAAACTCTCTGCTTCAATTTATTGTGAGCATGCTAGATAAGCACAGATTATTTTTCTTCTGAATTCAGGGGATTTATGTTTTCTACATTTGGCAGATTATCTAGATCCTAAAGAAGGATGAGAGAAAGCTAAGTAAATAACATTAATAATAAAATTCTGTATTGGTTTCTGTATTAGTGAATCCCTTTCTTTCCCCCTGTTGTCCTCCCTTCCTCTCTTCCTTTCCCTTCTTCCTTCATACAGTTGACAAATATTTATCTTGTGCCTATTGTTATCATGACACAGATTATACAGAAGAAAGGCATATCCAAGTCCTAGAAGAGTTGTTTTATTGAGGGCCATTAGGAGACAAATAAAAGGATTTTTTTTTCCATTTTACTTTAGAGGGTGATCTGTAAAATGTTCATGGAAGAATAAAGAGTTTATATGGGTGACAGCTGATGCAACAATATAAGAATGCAGTTTAAGAATGCTGACATTAAAGGAAAGTGCTGAGAATATCTTGAGATGTTCTTACAGAGAAGATACCAAAACATATTCTAGCATGAGAAGCAAATGACCACAGTGAAATGTCAGAAATGACAAAGCATTAATTCTATATACAAATTATTGAGTAAACAAATATGTTAAACACTCTGGAGGTGCAATGATTAACTGCCAACTTTTGTCTTCTGTGAGTTTTCAAGCCAGTTCATATACGGAAGAAACGTTAAGAAACAATTTAAGCCTACAATACAAGAACTTTGACATTAAAGTGAGGTTGATGTGCCAAAAACTTGCTTGAAAATGTAGACCAGAAGTATTAGTTCAGAGAAGCCTTCATGGTCACAACTTAGTTTTATGAAAGATGAAGAGGTGAGGGGATGTGAGGAAGATTCTGCAAAACACTCTGAACTATTGCTTCTTTTTTTCCCCCAGGAAATAGTTTTCTGAGTAACTTCAGTCCATATATTCCAGTGGCAATTTATGAATACATTTTCATTTCATTATATTTGCATTTATTACTAAATAGCTTTGCAAAATAGTTCTTTCATGTACCTGTCTTGCTTTTCAACATGACTGAGAGTTAGGAGCTATGTTTTATCATATGGTTTCTTTCAAATCCTGAGACGATTATTTTGAACCTAGTGGAGTGGGAAATATTTTTGAGTTAGAAGATTGTTTTGAGATCATTAAAACTACTATTTTATTTTCCAGGAGATCTAGGTTTTGTTGTTGCTTAATCTTATCTTATTTTAAATTACGAAACTAAAGGAGTTGAAGCAACTTAAGAATTAATAGGTTGCTCCTCTTTCTCTCTAACCTAATCCTAACACTTTTACATTTACTCCATTTGCAGATGATAGAATAAGCGTCAACAGTTTTTGTATGAATCCTTTCTATTGTCAATTATTTTGTATGAATACTTTTTCTATTCCTTTACAAAATGTCCAATATGTATATAAATAAAATCAGCTGCTTGTTTTTATTTTAAGAACACCAGGAAAAAAAAATCTACGACATTCATTTTAATGACTTTAATTACCACCTGGATGATAAACATTTAAGCAGTTGTTATTACAAATCAATGTTGCATTAAATATTAATACTTTTACTTCTGTAGTATATATTCATAGAAACAAGATTGCTGGGTCAAAGGGTGTATACAGCTAACACTTGAACAATATGGGTTTGACCTGCATGGGTCTACTTATGCATGGATTTTCCTCTGCCTCTGCCACCCCTAAGGTATCACCCCTCTGCCTTCTCCTTCTCAGCCACTCAATGTTAGGTCAAGGACAAGAATGAAGACCTTTATGATAACCCACTTCCGCTTAATGAATAATAAGTATATTTTCTCTTCCTTATGATTTTCTTAATAATATTTTTATCTTCTTACTGTATTATAAGAATACAGTATATAATACATATAACATACAAAATATGTGTTAATTGACGGTTTATTATTGGTGAGGCTTCCAGTCAACAGCAGGCCATTAGTAGTTAAGTTTTTGGAGAGTCAGAAGTTATACATGGGATCAAAAAGATACCTATACTCATCTGTTTACTGCAGCACTATTCGCAGTAGGAAAGAAATGGAATCAACCTAAGTGTCCATCAGTGGATAGTTGGCTAAAGAAGATGTGCAGATATATAGACCAATGGAACAGAATACAGACCTCAGAAATAACACCACACATCTACAACCATCTGATCTTTGACAAACCTGACAAAAACAAGAAATGGGGAAAGGATTCCCTATTTAATAAATGGTGCTGGGAAAACTGGCTAGCCATACGTAGAAAGCTGAAACTGGATCCCTTCCTTACACCTTACACAAAAATTAATTCAAGATGGATTAAAGACTTAAACGTAAGACCTAAAACCATAAAAACCCTAGAAGAAAACCTAGGCTCAGAACATAGGCATGAGCAAGGACTTCATGACTAAAACACCAAAAGCAATGGCAACAAAAGCCAAAATTGACAAATGGGATCTAATTAAACTAAAGAGCTTCTGCACAGCAAAATAAACTACCATCAGAGTGAACAGGCAACCTACAGAATGGGAGAAAATTTTTGCAATCTACTCATCTGACAAAGGGCTAATATCCAAAATCTACAAAGAACTCAAACAAATTTACAAGAAAAAAACAAACAATCCCATCAAAAAGTGGGCAAAGCATATGAACAGACACTTCTCAAAAGAAGACATCTATGCAGCCAACAGACACATGAAAAAATGCTCATCATCACTGGCCATCAGAGAAATGCAAATCAAAGCCACAATGAGATACCATCTCACACCAGTTAGAATGGCAATCATTAAAAAGTCAGGAAACAACAGATGCTGGAAAGGATGTGGAGAAATAGGAATGCTTTTACACTGTTGGTGGAAATGTAAATTAGTTCAACCAATGTGGAAGACAGTGTGATGACCCCTCAAGGATCTAGAACTAGAAATACCGTTTGACCCAGCAATCCCATTACTTGTTATATACCCAGAGGATTATAAATTATGCTACTATAAATACACTTGCACAGTTATGTTTATTGTGGCACTATTCACAATAGCAAAGACTTAGAACCAACCCAAATGTCCATTAATGATAGACTGGATTAAGAAAATGTGGCACATATACACCATGGAATACTATGCAGCCATAAAAAAGGATGAGTTCATGTTCTTTGCAAGGACATGGATGAAGCTGGAAACCATCATTCTCAGCAAACTATCACAAGGACAGAAAACCAAACACCGCATGTTCTCACTCATGGGTGGGAATTGAACAGTGAGTTCACTTGGACACAGGGCAGGGAACATCACACACTGGGACCTGTTGTGGGGTGGGAGGCTGGGAGAGGGAGTGCATTAGGAGAAATACCCCATGTAAATGATGAGTTGATGGGTGCAGCAAAACAACATGGCATATGTATACCTATGTATCAAACCTGCATGTTGTGAACATGTACCTTAGAACTTAAAGTATAATAATAATAATAAAAAGAAAGAAAATGTGTTGGTCGAGTGCGGTGGCTCATGCCTGTAATCCCAACACTTTGGGAGGCAGGGGCGGGTACATCACTTCAGGCCAGAAGTTCGAGACCAGCCTTGCCAACATGGCAAAACTCTGTTTCTACTAAAAACAAACAAACAAACAAACAAACAAAAATTATCTGGATGTGGCTGAGCACACCTATAATCCCAACTACTTGGGTGGCTGAGGCATGAGAATCACTTGAACCTGGGAGGTGGAGGTTGCTGTGAGCCCAGATAGCCCCACTGCCCTTCAGCCTGGGCGACAGAGTGAGACTCTGTCTGAAAAAAAAAGAAAAGAAAAAAAAAAAAAAGAAAACGGGGTATATATACACAATGGAATACTATTCCACCATAAAAATAAATGAAATCATGTATTTTGCAGCCACATGGATGAAGCTGGAGGCCATTATCTTAACAGAAACAATTCAGACACAGAAAGACAATACCATACATCCTCACTTATAAGTGGGAGCCAAGTAATGTGTACACATGGACATAGAGTGTGGAATGATGTTGGAGACTCAAAAGGGTGGGGTGTGGGAGGAAAGTGGAAGATGAGAAATCACTTAATGGGTACAATGTACATTATTGGGCTGATGATACACTAAAAACTCAGACTTCACAGCTATGCAATATAGCCATGTAACAAAATTGCACGTCTACCACTTAAATTTATGTAAAAAGTTATACATGGATTTTCAACTGCTAAGGAGTCAGTGCCTCTAAGATCTGCATTGTTCAAAAGTTAACTGTGCTTTAGTATTTATTATCTTCTATCATTACTTTTATCAACAATGTAGGCAATAATTCTTAAACTATGTTTTTATACTCTGGATGGTATCAGTCATCTTAAATTTTGCCAAGTGATATCTGAAATTTATCCTGTTGTTCTCTGATTTTTAGTGAGATTGAACACCTTTTCTATACATAGTTTTAAATATTTTTTATTCAGTGAATTGCTTGTTTATCTAAAAAATTAGGTAATTTCTTAAAAATATACATATATAAATCATATATTTATAATTATATAGTACACATATTAGTAGATTAATAAATAGAATAATATATTCATAATTAATACATTAGATAATACATTAATATATAATATATAATTATTATAATGCTAATACCATATAATTAATATAATATATGTAATATATTATATATAATTTTACCCTATTTACCCTATTATAACTAATATTGTTATCTTTTGACTTCATTCAGGGTTTCTCCCTCAATATTGAAGGTTTGTAATAATTTATGTAATCAAATTTGCCAATCTTTTTCTTTATAGCTACGTATTTCCTGTATTGTTTTGGATATTCATCATCATCAACATGTTATGAAACTGTTCTCCAATATTCTCTTCTAGTATTTTGTTTTTACCTTTATTTATTTAAACCATCTGGAGTTGATTATGGTATTATATAGATTTTTTCAGTAATGTTTATTGAATACTTTCCTTCCAATGAATTGACTTGCCAACTTTGTCATAAATGAGTTTTGTTCATACACTTAGGTCTATTTCTTGACTTTTGAACTTGTTTCACTGCTGTGTTTGCCTATTCCTATGTTTGTACCACGTTATAGCTTCATAGTAAGTTTTAGTAATACACACGCTATATCCCCTGTCACTGCTCTTTATTATCAAAGGTTTCTTGACACTCCTTATGCCTTTATTTTTCCAAAGTAATATTAGATTTATTTTGTCCAGTTAAAATTTCATAAAATTTTGTTTAAAATTGCATTAAATTTATATACTAATTTGGGAAGAATTATTATTTTTATTTTGTTTCATTATTTAGGTTTTATGTTCTATTCTTTGGTAAAATTTTATGGTTTAAAAAATATAGGTTATTTTGATTATGCTTATCTTTAGCTGTATCATATTTTTTGATACAGTGAATAAGACTCCCCCTCCTCATTTTTGTATTAAATATCCTTTTCTGAGCTAATTGATTTGGTATTCAGTCTCTTGGATTTTCTAAATATACAAGCATATTATTGGCAAATAAAGACTTTTTTTATTAGTAGGCTTTAAAAAATGTTGACTACTAGAACTTACATAAATGTCTCTAATTCCTGATTATAGTAGAGATATTCTTACTATTTTACAGTGTAAAAAACTTTTGTGATAGTTTCTGGTAACTATTTGTATCTTGTACAGTACATTTCCTTTAGTTCTTTTGCTATTTAATTTTTTTTTTGAGAAATGGGTGATGAATTTATTTCTCATCATTTTAAATAATAGCATTTTTTATTTTTAATGCAATGTATTATGTTGATAGATACACTAATGTTGACTCATTCTGCATAGTCATTGTGTATTATTTCTTAAGATATACTGCTGGATTCAGTTTGTTAACATTGTCTATCCCTAAGTGAAATTAACATATATATATAAATGTATCTCTGTCAGGCTTTTGTGTTAAGGCTATGCTTACTTCATTCAAAATTTCCATCTTTCTCTATGTACAAGAATAGTATATTATTCTGTTTTTATGCTGTTGATAAAGACATTCCTGAGACTGGGTAATTTATAAAGAAAAAGAGGTTTAATGGACTCACGGCTCCCCACGGCTGGGGAGGCCTCACAATCATGGTGCAAGGCGAATGACACGTCTTACATGGTGACAGACAAAAGGAAAATGAGAACCAAGCAAAAGGGGAAACCCCTTATAAAATCATCAGCTCTCATGAGACTTATTCACTACCGCAAGAACAGTATGGGAAAAACCACACCCATGATTCAACTGTCTTCCACCAGGTGTCTCCCACAACATGTGGGAATTATGGGAGCTACAATTCAAGATGAGATTTGGGTGGGGACACAGCCAAACCATATCAAATAGTTTGAGAGACTTAGGAATTACTTGCTCATTGAAGATAGGGTAGATGTGGAAAGAAAAGGGGAATTGTCTTGTAAATGAATCCAGGGGTTCTCTCTGGCCAAGCTAGCGAGCAGCTGCACCCAAACTCTCCCTTCCAGGAACCAGGGGTTCTACGGCATCCAGGGTCTCTAGATTCTCTGGGTATCTAGCTGTCCTAGCCCTTCCCTAAACTGCTTGCTAGTTCTCAGGTTCATACCGTTTGCAATCACGTACTCTCATTTGTCCTGGGTCTTAAAAGTGTTTCCACTCTTGTGGCATAAAAAAAGATCTAACCAGTTTGTTAGAAATTTGTCGATTTGCTTTATTTTTAAATATTCAGGTATGGTTGATTTATATTTCCTACCTTTATTTTATTTAACAAATATATTTAACATGTTTGTCAGGTACTGCACAAAGTCTCCACAAATATAAAATCATTTACTTTTCTTAATAACCCTATGTATTAGGTATTATTTTGTTCCTACTTTATAGTTGAGGGAAATTTAAAAAAAAGATTAAAAATGTTGTCAAACATATTTATCTTTTCTTATTTCCTTTTGTTTTATTGTAATTATTTTTCTGGTTTCTTAAGTTTTATACTGAATATATTTATATTCAACCTTTCAGCTATAAGTATAAAAGCACATGAGATTATGTGTTTTCCTATGACTGTGATTCTAGAATTTTCTCACAGGTTTTGATATGAAGTTCTCTTTTTTGTTAGTTTCTACATAGTCTGTGATTTCAATTCCATTTATCTTTGAGCCTGTTTATTTAGAAGAGTATTTCTCAATTTTGAATGGGTTAGTTTCTTTTTTGTTACCTTTTCATGGCTGATTTTTAGTTTTATTGTATAAATCCAAAAAATGTCCTCCCCCTCCTTTTTTTTGGGGGGGTATGGGGTGGGGTAAAGTAAGGTTGTTCTGTCTGGTTCAATAAGTCATCATGTGTTTGCAAATGCTTCTGGTAATGAAGGAAGAATGTTTATTCCCTAGTGGAGGGTAAAAAAATTCTCTTTAAATGTGCATTTATTAGCTGAACCTTGAGGATGGTATTATTCAAATCCTGCATATTTTTACATAGTTTTTTCCTTTATATGATCTGTCAAACAGAGAGATGTATAAAAATCCTCTTATAATTTATTTAAATGTCCTTACGTTTTAAGATACATTTTGCTTTATATTTTTTGCTTGATATTTATGCCATGAAAAGTATTATTATATACTTTTTAGAGACTGTAGCTTTTTAAAACATAAAATATTATTTTGTCCTTAAATTTCACTTTATCTTTCATTGCTCATTCTACCTTTACTTTCCTTCTTTTTAAATTTTCTTTTCTTTTTCCCATTTCTTTGATGAACTTTGCCTGTTTATATTATGTTCAAGCACTATTTTTTCTTTTTGTTATTGGTGTGTTTCTTGCCATAACTAAACATATTTTTGTGTTGCTTTGTATGCAAACATTATCTTGGCTAGGTTCAGAATTCTTAGATAGTAGTTTCTTTCTCATTATAGACCACAAGTATATTTTACAGTCTTCTGACTTGCAGGTTGAAAATTTGATGTTAGAGTGTTAGCTTTGCCTTTGAAAGCCACATTTTATTTGGAACTAGTTGTATACTTTTTACTATTAAAACTTAGATTTCACAAGGATATATTTCTTCATTAAAATCCTTTTTTTTTTTTTTTTTAGAGACAGTCTTTCTCTCTTGCCCAGGCTGGAATGCAGTGGCATGATCATAGCTCACTTTAACCGGGAGCTCTTGAACTCAAGTGATCCTCCTGCGTTGGCCTCCAAAGTGCTGCAGTTCTAAGCATGCATCACCCCAGCAGGGCCCACAAAAATATATTTAGATATGATTTCTTTTTTCTCCTTAGACTTGCCTCGCACTTGGGGATACTGCTGTGCTCTGCATACAAGTCTTTCTTCAACTGAGTGAAATGGTCTATTATTCCTTTAATTACTTTTCATCTCTTTCATGTTGCCCTTTTGTAAATTGTTCTCTTCATATGTCTCCAAACATCTTACTACCCATGATTTCCTTTAAAATTCTTTATTTTATCATGTGTAATAAGATAGCTTCTACACTTGATTTTACAGGACACAAAATTGATTTTTTCCTTTTTTTTTTTTTGCCAGTGCAATTCCTCTTTGCTAATTCTTCTGTTATGTTTTAATATTCAGATATTAGTGATTTTATTTTGTTCTAGGATCTCATTGTTCTCAAACCATGTATCCTCTTATTGCAGCCTTTCTTAGCAGTCCCTTCTGTTTATTTCACTAACTTTGACCTAGTGGGGCACACATTCTCTATGTTGGCTTGCCTAACTTCCCTCTTTTGGATTGCTTAGTCCCCTCAACTGGCCTTTCTCCCAAATGTATTCTGTTAAATCTGGTATTCTGTTCCTGAGAAGGTGGGATGGATGTGAATTAGCAGGTGAAAAGTAAGACAGATGTTTATTCTGCAGCTGGGCAGCCAACCTTGGAAGGGCAGACAAGCTAGAATCTCCATATTGAGGTCAGGGTGAGAATGCAGCTCAATTCTTGGGCTTCTGCAGCTGTGAGGGGGAAGGGGACAATCAGAGGGTCACAATCTCTTTCTATCTTCATTGAATTAGCCCAAGATGGCTCTTCTTCAGCACTGCAGTACCTGCAGGACCAGCCACCATCTCTTGGATCTGCATTTCAGAAACCTGTTCTTTTGCCAGGAGACCCATGCTCAGCTGGTTGGGCTGTCTCAGGCAGACACAGGGTCTGCGGCAAGGAGGCAGGCAGCTGGTCCCCCATCCCTCTCCCGACATTGTACACAATGATATCCATCTGCACTTAAAAAAATTCAATTCTTATATATATTTATGACCTCTCTAATCTCCTCAAGTAAGCCTTACTATTTTTTAAGTAGAGTTTCTTCAACTGGGAGAGAAAGGGAATATAAACTTGTGATTAGGCTGTCATTATATCCCCACTCTCTCTTTGGCCCTCCTGAATTTAGAGAAGGGGGAGGGGACCTGAGACCTAGAGAAGATAATGAACCACCCAGGTTCACAAGACTAGTAGGTGGCATTAAGAATCTCAAAATATACTGAGCTAATGAAGACATATAATAGACGAAGAAAGTACTGATTTGTTTAAAGCTTACCATGGTGGAATGCTCTAAGAGTCACTGGAAACTGAGGTGGTGTATTAAGTGAAATAAGCCGAGCACAGAAAGACAAATATTGCATGTTGTCACACATATGTGGAAGCTAAAACAATTGAACTCACGGGAATAGAGAACAGAATGATAATTACCAGAGCCTGGGAAGGGTAATGGAGAAGGGAGGGGGATTAAAAGGGGATGGTTAATGAGTACAAAAATACAGTTAGATAGAAGGAATAAGATCTAGTGTTTGATAGCACAACAGGGCAACTACAGCTAACCATAATTTATTGTGTATTTCAAAATAACTAGAAGAGTGGAATTGGAATGTTTCTAACACAAAGAAATGATAAATGCTTGAGGTGATGCATTCCCTAATTACCCCGATTGATCATTACCCATTGTGTGCTTGTTTCAAGGTATCACATGTACCCCATAAATACGGACAACTATTATGTATCCATAATAAACTGATAATTAAAAATTTTAAAAACTGAGATAGATTTAAGAGTCACCTTCAGCTGCATCAGCATTTTGTTCAGGGATCACATTTGGAATACTCTTAACATTAAAAGGACAACCATGGAGTAAATCTTCTGGGCTCACATATAATGGAATCAACTTAATAAAACACGTTTTACTAATGAAGAATGAGTGACATCAAGTTGACTTGAATGGCTATGTAGGTGATTAGCTGTTATAGGCTTAAGCAATCATCATTAAACTTATTAGTGACAATTAGTATGCACAGCTTACGTATCATATTCAATTAGCACCTTAATGTATTTGGATTATATTAAGTGAGAGGATGATCCTTTTGTATAATTAGGAAGTAAAGTGGTAAAAAAAAAAACTCATATGAAGCTCTTGCTAGAAGCACTCTGTTAATTTGTTGAAGTAAAACTTAAATAATTCGCATGAACTTCTAAATATTTGATTTCCCCAGTATCATCTGTGCCAGCACTGTCTAATAGAACTGTTTGTAATGCTGAAAATATTATGGTGTCCAATACGGTAGCCACTAGCCAAATGTGGCCAGGGACCACTTTAAATGAAGCTAACGTTGAAGAACTAAAATTTTAATTTAATTTAATTATTTAAATAGCCACATGTGTAAAGCATAGACCAAGTGTTCAAATCTTTGAAGCTGCCAAATCAAGCTGCTTCTCAAGTGTAAGGAGAAAAAGGATTCTTTTTGAATAAGAATTTATAACTTGCGTAATGTTTTCAAATTCATAAATCTTTCAAGATTACTCTGTGATTTACGTATTATTTCCATTTAGCAGTTCAGGCAAGGAAGCTTCTGAATGACAGATGACTTGTACAAAGTTACCCAATTAATAAAAATATTTTCATTTTTGCTTTTATTATTAATTTCTAGTTTTATGGCATTGTGATGAGAGAATGTTTTAGAATTAATTATGGTTTACATAGTGGCCTAATATATGTTGATTTTTGTAATGGTTTTTGTAAAAATAAATTGTAGTATTTATTTTGAGGAACAAAATTTTGTCTATGTTAATTATTTCTACTTTTTTATGTCCTTTAGATCTATACTATTAGTTTTTCTTTCTTGATCTGTCAAAGACAAAGAGAGATAAATACAGTTCTCTTGTTGATTTTGTGTTTTTCTTTGTAACTCCTGCAGTTTTGCTTTGCAAATATTGATGCCATATATATATATATATACACATATATATATAGTGCATTAACAGTCTCAGCTTTTTAAAAATCTTCACTACAGACATTTCCTTTTAACATATGATACTGACCTTTGTGTCATTTAACATTTTATAACAAATTCAAGTAAGGTTGCAAGCTCTTCCTTCCTGCCTTACTACCCTCCTCTTCTGCCCTTCCTTCTGTTCCTTCCCTCTCTTTCTACATATATAATTTTTTCCTTATATATTTTTGTCCATTCTTTAATTTTCTTTCCTTTCTTCTACAGATGAATTTAACCCATTTAGATTTATTGATATAACAGCTATATTTGAACCTACTTCTTTACAATTAATTATACTTTAGTGCTTTCACAAATTATATACACTCCATATTCTTTGCTTTACTCTTAATGTATAATTATCATGATATTTAAGAAGGTTTGTATTTTTATTCCAGTGGCTAACTTTATTACTAGTGTGTTATATAATTTTAATTCTTTAATATCTTAGACATTATCTTTTGCTCCCTTCTATGAACAGTTATATACTTAGTGTATTTTCTTTCCTTTTTCCTTTGTGTCATCACCTTATTTTAGTTAATTTTTAAAAATTATTTATTTGTTTATTTATTTATTTTTGCGACGGAGTCTCGCTCTGTCCCCCAGGCTGGAGTGCAGTGGCACGATCTTTGCTCACTGCAAGCTCCGCCTCCCGGGTTCACGCCATTCTCCTGCCTCAGCCTCCCTAGTAGCTGGGACTACAGGCGCCTGCAACCAAGCCCGGCTAATTTTTTGTATTTTGAGTAGAGACAGGGTTTCACCGTGTTAGCCAGGACGGTCTCGATTTCCTGACCTCGTGATCCGCCCGCCTCTGCCTCCCAAAGTGCTGGGATTACAGGTATGAGCCACTGCGCCCGGCCATTTTAGTTAATTTTTAAAATTCTTAGTGCTTTCTTTGATAATGATTACTAATTATGCTTTTGTTATTTCATTTGAAGGCTTCAATGACATCTTTTGAATTTCAGTTGTTACAGATGAAGAAATTTGTGTACTTCAACTTTCTTTCCCCTTCTGCTCTCAATTTATGTTACATTATTTTTAAATGTCATAGTATGTAACCTATTTCACCAAATATAAGATGCCACCTATTGTGGCAACATACTTTTTGGATGACATTTTCTATGGTTTGTAAAACTAATCAATAATTATGAAAATTAATAAAAAGAAAAATGGGGTTTTGAGTTAAACATTTTGTCATCAAATGCTTGAGTCTGAATTATATATTTGAAACATAGCATTTGAGAACCAAGAGGCACAATTAGCTTCTAATCAAACTGAAATAGACAAGTTAGTTTTCATTGTATGTGCTGAAAGATTAAAAAAGCTATCCAGGCAGGGAAAATTTAACAGTATTATTTTTAGTTCTTTAATTTTCAATAAATTTAATTTTTTAGACACAAGTTATCTTTAGTACCTTCATTTATGATTTGTGCTCTGACTGTAATTTTTTCTTAGAGTCTGAGAGTTGATTAGCAGGAAACTCTATATTAATTCTTCTAGACAAACCATATACACAAATCACTGAGATATAAAGTCATAAAATTTTCATTAATTACAAGCAATGGATCAGATAACTGATTGTTTATTCTTCATTGTTGTATGTGTGTATTTTGCTAGGAGAATAAGCTTCTTGACTGAAAAATTAAACAGAAGCCCGGGTAAACTTCTACAGTCAGACAAGAAAGCCTAGCGTTGCCACAAATGATAATTGCTTCACACTTCAATTGTCAAAATAACTTCGGGCATGTATCTTTTCTCTTGACATTTTGATTCTCTAACTAAGAGAAAAATTTGTTTATTATTTTTGAGTGAATAATAAAGAAAGGCCAAAGGAAGAAAATAAATAAATTATGGAAAGATCCAATTAATTATTATGTTTGCAATATATTTTAAGGTTTATTGGTGTCATGATTCAATATGTACAATTGTGAACTTACTTATGGTAATGTTCTTCAATTGTTTCGACAAATGTGATTATTTAAAAGATAGCTATTTTCAGTTGATCCAGTTGAGGTAAGCATTAAGTTCATTGGATGATATCATAAAATTATATTAGAGAAATATAAAAAATTAAGTCATATTTATAAACAAAAAAGAATAGGTGGGGATTGTAAAATACTGGCATCTCTTGTGATCTTAGCTTATTACAGAGTTTGATCTCAGTATTCTCAAGATTATACCTAGCCCTGGATCAGTCTTAATGGGACAAAGCCATTTTAGAACTCTTTCTTTGAAAGATGGTTATTGAAGGATGAAGATATGCCAAATTTTACTGGATGAACTACTCAAGTCCGAATTTAGGTTTTAAAATAATACATCCAGGGAGGAACTCTTGTGTTACTTATTTTGAGCTCAATGGCTAAATTAATTTTTTTCAAGTCCCAAATCAAGTTTGTTTCTCCTGTTGTCCTTTCACAGGGAGCTCCCTGAGGTCAGGGACCATGTCTGTCCTGCTCATCATTGTACATCATGGCACTTGTATGACTTGTACATCACAGCTTGGCCGAGACAGCATATGGACACAGGGAACATCTGTTGAAGAAATGAATGAACAGTTTAGGCCTCAGCTTAAATGTCACCTACACAGAGTTGCCTGCCTGTCTTCCAATCTAAATTAGATCTTTGTTAACTTACCTCAGACTACACCGTTCTTTTCCACTCTCACAATTTCTGCATCTGTATGTTTATTAAATGTCTACATTCCTAACCAGACTATCTGTGCCATAAGAGCAGGGGCTGGTTTTGTTTTGTTCAGCACTATACCCCTAACCCTTAGCCTGGAGTATAGAAGATCCAAGTAAATATATTTTAGAGTGAATTGAATGAACAAATCAAAGCAAATGTGGAGATGACATATAAATGTCATATGTAGTAGTTAAGACTACAATAGGGATGATACATTAAACTCATTAGTGTTTTATTTGTTTATTGATTCTAATCAATAGTTTGTTATAGTTATAATGTCAGAAAAAATATTTTTGGAAATTTTATTTTGAATTTATATCAGATACATAGATTCAAAATATATTTAAAAATGGCAGCTAAAACGTTAGTGTGGCAAGAGTGAAAAATACATAGTCAGAAGTCTTGGCTTTTCTTCTTGCATTTATATTTTCATTCACTAATGTTGTGCTGGGTGCCTACTTGAATCTCTCAGTGATGATGGGCAGATCATTCAATTTCTCCAAGCCTCAGTATCCTTATTTATAAAATGATTACACCAATAACCATATTTTATTTATAAAATGATTACACCAATAACAATGTTCCACTTACCTACAAAGTTGTTGTGAGCATAATGAAATAATCTAAATAATCACTTTATGTACTGTAAAGATCAGCATAAATTTAAAAGATTATTATTATCATCAGGGCATGTGGGCTTACTTATTCTTAACATAGATTACCACTCTCAAGAAAAACATAAGCACAATTCTGATTTATAACTTTGCTCATATGAGTGTATACATGCACAAATGTTTATACATGTATATCTGTAGGAAATAACTGATCATGAAGATAGAGTCAAATGTACTTTTTATTTGAAGGCAGTAGGTTCTCGTTCTCACCTAAACGCAGGGACTAGGGGACCCCTGACAGGAAAATTTTGCTTTTGTTGAGCTTTGCTTTGTGTCCTTGAACGACTAGAGAGGAAATAAAAACAAAATCTCTTGTTCAACTCTTGTTAGACCCGATGTTTTTGTGTTAAATTACATAATAATCCACTCAAAAGCTGTTTATTGTGTTGTTTGTTATTTTTGAGCCCCTGTCATTGTTTCTCACTTTTAGGGTGGTTTGTTAGGAGGTTTATATGATGGTAACCATAGAAACAACAGGGAAGACCAAGACTTCTGTATTAGTCAGGGTTCTCTAGAGGGACAGAACTAATGGAATAGAGAGAGATATATAAAGGGGAGTTATTAAGTATTAACTCAGATGATCACAAGGTCCCACAATAGGCTGTCGGCAGGCTGAGGAGCAGGGAGAGCCAGTCCGAGTTTCAAAACTGAAGAACCTGGAGTCCTATGTTCAAGGGCAGTAAGCATCCAGCACGGGCCTACTGGGAAGCTAGGCCAGTCTCTCTTTTCACATTTTTCTGCCTGCTTATGTTCTAGCCACACTGGCAGCTGATTAGTGCCCATCCACATTAAGGGTGTTTCTGCCTTTCCCAGTCAGCTGACTCAAATGTTAATCTCCTCTGACAACACCCTCACAGACACACCCAGGATCAATGCTTTTTATCCTTCAATCCAATTAAGTTGACACTCATTATTAACCATCACACCTTCGTGCCATTTCCCCATGAACTATTAGGCTTCTTGGATGGCTCATTAAATTTTTTGGCTATTGCAGTCTGCAAAAAAGTACCTGTGTGTGTTTATTTAAAAATTTTAAGAAAATTCCCACCGCACACCACTGCAGAGACAAACTAGCATTTAATCTAGATTTGCTACCTTCTTGCCTTTCAAAAACCTATGAAAGCCCCCAGTTAATTTCATGCCTATGTATTATTGCTGAAGTTTTCAGGAGTATACATTTAAAGGCTAGATCTGAATTCTGTCATTTTCCCACTGAAAACTTCCTGAAAATTTAAAGCAAATGTCTTTAAATCAGCCAATATTTTTGATACCTCATGTTTTCTGGGCACAGAAGGTGAATTCTGTGAGAGAATTATATGACACACTCTTTGTTCTGAGAATGTATAATCTTAATGGAGGAAGAAAAAAATGCACCCATGAGAGAGGAAATAATAGAAGCCTGACACTATGCTTGGCAGCATGGTGTGGATAATAACTGGGTGCCCTGGGAGGGGTGAGGACACTCCAAGCTACAGAAGATCAGGGAAGAGGGAGATCAAAGTGGCCTAGAGATTTTAAGAAAATCTTTATACAGAAGGTAGGCCTTGACTGTGGGAAAGGGGGGGATGTATGGAAGGTCCAGAAACCCACCCTTTCTCCCACCTCCAATGTTGCCCTAGAGTCACTCCCGAGGAAGCCTGAGCACTGAGGTTCAGCAAGATGTATGTATAAAACCACTGTTCAGAGCATCAAAGATACTAATGTGTTGAGAAAGCAGAATTATGTTATTGGATTAAAACATATTGCTGAAGGTAGCATCAGAATCTCTTCATAAGTGATATATTTTATGTTCCTAAGTTGCTTTCTACTTTTAGCATTGATGAAAAATGTAAAAGAAAACTTATATAAGGCTAAATTAATATAATTACCAAAATTCTCTGGCAAATGCTTGGAGAATTAAAAATAAATAATATACATTTTTTTCTAAGGTGTTAGGTTCAGAGAAAGGTTTTGGAGATTAAAACAAGCAAACAAAATACTTCCCAGGATAGAGGTCCTAATAGTCTAATCCAGAATTCTAATCTGGAAGCTGTATCAATTTGAAATATTCTTCCCCACCACACAATCCATCCATGGATTCCTATCGTTTTTCCTACTACTGCCTCTATTCATATTTCTGCTAGAGCATTTTAAATATTGGGCTAACATTTTATGTAGGTTGAGGTTCTTTTTAGCAGTTAATGCTCAGTTAAGTGACAGTAGTCACATGAATCCCAAATACAGCCTAGGTTGACCTAGTTAAAGTGTTGAAATTAGCATCTAATATTAATATTTATTGAGGACCAAGAGCTAGTCCCTGAGTTAAATTTTGTGCTGTATTACATATAGCTCATTAGATCCTTACAGCAACCCTATGTGATATACCCCATTTTATTCATGAGGAACTTGAGGTACAAAGACAGTAAGTAACTAGACCAAGGTCGCTCAGTACATACCAGGCTGTGATAGACCTGGGTCTGTGGACTTCAACATCTGGTCCCTCCAGGAGGCTGGAATGACTCTTCCTGTGATATGCACTAATCAGCAAGCAGGACTTTGGCTCATTTGCCCTGCTCTTTAAACTTAGCCACTCTGTAGACACATGCCATTATTTTGTTCATTTGGAACATACTGAGGTCTGCCTTTCCATTTAACTGAGTATTCCAACACATTGATTGCGAAATGACAAATATGAAGGTCAGGGGAATTATTCAGTTGTAAGGAGTTCTGAGAATTGGGGTATTTTTGAGTTTTTGCAATCGAGAAGTCAATTCCATTAGGCTAAAAAATTATTTTTTTCTATGACAGTGAAAGATGTGTGGCTAGAATAATTGCTACATATCTTTTAAAAAATATTTAAAATTTGGTGAGCCTATTTCAATTTTGAACATATTTGTCTGTGTTTTCACCATTTAACTTCAGACATTCCTGAAAGTCCAATAGGCAACGCGGACATTTTCAGGATAGTTATATTGTCGTGACTCAAGAAGGACATGACATTTTCATTCATGCACTTAACCTCCTGGTGGCTTTCAAATAGTTTACAACTTTGCTAATTTCAGACATCTGCATAGCACTCAGCCTATGGCAATTAAACATAAACTGAGGCAATTTAATGAACTTGATGTTGAAAATTTATTTACCTTTTAAGTCTTTTTTTTTTACTAGAATCTATAATATGCTCCAGTGGCATGCCAGAAACACACATGAATGCTATAAATATTTGTGACAAATTATAGATGGAAAGTATATTGCCAATGACTCCATTTTCATGCTTGCTTACTTTTCCAAATATTTCACAAACAAAAACACAAAACACAGAGATTCGTTGCTTGAAATGTGTTGTTGAGAGTCAGCAAAAGAAACTATTCTTAAAAAAGGCTTTTCTTGAATTTTCTAAATTTCCTGATCCTTGACCTACTTATTTGATTTTCTGACTGACACTTTAGGATTGTGGAAAATCATAATTGAAAAGTCAGGATATTTTTTACTCAAAATGTGTGCTATACTCTATTCATTATAAATGTCATCTGCAACACATAGTGAGCACTTCTGGAACAGAGTTAGACAGACTGATCTTTTTTAGTGAGACCAACCAGATACATAATATTTTCAAAATTATATAAATTCACTAGTGTAGCTTTATGATAAGGCTATGCTGAAGAACTATATTTTACTAAGACTCTGTAAAGAATGTAACAACATGTCCTTTATGACTCTCAGTGTCATATAAAATATTGAATCAATATTTTATGAATCTTTTAACATTTTCCTCTTTTAAGTTTTTTCAAGGTGCACATAGATCTCCATTGTCTTCTAAGATTAAGCCTACTTTTTAATATTTCCTCCAGAGTTTCTCTGCAGAAAGTTTTGAATGGCTTTTTAATACAGTTTTCTCCATTGCTAGAACTAGTGCTATGTTTCTTATATAGTGTTTCTTATTGAATATTGACTAATACCAGTTGAAATACAGGAGGTCCTTACAAGATGCTGCGGTGTGTTCATGCCACTTGCTCTTTCCTGAATGTCCCCAGATTTTCACATTCTAGTTTATGTTTCTCTTTTAAGACATGTCCATTTTGCCCCATCACTTTTTATATCAGCAGCAGAACTTTTTATTGTTCCCATGACTGCATTCAGCCTTTTCTTTTACTGCCTCAATTGTTCATCACTCTCTTCATTTTTCTGTTCACTGTATATTGCTCCTCTTAATTATTCTCAATCTTTTTGTTTTTCTGTAGTTTTTGGTGTCAATGCAACCTAACATTTACAGATCTCTTTAGGCAATCTGGAACACATCACATATTTAGCAATCCGTTTGTCATCAGTTATTCTTGAATATTTTTCTTGTTTTTCCTTTTGAAAGACTTCATGTACTAGGGCTCCCCATGGCTCCAGACATTGATAGGCGCTGACAGTCTGAAGACCACAAAGTGGAAATGCTAAACCAATCATGTGTTTTGTGTTTTTAAAAATTTTCTTTAGCAGATAGAATGTTTAGAATTCTTAACACAGCAGTGAGAAATCATCCGAAGGCATAAAACTCACTGGTAAAAGTAAGTACAAAGAAAAATAAAAAATACACTAACACTGGAATTCCAAGTGTCTAAGCCACTCACATCTTTAGTAGAAAGGCTAGAGGGGGATCCAAGATGGCTGATTAGGAGCTGCAGTCTGTAGCACACACAGAGAGAAATAAAAAAAGGTTAGTGAATTCAGCATCTTCAAATGAAATATGCAGGTTCTCACATTGGGACTGACTAGGAAAACAATTAGACTCACAGAGAATGAAGAAAAGCGGGGGGGTGATGGCCCTCCCGGGAGTGGCACAGAGCCAAAGGAACCTCTACCCCAGCCAAGAGAGGCAGTGAGTGATTGTGCAATCCTGCCCAGGAAACCCGAAGATCAGGAGATCCCTTTGTGAGCTCATGCCACCGGGTCCTTGGGTCTGATACACAGCTGTGTGGAGTCTTGGCAGAGCAGCCACTCGGGCACACATAGAGATCCAGCGGTTTTACATATTCTAGTCCCAGGATCCCCGGCAAGGCAGACGATCCATTTGTACCTATCCCTAGGAAGCTGGCTAAATCCAGGGAGCCAAGCAGCATTGTTCTGCAGGCCCCACTTCCATGGCACCTCACAAGTTAAGACCCCTTAGCTTGGAATTCCACCCAGCCAATGACGACAAGCTGGAAACTGCCTGAGACTGTTCTGAGTTTCCAGGGGGAGGGAGGGGTAGCTGCCATCTCTGCTGTTCGGTAGACTCAGCTGTTCCAGCCTGCTGGCTTGGGATCATATAAATGGTCCAGATGAATAAAGGTCACCCACAACGCAGCACAGCTGCCTTGCCAGATTGTGGCCAGACTGCTGCTTTAGCAGGACCTTAATCCATTTTTCCTCACTGGGTGGGACCTCCCTGAAGGAGCTTCAGCCACTCCAGCCAGGGTTCTATGGATAGACCTCTGATCTCTCCCTGGGAAGGAACTCCCAGGGGGAGAGGTGGCTGCTATCTCTGCAGTTTAGTTGACTCAACCATTATAGTCTGCTGGCTTTGGAGAATACAAAGTCTGGATGAAGAAATGTCTCCCCCAACACAACACATCTGCTCTACCGAAAGGCAGCCAGACTGCTTCTTTAAGTGGGTCACTGATCCCATTCCCTCTGACTGGGTAAGAATTCCCAACAGTGTTCTCCAGCCACCTCCTACAGGTATGTTTTAGGCCAGCAACATACCAGTAACCCCTTGGGACAGAGCTTCCAGAGGAAGAAGTAGGCTGCCATCTTTGCTGTTTCACAGTTTTCACTGGTGATACCTCTAGGCATGGGAAAAACCAAGGCAACTAGAGTCTGGAACTGACCCCTAGCAAATTGCAGCAGTCCTACAGTAGAGTGGTCTGATCATTAAAAGAAAAACGAACAGAAAACAACAACATCAACAAAAGATCCAACAAAAGACCCAAACAAAAGCCCCATTCAAAGGTCAGCAATCTCAAAGATCGAAGGTAGATAAGCCCACAAAGATAAGAAAGAATCAACACAAAAATACTGAAAACTCAAAAAGCCAGAGTGCCTCTTCTCCTCCAAATGACTGCAACAGCCCTTCAGCAAGGGCACAGAACTGGTCTGAGGCTGAGATTTCTGAATTGTCAGAAGTAGGCTTCAGAAGGTGGGTAATAAAGAACTTCACTGAGCTAAAGGAGCATGTTGTGACCCAATGCAAAGAAGTTAAGAATCATGATAAAACAATACAGCAGCTGATAACCAGAATATCCAGTTTAGAGAGGAACATAACTGACCTAATGGAGCTGAAAAACACAACATGAGAACTTCACAGTGCAATCACAAGTATCAATAGCATAATAGATCAAGTGGAGGAAGGAATCTCAGAGCTTGAAGATTATCTTTCTGAAATAAGACAGGTAGACAAGAATAGACAAAAAAAAAAAAAAAGAAAGTAAAGAAAGAAAAGGAATGAACAAAACCTTTGAGAAACTTGGGATTATGTAAAGAGACTGAACCTGTGACAGATTGGAGTACTTGAAAGAGATGGGGAAAACAGAATCAAGTTGGAAAACATACTTCAGGATATCATCCAGGAGAACTTTCCCAACTTAGCAAGGCAGGCCAACATTCAATTTCAGAAAATGCAGAGAACCCCAGTAAGACACCCCATGAGAAGATCAACCCCAAGACACATAATCATCAGAATTTCCAAGGTCAAAATAAAAGAAAAAATGTTAAGGCCAGCCAGAGAGAAAGGCCAGGTCATTTACAAAGGGAAACCCATCAGACTAATAGTGGACCTCTCAGCAGAAACCCTACAAGCCAGAAGAGATTGGGGGCCACTATTCAAAATTCTTAAAGAAAAG
Source organism: Homo sapiens (assembly GCF_000001405.40). NCBI lineage: Eukaryota > Metazoa > Chordata > Mammalia > Primates > Hominidae > Homo > Homo sapiens. Next base: position 79,498,099 of record NC_000008.11, on the reverse strand, counting down.
AATTTCCAACAGAATTAATTTCACACCTGGACAAACTGAGCTTTATAAGCAAAGGAGAAATGAAATCCTTTTCAGACAAGCAAATGCTGAGGGAATTGTTCACCACTAGACCTATCTTGCAAGAACTCCTGAAGGAAGCACTAAATATGGAAAGAAAAAACTGTTACCAGCCACTACAAAAAACACACTGAAGTACACAGACCAGTGACACTATGAAGCAACCACATAAACAAGTTTGAAAAATAACCTTCTAGCATCATGATGACAGGATCAAATTCACATATAACAATACTATTCTTAAATATACTAGATTGGTACAAAAGTAATTGCTGTTTCTGTCATTGAAAGTAATGGCAAAAACTGCAATTACATTTGCACCAACCTAACAAATGGGCTAAATGCCCCAGTTAAAGGACACAGAATGGCAAGCTGGATAATGAGCCAAGACCAATTGGTATGCTGTCTTTAGGGTGCCAATCTCAAGTGCAAAGACACACATAGGCTCAAAATAAAGAAGGAAAATTTAAGAAGCAAATGGAAAACAGAAAAAAGCAGGGGTTACAATCCTAGTTTCTGAAAAACAGACTTTAAACCAATAAAGATAAAAAAAAAGGGCAAAGAAAAGGATGACATAATGGTAAAATGTTCAATTCAATAAGAAGAGCTAACTATCCTAAATATATATATACCCAATACAAGAGCATCCAGATTCGTAAAGCAAGTTCTTAGAGACCTACAGAGAGAGTTAGACTCTTACACAATAGTAGTGGGAGACTTTAACACTCCACTGACAATATCAGACAGATCATTGAGACACAAAATTAACAAAGATATTCAGGACCTGAACTCAGCTCTAAATCAAGTGGATCTGATAGATATCTACAGAACTCTCCACCCCAAAACAACAGAATCTACATTCTTCTCATATCCACATGACACTTAGGCTAAAATTGATCTTATATTCAGAAGTAAAACTCTCCTTAGCAAGTAAAAGAACTGAAATCATACCAGTCTCTCAGAACACACTACAATCAAATTAGAACTCAAGATTAAGAAATTCACTCAAAACCACAAAACTACATGGAAATTGAACAATGTGCTCCTGAATGACTCATGAGTAAATAATTAAATTAAGGCAGAAATAGAGAAGTTATTTGAAACAAATGAGAAAAAAGAGACCAGAATTTCTGGGATGCGGCTAAAGCAGTGTTAAGAGGGAAATTTATAGCACTAAATGCCCACATCAAAAAGCCATAAAGGTCTCAAGTTAACAATCTAACATTTCAACTAGAAGAACTAGAGAACCAAGAGCAAACAAACCTCGAAGCTAGCAGAAGACGAGAAATAACCAAGATCAGAGCTGAACTGAAGGAGATAGAGACATAAAAAAAACTTCAAAAAATCAACAAATTCAGGAGCTGTTTTTCTGAAAAAAATGAAACAAAATAGTTAGACCACCAGCTAGACTAATAAAGAAGAAAAGAGAGAAGGACCAAATAAACAAAATCAGAAATGATAACAGGGATATCACCACTGATCCCACAGAAATACAAACTATCAGAAAATACTATAAACCCTTCTACGTACATAAACTAGAAAATCTAGAAGAAGTGGATAAATTCCTAGACACATACACCCTCCCAAGACTGAACCAGGAAGAAACTGAATCCCTGAATAAACCAATAACGAGTTCCAAAATTGAAGCAGTAATAAATAGCCTACCAACCAAAGACCAGGACCTGACGGATTCACAGCTGATTTCTACCAGATGTACTAAGAGGAGCTGGTACCATTTCTACTGAAACTATTCCAAAAAATTGAAAAGGAAGGACTCCTTCCTAACTCATTTTATGAGGCCAGCATCATCCTGATATCAAAACCTGGTAGAGACACCAACAAAAAAAGAAAACTTCAGGCCAATATTCTTTTTTTTTTCTTTTTTTTGTGAGATGAAGTCTTGCTCTATCACCCAGGCTGAAGGGCAGTGGTGAGATCTGGACTCAGTGCAACCTCCGCCTCCCAGGTTCAAGCAATTCTCCTGCCTCAGCCTCCCATGTAGCTGGGACTACGGGCACACGCCACCATGCCTGGCTAATTTCTTTTGTATTTTAGTAGAGATGGGGTTTCACTGTGTTGCCCAGGCTGGTCTCAAACTCCTGAGCTCAGACAATCCACCTGCCTTGGCCTCCCAACAGGCCAAAATTCTTGATGAACATCAATCTAAAAATCCTCAACAAAATACTGGCAAACCAAATCCAGCAGCACTTTAAATAGCTCATCCACCATGATCAAGTAAGCTTCATCCCTGGGATGCAAGGTTGGTTCAATATATGCAAATCAATAAATGTCATTAAAAAGATGTGGAATGGCAGAATAGATAAGAATTCACCAGCTAAATATCTGTTATCTTCAAGAGACTCACCTGACACATAAGGAACTCTGAAAGGAACCCTCAAAACCATCCGAATACATGAAAATAAAATAAATTGCTACTGAATGATCATTGGGTCAACAATAAAATCAAGATAGAAATTAAAAGATTCTTTGAACTGAACAATAATAGTGATACAACCTATCAAAACTTCTGGGATACAGCAAAGGTGGTGCTAAGAGAAAAGTTCATAGCCTTAAATGCCTACATCAAAAAGTCTGAAAGAGCACAAACAGACAATCAAAAGTCACACCTCAAGGAACTAGAGAAACAAGAACAAACCAAACCCAAACCTAGTAGATGAAAAGAAACAACAAAGATCAGAGCAGAACTAAATGAAATTGAAACAAAAAAAATAAAAGATTAATGAAACAAAAAGCTGTTTTTTAAAAAAAGATAAATAAAATTGATAGGTCATTAGCAAGATTAACCAAGAAAAGAAGAGAGAAGATTCAAATAAGTTCAATTAGAAATGAAACGGGAGATATTACAACTGATTCCACAGAAATACAAAATATCATTCAAGGCTACTATGATCACCTTTATGTGCATAAACTAGAAAACCTAGAGGAGATGGACAAATTCCTGGAAATATACAACCCTCCTAGATTAAATCAGGAAAAAACAGAAATTCTGAACAGACAAATAACAAACAGTGAGATGGAAATGGTAATAAAAAAAATTGTCAACAAAAAAAAGTCCAGGACCAGATGGATTTACAGCTGAATTCACAGCATGTTTTTGGTATAAAAATAGGCACATAGATCAATGGAACAGAATAGAGAACCCAGAAAGAAAGCCAAATACTTTTAGCCAACTGATCTTTGACTAAGCAAACAAAAACATAAAAGTGGGGAAAGGACACCCTATTCAACAAATGGTGCTGGGATAATTGGCAAGCCGCATGTAGAAGAATGAAACTGGATCATTATCTCTTGTCTTATACGAAAATCAACTCAAGATGGATCAAAGACTTAAATCCAAGACCGGAAACCATAAAAATTCTAGAAAATAACATTGGAAAAACCCTTCTAGACATTGGCTTAGGCAAAGACTTTATGACCAAGAACTCAAAAGCAAATGCGAAAAAACAAGGATAAATAGATAGGACTTGATTAAATTAAAAAGCTGCACAGCAAAAGAAACAATCAGCAGAGTAAACAGATAACCCACAGAGTGGGAGAAAATCTTTGCAATCTATGCATCCGACAAAGGACTAATATTCAGAATCTAAAATGAACTCAAATCATCAAGAAAAAACAAACAATCCCATTAGAAAGTTGACTAAGAACATGAATAGACAATTCTCAAAAGAAGTTATACAAATGGCCAACAGGCATATGAAAAAAATGCTCAAATCAATACCACAATGCAAAACCATCTTAATCCTGCAAAAGTGGCCATAACAAAAAAATCAAAATATAATAGACGTTGTCATGGATGTGGTGAAAAGGGAACACTTTTATATTGTTGATGGGAATATAAACTAGTACAATCACTATAGGAAACAGTGTGGAGATTCCTTAAAGAACTAGGAGTAGAACTACCATTTGATCCAGCAGTCCCACTACTTGGTATCTACCCAGAGGAAAAGAAGTCAGTGTATGAAAAAGGTACTTGGACATGCATGTTTATAGCAGCACAATTCACAGTTGCAAACATGTGGAAGCAGCCCAAATGCCCATCAATCGAGTGGATAAATTGTGCTGTACACACACACACACACACACACACTCTACAGAATACTACTCAGTCATAAAAAGGTATGAAATAATGGTACTCACAGCAATCTGGATGGCATTGGAGACCATTATTCTAAGTGAAGTAACTCAGGAATGGAACACCGAACATTGTATGTTCTCACTTATAAGTGGGAGCTAAGCTATGAGGATGCAAAGGCATAAGAATGATACAGTGGACTTTGGGGACTTGGTGAAAGGGTGGGAGGGGGTGAGGGATAAAAGACTACACACTGGGTACAGTGTACACTGCTCAGGTGATGGGTGCACCAAAATCTCAGAAATCACCACTAAAGAAATTGTTCATGTAAGCAAACACCACCTGTTCTCCAAAAACCTATTGAAATAAAAAGATACAAAATACAAGGCAAAAAAATTAAAAATTAAAAAAAGAAAAAAGAAAATGTGATATATATATATATAATGCAAAAGTATGCAGCCATAAAAAACAATGAAATCATATATTTTGCAGCAACATGGATGAAATTGGAAGACATATTAAATGAAATAAACCAAGCACAGAAGGACAAATATTACAGATTCTCATTCATATATGGGAGCTAAAAAATGATCTCATGGCGATAGAGAGCAGAATGATGGTTATCAGATGCTGGGAAGGGTAGTGTGGAGAGGGGTATAAAGACAGGATGGTCAATGGGTACAAAAATCCAGTTAGATAGAAGGAATAAGATCTAGCATTTGGTAGAAAAATAGGGTGACTATAGTTATCCATAATTTACTGTATATCTCAAAATAACTAGAAAAGTAGAATTGGAATGTTTCTAACACAAGGAACTGATAAATGCTTGAGGTGATGGATGGTCTCATTACCCTGATTGAGCATTACACATTGTATGCTTATGTCAAAATATCACATGTACCTCATAAATTTGCACAACCATTATGTGCCCATAAACATAAAAATAAATAATCAAATAAAAAATTCCCCACACAAAAGAGCCTTGGTGAATAGGGGAGTGGGAAAGACATATAGGGCATAGGCTTCCACCAGTTAGTTCGGTTAGTTTTGTTTGATAATTATGGGATTTTTAAAAAATAGATTTCTTTAACTCAGATTTTTTTTAGCCCAAACCATTAGGTCTCTGGTTTTTGTTTTTTTTTTCTGTTTGAAGACCTATTTTTGATGCACATGAAGTTTGAGCTATCAGCAAGCCAATCACTCTTGAACAGAAATGCATGAACAGAGGTGAGAGAATGAGGTGGAGAGCTGCGACAGAGGCTGCTGACTTCATTTTGGTCCAGCCGGGAATCCTGAGACCCAAGGACAGAGCAATCTGGGCAGTAGCATGATCACCTCAAGGGCTTACCAGCTGAATTCCCACTTTTTTATAGATGACTTTGACATGTTGACACAGTTTGCATGTGTGCCCCCACCCAAATCTCATGTCAAATTGTAATCCTCAATATTGGAGGTGGGCCCTGGTGGGAGGCGACTTGATCACGGGTGTGGAGTTCTCATGAATGGTTTAGCACCATCCCCTTTGGTACTGTCCTCACGATAGTGAGTGAGTTCTCCTGAGATCTGGTGTTTAAAAGTAGGTAGCACCTCCCCCCTCACTATCTTGCTTCTCTGGCTATGTGATGTGCCTGCTCCTCCTTCCCCTTCCACCATGATTGTAAGCTTCCACAGACCTCCCCAAAAGTAGATGCTAGTGTTATGCCTCCTGAAGAGCTAGCAGAACCATGAAGCAATTAAACCTCTTTCCTTTAAAAATTACCCAGTCTCAGGTATTTCTCTGTAGTCATGTGTTTAACCAGTCAATAACATGGAATATTTTGCAAATTGTAACATCTGGTGGGAGATCTTTCTGTGTTAAAACTGTTTTTGTTTTTCCACGTTCTCTTCCATTTTGCAAAAATGAATATAATAGAATCCCTATATATATTAATACTTTTATTTTTAAACTGGAAGAAGACTATCTGGGAAGAAGAATCAGACTTACCCATTTAATTTTTATACTTCAGTTTCCCAGGCACGGTCTTAAGACCACCTGCATCAGAATCACTCTGGAACTTTTATACAATGTGGATTCCTTTGCCAGGGTCTAGACATGCTCAAGCTTAATCCTTGGTTGTGCAGACTGGGTATACAAGTTGTATTAAAAAACACACAAACTTGAAGCTATTCTTAAATACACTGCAAGAACTACTGCACTACAGCTATCAATAAGTCGATCTCAATCAAAATTATAAAGTAGGTGATACTTAGTTTTTCTTTTTATTAAGTATTTTCTTGCCTCGGCGTGTACCACATGCTTTAATTTCAAGCCCCTTCTATTTTCACCTCTCTGTAAGATCTATTCTCAAAAAATGCTAATATTAGTCCATATTAGCAAATTGCCAAAATCTGAAACAAGATACCAAATCTGAACAAATCTGTAAAATCTTGTGAAATCTGGAGCAGAGTGAGGACTATGGAATGAAATATTTTTTCATTTATTTGGATAGTCTACCCAAATCTTGGGAAAAGGGAGGGAAAGATATGCTATGTACATGCATTATCTGTTTAGCAGAAAATCTTCCTGAAAACTTTTATAGTTCCAGGTCATCTCTTGCTCATTAAACAGTTAACTCCCCTTAGAAGGTGTGTTTGAGTTCTTGCATAATTTTTTATTAATGCTTTCAGAGGTGACAGAAATATAAATAAATAGCAATGTGATGTGCCTGCTCCTCCTTACCCTTCCGCCATGATTGTAAGCTTCCAGAGACCTCCCCAAAAGTAGTAAAAGTAAAAGCAATAATGTTTTAAAGATTATGGGTCTGTTACCAGATAGCACTGATTCCAAACTAAAGAATATCTAGATTTAAAAGGTAAAATTAACTGAAGATTCTCACAATGTCTACAAATTAATATATTTTAAAAAGTGTTTCCTTCCAGTACTTGTCCACATTTGTATTTATTTATAAATATATAAATATTTATTTTTACTTGGTATAGTAGCATTTTCTATTTGTATTGTTCTGTTGTCATTTAATGTTATATCACAAAGCTAGCATATTTCCATATTGCTACATAGCCTTTTAAATTATTGTTTTTGATCACTGCATAAAGAGAATCTACTGATTCGTTTTTAAAATTATTCTTGAATTTTTCATTTATTGTCTTTTTTTGGTGAGTCTAAAATGTTATGAAATAAAAAGCTTTGTACTTATAGCTTTTTTATGCATTTAATGTAATTTCTTAGGATACATTCCCAGAAGTGGGATCACTGAGTCATAGGAGATGAAAATTTTTATTCCTGTTGATAGGCATTGCCAAATGGCTCTCCAAAAGCATTATACCATCATATTGCCGTCAGCGATGTATGACTCTGACCTTAACAACACTGGCATTAATATCTCATCATCTTTAGTTACCTGTCTTTTTTTTCTTCTGCAATTGTTTATGATAGACTTTTGACCATGATTATCTTTTAACAGCTCATATATATATCATTGTCTATTGAGGAAAGTACAAACAACTCAAAAGAAACATACCATGGAAGTCATATCTTTCAAAATCTTAAGCTAGTTTTATATAACAGATTCTATATAATTCTCCTTGATGTTGAATCCATTTTCAAATTTTCTCTAAAAAGAAGTTCATCATTGTAACTTAGCTTTCTCCTCCACACCCCTTTCTCCCCCACTGCCCACAGGTACAGAGCTGTGCACTTTTTCATTATTATTATTATTTGTAAATGTTTATCTAATACATACTTTATTCATCATTACACAAAGGCAGATGGAATTTGATAAACTCTTTCTTTACTGAATTTGTACTAAGAGCAATAGTTTCCTACTTAAGATTCAAGTAATGACAGCATTGTAGAGTGAAAAGTTAACCTTGAATATAAGAGAGTCTAAGAAGTGATGTAATTGGCTCATAAAATACTTCAAATAAAAATTAAATGATTAATTCCTGGTCAATGCTTTCTCCTCTGACCATCAGAAACTGTTTACTTTTACCTGGCAGAATGAATATTACTCCCTCTTGTTGTGCCTCTGTCAATTCTCCTGCTCTCTGTCACAAGTCTGTAAAAGTCATGATTGCCTTGGTATTTGACAAAACACTATTGTGGTCCACAACTTTGAGGACATTTGAGGATTGGATAGAATGTGCAGGAAGTAATAAAGCACTTTTATGTCTTAGTAAGATATATTTCAACCAGAGGATGGGAGATAAACCCCACATTTCAGGAAATTTCTACTTTAGTGAGGTTTCTGGGGATCCAATGGTCAAGAGCATGTTGAGATATCTCCTCCATGGTGGAGGATGAGTTGCTGTATCTTGCATCACCTACAAGGAAAAAAAAAAGGCATGTTTGGTAGGTCTTTAACATTTTTCTTAAATTGACATTTTACATTTATGGAAAAAAATGAGCATAGTACAGAGAATTCCCATATACTCCCTGCCTCTCCTTCTCCACATCCAGTTTCCCATTACTAACATCTTGCATAAATACAGTACATTTGTCACAATTAGTGAATGAATACTGACATATTATTATTAACTAAAGTTCATACTTAATTCAGCTTTGCTTGGTTTTAACCTAATTTGCTTTTTCTGTTCTAGGATCCCATCTAGGATATCACATTTAATTTCATTGTCATGTCCCTTAAGATCCTGTCGATTGTGACAGTTTCTCTGATTTTCCTTGTGCTTGATGACCTAGACAGTTTTGAGGAGTGCTGTTTAGGTTTTTGTATGAAGTTCCTTAATTGGAATTTGATTTTTTTCTCGTGATTAGACTGGGGTTATGTGTTTTGGGGAGGAAGACCAAAGAGATAAAATGCCATTCTCATCACATCATATGAAGGGTATACACTACAGGCATGGCCTATCACCATTGATATGGATTTTGATCACCTGACTGAGGTGGTTATTTGTCAGGTTTCTCCACTATACAGTTACTCTTTCCCCCGGTACTCTTTGGAGGAGAGTCACTAATCACAGCCCATACTTAAGGGATGGGGAGTTGTGCTCCTCTTGCTTGAGGGTAGAGTGCCTATATACAGTATATTATTTGGAATTCCTTTGTGAAAGAGATTTGTTTATGCTTTTCCATTTATTTCTCTATTTTTATTTAATCATTTATGTCACTGTGAACTAATTTATTTTCCTCTGCACTTTGGGTTATAATTCAATACTATTTCATCTATTTTGATGCTCAGATTGTTTCAGTTTTCACTGTGGAGAGCTCTGTTAGTTTCCTCCTGTGTTCTTCTGACATACCCTCACCACTGTGTGTATGTGCATGTATTTGAGTACTTCATTACATTCTGGCACTAATAGATGCTTCAGGCTCATTTTGCGTTTAATTTTGTACATTTGACAGTGTGTCTGCCAAACATTGATTAATATTTCACTTAAAAAAATGGTAGACACTTAATGTGCTAAATACTCTGTTACATGCTGAGTGTGACATCTCTCTATTTTTGGCTATAAACAGAAAATGATCATCCTCTTGGTTATCACTTACATTTTTATGTTGCTTTGTGTTTTACAATACACTAGCTCATTTTTTAATGTCACAAAAATCTACTGTGGTATGTATGGTGAGAATTATGATTCTTATTTCATAGATGAAAAATCTTACAATGACTTTTAATAGATCTTTTTTTTTTCCTGAAAAGAAATAAACTCTAGTTTGTTGCAGTGAATGCAGCCTCTCTTAAATAGTTGTAGGCATTTGCTCAGACTCTTTCTTTAAATAATCACACAGAGAGTTTTCTTGATATGCCAACATTAGGACCATAGTGGGTTTATGTTTTGCTCTCTCACAGATGTATTCTCAACTCTCCTTCCTATTTAAAGCCATAAAAATAATAGGAAATTTTATTTATTGAAATCCCTGGGATATTTCAACTTACTTTAGAATGTAATACTGTAATCTGAAGAAAACCTTAACGGGATATATTATAATTCGTCTATATCCCTTTTTAAGCATTCACTTTTCTAGGAGATAAAATAGAATATCCATATAACAATATGTAAAATACTTAATGGAAACTAAGAATGTTAATAAAATTGTGAGTTACAGCATCAAATATATTTTGACATACACAATTGTGTGGAGACTTTAAAGGTTGGAGTGCAGAACTAGTTTTGCAACATATGAATGCATCACCCTATGGCAAACTAATGATGTTGCAACGATTTCCTTTCAAATGTTTCAATTTGGAAGGTATAAAATAAGCTTAATTTTATTTTTTGATATAAATCCTATAACCTCATGCATAAGGCATATATTTTTATAGGATTATGCTTGATGGACTTTGAAATTACAGATCATGAACTTCTTTTTAATTAGAGAGAAAATCTCCCTTTACTCTGCACTGCACTCTAGTGTTTGCTTGCTAATGTCAAGAGAGACACTGAGGAGTGAGTTTTACTACAGTGACCTGTACAGTTAATAGCTTCAGAGAAGCTTTAGGGAATATTCTAGTAAAAGTACACAGCTAAACTCTGTAGACCCCAGCTGAGCTGTCCCACTGAGCTATAGATAACAGATGAACACATTCAGACACTTTAATTGAACTGCTTTTGGCTTTCTCCAGGTTTTATGAGAAAAGGGCATTACAACCCTCAGAAGTAAAAACCATGCTGTCACCGTGTTGTCACAATACTGGAATTGAGTTTTTCCTCTCTAGTGAGAATATTTTTAACTACATTTGAGCTTGGTTTGTTTATTGCCTCAAATAGGGTCTTCTGAAGTCCATTCTCTTTTGGAGTCTACTCATTTTTCCTGACCATTATGAACCTGATTTAATTTTTTACTGAGGAATCTGATGTGTTTGTGATTGCATGTAGGAACCGACAAGCCTGGAGCTAACGGTTATCATATAGCTTATCACATGGCAATATATCACCCAATTAATTGTGTTTTTAAACCTGGGCTACAAATACTGTTCTACTTTTTACCTGCCACGTTATGGTTTGTTCAGGAAAGAATCTAAGATTTTAAGGGACTACTTAAATATTGAAAAATGATGACAACAGAGTTCAGCGTCAGTGGTTTCAGGAGATTAATCAGTCTGTAAAGGCAGCATCTAATTTATTTAAGGAATTTAATTCATCAAAATTTACGGACCTCCACCTATGTGCAATATACCTTCCATGAGGTGGAGGATATGAATGATCTCTTTTAGGGGGTCTGGAGTCTGATCATAAAAATGTATTTAAATAATAGTTTAAGAAAGACTATTAGTACAATAATAATGAAAATAAACCTATCAGGAGAGTAAGTATTTCCAATTTTGAATCCAAATGGCTTTAATGGAATAGAGAGTGTTATTTATACAATGCCAACTTTACATAGTTCTCCTAACAATGATAAGATGCTGGTATTATCCCCAATTTACCCAAAATAAAAGGCTCAGAGAAGTTGAGTACTTGCCTAATGCCACAAAATAATAACAGATATTTAAAAGAGGGTCTCTTTTGCTTCCAAAACCTTTTCCTCTTTTCAATTAACCATTATCAAGGTCCAATAGTAAAAGCGGCAAACCAATAAATAAAATTGTTAATATTACATTATCTTTACATATAAGAAAGTGGCGGCTCAAAATGTGTAAGTGACTTGCTTAGTATTAAATAGTCAGAAATGGTGTATCCAGGATTTGTAGGTCTTTTTAAAACCATTTTTATGGATCATTTGAAGCACACATTGTAGAAAGAAAAGTATAATGTACCTGCATGTACCTATTATTCAGTCTCAACACTTGCTAGCTCGCAGCCACACTTGTGTTTGTTTGTACGTTCTTACTTACTATCTCTTCCCCCAGAATTGTTTTGAAGCAAAACTCAGATTTCATAACATTTCATCCATAAATACTTATGTGTCTCTAAAAGAAAAGAACTCTTGTTAAAGATCATAGCATACTGCCATGTCCATAATAAAACAAAAGACAAAACAAAACAGAAAAAAAACCCAGTAATTCCTTAACATCATTAAATACCTAGTCCATATTTTTGTCATACATGTTTTGTTTTGTTCACAGATTTTATTGCGATGGTTTATTTCTTTTAGGATCCAAACAGAGTGCACATATCACATTTTGTTGGTAGGTCTCTTATGGATTCTTTTCTTTCATAGCTTACTCTTTCATCTGTCTATCTATCATCTATCTATCTATCTATCTATCTATCTATCTATCATCATCTATCTATACTTGAAATTGACTAGCTGGAAAAACTGAGTAATTTTCCTTGTGCATTTTCTTATTTCTGGGATATTTCTGATTGCAGTCGCATTTTAAAAATGCCTGTTCCTCAGCTCCGTTGTGTTTCCTGTACTGGTTGTGAGATCAAGAGGCATGATCATTTTTGGGCTATATTTTTGTCAAGACTACTTCATAGGTGCTATTCTAAACTTCCATCAAGTGTTGACTAATGTCCAGTTGTCTACTGTTGTGTTAGCTGCCATTGAGGATCATTTCTCAGATCCAGCATTTACTTAGGGGTTTGCAAAATGTTAATATTCGAATGCTTTTATTACGTCATTATTTGCTAAGTGGAATACTTCCACAGGGAGTTTTATCTTATCAATGTTTTGAATACACTGAGGTACAGTTTTTACTGGAAAGATAAATTATATGCATGATTCTTTCCCTTTATTTACCAGTTTTCAGAATCATGAGATGGTTTCCTAGCATCCTCCAAAGGTGATCAATTAAAAAAAATTGATCATTGTGAATTCCTGGATTTGTAACGTATTTGATTTGTTTCAATCCAGTTATGTAATTACTCTATTGGTACTACAGATGACTCATCTTTGTACAGTGGGAGCCACTTCAAGTTGGATCATGAGTCCTTTTGACACTATTCCAATAATTTTTGATAACTTCTTTGCTTTCTGGAATGACAAAATATTCAGGTTTGTCTTGTTAATTTCCTGCCCCTGACTTCTAACTGTGTCTCCTCTACATGTTAACTTTCATCTCATACAAGTGATAATTTTAATAATAGCTTAATCTCCCATTGTGTGCACATATGCACACACAGACACATACATATACTTCCTTCCTTAGATAAATTGTAATATGGTGTATATATGCACATTGCTTCTCCAACTTGCTGTTTTCACTTAACAAATATTCTGGAGATCACATATAAGAAAATATTCATTATTAAATGTTTCTTTTATGGCTGTATAGTGTTCCATTATAAGTACACCAGGGTTAATTTAATTCATCTATTATTGATGCATATTTAGATTGTCTGTGGCTTTTGTCACTACAAAATATGTAATAAATAGCTGCATCTATACATCTTTTCATGTTTTACCATTTTATCTTCAGGATAGATTCCTAGAGAAGGAGCAAATATTATACACAGGTAATTTCTCTCAGTAATGTCAAATTGCCCTCAATAGGGTTTAGAACATTTTGCATTCTTTTTAGTAATGCCTATGAGCCTATGCCCCCTTAGCCTTATCCAGTAAATGTGTTGTTAAACTCCTGATTTTTTATCAATTTGATAAATAAAACATAGTATATCGGTATAATGTCAATTAGTATTTCTTTTATTGTGAGTTATTCTCTTAATTATGAGCCTCCTATATTTAAGAGTCATAACCGGGGCAGTGGTGTGCACCTGTATTCCCAGCTACTTGGGAGTTGAGACTGGACAAAATAGTGAGGCCCATCTCTTAAAAAAGAAAGCTTTAAGTATATGGGGATCATTTGCATTGACTTTTCTAGAGACTATCTCTTTATATTAAAATTTTAAAATAGGATTGTGCTTTTTTTTTAATTTTGCCTGTGAGGTTAGCATATGTTTTAGCATTTATGCAGTCAAATTTAATAATTATTTTCCTTATTTCATCTAGATTTTAAATGAGAGGAGAGTTTTCTTCACTTTTAGGTTATAAGGAAATTCACAAATGTTTGTATTTATGTAATTTTATTTTTTACATTTAAATTTCTAATTACTTTGGAATTTTCCCAGATGTTTGTTGTCAGAAATAGATTCAACTTTTATTATTTTTCATATTGCTATTCAGTTATTCCCGCAGCATCAATTAAAATGCTGATATTTTCCACTTGTTTTGTGACTCTACCTTTATTGAATACTAAAGCAATTGTGTCTGTTTCTGGATACTGTACTTTCTTCTACTGCACTGTCTCCCTGAACAAATGCCAACACCACATCATTTTAATCACAGCAGCCCTATAACACGTGTATCTATTTGGGTCAGCTAGCATCTCCTTTTCCCATCTTGCTTTTTTCTTTAGAGGTTTAGGTCTTTAAACACAAAATTCCATGTTTTAAAAATAGATTTCACTTCTTTTAATAAGATGCCACAAAACAGGATGTTTAGAGTCTCTTAAAAGGAAAAATAGGAAAGTAAGATTTTGAAAGAATTTGATGGCAAGGCAGGGTGAATAATAATTTAGCTTTTAAAAAATAAAAGGAAAAGAAGACCTAAGTATTTTTAGCCTATACAGTCTTTTCCCCCTATAGATCTCCTTAGATAAATAATGAATTATCTTGATTTAGCAATGAAAATTTCCATCATATGAATCACTTAATTGGCTCTGATCAAACACAGAGAGATATCTTGTGTTTGGAAATACTTGAAGAATTAAGATTTATTAGTGATAACACCCTTCTAACAACCTGGCAGTAAAGCCCTGGATATTCCTGTATAAGATCCAATTCATGATTACCTGGTTGCTATATTGGAATGTATTGGAGTTTGAATGTGTGTGTGTGTGTGTGTGTGTGTGTGTGTGTGTGTACTCACACTCCTTACCACTCTTTACTGGAATACATTGTGGTCCAATGTTCATGTTGTCAGTCTCAAATCTAATATTTATTAACATGGCAATCTGAGGGGAGAAATCAATAATTTTAATGTGTGGAGCTCCTAAAATCTGACAGTTTTAGCTGCAAAAAATTTTGCTAAAGAACTATTTGGGGAAAACATTGGATTTTCAAATTGAGCATTTCTGTTACAGGTAATTTGTTTTTAAAGGCTCAGTTGTACGATTGTCTGATGTAATCATTTTTGTAATAAGTGAGAGCATGTATCTTAGCAGGTTAAAAAATACTAACACTTTATGAGGAAAAAATAAATATCTCACCTATTATTTTGGAATTGAATACTGAAGCACTGAAGAGATGTCACAGTTTTGGCATTTTACAAAAGTCTTTCTGATGACACTAAAAACTTGTAACTAAGTGCTCTTACCATGTGCCAAACACAGCAGAGGTCACTATGGATATATGCCAAAGTAGTTTAGGGAAACAGACATGTAACAAACAGGAGTAGAATGCGATGGTGCCACGAAGTTTAGTGTGGTCAGATGCTAATTGTGCTTGGTGATATGGGGAGGACCCTGAAGAAGAGAGAATGCCCGAATAGAAACTTCTGAAACATTTACTTTAGAAATTTCCTGCACTGAAAAGACATCACCAACTTTAGTTAATCACCCAGTGTTGTTCCAGTGTGGTTTTTACTTTTTTAAATTGTGAGATGATGACTTCCTTTTTTCTCAAAGTGACTGTCATTTCATTTGTTAAAAACCAATTATTATAACACCCACAGGCGACACTTTTTCTTTCAAAAGAAACATAACTAGCCCTGCTCAATCTTCTCCCAGTGGTAAAAATGACCACTTATTATGTTTCGGATGCTATGCTAACCACTTCACGTGTTTGGTCACTGTTTCTCATAATAGTCCCAATTTTATAAATGCAAAAATGACACAAAAGTTGAGTAATTTTCCAGAGGTGCAACTAGTTAGTGGTGAAGCTGAAGCTAGAAATCAGGTTAATCTGACCCCAAACCTCTTAATTCCTAAACAATGTATACTGGTGCAAGAGAATCCATATTATGTTCAATGTCAAGCTGTAGCATCCTCCAATAGAATTGTGCAAGGTGAAACTCTCCCCTCAGGCAACTTGCATAAATTGTGGTGAATAGTGTTTGTGCAAAAAAGACTCAGGGAGGAGACTACTATTTTTGATGTACATACAAAGATAGGTTATTTTACTTTCAATGAGGGAAAGAAAGATAAAAATGCTAATCAAATCCTCTAAGCACTGTGTTACCTGGGAGAGTTTTAACTACAAAATCTCAGTGCATGTGTCTAATGAAACGACAGCAGTAGAATTGAACATAGAGACATGTTGGTAATTAAATGATAATATAGAATAAATCCTCTTAATAGGTTTAATTCTTTTTTATGTTGTGTATTAATGGAACAACACCCCTAATATATCAGCACATAGCATATATGAGATACTTGGTGCCATAGAGTTGGCAGCCTTCCTTTTCTTCTTTTTTACTCCTGAGCGGGAGCTACATAGGTGTGTTTTGTCTTATCGATTAGGACAATCTAAGCAAAAGTGGGTAAATTTGCTCTTTTCTCTTCTTCAGCCCCAGTGGTTTGGATATGGGTCTGTTTTTGTAGAGGAAATTACCCCCACAGAATCAAGACTGTTTCATTCAGGTCTATGCTTTATCTGAGTCCCTTTGGAGGAGGGGAAGAATTGAGGAAATGGTGAGGAGTCTGTGTGCGTGTGAGCCTCCTGCGTGGGGCATGAGACCAGCCCCAGGGCAACCAAAACCAGAGTCCTAATTCACTATACTACGTGCAATGCCCAAGTTCCTGCATTTTTTCTAGTCCTGAGCAGCCCAACAACATAAGGTCCAAGGCTAAACATTTTTTGATTTTTGCTGTTGAATTTTTTATGTTTGTTATAGATTCTGGATATTAGAGCTTTATCAGCTGCATAGTTCGTGAATATTTTTTCCCATTCTGTGTGTTGTCTGTTTAAAATTGGCAAAGGACATGAACAGATGCTTCACAAAAGAAGATATACATGCAGCCAACAAATATATATATAAAAAGCTCAACATCACTAGTCATTAGAGAAATGCAAATCAAAACAACGAGGTATAATCTCACATCAGTCTGAATGGCTATTATTTAAAAGTTAAAAACTAACAGATGTTAGCAAGGTCATGGAGAAAAGAAACATTTATACACTGTTGGTGGGAATGTAAATTAGTTCAGACACTATGGAAAGCAATTTGGAGATTTCTCAAAGAACTCAACTACCATTCAAACTAGCAATCCCATCATTGGGTATATATACAGAGAAAAATAAATCATTCTACCAAAAAGATACATGCACACGTATGTTCATCACAGCACTATTCACAATAGCAAAGACATGGAATCAGCTTAGAGGCCCATCACTGGTGAACTGGATAAAGAAAATGTGGTACATATACCCCATGGAATACTATGCAGCCATGAAAAATAATGAAATCATGTCATTTGCAGCAACATGGATGCAGCTGGAGGCCATTATCTGAAGCAAAGTAACACAGGGACAGAAAATCAAATACTGTATGTTCTCACTTATAAGTGGGAGCTAAACACTGAAAACACATGGACATAAAGATGGCAACAATGGACCCTGGGGACTACTACGGAGGGAGGAAGGGAGGGGGACAAGATTTGGAAAACTACCTTTTGGGTACTGTGCTTACTACCTGAGAACAGGATCATTTGTACACCAAACCCCAGTGACATGCAATTTACCCACATAACAAACCTGCACATGAACCCCTTAAAACTAAAACAAAGGTTGGAAATTTTTTGATATGCATATGAAAAAAGTTCAATATCACTGATCATTAGAGAAATGCAAATCAAAACCACAATGAGATACCATCTCATGCCAGTCAGAATGACTATTATTAAGAAGTCCAGAAACAACCGACGCTGATAAGGTTGTAGAGGAAAAGACATGCTTTTACACTGTTGATGGGAGTGTAAATTAGTTCAACCATTGTGGAAGACAGTGTGACCATTCCTCAAAACCTAAAGAGAGAACTACCATTTGACCCAGCAATTCCATTACTGGGTATATACACAGAGAAATATAAATCTTAATATTAAAAAAACATATGCATGTGTATGCTCATTGCAGCATTATTCACACTAGCAAAGGCATGGAAGCAACCTAAATGTACATCAGTGATAGGCTGGATAAAGAAAAATGTGGTACATATATATATTTTCTCATTCTTTTTATGGCTCCATAGTATTCCATACGCACTTGTACTCCTGAACTTAAAATTTATTTTATTTTTAAAATTTTTATATTAGGTTTGAGGATACACGTGAAAGTTTGTTACATAGGTAAACACGTGTCATGGGGGTTTGTTGTACATGGTATTTCTTCACCCAGATATTAAGCTCAGTACCCAGTAGTCATCTTTTCTGCTCCTCTCCCTCCTCTCACCCTCCACCCTCAAGTACATCCCAGTGGCTGTTATTTCCTTCTTTGTGTTCATAAGTTAAAAAAAAAAAGCCAGAGAACTTTTAGGACACATCTGAGTGAAATTTTCTTTTGCAGTCTCTCATTTAGAATATAAAAATTAGTTAATTTGAGCATGAAATATGGCAAATTTGTGATGTCCCAGGAAATGTGTAGGAATTGACTTGATTTACTGGGTATATTAGAAGACAAGTTTCTGTCTTTGCAAGTTCTTATATTTAGACCCTTCCAAAGTGAAATAGCAGCTTACTACAATTTTAGGCTGGCATGTTTGGATGTTTGAGAGACTACCCTGTATCAAGAGTGAGTGGGTGGAACTGTCCCAGCTTCAGTGACCTTCTCCTGGGCTCAGCCATGTGGAGCTCAGGGAGTCAGAAGTTGTTTCAGTTGTTTCTGGAGCCATTGAGAGTTGCTAGGCTGCTAGTATGGTAAAGGATATGCTGCTAGATGTTGCTGCTGCCTTTGTTCTTCTGCGTCTGCAAAGTGCCTGCTGCTTTCATAAAGACCTACTGCTCTTTCTTAGTGAAACTTTTACATAAGTAACTGTTGGTCTGTCAGCTTTTTGGGATTTGATCCTGTAATATCTTTCCTACTGAGGAAAAGAGAAATCTAATTAAGGTCAAAGCTGAGAAACATTTTGGGAGACCTTGAGTTAATCGCATTAACTTAAGCCTCCTATTACAATTAGGCTTAAAAATCATTTCTATCCAGGTATAATGTATGTAAAATAAATCTACTTAAAACCTACAATTCTGCTGGGCGCGGTGGTTCACGCCTGTAATCCCAGCACTTTGGAAGGCCGAGGCGGGCGGATCACGAGGTCAGGAGATTGAGACCATCCTGGCTAACAAGGTGAAACCCCGTCTCTACTAAAAAAAAATACAAAAATTAGCCGAGCGTGGTGGCGGGTGCCTGTAGTCCCAGCTACTCGGGAGGCTGAGGCAGGAGAATGGCGTGGACCCGGGAGGTGGAGCTTGCAGTGAGCTGAGATCACGCCACTGCACTCCAGAACGGGTGAAAGAGCAAAGACTCCGTCTCAAAAAAACAAAACAACAACAAAAAAACCCTACAATTCTATGAGTTTTTATGGAGGTATATACCCATGAAATTATTGCTGCAATTATGATAGAGAACATTTCCATCAGGCCAAAAGATTCCTGTCTTCCTTAGCAATCCATCGTTCCCTTCAACCTTGACCCCAGGAGAACACTGATCTATTTTTGTCACTCTAGATTGGTTTGCACTTTCTAGAATGTTATATAGGTGGAAAAAATACAGTATGTATTCCTCGATGTCTGACTTCTTTTACTCAACTTAATGATTTTTTTTTTAGATTTTTTCATGTTACGTTATATCTGTGTTTTTGCCCCTTTTTATTGCTTGATAGTACTCTATGGCATAGATTTACTAAATTACTTTATCCATGCATGTGTTGATAGATACTACCTAGGTTGTTTCCAGTTTTCAGCTACCAAGAATAAAGCTGCTATGAATATTTGAGTACAAGTCTTGTGGACATATGTTTTTATTTATCTTGGGTAAATATGGTTGGTTTATCTTTAACTTTTAAGGAAAACTGCCAACCGATTTGTGAAAAAGAGGTTGTCTGTTTTACAGTCTCACCAGCAACTTGTCAGAGTTCCCATTACTCCACATCATTGTCAACAGTTGGTATTGCCTTTTTAGTTTTAGCTATTCTAATGGGTATGGTCATAATATCGGTTTTTATTGGTTATGTTATTGAAGTATAATTGACAAATGGTAAAATTCACCTTGTTTATGTGTACTGTTAACAAGTTGGACAATGTACACCATCATGTCACCTCCACCATAGTCTTGATTTAAAATATTACAATAACTCCCCCCACCCACCTTCAAATTTCCAAAGTGTGCTTTGTGGTCAATCAACTTTTCTCAATCTCAGTCCAGGGAACCACTGATCTTTTTGTTCTTGTAGTATGACCTTTTCCAGAAAGACATGTAAATGAAATCATATATCATGTAGCCCTTTGCGTCTGTCTTCTTTCCCTTAGTATAATGTTCTGGAGATTCATACGTGGTTGTTTCATCAGTAGTTTTCTTAATGCTGAGTAGTATTCTATCACATTGATATACCACAATTGGTTTACCCACTCAGTGGTTGATGGACATTTGGATTGCTTTCACTTTTTGGCTGCTATGAGTAAAGTCACTATAAACATTCATGTACATGTCTTTGTGTGAAGATATGTTTCATTTGACAGTGGGATTTCTGAGTCACATTGTATTTTACATTTGATTTTATTAGAAAGTGACAAATTATATTACAAAAAGGCTATACTATTTGCATTCTAACTAGCAATGTTTGAAAATCCTTGCTGTTCCACATCCTCCCCAGTACTTGCTACTGTCAGTATTTTAAATTTTAGGCATTCACTGTGGCACTTAGACACTTCTCTACATGGCTAAGTATGGCATCGTTTTTGTGTGCTTATTTTCTATATATATATCTTTTTTGGTAAACTGCTGTTAAACTTTTGTATACTTTAAAAATTAGATTGTTCATTTATTATTGTTTTGAAGGCATTCTTCATGTATGTTGGACCTAGGCCTTTATGAGATTTTTTTTTTGCATATATTTTCTTCCACACTATGGCTTTTCTACTTTCTTTAGTATTTTCTGAAAAGTAGAAAATTGATGAAGTTTGCCTGGGTGTGGTGGCTCACGCCTGTAATCCCAGCAATTTGGGAGGCTGAGGTGGGCGGATCACTTGAGCTCAAGAGTTCGAAATCAGCCTGGCCAACATGGTGAAACCCAATCTCTACAAAAAAATACAAAGAGTAGCCGGGAGTGGTGGTACATGCCTGTGGTTCCAGCTACTTGGGAGGCTGAGGCGGGAGGATCACTTGAACCTGGGTGGCAGAGGTTGCAGTGAGCCGAGATAGCACCACTGCACTCCAGTCTGGGTGACCCACTGAGATGCTATATCAAACAAAAAAAAAAAAGAAAAAAGAAAACTAATAAAGTTCAGTTTATCATTTTTTTCTTTCATGGTTTTTATTGTTTCTTTCTTAAGAAATGTTTACCCAGCCAAAGATTGCAATGATGTATTATGTTCAGTTCTAGAAGATTTATAATATTAGGGTTTACATTTGAGTTGATTTTTGTAATGGCGTAAGGTGAAGGTTAATGTTCTTTTTTGGAGGCATATAGGTGGCACTAGTTCATTGAAAAGACGATCATTTTCCCACTGAAATACCTGGCTACATTTGTCAAAAACCAATTGATACGTGTGATCTATTTTCTAGATTATCTTTGTTTCCACTGATTGCTTATCTCTATGCCAATACAATAGGTACTTGAACCAAATCTGTTTTGTTTGTCTTAGGCAACAGTGGATGAGACTGAGTATGACTAAGACATCTAGTATGATGACCAGACCTACTTGGAGGATAGACACAGCCAGGCTTCTATCCAGATCCAAGCTGGTCAAATATGCCATTAATCGAGGTGCACCCGGAGGTATTGGCTTTTGCATACACTCTGCCTAGACTGGCCAGCAGGAAGTTCAGGACAAAGGGATTTTTATCATTATATGTGCTCGAGAGTTTAGGTTAGTGTTTTGTTTGTGTGTGTGTGTGTGTGTGCATGTGTGCACATGTGGTGAGGTGGGGTGGGGAGTAAGCATAAATTGGTTGGCCACTTAAGAAATAGTAGTGATTTCAGTAACAGTATTTTGTTGATGTGGCATCAGGGCTCAGTTTTATTTATTAAGTTTGTGAAAAACATCTAAAAGAGTTTGTCACCCCTTAAACAGGAGAGGACAACCACAGGATACCAATGATAACAGCCTATCACAACAACTAATGTTTTCTTCTTTTTTTTTTTTGTCTTGGGTTTATAAATTTTTAATCAAATATAAGAAAATTTTAGCCATTATTTATTTAAGTATTTTTTTCTGCTGGATATTTTATTAATTAGTTGATTATTCCTAGATATAGTCTTAAAGTGTATTCTGGGTGCAGTTAAGTTAACCTGGAAACAATTTGGTGCTTTCTAAGCTTTCTAGTTCTGTTAGGCTAGAACAGAGTAGCCTTTAGTTTAGGGGTAATTTTGTCATGCCACCAAGGCAGTATCCTGCTGAGAGCTGTACCCAGTATCCCACACTGGCTGGTGGGAACACAGATATTCCTGACCCTAAGTATAAACTCTGGGGATTGGTTCCGCTAATCCTTTTAGGAGCTTCTTTTTCAGCCTTCAGTTCTTTTCTCACATGAATGCACTGATTAGTATTCAGCTAAAGACTGGGAGGGTCCTTCTGCAGATCTCTGGAACTCTCTCTATGGACAGTTCCCTCCTATCTGGATTCTGCCCCAGAATCTCCAGCCACCTCAAGCTACCTGAACTCCCAACTCAGGGAGAATTCTGGGCTCCACTCAGCTTCCTTCTCTCTGCACTGTGACCTGGAAACTGTCTTCAGGCAGTAGGTGCAGCAGTTGTAGGGCTCACTCTGTTTTCCTTCTCCCCTGGATCTTTCTCCTGCATTGCCTGTTGTCCGATGTTTAAAAAACAGTATTTCATATATTTTGTATAGGAAACTTTGTATTTTGTAATTTTATTTGTATTTTTAAATTTGTATTTTGTAATTTTAATTGTTTCAGGTGGGAGGGTAAGTCTGGATCTGTTACTCCTTGGCTTGAAGCAGGAGCCATTTTTCACTCTGCAATTTGGTTTCCTTTGTGGTCTTGCAACCTCATCTATCTGATAGGTTTAAGAAAAGTTATAATCTTATAGATGATTTAGTTTGTTCAGGTTCTAGCATAGAAATAATGTTGTCTTGTGGCTTTATATCCTCAGCAAAAGTGGAAGCTTTAGTAAATACACATTTAGCTTTCAACCAATTAAAGATAACTCTGCATTCTGCTGTGGCTTGGTTTATATAGAGTATGGTGTCTTATTCCATTTTGCACAGCTATAACAGAATAACTGAGGTATTCTGTTTATAAAGACCAGAAATTCATTTCTCACAGTTCTAGGGGCTGAGAAATCTAAGACTTAGGTGCTGGCAGGTTAGGGTTTCTGGCTGGGTCCTCACATGGTGGAAAGAAGGGCAAGAGAGAACTCTGGGCCCTCACATGACAGAAGAGTGGAAGAGCAAGCTAGCCACCTAACCAAAGGCTGCACAAAGCCTCTTCTAAAAGAGCCTTAACATCACTAATGATGGAGAAGCCCTCATGACCTAATCCCCTCTCGAAAGCCCCACTTCTTAATAGCATTACCTTGGCAACACCTGAATTTTGCAAGGTACACATTCAAACCACGGCAGATGGCATTATCACAATATTTAAAAATGGCATGTGTATAGGGCTATAGTTATGTTATATTATGTATAGCGAAGTCAGAAAATATTGAGAAGATCTGACATTTAAAATAAGAAAAAAATTATAAGATGATGCAATTTGGGCCATTTCTAATTGAAAATTTAGGGCAAGGTATTGCTGGTAAATGACATTTCAGGTAGCATAAAATATAAACAAAAGTATGAGAGCTGAAATTTTTCTCAGTTTTATACCTTGCTTTTTGACTTTTCTAAAACTACTTAGTTTCAAGCAATTTAGCGTTGCTTGATATCACAATGAAGATATCAAACAGCAACCATAAAGTAAGTCCGCATTTGTTCTTTTTCAAAAGTAGGAAAATGGCAGCAGTTTTATTTAAATTTTTAGTGATTGTTCTGAAGCTGATAGTAGAAATAAATACTTCACATCTTTATTAACTTCTAGGTAAAAAATTTTATTTTTCCTCCCAATTCTATTTTCTCTTCCTCACCTGGGCTGACTGGCATTTTAAAACTTGTCTCTAGGTTGACGTTTCATTGACCTTGACTGCTTTCCCATTCTGTGGCATCCATTTATCATCTTTGGTTCTGTTTAGAGGTACATTAAATAATAAAACTGCATTATTGGGGGCATCTTTGGACATTTTAGAAATAAGCTGATTTGTCCCTGACCTCATTAGGTATTCAAAATTTCTGAGGGAAGTGGGTTAAATATTCCTAAGGAGTTACACATTGCTCCTTGGCTTGGCGAGTTAGGGACAGGCGATGTCTAAGGACTATGCTGAATAGATGAGACTCTTTCCTTTCTAACTCTGTCCTCCTGGTTAGAAATACAGGCAGAACAACTGAACTACTTAATTTACCTTTTTAGAGTAGGAAAAGCAGAAAAGATCTAACACATTTAAAATTGCAGAGGTGGTAGAGGGAGTAAGAATGCAATTTCCCCAGTTCTATGGCCATTCCTAATCATGAGAAAATTGCCAGAGGATTCTTAATGGGCATTAGTGGTTTAAGACTCTGATTCCACACACCTCACAAGGCAGCCTGCTTCCGCAGAATTAAAAGTGGGAGTGTCTAAACTGGCTTCCTGGTGATTTTAATGACGATCTAAACTCTGGTGATTTAAAAAGAAAATGAACCTTGAGATTGGAAATATCAGCTGTAGTGGGAAAGGACAAAGCACTGAAATTACAGAAAGTTGACTCACACACCCTTTAGAAACAAGTCCTTGTACCATGACTTACCAGAAGTCGAGAAGACTCTATTCAAACAATGATGGCTACACTTGGCAGTTATTTTACTTATATGATCTCATGAGGTCATAGAACAAAGAAATATGGCCATGAGCAAGTCAGGGATTTATAGTAGAGTGATTGAAGTAGTCAATCAAAATGAATATTTAATGTGAGCTGGGCTGATCTGGTGCATGTTGTACATTCCAAGATGTGTTTTCTGAATAAACAAGTGATTTAAATTCCTGTGAGACTTTTTTGACAACAGTGATTTTAGGCATGCCTTAAGAAAGGTTTTTGTTTTCCAAAATGATTATTACTTGGCACAAAAAATTTGTCAGAAAATTTAGCAGCATTCTAGTCCTTTGAATATTATTATGCATCTTCTTTGTTTATTTTTTTCCTTAGATCTTAGCTTTACTCACACTTCCCACTTTGAATGAGCAAACTGGCAAGAAATACCAAGTTCTTTAGCTTTTACCTATTATTGTGAATAATCCTTAATACTGAATGGATTTTTTTAAAAAATGACATGTCTTTCACAAAAATGTATAGGTTACTGTTATCTTTTGAAACAGAAACTTTAAATATGAAATGAATATAAAATAATAGAACTTAAGAACAACAGCTTTAGAAGAGATTTCTTACCAACAACAAAATATTTTAAATCAGAATGTCAATTTATTAATCCTTAATGAGAATCAGCTATCAAAATGATCAGATATTTGCCTTATTGACTCAGGAAACTATATCATCAGCCTACTGATGATCTGCTTATCTATATAGTTTCCCGAATCAATAAGGTAAGTGCTGATAGGTGCTGGGCCTGTTTGCTCTCATGTTGGTTACTTGCTTTTCTCTACGTCTTCTCTCTGTGGCAGGGGAGCTGACTCCTGGAATCTGTGCTCCTTAGATTAAGACAGGAGGACAAAAAAATAGAGTGTGTTTCATAATCTGTCTCTGGGTCAGGTGGCTTCTTTGGTGTTGGCTGAGTCTCCTGCCTGGTTCTAGCTTCCATCAAGTGCCCTAGCCATGAGGGTCCAGTAATACTCCCTCTTCCCTTTAGCCCAGAGGTGTCCGTGGTTCCTTGCAGTTGCAAATCCTTGGGGTTGCCTCCTAACTCCTCCTTGACTTCTAGCAATTCCAGCTGTGTGACCAATTCCTGCATTGCATTTCTTGTATTTTAAATACCTGGTAATGTTTTTTGTTTTCCTAGTTGAACCTTGAATGATACAGTAGGCAAGGAATGAGATAAAGGGAAGCTGGTTTTATGATTCAAATGTTTAATGCTATTTGGCTTGAAAAGCATCAAGCTTGGGAATTACCTGAAGTATGTTCAGATTCATTCTGCTTAACTCAAAGGTAAACTGAAAAGATGAAAACATTTAGAAATCTTTCTGAAATGTCTCTTTCTCTCTCCTGCATTAGAAAGCAAAACTGTATTTCATTTATTCTCTTTCATATTTTAGATTCTAGTAGTGTTTCTCAGAGTATCTAGGACCAAGATATTGAAATAGAATCTGTAGATGGTTGGACTAAATATGATTCATCGTTAGGATGCAACTTTGAGGCAGTTTTTAGAAACCATCTGCTATAGTTTGAATATGGTTTGTTTGTCCCCACCAAATTGTATGTTGAAATTTGATCTCCAGTGTTGGAGGTGGGGCCAAATGGGAGTTGTTTGGGTCATGAGGGTGGATCCCTCATAAATAGATTAATGCCTTCCCTGGAGTGGGGGCATGAGTGAATTCTCTCTCTAGTAGTTCCCAAGAAAGCTGTTATTAAAGAAAGCCTGGCACCTCTCCCCCGTATCTCTTATCTCTCTTGCTTCTTTTCTCACTGTGTGATCTCTGGACAGCTGGCTGTCCTTCACCTTTTGCCATGAGTGGAAGCTGCCTGAGATCCTCACCAGATTCAGATTCCTAATTGTGAATGTTCCAGCCATCAAAACTGTGAGCCAAATAAACATTTTTCCTTAATAAATTACCAGCCTTTATAGCAATACAAAACAAAGACACCATCCTTATCTCAGTTTTATGCTTGTGCGTGCATCTCTATTTTTTTATGAAAACATATCTTAAAACCATGTTGAAAAGCAAACTTACAAACAAATTTAGTTCAAAGATCTAATTGGCTTTTATTTGTGATTTGAGATCAGGCAACATTTCTTTCTATAAAATAGAATGGGTGTTCCACTGCACTGAGCCTAAGAGATTGGCTTTAAAGGCAGAAAAGTACTGAAGAAAGCAGAAACAGGGAACAAAAAGCAGATTGGTCCCTTCAAAGCTACTTTCCTTATATGGTTAAAACAGAGGGAACTTTCATTGCGTGCTGGCTTGGGTAAACTGGGCCCCTTCTGATTGGTGGCTGTGAATCTCTTCTTTTCTGGAAAACTCGCCTGTTTCAAAGTTCAGTTTCATCACTCATTCTTGTTTGGCCTGGTCTGTTGGGGCCTAGTGCAGGAGTTTAGTCCAAAATCATGGCCTCACATGAATTTTATTTAGCAAGGATAGTGCATATGTCATCTTTTGATATTTACAAATATTGAATTCAAGCACGCTGTTTTATCTTAAACAGAGCAGCAATATCAGGTCAGTAAGGGTTTTAGTTGTAAAATTTATTTTCGGATGGCCAAAACCTAGGTCATTAAAAAGACAGGCTTTAGAAAATATATGCAGTCATTTATTGTTTTTTAAATATTTAATGATAACCTGCTATGAGATAGGCATTGGAGACACAGTGGTAAATAAAACAGATGTGAGCTTAAAATCTGCTGGAGAAAACAGACTTCTACAGGCAATCACAATAATGTACAAGAGAAGTTATGGGTATATATAACAGGGGATTTGGCTTGTGTCTTAGTCTGTTTTGTGCTGCTATAACAGAACGCCTGAGGCTGGGTAATATACAATGAACAGAAACTTATTTGGCTCACAGTACTGGAGGCTGGGTGGTCCAAGAACATGGTGCTGGCATCTGGCAAGGACCTTCATAAGGCATCGTCTCAGTGTGGAAGGTGAAAGAGCAGGAGAGTGAGAACAAGCAGGAGATTGAACTCATAGCCTCAAGCCCTTTTATGATCAGTATTAATCCATTAATGAGGGTGGAGCCTCCATGACCTAAGCACCTCCCATTGGGCCCCACCTTTCAACACTGTTGCTTTGGGGATTAAGTTACAAACACATGCTTTTTGGGGACACATTCAAACGGCAGCAACTTTGTCCAAAAGTCTGGGAATGTTACGAAGTAATCAGAAGAAAAAAGAAGACCAAAATTGTCCCAGGTTATCAGACAAGATTCATTTATCCATTCAAAAAACTTGACAAACATTTATGAGTCTAGGGAATAGTTGTCAGTAGGACTAACAGTGTTAATAAAAACACAGAAGGATAAGCTGACAAAGCAAGCACACCAAAAAGTTGGGTAATGACTTGGGTTGCATATCACAATGACAAACTCCTGACTATAATGTATTAATGATTTTTCCTCCTTTGTGCTCCCCAAACAGCTTTTATTTCTACTGCAGCATTTAATAGTATTTGGCCTAAGAAATTTGTTTGAGATCATATTTGTTTTACTTATGAGAAAATTTGGATCCAAGGGGTTAAAGGAGTAGTTTAAAGTCACTGAGATTGTAAATGTTGGAGAATTAACATTGTCACAGAGTGGTGAGGAGTGAGTGTGTCATCTGAGGCATGTTCCTGAGTAGATAAGTTTTCCTATCTACCCAAAGTGAGACATTAATAGCATGAGGATTTAAAAAAGGTTTACATTACTTAACACAGTGCTTGGCACAGACTGCTTAATTAATGTTAGCTCTTATTGAGACAGGAATAATACAGGGTGGTTGTAGGAGAATAGAGAATTCCAGGCAGCAGTTTCATGTGACTAACAGAAAGGAAACTGTTGAAACAGCTGCATAAGCTAAAGGCTGATAAGACCCTGAAAAACAAGATATAGACCAAGCTGACTATGACCAACTGGACTCAACATGGTGCTGGATTTGACCTAGGTTTTACCTAGGACTTAATATCTGCTTATTAACATACTAAATCACACATCCTCCAGTGCCATAACAGTTCCAGAAACATCCATATTTGGTGTAAAAATGGGTGACACCTCAGTTCCAAGGTATCTTCAACTTTTTCCAGAAATCTTCGTGAATATTCCACCCCTTGGTTAAAGAAACCCATAAAGGTAGAAGCCTCAGACTCTATTGGATGCAACTCACTTTCTTGAGTACACCCACACTCCCTTTTCTTGAGTGTGTACTTGCAGTTTGCAATAAATATCCACACTTTCACTTTCCTCTGACTTGTCTTTGAATTCTTTCTCACAATAGTGTCAAGAACTGGAACACCAGCCTAGGTCAAGTTCCCACAGGCGTTTGGGGACCTCCCGTAGCTCACCAGTATTGTTATTAGCTATCAGACCTATGAAACACCATTGTATTAGTCAGTCATTGTATTCTATAGAGAAACAGAACCAATAGGAAACCTATATATCTATATCTACAGCTACAACTATATCTATATATCTATATCTACAGTCATGCACTGCACAACAACGTTTTGGCCAACAATATTCTGCATCTATGACAGTGGTCCTATAAGATTATAATAGAACTGGAAAATTCCTATCACTTGGTGATATTGTTACTGTCATAATGTCTTAGTGCAATGCATTACTTACTTGTTTGTGGTGATGCTGATGTAAACATGCCTACTGCCCCACAATCACATAAAAGTGTACTGTAATATCCAAGGCCTTCATATTCACTCACAACTCACTGACTCACTCAGAGCCACTTCAGTCCTGCAAGATCCCTTCATGGTAAGTGAAAGCACATCATTTTTTAATCTTTAAAATTATATTTTTACTGTGTCTTTTCTATGTTTAGGGAGATTTAGATATACAAGTACTTAATATTATGTTATAATTGCCAACAATATTCAGTATAGGTATATGCTGTACAAATTTGTAAGTTTGGAGCAATAGGCTAGACCATATAGCCTAGTTGAGTGACAGGCTATGCCATTTAGGTTTGTAGAAGTACACTCCATGATGTTCACATTTCTCAGAATGTATCCCTGGTGTTAAGCAACTAATGACTCTCTATATATCTGTATCTATATCATCTGTATCTATTCTATCATCTATCTGTCTAGTCTATCATCTACCCATCTCTCCATCTAGGTAGATAATTTAGTATGAGGAATTGACTCATGTGATTATGGAGGCTTAGAAGTCCCATGATTGCCATCTGCAAGCTGGAGACATAGGAAAGCTGGTGGTGTAGTTCAGTTGGAGTCAAAAGGCCTGAAAACCAGAGGAACTGATAGTGTAAATTCAAGTCTGAAGGGAGGAGATGAAATATGATGTTCCAGTTTAAGCAGCAAAGCAGGAAAAAAGAGTCAAATTCCTTCTTCCTCTGCCTTTTGTTCTATTCCTGCCCTCAGGGATTGGATGATGCCCACTGACATTGGGTAGGGCAATTTTCTTTACTGAGTCCACAATTCAAATGCTAATCTCTTCTGAAAACACGCTTATCCACACGCCCAGAAATAATGTTTCTGTGGATATTCCATAACCTAGGCAAGTTGACACATAAAATTAACCATCATTAGAGACCATCCATTCTCTAAAGGCTCTTTCAATACATTTCATTCGATCCCAAAACAACACTGGGAAGGGGAAAGGTAGGCATGATCATTCTCATTGTAGAGAAAAAGAAACAGAAACAGAGACATTAGTGATTTTCCCTAAATAGACATCAGGCATTGAGATATGATGGAACACAGAATCTGATCTCCTTAACTTCAAGTTGATTGCCTTTCCCATGCAATCAAGCTACTACTCATTGCACTATAAGCAGTTACAAAAACATACCTCTCTATTGCTAGACTGGATTAGATTGCTTCTTTCCAGGATTGTCTCTCTTACTAGGCCTCTTGCTCTTTGAAGCCAGAACCAAGTTTTATTCATCTGAGGTGTTCTCATAATGCCTAGCACTGACACAGGGACACAGAGGGTGTTCCATAAACACTTGTCAAGTGAAACTAAGATGGAGACAGAGGCAGGCATAATGGATGATGCAAGGAGGCTGCTCCAACCAAGTCCTGAAACAAGTAAATCTTTTTGATTTGCTGTGGCATACTAATGGATATTTGGAAGTTGCGGTTCCTATTGTGAACCCCGAATATCTGAGAGAGGTCAAGTTAATTTAGAAAGTTAATTTTGCCAAGGTTGAACAAGCGCACCCCTGACACAGCCTCAGGAGGTCCTGATGACATGTGCCCAAGGTGGTCAGAGCACAGTTTGGTTTCATACATTTTAGGGAGACATGAGACATCAATCATTATATGTAAGATGAACATTGGTTCAATCTGGAAAGGTGGGACAAATCAAAGCAGGAGGAGGCTTCCAGGTCATAGATGGATAAGAGACAAATGGTTGCCTTCCTTTGAGTTTCTGATTAGCCTCTCCAAAGGAGGCAGTCAGATATGCATTTATCTCAGTGAGCAGAGGGGTGACTTTGAATAGAATAGGGGCAGGTTTTCCCAGCTTGACTTTTCCCTTTAGCTTAGTGATTTTGGAGTCCCAAGATTTACTTTCCTTTCACACTATCTTTGAGTAATATCCAAATTCTAGGTGAATTGGATTCGTCCTGGAAGGTACAGGGCCCCCTATCACTCTGAGAGAGTTGCTTTTTAAAGATTTTTCAGGTTTTTTAAAAATCAGCTTTCCTTGTGTGTGGGCCTGTGGGCTCCTTAAGTTGAGCCTGGAATTCTTGGAGGGTGGCATCTATGGCCTTATATGAAATTTTCTTTTATGTTCATTTAGAAATAGTCACTATATCGTGCCATACTACTTCAAAGATTCTATTCTATTCCTTCAGCTATGCAGCGATCCCCATTTTCATGCCTTAAAGCTCTTCCGTGCCAGGCAAGCACTTACCAAGAGGTCCCTGCATCTCTGTGGGAGTGGGATGTAGATATTGCCAAGACCAAGCTCCAGCCTTCTTTCTTCCTCTTGCTTTTGAGGGCTGAAAGGGGTTGGGCACACTGAATGCTCCTTGGCTCTGCTCACCCTGAGTGAGATTGCTAATCAAATGCAGGGCAAACCAGGAAATGGCTTTCCTGGAAACAGAAAAATTATTCTTTAGTTGGTAGTGCAGAAATCATGAACTTCAAGCATTGTGATGGTTACACAGCCCCTTTTCATTCTGATGTAAATAACATTCAGTTATGGAAGCCACATGTTATGCTTTGACAGAGTCATTTTAAAAAAGCCAGCAGAGGTAAAATCTGCATGAATATGCCACAGGGCCATTATCCTGAAGCTTAGAATGATGGCTGTAAAAGGTCTTATACAATGGTAATTTTATATCTCAGTCATATGCTATTAAGGTATAGTAGATACCTAGTGAAAGATGCTCTGGATTTCCTCTGAGAGAGAGAGAGGAAAAGTGTGTGTATGTGTATTTATACATGTGGCTGCCCTTAGATGTTTGCATAGGAGTTAGTTTGACCTTGAGAAAGTGCGAGGAGCATGTTCATTGCATGTCTGAGGATACACCATATTTTAATTCCCTGGAGAATCAAAGCAGTTTCTAGTGGGTATTAGTCCTCCTCCAAGTAATACAAATCTTTTCAATGAGTTTTACCTGTATTATAACAGGATCTAGTAACCATGAAAAATTTCACCCTTAAAAACAAAATCCAAAAAAAAAAAACAATGGGTCTAATTATTAGGAGCAATGTACTGCGATAAAGGAAGAAACTATATCAAATGTATGGATACACTGATATTTGCTATGCATTAGGGAAATAAGATAAGTTGATTCCTTTGAGATGTTTAATTCCACTTGATAAATTATATGGCCTAGTAGAAATAGCGTTTGCACATTGACAACCTTGCTAATGCCTATGCCACTTAGCTGTCAAGCATAATCACATGTATGAATGACTTCTTTGAATAGACCTATTTCTGAGAACATAATTATAGGACATTCTATTTGTGGCAATTATCATATTCTTTGAGAGCATCTTACATAGCACATCCTTTGACTTGTTTAGTTTTGAGACTTTTCTTTCACAATTTCAGTTGGAAAATGATTAAACTAGGGCCTTTGTCTAAATGCAAATAGAGCTTAGAGTCAACAAAAATTACTAAATTTGATCATGCAGTGCTGCAGCCTGTAAGATGGTATGATGGTTGATTGTAGGTGTCAACTCGACTGGACTAAGGAATACTCAGCTGGTAAAGCACTATTTCTTCTCAATGCTTCACTGGGCACTGAGCCTGCCCCTCTTCTACTGAAAGGAAAAGCCAGGAGGTTTTGCCTTTGATTAGAACAATTGGTCTGCCCAAGGTGTGCATGTGAGGGTGTTTCAAGAGGAGATTGTTGTGTGAGTCAGTGAGGATGACCTGCTTCATCCAGTGGAAGATCCACCCTCATCATGAGTGGGCACTATACAACTGGCTGGGGGCCTGGACAGAACAAAAAAGCAGAGGAAAGGCACATTTGCCCCCTCTCACCCTTCTCCTGCTCCTGAACATCAGAACTCCAGGTTCTCCAGTCTTTGAATTCCTGGATTTGCACCAGTGGTGCCTGGGTTCTCAGGCCTTCAGCCTCAGACTGAAGTTCACCATTGGCTTCCTTGACTGGAGGCCTTTAACTCGGACTGAGACATGCTATCAGCTTCCCTGGTTCTCCAGCTTACAGATGGCCTGTTATGGGACTTCTCAGCATCCATAATGAGTGAGCCAATTCCACTAATAAATACCCTCTTATCTCTCTTGTTCTCTCTATTCTATCAGTTTGCGTGGAGAACCCTGATGCAAACAGATGGTAATCCTTTCATGATCACTTTGTGTATTTCCCTTCTTTATTTTTGTTCAGATGATACCAATGAGTTGTGGATCACTCACTGTGAGGAAGATCATGGATTCTATGGAGAAATGAATCCTGAGTTGTTTGAGAACAAGAAAGAGGATGGTGATCCCTTTCTAAAATCTATGAGTCTTTTAATTTCAGTTCTTGCCTCTTGATGCAGCTTGACCTTGGATAGCTCATAATCACGGGCAACAGTGCTGATGAAGTAAGAATGAAGACTGATGTGAGGAAGTCAAAGGCTCTCTCTTACCCTGCATTCAGGAGATGAAAAGCCCTAATAAAGAAGAATGAAGAATTAAAGACATGACTGTAGAAGTAGCACCCAAATGTGTCAGAGCTTTTATCTGGAGTTCTTTTTTGAGAAAATCCTTGCTTTTTTACTCCCTCACCTTCTTCCATGTTTGATCTTTCTGGCTTCTGAGTTTCTGGCTTAGTTCAAATGAACTGTTTGGCTGTGAATCTTAGACACCTCCAGTCTCCCTCACATATCTCCCCCCATCTGCCTCATTGTTTTTAATCCATTCCAGCTTGATTTATTTTTACCACCTGATTCCTGTCTCTGGCATCACTTGTCACTTATCTCTATCTGCTCATGCTTGAGTACATTTTGCTAATGTGAGATAAAGGAAAGACCATGAGCTTTGGGATTTAAAATACCAGAAACCAATTACTAATGGTGTGACCTAGAAGAGTCTCTCTGAGCTTTAGTTTCATTTTCATTAACTATGAAAAGAGGATAGTTATACTTTCCTATTAGGGTAGAAGTGAAGAACTAAAGAGTTGACAGTAGGAAAAATGCTTCTCACAGTGGCTGGCACTTAGTACTTGCTCAATGCATGCTGCCTTCATTCCTATCTTCTGACTTCCACTCAGAGACATCCCTGCGTCATCCAGCACTAGCCAATCCTACTGACCTGACAAATGTGGCTTGTAGATCATGACATTGTGACAAGATGACCAGTGATGCAGCATCCTATTTACATCCTTTAAATCGTCCTCTCCTTCCACACTTCCTTCCAACGCCTGTCTACTCTTATTAGCTAACAACCTGTTAACAGTTATCAGCGATCTGCCTCTCCTGTCTACTGTTATCACTCCTGGCAGAACTCTAAAGAAGAAAAAGAAAGAATCAAAAGGTGTAATCTGAGATTGCTTGGGACTCACTAAAATAGTGTAAATCTTCCAAAGTGGGCATCATCTTAAATTTAACACCACCACCACCATTATAACTTTATACCTTACACCTTTTCTTTCCCTATTTTCAGAATTCTTGTCAATGATGCTTTCTGTCATGTTCCACCAAATCAGGAAATCAGTGGTTTTCACTTTCTTTAATTCTTTGTGATACTTTTTTGCTGAAACCTGATGGTTTTCCTTCTATGGCTTTGCTTTCACCAATTTTGTCGTAAGCTGTGATTTAGACTCTATTCTGTCATAAATAGCTAATTTTGACTTTTTCCTAGTCAATGACTCAGTGATTATCATCAAAGAATGGCCATGGCCAATTTTCCTGCCAGCAGTATTCATGTTTCTTTGGTTCTTTATCTTTTATCTTCTGTGGTCTCAGCTTTAAAGACGCTAAGAAGCACAGAATCCCTGGGTGTTGGAAGCAAGCTTAACATCCTTAAATAATCAACATGATATCCTTACTATGTGGTCACCTGGCCCAGCTTGAATAACCCCAGTTATGGTATAAACACTGGCTCTCAAGGCATCAACCAATTCCACATTTAGTTGGCTTTGATATTTAGAAAGCTGTTTTTTCTGTTTTTCTCTTCCCTTGATCTTAATTTTGCTCCTTGCAGTCATATGGAGCAAATGTGGCTTCCACTTCTAAACCATTTACACCTTTCAAAGGCAGCTATGCTGTCCCTGATACACACCCTTTCCATACCAACATTTTATTTACCAACATTTCCATTTACTCTAATCATCTGTAAAACCTGTTAATATTTGTTACCACACAGTTATCACATTTGCCATGAAGTTAGGAACTTGTTTTTCTTTATGGTAATACCGGAGAAATAATGATCACCAAAATAATCTACCCTAGACTTCATATGTTAGAAACAAACAACAAAAAGAAACTCATGTTCTGAGAAATCCTATGTAATGGAATGTTTATATGAAGTGAGAACTTTGCATACCCATCTCTATTAGTCCATTGTCATGTTGCTATGAAGAAATATCCAAGACTGGGTAATTTATAAAGGAAAGAGGTTTAATTGACTCACAGTTCTGCATGGCTGGGGAGACGTCAGGAAACTTACAATCATGGCAGAAGGTATCTCTTCACAGGGCAGCAGGAGACAGAATGAGTGTGGAGGGAAGGGGAAAGACCCTTATAAAACCATCAGATCTTGTGAGAACTCACTCACTATCAAGAAAACAGCCTGGTGGAAACTGCCCCCATGATTCATTATCTCCACCTGTTCCCACCCTTGGTGTATGGGGATTATTACAATTCAAGGTGAGATCTGGGTGGGGAAACAGAGCAAAACATATCATCCTCTATACCAAGTTAATATGTAATGATTACTTTGGGAACAGCCGGGCATATATAGGAACAAGGGGATGAGTGGTACAATTTTTGAAATTACTAATGTGCCTTTTTACCTTTTAGGCTCCATGACATTTGCTCCAGTTAACCTGATACAGCCATCTGCCTGAAGGAGGAGGAGAATTTATTATAAAGAATGACGAAGGAAAGAAGCAGAGATATGTAACATCTGACATAAAAAAACAGGATTAAAGCAAAATAAAACATTATAAACCAGACTATGATCTTGAGAGATGATTTTCCAAATCCTTTCTACTCCCTCCTCTAACATACCAGATATTAAACCCAGAGGATCCCACAGCAGAGAAGTTACCCTTCCATCCATGACAGCAAAGCCATGTGTCTGAGATAGACAGCATATAGAAGTAAAAACAAGGCCCACCTCTTTTCTAGCCATTAGAAATGATGACGGGAAGGGGCCAGAGAGAGAGAGAGAAGAAGCACATTGATGGGATGAGTGCCTGCATTTCCTCTCTCTGGACTGGGGAGAGTAGACTCAGGATGTGCATTGTGAGGGAGGCAAAAGGAGGAGGCTCTAGTTCCTGACCCCCTTTTGGGGCTCTGCAAAGAGAGAACCTCCCTAACTTTTCCTGTATAAAACATACTTTCATTCTCTTCACAGTGCAGAGCTTTTAAGGAGCCAAAGGACTCTAGGGTTAGCATTTCTGAGCCACTCTCAGGTCCCAAGGAATTTGGGTGCAGAGTCTCGGAGGCTGCTTTGGTGTCTGCTGAGGTGTAAATAGTAGAGGCTAGCAGGGGATTTCAGGGTTTTGGAGCCAGCAGGCATCAAAGTGAGACCAAATTGTTCAGGGAGGACAATGGGCTGTGACCAAGATGGGAGAGAGAAAGAGACCAACTGCAGACTTCAGCCACAAATATAGCAGCCAGATGAACAAGACAACATCATCTAGGAGATTAGAACACCATGCTCAAGGTTACTGTGTCTATTCATTCACACTCTTCTTGCCACTCATACACTCAATTGCCTTCTTTCAGAGATAAGTAGGAGGAGGCAGAGGAAATCTGAGAGACTGAGATTCTTTCTCCAGCAGGAAAGACTGAATATTGCCTGAAAGGACTATTTAAATTAATTAAGTCAGACTAGCCTTAAACTGGGTTAGATATCCATTAAAAATGTTCCCTTTAACCAGAGAAGGAGGACTCATGAGAAAAACTCTAAACAAACAAAATAACATTTTCTCTGCATATCCAAGTTGTGCAAGTTAAAATTTTTGACCCCCATTATGTATCAACTATCCCCCAAAGACCTCTAATGATATTTGAAGGAGGGAGAGAAATTGCCACAGTGATTTGTCACCTGAAGTTTACTGATGCATGAAGTTAATCTCAATTTTCTATTCATGTAGGGGATTATTTGCACAGTGTGCTACATTAATTTTTCAGCACAGTTTTTATGTATTTTTATTAAAGTATACTTTTCTTTTGACATTTTAAAAGCCCTGTTGGTATTACAGTAAGCAATGCGTGCATTCATTGGTTTGATTCATGTCTCCTTCTCATCTTACTGTTTGTGTTTGTCTTTAGCGAGAGCAGGGCAGAAAGTCCTGTTTATCCTTTGCTGTTCATTCAATATTAATCTAGGTTTTTACATATTCCCAGGGTGTATTATTCTTTATGCTTATATGCCACAAAGCTAGGGGACCTGATAACTTTAGTGATTTCAGTGAAAGTAAATTTTAGTATTTTACCGCTGATAGGAGAGTTGAAGTTACCAAACTGTTTTCCTTTATGATATTGGTTTCAGATGCTCACTATTTTCAGAATGACTCAGATTTCTTGAGATTTACAAAGTTTTTCTGAAATTTGGTTTTACTGTTAGACTTACAAAAATTACATTCTTCATAGCTATTTTATTTATTTGTGTATTCTTTGGAAAGCTAATAAATTATATTATGGGATCAAAAACATGTTATGGGGGGTTTCTGAATTTTTTTTCAATGAGGAAAAAATTACATTTATTGAGCCCCTACTTCCTAGTAGGCACATTGCCCATTCTCTCATTTAAATTTCTCTAGCTGTAGTGCTGTCCCATGGAAGTCTCAGTTCATAGAGGCTGTGTTGAATGAATGGGTTGATGGGTGGTATCATTTTGCCAAGGAACAACTGAAGACCTTGCCTGAATTTAGAGGAATGTCTCTAAGGCAGGTATTCTGGAATTGATGAAGTTCTGGGGAGAAACATTTTGGGAGGGTGAGCCTGTCAGTGCCTCTTAAGCCATAGGTGACTGTCTATTTTACCTTTGTGTAGGGCCAAAGCAGTAGTGAACAAATGATAGAACCACAGAGAATGAAAGCACTTCTGGTACCAGATGCATCCTGATTCAGCTACGTCCTTCTGCCTCGGTGCTCTTGGGTAAATTACATAATCACGGAGCCCAAGTTTTACTCATTTGTAAATTGGGGATATCAATAGAACTTGACCTGCCTATCTTGCAGACTTTGTAAAGATGAATGAGGTGAGGTATGAGAATATCTTTTTCTCACAAGCATGGTAAGTATTGTCATAACATTTTATTTTCCTTGGCACAGCTTGGCTGGAAAGGAGATGTAGTGGTCATAGGAGTTTTTGTTGAGGGAGAATGGAACTTACTTTTTCTACACCCTGTCAATACCAGCTAAGTATCTAATGGTACTTTCTTTACCTGCTCCTTCACCAGATACTGTGTGTCTTGTACCACCCGCCTTCTTTCTCGTTCACTTCCTCTTGTTCTGGCATGTAGTAAAGCATTTGTCTGTATGGAATACGTTCAATAGGAACTGGTTGAAGACTCAGTTCACAGAGGGCATTCCTCCTGCTGGTGGTCTCCCTGAAGAAGCACTGGCTGTTGTCAGAAGGAAGTCCTAACTGAAGACTGATGATGTCAGTTATTTATGTTCACACTTACCTAAGTAGAGGCTGCAAGCATAGATCAACTTTTTTTTGCACAACTTCTAGTTGTTTGAATATGTCGTTCCATGGAGCCCTTTACTCTAGAAATTTCTCCATCCCCCAACCTCTCCAATATCTTTGTTTCCATTGCCTCCTTTTCCATTACTTTCTTCCAAACTCTTCCCTGGGTGCACATTTTGTAGACTCAAAGGTAAGTCTCACTCTCTGTAATCTTCGCTTTTTCAAAAATTTGGCCTAAGTTTCAAGTTCTTCCCATTTTCCTATTTGCCTTAACATGCTTCTCTTCTGAGGCAATCCTACAGAGGTAGCCTAGCTGACTGAAAGTGGGTGGGGCGTGGGGGAGTTTGAATGTCAAATAGGGAAATATACTTGAGAAAATATAATATTAAAAAAATGACCCTGCCCATGTGCATATTTGGGGTTACTTACTGTGGCAGAATAAATTCATGTTAACCCACTCTCCTCTAGGTAAGAGAGTGTTTTATCATATGCCTCAGGGGTGGAATCTAGCCCATTAATTTCATGAATTTGTAAGATCTGCATATAAACAGAAACTGAAAAAGATTATGCCCAATAAGAAACTATAAACTTGGCATGAAGATGCTTTTCAGGTAAAGTAGCCTAAAAAATTTCATTTAGAATTTGTATAATAGGCTGGGTGCAGTGGCTTATGCCTGTAATCCCAGCACTTTGGGAGGCTGAGGTGGGTGGATAGTTTGAGCCTAGGAGTTCAAAACCAGCCTCGGTAACATGACGAGACCCCATCTCTACCAAAAATACAAAAAATTAGCTGGGCATGGTGCCATGCACCTGTAGTCCCAGCTACCCGGGAGGCTGAGGTGGGAGGATCACCTGAGCCCAGGAGCCTGAGGCTGCAGTGAGCCGTGATTGCACCAGTGCACTCCAGCCTCGTTGATGGAGTAAGATCCTGTCTCAAAAACAGAAAAAATATGTATAATAGAGCATATCTTTCCAGGACATTCTAATTCCAGTTGGCCATGGTGTACCATGTAAAGGCAATGAGATTTCTTATTTATTGACCTTCACGGAGCTGCAACACTTATTGGATCAGCTTTGACTCTGTTACCTTGATATGGTTCTATGTTTTGATTCTAGTAAGAGGAGAAATTTATTTTAAAACATCCTAAAATTAAAGCCAACCCAAATCCTCTAAAACTTTGTTGTTTTTTTTTTTAAACTAGTTTAACATCTTGAATTTGATTTCAGCTTCTGAGCCCACATGTTTTATTAGCTTTCCTTCTCATTATAAATTTCACAACATGGAGTAGCATGGGGCTGAGAATAACAGGAGAACAGAGATAATTAAAGTAAATTTCTCAACTATATTTAGAAATTAGGGCAAAATATGTATGAATAAAAATAAGGTATTAAATGTTTAATGCTTGAAATTCAGCCCATTGCAGTTCAGTGACTCTGACTCTTAACCATGTTTGTACTGATAAATATTGAAGGATAGACGTTTTATTGAATAGTTTTTGTAAAAGGATTTCTAATATATTTTAATATAAGTTTTCCTTTCTGTAAAATAAGGCTAAATATATATCAATTTTGCAAAGATTTGAAGATCAAAATGTTTTTAAAACTGAAACATCCTTACACATAGTAATGATTGCCTCCTCCCCCATACCCTGCAAGTTACTGTTTGTGCTTAAAGCTTGTTAATGGATTCTGCCTTCAGTCACTAAGATAAGTCTTAGTTCTAATGCTCTTCAAATGTCTCCCAACTTATGTTTTTTTCTGTGTGTGAAGTCTTTTCTAGAACTCTTGAATTTGCCTGCATTTTCATAATCTGGTTTTCCAATGGAGTTTCTATTTCTGTTTTTTTTCTGTCTAGCTACACGTTGTAGCACAAGGGCAAAGTCAGGCCTGTTGTCAGTATTGCTTGTAAAAGTCATGACATTTATTCCATCCAAATATGAGAAATATTTGTGTCATTTAGTTAATAATAATTTATTGTATATTTCAAAATAACTGAGTTATTCAAATATATACAATATTTGAATATTAAATATATATTATTCAGTTACTGAGGGATTCAACCAACTGTAAGTAAGACTCTGTGTTAGGAATTGAAATGTTCCTAACACAAAGAAATGATAGATGCTTGAGGTGATGGATATCCCAGCTATCTTGACTTGATCATTATACATGGCATGCTTGTATCAAATTATCACATGTATCCCTATAATTATGTACAACTTTTAGGTATCCATAATAATTAAAAATAATAATTAAAAAATTATTAGGTTCTTGATCATGACATTTTTATCATCAAAACTGTTGCAGAAAAGACTCCATTTTAGGTAGGTCTCATGTGTTAAGAGTTGTCCTCTGTAGGATGAGGCTGATTTGTGCTCAAGCAGGAAAATTTGTGATTTGGACGTGAGACTTGACTACGGCTCAGTAGGTAGGCTCCAGAAAGTCACTTACTCTGTTCAGTACAGCTTTTCCATTAGACTCTGTGTGTGTTTGTACATGTGTTTCTCAATGTCTCAGTGTGAGGTATATCAGACATAAAAGCATCTATAACATGTACAACCACTGTTTAAATAGCAACAAAAATTATAATAAAAAAGAGTGAACATTTAGGCATCAATTATCTATTTTAAAAACCAGAACTGTACCAGATCCTTTGAAGCTCTGCAAGCTCTTTTTTGAATGTGCCTGTTCCTCGCACCCAGAATGAGCCATTCTCCTGGATTTTGTGCTAAACATACTGTTCATTTTCTCTTTTATTTTACCACATGTATTCTGTCTCTAAATATGTTGTTTAGTATGCCCATTTTTGAATTTTGTATACACGGTTTCACATTATGTCTATTCTTCTGAGATTTGGTTTTTAAAAACTCTATAGTCAGCCTTCCATATTCGTGCGTTCTACCTCTGTGGATTCAACCAACTGTGCATAAAAAGTATTCAGAAAAAAATATTTCACAAACTTCCAAGAAGCAAAATCTGAATTTGCCATGCACTAAGTACTACATTGAATCCATGCAAATGAAGTGATGTGCGGGCCTTGTGTTAGTATTATAATTAATCTAGAGAAGATTTAAACTATCCAGGAAGATGTGCACTGATTATATGTAAATATTATGCCATTTTATATGAGACTTGAGGATCCACGGATTTTGGTGTACCGGGGGTCCTGGAACCAATCTCCATAGATACTGAGGGATGACTGTATTGTACTTTTTCCTTCTTCAGATGTACCCTTTTGATACATCTAAATATAATTAATTTACTTTTCTTGGGTGTGTGTTATTATTTTGTTGTATAAATGTACTATCTATTACCCAATCTATCGTTATTTTATATATGTCCATGAGAACTATTTTATCAAGTTTTTAAATCTCATTATTCTTACTGATTATTTTGCATTGTTTATTAAAACTGACAGGACTGGGAGAAAATTTTCACTATTGTGGTGGATTTATGCCTTTCTTATTGTTGTTATGTCACTTTTTGCTTTATAGATTTAAAAATTAATTTACTAAGGGCATGCAAATTTAGACTATTATGTATTACCCATGAATTGAGCCTCTTAATCTTTTTGACTTAGAGTCCATTTTTTGATAGCAGTGTAGCTAAACCAACGTTATTTTCCATTTTAAACTATCGTTTTACTTTCAAATTTTGTGTTTTTAAATTTTAAATATGTCTCTTGTAATTAGCATATAGATAGATTGTGTTTAAAATATTCACCTGACAATCTTTATACAGTCATGTATAAACTACCAGGAAACTTAACTACCAGGAAACTTTCTGAGAAATGCATTGCTCATCAGTTTTGTCTTTGTGCAAACATCACAGAGTTTGCTTACACAAATCTAGGTGGTATAGCCTACTACACACATAGGCTATTTTATTGCTCCTGGGCTCCAAAGTGTACAGCATGTTACTGTACTCAATATAGTAGGCAACTGTTACACAAAGGCAAGTATTTGCTTATCTAAACATAGAAAAGGTACATAAAACTATGGTATTAAAGGTAAAAAGGAACTGGCGCACCTGTATA
This sequence comes from Homo sapiens, assembly GCF_000001405.40. NCBI lineage: Eukaryota > Metazoa > Chordata > Mammalia > Primates > Hominidae > Homo > Homo sapiens. Next base: position 79,454,669 of record NC_000008.11, on the reverse strand, counting down.
GGGCACTTACCGTGAATGGAGCTTGCAGGACTGGAAGTAGCTCTGGGTTAGTCAGCGAGAGGGTGATGGTTACTATATACATTCTGAGCAATTTCTTCAGAAACTTTCCAATTCAGAAATTTTACCTCTAGCTTTTAAACTACTGTTCAACTGATTTGTTCATTTTAATTTTAATTATTGTATTTTTATTTTTAAATTTCTCTAGTTGGTTCTTTTTCAAATTCAACAGTCACTTCCTTAAACGTTCAATCCCAAAGTTTATTTCTGTAAAAGTATTAAATATGCTTAATTTATATTTTGTATATGTCCACTAACTATAATCTTTATAGGTCTGTGATATGGTTTGGCTGTGTTTCCACGAAAATCTCATCTTGAACTGTAGTTCCCAAAATCCCCACGTGTTGTGGGAGAGACCTGGTAGGAGGTAATTGAATCATGGGTACGCTTGGTTACCTCCATGCTGTTCTCGTGATAGTAAGAGTAATCTAGTGAATAATCTAGATTACTTAGAAGCAGGATCAGTTTTGTTTTTCTTTCTTTGTCCTTAGATCTATAATCAAGACTAACCCAGACAAATCTCTGTGGAGTGGGTTATTTTTGGTTCACTCCCTGACATGTCATCCCGCAATCCCGCAGCAATCTTTTTTTTTTTTTTTTTTTTTTGAGACAGAGTCTCCGTCTGTCTCCCAGGCTGGAGTGCAGTGGTGCGATCTCGGCTCACTGCAACCTCCACCTCCCCGGTTCAAGCGCAGCAATCTTAACTTTTTGTGGGGTCTCACATCTGCCCTTAAGCTATTACTCCTGTCTGCTGTCCTCATGTTACTGTTAAATTTAGGCTCTAGGAATGCAAGGATTATCAGATATTGTTAGGGAAAATGCTGTTTCCAGGGCCAGCTTATCCCTGTAGAATTGTTTCCTTATTTCTGGACTCAGATTGTTTTTCTCCTCTGCCAGCTTGACTGTACTTTAAACATTGTTTAAATACATATTACCCAGCATTATTTTTGGTGTTCTGTACCATTGTTACTCTGTATATCTAGTATATGTTTCTGGAAATGTAATTCCCACAGGAATGTCTGTAGTATAAGGTTTGAATAAAGACTTACAAAGCCTCAGAAGAGGTATCTTGGTACTGCTTTGAATTGCAGAGTGCCATAATAATGAAGCCATAATAATGAGGCCATTAGCACATGTCTTATATTATTCTTTGTCCTTACTTTACTCAGAATTTTACCATTGGATATGTATAGAGCTCTTCATTACATACTGGATGAAACTCAAATACATTTTGCAAGATGAGTATTTGTGTGTAGGACAATTTGTGTGTGTATGTTGTATTAATATTGCTTAGTCCAAAAATAAATTATATAGAATATGTGTGTGAGTGTTTCTTTGAGGTTAGTTACTATTTTGGGAATGTATTTTTAGTCATGAGACATTTCTACATTTTGCCTGAAGGGGTCTTTGCCTACCGCTGACTGTTTGCACTTGCTGTTCCTCTACTTGAAATGTTTTCTTCATGATGATATTCTTATGATTCATTCTCTCATCTACATTTTGCTCAAATGTCACCATCTTTGTGAATCCTTTCTTTGTCACTGTTTGTAACATTGCAATGGTTTCCTCAACTCTTGCCTTGCTTTTATTTTTTCCTTAGCATGTATTAGCATCTAACATACTATCTAATTTATGTTCTGATTTTCCCACTGGAATGTGAACTCCATGAGGGCTAAATTTACTTGGAATAGTGTCTCACACATAATGGATACTCAATGGATATTTGTTGTATGAATTAAATGAATGAATGAATGTGACCATATTTAATTTCTCTGAAGATGCAGAGCTTAATACTACCTGTAAGTCTACTTTGTAATGTCTCTGTTCAAAATCAGGCATCCCTTATTTTAAAGCTCTATATTAACAATCTGAAACTCAAATATATCTCCCACAGATACAGTTTTTAGTTTGAACCTTCTATAATTACATTTCCCATTTTGTTGAGATGTTCTGTGTGCTCTTTAAAGGTTTCTTCTGCCCATGGTTCATATACATTCCTTTTTTGTTCACAAATGATGCCATGATGCCAGAATACTTGGGGACTTAGTCGTCCTTCATTTTGCTCTCCAATGGATGTGGAATTGAATGATACAAGTGTTGCTTCCTTGATGTGCTGAAGAGAAGAGTAACTAATTGGTGTTATCTAACATCATCGTGAGTCTGACTCACGATGACATTAGTGGCATGGTGTCATCTCAAAGATGAAGTCAGAACGGTCGGACATCACAAAGGCCAGTAAAGGATAGGAGAGATCGACAACTCCATAAATTTCACAGAGCTTACACATGAGCACTCTGTCACTGAGATCTTGCAGAGTGAAAACCAATCAAACATAGAGACAGATCAGATCATCAAATACTTGAAACTGTGACAAGAACATTGATTTCAGTATGAAACAGACTTGGATTAAATCCTGCCTCAACACTTACTAGCTATTCCATCTTAGGCATGTTTCCAAGGAAATAGTTGGGCTGCTTTGATTTCAAAGAAACCTAATGGTGCTGTTGTTTTCTCTGCCTGCTCCTGCTCCCCAGGTAGTCCCTGACCTTCTCTGTCCTGTGATGCTGACCCTGCTGACTACCCAGCTGGGCCCCTTTGCCAGTTTGATGTTGGTGGAATTTGGCACCTGCAGGAGATGAGGGAGTGATAGGAGATAATGTATAGGGTCTTCCGTCCCTGCTCCTTCCCTGCTTCAGTGTTCATGTCTGCCTATCCAGCATCCCCCAGGAGCACATTCCTGTGAGTCCAGCTTTCCTCTGTTGCAGTCTCACTGAGCTACAGTAACATTATTTCCTCTCTGTGTCCCTTTAGCCAGAGGAATGGTTAGAACCTCCCCCTGTTCATAGCATCTGGGAGCCTATATCTCTGTAAATATTAACCTCATTTAAGTTTTTCTCTGAATATCTGGGCTAATTCTATTTCCTTCCAGGAACTTTTCACAGCAATTCAAATAGGCTTAATGAAAAGGGAATTCATTGCTCTTACAACTTGAGTTTGGAGGAATGGTACATCCAAGCTTAGGTTTGGTTAGATCAGGTTCAAATGATGCTACTAGGGCTTTGTCTTTGCTGGTGATCTCTGTTTGACTTTATTCTGCACAGAGGTATGTGGCATACACTAGGCAAGATGCCCACCAGCAGCTTGAAATGCAAATCCTCTTCTCTGAGCAACTCAGAATGGAAGCTTTCCTCCCAAATTTTGTATAGAAATACATAAAAATATGTCTTAATGGCTAAACTTTGCATATGTCCACTCCTGTGGCTGGGAGAGTGAGGAAGCTGTGAGAGAAAATTCCCTTGGATACCTTGGAATGGGGAAGCATGGTTGAGATGATGCTGGTGGATAAAAACAATATGTTCACAACATCTAGCTTTAATATCTCTAAACTGGAGCTAAGATCTATCTCATAGATTTCTTGGTAGGATCAAATAGTATAATGCAGATTTCTTGGCATTTGATTGGCACACAGTAAATGGTAGTCCTTATTATTATTTGAGCTATGTTAACTGTGTGACCTTTCTTTATCACCAAATTTCAGTCTTTATTTCTATAATTGGTATTATCATTTTATGTTTTCTAGGATTAGTGTTCATTGTTCATGAAGAAATAATGGAAACAACACATAATTTTCAGCTTCAAAATATTAAACATTATAATTGCCTATTATTTTATGATTTAAAAATGTTTTTACATACTTTATTGTTTAAAATATAATCACCAACCCCATGAGCTGGGTATGATTATCACCACCACCTTTCAAAGAAAGAAATTCAGATTTAGAGAAATTAAATATCTTGTCCAATATTGCACAATTGGTATACAGCAAACTTAGGACTCAAGGTGAGTTATTCTGAGTCTAAACCTTGTATTCTTTCTAGGATACTATGGAATTATGAGCTTGCTTATAGAAAGTATTAAATTTTTTAAAGAATCAAATATTTGAATGGCATTTTTTGAAATTTAACAGTAGTTTGTCTAAATTTGGGCAAGACTTTTTATGTCAGGAAGTATTTTATGAATCAGGAAACATTTAATAAAGCATAAGGAGCTATACCATTATAAGCAATTTTGATTTTGATAATGGGGATGTTTTCGGCAAACATGAAATGCCCATGCTTGTAAGTATGTAGAAAGGTAAAAAAGATAAGTTTCACCTTCCTCTCTGTTTTGCTGATCTGCAGTAAGGATACCAAATGAAGATGGAAACTCCTACAATTTGTATCTTATAGAAGTCATATTTTACAACTATTGTTCCTGTTTAAAAGAGGTCAGAAAACCACTTTTTATGATTTGGCAAAGGTGCGTTTGTGTTGGTTAGGATGAGTGAGAAGATCAGTAGTTTCCACACTGGGGCTCTTAATGATACAGATTCTTGGGCCCTTCCCTGGAATCAAGGAGGTCACTGGACCCTAATTTGTGAGTTACTTGTAAAAGCTCTTTTAATTCTAAGCCAATAGTTACAATTAATCCATTTGGTGGGGGAGTAAGTAACGTTTATAAGGCATATTTATGTAACTATTAAGTTTTCTGATCTAGTGGGTAAACACAGAGAATCCAAATCTGATATTTTACATCAAACAAATATTATAATGCAGACTCTGACAACCACATCTCTAGAGAAAAATGCTTTATTCTTTCAGTTACTGTTCACCGTATAATAACGACCCCTCACTTCAAGTCTTAGTGCTTTATTTAATTTTGATATGCTCTGGGGCGACTAGGACACTATTAAGCCCTTATCTTTTGCTCCAGGGTTTCTTAAATTACCTGCCTGTAAATCTCAATGTGCAGTTGCCTTCAGTTCCCATGGCAACCTACTTGATGTCAATATATGTTTGAACATAACCAGGTCACTTGGAAACCAAAAGATATCCCTAAACATACAGTAATAAATAAAACAAATGCAAAATGGATGTTTGAGCATTATTATTTATTTATTGTTAGGTTTACAGATGAGGAAAGAAAAAAAAACATAGATTGACAATAGGCTTTAAGATGTGTGCTGAGGTCTGGGCTCAGCTTTACAAGCCTAGAATGAGAAGTAGATTGTTGATCTCTGAGATGACTAATCGTTGAGTTGGCTGCTGTTGGAATAAGAAAAGCTCTAGATCTGTACGACATGTTGAGTTTGTCAAACTCTTTGTGATGAGCTGCATTCAATAAATCAAATGCAGAGGCATTAGTAGTGAGCTATAGCTCTGCTAGCTGAGGCTTTGGAAATCGCAGGATGCAATGTCTCAATTTCTGCTGTTGAAATTGATAATGGGGCATTCCATAATGAATGCCTTACAAGGGGACTTGAGTATGAGAGGGCAGAAAGCACACATATCTAGAGCTTCAGTCACTGTAAGTATCAGGAAGAAAGGCGCATTTAGAATACATCTTTATACACATAATTCTTTTTATTTACTCCTCCAGAAATTTTTTTTAATTGGGAATAATTTGCACACAGTAAAATGCACATATTAGAAATGCAGCTGAATGATTTTTTATAAATGCATCTACCCATGAACACATCACCTCAAACAAGATATAGAACACTTCCATCGTTCCAGAAAATGCACAGCTACCCCTTTTCAGTCAATGTCCTTTTCCCAGAAGCAACCAATATTCCTATTTTTATCATCATAGATTGGTTTTGCCTATTCTAGAACTTACAGATACAATAATACAGTTTATTATTTGGGCATGCTTCTTTATCTCAGCATAAAGTTTCAAGATTCATCTATGTTGTCCTGTGTATGGGCAGATTCTCTCATTTTATCACTGAGTATTATTTTACTGTATGAATATACCAAAATGTAATTATTTATTCTTCTATTGCAGGTTTTTTGGTAGTTTTGGGCTAATATTAATAAAGTTGATAAGGAGGATTTGTGTACCAGTATTTGTGTGGAAAGAAATATGTTTTCATTGGGTAAGGACATTGCCTGAGTGAAATTGCCAGGTCATAGCAATTTCCTAGTGCATGCAAACATATGCCTATGTTTAATTTTATAAGATACTAACAAGTGGTTTTCCAAAGTGTCGTACCATTTTACACTCACAACAGCACTTTTTGAGAGTTCTGGATGTTCTATATCCTCGTCAACATCAGATGTGTCATTCATTTTATATGTAGTTGTAATAGTGAGGATCTAATGATGTTTTTGTGATTTTAATTTGCATTTTTCTGATGATTGATAATGTTGAGCACTTTTTGTATACTTTTTTGCCATTTTTATAACTTCTTTTATGAGTTGTTTTCTCAAGTCTTCTCTCAATTTTTTTATTGGCTTGTTTGCCCTCTTTTTTAGAATTGAAGGAGGTCTTTATTCTGCAAAAAGAACCCTTTTATAGATATATGTGTTGTGAATGTTCTCGTCTAGACTATGTGTTGTCTATTCATTCTCCTGACTGCCATTTGATAAACAGCATTTTCATTTTGAGAAAATCCAATTTATCAATTTTACATTTTATTGTTGGTTATTTGTGTCCTACTTAAGAAATCTTTACGTAGCCTAAGCTTGCAAAGACATTCTCATATTTTTTCTTTTTGAATAGCAACTTCTAATAGAATTTTCCATTTGCCCTATTCAATACTGTAGCCTTTAGCTATGTTGGTTATTGAGCATTTGCAATACATGTAGTGTGACTGAGTAGCCAAGTTTTAAATTTCATTTCATTTTAATCAAATTTAATTTTATATGGCAATATGTGGTTATTGACTCTTGTATTGAATGCCATAGTTCTGAAACCTTTGTAATTTTAACTTTTACATTTATATCTATAATCTATCTCAAATTTTTAATGTGTAATTAATTTCATTATTTGTGTTATTTGAGATAGCAGTAGAAATTCATTTTTCTCTTCATTTGTTTATCCAGTTGTTGTTCTAGTACCATTGAACTGTGTTGTCAAAAACAGTTGACCATTTATGCATTAGTTTATTTTTGGCCCACAGATTTACATCTGCCTTTATATTTAAATACAATATTGACTCGATAGAATCTGGTAATGTAAGTTCATCAGTTATTTTTCTTTTTCTAAATTGTTTCAGATTTTCTAGCACTTTGCATTTTAATATACATTTTAGAATCAATGTGCCAATTTCCACAAAAACGACCTCTGGAATTTTGATTGGGGAAGTCTGCATCCATAGACACTGTTAAGAAAATTCTAAGAAACCCCTTTTCACAGACTGCATGTTTCAACTACTCAATTTACCATTTTGTAATCAGTGAGATATTGTCAGGTCCTGGATGAATTCGAGAGATTTATAGAAGGACAGATACTTATTGAGAATTATTTTTCAGAAATTTTTTTGTTTAATTCTTACAATAGTCTATCCATGTTACAGTTGAGAAAACTTACTTAGAAAGATTAAGCGAAATTCTCAAGGACACAGGCAGGACTGAATTTTAACCTAGATTTATCTGACTCCTCCACTTACTTTAATCACATTTTTACTTGCCCAATTATAAAGAGATCATTTCTTGTAAATGGCACATTGATAGTTTTCAGTTAGTTTCTCATATTGCTGCTTCCACTCCTGTAACATTTCTCCAGAGTTAATTTTTGGGTGAGAAGCCCCCCAATAGCTCAGTCTCCTTTACTATTTGGTTAGTAACTGGGCAGTTGTTTCATTATTATGAGGTTGTTTAGGGACTCATTACAGAAGGATGTGAGCATGATCTAGACATGACCAATGCATACGAGCATAATACACCTAAATGTACCTAATGGCATTACTTAGCTTTGAATAATTGTTGTCTGTTATGTCTGAGGACAAAAACCAAAGTAGCAAAGCCAACAAAAACTGATAATGGTTTCTAGAGTGCCTCTAGGATACAGCTTCTAAGCCTGGCACTCATTTCTTTGCATGTAATGATCAGTCAGAGCCATTTCCTTCTGTAAAAACATGGAAGTTTCAAAGACTATGATCTTGAAGCTCCTGTTTCTTTGTTCTCCCAAAGGAATAAGTTTTTTGAAAATAACTTTTCATTATATATCAAATACATGCCTTCTTTCTTTTTATAATTTTGATCATGATAACTAGCTTTATTTATTTACTTTAAAAGTCAGGAACTAAACCTAGTGACATGATTTTTGTTTTTGTTTTTGTTTTTTTGTTTTTTGTTTTTTTGAGATGAAGTCTCGTTCTGTCGCCTAGGCTGGAGTGCAGCTGTGCGATCTCTGCTCACTGCAAGCTCCGCCTCCCGGATTCACACCATTGTCCTGCCTCAGCCTCCCGAGTAGCTGGGACTACAGGTGCCCGCCACCACGCCCGGCTAATTTTTTGTATTTTTAGTAGAGACAGGGTTTCACCGTGTTAGCCAGGATGGTCTTGATCTCCTGACTTCGTTCCTGACCTCGTGATTCACCCGCCTCCATCTCTCCCAAAGTGCTGGGATTACAGGCGTGAGCCACTGCACCCATCCAAACTAGTGACATTTTTGTTGACTATGTTTTTAGCCTCATTAGAACTCATTTTATGCATTAATAGAAAAAATGTATAGTTATTCTTTTCTAGGATATTGATTTTATCTGTTACTGGGGTCCAACCTACTGTGGCAATCTACCCAATACTATGGCCAATCTGACTTTCAAGAAGTTCAATAGTCTTAGGATTGCTATTATTTAGTGTAGCCCTGACGTGAGAGCGGCAACTGATTGGAATAAAACTGTACTTTGTTAGCTGGGCCCAAGATACAGAAACAGAAAGCTAATTATATATTTTTCTTTTTTCTCTTCTCTCTAAAATACCCCACCCTAATTTATACAAGTAGGCTCACTTTCTGCCAATCCTTTGGTCTTACCTTCATTTCCTTCTTTCATTACAGATATTTGTATGTCTTACCTTTTTTTAGCTTGTTCTATGTTATCCATACTTGCAGTAGAGGCATGATCTATTTCCATCTTTTTTTTTCTCTCTGTTTGCTGATGCTGTAAAACCACAACGTTTTTGTTAGAGGCAAAGATAAAGAAATCAGAAGCAAGAGGTTCCAAGTTAAGATTTTAAAGACAGATTATCATACAATAAAGATTTTTTCTTTTTATAACTAGACACTTTTGAGCGATAAGGGAGAACTCAAAAGACATATATGCAGTATTGCTATTTTTTCAAAATTAAGTATGTTTAGGCTTTGGTAGGGAATAACATTATTTGGATTTTCAGCTGGAAGAAGCTAGATGTGAGGGGCCTAAGTAGCCATTCTGAGGCGGAGAACACTGGTACTTCATAATGCTCTTTCATGGTCAGGTGAGTGGGAGATATTTTTCTTGAATTACTGCGTTCTCCAACATGTGTGAATATGGGGATCAAATTAGCATTAGCAGTACTTGAGTACTGGAGTCTCAGTGTAAAAGTTTGCGTAGCTTGATCAGGATACAGGAACCATTCACACTTGAGTTCCGCAGGCATCTGAGCTGAGCCTCACCTGGCACTAAGCTGGGTAGATGTTTAGTTGTGAATGTGGTTGTGTAGCTCATATCCATGTACTTGACTTCAAATTATCCAAAGAATGATAGAAAGATTCAGATAGATAGAGCTGGAAGATTATATGGAGATTTCTCAAACAACTAAAAATAGAACAACCATTCAATCCAGAATTCCACTACTGGCTATTTCCCCAAAGGAAAATAAATCATTATATCAAAAATATACCTGCACATGTATGTTTATCAAGACACTATTCACAATAGCAAAGATATGGAATCAACCCAAGTATCCATTAATGGATTATTGGACAAGAAAAATGTGATATACATATATATATATATATATATATATATGCACACACACACACACAACATATACATGCATTTATGTGTATGTATGTATATGTATATACACACACCATGAAATACCATTCATACATATACATATATACACACACACCATGAAATACCATTCAGCTATGAAAAAGAATGAAAATTATGTCTTTTGCAGCAACATGCATGAAGCTGGAGGCTATTATCTTAAGTGAAACAACTCAGAAACAGAAAGTAAAATATCACATGTTCTCACTTAGAAGTGGGAGCTAAATAATGTGTACGCATGAACATAGGGTATGGAATGGTAGAGAGTGGAGAATCAGAAAGGTGAGAGGTTGATGAAACTCAGAAAGAAAGGTGGGTGATGAAAAATTACTTAATGGACACAATGTACACTATTTGGGTGATGGCTACACTAAAAACCCAGACTTCACCACTAAGCAATATATTCATGTAACAAAATTGCACTTGTACCTCTAAACTTATACAAATACATAAAAGAAATAGCTGGAATTCTAATATCAGAGAGGTGAAGTCCACCCCTGAAACCCAGCAGCGGTTAGGAGGCAGAAATTAAGCTCAGGAGAGCTTACCATGCCAGAATTCTATGGGTAAACTGATACAGAATGGAAGTAAAACAGTGTAAAAAAGGATATGAGATTTTGTGCTAAGTTCCAAATATTTAGGGATGATGAATTTGTGATGGTGAGTGGTTGGGGTTAGCTTAAATATTTGAAGAGTTGGAGAGTTTTAGGATTAAATGAGTTAAGCCAAGAAGAGTATTTAGAATAGTCACTGGCACATAGTAAATTCTCACTAAATGTTAGTTCTTTTTAAGATGTTTGTAATTTTTATCCCATATCCTACTCCCATTTCATATAGCAGCATAGTTGCATATCATATTACATAGAGAAAATTTGGGCTATAAGTTATGCTTTTTAAGCTTTTCTTCCCTATAGCTATATGCAATTATCCATTATCACTTTCTGTTTCACCACTTCCTCTCCTGAGTCAGAGGAAGTGGTTATTGATGGTTCTTCATCCCCACTTAGCTATACAGAACACACACACACACGTACACAAATTAGATTTTGTCAACATTAAAAACATTTTGTTTTCAAAAGAGTTAAGAAATAAAAAGACAAGCTACAGAATGGGAGAAAATATTTTCAAAACATATGTCCAAAAAGACATGTATCTAGAATATGCAAAGAACACTTAACAACTCATTGATAAGAGTACAAACCTCCCAATTAACAAGTAAGACAAATATTTGAACAGTCATTTTGCCAAATACATTTTGTATGTATACTGTAAACACGAAACATGCTCAGTATCTTTACTCATTAGGGAAATGCAAACTAAAAAGGGATACCAGTACCTATCTATTAAAAAGTCTACAATGAAAAAGACTGTGAATACTATGTTGAGGAGGGTGTGGAACAAGATGAACTCATACACTGTTGGTAGAAATGTAAAATGATGCAACCACTTTGGAAAATGAGTTGGCAATTCTTTAAAAAGTTAAGCATACACTCAACCATTCCACCCCATGTATTTACCCAAGAAAAATGCATGCACCCATTCAAACATTTGTACACACGTATTCACAACAGTTTTATTTGTATTAGACAAAAATGGAAACAATATATAAGTGGATAAACACATGGTGGTATATCCATGCATTTTCCACTGCAGTTCGAAAACACAGTTTATGACTTGATCAAAACGAGTTTAATGGTGACAGCTTCAAGTTTGGGGCCATTTTTCCTGTCTCTGGTATGGTGTGCCCTGCAGCCTGGCAAACTCTTACCTATATTTGAGATGCTGCTTGGTATCTCCCTTTGTTAATCTCTCACTCCTTGATCCCATCACAAGGTTCATTACTGCCTACTTCGGGACACTGTTGTGATAAGTCAATTTAGTAAACTGCGTAGCTGATAATTTTGTAACAAAGACTATATGTTATTCATCTTTGGTTCAATTTTCTCAACTACTACAAGAATAAATAGATGAATGTGTGAATCCTTAAAGAAGAGCTACACATGCCTCAAATGTTCTACTGGTGGGTGTGTGACCATACATAACTGGGCTGCCCCATCTGGGCTGCTTAGCTGGTCTAAGTTTGGCTGAAATTTTTCAGGAAAGTCATGGATTTAGATTTAAACAAACTATTTTCTAGAACATAAAAGATTCTTTCCTTGATACCGGACAATATCCTGAAAAGTCAGAATAATAAAAAATTTGGAAACAAACGAGTAGCTTTGCATAAAACCTAAGGTGCTAAATGTCATTAAAAAGGCAACTTTTTCTTCCAGCCTGGCCCTCGGGCTGTGTCTTGTCCAGAATACCAGGTGGGGTCAAGGGCTCTACCACTTTTCCAGTGATAAAATGTGGGCTGGCAACTGCCAAAATTCAGCTTAACAACTTAACTTGTAACCTATTGGGACAGAATAAGCTAGAAGAAGCTTTTCTGAGAGTCTGATGAAAATTAGCAGGCTTCTTTTTAATAGATTTACCGAGGTATACTCATAGTTTTCTATGTAATTTTAGGGACTTTGCTCTTCTCCAAACACTTATGATAAAAACCCTGCATCAAATAATAATAGGATAATGCCTCATCAGAATAATCAGGATAATTTGAGGAGAATTTATTAACAAACTATATTAGATCCTTTGACTGAGGTAATAAATTATCACGGATGTGGTGGCTCAAAACAAGAAAATATTATTCTTAATTCTGGGGACCAGAAGTCCAAAACCAATATCATAGGACAGAAATCATGGTGTTGTCAGGGTCGTGCTCTGGAGACTCTAGAGGAGAATCAGTCTGTGCCCATTTCTGGGCTGGCTTCTGGCATTCCTTGGCTTGTGGCTGCATCACTTCAGTCTCTGCTTTCGTGGTCATCTTGCCTCCTCCTCTTCTGTCTGTGTCTTTTCTTCTGTTTGTTACAAGGACAGTTGTGATTGCCTTTAGGCCCACCCTGGTAATCCAGGTTAATCTTCCCATTTCCAGATCCTTAACTTCATCAGATCTGACAGATAATTTTTTTATATAAGATAAAATTTGTGGGTTCCAGAGATGATTGGGTAGCCATTATTCAACCTCCTACATGAAGGGACTATTGATAAAGTAGGCAAGGTCTAGTAGGAGATCCACAGCAGGGAGGCTGGCCAGAAGCATAGGTTCTGCTTCCACACTTAGCACTGAAAGGGTGAGTGAAGGTGTGGTTACTGGAACCTGGAAGGAGAGAGTCATGTAGAGAAGACCTCCTTGAAAGAAATGGTATGCCCCCCTTTTTAAGGGCCACCACCAGCTCTAGACCACTTGGGAAGGAAGGCGGCAGGGAAATCAGTGACCTGATCCCCCCCTCTTCTTTCTCTCCGATCTGTTTCCCATCAGCAGCACTCAACAGGAAGCAAGTGGGCCACAGGCTCATACCTATTTATAGAATTTATGCAGGTTAAACTTCTCAGGGTAGACAGTAGGGTGGAGAAGAGTGAACAGTAGTTCTGGAGGGGTAAATGGAAGATTCTAGGCATTCAGCACAGTGGAGCATCATGTATAGGAAATTTTCATAGTTTCTTTTGTTGCAGATGTGTCAGCTTTGAACATCTATGCACTTGTAGAGCCATTTGTCTCTCCAGGCAACCCACCAAAATAACTGCCAGAACTCTAATGCAGCCTGGAGAGAAGGTACTTTTGTCTATTTTGTTTACCAATGTAGCTGGTAGCTCTAGAACAGTTTCTGGTACATAGTATATGGTCTATAAGTATTTGTTGAATAAATGGAACTGAAACATAGTCTACAAGCACCTGCTGGTTACCCTCCATATTACTTTATATCCCCTACCAGGTACTCATTTCCCCTTCTGTCTCCTTTGCCTAACACAGCTGTGGTTGCTCTGCTACCCTCTGTGCTTTGGTAATGGCACAATTCCCTTCCACACTCATATTCCTGTTGCAGGCTTGGTTCTTCTAGCTCCATTGAGCATAACTGACTAATTCAGACAGGGTCAGCTTCCTTGAGAAGGTTTGCACAATTAGAATTAATTCCATTAGATTAAAATTTGAAGGAAGTGGAGAGAGGACACCTTTATTTATAATGGTTTGGATAACTGTCTTCTCTTGGAATTTTTATAAGGAATGACTATAGGAATTTGATTTTTCCAGCCTATGAGCAGAAGGCTGCTGAGGGAATTTCTCATAGTACCAAAGGCCAGGAAAGGACCTAGTTGTGTAACAGCCTCTGAAGGCACAGTGTTGCAGGAGCTCGCAATAGCAGACTGAACAGGACACCTGTCTCTTGTCAGTCAGGATAAAGCTCCTGAAGGCAACATGGGGCTGAGAGGGAGGCTAGGTGCCACAGGGTCTCTGTGATGCTGGCAAGTCTCTTCAGGTGCCGTCAGATTGGAGGTCAACCACCTCCATCACTCACTTTGATTTCCAAGGGGCTGCAAACTCTTAGAGTTGCAAGATAGGGAACCTCTTTCAGTAACCATTACTGCCTTCATCATCAAGATAAAGATCCTCAGAATATCAGATACCTTGTGATCCACCCCCTTCCTACTTCCCCAGTCTCCTCTAAATTTATCCTATTCTCCAGCTGTAATACACTTCTCTGAATGATGTTAATTGTTTCATGTCATTTAGTGCTTGTATATTTGTGTTGCATACCACTTCTGACTTCAATGGAGTATCTGGTGATTTAACTGCAATGATGATTTGATACCCAGGACATTTGGACAGTCCCATCTTTTTTCTGGATCTAAATTAGCCAATCCATTTATCTTCGTATTTTACCAAGTAGTGTATTGCAACACACACATACACACACACATACACACACACTCCCCTCCATGACATATATTTGAGCTTTACCTAACATTGAATTTTACCCCATCCTTAAAGTTAATTAGCATCTCTGAGGTTGGCTGTTCTCTTAAATTTTATTACTATCCATGACTTAACCTCATACCTGAACTTACTACTGACCATCACCCAAATCCCAGCCTCAACTTGTTCCTGAGTGAAAATATGAGTTAAGGCAGAAATCAGTGAATCAATTGCCATACATAAAATTCTACAGGGAGTGTAAACCATCATTCTCAGAGGAGCTGCTTAGCTGAGCTCATAGATGTAGATTTTGGCAACAATTCTTGAAGGACAAAAGGATAAACTTAGTATTAAATAAGATAATTTCTAAACTTAAAATAGTGATTCTTTTTAAATAGGACAAAACTCAAAAAGGGTTAGGGATGATTCCTTAAACATCACTTAAACAGAAAAGTATACAAATCCAGGATGATAAATGCTACTCAGACGCTGTATTGTTCTGTTCTTGCATTGCTATAAAGAACTAACTGAGACTGGGTAATTTACAAAGAAAAGAGGTTTAATTGGGTCACAGTTCTGCAGGCTGCACAGGAAGCATGGCTGGGGAGCCCTCAAGAAACTTACAATCATGGCAGACAGCCAAGAGCAAGGAGGCGCGTCTTACATGGCTGGCCCAGGAGGAGGAGAGAGAAGGGGGAGGTGCTACACGCTTTTAAACAACTGGATCTCATGAGAACTCACTCACTATCATGAGAATGGCAAGGGGGAAGTCCATACCCATGATCCAATCACCACCTACCAGGCCCCTCCTCCAACACTGGTGATTACAATTTGACATGAGATTTGGGTGAGGACACAAATCCAAACCATACCAGAAGCTAAATTATTCTTCCAGCCTGGCCTTGGCATATTTTTCTGCCCAGTATTGCCCTTGGTTCAACAGAACTTGTGTTTCCCATTTGGTGCTTGGCATACTATACATGCATAAATTACTAAACTGGAATTAAACACCACTATTCTAGGCCTTTTTAAAGTAATTGTTTTGAAAATCTGAGGAAAGCCACTTTTTTCCCCCAGAAAAATGCACGTAACTACATACACATATAATTTTGCTTTCTATTGCAGAAACTTCAGTGAGCCACGGACCCAATATTTAGAATCCATAAGTTAGAGATCTTAACTACTCTAGGTAACTGGCTCAGAGAAGGACTCTATTTATAGAATATTCTCCAGACCAGTTCTCCTTCTTCTGATATTTTTAATTCTGGGTTTTTCTTTCACTGAGTACTCTTGTAACTCTCATCTCTGTGGTCATCTAAAGAGCATCTCCCTTAGGTGATCTACAGCAGAAACATCATGAATTATGTAGACTACACTTACCTGAGGCTTTTTTCACTATTTTTAGTTCTGTGGAGGGACATTATATATCTGTTCTCATGAGATGATTTTATGAGATAATTAAACCAGTTTGTGGCCAGATTCTTGCAGCTACTGAGCATCCTGAAGTTGTAGGCTTCTCTCATTCCCCATATACATATACACATGTATCACCATCACCAGCACTATGTTTTGAGATATCATTATTTGAATAGAAATACTTTTGACTTATTTATGCTATCTCTTATATTTCACTAAAATAGATAAGGTAGTAATTATACTCATGTTATAGCTTAGGCAACTAAAGAATTGATCATACGGTAAATTTCTCAACAATCCACCACAAATCTGTGATGGCTAAGATTAAGACCCAGATCCCTGGTATTGGAATCACCAAATTTTCCACCAGTACTCCTAGCTGTGATTTGGGTCTTACTGTTTTTTATCACCCAGTCCAACTCAGTCCCAGAGGGCTCCATAATCCCTCATCAGTATGCCCTCTGAGGAGAGGGCATTTCAGCAGTGGCTCCATATTACCGTATCTAAGGTCAAATTCCAGGGCTGGCTTATTCACTTCCACTGGAGAGTTGCTCAGTCATATAAATTTCAAATTCCTTTAGATTTCTTGCACAATCACACTTTCCCCACTTCCTTTGCACCTCAGGAGCAGAGTTATGTTCTTCTTCAGTTTGTACCCTAGAAGGTATTTCATCATTGCTGGTCTCTACAACCCCACGTCTATTTTTATCCTTGAATCTCTTCTCCTAGGCAACCATTCTATTTAATATGTATCTATTTTTTGATTTGTATATTTTCTACAAAATGTATATTGCTTTGTGCATGTGTTTTTAATGTATTTAAGTTATATTATATTATTGTGTTAGGATAATACCAGATGCAATCATAAATAATGTCCAAATTTTAGTAACTAAGCACAGTAAAATTTCTTGTTCACCCAACAGTATTAATGATGTTGCTGGTTGGATAGCTCTTCTCCATGCAGTGATTAAGAAACCCTGTGT
The DNA here is from genome assembly GCF_000001405.40 of Homo sapiens. Lineage (NCBI taxonomy): Eukaryota > Metazoa > Chordata > Mammalia > Primates > Hominidae > Homo > Homo sapiens. Next base: position 79,437,620 of record NC_000008.11, on the reverse strand, counting down.
CTCCACCACCCAATGCAATGGCTCCCAATATCACCCCGAGGGTGACTTCATTCAAGACAACCGAAAAGAGAACAGAGCATGGAGAACTGCCAAATGTATACAATATTGTTTGTAATCCACATCTCTTTTCCCTAGTGTTTCAGGCACTAATGCTCATAAAGGATTCCTTTTTAACCACGAATTCTTCAATTACCATTAATACTGAGCCCAGGCCTTATGGAATACATGGATTGCCTTTGAAATGCAAGCCTTCTTCAGAAAATATTCAGTAGCTGAACAAACTTTCACTCATGATTTTCATTTATATATCAATTCATTCAACAAATATTGCTTTGAGTTCTTTACTTTGTCAGGTCCTGTACTAAGTTTTTTTGAGGAAAAAAAGTCTTATATGAGAATTTTACATAAAAACACAATTCCCCAAACAAAACAGATGATACAAAAGTTTTATGGTTTTTTGCAAGTATCAGAAAAAAATGCTGCTTGAACTCAGAAGAGGGTGTAAAAAATTTTGATGAAAAGTTTAGAGAAGGGTTTATGTTTATATTTATTGCATTTAGGTGGGAGAGGAAGGAGGGAGGAACAATGCAGTAAATAAGAGTAATGTCACAAGGCTTGAAGGCATGAAAAAGCAGAGCCTGTTAATGCGATGGCTGCAGCATTTGGGGCAGGGGACAGATATACAGGACCTGAATGTCAACTTAGCAGTATGGACTTAATTCTGCTATCAGAAGTTTAGAATCATGTAGGTTCTAGAGAATATCAGAGTTCAAGTGTAGTTTTGCAATTCAGTTGAAATTTGTACCCTTAAATTTCCTGATTTGTAAAATTCCCTTGGTGATAATGCTTGATTTTCACCTGGCAATGTCATTGTGAAGCTAAAAAAAGGGATGTAAAATTCTCTTACACAGTTTACAGCTCTTTATAGCCAAGAGCTGTTATTATTTCTATCACTCATTGGGAAATATGGTACCTAGGTGAGCCTTTTTCTACTGTTGTTATGTGAACTTCTACCTTTTACTGATTTTTAACATACCATGTTTTCATGTCTTTTCTTTCTCCATGTCTTAGGTCTGTGACTCCCATAATGTGCAGCATGATACAAATATTGAGTATACATCAACATATATCTTGATTTGTTGATTGCCCTTTAAAGTAACTGACTGCACCAATAGGTAAATACAGTCTTTGGAACTTGGCAATCAGTTAGAAAAAAACTGAAATAAGAAACAGAGCTAATTAAGATGTTATCTTAATAGTAGGAACTCAGTGGATGTTGTCATAGGTTTGAGCCAGAGTAGACGGTACCTCAAAGTTTTCAAAGATGAATCAGGGCAAGCCAGAGGATCCCTGAAAGGCCAGAGGTAGAAATGGGGAGTATAAGAACATACAGTGGAGGATCTAGGGAGATGAGATACAGGCAGAAAACAGACGTCCAAGTGGCTTTTCAGATCAGAGAGGTCAGAAGGCAAGTTTTTAAGTCCTGGTTCCTATAAAAGCTATTCAAAGGGCAAGAGGCAAACACTGAGCAGCGTGATGAGCATAAGTCCTGATCTTGGGGAAGTTGCTAACATGAGCTTGTCAGGAGTGAGCAGTAGAAAAACAAGGCTGGGTTTGGCTGTTGGAAAAGTTTCTATAAGAGGAACATGGAAGGAGTCAAGCTGCTAGAATGAGCTTGAGGTTAGAGCAGTCCTAGTAGTCCCACTAGTGAAAACATAAAGCTGTTGAGTTAGAACTACTTAAGTACCTCCTGATAAATAACAGAAGGGGTCACAGGGCTGGAAGCAGAGCCAAGCCTGTTGATATGCTCAGGCTCCTTGGTTGTGAGGATTGGAGGGAGCTGATCAGTCCTTGGCAAGAACTCTGTGCTCAGTGGTCAGATGAAGAGTTTGTGGGAATTTGAGGTCATTGATGGGAGCATGTTTATAGAGTTCAAGAAAGGTTCTGCATGAGGCAGTGAGGCCAGCTGAACCAAGCTGGCATGAGCCACCTGTTTAAACCTTGCTAACAGACTCCTCATTTTGTCTTTTACATTCCGTATCATTCCTCTGTAATCCTTTGTCTCCTTCTAATTTTTAAGTGGCATTTAAATATTATTTTCTCAATTGGATTGTCTATACTCCTTGTCCCAATCCCCTCTCGTTCACTTGATAACTCACCAGAAGTTAACTTCTATTAGCCTGAAACTTTATTAAGTAACCACAAGCTTCTAAACTGTCAACTCCAAGAGAGATTTTTTTGGACAATCTGCTTCAGTTGACATTATCACTTCCTTATTTTCCTTATATTTTCCTTCCTCTTCTGTAAGTTATCCTTTCTCCAATTTTCTCCTTATATATTGGGAAGGCTCTTCTGACTACCTATATGTTTTTCCTGGGTGATCATCTCTAGTCCTAGAGACTTAACTGTATTTACCAACAAATAACTTGCACATTCATTTCTTGGGCTCAGAGGTTCTAAAGAATTTTAGATGTGTTTATCCAGTTTCCTGTTGGTCAATGCAACTGGCATGCATTGGATGCCTGAATGCAATAATTACAACCAAACCCAGCATTCTCCTCTCAAAAGCTAATTTTTTCTTCTACTAATGTTTCCTTCACTTTGAAATATTACAACCACATAGTCAACAAGCTTGTTGACCAGGCACCTCTAATTCCCTATATTCTTGACTCCTCCAGTTCTTCAGCATACACAGCTAAGTCCTACTAAATTTTCCCCCTAAATATTTTGTGACTTTGTTTACTCCTCTCCACCCCTTTTAATACTGCCAAGATTTACTTTAGATTCCTTTCTCTTCATCCTTTCTCTGGGAGTTCTGCTCATTGTCTATTTGTAAGATAAGATATTTACTAAAAGAGTAATTTTTAGTGATACAGATTTTTTCTATTACATGATGAAGTTGTAATTAAAACAGGCAGCTAGAATAAATGATTAGATAAATAGAATAGTAGGGGAAACCCAGGATCAGATTTAAATGGGACCTTGATATATGACAGAGCTGGCTTTACAAATATATAGTGTATGGACATAGCATTTCCTATCCTACACTATATTCACAAACCAATTCCAGGTGGATCAAAATCCCAAATGCATAAAATAAACCTTTAACACTCATAGATTAAAATACAGAAGAACATGACCTGGATTAGGGAAGGACTTCTTAAGCCATAAGGGGAAAAATGATGAATTTGCATCAACATTACAATCTTCCATACAACAAAACACATGCTAAAAGATAAACAAATTTAAAAGTCCTACAACATACCTTGGAGAATGTGGTTGCAATTTATATAAAGACATAGGGTCCAGAATATAGAAAGAAATCCTACAAATTAAGAAGAAAAAGGAAAAAGGAGATTGAGAGAAAAATGAACAAAGAAAATGAACAAGCATATCACAGTAGAGGAAATCTGAATTTTCAATTATGAGATGCTCAACCTCACTGAATGTAGGTGAAGTATAAATTAAAACAAAGATGGGATGCCATTTTTCATGATCAGACTGTCAAAAATGAAATAGTTGGACAATAAGTACTGATAAAGATACAAGGAAATGAAAAGGTAGAAGTGCGAGTTGGCAAAACCAGATTAGAAAGGAATTTAGCAGGATCTCATAAACTGGTGAATTTATATCCAGTGACTCAGAAATGTCATTGCTGGATCTCACTACTGGGAATCTATCCAAAGGAAAGAAAATCATTATATCATAGATACGTCTGTACCCCATGTTTATAGTAGCACTATTCACAATAGACAAGATATGAAATCAACCTAGGTGTCCAACAGTAGGTCAATGGATAAGGAAAATATATTATATTTGCACAATGGAATACTGTTCAGGCATAAAAAAGAATGAAATTATATCCTTTGTGTAACATGAATGAAAGTGGGAGATGTTAAGTTAAATAAGCCAGGAACAAAAAGTTAAACACCACATGTTCTCACTCATATGTGGAAGTTAAAAAAGTCGATTTCATAGAAGTAAAATGTAGAACAGAGGACATTGGAAGCTGTGAAGTGCAGGGAAAAGGGAGGGATAGAGAGACATTTGTTTAGGACACAAAATTTGTTAAAGGACACAAAATTACAGCTAGATAGGAAGAATAAGTTCTAGTGTTCTCTACCACTGTAGAATGACTATAGTTAATAATAATATGTAGTTTCAAACAGCTAGAAGGGGGATATTGAATGTTCCCAATACACAAAAATGATAAATGGATGATGGATATGCTAGTTACCCTGATCTGACCACTACATTATATATATTAAAACATCACCACGTACCCCATGAATATGTACAATTATCATTTGCCAATTAAAAAGAGAAAAAAATTCCATTTCTGGAATATGCTATAGAGATACTCTCAGACATTGCGCACAAAGAGACATGTATGAGGATGTTTATTGCAACCTTATTTGCAGTAGCAAAAAACTGAAAACAAACTAAATATCCATCAATATGGTAATCAATGGAAAAAAATAACAATGAGAAATATAAAAGAAACAGCTATAGAATGATTAAAAGGAATGATAAGAAAGTTAACATCTTTTGAAGGCCTACTATATGTTAGAAACTATTCTAATCTCTTTACATGTATTAACTCATTTAATCATCACAGTAAATTAGTAACATGCTCTACAGATAAGGGGCACATGCAATGAAGAGATGAATTTTCCCAGGGTTACACAGCTAGTACACAGAGATCTAGGATGAAATCCAGGCAATATGATGCTTGAGACCAAGCTTTAGCCATTACGCTGTGCTACCTTTCCAGAGTTTACATCTTGTGATGCCTCTTATGCAATTAAAGATATACATAAAGCATGCTATATATTATTTATATATATTATTTATATATACATATTATATAAATATGTTTTTAGATGTAGAAAACATGACCGTATATATACTAAATTTATTTTAGTGGCTGCTGAGGATGGGGAAGTTGTATTTAGGATAATGGAGTAAATGGAGCTTTGCATGTATTTGTCAATTTGTTCTATAAAAAAAAAGAACTTGAGACCTGGTGCGGTGGCTCATGCCTGTAATCCCAGCACTTTGGGAGGCCGAAGTGGGGGTATCACGAGGTCAGGAGATTGAGACCATCCTGGCCAACACGGTGAAACCCCGTCTCTACTAAAAAAAAAATACAAAAAAAAATTAGCCAGGTGTGGAGGCAGGCGCCTATCGTCCCAGCTACTCAGGAGGCTGAGGCAGGAGAATGGTGTGAACCTGGGAGGTGGAGCTTGCAGTGAGCCAAGATCGTGCCACTGCACTCCAGCCTGGGCAACAGAGCGAGACTCTGTCTCAAAAAAAAAAAAAAAAAAAAAAGAAAGAAAGAAAGAAAAAAGAACTTGAACATTTATAACAAATGATTATCAGTTATATATGGTGTTTATTTAATTTTTCATCAAATTATAGTTTTAAAATTTCTCACAACAAAAAGTTATAAATTAGCTTTCATTGAATAGGTTGCAGAACAAATGTGTAAAATATGATAAATATTATCTTGATTTTATAAAACACACATGTAAAGGACAAAGAATATACAATGACATGTTAGCAGTGGGTTATTTTTGGGTGGTGGGATTATAGGTAGGTCTTCTTTCCCGTTTATGCTTTGAACAATAGTAATTACAATAACGCAACGGTAAAAATAACAAAAAAGTGATCAAGTTATATTCCCCCTAAGCCTAGACCTGGTGGATCCAGACAGTCTAACTTTAGAGGGTATAATCTTAAATTCTTCCTTTCACCATTTCCTCAATGAAGAGTCTCTGAATCTTTTTAATCTTCTTCATTTCTACCACCTGTTCCCCAGTTCAGATTTAATAATGTCTCTGCTGAAGAGTAACAATAGCCCTGTCACTAGTTTTCCTATTTCTTTCTAATTCTTTCTAACATACCCTGTGCAGGGTGGCTAAGTTGTCTTTCTAAAGAGCCAGGCTCTTCATGAAACTCCACTTCCAATAATCTTCAGGATAAAGTTCAAATTTACCAGAAAGCACATGAGCACCTTCTTGGCCTCATTTTTGCTTTAATTCTCTGCCTCGTATCTCCTGCAACATCTTCACCTTGACTCCTTTCTCCAGCCATAGCAAATACCCCTGGAGCACAAATGATAGGAACAAGCTGGTGCTTCTTATATAATACACTTGTCTCCTTCCCTGGCTCTCACCCTATGCCACTCTCTGCCCGTTCTGCTTGGCTGACACCTCTGCTTATCTTTTACAGGTTACTTGTTTTATAAAAAACATTTACTGAGCTATGCATACTTAGCTAAGATAGTGGCAGCCTTCTGTTTTCTCACAACTCATATTCATAGTATTATACTTATCCCTCTGGGATCAACCACTGATTTTTCTGCCTGTTTCAGAAAAAGTCTGAACCAGATTTTAGGTAGCTGTAGGGTAGGAATCCTATCCTAGCACTTAAGTGCCTAATCCTAGGAAGTGCTTAGCATTTTGTTGAATGAATTAATATGTTTTGGCCTCTAGCTACCTTTTAAGACTGGATTTTAAAGAGGGCATCCTCCTGACACGTTGGTGAAGGACAACTGGGTAGACTTGCAGGGAGGATCTGCCTGCAGCGAGGAGGCTGGGTTTGCATGACTCAGCCGCAGATCACTTTTGCTTCAGATCCTTCTCACTTCTGCAGCACACGGGAGAACTGACCTACATTCAGAATCACTTTATAATTCCAGAATTAAACTCAAAAGTGTAATAGGAGGGGAACTTGACTCAGTACAGGCAAACATCAGTGTTCAGAAATTCTAGATGATAAAATAAAGAACTGAAGAAGCAGGAACTGCTGACAACAGCAGTTCAGAAAGTAGGACAGTTTAGACCAAGTTCCTTGGAGGAAAAAGGGATTCAATGACTGGAATTTTTTATCTTTTCCACATAGCTCCTTATGTGAAAACGATACTTTTGAATCTTTCTGACCATGGGAAAAATGTTGGTGGAATATTCTCTTGCCTGGAGTTGTTCTGTTATGTGTACATTGGTTGTACCCAAGGATGACGCTTAGCACTTTTGAATACAGAAAGCTATACAGTGATACTAGCAAAAGACATAAATCTAAGTCCAACCACTGAGGTGGGAATTACTTTGGGTTGTGTTTCTAAATATATAATACCATGAACTCATCAAGCTGGATATAGTATATGTTCATGATCTAAAATGACTTCAGATTTTTAAGAAACACCAAGCAAAACTCTTCTCCATGGGTCTTCTACTCTGGAGGAATCAGCCCCACAGCTGAAGCTACGTCCTTGTCAAACTTTAGAACCGGCTGCACTGGATGACACCCTTCTCCTTCTACCAGGGGCCCAGACTGTCGCACAAGGTAGATAAAAGTTCCCTGATGACCATTCATCCTCCAATCACCACCATGGACACCGAACCCAAAGGTGATGAAGCAACAGTCTCCAGCAAATATCCAGAAGCTGAATACATTTTAAATTTCAGTCTCAAGTTCATTCTTGCATTCATTCAGGCATTCTTTCCTTTAAGAAACATTTTTTAAAAAACTAATTTTCTCGGCCAAATCTCAGACTGGGCTCTGGAGATGTAATCAATGCCAATCTCTGCTACAGTTTGTTTCCCTCAATTTCTAATTACTTTAAAAAGCAGTTCCCTCTTTGCTTCGAATTAATGTTTAATAAAGAGATGCCAAGCAGATCTTGTTATTAGTCTTCTTATTTTTAAGTAAAAAATGATTATCAAGTGATGGTGCATTATGAAATAATAATTGAAATAATATTAATAATTAACATACTCAGCAGTTGCTATGAGCCAGACACAGCTTTCAGTATTTTAAATACTCGAGTAATTTTACTACAACTCTATAGGTAGGTGTTATTATTATTCTTGTTTTTTAGATGAGGAAACTGAGGCACAGAGTAGTTAAGTAATATCGTCTTCTAAATTTACAGAAAACTCTATGGCAATAGTTAACTAGGGCAGGTACTACAACTAATAGTAGTTAGAGAAACCAAGCCAGAGTCCTTAAATGACTCTTATGAATAGAAAAATATATAGAAATATTTACAATAAGGTATTCCTGGTTATCTCTGCATTATAAGAATGTGGTCATTTAATCTTTTTATTGTGTTACCTGAATCTTTAACTTTCTACCATGCATACATAATGCTGTGTCTTAACCCATTTTGTGTAGTGATAACAGAATACTTGAGAATGAGTAATTTATAATGAACAGAAATTTATTGGCTCAGATTTGCTGATATTGGGAAGTCCAATATCAAGGTGCCAGCATCTTGTGAGGGCCTTCTTGCTGTGTCATCACAAGGCAGAAGGTGAGAGAGCAAGAGAAGGCTGAACGCTCCTTTTTATTATGACACCAGTCCCAACCATGAGGGTGGAATCCTCATGACCTAATGACCCCTTAAAGGTCTTATTTAATGCTGTTATAGTGGCAATTAAATTTCAACATAAGTATTGGAGGGTACAGATGTTCAAACCACAGCAGCTTATCAAGTAATAAGTTTATTTTTAATAATAAAGATAACCTACTGGAGACTAACATGTATAATACCATCAAATTATAGAAGAGCTGTTTGAGCAGAGAAGAGAGGATAACCCTCACCATTTGGGGGTTAGGTAAGGATTTATAGAGAAAATTACCTGGCATTGGTCTGGGAAAAATGAAGAGTTTACATGGCAGAGAAATAGTGGGAAGGACATACTAAGCTGAAGGAACAGGGTAAACAGAGATAGGAGAGAATAGGACATGCATTGGATGAGAGTGGGAGGTAGGGTATCAGGGAATCGATGGGGAGATGAGACTGGCACTGTAGTTTGGATTGAGAAACACAGGCTTTAGAGGCAGAAGTTCTGGGTTCAAACCCAGCATTGCCACTTTGCCTGCTGCATGAACTTGGGGAAGTCACTTGGGCCTTTTCAACTCTGATTTCCTCTAGTTAAATGTGTATTGTGGAGTTTCCTGCCATGCTACCTCAAAGGGTTATTGTGAGGCTCAAAGGAAATGTAATATTATAAAGATTATATAGATATACATTATATAAATGAAGGCGTTGTCTACAATACCTATTGGAAAATGTCCTGCTCTGTTGATACATTATATTTTCTTGATATTTTAGTGAAATGTTTATGGTTATTTGACTTTTCTTTAAATCATTTTCTCCATTGACATATTAGTTAACTCTAAAGTACAATACCAAGAGTATACAGGAATACATATTTTATGATTTACTAATCATCCATTAAATTGGTGGGTGGAAGCCACTGCAATTGACAAGTCTTATTCCTGAGTGGAGGTTGTAGTGATCAATAAAATCAGTAAGGGAGGACTCAGGGTAGCAATGTGTGATAGGAGGGTCAATCCAGGAAAGGTAGAGTCTCAGGGCCTAGAGGTGGTTGTCAAGGCACAGCAGGCTGTGCTACAGGATCAGAAGCTGACTGTGAAAAAGAGTTGGGATGGAAGGAAGAGTATGTCAGGGACTGGTAAAGGCAGTGGGCCCAGGTCAGATATCATGGAAGGAGTTTAACCCTGAGGCTGGAGCCTACGATCCTATAGTAAACACAAGTAGGAGCCTAGACTTAGATTAAACAGGCTCTTAGAAGAGTACTGGCATAAAGACTCATGCAACATTCCAAAGGAAATTGTCTGGAGCTGGGATCTTTGATTTGGTATGCAAGGCTTAGGTTCAGTCACAGAAGCAAGACCTGGTGAAATGTGGCCATAAAGTTGGAGCAGAACAGAAGCCTCATGACCTTTATGCTCTTCTCCTGCCCTAGAGTTCTTTATTATTACCAATAATGGAAATGAGCTGGTCCTGCAGGGGTGCTAAGTGGTATTTGCTAGGGAGATTGGTGGGCCTCTAAATCTTGGATTAAGAAGTGGTGGTGTTGACTATGCCCAGTAGTTTTGAGACTGAGTGGGAGTGTCACTGGACATTTAGTTGTTGGGGGCAGGCTTTCTCATGGAGACATAAGTGGGAACAGTTAGGTTGTATATGAACAAGGTGACAAGCATTCGCTGGTGCCCAATTCATGTTTAAGCTCTGACTCTCAGCTGCTTTCTGATCACTTAATTCTTTATCTCTCTTGCCCCTATACATTATGGTAAGCCGGAGGGACCACAAACTGCTGCTAACATTCCTTTTATCCCATCCACCACTCAGAACAGAGCTTTGTTCTTCATTGTTCAAAACATGCTGTTCGTGGTTTGATGGCATTTTCACCTCTGTTTCCATGTCATGCCTGTATAAGGGCCATTCATAGGTAAATAAATGTTTTTTCTTTGGAGATGATAAAGGTTGGTTAATTGGATCTTTGCATGCCTCTGTCAGTCTCACTGATCTGTAATCTACTGTATATAATTATATAAAACTTTCCAAAGAAGGGTCTACTCACTGCCCCGATTTTCTCACCTCCCACTACTTTTTATTCCATAGCCTCTGGTTTCCATCTTTTGAAACTCTTCTTATAAGGTCACCAGTGACCAAGTAATCATCAAACTAAAGTAGTCTTTTTGGGATTTACTTACTTTGTACCTTTGTTTTTTCAGGTGATACCGTCAATCATACAGACTATCTTTTATTGGCTCATGAGACCCTTCGTGTTCTATATAATGTTACTAATTTCTTGCAAGACATCCCCTTTTTCCTCCACAATCTCTCTAAAATGTTGGGGAGACTCTTCTCCCTGCATGTTCTTCTTGACTAATCTTTTCTGTTGTAGTTTATTCCTCAACTTTGTTGGTCCCCAAATTTACATCTATAGCCCCAAATATGTTGATATGGTCTGGCTCTGTGTCCCCACCCAAATCTCATCTTGAATTGTAGTCTGAATTGTAATTCCCATGTGTTGGGGAAGGGACATCCTGGGAGGTGATTAGATCATGGGGGCACTTCCTCCATGCTGTTCTTGTGTTAGTGAGTGAGTTCTCATGAGATCTGATGGTTTTATAAGGGGCTTTCCCCCACTTCGTTCTGCACTTTTCTCTCCTGCTGCCACTTGAAGAAGGGCGTATTTGCTTCCCTTTCCACCATGGCAGTAGGTTTCCTGAGGCCTCCCCAGCCATGCAGAACTGTGAGTCAATTAAACGTCTTTCCTTTATAAATTACCCTGTCTCAGGTGTTTCGTCATAGCAGCATGAGAATTGACTAGTAGATGTGTCTAATGAAATGCAAACTTGTATATGCAATTGCTGCCCTTATATCTCCTCTTAGCTGTCCAAAAGACACTTAAAATTTATGTTCCCAGAACTGAACTCATTTTTGTGCCACCTCTTATATTCTCTGTCACCTGGAGGCAGTAACCTATGCAGTCATCTAAGCTAGAAACATTGTTTTTATCTTTTCCTTTTCTTGTCTCCTACATCCAATCATTGTGTAATCCTGCCCATTTTCCTCCTCAATATTTCTTGAATTTTTCCCATATCCTTTATTTCAACAACTACTACCTTATAGAGATAAATCACTTTTATCATTTGCCATCATCTCTTGCCTGGGTTTGTCAATAGATTTCTGATTGTTTTTTAAACCAATTTATTCCCCATACTACCTTTGAAACCACCTCCATGTGATACATAACTCATCTGCTTAATGTTAATTAGCAACAGGATAATGCCCCACTTTCTTAACATGGTACCTACATCTCTTCATGATCTGACTTTTACCTATGTCTCCAGCTTCAAATAGCACTAGTCTCCATGTTATGATTTACTTTTTAGTGATATGAATTTGCCTGAGGTCTCCAAATCTGCTATGCTGTTTTTCCTTTCCTAGCTTACACTCATGTTGCCATCTCTGCCTTCTTTTTCTTACATATGTTTGCAATTGAGTTCTGACAGTGCCTCATTCAGGAAAATCTCTTTACTCATCTTCTTCCTTCAAGACTATTATCATTGCTTCTCCTCGGTTATCCAGTAATACTATGTACATAAATGTGTTGCAGTAGTTGTGAGTTGGGCTAGTACAGGGTAGGCATCAATAAATATGTGTTGAATTTAGTTGGCACTGCTTATCCTTATTTTCTCTTGGGTGTATTGGTAACCTGTGTGTGGGTAAAACGGGGTTCATATGTCAATGCATAGTAGTGCCTCTCTTCCACTTGAGGTGTGCCAGGTCCACCCCAACGACCTGGCCCTTATCTGAGCCTCCTGCTCCTCACCAGGTCCAGTTTCTCATGGAGCCTTTTCTGTGAGGCAGGTGGGGTGTTAACTTTGTCAGCAGCAAGGTTAGTGTCCACTCCAGGTCATCTGCTGCCAGGGCCCAGAGTTGAGGTTGAGGGCTGCACCATGGTTTAGTCAATAGTTGGGCCATTTTTTTCTACTATTCCTGAACTTGTGAAGAAGACTGATTCCTGATCTCTGTTCCTTGAGTCCATGCTGACCACTTCACGCCCATGCCAGAAAAGGATTTATATTAGTCTGCTCGGGCTGCCATAATGAAATACCACAGACTGTGTGGCTTCAACTACAAAAAACTGTTTTCTCACAGTTCTGGAAACTGGATATTTTAGGTAGTTTAATAACAAGTTTTTGGCAGAGTTTGGTTTCTGGTGAGGGCTGTCTTCCTGGCTTGCAGAGAGCCACTTAGGCCTTAGATGGTCTTTCCTTTGAGAATGCAATCACTCCAGTGTCCCTTCTTATAAGGAGCTAATCCTATTAGATTAAATTCCACCTTTATAAACTCATTTACCTTTAATCATCTTGTAGGCCCTATTTCCAAATACAGTCACATTGGGGGTTACAGCTTCAATGTATAAATTTTGGGGGGATACAAACATTCAGTCCAAACACAACGAATTTTCATAAGTCTGTGGAATGGTAATCACCAGGCTGAGCTGGCATGACAGCTGACTTGTGAATGCTGCTGAAAGAGAGGATGAAATCTACAGTGAAGGCAGGCCAGGCCCTGGGCCTCGAATGTAGCAAGACGTAAACTTTCAACTAGCAATGGAAGTTGGGTAGGAGAGAGGAAGATATAATTTGTATTTCATGACATATGTAAAGGTATATTCCTGTTCCAACTTTTCGTTAACTGTGACAGGGCTCCTTATTTACTTCTTTGTAGGTGTGGAAAAGAAAAGGCCCATCTTTTTAATGAATGGCACAAGAACCTTCTCACATCTGTTCTATATTGTAGTTACTATACCAGTCAAGCGATAGATCACTTCAGGTTCTTTAATATACGACTAGATCTACATTAAGAAAATGAAATTAGCGATTTGATACTAGAGAAGCAGACCTGGGCAATGGATCTAAAAGAAAGTGCCAACTAGGCTGGCCTGCCACCTAATTTGGAAAAAAAATGTATAGAGTACATGGAATCAAGTAAGAACATCATGTTATTTCTTTTATCGTTTGTAAAATGCAAACTAAAGTGTTTTCCCCTTTTTAAACCAAGATAATTATTTTCTCTTTTTTCTGATGTATTTAGCAGTAAGATGCTTATAGTATTTTAATGATTGAAATTCATGGTTTAATTTCTCATGCAAAGTCATGTTCTTTGACTCTTACTGTTTGTCTTCAGTTTCATTGTAAGTGTGAACAATTATAATCCTTCCTTCCTCCCTCCCTTTCCTTCCTTCCTTCCTTCCCTCTTTCCTTCCTTTCTTCCTTCCTCTCTCCATCCTCTCTCCAGTTTCCTTACTACCTCCCTTCTTCCTATCTCTCTTTCTTTTTCCATTCTCTTTCTTTCCTCTCTCCCTCTCTCTCTTCCTCCCTTTCTCTTTTTACTAACTCATATTTGTCAATTTATGATTTTTTTAAAAAAAGAAAAGCTTTTAAGGAAATGATCAACTAATATCGTTTGAAGTCTAAGTTCATGCTGTCTCTTCATAGGTATTTAGATATTCCTGCATTGTCACTGAAGGCTAATATGTAAGTTTTATATTTCTGATTCTTAAAGTTTAGGGGTGAGGGCACATCCTCAAATCGGGAGTTTTGTGATGCATTATGGTGGTTGGGCCAATGTCAAATCCTTAATGTTTAATTTGGAAAAGTATTGGAATGTAAAGGCTCTTGAGGGTAAATGGCTTATTCTCTTGTCTTTGACAAATAGTATGAGAAGTGAAGTGATCTAGAGTTATATTTGTCAAGCTTTAATGTGCATATAGAATACTTAGAGGTCTTATTAAAATTTAGACTTTGATTCCGTAGGTCTGGGGTGAGGGCCAGGAGTCTTACATTAGTCAGGGTTGTCCAGAGAAACAACCAATAAAACACACACACACAGACACACAGACACATACACACACTCACACACACACATACACATATATATACACACATATATAAACATAAATATATAAAATGTAACTTAAAATGATGTACATATTTATTTATTTTGAAGAATTGGCTCACACCATTATGGAGGCTGAGAAGTCCATGATCTGCCATCTGCAAGCTGCGGAACCAGGAAGCTTGTGGTGTAACGCAATCTGAGTCTGAAGTCCTGGTAATGAGGGAACTGATAGCGTAAATCTCAGTCCAGGGACAGGGGAAGATGAGGGGAGATGTCCTGGCCCATACAGTGAGACAGAAAAAAATAAGGGGGCAAAGCATTTCTTTCACCTTCTTCTACCTTTTGTTCTACTTAAGCCCTCAATGAATAAAGTGATGCCTACCCTGTTGGGGAGGGCCACCAACTTTCTTAGCCTACTGGGTTTGAATGTGAATCTCATCTGGACATACCCTCACAGACACACCCGAAATAACATTTTATTTGGGCACACCATAGCCCAGTCAAGTTGACTTGTAATTAACCGCTACAAATCTGCATTTCTACCAGCCCTCAGGTGCTGCTGATGGTTCTGGACCGTGGATCACATTTAGAGGAATAAGGCTCTAGAGCGCTGTTGTCTAATATGGTAGCTCCTAGTACATGTGCGTATTTAAACAACAATCAGTTAAAATTAAAATGAAAAATAAATTTTTCAGTCACACTAGCTATAATGCAAGGGCTCAATAGTCACATGTGAGTAAAGGCCACCATACTGAACATTTTCATCAAGGTAGAAAGCACTACTGGACAGTGCTGCTGTGGACAAAATAATATTGCATGATATGTTAGAAGATTCATGGCCAAATCTCACTTTTGTAACTTACTAGATTTATCAACATTAGACGTCCTACCTATAAAGGTGTATTTCCTCATCTGAAAAGTGGCCATAATAAAGATAACTTCGTCAGAAGGTTTGGAAACACTTAAATTAGTTAGCAAAAGTGATTGGCATATTATGGATGCCCCGTAAACTATATACCTAGTTGTTACAAGATGCTCCAGCTCTGGAGCCAGACAGCGTAGATTAGAATCTTGATATCTTGATATTGCCATTTACTGGCTTTGCGACCTTAGTTAAGTTACTCAATGTCTTTGAGTTTCAGTTGCTTTATCTGTGAAATGATTATAATCCTAATAACCTACAAGATTTTTAAGAGGATGGAATATCTGAATACATGTAAGTCTCCTTGAACAATTAGTTTCTGGAACATAGTTCTAGGAACAATGAAGAGCAAGAAGAAATAAACAATGAAGTGTTTTTGACATCTAGGCCATTTAGAAAGGGCATTCTTAATTCAGAGAATTTGTAGGTGGGCTTCAGAGAAATTGTGTGCTTTCTGAATTTAAATTAATTAAAATGCATATGTATTACGTGCATTTTTCTGAATTCCTGACAGGTCTGAGATAAAGAAAAAAGGAAAGAATCTGTTTTTAGAAGGGCTTTTTATAACTGAGAGAGCCCTTTATTCAACAACAACTTCTGGTCAGCAACTCAACCTCCCTGATGACTTTTCTGAGAGTAGAGTTTGTACTTGGAGTTTGGGTTTTGAGGGCTATAAGAAATTTATTTTCCCGGAAATTAGAAATTTAGCTTCAGCTCTTTGCATGTCAGTTTCATCATCTGTAAACTGGGGTTATTGGATTGGAGGATTTTTAAATAATGCTGGAAATCTAACATGTGTTATGACCCTAATGCAGATGAAGTGCTGTTAGTAAAATGCCCACTATATCAGGAAATTTGGACAGATTTAAAATAAAAGCTTGACCAACATGTCTTTATCAAATCTCTTTAACATTAAACAGAAAACCTAGAGCAAGGAGCTCTTGAAACGTTACCAGATCTCTGAGCAGAGAAGCACTGCTTGCTGCTTAGCAACCTTTGAGGCTATAGAGTGCAAATAGAAAACTGCAGGACAGCTGAGCCAAGCAGCTTCAAGAGGAGCCATAACGAGGCAGCTCGGTGTTTTCTGCAGAAGGGATGCTTTAGGATACAATAAAGCAGTGCTTACACAATGCAGCAGAGTTTTGGGTGTGGTCAAAATCTCTGTTAGCCATACTGAGTATACAATAAACGGAAGCATGACATCCTTTTTAGAACAAGTAAATGTGGAATAATTTGAGTCTAAGATTTATAGTAAACAGGGACATCTCTGCTATCAATAGCTTCAGCTTTAAACAAATATTTACACTTACGTGATTTTAATCATTTTTGCCACAAAACATTCGTACATAGCAACAACCAATTCTTTTGAACCCAGAGATCTACGAAGTACGTACTTTTTTAAAATGATAAGTTTAAGTATAAAATTGCTAGAGACCGCATCCTGAGTAATTTTATGAAAAAATAAAATATTTTTGATTTATTCTCTTTTTATTCACACTTGTATGTGCCAAAAACGTTTCTTCACATCCCAATTTGCTTTCTTAAGACACCATTTTTTTCTTCCTGCTAACTGTTCCAAATGAGAGTAAAATTCATCATAGTATAAAAGATGCAGAAAATCTAATTATTTTCTAATGCAGATGAAATTTGTAAACCACCTATCATCTGCCAGTCCTGTCATGGTGGAATATTTATATATAGTTCAAAGGAATGGGAAGGAAATTTCTGCTTTCAGAATCTTTCTGGTTATCTAGTTTATTTAGAATTGTTCTCATGTTCTCGTCATGATTTTATTCTCAGCTAATGTTACTGACCCAAATATTTCTAGGTGACAGATTGTTCTGTCTCAGGCATGAAATGTAAATTGCTTTCCCTTGACTGTCTGAGTCAGGAGTCACATAAAATCTTTCCTGGAACTCTGATTTAGACAGTAGTTGTCATCCATCTCTGACTCGTATGTAGTGTGTGTTTGCCTTTCATTTGACCTCTGTTCTAGTTAGATTCAGGATCTTTTTTTTTCTCAATATTACTAATAATATCTTTAGTTTACTAATACATATCAATCGTAAGCTAACTACAAGGGCCAGAGTAATTAGAGGATGTGCAGAGAGTTCCCTGATTCCCTGACAGTAGCACATATTTCTCCAGAGTTTTTGGAGTAGGAACAAAGAAAAGGAGGTCAGTATTTAACAATGTAAGGAGTGTACAAAAATAGAAAAGTTTCATCTTGGTTAATTTTCTTCCCTTATCTCTACCCAGGGAATGGGTTGGATGAAAGGAGGTTGCCTCCAAAGACTTTGAGATTCATTACTTTAACAGCACAGACAATTAAACCTAAGGGCTTTAAAAAGCCACACTGTTGTGACTACAGTGTGAGAGTTCTCTGGGGCCAAATTCTATAGTTTCAGTAAAGCCAAAGGTATATAGTCTGATCTCTTAGAGGCATCCTAGCATGACAATTAAGGTATGGACTTTGGAGTCAACAGATTCAGTTCAAATTCTAGCTTGTTTTGACAAATTACTTAACCTTCGTATCCTAGATTTCTCTTTTATTAAAAGGGTGCTATGATAGTTACTTACTGAAATTGCATGGATTAAGTGAGATAGTGATCATAAAGTACCCCAAACAGCGCCTGATCTAAGATAAGTGTTCTTTAGGTGGTAGATATTATTAAAAATAATGAGCAATTAAAAATTTTCTTCTAGAATGAATCCACTATGAAACTGTCGAATAGCAAAACTGCAGCAAAATTAGCAGTAGACAATATTTAATTACAGCTGCTGGAACCAAAGAGTAATAAAGTGTGACAAGGAAACAATTGTGAAGGAGGCATTGGTGATGAGTGAGAGTTTTTTTAGAGTAGCATCCAAAGAGGATTTTTTCCTTTCCAGGGGCCCCTAACCATCCCCTACTCTTCTCTCCAGCAGCACATGCAGCATCTTGTGGAAGACATTACCTGAGGGGGACATGCAGTGCTGCAGATGTGCCTTTATCACTTCAGCATCTCATACATCATAACAAACACAGCTACAATAATGAAGATCAAGACATGACAAGTTAAAGATTGCACATTGAGCAATTAGAGAAGAAGAAACAAAAATATTTCACAGTAAGCACAACAGCTCTGATTTAATGAAGTAGACCAGCATGGGTCAGCTTGGGACATAGATCAACATGGAGTGAGGAAGCAGAGGAAAACAAGGACTCAGAACAAGAATGATGAGAACAAACTAGAAACGACTAGGCTTAGCTTTTAGTGATGAATGGATAGTAGCTGTAATTGATGAACACAGAGTAAAAGGATGTAGTTTAATCTATAATGCAGATGAAATTCTTCTCAAGTAGTTCTTTTCCTTTCTTTTTTTAAAAATCTCAAATAGATAATTCTGTAGGCTCTTGAGTGAAGAAATACTATCAAACTCCTCCTTGTTTTCTTTTTCTTGCTCCTTCCGAAGGAGGAAAAATACTGGATAATTTGATACAAATTATGAATAAATGAAATTATTTGAAATATACTTAGTAGAAGGTGAAATCACTGAAGCAAAACACAAGTGGTTTAGAAAAACTGACTCCTTCCTGTGGTCCACCCCAGTTCATCATAGTTCCCTTCTCTTGGATTTTAAGAAAAAGTTCCAGCTAATGATTTGCTGTTATACTTATTTTCTTTGCCAAATATTTCTCCCAGAGACCTTTTGGGTAGGCGTTGCTATGTCCTGGGGACAAATTCAAATATTATGGGCTTCCCTGGCCACAATACAACAAAATAGCATTGTAATCTCATCTCAGTTCTAACACAGTTATGAGAATTGTTCAAACCTTTGCTCAATTTTTGGAGGATAATTCTTTATACTGAAGATGGTTGGAAAGGCATGTGTATAATAATAAATGAAAGCTGTATTTCCTTACTATGAGATAGGAATACAAATAGAAGTACTGTCAGTGTGAACTTGGTGTTAGGCAATGCTTAGGCAAGAACATTGATCAGGACTTTTGCACACTATTGTGACTTTCAGGTGAGATTTCAGAATCTCTTTTTGTCATAAGAACACTACTTTGTTTTCTGATAACATCTCATGCTTCTCTTCTTCTACCCTGTCTACACAGCTTTAAATCCAGTCTCGGCCTTTTTCTTCACTGACAGTTGCTACAGAGACACCTGCTGAAGGATTGCTGGAAGGAGTTGAGAACATGCAACATCTATTTGAGGATTTATCTCTCTTCTAAACAGAAGCATTTTAAAAAATATTGGCAAATGGAGGGCTTTGGGAAGACCTTTAAGCCATTGAACAAGTATTTTGGCAACAGGAGAAAATACTAGGAATAGAAGCGTGAACTCAATATTTGTCGTTATCCCTAGAACAGTTTATTTGTTTTTTTCTAAATATTGGCTCTTGACACATGAGTGGGTCATGAAATCGATTTAGTGGCTTAAACCATACAATTAAAATAAATAAATAAAATTAAACAGAAAATAATGAAAAATATTGAAGTGTATCTCATGTGCCATTCCATGAAACTTGTCTACAATGAATAATATAGATTTCTGATCTGTGAGTAAAAGTTTGAAAAGCCAACTTCCGTAAAATATATCTTTCATTAAGTTCCCCAATTACATATTCTACACCTTAGATATGAAGCCACCTCTGAATTATGATCTACTTCCTTCTCCCTGACTTTCACAGCAAAAGAAACTCCTAAAGATATTAGATATCAGAAAGATATAAGCCCTGATGGCCTTGACAATAACTCTGTTGGTTATTACAGAGAGACCAAGAAAGCCATGTGGCCATTGGTAACATGGGATTTTGTAATGGACTGAATTGGATCCCCTCAAATTCATACGTTGAAGTTCTAACCCCTAGTACCTCAGAATGTGACATATTTGGAGAGGTTAGAGGTAATTAAAGTTAAATGAGGTCATTGGGATGGATCCTAACCCAATATGACTGATGTTATAAGGGAAAATTAAGACATAGACACACACAAAGGGAAAACCATTGAAGACACAGGGATGAAGACAGACATTTATAAACCAAGGAGAGAGGCCTCAGAGAAACCAGCCATGCCAGTACCCTGACTTCTAGCTTCCAGAATTGTGCAAAAATATGTTGTTGAAGCCAATTAGACTGCACTAGTTTGTATAGCAGTCCTAGCAAATGAATACAGCCTTAAGTAAGGCCCATTTTTATTTGACCATGGCACAACTTGATCAAAAATTTCCCTTACAACTTCCTTTCTTGTTTTCTCTCCTTTCATGAGGCCTGTTCCTTGGGTTAAAAAAAATGTGCTAGTTGATATTACTGTATTCCCCAGTCAAAGGATAAATTTTTACTCCTGAATTTAACCATGGATTGCCCAGAGCACATTTTGGAGTGTGCCAAATTAGGATCTGAAGAGCTAACATCAACCTCATTTTTCCAGCACTCACTGGACTTATCCAAATTGCTTGGGGTTGGCTCTTCTTTTTTTCTGGAAACAAGGCATTTAAAGTTATTATCTTGAATATCTTGCTTAATATGCATAGCTTTGGATTGTCTCCTTTCCCTTTCATTAACACTTTTTCCTAACTCTAGGAGTGCTGTTTACCCATCTCTTCTTCCAGCTCAGGACGTCTATGCTTGTTTATATTTCATCCTTCACCCAAAATATAAATTCTTGCCCATCTGTCCTTTTAAATATTCCCATTGCTAGGCAGATCTGCACTTTCACCCTGTGGTTCCACCCCCCAACCAACTGGACATCTTTGTAAGACTGTTTCATTGAATCCTTGAAAATCCCTCTTCTGTCATATGCAAATTTCCATCTTCAAACAAGTAACACGATGCTTTTTCTCTCTTCTTGATACCACCTAACCTGGCTTTCTTGCTGACATCACAGTGAGTTTGCAGCCAGGAAGGCATATCTTCTCAGCCACGCATCCTCTTTGCTTCTCTAGTGGCTTACTCACACCTTGATTGTAACACCTATCATATTTCCATAAGTGTTTGTTTACATGATTGTGTTTCTTTGCCTACACAGTTACTCTTTGGAAGACAGGGGTTTGTATTTAAGAACCTGGCCTTTGGAGTTGGATTTGGTTTGAATTCCTGCTTGGCAACTGTAAATTACGTGAAGTTGGCAAGTTGCTTAACTTTGATTCATCTGTGAAATGCAAATAAAAATTATACTGCTCTTTTAGGATTTGAGAATTTAATGGGATATATTAGTCAGAGTTCCCCAGAGAAACAGAATCAGTAGAATTTATATATACATACAGAAAAATTTATTATAAAGAAAAGGCTCACATGATTATAGAGGCCACCAAGTCCCAAGATCTGCAGGGTGAGTCAGCAAGCTGGAGACCCAGGAGAGCTGATGGTGTAGTTCCAGTCGAAAGGCTGGAAGTTAAGACCCAGGAAAAAACAAAGCTTCAGTTTTAGTCCTAAGGCAGGATAAAAGCCAATGTCCCAGCCTGAGGACAGCCAGGCTAGAAAATAACTATCTCTTACTTGGGGTAGGATCAACATTTTTCTTCTATTTAGGCCTTCAACTGATTGGATAAGGCCCATCCCCATTAGGGAGGGGAATCTTCTTTACTCAGCCTTTTGATTTATATGCTAATCTCATCAAACACTCTCACAGAAATATTTAGGATAACGTTTAATCAAATATCTGGTGACCATATGGCCCAGTCAAGTTGACATACATAAGTAATCATCACATGAGAGTAATGACTACACTGCACTTGGCACATGGCATGTCACAGAGTTGACATTCTTTCTATAAATGTGTATTGGCGCTCCCATCATCTCTGTGTATCCCAGGTTTAGGGAAGTACCTGTCCTGTGCTTGAGAAATGTTTGTCAAATTAATGAGAAGACAAATCCCACTTCAGAATTATATTATTTCTAGCAGAATTTGTCTAAGGATACTGTGTTAAGGTTCATCCAAGTTTTGCATCTATCAATAAATAGTCCATTCCTTTTTATTGCTGAGTAGTATTTCATTGTGTGGCTGTGTCACAGTTTGTCTAACTTGCCACTCGTTAAAGGACATTTGGGTGGTTTCCAGATTTTGCCCATTACAAATCAAACTTCTAAGATAATTGTATATATTTGTGTAAATAAGTTTTAATTTCTCTGGAATAAATGCTCAATGTTGCAATTACTATGTCATATGGTAAATGTGTATTTAGTTTTATGAGAAACTGCCAAAGTATTTTGCAAAGTGACATTTTACATTCCCATCAGCAATGTATAAAATATCCAATTTCTCTGCATTCTTGCCGGCATTTGGCATTATTTCTATGCTTTATTTTAGTTGTTCTAGTAAGTGTGTGGTTATATTTCATAGTGGTTTTAATTTTTGCATTTTCCTAATGGCTAACAATGTGGTTTGGCTGTGTCCCCACCCAAATCTCATCTTGAATTGTAGCTTCCATAATTTCCATGTGTCATGGGAGGGATGTGGTGGGAAGTGATTGAATCACGGGGGCAGGTCTCTCCCATGCTGTTCTTGTGGTAGTGAATAAGTCTCATAAGATCTGGTGGTTTTATAAAGGGGAGTTCCCCTGCACATGTTCTCTCCTGCTTGTCGCCATGTAAGATGTGACTTACTCTGTTCCTCATTCGCCTTCGGCCACAATTGTGAAGCCGCCTCAGCCATGTGGAACTGTGAGTCAATTAAACCTCTTTCCAGGCTGGGCGCAGTGTCTCACACCTGCAATCCCAGCACTTTGGGAGGCCGAGGTGGGCGGATCACCTGAGGTCAGGAATTGGAGACCAGCCTGGCCAACATGGTGACACTGTCTCTACTAAAAATACAAAAAAATTAGCTGGAGGTGATGGCACTGTAGTCCCAGCCACTTGGGAGGCTGAGGCAGGAGAATCACTTGAACCTGGGGGGCGGAGTTTGCACTGAGCCGAGATCATGCCACTGCACTCCAGCCTGGGTGTCTCAAAAAAATAAAAAAGAAAAAAAATTCTTTCCTTTATAAATTATCCAGTTTGGGGTATGTCTTTATTAGCACCATGAGAACAGACTAATACAGCTAATAATATATATATATTTTTTTTTTGAGAGGGAGTCTCACTTTGACAGCCAGGCTGGAGTACAGTGGCGCTATCTCAGCTCACTACAATTTCCTGCCTCCTTGGTTCAAGCGATTCCCCTGCCTCAGCCTCCTGAGTAGCTGGGATTACAGGCATGCACCACCATGCCTGGCTAATGTTTGTATTTTTAGTAGAGATGGGGTTTCACCATGTTGGCCAGGCTGGTCTTGAACTCCTGACCTCAAGTGATCTGCCCGCTTCGGCCTCCCAAAGTGCTAGGATTATAGGCATGAGCCACAGAGCCCAGCCATAAACACTTTTTACATGCCTACCTGCTATACGTATCTCCTTTTTTGTGAAATATGTTTATATTTTTTCCCATTTTCAAATTGAGAATTTTTTAACTGTTGAGCTTTAAGAGTTCTTTATGTATTCTAGATACAAGATTTTTGTCAGATATACTGCTTGCAAGTATTTTCTCCCAGTCTGTGGCTTATCTTTTCATCCTTTTAACATCCATCTGCTGAAAAATATATCGTTCCGTCGATGAATTTCTTTGCATCTTTGTTTAAATTTCAATTTGCCATATTTATGTGGGTATATTTTGGGGTTCTATACCAACCGTATTCCATTGGTCTACATGTTTATCTCTCCACAATATCATGGCTACTGTAGCTGTATGCTAAGTCAATATCTGATAGAATGATTTGTCCAATTTTATTCTTTTTCATAATTGTTTCAGTTATTATAATTTCTTTGCCTTTCTATATAAACTTTAGAATAAGCTTGTCTACATGTAAAAAGATCGTGTTGGGATTTTGGTGGAACTTGCATTAAACCTACCAATCAACTTGGAGAGATTTTACATCTTTATGATGTTGAGTCTTCCAATCTATGAACACAATATGTTCATTTACTTATATTTTTTTTATTTTCTATATCAGTATATTGTAATTTTTAGCATTCAGATCTTGTAGATGATTTTTCTTTTAGGTTTTACTTATTTCATTTTCTGGATAATGATATTATGTTTTAAATTTTGTTCCCCATGTGTTTGTTGCTTACATATAGAAATATGATTTATATTTGTGTATTGATCTTGTATTTTGTGACCTTGCTGAACTCACAGTTTCAGGAGTGTAACAGTCCATTTTCATGCTGCTGATAAAGACATATCTGAGACTGGGAAATTTACAAAAGAAAGAGGTTTAATTGGACTCACAGTTCCACGTGGCTGGAGAGTCCTCACAATCAAGGCAGAGGCAAGGAGGCAAGTCACATCTTATGTGGATGCTGGCAGGCAAAGAGCTTGTTCAGGAAAACTCCTCCTTATAATAACCATCAGATCTCATGAGACTTACTATCACAAGAACAGCAGGGGAAAGACCATGCCCCCATGATTCAATTATCTCCCACCGATACTTCCCACAACACGTGAGAATTCAAGATGAGATTTAGGTGGGGACACAGCAAAACCATATCAAGTAGGCCCTTTTTATTTAAAATGTGTTACCTAAAAATGTGTAGATTCATTGGGATTTTGTACATAGACAATCATGTCACTTGCACATAAAGGCAGTTGTATTTCTTCTTTTCCAATGTGTATGTCTTTATTTGGGAAATAATATTTGTTGCTCCATAAAGCATAAAAATCTTTTCAAGACCCTTCTCATAACAGCTATTCCTGTTAGACAGATAATATTAGTGTTGCCCAGTTGATGGGTAAGAGCTTCAACCTTTTTTGTTGTTGCTGTTAACTACTTTATGAGAAAAAGCAATTTCTATGGGAAGCTTAAATTGAAGAACAAATGTCATTTACTTCTCTTTTCACACGTTTGTGAGGACAGATTTCTTGCTCTTTCAAAACAAAATCCCACCATGAGTATTGGCCTGCCCTGTCCTCGCCTAGCTGCAGAATCTGAAGATTTTACTCAATCCCTGGATTAGTCCGTGATCAATGTGAGCCAGGCTCCATTCAAAACATTTAAAACAGTGTCTGGCAACTGGGATTAAGATTGCTTAGCTGTGCCAGGTGCCTGTTGTCCTTCTGTGAAATTTTCTCTGATCCTCCCATTCAGAAGGGTTAAGTTTTTTGTGAGTTCCCATAAAATACATAACTCCTTGAGAGCATTTTATCACGTCCTTGCTCTGTCTATCTCTCTATCAACTGAGGTGGATACTTCTTTCCTAACTTTTTTGTTTTCACTTCGGCCGTAAGAAGGAGTTCTGTAGCATTCCTGGTTTATTTTCAAACTTTTGCTGAGACAGGAGCCTGCTCCAAAACATATCCTCCTTGGCAGAGCTCATATACTTTGGTGAGATTTTATTTTATTTCTTTCTTCGAATTGATGTGTATACAAACCTACTGGCTTATATCAGGAATGACAGACAAAAATGATGTCCCTGAAACCAAAACTAGATTCCCCACCTATCTACTGTCTCCATCAGGGTCATGAGGCAATGCCTCCACCATGAGATTGTGACTCTTGAAAAGATCCACTGCTCCACATCAGCTAAATAGACAGTATAATCTGGATAAGCTTACCTTCATTTTAGAACTTACTGTGTTTCAATACTTGTATATTTTCTACTCCTCCATAGTTTGTCTTTGGTGTTGTATCCTCTCTTACAGATGAACAAGGGAAAGAATATCTCTGCCTATTTTTGAGATTGCTGAGGTTATGGAAGTTCATTCTGCACACTTTATTAAGAAAAAATGTATTTTTTCACTTGTAATTTTATTTATTTATTTATTTTTATTTTAGGTTCAGGAGTACACATGTAGGTTAGTTATATAGGTGAATTGTATGTCACGGGATTTGGTGTATGGATTATTTTGTCACCCAGGTGATACGCATAGTACCCAATAGTTAGTTTTTTGATCCTCATCCTCTTCCCCCTCCACTCTCCAGTAGGCCCTGGTGTCTGTTGTTCCTTTCTTTGTGTTCATGTGTACTCAATGTTTAGCTCCCACTTGTAAGTGAGACATAGTATTTGGTTTTCTCTTCCTGCATTAGTTTGCTTAGATAACAGCCTCCAGCTCCAATTATGTTGTTGCAAAGGACATGATCTTGTACTTTTATGGCTGCATAGTATTCTATGATGTATATGTATCATATTTTCAGAAAAAAATGTATTTAAAGCCACTGCTTAGCCTGAAACAAATTGTGGGGTCTCTTGAGTAATATGAGATGCCCACTAGCTAGATGAAAATATGATTTCCTTGTTCAATAGAATAGTATGTACCTTAATATCTACCCATCAGTAAGATAAGTACTTAAGCAAAGTGATGTATAAGATGTAGTTTCAGGCCTCTTGAAGTGTATAGTCCAATTAAGAACACAAAATGCACAAATAGAATTCATCCAGGCTCTATGATAAAGTTAGTTGTGATTTAGGACCTCTTGATGTCTTCTTAATGTTACCCTTTATTCTAGAATGTTTCTTCTGGGTAAATTTCTAAGATTTTTTTTTCTTTAGTTTGCTTTCTGTATGTACCAAATTAGTCATTTTTTTAAAGTGTGACATAGTCCCATCCGGTAAGCAAGCAGATGTCGAGAGGTGGTAGGATGACCCTGCCAATCAGGAGCTCTGCACTGACTTCTCTGTCACTGGTTGTCAGTCTGTGAATCCTTTTAACTGAAAAGTCAGGATAAAAAATGACTGCTGTGTGGAGTTTCCTATTGCTATGTTACCACACATCATTTGCAAGTGGGTTAGCTACAGAAATGCCAGTTGCCTGCAAATCATTTTAGATTGCTGTGAGCTCTGGGCCGAACACTGTGAGTGTCACAGAATGGACTCTCCCTATTTTGATAGCCTTGCAGACTTCAAATTACATTCCACTTACTTCAAACATTTGCCAGGTGTAAGATTTTGTCCAGAGGACTACATAAATAAACCTTACTCTGAAGGTATATTCCATTTTGAGAAGTAACAGAAAATATCACAATGAGCTCTATCAAGGTATCATGTAGAAAGTGTCATCAAAGAGGTGCCAGCAAAAACCCATAGGGACCCAGAGGGAGAGAGATTTAATCTTGGACCTGGAGCTCATGAAGGAGGCACTGGAATTGGAGTGAATACTGTAGTCTGGGCAAGGTGGTCACAGGTATATTTTGTCAGGAGGGTTTTCCAAAATAGAGAAATAAAAGCACAGAAGTACAGAGAAAATAGAGAATAAAAGCACGTAAGTAGGAGAAAAGAGTTGCTGGGAGATGATGGGTAAGTAACTGGCTGGATTTAGGGGGCTACAGAAGGCCACTGAACATTAGAGCTAGTGCCTAGAAACAGGGGGTTTGGACATTGTGTGGCAAATAAAGTGTTCTTAAATAGGGCGTATGTTCATAAGTTTGCTGTTTGAAGAAAGTAACTCAGGAATCAGTGGAGGGCATGAATTGGGTGGACAGAGAAAGACAGGCTTCCCTTGGGAGCTGTTGCCTATTCAAGTTGGACGTAAAAGAGGCTTTCTCTAGAACAAGAGTATGAAAATAAAAAGGTGAAATGAGCATTTGAGGCTTTGGGGGTGACCAGAGCCCTCAGGTATCTTTTTTTTTTGGATGCTTCTAAAAGGGTAGTTGTAAGACATTAGGTCATCATTGTCCAGTATAAATATAATTAAGGTCATAAATGTAAGCCATACACGTAATTTAAAAATTTTAATAGCCACAGTGAAAAGGAAAAAAGAATCATGTGCATTTAATTTTAATGATATATTTTAACTCAAATATTAAAATATTTCAACATGTATCCACTTAATTCTTAATAATTAATGTCAACATTGATATTAATATTCATTTTAATAATTAAAAGAATATTATAATTCATAACAACTAATTTTTAATGATATTTGTCTTTTTTTCTCACCAAGTCTTTGGAGGTAGTGTGTACATTGGCTACCCTATTGGACTACACAGCCTGATACACTTTTACTCATCTACTTAGTACTAATGTACTAGCTACTTAGATGAACTGTATTACTCTACTTGTCTTATTGTATCATAAAAGTTTGTTTCAGTGTTTTGAGCTCCTAGAAGAAGAATGGCCTAGTTTTATGGTGGCCTGGAGTTCATAGCTCTAGGGCATGGCAAGAGGAAAGAAAAGGTGTATGCTTCTTAGCCTGACTCATTCTTCACATTGAGAGAACTGTGAATGGCCCTTCCTCAGCTAAAGCTATTGAAGCAAATGTGACTAAGAAAAGTAAAGGTGGGTATCTATCTAAAGGAAAAGAAGTCATTATATTAAAAAGACACTTGTACACATATACTTATTGCAGCACAATTCACAATTACAAAGATATGAAATCAACCTAAGTGTCCACAAATTGATGAGTGGATAAAGAAAATGTTATATATATATATATATATATCACATGGAATACTAGTCAGCCTTAAAAAAAGAGTGAAATAA
The DNA here is from genome assembly GCF_000001405.40 of Homo sapiens. NCBI lineage: Eukaryota > Metazoa > Chordata > Mammalia > Primates > Hominidae > Homo > Homo sapiens. The sequence continues at coordinate 79,409,022 of NC_000008.11, read as the reverse complement.
TGTCTTTTGCAGCAACTTGGAGAAAGCTGCAGGCTATTATTCTAAGTGAAGTAACTTAGGAACCAAACACCACATGTTCTCACTTATAAAGTGGGAACTAAGCTATGGGTACCAAAAAGCATACAGAGTGAAATAATGGACATTGGAGACTCAGAAGGGGAGAGGGCAGAGGGGGATGAGGGATTAAAAAGTCACCTATTGAGTATAATGTGCACTATTCAAGTGATAGGTACAGGTAAAGCCCAGACTTCATCATTACACAGTTCACCCATGTAACCAAAAACCACTTGTATCCCTAAAGCTATTGAAATAAACAAATTAATTAAATAAGAAAAAGTAAATTAAATGGTGTTTCTTTCATCCCCATATTTATACAAGGTACTCAGAGACAAGGAATTGATATGGAGAAAGTTGCGTGGATCTGCTAATGAGAGATTTATTAGAAATACATGTTTTCATTGTTCTAAAAAAGCTTCATGTCTGAAATGTATTTCTCCATTGGAGTCTCTGCTTCCCTGTCTCTCAATTATTTTATACTTTAGTTATTTTAGACACATACCCTTGCCCAAAGGTTAATTTAGAACCTAAGCTGAAATGTGTGTCAGATGATTTGAAATTGTGCTTGCACAGTGAAGGGAAGTCCTTTAGCAAAATAGTCGTTGAGGAAAAGAGGGTTGTGTTAATGAGAAAGAAGGCAGTAAACACTATTCGAACATCCTATAAAGTACATTATGAAGACACCAAAACACTAGAATGTGGCCCTGTATCTAGTACATGCTGGGTGTTTTTCCTATGCTATCTCATTTAATGATTATTCATGCGCATATGAGACTCAGAAGAGTAAATAACTTGTTCAAGGTCACAGAACAAGGTGCAGGCTGAATTTGAACCCAGGTCTTTCTTAGTCTACCACCCACACTCTCATTGTCATACTACATTTTCCCCTTCCAGATGATCTAGAAAAACATGCATAAGAAAGTGAACCTAAACATACTTGGAGAGCTGCAGCCTTAGTAATATTTTCTTATTCTGGATGCCTGATGCACAGCATATTTTTAAGATATTGTGTTCAGGGTCCAAAAATATGAAAGGAAAAGACACGGATTTTATTTAGAAATGAATAGGGAATGAGGGATGGTGATTTCAGGTTACGTGGAAGACAGTGACAGACACTGTGAGCTGGGAGGTGTTTCTGTCACATCAGGAAAAGAGTCAGAAGTCTGTACACAGGAGAGGGAGTTACATAGCTGCCAAAAAAAAAAAAAAAAAATTGAAAAGAAATGGGAGTGGCAAGTTTCAGGATTTTTTATTTTTTTTGGAAAACTTATGGCTCAATAAGATCTAATTTATCAATTTTCTCATGTCTACTATATTAATGCTATATTTCAGTTTGCACGTATGAATATTTCATGGAAACAGAGGCTCTGATACTTTAGAATTAAGAAACATAATTTGGAGGTTTCCTAGGCAATGAGTGAAAATGAGAGGAATGCAATATAACAATAGAACACAGCTTTTCATAGTTGCTGAAGAATAATAAACCACATAAAGATTTTTCTTCTGTAATAAAATATATTATGTCAACACATCTTTCACACAGATAAATGGGTAGATAGAAAAAAAAATGGATGTAAATAAAAAACTCCATGAAAAGCAAAGAAAATTAGTTCCTCTCCAGGAAGTATAACTAATTGCACAAACAAAATGATGTGAAATGGCATCCCAAAATATTACTGGAAGTTTGAGATTAAATGGAAAGTAAACATTTAATTTCATTGTCATACATTATTATCGAAATCATTTTTGCATTAAAATATGTATGGTTTAATGAGTTCTGATTATATTTACCAATGACTTCATTTACTCTTCAGATCATTTCAAGTTATAAAATTTTATTGTGGCTATTTCCCCAAACTTAAACCAAGGTATCTTTAGATTTATAATATTTGGAAACTTTGATTCAAAATTTTAAATAACAGAAGTTTAATTTAAAAAGCAATAGAAATGTGGTAAAGATGACATGATATAATGTAGATGTAGCAGAAAAATTCTCCATGTGTTGCCTACCTACAACTCTGCTAAGTAAACTCTGTTAATATACTGGACGGTAGCAGATATCCAAGAAGAAAGGGTATTCCTGAGTTGGATGAAGAGTGAACACTGGAAAAGTAACTCTGAGTAGGAGTCATTTCAGTCCCCTTTTATTTGTTTATCTTTCTAGTACAGTTCAGGAATATATAGTGTGACCTCCTGATGTTCTTTTGTTTGGAACAATTTATTCTAGAACAAATTTTGTACTCTAGTATCTTAAAAATGGGCAAATTAACAGAGTTTTATAAATATAGGCATAGAACATAAAAAGAGAGAGACATCCAGGAGGAATAAAGAAAGATGAGTCAGTTGTTATGAGCTTCAGGGAGTCTTCTAGAATTAAATCAGTTCTCCCTGAAGTACCGAGGGCAAGATAGTGACAATGTAATTAGAGCTTAGCAGTAAGAATGGGCTCTAAATTTGGTGTTTGCCAGGAGACACCTTTCTCCCTTGGGCTCAATCTAATTTTCTTCTAGAAAAAAAGCCAGTTTAAGGCATTTTATGAAAGATCCACCCTCTTGGTTTTCTCTTTCATTCTAGAGTGAAAAACTTGTGAATTCTGAGGAAAAAGAAAATCTAAAGTATGTGAGATAATTTCCCCCAAAAGATTGAATGAAAATGTAAAATTTGAAAGATAATAATAGAATTTCTTTTGCTGATAATATTTCCTGATTTTCTTTTACCTCTTCCTGCTTTTTTTCTCATTCCATAAGATAAATGAAAAACCAAAACAACAAAAATACTTCATTTGCAGTATTGTAATGGTCTTAGTCTTTTATGTATACATATGTAACTAACCTGCATGTTGTGCACATGTACCCTAGAACTTAAAGTATTATAAAAAAATATGGAATATTTGAAATTTATAGAAAAGTACAGAGAATAATATTATAATGAACTTGCATCTAGCTACCAAGTATTTTTCAAATATTCATATTCTGTCATATTTCCTTTTAATGAAATAATAAATTATTGAGAAGTTTAAGCCTTCTGGATACCCTTCTGTGATTCCAGCCCTGTTCTTCCCAAAGATAAAGTCAACTATTGGTGAATTTTATATTTAGGTTCCTATGGAGGAAAATTAGGTTCCTATGAGCAAAATTACACATGCTGCCTTTGGGTGGGCAAATTGGTAAACTTCTGAGTAGAGCACATTGAGTTGGAGATATAGGTCCCCTTGTGCAGAAGGGGTTCTACTTCTGGACAGAAGCCCAAAGAAACTTGTTTATGTGTGCAAGGAGACATATAGAGTTCATTGTAGCATTAAGTGTGTAAAGTGGAAGTAGAGAGAGAAGTTAAAAAAGTATAGAAATGTATCTTTAGGGTAGATGTAAATATTTTGTCAGGCTGTACATTTTCTAGGCTTTATACTAGTTGGTTTGATGAGCAGTAATTATACCTTCCTACTCAAAGTGTGGTCCATGAAGTAGAGGAAGGACATCTTATGGGAATGCATATTAAGAATGCTGAATTTCAGGCCCCAATCCAGGTTTACTGGATTGGAATCTGCATTTTAACAAAATCAGCAGGTGATTAAAGTTTGGAAGCATAGATCTAGAGCAGCTACTCTCAACTTCTGTGTCTCAGCAGGGAGTGCGTCACTATTAGCTGTGAGATGAATCATAAATACATTATTACCATTAATAAATAAAGTACAAACTTTTTCAGATGATTTTAAAAATAGAACCAATTTGAAGTACTTCATGCAGAACCATAACTCAAACTCATGTGCGTTTCTTGAGTGGGAGAATAAGAGTTGAGATGGGACTCTTGAGATAGGAATGTGTGCCTGCACATTGCAAACATGTGAGCTTGTGTGTTGGGAGATGCTATGGAGGGAACCATGTGCTTTGTGGCTGTTGGAGGATAAGGTGGAAACTGTAATAGAGTTACCATCCCAAGGAACAGATCACCCAGATACTCTTAGGGAGGACCATTCACTCATTTAACCTGTATACTTATCCCTGACACGTGCCACCGCCTCTGCTAGACCCCAGGGGACAGTGGTGAATGCCACAGATCCAGTCTTTTCCCAGTGGAGCTTACGGTCAGTTGCTCAGGGGAGGCAGATATTCATTAAGTATTACTGTTCAACAAATTTTATGAGAAGAGAGGCATGAGTCTTATGAAGACAGAAAGAGAGAGAGAGAGAGATGATTGATAGGATGGATCAATGATGCAGAGATGGAGACAGAGAGAGTGAGAACATACAGCAGAGGCACCTCTCAGAGTCTGCATGCCAGATGTCCAGATATTAGAAACACTTGAAAGGTTAGAGAGAATAGAAATGTATGATTTTAACAGAACATGTGGAATTCTTAGCAAATGTAGGTGAAAAGAGAAACAAGTAAAAAATACTTTGGGGGTACTGGCTCTAAATAAAGTGACCAGACATTTTCAAAACGTTATTATTTACTGTGTTCAGATATACATAAAAATCCAGAAAGGAAATCGGCTATTTTCGAACTGGCTTTTGGAAATCTTGATTTAAAAACTATTCAGATTTATTAAGATTTGGTTTCTGAGCTTTCAGGTTAAATCCTGTGCTTCTTTCCTGGTGCATGGAGTTGGAACCAACTTTCTTTTCAGTTACTTGGGATATTCCCATAGTCATTTATTTGTAGAGAGGAGAACACTTTAGGTAGGGTTTTTGTTTTTTATTGCTTTTGTTTTTGTTTTGGTATTCTCTCTTACCTACGACTGTTATTGTCCCAGACTCCCACTGTGGTAGGAAAACATGGGATAAATGGGCTGGTAAGGCTTCCCTGTCTGGTGATTTAGGTTTTTAGGTTTTAATTAAAAATGCAATGGTGTCAGGAAACTATAATCTACATATATATTACTATATATAATCTACTATATAACATCATATATTACATAACATGTATGTTCTATATAATATATGTAATACCTATGTATATATGGATACATATGTAAATATATATTTGTGTGTGTGTGTTGTGTGTGTGTGTGTGTGTTTTCTTCTGGCATAGTTCTTCCTTTTACTTAGTGCTCCTTCTGCCATTCTAAGTTCATTAACTCCTTGGAGAAGGGATAAGAACCGAAAGAGAAAAATCAAACTCAAGTTTTTCTTCCGGGTTTTGAATTTTGAAAGTCTAGCTTAGCTTTCAGAGAGGAAAGGTGAAGAACATGATGTTTGGGAGGCTCTATTAAAGAGAACATACCAGGATTCTCTTGTGATCAGACAGAATAAGGGTCCTCTGATCTGCAGGATAGAGCATCAGCAGGGAAGTGAGAAGAGTCTTGGGCCCTTAGCAAGGTGAGGGAATATTTCCTGCATTTTCTATGAATCTCGTCCTTGGGAGGTTAATATAAATCCCAGATATGTTTTGGGGTCCAAGAGCAGAGAAGATCTAGGCCTTGATTCTTGGGCAGAGTGTGGAGGTAGCAGAGCCCCAGAGAGCAAATGCCTTCATGATGGGTTTAGGAAGAGGGGCTTTAGTCTGACGGGGGAGTTTAGCTTCTCCAGTTTAGCACAGTACAAAATAACAGTTCCTGGTGGCCCAAAGTGGCACAGAAGTTAGATGGTGCTGCAGGTAGCTTAATTTCCATGGCACTATCTGGAATAAAAGCTGCAGAATGGGCCCATGAAACCAGAAGAGTACAGAAGTGCTGAGAATGAGCTGGACACAAGCGCACCTGCCATCAGGAAGCATGGCTGACACCTGTCTGGTGGACTGACGGCCTGCCATCTGATGGGGATACAATCTCTCATCTGATGCCAGATGCATGATCTCCCAGGTCATATATCCAATATTGGCATTGTGTAAACCCTCTAGAATTTATAGTAACCTTAGGATGGGGAGATGACTAAAATTTAATTTTCAGCACTCAGTAGAATGGGGACTCAGAGTAGAAATGGAGTTACTAAAAAAAGTTAAATTTCTTCACAATAAAATTTTGGCTTTAAGTTTGTACTTATCACAGTGTTTTTCTCTGTACCCTTATCACAGTGTTTTTCTCTGTATTTGTGTTGGAATGGGGTTTGAGAAGAAATATATTTAGAGGGGAAACGAGCTTTCTTTTCTCTTCTGTCCTTCTAACTTCAGGGCCTTGGGCTATTAACAATGGAAGAGTTACTGTTTCTTCAGAATCCTGCCGTATTTCCCAAACCTGTCCATCAATATCTTGTTTTCTCCATTGCTTGCCACTGGAATCAGAAACAATGAAGACAAAACTGAATCCAGATATAGGTCTGAGGATACCTTCATCCACAGATAACATCCACCTCACAGAATTCTGCAGGTACCAGAGATCCTATCAGCTCCCAAACCCACTTATCTTCCTTTTTGAAGCCCAGGTTATTTTAGAGGTAAGGACACAAAATCTTTGCAGCTTAGTGAACAAATAGCAAACATGTACAGAGAGGAAAGAGAGAAAATCTAGGCAAAGATGAAAAGGATTTAAGAATTCAGTTGGAGGGAAGGGAGAATGTGGAAGTGAGATATTCTTGTTGAAAGTGCATACCAGCTTGATCACCAATAATTTCCCATCAGGGAGAATGTATTTTTTTCATATGTTTGTCCAATGCCAACTATATGCCTTATGGAGATTCTTTGTTATGAACATGGGAGCATTTGGGAGCAGCCTCTAATTCTGTGGGGAGCTGAGAATTATACTTGCCTTTTTAAAGCTTTTTTTCCTTTGCCAAGATAGATGCTGCCCCATGGAACCCTCTCGCTCTTCCTGCTCTGCTCTGGTGTTACTGACTGCTTAGCCATTCTTTGTCAAATAGTAGACACAGGGCCCCACACGGTCACCATTTCTCTACTCAGAGCCACAAAAGTAATTATTTTGATGATGGAGAGAAACATTCTGTCATTATCAGATCTTCACCCTCCCTGCTCCAAGGTGCCGCTATTTTTTACTATTGAAAAAAGCCCTCCATGGGAAACTCTCTGTAACCCCTCTGAGGAAGTTTGCCACCTGTGTTCACTGTGGGAACTGGCTACTACTCTCCCAGTGAATTTAATGGGGGATGTGATAAGGTGTGGCCACATTGTCATGAGAAGACCCTAGGATAGTCTTCTACACTACTTACAATCACAGGGGAAATCACCCTTGGTTTGTTTGTGTCTAAGGTAGATGCTTGTCTAGAAACTAACACCACAGCACTACTCATAACAATTTAGAGTTGTCCATGGCAAACACCAGGGAGACTGCAGGGAAAGAGGGGAGGTGTGTCTTCCGCCAGGTCTCTGGTTGCAGCTTTTGTTTATGTGAAGCCAGCTCAGCACTTAACTGCGCTGACTCCAGCTCCTGTGATTAGTTTCTGACTTCAGGGAGTAATAAAATAGATGAGGCAGGAGCAGAGAGCTTCTGGGGTGGGGGATGGGGGGTTCGTGGGGGGGCGGGGGGCAGGGGGTGGAGAGAAGACTATGGACTGAGTATAGGTGGCTCAGTCTCCATCTGCTTGTCTTTCTTCTCTGTTTCCTGCCCTTTAACCTGTAGATAATGTCCATTAAATCTTTGCTGAATGAATGAATGTTTAGGGTGAAATGGTGGAAGAGTCTTCAGTTACACTGATAGTTAAGTTATTCACAATAATGTACCTATAAGTATTTGGTCTATTTTTTTTTGTCATTTGCAGACCTGCGATTTTTATGACTGCATTGTCTAACTATTTTACTAATAACTCAGCCATTATGGTGACACAAAAAGCTTGTTCATAAAAATAACTATGGGTCAAGCAATTCTGTAGTTGTGTTTTGCTATTTCGAAGAACACAATTTTAAGCTCCATAAAGGGAATCTCTGTACATGGCAAGATTAACCAACTCTCCCTCTCCCCACCACTGCAGAGAGCATCTGGGGTCTGAGAGAACCGATTTGGTGTTTGCACCCCCAGTGATTGTTGGCTCAGGGAGAGCCATTATTCCTTCATATGACAGGGGAGTACTTCCAATTAAAGCAGGGCAGGAAGGAAGCAACAATCCTTGAGCACAATAAGGCCACTGTCTTATTTCTCAGAGTAGGAGAAAGACCCTGTGATGGAAACTACTTTTCTCTTGTGAGATTGTACTCCCTTTCTTTAGGCGATTCTAAACGAACATGGCTGCAGCCATCATTTATCAAGAACTTCTCCTGGCTTCTTCTACTCATGGCACACAGCTCATGGCTTTCCCTCAGATGCAGTGGAAGCCTGGACAAAGGAAAACTTCCATTAACATCTTGTTGAAGTCTGAGGTGGCAGAGTTTGCAATACGCACAAAGAGATGAGGACATCAATAGACTTCTTTCTCACATGGGAAAGGTAGGATTTTCCCGGAAGTAAGAGGAGAGTTGGGGAAAGGTGAGCTCTCCAAGGAGAGAGAGGATCAAATTGCTGCTTTGGGAAGGAAAGGGAAGGGTCTGGTTAGGGAAATTGGGTTAGGGAACAAGAAAATTCCCATGAAGAAAGTTTCCTCCAAAGTCCTGGATGGAGACGTTGTATTTTCTGATGTCTTTGTGTGGTTAAGGGAACAAGTTAATTAAATAAAGTTACAACTCCTGGTCCTCTTTTCTACCCTTTTAGGATTCTTACTTAACTTTTTTTTCTTTTTTTTAAACGGAGTCTCACTGCGTCACCCAGGCTGGAGTGCAGTGCGATCTTGGCTCATTGCAACCTCCACCTCCCGGATTGAACAGATTCTCCTGTCTCAGCTCCCAGAGTAGCTGGGATTACAGGCACGCACCAACACGCCTGGCTAATTTTTGTATTTTTCTTTTTGAGATGGAGTCTTGCTCTGTCGCCCAGGCTGGGGTGCAGTGGTGCGATCTTGGCTCACTGCAACCTCTGCCTCCCGGGTTCAAGTGATTCTCCTGCTTCAGTCTCCTGAGTAGCTGTGATTACAGGTGCACGCCACCACGCCCAGCTAATTTTTGTGTTTTTAGTAGAGACGGGGTTTCATCATGTTGGCCAGGCTGGTCTCAAACTCCTGACCTCAGGTGATCCGCCCGCCTCGGCCTCCCAAAGTGCTGGTATTACAGGCTTGAGCCACCGCGCCTGGCCACTTACTTGGCATTTTTTAAAAGGATTATTCAAGCCTCTATTGGAGCTCAAAGTGTATTTAAGAGTGGAACAGAAGCACGGTTTGGTTGAAAAGGGGAAAGTCCAGGTCTCTGGTCAGGTACCTCTGGCTGTCCCTCTCACCTTCTTGTGGGTTACCAGGCAGAGGATGCTGACCATCAAACACCCCCAGAGGATGATAAAGCTCCTTCCACAAACTTCCCTTCCCAAGACATTCTTCCGCATGCATTCTTCCCCTTCATGATAGCAAGGGGGTTACTGTACAGTCTAGTCCATAGAAACCCATTCTCTGTCCACATCTCATGAACTTCTTTACCAAACACTAAAGGTGTTCTATGGGTCTGTGTGATTCTGGAAGTCAGAATTTTTATTGTTTGTTGTTTCAAATAAGTTGACACTTGAAGGAAACATTAGCCATCCTTTTCAATCTAAATTTTATCTTTATGTGACACTCCTAAATGAGAATTTCAAATATCCCAAAATAGAATATGAGAAAATAAAATTTAAAAAGTAAAATATTACATTTGCAAGTGGTCAGAATTTCATTAGGCAAACTTCTGTTTACTTTATGCCTGTCTTCATTATGGATTAGATATGTAGACTTATTTTCAAGACTGTGTATTTAAACCAGTGCATTTCTTTGCTACCTTTTTGTTTTCCTGGAAGGAAGTCACATCTGTTGCATGTATGATGTAATTATGTGTGGAACTGCTTGATATGGCAAATTTAACTGACAGGCCCTCATTGATTTGTTATCCTGCATGTACAATGGAAACCTGAGATCAGTCTGTTGAGTCTAGTTCCTTCTTGCAATTATTTCTCTTTCTTAAACAATTGATATTCCCTTAGTAATTGTATTGTTAACTTGTTACTCTAGGTCTCTTTCTCAAGAATTTGAACCAGATTCATTTTTTACCTCTGCACATTTTTTAAAAAGTTGGTTTGTTCATTATAGTCCTTGCCTTAACGTACTAATTGTCTTTGGAGTTGCAACTTACCCACGCAATTTGTGCTTGGAAAATCGATTGTTAATCTTCTGGAATTTCACCTAATACATATGGTCAGTTGGCTCATGGCAAGGAAACTTTTTATGGTACCGCTAAGTATGCTTTTAATCATATGGAAAATAGTCTAATATTGGCTAATGCATTCCACATTCTGAAGCTTCTTGAATTTAATTTAATCAATAATAAAGTAGAACAGTGGAGACATTAATGCTTTTTATTTCAATAAGTGGGTTGTCTCTCAAAATTAATCGGATAAAATATCGTTTGGCAGATTTAGTCAATCAGTGAAATACATGAGGTTTTCCATTTATTTTGAGCTCTTTCTTATATATTAAAATGTCTGATAGTTCATTACAATTAATAGACCAGGAAGGAGCATTGAGGAACTTGAAGGGCACCATGAGCAGGTCACCTTATGAACGTGAGGAGAGAGGGCAATGTATATTATTCACAACCTGCAGACCCATGTCTGAGCACTATAGTTTGATTTAGTATAGCTCCTTCAAATGCCTTTCAAGGCAAGAAGCTGGACAGGAGTCTAGAAATGTGTAGAACATCACTTCCCTACTGTGGTCTAATTGTATTATTTTATAGTTAAGCAATATGGGAATTCCATGTGAGATGAGTTCAGATAGAACTGCCAGTCCTTTATATAGAATCCCAAACAGCAGATTTTTTTTTTTTTTGGTTCTTAACTATGACTTGATTGCTTGAATGGTGGGATAGGAGTGTTTGAAGGTCATACACATTTTTTGTATGAATTATGTAATCTAGGGACAAAGAAAATCGATGTATTGGTAAATGTAGTTTACCATTAAATATTTAAATAGTTTCTCCTGATTTTACTCATGGACTGGTGAAATCTTATTTGGCAGGTTGGAAGGTCAGGGGGCAGGAGGCAGAACATTGGATGAAGAAAGTAAGATTATGTACATGAAAGTGATTTGTAAACCCTCAAGTGATGAGCAAATTATAGCTGCCATTATTATTTTGTCTAATTTCTTCCCTCATAATCTGCATACATTTTTGGCTTGCTAAATCACCTTAAACTCAGAGGCAATATTCTCTAGTTGATTTTCAATGTAATTGAATTTTCATAAAGAGCAAGATGGCATAGTTACTTTGCATTTTAATAAAACGAAGGGCTCAAATCCAAAATGTATTGCATGCAAGAGAAGTACAATTTCTTTAGAAAGTTCATAACTATGATCTAAAATATAGTTTGAATAACTAAGTGTTTACAATATCATGGAAATTTTGCATTGTTTTTGAAAGTTTCAACTAGGAATCTGACTCTGGACTTGCAAAAAATATGTCCCTTTCTGCTTAAACAGTGTAACTGTTATATGCTGCCAAATAGAATAGCTAGTGTATTAGTCCATTCTCACACTGCTGTAAAGAACTACCTGAGACTGGGTAATTTACAAAGAAAAGAAGTTTAATTGATTCACAGTTCTGCATGGCTGAGGAAGTCTGAGGAAGCTTATAATCATGGCAGAAGGTGAAGGGGAAGCAAGGCACATCTTACATGGCTGTAGGATTGAGAGAGAGAGAGAGAGAGAGAGAGCGTGAGAGTGAGCGCTAAAGAAGCAGGAAGTGCCACACACTTTCAAACAACTAGATCTGGTGAGAACTCACTCACTATCACGGAACAGTAAGGGGGAAGTGCCCCCATGATCCAGTCACCTCCCACCAGGCCCTTCACTAGAATTGTAATTGGGGATTACAATTCTAGATGAGATTTGGATGGGGTCACAGAGCCAAACCATATCATCTAGTTTTGCAGAAAACAGTGTCAACTGACTTTTAAAAAAAATTATTTGTATCACGGAGATTTCAAACTAATAAAAACATGGATATGAAACAGTACAATGATCCCACATATCCATCATCTAGATCCAGGGATTTTTGAAATTTATGATACTAGAATTTTCAGAGTAAAAGGCTATAAATTTCAGCTCATTTTGTTATTGCCATGTGTCAGGGTATATTAGCAGATATATAGAAAATACATATATATTTGTTTTCTTTTATATATATTTCTAATATATGCATGTATTTGTTTAGACACACATAGATGTATGTACACATACATAAACACAAACACGCACACACTACAGAACAAATAAACAGAAAAGTGAAATTAAAGCCTAGCTGTTATGTATTCAGCCTACATCTTGGGATACCAGTCAGCTATTTTCGAATTCCCGTCCATGTGTTAGCTTCTGGCCTCTCATTTGATCCCATCCTAAATCTGCATTCTTTGTAGTGGCAGTTATAAAACATCCTTCCAACTTAACAAATTTACATCTGCTGATTCTATCTGAAACTAGCTTCTAAAGTCCTCTCTCCCCATAAATTTACTGAAACAACAAACCTCATTACACTCTGCAATTGTGGTTAATTCACACCTATTACCATAGGTTTATTCTCTAGCATAGATGACCATGAACAATGTATATTTCCCTTCACAAATCATAACCACTAGAACTCTTTAGGACATACACATGTATGTCCTAGTTCCCATCGAAGGATATGCTTCAGGCTAACCCAGCCTATGGCAGATGAACCTACTTACCTAACACCACTCACACAAAAATTGGCAACCTCACTGAGGAAAAAAATTAGCCTAGGCAATGGATAACTGAGACATGGCAAAAAACAACACACAATAAATAATATCAAATACAATAAATGTTGGATAAAACTCCCCTAAATGTAACCAACTTTTGGGATGTAGCAGGCGAATGTGGAAGAGGATTTCAAATTCCCACCACTACTCCATTAACCTCAACCTCAAACCTCCTGCTAAAGGTTATTGTTATAAATACAGTCCATTTTTTATTTTCATGTAAATTACGAGAGCTTTATAGCCTTTCTCTAGTCTCAACCAGGGGTGAATTTACTCCTTAGAAAACATTTGGCAATGTCCACAGCTCTTTTTGGTAGTCACAATTGAAGGGGTACTAGTAGCATGTAATGGATAGAAAACAGAGACATTGCTCAACACTCTACAATGCAGGATAGCCATCCAAAGCAAATATTTATTAATCTGGCCCAAAATGCCAGTGATGCTGAGGTTGAGAAATCCTGCTCTAGGCATCCTTTAAGTGAGCAGTGGGACCACCATTGGAAAGCCCATTCAAACCCTGTGAAAGGGGCCACAAGTACCAGGCACAGAATTTTTTGATAAGCTTTTTTGGGTGGGCTCTGGAAAGAAAAAAGAGGAGAATATTGATTTTCTTCTGCTGCAGATAGACTCCGTACCATGAACATATGTTTTTCCCAAATGACAAATCATGGTTAAGCAGCGACTTCTTATCCATCTTTCTGATGACTCCTCATTTCCACCTGGCCCTGGGAATTGTCATCTCCTTACTGCTGGGTTTTCTGGCTGAGGTTCTTCCTGCAGGTGTTTTCTAAGAAACACCTGGAAGATTTGGCCCCATCAGTTGTCCTTCCCCAACCTATTTGCTTCATCACTATCACTGCTGGTCAACATGAAACTTTCCTTTCAGCATTACAGTGAAAACAAACTTCACCTTGCTCTCTACCCTGATATTGCCCCTGCTCTGATGTTGACCATGAAACTTACCCTAGCCACTTTGCTGAACTGCTCCTTTTAAAGATCCATGCAGAGTTTGTGGTTCTACCTCTACTTCCAGAGAATGGGTAATTGATATTAAGGTGTTCTTGTTGTAGATGCCAGCCCCAGGGGAGCTGGGAAATATCTCGTTATGGGATTACCCAGACCTCAGCATAAGGGACTTCCCAGTGCTGTGATTTGCCCCTTGCTCAATACACAGTTTAGGACTCAGCCTCCCTCCTTAGGGCTTAGGTAGGAGGAGGTGTTTCAGTTTTATATGTATCTGCATTTCTGTGTTTTAATTTTCCTTTGTCTGTAGTGGAAGACATGATCACACACTAAACCAGTCTCAAGATTTTTTTTTTTTTGTCATTTAAAAGAGCATTTCCCAGTGTATTCCATGTAATTGCAGCCCAGTGAGATCCTTGAAGGTGTTTTTGGGAAAAGGATTTTATAGTCAAATTCTTTTGGGTTCTTTATTGCCAAACTTCTCAAAAGCTCTAAGACGGTAATAAGTACTGAGAGAAGAAATGGAAAGTATGTCTCCCACATTTGTCTGCATATAGATTTTTTCCTATGGGATAATCTTAACTACTGCTTAGCCACAATAATAAGATGGAAAATTATATGGAAGACTTATATTTTAATTCTATAATTTATAAAGACAATTCAATTATTGTTTTCTTGTCTTCTATGGAGGGCAAGGCTAGATCAATAAGAAATATCCCAGGGTAATTTATATTTGCTCCCTCCGGGGCTTGAGAAATCCAAAGAATTGAATGAGAGTCCCTGGGGAAGTGAAATGTCTTAGGAATGTGAAATTAAGTATTTCTAGGAAGCACAGGTAAAGGATCATTTCCTAAAATAGCATTTTCCTAGCTTAAAAATCCACATAACCCTTTCTAAAAGAGAATCTCAAAGTATTAGAAAATCCATAGAATACCTTTGAAAAATTACTTATAGAAAAGGAAACTGAAATTAACTGGGTATATTACTATAGGATTTGCAGAACCTGTAGACTTAGGGATGACATGTTAGTTGAAATTGCTCTATTTGTATTCTCTATAGTGTTCTCACTGCATACTGAGCCATGTGTAATGTTGTACCATAGCCCCAACTCATGAGACTTTTACTTTTATGTAATAATGAATTCTTAAAATGAAATGTAGAAATATTTATGCTCTGTATGGATCTAGATATGAGAGAGCCACGTAAAAACTGTCTACGTGTATGTATCTTTATCTGCACAAAGATATTATATTTATGTGTGTGTCTACATTTATTACAATCCCTAAACATTGTGAAAACTTCTTTTGGGATTATCGTTGTGCTAGAAACTGTGTGTATAGCTTTAATAGAGAAAATCTCCGTTATTCTGAAGCTTCCTTGGTCTCTAGGATGCAACTGAGAAATCTTGCTAATGATTGGGGAAGCGGAGCTACAGGTAAACAAATTGAAGAATGTGAAAATGACTTGCAAAGCTTTACAACTAAGTTCAAACTCATGTCATTTCTTTAGACTAACAGGAAATATCTTAATAGGCATAGCCTTGAGGCATGCTGTGACCTGTGCATTATTGATCAAGGGGGAAGGGGAGAAAGGTGAGACCCACTTAAGAAAGTCACTCCAGTTGTTGGATTGGTCACTAAAAGGTCTCTTACTGATGAAACAGGGCCTGGGATATTCAGGGTGTTATAGCTACAATTAAGAAAATTATACTTTTGATGTACCTGGAAGAGGCTTGGTTCCTGTCCATTATTAATAATTTTGATTGTTATCATAACAATAATAATCATTAATTACAATTATTAATGAGACCCTCTATTGTCTCAGAAGTGTCCTAGTTTGGGTAACAAATAATATTCTCTCCTAATTAAAAAGGAAAGGACTTGGGGTTTGGGAGTAGCTCAACCCAAGTTTGAATTCCAGCCTTTATGTCTGTCGGGTAGGTGATCTAGTGCTAGTTACATAATCTCTTTGATTTGCAGTTTTTTATAAGTAACATGAAGATAATAATTTATTCAAAAGTTGTTGAAAGTCTTATATGAATGTAAAATATGCAGCTGAGTACCTTGCATATGGTTGGCACTAAATAAGTCACTGCTACTTTTGTTATTCTGATTGGTATTTTTATCCAAAAAGGCTCAATTCCAAAGGAAGAGCAAGATAACAGAAATCTAGGTAAGTGTTGATTTTTTTTTTTTTTTTTTTGAGACAGTGCTTCGGTCTATCACCCAGGCTGGAGTGCAGTGGTGCTATCATGGCTCACTGTAACCTCGATCTCCTGGGCTGAAGTGATCCTCCCTTTTTAGCCTCCTGAGTAGCTAGAACCACATGTGACATCATACCTGGCCAACTAAAAAAAAATAAAAATCCACAAAACCTTTTTTTGTCAAGATAGGGTCTCGCTATGTTGCCCAGGCTGGTCTTGAACTCCTGGGCTCATGTGATCCTTCCACTTCAGTGTCCCAAAGTGCTAGGATTACATGTGTGAGCCACGGTGCCCAGCTGAGGTGATAATTGAAGTGAAGTTCTGATTATTCTAACTCCAGGGAACAAGATGGGAAGAGGAACCAAGGACATGGAAGAGAGTGTGCAGCTCCACATGGAAGGGCCTGGCCAAATCTAAGGCAAGTGGTAAGAGACCCATAACAATGAGGTTGTTCAAAGATATAGGCCATAGAGTGTACTGCAAAAATCTGTCAATAACCCAGTTCAACGGTCCAGGAAAGTATAGAGAAGTTGTGGAAGACAGTTGCCACTGTAGTGCTCAGGATACTGTGAGAGACAGCAGCTGGCACATGGGCACCATATTTATTGGAGCATTATGAATTCCCATTTCCATCCCATGGTGGACTCAGTGTCTTCCAGCCTGGCACAGGATCTGGATGTTTTGTGTGCATACCCTTAGACCTTGTGGTTGAGTTAGGGAGGGAGGAGCTGACCTAACCAAAAGTGATTCATTTTTTCTCTGGTTGCATAGTGTGCTTACATTTGGGAGAGCAAAAAAACATTTTCATAGCAGGACTGCTTCAGAACTTGACCAAATTATATGGTATCCAATGGCTTTTGGTAATGAAGTATAACATTTTATACCAGTTATGTATGCAAGTCAATTCTGTTGAAATAACCCTGTTTTTTCAAGAAGCAAAAATAGTCTAACCTTTTATAAAATGTAGTAGCATTTTATGGTAGTGTTATTTTTTATAAAAGCACCTACATTTACAGAATTCTACCATCCCCTTCTCCTGTGTACCCAGTCTGTACAATCACAAGGTCCTTAATCAACTGACTTTAAGTTAATCAAAAGAAAGATTATTGGACTGGGTCTTCTCTAATCAGGCGAGCCTTAAAAGATGTAAAAAGATTCAAAGTGCAGGTGATTCTTCTGGCCTTGGAGGGGCCAACTTCCAATGTTGTGGAGAGTGCCATGTGGCAGGAAATATTGGGTGGCCTTTAGTTGACAGCCAGCAGAAAACAGGAACCTCCATCCTATAACTGTAAGGAACCAAATTCTGGCAACAATCTGAATGTGTTTGGAAGCGAATCCTGAGCTCCAGATGAGAATGCAGCTCCAGTCAACACCTGGATTCCAGCCTTAAGACCCCAAGCAAAGAACCCTATTGTCAGGCCTCTGAGCCCAAGCCAAGCCATCACATCACCTGTGACTTGCACATATACGCCCAGATGGCCTGAAGTAACTGAAGAATCACAAAAGAAGTGAAAAGGCCCTGCCCCGCCTTAACTGATGACATTCCACCATTGTGATTTGTTCCTGCCCCACCTTAACTGAGTGATTAACCCTGTGAATTTCCTTCTCCTGGCTCAGAAGCTCCCCCACTGAGCACCTTGTGACCCCCACCCCTGCCCACCAGAGAACAACCCCCTTTGACTGTAATTTTCCATTACCTTCCCAAATCCTATAAAACGGCCCCACCCTTATCTCCCTTCACTGACTCTCTTTTCGGACTCAGCCCGCCTGCGCCCAGGTGAAATAAAACAGCCATGTTGCTCCCACAAAGCCTGTTTGATGGTCTCTTCACACGGACGTGCATGAAATTTGGTGCCGTGACTCGAATCGGGGGACCTCCCTTGGGAGATCAATCCCCTGTCTTCTTGTCCTTTGCTCCGTGAGAAAGATCCACCTATGACCTCAGGTCCTCAGACTGACCAGCCCAAGAAACATCTCACCAATTTCAAATCCGGTAAGCGGCCTCTTTTTTCTCTCTTCTCCAACCTCCCTCACTATCCCTCAACCTCTTTCTCCTTTCAATCTTGGCGCCACACTTCAATCTCTCCTCTTAATTTCAATTCCTTTCAATTCCTTTGGTAGAGACAAAGGAGACACGTTTTATCCGTGGACCCAAAACTCAGGCTCTGGTCACGGACTGGGAAGGCAGCCTTCCCTTGGTGTTTGATAATTCCAGGGACACCTCTCTGATTATTCACCCACGTTTCAAAGGTGTCAGACCACGCAGGGACGCCTGCCTTGGTCCTTCACCCTTAGCGGCAAGTCCCGCTTTCCTAGGGGGCAAGAACCCCCCAAATCGCTTATTTCCACACCCCAACCTCTTATCTCTGCGCCCCAATCCCTTATTTCCGCACCCTGACCTCTTATCTCTGTGCCCCGATCCCTTATTTCCTTGCGTCAACCCCTTCTCTGCTTTTCTGGAGGGCAAGAACCCCCCACCCCTTCTCCGTGTCTCTACTCTTTTCTCTGGGCTTGCCTCCTTCACTATGGGTAAGCTCCCACCTTCCATTCCTCCTTCTTCTCCCTTAGCCTGTGTTCTCAAAAACTTAAAACCTCTTCAACTCACACCTGACCTAAAACCTAAATGCCTTATTTTCTTCTGCAATGCCGCTTGACCCCAATACAAACTCGACAGTAGTTCCAAATAGCCAGAAAATGGCACTGTGAATTTTTCCATCCTGCAAAATCTAAATAATTCTTGTCGTAAAATAGGCAAACGGTCCGAGGTGCCTGACGTCCAGGCATTCTTTTACACATCGGTCCCTTCCTAGTCTCTGTGCCCAATGCAACTCGTCCCAAATCTTCCTTCTTTCCCTCCCGCCTGTCCCCCCAGTCCCAACCCCAAGCGTCGCTGAGTCTTTCTAATCTTCCTTTTCTACAGACCCATCTGACCTCTCCCCTCCTCGCCAGGCCGAGCTAGGTCCCAATTCTTCCTCAGCCTCTGCTCCTCCACCCTATAATCCTTTTATCACCTCCCCTCCTCACACCTGGTCCGGCTTACAGTTTCGTTCCGTGACTAGCCCTCCCCCACCTGCACAGCAATTTACTCTTAAAAAGGTGGTTGGAGCCAAAGGCATAGTCAAGGTTAATGCTCCTTTTTCTTTATACCAAATCAGAAGCGTTTAGGCTCTTTTTCATCAAATATAAAAATCCAGCCCAGTTCCTGGCTCGTTTGGCAGCAACCCTGAGACGCTTTACAGTCCTAGACCCTAAAAGGTCAAAAGGCCATCTTTATTCTCAATATACATTTTATTACCCAATCTGCTCCCAACATTAAATTAAACTCCAAAAATTGGAATCTGGCCCTCAAACCCCACAACAGGACTTAATTAACCTCACCTTCAAGGTGTACAATAACAGAAAAAAGTTGCAATTCCTTGCCTCCACTGCGAGACAAACCCCAGCCACATCTCCAGCACACAAGAACTTCCAAATGCCTGAACCGCAGCAGCCAGGCGTTCCTCCAGAACCTCCTCCCCCAGGAGCTTGCTACACGTGCTGGAAATCTGGCCACTGGGCCAAGGAATGCCCGCAGCCCAGGATTCCTCCTAAGCCACGTCCCATCTGTGTGGGACCCCACTGAAAATCGGACTGTTCAACTCACCTGGCAGCCACTCCCAGAGCCCCTGGAACTCTGGCCCAAGGCTCTCTGACTGACTCCGTCCCAGATCTTCTCAGCTTAACGGCTGAAGACTGACACTGCCCGATCGCCTCAGAAGCCCCCGACCATCACGGATGCCGAGCTTCGGGTAACTCTCGCAGTGGAAGGTAAGCCCGTCCCCTTCTTAATCAATAACGGAGGCTACCCACTCCACGTTACCTTCTTTTCAAGGGCCTGTTTCCCTTGCCTCCATAACTGTTGTGGGTATTGACAGCCAGGCTTCTAAACCTCTTAAAACTCCCCAACTCTGGTGCCAACTTAGACAATACTCTTTTAAGCACTCCTTTTTAGTTATCCCCACCTGCCCAGTTCCCTTATTAGGCTGAGACACTTTAACTAAATTCTCTGCTTCCCTGACTATTCCTAGATTACAGCCACATCTCATTGCCGCCCTTCTCCCCAACCCAAAGCCTCCTTCGAGTCTTCCTCTCATATCCCCCCACCTTAACCCACAAGTATAGGACATCTCTACTCCTTCCCTGGCAACCGATCACATGCCCATTACCATCCCATTAAAACCTAATCACCCTTACCCCGCTCAAGGCCAATACCCCATCCCACAACATGCTTTAAAAGGATTAAAGCCTGTTATCACTCACCTGCTACAGCATGGGCTTCTAAAACCTATAAACTCTCCCTACCATTCCCCCATTTTACCTGTCCTAAAACCAGACAAGGCTTACAAGTTAGTTCAGAATCTGCGCCTTATCAACCAAATTGTTTTGCCTATCCACCTCGTGATGCCAAACCCATATACTCTCCTATCCTCAATACCTGCTTCTACAACCCATTATTCTGTTCTAGATCTCAAACATGCTTTCTTTACTATTCCTTTGCACCCTTAATCCCAGCCTCTCTTCGCTTTCACTTGGACTGACCCTGACACCCATCAAGCTCAGCAAATTACCTAGGCCGTACTGCTGCAAAGCTTCACAGACAGCCCCCATTACTTCAATCAAGCCCAAATTTCTTCCTCATCTGTTACCTATCTCGGCATAATTCTCATAAAAACACACGTGCTCTCCCTGCCAATTGTGTCCAACTGATCTCTCAAACCCCAGCACCTTCTACAAAACAACAACTCCTTTCCTTCCTAGGCGTGGTTAGTGCGGTCAGAATTCTTACACAAGAGCCAGGACCGCACCCTGTAGCCTTTCTGTCCAAACAACTTGACCTTACTGTTTTAGCCTAGCCCTCATGTCTGAGTGCAGCGTCTGCCGCTGCTTTAATACTGTTAGAGGCCCTAAAAATCACAAACTATGCTCAACTCACGCTCTACATTTCTCATAACTTCCAAAATCTATTTTCTTCCTCATACCTAACGCATATACTTTCTGCTCCCTGGCTCCTTCAGCTGTACTCACTCTTTAAGTCCCACAATTACCATTGTTCCTGGCCCGGACTTCAATCTGGCCTCTCACATTATTCCTGATACCACACCTGACCCCCATGACTGTATCTCTCTGATCCACCTGATATTCACCCCATTTCCCCATATTTCCTTCTTTCCTGTTCCTCACCCTGATCACGCTTGATTTATTGATGGCAGTTCCACCAGGCCTAATTGCCACACACCAGCAAAAGCAGGCTATGCTATAGTACAAGCCACTAGCCCGCCTCTCAGAACCTCTCATTTCCTTTCCATCCTGGAAATCTATCCTCAAGGAAATAACTTCACAGTGTTCCATCTGCTATTCTACTACTCCTCAGGGATTATTCAGGCCCCCTCCCTTCCCTACACATCAAGCTCGAGGATTTGCCCCCACCCAGGACTGGCAAATTAGCTTTACTCAACATGCCCAAGTCAGGAAACTAAAATACCTCTTAGTCTAAATAGACACTTTCACTGAATAAGTAAAGGCCTTTCCTACAGGGTCTGAGAAGGCCACCGCAGTCATTTCTTCCCTTCTGTCAGACATAATTCCTCAGTTTAGCCTTCCCACCTCTATACAGTCTGATAACAGACCAGCCTTTATTAGTCAAATCAGCCAAGCAGTTTTTCAGGCTCTTAGTATTCAGTGAAACCTTTATATCCCTTACGGTCCTCCGTCTTCAAGAAAAGTAGAACGGACTAAAGGTCTTTTAAAAACACACCTCACCAAGCTCAGCCACCAACTTAAAAAGGACTGGACAATACTTTTACCACTTTCGCTTCTCAGAATTCAGGCCTGTCCTCAGAATGTTACAAGGTACAGCCCATTTAAGCTCCTGTATAGACAGACGCTCCTTTTTATTAGGCCCCAGTCTCATTTGACACCAGACCAACTTAGACTGTGCCCCAAAAAAACTTGTCATCCCTACTATCTTTTGTCTAGTCATACTCCTATTCACCATTCTCAACTACTCATACCTGCCCTGCTCTTGTTTACACTGCCGGTTTACACTGTTTCTCCAAGCCATCACAGCTGATATCTCCTGGTGCTATCCCCAAACCCCCACTCTAAACTCTTGAAGTAAATAAATAATCTTTGCTGGCAGGACTATGCTGAATCTCCTTAGGCACTCTCTAATCAGATGTCCTAGGACCTCCCAATTCTTAGACCTTTTATACCTGTTTTTCTCCTTCTCTTATTACATTTAGTTTTTCAATTCATACAAAACCGTATCCAGGCCATCACCAATAATTCTAAATGACAAATGTTTCTTCTAACAACCCCACAATATCACCCCTTACCACAAGATCTTCCTTCAGCTTAATCTCTCCCACACTAGGTTCCCACACCGCCCCTAATCCCGCTTGAAGCAGCCCTGAGAAACATTGCCCATTCTCTCTCCATACCACCCCCAAAAATTTTCGCTGCCCCAACACTTCAACACTATTTTGTTTCATTTTTCTTATTAATATAAGAAGGCAGGAATGTCAGGCCTCTGAGCCCAAGCCAAGCCATCACATCAACTGTGACTTGCACATATACGCCCAGATGGCCTGAAGTAACTGAAGAATCACAAAAGAAGTGAAAAGGCCCTGCCCCGCCTTAACTGATGACATTCCACCATTGTGATTTGTTCCTGCCCCACCTTAACTGAGTGATTAACCCTGTGAATTTCCTTCTCCTGGCTCAGATGCTCCCCCACTGAGCACCTTGTGACCCCCGCCCCTGCCCACCAGAGAACAACCCCCCTTTGACTGTAATTTTCCATTACCTTCCCAAATCCTATAAAACGGCCCCACCCTTATCTCCCTTCACTGACTCTCTTTTCGGACTCAGCCCGCCTGCACCCAGGTGAAATAAAACAGCCATGTTGCTCCCACAAAGCCTGTTTGGTGGTCTCTTCACACGGATGCACATGAAACCTATCATGACTGCTCCAGTCATCTGAAACTGTGAGATAAGAAGTGGATATTGCTAAAATCTACTAAATTTGTGGGAATTTGTAATATAGCAATAGAAAACTAATATACAATTATTCAAGTTTTACTATGAGTTTTAAATCTAGTGGTATTTGAATACAATTTGAAACCAAAGGTAAATTCTTTGCTTCATATCAGCTTGGATTCAAGTAACTTTAATTGGGACTGAGAAGTTGAATGAGAGCCTATTCCATAACTGATCAAACACTTTAATTTAAAATTAATTCTGAGACCAAATGAAGTCAGCTGCATTAGGGTTATTTTTCACAATTTTCTGAATCACATAAAAAGTGACTTTAGAGAGTTTATTAAAGCTATTTTTCTTTAAAAGTTCTTGTTCCAAATTTATGGAAGAAATTTCATAGACCATATGTTTTATGTTTGCTAAATATCAGATCATATTTCTGAGCTATGTAACCTTGCTAGATACTGAACATTTCAGAACATTTTATATATTAGATAAAGTCCTTTTGCAATGCCTTTTATTCATTAAATATGTATAAATCTGCATCCATGGACGACTAAAAAACAAGAAGATGTACATCTCTTTTTGATGGGTGAATAGGACAGATCTATTTTGACCTAGATTATACATATTTTCAAAGAAGCATTTAAGTTAGTAAAACTAATTAATGTGTGACCATGATGAATTCCTACCCTTCTGTTGACTTTATGTCTGAAGCTTTTTGTTTTGTCATATGCTGCCTGTTGTTAGGGCTTATTTATATTTCATGAGATACTGAGATTGTCATATTTTTCAATCTAAATGCCAGGTTTTATTTTACATAAAGTCTTTTCCAGAAGAAGACCATAATGTAAGATGAATTTGTACTAGGTTTACATCTTTTTGGATGATTCAGAAGGGAAATGTACCAGAGATGTAATAGAAGCTCTTCTAATCTAAACTAAGTTTACTGTGACTTTAATTTAAAAGTTTTATTTTTCTAAAGTATGTAGGAATAAGCCTAGATTTGGGACTAGCAAGGTAATTGCATGTTATCTGATGGGAATGACATGTTGGATGGGCACCACTTTTGCTTTATTTTACTGCTATCTCGGCAGGAGATTGTGAGTCAGTTATTTTACCTTCATTGTGCCACATGCCTTTTTCTCCTTTTACAAATGTCCTTCTGCCAGAAGGCCCATACATTCAGCAGCCTTCAAAATGATTTTATCCATTTTTTAACTTCAAAGTAAATGTTTGAAATAAGAGGAAAGGAAGAAAATTGCTTATGTAGTACGGATAGGATTGTATATGACTGAGCTTGACAATACGGCACTTGATTAGCTCTGATATTTTCATGCATTTGATAAAAAAGTGCAATGGTTTAGTTTGCTTTACTAATCTGCTGTTTTAAGTCAACAATACAACTGCATCTTTGAAAAAATGTTTTTCTCTTTGCTTCCATTGTCTTAGACTCTTAAGCAACACATGAAAGATTGATTTATTATTCTATAAGCAGCAAGGAACTTTAAAGGAAATTGATTAAGCATTTCTCCCCCTTCCTCTCCACTGGAGCCCCCTTTGCCACAAAAGCTCTCAGAAGTGGAGTATTATTGAGGCTGCCAGTGGGTTCCATTAGTTGCACTGCATCTTGAGGTTTACTAATGAAGCTAGGATGTGTTTTCTGTCATTAATGATGATTCAAAAGAATGCTTAATTATCTCTTTGCATTGATTGTGGTTGTCCTCTTTATGGGTTCAGCAGTGACTATGTTGTATAACATTTTTCTTTTGGAGTTTTTCTGTAATAGTTGACATTTTGTTATTGATGGTCATTCTAATTTGGCAGAAAAATACTGAATCAGGCTTCCTGCTTATTATTTGGGGGAAGATGGTTTATAGATATTCCCATGTAGTTAAAGTCACCCCTTTCCCAACATATTGTGGGTAAACACCCAGGATACTGCACAGGCTGCTAAGCTTCTCTTTTACAAGGAAAAACACAATCTTGGAATATATTTAAGTGCATCTAGCAATGGCAATGTTCCTCCTTTTGTTTGGAATTGAGGCTACTTTTGTAAATATTTTGTATAATTACAAAAGCCTGATGTTTAGTCATGTGAACGCATTTTTAGAGCCATTAGAAGGTACTTCACTCCCTAAAAACACGTGAGTGTTTTTCCTCCATTGTTTGTGGTTATTTTGTTTGTTTCTAACTCAGCTATATTTGGCAGAGACCTAAAATCTGTTCAACATCCACAGAGTCTGAATCACTTCAGGCTTTGGCCAACATTCTAATGAAATGACTTTGGCAGAACATATGTTTCACTGAGCTCCTGTAGATACATTTCTCAGGAAACCATAACCTTTTCCACAATATATAGATATAGCAGGGCCAGAGAGCATAGTTCAGCCACTCCTGGTTGTGTGACCCTTAGTAGGATGCTTAAGCCTACTGAGCTCAGTGCCCTATCTGTAAATGTGAGTCATATACCTCTCAAGCTTCTTATTAAATAAGGTTAACATAAGTAAAATGTATGGAATATGTATGTAGCATATGTTTTACATATCATTTATAACATATATGCATAAGTAATATATGTGTAAAACATTGTTTATAATGCATGGTAGGCCTTCAAATGTATGTCGTCTTCAGGAGTAGATTCTTCTTTTTTTATTTTCCTATGTTTTCATAAAAACAATAACTAAAAGCATCATCTGTGACTTTACAGAAATTGTCAAATGCACAATGAATGGTGGGTTCTTACCTACTCTTGCTCTCTTGTTAGGATTACTGTAAAAAATTATAATATTGTAATTTCTATAAGTAGTCAGAGCTTTATTACCACAATAGATTTATATACATATAGTATTTCACTCCTTTAGGATGAATTTAATGCTGAAGATGTGTGGAACTGAAACATTTCATTGTTTAATCTCCTAGGAGAGAGATAATTATTTCCATTTGTTTATTTGTTTATTTTTTTTAATTACAGAAGCAGGGCTAGCTTAATGATTATTCCTCTGAAAGTTCTGTGGATAGTCACTTAAAATATAAGCTGTGACCATAGAAGATGGGGCCATCTGGAGAATAAATGCCAGTCCCAGCCAATTAAACACTGAATTCTCAAATAAGTTATAAGTTAAATTTTTATCACACACAGCTAAGTTTCTTTTTGCATAGTACTTAGAATTCTTTAAGTGTTTATTCTTTTGTAATAAATACTCATGTGTTATACAATATAGCACTTCCTTCAAAAATAAATGGGAATAAAAGAATGATTTAAGGACATTATCACAAACAGATATATTTGAAGGAGGGAAGATGTTTGAAGAGGAGGAAGGAGGAATGAGTGAGGTACAAATAGATTTCTCTTTTGAAGCAGTGAACTCAAGATAGAGAGAGTGGGAGTAAGGCCTGAGGGGAGGGGCTTCACAAAGACTATTATTAAGGCAGTGGGTGGAAGTCATGTGCTCACTCCCATTACCCAGGCATGAGAATTAGGATGCTCGACCCCTTTCCCACCCCGCTGGATTAGGCACTTCAATAATGTCTGCATTTGACAGAAGACATTTGGAAAACATGTGGACTGAGTGGGAGGAATACTGGAATATAAAGAAGAATTTGTACCCTCTGACCAGGAAACCAGAAAGTGTCTTGAGGATAGCAACATGGGGAAGGTGGAGAGGCAGATGGTTTCAAGGGTCAATCAGCCAAGAGCTGCTGACTCCTGTCCTCACGTTGACTTCAGAGTGCTCTGTGGTGATTATAAAGCAACGTGAAATGTTTAAATACTCTTTCCTTTGAGGGACATATTAATTTAATGGATCTGGGTGCAAACATCTTAAAATTTGGAAATATGGTTCTTTTAAGCTCCTTTTCAAGAGAAAGGGATAAAGTCTCAGTAAATCTGAAAAGGAAATCTCTATCATGCCAAACACAGAAGTAACATATGTTTGTTTGGACAGAGGAAGCCATGAGACATCTCATCATATTCACATTCAAGGCCCATCTGAAGCTAAACTGGTGACATTCAAGCAGTGTTCTCAGTGGAATGCTTTCTGTTAGCAGAAACTTATAGCATTGTTTTTTATTATTTAAAGCTACCTGGAGAGATACACCGTGTATCACCCACCCACCTCCACCTGCTGTCTGATCTGCTGTGCCAATTACAGTGCTCTGCAAATTTAGGCACTCAATCAAGTAGCAGGCAGAATGCTGTATGAAGAGAAATACAGAAGCAGAGCAGTTAGCCAGACATAGCATTCCAAATCAACAGCATCATTTTTGGAATTAAAAGAGCAGTTTATATTTTCAGAAGTAAAAAGAACAAAAGACAAGAGACCCACTGCTTGGGCTATAGCAGTCAACACAAGACACGTGGTGTGCACTCCTGTTTTCCACCTGCATTCCTCAGTGTTCATTACTTTATGGAGAAGGAGCCCAGAGGACCTGTTTAACTTTCATGCCTGTTAATGCGGGAAGAGCTGGTGACATTTGTCTTTATAGACCCACCCTAGTCACTGGATGGTTGTTGGATTTTCACAGCTCTTTGTCCCACACAGGAGATAAAAGAGAGGTATTGAGCTTGAACCTTGTTTCCAGAAGTTGGTGAGATACTAATGCCTGGCTCTGCCTATGGAGACTTTGTAGCTTTATTCTTCCGCCCTTGTGACGTTGGAGATGGGAGCCATATTGCAGACTTGCCAGTTTTTAGTCAGGATTTCTACTAAAATCTGGGAACAGTTTCAGATTTGTCAGTACATTCATCATTATTGTTAGTAATTCTCAGAACTTCCACTTTTGGAACTTACTTGTTTTCTAAAAATTCATCCAACAAATCTCCTTGTCTTCAAGTTTTCTCAGTAGGAAATTTTTGTAGTTTTATATATCCTCTTCAAAATATGCTCATCAGATTCTCTTAACCCACTTCATGTTTGTCCTGACTGTGACTTTGGTCTGATAGATGCACTCTGTGCACAAAAATATTCCAAAAATGAATTTTCAATAGTTCCAGTGCCACTTACCTCAGGTTAATGCATGCTTATATTTAAAAATATCACATAATTGTAATTAATGGAATGGGTATACAAAAAGTATCAACACTGATTCATCTTTGGAGTATAAAAATGCAACTTAAAATTCATCATAACCCACTAAAATAATTTTGAGTACGTTAAGAATTTTCAAAAGCTGTTCTACCCCAACCCTTTCTTCAACAGTTTCAAAAATACATATATTGTATTTTCTTGTTAGCAATGAAGAATTCTTTTAGCCTCACCAAGGAATTGATTCAATAATCCTAACTGGATAGCCACATAATGACTATGTCAGTCACTGATCGTAGGGCTTTCCCAAAAGGCATTTACACTTGGCTACCTTGTTATTAGAACTCTGATTTTGTTCAGATATTTTGTTCACATATTTTAGAGAGTGAAACAAATACTTGAAGCCAATATACATTTTCATTATTCTTGCTTGATTAAGCATGTCATGAAATTCCGACCAATTGCAAGTGAGGGGAAGTTCTCTAGAAAGTAATTTATCTTCACTTTTAAATAGATATTTTGTTGTTTTTGGTGTTATTGTTGTTTTGCACTTGGATTTTGTTATGTAGGAACACAATGGCTGGATATATTGTAGTCATCCTAAGAAAATGAGAGGAGAAATCTACAATT
Source organism: Homo sapiens (assembly GCF_000001405.40). Classification (NCBI taxonomy): domain Eukaryota; kingdom Metazoa; phylum Chordata; class Mammalia; order Primates; family Hominidae; genus Homo; species Homo sapiens. The sequence goes on along the minus strand of NC_000008.11, from coordinate 79,380,423 downwards.
GTCAAGGCAGAGAGATCTTAACATTAAAGTGCTGATATAACTGATGTTCTACTTTGTGACTTATTGTGCAAGGCAGTACATTTACCTTTTATATGACAGTTTTAAAACATATTTACTGAGGTATATTTGACATACAATAAACTGTTCTTATTAAAGATGTATATCCAGATAGGCTTTGACGTATGTACATACCTACAAAATCACCACTGTTAATATAATGAATGTTCTATAACCTCCCGACGTTTTCTTATCTATGTGTCTAAATAAAGACAGCTTTAATGCAGTTATTAAAACATTTTATTTCTTTATGTTGCTTTATCACACTGACTACAATATCTAGTACACTGTTGAACAAACGTGGTGAGAGCTGACATCTTCACCTTTTTCCTCATCTTTGCATTCAATCTTTTACCAGTAAATATGATGTGAGCTACAGGTTTTTTTGTAGGTACTTTTATCTGATTGAGAAAGTTCTGTTATTAGTGGCTGAGAGTTTTTTTCAGGGATTGATATGGGATTTCATCAGATGTTTTCCCATCTATATTTAGATGGTCATGTATTTTTTTCTTTTTTAATCTGTTAGTAGAGGATATTACATAAATTAATATCTGAATCTTAAACTTTGCATACCTGGAGTAAACTTAACTTGGTCGTGGTGACATTTTTTTATATAATGGTGGACTTAATTTGAGAAAATTTTATTAAGGAATTTCCACCTATGTCTCTGAGAAATATTGGTCTAGTTTTGTTTTCTTACAAAGTGTTTATCTGGTTTTGTTACAAAATTAAGTCTGACATTATAGGTTGAGTTGGTTGGTGAGTATTCCCTCCTCTTCAGCCTTCTGGAAGGAAATCATTTTATTGTTTTTGTGTTTTCTATTTTCTTAAGTTCTGCTATGGTTTTTATGATTTCCTTTCTTCTACTTACTTTGGTTTTCATTTGTCCTTCTTTTTATAGTTTCTTATGATCAAAGCTAAAATAAGTGATTTGAGATCATTCTTTTCTAATATAGGTATTTTAATTCTATTTGCTTTTCATTGATGCGTTAGCTGTATCCCTCAAATTTTGATAGGCTGTGTTTTTTTTTTTTTTTTATTTAGCTCAATATACCTTCTAAGTGGACCTTTGGAAATGTGCCATTTGGTTTCAAATATTTGGGGATTTTCTAGGTATGTTTATGTTACTGATTTAAAATATAAATTCTAGTGTGATCAGAAACATACTTTGAATGATTTGACTCTTTTAATTGAATACACATATTCTTTATGTCACTGAATATGAAATATATAGGTAATGCTCTGTTTTTACTTGGAAAGAATATACATTCTGTTTTCGGGTGGAGTGTTGGCTTTCATTTTTTCTTGGGCAAGATGGAAAATTCTCTTCCTGTTACTCCATCTTGGCCAGAAATCTAAATTCTCATATAAACCGATTTTGCTTGTTCAGTTGTTATTTTTATTTGCAACTAAAAGCAATGTCATGCATGATGACTTGAAGAAATGTCTGAAACTTTTGAAAATTCCTTATTTGGCAAGAAAATCTACTTATTTATTTAAATAGCTTTCGAACATACCCTTCCCTCACTCATAATTGCGGGGTAGGAGCACACCACAGTTTATTAGTAAAAGTTATTTTATTTAAACATATCTAGAAGTTTTCTGTGTTAAATTTGTAAGGAAGAAAAGGAAGTAGTCTTTTATAACTGACTTTTTATAAGTAAATGTGAGCTAACTTTGAGGCTATATAGCATATGCAGCAGAGCTTGTGAACTGAAGACTTGTGGTCCCATTTGGTGTGCAAGCATGTTTTACTTGGTCTCCACTATCTTGGTTCCTGTGATGTTCTAAAACGATGTAAATGTTGGCTGTAAATGAGAGTCTAGATTTCCATATTCTCTTAAGACATTTTGAGTATCCAGAGATACTCTTAAATGACTGCAACAAAGCTCAAAGACTTGGAGCCAAGTGGTGGTTTCCTCCATTAGATGGAGCATGCATTCTCCAGCCTACCACTGCCCCCATCACTCAGTGTAGTCTCATACCCAGCACTTTTCACCCATATGCATCATGTCCTTATAATTGAAGGGATTTGACTTCGCATTTTCTTCAGTGTAGGGATTACCTCTGAGTTTGACCCATGTTCACATTACTGTCTAGATTCATTATAAAATGACTAGAAAAAGCCTCAATTTCAGTGAAGTAAAACAAACACAAATTCTCTTTATTTTTTTCTAATTAATGTCTTTTTAGGGGAGAATTAAGGAGAAGGGGGATTCCATTTGGGATTTTTTCCACCTCCTTAGCAAATATGGACAGTTTGTTATTCTTCATTTGCCTTTTGTCCATCATTTTCATAAAAGGTGGGGCATAACACAATTTTTTAAAGCATACCTATTTTTTTAATGTTTAATTTATTATTATTATTATTTTTAATATGGAGTGTCCCTCTGTGGCCCAGGCTGGAGTGCAGTGCCCTGATCTCAGCTCACTGCCAGCTCCGCCTCCCGGGTTCACGCCATTCTCCTGCCTCAGCCTCCAGAGTAGCTGATTCTACAGGTGCCCGCCACCACGCCCAGCTAATTTTTTGTATTTTTAGTAGAGATGGGGTTTCACCGTGTTAGCCAGGATGGTCTTGAGAGGTGACAGCGTGCTGGAAGTCCTCAGAGCCCTCGCTTGCTCTTGGCACCTCCTCTGCATGGGCTCCCACTCTGCATGGGCTCCCACTCTGCATGGGCGGCATTTGAGGAGCCCTTCAGCCCATCACTGCACTGTGGGAGCCCCTTTCCGGGCTGGCCAAGGCTGGAGCCCACTCCCTCAGCTTGCAGGGAGGTGTGGAGGGAGAGGCGCGAACGGGAACCGGGGCTGCCTGCAGCGCTTGCAGGCCAGCTGGAGTTCCGGGTGGGCTTGGGCTTGGCGGGCCCCGCACTCGGAGCAGCCAGCCGGTCCTGCCGGCCCCAGGCAGTAAGGGGCTTAGCACCCAGGCCAGTGGCTGCGGAGGGTGTACTGGGTCCCCCAGCAGTGCCGGCCCACTGGTGCTGCGCTCGATTTCTCACCAGGCCTTAGCTGGCTTCCCGCGGGGCAGGGCTTGGGACCTGCAGCGCGCCATGCCTGAGTCTCCCACCCCCTCCATGGGCTCCTGTGCGGCCCCGAGCCTCCCGGACGAGCGCTGCCCCCTGCTCCACGGCGCCCAGTCACATCAACTGCCCAAGGGCTGAGGAGTGTGAGCGCATGGCGCAGGACTGGCAGGCAGCTCCACCTGCTGCCCCGGTGCGGGATCCACTGGGTGAAGCCACCTGGGCTCCTGAGTCTGGTGGGGACGTGGAGAGTCTTTATGTCTAGCTCAGGGATTGTAAGCACACCAATCAGCACCCTGTGTCTAGCTCAGGGTTTGTGAGTGCACCAATCGACACTCTGTATCTAGCTGCTCTGGTGGGGCCTTGGAGAACCTGCATGTCAAAACTCTGTATCTAACTAATCTGATGGGGACGTGGAGAATCTTTGTATCTAGCTCAGGGATTGTAAACACACCAATCAGCGCCCTGACAAAACAGGCCACTCGGCTCTACCAATCAGCAGGATGTGGGTGGGGCCATATAAGACAATCAGGCTGCCAGCGCCAGCATTGGCAACCCACTGGGTTCCCGTTCCACACTGTGGAAGCTTTGTTCTTTCGCTCTTTGCAGTAAATCTTGCTTACTGCTAACTATTTGGGTCTACGCTGCTTTTATGAGCTGTAACACTCACCGCGAAGATCTGCAGCTTCACTCCTGAGCCCAGCGAGGCCACGAGTCCACCGGGAGGAACGAACAACTCCAGACGCTCTGCCTTAAGAGCTATAACACCGCGAAGGTCTGCAGCTTCACTCCTGAGGCAGCGAGACCACGAACCCACCAGAAGGAAGACACTCTGAACACATCTGAACATCAGAAGGAACAAACTCCAGACGCGGCACCTTAAGAGCTGTAACACTCACCGCGAGGGTCCGCGGCTTCATTCTTGAAGTCAGTGAGACCAAGAACCCACCAATTCCGGACACAGTCTCCATCTCCTGACCTCGTGATCCACCCGCCTCGGCCTCCCAAAGTGCTGGGATTACAGGTGTGAGCCACCGCACCCGGCCACAGCATACCTATTTTTAAAAATAAGCTGACAGTTTTTTTTTTGTTTTTTTTTGGTTTTGCCTCCTGGAACTGGCCTCTTCATAGAATCTGCACTAAAAACCTACACATACAACATGGTTTAATGATGATTAGGACTAAGGAAGGCTTAATTTTCCTTATGTAGGAAGGAAACTACATTGTGCAGTGATACTTGAGGGCCAGATTTTGATTACTTGCTAATGTTACGGATTTGTTTTTATTGGGAGATACTTTACTGTGGCTATTCTACACCTCCAACTCTGGTAGGACCATCTTTTTAACTCTATTTTGGGATTAGGAGGTGGAGTAGTTCAAGTTAGTATGTTTGCCTGTCTGATTACAATATTCTTGGCTTACATGAGTCTTATTAAATTGTAACAAGGGAATGTCAAAGCTGAAAATTCCAAATTCCTATTTTCAGATATAAACTATAATCTGAAAATCACGCTTCATAAGAAATATATGACTTTCATATTTTAGTCTTTAAAGTCTCTGACCTTTTTCCTGAACTTTAAAATGTATATGTATAAACATGTATATTTGTGACACTTAACCAAGTATTCACACTTCTCTAAATTTGGGTGGTAGCATATAGGAAAATAAGTATTAGCTAACAAATAATGAGTGCTATTAGCTAAAGACTAGTTATTTTATTTAATCTTCACAACAACCTCTAAGGTTACTACTCTATTTTATTTTACAGATTATGAAACTATGGCAGGGCTAGATTAATTTGCCCAAAGACAAATAGTCAGTATCCAGTGCCTGGATTCAAGCCCAGGGACCATGGCTCCAAAGCCCGTGTTCTTAATTTTCAATCTATATTGCCTCTTTAAGAAATGAGTGTAGGTGGTGAAATACAATTGATAACACCTAGGAATTTAAATTTGAGCTATTATAAGCATATGGGGAGATCTTGCAATTGGTGTTTCAGCTCTGATACAAAGAAGTTGTTAGTTCAGAAATGACATTGATCAGAGGTACCTGAAGAAGTCAGAGATAGAGAACTGAGGTGATAAAAAGAAATGAAGACTCAGACCAGAAACAACACAGAAACACATCTTTGTCATTTCCTTTTATGTTTCACAGAACTACACTTTAGTTATATTTATATATCAATTGCAGATTGCTGGTGGGTGCATAGACTGAGTACACACATAAACACACACACACCCACACTCATAGAACTTTTTAAATGTACATGTTCAGTAAAATGTATACAGTTTATTCTGTTAGGTGTTGAATCACTTTTTTGGTTGACATTGTAACATCATGATATAAAAATGAAACAAATAATAACAAAGGTTCTTGACATGGGGAAATTGTCCTGGATTATCTGAGTAGACCCAATGTAATATCAGGGTTCTTTAAAAAAGTCAAAGAAGGAAAGGTAATCATGGAAGCAGAATCAGAAGGAGATTTGAAGGTGCTTGCTTCTTTGAGGATACTGGTTTTGAAGACGGAGGAAAGAGCCATGAGCCAAAGAACACAGATGGCCTCTAGAAGCTAAGACGAGAGAACAGGCCTTACCCTAGAGCCTGCAGAATTAATGCAGCCCTGCTGACACCTTGATTTTGGCTTGATGAAACCCATTTAGGACTTCTGACCTTCAGAACGGTAAGATCATAAATTTGACGTTTTAAGCCACTGAAAAGTTTGTGATAATTTTTCACCAGTACCAGTAGGAAACCAGTAGAAGCTGGCCATTCAACCCTAATCTTTTATTATCCAGATGGGTTCTCTACCTGGCCAGCACCCTGTTGTCTGTTCCTTACTGTACATATGGTTGACACTTGTACAGTACAGGGAAGATGGAGCCGCCAGGTTGAACATGTCTGGCCCCCAGGTAGCCTTTTCCTATTGGCACAGCTGCCAGCATTTACCTATGGAAGCTTCCAGCTTGCTCATCTATATCTGCAGCTGAATTTTCCAGGCTGCTCTTTGTTAGGAAAGAAATGATTTTGGGGGCTGCTTCATGTTAAAAGGGAAGCCTTACTGAGGACTATATTACCCACACTAATTGTCTAAATAATTTCTTTTTAGCTCCCGTATCAATATCTGTGCTATTATGAACAGTGCTGTGATAAATACACTAGTGCAGTTTGTGTGTGTGTGTGTGTGTGTGTATGTGTGTAATGATTTCATTTCCTTTGGGTAGATTCCTAGTATTAAAATTGCTGAGTCAAATGATAGTTCTACTTTTAGCTCTTTGAGAAATCTCCATATTGTTTTCCATAGAGGTTGTACTAATTTACATTTCCACCAACAGTGTATAAGTTTTTCCGTATCCTTACCAACAACTGTTGTTTTTTATCTTTTTAATAATAACCATTCTGTCTGGGCACGGTGGTTCATGCTTGTAATCCCAGCACTTTGGGAGGCCGAGGTGGGTGGATCATTTGAGGTCAGGAGTTCAAGACCAGTCTGGGCAACATGGTGAAACCCCACGTCTACTAAAAATGAAAAATTAGCCAGTTGTGGTGGCAGGTGCCTGTAGTCCCAGCTACTCGAGAGGCTGAGGCAGGAGAATCGCTTGAACCTGGGAGGTGGAGGTTGCAGTGAGCTGAGATTGTGCCACTGCACTCCAGCCTGGGCGACAGAGTGAGATTCTGTCTCTAAATAAATAAATAAAATAAAAAATAAAAATAAATAAAATAAATAATAGCCATTCTAACTGGTGTAAAATGATACCTCATTGTGGTTTTGACTTGCATTTTCCTGGTGATTAGTAATGTTGAGCATCTTTTTGTATACTTCTTGGCCATTTGTATGTGTTCTTTGGAAAAATGTCTATTCCCGTCTTTTGCATACTTTTTTTTTATTATTATACTTTAAGTTTTAGGGTACATATGCACAATGTGCAGGTTAGTTACATAAGTGGGATTAATTGTTGTTTTTGTGGTTGCATTGTATGAGTTTCTTGTTTAATTTAGATATTAGTTCCCTGTCAAATGAATAATTTGCAAATATTTTCCACCATTCTGCTGCTTTTTGTTCACTCTGTTGATCACTTCTTTTGCTGTGCAGAAGCTTTTTGTTTAATTAAGTCCCATTTGTTTATTTTTGTTTCTGTTGCCTGTGCTTTTGAGGTCTTAGTCATAAATTATTTGCCTAGACAAATAACCAGAGAGTTTCCCTAGGTTTTTCCTTTTTTTTTTTATACTTTAAGTTCTAGGGTACATGTGCACAACGTGCAGGTTTGTTACATAGATACACATGTGCCTTGTTGGTTTGCTGCACCCATTAACTCGTCATTTACATTAGGTATTTCTCCTAATGCTATCCCTCCCCCTGCCCCCCACCCCGTGACAGGCCCTGGGGTGTGATGTTCCCCGCCCTGTGTCCAAGTGTTCTCATTGTTCAATTCCCACCTATGAGTGAGAACATCTGGTGTTTGGTTTTCTGTCCTTGTGATAGTTTGCTCAGAATGATGATTTCCAGCTGCATCCATGACCCTGCAAAGGACATGAACTCATCCTTTTTTATGGCTGCCTAGTACTCCATGGTGTATATGTGCCACGTTTTCTTATCAGTGATGGGCATTTGGGTTGGTTCCAAGTCTTTGCTATTGTGAATAGTGCTTCAATAAACATACGTGTGCATGTGTCTTTATAGTGGCATGATTTATAATCTTTTGGGTAATGGGATCACTGGGTCAAATAGTATTTCTAGTTTTAGATCCTTGAGGATTCGCCACACTGTCTTCCACAATGATTGAACTAGTTTACACTCCCACCAACAGTGTAAAAGCATTCCTATTTCTCCACATCCTCTCCAGCATCTGTTGTTTCCTGACTTTTTAATGATTGCCATTCTAACTGGTGTGAGATGGTATCTCATTGTGGTTTTGATTTGCATTTCTCTCATGACCGGTGATGATGAGCATTTTTTCATGTGTCTGTTGGTTGCGTAAGAGTCTCCTTTTGAGAAGTGTCTGTTCATATCCTTTGCCCACTTTTTGATGGGGTTGTTTGTTTTTTTCTTGTAAATTTGTTTAAGTTGTTTGTAGCTTCTGGACAATTAGCGCTTTGTCAGAAGGGTAGATTGCAAAAATTTTCTCCCATTCTGTGGGTTGCCTGTTCACTCTGATGGTAGTTTCTTTTGCTGTGCAGAAGCTCTTTAGTTTAATTAGATTCCATTTGTCTATTTTGGCTTTTGTTGCCATTGTTTTTGGTGTTTTAGTCATGAAGTCCTTGCCCATGCCTATGTCCTGAATGGTATTGCCTAGGTTTTCTTCTAGGATTTTTACAGTTTTAGGTGTAACATTTAAGTCTTTAATCCATCTTGAATTAATTTTTGTATAAGGTGTAAGGAAGGGATCCAGTTTCAGCTTTCTACATATGGCTAGCTAGTTTTCCCAGCACCATTTATTAAATAGGGGATCCTTTCCCCATTGCTTGTTTTTGCCAGAGTTGTCAAAGATCTGATGGTTGTAGATGTGTGGTGTTATTTCTGAGGCCTCTGTTCTGTTTTGTTGGTCTATATCTCTGTTTTGGTAGCAATACCATGCTGTGTTGGTTATTGTAGCCTTGTAGTATAGTTTGAAGTCATGTAGTGTGATGCCTCCAACTTTGTTCTTTTTGCTTAGGATTGTCTTGGCAATGCAGGCTTTTTTTTGGTTCCATACGAACTTTAAAGTAGTTTTTTACAATTCTGTGAAGAAAATCATTGGTAGCTTGATGGGGAATCTATTAATTACCTTGGACAGTATGGCCATTTTTGTGATATTGATTCTTCCTATCCATGAGCAGGGAAAGTTCTTTCATTTGTTTGTGTCCTCTTTTATTTCGTTGAGCAGTGGTTTGTAGTTCTCCTTGAAGAGGTCTTCACATCCCTTGTAAATTGTATTCCTAGGTATTTTATTCTCTTTGCAGCAATTGTGAATGGGAATTCACTCATGATTTGTCTCTCTGTTTGTCTGTTACTGGCATATAGGAATGCTTGTGATTTTTGCACATTGATTTTGTATCCTGAGACTTTGCTGAAGTTGCTTATCAGCTTAAGGAGATTTTGGGCTGAGATGATGGGGTTTTCTAAATATACAATCATGTCATCTGTAAACATGGACAATTTGACTTGCTCTTTTCCTAACTGAATACACTTTATTTCTTTCTCTTGCCTGATTGCCCTGGCCAGAACTTCCAACACTATGCTGAATAGGAGTGGTGAGTGAGGGCATCCCTGTCTTGTGCCAGTTTTCAAAGGGAATGCTTCCAGTTTTTGCCCATTCAGTATGATATTTGCTGTGGGTTTGTCATAAATAGTTCTTATTATTTTGAGATGCGTTCCATCAATACCTAGTTTATTGAGAGATTTTAGCATGAAGAGCTGTTGAATTTTGTCAGAGGCCTTTTCCTAGTGTTTTTATAGTTTCACCTCTTACATTTAAGTCTTTGATCCATCTTGAGTTGATTTTTGTATATGATAAGAGATAGGGGTCTAGTTTCATTACTCTGCATATGGCAATCCAATTTTCCAAGCACTATTTATTGAAAAGGGTATTCTTTCTCCAGTATATGTTCTTGTGAGTTTTGTCAAGGATCAGTTGGCTGTAAATATGTGGCTTTATTTTTGCGTCTCTATTCTGCTCCATTGATCTATGTTCTTATTTTTATACTAGTTCCATGGTGTTTTGATTACTGTAGCCTTGCTGTGTAATTTGAAATCAGGTTATATGATGCCCGTTGCTTTGTTCTGTTTGCTCTGCTTTGCTTTTGCTATTCAGGCTCTTTTTAGGTTCCATACAGATTTTAAGATTGTTTTTCTAATTCTGTGAAGAATGATATTGGTGTTTTGATAGGGATTGCATTGAATCTGTAGATTGCTTGGGGTATTATGGTCATTTTCAAGATATGAATTATTTCAGTCCATGAGCATGGATATTTTTCCATTTGTTTTTATTATCTGCAATATCTTTCATGAGTGTTTTATAGTTTTCCTTGTAGAGATCTTTTACCTCTTTGTTTAAATAGATTCCTAGGTTTTTATTCTTTATTTTGTAGCTATTGTAAACGGGATTATAATCTTGATTTGTTTCTCAGCTTCATTTGCTGAGATACATTATTGATGTATAGAAATGTTTGAGTGGTAATTTTTAACCTGAAACTTTACTGAATTTATTTATCAAATCTAAGAGTTTTTGTTGGGAGTCCTTAGATTTCTCAAGAGATAGGAGCATATAACCAGTGAAAAGGGATATTTTGACTTCCTCTTTTCCAGTTTGGATGCATTTTATTTCTTTCTTTTGCCTGATTGGCTGTATAGGACTATACAATAGTCCTATATACTCCTATTCAATAGTACTGTATTGCATAGGAGTGATTAAAATGGATATCCTCGTCTTGTTCTAGTTGTTAGAGGGAATGCTTTCAACTTCTCCCCATTTTGTATGATGTTGGCTGTGTGTTTGTCATATATGGCTTTTATTTTGAGGTATGTTCCTTCTATGCTTAGTTTGTTGAGGATTTTTATCATGGAGAGATGCTAAATTTTATCAAATGCTTTTCTGGCATCTTTTGAGATTATCATATGGGTTTTGTCCTTAATTCTGTTTATATGATATATTAGATTTATTGATTTGTATATGCAGAACCATCCTTGAATCCCCGACATAAAACCCACTAGGTCATCCTGGGAACTTTTTTTTTTTGATATGCTGTTGGATTTGGTTTGCTAGTATTTTCTTGAGGATTTTTGCATGTATGTTCCTGAGGAATATTGGTCTATAGTTTTCTTTTTTCTTTTTTTTGCTACCTTTTCTGGTTTTGGTTACTTTTAATTTTTTAAGGTAGAAAAATTATTTAGAATAGAAATGGTAGTGTGAAGATTGTTAGTTACAACTAGTTTATATTTGGCTATTTGCAACTGGGTGTCTCTTCTTTGCACTGTTCACAACTTGTTTTTGAATTATTCTGTCTCCAACACTTTGGGTATACTTCTCAGTCAATGGAACTGGAATGTTCAGTCTCAGAGTGTGTTTAACATACATATAAATAGGGATCATTTATTGTATGACAGCCACTTTTCAAACATTATTTCTTTTAATCCTAACAATATTCCTATACTTTAGGTATCACTAATATCATTTTATTCTTTTTTTTTTTTTTTTTTGAGACAGAGTTTCGTTCTTGTCGCCCAGGCTGGAGTCCAGTGGTGCAATCTTGGCTCACCGCAATCTCCACCTCCTGGGTTCAAGCAATTCTCCTCTGTCAGCCTCCCCAGTAGCTGGGGTTACAGGCATGCGCCACCACGCCCAGCTAATTTTGTATTTTTAGTAGAGATGGGGTTTCTCCATGTTGGTCAGGCTGGTCTCAAACTCCCAACTTCAGGTGATCTGCCTGCCTTGGCCTCCAAAGTGCTGGGATTACAGGCATGAGCTACTGTGCCTGGCTACTAATACCATTTTAAGGTGAAGAAGTTGAAGACTCAGAGAGGTTAAATGAATTGTTCAATGTTACACAGATAGTAAGTAAGGGAAATTCGTTCTCAATACTGATCTAAAGCCCCTACCTGAGGCTCTTCTCTTTTTAACTAGTCACTTTCTTAAAACAAAGGTGACCAAGGAGGTACTTCTTTGACAATTTTAGATTAACCTGAAATAACTTATGACTTGTGTACATATACATATACACGATGTAGAATATATATGTTTACTTGATCTTGATCTCTATTTTTATGAGAAAACCAATCCTTTGAATCTTATATATGCTATTGTTTAATCATTGACTTTGAGTACCATCCTTGGGAACTTTAAACTCATGAGATCATTCATTTATTCTATGATCCTTAGACAATAAATAACTTACAAACTATACCAAACTTAACAAAGAAATAATTTATCAACTTTAAAAGAAACCTTTAAGATTGGGGAATTAGACAGTATTTCTGAGGCCTGGTCATGCAGAAATTGAAAACTTCCTAAGGGCAAAGTGTCTATTCCTTGGTTATAATTCACAGATTTTAATAGATTGAAGGCTATTGTCAGCTCATCGAGTTCAACTTCCTTTTGTCTGTCTGATTTGGAATAAACTATTTGACCTGTGAGTTTCATTTTTCCAACAAAGAAAATGGGGTTAACAACACCTACTCACATACTCCTTGTGAATATTGATGGAGATAATAAATAAGAAGGACATAATAAAGCCCTTGGCTTATAGTAAGCACTTAAAAGTGTTTATTATTATTGTGACTATCTTCAAAATGTTAATTATTATGATTATTATGGATTCCTCTATAAATGTTTCTTCACTTAATAATATTACCTTTTTAAGATTCTTTATAGTTTCTTGGGTGAATACATCACTTCTTGAAAATGAATGGTGCTGATAATGCCACTCATTTACCAAAGCAAAACAAACTTAAAAAAAGCAAACTCTAATGGCTACCACCAAAACCCACCAAATCAAATTTGAAAATTTTGTCTTATATTAAAATTCTCCTCTAGTTAGACTTCAACCTGCATTTCTCTATCTTCAGACACACAGAACCACATGCTGTTTCCTGAGCTTGTTGGAAGTTTTCCTTCTGCCTTTTGCTCAGGTTGTTTTTATTGATGGCCCTGGATACACACCCTGTATAGGAACCTCAACTGGGACTTCATGGGAGAGATTGTACCTAGCATGTCAGTAGATTTTTGCTTTTACTTTATCCTGTCAAAAGTTTATTAACCATTTGAAAGTAATTCTGTATTCTCAGAGATTTGAGAGAAATCTGGACCAAGGAGGCCAAACAGCAACCCCAGAGAAAGTAGAATATCCCACATTATTAAGACCAGGTTAGACTACCCAAAGGTCAACTACCAAGGATAAGCCCAAGTCACACTACTAAACAACATCATTTTTTAACAAATCTTCTTAACCATGTCTTTCTCTCCCTCACTTGAATAATAGTATAGTACATTTTCTATTATCACCCCTGGTCATAAGTCCCTGCTTTTACTCTTCTGTGTCTCACGAAATCTTATTCTGTAGTTTCAACACCAGCTACCTCAAAAACCTACGTCTAAGCCCCATTTAGGAAATCTCTCATCCTGAGCCAATCCTCTGCTCAATTCTTTTTTCTTTTGTGGTTGAACCATCTAGGAAGCTCCTTCCACATGGCACAACCTTCTTCTACTTCTGTCTCCCAAATCCTACCTTTCCATGTATGCACAAAACAAATGCTAACTCCTTCATAAAGCCTTTTCTGACCCTTATGCAGTTGAAACATTTCTTCTACCAACAAACTCCTAAGAAATTGTTTTTTTGTTTGTTTGTTTTGGTTTTGGTTTTTTATTTTATTTTATTTGATTATACTTTAAGTTCTAGTGTACATGTGCACAACGTGCAACATGCCATCTTGTAGCATACTAATCGCTGTGTGCTACCTTATCTTGCCTTGCTGGATTTTAAGTCTATTAAAAGTTAAGATTATATCTTGTATTTGTGTCTTCTGAGGGTTGTCTCACAAGGCCTGTTGTTAAATAAATAAATATCAATAAATATCTCACTTATTGTGTTGAATTTTAAAAAGTTCAATTCTAATTTATTATAGGATAAAATTGAGTTTTATTATTTTTATTAACACAGAAATATGTATGGAATCTCAGCCTAGTTCTATCTTCAATCTGACAATTGCTCTTCTGGGTGTACTCTTTGTTAATTTTTTTTGTAGATGCTAAAGTGAGACGTGGAAATGAGAAAACAATGCAATGAGTTGGATCACATCTACATTTTAGGGAAAGCTCAGAACAGCTCCAGTGGAGGGTCATATGTTATATCAAAAATCTTGACCCTGACAAAACATAAAAATTGGTTTGATGGAATATTTTAAATAATATTAATCCCATTAAGCCAAAAAATTCATGTTTATTGCATTAAAAATAGTGGGATTGATATTTTTGCACTTTAATTGTGTAGACATTTGTTATACTCAACATCTATGAGATGACTTTGACTTTTCTTAGAGATAGCATCACTATAAGGGCACAAGGGCCTGTGTGTGGGTTGGGAAGCCCATGGAAGTAGGTGTCATAAGATATAGATTTAGCTTCTAGTTCTTCAATGACAAACATACAATTAAAAGTTTTTTTTTCTTTAACGTTTTTTGAGCCTCCTGTATAAGATAGAGTGAACAATAAAAAATTTTCCTACCTCACAGGTTGTTTTTAAAAGACTGAATAAATGATTTTTATGTAAATATACATCATAAAATATACAACATAAGTGATATTATTTGGGGTCATAAATGGGATGAAAGTCTTACAGAAATTGTTTTTGGATTTCTAGCCTCTGGCTTTGATAATAGCATATACCACTGGCAGAAATGTCTTTTTTTTCCCATTACTTCTAAAAGTGCAGGAAAAAGTTGTCCTTCAGAAACCGCATCATTGAAGTCAAGTAAGAGATCTTATTCCATCTTGAAGGAATACTGATGTTTGTATCACTTAGACCTTCTTTCAAATAGGAGTCATCCTTTGGGAATGTGTAGAATGAGCGCATAAGAGAGGAATTTGGAAATTATTGCCCTCATCCTGATTTTCAACCAATGGTTTCACATTAGAATCCTCTGGAGGGTTTTCGAGAACACCAGTGCTGGGGTCCACCTTGAAAGATTCTAATTTAATTAACCAGGATAAGTGCTCATGTACCGGTATATTTTAAACTTTCCTAGTTGATTCTAATGGGTAGCTAGAGATGAGTATCACTCTTCTGGATTAGTCTTAATTTCGCTACAAAGGCTTCATACCTTAATGTTTTTGGTTGTCTGAATTCAATTGTGTTATTCTCTTTACTTTAAATAACTGACATATATCATGCTCATTATGATATGAGCTAGGTATTTCTCTAATCAGAGTAAGTATATACTAACTCTATTCAATTCTCATAACAATACTGTGGTAGGTATTGCTAATTTCTCTTTTTTTTTTTTCTCTTTTCTGTTTTTTTGAGAACGGAGTCTTGCTCTGTCACCCGGGCTGGAGTGCAGTGGTATGATCTTGGCTCACTGCAAGCACCCCTCCTAGGTTCACACCATTCTCTTGCCTCAGCCTCCTGAGTAGCTGGGACTACAGGTGCCCACCATCACACCAGGCTAGTTTTTTGCATTTTTAGTAGAGACGGGGTTTCACCGTGTTAGCCAGGATGGTCTTGATCTCCTGACCTCATGATCCACTCGCCTCAGCCTCCCAAAGTGTATATTTTCTCTACTTTATAGATGAGAAAACTGAAACAGAGAGAGTGTAAGGATTTAACCAAGGTCATACAGACCAAGTCATTCTTCCTTCCTTTTCTCATTCTTTAACTTTTGAACCTTTCATTATATCAGCTTAGGGATACCACATGCCTTAGATGATGACAATGAGCTAAAAGAATGAAAACCTTCAGAGGAAAAAAAAGAGAAAATTATTAAAGGCTGGATTAAAAAGTCATATTAATATAAATCATTATGTGACATTCTTCTTTTGAAAAATAGATCA
Source organism: Homo sapiens (assembly GCF_000001405.40). Taxonomy (NCBI): domain Eukaryota; kingdom Metazoa; phylum Chordata; class Mammalia; order Primates; family Hominidae; genus Homo; species Homo sapiens. The sequence continues at coordinate 79,364,829 of NC_000008.11, read as the reverse complement.
GATTTCAAACCCCAGCGAGCCATACAATGAAAACAACAACTGAATGAAACTTGCATTCAAAACACTTCAAGCAGTGGATGAAGAGGCTTATATTACATCAAGAAAAACATTACTAGTAAATTAAATTGTAAACCACCAGTAAGATTCAGAAACTGATTTTACTTTTATTGCAGTGCAAATTATATTATTAAGCAGGGTTCTTGTTCAGCCATGAAATGCAGATGGGCTGTTTAATATGCACATAGATGACATTTTTTATTAATTTTGGTGGTCATTACAATGAGTTGAATTTAAAAAGTGGGTTAATGCTTTATAATATTGTATTTTGAACAACACCACTCTTACTCATTTTAAAAATGCCCACTGTGACAGAAATATTACAGTTTCATGTTTAGTTAAGCAAAATAAGCAAAACTGGGAGAATTTAAGGTGTCATCTTATTTACTGCTTTCCAGTAGGATTATAATTAAAAATTTACTGAATGAAGTGGTATAATATTGATAAATTAACTGATTTTCTTTCTATAATTCTGCAATACCGTTCATGCCATCTGCTGAAATTAGATTGCAAGTCTGAAATTTATCACCTAAAAAAGGCTGAAAGAAAAAAAGAGATTCAAATTCTAGTTTTTGACTTCCATCTAGGGCAGTAGTTCTAATGGGGATGATTTCACCCTACCAAGGGCATGTTTGGCAGGGTCTAGAGGTATTTTTGGTTGTCACACCTGGGTGGGGTTGCTGTTGGCATCTAGTGGGTAGAGGCCAAGGATGCTGCTAAATAGCCTACAATGCTCAGAGCAACTTTCCACAACAAGCACTTATCTGACTCAAAATTACAGTTATGCTGAGGTTAAGAAACTCTAAACTAGAGATTTTTAAAAAATGTACAATTGACATAATACTCTTTAAAAGACAAGATAGCAATTGGGCTTGGTGGCTCATGCCTGTAGTCCCAGCACACTTGGAAGCTGAGGCAGGTGAATAGCTTGAGCCCAGGAGTTCGCAGCCAGCTTAGACAAGATAGCAAAACCTTGTCTCTACAAAAAATACAAAAAAAAAAAAAAAAATTAGCTGGGCATGGTGGCGCATGCCTGCAGTCTCAGCTACTTGGGAGACTGAGACGAGAAGATCACTTGAACCCAAGCAGTTGAGGCTGCAGTGAGCTGCGATTATGCTTGTGCACTCCAGCCTGGGTGACAGGAGTGAGACCCTGTCTCAAAAATAAAAATAAAAATAATAAATAATAAAGCAAAAAACCCAAGGCACTTCAATTTTATTGAGTACATATTATGTATCAGGTACTGGTTTGAAACTTTTTTATACAAATTGATCTTCAGAAAAATCCAGTGAATGTTGGTAATAATAATTTGCATTTATAATGACAAGGTAAAGCAATTTGCATTAGTTCATACTTATAGTAAGTGATGGGGCCAAGTTTCAACCCTTGGAAGTCTAATTACAGAATTTACCTACTTAACCATCCTGCTCCACTATCAAACTATCAATTGCGAGAGTCTCACCAATAAAGAAACATGTTTGGAGGGAATTTGTAAAAGGCCCAAAGTCCTCAGAAAATAAAGTGTATACCATCACAAATACAGTTAGAGGGCCAGATGCAGTGTCTCTCCCCTATAATCCCTGTGCTTTGGGAGGCCACAGTGGGAGGATTGCTTGAAGCCAGGAGTTTGAGACAAGCCTGGGCAATATAGCAAGACCTGTCTCTACAAACATTTAAAAAACTTGCTGGGCATGGTGGCATGCACCTGTTGTCCTAGCTACTTGGGAAGCTGAGGTGGGAGGATTGCTTGAGCCCAGAAGTTCGAGATTACACTGAGTTATGACTGCACTACTGCACTCCAGCCTGGGCAACAGAGTGACATCTTGTCTGTAAAAATTTATATATCTATATTACATACATATTATATATATGTGTTTATATATGTATGTGCACGCGTGTGTGTGTATGTAAAGAGAGAGAGACAGGGAAAGAGAGAGAAAGAGAGAGTTAGGACGACTGAATAATTTTCCAGTTATAGAGGAGAGTTTTTGATGGTCATGGAAAAACAATAAAGAAAACAGCCAGAAGGAGATAACTCTGGGTGAGAGGGTTGGAGACAAAAACCCTCAATGGGTTTCGTGGTATCTGAAAATAGAGTAAACCTATATTTCACCTTTAGGGTGTAGCCAGAAATTTACACACCAGCTTGGTAGAGCAGGATGAAGAATTCAGACTGGGGATGTTGAGACAACACTTGTCATTCCCATCCATACACCCCTCAAAGTGGGTCACCTTAGCCTCAAAGTGGCATGGGGAAGTATACAGAAGTTTCCAGTTGCTGTAAGAAGAACATAAAAGTGGCTGAGAAAGTTCGTCAGACTGGAACATACATCATGGTATTGGTGGGGTGTGGCCACCTGTAAATGGAGGATATGGACCATAGGAACAATACTCCATCCACAAAGAGGTCAGAACATCAGGGAGAGATGTCACTGGGCAAAGATTACCTCTTATAAGGACCACAGCTGATACTGGGTCAGAGTGAAACATATGCCTCCTCTCCTCACAGCCATGACAGGCTGATACATCTCGCTGCCTTGGAATATGGATTTAACTTTGTGGAAATGAAGGGAGCAGGAGAATATTTATTTTGAGAGTTTTACACCTGAAATGACTGAATGAACACTAATTGAAATTAAATATTCTTCTAGTACTGTAATGCAGGCTTATAACGGAAATTGCTGGGGAAGGAAAATGAATTTATATTTGTCAATTCCAGAGCTTTATGTCTTTCAAATTCAAATATGCTACAGGTGCCTATGCAAGACACAATATGGAGTGTGGAAGCTATTAACATTTTCAAGAGGAGGGCATGGAATCTTCCAGCTTGGATCTTTTTTCATTTGAAACCTATTTCTTAGACTGCAGTATAAATATTTTAAAAATACTTCTTTGCACACACCACCTAATCTGCCAAGAATTTTAGGATTTCCTTTAGTTTACAGATAAAATCTGGATTTTATGCAGCCTTCAACAACTGGATTCCTGTGTAATTCTGCCCACCCCTAACTGCTCTTTTTCCCTGCATCCCCAGCCAGGATTCTTTCTTTTACCCAAACAGATTTCTCACAAGGCCTTATTGTCTTGGGTCATAAATCTTTTCTAGTCTGGAATGTCTTTTCCCCTCCTTTCTGCTAGTCTAAATATACATCTCTTTCAAAGTCTATACTCTTGTCTCACATGATTTTTAAAGCATTCTCAAAATGCCTCAATTGTAATTCCTGTGAACTCCTACAGAAATGACAGGTATATATGCATCAGCAAGTGGACAATCTGACTATACTCTTATCTACACTTTTATTTGAACTGTGGAGAGATCTCAGTTTTTCTATCTGTAATTGCTCATATTTTGAATGCTAAGTTTTCATCAACCATAATTTTTATGTGCTCTAATATGTTTCTTCACAGATTCATGCCATGTTCAGTTTAAAAGAGTCCTGTTCTTTTAATACATTATCTTTGAAATGCCTCTTACTGAGGAATGACTAAACTTCTTCTGAAATGTGCTCTCTGGATTGAAGTCAAGAGTACATGTTGCAACAAAGATAATCATGACTTTTAGTATTAAGAGACAATTACCAGATTGAGTGCTACTTAGAAAAGTTTCCCTCCCTGTGCAGAGATTACTGTACTTATCAAACAACCCGCCCCATGTGGGCAATATATAATTGAGATAATTAGTATCCAACTGATACTAAAAGGTTAATTGGGATAAATTAATTTTAGCAAGAGTCCTGTTATCCAAAGAAATTGGGTCATGTATTTGGTCAATTAACCAAAAAGTCAGTAAGTAAAATATGAAATGATAACGTGGTGTGCAGTGAAGAATTCAGTTAACTCAAGGAGAGGTCTGGCCTTTACCTTCAGCTACTGAGAGACGATCTCTAGTCCCTGGAAATATCATGCCTGATAGGAATGTCTTTGCTTGGGGAAGGGACTGAAGAATAAAGGAATTAGCCTGAAATTCTGGGAGGTACTGGAGACTAAAGGGCAGCCACGTGAATAGTATGTGATCAAACCCCCATAAAACCTCTGGACACTGAAAGCTTGGGTGAGCTTCCCTGGTTGCCAGTACTCTGAATTGTTTCACATCAATGCTGGGAAGGTCACATATCTGTGATTCTGCAAAGAGAGGACAACAGGATCTGTTTGTTTGGTACTGATACAGACAGGAGACAGGGAAGTACTGGGTGGAAGAGGGTGGTTCCCAGACAAAGGCCCCAACCTCAAGCCTGCATACCTGTGGCCCTAAATGAGAGCAGGCATTCCTGTTTTTGCACCCAAAAAGTTGCCTTTTGGCCTTCAAGGCCCCCTTAAACCCCGAACTCCAAGCTCCAGAGCAGACCAGCAAGCCAGCAGAAAGGAGACAGATGGCTGAACGACGTGGCAGAGAAAGGGAGAGGAGAGGAACATCTGAACGCCCGGAGGAGTTCGGCTGGGGCGTACAGAGTGGCGTCCAGCCTCTCGGCAGCTGGATTCCAGGGGAGGATCGCTTTCCCACTCCATCCCCCACTTCTGACTCCCCATCCATCCTGCTGAAAACCACCTCCACCACTCAGTAAAACCTTACATTCATCCTTCAAGTCCGTGTGTGCCTCGATTTTCCGCGGATGATGGACAAGAGCTCGGGATACAGGAAGGCGTCACAGTGGCCTCTGCCCTTGCGAAAAGGCAGAGGGTGAGCTGATTAACACTCAGGCCATCTGCGGATGGCAAAGCTGAAAGAGCTCTGTAACACTGGGGTTGCAGACACACATCCCCAGACACTACCGTGGAGCTGGAGCTCAAAGTGCTCTCCTGGCTCCTGCACCTGCCGGTCTGCATGCTCACGCTCCCTCAAGGGGTTTGAGCAGCGGGGCGACTGAACATTTGGGCCACACTCCTGTCACACTTCCTGCGAAGGGGATAAGGAACCTAGAAAATGTTTCAGTACCTTTTCTAGACTCTTTCTGGTATTTTCCTCCCTTGGCTGATTTTGACTGTTACTCTTTCTCTGTTGTATATCATGACCATGAGTATAACAGCTTTCAGTAAGTTCTTTTAGTCCTTCTAGTGGGTTATTAATCCTGAGGGTGGTTTTGAAAACCATTCCCCTATATACACACACACACCAGATTTGCAATTGATGTCAGAGGTGAGAACGGTCTTGTATAGGCTGTATTCCCTTCAACTTTGCAGTTGGCTAAATTCAATGCAGGTGTTCATCAGAGATAGTCACAAATATTTAAAGTCTCCTTCCAAGCACTATGCAATAGAGGTATAGTATGTCTGTTAAACTGCTGCTGTTTTAGATGACTGAAATTTGGGGATTGTTTGTTACTGCAGCATAACTTAGACATCCTGACAGATGAGCACACAAAAATAAAACCTTTGGCTCTAAATTAAAACCAGAAGAGTAAATTTATTTTTCTGCATTTTTGTAGGCATTTTCTATGAATATGGATTTTGTGGTTACAGTTCTGTGCTATCTTTGTTGAGTAAATCAACCCATAATTTATTATCTAATATCAAGTGTCTTAGTCCTTTTGGACCCCCATAATAAAATACCATACACTAGGTGTCTTATAAACAATGTGTCTAATAAACAATAGAAATTTATTTCTTACAGTTCTGGAGGCTAAGAAGTCCCAGATCAAGCTGCTGGTAGATTCAGCATCTGGTGAAGTTTGCTTCCTGGATCATAGCGTCTTCTTGCAGCGTTCTCACATGGTGGCAGGGACTGGGGAGCTCTCTCATGCCTCTTTTAAAAAGGAGTTAATTCCATTCATGAGGGCTCCATCCTTATGACCCAATCACTTCCCAAAGGCCTCACCTCCTTATGCCCATCACCTTAGGGGTTAGGATTTTAACATATGAATTTTGGGAGGACACAAATATTCACTCCATAGCATCCAGTTATGATTTTATTGAAAATTAAGCATAATCTGAGAGTAGGATTTTTCTAGACTATCATCTTTATTTTTCTACTCATATTTCATGTGTTTATGTAACATTTCCTTGAATAATGTGATCATAATACAAATATAACAGACATAAAATAGTTGAAAACTGAATAATTAAACTCTTAATAGGCACACAACTCAACTGCAAGAGGAAGTGTTCAGGTATTCAGGAGGGTAGTTTAAGATTGGAGAGTGTTCAGTGTGCAATGAGCATCTGTATTTAAATTTTACATAAGAAATGGAAAATGTTAGTTAAGAATAAGAATTAATTAAATGGTAGTTGGTTAGAAGAGCTTCTGCAGTAATTGATTAAGAAGATAAGGGTTGGAGGTCAATACTAGTTCTGATACAATTTAAAACTTTAAACCATGTGCTGTATTTTGAATTATAACACTAATCTGTAATCACTTGTTTTAGCATTTAATTTCTGGTCTATTTTTCTTAATTTCACTTAAATTACAGTATGTATTAAAACATTATTAAGAGAAGGATAGAATAAATAACAGAAGACTTTTTGCATTATTAACAATTTAATCTCTGACTCAAGGTAGTGACAAGTTACAAAGACAATTTGCATTTGCATGTTACAAAAAATAATTTTAGAATTGTCAATGTATGACTGAATAGAATGACAAGCCAATTAACGTATATCTCTAGCAAGGAGTTATGGGGGAGTGACTTCGTTTACCCAAATAATTACTTTAGTTTTTCACTCTATCTCAGCTAGGTAGAGATAGCAGTAACAATGTTTCAAGGACGTGTTAGCTGGAAGGTGCTATGGGCTCTATGGATTAAAGTGTTCCTATCCCCCATGAAGCTCCTTGATACTGACAATGTTGGGAAAAGCCTTGTGACTTTTTCAATCATGGAATCATAGAATTTAATTCATGAGGGCTTATTTAGGCAGCCCTGTTGTTTTACTAATGAGGGATTTACATGTGTGAGAAGTTATTCTGTCTTGCTCAAACACAAATAACTAATGGAAAAATCACATTAAATCCAAGGTTTCTTGCCTCCTGGGTCAGTTCTCCTTCACTGTGCTTTATCATCGTTTCTAGTCTAGAAAGTTGTTGCATACCTAAGTGTTTCATCGCTAAGCCTGCTGGCTCCATATTTTATCACCTTATCTAGCCAATGTTGATTTTTCTTTCGCAAACTCTCCAACAACTAGTTCGCAGGTTTTTCTGTAATCTGCTTTTATTTCTCAATAATATTTTCTGACACATTTCTATGTCAAGAAATATGGAACTAAATCATAATATTTAAAAAATGTATAGTAATCTGTTATGTGAGTGTATGTATGTATAGTAATCTGTTATGTGAGTGTATGTATCTACACCATAGAATATATTTTTTAAAATAACCAGTTCTTGCTCGGTAGAGGGTGGTGGTGGTAACTGCCTGACTATCCCCTGCCCTCTGATCCCTGACATAGCTGATTGAGACATGGGTGGAAATACTGATGTTCTGAAGTTTCACAACTGTATTTCTAAGACAGCATCTGTTTTCATTTACCCTGTTTAGCACTCAGTGAGCCCTTCTATTTAACAACTATTGTTTTCCTTGAGCACTGGGAAATTTTCTCATATTATTGTTCTTATTTTAAAAATATCTTCATCTTCTGTGTTCTTTCTTCTCTTTTAATGAGACTCCTGATAATAGGACCTTGGATGCTCTTCTTTTTCGGTTACTATAATTATGTAACAAATTACCCCAAAACTTAGTCCCTTAAAGCAACCTTTCAGTTTTGCTCATGATTTTGTAAATCATGAATTTTGGAAAGACTGGTTAGGCAGTTCTCACTTGAGAGTTCTAATGCAGTTGCTGTCAGATTTCACTGGAACTGCAGTCATCTGAAGGCTAAGCTGAGCTGGATGGTAAAAAGATGACTCCTCCATAAGGTGGCAATTGGTGCTGGCTGTTGGCCTGCAGATCAGCTGGAGCTGTCAACTGGAGTGCCAGTGTGTGGCTTCTTCATGCAGCTTGACTTCTTTCTTCAGAAATTGGTTGAATTCTATAAGCTTCTGATGACCCCATCCATTGTAGTGGTTTTATGTTACACTTACTGAATATCCCTTTGCTATCATATGTTTTAAAGTAAGTGTTTTAGGAAAGCATAGCATAGTTACAGAAATGCCCAAAGATCTTTTAAGTTACTAAATTTTCATGATATGAACACATTCATGTAACCAATACCTAGATCAAGATGAAAAACATAACCAGCGCTGCAGAAGACTGCAATCCTAGAGTCTCCTGCAGAACCCCTCCTCACGCTCCTTGCTTCAAACATCGTAGATTAGTCTTGCTTGCTTTTGGATTAATTTTAATGGAATCAGTATGTACTCTACGTCCAGCTCCTTTTGCTGCACATTATGTCTGTGTGAGTCAATAACATTTGTTGATTTATTATCCTTGTTATATAATTACATTGTATGAAAATGCCATAATTTAATTGCCTATTTTACTGTTAATGTACATTTCTTTCAGTTTTTGGCTTTTATCAGTAGTACCTTATTGATTCTAATAGCTTATCTGTACATTCTTTTTTTGTTTTGTTTTGTTTTCTGACTTCCTCTTAAAATACAGTTTATTGCCCTTGATCTTTAGTTTCAAATAGTAACTATTCACAGTAAACAATGTGACACAGTAAACAACATGTATAGTAAACAAAGTACAGAAAAACAAACAGGAGAAAACAATTTGCCCCTTGTACTTCACCCAGAAGAGCCACTGCTAATATTTTGATGTATTTCCTTCTATTTTAGTTGCAAACTGTAACAACCGTTAAATAAATAAATACAATGAATTTGTAAAGTTTACAAAGTAATACTAGGAGTGATGATTGCACAACATTGTGAATGTACTAAATGCCACTGAATTGTACACTTTAAAATGGTGAATTCCACATGATGTGAGTTTCACATCTATTAGCCTCGCAGGCTAGGAATACTGCCAATACCTCAGGAACCACAGAATTCATCATCTCTTTCCTTTTCCTTAAAGTATGACCTCCTGTGTGAGCCCTTCAACAAACTGTTTTTCAGCTTGTCCTGCTTTTGAACTTCATACGGATTGAGGGAGACCGTGTGTATTTTCCATGGTTTGCTTCTTTCTCAACACTGTCTCTTTGATAATGATGTGATGAATTACTCATTTTCACTGCTGACTAGAAGCCCACTGTGTGGAGGTCCCATCACTCAGCTGTCCACTCTGCTGCCACTGACACATGGGCAGTTTTGCCCAGGAGCAGGGCATCACAAACACCCAATTGGAGTCCAGTGTGACAGTTTTTCCAGGGCCTGTCATTGTACAACACATCATTTCACTTTGTTTTTCTTTTTTTATTATTATAATTTAAGTTTTAAGGTACATGTGCACAACGTGCAGGTTAGTTACATATGTACACATGTGCCATGTTAGTGTGCTGCACCCAGTAACTCGTCATTTAACATTAGGTATATCTCCTAATGCCATCCCTCCTCCCTCCTGGTGTGTGATGTTCCCCTTCCTGCGTCCATGTGTTCTCATTGTTCAATTCCCACCTATGAGTGAGAACATGCGGTGTTTGATTTTTTGTCTTTGCGATAGTTTGCTGAGAATGACGGTTTCCAGCTTCATCCATGTCCTTACAAAGAACACAAACTCACCATGTTTTATGGCTGCGTAGTATTCCATGGTGTATATGTGCCACATTTTCTTAATCCAGTCTACCATTGTTGGACATTCGGGTTGGTTCCAAGTCTTTGCTATTGTGAAGAGTGCCGCAATAAACATACGTGTGCATGTGTCTTTATAGCAGCATGATTTATAATCCTTTGGTTATATACCCAGTAATGGGATGGCTGGGTCAAATGGTATTTCTAATTCTAGATCCCTGAGGAATCGCCACACTGACTTCCACAATGGTTGAACTAGTTTACAGTCCCACCAACAGTGTAAAAGTGTTCCTATTTTTCCACATCCTCTCCAGCACCTGTTGTTTCCTGACTTTCTAATGATCGCCATTCTAACTGGTGTGAGATGGTATCTCATTGTGGTTTTGATTTGCATTTCTCTGATGGCCAGTGATGATGAGCATTTTTTCATGTGTCTTTTGGCTGCATAAATGTCACAACAAAAGCCAAAATTGACAAAAGGAATCTAATTAAACTAAAGAGCTTCTGCACAGCAAAAGAAACTACCATCAGAGTGAACAGGCAACCTACAGAATGGGAGAAAATTTTTGTAATCTACTCATGTGACAAAGGGCTAATATCCAGAATCTACAATGAACTCAAACAAATTTACAAGAAAAAAACAAACAACCCCATCAAAAAGTGGGTGAAGGATATAAACAGACACTTCTCAAAAGAAGACATTTATGCAGCTTATCTGTACATTCTTTTAGATTTTTTCGCCTAGTCAATTATTTTGTAAATAATGACTTTCACAGTAATTTTAGAAAGCTTTTGTGTGGGAGAAAATATAAATGCACTTATTTAGATTGCCTTCTTGCACCAGAAATCTGGAAAGCATGGTTTCACGAATAGATACATTACTAAACCTTCCTTCAGAAGTGTTCTATCAGTGTGTCTTCCTAACAGTGTGAATGAATAGCAGCTTGGTTATAGCTTTTCTGATATTCTATACTTTTCCACATTTTTAATATTTGTCCATCTCTTACCCCAAAACAAAACCTTTGAAAAATGTATTAATTATTGAAAATTTGCATTTCTTTTGTAAATTGCCTTACTATATTCTTGATCATTTTTCGAGTGTCTTATGCATTAAGATTGCATTTGATGTACAAGAAATTTGACACACAGTGACTTAAATAGGTGAGGGTCAATACCGTGACCCTACAAAGTTTTCATGACATTCTTAGGATGTGGCTTTCATTTCATAGTAGTCCCCTTGGTGTAAGATGACTATTCTTCCTCCGGCAGCAGGAAGGAGCTGGGGTAAAAGCTCATGCCACTTGTGTCTCCTCCGGTTTAAAGTTTTCCCTGAAGCTTTGTCCTGTGACTTCTGCTTCTATATGACTGTCCAGAACTAGGTCATATAGTGCTCCCTCACTGCTGTGGAGTAGGGAATGTAACTAGAGATGGTGTAATTGCCACTTCAAACAAGATCAGGCTTCTGTTTGTAAAAAAAAAAAAAAAAAAAAAAAAAAGGAAGAGTAGACATTGATTAGGCAACAGCAAAATCATTTATGCTACACCAGTTCAGTTACCTGATACCAATACACATCTTCTTTTCATACATAGAATAGATTTACCTTCATTGCAAGGCAGTGTTCCAGGTGATGTGCCTCATGATCTGGTGACCTATAAGCTAACTGTGGACTAGAGTTCATCCCATATGGAGTTTGGGAGTATGAATGGTACCAGGGAGTTGTCCTGCCCTGAAGCAAGAGGGCTGGGCTTTTATACTAATATCAGTGAGCTGTTAGCTGCTGGTCAGCACTCAGCAACTGGGTTTTGTGTAACTGCGCAGACATCTGAGTCAGGTGGCTTTAACTGGCAGAGAGCAAGTCTCTGGAAAGGGGTACAGTTGGGAGACATTGGCAGCCAACAGCACAGCAGCTGGGCCTGGTGAAGGGAATCGGGGCAGGTGCCCAACACAGAACACATCAGAGAGCAAATCTGGCAACTCCTGGTTCTTCTCTCTAGGTTTCCTCCTTAATCCTTTATTTTTCCTAGCTTCTAATTCTTCTCTGTGTGCATGTTGCAGGGCAGAAGGGGAGGATTCTGCTTGTCCATTTCTTCTACTGCCTCTTCTGAGGTAGGCTGAGGAGAAGATGTCTTTTCTTGGGGTTCCTCTGCTTTCTAAGGTCTCTTTATGGATGCAACTTGTGGACTTAGAGATGAATTTAGGGGTTCAAAAATCACAAGCTGTTGCAGCCAGGCCTGGGGTTTTCTTGGCAAAGCAAGTTCCACAAAAGCTTTCTATTTGTTTCCAGTCATTTCCATGTGCAAATGACTACAGTTAGGATGTTTCACATACATAATATTTAAGCACGAAGGTTGCCTAGTTTTACTCACTGAACTCATCACTCAGTTCATCCCCTCCCCCATTGGAATATTAATGGTAATTTCAACTCCTTGGTGATAAAATTTACTGTCTTCTGAACTCCATTTCAAGACTATTTCTTTCTCCTCGGTCTCATCTCTCCCTTCTCTTCCCCAACATTGCAACGCAGTCAGGGTGGAAGCTCACCTGTCATTTTGATGGTGGAGAGGGGGTCTCTTGTCCTCCTTTGGGCCTATACTGACTTAAGGAATACACAATGTCTATATTCTTTCCTGTCTCTGAGCATCTCATACTGGGGTTTGCTGCGATGTGGCCCCAACATTTTGCGATTCTAGATAGACAGCGTGCTGAAACCTGTGATCCTTGCCTCAGACTTCCAGCTTTTACGTCCCCATTCTCTGGTCTTAAATCTGGATTTGCAGAATTCATCAGACCTTCCACACCTCTGCACTCCACCTGGTGGCATGAGGGCTCCATTCTGATACCTGCACACAGGCAGTTAGCCAGGCCGTGCTGCCCTAGGTGGATTCCCCTGGACACCATATCTTTGTGCTATCTTGGAAGAGTCAGAGAAGTGAAAGAACTGCCATGGTTCTCGGCTACTCTCTAAAGTGATTTGAAGTCTCTGTTTCTATCACTTCCTCCTCTCCTTTGCAGAGATCCAGGCAATATCTTCTCGTGAATGTTTCCCCTCACACTCCTGCCATATCAGAATGGCATTTCTTATTATCTTCTCTGTAGAATATTACTCATAGTAAAGCTCTATTCTTAGACCTTTAACCATTTTTCTGAATACATAAAAGGCAGCTGTAGAATTTAAGAGACTTTTTTCTTTCTCACATCAAATCCAGGCTCACTATAACTAAATACTCCAGCTCTTAGATCCTAGAGAATAAAATCTCAACTTTTTAACCTGGAATTTGACATCCTTCACAATTTGATTTCCAATGCATTTTTCCATTTTCAAAGTCTCCATCTTCAAAAAGAGTTCCATCTCTTTTTTCCTGCTTATACCACTTACTGCGCTTAATGCTTTCTTCGACTGATCTAATCATATCTCCCTCCTCAGTGAAGCCATTTTTGACAACTCCTCTTCCACCTCCAGTACACCTTTCTCACCCATTTTGCCTTGCAGTCTCTCAATTCCACAGTCTCCTTGATTATTTTGTTTTTCTTTCTCACCTCTTTCTGAGGGTTAGCAGTTCTCAGGGTTCGGCTTTTGCCTTCTCCTCTTGACTGGAAGGCTTTTTGTGGCTGATCTTACCTGCTTCTTGTTCTCAACCACTACCTCTCGCAGATGGCTCCCAGGGCTGCGCCTCCACTCCTGTCATCTTTCTTGAGGACGACCTTTTTTTTCAATGCAACTACAGTCATGCATCACATAACAACGTTTGGGAAAACAACAAACTGCATATGTGATGGTGGCTTTGTAAGATTATAACACTGTATTTTTACCATATCTTTTCTATGTTTAGATGTGTTGGATACATTAATACTTACCATTGTGTTATAGGTGGCTGCAGTATTCAGTCCAGTAACGTGCTGCCCAGGTTTGTAGCCAGGAACAGTAGGCTAGACAATATAGCCTAGGTGTGTAATAGGTTACACCATCTAGGTCTATGTAAGTACACTCTGTAATGTTTGCGCAATGATGAAGTCACCTAACAACACATTTCTCAAGAGGATTCTCTATTGTTAAGTGACACATTACTGTACTTAACTTCTGTAAGTATCTCACACTAAAGGTGTTTAAAGCTGAGCTTAGGAAGTGAGAAATGAAAAACTCATTTTTATATTCTTAATAACTTGGTCCAATTCTCTTGGCTTGAGTTAAAGAAATCATCATGAAAGATGAAATACTTAGAATGTAGGAAACTCAGCTTTAGGAGGAGCGACAAATGATAATGTACCTTAGGGAAATGTCAACAGACGCATGTACGTATAAAATCCATTCCATTTGCCTAAGAAGGAGTTATGCTGTGACTCTTTCGTTCGTTTATGTTCTATTTTATTTTTGTTCTTTAAAACCATTTTGCTTCCGATAATAAGTGTAACAAATGCTTATTACCAAATAACTGGAAAATAAAGAATTATAAAGAGAAAAAAATACAAATCTATCAACCAGAAATAATCCATCATCTAGAAATAATAGCAATTGCATTTTAAAATTAATTTTATTCTGATTTTTATGCATGTCTATTTAATCTGCTGTTATGGTGTTTATTAATTTAACTGTTTATTTTTAGGTAAAATTACCATAGTACTAAGTACATTTCTGTACTTGCTGTTTTTACTTAATATTACATAGGAAATATTTTTATATTATTAACATTTCTTGTAATTGCCACTTTTAGTGACTACAATGTATCTCATTGTTTGGGTATATTATGATTTGTCTTATTCTCTCTTTTTGGGACTTTATTTCCAATTATACTTTTGTTCTTAAATGTTTGATGAATATCTTTTACCTATATCTCTGATCTCATGTCCAGATTTTTTTTTTTTTTTTCAAATAAAGCTGAGAAGTGAAATTCCTGTGACTAAAGTCAGGATTTTTTTCTTTGCCTCAACCAAGATTCAGTCTTTTTTAGCTAGTCTGATCTGGGATTAATCAGAAAGAAAAGCATAAATGGCTTAAATCCAGCAGACCATTTTACTATAGATTTTCTTTCTCTAAAAATTTCAATAATTTGTCTTTATAAATTAAGGGCTTTTGTTTAGCTTCCTTCTGAAAGCCTTCCAAATTTATGTGAATCTGCAACATGCACCTTTTTGAGTTCTCCATAGGAACACAATAATTCCCACTTCCTATGGGGGACCCAAAGGGTTCTGAAATGGATGAGCACAGGGAGAGGGCCCAGTGTTTCAGGGAGTGACATCATAAATATTCTCTTTTGTCATCTAAAAAGAATGACATTAATTAATACCACTTATTGAATGTTTTTAGGCATTGTACAATGTTCTGGATACCTGCATATTTTAGACAAACGATGTAAACACAGTTCACATATTTGTTTTCAATACTTTTTCTCTATTATGAATGGTACTCTCAAGCACATCTTGAAACCAACGAGTTTGTTTTTTTAAGTAAAGTAGTTGGTTATTAACAATGTCAGGCAGAACCTCAGAGTATGAAGAAGACAAGACATAAAGTTTTACTTGCAGAATAGCAGAACATAGGCATGAGAATCTTAAACACCTGGCCTCTGGTGTGTGAAAATAAGATCAATTTAAATAAATGAAAAAGAACAATAAGATATAGGTTTTAGCTCAGCTTCTTTCAAATGTAAGTGATCAAAATAAATTTTGAAGCTTCTGGAAAAATCAAATTTCTAAACCTCAAGCCCAGAGATTTTCATTTTGTCTGCTAGGGTGGAGTCTCTATGCTCTATTTTTTAATTTTAAGAAAGGACTCCAAATAATTCTGGTGAATAACTGGGTTTTGGAACCACAATTTAAGTATTGCAGTGTTTACTCTTTATTGCTTTTAAAGGAAATATATTATTTTACTCTTCTTAAAATAAGCATAACTATATAACACACAGTGGCCAACTGACTCACAACTGAGCCATCTTATCTTATAATTAGGAAGGAATTTAATAAAAACTTGTGTTCATACTGCCTTTTTATCACTTCATTTTCTAAAATCTTCTTTTAGGAAACTTGCCTCAAAGCATGATTCATCTTTTACCCAGCTTCAAAAGAAAACATTTTAGTCTTTGTATTTCACTTCCAGGATAAGGTTTGATTGCTTTAGAGAGTCAGAAAACAATAATAGATTCATCCCCTCCCACTCCCAGGAATATTTAAGAATAACAGGCCCCAATTTCTTTTTAATCTCTTTTGTGCTATTTTTTTGTTCTATTTTTAAAGGAAATTTTCTTTCTTCTTCTTTTTCCCTTTCCTCACCACCTCCAACTGTTGTTAGCAACTCTCTAATTTTTGTGCAATCTCATTTTTATAATTTGGAATTAGATCAAACTTATTAAAAAGGAGCAGATGCTTCCCAGAAGATGCTGTTGTGCCTTTGCTTTGTTCTGTATTGACATCGTGGATTTCTATATTTCTCTGATTATTTACCATTGTTTATGTATTAGTTTGGTTAAAAATCAATTAATGTTGACTCTTTTAACCCTCTGAACAACATTGTGGGGCTAGTATTATTATCTGCTAATTTGAACCACATGAAATTGCTATGTTTGAAGATAAACAAAAGCAATTGAATATTGGCAAATTTAATACGATTCAGCCTAGTATACTTGATGGCTCCATGCTATAGATCTCAAACAAGTGACTTTGCTCAGGGTTACCTAAGCATATAAATAGAATCAGTTTCAGTGTGTTCTTCCCCCTAAAACATAGTTGTTTCTCTTTTTAAAAAGTATTAACCGGCTGGGCGCGGTGGCTCACGCCTGTAATCACAGCACTTTGGGAGGCCGAGGCAGGTGAATCATGAGGTCAGGAGTTTGAGACCAACCTGGCCAGCATGGTGAAACCCCGTCTCTACCAAAAATACAAAAAATTAGCTGGGTGTAGTGTCGGGCACCTGTAATCCCAGATACTTGGGAGGCTGAGGCAGGAGAATTGCTTGAACCCAGGAGGTGGAAGTTGCAGGGAGCAGAGATGATGCCACAGCACTCCAGCCCTGTCTACAGAGTGAGACTCTGTCTCAAAAAAAAAAAAAAAGTATTAACCAACATTTACAACCTGTTTTTGTTTCTCAATTGGAAATTTTTAGGTCTTAAATTGCATCATTTACTGTATAACACACATGTACAGCTCTCCTTCACAGAGTGTACATGCTGCATTTGTATTGTTCTACCATGAAGCAAGCTATTCTATGTTTCCCTGTATACATACATGGTTATTTGTGAATATACAATTTTAGGTAAGAAATTACTATTAGTATTTATAGAACTTTACAGCATAAAGAATTTTTCGATTTGATTACTTTGTGTATTATATTGAGAAAACCTAATGTATAAAGGTGTTGATATTATTTTATTTGTTCAATGCCTATTATGTCTAGTAGGTATTTTAACTAATCAGACCAAAAAGGAAGGAGTAGTAGTACAGCATCTAAGTCCTGGGAGCTTGTTCTATCTAATAAGATCCCAAATTATAGAAAACGTTATTTTAGTCTTGGAAGAAAGTCTATACCAGAGTAAAGTTCTTGAACTCATAACTGTTGAAATAAATTTATTGTTTTAATAGCTCAATTCTTCTTACTTTCCTGTATTGGTGTTCCTTCTCATGTGTTATAACTTCACTATGAGTTGGGTGCCCTGTTGCTTTGCTTGACTGGGTTCTCCATGTAACTTGCTTTAACCAACGGAATGAGGTAGAAGTGACGGTATGCCTGCTGCAAGCCCAGGACTCATGAACCTTGTGTATTTCTGCTTGTACTCTAGAAAAGTGGTTCTCAACTAGGGGCAGCTTTTTCCCTAGGGGAATTTGGCGATATCTGGGAGCATTTTTGGCCACAACTTGGGGGATTCTACTGGCACCCAGTGGGTACTGGCCCAAGATCCTGTGGAACATCCTATGATAGAATAACTCTTTACAACAAAAAATATTCAACCTAAAACATCAATAGAGTTGAGTTTGAAAAACTTTGCTCTTTACAGACTCTGTCATCACCACAAGAAGGATATGCCTGGGCTACCCTTCAACTTTTAGAGGGAGGATGAGAGGCACATGGAGTAACACTAACCTGCAGAAACATGAGTAAGACCAGTCAAGATCAACCAACACCAAGCCTTGTGACTCATGAGATTTAATAATAAATAATCTTCCGTTTAATAACTGAGTCTTAAGGTGGATTGTTTTGCAGCAATACCTAACTGATAGAACCTTGTAACAGAGGAAAGCTGAATATTGGGTGGTAGAGTCACAGTCAACATACCATGTTAACAAATTACTCAGCAAAAGATAAAAATTAATCTATCACTTCCTACACACCACCAATGGAAGACTTTTTTTAAAACTTTTTCTTTGAAAATAAATGCAGTTTTAAGGTTTGCGTAGTGAATCTATTTCACAAATCAAAGGATAAATAATTTTGGTATATTAGCATAGATAAGAACATCTCTTCTAATTAATTAAAAAGTGCCGTAGTGCCTGGCACCATCATGAACACTGTAATTGTAAAGAAAAATAAAACATGGCCCCTGCTCACTATAAGCTTCCCATACAGCTGGAATATTCAAATTCCTTGGCTTCATTCAAGTATTTTTAACTAGTGGAGATTTTATCATTGTTTTAGGAAGAGTATCTACCTTAAAACAAATATATTTTTGGAGGCAGAATTATAGCTGGAAATATTAATTGTTGTACTTTCTGTGTTTTTGTTCCTCCTTTCTACTCTCTAGTGGTAGTGGGGTAGGGGAGGGCAGTCTTTGCTTTCTCAAGCCAATATTGAAATAGAAAAAAAGACTCAAAAAATACATATCCAAGCACAAGTCAGAAAGACGCACGTAAGTATTTATGGAGGCATATTTTTGGTAATCAAAGACTAAAAAGACAAGGGTAGTGGGAAGGTGGGACTATCCTAGAAAAGAGAAACAGGGCTTGATTTCTCAAAGTGGAAGAAAGGGCTGAATTTTCCTCTTACAAGCACTGGGATTGACGATGAAGGGGCTTGTAATGATGATTACTGGTTCTTCTCCAATATATATTTTACCTCCTTTCCAGTGACCCACTGCCAATGGACATCCAAAGTTCCTCGTTCTAGATACTGGTGTTTCACAGAATAAAAATTAAAGGACTTGGACTCCTTGTGTGGAGATGGGGATGAAAAAAATCTCATTTGTATTTTTCTTATGACCAGGTACAGCTGGGGACACAATAACACTGCATTTTTTTTTAATAGTAGCGATGCAAATGTAATCATGTTTTTCTTGCTACGTTTAGCCTACTTTCTATTTTTACCTGTGACACATTTGTACGCATATTTCATGCTACTTAAATATTTAAAACTTTCTCATTACCTTTTCATTTTTAAATTATTCTTTGTCAATTGCATATATAACTAAGTTTGTGATTTTTCCTACCAATGTCTAAAAATATGAAATCCTAGAAATGTGTTTTTCTTGTATCCATAGTTATCCAACATATTTTCATAGCAGCAAGGCAGATTCTTGTGGTAACTTGGTTCCTATACCTCCCATAACACAAGGACTGAACATGGCTTTTAGCAGATGGAGTATGTGTTATTTCCACTTGTGGCAACATGAAACCTGGTGTGGTGAATAGTAGGGGTCTGCCCATGATGCCCACCTCTTGATTTTCATGTCTGATTTAAATGCTCTGTGGAAAAAGGATGGATTTACTCCCTCCCCCAAATTTGGTTCAGATATCAAGACATGATCACACACAAACACACATACACACACACACGCACGCACACACAGACAGCATGGAAGGTCTTATTTCTTGTGTAAGGCTAGCTTCCCATCCTGGTCCAAACATGGCCTAAGAGAACAGGGAAAGGAGACTTGAATGGGGGTTGTTATGGTTGTCAGAGAGTGTGGCTGGGGTTAAGGTTCCCACACACAGCAGGGTTTGTGTGGAGTGAACCTCCACTGGCTCCAAAGGAAGAAGTACCCAGGCTTTCTTTTCAGGTGACACAGATGCAAGCAGAAGGGAAAGAGGAGAGGTGAGGCATGTCTCCAATCAAATATCAAAAATGAATTGAGACTGTTGATTACCCTGCTTCTATGTAATGCCCTCCCCTTGAGTGTGGGTGAGAACTGTGACCTGTAAATGTTGTGATTACATTATATTATGTGGTAAAGGTGATGGGATGTTACTCCCATGATTATAATACAATGTGTATACATATATGACTCCGAGAAGACTCTCTCTTCTCTCTTGCTGCCCTGAAAGCAGCAAGCCTTTATGTTGTGAGCTGCCTATGGAGAAGGACACATGGCCAGAAACTGTGGGCAGCCTGCAGGAGTTGAGGGCTTCAGTCCTCCAATTTCAAAGAACAGAATTCTTCCAACAAACACAAGCACATAATCTTGGTGAGGACCCCGAGCCTCAGATAATAAGACTCTAGCCCAGCTGAAACCTTGATTGCAGTCTGGGAGACCCTGAAGTAGAGAACCCACTCAAGCTCCTGATCCACAGGAGCTGTGGTATAATTAATGTGTGTTGTTTTAAGTTGTTAAGTGTGCTGTAAAATGTTATGCAGCAATAGATAATATACCAAAGGATGACAATTTTTTTCTAGTCCTCTCCCTTTATCTTTCGCTATGAGGAAAATATATCTGATTTGTAAAAAGGGTATTTCATAGGAATATCTTTTCGTTTTGTTTGGGTAGATGGCAAATAGAGTCAGAAGTGGAAGTCCTTAAACATAGCAGTGAGTTTCCGGATGAAATTCAAGGAAAAGTATGTAAGAATGGGAGAAATTGGAAATCTATGTAAATAAACATAGCATCAGAAGTGACTTCAAGTAGCATTCTACAATGGCAGAAGCACAAGATAGAAACCATGAAAGGACAATCAATAAGATGTCTTAGGTAATTAGATGTAGGCATAAAGTAGATGAAGGAATCAAATATAATTCAGAGATTTTTTGATTCATGATGACGTGGAAAGAAACTAAATTATTGATAGAAACTGGCAAATCAGAGAGAGAGTTTAATGTGAGGAGATTACTTTTACATTAAATATGTTGAATTTGAATTGACCAGAAAGAGAGTTGTGGTCCAAGACTGACATACATTGACACAACAGACATGCATTGACCCCTTCTAGGAATCTAGTTTGGTAAGAAGCCCGGGGCGTAAAACTGATGAGTAAGCGATGTAATCAGCTTTTGAGATGCTTGCACTCTCGTTCAGGCAGACGCATACCAGGAGTGCATTCATACAGAATACAGGTCCTAAGATAGAGGTAAAATCAAAGTACTGGGAAGCAAAAAGGTTGGACAACTCTTTATCATCCTTCAAGGCTCAGATAAGGTAGAGCTATTATCTGAGTGGCGCTTTCCCTGACCACTGTCTTCTCTGTCCCTTGTTTGTCTCTGCAAAGCTCTGTTATAGCACCGGCCCTCTTCTAATGCAATTATTTGTCAGCATGGCTGGTGTTTTTCTTACTAGATTGTGAGTTCTTTGAGAGCCAATCAGCCTCTTTTTTTCTCATCTCTGTATTCCTGGTGCCCAGAATAGCACATGTCACATGTTACACACTCAAGAAATGTGTATTGTGTGCATTATGGCTGGGGGGGGGGGGGTAATTCACTTGATTAAAGTATGATTTACATAAGGGAGAGAGGTTCTGTTTAGAGAAAAAGCTGGAGCCTGAGGACTACATTTTCAGGTACATCTTCAACAATCTGTTCATAAAACACATCAGGGCCTCCCATTGCATACAATGTTGCAAGCCCATTGAGTTTTTGTCTTTTTATAAAAAGGGACTTTAGATGTGTCGAGAGTGAAATGGGCACTTTTTATCAAAGGATGTTTATTACCAGCTTTGGAGGTGGGCACTTATAACCCTCCACACTTTAGATGTCTTCATAACTCAGACAGATATTTGGCCTACTGCCTTGCAACCTGGAGGGGCTGCCCCTGCTACATCAAGTAGAAAAGGTCTCAATGCCTTGGACTGATATGCAGTATGTGAAGCATGGTGGAAGTGAAGCTAATGCCAAATAAAATTTGAGAAAAACATCTCACATGTCTCAGAGTAGAGACTATAGCTTACCAGGGAAAATAATTACTTTTATAGATTGGAAGGCCCCTTAAGACTTCATCTTTGTTCTTTCTTTACAGTTGGAAACTTACTTCTGAAGTTTTATATTGCCTTATTTTTCCTAAATCCCAAAAGACATATTTTGTGAATTTTAAAAAAAGTTTCATTAAGCTATCTTGCCACCAAAAATGTGCTTCAGAATTTGGATTTATTATTGCAGATTTTTTTAAAAATGAGGTGACATGTGTAAGATAGCAATATCAGTGCATACTAATTCCTGTCTATTTCTAAATTCTGCTTAAAAGGACCAGAAAGTCATCTAAAACAATAACACGTTTTTCTGCAACTAATAAGGTGTAGGAAAATTAGTACTAGGGTGGAGAAAGACATCACCAGCAACACTGCTTCATCTCTACAAAGAACATTTCTGTCACTGCATCACATTTTAGTGCATTGACACATGACTGGGGTTTGTAATAATTACCCCAAGTAATTACTCTGAACAGCAATGCCTTCCCATTTTCTTTCCAGAGACTGGCTCATGCATACATGCGTGACAAATCCTGACCACTGAAACAAGAAGGAAAGATTGCTAGAGTGTTTCTGGGCATCTTGCTTGTCTTTAGTAAGGAAACAGAGGAAAGATAAACTACTTTCTGATTTTGGAGAACATTCTACTGTCTTAAAGTAATGCCTGGCACTATTGAAATAAGCCAGAGCATGAAGCTGCCACCCTTAAAGAAGAGCACAGCCAAAAACATGATGGAGAAGGGCAACTGGTGTCCTTATATCCAAACTTGGCATTGCCCTACGTCTGGAATTCTAGTTGTATGAGATAAATGTATTTCCTTATTTAAGCCAATTTGAAATAGTATTTTGTTACTTATGTTGAAGGCTTCCTAAGTGATACAGAATGTGGGAAAATGGAGAGTGCTCAAGGGAATACCGAACATACCCTAAAAGGTATATTTGCTGAGTGGAGGGAGTAGAGGGGAGAGAAGAGAGAATTCCCTACTCTAAAAGATCCACCTATTCTAGGCTAGGAAGTGGGTGACCATGGGTGAAGCATTTGCCAACATTCTTTTAAACTGTTGCCTATTGTACATTGGGACTTAGATCATTTTCCATACAGATTCTAGTGTTAGGAAAGCCACAGGGAAAGTTTGAAATATTGAAATGATGTGTTGTTGCCCAATGCTACTGGCACATTCCTAAAAGAAAAGATTTAGCTGAATATGGTCAAATCAAATGCACATAGAGAGAAACATGACTTATGTGACTTTAAGAAAAGTTGTATCTTTGATCTACAACCAAGTCCACTGATGGGTAGAATAGCCAAATTCTCTATTCCTAGCTAAAGTTAACCTAAATGTCAACAGAGAGACAGCAGTTTTTCAGGTTACCATAGTGGGATTTCATTCAAGTCCCTCCTATTAGTCATTCTTTTTTGGAAAAGAGGCCAATCCTAAGAAAAAGATTAGATTATTTGTGGTGCCTCTCCACCAAAGACAATTATTTCACATTCCTTCAGGGCGGAGGCTACTCATCTGGGGCCAACAGAGAAGGGAAGGACACAGAAGTGCATAGCCAGAAACAGGCATTTACATATTCAAAGATCACAGGTAAATCAAGTTCTTTAATTGTGGACTGGAAGCAAAAATACCTGAAACCTAATAAATTTTTATGAGAACTGCATTTTCCGGTGGAAGTATCCTTGCCATAAAAATTTCAGCTACTTAAAACGGTTTGTTGAAGCTCTTCTCTACAATGTCTGTCTTTACACCACTTGCCTCAGGTATGATCATAGGGGAAAATGTACAAGGATTTATATGCACAGAACAGAACAATGCTGCCAGGTTGGCTCATTAAAAATCATATTATTGGCTGGGTGTGGTGGCTCATGCCTGTAATCCTAGCACTTTGGGAGGCTGAGGCGGGTGGATCACAAGGTCAAGAGATCGAGACCACCCTGGCCAACATGGTGAAACCCCGTCTCTACTAAAAATACAAAAGAATTAGCTGGGTGTGGTGGTGCGCACCTATAGTCCCAGCTACTCGGGAGGCTGAAGCAGGAGGATCGTTTGAAACTGGGAGGTGGAGGTTGCAGTGAACTGAGATCACGCCACATCACTCCAGCCTAGTGATAGGGCGATACTTTGTCTCAAAAAACAAACAACACCACACACACACAACAAACAAACAAACAAAAAAACCATATTATTTTCCTGGGGAATCAAATCTTGTCTCTCCAACAGAATATATATAGTGTGGCTAATGACTCTCAAGTTTAATTTCTCATTCTTCCTTTATTACAATTGGGAATTTTATTTAATATTATTATCATGTCCCTTCTGCCCTTTTTGTACCAGTTATTTTAGGGGTAGATCCCTCATCTTTTAGCGTTAGGTTGCCAGGAGCAATATCTGAACCTGATGGAGAGGAATATATATAAGCCAGGAAATTCACACTTGGATCTGGATACAGAAGAGATTTTGGTCTTTCTTCAGGAAAGATATGAATGTGTTTATGTAGATGTTAGAATTTCTAAAAATATTTGTAGATATTGGTTAGCTAAAGAGGTGAACTGTAATGGTAATCATGGACTACTTCTCAATATCCTTCTACCCTCAAATGATTAGCACAAAACAATCATGGTACTCTCATTTCTTTTATCAATTCTAGGCAATGAAACTTCAATGGAATTTTGCTATTGTGCTTCTGGAAAATGGTTGTCTCCTTCTTCAAAAGACATACAATATGATATAGCTTCACTGCTCACTCTGGAAGTTACAGCTCTGGTTATAATGTTAGGAATTTCTGCAGCTACCTTGCTATGTGTTGAGGATCACTCTGGCACAAAGACAAGGGCAGTCTAACAAGAATGACAGAAACATAAAGCTGGAGCCCTGCTGTAGAGTATCTCCCTGACTCTATGCTCTGTTAGACTCCATGTTGTAAAATAATACATTTCATCATTGCTTAGTTCATTTTGAGTTGGGTGTTCTCTTACTTGGAGTCCCAAAATACTAGCCTATAAGTAGTTTATCTATAGGCTGTCTTGATTTCCTTACTACAATGGGACCTGGTGTTTCATTTGATCTACATATATCCTTGGGGTGTACATCAGGGATGGGGTTGCTGGATTTAGCAAAGAAAAATACAGGATACTTAGTTAATCTAGATTTCAGATAAACATATATTTCATAAGACATACTTACGATGAAAGTCAAATTGAATTTGACATCCCTGTGTTGCCTGGCAACCCTAACAAGGATACCTTGGTGATAAGGTATAAATAGATATTTTTGATGTTCCAGGCTGTTCTGGTTACTTACCAGAAAAGGGATCACATTGTTTATGGATGACATTATGGGTGAAGGGGGTCAGATTTCCTTAGCACTCCTGTTTATATTTGGGCTAGAGAATTTAGATTACGTGTCAGCAAACTTTTGCTATAAGGGCTAGATAATAAATATTTTAGGCTTTGCAGGCCTTATGGTTTCTGTTGCAACTACTCATTTCTGTATTACAGCTTGAAAGCTGTCATAGACAATACATAAATGAATAAGCATGGCTGTGTTCCAATACCACTTTATTCACAAAAACAGATGGTGGGCCAGATTTGGCTGTAGTTTGCTGATCCCTAATCTAGACCATTCAATAGGAATTGGTAATGAGACATGGCTTGAGTCTGCAATTTCAGAACACCTCCTTAATACTTCATCTCTGATCCTACAATGTGCTAGACTGAGTTGTTCAGTTGAAGGGTTTGTGTAAAGTCCAGGACAATTTTCATAGTGTGTAATGTTTCCCATATGATAACAGCTGAATTAAATAGAAACTTTCTTTTAAATAGAGAAATAAAGAATGGAACTAGAGGGGAATGGTAGATGGCAAATGAACTCGTAGGGACCACAACATAAAATACATAAACCATTGTCCTAGTTTCAAAGGGCTCATGCCTCTCTGGAATAAATTTACTGCAAGCAATGCAAGAATATTTTGGATTAAAAAAAATACCAACCATATGAATAGTAGCAGGTCATAAGAACAGAGAAATATGAGCAAAGTTTGTTTGTGAATGAGTAGCATATTCAGGTGCTATAAATCAGAAGCTTTAAATTCCAATTCATGGTGCAAAAGATTAACTGAAGATATATCTCTAGAGCACAGACAAAAAGTATAAACAAATCGAAATAAATATAGAGAAAATGAGGCAAAGGTAATAAATGTTTTCAAGAGACAACAGAACTTATGAGCAGAATACATAATACAAAATAATAGCAGAAATTGTTTCTGAACTAAAAACAACATAGTTACAGAAACTTATGAAAAACTCTATTATCTAGCTATACTCAGGTAGTATTTAAAAATATAATCATCCAAGTAAATTAAAAATGAGTTCAACTTCTATAGACATTAGACTTCTTTCTACAAGGTTAGCTTCCAGAAAACAATAAAATGATATATACCACTCACACTGTCTTTGCATAACCAAATTAATTTTCATGTGCAAAATGTATAGCAGAATTGTTTTAGATGTTTATAGAAATAAAAGCAGCTTTGCTATGAAGTTATGCTTCCAAAATAGATGACTTTCAATTATTGAATCAAAGTTTAGTATCTAAGAATGGGGATAAAAAAAATCTAAGAATTATAGAATCTAAGAATCGTAGGTAAAAGGAACTTATGATAAATATTTAAGACAAAACAAATAGAATTACTTACATAATTATGGAATTTGGTTTCAAAATTGAATGTATAAAATTAAATGAAGAAGAATCTGTATGTTGAAAAGAGTTTTAAAAACTACAGGTTTATATTCTTTGAATTAGATTACAGAAGACTAGGAAAATTGCAGGAGAGTGAGAAATGGTAAGTAGATGAATATAGAAATACAGAGGAATCCATGAGAGTGTTTTTCTGACTAACTAGAAACAAAAAAAAATCCTTGTTTTATTTTGAAAATTAGATAAATATAATTTTGATCACTTAAAAATATAAGATAGTCACTAATAAAATTAAAATCTGAATGTATACCATCTAAATTATCATAGAAGTTATAGACAAAATAAATTTAATTTATATGGCCTCCCAAAATAAAATAGAATGGAAAAAAATGTTCCTTAAACAAGAAATACAGGAAGACAGTAATATTCAAACTGAAATTAGCTCTTTAAACCTAACTGTTTTCCAAATTATGTGTGAGAAGCATCATAAAAGAGGGCTCTGATTCATTATGTATTTTGACTTAGTCCTAAAATAAAATGTAACCCTGACCCTCTCCTCACACATCCTCTGGTCTTGTTCTTCTTTTTCTCCATCCATGTCTACCTCACCCTTCATATCTGCTTCATACTGTTGTCTTCTTTGTACCAGTCTCAGCTGCTGGAGACAGAAGCCATGACTAGGGCAATGTATTAAATAGTACTGCCTCAAGCTGCAGTACTGTGTGGCCTTACCCGAGATCCTTGTGACCTGTATGGTGGTCCCAATAGCAGTCTTCCTACTTACTTCCTGGGAGTCAAAATATCATTAGAAGTTATTAAACTAAATATAAAATAAAACTCATTATGAGATAACACTCATGAATTAAAGAACAAAACTTGATCATATCCTGTTAATAATTAAAATGTATGTTGCAGTGCCATTGAAAATAAAGATCTGGGTTAAGATATATTCAAGAAAGTACAGACAGAGAGTGAGAGTGGCAATAATAATACCAAATATATTTTCCAAGGCCAAAACATTAACATTAAATAGGATATTCACTCTATGTCAATAATTCATCATGAAGGTTGAACAAAAAATAACTTTAATATATCACACAGCATATTAAAATGCTATATAAATTACATAAAAATATACAACTTAAAACAGGTAGAAATATAAGGAAGAATAAACACTGCAGGTCAAGTTGCTAAAAAAACATTTTGGGGACATAGTAGACATGAATCATACATTACTAAAAATATCCTTCAGTAATGCCCCTATATGGAAACTGTCCTAGGGCTTTAAGATGATGATGATGAAAATTATAATAGCAATAAATAATTTAATCTCAATTATACATATCAGGAATTGTGCTAGATTTCTAAAAATGTCATCTTAATTTACTGTCACAGTGGCCTGTCAAGGTAGATATCACACCCATTTAAAATGTGAGCAATCTGAGATTGTGAAAGGCTGAAGTAATTTGTCCTAGGTCAAGATACTCTTTCTAAGAAGTGGGCAAAGTTTAAAATTGTATTTGTCTGATTCTAGATCTCATGCTTTTTCTACCATACAGGATGCTTCTTATGGTCAAAGACATTCATCTTCCTGATAGGAATGAAGTGGAAAGCTCCAACAACAACAGTCAAGTAATGGCTGGCTCTTCACTGAAAATTATACAATATAAAAACCGTGTTTATGAACTCTTTATAATATTATCTTTATTATTTCTATAAAAGCAGAATAGCATGTGTGTATGTGATTTAATTCTAACTGTGCAAATAAAACCATTAAAACCACTTTTTGCATTTTTAAATAATAAATAGGTTCTATTTTTGAAAATTAACCATGAGAATCTACCTACCTAGAGTCTGAAAGCATTTTAGCAGACCTTAGGGAACTTCAGATGGGAGGATTTGGAGCACAAGGAGTGTAATTTGCAGAAGAGTGGGTAATCCCCTGACTCATGGAGAAGCACTATCAAAAAGATTTTCGAAAATTGGAAGACATCCTACCCTTAATTTTTTTGTTTCATATTATGAATACTATCATTCACAATATTATTTAATAAAAACGAATTGTTTTTATGAAGACAACTTTGTAACAAATCTTGCTATAAAACAAATACTGCTTTTTATGCTTAGATGTCTTTTTTATTTAAATTTTTTTATTTCCATAGGCTTTTGGGGAACAGGTGGTATTTGGTTACCTGAGTAAGTGGTGATTTGCGAGATTTTGGTGTACCCATCACCCAGTCAGTATACTCTGAACCCAATTTGTAGTCTTTTATCCCTCACCCCCTTCCCACTCTTTCCCCCTGGGTCCCCAAAGTCCATTGAGTCATTCCTATGCCTTTGCATCCTCATAGCTTAGTTTCCACTAATGAGTGAGAACACACGATGTTTGGTTTTTCTATTCCTGAGTTACATCACTTAGAATAATAGTCTCTAGTATCATACAGGTTGCTGCGAATGCCATTAATTCATTCCTTTTATGGCTGGGTAGTATTCCATTGTATGTGTGTGTGTGTGTGTGTATATATATATATATATATAATCTAGCACAATATATATACACACATATATGTATATATACACACATATATACACATATATGTGTGATAACTGTGATAGATAGATAGATAGATAGATAGATAGATAGATAGATAGATATAGGTATATCATAGTTTCTTTATCCACTCTTCGATTGCTGGGCATTTGGGTTGGTTCCAAATTTTTGCAATTGTGAATTGTACTGCTATAAACATGGATGTGCAAGTACTTTTTCATATAATGACTTCTTTTCTACTGGATAGATACCCAGAAGTGGGATTGCTGTATCAAATGGTATTTCTACTTTTAGTTCTTTAAGGAATTTCCACACTGTTTTCCATAGTGGTTGTACTAGTTTACATTCCCACCAGCAGAGTAGGAGTGTTCCCTTTTCACCACATCCACGCCAACATCTATTATTATTTTTATTTTTTGATCATGGCCATTCTTGTGGGAGTATACAATATACCTTTATGCTTAGATGTCTTAAAAATAAAATACCTTTTATGTAAGCCACTATTCACTATTTTCTGTGAAGACAAATTGAAAAGAAATATAAAAATATAAAACAAATTATTTCATTTTCAGAAGTTAGCTGACATATTACCATTATGGTGAATTCACTCTCAACATTTTAGTGTAGTTTGTTTTGTAGAATTTGACCTTATTCATCTTTCATTGAGCTAATTGGGTGTTGGGTCTTATTGCACATACTTTATTTAGCACAGAGGAGGTATTAGAATTCTGAGGTTGCCATTAAATACATGGCTACTCATATGTATCTAAATTGACCTAGTTGCAAGAAGAAACATTCTATATTGGCCTTTATTTCTTTTCCTAATAGAAGCTTGTATTCCGCTCCCCTCTAATTGGATAAATAGCTGTGATTTTACAATCAGTTAGCAGTCTTTTCCCTGCATAGAGAGGGCTGGAAGCATCCTAACATCACACCAGAAATTTTTGTTTGAAGCCTGGCATTTTAATTTAATGAAAGATGTGCCAACATGGAGAATCCTGCATCAAGTTTTATATTAAAAGGCAGAGGGAGCCTTTTTTGTCCAACTAGAACGCTCATGTATTGCTTTTCACTGTGTGTGGCTGCACCTTTCAGAGCATGCTGAAGTAGCCATCGAGGACTAAGCAAATCTCTGTAACATATATAAAGCCTTCCTTTCTTACTGATTCTGATACAGTATAGTTAGTGTTCATGGCTGCTAGATAAATGATTTGCAAAATCAATGAAAGCATTACAGGGCCAGAGCTGGCATGCATTTCCCCTAATGACTTTGAAGCATGTTGCCTTCCAAATGAAGTCACCTTCTCTGCAGACCCAGCCACAGCTCTTGCTCCAGACATCCCAAAGGCCAATGACTCTGATTAGCCAGTGATGCACAAAATGTC
Source organism: Homo sapiens (assembly GCF_000001405.40). Classification (NCBI taxonomy): domain Eukaryota; kingdom Metazoa; phylum Chordata; class Mammalia; order Primates; family Hominidae; genus Homo; species Homo sapiens. The sequence goes on along the minus strand of NC_000008.11, from coordinate 79,334,447 downwards.
ATACAACCTCTCTTTATGAAAGCTGCCAACTCATGTAGCCTTTTATGAGTACTCTTCATGTTTAATTAATCAGGGATTGCAGTTCTGCTCAAGTACCACATGTTTAACATCCCTGATTTTTATAAAATGAAAGATTGACTCAGGGTTTATGTTTAATTTTGAAAAAATACTGAAATAAGAGATCACTTAAGGAAAAGAGCAGACACAATATGAACAATAGACCAACCACCTAGAGTGAAGTAATTTAATTATGGGATAAACCTGCATAGTAAGGTTTCTAGGAATAGACCGGTTACAATGGTTCTCTCTAAACACAATTCTTCTTTTCTTTCAGTCTTTTCAAATCTTCTAGAATAGTGGGTCAATACCACTGAATAAACAGTGAGACTGTGTATTGTATTGAAGTGACCTAATCCATGAGTTTCCTGTTTTATTTCAGTCAAGGGTAGAGCTCATGGTTTGATGTGCCAGCTAGGAAAATGACAAAGCCTGTCATAGCAAAGAGAAGATAAAGGTAAGCTTTTCCAGGAACTTCTGAGCTAAAAATAATAAATTGTTGATCTTTCTTTGAATCTGATATAAAAACGTTGATCTCCAACGAGTCCTTGCCTGTGTGTGTGTGTGTGTGTGTGTGTGTGTGTGTGTGTGTGTGAGAAAGTGTCTGAGAAACAGCAAAACAGGTACTATTTAGGCCTGGGTCAGAGTCTGATATTCACATAATTCTCATATGCTATTTCAGTTGGATATTTTTGTGTTCTGTTGTTTCCAGAAGTGATACTAGAGCACTGTAGCTAAGCTACTATGTTTGAAAGGCCAAGAGTTCAGAGACATTCTAAAAAGAAACAAACTAGAAAGCCAGGATATATTGAGAGAGTATGGATTACATCAGGTAGGCACTGGTGTGTGTGAGGCACAGGGCTTGCAGGTTGAGGACACCTCAGCTTACCAGCTGCTCTGAATATTTTCGTTCAAATGGATCTGTAGAATCTGTTGTGTGGATGCAGTAAATGCAGGGAAAGAGAAAGAGTCTACAGCTACAAAATTATTTTCTGCTACAACACCCGTGCGCATGCACACACACACATTGAGGAGCAGTGTTTATGCACCTCTTGAACTCAGTTTTCTTCTAACTATTCTAATTCATTATTTTTCACCTGGCCTGTTTCACCAGCCTTTTAAATTATTTCCCAGCTCCTAGTACATTGTGTAAAGTGTATTACCATTGGACACAAATTTATGTATGTCACTTCTTGGAATCTTTAAAACAAAATCCACATTCATAACTAAGGTATATTTAAGCCAGACAGGAATTGTTTGTGCCTCTACCAGGTTAATAATTTGGCATTCTGTTAAAGCTATAGACTTTCATTCAATCATTTAGATATGAGTCTGAGAATTCCATGAGAAAGGGGGAGAAGGAAGCACTCAGCCTCCTTCTATTCATCATGCACAATTCAGCTGTGGCCCCAAACTTACATAAGTTGTTCTATCAACTTATTAATGAAAGTGAAAGAAACAAGACACCAAAATCTCCACATTGCAGTCATCTTTTTATATGAGACCCAAATGCAGGCAGAACTAATATAGGACGAATGGATACATATTGTATAGGAGAGAGAATTAGCTAGAAGGGGCACATGAAACTTTCTAGGAGATGGAGATATTTTATATCTTGTTTTGTTATCAGAGATGATTCCACAGATGTATACAATTATCAAAATTTATCCAAGTGAACACTTAAGATTTCTGCGCTTTATTTTATGTTAACTTTATCTCAGTAAAAAGAGGCAGTTTAGAGCCATCTGTAGTTGCTTAATCATACTCCTCTGTATCATTCTCTTACAAGTAGCTAATCAGTTTTCTTTGCTAACACATTCAGAACTTGTTCTGAGGAGAATCCTGGTAAATGTACTTTTTCAACATCATTACCTTTCTAATAATTTACTAGCACTCAATGATCTGTCACAGCTCCTTATAAGTAAATGCTCTGAGAAACTACCCCGTTGGTGCAGTCCTAACTTTCGCTCTGACTTCGAGGATATTGACAAATTTATTCCGGCCTACCATTGTAGCTTCATCTTTCACACTGTTTACTACAAAGCCCATATTCATTTCAGCCATACTTTCATTTCATACATATTCATTTCAGCCTATACTTTTTAAAATGTGAAGTAATACATTCACTTGTTTACTCATTCACAAAAGCTTTACTGAGTATATAAATAAAGCTTTTGTGAATGAATAAATAAGCGAATGTATTACCATACAATCATTTTTATTTTAAATAGTGGCAATATGCCATGTTTACATAATGTCTTTCTGTGGTGCATCTCCAGGGCCATACAGTGTTGGTCTGGGGATACATTTTGGTATGAAACTGTTGATACTTCCTGGAAATAGCTTGTAATTTAAACTTGCATACCTTATTTCTTTCACTTCTACTGTTTTAGGGATTCATCCGTGTTGTTGTATGTAACAGATATTTAGTCATTTTAGTGTTGAATAGTATTTCATTTTGTGTGATTCCATGACAATTTGTTGCATTGCATAGCAGTGATGGAGCATGACTACCTGGATTTGCATCTTTCCTTTATCATTCGCCTATGTGCCTCAGTCTTCATTTATGTAAATTGGGAATAATAAAAGTACTTATCTCATAGGGTTTTATGCGTATTAAATGACTGTGTGTGTGGCCCAGAATGTAGCCTGATGCATAGTGTAATATAAATGTTAATTATCCATGTTTTAGTATTATTGTTTGTGCTTCCATGCCGTTGTACTTATTATTCCTTTTCCTTTGGCTTGAATTCTCTGCCTCTTGATTATATAGTCATCCTTGAAAATCTAGCTGTATTTTCACTCCTTGACTCCCCAAGAAGAGTTAATGAATCATTGCATCTTATATGCTTTCATAACATTTCATGCATAAATATGTTAGAGTGTTTTCTTATTGTTATTGTAATTATTAGTTTATATATCCATCTCCCACACTAATTATGAGCCTCTCTGTGACAGAAAAGAAATCCTATTCATAATTTTTCCTCCAGAAACTAGCTCATAGTTCTCAATAAATGATGAACTAATAAATCAGAAGATGCATGAATAATTTGAGACTCAGTCCAGTTTAATAATTCAATTCAACAGCATTGCACACTGTGAATCAGATCTTGAAGATACACAGATGGGCAAAGAGAAGTTCCAGCTTATGAGGGACATGCTATTCAGAATGGCAGATGAAACCATGAACAAACAATAACAACTTGATTGATTTCAGAGGAAGTGATTGGGGTGTACCATTTCAAATACAGTGTGGATGCAGTACAATTCTTGGCTCTAGACTTGTTAATTGGCTTTTCCTCAAGCTGATAGGTTGTTTTTTTAACCACTAATAGAGAAAAATGCACAGAAAGGCCCCACAGACACCCTACCCACTGTGGCTCACAAACTTATGCCCCTTGCTTTTCCACAGTGCCCAGCTTTCCAACACCTGTGCTCTGCTGGGAAGGAGGGGCAAAAAGAAGGAGGAGCTGGACATGAATGCTAGGAAACCCGAGCAGGTGCTGGCCAGCTGAATGGAGACTGAAAGGTAAATTGTGGGGGCCCCCAGAGTGACAGACCAGTAGCTACCTGGGTTTTAGAATAGAAACTATATTAATTGTGATGAGATTTGCATTTATTTCAAGGGAAAAAGCAGTCCAGTCTACATAGGACAGCCTGCCTAGGAGCAAACCCTTAACTAAAAGTGTTTTTAGCTAGACTGACATACGTGGGAAGAGTGGCACCCAGGTCAAATCTGGAGATGTCGATAAGTTAATTATTCATTGCATTAACAGACATTTATTGAGCAAACACTAGGGCCTGCATTGTGCTGGCTTTAAGGAAACAAAGGTGAATAAGGAGATTTCCTGACCAATACATACATACACATGTATTATATACATATATGTTTTTTCCTTTAATTTTTAGTGATATGTAATAACTGCACATATTTATGAGGTACAGAATGATATTTCAATCCATGTGTACAGTATGTAATGATCAAATCAGGGTAGCAAGTGTATTCATCACTTCTAACTTTGATCATTTCTTTATGTTGTGAGCATTCTTCTAGCTTTTTAAAAATTGCTATATTGTTAACCATATTCACCCTACCATGCTAGAGAACACTAAAACTTACTCCTTCTATATTACTGTAACTTCATATTCATTAATGAATCTCTTATCCTCCCCACTCCTTCACAGCTTGAGGGACCTTTATTTACCTTCTACTTGTATGAGATTAACTTTTTTGTTTTTTAGCTCCCACGTTTGAGTGAGAAAGTGGAGTATTTAGTTTTCTGTGCCTGACTTATTTCACCTAACATAACGTCCTCCAGGCACATCCATGTTGCTGTAAATAATAGTATTTCATTATGTGTGTGTATATATATATATATATGTATATACACACATATATATATACATATATACACACATATATATACATATATATACACACACATATATATATATATACACCATATTTTCTTTATTCATCTGTTGATGGACTCTTGAGTTGATTCTATACCTTGGCTATTGTGAATAGTGCTGCAATAAACATGATGGTGCAGGTATCCCTTTGATATATTGATTTTCTTTTCTTTGGATAAATACCCCCAGAAGTGAGCTTGCTGAGTCATATGGTAGTTCTATTTTAGTTTTTTGAGAAATCTACATACTGCTATTCATAATGACTGTACTAATTTACATTCCACCCAACAGTGGATAAGCATTCTCTTTTCTTTGCATTCACACCAACATTTGCTATTTTTGTTGTCTTTTTGATGATAAGGTTCTTAACTGGGTGAGATGGTTTCTCTTTGGCATTTTGATTTGCATTTTCCTGATAATTGGTGATGTTGAGCATCTTTTCATATACTCATCAGCCATTTGTATGTCTTCTTTTGAGAAATGTCCATTCAGATCCTTAGCTCATATTTTAGATGTTTTTTTTGCTCTTGAGTTGTTTTAGTTTCCCGCATATTCTAGATATACTTAGATGTGTTTTATTTCCTCATTCATACATTATAAATGTTTATGAGCTTTTAAGGAAACAAGCACTATGTTAAGCATAAAAGACAATTGGAAGATACATTCTAGTATTTGAAATGTAATAATATGAAAAACGTGTGTTCTAAAATTGAGGAAATACGTTCTACAGTATACTATACATTGTACATACCTAAAACATGTATAACATGTTTACATAATGTATAAAGCATTCAAATAAATGATATTTGAATGATACTTAAGTGTTCAGTGTTTTCCACGCCTGATCTTATTTACACCCTCACCACAATGATATTACAGTGGATAACACATATTAAGCATATACAATGTGCTGACGTTTTATATGAATCTTACCAACAACTGTACCAGGTAGGTGTTAATATATTGTAGATGAGAAAATGAAGGCAAACTTCCCAAGCTCATTGAAATACTTGCCAATGGCCATATACAGTGAGTGGCTAAGCCAGGGTATTGACCCAGACAGGATCCGTGTATTTTTGCTCTAGCCATTAGACATAGTACTTCTTAAAGGTGGATTTTATCCCTATTTCACAAATGAAGAAACCAGAGAGGGTTTCTTCTCTGACCAAGAGGTCAGAGAGGGTGAGTATGTTTTCTGCCACTATAATGTTCATAAGAAGTTAAACCTGAATTTTTAACCCGAACTTATGAATTCTAGTGCCTGTACTTTTTAAAAATGTGAAGGTACTTTTTAAAAAGTACCTATACTTTTAAAAAATGTGAAGTAATACATTCGCTTGTTTACTCATTCACAAAAGCTTTATTGAGTGAGTATATAAATAAGCTTTTGTGAATGAATAAATAAGCAAATGTATTACTATACAATCATTTTTATTTTAAATATTGGCAATATGCCATCTTTACATAATGCCTTTCTGTGGTGCATCTCCAGGGCTACACTATGTTGGTCTGGGGATACATTTGTGTATGAAAATTTTGCGTGATATCTGTTAAATCATACTTGAGGCAATTTACAGGCAATCCCAGCTCTGAAACACATTGCCCTGTAATGCTACATGTCATTAGTATGAACATGTCATTAGTATGAACCAGTAGGTTTAGCTCGTATAGACAAATCTGTAACATTTTAGCCTTCAGCATACAATGCATTTTAATGTACTTCACAAATTATTACCACAAAGTCCATTTAATTTGCACTTTTAAATGGGTTACAAGAACATTTTTGTTTGAGAATATTTGCTAATGGCAATTTTGTTGTGTGTAGAAATTAATATGGAGTACCCTCTCTTTCCAGCTACAGAAGACTCCCAAGCTATAAAAATGCAGCTAGAGCAATATTTTCTAAAGTAACAATGTTACATTTTAAAGTAACACTAAAATTATTATTAAGAATATCTTCTGACCTTGGAAAGTTAAACTCCTTGCTTATTTTATTATCGTCTTACTACTGGAATAACTTGGCTTGTCTGAAGAACCTTAATTTCCATCTTTCACAGAAGTTTTTTCTGAAAGTCATGAGAAAATACACTTTTCACATGTAATTAACAAAGAGAGTATTTCTTAGTACTATAACAAAAACATCTTGAGAGGAAATAGGAAAAATTCAATGTAATTTAAAAATTGTAACTTTTTATTGTATGTAAGCTAAGCTGCTTTTAAGGGATTCATTTTTATGTTTTAGGTAAAGGGTTATATAGAGTTAATGCCATCTATTTTTGCTTTCTCTGGAATGTATGAGATGATATATTGCCTTCTTATTGCTGTTGCCACAAACTAAGTGTTACAACACTGTAACACAGCACTGAAACACACACACACACACACACACACACACACACACACACACACACACTCCTTATCTTACAGTGCTGGAGGTCAGAAGTCTTCACCGAGCTATAATTAAGGAGTTGGCCATGTTTCTGCTGAAAGCTTTTAGGGAAAATTTATCCTTTTTCCAGCTTCTGGAGGCCACCTGCCTTCCTTGGTTCATGACCTCTTCGTCCATCTTCAGTCAGCAGGGTAGCAATTTCAGATCTCTCTCTGACACTGCTGTCTCCCTCTTCCACTTATAAAAACTTTAATGATCACATTGTACCCATTCTGATAAGCTAGAACACTCTCCCTATATCAAGATTCTTAATCACATCTATACAGACGTCTTTTTTGCCTTGAAAGGTAATATATTCACAAGTTCTGAGGATTAGGACAAAGACATTTTTGTGGGATCATCATTCTGCCTATCACAAGAGCTTAGGAGCAAATATTTGCAATTTCTCTCTTCTTATAATATGAAGCGGGCTATCAGATGGACAGAGGATTATTGGATATACAGGGTATGTCAGAATATTAACTGTTGGTGAAATTCATTTGTGAGTTTGTTCTCTTATGACTGTAAACCTTGGAATCAAATGACTGGAAGTTTTTCTTAAATGTGAAGCCAAAGCTATTATTTGTCAGAATTCCTCATCAACCAGATATTTTTATAGCACTTTAGTTGAGGATACCAGATAAATGAGCAACTTCCTTTTTAGTCATTTGATATTAATGTTTCAGACATTTTTTAGTTTTTTATAAACAGCTTGAGTGCATAAAACATCTCTAATGAAAATTCAAATCTATTTAATACAGGCCTGTATACACATATACAAATGTTTAATAAAGGCCTCATAGAATATATAGATGAAATAGAACCAGGGAAACGCCAGCAGGGAAGGGCAAAGTTATGCAACATCTATAAAATACAGAAATATTAGTGTCTCTAGGAACACGGAAAAATTAAAAAAAAATTTTGACCCCTAGTGTATCTTCAAGAGGAACTTCAAGCATGTAAGAATATTAAACACATATTATATAGTACATTAAAAAAAGATCTCAGTAAAAAAGACATTTTTAACTTATAACAAACTCTAATAGTGAAGAGGATTGCAGGCTTTTCCATGCTCAGTGAGAAGGAAGGATGACTACAGTGAATGAGGCTGGCCTTGTGTGTGTGAGTAAGGGAGAGGAGAGGAGTCATGTTGCAACACAATTTGGCCTCCCTTTATTTAGTGTTTTGTTTGGCTTCCTCTTAATGAGCATACTCAAAAACATCAGGTTACGTCAAAGGACATGTGAAACGTGTTCTCAATATTGTTACTATTTTCCTAGTACCACTAAAAATAAGGAATGCATTCTTTGTTCTTCTGAGAAAGTTGGCAGATATCTTGTCAAAAGTGCATTCATATAAATGCATTAATAAAGATCATGGGATAGGTATATTGCCTTTTTCTCTTTTTTCGAGATGTCACAGTCGCCCAGGCTGGAGTGCAGTGGCGCAATCTTGGCTCACTGAAACCTCTGCCTCCTGGGTTCAAGTGATTTTCATGCCTTAGACTCCCGAGTACCTGGGATTACAGGCATGTGCCACCATGCCTGGCTAATTTTTGTGTTTTTAGTAGAGATGGGTTTTTACCATGTTGGCCAGGCTTGTCTCAAACTCCTGGCCTCAAGTCATCTGCCGACCTCGGCCTCCCAAAGTGCTGGGATTACATGCATGAGCCACCATGCCTGACCTTGCTTTTCATTATTTTCATTTCTTTAATTATTTTACTAGGACCACAGAAAATCAGAGAACCAATATTTTCCTCATATGGTTCTGTAAAGACCGATGATGAGATATTTTGTTTTAAAGTATAAAAGAAAACAAAAACAAAAAGACAAAACCAAAAGAAAAAAAAAGAAATCAAAACACTTCCACCTTGATTGACCAGAATACATTTTATAGTAGATAAAAGCTGTACAGGAAGAAGATACCAAGTACAGCCTGGGAATAATATGAAAAATCAAAGTACAAGACATGAGCAATAATAGAAAATAAATTTTAAAGAGTAATGAATGTCAGATAATTAATATTCATTAATCCCACAGATATCAGAAATGATTTATTTTGAGTATTTGGCATCAATGATGTTTATGTATTTCAAAATTTTGTAATTCAATGTGCAAATCAGGAGGCAATATAATGTGTTTAATTACAAAGAATTAGTCAGAACATTACTTTCTTTGGACAATATATTCTCAGAAACACAATGGAGCTTCCGTACTAATGCAAGATCAAAGGACCAAAATAATAATGTGCTGCCTCCAGAGAGGGCTACCCTGGAAGGGGGCTATAGAGCCTAGAAGAGCGGAGAAGAGGAAAGAACATTGGACTGTAAAATACATGAGTGTTTAAAGTGGGACCCAGTGGAGAGAATATTAAACTATTTTAACCTAGAATAAGCTTGAGTTTATTTTCAAAAAGATTCTGCAGAGTTTTGCTTGTCTATTTTTGTTTCTCTTTGAAAAAGCATGCATTCTTATTCTTGAACTACTGGTCAGGCATGCCTGAATAATGTCTGCAAGCAATGACATAGTGGTAAACTAGCTGTCTGGTAACACACACACACACACACACACACACTCTGACACACACACATACTCCCCAAAACAAAATTAAATCTGATGTGTAGCTTTTGCCAGTTTATACAGTGGAAATTCTTCCACCACCGTGGCTGATTTCCAGCTAACAACATAATATCATTGAATACAGGGTTTTGGAAGAGATGCACAGAATTGGCCCTAGCCAGCTTTAGCACCCCATTGTTTGGAATTCTAATGGTGTTGCTTTCTGACAGATGTCTGCATAATTGTTATTTGCATTATAATTGGAATGATTTTTCTTTCACTTTGTGGATTTCCTGAAACCTTAGAGTAGGGTGGAGCAGTAGTAAGCATATGATGGCCAGTCATATAAGTCTAGAAGTCGATTTCATATTTAAAGTATTAAAGTGAAACAAAATTTGCTACCTTCTGTATCAGTGCAGTGCCTTCAACAAGACCCTAAGATGGAATTAGAAGTGCAAGAGACTTTAGAGGGGGAAACACCTCTAGAATAAACAGGGGGTGAGTAAAGTGGATATGGACAGCCTTCAGACCATACTACAAGGCTGACATCTGAATAAGGTAAGAAGGTGGGAAGAAGAATTAGGTAAAAAGAGCCTCAGACTACAATGTAGCTTCGAGAAATTATTGGCCAGGTGCCCTGTGGGGAGACCCAAAAAGCAGAGATTAATTATTAAGGGAGCCCCCCTGTAGGCTGAAGTGACCCATCTCTAGTACCCACTCTCAGTTCAGTCATTGGCTGGGAACAACCAAAGGCTATAGCGGCTCATTTGGCAGATGCTTGCAATAGTCTCTTTTTGAAGGGACATCTAACTGACTTTCCTCCATGGATGACAAACTTTCTTTTTCCTCTAGAATGCAGAAATTATAAGCTTCATGTGGCAGGAAATTTTACCTGCTTTTTTCACTGATATATTGACAGCACCTAGAATAATAGCTGGCATATAGTGAATGGTTCATAAATATTCATTAAGTTAATTAACTATAGCTCATATTGGTATAGCCCTAGTCATTCATTCATAAAGATGTTTATATACAATTATTGAGCATCATCACATTATTATTGAGCCATTGCATTCTAGACTTAAAACATGTTTACTCACCTGGCAATACTAACTTACAGCTTCTTGAAAGAATAGTGACACTATTATAGTGTCACTGCAATGTTGTTTACAGACTGTAATGGGTTTATTAAGAACATTTTGTAGAATGACAGAGAAAGAGAAGTTACGAAAGACTTCCCATTAGAAGTGACCTTGTCTGATTTTGAATTATTCAATAATCTCAAGAGATTTAGTTAAATGAATTTTTTTTTCTGAAATGAAGGAAAGAAATCCAGTTTAACATATTGTGCAAATGACCATAAGTCCAGCTAACTAAGTTTATGAACCTCATAGAGTACAACTAAAACAGAGCCAAAAATTACTCATTAAGATGTAACCTGGTAAGGGGGTCTTTTGGACACTTACAAGAGTCCATTTCTACAGGTTCAGATAACCTATGTTTGTTAAAGTTATCCCTCAATTAGCCAGCTAAGGGAAAGAATTTGTGTGTCTCTAATTCTATGGAGAGAAAATAAGGGAAAATAAAAGAGAGGCATCTCATGCCACATATAATTTTTGGTCCCCTCAGTTATAAAGAGGTATATTTTAGGATTATTTTTTATATTTCAAATACAAATGCTACTATAGTGTTAATGAATGTCTTGATTCTTCCTGTGACTTTTGTCCTCCACTCCACCCACTCCTGCGTCAAGTTCTTTTGTAACGACATTGGGAGGCAGGAAGCTGAGGTTTCATCTGGACCCAGCAGTGCACACAAAAACTCAAGACCAGACTCACCACAGGATCTAGAGGTTTCTATTCAGTAGAGGAAGAGATGTTATTGTAATCAGGCTATTGGCATGTTCCTCTTAATTTTACAAGTGTTTCCATTCATTTATTTGCTCAAGGAGTATTCTATATATGTGACTTCTAGATTGACAGAAAGTAGAATGCTATAAGTCATAAAGGAAATATATATATTTTAAAGCTGACATTGAACGTTTTATGATCAAAAACAAGGTATTTTGAAATTAGAGTGGTTACAGGTAAGAAAAATGACAAGGGCAAGGCCATGGGAGTGTGCAACTGAAATGGAGTAGAGTCATTGGATATGAAGCCGTTGAAGAACTCAGAGGCTAGGGAGTTGCATGGTTGTCGACCTGAGTGCTGGATTCTCCATGATGATGGGAGAACTTGGAATACACATGAAGTGTGTAAGTAAGGGGTTGCAGTTTGCCTGAATGAAGAGTATAGGTGACAGTTCTGTGGATGAGAGCAACTAGAAGAGGAGGGGATGGTATTTCCAGGTATGTCCTTCAAAAATGATTGCTTTAGAGCATCAGGGAGTGATGATCAGGAACAGTGTTTGAGATTGGGGAGGATCTGGATCATACCTCCCGACCCCCAAAAGTAAAAGAAAAACCAACCACCACATGAAAGTACTGCAAAGAAAACACGTCCTAGGGCCAGATATCAAAGTAAGGCTGGGAGGCAGTATGAGTGAAATAGCCTAACCTCAGCTGCTAAAGAACCAAGGTGAGTTAGCACTGAAGAGAAAGGAAAAATTCCATTTTAATTTAGTATTGTTTGTATTCGCATTTTCCTCTGCCCTCACTAAAGCCTTGTATTTGGAAATGTTCAAGATCCATTATAGATTGCTGCCATCATTATATTGGAGGGTGGACTCATTTTGCCTTCCTCCTTATCCATGAACACTGAGGGCAAAAATTAGCATAGGTCAAACAGATAGAACAGCAGGCCTAATGGGAACAATAAACTCATTTCTTGTTTCTGTTATTACAGTTTCACAGATCTGTTTCAGACAGATATTTGTATTTTCTGTTTGTTTTAAGAAGAATATAAACATGATATAAATTTGGTCAAGTGTTACGATACACTTTGTGAAACAATTGCTCTCTGCACTGGTAATGCAAAGGAGTTGTAAAAACCCTCTGCAGAGCTGTTTTAGATGTTAAAGTGACTTTTCCTTCCTTTTGTCATTTGCTGGCACGTGGGAAACTGTTTCTAAGTTATGCTTGAGGAAAAGTTTGAAATGGGCACATGTTTTAACTACCATTTTCCTCGAATAACTGACCAGTCTTTTCTTTATACCTTTCCCATCTTTGGGTGCCACTGTTCTCTCCAGGCACTACCCTGTCTCTTTACAACTGCCCTCAGAAATGCCTAATCCTACTGGGATGAGCCACCCAATACTTCCCATTAAAGCAATGTCCTCTTCCTCTCCATTCAACTGAAATCTTACCTTTACAGTATCCCAATTTTCTGAATATGTACTTACATTCTCCTCACAGAGCTTTTAGCCAAAGTATTTAAACTCAAATGAAAGGATTTTCCAGCAATCAAAATACTGGGGGAACAGGAAACGATTTCTTAAATTAGAACATGCCAACAATTGCTTATGACATCTACTGCAACCTCAAATTTTCATTACAAAGGATTTGTCCTTCTTAAAGAGAACAAAGCCTCTAAATTTCACAATTGCAGAATTATTGACAGAGCTCAGAAATCAATCAAGAAATCAAACAAAATATTTGCTAATATCTGCTAGACAAAATAGGCAGCTCTGGGTTCATACAAACTGGCCAAAGCTTTGCCCACCAGAAAAAACCTTGGATATAAGATCCAGTCAGCTGCTTGTCTCAGTCATGAGATGCAGAGTTCTTGTAACCATGGCGACAGAAGAAAGAAGAGAAGGTCATGTCACTATCCTTGAGGACTTCAGATACAAAAGAAATGAATCAGAATGCAAAACTTTGCTCACAACCATCAGCACCAAGTCCATAGGCATATAGTCCAAACTCCATACTAAATGAAGTTGAACCTGGGCAAGGAGATGATTTCTCGGGACACATCCAAGATACAGAAACAGCTGGCTACCGACTTGACATGTCTCTGTTTATTTTTCTCATAAACATGGGCTTTCCTCTAAAATTTACTTTCTTCAACTAGATGTGGTGGTATATATTCCCTCTGAAGTAGTGTGGGTTTGAAGAAAAAGTTCAGTAAATATAGTTCAATTAGTAGGTTGGTACTGAAATCAAGAACAGCTACATAATTCACTTTTACATCCATTCATTTGCCTTTTATTAAGCTTTTCAACTAATTTTTATTAGGGGCTAAGCATGTGTCGGGCTTTGATAACAATAGTAAATAATATGTGGTTCTTAGCCTTAAAAATTCTAAAATTGTACTTACCCATGAGTGAAGGCCATAACTGCATCATAAAAGAGATGTTACACAATCCTGTATGCTGGCAATATACACTTGACTAGTTGAGTTTAGATAGATGCTTTGCAACTGAGCTTATTGTAGGTGGTTTAGGTGTTTCTAAGAAAATAATTGTATACTTGTTAAAAAAAACTCAATAACATTTGTGAATGAGATTAGGACCTCCAGAAAGCTTCTTTCTTGGCATCCTTTACAATAAATGGTAAATAGTAAAATTTAGTGACACAGCCATAACTGTGCAACTCTGTCAAGGCATTTGGCCTATGTCTTTGCCCATTTGGGCAGCTATGGCAAAATACCATAAACTGAGTGGCTTATAAGTAACAGAAACTTATTTCTGACAGTTCTGGAGACTGGAATATCCAAGATCAAGGTGCTGGCAGATTTTGTGTCCAGTGAGTCCCCACTACCCGGTTCATAGACAGTCATCCTCTCATAGTGTCCTCACATGGTGGAAGGGGTTAAGGGCTCTCTGGAGACTCTTTTATAAGGTCACTGATTTGATTCATGAGAGCTTCATACTCATGGCCTAATCACCCACTAAAGGCCCCACCTCCATTCCATCACCTTAGTGGTCAAGATTTCAACATGCAAATTTTGGATGAACACAAGCATTCACACCATAGCAGCTTAGAAATGATTTAGATTAAAAAAAGATGGTGGTTGTGTAATCACTGGCACCCAGCCTCTTTGCTAGGAGTAACTTGAGGAAGGAATTTGATATTATTTTGAAGATGAAACTTAACCTTCACATTCATGAATTAGTGAAAGTATCAAGTATTGCGAGACCACAAATGCTTTGATGCAAGAAAATCTGCTGCAAAGAACTCTTTCTAAAAGTAATGTTTTGAGGTGACTGTTGAAATTATCCAAATGTGTGTCTCCTTGGGATAGTCAAAGCTATGGTTTGAATTGTGTTTTTCCCCAAATTTGTATGTTAAAATCCTAACCCTCAAACCTCAGAATGTGACTTTATTTAGAAATACAGTGATTGCAGATGTAAGTGTTTAAAATGAGGTCTTTAGGATGGATCCTAATCCAATATGACTGGTGTCCTCATAAAAGGGGAGAAATTTGGACACAAATACACACACATGGATAACACCATGCAAAGATGAAGGCAGGGATAGCCAAAGAATGAAGCCAAAGAATGACAAACATTGCCAGCAAACCACCAGAAACTGGGAGGAAGGCACGGGGCAGATTTTCTCTCACAGCCTTCAGAAGGAATAGACCTGGATACACCTTGATCTTGGACTTCTAGCTTCCAGAAATGTGAGACAATAAATTTCTGTTGTATAAACCACCTAGTATGTGCAGTTTGTTATAGCAGTCCTAGCAAACTAATATACCCAGTTTAGAAAGCTTCATACTCATTGATTCACTCTATTGGAACAGCCATGGGACTGAAAATGTTGCAGCATTTCCCCAAGAATGGATATACGCAAAGGGCTTAGGACAGGTTGGGACACAGTTTATGACACTTATTATCTTATTCCCCTAAGATAATGATCAGTATAAGGAAAGCAAACAAATAAAGCAGCTTAAACATACATCTAGAAAGTGAAATGATGTCATAATATAGTTTTTTTCACTTAAAACATATATTGACAGTATCTTAAAAAAAGTATTGAAAAAAATACTTCTTTGACCTCCTGATAGAGAGAACCAGAGGAACTATCAAGATAATAAAAGATAATAAAGGAGAATTCAGCAGCGCTGTATGATTCCACAACCACAATTTCATCAGGAAAGGAAAGCGTAGCATATATAACACTCAGAAGATAAAGAAAGTGATGTTTATAAATTTTTTTCTCATGTTTTAATCTCTACACCAATAATGGCAAAAATGCAAGGGTCAGGGAAGGTGGAAAAAGGAACAAGGAAATACATTTGAGGTCAATAAAGGTGATTCTTTGCAAGGTCACTATCCAGCCTTCTAGAAAATCAAGCCAGCAGAATTCTCTTTGATCTGCAGTTACTTTGTACTGATTCAGAAATCAGCGATTTTCACAAATTATTTGAAAAAGCAATTTTGGGAAGATGGAGAAGCTTGAATAGATTTTCTGACATAAAATGATGGCGCTTTCAATGACCTATTTTCTTTGCCAGGTTGGTCCAATCTCTTGCCAGCTCCTCCATATTGTTGCCTTTTGTCTTCTTTCATTTAGAATCAGGGGACTGTTCAGTCCCTTCACCTCACCCCTTCACTTTCTTAAGTGAACTAGTGAGTAAACTAGAAAAGGGAGGTGAAATATGTTGCATTTATCTTAGGTCCCTGAATTATTTCATCTAAGTAAAACCTCAATATGATTTTCCTCTACATGACATTTTCCTTAGCCAATTAATGGCATCCATTTGTCCGCAGGGATGCGTTGCACATGAGAGTGAGAACAAATTGTTACAATGAAATTAAAAACATTCAGAACAGTATTGTGCATCAGGAAGACAGATTTGAAAGGCTTTCCGTATATGGAGAAGATCTTCTGTATTCCATTTGCTGTGTACCTCAGCATACTGGTGGATTAGGAATGGGTTATAGGCATGTGAAAAGGTTTATTTGCTCAGAATTGCTGGGTGTCAGGAGCACAGGGGTTAAAGTAAGACCTGGGGTCTGGAATGCACGTAGGCAAAACTCGTTAGGATTAGACTTTCAGATCCTAACCAAGACAAGCAAACATGGACCTCGAGTTATACAAGCTGCTAGATTTATTCCAGCAGGCTGAGCAGCAACCTGGAGAGCAAAGAATGTCACCATGGAAACCAAAGGAATTAAAGGATAGTATGTGGATTCAAGATTTACTTTACTCTTTCTCTTTGAGGTCACAAAAGCCACAAACCTCCATCAGGAGAGGAGATGTGGAATCTGTGAGATTACATATTCCACCTAAAAGCACTATTTAAATTATTGTACCTGGCTAGTATTTCCAGATTGGGCAAATTAAATGTAGCATTTTCCCCCTACTATCCAAGATTTGTGACTTTTGAGGAAAATAAGAACAGTTGTAAAGAATGAAGGAGACATATTCTTTTTGCACATCCCTGTTACAGTGTGAGTATATCTGCTAGGCTACTTAATTTTGTTGACTTTGCTCAGTTTCTTGCTTGTTTGATTCTCAGGATGAGATGGACCAGGAATTAGATGCCAGTGACCAAAGTGAAAAGGATATGAACAGGAACATTCTGTTCTCTCAACGGTTTCTCCCACTGACTAGCTAGCTCTCTTCCCTTCTCAAGAGAACTGATAATCTATGAGTGCTTCTGCAGTCATGAGGGGCTTTGGGTCTCTGCAAAACTCTTTTCTCAGGTTTAATATAATTGTGGGTACCGATTTTTCAGTGCTGTAAGCTCCTGGGTCCACTGAAGGCAACCTGGTGGCTCAAAGAAACTTGATGATTGAATCAGTGGTATTGTTCTTCTCAAATGATAATATAGGTCTTAAAAATTCCAATGTGACATAGGTAATTTTATAAAATACATTAAAAATGAGTCACTGAGGTTGAGAAAATTTCAGCCTGTTCCTGAAGATCATGGAGCATTGTTGGTAGCACTGATAAATGGCAAAGTTAGGACCTTAGCCCAGATTATTTGCTCCTAAGCTCATTGGGTTTACACTTTTGCTTTTCTTTAGATTCATAACTATTGCATCAAAGACAGTTATCGTACACTCCTCTAATCTTAGGAAAAAAGAAAAATGTTTGAGACAGATTGGTTAAGCATTCAAAGCCAGGGTCTTGCACTGGATACTGTATAACCATTAATTTAAAATGATCCAGTTTTGTTTAATCAGAGTTTACATAGAAAGGAGTAATGATTGGGGAACGAGCTTTGCATTTAGATCATGATACATTAAACAAAAATGCTTCAAAGACAAGCAAGGAAAATATTGAGGGTCTTTGTTTTATAAATGACAGTGCTGCATTAAGAATGCTTCTGAGTGTAGGTAACTCTCCTAAAAAAGAAAATCATGGGTGGTAGAAAATTAAAACTCTTAATTGTGTTAATTTCAAGATTCTGAAAGGTAGGAGACATTTATCTTTCAATATAAAAGACTGAACATATAAAAAGACATTTAAAGAAAAATGTTAATGGAAATAAAAACAGGTGGTATGTAAATTGCTAACAATAACCTCTGTAATTTGATGTATTAATATGAGTTTCAGGTGAGCAGGAAAACAGAACAGTTAGTAGAGAATATGATGCATTTGTTAGCTTAACTGCATTGGGCTCCATTAGCACTAAAGAAAGTATTGGTTTCTATTTTATCTTTGGTTTTAAGAAAGGCTGTTTTTCCAGGCTTTGAATTAGTGTTAATAGGACAACTATTTCACACTGGATAACTACAAATTGCTTACTTAGGTGTTCTATGGTTCAATAACTAAGCATGGATGAATATGTAATTAGCTTTTAAACACTACCCTAAAAGGCAATATACAATTGCTGTTCCATAGAACTTCATTTAACATGCCCCTAAGCATTTTTGTAATGTTAAATAGAGTGTGTTACCTGGTATTTGCGTCATTGCAGTGAATTTATCCCCCAATAGGCACAAAATCCATATAAATGTCTGAGAAGAACTATTTAGTGTAGTGGTATAAATGCAAAATCTGTTATAGGGACTAGAATACACAGAATATCAAGGAAACAGAGGAAACAGCCATATAGCTGGAAAGTCTTCACAGAATTCAGCTTCATTTGAAGACGCAATATAAAGGACCAAATATAAAATGAATATTGTTTTAGAAATAATGTAGCAAATACTTAAGTAGGTGTTTGCTAAAACGTCTAGAAAAAGAAACTAGGAGCCGGGTGCAGTGGCTCACGCCTGTAATCCTAGCACTTTGGGAGGCCGAGGTGGACGTAAGGTCAAAAGTTTGAGGGAGATCAGCCTGGCCAAAATGATAAAACCCCGTCTCTACCAAGAATACAAAACTTAGTTGGGTGTGGTGGCGCAAGCCTGTAATCCCAGCCACTCTGGAGGTTGAGGTAGGAGAATCGCTTGAACCTGGGAGGCGGAGGTTGCAGTGAGCTGAGATCGCGCCATTGCACTCCAGCCTGGGCAACAGAGCAAGACTCATTGTCTCAGACCAAAAAAAAAAAAAAAGAAAAAAGAAAGAAAGAAAGAAAAAAGAAAAAGGAGGGGTACCAGCTGAAGTTCAGTCAGGAAATTGTTAGAGTTTATTAAAAATTCTATCTAAAAATAAGAATGTCTCTGAAATTGTCACAAGGAAAATTCTTCCTCCTCCTGAGAGAATTTTTATGGATGGTGAGATGCTAGAAAAACTTTCTGAAACATGTTATAATTGCAAGAAAAACATAAAATAGAAAAATACATAATACAAAGTTATTGTTTGAACTACCATTAACATAAGGAGAAAACTAAAGATTGCCCACTGATTGTTCAATTCAGTACTTGGATTAATACTATGGTGATGTCTTTTCAGCCTATTATTCAGTATTTTACTGGATTCAGGAAGGAGATTGCATGACCGTTTTATAGAAGGATCAATAATTCCTGTAACCCGTGGGCTCTGATTTGTGGCATCTTTGTACAAGCTAAGCAGGTTCAGGGGCTTTTGAAAAAATCTCTGCTTATCCATAATTAATAATAGAAAATGATCAATGAAAGATCGTTTCCAAATGCATTCGGTAGGCTTGTTAGTGAAATGACTTAAAGTAAGAAAAACTGTCTTTTATTTCCATTTGATTACCCAGCTATAGTCCCGGTTCACACATCTGTGCATAAAAGACTTTTTCATTTTATGTCTGCATAAAAATAGGTTTATTTTTAATTCTGAGGAAAACCTTCTGTTATTCTATTTTTTTGGATTTTTACTTTATGATTATTTTCTTCATTGTTACTTGTTTTTTGCTTATTAAAATAAGCATGCTCTTGGCATAAAACTTAGAAGTATAGAGATGCTTATGTGGACTCCGCATTGTACACCCTACTCTGGGAAGGTCACTTTTGAGTGAGGGTGGACTTGGATTGGGAGACTTAATAAAAAAGGATTATTGGAAGTAGGAAATGCATGAAAGGTAGTGAATAAAAATAAAAATAATTAGCTTGATATATTCAAGAGAAACTCTAAGGGTTTCCAGACTTAGTAAAGAGAGAGAGAGAGAGAGAGAGAAAGAAAGAAAGAAAGAAAGAAAGAAAGAAAGAAAGAAAGAAAGAAAGAAGATAGATATGAGAGAGACAGAGAGAGAGAGAGAGAGAGAACAAGGAGGAGAAAAGGCAGAATTATTCAATGGCATTTTCGTCCCTAAGAATAATTTTCAATTATAGCTAAAACTGGGAATGCCCTACTCCCATTTCCCTGCAATGGATGTATCCCTAGGCCCATGACATATGCACTAATTTTTACAAAATACAAGCAGTAATGAACGGTGGAGCTGCAATAGTCTAATTAGCTCCACCATGAAGGAATGTTTAGGGGAAGAATTTGGGAGAAGTTTGTGATACAAACCAGGAACTAGCTCATTAGCATTATCTGAAAACTGTGAAGGAGCTTCTGGATACTAGTAATATATTTGCTTCTCTTCTTGTTTCTACAATTAAAGATTATCTTCGCTTCAGTAGCATTATGTAGAAGAATCATGGACAAGAAAAATGCAGATGTTCATTCTCCTGGTGCCTTTCATGGTTGATCTGGATGCTGAGCAATCCTGGCAACTCTCTATGAAAAATGCTTCTCTGTCTTTCTCATCACCCAGGAGGCTTGTATCTCTAGGAGCAGGAAAAATAAACAGAAAAATCAATCAGTAGCTTCTCACTCAGAAGCAACATAAGCAATATTGTCGATGTATATTACATTTTTTTCTATGTATTTTTTACATAGCTGAGAGTATACTGTATTATGTAATCTTGTAAACATGCTTGCTTTTGCATATATATGCATACCTATGTATTTACTTTTGTATTTTATATCATTAAGCATTCATCAAAACATGATTTTAGTGGTTGCATTTTTGCTGTTGTGAAAGACTTAGAGAGTTTATGTTAATACAGTAAAAATTTTCTACATATTATTTCATATTGTCAATATTCTTAGCTTTCATAACTATTCTCATCTTAATAGAAGAATAAATCATTTCCTTGTTTCACAATTACAACCATGCTGCAGTGAAAACCCTCACACATTCTTCTACATATGTATATCTGTACATGACAGGTATTTAGATATGTGATTATTCGATTGAAGAGTATGCACATTTCTTGGATAAGTCCCATGGAACTGTGCTGAAAAGTGTTTATTTAAACTTCTCCTTCAGCATCGTTGCATGCACTGTCACCACAAGCCTTACAAGTCGTGGAAGGTTCACTGATAGGATCATGGTCAAGAAGTCATGCCAAGAAGGAGCTTCTTTCATCTTCACTGTCTTCCTCCCCAAGTTCCTTTTTTCCCAACATGCATCCGTCTCTCAAAATGCCTCTATCAGGTGCCCCTCCCTTCTCCTTTGGGAAACTCTATTCCTCCCCACAGAAAGAGAAAACTTATCTTCCTCATGTATTTCAGTATCCTGCAAACTTAAGTGGTACCTTAAGATGGGCACTTCGGGGGGTCTCCTCTGCTTCATCATAACAAGCTCTGTGCAATGCAGTGGGCTCTAAAATTTCTGAGTGTTCAGTTCTAGTTCAGACTTCTTACTGAAATACTCCCCTGTAAATTAGCCATGACTGATTTTCTTACGAGGTATCATGTTTACTCAGAAATAATTCAGTCTGTATTTGCATTAAGGAAAGGAAGCTTTTCCTGTCCAAATGGCCTTGTCCTTGATCTTTTTAGCATAATAGATTTTGCCATAATTGTACAAAGCCTAAGCTCAGCTTGCAATACAAGAGAAACAACACTGGATATGCATGGTGCTGCCCTGTAGGAATTATACCATCTCTGATGACATCCTTTTGCTCCAAATTTAAAGGGATATATGGGAGAAGGCAGATTTTATATTCATAACTCTACATGTGCACATTTAATTTAACTCTCACATCTTCAGATGGGATACTGAAGTCTGGAGTGGCTAAATAATTTGTTTAAGATCACAAAGGGAATTCAAAAGAGCAGGGGTTGATCTAACTCTCTGAGGCCATGAAGTTAATTCCTAGTCAAGAGCAATAATAATGCAATAACCTTTAAATCATTTCACCGTGTGTTAGTCACAGTTTGAAATCCTTTTTACGTATTAACAACACTATGAAGTAGACTCTTTTATTATTGTCACCTGACACAATTCTTTAAACGGTATTGCTATAGCCATTTTATAAAGGAAAAACTGGTAACAGAGAGGTTATACATGTCATACATCTAGGAAGTAAGAAACCAGGATTTGTGATAATTGTCTTTGTGCTTAAACT
Source organism: Homo sapiens (assembly GCF_000001405.40). NCBI lineage: Eukaryota > Metazoa > Chordata > Mammalia > Primates > Hominidae > Homo > Homo sapiens. The sequence goes on along the minus strand of NC_000008.11, from coordinate 79,312,343 downwards.
CTGCATCATATTATTTCACATTCACAGCATAACTTCTTCTGCTTTTATTTTAGAAAATTTGGTTTGTGGCTATCATATTGGACACCTTTAAAAAAACCTAAAAATTGTTTCTGCAGTTCTCACATCTGCCATTTTTATAACTACTACAGTTTCCACTTGACAGACATAAGAGAATACGGAGAGTTAAGCTCACAGTCCTCTGGAGTCACCAAACTGTGACTAATGTTGAATGGACAGCCAGCTCACCTCCTCTTGCATCTCTTTCCTTTTCTCTGTCTCTTTTGTTGCTTCAATTGCACTAATGCCTTTTTCTTTTTTTGCACTTCTATTCACTTCATGAAGAAGAAAAGAAAATACATTGTATTTAAAAAATACATTCTTTCTGTTCTAGCTAGTCCTGCCAAGGCCAATCTTTACTGCTTTCTAGTTGCCCATGTGGAACACCTTTTTTTTCCCTTTCTATTCACTTCTATCCCTCTTTTCCATTTTACCTTTTAATAATTTGCATAGATCATTTTGACTATTTTTCTTTTGCTAGTATCATCCCCATTTGCTTGAGATTATCTAATTAGCATTTCTTATTCTCTTTTTCGTGTACATACAATCCTCGGCTTATGATGGTTTAACCCATATTTTTTGACTCTACAATGAATGTATCAGGAAAGTGACCCCATGTTAAGTCGAGGAGCTCCTTATGTCTTATTATGAGGTTAGACTTTCTACCAAAAGAATAGTACTTTTGCACCATTGTAAAGTCATAAAAACATATGTTGAATAGTAATAAGTTTGAGGTTGTCTGCTGTGTTGCCAGCTTCAAATGTATTTTCAATTTATATTTTCAACTTGTGATGGGTTTATCAGGATGTGACCGCATCATCAGTCAAGGAGAATCTGCACATCTATTTTCTACTCATGTTTATATGGCTCCTAATTTAACAGCTGTCATTCATCGCTTGGTAGCTCATTGTGTGTCCTATTAACTGGTACATGAATTTTTGCTTTTAGTAATTTTTTTCTCCAACCATTTCCTAGGTTTCTTCCTTTTAGCTTGAACAGAAACAAGAGCATGTTTACTAGAAACAAAGAAAATTATTGTTTCACATTTGTCTACCTAAGACAGGTTTCCAAGTTCCCTATGATGACTTTTCCTAGTTTAGTTCACCTGAAGAATTTCTAGAGACCTTCAAGACTCCTTTACTCATTTCCCCTCAGAGCCTTCTTTGACTCTCATTATTTCCTATTTTAATAGGATTCCATTATCTGTATGTACCTGTGTATTTGCTTCCCTGTATTATAATTGTTTACCTTATCGTCCACGTAGTCTCATTCCCAGATTGAGAACTCCTTGAGGACTGATGTTTTCAGCTTTATCTTTGTATTCTCTAGCCCAGAAGAATCCTTAGGCAGGCCAAACCAAGCACATGATAAATGAATGAATGACTAAGGGTAGAACAAAGATTAGATAAACTAATCTTCGCCCTTACTACTTTGGAGTTTCTATTATCCTGGGTTCTCTAGAGAAATAGAACCAACAGGACAGGGGTCCCCAACCCCGAGGCTGCAGACCAGTACCAGTCCATGGCCTGTTAGTAACTGGGCTGCACAGCAAGAGGTGAGTGGCAGGCTAGCAAGCATTACTTTCTGAGCTCTGCCTCCTGTTAGATCAGCAGCTGAATTAGCTTCTCATAGGAGCGTGGACGCTATCGTCAACTCTAGGTTGCACGCTCCTTGTGAGAATCTAACCAATGCCTGATGATCTGAGGTGGAACAGTTTCATCCTGAAACCATCCCCTCATCCCGGCACCCAACCCGCGACCCCCACCCACGAGCCAAGCTGTTCATGTAAAAATTGTCTTCCACAAAACCAATCCCTGGTGCCAAAAAGTTGAAATACTGGGGACTGCTGCAATAGGAGATTTCATGTGTCTGTGTGTATGAAAATTTCATGTACATGAAATCTCCTCTCTCTCTCTATGTGTGTGTGTGTGTGTGTGTGTGTGTGTGTGTGTGTGTGTGTGTGTGTATGAATTGGCTTATGCAGTCATGGAGGCTGCGAAGTCCCAAGATCTGTAGTCGACAAGCTGGAGACTCAGGAGAGCTAATGATGTAAGTACCAGTCCAAGTCTTAGTCTGAAGGAAGGAGAAGACTGATATCCCCGCTCAAAGACAGTCAGGAACAGGGAAAGAGCAAATTCTCCATTATTGAACCTTATTTTAAAAAATTCAGATCCTCAATGAATTAAATGATGCCCGCCCACTGTAGGGAGGGCAATTTGTTCCACTCAGTGTATAGATTCAAATGTTTATCTCATTCAGAAACACCCTCACAGACACATCCATAATGATGTTTACCCAAATATCCAGGCATCCCATGGCCCAGTTAAGTTGACACATAAGTTTAATCAAAACAAACTTTATGATGAAAGTAAGATTATCACAGGTAACAATGATGAGAAAGTAGTATCTGGCAATAAATACCCATATCTAAAAACAAAAATTGACAAGTGGGACCTAATTAAACTAGAGTTTCTGTACAGCAAAAGAAAATATCAACAGAGTAAACAGATAACCTATAGAAACTACTAGAAACTCAAACAATTCAACAAGCCAAAAACAGATAACCCCATTAAAAAGACTAAAGAAATGAACAGACACTTCTCAAAAGAAGACATACAAAAAAAGACCAATAAACATATTAAAAAAATGCTTAACATCACTAATCATCAGAGAAATGCAAATCAAAACCACAATGAGATACCATGTCACACCAGTGAGAATGGCTATTATCAAAAAGTCAAAACACAGATGTTGGCAAGGCTTCAGAGAAAAGAACACTTATACACTGTTTGTGGAAATGCAAATTAATTCAGCCACTTTGGAAAGCAGTTTGGAGATTTCTCGAAGAACTTAAGACAGAACTACCATTTAACCCAGCAATCCATTACTGGGCGCATACCCAAATAAAAATATTCTACCAAAAAGACACATGCACTCCTATGCTCATCGCAGTACTACTTACAAGCAAGAACATGGAATCAACCTAGGTGCCCATCAGTGGTGGATTGGATAGAGGAAATATGGTACATATACACCATGGATTACTATACACCCTTAAAAATAATGAAACCATGTCCTTTGCAGTAACATGGATGCTGCTGGAGGCTATTATTGTAAGTGAATTAATGCAGAAATAGAAAACAAAATACCACATGTTCTCACTTATAAGTGGGAGCTAAATATTGAATATTTATGACATAAAGAGGGCAACAATAGACACATGGGACTACTGGTGGGGAGAGAGAGAAGGGAATAAGTGTTGAAAAACTATTGCTACTATGCTCACTATGTTGGTGATGGGATCTTTTGTACCCCAAACCTTAGCATCATGCGATATACCAATGTATACAACAAACCTATACATGTACCCCTTGATTCTAAAATAAAAGTTGGAATTATTTTTAAAAAGCAAAGCAATAAAAATGAAATAAATAAATAAAAATTCATGGAATAAACATTGCCTGCCTGACTTATAAGCTTGATGTAAGATTTTAAAATAATGTTTGTAGTTTTGCTTATTATAAAAATTATATATGTACACTACAGATAATCTGGAATAAACAAAGCATTACAAGTAAGAAATAAACCTGCTTGTAATATCACATCCAGAAATTCTTTGTTAATATTCTGTTGCATTTTTTAGTTTCTAAAAGTATAAGTATACAAAGTTGGGGTCTGTTTTTTAGTCCCTACATCCCAATTACATCTTTTTAAAAATAATATTTTAATATTTATAAAGTTGGTTCTGGGCACTTCAGACTTTGGGAGATGAGTATCAGGGGAAGATGCACGACTTCTTATATTTACTTTCTCACCAGGTTTGGGGGCATTTAAGTGTGGGTATTTTTCCCTACAATCCCAGATTCTATCTGGCTGTGACCTAGTGCTTTTGCACATAACTTTATGTAGTGCTTTCCTCCTGTCAGCTCCTGAGCATCCACTGAAAAATTACCAGCGCTCCCTGGGGGCATTTTGTTGTGCATCATCTCTGCTGGTGATCGTTAACCAAACACCTGTGAATCAGTTTCAAAAGCATAATTTTTTAAAGCTCTTTTTGGTTTATTGAGCTCATGGGTAGACAGACAAAGCAATTCTGCTAGAGCTGGTGTTTACCATTTGTCATTCCACAACCTTTGCTTGGCCCTAATGCAGGAGAGGGACCACAGCCTGATCATCCTTGGTTGAGAAATGTAAACCTAATGACAGTGTTTCAGCATGTGCAATGAACTGCTTTTTAAGGAGACTAAAGTGATGGAATCAGCCTGTGTTTTCTTGACTTAAAATCCTCATGTAAAATCTAAATTCTTTATTCAAACTTTATTTCAGGAACTCTTTATATTACTTTAATATAAAATATATTATTCTCTATATTTTAATAATAGATTCTAATGCCTTTAGTGTGCTTATAATGTACCAAAAATGTCTTAAGCACTTAAGTTACTTCATTTAAGCCCACAACGCAGTCGTGAGGCAAGTACTATATGATGTCAGATGAAGAAGAATTGTGGAGGTAAAGCAACTCACATAGGTCACTGTTCTGGTTAGCAAAGGAAAAAACAATGACCTCTGATTCCAGTGTCCATATACCTAACCACCATGCTGTACTGCCTCCTCCCAGAGAGCCAAGGATGGAGAGAAAAACAACCCTTCTGTGAATATTTGACACTCCTTGTATAAAGCTGTTAATACATTTAAGCTAACCTAGTCTTGAAATTTAGGAAGTGTGTCTTATTCGTATTGTATTGAGCTTAGCATCTCAAATCAATGACCACAAAAACTTTCAAGAAGGTAACAATTGAGTGATGTATGTAAGATGATATTAATAGAATAGGAGTTTCTACTACTCATCCCTTGACAGAAACATCAGCTTGAGCACAATAATCATCCAAGCATGAAAACACCTTCACAATTCCTAAGGGATCTAAATGAGAGATTACAGTATCTGGGTAGAGCACAGAGATAAGAAGATGCATTGAAGAGGAGAGAAAGTATAGTTTTACATTACCTATGCCACTTCTCCTCAACCCCAGGCAGCACATGAAGGAGAGACGTACCATCTACTTGGGGAAAGAAAGAGAGATGAGCACTGGTCTTCAACACGAACCCCGCCAGCCTGAGGCTGCCCCAGTGAATGCTGACATCAGGCTAGCTACTGTAAATTCAGTCTCCAGGCCTGCCCCAGTGGCAGGCTGGTCCATGTGGGATTGAATTCTGTAAAGTTGAAGAATACTATATTAACATACAAAAACTAGTAGAGTTTCTATGCACTAATGACAAATTACCTGAAAAAAGAAATAAAATCTCATTTGCAGTAGCAGAAAAAATTCCTGAATAACTTATACATTAAAAACTATAAAACATTGGTAAAAGAAATTGCAGAAGACACAAATATATGAAAACCTATCACATGTTTATGGATTGAAAGAATTAATATTGTTAAAATGTCCGTGCTACCCAAAACTATCTACAGATTCAAGGCATTCTTTATCAAAATTTCAATGACATTTTTCACAAAAATAGAAAACAATTGTAAGATTTATATGGAACCATAAAAGACTGCATAGCCAAAGTCATCTTGAGCAAAAAGAACAAAGCTGGAGCCTTCACAGTGCTTGATTTCAAAATATACTGCAAAGCTATAATAATCAAAATAGCAGTGTACTATTGGAATGGGATAGAGAGCTCAGCAATAAATTCACGCATCCAAGGTCAATTGATCTTCCACAAAAGTGCCAAGAACACACAAAGAGGTGATGGAAAAGCTGGATATCCACATGCCCAGAAGAAAATTCGACCCTTATCTCATACCTTGTAAAAAACAAAATTAAATCAAAATAAAGACTTAAATGTAAGTCCTAAAAATGTAAAAGTATCAGAGAAACATAGGGAAAGAGCTTCTTGACTTTTACCTTGGCAATGATATTTTGAATATGACACCAAAAGCAGAGTCAATAAAGCAAAAACAGATAAATGAGATTGCATCAAACTAAAAAGATTCTGAATAGCAACAAAAAGACTCAGTAGAGTGAAGAGACAATTACGGAATGGAAAATATATTTGCGAACTCTACACATCCAATAAAGGGTCAGTTTCCAAAATATATAAGGAACTCAAACAACTCAATAGCAAGAAAACAAATAACCCAATTTTAAAAATGGACAAAGGACCAAAATAGATATCTCAAAAGAAGACATACAAATGGCCAAAAAGTATATGAAAAAATACCCAAGGTTGCTAATCACCAAGAAAATGCAAATCAAAACCACAATGTGATAGCACCTCACACCTGTCAAAATGGCTGCTATAAAAAAGACAAAAGGTAAGTGTTGCTGATGATGTAGAAAAAGGAAATCCTTGTCACTGTTGGTGGGAATGTAAATTAGTACAGTCATTAGAGAAAACAGCATGGAGTTTTGTCAAAAAAAATAAAAATAGACTTAGCATATAACCCAGCAATCTCACTTCCGGATTTACAGCCAAAGGAAATGAAATCAGTATCTCAAAGAGATATCTGTACTTCTGTGCTAATTGTAGCACTATTCAAAATAGCCAAGATACGATGTCAACCTAGGTGTCCATAGATGGATGAATGGATATATAAAATAGCATACAATGGAATATTATTCAGCCTTAAAAAAGGAGGAAATCCTGTCATCTGTGACAACATGAATGAACTTGGAGAAGGTTATGCTAAGTAAAGCAAGCCAGGCATAAAAAGACTAAATATTGCTTGCTCTCACTTATATATGGAATATAAAAAAGTTGAACTCATAGAAGCAGAGAGTAGAATGATCGTTGTCAGAGGCTGGTTGAATGGGAGAAATGGGGAGATGTTGGACAAAGAGTACAAAGTTTCAGTTATGAGGATGTATCAGGTCTGGAGACCTAATGTACAGCATGGTGACTATGGTTAGTAATACTGTATGATATACTTTAAATTTGCTAAGACAGCATATTTTATTTTATTTATTTTTAAGACAGAATCTCACTTTGTTACACAGGCTGGAGTGCAGTGGCATGATCTTGGCTTGCTGCAGCCTTGAACTTCTGGACTTACGTGATCCTAAGGGAGTAGATTTTAAACATTCTCATCACCACATACAAGAAAAGTCAACTATGTGAGATGATGAATATGTCAATTTTCTTCATTGTGGTAACAATTTGACAATGTATCTATATATCAAAACAGCACACAATATGCCTTAAATATACATAATTTTTATGTCAATATTTCAATAAAGCTGGGGAAAATTTTTAATAAAGTTTTTTAAAAAATTATAAAATTTTATAAAAAATTCAAAAATATTTTTCTATACTATCCATTTGACCAGAATTTATCTGTTAATTTTCATATTTCATTTTAAAGTAATGTGTTTTTTTCCCCTAGAGGATATATGTAGATGATTATTTCACTCGGTGACGATTACGTGCTAGGGTCTAAGTGACTGAATATTTTTGCCTTTAGATATTCATTCCTTTGCATTCACTTATTAAACACACACTAATTTTGTGCCAACTGTTTGCCAGGCACTCAAGGTATTGGGAATACATTGATAAACAAAATTAAAGATAATTGTCCTCACAAAACTTGAGGAAGCAGAGATGGATAATAAACAGCTGCTCAAGTAAATCAATACTTAAAATAATTTCTGATAGTGATAAATGTTATGAAGAGAATAAAACAAAGACAAATGGGTGAATGTGTGTTGTCAGAGATGACCTCTTTGAGGAGACAGCATTTAAGCTGGCACTTGTGTGTCCAGAATCGGTGGGTTCTTGGTCTCACTGACTTCAAGAATGAAGCCGCGGACCCTCGCGGTGAGTGTTACAGCTTTTAAGGTGGCCTGCCTGGAGTTTTTCCTTCTGATGTTTGGATGTGTTCGGAGTTTCTTCCTTCTGGTGGGTTCGTGGTCTCGCTGGCTCAGGAGTGAAGCTGCAGACCTTCGCGGTGAGTGTTACAGCTCTTAAGGCCGCGCGTCTGGAGTTGTTCGTTCCTCCCAGTGGGCTCGTGGTCTTGCTGGCTTCAGGAGTGAAGCTGCAGACTTTTCGCAGTGAGTGTTACAGCTCATAAAAGCAGTGTGGACCCAAAGAGTGAGCAGTAGCAAGAGTCATTGCAAAGAGTGAAAGAACAAAGCTTCCACTGTGCGGAAGGAGACCCCCGCGTGTTGCCGCTGCTAGCGCGGGCAGCGTGCTTTTATTCTCTTATCTGGCCCCACCCACATCCTGCTGATTGGTAGAGCCGAGTGGTCTGTTTTGACAGGGTGCTGATTGGTGTGTTTACAATCCCTGAGCTAGACCTAAAGACTCTGCTCATGCCCAGCAGACTGAGGAGCCCAGCTGGCTTCACCTAGTGGATCCCGCTCCCGGGCTGCAGGTGGAGCTGCCTGGCAGTCCTGCGCCGTGTGCCTGCACTCCTCAGCCCTTGGGTGGTCGATGGGACTGGGCGCCGTGGAGCAGGGGGTGGCGCTCGTGGAGGAGGCTCGGGCGGCACAGGAGCCCACGGAGAGGGTGGGAGGCTCAGGCATGGCGGGCTGCAGGTCCCGAGCCCTGCCCCACAGGAAGGCAGCTAAGGCCCAGCGAGAAATCGAGCGCAGCACCAGTGGGCTGGCACTGCTGGGGGACCTAGTACACTCTCCGCAGCTGCTGGCCCGGGTGCTAAGCCCCTCATTGCCCGGGGCCGGCAGGGCCGGCCGGCTGCTCCGAGTGCGGGGCCCGCCAAGCCCACGCCCACCGGGAACTCCAGCTGGCCTGCAAGCGCCGCAGGCAGCCCGGGTTCCCGCTCGCGCCTCTCCCTCCACACCTCCCTGCAAGCTGAGGGAGCCGGCTCCAGCCTTGGCCAGCCCAGAAAGGGGCTCCTACAGTGCAGCGGTGGGCCGAAGGGCTCCTCAAGTGCCACCAAAGTGGGAACCCAGGCAGAGGAGGCGCCGAGAGCGAGCAAGGGCTGTGAGGACTGCCAGCACGCTGTCACCTCTCACTTGGATTACAGGACAGAAATCCTGGGGAAAAGTATTCCAGGCAAAGGAAACAGTAAGTGCAAAATCCCTGAGTTGGGATTAACTTCCATGTTCTTGGATAGAAAGATGGGGGCAGTGAGCAAAAAGAGGAGTGTATAGTGTGGGGAGGTGGAGAGCAAGGCAGATGACATGGGGTTTTGGTCTCTGCCAGGAGTTTGAATTTGATTGTAATTACAATGGGAACCATCTGCTATATAGTAGGTTAGGTAGTAATATCATATAAGGAATACTTCAGTTGGATCACTTTAGGTGCTATGTAGAACCAAAAAGAAAGTTCACTTGTTAGCTGTTGCTATGTATTCCAAGAGTTCAAGAGACTCGTTGCAGCATCAAAAGTGAGTAATCACAATAACTTTCAGCTGTTTCTATGTATGGGCTATATTCCTTGAAGTCAGTGATTTGGTTCCAAGCCCTCTTTATGATCTCTAAAAATAAGGCAAAGCTAATAAAAACTGAAAATATTAAGTATATAGTCTTATCAGTGGAGTGTGTATTGGAGTTAGGGAAAGTTGAGTCATTATTTTGAAGGGACACAAGCACTTTACTATCCTTATGATTATAATCAAACACCATATTCTGAGCTCCTGGATCATGAAGGTTCCTAGATGATCCTAAGGGTTATTGCTTTCTAGTAGTGCACATAATGATTCACAAGCTAAGCAGACAGAGACTTTATCACTTGATATCTTAAATAAACAGTTTAAACAGGCTAGACCTAGAGTCATGCATCCTACATTGGTCAAGCATCTAAAGACAATTATTTCTGAACAACCATTAGTATTAAAATTATATTTGGAAGTTAATTAAAGGTAGTTTCCTGGCTGTAGATGTTTATGAGCTATTTTTTTCTTTTACCCTGCAAATCTGTAATATGTGCCTGAAATTAACAATATATTAACTTTTAAATGCATAGACTCATAGTTAAAATTACACAAAAATCCACTTAATGAGCAACTTAAATTCATGAATCTCAGGTACATTTATTTTCTAAGTATATCACTCCTTAGAAGATTTTAGTTTGTTTCTCTTGTATTCAAGTATGTCTTTGAGAAAGAAATTTCAGGCATGTCTTTGACACAGGAATTTTTTCATTGTTATATTCCCCACATCATGTTATGACAGTAGGTAAATGATAGCTGTGATAATTTTAAAGGCTCTTCTCTATCTACTATCATGAATAAATATTGTGCCTTATGTGAGTGAAATTTCTTTTTTTGTTTATGTTTGTTTTGTTTTTAATAAGGAAAGAAAAATTGGTTATGGTATAGGAGATTGAGAAGTAAAAAAAAAAAAAAAAAAGACAATTCTTCTCTCATCCCTCAAAGCTTTCCTTCAATAAGTTCTACTGAGTGCCTGCTATGAACTAAGTAGTAACCTCTGTCCTTACAGTGTTTTCAGATTTATCTGAGGCATAAAATTATAAGTAATTATAAGAGTATGTTTTATAATACATCTGAATTCAATTTTAAAGTGATTACTGATACTAAGTGATATATAGAAAAGTTGAGTTTTCACAGAAGATGGGACTTTGAATTGTGTCTTACGGGCTTTAATTGATCTTAAGGTTTGCACTAAATCTACACATTAATGACCTAAAAATTGGAAGTGACCATAGAGTTCACCCAAGCAAAATTTCCACCCAGTGAATGCCACTCTTAGGAATATCATTGACCATTTAGCCACAGCAAGAATCTTTGTGAAATAGGCATCTAAATTTATGAGGCAGAATTTCTACTTGAATGGAGTTCTAATAGTTAAAATGTTCTTTTATTGAATATAGATTTGCACAGTTGTAACATGTCTTAAATCATGTCCTTTTGAGAAACCTAAACCAAATCTAATCTATCTTTCCAGTAGTTGTACTTCAAAAATATTTGAAAGCTATGTTGATCTATTTCTAAAGCCTAATCTAGAACTTTTACCTGTATATATATATTTTATTATACTTTAAGTTTTAGGGTACATGTGTACAACGTGCAGGTTAGTTACATATGTATACATGTGCCATGTTGGTGTGCTGCACCCAGTAACTCGTCATTTAACATCAGGTATATCTCCTACTGCTATCCCTCCCCGCTCCCCCCGCCCCACAACAGGCCCTGGTGTGTGATGTTCCCCTTCCTGTGTTCTCATTGTTCAATGTGTTCTCATTGTTCAATTCCCACCTATGAGTGAGAACATGCGGTGTTTGGTTTTTTGTCCTTGCGATAGTTTGCTGAGAATGATGGTTTCCAGCTTCATCCATGTCCCTACAAAGGACATGAACTCATCATTTTTTATGGCTGCATGGTATTCCATGGTGTATATGTGCCACATTTTCTTACCTGTATATTTTGTTAATGACTCTCTGAAATTTTAGTGCAAGGAACTTAATATGGTGAGATTATTCTTGTTTTTAACCTGTGTATCTAATTTAGTTCTAGCTGTATAATCTGTTCATTGCCTTCTTATATAATTATGATAGATATTTCTTACTTTTGGGTGTATTCTGGCAGTATAGAATTCCATTTCACATGTATCTCATCTGTATTTTTCTATAAACCCATTAGCTACGACATAATACTTTTCCATATTATTTTTGTGTTGTATAAATGATTTAGGAAGAGGATTAAAGTTTGTATTTAATCCACCTTCAACATAAGCATAGAAAGTGTTCCTTGCATATCAACAAAAGAGAAAAAGATACCAAGGCAAGTTTTTTTTAAAGAGCCATTGTTCAATTTTCTTTGCACTCAGTCTGATTTATTTCAGATGCTGCATAACCTAATTTGCACGACTGGATTAAATAACCTAATGAACCCTGACCCATGTGCTTGGGCATTAAGGATGTCAAGTACCCATTTGTGTTTTGTTTATGTCTTCCTTCCTGTTAAATGTCATCTATATTTGGAATCTTTCCAGTGTTGACTTTAAAAAGGAAGCATAGGTCACTTAAATGAGAGAGCAAGCATACAGGAGATGCAGTAAATCAGACCATTACTGATTATGATTGGATCTTGAACATCTTCCAAAACTACTCTTTGCATTCCTTTCCAATCTCTGTTGGTCTGATTGATTTATGATGAAAATTATGATCTCATGTTACAGTCTTCCTTTGGTTTGTTGCTGGTATACTAGCATTCTGCAATGGCAGTTATTATGGGCAGTAATGAAGATGATTAAATTACTATAACCATTTGCAGAGGAGTTTGGGGTGGGAAACTTTATTTTCTTATAAAAGAATTAGGTCCCATTGGAATCACTAATGCAAACAATGAAAATTCACACGCCACTGACTGCAGTACACTTCTGTGGGCAGCTTTGGTCCCACCTAGTTCTCTCTTCTTTCTTGCTTGTAGTTCTCAACAATCACTATGGAATGTGCTGGGAATGTAACATCCTGAGGTAAGGAGAAGCTGGCCAGAACAGTCAGGGCTGTGTTCCGGTGTCCTCTAGAAACAAAATGTTTTCATTTCTTTATCCCAGAGTGTCCTGTGTTTCCCAGGGTATAAAACCCGGGGCAGGCTGCTTTCTAGGGTCCCTCTGCTGTAGTGCAAGTGAGGCATGTGCAGACATGGCCACCCAAGGCAGCTTTTCTGAGCCTTGGGAGACTGCCTCACAATGAACCTTAGGCTTCTGTTGTCGCTTCCTGTCTATCTGTAAGCAATAAACTCACTTATGTAACTTGTTTTGCGTGTGGGTGTTTGGTGTCACGAGACTTAGACGCCTTGGTAACCAGTGCACAATGAACCTGCTTCATGGCCAATTTTGAGCTATTGGCATTTGCTTTTTAAAAATCCCCCCGAAAGTTCTATAATCATCTTGCTATTAGCCAGTATCACAGGAATGCTACTGATGCACCTTTTTTTTCCAGAGATTTACTTTCCAGAGATTTTTTTTTTAAAAGGATAATGCTATATTTACTTGTTAGAATTACATTTTGTCATATAAGTATTTTTTTTCATAAAAATCTCTTTAATTTTGTTTCCTAGTGAATCTAGCTTGGTGCAGATATGTATCTCTTAAAAACCAAGTTGCGAGTTGCTGCTACATGAAACAGTGTCTCTATTATAGGCAGAACTGGATCATAAAAGTCTACAGTGATGGAGAAAACAAAAACACCTTATAGAATTTGGTGACTGGAAATCCCATAGATTCAGACATAAACAGAGGCTCAAAGCCTCTCTCATGCTTATCATTATGGGAGGACAGGCACATTAAGTGGTGCTTTATGGTTCTCATGCACACTTGGAGAGAGTTCTACAAATTCTATCCTTTTCGTCTTATTGGTACATATTGTCAAAGTACCACCTGAAATGCCTGGAATTCCAGCATAATTCATTTCTTGGATGTTTGTTGTCATTCCAGAAAACCAAGACCACCAATCATATCGCCTTGTTAAAGAACCAGGTTGGGCTTTCCCAACCAGCAGCAGCCATCCCTGTTTAAAGCAAAAGTTAAGTGAAACATCTGTAAAAGCAGTGATACTTATGGTAGAGTTACTGATGATAGCATATTTAGCACCTTAATGGGAAGGGAAACATTGAATATTTTCTTGTGCAGTGAATTTGAGAAAATATTATTCCTTTCAATAATTATCTAGAAGCCAGTAATACCTAGAATGAACAAGAATATATTTTTGCTCTTTCAAAATGTGATTAATATTCACCAAATGTCAGCTATGTATGCATATAATCAGATAAGACATACTCAGAGAATTGCCTTGGAAATTATTTTGTATTATCTGAAAGACAAGTAAAATTTAAAATTCTAAGCATAGCCAGAATAATTATTTGATAGTTATATGTAAATATATTAAAGAAATATGTAAATATGAGATAATATATTACTGAATATTAGCAAGTCATTTTTATTCAGGACATTTGGAGCTTTTGCATATAATGAAGTGTGTTGAGAACATTTCGGCTGAGTTAATAGCATGTCTTTAAAAAATATATGTTAAATATTTCTTTTATGTCACACGCTGGGAATTGTTTTGCAAAATGAATTCAAATCATTAAAATTACTTAAATTTATCTAGGTATTTTAAAACCATCTAGAAATTTATTAAACTATTATAAAGATAATAAAACAGATTCAAAGAGAAGTGTCTAGTTGACCATGATTTTAAATCTGAGGAAACAAGAAAGATAATTTATTACAAGATAAAATTGTTTGAAGTCCTAAAAGGGAATATTTAGGTTTGTTATTAGGTATAAAGATTTGTTCTAGATATCACAATGTTATGATGCCTGCAACTGCAGAAACACTGATACAGCTGAAAACGGCATTTTATCGTTGCTTAAAATTTTCAGAGTATTAGAAGAGATAGTAATAAGTAATACAATGTTACATTCTTTTTTGTTTTATTTAACTATCCGCAGAAGGGATCCACATCACATATTATTTCTATTAGTCCATTCCCATGCTGCTAATAAAGATATACCTGAGACTAGTTAATTTAAAGGGAAACCTGGAAAGAGGTTTAATTGACTCACAATTCAGCAAGGATGGGGAGGCCTCAGGAAATGCACCATCATGGTGGAAGGGGAAGCAAACACATCCTTCTTCATATGTTGGGAGCAAGGAGAGGAGTGAGAGCTCAGCAAAGGGGAAGCCCCTTATAAATTCATCAGATCTTGTGAGAACTGACTCACTGTCATGAGAATAGCATGGGGGAATCCGCCCCCAAGATTCAATTACCTGTCACCGGGTCCCTCCCACCACATGTGGGGACTATGGGAACTATAGTTCAAGATGAGATTGGGGTGGGGACACAGCCAAACCATACCGTTCCACCCCTGGCCCCTTCCAAATCTCATGTCCTCACATTTCAAAACACAATCATGCCTTTCCAACAGTCCCCCAAAGTCTTAGCTCATTCCAGCATTAACCCAAAAGTCCAAGTCCAAAGTCTCATCTGAGACAAGGCAAGTCCCTTCCACCTATAAGCCTGTAATATCAAAAGCAACTTACTTTATAGATACAAGGGAGGTACAAGCATTGTATAAATACACCTGTTCCAAATGGGAGAAATTGTCCAAAACAAAAGGCCCCATGCAAGTCTGAAATACAGTGAGGCAGTCATTAAATCTTAAAGTTCCTAAATAATCTCCTTTGACTCCATGTCTAACATCCAGGTCATGGTGATACAAAGGGTGGGCTCCCACAGCCTTGGGCAGCTCTGCCCCTGTGGCTTTGCAGAGTAACAGCCCCCTCTCAACTGCTTTCACAGGCTGCCATTGAGTGTCTGTGGCTTTCCCAGGTGCATAGTTTAAGCTGTTGGTGGATCCACCATTCTGTGGTCTGAAGGACCACAGCCCTCTTCTCGCAGCTCCACTAGGCAGTGCCCCAGTGGGGAGTCTGTGTGTGGGCTCTGACCCAACATTTTCCTTCTGCACTGTCCTAGCAGAGGTTCTCCATGAGGGCTCTGCCCCTGCAGTAAACTTCTTCCATGGACATCCGGGCATTTTCATACATTCTGTGTAATCTAGGCAGAGGTTCCCAAATCTCAGTGCTTGACTTCTATGCACCTGCAGGCTCAACACCATGTGGAAGCTGCCAAGGCTTGGGATTTGCACCTTGGGAAACCACGGCCCTAGCTGTATCTTGGCCCCTTTTAGCCAAAGCTGGAGTGACTGGGATACAGGGCACCAAGTCCCTAGGCTGCACACAGTAAGGGGGCCCTGGGCCTGGTCCACTAAACCATTTTCTCCTCCTAGCTCTCTGGGCCTGTGATGGGAGGGGGTGCCATGAAGCTTTCTGACATGCCCTGGAGACATTTTCCCCCATTGTCTTAGTGAAAACATTCAGCTCCTCAATACTTATGCAAATTTCTGCAGCAAGCATGAATTTCTCCCCAAGATATGGGTTTTTCTTTTATATCACATCATCAGACCACATATTTTCCAAACTTTTATGCTCTGCTTCATCTTGAATGCTTTACTGCTTACAATTTTTTTTTTCTGCCAGATATCTTAAATAATCTCTGTCAAGTTCAAAGTTCCACAAATCTCTAGGGCAGTGGCAAAATGCCACTAGTCCCTTTGCTAAAGCTAACAAGAGTCACCTTTGCTCCAGTTCCCAACAAGTTCCTCATCTCCATCTGAGACCACTTCAGCTGGACTGCATTGTCCATATCACTATCAGTATTTTGGTCAAAGCCATTCAGCAAGTCTCTAGGAAGTTCCAGACTTTCCCACATCTTCCTGTCTTCTGAGCCCTCCAAGTCTCTGGGAAGTTCCAAACTGTCCTACGTTTTCCTGTCTTCTTCTGAGCCCTCCAAACTGTTCCACATTTTTGAGTATTCTAATAGCAGCACCCATCTCTGCTTGTACCAATTTACTGCATTAGTCTGTTCTCATGCTGCTAATAAATACATACTCAAGACTGGGTAATTTATAAAGGAAAGAGGTTTAATTGACTCACAGTTCAGCAAGGATGGAGAGGCCCCAGGGGAAACAAACATGTCCTTCTTCACATGGTGGCTGCAAGGAGAAGAATGAGAGCTGAGTGAAGGGGGAAGCGTCCTATAAAACCATCAGATCTGATGAGAACTTACTTTCAGGAGGATAGCATGGGGAAAACTGCCGTCATGATTCAATTATCTCCCACTGGATCCCTCCCATGACCCATGGGGATTATGGGAACTATAATTCAAGATGAGATTTGGGTGGGGACACAGCCAAACCATATAAGTATTAAAATTATAATAAATAGTAACTTAATTATACATTTTAAAATTACTAAAAGAATGTAATTGGATTGCTTGTAATACAAAGAATAAATGCTTGAGGGGATGGATACCCCATGCTCCATGAGGTGATTATTTCACATTGCATACTGTATCAAACACCTCTTGTACTCCATAAATATATACAATTACTATGTACCTACAAAAATTAAAAAAATGAAAATAAAATACTAAAAAAATTATTCAAAACTGTGATTTTAAATATTATTTATTGCTTTTCTAGCTAACATATCTATTTATTCATTTATTAATCCAATAAATAGAGTGCTCACTATGTATCAGACCCATTTTAGGCACTGGCCATATAGAAGTGAACAAAACAGGGAGTTTCAGCTCTTAATGTGAACAAAATCAATTAAGTATAAAAATCTTTAGTATAAAACTTGATGTTAAGGCTTCAGGAAACAACATTTTCCTTGAGAAGAATAAAGCGACAGAATGCTTTTATATGTGGCATAGCTGACCTGCAATATTTTAGATCTTTTACTTCATATATATATGTATATATATACATATATATATAGATAATCTAAGCTGAAAATCTGACTCACAATTTCTCGTTTACCTAAAAACTATAGATAAACAGCTAGATAAATAGATTGATAAACAGACTAAATATCCTATATCCATGTTCCTCTAATATTCTCCAGAAGGAGTTCAATAATTTGTTGATGGCCAATAATTAGGAAGGATATTTCAGTATGATGTGTGCTAAAACTAAAATGATTTTTGGCAGAATTGCTTTGGTTACCAGATGGATGAACTAAATGATTCTGTCCAACCAATTATATCACTTAGTTTTACGGGGGTTCGCTGTGAAGCTAATTGATCTTGATAGGTTTCTAAGGATATGTTCAAATGCAAATTGTTATAGAGCTTATTTAAAGTCATGCTGTTATACAGTTAAGCTTTTGATAACTTCCACCCTCAGGAGCTTCTGCTTCTTTGATTTGTTGACATGAAAACTTTGACATTTCTAGTAGGTACTTGCACAACCAGTGGAGTAAATGCATTGCTGCCTTCTGAGGAAGTCCTTTCCCTGCTTTCAGATGTCATTTGTTTTGTGATAATAATAATGGTAATAGGCTGGGCGCAGTGGCTCACACCTGTAATCCCAGCACTTTGGGAGGCCAAGGCGGGCGGATCACGAGGTCAGGCGATCGAGACCATCCTGGCTAACACGGTGAAACCCCGCCTCTACTAAAAATACAAAAAATTAGCCGGGCGTGGTGTCAGGCGCCTGTAGTCCCAGCTACTCGGGAGGCTGAGGCAGGAGAATGGTGTGAACCTGGGAGGCGGAGCTTGCAGTGAGCTGAGATAGCGCCACTGCACTCTGGCCTGGGCGAAAGAGCAAGACTCTGTCTCAAAAAAAAAAAATAATAATGGTAATAACAGCAATAGCTAATATTTATTATTTTTAGATAATCACACTACTAATAATAGCAGTAATAATCCTCATTTGTTGACCTATTCTGCCAGGCTCTATGTTAAATGTTTTATGTGTATTATCTCATTTAATCATCCAACCAACTAAGCAAGGTATTTCCTATTGAAAACTGCAGTGCAAGGAGAGGGTAAGTCACAAAGTTAAGCAGACAGTAAGAAGAAATCAGATTTGGAGCAGATTTAAACAACCTCAAAGCCTTTATCTATAATATCATGTTCAAAATAAATCCTCAACCCTTTTACCTACCCTAGTAGAATCTAAGGTTATATCAATCTTGTTTTAACCACAACCAAAATAATATCTGATGTTATGATTCTTTCCAGCAATCTTTATTTTGAGGAATTGTCACTAGAGGTCCTATAAAAGCACAACTGAATCAGTGGATATATAGACAGGATTACCTAAGAATAGTAATTATATAAATTTAGGATTATTCAGGCTTCATTTTAATATTGAGCCAGAAACATAGAAAAACACATGACTTGATTATTAAGTGGGCCTCATAGAACTAGAAATTATTCTTATTTCTTTTAATGTATGAATTACCAAGTTCCATACAATTTTTGAATTGTATATGTACAATTAGAAGGCTGAGATAAGTAAATGGGGCAGCCAAGTTGAAGGGAAAAAATAAACAGAACAATAATAAAACTAAAACTAATTGTGACACACCTAACATACCATATGATCCTGAGATATGCCTGCAAATTTGACTTAAAACTTCCCTAAAAGGCAAAGAAGAGAGAAAATAGAGTTGTTTACAAGATTTAAAGTTTCCAAAATATGAAAAACTAAGCAGTATTCCAAAGAAGCACAGTGTTTCCAGATTCTGAGATATGAGCAAAATTTCTCCTCCAGGCTCTAGTAAAGAGGACAATGTTCTTGTTAGCATTCTGACCCTAGATTATAAAAGTTTGTTCTTAAATTGCCCTCTAATGTTTAATGAAACAATGCTGCTTAAATTTGGATTTATCTGTTACCCAGTGAACTGCTCAGCTAAAAATTATTCCATAAACAGCGTTTCTTCTTGTCTGGCTTCTGACAAGTTTTGAACTGCAAAGAGTTTAGGGTTGTAGTCTCTGGTAAGGATCTGTAATGCCAGAGTTCTATGTACTAATTAAGAGCAATTCCAGTTGCTTTGATATAGGTTTAAAGTTTGTGTTTTGGAGAAAAAGCCATGATCCTAACCAAGTTGCTCATCCAAATGGATGGCTATAGCCCCCTTGAGTGGAACTAGGTTAAGATAAGTAAAAGGATAGAAAAGTTATAGAAACATGTTATGTGAACCTGGGTTGAAAATCTGGTTGAATATTAGTTATGTGAGACTTTAGGCAAGTTATTACGCTTTCTGAGGATATCGGTTGCCTTCCTGAAAATTGGAGACAATGGTAATTATTTCATATGGCTGTAATGAAGAGTAAGGAGATATGGCAAAGACAGAACTGTGTGTACTATGCCAGTATTCTTTTACAGAGAATTTTTTGAAGTTATAACTCTTCCTTGTTACTCATACTTTACCACTTGGTTCTTGGTGTTATTGTATCTGCTGTATCAAATCAAAGTTAGATATAGGTTGTCATGAATAAATAACCATATACACATTCATATCAATGTCTTGCTTAAGGCTATGTGAATTGGGAAGTAGAGGTATTATCCAGTGTACTTGATCAGTGGAAGCAGATGTGCTAACACGTGTGTGTGTGTGTATGAAAAAGAGAGAAAGGAATTCACATGCAGGTATCCAATTACTCTTAGATAGAAAACCTGAAGTGAGGAAACAACGTATGTGTCTGGGTGGCTCTGAGTGCCCTGCTGCAGCTGTGTCACTCCCCGGGTGGATCCTGGACATACTGCTTGCCTCTTGGAGAACCCCTGCAATTGGTATGCCTATATCAACATGGTGCTGAAATATTAGATTAGAAGTGACCAAGGGAGATGCCTGGGGAATGATCCTGTCCTGGTTATCTATCATTATGTAACAAGACAGAAGAGTGAAGGGCTGTGCCTGCAACTGGGACAGTATAACTCCCACAAAATTCTATTGGTCAAAGGTATCACCAATTGTCACCTTGTCACCCAGTTGTTTCCAAAGGTACAAAAAGTACAGAGAGAGTAGGATAGCTTCTGAGAAGAAGCTGAACATGAGAGAATTTGAGTTGAAGTCTGGCTTTTACATTAAAGGTGAAGGTTAAAAGGCAGTGTTGATTTTGAAATCAGGAATTTGCTACTTCAGGCAGTCAGTCACCTGGTTGGTGAGACTGTACACCAGGGAATGGGGTAAGTGACTAGAAAGCTGCCACATGCTGGTGGTGGCTCCTCTGTCTGAGCAGACTGTGAAGGGAAGAAATGCCTTCCCCATTCTGAGCCAGGCCATGGTAGGGTGACCTCTGATGTGTGGGCCCTGGTGCCAGCTGTAGGTAGTAGATTGGGGGAGACACATGTCTGTGATCATGACAGAAGAAAAGAGCCAAATTGCTAAACTGTCACAACCCTGTATTGGTTTCCTATTGCTACCATAACAAATTATCACAAAATTTTTAGGGGCCTAAAACAATACAATTTTATTATGTTACAGTTCTGTAGGTCAGAAGGCAAACACAGGTCTCACTGGGCGACACTCAAGATGTCAGCAGGGCTGCGTTCCCTTCTGGAGGTACTAGGGAAGAATCTTAGGGAGAATCTGTTTTTTTTTTTTTTTTTTTTTTTTTTTATCTTTTCTAGCTTCTTGCGATACTTTCATACTTTGGTTCATGGCCTCCCCGAGTCTTCAAAGACAGTGACGTTGCATGTCTCTTATACTTCCTTTGACTCTGACTTCAGCTGCAAAAGGTTGTCCACATCCAAGGGTTTGTGTGATTAGATGGGTCCTGAATAATCTCCTCATTTCAAGGTCCTTAACTTTAACCACACTGCAAAGTTGCATTTCCTTATAAAGTAACTTATTCTTGGGTTCCAGGGTTAGGATACAGACATATTTGGGACACAGGCATCTGCTTACCACAAACCCTTCAGAGATGAAGAAACCTTATTTTAGACTTTTTCTTCCTGCTTCTCCACTCCAACTCCATCCTTGCCTGTTAATATATTTCTGTGGTGCTAAGTTTCACCATTACTAGTGGCCAAAGTAGTAGCAAATTTTATGCATGGCTAAGGTGTGGCCAATGGTTCTCAATACTGGCATCAAGGGAGATGTGAAAGGTAATTCACATGTCCCTGGTGGGCAGAAAGGATGATCAAAACGGATCCTCAGGCATTTGTGAGCACTCCAGAGAACTAGGAAGTATTTGAAGAAGAGATTCTGGGGGAAAGACTTGGCTTTCTTGCATGAGTATTTGGAGCATCAGAAAGAACAAAATTTGGGAGATTAATTTAAATTTGAACTAATTCTCAAAAGTTGTGAAGCTTGGAACATACCAGTTTTAGTTGAATAAATGCATTGTTCTTTGCTGTAGCTGCTTTTTATGCTACACTGAAATGACTGACTTGCTATTTACAAGAATAAACACCAGAGACACACAAATGCACACACACAGTCACACACATACACACACACAGAGGAATAGAGAAAACCATTTCTAAAATGAAACCTCCGTGGAGTTACTAGATTTAACTTCATTTTTTATTTCCCAGGAGGGAATCTGCAATAGTCTATTAACAGTATCCCCTAGCATATAACATTCTGCAGATGTTCTCTTAATGCTGATTTTTTTCCACACCCAAACATGTTATCAATTATCTGTATTTTCATTTTGGGAGGCTCGACCCAGAAAGACCGTTAACTGTAGTGCTGTTGTAGCATTTCTTCCTATTGTCATCAAGGTTGTAGTAATTTTCACATAAATCGTTTTGAAAAATTTAATGAAAGCATTTTTCTTGTGGAGTTTATTAAAACTCAGTATCTATCCTGAAACAAGGTATACTGGTATTGCACACCCATATATCTTTGACCTGTGAAATTCTTAAAATCGGGATAATGAAAACAGTAACAGCGGGACCAATCAAAATGCAAAAGTGGGGAGAGCAAATGGCAGGAAAGAGAAGAAAATGATATGCATGTTTCTCACATTCTGTGAGAAAGCACTGATTAGCAGCAGGTCTCAACTCCGTAAGAGAATCCATTTTCTAAATTGTTTTGGGGAGCTCTGTTTTGAGCACCAAGTGAAACAGCAAATTAAAAAGAGACTTTCATTTTTGGAAATGCAAAGAAACAAAGCATTTTATAAGTTTGAAATGATCTTGTGTTATTTTCTTTTGTTTCAGTTTTGGCAGGATTTTTGCCTGTGCTAATTTGACATACCCTCCTTAGATATGAACATATGTTAGAGAGAAAAGGAAGAGACTTGATTAAATACTTCATCTGTTCAATGAACCTTTCCTAAATGTGTAGTTGCTCAAATTTTTAAGAGATATTAATTCAATATATGTTTTGGATTTAAATGTTATGCCTGATCAATAAAACAGGCTGTATTCTCCTGTCCTGATGAGCTTGAGTGTGACTCATGTTTATCTTGGTCTGTATCCATTTGCATCCAAGAAATATTAGTCTTATTCGTCTTTTATGAGAGAACTCTTGGCAACAGGGGAGAAGGATACTGGATAATGATTGGTCACCAAAGTATTTCAACAGTTTGCTTCTTGATATAAAAATAAATAGGCTAAATTGACAAGTTTATATGTATCTTATGGTGGCAAGACACCCAGATCCCTGAAGACATCATCCTTCCTTTCAAGAAAGGCCTGGGACAAACTTGAGGAGAAGGTTGGAGGCTCTGTTTTTGGTTGATTTCCTCTTCAAAGACACCAACCTCTATGGACACCAGTGATTCATTCATTATATTACAGTAGGTAGCTAGTCAGGCAACCGAGCAGGGCAGGAGAGGGCTCCCCACGACACACACACCACACACACCAGGAGTGTTGGGAGACCATCAGGTGATGCTCAGGCTGTTGTGAACTGTCTTTCAAAAGTAATAATTGGTCACAGCTGGTGCCAGGGAAAGGCAGTCCCCTAATAGATAGAAAACACCTGAAACTGGTGATCATCAGCTTTCCTATAAGATCGCAGGAGCTGAGCAAGCAGGGAGAGGTAATATAAGCCGGAAGTACGCCAACGTGTAAAACCCCAAGTCAAAAGGTTAAAGCTCGCATTTGATCTCTCAAATTGCCCCGTGGCCCTCTTCTAAGTGTACTTTACATTCGTTCGTTCCTGTTCTAAAGCTTTTAAATAAGTTTTCACTGCTCTAAAACTTGCCTCAGTCTCACTCTATCTTAATGCCCCTCAGCTGAATCGTTTCTTCTGCGGAGGCAAGAATTGAGTTTGCTTCAGACCTGGACAGAACCACTGCCGCTAACATATTTCGGTGCCCTGTGACTCGGAAATGTTCCACCGGTAATATACTTTGGTGCTGCATGTGACTCGGTAGTAAGAGACCTCTATGCCTTGCCTTCTTTGGCTGGAGGTGTTCAACCCCTGTACATGGCTTTCTTCTCCCCTTTCACTCTCCTGTTCACTATCCAGCCCCCAGAACAATTCTTCTCGGGGATAAGTGACTCTGCTCCTTCGGCGGATCTTCAGCTCACCCTGAATGGGCTCGCGGGGTCTGGAAGGACTGTGGGGTCTGCACCGAGTGGTACTGAGGCATTAATGGCCCTCTTAGGAGGCTTGCCAGGGTGGTAGGGCTAAAGCCTAAAACCCTAAAACCGTGCAATGTCTGGGGTTTTCTCTGCATTTTTCAACTAAAATCGGCTCTTTCCCAAGAACCTGCACTGCCTATTCTGTTTTCTGTGTGTGTGTTCTGAAATAGCCTTGCGCACCAGCCAGACTGTCTGACTCAGAGGGCAAGTCGGCCTTTTCTTTGGTTTCATATGGCATGCTGCGTGACTTCCTTCTCTGCCTTAAAAACACACACTCCCTGTTATTCATGAGCCTGCAGCTCTTAATTGCATTGTGTGACAGCAAAGACTCAGGCTCCCTTGCAGATATCCCCCGAGATTTATACTTGTTCTTACCCTACCAGCTCGGATGACCTGCAACCCTCCCCCTGTCTCCTGGCACATTGCTGGGACAGACATTAATTAAAACTCCGGCTCTGCCAGATCCTTATGACTTATCATATGCTTTTCATTCCTGTTATGCCCTAGGGCCGAGTTTTCTGGTGGCTTTTGAAGCAGTTTGTCCAGCTGCGTAAGACCTCACTCTGGCCTTCTAAGGATCCCACCTACTTGCCTTTTTTGAGTTAGCACCCCTTTTGGATGAGGGGAAATTATTTGTTTTCCATTTGTGAGTTCTTACCCCAAGCCCCAAATCCTCCAGAGGTTAGTAGTTTATGTCAAGAGGGCAAATAAGTCTCCTCTCGAATCCTAGGGCTGCTGTTTTTGCGAGCATATGAAGGCTTTCCATGAGTATTCCTCTCACCTTCTCCCACCTCTTCGTGTAGCCTCTCTTTCCCTTCTCAACATGCATCAAGACCTTCAAGGTCATATTTGAAGGGAGGGAAGTCTAGCCCCCTTGGGGCCGTTAGCTGAAAAACAGGCTTCTCATAAAGAACAGGGTAAACAGGAAGCTAAGAAAAGAGATAATTATTTTGTTGCTAGAATGCTCTGAGTGAGAGTCACTATAAGGTCATGGAAACAAGGATATAGGTGAGCCTAAGGCTGCAGGTGCAAGAGACCCATAGGACAGAGATGAAGGGTGGTCCCAGGCTAACAGACCACACCATCAGAACAGAGATGAAAGGTTAGGAATACACAGTAAGATTGGTTAATTCCAGAACCCCAAGGATGAACAGGGGGCCCACTGTTCACTCCAGCATCTCCCCTGTTCTCAAGTGGGTAATTGTGATGAGATGGGACCAAGGGTAAATGGTAAGACAAGTTCATCCCAGAACCCAATGGATGATGGGGGTTGCCCCAACTCAGGGTAATAGGAAAATAGAGGGAACACTCTTACCTTTTTTCCTCTCTTCTCTCTTTGTAAATGGATAATCGTGTCTCCACACCATAGGATATGCCCCTCAGAAGCATCCCTCAAAACTGGGAAAAGTTTGATTCCCTCAAACCTTAAGAAAAAAAAAAACACTTAGTTTTCATTTATAATACTGTTTGACCTAAAAATGAACTTGAAGAAAATTACAAAAGTCAGCTTTGCAACCCAGTGCCCCTGCACAGGAGGTCTTCAGATTAGCCTCCTCAGTATTTTATAACTGAGATCAGAATAAGGAGGGTAAGACTAAGAAAAAGGAGAAATGCATGAATAAGAGGCAGGTTCAATTATTGGCTGCTTTAGAAACTCTCCAGCACCCTCCAGGTGGCCCTAAGGACACTCCTCCATGTAACTGCCATTGGTGTGGGAAACCAGGCCACCAGAAGGCAAATTGTTCCAATGGGATAAATGGGAAAAAGTCCCGAATGGCTTGCCCCCTCTGCCACAAGCTTGGCTTCTGAAAATGGGACTGCCCTGAGGGCCTAAGTTTCCCAGGGACAAAATCCCAATCCCTGATAGCCTTGAACTGAAGGACTCTCTGCTCTGGCTGACTTCTAAATCAGACACTGTCGTCAATAAGACAAAGCTAAGGGAAACTCCGGATGCAGCAAGTAAAATTATAAATTTCCCTTCTGGGTTGAAAAGCTGCCTACTCTGTGCTTGTCTCCTTCTCTGAGCAACTCTCCTCCAAATCCTATTGGGTAATCAGGGCAAATGGCATCCCCTCCCTCCAAAAGAAAAAATTCACACCCCTTTATATTACTTAAGGGACCAAAAAGATTCACACCCCTTTATATTACTTAAGGGACAAATTACCATTTCCCCACCAGTCCTTGGTAATGTCTAAATACCCCACACCTCTTTGTGACACAAATATATTTTCCAAGATAGGTGCTCGCTTAATGTTTACCCAACCTCTGAAGTCATCTTTCTCTATAATAGCCTTATTTCTCCTGGGAAAGCTACCTAAATCTTTAACCAATAACTTCAACTTGGTCAGTCCTACCTCAGGGGTTTAGAAATAGCCAACATTTATTTGGATAGCCTTAGTAAAAATCCAACCAAGCAATCTCTTGAGGGGGTATAAACTTCTACAGTCTGTAGATAACCTTCATATCTGCTCCCCCTTCACAGGCTGCAGTTTAGGCTAACCCTGCTTATTCCTGTAAACCAACAAGGGACCTCTGCAGTTCAGAAGAAACAAGAGGGATCGGCCATCAAGCTCCAGATGATCCTCAGTGAGGGATACTGTCCTCTCAATATTCAAGAGTCACCCTTCTACAGAAGATCCCTAGACTTCCCATCAGTGGGACATGACAGAGGTAAAATTCTGCCCCTGTCTATCTTGGACCTGTCTGGATACTGCTTTCACCAACCCATAGAGCCAACCCCACCCTGACAACTAGCAAGAGGCCAAGACCCACAGAACAACCACCACTGCCCTTCTATCAGCAGGAAGCAGAAGAGTGACCTTCACCCATTTTCCCCAAAAATTGGGGTCTTGGACTCTTGAGGGGGTGATGTTACAGTAGATAGTTAGTCATGGCATAAACAAGGCAGGAGAGGGCTCCCCCTAACACACATCAGGAGTGTCAGATGACTGCCAGGGGATGGTCTGGGTGTTGTTAACTGTCTCTCTAAAGTAACAATTGGTCACAGCCAATGCCAGAGAAAGGCCATATCCTAATAGACAGAAAACACCTGAACTGGTGATCAGCCACCTTAGGAGTTGGGTGAGTGGTGGGAGAAGTAACGCAAGACCCCAGAAGTATGCCAACATATAAAATTCCAAGTCAAAATGTCAAACAATGCACTTGATCTCTCAAGTCACCCGCTTCGCCCTCTTCCAAGAGTACTTTACTTCCATTTGTTCCTGTTCCAAAGCTTTTTATAAAATTTCACTCCTGCTCTGAAATTTCCCTCGGTCTTTCCTTCTGCCTTATGCCCCTCAGCTGAATTTATTTATCTTGAGGAGGCAAGAATTGAGTTTGATACAGACCTGTACAGATTCACTTCTGCTAACAATTACACTTTGCAAAACATGCAAACACTTAAACTTTGCAAAACATGCAGTATTAGTTACTTGGTCCTGATCCAGATACTGATTTTCATTTCACCTTCCATTTCAACTTTTTATCAGGCTGGAGCCCTCTGCTTTAGAAGACAATTTGACCAAACAATTGACGTCTTCCCAGAAAAAGATGTAACACTTAAGTCCTTATCAATACAAATGGGCTTTTAATTCCTAGCTATTGGCCATTTGACAAGAAGTAGACTAGATATGTTCAGCCTTGTTGCTTGCTCTAGAAGCAATAATTCAGGCTTTGAACCAACAGACCAGAGCTTTTGGCCTTGAGTAATAAGACTAAATGTTGTATATTGAGGGCCTGATCCATGACTCTTATTTGTGACTTCTCATATTGTATCTTATTTAATAATCTTCATGATAACCCTTGGAGATATATTTTTTATCATCCCTATTTTACAGATAAAGGAAATGAAGCTCATACAGGTTAAGCCAATTGTTCACACCACAACTGAATGGCAGGGACAGATCTCAATCTGAAAGTGTCTGACTCCAAAGCCTATGACCATTCTATCTTACGCATTATTTTTCGAAGTAGCTGGGCATCATGTAGCATGGCTGGGAACACATGAACTTTTGTTCTGGTTTCAAATATTTTGTCTCATTAGCCATTCCCAGGAATCTACATATAATGTGTCAACAGACAGTGAGGAAATGCTGCAGAAACTCAAGTGTTGTCTAGTAGCTTCAGCCCGCCAACACATTTTACCACAGGTGGGAAATTTAGGACAACAAAACTTCACCTGGCTTCTCATCTTCACAGTTCTCAGTCAATGTCTGAGAGATAAGCCACCTTAGACCTTTACCCATCCTCCTTCCATACATTCTACTCTGTCCTCTTTTTCCCAGCCCTTCCCAATAGTGGTCTCTTCTGCCTTCTCTGAATATTATGTTTCATCTCTAATAAATTCTCCTAAATTCTTTGCCTCTTCTAGAATTCTTTCTCCCTTCTCTGATGAAGTAAAACATATTTATCTTCCCAAATAATTGATGTCATTCCATATGCCTAAATAAGACCGTTCTTTATCCCATGTGCCACGATCCAGAGTTTGGAGGCACCGTGCACATTTTCTAAGGTCCTGTTGCTGCTTCAAACTCTTATCCTTGCATCCTCTTACAAAACATCTTCCTCCCAAGATGCTCACTCCTTCCAGCTTTGCCAGCCTTCCTCTTGGTGCCATCATTCATCTGTAGACATTGTGGACTCTGTGGACATTGGCCTCTAACTCATGGTCCTCCTGAGCTCAAGTCTCCATTTTGAGAAATTTCAGTATCTGTAATGGCAACCTAACAATTTCGTTAACTCCATAAAACTTCACTTTTACTTCACATAATTTACTGACCACTAAAGTTGTACCTGAACTTTTAGTATCATCTAGCATTTCTCCATGTCTGAAATTTTAAATTCTTATGTTCTACTCACTGATCTCACTCAACTTCTTATGCTTTCCAAACTCATGGGGATTTTTCAGGCTGTAAGGGTCCCCATCCCCTTCTCTGCCGCCTCATCAAATGTATCATTTCTATTTTAGAGTCATTTAATGCCATACCATTATGGTCCAGCACTTAATAATTTATCCTGAATCTCAACAACTTGCTCTTTCTTGCTCTGTGAATCTTTTAAAATCCTCCATTTAACTACTAAATACTGTTTGAGAAGATCACACAATCATGTGAGTTTATGCCATTTCTAGTTTGTGACTTCTCATATCAGTTGAGCCCTTCATACTGGTTAATTCTTTTTTCTTGTACATGGTCACATCTTTTTCCAACTCCTATCTTATTTTTCCCACTGAGTGCTGCCTCCTTGAAACTCTTTCCTCCTTACCTTTGTTCACACCACAATTTCCTAATTTTTGTTTTATCCCTATGATCATCCTAAGCTAAAACTTGAAAATCATGTCTGTTTCTTCTCTGTCACCACTCTACAAATCAAAATGTTTGTAGCTTCTGCAAATCTTTCAGATATGTCTTTTCATTATCGCTTGCTGTGATAGAAAAAAAGGCTTGAATTTTTGAATCCTGGATCTGCTACTTTTTAGTTGTATGATTGTGATCAAGTTATTCAACCTTATTTTTCTTATCTGTAAAATGAAACAAATAATAGCAACAAAAATAATGATGATGAGGGTGATACCTATTTTATAGGGTTGTCATAATAAAAACCTAGGTCTGTCTGCTGCTAAGTCTGGGATTTTCATACCCTGCCTTAGCATCTGGTAATTAGGGTTTCTTCCAAAGCATAGTAGTACTACCCCAAAAAGATCCCCTGGCCAGAATTGGGATGACATGAGCTGCATCTGCTGTGTCTAACTAATCATATTCTCTGTTTCACTCCAATGTTTTCCAATTGGTTTTGATACCAGATTACAGCAAATAATGGATTTATAAGGTCAAATATTTTAAAAGACAAAAACATTAAAATACAAAAATAATTCACTTATAGTCTCACTGATGTTCTTGGTGCAGAAAAAAAACTACAATTTTTAAAATGATATAATAGTTAACATTTTTTGAGTGCCCAGTATAAGACCCGTATTGGGCATATTGGGTGGGCACTTGACCCACATCATCTAGTTTATCTTTCAGAGTTGTTGAATTTAGGTGTGCAGGCTCTCCATTCTACAAGGCCACCCCATCTAAAGAAACTATTCTTGTCGGAGGCATCATAAACATATGTATTTATTGTGACAAATTTTGATCTGATGACTGTACAGTGGCTTACATTAATAAAATCCAAATATTTCAGATATCTGAGATGAATATAGACTGTGCCGAAGAGAGGATGTCATTTTCTGGTAGTACAAATGCACTGCAGGGCCTCCTTATTATCATAGTCTTCATCATCATCTTCATCTTGATTGTTTCTTTTTTTGTTGTCCCGCTTTCACAGGTGAGAAACCTGAGATTCGTGGAAGTTAAAAGACTTGTGCAGCATCCACAGCTAGTAAGTGGTAGAATTGTCTGTTGGAATCTCAGCACTACACAACCCTGCACATCTTGCATGGCCCTTGGTTCTGTGCTCAGCACGTAGCAGTTGCTCGAGTGATACCAAAATGAGAGGAGCCAAGACGTTGAGTAGAACAAATTTTTTAAAATGACAAAAACTATCAGAATGTTGAATAAGGAGACTTTGGTAATAGGCAAAAATCAGAGTTTCTGTGATTCTGATTCCATTTATTTTACCCGTGTCCACCTATCTCTAGGTTAATGGTAATAATATAAGATATAAAAATCTTCTTTTAAAAAGAAATTAAACTCCAGAAAAGCCACAACACATTAACTTTGTGAGAGAATCTGGGCACTCGCCATCTTCTAAGCCTTTTTACCAGGGCTGAAGCAGAGGACAATGGTGCTTTTTCCAGGACATGGATCATGGCAGCTTCAAAAGATGACCTGTTAAGGAACACTGGAAACAGATTGTGTTTGCAGCCCCAGTGAAATAATATGAATCATATAGCTAAGCACGTTCAAAGAAAGAGGGAAAAAATGCCCTGGAAGGTTAAACACAAGCATGAAACAGCCTGATCCTAAGACTCTTTGTCACTTTGGGCAATAAGAAATCCTGGCCAAGCAGAGCAGCTGTCCCATGATGTCTTCTCTGCCCGGTCTCTTACCTCTTTCAGATGTGAGATCTAAACACAATAGTTCAAAGAACTGGAAAAGTTTGCTCTGCAATGCTTTTACCTTTAGAGTAAAAAACTGCTAAGATTTATTCCCCTAGCTTTCTACTTTATTTGGAATTTTAGATAAATGTTTTAATAAAGCAGGAAAAGATAATGATCCTGACATCTTTATTGCTTTAATTTCTGGTATTAATAGATAATCATAATGATTGGAATTTATGGCCCAGGATCTATTATGAGCAGGATGATGTGTTTTCAGGTGCTTTCAGCCATAAGATTCTGGACCCTTTGCATATGTTAGGAGTATCCCTTATTATTCCTGTCAGAAGTTCAGAGATGAGTGTGTTCAGGCTGTGACACTGTTTCATTTTCATTAGATTTTATTTAATTGACCCGACTGTATTGGTGAGTCTCATCATGGCTGGCACTGAATATACACATGCATATGTATGTATCATATAAAGGAGGCTTAGAGGAGTTCCCTGGCTCTGAGGGTACAAGATTCCTTCAAGAGTTAAAGTGGTAAAAGCAAATCATTCCCATTTTAAGCAATGAATCAAAGTATTTGAGAAATTTTATTTAGTTAATTCACTGTGAGTTTTCCTGTCCCTCCTAGAAATTAAATTATTTTGGGCAGGTGAAGAGAGGGCTGGAACTCTCATTAAATCTGATTCAAAGCCCAACTTGAAGACCAGTGGTATGAATTGCTCTAGTATTTTTAGTATGTATTCTGATGATATCTATCAAATTTTAAAACATACATAGCAATTATAATGAGTATAGAAATAAATCTAAAGAAATTAAATGAACTATTGGTTTAACATATAATATCCTAGCAATGGAGAAAAAAAGACAATCTAACATAAAAGATATACAAGTCCTTGAAATAAGGAATTCAACAAATGAAATCAGAAAGAGGAGTTCAAAGTCAACTGATTAAAATTTCTCAGAAATGAAGAAAAGACTAGATCAATCATTTGAAAAAACTCTTGATACACAAAAACAAATTGATTCAGAACTGTGAAAACTGAAGGATACACTAGGTAAGTTATTGAACTCAAAGTAGAAAGAAATAAAATTCTTCAGTCATCTAGGCAAAAAATAAATATTTCTCATAAGGAAAGAATTTTCAGGTGATTCCATTTGTTTTCCATAGCATCCTTCAATGGAGTAATGTCTACAAAGTACTGAGGGACAAAAACTGTAATATAAGTTTATCTCATTCATCAAAGTAATGGTTCAAGAATAAAAGCCACAAAAATACTTTCTCAAAGGCGAAAAGAAATATGATACTCAGAAGTCACTCTGGAAAAAAGGAAAAAAGAAAAAGCACTGAAATTCAGCCAAACATGAACTATATCAAAGAAAGAATTCAACAATGGAGCAGCTATGGCAAAATGGCTTAAGGTATTTAATCCAATAAAATATGAAGCCAAGACTAAATAATAAAATAAATTATGATTGCAGATCAGAATGTAAATGCCCCTTATTTGGACAAAGTAAAAATAATGCAAATATTAATATAAAAGACTCAAAAGTAAGAGGGACATGAAATGGAAAGAAATGCAAGAATGCCAATCAGTTTTCTCATCAGAGAAAGTTTTTTCCCTTTTTTCTTTTATTTCATTCTCTTGTCTAATTGCTTTTGCTAGGATTTTCAGTACTGTGATGTATAGGAAGGGTCAGAGTGGGCATCCTCTGCTTGCTAGAGTTCTCAGTGGGAATGGTTCTAACTTCTGCTGGTTCAGTTTGATGTTGGCTATGAGTTTGTCAGACAGCTCTTGTTATTTTGAGGTATGTTTCTTCAATATCTAGGCTGTTGAGGATTTTTATCATGAAAGGATGCTGGATTTTTATTGAAAGCTTTGTCTGCATCTATTGAGATGATCATATGGTTTTTGCCTTTAATTCCATTTATGGAGTGAATCATAGTTGTTGATTTGCATATGTTGAACCAAGACAAAGCTATCTGAACTGGAAATGTATTTTTAAATGCTATAATTGTTATAATCTCAGTACTTCAAATATTATTTTCTTTTTTAAAAAATTTCAGCTTTTAATTTAGATAGAGGGGGTACATATGTAGAATTGTTACATGGGTATATTGGACCCGGGTAGTGAGCATAGTACCCAATAAATAGATCGGTTTTCAACCCATTCCCCCCTCCCCCCCTCCCCTCTTGAGTAGTCTGCAGTGTCTATTGTTTCCATGTTTAAGTTCATGTGTGCTGAATGTATAGCTCCTTCTTACAAGTGAGCACATACACTATTCGGTGTTTTGTTCCTGCATTAATTTGCTTAGAATTATGGCCTCCAGCTCCGTCTATTAATGTATTGCTGCAAAGGACATTATTTCATTCTTTTCATGGCTGTGTAGCATTCCATGGTAACTATGTACCACATTTTGAAAATTCAGTCCACCACTGAGGGGCACCTAGGTTGATTTCTATGTCTTTGCTACTGTGAATAGCGTGGCAATGAACACATGAATTCATGTTCTTTTTTCATGTGCCTTTTTGGTATAATGATATATATTCCTTTGGAGATATACCCAGTAATGGGATTGCTGGGTCAAATGGTAACTCTGTTGAAAGTTCTTTGAAAAATTTTCAATCTGCTTTCCACAGTGGCTGAACTAATTTACATTCCTACCAGCAGTGTATAAGCATTCCATTTTCTCCACAGCCTCGTCAGAGAAATCTGTTGTTTTTTGACTTTTTAAGAGTTGTCATTCTGACTTGTGGTATTTCACTACAATTTTGATTTGCATTTCTCTGATCATTAGTGATGATGAGCCTTTTATCACATATTTATTGGTCATGTGTATGTCTTCTTTTGCCCACTTTTTAGTGGGGTTATTTATTTTAAGCTTGTTGATTTAAGTTCCTTATAGATTTTGGATATTAAGTCTTTATCAGATACATAGTGTGCAAATATTTCCTCCCATCCTGGAGGCTATCTGTTTACTCTATTGATAGTTTCTTTTGATGTGCAGAAGCTCTTTAGTTTAATTAGGTCCCACTTGTCAGTTTTTGTTTTTGTTGCTATTGCTTTTGGGAACATGACCATAATTATTTTGCCAAGGCTGATGTCAAGAAGAGTATTCTCTAAGTTTTCTTCTAGGACATTTTTACAGTTTGAGGTCTTACATATAAATCTTTAACCATCTTGAGTTAATTTTTGTATATGGTGAAAGTAAGGGTCTAGCTTAATTCTTCCACATATGGCTAGCCAATTATCATAGCACCATTTCTTAAATAGGGAGTTCTTTCCTTGTTGCTTGTCTTTCTCAGCCTTGTTGAAGGTCAGGTAGTTTTAGGTGTGCAGATTTATTTCTGGTTTTCATTCTGTTCCATTGTTCAATGTGTCTGTTTTTGGACCAGTACCATGTTGTTTTGGTTACTGTGGTCTTATAGTATAGTTTGAAGTCAGGTAGTGTGATGCCTCCAGCTTTGTTCTTTTTACTTAGGATTGCTTTGGCTACTTGGGATCTTTTTTGGTTCTATATGAATTTAAATTTTTTTTTCTAATTTGGTGAAGAATGACATTGGTATTTTAGTTTGATAGAAATAGCATTTAATCTGTAAATTACTTTGGGCAGTGTGGCCATTTTAACAATATTCATTCTTCTCATCTATGAGCATAGGATGTTTTTCCATTTATTTGTGTCATCTCTGATTTCCTTCAGTAATGTTTTGTAGTTTTCCTTGTAGAGCTCTTTCACCTCCTTTGTTAGCTGCATTCTTAGGTATTCCATTTTCTCTGTGGCTATTGTAAATGGGATTATGTTCTTGATTTGACTGCCAGCCTGGACATTATTGGTGTATAGAAATGCTAGTCATTTTTTACATTGATTTTGTATTCTGAAACCTTGCTAGAATTGTTTGTTAGTGTAAGGACCCTTTGGCAGCATCTTTAAGGGTTTCTAAGTATAGAATCATATTGTCAATGAAGAGAGGTAGTTTGACTTATTTTCCTATTTGGATGACTTTTATTTCTTTCTCTTGCCTGATTATTTTATCTAGGACTCCCAGTACTGTATTCAATAGGGGTTGTGAGAGTGGGCATCCACTCCTTGTTACTGTTATCAAGGGGAATGGTTCTAGCTTTTTCCTGTTCAGTATAATGTTGGCTATGGGTTTGTTACAGGTGGCTCTTGTTATTTTGAGGTATGTATGTACCTTTGAGGCCTGGACTGTTGAGGGTTATAATCATGAAATGATATTGGATTTTATCAAAAGGGTTATCCATATCTATTGAGATAATTATATAATTTTTGCTTTTAATTCTGTTTATGTAGTGAATTACATTTATTGATTTGCATATGTTGAACCAACCTGGTATCCTAGGAATAAAATCTACTTGGTCATGGTTAATTAACTTTTTGATATGCTGCTAGATTCAGTTTGCTAGTATTTTGTTGAGGATTTTTACAGCTAAGTTTATCAGGGATATTGGCCTGAAGTTTTCTTTCTTCATCATGTCTTTGTCAGATTTTGGTATTAGGCTAATGGTGGCTTCATAGAATGAGTTAGGGAGAAATCCCTCCTTTTGATTTTTTGGAGTAATTTCAGTAGGATTGGTAGCAGTTCTTCTTTTTATATCTGGTAGAATTCATCTGTGAATCCATTCAGTCCAGGGCTTTTTTGGTTGGTAAGTTTTTTAAATTGCTAATTCAATTTCAGAGCTTGGTATTGGTCTATTCAGGGTTTCAATCCCTTCCTGATTTGATCTTGGAGATTGTGTTTTTCCAGGAATATATCCATTTCCTCTAAGTTTCCTAATTTGTGTGCATAGAGTTTTCCTAGTATTCTCTGAGGATCTTTCAAGAAAAATAAACAATCTCTGGGAAATACGAGATTATGTAAAGAGACCAAATCTATAACTCACTGGCATTCTTGAGAGAGAATGAGAGAGAATAAACAACCTGGAAAACATATTTGAGGATACAGTCAGTGAAAATTTTTCTAATCTTCCTAAAGAGGTTGACATGAAAATCCAAGAAATACAGAGAACTCCAGCTGGATACTATGCAAGATGATCATCCCCAAATCATAGTCGTTAGATTTACCAGTACACGCAAAAGAAAAAAATTTAAAGGCAGGTAGAAAGAAGTGCCAAGTCACGTATAGAGGGAACCTCATCAGGCTTGCAGCAGAACTCTCAGCAGAAACTTTATAAGCCAGAATAGGTTGAGAGCCTATTTTGGGCATCCTTTAAGAAAAAAAATTCCAAGCAGCAATTTCATATCCCACCAAACTAACCTTCATAAATAAAGGAGAAATAAAATCCTTTTCAGACAAGCAAATGCTGAGGGAATATGTTTCAAGTAGACTAGACTTATCGGAGGTCTTTGTGGGGGTTCTAAACATGGAATTGAAAGAATGACACCTGCTACCACATAAGCACCCTTAAGCACATAGTCCACAGGTACTATAAAGCAATTATGCAATCAAGTCTACATAACAACCAGGTAGCAACACAATGACAGCATCAGAATCATACATATCAATATTAATCTTGAATGTAAATGGGCTAAATGCCCCAATTAAAGGTCACAGAGTGGCTAGCTAGATAAAAAGAAAAGACTCAACCATCTGCTGGCTTCAAGAGACACATGTAATGTCACCCAGAGGCTCAAAGTAAAATGATGCAGAAAGATTACCATGTGGAAAATAAAAAAGAGCAGGAGTCACTATCTTTATAGCAGATAAAACAGACTTTAAAAATAGAATTTTTAATAAAAAGTAAGGACAATAAAGAGCATTACATAGTGACAAAGATACAATACAACATGAAGCCTTAACTATTCTAAATATATATATGCATCCAAATATTGGAGCACCCAGATTTATAAAACAAGTTTCTTCTTGGCCTACAGAAAGACTTAGACAACTACACGATAACAATGGGAGACCCCAACACCCCATTGATGGCATTAGACAGATCATTGAGGCAGGAAACTAATGAGGAAACCTTGGACTTAAACTCAACACTTGACCAATTGGACCTAATAGACATCTACAGAACACTTCACCCAACTACCACATAATACACATTCTTCTCATCAGCACGTGGAACATATTCTAAGATCAACCACATGTTCAGTCATAAAGCAAATCTCAATAAATTAAAAAAATGAAATCATATCAAGCACACTCTTGAACCACAGTGCAATAAAAAGAGAAATGAATATCAAGAATATCTATCAAAACTACACAAATACATGGAAATTAAAGAATTTTCTCCTGAATAACTCCTGGGTAAACTTTAAGGCAGAAACAAAAGCAGTGTTAACAGGAGAGTTTGTAGCCTTAAATCCCTTCATTAAGAAGTTAGAGCTCAAATTAACAATCTGACTTTGCACCTAAGGGAACTAGAAAATAAAAAAAAAGAACAAACCAACCCCAAAACTGAAAGAAAAAAGAAATAACTAAAATTAGAGAAAAACATAGTAAAAATTGGAATGCAAAAATCCATACAAAATATCAATGAAATTGAGTTGGTTCTTTAAAAAAAATTCAAATAAATTTTTCCCCTGAAACTTAGAGGGATATTGTAGAATCATAGATGTTTTGTAATAAAATATTTATTTTGTATATAAAATTAAATAAAATAAATATAAAATAAAAAATAGTACGATAAAAAATAATATAAAAATAAATAAAATAAAATAAATATTTTATAATAAAATATTTATCAGATAGGACTGATAATTTTTTCTGTTTCTTCATTAAATTCAAATAAAATTTAATTATTTTGTGTTTAAAGATATATATTTGAAGATCTCCTTGTTTTAGAGTTATTTCTATAGTGTTATGGATCTATGTAATTGTGAATTTATTTGCCATTCTGAACGTGTTGAATGAGTATGTGTGTATTACATAATCATATATGTACATGTACATATACACACAAACACACAGGCAGATGAACAGACACAGAGAGCTGTTATTGTAGAATAACAATGACTAATATTAATACTATAAAATGCCCTCAACCAATGGCTGAATCATCTGCCTTATATGAGAAGTATGTGCTCCAAGACTACCTAGGGAGATAGGTCCCAACTGGAGACTGAATTAGTAGTAATTTCATTGGTCAGTTTTTCTATTTTTTATTAGAAAATTTCTGATCTGACTACTAGAAGATCTTTTACTTTCACATGTTTCTACCTATACACCTTAACTTTTCCTAGTAGATCTTTGTGACTAAGACATCTGACCACACATTCATAAACTCTAATGATGATGAAGTTTCATGCTCCTGGTCTCTCTGGCCACAGCTGTTTAAGGATGGACATCTACTCCAGCTTGGACAGTAAGCCTCCCGACAAGATTTCTGGTATTTTTATTATGCTCTTCCAGTTTTAGCCTGGCTGGAGCCTTGAATGTAATCTCATGAATTGTGAGGACCACCTACCGTGACATCTAGGAAGCCAAGGATGATGGAATGCAGTGAGACAAGAGACATAAAAGTTGACTTATAGCATCTGTGTGTCCTTTACTGCTCCACTTTTAATTTGTTTCTCTTTTGTTCCTGGCCAACAAGGTGTTTGTGTTTGAACATTGTTATTTTTAAAAAGTTCTGCTTTTATTACTTTTTTAAACTTTTAAGTTCAAGGGTACAAGTGCAGGTTTGTTACATAGGTAAACTTGTGTCAAACCTGAGAAAAACAAGCAATGGGGAAAGGATTCCCTATTTAATAAATGGTGCTGGGAAAACTGGCTAGCCATATGTAGAAAGCTGAAACTAGATCCCTTCCTTACACCTTATACAAAAATCAATTCAAGATGGATTAAAGACTTAAACGTTAGACCTAAAACCATAAAAACCCTAGAAGAAAACCTAGGCATTACCATTCAGGACATAGGCATGGGCAAGGACTTCATGTCTAAAACACCAAAAGCAATGGCAACAAAAGCCAAAATTGACAAATGGGATCTAATTAAACTAAAGAGCTTCTGCACAGCAAAAGAAACTACCATCAGAGTGAACAGGCAACCCACAAAATGGGAGAAAATTTTAACAACCTAGTCATCTGACAAAGGGCTAATATCCAGAATCTACAATGAACTCAAACAAATTTACAAGAAAAAAACAACCCCATCAAAAAGTGGGCGAAGGACACGAACAGACACTTCTCAAAAGAAGACATTTATGCAGCCAAAAAACACATGAAAAAATGCTCACCATCACTGGCCATCAGAGAAATGCAAATCAAAACCACAATGAGATATCATCTCACACCAGTTAGAATGGCAATCTTAAAAAGTCAGGAAACAACAGGTGCTAGAGAGGATGTGGAGAAATAGGAACACTTTTACACTGTTGGTGGGACTGTAAACTAGTTCAACCATTGTGGAAGTCAGTGTGGCGATTCCTCAGGGATCTAGAACTAGAAATACCATTTGATCCAGCCATCCCATTACTGGGTATATACCCAAAGGACTATAAATCATGCTGCTATAAAGACACATGCATACATATGTTTATTGCGGCACTATTCACAATAGCAAAGACTTGGAACCAACCCAAATGTCCAACAATGATAGACTGGATTAAGAAAATGTGGCACATATACACCATGGAATACTATGCAGCCATAAAAAATGATGAGTTCATGTCCTTTGTAGGGACATGGATGAAATTGGAAATCATCATTCTCAGTAAACTATCGCAAGAACCAAAAACCAAACACCACATATTCTCACTCATAGGTGGGAATTGAACAATGAGAACACATGGACACAGGAAGGGGAACATCACACTCTGGGGACTGTTGTGGGGTTGGGGAGGGGGCGGAGGGATAGCATTGGGAGATATACCTAATGCTAGATGATGAGTTAGTGGGTGCAGCACACCAGCATGGCACATGTATACATATGTAACCTGCACATTGTGTACATGTACCCTAAAACTTAAAGTATAATAATAAAAAATAAATAAATAAATAAATAAAAGACACAGACTAACAAATGAATATACAAACATGTTCAATTTCACTTCCATGCAAATAAAAGTTAACAAATTAAAAAAAAAAACTTGTCTCATGGGGGTTTGTTGTGTAGTCTTTGGAGTCTATGTATATTTGTGGTGCTTAGAATAAATAAATCTTTCTATAAAAGTCAGCTTGAGACAGTTTCTTTTCCCCAAATAATCCTTGTTGACATGTGGATTAAATTTTTCGGAAAAAGAAATGTAATAATTTTTTGTAGCATTCACACTAATGTAATGAGGTTTGTAATAAAAGTATCAGTGACTTCAATTCCTGCTATATTCTGAAACCAAAATGTATTTTTACAATTACTTAATTTTTTCAAAAAATATTTATTGAGCTTACTATGAATCAAGCACTTGTGTAGGTACTTGAACAAAACAGACAAAATCTATCTGCTCTTATAAAAATTATATTTTGGTAGAGGAATATAGTCTAGTTTTGGGATAATGTTATAAAGTAAAATATTGGGGAAATTTAGTTAATTTGTGTAATCAAATCTTTTCTTAAATATAAAAAATTGAAAAAGCAAATTAAAAGATCTCTCAATACAATAAGAAAATATATAACTTAAGATTGTAAGGTAAACTTGATGTAATAGAATAATAATAAAATTTTCACACACTTGTATCTTAATGAGGTTACTAAATGAAAATTATGCCTCCAGATTTCAGCTTTTGTTAATACATACAGAGATGAGAAGCTGTTTAGAAAAATTTATTTTCAGATAAATGAGCAAAAAATAAATGTTCAATAAATATTTGCTGTGTAGATGAAGGGAATGTTTCTGGTTTCAAAGAGCTAACACCAAAAGTAGAGGAGAATTCATCATATTCTCAACCTTTTAAACTCTGTAAAAATGTAGACTGAATTTGTTAATTCTCTCTTTAGCTGTATCTAAAACTTATAATATCAATTTAGGTTGATAAATTCAGTGAGGAGAGAAAGAAAGAACATTCCCTACATAGGATAGGATGTGCAAAGGTCCTATGGAAAGAGGGTGTATGAGTACTTCAGTTAGCAAAAATAAACCAAAGTATCCAGAGAATATTCAGCAAAGGGAAGAGTATCTCAAGATGAGGCTGAAAGAATGGATAGGGCCACGTCCTTATAGGCAGGTTGAGGTCTTTGGATTTTATCCTTAGACCAGTGCAAAAATTTAAAGTATTCAAAAGCCATTCTGGTTGCAGGATGACAGTGAATCATTGACGGGCAAGATCAGGTGTATGTAGACCAGTTTAGGGGGTTATTATACTCCAAGCAAGAGATGACAGTAGCTTGAATAAGGCAGTGGAAGTAGGCATAAAGGGAAATTAATGATTTCTAGAGGTATTTAGAAAAGAACATCGACAAGAGATAATTAGGAAAAGGTGATCAGGATGGTTCTTAGCTCTCCATCTTGCACTGTTGCCATCTAGTAATATCCTTCATAGCAATAGGAACACTGGAAGAGGACATGGTTTCAGGAAGAGGGTTGAGTTTATAGTGTCTTAATAGTTTGAAGTACTTTTAAGATATTTGAGAAAATTTGCCAGGTAGGTGGTTGGAGATACAGGCGTGGAACCCAGATGACAGTTTTGGACTAGAGACATAGTGTTGTGAGTTACCTTTGTATACTGGAGGGACTGAATTAGGTTATCCAGGGAAAACATAGAGTTAAAAGATAACAATGTTCAGGCCTGAGACTCAATCTACTAAATTTAGTGTTTGAGTAATGAATGAGGAGTCAGCAGAAAAGATTTGAAGCTGCCAGGTGAAAAGAGGGAGTTTAGAAGAGTGCTATGTGACAGGATTATATGAAGACAATACTTCAAGGAAAGTGTCTTCACTGGTTATTGCTACTGAGAATATAAAAAGAATTGAAAATATCTATTGGATTCACTGATAGGGAGATCACTCATAACCTTAGGGTAAAGTTGGTGGCATAATGAAGATGAAAGCCATATTAGAAAAGTTGACAAAGTAGAAGGTGAGAAAATGTACATAGTGAGAATAAACAACTTTTAAGAAGTTTGTTCTGAAAAGAAGGTAGAGATAGAGCTGTGGCTGAAGGAAGATTTGGGCCCTATGGATGAGAGAGTCTTGTATATGTTTAAATGCTGATGGCAAAGATCAGTTTGAGAGCATCTATTTATATTATTGAGTAAATTCTTATTTGCCTTTTGACATTTTAAACATTTTCATTTGTCATCTAAGCAAGAGTAATAAAACTCTAGTTTTCTACAATTTATTATGATTTTTAAAATGTTTTCTTTCACAATCTTATTTTTTATTCCTACAGCAATACTCTTGGTTAATATTATTTTTATCTTTGCAGCACTGGCCATTCCTGTCGTCTTCAATATGAGTTCTTCCATGCTTACGAAGTGCCTAAAAACAGTAAGTGCTAAATAAATATTTATTGAAGAAATGGTTTAATAATTATTACCTACAAGAGAAAATTAAGGCATTTAGAGTTTAAGTTCTTCACTAAATTTGCACAGTTTTTAGGGGCAGTGTTGGGTCAACTGACTCCATGTTTGGTGATCCTTCCATTTTAGACTGCAGGGCCATTAGAGTTAAAACCAATTTAAAGTTAGTAACTATTGGTTAGATGTTTTGTAGTCATTTTTGTCTTTTTAAGGGACAATTTTCCTAAAACCTTTAAAGGAATAGCACTTTCAAGCAAAACTCAGCAACTGTTGAGTCCTTTAAAACCTTATCCTGCCTGAATAATTAAATTGTGGCCGCTATCACAGAAACAAACGGGATTAGTCATTGCTTTGTAAAGCATGAAGACCATTAAACAGATGCATGTTAAATTAGATTTTAGTAAAATTCCTTAAAGCAGGTTAGCAAACCCAATACAGGTGAAATAATAATTGGGGTATAACAACTAGCGTAACACTTCTTAGATATTTTCTACAATGCCCACTTGCTCACTTATTTCTGAATGATATGAAATGAACAAAACATTTTTTCCATTATGATTAAAATGTAAGGGGGTTGGGAGAGAGAGAGAGAGAGAGAGGGGAAGAGATGAGATAAGGTCATTTTAGTAGCCAAACAGGACATCTTGGGTACATAATCAGGCCCAAATTATGAAAAAATTAAGTATTAATCTGTATGTATCTTATGATACTTCATTTATCATAATGGTGTCAATATTACTGAGCAAAATACCCATTGGTTCAGGTGCATATTTTAAAGGGTAATTGAATTAAATTTATTTAAATACTCTATTTGTATTGTTTAAATTATGTTCCAGCAAAATAATGTCTAATAATGGAATAAACTATGACAAGGCATGTAACTCTAAGCGGCACTCCATTTTCCCTCTCCTCTTCACCCTTGAATACTGTTTCTCTACAAGATTCATTTTCAAATAATTAACTATTCCTTCTGATATTTAATCCCACATTTATAAATAATAAATGTTTGCTTTAATTATTGTCATTTTTAAATTTTAGAAATTATCTTGTAAGTTTGTTTAAGTTCCCTGTATATTACGGATATTAACCCTTTGTCAGATGGATAGATTGCAAAAATTTTCTCCCATTCTGTAGGTTGCCTATTCACTCTGATGATAGTTTCTTTTGCTGTGCAGAAGCTCTTTAGTTTAATTAGATCCCATTTGTCAATTTTGGCTTTTGTTGCAATTGCTTTTGGTGTTTTGGACATGAAGTCTTTGCCCATGCCTATGTCCTGAATGGTATTGTCTAGGTTTTCCTCCAGGATTTTTATGGTTTTAGGTCTCACATTTAAGTCTTTAATCCATCTCTAGTTAATTTTTGTACAAGGCATAAGGAAGGGGTCTAATTTCAGTTTTTCTGCATATGGCTAGCCAGTTTTCCCAACACCATATATTAAATAGGGAATCCTTTCCCCATTGCTTGTTTTTGTCAGGTTTGTCAAAGATCAGATGGTTGTAGATGTGTGGTGTTATTTCTGAGGCCTCTGTTCTGTTCCATTGGTTTATATATCTGTTTTGGTACCAGTACCATGCTTTTTTGGTTATTGTAGCCTTGTAGTATAGTTTAAAGTCAGGTAGCATGATGCCTCCAGCTTTGTTCCTTTTGCTTAGGATTGTCTTGGCTATGCAGGCTCTTTTTTGCTTCCGTATGGAATTTAAAGTAGTTTTTTCTAATTCTGTGAAGAAAGTCAGTGGTAGATTGATGGGGATAGCATTAAATCTATAAATTACTTTGGGCTGTATGGCCATTTTCACTATATTGATTTTTCCTATCCATGAACATGGAGTATTTTTCCATTTGTGTCCTCTCTCATTTCCTTGAGCAGTGGTTTATAGTTCTCCTTAAATAGGTCCTTCACATCCCTTGTAAGTTTTATTTCTAGGTATTTAATTCTCCTTGTAGCAATTGTGGATGGGATTTCACTCATGATTTGGCTCTCAGTTTGTCTGTTATTGGTGTGTAGGAATGCTTATGATTTTTGTACGTTGATTTTGTATCCTGAGACTTTGCTGAAGTTGCTTATCACTTAAGGAGATTTTGGGCTGAGACAACCCCATCAAAATGTGGGTGAAGGATATGAACAGACACTTCTCAAAAGAAGACATTTATGCAGACAACAAACATATGAAAAAAAGCTCATCATCACTTGCCATTAGAGAAATGCAAATCAAAACCACAATGAGATATCATCTCACACCAGTTAGAATGGCAATCATTAAAAAGTCAGGAAACAACAGATGCTGGAGAGGATGTGGAGAAATAGGAACGCTTTTACACTGTTGGTGGGAGTGTAAATTAGTTCAACAAATGTGGGAGACAGTGTGGCAATTCATCAAGGATCTAGAACCAGAAATACCATTTGACCCAGCAATTC
This sequence comes from Homo sapiens, assembly GCF_000001405.40. Classification (NCBI taxonomy): domain Eukaryota; kingdom Metazoa; phylum Chordata; class Mammalia; order Primates; family Hominidae; genus Homo; species Homo sapiens. The sequence goes on along the minus strand of NC_000008.11, from coordinate 79,267,574 downwards.
CATTACTGGGTATATACCCAAAGGATTATAAATCATGCTGCTGTAAAGGCACATGCACACGTATATTTATTGCGGCACTATTCACAAGAGCAAAGACTTGGAACCAATCCAAATGCCCATCAATGATAGACTGGATAAAGAAAATGTGATGCATATACACTATGGAATTCTATGCAGCCATTAAAAAAGGATGGGTTCATGTACTTTGTAGGGACATGGATGAAACTGGAAACCATCATTCTCAGCAAACTAAGACAGGAACAGAAAACCAGACAACACATGTTCTCATTCATAAGTGGGAGGTGAACAACGAGAACACATGGACACAGAGAGAGGAACATCACACACTGTGGCCTGTCAGGGGGTGGGGGTGCTAGGGGAGGGATAACATTAGGAGAAATACCTAATGTAGATGACAGGTTGATGGGAGAAGCAAACCACCATGGCACATGTATACCTATGTAGCAAACCTGCAAGTTCTGCACATGTATCCCAGAACTTAAAGTATAAAAAAAAATTTTTAGAAATTATCTAGATGATCTTTTAGCTTCCAGTATTTCCTTGGAAAGTTCTGTCATTCTCAATTGTTGTCCTTTTCATTTGACTTTTAATTTTGACTTGTTTGTAGAAGCACTCAGAATTTTGAAGGTGTTCTACTTCAAAGGCCTGAAAGGTGAGAAATTAGCTTTCTATTATGAAAGGTGAGGAAATAGCTTTAATACATTCTCCTCAAACATTCCACCCCCCAAACCTCCAGCATTTTCCACCTATTATTTACTAATATGGCTTTGTCTTTGTAATTTTTTATGGTCTATAGGGAGGTTTTCAGAGATTTAGTTCAGATTTTTTTTCTTGGCTGCATATATGTGAATAAAGAAAAATCTCAATAAGCTGACATCTAAAACAAGTAGGAAGAATATTTTTAAAAATATTTTCTGGTAATGTGGTGAAATAGCATGTGTTGAAATTTATGATATAGACCAGAAGATTATAACCCCATGTTAAAATCATATGGGAACATTCTAAAAAAATATTCAGTTTCTACACCTCAAATTTTAATTCCACAGGTATCCAGAATACTGTGGCCAATTTTATATTTTAAAAGCTATCTAGCTCGTTCTTGTGAACAATTAGTCTTGTGAGACCTGATCTGTCAGTTAATTCTACAGGCATAAAGAAAAAGGATAAATGTAACATATTATTACTTGTTCAAGATGATATTATTTGTTTACAATTCTTACTTACCTCCTGCCCTAGCTATAGCTTTCCTATGGGCAGAGTATACTTCTCTACCCTATTAATTTGGGAGCTTTGACCAATGGCATGTGGGCAGAGGTGGTAGTTTGTCATTTGGGAAGAGACTTGAAGATCCACTGCAAATGTCCACCTGAGTGCTTGTGTTCCTGTACTCTGCTATGAGAAGACCTAACCTACCAGTCTAGAATCAAAGCCAGCCAAAACCAGCTGGCCCCTTAGCCTACCCACTGTAAACCTGTAGATCCATGAGTGGGCAATGCATGCTTGTATTTGCAAGCCACTGAGATTTTGGTCTGTCTGTTATTTACCATGACTGAAGCAACAACTGAAAACATCACTGCCTGTTGGTTATTTTACTCTGCGTTTTTGAAGAGATAACTTACAGGGTTTCGGTTGTCTTAAAAAATAGATAAATGAATAAATAAATAAATAACTACTCTAGAAAAGAATAATCCACATTTCTCTGCCCAAGCGTAAAGGCCAAGGGAATAGATTTAGTCTCTTCTGTTCTGTCTGAGTCTGAGCTTCAGAGAGCTAGTGATGGGGAAAAAAAAAAATCTCTGGGATTTTGATGAGATTAACCTGGCAGAAAATTGCTAAAGTAAAAGGTTGTATCTTAAGGCATCAATCTTTTTTAATCTTAGAGTCCTACTGTGTAAACAAATTGGAAAATAAAAAGGACCACTTGAGTGAAAACAGATTTTATTATTTTTTAAGCTACTCCACAGCTATTAGTGCTGAAATATAGCTGCAGTTTTAATCAAACATTGGTCACATGACTTTACCCAAATTCCTACTTATTCATTAATGGAGAAAAAACAAGCAATCAAAGGAATATATCAGAAAGCACCCAGATTAAAACTTTCAAACTTTTAGATGCTGATTTATGTAGCCAGTTCTACATGGGTATAAAATTTTTTTTTGTTTATGATAATAATCATCTCTTGCCAATTTTTATTATTTGTTACATACTTTTATTATTTGCTATTTATTATTGTTTTATTATTGTTATTTCTTCTAGCCTTCACGTCTATCTCTGACTTCATCCACATTTCCTATATTTAAGGAACTGGTTTTGGTTTTTCAGTGCTTTTGTCTGCTTGTGTTTAATTGTTATTATTTGTAATAGGCAACTCAATGGATTGCAAATGTAAACCGAATCTCTTCAAGTCTCCAGCAAATCTCAGATTGGTGCTAATCTACCCTTTGGCTTTCATAGTTGGGAAATAATTTATCACCATATGATTTATAGGCTATAGATAAAAATAAATAATAACAGTGAATATTAGCAGTTACAGTTTGAAATTATTTGGTATTTGCTATTTTATTTGTGGCTCTTAACCAATGCACCTAGTTAGGGAATAAGAATGTATCATCTAACCTTAGATTATACGCCAAGCTAGGTATTAGGACTAAGAAAGAAACACATCCTAAAATTCCTTTTTAAGTTTGTTTTCGATGAAGAAAACAAGAAAATATTACAGCAAGGAATCTAGAAAACTGTGCCCTTTGGTGTCTATCATTTCACCACTTTAATAATGGTTAGCTTTTTTTATTCTACTGCATGGCCTATTGCCACAAAAATAGAACAAAAGTAATGGTGAAATAACACATGTACTATAAGCTGGTTTAGGAAGTGTCTAAATCTCCTTCAGACTTCTGTTTCTTTATCTCTAAAATGCTTCTTTGGTAAGTCATGTCAGAATCTAATAAGATAAAACATCTAAATGGATTTGGACACATAGCAGACCTCACTGACTGTAGCTACCTTTACTTCTATATTTTTGCCTAAAACAATTTTTGGAAATAAAAGGATGATGAGGCATATATGTTTGCAGAAACAAATTTCCTTAAAATATTTGGGAAAAAATCCTGTAGTTAAAGAAGCTGTCCATCATAGAATTAAACTGTGACTGTGTACAATTAAAATATATTTTCTTAGGAATAAGTCCACATATTGTTATTAGAATAACTAATATTACTCAGTGAGAACCATAAGGTTCCATAAAATTGTGATGGAAATTCTAAATCACAACTTCAATGGACTACATGTGATGTTTATTCTAAATGCAATTTAAGCAAAAGTTATAGAATATTATAGTATATGTAGTACTGCACATACTCAGACATTCAGAATTCAATGCTCTGGCCATGCTGGGTGGTAGAGTTTTTTTGTTTTTATATTACCAAAAAAATAAAGAATGAAGAATTTGTGAAAGAAGATTTCCTGCTGAAGAAATTAGACTTTTTTTTTTTTCTTTTTTTTTTTTTTTTTTTTTTGACGAAGTCTCTCTCTGTTCCCCAAGCTGGAGTGCAGTGGCGCAATCTTGGCTCACTGCAACCTCTGCCTCCCGCGTTCTCCTTCCTCAGCCTCTCGGGTAGCTGGGACTACAGGCACATGCCACCATGACAGGCTAGTTTTTATAGTTTTAGTAGAGACAGGGTTTCACTATGTTGGCCAGGCTGGTCTTGAACCCCTGACCTCATGGTCTGCCCGCCTTGGCCTCCCAAAGTGCTGGGATTACAGGTGTGAGCCACCGCGTCTGGCCACAAATTAGACTTTTAAAAAGTTATTTTGCACTTCTCTCTACTACCCTTTGAAACTTCACTAAAACAACAGCAAAGGATACAAGCACAGTAAACTCATAAACACAAATAATAATAGTAAGAAAAGAAAGAAAGAAAAAGAAAGACAGAAAAAGAAAGAGAAAGACAAAAGACAGAAAAAAGAAAGAAAAAGACAGAAAAAGAAAGAGAAAGACAGAAAAAGAAAAAGACAGAAAGAGAAAGAAAAAGAAAGAAAGAGAGTAAGAGAGAGACAAAGAGAGACAGAAAGAAGGAAAGAAAGAGAAGGAAAGAAAGAAAGAATCAGACAAGGTGAATGAGAGACTTTTGCAAATTCTGGAAAGATAGATAGTTTATGCTGTCTTTAGACAGGAGCTGAGTGTCTAAAGCTATAGTCAGTGAGGTCTGCTATGTGTCCAAATCCATAAAACTCATAGTTTTATGTGGAATAATTAGATTATGTGGAAATTTTAAAATTTTAAAATTTTAAAATTGTGAAAAGGGTGTGCGTATGCGTGTGTGTTTGTTGTTTATCCAAAGTAGAATGTAGTGGAAATCTTTATTGTATTTTTGTTACATCCAGGATATCATAACTCAATAAATAATTGGTGCAAAATAAAATAAAATCCACAAAGATTTGGGAGTTGCATTATTAGACACGTTACTTCTTTTCACAGTGAGGGGAAACCTTATTGATATCTTCTAAAATTTCTCTGAGAAGCTAAGTGTCCATACAAAGCCATGGAAGTGTTAAAGTGTATATTATACATGATATAACAAATAAGGTAATTTATTTGGAGTTGTTTCCACAGAATACGCTGTTTGATATTTCTGTACTCTTTATGGCAAATTAGTTTTGATCATTGTAGATGATTATATTCTTTCTGAGTCATTAAGAGCTATTACTGACATGTATCAAACTGTGTTGAAGCATTGCCATTATGTTTAAAACATATAATTTGTAGATAAAAGTAAAAGTCTGAAGCTTGTCAAATATCCTTTTATTTCATATTGAAAAGTGAAAGCAAATGCTTTAATGTTGAATTATTATAAGATAGAAAAATCAGTGGAAAAATTGATATTTAGTAAAAGAAATGTTATTTCGATAGTTGCAAGGGAACCGCGGTAAAGTCTATAGATGCTTCTTATATGTGGGTATTCTCGCTTTCCTGAGAACACAGGAAGAATCTACTTCCCAGAATCCTTCAGGGCCATATGACTAGTTCTAGCCAGTGAAATGTAAGTGAAATTGATGCATCTCATTTCTGGCTGAAGCTTTTAAGAGCAAGCATGCCACCTCCTTAATCTCTCTTCCTCTTTGGCAGTGACTGTGGAGGCCATTTATTGAAATGGTGCTACTTGAAAAGTAGGCAGCTTGAGTCACCACCTAGAGAAAAGCAGCTCTGGAAAGATATTTGACTGGTGCAAGACTTTGTATGCATGAGAAATAAGCTTTTGCTGTTTAAACGCTTTTGCTGCAGCTGGTATTCACTTACCCTAACTAAAACAGTTAAGACTCATGCAAAATCTGAAGGTAGATTTAAATTTCATTTAACAGAACCATACTTTAATAGTACAGAGATACTCACTATTCAAATGAACTCCAAGGTAACTGTTCCTTTAATCAAAAATTGTTAAAATGTAAATGAGCACCACTCAATTTACATGACGTTTAACTGATAAATCAAATCATAAAGTTATATGATAAAAAAATTAGAAGGTTATGGGGTGAATTTTACTCTTCATTGTTCAGTAGTAGAGTGCTCTCTATTTTTATTTATTTATTTATTTATTTATTTTTATTATACTTTAAGTTCTAGGGTACATGTGAACAATGTCTGGGTTCGTTATGTAGGTATACATGTGCCATGTTGGTTTGCTGCACCCATCAACTCATCATTTACATTAGGTATTTCTCTTAATACTATCCCTCCCCCAGCCCCCACCCGCCGACAGGCCCTGGTGTGTGATGTTCCCCGCCCTGTGTCCATGTGTTCTCATTCTTCAACTCCCACCTATGTTGAGAACATGCAGTGTTTGGTTTTCTGTCCTTGTGATAGTTTGCTGAGAATGATGCTTTCCAGCCTCATCCATGTCCCTGCAAAGGACATAAACTCATCCTTTTTTTGGCTGCATAGTATTCCATAGTGTATATGTGCCACATTTTCTTAATCCAGTCTATCGTTGATGGGCATTTGGGTTGGTTCCAAGTCTTTGCTATTGTGAACAGTGCCACAATAAACATATGTATGCTTGTGTCTTTATAGTAACATGATTTATAATCCTTTGGGTATATACCCAGTAATGGGATCACTGGGTCAAATGATATTTCTAGTTCTAGATCCTTGAGGAATCACCACACTGTCTTCCACAATGGTTGAACTAATTTACACTCCCACCAACAGTGTAAAAGCGTTCCTGTTTCTCCACATCCTTTCCAGCATCTGTTGTTTCCTGACTTAAAAAGTTTGTCTATTTTTTAAATGTTGAATTTTGCTCTTTGATTTATCTGGAATTAGTTATCATGCTTACTTTGTGGGATAAATCTAAGTTCATATTCTCTGTACTGTAATCCAGTTGTCTCAATCATGTTTTTATAAAATATGCTTCATGTTTTTGTCTTTTTAGATTTCTAACCTCATTTTAAAGAAGATGGAAAAGAAAATTAATTCTGCAATTCACTAATAAATGTTTCTGTAATGATAGAGATTGGGGTTCCTTGTATTTCTTCCCCATCTACTCATACACCCTTAAAGTCATTCTTGTCATGAAGTTCTTGCTGTTGAGGAAATCCCTTGTTTATCTCGAGGGACAATCCATTTTTGGATTTGTAACAAGTTCCTCATAGCCTATAAAGAAGATTTTAGACCTAAGATATCATTTGAATGCTAGTTGTACCATTCATTAGCTAAGTGATCTTGGACATGTTTCTCAAATGGCTTGGTCTTCAGTTTCCTCATCTCTGTAGTGGACTTAAAATGTCTGCTTAATTGACTGAGATAATGTATGTAAAATGAATCAATTCATATAAATGAAAATTATAATTTTTGCCTTTTAGGGGCCTTAAAATTCATTTTTAGAAACTGGATTTTTTTATGGTAAACACTGATGATAATGCCAAGTAATGTATGTTACTTGACATTAATCTAGATTTAAACACTGGCTCTACCACTTACAGTTCAGTATTTTCATCTGTAAATGAGAATCTCTATAAAATAAATCTGATAAAATTACTAAGAAAGTTCAATGAAATAATTTATATAAAGTATTTCATAATGCTGTATGGAAATGAATTTTATAGGGGATCAGGGAACAGGGCAGTCCCTAGGAATGGACTGTGGATGCCAAGGCAGGTGGGAGTGGAGCAGGAAAACCTTGAATGACAGCAGAAGTGCAGGCTCATGAGGTTAGGGAATGCACAGGTCACTTAATTTGGCATCTCTGTTTCATAGCCCCATATCTGATACACATCACCCAGCCAACAAATAAAGTGTTAAATGAATGAATACAAAAGATGCACATTCTAGACATTGCAAAAAGAATCATATCAGAAGGATAAAAGGATGAAATACATTTCAAAATATTTTCAAAATTAAAAGTACTCACCAAAACACATTTAAGTAGAGAAGGCAGGGATCCTTGAACAAAATATTGATTTTCTGGCAAAAGAGTAATTATCTCTGTTTTTACTTATTCTTACAAGTAGAAATGATTTATTTCTTCCTTTCAGAGATGTTTTATTCATTGGCATCAACTGGCGGCTACAGAATGCAATCCTGCTGCCTTGTGGATAGTTGCTACAGCAGCTAGGCAAGGTTACTGCATTGAAACATCTACAGTCTTTCTTTTGTAAGATAGTTAGGGGCTTTGGGTTGTTTATACAATGAATCTCCCAAATGAAAATGACAGAAATTTAGAGATAAATGAAAATCTGTTCTCCATTTCAGAGTATAATTACCACTACTGCCCTCACTGACTTTCTGTTTATATCTGAAATCTCTTTGTATCAGCCATTAACAAGGTTAATGCTCATTCATTCTCTCTTCACTTTACCCCACACAGATCTATTTTTACCCTAAATATGAGGACTAGAATACAAAGCCAAAGACATAGAGGATTGAATATATTCTAACATTTTAGCCCTGATTATATGCCAGAGTCATAGGGCTATCAAATAACAGCAATAATCATGGTTAATATTTATTAAAATCCTGCAATAACTTTATACATATGCATGCATAGACACATACAGATATACATATATATGTGCTTATAATATTTTAATCCTAACAACAATACTGCTAGGCTGATAAAACAGATGTTATTTTCCCCACTTATAGAAGAAACAAGCTATTAATTATTGCCTGAATTTCAGAGCCTGTTATTGGTCTATTCAGAGATTCAACTTCTTCCTGGTTTAGTCTTGGGAGAGTGTATGTGTCCAGGAATTTATCCATTTCTTCTAGATTTTCTAGTTTATTTGCATAGAGGTGTTTATAGTATTCTCGGATGGTAGTTTCTATTTCTGTGGGATCGGTGGTAATATTCCCTTTATCATTTTTTATTGCGTCTGATTCTTCTCTCTTTTCTTCTTTATTAGTCTTGCTAGTGGTCTATCAATTTTGTTGATCTTTTCAAAAAAACCAGCTCCTGGATTCATTGATTTTTTGAAGGGTTTTTTTTGTGTCTCTATTTCCTTCAGTTCTGCTCTGATCTTAGTTATTTCTTGCCTTCTGCTAGCTTTTGAATGTGTTTGCTCTTGCTTCTCTAGTTCTTTTAATTGTGATGTTAGGGTGTCAATTTTAGATCTTTCCTGCTTTCTCTTGTGGGCTTTTAGTGCTGTAAATTTCCACATCCACACTGCTTTGAATGTGTTCCAGAGATTCTGGTATGTTGTGTCTTTGTTCTCATTGGTTTCAAAGAACATCTTTATTTCTGCCTTCATTTTGTTATGTACCCAGTAGTCATTCGGGAGCAGGTTGTTCAGTTTCCATGTAGTTGAGCAGTTTTGAGTGAGTTTCTTAATCCTGAGTTCTAGTTTGATTGCACTGTGGTCTGAGAGAGAATTTGTTATAATTTCTGTACTTTTACATTTGCTGAGGAGTGCTTTACTTCCAGCTATGTGGTCAGTTTTGGAATAAGTGCAATGTGGTGCTGAAAAGAATGTATATTCTGTTGATTTGGGGTGGAGAGTTCTGTAGATGTCTATTAGGTCTGTTTGGTGCAGAGCTGAGTTCAGTTCCTGGATATCCTTGTTAACTTTCTGTCTCATTGATCTGTCTAATGTTGACAGTGGGGTGTTAAAGTCTCCCATTATTATTGTGTGGGAGTCTAAGTCTCTTTGTAGATCTCTAAGGACTTGCTTTTTGAATCTGGGTGCTCCTGAATTGGGTGCATATATATTTAGGATAGTTAGCTCTTCTTTACCATTATGTAATGGCCTTCTTTGTCTCTTTTGATCTTTGTTGGTTTAAAGTCTGTTTTATCAGAGACTAGGATTGCAACCTTTGCCTTTTTTTGTTTTCCATTTGCTTGATAGATCTTCCTCCATCCCTTTATTTAGAGCCTATGTGTGTCTCTGCATGTGAGATGGGTCTCCTGAATACAGCACACTGATGGGTCTTGACTCTTTATCCAATTTGCTAGTCTGTGTCTTTTAATTGGAGCATTTAGCCCATTTACATTTAAGGTTAATATTGTTATATGTGAATTTGATCCTGTCATTATGATGTTAGCTGGTTATTTTGCTCATTAGGTAACATTTTAATGTCAAATAAAACAAGTAATCCCTTTCTCTTTGTTTATTCATCCAGATAAGATTTTAAATCATTTTGATGTTTTCTCTAAGATTATGTTGAGTTTTTAAAACTTCGTTTGCATTAAATCTGTCATTGATTTGGAGACTGACAGATATAAAAGATATAAAACTTTTTTACATATAAGTTTGCAGATGTATCTGTAAGTATATTCCCATATTATTTGTCTACATGTATCTATCTAAATGTGTGTATAGATATTGGTATACATTTATTTGAAAATACATAGATGTATGTTTAGATATTTATATGCTTATATGACATTTTTCAAGGCTAAAATTCTAACTAAGTGTCATTATCAGAAAAAATAAAGTGGGGAAAAACATCAAAAAAAAAAAAAAAAAGAAACAAGCTCAGAATGTTTTGGTGATTTCTTAAGGCAAGTCATGTTTTAAGTGGTGGGCCCAGAATTTGAACCCAAGCTCTAGTGTCCACACTCTTTCCACTAGATTCTGCTAACATAATATTCCAAAATGATAGACAAGGATTATAAAACCCACAAATCTCTTCCATTATTGTGATAGATATAATGGATGTGAAGATGCCTGTGTTGATTGGCCAGAAGGCCATGCTGAGTCATTTGCAGATTCCGGGGTTAGAGTCCAGTCTAGCACCTGCTATCAGGGAATGGGCCACAATTTAGCCAGGCTCAGACCCTGGACCAGATGCCAGAAAGTGGGCATTGATGGGTGGCAGCATGACCACCAAGCCATTACATCAAATAACCCAGAACATGCCCTGTTATCTTCTATCTGGATCCCAAAGTTCAAAGTCATTATCTACCACTACTCTAGAGAAAGCTCAACAGAAGTATTATATTGTCTAAACTCCATTTTAAATATTGGCAACATCCTTGATTTTAAAGACTGCTCAAGCCACATGCTATTTTGTAACTCACGGATTCCTAGTCATACTGAATATTTAAGTTAAAAATTAACCCTTTCTGATCCGATTATCTCATTTGCTTTGATGAAACAGGCTACTTTTCTTTCCCAGGATTATTGAGATATGATTGATGAATTTAAATTGTATATATTTAGGGTATATAATGTCATGTTTTGGTATATGTAGACACCATTAAATAATTACTACAGTCAAGCTAATTGACAACCTAAGTGTCTGTCAACAGATAAATGAATAAAGAAAATGTGGTATACATACATGATGGGATATTATTAAGCTGAAAAAAGAAGGAAATCCTCTCACAGCATGCTTTAAATTTATGCAGCATTATCCAGAGACTTTATTCCCTTGTCTTAGCATTCCCCAGCTCCTCAAATCTGGAGCTTCACTTGTAGCCTTCATCCTGCTCCTGTGTCAGTCAGTACTGAGATCTGCCACATTTTATGTCTTGTAGCTAAGGAGCAGGGCTTAGAATTAAGTCAACTTGCCATACACCAAAATCTCTTTGTTGTCAAAAATACATGGAATCCAAAGAAAAGACCTGTCACTGATGTTGCCCCCAGATCGCCTTTCTTTTTCTATCAGTTAATGGCTGTCATGTAACATGTCTTCCTTGAGCTTAGAGATTTAAAACAACTGTCTATTAACTTACAGCTCTGAAGGTTGGCAACTGGGCTTGGATGTACTGAATGGTAATTTGCTGGTCTCCTCTGGGCTCATTTATGCATCTGCATTCAGCTGGCATTTGCTGGCCTCACTCACATATGTGGCAATTGACTCTCATGACTGGGGGCTGGCTTACCATTGAAATGGATACCTCAATTCTCCTCCACATGATCTCTCTTTCATTTGTAAGTAACAAGTTCTGTATCAGTTATACATTGCAGGATAATAAATTATCTCAAAAAGTAGTGACTTAAAACAACAATGACTTTATTAGCTAAGTATAGGTTATTAGATAAATCTATGATTTAGCAACTGGGCCTGGGCTCAGCTGGGTGGTTATTCTGCTGCTTTCAACTAGACTCACTCATGTAGGTATGGCCAGCTGATTCTCAATGGCCTAACGGATTACCTGGCAGTTGGCTAGGGCCAGGTTTTTGTCTGTCATCATTTAGCAAGTTAATCAAGGTGACTACTGGATTCCAAAAGGCAGCATGAGAGGGCAGCCCCAATTTAGAAGAGTTTTTCAAATTTCTGCTTCTGTCACATTTGCCATTACTCCATGAACCAAAGAAAGTCACATGGCCAATCCCATGTTTAATGAGTGGAGAGGAACTCAAAGTCACAAAACAAAAGAATGTGCATCCTGGGATGGGAAGCATTTGTGGCCATATTGCAATCTATTGTAGCCTTTTCACCTTAATTCATTCTAAGAGGTGGCACTTTTGCTTTGGTTCTAGTTCTTTAGTTGTCATTGGTCACAATGATGAACCTTTCAGCTTCCTGTAGTGAGTTTTGACAAAACCTGTAGCCAATCATTTCCTTGGCCTGTGTCATTTTTGAGAATAAAATGTTTCCCTATAATCCAGGACACAAACAGTAGAACTGCCCTGTAGGCACAAAACTCTTGGCTCTTGTTACCTTTTATCACATGCTAGATGGCCACATCCACAGTGTTTTCTGTGGTCTAGGCAAAAGGCTGGTAGGGGCAGGAAAATAAGCTAGGGAGAAGCAGGCAACCACTGAGCATGGTCCACTTTCCACATCTCCCTATTCTAGAGGGATCTCTTTTAGCTATAAAACAGATCTGAGTTGGGTGAAAAAAGCCACAGGAAATGATAGGGAATATTTATCTATTAGTAGAAATAAAACTCATAGAAAGTAGTGTATCTGACTTTATTATAAGTCAGTACCCTAGGCCAAAACAAAGGTATAGAATCAAGTTTTGTGAGAAAGACTTGGAAGTGGTGTTTGAAAGTCTATTAACTCACAAAGTACGGACACAGCTACCAGCTGTACTATTAGATGGATGATTACTTAAACTCAGTCTGACTGCATGCCTAGAGACTATCTTAACAGCAGCTCAGGTATTTTCCCTAGTTTCTGACCTGGGTAACCCACATATCCCCTCAGCTCTCAGGGAAGTCATTCACAGTTGGATATTCTGAGATCACATCAGTTATAAGTGAGTGCAAGTGACCACTCTTTTCCTTTACCCCAGTGTGTGGTACAAATATTAGCTTTTTTTTTCTTGGAAAATTTTGTGGAAAAGGTTAGGAAGCACTGATATATTTAGTTCAACAAAAAATTTGCAGACTACCTTTTACAATATTTTTTACACACTTACAAAGATTCTTTGCTTGACCAAAGTTTAGTCCAGCTTCTTAACCTTCTCCTGGGCCCATCTATGCACTTCTTGTAAAATCCAATTTTAGCAAAGAGCCCTGCTAAGTTAAGTCAGTTTAGCAAAAACTCACAGCCCTCCGTATCTTATCACACATAATATCAGATTAAGTCTCTGGTTCTCCACCATCCTCCAGGTGATGCCTGGTCACCTTGCCTGTCTTCAGCAAGAATCCCTTTAGGTTGATTTAGCCAGAATTTCTCTTACTCCTAATGTTTTCTTTTAGTAATTTTCCATCCACTGACCTCCACCCTGCTGCTTAGCTATACATTTCCACTTGTTCATGCTATATTGAGAGTTGAGCCCAATCTCTCTCCCCCATTGCAAGACTGTTGCAGTGGTCCCTGAATTTATCTCGATGGTCCATAAGAAAGTCTTCCTTACTGTGCTTTAATAGGTGTCATTGAATATTTTTTCTTTAACACACATTTATGTGTTTGTATATTTGTACACACACACTCTATTTACATATTATATATGGTCACTATATATTATATATACTATACATAATATACATCACATTTTTTATATATATATATGTATATATGATCTTCCTATTAACATGCAAACTCCAAGAGAACAGGGATATTCTCTATGTTATTCATCCCTGTACTCTCAGTTCCTTGAATAGTAGTAGCTGGCAATTGCTTGGTGCTCATTATATATCTGTAAACTAAAGCATTCAGGTATATACTAGAGATACAATCATGAATATAACATGACATCTGCACTTGAGAAGCTTGCAGATGAGAAGAAAAGTTTTCATTTCATATACTCTGGCTACATATCTATCTTTGGGGACCGTACATGAGATAGAGGAGAGAATGTGATTTATAATGATTCTCCTGATACTCCCTAGTGTTTGTAATAAAACCTCAATATAATTTCCAGGACTAAAAGGCTCCTCTTGGCCTTCATGCAGCAGCATTCATGCAGCTTTCCTTGAGGCTCAGGTAGGCATGTAGAAGATATTCCAGCTTACGTGCCTGATGATCATCTTGTATTGAGTTAAGAGGAATGTACAAAGTCTATTTTATTACAGGTTAAAGGTTGTGCTTTCTCCACCATTACAGAATCATTCACACAGAATCATTCGAGACAGACCAATTGCCTGCCAAGTAGAATGACTGAGACTGACTGATCTGAGCAGACGTTATAGTCTATAATGGTTTTTCTGCTTCATGTGCAGAAACAGCCTCCAGCTGGACCTAGTTGAGCCAGACTAAATTGCATTTGATTCATTGACTTTGCTGCAATTGGTCTATATAACAATATGGCAGAGACCCAGAACTACAATCGTTTTGTTCACATGGCATTAAAATAATTTGTAGTAAGTAAGAGAGACTGAATCTTTTGGTCTCATTCTTATTTGCTCTTCTTATTTCGAATCATAGGAATACCATTACATACTCACATACATATCAAGAAATTTTAACTGCATCTATGCATGTTGAATCATACTATCATCTTTAGGGAATGTTTTATCTAAAATTTATTTTGTTAATTAGTGTATAATAGTAGTATATTAAATAATGTGATCATTATGTGCCATATATTATTCTATGTGCTTTTCAATCATTAGCTCTTTAAGTCTCACAGAAAACCTCATACAACTAGCCACTATTTGCACCATCCTCATTAACAGCTGATGGCACTGGGGTTGGAGAGGTTAAGTAATCTGTCTAACATCAAAGCTACTAAGTAGTAGCTGGGATTTGAGCTCAAGCTAGAGCTCTTACCTATGCAGCTTACCCCTCCCTCCCTCCCTCCCTCCCTCCCTCCCTCCCTCCCTCCCTCCTTCCCTTCCTTCCTTCCTTCCTTCCTTCCTTCCTTCCTTCCTTCCTCAATCAGCACTTCTTGAGTATCCATTCTTTCTATGCACTTAAGTACAAAGACACATATTTCGGACCCTTAAAAACCTTATACGGAAGTGAGAAAATAATTATGTAAATAAAATTTACATAAAAATATAATGAATGTTCTAATAGATTAGAATAGCACTCTAATATAATGCTCTAAAATAATGGATAGGGTCATATAGGATTAGACCAATGCAATCTCTGTTATGTCAGGCTTAGTATCAGTTCTCTTCACCACTCTATTCTCAGACTGAGAAAACTATTTTAAACTTGAAAGTTATTCAAAAAATATTTGTTGATTGA
Organism: Homo sapiens; assembly: GCF_000001405.40. Classification (NCBI taxonomy): domain Eukaryota; kingdom Metazoa; phylum Chordata; class Mammalia; order Primates; family Hominidae; genus Homo; species Homo sapiens. The sequence continues at coordinate 79,252,524 of NC_000008.11, read as the reverse complement.
AACATTGAAAGCAGTCTAACAAAGATGACAGTTGACTTGACCCTGGCCTATAGTAAATTCTCAAAAGTGTCAAAAAGTATTTACCGTAATTATCAAACATTTATCTACTATGGTGATTTACTATGTGCCAAGTATTCTTTTAAGCACTTTGCAAACGCAAACATAGATAAACCTCATAACAATTATCAACCCCATTTTCCAGATGGGAACATAGTTCTGCTGAGAGGTTGAGCAATTTGCTACAAACAGAATGTGGCAGAGCCAGGACTCAAACATATGCAGTCTGGCTCCAGGATCTAGGCTCCCAACTACCACCCAATGTTTCTGAAGAGTGGCGGAAGGTCCAGGCCACCTTTTCCAGTGGCTTGCCACCCAAAACATACATTTTCCTTCTCTTTCAAAATGTTCTGTTCTTTTGTCTTGATATGTATGAAAAAGCATTTTCATCTCCATTTTATTAAAGATGGAAAATTAGGATTCATGCTTTTGGCATATAATTTATATGAATACAAAAAATGTGTTTTATTTGGCTTTTAACAAACCCCTGTTACAGTTGTGTGTACATACATGCATACAGAATTGTAGTGTGTGCTCCAGGATTTTTGATTCTATTATTCCAGTCTGGCTCCTACCTATCTATCTTTGGAATTTTTTCAGCTTGTCCACTTTTACTTCCACCTACAACATCATACACATAAAAAAAAAAACTCAGTGATTAGGCACAGGAAATGTAAATGGTCCTTGACTTTTGGTTGACTGTCCTTGCATTGATTTAAATGCTGTCTGGCTGTATGACCTAGTGCTTCTGGGAAAAACACTTGGAATCAGAGAGAACTTTGCTTGAATGCAGGATTTTCTAATTCTAAGTATGTGACTTTGGACAAGTTATTTAAATTCAAGTGGTCAGTTTCTTTGTCTGACCAAATGACAATAATGCCCATTCTAAGGTTTCATGAGTCAATGTATAGAAAGTGCGTGGCACTGTACCTGGCTCAGTAAATGATGGTGATTATTAAAATAGTTCTAATCTTGGAGAATGATTGCTCTACTTCTGGACTCACATTTCTTCCAGTCATGTCTTAGCACATCATCCTTGGCTTTGCCCCTAAGAAAATATTGTTACCTCCCTCTGTCTTGGGCTTTCTAATAGGACTTTCAAAGGCTGGCTTCTCAGGTTTTAGCCACTTCAGCCCCTGTAACAATGCTATGCATTAACCTATCTTACTGATTGCTCACCATAAGAAGTAAAAATTTCTTGGTATGAATTTCATGGTTTGCTACATTTTGATCCCCTCACCTATATCAAAGTATTTTTACCTCTCTCACATATTTTATTTTCTTCATAGGTATACAACTCACTATTCATTGTATTCTATGTATTTTATGCATTCAAAAAATAGTATTTCCTCTCATTTGGGGATGTACATTTTGCCCTTTTAAATATTTTCTTTCACATTTCAACTTAAAACCGATCTCCTATATTGGTATTCCTCCAATGATTCTAATTCACATCTATTGATCATGTATTAGTTAGATTTTGATTAGAAAAACATAGCCATTGGGAATGATACAGAATATGGGATTTTAAAAAATAGGAATTTGATCATACATGATTGTGACAGCTGGTTAAACACCTTATGTACATCTATTGGTTCTTCATCTGGTTCTGGGAATGAAGTTAGCAGATCAGACAGTGAGGAAGGAAAAATAGACAAGCAGAGGACATGGGCAACAGAACCCACAGAACAACAGAATCCACAGGACAACAGGACCTCTACAGGTCTCTTACCATCAACAAGCCCTTAATGATGGGAGACCTGAAGAAAGGCTGGTACTCTTCATCACAGAGTTAAACAAGCACTGGCCAAGATTTAGAGAAGCATAAAGGGATAAAGGGGTCCAGTTGGAGCTAGAAAAGCTATGAGCCTGGCTGCTACTTTTCCATACCACCCAGGAGAGCCAGATCATGGATGACAAGTGTGAGTGGCAACAGGGCCTAGTGCCAGCGTTGACCTTCTGAGCATAAACTGGACATGGCTGCTTCTGAATTTCAGTTCTGCTTCTGAGACATCGTGCATTATATCTATGTGGCCCACATTAACCAGGAACCATGAAGATAAGAAAACCCTGGAATGCTTAGGTGAATTGGTGCAGCAAAAATTATCTACATTCTACCCCTTGCAACATGGCATTTATATATACTGCTTTTAGCCATTCTTAATTTAACTGTCAAATAAAGACACAAGCAAAATAATGCTTCTGCCTAACACGATATAGCTATCCCTTCTAAAACTGAAAGACTCTTCCATATTGGAAGATATACATTTTCTTTTTCATCTTGTAGCAGAGTTATATTTCCCCTTTGGTAGTCTGTAACTTAAAAACATATTTAAGGTTAATTACTATTCATACTTCTTTATTCTGTTAGATAATAAAAATAGAAGAGGAAGGATAAAAAGTGGCTTATATATGTGTGTATATACAAAAATGTATTCTGAATTACAGACTTACTCCTTATTGTGTAGCAGCAACCTAATTTTTCCTAGTCAGAAATAATCAACCTTCCAATTACAGTGACATCACCTTTTTTAACTTGTTGATTCATGACATGAATCCAAAGTGTCCAGGTAGAAGTCTCCAATTTAAATGTAATAAAACATTTACTTTGTCACCTAGTGGAAGCTCTATTTTCTTGGAAACTAAGACGTTTAGAACAACAAAACCCAGAGTTTAATGGCTGGGAAGCAAAGTTTTTCCTAGGTTACTTGCAGTAATAGTAAAAGATGCCACTTCCATTTCCATCCTTAATTCCAAGACTGCCTATGGAAGAGACAGCTGATTACTGTTCCTGCTTGCTAATTTGCTGCTTCCTGAGGACATGACTCAAACCCATCAGTGTTGTCACCTAGCTGGTGCTATGACTGAGACTTCAAAATGCTATTCCACCATTCCACCAGGCCAGCTGCTTCAGGGTGATGGGGAATGTGGAAGACAAGTGAATTCCATGGACCTGAGTCAATTGTCACACTTCATTTGCTATGAGTTTCTTGTTCAGAGCAATGCTGTGACAAATACCAAGATGTGTAAAAGGAATTCCTTGGATGCACAGATGGAGGTTTTGCTGGAGGCACTGCAGGCAGGGATGGGAAATCAGTATCCAGGATGTGTCTATTCCAGTGAAAACAAAATGCTATCCTTTCATGATAGAAGTGATTGTTTGTTATCAACTTTCCAGTTGGTGGCTCACTGATACCCTGGGAAATGGTATCATATTGAAGTCTCTGCTGGCAGAGTAGATTCACAGCACCAGCTGTAACCACTGTAGCAGTGGCTCTAGCAGATGGAAAACCTTTGTTTCTGCCATAATGGCCACTTCATTCATGAGCTCATTGGCTAAGGAAAGAGACTGACTAATGTCTACTGAATGAGTCATCTTGTCTAACTGATTATTAAGATCTTGTAGTGAAAATGCTTTTTGGTGAACATTTGCATTTGATACATGTATCTTCACACCATGTGCCTATTTGGAGAGATTCATCCACATGTTTCTTCTCTAGACCTCTTTGTCATTAACTATGTTTTTTTTTTTCCAAGTCCCTAATTATCCTACCAAATCATTAGAGGTTGCCCTTGAATAAGTGTAGATCCATAGTTCTGCTCACCTCTCCTCTCAGGCAAAATAAACAATCAGGTATATATTGCTCAAAATTCTGACCACTAGATGGGTTTTCCTTCCTCTGTACCTCAGAGATGTACTAGAAAGTGGCTGTTGTGTTGTAGCTATCCATCTTTGGGTAGAGGCAGTATATCATGGAGAACTACGTTTAAACAGGCACTTTTTTTTTTCTTTCTCAATCAACTCTCCATGTTTGAGAAGGAGGCTGTGATTGATAAGGAGGAGGCAATATAGAACAAAAATGGGCCATGGGCATTTGGGCCACTTGCTTATACAACTTACTTGGATCTTCAGAAACCAAGCTCAATGTCATCTACCATTTTCATTTGATGATGAAATGCTACTTAATTTGCTTTCTCAACATTACCGATTGGTGGGCCAGACAACACCCAGATGTGTAGTTCATTTCACAAGGTAACTTGGTGGTCAATGGTTAGTTGGTAGGTTCCTATTAAGGCCTGGTAGCAAGTCAGAACTGTTTTACAAAAGGACAATAATTATCTGCAAAAGAAAGAATAGCTTTGCTTCAAAATCCTGAGTCTTTGTGAATATGAATCACTTTTGAGGACTGCTGAAGATTGTGTATTCTTCCTATTTGAGAAAGATGCTTCGAGTATGGCCATATCTCATGGGTCCCATAGCCTAAATGATAGAACAATTTGCCCAGCATTCTGTACATGTTGTGGGACCTTCTAATGTTCTGGACCTCCACCAACACTGAAAAATTTTTTAGTTCCTAGGTAAATGGGTCAGAGTAACATGTCCAAATGAGGGATATTTTGCATCCAACATTCAAAAGAATCCAATTAGTGTTCTTTCTTTAGTAGTGGAAGAGGTCAGATGCAGCAATTTGCCATTTTGGAAGGAATATCTTGACATACCTTAGATAAATTTAATGCCTAAAAATTTAATGAAGTGGATGTTTCCCTGAACTTTTGTGGAATTTAATTCTTATCCATTGGCTAAGATGTTTACAGACAATGCTTAGAGTAGTTGTTCTGCCCAATCAGCTATATATTTTAAATAAGATGGATTGTTATGTAAATCTACTGAATGTAGAGTCAATCAAGGTCCCTAAAGACTAAATTATAGCATAAGGCTGGTGAATTCATACAGCCCTGAAGTAGGATAGTGATGATGTATTGTTGGCTTAAGCAGGTGGAAGTAAACTACTTCTGATGGACTTTGCTAACAGGTAAGAAACAGAGAACATTTGCCAGGTCAATAGGCCCATACCATATGCCAGGGAATATGTTGTTTTGCTCTAGTGACAAAACCACCTCTGAAAGAGCAAATGCAATTGGACTTGCCATCTGGTTAAGTTTATGGAAATCCACTGTCATTATCCAAGATCCATCTGTCTTCCACACAGGCCAAATAGACAAGTTAAATACAATGTGTGGTAGGAATCACCTCCCTTGCATCTTTTAAGTTTTTCATGGTGGTACTAATCTTTCCATTCCCTCCAGAATGCAATATTTGTTTCGGTTTACGATTTAGATGGTTCTAAATGGTACTATTTGGTACTGTTAAGTGACTTCTACTTGGCTTTCCCCAACATGTTAGCTTCACTCTACAGGTCAGAAGACCAAAGCAGAAATTCTGCCAGTTTCTGTGTATATCTATTCCAATCATGCATTATGAAATCTGGGAAATTACCCACAGGGTGAGTTTAGAGACTCACTGGTCCACCATGAGATAGACCCAAGCCAAAACTCTGGTAATCTCAGACCTCTATCAACTTTACTGTTACTGGTATACCATGGTGACATGTTGGTCCCTAAGAATTCATTTATATTTAGAGACAATGTCTAGCAATCCCTCAAAAGTATGATTATTTCCTCTTCTATGATGCACAATTACTCTGGCAAAAACCTTCACATCCCTTTGGGGGAAGGCTGGAAGATTTGTATTATAAATTTTCATCTGTGTAATAGGGTTCTTCCACAAGGGCACCTGACCCTCCCTTCATTTAAGGAACTCTATATCTGCAACCAGTTCACATCTGGAAATTTGTTGAAGGGTGTAATTCCTCAATTCTAATAATTTAAGTCAGGCTTCTGTACATTAAAAGTTCTTCTGTGTATACAAACAGGTAAGACTTTAGTATGCTGCTCATCTATTTCAATTTTAGGATTGTGCAATCAACTAACTAATTAGACCATTTTGACTTCTGCTTTGATTCAGTTGCCATTAAAGTGTGCAATAGCGGGATTTGGTTAAACAGTTTTTGTACAGCTGTTGTTTTCATGTCTGGTTCTGGGCCTAAAGATAGCAGAGTAGGGGATAAAAAACAAAAGACAGATAATGAAATGAGGTGGCAAGGATAAACAGAATCAATAAGGATGAGCTGGTATATACATCTCTCTCTCACCACCCCCAACCAAGCCTCTGACTTCAATGATAGTAGTAATTAGCCAAAGAAGCACATACCCAAGATTGGGAGAATGAATGGAGAGCTGGCAGGAGTTTGAGCTCTTGCAATCCCAGCTCCTGCTGGTTTGGTTGTAAAACTAACCAAAACTTTATTAACAACGAAGAAGGAGATTCAACAGGAGCTGAAGAAAAAGCTGCAACAGCATTTAATGCCCAGCCCTGACCAACTATAAGAAGAATATGGCTGTTGTCTCACTTCTGCCTTCCAAATATCAAGCAAAATCTCTCTTGTGGACCATAGTAATAAGGAAATATTATTACTAGTGCAAGCAAATATTACTAGTCCAAGGAAATATTATTAATATATTAATATTAATTAATATTTAATTAATATTAATATTATTTAATTAATATTTAATTAATATTATTTATATTAATATATAAATAATATTAATAATATTAATAATACTAGTCCAAGGAAATATTATTAATAGTCCAAGCAAAAAGTATATCAGACTATATAAAACAGGCAAAAAATATTTTATTCAACGCTATTCCAATAGGAGAGAGAAATCAGGACTCAATCTGAAGTCAACTACACTGAAACAAATAGTGGGAGAGATTTTAAGAGCTGGGGATAGGGTGGGGAATCATAGGCCACCTGTGTTTACTAATTGGCTTTACCCAAAGGAAAAGTAAGTTTTCTCTTATCTTCATGACAGGAGGTAGTTTTACAACTCAGACCAAGGTGCCCACTGAAGCTAAGCTCCTACTCTTCCACAGAGACTGGGCAATAAGGATGCTAACTTTCTTGATGATTATATTTCAAAAGTACGGCTTCCACGTCTTTGAGAAGGACAGTTTTCCATTGTAAAACTGGCAAGAAGCTTTATAAAAGATTTACATATCAAAGGGGCAGAGAAAGAATTCACAATCGCAAGTTTTCTAACATAGAAACTCTAAGAAAAAAAAAGACCAGGACAAGAATCAGGGGGAAGCCTGTCTAAAGTTTAGTTAAGCTGAGGACCATCTTGGTCCCAGGAAAGGGGATTCTAGAATATTTAGTTTTAGCTTAGCTAAGATGATACAGTACAAATCCAGCACAATGACCTTTTATAAACTCCTATTGGGATTATGCTTGCTTTAAGTTCTTACTTGTTTTGAAACTCTATCTAAACTTGGAAATAAAATGAAAGAATGACCACATGAACTTTAAATGTCATACTGGAGCATTGTCATAAGTCCATGTTGGGATTATTGAATTCTCATCATTGTCAATGAAAAGCAGCTATAAACTTATATGATGGATGAGTGTGGCTGTTTCAGTAAATTTTATTTTATTTTATTAAAAACAAAAACAGATAGTGGATCGGCTTTGATCCGCTGGTTGCTGTTTGCCAACCCTTGCTCCAGAGGAATGTAGTTTTGTTTGATTTACCATTTACCATGGTTTAAGGCCTAGACTCTGAAGTAAAATATTAACTTATAGATTTATATGTTGCACATGATTTTTGTCTAAAAGACATGTAATAGTTTTCTCCCCAGTAGAAAAGATAATCCCAATTGTTACAGTTTGATTGCACTACAGGACATTAATCACTTTTTAATCTCACATTGCAATCTTATTTCTGGATTTTCTCTTTCATTAGCTATAAATACTTTAATCTCTCTTATATTCCTTTGAACCAGCCTTACCAACTCCTATTTTCTTCATTATTGTCTTAAGTGAATCTTTGATGTATGTTAACTGTGTATTTGCAGTAAATCCAGATTTTTAAATTTTGGAAACCATGCTTTGATAGTTCTCTAATTGTTTCAGTATTGGACTTCCTGACCCTTTCTCAGAAAGAAAGAAAGAACCTCTCCTGCTAAGCTCAAATAAAAAGAAGAAACAGCTGAGCTGAACCTGTTCCAATGTTTTTCCAAATAAGATCAATTAGTACTCCTCCTGCTAAATCACTCTGGAGACTCAACTTTGCCTGCTATTCAGCAGAACATATCAGACCAAGGCAGAGAGCAGCCCTTGGCTGGTCCTTAGACCAATTGTTGTAACAGTGGGTGTAGCCTAGGAGAGTCTGACCTGGAATTCAGCAGTCCCAAGGGGCTGTTCAGAGAAGTGAGTTATGGTGTGAACTGGACCAGGCATATCCTTCTATCTCCATGGTTCTCTCCCTGTGTACCTAGATCGGCTGCATCAGCATCCCCAAGCAATTGTTAAAATTGCCAGTTCATTATTCCTATCCAAGTTAACTAAATCAGAAACTCTAGAGGTGTAGTTCAGTCAGCTGCATTTTGAGGAGCCCTCCAAGTCCTTTTAATGCAAGCAAAAGTTTGAAAACTTCAGCTCAAAAGAATTTCAGGGGGGGAGTTCAGGCACCCCCTTTTCAAAGAGGTATTTTGTACAAAGCTTAGTCTCTTTCTATAGCATGTACTTTTTTGGGTAAGAGTCTGCCTTCAGTACTTCAAGCTACCACAGGGAGGAGGTTTTCAGGTATATCTTATTTTATAAGTGTGACTTGCTCATTCTTGATAACTTTCCATTAATTGGCAAGTTAAATTTTATTTTACTGCAGAATTTGTCAAAAGAAGGATAAAAATTAATTTGGGAAAGTGGTATGGGCAGGCCAGCCACTTTCCTCCTTGCCCTCTGCAGCTATGCTTTACAGTAAAGTTGTTTTCATAAAGACAAAGATTTAAAATGCATTTCACATCATCTTTGATTCCTTTTCTATCCATAATTCATTTCCATTCAGACATATGACCTAAAGGGAGAAAAGCACAGGAAGAGAATTGTAATGCGGTGTCAGAATGTGATACAAGCATCCGTATACTCAGAGGGGGATACAGAGATTGGCCCTGAGCAGAGCTTTTCATTCAGCTACTTTAAAAGCTATAGTGGGCTTTCTGGAAATGTCTGCCTCAGGATAACCCATTGGGTATGTCTCAAGGCAAGCTAAAGAATGAGTGAACAAATGAGACAAGCAATAATAATGCAGATAGCCTTGTGGGAATTTTTGATATAGTTCGCTAGTGGGGTGAAGCCTTTCCTACAACCATAATTAATCCAAATGGAGATTAACAGATTGCCATAGGAAGTGCTCATGACAATAACACAGTTTCCTCTTGGAAGACCAGGCTTGAATGCTGATCCAGACTACTGGGAAAACCACTTTATGTCACACTGACCTATTCTGACACATGAAGGGCAGAGGGTCTGTGTTTCCTGCACGTCTCGTTACTGTCACACCCCTGGATGTCTTGTCTGCCTTGTCACGCTTGCCTCTTCCCTGCAGTGTAGGAGCATCTCAAGTTAGAGCTCAGATTTACACCAACACAAGGTAGGTTTCCTTATTAGATAATTTCTTTCCATCACCAATATTTCTATTTTCATAAAGCATCAAAAACATGATCTCTGGAGGCAGGATACCCTCGTGGAATAAATATTTCAGGAACACAGCTCTCTTTTTCAATAATCATTGTCTCTCTAAAACAATCAGCAGTTTTGGCCACTTACAGAGGCATCTCTGAGGTAATTCCAGATTCATCTTGGCTCCCAAAACATCTTTGAATAATCTATACAACTTCTTTTGCCATTCAGCAGGGCATATCAGACCAAGGCAGAGGGCAGCCTTTGATCAGTCCTTAGGCCAATTGTCATAAGTGTGGGTGCTGGCTAGGAGAGTTTGACTTGGAATTCACTCATCCCAAGGGGCTGCTCTGACATCTCTGCTTCCTGTCTCCAGTCTCAGAGTTCACACACTGTGATTGTGTCAGCACACAGGAGGCAGATCAGGCTCTAGAAGGTGTTTCAATCTAAATAAAATGAACAAGGAATGATAGCTTAGGTATTAATTTGCAAGAAAAGATAACTACTCATATCACAATTTCAAGATACTTATACTGACTGATGAGAACTAAATTGGAATTAATATTAAATACTGATAGAAAGATTAGTTTAAAAATAGCAATAGGTGTGATTTATTGAATAATTAACATATTCCAGGCACTGTGATAAGTGTTTTTACATGTAATAGAGGATATTTTAAAAAATTACTATTTTATTATTTATTTTTAATCAGCCAATAAAAATTAAATATATGATGTACAGTATGGTGCTTCAAAAATTTTATTTTTAATTGACAAATAATATTTAGTGTATTTATGAAGTACAATATGATGTTTTGATGTGTTTTCATGTGAAATGATTAAATCAAGCCAATTAATAAATTTATCACTTCAAATTCCTATATTTGTGATGAAAACACTTAAAATCTACTCTTAGAAATTTTGAAATATAGAATGCATTACTATTTATTACAGTTACCTTTCTCTGTGATAAATCAGTAAAGTGTTTTCCTCCTACCTAGCTAAAAATTTGTACTCATTGATTAATATCTTTTGTCTCCCCATTCTCCCTCCTCCCCTAGCCACTGGCAACCACCATTCTACTCTCAACTACTATAAGTTTGACTTTTTTAGATTCCACATATACAATTATGCAATATTTGTTTTTCTGTGCTGGGCTTTTGTACAATAGCTAATTTGAGCTAATTAATATATGCATTATCTTCTGTTTTTATCTTTTTTTGTGGTGAGAACACATAAAAATCTACTCTCATCTATTTTCAAATATACAATACATTGTCATTAACTATGGTTACCATGTTGTAAAATGGATCTCTTAAATTTATTCCTCCTATCTAACTGAAATTTTGTGTTCTTTGATAATTATTAATGTACTTATTTCTTTTGTCTTCCCGAGCACCTAACCCTTATTCCAGTGTGCCTAGAGATTGAGACTAATGGTTATAATCTGTTCTCTAGTAGGAAAGCTATAAGAAAGATACTAACTTTCAAAATAAGACTACAGCAAGATGATAATAGTTTTAAAAGCTTTGAACGTCTTGAGAAAAACTTTACATTTATTTATCTTCCACTTTGACAACTCAAGAGCCAAAATTGGCAGACTAGACCAAAAGCTTTACCAAAAAAAAGAGAGAAAGAGTATAAGCATAATAGAGACAGGAAAGCACTGGGCTTTATATTTGCACTACATAAGTGAAGGTCTTATTAAGAGCAGAAAGGAGCTCCATACTCTGTTTTGGGATTCCCTTTGGCTAACCTGAAAAACAGTTACATAGCAAGTGACCCTGAAATTTGCCATCCTGACCTACTCTTGTGTCACATGTCTGGTCAAGACTGGCTGGCTTGGGGGGGAGATGTTATAAGGTGATTCTCCAGCATGGGTGGAGTGGACCACCAGGGCCAGGCCGAATTGGAGGCATAATCAGAGAAAATATGGTTTGAATCCAGTTCCCTTGAACTCCCAGCCTGTGCTCCAAAGGTGGGATGGTCTTAATAGAGATTACCTTTATGCTGACATATCCTGGATAAGCAAATTTATCTGATGCATGCTGTACTGCCACGAACAATGAAAAAATGCTGCCTGATGGGTCAGCCTTCCCTCCCCTTCAGAGGACTGAAAATTCCTCCATTTTCCCATTTTCATAAATAACACCATTTTTTTCCTATTGCACTTGTCATGACATCTCTTCATTTGGTATAATTTCAACATGTGTTATAACTACAATTTTATAGATTTGCCATGGACTATATTTAATTCCTACTGCTTAAGAATGGCAGGCAGGAAGACACAGTTTTTTCCCAACTGTAAAATGATTAGGATCATGCAGTAGCGGAATGAGTAACTTCTGGAAAGGTTTCTATGCTCAACAAAAATGTTCTAATCTCATTCAGGGCATGTGGATTCTTGCTGGCTACATTCACCAGGGGTGGTAGCCCTGCTCTGTCTTGGTCATCTAGTATGCCTTCTGATTTTGGCCTCCCTCATTTAGTGTCTTAAATTCTGGGCTTCTTGTTCCTTTGAGGTCTTAATCTTTGTGCCTGTTGGTTATATATATGACATAAGCATTTTAAAATACATTATTTTTAAAATGTCCTTTTCAATCATTTTTATTATTTCTCCTATAAGTCCTAGTAAAGAAACAAATTAGGCTTTTCTTTCTAGTGTAGACAAGGGAACATGGAGGTTAAATGATGCTATGAAGGAAAGCTGGAGATAAAACAAAGCACTAATACCCAGGGCCATTAACGTGACTTATCTGCCTTATTTGATGTATCCCTTAAAATTTTATCACTTGAAACATGATAAATAAAACATGAGTTTGCATTTAAGCCATTTACATATCTCCTTGCTCTGAGGAAAATGCAGTTGCCCTGATTTTCCTCTTTTTGTTCCAACGTATTTCAGAGCCTAGTTGATGGGACTGGGCTGATAAATGAGATTTCTGGGCTGATGCAAATAGAGTAGTAACCCACTGACCCAGTGCACCCTGAAACTGGACTTGCCCATCCCCAGGCTAAAGGTTCAATTTGATGTGCAATGAGGCAGAAGCCCGAAGAGCTTAATTTCGCATCAATTCACTTTTATTGTTCTCATTGTCTTTGCCCTATGCTGAGATTTTCTGCTATGATTTTTTTTTTTTTTTCCTGCTGGCTGGCCATGGACCTTCATTTTGCATTTTAAGTTAGTTTTATTAACCTTTTCTCTTCCCTAGTTTTGTTTCTTCATGGAATTAGTATATTATTGCTGTATACCCATAATTATGACACTTATTTTGCTTATGTGAAACATGAGGATTAATAAGAGCCACCCTATCTGACAGCTTTGTTCTTAGAGTCTAATAATATCCAATCAAATTTTGTAAAATTATCAAACTCATTACAATTATTATTACTATCACCACTACCACCACCATTACATGCTACATCTACAACTGGTAACTTGTCCTTACTTGAGACCTTTATATTATCAACACCCAGCAGTATTTGGCATTTAGCAAGTATTCAGTACCTGTGGATAAATGATATCCAGTTGATTTTTGACATCAACTACATAACCTTATAATCTGTCTTTTGGGCCACTTTAATTTTTTTCATATTGTTTCTTTTGTTAACATTTATTACAGAATTGAAGCTTAGTGTTTCTGAGAGAAACACCTTTTTTCATTTTATTTCATATGATTTTGATTCTCACGCTGGGTTTTTTTTTTTTCACAGTTGAGAGAATTGTGAGTAGATCCAAGGAACACTCCTGGTTATATAGAAGTGCAGAAATCAGATTCAGTAAATATGAGCTGTTAGGGTCACCGATACAATATCATATTATTTATATAGTTCAGTAATTATTGATTGTCTGTAATAAACAAGGCATTGGTGGGGAAAGTGGTGCAAGGGGCCTGTTGTAGAAAGACCCAGTACAGCACTATTGAGGATGTTAAAATTACAGTCTGGGTGGATAGCCATGTGTCTTCTAAACATTTAGTTTGAATTATATTGTACTGATGAATAAAATCATTCTAATAATCTGTCAATTTATACACCCATTTTTACTAATTGGTTGATTAACTGTATCAGATCAACCAGTTGATTGGAACATTATGAGAAAATAGTACATTGAAACCAAGATCACAGCCAATGCAAGGCAAATCTCTACCTTAGATTATACAGTGTTCCTTATTTGCCAGGAATATAGTCACTGGGTTTGCTGCAGTGATAAGTAGGAGTAAGCCTTTATAGGAGCTACTTTGAATAAAAGCAAAAAAAGGCTTAAAATTAAAGCAAAATCATTTTTAAAGATTAATGTCAAATAATTTATACATGGCCCATTTTTACATTCTCCTGATATTTGAAAATGGATTTTTACATTTACATATGGTAAATTGATGATGAACATATTCATCCAAAGAAATAATTCCTGAGCTAACAAGTTATCCTATACTCAAGTTTTATTTGTAGTTCTTTCTGGATTAAATATTTTAAAAATTTAAAGTACACCTTTGTAGTTGAGAATACTTATATTTCATACTCCACATTCTAATATTGGGGGTGAAATTTATACTTCAGTCCTTAGGAAAAAAGAGAATGCAAGAAGGATTTCTAGCTTCTGTCTATTTCTTACTCAATCTTCTCCAAGGAAAGAGAAATAGCTTTCTTATGGATAGATCATCTCTTATTGTTGTACTTCCAGGGAAGTATCAAAAGCCGAACTGTAGCTTTCCATTTAAATTGTATTCTCTACATTCTTTTATTAAAACAATAAAGTTCATATATTTATCTTATTTTCATCTGCTGAATACTAGTTTTACTTCTTGAATGATTCCTAAGCCAGAGGTATAGGAGAGAAATGTAGTGAATTATAACATCAAACACAAAATATCTGTATTTCTGCTGACCTGTAAAAATAAGCCTTTAAATTGCCACTTAGCGCTTGATTTACTTTCACAAGGAAATTGTAACATAATGCATACTCAATCAAAATATGTGTTTGAACTTATCCTGACTAAAAATACTGTTATGAAGTTATTGGTATTCAAATTAATCAGTCTTCATTGAATAATTTTGGTAGGTTTTATATTAACATTTAAATAAAACATAATAGGTAGTTCTCAATAATTGCATTTACATGCTCTTATTCAGTTTATTTAAATGTCTGGAAAAATATGACGTGTGTGTGTGTGTGGTGATATTATAAACTCTTTAGAGATAACCTTTTTAGTAAATCATTTTACACATAAAATTGACCATATTCCCATCTCCCAATTCAAATCCCTTCATGTGGGCAATAACTGCCTGTTAGAATTATCTGGGGAGCTGTGAGTTAATACCCATTACTGGATTTCTCCTCTGGGAATTCTGATTTAATTATTCTGGAGAAGAATCTGGTTGTGTATAGTTTTCAAAGTTTTACATGTATTTCATATGTACCAAGGTTGAAAACATTATTCTGGATGGTGGGCCTGGGAAGCTCTTTTACAGATTACATGTCAGATTCACCTAGGAGCTGATACCTATAAAAATACACTCAAGGACTTTAATCCCTTACTCATGGGCTCATTATCCTACTGGTTATAATACAGCGAATCTTGGAAGTGGCTTTTTGGTGATTCCAAAGTAAGGTCAGGTATGAGAACCTCAGTTTAGATCATCTCACTTTTCTTACAGCTATTTACTAGCACCATGGACAGCACCCTTAACTTAAAAATTGGGAGCTGGGATCCTGGAATTCTACAATATTTGAGTGAAAACAATCTTTGGGATGATAAAATGTATTATATTTTCTAGATTATAAAATTAAACCGTATAAAAAATTTTAAAAGTTTGCCAAATCCTTGAAAGCAGGGTGAAGTTTCTACAGCCTTATTTCTCATCATTCTTTTTAATTCTCCATCTAACATAGAACATTCCTCATTCTGTGGGACACACAGTACCCATCTCCCAGCTCCCATTCGCGTTGTAAACTCCTCTTCCAGGTTCCAATGTCACTTTCTCAGGAAGTCATCAGTGACTTCTCAGACTGTCAGTTATTATTATATGCTTTTATAAATACATGTTGACACCTTTAACATATTTTATCTCAACATGTAATTATAGACACAGTATTCTGATTATTAAAGTTCTCTCCTGCTAAGCAGTAAACTCCAGAGTCTGTGACTTTTTTTGGCTTATCTTCACATTTTTCCCCCTAGCACAGTGCCAGGCACAGAATAGACACACAATGAATGTTTGTTTAATTGAATTGAATTTATTAGCAACCATAACATGGTGGAATTTTACGCATTCTAATTTAAAAATCTAATAAAATTTCTTGCTCATGTCATTTATTTTTGACTTCAGTGTGCTGTTTATGACCAGTACTAACATGTGCAAGAAGATCTTTTACTATCACATAAAAAGTTCTTTATGACAGTAAGCTGTTTGTTGTTTTCAATTATGTATGAGTTATAAGGAAAAATGTGCTGGCTTGTCAGAAAGCAGATAAATTTTAGTGAATCTATTTAAGAAATAGAAAGACACATTTTCATATTTTCCCTGAAGTTACATATAGTACTATTTGTAGAGAGTTGCAATAGATAGAGAGATATAAAGATATAGAGATATATATGAATATGTGGTCTGCTTCTCTTTTTAATCATCAACACTCATTTATGAAGAATGGTGAAAGCCAAAAATTAATATGCTAACAGAAATGCATTCTTCAAATATTTACATTCAGTCCCTATGTGATCTCATCTGGATATTTAAATTTATTATTTATATTTTATTTGTATAAAGTTAAGGGGTACAGGTGCAGTTTTGTTACATGAATGCATTGTGTAGTGAAGTCGGCTTTTAGGGTAACCATCATCTGAGTAATGTACATTGTACTCATTAAGTAGTTTCTCATCTTTATTCCTCACCATCTGCCCACCCTTTGAAGTCTCCAGTGTCTACTATTCCACAGTCTAAGTCCATGTGTGCACATTATTTAGTTTCCACTTACACATGAGAACTTGTAGCATTTGACTTTCAGTGTCTGAGTTGTTTCACTTAAGATAATGGCCTCCAGTTCCATCTACATTATTGCAAAATACATAATTTTATTCTTTTATATGGCTGAATAGTATTCCATTGTGTATATGTACCATATTTCCTTTATCCACTCATCTGCTGATAAACACTTAGATTGATTCCACATCTTTGCTACTGTGAATAGTGCTGCAATGAACATATAAGTGCAAATTATTTTTATATAATAATTTCTTTTCCTTTGGGTAGATACTCAGCAGTGGGATTGTTGTGTTGAATGGTAGTTCTATTTTCAGTTCTTTGAGAAATCTCTGTACTGTTTTCCATAGACGTTTTACTAATTTACATTTCCACCAACAGTGTATGGGTGTTCCTTTTTCTCTGCATTCTCGCAAACATCTGTTTTTTTTATCTTTTTAATAAAAGCTCTTCTGACTTATGTATGGTGATATTACATTGTGGTTTTAATTTGCATTTCTCTGATAATTAGTGATATTGATCATCTTTTCATATGTTGTTTTTGGCCATTTGTATTTTTTTTTGAAAAATGTCTATTCATGTCATTTGCCCACTTTTTAATGAGGTTATTGGATTTTGTTGTTGCTGAGTTATTTGAGTTCCTTGTAAAATCTGGATATCAGCTCCCTGTAGAATGTATAGTTTTCCAGGCTTTTTTCTTATTCTGTAGGTCTTCTGTTAACTCTGTTGATTACATCTTTTGCTATGCAGAAGCTTTTTAGTTTAATTAAGTTCCAGTTGTCTGTTTATGTTTTTGTTGTTTGTGATTTTGAGGCCTTAGTCATGAATTCCTCACCTAGACTAATGGCAAAAAGAGTTTTTCCTAGGTTTTCTTCAATGCTTTTTATAGTTTCAGGTTTTACAGTTAAGTCTTTCATCCACTTTGTGCTGATTTTTGTACAGGGTGAGACTTAGGGGTCCAGTTCCATTCTTCTGCATATGGCAATCCAATATTCCCAGCATCATTTATTGAAAAGAGTATCCTTTTCCCAGTGTATATTTTTGTTGATTGTGTCAAAGATCAGTTGGTTGCAGATATGTAGCGTTTTTTTCTGGGTTCCCTGTTCTGTTTCATTGATCTTTGTGTTTATTTTTATACCAGTACCATGCCGGTTTTTTTACTATAGCCTTGTAGTATAATTTGAGGTCAGGTAATATGATACCTCCAGCTTTGGCCTTTTTGCTTAGGATTTCTTTTGGTATTCAGGCTCTTTTTAAGCTTCATGTAAATTTTAAGTTTTTTTTCCAATTCTGCAAAAGTGACATTGGTATTTTGATAGGAATTGCAATGAATTTCTAGATTGCTTTGGGAAATATGGCCATTTTCATGATATTAATTCTTTCAATCCATGAGCATGGGATGTTTTCCCATTCATTTGTGCCCTTCATGATTTCCTCAGTTTTTTGTAATTTATCCCTGTAGAGATCTTTTACCCCCTTGGTCTAATATATCTCTTGTTACTTTATTTTTTTGTAGCTATGGTAAATGGGATTGGCTTCTTTGTTCTCAGCTTGATTGTTATTTGTGAATAGAAATGCTACTGCTTTTTGTATGTTGATTTGGGATCCTGAAACATTGCTGAATTCATTTATCAAATCTAAGAGTGTTTTGGAGGTCTTTTGGGTTTTCCAGGTATAAAATCATATGTTCAACCAGAGATAATTTGAATTCCTCATTTCAGATTTGGATGCCTTTTATTTCTTTCTTTTGTCTAATTGCTCTGACTAGGACTTCTAACACTACATTGAATAGAAGTGGTGAAATTGGGCATACTTGTCTTGTTTCAATTCTTAGAGGAATTGCTATCAGCTTTTCTTTGTTTAGTATGATGTTGGCTGTGGGTTTGCCATCTATAGCCTTTATTATTTTGAAGTATGTTCCTTCTATGCCTAGTTTGTTGAGGGCTTTTATTGTGAATGGATGTCGGATATTAGCAAATGGTTTTTTGCATCTATGGAGATAATCATATTGTTTTGTCTTTAATTCTATTTATGTAATGAATCATGTTTATTGACTTGTGTATGTTGAACCACCCTTACATACCTTGAATAAAATCAACCTTATCATGATGTAATAGCTTTTTTTTTTTGATGTACTCTTGATTCAGTTTGCTAGTATTCATTTGAGGATTTTTACACCTATGTTCATAAGGGATATTAATCTGTATTTTTCTATTTTTGTTGTGTTCTTTGGTATCATCCTGATACCAAAGCCAGACAAGGTATCATCCTGATACCAAAGCTTCATAGAATGAGTTAGGGAGGATTCCCTCCTCCTCGACTTTTTGGAAAAGTTTCAGGAAGATTGGTACCAGTTCTTTCTACATTTGGTAGAAGTCAGCTGAGATTTCATATGGTCATGGCCTTTTGTTGTTGGTAGTGGTGGCAGATTTTCTTATTACTGATTCAATCACACTATTACATATTGGTATGTTCAGGATTCCTATTTCTTCCTGGTTCAATCATGGGAAGTTGTGTATTTTCAGGAATTTATTCATTTCCTCTAGGTTTCTAGTTTGTGAACTTATGGTTGTTTTTGGTAGTTTCAGAAGATCCTTTGTATTTCAATGTATTTCAACAATATCAGTTGTAATGTCTCCTTTTTATTTCTCATATTCCTCATATTTATTTACATTTATTTTGATTTTCTTTCTCCTTTTCTTTGTTGTCTAGCCAGCAGTTTAACAATTTTGTGTATCTTCTCAAAGAATCATCTTTTTGTTTCATTGATTCTTTGTTTTATTTTTTGCTCTCAATTTTATTTAGTTCTGCTCTAATATTTGTTATTTCTTTTCTTCTGCTGGCTTTGAGTTTGGTTTGTTCTTATTTCTCTAGTTCCTTGATGTGTGAGATTAGGTTGTTAATTTGTAATCATCCTATTTTTTCAATGTAGGCCTTTAACACTGTAAACTTCCCTCTTAGCACTGCTTTTGCTGTATCTCAGAGGTTTTGGTATGTTGTGTCTGTGTTTTCATTCCTCTCAAAAATTTTTTAATTTTCATCTTAATTTCATCACTGGCTCAAAGATCATTTAGGATTCTGTTGTTTAATTTCCATATATTTGCACAGTTCCAAGAGTTTTTCTTGGTATTGATTTTTAGTGTTGTCTCACTGTGGCCCAAGAAGATACGTAATATGATTTTGATTTTTAAAAATGTATTGAAACTTTTTTGTGGTCTAACATATGGTCTACCATGAATAATTTTCCATGTGCTGATGAGAATAATGTCTATCAGTTGTTAGGTAGACCGTTTTGAAAATGTCTGTTAGATCCATTTGGTGTAAAGTCCAATTTAAGTCCAATATTTCTTTGTTGACTTTCTGTCTCAGAGACCTGTGTAATGCTGTGTGTGGGAAGGTTTTGAAGTCCCCTACTATGACTGCATTGCTGTCTTCCCCTTTTTTAGGTCTAGTAATATTTGTTTCATGAATCTGAGTGTTATGGTGTTGGGTGCACATATATTTAGGATTGTTATATCTGCTTGTTGAATTGTTTCCTTTCTCATTATATAATGACCTTCTTTGTCTTTTTTTTTTTACTGTTTTTGATTTAATGTCTGTGTTATCTGATGTAAACATAGCTACTCCTGCTGCTTTTAGTTTCTGTTTGCAAGGAATATCTTTTTCCATCCCTTTACCTTCAGCCTATATGTGTTTTTACCAGAAAGATGAGTTTCTTGTAAGCAGCATACAATTGGTTTATTAAAAAAATTCATTTCACCAATTTTTATCTTTTAAGGGGAGCAATTAGTCCATTTACTTTCAATGTTAATGTTGATAAATCAGGTTTGTTCCTGTCATAATTGTTTTTTAGTTGTCTTGTGGAATATTTAATCTGTTTCTTCTTTTTTTTTTTTTCCTGTTTGTCCATGTGGTTTGGTGGAATTTTATCATGTGCCCTTTTATTTCTGTCTCTTCCTTCTTCGTGTAATTGTTTAACAAGTCTGTGAGTTTCAGACTTTCATGTGATTTTTATGATGGTGAATATTGATCTTTCATTTCTATATTTAGAACTCCTTTGAACATTTCTCATAGAACCAGTCTACTGGTGGTGAATTACCTCAGTGTTTCCTTGTCTGGGAAAGACTTTATTGTTTTCCATTCATGAAGCTTACTGTGGCAGGATATAAAATTGTATCAGAGTCAGATTTTTTTAGAAAGCTTTTCAAACTGTTTAAACAAGCAATTTAACATGACACATTTCTTATTAGAAAATGGTTATGCACTGATAAATGCATTGCTGTGCAGATGCCCTGGGTTTCCCCTGGCCTTTACTGGAGAGGGTGGCCTTGCACCAGGCAGGTGAGTTTCCAGTGTGACCTTACCTGCCTGGACATCCACATGCCTCCCTTTAAAACAAGATCAATGCAAGATTGCATTTTTCATTATTATGTTACAGACAACAAGTGAAAATATATATATAGGGATGGATAGAAGGCAATTTGTTGAAGTTTTAAAAAAAGGTAAAAAAAAATTTGTGGTTAAATTTTGTTCTTTAAGCACCCTGAAAATAGGATCCTAATCTCTTCTGGCTTGTAAGTTTTCTGCTGAGAACTCCACTGTTAATCTTTTGAGATTTCCTTTATAGATGAGCAGAGAAGATGCTTTTCTTTTACTGATTTTAGGATTTCCTCCTTCATCCTGACTTTAGACAGTCAACTCTCTAAAGTGTGTATCATGATAAAATCCATCTTGCAGCTGGGTGCAGTGGCTCACCCCATAATCCCAGCACTTTGAGAGGCCAAGGAGGGTAGATCACGAGGTCAGGAGTTTGAGACCAGCTTGGCCAACACAGTGAAACCCTGCCTCTACTAAAAATACAAAAACTAGCTGGGCATGGTGGTGGACACCTGTAATCCCAGCTACTCAGGAGGCTGAGGCAGGAGAATCACTTGAAACTGGGATGATGCGGAGATTGCAGTGAGCTGAGATAGTGCCATTGCACTCTAGCCTGGGTAACAGAGTGAGATTCCATCAAAAAAGAAAAAAAAAATCTTGCAATGTATTGACCTGGTGTTTAGCGGGCTTCTTGTATCAACATGTCTAAATCTCTTCTTAGACTAGAGAAGTTATTGTCAATTATTTCCTCAGATAAGCGTTTCCAACTTTTTGTGTTTCTTCTCTCTCAGGAATACCAAGGATTTTTATGTTTGGTTACTTTATGCTTTATGCAGTTTCCATAATTCTTGATGATTCTGTTCATTCTTTTAAAATCTAATTTCTTTATTTTTGTCTGACTGGATTAATGCAAAAACCTGTTTTTAACTTCTGAAATTTTCTCTGCTGCTTGGTCTAGTCTAATATTGAAGCCTTCAAGTGTATTTTATGATTCTTTCAATAATTTTTTCATTTTCCAAAGTTTTGTTTGTTTTTTCTTAAAGATATCAATTTCCTTGGTAAATTTCTTGTTCATATCCTGAGTTGATTTTATGATCTTTGTATTGTTTTTCAGATTTCTCTGAAATCTCATTTAGCTTCTTTAAAATGAATACTTTGACTTCTGAGTTGGTGGAGCAAGATGGTGAAATAGAAGGCTGCACCTTTCAGCCCCCCAAGAAAGATACCAATTTAACAACTATCTACACAGAAAAAAAAAATCATCTTCATAGGAACCAAAAATCAGGTGGGCCCTCATAGAGCCCAATTTTAAGTCAGTATCACTAAAAGAGGCATTAAAAAGATAGAAAAAAAAGGTCTCGAATTGCTGACACCAGCCTTTCCCCACCTCCCAGCACTGATGTCATGGTGTAGAGAGCATCTCTTGGCACAGGGAGGGGAGAAAACAGAAAGTGTGAGGCATTGAACTCAGTGCTGTCCTGTTAGAGCAGGAAAAAAAAACCCTACCAAACTCGGCTGATGCCCACCCACAGAGGGAGCATTTAAACCAGTCCTAGCCAGAGGGGAGTCACCAGTGCCAGTTGCCCAAACTTCAGTTTCTGCAAACCTTGCCACCAAGGGACAAAGCACTCTGGGTTGCTAAGTAAACTTGAAAGCAGTCTATGCCATAAGGACTGAAATTCTTAGGTGTGTCCTAGTGCTGAACTGGGTAAACAGGCAGTGAATTGGTGGGGTGGGCCATGTGACCTACTGAGACACCAGCTGGGATGGCATCACGCCTTCCCTAACTCCAGGCTGCACAGCTTGCAGCTCCAAAAGAGACCCCTTCCTTCCACTTGAGGAGAGCAAAGGGAAGACAGAGGAGGACTCTATCATGTATCATTGATACCAGTTCAACCACAGCAGGATAGGGCACTGGTTAGAGTCATGAGGCCCCTGTTGCAGGCTCTCATTCCCATTTCACATTTCTAGAAACAACCTAGGCCAGAGGGGAACCAGCTGCCTTGAAAGGAAGGATTCAGTCCTGGCAGGATCCATTACTTGTTAATTGAAGAGAACTTAGTCCTTGCACAAACAGCAACAATACCCAGATACTACGTTGAGGGGCTTGGGTAAGCCTCTGAGATTTGCTAGCTTCAAGTACCAGCATGGCCACAGGGGAGTAGAGCACCAAGCAGGCTCTTGCAGCCCCCAGTTTCAGGACTTGATTCTTGGATAGCATCTCTGGACCTGCCCTGGGCCAAAGGGGAACCCACTCCCCTTAAGGGTGAGTCCCAGGCCAGGCAGCATTTATCACAGGCAGACTTAAGAGAACTTGGGCCTTAAGGAAATATTGGTGGTGAGCTGGCAGAACTCCCCATGGCCTGTAGTGTCAGTGGCTGTGAGTGAGGCTTCTCTGTCTTTGAAAAGGGGTGGGAAGAGCGGGAAGGACTGCATCTTGTGATTTGAGTGCCAGCTCAGCCACAGTACAATAGAACACCAGGTAGACTTCTAAGATTTTTGACTCTAGTTTCTGACTCCTAGACAGCACCCCTGGACACATACAGGACTGAGGGAGCTCACCACCCTGAAGGGAAGGACACAGACCTGGCTGGTTTTACCACATGCTGATTGTAGAGCTCCAGGGCCTTTAGTGAACATAGGCAGTAGCTAGGGAGTGGTTACAGCAGGCCTTGGGTGAGACCCAGTGCTGTGCAGGCTTCAGATCTGACCTAGTGCATTTATTGTGGTAGTAGCCACAGGAGTTCTTGTGTCACACCACCCCCAGCTTTTGGTGGCTCAGAGCAGAGAGAGAAACTCCACTGGTTTGGGAGAAAGTAACGCTCTTTACCTGGTTGTCCAGAGAATTCTCTGGGATCTGTCCGAGACCATTGAAGTGGTACCTCTACTGGTCTGCAAGAAACATGGTGTTACTGGGCTTGGGTTGCCCCTCAAAGTACACACAACTTAGATCACAACACCCAGGCTGTTTCAAATATCTAGAAAGCCTTCCCAAGAAGGACTGCTGAAAACAATCCCAGACAGTGAAGAATACAATAAATGCCTAACTTAATGCCCAGACACCAAAGAACATCTAGTAGCATCAACATCATTCAGGAAAACATGACCTCATGAAATGAAGTAAATAAGACACCAGGAACCAATCCCGGAGAAACAGAGGTAAATGATCATTCAGACAGAAAATTCAAAGTCATCATTCAGACAGAAAATTCAAAATAGCAGTGGTGAAGAAACTCAAAGAAATTCAAGATAACACAGAGAAGGAATTCAGAATTCTATCCGATCAATTTAACAAAGAGATGAAGATAATTAAAAAGCATTAAGCAGAAATTCTGTACTTGAAAAATACAATTGTCATACGGAAGAATGCATCAAAACCTTTTAATAGTGTAATTGATTAAGCAGAGGAAAGAATTAGTGAGCTTGAAGACAGGCTATTTGAAAATACACAGAGGAGAAAATAAAAAACAATGAAGAATTTCTACAGGATCTAGAAAATAGCCTCAATAGGGCAAATATAAGAATTATTGGCCTTAAAAAGCAGGCAAATAAAGACATAGGGATAGAAAGCTTATTCAAAGGGATAATAACAGAGAACTTCCCAAACCTAGAGAAAGATGTCAATATCCAAATACAAGAAGGTTAGAGAACACCAAGCAGATTTAACCCAAAGAAGACTACCTCAAGACATGGAATAATCAGACTTCTAAATATCAAGGATACTAGAAGCAGAGAGATAAAAGAAACAAGTAATATACAATGGCGCTCCAATATGTTTGGCAGCAGACTTTTCAGTGGAAACCTTACAGGCCAGGAGAGAGTGTCATGACATATTTAAAGTGCTGAATGAAGAAAACCTTTTACCCAATAATAATATATCTGGCAAAATTATCCTTCAAACACAAAGGAGAAACAAATACTTTCCCAGACAAACAAAAGCTGAGGAATTTCACCAATACCAGATACGTCCTACAGGAAATGCTGAAGGGAGTGCTTCACTCAGAAAGAAAAGGATGTTAAAATGAGCAATAAGTAATCACCTGAAAGTACAAAACTCACTGTTAATAGTAAGTAAACAGAAAAACACAGAATATTATAACACTGCAACTGTGGTGTGTAAGCTACTCATCCTATGTAGAAAGACTAAACAGTGAACCAATCCAAACTAATTACTATAACAACCTTCCAAGATATAGACAGTACAATAAGACAAAAATAGAAACAAACAAAAATCAGAAAGTTGGGGGATAAAGAAGCCATAGAATTTTTCTTAGTTTTCTATTTGGTTGTTTGGTTCTTTTTGTTGTTTTTTATGCAAGCAGTGTTAAGTTCTTGTCAGGTTAAAATAATGGGTTATAAGATAGTATTTGCGAGTCTCGTGGTAACTTCAAATCAGAAAGCAAATAGATATACAAAAAAATGAAAAGGAACTAAACCATAGTACCAGAGAAAATCACCTTTACTAAAGGAAGACAGCAAGGAGAGGAAGAAAGAAGAGAAGAAGACAAAACCATCAGAAAACAAATAACAAAATGGCAGGAGTAAGTCCTTACTTATCCATAATAATAATGAATGTAAATGGTGTAAAACCTCCAATCAAAATACATACAGTGGCTGAATGGATGAAAAAATAAGACCCATTGATCTATTACCTACAAGAAACACACTTCATCTATAAAGACACGCACAGACTGAAAACAAACAGGATAGAAGAAAATATTCCAATGGAAACCAAAAAAGAGCAGGAGTAGCTATACTTAGACAAAATAGATTTCAAGACAAAAAATATAAGAAGAGACAAAGAAGGTCACTTTATAGTGATTAGAGGATCAATTCAGCAAGACAATATAATAATTTTAAATTTATATGCACCCAACATTGGAGCACCCAGATATATAAATGAAATATTATTAGAGCTAGAGAGAGAAATGGCCCCAATACAATAATAGCTGGAGACTTCAATATCCCATTTTCAGCATTGGACAGATCTTCCAAACAGAAAACCAACAAAGAAACTTCAGATGAAATCTACA
The DNA here is from genome assembly GCF_000001405.40 of Homo sapiens. Classification (NCBI taxonomy): domain Eukaryota; kingdom Metazoa; phylum Chordata; class Mammalia; order Primates; family Hominidae; genus Homo; species Homo sapiens. The sequence goes on along the minus strand of NC_000008.11, from coordinate 79,226,715 downwards.
CTATAGATCAAATGGACCTAATAAATATTTACAGAACATTTTATCCAACAGCTGCAAAATGTACATTCTTCTCTTCAACACAAGGATCATTCTCAAGGATAGACCATATGTTAGTGTATTAGTCTGTTTTCACACTGCTATAAATAATTACCTGAGACTGGGTAATTTATGAAGAAAAAAGGTTTAATTGACTTACAAGTCCACATGGCTGGGGAGGCCTCAGGAGCTTATAATCATGGTGGAAAGTGAAGAGGAAGCAAAGCATGTCTTACATGGTGACAGGAGAGAGAGACAGAGAGAGACAGAGAATGCCACACTTAAACCATCAGCTTTTGTGAAAACTCACTCACTATCACAAGAACAGCATGGAGGAAACACCCCTATGATCCAATCATCTCCCACCAGGTATGTCCCCTGATATGAGAATTAACATTTCAAATGAGATTTGGGTGGGGACACACTATCAGGTCACAAAACAAGTCTTAAAACATTCAAAAAAAATTGAAAATATCAAGTATCTTCTCTGACCACAATGGAAAAAAAACTAAAAATTAATTCAAAAGGAATTTTGGAAACTATACAAATACATGGAAATTAAGCAATATGCTTCTAACTGACCAGTGTCTCGATAAAGAATGTATGAAAGAAATTGAAAAATTTCTTGAAAAAAAATGACAATGGAAACACACTGTACCAAAAACTATGAAATACAGCAAAATACAATCCTAATACTAAAATGAGAGAGATTTACAGCTATCGGTACCTTCATCAAGAAAAAGGAAAAATGTCAAAAAACAATCTATGAATCATTTTGAAGAATTAAGAGCAAACCAAACCCAAAATTAGTAGAAGAAAAGAAATAATAAATGTCAGATCATATATAAATGAATTTGAAATGAAGAAAATAATACAAAAGATTAATGAAGTAAAAAGTTTTTTATTTTATTTTATTTTTTATTAAGTTTAGTATTTTTATTTTTATTTATTTTTATACTTTTAATTCTGGGGTACATGTGCACAATGTGCAGGTTTGTTACAAAGGCATTCATGTGCCATGTTTGTTTGCTGCACCCATCAACTCATCATTTACGTTAGGTATTTCTCCTTATGCTATTCATCCCCCAGCCCTCCAACCCTGACAGGCCCTGGTGTGTGATGTTCCCCTCCCTGTGTTCATGAGTTCTCATTGTTCAACTCCCACTTATGAGTGATAGCATGCAGTGTCTGGTTTTCTGTCCTTGTGATAGTTTGCTGAGAATGATGGTTTCTAGCTTCATCCATGCCACTGCAAAGGACATGAAACTCATCCTTTTTTATGGCTGCATGGTATTCCATGTGTATATGTGCCACATTTTCTTTATCCAGTGTATTATTGATGGACATTTGGGTTGGTTCCAAGTCTTTGCTATTGTGAATAGTGCCACAATAAACATACGTGTGCATGTGTCTTTATAGTAGCATGATTTACAATCCTTTGGGCATATACCCAGTAATGGGATCATGGGGACAAATGGTATTTCTAGTTGTAGATCCTTGAGGAATCACCACACTGTCTTCCACATTCGATGAACTAATTTACACTCCCACCAACAGTGTAAAAGTGTTCCTATTTCTCCACATCCTTTCCAGCATCTGTTGTTTCCTGACTTTTTAATGATTGCTATTCTAACTGGTGTGAGATGGTATCTCATTGTGGTTTTGATTTGCATTTCTCGGATGACCGGTGATAACGAGCATTTTTTCAGATGTTTGTTAGTTGCATAAATGTCTTCTTTTGAGAAGTGTTTGTTCATATCCTTTTTTGATGGAGTTGTTTGTTTTTTTCTTGTAAATTTGTTTAAGTTCTTTGTAGATTCTGGATATTAGCTCTTTGTCAGATGGATAGATTGCAAAAATTTTCTCCCATTCTGTATGTTGCCTGTTCACTCTGATGATAGTTTCTTTTGCTGTGCAGAAGCTCTTTAGCTTAATTAGATCCCATTTGTCAATTTTGGCTTTTGTTGCCATTGCTTTTTGTGTTTTAGTCATGAAGTCTTTGCCCATGCCTATGTTCTGAATGGTATTGCCTAAGTTTTCTTCTAGGGTTTTTATGGTTTTAGGTATTACATTTAAGTCTTTAATCCATCTTGAATTAATTTTTGTATAAGGTGTAAGGAAGGGATCCAGTTTCAGCTTTCTACATATGGCTAGCCAGTTTTCCAGGCAACATTTATTAAATAGGGGATCCTTTCCCCATTGCTTGTTTTTGTCAGATTTGTCAAAGATCAGAAGGTAGTACATGTGTGGTGTTATTTCTGAGGCCTCTATTCTGTTCCATTGGTCTAGATCTCTGTTTTGGTACCAGTACTATGCTGTTTTGTTCAGTGTAGCCTTGTAGATAATTTGAAGTCAGGTAGCATGATGCCTCCAGCTTTATTTTTTTTTTTTGATTAGGATTGTCTTGGCTCTGCGGGCTCTTTTTTGTTTCCATATGAAATTTAAAGCAGTTTTTTTCCAATTCTGTGAAGAAAGTCAGTTGTAGATTGATGGGGATAGCACTGAATCTACAAATTACTTTGGGCAGTATGGCCATTTTCATGATATTAATTCTTCCTATCCATGAGCATGGAATGTTTTTTCATTTGTTTGTGTACTGTTTTATTTTGTTGAGCAGTGGTTTGTCGTTCTCCTTGAAGAGGTCCTTTTCATCCCTTGTGAGTTGGATTCCTAGGTATTTTATTCTCTTTGTAGCAATTGTGAATGGGAGTTCCCTCATGATTTGGCTCCCTGTTTGTCTGTTATTGGCATATAGGAATGCTTGTGATTTTTGCACATTGATTTTGTATCCTGAGACTTTGCTGAAGTTGCTTATCAGCTTAAGGAGATTGGACCAAGCGGACCTAATAGACATCTACAAAACTCTTCACCCCAAATCAACAGAATATACAGTCTTCTCAGCACCACATCACACTTATTCTAAAATTGGGCACATAATTCGAAGTAAAACACTCCTCAGCAAATGTAAATGAACAGAAATCATAACAATCTGTCTCGCAGACCACAATGCAATCAAATTAGAACTCAGGATTAAGAAACTCACTCAAAACCACACAACTACATGGAAACTGAACAACCTACTCCTGAATGACTACGGGGTAAATAATGAAATAAAGGCAGAAATAAAGATATTCTTTGAAACCAATGATAACAAAGACACACATACCAGAATCTCTGGGACACACTTAAAGCAGTATGTAGAGGGAAATTTATAGCACTAAATGCCCACAAGAGAAAGCAGGAAAGATCTAAATTTGACACCCTAACATCACAATTAAAAGAACTAGAGAAGCAAGAGCAAACAAATTCAAAAGCTAGCAGAAGACAAGAAATAACTAAGATCAGAGCAGAACTGAAGGAAATAGAGACACAAAATCCCTTCAAAAAATCAGTGAATCCAGGAGCTGGTTTTTTGAAAAGATCAACAAAATAGGTAGACTGCTAAAAAGACTAATAAAGAAGAAAGAGAAAAATCAAATAGACACAATAAAAAAATGATATGGGGGATATCACCACTGATCCCACAGAAATACAAACTACCATCAGAGAATACTATAAACACCTTTACACAAATAAATTAGAAAATCTAGAAGAAATGGATAAATTCCTGGACACATACACCCTCCCAAGACTAAACCAGGAAGAAGTCAAATCTCTGAATAGACCAATAACAGGTTCTGAAATTGAGGCAATAATTGATAGCGTACCAACCAAAAAACGTCCAGGACCAGACGGATTCACAGCTGAATTCTACCACAGATACAAAGAGGAGCTGGTACTATTCTTTCTGAAACTATTCCAATCAATAGAAAAAGAGGGAATCCTCCCTAACTCGTTTTATGAGGCCAACATCATCCTGATACCAAAGCCTGGCAGAGACACAACAAAAAAAAGAGATTTTTAGGCCAATATCCCTGATGAACATCGATACAAATCCTCAATAAAATACTGGCAAACCGAATCCAGCAGCACATCAAAAAGCTTATCGACCATGATGAAGTAGGCTTCATCCCCGGGATGCAAGGTTGGTTAAACATATGGAAATCAATAAACGTAATCCATCACATAAACAGAACCAATGACAAAAACCACATCTCAATAGATGCCTAAAAGGCCTTCGACAAAATTCAACAGCCCTTCATGCTAAAAACTCTCAATATACTAGGTATTGTTGGAACATATCTCAAAATAATAAGAGCTATTTATGACAAACCCACAGCCAATATCATACTGAATGGGCAAAAACTGGAAGCATTCCCTTTGAAAACCGGCACAAGACAAGGATGCCCTCTCTCACCATTCCTATTCAACATAGTATTGGAAATTCTGACCAGGGCAATCAGGCAAGAGAAAGAAATAAAGGGTATTCAATTAGGAAAAGAGGAAGTCAAATTGTCCCCCTTTGCAGATGACATTATTGTATTTTTAGTAAAAAGTTTTTTTTAAGTTAAGCAAAATTGACAAACCCTTAGCCAGAGTAACTAACAAAAAAAAAGAGAAAAGATTCAAATAAATACAATCAGAAATAAAATCAGAAAAAAAGGAGACATTACAACTAATACTGCAAAAATTTGAAGGATCATTAGTGGCTACTATGGGTAACTATATGCCAATAAATTTAAATCCAGAAGAAACAAATTCCTAAACACATACGACCTACCAAAATTGAAGCATGAAGAATTCCAAGACCTGAACAGACCAAAATAAGTAACAAGACTGAAGCCATAATAAAAAGTCTCCCAGTAAGGAAAAGCTGGGGCCCCCAAGGCTTCACTGCTGAATCCAACCAAACATTTAATGAATAACTATTACCAATCCTGCTCAAAATATTCCTTAACATACAGGTGGAGGGAATACTTCTAAACTCATTCTATGAGGCTGGTATTTCCCTGATATTAAATGCGACAAGGACACATAAGAAAAGAAAAATTCAGGCCAATATATCTGATGAATGTTGATGCAAATGTCCTCAACAAAATACTGGCAAACTAAGTTGAACAATACATTAAAAAATCATTCATCATGATTATGTGGGGTTTATCCCAAGAATGTAAGAGTAGTTTAACATGTGCAAATAAATCAACATTCCGTTGATACATTATAACACAGGAATATAGGATAGCAGAATAAAGGATTAAAAACTATATAATCATTTCAATTGATGCTGAGAAACTGTTGGATAAAATTCAACATTCCTTCATGATAAAAACCCTAAAATAACTGGGGATAGAAAGGACTTACCTCAACATAATAAAAGCCATATATGACAGACCTACAGCTAGTATAATACCGAATGGGGAAAAACTAAAATCCTTTTTTCTAAGATCTGAAACATGACAAGGTTGCTCATTTTCACCATTGTTGTTCAACATATAATAATATTGAAGTTCTAGCTTGAGCAATCAGGAAAGAGAAAGAAATAAAGGGCATCCAAATTGGAATGGAAGAAGTCAAATTATACTTGTTCATGTATGATATGATCTTATGTTTGGAAAACCCTAAAAACTGCACAAGGAAACTATTAGAATTAATAAACAAATTCAATAAATTTGCAAGATACAAAATCAGCATGCAGAAATCAGTAGCATTTCTACATGCCAACAGTGAGCAATGTGAAAAAGAAATAAACAAGTAATTCCATTTACATTTGCCACAGATAAAATTAAATACCCAGGAATTAACCAAAGAAATAAAAGATCACTATGATTAAAATTATAAAACACTGATGAAAGAAATTGACGAGGACACCAAAAAATGGAAAAAAATCCATGTTCATGGATTGGAAGAATCGATATTGTTAAAATGTCCATACTACCAAAGGCAACCCACAGATTGAATGCAACTCCTATCAAAATACCAATTACGTTCTTCACAGAAAGAGAAAAAAGATCCTAAAATTTATATGGAACCACAAAAGACCCAGAATAGCCAAAACTATCCTAGGAAAAAAGGACAAAACTGAAGGAATCACATTACCTGACTTCAAGTTATACTATAGAACTATAGTAACGAAAATGGCATGGTACTGGCATAAAAACAGACACATAGACCAATGGAACAGAATAGAGAGCCCAGAAACAAACCTACACAATTATGTGAACTCATTTTCACAAAGGTGCCAAACATATACATGGAGGAAGAGACAATCTCTTCAATAAATGGTGCTGAGAAAACTGGATATTCATATATATATATGAATGAAACTAGGCCCCTATCTCTCACTATACACAAAATCAAATCAAAATGGATTAAAGATTTAAATCTAAGACCTCAATCTATGAAACTACTAAAATACAACATTGGGGAAAATCTGCAGGACATTTGTCTGGACAAAATTTTTTTGAGCAACACCCTGGAAACAAAAATACCCCAAAATACAAAATTTTTGAGCAACACCTCAAAGCAAAAATGTACAAATGGGATTATATCAAGTTAAAAAGCTTCTGCACAGGAAAGGATACAATCAACAAGGTGAACAGGCAACCCACAGAATGGGAGAAAATATTTGCAAACTACCCATCTGATAAGGGAATAATAACCAGAATACATAAGGAGCTAAATAAGAACCCTATAAGAAAAATTCTAATAATCTGATCAAAAAAGGGCAAAAGATTTGAATAGACATTTTCCAAAAGATGACATACAAATGGTAAACAGGCATATGAAAAGGTGCTCAACATCCTTGATCATCAGAGATATGCAAATAAAAACTACAATGAGATATTATCTCACCCAAGTTAAAATGGCTTATATCCAAAAGACAGAAAATAACAAATGCTGGAGAGGATGTGGAGAAAAGGGAACCCTTGTGCACTATTGCTGGAAATGTAAATTCTATGGAGAACAGTTTGGAGGTTTCTGAGAAAACTAACAATAGGGATGCCATATGATCCAGCAATCCCACCGCTGGGGATATAACAAAAAGAAAGGAAATCAGTATGTTGAAAAGATATCTACACTCCTATGTTTGTTGTAGCACTATTCACAATAGCTAAGGTTTGGAATCAACCTAAGTGTCCATGAACAGATGAATGGATAAAGAAAATGTAGTACTGATACATATACACAACGGAGTACTATTCAGCCATACAAAAGAATGAAAGCCTGTCATTTACAAAAAATATAAATGAAACTGGAGATTTTATGTTAAGTGAAATGAGCCAGGCACAGAAAGAAAAACTTTGCATGTTCTCCTTTATTTGTGGGATCTAAAAATCAGGGTAATTGAACTCATGCACATAGAGTGTGAAGGATGGATACGAGAGTCTGGGAGGAGAATCCACCCCCATGATCCAATCACTTCCCACCAGGCCCCACCTCCAACATTGAGAATTACAATTTGACATGAGATTTGGTCAGGGACACAGATGCAAACCATATCAATGGGTGAATAGGTACAAGGCTTCTTGAGTAGCTGGGGTGGCATGGGTGAATGCTAGTGGCAGAAGTCATGCAAAGCTTGTCTCCTTTCTGAGCACTGTGCATTTGTGTCAGCAGATATTGTAATGGGCTATGTGGGTTGGCCTCCAGGATAACAGCTGATGCTTTCAGGTGGGAGACAGGTTTGACAGTAGTAGTCGGGTTTATGCTTGACCTTTTTTAACCAGGAGAAGTACTAGGACATTTCATGTGTTGGGTTGGGCCATGGAACACTCAGTGGTCCTGATCTCATATTCTGCCTCCATGGTGAAGGAGGTGATGTCAGATGGGGCTGGGCTGGGAAAGTGTGCACTCAGGTCCCCCAAGGGCAGGCACAAGCACTGACCCCAATGAGGGACAGGGGCAGTCTAAAATTGGATCCTTAGCTTTAAGCACTATTTATGTGATGATGACTGGCAAATATGTATCTAGTTTGACCTTTCTCTTGACCTCTATGCTGCTATGTCAACTTCCTTCATACTCTACTTCTCCACTTAGATGTAGATAGGAATCTCTATCTTGACATGTCCAAAACTGACTTCTTGGTTCCCATCCGCAAATTTCCGATCCTCCTTCTGCCCCTATTTTCTCCAATGCAGTAAATTTTACTATAATTGATTGAGCTGCTCAGGGAGAATCAAAGTAGTCACTCTAAATTCCTCTCTCTTCCTCAGCACTCATTTCCAGTGAAATTGCATATGCATCACTGTCAGAATATATCCTTTGTCTCACCACTGCTTACCATTTCCAATATCCTCAACTCAGACCAAACTGAATTCCTTTTCTCACTGGTCTCTCTGTGTCTAGTCTTGACCCCTGCAAGGCAACCATGGCAGGTAAATAATCAGATCATGTGGCTCCTATTCTTTAACTCTCCAATAACATCCCAATTCACACATCATGAATGTCATGCCTGAAAAGCTAATATAATATAATATAATATAATATAATATAATATAATATAATGTAATATACTATACTATAATATAATATAATGTAATATAATATAATATGGTTTCCTACAACCTTTTTGATCCCAATCTTCTGCTATTTCCCCTCCCATCATCACTTTGCTCTAGCTCACTTGCCTTCTTTCCAGGAAGGTTCTAAGTATATTCCTGTCTCAGGACCTTTCAAATTTCTGTTCCTTCTGACTGAAATAGACTCCTACCAGTTCACCAGGGTGGCTGTCCTCACCTCATTCAGATTTATTCTCACAGGTAACCTCCCAGAGTAAAGCCTTTCCCCTTGGTAAACTTTTTGAAATAGTATCTTTGTTTAAACCCCTCAATCATGGTTTAATTTATATTCAAAATACTTATGACTACCTGACATTTTATTATATAACGGTTTAAGTTTAACAAATTCTAGCTAAAGGAACCGCAAAGGATCGATGAACCTTCATTATGTACAGTTTCCTTTAAGGTCTGATGGAATTTTGGATGATATGTGTAATTTCAGTGCCAGTGGAAGGAGTTCTCATTGGTAGTGGCAAGAGAGACACCAATGGGCACATAAACAATTTATTGGGACGTGAACAACGCAGTGTGCAGACTTGGTACTGTAAATGGTAGACAAGTTATTTGACAAAAGAATTCTATAAATATTGGTATTTAATGACTTGATTAACTAATTATTATATATTCATACATTACTCGACTCAGTTCCCTATGGAATCCAGTAAGTTTTGGGTGTTCTCTTTTTTTATTTTTTTCTTCCCCTTCAAGCTTGTGTGATTTCTCAATGTTTCCCATGTATCCCATTTAAGAACATGCAATTTTGCACTTTGGAACTGAGGACTTTTCCATGCAGAACCCAAATACCCAAATGGTTTATACCAACAAATATTTTTTGAGTGTCTCTTAAAGAAAAGTCATTGTTCTTGATTAAGTAAAGGATACAAAACAAAATAAGAGCAAAACCAAGCCTGTATGATTCCACTTGTATGAGGTGCCTAAAGCAGTCGAAATCATAAAGGCATAAAGTTGAATAGGGGTTGCCAGGGAATAGTGGGAAGAGAGAATGGGAGTTAATGTTTAATGGACAAAGTTTCAGTTTTGCAAGATAAAACAAGTTCTGGAGATGGTTGTTGATGGTTGCACAACAATGTGAAAGCACTTAGTGCCACAGAAATGTACACTTAAGAATGATTACAATGGTAAATTTCACTTTGTGCACATTTTACTACCAAAAAATTAAGAGATTGTCTCTGCCTTCAAAGAACTCTTAATCTAGTTAGCATGACATGTAAACAGCTTTGGCAGTTTACGAATAAGGCATAAGATCTTTGGCTGTTTATGGATCAGGCTTACTATCCTGGTGAGAGTATGAGGTGGTCACTGTGGTCAGTTCTACCTGGTAAATGTTGTGCTGATTGGAGCCCACAGTCTTGACTCAAAAGTGAAGATATCCACTGAATGAGGCATCTCAATTCAGCTAAGTATACCTTTACAAAATGACTCAGAAAAATGTGCTTGGAAGTCAGTTCTTCTATGTTCAGCAAGATGGGAATGCTGAGCTTTGCCCAGTAAGTCATTCTCATCACTTTGGTAGAATGCTGACAAAGTTTGAAATTGGCCTCTTGCTGTTTTAGATGACCTGGACTTCCTCCCTGTGTTTTCTAGCCTGATCCTGTAGTTCTCACAGACAGGTACTGATGAGGCTTTTGTCTGTTAGTGAATGTGGATTCTTAGTAAAGAATTATGTATCAGGCTTTACTTCATTGTTTGTTTTAATATTTATTTTTATTTTAGTTGAGGCAAAGGACTTTGCAATGCTCTTTAGATAAGGGGACTGACTATTGATTACTGTCCCTAATGCAGCTGGGGCTACTGTAAATACCTAGGAAAGGCAGCAGAGAAGGTTGAAGGTGAAATATATGTGTAGGAGCATAGGACTAACATGAGATAATTATTAATAGGCAGATGTTCAGTTCTACCACAATAGATTCTAATTCAATAGGGCCTAGGTGGTGCCCAGGAATCTTTAGTTTTAAAAAGAACCCTGGTTTTGTTTTGTTTCTTTTTTCCCTTCCAGGAACTGTTAAGTAAGATAAAAAGAAAGCCTATCAGCTTAAGCAGAATGTTTAACAATAGGGTCTATTGGCAACCAAGATAACAGAAATACTTGAGATGGGCCCTTATTAAGCCTCCCTACTGCGGATGAAATATGTAAGTGGTATTTAAAGCTTCAATGACAATGGGACAAAATGAGAAAAGTTAGTAAGGCAGAAAGTTATTTCATTGAGAGCACTAAATCAGGGATCTAAATACAAGATTGACCGAGTTTTTTATTAAACAAACAGTGGTCAGTTATGTCTATTGATAGGACTAATTGATAGAACCAATAGGTTGTCTCAGCATCACTGAAACAATGTTTTTAATCTGTCTGTTTCTTGGCCTGTCTTTAATAAATCTTTTAAAAAATGCTGGTAAGGTCACTGAGGAGCTTTGAAAGGCAACATAATGTAGTAAAAAATAGACAGCTCTAGGGCTGAATTGAGAATGCATTCTTTATTTCCGTACTGCTGTGGTACCACCGTTACCACCAATGACTACAACTTTTATCACTTTCTGTTTTTTTGAGTACTAATAGACACAAGGCATTATTCTAATATTCAGAACAGCAGTTCTGTGTAGGAGTTTTCATATTATTTTGTAGATGAGTGAGCTAAGGCTTAAAGAGCTTAAAGGACTTACTCAGGATCACACAGCTAGTAAGTGATAACATGGATCAAAAGTTTCACCTGACAAATAGTGGATACCTCCCTCATTCTAGCTGGGTGATCTTAGAATAATTTATAATCTACATTTTAATTTCCTTATTTTCCAAGTGGCAATAATACGTTCCTCACAGTGTCTTTATTAGGATTAACAATTCAGTGCCTGATTTATAGGTTATTGAGAAACTAGTAGTATGATGTTGTGGAAAGTTTAGGTATCTCCAAATATTCATTTCCTCTTCTTTTCATAGCATTAAAAAAAAAAAGAAATTTTTACTGGGCATACAGCTTCTCAGATTTGGCGTGCCCACACCCCACCTCCCAAGACCTCTGGGCTTTGCAGCTAAGTGTGGCCGTGTACCAATGAGATGAAGGCTGAAGTATGTGGCAGCTGCCATCAATCTTCCTTTCACACGAATCAGCTGCTTAGTATCCTTTCTTCCACCTCTTCTCTGTCCATTTCTCCACCCTCTTGCTTAGGGATGATAGAGCAGTGATAAGAAAAGGAAAGCCTGGGTCCCTGAGGACCTCTTCCTGGCCTATCAACCTGGCCTGCCTATCTTCAGACCTTTACATGAAAGAGAAATAAACTTTCCTCTTCTTTGAACTCTTGAATAAATATGAGACAAATATTGTAGACTATTTAATATTGTAATATTATTATGTGTAAAATTGCACTAGACATAATGTTATGTATTTTTTGCAGTATGTGATAAAACATGCTTCATATTAATACAGATATATCTATATACATGGAGAGAAGATGGATGAAGAGAGATTTGTTTTAAAGGAGATATTCTATTGGTTCCATTTCTCTGGAGAACTCTGATTAATACACTAATACAAGCCATTTAGAAATTATTTCCCATTGCTGACTTGATATTTCCTTTTTTCTCTGGTGTTGACACTTTAAGATTTATGAATAGCATACTTCAGAAAATTCTGTACATAATCAGTTATCATTCTTTTAGTACCTACTAAATAGTATATATTTACCTCATGAAATTCACCCTTCCAAAACTTTTACCACTGTGAGTTAAATATTGTTGTTCCCTTTACATCTACGCTGAAAAAGATGCTATAATCACTGACACATTCTAAGTGAAATTACATTTAATAAAAATAATTGAAATACATTTTATAGTCTTAATAATATTCTGTTGTTTTATATTTCTCTGAAATATTTAATTCATTGTCCTAAGTGTTTTATTTATTTTAAGTATCTTCTCAAACTATCATTTAGCCTCTAACCTCTATGATTCTAACACTTATCATCAGTATGTTTTATTTTAACATGCTTACTCGTTTATTATGTGTCTTTACACCCTAGAAAGTAAAATTCATGAGAATAGTGAGTCTGTCCATTTGCTTTTCTGCTGTTTCATAAGCACCAAGAGGAGTTTATGCATAAAATATCTGTCGGATAAATAAATTAAGAAAATGACAAAACCAGAATTTCAACCTCAGCAGGTTCACACTGCTTACATAATTACAATTTTTATTATGCCAAGAAAAGGGCAATTTTTGGATTTGGATTTTTTCGGAGCAGGAGGAATTTAGACATGGTAAATGCTAGCTAGCCATGGTAACAGATAAGCCCTAAATAATTCCAAGAGTTTTAATGCTGCAGAAGTTTATTTATTGGTCAATAACTCTTTAATGTGGCTGCTCAGCAGCAGACCTCTGTAAAGTGATTCAGGGATGAAGACTTCTTCCAATTTGGGTTTCCACCATCCCCTAGGGTTTCAATGTCCTTGACTGGCAGACAAAGGTAAAGATTAAGAGAATTTTCCCGAGGTTTCTGGTCTCAGAAGTGACATGCATCATTTCCTCTCGCAATCCATTGACCAGAATCTAGGCACATGGCCGCAGGTAACTACAGAGACATATAGAAATATATTCTAGTTATATGTTCTTAAGAAAAGGGAAACAAGTTTAAGAAAAACCCATGTGTGCCGCAGAAGACAACAGATTACAAACATAGATCATACAATCCTGCAAGGTTGTGATGGGTACTGTATATTCAACTTATTTGTATATCCAATAGCTTTAGCTACATGTTTATGGCATGAATAAAAAAATAACTAGATTATAATCGTAGTCTTGATGAAGGCACCACATTTATCCATCTTTGAACTCTCCCTAGTGCCTAACACAGTTTATCCATCTTTGAACTCTCCGTCATGCCTAGCAAAATTTGATTATTATTTATTAAATTAAGTTATTGAAATTAAATTAGCTAATTAACACAAAATTTCCCATCAACTTGTAAGCACAAGAAGTGAATAGGTTTGACTGATTTCAAAGTGGCTGTGTAGCCATTATTATTGCTGTTCCTACTTGAAGAGAGATGTCTAGTTAACTATCCTTTTCTTCAGGATAGTTCTTCACAGTTCAGGCGAAAATGTAGTTGAGTCATATATTATGTGACAAAATTATAAACATTTATGAACAACAAGAAATGCTACGCAATTGCCTTAGGTTGCCATTCGGTAGAGGCAGAGAAGGAAATGAGAGAGGAGTATGTGAATAGTTATCACAAATATTTTAGTTCTGGCTGATTGATAGATTTGGGGGTATTTCTTATTGTATTAAAAGTAAGTGAATAAATGAATGAATAAAAGCAGACAATTCCACAGATAAATAATCATAGTGAATTATGAACCATGGAATATGATTAATTCAAATTTGTTTCCCTCGATTATAAGGGGGAAAGGAAAGAGTTGTTGTGTTTGCATGCATAATGACCAAATAGTGGGTTTATAGCCTCAGTTCATTTATTAAATTAAAATAACACACAAAAATGTTGCTTGAAATGTGTACGCAAATAATTCATTAAATGAATATTTTATTTTTCCAATGATTTCTTTTTGCGAGTCAGAAATCTCGGCCACATCTGAAATTTATTATTAAAGGTCTAGTCAGTCAACTCATTCTTGAAGAATGCTATTATCCTTTTCTTCTCCTGTTCAACTTTATACTAGGTTTTATTGCCTTCTAAATATTAATACACCTGTATTGGGATTATTAAATTTGGAAAGTATTCACCATCATTCCTGTGCCTAATCATTTCAATCCATGTGGGATTCCCTGCTAACATATCAGTCTCAATTATAAACATGTTTGCTATTCACGTGACTATTTACTTTCCCCATTATTCAGTATTATTTCAACATTCAAAAGGAGATAGTTTTGTTGACATGTTGACCCACAGAGTAGTCAAAATGTCAAACAAAAGTAACATTTCATTTAAAATAAAACTAGATTTTACTGGTGTGTGTGTGTGTGTGTGTGAGAGAGAGAGAGAGAGAGAGAGAGAGAGAGACTTTGCTGAATAAGAGAAGAAAAGTTTCCTTGGGGTGGCATGTTTACATATGCAAAACTTAATTTTTACGTTCATTTCCCATGGTAGTAAGGTTTATCTGTAATTCTAGAGTTAGTATATCTAATATCGGTAGATCATATATCACATTGTACCTGTGCTTCAGGGTTGGCCTCAAAGAGACATCTGTAATAAGACATTGCCATTCTCAGTGTAACTATTTCATATACTAATTTGCCTTATCTCTTTGCAGTGGGCCAATTTGGATTTTGTTTTTCTCCCCTTCTCTATCTTTTCTTTCATTTTACAACTATTCGTTGACAATCCTTTTGTTTTTTCTTTTATGTTTTTTTTTCTTCTTTCCTTTCCTATTTGACTGTCCTTTTCTTTCTTTGTTATATTATAGTTTTTCCAGTTTGGCCAATTTCCATCTTATTTCCATTCAGAATAATTTGGCCTCTGTTATTTCCAAACCTTTTAAAATAAGTTGAAATAAAGATATTCATAAAGATCACTTGCTTCCTGAAATCCACTACTGAGAAGGTCACTCTGGTTTTTCATTCTAAGCTGAGGGCAGAGTGGTTAATATCACCTGTTGAGAAAAATTGAGGTTGCCTAATAAACCAGTCAAATTAGTCTATGATAAAAATTGAATGGACTGATGTCAAGTGGGTTAGATAATGAGAATTAACCAAGTTTTACAACTGGTTTTATTGTTGTGTTTTAGTGTTTGTTTATAACATGCATGTTGTGTGTACGTAGCATGCCTGGCTTTTAGTGCTGGTCTCACCTGTCCTTACTAGCTGGAAGGACTTAGGAAGCCATTTAGCATTCTAGTCTTCAGTTGACTCAGCTATAAAATGGCAGATTTAAGTTGGATTTTTAAGGTCATTTAGTTTGAGAATTCTGTATTTCTTCATGGATTAATTCATGTGCTATTTTATCTTCCTACAGGGTTGTGTGTCTATGTGATTGAAAAGTTGATTCCAAACTGTTATATTAATGCTTTGCGTAGCTCTTCCTAAAAAATAATCTCTAAATAAATCAGTGGTGTTCAGTGGTTGTGGACCTTTGGCTGTGTATCTTTATGCTTTAGCACAGTATAGTAAAAATCTACTGCATGATAAAACCAAGAGTAAAAATCTGAATGTCACTAATTTTTTTTTGAAATGGCAACAAATCATATAGAAATGTGTTCAGAAGCTCAGTGAAAGAATAAATATCGGAAAAATACCCAGTTATCATTAAGAGGGGGCTACACAGGATCTCTCTGGAGAGGAAATAGCCAAGCATAGCCATTATAACTTAGCTGGATGGCATGAAATACATGCAGACTTTTAGCGCCACAGGAATCATTTGAAGGCTGGAAGCTGTCAGGTTTAATGGCTCTAAGTGAATAGGTGAGAAGGAAACTCCCTGAACCTGTTGAAATAGCTTCACAAACAATTCCATTTCTCTCTGATATTTATGTTTGATAGGCAGAAAAGGTTGTTTCTTTTGAGAAAAAGAAGAAGCTTCATGCCTCAGGTTGAAAGTCATCATTTTAGAGCATGACATTTGAAGACATAAGCCCAGTGGGAAAAATGTAAATTAGAAAACAAATGTGCTGAAGGATAACACAATTGAGCATTTTCACCTGAACTATTTTGGCCATGAAGACAATCCATTTACTGAAATAGAGTGAGAATAGTAAGTGATAAGGAAAGGGAGCTGAGGTTTGACCATAAAGAAAACTGTATATATATATATATATGTGTGTGTGTGTGTGTGTGTGTGTGTGTGTGTGTGTGTGTATGTGTATATATGTATACATATGTGTATATATATGTATATACACATACATATACATAAACCTTCTCGTAATATGGACTCAGAAAGGTTAAAGAAAATGACCAATAAACCAGGAAAAAGAACAGAAGCACAATTTTTGACATTGGCACAAATTAGATCACACAATAGACTGTTTTAAGATAAACCCAATTTTTATTGCATATATACTGAAGCATATAGTTAGAACTTGTGTCTTTCATAAGATTCCAATTTCTCTTCCTGCTCCCTAACATATTGATAAAAACCATTAGCCATAGCTAAGAAAGAGTCACATTTCGGTTCAATCTGAAACCATTTTTGGAATAAACATAATTAGATTACAATATATAGAAAGCTGCTCAATAAATTGTTACAAAGTGAACACACTCATATAAATACCACCCAGATAAAGAAATAGAACATTACTAGGATTACAGAAGTACTCCCCAGACACCTTCCAGGCATGACATTCCCACCTCTGCTATCTAGTGACTCTTAACAGATTAGATTTGCTTATCTTAACTCAACATTATGTCTGATTCATACATAGTGTTACATGTAGTAGTTTATTTTCATTGTTTCTAATATTTTATTTTATGAATATATTACAATTTATTTGTCCTGTTTTAATGCTGATAAACATTTGAGCTGTATCAATTGTGGACTACTATGAATAATGCAGCTGTGACCATTCTTTCATATATAGAATATTACTTCTGCATTCCATTGTTCAAAGCACTTACAGATATAGAGCAGATTCAAAAGGAGGGACAATAACCAACTTATGTGTGTACAGAGAAGGACAGAAGTATTGGGGGCAACCATACCACATGAGACTTTTGAAAATTCCACTCAACTTCTCAGCCACTCAGTCACCAATATAGATTACTCAAATGGTTTACAAGAAAAAAGTGATGGCCAACGTTGGCTTCTCTTTTCTTTTAGAGAGTTTGACCCTTAAGTCCTCATGGGATTTCTAACTCTCTGATGCCTTCAGATAGGTTTTTAAAACATTTTTTCCACCTCTTCTAGGTCTGCTTGGGCAGAAGCCTTGTCTAAAACTAGCTATTATGCCTACTACGTTTGAACATTTACTTTGAACATTACAATGTTCAAAGTAAAACAATGGGGATTTTTCTTAATAGGCTAATCATGTGTCACTCACTTGCTCCAAATGCTTTAATGACTTCCTGTCATTATTTATATGTTGAGATCCAATGTTTTTAACATGTCCTTTGAAATAGTGAATGGTTTGACCCCTGCCTAATTCTCATAAAAGAAAATGTCCACCAGAACAGTTAAATAGGCAAGGAGATTTTTATTCAAGGCTATTGCAATAGGGGAGAGAGATTGAACTCAACTCAGTTGAAACAAAAGGCGGTAGAGTTTTAAGCACTGGAGTAATCTAGTGGAAAAGTACTGAAGGACATTAGGGAGGAGGTTGGTTAATGTGATTAGGCCATCCCTGCTTGGTAATGGTCCTTATTTGTTTTAGGCTCCTAGCTTCTCACAGAGACTGGGAAATAGGTGCACTATCTCCTTCAATGATTGCATTTCAAAGGGATGGCTCTGAGATCCTTGAGAAGGACTTTTCTGAGTGGTT
This sequence comes from Homo sapiens, assembly GCF_000001405.40. Taxonomy (NCBI): domain Eukaryota; kingdom Metazoa; phylum Chordata; class Mammalia; order Primates; family Hominidae; genus Homo; species Homo sapiens. Next base: position 79,208,805 of record NC_000008.11, on the reverse strand, counting down.
GAAGATTTGCATTTCAAAGGGTCTCCCCAAAATTTTTAATTATAAGTTTTCTAAGGTAAGTATTCTAAGAAAAGGAAGATCAGGGGCCTATAGTCAGGAAGAAATCTGTCTAAAATTTAATCAAGTTCAAGGAAATATTAAGGCTCTCCTGGGTGCTGTCCTGCTTCATTTCATCACTTTAGGTTGTTCCCTGCTTCTCTCTCTCTTTCCCAATGAACTCAGCAGGATGCCTTGATATGCAATTCTATCTTAAATGCTTTTTGCAAATCCCTTTGGCCTTTTACTCTGACTTGTGTTTCTACTTGAATGACATTTCCTAGAAAGGCTTTTTTGGACCCACCAATTTAAATTAGGTAGTCTTATTTTAGATATAGATATGAACATAGATATATACATGCTTAAATGTAAAATTATTTGGCTACATGTCCTTATTTAGCAGTACTCAGTGAAGACAGGGATCATCTTTACTTATTCAACATCTAGCATATTACGTGATATACAGAAGGCATAAAATAATTCCTTAATAAAAAGAGGTTCAAGTCTCATTACCTCAGCCAGGTGATCAGGGTCCACATCAACGGTTGTAAGTCATGTTGATGGTATGTACCCTTGGGATGATGTGATGAGAAGAGCTCTTTACCTCTGTGGTCTTCCTTCCCAAAACTCATAACCCTAGTCTAATAATAAAAACAACTTTGGCAAATCTCAATTGAGAGATAGTCTACAGAATACTTGGCCAGTACATCTCAAAACTGTCAAGGTCATGAAACAAAAAAGTGTGAAAAACTGTCATAGCCAAGAGGAACCTAAAGAGATATGATAATTAAATATAATATGCTATCCTGGATGGGATCCTAGAACAGAGAAAGGACATTAGGTTAAAACCAAGTAAATCTGAATAAAGCACAGACTTTAGTTAATAACCCTGTATCAATATTGGCTCATTAACTGTGACAAATGTATTATACTAATTTAAGATATTAATAGAAGGGGAAAGTAGGTACAGGAAGTGTCTGTAGTATATTTCTAATTTTTCTATAAATTATAAATAATTCTAAAATAAAACGCTTATTTAAAAAATACTTGTCTCAATTCAGTTGCTTCCACATAAATGTTTACTGAGCACACACCTGTACCGTAGAGATATAGAAGGGTTATAAGTTATTGAAACTGGGATGGAGTTTAAGGATTTCATGATCCCATTTTCTTCATTTTATTCATGAAGAATCTAAGGTACAAGGGCATTAAATGACTTTCCCAAATTATATAGCCATCAAATGCTTTATTTAAGACTGGACCCTAGATATCCTTACTTTCTTTCCAGTGCTCTTTCTGATATAACTTTCTGCCTTCTGGGATAAAACCTACTTCCTTGAATAAATAACGCAGTTTGGGCCCATTCATAAAACCTGTAAATGTAATGACAGTTTAGCAACTTACATTTTTGACAATTTCTTCAATGTTAATTTCAAGCAATGTCACCAAAATGCAAAATTATATCAGGGAGAGTCTATATCATCTTTTTTGGACTTATTCTGTGAAGGGATACGTTGTTTAAACAATGGGAAACCTGATCAAACTGGCTTAAAGAAATAAGAAAAATTTATCACACATAGCACCCTATTTAGAGGTAGCATGGTTTATGGTTCCAGAATTGGTTAATTGCATGGAACAAGGAGAACTTTCCCAGTAACATAATCATCTGACTTCTCCAACATGTCTCATTGGCCATGCATGTGCTGAATGCCACCTGGAAACTAATCACTGACAAAGGGAATAAAGGAATGTAATTAGCATAATTTGTTTTAGTTAAGATTCAGGGCCGGGCGCGGTGGCTCACGCCTGTAATCCCAGCACTTTGGGAGGCCGAGGCGGGCGGATCACGAGGTCAGGAGATCGAGACCATCCTGGCTAACACGGTGAAACCCCATCTCTACTAAAAATACAAAAAATTAGCCAGGTGAGGTGGCGGGCGCCTGTACTCCCAGCTACTCGGGAGGCTGAGGCAGGAGAATGGTGTGAACCCCAGGGGGCGGAGCCTGCAGTGAGCCAAGATCGTGCCACTGCACTCCAACCTGGGTGACAGCGAGACTTGGTCTCAAAAAAAAAAAAAAAAAAAAAAAAAAAAAATGATTCAGCTTCTGGGCCTTGAAAGGGGCACAGACTTCAATCTTTCCTCAGGTATATGGCCACATAAAAACATACACACACATATGCAAACACACTCACTCTCTGTCTCTCTCTCTTTCTGTATCTTTCTCTCTTTCTTTCCATATATAGAGTTATACTACATATAACTTTATAACACACACACACACACACACACACACACACACACCCCTACTATCTGGTTGTATTATAGTGACCCTAGAGTAACTGTGTGAGGTAAAAAGAATATTTATCTTAATAGGTGCTATACAGATTTAACTCAAATTTTGCTAAGGAAATTCATTCTCTCAGTTGGAGATATAAATAAAATTTCATTTTTTAATAAAAATTGAGCCAATAGAAAAATTCTAATAAAGGCACTATGTTAATAAGCCATTAATTGCTGGTTCACAAAAACATATGACAATGAAGATTTTGCTGTGATAGGTTAACTTAATGAAAGTTTTCTTTTTTTTCCTAAAAAACTGAAAACAGTTTATTATTTGTTTTATATATGTTAGTCCCGTACTCCCCACAGTTTTTAATAGTTGTACTGGATTTATATTATTAGATCACATAGCCATTACATACTATAATTTCTCCCGTTTAATCCTCACTTAATTCTATAAGTTGCTACATGCTATAAGTCACTTAATGTTTTTCACCAGTCTTTACTGATCTTGGTTGTTTGAAGCTTGTTCTGTAGTAGATTCCTTGAGAAGTACTCATGAGGAGAATAGAAACTGAACTGTTATCACTTGCTGTCTGTCTCCTGTATATTTGAATGTTAGTTTTTCTGAATATAAAATATTTGGTGCACTTTTTTTCTTGAGTGTTTTAAATCGGCTATTCAGTTTTCTTTTGGGATAAACTGTTGTTGAAAATTCTAATGACAAACTAATAATCCAATCTATTATGTAAGTCATATGTTCTTTAGTCTAGATTCCAAAAGAATTTTTTCCTTAAATTCCTGTTCTTTTACAAGAATATTTATTTATTGCTTTTGGTTATTCTGGGTTTATATTTTCAAGTGTATATTGTACATTTTCAATATGTATTTTCAAGTCTTTTTTATTTCAGAAATTTGTTTTTGAATTATATTCTTGAGAATTTGTTTTAGTGCTTATCAATACTGGTTTTCTTCTTCAGGTATTCCTATTATCCATATGTTGGGTCTTCTTAACTACTTCAATATTTCTCTCTTTTCCCACATCATTTTCATCTCTTTCTTCATTTGTTTTTGATGTTTAATTTTTTTCTCCTTTTTTCTTCTATTTATTTCAAAGTAGTTATTTACTCGTTTTCTTTTAAGTCTTCACTTCTAAAATAATTTTCTTAATTTCTAATTATTTCTTGAGTGTTACCTCAGTCAATTATTCTAATTTTGGTTTATGTTACTGTCATATTATATTACTTTCTTAATGACTTTAAGTCATTTTGAAGTATTATGTTACAGTTTTGATTGCTTTTTGAAATTTTTTTTCTGGCATGCTTTTCTTTTCTATAGTTGTGCTATACAATATAGTACCAACTAGCCTCACATAGCTATTTACATTTTAATTAGTTAGAATTTAATAAAGTTAAAATTTGGTTCCCTGGGCTCATTAGTCGATAGTCACATGTTCACATGTGTCTAGGAGCCACTATGTTGGATGGCACAGATATAGAATATTTCCATCACCAGGAAAAGTTCTATTGGGCAGACCTGAACTATAAGGATGTTATTGTTTCTTATTTATCTTTTCTCTTAGAGTAACTATCTAAGATATAGACTTCAATACATTCCTGCTGCTCATTTTCATGTTAATTTAGTTTTTTGAGAATGTTAGAAGGAGCCTTGGTTCAGATAGCTGTGCAACTTTATAGAACTCCCTGTTCTCCTTTTGTTTGTTTGCTTATTTTTATGTTGTGCCAAGAAGCATGACAGCTTGATTTCTGAGATTTCTCGCTAATTTTCTAGATCAAGACCATTTCTTTCCTTTGTCTTTTTTTTGGTCCATATCTTGCTTAACTTTTAAAAAATTGTATTTATTTATTTTTTAAAGAAGGGGTCTTACTCTGTTGTCTACAGTAGTGCAGTCATAGCTCATTGCAGCCTCAAAACCCTGGGCTCAAGAGATTCTCTCACTTCAGCCCCTGGGTAGATGGGACTGTAGGCATGTGCCACTATGTCTGGCTATTTTTATTTCTTTTAATTTTTTTAGAGACTGGGTATTACTATGCTTCTCAGGCTGGTCTCAAACTCCTCACTTTAAGCAATTCTCCCTCCTTAGCCAGGATTACAGGCACCACCCACCATGCCTGACCTGCTTCATTTTGATCCCACTGTCACCAGTTTCTCCTCGGTGTAAGTCCCCATCCTAAAAGACACACCTGGCTGGTCAGTTTCCAGTGTGCACAGTGGCTAGACTGCTCCAGCTCTTTTAGGTATTTACTTATGCCCTTTGTACACACAAGATATTAGATTGAGCAAAACTGTCCCAGTGTCATCCCCTATTCTCAAATTGGCTTGCCAAGATTTCCAGTAATATCTGCTGGCTATTTTGAGGCTCTCCTATTCTCTTTTTTTTTAATTTTATTATCATTGTACTTTAAGTTTTAGGGTACATGTGCACAACATGCAGGTTTGTTACATATGTATACATGTGCCATGCTGGGGTGCTGCACCCATTAACTCATCATTTAGCATTAGGTATATCTCCTAATGCTATCCCTCCCCTCTTCCCCCACCCCACAACAGTCCCCGGTGTGTGACGTTCCCCTTCCTGTGTCCATGTGTTCTCATTGTTCAATTCCCACATATGAGTGAGAACATGCGGTGTTTGGTTTTTTGTCCTTGTGATAGTTTGCTGAGAATGATGGTTTCCAGCTTCATCCATGTCCCTACAAAGGACATGAACTCATCATTTTTTATGGCTGCATAGTATTCCATGGTGTATATGTGCCACATTTTCTTAATCCAGTCTATCATTGTTGGACATTTGGGTTGGTTCCAAGTCTTTGCTATCGTGAATAGTGCTGCAATAAACATACGTGTGCATGTGTCTTTATAGCAGCATGATTTATACTCCTTTGGGTATATACCCAGTAAAGGGATGGCTGGGTCAAATGGTATTTCTAGTTCTAGATCCCTGAGGAATCGCCACACTGACTTCCACAATGGTTGAACTAGTTTACAGCCTCGCCCTGCTTCGGCTCACGCATGGTGCACTGCACCCACTGTCCGGCACTCCCCAGTGAGATGAACCCGGTACCTCAGTTGGAAATGCAGAAATCACCCGTCTTCTGCGTCGCTCATGCTGGGAGCTGTAGACTGGACTGAAAGTTTTCTAATAGTTAAAATGAATATCAACATTGTGCTTAAGAATATGGTCTCTGCAGCCTTATTGCCCAGAATCAAAACCTATCTTTGACAATTAATTGTTGTGTATCCTTTGACAAGTTGCTTTATCTCCCTGTGCCTCTGTCTCTTTATCAGCTAAAAAGGAGATAATAATAGCACATATCTCATAGGGTGGTAGTTGTTGTGAACATGAAATAAAATTATAAAGGGAAAGTACTTACAATAGTGCCTGGCATAGAGTATGCCTTCAATACATGTTAGCTACTATTGTTATAATCTAGTAATACGTTTTTTGAGATATTTACACTTTTCCTTTTATTCCTTTTTACCTTCATATTTTATGTAGTTTCATTTATTTAGAGAACAGACTCAAAATTGTCTAAGACATTATACTTCAGCAAAAAAAGGGATCAAAAGAAAACAAATTCTAAAATATTTTAAATTTTTTATGATGACACAAGTTTCAAAGAATAATGTTTTAGAAGCTTGAAAAATAGTAAATAATTGAATTAGCTTTTTTTAGAATAAAATTACATTGACAAAATTTGAAAGTGAACTATATTCTTAAGAGTATGTTCTTTGTTGCCCTATCCCCCAAAATGGGATGATATATATTGTAATCCCAACATTTCTCTTTATGCCTTACAGATGTTATTCATCTCTACATTTTTATGGGAGTGGATTAGGGGGAATTTAGGAAGCTGTAAAGACTGTACCTACTATAATTAATTTCTTAATATGAAAGAATATGTGGGAATGTAAGTCAGTACAGTCGTTATTCACACACAGTGAATGAATATTGGGGGGACGACAATCCTGATATATGGTAGTGACTTGGAAACTGGTTCCCACCTCACCTTCAAGAGGCCTGATGCACAAAGTGTTGCTGGCCTGATTCAGTCCTCAGAGCTGTGTTTTGGGATTAGCAAAATATTTGATGGAGGCTGCTGTCAGCAATGGATCAAGAAGCTGATATTGAGTTGAGTGATGAGAATCTCTGGAGTTCTTTGATGATTAACTAGGAGCTTTGCTAAAAAGATTTTGAGCTGTAGGGTCAGATCTAGACAGACATGAGTCACCATTCCAGCAGGGTGAAGCTTGATAGTGGTTAGGAGTTCTGAATCTGCCCTCAAACTGCCTGGGGTTGAATCCTGGCTTCACTCATCCCTTTCTAGTTGCATTGACCTTGGCAAATCACTTGAAACATCTATGCTTCAATTTCCTCATCTGATTTAAAATAATAATATCTACTTAATAGGGATATGATGGGTAAGTAAAGTAGTGGCTATCTTTCTCTCTAGATAGCTATCATTTCTATATCTATCTATCTATCTATCTATCTATTATCTATCTATCTATCTATCCTCTATCTATCTATCTATCTAAACTGAGATTAATGACTGGCACACAGTAAGTATCCAGGGTCTATTACCATTATTTTTACAAAAGCTCCCATCACATGTCCATTTCTCCCAGAAACCTCAAAGAAGTCAAAGCTTATGAGATGTTGGGATCTCAAAGGCTCTCTCTCTGAGAAGACGGGAAAAGTAAAGACTGCCACGGTATGCATTTACATGGAGTCTTCCACAGGTCTAATTAAATGCTCCCCTTTTTCAAGCCTATCTCATTTGGTTCTTTTAATTTACCCTGAAATATAAGACAGAACTATAATATATTTATATCAGACACTTAATCATTGGGAGATTTAACACAAAACCTGACTTGTGTAAAGGCTTCCATCTGAGTTACTAACACAGCATTGTAATTTAGTGCTGTGTTACCCTGGACCAGCAGGGTGAGAGAGGAAATTCAGCATTCTCATTGGACTAGCTGTCAAGTCATTGACTGCCCTGTCCAAATTGACCTTTAGGGGCCAGGCATTAAAGCACTGTGGTGTGATAATGTCTTCTGTTATTTTCCATAAGTAAGATGATTTAATGTTTGAAATAGAATCATCTTGAGAAAGGCTATTCTAGCTGGAATTTTGTGCCCAGGACAAAGAAGCGGGCAAGGCAGATACAAAGAAATTGTTTTTTATTAGTAAGGAACAAACTGACTTTGATTAATGTAAGCAAATTAGTTTTAATAATCATACTGTGCTCATATGAAGGTAGGAAATTATATATCCATTTAACCATATCCAAAATTAGACACACTAAATGAGGAAGCATTCCTAATCACAGGATGCTATAGGATAAAAATAAAATTCTGTACAGCATTTTATGCTTAAATGGTTAGTATTTTTAACGTTATAAATATTGAAGACAAGGCAAAGCTGCTAACTACCTACTGCTGTAAATGATGGCAATCAATTACTGTAAAGTAGATGGGGTCATCTGCAAAGGGGCTAGAAAAGATCAATACAGTCTCCTAGCAACAGAGCTGCATGCTGCAAGATCCTGCAGCCATCTGGTACCCTTCAATTCCTGACCTGGCCCAATAAGCCAAGGCAGGGTCACTCTGTATTTCCTTAATGCTAACTCAGAGTACATATTTCCCAAAGACAAAAGCATCCATATTTATCAAATAAATATGAGGAGGATTGAGCACCTAATGTACAATAGAGAGCTAATAAAATTATATTTGTGGCAAACGATACTTGATTTGACCTAGATAGCACCATACAAACTATAATTGGAGGTACAAAGAAAATCAGATGCGATTGCTCAGCAAATTCAAATCACAGACATTAACATAATATGGGAATCATCAGGCTCTGAGTCTGGTAGTGTTTATTTTTGTTTGTTATTCTAATCACAAATGATCTTTTTATATGATGATCAAATCCAGAACTGACTAGTTACTTGACTAGGTAAACTATTTCACATCTTGGTGGCTTGGTTTCCTCATCTATATAATGAGTATAAGAATAGTGTTCTAAGTATTAAATTAATGTATGCAGAGGGCTCATAAAAATACCTATCATATAGTTAGCACAATAAATGTTAGTTTCCATGATTATCCTTATGAATAATTGCTGTGATATATGCTAATTTCATTAACTAACTTCATAAATGTTTCCTGAGAGACTGCTCTGTCAGGAATTGCTCTCAACCTGGGTTCCATAGCAGTGAGCATGAGACAAAATCCCTGTTTTTATGGAGGTTACGTTTCTGAGATCAAGTCATTTAATTCTGACATAAGGCACTTGGAATGAATGTCTTAAAATTTCAGGTTACTGCAATGAGCAAAATAATACAAAGAAGGCTGCAAGTAGGGCCAGTAGTATCCACCACAATTTTAGCCTGTTGTATTTTACTTCAAGGAAAAGATTAGGCAAAAACAATGAAAGTTGGAGTCAAATGTCCTTCAATCTTGTGCACAGGCTATTGCTTTTATAATGTGATTTGAAGGGCACTGTTGAAAGGCTTAAGGCTTCCAAACCTTCCATTAACTTTGATATTCTTATTATTAGAATTTCATTCATTTGGGATAAAAATTATAATTCTTGGAACCCACTTGCAATACATACACTTTTCTAGAAAGAATGACAAATATTAAGCCATAATTATCCATTAGTAAAGTGTGAACATCAGCCTACCTGTCACCTAGCAAGGCTGTCATCTAGGAAGATACTGAGGATAACTAGAGAAACAAGTTAAAATGAGATCAGAGTCAGAAGAAGGATAATGGTTTTCCCTAAGGATGGGAAGAGCACTTTTCTGAGCATTGTAGAGGAGGCCCCTGGGCAGCGTAGGGTGGCTGTGAGTACCTGGAAACATGAGAATGAAGGCACTCATAATGAGGAGAATAGTGAGTGGCATTCCTCACCTTATTTCCTAAAACCAGGTAAAACAAGACCAGCAAGAGAAAGAACATATTCCACTGGTTCTTGTTACAGAAAGATGACCTGAATTCCTGTTTCTCTTTGTTATTTACCCACTCTGTAACCCTGAGAAAGTTGTTTAACTTCTCTGAGACTTAGTGTCTTCACTTCTAAAATGGCAATGACAGTATTTATCTTGCAAGACTGTCATAAAGATCAAATAAGATAATATATGTAGAGATTAGCTCATATAATATGCATGTAATACATGAAATAATTAGGAAGATAATAATTTTGTAATTGTCATCATTATCTTAGAGTATAAATGCCCGTAAAACAGGAAGGGAAGATGTACTGGTTTCTCATGCCATTATAGTATCCATGCAATGGACTGAATGGTTGTGTTCCCCCCAGATTCATATGTTGAAATTCACCCCACAAGGTGATAGTATTAAGAGGCAGGGGTGCTAGGAGATGATTAGGTGATGGGGATAAAGCCCTCATGAATGGGGTCAGTGTCCTTATAACAGAGACCCCAGAGAGATCCCTCATCCCTTCTACCATGTGAGGACATAGTCAGACCATGGCTGTCTATGAAGAAGCAGGTTCTCACCCAGATACTGAATGTTCTGGTTCCTTGATCTTTGACTTCAAGCCTTCAGAACTGTGAGAAATAAATTTCTGTTGTTTATAAGCCACCCAGTCTGTGGTATTTTGTTATAGCAGCCCAAACAGACTATCTAGTAGAGTGCAACATTATGTTGAGTGCATATTAATGATATATATTATTTACAGTTAACCCTTGAACAATTAGGGAGTTAAGAGCACTGACTCCCCCAGTAGTCAAAAATCCACATAAAACTTTTGACTCCCCCAAAACTTAACTACTAACAGCTTATTGATGACTGGAAGGTATAGCAATAACAGAGTCAATTAACACATAGTTTGTATGTTGTATTTATTATATATTATATTTTTACAATAAAGAAAGCTAGAGTAAAGAAAATGTTACTAAGAGCATCATATGGAAGAGAAAATATACTTACTATTCGTTAGGTGGAAGTGGATTATCATAAAGGTCTTCATCATCTTTATCTTTTCATTGAATAGTCTGGCTAAGGAAGAGGAGAAAGATAAGGGATTGGTCTTACTGTCTTATAGGTGGCAGAGGCAGAAGAAAATTCACGTGTAAGTGGGCCCACATAGTTTAAATCTATGTTGTTCAAGGGTAAACTGTATATTGTTTATACATATATACATATATTTATAATTATATTTATATATTTATATTTTTATAAGATTATAGACATAAAATTTTATACACATACAACATAAAATGTATATATATAACATACATTATATATACACACATAATGTACACATATATACCCATTATATAAGATAATGGGTACATATGTATAAGTACATATATAAACACACATTATACACACACACACACAGCTTCTAACCAATATATGACTATGTGAGTGCGAGTGCATGCATTGTGCCTAGTGTGCAGGATATCATGAAGAATGCAAAAAAGGTACAAGATGGTCATTGCTCTCAAGTGATTTGCAAACTAGATGGTGAGACAAAAGATGAATGAAAAAAATGGATTGGATAAGGGCAAGAACTAAAGAATTTCCAGGTTGGGAACAGTATAATTCAGGCCAGTGTATGGGATGTATAGAAAACCAGCCAGAGAACAACATAAGTCAGAGAATGAATAGAAGTGAGAGAAATGGCTTGAATCTTTGGTATGGAGCCAGGTACAGGGTGAGGTGGGGCTTAAGAAATGATGGCAAAATTTCATTCATCATTCATTCATCATTCTGCCACAGCCAGAAATACTGGACACACTTACAAAAATGGAATGTAAAGTTCTGAGATTTTTGGCAATAGCAAACACTGGCAAAGCATTGACAATGATAGAAATAATCTGTTACACATACCCTAGGAAATAAGCCATAGCAAAGATGGTTCTTATTTTCCTGCAAATTCATGTCATCATTTCATATCAAAACAATCATTTTCAAGAAAAAAAAGACCATGGAAAAAGAGTCACATTTGGCAACATTATAGTTGCCTTTACTTTTTTCTCTACTCTTATATATTGATTTCCAAATAGAGTTGGCAAATGCAAATTGCAAATATATCGGGGCATTTCATAAACATCCAACACACTTCCAGGACCGCTCAGAACCAAATGCAGAGTCAAAAGTCTGGCAAATAAAATATGAAATCACTCTTAGGACAGATGATAGCCCAAAACTTCTTTATTATTATTATTTGCAGACTTGATGCTCCTACATTGTGGATACTTACTCTGAAGTTAAAGGAAGTCAGTCCACACCTCAGTGTTTGATCCCATCTTAGGCAGATGGGAGCCAGGCTTGTACACTCTGATCCCACAGGAGCAAGGATGTGTGGTAAATAAGAAAATAATTTTAATGGAATTGAACATAAGCCCATCTCAAGCCCTCCTGGCTTGAGAAGGGCAGGCATATCACAAGATCTTACTGACTGTGTTCAGGGACCAGAGGCATTGTTTGGAAAGACAAAGGTATCTACCAACGCCGTGGAATAACAGACAGAACTAATTGTGCTTTACCCTCAGCAACAAACTTTACTTGTTTTTCTTCAGTCTCTTGGCTTAGAAATGGAGTTAATTTGAAGTAAATATTAATAAAATTGAGAATTTATATTTTGGGCATTATTTGATCTGTATTATGTGTATCTGTTTCTACAAATATATAACAACAATTTAAAATAATTCGAAGCACAGACAAGAAATTAGAGGAAATGACATTGCCTTTTTTTCCAAAGGGAGTTCTGTATCATGGAGAGAATTTTAAACAAGATAAAATTCAACGAAAAATCTATCATTTAATACTTAATTTTATTAAAGATTTAGTATCACTCATAGAAATAAAGGATGAAAAATAGGAAACACTATCTTAATGTGATATGGGGTTTATGAACACATGTGGGAGATTGGTTGGGAGTATTTTCCTTAATCATTGAGGCTCATAAATTTATGATTCATTTTACTCATTATTGGACTGCAGTAAAAGGCCTATACTATGTTATTTTTCCCAAAGAAGAAAATACTATTTTCTCACTCATTTATCCTCAGCAAATAATTATTGAGCAATAGGCATTGTATGATTTTGAGAATGTTGCGCAACTTGGCATGTTTTAAGAATTTCTGTTGACTGCCATTAGTTGAAATCCTGCAAAAGTGAGTGACCCTGTAGGCAGACATGATATCAGGCATTTTAGCCCCTGGGAGCCTGTCCAGATTTTCTCCCAGGCCTCTGTCCTAATGTAGACCCCCACACTCTTCCCTATCACCTTGAACACTTGATACTTGGTGTGAAATTTATTATCTTAAGATTTAACATTAACAAAATCACCAGCAATGTATCAATGATAGAATGAGAGATGGTGATTTTATTGGTAGAAAGAAAAGCTGATAGAGTAGCAAAAAAGAAAAAAAAATGTCTGAAGTGTATGACAGTGAGGACAGTTGATAAACAAGGTCTGGATAAACAAAAGGCAAAAGTAATTTTGATATAAGCATAGAGTATCTAATATCAAAAGCCCATGATAGAGATTAAGAAAGAGAAAAAGAGAAAAGAGAGGGAAAGAGAGAGAGAGAGAGATTCTTTTCTTCCTCTTTCTTTAAAAAACTAAATATCAACTCAGATTTCATTAGCATATATTACAATCTCTCCCCAGCAACAGCGTCTCATTGGTCACTCAGTTTCCATGTGATTCCATAAAATCCAGGCCTGCTTTATGCCTGCACACAGAGCCCCACTAGGCCTTTCTTGTTAAGATAAGCGGAAGAAATAGCTTGAGGGGACAGCAGTAGGACCAATTTCTTTTCCCAATTAGGGCCTAATGATCTTCCCTAAGGGTCTACCTTATCAAAAATATCCAGATGGAACAATCTCTTTCCTCCAATTAAGCTCTCATTTTTTTGAAGTAAGATCAATAAAACATTACTGAGATTTTGTTTGCCTAAAATATGAACATGAGCATGTGTAAACTCAAACCTAAATTGCAGAGACACATCTGGAGAAAATGTCTTTGGGCAAAATCTCCCAGGACCTCCTAGAGAGCCAAATTTGATGTCAGGCAGGACTTGATAGAACTGTCTGTCTATTAGGGCTTAATTGTCAGCATGTTGAAAGGAGATTTCTATTTTTAAATTACAGATTTACTTATAAAGAGATTGTATGGCATAAAATAAAAAAATGACACTATAGAAGTTATAAAGGAAACAATTTTAATGTCACACTAAGTTGTTAAATTTTACTGAAAAGAAAAGCAAAATGCTATATCATTCGATAGAAAATTGAAAGATTGCTCAGGATTTTGCACACCTTTTATCCATTCCACATGCCGTAAGAATGCCCAAGCTGCTGCAGCTTTTGCAAAATGCACTGTCCCTGATATTCTGAGTAAGATTTTACTGCCTGGCATGTGTCTATCCTCTTGTCTCTTTGTCATTTACTCTCTCAAGACTGCAGTGTTCACAGAAGGAGTTTAAACTGAACACGTCTTAAGGTAACTGAACAATGTTATGCAAAATCTAACATTTCCTTTTCTTGTGATGCATGATTTCTCCTTGCATAGTGGGTGTCCTTGAATTTGTGTCAAGCAAAGCATTCCTCTTAGTGTCCTATCTCTGTGGAGATGAGAACAAACTACACACTGGCACAGTATTTGTTAAATTTATAAGGAAAAGAAAAACTGTCCACAGCAGGAAGACATCCTCACTCTCACCCATCCTAGTGGAACATCTGAAAAGAGAATTAGGATAGTGCCAAGATGGCGTTAAAAGACATGGATTGTAGCAATTCTATGTGTTGCCAAATTCTCCCCAAAATGTATCTTCCAACAAAAATCTATGCCACTGCAGCCTTAGTATCTGAATATTACTGTTATGAAGATGGGGAATTATTTTTCATCATTGTTCTGGTTTAGAGACAATAAAATATGACATTGTCTCTTTTCCTAGGAACTGACAACAGGGATACGACCTCACAGTGTTTTCACTTTGCTTTGCTTATAACTTTGTTTCCATTTCTCATGGAACAGAGTGATAGGAAGCAGATGTAGTCTGAAAGTTATGTTGACCTCAATTTTCAGTAAGTGGACAAAAATAAAAGATTTTGGAGTCATGGAGGTAGCAGCCATTCCTCATATGTACATGTGGAACTGATTTTAATCCTCACTTTTCTGCTGTGGGTCACAGTTCTGTTGTTTCTATTTGTTCAATAAACATTGATTGAATATTTACTACGCTCCAAGCATGCATGACATTAGCTACTGGGAGTAGGCAGATGAATATTAATTCAGGACCCTTCCCTCTCAGAGTTATTAGGGTCCACAGTTGCACTCATCCATAAATTCATGATGGTAAGAGGTAGAGGAAAACAAGCACAAGGCCCAGAAAAAGGTGCTTACGTCTGGACGGAGGTTTGTAGCAGGAGGCTGTTTGCTCACTTGTAAGAAGCACTGTGGGAAAGGCTGAAGTTGGTGTTAGGATCTATAATCATTCTTCAGAGAATGTGCTCACTGCTACATTCATTACTGACTGAGTGACTACCATGTGTTCTGAGAAAAAAGTTGTAATCTGAGGAATGTGAGCCCCTTTAAGTCATCAGGCCCAGAGAGACGTTAAAACTGTGATAGCAAGTCACTTCCCTCTCCCTTGAGCTAAATAATTAACTCTTGACGTCACTTCCTATGTGAACTCTAGACTAACTGATGCCAAGGAGCCATAAAATGACATACCCTGGATGCCATACTCATACCCCATAGTTCAACAATGTATAGTCAGTCGTAACCACTATTATTTTTGTAAATCAATAAGAAGTCCTGTCAAACAACTTTGTGCCAACCCACTCCTTGTTCCTTGTGGTCTAGGCTGGAGGGGCAGCTGTCATCATGGTAAGTTCTTTTTCAGGTGTTGCAGAAATGCAAAAGGGAAAGTGGAAACCCTGGGGGGTTTCTTTTTTTTTTTTTTTTTTTTTTAGAAGGAGTTTTGCTCTGTCACCAGGCTGGAGTGCAGTGGCGCGATCTCGGCTCACTGCAACCTCCGCCTCCCGGGTTCCAGCTATTCTCCTGCTTCAGCCTTCTGAGTAGCTTGGATTACACGCGCCCACCACCATGCCTGGCTAACTTTTGTATTTTTAGTGGAGATGGGGTTTCACCAAGTTGGCCAGGATGGTCTTCATCTCTTGACCTCGTGATCTGCTCGCCTTGGCCTCCCAAAGTGTTGAGATTACAGGTGTGAGCCACTGCACCCGGCCCCCTGCGGATCCCTTAAGTCTTAGTCTCAGTCCAGTGCTCTTTCATTTCAGCCACGTTCCATTGACTAGAGTCAGTCATGTGGATGAATCCAAATTCAAGGGGCTGTCAGTGCACTATGAATTTTGTGTGAGCATCTACAAAGTTACATGCAAAAGATATGGATAGAGAGGAAAATGAAGAATTGGAGCCAGTATTTCAATTTAACCTCTGAAATTGTCACTTGATGTCTCGAAAGAATCAAGGATTTCAGAAGACAAAGGAAAATTATGGTCAAAGTGAAGATGATGGAAATGAATGTCAAACCTAGAATTTTATATGAGGTTAAACTAATATTGACATATAAGTACAAACTGAAGATGTTATCAGGAATGAAGAATTCATAAAAATTGAACATAGAAACTTCTTGGGAAATAGGCTTTGAAGAAGCATAGTGAAAGAATGAATAAATACAGAAAAACTATAAGGAAAATAGGATAGAATAATACATAAGTAAATTTTATTAATGCTTAAATAACTAAGAATCAAATATGTAAAAACTGCCCACATGATCTACAATTAAAGTCTAAGCCAGTGTTGCGCAATTGACCTCTCTGTGATAAAAATATTTCTTATTTGTACTGTTCAATGTGGAAGTCATTAGTAAAGTGGAACCATTGATCACTTGAAATGTGGTTCGTAAGACTGAGAAACTAAATTTAAAATTTTATTTAATTAAAACAATTTAAAGATTCACATGTGGCTAGGGGCCACATGTGAATTGTTTTGGAAAGCACAAAAGTTATTTGGCAGTGGGAAGTGAAAGTAGCACCAAGAGAATAAATTGAGGTTACGATGTGCTGTGATCTTTGTCTTAATCCTTAATGATGTGAATATTGATACGTTTAATATATTGGTAAGTGAATAGAAATATAGGCACAGGATTTAATAAGTAACCAGAAATGGAAGAGCATGTGATATGGTTGTATGATTGTTGCTTCCAAATCTCATGTTGAAATGTCATCTCCAATATTATAGGTGGGGCCTAGTGGGAAGTATTGGATCATGGGGATGGAACTCTCATGAATGGCTTGGTGTCTTCCCCAAGGTAATAAGTGAGTTCTTGCTCTGTTAGTTCATGTGAGAGCTGGTTGTTTAAAAGTCTGGGATCTCTTCCTGCTCTCTCTTGCTCCTGCTCTCTCTGTGTGACATGCTTGCTCTTTTCCCTTTCTCCATGATTGGAAGCTTCCTGAGGTCCTCACCAGAAGCAGATGCTGGAGCTATGCTTGTGCAGCCTGCACTATCATGAGCCAATTAAACTTCTTTTCTTTATGAATGGCCCAGCCTCGGGTATTTCTTTATAGTAGTGGAAGAATGGACTAACATAGCATGTATAAAATACAAACCCATAGAGGAAAAATCTCCAGTGGAAAAAGAAAGGGAAAGTAGAAGTTAAATAAGTATGATAAGTGGAAAATATGAACTAAGGTGCAGAAGTAAGTCTAATTTTAATAGTGTTTATAATAATTCTGGAGAGGTAAAATGAACAAAAAAATCATATTGGATTAAAAACTATGTGGTCCTCAAAACAAAAGGAAGCATAAACCCTGAACAAAAGGGATGGAAAAGGTTAATATTACTGTAGTCTCTCCATTTAAATAACTATGAAATAGAAAAAGTTATAAGGAAAGATTTTAACTTCTGCCTTCATAAAGAAATATTCCCAATATTCTGAGATTATAGTGAACAAATGATAGATTGCTAGTTTTTCTGGCTTCCCAGCCTCTGAATTCTCTTTCTACATTTGATTGATCTTTCACTGTATGACAGAAAGCCATCCTAATATACAAGCATATAATGCCAGATACTTACTCCTTAATCTCTCCTTGAGTTCTGCCTATTTGTGCACCCACAAATAGGTTTTCTCAGTCTTTGACTGAGAACGTGGGAATGTAAAGAAGCAGGGCCGTGGGATGCATTCTGGAGACAGGTAGCAGAGGTTACATCAAATTTTGAGAGCCAATAGTGGCAGCAGTTCCTGTGGCCACATCCATTCTTTGTCCAGCGGTGGCTGAATCAGCAATACAAGCTTTAGGATCTGTTTCAAGATGCAATGGTGTTTGGGGAGATTTTTCTCATATCCTTAATCTTGTTTCTCTGACTTTTCTTTTTGCTTTTCTCTTTGACTGTTCTCAACACTCCAGCATTAAGATTCTGTAAACTATTCAACATTCTTTAATGTATTTTTGTGCTTAAATCAGTCATGGTTGGCTTGTTTCCTGCAACCAAAACTCCCTATGATATGATAGACTAACAATAACAGAAAATGGTTTTTCTTTCAATATTTCAAGTGGCAGATATGGACTGCCATATTTGCAAAGTAAGAGAAGTACTTGTGTTTTTTATTTCTTGTGTCTGAGTAAGATGCAATGGAGCGTTTCATGAAAACTACATCTATTGTTCTATAATGGACCTATTCTTCAAATGCCAATGTTTTCATTTCTTTTAGAAAAATATATATTCTGGAAGACTTAAAATTCACGTAAGCCTCATCATTGCAGAAAGCAAGGGAAGTCCTGTTTGAGAGAAAGTCCATGTATACCTTGAAAAATGTTGCTTTTCTCAGCAAAGATATTTTCTTGAGCAATTAGTATCCCTTTAAACATCAATGGAAAAACAATTATATTTATATTACATTCCTATATTGCAGAATAAAGCTTAGTAATGGGAACTGTCCTGAGTTAAGTAGTTAGGTCAACTCACTGCATGGAATCTGTAAAACCTGCCATTTCATTTGGAAGGGGTAAAAGCACCATTTAGAGAGGCTGTTCATAGAAGATCAATGAAGATTAAGTAACAGGGCATTTTACAAACCTGCTTTCCTCCTATGCCAGTTTAACAAGGAAAGGAACTGCATAAATTGCTTCACTTTACTAGACCTTTTCAACCTGAAAAAAACAAACACAGAAACAAAATAAAAATGGGATTAGAATGGATTTGAATAATAGCCAAATTCACAATTTCTTTAACTATTGTACACCTATCATAGTATACTCTAGAGCCCTTTAAATTTGGATTCACCGACATGACTGACTTTAGTCCATGCAATGTATTTGAAATGACAGTCTGAGAGTAGGACTTAAGAGACCTCCAGGGTTTCCACTTTTTCCCTTTTGCATTTCTGCCAGCACCAGAGAGAGTTTGCCATGGTTGCTGCTGCCCCTTCAGCTAATAAAAACTATTGATATTATTCAATACTGGTAAAGCTGTGGAGAAACAGTCATTTCATTGGTAGTAGTGCCAAGTTTTTCAATTGTCTCAGATAGTAATTGTTGTGATCTATTAATATATTTATACTATTTCTGGCTAGTAATTTCTTCTCTAGGAATTTATCTTACAGAAACTTTGTCACAGGTGAAAAAATATATATCTTTAATATATATAGTATATAGAATATGACAGAGCTCTTATAAAGAATGAAGTAGGACTATAGGTACTGAAGAATAAAGATATTCATAATATAGTGTTAAATACAAGTGCAGATACAAAACATATGCTATGCTATAATCTAATTTTCTGTATTATTTAATAAAGTTAGATTTTAACTGCTATTTAAAACAATTTATTTTAGGATCAGGGGTACATGTGCAGGTTTGTTATATGGGTAAACTCATGCCATGGGGTTTTGCTATACAGATTATTTTGTCACCCAGGTACTAAGCCTAGTACCCAATAGTTATTTTTTCTGTTCCTCTACCTCCTCCCATCCTCTACCCTCAAGCAGGCCCCAGTGTCTGCTGTTTTCCTTTTTGTGTCCATGTGTTTTCATCACTTAGCTCCCACTTATAAGTGAGAACATGCAGTACTTGGTTTTCTGTTCCTGCATTAGTTTGCTATGTATGATGACCTCCAGCTCCATCCATGTTCCTGCAAAAAACATGCTCTTATTCTGTTTTAATGGTTGCATTATGGCTGTATATGTATCACGTTTTCTTTATCCAGTCTACCATTGATGGGCATTGGGTTGATTTGGGTCTTTGCTGTTGTGAACAGTGCTGCAATTAACAGACACGTGCATGTGTCTTTATGGTGGAATAATCTATATTCCTTTGAGTATATACTCAGTAATGCGATTGTTGGGTCAGATGGTAGTTATGTTTTTAGCTCTTTGAGGAATTGCCACACTGCTTTTTACAGTGGTTGAACTGATTTACACTCTAACTGCTATTTTTTTAATCCTGTGAAAATGACTTGAATGAATTTCTGCCAAATTTGGGGAATATGGCCAATACAAAATTTGGAGGATATGATTTTTAAAAAGCTGTTCAAGATAACCAAAATTACTTTTTAAAAGACTGCTGTTGGTGAAGAGCACTTCAGAGACAGAAGTAGTCACTAATCAGAACAGGTACTCTCATTGATTTGGTATGATATAATTGATGATGTAATATTATTTATAAAAACCAGAAATTGAAAAGAACTCAAATATTCATTTACTGACAAATGAATAAACAAATGTGTTATATACATACAATGGAATGTTATTTGGTATTAAAAATAATCAAATACTGATCTACTTGCTTCCACATGGATAACCCTTGAAAATATTATGCCACCGTGAAAGAAACCAGTTATAAAAGACCATATACTGTATAACTCCACTTATATGAAGTGTCCAGAAGAGTCATATTGATAAGGACAGAGAATAGATTAATGGTTGCCTGGAGAGGGACAGGAATGGGGATATAACTGCTAATGGGGATGGGGTTTCTTGTGATTGTGATAGTTGCACAAGTTTGTGAATACACTTAAAAGCATTGAATTGTACACCCTAAAGGGGGATGTTCATGGTATATGAATTATATCTCAATAAAGCTGTTGAAGAAGAAAAGGAAATATGAGGAGGAGGAGGAAGAGAAGGCAGTGGGTGGTGGGTGATATTGATATCACTATTAGAAAACTGATTGTTCACATAGTTTCTGAGTCAAAGTCAGTTCACAGACCTGCAGCCTGTGATTAAAAGAGAAGCCAGGTTATGTTAAGGAAAACTCCTCAAAAGCTTCAGTAATATTCCACTGATCTTTCTTCAAAGGGTCCTGCCATTTGCTGAATGACGTTTGTCTAGGAAAAGATGAATATCTAGGCTTTTTGAAAATAGTTATATATGATACTAAGTTAATTCTGATTCCCTAAGGAACCCAAACCACATTTAGTCTTATAGAGAGACTGGTGTCTTATAGAGGCTATGTGACAAATGATGCTTTTGCCTTTCTGTTGTCAACACACTGATGATATAATATCAATGTCTCTGCTTAGCTATATCACAATGAAAGCTGGAACACACCAGTAAATTTGGGAAACACTAAAATCCAGACTTCTTTTCTTCCTCCCTCCCTTCCTTCATTTCCTTTTTCTCCCTCTCTCTCCCCTTATCTTTCTCTCTGTGTGTTTCTCTCTCTGTCTCTGTCTCCCTTCTCTTTTTCCTTTTGAGATACAGTTGTTAAGCATTTATCATTATATTGCTGGATAACCATCATCAGTCAGAGGGTATTTATATTTATAAGGCAGAAACAACCATATACATTCATACGCTTGCTCCAGAGTTATGTTAACTCTTCTGCTGTCTTCCTATATTTCACAATGACTTCAATTGTTCCAACATTATATATAACATATAAGGATCCTTAGACCCATTGAGGAGAAGGTGGCAAGAACCTACAGATCAAGTAAGACAAGTACATTCCAGATAGTTTAAGACAGACCCATTGAACATTCAGGCTGCTGGTACTTTGCTGATATCTTTGGAAGTCCAGTGTTTTGAAGCTTATCAGAACATCTTTTCTGAGGTTGAGGACAAGTTTTTGTTCCTACAACTCCTATTATTACTGGCATCACTATGAATGTAGCAAGAAGCTTCTGGGATTTGGAAGTAACATGTATTGCATTTGCGTATATTGATAGGGTTCATTTATTGGCAACGAGAAAAGCTAACAGTTTTGAGGCCCTTGAGTAAGGAAAAGCTCTGCATTATGTTTGAGCACCAGTATAATTACCCATGCTACTTGGACCCTATGATCTAGCATATTAATGGTATTTGTGGTAGATAATGATGATGTTTGGAGTTTCTGGCAAGCTCCATGGCAGATACCTAAGATTATGTAGTAAAGCCATGTTCTTATCAGGTAATTAATGTCCATTGGAAAATACATTTCCCAGTTTCTTTTAGACCCTGGTGGAGATTAAGTGCCTGACCGCAGAATCCCAAAAGATTATATGAGCTGAGCTTCTCATCATAAAGTAGGTATTATCAGATAAGTTTGGTAGGAATATCAGCAATTTATTGTATAATGTAAATATTACATTTGGCATTAAACTAAAGCAGGTCCAGAAGGCATGGGTAAATTGCAGGAACAGATAGTCTAGACTCCTAGGTTACCTCTTTCTGTTGCATGATATTATCCTCTCGGCTCATACTTTTGAGCTTATGGGGGATTACCTATGTCAAAATGTGGAGGAGAAAGGCCTTAGACTTCTTTTACAAATGGGTTGGTGTTATATGTTTACACGAGGAAGAAACTAGTTGTTTCATTACAGCTTAATTCAGGAAGTTAAATCTTTTCAGTAGTTAGAACTGTAGACAATATAGTCAATCAACTACTTTGTATGAAGAGACATAGGGCCTGAGTTATGAATAAACGCTGGGTCCTGGGCAGTACTAATTGCTTCCCTGGTGGGTCACTGAACTGAAAGGCATGCGATAGTAGGGTCTTGTAAAAGGTGTGTAGTGATATATGGGAGAAGTACAAAATACATTAACTACTACCTCTCCCATTAGTGTGAAGGAGAGAGCATTCATTATGGAGGAGAACATCTAACATAATTGGACCAGATGACCTATCCTGTGGATATTAGCTATCCTGTGTCTCTAACCACTTCAGTGTTTCCCCAGTCAGTTCATAACTAGACCAGAGCGGCCATTAAAGTAGAGATGCAGACTGCACATGAGTCTCAGTATAATCGTTCTTTTTCAATTAGGTTAAGCTGGATACTGCCTCTCCTGAGTGCCCAACATGCCAGCAGCAGAAACCAACAAAAACTATTGACTGACATGATGCCATTTCTAGAAATTACAAGCCAGCCACCTGTCTGACTACCACAGAAGAGGCTGAAATTTGGCTTTCTCAGAATAATATGTATGTTGGGCTCAGGTTTGCTTTCTTTGCCAGTGATAGATTTTACAATACCTTACTTATCATCACATTATTTTAGGAAACATTGTCTGAACAGGGGACCAATTTTACATCAACAAAGTATGGCAACGAGATCATGACCATAAAATTCACTGACTTACCAAGTACTTTATCACTTAGAAGTAGCCAGTCTAATAGAATTTTGGGTTGGCTCAGTTGAAGGCTCACATACAGCACCAGCACTAGGACAATCCTCTGTGGAACTGAGGAGCATATCCTCTAGTATACCGTACATGCATTGAAACAATAGCTGCTATGTGGCACAACAGTTACCATAACATTGTGCTCCCCCAGAACTTTGAACCAAAGAGAATAAGTAGGAGTGGCCCCTCTCACCATCACATCTAGAACCTATTCAGACAATTTTTGCTTCCTATGCTCATGATATTAGGCATGACTAGGATGAAGGCTGTGGTTCCAGACAAGAAATATTTTCATCAGGGAATGTAGTAATTCCCACTGAATTGGGTTCTGTGACTAATACTACAGGCCCTGAGGACAGTGAATAAGCAAGCCAAAAAGAAGATAATTCACTGCCTGGAATAATCAATATTGATTACTGAAATGATTTTGGGTTGTTATTCTACCACAGGGATAAGATTGTGTATGTTTGAGACATGGGAATTTCCCTGGGATGATTTTAGTATTACTATGCTGGGTAATAATTGCTAATGGGCATTTGCAGCAATTGCAACCCAACATGGGCAGAAAAAGGAAGGGTTTACCCATACTGAAGATAAAAGTCTAGCCATAAGCAGATTGAAATTGAAACTGGACCTCTTCCTTACACCATATACAAACATCATCTCAAGATGGATTAAAGACTTAAATATAAAACCTAAAACTATAAAAATCCTGGAAGATAACCTAGGAAATAGCATTGTGGACATAAGACCTGGCAAATATTTCATGATAAAGATGCTAAAAGCAATTGCAACAAAAGCAAAAATTGACAAATGGGGCCTAATTAAACCAAAGACCTTCTATACAGCAAAAGAAACTATGAATAGATTAAACAGACAACCTACAGAATTAGAGAAAATATTTGCAAACTGCATCTGACAAAGTTATCTAATATCCGGAATCTATAAAAAGCTTAAACAAATTAACAAGCAAAACACAAGCAACCACATAAAAAATGCAGGCAAAGCTCATGAACACTTTTCAAAAGAAGACACACATGCGCCTAAAAAGCATATAAAAAGATGTTCAACATCACTAATCATTAGAGAAATGCCAATCAAAACCACGATGAGATACCATCCCATACCAGTCCGAATGGCCCCTATTAAAAAGTCAAAAAATAGATGCTGATGAGATTGTGGAGAGAAAAGGAATATTTATATACTGTCAGTGGGAATGTAAATCATTTTAGCCATTGTGGAAAGCAGTTTGGTAATTTCTCAAAGAACGCAAAACAGAATTACCATTTGACCAAGCAATCCCATTATTGGGTATATATCCAAAGGAATATGAATTGTTCTACCATGAAGACACATGTATGCATATGTTCACTGCAGCACTATTCACAATAGCAAGGATGTGGAATCAATGTAAATTCCCATCAACAGTAGACTGCATGCAGAAAATGTGTTACATATACACCATGGAATATTATGTAGTCATAAAAAATCAATAAGATCACATCCTTTGCAGCAACATGGATAGAGTTCAAGGCCATTATCCTAAGTAAAATAAGACTAGAAAACCAAATACCACATGTTTTCACTTATAAGTGGAAGCTGATCATTGAGTACATATGGACACGAAGAAGGAAACAACAGACACATGGGCCTACTTGAAGGTAGAGGATGGGAATAGAGTGAGGATCAAATACTATGCTTATTACCTGGCTGATCAAATAATCTGCACACCAAACCTCCATGGCATGCAATTTACCTATATAAAAAACTTGTACATGTACCC
Organism: Homo sapiens; assembly: GCF_000001405.40. Lineage (NCBI taxonomy): Eukaryota > Metazoa > Chordata > Mammalia > Primates > Hominidae > Homo > Homo sapiens. Next base: position 79,184,069 of record NC_000008.11, on the reverse strand, counting down.
CTAAACCTGAAAGTTTTTTTAAATTTTTTATTTTTTTTAAGATGAAAGCCTGAGCCATTAACCAAACATCTTAGAACAGGAACATTTGGCCTAAGGAAAGGGCAATCTATAATACAATATTTGGTGGAAGAAGCCAATAGATAATGTCAGTTGCAACTTTAGGACCAGCTGCATGAGTGTGTCTGTAATTTGTTTTTAATGCTTTGCTTGCTTTTAGTAATCTAGTTTAGTCTATCCTAGGAAGAATCTACGACGAATTGGACCTGTAGCTTCTTTTTTGAGGATGAAATGAATATATCTTTTTCTCCGCAGTCTTAAAGTAAACGATTCTAACACAAATGAAAAGTGGTAAGTGGAGAAAGAGAGTAGAGGGAGAGGGGGAAGAATGGGAGTGCATATTTAATTTTTTGTTTTCTTTCCAGTTTTTCATTCCCCTTCAACTTTTTATCTAATTAGTTTTTAGAGCAATCTTAGGGTTTCAGTTTGGGCATACCCAGAAGTTGGCACAGCTAGGAAAGAAATGAGATTGAAGAACAAATACTGCCCAGAAATTGCAGCATATGTATTTGCTGCCATTCTGTGGACAGGGAGCTCTGTTCATGTGCCAAGCTAGACATGTTCAAAATGCTAAACTTGGCCAGCAATCAGAATCATTTCTTTGTGGGGTGATTTTTATTATAAGCATGAGCAAAGAAATAAAGATTTGTAAAGTATGGGATGGAGTAGAGGAAAAGTAGAATGGGAAGGGTGTTTAACACCCTTTCACATATCCACTGATAGATGTCAAAGTGTGTAGACTGATGGTGTCATGGCTTGGTGATATTTCCTGAGCACTGTTCACTTCCAGATCATTGAAGTCACATTTTTTCATTCACATTTTCTACGAAGCCATTTATTCAGAGAGAATCTATAAGTTCCAAAAGAGATATGAAAAAGCAATTTTACATTATTAGCATGGCTACTTCCTATATAATAACTCCTGTGTGTGGCTCTAATCCATATATATCTCTATCTCTATCTCTATATCTATGTCTATATCTATATCTATATCTATATCCACATACACATATATACTTATGTATTAGTCCATTCTCACGCTGCTAATAAAGACATACCAGAGACTGGGTAATTAGTTAAAAAAAGAGGTTTAATTGACTCACAGTTCAGCATGGCTGGGGAGGCCTCAGGAAAATTACAGTCATGGCAGAAGGGATAACAAACAAGTCCTTCTTCACATGGTGGCAGGAAGGAGAAGTGCTGTGCGAAAGAAGAAAAGGCCCCTTATGAAACCATCAGATGTTGTGAGAACTCACTCACTATAACAAGTAAAGCATGAGGGTAACCACTCCCAAGATTTCATTACCTCCAACTGGGTCCATTCCATGACACATAGGGATTATAGGAGCTACAATTCAAGATGAGATTTGGGTGGGGACACAGCCAAAGCATATCATTCTGCCCCTGGCCCCTCCCAAATCTCACGTCCTCACATTTCAAAACACAATCATGCCTTCCCAACAGTCCCTCAACGTCTTAACTCATATTGGTATTAACTCAAAAGCCCAAGTCCAAAGTCTCATCTAAGACAAAGCAAGTCCCTTCTGCCTATGAGCCTGTAAAAATCAAAAGCAAGCTAGTTACTTCCTAGATACAATGGATATGCAGGCATTGCATAAATACATTCATTCCAAATGGGAGAAATTGGCCAAAACAAAGGGGCCGCAGGCCCCATGAAAGTCCAAAATCCAAAATATGATCAAGAAATAATAAAGGATGTGAAAAGTTAATTTTATTTTCTATACAATGCTATCCTACCTCTGTAGTATCATCAACAAATTGTCAGTACAAGGAATATAGGAATCATGAAAGCACACATTGATTAGGTAAACAATCACTCATTTTTCTGAATTTAAAATTGTAATGTTATGCAGGGCTGCAGTGATTGGTGTTCAGTGTAAATGTGGGAACACAAATCACTTAAGTGGTGAAAGAAAGTGATTATTTCAAACCAAGACCCAGAGTTAACAGGTCAGAAAGTCATTTGCTTTGTATCTAAGGAGAACAGACAGGTAATAATGAGGGCAGTGGCACCCCATTGATATGGTTTGGTTGTGTCTGCTTCCAAATCTCATCTTGAATTTTAGCTCCCATAATTCCTACTTGTCATGGGAGGAACCTGGTGGGAGGTAACTGAATCAAGGGGCCACGTTTTTTCCATGCTGTTATCGTGATAGTAAATCAGTCTCACAAGATTTGATGGTTTTATAAAGGGCACACACTCTCTTGCCTACTGACATGTAAAACATGCCTTTCCTCCTCCTTCACCTTCACTCATAGATTGTGAGACTTCCCCGGCCATGTGTAACTGTGAGTCCATTAAGCCTCATTTTCTTTATTAATTACCCAGTCTTGGGTATTTCTTCATAGCAGTATGAAAATGGACTAATACAGTACTTTGGTACTGGGAGAGTGGGGGTACTGCTATTAAGATAACCGAAAATGTGAAAGCGACCTCAGAACTGGGTAACAGGTAGAGGTTGGAACAGTTTGGAGGGCTCTGAAGAAGGCAAGATGATATGGGAAAGTTTGGAACTTCCTAGAGACTTATTGAATGGTTTTGATCAAAATACTGATAGTAATATGCTGATAGTAATAAAGTCCAGGCTGGGTCCCAGATGGAGAGGAGGAGCTAATCTGGAACTGGAGCAAAGGTAATTCTTGCTATGCTTCAGCAACAAAAACTGGCAGTGTTTGGCCCCTGCCCTAGAGATCTGTGGAATTTTGAACTTGAGAGAGATGATTTAGAGTATCTAGTGAAAGAAATTTCTAAGCATCAAAGCATTCAAGGGGTGACCTGAGTGCTCTTTAAAGCATTCAATTTTTTTAAATTATACTTTAAGTTCTAGGGTACAGGTGCACAACATGCAGGTTTGTTACATATGTATACATGTGCCATGTTGGTGTGCTGCACCCATTAACTCATCATTTACATTAGGTATATCTCCTAATGCTATCCCTCCCCCCTCCCCCCACCCCACGACAGTCCCTGGTGTGTGCTGTTCTCCTTCCTGTGTCCAAGTGTTCTCATTGTTCAATTCCCACCTATGAGTGAGAACATGCGGTGTTTGGTTTTTTGTCCTTGTGATAGTTTGCTGAGAATGATGGTTTCCAGCTTCATCCATGTCCCTACAAAGGACATGAACTCATCCTTTTTTATGGCTGCATAGTATTTTATTCATTCACTGAGACATGGTTTGGAATTTGAACTTATGTTTAAAAGGAAAGCAGAGCATAAAGGTTCAGTAAATTTCCAGCCTGACAGTGTGGTAGAAAAGAAAAACCCATTCTCTGAAAAGAAATTTAAGCTGGCTACAGAAATTTGCATAAGTAACAAAGTTCCAAATGTTAATTGTCAAGAAAATGGGGAAAATATCTCTAGGGCATGTCAAAGGTCTTCAGAGAAGCCACTCCCATCACAGGTATGGAGACCTAGGAGGAAAAAATGGTTTAATGGGCTAGATCCAGGGCCTTGCTGCTTTGTGCAGTCTCAGGATTTGGTGTTCTGTGTCTCAGCTGTGGCTTAAAGGGGTCTAATATACCGCTCAGGCTGTTGCTTCAGATGGTTCAAGTCCCAGGCTCCTAGTGGCTTTCACATGGTGTTAGGCCTGCAGGTGCACAGAAGTCAAGAATTGACCTTTGGAAACCTCTGCCTAGATTTCAGAGGATGTATGGAAACACCTGGATGTCCAGGCAGAGGCTTGCTGCTGGGGTGGAGCCCTCATGGAGAACCTCTGCTAGAGTAGTGCTGAAGGGAAATGTGGGGTGAGAACCTTCACACAGTGTCCCCACTGGGGCACTGCATAGTGGAGCTGTGAGAAGACAGCCACCATTATTCATACTCCAAAATGATAGACCCACTGACAGCTTGCACTTTGTGCCTGCAAAAGCCACAGACACTTAATGCCAGCCCATGATATCAACCAGGAGGGGAGCTGTACACTGCGAAGCCACAGGAGTGGAGCTGCCCAAGGTCATGGGGATCCACCTCTTGCATCAGCATGACCTGGATGTGAGACATGGAGTCAAAGGAGATCATTTTGGAGCCTTAATATTTGACTTCCCCACTGGATTTTGGACTTTCATGGGGCCTGTAACCCCTTTGTTTTGGCCAAATTTCACCCAAATCTCATCTTGAATTGTAGCTTCCATAATTCCCACATGTCATGGAAGGGTCCTGGTTGGAAGTAATTGAATCAGGGGGCAGGTTTTTCCTATGTTGTTCTCACGATAGTGAATATATCTCACAAGATTTGATGGTTTTATAAAGGGAAGTTCCCATGTATATGTGCTCTTGCCTGCTGCCATGTAAGACATACCTTTTCTTCTCCTTCACTTTCTGCCATGATTTTGATGCCTTCTCAGCCATTCTGAAATGTGAGTCCATTAAACATCTTTTTCTTTATAAATTACATGGTCTCAGGCATGTCTTCACAGCAGTATGAAAATGGACTAGTACACCCATAAAAGTATCCTGTCACTGTATTCCATAAAAAGAGCTCTTTGGCTTTTGGCCTTTGGCTTCCTCCAAAATGTTATGTGAATGTGGCCAGAGTGGAAATTTTGTTGTGGGAGGGAGTAGCCAGAATGTCATCATTGAAACTTCTCTAATAAAACTGAGTTCAACAGATACTAATTGCATTTTTTTAAATTCACTATTTGTATTTCAAAATTAAATCCCCTCACTTTTTAGACTCTTTTCATGTGTACGCAGGTGTGTGCCTACTTAAGCAAATGGGACAAGGAGGCACACATATTGCAAAGAGGGTGCTTGAAGGAAAATCTGAATCTCTTCCATGATAGGGCCATGTTAGATCTGTGAGTCGTACAGAATTAATTTTTTACAATCTGAATAATTAAGGGTAAAATGAAGCCCACTGAATACTGAATGCCTCTATATAGCTCTTTTATGCAGAACATGAAGGTACCATTGGCAGGATGTTTACACATTCTGTTTGGCCTGAACTGCTTTTCAGGTGTAATTATAAACAGCTTTCTTTTCACTCTCAAAATTTTCTTGTTTGGAAGGTAAGTCATGTAGTCCTTCTAACCATGAGGAGAAACACGTTTGAGAGCACAGGCACTGCCCTCAAGAAGCACACTGGTTGAAGAATATACAACCTAGTGTAACTGCTGTGGCTGCTCATGCTCCTCTTTCAAGACACTGAACAGGGCCTTCCTTTGACATAGAACTTTGGAGATCCCCCCATCGATCACCAGTGGATAAAGAAAATGTGATATATCTATATAGATATAGATATAGATATTATATTTTATATATATATATAATGGAATATTACTCAGCCATAAAAAGGAACAAAATAATGGCATTTGCAGCAACTTGGATATAATTAGAGACAATTATTCTAAGTGAAGTAACTCAGGAATGAAAAACGAAATAATGTATAGTCTCACTCATAAGTGGGAGCTAAGCTATGAAGATGCAAAGGCATAAGAATGATACAGTGGACTTTGGGGGCTCAGAGGAAAGGATGAGAGGAAGATGAGGAATAAAATACTACATATTGGGTACAATATACACTGATCAGGTGATGGGTGCACCAAAATCTCAGAAATCACCACTAAATAACTTACTTATGTACTCAGACACCACCTGTTCCCCCAAAACCTATTGAAATAATAAAAAATAACTTTGGAGATCCAATGTTCCTCTGAATTTGGGAAAAAAGACTCTTCTCTGTGAATCAGGGCTGCAGGTCTTTTATAAAATTCTTATATGGGGCTTGACTTCAAAAACAACATCATTTACCTGGGCCTGCATACTTCCACTTGTAAAATGAGAATAGAGCTAGATCAATAGTTTTCTGAAGGAGTCATGGTCCTGAGTTATAGGGGTCACAAGTGTGGGGATCGGAGGGCTCTTGTCTTACTGTCCTTGTTTCAACCAGAGCATCAGGGCTTCTCTGTTTACATTCTGGGTATCTGTCTAAAGTTTCATTTGAATACAAGTTTCTGCATATACTCTATAGAAAAATAATAAATGTTTTAAATTATCTAACAAATGATCCAGTGACTCTGACTGGGTAATAAGAACACTACTACAGGGTCGCTGCTGGAGTGCTTATCCATCCATGTGAACTAGACATTAAGCAGGTGAAGCAATTAAATATTATTCTAAGATCTAGGATAACTGCTTACCTTCCTTCCACATGTAATTGCAATAATTGCTGATAATGTGGCTTGTGCCTTTACAGATTACATGTGAAAAATTGAACTTATTGTATTTCCTTTACAAGAATTCTGGGCCAACAGTCTGGAGGCTGGATTCTTGGCTCAGGCCTGTACCTAACTATTGCTGTGGCAAAGTAAGCTTATTAATGTCTGGTTCTCAATCTAATCATGTATGTGTATGTATTAGTCCATTCTCATGCTGCTATGAAAAAATACCTGAGACTGGGTAATTTATAAAGAGGTTTCATTGACTCACAGTTTAGCATGGCTGGGGAGGGCTCAGGAAACTTGCAATCATGATGGAAGACACCTCTTCACAGGGCGGCAGGAGAAAAAATGAATGCTGAGCAAAGAGGGAAGACCCTTATGAAACCATCAGATCTCGTGGGAACTCACTTACCATCATGAGAACAGCATGAAGGAAACCGCCCCATGATTCAATTATCTCCAACTTGTCTAGCCCTGGACACATGGGGGTTATTTCAATTCAAGGTAAGATTTAGCTGGAGACACAGAGCCAAACCCTACCAGTGCATAAAATTGGAATAACATTTTCTGTCCTTCTGGTCTCTCTTGCTTGTTGCCATTGTCAAGTAAGGTAATAGATGGAAAAGCACTCTGAAAATCACCAAATGAATGCATTTCATTGTTACTTATTAGGATAATTTCTTGGGATGGTTGTTACAATTGTTAAATTTTGTGGTTATTCTGATTATTTTTGAATATTAATCAACTTTAATTCTTCATTATAAACTTCTCTAAAAATGTTATTTTTCAGAAGCATTGTATTGTAGGATAGAACAGAGATATTCTTGCAAGCAAAGGAGACCAGTCCTGCTCATTTTAGACAAAATAGCATTGAGTGTCCACAGGATAAGTAGAAACCCAGATGACAGGGTTTAGGGAATAGACAAATCCACGGAAGCAGGAAAAATACACTAAGCATCTGGAGTAGTTTGCCATCACTTATCACTGTTCCTGTGTTGAATTACCTCTAACTAGGAGTAGGTAATTTTCAAAATATATATCTCTTTGTATAATACAAACACTGAATACTCTGAATGGTCTGTAACTAAAAACCTAGTAGGGCCATACTGGTGCATGACTGCTGGATATTAAGTTTTGCCTCCAATTATTTCTCATGCTTCTGCATCTCTAGCTCAAGACCAAAGTTCTATCCAATAGCAGTGCATTAGATGAGCTTGGGTCACTTGTGGTTAAATAATGGGAAAAGGCTTAGCGAGTTTGTAGCCTGCAGCTTCTGTCAGAACAGAAAAGATGCAATCTCTGACCAAGACTGCACACAGAAGGTATTTGGGCGGCTAATAGTGAAGGGATTTAATTCTTAATAGCTAAAATAAAAAGTGTTCGCAGAAAATGTGGTATTTACTTCCTATCTTGTTTTTCTCATGTGTATTTTGGTAATTGAATTACCTGTTATTTCTCTAAAGTACAGAATAGTAATGCTGAGGTGACAGGTATATATGCAAGACATGGAATTTTAGATGTTGATACTTATTAGCATTGATTTATTCAATGTTATTTCACTGAGCAAACATTAAAATTTAATAAGACAAGGTACAGAAATACATGTGACAGATAATATTTAGCATGTCTGTTTCAGAGATAGAAACATCCTTTAATTTAAGTAAAGAAATGGAATTCCACAGAGAGGCCTTGACACATTTGTAAGTGTAGATGACATATGTAGAATTTTTGGTAGTATTTTGCATATGTGGGTTTTTGATATACAAAGAAAAACTTCTTCCTTCCTATATTAAAGTGATTTCTTTATCTTGTTTCCATGGTAATAATGAATTGGTGTTAATTGTCTGACTTCCCACCTACAATGCAATCTGGGCTAATTCTGCCAGGTTCCAGCTGAGTCTCCAAAGACGAGGACAGGCTCCTAAGTGGCCCAGACTGAGCCTCACTACTCAAGCCATCAGGGAAGCTGGCAATTGCATGGTGACTCAACCTTAAGCCAAGATCAAAACCTAAATACAAAACACAATGCAGAATGCACAAATAGCTATTTCACAAGCTGTAGGTGAGAACTAAGAGTTAACAACAGAATAGAAGAGGAATTTAAAAGAAGCAGGAGAGGAACAGAATGAGTCCTGGAAGTTTACCTGTAATGTCAACAGTTCACCTTTAGGGGCCAGGAAATCAATCATGTCTAGGCCTGTTGGCTATTTCTAAAGGTCGGAATCTGGGAAAATGGATCTGTTTGCATTATCTTACTATTTCAGTTTACAGGCCTGCTTTCAGTAATGAGGGGTCAGGGCCAGAGTCCAAAGAGAGGCTCTCATATACAAGATGTCTAAATACGTATTTAAAAGCTATGTGTAAAACTATCCAACTGTCAAATAAAACATGTTCTATCAAACTCATTGAACAATATACCTTCATAATAAAAAAATGAAAAAATATATGTAAAGCTATGGTTTCTTAGGATAAAAAGTAGCAAAATATATCTGTTTGAATTCAACTTTTATTGTGCATAACTAGGTATTCTGTTAAGAGAAGTTCAATGTTTAAATCAGTAGTAAACACTTATAATTTATAAATTACTATGTATTTATTTATAATATTCTTTTTACTTGCCCGATTATGGTTTTATAATAGATACTTTTGCATACTTTTATTTTTTTAACAGCGATAATGTGAAGGATAAAAAATAAGATATAATTTTGTTCAGTGTATAAACTTTAAAATACGAAATTATAAATTAGAGTACAATAATTTTCATGCATATTAAAAATTAATTTATTCTCAAGTATTCAAATTTTTTGAGGAAATTCAAAAGTAAAATACAACTTATAATTAATAAATATCCATTCTAATGTTATTTAAATAACGAAATTAATATTTTTTGAAAATTTTATTCTTATTGAATTTTTTATTATGAGGAGGCTTCTCACAATTCTAGTTTTCAGTAGGTACTATCATTGCCAATGTGAAAAATTGGTGTCAAGCTTCCTGCATGTTATGTCTATACTGACATACATATATGTATATGTATACACACACACACACACATACACTTAAGAGTACTATGCATTAACATTGAAAATGTTTCTAGGCTACCTTGCATAAATGCTGTAAAGATTCAATTAATTCATAGATATCTGTGGAATTGTGACTTGGAATACAAAGAAAAGGAAAAAAAGATGGATGCCCAGCATACTGGGAAATGATTTTTCATTATGAAATATTCTATTACATTCATGCTCTATAAAAGGAAGAATTTGACAAGGTTTTTTCTCTAGCTCAAAACCTTCTAACATTCAATTTTTTTGCTGTGTTTATTCCCAACGTGGGTAGCAAGACAATCCACAATCCTCAAAGCATTCAGATAGACGCAAATTTTGTTCAAGAACGTAAGGGAAAGTGTATGTGTCGAGGAATGTATCCATTTCTTCTAGATTTTCTAGTTTATTTGCGTAGAGGTGTTTGTAGTATTCTCTGTTGGTAGTTTGTATTTCTGTGGGATCGGTGGTGATATCCCCTTTATCATTTTTTATTGTGTCTATTTGATTCTTCTCTCTTTTTTTCTTTATTAGTCTTGCTAGCGGTCTATCAATTTTGTTGATCCTTTCAAAAAACCAGCTCCTGGATTCATTGATTTTTTGAAGGGTTTTTTGTGTCTCTATTTCCTTCAGTTCTGCTCTGATTTTAGTTATTTCTTGCCTTCTGCTAGCTTTTGAATGTGTTTGCTCTTGCTTTTCTAGTTCTTTTAATTGTGATGTTAGGGTGTCAATTTTGGATCTTTCCTGCTTTCTCTTGTAGGCATTTAGTGCTATAAATTTCCCTCTACACACTGCTTTGAATGCGTCCCAGAGATTCTGGTATGTGGTGTCTTTGTTCTCGTTGGTTTCAAAGAACATCTTTATTTCTGCCTTCATTTCGTTATGTACCCAGTAGTCATTCAGGAGCAGGTTGTTCAGTTTCCATGTAGTTGAGCGGCTTTGAGTGAGATTCTTAATCCTGAGTTCTAGTTTGATTGCACTGTGGTCTGAGAGATAGTTTGTTATAATTTCTGTTCTTTTACATTTGCTGAGGAGAGCTTTACTTCCAACTATGTGGTCAATTTTGGAATAGGTGTGGTGTGGTGCTGAAAAAAATGTATATTCTGTTGATTTGGGGTGGAGAGTTCTGTAGATGTCTATTAGGTCTGCTTGGTGCAGAGCTGAGTTCAATTCCTGGGTATCCTTGTTGACTTTCTGTCTCGTTGATCTGTCTAATGTTGACAGTGGGGTGTTAAAGTCTCCCATTATTAATGTGTGGGAGTCTAAGTCTCTTTGTAGGTCACTGAGGACTTGCTTTATGAATCTGGGTGCTCCTGTATTGGGTGCATAAATATTTAGGATAGTTAGCTCCTCTTGTTGAATTGATCACAAACAAATGGAAGAACATTCCATGCTCATGGGTAGGAAGAATCAATATTGTGAAAATGGCCATACTGCCCAAGGTAATTTACAGATTCAATGCCATCCCCGTCAAGCTACCAATGACTTTCTTCACAGAATTGGAAAAAACTACTTTAAAGTTCATATGGAACCAAAAAAGAGCCCGCATTGCCAAGTCAATCCTAAGCCAAAAGAACAAAGCTGGAGGCATCACACTACCTGACTTCAAACTATACTACAAGGCTACAGTAACCAAAACAGCATGGTACTGGTACCAAAACAGAGATATAGATCAATGGAACAGAACAGAGCCCTCAGAAATAATGCCGCATATCTACAACTATCTGATCTTTGACAAACCTGAGAAAAACAAGCAATGGGGAAAGGATTCCCTATTTAATAAATGGTGCTGGGAAAACTGGCTAGCCATATGTAGAAAGCTGAAACTGGATCCCTTCCTTACACCTTATACAAAAATCAATTCAAGATGGATTAAAGATTTAAACGTTAAACCTAAAACCATAAAAACCCTAGAAGAAAACCTAGGCATTACCATTCAGGACATAGGCGTGGGCAAGGACTTCATGTCCAAAACACCAAAAGCAATGGCAACAAAAGACAAAATTGACAAATGGGATCTAATTAAACTAAAGAGCTTCTGCACAGCAAAAGAAACTACCATCAGAGTGAACAGGCAACCTACAACATGGGAGAAAATTTTCGCAACCTACTCATCTGACAAAGGGCTAATATCCAGAATCTACAATGAACTCCAACAAATTTACAAGAAAAAAACAAACAACCCCATCAAAAAGTGGGCGAAGGACATGAACAGACACTTCTCAAAAGAAGACATTTATGCAGCCAAAAAACACATGAAGAAATGCTCATCATCACTGGCCATCAGAGAAATGCAAATCAAAACCACTATGAGATATCATCTCACACCAGTTAGAATGGCAATCATTAAAAAGTCAGGAAACAACAGGTGCTGGAGAGGATGCGGAGAAATAGGAACACTTTTACACTGTTGGTGGGACTGTAAACTAGTTCAACCATTGTGGAAGTCAGTGTGGCGATTCCTCAGGGATCTAGAACTAGAAATACCATTTGACCCAGCCATCCCATTACTGGGTATATACCCAAATGAGTATAAATCATGCTGCTATAAAGACACATGCACACGTATGTTTATTGCGGCACTATTCACAATAGCAAAGACTTGGAACCAACCCAAATGTCCAACAATGATAGACTGGATTAAGAAAATGTGGCACATATACACCATGGAATACTATGCAGCCATAAAAAATGATGAGTTCATATCCTTTGTAGGGACATGGATGAAATTGGAAACCATCATTCTCAGTAAACTATCGCAAGAACAAAAAACCAAACACCGCATATTCTCACTCATAGGTGGGAATTGAACAATGAGATCACATGGACACAGGAAGGGGAATATCACACTCTGGGGACTGTGGTGGGGTCGGGGGAGGGGGGAGGGATAGCATTGGGAGATATACCTAATGCTAGATGACACATTAGTGGGTGCAGCGCACCAGCATGGCACATGTATACATATGTAACTAACCTGCACAATGTGCACATGTACCCTAAAACTTAGAGTATAATAAAAAAAAAAAAAAAAAAAAGAAAAAAAAAAAAACAAACCTCAACAAGGAAAAAAAAAAAAAAAAAAAAAAAAAAAACAACTCCCTACACAACGTGAGCCTTGCTATAATTTACCAGTCTGACCCTTCTTGAACTTCACCACAAATGCTATTAATGGCCAATGCGGTATTACAACAATAAAGAGAATTTCTTCTATTAGGTTGGTGCAAAAGTAATTATTTTTGCACCAACTAATAGGTTATCAGCATAATTTAGAAGCCATTGTTTCTTTAATCTTTCAAGCCTTTAGCATACTCTGAGTGTTCCCTCCACTAGATGCCATCAGTTTCTTCTACCAGTTGGAGAGAGTTACTATAGACTTTATCAGTTTTCTAGAAATTTGCCTCTGAGAAAACAATTTTCTCTTCAAAACTCAGCCTAGACCTTGCGGGCTGTTACAACTGTTTGATGTAATAAAAGAACCTCCAAACAGAATTGTTGGGAAATTGGAAATTGAGATCTAATTCCACCGCTGATATTCGCTACCCTTATACATCTCAGTTTTCACAGTTACCGAAAAGTATGATCATATGAGTAAGAATGTACAATATTGCTCTTTCTGTGCTTGGCTTATTTCACTTAAAGTCCTCCAGTTCCACTCATGTTGCTGCAAATGACAGGATCTCATTCTTTTTTACGGCTGAATAATAAAAAATTGATCTCATGGAGACAGTGAGTAAAATAGTGGTTACCAGAGGCTGGGAAGGGGAGCACGGAGGGAGAGATAAAGAGAGGTTGGTTAATTGGTACAAAAATACAGTTAGATAGAAGGAATAAGTTCTAGTCTTCTGTAGCAGAGTGGGGCAACTATAGTTAACAAGAATTTATTGTATATTTCAAAATAGCTAAAAGAAAAAATCTGGAATGTTCTCAACACAAAGAAATGATAAATGTTTGAGGTGATGAATATCCCAATTATTCTCATTTGATCATTGCACAGTATATACATGTATCAAAATATCACATGTGCCCCATAAATATGTATAACTCTTATGTGTCAATAAAAAGAAAAGATTGGTCATAAGGTCTGCTTAGATCCAAAATGTTCTGTGATCTTAGGCAGTTCTTTGTGCTGCTCTGACTTGTAGAAAATGATTGTAAACTAGAGGAATTCATTTTAATAAGGCATAAATCTCCTGGTTTAAGCATTAGCCCCTGCAAATCTCATCATTGTTATTTGTTAGTAGTAATCTTTTAATTAAAATCTGCCTAATTCGATCCAAGAGTGATATACAATGAACACTTTAGGCTTTTATTAATAAATGTTAAAATATCTTAATTGCAAAAAAAAAAAAAAAAAAAAAAGAACGTAAGGGAAGATATAGAGAAGCATTTCTCTGGGTATTAGTCAAGGCAGCAGTTTTAGGGTCCTGGGTCATAGTGTACCAGTCCTGAGCACCAGGTCCTAGTAAAATAGGTATTCAGTAATAATTTAGTTTTGTATGTTTGTCATATTTAGGGTCCTCTAAAACAGGGGATCTTTAGCAGGACCCTCTCTTGCATGGCCCTAAGGGTGCTATTCTAGTTAAGAAAAGTAGCATTTATTTCAAATCACTAACGAGTGCTAGAGGTGCAGTTTTCAGTCATAAAAAGAAAAAAGTAAGCCATCCAGAGTTGATGGAACTTTAGCTCTGTGGGGCGGGGTGGGGGCGGGGGGCGGGAAGCAGCATTTAATATGTTGGTGAAGATTAAGGTATTGAGATTTTAATCTGTGGTTGTACTTCCTGTATTATTTCTTCATGGTCATGACCAAGCATATTGCCAGATCTTTTATACTTTTGTGTTTTGGGAACTTTTGCCAAGAGCAAAGCTCATAGACACTAACGAGTTTATGTTTGGTTCCTGAGATGGGAGGAGAAAAAAGAAAGAGGGAGAGAGTACCTTTGGGAACAGCAAAAGGGAATAGAGAGACTTTGACAGACTAGTAGGAGGATGGGGTTGGAAGATTCTACAAGGAGTATTCATTCACATCCTATTTTGTGGCAACATGCAAGAGTGGTATCAAGACTCCAGAAAGGATGGTTTTCTAGAGCACCTGTGCGCTTGGCCATGAGGCAGGAACCATAGCCTCAGAACAAAGTTTCAAATATTGCATAGGCACTGAGAGCCACCAAACGTCAAGAATTCTGTAGGCAGGGACAGAAAGATCTCAATAGTTATCAGAGTAGTGAGAAAAGATGCCTTCTTCTGTTCTGAATAAGGTGATATGAGTGAGAAGGGCTATAGAGTATTAATGCCTGATACTGATTTTCTGGCTTGAAGGCAGATTTAATTTTTTTTATTAAAAATAAAGAAATGTGGTTGCACGCATACTTGAGTTTGTGCTGCAAGTTAATTATCATTGTATGACTTCATTTTTGTTCAGCTCTGTGTATTTTAGGTTTATCTACTAATCATACTCATATAGATACTTGTGATTCAGAGATACTTCAGCAGTATTTAACAGTCTCTGGACATCAATATTTGACATTAATTTTACCATATTGTTGCAACTAGATCATCTACATGTAATCATTACATTACTTTTATCTGTATTTGATTAGTTGTATAGTTTGTAAAAATAAGATCCCTACCCAAATATATATTCTCATTTGGAGATCATATTATCTGAAGATTCACCTTTAAAGATTTTTTTCACTGACCTCTTAAGGCTATATTTTAAAAATATAAATTAACCTTCAAAAGATGGCATAAACTAATATCATATCAATAGGACACCTTAGATTTGAGGAAGAAACCCCATTGTCATGATGATAATGGACTTCCTGGGGACAGAAGAGAACTAGTATATGTAAAGATGCAAAAGTCTACAAAGCAAGAAGCTAATGATTCTATGTGGGTCCAAGCTTGCATTTATAGGCTCCAGTTCAACAGGGTTTCTGATAAATTTTGGCCAATCCAAAGATGCAATAAACCTGGGTACGAGAGCAGGGCTCTACAATCTTTTAAAAGCTTCCCACTGGTACAATCAACAAGAAAGATATGAAGAAATATTCTTTGAGATAGGTGAGAGTGTTCTCTTCTCTCCATTTTGCACCTGATCATTGTTTTCATCTCTCTTTCTGTTCTGTTTTCAGAGGCCAGTGTACTGGGACCACACTATTGATACAGATGTTGTTTACCTCATGGTTGACTTTCTTGACTTTACTTGCTTCTTATGAAATGTATGTGAGGTCAAGCCAGTAGGGTGTATGTGTGTAAAAGTGATTTGCATGCAAATGTGAAGTTGTTTGCAAATGAAAGCTCTATTGACATTTTCCATGCTGAATTATTTTTTCAAATAGAAGAGAATCTCAGTCATAATATTCTTATATACTGTTGGAAAATATGAACTATTCACCTTCTTTGGACTACTGTGAGATAGGTCTTGGTGTTACTTTGAATATGTCAAAAGGCTGACTTCAAAATATTACTGATTGGATACTGTTGCAAATTGTATGCGTGCTTTCTTTTTCTTTCTTGTCTCTATCTTTGTGCCATCTTTAAAATGACAGATTACTACACTGTGGTTAATGTCATTGTCAAATATTTGCCACTTGGTTCGGCTTGTGATGACCAATATAATAATATTAACTAAGTCTTATGCTTCAATACAACTTTTCATGTTTTCCAAGTGTTTTCACACACCTTATCTCCTTCTGTCTTTACTTGATCCTATGAAGTCAATTCAGAAGGTATGATCTTCCCTACTTTATGGTAAGAAAATAGTGTCAGGGCACATGAAAAAATGCTCATCATCACTGGCCATCAGAGAAATGCAAATCAAAACCACAATGAGATACCATCTCACACCAGTTAGAATGGCAATCATTAAAAAGTCAGGAAACAACACGTGCTGGAGAGGATGTGGAGAAACAGGAACACTTTTACACTGTTGGTGGGACTGTAAACTAGTTCAACCATTGTGGAAGTCAGTGTGGCGATTCCTCAGGGATCTAGAACTAGAAATACCATTTGACCCAGCTATATTTTTATGTCTTGATTTTAAAGCAAAGCAATATTACTGGGTATATACCCAAAGGATTATAAATCATGCTGCTATAAAGACACATGCACACGTATGTTTATTGCGGCACTATTCACAATAGCAAAGACTTGGAACCAACCCAAATGTCCAACAATGATAGACTGGATTAAGAAAATGTGGCACATATACACCATGGAATACTATGCAGCCATAAAAAATGATGAGTTCATGTCCTTTGTAGGGACATGGATGAAGCTGGAAACCACCATTTTCAGCAAACTATCGCGAGGACAAAAAACCAAACACCGCATGCTCTCACTCATAGGTGGGAATTGAACAATGAGGACACTTGGACACAGGAAGGGGAACATCACACTCCAGGGCCTGTTGTGGGGTGGGGGGAGGGGGGAGGGATAGCATTAGGAGATATACCTAATGTAAATGATGAGTTAATGGGTGCAGCACACCAACATGGCACATGTATACATATGTAACAAACCTGTACGTTGTGCACATGTACCCTAAAACTTAAGGTATAATTAAAAAAAAAAGAAAATAGTGTCAGGGAATGGAGTGATTGGCCCAAGGTTATAAAGTTAGTAAATAACAGAACCACATAGTAATCTGGACTTTTAAGTTTTATGCTTTTCTATAATAATAATTGATAATTGAAGGACATTTTATTTCAAAAGTATTCTCCCTCATATAAAATTCAGAGTTAGGCTATCTTTTCTTTTAAGCTTGCATTACCTGGGATTTAATAAGTGAGCTTCAGAAGGTTTCCATCAGTCTTATTACCTTAATCTAAGTTCCTAAGCGTTTTCTCATTTGAAGTAAAGATTTCTGCTAACTTATTTAGTCTCCAAATATTCAAATGTTAAGAAGACTGAAAAAAAAACCTATCGTTTCCTTTCACTTTTTCCAACAATTTGTAAACCCCCAACCCCTTTGCTTATAGAACTCTTCTTTCTTTTATACTAGAGGGTACTTGGAAAAAAATAGCAACGAAGCTGAGAGCTGAAACTGAAACAGCAATAAATTCACATGAAATACTTCAATTATGAAGTGCTGCAATCACTTAGTTTTATGAAGCCTCTTGGTTAGAACATTGCAATAGCATTTTGATGTTCCAGAAGCTTCAAAGTGGGTCAGTTTTTACTGTACCAAGGAAAAAAAATGAGATATTAAAATTGTCTGTGGCTGTAACTTTTAAGGCTCTTCTCCATTTCCACCTCACTTCTTTGCAGTGTTAAAATACCAAAATAAAGAGAAAAATGAGTAAAATATTTAATTTACTCATTTATGTACTTGTGATTAATAGTTATTATAAGCAAAAAAGACATAGCTACATTTGCTGTCCATATAATTTTAGAATGAGACCAGATTATTACAGATAAGTAGCATTATAATATTTATTTTAAAGGTGAATTTTGGTGCTATATTTTTATGTCTTGATTTTAAAGCAAAGCAATAAAAAGTAAGTGGCTATATACCTTCACTTTCCACAGATTTATGTTAAGTACTTACTGGGTACAATGCATTCTCTTGGATCTATGTGGATATACATATATACATTAGAAGTTGGGATAAAGCTCTGCATACATTAGAGTTAATCACATATTCAGATAACAACAGTGACTGAGAGCAGCTACTCAGAATTATGCATCTATGTCTGTGCAAACCATAAAAATTGAGAATTATGTAAAAAGTCTCGAAGCCATGATACTCCCATCAAATTGAAATAAAGTATAAAGAAGGCTGCTTTACTTTGGCACTTGTGGCATCCACTCTGGATGGTTGATGACACTCCAACTAATAGTAGGAGGCTCACAGTCTCCCAAGGCCGATGAGAAGGTTGAGAACAATCAGAAAGATTATGAGTAATGAAAATTATTTTTCTATTAAAGTCTAAAGAATAGTTTGTAGAACTAAATCTAGCCAAGCATATGCTTTTTTATTAATCTTTTTATAGAGGAAACATCTGTCATTTAAAGAATTCAAGATATTTATGTGGAAAGACATACCTATTATGTAGCAGTTCTTAAAACCACCTACTGATTGTTTTAACTATGCTAAACTATAACCTTCTTGAACCTGTGTACTACAATGCCTCTGAAATATTGTTGCCAATTATTCTTTTCTCCAAATATACAGCCAGTGCCTGTTGCCAACCTGCTCTCTTTTTTTCCTTCATGTTTTTTCTTAGCTTCATCTCTGATACAAACTCATATATGCACACAAACCACATTCAAAAGGTTGCTGTTTGAGAATTCAACTAGCAACATTTTCTACTCTTTAATTATACTGTAATATAATTTTATTATATTTGTTTGTTTGTTGTGGTTCTGTTTCAAGTTCTGTAGCATTTTCAATATTAGTCAATATATATTATGAAAGGGTGCACTTATGTTTCTCTATAGTAGATACAGTCTATTGGATAGGACATTATAAAAAAAAATTCTAAAAGATTCCTAGTTGATTTTCTTTTTGTCTGAAGACACTGCTGCTAATTATGTTGCTCTGTATCTCTGAATGTGGTTGAAGAAATAAATCAATGTGGAACTACTGGTCCTTATTATACTCTCAGTGTGAATAAGTCATATTTTGCTGTAGACAATGTGAGGCCTGAATATTAACATAAACTTTGTTTTCCATTTTGGTAAACTATTCTCACATCTTTATTGAAACTCTCCAAGTATTTTACTGGATATAAAACTAAAAAGTAAAATCTGATCCCACTTTTTGAAAAACTGAATTGAGACTGATTTTATACATACACACATACAATCACATATACATTTCTATTTAAATTATTGATCAGGAATATCAAATAGATTTCAACTTCCTTCTTAGTCAAATTGATTGATAATAATGGGTTTGAAGATTCTGAAGCCATCTTCAGGCTTAGTGGGAAAGGATGCTAAGATCAATTAGCAATACCTGCTACAGATGCAACAGTGGAAGATGGCATGCCTTGCATATGTTACCTCAACTATGTTCTTTTAGGAACCACTGTTTTCATTCCTTGCACAATGCCTGACAAGTGCTTGGCATCAAATGCTGAATGAATAAATGAATGAATCTAGGCTTTCTCAATTAAAATAAAAACGCACGTTAGATCCACACGAAACAATTGGAAAACAATTATATCCTGGCCTATAAGCTACTGACACTTGCTGAAGAGAAGAGGTGAACTGAGGTGAACTGAGGAAGTTAAATAATATTTGCAGAGGAATTGAGTCTTGAAGACTAGCTAGAAGAACTAGAAGAATGGTTAAGCAGAAAGTTTAGAGAAGGGGATAGAGGAAACAAAATGAAAAAAAGATGTGGAGATATAAATATAGAACTAACTACTGTGTGTTCGAGGTGAAGAAAAGACCTACTAAGAAATATACGGAGTAAGGGAACAATGGAATACTGGGTAAGAAAGGTGTGTGTGTGTGTGTGTGTGTGTGTGTGTGTGAGAGAGAGAGAGAGAAAGAGATAGAGAGTCTGGTGTCAGAGATAGGGACAGATTTTGGTGGACTATCAAACCAAGTTAAAGGATTACAATTGATGTAGAAGAAAATAAATTTTTATTTATTTATTTATTTTATTTTTTTTTATTTTTTTTAGGACAGAGTCTCGCTCTGTCGACCGGGCTGGAATACGGTGGCGCAATCTCGGCTCAGTGCAAGCTCCGCCTCCTGGGTTCATGCCATTCTCCTGCCTCAGCCTCCTGAGTAGCTGGGACTACAGGTGCCCACCACCATGACTGGCTAATTTTTTGTATTTTTAGTAGAGACGGGGTTTCACCATGTTACCCAGGATGGTCTCTGGTCTCGATCTCCTGACCTCGTGATCCGCCCACTTCGGCCTCCCAAAGTGCTGGGATTACAGGCGTGAGCCACCGCGCCCGGCCTATAAATTTTTATTTTAATAGAAAAGTGAAATACTGAATGTGGTAGTCTAGAAGCTTTCTCCTGGCATTAGTACACAAACAGAGTGGATGCAGAAAAACCTCGAGACAGATCAAGAGTACCAAGACAAGATCAAGACAAGAGTATCAGAGGCTTGGGGTGCTAAGGATGGTCCAGTTAGGAATGAGGAGAAAAGGGAAACTATGTAAGGTCTGTTGAAAGTTTAGAAGTTATATTTTTGATAACCTTCATGTAGAGACAAAAAGTAAAGGAAGAAGAAACATTATTCCAAGTTCCTAATCAAATATTATTAAATAATTTGGAATCTCCAAAGCATACTACTAGCGACCCTAGGAGGCTGATGTGGTTAGATACTGTGGCTTAATTGCATATGAGATAAATAGGCTTTGGGTGTTAGAGGGAACTCATGCATATAGAAAGCAAAGACCAAAAACTTTCCTTCCTGTTGTGCATTATGGAACATGAGTTGCTTTGGAGATTGAAGAATAGGAGAGCAGAAGAAAGACATTATAATATGGGGATTAAAAATCTTTTCCTGCTTATTAATCCTGGGCTGCCTTATTTGCTTCTATGTGTAACAACAGCTGTCTGTTACAGGGACGTCAGTAGTGGTGTTTGTAGAGTGGGGTTGAAAGTCTTTCTTCCTTACTCTTACGATTTTCTACGTAGAGAAGAGCAGATGTACTTGGGCAGGATGGTAAAGCACAGTACTTTCATGGCCATTACAACATTTTTTTTCCTGTCACCAAAATATGCTAAAAATGAAGAGGAATTGCAGGCAAGTATTTTAAAAAATGAAAGTATTATACAATAAGATTGTATTTGAGGTTTGTCATGGTTCCTTATTCCGCTCTATGGACAAATCAGTGGTACTTTTGGAATTTGTTGGCTCTGAAGAAGGGAACGTCTGATTGTAAGTTTCAGACAACTGAGCATTGAGTCCCTGAAATAGCAGACCTTCCAAACAGAGCAACAACTAGGCTCAGATCACCAAGTGTGGATTTGAACCTACTGAAACTATAACTAGCAGCTCTGCAAGCTGTTGGCCATGGCTCGATTCTCTACCATCATCGCTTCTCCTCATTCGGCTTTTTCATTGAGGAGCAGTATTGTCCTACTCTCAGGGCCTGCCTCAGATTGCAACCAAATCAAATGAGAGCCAGAAAAGGAAGCCATCCCCAGTAATGCTGGCTTTCCCTCACTTCCCTGAGTTGTGCAGGCACTCTGGCTTCTAGAAATTTCCATTCCAGTTAAAATATTTGCCATGCCTAAAATAAAATATGAGTTTTAATGAAATGTGCTCTGGCAAAATACTAGTGTAGAAAATTACTTTAAGTGTATTCCCAGTCATTTGAACATAGCTTATCCCAGCACCATTTTCACCTGTTTCTTCATAATGTTATAAAAAAAGAAGATGGAGAATAGGGTATTGGAAGCAGAACTGAACAAAATAATTACAAGGTGGTTGGAAATAATTTCATTGTCTTTACTAATTGCTCCTCAACAGAGACTTCTTCCATTCATTTAGGAAAATCAGTCGTTTTAAATACATGTGAGTGCTTGAATACCAGGAAATAATATTTCTTTTTAGGAATGAACATGCTTTTCTGACAAGCTAACAATGAAACTTTCTGTCAGTGTTCCAAATGTATAAAATAGTGTATTTGAAAGTTCTTTCATTGTATCCTGCTAGTTTTTTATGAATTTAATAACTACTTGGTTTAATTCTCATTTTCAACCATCCACATATTCCTGATTCTAATGATGCCTTTTAAGATAAACTAATCATGAAACACAGCCTAAAGAACTAAGTTAATTATTGATTTAGATTTTAATGCCTGCCTCTTCAAATCTGCATGTAAAGCAGTCAGTCACACATCCTAAGCTCCTATATGATTCCTGATGGTTAATTTTTTCTGACCTAAATAGTGGAGCTGACTCAATTCTTTTTCTCATAAAAGTGAGGTTATCCGCAGTTTCAGCAAAATTCTTCCTATTTCATGAGTGAGACAAATCAATATATTTCCCATGCTTTGTTGTATCACAAAGAAAAAAAATATCCATGGCAACTGAAAGCTGAAGCAAAATGTTAATCATTTGTGCTTCTCTTTGACTAGGAAAAACCTCACATTAGCGTATTGGGGAGAGGGCTGGAAGGGAGAAAGTGAGAAAAGTCTACAGAATTGACTATTTGGGCTCCATTAATGTTAGCACAGATTTTATTTTAACCATTGGTAACTGTTCTTGTTTACCTCTCTGCTATCTGTAAATTGTACAATTCTGATAAGAGGATTTCAATTTGCCACTGAAGCACGGAGTTATGGCTTCACTGCTGATGGAGGACAATACCAGCAAATGGCATTTAATGGCTTATTTAAAAGCCATTAGCCGTGTAAATGGAATTAAGGGCTACTTTGGGCTGGTCGGAAACTTATGATTTTTTTCTTAGTATACACTGAAAATTGGAAATTGCTTAAATGTCACCCTATTTTTAAAGATATGGGAGGCTGTATATGATGAGAGATTGTTAGTATCACAGATTTACTGACATGTGGTATTATCAGTCATCCAATGTTCAAATTAGAGATAAGGAAGGAACTGTATATTGTGATGTTAATAAGCATGTATTTAAAATTATGACAATTTGTTCTTATTATGCACTGAGCAATGTCTATGTTTATAAGTTAACTCACTAAATTCTCACAACAATGCTATGAGGTAGGAATTCTTAAATGTCTCCATTTTATAGATGTGAAAACTGAAGCACAGGTAGGTGCTGTCATCTGAATGTTTGTGTCTCTCAAAATTTATTCGTTGAAGCACAATCACCAAGGTGATTTTTGGACCTGGTCACTGGTTCCAGAGACTGTACTCTTCAATCGGCCAGTGGCTGTCAGAAATGCATAATAAAACCACAGGAAGGTCAGTACATTCATTAATTTTCAGGATTCTTTAAAAGATGGATAGTAGGAGAATGCTTCAATAGGCTGAACAAGTTAGACTTTCCCATCCTTACAAGGTTTGTATTTTGCCTCTGGTTCCTGTTCGTCTGAGGAGAGTAATAAAAGAGTTTTAACATGTCTTTCCAAAATAATATAGGATTTTTATAATATAGGGTTTGTATATATATATATGTTTATCATATGTATGTAATATATATGATAAACATTTATAATGAGAGGGCAATAACTACATATACTGACGAACAGATATAGATATAATCAGAGAACACAGGAAGAACTCACATTTATTCAGTACCTGTTTGGGGCCAGGAAATAGTCCAAGAACTTGACATGTATTAGCATGTTTCACCCTTACCATAACCCCATGAAGTAAGTGCTGTGATCTCCTCTCTTATCTTAAAGCTGGGAAATCTGAGGGTCAGAGTAGTTTCATGGCCTGCCCCAGGTCCCATAGTAATGGAACTGGGCTTCAGACACACAGGGTAGCTCTAAGGCCCAATCATCTAACCACTAGCTATATGATAGTTTTAGTTTCCTATAATATTTCTAATTAATAATTCCTTAAATAATAAGGAAGCAAATAAAAAACCTATATGCTAATTGCCCAAATTTACTTTCTGCAACCTGTTCAATTCATGTTTTTTTTCCAATTGTGAGCTTTAATATTCACTGTGACCATGTTTATAAATGTTTGCTAACACAATAATAAAGCTGATAATATAAGAACAGCTCTTCCTTCTCATAGAAATGCCTGTCTTGCAGAGAATTGAAGATACATTTAAAGTAGGATTGGCCTGCCTTCAAGGTCTGTTCTAGCAGATCAATATAAAGATCAATAAAAAAAACAGAATATCTTAGCAAATAACTAGGATGGTTTCTATGCGTTATTTTATTTTAACTAAGGAGAATGTTATCTCTGCTATTGCATCTGACATTTTAATTTAGCCTCTTTCAGTAACTATATTTGAAAGCAAGCATTTTTTTTCTCCATTAGTTACATTTTACTTCAGCTTCGGTACCAAGCTTTTAATCATTCCTCTGACTTCTACAAGCTCAAGTGATTTCAGCTTGCCTGTCACTACTCTCAGGAATCCTACACTTTGGGGTCAATACAGCAGGGATTTCATGACATCCTGAAATGCATTGGCCTGTGGGCTCTACTGACAGATAAGATTTATTACTTGGTGAGTGTAATGTTTTTGCCAATGAGTAAGTACAATGTCCATGATTTCTGAATCAAAAATATTGAGGACGCATCATCCAGCATATGTTCTGACGATTAGATGGAATATATAATATTACTCCCATCAGTAAAATTTATGGCACATTATCAGCTTTTGTGTGAGGGCAGTGTGGGCAGTTGGAAAATACAAAGTGCAATTCTTGATTTCCTTCGTTGATCTCTGCTGGGAGAGGAGACTAACGGGAGAAATGACTTTTTCTCTAAAAATTGAACTCTATGGAGATCCTTCTGTCCTTTCCCTTATCTCCTTCCCCCATTTTTCCCCACACTTATTGAGCGTGTTTTATGAAGCAGAAGCTTTATTAAGCACTTGTAGATTATAGATGAATATTGTCTCTGCCTAACAGGAGTTCATAGTCTATTTGGAGAAAGAGATATTAAAGTGTGCCATTTAAATATGGTGTTCCATGAGGAAGATGAGAGAGGGAATACAAGGCAGAATGGCATTTAAGGAAACCATGTCAAATCGGCTTAAAGATTAATGGAGGAAAAAGGCTCATAGAAATCCCAGGGATGGAGTAGCAACTTCAGACAAGGCTGAATCTTAGAATTCTGAACAATTTCTTTCAAACTTGGCCTCTCTTTCTGTCTTTTAGTTATGCTTTTCTTTCTACTGCCTTTATTCTCAGATAGGCTTTCTTTATCTAGAGACAGCTTTAGGTGTACACCTTACCATTTTAATATACCTAGTAGAAGGGAGAATTTTCCGGCTTATAATTCCAGAGAAGTCCCAGGCTCTATGTTTATTGCCTTAATTGTAAAACATGCTTAGTCCTGTATCATCACTATTGTGTGTGTGTGTGTTTGTGTGTGTGTGTGTGTCTCTGTGTGTGTGTAAAGCTCTGATTGCCCTTATCTGGTTCTTATGCTGCTCCTGGAACCAGAAAGAGGGATTAACCCCAATGTAACCACATGCACTGTGGTTGATAAAGAACCACATTTTGCTGTTGGAAGCTAACATTTGCTGTTGGAAGCTAAAATGGATACTCACTGGGGGAAAAAGAAAACAGAAAAATAGAGTAAGAAAGCAGCTGCCATTCTTAAGTATTTATAGAAGACAGAATGTTATAGTTTGAGAAGATTTGCTGAAAGACAATGGTGGAAGTATATACATAGAAACAACCCAGCAAACCACCAAGGAGGTATGTCCAGGGGATGGTATAGAGCTTAAGTACATAATGTGGCCTTGGATTCTAAACCTATATGGTTGGAATGTTCCTTATGTATAACAAGCCATTAACACCTTTGCTACAGTGAAGATTAGAAGTTCAGATACATTCATTTTATAGTTATAACAATCTGGAGTGACCCGAAAAATATGATGAAGGAAGAGCTGAGTGCTTCTTGCAATTTGGCTCTGTGATATTTGCATGCTTCTCATCTTGAAGGAGAATTTCAAACCAAAAGCAACCCAGAGACTATAAACAAGAAAGGAGGATGACTTTAGTGTCTTTCTTCACTGTATTGTATTCTAAAATAAAGAAGGCAAGGGCAAATATAGTATAATAGAAAAAAGAAAAACAGGAGTTTAAATTTGAAAACTTAATTGTAGTGCTGGTTATGCTACTGATTAGGTAAGTGTATGATGTTGGGGGATTTATTTAATCTCTCTGGGACTCAGTTTTTGTATCTTTAAAATGGAAATTTACATATCTATCTATCCGTCTATCTATCTATATCTTCAGAATTGTTTGAAGATTAAATAAAATATAGATGTAAAAGTATTTTGCAGGCACTAAGGTGGTATTATTAGCATGATTTAGTAGATATGAATTTGTAGATTATACTTAATTATTGATACCTTCTATTAATTGTGAATACAATGTATATTTTTGGCTGTTCATGATTTCCTATAAAAGTAGAGTTTAACATAATGGCATAGCTCAAGTAAAATATTATTAAATATATTTTTCATTCATATGTGTTTAATTAAGTTCTAGGCCTCCAATTGTATATAAAATATTCAGGCTTTAGTTTGAAAACAGTAATATGAGAAGATTCAACATAACCAAAATCTGATGTCCAAAACAGACAATAAGAGCAAACCACAAGAGATACAGTAAATGAGGTAATCTATTGTAGAGTCTAAAAACAATAATAATGATTAATGTGTTCAAGGAATTAATGATAAGATGGAGAATTTTAGCAAAAAAATAGATTTTATAAACAAAATAAACAAACATCAATTCTATAATTAAAAAAACAAAGTAACTGAAATTAGTAACTGAAATTAGTGGGTGAATTTAATAAGAGGTAGGCACAGAGAAAGAGATAATTAGTAACTGAAGGAAATCTTTTTATTCACTTATTTATTTATTTTTGAGACAAGGTCTTGCTCTATTGTTCTGACTGGAGTGCAATGGTATGATCACAGCCCTCTTGACCTCCTGGGTTCAAGTGATCGTCCCACCTCAGCCTCCTGAGTAGCTGGGACTACGGGTGTGCATCCGTAGTGCACGTGGCTAATTTTTGTAAACAGAAAAGATCTTACAACCTGTAAAATATGTAAAAAGATCTAGCATATATACAATTGGAAGTCCAAAGTAAAGGAGAGAGGGAATCATAATAAAACAATATTTGAAGAAACAATGTCTGAGACTTTTTTCAAAACTGCCGAAAGACATCAAACTAAGATTTAAGAAGATCTAGAAAGATAAACATAGAAGAAAACACAACTAAAATCACTAGTGTATACTTCTGGAAATAGGTGTGCTAAATTAAGGAAGTAAAAAATACTGAATGCTCCATTAAATTCAAATTTCAAATAAGTAACAAGTAATTTTGGGGTATAAATATCTTCCATGCAATATCTGGTATATACTTACACCAAAAAATCATTGTCTATCTGAAATTGTAATTTAATTGTATTTTATTTGGCAACTCAATATTTAAACCAAAGGAAACCAAGTAAATATTTTAAAAGCAACCAAAGAGAATGACACGATCCCCTCTAAAAAGCAATAATGAACCAAAAGATGACTATTCAATAGAAACTATGAAGTCAAAAACAATCCAATGCTATTTTCAAAGTTTTAAAAGAAAATAATAGTCAAACTAGACTGCTGCATTCAACAAAAGTATTCATGAAAACAAAGAGAAAATAAGACCATTTTCAGACAAAAAAAAAACCTAGGAAAGGCACGAACTGGCAGAATTAACCTAAATTAAATGATAAAGGGTGTTTTAAAGAAAACATCTACAATTAGCAGATGGAAGCGTGAAGCTGATGAATAAATGAAGCAGCATGGAAAGATTATCTTCTGAATATTTTAAATTAATTGGAACAGTGTATGACTGTAGGGAGTGGGATTGGGAGGTGACTATTGGGAAGAACCATGGGGAAAATTTCTGGCAATGGTAATGGTTTATGTCTTTAAAAAGGTTTGGATTATGCAATAAATGCAATGATCAAAATGCATTGAATGATACACTTAAGATTTATGCATTTTAGTGCATGTAAAAAAAGAAAATATATGCAAAAATTTAACTCTAGTAATTTATATTTATGCTGAAGTATTTAGGAATGAGGTATACTGATATCTGAATTACTTTTAAATACACAAAAAATAGGTGGATGAAAGAATTGATAGATGGATGAATATATGGCTATATTTGTAATAAAGCAAAAAGATTGATAGACTCCAAATGGTGGCTATATGAGTGTTCACTGCGTAATTTTTCAATTTTCCTGTATTTTGAAAATTTTCGTAATAAAATGGTGGAAAATGTAGGTGAATACATGACAATAATATATCATACATCAGGCGGGTTGTGTTAGACTGTTCTTGCATTGCTAAAAAGAAATACCTGAGACTGGGTAGTTTACAAAGAAAAGAGGTTTATTTGGCTCACAGTTCTCCAGGCTGTACAAGAATGGTACTGGCATCTGCATGGCTTCTGGGGAGTCCTCAGGGAGCTTTTACTCATGGCAGAAGGAAAAGGGGGAGTAGGTACACCACATGGCGAGAGCAGGAGCAAGAGAGAGGGTGGGGAGAGGTACCACACGCTTTTAAAAACCAGGTCTCATGAGAACTCAGTATCACGATGACAGCACCAAGCCATAAGGGAATCTGCTATCATAACCCCGATATCTCCCACCAGGCTCCACCTCCAACACTCAGGATTATATCTCAAGGTGAGATTTGGAGAGGACATCCAAGGTATATTAAGGGAGTAAATGGTTATGAGGCTTTTGAATTATCCAGGGAATTTTCAAAGTACAAATTTCAATTAGACTTTAATAATTTAAAAATGCACGTTGTAATCTCTATGTTAATCATTAAAAGAAGACTGTGTTAGAAAATGTATAACTATCAAACTAATAAAAAATAGATTCAAAATAATACATTGAAATAAGGTAAAAATAAGAATACTTAACTCAAAAAAAGGCAAGAATAGAGAGAAAAGTGAACACAAGAAAACTGAGACAATAGAAAAGCAGTACATTTAAATCCATATGTTATAATAATTTCATTAAATATAAATTAAATACTGTAGGCTGACTACAATATCTAGAAACAGTTTTTAAAAATAGATTTAAGGTGTCATTGATAATATTATGTATATACATATGTATTTCTAGACTAAGGAGACCCTGTATAATTAAAATACAAAAATTAAAAATTATTAAACTGGAAAAATAATCATATGCTGTTTATTTTGACCGTGAAGATAGCAAAAAGTTTGAAATTTAAAGTATGAAAAAATATATAGCTTCTAAGCACTAACCAAAAGACAGTTGATGTAACTATTCTAATACTTGTCAAAGTAGAGTTGAAGTAAAGAAGGATTCCTGCAGATAAAGAATAATATTTATTATACTATAAGGAACAATCATCAGAAATAAATAAAAGTTCTTAATTTCTATACACCAATTATATCAACTCAAAGATCATGATGCAAAAATTCACAGAAATAAAAGGAGAAATAGTTTAATCCATAATCATAGTAAAAAATTTAATGTAGTTCTTTCAGTAACTGACAGGATGCATAGATAGCATTAGTAAAGATATAGAAGATTTGAATAATATAAATAACATTTAATAAATTATATACAAATGTATGATGAACATCTTTTTGTATTGCACATGTATTTTACTAAAATTGATCATTAATTTTATCCTTAGCCATTAAGCAGAAGTCAACAAATGTCAAAAGAATGTTACCCTAACAAATGACAAAAAGATAAATAGAAAATCTCCATTTAGTGGACAATAAGCATTGCATGTTTCCATAAGTCATCAGATAATTCAGAATTGTAATGGAAATTAATAACTAATTTAATGCATTTAATTATTTAACAATTAAAATATAATGATTAATTAAATGTTAATAATAAAAATAACAATTAAATATTAATAAATTAATAATTTTCATTATATGTGTGATATCTCATATATATTTCTTGAGAAGAAATACAGGCATTTTAAATTACTTAAAATCTGAATTAAATATGCATTCTTTAAGGGGTCAAGGAGAGAACAATGCAAATATTCATGGTAGTATCAATTTCCAATGAAAAAGTTCAAAAATTTTTAGGTTTTTTATATTATTATTTCTCCTCATTATTTAAATTGTGGAAAATGATGTAGCAAAAAATCCATTCCTTGGTTTTTATATAGTATTCAATAGCTATAAAACGATTTTTTTAGCTTCAAAACCTTGTCAAATTCATAATGAAAAAATGTAGTCAATCCTAATGTCAAAAAATTCTGAGGCACTTTAGAATCATTTAGAAATTACTGATTATTTTAATAAAGAGAGACATTATAGCAGCTAAACCAAAGACATATAGTTGAAAGTATTGATTTAGCATGATGCTTTTAATAATATTAATGTTTCAAATGAAATATTGCACAAACAAAAGTTTAATTATATAATATTTTCAAAAGTATCAAAGGGATTAGAAAAGTATGTGAAGAATAAAATGAAGCAACGAAGAAGAAAAGCATATTTTGATGCTAATGGAATTGCAGTGTCTTGCCATTGCTTTCAACTTTTTCCTTTTAGAAAATTTTAAGAGGGAGGAAAATAACCATTTTTGACTGAAATGTCATGATCAGCCCACCTATGATCCAAAACTAAACTTTAAAATATATTGTTTTTCTACATTTGATACAGAAATCTCACCTTCAAAATTTAAAATGCTAAATGTATGTTTTGGCTTTTTAGCATTCTAGATGTTTATTACAATTCTTTCAATTATATTTGCTATGTACAACTGCAATTCTAACTCAAACTGATGATAACTCAGTAAAGAGTGGTGGATTGATAAGGCAATGATACATGAGTAAGTGAAACATTAAATTTTTTTCTAATGTCAAGCCTGATTCCTTTGAAATATGACATTTTACTTTCAGGAAAAAAAAACTGCTGCACACATTTTCAAATACTCCTGTAGCTCTAAGGGGATATTTATTTTGCTAACTTTACTTTTATTTATTTTTGCTAACTTATTTTTATATAAGTTAACAATTGTTTTAACTGTTATCTTGGGTGAGGTCTGGTGAAACCGGCAGCAGATCAAGAGAGAGAAACTGGAAAGAGTTTTACAGTTTTGTTGTACTCACAGTGCACAAAGAGGAACATGGCACACCATGCAGGGCCACTCAGAGAAGCACCTGTCAGTTATGAGGCAGAGGGAGAAAGGGGAACTATGGAATTTAATGTGGTTTCCATGAAAAGGAAAGGCAAGTGGACTTAGAATTGGCTTATTTGGATAATTTCAGTGAGCTCTGGCCCATAGGGGCTGTCCTAGGTAGTCTGATACCTGGCACTGGGATAAATAACGTGGGTGCTTAGGAGGATGTGAGCACAATTATAGAGGTGGTTGGCAGGTGGGGACTTACCTGGCTTATCTGGCTGCTAAAGAAATATAATTAATTGGCTTTAGCCATAGACTCAAAAGTGGGTCAAAACTGCATTTAAGAAACCATGTTATGAGAGTGGAGCATATAGTTTACCAAATGATAATTCATTAAAAACCACTTCCACAATGCCAAAAGAAAGTCTATTAAATTGAATGGCCACCTCTATCAAAAGCAAGATATTGGAGAATGTAAATATTTAAACTATTTCCATCAGACAAGATGTGTAACTATTTCACGACAAATTATATTCTAGTGACTTTGACTCTCTAATCATTCTGATCAAAATTTTGAATTATATTATGTTTAATAATTTGGTTTGCATAATTTACAAATAATATAATTTGTATATATTTATAGATAATATAATTCCTTTATAGCAGCTTAAATGGACTTGAACTGAATTGAGTTATTTACATTATGTTTAATAGTTTTGTTTCCATAATTTATAGATAATAAATTTGTATATTTTTATAGATAATATAATTCCTTTACAGCAGTTCAAATGGACTAAGACAAATTATATTTGTCTGGATAATTTATAATGAAAAGAGGTTTATTTGACTCACAGTTCTGCAGACTGTACAAGAAGCATGGTACCAGCATCGGCTTCTGGCAAGGGCTTCAGGAAGCTTCCATTCACAGTGAAATGTCGAGGAAGAGCTGGCATGTCACATGGCAAAAAATGGAGCAAGAGAGAGGAGAAGGAGGTGCTAGCCTCTTTTTAAAAATCAGCTCAGTGAGAACTAATAGAGCAATAACTCACTTATTACATCTAGGAAAGCACTAATCCATTCATGAAGGATCTGCTCCCATGACCCAAACACCTCTCATTAAACCCCGCCTCCAATATTGGCAATCAAATTTCAACATGAGGTTTGAAGGGAACAGACTATATCATTCCACCCCTGGTCCCACAAAACTCATGCCCCTCTCACATTGCAAAATATAATCATCCCTTCCCAATAGTCCCCAAAAGTCCTGACTTGTTCCAGTATCAGTTCAAAAGTCCAAAGACCAAACCCTCGTTTGAGACTCAAGGCAAGTTCCTTACAACAGAGAGCCTGTAAAATAAAAAAATTTAAAAAACCACATCAAAATGAGTTATTTACTTCTAAGATACAATGGTGGTACAGGCATTGAGTAAATATTCTCATTCCTAAAAGGTAAAATCAACCAAAAGAAAGGAGCAACAGGCCCTTCTTAAGTCCAAAACTCAGCAGGGGAGACATTAGATCTTAAAGCTCCTAAACAATTCCCCTTGACTCCATGTTCTTTATCCTGGGAACACTGGTTCTGATGGTGGGTCCCCAAGGCCTCAGGCAGTCTCACCCCCATGGCTTTGCTGGGCACAGCCCACATGGCTACTGTCACAGGTTGGAGTCCAATGCCTGTGGCTTTTCCAGGTTGAGGTTGCAAGCTGCTAGTGACCCTGCCTTTCTGGCATCTAGAGGATGATGGCCCTATTCCCACAACTCCACTAGACAGTGCCCCAGTAGAGCCTCTCCATGGGGGCTCCAACCCCACATTTCCTTTTGACATTGCCCTAGTAGAGTCTATTTGTAGGGGTGCTGGTCCTGCAGCAGGCTTCTGCCTGAGCACCTTGGCTTTCCAATATATCCTCTGAAATGTAGGTGGAAGTTGCCAATCCTCCATTACTCTTGCATTCTGCATACCTGCAGACTTAACACCACATGGGGGTTACCGCTGGAGTGGTTGGGATGTAGGGTGCGGCATCCCATGGCAGCGTAGGGCAGCAGGGATGGTCCCCCAAACCATTCTGTTCTAAGCCTGTTGGTCTGTGATGGGAGGGGTGGCCTTGAAGATTTCTGAAATGACTTCAGGGCCTTTTCCCTATTGTCTTGACTACTAGTGCCTGGCTCCCTTTTATTCCTGCTAATCTCTGTAGCAAAGAGTTTCTAAGCTGCACCTTTGAAATGCTCTTTCCTTCCCTATGACATGGACAACCTGTAAATTTTCCAAATTTTTGTACTCTGCTTCCTTTTAAACATAAGTTCAAACTTTTGATCATTCCTTTTCTCCCATACTTAGTCTTAAGTTGTTAGAAGCAGCCACATCACTCCTTGAATAGTTTGTTGCCTAGAAATTTCTTCTGCCAGATACCATATATCATCACTCTTAAGTTCAGCCTTTTAAAAGTCCTAGGGCATGGGCACAATGCAGCCAAGTTCTTTGCTATGGCATAACAAAAGTGACCTTTGCTCCAGTTCCCAGTAAGTTCCTCATTTCCATATAAAACCTCAACAGTCTGGCCTTTGATCTATATATTTGATATGGTTTGGCTATGTCCCCACCCAAATCTCACCTTGAATTCGCATGTTGTTGGAGGGAACTGGGGGGAGGTAATTGAATCATGAAGGCAAGTCTTTTCTATGCTGTTCTCATGATAGTGAATAAGTCTCACAAGATCTGATGGTTTTAAAAACGAGGGTTTCCCTGCACAAGTTTGCTCTCTCTTTGCCTGCCACCATCCATGTAAGATGTGACTTGCTCCTCCTTGCCTTCTGCCATTATTGTGAGGCCTCCACAGCTATGTGGACTGTAAATCCAATAAACCTCTTTGTTTTGTAGATTGCTCAGTCTAGGCTATCTTTTCATCAGCAGTGTGAAAATGGACTGATAAAATATTTATATCAGCATTTTGGTCACAATCACTTAACTGGTCTCTGATAAGTTCTAAACTTTCCCTCATCTTCTTATCTTCTTCTGAGCCCTCCAAACTCTTCCAACCTCTGCTCATTACCCAGTTCCAAAGCTGTTGTCACAGTCTGCTATCTTTATAGCAATGCCCCACTCCTCCATGCCAATTTTTTGTCCTAGTCTGTTAGGGTTGCTTTAAAGCAATACCTGAGGCTGGGTAATTTATAAAGAAAAGAGGTTTATTTGGATAACGGTCTGCAGACTCTACAAAAAGCATGGTGCCAGCATCAATTTCTGGTAAAGACCTCAGGAAGCTTCCACTAATGGTAGAAAGCTAAGGGGAATTGGTGTGTGACATGGCAAGAGAGGGGAGGGAGATTCTAGGCTCTTTTTAACAATCAGTTTTTGTGGGAACTAATAGAGGAAGAACTCACTTATTACTGCAAAGATGGCACCAATCTGTTCATGTAAAAATCTGCTACCATGACCCCCAAACCCCCCATTAGACCCCACCTCCAATATTGGGGATTAAATTTCAACATGAGACTTGGAGGGGACAGATATCTAAACTTTATTGTAATTTTTATTGTTGAAAAAATATATAAGCCAATACCTCAAAACATTTTTACTTGGGAAAGGGTTGTACCATTTCCTTTATTGTAAAAAGAAATAATAAAGATGCCTATTTGATATCACTGCACAAAATATCTGCCCAGGTCAATTTTTTATTTTTGCTTAATAGGCAGAAGTTTCCCCTCCCCCATTTGGAAGCTGCAGTCCAGAATAGAAATTCACCAGAGCATAGGACTCAGAAGGGGAAGGAGTGAATGGAGAAAGTTGATTAGTCCCACAGAGTGTGTACCATGGGACTTTTGCTGCAGATGTCCTCGGTGAGAGGCTGCCAGTGATGTCCCATGGCAGCCACAGGGGAAAGGCAAGAGCAGAGTTAGATCAGCTTTTGTTTTATTTATTCTCTCCTAGCTACACTTGCTGTCCCCTCCCTGTCCAAGGTTGCAGCAGCATGTCCTCCATATCACCCATAGCCTACCCGTTCAAAAACAGCTCTTCAACTCCCTAGATGTATCTCACAGTTTTTATTGTTGTAAGTTAGTTTTAAAAATATTACTTTCTGGCCAACTCAGGTAGATGTGGGACCTTGACAGGATTCCTTCACTAAGGTTTGCAGGTGCTTCATGCCATTGCATTTGAAATTTTAAAGCAGAAACATGAAGTCTGTCCCAGAAATCATTAATAATTTGGAGATTTGTGTGTGGTGCAGGAAACATAGCTGTAGGAAATTGTATTTCTAATTTTATTGTATCCCTGCTTACATTAAAACTTTTCTAGAGGAAAGAGACTATTTTAGTATCCTTCTACCACCTCCATACCTTTATTGCTTAGAGGCTCACCATTGTAATTTAAAAGTGTCAAACTTTATGCAGAGCTGGATGGTAAAAGGGAGTGTACATAATCGTTCAAATTTAACTTCTATAACAGCAAATGTAGAAAGGGGAATCTATAAGGTATTCAGTTCACATCTATGAAAGATTTGATACAAAAGGCCAGCATGCGTAATGCATTGGTGATGCAGAGACATTGATAAGACTCTTTAATACAGTACAGTGATTTATAAATCAGCTGCCACTTACCAACAATTAGAAATTCAATTCAGTTGTAAATGCAACAAACTAGGTAAACATGTTTCCATCTTTTGTATAAATAGAAATACACAGAAATACACCTATAAGCTTTTTGAAGTCATTTTCTTTAAAGACGTAAAGAATACCTATACCATCTACTTTATATTGATTTGTATTTATATATGGCACAGAGCATAGAGGCAATATTTTCAGGGGGGTTGAAAGCCTTTCCAGTGTCTAGGATTCTGAAATAATTCAGTAAAACTAGAAGACAGTCTTCTTTAATGTGCATTTCAAATTTTCTTTATACAGGGGAATGGATGCTACTCTTTGTTTCATTGTCAGTAGCTAAGTAAGCATTAGAAAGCTTAATTAAGATAATATTAATGCTATCCTAGACTTTAGAGACTCAGATGGATTTTTCAGAGTAAGAATTGAATTTCATTTTATCAGGTTTGTGATTTTACTCTGATTAGGTAATTAGGAAAAAACAAAATGTCACATTAGTCTTCTTATTTCTTACAATTGTACTACATTCTTGATTTTGACTTAGGAGAGGAGTACATTTTATCTTCCTATTTGAATACTGA
Organism: Homo sapiens; assembly: GCF_000001405.40. Classification (NCBI taxonomy): domain Eukaryota; kingdom Metazoa; phylum Chordata; class Mammalia; order Primates; family Hominidae; genus Homo; species Homo sapiens. The sequence continues at coordinate 79,147,884 of NC_000008.11, read as the reverse complement.
CTCAACCAGGTTTTATATTTCTGTGGGATTCTAGATAAACAGCATAAATGTTAGAAATATGAATTTCTGCTTCCTACATCAGACAATCTTTACAATCACACTGAACACAAATGAGCTCTCAACTACCATAGTTCCAGCCAAAGCCTATGTTACTGAATAGTAATAATCAGATTTGAAAACAGCTTGTGAGATGCTTTCTTGCTTTCTTTGTGTATCAGTCGAAATTGCCTTTGTTTGCATGTCAAGAAAAGTGGCAAATAAGAACAACATAATGAGGAGTCCAAAAGAAGGCAGCCCCAGTTGCAGCAGCAGCAGAAAACCCTCTCTGCCCCAGGCACTCACTGTCTTTCCACTCCACCATCCTTAGTCTCTGGCTTTCATCTTCCTGCTTACAAAGATGGAGAGCTATCCAGGCCCACAGAAAGGTAAAGGGAGAAAGACTGAAGGGACAGGCCTTTTAACAGGCTTTCTGGAAGTCCAGCCCAGCCACTGTTGCTTACCTTGCTTCATACCAAACTGGATCACTTAGAAATTGCAGAAGGCAAGGGAGTCTGGGCAGGTGGATTCCTTTAAATGAACATAACCTTCTTTTAAATGAGTACATTGTTTTTTGTTCTTGTGATAGTTTACAGAGAATGACACCGCATATTCTCACTCATAGGTGGGAATTGAACAATGAGAACACATGGACACAGGAAGGGGAACATCACACTCTGGGGACTGTTGTGGGGTTGGGGGAGGGGGGAGGGACAGCATTGGGAGATATACCTAATGCTAGATGACGAGTTAGTGGGTGCAGCGCACCAGCATGGCACGTGTATACATATGTAACTAACCTGCACATTGTGCACATGTACCCTAAAACTTAAAGTATAATAATAAAAAATAAAATAAACTATTCTTAAAAGTAATGTCACAAAATAGTAACTACAGAAAAAAAAATGAGTACATTATGACTCCAAAAATCAAAGTTTTTATAGGAAGGAGGAAATAAGGGATTTTGAGTAGGCAGCTAAGGGTGTGTGCCACACTGCAGTTAGGTGCTGGTGATAGAATTCATTGGGCAGTATCTTAGGGAATGGCTGATGAGTCTGAGTTTCCTAAAATAACCTTGACAATAACTGATAACTAATATGTACATCTGTGGCTGTACTGAGAAAACAGGATCTGTAGCAGCAACAAAAATAGGTAAGTGTTTAGACAAATCCTCTGGTGTCCTTGAAAGCGCAGAATGAGGATGGGAGAAAACACTCAATCAAGAACAAATTTCTCACTAGAGAAAGTGTACTTTAGGGTCCCCGGGTTTTTGGTAAGCACTGTGAAAAAGTACTCACTTGCCACTGTTCTACCTTGAGTTCTTATTGTTGCAAAAAGTTCCAGGAAGAAGCTTAGCCTCAGAAAAAAAAAAAAAAAATTGGATCCAGAGATGCTTTAGTTGGAGATGAACTTTAGCGAACTCTCCCCATACTAAAAATCCACATCCAGGGAGGAGCTTATTCGCTACTTACTATACACACAAGGTATGTAGAAGCATGATGGGTGACCATGCCTGTGCCGCCTTTTCTCCACCTCTACATGCAATGATGCAGCACACCAGTCCAATAAAAGCCATGTTTTCACCCTTGTTAGGGGGCGCTCTCCTTTGGGAAAGTGTCCTCCTTGTCCTCCTTGTTTGCTGCAAGTAATAAAAATTCTCTTATTATATCCTCCCTGGTCGTGGTCATTGGACTATCACCTGCCAACCAATCGAACCCACCCATGTTGTGTGGATAAAAAAGTAATTTAATTGAAAAGCAATTTAGAAAAATTCAGAGTTCGAGGTCAAAACAGACAAGGATGCTCTCCAAGGTTGGAACACTGAATTGGACATTTATCTATCTGTATGGTAACTGATATTCCAGCAAGAGGAATAACAGAAGGGAAACATATCTATTCTGAATATTTCTGTAGAACTAACCATTGGCTTCCCCTAATAACTGTCACTTATGTTTGTTTGGCTTTGACTATTTGCTGCAGTCTTTTCAATGTTTAAGTTATGTGAGTACATAGTAGGTATACATATTTATGTGGTATATGAGATATTTTGGTATAGGGATATACTGTGTAATAATCATATCAGGGTAAATGGGGTATTCATCACCTCAAACATTTATCCTTTGTGTTACCAACAATCTAATTATATTCTTTTAGAAATTTAAAAATTTACAATTAAATTATTATTGACTATAGTCACTCCATTTGATTGCTTTATCACCACCCCTTAGGTTTTGTTTTCTAATATATGCTTTAAGCCTGCTTCACTTTATCACTATGTTCCAAACTTTTGCATCCTTGCCCTCCCATGGATTTTGACCCTGACTACCCAGAGCTCCCCAAAGCGTTCCTCTTCTTTACTACAAGTAATGTAGCCAGGGTTCACCTAGGTCAAGAGCAGCCATTGAAATTTCTTCTTGGCAGGTGAGCAAAGCAACTTCAAAAAAATTAAAAACCCTTCACCAAAGAAGATACACAGATAGCAAGCAAGCATATGAAAAGGGGCTTCACATCATGTCAAGAGGGAAATTTAAAACAACAGTGAGATACCACCATACATCTATTACGGTGGCAAAAATCCAAAACACTGACAACACCGAATGCTGGCAAGGATGTTGAGCAAAAGGAACTCTCATTCATTGCTGGTGGGAATGCTGCATAATGATACAATCACTTTGAAAGGAAATTTGAAAGTTTTTTACAAAACTAAACATACTCTTACTGATGATCTTACAGTTGCACTCCTTGGTATTTACTCAAAGGAGGTGGAAACCTATGTCTGCACAAAAAGCTGCACGCAGATGTGCATAGCAGTTTTATTCATAATTGCCAAAATTTGAAAGCAACCAAAATGACATTCAGTAGGTTATTGAATAAATAAACTGTGATACCACCAGACATTGGAATATTGTTCAGTGATAAAAAGAAATGAGCTATAAAGGCATGAAAAGACACAGTGGAACAGTAAATGCATATTGCTACATGAAAGAAGCCAACCTGAAAGTCTCCATACTGTATGATTTCAACCATGTGATGTTCTGGAAAAGGCAAAACTATGGGGACAGTAAAAAGATCAGTAGTTTCTAGGGTTTTGGGGAAGAGAGGGATGATTAGGTGGAGAACAGAGGATTTTTAGGGAGGTGTAACTATATTGTATGATACTACAATGATGATACATGTCATTATACATTTGTCCAAACCTATAGAATGTATAATACCAAGAGTGAAAGCTAATGTAAACTATGGACCTCTAGTGCTAATAATGTGTCCGTGTAGGTTCGTCATTTGTAGTAGATGTACTCCTGGCTCAGATGTTGATAGTGGGGGTGGCTATGCATGTGTAAAGCCAATAGATATGTGGAAAAATCTTTATACCTTCCACTTAATTTTTGTGTGAACCTAAAACTGCTCAAAAAATTGCAACCAGATTGATTTATTTTTGTATGTTTCCACCTTTATTCTATATCACATGGCAACTCAGTTGTCTCAATCCAATTCATTGAATAGTGCCTGTTTTACACACTACTTTGATATACAACCTTTATCATATATAGGCATACGTTGACGATATTGCAAGTCTGGTTCTACAACTGCAATAAAGCAAATATTACAATAGAGTGAATCACATGAATTTTTGGTTTCCAAGTACATGTAAAAGTTATGCTTACACTATACTGTAGTCTATTGAGTATGCAATGGCATTAAGTCTAAAGCAATGTATATGCCTTATTTTATTTTATTTATGTTTTTTGAATGTAATATTCTAATCTTTTTTTAAATTTTACTTTTAGTTCTGGGATACATGTGCAGAACCTGCAGGTCTGTTACATAGATATACATGTGCCATGGTGGTTTGCTGCACCTATCAACCCATCATCTAGAATGATTTTTTTAAAAGTTTGTACAATAGAATGAATCAAATGTACATTGTAGGAATTTGGAAAATACATAAAAACAACAAAAAGAAAAGAAAAACACCATACTCTCACTGACCTGAGATTACTATTAACATTTTATTTACCTTTCCGTATTAATAAATTTTGATCTTATCTATATCCAGTCCTTAAATAAATTTCTCCAGATGTTCCCAAAATACTTTTTTAAGGCAAACTTGATATAATCTGTTTGTTATGCCACTTGAGGTTTTAAATCTAGTATAATGTTTTCCTAAGACACTGATTTGTTGACTAAATCTACTTAGATATCCTGCAGAAGGCCCTAACTTCTAAATTTGTCTTTTTCAGGGTTGTTCAACAGAATTTTCTATGATGATAGAAAAATTTCATATATATGCTAAACAATAAGGTATGAGATGATATCTCATTGTGGTTTTGATGTGCATTTCTCTGATGGCCAGTGATGAGGAGCATTTTTTCATGTGTCTTTTGGCTGCATAAATGTCTTCTTTTGAGAAGTGTCTGTTCATATCCTTCACCCACTGTTTGATGGGGTTGTTTGTTTTTTTCTCGTAATGGCGATCATTAAAAAGTCAGGAAACAACAGGTGCTGGAGAGGATGCGGAGAAATAGAAACACTTTTACAATGTTGGTGGGACCGTAAACTAGTTCAACCATTGTGGAAGTCAGTGTGGCGATTCCTCAGGGATCTAGAACTAGAAATACCATTTGACCCAGCCATCCCATTACTGGGTATATACCCAAAGGATTATAAATCATGCTGCTATAAAGACACATGCACACATATGTTTATTGTGGCACTATTCACAATAGCAAAGACTTGGAACCAAGCCAAATGTCCAACAATGATAGACTGGATTAAGAAAATGTGGCACATATACTCCATGGAATACTATGCAGCCATAAAAATGATGAGTTCATGTCCTTTGTAGGGACATGGATGAAGCTGGAAACCATCATTTTCAGCAAACTATCGCAAGAACAAAAAAACAAACACCACATGTTCTCACTTATAGGTGGGAATTGAACAATGAAAACACGTGGACACAGGAAGGGGAACATCATACACCAGGGCCTGTTGTGGGGTGGGGGAAGGGGGAAGGGATAGCATTAGGAGATATACCTAATGTTAAATGATGAGTTGCTGGGTGCAGCACACCAACATGGCACATGTATACATATGTAACTAACCTGCACGTTGTGCACATGTACCCTAAAACTTAAAGTATAATATATATAAAAAAAAACAAGGTAACATATTATTCAGAGTTCTCCTGAAAGACAGAACCAACAGGATACATACATAGATACATGAGAGTGGATTTATTGGTGGAATTGGCTTATGGGATTAAGGAGGCTGAGACGTCCCGTGACAAGCCATCTTCAAGCTGGGTACGCTGGGAGGCCAGTCCAAGTCCAAAGGCTTCAAAACCAGGGAAGTTGATAATGTAACTCTTAGTTTGAGACCAAAGGCCTGAAAACCTTGGGGAGCACTGGTGTTAAGTCCTGGAGTTCAAAGGCTAGGGAGCCTGGAGTTTTGATCCCCAAGAACAGCAGAGGACAAGTGTATTCCAAGTCTAGGAGATAGAGAAATTTGCCTTTCATATTTTTGTTCTCTCTGGGCCCCTGGTCAATTGAAAGGTGCCCATCTACACTGAGGATGGATCTTCCCCACCTAGTCTGGCCAGATTCACACAGCAACCTCCTCTAGAAACGCCCTCACAGACACATCCAAATATAATTCTTCACCAGGCTTCTAGGTATTCCCTAATCCAGCTGACACTAAAATTAACCATCAAAGGTAGTCACTTTTCACATGTGGCTGTTGAGTACTTGAAACCTGCCTAGTGTGATTAATTTAATTCAATTCAGATTCAAATTTAAGTTAAATTTGAATTAAAATAGCCACCGTCCGTGGCTTGTGGCTATTGTATTGAACAGTACAGGTTTTGTTGCTTCTTCCCTCTCAGGCTTGGCTTATCCTTCTATTCCTGTATTTCCTGTTAATTGGAAAATGTAGACAGGCCTAATACTAGGCAAATTGGATGGAATACTTCCTGAGGACATTGTATACTGCATATTGTGTTATATCAGGAGACACTTTACTATTTGCTAGGCCAACCATTAGTGATACTAAGATTGACTCCAGGATGGAATGATGACAAAATGGCTCATTCAATACGCAGTCAATTTTCCCCTTGAGTCTAGAAATCCATGGAGTAGCTGGAGTGGAAGTAAACACATGTCTGGTTCATTCTCAACCATACCCTCCAAATTTTTTTTGACACCAATTGATAATTCTTGTGTGTGTCTAATTTTTATAAAGATTGCAGAGTTATGATCTTTTAGCTCTGCCTTTGCCTCTGCATTATTATATTGGCTTTTCCTTTTGTAAAGAAGAGCTTTCCTGATTAACTGGAGCTGTTTGTTTGCTATACATCAACAAAGGTCAACAAAGGTAAATGCTTTCTTTTCCTTCATTTACCATTTTATTTATTTATTTATTTTGAGATGGAGGTTTCATTCTTGTTGCCCAGGCTCGGGTGCAATGGTGCGCTCTCAGCTCACCGCAACCTCCACCTCCTGGGTTCAAGTGATTCTCCTGCCTCAGCCTACTGAGTAGCTGGGATTATAGGCATGTGCCACCACACCTGGCTAGCTTTTTTGTATTTTTAGTAGAGACGTAGTTTCTCTATGTTTGTCAGGCTGGTCTTGAACTCCTGACCTCAGGTGATCTGCCTGCTTCAGCCTCCCAAAGTGCTGGGATTACAGGTGTGAGCCATAGGATGTTTTATAATAACCACCTCAAACGGTAAAATTTTTCTGGCTTTTCCTATTATGAGTACTATGAAGAAATTATGTTTTTTATTAATTCAAAGAGTTTTCAGCTGGGCGTGGTTGCTCACGCCTGTAATCCCAACACTTTGGGAGGCCGAGATGGGTGGATCACCTGAGGTCAGGAGTTCAGCCTGACCAACATGGCAAAACCCCGTCTCTACTAAAAATACAAAAATTAGCTGGGCTTGGTGGCATGCACCTGTGGTCCCAGCTACTCGGGAGGCTGAGACAGGAGAATAGCTTGAACCCAGGAGGCGGAGGTTGGAGTGAGCAGAGATCATGCCACTGCACTCCAGCCTGGGTGACGGAGCAAGACTCTGTGTCACACACACACACACACACACAAAAGTTTTCAACCCACTACAATCACTTTTTTAAGGCCATAGCTTTCCTAACACACCAAGTGCTGATGTGACTTAAAGCAAAAAACCCAAGATGGCCCGTACTGAGTTCTGTATCCACTCCTGGATATAGTGCAAGATACAGACTTAAAGGGCAGAGGAGACAAGAGAAACACATAATAAGTCTTGAGGTGTAAGATAAGGAGCTGTAATTTGTAAGACACCTAATTTTAACTCTCAAGTTAGGGAGAGAGCCCAAAGTGGAATGGTATGATTTCATGTTGGGTCAAACAACATGGAAGTATAGGATGCACATGCTTATACTCCAGTATGTACATGTATATCTGAAAAGACTGCAGTTTGTCATCTTGTAGTTTGCACTGAGCGTTTGTGAATTTCAGAGCATGTGTAGCTTGTTGGGAATGGATTTCCTCTACCAGTCTGGCAGTATTTGGAGGTAAAGACTGAGGCTGAGAAGTGTCCTGGGAGTTTATGTGATATGGGGTAGACATGTCATAATTGGGTTTAGCAATGGATGACTTATATGCTTTGATCTTTCAATGCCCACGATATGATTCTAATGGTAAATTTAAGGTATCAACTTGACTGGATTAAGAGATACTCTGATAGCTGGTAAAGCATTATTTCTGTAGATGCCTGTTAGAATGTTTTTGTAAGAGATGGGCATTTGAATCAGCAACTGAGTAAAAAAGATCCACCCTCATTCAGTGTGGGCCAGCACCACCCAATTGGCCAAGGGTCCAGAGAACAAGAAGGCAAAGGCAAGGCAGATGTGCTCTCTCTAGATCTCTCTCTCCTGGAGCTGGGGCACACTTTTCCCCTACTTTTAGACATCAGAACTCCAGTTTCTCTGGCCTTTGGACTTCTGGACTTGCACCAGCAACTGCTGTGTTCTCAGGTCTTTGACCTGGACTGAGTTTCACCCTAGTTCTGAGGCTTTTGGTCTTGGACTGAGCCATGCTACAAATTCTTTGCTTGTCCAATTTGCAGACAGCCTATCATGAGACTTCTCAGCCTCCATAATCACGTGAGCCTATTCCCCTAACACATCCTTTCTCAGATATCTATATCTGCCTAGCCCTCTATCTCCCTACCCTATTGGTTCTGTCTCTGTGGAGAATTGTGACTAATATGGAAATAATAGTGGTTTCTGATACTTCTAAATTACTTCATAGGTGATAAGGCACATCTCTATATAATACATAGCTTGCTTTTCACACATACACAAATAATTTAGCAACTCAGATTTTATTGTATCCTGATTTTCAGTGAAAAAAAAAAAAGGCCTATAGGAATAACTTGCTCTGATTTTTTCATCTAGCCGCATTGGGATTTAAAACCAAGTCTACTGGGAGGCTGAGGTGGGCAGAACACTTGAGGTCGGGAGTTCGAGACCAGACTGGCCAACATGGTGAAACCCCATCTCTACTAAAATACAAAAAATTAGCTACGCATGGTGGCACATGCCTATAATCTCAGCTACTCAGGAGGCTGAGGCAGGAGAATCGCTTGAAACCGGGAGGTGGAAGTTGCAGTGAGCCAAGATCACGCCACTGCACTCCAGCCTCAGCAACAGAGTGAGACTCCATCTCAAAACAAAAACAAACAAAAACAAAAACAAACAGAAACAAACCCAAGTTAGTCATTAACTCAGTTGATAACAATTTATTCAACACTATTTGTCAAGCCCTCTGTTAGGCACTAAGGACACATTGCTGCACAAGATGGATACATACTGTATTTCCTTCAGGGTAAATAAAATGTAGCTCACAGCCCTCCCATAAACCTGTTCTATAAAGCCACTTAAAAGTATATCTCATACTCACCCCATCATTATATTACCTCATCACTGTCCTTCTTCCAAAAAGCAGTAAATACAATTGCTCTTCTCCTTGTGTTTTCTATCACAGTAAATGTTTACCTAATGGCTCTCCAAGGAACCTGGGAGACAGTCTTCACCTTTCCTAATTACTTCATTATACTGATTCCACCCCCAAGTCCTGAAGGCTGTATTTTCTAATATTTTTTTGATTCCCATACCTCACTTTCTATTTTCATTACCGTTTCCACAGATTAAAGACTTATTTCTTGATTGAACTATTGCAACTATCATTGAATAGGTGTCCCTGTCTTTGATCCATGATTTATGCTTCATGTGGTTGCCATAGTCCTTTTTCTATAATGTATATCTGTTCTTTGAAGATTTTGCTTTCAAACGCTTTTATTAATATCACATTCATTTTTTTTTTTTTTCTGAGGCAGAGTCTTACTCTGTCACCCAGGCTGGAGTGCAGTGGCACGATTTTGGCTTACTGCAACCTCCACATCCTGGGTTCAAGGGAGTCTCCTGCCTCAGCCTCCAGAGTAGCTGGGATTACAGGCATGCGCCACCATACCCGGCTAATTTTTGTATTTTTAGTAAAGACGGGGTTTCACCATGTTGTCCAGGCTGGTTTTGAACTCCTGGCCTCAAGTGATCTGCCCACCTTGGCCTCCCAAAGTGCTGGGATTACAGGTGTGAGCCACCAGGCCCAGCCGACATTCACAATTTTATTGTAAGTCCAAACTTCTTAGCAACAGCCTTCATGATCTAGCTTCTGCATAACCCTATTGTTTCTTGTTTCAGAGGAGCTTGTGACCCACATCACATCCCAAAACTCCACTGTGCTAAAATGTTTGTAGTTCTCAAATGTGGAAATACAGGGTAGCCTTCTTTGCTTCAACCTTCCTCACCACCCCACCAACCTGGAGCTATTTTAGATAATGTGATCAAGTAATTTATTCTATAAACTGGGAACTATTGAGAGTGAAAGAGGAGTTATTAATAATTATTTTGGGAAAGAAAGGTATTTGCTGATTTTTTACCAGGCAGCTAGAATATATGTTTAATCTAAAGGATTCTTCTTTATGCACCTGTAACACCCTGAACTTATCTCTATGATAATATTTACTGCTTTCTATAAAAATATTTGTCTCACTTCTGAGTTTCTTTATTTCAGAGACAAGTCTGTTTTGCTCATCCTTGTCTCCAGAAAGTTTTGCATAGTTTTTGATATCTTGTAGGTATTCAAATATTTTAAAAAGAAATGCTGTTAAACGAACTTCAGGTAGGAACTTCACTGAGCATTTGGAAGTAAATTGAGTTTTGCAGCTACTGTGGTGTAAACACCTCTTAATACTTAAAATACATAGAATCTTGTTGAAATTTGGAAAGGAAACTAGCGGAAGATATTTCTATATTTCAAATTGCTTGTAAGATACTGTTTTTATCCTATGAAATTCATCACTGTAATTCAATGGTTTATGATTAACTTCTTTAGAGACCTTGAAGTAATTCAAGAATATCTTTCTTGAAGATACACTATTTGCTTTAAATAGATAGCCCAATTTAATTATAGATTATAATTATAGACCAGTCTGGGTATTTCAGACTAGTCTACTGCAGAGAAAGCATAAAGCTGGTGGAGACTTCTAGTCTGAGTTCAAAGGCCTGAAAACAAGGAGTCCAAGGGCAGAAGACCAAGGTTCCAGCTCTGGTAGTCAGACAAAGCAAATTCTCCCTTCCTCCTCTTTGTTCTATTTAGGCCCCGGATATACTGAATAATGCCCACCCACCTTGGGGAGAGCAATTTGCTTTACTGTGACTACCAATTCAAATGCTAATGCCTTCCAGAAACACCATTTCAGACATACCCATAGAAATAATGTTTAGCCAAATATCTGGGTACTCCATTATCTAGTAAAGTAGACACATAAAATTAAGTACCCATCACCTTTGTAGCATCACAATGTATTCTGGACAAATTCAACGCTATTGTTGGAAAGCTGCCTTCAACTACATTGTGGATCTGGAGGTAAGAAGACAGTTTATCCCTCGCATCTTAATACTGACGTCCACCCTTATCAAACTATTGTAAAAATACAGGGACTCTCAGAAATCACCTTTGAAGAACTGAAGCTATGGTCTGTCTCATTTACATTCATTTGGGTCTGTTGCAGTCCTCACAGTGGAAAGCAGAAAAATTTTATCCAGCAGAACCCAAGGTACCCTGCTGTTATTCTGCTTCTCAACTTACCATAAGGATTTCTGGGACAATGATTGAGTCCATTTGTCTGTGGCCAGCTACTAGCACATTGACTGCTCCATGGATTATATTCAACAAATGATTTATTGAATGAACAAAAAAGATAAATGTTTATCAACCACCTGGGGGAAATACAAGAAAACATTATATTTTATTATTGTTATGAAGTCCCTTCAACTGCCTTTTGAATGGCCTTTTATTTGATGAGAACTACAACAATAATAATAAAACTTCATCTGATAGTGTGACATAGTATATAAGGATAAATGTGGCAAATTTGGGGAGAAAATAGGGACACTTATTGATATATAAGGATTAATATTTATACATCACTTTATTATAACATTTATGTTTTCCCTCGATGGGCAATAGTGAAAACATGGTGACCTATCTAGGCTACTAATAGTTCTTAAATAATGAAAAGAATAACAATTTATTAATTCTTCAGGGCAAAAGCAGAAGTGTTCTCTTTTTTGTCATTTCAATAGAGAATATCACCGTGTTTCTTTTACTCAATCACCAATTACAAAATCATACAGATGGAATGAACTTGTGACATCTTAATAGCCATAGCTTCCAGCAGAGCTATAATTATATTGTCCTAGAGAGATGAACATCTACTTAGCCCTAATTTTAACATTCTCTAAAGAAAAATATTCCACAGATTGTGCAATAAACTAGTCTGTGTGTAACAATTCTCATCATTAGTGCCTTCCTGATATTCCTGCTGTGGTTTATATGGGTTTTATTTTAAGCAGAAATTAAGGCTGCTTCTAAAGTTAATCCTCAATGTTGGCAATAGATTCTTGGAAATTGTGACTTTAAGCAAAAAGATGTCTAATGAAATCATTTTTTATAATCAACATGATAATGAAAAGATGTTTAACAAAATGACATTATTTGATAACCTGCTATATGTCATTTTGTTTAAAGTTGCAGATTTCAAGTACTGATCCATCATGTTAGGTGAGAACTTGCTGTACATGATGTCAAAATTATTTATCGAAAGGGAAGAGCTCATGCAAACCATGCATTTAGTACAAAAGAAAAATAAATGTCATTTGGCAGAGTTCAACTAGATATTATGTGTGGAGTATGTGTTTGCAAGTGTCTAAATGGATTGTGAATTCCAAACTAACATTCATTAAGCTTGTAAAGTATAATTGATATCATCATTTTAAAACATTTTTTGAGTACTTATTGTGTAGCAGGTACTTTTCTAACCATGTAGATAAACATTTCACTCTCATGGAACTTGCATTCTAGTGTTTGTATATGCATGTGAGGGAGACTTAGCAAATAAACAAATAAATGTAAATATATACGAAGATGCTAAGTAGATAGAGAAATCTACTACACGGGAATACAGAAATTCTAGAATACCAGAGAGGCAGTATTCATTTTCTATGCTGTGTAACATTCTACCACAAATTTTATGGCTTAAAATAATGCTCCCTCACTATCTCACAGCTTTGGTGGGTCAGGAGCCCAGGCATGGCTTGAGTTTTTTGCTTCAGGGTCTCACAAGGCTGCAATCCAGGTATCCACAAAGGCTGCATTCTCATCTTGAGGCTCAAGTGGGGAAGAGGCTTCTTCCAAGCTCATGTAGGTTGTTGGCAGAATTAACTTTATTGTGTGTTGTAGCATTTATGACAGCTTGCTTCTTCACTGTCAATAATGGAAAGACAGATTCTAGAACTGAGTCTGCTAGCAAGATGTAAATATGAGGGTGATATCCAATCATCTTTTCCATCTTCTATGGGTTAGAAGCAAGTCACAGGTCTCTACCACACTCAGGGAGGGAGTTATATGAGGTCATGAACACCAGAAGGTGGGAATCATGGAAGCCACTTGAAAGGTCAGCCTGTCACAGAGGCATCAGACTTTTTAATAGAATGATTAGAGAAATCTTCATTGAGAAGGTGATGATATTAGGTCTAATATTGAAGGAACCGTGGAAGGCAGATACAAGGCTGCTTTTGAGAACAGCATCTCAGATAAAGTGCAAACAATCTAAAGTGAGAGTGTGTTTAGAAAATTGAGAAATAGCAAGGAGGCAAGTGTGGCTGGAGCAGACCAAGTGAGAAAAAGACAGTAGTAGAAAAGTTGAAGTCAGAAGATTAGACATGTACCAGGAATGAGTTGCTGAAGGGGGGAGATTCCATAGGATATTGCAGGAAATTGTAGAAATTTGACTTTTATTCAGAACAAGATCAGATGCCTATGAAGGGTTTAGAGAAGAGGGGTGCTTTGATTTAAAATGTATTTAATAGTATCACTGGCTGAGTACAGGCATAGAAGCGTGCTTGGAAGTATGAGGCCACTGGAGAAGGCAGTAGAGATGATAAAAACTGGTCAGAATCTATAAAATTTCTTGAATTTTCTCTTTTGTTTTTTTTTTTTTTTTTTTTTTTTTGAGAGGGAGTCTCACTCTGTCACCCAGGCTGGAGTGCAGTGTCACAATCTTGGCTCACTGCAACCACTGTCTCCTGGCTTCAAGTGATTCTCATGCCTCAGCCTCCTGAGTAGCTGGAACTACAGGCATGTGCCATCACACCCAGCTTTTTTTTTGTATTTTTAGTAGAGACAGGGTTTTACCATGTTGGCCAGGATGGTCTCTAACTTCTGACCTCAAATGATCTGCCTGCCTCAGCCTCCCAAAGTGCGGGAAATACAGGTGTGATCCACCACACCTGGCCTGCTTTCTCTATTCTGTAGACAAAAAGGAAATTTCAGAATTCGGCACTCAACCTGCATGGTTCAAGTTCCTTCTTTGAAAATTTGGAACTGGACATAAGACAGGCTCAATTTAATCTCCCCAAGTAACTACAACCTGTGAAACTCAGGAGTTTGTAATTGCTATTGTCCACCATGTTGCCTGGAATAACAACAACAACAAAAACATTCAAAAAGAAGAGTGAAGCTTATGCATAGCAAGTATTCTATAAATATCAGCTGTTTTTATTTGGCCTAGCCAGGCAATTAACATTATCCTACTCACTTAAAGGAGACAGAAAAATCAACTTGTGGAAAATCAATTCCTAAGAAAAATTTTTAAAAGAACTTTCCATTTTTTATTATTAACTTACCTTGTTTAATAATTAGCCTTGTTTATTATTAGCCTCAGAAAAGGCTGTAAATCTTTTGTGATGTGGTACATTTTGGTAAAACAGAAGATGTATAACAGCATTTTTATGGTTCTCTAAATCTTTTTTGAGCCTTACCAGAAGTCTTCAAAATTGTGCAACTTGCAGAGAACACAGATATTTTTAAGGATCTTTTGTGGGTATGTATTGTTTTTTTCTTTTTCAAACAACAGAGTGGCCTGTAAAGAGTAAGTTTTGTTTTCTTTCTCTTTTTAAATCCTGAGAAGCTGAGGCAATTAAGTGAAGTTCAAATGCACAGTGATTTCATTTTATTTGAATTGTTACATGACTGCTCAACCCCTGCATCCTGGAGTCTATTATTTCCAAAACCTGCTCTACTTATAAGCAAATGTGATGGTTGTAATTCATTAGGATGGTTTCATTTTAGGTACCTGTTTGCACTTCTAAGCCATTTTCTTAATAGCTAATTGGATGTCATTGATGGTATTAATAAGAGAATGATTTCATTTCCACAAGGCTGTTGGCGTGTCTGTTGCTCTCTCCATAAGCCATCACGGTGCAGGTGTAAATGGGTAACTGGCTTAAAGAATGCAATGACTCTCGCCTTGTTATAGTGTGACCATATGTGGCCAATTATATTTCCTCTGTTTTTAATAATGTGGTTGTTGATTTACTAGGCCACATTCTTCTCTGATCATTAATTTTTACAGGCTTTCATCTTTTGAATTATCCTCACATGGTTGTTACAGCAGCACTTTCTTGCCACCACATATTTTAAGCTTATAAACAGAACACACAATCGTGTTGTTCCTATAGAAACCTTCAAACATTGAGGAATCACAGCTTTGAATCTGTAACTATTATTGTGTATGGGTTCATATCCTGCAATGGCACCTTTTAATCTCCAATGCCTCTAACATCAAGCTGCAGTTAACCTGTATGCCATTAGAGCTAACTGCTTATTTTATTTTCATTTTTAAAATACTTTGGATTAATTCAAACTGTCATGGTGGAAAATCACAATTAACCAAAGGCAGATTCTTCATGACCATAAGTATTTGTTATGGAGAGGAGAGGAGAGAAGTAGCGACTGGGACAATTTCTAGATTTCTTTTTTTTTTTTTTTTTTTGAGATGGGTTCTTGCTCTGTTGCCCAGGCTGGAGTGGTGCAGTGGTGTGATCTCTGCTCACAGCAACCTCTGCCTCCCGGGCTCAAGCGATTCTCCTGCCTCAGCCTCCTAAGTAGCTGGGATTACAGGTGCCCACCATCATGCCCGGCTAATTTTTGTATTTTTAGTAGAGATAGGGTTTTGCCATGCTGGCTAGGCTGGTTTCGAACTCCTGACCTCAAATGATCTGACTGCATAGGCCTCCCAAAATGCTGGGATTACACATGTAAGTTACTGTGGTGATTTCTAGATTTCTTATACATTAATTCACTTACTACTTCATTCAGCTATTATTTATTGAGTAACTCTAATGAAAGGGGCACTAGTCTAGGCCTGGAAGTTGCTACAATGGTAAACAAGATGAAATCTACTACTTCATAATGCTTACATTCTTTTTTTTTCTTTCTTCTTTTTCTTGTCTTTTTTTTTTTTTTTTTTTTTTTTTGTGACAGGGTCTCAGGTGCCCAGGTTGGAGTGCAGTGGCATGATCATAGCTCATCGAAGCCTCAAACTCCTGGGCTCAAGCAATCCTCCTGCCTCAGCCTCCCCAGTAGCTGGGAATATGGGAAAAACAGGTGTGCACCATTAGGCCCAGCAATTTTTGTTTATTTTTTTTATTTATTTTTTTATTTTTTAGAGACAGCATCTCACTATATTGCCCAGACTGGTCTCAAACTCTTAGGCTCAAGTAACCCTCCCACCTTGGCCTTCCAAAATGCTGGGATTATACACCACACACAAATACACAAAACAATGGGATGGGAATAGAGGCAATACGTATGTGGTAATGGTTGTGATTTCAACTAAGGTCAGCTGTGGACATGTTATTATAGTAGAGATATTTGAGCAGAGACTTAATTGGAGTGAGTCATGAAAATATCTGAACGACATTCTTTCCAGGGAGAAAAAAACTGCAAGCACAAATGCAAATATCCCGAAGTGGGAACAAGTTTGACATGCAAGAGTTCCAGTATCCTAGCTCCTAATAACCAAGGAGGGGAGATAAGTAAGTGATGTGAAAGTTGAGATAGGAAGATGAATGGGGGTTGGGGGAAGCAATCATGTAGTGTCTTTCAGACCACAGCAAGAACATGGAGTTTGGTTTTGGGTATGAAGGACTTTGAGCAGGAAAATAATGTGACCTAATTTCCACTATAAGTAAGATTGATCTATTTGTGGTGAAGACAATTAACTCTATCAAGGCAACAGTAGCTCCCGGGACACTCGTTAGGACACTATTGGATTTAGAATCCAACGCTCTTGAAAGATAGAGCCAGCAGGTCTTACTGATGTTTTGAACACAAATTGTGAATGAAAGGAGTCAAAAGTGATGACTAGAGTATTGTATTGTCCTGAGTAAGTAGGATGATGATGATGCTACTTACTGAAATGTAGAAGTCTGAGGAAAGGGAAGTTCTGAGGGGGGGATACGAGGGTTCTCATTTGAACATGTTAAGTTAGAACCATCCAATTAGACATCCTAATGTAGATTTTGCTCATGTGGTTTGATATCTAAGTCTGGAACTCAGAGCATGGGTGGCAGGGAATATAAGCTGTGATTCTAGGAAATCCACCTGTAACGATGCCATCTGTATGAATAACAGAAGCCAGATAAGATGCTGTTGGTGATTTCTAGGATACAGCCCTCCATATATACAAATTGACTTTAAATTGTTTTAGTTATTGGCTTTCACAATAATGCCATATTAAAAGACAACCACAAAGCCTCAGTGACACACAATATTGAGCATTGATTACATATGTTTGGACTGTTGATGGCCAAGTAGGTGGTTTTGCTATTCTTATCTGGGCTCATTCACATATCTGGGGGTTGGGTCACTGTCAGCTGGAGCAACTGTAGTGACTCAGCTCTGCTGCCCCCATCAAGGATGGACAGTGATACTTAGGTTGGAGTAGGATAGAACAGTATCTGTGTCAAGTTTAAGATGAAGCTGATGCAGTATTTATCAATGTGGAATACAAAATGACCCAATAAATGATAACCTCCAACTAAATGGTTGAAGATGCCTGAATCAGAGGGCAATGTGGTCACATTAATCTGTTTTCGAAAATGAATGCTATTAAGTAGGTCTAGATACTTTATCCATATTGATTACTCTCTCCGGGTAAGATTGTCCAGCTTCTTGGTTAGCTTTGGCCAGATATCCTTGTTATTCAGAGTTCATAAGATCACAAGAATTTGACTCCCTTTTTTTGGGGGGGGGGGGGGTGGGGAGATTGTAAGCCCCAGGAAAGCAGTAGTTCTGTCTGTTTTGCTCACTCTTTTATTCTGAGTGCCTGGGCTTTTTTATGGATGCAGGCACTGGAAAATGCTAAATCTGTATTTGTTGATAGATTTGTTCAATGTATGTTTCCATGAAGAATATTTTTCCACCTACTTTGCCTATATTTTTTGAGGGGGCTAGCTGGATTAAAATACTGGAGAAATAAACAATATAATCAAAGAATAGAGAAGTCTAAAAAGAGATTTACTCCTTAGCACTTTTAGAAATAATTTTATACCCTCCACCCTGTCTGCTGATAATATACTTACTTGTGCTGATTTAATGTTAAGCTCTTTCTGCACATCAGGAGGTCCCCAGTAAAAAGTAAAAATAAAAATAAAGTTAAACTCTTCAAGGCTTTTCATTATTATTAGGATGAAGACCTGATAGTCATGCATAGCAATAAAGCTCTGCATGATCTGGCTTCTGCCAACCTCTATCCCATCATCTTGTATCCTTTTCCCCATGTCTCTCTGTACCCCAGCCACATTAGCCTTCTTTCACTTTCTTGGATAAAAAATGGTCCTTATCATTGTTCCAGGACTTTCTTGTGCCTGGAGTCCTGTTGGGAAATGCCTTGTCCCTCTTCAGATCCTAAATGGACTGTCAGAACTCCAGTATAGGCATTCATAAAGTTCAGTGTTTTAACTCCTAACAGTAATCATAGCATAGATAATTACATATTTATTTTTGTATGATTATTTTATTTATGTCTTTCCTTTCTACTGTAGCATTAGCTCCATGAGAAGAGGGAGGGACTATATCAGTTCAACTCACTTGCATTTCCAAGGCTTGTACAGTGCTTGGTACAAAACACAAACTCAGTAAAATACTCTTGTCCCATATACTAGCTTACATCAATGTGATTCTTTTAACTTAAAAAACAATTAGGTGATTCTGAAGAACTCTAGAGGGCTTTATAGAAAGAAATATATATGAAATTACTCATTTGATATCTTCTTCCTATTTCTAGGACATCTCTTATTAAGGTGTCAAAATCATCCCTTTTTTAGATCTTTCCAAAGTTATTTTATCATTAAAAAAATGTGAGAAAGCTTTGACTTGAAAAATCATTAAGCCAGAAGATATTATATTTCTCTTCATACCTGCTTTCTACATGCAAAAACTCTGGAAACTCGGACATGATTTATATTTCCGGGACTGTTAAGAACAAGGGCTTTGCTATAAAATTTGATCATCTGCTATCTCAATTTTTTTAATGAGAAAAATTCTTGAGTCCTAGACCAAGATAAAGAGAATTTTCCTTACATGCTTAAACATATCAGAAAATTTGTAAGTGAAGATAAACAATTATAGAAGACCTGGATTTTTAATATTTATGGAGCTCAAACTGTATTTCTTTTTATAAAGTAAATCTTTCCCAATTATCTACCTATATATCTATTCAGTTATTCTCTTAATGAACATTAAATAGATAGGATTTTTTAAAATCTTATCCAAGAATAGCTTTATCTACTGATAGATAATAACAATATTAGTACAATTGGCTTATTGAGAATAAAACATTACTTGTTACAATCCTTCATTCACACCATTTTATTTGGTTCTAATTCTTGCGATAATTATTTTCCTATTCAGTGACCCTGCATTTCAAGGATACTAAGCCTATCCTTACAAGAATAAACAGATAAATTTCCCTGTGCAGTTGGTAGACTTCTTTTCCAGGACTTCTTCATAAACAATTAGGTAGAGATATTCCTACCTCTTTGCCCCAAAGTGATAGCACATTTCAACTGAAAGTGTGAGAAGAATGTGTTCATTGCTCAAACACAAGCTTCGTCATCAATGGATAGACAACTTTCAGACTAAAATAACATCTGGCAATCTGTCTCCATAAGAATCCTTTCTAGATTTCTTTAAAACTAGCCATGAATCAGAGAAGAAGACGTTACAAAAAATTAATTCTGAGACAACCTATTGCCACATTTGGAGGAATTTCCCTTATTATAATATAAAGCTGGTGGGGTCGATTTGAGAAATACAATTAGTGGCTGCTCTTGATTTATGTCATCAGAAACCCTTTATCCTCCAAAGAAGACAGACAAAAATTTCCCCTTAATTTATCACTTAATCTTTCAACAGCAACAACAATGCCTTGAGCTTCTGCTATGTGCTGGCACTGTAAGTACTGGGGATATGATAATAAAGACAGCCATTATTCTTATCTTTATTGAGCTTCAGTCTTTCAGGAAATTCTGCAATTTTAGAGGTATATAATGATGACACAGACATACAAACTGCTACAGAAATACGCCATGGGAGTAACTAATCTACTGGAAGTAGATTGCAAAATAAAGTAACATCTAATTTGAGATATAAAGAATGAGTAGTTAATGAGACAAGATGGAAATTATGATTATTTCAACAGAATGAGTGTTTAACTTCATGTTGAGATTTTCTTATCAAATAGGCTGGACTAGAAGTCTAATAAATCTTTTCCTACATGTTGCTAGAATTACACATCTGCATATCATCCCAGATGAGATACACCAATTTACCCAATGGTATGAAGGTCTGAAAAGAAGATTGAGTAAGATGCTTTTAGATACTTTTTAAAAGTTCAGTATGACTGGATTATATAAGGTGAGGTAGAGAGCAGTAGAATTGAAATTGAAGAAGTCAGCCAGTGCAAAATTAGAAAGGATCTTCAAACCTTTTTAAGGATTTCAGAAATCATTGCAAAGCAGCAGGAGGACAACTGAGTGCTGAAAGGAAGAAAGATTTGCCTTTTAGAATTATCAACAGGGCTTCGGTGAAAAAAAATAAATTTGAGAAAAGCAATACAAGAGTGAGAATAATAAGATAAAGACAATTATAAACAATGCTCCAAGGATGAGATAATAGTATCCTGGATGGTGAAAATGAAGAAACGTTAACAAATAGATTCTTATTTGTTAGAAGATGAAACTAATAAGCTTTAGCAGTTGGTTGAATGTAGGAATGAAGAGGAATGTCAAATGTGGCTTAGCTGTCTGGACATTTGATGCCTTTCATTGACATAGAAAACCTATGAACAAAAGCAAGTCAGGGAAAGATGAGCTTGATTTTTATTTTATTTTATTATACTTTAAGTTCTGGGATACATGTGCAGAATGTGCAGGTTTGTTACACAGGTATTCATGTGCCATGGTAGTTTGCTGCACCCATCAACCCATCATCTACATTAGGTATTTCTCCTAATGCTATCCCTCCCCTGGTCCCCCATCCCTCAGACAGGCAAAGTAACACAGGAACAGAAAACCAAACACCGCATGTTCTCACTTAAAAGTAGGAGTTGAACAATGAGCTTGATATTTTGCATCTTAAGTTTGTGGTTCTTGTGCTCAATACAAGAGGACATGTACAATAGGAATTTAGACAGACCATTGCCATAAATATGTGAGAGTCATCAATATAAGGAATAGTTGAGGTCTTGGAAATTGCTGAGACTATTCTCTAGAACTACATAGAGTGAAAGAAGGGGGACTAGAACAAAATTCGAGACACACTGATATTTATGGGATATTCAGAGAAATGGAGTTTTGCAAAGGTAAGTGAGGAACACTGGACATCTCCAAAGAGGAGTGATTAGCCAAGTTGGAATTCAGAAAGTCACAAGTAAAAGAGTGTTTGAGAATAAGGGAGTGTCTATACTTCCAGTAAAGTCTGACTCCTCACTTAAGGGATGTATTTTCATCTGACTAAGTAGTGGTTGTTTTTTGAGGTAGCAAAAATGTCTCTACTCACATAAGTCTATATTCATGAAAATAGAGGGAACTTAAGAGCAAAAATTAGAGATCAGAGGCAATATAGATGGAAAATTATAGATTGGAAGTTATGAAGTCCTAAAGTTTGAAGTTTAATAGAAATATTTAGGGGAACATTAGCAAATAACCAACCAGGGCATCCATTCAAATATTTGAAAAGCATTTTTTTTTTGCCTTCATCTAGTTGCTCTCATTTGAGTAAGGATGTATTAACATTTTCTTCTGTAAAGAGGAAAGAGGAGGTTTGTATATGGTAAGGTTGTGATTTTAATTAAGGTCAATATTCTAGTAGAATTTTTTTTATTTAGCTCAGACATCTTTATGAAACATTTTGGGTCAAAATTGTTATTCTAATTTCTATAATACAGGAATGTGAAGTTTCATACTTATTTAGTAAATATTTAATGAAGTGGTATGACAGTTCCTTTTACCATGATATTTCCTTGTATATAGTTAAACAACCTTCTAATAAGTTCATTCATTCAAATAATGAGTTTTTTACTGAGAAACTATTATGTACCAAGTACTGAGTTCTGTGAAACATAAAAGACAAGAATTCCTATCTCTGAGAAGCTTACATTTTGCTATAGGAAATAGATAATAAAAAATTAAGCACTAAAATATAAGAAAATTATGCATTACATTAAAAGATGATAACCGCTATTGGGAAAATAACAGAGTAAAGGAAAATAGGATTGCCAAGGGCAGGATGTAGATGGAATGTCATCCATGTGCTAGGCATTTGCTAGATGCTATTGACTTAGACATTCCTTGCCATCAACAGTCTAGAGATGAAGATATATAAGTAAACAGAACATTGTAGTTTGCTGTGACATCCATGCTGTACTACAGAAGCACAAAACAGGAGTGCCTAATCTAAGCTGGGGGCAAGTTCTAATTAAGGAAGACTTCCTGTGAAAGACAGCACCTTATCTCAGTCTTGAAGATGAGCAAAATTTGGCCAGGCAGCAAGAGGAATGAAGTACATCTTAGAGTTCAAATATATACATATATATATATATGTTGGCCCCTATTTCCAACACCTTTCCACTCCACAGTAGGTGGCAGTAACATGACCCTTACAAATTGGGCTCCTTGATTTACACGACAGAAGGTCAGTTTTAGCTCTTGCAGAGCACATCAATTCTTCTTTAACAAAGAAATGAGGCTATCTCTTCTCCAGCCATGAATTGATTGCAATGAAGCAATTGCCAAAATGTCTCTGAAAACATCAATTTTTTGAGCCTAATGAATATGTCATACATCCATTCCTCTAAACTAGTTCTTCATAAAGTGAGGTACCTAGACCACATTTTCAAAGCTCTCTCGGTGGTGCCATAATTTTGATAGCAGGCTAATATTTGAAAATTTCTTTGATCAATATCTATTATCTCTTGCAAAGCAGTTTCAAACATTGTCTATTTCCTTACCTAAGACTTCCTAAACACAAACCAGGAACCCAACACAATACAGTGCTATATTAATTCACTATCTAGAACAAGTAAATATCCAAATTAATGTTTACAATTTCTTCTGCTGTTAAACACTTCATCGTATGGACTCAGTCATCAATTTCTGTCACTTTTTGCCTTTCTCCATCTCCACCTTCACTTCCCTAGGTTAGATCCTAATCATTTTTGGCTAATCTGCTGAAATCATTTGTTCTCTGTGTTAGAAACAAGGGCTCGGAGTTGCAAAGAAAATGAGCACTCAAACAAAAGACTTCTTAGCAAGGCAAATTGCTTCTGCAGAATGGTGCTGCCTGCATCAGTCACAACAGCAAGAGCACACCGAACAAAGGAGGGAAGGGGTTTTTATCCCTAATGTGGTTAGTCACTGCCTCTGTGTCCTGTCCCCATTAGCTGGAGTCAGATGGCAAAATCTAAACTGACCTGATTGGCTACTGTTTAAAATTGAATCTGTCTCTTTAGGTGGGAAGGGAGAGGCTGTCTGTTATAGTACAAGGCATGTTTGGGCATGTCAGGGTGCGGCAAAGGCAGGAAGGGTAGTTTCAGCGGGAGGGGCGGTTTACAGAATGGGTAGCCAGGAGTAAAGAGGACTCTTTCCAAATAAAGAAGAGATGTGAGTTACAGATTGGGACTGGCGGGAGAAGTTGATTACAGAGCAGGTAGCTTAGGAGAAGGGACAAAGAAGCTGCTCTTGAGAACAAAGAACAAGGAAGTCAGAAATTAAACCTTTGAAGAGGAACTTACTGTATCTGACAATTCCCCCTCCTTTTGATTTTTATAATTCTTCCTCTTCAAACCTTTTTAACATGTCTTGACTCTGTTGTTCTGCTTGGTTTTCTATAAGTAGGAGCTTATCTGAATAAGGCAGGGGGGAATAGAAAAAGGTTTTAGCGAGAGCTGTTTCAATAAGCCTTTGTACTAGGCTTCAGGCACAGGGTATGATACAACATCCTACAAGAATAAGCACACCTATTACAATGGCAAGAGAAGTAAGGATTGAGGACATAAGTCCTTTCCATCTTCCAAACCATTTTTTCCATGAGATCAAAGAAATGGTCATTTACTCTAGAATTTTCAGCCAATTTATTTGCTAGGGTGGTAAGGCCCTGTAAAGCCTTTGTGATTGTTCCATTGGGGGCTGTGTTGTTAGGGATAAAAGTACAGCATTGGACTCCAATCATAACACAGACCCTGTCATTCTCAGGTAATATTATTTCCAGAGCTATTCTATTTTCCCAGGCTATTTGGCTGGTGGGGCCTAATTGTTCAGCTATCCCTTTTATGGCATCTCTAGTACAATTAATAAACTGCTATTGATTATAGTAAATGTGATTTATCCAGTCTACATTTTTTTTTTACAGTTACCCATGAAAACAATATAAATTCAAATCCTGTGGCTATTTGATTTCAGGTTTTAAATTCATTTGGCACCCTTCGTGCAACTCCAGTGGCATCCATATAAATGTGAGGGTCAAAGGACCCATGAAGGGCACTTCTTTTACGATTGTTCTTTTTGTTTGGTTGATAAAATGCCAGGGTGAAAGGGATGGCTAGTTGGATTTGAGCACAAGTGCTGCTTCAGTTACTTGGCAGAGTACCGAATAGTGGCTCACCACAATACCACTATACATCCGCTCTGGTATGAACAAAGGCAGACTGATTGGTTAGCTCTGAAAAGGCTTGGACTCACTGCATAACAATAGGCTTCCAAGGAATGCCAGATTTTCCCCTTGTCATGAGAGACACAAGGTAAAATTGACATTGTTAACCAGAAGCCAGATGACTCTTGGGGGCTGACCTGCAGGGCCTTTAACTTTTGGGAATAGCAGCGAGAGAGTTCAGCATGCCTTATTGCCCCTGGCTGTGGGTTCTTGGAAGAGAGCTACCATACAGCTTATACCCTGTTGGTCTGAGGACCATCCAAGTGGAAAGGGAACAATTTGGGCTTCTGGCCTGCCCATTGCACAAGCATAACAATTGCTCTTATTTAGGGTGCGAACAGAATATTTAATCCATTCCAGCCAGGCATTTACATCTTGATGCCAAGTTTCTATGGCTAGGGTTTGCTTTAAGTCCTTGGCTTCTACTGCAACTACTTTGGTTTTGTCATTGGGTAAGAAACAAGAAATGGAAATAGTTTAATTTGGTGGGCTTGGGGAAGGAGTAGTTGGAGGGGGGAGAAACAAAGAGCATTTCAAAGAAGCCTATGGGTTTTTTTTCCAGTGACATCTGCTCCTAGACCATATAGAGTTGCCAGAGAAAGGGATAGTAATGGAGAATAAAATGGGGGGCGGTTAAGGGAAAGAGAAGAGGAAAAAGAGGCAGACAAATTAGGCTTTTCTTTTTAATGTTACTCTCGTGGGAGCCGGCCCTGGGACAATGGTCCATGGTTTTGGAGAGGGTGAGCCTTCTTGACTCAGGTATGACAGTTCCACCCTTTTTCAGCAGTTTGGACTTCTATCTCAGTTGTGAGGAGCACCAGGTAAGGTCCTTCCCAGGTGGGCTCGAGTTTTCCCTCTCTCCAACTTCTGACAAGGACATAATCTCCAGGCTGGTGTTGATGAACTGGGAATTCAAGGGGTGGAATCTGCACTAGGAGGCCTTGAGTCCTGACTGAGGAAAGGGTGAAGGGTAGACCAAATATGTAGTTTTTGAGATTGGGAACAACAGGGTTGGTGGTTTGAACTATTTGATTAATAGCCCATAGGTCTTGTACTAACCAGTATGACCTGTCCCATTTCCTTACAGGCAATACGGGAGTGTTATAAGAGGACCAACAGGGTTCAAGGAGTCCATCATGGACAAGGCTTTCAATTATAGGTTTTAAACCTATTCTAGCTTTTAAAGGAATAGGGTATTATTTTCTTTTTACTACTTCCCCAGGAATTTTTAACTTGACATGGATTGGAGGAAGCTGTAGCTTTCCTTAATTACCTTCTCTTGACCAGATACTGGGATGGATATACTTTTCATCTATAGTAGTAAGTTTAGAGAGGTGAGAAATTTTCCCTGGTTAATATAGAGGCCTAAACCTAATTCTAGTATTAAATCTCTCCGTAATAGGTTTGTTCCTGCCTCTGGAATTAATAGAAACTTAATATTAACTGATTTGTTTATATATATAACTTTTGTTTCTTTTAAGATCTTTGCTTTAAATCCTTCTCTTTTTACTCCTGAGATATGAAGTTCTTCTTGTGAACAAATTACATCTGATGGGGGATAACAAACAGAAGAGCGAGCCACCCCTGAGTCAATTAAAAAAAGTAATAAGCTCAGAGTTGGGTCCCACCTCTAAATTTATCAAGGGCTTTTGGTGGGACCAGAGGTAGAAAAGACAGAGCCTCTGACCCCCGTATTCTTCCTCAAAAACCATAAGGGGGATGGCTTCCTTTTCTATTTCCCACTTAAGGCATTCTCTTTAAAGTGCCCTATTTTTCCACATTTGAAACATTCGTTTTGTCCTTTTCTCCTTTTTATTTCCTGGCCTTCCTGCTTGATTCCTTTGCCTCTTGTGTAGGATCTGGCAGCCTGGTTCTTGGAAGGCTTACAGGCTCTATTTCCCTGGGCTCCCTGTTGAAGAGCACCCTGTTGTAGGGTGGACAGCATAATTTTTGCATTTTGCTTCTGCCTTTCCTCATCCCTCCATACATACACCTTTTGGGCCTTTCTTAAAAGTTCCTCTATGGGATGGTCTTTCCAATTCTCTGTTTTCTGTAATTTTCTTATAAAATCTGGCCAACTGTTGGTGACAAAGTGGAGTTTTAACATTCCTTGTTCCAGGGGGTTTTCTAATTTTAGGCCAGCTTACTTTCTCTTTTGCTCCTCAAGCCTCTCTAAGGACTCTACAGGTCCTTCATCCTTTCCCTGCTGTATATTAAAGGCTTTGGTAATATTCTGGGTGTGGGGCATCAAGTCTCTAATTTCTTTAGTTATCATTTCCCTTAGATCTCTCGTATTTCCTCAGTGGGCTATTGGAGGGAATTTTATTGTCTTTTTTTTTTTTTTTTTTTTCTGCTTTGCTTGGGGTATTTCCCATCCTGGAAGTTTTAGGTGTTTCCCAGAGTTTTCTGAGTCTATGGGACCCAACCTCTCTTACTAGAGATTTCTTGCAACTTTTTCCCTGGAGACTCTGTGGGGCTCAACCTCTCCTACTAGAGATTTCTTGCACCATTTTCCCTGGAGCCTCAACCCCCACGAGTGGAAATTTCTTGCACTCCCCTACTTTCACTTCACACTCAGTTGTGTGTCTCAATCACACACTTTTAACCTCCAGGATGTCTCAACCACCAAGGAAGTACTTCCCTGCCCCCAC
Source organism: Homo sapiens (assembly GCF_000001405.40). Taxonomy (NCBI): domain Eukaryota; kingdom Metazoa; phylum Chordata; class Mammalia; order Primates; family Hominidae; genus Homo; species Homo sapiens. Next base: position 79,120,540 of record NC_000008.11, on the reverse strand, counting down.
GGCTTTTCTTACATTGGTCTGTGCACAGAGTTACCTGATCACTGTGGCATTTATAGGCCTCCTCTTCCTGCGTTGCTGAGAGTCTGTGTTTATTCGTCACACTGGGTGGGTCCAGATTCCTTACCCCTGAGGCCACCACAGTGAGGCAGCAGGATGTGTCTCCTCACGAGAGGTGATTAGAGACCCTTCCCCAGAGGAGAATGGGATCTGGGACAGGTCCCCAAATTGTTAGAAACAACAGCTCAGAGTCACAAAGAAAATGAGCACTCAAACAAAAGACTTCTCAGCAAGGCAAATTTACTTCTGCAGAAGGGTGCTGCCTGTGTCAGTCACGACTGCAAGAGCACACCGAACAAAGGAGGGAAGGGGGTTTTATCCCTAACAGGGCTAGTCCCTGCTTCTGTGTCCTGTCCCCATTTGCTCGAGTTGGACAGCACAATCTAAACTGACCCAATTGGCTACTGTTTAAAATTGAATATGGCAAGTTAGGTGGGAAGGGAGAGGCTGTCCTTTATGGTACAGGGCATGTTTGGGCCTGTCAGGGCACGGCAAAGGCAGGAGAAGGGTAGTTTCAGCGGGAGGGGCAGTTTACAGAATGGGTAGCCAGGAGTAAAGAGGACTCTTTCCAAATAAGGAAGAGATGTGAATTACAGATTGGGACTGGCGGGAGAAGTTGTTTACAGAGCAGGTAGCTTAGAAGAAGGGACAAAGAAGTTGATCTCGAGAACAAAGAACAAGGAAGTCAGAAATTAAACCTTTGAAGAGGAACTTACTGTATCTGACATCTGTGTCCTCTACCTCCAATCTAGCTCAAATTCATTTTCCTTTCTGATATGAAAGTGATATATTTGAAATGAAAATCTGTCAATGTTAACCTCCTGCTTAAAGCTGTCATTGATGTCTTGTTACCTACAGGATAAAGTTTTAGTTTGTTATATGACTGAGGAAATTAACTGTGATCTGTCATTTTCTGTCTCCCCAGAATCATCTACAGCTGTCCCAAACTTACCCCAACCAAATCCTCTGCTAGGGTCGTGTAGCAATATGCACTGTGGAATTTAAACACAAATACACACACACACATACACAGCCCCCACCAAAGCATCACCTATGAGATTAAGCCCAGACACAAGTATTTCTTTAAAATTTCAGTTAATGTCACACCACTGTTCTAGTAACAGTGTGCTATTGGAAGGTCCTGGCCCCCTACCTGGCTCACTTACACTTCAGAGTTTTTGACATTCTTTTCCCTAGGCCTGAAATGCTATTTCTCTCATTATTCCCTTTCTTCACATGGCAACTCCTCATCTTTCAAGGATAGGATTACACATTATTTCCTGGAGTATGCATTTCTTCTTTGTCTCCTTGCCCCATGCTATTAGATGTCTGTGTTCGTGTGCTTGCAAAGCATCCCAGTTAAAGTTCTATGTTATTATTTCTGCCATAGCATTACAATGACTAAAAGTATCAGTCTTATTTTAGACTATAAATTCTGCTATTGCGGAGATTGCAGATTTGTTTTGTTTTTGAAACTTTTAAAAAAGGTAGAAGGAAAATAGGCAATTTGATTTAAAGTGAACAATTGGAAGGAACAGACTTTTCAGACCTGATTAATAGGATTTTAGGAAAAAAATATTATAAAATATTTCTAGTTACCAAATTATTATCTCTGCAGATGTTTATATCATTAAGAGATATTTATTATTATATACTTTATATATATGTACTGATAGACACACAAAGTTGCTAATATGTGTTGAATGCCTTTTATGTACCAGGCACTGTGCTAAATGTATTACCCATATTATCTCACAGTAGTCTCTTAATAATCCTACTAGGGGTTATGATTATTATTTACTATTTTTCAGATGGGATTGCTGAAGATTTGAGAGGTTGGGATACTTGCACATGATACAAAGTTGACCCACTTTATATAAATACAAAATCATTGTGGAAAATGAATGGTTTCCCTGTGCCAATATTCATTATGCAACTGAAGAGACTAGCTGTAACTAATTGTATTTGAAGGTACTTTAGCTTGGAAGCTCCAATGTAGTTCATGATTTTTATAAAGCCAAACTAACAAAAAAAACCAGATTCATATTTCTGGTTTTTATTTCACACTCTAGTGTTAAAATAACAGTAAAAATGTTATCTTTTGAGAAATATTGAACAAAAATCATTTATTTCTTTGTCCTCAAAGTTTAATTTTCTCTATGAATGAGACTTTACTGAGGATGTTTAAATATTGTTTAAAAATACCGTAAATAGGGTAAAACATGAAATATGCATCAGAAGCTACATTGTTGTAAAATCAAATTATTATATCTTATTTAACTTTTTAAATTTTTAATTATTATAGTTGTAAAGTTATTTCTCGTAAAAATGTAGGCATCACAGGTGAAAAATGCTAAAAAAATTACTAGAATTAGCATTGTTTTAGTACTTTATTATTTTATTTTATTTTATATTACTTATTATACTTTAAGTTTTAGGGTACATGTGCACAACTTGCAGGTTTGTTACATATGTATACATGTACTGTGTTGGTTTGCTGCACCCATTAACTAGTCATTCACATTAGGTATTTCTCCTGATGCTATCCCTCCCCTGTTCCTCCAGCCCATGAAAGGCCCTGGTATGTGATGTTCCCCACCCTGTGTCCAAGTGTTCTCATTGTTCAGTTCCCACCTATGAGTGAGAACATGTGGTGTTTGGTTTTCTGTCCTTGCGATAGTTTGCTCACAATTATGGTTTCCAGCTTCATCCATGTTGCTACAAAGGACATGAACTCATCCTTTTTTCATGACTGCGTAGTATTCCATTGTGTATATGTGCCACATTTTCTTAATCCAGTCTATCACTGATGGACATTTGGGTTGATTCCAAGTCTTTGCTATTGTGAATACTGCCACAATAAACATACATGTTCATGTGTCTTTATACTAGCATGATTTATAATCCTTTGGGTATATACCCAGTAATAGGATCACTGGGTCAAATGGTATTTCTAGTTCTAGATCCTTGAGGAATCGCCATACTGTCTTCCACAATGATTGAACTAGTTTACACTCCCACCAACAGTGTAAAAGCATTCCTATTTCTCCACATCCTCTCCAGTACCTGTTGTTTCCTGACTTTTTAATGATTGCCATTCTAACTGGTGTGAGATGGTATCTCATTGTGGTTTTGATTTGCATTTCTCTGATGACCAGTGATGATGAGCATTTTTTCATGTGTCTGTTGGCTGCTTAAAAGTCTTCTTTTGAGAAGTGTCTGTTCATATCCTTTGCCTACTTTTTGATGGGATTCTTTGTTTTTTTCTTGTAAATTTGTTTAAGTTCTTTGTGTATTCTGGATATTAGCCCTTTGTCAGATGGGTAGATTGCAAAAATTTTCTCCTATTCTACAGGTTGCCTGTTCACTCTGATGATAGTTTATTTTGCTGTGCAGAAGCTCTTTAGTTTAATTAGATCCCATTTACCAGTTTTGGCTTTTGTTGCCATTGCTTTTGGTGTTTTAGTCATGAAGTCTTTGCCCATGCCTATGTCCTGCATGGTATTGCCTAAGTTTTCTTCTAGGGTTTTTATGGTTTCAGGTCTGCATTTAAGCTTTTAATCCATCTTTAATTATTTTTTGTATAAGGTGTAAGGAAGGGATCCAGCTTCAGCTTTCTATATATGGCTAGCCAGTTTTCCCAGCACCGTTTATTAAATAGGGAATGATTTCCCCACTTCTTGTTTTTGTCAGGTTTGTCAAAGATCAGGTGGTTGTAGATGTGTGATGTTATTCCTGAGGCCTCTGTTCTGTTCCATTCATCTATTTCTTTGTTTTGGTACTAGTACCATGCTGTTTTGGTTACTGTAGCCTTGTAATATAGTTTGAAGTCAGGTAGCGTGATACCTGCGGCTTTGTTCTTTTTGCTTAGGATTGTCTTGGCAATGTGGGCTCTCTTTTGGTTCCACATGAACTTTAAAGTAGTTTTTTCCAATTCTGTGAAGAAAGTCATTGGTAGCTTGATAGGGATGGCATTGAATCTATAAATTACCTTGGGCAGTATTGCCATTTTGACGATATTGATTCTTCCTATCCATGAGCATGGAATGTTCTTCCATTTGTTTGTGTCCTCTTTTATTTTGTTGAGCAGTGGTTTGCAGTTCTCCTTGAAGAGGTCCTTCACATCCCTTGTAAGTTGGATTCCTAGGTATTTTATTCCCTTTGTAGCAATTGTGAATGGGAGTTCACTCACAATTTGACTCCCTGTCTGTATGTTATTGGTGTATTGGAATGCTTGTGATTTTGCACATTGATTTTGTATCCTGAGACTTTGCTGAAGTTGCTTATGAGCTTAAGATTTTGGGCTGAGACGATGGGGTTTTCTAAATGTGCAATCATGTCATCTGCAAACAGGGACAATTTGACTTCCTCTTTTCCTAATTGAATGCCCTCTATTTCTTTCTCCTGCCTGATTGCCCTGGCCAGAACTTCCAACAGTGTGTTGAATAGGAGTGGTGAGAGAGGGCATCCCTGTCTTGTGCCAGTTTTCAAAGGGAATGCTTCCAGTTTTTGCCCATTCAGTATGATACTGGCTGTGGATTTTTCATAAATAGCTCTCATTATTTTGAGATACGTCCCATCACTACCTAGTTTATTGAGAGTTTTTAGCATGAAGCGCTGTTGAATTTTGTTGAAGGCCTTTTCTGCATCTATTTAGATAATCATATAGTTTTTGTCTTTGGTTCTGTTTATGAGATGGATTACGTTTATTGATTTATGTATGTTGAACAAGCCTTGCATCCCAGGGATGAAGCGAACTTGATCTTGGTGGATAAGCTTTTTGATGTGCTGCTGGATTCAGATGCCAGTATTTTATTGAGGATTTTCGCATCGATGTTCATCAGGGATATTGGTCTAAAATTCTCCTTTCTTTGTTGTGTCTCTGCCAGGCTTTTGTATCAGAATGATGCTAGCCTCATAAAATGAGTTAGGGAGGATTCCCTCCTTATGACTGGAATAGTTTCAGAAGGAATAGTACCAGCTCCTCTTTGTACCTGTGGTAGAATTCGGCTGTGAATCTGTCTGGTCCTAGACTTTTTTTGGTTGGTAGGCTGTTAATTATTGCCTCAATTTCAGAGCCTGTTATTGGTCTATTCAGCGATTCAACTTCTTCCTGGTTTAGTCTTGGGAGGGTCTATGTGTCCAAGAATTTATCCATTTCTTCTAGATTTTCTAGTTTATTTGCGTAGAGGTGTTCATAGTATTCTCTGATGGTAGTTTGCATTTCTGTGGCATCGGTGGTGATGTCCCCTTTATCATTTTTTATTGCGTCTCTTTGATTCTTCTCTCTTTTCTTCTTATTAGTCTTGCTAGCAGTCTGTCAATTTTGTTGATCTTTTCAAAAAACCAGCTCCTGGATTCTTGATCTTTTGAAGGGTTTTTTATGTCTCTATCTCCTTCAGTTCTGCTCTTAGTTATTTCTTGCCTTCTGCTAGCTTTGAATGTGTTTGCTCTTGCTTCTCTAGTTCTATTAATTGTGATGTTAGGGTGTCAAATTTAGATCTTTCCTGCTTTCTCTTGTGAGCATTTAGTGCTATAAATTTCCCTCTACACACTACTTTAAATGTGTCCCAGAGATCCTGGTACATTGTGTCTTTGTTCTCATTGGTTTCAAAGAACATCTTTATTTCTGCCTTCATATCGTTATTTACACAGTAGTCATTCAGGAGCAGGTTGTTCAGTTTCCATGTAGTTGTGTGGTTTTGAGTGAGTTTCTTAATCCTGAGTTCTAATTTGATTGCACTGTGGTCTGAGAGACAGTCTGTTGTGATTTCTGTTCTTTCACATTTGCTGAGGAGTGCTTTACTTCCAAGTATGTGGTCAATTTTAGAATAAGTGTGATGTGGTGCTGAGAAGAATGTATATTCTGTTGATTTGGGGTGGAGAGTTCTGTAGATGTCTATTAGGTCTGCTTGGTGTAGAGCTGAGTTCAAGTCCTGGATATCCTTTTTAACCTTCTGTCTCATTGATCTGTCTAATATTGACAGTGGAGCATTAAAGTCTCCCATTACTATTGTGTGGGAGTCTCTTTGTAGGTCTCTCAGGACTTGTTTTATGAATCTGGGTGCCCCTGTATTGGTTGCATATATATTTAGGATAGTTAGCTCTTCTTGTTGAATTGATCCCGTTACTATTATGTAATGGCCTTCTTTGTCTCTTTTTATCTTTGTTGGTTTAAAGTCTGTTTTATCAGAGACTAGGATTGCAACCCCTGCTCAAAATAAAGGGATGGAGGAAGATCTACCAAGCAAATGGAGAGCAAAAAAAAGCAGGCGTTGTTTTAGTACTTTATATAAAGACATCTGATACATAGTATATGTTCAATAAATAATTTGTTGGGTTAAACCAGATTGGGAAGTTTATTTTAGTGCATTTTACTGAATTGCTATGGTTACATCTCTTCACCCCACTGGACTAGATGGTCTTTGGAGCTATATGTCATATTGTATCTATCTTCATATTCCTTCATATGAAACCCAATGAATAGAAGGTATTTAGTATATACTTATTAATGTAACAGGCCACAAACTTTTAGGTGTCAACACCCCATTGCACTCTTAAAAATTATTTACTACCCTCGAAGTCTCTATTTATGTGGGTTATAGTTAGATATATGTACCATACTAGAAATCAAAATTGAGTTTTTAAAAATAAATTGATTAGTATTTTAAAATAAAAATAATAGACTCACTACATGTTATCTTAAATTGATACCTAATATCATGAAAAATCACCATATTTTCCAAAGCAAAACAACTTGATGATAACAGTCATTGTTTTCATTTTTCACATTTCTTTAATATCTAGTTTAGCAGATATAAAATAGGTAGAATAATCTGGCTTTTCATATCTGCCTGTGCATTCAATCTTTTTTGATATGTTGTTTGAGTTGCATAATATTTTTATGGACTTTAGAGAAAACTGTGGCTGTTCTTGCTTACTGTATCAAAATTCAATTAGTAGTTTCTTAATAGTTCATTGCAATGTAGAATTTGAGTTCATATCAGTAAACTTTTGTACTCTGTTACATTAAAACCTATGCTAGATATTGAATTTTGAAAAGATCTTCTATCCATGCATTGTTTTGCAATACCATCTATTAATAATTTTGAAAACTTTTATCCACTTAGTAATGTTGATCTTCCAAATGTTGATATATTTTGTCACACATTTTTTTTTAATCACATTTGTTAATTTCACCAATGATCTCAACCAAAAGTCTTCAGGAAGCTGTCGGTGGTAGATATACATTTTCCAAATTTCTATTTTAGCTTGAAAGCTGTAATTTTATTATTGACATCAAAGAATGTCTATTGTTTTCCCTGAAGTAAAAATCTTACTTTACTTATTGCTGCCCCAAACGCAAGTCTATATATCCATAGTTTGTCTGTTATTCACTCTTTAAGTAAAAGTGGTTAGCCAGTTAAGTTGGTAATTCAAACAATTTCATTTTTTTTAAATCAAGATAACCATAAAACTTAAATATGCAGCTGGAGTTTTTTTTCATACTCTCCATTTTGTCATAGAGAATGTGAAAAAAATACATGCACAGGAGGGTAGAAATTTAATAAAATTATTAATTTGCTTTGTCATCAAAGGAATTCTTAGGTGAAACAGGCGCATATGCATATACACATACACAAACACACACACACGTATATATATTTTATATATATATGTTATATATACTTTTCCGATGAATGTTTAAAGATGAAGAATATGATGATTTGAACATCACTATCTTGACTGGAGTGAAAGCACCAGCACTTTTACCCAGCATTGTTTTGTACCCTTAATGCAAATGTCAATATAGTGAAGAAAGCAAGTAACATCCTAGTATTATGATGAAATAGGGCATTTTTGTGGATGAAATAATTTTAGAGACTCCCAGGTATTAATAAAACCATAAAACAAGTTCTTTTATGTAATTATTGGGGAAACATAAACCTAATTTTAGTTTATGCTGCCTTATGCAGAATTTGCTGAAAAAGTTTCTAATTTTAAAGATAAAATCTGTGATCTTCACAGATTTTTACACAAATCAAGCAAAAGTGTTGCTAATAAAAGTATTGTTATTACAGTTAGGCTCAAGTCTCTAAGCAAACAACAATTTCTGTTTATTCTACTTCAAAAATAGCTCTGATACATACATAGATTATTCTTCTATCTCTTCTTCTAGCCACCTAAACCAAGCTGCAATATGTAACTTCTGAACTATTATGTTTGCTCCCTAAATATTTTATCTATTGATGTACTTATTCATACAAAATATATTCTTCATAGTAGACAGAGTGATCTAAAAATATAAATCAGATCTAATAAACTCCTTTCCAAAAATCCTCCAGTGGCTTTCGGCTACCAATTGAAGAAAATTCAACTTTCTTGCCATCTCCCACATATTTACATTAGTGCCTTTGTCTCTGACCTCATGTTATACCAGTATTGCCCTCATTCACTATTTGCCAGCTGTCTTACTGAACTTTCTGTTCTTCAAACTGACTCCTTATAGTCTAGAAGAATGTTAAGCACATATAAGATGCTCAGTAACCACTGGTTGACATAATAAATGTGTTGCTTTGAACAATTATGGTAAAAAAGAGCCTTAATCTGATATGAGTTCATTTTAACAGTCTTATGGTCTGAAACCAAGGACAGTGCCGAATAGGCTTTATTTAAAAATATGTATATATTAGGTTGGTACAAAAGTAATTGTGGCTTTTGCATTGTTGGAATTTGCTGTTTGATATTGGAATACATTCTTAAATAAATGTGCTTATGTTATACATCATTTTAATGGGCATTTCCCGCTTGATGTTTTTCTGCTAATGACTTATTACTTGCTGTTTATTTTATATTTATTTTAGACTATGGAAATTATGTTAGACAAAAAGCAAATTTGAGTGATTTTCTTATTCAAGTTCAAAATGGGTTGTAAAGCAGCAGAGACAACTTGTAACATCAACAAAATATTTGACCCAGGAGCTACTAACATACAGTGCAGTGGTGGTTTAAGAAGTTTTGCAAAGGAGATGAGAGCCTTAAAGATGAGCGTATTTGGAAGTTGGCAATGACCAGTTGAGAGCAATCATCGCATCTGATCCCCTTACAACTACACAAGAAGTTGCTGAAGAACTCAACAGTGACCATTCTACAGTCATTTGACATTTGAAGCAAATTGGAAAGGTACGAAAGCTCGATAAGCTGGTGCCTTATGAGCTGAGCAAAAATAATAAAAAAATTTGGTTCTGAAGTGTCGTCTTCTCTTATTTTATGCAATCATTTCTCGATTGGATTGTGACATGCAACAAAAAGTGGATTTTATATGACAACCGGTGATGGCCAACTCAGTGGCTGGACTGAGAAGAACCTCCAAAGCACTTCCCAAAGCCAAACTTGCACCAAAAGAAAGGTCATGGTCACTGTTTGGTGGTCTGCTGCTGGTCTGATCCACTATAGCTTTCTGAAATCTGGTGAAACCATTACATCTGAGAAGTATGCTTAGCAAATCAATGAGCTGCACCAAAAAGTGCAACGCCTACAGCCAGCATTGGTCAACAGAAAGGGCCCAATTATTCTCCACAACAATGCCCGACCGCACGTCACACAACCAACACTTCAAAAGTTGAATGAATTGGGCTATGAAATTTTGCCTCATCCACCATATTCACCTGACCTCTCACCAACTGACTACCACTTCTTCAAACACTTTGACAACTTTTTGCAGGGAAAACCCTTCCACAACCAGCAGGATGGAGAAAATGCTTTCCAAGAGTTCATCAAATCACAAAGCATATATTTTTACGCTACAGGAATAAACAAACTTATATCTTGTTGGCAAATATGTGAGGATTGTAATGGTTCCTATTTTTATTAATAAAGATGTGTTTGATTTAGTGATTTAAAACTCATGGTCTAAAACTGCAATTACTTTTGCACCAACCAGAATATGCTCATGATGTCATGTATAGACAGTGCCACTAACATTAAACTCCTACAATGGGGCAGTTTAGAGACATAGAACTTAAATTTTTTTGCCTACAGTCACACTAGTGAAAATCTGACAAAATCTCTAAATCCTCCCCTCAAGAAGAAAATAAAGCACATCTGTACAATATTTGAAATGTAATGTCAGGGAATTTACAGACACCTTATAGTCCATCCATGGATTACAGAAAAAGCCTGTAGACTTCAAGATGTCCTAAAGCTACATACTAATTGAAAGACAAATTTTACAACAGGTAAACCATTGCTGAGTATCTTGGGACTGAAAAAGATTACAAATACTTCAACCGAGAACTAGAGGGACTTCAAGATCATCTGATCAATATTATAAAATGTAAAAGTTTAGAGATCATCTTCAGGTCCAAACCTTTCATTCTTATTGATATGGTTTGGCTGTATATCCACCCAAAATCTTATCTTGAATTGTAATCCTCATAATCCCCATAATGCCCATGTGTCAAGGGAGAGACCAGGAGGAGGCAATTGAATCATGGGGGTGGTATCCACCATGCTGTTTTGATGATGGAGAATGAGTTGCCAAGAGGTCTGATAGTTTATAAGGGGCTCTTCTGCCTTCACTGAGCACTTCTACCCGTCGCTTCGTGAAGAAGCTGTGAAGAAGGTACCTTGCTTCCCCTTCATCTTCCGCCATGATTGTAAGTTTCCTGAGGCCTCCCCAGTCATGCTGAACTGTAAGTCAATTAAACCTCTTTCCTGTATAAATTACCCAGTCTCAGGAAGCTCTTTATAGCAGTATGAAAACAGACTAATACACTTATCATGGGAAATATGGAGAGGACCAAAGGTTTAAAGTGATTTACTGCCATCGACAATGCATGTTAATGACAGAGCTGTTAAAGGATTCTACATCTTTCGAATCCACATCTTTGCTTTACCACTGCATGAGGCTCCATTTATGTTGGGGAGTTTTGATGAAAAATGCAACTTCAACTGGAATTACTGGTGCAATTGCAATATCACCTGTAAAAGACTTGGCCTCACATGAAGCCTGCTTGATAATTTCTCTAGATCTTTTGCATGTATCATCAGAAGTCACAAAATAATTTTTATGTATACCATATTATATCTATATATACACCCATATATATATATATATATAATTTATGACATAGATATGAAATACCACACAGAGTCTAGAGAAATACTACAAAGGTCTAGAAAAATTATGTGTCTGCATATACTATTACAGAATATATGTCTCAAATATATACCAGAAATATGTGTGTGTATATATATGCATGCACACATTCCAGATTACAAGGAAAAGTTGTGTAAGGGTCCAAGTCTTTAATTCACCCTTGATATGGAAAATTATATAACTGTATCTCATTGGAATGCATAAAAATGAGGAATAAGTAAGAGAAAGATATTTGCATCAACTGTATATCATATGGAGAAGAATTTCAGGCGTTCTGCCATTGGTTGTAAATATACAGCAGCCAAGGACATTTATTATGGGAAAAGCATTATCGTTAGAAGTGCTGTGCTTTGGAACATAGTGTTCAAAGTACATTTTTCTCCTGCCTTTCAGATGATTGCATTTTAAAGAATAATTCAACTAGATTTTTTTTGAAAATTAAATAATCATTGGGCAAACAGTGTTTATACTGGCTGCTTAATTATTATTCTAAAGCATTTTTGAAAATCAATACTTGATAAAGACATAGAGTAATAATGTTTTCCTAACTGGGTAGTTTAAAAAATGCTTTTGCCTGCATCTTTTCATTTGACCATCACAATAATCCTGTATGATAACTGGGAGTTATTTGTTTTCACTTTGAAGATAAATAAAAGTTATCATTGAGTGACTATATATCAAAATAGCATTACAAAAATCTATAATGCCTATTGTTGCTACTATAGTGGGGTAGTAAACAAAATGTAAACATTTATCTAAGAAGCTATTAAATATTTATTTTAAATAAAAAGAATTTTTTTCATATGGCAGACAGTAAATTATTGAAATGGAAGTTATCTAACTCCCCAAGTATAATTATAATCTATTCTTTAATATTATTGTTGATTTTTAAATAGTTTCAAATTAGAGCATAGCATTTCAGGTATTGGCTGAAATTTCAACCATGTGACTTCCACTAAAGACAATAAATGAATAGATATTTCCCAAAATAATTCCTTGTAAACAAACTAAGAGAAATGTACAAATTCTAAATGCATAAGTCTAAATCTTTATACATAGAGGGCATTAACTGAAATCTAATAAATGACTGGGGCTCTGCCACTTGGGATGTTGATGTTTTTTTTTTTTTTCGCTTTAACTACTCAAGAGAACTTTGTTTCTTTAGATTTGTATACATATATGGAAGAGGCAGACAGATGGAAAAGCAACTAATCACGAGGCTGTAATTATTATACACTTTCATTACTTCCTCCAAATGATGACCTCTCACCCTTGGGAAAAAAATGCCTCCTTTACTAGGGCTCCTACTTTGACAAAAAGATGAAGAAAAGCAAGATATTACCAGATCCTCAACTTCTGGCACTTTCTGGCACCCGTACAAGTCTAGAAAATTTCCAAGGAATTATTTTGGGAAGTATCTGTTTCATTAATTGTCTTTAGTGGAAGTCACATGGTTGAAATTTCAGCCAATACTTGAAATGCTATGCTCTAATTTGAAACTATGTTAAAATCAACAACAGTATTAAAGATTAGATTATAACTTTCTTTGAAGAGTTAGATAATTTTGATTCCAAGAATTTACAGTCTCCCGCATGAAGAATTTCCCTTTATTAAAAATAAACAGCTTGTTAGATAACTCAAAAATTATTTCTAATAACAGTATTGATATAGCCTAGATTATATAATTTAAAATAAGACGAAAATTCCCCTTACAGTACCAATAAAAGCAGATTTCTAAATTTGTTTAAAATATAACAAAAAGTTACAATACATAGGCATTATATAAAAGTCTCTAATTTTTTATATCAACGGTAAATTACACAGTAACCATTCTAGGTTAGGTTCACAAAGTATCATTTACTAAAAATGAATACTACAGTCACGTAAATTACATTTATTGATAGAATATTCCTAGCTCTAAAAATCAGACAGAACCTTGAGTTAGTCTGGATTTTATTCTAAGGACAACATGAAGTCATTTGGGACATTTAAACAGTGAGTATCCGGGAATGTGGCAAACTGCTAAGTTTATAGTCATGGCATGTATTCAGCTCCAGCCAGCTGCCTTACAAGAATATAGTTCAATTTCCCATGTTGCCAGATTTTTTTGATTTGCAAAAGAAGAATTTAAAATTTTTAAATTCTCAAGTGTTGGCAACCAATTAAGAAATCATTAAAAAGAAAAAACACTTGGTGGGTAAAGAGAACATGTCTCTAGGCTATATTTAACCAAAGGGTCACTTGTTTGCATCATCAGGGTTGAATTTGCATTTCTAGAAGTCTGGCCCTTTTCTTTTAGTAAAGGAAGACTGAAACCCACTTGGTGGAATATTTTTTCAGTGACACAGTTCTGTTTTGCTATTGGATGTACATCTTGTCCGATTACTGTTGTTTTCTGGTATAAGCTGCTTCTCCATTCTACATAGAGTATTATGTTTAGGGTCATCTCCCTTCCATCTAATGCTGAGTGATAGAGATAGAACACAGTATAGACAACTTTCTGTTGTCATTATTTCCCATTTCTTCATACCAGGTTAGGAATTAGGCATTGGTGTACACAAATCCATAATTTATGTCAATAAAACATAAAGAGAAAAGTTCAAAAATATGTTTAGGTTGGATTTCTATTCAAAGCCAAATAACTGTCTGTGCTGTTGCTATTGGGAGAGAAGTCCAGAAAATATGTGGTCAGCTAAAACATTTTAAGTTAGTTAGAAGATTGAAGTTACATTGATTTTGTTTCTGCTTTTTTTAAAATGTAAACCAGAGCTAGGGATCTCAATCTTCTGAAATATATGATACTCTTAAAATAACTTATGAATTATGTATGAATGGAAATAAGTTATTCCTTATCGCTGTCTGTCAAGTGCCTCACATAGTACTTGAGCTGTCACTTTAGGTGCTCAAAAATGTGCACTGACTCCATACATATCCCAAACAACTTGACTATAAGCTAATGGTGACCAAACTTACTTCAATGACAAGGTTTTACTTTGGAGATAAATATTTTCTTATTTATTTTAACACAAGCTTCTTCTCATTTATTTTACCAGGCCAAACACCCAGAATCACACTTGATTCTTCTCATTCTATTGCATATCCCACTTGCAATTAATAAGAAAATCCTACCAGCACTAATTTCCACATTTTATCTTGGAGCTGCTTCTCACCATCCCTGCCCGTTACCCTCCTAATCCAACCCATGATATTTTGTCTAGGATACTGCAATGAATTTACTATTTGATTTCCTTATTTCTCACTCTGCCCATAATCTATTTTCCGCACAGAAGTTAGAATGATCTATTTAAAACATAAAGCAAATCATGCTCTTCCCCTGATCAAAACACAAGCACTGGTGCAATGGTTTCGTATCACAAATTGAACAAACTCCAAATTCCCTAATATTGTCCTTGATGCTCTATGTAATCAGGTCCTTACCTAACTCTCTGATCTCATTTTTTACCATTATCTCTCTTGGTCACAGTGGTTTGACAATTTAGTCACCTTATTGTTTGTCAAACATTCCAAGCTTATTACTGGCTCTTAACTTCGCATTTGTTCTTCGTTTGCCTAGACCATGCTTCTCCAAGACATTTTCATAATTCATTCCACTTTCCTTTAATAACACCAAGCTATTACTCCCCAAAGTGCCTTTCTTGATTTCCTCATCTGGTAACATGTACTGTTTACTCCCATAACCTTATTTGTTTCTTTCCTGGTACACGTCACAATCAGAAATAATATTTTGTGTTTGTTTAATCTTTAACTATCTTTATCCCTAATGAGAATAGAGGTGTTTTGACACTAAGGATCTCATGTGTCTCGATTCCTGATGTACCTATAGAGAAGATTCTGGTAAAGATATATTGAATTGAATTTATTTTAAATGCAGTTATCTTTGATAAGATTTGTAACAACAAGACTCTAATTGTTTTAGCAGTGGACCATATTTACATTGATAAATTAGGAAGGTCGAAGAGAAATATAAAATCCAGTATTAACCTTCATGTCCTTAAAATTCTGTCACAATTTCTACATCAAACACACAAAACACTCAGTCTTATAAAGTAGGGGAAAATAGAATAGGCAAGAGTAAATAGGTATAATTATTCCTAGGAGAAAAGAAAAAGAAAAAAAGCAGTTTTATTCAAATTTCTTTGGCATTAGGAACAGAACATTTCTTTATGCCGTAGAGAATAATGTGAATAATTCTCTGGCTACCAATTTGGAAATCTTAAAAAAAATCAATTAGTTGTCTTTTAGATGAGCAATAAAGTATTTTTTGTCCCCCTCCAAAAGTCAATCCCAATATTGTTTTTCTCTTGTAAATATTGTGGTCTCAATACTCTGCTGCCACCCCACGAGGTGGCTGTAATTAGGGTGAAGAAACTGAATATAAATAATATTTAAGAACTTCTGTAGTTGTCTATCAGAATACTTTGATTCAAAGCCGTATTTTCATTTTAAGTCTTTTGCTTTTTGCCTCTAATGCTAAGAATGTTTCAGGTCATTTGTCTGTAAAGATGACTTATTTTTATAACTCATTTATATGTATTTCCATAACTTTTATGATTGTTCTATGTAACTCACATTTTTTAAAAGTCAAGTTGGCTAGAAGTAGCCAAAAGCCATCAAAAAGCACTAAAAAACTTTGCCGGTGAAAAATGTTATTTAACACTAAGCTTAATTGTTAATATAATACAATTTTACTTTGATTCTTCAATATAAATATTGAAGTATCATATACCCAACCTTAGGTATATGATATTAAAGAACATTTCAAAGATGGAAATATTATCAGATTTTTAAAGAAAAAAACTAATCTCAATTTTTCAAATTGCTTATTAATTAGGCTAATGTTAAAAGAAGAAGAGGAGGCAGGGGTAGAAGAGGCCAAAAATACAAGAAGGAGAAGGAGAAGAATGAGAAAACACTAATTCTTCAAACTACATTTCATTCTGATAGAGACATCTCAAATTGCAGTTTTTGAAAAAAAAACCTCTAAGATTTTAATCATATAGTAGAGAATATTCTATACATAAATGTAAATTTGGAACATCACACATTTTAAGTGAAACAATGATTCTTCT
This sequence comes from Homo sapiens, assembly GCF_000001405.40. Lineage (NCBI taxonomy): Eukaryota > Metazoa > Chordata > Mammalia > Primates > Hominidae > Homo > Homo sapiens. The sequence continues at coordinate 79,104,232 of NC_000008.11, read as the reverse complement.
TAGTACTCATGATGGAAACTAATTAGACTGCTGAATCTGACCAAGAGGCTTATTGACAGGAAAATAAACTTGGAGGATTTTATTTAATCTTTTCTCTCACATTGCTGATATATAGTGGTGAATTTTTTATTTTGCTTGGCCTTTCACTCTAAACTTCAGGAGTGAACAATAACATAGTGAGTCTATGACTTCTCAGCAAAATCCTAAGGACTACAAAAGTGAACTGTTAAACTATTGTGAGCTAAGAACAAATAGCATCATGCTTACCTCATCCACTGAGTTCAAAGTCATGGCTCCACACTGATTGATCATCACTGAAAATCATAATCCCAAACCACTTAATGACTCATTCTGTACCTCCCAAACCTTTCCCCTGTTTTTCTGGAAATGAATGTTTACCATTAGCAAATTTCTGGGCAAATCTCAGAGATAAAGCAAGAATTCCTTTTGCTCGCTTTTTTTTTTTAACTTTAAGTTCAGAGGCACATGTGGAGGTTTGTTATATAGGTAAATTGCATGTCACAAGGGTTTGGTGTACAAATTATTTCATCACCCAGGTATTAAGCATAGAACTCATAAGTTATTTTTCCTGATCCCCTCCCTCCTCCCACCATCCACCATTTGATAGGCCCCAGTATCTGTTGTGCCCCTCTGTGTGTCCATGTGTTCTCATGAGTTAGCTCCCAGTTGTAAGTGAGAACATGTGGTATTTGCTTTTCTGTTTCTGAGTTAGTTTGCTAAGGATAATGACCCCCAGCTTTATACGTGTTTCTGCAAAGGACACGATCTCATTCTTTTTTATGGCTGTATCATATTCCATGGTATATATGTACCACATTTTCTTTATCCAGTCTATCATTGGTGGGCATTTACGTTGGTTTCATGTCTTTGCTGTTGTGATTAGTGCTGCAATAAACATATATAGGCATGGGTCTTTATGATAGAACAATTTATATCCCTGTGAATATGTACCTAATAATGGGATTCTGGGTTGAATGGTAGTCCTGTTTTTAGGACTTTGAGGAATCACCACACTGTTTTCTACAATGGTTAAACTAATTTGCACTCCCAACAAAAGTGTATAAGTGTTCCTTTTTCTCCACAACCTCGCCAGCATCTGTTATTTTTTGACACTTTGAAAATAGCCATTCTGACTGGTGTGAGATTGTATCTCATTGTGGTTTTGACTTGGATTTCTCTAATGATCAGTGATGTTGAGCTATTTTTCATGTGTTTGTTGGCCATGTGTAGGTCTTCTTCTGAAAACTGTCTTTTTATTTACTTTGCCCACTTTTTAATGGAGTTCTTTGTATTTTTCTTGTAAATTTGTTTAAGTTCCTTATAGATGCTTTATATTAGACCTTTGTCAGATGCATAGTTTGTAGAAATTTTCTTCCATTCTGTAGGTTATCTGTTCGTTCTGTTGATAGTTTCTTTTGCTGTGCAAAAAGCTCTTTAGTTTAATCAGATCCCATTTGTCAATTTGTGCTTTTGTTGCAACTGAAGATTGAGACATGAAAAACCATTCAAAAGTTAAAAAAAAGTAGTTTGTTTTTTGAAAATGTTAATAAAATGGACTACTAGCTAGACTAATAAAGAAGAAAAGAGAGAAGACTCAAATAAACACAATTAAAAACAAGGATATTGCCACTGATCCCACAGAAATAAAAATAACCATCAAAGGATATTATGAACACCTCCACAAACTGGAAAATCTAGAAGAAATAGATACAACCCTGGATACATACACCTTCCCAAGACTGAGTCAGAAAGAAATTAAATCTCTGAACAGACTAATAATGACCTCTGAATTTGAATCAATATTAAATAGCCCACCAACCAAAAAAAGTGCAGGACCAGATGATTTCACAGCCGAATTCTACCCAATGTGCAATGAAGAGCTGGTACCACTGGTACTGAAACTATTCCAAAACATTGAGAAAGAGGGACTCCGCCCTAACTTGGAGGCTAGCATCATCCTGATAGCAAAACTTTGCAGAGAAACAACGAAAAAGAAAACTTCAGGCCAATACACTTGTTGAACATCAGTGCAAAAATCCTCAACAAAGCACTGGCAAACCAAATCCAGCAGCACAACCAAAAGCCTGTCCATCACAATCAACTAGGCTTTATCCCTGGGATACAAAGTTGGTTTAACGTACACAAATCAATAAACGTGACTCATCACATAAATAGAACTAAAGACAAAAACCACATGAATCTCCCAATAGACGCAGAAAAGTTTTCTGATAAAACTCAAGACCCCTTAATGTTAAAACTCTCAATAAACTAGGTATTGAGGCAACATACCTCAAAATAATAAGAGCCATCTATGACAAACCCACAGCCAACATCATATTGAATGGGCAAAAGCTAGTAGCATTCCCCTTGGAAACCAGCACAAGACAAGGATGCCCTCTCTCACCACTCCTATTCACCATAGTATTGGAAGCCCTGGTCAGAACCATCAGGTAAGAGAAAGAAATAAAGTTCATCCAAATAAGAAGAGAAGAAGTCAGACTATCTTTGTTTGCAGGGGACATTATCATATATCTAGAAAAACCCATTGTCTCAGCCCAAAAGCTCCTTAGTTAGATAAACAACTTTAGCAAAGTCTCGGGATACAAAATCAATGTATAAAAATTGATGGCATTCCTATACCCTGACAACTGTTAAGCTGAAGCCAAATCAGGAACACAATCCCATTCACAATAGCCACAAAAAGAATAAAATACCTAGGAATACAGCTAACCAAGAAGGTGAAAGATCTCTACAAGGATAACTATTAAAAACTGCCCAAAGAAATCAGAAATGACACAAACAAATGGAAAAACATTCCATGCTCATAAGTAAGAAGAATCAATTTTAAGATGCTCATAGTGCCCAAAGCAATTTATAGATTCAATGTTATTCCTATCAAACTACCAATGACATTCTTCATGGAACTAGAAAAAAGCTATTTTAAAATTAATATGAAACCCCAAAAGAGCCCTAATAGACAAGGCCATCTAAGTAAAAAGAACAAAGCTGGAGGCATCATGCTACCCGACTTCAAACTATACTACAGTGCAACAGTAACTGAAACAGCACAGTAGTGGTACAAAAACAGACATATAGACCAATGGAACAGAATAGAGAACCCAGAAATAAGACCATACACCTACAACTATCCAATCTTTGACAAAGCTGACAAAAAAAGGCAATGCAGAAAGGACTCCCTATTCAATAAATGGTGCTGATGTAACTGGCTAGCCATATGCAGAAGATTGAAACTGGAACCCTGTCTTACACCATATACAAAAATCAACTCAAGATGGGTTAAACACTTAATGTAAAACCTCAAACTCTAAAAACCCTGGAATATAACCTAGTCAATACCATTCTGGACATAGTAATGGGTAAAGATTTCATGATGAAGACAACTTTTGCTTTTTATGGCCACTCTAGATCATTTCTCCTCCCGCCATTCCCAAAAGATGCAGATTTTTTGCAGTGCATGTCATCACATTATGTTACTTGTTCTCTTTCCTTATCACAACCATCTATCAGCCTTCAGGTTACTTGTCCTTTATTCCCTGGAGATTTTAAAGCTGACTCATTGATTATCTTCCCCCACTATTCTTGCACCAATTTGTGTGACTTTAATTATTTGTTAATGATTCATCCAACACCTTGCCTTTCACATTCTTGAATTCCACCCCGGTCAGCTTTATCTACTCCACTTTAGCTACATACCTTCATGGTGGTACCCTAGACTTTCTACCTCTAATAACTCAGGGACTCAAAAATCTTCTTTGAAAACATGTCTTTCTCAGAACAAACCACTAAGTATATTTTTGCCTCATTAAAAAAAAAATACTTCTATGCTACAGGTACTTTTTTTCTAATTGAGATTTCTGTTGACTGATTTTATAACTCTTTTACAGTTGAAACATGCATCTCATTCCTCTCTTTCCTTCCTTACCTGCCATGGCCTGAAATTATCATCACAAAATACCGTATGTTTACTTGCTCTTTGCTTTCTCCATTGTGAAAGCATGTGAAAAGGATCCAAAATATGTTTAAAACCAAGTATTTACTTACTATTTGCCTACACTGCAGTGATTTAACATTATTGAAAAAAATTCACATCAATTGCAATTTAAATTTCTGGTCCCAAAGTTCAATGAGCACAACTTATTTACTGATTTTTATAATTCTCCAAAATGAATATTTTACATCTCATCACTCTGAAACACCTTCCCCTCCTCTATACTTAAGTTAATCTTCTAGCCTACTACTTAACTACGTTAGAAATAGTATAGTGAAACATTATGTCAGAAATTTTCTCATTTTCTCATCAGCAAATCTACCAACCAACCTGAACCCAAATCCATATTTTTTTTCGCCTTACCTCCTATTAAAAGGGAAGAAGTGCTTGCTTCTATCAAAGGCCACCTCCTTTTCTTTCCACAAGATTCAATAGTCAATGTCATCTTAACCACTCAGGAATTTCTGCAATTACTACTTTTTCTCAGATTATAAATTCAGATTTTCTTTCTGGATTCTACACATGTGCATAAAAACATGATTTAATCTCACTCATATTAAAGCAAACAAAAAAACTATACCCTGACTTCCAGCTATAACATGATTTCTCTGAATCTTTTCATAGCAAATTACTCTAAAGTGTTGCTTGAAGTCACTGTTTTTACTTGATTCACATTTTCTGTTTATTCTAGGTGGGTTCTCATTCCCAACTCTTTTGTCAAATCATGACCTCCTTCTTGCTGAAAACAACTGGGAATTCATCATTCTTGATAATATTCAGCATAAACACTCTGCCATCATAAAAATCTTTGCTTTTAAAAAAATCTAATCAATTTAGTAATATATAATTTATATACCATATAATTCCCCCATTTATGGTACACAATTCAATAGTTCTTAGTATTTTCACCAAGTTTCATGAACATCACCACAATATGTTTTAAAATAGTTTCATAATCCCCAAAAGAAACCCCACACCCAGTCACTTCCCATTCTCTGCACACCGCCACACCCTACCAATTAGGCAACTGCTTACTGATATACCTCTTGTCTTTTTTTGATTTGCCTATTCTAGATATTTCATATAAATGAAATCATGCACTATATAGTCCTTTGTGACCAGCCTCTTTCATTAGCATGTGTTTAAGGTTCACCCTTGTTGTAGCATATATAGGTACTTCATTCCTTTTTATTGCTAAATAGTATTTCATTGCATGGATGTGCCACATTTATTAATTCATTCATCAGTTGGTGGACATTTGGGTTGTTTCCAGTTTGGAGCCATTATGAATAATATTGCTATGAACATTTATGTACAAATTTTTGTGTGGACATATGCTTTCATTTCTCTTGGGTATATACCTAACAATGGAATTTTTGAGTCAAATGGTAACTTGATGTTTAACCTTTTGAGAAATTGGCAGACTGTTTTCAAAAGTGGCTTCACTATTTCACATTTTCACAAGTAACTTATGAAGGTTCCAATTTTTCCACATCTTCATTCCTGTGTTTATCTCCCTGTTTAATTATAACCATCCTAGTGGATATACAGTGGCATATCATTGTGGTTTTTGTATTTATTTTCCTTGTTGCTAATCTATTGTTTCATGACAGAAAAAAGTTCTATACGCAGCTTAAAAGAACGAGGTATGATTGTACTGTTATTTCCTTCCAGTTTCAAAAGCCACCACACTTCTGTTGCATATTATTGGGCAGAAGTCACAGTAATCGCAAACTAGATTCGGGGCATTGGTTCTTGGTTACACCCACAAGTAACTGAAAACCATGCCATAATTATTACAAACATAAGAAAGAGTAATACTTGTGCTGATTAGAGAGAAAATGTTATAAACAAAAGATTAGCCCACATTATTAGGGCAATGAAACTATTCTGTATGATTCTATAATGGTGCATATGTTATCATACATTTGTTGAAACCCACAGAATGTACAAACACAGTGAACCCTAATATAAACTATGGACGTTGAGTGATAATGACGTGTCAATGTAAGTTCATCAATTATAACAAATGTCCACTCTGGTGGGCGATGTTGATAATAGGAGAAGCTGTGCACATGTGGATTCAGGGAGTATATGAGAGCTCTCTACTTTCCACTCAGTTTTGCTGTGAACCTAAAACTGCTCTGACAGATAGAGTCTCAAAAAAAAAATCCCCCAAAAATCCAAAAATTTCCTTCAACTTTGCCAGCTGCCCCTCCTCAGTCTCACTGCTGATTCCTCTCACACCCAAACTCTAAATTTTGGAATGTTACAGTTCTACCTATATTCTCTCCCTAGGTGATTTTTTTTCTGTGTGGTTGTAAATACCATTTACATGATGATTACTCCCATACTTTTACTTTCAACACTGAACTTTTCTACCTACTTGACTTCTTTCCATTCAGTTTGTACCTTGAATTTCTTACTTCCAAAATTAAATTATTTATAATGGTACCCTTCATATCCACCTATTTATACCTTTCCCCATATTATCCATTTAATTTAATTATACCGTCATCTATTCAGCCATCTAAGATGCAAACCCAGAATCCATAATAATTTCTCTCATTTTCTTACCATGCATGAGCAGACTGTCAACTTGACATTCAAAATACCATCCAGATATGTTTACCTCTTTGCTGTCAGCCTATTCCACTTCATGACACATGAAGGCAGTAGACACCTATCTTACATCTTTATTTCTACTCATGCCACATCTACAATTTACTCTCCACACAGAAGTGACTACAAGCTTTGTATTAAGTTGATGCAAAAGTAATCACGGCGAAACCCACTAAAAATAATTGCAAAAACCGTGATTACTTTTGCACCAACCTAATGAAACTTAAATTAGAACTTACCACATTCAAGCAGGAAATGTTCTTGTCTTGCACTTAGTGTTTTCTTGAACAAGAAAATGGGGAATGTATAAAGTATGAGGAAGTTGACCTTTATTCAGGAACTTGAAGATACTAAAATCCTGAGTATATTTGGGTAAGATTAGAGAAAGTGGAAACAGTAATTTATTTATAATACTGGATTGGAGGGTAGTTATAGAGAGAGTGTGATTATTTTGCAATCTGTCATTACATACCTCTATTCCTTGGGGTAGTCAAAGTACAAATATCATATCTTAAAATTAGTTACTTACTTTGCTCTTTTGTGGTATTATAGAATTTATTTCTTTAACAAATTATTAGATCAAGTGATGGAGTAAGAAGTTATACAATTAAATGAAGAGAAGAATAAATAACTCAGTTTGTCAATTCAGATAAGTTGCTAGCTACCTGGGCTGCAGCTAACGCACCCGAGAAATCTGGTGGCTGGATGGAGTAATATCTGTAGCTACTCCAGCTCTAATGCCGTGAGAGCCATCTCCAGTGATGTGTAATTACTCCAAATACCAAGTTTTATAAGATCGTTACTGGAAGTATTTGACTTTTACTGCCAGGAAGTCTTTGGCACTTTAAATGCAACTATGTTTTGGTACTTAGGAAAGCTGCCAGAAAGTGAATAAACATTAAGTACAGAAACTTTCTGTTTATTACCAGAGTAAATACCATAAAAGCAGAAGTGACTTTTATCTTTCATACCAAGTAATTAAGTAATTAACTAAACTTGTCTCCTCAAAAATGCTACTCTTATAGACAAATGATCCATTCAGTTTCTGTACAGTTTTTATTAGTGGCTTAAAATAAATGTTTCCACCACCCCAAAATTAAGTAAAGCTTCAAAACAAGGAGCTGAGTTGACACTAGATAGTTCATGTAATAACTTACTGGCTTTCAGCACCAATGAATATAACTTCAGTGCAGGGAGGAAAAAAGAAGCAGTATTGTGTTAAAGGAGTCATAGAAAAACAGGAAAATCAAACTGGAGAAAATCTGTTGACACAGAGATGATAGTCCTGAATCATTTACCTGTTGTTAAAGAAAATGGATTTATATTGGTAATTTCAAGAATTGTTATGTGAAGAAAAAATTGGTCATTGTGAAGCACAAGTCTAACTAATTTTGGTGGCAGTTGTTACTATGACAGTGTTAGTCATACAGGGCAGTGTGTGACATAGCTTAGCATGTCCATGTTTGTAGGTATCAAGGAAGGAAATAATAAATTTCTAGGTGTGGAATTGTATGGAATACTGACAGGCAAAGCAAGATACACAAGTGTTTTCTATCCTTTTGACAACCTCTGCTTACCAAAGGAAAGTGTTCTCATCCACCTGCAGTTTAAAGTTTCAAGTTGTTATGCCATACTGAGATGGCAGATTTCTGGAAGGCAACAGAATAAATATTACTGTGTGACAATTTCAAACAGAAAGAAATAATTTTCCCTTTCATCCTTTATGTGGTTTTGTAACTTTATTGAGATATACTTGAAATATTATATCATATTCATATTTAAAATACTCAATTTGATCAGTTTTGACATATGCATAAGACTTTGAAACAATCACCATAATCAGGAGAGTAAACATTTTTATCACTCCGCAAAGTTTCCTTGTCTCCCTTTATCAACCATCCTCTTCTCCATCCCCATCCTCAGGCAATCACTAGTAGATTGGTAACTGTAGATTAGTTTTGAGAATTTTATAGAAACAGCATCATATAGTATACGTCGTTTTTTGACAGGCTTCCTTAATTCATTATAATGATTTTGAGATTTATCCGTGTTGTTGTGTGTATCTACAGTTTTCTCCCTTTTCTTGCTGAGTAGTATTCCATTCTATGAATATGCCACAATTTGTTTCTCTATTCACCTGTTAATGGCTATTTGGTTTGTTTTCAGTTTTGTACAATTACCAGTGAAGCCACAATGAACATACATGTGCAAGTCTATGTTGATACATACACTTTCACTTCTAATACACAGGAGTGAATGACTGGGTCATATGATAAATATATGTTTAACTTTATAATAATACCAAAACTATTACCTAGAGTGGCTGTACCATTTGGCATTCTTTCTGTAATCTACGAGAGTGATAGTTGTTTTGCATTCTCACCAATGCTTGGTACTGTCATATTTTATTATTACTGTTTTTTAAGGTCTTCTTATGCAGTGGCAACTCATTGTGATTTTAGATTTACATATCCTTTGTGATTTATAATTTTGAGCATTTTTTCATATACTTATGCATTTGCATATATACTTTTGTAAAATATCTCTTCAAATATTTTCTCCATTTTTATTGGGTTATCTTTTTATTATTGAGTTGAAAGAGTCTCTTACATTTTTGGAGACAAGCCTTTTGCCTGATACATGCTTTGAAGATATTTTCTTCCTGTTTGTGGTATTTTCCTAGAGTAAAATTATTTTAATTTGGTGACATTCAATTCATCAGGTTTGTTTTCATATTGTATATTTTTTGTTTGTTTTCTAGTTAAGAAACATTTGCCTATTACCAAATTGCAAAGACTTATTTCTGTTTTCCTGTAGTTTTATAGTTTCATTTTTTAGATCTGTGGTTTGCTTTCACTTTATATCTATATATGGTGTGAAGTAAGGACTTAGGCTTAATTTTTTCCCCATACAGATATTCCACTAGCATGACACCATATGTGGAGAAGACGTTCCTTTTTCCATTGAATTGCCTGGGCACTATTAAAAATCAACTGAAATTACATGTGTGGGTACACTTCTAGACTATTTATTTTACTTCATTGATTTATATGCCTATCTTTTCACTAATACTACATTCTATTGATTGCTATGTCTTCATAATAAATCCAAACTTTTTTTTTCTTAAATTGCGTTTATTATTCTAGTTCCTTTGCATTTTCATGTGTTGTAGAATCAGCTTATCAAATTGGTACAATATTGGAATTGCATTTAATAAGTAGATCAGTTTGGGGAGAATTATGATCTTAATGACATTCAGTTTTTCAGTCTATAAACATGGTATCTCTCTCCATGTATTCGAGCCTTCTTCAGTTTCTATCAACAATGTTGTAGTTTCAGTGTAGATGTAATGATGTACACAATATTCAGTGTAGACAATACATAAATAAATGGGTATGGCTGTGTTCCAATTAAACTTTATTTACAAAAAGTGAGCAGTCGGCTGAATTTGGTCTGGGAGTTAGTAGTTTGCTGACCCATAGTTTAGGCTATTAACATTTAATGTATTTATGAATATGGTTTAATTTATATCTGCCATTTTATTTTTACTCTCTACTTGTCTACTATTTTTATTAAAATCATCTGTTTTTTTCTGTTTTCTTTATGTTGAATTGACACTTTTTCAAATTCTCATATTATTATTGGATTTTTGGCTATATCGTTTTGTATTATATTTTTAATGATTGCTTTTCAGATTATATAATACAAGTTTAAATTTTCAAAATCAACTTAAAGTTGAAATACTTTCCATAAAATGTAGAAACCTTGCAGCAATATAGACCTTTTAATATCCCTCTCCGACTGACCTTTATGTTATGGTTGTCATACAGATTATATCTGTAAGCACTGAAGCTCCATCAGACAATGTTGTAACTTTTCCTTTCACAATAATATGTTTTGTAGTATTAAGCATGTCATTTATTCTGTTATTTTGGTGTCTGGGGTATTACTGACCCTGGGAATGGGAAACCTCCATTCCATGGCCATCCAATTCCTTGAGGTAGTAAACTTGCCTGTGAGTGCACTTTTCATATGCAGACCAACCCAAGAGAAGCCCATGCCCCCATCACTTCCTTTATTGGCCTTTCACAGGGTTTTCATACTCTGGCCACTCTTTCCCTACCCAAATCAACCCAGGACCAGGTACCAGACAACTAGGGACATCCCTATACTCCAGGGCTCACTGAAGTTATTCAAATCAGCCAATCCTAAACCTGCTTGGCCTGCTTACTGTGCCTTGCTCCTTCCTTCCCATGAAAACCACAACATAGGCTCCTGCCCCTGTTTTCCCGTCTCTCCTGCATCCTGACTAACACTGGTACTTCCCTATATGTTTCCGTGTAGCTGAGGTGCCCTCTTCTCTTGAGAGCTGTGAGCAACAAACTCTCTTTTCAATAGCGGTCATCTGATCTTTTGGTCTCATCACACCTTAATAATAATAAAACCTACATTTTAAAACCATATTAAGCAACTTAAGAGGAAAAAGAATTGTCTTTTATTTTTACTTAGCTATTCAATATTTCTGTTGAACTTGCTTTATTCCTGAAACTTCAAGTTTCCGTAAGAATTAGTTCTTTTGAGCTCATGAAGCTTCCCTTAGCATTTATTTTAGAGCACATTTGTTAATGATGATTTCCTTCAGTTTCCCTTCATCAGAGAATATCTATCTTTGTGGCCTCCATGGATTTTGATGAAAAATCAACACTCACTAAAATTATTGTTCCCCAATATGTTATGCTTTTTTCTGTAGAAGCTTTCAAAATGTTTATTTTATCAGCAATTTAATTTATGTATGTATAGGTGTGGTTGTCTTTGTGTTTACCTTTTTTTGTAGCTCACTTGATTTCTTAAGTCTATAAGTGGATGTGTTTCACCAAATTTGAAAAACCTTTATCATATTTTCAAGGATTTTTCTCTTTCTGAAACTCCAAAGACATGTGTGTTAGATTTTTATGTTATATTTTCTCACAGGTACCTGAGACTCTGCTCATTATGTTTTAATGTTTCTTCTCTGTATTTTTAATTGAATACTTTTTGTCGATCTTTTTTATCTTCACTTCCTCTGTTATCTGTCTTCTGCAATTGAGGTTATTCAGTGAGCTTCTTATTTAAAATATTGCATTTTTTTAAGGCTTAAAATTTGCATTTGGTTATTTTCATTGTTTCTCTCTCTGTGCTAAGAATAATTATATTTTCATTTATTTGCAGTATATTTCCTTTTACCTTATGAAGAAAGTTTTAGTAGCTGCTTTATAGTTTCCTTTTGACAGTTTCAACATCTGAATTACCTCTGATGTGTAAAGTTGATTTGTTGATTGTCTTTTCTTTTGGTTATTGGTCACATTTTTCTGATTCTTTGTATGCCAACCAATTTTGGAATTCTTATGTTGTGTAGACGCTGGGTCCTATTATAATGTAATGGAGATGTTTTTCATTTAGCAGGAAATCAAATGGAAAACATATGAACAGAGCATAAGTTCTATATAAGCTTCTGTAGGTAGTTACCAAAACCTCATTTTGCATTCCTTTAGACTTTTCTATGCTCATTGGGTCTATCCCATGCATATATATCATAAAATTAGGCTGAGATTTTTGCAGATTCATACAGAAAATTAGGGGATCCTCTCTCCAGCTTTCTCCTTTCCAGGGATACCCCAACATATTTTGTGCCATCTTTTCCTGATCCTTTGTATAGAATCATGTGTGTTCTATTGGCCTTTTAGCCACTCAATTGCTGAAACCTACCCTTGAGGCAAATCCATGAGAGAAAAAGAAAAGTCTAGGAGACACTTCACCATGCATTTACTCCTTTAACTTCTGACTGCTCTCATATTCTGCCTGCTTTTGTGTATTTTATAGAATTCTCCAATAGTTGTGTTTTTTGTATTTTTTTCCCCAGCAATTTTAGTTTCAATCATTGGGAGGGATACATCATAATAGTCTTACACTGCCACAGTGCAACTGGAATTTTCTTTCCTTTTCTTTGTAAACCATCAATTTTTCTAAAAGAAATGACATTTTAAAATATAAGCAAGTTGGTCAAAAAGCACTTTAATATCAACTCAGGTATCATTGCCTTTTGCAAATGCTTGCAATATCCTTCAAATGGTATCCTGAACTTTTGATTCCCTTCCTTCAAATGGTATCCTGAACTTTTGATTCCCTTTGAAGTAGAATTTTTGGTTTGGTATGGTTTAGAGTTCCAACATTATTTATTCTTCATATGGTACTCAATTCCTTATGTGTAGTTTATTAGCAACACTATTCATTTCTTACCCCAGTTTCATCTTTTTAGTGGTCTTAAATAGAAAGGTTTTTTTTGCACTAGAGTTGAAAATTATGGCTGTGGCTAGAGGAATTCTTTCCTGTTACTAATATTCCTCCTTTGTGATAAGAACTTTACGAGCACATTGTTCCTTGCCTCTTTTTTGCAACCTCAGTTTTTACTTTAGGAAGAGCTATGATTTAAAATAATTGTTGAGTTTGCAATGAAAAATTGAGTAGGCTTAAAAAATCTTATTTTACTACTCTGTCTTGGAAATCAGAATTTTACAGGAAGCAGCTGGCTGACAGTTAGTTTATTCTATTTAGAAGCCAAGAATTGGGAAACCCACATTTTTGCAGACTATAAGCAGTGTGCTGCAATATCAACATCCACTAATGTCTAATTTTGATATTTCATTTTTTTACTTTGTGTTTTAAAATAATTTTTGACTTACAGAAGAGTTGCACATATAGCACAGACAGCCTTTGCCTACCATTCATCCAGCTTCCCCTAATGTTAACATAACATAACATAACATAACATAACATAACATAGCATAATGATAACATAAGCATGGTATGATGATCAAAACTAATAATTAACACTGATATAATACTGTTAACTAAACTACAAACTTCATTCAGAATTCTTCAGCTTTTCCATTATTATTTTTTCTTTTCTAATCTAGGATTTCACAATGTTATATGCCCTTATTTCTACCACTCTGTGACAGTTCTTCAATCTTTCATTCTAATTTATGTATTGATACTTTTAAAGATTATTGGTCAGGTATTTTAAAAAATGCCCATTAACTTGGGTTTGTGTGATGCTTTTTCATGATTAAACTGAGACTCTGAACTTGGGGAAAGAATTCCACATAACCAATATGCCCTTCTCATTCCATCATATCAAGGGCTAGAGGATATCAATACATATGACCAATCCTGATCATTTGGCTAAGGTGGTTTTTGTCAGGCTTCTCTGCTATAAAGTTTTTATCTTTCTCTCCCCAAGTTTGGTTCATCAGAAGTGAGTCACAAAGTCCAGTTCCTACTCAAGAATAGGGAAGTTAAGCTTTACCTACTGGAGGGAGAAGCATCAAGAGATTTGTGGATATATGTTAAATCACTACAGTAACAGTAAATATTTTCAGGGTTTACTTTGGGGTTATACATGTTTCATGTTGCTTCTTAAGCATTTGACCACTAATTATAGAGAAGAGTCACATTTTTTTGCCTTCTTTAGTGGAGGGAGGTGATTAAAATTGTCTAGTGAGTATCAGAGGGTTTTACCTCTATAACTGGGAATTTTTATAAAGGTCTTCTAGGGTACTTGGGTTTGGGTTATTGATAGTTAAATACTCTTTCACAAGTTTTAGTTTCTACAACTTTAGACAACTATTTGCTTGGGCCAAAGAATCTTATTGCTGTAGTGGGTCTCAGAGATATGAAGGAGACTATTTCTTGGGGTCATACACATATTTATTTCCCATAGATAAACAGAGCTTCAAGTTAAGTCTAAACCTATTTTTTTTCCAATTTTCCATGTCTTGCTTCATCTACTCTGAACTTTATTCTTTTCCTCTGGTTCTGAAAATAATTCCTTATATCCCTATACTTTAACATACTTGATCCAATTGATTTTCAAACTAAACCTGTGAGAATGACAGATATCATGGCCTCTAATTTTCAAATGAAAAATATTCCAAGAGGTGAAGATCACACAGCTTCATCTATAAGAACAAAAGCCAGGACTAAACCCAAACTTTGTACTTGTTAATACAGTACTTACTGTATAACACCATACTAGCTTCTATATTCATTAAAAACCACAGAAGCTACTGAATATTCATGTTCCACAAGGTTACATGAGCCAATGTGTAGGAGATATGGAGTCAGGCCCTCTATTGTGTTCTCTCTGTTTATCTGTAGCTTAATGATGGCACTTTCCTTCTGTTTTTATCTTTACAATTATGTAAAATGCTCTCCTGAAGTAGATACCACAAGGTCTATGCTCATTTTAGGTCTTTGTGAAGTGGATCATAAATAAAAATGGTAAAGGACTATGTAGCCATGTCATTCTGGACAGCATGATACTGACTAAAATAATCAAATTAAAGGGATCATGTTTTAACTGATAAGGTGTTCTTCAATGTTATAAGTGAATGATAATGAATTATTACTGGGTTTATGACTAAGGTATCCAAAACATCTCTTCGTTGTCTGATTATTTTAGTCAGATGAGCCATATATTAAGCTCATATTTTATTTTATGGACCACTAAATGTTGAGGCATAGTGGAAAGTGTAAAGATAAGAGTCTATTACACTTTAAACATAAATCCTGAGCTGGAGGATGATGCTTTTAGCACAATGTAGTACAGGATTAAAGGTATGGCCTGCATAATGAAATAGTCTTCCCAATCATACCTCCTTCTCCTTATTTTGTGACCTTGGACAAGTCCCTCCCCTTTTCTCTGCCTTGCTTTCTTCATTTGCAAACTTAATATTAGTGAGGCTTAAATATGACAGTGTTTGTGAAGTACATGGTAGTTCCTGGCATAAAGTAAATTTTCAATATATCCTAGCTATAAGCACATGCTAGAATAGTAGCCATTTTTGAGTCTACTGTGCCAAATGTTTTATATTTAAAATTTCTGTATCAGTCAGTGCAGTTGAAATAATGTGGTCTGGAGTCATATACACAAATTCTTCCACTTAATGGCTTTCTGTAACCCCAGACAATTTATGAAACTTGTGTAAACCTGTTTCCCCACCTGGAAGATGTAAATAAAATAATAAACACATATTGAAAGCTTCTTATATGCCAGTTATTTTGCTGATATATTACCTCCATTATCTTATTTAAAACCTACCCTGCACAATTCGGTATTTAAAGAGGTCTTTTATTTAAATCATCTTGTATCATGTCTGACACATTATTATGTGCTAAATGCAATTTAATTTTCTGCCTCTTTCCCCTATCACCTACCACAGAGTGACATTGACTGATTAATCCACATATTTAATCAATGTATGCACAATGAAATGAGTTCACTCTGCTTTGGTGTTACTGTCTAAAGTTTAGTTTCCTCACTTGCAAAACAGGGATTCATTATACCTACTGTGATTCACTACCTGCAACGTCCCTAACAGCATGCCGGACACCTAATAAGGATTCAATCAGTGATTCATTTTATTTTTTTCCTTAAAACCTTGCTCCCAGACTCAACATCAAGAATGAACTTATATGCTAACTCTTTTGTGTAGTAAGGAACCATGTTATGCAGAGACATTTATGAATAGAGATTAATTATATCAGTCTTCAAGAAGACGCAGTACAGAGTTTGCTATCTACTATTCTGTAGCAGTAAGACTTTTTTCAAAAAGCATTGCGCAAACTCTGATTTTATTTAGATGATCCCCTAAGAAACTTATTAGAAAAACAGTCACCCAAACAACTGCTTGTTAACCAGAGTCCTTAATTTATATGTTCTGGGCTATATTGTCTAAAAATGCTTCCTACTTGGAATGAAAAATATATCACATTTGATTTCCTTCCCAGTTCAGATTATAATAGTACCAAATAAGCAATATATTTTTATGTGCAAACTGTTTGGAGGAACAGAAGGAGACTGTGTGTTTCTCTTTTGGCCTTAGGCAAATCTTTCCATTACTCTAAGCAGAAAGTATAATTTTATCATACACGTGAGATGCTTCTAATGACTAGCTATTACTTTCTACCTACAGATTTGTGTGACGAATGAGTGGTATTTCCTTTCAGTTATTTCTATTTTACACGGGAAATATTAGGATAATTTGGACATTTATTATCCTTTTCATGACCTAGATATGCAATATGGTACTTTCATTAGGAAAACATACGGAAAAGAATCGTAATTTTATTTAGTAATTCAGTTAGTTAATTTTTGTGTATGGAGGATCCTCTAGTTGTAAAATAATGTTGAAGATGAAAAGGAAGAAAGGCCAGAGTATTAAGGCATGAACATTCTTAGGCAGAAAAATCTTTCATGGACACACAGTCTGAAAATAATATTTCTAAATATGTGTCCAGGTTATAAGATAAATACCTTTGTCTTTAAGTACCTGTATGGTACTCCCTGGAATATCTGTTTTGTTTCTTCAAATATGATGAAGGAGCATGAGAACTGGCAAGGTTTTGTTTTGTTTTGTTTTGTTTTGTTTTGAGACGGAGTCTCGCTCTATCCCCCAGGCTGGAGTGCAGTGGCGTGATTTCAGCTCACTGCAACTTCCGCCTCCTGGGTTCAAGTGATTCTCCAGCCTCAGCCTCCGGAGTAGCTGGGATTACCAGCGCCCCTCCACACTTCCGGCCACGATCGGCTAATTTTTGCATTTTTAGTAGAGATGGGGTTTCTCCATGTTGGCCAGTATGGTCTCAAACTCCTGACCTCAGGTGATCCATCCGCCTCGGCCTTCCAAAGTGCTGGGAATACAGGCATCAGCCACTGCGCCCAGCCAGAGAACTGGTAAGCTTTTACTGAGAGAATAAAGTTGTGTTAAGCCCTTACTGTGTTTCTTCCTTGGCATTTGTGCACAGAACACTCAGATTGGATTTTGATTTCAGATTATTACCCCTTCTCTATTCTCAGCCCAGGTATTACTGACGAATTTGACTCTTTCCTTCAGAAACTGGCAGAGACTCTGACTGGCTCCTAGTTACATCGTTGGTTCAAGAATGAACATGTGGCTGAACTAGATCCAATTAGATGAAATGAGGACTCTTGCTGAAATTTTTCAAAGAGAAAATCTCATTCTTTCCTATTGGACGTGGAATGTAAGATAATGTAAAAACTAAAGCTGTCACTGCTGTTTGCTACATTTCTCACAGGTAGCCCAATATTGAGATGGGACAATATGGATAAATAGAAACAGTGTCCGAGTTCTTAATTCAGCTGTGCATAGCCCATCCCTTGACTTTTCTGATACATGTGCTAATATACACTTGTGATTTAAGCTCACTTGAATTTCTGTTACCTGCAACCTTGTTGTTTCAAATTGGTCCCTACAAAAAGGCCACACCTCCCTGTTGTGTTCAAAACAGAAGCTTCCAGTGATCTGCTTCTGCCATCCACAGAACAACAACACTTGGGCACAATAGTTATACAAGAATTATAGAGGCTTATTTCCATATTCAATGCAATTCGGTGTGGAATCACACTAATCAAGTTAGAGGTTCAGCAGAATTTCTCTAGTGAGCTTTAGCATTTCAAGTCTAGCCAGCTTTAGATTTGTGATAAAAGAAGAAAAACATAGGCTTCCTCATTCTGCCTCTAGTTCTCTTGCCTCTATTTCTTTTCTCCAAGGTTAGTAATTCACACACATTCCAAGAGCAAATAATAGTTCTCTGAAATAGCATAGTCTTTGTCCATATTAAAAATATATATTTTTTTTTTCTAAAAACATCAACATCCACAAAGGTTTTCCATGCTAAACAGAAAGGCCTTTACCATTAGCAGGCTGACCAACTTAACTCTTCTCTGTCTCCAGCTTTCCTTTACAGACTAGTTATGTGTGTCCATTAGATAAGCCCAAAAGACACATTAAAGAGGTTTTCAAACAAATTTGTTTTGAAAAAATAAATTCTTCTGCCTCACATAAATGAGAAAATAGTTGCAACTTTAAAAATTAAATTAGTAACTCTTGTTTACAATGTAAACTGGCACAGTCATTCTAGAATGAAGTTTGGCAGTATTTGGTGATATAACCGGGTGTGTATGACACTGCAATCCCACTCCTGAGTTAACATCCCAGAGAAACTCTGGCTCAGGACTTTAACTAGGTTCTGCTCTTCCAGGTGTTTCCCCAGGGGATAGAAAGTAGAAGGCAACCTAGGAATCCATCAATAAGGGAGTAAGTAAAATATGGCAGAGTCAGGCACAATGGGATACGATGCGTCAATCACAAAATATGGATATGTCTCAGAAATATTAACGAAAAGAAACAAAACATGATATACCTTTCTATAAATTAAAAAAAAACACAACCATGGAAAATATAGCACATATTTTGAAAAGGTAAATATATTTAGGGATACAGTTGAAACATTTGAAGTGGGTGACTAATAGAATGGGAGAGAAATAATAGTTGGGTTTGGAAAAAAATTAAAAACAGATTATCATCCACTATTAGGTGAAGAGTACAAGTAAATCAACTTTCTGTCACAGAAATGACAGTAATAGCATAAAAATGAGCTCCTTTTGACATTTTGTATTATTTTTTGTCAGATATAGTTTTGTGAGAATTTATTATACCACAGGTAAAACACTCCTATGTAATAGGAATATGAGCTGGCTATGTTTGAGAATTCCCTTAGTTATCATTAAATGAGGAGACATGAACAAATAGCAGAGCAGGAAATACTAATAGGTTTTCTGACATGTACTTTCAGAATCATTTACTGTGATGAATTACTTTGGGGACATAAAGACTTGCTTATACTATTGCCAAGTTAATATTTCGTTAGAAACTGCATATATATGTGTATATAAGTATGAATATAAATAGTTTCACTTTTTAGTCCCTGTTTTTCTGATTTCAAAGATAATATATTTACCTTATGAAAAGTTTAGGAAATGTTGAATAATTCTGAGAAGAAAATTAAAATAACCTATAGGCATCCATCAGAGGATAAACAATTTGAAACATTTTAGTGGATTTACTTTTAGGATTTTCTGTTCTGTATTTGTGTGTGTTGTACATGCACACACATCATGACACTTTCATATACAGTGAAAGAGAAAAAATGCTATAGTTTTATTGTCTTAGTTCAGGCTGCCATTACAAAGTACCATAGAATGATTTATATTCCTTTGGGTATATACCCAGTAATGGGATTGCTGGGAGGAATGGTTATTCTATTATAAACAATGCTTTGACTAACATCATGGAAAGATACAGATCATTTTTTTCTCTTCAGGATCTTTTCCTACAAGTGCATTTGCTGCGTTAAAGGATACATACATGTTGGTGGTTTTAGGAGTGGGTTAAGTCATAAGGGTGGAATCTGAAGATGCCGTATGAAAGGCTTAAATGTTTTTAAGTATTTTTAAGTTTAGAATATTTTAAATTTAACAGCGAATGTAATGGCACTTTTGGCCTGAGAATATTCAGAGACATGTTTCTAAGGATATTTTAAAAATTATTAAAGAATGATTCTAAGCTGAAGCTAAATAGCAAGGACACTACAGCCAGAGCAACCCATATGAATCTGAGCTCCTACATTTGCCAACTGCATAATCTTGGACAAGTCTCTTAGCTTACTTGTGCTTCAGTTTCCTCATCTATAAAATGTAGATAACAATAGTACCTGTCTCATATATTTGTTTTGAGGATTATGTGTGAGTTTGTGTGTGTGCTTGTGTGTTTGTGTATGCATACATGCTTAGGTCAATGGTTGGCATAGTTATAGCTCTAAAAGCAGCAGTTATCAGCAGGCTCAGTGGCTCATGCCTGTAATCCTAGCACTTTGGGAGGCCAAGGTGGGTGGATCACGTGAGGTCAGGAGTTTGAGACCAGCCTGGCCAACAGGGTGAAACCCTGGCTCTACTAAAAGTACAAAAAAATTAGCCAGGCATGGTGGCGGGCGCCTGTAATCCCAGTTACTCAGGAGGCTGAGGCAGGAGAATCGCTTGAACCCAGGAGGCGGAGGTTGAAGTGAGCCAAGATTGCGCCATTGCACTCCATCCTCGGCAATAAGAGCGAAACTCTGTCTCAAAATGACAAAAACGAAAATAAGAGCAGCAGTTGTTCTTATTAAGATAATTAGACTGAATCCCAAAAACAAGAAATGCCCTGCTATAAATTTGACACCTCTATTAATCTATTGCACTGTCTGGTGTTTGTAAAGTCACTCTGGAGGAGGAATAAGTAGAAGAATGTTATTCATCTATATATGGCAAAACAACAACAACAACAACAACAACAACACACACACACGTCATGGAAAATGTGATTACTTTCATCTATCCTACAGAATTGTGCTACCTTTAATAGTACACAGTGCATTCCTCAAAACTCCCTTTTCTAAGAACATCTAATGCCAAAGAGCAATGATAGGACCACAGTTTGTAAGCTCTGCTGCTTTTCTGTATCCTTTAAATCTGGACCCTCCTCTATCATCTAATGAAAACAAACTGTAATTGCAAAGATAAAATTTAGTGACTGGAACCATGCTGAATTGTAGTTATTTTAACAAGCTCTACCTTTTTAATTAAACATCATGCCTCAGAGGATTTAGTTTCAAATATTTGCTTACAATTTTCTCGTTAAAGATTTCAGCTCCAGATGTTTTTTTTTTTTTAATGGTTTATTGTCTGTTGTCTTCATCTTTCTTTTAAAAATCTCAATTCTTAAATGGCTGCTAACATATTAAAGGTCATTTTATTAAAATAATTTTGTTTTGCAGGAATGAGAAAGCACTGACTTAGTATAGTAGTCACACACCTGTTATATGCAATATACTGTTCCAGACATAGTAATGAATTCATGTAAGTCTATATTAGGACCACTGACTTCACATAGCTTACAGATAATGTGATGAGACATGACATATATATGTCATTTACACATATAATATGACATACATATACATTATAGATGTATATGTATAAAATATTCCATGAAATGTTGGGGTATGATATAAAGTAGATTTTACATAGAGTAAGAGTTTTAGGTAGTATTTAAAAGTTAAGAGCAGTGAGAGAAACAGCCTATGCTGTTGGGGCTTGAGATATCAATTATATGACTTTTCCTACTGAGTTTGAGACCAGTTAACAGAGAAACACAGAAGATGGCAAAAGGAGATCAAAACGTCAGCTTTACTACTGATAGATCAACCTGGAAGATGTAGCTTTAAAGCTGCAGGTAAATGAGCTTCTGAATATTCCATGCCTGTTGTACCTACTGCTCACAAACAACGCCATCCTCGGAAAGGCTCAAAGCAATGCTGGTGTAGCCTGCCTTCCATAGAAAATAGGTTGAGGCAAAACTTCTAGCTAAGGCTCTACTGGTAGAGTCAATCTAAGGACAGCAAGAATGAGGAAAACAAGGGAAATGATTCAGGGAAGGAAGGAAAGCCAGTAACGATGGTGGGTGTCTTGCTAACTTGGTCCAAGCTTTGCATGATAATCTAACAAAGATTTTGCATGATGGACACCTTTCTAACAGATTTCCTTAAACCACAGATACTTGGAACAATGAGCTGAGAGCAAGAAAGGAAGGGAATTTTTTTACTGGCTCATTCCTCACTCCCCTCTTTTGCTGAGCAATGTTTGCCCTGTGGGGCACTAAATCCCTCACACTTATGAGTTGTGTTGTCTGGCTTTCTGGAAAGCATTAGAACCTTTCTCAGCTCTATACCAGGGTACTCTCCAGAACATCTAAGCTCTGGCCTTTTCCTGCTTGGGCTGGACAGTGTCTTCGGATGTATCACTTTTAAGACAACCTGAGTTTACAGTGCTGTGAGGGTTCCTCACCTTTGACTGGCTGGGAGATGCTTGAAAGATCACTTCTAAGATGGCCCTCCTAAGCTACCACTGCAGTTAGCTTTGTTCTCTGTGTGCATCAGGCACTAGGTCCCTGGGAAATAGAGATACATATCAGCCCTTAAAGTGGGTTCTACCAAAGCCCCACTCCCTAAGTTTGGGGTTTAGAAGTAGCACTCCCTAACACATATCTTCAGGGGTTAGAATTAGACAGTAGGTTCTCTCAAAAGAAGCCTACTTTATAAAACCTATCTAATACAACCCTTTGATCCTTTTATATACACCTTATATAAGCTTATATTGGGAGAGTAAAACCAGTTATCTAATATTTCCTTTGAAAATCTGCATCTTAGTTTGCCAGGAATCTCACTCTGGAATTTATTTTTTTTTTTGTATTTTTGTGTCCTAGGCAAATATTCAAATTTGACCTTCTGAAAACCAGAGTACAGTGCTTTAGAGCATGAACCCTGGAGCCAGCTGACTGAGGTCCACCTTTGGCCAAAATTTTCTAGTTGATGTAACTTAAGGCAAATAAATTAGCAACTGTATGCCTCAATTTCAACATTTGTAAAATGAAAATGTTACGGTACCTGATACTATCAGGTGTGAATCAACCAGCAATTGATTTTTAAAATCTCCCTACTGGTTGATGGATGTTCACTGAAATTCTTTCTTCTCATAATGAAGTTTCCAGAATGAAATTACACTACAGAAATGAGATTCCTCCTCCTCTTACAAAATAAAAGCCAAATAAACATGAATTGGTAGTTCATTTACTGCCATGTTTATATTGCTCAATCACAGCAGCAGAATTTCTCCTGAATGTCTAGGTAGAACTCTGAACAGCAGCAGCCTCACTGGAAGGGGTATAGCTCCTTCAGCACTTGAAAGTTAATACGACTGAAAATCAAAGTTCAAAAGATAACAAAACTTTTAAACATTCTCTATAGCTGTCGTTTTTCCCAAAGAAAATCAGTATCCTACATTCCTACCACTCCCGTGTTACTATTGTCTTAGTAAAAATCACAAGGGACCCACCAATGTGACTTAACTCAGTGGTAAATCCCCAGTGCTCACCTTACTTTAATTACTCAGAGCTCTTGACACAGTTTATCACTTCATCTTCCTGAAACATTTTCATTTGTCTTGATTTTCTTTTTATCTCACTGGTCATTCCTTCATAGATTCCTGTGATGCTTCCTTCTTTTCTTCTCAGCTTCTTAATTTTGGAGTGCTCAGACCTTGGTTATGGTTTCTTCTCTACCTATACCACTCCCTTGAAGATTCCATTTAATCTTTTGGTATCATTTACCATCTTTTTGCTAATAAATTACAAATCTATAGTTCTAGCTCTAGCCCCTTTCCTGAAATCTAGATTTATATCTCCAATTGCCTATTCAACATCACAATTTAATGTCTAATATATATCTAAAATAGGAGTTGGCCAAGTTCCTACACCATCCAATTCCTCCATTCCCCCTTTCCCTCCCAAGGAAGAACCTTTCTCTATCATATTTTGACCTCTGTCGATAGTAACTACATCCTTCCAATTGATTAAACCATATCCTTGGGGTCATTCATAAATTCTCTTTTCTCTCATAACTCACATTAAATTAATTTGGAAGTCTTATTTTCTCTACTTTGAAAATATGTCCAGAATTTTTTCATTCCCACGAATTATATCATCATCATCTCCTGGAATATTGCAGTTGCCTTCTAATTAGCTTCTCTCTTTCTCCTCTCACTCCTTCTATTCTATTTCCAATTCAACAGCCAGAGAGTTTTTAAAATGTCAGATTGTATCACTCCTCTGCTCGAAGTTTTAAAATGTCAGATTTTGTCACTCCTCTGCTCAGTTTCCAATAATATTACACACAGATTCAACTTGTACCCTAACAATTTCACTACTGAGTACACACCCAAAAGAAATGAGCTCATATGACAGTAGAAAGACTTATACAATACTATCAATAGCAGCTTCATTCATAACAGTCCCAAATGGAAAACAACTCTGATGTCTGTAAACTTGAGAATCAATTTAAAAAATCATGGTATATTCATGCAATGAAATAATACAGAGCAAAAAGATAATAATTAGCTACCGATGCATACATTAACAGAAATGAAAGTCAAAAATATTGTGCTGAGCCTGAAAAAGCTTGACAAAATACTACATACTGTATGGTCTTTGGAAATTGGGACTACAAAACATTGGGACGATAAACATTTATCTGTATTTTTCTAAAGACTTTAAGAAATTAGAGTTTAATAGTAAAGCTCCTCATGTTAAAAATCAATTATTCTAGTCCTCATGAAAATAAAGAGTTGAAGAATTTTAGGCAAATGCTCTTGAGCCTTTTTTCGTCTGTACCCTTGCCTGTAATTGCATGGGTTCCTATCTGAAAGACAAGGTGTTCCATTCCTGTATATATCACATTTCACCTGGAGGAAATTTAGTCTTTTTTTTTTTTTTTAACAGACTTAGTGCTTGAGAAGGGTGGCCCCATGTCTATGTTTGCTGGGGATAGCCTTAGTTTATATCTGTTATCCCAGAGTGATGATTAACAGTCATCTTTCACTTTCAGAATGTCTCAACTTGAGCAATAAAGTAAACGACTGCCCCATGCTTCAGACATGACATCAAGGGGAGTCATCTGAACCTTTATACTATTCCAAGGTGCCTGATGCAAGAGTTACAAGAACAAGAGACTTATAAATTGAGATAAAATATTTAAATGCATGACATTGTTTGATATAAGAATATATAGTCTATTATCTCCCGCATTGTGGAAGATGGGGAAAGGTATTCATATACATTCAGATTAAAGCCATGTTTAAAATTTTACTAAAAATAGAGGTAAGTGACCGCGCACTGTGGCTAATGCCTGTAATCCCAGCACTTTGGGAGGCCGAGGTGGGTGGATCACCTGAGGTCGGGAGTTCGAGACCAGCTTGGCCAACGTGGCAAAATGGTGTCTCTATAAAAAACACAAAAATTAGTTGGGCATGGTGGCGGGTGCCTGTAATTCCAGCTATTTGGGAGGCTGAGGCAGGAGAACCACTTGAACCTGGGAAGTGGAGTTTGCAGTGAGCCGAGATTGTGCCATTGCATTCCAGCCTGGGTGACAGAGTGAGATTCCATCTCAAAATTTAAAATTTTTTTAAAAAATAGAGGTAAGTTGAAAACCTAAACAAGAATTCATGGCCTATAATAAATACTTTTCTATTCTTTCACTAAAATAGCTAGGATCTTCTGTGTCATCTTGCTTTACCCCAATGATTATGTGAAACCACAAATGTTCACTCCAGGTATCCAGATTTTGATGTCTAGATCTGCTCCTTGGAGAAAAACTCACTCTAAATTTGTGAAATAAAAAAGCAAAGTGAGCCCAGGATATTTTCTTGAGACAAAGCAACTCATTCTGGGTATGGTGATAAAGGAGACAATTAGAAGAGTTAAATTGTATACATTCTAAAAAATAAGAACAATAAAAATGGTTACTATCAAGTGAAAAAAGCTTGATCTATAAAAGGCTAACATAAATATTTCATGATGCTTGAGGGGAACCAATTATAGAAAACGTGTGAGAGAGAAGTTATACACACTAACATGAACCAATTGCTTACTGGATTACCAAACAGATAGCTGTGTGTGATGCTTGGTGCCTGCATGTGTGACCCCCCATCCGGGGTCATCGAGCGAACCCCAGGGAGGCAGGAAGTCTTGGTTTACGATCGTGGTCCTCAACAGATTTAGCCTAAGGACCACCCAAAGAAAGAGGTATTAAGTCAGATTATTGTGGTTTACTGAAGAAAAGTCAGCTTCCAGGACTTTTAGACATTAATGGGGGTCTCTGGGCACGGGTTCTTCCTTATTTCCACAGAATTAAGACATACTGTAGGCAATGGCATTTGGCTCAAGAATATGTACTATATTGGATTTCTGCAATATTTTCAACCAAGGCATACATTATTTACATTCTTCCTAAACAGTGAGTTACAAAACGACTGTGACGTAGCCACAAAAATAAATAAATAAACAACCTGAGATTTTTCAGATCTGGCAAGACCTCACTTCCATTGACACTGTGTGCTGTGTGACCCCCTGTTCTAAACTCTGCAGCCAAAAGAAGCTGACTGAGATGGGCTGTTTTTCATCCTGCTCTGAGGAACCCCATTCTTTCCAGTAATTTTCAGGATATTTGACTAAGTAAATAGAGATTTGGATGTAATCATGTTCACATGGTCTTTTCTGAGCCATCTGTAGCCTGCCTGAAAAAATAAACATTTTTCTCCCTTCTTATCCTTACATAAATAATCTCCATGAAGACATCATGCTTTAACCTGTATTGTCACCTTTTTTCCATTTACTATACTTAAAAGTTTCTTATTACATTAAGATTAGATTAAATTGCAATTTTTAAATTTCTTTGTTACCGTAACATTGATTCCCAAGCCACTTAATAGGTACAGTTAAATGATCTGTCTGTGAGCATGGTAGTGCCTTGTTTTGAGTAATAATTTTTACTAAATTAGCTTTCAAAAAGCATTTAATTCTCATTGCAATGAGGTACAATATAAGTTTCTGCATATTATCATTTGTCCTAAACTAGTGGGTCCATTCTCTCACATTATAGGACTTTCTTATATAGTTTCTAGGACAGGCTCTAATTTTTAGGATCTGGCTATTTGACTCTGAAACCCTTCTAAAGTTAAGAAAATTGGTTGCTGTAATTATCCAGCAAGACAAAGGGAAGATACTCTATTAATATCCAAGTTCAACCATAAATCATTCTAACAATAAGTATTTAGAACACGAAGCAGATTTTATCTAATGCTCAATCAGTCATTTTCCAGCAGATAGATTTTTTTCCTTTTAATTTCTTAGGAGAGTTTCTTTCTCCCAAATTAAATTCCACCTTTCGACAGATGGGTCTTTACCCTGGAGCACAATTGATCACACGAAACGTTTAGTAGAAAGAGTAATGTTATAAATCAAAGTATTCATTACCTTGATCAGATAATCAGGCATGGTATGCTTAACTATAGTCAGTTTTAGATTTTTACTATCTGATTAGCAGACATTATTTTACTTTCTATTAGCTTTGTAATATTACATAAGCTTTTTAGATAGCTTCAAAATGCAAATATGTATTGCTGCTTTAACATATGTTATGATGGAGCATCTAGAGTCAATGAACCTTCATAGATTATTGCAGCTGACCTAGTCACCACCATGATATCTAATTATAATCATTCGTTTAATTAAAACTATTAGTTGCTTTTACATGGATACAGATTAAATTTTGTATTATTGCATGCAGCAAAAAGAAGCAACTCTATTCCTTATTCTTCATTTTGTTTGTACTTCCATTTTCATGGCCTACTTATTAATACACGTTTAATAAAGGCCTTCTGCCACTATAAATGAGGAATATATGACTTTTTAATCATAATACCTGTGATAAAAATGTTAATATAAAAAAGAGACATGAAAGTACGTTTGCTACTTTTTTTCTGTGTTAGAATCAGCCTAGATCTTTGTCTTGACATATATGCAAATTTAATAATTGAACACTTAATAAAATTAATTTAGAATTATTACTTATTTTTAGCTGCCTTTTTTTATTTATGCCTTTTTATCATCAAAACCAAATATTATCTGTTTCTGTTTTCCTTTTTACTCACCTCAGCATACTTAGCATCTATTTCAAAATTATGACCAATGAAAATGTAAATGCATAGATGTGAGCAGCTATTTAGAATGAGAATAAATGGGCCCTTTCAAAAAGCACAATTAAGCCTAGCTACCCTGCTCTCACTCCTTTCCTTCAATTTGTCACAAATGCATTCAATGAAGACAAATACCCAGGGCACACTAAGAGCAAGCTCACTATTAATACATGAGGTCTCTATCAATGATCATAGTCTTTTAATAAATTACACATTATCTTTTCATTCTGCTAAAGAGACAAAATAGTCTCATAGAGGCAAAACTATATGGTCTGATCATATCAATCCCTGAATTTTTTAGTGGTTGAGTGTCTAATTTAAAGACAACCATAAATATTTTAGTCTACTTAAACTCTAATTTAAATCCAAGAAAAAAATTAAAACCAAATAAAGATTTTGTAAAAATGTTATATATCTACATACATATAACATGTAAATAAGCATTATTTCTAATCCATTAATTGCCTTAAAATTAATAAGTAAAATAATGAACACTTCAATAAAAATGGGAAAAACAGACAATTCACGGAAGACATGAAATTGTCCACAAAAGTAGATGATGAGAAAATATTCAATCTATAGGTATACAAATATGCAGAAATCAAAGGAAATATATATACATTTTTGAACTATTTGATCTATAAGGCTTTTCCCTTTTTAAAATCATTTAATCACAATAACCCACCAGGGTGTATTTAGACAACCCGAATCCAAATTTCTGTTAGGTATGCAAATTTGTACAAACCTCTGAAGAGAAATTTTTCATTTTTATAAAAAGTTTTTAGTTTTTATATATGTTTTATAAACATTTTTCACACTCAGTAATTTATCCTAAAGGTTTAGTGGGACATTTGCACAGTTTTAACTACAAGGATGTCCTTAAAGTATGAGAAATGTTTTAAACATCCTAAAACTGAAGATGGGTTAAATACATTGCTATGTGTCTAATTTACAGTTCAAAAAATAGTTCAGTAAAAGAATATGTAATATTATACAAATATATTCATGATATAAAAATTAAAAATCAAGTTATTTATTGTTATATCATTCATCCTCTAATGAAGACTGTCTCTATATTCGCATATATACACACACAAAAGGACTTATTTATGTTAATAGTAATAATTTTCTTAAGAGTGATCTGCATAGTGATTTTTAACCTCCTTCTTCTCCTTATTTATGTTTTCTAATGTTTCTATATTGTCCACCTATATAATAGAATCATATTTTGAAACATTAAAAAGAGGCTTTCTGCAAAATCTTTCTTGTTACCAATGACCCTCCTCTACCATTCCTACTATATCAATAAGTTTTTATATAGACCAAGCTCAGAGGAGAGCAAATGCAGCCCCATGCAGAGCAGTGAGTTAACATTCTGAATGAACTTTTAAAAGCTGATCATAGAAACACGAAAGCAAATCTTTCATTTTCAAGAGCCAGGCTTTGCTGCAAAAGAAAGCAACAAACAAACAAAAAACTAAAAACAGAAAAGCAGCTGAAATATTCCAAAAGGCTAGAACCTAAAAGATGTTGTGGCTAGAGTAATTTAAAAATGGTCCCAGTTTTTCATTCTTACCTATGTTCATGCTCTTTGCATTGACTTTGCAGTTTCTCCTGGTAAGAAGTAGAATCTCTTTCCTCATCCCCTGATTTTTGCTGGCCTTGTGACCTGCTTTGGCTACGAGCATGCAGCAGAAGTAGAAATGCACCAGCTCTGATGTCTTTAAAGGAATTAGGTCTTTCTAGAAGGCAGATTTAAAGTGTGAGAGGGCCGTCTATAGAGAGGACTCTTTGGCAAGGATCTGAGAGTAACCCTCCAGTGTTTAATAGTGGTCCTCATCAGACAGTTAAAAAGCAAACATGCCACTCAGTCATAGAACTACAAGGAAAGAAGTAAATTCTGCCAACAACTTGAGGGAACTTGGAGGCAGATCTTTCCCTAGTCCAAACTCCACATAAGAAGACAACAGTTGTCACTTTGGTTTTGGTCTGTGAGAGAACCCGGCTAAAACATGCTGGATTCCTGACTCACAGAAACTGGGAGATAATAAATCTGTGTTTTAAGCCATTATGTTTGTGGTTATTTGTTAGGCAGCAATAAACTAATACAGGCCCTGAAGCTTAAGCTTCATTAACTTCACAGTAAATAGTGCTCTGACAGTAAGGAAACGGTGTTGTGCAGGAACTCAGATGTAAAGGAGAGCCAGATATTGATGACCAACCATAATGCCTGACGCAGAGGTCATGGCTGCCAGCAGCAGATGCTAGAGCATGATGTTCAAAGTCCAGTTGAGACAAGCCACAGGTCAGTGGAGGCCACAGCACAACATCCAAGAGCAGAAGAGATTGATTAAAACACCAGGTGATAGCACATAGACCTAGTGACCACATCCTTTGATCACCTGGAGAAAAAAGAAAGAAGAGGTGATAGGAGCAGGGAGAGGGGGAGGAAAGGGAGGCTATCTTGTGTAGCCCACATTTAAATCCTTAATTGATCACATTTAAACCAGAAGTGAATGAGATGCTTCAAATTATTAACTTCAAAATTCGTATTATTGGTGAAGTAAAAGCTGACAATCTAAGTTTAATTCAGTGCTGGAGATTTAAATTAAGTAATATTTCGGTACATGCAAGCTGGTGCATGGATATTTAATCTACTGTTTTATCTATCAGCCAGTGATTTAGAAAAGAAAGATTAAATGCTATGTTTGTTTTGTTATTACTTGGTTGAAGAGATAGAGATACAGATATAAAATATTATAATGTCAAGTGTTTAGAGGATCAAGGTAGAGAAAATAAAACTGCAGTATAGAAACCAAGGCTTTGGAAGTCCAGAGGCCCCACTACTCTGAACTGTGAAGTATGCAGGGGAAAGAAGGCATAAGGTGAGAATCATGCAATCATAGCTGCTCAGAATTTAGATATGATTCCTCTAGAGGCTTTATCTAATCTCAGCTATGGCAAAGTGTAAAGAGCTGACTCCTTTTTTTTTTTTTTTTTTTTAAATAAAGCCTTGCTCTGTTGCTTAGGCTGGAGTATGGTGGCACAATCAAGGCTCACCGAAGCCTCAAACTCCTGGCCTCAAGTAATCCTCCCACCACAGCCTCCTAAAGCACTGGGATTACAGGTGTGAGCCACTGTGCCCAGCCCAATATTTCCCTTTTGAAGGTAACTCTTTCTAGCTCAGGTCCTGTGGCTCAATGTAAAATGTTTACACTTTGAGCTTTTAAAGAAGTGCCACCAACCCTTTTCAGAGCCTGGCACAGATAAAATTAACAGCATTTGTAAAGAACAGTGAAGTAACATGGAAAATTATAAGATATGGTAAAACATTTATTAACATTTCTTTATGTTTTATAATTATGAGATAAATAAAATCACAGATTAAAAGAAGACATTACTTAACGAGTATGATTTCAAAAATTAATTTTATAAATTTTAATATGAAACTTAAACTTTCATTCACAAAGAACAGTACCTGGTGAAGAACTTTTAATGATGATCTTTTTAAACGCTTGCTTGTCATCATCAATGCCAACATTGGTTGCCCAAGTAGGTAATACAAAGTTTTAAGAAATTTTAAAACTTTTAAAACTTTACTGTGGTAAAGTTCTATGTAAAATATTTTTTCTTTTTAAAAAAAATGATAAATGTAATTATATTTCCTCCAAACATATGAAGAAATTTTCAGTCAAGTTGAACTTTTCATATTATTTCAAAACAAAGATGAAGCCCTAAATTACACAAAGTACATGTGAGTTTAGAGCTGTCACTGTAAAGATAAGAACACCTCTAAAAGGGCACATAAGTGACAAACAGAGAGATGGGGAGTTCAGTGCATGTCAGGGTCCTCTCCTGTCCCATCCTTTCCATCCTGTCCTCCTCCCCTGAATGGCCACAACTGACTGCTCTTCATACAGATCCACAGGCCACCTGTCCCCTCTGCAGTGGCATTCCCTTCATCTGCCTAAGGAGGCAGCTGGCCACACTGTGAAGCCCCTCCTAACCTAGCTGGGCACAGCCCATTACAATGGAACAGCAAGAGTTAGGGGACCTGCGGCAGTTCCTAATTGGTGTTAGCTTCTTGGGAGACATTGTCAGACCCTGTCACAGACAGGCAGCCTCCATGCTCCACAGGCAAGGCTGCTGGGGCTCAAGGCAGCCAGTTGGGGGGCTCTGGTAGCGGCTACCCTGCTATCCTAGAAATGCCTGATTGAGAATCTCTAAAATGACTCACTGCTATACTTTGTCAAAGAAGTTGATGCGAAAATATTCATAATATCATGAAAAGTCAATTATGCATCTTGTTCCCAGAAGCCTCTGACAATTACAGTAATTATCTAATTGGTATGTGTGCAAACCTTTCTCTACCTAAAATGTGTGCCAAACACAAAGGAAGTGAGAAATGTGAAATATAGCTAAAAATTTCATTTGAAATGCACATTTTACAATGGATATTTCTTCTAAAATCTAAAGGAGTTTTTCTTCCCATTTTGTGCCACTTAACTAGTCAGTGTTTATAAAACACTGTGCTAGGCACTGTGAGGAGTGATGAAGGGAAAAGGGGAATATATGGTTTGATTGCTCAACTCTCAACCAATTAATGAAAGAAATTAAATGGCGATAGAGTACAGCATGGAAATGCAATGGACTTGAGTGGCACTACAACCCCTAGCCCAGCTGCCCCACCGCCGAGGTTGTCTTCTTTCTCATCTCTAACCCTGGGTGCAGGAAGATACAGCATCTGGACAGACTCCACCCACCTGTAAGGAACTGGTGAGAATTTGAATGACATTTACAAAACCATTACTCTGAGCTCCACCTGAGTGCTGAATTAATGGCATAAAATTAAGAGAAAATATTTGGAGAAGTATACTAATTGTTTTCCAGCTCATCACGTATTCAGAATAGAGCAGGTACTTAGCAAGTGCAAATTAGTGCTTTATTCTTCCTTTCGTTCTGCTCCCATTGAGTGTCTTTTCCATCTATTCAATTGTTTCTTAAGTTCCCTACACTTGTCTGTGTTGACGATGACCTAGATGTTGCTAAAATTTACATCAGTAGTTGATGAAATTTGATGCTCTCTCTCTATCTGTACCTATGTTAATATTGATATTAATAAGAAAGATACAAAGGTCTTACCCAGGTAAATCTGAGATAAGATGCAGTTCATGGAGCTGCTATTAATACCATTTCCAGCTCCTCAAATTATTACGTTCTACTCAAGCTTCCTAAAACAAGGTGGCTAACACTGGGAAACATTCCAAACATACTGAAGAGAGTGAGATCCGATGGAGCCACTATTGGGGAACCTGCCCCGATAGTCACGTAGGTTCTTTTCTATTTTCCTTAAGCATCGGCCAGCTTGAGAAATAAAGGGACAGAGTACAAAAGAGAGAAATTTTAAAGCTGGGCATCTGGGGGAGACATCACATGTCAATAGGTTCCGTGATGCCCCCCAAACCGTAAAACCAGCAAGTTTTTATTAGGGAGTTTCAAAAGGGGAGGGAGTATACGAATAGGGTGTGGGTCACAGACATCAAGTGGTCACAGACATCAAGTACTTCACAAAGTAATAGAATATCACAAGGTAAGTGGAGGCAGGGCGAGATCACAGGACCACAGGACCGGGGCGAAATTAAAATTGCTAATGAAGTTTGGGCATCATTGTCATTGATGATATCTTATCAGGAGACAGGTTTTGAGATTAACCGGTCTGACCAAAATTTATTAGGTGGGAATTTCCTCTTCCTAATAAACCTGGGAACGCTATGGGAGACTGGGGTCCATTTCACCCCTACAGCCTCGACCATAAGAGACGGCCATGCCCCGGGGGCCAGTTCAGAGACCCACCCCCCAGGCGCGTATTCTCTTTCCCAGGGATGTTCCTTGCTGAGAAAAAGAATTCAGCGATATTTCTCCCATTTGCTTTTGAAAGAAGAGAAATATGGCTCTGTTCCGTCGGGCTCACCGGTGGTCACAGTTTAAGGTTATCTCTCTTATTCCCTGAACAATTGCTGTTATCCTGTTCTTTTTTCAAGGTGCCCAGATTTCATATTGCTCAAACATACATGCTGTACAATTTGTGCAGTTAACGCAATTATCACACAGTCCTGAGGTGACATACATCCTCCTCAGCTGACAAGATTAAGAGATTAAAGTAAAGACAGCCATAGGAAATCACAAGGGTATTGATCGGGGAAGTGATAAGTGTCCATGAAATCTTTACAATTTATGTTTAGAGATTGCAGTAAAGACAGGCATAAGAAATTACAAAAGTATTAATTTGGAGAACTAATAAATGTCCATGAAATCTTCACAATCCACGTTCTTCTGCCATGGCTTCAGCCGGTCCCTCCGTTTGGGGTCCCTGGCTTCCCGCAACAAGCCACCAGTTGGAGAATCTCTTCAGCTTTGCATTTCACTTATCTTTTGATATATTTTTCTACCAGGCAGTGTAATATGGATTTATAAATCAGTGTAATATCTCCCTTAGGAATCTTTGGCATCATTATAACCATTTGATAGAAAATGCAATGTTTTAAAGATGGAAATTTTTCACTCATATTAAACCAACTATCCATAAGAATGTATTTGATGTATTTGATATTAATGTTTGTGCAAAGTTAAAAAACAGCAGGTGATTGCTTACCAAAGCTAGGTTTAGAATGGTATTTCAAAAGTGTGATTGCTACAGCATTGATGTCTTCCCCACAAAGCAAAAATGAAGAAGTACCCATTTTTATTTAGAATTCTTTATTTATATCATTTGTCTTCTGGAAATTATTTTATCATGAGAATTATCATCTTTTGGTTGATTTCTCTAGAGTGTATCCACTTTAGTGTTAAGCATATATTGATATTATGAATACTAAGCTCTTTTTTTGAAGAATGAGACAATTGTGTTTAAAATTTGTGTTTGTTTCCAAGTTTTCTTTTTAAAATATTAGGGATAATTATTCAATACTATAGGATAGAGAAAAGTTACTTTATATGCAAAAAGAATTTAGAGGGACCCAGTATGCTCTACTTGTGACTATGGTTTTGTTCTTAGATTTTTAAAAAATAAATAGTAGACTTAACTCTTAAAGCAGTTTAGATTTATGGAAAAATTGAGCAAAAAGTACAGAATTTCCATATAACCACTTACTTCTTCCATATCCCCTAGTTTTGCCTACTATAAACATCTTGCATCGATGTGGTATAATTTGTTAGAATCGGTGAGCCAATATTGATACATTATTGTTAACTAAAGTTCATGGTTGACATTAGGGTTCACTCTTGGTGTTATACATTATATGGGTTTTGACAAATGTGTAATGACATATGTCACCATTTCAGTGTCATACAAAATAGTTTTACAACCCTAAAACACCTCTGCATTCTACCTGTTTTTCCTTCCTTCCCTCCCCTGAATCCCTGACAACCGCTAATCTTTTTAATGTCCCCATAGTTTTGCCTTTTTCAGAATGTCATATAGATAGAATCATAGTATGTAGCCTTTGAGATTGGCTTCTTTCAGTTTGTAATGCATATTTACGTTTCTTCCATTTTTTAATGGCTTAACAGCTCATTTCTCCTTAAATTGATTTTTTTTTTTTTAAGATGGATTCTCACTCAGTCACCCAGGCTGGAGTGCAGTGGCACGATCTCAGCTCACTGCAACCTCCACCTCCCCCGTTCAAGTGATTCTCCTGCCTCAGTAGCTCCTGCCTGAGTAGCTGGGACTAGAGGCGCCCGCCATCATGCCTGGCTAATTTTTGTATTTTTAGTAGAGACAGGGTTTCACCACATTGGCCAGGCTGGTCTTGAACTCCTGACCTCAGGTGATCCACCTGCCTCGGCCTCCCAAAGTGCTGGGATTACAGGTGTGAGTCATTGTGCCCAGCCAAAATATTTTTAATGTATAGATGTGCCAGTCTGTTTACCCATTCAGCTACTGAAAGATATTCTGGTTGGTCTCACATTTTGGATTTTGTGTGGACGTAAGTATTCAGTTCCTTTGGTTAAATATGAAGAAACTCAATTGCTGGATTATGTGGTAAAAGTGGGTTTGGTTTTGTAAGAAAATTCCAAAACTGTCTTCCAAGTGGTTGTACCATTTTGCATTCTTACCAGCAACAAATAAGAGTTCTGCTGCCCCACATCCTTGCCATTATTTGGTGCTGACAGTGTTTTGGATTTTGACCATTCTAATCATGTATAGTAGTATCTTGATGTTTTTATTTGCAGTTCCCTAGTGATATTTGATGCTGAGCATCTTTTTATATGCTTTTTTTTGTCATCTGCATATCTTCCTTGGTGAAGTGTCTTCTCACATCTTTTGTCAATTTTTTAAACGAGTTATTTTGTTATTGTTGGGTTTTAAGAGTCTTTATATATTTGAAATACCAGTCCTTTATTCAGATGTGGTTTACAAATATCTTCTCCCAGTCTTATCTTTCCATTCTCTTAACAATGTCTTTTCAAGGCAGAAACTTTTAATTTTAATGAAATTCAACTTATCAGTTTTTCTTTCATGAATCTTTAATGTATAATTTTGAATCTAAAGAGTCATCCCCAAACTCAAGCTCACCTAGATTTTCTCCTATGTTATCTTCTAGGAGTCTTATGGTTTTGTATTTTATTTTTGGGTGTATAATCCATTTTAAGTCACATTTTCTGAAAGGTGTGAGGTCTGTTATCTAGATTCTTTTTGCATGTTGACATCCAGTTGTCCCAGTACCATTTGTTGAACAGACTATTCTTTCTCTTCATGTAATTGCCTTTACTTCTTTATCAAGGATAATTTGACTATAAATGTGTCTATTTCTGGGCTCTCTGTACCATATAGGTTGGAAAATGTTTTCCTGTGGGAAACTACTAAGTGAACTGAGAAAAAGTCGAAGGTAATATTTCAAAGGCACTCTCAAGACTCAGAAAATAATATCCATGTCCACACTTGATAGCTCTGTTTATGAAAGGAAACATAAAAGCCTGGAGTAGACTTCAGTAATTATTCAGTAAATCTATATCTATGGAACCATGCCTAGATTTATACCAAACCACACTATCTTTATTACTACAGCCTTACAGTAAGTCTTGAAGTAAGACAGTATCAGTCCTCTGATTTCACTCTTTTTATTCTTCTCCTTCAGTATTACTTTATCTAGTCTTTGTTTTTTTTTTTTTTTTTTGCTTTTCATATAAGCTCTAGGGTCATTTTGTTGATAGTCTGCAAAGTAACTTGATGGGTTTTGACTGAAATTGCATTGAATCTATTCATCAAGTTAGGAAGAACCGACATTTTGACAATATTGACTCGATTTATGCACATGGAATATCCCTCCATTTGTGGAGATTTTTCATTTTTTAACTCAGAGTTTTGTAGTTTTTTTCATGTAGATCTTGTACATATATGGTTAGATTTTTATGGTTGGTTATATTTATACATAGGTTTCTGTTTTTTTCTTTTTCTTCTTAGTTACAGGCTCAGTGTGTTCACCAGCCTGGACCAAACTTTTGGGCTCGAGTGATCCTCTCACCTCAGGCTCCTGAGTAGCTGGGACTATAGGCATATACTACTGCTCTGCACTATTTCATTTATTTTGCTGCTAATGTATATAGAATTGTGTTTTTAATTCCAAATTACCATTGTTCACTGCTGGTATATAAGTAAGCAGTGTACTTTTTAAATATTACCCCCTTCCTGCAACTTTACTATACTACTTACTAATTACAAGAGTTTGTTGCTGTTATTGTTGGTGGTGGTTTAAGCATGCCATCTACAAGCAGACATTTTATGTCTTCCTTCTCAATCTATATACATTTTACTTCCTTTCCATTTCTTATTGCATCAGCCAAAACTTCCAATGTGATGTTGAATAGGAATGTTGAGAGTGGACATCCTTTTCTCATTCCCATCCTTAGGGGAAAAATATCTAGTTTCTCTCCCTTAGATTTTAAACTATATTTCTGAAATCCTGGAACCAGTCAGTTTTGTGAAGCCATGTTCCCTTATTGTCTAAACAAATACATAGAAACTCTGGCTACTGGTGAAATTAGTGAACTGTGTTTTTTAATTTTTTTGGTTTGCAATATTTTCTTACGTATGTTTTGCAGGATTGTAATAACTCTTGATGGAAAAAAATTGTGGCCAAATAAGTTTCTGAAATACATAACAGAAAAATAAACAGTGTATTCTGTAGACCTACTTTGGGAGACATTGCCATTCCTTGAGCTACGGATGTCATGGATGAACATTATCATCACAAAAGATGTATTGCTAGTCCTTTGTGTACAAAGTCTTGGAGCCAATGCTGCCTCTCTGCCTCCTTCTCCCAGAGGAGTTCTACACAAAGTCATCAGAAAAAGTAGTTGCAATGGAGGGCGTGAGCAGTGCATTGTGCAAATGCTGGCACCAGGAGGCATGGGAGAACAGACGCCTGCTACTGGATGCAGCCATATACGTATGTTTGCAAGGCTGATTCACTGTGTATAACCTTGTGCGGCAAAAAATTCCAAAGAGAAATTATTACTGAAATCGTGATTACTCCAGGGTTTTATGTTCCCTTTCACAGAGCTATCAACTGGAGACATGGCTGCTACTTTCTGAGGCTTTGGAGTGCCTTTGAAATATGACCTTCAACTATTCTCAGTTCACTTAGCAGTTAATCACCCATAAGAAAACATTTTCTGACCTATATACATTTTAAGTGCAACAAACTGGCTTTACTAAAGTATCGCCGGGGACTACAGCTATTTGATGGTGGACAGTGAAATGTCTGATAGAGAAGGATAGAGAGAATTATTTTGACCCAGTTTGGCTGAGCAGTTGGGTCACTAAGAAAGCCCTTCATTCTTACTGTGTCTGGTTTTTTATTTTTCCTTTTCCAGGATCTATGAAAAAGCTGTTATTTCTTCAGGTTATACCTATTTCCACCCAGTGTCCAGGCTGTGCTTTTCTGATACAAGATAACAATAATAAAATGTATTAACTGACATTTATTTACTATTTACTGTGTCCTAAGTGAATTAGAAGTTTTCAGCTTCACACCACCTGCTGCTTTGACAGAGCTGGTTACATGGTCTGGTGCCTCTGAGTCTCCCAAAGGCAGGTTGTCC
This sequence comes from Homo sapiens, assembly GCF_000001405.40. Classification (NCBI taxonomy): domain Eukaryota; kingdom Metazoa; phylum Chordata; class Mammalia; order Primates; family Hominidae; genus Homo; species Homo sapiens. The sequence continues at coordinate 79,064,957 of NC_000008.11, read as the reverse complement.
TGGGTCTCACCTCCAGTGAAACACGTCTTGCGCCATACCTCCAAGCGATGTCCTCTATTTTCTATTTGGATGTCTGGCTTCCAACTCCAATCTACAATTCAATCTTGGATCCATTATATATTGTCTTAGCACAATGTTAACCATCATCATAGATCAAAGTAGCTCATTAAGTTTGCAGATATAAACTGCTACGTTATAAATTGGTGGTCAATAAGCCACCTGTTTTTTCTGTTTTGTTTTGTTCTGTTCTTTTTTGTTTTATTTTCTGGATAGCCTGTGAGCTAAGAATGGTTTAGATGCTCACATTTTAAATAGTTATATCAATACCCACATAATTGCCTTGATTGTGGTTTGTGGCCAACAAAATCTACAATATTTACTATATGCCCCTTTAAGGAAGACATTTGCTGATCTCTTTAGAGATTATATAAGAAATAAAGTCTCAGTGTCTTAGTAAAGTATCTAGCCACATTCTTGGGTGCCATGTAGTTACTTTACATTTGGAAAAAGATATCAATGTTTCTTATTCTTTTTTGGATGATTGATTCCATTGTGTTTTTTAAATTGCGCTAGATAAAAAATTTCTATGTCATATTCCTAATCTTTTTCATCTCTCTTATTCTCCTCTTTTATTCTTTCTATTTATTTTTTTTCTCCTTTCTCCTTCTTTTGAGGGGTAGAATGCTATAGTAGAAATGTCTTGGGCTTCAGAATTAGGGCCTTCATTCACAACTGTGTCAGTCCTTGCTGCTCATCGGGTTCTGCAAGCAGCGTCATGAACTTAACCTGGGAACTGTTAGAAATACAGAATGCCAGACTCCAACCCCAACCTGTTGAATTGGATCTGCATTTTAAAAAGATAACCCACTGATGCCTAAGCACAGTAAAATTTGAGAATATTTATGTCACTTAATCTTCTAGTCACAGTATTACTGTGAGGATTGAAGGAGATAATGAATGTGGTACACTTAGCTCAGGGATGAAATAGAATCTGTGCACTATGTATTGAATTTATATGTTGAAATCTTACCCTGGAGTGCCTCAGAAAGTGACCTCATTTGGACTTAGAGTTGTAATTAGTTAAGATGAGGTCATCCTGGAGCAGAGTGAACCCTGCTCCAACACGGCTGCTGTTCTTACACAATGTTGAAATTTGGGCACACACACACACACACACACACACACACACACGTGTGAATATAAGGCAGACATTGGAGTGATATGTCTACAAACCATAGAACACCAAAGATTGTCAGAAAATCAGCAGAGGTTACTAGAGAAGCGTGGACTCAATTACCTTTTACAGCTTTCAAGAAGGAGCCAGCCGTGCCAACATCTTGACTTTTAGCTTCCAGAATTGTGAGTTAATGCACTTCTGTTGTTAAGCCACCAAGTTTGTAGTACTTTGTTACAAGAGCCCTGGCAAATTAATATACCATGCTCAATTGGAATGTCTTTTTATTCCCGGACCAGAGCATATCTCTTTTACAAAATATTTCTGTTTTTTTTTTCTTTCTAAATTCAAATTTTATTTTAGACTCTTTGTGGATCTTGGAGTACAGGGGAGCAGGTGATATTAATAATACTACATTATTCTTTGTATGAAGCCAAATAACCACTATCAGATTTCGTGCAATGAAATGTATTAGGTAAAGATTTTTGGTTCCAGTTCTTTTTTATTTTATTTTTATTTATTTATTTATTTATTTATTTATTTATTTATTTATTTTTGAGACGGAGTCTCTCTCTGTCACCTAGGATGGAGTGCAGTGGCGCTATCTTGGCTCACTGCGACGTTTGCCTCCTGGGTTCAAGCGATTCTCCTGCCTCAGCCTCCTGAGTAGCTGGGATTACAGGCACTCACCATCATGCTCGGCTACTTTTTGTATTTTTGTAGAGACAGGGTTTCACCATGTTGGCCAGGCTGGCCTTGAACTCCTGACTTCAGGTAATCTGCCCACCTGGGTCTCCCAAAATGCTGGGATTACAGGTGTGAGCCACCACACCTGGCCTCTAATTTTTTTATTTTGTAAATTATACTTTAAGTTCCGGAATACATGTGCAGAACCTGCAGGTTTGTTACATAGGTATACATGTGCCATGGTGATTTGCTGCACCCATCAACCCAACATCTAGGTTTTAAGCTCCACATGCATTTGGTATTTGTCCTGATGCTCTCCCTCCCTTTTCCCCTCACCCCCCAAACAGGCCCTGGTGTGTGATGTTTCCCTCCTTGTGTCCATGTATTCTCATTGTTCAACTCCTTTTTACGAGTGAGAACATGCGGTGTTTGGTTTTCTGTTCCTGTGTTAGTTTGCTGAGAATGATGTTCTAACATTTCTTCATGTTTGCCATTAGAATTTCAATCTACATATTGTTAGTATTAATGTCACATGATATTGGATTATAGTAAAATAATTACCATTTAAATAATTTATTTTATTGGCTTTTAGACTTTATTCGAGCAGAAAAATAATGCCGAGTGGGGTCAATCTGAATCTCGTGTGTTGTATTGACTCCTCCTGACACCACGGTTTCAGAATCGTTGAAACCTGACGTTAATAGAGCCTTTTGGCTCTATCAAACTGGAAACTTCACCTTCTTAAAATGCGGTTGCCATAGAAACAGCAGAGTTCTAGGATTTTTGTTTTCAGAAGGTATTGAAAGACTCAATGCCAATTTATGAGCACACAGCGTGACATATTAACATGTGCAATTCTGTGCTATTTTTAAATTAAAGAGGGGACAAGAAGAAAATGGTACCTAAATGTTGTCACTAAACCCGTCAAGGGACTCTTGTTTAATCCTTATACCATATTTGATTCATTTATTTCTACCCACCCTTTGTTCCAAAAAGTGATTTAGACAGCCTGAGCCCTTGAAGTTGTTACCAGGCAATTGGACAAATATATACAACATGTTTTCATCACTTATAATTACATTCTCTGAAAAGGTTTTTTAGTTGAATCTGAGGCTAAATTTTTGTTGTTGTTGTTTTTTCTCTGTCAGGGCGATAGCTGTACTACTTCTTCATCCTTATCCTAGTGCTGTGTCCTATGGTACAGCCTCGCTTTTAAAAATCTCTTTGTAATCTTTTAATTAAGTCTTTCATTCTGGTACTCCTTTTTACCTGATAAAAGAGGACTGAAACCTCCCCACTGCTTTCTTTATACCTCTCACTATTGCCACATCTCTAAGCATTCAGGAGCAAGGCCACAAGACCCTGTATGTGGAGCTTTGGGGGAGGGCAGTTGTCATGATTTGGAGGTGAAATCTGTGAAAACTGAATTTCTATCTGATCTTCAAACTGATCTTGAATTAGTTAAAATGAAAGAGATAATGTATTGAAATAAGAATGGCTGGTTTGAACTGATCTTCTTAATTAAAAATATCTTGTCCAGGTGTTCAGTAAAATAGGGTTATTTTCATGATTTTTTCCATTGACCTAAAGGTATACTTTAAAAAGATATATTGAACAGAAAGTTAGCAATCGTGTGCAAAGTATAAATACTTTTTATTAGAGTCTTTTCAGGGGGAAGATCATGACACAGTGACCCACGGTGTAGTGGAACTGAACAAATCAGGGTTCAAAGCGTGGCTCTGCCATTTTCTCTAACGTCTCCACGGTAACAACATTTTAATGACACGTAGAATGATTAATTGTGTCAATTCTAAAAGGTACAAAACCATGGTGTCAGGAAGGTATGTATATAAAAAAAAGAACTAACTACAACAACTGAAGTAAGTTATTTAATCTGTTTACCTCCAATCCCTAGAGCTAGGAACCTACCTAGCACATAACAGGTTCTCAATATGTAGCTGCTAATGATGGTCTCACTCAAAGCTTCCATTCGTTTTTCTGTTGAAAGGTGATAACAAAGCTATTCCACAGAATTTTTTGAAGGTTAGTGACATGCATAATAAGATGGCCTGGCACATTACTAAGTTTCAATACATAGCACTATTTCTTTCCCAACTAGATAGTGGGTTACTTGAGGATAGCAGCCACTAATTCTCTGCATTTGTATCCCCAGGTCCTCTCACAGTGCTTTGTTCATGATAGGCACTTAGTATTTGTTGAATGAACAGCTAAAGAAATATAAGTCAGGGCATCCAAAATTGGGTGCCTCCAATGATTGCTCCCTGAACACAGTAACTGATCCAGGTATTGGCACATAACCCAAGTTTTGTAAGAGTACCTACTCACAATTTTTCATTATAATCAGAACTAATGGAAAAGAACTCTCTCTACTTACTTTTTGGTATAGGGTTCTAGGGATATAAGCTTGGTGGCACTTACAACCATAGTTCAGGCTCAAGTGGACAGCCAGGGTCTTAGAAGATAAAGCTAAGAGACAGAAAGGAGTAATGATGAGAAAACAATATAAAATGAGAAAAAGTAAAGCATCCCTACATCCAGACATCCATGAGGCTGATTCTACTGCTGCCCTTTCTGTGGGTGGGTTATGTGAGTGTAATATATTGGGGGACAGATAATGCCACAACTGCATGTGAAATGGGGGATGTTTAATTGAGAAACCTTCAAAGCCTGTGCTTTACAAGAAGAGGTGTGGGACTCTTTGCTCTCTTATCATCCCATGGAAATGTGTACAGAGGCTGTGGGTATGTTGGGCACTGACGATCTCTGCTCCAGGAGAGAGTCACTGATCTCCTACAAGCAAGAGAATAGTCTTGTATGGAGAATAAACATTAAAGGCTCAGGTACCTAGCACTCAGAACCTAGATGCCAGCTTTGTGGGGTCTGAGAGGTTGTCTGGCAACTTTGTATGAAGTCTGGATTTGAGTTGTAGAGAATAAATCCCATCTACACACCACTCCTGGAGAATTAAGTTTGAGTGCAGCTCCTCCTGTTTGTGATCAGGTAATGTGAGCTTCCAAGGCCATAAACTGGATAATCTTTTTTGTTTCTTCACAATGATCTAATAATTTTCCCAATTTTGGCCTAAATTAGCTAAGAGTGGATGTCTGTTACTTGCAGCTAAAGAAGTCTTGACTACTATGGACCTAATTTATGTCAAGGATTGTGTTAGACTTTAAGCACAATATAAGCATGGTTTGAGACTGTGTTGTTCACTGGTATATCTCAAGCACTGAGCCCCATGCATAACATTTAATAGGGATTAATAAAAACACATTGGATACATAATTAACCAGTTTGTATACAATCTCATTTTATCTTCACAGTAGCAGTGATAATCTTCATTTTTACTCAGAAAACTGAGATTAGAGAAGTCAAGACACCTGGTAGGGTAGTAATAAAGTAATAAGTGGTAGGGTTATAATAAAGCCCAGGTCTGTCTCCCAGATACAGCTTTTAATTACTGTCATCTCATCACTGCATAAAAAGTGATTCATAAATCACTAAGAGGTATCAGAATCCAGTGTCCAGGAATTAAGAGTTGAGTTATTTATACTCTGGTAACCCCTGGCTCTGTTGGATGCTATGAACAAAGAGTTCCATCTCATGCCTCCTTGAATTTGTCTTCTTGCAGAGGGAAGTATGTAATTTATGCAAAACTAAGAAACATTTTTCTCCTCAGTGGACAAAAGCTTAAGTGGAAGGGAGAAGAATTCAGATTAGGAAATGTTTCTTGTGACTTTCATATTTCCATGACTATTTTCCACAAAAGTGATTGTGGATATCACAGCAGAAGAACAAGAGTCTATTGAGCGCTGTGGGTTCCTCCCTCTAGCCCAGTCTTCCCTGGCACCAGGCAGGACAAAATCTGTATATTCCTACTCATTTCCATTTGCTGGATTAGCACATAGGACGTACAGGGACCAATAAGTGCTATATTTATATCAGTGTAGCCCACCGATTTTGCTTCAAGTAGAGGTTTGGGGAGGTTCTGAAGACCTGCTTCAATCATTCGTCAGACTGACGCATTTTGGCTGCAGCTGGTGAGCATGACCCAGACCACAAATTTCCCTCTGGGGGAGTAGGCACAGCATCCAGGGTATGTTAGTAGTTGTTATCCAAGCCACCAACCGATGGTTGATATCCTAACCACCCAACAGATCAAATGGAATTGAAATATCCTGTAACATTTCCAAATGAAAGGGGCCCAAAACACATGAACTGTTACACAAAAGAAAATATTTTGCCCACCAACAAGTGGAGAGATTTAATTTTTTTCTCTTCTGTTTGTTCTCATTTCTCCTCTGGAGAAAATAAAAACTGAAACAAAGTGGAGATGACCTCCTACTGGATAGCCAACATCATTTTTCATTTTTTTTCTGTTCCCTTGTTACCAGAATATCTCTGAGAAACAAACAGGCTCCATGGCCTCTATGATATTGCCAAAGCAGTCACGGAAGAGCAAAAGCTGAAATTAATTCATGCAATTTGATATATCCTTCGCCTAACACATAAACATGTAATTTTCATAATTGCATTAATAATACCCTCAATGTATTATATTGAACAAGTTTAAAATCGTGTCAAATATATTAAATTTCATTTGTTTTGTCATTAAACACTTCACCATTCACTTTTATATTTGTCATATTTCAAGTCAAAATCCATGATCACACTATCCCCTACAAACATTTCTGTATTTCTCTTTGATAATATACACTAAAAATAGATATACAATCAAAAAATTTCATTCTAAAATATCTTTCTGATATCATACATTGATTTTATGAGAGCATACACTTCCAATCCACCATGTAGGTATATATTTGATATCAAGACCATAAATGTTATCATAATAAATCAAGACTTTTGCATTAATTTGAGTTATTATTTATGTTTTGTTTTAAAAATTGCATATCTGAAGTTTCCTTAGTGGAGTTTTTTTTTTTTTTTTTTGTATTAGTAGTTCAAAACATGGAAAGTTGGATTTCTCAAAAGAATTACTTTTTCCCAAGGTCTCTAACTATGAATCTTCAGGCAAGAGTTTATCTTCTATTTGGCAATTCATACTTAATTTTTTTTGTCTCACTTATTTGTGAATTTTCAATTGCTAAAAACTGTTTTGGCCTAGCAAATTAATAAATATATTGATAATTTATTTATTTTTATTTATTTATTTTTTGAGACAGGGTCTCACTCTGTTGTCCAGGCTGAAGTGCAGTGTTATGCTTACTGGTGATACTATTTACTTTATAGTGGCTAATTACAGAAGGGCAGCTACTGTTGTCATTAGTCATTAATGTTGTTTTAGTCATTCTGCAAATACATTGAGACATAAAACAGTATATATGTATATATGAAAGAAAGAGACAAGATATTATCTGCAAAAGATAAGATTGAATACTTAAAAATTAAAAGGAATTAACTGAAAATCCTATGGGTTTATAAAATATTTCAGTAAAGTAGCTATATTAAAATTCCAGAAAACATTCATGACATCCTAACATAAGGGAAACAAATGGTAAACAAATAATGCTGAAAGAAATTGTGGTAGATGACGGTGCACTGAGTGGTAGCCATTCTTGAAGCTATTGTGTTGAATATACATGATCTTTACTAACACAGTTCAACACAGTCTCTTGAAGTTGGTTTGTGACTATTAATCTGATATTTGTGTTTTTTCAATTCCCATTACTAAGGAAATACAAAGCAGTTCACATACACCTGGAAAGGACAATAGTACACAGTCAATATATTGCTTCAAATCTATATTACCATGAAATTTGCATTATAATACAACCTGAAGGGAACTTAGTTTTCTTGATATTCCATGGAACATCATGTTGGCCCGTTTATTCATGACATTACGTTTATCATCTAGTGATCAAGAAGTAGCAATACTCTGGATACACTGGTGACTAGTGAAACACATATGTACTGGGAATGAATATAAACACTACAAAGATTAAGAAGTCCACCATATCAATAAAGTTTTTAGGAGTTCTTTAGTCAGGGGCACACCAAGATAGCTTTCTAAGAGAAAATATATTTTGCTTTGCATGTTGTATTGTTTACCATTAACAAGGAGGAATAGCACCTAGTAGACCTCCTTGGATTTAGAAGGTAGTACAAACTACCTTAGGAATGTTTCTTTGACCTGTTTATCAGGTTACTTGAAACAATACCTAGTTTGAGTGGGGTTCAGACCAAGACAGGACTCTGTAGCATACTGAACATATAGTACAAATTGCTCTGCTTCTTGGGCCATGTGACCATCGAATACAATACTACTGAAAGTATTCATGCTAGATAAGAACAACTGCTGGCATGTCTGAGAAATCTCAACAAAAGAGTCACAGTGAGTATCCTAGGTTTCTGGATCAAGAACATGCCTTCTGTTAAAAAAGAAAAAATAATAATTACCATTTGAAAACCATGTCCAATAGCATAACTAGATCCAAAAAACAACTAACAGACCATGGGACATCCAGTGATTGTGTAACCAGAGCTTCCTATTAATAGCTAGATATTGTCAAATCTACCAAAGCATAATGTCAAATAAGCAAAATAGCAACTCATCATATCATGATACTAGTACATTGATAAGGAACAAGACAGTCCAATGGCTCAGCCTAACCCCCCTTAGCCACCTACTCTTGCATTCAATAATTCTCCCTCAGCTTCTTAACTATGGCCTCTTTTCTACAGCCAGCTGATGGGGCAGTGCAATCTTGGGTGTAGTATACGTGGTTATCTCCTTTATGTAGAGGGAGAAGGGACTCTGAGGTAACAATATACACAGACACATGAGCAGAGGTAAATGGTGTGTTTCTAGGGTTAGCAAAATGATGTGATTTGGGGGTTACCATTTAGCCTATTGGCCAAATCTAGCCTGCTGCCTATTTTTGTAAATCAAGTTTTATTGGAACACAGCCACACTCATTTGTTTATGTGTTATCTATGGCTGTTTGAGGACTATTGTGGCAGAGACGAGTAGTTGCAAACCAGACCAGGTGGCTTGCAAAGCTTAATATATTTGCTATTTGGTCATTTACATAAAATGTTTGCTCACCCCTGATGCTGGTCATTAATAAGGGGTGAAAAGAAAAAGATCAGAAGATCAGAGACATGAGTATCTGGGAAATGTGTGTGAATGCAGACATGAAACTTGGCAAAAATTGTGCAGATCTTTGTCTCATCTCATCGCCTGAACAACCGGGTGGAGAGCATGTCTCACTCAGTGGATGTCAGCTAGCTTCCGTTGTCAGACACACCATATCCTGGAATGAAAACTACACATGGGATCAACATCATGGACTCCCTCTCATAAAGGCTAATCTAGCTACTACTACTTCTGTATGGAGGAATATCTATACTTACAAAGAGTGACGTTTCTTAGATACTGGTATTTCCTTTGCTAGAACAACTATTTTGGAGTTTAAAGGAGGCTTATACTCTTGATTGACCAACACGAGATGATCAAATAATATGAGTGCATTATATCAAGGATGCCGTTTTATAGCTCAGGAGGTACAACAACGGGCCATGACCAGTGGATCCACTGATTCTTCCATGTAACTCATAGCCTTTATACAACCAGCATGACAGAGAATTGGAATAGACTCTCAGAGATTCAGCTGTGGCTTCAGTTTGAGGACAACACCCTGTAGGTTTAGAGCACTGTCCCCCGAGTATGTTTGTTAAACAAGTGGTCTTTATAGAGTACTGTCTAACTAATAGGTAAAATGCACAGGTTTCTTTTCTTACCATTACTCTCAGAGACTCCCTTGGGAAATTTGTGATTTCTATCCCTGAGACTTTAACCTATGTATAAAAATAGAGGTGCTGAAACACTGGAGGTGGGTGGGGAGGTGGCAATGGTGATGAGTGCTCCTATTATGGACACAGTATGTGTTCTGCTAAATCTAAATCTATGATTACCACCAAGTCGTTTTGAGTTCCTCATGCTAGTAGACAAGCGGTAAAACAAAATAGCTTTTCTTTACTGGTGGCAGTAATTGGTTCTGATTTTTGTAAAGAGCTAGGATTGCTGAAAAATAATGAGAGTATAAAGAGGACTATATCTGGAACTCTCAAAATACTGAATATTTCTTGGCATTCCCATGTCCCTTGATAATGGGAAAGGCACTGTTATGTCACCTGTGACCTGAAAAGAGCAAGGTAACCTGAGTCTGGGCACACTAAATGATGAAAGCAATGTTTACAACTGAAGTGCTGGCAGAGTCTGGAAGAAATTTAGAATGAATAGCTGAGAAGGCAGATGATAATTACGATTAATTATGCCCTTGGGATGAGCTTTAGACTGTTTAGACCACAGTAAACTCCATTAATCTTTTCATTTTAAGGTTTTTTTTTTTTTTTAGTATGGCAGGGAACCATTTTGATTAATTAACGTCAGAATGGACTCACTGTAAAGCATGAGTGACTCTGAGTGGTAGAGGGGCTGGGTGCAGATGCTATTGATGCCCGAGCTGACATCTCAGCCCACCTTAAAGCTGATCTGCAGCACCAATAAGAACAATGTATGGTATGCTGACAGGATCCTATCTTAAGCACCAAGGTTTCTCTTCTTTTTCTAAAGGCTCCTTCCAGCACTATGAAAGCTTGTTCAACTGCACTAAAGAACAATCTGAAAATATAGAGGAATTAAAATCTCAGGACACATGAAGAACCAGTCATGTTCTACATCATTTTAAAATTAGTCTCCAGTAAGATTGAACTTTGATGGCCAGAGTAGTAACCTATATATTAATGCATCCTTTATTACTTTTTCACAATTTCCGATCTAAAATCTCTCCACCCTTATTTGGGATTTCCAGAATCATCTCTCACCTAAACTATATACATACAAGACTTTTTCTTAGGTCAACTTTTGGGCAAAACCAAACCAAGACAAAAACCCTCTCTGTCTCAGTGTTCATATCTCATATTTCAAGGACAACTGACCCCTGAGACTTTACTGACCAGGCCACAGAATGCCTTCCAATCCAAGCCTATTAGGAAAGAGAGATAATCCTTTTTAGAAATTAATCTTATCTCATTTTCAAATGTTCTTGACATTCTTATATGTTTGAACCAGAAATTATAAATCAGTAAGTTTACCCAGGGTTTTTAAAGCTAGTGGTGCATGTGAGGCATTCATTAAGGGATATTTATGGGTATAATCTATGGAACTATGATTCTGCTAATCTGATTGGAACAATTTTGAAATAAAAAATAGGTATAAATTTTCACTTCCAAGTGTATGTACTAGGTCATAAAATATCAGAGAAGTTAGAAATACAATATAAATAAATGTAAATATATATATATAGATGTAGAAAGATATATACATATATATGTGTATATATATATACATGCAAAGACACAGACATAGATACCAATATAGCATCTGAGGGCTATGGAAGGGGTAAAGTCCAAATGAACTAGAATTCCAAAGAGGGCAAGGACTGTTCCTAAGTGAGCTGAGGATTGCTGCTATGTCTGGGTAGAAATTGAAACTTGGCCTTGGCCTAGGCAGAGGGGAAAATTAGAAAAATTTGAGCAGCATGTAGAGCTGAAATGACAAGTTGCAGACTTGAGAGCTCTCAAATATGCAGCCAGATTTTCACATGGAATTTGCTCAGTTGAGTCTTAGACCATACAGGGCAAAATACTACCCCCCTACACAAAAACAGTTTTAGATGGTTCCACATATAAATGTATAGAGCAAATATCTAGAGTATTTAGAGTAAAAGTAAACAGAATATCTTTATGACCTAAAAGTAGAAAAAGATGGAACACAAAAAACCCACTATTTAAAATATGAATAAATTAAACTATATTAAAATAAAAATGTATCTTCATAAAAAGATAGCATTAAGAGAGTGCCAAACTGCAAAATAGGATTATGTAACAATCTAGCACATAACTAATTTCCAAAACAAATAAAGCACACAAATATATAAATGTATATTTATAAAATATATAATTCAATAATGAAAGATAGCTCAAGAGAAAAAAAATGGAAAAAGGTTTGAATAGCCCTTTCACAAAAAGGATATCCAAATGACAAATATAAATCACAAAAAGTCATCAAAATAGTGCAAATTTAAACCACACTGTGATACGAATACACACCCACCAGAATAACTAAAAGGAAACAACAAACAAAAAATGAAACAAAACAGAAAATACGTAGGCTGCTAGAAGTTACAACCCATTTCTTTTGGAGAAGGGATGAGGGGTAGGTACCAGAACTGAGAGGGGCTTTGGGGATCTTATTAATATTCTATTTTTTGATATGGTTGTTTTCAATGTATGAAAACTTATTGATCTGCATGCTTATTTTTACTTATTTCTATATATTTCAATGGAAAGTTTAAAGAAAAAGATAAATATTGTAACCTCATCTGTTATTAATTAAAGAACATCTGGATTACATGCTTAAAAGATTAGATATTTGTAGGTGAAATACTAAGTTGTTAATAATGGCTGTTTAGGTATGATGCTATGAGTGAATTCTTCTTCTTTTTAAGTATATGTGTTTAATAAGCAAATACAGTTTGAAAATAGAAATTATTTTAAGCTGAAACTGCTTTTTCATAGTGTTAAATTAAATCTATTTACCACATTTTAGTCATGAAAACATAATTAAAAGATATGGGGGAAGGTGGGGATGGCTAATGACCATAAAAAAAAATAGAATGAATAAAACCTACTATTTGATAGCACAATAGGGTGACTATAGTCAATAATAATGTAATAGTATACTTGTAAATAACTTAAAGAATGTAATTGGATTGTTTATAACTCAAAGGATAAATGTTTGAGAGGATGGATACTATATTCTCTATGATATGCTTATTTCACATTGCATGCCTGTATCAAAACATGTCATGTATCCATAAATATATGCACCTACTACGTGCCCACAAAATTTTCAAAAATACCAAAAAATTGTGAAAAGAAAAAAGAAGTAAGAGTAATAAAAAAAAGAGACTTGGGTAGGCTACCATAACGATAGTTTTTAGTATCTCTACATGCCTTTATTATTTAGAGCCATGTTGCTGATATTGTTATTACAAACCAAGCAGTGAATAAGAAAGAGGCAAAAGAAATATGTCTTGGCTGTTTCTCCTTCTCATTGGTCATGATGAAGTTCTTGTAATAGCACTGAAGCTGAGATGCCTTGACCACACATTTTTTTTAACAGCTTTATCAAGGTGTACTTGATGTACAAAAAAAACCTACTGTTCATGTTTAATGTATACTATTTAACATACTGGGATATATGCATCCACTTGTGATATCACTACTCCAATCAAGGTAATAAATATATCCATCCCCTCCCAAAGTTGCCTTTGCCTTTTTTATCCCTTTGTGTGTGTGAGTGTGGTGATAAGACCACTTCACATGAAATCTAGTCTCTTAAAATTTTAGGTATATAATACTGCATTGTAAACTCTAGGCACAATGTTGTACAGAAGATCTCTAGAACTATTTTTAATCATTCCTTCTTTCTCCTTCCAACACATTCAGCATGTTCCCCTTTAGTACAGCTCTAGTCTTACACACTATATTCCAATCTTTCACACTTGCTTGTTCTCCTCTTCCACTAGTCATTTACATGGCATCTTATGAAGTCTTAAAACAATAGCTATCTCCTCAGGAAACACTGATTAACTAACGTTTAAAATTTACCTGAGATCATTCCAACTACCCCAAATTGAAGAAATTTTTTAATAAAGAAAGGAAAGCTTCACATCTTCTTATTTAATTTTTATTTTTAACCAGTAATACAAATTATAATAATATTATTTTATATAGAGAGAAATCAAAGATTAGAAAAGACAAGGTACATGTCAGAAATTATACAGCTTTAGGGGCTGGGCATGGTGGCTCATGCCTGTAATTCCAGCACTTTGGGAAGCTGAGGTGGGCGGATCATTGGAGGTCAGGAGTTTGGGACCACCCCGGCCAACATGTTGAAACCCCATCTTTACTAAAAATACAAAAATTAGCTGGGCATTTTGGTGGGCACCTGTAGTCCCAGCTACTTGGGAGGCTGAGGCAGGAGAATCGCTTGAACCCAGGAGATGGAGGCTGCAGTGTGCAAAGATCACACCACTGCACTCCAGCCATGGCAACAGAGCAAGATTCTATCTCAAAAATGAGTAAATAAATAAATAAATAAATAAATAAATAAATAAATAAGAAAAAAAGAAATCATACAGCTTTATTCAAAGCATTGGCTTCTTATGAAGAATTGAAGTTAATGGGAAAGTAGTCTTTAACAGTAGAGGAAGGAGATTTAGTGTAATCTTGAGCTGCAATTTTCCTAATTGCTAACCTATTTTTTGATCATTCAAATAGTGAAATAAAATAATGTCAACTTAAATTCCAGAACAACCAGTTGAATACAATAAATGACTTATCCATATATTACAATGAGCAAGAAGCCTACACAACATACATCAACATACTGTCAATTGTCTTCATTTCCATCATAGTGGGAACAAATTTGTTTGAAGATTCAAAAGATTCAACAATGACTTCTGGAATCACTAAACTAAGAAGTCATGCTCCCCTCCTCCCAGGCAGTTTCTCTTATGTAAAATCTTTAAGTTGAATGTATTTCCCATTTTGGAGCACTGATCATCTGACTGTTCCACCCTTGTTGCCAATGATTTATAATATGAGAGTAAAGCAACCTTAGGCAACAGAGGACAAAGTCATTGAACATGCAAAAATTCAATAGTATTTTTGGTTAATTTCTGTATTTGTCAGATTCTAACAAGGAAAACAGAAACCACTGTAAGTATTTAAAATAGATATTTTAATTCAGAAAACTAAATGCATAGGTGATATAAGAACCTACAGGATCACTAAGGTAAGCTAGAAATAAGCCGTTGCAGGAAGCCACTGTCATTTCTGGGCTACAGGATGTGGTGTTTCCTGAGACCAGAGTGGGACCACACAGTATAAACTGGAATCAGAGTGGGCTTGTCCATCAGGACCTAGAGACATATGAGACACAACTGCTGCCAAAAAATGCTACCAAAGGCGGAGACAATGTATCTTAGAATCCCTAAACACAATCCCTCAAACAAACACAGTCTCTGAACTCAGATTTATGGGAATATATTGGGAGAGGTTTGGGCACCACAGTAGCAGAATGGAAAGACACATTCTAGATTTACAGTTTGCTGGATTTTCACCCTGCTGTCAGTACACATGCGTGCATGCACATACACACACACACTCACTTCTGAAAGAGGGTGAACCATTGGTTTCAGGGCTAGTCTCAACCTTTGAATTTGATCATTCACTTATCAGGTAACCAATAATCCCTTATTCCTGGCATATGAGAGACTGTTAATAAAAAGTCCCCTGAATCAATGAATAAACTAACTTGAAGCATTTTGAAAGTGGCATATAAGAGATTATTAATAAAAAGCCACCTGAGCTGGGCGCGGTGGCTCACGCCTGTAATCCCAGGACTTTGGGAGGCTAAGGCGGACGGATCACGAGGTCAGGGGATTGAGACCATCCTGGCTAATACGGTGAAACCCCGTCTCTACTAAAAATACAAAAAATTAGCCGGGCGTGGTGGCACAGGCCTGTAGTCCCAGCTACTGTGGAGGCTGAGGCAGGAGAATGGCGTGAACCCGGGAGGCGGAGCTTGCAGTGATCCGAGATCGCGCCACCGCATTACAGTCTGGGCGACAGAGCGAGACTCCGTCTCAAAAAAAAAAAAAAAAAAAAAAAAAGCAAAAGCCACCTGAATCAATGAACGAACTAACTTAAACCATTTGCAAGTGGCAAAAAAACAAATTTGGTAGCAACATGTAATGTTTGTCTAGTTTGTCCTATTTTAGGTAGCATTTAAAATAGACACGATAGATATAAAATCATATACAACTATACGTATATAATGTAACTAAACATACAACTCTCATTTATCTTCTAATATTTTGTCAATACTGTCTAAAATTTACAAGGTAAGATGTTTAATAGTGCTTTTTCTGCTCTCCTGTTTGAACTTCTTTGAGATAGTTTTCTACATTTTTTCATATCCTTTTATACCCATAATTTAACTATGAATTGTTCATCTTTACACAGTAGTGGAGAATAATGTTATGAATACCCAAATAATCATCACCAGAAATTATTCATGTTAACTTTTCTTTTACTTTTAAAATAATCTTTTTATTTTAGAATAGATTTAAATTAAAAAAAGATTGTGAATATAATTCAGAGAATTCAACTACTCCCCATACCCAGTTTCCTCTGTATTAACTAATCTTTCATTTGTAAAGTACACTTGTCACAATACTGAACCAATATTGATACATTATCATTAACAAAAGTCCATGCTTTATTCATTTCTTTTTTTTAGTTTTTATCTAATGCCCTTTTTCTGTCCCAGGATTTTACCCAGGATATGAAATTACTTGTGGTTGTTATATTTCCTTAGGCTATTATTACCTATGATCATTTCTCTGACTTTTCTTATTTTTGAAAACCTTGAGAGTTTTGAGAATTACTGATCAGGTGTTTTGTAAAATGTCCTTCAATTTGGATTCTCTGATGATTTTCTTAGGATTTGAGTAGTACTATGGATTTGGAAGAGGAAGACCACAGAGGTAAAATGCCATTTTCATAATATTATGTCAAGGGTACATACTATCAACATGATTATTATTATTGGTATTAAACTTGATCATCTAGCTAAGGTAATCTTTGTTAGATTTTTCTGCTGAAATGTTATTCTTTTTTTATACTGCTTCTATGCTGTGTTCTTTGAAAAGAAGTCACTATGCATAGCCCACACTTAAGAGCAGAATACCTACATAGATTATTTGAAATTCTTCTGTAAGGAAGACTTGTCCCTTCTCCCTCATTTATTTACATCTGTGTACTTGTGGATATTTATTTTGTGTTGTAGGTTATAATCCAATGCCACTTTATTTTGTTGCTCAAATAGTTCCAGCTTTAGACATTAGGAATTTTTTCAGTAGACTCTTACATGCACAATTGCTGGATTATGTGGTTAAATGATGCTTAGTTGTATAAGTAACTGCCAAACTGCCTACCAAAAAGGTTGTACCATTTTTGCCTTTCCACTGAAACTAAATGAGAGATCCTGGTGCTCTATACCTTGCCAGCATTTGGATGGCCTTTTGAAGACATAGGTAAAATGCCAGGTGTCAATACCTTGAGGGGCTGAGGCAGGTCCTCCAGGATGCTGCATATGTTCTAAATCATCATCAAATGCATAGGACTGTTTCTCCCATAGCTGGGATTCACAAGTCCAGGAATCAAGAGGTGTTAGTGGGAGTGACTCCGTAAACTATTATCACTGATGATCCACTAGCAAAATGTTTGCTTCCCATCCCTACAAACTTAAGATGTGCTTGTTTAGAAGTCTTAGCTCTCAATGGAGGTATGCTTCCATGAGGAGCCACAACAATAATTCCACTGCACTGAAAGTTGAGATGGCCACCTGCCAACATTGTGCTCCTCATACCTCTGAATCAACAGGCAAAGATGGGGATTGCTCTACTGCCTGGGTAGGTGATCTTGATATCCAAGGGCAAATTTTGTTGCTATATACAATAGATATAACTAAGAACTTATCTGTTGTACAGGAGGTATCTTAAGGCATCTCATATTAGTACCATGTCCATGATTAAAGTCAATAGAAAACTATAATAATGCAATTCATACAGGACTACTAGTGGCTCATATTCTCCAAGAATGAAGGTTTAAATCACCCCACCAGGCAAAGACCAATGACTAGCTGAATTGTTTGCTGAGAGTAAAAAGAAAATGAGATGGGTAGTGAAAGACAGTAGCTATAAATACTATATATGGTCATGTGACCAGGTGCAGAAAAAAAGAACTGCAATAGTTACGAGTATTTCTTTCTTTTTTATTATGAAAATATCTGTATATGGGTTAACAACTAATTTCATTTTCTTCCTTCTTTTATCTTTAAAATTTAACATAATATGCGTTTATAATAGTTAACTTTATAGCATAAAAAATTACAGGATAAAGGAGGGTGATGTTACATTCTCTTCTGGGGACAGGATTATTATGTTTTGGATACATGAATCATATTAGCCAGAAGTAAATATTTGTTACTGTCTTTATTTAGAAATTCAGGATGAGTTAAGAAGATGTGTATACGTGCCAAATTGACAGGTGGACTATGATGATGTTTTTGATATGTCAACTTGGCTAGGATTCAGTCCCTAGTATTCAATTAAAGATTAATCTAGATGTTATGAAGGTATTTTATGGGCATTAAAGTTAATAATCAGTTGACCTTAAGTAAAGGGAGCTTTTATTAGATAATCTGGGTGGACCTGAGTCAAGAAGTGTAAAAGTCATAAGAATAGAATTTAGGCTTCCATAAAGAAGTAGTAATTCTGCCTAAGGATAGCAGCTTCAGGTTATGTCTGAGAGTTCAAGTTTGCCCTTCCTGATGGTTTGTCCTGTGAATTTTTTGACTTGCCTACTCAGCCCAACAATTGTATAAATCAGTTCCCTGAAATAACTTTCCTAATATATCGTAATATGTAACTTCTAATATTTATGTTTATCTTGTTGGAAATTAACAGTCAAAATACTTAAAGCTTCATTTTTGTGGTATTACTGCTTAATGGGTTTTTTTTAATTTTCAAATTTTTTCATTGTTGGTACAGAGAAAAACAACTGACTTTTACATATTAACCTTATATCCTCTTAACTTATCATTCTCACTTGTGAGATCCAGGAGGATTTTGTTTCATTTTGTTTTGATTTTACATTTGGTAGATTCCTTGAGGCTTTCTAGATGTACATTTATCTAGAAAGAGCTTTATTTCTTCCATTTCAATTAGTATACCTTTCATTTCTTCGTCTTGTCTTATTGCATTAGCTACAACTACCAGTATGTTGTTGAATAAAGATGGTGACAAAGTATATATGTATATTTTTTGAGACAGGGTCTTGCTCTGTTGCCTAGGCTGGAGTGCATTGGCACGATCATGGCTCACCACAGCCTTGACCTCCTGGGCTCAAGTGATCTTCCCACCTCAGCCTCCTGAGTAGCTGAGACTATAGACACACGCCATCATGTCTGGCTAATTTTTTTTTTGAAGAGACGGGATTTTGCCATTTTACTCAGGCTGGTCTTAAACTCCTGGGTTCATCCAATTATCCTGCCTCAGGCTCCCAAAGTGTTAGGGTTACAGGTGTGAGCCACCGTGCCTGGCCTAAATAATATTTTGGCCTTGTTCACGACTTCAGGGGAGACTTGTCCTATCTCTTACTGTGAAGTATCATGTTAGCTGTAGGCTTCTTAGATATATACTTTATATCAAAGTGGGGACATTCCCCTCCATTCAGAGTTTCCTGAATGTTTTTATTACAAATGGGTGTTGGATTTTTAAATTACTTTTTCTATGTCAATTGATAAGGTCATATGGTTTTACTTTTGGAGCCTCATGATATGGTGGGTTACATTAACTGATTTTCAAATGCTCAACCAATTTTGCACTCCTGGAATGAATCTCCCTTGGTTGTGTTGTATAATTATTTTTATACATTGTTGTACTTGATTTTGCTGAGGATATTTGCTTCCACTTTCATGAGGGATATTGGTTTGTAATTTTCTCGTAATGTCTTTATCTTGTTTTGTTAATAGAATAGTACTGATCTCATAAGGTTGGGAAGTGCTTCCTCTGCTTCTATTCCTAAAATATATTGATAAATAGTCTTATTTATTCCTTAAATGTTTGCTAGGATAAACCAATGAAACCGTCTAGACCTGATACTTTCTCTTTTGGAATATCATTAATTATTGATTCAATTTCTTTTGTGGATATGAAGCTAATTAGTTTATCTATTTCCCTTTTTGTGATTTTTGGTTGTTTCTGTCTTTCAACAGATTGATCAATTTTGTCCAAGTAATCTAATTTGTGGGCACTGATTTATTTGTAGTATTCTTTTGTTAACCTTGTAATGTCCACGAAATCAGTGGTGGTAACATTTTCATTTCTGACACTGGTAATTTTCATTTCTGACAGCGGTAATTTCTCTCCACTTCTTTAGTCTTTGTAGAAGTTAACCAATTTATGGATCTCACAGAATGGCCTTTTGTTCTATTGATATCCTGTGTCCTTTTTCTGTTTTCAATTGCGTTGATTTATACTCTATGTTTCATCATTTTCTTTCTTTTTTCCTGCTTTAGACTTAATTTTCTCTCCGTTCTTTAGTATTAAGTGAATGCTTATAGTTTTAAATCTTTATTATTTTCTAAAATATATATCTAATGCTATATACTTCACTTGAGGCACTGCTTTTGTGACATACCATAAATTTTATAAGTTGGATTTTCATTAAGTTAAATTTTTGAAAATTTCTCTTGAGAACTTTTCTTCTACCTAAGGGTTATTTAGGAGTATTTGCTTAATTTTCAAATATTTGGGATTTTCTGAACTATCTTTTCATTATTATTTCTAGTTTAATTCCATATAGTCTTCATCCTCTTTCTAGTTTCATTAGTCCTCAGAGATTAAGCTTATTTTTAAATCCTGGGGCAAGTTAACTTATCCCTATGTACTCATCATAAGTTGACAAAAACTCAGTATTCTGCCTTTCTGGAAATAATTGAGAATTGATTCATTGTACTCATTTTCCTTTACCTATAATTATCTTACTTTAAATTTTTTATTCAGGGGCTTCTATTACAAAATTATGAGCTGAATATAAGATTTTATCTCTTTTTCCTTCCAAGAAACCATTAAAATCATAGCACAAATTTTTCATAAGGCATACATTTACAATAACAAAGAAAATAAAGAGGAGAAAGCTACCAATAAAAAAAGAGTTTTTAACAGATTTCTAGAGGTGAGAAAGTAGATGGGGGAGTGATGACTGATAAGGTGTGCAGAGGAAGTTGCAGTGTCCACAGCTGTAGATTGAGATGATTTACACAGAAGAATCCTAGAGAGACTCTGGACCTCGTGAAAAGCGAGACTAAGATGTGGAGTTAAAAAATAAGAAGATGAGTTAACAGTCTGTGTATCAAACAGTTGATTTTTCTGTAGCGTGAATAGTTTGCCCACCTTCAAGATGCCACCTTCAGGGCCACCAATCAGATCACATTGTTTTCTCCCTGCAACTGACTTTCAGGGAAAACAGGAACATTTTGCAAAGTTATTTATCTCCACTCCCACATAAAACCCACTAGAATAAACGTAAATGAATAAAATAAGGACAAACAGAGCAAAAGAGGATGTGGCAGCAGAGGGCAGATGTTATCAAATTTTAGACACTGGAATGCTGAGAAACAAGAGCTGATAACAGACTTGCCAGAACAGAGAAACATAAATAGTCTTCACGGATGAAGCCAATAAGAAACAAACCACAGCATTCCCAGAAATTTAGAAGGAGTGGAGGCACCAGAGACTTGGCAGAGGTATGGGCAGTGGGGCTGAAAATAGATTTAGTTGAAAGTGTTAGTAAAAATATAACAACTAGATGCCCAGATTTTCTTTCCTACTGCAGGAAGATAGATGACCTGGGCCAATTTTTACATCAGGCACTGTGCCTAGGGTCTATGATAATTTTAGGGGCCCACAAAAAATGTTTTAATTTACTTTACAGTCAGAACTAAAAAGTGAGCATCATACAACCTGGGTTATATTTGTCTTTATACAAACACAGTCATAAAATATCAATTTTATTTTATATTTTATTTTATGTTATGGAGGAAGGAGTCCATGAAGGTAAAAATGCTTAGTGTCCACAACAGTCATAATGCGACCCTGTGGACAACCGCCACTCTTCCACCATAAGAAGACAGCAGGGATTATTTGATATCAGGAGAGGTTAAAACAAAGAGTTCTACATTCAGCCACTTCATTCACAGAAAAGCAGGCTTATCCTGCTCATAGAGGGAAGAGTAAATGAAAAGTCTGCTTATTAAAAAGTCTGTCTCCTACGCCTTTCTCAACTTGTAGCAAGAATGGTCATACAGAGATTTAAACCACACTCCCTCAATCCCTGCCTCAGGGAAAATCATGGAGAATTCTATTTGAGAGAACTGACAGTTGCCAAAGAAAAGATTTATAACTACCCAAAGAAAAGGCCAGTTTGTCTTGCTGTAGCCCTAGAGTAAAGCCCGTCAGTCCACACTCCTAATCTCATAAAACAGATAGCTCCCAGCTCATAAATGCTTTCATCCAAATTAAGTACAGGACAAAAAAAAATCATCATACACTTTAAACATCTCTAATTTGGGAGGAAAAGCAGAAAAAATGGTGGAAGCAGAGATAATGCTATGCTGGGGGCAGAAAAAGACAATAAATAAATAAATCTGAAGTCAATATTCATAGAGAGACAAAAGACAATAACATTACTTCCTAGAACATACAAAATATGTTGACATTTAAGAAAGTTATTTAGGCAACAAGGTAGGGTTTCTGCATATTAAAAATAAAACAGGCATATTTAAAACATTAAGAAACCATATGGAAGACAATATAGTGTACATCTCCCAGAAAACAGACCAAAAAGAAAAAAGAAATATGAAATGAAAAACTCTGAGAAAATAAGTGAATCAAATTAGGGGGACTAAATTTTCTGAACAATAGGAGTCCCAAAAGATGAGACTAGAGAAATCCAAAGGAAGAAAGTATGAAGGACAGAAAATAAAATTTCTAAAACTTACAAACAAACATTTCTAGATTGAGAGGGTCTGTGAAATACCTAGAAAAGAAATAAAAATACCTATAACATGCGTATTATTTTGAAATTTTAAGACAAAAAGAAATAAAAGTGTAATAGGGTTCTTCAGGAAAACAGAAACAATAGGATATATGTAGACATAGAAGAGGAGATTTATCAGGAGAATTGGCTCACTTAATTATGGAGGCTGAGAAGTCCCACAGTCTACTGTCTACAGGTAGGGAACCAGGAAAACCACTGGTATTCACTCTCAGAGTCCACAGGCCTAAGAATCAGGAGCTGCGTGTCTAGGCCAGGAGAAAATGGATTTCTCAGTCGAAGAAGAGAGAAAGATTTCTTCCTTTGTCCACCTTTCTGTGCTATGCAGGCTTTACATGGATTGATTGATGCCCACCTGCATTGAGGGTGGACCTTCTTTACTCAGTATACTGAAACAAATACTAATTTATTCTGGAAACGCCCTCATAGACACATGCAAAAATAATGTTTTACCAGCTATCTGGGCATTCCTTAACCTGGTTGAGTTGATACATAAAATGAATCATCATAAAAAAGTTTGTAGGAAAAAAAATACATGAAGGTACGTCAAAGTACCAGAAATCAGATTTTTTGCTTGCAATATTAGAAGCTGAAAAAACAAAAATAAATGCCTTCAAAATTTTAAACCTATGATTTTATGTCTAATACGTAAACTATTTCCAACTTATAATTTTATATCCAGCCAAAATATCAATGAATTGTGAGGTTAGAATAAAGGCATTTTCAGATATGCAAATTTGCTAAAGTATTCTTCTCTATACATAATTTCTCAGGGGCTGCTGGACATTAGAGTTCTTCAAATAAGAACATTAACAACAACAAAAAAGAAAACACAGATGTAATAACATAGGAGGAAAGTAAAATGAGTTTCTAAAATGAGAGTAAAGGGAGAATATAACAACAGCTGTGTTATAGGACTACTTAGCAATTACTATATATTGGAGGAGACCAATAAGAGGTCTTCAAAAGAAGATATTGACACTAAGTTACCTGATGTATTTTGAGCTGACTGAGGAAGTTTATACAGCTTTGGACGAGATCACAACAATAAATTAGTTGTAGTTATTGAAACAATTAAGTATATAAAAAATTATTGACACCAAAGAGAACAAAAGTTGCATAATAAAAGAACTATAGTATGCTACATTGCTCAGTTGTGAAGGTCAACATTTACATATAATAGTGAAAACATTAAATATTGATTTTAAAATTTTTATAACTCTATTAATACATGGAGGGGTAGGGAGGTGAATGTGTCTGTATATGGTATAAGGCAACTAAATACTCATTCTCCCAAATCTCTTGAATATGTCTGCCTCTTTTGCACCTAATCACAAGCAACCTAGTCTTTCACCTTCTACCTGGATTCTTCAGACTTCTAACCAGTTGCTCCACCCCCACTTTTTCTTCCCACAGTTGTTCCGCATTCTAGCATTACATAGCCAGTCTGTTTAACAGGCAGGTCCAATCATGTCATGTTGTGACTTTCAAAGGCTTCCCAGTGTCCTTAGGTCAAAAACCAAAGTCTTTAATGTGGCCTTCAAGTTAATGCATGATCTGGATCCTTCCTACTCTAATGCATTATTTTTTACTCCTTTTCCCCTCACTTTCTTTTATTTCTCTAGCCTTCTCACAAAAATGCCATAGAACTTTTTCTGCATAGAGGTGTTTCACATGTTATTCTTTCTTTTTAAGAAAGATTCTCCATCCGCTTCTGCCCCAAATATTTCCTTCCTGTAATTGCCCCACATGCCCCACATATATTGACTCAAAAATCATTTACGCTCAAAGATAGATTTGTTTTCTGATCTTTAATACTAGGTCTTTGTGGCTATTCCCAGTAATTCACTTTTACCAATTCTTTCCAAAACATCATTCTTAGATTCAAAGGAATACTTTTCTATTTGCAATCACATTGTGTTAGTTCAAGTTATAGTTAATTAAATTACATAATTACAATAACAAGTACAACTGGAATAAATGGGTTTAAAAGCAAACTCAACTGATAAGTACATAATTCAATGGGAGGGAATAAAAGGAAGTGATCATATTAGTGAGTAGCCTACTCTTACCAACTACTTAGCCATGGCTTGTGCCACAGTAAGTTTTATAGAGTAATGGAGAGTATCAGACATTCAGTGATATCAGTAAAATAGTGGTCAAAGGAAAAAGCTTCTGTGATATTTCATTAATTCTTTTCTTTCCAATTTTTTATTTTAAATTCAAGGGTACATGTGCAGGATGTGCAGGTTTTTTACAAAGGTAAATGTGTGTCATGGTGGTTTGCTGCACAGATCATCCCATCACCTAGATATTTAGCCCAGCATCAATCAGCTACTCTTCCTGATGCTCTCTCTTCTTCTACCCCCTACCCTCTGACAGGCCCCAGTATGTGTCATTCCGCCCCATGTATCCATGTATTCTCATCATTCAGCTCCCACTTATAAGTGAGAACATGCAGTATTTGGTTTTCTGTTCCTGTGTTAGTCTGCTGAAGATAATGGCTTCTAGCTCCAATCATGTCCTGCAAATGACATGATCTCATTCCGTTTTATGATCACATAGTATTCCATGGTGTATACATACCGCATTTTCTTTATCTGATCTATCATTGATGGGCATTTAGGTTGATTCCATGTCTTTGCTATTGTGAATAGTGCTGCAATGAACATACGCGTGCATGTGTCCTTATAATAGAATGATTTATATTCCCTTGGATGTATATACTCAGTAATGGGATTGCTGAGTTGAATGGTAGTTCTATTTTTAGGTCTTTGAGGAATTGCCACACTGTTTTCTATAATGGTTGG
Organism: Homo sapiens; assembly: GCF_000001405.40. Taxonomy (NCBI): domain Eukaryota; kingdom Metazoa; phylum Chordata; class Mammalia; order Primates; family Hominidae; genus Homo; species Homo sapiens. Next base: position 79,039,484 of record NC_000008.11, on the reverse strand, counting down.
ACTAATTTGCACTCCCAAAGATGGTATGTGTTTCTTTTTCTCTGAAACCTCTCCAGCATCTGTTATTTTTTGACACTTTGATAATAGCCATTCTGACTGGTGTGAGATGGTATCTCATTGTGGTTTAGGTTTGCTTTTCTCTAATGATCAGTGATGTTGAGCTTGTTTTCATGTATTTGTTGGCCACATGTATACCTTCTTTTGAAAAGTGTCTGTTCACGTTCTTTGCCCAGGTTTTAACAGGGTTGTTTGTACTTTTCTGGTAGATTTGTTTAAGTTCCTTATAGATGCTGGATATTAGACCTCTGTCAGATGGATGGATTACAAAAATTTTCTCCCGTTCTGTAGGTTGTCTGTTCACTCTGATGATATTTTCTTTTGCTGTACAGAAACGCTTTAGTTAAGTTGGATCCCATTTGTCAATTTTTGCTTTTATTGCAATTACTTTTGGCATCTCCATCATGAAATCTTCACCTGTGCATATGTCCTGAGTGGTATTGCCAAATGTTTTTTATAGGGTTTTTATAGTTTTGGGTTATACATTTAAGTCTTTAATCCATCTTGAGTTGATTTTGGATATGGTGTAAGGAAGGGATCCGGTTTCAATTTTATGAGTATGGCTAGCCAGTTCTCCCAGCACTATTTATTAAATAATCATTTCTCCATTCCTTGTTTTTGTCAAATTTGTTGAAGATCAGATAGTTGTAGGTGTGTGGTTTTATTTCTGGATTCCCTATCCTTTTCCATTGGTCTATGTGTCTGTTCTTGTACCAGTACCATGCTGTTTTGGTTACTGTAGCCTTGCATAGTTTGAAGTTGGGTAGAGTGATGCCTGTAGCCTTGCTCTTTTTGCTTACAGTTGTCTTGGCTATTCGAGCTCCTTTTTGGTTGCATATGAATTTTAAAATAGTTTTTGCTAATTCTGTGAATAATATCAATGATGATAGTTTAATGGGAATGTCATTGAATCTATAAATTGCTTTGGCAATATGGCCATTTTCACTATATTGATTCTGCCTATCCATGAGCATAGAATGTTTTTCCATTTCTTTGTGTCCTTTCTGATTTCTTTCAGCAGCAGTTTGTAGTTCTCCTTGAAGAGGTCCTTCACTTCCCTTGTTAGCTGTATTCCTAGGCATTTTATTATTTTTGTGGAAATTGTGAATGGAAGTTAATTTATAATTTGCCTCTCTGCTTGCCTGTTGTTGTTGTATAGGAATGATAATTGATTTTGTATTCTGAGATTTTGCACATTGATTTTGTATTCTGAGATTTTGCTGAAGTTGCTTATCAGCTTAAGAAGATTTGGGCTGAGACGATGGGATTTTCTAGATATAGGATCTTATCATCTGCAAACAAAGATAGTTTGACTTCCTCTCTTCCTACTTGAATACCCTTTACTTCTTTCTCTTGCCTGATTGCCCTAGCCAGAACTTCCAATATTCTGTTGAAGAGCAGTGGTGAGAGAGGGCATCCTTGTCTTGTGCCAGTTTTTAAGGGGAACATTTCCAGCATCTGCCCATTCAGTATGATGATGGCTGTGGGGTTGTCATAGATGGCTCTTATTATTTTGAGATATGTTCCTTCAATACTGAGTTTATTGAGAGTTTTTAACATGAAAGGATGTTCAATTTTACTGAAGGCCCTTTTTTCATCTTTTGAGATAATGATGATGTTTTTGTCTTTAGTTCTGTTTATGTGATGAACCACATTTATTGATTTGCTTATGGTGAACAGACCTTGCATTGCAGGAAGGAAGCCTGCTTGCTCATGGTGGCTAAGATTTATGATGTGCTGCTAGATTTGGTTTGCCAGTATTTTGTTGAAGATTTTTGCATCAATGTTCATCAAGGATATTAGCTTGAAATTTTCTCTTTTTTACTGTATGTCTGCAAGGTTTTGGTATCAGTATGATGCTGGCTGCATAGAATGAGTAAGGGAGGAGTCCCTCCTTTTCAATGTTTTGAAATAGTTTTAGTAGGAATGGTAGCAGCTCTTCTTTGTACCTCTGGTAGAATTCAGCTTGAATCCATCTGGTCCTGGGCTTTTTTTTGGTTGGTAGGCTATTTATTACTGCTTGAATTTCAGAACTCATTATTGGTCCATTCAGGAATGTAATTTCTTCCTGGTTCATTTTTGGGAGGGTGTACATGTCCAGGAATTTATCCATTTTTTTCTAGATTTTGTAATTTATGTGCATAGAGTTGTTTATAATATTCTCTGATGGTTGTTTGTATTTCTGTGGGGTCAGTGGTAATATTCCTCTTATCATTCTTGATTGTATTTATTTGAATCTTCTCTCTTTTATTCTTCATTAGGGTAGCTAGCAGTGTTTCTATTTTATTAACTTTTTTCAAAAAACCAGCTCCTTGAATCATTGATTTTTTAATGAGTTTTTCATGTCTCTATCTCCTTCAGTTTAGCTCTGATCTTGGTTATTTCTTCTCTTCTACTAGCTTTGGGGTTTGTTTGCTCTTGGTTCTCTGGTTCTTTTAGTGGTGATGTTAAGTTGTTAACTTGAAATCTTTCTAGCTTTCTGATGTGGGTGTTTAGTGCTATAAACTTCCCTCTTAACATTGCTTTAGCTGCATTCCAGAGATTCTAGTATATTGTCTCTTTGTCCTCATTAGTTTCAAAGACCTTCTTGATTTCTGCCTTAATTTAATTATTTACCCAAGAGTCATTCAGGACAAGGTTGTTCAATTTCCATTTAGTTGTGTGGTTTTGAGTGAATTTTCAAATCTTGAGTTCTAATTTGATTGCTTTGTGGTCCAAGAAACTTTTTGTTATTATTTCAATTCTTTTGCATTTGCTGAGAAATATTTTACTTCTGATTATGTGATCAATTTTAGAGTGAGTGCTATGTGGCAATGAGAAGAATGTATATTTTGTTGTTTTGGAGTGGAGAGTTTTCTAGATATCATTAAGGTTCCCTTGCCCCAGAGCTGAGTTCAGGTCCTTAATGTCTTTGTAAATTTTCTGTCTTGATGATCTAATATCGTCAGTGAGGTGTTAAAGTCTCTCACCATTATTGTGTGGGAGTTGAAGTCTCTTTGAAAGTCTCTAAGAACTTACTTTATGAATCTGTGTTTTTCTGTATTGGGTGCATATCTATTTTTGATAGTTAGCTCTTCTTGTTGAATTAAACTATTTATCATTATGACATGCCCTTCTTTCTATTTTTTATCTTTGTTGGTTAAAGTCTGTTTTGTCAAAAACTAGGATTGCAACCCGTGCTTTTGTTTTTCCATTTGCTTGGTAAATTTTCCTCCATCCTTTTATTTTGAGCCTATGTGTGTCTTCACGTATGAGATGAGTCTTTTTCAGACAGCATACAGATGGGTCTTGGCTCTTTATTCAGCTTGCTATTCTGTGACTTTTAATTGAGGCATTTAGCCCATTTATATTTAAGATTATTGTTATGTGTGGATTTGATTCTGTCATCATGATGCTATCTGGTTATTTTGCAGACTTGTCTATGTGGTTGCTTCATAGTGTTACTTGTCTGTGTCCTTGAATGTGTTTTTGTAGTGACTGGTAATAGTTTTCCTTTTCCTATTTAACACTTCTTTCAGGAGCTCTTGAGACACAGTTTGGGTGGTAAGAAATTTCCTCAGCATTTACATGTCTGAAAAGGTTCTTTTATTCTCCTTTGCTTATGAAGCTAAGTTTTGCTGGATAAAAAATTCTGGGTATGAAATTCTTTTCTTTAAGAATGTTGGGTATTAGCTTCCAATATCTTCTGGCTTGTAGGGTTTCTGCTGAGAAGTCTGCTGTTAGTCTGATGGGCTTCCCTTTGCAGGTGACCTAGCCTTTCTCTCTGGCTGCCATTAACATATTTTTTTCTTTCATATTGACCTTGGAGAGTTTGATGATTATGTGTCTTGAGGTTGATCTTCTTATAGAGTATCTTACTGGGGTTTTCTGCATTTTCTGAATTTGAATGTTGGCCTGTGTTGCTAAGTTGGGGAAGTTCTCCTGGATGATATCCTGAAGTATATATTTCAACTTGGTTCTATTCTCCCCATCTCTTTCAGGTACCGCAATGAGTCATAGATTCAGTCTCTTTACATAATCTCATATTTCTCAGAGGTTTTTTTCATTCTTTTTTCTCTAATCTTGTCTGTCTGTCTTATTTCAGCAAGCTAGTCTTCAAACTCTGAGATTCTTTCCTCCACTTGTTCTATTCTGCTATTAATACTTGTGATTCCATTGTGAAACTTCTGTAGTGTGTTTTTCAGCTCTAACAGGTTGGTTATATTGCTCTCTAAGCTGGCTATTTTGTCTGTCAGCCCCTGTATTGTTTTATTATGATTCTTAGCTTCTTTTCATCGGGTTGTAACATGCTCTTTTACCTCAGCAAAGTTCATTGTTATCCACATCCTGGAGCCTACCCCTGTCATTTCAGCCCTCTCAGCCTCAGTCCAATTTTGAGTTTTTGCTAGGGAGATGTTGTGGTCATTTGGAGGGAAAGAGGCACTCTGGCCTTTTGAGTTTAAAGCATTTTTGCATTGAGTCTTTCTCATCTTTGTGGACTTATCTACTTTCAATCTTTGGGGTTGCTGACCTTTGAATGGGAGTTTTGCGGTTTGTTGTTGTTGTTGTTCTTATTTTCTGTTTGTTTCTTTATCTTTTAACACTCTGGCCACTCTTCTGTAGGACTGTTGTGGTTTTTTGGGGGTCTACTCCAGATCCTAGTTGCCTTGGTTTTTTCCCATACTTGGAAGTATCACCAGTGAAGGCTGTGAAACAGCAAAGATGGTAGTCTACCCCTTCTTCTGGAAGCTCTGTCCCAGGGGTGCTGACTTATTGCCAGCCTGAATGCACCTGTAGGAGATGGCTGGAGACCCCAGTTGGCAGCTCTCACCCAGTCAAAAGGAATGGAATCCAAAACCTGTTAAAGAAGTAGTCTGGCTGCTTTTTGGAGGAGCTGCTGTGCTCTGTTGATGATCCCTTCAGCCCCTGATTGCTTTGGGCTCTCCAAGGACCACAGGTTGGACCAGCTTAGAAGCCTGAATGGTCAACGTGGCAGCAGTCTGCTCCACTCCACAGGCACTCCATCCCAGTGAGAAATTAGGGCACTGCTGGCTCTAGAATACAATTAGAGGTGGCTGGAAGTGCAGGCTGGGAGGACCCACCCTGGTGACGAGAAGTAGATCTGGGTTGTGCTTGAAGAAGCATGCTAGCCATGATCTGGCAAAGCTGCTGTGCTGTGCTTCGGGGGGACTCTTCCTTATCTGGACTCCGGGCTCTCCAAAACCCTCAGGCAAAAATTTGACCAATTCAGCTGATTCTACCAAACAGCAGAGATGGTGCCTAGCCCTCCCCCTGGGACCTCTGTTCTGTCTCAGGCAGGCTCCACCCTGTTGCTTGTGGCTGGCTGGAATTCCAAACCACTGGGTCTTATCTTGTGAAGTGCTATGGAAGTAGGGCCCACAGAACAATGCTGCTTGACTCCCTGGACTTAGCCCCCTTCCCAGGGGTATGTGGAGACCTCCAGCCTTCCCTGAGTTGCAGACACATTTGTTGGGAGTAACAGGGGCCAGAGTATGTAAAGATAATGGGTCTCTGTGTGTTCCTGAGCAGCTGCTCTGCCAAGACTCCAGACAGCTCTGTGTGTTGGATCCAAGGCTGTGGTGATGTGGGCTCACAAGGGTATCTCCAGATCCATGGGTTGCAAAGATCCATGGGAGAAGTGTGGTTTCCCAGGGTTGTACAATCACTTACTCCTTCCCATGACTGGAAGTAGGGGGTTCTCTTGGCTCCATGTAGCTCCTGGGTGGGCCATCACCCCACCCTGCTTTTCTTTTCTGGTTCTGGGGAACCAGCCCCCAATAATTCAACGTAGGTTCTTTTCTATTTCCCCTAAGTGTTGGCCTGTCTGAGAAATAATGGGAAAGAGTATAAAAGAGAGAAATTTTAAAACTGGGTGTCCGGGGGAGACATCACATGTCGGCAGGTTCCGTGATGCCCGCTGAGCCATAAAACCAGCAAGTTTTTATTAGCGATTTTTAAACGGGAGGGAGTGTAGGAATAGGGTGTGGGTCACAGAGATCACACGCTTCAAGGGCAACAAAATATCACAAGGCAGAAGGTCAGGGTGAGATCACAAGGTCAGTGTGAAACTAGAATTACTAATGAAGTTTCATGTCCTGCTGTGCATGCACTGTCATTGATAAACATCTTAACAGAGTTCAAGAGCAGAGAACCGGTCTGACTAGAATTTGCCAGAGAATTTCCTAATCCTAGCAAGCCTGGGTGCGATGCAGGAGGCCAGGGCCTGTTTCATCCCTTATCTGCAACTGCATAAGGCAGACACCCCCGAGAGCAGCTATTTTAGAGGACCCCCCGGGAATGCATTCTTTTCCCAGGGTTGTTAATTATTAATATTCCTTACTGGGGAAAGAATTCAGCGATATTTCTCTTACCCATTTTTGGTAATAAGAGAAATACGGCTCTGTCCTGCTTGGCCCCTCAGGCAGTCAGGCCCAGTGGTTATCTCCCTTGTTCCCTGAACATCACTGTTATCCTGTTCTTTTTTCAAGGTGCCCAGATTTCATATTGTTTAAACACAGATGCTTTACAAACAATTTGTGTAGTTAACGCAATCATCACAGTGTCCTGAGGCGACATACATCCTCAGCTTACGAAGATGACGGGATTAAGAGATTAAAGTAAAGATAGGCATAGGAAATTATAAGAGTATTGATTAGGGAAGTGATAAATGTCCATGAAATCTTCACAATTTGTGTTCAGAGATTGCAGTAAAGACAGGCGTAAGAAATAATAAAAGTATTAATTTGGAGAACTAACAAATGTCCATGAAATCTTCACAATTTATATTCTTCTGTCATGGCTTAAGCAGGTCCCTCTGTTCAGGGTCCCTGACTTCCCGCAACACATTCTCGGAGGATCAACTTGTTTTACTAATCAGTTCCAATGTGAGTACCTGGATATTTCAGTTGAAGGTGCTGTATTCACTCACCACTTTTGTTCCTCTCTGTGAGTTCTGCAGACTGCAGCTGCTTCTAATCGGCCATCTTGGCCCAGCCCATTTACTCTTTTTTTTTTTTTTTAATTATACTTTAAGTTTTAGGGTACATGTGCACGACATGCAGGTTTGTTACATATGTATACATGTGCCATGTTGGTGTGTTGCACCCATTAACTTGTCATTTAACATTAGGTATATATCCTAATGCTATCCCTCACCACTCCCCACAGCAGTCCTCGGTGTGTGATGTTCCCCTTCCTGTGTCCATGTGTTCTCATTGTTCAATTCCCACCTATGAGTGAGAACATACGGTGTTTGGTTTTTTGTCCTTGCGATAGTTTGCTGAGAATGATGGTTTCCAGTCCCATTTATTCTTAAAAGCTCTGTGAGGACAGGACAAATCTGCACTGGCTCATCCGTATAAGACTAAATTCTAGCACAGTCAGTATGTGAAACATAGTAGGCATGCAATAAACATTTGTTAAGTAAATGAATTTAAAAATATATGAACATGTTTGTAAACAGTCTTGACTATTGATCATGTATTCTTCACTGATACTGAGTGCAGCATTTCTGCTGACCTTCTCTTTCTTTGACTTTTAAATAATGTCCACAGCAGTCTGTAAATGTGCTGGTGATTGTATTGTTCAAAGCTATAATCCACAAATTAAGTGTGTCTTAGAGCATGATTAAATTCAAAAAAGCAAAATTGCTGGGGAAAATTCATTACTATTATTTAGACAGCTGAACCACTTTTCAAAATATTTGTAACTCAAACTTCTCTTTTAAAGGGCAAAAATAAAAATCATTCATGGTGTAGAGAGGCTACATTGAATTTAAAAAGTTATCACAGCTTAAGAAGACAAAGATAATATATTCTCTGTATAAGAGCATTTTAAAACTCATTTTAGATATAAAATAATTTATAATGTGAAAAAATTGATGTATGGGAATGTATTTAGTAAGTTCATTTTGATTAATAAGAATGAGGTAAAACCTGTAATTTATAAGATTGTATTTCAATTAATATTATAGATACTAATTTTAATTATGCCTATTGAGAAAAAATGGAAAGAAAGCAGGCACACTTCAAACACAAACACAGTAGGGCATACTTGATCTTTCCACTTATGCTCTCTGTTTCATAGTTGCATGTGTTTTCTTTATTACTTATTTATTCTTAATTGCAAAGGTATTACATGCTTGTGGTAACAAGTAAAACTGTAAAGAGAATTATTTAAAAAGTTAATGTATATAGTTAATCTATACACATATACCTGGATATACACTACCTTGATGCAGTCCCTTTATTGCTGTACATAAAAACATCTCATATATCATATATACCTCTAGTAGTTATATGTATGCCTATACATTTGTTACTTTTGCAAATATTGAATTTTGCTTTTTAAAAACCTGAATTTTGCTTTTAAAGGTTTATGTATATTATACAATCAGCATATCAAAAGGATAGCTGACCTCCATGTTTATTGCAACTCTCTTCACAATAGCTGGGATAGATATGGAATCAACATAAATGTCCATCAATAGACAAATGAAAAAATAAAATGCGGTATATACACACAGCGAAATACTCTGCATTCATAAAAGAGAATAAAATCCTGTAATTTGCAGCAACATGGATGAGCCTGGGGGACATTATGTTAAGCAAAATAAGTCAGGCACAGAAAGAAAAACACCACATGTTCTCACTCATATGAAAGTGAAAATAAAACTAAGCATAGTAGTAGGAGTACAATTATGGATATTAGAAGCTGGGAAGTGTAGAGGGTAAGAGAATGGAGAGAGGTTGGTTAACAAATACAAAGTTACAGACAGATAAGAGGAATGAATTCTGTTGTTCTGTAGCACTGTAGGGTGAATATAATTAACTATAATTTATTATATACACTCAAAAACTGGAAGAGAAGATTTTGAATGTTCTCAACACAAAGAAATAAAAATAATAAATGTTTGAGGTGCTGAACATGCAAATTACCCTGATTTGATCATTATGTATTGCATATATGTATTGAAATATTACCATGTATCCCATAAATATGTTCAATCACTATGTGTCAGCTAAAGGTAAAGGGAAAAAATAGTATATTATGATATTCCTTCAGTTTAGTCAGTATAGATATGTTTTATTTTTTAGATCGATTTCACTTTAAGTTAGTATTATTTTACCTACTAAAACTATAAAATTTTAAGTGCCTACTGCTGAAAGACATGGTTGTTAGACCAACAATACTTTTGTTTTATGTTTTTTATTAGAAATCTAGTATGCTAATAATTTAAAATATTTAATATTTCTAAGTAATTACTTGCAACATCTAACAGTATTTATAATTCCAAACATGTGAATGTCGATCAAAGGATATGAAAATCTGTATTACCCTTTATTGTTACCCCCCAAAATTAATAGGATAAATACTTGGATAAATCAATGTCTGCTTCTTACAAATTTTATTATTAAACTCCCTGCCATATTATATTTATTTTTTCTGGTTGTACAGGGTTTAAAGAGTTTGTCAGGAGCTGAGACATGCTAAAATGAGAAAATAAAAGAAAGTTAACAACTAAATTATTTTGCAGCAGTACCCAAATAATTTCTACAAAATTATTCCACCTACACCTAAAATATATTGGCCAATTATGCCATTTCTGCAGGAATCTCAGTATAATAGCAGTCACAGAAAAATTACAATGATAAAGCCTAGAAAAATAGTATCATTTTTCTTTTTGTCATAGTTTAGTTGCAAATATTATTTTAGCAGGCTTCATTTCCTTCTAGGACAATTTACAGTGAAATAAAATGCTTTTTCTTCCCCCCAACTACACACAGATGCAGTGTTTGAAATGCTATTTATTCTGTCCTGCATTCTAAGGAGACTTAAAGCCTTCAAGAAGACAATGTAAAGAGAGATACCTTCTTTCCAGAATTTGTCTCTTAAAATTCTCATGAATAGAGATGAAGCAATAGCAAAGCTTTGAGAGTGCTTGTATAGGATATAGAAATCTACTTCATTTGTGCTCTAGTTGAGGAAGATGAATGCTTTAACCTTGAGACATCCTATTATTTTGGCTCTATGTAAAGGAACATCTCTTGGAGAGAGCTACTACTACAAAAGAAATAGGCAAACATTCCAAATCATATTCATTTGCTGTTGATGCCCGTATAAAAATGTCTACATTCATTGTACTGTACCTTTACATGGTAAACATTTTTACAAGAAGAGCTCCAGAGCCAAATCAACTGCATTTTATCCAGTGACATATTTATCCAAAATATCAAAGTGAAACGTAAGAGCCACTGTCAGCTATAAGCATCTATGCGAGTCAATTTTAAAAACAACATTATATGCCTCCCTCTATGCCACATTCACCTAGGGAATGGAAACAGCAAATTTCAGTTTAAAACTCTATGGAGTCATAATCTGAAAAGAGATTTACATAACCTATAACAAGTCATGGTCGGTAAATTTCTTGCTCACCCTTAAATATATGGTGATGAAAAGCAATTTTTTCACAAAGAATATTCCACTCCAAGCTGACTTTCCCACAAGAAACAGTATCTATGTTTGTATCAGTCAGGAAGAGCTAAATCATACTGAGATAAAAGACAATCTCCCAAATTTCACAGAATTAAAATACCATATGATACTTTCTGCCTCATATGATGTGTCTATTGTGAATCAAGGTGGTTCTTTGTTCTGGATTGTTCATACACTGGAGCTAGAATAAAGAGCAACCCTCTGGAATACTGCTGGACCCGGAGGCAGAACTGAAGAGCTTTGGAGGATCTTGTATCAGCAATTAAATATTCCAGTGAAGAACTTTCATGCATCACTTTTTTTCCCCACTCATTGGTCAGAAGTAGTCATATGGCCCCCATTCAAATACAGAGTCAGGCATTCCAATCCTGAGAAGTTATCGAGTGCCCAGAAGAAAGAGAGCCAGAAATATTTTGCTAAATATTACTAATGAATACTACGGTTCAACATGCTGTTCCTCAAGTACCTTCTCCTTCTCCTGCAGAAATGATGTGGTCACCCTCTCTTCTAGGGAGTTAGATATAAGATGCCATCTGGTCGTGGCATCAAGCGTAAACCCAGTATCTCCGATGTTGTTGATTAGTTTTTTATTTTTTCTAGAATGTTATGCACAGTTGTCTTTACATCAAGTGTATCCCTAACGCCTTTTGATTTGAAGACCAATGAACTAAAAAGTTCTCATCAAACCCTCTATCCAATATCCAGCCCTGGAACAAGGACAGAATAAGTACAATCACACTCCCCCAAATCACAAGATTTTTAACCCAAGCTTATGGTTATTTTGGCAGTAAAACTCTCCTTAAAACTTTGTAGACATCTCACCTATTTAAGTCAGCTTCATATGCAAATAACCACACCCACAGTTATTTTCTAGTTATACTTGTTTAGACTTATTATTTTCTTTGTTAACTTATATTCCATCCTAATCTTTTTCTTCCTGTCTTAATTGTAAATACTTGACCCTTTCAGATTTTGGCTGGCGAGATATATGTTTAGTTTCTTTTTCTTTAGCCATTTTGTTCAAATCAATAGATTTCCTGGATATCATAGGCTTATTTGAGTCTGTACCTGAAGATAGTTCAATCCATTCTGAGATTTCACAATGAACGTGGCAGCCACGTGTTTGAAGCTTGTCACGAGGATTCATTCTAATTGACCCTTATTTGTAAAAAGTTATCTTGGTTTTCCCTTTCACCAGTTGAGGATGATAATCATCTGCCGCTTACAAGGCTCTGTAGCTAAAATTACAAACTATTCTCTTTAATTCCAGCTTGCAAGTTAGCTAATTCTTTTCTGAGCCCCTCTGTCTCGCTTTCTTTCTCCTTGTCAACTATCAATAGTAGCTCACACATTTTTCTAATTTTTTGTTTTCCAGTTGTGAAGCAGGCTCACTCTGCACTGATTACTAACTTGTGTGAATCCAGTGAGTGAGAATATACTCATGGCCACAAGTCACACGGAGCTGATTTATTATTTACAGATAGGTAGCAAGGGACAACAGAAGCCTATGATTTATTGCAAACTAGTCCCCCTACAGCTTAGAAGGGAGGTGGAGTCTTGTCTAAAAGTTGCACACTTGTACCACAGCTGAGAGACTTCAGAAAGCAGCCTGCCCTGGGTTTTATACTCTGGGGTAAGAGGAGTTGCTGGGCTGAAGCATTGAAAAACATCTTGTTTCTAGGCTGGTGACTGGAACAGAACCTAGCTGTTCTGGCCAGTACCTCCCTCCCTATCTGAGAATGTTGCATTCCCAGCACATTCTGGGAGTACTATAAGCAAGAAAGAGAGAGGGAACAGGGTCTGTTCAAGGCCATCTGGATAACTGTTCTGTACCAATCTCTTTCCCTAGACTTACAAGTTCATTTGGTACACTATCTGCATTTAAAGTGAATGAAAACACGTAGATCAAGTTTTATCATGTATTTCATCACCAAATAATATGAATTGTCACCCTTCTAGCTTCAAATATCAGTTCTCTGACATTTTTCTATCTGTTCCCTAAAGTAATGACAGATGTTTTACTGTTTGCTTATGATAATATGCCAATTATAGGTAACACCATCTGTATCAACAGTATAGGTTAAGTTTTGTTGTGATAATTTTTTAATGTAGGGTCTTAAGATCTTATGTGTTTTTTTTTCTCATTTGTAGTATATGCTCACCAAGAGTCAACTGAAAACTCTGTTTGGTCATCCTTATTCTAAAACCCAGGCTGAAAAAAAGAGCTAAAATTCAAAGCATTTCTGAACATTAAAGGGGTCTCTGATCAGTAAACAAATTCTCTGCCAGTAAATGACATAGATTGCTTTTGCCTAGTCACTGGGGAGAACTAGCCTCTCTGCCACACTTATACTAAATATTTTCATTTACCTTTTCGGACACACACTGCACACTTCCCCATGCTATTCTGTGTCCTGGGAGGCTGCTTCCTTATCTTAAGACTTCAAGTTGGGTTCAACCAATAGAAGCATCTGTAGGAGATTGGAAGGCACAGGGAAGGCAGATTGAATTTTTATTGTCCCAGTTTCCTCCATTCTGGGTCACAATGGATTGGCTGTGCTCCTCTTCCAATCAGTCAGCCTTCTCTGTACAGCTACCCTCTCTGGGTTCTATAAACCATATAACCACTCCCTTCCCTTGTCTCTTCAAGCCTAGGGATGGCAGCTCTTTCCTCTTGCTGGCTCTAGGATTCTGCACTGTCATTTATTGGGTTCTTTAAATCCTGCCGCAACTTAGCAATAATCTCATTATTAAAGTATTCTTCTGTTATTCTGTTTGTGTGTGCCCCTCACCTTTTTTTCCCAGGATTTAGACATACACACACACTCACACACACACCCCATCCAACCAAGAGGGAACCAAGCAGTACAATCTACCTACTTCCAGAATAAATATTTGACTGAAAGTATTAATAACCTCCAGGATGTTTTGTTCACCAAAACACCAGTTCTATTCAGAATGATTCTATCACTTTATGAATATGTTCCTACCATAGCAGATTTTGCTCAACTAACTGCATTCTCAATGTACGTCTTTTAACCTGTGCTTTGGCTACCTAAAAAACTCACTTCTTATATAGCCAGTTTAAATTTCCGAGTAAAAGAATTTAGTAAGTCCAACTAGTCATTGCATTCTCATTATTTAGACAGGGTTTTTTTTTTTTTTTAAAGACTATGTTTCCATTAGCTGCTGTCCAGCTTGATATATAGCCTGGTTTCCTTGAGCCTCATGACCTGCCCTCATCTAATCATCTATAGCTGAAAGAGTCATATAAAATAGGACACAGACCTCTGTGATTAAAGTACTATGTAGGACAGATGAAGATCTACTTATAAGTAGTCTGATGGTAGGACATCCCTTCTGTATAGGGCATCCATCCTGGGGTTTAACCTTATAATTAAATCTCAGTTATGAACTGACAGAAAGAAACATTGTCAAGAGGCAATTCTAGCTGACATGTTACATAGTACAGAATGAAATAAAATATAAGAGCCAGACGACGGAAACAGAGAAGTTTTCTTATTAAAATTAAAAAAGGGGAAGTGTGGAACTACACGGCTGTAACAGAGTTTGCATTACTTAGTCTATTGGTTCCCCAAATATGGCCTCTGGATCAGCAATGTTAGTATAACCTACTGGAGAGCCTATTACAAATGCAGATTCCTGGGTCACATCCCAGATTTACTGGATCAGAATCTCTGAGAATGGGACCCAGCAAACTGTGCTTTAATAGTCCTTCCAGTTGATTTTGATGCATGCTAAAGTTTGAGAACCCCAGCCCTAGTTCAGTGCTTCTCAAACTAGTGAGCATTATGATCACCTGCTTGTTAAAATAAAGATTCTGATTCTGTAGGTCTGAGCTGGGCCCCAAGATTCTGCCTGTGTAACAAGCTGCAGGGTGATGCTGATGCTGCTGGTGCTTGAGCTACACTTTGAATATTGAGGCTAAATTGCCATCTCCTTCAGACCAAAGACTCCATCTTGTTATTTTCAGCCTCTGTTCAGAATAAGTCATTTCATGGTGCTGTTAGAAAGAGTATTGTTGGAAACATGTTTGCAGCATTAAAAGGGGCTCATCTAAAAGGAGATTTTGCATCCAGACCATCATGTTTCTCTGACTTACTTTGGCAAATCCACCAACAGATTTTTCCTAATTCTCTAGTACCTTTTTAAAACAAAAACAAAAACTTACCTTGTTTAGCTTTAAGTAGCCACTTCTTCAATAGAAATCCTAAACTCCAAATCCTGACGTCCAAGCTGATGACCACATCACGGTGTTCTCCTGCACAGTATAGACATCTGCTTTCCCACACTGCTAAAGCTCTGCTCCCATGGGCAGCTTCCTCCTGCCCCAACCTGCCAGAAGGCAATTACAATCTCAGACCCTCAACTTCCTTCCTCTTCATACCTCTCACACCAGTAGAAAACACCTATGCAGAATAGTGAGGTAGCTTAAATTGATTTAACCACCAAAGTTTTCTTCTCTCTCACATTAACATTCTCTCTTCTCTTTTTTTCTTACTGATTGCACTCAGTTCTCTCCATAGTTTACCAGAATGCCACACAGAAAGGCTCATCTAGACCCAGTCTCATGATTAACCCTTTCTCCTTCAGGACCACCTTCAGGGATCCAGCTCCTTCAAAACCCTTCAGCATTCTGCCCTGAACTAGAGCTAACATGTAATATGTTTTCTATAAGGTGACAGTGGTTGATAATACTTTATTATAATACCCCATCTAGAGATACTTAAATTTTAACGTAGAACACTCAAAAGGCAACCAAGTAGTTATTAAACTTTGGTGATCATGTGAATCACCTTGGATGCTTATTCAAAATACAGACTCTCAGGCATTGCCTCATACCCAGTCTACTAAAATCTCTGATGATAGGGCACAGTGTTTTGAGTAGGGATTTTTTTCCTGACAGTTCTCAGAAAATGTAGATATTTTTCACAATACTTAAAAAAATCATTAACAAATCAGGAACACAGGAAAGGATATTGTAATTCTCTTGTAAGAATTAAAGCTTACCAATGGACATAGAATCTATCTTAGCTCAAAGAAACTGGACTCCAGTCAAGCAAGAGTAGGAAATTCTTACACACAGAGCTGAAATTCAAGGTCTGCTATTCTGAGATCAAAGACAGGAGAAAAGAACAAGCTCAGCAGTCAGGATGCCATTAGTCAGTCTTGCTTATAGCTGTTTCCATATTTTAAGCATGCTTTTATGGCTCTGTCTGCTGATCAGAATGAGTCATTCTTGAAATTAAAATAAATATTTATAAGTGTTTATGCATGATCTCTTTTATACAAATTCTAGGTGTCTGAAAAAATAAATTTTGAAAGTGAAACTAATAATTGCCTACATGTAATTCACTTTATAGCTGTTAATATTGCTATGATACCAGATATTTTGTTATTCCAATACTAGTCAGTAATGTTCCCTGGCATTGTTTAGTATCTGAATATTCACTATGGGTGAATATGAATTAATTATAATAATATGAACTTCTACCAAAAACAGCAAAAACAAGCAAAATTTGAACAAGCAGACCAAGTAATTTCCTTGATAAAGGGGAAAATCTATGAAGTATCCTAAAGCCCAACTTGAAGATGCTTTTGGAGGCACTCTCATCAATTGGATCAAAATGAAAGAAAATCTTCTGTATCTAGAATATCTGTCAAGAAGCAAATATCAAGACTATCAGATGGGGAAATGAATGCTTTGTATGTTTAAAATTTTCATTTTGAGAATAATTTTTAAATATTTAATATTTGTGAAATGTTTAATATTTTTATATGATATTTACTTCTCATCAGTGTTCCTATATTTTAATATTTTTTGTTCTCAAAGTCTATATTAAGTACAGAACAATTTTGCATGCAATTGAAATATATGATCTTGCCACAATATGTTTGTTAATAATAATAAGCCATGCTTTTGTTATTCTTTTTTACAGAAAACCACTGAAACTTCTAATATAACTGTATCATAAAAATGATTTATTTTTTATTATTATGGTCACATTATTATTTTAAAACATAAACATGTTATAAAAATAAGAAAATAATTTATGATTATACAGGATTATAATTTATATTATGATTTCTCATTCTTAAATCCCAAATCCTAGCAATTTAAAAAAAACAAGTGGGGAACAGGAATATGCATCGTTTGCAAGCACCCCAGGTCATGTTAATACAAATGTCTTGAGTGGAAAACACTGCAAAACACTGCCTTAACCCAATGAGCAGTATAACTCTGCAGTCAATCTGGAGTTTTACGCATTTTAGATGGAAAGACTAGGGTTAGAGGAGCATTGAGGATGAAGGCTTCCTGCTCCTCGCAGACATCCTTTAAATAACACCATAGAGACTGCAGCTACATCAGATTGCTCACATATGATGCGAGGCTATTATTAGCTATATCTGTGGTTTATTTTGATAATTAATGTAAATGACACAGGAAAGCACCTTCTTAGAATATGCCTGATACATGATAATTCCCTTCTTCCTTTCCCCACCTTGTCTACTTAAACTTCCATGAACCCAGAATTCTAAACCCATTTGTTAGCCACATATTTAGGAAATTTATATCTCTTAATAAATCACATTATGCCTCCAAGACATCAACATTAGCCTGCACATTTGCAGGAGGAATATGGGATGAGAATAGCAACAGTGTTCCCACCGGCAGCCATGGGGTGTGTGTTGAATGAGACTAGATTGTCTGGGTTGCTTTGCCTCTGTTAGAATTCAGGTCACACCTTTGCTGTAAACATAGATACTGCATTCTTTACAGCAGACGCCAGACATTTCCAAATTCCTGAACTGATGGCTCTACAAGCTTGTGCTTTGAGAATTACAGTCATAAACACAGAAAAGTGTGCCCATAAACAGTAGTTTAGTACTCTTGTTTGCTTCATACTCTACGCTAATTGACTTAACCAAATGATTTATGTTTATATAAAGTGTAATTTCAAAAGGACATTAAAAAGGATCCAAGCTAATGCATTAAATTAACTTGGCATGAAACAAGCATATCACAAGACATTTTAATCACACAATCTTATGTTTGTAGGTGAGTGTGTGAATTTTTCCATACATAATTTATAGGAGAGTAGGCAGTGTAATGTTAACAGTTAGCTAAATTGTATTAATTAATGTATATTTTCTAATTTGCAAGGCAGTCTTATAAAAAGAAATGAATATGTATTTTCCTATTGAATCAGTTAGTCTACTTGCTTCTTAGATCACTTCTCATCCCCACAGACTCAAGTCACTGACATTTCAGATCATGCTACATCCTTAATTCCTAAATGCATATTTACTTAAAAGTACTTACAATATTTTGTTCTACTGGGGAGGAATGAATCTCTGCAAATGACGGCTGTGTGGACCTGGAGCTTTCAAAGTAATCATGTGAGCTCTCTGCATGTGGATTTATCTTCACAAGTGAATACCCTAGTTTCTCTCCTTTCATGAAGAACAGAACTTCACCCAACTTTTGAATCAGTGTGCCTAGGGTCCAGTCTGTGCCTTGTGCTGAGAATGTGTTCAGTAAATATGTGATGAATGAAAGGACTCATGAGAGTCAGGTACCCATATTCTTTCATTAGGGTTCTGGAAATGTGCTTTCCTCTGCAATGATTCTAGTGTCTCATAGCACTGTCCTGTGGTGGGGGTTATTCTCTATGTATAATCACTGTGTTCTACAGTGAGGGAGCATTGTTTGTCCTTGATTTGGCTCTTGGACTTACCCAGGCTAAATATTACACACCCTCAGCTTATCCTTAGTGTCTCCAGTAAAGCCCAGAATGGGAGGATTTGTTGCTGACGTACAAATGAGTCAACACTGGGCAAAGCTCTCATCCAGGGCATTGTTGAGTGCTGAGTTGGAATCCAGCTGGGGCTGAGTCAACATAGGGCAATTTTTAGATATATTTAGAGTCACATTTATTAGGGAAGCAATTAGCCATCATATGTGGACTTCTTATTCGAACTTTTTCCACTTAAAAAAATTAAGGTATAATTTACATACAGTAAAATGTATTCTTTTTAGTAACGTATAATTCTGCAAGTCTTGATATCACATGGTCATGTAACCCCCACCACAATCACAATATGGAACAGTTTTTTCCTCCCTCAAAATTTCCCATGATCCTTTGTAGTCCAGCACCCTTGGTCATTTCACATTCCCATTAGCAATTTACGTACCTCCTAGACAGTAGTTGGTATATTCAGTCTGTTAAATTTTAGATCTTTTAATAGGTATACAGTGGTATCTATTGTGGTTTTGTTCTTTTTTCTAATGACTTATGATGTTAAGCATGTTTTCATATATTTATTTGATAATTGCATATCTTCTCGGGGGCATTGTCTTTTAATCTTTTGTCTATTTTTATTGAGTTTTTCTTGTCCTGTTGAGTTTTGAGAGTTTTAATAAGCATTCTGCGTATGAGTTCTTACATATGTGATTTGCACATATATTCTTCTTATCTATGTCTTTTCATTCTCTTAACAGTGTCTTTTGAAAAGCAGAAGTTCTTAATTTTGATGAAATGTATTTATAATATTATCTTCTATGGATCACATTTTGGTGTCATTTCTAAAAAAAGTTCTGCCTAACTTAAGGTCATAAAGGTTTTCTTTTATGTTTTCTTTTAGAAGTTTTATGTTTTTAAAGTTTATATTTAGGTCTATGATTTTTTATATTAAGCAATTTTTATACAGATTGAGAGGTATCAATCAAATTATTATTTTTGGCATAGGGATAGCCAATTTTCCAGCACTATTTGTTGAAAAGATAATCCTTTCTCTATTGAATTCCTCTGGTAATTTTGTCAAAAATCAACTAACCATATGTATGTCTATTTCTAAACTCTCATTTCTCTTCAATTCATCTATTTTTCTGCTTTATGCCAATACTATTCTTGACTATCATAATAACTTAATAGTAAGACTTTAAGTGAGCATGAGTCTTCCAAATTTGATCCATTTTTGGCTTTTCACATTTCTTTGTAAATTTTAGAATTAAGTAAGGAGGATTTTATTATTCTGTTTTTGCCTCAGAGATTTTTAGTGTGCACATTTAAAATAATTGGAAATTTCTAACACTAATGCATCACAATGAGATCTGCTTATTGATTACTGGTTCTACATTCTCTAAAGGAGTTACTAATGACCCTTTTTAAAATTTAAAAGAGTCTTAATTTCTGTCTTCATCCACCAGTAATTTTATATCCTCATATTCTCCCTATTTAATAAAAAATCTGATTTCTTCAGATATTATCTTAAATAGAGAAATATAGGAAGTGGTAAATACTTCTCATACTCAGTTACCTCACCTTAGGCGTGAATAAATACATGAAAGCAAGCATTGAGCAGCTCAATTGGCTTCCAAATGTGTCATCTCATAGGCAAAGAAATGTATCTCTGGAAACTTCTCTAAAAAGTATTCCCATTTTGTCTGAATGTTAGAACCATCTGAGGACCTTTTAAAAAGCCTGATGACTATGCACTTACCAGACAAATACATCATGATTTTTAAGGATAGAATCCAGGCATCACTGCTTTGTTTGTTTGTTAATTTGTTTATAAAGCCCCAAGTGTGACTATAACTGGCAATCAAGACTGAGACTAATTGCTCCAAAAGGACACTCAAAAAAAATCTGCAGAATGATAAGAATGTTAAATGTCATATTTGCTACTTTTAAGGTCTTTGATTTTGTAAATTAGTTATTTATTTTTATTATTTATTTATTTATTTATTTATTTTGAGACAAGATCTCACTCTGTCTCCTAGTCTTGAATGCTGTGGCACAGTCTCAGCTCAATGCAACCTCCACCTCCTGGATTCAAGCAATTCTTGTGGCTGAGACTTCTGAGTAAAGGGATTACAGGCATGCACCACCATACCCGACTAATTTTTGTATTTTTTTTAGTAGAGAAGGGGTTTCACCCAGTTGGCCAGGCTGGTCTTGAACTCCTGGCTTCATATGATCTGTACACCTTGGCCTCCGAAAGTGCTGGGATTACTAAATTTATTCTTTAAAAAAGAGTTATTCATTTCTTAATCATTGAAGATACAGTTCAAGTAATCAAGCTTACAAATTCAACAATTAAGAGAAGTATAGAAAATAATAAAACTAAGTTAAAGCTATTGTCACACTTTTCTGGCTCAGTTGAGCATATATTACCTAATTTTTGACTAAAAGAACAAAACAATTTAAACAAGTAGCACAGATAATTGTTTTTTAGGGAAAACACTCATCTAAAGAATAAGCACGTGAGCAATTTGTAGCTTTATAAATAACTTTAAATAGTTTTTTAGACAAAGTTCCTAAGTTTCAGTTGGAACACAAAAACTTTGGAATTTTTTATTTTGGAGTCAGTTCTCAATGCTGACAAACTGATTTGTTTCTTTAAGCTAATAAAAGCAAATCCTAATATCTACATATTTCTATCTATGTATCTATCTAACCATACTTCCCACAGAATGTCTTATTTACAACTTTAAAAACACCAGAAGAAGTTGAGTGTAGTATAGATTATCTTTCTTCAGGAGACATAACATATTTTCATCTCCATTTTATTTTTTCACTCCACCCTGGCAAAGACTTTTTACCTAAATCATGAAGAAATACCGGGAGAGGGGTCAAACAAGATGGCTGAATAGAAGCCTCTACTAATCATTTCCCCCAACAAGAACACCAAATTTAAAAACTATGTACACCAAAAAAAGCACTTCCATAAAATGAAAAATCAGGTACCAGCTTGGCCAGAGCGGGGTAGAGCACCAAACAGAGTCCTAGGATCCCTGATTCCGGGCCTTGGTTCTTGGATCGCATTTCTGGACCTGCTGTGGGCCAGAGGGAGTTCACTGCCAAAAGGGTGAGTCCCAGGCCAGGCAGCATTCGCCACAAGCTAATTGAAGAGCCCTTTGGTCTTAAAAGAACATCAGCAGTAGCCTGGCAGTACTTCTCATGGGTGTGTGCTGATGGTGGCCAGGGGGAGAGGCTGCTCTTCCTGTAAAAAGAGGAGGGAAGAATGGGAAGGACTTTGTCTCATTGTTTTAGTGCCAGGTTAACTGCAGTAGAATAGAGCACCAGGTATATTTCTAAGGTTTTTGACTTTAGTCCCTGGCTTCCTGACTGCAACTCTGGACCCATGTAGAGCATGGGAGAACTCAACACCCTGAAGGGAAGGACACAGACCTGGCTGGCTTCACCACTTGCTGATTGTAAAGCTTTATGGCCTTGAGCAAACATAGGTGGTAACCAGATAGTGGTTACAGCGGACCTTGGGTGAGACCCAGTGCTATAGTGGCTTCACATCTGACCTAGTGTGGTCCCAGTGCTGATGGCCACAGGGATACTTCTGTTACCCCACCATTAGTTCCAGGGAGCTTAGCACAGAGAGAGAGAGACTCCATTTTATTAGAGGAAGTAAGGGAAGAGAACAAGAGTTTCTGCTTGGTAATCCAGGGAATTCTCACAAATCTTATCCAAGACCACCAAGGTGGTACCTCTGTAAGTCTGCAAGAACCACAGTGTTACTGGACTTCTGGTGTCCTCAAATGCAAATACAGCTTGGATCACAACACTCAAGTTTCTTCAAATATCTGGAAAGCTGTCCCAAGGAGGGCAGGTACAAACAAGCCCACACTGCAAAGACTACAAGAAATAACTAACTCTTTAATGCTCAGACATTGATGAACATCTATTAGTATCAAGACAATCCAGAAAAACATGATCTCACTAAATGAGCCAAATAAGGCAGCAGAGGCCAATCCTGGAGAAACAGATATGTGACCTTTCCTATGGATAATTCAAAATAGTTGTGTTGAGGAAATTCAAAGCAATTCAAGATAATAGAGAGAAGAAATTCAGAATTCTGTCAAATAAAAATTTAACAGAAAGATTGAATTAATTAAAAGGTATCAAGGAGAAAATCTGGAGTTGAAAAATGCAAGTGACATACTGAGGAATGCATCAGAGACTATTAATAGTAAACTGATCAGACAGAAGAAAGAATTAGTGAGCTTGAATACAAGGCACTTGGCACGGTGGCTCATGCCTGTAATCCCAGCACTTTGGGAGGCCGAGGCAGGCGGATCATGAGGTCAGGAGATCGAGACCATCCTGGCTAACATGGTGAAACCCCGTCTCTACTAAAAATATAAAAAATTAGCCGGGTGTGGTGGCGGGCGCCTGTAGTCCCAGCTACTGTGGAGGCTGAGGCAGGAGAATGGCGTGAACCCAGGAGGCAGAGCTTGCAGTGAGCTGAGATCGCACCACTGCACTCCAGCCTGGGTGACAGAGCGAGACTCTGTCTCAAAAAAAAAAAAAAAAAAAAAGAAAAAGAAAAAAAAGAAAATATACGATCAGAGAAGATAAAAGAAAAAAGAATAAGAAACAATTAAGCAAGTCTGCAGGATCTAGAAAATAGCCTTAAAAGGGCATTTATAAGCATTATTGGCCTTAAAAATGAGGTAGACAAAGAGATAGGGATAGAGAGTTTATTCAAAGGGATAATAACAGAGGATGTGCCAAACCTAGCGGAAGATATCAATATTCAAGTGCAATTAGGAATCAAAGAGATTTAACCCAAAAAGGACTACTTTAACGCATTTAACAATCAAACTCCCAATGGTCAAGGATACATAAAGGATTCTAAAAGCAGTAAAGGAAAAAAAACAAAGTTTGCTGCTAACATGTCTGGCAGCAAACTTTTCAGTGGAAACATTACAGGTTGAGAGAGAGTGGCATGACATATTTAAAGTACTGAAGGAAAACAACTTTTACCTTAGAATAGTATATCCAGGGAAAATGTCCTTCAAACATGGGGGAAAAATAAAGACTTTCCCAGATAAACAAAAGTTGAAGGACCTAATGAACACTGGACCTGTCCTATGAGAAACACTGAAGCGTTCAATCAGAAATGCTACACACCTCAGTCAGAAAGAAAAGAATAATAATGAGCAATAAGAAATCATATGAAGATACAAAACTCACTGCTGATAGTAAGTACATAGAAAAACACGGAATATTATAACAGTGTAATTGGAGTGTGCAAACTAATCTTAAGTAGAAAAACTAAAGAATGAACTGATAAAAAAATAATAACTCCAACTATTCAAGACACAGACAGTAGAATAAGATATATCTGTATTTATAGATAGATTGGTATTTATATCTAGATATTTATAGATAGATAGATAGATAGATAGATAGATAGATAGATAGATAGAAAAATCGAAAAGTTAAAGAGCAGTAGGATGAAATAAAAGTGTAGAGCTTTTATTAGGTTTTTTTGCTTTGTTTCTTTATGCACTCAGTGTTGTCATCAGCTTAGAATAATGAGTTTTACGATAGTATTTGCAAGCCTCATGGTAATCTCAAATCAAAAAACATACAATGGATACACAGAAAATGACAAGTAATAAATTTAATCATACCCCCAGAGAAAATCATCTTCACTAAAAGGAATACCGGAAGGAAGAGAAGACCACAAAACAACCAGAATAAAAAAATCACAAAATGTCAGGGGTAAGTCCTTACCTATCAATAATAACATTGAATGTCAATGGACTAAATTTTGCAATCAAAAGACATAGACTGGCTGAATGGATAAAAAATCAAGACCCAATTATCTGTCTGCCACAGAAAACACACTTCAACTATACACAGACATATAGACTGAAAATAAATAAATGGAAAAAGATATTCCATACCAATAGAAATTGAAAAAGAGCAGGAGTAGCTATACTTATATCAGACAAAATATTAACATATTTCAAGACAAAAACTATAAGAAAAGATGAAAAAGGTTATTATATAATGGTAAAGGGGTCAATTCAGCAAGAAGATATAACAAATTTAATATATGTGCATCCCAAACTGGAGCACTCAGATATATAAAGCAAAGATTATTAGAGCTAAGGAGAGAGATAAACCCCAATACAATAATAGCTGGAGACTTCAACACCCCACTTTCAGCTTTAGACAGACCTTCCAAATAGAAGACAAAGAATCATCAGACTTGATTTGCACTGTATACCAAGTGGGTCAAATAGATACTTACAGAACATTTTATCCAATGGCTGCAGAATACACATTCTTCTCTTTAGCACATGGATCATTCTCAAAAATAGACCATATGTTAGATCACAAAACAGGCCCTTAAACATTCAAAAAAATGAAATAATATCAAGCATATTCCCTGACCACAATGGGATAAAACTAAAAATCAATAACAAAAGGAATTTTGGAAAGTATACAGACACATGGAAATTCAGTATTCTCCTGAAACACCAGTGGGTCAATGGAGAAATTAAGATGGAAGTTGAAAAATTTATTGAAACAAATGGTAATGGAAACACAACACACCAAAACCTATGGGATACAGCAAAAGCAGTAGTAAGAGGAAAGTTTATAGCTACAAATGCCTTCCTCAAAAATTAAAGACAACTTCAAATAAATAACTTAATGATGCATCCTTAAAGAACTAAAATTCAAGAGCAAACCAAACCAAAAATTGGCACAAGAAAAGAAATAATAAAGATCAGAGAAGAAATAAATGAATTTGAAATGAAGACAACATACAAAAGATCAACAAAACAAAAAGTTGGTTTTTTGAAAAGTAAAATAAATAATTAAATAAAAAATAAAAAATTGAAAAATCTTTAGCCAACCTAGCAGAAAATAGAGAAGATCCAAATAAATAAAATCAAAGATGAAGAAGGAGACATAACAATTAATACCACAGAATTCAAACCATCATTAGTTGCTACTATGAGCAACTATATGCCAATAAATTGGAAAACCTAGAAGAAATACATAGGTTCCTAGATAACATATAATTTACCAAGACTGAATCATGAAGAAATCCAAAACTTAAACAAACAAATAGCAAGTAACAAGATCGAAGATGTAACAAAAATTCTCCCAGCAAAGAAAAGCCCAGGATCAAATAGCATCGCTGCTGAATCCTACCAAACATTTAAATAATAACTAATACCAATCCTACTTAAACTATGAAGAAAAATATAGGAGGAGAGAATATTTCCAAACTAATTCTGAGACAAGTATTATCCTGACACTGAAACCGAAGACACAACAACAACAACAACAACAACAACAAAAACTACAGGTCAATATCCCTGATGAATATTGATGCAAAAATCCTCAACAGAATACCAGCAAACAGAATTCACAATACTTTAAAAAGATTATTTATTATGACCAACTGGGATTTATCCCCAGGATGCAAGATTGGTTCAACACATGCAAATCAATCAATGTGGTACATTATATAAAGTGAATGAATGACAAGAACCATAAGATCATTTTAATTGATAATGAAAAAGCATTTGATAAAATTCAACATCCCTTCGTGATAAAAATCCTTAAAAAGTGGGTATACAAGAAACATGCCCCAACATAATAAAGGCCAAATATGACAGACCCACAGCTAGCATCCTACTGAATGGGGAAAACCTGAAAGCTTTTCCTCTAAGATATGGAAGACAACAAGGATGCCCACTTTCACCACTGTTATTCGACATAATACTGGAAGTCCTAGCTAGAGCAATCAGAAAAAAAATGAAGAAATAAAGGGCATCTAAATTGGAAAAGAAGAAGTCAAAAATCAAATTATCCCTATTTGTAGATGATATGATCTTATATTTGGAAAAAAAATCTAAAGACTCCATCAAAAAACAGTACTATAATGGATAAATTCTGTAAAGTTGCAGAATGTAAAATCAACGTACAAAAATTCATAGAATTTTTATGTGCTGACAATAAACAATCTGAAAGAAATCAAGAACATAATCCCATTTACAATAGCTCCAAATAAATTAAATACCTGGGAATTAACCAAATAAGTAAAAGATCTTTAAAATAAAAACTACTGAACATTTATGGAAGAGATTGAAGAGGAGACAAGAAATGGAAACTTGTTATATGTGCATGGATTGGAAGAATCAATATTGTTAAAATACCCAAAGCAATCTACAGATTCAAGGCAATCCTTATCAAAATACCAAAGACATTCTTCACAGAAACAAACAAACAAAAATTCTAAAATTTACATGGTACCAGAAAAGATCCAGAATACCCGAAGCTATCCTGAGCAAAAAGAACAAAACTGGAGGAATCACATTACCTGACTTCAAATTAAACTACAGAACTATAGTGAGCAAAATGGCATCATACTGGCATAAAGACAGACACATGGAACAGTGGAACAGAATAGAGAAGCCAGGAATAGGTCCATGCATCTACAGCAACTTATCTTTGACAAAGATGCCAAGAACATACGTTGGAGAAAGGACAGTCTCTTCAATAAGTCGTGCTGGGAAAATTGGATATCCATATGTAGAAGAATGAAACTCTACACCTATCTCTTGCTATATACAGGAATAAAGTCAAAATAGATTAAATACTTAAATCTAAGACCTCAAACTGTGAAGCTACTACAAGAAAACATTGGAGAAACTCTCCAGGACATTGAAGAGGGCAAAGATTTCTTGAATAATACCCTGCAAACACAGGCAACCAAAACTAAAATGGACAAATGAGATTACATCAAATTAAAAAACTTCTGCGCAGCAAAGGATACAGTCTACAATGTGAAAAGACAGTCCACAGAATGACAGAAATTATTTGCAAACTGCCCATCTGATGTGGGATTGATAATCAGAATATATAAGGAGCTCAAACAACTCTATAGGAAAAGAAATCTAAAAATCTGATTAAAAAATAGGCAAAAGACTTGAATAGACATTAAGACAAACAAATAGCAAACAAGCAAATAAAAAGCTTCTCAACATCACTGATCATCAAAGAAATACAAAAACTACAATGAGATATCATTTCACCCCAGTTTAAACTGCTTATATCAAAGTCAGGCAATAACAAATGCTGGTGAGAATGTGGAGAAAATGGAACACTCGTACTTGGTGGGAGTGTAAATTAGTACAACCACTGTGGAGAACAGCTTGGACATTCCTCAAAAAAACTAAAAATAGAGTTATATGATCCAGCAAGCCCACTGCTAGGGATATACCAAAAAGAAAGGAAATCATTATATCGAAGTGATATTTGCACTTCTATATTTATTGCAGCACTATTCATAATAGCCAAGATTTAGAAGCAACCTAAGTGTCCATCAACAGATGAATGAATAAAGAGATTGTGTTACATATACACAGGGAAGGACTATTCATCCATAAAAAAGAATGTGATCCTATCATTTGCAACAACATGAGTGGAACTGGAGGTCATTATTTTAAGTGAAATAAGCCAGGCACAGAAAGACAAACATCACGTCCTCACTGTTTGTGAAAGCCAAAAATCAAAAACAATTGAGCTCATGGAGATACAGAATAGAAGATGGTTACTAGAGGCTGGTAAGGGTAGTGTGAGATAGTGATGGGGGGATGGCTAATGGGTACATAAAAATCGTTTTAGAAAAAATAACACTAATGAATAAGACTTAGTATTTGATAGCACAAAAGGGTGACCACAGTCAATAATAATTTAATAATACAATTTATAATAACTAAAAGGTATAATTGGATTTTTTGCAACAAAAGGGATAATTTCTTGAGTTGATAGATACCCCATTTATACTGATGTGATCATTAGACATTGCATGCCTGTAACAAATTATCTCATCTACCCTATGCATATACACCTATTACATGCCTGCAAAAATAAAAAATTAATACAAACAAAAAAGAAGAAATCATTTTATTTAACACTATTCATATATTAATTTTCTTATCAGTTTTCTCAGTGTGAGATGTTGGTTTAATTTATTCACAACCACTATTTTAATTAGGACCTTTGGAAGAGTAGCTTTCCTCAGCAATATTCTACCTATGTCTTCAGCCAATAACCTGCTTATAATATTCCAGAGGTTATTTCCTTAAGGTCTAGCATGTATAATGTGTAATTGAGTAGTTTTTTAAAGTCTCCACTATTAACAGGGCAATAATAAGCATTTTCTATATGCCACATACTGTGCTATGCCTTAAAGATATAAGTAAATAAATAATAGATGGACCCATGGAGTTGTTGACATTACAGTAAATCTGGTACCTATACACCATGGTATATACGATACCTAGGAATACCTAGGAATTAATCAAATAAGTGAAAGATCTTTAAAACGAAAACTACTGAACATCTATGGAATAGAAAGAAATGGAAATTTATTATACATGCATGGATTGAAAGAATCAATATTGTTAAAATGTACATACATTTAACAATACTATACGGCCACAAAAAAAGAACAAAATTGTTTTCTTGCTGCAACATAGATGCAGTTGGAGGGCATTATCCTAAGCAAATTAATTCAGGAACAGAAAACTAAATACAGCATGCTCTCATTTATAAGTGGGGACTAAACATTGGGTACTCATGTAAATAAAGACAGCAACAATAGAAATTGGAAACTACTAGTGGATGAGGAATAGAGGGGAGCAAGAGTCGAAAAACTAGTTATAAGGTTTTATGCTCAGTACCTGAGTGATGGGATCAGTTTTAACCTAAACCGCAGCATCATGTAGTATACCAAAGTAATCTGCACATGTAAGTCTGCACATGTATCCCCTGAATCTAATATAAAAGTTGAAATTATATTAAATAAACCTTCCCAAATAAAAAATAAAACAAAATACCCACTTTGTAAAACCTTTTAACTCTCAAGTGCATGTGCCATCTTAATAAGCATTGTATTTAGATTATTTTTGTAGATAATGGAAATTAGACAAGAAAAAGCTTTAATGAGAGAAAACATTTGTATTTTTAAAGAAACATGATATACCACTATGACTTTGCAACATTTATCACTCTCTCCCTTACTAATCATGTAACTCAACTAAAAATAAACCTCTTAGGAGGAAAAATACATTGGATATTTGGTTTATCGCCTTTATAGGGGAAAACATGTTAGATCATTTTTCTCCCTCTTTCAAAGGTTGTTTTGATGTCATGTGGAAATAGCCCCATTACCTGAGAGATAAAATAAATCAGCTACTGTCTATGCTCTAGTGAATATCCTTCAACGTTCCAATATTTTGCTGTCTTTTTGTACAGTCACACCCATTTAGTAGAATCAAAGGAGTAAACGAATTAAATTAAACATGCAATTTAAAACTCCTACTTAATTTAAATATTGTCATTTCCCGAGGACACAGCTGAGGAAAACACTGCAGTTATGGCACAGATTGAAAAACAAAATCATGCACACCTATGAAATAATCATCTACTGTGCAAAAAATAAAAAAAAGAAAAGAAAAGTAAAGAAAGAAGAAGAAGAAAAAAGGAAATGCGAAAGAATCCATGATTTTGTCCTGAGCTCCTGGACTCCTACTGGAGAAAGAAGGAAGGAAGGAAAGAAGGAAGGAAGGAAAGAAGGGAGGGAGGGAGGGATGGAGGGCAGGAGGTGAAGGGGGGAAGGAGGGAGGGAAGAGGGAAGGGGGAAGGGAGGGAGGGAAGAGGGAAGGGAGAAGGGAGGGAGGGAAGAGGGAAGGGGGAAGGGAGGGAGGGAGGGAGGGAGTGGACAGTGAAGGAAGGAAGGAAAGAAAGAACGTAGACTTTCCACATTGCCCTTTTTCTCCTTTTCCACCTCACTTTCTCTTTGTCAAAAACTCATGAGAAGCGGTGTGAAATCTCAGGATTAGCTCTGTATCAACTGTCGGGAGACCTGACTTTCTTTGATTTTGCTATCATCATGCTTTAGGTGAGCAGATATTCTTCTATGCCTCAATTTTATATTCTGAATACAGTTTTTGGACTATTTTAATATGGCTTATACATTTGGGTATATATAACTCAGCTCTGACCCTCATCTTGTATCATTGATATATCTCTCTAATTTTTGGAAATTTATTTTTGGTCCCACATGATTGTAAGATGACATTAATTCAAAGTAGATTTAGTTGGAAGGAATGTCTGTTTTTCACTAGGTTATTTGTTGTTGCATCATGGATTATTCCCTTATAAACTGACACACTTTAAACTTGATTTCAATTCTTGATTATTTGGCCAAAATTCTACCTCAAGAATTAAATTTGTGCACAGTATATAGCAAACTCTAATTTGTAGATAATCTAGTAGGTAATATCTATTTACCCTCTTACAAGTGTCAGGAGCTATGCATATAAATAATTGTGAAATAAATACTAAGAATTATAAAATCCAATATTGACCCTTATGGTGCTTCTATTTTCAGTGGAAAGGAATGGAAGCATAAAAGTAGACCAAGATGTTTGACAGTGTGTTATAGACTAGAAAGTCTAACCTAGATCAGAGAAAGGCAAAATTTCGTATTGCTTAGGTCACACAACCTGGTTTCCCAGAATAATCGCTGCTTATGACTGTTTCGTGATTTAGGTATTCTCTTTCACTCACAGAATTGTCCAGTTTTAGAAGATAAAAGACTGTTGGAGAAAATTCCACATTGGTATGAAATTTGAATTGTACAGTCCTTCTGTTAGAAAAGAGGAGGAAGATAGAATTAGGAGGCATATGAAAGAATGGTATAAATAAGTGCTTGCTCATTCCACAAATAATTGATTTCCTTCTCTCCATTTAGTCAGAATAATTGGTGTTTGGCATCAGCATTGTCAAATAACTGATCTGTAATCTGTAACTGTGATAAGAATTTGTTTCCAAAATTTCTGAAAGATAAGAGAAAAATATCACAGAAACCAATATTTGGTCTTACTGGATTCCTGTTTTTAGAGGTGGATTGACATAGGGTGAGAGACACAATTTGGAGGAAAGAGCCCCAAATTCAAATGTTTATTTCTGCCATTTATTGGCTCTGTGACCTCATGCAAATTATTTAGCATTTCTATGTCTCCTTTATTTTTAAATTGAGATGGTGCGTATAAGGTTTCAGAATTAAATGTGATAAAACATATAAAAACACACAGTAGAGTGGTTGGCTAATTGAACGTAATCAGTAAAATATTCTAGATTCTATATGTGACACAGCATGGCTAGGCTCTTAAAATATAAATACTTTTATGAACTTTCAATAAAACTATTGCAGTGAAAGCAGCCCTATACTTGACAGCCATTCTCCTAGAGCCAGAAAAATGTAAAATAGGCCAACACATTCCCAACATCAGAAAAGGAAGTTTAGAGCGTTGCTTGACTTGAATATATTGCCTATACCAGATGCCTCTTGGCCTGTGTCAGTACCCCTTAGAAAGTATTAAAGTCATTATTACTGAAAAAATAAAGATAAAATAAAGACAAAATGGAAGTAGTTTCATGATCTGTTCCACGTTGATGACTGCATTCAGATATTCTGACTTCTTCTGGAAGCTTTGAACTGCCTTGATGACTCTTCAGTCTCCAGAGTGCCTTCCTGGCAATAGATCTGTGGTGGCATGAGAGTCTGAAGCTCCTTCTCATAAATTACCGTGAAATTAATCATCATAGTGTGCCCAGTTCTGCCTTTGAGTTAATAGACTTGTGATGAATAAATAATCTTGTTCCAAAATCTTTGCATGTTTACTCCCTAGAGTTCCAAAATCTTTGCATGTTTACTCCCTAGAAGAGTCATCCCATTGATTGTTCCTTTGTTCTGATTCGTAGCTTCCCTTATAAATTTTGGGAAAATACAGTGATATTTAAAAATAGAATTAAAGTTATATTCAGTTAAGAACATGGCTACTACCTGCTATTGGGTTTGAGATCTTAAGACAAATGTTTTAAAATTAAACATTGATGCTTTCTCCTCTACATGGTAAGTGGAATTTAAGCAGATCCCCAAGATCCAGAGATGGTACCATCAGTAAAGTTTCTTAGTAAATATTTAAACCACCCAGAATTTTGTAGCTCATAATGACCAGACTTAGAGTAATGTTTCCAGTGAACAAATTGAGCACTGGAAGATCTAGGTTGAAGCTTCTGCTCTGTCTTTAAGCTGGTGTATGTCTTTGGGCAATTTATGTAACTTCTCTGCTCCTCAGTTTACTCTCTTGTGTAATGAAAGGGTAGGGTTAGACTTTCTCTAAGACCTATCTAAATCTGAAAATTCTATTTCTCCCATTTAAAGTCAATCAGGCAATTCAGACATATTTTTAAAATGCCTATTGTATTCAAGGGACATGCTTAATCTTTTATTGTATACTCATTTTATGACATTATATTTTGCTTCAATATATAATAGTGTCTTGGGATGTAAAGCAATCTTCATTAGTAAAGCCAGTCAATGGGTATTTAGTGCCTGTTCAGTGTCAGCATAACTTCTTATAATTGCTTTTAATCAATTTTATGTCGAATGAATTAAGTCTCTTTTTAAAAATAATTAACACTGTAATATTTTTAAAATCATCAGTTAAAGCATAAGTCCTAGTAACAAAATATTTTTGTTAGAGTTGCTTTTTCCATTTATTTTCCTGAAAAATATCAGGTATTTGCCTTTCTATAAACAAATTATTGCTTTCAATTTTCCAGATACTTTCTTTTCCGTTGAAAATAACTAGAAATGGTGGATAAAATTTTTTAAAGCTTTAAATGCACACATAGGTTGACTAGAAAGTAAGAAATTATGGAGACATGGTGAACATAAAAGTAGCTTTTAGTCCTAATGACATATGGTGAACCCCTGTGAATTGTTATTAACTTTTTCACACAACACTATCCTCTGAATGTTTGTGATGGGGCTTTTGAGGGATGATTAGGTAATGAGGGCAGAGCATTCATAAACTGGACTAGTGCCCTTAAAAAGAGGCTCCAAAGACCTGCCCTACCCTTCTGCCATGTGAGGACACAGCTAGAAAGTGCCATTTATGAACCAGAAAGCAAGTCCTGACCAGACACCAAATCTGCTGGCACCTTGATTTTGGACTTTCCAGCCTCCAGAACTGTGAGGAATAAATTTCTATTGTTTATAAACTATCCAGTTTATGGGATTTTATTATAGCAGTCTGAATGGACTAAGACACAGATGATTGAGACAATCAGATGGAAAACAAAACCCAGGGCCAGCCCAAGATAGGAAGTCTAACTGGAGATCTCACTAAAGGGGATCCCCCACTAACCTCAATCCTCAGTGAAAGAAACTTGCATACCTGTTGATATGTGAAGATGGAAAAAAAATCTTTTTTGAGATGTTGAAACCACAGAATTTTCGAAAGTTCAGAGATTTGCAGTCTACATTTATACTACCTGAGTTTACACACACACACACACACACACACACACACACACACTACAGGGAATTGGGTTTAAAGTAATTTGGCTTGCTTGCTGTTGCTTCCAAGCATATTGCAGAAACAAACACAAACCTCCCAATTCCACAGCTAATCCTAATGTGATTTAGTAAACATTAGCTAAAGTTTCTCATTCCTCCATGTGAGGGCATGGTTGAGTGAAAAACCTATTTTATTGTAACTATACAAGAATTCTATATGCAAAATGTAGAAAGCATCTCTTGGATTTATGCAAAGCAAAACTTGAATAACCATGAGCAGCAGACATGTAACGTGATCCTCTATGAATACTCAGAGATAATGTTCCAAAGTGGTGGACAATGGGTTGGTAGAGACAAACACAAAAAAACAAACGGAAAGACACCCACATACAAAATACACCAGGAATCAAAAATATAATGAATAAAAACTCATCATGTTGAGGAAACATTGACAACAAAATCAGAAGTCAAGAACTTCATATATTCAGTTTATCAGACACAAAATATAAATTGAGAATATTTTGTAAGCGTAAAGATTTTTTTAATTCAAATATGAGTAAAGAGAAAGAGGCTACAAAAAGTGACCAAGAAGATACAGAGAAGAACTAAAGAAAAAAATCTTTAGAAACTATAACAATTAAAATATAAAACTCAACAACAGCCTTTAGACTCACCCCTTTAAACATCATTTAAAAACTGAAATTAGAGCTAAAGAAATCTTTGGAATATATCACAGAGGAGAAAAAATAAAAGAAATATTAAGACACTTGAAAATAGATTAAGAATGACTAGCATATTCTTAAGCAAAGACTGAAGAGAAAGAAATAAAATAATGGTAGGAGGAAATATTTGAAGAAATAAAGCTTTGCCTTTAAGTGAATTTATAAAAAATGATGATCTTGAGATTCAGGAAGGCCTATAAATCCCAAGTATGACTAATACAACATAATGTCACACACAGACAAATAAGTAGCAAAAACTGTGGAACACCAAAGAGATCATAAAATCAAAATGAATGAAAACTAGGCTGAAAGCAGACTTCTAACAGCAACAATAAAAGACAGAAGACATTGATAAGATTATATCTTCAGTATGTTCACAGAAAATGATTTTCAATCTGGAATACATATCAAAATACCATTAAAAATGAGAAGAAAAGACAAATGTTTTAGACAAGCAAAAACAAAAATTGAGTTTGCTGCCAATCATTTACCATTAATTAAAATTAAAGCAGAAGGAAAGTGTTCCTACATGGATATCTGAGATGTCTGAAATACAAGAAGGAGTGATGATTGAATACTGTAAAAAATATTTGGATTAATCAAAACACACAGGTACTGTGTAAAATAATAATAATAAATTGTTTAGGTTAAAGAGAAAATAAGATAAAACAGAAATCCAAAATAATTGAAAAGTGTTGGACACCAAAAGAGTACAGGCTTTCATTTTGGAGTGATGAAACTAATCAGTTCTAAAATCCTAAAATTGATTGTGGTGACAGTTGCAAAACTGTGAATATACTGTGACTATACTAAACACCATTGACTTGCACACTTTACATGGTAAATTGCATGGAACGAAAATTATGTCTCAGTAAAGTTGTTACAAAAATAATATATTATTACACATTTCAGTTAACTCAAATATTTCAAATTTGGTTTCTGTTGAATTCAAATGTGAATTCAATATATTAATAAATAAGAAAAATTATGTGACCATCTCAGTAGATAAAGGAAAACATTAACATTCAATATTCACTCATGATAAAAAAATCAAAAGTTTACCAAACTAGGAAAAAAAAATGCTTTCTTGGTATGTTAAAAATAACTCCGAAATCCTACAGCATGTAAGTTTATGGAAAAAGTAAAGGTTTCCTGTTGATTTCAGGAACATGACACAAATCTTCACCAGTCATCATCCTTTTCATCAGCCTACTGGTGATACTAGGTTATGATATAAGGGAATAAGAAGGAAAGGCCAAGGGATTAGCAGCAAAGAAACGAAACTGTTATTATTTTAACTTGGTGTGTCTATATTGAAGAAATTCCAAGAGAATGAATAAATAAATTGTTAGTATTAATGTGGTTACTGACTATAAACCTACAAAAACTATTACTTTCTCCATTCCAGCAACAAGTAAAAAGAATAATTTGTAAAAAGACAGTAACAACAAGCCACACAACAAAATAGGTAAGAAAAAATCTTACAAAAGATGTACAATCTCTGTATGGTGAAAATTATAGAAATTAATTGGAAAATATTAAATTAAATAAAACTTAAAGAAATATCAAGGAACGCTATATGTATTGGAAGATACAATATTATAAATGTATCAATACTTCCAAATTTATGTAATACAATGCTTTGTTTCTATAATTGGACAGACTAACTCTAAGCTTTATATGGAACAGCGAAAGTCCAAGAGTGGACAATTATTTTGAGGAAAGAAAATGTATGAGAATGTGCCCAAGTATCAATACTTATTTTAAAGGCAGTGTGCTATAAGCTGTGGTTTAGACAAATAGTGCAGTTAAACAAATTATAGACCCCAGAGAAAATTAACACACACATATTTAATTTATGACAAAACTGATATGAAAATTCAATGAAGGGATCATTAGCATTTTAATAAATATTGCTAGGAAAATTGGTTATCCGTGTAGAAAAAAATGAAATGGAGCCTATAGAAAAATCAGTTTAATATGGATTCCATGCATATGTGAAAGACAGCTAAACAATGTTGGAAGAAAATATAAGGCAATATCTTCATGGTAAGACCCAAGAGGCACCAAGATTGATAAATACAGCTATACTAAAATTTAAAATTTTTATTCAAGACACCCC
Organism: Homo sapiens; assembly: GCF_000001405.40. NCBI lineage: Eukaryota > Metazoa > Chordata > Mammalia > Primates > Hominidae > Homo > Homo sapiens. The sequence continues at coordinate 79,002,860 of NC_000008.11, read as the reverse complement.
TAAAATTAAAAATTAAGCAATAAGAATGTTTGCAACTGACAAGAGGTTATAATACAGTATATATTAAGAACTCTAATAAATTAGTTTTTAAAAGACAAATATCTCAGTGGAAAAAGGAGCAAAAGAATTAAGTAGCCACTTGCCAAAGGTAGAATCAGGAACGACCAGTGAACATTTGATAATATGTTTAATATCATTAGGAATCACAGAAATGCAAATTTAAACTGCAGTGTGATCAACTGTCACTCCTACTATTGTGGTGCAATAGAAACTGTCATACAGTTTTGGTGAGTATGCCAATTGCTAAAATCTCTTTGAAAAGCCAGTGCATAATATCTAGCAGAGGGGAAGTTCACATGTCTTAAAATCTGATAATTTCACTCTTAGGTAAATGCACCCTCAAGATATTTTGCTCATGGACACTAGGAGACATGAACAACAATGAATAGAGAAATATCACTTGTAACAGAAACTGGAAAGGCAAATGCTAATGTCTAATAGAAAAAAAATGGTGAATTCATGGAGAGTAGTGTGTTAGTGAAAATGAATGAAGCAGGACTTTATGCAAAAATACGCTAGAAAATAAGAAAGATATTTTGAGCGAAAAAAGTGTGCAATAGAAGAACATTATAGAGTAGTAAGATCCCTATTATATAAAATTTTAAAAGATGCAGAAATGATAAAATTATGAAGAAAATCAGGGAAATGATAAACCCCCAAATTTGGTATATTTTTTATTTCAGAAGGAGGAGAGCAAATAGAATAAGTGTAGGGTAAAGAAAGAATGGTCAAAGATAAGGGTAATATTCTATTTTTTAAGATGGTAGTGGTTTCACAGCTGTCTGTTACAATGTTTTCCTTTCTACATACATATAGTATATAAACATTATTGAATGTACTAGACATTAAGTAAAAACATAAAAAGAAAGGAAAAGAAGATATTCACTTCTGTATCTGTTTCGTTGACAATTCACTCTCCAACCAGCATTTTCTGTGAATGTCTATGAGAGACTATATTAAAATAAATTGGATTCTAAAACCAAGTATTCTATTTATTACTTTATGTGTGTTTTATAGGTTTTGCATATTGGTTGGAAAGAAAATAATAATAAATTCAAGTTTCTCTTCTTATTTTGTTGTGATTGAATAGTTGTTGATAAGATGTTGTTCTTCTTGAGGCTAGAGGAAATTAGAACAGGATTATATTGTGCCTTACCCTTTAAAAGTTGCCAGTATGTTTTATTTTAATTATAGGATTTGTAGAAAAACAAATCAGAAAAGTATCATAAACTCTTTGAAGCTTGCTGACAGGTCTTTTGTGCTTTGACAATTAATTTCTGTTTGTTACTTTCTGTAAAATGTATTCATTTCTCTACCCTGCAAGACAAATAGTAGCTAATTACATAGAGTGTACCAAAAAAAAAAAAAAAAAAAATCAGCCAGCTGTGTGACCTTAGGCAAAGTCGTTACTCACTGTCGGTTTTAATTCTTTATTTTTAAAATCCAGAGTGGTGGTCATCAGCTTTAAAATCTTTGTTTATGAAGAAAATCCATGGAGACGGAAAATCTTGCACAAATACACAATTCTCTACAATTACAAATGTGCAAGCTGCATTCTATTACAGGCAATGTGAAGCAGCAAATTAGCTTCAATGGTGTTCACTGCATTGCAGCAGTTTGTAGTGAACAATGGCTTATCTTTTTACAGATAACTGCGAATATGAAGGAGCACGGGATTTCTTGTTCCCATGGAAATATGACCTCAATTAAAATTCTATTCTCATATCTATGAAACTGTGCACAAGTGTCCAAGAATCAAGAATGACACTGAAAAAGCTATTGAGCTTGGTAACAGCCCATGTTCTCCTCCTGCACTGATTTAATTAAGCTTTTATTAACCAGAGGCACAAATCATAATCACTTCTGGAGTATTTTCCAGTTGTATACTCCCAAACTCTACGCTGGAACCACTGAGTCAGAATTGCCCAGGGTGTGGCCCAGGCACATGCATTTTTTGAATGATACATGCATGAAAAATGATTTAATGAAATTCAGCTTCCAGACATGGCGTTCATAGTATCTGTAAGGAACAGCCAATAACAAATTATTGTCATTCATTGGAAATTTTCCTAGTAACTGCAGAAAATAGCAGTGACTATAATGCGAAATGGGAACCTAGAAAGTTGCAAAAAATGATTTGCCCAACTATGCAGCAGCTACAATAAACACCAGGCCTCAAAGCAGCCCATTTATTATTATTCTTTGAAAAAAAATAGTAAAATACATCCTCAAAGTAGGGTGCTTTCCATGGAATAGTATTCTGTGGAATAATAATGAGAAAAGATCTGTTAGATGCCTATACAAGTCAAAGCATTTGCTAGCAACTTTAAATACATTTTTTCTAATTATTGTAAAAAGTTGATTCCCCATGAAAAGGGGACAAAATGGAAGCTAAAAGAGGTTAAGATAGTTTCCCGTAGTGTTGGAACTAATAATTAGCAAAGTCAATAAACTTAAAATTAGGTGTTATGACTGTAAATTTTGCTAGATGTGATGCCAAGTCTATCACTCACTATTACTTGGAGTTTTATCGACAAGGAGAGAAAAAATTCTTCATTGTGCCGCATTTTCTGCTGTTGATATTATAGAACAGAACATGGACAGGAGGAATGTTTTTGTTCTATAGCCATCCCTAGAAGAAAGTTCCATTAAACAAAGTGCATAGGGAGCTTTTCTACCTTCCTTAGGCTACACATGGAGGAAAAATAAGACTCTAAGCCAGTCTGCCTTTCCTGAAAGTGCTATATATATGTGAGAGTGTCTAAGATTTGCCCACAAATATGAGCAGTTGAGAAAGAGAGGGCTAAATACAGTACCTTGAATAAAATGTTGAGCTGGAAAGATCAGAAAACCCCTAAGAAGAGGGGGCAGTGGGAAGTCTTTTAAAGGAAAGGATCAAAGAGAGTCTTTGATGATAGGAGATGTGTTAGTATCTCAGAGCCCATTTAGACAAAAGGGAAAAATGAATTTTCATTCTTTCCAATGAAGTCTGTTCAATCATTACACACACATAAAAAGAAGGCTTTTTTACATGTGACTAAAAAATCAACTACATAGCATAACATAAACAAAACTTGCTGTTTTACATGTATTCAAGCCCCTAAGTCAAAAAAGAGTCACCACCAACCTTCATTAGTTAAATTAAATGTTTTACACCAAGTGTGGCCTTCTTCTAAAGAGTAAATGAAATACTTATAATAGGTTTGTTCCTACTCTCATAACAAAATGTGGATCAGTCTGGCTGACTCATCATTATTCAATGAATACCTTTTGGGTTCTTAGTATATATGGGTGATCAGTAGTATATCATGGGCTTTTCAAAGTGAATAGGATGGGCATCAAAAGTCTCAATTTACAGATGAGGAAACTTAGAAAGACTGAATAATTTCACAATAGCTTTTAGTAGCAAAACTGTGCTTAAAAGACTGATGACTCAAACCGCAATGATGTGCCATCTCACACCAGTTAGAATGGCGATCATTAAAAAGTTAGGAAACAACAGATGCTGGAGAGGATGTGGAGAAATAGGAACGCTTTTACACTGCTGGTGGGAGTGTAAACTAGTTCAACCATTGTGGAAGACAGTGTGGCGATTCCTCAAGGATCTAGAACCAGAAATACCATCTGACCCAGCAATCCCATTGCTGGGTATATACCCAAAGGATTATAAATCATTCTGCTGTAAAGACACATGCACACGTATGTTTATTGCAGCACTGTTCACAATAGCAAAGACTTGGAACCAACCCAAATGCCCATCAATGTTAGAGTGGATAACGAAAATGTGGCACATGTACTCTATGGAATACTATGCAGCCATGAAAAATAATGACTTCGTGTCCTTTGCAGGGGCATAGATGAAGCTGGAAACCGTCATTCTCAGCAAACTAACCCAGGAACAGAAAACCAAACATTGCATGTTCTCACTCATAAACAAACTCATTGAACAAGGAGAACATATGGGCACATGGAGTGGAACATCACACGCCGGGGGGGCCTGTCAGGGGGTAGGGGGCAAAGGGAGGGATAGCATTAGGAGAAATACCTAATTTTGATGATGGATTGATGGGTGCAGCAAAGCACCATGGCACATGTATGCCTATGTAACGAACCTGCATATTCTGCACATGTATCCCAGAACTTGAAGTATAATAATAAAAAAAAGACTGATGACTTCTAGTTTTTCTATTTTTTTCAGGGATTTTCAATGTATGTTTTACAGAATTTAGAGATAAACTATGCAGAAATGGAAATGAAACTTTTTCTAAATTTTTCCAGATGCTACTTCTGCTGAGCATCAAATATGGTAACAACAGCCAACAATTCCAGGTTTCCAAGCTGTCACATGCTTTCAGAAGACATGTCAGCTGCTGGTGTAAAACAGATTAAATTATGCATATTTCAATGAGAAGTGGGCAACAATTTGTTTTCTCCAGCATAAAAACTTCAACAAATCTGATTTGGATTTGCACTCTCTATTTCTGATTTGTACAGCAGCATGACCATGACCACGTCTAAATTTAAAATTATGCATCTTAATGTCATCCACAAATTTCATATTAAAACAAGTAAAGCGATGTCAGTAGTGTTTCCTGATCTTATTTTACACTTCATTTTCCTAAAGCACTAGGTTCAGGTAACAGAGAAATAAGCTATTAAAGACCCAGCTGCAGCATATTGAAAGTCAACATTCTTCAGAACTGGGGTGCTCTTTTGTAGGATATAGTATATTCACTTAGTCAGAATATAACATCTTTTCATATACCTGTTCACCATTTTTATGTCCTCTTTGGAGAAATGTCTGTTAAAGTACTTTGCTCATTTTTAAATTGGGTTTTTGGTTTTGCTTTGTTTTTGCTACTTAGTTATAGGAGTTTCTTATATATATTGGATATTAAACCCTTATCAGACAGCAGATAAGGGTATCAGGTATCAGAAGCCAGATATGGGCTTTCTATTGTGTTTCATTTCTATTTCTGTGAAAATAATTATTTCTATTTTGATAGAAACTGTATTGAATCTGTAGATCACTTTGAGTACTATTGCCATCTTAACAATATTAGCAATATTTGTTCTTCTACTTCATGGACACAGTCTGCCTTTTCATTTAATGGTGACTTCTTTAATTTTTTCATCAATACACTAAGTTCATTTTCAGTGTACAGAAATGCAACTGATTTTTGCATGTTGATTTTATATCTTGAAATTTTATTGAGTTAGTTATTTAGCTCTAATAGGATTTTTTGTGGGGTTTTCTGTGTATAGATTATGTCATCTGCAAACAGAGACAATTTTATTTCTTCCTTTCTTATTTGAATGCCCTTTATTCATGTTTTTTTTTTTCATAACTGCTCTGGCTAGGACTTCGACTATTATGTAGAATAGAAGCAAAGAAAGTAGGCATCCTTGCCTTGTTTCTGGATCTCAGAGGAAAAGCTTTCAGTTTTTCAACATCGACTATGATGCTAGCAGTGGGCTTTAAAATGCAAATAAAAACCACAACGAGACGTCACTTCACACCCGTTAGGATGGTTGTTATTTTAAAAAGGGGGATTGGACAGTATGGGGAGATATTAGAGCTCTAATACATTATTGGTGTACGTGTAATGGTAAGCCACTACGGAAAACAGCACAGAAGGTCTGCAAAAATTTTAAAATATGACTATCTTATGATCCAGCAACCTTACTTCTGGGAATATATCCAAAAGAATTGAAAGCAGGATCTCAAAGGGATATCTACATTGCAGCATTATTCACAATAGCCAAGACATGCAAGCAACCTAAATTTTCAATGGATGAATGAATAAGAAAATGTGTGTGCGTGTGTGTGTGTGTGTACAACACAAAGTGGAATATTATTCATCCTTAAAAAATAAGGATATCTTGCTTATGTGACAATAAAAATGAACCTGTAGGACATTATCATAAGTGAAATAAATCAGTTACAGAAGGATGAGTGATGCATGATTCCACATACATGAACTATTTAAAACAGTCAAACTCATAGAAACAAAATGTAAAATAGCAGCTGCCACGGGCTGGAGCGAGGGGGAAATGGAAAGTTGATGTTCAATGGTGATAAAGTTTAAGTTATGCACTATAAATACATTCTAGAGATCTCTGTACAACATCATATTTTTTACTTAAAAATGTGTTAAGTAGCTCAGTGTCACATTAAGTGTCCCATACCAAAATGTTAAAAAAAATCTATATTCATAAGTACACTTAATGACACTTAACAATTTCTTATTTCTATGACTGAGTTCTACCATTATAGAGATTTTGTCTCTTCCTTTTTATATTTTAAGTTAATTATTTAATTTTAATTATATATATTAATTGTTCATATTTTTGGAATACATGCCATATTTTGATACCTGTATACAATATGTAATAATCAAATTAAGGTACTTAGGATATCCATCACCCCAAATATTGATCTCTTCTTTGTGATGGGAACATTACAAATCTTCTCTTCTAGTTACTTTGAAATATACAATAAATTGTTGTTAACTAGAATTTCCCTCCTGATATGGTTTAGATCTGTGTCTCTGCTCATATCTCAAGTCAAATTGTAATCCCCAGTGTTGGAGGTGGGACCTGGTGGGAGTTGATTGGATCATGGGAGTGGATTTCCCCTTTGGTACTGTCCTTGCAATAATGAGTGAGTTCTGAGATCTGGTCGTTTGAAAGTGTATAGCCCTACCCCCTGCTCTTGCTTCCTCCCCCTCTGGCCATGTGAAGTGCTCACTCCGCCTTTGCCTCGCATCATGACTGAAAGCTTCCTGAGGCCTCCCCAGAAACAGAAGCCACTGTGCTTCCTGTGGAGCCTACAGAACCATGAGCCAATTAAAACTCTTTTTTAATATATATAAATTACCCAGTCTCAGATATTTCTTTACAGCAGTGTGAGAATGGACCAATACATCTACTGTACTACTATTCAATAGTACAGAACTTATTCTTTCCACCTAACTGTATTTTTATACCCCTCAACCAGCCTCTCTTCATCCTCTCTCTCTCCTTTCCTTCTCAGCCTTTGGTCATAACCATACCACTCTTTACCTCAATGAGATACACTTTCTTAGCTCTCACATATAAGTAAGAACATGCAATATTTGTCTTTCTGTGCCTAGCTTATTTTACTTAACATAAAGACCTCCAGTTCCATCCATGTTGTCATAAAAGACAGAATTTTATTCTTTTTGTAGCTGAATGATATTTCATTTTGAATATGTACAACATTTTCCTCATCCAGTCCCCTGTTGATGGACACATAGGTTGGTTCTATATCTTAGTTATTATGAACAGTGCTGTAAAAAACATGAGATTAGCGCTCTTTGATATTCTGATTTCCTTTCTTTTGGCTATATACTTAGCAGTGGAATTGCTGGATTATATTGTAGTTCTATTCTTAGTTTTTTGAGAAACATCCACAATGTTTTCCCTTAATGGCTGTAGTAATTTACATTCCCACCAACAGTGCATGGACATTCCTTTCTTGGTATCTTCACCAGCATTTGTTATTTTTTTGTCTTTTTGGTAATAGCCATTGTAACTTGGGTGAGATAATATCTCATTATAGTTTTGATTTGCATTACCCTGATGATTAATTACATTGAGCATTTCTTCATAAACCTGTTTGCCACTTGTATGTCTTCTTTTAAGAGAGTCTACTCAGGTCTTTTGCCCATTTGTTTAGCTGGATTATTTGATTTTTTTGCTATTGAGTTGTTTCAGTTACTTATATATTCTGGCAATTAATCTTTTTTCAGATGGATAGTTTGCCAATATTTTCTCACATTCTATAATTTATCTCTTCACTTTGTCGATTGTTTTCTTTATGGTACAGAAGCTCTTTAGCTTGATGTAATCCAATTTGCCTATTTTTGGTTTTGTTGTCTATGCTTTTGAAGTCTTACTCAAAAATTCTACAAAGCTATAATAACCAAAACAGTATGGTGGTGCCATAAATACAAACCCATAGGCCAATGGAACAGAATAGAGAATTCAGAAATAAATCCACACAATTACAGACAACCCATTTTCAACAAAGGTACCAAGAACATACATTGAGGAAAGGACAGTCTCTTTAATAAACAGTTGTGTAAAAACTGGATATCTATATTCAGAAAAATGAAACTAGATCCCCATCTTTCACTATGTGCAAAAAGTAGCTCAAAATGGTTTAAAGATTTAAATATGAGACCTGAAACTATAAAATTACTGAAAGAAAACATTGGGGAAATGTTTTCCCCAATGACCTCAAGGATATTAGTCTGGGAAAATTTTTTCTTGATGTTTTTTATAGTGGTAAAATATACACAATATAAAATTCAGCATTTAACCATTTTTAAGTGTACAGTTCACTGGCATTAAGTACATTCATATTGTTGAACCATCATCACCATCCATCTCCAGAACATTTTTTATCTTCCCAAACTGAAACTCCAAGCCCATTAGCTACTAACTCCTCATTTCCCCATACCCTGAACCCCTGGAAGCCACCATTCTACTTTCTGTTTCTATGATTTTTTTTTTTTTTTTTTTTTTTTTTTTGAGACAACGTCTTCCTCTGTCACCCAGGCTGGAATGCAGTGGCTCGATCTCGGCTCACTGCAACCTCCGCCTCCCGGACTCAAGCTATTTTCCTGCCTCAGCCTCCTGAGTAGCTGAGATTACAGGCACATGCCACCACACCCGGCTAATTTTTGTGTTTTTAGTAGAGATGGGGTTTCACCATGTTGGCCAGGCTGGTCTTGAACTCCTGACCTCAAGTGAACCACCTGCCTCAGCCTCCCAAAGTGCTGGGATTGCAGACATGAGCCACTGCACATGGCCTGTTTCTATGAATTTGACTACTGTAGATACCCCATATAAGTAGAATCTATAGTCTTTGTCTTTTTGTGACTGGCTTATTTTACTCATCACAATGTTTTTAAGATTCATCCATGTTGTAGCATGTGTCAGAATTTCCTTCCTTTTGGCCTGGCGCAGTGGCTCACGCCTGTAATCCCAGCTCTTTGGGAGGGTGAGATGGGTGGATCATTTGAAGCCAGGAGCTCCAGATCAACCTTGTCAACATGGCGAAACCCCGTCTCTACCAAAAATACAAAAAATTAGCTGAGAGTGGTGGTGCACACGTGTACTCCCAGCTATACGAGAGGCTGAAGCAGACAAATTGCTTGAACCCAGGAGATGGAGGTTGCAGTGAGCCAAGATTGTGCCACTGCACCCCAGCCTGGGTGACAGAGTGAGACATTGTTTCAAAAAAAAAATTCCTTTCTTTTTAGAAAGCTGAGTAGTACCCTACTGTATTTATATGCCATATTTTGTTTATTCATTCATCAATCCATGGACACTTGGGTTGCTTCTACCATTTGGCTATTGTGAATAATGCTGTTATGAACATGGGTGTTCAGATATTTCTTTGAGTGCCTGCTTTCAATTCTTTTGAGTATATACCTACACATGGAACTGCTAAATCATGTAGTAATTCTATTTCCAATTTTGTGAGAACTACTATGCTGTTTTCTATAATAGCTGCATCATTTTACATTCCCACCAACAGTGCACAAGGGTGCCAATCAATTTCTCCATATCCTTGTCTACAGTTGTTTTCTTTGTTGTTTGTTTTGTTTGTTTTTTGATAATGCTATTCTACTGGGTGTAAGGTGGAACACGTTGTGGTTTTGATTTACATTTCCCTAATAATTTGTGATATTGAGCATCTTTTTATATACAAATTGGCTGTTTGTATGTCTTCTGTGAAGAAATATGTACTCAAATACTTTGACCATTTTTGAACCACATAGTTTGTTTTTTGTTGTTGTTGAGATATGGAAGTTCTTTATATATTCTGAAAATTAATTATTTATCACATATATGAATTGCAAATACTGTCTCTCATTCTGTGAGTTTCCATTTCACTCTTTTGATAGTGCACAAAAGTTTTAAATTTTGATATAGTCAAATTATCTAGTTTTCTTTTGCTGCTTGTGCTTTTGGTGTCATATCTAAGAAATCATTGTCCAATCCAATATCATAAAGATTTCCTGCTATGTTTTCTTCTAAGAGTTTTATGAATTTTAGCTCTTACATTAGGTCTTTGATCTATTTTGAGTTAATTTTCAATATGGCACAAAGTAAGGGTTTAACCTGGTTGTTTTGCATGTGGATATACAGCTTTCCTAACAACATTGGTTGAAAAAATTGCCCTTTCCCCCTTGAATGGTCTTAGTATTCTTGCTGAAAATTATTTGACCATATATGTGAAGGTTTCTTTCCAGGCACTCTATTCAATTACATTGTCCTATAGGTCTGTCTTTATGGCAAAACCCCACTGTTTTGATTACTATAGATTTGTCATAAGTTATGAAACCATGGGGTGTGGGACTTTCAACTTTGTTCCTCTTTATCTAGATGGTTTTGGCTATTCAGGGTGCCTTCAGATTCCATATAAATACTAAAATGGATTTTTCTATTTCTGCAAAAACAAAAAAACCCCTACAGCATTAGTATTTTATTACAATTGCATTGAATCTGTAAGTCACTTTGGGTGTTGTTGCCATGTTAACAATATTAATTCTTCCAGTCTTCATGATAAGTTTCTACAAGAGGTTTTCTTTATTTTTTTTTCAGCAATCTCATAGTTTTCAGTGTACAAATCTTTTGCCTTCATGGTTAATTGTATTTTTAATTATTTTATCCTTTTTGATGCTATAATAAATGAAATTGTTCTCTTAATCTCCTTTTTGGATTGTTCACTGTTAACATATAGAAATGCCAGTGATTTCGTGTGTTGATTTTGTATCCTACAAGTTTGCTAAATTTGTTAATTAGTTCTAACAGTGTGTGTGTGTGATATATATATATCTTTAGCAATTTCTATATATAAGACTATGTCATCTGCAAATAATTTCAGTTCTTCCTCCCCAATTTGGATATATTTATTTATTTTCCTTGCCCAATTCTCTGAATATAACTTCCGGTAGTATGTTGAATAGAAGTGGCATGATGTGCATCCTTACCTTTTTTCTGATTTTAAAGGGAAAGTTTTCAGTCTCTCACCATAGAATATAGCAGTCACTGTAGGTTTTTCATATATGGTCTTTATTATGTTTTCTTTGTTATAGAGATTTAAGAATTCAGGGGAGAAATAATTCCAAAAGGATACTTGATTTTTTTTTTTTTTTTTGGTTCCGCTAAATAGAAACCTCAGATACCAGCTGGCCATGTACAGTGTATCATTAAGAGAACTGGCATAAATTATAATGGCTGGGATAACCAAACCTGATTTCCAAGGATTGAGCAGGAAAGTATAAGAGGAAAACTCAGGTGCCTGGCATACCTCTTCCACTGCCATGATCAGTACAAGAGTTTGACCATATATCATTGCTATATTCATGAAATACCAGTAAGGGCACAGATTCCTCAGGAATGAAAAATTAGGCTACCTCATAAGAAAAAGAACCTCAGTCAATCAAGGTGCCAGCCTAAGGTAAAGGAAAAATGAGTAGAGTACTACCATGAAGAAAGTTATAAATAAGCTAGCTTACTTAGGGCTAGAAATAATTGCTGAGAGAAACGGAAACCATAGCCTCTACTTGTGTTTACTAGCTTGTTCTAATGTATAACTAGTTTCGTCTCTGTTCTTCACTCATCTTCTACTATTTGACTAGAGTGCACTGGCAGGCAGCATTACATTTTCATGTGGTTTATACTTTGTAGTATATCAAGATGAGATCTTGCTCAGATTAGGAGGCAAGGATATTCCTGTGTAGATGTTGGTCTTGGAGAACAGATTTAGGGACCATAATCCCTGGGAGTGGCATTGGGTGCAAGGTGGGAAAACTCTTACTTGAGAACAGAGAATGGCTGCAGATATACATAAGATTATAGCATAATAGTGGGATTTTTCCTACTGTACAAGAATTGATGACTGAGGCTAAAGCTGAAGAGAATGATACAGTATTTCATATTATAAAAATAGTTGAATGCTGCTCTTCCATTATGAATTATCGACAGACAACAGAACTAACACTTCAATCCATAACCATCAACCTAATCCCTCCTTTCTACTCCTGCCCTGCCAATCACCACCACTATCCTGATTTGTAGCATATCAAGATGAGATCTTACTCAGATAAAGAGGCAAAGATATTCTGTGTAGATGCTGGTCTTGGATAATAGATTTAGAGACCATCATCTCTGGAGGTGGCATTGGGTGTAAAGTGGGAAAGCTCTTACTTGAAAACAGAGAATGGCTGCAGGTATATATGAGATTATAGTGTGATAGTATATTGACTGGTCAAAGGTATATAGATAGTATACAGACTGAGCAAGAAGAGAAAAAGAGAGTAAGAGTTATCAGGTAAGCAGTTATTCTCTCCGCTCCCTGAAGCCAAATGTGGGTTGGAGTAGAGATGATGAGAGGGTTGGATCCAAGAGAAAGAATCTGGACAAATACAGACAGGAAAAACTTAGTTTATATTTAGATTACATTCCATTAAATGAATTTCACCATTCAAGAAATATTTGCTTAGCTCTTCCCCAGACACTGTACTTATTCCTGAGATTAACAATGAAAAACATAGAAACATAGAAAATGGAAGAGACAGATCAGTAAATAAAAATAATTATAACACAGCATGAGAAAGTTCATGTGCAGGGCATCAGGAAGCACAGAAGAAAATTATACAATACCTACCCTCGTAAATCAGGACAGAGAAGGCTTCCAAGAGGTGTTATTCAAATACGCCTTGAAGAACAAAAACTCAATTGTCAGTCAGGAAGAGAAATAACCATTCTAGACAAAAGAGAATGGAGGTGGAAGTTGGAGTGTGTGTTTGGAGCGCCTTTCCTTTTTATCTAAAGAATTTGATTTTTTTTTTTTTCTGAAGGAATGCTAGAGAATTTAAACAGAATAATAACATGGTGCTGTATAATTTTAAATAGGTGACTCTAGCGACAAGTTTCTCAACTTCCCCAAAGCTTCTTTGTTATGTATAAAATGGGAATAATAATGTTTATCTCAGAGAGTCACTAAAAAGATAAAATATAATCACCTATAAACTAATTTGCCTGCAGTCTCACTTGCACTGACTAGGTCTTCACAGAGTGTTAGCGTTCTCCCCATCAGTTTTTCTTGTTTTTGATAGCAACACGTAGAACAGAAAAATGGGCATCACACTAGCTAAACAGAGGTGTTTTTTAATATCAGAAATAGGTATGTGATAATGTATTTATTTTCTGTTTCTTTGAGAGCTTCGCTTAAAGAAAAATAAGCTAAAATAAGCTCTCTCCATTAGATACATACCTTTTTTTTTTTTTTTTTTTGACGAAGTCTCTGTCACCCAGGCTGTAGTGCAGCGGCGCGATCTCAGCTCCTTGCAAGCTCCGCCTCCCAGGTTCACGCCATTCTCCTGCCTCAGCCTCCCGAGTAGCTGGGACTACAGGCACCTGCCACCACACCCGGCTAATATTTTGTATTTTTAGTAGAGACGGGGTTAGCCAGGATGTTCTCCATCTCCTGACCTTGTGATCCGCCCACCTCAGCCTCCCAAAGTGCTGGGATTACAGGCGTGAGCCACCGCGCCCGGCCCAGATACACCCTTGTTTTAACCATAAAGGACATTTGTAAATTATGCCACAGTTTTAATTTATTACACAGAATTGTGATTTCCTGTATATGTGTTGATATGGTTTGGCTGTGTCTCCACCAAAATTTCATCTTGAATTGTAATCCCCATAATTCCTATACTCCCCACGTGTCAAGGGAGAGACCAGGTGGAGGTAATTGAATCATGGGGGCGGTTTCCGCCATGCTGTTCTCCTGAGAGTGAGTGAGTTCTCACGAGATCTGACGTTTTGTAAGTGTTTGGCAAGTTCCTCATTTGGTCATCCTCCTTCCTGCCTCCTTGTGAAGAAGGTATCTGCCTCCCCTTTGCCTTCCACCATGATTGTAAGTTTCCTGAGTCCTCCCCAGCCACATGGAACTGTGAATCAATTAAACCTCTTCCCTTTATAAATTACCCGGTCTCAAGCAGTTCGTTATAGTAGTGTGGAAACGGATTCTTTAAGAATCTGTCAAAGACAGAGTTGAGGGTTTTTTTTTTTCCTTATCTAATAATTTTTACTAAACCCACCAAACTGAAAATGTTTTCATCCAGAAATTGGAAAAGCAGGAAAATTTATGAACTTTACCCACAAAATACAGTACCTAGGGTGGAGAAGAAAGGTAGCACAAGGAACTATATCTGCCTTCGTAATCAGTACCCCCTGAAATATGGAGATAATCTTGTTAATCTTTCTCATTGTAAAGAAGCATCTACTCCATAGGAGCTTCATAGATGTAGAAGCAGATGTAGCAGAAATTTTAGAACTACATTCTGCAAAAGAGTAGCAGCTCCATGAAGATATTCAGCACTTAAAATGTGGCTAATATAACCTAGAAAGTAGAATTTTTTAAATTGAGAAATGAAGATTGTATATATTTACAGTGTACAACATGTTGTTTAAAAAGGTGTATACATTGTAGAAAAGGCTAAATAGAGCTTATTAACATATGCATTATCTCACATATTTATCATTTTTGGGGGGAGAAGACTTAAAATCTACTCAGATATTAATTTTCAGGAATACAATACATTGTAATTAATTGTAGTCACCATATTCTCCAATTGACCTATTGAACTTACTCTAACTGAAATTTTAAATCCTTTGATGAACATCTCTGGCTTTGTATCAGGGTAATGCTGGCTTTGTAAAAGGAGTTTGGAAATACTCCCTACTCTTAATTTTTTAAAGATTTTTAGAAGGATTGGTATTTGTTCTTCTTTAAATGTTCAGTAGAAATCAGCAGTTAGGCCATCAGGTCCTGGGCTTTTGTTTCATGGAAGGCATAATTACAGATTCAATCTCCTTATTCTTTGTTGGGCTATTCAAATTTTCTATTTCTTCATTTTATTTATTTATTTATTTATTTATTTATTTTGGGATGGAGTTTCACTCTGTCGCCCAGGCTGAAGTGCAGTCGCGTGATCTTGGCTCACTGCAACCTCTGCCCCCCGGGTTCGAGCGATTCTCCTTTCTCCTGCCTCAGCCTCCCGAGTAGCTGAGATTATAGGCGCCCGCCACCAGGCCTGGCTAATTTTTTTGTACTTTTAGTAGAGACGTGGTTTCACCATGTTGGCCAGGCTGGTCTTGAACTCCTGACTTCAGGTGATCCACCCGCCTCAGCCTCCCAAAGTGCTGGGATTAGAGGCGTGAGCCACCATGCCCGGCCATTATTTATTTCTCATTGGAGATGTTCATCAAAGGGGTGCCAGCTCCCCACCCCAGCCCCTGGTAACCACCCTTCTACTATCTACGATGAGTTCAACTTGTTAATGTTCCGTTTATAAATGAGACCATGTGGTATTTGTTTTTTGTGCTTGGTTTATTTCACTTCACATAATGTCTTCCAGGTTCATCCATGTTGTTGCAAATGGCATGATTTCTTCCTTTTTTAAGGGTGAATAGTATTTTCTTGAATATATGTACCACATTTTCTTTGTCCATTTATTCACTTATGAACATTTAGATTGATTTTATATTTTGACTATGTGTGAATAATATTGCAGTGAATATAAGAGTGCAGATATTTATTTGACATTGATTTTATTTCCTTTGGATATATAATCAATTGTAGAATTGCTGGATTATATGGTAGTTCTATTTTTGATTTTTTCAAGAAACCTCCATACTGTTTTTCATAATGACTAGTTTACATTCCCATCAACAATGTGTGAGGGTTCTCTTTTCTATACATTCCCTCCAACATTTGATATCCTTTGTCTTTTTGATAACAGCCATTCTAATGGTGGTGAGATGATATATCTCTGTGGTTTTACTTTATATTTCTGTGATGATTAGTGATTTTCAGCATTTTTCTATGTAACTGTTGGCCATTTGTATGTCTTCTTTGATCTATGCCCATTTGTTTGCACACTATTGAGTTGTTCAAGTTCCTTACATATGTTGAATATTAACCCCTTATCAGATGTATTATATGTTTTGCAAATATTTTCTCTCATTCCACAGGTTGTCTCTTTATACTGTTGATTGTTTTGTTGGACTGTGCAGAAGCTTTATAATTTGATATAATTCCATTTTTCTACTTTTGCTTTTGTTGTCTGTGCTCTCAGATTTATATCCAAAATATCATTGCCTAGAACAATGTCATGGAGTTTTTCCCATACGTTTTCTTATAGTAGCTTTATGTTTTAAGTCTTATATTTAAGCCTTGAATTCATTTTGAGTTAATTTTGTATATGGTGTGAGATAAGGGTCAAATTTCATTCCTGTGCATGTGGCTATCCAATTGTCCCAACATCACTAATTGAAGAGGCTCTTTTTTTCCCCATTATGTATTCCTGGAAACTTTTTAAAAAAAACAATTAACCATAAATGTAAGGATTTATCTCTGTGATCTGTAATTTGTTTCGTTGATCTATGTGTCTGTTTTTATGACAGTACCTTGATATTTTGGCAATAATAGGTTTGTATAATAGTATATTTTGAAGTCAGGTAGTGAAAGGCTTCCAGCTTTGTTCTTTTTATTCAAGATTGTTTTGGTCACTTGGGTTGTTTTTTGTTTTCATGGAAAGTTTAAGATTGATTTTTTCTATTTATGTGAAATAATGTCACTAGAATTTTGATAGGCATTGCTTTAGGTAGGATGGACACTTTAAGAATATTAATTATTTCAATTCATGAATGTGGTGTATCTTTCCATTTATTTGTGTCCTCTTTAATTTATTTAGTCAATGCCTTATAATTTTCAGCATACAGGTCTTTCAGCTCCTTGGTTAAACTTATTCTTTTTTGTTTTTTTTTTTTTGGTAGCATTTGTGTATAAGGTTGGGGATTGTTTTCTGCATTTCTTTTTACAAATAGTTCATTGTGAGGTTATAGAAATGCCACTGAATTTGTACGTTGAATTCATATCCTGCAACTTACTGAATTTGTTTATGGATCCTAACAGTTTTTTGGAGGAGTTGTCAAGGTTTTCTATATATAAGGTCATATTGTTGGCAAACAAGGATAATTTAACTTCTTTCTTGCCAATATAAATGCCTTTTATTTCTTTCTCATGCCTAATTGCTCTAGCTAGGTCTTCCAGCACTATATCAAGTAGAAGAAATGAGAGTGGGCATCTTTGTCTTGTACCTTATCTCACAGGAAAAGCTGTCATCTTTTCACTGTTGAGTATAATGTTAGCTTTTGGCTTGTCATGTATGACCATTATTTTATATTCCTTCCAAATTTAATTTGTTGAGAGTTTGTCAAATGCTTTGTCTGCATCTGTTGAGTTGATCACATGGTTTTTGTCTTCATTCTGTTAATGTAATGTACCACATTTATAGATTTGCATATGTTGAATTATCCTTGCATCTATGGGACAAATCCTGCTTAATTATGGTGAATAATCCTTTTAAAATGTTGTTGAATTCAGCATGCTAAGTACTTTCTTGAGGATTTTTATATCTATGCTCATTAGGGATATTAGCCTGTGATTTTCTTTTCTTGTAGTGTCCTTGTCTGGCCTTGTTATCAGGGTAATGCTGGCCTTGTAAATGGACTTTGGAAATACCCCCTGCTCTTAATTTTTTTTGAAGGACTTTAGAAAAATTAGTATTAGTTCTTCTCTAAATGTTGAGTAGAAATCAGCAATTAGGCCATCAGGTCCTGGGCTTTTCTTTGATGGAAGACATAATTACTGATTCAATCTCCATATTTTTTGTTGGGATATTCAGATTTTCTGTTTCTTCATGATTCAGTCTTGCTAGGTTCTACATGTAGCAATTTCTTCCTTTCTTCATGTTATATAATTTTTGACATAGAGTTGTTCAGGGAGTAGATGTTTAATTTTATTTAATTTAAATTTTAAAACTAATATCTTATTGTTATTAGAAAAAATGTTAAGTATATTAGGAATGCCTTAGGTATATAAATCTTTTTTGACTGTAATTTTTATTCAATCTAAATACAAATCAAGTATTTCCAATACAATTTAACCTTCAAAATTAAATGTGCTATAAGTGTAATATGTACAAGATTGCAAAGTAAAATGATGTGAAATTTTATATTTTGTACAAATTTTGTACGTGAAATTTTGATTACATGTAGAAATGATACCATTTTGGATATAGTCATTCAGTATAAAATATTTTAAATTAATGTTACCTGCTTCTTTTGACTTTTTAAAGGGTGGCTACTATAAAATTTTAAACTACATATGTGGCTTGCCTTATATATTCATTGGACATGCTTCTATAGCAATGTCACATCAAAATAGATAATTTGGGAGGTGAGAAAAGCAAAGTTCAAAGAAGTTAAGGGCTTTTCCAAGATCACACACCTAGTCAGAGTCAAGGCCAGGTTCTAGAGCTTGTGACTTCCAGTTCAGATTTCCTAGAAAATAAAACACCTTGATGGTCAGCTGCTTAATGCTGTGCTATATCAGAGTGGAGAAAGTTTCAGCAATAACTCTCTATTGATGTTGCTGCATTTTTTATTTTTATATATACTGAAAGAGTAATTGTCAGAAGAGCCATCAATTTTATGCTGTAATAGTGTTTAATTTTAATC
Organism: Homo sapiens; assembly: GCF_000001405.40. NCBI lineage: Eukaryota > Metazoa > Chordata > Mammalia > Primates > Hominidae > Homo > Homo sapiens. Next base: position 78,984,167 of record NC_000008.11, on the reverse strand, counting down.
TCAAATGGAATCAAACCATGCACTAATTTGTTCTTGTTACACAAATTTGGGCTAGCTCAACAGAAATTTGTGAAAATTTTCTTTGCCCAAATAAGCAAGTCTCTGTTTCTTTTCTTTATTAAAGAAGAAAAGAGCTTTAATTAATTCTTTCTTCCTTTCATCTGAGGAGTAATTGCAATTGCTTTGTGTCAGCTTCCTGTTATTACCATTGCAAAACAGCCTTAAAAGAAAAGTCTTATAATGTCCAGAATGACTCATCAGTATAAAATGGCCAACTCTTTCATTTATAAGATGCTGTAAAAATATACTTTTCCCTAAATGCTCATATTTCCACTTCAGGTAACATCAAATTTGTCCCAAGAATACAAATAGAGGTGCTCTATTAGTTTTCTAATTTGCAAGGTTTCTTTCAACTTCCAGTTTCCTCTCTCTCTTTCCTACTCTCCACCCACTAAATGAAATATAGTTGAGTCCATACTTCAAGGGCTGCTGAATGCTGCAATTAGGAAAGCTCAATGCTTGAAACTCCTTTCATAATACTTAGATCTAATAATGCTTAAGAAAAGCATAAGGGAATAAGGAGATGAAGATTTCTCTATAGAGAGGCTTTCCCTGAAAAAAACCTGAGTGAAAACCAGAAGCTTCAGAGTAGCAATTAAAATCTTGGCTACAGTGACAATAGTTCTAATACTAATTACAAATTTTTAATAAGACAAATACATGCACTCATACAAAATATTTTTGTTAGAGATCAAGTTGACAACGTATACAAATTTTTCCACCCTGAGATCTATAAATGTTTCCTCTGATGTAGTAGGTGTGGCAGGGACATTTAATGGTTGCTGAATTAGCATCCATGAGCTTTCTCACATTTCCTAGCTCCTTGCAGTTATGGGAGGTTACATGGCTGATTCTGTCCAATGGGCTATAAATGGAAATGTATGTGTTAATTCCAGGCCATGTCTTGCAAAACTGGAAGGTGGTTGTGATGTTTTGGGTTGACTATGTTAACTAAGCTAGGACTATGTTTTGAAGAATTTCCTTTATTTTATGATTCTGAGTTAGAGTTGGCAACAAATTCACATAAGGTTTAAAAGTCAGCAGTAAATTGTTGCCATCTCTTTTTGAAGATCTTTGTGATTAGATGCAGTGAAAGATTTATCGGGGGGAGGGTGGGGCCTGTGGGTTTCAGCTTGTCCTCACACTTCATCCTCCACATCTATCTCTCCTTCTTGACTGCTGGGATCAATGGTAAACCCAGGTCCACTGCCAAGTGTAGAGGCAGCAGCCTTCCACACGATTCTCCAGCAGAAGAATCCAGTGGTTTCTGTGAGAAGAAACAGTTGAAGCAGTTTAAGCAGGTCTAGGATTGGCCAGTTTGAATAACTTCAGCAGGTTCTGGGGTGTAGAAGCTGTCTCCAGCTCCTGGAGTGATTGGGGTAGGGGAATGGTGGCCCACAGTGTAAGATCCTGATAAAGCAGGCAGGGAGATGGTGGGCTCCAGCAAGGGAGCTGTTTACCATCTCCAGGAGCTGGCTAGCTCTGAAAGGGACAGGCTCTCCAGGGTCAGCAAGGCCCCAGATGTCAAAACATCAGAAACACATAATTAATAATCCCAGATAGAGAAGCTCTACAGCAGGCATAGTCAACACAAACTTGGAGAGAAACCCTTCATTCCATCCAGAATGCAAGACACATAGAACCAAAGCAAATCATATAAATTAAAAATTAAATAAGAAAAATCTTTATAATATGAACTATCTCTGTTACTCCCAGTCTCAATACCCGAAGATTTCATAAACTATAAATACAAACATATATTTCATTTGTTTTACATATTCTTATATAGGTATACTTTTTCTATATAACTATCTTGTTTACCTAGAACCATTTTTTGAGATCTTTGCACATCAGCTAATATACATTATATACACACATTATATACATATATACCATGTGTGTATGTAGGACTGAATAACTCTTGGCAAATATGGATGACCATTTATGTAAGATAAATTCTTAGAATTGCAATTACTGAGTAAACGAATGATGTCCACACATTAAATTTTGATAGATAATGCTAGTCTGAACCCTTTCAAAGAACATGAACTAATTTACAATTTATTCAATATTGCTAAGAGTACTCTTATTTCTCTATATCCCTGAAAGCCTTGAAAGTCAGAGCCTAAGAGGGCAAAACCGTCTAAGTAGATAACACCCTGGATGATCTGCGTAAAGTTAACACAGACGCCTTTACCAAACCCTTACATAATCAAATGAGATTAAGCTTTGAAATCTGAGTGACAAAGTTTTGGACCAATAAAAGCACAAATTCACTTCATACAATGTATAATAAAAATCAAGGATCTTGCTATCTTCAAAAGACAGCACTGTCAAAAAATGTTAATTTAAAGCAGATTTGAAAAAAATATGAATAATGTTTATAAATGGCTTCTGAGAGAAATTGGGCTTTACAGGAAAGATGATTGTGACTTTCTTCTGCTTATCTTTCCACAGTTCTGTATAGGGAACAGAATATTCTTCTGTATGCCTAATTTACTTTTACATCTTTGGTTTACTGAATAGTAAATTATATAATTGACAAGAATAAATGGCAACATTTAAAATAATTTTAGTTTGCCAAAAGAAATAAAAACATGACACTAAATAAAAGAAATAAAAACATGACACTAAAATTCACACTGTTGGCATGGTTGGCAAATGGAAAACATGTTTAAAGCTAATTCTTTGTTAACTGTTTATTGCCTAATCCCTCACTTTTGTTTAGATTTTCTAAACTAAGTATGATGTTTCTGGGACTGATAAATTACTTTCCATAGCAGATGATTCACTGGAGGTTACCTTCTTCCAGCTCTTTCCCTTAGACACACAAATTATTTTTACTTCAATGTGGACTTTTTTTCATGGTGGGAGGGGGGGATACACTAAGCTGATCTCTTAAAATAAACAATATCTACTTATCTCCAGCTCCTTGGGTGCCCCTTGCCCTGTAAGTTCAGATGATTGAGTCTCAACCAAAGCATAACCAAGAGTTATTTCAGGGCCAAAAATACATCTTTTCCAAGAATTTGGAGGCTAACAGTGACAATCAGGTAGAAGACATTTCTCTACAGCCTGACCTTGTGATGCCAAAGAAGAGGATGAAAAAGGAGGTGCTCAAATGTATTTGAAAATGGAGACTGACTTTTTCAGGCAGGCTTTAGTTTGCCCCTGTTAAAATATGTGTATAATACAGGCTCATTTTTTTTTTTTCAGTTTAGCAGCCTCATGGTCAAGTGAGGAGTAGCATAACTTTTTCATCCTATAAAATGGGCAAATATGAGATGGAGAAAGAGCAGATTATTTTTGTCTCACCTTAGCAAGTCATGTTACTCTTGAAAACTTTAGGAGAAAGGGAGAACTTACATATTACAATATGTCTTGTGCTGCATAAAAAATCTACAGAATTGACATTTCAGAAACTTCTTTTTTTATTTTATTATTATTATACTTTAAGTTTTAGGGTACATGTGCACAATGTACAGGTTAGTTACATATGTATACATGTGCCATGCTGGTGTGCTGCACCCATTAACTCGTCATTTAGCATTAGGTGTATCTCCTAAAGCTATCCCTCCCCCTTCCCCCCACCCCATAACAGTCCCCAGAGTGTGATGTTCCCCTTCCTGTGTCCATGTGTTCTCATTGTTCAATTCCCACCTATGAGTGAGAATATGCGGTGTTTGGTTTTTTGTTCTTGCGATAGTTTACTGAGAATGATGATTTCCAATTTCATCCATGTCCCTACAAAGGACATGAACTCATCATTTTTTATGGCTGCATAGGCATTTCAGAAACTTCTATGCTAAAATAACATAATCACAGTGGGTTTGAGAAGGAAAAAAATGATGCCTTAGAAAATATATATTCCTTTCTGGAGAGATCTACTTTCTAAAAATGATTCTTTGAAAAAATGTTGTCTGGCCAATATCTCATATGTCTCAAAACTATTATTATGTATATGGTTTTCAGGAAATTGGTAAATGTTCACAAGAGCTTATAATCCAAAGAACCTTGGGCTGCATGTAAGGAGATATGAATTCTACCTCTACATATAACACTGTGTGCACATTTGACCACACATATCTCTTATAAAACTTACCAGTTTACCAAGAGAAAGAAACACTTGCTCTATTTTTGCTCAAAAATTTATCCCTAGTCCCTAGCACATAATAAGTTCTTAATATATGTTAGCTGAACGAGATAAAAATTAGCTAATTATACTTTCCTAATTTGGCAAAACATATTTTTATTTTTTAAAAATAAAAACTTCTATTAAAAATGTACAGGCAGAAGAACAGTAAAAACAAAAAGTTCAACTCAACAGCACCATCAATCAAATAGATATAATTAACATATACAGACTACTTCATCCAACAACAGAATATATACTCATCTCAAGTTCCCACAGAACATTCACCAAGATAGACTACATCCTGAGCTATAAGACACATCTTAATAAATTTAAAATAATAAAATTATATGTCTTATCTCAGACTACAATGGATTTAAAGTAGAAATCAATGACAGATAGATAGCCGAAAAAAATCCCCCAACACTTGGAGAATAAAGGATGCATTTCTAAATAACACATGAGTTAAAATGAAAGCTCAAGAGAAATTTTAAGTATTTTGCATTTGGTGAAAATAAAAATACAACTTATCTAAATGTGTGGATGCAGTAAAAGCAGTGCTCACAGGGAAATTTATGGTGTTTATTGCATATATTAGAAAAGAATAGATATCTAAAAACCATGTTTCCACTTTAGGAAACTAGAAAAGGACAGCAAACTACATTGAAAGTAGAAGAAAATAAAAAAGTAGGCAGTAGGAATAAAATAACTGATAAAAATTAGAGCAGAAATTAGTGAAATAGATTAGACAGGAAGTCAATTGAGATTGAGACAGGAAGTCAATAAAGAAAATAAATAAAATCCAAAGTTTACTCTTTGAAAAGATAAATGAGATTGATAAGTCTGTAACCAGGCTAAAAAAAAATGAGAGAAAACACAAATTACTAATATAATAAATGAAAGAAGGGACATTACTACAGAGGCCATGGACATTAAACGAATAATAAAGAAATACCACGAGTAACTCTGTACCCACCAATTTGATAACCTAGATGAAATGGACCAATTCCTTTAAAGACACTATGTGTCAAACTCATATAATAAGAAACAGACAGTCTGAATAGGCTTATGTATATTAAAGTAATTGAATCAATAGTTAATAACCTCCCAAAACATAAACACCAGGCACAGATAGGTACATTGATGAATTGTTCCAAACATTTAATGAATAAATTATACCAATTCTCTACAATGCATTTCCGAAGATGGAAGCAGAGAGAATACTTCCTAACTCACCATGTGAGATCAGCATTACCCTAATACAAAAACAAAAACATTACAAGAAATAAAAGTAACCGATCAATATCTTTCATGAATATAGATGTAAAAATTCTTAACAAAGTATTAGCAAATCGAATCTAACAATGTATAAAAAGAATTATACAACCTGACCAAGTTGGATTTATCCCAGATATGCAAGGCTGATTCAACATTTGAAAATTAATTGATATAATACATTACATCAACAGGTTAAAGAAGGAATATCATATCATCATATAAATAGACATAGAAAAAGTATTTGACAAAATCCAACACCTATTCGTGATAAAATCTCACAGAAACTAGGAATAGATGAAACCATCCTCAGCTTGATAGAGAACATCTACTAAAAACCTACAGCTAACATCATACTTAATGGTGAGAAATTAGAAGCTTTCCCACTCAGGTAAAGAGCAAAGCAAGGATGTCCCCTCCCACTACTCCTTTTAACATCATATTGTAAGTCCTATCTAATGCAATAGACAAGAAACAAATATTAAAACTATATAGATTAAGAAGGGAGAATTAAAACTGTTTTTGTTTGCTCATGACAAGATTATCTGTGCAGAAAATGTGAAAGGCAAAAAACAAACAAAAACTAGAGCTAATAAGCAATTGTGGCAGGTTTGAGAGATATAAGGTTAATATAAAAAAGTCAATCTCTTTCCTATTTACCAAGAATCAACAAGTGAAACTTGAAATTAAAAACACATTACCATGTACATTACCATCCCCCAAAATGAAATACTTAGGTATACATCTTAACAAAATATGTATAAGGTCTGTATATAGAAAGCTGCAAAATCTTGATTAAAAAATCAGAGAAGAACTATATAAATGAGGAGAATATTCCATATTCATGGATAGGAAGACTCAATATTGTCAAAATGTAGGCTCTTCTCAAACTTATCTATAGATTCAATGCAACCCCAATCAAAATCTAGGCAAATTATTTTGTGGATATTGATGGACTAATTTTAAAGTTTATATGGAGAGGCAAAAGACCAAGAATAACCAATTTAATATGGAAGGAGAAAAACAATGTTGGAAGACTGACACTATCAATTTTAAGACTCAATAAAGGTATCGTACTCCAAACACTGTGGTATTGACAAAAATAATAGTCAATAGAGCAGAATAGAAAGCTCAGAAATAGACTCACACAAATACAGTAAAATCATCTTTGACAAAGATGAAAAGGCAATACAATGGAGAAAAAATAGTCTTTACAATAAATCATGCTGGGACAACTGGACATTCACATGAAAAAAAAAATCCAAGATTGCACCAAGATTGCACCACCTGTAGCCTGAGTGACAGAGGAAGACTCCATCTCAAAAAAAAAAAAAAATTCTAAAATATACAAGGAACTGTTAAAACACAGCAATAGATATGGAGCCAGCTTAGAAAGACAAAAGCTGGAAGGAAAACACAAAAATATTGCAATGGTTATCTCTGTGATAGAATCATGGGCAATACTAATTTTATTCTTTATACTATTTTCTGTATTTTCAAATTATTCTACAATTAGCATATTAATAAACTATTAATTAGCACATTTAAAAATGAGGCAAGGTAGGGTGGCTCAATTCTGTAATCCCAGTACTTTGGGAGGCTGAGACAGAAGTTCTCAGGGCCAGGAGTTCGAGATCAGCCTGGGCAATATAGTGAGACTCAATTTCTACAAAAATTTAATTTAAAAAATAAAAAAGAAAATAAACAACCTGATTAAAAACAAAAGACCAGAACAGACACCTTGACAAATAGCACGTGACAACGGTAAATAAACACATAAAAAAGATGTTCAACATTGTGTGTCATTAGAGGATTAAAGATTGAAATAATGGGATATCACTACACACATATTAGAATGACAAAAGTCCAAAACAGTTACCACCAAGTGATGACAAGATTGAGGAGCAGTAGGAACTTTCATTCATTGCTGGTGGAAATGAAAAATGGTATAATCATTTTGGAAGACAGTTTGACCGCTTCTTAAAGAGCTAAACATACTCTTACATGACACAGCAATTGCACTCTACAATATTTATCCAAAGGAATTGAAAACTTATATCCACCTCAAAATCTGTACATGAGCATTTACAGCAGCTTTTTTCATAATTGCCCAAGCTTGGACACAAACAAGATATCCTTTAGTAGATTAATGGAAAAATAAACTGTGGTACATCCAGAGAATGGAATATTATTCAGCTATAAAATAAAATAAACCATCAAGCAATGAAAATACATTGAAGAATTTTAAATGGATATTGCCAAGCAAAGGAAGCCAAATTGAAAAGTCTACATACTATTTTGTACCAAAGATATGACATTCTGGAAAGGGTAAAACTATGATGGCAGTAAAAAAAATTAGTGATTGTCAGGAGATGGGTGAGAGAGGGATGAATAGGCAGAGCACAGAGGATTTTTTAGGGCAGCGAACTATTCTGTATGATACTAAAATGATACATACATGTCCATATATATTTGGGAAAACCCATAGAATGTAAACCAAAAGTAAACCACAATGTAAGCTATAGACTTGGGGTGATAATGATGTGTCATGGTAGTTTTATCTATTGTAACAAAATGACCACTCTGGTGTAGGATATTGATAATGGAGGAATTTCTGCATCTGTAGGTGCAGAAGGTCTGTGGGAACTCTCTGTACTTTCTGCTATGAATCTAAAACTTCTCTAAAAGTATTAATTCTATTGAAATTTTTAAAAATAAAGAAAACTAAGGAAAGAATAATGTGCCAAATAATCAAACGTCAGCATATTTATTCTTACCTTAAGCAGAGAGACTTATGAAGCTCAGAGAAAGTTAAAGCATCAAGAAGGAACAAGAAGGGACACTAGACAAATCAAAATTCAACAGTATTTGAATCTATCTCAGAGTGATGTATTTATATCATTGGACCTGGCCTGGTCAAGTCAGCAAGAAAGCCTTTCCTTTCTGAATGGGGTGTGATGGTTTGAAATGTTTGTGTTCCTCCAAAATTCATGTTGATATGGTTTGGCTGTGTCCCCACCCAAATCTCACTGAGCTGTAACAGTCCCCACATGTTAAGGGTGGGGCCAGGTGGAGATAATTGAATCATGGGGGTAGTTTCCCCCATACTGTTCTTATGGTTAGTGAATAAGTCTCATGAGATCTGATGGTTTTATAAATGTGACTGCCCCTGCACAAGCTCTCTTGCCTGCCACCATGTAAGACCTCTCTTTGCTCTTCCTTTGTCTTCAGCCATGATTGTGAGGCCTCCCCAGCCATGAGGAACTGTGAGTCCATTAAACCTTTTTCCTTTATAAACTACCCAGTCTTGGATATGTCTTCATTAGCAGTGTGAGAACAGACTAATACACATGTTGAAATTTAATTCCCAATGCAAAAGTATTAAGAGATGGGGCCTCTTAATTAGGTGATTAGGCCACGAGGGCTGCATCCTCATGGATGGAATATGTCTCAATAAAAACACTTGAGGGAGCAAGTTTGTTCCTTCAACTCTTCTACCACATGCAGACACAGTGTTTGTCCCTTCTGCCTTGTCAGGACACAGCAAGAGGTGCCATGTTTGAATAAGAAAGCTTTCACCAGCCATCACATCTGATAGTTTCTTGATCTTGGACTTCTCAGCCTCTAGAATGATAAGAAATAAATGCCTATTATTATAAATTACCCAGTTTAAGGTATTTTGTTACAGCAGCAGGAACAGACTGAGACACGGGGCTTTGAATGAGTAGTATTTACTGCAGTGAAACTGTCTTAAGATACCATTGATAACCAAACTCTCTTCTTGTGATTGGCACATTCTTTCTTTAACTCTTGGCAGTTATTTTGATATTTATGCTAGTGTATTATTTTAATCTAAATTTCAGAGGCCAGCCTCAACTGAGCCAATCATTTTTAATCAGGGGTCTGCAATTTTTTTTTGTAAACAGCTAGAAACTTAATATTTTTGGCTTTGCAGAAAATAGATCTTTGTCACACCCAACTTTGCCTTTGTAGCATGAAAACAGCTAGTGACAATAGTAAATGAATGAACATGGCTGTGTTACAATACATCCTTATTTCTATAAACACATGTCGGTCCAATTTGACCCAAAGGTTGTAGTTTGCCAAACCCTGATCTATACAGCAAACACTGAGCTGGAAAAACTTTTCCAGAGAGTATGGCTACTTGTGGAATAACTTATTATTAACAATCCCAATTAATTTTTTCCCTTTTCAAGGGAAGACAATAATATTTAGCTCTAAAATTTTATTACATTTAAAATTCCTTACTCTTAATAGGTAGCTCATTTTATATCTAAAATTCATCTTTGTTTTGTGTAAATCAAAGTATATTTTAAAAATACTACTAAAGCTCATTACTAAAAAGTACATTGGTGTGAATACCCATTAAATGAAGAGCATCCCCTCTAACTAGAACCTGTACCCATCCACTCTTCCTTCCTTCCTCCTATAGTTGAACTGTCAGTGATCTGTAGGCCAATCCCTCTGCTGGACTCCTGAACCCACCTCTCCTGCCTGCTCAAGAACATGGATCTGGAAATTATTTGCTTTTATCTACTAGTTTTCTTTATTTGACCTTCTCTACTGAATAATTTCCACCAGAATATAACATGATACTTCCCTTGTAGTTAAAAAATAATAATCTTTTGATCTCTCTTTCCAAAATTGCTACTGTTCGTTTCTCTGCTCCCCTTCACAATAAAAAACTCCTTCAAAGAATTGTCTGTATGTCTGCAATTTCTCCAGTTCCTTTCTATTCCTAAAACTATTTTCATCGAGTTTACCAATAACTCTCATGGTGTTAAATGCATGGTTGATTAGAGTTTTGCAAACTGCACTTCTGTGCTTTGACCCAGAAATCAGTTATGACCATAGAACAGTTGCCAGAATTGTTGATATGTTCCTAACTCATTAAGTTTGCTGAGAAATTAAGGGTAACAAACACCGTGTTTGGTGAGCATTACTATCTCTGGCCTAATGTCTTACCATAATATTTATTTTGCTATATTGTAACAACTAGACATGATGAGCCCTGCACCCTGTTAAGGCCTCTTTAGAGCCTGAGACACATTGTGTAATTTGTGATGCCAAGAATTCAATCCAAATTTCAGTATGAATTAGTTTCAAAATAGGAACAAACCAAAACAAACAGTGGCTGTATGACAAATTAACCAGTGCAGCACTAATGGTATAGTCCTGGACATTTTTTTTTTTTTTGTATTTAACCATAAGCATCATATTTTTTAAATGGCAATAATGGCATTCAGCAATACTACTATAAATATGCATTAATTATTGAATACCTACAATGTTTCAACCACTTTATGTACATTGTTTCATTTAACATTATTTAGCAGTGATTCATAAAATAGGTCTAATTATCTTCCTATCCTTAATATAGTCTAAAAACCGAAACAAAACAAAATGTCTCGCCTTTCAAGTTGTGAATTACCCAACAAGTTAGATTTTCAAAGCAAGGCGTTTCTAATACTCCACTTGCCCCTTAGGCAAGATTAGTTCAACAACTTTCCGCAATTAAATTTTGCATATTTTACAATTTCCTCCCCTGTCATAAACCCATCTTTCAAGGCCTCCTACTCAGCTTGAATTTTCTAATCCCTGTTGAAATGTAACCATGCTTCTTCCCTAGGGTGCAGCTTCCTGGAGTTAAGCAGGAAACATAATACCTCTGCTCTCCATCCGTTCCTAAAGGCTTCATGTGGTCTACAGCCTTTTCAAATTTCTTTACTACACCTGGAAATCCTACAGGCGGTACACCATAGTGCCACCTGGTGTCCAGCATTTTCCTCCTTTTCTTCTTAAACTTTCAGCACAGATACCTGCTCTCAAGCCTCTAGGGCATGTTGAAAGAAAGATGGGAATGGCCTTGATCTGATATGTTAGAGAAAGTGTTATCTTCCCCTAAAAACTCCACTTTAAAGATACAAAAAGTGGATAGATGTCCTCTAACATGCCTTACTAGGTTCCAGCAATGGCCAAATTTCTCAAAAAGACCTCCCTTCCTGAGCTCTGTACTCTTGTTTCTCTAATCTCCCTCCTTTGATTTCCAACCATTGCTGCCTAAGCATTATTCTGTCCTGCCTAACTCCTTTATGCAGATGACCTGATAATGGTTTCTCTTTGGCCTTTGGATAACTTCTTGGAAGAACCCTTGTTTTAGTGCATTGCAACCTTCTGACAAGCCTCACCCTCCACAAACATATCCTGACCCTGAGAATACTAAAATAAGTCTTGATTCAGCCTGTCATGCTGGCTTCTGTTTGTCCAATCTTTGGTTGTTGAAAACCAAAGATGATAGGGGGAGGGAATTCTACACAAAGCTACAGGTACATGAAGCCAAAGCTGTGAATGCTGCTGCTTTCTCCCAGGCTGACCTCACAGTCATCTTTCCTTCCAGAAGTGTGGCTGAAAATTGGTGGCTCACAGATTACATCCAGGCCAAAGATTTTGTTGATAGTAGTGCCATTTTGTTGTTGTTGTTGTTGTGCTTTTTTCTTTAGTTAGATATTTTAAGATTGTGAACCTGAATTTTTTAAATGGGAAATACACTTTCCAATATGTGTTCTTCACCAGTTTAATATATTTTACCATTTGGTTTTGTCTATCTTGTTCTAAACCTGCTAGGTCTTTGCTGCTGAACTCAGCGGTGCCATCTTGTGCTCGCAAGGTCCTAGAGAGATACTAGTGGAACTGAGCTTTAGTGCCTTGTCCTGTATTGTAGCCTCTCTCAAATATGAGAATATCAGAACCAGATTGGAGGGACGATCTTGATACAACACTTTCAGTTACTCACATTAACCCCAGCAATCTTCCTTGAACCTTTCAAAGGTGTTTTCTCCATTCCTCTTCACATCTGTTTACCATCATTCTCTATTTCTTTCTTCACACTGGTACTCTGGAGAGAAGTTTCTTCTTCTCATTGTCAGGCTTAACACCTACCTTATCTTATGTTTTTATATCATCATCTTCTTATGGAAATTGATCTTGCTCTTCAGTCATTCCATCCCAAATGGCTACTTCCTTTCTGCTTATAGTAAATTCTGATCTCTAGTTTTTAAAAACAGAAAATTTCTCTTCAAATATTTAACCCCTTAAGTGACTATCCCATTGCATTTCCTTATTTACCCCAAAACAATTTGAAAGATAGTTTTATTCTCAACTTGAACTCATCACTATTTTTTTTTTTAGTAATATATGTATTAGAAGCTGACTTTTGCTATCACTCTTCTTCTAAATTGGATTCTCAGTGATCATCAAGGACTTCAGCAAGAAAAATCCAGCAGACTTTGCTCAAAAATGATTGCCTCTTTGCAACTTGCAATACTGCTTATAGCAGCTTTCTTCTTGGAAGGCTTCCTTCCAGTTCTGTGATATTGTAATATCCAGATTTACTTTTTGCTCTGATCATTTCTGGCCTTCTTCTCTGGCTCACTTTTGAACTCCCTAAATATAAAAAATCCTATAAAACTTTGTTCTCAACTCTTTTATCCTCTCTTACTACCCACCCCCCTACCATTTGAATAATCTCATTCCAACTGTTGCAATTTTTGAAATTGCCCTATATGAGTTGTGGCCAATTCACTAAAGTAAGAGTACAAAATATGTCAAATAAGGCCTGGAAGAAAAATTTTTTATTATTCAGAGGTCATATGTTTGCAGCATAGAAAATCCAACTGACTTTAGAGATGAACTATTAAACTAAGGGAGTTCAGTAATATTGCTGGATTCAAGGTCAGTATACACATCAATAGAATTTTACACACCTGACTAAAACAGTTAAAATGTGATAAATATAATAAAATAATAAGGTGACTATCACAATAACAACAGAATATGCCTAAGAAAATCCAACAGAAAATGTAAAAGAGCCTTAAAAACAACAACAAAGGCCAGGTGTGGTGGCTCATGCCTGTAATCTCAGCACTTTCAGAGGCTGAGATGAGTGGATCACCTGAGGTCAGGAGTTCAAGACCAGCCTGGCCAAAATGGCGAAACCCTGTCTCTACTAAAAATACAAAAATTAGCGAGGTGTGGTGGCAGGCGCTGTAATCCCAGCTATTTGGAAGGCTGAGGCAGGAGAATCGCTTGAACCCGGGAGGCGGAGGTTGCAGTGAGCCGAGATCACGCCATTGCACTTCAGCCTGGGCAAAAGAACCAGACCCCATCTCAAAAACAAAACAAAACAAAAACAAACAAACAAACCAACAACAACAACAAAAGAATAAATGGAGGGATGTATTAGTGAATGTGAAATGTTTTACACAAAAATGCAATTTTCCCAAAGTTATTCTTTTAAAAACTCAATTTAAATAAAAATATAACACAGTTCATCATGGAGCTTAATAAGTTGATGATAAAATCCATATACAAGTATTAAGTCCAAGAACAGACAATATTATTTTGAAGAAGTTAAAGGATGAATGAACACTTGTCTTAGAATTAATATAAAGCTATAACAATAAAGAGTATGATACTGTTACAGGAATAGACAAATAGATGAATTGGAAGAATCAAAGAGTACTGAAGCAGATTTATACATATGCAGAACTTGGCATGTGGCACACACACATTATATTGGGAGAATTAGACATCTGTGTTCGTAAAAACTGTACCCATTATGCATCATACATAAATATAAACAAATTATACCTATCGATTATTATTTCTGAGAGTGAAAAAGATCTGAGACATATAAGAACAGATTTTGAGAATTTTTCAACTCTAGTAGGTACCTAAGGATCTATCATATACTGTCTGTAAGTTTATGTGTTTGTAATATTCCACATTTAATAATAAAAGCAGAATAACATTTTAACAGCTTAATTACTGTATTTTTTAATAATTATGGGACAAATTTGGAATCATTACAAATATTTCTTTACAAAAATTATTTAATATGAGAGAGGACAATAAGGTCTTTTTTTTTACAAAATGTTAAAAAGCAATAACCAGTTAGAAACACTATTTTTGAGTACTAAAGAATCTTGTCCCCAAATTTTGTATCAAAATATTACTGTCAGTGAAGATCAAAACGTATTTTACTAATTCAAACAATGCTATATTTTATTTAAGAACTAGAAATTTAGACCTTTTACCTATTTTTACTTACTCCGTTAACTCTCTCTTATTTGTTATTTGACACGTGGCTTTGTGCTTATACATGCCATCCATTTCGTACGTGTGATTAAACCAATATAATTATTTGCTCAAGAAAACTCTATCCTGAAATCTAGAAATAGTTCTGTTTGGCAGTGTACTAAAACAAAAACAAAAACAAAAGTACATGGCCAATAACCTAATGGTTGTAAATGTTTATATTTTATTTATTAGTATCTCCCCATAAAAGATAACTAACTTAGCCATTAACCAGCTTCATTCTTAATGGTGCTCCATAAGAGACAGTAAAAGTATTTCTATTTCCAATCCTAAATTCTCCCCTGAAGTCCAGATTTCTATACACAAGTGTCTACCCTATACTACATTGGAATATCAAATAGATGTTCTAACTTCACAAGAGCTGAAACTCTTCACTGCTGCACACTGCTGCACCAGATGTATTCCTCTCTAAGTCTCCCTCATTTTACTTTATCTACCCAGGAGTCGACCCATGGCAATAATCCTACATTCTTTTTTTTCTTTGTCACAATTGCAAAACAATCAGCAAGTCATGACAACTTTGCCTTCAAAATATATGCAAAATGGATCCACTTTTTCCTTACTTGGTGCTACCTTGCTTGTCTGAAGTATCACCATCTCTCACCTACACATTCCAGCAGACTCCTAGGTGGCCTCCTGCTTCCCTTTTACCCTCCTAAATCCATTCCTTACACAATAGCCAGAATGATCCTTTCTAAAAATGTAAACCACGTCAAATGACTTGACTTGCACTCTAAACAAAATCTGAAGTCTTTTTCTTGTCCCGCCAAGCTTACATAAGCCTACTCCGGCCAACCTTTTCACCCTCTCCCCGCTTTTCTCCCTTCCCTCCTTTCCTTATTCGCTCAATTACAGACACAGTAATCATTCTCTTGCTCTTCTCACACTATGAACCTCAGCACTTATGAATTTACTATTCATTCCTTCCCATTCCTTATCTTTACTGGCCAAAATCTTTGTCTGTTTTATGTCTCATCCCTACACCTAAGGAGTTACCCCTTCAAGGAGGCCCTTCCTTACCATGAAACCACAGTACCACTCCTCAATCACCCTGCACTTCACTGTTCTAACTTTATTTCTTCACACCACATATCACTATCTACAATTATCTTGTCTTTTTCTTTGTCTACTATGTGACTGTCTCCCCAGAACTAGAAACTAAGCTCCACAAAAGAGAAAGTTTGTCTGTCTTTTTCACCAATGTACTCCCAGGTCTAAAAACATTGCCTGGTACATCTACCAAATCCTAAGACATGGGGCCTCAAAACATTGCCTGGCCTTCAAAAATATTGGTCTAAAAAGTGAATAAATTTTTCTTAACATCAGGAACTGAAAGATGATGTTTGACATTACTACTATTTAATATGTTCTGGAAGTACTATGCATTGCAATAAAGCATAAGAAGTAGTTTGAAGCATGCTTAAAGGATAAACAGGAATTAATCAGAAAAATTTAAACAATATTATATACTAAATAATTTTGAAACAATATTATACACTAAATAAGATATATGTATGTGTATATATATATATATGCATATATGTATAGTTGACCCTTGAACAACACAGTGGTAAGAGTGCCAAGCCTTCATGCAGTCAAATTTGCATATAACTTTTGATTTCCCCAAAACCTAACTACTAATAGCCAACTGTTAACTGGAAGCCTTACCAATAACATAAACAGTCAATCATCATGTATCTGTATGATATATGTATTATAAACCATATCCTTACAACAAACTAGGTTAGAGAAAACATCATTAGGAAAATTAATTAAAAAAAGAGAAAATGGTTTACAATACTGTACTATATTTTTTGATACCATAAGTTTACCTTGTCTGTTTACAAGATGCAACTTCCGTCTGAAATGGTAGGCAACCACAGCCGCAGACCTCAATCTATGTCACGTATCAGACAATTTAGCTTTTTCTTGTAATGTCGTGACTTTTCTCTGGTTCTTGGGATCACTTCCAGCATCACTAGTGGCACTTCCTATGGGTCTCACGGTGTTATTCAAGGTTCGCGGTATTGTACCAAACATGATGAAAAATACACAAGAACTGCGAGAGATTACTTTTTACTGTGATACACAATTTACTGGAGAGACGAGCTGCTAACGTAGAGATGATTAGAGACACACTGCATTTAAAGTGGATACTCACAACACGAGCTCACCGCAGTAGCAATAGGAGGTGGCTATGAAATTATTACGGTAGTATAGCATGTACTATAGTCAATTTTATACAGTTATGATTTAATACTGCATCATTGCATCCACTTAACTTGACTGCAAATGGCAACATGTAATGTCTGTGTTTGTGTTTAATAACACTTAACTTTTTACAATAGATTTGTACGTATTTTACAGCAGAAAATGATAAAATAGACTAATATTTAATATATCATGCATTCATGACATTCCTTACATTTTTAAATTTTTTTATTTTTATTTCTGGGCTGTGTGGTTCATCTATCAGTTGTTTTAAATTACTGCAAATATTTTAAAAATTTTAATATATTTATTGAAAAAAATCTGTGTGTAAGTAGACCTAGGCAGTTTAAATCCATGTTGTTCAAGGAGTAACTGTATACACACACAAATATTCATATATAACCAGGGAATATATAACATATGTATTATCAATACATAGTATATAACATTATAACATCTAATACACACAGATATGCACGTATCTCAGCTTTTGTAAAGTTAAAAACTATTTGGGAGAAAATACATTTGTTTTATTCTTTAAAACTAAACACATTTTTGATGTGTCAAAGAGTTGAATATGGAAATAAAACCTCAAGATGATGAAAAAATATGGAAGAAAATTTTGAATATCAAGATGAGGAAAGATTTGTAAGCATCAAAAAACAACAACAAAAACAACAAAAAGAAGTCACAACATAAAAAATTTAAATTTCTGTTCATTGAAAATAATACCATAATTCAAATTAAAAGCAAGTATTGGAGTGAAAACATATTTTTCAAATTAACAGCAGAAAGTGTTTAAGATATTTAATATATAAAAGCCTTATAAAGTCACAAGATATGTGTTGTGTGTGAATTATCAAATTTATTAAAATATAAATGTAAACCACCAAGTATATGGAAAACTTATTTGCCATCACTAGTAATTCACACTTATACCTTATGAAAACAAGATATTTTCATTTCTCAAATTGTTACAGTTTATTTTATTTTATTTTATTTTATTATACTTTAGGTTTTAGGGTACATGTGCACAATGTGCAGGTTTGTTATATATGTATACATGTGCCATGTTGGTGTACTGCACCCATTAACTCGTCATTTAGCATTAGGTATATCTCCTAATGCTAGCCCTCCCCCCTCGCCCCACCCCACAACAGTCCCTGGAGTGTGATGTTCCCCTTCCTGTGTCTATGTGTTCTTATTGTTCAATTCCCACCTATGAGTCAGAACGTGCGGTGTTTGGTTTTTTGTCCTTGTGATAGTTTGCTGAGAATGATGATTTCCAGTTTCATCCATGTCCCTACAAAGGACATGAACTCATCATTTTTTATGGCTGCATAGTATTCCATGGTGTATATGTGCCACATTTTCTTAATCCAGTCTATCATTGTTGGACATTTGGGTTGGTTCCAAGTCTTTGCTATTGTTAATAGTGCTGCAATAAACATACGTGTGCATGTGTCTTTATAGCAGCATGATTTATAGTCCTTTGGGTATATACCCAGTAAAGGGATGGCTGGGTCAAATGGTATTTCTAGTTCTAGATCCCTGAGGAATCACCACACTGACTTCCACAATGGTTGAACTAGTTTACAGTCCCACCAACAGTGTTATTTTTATAATTATCAGTGTCAGAATGAGTTGAAATGAGCGTGTTCAAACACAGCCAGTGGAATTATGAATTCATCCATTTTTAAAAAAAGCAAACTGCATTGAAAGTCTTAACAGGGTTCCTACATCTACTCAACTTCTGTTTCTTTTTCATAAAGAAATGGAGATGGATACATTTCAGTTCAAGATGATATGTTGCAAAGTAACATAAAATATTAAAAAGTAAAAACATCCAAGTATTTTGCAATTATTGGATTTTTAAAATAATGCCACATCTGTAGAACAACTATCAAAACCATACACTTGGAGAACATTTAGCAACATGGGTTGGAGTGTTTTCAATATAATGCAGATGAAAAATCTCAATTATATCCACTTGTTATGAGTTCAAGATAGGCTGGGTTAAGTTATAGTAAAAAAAAATCTCAAATTTAATGACTTAAACAAAATTTTATTTATCATTCTCATTACCTGTATAAAGTGGGTCAACAAAGGGTATCTGCTCATAGTAGTCACTTGTGGTCCGAGACTCACAGAGGATTCATCTCAACAAACAGATGTTTCCATAATCACCATGGCAGGAGGAAGGAAACATGAGGAATCACTATCTGGTTCTTACTACACTTCTGTTCATATTTCACTGTTTATATTTCATGGTCACATCTTCTTTGGAGTGTATGGAGAAATCCAATAATATTATGCATATATATCTTTGAAGAGCTTTGTGCTCCTCAAATTTAAAAACTATATTTAGAAAAAAATCTTTGATAGTATTGTTCTAATGCTGTATGGTGGGTTTATAAGTATTAATTTTATAATTGTGCTATATTTATGTTATGTTATATATGTGAGATAACATATATATATATATCTCACCTATATCAGATATCACATATAAAAAATAAAGTAAAAATGGGAAAGTAATCACAGCATTAAATCAAGAAGATGGGGTGTTAAAGGCAGCCATTCTGTATACTAAAACTTTCTGAGTTATTTTATAAAACATAATTTGAAAATTAAAGTTATCAGATTATAATTCAGTACTTAACTGTATTAATTCAGTACTTAACTGAATTGTTTGAATAAAACTGAAGAAAAAAGGTTTTTTTTCTCTTGTATAAAGTAATGGATTCAATCAAAAAAGAAATTTATTTGTCTCTTCTTTATTTAACTTAAACATTGTGATCTCTGTGATAAAATTACATAGGATGTAGAGCTTACAGTTCGATTTTCAAATGTTAAAATTCAGATCTTTAAGGTAACTCCTATCAATGCAACATGACTAAAACACTTGAAATCACATCCTTTATTGGATAAAATGGTATATATGTGTACATACATACATGGATAATCATACATCCAAATGTGTGTATTCTATGCACCCACATCAACCAAAATGCATGCACTATAATCAGCTAAAAGATAAATAACACTAAAATTTCTTCTTTCTCAATAGAAATTATTTATTTTCACAAACATGCTTCCCACTGGCTGCTAACAAGTAGAGAATAGGGTTTTTTTTTGTTTTTAAAAAAAATGGGTATTGATTTCATTGACCTGTTCTCTAGTCACACACTAATAATTAATAAAGCTGAAGTCACTTTTTTAAACAGTGCTATTCAGCCTGGTCTTGGTGTAACTGCAAAGATCCACTCAGCTCCTTTGTTGTAGTCCATCTTGGCCATAGTTTGTCCTTAACTAGCTCTCTGTTTCAAGTAATTAAATTTTTACTTTATTTTCTGTACCACATGTCCCACTATCCCATTGTCCCTGAGTCACTCACTTGACTCTCTGCCTAATATCTCAGTACTCTGGATTTGTTATCCCACTTTGCTCTTAATTTTTTGCAGAAACAAAGATATAGTCCTTGGTCTTCAAATACCAAACCTGAATCTCTAGTATTAGTTGCTCGAGCCACATAATATTGATTGTCATTCTACCTGACCTCACTCATTAATTTATGGATCCATTCAATCATTCACTCATTTGACAAACATTTACAGATCACATATAGGCCAGGCTCTATGTGAGGTTTTGAGGACATAATAATAGAGACCAACCTTGCTCTTCTATAGTAGCAATGGCCATGAAATATATAATTATGATAAAAATTTAAAGTACTGTAATAAAATATAATCCATTATTCTTGTAGATCAAGAAGGCAGTGATAAACTCTGATTAAAAGGATTGTGGAAGATCTTATGATAGAGCTAACAATGCATCTGGGACTTGAAGAATGATTTGAATTTCACCTCAGCGTCATGAAAGGAAAGGGCATTCCATGGAGTAGAAATAATAACATTTAAATGTGTGGAAATATAAAAGCTCTTATGCATCAAGATCCTACTGTAGACTGAGATGGAGAGAGAGCAATTTTTAAAAAGGGAAAAACAAAAGCTATGAGACCAAATGACGAGATAAGGTCTGAATTTTTTAAGAAGTGAGAAAGGTGATTATTTTTAATTAAACTGTTTTACTTGACTTTTTCATTTTCTTTTGGCAAACTCTGAAAAAGAATTATTCATATAAGTTCAGGTTTATGTGTTATTCCAGGAGACTTAGATTTTTTTTAAAAAAATATGAAATTCACTGAAGGAGTTTACAAAGGGAGTAACATAGTGATTGATATATGTTACTTAAGATCACATTGACAGCCATTCGATGTATTAGTTAAAAGCAAGACTAAGCAGAGAGCCCAATTAGAAGAATATTACAATAGTTCTGAAAAAAATTAGATCCTGCATGAAGCTGAGACAGTGGTAATAGACAAGATAAGTGGTTGGGGACAAATTCAGGAAGTAAAAAGGTAATTGTTCTAATGGGTGGATTTGTTGGGCTATGTAAGAGAGAATGGGCAAGGGAGACAGCATGCTTCATGACTCCCCCTAAGGTCCTAGATTTGATAACAAAATGGAATTTTGGTGCAATAATCATGAGAGAAAAATGTAGAAGGAGGCAGAGGTCATCAAAGTATAAGGTTTGAGCAGAGCTAATGAAGAATTCTGCACAGGAAATGGCGGCTAATGTATCTGTAGGGCATTGTTTTAGGTTATTTCAAAGCAATCGTTACTAATCCATTCACACGGAGCAAAGGAAAAAAATGAGCCATATTAACTTCTGGACTATTTGAGGGGAGGAAGATAAAGAAAGAAGGAAAAAGAAAAGAAGGTACCAATTGCTGGTTATCTCTCTAATCTCCCAGTTATTGCCTCAAGTTGGCATAAGTTATCTAGTTTCTCTTTGGGGTCGATATGGCCAGGGTAGACTAGGTTTGAGAAACAAATAGGTCATTAGCAGAACTGAGAGTGTAGGCTGAAGGAAAGCAAGTAACCTCACTCCAGTGAAGTTCCATCATCTTTTTATCTTTTGTCTAAATGACTGTTAAGTCTAATTAACTAGCCCAGACCTTCCTTCTCAGTACCAGAACAATCTATCGCACCATTTAATTTCCATTTATTAGAATGCCATCCATTTATGATGATATGTCCTTGAGACATGATAAAAGATCAGCTGTCTCCCTGTGCATGAAGAAATTTCTAAGAAATATTGTTATTATGTCACCTTGGGGAAAAGAGAACTTAGGGTCACATAAAACATTTTGGTTTTAATACGCTGCTTTGAGAGAATGTGTACTCTTTGAGAAAATTGAATATAATTGTGTACTAATCCACATAAAAAATTAAGTATCTAATGTTAGTCAAAGTGAGTCTCCATAAGCAAGGCAAATAAATCTCACTGATAAAAAATTCTACTACTTAGAGTAGGTCTTAAAAGAAAAGAAATACATGAAAAGTAAACCTTTTTTTCTGTGTTGTGGTATGTGGAAGTAAAAAAAATCCACTGCTTGAAAGGTCTACATGGGAAACAGTGTCCTCAAGGAAAAAGTTCATTTCAATTAATGTTATACAATGAAAGAAAGATTCACAGAAGTGTTTAAGAACAGATGGTCCCAAATCAGGTAATGGGGATAGGGTTGTG
This sequence comes from Homo sapiens, assembly GCF_000001405.40. NCBI lineage: Eukaryota > Metazoa > Chordata > Mammalia > Primates > Hominidae > Homo > Homo sapiens. Next base: position 78,961,720 of record NC_000008.11, on the reverse strand, counting down.
AATATTGCAACAGAGAGGGTTGGACGGTCTCCAAGGAGCACATACAAATTTCTAGGAGTCCCACCTGACTCCTACTAGATAATTATTACTCCAAGTGAGTCTTTGAATACTCTTTTCCTGCTGGTAGTTGGGTGGTCTTACTCCAGGTGCAGGGATTTCCTTTGATTTAAGGAAATGTATGGGTGAATAACCTAGTATTTCAAAATATCACTTAGGAAATTTCATGAAGCTGACTTTCAATGATAGCTTGTTGTTCACTAATACAACCACAACTATGTTAAATAATTCTGTTTTTAAAATATTTTATTGAGATATAATTCACATACTTTTTAAATTATACAATTCAATGATTTTTTTGGTATAATGACAGAGTTATGCAACTATCACGACAATTTTAGAACATTTTCATCATCTCAAAAAAAATTGTGTACTCATTAGTAGTCACTCTACATTTCACCCCAGCCCTTGACATGTGCTAATTTGCTTATCTCTATAGATTTTTCTGTTTTAGACGTCTCATATAAGTGGAACCACATAATAAATAGTCTTGTGTGTCTGGTTTCTTGTACTTAACATTATGTTTTCTTAAAGTCTGTCTGCATTGTAGCATGTATCAGCCCTTAATTCATTTTTTATGGCTAAATAATGTTCCATTATACAGTGTATTGGTTTTCTTGGGCTACTATAACAGAGTACTACACAATGGGTGGCTTAAAACAACAGAAATTTAACAATTCTATCCTTTGAAACATTTTTATACTTTGTACAGCATGCCTCCCTAACTTAAGTTCTCTGACTAGACAGAACACGATCCCTTGTCAGTTATAACAATCTACTGTTTATATGGTTTATTTAAGGATAATCAGACCCATATGAATTTATCTGAGATCCCCCAGTTGATACATGTAATGATGTAGCTTTGTTAACTCAACAAAATTGATTTCAGATTCCAGGATGTAAAGAGTGTTGACAGTCCACTGGGAACCAGGTGACACAAAATATAATGACAGAATCAGCAACAGTAGTGATCAGGGGCTATTCCAAGACTACAAGACTGTAATTATTCCATTGTCACTGAAAATTGTGTTTTATATCACACTTGATACAACTGTCAATAATGAGTGAGTAATAGCATCCTACATACATATTTATGGAGCCATTTTCCTAAGAATTTCAACTAAGGGAAGCATTATTTTCATCACCTGTCAAAACAAAATAGAACAATTACAATAAGACATTAAAATTTTTTTATAGTGATAGGCCTAAAACATATTCAAGATTCTTGGTTTTATTCATCTCACAAATATTTAGTGAGTACTTGTTGTGTACTGCACACTGTGTTAGGCTTTGTTAGGGAACAATACTCTCCTCCAAGAACTAACAACTTAGAACCGATAAAAGCATTCAACTTGAATATATCTCAAAATTCTCCTGCTACCTTGCCAGTCTTGGGTTTATCATGCTGGCTGTTTAGCTTAGTTCCGCCTTGCGTAATCAGGCCACATCTGTGCAGATGCAGTAATTAATTCATATCTGTGGCCTGCCACAAGGAGACATAAATATTAATAGAGCCTTTTATCCATAATTTTAGAGGGTAGCACTTTGGGATTTTTGAGCCTAGGAAAGCCATACCAGAAAAAGAGAGCACAAGGTCAGGGGTACAACTGGCTGGACTAGAAAATCCATCAGGTCAGAATAAAAGAATTAAGAAACTTATGTGTGTTTTAGAATCAATCTTCTAAATGCCCTTCAGAAAATCCTTCTCAGGACACTACTTTATTTAAGCACTGTATTGATTTCCCCCTTATCTTTGGTTTAATTCCAAATTATTTTATGCAACTCCAAAGACCCTGCTTATTTCATGGGGAGGGCCTAACTTTACCCCTGAGCTAGTTTTTTTTGCTGTTCACCCTCCCTGAAACAGTCTTCTCTGTTTCCTCAGTTGGATAACTTATCCTATCTTTTAGGTATAAATGTCATCAACTTCCTCTAATAAATATTCCATGACACCCTCTCCACCAGGGAGTAGATTAGACAGCTTTTTATTCTTTTGCAAAAGAATCCTGTATTTTCCCTACTCTAAAATCATGCTGTAGTATGACTGTCTGCTTATTTTTCTGTAATAAAGGGGTTCATATACTTTATTGGCCAAACAAGTCTATTTTGAGATTAAAAAGAGTATTAAAATAACTATAATCTTATACAAGTTTAAAATAAGTATTTACTAACAAGTGGGGTTTGGGCCTATGGAAGTGTTATAAAATATTTTTGAAATAAAATGTTTCTTTAAGAAAGCAATATCTATTTCTATTCATAAAAGCAAAAGAATATTTGTATTGATTATCAGCACATTAAATAACAAGTAGTATGATTATTTATGTTATATATTCATTTAATTTAAACACCATCTTAGTTGTACAAGTAATATTGGTCATTATTATTCTATTTGTGGACAATGTATTTTTGAAATACAGTTTTATTGTTTTCCATTTTTTCATAAAATTGCCTGCATTTGTTTTCAAAGCTGTGCTTTATGCTAATAAATTTGAAATTGTTGAAACCTTCAATTGACTGGTCTCCATAGAATACATTACTTTTAACTGAGAAAATACCCTCTCTACATGCACTGAAGTACCTAGTAATCGCAAATTATTTTTTGCTAAATACAGCATATTCTCAGATAATGGAAATATATTGTATATTTCAAAAAAAGCTAGAGGAAAATAATTTGCATGTCCTCACCACAAAAAACTGATAAATATTTGAGGTGATGAAATTCTAATGACTCTGATTTGATGATTACACAATCTCTCCATGTATTGAAACGAACAATGTTCCCCATACATATGTATAATCATTATGTATCACAGCTTTTTCTTTTAATATTAAAATGTATACATATTTTAGTCCCACTGTTGTTGTTGTTTTTTTTTTTTTTTTTTTTTTTTTTTTTTTTGAGGCAGTGTCTCGCTCTGTCACCCAGGCTGGAGTGCAGTGGTGCGATCTCAGCTCACTGAAAGTGTCGCCTCCTGGGTTCACGCCATTCTCCTGTCTCAGCCTCCCGAGTAGCTGGGACTACAGGCGCCGCCAATGCGCCCGGCTAATTTTTTGTATTTTTTTTTTTTTGAGTTGAGACAGGGTTTAACCGTGGTCTCGATCTCCTGGCCTCGTGATCCGCCCGCCTCGGCCTCCCAAAGTGCTGGGATTACAGGCATGAGCCACCGCGCCTGGCCTATTTTTTTTTTTAAATGTATTTTATTGTATATATTTGAGGTTTACAACATAATGTTATGGAGTACATATAGATACATCGTAGGAAATATAATGGTTCTAGAGTGAAGCAGATTAGTATATCTATCATCTCACATAACTTGTTTTTTGATGTGACAACAGCAGATAAAATCTACTTAACAAATATCCTTAACACAATTCAATTTTATTTAGTCTTCATGTTGTACATTAGATCTTTAGATTTGTTCATCCTACCTATCTGCTATTGTACATCTTTTGACCTACATCTTCCTCATTTCCTCTCTCCCTCTCCCACCAATGGTAACCACTGTTTCCTTCTTTATCTCTGTGTATTTGAGCTCTTTTATTATTTTATATTTAATATATAATTGAAATCATGCAATATTTTTTTCTCTGTGTTGCTTATTTCACTTAGCATAGGGTCCTCCTGGTTCATGCATGTTTTGACAAATGGTAGGATCTCCTTTTTAAGGCTGTGTAATATTTCATTGTGTATATATACCACATTTTCTTTATACCTCCATCAATGGGCATTTAGGTTCTTTCCATATCTTGACTGCTGCAAATAATGCTGCAATGAACATGGGAATGCCAATCTTTACAAGGTGGTGATAATCTCCTTTTGGTATATTGGTATATATTCAGAAGAAGGATTTCTGAGTCATATGGCAGTTATATTTTTAGTATCTCTAAGACCCTACATATTTCTTCCCATAATGGCTAGATCAGTCTATATTCCCATCAACAGTGCACTGCGGTTACCTTTTCTTCACACCTTTGCCAACATTTTCATCTTATCCATTTGATAATAGCCTTCCTTACTGGTGTAAGGTGATATCTCATAGTGGTTTTAATTTGCATTTCCATTATGATTAGTGATGTTGAGCTCCTTTTCATATACCTAGTGTCCATTTTTATGTTTTCTTTGAAGGTCTGCTCATATCATTTGTCCATGTTTTAATTGGGTTGTTTTTCTGCTATTGAATTATGTGGGTTTTTAAAATAAATTTTGGATATTAGCCATTATCAGATGTATGATTTGCAAAAATTTTCTTCCAGTCTGTAGCCTGCATTTTCATTTTTAAATTGTTTTCTTTGCTGTGTAGAAGGTTTTTAGTGTGATGTATTCCCATTGGTTTATTTTTTCTTTTTTTTATTATACTTTAAGTTCTAGGGTACATGTGCACAATGTGCAGGTTTGTTACATATGTATACATGTGCCATGTTGGTGTGCTGCACCCATTAACTCGTCATTTACATTAGGTATATCTCCTAATGCTATCCCTACCCCTCCCCCAACCCCATGACAGGGCCCAGTGTGTGATGTGATTTATTTTTTCTTTTGTAGCCTGAGCTTTTGGTATGGCATCCCAAAAAAATTATTGCCAAGACCAATGTTGTGGAGTTTTTCCCCTATGTTCCATGAGTTCTATGGCTTCAGGTCTTACACTTAGGTATTTTGTCCATTTTTAGATGATTTTTATCCATAGTGCAAGATAAGGGTCCAATTTAGTTCAAATATCTTAAAAGAGCTCTTGTTTTTGCTTCCATTCAGAGTACTTGTCTTTGGTAGATTTTTTTATCAGACAAAAGTCATTGCAGATGTCTCAATTTATGACTATGGAGATCATGCAAATTTTTTTTTTGTAAATTTTATCCTTTTTGGTATATATTGCAAGTTTATCCAATTAAAAATAGGAGATTTATCAGACTACATCTCACAAGTTTAAATATTCTGGAGTCCAATAATATAATTTAAAAATTAAATGTTTTACATAGTTTGTGCCTTTATTATTTAATTGGCTCCATTTCTACAAGGATCAGTTTCAATGTCCTCCTCTTTACAACCTTTGCTTTTAAGAATTGGAAATTGATAAAGCTTCACAAGCTAAAGCTTTTTGGCATCACAATTGCTAAATACTTTTATTTAAGTTCAGTTTCATAGTACTTCTTCAAGTGCTCAAACACATCTAAATCTAATTGTTGATGACCAGCACAGAGAAAAACTGCATAGCCACCAGCATAATTTAGAATATGTTTGTACTGAAAGCCAGCTTCATCTCAAAAATGCACTACTTTTGTTACCCCAACAACTAGCGTCTCTATTTCAATTAGTAATTATGAATAATTAATAATATTATACATATTATATATAATAGAAATAATAATTAGTAATATTTGTAATTAGTAATTATGAACAATCATGTGCACGACGAATTCCAAGAACATTTCTATTCAGAAAAGTTCAAAAAAGTTTTTTAACTTAGTAAGATTATTGTTTCCATTCTGCATGCTTTGTTTACTGAAACATGATAAAAAAGTTAATCAAATTTTTTTATTCATACCATAACAGCAAAAATAATAATTTTATCTTTAATGTTAAACTTTAAACTACTTTACAATATAATTCACAGTAATGCAAGATACTCAACAAAATGAACTTTGTAAAGTGTTATTTCATGTTTATGACTTTAATGAAAACACAATCTATTAGTGGAATTAACTTATTTTCTATTTGAAGCATCATTTAACCGCTAGTTCATCGGCTAATGGAAGTAACATATAAACAGTTGTTGTTTTATACCTTATACATGCAAAAGATTTCTTAAAACCAACAAAGAGTAAATTACTTTAGAAGAGCAATCATTTAATCTAAATGAAAAGTCAGTCTTTAAAAAGAAATACGTAGGCCAGGCACTGTGGCTCATGCCTGTAATCCCAGCACTTTGGGAGGCCAAGGTGGGCAGATCGCTTGAGGTCAGGAGTTCAAGACCAGCCTGGCCAATATGGTGAAACACAGTCTCTACTAAAAATACAAAAATTAGCTGGGCATGGTGGCAGGTGCCTATAATCTCAGGTACTCAGGAGGCTGAGGTGGGAGAATCGCTGGAACCTAGGAGGTGGAGGTTGCAGTAAGCCAAGGTCACCCCACTACACTACAGCCTGGGTGACAGAGCGAGACTTCATCTCAAAAAAAAAAAAGAAAAGAAAGAAATATGTAAATACACCATCTGAAGTTGCACATGTTAAATTATCATCTTGTGCATAATCTTTCTAAATAACTGTAGGTGCTAGTGATTTGGGGGATGATATACATCACCTTGTTTCCACAGGTTCAATGATATCACTACAGACTCAATTGTTATAGTAAATGTCAACAAATACTTTGTGTAATTTACACATTCATCAACTTTCTTGAGAAATCGAAGTATCTTTAAATTTTCATTAAATATGCATTTTTCAAGGAAAAAGACATCGTTTTGGAAAGGATAGTGGTTGAATTAAATATAGTAAATAATGAACTACTTTCTATATATTCCATGGTAAGACTATTCAGTCTCTATTTCTCACACATCTCATACACAACCATGGTACAAATTAGTTGGTTCACCAAATGACCTAGAAGCAATAGCTTCCAATATTTCTCCCACCACCACCAGGATCCACAAGAAGTTGGTTATCTCCAGGTCACTCATATTAAAGAATTAGTTTTTATAACAGCATTATTGAGATATAATTTGCATATCATAAAAGTATCCCATTTAAAATGTATAATTCAATGGTTTGTAGCATACTCAGAGTTATGCAACCATCACATCACTATTGTAATTTTATAATGTTGTTATCATCCCAAAAAACCCATATTCATTACAAGTCATTCTCCATCCCTTCCCCCATCCCAGCTCTAGGAAATCCCTGATCTATTTCTACTTATAGTTTCCTATTATGGACATTTCATATAAATCTAATTACATAATATGTCACCTTTTGTGACTGGCTTATTTTATTTTGCATAATATTTTCAAGGTTCATACATTTCACACCATGTAACAGTACTTTGTTTATATTGTTAAATAATATTCCACTGTGTGGGTATGCCATATTAAGTTGGTTTATTAGAGAGTATGATGAACACTATTCTTTTCAATGCATCAGAAAAGGATGGGAGAAAGGGAAGCAATTTACTGCTGATTATTTCTGAGATTCAACCACATGTTAATCTGAAAACTCTGTTCATTGCATGCATCTCACACATTACTAATTAAGATGGTGCTGAAAGTAAAAAGTGAAATTCTATCAAAACCATTCCAGTCAAAAGAAACATTAGTAAAAATATTTCTTTAAAATATGAAAACTCAAGAAAAAAATCCTACGCCATATGGGATACTGAGACCACACATGTAAGCCAGGCTTATAGCAGGATTATGGTTGCCCTATCTGTTTCTCATACTGGAACATTATATTTTTTATGAGAATAGTAGATTAGCATAATTCTTGCCATGTAATAGCCTCTCAATATGAATTTTTGAATGAGTTATTGAAGATGTTTTCCCAATAAGTATGTTTATTTCAGTTTTGTGAATTTTTAAATATTTTTAAATTTGTAAGTATTATGGATACATAATAGTTGTACATATTTATAGTGTACATGTGATGTTTTGATAAAAGCATACAATGTGTGTAATGATCAAATCAGGGTAATTGGGATTTCTATTACCTCAAACATTTACCATTTCTGTGTATTAGGAACATTACAATTCCACTTAAGTTATTTTGAAATACACAATAAATTATTGTTAACTATAGCCTCCTTATTGTGCCACTAAACACTAGATATTATTTATTCTATCTAAGTATAGTTTTGTACCCACTAACCATCCCTCTTAATCTCCCCCACCCCACTACACTTCTCAACCTCTGGTAACCACCATTCTACTCTCTACCTCCATGAGATCAATTTTTCTCTTTTTTACCTCCCACAGATGAATGAGAACATGTGATACTTGTCTTTCTGAGTCTGGCTCATTTCACTTAATATAATGTCTTCCAGTTTCATCCATGTTGCTGCAAATGACAGAATTTCATTCTTTTATGACTGAATAATATTCCCTTGTGTATATACCACATTTTCTTTATCTGTTCATCCATTCATGGATACCTAAGTTGTTTCCATACCTTAGCTACTGTGAATAATGCTGCAATAAACATGGGAAAGCAGATGTCTTTTCACATGGTGATGTTCTTTCTATTAGATGTATACCAAGCAGTGGTATTACTGGATCATATAATAGTACTATTTTTCATTTTTTTGAGGAACTGCCATTGTTCCTCATAGTGGCTACACTAATTTACATTTTCACCAACAGTATATGAGGACTCCCCTTTTTCCCATATCCTTGCCAGTATCCATTATTGCCTGTCTTTTTAATACAAAGCCATTTTAACTGGGATGAGATGATATCTTATTGTAGCTTTCATTTTCATTTCCTGATGATTAATGATGTTGAGTGTTTTTTCATATACCTGTTGTCCATCTGCATGTCTTCTCTTAGAAATGACTATACAGTTTTTTTTCTCATTTTTAAATTGGATTATTTATTTATTTTTCCAATTGAGTTGTTTGAGCTCCTTATACATTCAGGTTATTAATCTCTTGTCAGATGGATAGTTTGCAAATATTTTCTCCCATTCTGTGGGTTGTCTCTTCACTTTGTTGATTGCTTTATTGGCTATGCAGATGCTTTTTAACTTGTTGTGACCACATTTGTTCATCTTTGCTTGGTTGTCTGTGCTTTTGAGGTCTTAACTAAAGAAATATTTGCCCAGACCAGTTTCTTGGAGTGTTTCCTCAATGTTTTCTTCTCGTAGTTTTATAGTTTCAGGTCTTAGATTTAAGATTTAAATCTTTAAACCATTTTGATTTGATTTTTGTATATGGGGAGAGATGGGGTCTAGTTTTATTCTTCTGTGTATGAATACCCTATTTTCCTGGATTGAAGAGACTGACATTTCCAAATATATGTTATTAGTAAATTTAATTGTTTGTAAATGTGTGAATATATTTCTGGGTTCTCTATTCTGTTCCATTGGTCTATGTGTCTGTTTTTTATGCCAGTGCCAAGCTGTTTTGGTTACTATAGCTTTGTAATATAATTTGAAGTCAGGCAATGTGATACCTCCAGCTTTGTTCATTTTGCTTGGGATAGCTTTGGCTATTCTGAGTATTTTGTGTTTCTATACAAATTTTAGAATTATTTTTTATATCTGTGAAAAATATAATTGGTATTTTGATAGGAATTTCATTTGAATCTATAGATTGCTTTGAGTATTATGGATATTTTAGTAATGCTGATTCTTCAAATCATGAATATGGAATATCTTTCAAGTTTTTGTGTCCTCTTCAATTTCTTTTATTATTATTATTATACTTTAAGTTTTGGGATACATGTGCAGAACATGCAGGTTTGTTACATAAGTATACATGTGCCATGGTGGTTGGCTGCACCCATCAACCCGTCATCTACATTAGGCATTTCTCCTAATGCTATCCCTCCCCTAGCCCCCTACCCTGTGACAGGCTCTGGTTAATGATGTTCCTTTCCCTGGGTTCATGTGTTCTCATTGTTTAACTCTCACTTATGAGTGAGAATATGCAGTGTTTGGTTTTCTGTTCCTGTGTTAGTTTGCTGAGAATGATGGTTTCCAGATCATCCATGTCCTTGCAAAGGACATGAACTCATCCTTTTTTTATGGCTCCGTTGTATTATATGGTGTATATGTGCCACATTTTCTTTATCCAGTTTAACATTGATGGGCATGTGGGTTGGTTCCAAGTCTTTGCTATTGTGACTAGTGCTGCAATAAACATACACGTGCATGTGTCTTTATAGTAGAATGATTTATAATCCTTTGGGTATATACCCAGTAATGGGATTGCTGGGCCAAATGGTATTTCTGGCTCTAGATCCTTGAGGAATCACCACACTGTCTTCCACAATGGTTGAACTAATTTACACTTCCACCAATGGTGTAAAAGCATTCCTATTTCTCCACATCCTTTCCAGCGTCTGTTGTTTCCTTACTTTTTAATGATTGCCATTCTACCTGGCATGAGATAGTATCTCCTTGTGGGTTTGATTTGCATTTCTCTAATGACCAGTGATGATGAGCTTTTTTTCACATGTTTGTTGGCTGCATAAATTTCTTCTTTTGAGAAGTGTCTGTTCATATCCTTCATCCACTTTTTGATGAGGTTGTTTGTTTTTTTCTTGTAAATTTGTTTAAGTTCCTTGTACATTCTGGTGATTAGCCCTTTGTCATACGTATAGATTGCAAAAATTCTCCCATTGTGTAGGTTGGCTGTTCACTCTGATGATAGTTTCTTTTGCTGTGCAGAATCCCTTTAGTTTAATTAGATCCCATTTGTCAATTTTGGCTTTTATTGCCATCGCTTTTGGTGTTTTAGTCGTGAAGTCTTTGCCCATGCCTATGTCCTGAATGATATTGCCTAAGTTCTGGCCAGGGCAATCAGGCAAGATAAATAAATAAAGGGTATTCAAATAGGAAGAGAGGAAGTCAAATTGTCTCTGTTTGCAGATGACATGATTGTGTGTTTAGAAAACCCCATCATCTCAGCCCAAAATCTCCTTAAGCTGATAACCAACTTCAGCAAAGTCTCAGGATACAAAATCAATGTGCAAAAATCACAAGCATTCCTATACACCAACAATAGGCAAACAGAGAGCCAAATGATGAGCGAACTCCCATTCACAATTCCTACAAAGAGAATAAAATTCCTAGGAATACAACTTGCAAGGGATGTGAAGGACTTCTTCAAGGAAAACTACAAATCACTGCTCAAGGACATAAGAGAGGACACAAACAAATGGAAAAATATTCCATGCTTATAGATGGGGAAAATCAATATCGTGAAAATGGCCATACTGCACAAAGTAATTTATAGATTCAGTGCTATCCCCATCAAGCTACCATTGACTTTCATCACAGAATTAGAAAAAACTACTTTAAATTTCATATGGAACCAAAAAAGAGCCCATATAGCCAAGACAATCCTATGCAAAAAGAACAAAGCTGGAGGCATCATACTACCTGACTTCAAACTTTACTACAAGGCTACAGTAACCAAAACTGGTTACTGATACCAAAACAGATATATAGACCAATGGAACAGAACAAAAGCCTCAGAAAAATGCCACACGTCTACAACCATCTGAGCTTTGATAAACCTGACGAAAACAAGCAATGGGGAAAGGATTCCCTGTTTAATAAATAGTGTTGGGAAAACTGGCTAGCCATATGCAGAAAACTGAAACTGGACCCCTTCCTTACCCCGTATACAAAAATTAACTCAAGATGGATTAAAGACTTAAACGTAAGACCTAAAACCATAAAAACCCTAGAAGAAAACCTAGGCAATTTCTTTAATTAATGTTTTATAGCTTTCTTTGTAGTGATCTTTCACTTCTTTAGTCAAGTTTATTTCTAGGCATTTTATTTTATTTGTAACTATTGTAAATAAGATTAATTTCTTGGTTTCACTGCTGGCATATAGAAATGCTAGTTTTCTTTAACATTGATTTTATATTCTGCAACTTTAGTGAATTTATCAGTTCTAGTCACCTTTCGTTGGATTCTTTAGGTTTTTCTAAATATAAGATCATATCATCTGAAAATAAGGATAATTTGTCCTTTTCCTATCCAATGATCTTTACTTCTTTCTCTTGTTCAACTGCTCCTCCTAAAACTTCCAGCTGTATGCTGAATAACAGTGGTGAAAATGGACATTATTGTCATGGTCAAGATCTTAGAGAAAAGGTTTTCAGTTTTTCCCTGTTCAGTATGATACTAGCTGTGGGTTTGGTGAATGTGTTTTTTTTTTATCATGTTGAGGTATGTTCCTTTTATACCCATTTTTTTAGAGTTTTTATTATAAAGTGATGTGAAATTTTATCAAATGCTTAATTGACATTGATTAAAATGATCATATGGTTTTGGTCTTTCATTCTGTTGATGTGATGTATCACGTTTTTGATTTCTATATGTTGATCCATCCTTGTGTCATTTTGATAAATCCCATTTTATCATAATGAATGACCTTTTTAATGTGTTGCTGGCTTCAGCTTCCTAATATTTTGTTGGGGATTTTAACAATTATGTTCATCTGAGATATTGACCTATAGTTTTCATTTTTCTTGTGTATCTGGCTGGTTTCAGTATCAGGATAATACTGGTCTCATAGAATTAGTTTGGAAGAATTCCCTTTTCATTGATTTTTTTGGAATGGCTGTAATAGAAATGGTATTAGATATTTAAAAGTTTGGTAGAATTCAGCAGTGAAGCCATCAGGTCCTGGGTTTTTCTTTGATGGAAGACATTTTATTCCTACTTCTATTTACTTGTTATTAGTCTATTCAGGTTTTGAACTTCAATCTTGGTAGGGTGTATGGGACTAGGAACTTATTAATTTACTCTAGGTTTTCCAATTTATTGACATACAATTTCTCATAACAGTCTCTAATGATCCTTTGAATATTTGTGGTAACAGTTGTAATATCTCTATTTTCATCTCTGATTTTATATTTAGGTCTTCTCTCCTAAGATAACTTTGCCATGATAAGGTGATGGAGCTTTATCTGAAAGTCACTAGCACAAGCAATGAAATGACTCCATCCCATAATTTATGCCTTATACAAATGTTAATTTCATATTTATTTCTTTGAATTATAATTTATAAGAATATAATATTATACATAAATTAAGATAACACCTACTTTTATACATTATATTTTTTGTAAGTGAATTTGATTTAAATGTATTATTTCATTTAATCTCACATTATCGGTTTTACAGAGAGGTGGTTATCTCTTCCCTGTCACAGGTTGGCTTCCCTAGGAAGCTGACTCTGAAATGGAGATTAGCATACAGGATGTTTATCAGGGAGTATTATGGGCATAAACACATGGAAAAAGAGGAAGCAAAATTGGACAAAGGGAGAATTATAGTCTTGATGAAGGATACAGTTGATCTTAGGGAAGTTCTAAAATTGACATGACCCTTTAGAATTGTCTCAAGTTGTGGGAGAAAGGCAGACTTCATATCTTTCCTTGATGAGTCATTGGGTATGGGCTGCCCAAGGAAGGGGGCAAAATATTGGGCAAGGGGTGTGTCTCCAACAAAGACATTTTCTGTAGAAGGCTAATAGCGGAGACCTGCCTTAGGGAAGTACTTATAGAAGTTTAAAAAACAAGCCCTTTATTTCTACAAGGGATCTGGGCAGCACACTATCTATGACAAACACATTCCATTAATTCCTTAGTTTTTGATAAAGTTTAGAAATATTTTTGGAATATTTTTATTTCTGTCAGTTAAAAGAGAACCAACCTTGTAACTAAGACTGACTTAAATTTTACCTTGGTCCCTGGCTAGTTGTGTAATTTGGAATAAACTCAGTAATTATTCTGATACCCATTTTTTCTTATATAAAGTGAAGGAGACTATATTTGATATATAACAAAATTCTAATATTTATAAGTAAAATTGTGTGGGGTGTGTGGGGGGGTGGAGAGAGAGAGAGAGACAGAGAGAGAGAGAGGAAGGGAGATGAGCCCTATTCAGTTAAAATGAAGAAAAGTAACTATATCAACTCACAACAGATTAGCAAATGGTGGCCCTGTATCATATTCTACAAAGTAAGGGCAGATTGTCAGAGGCACTGAGTTAGTTTTACACTGCTACATAATAAGCCACCAGACTTCATGGTTCAAAACAAGCTACATCCATTTATTAGCTCAGAGTTCAGTAGTTCAGAAGTCCAGCCACGTTTCAGCTGGGTTCTCTGGTCAAAGTCTTACAAGACTGAAATCAAGGTGTCAGTCAGACTGGAGTCTCATTTGGAATGTGAAGTCTTTTTTCAAACTTATTTAAGTTGTTGACAGAATTTAGTTCATTGTAGTTTTAGGACTGAGACACTCAGACCCTAATGATGATTCACCTTCACGGAAATTCAAAATATGGCTATTTGCTTTCTTGTTTGAGGCCATAGGGAGAATGTCTCTCTGATTCTTTGCATTTTAAAACTCTAGACCCCCATTTGATACCTCACCTGAGTAGGACAGACTCTGATTAGATAATTTCCGATCTGATTAACTTAACTGAATGTGGAACTTTAATTATATCTGCTAAAGTCTCTATTGCATATAATAGAACATAATGATGAGGTTGATAATGCATCATATTTACAGGCTTCACCCGTACTCAAAAGCAGTGCATTATACACAATGGGGTAGAAATCTCAAGGATTGTCTTGGAATTCTGCTTGCCATGGGCACACAGAAAATCTCAGCGATAAAGAGGCTGTTGGAGGTAGAGAGGTTGGTCCACTTGTTCTGTCATGTAATAACTCTTAGATACAGGAAAGACCTTGTAATTAAACATTTTCCATCTGAGATTAACACAGAAATCCCTAACCAATAATTCAACTTGACAAGAACAGATTAGATATTTTTCCTGTGCTGAGTATGGATGTAGAGTTGTGAAATGGAAGACAAGGGAAATTTAGAAAGATGTGGAGATTCAAAGTGTTCAACCTTGTTGCATTTGCCACAATATTTACATCCTATTTCTTGGGATTATATTATTTCCCCAGCAGTGGTTTCTTCTTACTTTGAGACATAACTGAATTGAGTATCTCGTTTGCACTGCAACTGCAATTTTGACAGTCCAGTCTTGATATTGGTCCTCAGTTTATCTGCTCTGCCACTTTAGGAGATAAGGGATTGGTTCAAAGTTACCACCAAGGCTTTCTCGTTTTTGATTTATATTCTGAGTTGGAATTTCACAGCCTTTAGTTCCTCTTTTTCGTGTGTAAACTACGTAGGACATCTAGTAAAAGGTAATGTATATACAATATTAATGATCACTATTGTTTTTCAACACCTAAACTACCCACAAAATTTGTGGTTGATTATGTTCCCTGTTACAGGCTGTTGCGGGACCAGCCACTGCCAGGGTCACTTCTGTTCTTGTGTTCAGCTCCAGTCACCCGCACCAGTGACCTCTTCTCTGAAGGTGAGTGCCTCTTTGGAGTCATTGATATCATTTCTTACCAAAGAACCTGATCCAGCCCACTTCAATTCAACAGAAATATTTGTATAAGAGGAAAGATCAAGTTTGGTGTTCTTTTCCTCCCAAGATAAATCCTAGTCCCTGTGTAAATCGCTAACTTCTTCGCACAGGGACGGCTCCTTACACCAAGTGGTATTGCCATCTTTTCAGGCCACAGAAGCTGCTGTTTCAACCTGGTCTGGAGTAATGAGTTTCATAGTGGCTTGAACAAAGAAAATCACTTAAGTGATTAAATAAAAATTTCAAAATTTAGTCCTAAGGTGATTTGCAACTCTCTCTTCACACACAGAAGATATTGATATAATGTCCTAAATGTTCCTTCTTCAGGCATCTATCTTACACACAAATATGAGCATATTCTATCTATTTTGCACCCTTCTTTACTTCACATTATATTCAATTATAATATTTTTCAATGACTTTGTAAAATATAATAATAAATTTAAATGGCCAAATAACATATAAAATCCTTTCAAATTATATTTAACAATTTCATGTCTAACTGTTATCATTGAAATGTTGGTATAGTAATTTTACTATTGATATTTAACTTGATCATGTTGCAGTCTCTTAAATTAAACACACTGATATATGGAGATTTGGAGGATTTTTTTAAGTACTAAAAAAGGAAAATTTATATAACAGAGGAGAAGCTGCAAACTCATGGGCCACTTATATCCCATTTTCTAATAAAGTAGGAGTTTTTTATGTGACATTGTGATGGACTTATTGTTGACATGGGTAAGTTACAGTCACAAGTTATTCAATAAATACTAATTTAGGTGTTACTGTGACGGTAATTTATAGAGTTAAATAAAGTCAATACTCAGTTGACTTTAAGAGACATTATCCTAGATAATTTAGCAGAGCCTCATTTCACCAGTTGGAAAGCCTTAAAAGCAAAGCTGAAGCTTCTCTGAG
This sequence comes from Homo sapiens, assembly GCF_000001405.40. Lineage (NCBI taxonomy): Eukaryota > Metazoa > Chordata > Mammalia > Primates > Hominidae > Homo > Homo sapiens. The sequence continues at coordinate 78,945,622 of NC_000008.11, read as the reverse complement.
GCAGGAGAAATTCAACTTGTGGCCAGAATCTGCAGCCCATAACCAAGAGTTCCAGCCTGCCGTATGGATTTTAGACTAGCCTTATCAGTCCCCACAATCATATAAACCAATTTCTTGAAAAAAAATCTTACAATATCTCTCCTACTGGTCTGTTTCCCTGGATAAATGATGATGGATACAGATGTTGCTTCTTGACATTGTTCTAAAGGAACATAATCATATGGATGAGTTTTCTGAATTGTTTCTGGGGTTTGAGAATTTAGTTGCCTCATGTGATTATATTTAAAGGCACTAATGACTATTTCCGGTGATAGAGCATTAGAAATCCATGGTATAATATGACAAAAGAGATATGGAAAATATAACCATTGGACACTTGTGATCAAATACCTGTAGAAGTTGAAGTTGTGGGTCACCATGTATTTGCTACCTTAGAATATTTTTATCAAACCTAAGAGTATCGTGGAGCTGGTCAGTTACTCCTCACTGTTCCAGAAATAAAAGAAGTGCAGGACTTCAAATTCCAGCTCAAGTTCCACCTAAATAATGTAATAGTCTGTTTTTTATGCCCTAAAAGTCACCGTTATCTTTTCTACCTACAGGTCTGAGATTTCTAAAAATTAAACCTGAATCTCCCTGTGAGTGGCTTAATTACAACACAAATTGAATTTCCAACCCCACGAGGTGTTTTCTGTTAAAATGATTGGGAAGGAATGGGATCCTGAAAATTGGAATGAGGGCATATTGACAGATCCCAATGAAGCTGGGGACACTGAACCCTTGAATTTGGACAGTTTTCTTGCTGGGAGAAGCAGCCATCCACCCCTGTCTAAGGAGGTTATCTGTTCTTCCTGAAGAATCTATAATTGCCTTGCAAGGTACTGCTGATTCTTCTTAGGACCTATCTCCACCCACCCCTCTCTGCATCTAGACCTACAATTAGACTTAAGTCTCAGCAGAGCCCAAACGGTAAGGTACAATGAATGACCTGCAAGAAGAACAGAATGATTTTTCCAATTTATACACACATAAATCTGGGGAAATAGGTGTGGGAATGGGTCTTAAGAGTGTGGCATTATGGTGGAAGGAATATAAAGTTGGATTAGTCTGATGTATTACTATGGCTCACTAAGGTCAGTGGTCTAGGAAGGGCTCTAACAGTTTGTTTTGTCCATAGGTTGAAACATGAAACTGAAGGTGGCCTACAATAAATGAAGTTGAAATGTCAGGATTGCCTTGGTATACTATGGAGGAAGGCATCTAAAGTCTTAGGGAGGTTGAAATGTTTGAATAGATTTATCATGTAAGAACTGCTCATCCAATTGGAGAGTCCAGAAGACATACCTTTTACCACAATTATGAGAAATAAATTTATAGGGGGAATCCTAGCATCCTTGAGAGCTCTCTCTTTACTCTTTTCTGCAAGTCAGATATTACAGTGGAAACTGCTGCTATTTGACAGGGATCATCAAAAACCAGATAGTCACCACAATAAACTGCAGAGTCAAAGCAGTTACCAGAATACTGTAACTCCCAAAGACCTACGGCATTAGCTAGTTGATAATGATGTCACTAGAAAAGAAATAGATGGGCAGTCTAATGAATGATGTGTATAGGTGGAAAAGTTCCAGGTCTAGTGAGCAGAAGTCTAATTCAAATCACCAAAACAGAGAGACATAACACCTCAATTAATTTCCAGGCTGAGACAATTTACCACCCCAGAACCCCTTAAATGAAAGGGAGGCTAAGTCCCTTTGAGGAAGAACTCCATTGCACTGCCAAAAAAAATGTGTTTATACTGTTAATCTTTCTTCTGGTCTTTCCTAAAGAGATCTAGTTATTTACCAGTGTGCTTTTGCTTTGGAAAATAGAAATAATTAGACTTTTGGAAGATTACTGAACACTGACTAAAATGACACTAATTTCTGGTCACCCAAAATGTCACTGTGGAGGCATAATAGAGGCTTATGAAGGTTTGGTGATTAATTGATCATTAGTTCATATTTGTCTCAGTGGGTTCAGCATGTCCCTGAACAAGTCCTGTGATTATTTCTCCAGTTCCAGAAGCATTATTGGAATAGACACATTCAGAATGTGACAAAATCTCTACATTGGTTTCCCGACTTGTGAAATAAGGGATATTATGGAAAGAAAAATAATTGGAAGCCACTATAACTGCCTCTACCTAGGAAAATAGTAAACTAAAAGTAATGCTGCAATCCCGGAGGACGTAAAACATGTGAGCATAGTGACTTCCCACCACATCCACATTCAATTCATCTATTTGGCCTGTGCACAAAACAGATGGATCTTGGAGAATGACAGTGGATTATTGTCAACTTAATCAGGTGGTGATTCTAATTATAGCTGCTGTTCCAGAGGTGGTTTCATCGCTTGGGCAAATTAACACATCCTCAGGTATTTGGTATACAGCTATTCACCTGAAAAAAAAATGACTTTTTTGTTTTGCTATATATGTTAGTAAAGATCATTAGAAGCAGTTTTCTTTCAGTTGGAAAAACCAGAAATACACCTTTACTGTTCTACTTACAGGATGCGTCCATTCTTCAGCCTTATATCATCATTTAGTCCACTGGGACCTTGATTGATTTCCCTTTCTGCAGAAAATCAGTCCGTTCCATTGCATTGATGACATTATGCTGATTGGACCTGGTAACCAGAAAGTAGCAACTGCTCTGGACACTTGTGTTTCAGAGGGTGGGAAATATATTTCGCAAAAATTGAGAGGCCTTCCGTATCAACTAATTCCCAGGGTCTAATGGTGAAAGGAAGGTCAAAGTATTCCTTCTCAGGTGAAAAATAAGATTTTTGTATCTGATTGGTCCTCCTACAGCCAAAAAAGAAGCACAATGCATAGGAGGCCTCTTTAGATTTTCAAGGCAGCACATTGTTCTTTTTGTGTGTACTACTCCAGCCCATTTACTGAAAGACCTGAAAAGCTACTAGTTTTGAGTAGAAGCAAGATCAAGAAAGGGCTCTGCATCAGGTCTAGCCTGCTGTGCAAGCTGTTCTGACATTTGGGCCATGTGTCACCAGCAAGCCATGATCCGGAAGATCTGATGACATTTAAAATGTCAGTGTCAGAGAGAGATGCTTTTTGGAGTCTTTGGAAGCCTCTTATAAGTGAATCATAACACAGACTCAGGATTTTAGAGTAAAACTCTGCTATTTTCTGCAGATATGTACAGTAAGTCCTCACTTGACCTGATCTATAGATTCTCAAAAACTGCACCTTCAAGCAATACGCATGTTTCTGGTCACAGAAACATCACCCAACTTTTAAATAAAGATGAAAACGCTTCTAATATTAAATATTAAAATAAATATGGGCTATACACATATTTAAGAAAGGTTAATGAAAACAAGTAAGATAATTGTTTACCCAATTATTCCAGTTCAGGGTCACAAGTGGCTGGAGCCTATCTCAGCAGCTCAGGGTGCAACCCGGGCAGGACCCCATCCATCACAGAGTGCACTCACACACACCCACACTCACTCCAGTGGGGATGATTTAAACACTCCACTTCACCTAACATGCACAACTTTGGGAAGTGAGAGAAGACAGGAGTCCCTGAAGAAAACCCACACAGACATGGGGAGACTGTGCAAACTCCACACAGACAGTAGCCTGAAAGGGAATTGATTTTTTTTTCTTATCAACATTATAACAAAATGACATTATTTGAGGAGAGGTGTATACTATTTTTGAGAAACAGTTTTTGGCTTGGTCCCAGGTCTTAATAGGGACCGAATATATTATCATGGACCACCAAGTTATAATGTGATCTGAGCTATCTATCATGAACTGGTTGCTGTCTAATCTACTAAGCATGGAAGTTAGGCATGCACAGCAGCACTGTGCCAGTCAATGGAAGTGGTATATGTGAGGCTTGAGGTGGCTTTCCGGGCAATGGTAAGTTACATAAGGAAGTAACACAAATGCCCACGGCCCTACTCCTGCTACATTATCTTCTCAATCTCAGCCCACACCAATGGCCTCATTGGGAGTTTCTTATCAGTTAACTGAGAAAGTGAAAACTCAGACCTGGTTTACAGATAGTTCTGCACAACATGCAGCACCAGCCAAAAGTAGAAAACTCCATCACTCTAGCTCTTTTCTGGGACATTTTTGAAGGACAGTGGTGAGGAAAAGTTCTTTCAGTGGGCAGAACTTAGAGCAGTTCACCTCATTGTTCACTTTCCATTGAAGGAGAAATGGTCAGATATATGACTCTGTATTATTCAATGGGGTGAGGCTAATGGTTTGGATGGATGGTTAGGAACTTGGAAGAAACATAATTGGAAAAATTGGTGACAAAGAAGTCTTGGAAAGCAGTATGTATATAGATCTCACAAAATGAATAAAGTGGGTGAACATGTTGGCATCTCTTATGAATCTTCAACAAAGGATTACGTCAACAGAGAATGATTTTAATAATCAAGTGGATAGGAAAAAATGTCTGGATGCCAGTCATCTCTTTCTTCAGACACTCCAGCCACTAACGAGCTCTGAACAAATTGGCTATGATGTCAGGAATGGAGATGATGCATGGGCTCAGAAACATGAAATTATACTCACTGGGGCTTTCCTGACCTAAGTCTATACTCTGCCAGCAGCAAAGACCAACACTGAGTCCTCATAATAGAACCATGCCCCAAGATAACAGCCAACTACCTGATGGTTGCTTGATTACAGAGAACTGCTTTCATCATAGAAGATACATTGTTCTTACTAGAGTAGACACTTCTTCTGAACATGGACTTGCTTTCCTTGCATACAATATTTCTGCCAAAATTAGCACCTGTCGACTTAGAGAATATCTTATCCACCATCACAGTATTATACACAGCTCTGGTCAAGGAACTTACTTTGTAGTGATTAAATGTGGCAATGATCTCATGCTCATGGAATCCACTAGCCTGTTACAAATTGTCTTGAAGTAGCTGACTTTATAGAATGTTGGACAGTCTTTTGAAGACTCAGTTACACTTTCAGCTAAATGGAAATACCTAGCAGGAGTCAGGATAGGAGCACTTTCCTCTAGGATGTGTTAATGCTCTACATCACCATCCATTATATGGTGCTGTTTTCCCTACAGCCAGGGTTTATTTGTCCAGGAATTAAGGAGTGGAAATGGGAGTAACTCTATGCATTATTACCCTTAATGATCTCTCAGATATATTTTTGCATTATGTCTCCTCAACTGTAGCCTATGATGGTCTACAGATCTTTGTTCCAAAAGGAGAAATACTTCCACCAGGAGACAGAACAATGATTGCAGCAAAATGGATGTTGAGGCTACTACCTACCCATTTTGGGTTCCTTGTCCTTCCTAATCAATATACAAAGAGGAAGTTAATCTATTGTCTGGGATAATAGATTCTGATTATTAAGGGGATGCTGGGTCGCTACTACACATGGCGGGAAATAAGATTTTTTAAATGTAAGAAATTCTTTATGATGTCTCCCACATCCTATAGCTAAAACCTGTATTAGTCCATTCTCACGTTGCTAATAAGTACATACCCAAATCTGAGTAATTTATAAAGGAAAGAAGTTTAATTGACTCACAGTTTAGCATGACTGGGGAGACCTCAGGAAACTTGCAATCATGGCAGAAGGGGAAGCAAACACATCCTTCCTTACATTGCGACAGCAAGGAAAAGTGCAGAGCGAAGTTGGAGAAAAGCACCTTAAAAATCCATCATATCTCATGAGAACTCACCCACTATTATGAGAACAGCATGGAGGTAACCGCCCCCATGATCCACTTACCTCCCACCAGGTTCCTCCTATAACACCTGAGGATTATGGGAACTACAGTTCAAGATGAGATTTGGCTGGCAACATAGCCAAACCATATCATTCCACCCTAGCCCCTCACAAAACTCATGTCCTCAAAATTCAAAACACAATCATGTCCCTCCAACAGTCCTCCCAGGTATTAACTCATTCTAGCATGAACTCAAAAGTCCAAGTCCAAAGTCACATCTGAGACAAGACAAGTGCCTTTTCTCAGGTCCCTAGGAGCCTGTAAAATCAAAAGCAATTTAGCTATATAATGGGGACAGGCATTGAGAAAATACACCCATTCCAAATGGGAGAAACTGACCAAAACAAAGGGGGTTCAGGACCTATGCCAGTCTGAAATTCAACGGGGCAGTCATTAAACTGCAAAGTTCCAAAATGATCTCCTTTGACTCCCTGTCTCACATCCAGGTTAGACTGATGCAAGAGATGGGCTCCCACAATCTTGGGCAGCTCTGCCCCTGTGGCTTTGCAGGGTACAGCCCCACTCTTGGGTTTTTTCATGGCTGGCATTGAGTGTCTGTGGCTTTTCCAGGTGCATGGTGCAAGCTGTCTGTGGATCTACCATTCTGGGTTCTGGAGAATGGTGACCCTTTTCTTACAGCCACACTAGGCAGTGCCCAAGTGGGGACTCTGTGTGGTGGCTCCCACCTCACATTTCCCTTCTGCACTGACCTAGCAGGGGTTCTCCAGGAGGACTCCACCCCTGCACCAAACTTCTCCCTGGACATCCAGGCATTTCCATGCATCCTCTGAAATCTAAGCGAAAGTTCCCAAACCTCAATTCTTGTCTTATGTGCCTCTGCAGGACCAACACCAACGCCAAGACCCAACCCAAGAGTTGGGTCTTGCACCCTCTGAAGCAACGACCTGAGCTATACCTTGGCCTCTTTTAGTCACCGCTGGAGCAGCTGGGACACAGGGCTCAGGAAACTTACAATCATGGCAGAAGGGGAAGCAAACACATCCTTTTTCACATGGCAGCAGCAAGGATAAGTGCAGAGCAAAGTGGGGGAAAATTCCCTTATAAAACCACCTGGCGCGGTGGCTCATGCCTGTAATCCCAACACTTTGGGAGGCTGAGGTGGGCAGATCATGAGGTCAGGAGATCGAGGCCATCCTGGCTAACATGGTGAAACCCTGTCTCTACTAAAAATACAAAAAATTAACCGGGTGTGGTGGCAGGTGCTTGTAGTCCCGGCTTCTCGGGAGGCTGAGACAGGAGAATGGTGTGAACCCTGGGAGGTGGAGATTGCAGTGAGCCGAGATGGCACCACTGCACTCCAGCCTGGGCAACAGAGCGAGACTCCACCTAAAAAAAAAAAAAAAAAAAAAAAAAAAAAAAAAATCAGATTTTGTGAGAACTCACTCACTATCACAAAAATAACATAGAGGTAACCACCTCCATGATTCAATTACCTCCCACCAGGTACCTTCAATGACGTGAGGATTATGGAAACTACAGTACAAGATGAGATTTGGGTAGGAACAGAGCCAAACCATGTCAAATCAATGGATACCCACAACCCAATCCAGGCAGAACTGCTAGTGGACGAATGCTTCAGGCATGAAAGTTTGGTTCAATTCACCAGGCAAAGAACCATGACTAGCAGCACTGCTTGCTGAGGGCAAAGGGAATATCAAAAGAGTACAGGAAGAAAGTAGTTATAAATACCAGCTACAAGAGCATGACCAGTTACAGAAACAAGGATTGTAAGAGTTATACGTATTCCTTCCTTATTTTATTTTGAATATGTTTGCATATCTTATTAACCATTTTTTAAAAGTTTCTTCCCTGTCTTATTCCCTTAAATGGCTGTTAACTTTATTTTGCAGTAAGTTACAGGATATCAAAGGAGGAGAGTGAACATCATCCAAGGATTTGGAGTCCTCTTCTGGGAAAAAGGTAAGTATATGTTCTTTTGTGGAAAAAAAAAAAAAAGCAGGCTGGGCACGGTGGATCATGCCTGTAATCCCAGCACTTTGGGAGGCCCAGGCGGGCAGATCACCTGATGTCAGGAGTTTGAGACCAGCCTGGCCAACACGGTAAAACCCCATCTCTACTAAAAATAAAAAAAGTTACCTGGGTGTAGTGGCAGGCACCTGTAATATCAGCTACTCAGGAGACTGAGGCAGGAGAATCACTTGAACCTGGGAAGTGGAGGTTGCAGTGAGCCAAGATTGCGCCATTGCACTCTAGCCTGGGTGACAAGAGTGAGACTTCGTTTCAAAAAAAAAAAAAAAACCAAAAAACAAACAAACAAAACCAAACCAAAACAAAACAAGACAGTTGTGTTATTTTGGGTGGATGCATGACTTTGTTACTCACTTTATTTAGAGTTTGACTTTAGGAATGTTAATGGGTGCCAGACTGACAGGTGGACTATGGTGGTGGTTTTACTGTGTCAACCTGGCCAGGCCTCATCCTCTAGTTATTCAAGTACCAATCTAGATGTTGCTATGAAGCTATTTTGTAGATGTAATTAAATCCTAAAATCAGTTGACTTTTAGTAAAGGGGGTTTTACTAGATAATCTGGTGGGTACTGATTTAATTAGTTGAAAGGCTTTAAAAGCAGAGCTGAGGCATTCCTGAGAATAAACTTATGCTTGTGGACCACAGCTTCCACCTATGCCCAATAGTCCCATTCTTCCCTTACTGATGACTCACCTTATGGATTTTGGAACTTTCTAGGCATTCCCCATAAGCTAATTTCTTGTAACAAATTTCTCAGTATGTATCTCCTAATGGTTCTGCTTTATCTGGTGAACTAGACTGTATTAGTCCATTTTCACACTGCTGATAAAGATATACCCAAGACTGGGAAATTTACAAAAGAAAGAGGTTTAATAGACTTAAGAGTTTCACGTGGCTAGGGAGGCCTCACAACCATAGTGGAAGGTGAAAGGCACTTCTTACACGGCAGCAGCAAGGGAGATAACGTGCAGGGAAACTCTCATTTTAAAACCATCAGATCTCATGAGACTCATTCACTATCATGAGCACAGTGCAAGAAAGACCTGCCCCCATAATTTAATCACCTCCCACTGAGTTCCTCCCATGACACGTGGGAATTGTGGGAGTTACAATTCAAGATGAGATTTGGGTGGGGACACAGCCAAACCATATTATAAACTAGTGTAGACAGATATCACCTGTCTGAGACTACTGAACCTGAATTGGTGATGAGAAAAACTCAAAAAAAGAGAAAATATTTATTAACAACATATTCCTCTTTAAATGTTTGGTAGAATTCACCACTGAAGCCATCTGGTCTTGAGCGTCTTTTTGTTGGGAGATGTTTGATTACCGAAAAAATATCCTTACTCATTATGGATCTGTTCAGATTCTCTGTTTATTCATGGTGCAGTCTTAGTAGCTTGTATATTTCTAGAAATATATGCATTTACTTTAGGTTATCCAATTTGTTTGTATTTGATTGCTCATAATAGTCTGTTATGATCATTTGTATTTCTATAGTATCATTTGCATTCTATTTTATTTATAATTTTTCTTGAGTCTTCTTTTTTTCTTAGCCCAGCTAAGGATTTGTCAACTTTGTTTATCTTCTCAAAAAACCAACCCTTCTGTTTTATTGATCTTTTCTATTGTTTTTCTGAAAATGCAAACCCAAACCACAATGAAATATCACTTCATGCCTGTTAGAATGGCTATTACTAGTAAAAAAACAACAACAACAACAACAAAAAATAACCAGTGTTGGAGAGAATGTGAAGAAAAGGGAATCCTTGTATACTGTTGATGGGAATGGAAATTGGAGTAGCAATTATGGAAAACAGTATGGAGATTCCTCAGTAAATTAAAAATAGAACTACTGTACAATCCAGCAGCCCCTCTTCTGGGTATATATCCAAATAAATTGAAATTAGGACCTTGAAAAGACATCTGCAAGCCCGTGCCCATTGCAACATTATTCACAATAGGCAAGATAGAGCAACAACCTAAATGTTCATAGGTAGATTAATGGAAAAATAAACTGTGGTATATACATACAATGAAATATTACCCTGCCTTTAAAAAAAGAAAATCATGTCATTTGAGACAACATGGATGGACTTGGAGGGTATTCTGTTAAATGAAGTCATCCAGACACAAAATAAACAGATACTCTACAATTTCACTTATGTGTGGAATCTAAAACAAACTCTTAGAGGGATAGAGTAGAATGGGGCTTGCCAGGGTCTAGGAAAATGGGAGAATTGGGGAGGTGGTAGTTAAAGGGTACAAAGTTCCAGTTATATGTAAGAGAAGTAATTTCTGGAAATCTACTATACAGTGTAGTGCCTATAGCTAGCAAAACTCCATTTTATACTTAAAATTTGCTGAGAGGGTAAGATCTACCTTATGTTAATTGTCCATATCGAAAAACAGTGACAACAACAACAAAAATCCCAATAATGATAATAAAGGAGCTGGGAGGAAACTTTGGGAGATGACAGGTGTACTATGGCCTTGGTAGTGGTGATGATTTCATGGGTTTATACTTATCTCCAAAGTCACTGTGAGATTGTATATAAAATAGGTACAGTTTTTAAACATGTCAATCATACCTGAATAAAGTGGTTTAAAGACAAAAACAATATATTCTTCATAAGCAGTTCCACTTACTGTATTTTTTTTCTAATATGAGAGCAATTCTCCAGAAACTTCAGCTGTGGGAAAATAAGAAAATCACTGCCAAAGATTTGGCCCATTGCCTTATAAATTATTGAATATATCGGTTATTAAATTTGTAGCCTACAAAACCACTTCTGAGATAACTTGGCCTGCCTAGCATAGAGTTAAGCTTAGAATAATTTTCTAGCTACCAAATTTCAGGAAGGATTTGATTTTATTTGGTTAATTATGGAGAACAACAAGCTTTATTAGGATTTCATTATAGTCCTCTGAATCCCATGAGATTTCCATAGTTAGAAATGAATTTTTAAAGTCTTGCTGAAATAGCTTCGATTATTTCTTGAGGTTTTTTAAAAATGATACTTTACTTTGGTGGCTTATCTGTTGTTGACCTTAAAGTGACCATAATATACTTTTTAATATTTTCTTCAAAATAATAATGATAAGCACAATACAGTATTTTTAACCATAGGCACTTAGCTGTATAGTAGATCTCTAGAATTCATTCATGTAGCATAATTGAAACTTTATAACCATTGAACAACTCCTCACCTCTCTTAACTTGCCCCTGACAACCACTGTTATATTCTCTGCTTCTATGAGTTTGACTATTATAGATACCTCACATAAGTGTAATAATAAACTATTTACCCTTCTTGAATGGCTTCTTTCTCTTAGCATAATGTCCTTCAGGTTCATCCATGTTGTCTCAAATGGCAGGATTTTCTTTTTTTTAAGGATGAATAATTCCATTGTATACTACATTTTCTTTATGCATTTATCTGTCAATGGAAACAGGTTGTTTTCATATCTTGGCTATTGTGACTAATTTTACAATGAACATGGGAATGAAGATGTCTCTTTGAGATCCTGATTTCAATCCCTTTGAATATATACCCAGAGGTGGTATTGCTGGATCATATGTTAAGAAGGTAGATTTCCTGTTAGGTGTTCTTCCCAGGAAAATGAAAGAAAACAAAAACAAAGGGACACAAAAAAACTTGGAGAAGTTGCATACATCTATTACCTTGAGTGGTGATGGTTGTGTGGGTATTTGCATACATCCAAATTCATCAAATTATACACCCTGAATATGTGCAGTTCTTTGTATATCAATTATACCTCAATAAAGCTGTTAAAATTTAAAAATATATATATAATAAAATAACAAAATAATGATGAAGCCAACACATGTTAAGAATTTATCATATGCAAGGCATTCTGAGAAACTCATCACAAGGATTACTTCATTTAATACTCACATAGTCCTCTGAAGTAGTTGCTATCATTATTCCAGTTTGCAGATGAAGAAATGCAGGCACAGAGAAGGAAAATATTTGGCCATGGGTCACACAGCTAATGGACTTAGTTCTGTATAACTGCAGAACTCATACTGTTAGCAACTGTGGTTGTCTGTAATTAATTTAAAGATAGAATAAGTTAAATCTGGTATTTTCATTTCATAGTGTTTAATGTCCTAATGATTAATTTTTAAGTGTATAAATTAATGTTTTATTATCTTCAAAAGCAAATAAAGCAAGCATTTTTTTATTGCTATGATCCCAATTTTTTCTCCTCTACAAAATTGATAAACAATAATAAAGTGTTCCCATTTCTGATTTATAACATAATGCAAAATGTATTGTTTTCAAATTTCTAAGATAAGAATAAAGTTATTTTCACAATTAAATATTTTAGAAGAAGAAGAGTGGTATTCGGGTATTCTAAACTAATAACTGGCATTTCCTTATTTTCCTTCTCTCCTTCATCTTTCCTTCCCTTTGCCTCTCATTAGCCCACCTTTTACATGTACGTTTGGGTGCTTCTTTCTCGGGCTTATAATCACATAAAGCTTTCTATAATTCAATATTACTCTAAATAGTCATCCTCATTTGAGTGAGACTGGCAAACAGGTAACAAGAACAACATTAGTCATTATTTTCATCTTCTTGACTATTCTCCTTCTCCAAACATCTTTTGCTTCCCCCTTTTAAGAAAGAAATTATGGATATAAGTGCACTTTAATATGTTTACCTAACTGGAGGTTTATGCCATAGCAACATGGCTCAGTGTCTCTTCAGGAGGTATATTCCCTGTCTCCTCCCTTTCCTTTCATCCCTGTCCTTGTATTTGTATGCAACTCTTCCTCTCTCTGACCCCCTTCTTGTTTAACATTCATTCTTCTCTTCCATTCAAGAAAGGAAATGTAGAATGGGAACATAAAGTGGCATTGGAGCAAGACTAGAAGTGCTATGTTTCTCCAGGGAGATCATGCGGCCAATGGAAATACTTTAGTACTGGTGCTTCTTTATTAGCCCAGGGAATTATAAGGGTATTTCAACCTGCTCTTTGTAATAACTCCGGGGAATAATAAACAGGGAAGATCAGGGAGAAGAGCCGCCATGTTTGGTATGGTAAAGCATGCAACGGAATCCATAGAATTTGCCATCTCAGTTTGGAATGTAAGCCAAATATGGCAATTGGAGATGGCGCTCCACCCCTCCGATTCGCAAGATATCCGTCGGTATTTAATCCAGTCTAATTCTGACCCTGAGTGATCATGGGAGAGGAGCCCTTAGTTGCCAGGCTTTCCCTTTAGAATACTGTCTGATTAAATGCGCTCTGTTACTCTGGTAGAAAAAGGGAATTTAAGTAACTGGCACCTTGAAATGCCCTGCAGCTAAAGATAGCTCTAAAATAAATGCATAATTGTGAGCTCCCATGACATGTACAGCACAAGATGTCCGAGTGAAAATTCAAAGTCATGCGCATGTAAGAAGGAATGTTATTTCCCAACCACACACACACCATGCAATTTCATTCAGTGACTAAGAGCTTAGGAGCCAGACTACTTGGTTTCAAATCCTGGCTCAGAGGCCTCCAACTGTGTGATTGCAACCACCCCAAGCCTTGATTTTCTCTTCTGTACACTTGTGATAGCACTTCCCTTATACAGGGGCAAAATTTGGTTATTGATCACACCGCCCAGCACATACAAATTACTCAGTAAATGTTAAGGAAGGAAGAAGATTTAGAGTAGCTGGCTTTCAACACTGGGGGATGTGATTGTTTTTAACCTGGATTGGGGCAAGTTTGTGAGAGACTTTAAAACAACTATAGCAATTGGTAGTTATCCTGGGGCTCTTAGCATTCTAGTTGCTTTTTCACTTCTCTATATCACCCTCCCCAATTTCCCTTAGCAAAAACAAGGACTCTTTTGTATTTTCCTTACCACCATTATGTCTATCATATAGCAAACATTAAGAAATAAGGTGAACAGACTATTTTGGTATCAATTACTCATTTTATTCCCTAATCATAGTTCATGATTCCATCTCTTCCAACAAAAGATCAAGGCCTCTCATTTCTTCTATCAGCCACAGAAAACGAGTTGGACCCAGGCACTGGTGGACACATAATGAGTCTCTGAGTGGAAGAATTCTGTCCTCTCTTTGTTATCCTGTCTACTATATGTGTTGTTTATCCTTCTGAATGAAAAGAGAATTGAACTCCAATTATTCTGGAATTCAATGCTGCAAGAGTTGGCTTGGAAAACTATGTGTCCAACAATGGAAGACTTTGGAGTCCGTGAGAAGAACAGAGTTTTATCTGATTATATAAAAAGATCAGTTCAGGTGCAGCCTCTCCAGCCAAGAGAAGGAGGGCCCTCTCTCTACTTCTTACTGGCTCCTGATAGCATATGGTCTAGGTAGTGCAGAGTGAAATAGAAACATCACCTCAAATTCAGTGGCTCACTGGATCAATTCACTTTAATATATATTTCATAATTAGTTCCTTTACCTCCTCCCCAGATTAAAAAAATCATTTTTATTTCAAATTATTAGTCATAAAGGATGTACTTGAGTCAATATGTAAAATAGAGGGACTTGATAAAGTAGATTTTCTTTAAATTTATCTTGCAAAAGAAAAGTAAAACAGTTTTTCTTTTTAAAAAAAATAGTAAAATCATACAAACTTATGACAGAGCAGGGAGTGGGATACAGGCCTGAACTGCAATGCCAGGTCTTCTACTTAAATGCCATGTACTGCCTCTACTGCAAGACGATAATTACATTTTTTTGTGAGTTTCAAAAAAATGCTATTGTCTTGTGTCTTAATTATTAATTATAGCAAAACATATAGATCTGAATATTTCTTTTTAAAATATTTTGTCTTTATCACAACAGTGAATTTCTTTATTCAATGCTACTGCCCCAAATTAAATTCCCACTAAAACTTACATCATTTAACTGTGACAAAACAACTAGTCAAAATAGTATTTTAGTCCTGTGTAAACAAACTAACTAACAGATAAAGAGAACTTTCACTGTTCAGCTGATTGTCATGAGGCTGTGCTGACTGAGTCAAAGGAAAAGGTAAATAAAGCAAGAGACTGACTTCAATATAAATCAATACTGTCTAGAATCAACATGCAACACAACACTTATGCATTTACCAAGAAATATTTACCATATTTTGTATGTTATAGGAGGGCTGAAAGAAGTATCTTAGCACACAATTGCTGATTAATTGGTGGTATACATGGAGTGAAAGAATCCCAAGGTAAAGAAATGAGTTGGTGATATGGGAAACACACACACACACAAAGAAATATTCTATTAAATACCAAGTCTGTCTTTGTTTTCAGCATAGATGTGGCAACAACCTATTGAAAATTTGGAAGTGAGCTGGCAATATTTAGAAACAAATTTAGCCCTGCTGAGAAATATCCTGATCCAATTACCTGAGTTTATTTCAGAATAAAATAAAGTTGTTAGGAAACAAAGATGTAACATCTTGGGAATAAAATTGTATGTGTGAAGGTGTGTGTAAGCAAGGTAGAGAGAATACAAAAGTCTCTTCAATTCTAAATGATTAGTTGCAATAAACTGTCTTTTGCTGGTGAATATAATAATGAAAAGGCATTAACGAAATTGATTTTTTAAAAATATTGATTGTCACAAAGGAAATCATTGCCTCTATTTCAAAAGTCAGCAATGCAGAAATGAGAAAACCAACCCATAGTAAAACTGCAGAGGTCAGAGGCCAAGTTTTATCTTCTCTGTATGTGCCATAGCATATAATTGGAAGAAAAGACCTGACAAAGGCATATTTCCCAATGGCCCTACTGAGAAGAAAATATCTATTGTGGCTAGAACTATTAAGATCAGGAGGCTTTATAGCAATATTTATTCACCACAGATTAAATTGTGAAAAATCAATATATTTGTTTAAAAAGGTGAATAACAAAAAAAGTATATTGTTTTCTAAATCTCTTTGAAGATTTTCAATAAGGGTGCAAGTTTTTACCCCACCCATTTCCAAACACACACACACACAGACACACACACAAACACACACACATCTCTCCTGTTTTTAAGTGCATGATTGTCACCTACTTTAATTTATGCCAATATCCATGCTAGACCTAGGTGCTCTAATTGGATACAAAAGCAATAATTGTAATGGGATGTGGTTAACCTCTCAAAGGCCTGTTAGTTCACTCAGCTGTGACAGCTGGGGGAAATTAAAGTAGTTCCAATAAATCACTCAAAAGCAGATAGAAACTGCTAATAGAAAGAGAACTTTAAGGAAAAAGAAATATCTGGTAAAAAAAATTCTAGCATTAGAGCTATCAATCTATCATTTATTTAAATCTTACTCTAGCTTCTGTTCCTCCCTAGCATCTTCCATAAAGTATTTTAAAAGAGCAGGCTGAGGTGGATTTTCCTAAATTTGAGTTTCTCTTCTATGGGATTTCTGTGATGTTTTCTTGGCTCAATATTGACCTGATAGTAATTTTTATTAAGGTCCCATGCTTAGCATCAAATACGTGTACACTCACAGACTGAACATTTAAAATGGACCAGCATTATAGCATGGACTCTTGGTATTCACCACTTTAGCATCCCAGACTTTCACTACTCAAAAAACAAAACTCCAAAGGTCCATGAAATCTTGTGATTTTTGATTAAGTGGAGGCAAAAAAACTTTTTAAACTGTTTTGCATTGCAAGAGTAAGGTATGTAGCTCCTGAGTGAATTTAGTTAACTATCCAATACCCTGTTTATATTGTATATATTTTAGAGGAGAAATATTAAGTCATGTTGAGGTTAAATGACTTGTTCTGGGACTATAAGTGGCGGATAGATGGGGTGCATTTAGTCTAGATCTCCTGAACGATGCCTAGCAATAACTAAAATTATAAATATTCCTTCAAAATTACTTTAAAGCTCAATGCAAATCTTCTCTTTTTAAAGAACTTTCCAGGTTTACTTCTGCACATCGGGAAACAAAAATTTTACTTCAAGTTGAAGAGTTGAATTGTTTGAAGCACAGTTAAATGATAATTTTATGTATTTTATACATTTGTGAAATCTATATAACTTGGAGTTATCAACAGATGTTATAGTTAAGAATTCTTGCTGAACTTTGCAAATTATCTTTATTCAAGACAGAATCTGAATGTCAAAACTTTTTTTTGCAATTGGCATCTTTTCTTTTTCAGTTATTTCTCTAGGATTCCACTGTGACATCCTAGCAGAATTCTTTTTATTTATTTATTTATTCATTTTATTATACTTTAAGTTCTAGGATACATGTGCACAACATGCAGGTTTGTTACATATGTATACATGTGCCATGTTGGTGTGCTGAACCCATTAACTCATCATTTACATTAGGTATATCTCCTAATGCTATCCCTCCCCCCTCCCCCACCCCATGACAGGCCCTGGTGTGTGATGTTCCCCTTCCTGTGTCCAAGTGTTCTCATTGTTCAATTCCCACCTATGAGTGAGAACATGCGGTGTTTGGTTTTTTGTCCTTGCAATAGTTTGCTGAGAATGATGGTTTCCAGCTTCATCCATATCCCTGCAAAGGACATGAACTCATCCTTTTTTATGGCTGCATAGTATTCCATGGTGTATATGTGCCACATTTTCTTAATCCAGTCTATCACTGATGGACGTTTGGGTTGGTTCCAAGTCTTTGCTATTGTGAATAGTGCTGCAATAAACATACGTGTGCATGTGTCTTTATAGCAGCATGATTTATAATCCTTTGGGTATATACCCAGTAATGGGATGGCTGGGTCAAATGGTATTTCTAGTTCTAGATTCTTGAGGAATCGCCACACTGTCTTCCACAATGGTTGAACTAGTTTACAGTCCCAGCAACAGTGTAAAAGTGTTCCTATTTCTCCACATCCTCTCCAGCACCTGTTGTTTCCTGACTTTTTAATGGTCACCATTCTAACTGGTGTGACATGGTATCTCATTGTGGTTTTGATTTACATTTCTCTGATGGCCAGTGATGATGAGCATTTTTTCATGTGTTTTTTGGCTGCATAAATGTCTTCTTTTGAGAAGTGTCTGTTCATATCCTTTGCCCACTTTTTGATGGGGTTGTTTGTTTTTCTTGTAAATTTGTTTGTGTTCTTTGTAGATTCTGGATATTAGCCCTTTGTCAGATAAGTAGATTGCAAAATTTTTCTCCCATTCTGTAGGTTGCCTGTTCACTCTGATGGTAGTTTCTTTTGCTGTGCAGAAGCTCTTTAGTTGAATTAGATCCCATTTGTCAATTTTGGCTTTTATTGCCATTGCTTTTGGTATTTTAGACATGAAGTCCTTGCCCATGCCTATGTCCTGAATGGTATTGCCTAGGTTTTCTTCTAGGGTTTTTATGGTTTTAGGTCTTACGTTTAAGTCTTTAATCCATCTTGAATTAATTTTTGTATAAGGTGTAAGGAAGGGATCCAGTTTCAGCTTTCTACACATGGATAGCCGGTTTTCCCAGCACCATTTATTAAATAGGGAATCCTTTCCCCATTTCTTGTTTTTGTCAGGTTTGTCAAAGATCAGATTGTTGTAGATGTGTGGCATTATTTCTGAGGCCTCTGTTCTGTTCCATTGGTCTATATCTCTGTTTTGGTACCAGTACCATGCTGTTTTGGTTACTATAGCCTTGCAGTATAGTTTGAAGTCAGGTAGCCTGATGCCTCCAGCTTTGTTCTTTTGGCTTAGGATTGTCTTGGCAATGCAGGCCCTTTTTTGGCTCCATATATACTTTAAAGTAGTTTTTTCCAATTCTGTGAAGAAAGGCATTGGTAGCTTTATGGGAATGGCATTGAATCTATAAATTACCTTGGGCAGTGTGGCCATTTTGACGATATTGATTCTTCCTATCCATGAGCATGGAATGTTCCATTTGTTTGTGTCCTCTTTTATTTCGTTGAGCAGTGGTTTGCAGTTCTCCTTGAAGAGGTCCTTCACATCCCTTGTAAGTTGGATTCCTAGGTATTTTATTCTCTTTGAAGCAATTGTGAATGGGAGTTCACTCATGATTTCATATCCAGCCAAACTAAGCTTCATAAGTGAAGGAGAAATAAAATCCTTTACAGACAAGCAAATGCTGAGAGATTTTGTCACTACCAGGCCTGCCCTAGAAGAGCTCCTGAAGGAAGCACTAATCATGGAAAGGAACAACCAGTACCAGCCACTGAAAAAACATGCCAAATTGTAAAGACCATCAACGCTAGGAAGAAACTGCATCAACTAAACAGCAAAATAACTAGCTAACATCATAATGACAGGATCAAATTCACACATAACAATATTAACCTTAAATGTAAATGAGCTAAATGCTCCAATTAACAGACACAGACTGGCAAATTGGATAAAGAGTCAAGATCCATCAGTGTGCTGTATTCAGGAGACCCATCTCACGTGCAGAGACACACATAGGCTCAAAATAAAGGGATGGAGGAGGATCTACCAAGCAAATGGAAAGGAAAAAAAAGCAGGGATTGCAATCCTAGTCTCTGATAAAACAGACTTTAAACCAACAAAGATGAAAAGAGACAAAGAAGGCCATTACATAATGGTAAAGGGATCCATTCAACAAGAAGAGCTAACTATCCTAAACATATATGCACCCAATACAGGAGCACCCAGATTCATAAAGCAAGTCCTTAGAGACGTACAAAGAGACTTAGACTCCCACACAATAATAATGGGAGACTTTAACACCCCACGGTCAACATTAGACAGATCAACAAGACAGAAAGTTAACAAGGATATCCAGGAATTGAACTCAGCTCTGCACCAAGTGGACCTAATAGACATCTACAGAACTCTCCACCCCAAATTAACAGAATATACCTTCTTCTCAGCACCACATCACACTTATTCCAAAATTGACCACATAGTTGGAAGTAAAGCACTCCTCAGCAAATGTAAAAGAACAGAAATTATAACAAACTGTCTCTCAGACCACAGTGCAATCAAACTAGAACTAGGATTAAGAAACTCACTCAAAACTGCTCAACTACATGGAAACTGAACAACCTGCTCCTGAATGACTACTGGGTACATAACGAAATGAAGGCAGAAATAAAGATGTTCTTCGAAACCAATGAGAACAAAGACAAAACATACCAGAATCTCTGGGACACATTCAAAGCAGTGTGTAGAGGGAAATTTATAGCACTAAATGCCCACAAGATAAAGCAAGAAAAACCTAAAATTGACACCCTAACATCACAATTAAAAGAACTAGAGAAGCAAAAGCAAACACATTCAAAAGCTAGCAGAAAGCAAGAAATAACTAAAATCAGAGCAGAACTGAAGGAGATAGAGACACAAATCCCTTCAAAAAAATCAGTGAATCCGGGAGATGGTTTTTTGAAAAGATAAACAAAATTGATAGACCACTAGCAAGACTAATAAAGAAGAAAAGAGAGAAGAATCAAATAGATGCAATAAAAAATGATAAAGGGGATATCACCACCGATCCCACAGAAATACAAACTACCATCAGAGAATACTATACATCTCTATGCAAATAAACTAGAAAATCTAGAAGAAATTGATAAATTCCTGGACACATACACCCTCCCAAGACTAAACCAGAGAGAAGTTGAATCCCTGAATAGGCCAACAACAGGCTCTGAAATTGAGGCAATAATTAATAGCCTACCAACCAAAAAAAGACATGCTAGCAGAATTCTTTGGAGTCCCAAAACAGGACGTTCTTGACCACTTGCTGCCTACTGTCTTTGAGTAGCCCAAAACCCACAGACAGCACTAAACTGGGGTGGTGGGGGCAGATTATATGCTGCTGAGTGGAAGAGTTCCCACTCCAGCAGTTGGGAGGGAAAAGACTGCAGCAAGCACACCCCAAGAGGCTTAGGCAGTTCAATCCTAGTGCCAGCAGAGGGCAATCATTTCTGTTCCTGGAAGAAACAACTACATTCTCCCTACATGGAAAGAAGTCAAAAGCATGACTCACAACATTAAGAGGAATAATATCTACAAATCATCATCAACGACAGCCAAATATAACTTATTTAAGGTATTGATTCATATAAGGAAAGAAAATCAAGTTGTAAAAGCAAAAACAGATAGCTTCCATTGAAATAGAACGAATACCCAGCACTTTGCAAGGCTGAGGCGGGAGGATCACTTGAGCCCAGGAGTTACAGATCAGCCTGGGCAAAATGGTGAAACTTCATCTCTACTGAAAATACAAAAATTGGCTGGGCGTGGCGGCCTGCACCTGTATTCCCAGCTACTCAGGAGGCTGAGGTGGAAGGATCACCTGAGCCTGGAAGGCAGAGTTTGCAGTGAGCTGAGATCATACCAGCCTGGGTGACAGAGCCAATAATAATAATACTGTCTCAATAATAGTGTCTCAATAATAATAATAATAACAATAATAATAATAAATAAATAAAACTGATAGAAGAGATGAACAAAATCTTTAAGCAAAACATGAGGTTCTTCAAAGAGACAATTACAGTTCCAAAAAGACTTTCTAGAGTTAACAAATATATTTCTACTATTTAAGAAATTAAATTTTTAAAATGAAAGGAAAGAGAGAATGATGTATGTTAATAAGCCATTTAGGGTTTTCAAAGATTAAGAGAAAAAAGTTGCAACAAAAAGTGAAGTTCTACAGAGCTGTAATTTATAGGTAAAAGAACATGAGGCAGGTGAACAGATCTGGAAGATCTAAGGAGAATATAATAGGTGTCCTCGAAAGAGCTGCCAGACTACAGATAGGAAATGAATCATTAGACAAAAGTTAAAATAAAAAAAGAGGAGGAAGCTACCGTAATTTGTTGAGTCTTCAGATCAAAAGAGACAATGTGCCCTGGGCCGTATTAATGGACACAAACACACACACACATACACACACACCCCTTGACATTGCATGTTAACATTCCAGACATGCAAAGAGAAAGAGAAAATTTTTACAATCTCCAGAAATAAAATTACAAAAGAAGGCTAGATGACACTTTCCAAATCACCTTTCATTAAGAGTAACTTAAAATGTATGAGTACTAGGCTTAATACATGGGTGATGAAATAATCTGTACGACAAACTCCCATGACAAAAGTTTGCCTATGTATCAAACCTGCCCTTGTACCTCTGAACCTAAAATAAAAGTTAAGAAAATAGTAATAAAAATGTATTTGACAAATCCATCTTGAGCCATGTAACAGAGGTTAATCAGAAATGGTGGGGTAGAGGGTACTTGATAAAGTGCCTCATTAACTCTGATAATAATGAGACAGTAACTTGATGAGAATAACACATAGTAACATTTTATGAATATATAATCCATTTACTAAGAAACAGGTTAATTCACTAAATTACTGTACCTACCTGTAATATCGGCTGTGAGAAAGTAAATCATGGTATACACCATTTCTACCATAAAATGAAACTGTGGTTTGAAAGAAAATACCAGCTTTGACCTAATGACTTTAGCTTTAAATATTTGTCTATACCTTGCAAACTGAATTGCTTAGAAATTACTAACCTGATTTACTTCGGAAAGACTCTTCCCTGGTGTTCATCACTGAGAAACTGTAGTGTATGTGTGCAAGAACACAGACTCTGGCCCCAGACCTGCTGGATTTGCATCTTAGATCCACCTCTTACCTGTGTGGTCTCCATGTCCCATCCCTTATCTGTAAAGCCAGTGTACTGAGAGCATTCACCTCACAGAGTGATGGGGAAGGTTAAATAAGTACATAATGCACTTAGAACAGTGTTTGTCACCAACTTAGTGCCACACGAGCATTTACATTATTTTCATTGCTGCTGTAGTTAATGTGTAGTTGGCTGTCATTCAGTGCACCAGTATCCGGCACCAGAAGCAGAGTGGACCCAGCACCCTTCCCACGAGATCATGGGCCACCTCGTGTCAGAACGTTCGGAAACTGAGATTTCCTGGTTTGAAACATTAGTCTAAGGCCAAGGTGAATGAAATAGGGTCAGGTGAAATTTAAAAAACCAAAATAAAAAAACAAACAAACAAATTAAGTTTAAAATACTTAGAAAGTTAGATTGTCAGCCGTTACTCTTACAGCTACCTGCCCGTTTGCCTCCAGAAATTGTTTGCTGACATTCTCGTTCATCCTAATCTACTATGGATTAAAGTTAAAATTGTTTCTAAAATAAAAATAAATAATGTCTTGGCAAGACACAAAAATAATCTAACATGGATAGAACATAAGAGCTTAATGTAAGATATGTTTGTTTTGGAGCTACTCAACTGTTTGCCATATAATTCCTATTTGTTTATTATTGTGGTTTATCTATTTTGGGTGATGAGGGAATGGGTTATATTTTAGATAGCTGCAGTAGTTGTACAGGTCTTCTGGTAAATGAAATACAGCTAAAGAACAATTTTTTCCTGCTAACCAACAATTCTTTCCAGTCTCCCTCACTCTGAACTTGGAATAATCTCTTTTCTCTCAACTCTTTTAGTCACCAAATCTCAGCCTTTTAATTGTCTCATTTATAGTCTCTTCTCCATTTCTATCACCAATATTGTCCTTTTTACTGATGTTTTTATGATAGCAGAATTACTATCAGTCTCCTATCTTGATTTCCTAATTAATCACCAGTACATCCAGTTTCAACATGAACAAGGGACTTTCTTCTCTCAACATAATTTGTCTTTTCTTTTAAATTCTGAATTGCTCAAAGACAGGGACCAGGCCGAGGTGTGGTGGCTCAAGCCTGTAATCCCAACACTTTGGGAGGCCATGGCAGGAGGATCACTTGAGTCCAGGATTTTGAGACCACCCTGGACAACATAGCAAGACCATGTTTCAAAAAACAAATAAATAAATAAATAATTTTAAAAGGACCATGTTATATTCATCTCTATATTTCCATTTTTTTTTTATCAGTTTTAATACCTGATATACAATAATTGGAGGGTATAGGAGTGCGGGTATGGGGAGTTTTTATTTTTAATTTTACTTCCAGGGCTAAGAGTGTTGTTATTAAGCTCAGTGCTTTTACATTATGAAGCTTAGTTTACAAAGCCCTTTCGGGTTATCATGTGCTTGTTTAGGAATCATTGGCTTTCTTTGTTTTTGTCTTTTCAACCTTTTCAAATGTCTACTGCATATGCCAAAGGCAGAATCTAAATCTCTGGATATCATGTGTGACTACTTGAAAACGTGTCTCTCCAACTGTTAGAGACAAAAAGATTCTCTGTAAAAAAAAATATATATATCCTGAAGATAATCTGATTTTAATACTGGAAATAACAATTTTGATGAGTAATTTATGTTAAAGGAAAAAAATATTACAAGTGAGTCATTTCTTTGATGAAACAACAGGTGGCAGCAAAGGGGGTAATATTGGCATCCCTACTTTTCAGAATAATTGGAACCGAAAATTGCTTTTGGAAGTCCATTTTGAATCCTGTCTTAAAACCAATAAAATTTTTGAAATATCAGTATACAGATTTTTAGTAATTATGTTATAAGATATTCTGCTTTTTAAAATAATTCTGTTTGTAGGACAAATGGGCAGAAATGTGGATCTTTTAAGAGTTCCCTTGGAACCTTCATTTAAAAAGACGGGTCACTTTTTGGTAGATCTAAAAAGAAGAAACATAAACCAACTAAACAGATGCTTAGCTTCCAAACAAATGCTCACAGAACCTCTCTCTTGCATTGGCCAAATTTTCTCTTCCTATAAAGCAATCTGTCCGTCACAGCAACATTTCATTGTTTTCAAATCACCAAATTTAGTTTATTGTAAGGTTTGGTATAAGTTGTTTTTTAAAATTCAGAACTAAAATCTTTTGACAGGAAATGCTAAAGTTGAATAAAGATAATTAATGTAGTATAATAGGTATCAGGATTTATCTGGAAAATTAAAAGAGCAATAGCATTGATTCTAATAATTCCTGAGCTTAAAGTGCACTTTGATATGAATTATCTGCATAAACTAATATGTTTTCTCTATTTATGCAATTGTAGCAGTGACAACAGCTCTTTCTGTTAGTGAAATCCTCTTTCATATGTAGTCTTGTTTGTAGAGGAAGCTAAGGTCTGAGGGGGAAGAATCCTCTTTTTACTCAAAGGGGAGCAGAAAGAAAATAGTGAATAGTTATACCAAATCACTGAAGTAGCTCCAGATGTACCAAAAGTAACGATGATTACAAGTCACACACTGAAAGCTACACTCAAGTTTAATTATCAGTACAGTTCTGATACATTTAAGACTTCCTATCCACTTATAAATGTAACTCCCATCTTCTTTCTTTAAAATAAATAACCTGCACTTTTAGAAATGGATTTTAGAGATGGCTTATAGCAACTTTATTTTTTACTTTTCTTTTCTTTTTTAAACTGGAAGTGTGAAGGGAGAAATTTTGCCAGATGACAAGATGATTTCAGGAGAGGTGAAGATCCATGCAGTGCTATAAAATAAGCAGTAATGCATTTATAGTCCCCAGATTTCCTTTCATCATCTCATCCTTTCCTCCTAGTAATGCCACCATTACCCACCTCAGGCCCACGTGCCTTCCTAGTTCTTCTTTCTCCTACTCTTTAAAACTTACTTTGAGATCCCACATTCACACACAACATAAATACGTTGTAACAGAGGCCAAAGCTTTGTGTTAAAGTTCTATTGAGCAGAATTTCATGCTCCCAACTGTCAAATGGAGCGGGACTTAAAAGACATGAAGTCACATGGGAGAGCTAAGGGTATTGAACTGAGACTAAATCATGTAGTTGCCTCTTCCTCTGTTTCCACATACAACTGGCTGAAACCATTGCAGTTACACACAGTCAAACTCATTTCAGACATGGCCATGGTATTTGTCTGCAAGACACATGACTTCTATATTTGCAATAATACGCACACACACAGCCAATACAAGCTGAAGCTTATAATAGACACACATGGCCAATACAACCGGAACGGTTCATTTGAAATGATATGAAGAATACAGGTTTAAAAATGGCAAAGTAGATCTCTAATTTAGCAGTCTTAAGGAACAAAGTCGACAGCAACATTCATGCCTTTGAAGACTTCCTCTCTAAAAACAAATAATGATCTAAGCTGGCTTTGGAGTGTTTGCTTCCATCACACAGCAATGGCTCTCTCCCAAATGGAGAAACTTCTAAAGTCAAAATGTGACTTAACAACAGGGAAAAGATAGTAAGACCAGTGAAAATAGTGGAAAGGCAATCGACACAAGGGAAGAAAGAAAAGAGAGTCATAATAAAGGAATTTTGTTTTCAGAGCAGGAAGAATCACATGCACCAGGACTGTCAGGTTCAGTCAAAAACATGTGGAAAATATGTCCCCTAGTCAGGCCACTCTTGGCAATGAACCATAACTGTGAGTGTTGGGTCAGTATCAAGTTCTCCTGAACACCATGGCTTACAAACAGGAAAAAAAGGAAGCATCTGAGTCAGGTCCCCCCCAAAAAAGGACAACAGTGTGTATGTCCTCATTGTGTTTGGTTATCTCTAAATGAAAATAAATGTGGTGCCCCCTGGATCGCCGCCAGAACAAGGTGATGATATAGAGATGGATTCATGCCACTTTCTGTTCTCTTGTAACTCTTTTAGGAAAGAAAAGTTCTTAGTGCACAATTATATCATTAAAAACAAGAGCTGTAAAGCCCTCATGACAATAACATGCCTGATTCTTCACAGATTGAGAATAATCATGCTTCAAAGCCCATTAAAATCTTGAAGAAACCACAATTTATGAGGTAGAAATTAAGCCACACAAAATAGACAAAGCTATACTGAGCAAAAAGGACAAAATTGGAGGACCCAGATTATCTGACTTCAAGTTATACTGCAGAGCTATGGTAATCAATACAGCATGATACTAGCATAAAAACAGACACATAGACCAATGGAACAGAACAGAGAACCCAGAAGCAAGTCCATACATGTACAGTGAACTCATCTTTGACAACAGTGCCAAAAACATCCATTGCAGAAAGAACAGTCTTTTTAATAAACGGTCCTGGGAAAACTGGATATCCATATGCAGAAGAATGAAACTAGACTGCCATCTCTCACCATATATAAAAATCAAATGAAAATGGATTGAAGACTTAAATCTAAGACCTAAAACTATGAAACTACTACAAGAAAACATGGGAGAAACTCTCCAGGACATTGAACTGAGCAAAAAATTCTTGAGTAATACCCCATAAACTCAGGCAACCAAAACAAAAATGGACAAATAGTATCACGACAAGTTAAAATGCTTATGCACAGCAAAGGATACAATCAACAAAGTAAAGAGGCAACCCGCGGAATGGCAGAAATTATTTGCAAACAATCCATCTGACGAGGGATTAATAACCAGAATACATAAGGAGCTAAAGCAATTCTATAGGGAAAAAATCTAATAAACCAATTTTAAAATGGGCAAAAGATCTGAATAGACATCTCTCAAAAGAAGACATACAAATGGCAAACAGGCATATGAAAAGGTGTTCCACATCATTGATCATCAAAAAAATGAAAATCAAACCTACAATGAGATATCATCTACCCCAGTTAATTATTGCCAAAAGACAGGCAATAACAAATGCTGGCGAGGATGTGGACAAAAGGGAGTCCTTATATGCTGTTGGTGGGAATGTAAATTAGTACAATCACTATGGAGAACAGTTTAGAGATTTCTCCAAAAACTAAAACTAGAGCTACCATATAATCCAGTAATCCAACTGCTAGGGATACACTCAAAAGAAAGAAATAAGTATATTTATGAGATATTTGCACTCCCACGTTTATTGCAGCACTATTAACAATAGCCAATATTTGGAAACATCCTGTGTCCATCAACAGATGAATAGATAAAGACAGTGTGGTTTTCCATTCCTGAGTTACTTCTGTGTTCTCACTGATGTGTAGGAGCTAAGCTATGGGGACGCAAAGGCATAAGAATAATACAGTACTTGGGAGGCTGAGGCAGGAGAACTGCTTGAACCCAGGAGGTGGAGGTTGCAGTGGGCCGAGATCGTGCCACTGCACTCCAGCTTGGGCAACAGAGAAAGACTCAATCTCAAAAAAAAAAAAAGATACAGTAGACTTTGGGGACTTGGGGTGACAAGTGGGAGTGGGGCGAGGGATAAAAGACAACAAATATGGTGCAGCGATACTGTTCGGGTGATGGGTGGCACCAGGAGCTCACAAATCTCCACTAAAGAACTTATGTAACCAAATACCACCTGTACCCCAATAACTTATGGAAAAATAAAAAAAAATTAAAGACAATGTTGTACATATACACAATGGAGTACTACTATTCAGCTATTAAAAATAATGAGATTCTGTCATTTGCAACAACATGAATGGAACTGGAGGTCATTATGCTAAGTGAAAAAATCCAGGCAAAGAAAGCCAAGCATCGCATGTTCTCGCTTATTCGTAGGAACTAAAAATTATAACAATTGAACTCATAGAGATAGAGAGTAGAATGATAGTCATCAGAGACTGGGAGGGGTAGTTGGAAGAGAATAGCGGGGTGGAGGTGGGAATGGTTAATGGGTACAAAAAATAGAAAGAATAAATAAGATCTAGTAATTGGTAGCACAACTATAGTCAATAATAATTTAATTATACATTTAAAAATAACTAAAAGATCGTATGTCTCCATCAAAATATCCCATATACTCCATAAATATACACCTGATATGTACCCAGAAAAAAACATTTTAAAATTACAAAATTTAAAAATTAAAAAAAAATAAGCCACAGATTTGGGACATCTTTCTGTTCAACGCAGTTCAAACAGTTAATCACATTATTGCACAGATACAATCCATAACATAAGATCTTAAATGCGTGGATACAAGCCAATGTCTCTCTAATGACCACATAATGAAAGTGTATATAATTAGGGGTATGAATCCTCACTAGAAAAGTATGTTTCTAGGTTTTGGGTACTAGAACTCCTCCAACTTCTCCAAATAGCTGAGACCACCTAGGATTTCAGGATACAGAGAAGAGAATTTGTTTGATTCATGGAATGTTAGGACATGTAACTGATAATAACAATTATAATATTACTGTTATAGATGACATATAGTATATGCCATGTAGTGAGGGTAAGCCTGTCATGTGAATTATCTCATTTAATTCTCACAAGACCCTATGGAATAGATTCTAAAGTTCCACAATTACTGGATGAACACCCTTGGAGAAAAATCAGTTCTGGAATTCCAAATATTTTGGATTTTAGAAAGGCAATATTAGATAGATAGATAGATAGATAGATAGATAGATAGATAGATAGATACACACACACACACACACACACAGAGCTGTGTGATCCCAGTGTAATCTCATCCATGAACCAATATTGATATATCATTACCCACTAGAGTCCCAGCTATTTTAATGGTTTTTTGTTTTTGTTTTTGTTTTTGTTTTTGTTTTTGTGACGGAGTTTTGCTCTTGTTGCCCAGGCTGGAGTGCAATGGTGCGATCTCGGCTCACTGCAACCTCCACCTCCCAGGTTCAAGCAATTCTCCTGCCTCAGCCTCCCAAACGGTTTTTATCTAACACCCTTTTCCAGGATATCACATTGCACTTAGCTGCCATGTCTCCTCAAGCTTCTCCTGGATTCAGCAGTTCCTCACACTTTCCTTGTCTTTGAATACCTTGGGTTTAGGAGAATACTGGTCAGGTAGCTTGTAGAATGCTCTTCAGCTGGAATTTATCTGCTATATTTCTCATGATTACACTGGGGTCACAGGTTTGGTGGAAGAACCCAGAAGTAAAGTGTTATTCACATCACATCATATATATTATGTGCATACTATCAACATGATCTAACTCTGTTGATAATTAACCTTGCTCACCTTACTGAAGTGATGTTTATTATGTTTCCATTCTGTGTAGATATGCCCGCTATTCCCCATTTTATACTATTTGGAAGGAAGTCACTATACCTAGTTCATGTTTTAGGAGAGAGGAATTATATTACATCTCATTAAGGGTGGAGTATCTACATAAATTATTTGGAATATGTCTGCACAGGAGATCTCTCTATTCTCCCTTATTTATTATTTTCATTTGCTTATGGAATCAAGGAAATTTATTTTACACTTTGGGTTATAATCTAATATCACTTTGTTTTGTTCAAATGATTGTAACTGTGGTCATTGGGAGTTCTGTCACTTGTCTCATCATGTATATCTCCTGTCCCAACCCTAGAATCAGTCATTCCTGTAATTATCTCTGGATCTTTATATTGAAGAATGTTATGAGAAACTAAAATCTGGGTGCTAATATGTGTTCATTGTTATTGGAATTTTTTCCTAGTGTTTCAAGATGACAGAGTAAAAGAAAAATATATTTATACTAACGCACATATATACACATATCTATAAGTATTTCTATATTTAACTGCTATAGTCTGAATATTCATGCTCCCTAAAAATTCATATGTTTTAACCTAATCATCAATGTGCTGATATTAGAAGGTGGGGACCTCTGTGAGGTGATTAGATCATAATGGCAGAGGCCTCATGCATGGCATTAGTGTCCTTATTAAAAAGGTCCCAGAGGCCTGTCTTGTCCCTTCTGCCAGGTGAGAATGCAGCAAGAAGACATCTTCCATGAACCAGGAAGTGAGCCTCACCAGACACAAAATCCACTGTTGCCTTGATCTTGGACTTCCTCTCCTCCAGAACTGTGAGAAATAAATTTCTGTTGTTTATAAGCTACTTGGTGTATGACATTTTGTTATAGCAGCCTGAAATCACTGACTGTAACTACCTGTGTCTCTGTTAATCTAAATGAGTTTTCCTACTGATATATCCAACTCTAATCCATTACCACATGGATCATTCTAGCCTGTTCTCCTTGCATGTCTGTAAATTCTCACTACTACAGTAAAAATCCTGGCTTTGACTATCTACCATCCGTTTACTTATTTCTTCAATTTGAGAGTATATATATATAGTGTTTTCAGATTTTTTAGTCTCTACCCTCATGGAAAATAACTTTATCAGCTAAAACACAGTGCTTATGTACAGTTCCTTTTGACTTTAGTCAGTCTCCACTCATTTTCAGTTACTTAATGACTCAAGACATTTTTCTTCACTCCATTCAGTGAGGATATATCATAAATGGGTAATACAGTTTTATTCTTTTGTCACATTTTTCATTCTACGTTGGAATACTCCAATATCCTAATGATGTTTTTTCATATGTTGAGGTTTACCTTTTGTGCTGTAATCTTCTATGTGCTTTGATAAATGTAGAGTTCCATGAATCCACCATTAAAGTATCAAAATAAAACACAAAATAGTTTCATAACTCTAAACAATGCTGTAAGTTCTTCTATTCAACACTTCCTCCACAAACTCCTAGGAAAAATTGCCCCTATAACTTTGCCTATTCTAGGATGTCATAAAAATGGAATGATATATTGTGTAGTCCTTTCAGAGTGGCCTTTTAATGTCTTATTTATTTAAGATTTGTCAAGGCTTTTACATGACTTGATAGTTAATTCCCCTTTTTCCCTGAATTGCATTCCATTATATGAATACATCCAGTCTATTTATCCACTTACCTATTAAAGGATTACTTCCAGTATTTGGTAACTATGAATAAAGCTGCTATAAACACTTATATTCAGTATTCTCTGTGGACATAAATCTTCAAATCAGTTGGGTAAATGCCTATGGAGTGTGATTTCAGAGTCATATAATAAGACCATTTTGCTTTGAAAAAAAAAACCTGCCTAACTGTCTTACAAAGTGACTGCAGAATGTTACTTTCCCATAAGCAATGACAGTCTTTTTCTTTTTTCTATATAATTGCCAGCGATTGTTATGTCCGTTATTTAGGATTTTAGCTATTCTAATAGATATACATTAATAGGATTTCAATTTGCAATTCTCTAATGGCATGATGTTGAGCATCTTTTTACATGCTTTTTTGATACCTGTATAAATTTTTTGATGAGATGCCTAATTCAAATTTTTTCACCATTTTTTAATCGGGTTATTTGTTTTCTAAGGGTTTTTTTCCCTCTATTTAGATACTCGTACTTTATAAAATATGTACTTTGCAAGTATTTTGAGTCCTCACTGTATTTTTTATTTTCTTTACAATGCCATTCCCAGTGCAAATACTTTTTAATTTAATGAAGTTCAACCTCCCAATTATTTTCATGGATTGTGATATGGGTGTTATAACTATAAACTCATCATCCAACCCAAGATTGTGTATTTTCTTCTGTGTTTTCTTCCAAAAGATGTATAGTTTTGCAATTTTCTTTGGGTTAATAATTCATTTCGAGTTAATTTTAATGTAATGTGTATTGTCTGCATTTAGGTCCTTTTTTCCCCTTTGGCATATGGATTTCCATTGCTGCAGCATCATTTATTGAAAATATTACCTATTCTCAGCTGAGTTGTCATTATCAAAATCCAGTTTACTGTATTTGGGTGGGTCTATCTCTAGGTTACCTATTCTCTTACACTGATGTGTAGAGAAATAAGTCTTGAAATCATTTAGTCTGAGTTTTCCTCTGGTTTTTTTTCTCCTTCTATATTGTATATGGCATTCTAGGTCTCTTGACTTTTCATATGCATTTTACAACAAGCTTGATAATATTTAAAAATTACTGTCCTGGAACTTTGGAATTCAATTGAGTATATATTTCAAGTTGGGAAAAAATGACATCTTAACAATATAGATCTTGCATAGAACATAGAAAATCTCTCCGTTTATTTAGATAGTCTACTTCTTTCATCAATGTCTTGTAGTTTTCTATATACCGGAACTATACATATATGTTTGATTTATATCTAAGTATTTCTTGGTACTATTGTAGATTTTTTAAAATTTCAAATTCCAATTGTTCATTGCTAGTATGTAAGAAAAAATTAACTTTTGCATATTGGTTTTGTATCCTCTAACCTTGTTATGCTTGACTATTAGCTCCAGGAGTGTGTGTGTGTGTGTGTGTGTGTGTGTGTGTGTGTGTGTGTGTGTGTAAATCCATCTGTGAATACAGTTTTATTACTTCCTTTCCAGTACACACACATCTTATTTACTGTTTATGTTTTATTGCATTAGCTAGAACCTGGCAGTACAATGTCAGATAGAACTGGTGAGAGTCTATGTCCTTGCCCTGTTCCTGATCTTGGGGAGAAAATGTATTGCCTCTCACCATTAAGAATGATATTAGCTGCAATTTTTTAATAAATGTAATTTATCAAGTTGAGGAAGTTCCCCTTCTATTCCGAGTTTGCTGACATATTTTATTATGAATGGGTGTTGGAGTTTGTTTTTTGTCAGTTGATATAATGTTGTAATTTAATTCCTTAAGGCTTCTGATTTGGTGGATGACATTGATTAGTTTTCAAATGTCTTTTTATACCTGGAATAAATGCCACTTTGGGATGGCATTTTTTAAATATATTAATATGTAGTTTTGATTTAAAATATTTTGTCACATATTTTTGCATTAATATTCATGAAAGATATAGTTTTCTTTTCTTGTAATTCTTTCTGTAGTTTTCTTTTCTTGTAATGTCTTTATCTGTTTGGGGTATCAGATAAACAAATTGAGCTAGAAAGTGTTCTTTCTTTACTTTGGGATTCTCTAAGTCCTCCTCAGAGAGCTCTTGCAGCTCTTTCATGTAGAATTATATGGAGTCTTACTGTAGCAGCAAAATGTGGAGGATGGAGAGAATTCTACAATCTTCCAATTAAGTCTGGTCATTTAGTGTTCTGTCTCTCAGGGCTGTGGTCTTCACATGTGTTTCCTAGCTTTACTCCTTCTTACTCATTTCACAGAAGAAAAAAAAACAGAAGCAAAGTAGTCGGAGTAAATGTGTCTAAAATCATGAAGAGCTAGGATTTGAACCCAATCAGTAATATGACAGAGCTTTTCTCATAACTTAAATCTTCTCCTGGTTTTCTGAAGCCCGAACTAGCAGAATATTCAAAAGCACACATTTTGGTCAAGGCCTATGTACAATGAAGGAACACCTGAAAAAAATGTTTGCATGCTTTTCCCTTTTCAGCCTATATCTGTCCCACTAATTTTTCGTGAACAAACTGCACTTTAAAGATCACCCTACAGGTCAAGACTCTGACATTCTGTAATCAGATATAAACACAGAACACTTAGCCAGCCAGCTCTGTGGATTTAAGCAATTTAATATCTCTAAACTTAGTTTTCCCAATTGTAAGATGAAGAAAATAATAGCATGAAATTCATAGTTTCCTGAGAAAAATAAATGAAATGATGTCGGTATAGGTCTTAGCATAGTGTTGACATAGAGTAAGTGCTCAATAAATATTAAATAGCATCACTTACAGACTCATAAATTTCATCTTAAAGTGGGCTGAGTATTCAGAATAAAGGAGAAATAAATGTTTATCCAAAGGAGTATTTGGGAATCTGTGAGGAAATAGTTTGATCATCATAATAACTAGGGTTTTATTTTGGTTTTTAGCATTCTGGGGCCAGAGATGCAAATTAACCTGCCACATACAGTCCTATGCGGTGAAGAATTGTCCAAGTCAAAATGTTAATAGTGAACATGGAGAAACACTTATGAAAAAACAGATCAAAAGGAATGACAGAAAGTAGGTACTGAGATAATCAATGCTCTTCTGCTTTGAGGCATATTTCAAATCCATTGATTGTAACACAAAAAGAAAGCAGTAGGATAATTTTAAATATTATTTTCCATTCACATTGGGTACCTAGCACAAAGTACCCTAATTCTAACATAACATGCTATTTTAGTGCCAAATTATTTATTCCATCCCCAACTTCCAACTCCAAAATTCTCCTTTGTGAAATGTTTGCTATTTCATTGGGTTGTTGATTCTCTAAAATGGCTGTGTTTTTCCATGTTTACAGACTTAGCTCTCAATATATCTGCTTTATATAAAATATCTCTATTATTCCAGATTTATTTTTCTTCATCTTATCAACAAAGTGGAAGCAAGAGGACAATCATATAACTTTGAAACTGCAGGTTTTCAAGACATACCAAAGCTATTTCAAAAATGTGAATTAAAAGCAATATAATATTTTATGTTCTAACTATAAGAAGGCAGCTAGCTCAGATTACAGGTAGTGTACACAGATTGCTCTTATTCCTAGTAGATTTAAAATGTATGAACATGGGCCTGGCACGGTGGCTCACGCCTGTAATCCCAGCACTTTGGGAGGCCAAGGTGGGTGGATCACGAGGTCAGAAGTTTGAGACCAGCCTGGCCAAGATGGTGAAACCCCATCTCTACTAACAATACAAAAATTAGCCAGGTGCACTGGCAGGCACCTGTCATCCCAGCTACTCGGGAGGCTGAGGCAGGAAAATCTCTTGAACTCAGGAGGCAGAGGTTTCAGTGAGCCGAGATCGTGCCACTGTATTCCAGCCTGGGCAACAGAGTGAGACTCTGTCTTAAAAAAAAAGTATGAATTTGATAATTTTAAGATATAAGAAATCAGAGACAGTATAGTCTAGTAGTATTGTTTTCACTGTAATGTCGTAAATAAGTAAATGGGCATGATCTTTTGAGCACACACCAAGGTTTCCTAGCACATCCCAGAGTCAGCTCTATATCATGTCCTTACTGGGAATTAATTGTTTCTTCTTCTCTCTGGTTCACAATTATCATTGTGCAAGGAGATATGATCCTATCACTGCCTGTATTCACAGAATCCCTCAAAAATAATAGCTTCTTTTTCATTTTGCTTCTCTCAACATACAGCTCAAGCAATAATAAAATGAATCAATATCTGAAAAGGCAACACTAGCCACTCCACTTCCTTTCCTCTCCACTATCTCTCTTCCAAGGCAACAGCAACAACAAAACATCTCATGAAAATTGCCTTCTGGAAACCATCACACTAGCTCATCAGGCATACCCAAACCTGTCTCACTCCTAGAGCAGATTTGGGGTGGTTCCATGATATCGCTTCCCTAGTATTTCTGCCCTGTACATGAAATGTTAACTATGTGTATCAGTTGGTTCCATGAAATTCAAAGGCTTCTTTTAAATCAAACCAATTATTCTTCTAATACAAGACTTTAAAAAGGAAACACAAGATGTGTTTTGGAAGCACTGAAACAGAAAACCGTGAGTTCTCCTCACTCCAATTATTTATCTTTGAAATCCTGATAGGTTGCTAAAATGGGTTTACAAGCAAGTCTTTTCAGCCCAAGAAGGTCTCAATTATCTTTTTCTTTTTTCTCTTCTACCTCTCAAACTCATTACCCTGGCTATTGTCCTATCCACTAAGACACTATTTCACAGGCATTCCCCAATCTTGGGCAGGAGCACCATTAATTCGAGCATTTTTCTCTCCTCTCTTGGACACTGCTAGACCCACAGGGTACTCTGCACTTAGTAGACATCTCTGCTTTGTACCAAAGACATCATGTTGCCAAAATTATGCAGCATTCTGTTGGCAAAGTTCGGGAGAATACTTTCCTTCTCATCTCTTAGAACGGGAACAAAACTCTGTAGTTTACATCCCAATATCTTGTGTTTTCTAGTAAAATAGAGCTTTTAAACTTTTATATACGGTTATCTTTCTTTGTAGGAACCAGACAATCATCTCGGCATAAGCAAGTGACAGCCAAAACTGTTCTCAGTTTCATTAGTTCTGCCCATCTGAAATTTGGTTACCTGCGCAGGCTTGGTTGGGATAGCTTCTCTCCCAAGGATCTTTTGCTCCTCATGTGAATATACTTCTGATGAAAATATCCCATCATTTCTGATTTTGACCATGAATACAAGGGAGGCACAAATTGGGGACTCCCAGAAATACTTGGGAGGAAATTTGGGGAGGCTAAGAAGTAGTTGTCTGAAATAAAGTCATACGCCAATTGTCAGTGAAACACAAAATACATTTTGGAACATCCAAGTAGGATTACAGTGGGAAGATGTAGGTACAACTTTGTAAATATAATTGCACAATCAAAATGAGTACTAATCCAGGCTCAAAAATCTCATTAGGGTACCAATAAACTCTTACGTCTAAGGTGCCTATGGCAATGTCTATTCTAGTTTTGATTCAAGTCTTCAACTTTCTATCTTCCTCTTTTTACCTTTTATCCTCCTCCCCCTCCCTTTTCCTCTCTCTCTCACATTTGTGTAATATTTAAAAGTATGATTCAGACAGAGTTAAATTTTGATTTCTTACCACATTACTAATCGAATTGTGGTCTGCCAGTGCATGAACTGCTTATTTCTGGCCAACAATAAGAAAAGCACAGAAATAGATATTAACCATTTAGAAACTTGTATTGCCATTGAAGATTACCACAACATTTAATTTTAAGCTTGATGAATCTAGTTATAAAAACTAGAGCTTATTTTTTCTCTTAACTCGGTTTTTCTAACATTTTTTATTAATGTAATGAAGGGATCCATCTGTGACAGATCAGAAATTAAAAAAAAAGAAAGAACCACCACAGGTGATTAGACCTGCCTGAACCTTTTGTAACATTCTTTTAGCAGAAAATGAATGTGTCATATGCATATTGGCTTTTCCGGAATCCATGAGGTGAATGAATTTTCAGGCTTGGATGAGTGTTAGAAACTAAAATAAACTAAATGACCAGAATCACCACCAAAATCAGCCCTCATAATAGTCTGGCACTAATGTTGTTGCTGCCACCGCTATCACAATATAACCAGACCTTGGACCTCAGGGGGTCTGTTGCTGTCACTCACTGTCCCTGAAATAGCATCTTCCCTCTCCCCAGTCCTTTGCATTGCTCACCCTACATTCAAACTACGGGGTTAGAATATCTCATTGGCCACACCAACATCCTTCCAAGTGCCTTCTGAAAATGGCTGTTGGGTCTATGAATACCGGCTGCCACTAACATCTATCCCATCTGTGGTAGTTCACTTTTTCCCAAGAGCCAGCCTCCGTTTACAGGCAATGGAGTAGAAGAAGCTGCTTAGGTAGTCACTGAAGATATTGAAGGAATTTAAATGAGAATTTGACATCCAACATCAAGGAAGCATTCCTAAAGTGTGAGCCACCTACTGTTTTGTGGTAAATGAAACCACTCATATATAATTGCCTGTAGCTCAGGAGTATCTGGGCCCCTGCTGACCATGTTTAATGAAGGACATAAAGCCTTACAATTCCCAGATGCATGAACTCGAATCAATATTGTTCCTTATTGAGTTCTCATTTCCTAAAAAAAAGAGGGGCCATCTTATCTTCAAGACAGTGTTTCCCAGAATCCATAAGAAAGAAATATCAAATCTTCACGGCAGTCGATGAAACACACATAAGATTCTTCAGATTACCCACATGAAATGCTAGCATAGCCTCTCCTTGATATCTTGTTTTCCTTTATAAAACATATATTAATACAGTAATTTCATGTTTTCTCAGAAGAGAGACACAAAATTATGTATCTAATAAGAAGCTGCTATTAAGGAATAAGGCAGAAGAAGCCTATAATAGTTGGAATAAAACACACACAGTAATGTTTCATAGGAGACCTAAAGTACTCATAACTTTTTTGTGTGATAGAAAAAACAATGTTTTGTTGGTGGGAGGTGGGAAGGAAAATAGAATAGGCTTGGGGAGAGCTTGTTGTTTTCTTTACTGCAGAACTGAGTAGGAAATAGTTCCAATGACTTAGCATGTGACAGGCTCTTAGTTATTATTCAAATTAAAGTGAGTTTCTGGAGCATGTCATGTCTGTAAGCCTGACATTTTTAGAAATGACAGTGTGTCTGAGAAAAAGCTTTTAGCATATTCTCAGCGGTAGCTAAATATGAAATGCCAGACTTCTCCCTGCTCTGCTGAATGAATTTTTATGGAGAACTGATGAATGATTACATTATCTTGAGGGTGAAGGAGAATTTAGGATGTCCTTAGTGTATTTTGCTTTAGTCTCCCCTTTGTCCCTATTCTGCAAAGAAGTCAAGTTTAAAACTCACAGAAATGCACAACAATTGTGGTATTATATAAAATTACAATGTCACAAAGTGCTAAAATAATAATAATTCCACTGATGTAGAGAGGGGGAAATAACATTTAGGCAAAAGTAGGTCTAATACATAATATCTTAAGTACAATGTGAAAAACATGGTATGATCTGTAAAAAAAAAATACGTCACTTACCAATATTACAGTTCCAAGTTTCACATTCATGCTCAAATGAAAACTTCTCAAGTGCTGTCCCGTTACAGAAGAACACAAAACATTATTAAAATTCTATGCCTTGGAGCCGGGCACAGTGACTCATGCCTATAATCTTAGCACTTTGGGAGGCCAAGGTGTGAGAATTGCTTGAGGCCAGGAGTTCGAGGCCAGCCTGGCCAACCTAGCATAACCCCATCTCTAAAAAATAAAAATAAATAATTTTTTAAAACCCTGTAACTAGGACTCAAAGCACCAAATTCTACCTGTGTGCTGTCAAGTAAGGGAAAGTCACTCCTTTGACAGACTCCAAGAGTCCTTACCAAAAAACCTAATCTGACTCAGCACTATTGAGATAATCATAGTGGTGTTTTCACCAGGTTGGGCTAGTCTTACAAGTGTAAAAAAGTAAATTATAGCATTCCCAAGTAGGAA
Source organism: Homo sapiens (assembly GCF_000001405.40). Lineage (NCBI taxonomy): Eukaryota > Metazoa > Chordata > Mammalia > Primates > Hominidae > Homo > Homo sapiens. Next base: position 78,906,265 of record NC_000008.11, on the reverse strand, counting down.
GGCACCATACACATCAATCTTTCCAAGTTTAAATGGCCATATTGATGGCATTGGGTAGAAGAGATTATCTGCTTACCAACCTGCTTTCCTGGAAGTTTACAGAAACAACTACCTTTTGCTCTGAATTAACAGAAGTTTTTATTTTATTTTAGGACTATTTCATAAGTACTTTCAGAGTCATTATTCAGAGATCTGCCTAAAAGCCCCCTCTTTCTACAGATGTGAAATAAGGAAAAATGCAGATAGGAGGGATACGTGCATGTTCTCTCCATTGCAATGTCTGTTGTGAGGCGGGAAGGAAAGGGATATGAATTCTATCAAAATTAATGGAATGCTATTTTCATGTCAGCTGATAGAATTTCATGGGGGCTTTTACAAGCAATTTAAAATGCATCCACTTTGAGTGTGCATATTATTACAGGTTGTTGAGTCTGTATGGCTTGTCATTTGAGGCCAAAGCCCATTCCTTATTCATTCTTCCATGCCCACTGCCTTCCACAGTGCCTTGCTAATAGGCTCATACTTCACTTATTAACACTTAATCAAATCTGAATGAATGAAAGAAGACACTGAGATTTAGACTGTCATAAGAACTACATTTTTTTGGCTCAATTTTCCTTCTTCACAAATAATAACAACTATTGTATTAGCTGGTTTCACATGACAGGCAATATTCTAATTGCTTTGGATTCTAACTTATTGAATCCTTATAATGACATTAGGACATTCTACTATTACCTCCACACAAATGTGTAAACTGAGGCAGAAAGAGATTAAGTAACTTGCCCAAGATACTGTAGTTATTGTGTGTATGACCCATAACTTCAACTAAGGCAGCTTGGGTCTGGAGCTGGGTTCTTAAACATTTCTCTATGCCATTGAAGGCACAAGTGAGTTAAAAGGAGGATGGCAAAACTGGCGCCTCTCAAAAATTTTTGGAAGTTTCAGTATCTAAGCAGTTTATTATCTCTTATTACTTTAGCTTTTCACTGAGATCACTTTACCGATAATTCGCTAGACTTCTCATCTTTTAATAAATTTAAAACAAATCTCTTTCCCATAGCACACAACTTTGCAAACTTTAAATACTTCTAATAATGAGAGATAGGCTCTACTTTTTTAAGATAAAATTTTAAAGCAGTATTTCTACCAGTCCTCTTGGAAATCCTACTATATGAGGGATATAATAGAGTGAAATATTTGAAGACATAGTTAAATATGTCTTTTTATTTATTTATTTATTTATTTATTTATTTATTTATTTATTCTATGTGTCTAAAATACAACTTAATATTTTTCATTGCAATAGAAAGTACATCTGCTTCCATGATAAAGCCCAGCCTTTAACTGGCCCCAGACCCTGGTGAGCATGCTCTGGGTATTAAAGCACCGACGGTTGGTATATGTGTGGATTGAGGTGGAGGATGAGGTGTCGGGGGCTGGGTTCTGAAATCCTACTTACTCTTCCAATTTTCAATTTCTACTGGTAATAATTAAATTCACTTAAAAATCCTTGTAGCATTTAAATCTCATTTCAGATTAAACTTGTGGTCATGGTCGTTGTGGTAGTGTCTTTTATTGTTTGCTTTTTGTTTGGCTTTGTGTAGGGACTAATTTCTGTGCTGCCACCTTTCCAAAGTTTGCTTCTAAAAAAATTGCCATTTCCCAGTCCAACTGGATAGAGCAGTGTTGTATTAATGTTTTAAAAGCATTGAATATGGTGTTAGCACATATGCTTTCAACTACCACATATTTTAGGTGTAACAACCAAATCACTTGACTTCATTTGCTTTGTCTTCCTTATTTGTGCTATGGATATCATGCTAGTCCATTTCTTACAGAGTTGTTTCTTCATTCATTAATTTATTTTGCAGGTCAACAAAGAGTTCTTGAGCATCTGCCAGACCAAGTACAGTTCTAGACATCAAAGAACCTACAATGAATAAAGCAAGTCTCTTTCTTCAGGAAAATTACAGCATAATGTTGTTGCAATTAAGTTTTTTTCATGCATGTAAAACCCTCGTGCATACATTTGGCTGATACATACTGAACTCTAAAAACACATTACTACCCATTTTAGTAATTAACATTTGGCATTCGCCTTGCCTATGAGAGTTTAGAAGTAAAAGAACTTATTTTCAGCTCTTAGGCCCTGATTATCTCTGGGGGATCACAAGGACTACTAACTAAAAAAAATGAGGAGTGGGAGAGTGGAGGGAAGCACAGTATGGGTGATTAATAACAATTTTGCTAGAGCTCTGTGAAAAGCTGCATAGAAAGGGTATTTTATATTTGATGTTTGAGCAGAATGTGAGGAACAAGATTTGACAACTAGATAAGAATGGAAGGAGTAATCTGGGCAGAAGGAACAGTATGAGCACAAGCTGAGAGGTGTGAAGCTTCATGGCATGCATGGAAAACAGCAGCAAAACAGTCTGACAGGAGTAGAAAGCACCAGAGATGGCATAGGCAAGGCAAATTATGGCATATTATAAACAGCTTCAAGTGCGATGATAAGTCAGAAGCTGGAAATCATCCTAAATATAATGCAGAAAAATATGAAGGTTTTAAATCAGGAAATGAGAGAATCAGGTGTGCACTCTAGAAATTTAACAGTTAGAAGTACAGATTGGAGTGTGCAAGCCTGGAGATGAGCATGTACATTATGATTTTAGGTAATAGTTTAGGTAACATATAAAGAAGTAGCACAGTGAGGTGAAAGGGTAGATAGATTACAAAATCATTTCAAAGGAGGAGAAAAAAGAGATTTGGTGAAAAGAAGTAGATAAAGAAGAGACTGAGGAAAGCAAATCTTTCCAAATCACCTTTTAATTATCCTTTTGGAGGTGATATTAAATATTGAAGGGGTCAATAGTCCAGAAGGACAGAGAGAGAGAGAAAGGTAGGAAGAAAGAGAGAGAAAGAGCAGAGGTTGAGGGGAGGGAAAAGATGTTTGGAGATAGATGGATGTGATGCCAGTAATTTGGAAATTAATAAATAAATATATATATATATACACATATATATTACTATATATGCATAACATTTGTCATCATTTTGAGAATGTCTGTTGAATGGCTAAGTTGTTATAGTTTTTAAAACTTAGGAACTCAAATAAATCAAAGATGGCACATGCAGAAAGAGGGTACAATGAAGAAATACGGTCCAATTTCACTAAACACAAATAAAATAGATTCACAGATAAAGAGGGCACACAGAGGGACTACAAGTGAGATTAATGTATAAGACCTGAGAACTGAAGACTCACAATTGAAAATGGTATCACGGAGAGAAATACGTATTTTTCTCACACATTTTAGTACATTAAATAGAAAACATAATCTAAAAACTAGGAATTAAAGAAACTCAGTGAAACAGGCATTTATGATTCCACTTTGCATATGAGAAAATTAGGGCTTAGTAGAGGCATCATGGCCGATAAAGAGATCTGACACTCAAACTCCAATCTCTGTCCCTTTTTCTTTTAAATAATTTGAAAGATTTTTCCATTGTATCACTCCTTATCTTTTAGACATCAATAAGATAAGGTATTTAGTGATATCATAGAATACTGACTTACTGTCTTAAATAGAATGAAATGGACTTGGTAGGATACTAACGGAAAGCAATTGAGTTGTTACTTACCATTCCCATTAACACCAGCTACGGCATAATAAAGAATTATTAATATGACCAGCAAAGTCCAACATTAAAACTGAACTTTCTGCCAATTAAAAACATTTGCACTCCTTAGCTTGGGCCTGTCTAAGATGGAAGGTACTGGCTTGTTTTTTCTTTACCTGCTCTAGTTTCTGGCTCCTTCAGAATGAGTAAATTGGGGTGTCAGGGAGAGGGTAGGGGACAGCAAAGGTGCTAAGACACTGGCAGGATTTTAATTTGGTCTTCTGGCTCTTTCTCTCATAAGGTGCTTTTGTGGATTTCTCAGGAATGTCTGTCATCAATGGGGATCTCTCATTACAGTTTCCTGGAGGTGGAAATGCCTCCTTCAGGCTGGCTGACAGCTTACAACAGCCCATCACCTTTCTTATTTTTTATTTTTATTTTTTATTTATTTATTTTATTATTATTATACTTTAAGTTTTAGGGTACATGTGCACAATGTGCAGGTTAGTTACATATGTATACATGTGCCATGCTGGTGTGCTGCACCCATTAACTCGTCATTTAGTATTAGGTATATCTCCTAATGCTATCCCTCCCCCTCCCCCCACCCCACAACAGTCCCCAGAGTGTGATGTTCCCCTTCCTGTGTCCATGTGTTCTCATTGTTCAAAGCCCATCACCTTTCACTTCTGCATCTGGAAATCTGTTTCCAGGCTCCTTTTGAAGCATTCCCCTCACTCTGAGTGGGACCATCTCAAGACATCTCCCTCCATCATCCATCATTGGTGCTGTTGTGACTGGCTCCCAGTGTGGCCTCCTTACTCAGTTACCAACAAACCAACCTGTCTAGAAGTTACCATCTGTCATGTGCTCCCCAACTCACAGGGACATACGTCCCAAATTCTGTGATAACTTCTTGTGAAGCACGGGTGTACCTTGAAACACCTCCTTTCCCATATCCAAGTAAGAACAGAGGCTGTTGAAGTCAGCTTGTAAAATGATCTCCATTAAACAACAGGTCAGTTTCCCTTCCCCTCCATATTTCTCAGGGAAGCTTCTCATTTCTCAGCCACACACATACATAAACATTTTACATCAGAAGTAAAAACTCTGCATTAATTCTGTGTGTGTGTGTGTCTGTGTGTGTGTGTGTGTGTGTGTGTGTGTGTGCTGATTGTCCTACAGCAAATGATGAGCAGTTATGTTTTCTTTCTTTATGGGGCAAGGGGCATCACAGGAAAATAAAAGAATGATGTTCGGTATCTCAAGTTTTAATCTGCACCAAATCAACACTTTATATACCATCCGCCATAATAGGAAAACCAAAAACGAAATATGTAGTCTGTGTCTATTCAAACATGCACTCCTGAAGCCAGTTATAACAGAGGTTCTCATGCTGCAGCTCCTCTTGCCAATATGTTCTGTTCATCATTTCTCCTTTCTTCTTCTTGCCTAGCCTTTTCCTGACTCCCATTCATTCCACTTTTTCTAATGACATTAAAAATAACCTTTTCAACTGTCCTCCCTGAAAAATGATTATTATGGTGGGTTCATAGATCTATTTTTATTGTAATTTAGTCTGTTTCTCTGGCGCATGACAGTAAATTTGTTTTAGAAGTAATTATATCACATGAGCTGAGTCAAGATCCGAAGAGAAATCTGCTATTTCTTGAACCATCTCTATCAACAGCTTTGCATGGGAAACAATATTCAGTCAATGCCATCTTCATGCATGATGGACAGCTGTTATCAACGACAAAAAAATAAAAAATAAAAAATATTAAGATATTAGCTTGAGAAAAAGAAAATTTGCTAACAAAACAATCTCTGTATGGGATATGCATTCTGCATTCATCAATGTGATGATTAAGCATATTTTCAAAGAGAGAAACAGAATGTGATATTAGTATTGCTAGCTCTTATTTTTTACTTTTTAATGTAAATATACAGTTTTTAAATTTTAAGAAATAAAATCTAATACAAAACTACATTCTTATTTTCAGCTCTTGATTTTGGCTTTCTTGTCTTTTGTCAGTAATAACAATATGACCTACCAACCCCCAAATACTCTAGGTCCATTGCACTTCACACTGTTTAACAAACAGGACTGCTGGGCTCTCCCTGGCTTTATAGTGTTGATCATTATGCCAGGCAAGCTTTCAGGTCAGCTGTCTCTCCTACCACCCTTTTCCTCCTGCATTGCCCTGAACACATGCCAATACTTGCACATGCATACAGTCTACATGAATAGTGCTTCCCAAGTGCTTAATGTTTACTGAACAAACAAATGAATGAGTGACTGAATAAAGGTATATTATGGATGCACTCTTGATTTGCTACATAATGAAATTGAAGTCTATAATAAGCACTGTGATTAACCACCTTTTATTTGTGGGCTAACTCATTCCTTTAGCTGCTTTGTAAGAATAGTAGTTGCAAATGATCTCTCTGTTTCCTTCCTCCTCCATACTATTTCCAAATTCTGTTTGATAATCTGGCATTAACAGACTGTTACTTCCTTTGTTCTGGAAACTACTTTCTTCAAACAAAAAATATCAATCCCTCTTTGCATGACCTTTCATTCTCAGCCTCTCAAATGTGGCTACCTTTACTATCAGACAACAAAAATTATTCTCATTAAAACCAACAATAACCTTCCAATTGCTAAATTCAACCATCTGTATTCATCTATATTCAGTCCTACATAACTTTCCTGCAGCACTTGGCACTGTTCATCGTATCTCCCTCTTTCTAGAAACGCTAATTCTGATATCTATATATTCCACTCTCGACATCGTCTAGCAATCCTCTGGCCATTCCTGCTCTTTCATGTTCTTTGCACATCCCATATGTGTTGGGGATCCCAGAGCTATGACCTTCTAATTGTGGAAAAATTACTCTCCCTTGGAGATACACTCCCATAGCTTTAATTTTATGCAGATTTCAACTATGCCTTTAGCTTTCATCTATTTTCCAACCTGTAAGCCAAAATTTCTAATTGTTTACTGGAACAATAAACTTTGAGACTGCACAGCTCCAACTTAATATTGACAACAAAATTCATAACACACACACACACACACACACTATTCTACACATACTTCTATCACAGAGGAATTCTGTTTTGTGTTCACTGGCGTGGACTCTGGTGTCATACTGCTTGGGCTTAAATATTGGCTCTTGCATTGCCAGTTGTATGACTTTGGACAAATTACCTAACCTCCTTGTGCTTCAGTTTCTCACATGTATAGTGGGAATCATAACAGCTTCTCCTTTTTAAGAGTGTTTTCAAGATTAAAAGGGGTAGTTCATGTAAAATATTTAGAATAGTGTCAAGCACATAATAATCACTATAAAGGTGGCCATTTTTAGCCATCATTGTAGTTACCACAACATAATTAACTTTTAAATCTATATAGCCCCACCAAACAGTGTGTTCTATAATGGTAGGAAATATTTCTCTTTCGTAAGATTCCCAAGTAGGTCTTGATACATGAAGGATTTTTAATGAAACGTGTGTGGAATAAGTGAAAACCTTATCTGTATTTTATGTTCTCAAGTTAATGACTTCCCACTATAAGAACCTCAGTTCTACTGTCAACTACCCTCTCAGTCAGTCACTGAAATCTGTTGAGTCTGCATTAGGGACCTCTACTCCTTGTCTCCACTGTCACTGACAATCTTCATTTTACCTGCAATGAACTGAATGTTTGTGTGCCACCAGATTCATATCTCAAGCCCCTAATCCCACTGTGATAATATTTGGAGGTGATACATTTAGGAGGTAATTAGGTCACCAGGGAGGGTCCCTCACAAATGAGATTATTAGTGCCCTTACAGGAAGAGGCCAGAGAGCTCTCTTGTCCTCTTTCTGCCATGTGAGGACACAACAAAAGTCAGCAGTCTGTAACATGGATGACAGCCCTCAACAGAATATGTCCATGCTGATGCCCTGATGACACACTTCCAGCCTCAAGAACTATGAAAAATAAATCTCTGTTATTTATAAATGACCCAGTTTATGGTACATTGTGAGAGTAGGCTAAACCGAATAAGACATCTCACTTGAACTGTTAAAATTACTCCCTAACTGGTTTCTGTAACAAGACCCTTATAGATATCATCCCTAGATTTCTTTTTTAAACAGAAAAAAATCAAGCATGTAAATTCCCAGGTTTAAAGCCTCTCTTGGTTGCCTACTGCCCAGAAAATAAAATCCAACCTCCCCAGTTGACATTCAAGACTTTTCAGACTCTGGTTCCAGCGTACACCATCTCCTGCCACTTCCCTCAAGGCTTCTGCCACACCAAATTTCTAAAATTTCTAAGTGTTCATCAAACATGCCAGGTTTCTATAACCTCCAAGTCTTTGCATAAGCTTGAAAGCTTTCTTTTTCCACTTTTGTCCATTTTCATAATCCTAGGACAGTCTTAGTCATCCTTTAAGATCCAACTCAAATGCTAACATTGCTACAAGCCTTTCCTGACACCCCAAGAGAATTTCTCATTCTCTTCTCAAAGATTCCACAGTGCTTTGTTTCTATCTCTTAACGACATTTATCATGTTACACTGTTTTTATCGTTTACCTGTATGTCTCCTCCATTAAACTACAACAAACTCTTATCACAGTAACTATCTATCTGTCTCCCCCTCCTAAAAAGGCTGACCAGTCTAAGTACCAAAAAAATGATTACTAAACTCATCATCCAATCAATCCACTCGCTCATCAGATATTTTAGCACCTACTCTCTATTTGATATTGTATTATAGTTTTAGCTTAAAAAATAAAATGTTCCTCTATATAAACTAAATTATAAGCTGGCCAAATAAAAAGATTTCCTTCATTTTTTTTCAATTACAGGAAGTAGGTTAATTAAAGAGAACAAGATTACTGGGAGGTTGGTTAGGAGTGTGCAGAGGAGGTGATAATGAGAATTTTTTTTTCCATGGAAGAAGTGAGATTACCACCATTAGGGACATTTTTTATTTCACTGAAGAAGTGTGACTTCCAGAAAATAAAAGGCAAGTGCTGTGAACTCAAGACAATGAATTTATGTCTAGCCTGAGATGCCAACTATTTCCAGGCATGCTTCAAAATCATTTGCTGGGGTCAATCTTGCCTTTCTCCTAACCACTTCCTATATTTTCCCTCCTGTTTCCCCCAACTATCCATGCTGAACATTTTCTGTAGGAAAGCAAGATTAGGCAAGGAAAAGAGGAGATGTGAAGTTTGGTGGTAGGGAAATGCTTTATGAATGACAATGAAGGAATAATTTGTTCTTGCATGTTTTTCATCAATCAATGAATGAGATTTTTATCCCCAGTGTGCCTCAATGCAAGGCATTGGCTTAGTTTTGCTGTCAAACAGTGGTGCCACACACAAGGACACAGAGAAGAGCTGTAGAGGCAACCAGGTACTTTCCACCTTCCCTATACTTAGCAATAGATAGCAAAGGAGTCCTTGTGTTCATTCTGCATTGCCCTTTTAGGAAAAAGATGAGACAAATTCAAGGTAAAGTAATTTAACAGAAAGACTTGTCTACACAAATTCCTAATAAATGAAATGGACAAATGTAGTCGTGGAATGGGGCCTGGATTAAATGCCAAGCACTGCTAACCAACTGTGAGATCTCAGCTGAGGCACTTGTTTTCGCTAGGTCTCAGTTTTCTTCTCTGAAAACAAGGAAAGTGGATCACATGGACATCCCTTTCTGCTTTAATCAGAGGTAAGGTCTGAATAAAGTGCAGAATTCTACATTTCTTCAAACATAGCACGTCAGGAAAAAATGTGAACACAATGAAGTCCAAGCTTAGACAAATGATAATTAAACACATAATTGACAAATAAAAAGGCAGGTAGAATTCTCATTCTTCCATTCTAAATTACAGTTCAAGCTGGTGATTATTTAAGCAAAAATGTAACTTTTAGGAGGAAATTGAATTATTTCCCACTGTAAAGAATTTTTAAGATGGCAAACCTAAAATTAATCATGCCAAGGTTCCTGCTCGTGCTTAAATATATGCATGACTCCATGTCATTTTGTAGTGCCTTCCTGTCCTTGACATAATTTTGTTTTATATACTTAACACAATAAACTCTTTCATAGAAAGGAGAAAATGCCTGCCCTTCTGGAGAATCAAATTATCTAAACTGGGTCCATTGTTATTTCCACAAACAAGTGGAGGAATTATTGCTATATTCCTTAACGATTACAGACAGAGAATACAATGTTTCAGGCCCTTCACCTTTATTCCATCCCTTTCTCAGCAATTACAGACCGAGAATACAATGTTTCAAGCATTTCACCTTTAATCCATCCCTTTCTCACCCCTTGGGAAAGCCCAGCATTAGAAAGAGTCCCTAGTGGTTACACTTTTCACTTTTGCCCCCAAGACCATCTTCGACCTTGATTGTTGGGTTGTTGAGTTAGTCCTCAAGGTCTCTATCTGCAAAGTAGCACTTGATAACCAGCTGAATCTATAGCCCACTAAATTTGCTTGTTCTTATTTTTAGACATTAGTTCCCTAAATGAAATAAATGAGAGTAATATTAGTTACATCAATGACACCACTAAAGCATTCATTGAGCTTCAATAATAAGTGTAACAATAACAATAAAATTTTATGGCTCCTTTTCTCAGAGGAAATTAGAACACTTTACCAACATTATTGTCTCATTAAACCTCATGTCTTTGAAAAATGGTGTAGCATTGTGTGGATGGAAGGGTATAAGCCAGAGAGTGAGACAGAACTGTTTTCCATTTACCTACCTGGAAATCATTTAGGTAATGAGTAAATGAGATAATGTACATAAAGTACATGCCTGCAGGGTAAGTACTCAACACATAATTCTCTTTCCTTTTCTATCTCTCTGCCCACCAGCCATTCTCTCCCTCCCACTGCTCCTGCAACATCCTGTTCCCCATTTTTTTGTTATAGAGTAATGCATGTTGAGACAAGTTTGTCAGGTTTTGTGGGGAAGTTTTAGGTTGTTTTTTGGCCCAGTAATATTCTGATCCCCTCTGAGAAAAAAAAATGCACAAAAGCTTACTATCCTTGTCCATCTGGTATGCATGGGCATGTTCCAGCTCCTAGCTTCAGTAAAGTCTCTAGAGGGTAGGACAAGTAACTCCTCTCTCAGCATTACTCTTACTAGGCAGGTTCAGAAGAGTCTTAAATTTGAGGCATCATAATATCTATACTTTGGGCCCTGGGTGGAAGAAAAAAATCTCTAAGTAGAGTTTATTAGTCTGTTCTCAAGCTGCTGATAAAGACGTACCTGAGACTGGGTAATTTATTAAAAAAAAAAAAGAAGTTTAATGGACTCAGAGTTCCATGTGGCTGGGGAGACCTCACAATCACTGAAGAAGGCAAAAGTCATGTCTTACATGGCAGCAGGCAAGAGGGAATGAGAGTCAAGTGAAAGAGGAAACCCCTTATAAAACCACCAGATCTTGTGAGACTTATTCACCACCATGAGAATAGAAACTGCCCCCAGGATTCAATTATCTCCCACTGGGTCCCTGCCACAACATATGGGAGCTACAATTCAAGATGAGATTTGGGTGGGGACACATCCAAACCATATCATAGAGATAGGCCAAAAACTCATATGGAATGTGATCTACCATTCCAGTAATTCAAGTTGTAATCTGCATACCTGATTCTCTGTGTGTGTGTCCCTGTGGTTGTCCAAAAGCCTTTACTAAAGTCTTATCTAAATGTTGCAGCCCTGTCCTGGGGCATTGTGAGAAAGACTGCATGCCCATGCTACGGCAGGATGTTAAACAGTGAGCAGTGTACCCACTTGAGGCCAGTGTGATGGTGTTGGGGGTGCTGGTGGTGGGTGGAGAAGGAATAATTACAAGAGCGTCTCTACCTTCCAATGCACAGCATCTTGGAATCAAAATCAGATCTTTAAGTTCAATTGACTTTGGCTCACCCTAGAAACCTGAGTGGAGATTGTGTCTCCATTTCCTACCTAGGAGAAGTAAGGTTTTTGGATCTGCAAAATGTGAAGTTTTATCTTCCAGAAGGTAGTGTAATACATGGCATTTTGAAATACATGTAGACAAAATAACTTATCCAGAAAGAGTCAGTCATATAGCTGTGCTCATGCTTTGCCCAAGAGGTATTAAACAGTGTTTCTTCACACATACAATTGTGTAACCACCCAGTAAGTTATTCCTACCTACTGCAAAAACAAAATCAATTCACGGAGACCATAGCATTGCAGTAAAGAAAGAATTTAATTGACACAAGGCCAGCCACTCCACGCGGGAGATGGAGTTATTAATCAAATCAATCTCACCATAGGCACAGAGGTTAGGGGTTTTTCAAAGTTACTTTGGTAAGCAGAGGGCTAAGGCATGAGTGCTGCTGATTGATTGGGGAATGCAATAATAGGGATGTAGAATACAGTCTTCTTGAGCTGGGTCTGCTTCTGAGTTGGGGCCACAGGACTGGTTGAGTAACAGGTCTGGGTGGGGTCATTAGGTAGTCAGAAATGCAAAAGCCTGAAAAGACATCTCAAAAGCCCCGTCTTAGGTTTTACTTATTTATTTATTTATTTTGAGATAGTGTCTCACTATGTTGCCCAGGTTGGAGTGCAGTGGCACAATCATAGCTCACTGCAGCCTTGACCTCCCAGGCTCAAGCAATCCTCCCACCTCAGCTTCCTGAGTAGCTGTGACTACAGGTGCAGGCAACCATGCCTGGCTAGTTACTATACTACAATAGTGATGTTATTTACAAGAGTAATTGAGTAATTTGCAAATCTTGTGACCTCCTGAATAATGGCTGATAATTATTTAGCTAAACCTGCATCATAGTAGAATGCAGGCCCTTCTCATCCTCCTAACTTGGGGGTCTTTCATTAGTTTTACAAGGGCAGTTTAGTTTTGGGGAAGAGCTATTATCATTTAAACTATAAACTAAATTTCTCCCAAAGTTAGCTTGGCCCATCCCCAGGAATGAGTGAAGACAGCCAGCCTGTGAGCCTAGAAGCAAGATGAAGTCAGCCATGTCAGATTTCTCTTTCTGTCACAGTTTTGCAAAGGTGGTTTCACTTGGACAAGCTGACACACCAGGAAGTATTTAGATTTGTGAGATACTGGACTTGATGGTGTCCTAGAAACTTGTGTAGGAAAATAAGTAATGGCTGTAGGAGTTATCTGAATCTTAATGGAATTGTGATGTCCAGTCACTAGCTTGAGAACCACATTCCTTGTCGTAAGAATTGAGCGAACTCCTTGATTCTACAAACACACATGAAAAAAATGAAATTACATGAAACACAGCTTCTGATCAGGGTAAATGGGAGTGTAATGAATAAGCCTTTAGGAAGTCACTACATGGTGCATTGGTGACTGATTAAAGTAGTATTTTAAGATGCAAATTGTATAGCTTGGCTCAAATAATTACAAAGGAAGACAATAATAACGTAATATTACAAAGTTGTAGGTTTTAAAGATGGAGGAGCAAAAGAATGTGTGGCTGCATTTTTAAAAGAGATAGCAAAGCAGAACAATGTGAAATTAGGCAAAAGAAAAGCTGGACTGTTCTCTATGACATTTTCTCAACAGGGAGATGTATTACTGAGGACTAGAGTCTCCCCAGGGCTCCGGTAAATGCTTCACTGCATGTCATTTCACACAAAATACATAAAGCTGCTATAGGAGGTGGACAAGGTGACCTGACAGGTCTCCTGTCTCTAATTTCTGTGATTTAAAGGTTCTGTGCTATTACCCAGCAAGATGCATGGCTTTTTAGTGATTCCATTTGTAAAATGACCCTACAGTTTTTTTCTCTTAGCTTCCACCTTTGCAGAAATCTTTTTTTTCTTTCACCTATGCATTAAAACTCAAAGATTATAGTATTCAGCATCACAGGACTGGGGAATGGTGCAGAAGAAGGGTTAAGCAGGATTAAATGTTTGCTTACAAGGGAAAAAACTTAAGAGTGAAGGAGATGGGAGGAAAGGTGAAATGATCATCACACACTATTAAAAAAAATCACAGTTTCCCTGCATCTAAATGGAATTTTGATTTAGACACCATATTCCTTTTAAGAAAAGCTGTTTTGAGTGCAGAAAAACTGCACATTAATCTTCCTTTTGACAAGACTAAGGAAAAACAAACAAAGGTACTAATTGAACACTGGCTTATTGAAGTTCTCTGACGGCAATTTAATTCTCTAAGAAGTCACAGGGTAGTGAAAACTTTTGGATGATACTGAACATGTCCAACTTGTTAAAAGTCTTTTAATGGCAATTCTGGAATGTCATCTATGTGTTTCATTTACATGATCTATGAAAAGCTTTATCTTTTTGTCCAGATGGACTTGGATTCCCAGTGTGTAAAACCTTCAGAAATCAACCCTTGCCGAGTTTCAACTATAAGTACGAGACTTAGTCTGAATCGTTTCTTTCCTTTTGTAAATGGGGCACAATGTGAATAGTGTGTATCGAAGGTGATTGTGGGTTGCCAGAAAATAAATTTTTACCTGGATTTTAATGCTATAAGCAAGACAAGAACAACATGAGGGCTTCTTCATTAATTACCTACTAAGACAATATTCTATTACAGAAGCATTAGGCTTCAGGGATCATAAAAGCATTTGTGATAAACTCCCTGGTTCTGGGATCCAGAAGGAAGAAAGAAAACAACAATACAACATCAATTCTTCTTATCCAGCCCCCAACCTGTTTTCTTTTCTTTCTGTTACACTCTCAGATATTGTCTTAGAAGCATCAACCAATTTGAAATCCTGATTGTAGCAAAGCAACCACAGGTAACCAAAGAACAAGAAGAGGGAGAGCAATGGTTGTTGGACTTACTGGGACACACGAAACCCTTCGTTTTCCTCAGGACCTGGATGGAATAAGAAATCCTGAGGGTTTGCTGAAAAACAAAACTGTCATTTTTCACATCAGCATCAGTTTGCAACCTTTGACTCTGCTGCTATTTTTCACTGCACACTAGCTACAATGGGCTGGTTCACTGTTTCGCATCCTCTGTTTCATTACTTGTGGGTGTATTTTTCAACATTTTTTCCCTGAAATCTTTGTATATAGCTCTTTGCAGCAGTTATGGTGCAATTTGGTAACTATTAATATGTGTACATATTTATATCTCCACATAGAATATATAATGAGTTCGCAAAGTTTATCCCAGAGTTAGTGACTTCTTAAAATGTTTGTTTAATGAAGAAAATAAATAAATAAACTTGTCAACAGATGTATTGCTGCTTCCCATTATTGTGAGTAAAAGGAATATCTAATCCTGTGAGTACAAGCCAGGGATGGGACGGTTCTGTTTTTGAGGTAATCTTGAACTATTCTTACAATATACTTACAAAGAAGTTGGCAAGCTATTGCTTGGAAACTTCTTGCAGTAGGAATCCTAAGGCCTTACCAGATAGCCAATTTCTTCTGTGCATGACCATTACAAATTTTATATACATGGCTCTGATATACATCTCTTAGAAATGTCCACAGATTGAAATTAGTTCTAGTATATGAATCCATTTGGAAAATAAAAGTTCCCATTAAAATAAGAAACAAGACAAATGTGCTGTAACTGCTATTACTTAACATCATATCAAAAGTCCTAGCCAATATAATAAAACAAAGAAAATAAATAATAAAAAGAAAAATACAAAATTGCCCTTCAAATATACAGTATTCGTAAAAGTTCTGTACAAATGTATTATGATATTTGGTTAAAAAGGAAATGCAGCAAGCTTCCTTATAAAAAGATCAACATATAATCATCAGTATCCATATAAATCAGCAATAAATGCTTATAAAATACAATTGACCAGGGATTTATTTACAATAGCCTCCCAAAACGCCTTAAAATTTAAAAATTAAAAACCTCTCCTTTACCAGCATTCCTCAGAATTCTTTATTAATAACAAATCCTTTCATCCAGGTGCACAAATGAAAATCCCTAGTCACATCCCCAGCGTCTTGCCCAAGATCATTTACAGCCAGCTTCATGGCCGTGTAACCAATGCAGTTGCTTTGAAAAGCACCCATCTACAAAGTAGACAACTTTTCCATCTTCCTTGCTAACAGAACTCTTGTGGTGTTCAGATTCCTATCTCTCAAAGCAGAGGACACCATTCTCAGCTCAGCAGAAAATCCTATAGAAGACTAAGTTAATCATTGACTTTTACCATTCTTTTCACACAGGATTGGTTTTTGGGTAGCCAGTGAGACTGAGAAATGTAACGGTGTTCATCAGAAAGATGTATTGCTTTTAAAATGTTACACCAGCAGCTTTTCAACTAGTTCTTTCCATGTCTGTATGTGATGCCCATGTGGCAGCCACCCAGTTGGAAAGAAGGGAACAAGCCAAAGGACAAAAGAGAAACATTAAGGCTGACTGAGCTGAAAGGTGGAAATAACCCAGATCCTGGATGATTACGGAAACCACTGAGTTGACTAAATCCTTAAGATAGCTACTCTAGAATCCTTGCTGTATAAGAAAATTATATATTATACATGTCTAAGCCATTTGAGGTTTTCACTTGCTTCTGGATCTTCATGACAAAGACATCCAAAACAAATAAAGAAAGCAATAGATTCAGGATATTATTCATGATACATCTAACCACCAAGAATTAGCATCCAGAAACAAAGTACTTATAAATTAATAAAAAACTATAAACAATCCAATAGAAAGATCAGCAGATGATATAAACAGGGAATTTACAGACAATGGCAATAGAATATTCATGAAAATAATATAAAACAATGCCCAACTCAGTAGAAATAAGAGAAATGCAGAGTAAAACTCAGTAAGTATTTTTTCCAACTCATCTGACTGGCAATAGAAAAAGAGGTCTGACAAAATTAAAATGACACGGATGATGGTATGAATAATTATCAACTCTGGAGTCTAATGGGAGAATGAGTTTATGTAACAAATATAAAAACAGTTATACCATGTCTTGCTGAAGATGTCCATATCCTTCAATTCAATAGTTTATCATCCAGATATAATTCTTAATGAAACTCTAGCATAGGTGCATAGAAACACATATACAATAATACCTGTAGCACTTTATGATGTAAAGAGGAAACTGCTTAAATATCTGTCATAAAAAGAATGTAATAATAATATTCATTCAATGGCATAGTATACTGTAGTTGAAATAAATAAAAATACATACAAAACCCAGATACATTTTATACAATATAATAGTGAGAGAGTTAAAAATGCAACACTATCTATCCAGTATAATGTCCATTAATAAGGTTGAAAATATGTAATATATACTCTATTTTGGATGCACAGTTACATGGAGAAACAAAAAAGACACATTGGGATGATAGCACTAGTAGTTTCTTCTGCATCATACAGAGAAGGTCCAAATTTTTGAAATCTTTTGAAGTCTCCATCTTTTAAATTCTTTTGAAATTCAACATTGTAAAAGTTCACATTTCTAAAACTGATCACTTGATTTTCTGAAGAACAGTCCCCCAAAACGCCTTAAAAACTTAAAAATTAAAAACCTCTCCTTTACCAGCATTCCTCAGAATTCTTTATTAATAACAAATCCTTTCATCCAGGAGCACAAATGAAAATCCTTGGTAACATCCCCAGAGTCTTGCCCAAGATCATTTACAGCCAGCTTCATGGCCATGTAACCTATGCAGTTGCTTTGAAAAGAACCCATCCTTTAAATGGGTCCACACTAACTAATGCTGTACTGTTGCTGTCTCAACATTCTTAATACATATTGAATAATGTGTCCTGCATTTTAATTTTGTGCTAGGTTCTTCAAATTATGTAGCTAATCCTTCTTGGATTTGAAACTGGGTTGTCATTCTCTAGTTTATTCTTAATCAATACACTCTTCTCCTTCTCTTTTGAGATAGGCAGGACGCTAGTATTCATTTCTTCAACAAATATCAACTGCATCTCTACTGTGTGCTAGACACTGTAGTAAACATTGAGAATATAATTGACGTGAATAAGGCAATGTTCCCATAATCACGAAGTCTATTTTAGTAGAGATACATATAATAAATTAATTAATAATCAAAAACATAGGCTAGTCATAAATTCAAGGAAGATAATTAAACCGAAGTAATAGGGTTGAAAGTAACTGGTAGCTGCTGTAGATTGGTCAATGAAGGATGATATTAGAAACAAGATCCATTTCCTAGCATGGTTGCTGATTCCTGTAATCTCAGCACTTTGGGAGGCTAAGGTGAGAGGATTGCTTGAGGCTAGGAGTTCAAGACTAACCTGGGCCACATAGCAAGACACTGTCTCCACAAAAAGTAAATTAAGAGAACTTAATTGGGCATGGTGGCACATGCCTGTAGTCCTAGCTACTCGGGAGGCTGAGGTAGGAGGATTGCTTGAGGTTGCAATGACCTATGATTGACCGCTGCACTCAAACCGAGACAACATAGCCAGACCCTGTCTGTAAAACAACTTTTTTCACAGAAGATCTAACTGAGGAGAAGGCATCACTTATGGGAAGGTCTGAACGAATAATGTTTCTCTAAGTTTTACTTTTGCTCTTTATTGTTTATCTTCAGATGAAAAAGAATTGACCAAACAAGAAAAGGAAATATTTATTAGTCTAGGAAATGAATTAATGTTGTAACATTCTCTTCCTCATTATAGATGTTTTTTTTAAAAAAATTTTTGATTTCTGGCTAATTTATTTTTCAAAATGGAAATTATATTCTAAAGATTATTGAGAGAGCTTAGTTTCTCTCATATTGAAATGCCAAAGGAATTTGTCAGTGATTTATGTGTATGTAAATTGAACTCAGTGTGCTTAGTAAAATCTGGCATCATGCTAACTAATTGCAATGAGGATAAGATATAATTGATTAAAATATTGACTTATCAAATCTGGGTTGCCATGTGCTCTACATAAAAAGTGGCACCTGGACTCATGCAATGCAGCATCATTGATCAGAAATTGATTTATAGCATGTGCTTTCCAAAATCAGTAGAAATATAAAATATTATAACTTAGAGGCTTTATTATAGACAAGGAAAGTAAGACCCAGTAGGTTCCTTAGATGGTCAAAGGCAGTTCAGTTCTTGCCTGGTGATTTTTTTTAATTCAAAAACAAGTATAATCGATTAAAGATGAGACATCATGGCACATTTCTATTGAAAATGTGAATCACGGAGCAAGTCAGGAGTGCTTGAAGAAAATTAGATTTTTTGAAATACTGATTACGTCCCACCTGATATTCCCTTACCTTTGCCACATGGAGACCCTAATTCTACCTCTGCATGCAACCCCTCATGCATACTTTATTCAGGATGAAGAACATAAGACCCTTGTTTAATACTAGTGTTTAACATTTTATAATTAAAACAAGGACCCATTAATGAGATCATTTTATTCTTCCTTATATTCCCTGCATGTCTTAAGAGTTGCAGACAGGCTACATTAAATTTCTCTTCACAAAAATAAGGGAAAGATATTATCAGCATATCTTGCTCAATTAATAACAATTTCATTCACATGATTTTTTAGGGAAAAAAATGTTCTCTTATACTGATGATCACTTACTTGTAATTGGAATCTACTTTCCTTCATTTATCAAACTCTACGGTACTGAAAATAACAAATAACCCCCCAAAATTTGAACAAACAACAAGCACAGTCAGAAATAGGAAAATCCCTGGTTTTTAAGTAATTTGGGGAAGTTATGCTCTTGGATTTCTAGTTAGAAATCTCAAGGCATGTTTTCACCTATTTGGAAACTCATTGGCTCCAACTTCTTGGGGAGCCATATTTTTGACACTGGTTATTCATAGACAGAAAATAATTTTCCCAAACTCAGTTACTTTCTAAAAAATCGATGGATTTTTTATGACAGATAGAGGAAGATGTTTAAAGCCCCAAGAATTGGGAGCTGGGTGAGACACCGTCATGGTTTTCAAGCCACAGACCCAGGGTTCCAGAGACAGCCCTCAGCAACAGGATGCCTGTGGGGGTGGAGATGGTGAGGAGTAAGAAAAAACTGGAAGGAGCACCTGGGAGGGCACCCACCTCCTCCTTTCATCATAGTAGACTCTGCTTATTTTTTCTGTATATTGGGATTCAGAGAAAAGTATATATTTAAAAAATTTAAATGATGACAAATCTATTAATCTTTCTTAACCAAGATTTTTGTTGGTTAGGAAAGATGACAAATCTTTCTTAACCAAGATTTTTGTTGTTGTAAGAAACATAAATAAATTTTAAACAAGTTCAAGACGAATACACTCAAAAATAATGAAAGGGCAGGCAGGAAGGCAGGAAGGCAGGAAGGAAGGAAGGAAGGGAGGGAGGGAGGGAGGGAAGAAGGAAGAAAGGGAGGGTGGGAGGGAGGAGGGAGGGAGGGAAGGAAGGAAGGCAGGAAGGAAGGAAGGAAGGGAGGGAGGGAGGGAAGAAGGAAGAAAGGGAGGGTGGGAGGGAGGAGGGAGGGAGGGAAGGAAGGAAGGAAAAAAGGAAGATAAAAAAGAAGAAAGAGAGTAAGGGAGGGAAAGAGAGAGGGAGTTGGGGGATGGGGTTTCTCATAGAATCCCAAGAAGAATACCAACAGCCTGGAGTGAGTATGGCAAAGGCCATGGACTGGAGAGCTGCCCCAGAGCTTCTGCATTTATTTGCCTACATTTCAATAATTCAGCCTCTATAGATCAGTGGCTCTTTGTCCCCCATTCCAAATTCCAAGGAGAATATGATCACCTCAGCTGACTGCTGTGGAACAGTAAACTATGGACAAGGGGAGCAGGTTCACAGGGCAAAAAAGTGACTCCGTAAAGGAGCAGGTCAACTGAAAGGTGGGACTGGCAGGTACCCACCATCCATCCCAGCACTGAGGTTGCTAGCAATTCGGAGAACAGCCATATCACATTGTTGGGTGTGTGGCCAAAGGTCATTGCTATGGGCTGAATTGTGCTCCACCAAAATTCATATGTTGAAGTTCTAACTTTCAGTACCTTCGAATGTGACCTTCATTGAAAAACAGGATTTTTATAGAGGTAATCAAGTTAAAATGAGGTTGTTAGCTTAGGCCTTACTCCAATATGGCCGTAGTCCTTATAAACAGAGAAAATTTGGACACGAATATGCACAGAGGGAAGATGTGAAGATACGGGGAGAATGCCATGTGAACATGAAGGCAACCATCTACAAACCAAGAAGAGAGGCCCAGAACAGAACTTTCCTTCACATCTCTCGGAAGGAACCCACCTTGCCAACACCTTGATTTCTGACTTCTAGCCTCCAGAACTCAGAGAAAAGTTTCTGCTGTTTAAGCCACCTAGTTTGTGGTACTTTGTTACAGCAATCTTAGCAAACTGGTATGATCATTATAAGAGATAGTGTCTCTTTCTGCAGGTTACAAAAATTCATCCCCCCAAAAAGAAACAATTTGAAGAGTCAAGTCACTTAAACTGCTGTGTTATTTCAGGAAAGCCACATAAATGATCAGAGTCCCATTTTCTTTGCCTCATGCCTTCCATGATGCCTCAAATACCTCCAGTTTGGTTATGAGATTTTTGAGGAAGAACTAACACACTATATTTGAGAGTTCTGTAAAGAATGTGAAGCAACCTTAGAATATCTTTTAAGTTCTACTATGAAAAATCAACAACATTGCATCTAGTGGTCTAATAAGACTGTATTAATTTGTTAATGGGAAAATTTATAATGGAAACATTTTAAGCATTACTACTTTCACAATTATACATTAAAGAGGTGGAAACAAACAAGACATCTTCAATTCACAGTGGTAAAACAACCTAAGTTCATAGAATCACTTGCTTTAAAGCTGAATTATTTTCTTCAGCTCAGTAATGATTGCTTTTCCCTTTATTTCTTAAAACATTTCCATTTTGCCTAGTGAGAAGTTAACAGCCAGTTCAGTGATTAATAAGAATCTTTTTAATATTCAAAAACTTGAAAATATCTTGTTATACCTTATATTCAAGTATACTATAACATATCCAAGATAGAAATATTACTACTCTTCATTAAGCCTAGTTTGGGGCTATTTATGGTAACTATGATAGCATAGATGGGATTTCAGTTTCATAAAGCTAGTGTGCTTATAAACACATTCACACACACGGAGCATGTACTTAATCTAATTTAACAGCTCTTGCTGACCTATGACATGCTTTTATTGGTGTAACACTAGATCAGAAGCCATCTTATCTCCATGTTGGATAAACATGCAATTATCGAGTCTGTTACACTTGACATCATAGAACTTGGCTGAGAGATTTTTGTGGGAGATTGCTTTGTGGCAACTTCCTTGAAATCCACAGTGAAACTTGACTTTCTGCTATGTATTTGCAAACACTCACATAAATACAATGCAGTTTCATTAGTTACTAAGTTGACTTTACCCAGATTTCACATAACATACTAACATGATTTTTTCTGAGGAGGTTTTTTTATTATAATTACATTCACTGTATTTGTTAGGTTGAAGAGACAGGTTGGATTTTTTAAAAACTGATCTTAAAAAAACTACAAATCTAGCATACATCTTTTGAATGATCAAACGACTTCTAGTTCTTTGTAAATAACAAATTAGTTCAGCATTGACTAAGTTCACTGATGTCATTTAACAAATGATCTATATCTAGAATTACAAAAAATATCTCTCCTTACATGTTTTTCTCATTATTCTTTCCCATTAAATAATTGAAGCAAATATCTATTAGAGATACTGAGAGAAGGACTTGACAAAAGAGATTCTTTGTTGTAGCTCTCATACTCATTACTTGGACTTAAAAAAAGAGGTTCTTTGTTGTAGCTCTCCTCATACTCATAGCTTCTCTACATAGCTGTTTAATCTGTACCAGACAATGTGCTAAAAAGACAATGCTGCATGTGACCTTACATAAATAGGTAATTTGACTTATACGTTTCCCTACATTTACTAATATTTTATATGTGGTGCTAAAACACGGATTGATTTGTAGTTTATACATTACATAAAGTGTGCAGATTAATTTATACTCCATGTATCCTTTCTAACAGGCATTTAGCCAATGACCTTTTTACATTAGAGCTCCATGCTCAAATTCCAGACTGTTTCTGAAATTATGACAAACTTGCCCTCCATTATTTACATTAGGAGGCTCAGAGTCATTTTATTATATTACCCTTTCTTGATCGCCCCCAATTCAAATCCATTTATGAAACCTTTCTACTTTACTTTTGAAAATTTTTAGCCCTTTTTGTTCTCAGCACCTCTCCATAATGAGGCAAACTTCTTTATTTCTCATCTGCATTAGTACAACGGCTGCCTAACTAGTGCATGTGCCTTGTCTATCTTCTCATCCATCTCTACAGTCAATTTCAATCCGACTTCTATACATCCACCGGAATTGTCTTTCTTAAAAGGAAGACATAATCCTGGCATTCTGTACTCAAAACATTGCACGGTTCGCTATGCCTAACAAATTGCAGACTCCTTGGTATTCCATGCCTTTTAAGTTTTGTCCCCTAACTAACTTTTATTCCTATGCCTTACAGTTCTAACCTACTCTCCTCCTACTTCAGCCTATTCACTATTCTCTGGATATGATCTTTCAAGTCTCCAAACCTTTGCTTATGCCATTTTCATATCATACATATACATATATATGTATACATATAAACATATACAATATATGTTAAAATTTTATAAGAATACCAGGAAGCCATGTATGTTTATATACATCTATGTATATAGATGTATATATAAATATATTTATATATGTGTATACATATATACATATACATATATGCATATATAAATATATGTATACACATATATGCATATAATATGTGTAATATATTAATATATGTGTGTACATATATGTATATGATATGTGTAATATATACATATATCACATATACGTATATTAATATATGTATATATACATAAGTGGTTTTCTGTTATTTTTATAAAATTTTAACAAAACATATCAAGAACATTCAGTAAATAAAGCAACATTTTCCTAGTAGATTTTAATTCTACTCTCATTACAAATGAAGTTCCCCACATAGATATGAATTTAAATTTGGACTCTCTAATCTGAACTGTAAATCTATTTGTCATTTTTGTGTCAATAAAAAACTGTTCAATTGCAATATATTTCTCCTACTAAATTGGGAATTCTTTAATGAGTATACTATTGTCTGTATTATGTAATTTAACAGATGACATTTAACGTGTATTAGTTATATGCTTGTATGATCATTTGATAGTTTTTCCCTCTAGATTGTAAGATCGATGAGAATAGGAAATGTTCTCTTTTGCTTGCTCTGTGTCCCCATCACATAGCACACTGCCTGGAACATTGCAGATACTTAAAGACATATGTTAGATGAATAAACAACAATTGAATGCACATACAAATTTCTAGATTTTAAAGAATATGATACTGAACATTAAAATTATCACACCATGGACATTTCATTCCTTTATACAGAAACAAATAATTGGAAAAGTAATCTTATAGAGTCACTTTGTTGTATCATTTTAGGGCTTGTTGATATTGATAAAATACAGGTCCCCTATGCACACGACTAATATAAATGAAGGCAACTTAATAATCAACAGAGAAAATGATTCTGTGCCCAAGAAACTCTTCTCACTCAAATAGTCAAGATTCAGAGCTTTTAAGACATACTTCCACTACCTCTCAAAATATTCACTATTTTACAGTGGCTGCTTTTGTCTGCAGGTCTTATGATAACCACTTTCTGTGAAAAGAGAGATTAGCTATTTTTAGATAACTGACATTTTCTCTTTGATAACCAGAATAACTCAAATTGTCCTGAAGAATGAGGGCTCTGGATGGAAAG
Organism: Homo sapiens; assembly: GCF_000001405.40. Lineage (NCBI taxonomy): Eukaryota > Metazoa > Chordata > Mammalia > Primates > Hominidae > Homo > Homo sapiens. The sequence continues at coordinate 78,881,800 of NC_000008.11, read as the reverse complement.
TCGTTGCCTATTGGAAGCATTTTATTTTGGAATAAATGTTAACACAATTTGTTTAGTCTAAACACCTCTAAAGTCTCACTGGCTAGGAAGAACCAACATGATCCCTGTATTTTTTTAAACCAATTATCTCTGGTCATTTAAAGTCCCAGCCAAAGTGATTATTCAGCACTTTTCAGCACCCTGACTGCATTTATGGCATGGGCCTTAATGTCTTCTTTATAACATTACATTACATAGAAACAACCAATGAAAAATTGAAACACATTTAACTTCTAAAGTCCAGGTAAGTATTTAACCTATGATATCCAATCAAATAGTGATTATTCTTCAAAAAATTTAAATATATAATATTTGTCATTATAAAACAGTAATATACTGAATTAATAAATGAGTAAATCAATCAATCATCTGATAATTAGCCATGCAGTCAATGAAGTCAAGTCCTCCGTTATCTGGAGCCAAGCTTCCCAACTTGGCTTAGCACACTTCCTCCCTTGCTGACATTGATGTCTCTCCTTGGAATGTCTTCCATCACCATTTCTGTCAGTTGCAAGCCTCTCCATCCTTCAAGCTGCATCTGAAAGTCAGTCTGGCACAATGACACAGGCTAAAGCTCTGACTTCAGACAAATTTAGTTTTATGTACCTGCTTAGTCACTTTCAAACTCTGTGAGCTTGAATGAGGTTTCTAAACAAACTTTCTAACCTATAAAATACAGGTAATAATCATGTTAACCTGATAGATTTATTTTGAAGATTAAAAGACATAATATATGAAAAATATTTCTAATATTGTAGGTTTTCAATACATATTAGCTTTTTTATTTTGAAGATTAAAAGACATAATATGTGAAAAATGCTTCTAACATTGTATGTTTTCAGTATATATTAGCTTAAGAACATACTGGATGGTATTTACTTTATGACACCTTCCTTGAGTACCAGATCTCCACAGCATAGTAAAGTAGTAGTCTCCAAACTTGTTTGTATCTTAGAATCAAATGTAGGATTATAATCTCTAGGATTGGGGTGGGTGGGACAGAAGCATTTGTAATTTTTAAAGTTTTTTCGGTATTCCAATGTACAGACAAATCTGGGAACTATGGCAATAGTTCCCCAAACTGCTTGATCATAAGAATCAACTGGAATTTTTATTAAATAATGTTAAAAGCCTCTACCCCAGACCTAAGAATCTGAATCTCCAAGACAGAGACACATAAATCAGTATTTTTGATTTATCATAAGTAAGTCTCATGATCAGGCAGGTCTGGAGACACACTATTAGTAGACTGGATGTGTAGTTATATGCCCCATAATGACATTTCAGTCAACAATAGGCCTCATATAGGACAGATTATAATACTGTATTTTTACTGTATCTTTTCTATGTTTAGATATGTTTAGATACATACATACTTATTATTGTGTTACAGTTGCCTGGAGTATTCAGTACAATAACATGCTGTACAGATTTGTAGCCTAGGGGCAATAGGCTGGACCATATAACCTAGGTGTGTAGTGGGCTATACCATCTAGGTTTGTGTAAGTACACTCTATGTTCACTCGACAATGAGATTACCTAACAATGTTTCTCAGAACATATCCCTGTTGTTAAGCAACCAAGGACTGTACTTCTATATTACATTCTCTTACTAATTTATGAACTCTTTTCAGTGCAGGGACAGTGTTTCTTTTAACTCTATATTTCCTAACATACTGGTTACACATATTAGGCATGCAATAAATGTTTGGAGTTGAATTAAGGAACATGAAAGTACAGTGAAGATTATAAATATATCTCCTAATTGAGACATTTCTAATTTGTATCAAAGGGTGGAGATGGAACATTAGTATCCAAATGCAAACAGGTGTACATAATCTGATATCTCAAAAGTGTTGTCATTAGTCTAAACTTTGCCACGACTAAACTTCAGGACCTTGGAAAGCCACTTAGCTTCTCTGGGCCTCAGTTACCTTACATGCCTAATGCTGTCCATATGCACACAGATTAGATTAGATGAGTTCTCTAAGTTTATTCATACTGAATGCCAAGCTAAGTCCACATTTTATTAAGTATGCATGAGGAGAAAGTTAAGCTATATTTTCCTATTTAAAAATGCCTCTCCATTATTCTTCCTGGAAATAATTCCATCACTTTTCTACAGCAAAACATTCATTCACATTTTATGGGGCTTGTTAGTATCTGCAGATGAAATGTGCTCAGAGCCCTGATGCCATTGCCCTTCCTACAGTGGCGGCAGCCTCTGCCACCACACTCTGCCATCTACTTATAATGTCCAAGCTTATTTTTATTCAGGGGCTTCTCTCTCACAGTCTGGTTTGTGAGTTATGTGTCTGCTTTCTGCTTCCTGCCAGAATGTTCACTCCTCACCACTGGATCATTTTTCATCAGTAGAGATACATAATCATCACACTCATTGGTAATTCTCCCTCCATACCAAATGAAAAACATTTATTTTTGTTGTATTTAACTCTATTTCTTCTCGCTTTTCAGTGAATCTGGCTTTAAGATTAAGATGATCATTTATTTTTGTTGTATTTAACTCTATTTCTTCTCGCTTTTCAGTGAATCTGGCTTTAAGATTAAGATGATCAGATTAAGAGAACACATAAAAGATGTTAGTCCCTGGTCTTCCTACTTGCATATTATAACAGAATCAACCTCTGAAAAAATTGGATTATTAACTATTAACTTGATTTATTTTTCATAAGTTTTATGGAAAAAATATAGATACTGAAAAACATTTGATCACGATAAACTTATATGACTATAACAGCATACACGTAAGGGAAAATATATGTGCTAATAAGTATAATTTTTATTTAACATAACTAAAATTGCTATTGTCTTCATTATTTGGTTAATAATGATTTACTTGTTTTAATATTTAGGATAAAAGGGATATTAAGTGAAATTCTAATGATTAAAATGTAAGTAATCTCTGGTATCAAAATATTTTTAAAAGAAAAATATTATAGGAATAGAATCATGATATATGTTTTATATAAGAACATGCTTTTCTTCAGTGTTGCCTTTTGAGAAAATGTAATTGAAGAGGTTATCAAAAAAGGTGCTAAAATTTTATAGCTGAGTCTAACCTGGTCTTCATATCAACACCCATTTCATTTCAGCACATGGCAGACTGAATGTTAGGTGCAGGTTAAATGTCCGTGGTAATTCTGTAGGAAACTGAAATACCCATAGTGACAATGAATCATGTAATATAATACCAGGAATAAAAAATATTTTATGGTGGCTATGCTTCTGTATCTGGGTGAAACTAGAGGAGAAATTTTTCAGTAAGACACCTGTAACCTTATATTGGCCCTAAGTTTTAAAAAATTAATAAATCTCTGTTCAATACTGCTACACATGTTTGAAGATAAAAAGGAAAATGAAGAAGAGCAAAGAATAACTCTCATTTCAATTTTTAAAGTACATATTGAGGACTGACTCTGCAGTAATGGCAATTGAACATACAAAGATAACTGTCAACAACACACGATTTTTGAGATAGATGGTTTTAATAAACCCAAGAATTATACATCTAATTGAGTTCTGTTCCTACATTCATGTGAGTGCCATTCCTCAGGGTAATCATTTTGAACAGATATACAAATTTTCTATAAGTGACATTGCTCAAAACAATTTGGAAATATTTCTTTTGGTAGAGATATACCTCTTCCATATGACAAATTTACCTGTTAGTGATGAGCTCTAATTTTTTATTGTTTTGGTAATATATGCTATTAGCATATATGTATCCATTGCAAAGTGGCTAAAAACAAAGACTGAGTCCAAAATACCTGTGTTTAAGTCCCAACTCTACCAATTTTGACCTGTAAGACTTTGAATGAGTAACTTATCTATACTTAAATTTATTCCTCTCTAACTCTGTACATAATTTTCAGAGAAGTTGCTAGTAGTACATTCACATTCACATAATCACTTACATATCAATATGTGTGTATACTATAATTGTGTATATGTAACATGCTATATAAATGTTTGCCATTATTATTATACTTAATTACAGGATATCCTTCTCTTAATATTTTTTGATGAGAAATTTTCTCTGAACTTATTTTACTTTTTGCTTTGTAAATAATGTCTTTAACCATAAGTATAGTTTTTAAAAATTACAATTTTTTAGAAGTAAAGTTAATATAATAATTTCAATAAAATTCTTGATATGATAATCTCAGTATGGTGAATAATAATTATTGCCTGTTATTTCTTCCACATTGTTTTAGAATCATTTTGAAATGACTTTTAAATTTTTATATAAATTTGAGAGGGGTGGAGCAAGATGGTGAAATGGAAACCTATGACAATGATCCTCCCCACTAGAACACCAGATTTTAACAACTATCTGCACACAGAAGAAGCACCTTCACAAGAACAAAAAATCAGGTGAGCGATTACAGTACCTGGTTTTAACTTCATATTGCCAAAAGAGACATTGAGAAGAGCCACAGAGACAGTCTTGAACCACCAACATCACCCGTCCCCCATTCCTAGCAGTGGCTGGGCAGCACAGTGAGAGATTCTTTGCACTTTCAGAAGGCCGAGTGCAATGACTGGGGTCTTTACATTGAACTTAGTGCTACCCTGTCACAGCAGAGAATAAAGTTCCAAGTTTCTCAGCAAGCCTGACCACTGTGGGCTGAAGTGCTCTGGGGTCCTATGTAAACTTGAAAGGCAGTCTAGGACACAAAAACTGCAACTTGGAGGCAACTCTTAGTGCTAGGCTGCACTTGGAGTCAGAGAAATAAGGTAGCACGTGACCTCAGAGATATCGACTGGCATGACTAAGGGAGTGCTTACATCATCCATCCCCCAATCCAAGGCACTGCAATTCACAGCAACAAAAGTGATGCCTTCCTTCTTCTTAAGGAGAAGAGAGCAAAGAGTAAAGAGGACTTTGTCTTGCATCTTGGTACCAATTTAGCCACAGTAGGATAGGCCACCAGAAAGAGTCATAATGTCCCCATTACAGGCCCTTCCTCCTGGACAATATATCTAGATACACCCTTGGCCAAAAATGAATCCATTGCCTTTAAGAGAAGGACCCAATCCTGGCAAGATTCATCACCTGCTGTCTAAAGAGCTCTTGGGCCCTGAATAACCAGCAGTGATACCCAGGGAGTATGCTGTGGCCCTTGAGATCTGAGATGTGCCGCTGACTTCAGGAGTGACAAAACGTATTCTCTGCAGCTCAGCCACAATGAAGTAAAACAACAACAAGGCTTTTAGGGTCCCCAAGTCCATGCTAAGGCTCTTGCACAGCATTTTTGGACATATCCTGGGACAGAAGGGAGGCATCTACCCTGAAGGGTGAGTCCCAGTCATGGCAGCATTCACTGCAAGCTGACAGAAGAGCCAAGCGAACATCAGCAGTGGCCTGACAAAACCCCTGTGGGTCAGTGGTGGTGGTGGCCACAGGAAGAGGCTTCTTTTCTTATGGAAAGGAGAAGAAAGAGCAGAAAGAATTCTGTATTGTGGTGTGAGTGCCAGCTTAGATGGAGTAGAATAGAATATAAGGTAAACTGCTAAGGTTTTTGACTCCAATCTTTGGCCCCCAGAAAACATCCCTGGATGTGCCTGGGGCCTGGGGAACTTACCATATTAAAGGGCAGGGCCTTGAGCAAGACATAGAGCTATGCTGAATTCAGGTTCCACCCAGTGCAGTCCAAGTGTTGGTGGACACATGGGTGCTTGCATCATCACACTCCCAACTCTGGGTGGCTCAGCACAGGTGAGAGACTCCACTTAGTTGGGAGAAAGGAAGGGAAAAGAAAAACAGTCTCTGCCTGGAAAGGCCAGGTCACCTACAAAGCAAAGCCCCTCAGACTAATAGCGGACCTCTCAGCAGAAACTCTACAAGTCAGAAGAGATTGGGGGCAAATATTAAACATTCTTAAAGAAAAACATTTTCAACCCAGAATTTTATATCCAGCCAAACTAAGTTTCATAAGTGAAAGACAAAAAACATCCTTTCTAGACAAGCAAACGCTGAGGGACTTCATCACCACCAGACCTGCCTTGCAAGAGCTCCTTGCAATTTAGTGATGGAAACACTAAATATGGAAAGGAAAAACTGCTACAAACCAGTGCAAGAACACATCAAAATATAAAGGCCAATAATGTTATGAAGAAACTGTGTCAACTAATGTGGAAAATAACCAGATAGCATTATGATGACACGTTCAAATTCACACATAAATGTAAATGGGCTAAAAGATACACACTGGTAAATTGGACAAAGCGTTAAGACCAATTTGTGTGCTGTATTCAGGAGACCTATCTCACATGTAAAGACACACATAGGCTCAAAATAAAGGGATGGAGGAAAATTTACCAAGCAAATGGAAAGCAAAAAAAAAAAAAAAAAAAAAGCAGGGGTTGCAATCCTAGTCTGTGACAAAACAGACTTTAAGCCAACAAAGATTCAAAACAAAGAGCTAACTAGTCTAAATTTATATGTACCCAATTCAGGAGTGCTCAGATTCATAAAACAAGGTCTTAGAGACCTACAAAGAGACTTGGACTCCCACACAATAATAATGGGAAAATTTAATACCCCAATGTCAATATTAGATAGATCAGCAAGACAGAAAATTAACAGGATATTTAGGACTGGAACTCAGCTCTGCATCAAGTGGACCTAAGAGACATCTACAGAAATCTCTGCCCCAAATCAACAGAGTATACATTCTTCTCAGGGCAAGATGGCATTTATTCTACAATTGACTACATAATTGGAAGTAAAATACTCCTCAGTAAATGAAAAAGAACTGAAATCATAACAAACAGTCGCTCAGACCACAATGCAATCAAACTAGAACTCAGGATTAAGAAACTCACTCAAAACCACACAATTACATGGAAATTGAACAATCTGCTCCTGAATGACTCCTGGGTAAATAATGAAATTAAGGCAGAAATCAAGAAGTTCTTTGACATCAATAAGAACAAGGAGACAATGACTCAGAATATCTGGGACACAGCAAAAGCAAAGTAAAGAGGGAAATGTATAGCACTAAATGCCCACCTCAGAAAGCTAAAAAAATCTCAAATCAACACCCTAACATCACAATTAAAAGAGCTAGAGAGGCAAGAGCAAACTAATCCAAAAGCTAGCAGAAGACAAGAAATAACTAAGATCAGAGCAGGATTGAAGGAGAAAGAGACACAGAAAATCCTCCAAAAACTCAATGAATCCAGGAGCTGGGTTTTTTTTTTTTTTTTTTTGAAAAAATTTTTTAAAAAGATAAATCACCACCTAGACTAATAAAGAAGAAAAAGAGAAGAAGAGACACAATAAAAAATGATAAAGGGGATATCACCACTGACCCCACAGAAATACAAACTATCATCAGAGAATACTAAAAAATACTTCTATGGAAATAAACTAGAAAATATAGAAGAAATTGATAAATTCCTGAACACATACACCCTCTCAAGACTAAGCCAGGAAGAAGTTGAATCCCTGAATAGACCAATAACAAATTCTGAAATTGAGGTAGTAATTAGTAGCCTACCAACCAAAAAAAGCCAAGGACCAGAGAGATTCACAGCCAAATTCTACCAGAGATACAAAGAGGAGCTGGTAGCATTTTTTTCTAAAACTATTCCAAACAATTCAAAAAGAGGGACTCCTCCCTAACTCATTTTATAAAGCCAGCATTATCCTGGTATCGAAACCTGTCAGAGACACAACAACAACAACAACAACAACAACAACAACAAAAACTTCAGGCCAATATCCCTGTTGAACACCTGTGCAAAAATCCACAATAAAATACTGGCAAACTGAATCCAGCAGCACATCAAAAAACTCATCCATCGTGATCAAGTTGGCTTCATCCTTGGGATGCAAGTTTGGTTTACCATATGCAAATCAATCATACAATTCATCACATAAACAGAACCAAAGACAAAAACCACATGATTATCTGAATAGATGCAGAAAAGGCCTTTGATAAAATTCAACATCCCTTCATGTTAAAAACTCTCAAGAAACTAGGTATTGATGGGACATATCTTGAAATAATAAGTTCTATTTATGACAAACCCATAGCCAATATCATATTGAATAGGCAAAAGCTGGAAGCATTCCATTTGAAAACTGGTACAAGACAAGGATGCCCTCTCTCACCACTCCTATTCAACAGAGTATTGGAAGTTCTGGCCAGGGCAATCAGGCAAGAGAAAGAAATAAATGGTATTCAAATAGGAAGAGAGGAAGTCAAATTGTCTCTGTTTGTAGACAACATAATTCTATATTTAGAAAACCCATCATCTAAGCCCCAAAACTCCTTAAGCTGATAAGCAACTTCAGCAAGTTCTCAGGATACAAAATCAATGTGCAAAAATCACAAGCATTCCTTTACATCAACAATAGACAAGCAGAGAGCCAAATCATGAATGAACTCCCATTCATATTTGCTAAAAAGAGGATAAAATACCTAGGAATACAACTTACAAGGATGTGAAGGACTTCTTCAAGGAGAACTACAAACCACTGCTCAAGTAAATCAGAGAGGACACAAACAAATGGAAAAACATTCCATGCTCATGGATAGGAAGAATCAATATTGTGAAAATGGCCATACTGCACAAACTAATTTGTAGATTCAATGTTATTCCCATCAAACTACCATTGACATTCTTCACAGCATTATTAAAAACTACTTTAAATTTCATATAGAATCAAAGAAGACCCTGTATAGCCAAGACAAACCTAAACAAAAAGAACAAAGCTGGAGGCATCACACCACCTGTTTTCAAACTATACTACAAGGCCACAGTAACCAAAACAGTATGGTACTGGTACAAAAACAGACAAATAGACCAATGGAATGGAACAGAGAACTCAGAAATAACACCACACATCTACAGTCATCTGATTTTCAACAAACCTGGCAAAAACAAGCAATGGGGAAAGAATCTTCTATTCAATAAATGATGCTGAGAAAACTGGCTAGCCATATGCAGAAAACATAAACTGGACCCTTTCCTTACACTTTATATGAAAATTCACTCAAGATGGATTAAAGGCTTAATGTAAACCCCAAACCATAAAATCCCTAGAAGAAAACGTAGGCAATACCATACAGGACATAGGCATGGGCAAAGACTTCATGACGAAAATGCCAAAAGCAATTGCAACCAGAGCGAATATTGACAAATGGGATATAATTAAACTAAAGAGCTTCTGCACAGCAAAAAACACTATCATCAGAGTGAACAGGCAACCTGCGGAATGGGATAAATTTTTTGCAATTGACCCATCTGACAAAGGTCTAATATCTTGAATTCATAAGGAAATTAAACAAATTTACAAGAAAAAACAAACAACCTTATCAAAAAGTGAGCAAAGGAAATAAATGGACGCTTCCGAAGAGAAGACATTTTTGCAGCCAACAAACATATGAAAAAAAGCTCAACATCACTGATCATTAGAGAAATGCAAATCAAAACCACAATGAGACACCACCTCATTCCAGTCAGAATGGCAATTATTCAAAAGTCAAGAAACAGTAGATGCTGGTGAGGCTGTGGAGAAATAGGAACATTTTTACACTGCTGGTGGGAATGTAAATCAGTTCAACCATTGTGAAAGACAGTATGGTGATTCCTCAAGGATCTAAAACCAGAAATACCATTTGACCCAGTAATCCCATGACTGGGTATATACCCAAAGGAATATAAATCATTCTACTATAAAGTCACATGGACACATATGTTTATTGTAGCACTATTTACAATAGCAAAGTCATGGAACAAACTCAAATTCCCATCAATGATAGACTGAATAAAGAAAATGTGGTATATATACACCACGGAATACTATACAGCCATAAAAAGAATGAAATCATGTCCTTTGCAGGGACATGGATAAATCTGGAAGTTATCATCCTCAGCAAACTAACACAGAAACAGAAAACCAAACACCACATGTTTTGGTTTGAACATAAGTGGGAGTTGAACAATGAGAACACATGGACACAGAAGGGGAACAACACACACCAGGGCCTTTTAGAGGGTGGGAAGGTGAGGAGAGGGAACTTAGGGGACTGGTCAATAGGTGCAGCAAACCACCATGGCACATGTATACCTATGTAACAAACTGCATGTTCTGCACATGTATCCTGGAACTTAAAAACAAAACAAAACAAAAAAAGTTGGCCAGGCGCTGTGGCTCACGCCTGTAATCCCAGCACTTTGGGAGGCCGAGGTGGGTGGATCACAAGGTCAGGAGATCAAGACCATCTTGGCTACCATGGTGAAACCCCATTTTTACTAAAAATACAAAAAAAAAAATTAGCTGGGCGTGGTGGTGGATGCCTGTAGTCCCAGCTACTTAGGAGGCTTAGGCAGGAGAATGGTGTGAACCTGGGAGGTGGAGCTTGCAGTGAGCCAAGATCATGCCACTGCACTCCAGCCTGGGTGACACAGCGAGACTTCATCTCAAAAAAAAAAAAAAAAAAAAAAAAAAAAGTCACTGTCTAGTATTCCGGAGGAGTCTTCCATATATTATCCAAGACTACCAAGGTGGTATCTCTACAATTATGCAAAAACCACAGTGTTACACAGTGTTATCAGCCTCGGAGCCCAAGTCCGTTTAGTTACCTGTAAAACCTTCCCAAGAAAGACAGGCAGAAAGAAGCCCGGGCTGTGAAGACTACAATAAATATCTAACTGCAATACACAGACACTGAGAAACATCTACAAGCATCAACAACATCCAGGAACACATTACTCCAACAACTGAACTAAGTAAGGCACCAGGTGCTAATCTTGGAGAAACAGAGACATATGATGTTTCACACAGAGAATTCAGAATAGCTCTTTTGAGGAAACTCAAAGAAATTCAAGATAACACAGAGAAGGAATTCAAAATTCTATCAGATAAATTTAACAAAGAAATTGAAATAATTAAAAAGAATCAAGTAGAAATTCTAGAGTTGAAAAGTGCAATTGACATACTGCATAATGCTTCAGAGTCACTTAATAGTAGAATTAACCAAACAGAATAATTAGTAAACTTGAAGACAGGCTACTTGAAAATACGCAGTCAGGGAGACAAAAAAAAATAGAATAAAAGATAGTGTGAAGCACACCTACCAGATCTACAAAATGGCCTCAGTGGGGCAAATCTAAAAGCTATTGGCCTTAAAGAGGAGGTGGAGAAAGACAGGGGTAGAATATTGACTCAAAGGGATAATAACAGAGAATATCCCAAACCTAGAGAAAGATACCAATATCTAAGTGCAAGAAGATTATAGAATAGTAAGCAGATTTAACCAAAAGAAGACTACACCAAGGGATGTAATAATCAGACTCCCAAAGATCAAGGATAAAGAAAGGATCCTGAAGTCTGCTCCAATAACTTTGGGAGCAGACTTTTTAGTGGAAACCTTACAGGCCAGGAAAGAGTGGAAGGACACATTTAAAGTGCTAAAGATGAAAACCTTTTACCCTAGAATAGTATATCCATTCAAAATATTCTTCAAGCATGAAGGAGAAATAAAGACCTTCCCAGACAAACAAAAGCTGAGGGATTTCATCAATACCAGATATGTCCTACAAGAAATGCTAAAGGGAGTTCTTCAATCAGAAAGAAAAATATGCTAATGAGCAAGAAGAAATCATCTGAAGGTACAAAACTTACTGATAATGGTGAGCATATAGAAAACCACAGAACACTATCATACTGTAATAGTAATGTGTAAACTACACTTGTGTTAGGTAAAAAGACTAAAGGATGAACAAATCACAGTAATAACTACAACTTTTCAAGTCATTGACAGTACAATAAGATATAAAGAGAAACAACAAAAAATTAAAAAGAAGTGTAGAGTTTTTATTTATTTTCCTTTTGCATTTTTTGGTTGGTAAATACAATCAGCATTCACCTGTCATCAGTTTAAAATAATGGGTTATAAAATAGTATCTGCAATCCTCATGGTAACCTCAAATCAAAAAACATACAATGGATACACAAAAAATGAAAAGCAAGAAATTAAAGCATACCACCAGAGAAAAATCACCTTCACTAAAAGGAAGACAGTAAGGAAGAAGGAAGAGAAGAAGTAAGGAAGAAAAGAAGGAAGAGAAGAAGTAAGGAAGAAAAGAAGAAAGAGAAGACTGCAAAACTACCAGAAAATAAAAATTAAGATGGCAGGAGTAAGTCCCTATTTATCAACAATAACATTTAATGTAAATGGACTAAGCTCTCCTATCAAAAAACACAGTGGCTGAATGAACGAAAAAATAGGACCCAATGATCTGTTGCCTACAAGAAACACACTTCAGCTATAAAGATGCACATAGACTAAAAATAAAGGGACGAAAAAAATATTTTATGCCGATGGAAACCAAAAAGGAGTAGGAGTAGCTGTACTTACATCAGACAAAATAGATTTCAAGACAAAAACATAAGAAGAGACAAAGAAGGTCACTATATAATAATAAAAGGGTCAATTAAGTAAGAGGATGTAACAATTGTAAATACATATGCACCCAACACTGGAGCACCCAGACATATAAAGAAAATATTATTGGAACTAAAGAGAGAGCTAGACTCAATACAATAATAGCTGGAGACTTACCATCCCCACTTTGATCATTGAACAGATCTCTCAGACAGAAAATCAACAAAGAAATATCAGATTTAATCTGCACTATAGAACACATGGAACTAATTGATATTTACAGAACACTTCTTCCAAAGGCTGCAGAATACACAATTTTCTTCTCAACACATGGGTCCTTCTGTAATACTAAGGATAGACCATATGTTAGGTCACAAAGCAAGTCTTAAAACTTTTGAAAAAGCTGAAATAATATTAAGCATCATCTCTGACCACAAGGGAATAAAACCAAAAGTCTACAGCTAAAGGTATTTTGAAAAGTATACAGATGCATGGAAATTAGACAATATGCTACTGAATGACCAGTGAATCAATGAAGAAGTTAAGAAGAAAATCGAACAATTTCTTGAAATAAATGATAATGGAAACACAACATACCCAAACCGATGGAATATAGCAAAAGCAATAGTAATTGGGAAATTTATAGCATAATTGCCTACATAAAAAAGAAGAAAAATGTCAAGTAAATAATCTAATATGCATCTTAAAGAACTAGAAAAGCAAGAGCAAATCAAACACAGAATTTCCTCAAGAGAAGAAATAATAAGGATCAGAGCAGAAATAAACAAATTTATAATGAAGAAAGCAATACAAAAAATCAATGAAACAAAAATTTGGTTTTTTGAAAAGATAAACCTTTAGCCAGACTAAGAAAGAAAGAGAGAAGATTCAAATAAGTTAACTCAGAGATAAAAAAGGAAATATTACAACTAATACCCCAGGAATTTAAATGATCATTAGTGGCTACTATGAGCCACCATGTGTCAATAAATTAGAAAATCTAGAAGAAATGGATAAATTCCTAGAAACATACAACATATCAAGACTGAACCATGAAGAAATCCAAAACCTAAACAGACCAACAACAAGTAAAAAAATCAAAGCGGTAATAAAAATTCTCCCATCAAAAAAAAAAAAAACAAACAAACGAAAAAAGAAAAAACTGTGACCTGATGTTTTCATTGCTGATTTCTATCAAATATTTAAAGAATAACTAATATCAATTCTACTTAAACTTTTCCAAAAAAAAAGAGTAGGAAATACTTCCAAACTCATTCTATGAGGACAGTGTTACCCTGATGCCAAAACCAAAAAAAAAAGGGAACTATAAGCCAATATCTCTGATGAATATTGATGAAAAATCCTCAAAAAAATACTAGCGAACTGAATTAAACAATACATTAAAAAGATCATTCATCATAGCCAAGTGGGATTAAGCCCGGGGATTCAAGGCTGGTTTAACATATGCAAATTAATCAATGTGATACATCATATCAACAGAATGAAGGACAAAAACCATATGTTCATTTCAATTGATGCCCCAAAAGCATTTGATACAGTTCAACACCTCTTCATGGTAAAAACTGGATATAGAAGTAACATACCTCAACATAATAAAAGTCATATATGATGGACCTACAGCTAGAATCCTACTGACTGGGGAAAACTATAAGTCTTTCCTCTAAGATCTGGAAGAAGATAAGGAGGCCCACTGTCACCACTGTTATTCAATATATTGGAAGTCCTAGCTAGAGCAATCAGACAAGAGAAAAAAAATCAAGGACATCCAAATTGGAAAGAAAGAAGTCAAATTATCCTTGTTTGCAGATGATATAACCTTATATTTGAAAAATATAAATTTGATGGAGACTTAAAGTTTTTCCTAAACACTCCACCAAACAACTATTAGAACTTATGAATTCAGTAAAAATTGTGGAATAAAAAAGCAACATACAAAAATCAGTAGCATTTCTATATGCCAACAGTGAACAATCTGAAAAAGAAATTTAAAAAGTAATTCAATTTACAGTAGCCACAAATAAAATTAAATACCTAGAAATTAACTTAAACAAAGAAGTGAAATATCTCTACAATGAAAACTATGAAACACTATGAAAATAATTGAAGAGGACACTAAAAAATGAAAAGATATTCCATGTTAATGGATTGGAAGAATCAGTATTATTAAAATGTCCACACTACCCAAAGCAATCTACAGATTCAAGACAAACCATGTCAAAATAATAATGGCATTCTTCACAGAAATAGAAAAAATTCTAAAATTTACATGAAATCACAAAAGACTCAGAATAAGCAAAGCTATCTTAAGCAAAAAGAGCAAAAGTGGAGGAATCATATTACCTTACTTCAAATTATACAACAGAGATATAGTAATCAAAACAGCACAATATGGCATAAAAACAGACACATAGATCAATGGAGCAGGATAGAGAACCCAGAAATAAATCTGGACAACTACAGTGAGCTCATTTTCAACAAAAGTGCCAAGAACAAACACTGGGGAAAAGATAGCCTCTTCAATAAACAGCGATGAGAAAACTGAATATCCATGTGCAGAAGAATGAAAGTAGACCCCAATCTCTCATCATCATTTTGATTTATACAAAAGTCAAATAAAAATGGATTAAAGACTTAAATGTGAGAACTCAAACTATGAAGCTACTACAAGAAAACATTGGGGGATATTCTCCAGGACATGATCTGGGCAAAAATTTCTAGAATAATACCCCACAAGCAAAGGCAGCCAAAGCAAAAATGGACAAATGGCATCACAACAAATTAAAAAGCTTCTGCACAGCAAAGAAAACAGCCAAGAAAGTGAAAAGACAACCTACGGAAAGGGAAAAAAAATGTTCGCAAACTACCCATCGGACAAGGGATTAATAACCACAATGTATAAAGGAACTCAAACAACTCTATAGGAAAAACATCTAATAATCCAATCAAAAAATGGGCAAAAGATTTGAATAGATATTTCTTGAAAGAAGACATATAAATGACAAACAGGCATATGAAAAGCTTCTCAACATCATTGATCATCAAAGAAATGAAAATCAAAACTACAATGAGATATCATCTCACCCCAGTTAAAATGGCTTTTATCCAAAAGACAGGCAATTACAGATGCTGGCAAGGAAGTGGGGAAAAAGGAACCCTTGTACATTGTTGGTGGAGAGGTAAATTAGTACAACCACTGGGGATAACAATTTGGAGGTGTCTCAAAAAACTAAAAATAGAGCTTACAACAGCAATCCCACTGCTGAGTATAAACCCAAAAGAAAGGAAGTCAGTATATCAAGGTGATATCTGCACTCCCATGTTTGTTACAGCAGTATTCATAGTTGCCAATATTTGGAAGCAACCTAAGTGTCCATCAACAGATGAATGGATAAAGAAAATGTGGTACATATACACAATGGAGAACTATTCATCCATAAAAAATAATGAGATCCGTTTTTTTTTTTTTTTTTTTGCAACAACATGAATGGAACTGGAGGTGATTATATTAAGTAAAACAATCCAGGCACAGAAAGACAAACATCGCATGTTCTCACTTACTTGTGAGATCTAATTATCAAAACAATTGTACTCATGGAGATCCAGAGTAAAAGAATGGTTACCAGAGGCTGGGAAAGGTAGTGGAGCAATGGGTGGGAAGAGGTAGAGATGGTTAAGGGATACAAAAAAAATAGAAAGAGTGAATAAGACCTACGAATTGATAGCACAACAGTGGGGCTATAGTCAATAATAATTTAATTGCACATTTTAAAATAACTAAAAAAGTATAATTGGATTGTTTATAGGACAAAGAATAAATGACTGAGTGGATGGATATTCAAGTTTCCATGATACAATTATCACCTGTACCAAAACATCTCATATACTCCATAAAGATATAAACCTATTATGTGCATATAAAAATTAAAAATTAAAAAAATATAAATGTATATTTAGGAGAAAATATTTACGTGATAGTTAATCATTCTACATAAGTACATAGCTTGTCCATTTTCAACCTTTCTTTTAATGTTGCTCATTAATATTTTATAGATTACTTTCTATTATTATTCACAAGTATTTTACATTTTTGCTGCAATTTATTATGAATAAAATAAATTTCCGTCATATTTTCTAACAGGCCATTGCTTATGTCTTAGGCTCTTTCCCCCAAAAGCAGATGCTGATCAAGGATTCATATTCATATGCAAGTAATTTATTAAGGAATTGTTCCCGGGTAAAACCAGTAAAGGAGTGGGGAAAAGGAAGGAAGGGAAGGGGTCAAAGCTAAGAAAGGGTAGAATCTCAGGCCTGCAAAAGATAACTTCCACTTGATCCTGCAGGGAACTGTGGAGTGTTAGCTGAGAGTCATGGCAAGGAAGCTAGAACTGTCCTACCTCAGTATGTGTCAATCAGTGATAAATGGATGCACCCACAAAGTACACATTCCCAGCCACTTCTGGATGTCCACTCAAGCAAAGTAGGCATCAGTAACCTGAAGGCTATTACACAAAAATAAGTGTTACAAATGCTAGCTTTTAGGGCAAAAGCACACTAGAGCCATGGCACATAAAAATAGTAAATAAAAAATATTAAGGAGGTCTTTGCAGAATACCCAAATTGTCCACTTCAGTCCAAGCTTTGAACTTCTTAGATCCACTCCCATCATATATTAAGTCCACTCCATCCAAAACAGATTCTTCAAAATCGTGGCTGATCAGAATTTCTAAGGAAAAGCTTAGAAAAAAATCTGCATTTGGAAAAGGAGCGCAATTGTGATTATCACCTGATGTGGTTTAAAATAATGCAGTCCTTTTCAAAGAACCATCACATTTTATATGGGCCAACAGGAAGATATCAATGAGGATGTGAACAGCATCACTGCCCTTCTTTTTTGAGGTCTTTCATGGGCTACAATTATTTCTGCAATTTCCAAAAGAGTACAGTGTTGTTTTGGGTTCAGTATTCTACCTGTGAGAGCTAGCAGGGAGGGAAAGTTCTGGCAACTTTCATTTATCCTTTTTGTACTAATAACCCTCACTCCCTGGCTTAGAGAGCCAGTCTGAGAATACTGCCAATGCCAGTGCCAAGTAGGTCCATTTTAATTATACATTTAGGATATAGTGACCCACACAGAGAGGGTCCATGGACTTACTGGACACTGGGTGATTCATACTTGGTACACGCCTCCATTTCTTAACTATTATAATTGCACATTGGTATTGTGAGTAACCCAAAACTTGTGTTGGTCCCTAAAAGTTTGGATATGCCATTTTCTCCAGTGCACAATCACCCTAATAATTGTCCTCAGGTCACTTTTGATGAGGTCAGAGGAAGAGAAATGGCAGATTCCTATGGCAGTAGAGCAAAACTCTCCTTCAATCAAGAGGCTTGAGTTCTGTAAACTGACTTAAGTCTAGAATTAGGGGAAAGGATGTGGTTCTTCATTGTGGTGACTCAAATCATGGGTTTGGCCTTTAACCTGAAAGTTTTCTTATTATGTATATCAAATAATGCTTTACTGGGTTGAACATTTACTTTGTTTTAGGCACATGTGACTGACCCCTGATAGAGGTCAATCCCACAGAGACCTCTATGGGTAAAAACTTCAACCCCAGTGCACATTATACTTAATGTGCCCACCTAGCCTCTGGCAGTTAAATGGTGCATTATCTTTACCGAAAGCCCAACTCAATGATGGCATCTCCCAAATTATACCTGGCCTATAGAGGGCATCCCCATTTTTCAAGAAGATGGACATTCCCCTAACTAATGAAATTTCTCAATAACTTAATGAAGGGAGTGCCCTTTGGGCCCCTTCAGGAAAAAGCAAACTGTGGGAAAAACTAGTTGCATGTGATAAAGCCATTTCAGTTTGCCTACTTCTCTAAACCTTTGGATTCATTCCTCTATATTACATGAAGGAAGTTCTTGTGTCTCAACATCATTGAGTTACCACTGAGTCTAAGTTTCACTCAACCCCTCTGGTAAAATGTTAGAGCCTCTTCCACCTGCCAAACTAGCACATGAAATTCAGACTCTCTGTTAGATGTACCTGTGTCAATATATTTGGCCTTATCCATTTGTATGCATTTTGCAATTCATTTTGGAATACAAGCTACTTCCTTCCAACTCACTTTCTAAATAACCTCCTGGGGCATGCTGAAAATTGACACTAATCATAAGATGCTAAACACAGGAAGAAGGGCTGCTTCCACTAGCAAAGAAAATTCAGAATGATCCAATGCAATGCTCAATATCATCCAAGTCTTCCCAAATATCTCTATTCCAAGTCTCAGGGTTCCACTCCTTCTCAATCAATGCCCTAACTTCACATGAGCCACTTAATGAAGGTGCAAACTCACCCTCTGCAATCCATACAATTAACTTTAGTTTCTGTTTTTTTTTTCAGAGATATTATCATAGCACATCAAGAAACAAGAGATAAATTTAGATTTTCCATAGGATTTATCTGTTTTTACCTATGGGACCTGTCTGAGAGTCCCATCACCTGAAAGTTTAAGGATGTGAGATATTTTCTTTCTAAAAGTGCTTCTTTGCACTGAGGAGCAACCATCTCATGTCACAGTGTTTTTAGTAATTATTGCAGTCATAAGAGGTAAGCACAGCAAGCATCAAGTGCTGCACATACTTGCTTCACTGAACACTTCACCACCATCAACTGTATATGATAAGTTTGCCAATAATATGTCCTGCATTTCATGACTTATTTGGATACCATTTCCTTTCAGTAAGGATCTGAGCACTGCAGTCAAGCTTAGTTGAAAAGAAAACTGAACCAATCCCCAAACACAATACAAATGTTTGAAAAGACAAACACATACTGGGAGAAAACATTTGCAATGCATTTAACTATAAATGGTTAATATCTAGAATAGAAAAATGAATTTCAACAATTTATAAAAGAAGGACAAACAACACAAGAGAAAATAAGCAAAGCATATTAACTGCCAGTTGTATACAGGGAACTGGCCAAAAATATAGGGTAACTTGATTTATTCAGCATTTAATATTTAAGTAGTAGTTCTCTTTATTTCTATTTTTTGACTTAAATGTAATTTATTGATATTAATATGTCAATATTAATATCTTTTGGTTAATCTCTTCTGGGTACTTTTTCCTTTTGTCATCTTTTTTGGAACCTTAAGTTATTGGGTTTAACTTGCATATAGTTGATAATTTTTAACATAATCTGTAAATCTTTTTTCAGTGGTGAGAATCATCCATTTATATTTATTGTGATTACTGATATATTTGGAATCTTTCTACCATTTTATTTTGTGTTTGCTGTTTGTCCTGCTTTTATAGCATATTTTATTTCCTTTTATACCTTTGTCTAAGGTTAATTTCTCTTCTTTTATTTCTTTTCTCTCTTCTTTCATAATTTATGCACCCTATTTCTATTTTTCTAATGGTTTTCCTGAAAATTTTAATATGAAAATGAAGTTAGTATTTTCTTTTCCTACTCTTTCAAACAACAAAAGAGACCTTACAACACTTTAACTCTGATCAACTCCAACTCATCTTTCATGATACTGTTGTGCAGCATTTTATATCTGACTTATTTAACACAAAATTAGACATTATTGTTTTATATGTTCAATATATGTTCTATATGTTTATTTATACTGGTTATATTTTATATTCTTTAGCATGTGAGGTTTTTTTTCTCCATTTGATATTGCATTCATAGTCTTCCTAGGATAATATTCTTTCCTTTTGAAGTACATCCTTTTCAAGATGCTTTAGTGAGTGTCTATTAGAGATAAATTCAGTTTTTACTTGCTCTAATGTTTTTCACCATCATTCTTGAAAAAATACAAAAATGCCAGATTATTTCTCTCAACACTTGGAAAGATTCCTCTACTGTCTTCTGGCTTCTATTGTTAAGAAATTTGCTGTCAATTTTATACATGTGTAGGATCATTTTTCTGTGGCTTTTTAGAGATCTCTCTACCTTTGGTGATCTGTTAGAAAACAAGGATGAATTTCGGTATGGATTTCATCTTTGTTATATCTACTTAAGACTTATTTAGGTTTTGTCTATGGATGGAACTAGGGGCCATTATCCTTAGCAAACTAACACAGGAACAGAAAATCAAATACTGCATGTTCTCACTTATAAGTGGGAACTAAATGATGAGAACACATGTACACATAGCAGACAGCAACACACACTGGGGCTTTTCAGAGAAATGAGGGTAGGAGAAGGGAGAGTATCAGGAAAAATAACTAATGGGTACTAGGCTTAACATCTGAGTCATGAAATAACCTGTACAACAAATCCCCATAACACAAGTTTACCTATGTAACAAACTTGTAGTTGTACCTCTGAACTTAAGAGTTAAAAAAGAGTCATTTATGCTTCTTTAATACAGAGATTCATGCCTTTGATTGATTAGGAAAAATCTTAGTCTTTATCTGTTTAAATAGATCCTCTCTTTCCTTGTCTCAATTATTTTTTTCTAAAAGTCCTATTAGATATATGTTCAATTATATTTTTCATTACAAGTTCTTTTTGGTTTCTTTATAAAATATTTTTATTGCATATCCTTATTTTTCATATTTTCTGTTGCAGTTGTTCTCATTCAGTGTGGCTAATTTTGTGTATGTGTTTTAATTTTGATTGTGAATTTATATCCAGTATAACCTTTTGGTGGAATGTCCACCAGGCCTGGATAAGGTTACATCCCTTTCCAGAAGATTTACACTTTCCTTCTAACATAACTCAGCATCTTATTTCATGATGTTTATTTTGTTCTTTCTTTCTGTTTGTTTACTTGTCTTTTGCTATGCATGCTATAATTTTGTTTGCTTTTGAAGGAACTTAAGTTCATTTCTCAGCTTGTGTTTCCCTAATCCACAGAAATAGTGTAAATTTGAACACCAAACCAATGTGGTTACACACTCCCAGAACCTTTTTATTGTTTGCCCACTGAAAGTAGTAACCAAAACAAATAAGTATTTTTGTATTCTACCTTTCTTCCTAAGAAGTTTTTCTTTGGTTGTTTTTGTTTTGCTTGGCTTTTTTCCATCTACTCTTTTATTAATATTTTAGCCCTTTTAATTTTCAACTTTCTTCAAGAGCTTTATTTTCAACCTCTCTCTCTTTGCCTAGGTCCAAGGCCTGGTCTTCTGGGAAAGCTTCCTGTTTTTCTGAAACTATTCTGCTGGGTAGTTATAGATTTCAGTTCTATTTCCCAATCAGTTTGCTAACTCTCTTTTTTTTAACTCACAAGGATCCCCTTACGTTATAGTCAACACATTAAAAAAAAAATGGTTTTACTTTACCCACATACAAATCTGCATTGTAGTGAGGCTTTTCCAGACATGTATTCTGCATTATTGCCAGAAATAGCAACCCTGCAATTTTAATTTTAAATTCATCTTTGATTCAAGAGTTCCTTAGAGGATAACTTTTAATTTCTAAGAAGTTGTGAGTATTATTGTTTGATTTTGAGTTTTATTCAAGCGTTATTCTAAAATATGACCTGTACATTTCCCAAATTGGGGAATTTATTGGGATTTCTTGTATGGTCTACTGATAGAGGAGTGCTGGGAAGGGAAGAGGGTGGTGCATTTAAATGATGCAGAGCGGGAGAAGGGAAGTGCTGGCTAGAGGAGGGCGTGGTCTCTAGCTAGGGCTTCACCCTCGGACCTGTGCCCACAGACCTAGGTGAGGACAGGCGCTCCTGCCTTCACGCCCAATGTTGAATTTTCCAAGATCACCCTGGCCCGCCACACCCCATCCTGGGCCTATAAATATAACCCGAGACCCCACTGGGCAGACACACAAGCGGCGGGGGTCGTAAGGAACACATCAGCAGAAGAAGACACAGGCGGCTAGACGTTGGAGGGGCCCACACCAGCAGAAGAGCACACGACAGACACCGGCAGGCGGGCAGGCCATCAACAGGGGGAACTATGCGGAGTTTGGCTGGTATAGTCAAAGGAGAGCCCAGCCCGCAGAGAGGCCTCCAGGGGAAAACCATCTCCCTCTGGCTCCCCCATCTGCTGAGAGCTACTTCCACTCACTAAAACCTTACACTTATTCTCCAAGCCCAGGTGTGATGCGATTCTTCCAGCACACCAAGGCAAGAACCCAGCATATAGAAAGCCCTCTGTCCTTGCGACGAGGTAGAAGGTCTAACTGAGCTGGTTAACACAAGCCTATAGACGGCAAAACTAAAAGAGCACCCTGTAACACACGCCCACTGGGGCTTGAGGAGTTATAAACATTCACCCTCACACACTGCCGTGAGGTCGGAGCCCCACAGCCTGCCCGTCTGTACACTCCCCGCCCGTCTGTACACTCCCCTAGAGGTCTGAGCAGTGGGGCACTGAAGAAGCGAGCCAGTCCCTCTGTCGCACACCCTGAGAAGGGGACAAGGGAACTTTTTCCGTTTCATTAGAGTATCATCAATTTGATAAACATTTTAAGAAAAATGAAAAGGATGAAACATTTTTAAAGAAAGAAATGTCAATTGTCATTCTAATAATTAAATCTATTATATTATGTATGCTTACTTATTTTATGTCCAATCACCTGTCAAAAATTGAAAGTGGTGATAACATGTCCTGAAATGATTGCATTGTTTTACTTTTTTTCCTTCTTCTCTAGCAGTTTCTGTTCTGTATATGTCAAAACCATGTTATTTGCTCGTTGGAGTTTGAGTCTATTATATCTTCAGTGTAGATAGTAACTTTTATCTTTCTTCCCTTTGCTGGTTTTGTTTTGGAATTACGTTTTAATGAATATTAATAGTCTCACTCCTTTATTTAGTTCTTGTTTGCTGAATATACCTTTGTCCATCCTTTTATTGTTTACTTTTTTGTTATTTTTGTTTTGGAGTAACTCTTGTGTATAGTGAGTGCATATTTAGATACACTGGAGTTGCCACATTTTAATCTTTGTGATTTAATAGTGAGTTTAATCTTTTTAAATTTATGGTTGTATCTGAAATATTTAATCATATTAACATCACTGTATTTCATGCACGGTTTATTTTGTGGTTTCTTTCTGTTTCCTTTGTTTTTCCCTATATGGATATTTTGTTTGCTTAATTTCTATAGCAGTTTAGAAGCTACCCTGTTTTATGTTTCTACTGATTACTTAAAAATTTAATATTTAAAATGTATACTGTAATATATACATTTAAAATTGTCTACATCAGTACAGAAGTATTAACTATTGACTTCCTCCTATCATAGATGAGAAATGAAGCATGCTTTACTTCCTCTACCCAAGCCACCAAGCCAAACCCACTTGTTAGTTTTAATAAACAATATTCTGGATTATTAGGTTCAATTTAATATTAATGTATACAATGTATCTTTTTGTTTATAATTGTTTTTATATTTACATGAATTTTTATAGCTGTTGATTAAATACAACAACGTTCAAATAGTTTCAATGCTTACCAGCTGTATACTATAACTTCCTCATTTTTGTGATATCTATTTTAATCTCTTGTTTGGTGAAATATTTTTTTCAAAAGTGAATGTGGCCAGTGTATTTTCTGAGAATCGTCATGTGATAAAAGAACTTTCTGTTGCCAAAGCACAAGACCAATAATTTGGCTGGGTATAGGGATTTTCAGTGGTAACGTTTTCTCTTGAAAAACACTATTCTATTTTTTTCCACCATGCAATTAGTAATGAAAGGACAATTTTGATGTCAGCATTTAAATAATTTTGTATTTTAATGTGGTTTTAAAATGATCAGATCAGAGATCCAGTTGTTTTGAAGGAAACAGTGAGGGTATCAGAACCCTGCATAATAATTCAGGTACCAGCCTTTGCCTCTCTTCCATTTCTTCTGTGTTGTCTTCTCTTGCAAAACAAACAAGCCTTCACAGGATGAGGCTTTTACTATACGCATAGCTGCCCACACCTGAGAGAAGGCGTGGTGCCACCAGGGCCCACCTATGTCATCCTTTATGCTGTCAACTCTGTGCTTAATTTGAACTGTCTATACTAGAAAGAATTTCAGCAGCCTTCCAATTCTACTGGTGGCACCCAGAATAATACATTCAACAAAGAGAAAAGCAATCCAAGTTGTCTGCCCCCTGAAGACTACAAGTCTACTTTGCCTCCATCATTCACTACCTGGTTTAGGTAGTGAAAACTATTTTATTCCCAATCCCCAGTCTTCCATATTCATGTATACTTATGAATCTAACTTTTGCTCTTCATAAAAGGAGATGTGTGGCCCAGGCTGTAGTCTTGCACTACCAGCACAAAGCAAAAACTCCTTAGCATAAAAGCAGATCTCAGAGATCCATGGAATACCTTCTGAATGGGTCTATTTTGACTTTTACTGAACTACACTTTGGTTTTCTATACCATCTGCCTTTCTGAAGGACATTAAAGGAAACCATTCTATGAAACTCACACATTTATTTGTGGTAAGATATTGGTGACGGTAGCTTTAATTATGCTTCACAGTAAGGCTGTCACCTGCAGGTCCAGCCTTAACCTAGATTTTAAAACCTATCTTTTCCTTAAGTAGATAAATTTTAAATACTGTTCTTGTGTTATGTCTTAACCTTCAATTTTACACTATTGTCTCGTAACTCAATTTTAGTAACTGAATCATGCCCCAGTAAGGCTATATCTTTCCCAGCAGGTCTTTGTTCTGTCTTGTCCTTACCAGCCTTCCTGGGTATTAAGGTGCTTTCCATAAACTCAAAATTATATGACAGAATGGTTTCTATCTGGTGCTAGAGGGACTGCCCTGAGATTAGCCCTTCCTGGCCAGTACTTCTCAGCTTCCTGTTCTCCATGCATTTCTTGCTCATTGGCTGCAGCTTTCATCAGAGCCTGCTCATTTCCTACCAAGTGCCCGCTTCAGGGGATTTCCCAGATACTTTGCCGTAACTCAGTGGACTTAATGTGTTCCCAAGAACTTACATTCCTAAGTCCAACCTGTTCCGCCATCCACCAAGCCCTCGGTTCTGATATCACACTTATTTTTTACCAGAACTAAGGCAATTTTCAATTATCTGGATTTGCCTATGGGTATCTAAAGTTTTTATGCAGCAGCAATAAGTATTTGCAAAGGCATTAACTGAATATGCTATAATGTACGAGGGGAGGATTTTCAGGCTCATTGCCAGTCATCTGATACTAAAAACTAGTTTGTTAAAATTGAGATGGTGCCTACTCCATACCACATGACTTTACCTGCTATTAGCAATTGACTGTGCTTAGACAAATGTTTTTCATTTTCCTTAATCATTCTCACAAAGGAAATGATAAGTGGCTATTCTTCACCACTGAGTAACACAAATAAGCAAGAAACACAAAAGTAGCTCAATCTCTTTTGTTTACTGCTAAGTAAACCTTAACAGTATTTCTACAAGGCTTTCCCAGTAAGTAGAAATTTATTGTTATTTTTATTGTATTTAAGTCAAGAAATGTCTATAAAACCCTGGAGGGATGAAATTTTTCAGAAATTCTCTCTGAATAGTCCCTTTAGAAAGTATGAATTGAAAATATCTAATTTCAATCTGATAATAAAAGGATAAAACAATCTGACCCTTTCAATAAACAATTGTTTTGTTTCCATGTTAGTCATTTTACCTTCTTGAAACTTGAGCTTCTATGATGACTTTGCACATAGTTACTTCTATTTATCAGTGAGCATTTATTGAGTGCCTTCTACCAGTAAGATCCTTTGCTAAGCACTTCATTTATGCAACCTCACTCCATTTCACATTAGACCTCCAAGACAAGATAGATCATCATCACCATTTTGTAGATGAGAAAATCGACCCAGATAGCTTCCTAATGCCTCTCACTGTCAAATGGAACTCTAACACAAGAATTCTGGATAGGTAAGGAAAAGAGACCTGATCACTAATATGGAAATATTGACCTGGAGCATAGTGATGCTGTAAAAAATACGTGTTTTATTTTATTTAAAAATAAAACCATCAGGCACTGTTCTATTTTTTTAATTAGTGGGCATAATTTATATTAGTAACTCATTTGGTCTTCATAACAACAGAGGCAATATTATTATCTCCATTTTAGACATGAGAAAACTGAGGTATAGAAAAATTGAGTAACATGCTCAAGATAGGAAGTGGTGAAGCAAAATTTCAGATCCCAGCAGGTAGGCTTCATGGTTTATCCTTGTCTTCACCATGCTAAAAACAATGTTAGGATAACATAGGCAAGTCTGTGCAGATTGATAAGCAGTAGTAATATTTCTTCATAATCTTTCCCACAGATTTGAGAATTTTGAATTTTGCATGTAGCTCCACTGATAAAGAATAACAATGTTTTATGAACCTTTGTCAGGTCTTTTAAAATGTATAGTGAAGGATAAAAATCACTGACTGGTAAAGGAAGTTAAAATGAATGTTCATAGTGCTTTCTCCTTTGGAAAAGATACTTTCTAAGAAATGCATTATTCATTTGGGGGATTATAACAAAGCTGGGACATTTGAATGAAACATATTCATAGAATTATTGAATTTGAAATGCAAAATGTAAAAAAGAGAACACTATCCAGAAGTTGTTTTCTGCAGAAAAATTTTAAATCACTCTAGCTTTAAATCTTACATTCATACATCTTCAGCAATAATGAAGAGTCGTTTATTTGTAAATAAGTGAAATAAATTCCATCTCACGAAATGTACTATTAAAGGCGGCACCAGAATACATGTTTTAAAATTTATTTTATTCATTTATATTTTGCATTTTTGTATCTCCCTGCTTTTCCTTAGGAATTTATTTCTTGGACCTCTATTCAGTCAGTGTCTGCCCCTTGTGGTAAGCTGAGGAGCCAGCAGTCAAATGCCTATGTTCTATGTTCCTGCAGGTTACAGTGTGTGTGGGGCCCCTGCAGTTCAGCACAGAGCCAACCCTCGTTTTCTTAGAAGGTGTGGCAGGTTCAGTGGAGGACTAGGGGAAGGGAAAATAGCAGTTGAGATGTCCCCTGAAGGGAGCTACAGCACGGCAGGGTCTGACACTGGCATCATTTTGGGGCATCTATGATTGCAGCTGGGAAACACGCTTGCCCAGGAAACAATCACGATGGAGTAGAGAAGCTTGCTGTTTCCTCTTTGTGTCTGGGAGACCACATTATTGCTTAGGCTTGTAAGGTTTGAAGGGAAGTGAGCTCATTTGACCTGGTAGAGACCATAATTGATCAATCTGTCAGATACATATTTGTTAGAGAGTGGTTGTGCTTTGTAGAAAAACATAAATCAAAATGGTGACTTCATATATTTAATATTTGACTTTATTTACAAATAGCATGTTAATTATACACAGAGAGATATACACCTAGTTAAAATGCACAGTTATGCTAACACCAAATAGAAAGTATTTTTCTTTGTTCCCAATGCTGATATTCTGGCAATGTCTTTATTAAATTTTTTTGTTAACACATTGAATACATTTGTAAGCAGCCTGGAGAAAATGAGAGGTTAAAGGAAGTGAAGAAAGATGGAATGTATTCACACTGACTCTGAATGAATATATTTCACCTCTATTCATTGCTTATAATTCATTTTTTCTGTTGTGACAAGATCCTACTTATGGAAATACTGTTGACTTCAGCTTAGATATAGAAACTTAAATACCTGACTTCAGTCAAGTGTGTTGGGAAGAAGCAGGACAGCTCGCAGCCTTGTGAAGCAATGGAAGGCAATATATCAACTGAGCAGTTGTGAGTCCTGGATCCACTCCCAGGTGTCTCACTCATCTGCTTCATGGCCTTGGCTAATTTGCTTAACCTTTGTGCCTGACAATTTCCACAGCCACAAAATGGGGTTGATTACATTACTGTGTGAGAAAACTTTCGGACACTTTAAAGTGGGGTACAGAGACAACAGATAAACACAGTGATCCCAGGGACTGCTCCTCCCCAGATCGTCCTGCTAAGTGCTTTTAACACAAAAAAGTATGGAGTTGAGGAGACACAGGGAAACTTTTGGAGATGATGGATATGTTTATTATCTTGATTGTGGTGATAGTATTGCCAATGTATACATAGATCCAAACACATCAAACTGCACATATCAAACGTGCAGTTTTTTTATTTATGAATTATATCTCAATAAAGCCATTTAACAGAGAAGGAGAGACAGAACTCAGTAAGCTATGAATAAACTTGATTGGGAAGGATACTTACAAGACGCTACACATTTAAGAGGTGGGATGTTCTGGGAGATCCAAAACTCATCATCACTGAGGGCAGCCTGCTCTGTAAGGACTTGCTCTGCCTGCAGGAAACAGTTGGATAATTTCCTTCCTTCCCCTTCCACACCCACATAATATTAGTGAAAAAAAATTGGAAGACTTGATTTTCCTAGGGGGAATATTAAATCATAGATGAGAGAAAGAAAATATGACCTCACAATATTATACCCACTCTATTGTCATACATGTGTAAAGCAACAAGTAGTCATTCTCAAACATGAAAGATATCAAGGATTCTAGAACCCAAAGACCCTTCTCAAATAAACTATTTGACAATAAAATTTAGCAAGTTAAGCAATACATCAAAACAAAGAAATATGAAAAGGAGATGTCTCAGCATTGAATTTACGGTTATAAAAAAGAATATAAGTTTTATAAATTGGACAATATAAAAACACAACTTAAGAAAAACTGGGACCTAAGAGAGGAGGTCTGAAAGCATAATTATATTTGCAAAGCATGGCATCAATCAATATTGTCCAAAATTAAAATATAAAGTTAAAATAAAACAATTACTCAAACTTAAAAAAAAACATAAAAACAAGATTATTATTTCATAGCTGTTAATTAAAATGATGTGGCATCTATAGTAGGACAAGATTTTAAGCACTTGATGTACGAAGACACAACATGTGATCCCACAAAAACCATGACACACAGCTGATGAAATCTTTGATTTTCAACTATAAAACATACAAAGCTGCCTACTTAATTACTTTACTCCTTCCCTTTTAGAATCCATATATTTGAGAGCTCCCTCTGGTGGTTGAATAAAATATAATTTTCATATTAGTAATACCAAGAACTTTTAAATAAAATATAAAGCTATGATCTACATTGAAATTACTTCCTGTAGACTACGAAAGCCTTCTTATTTTTAATATGATAGACATCATGGTATAGTGATGACAGTGATTGATGATGATGATGATGATAAAAAGAATTCTTTTTATTCAACTCTGACTCGTGTTTATTGTCACAATAGTAGTTAATGTGTTTGGAAACAACCTGGCAAAAACAAGCAGAGAAGGCAAATTCCTTAGAAACAAATTGTATGTTTTTAAATAGTGCAAAATTTTAAAATTAAATTCTAGAAAGTAAAATGGAAATTGAGAAAACATCCTAGGACTCACAAACAGTACAAAGTATAACATATATTCCAAAGTATAACAAACAACAAACAAACAGGGCATCAAGAACAATGAAGATACTACATAATAACATTTCCATTATTACAACAAATGTGTCTCAACAACTTTTTGTTTTACCTAATTCTTCTATCAATTCTTCTGCAGAGTAGCAAGCAGAATGAAGTATTTCAGTGATACACTTCTTAACCCTAAAATCTCCTGGGGGAATCCTAATGTGCAGCCTCTGCCCTTTAACTGGATCAGGTCTTGTCATTGTCTATAGCCCTCTACCATTACTACATAGGACTGAGTACTTACACAATGATGCCAGGAAGTGCTTTGCCATGGCCAAGCCCTGGTGATTGATCCTGTAAGCACAGGACCTGATTTTCTCCTGAAATGCTGACTTCCACTCCATAGTCTGCCCTGTCCCTTTGCCTAACACTTTGTTTCCCGCTAGGATTTGAAGGCTTTTCTGAACTCTGGGTCGTGTGCCTGAGTCCAGAGACCATATGTAGGTCAGTCCTTTTCTTTTTGAGTCAGTACCATAGGATGAGGGTCCTGCTATCAAGGTTTAGCTCTCTAGGAAAGACTGACAGCCTGGCCACCTTTCCAACCATGCTGTGAATCACACTTTTTGTGCCCTCACTTGTAGGGTGGTATCACTTGGTGTGCACACCTCCAGAGTTAGGAATGAGAGGGATTCAGTATTCCAGTTACTCCAGTCACAACTCCTTCCGGTCATACCCTCCAATGGGGTAGTTTTGACAGTAAGGTCAGTGTTCTCAACCCGACTCTGGCTGAATCCCCAGATTCCAACAAGACCTCAGCCAGCCTAATGCCAAAGATTCAGTTGGGATACCTGCATCCAAGCATATAACTCCAAGTTATTTCTACCACAACAACATTGAGAGTTAGTATGAGAAAAACATTCTACAAACTGTAAATCCCATGTACATTACATATTAACAGCAATTAGCTTTTCATTTCCATTAATGCAGTAGTCCTATCAGATACACTGTGTGCTAAATAGAATCTGTGGGTCTTCCTGAGATTCTGACTATCATGACCAAATGTTTTTCAAACAAAATGTGCTAAATCCTGAAGCAGCCATTGGCAGGGCTCACTCCCAAATAGCTAGTCAAACTGTCAATGCAATAGCACTTGGTAGACGTAGGTAAAAGGTGCTTTGTTGCAACATGTTTTCCAAAGAGAAAGTGTGAAACAACAAGATTCTGTCAACATTTTGATATTTTTAGTGTATATAAAAGAATATCTGCCAATCAAAATAAATAAGGGACAATGGAGAATTAGCATACAATGGAGAATTAGCATACAAAGTTCTACTTGGCTTTGTATTTCTGATGTCTGCAAGAGAGTATGCCCTAATGAAATCTGTCCAAAGGGGTTGTGCCATGTCACAGTTTAATGTAATGGGCTGCTAATACGTAGGCACAATGCCCTTCTTTTTCTGGCTAGATGCACTTAGGTTAGTCAAAGTGTAGAGCAAGTCTGCCCTTAATCACAAAGTTTGCTAAAACACAGCTAAGTAGAAAAGTCAGTGTGCCTTTATGCCTTTAAATACTGAGATTGGCATCTCCGCAGTAGATGTGTGCATATGTGTGTTCACATCTATTTTTCAGTATTGTCTGATTTCATCCTCACAGGCCTACGTTTCAGCTACCTTATAACTTTTCCAATATAAAAAATTCTTTAGCCCCTAAAAAAAAAAAAACCCTTCTGTGGAACATGTGGCCTAATGGTTTCTGTTAACATGAACTTATGCAAACAAAAATTGTCTTCTACAAATGTTCATATTCTATTCACAGAAAAATATAGTAGCCAAATGAGTGCCTTCATCAGGACAACTGGTATAAACTTCAGACTTTCTCCTAAATCATATTATCTGCCAAAAGCCAAGTGACACATCCTACTTTGCAGCCTCACAACACATGTGACTCAAAGCCATGTGTCAGCAATATTACCAGTCACCACATTGGGCAATTAGGGGGTTGCTCTTGATTTATCAAAATTGTGAATGTTTGCTGCTTCAAGGTGGAGGGTTCTGCTGCTTTAATTCAGAACCTTTATGGGCTACAGCTCATATGCTGTCTTAGTTCATTCTGTGCTTCTATAACAGAATATCTAAGACTGAATAATTTGTAATAAACAGAAATATATTTTCTTAAAGTTCTGGAGGTTGAGAAATCCAAGATCAAGAGGCTGGCACCTGGTGAGAGCCCTCTTGCTGCATCATCCTACGGCAGGAGAGCAAAAGAGCACTCAGGTGAGAGAGAGGAAAGGAGGCCAACCACATCCTTTGATCAGGAATACTCACCTGCAATAATGGTGTTAAGCCACACAGGAAGGCAGATCCCTCATGGCCTAGTTTTACCTTAAAGGTCCCACCTCTCAACACCATTGCATCGGGATTGTTTCTAACAAGTGAACTTTGGGGGACACGTTCAAATCACAGCATATGCTAAATAGCAACACCAGAGACATTCCATTCCCAGGTCAATTTCCAACAGAGTACTTAAAACTTTTTCCCTTTCCTCCCACTTGAGAGAATATGTCAGAAATCAGTGACAATGACATCATAATAAACATAACCTAGAACACGTTACATTTTGTATTTTTAAAAACCATATAATATCACAAACTTAGAAATATTAGTAATTTGCAACATATTCTCACAATGACTCACCACACATCCTATGTTAAAAGAGCATGTTTTAAAAGTGTTGGTCTATAGGTTTCATTGTAAAGTGATGGGATTTTTATAGCACTTTACGTGCATTTTTCATTCAATTCTCACAATATCCTTATAAAGTAGCAGGTGAACATATCATTTCCCTCGTATTACAATTTCCTTTCACACATTTATGGGATCATGAATTAAGCATGGGCCAAATATTTGCTGCACAGATACAGGAAAAGGGAGGGAGGGATTACTTTTATAATTAAATTTGCAAGGCTAACATTTAGAAGACTTTTTATTTCTTCTTAACTGCTTCACCTATAATTGCGAAATGATGCTGTTATACCAGTAGTTTTTGGTGTTTGTTATACTAATTTATTTTTCCTTTCTGATAATTTATAGAAAAAATAAGGGCACTAAATTAAATAAGTTCTAGGAAATACTGCATATTATGTCTGTCTTGTAAGTTCACAGTGTTCTTTTGCATATTCATGGTGCTGAAAAGTCTTTCAGTAAGAAGCAACAGACACTGGGGTCTATTTGAGGGTGGAGGGTGGGAGGAGGGAGAGGAGCAGAAAAGACAACTACTGGGTCCTGGGCTGAATACCTGGATGATGAAATAATATGTCAAACAAACCCACGTGACACCTGTTTACCTATGTAACAAATCTTCATATGTAACTCCAAACCTAAAATAAAGGTTAAAAAACAACAACAACAAAAATTAACAACCAAGCTCCCTATCTGAAAAAAACGTCCTTCAGTAAAGAATCATGTTTAATATTGTTTCACTTCTGTTATTAACATTTTTTTGACCATGGAAACTTTTGCTCCTATAAATGCTGTTAACACGATTTGGAACCGACTTCTGTAGAACATATTTTGAGAACTGCTACTTGAAATGTTAACTGTCTCAGGGTTCAAATAATCAAGCGCCCTATAGATGTTTTACTCACTTGTTTTTATATAAAAGAAAAAAATAGGTTACTTCTTGTGAGAATTTCTTATAAAGGATTCCTCTGAGAAACTGAGAGAGATAACTAAAAATAAATACAAATGAGAAACAAAATGTTCATCAATTCTTAAACCAATAAATACTGCCAATGATACACAGATTGAGCATCCCTAATCCAAAAATTCAAAATCCATAATGCTCCAAAATCTGAAAATTTTGAGCAGTGACATGACACCACGAGTGGAAAATTTCACACCTGACCTCATGTGATGGGTCACAGTCAAAGCACAGACACACAGCACACAGTTTACCAAGCATCCCCAAGAGAAAAAAGACCCCCCCCCCACCTGCTTCTGCTGCAATGTATCTTTTCTGAGCACATCATGACAGTTATACCAAACAACCACAGATTGTCCACATGAGTGGCTGAGATAGTGACACCTTTGCTTGCTGATGACTTAATGTACACGAATTTGTTTCATGTACAAAATTATTAAGAATAATGTATAAAATTACCTTCAGACGAGGGTCATGGGGTGTATATGAAACATCAATGAATTTTGTGTTTAGACTCAGGTCCCATCCCCAATATATCTCATTATGTATATTCAAATATTTCAAAATCCAGAAGAAAACCTGAACTCTGTAACACTGAGGTCCCAAGCATTTCAGATAAGGGACACTTACCGTGTATCACAACTTTCTGGCAGGAATCTCTGCTAGATACAGTAAATTTGAATCAGCGTGAAGAAAAACATCGAAGATTGATATGCAACTTCCCTTCCTGAAAATGTGCAGTTTTCAGGGAAGTAATTAGAGCAAATTCTGACACTTCTCACTAACAGTAAGTAATTGGAGAACTGGCTGGAAGCACAGACAGCTTTGGGGGAAATGGGTCTCTGCCATAGACTGTCGCTGCCCCAAGCTAATCAAACTCAGAAAAATGAACAACCACTCCTCCGTATATTGTTATTGTTTGTTTCTTCATTGATTCCACTTTTCTTAAAAGTAACTATTTTCTCCAACATGGCAGTGGGAAAGGGATCCTCAGAATCTAGAGACTTTTGAAGCAAGATTGAGCAATTTTCACAGATGTAAAAGTTATTACTCAAGAAATGGGAGAAAAAATGTAGCTTCAGCACGCTGAAAGCCCACAGGCCCCAGGGCTTTTAACCAACCTGACTTATAATCTATCTAGTTAACATACCTGAATAATCCAAAATCAAAGGCATACTCCTTAGTACCTTCAACGCAGGCCACACACAACCCACTCCCCTCTTCTCCTCCTAGCTCCCTCCACCAACCCACACACACTAGATCTCACACAACACACTAGAACTGAAATTTGGTGCATTCTTTCCTAGCAAATATATAGAGAAAAAATGCAGAAATAAAGCTTTGCATGGCCATAGCTCTTTTCCTACCTGCCCAGGTGCAGCATGACTGAATTTATATTTAAATTTGAAGGATGAATTAAAATGGCAGCCAGGTAAACAGGAGAAACCATGAATGATCTATCCATGTTATTTTAGGAACAAAAGCTGTCTTGTACAGTCTTTATTCAAAGATGAGTACAAGCAAAAAAAAAAAATGTTTTAAAAATATGGCAGAAAGCACAGCATGTGAAACATAGATTAGGCGTATTCTTTGCAAATAGATTTATTTCAGGAAAGAGGATAAAATTTTAAGGAGAAACTGTAGTGTCAAGGTAATTATAAAGCTGTACAATAATATAAGCTATCATATACAGATAATTCTCCATTTTTCAAGTTCCCAGGAAAGTTATTAACTCTGTGTAAAGTATTCAACCCTGTTCATATAAGTTTAAAAATCTGTTTGAAAGACATTTTTTTGTGGAAAAATATAAGTGGACCAAAATAAATCAATAATAAAAGAAAACTGACAGAGCTATTATAGAACAACAAAATGTTGTAGAAGAATTCTTTCAGATTTCAGGGAAGAGTTTACTTCTATGAGCTCAGAGGAAGAAGGAAGGCTTCACATGATTTTATACAAAATTCATGTAACCCCGAAGCAAAACTCAACCAAAACAACCTACAAATAATAAAACCCCAGACCCATTTCAACATAAATTTAACAGCAAAAATTAGTAATAAGATGTTAATATTTGTAATCCATTGCTGTACTGAAATTCTATTAATGACCAACTGATGTTCATTGCAGAACATAAAAATGGTTTAATGCTAAAAGATTTGTTAATATAATTTCTCCCACAAATAGACTGAGGAAAAGAATCTGTAGTCACCATATGTTCTAAAAAGTCATCAAATGCCTATTCAACTTTTTTTAAAACTTCTTAATAAAGACCTTTAGCATATTTTTTAAAGAAAAAAAAAGCTTAAACTAACAGCCAGAAATTTTCTCTCTCACCATTACTAATAATATTCTTCTAGGAAAGCTAGCCAAAGGAATCACTGAAAAATGTTTTCTAAGAATATTAAGTATAAACAATCAAAAGGAGGCATTATATGATAAAGACTCAAAATTTGTTAAATTTTATTTGTAGACAAAATAGTTTGCTACATAAAGAAAACAAGAATATTGACTAAAAGTAACTTAGAGAGTTCAGCAAAGACAATCAGTTGAGAAATTAGTATTTTTAAAGGTAGCTTTTCTATAATAAGGAAACAACTAGTTAAAATAAAACAAAGATATTTCATTCACAATAGCAACTGTTATATGGTAGCCTTACAAACATCAAACATTACTAGGGAGACATAGGACTGGATGTGCTTTCTTCCTTCACTTTCTTATTGTTTAGATTTCTGTATTTTTTTAAAGTGTTAATTTTATTAACAAAAACAAAACATATTAATTATCAAAAACTAAAGACCTATTTTCTTTAAAAACTAAAAAACTAAATACATTAAGATAAACATCAAGATATTTTATCATTATATTTTAATAGATAAGACAATTTAATAAAGATTAACTTCATAGAATTACTTTTTAGTGCTAAAAGAGTCTTTAGAAGACATCTAACTCAAGCCTGCATTTTCAAATAAGAAGTTCAGGGCTTTACTGGTTACAGGATTTGTTTAAGGTTTCTAGTCAATGGCAAAACCATGTTTAAAACTCAGGACTTCTGACTTTGAGTCCACAGTTTCTTTATTTTTTCCTGACTTCTCTTACCCGTTCTACTCCTCATTATACTTACAAGAGTAATTCTTAGCTATTCATGATCTTTGTTCAATTTGACTTAGATTTTAGAGTATTAATGAAACACTCATTCAACTCACACTAATACGTTGAACTTGGAATCAAGATCGGTCAGTGGCTGTTTAGGGATTCGGTGGAGCTTGGCACTGCAAATTCTTGCATTTAGCTTCGCTCATCTGGTACTGACTATTCCGCTACAGCCATAAGGCATTTATTTTCTGCTAAGTTGATATAAGTAAAAATGGGAAAATGCTCCACTTTCTGGGGGCTCCTCTAGCCCTCACTTTCTTTCCTGTTCACCAAAGAACAGAAATATGTAAAGAAGACATTTCCTACACATTCACAAAAGTATATATCCTTCTTGCCCATTCATTAAATATCCAGAATAAAAGGTCTTTATGGCCAGATGCTATCTATTGCTTATTTTAAAATGGTTACATTAACTTATAATCATGTTTCCATAATTCCAATCCACAAACTTGATTCAGAGATAACAGTTCCTTCTTTTAAATCTAGTTATATATCCAAGCTTAGCCAATCATAACCTCCATGGACAGCATTAATTTTTAATATAATAACTAATAACAGTAAGTTACAAAGTGTGAACAACTGGAGACAAGGATGGTATATAAATCACAGGAGTGCAAGCAGCTCAGTTTAGGCAGGGAAAGAGACAGAGGTTCTGGCTGAACTCCTTGGGAAGCAGAGGCAGAAGAGGAGAGAGACTAAGAGCAGAACTCTACTAATTTTTGACCAGCCTGGAAGTACTGAACTACCCTGAGCAACAATGGTCAGAAGGACACCCGTCATGCAGCCCCACCTCTACATTACTTGCATGTGCTGATTATCTAATCCATTCTCTGGATGACTATTTTCATAAATGTCTTTCTCCCTCCTCATGCTCAACACCTCTTCTATTGTCACTCTCACCCAATGGCTCTGCTTTCTACTTTGTTCAAAAAAATATATATAAATAAACTGAAGCAACAGAAGACACTCTAACAAGCTCTCATCATTATATTTGCACCTAGTAACTACCTTCACTCTGTTTTCCTTTGTTATAGATAAACTGCCTGCATTCTTACCCAAGGGCAACTCCTCAATTATTCACTATGTTGCCTTAGGTTACGGTTAACCTATTCAAGGAACCAGCTCCCCAAATCTCTCTTCTTTCTCCTGCAACATCAATTTCCCCATCTCTATATGTTATCATTTCCATCAGCATACAAGTGTACTGTTACTTCTACCATATGAAACACTTTTTTCTTTCTTTCTTTCTTTCTTTCTTTCTTTTTTTTTTTTGAGGTGGAGTTTCACTGTTTTTGCCCAGGCTGTAGTGCAATGACACGAACTTGGCTCACTGCAACCTCCATCTCCCAGGTTCAAGTGATTCTCTTGCCTCGGGCTCCCGAGTAGCTGGGATTACAGGTGCACGCCACCAGGCCCAGCTAATTTTGTATTTTTAGTAGAGATGGGGTTTCACCATGTTGGCCAGGCTCATCTCGAACTCCTGACCTCTGGTGATCCGCCCTCCTTGGCCTCCCAAAGTGCTAGGATCACAGGCGTGAGCCACCTTGCCCAGCTGAAACTAATTTTTTAAATGAAACACATTCATTTCTCTGCTCCTTGTACCTTCATATCCTCCCTTTCTCCTACTCCTGTCACTCTGCTGAACCATGGCTAGATCAAAGTCTTCAGTGACCTCCATATTGCTAAACCACTGGCAGGTTCTTAGCTTTCACCTTATTTGATTACCTAGAAACATTTAAAATGGCTCATTACTTGGCTTTCAAGACAAGCTCCTTATTTTCTTCCTCTCCTACTGGTTATTTCTATTCAGTTTCCGGTGTAAGCCCTTCCTCTTCTCCTAGACCTTTTAATGCCCAAGTGCGCCACAGCTCGGTCCTTTAGCTTCTCCTCTAATTACTTTCACTGCATTGGTCATTTTATCCTGACTCATAGTTTTCAACATCACCCAGTCACAGACAACCTTCAAATTTCTATCTGTAGCTCACAATTCTCCTCTGAATGCCACATCCATATACCTGAAGGTCTAAAATGACACCTACACGTTGGATGAACATATCCAAACAAACATTTTCTTCTCTCCCAAATGCCGCTCCCCTTTCTCATCTCCGTTAATAAAATTATCATCACTCAGGTGCTGACATATAAAACCTTGGACTAATCCTTGACTCCCCCTTGTTCTTCACACCCTACATCCAATCTAATAACAAATTCTGGTTACCCTACCTTCAAATAATCATAGGATCTGGCCTCTTCCTAATATCCTCACTGTTACTACCCTGGAATAAGCACTAACTTCTATTACCTGGATTATCACACCATTTTCCAGACTGGTTTTCCTGCTTTCACCATTTACACACTCCAGCTTGTTCTCAGCAACGCAACCAGAGTGATCAGTTTAAAGTGTAATATCGTGTCACTCTTCTGCTTAAACCAGTGCCATAAATACCTACCCCCTCAAATTCTTACAATTGCCGACAAAGTCCTACTTTTCTGGCCCCACCATTACCCTTCTGATCTCCTCTGCTAATTCTCTTCCCCTTGATCTTTCTTCTTCAGCCACAATGGATTTCCTGGTGTTATTGAAATAAATGAGGAAATTTTTTTTTATCTCAGGGCCTTTGCACTTGCTGTTCTACATCCTACACCCAATCTGTTAACAAATTCTTATGACTCTACTTTCAGTTAACTCCAGAATCCTCACTGCAACCTTTAACCCTCTGGTTATTCCCTAGCCACCTTATGTTGCTTTATTTTTCTTCATAGTACTTGTAACCTTCTTAAATACCATGCAACTTAATCATTTATTAAGTTTCATTGTCTATCTCCCCATACCAGAATAGAAGCCCCATAAAGGCACAAATATTTGCTGATTTGTTCACTGATTTATCCCCACTGCTTAGGGCTATACCTGAAACATAGTAGATAATTAATAATCTTCAAAAAGATAAAATTGGAAAAATAGAACAAGATGTTTAAAAATGGTTTGTGCACTAAGTTTAGAAATATAACTCTGTCAATATTTGGAAAACTTGTATTTAATGCACAAAATATCGTTTTTGCGTGTGTGTTTTTTGTCACCTTCCTCTAGATATTAAAACACAAGGAAATTCACAAAACAATAACGGATAGAGTTAAAGCCCATCATTTTTACTTCTCTCTAATATTAAACCAACAGACCAATTCCATGTAGAGTTTCACTTGCAACTTCCTGGGAAATCAAAATAAAGATTAGTGCTTTGAGCTAGCATCATAGGACCTGTTTTTGCATTTGTTTTCTACAAATGCAAAAAAAAACCAAACTGGTAATGTGGTTGCTATTATCAGCTCTCTGTATTGGCGGTACTAAGAACATCCATCTTCCTTCTTTCCAGAACTATCACAGCCCAGTGCCATCAAAAATTATTTGTAAGGTGAGTCAGGCTAAGGTAAGATGGTGGGATGGTCCATTTAATGAATGAGGAAGACCTGCTTTTAAAGCAGAAGACTATTGACTTGGTAAGTAAACCTACCTCTGACCAGGCTGCATCTGGTTGGGCCCCTGTGTGTATACCTGTGTCACTCTCTCTCTCAACGTCTCTCTCTCTCTCTCCCCTCTTTCTCTCTCTCTCTCTCTGCCCTCTCTGTTTCTTTGTGTGTGTGTGTGTGTGTGTCTGTGTGTGTGTGTGTGTGTGTGTGTGTCTCTGACTCTTTGTCTTGCTGCCTATCTCTGTCTGTCTCTAGGTTTTTCTCTCAGTCTCTCTCTGATTCCTCCTCTATGTCCTCTCTCTTTCTGTCTCTCAGTCTCTCTCTATCATCTCTATTTATAACTCTCTTTTCTTTTCACTCTACCTCCTCTCTCCTCTCTCTCTCTCTCTCTCTCTCTCTCCCCCTTTCTGGTGAAAGCATGCACACACAAACCCATACCTCACCACTATAACTCAGACATACTTCTAATTACACATTTCTGAGTGAGATTTGTAGAATCTCAGTTTTATAGGCTTTTATAGATCTTGTGATTCTCATTAGACGTTTGTGTTAAAGGAGGAACATCTACATGTACTTGGTGAGAGAACCAAGTATTATATCCTAATATAAATTTTAGAACACACCATGTAAGGAAAAATATAGTGAGGTAAGTTTTTAATATCTATGTGTGTTTTTCTCTAAGCATAGTGGAAGTCTCAATGACTGTAAATTACTTATTGTTTCACTTATACAACTGCAAAAAAAATCAAGGGTGTTTCTCATTCGCCTGGCAAAATTCTTCTCGATTTTCAGTTTATTTTACTACCACAGAAAAGTCTGAATGACTCAGTGAATAAATAAATTGCTGACTAAAGAGGTACTGAGGAAGAGAACTGTTTCCTGTTCTACTCACAACCTGCTTGCATTGCCG
Source organism: Homo sapiens (assembly GCF_000001405.40). Classification (NCBI taxonomy): domain Eukaryota; kingdom Metazoa; phylum Chordata; class Mammalia; order Primates; family Hominidae; genus Homo; species Homo sapiens. Next base: position 78,840,711 of record NC_000008.11, on the reverse strand, counting down.
AGTCAGGCATTTCCCCTTTTGACTTCCACAAAGGTCCCTGCTTCCTGCCTGTACACCTTTGGTGAGCTCTGCAACTCTGGAGTGGACAGACCTCCGGGGGGAGCCAAGTGGCCAAGGTGTCCTGAATCCTCTGAATGGATATTTAACATCATGAGAAGGTAGCTTAAGAAATAACTCAAAAGCAGATCATCAGAGTTGTCTTTTTAATTTAGGAGAAAAAGCCAAGTCAGTTTTAAGACGAATGTATTCATTACAAAGCTATATTCCGACCAGATAGCATGCAACAACATAAATCATAATGGAGTATAGAATTTCATGTTTTAAAAAATAGAAAATAGTATATCCAGAGAAAAACCAACCTATCAGATTTTAGAAGGCCTTTCTCATAAAATAAGAACAAAATTTTTAAATAATTATCGATTACTCAGTATATAATTTTTAAACCTTTGGACATAAAATACATCATAAAGTGATAATAAAAGGCAGTTAATAAATTGGAAACAGTACCAATGACATGAAAGGGTTACTGTAGCCTAATATATAAATATGTTTTATAAATCAACATAAACAGTCTAGTAGAAAAATAGGCAAAGGACATAAACAGCATTTTGCCAAAGAACTAAGTATAATAAATATATAAATGACATATAAGTGTTCAATAATTATATGAAACTTCAAATTCACCAATAATGACAAAAATGAATATTAAAAGTAATTTTCAATAATATCTTTATAATAACCTAGGTTATAATGCAGCACACATTAATTTCCAAATCTCAGTATTTTAGCACAAGAAAATTGAGTTCTCCTTTGTAGCACAATTTTATCACAGGTTGGAGAGGGGCTCCATTTCAGTTACTTAGGGATCCAAATGGAGGAAGGCCCCATTAACGTATAGCTGTTCCATCTGGGACCTATGCCCTTCTTAGCCAATGAGGATGAGAAGAGGTCTGAGAATCACATATAATCTTTTCTCTGCCTTGGCTCAGAAGGCATATCACTTCTGCTCACAATTATTTTGGCTGGTATTAGTTATATGTGTCTCCAATTCCAGCATTACTCTCCTTGCCAATCTCTCAAATTGGCAAAGGAAATAAAGAAGAAAAAGGAAGGAAAAGCAAGCAAGCAAGAAAGAAAGAAAGGAGGGAGGGAGGGAAGGAAGGAAGGGCTGATGAAGATATTTCTTGTCAAGAAAGCAGGTGAGTAAAGAGAAAGAGACATGAAGGTGGATGATATTGTTTGGCTCTGTGTCCCCACCCAAATCTCACCTAGAATTATAATAATTCCCATGTGTCAAGGACAGAGACAAGTGGAGATAATGGCATCATGGGGGTGGTTTCCCCCACACTGTTCTCATCGTATTGAACACATCTCCCAAGATCTGATGGTTTTATAAACAGGAGTTCCCCCTGCACAAGCTCTCTTGCCTGCTGCCATGTAAGACTTCCCTTTGCTCTTGCTTTGTCTTCTGCCATGATTGTGAAGCCTCCCTAGCCCTGCGGAACTGTGAGTCCATTAAACCTCTTTCCTTTATAAATTCCCCAGTCTCAGGTATGTCTTTGTTAGCGATGTGAGAACAGACTAATACAGTGGATGACGCACTTGGAATTCTCCAAGTTATTTAGCTGGGGGATAAAGGATGGTAAGAAATAGGTTGGGGAACTAAAGAGAGGACACCTGATAAAGGTCCTTAAAGACTGACCTTTGTCAGTATGAAGATAATGGTGATTTACCGAAGGATGCTGTGATCAAGTGTGCATCTTGATAGATTTCTCTGGCTACTGTAAACAAAATGGAAAAACTGGAGACTGGGAAATGAAAGAAGATGCTATTGCAGGGAGCAATACAACTATAAATTAGAACAAGAATGTCGACTTCACAACACATTTGGGAATACCTGTTATGTTAACTTAGGAGAGGGAAGTCATATTCCTATGTACACATCTTATAAAAATTTAGTCTTATAAAGCAACTTAATCAACCATATGATGAAATTCACAGTTAATAACGCAGCTGGGACAAGAAGTTTCAGAACATTTTTTTCTGACTATTCACACTATCAAGAACTTATCCCAGCACGTGACTTTTGTTGTTTTTGTTTTTGGATACTGTGTTCTCTTTCAGTTACTCTGATGAGATGGGTTCCTGCAAGCTGCAGGCTTCAGTAAGTTGGTGACCATCAACAGTATGCCTTCTCTCTTTCAAAGGCCCACAGGGTTCATGCAAACCTTTTCTGATTTCACGAAGGGAGTAGGATTCTTAGTGTTGAATTCCTGAAGTAAGATACGTTTTCCTTCTTTTATGTGGTCTTTTAATTATCTCAGTAGAGTTACTTCAAAGCCCATTGTTGCCTTTTGCCTTTCCTCCTCTATCGTTCCTTCAGCTGAGAGACAGCACCATGTAGAAGTTGACAGCACCATGTAGAAGTTAACAGCACAGAATGAAACCAGACTGACAGTATTTAAATACTAGTGCCATTGTTTCATTAGTCCACGACCTTGAGCAAGTTGCTTAACTCCTCTATATATCAGTTTCTTCTAAAATAAGGATTAATAATAATACCTTAATAAATGGCAAAACTAGTCCTGTTCTTTACCCCTTCCTGGATGCATACTCTTGGCACTAGGTGTTTTCACTTGCTCTGTCCAATACCATACGTGGGAAGTAACAGTGTGCATTCCAAACCTAGGCTTTAAGAAGCATTGCCTGCTTCCGCTCTCTTTCTCTCTGTTAGAACCCTCCTATGGCAATGGAAATAAGTCCAGGCTAGCATTGTGAAAATGAGAGAACTTCTAGAGAACAGCCAAGCAGTCCTAACTGAGGCCATCTTATACTCCCAGCACCCATCCAACAAGGCAGCTGACTGTCCACAGGTGAGTGGGCCAAGTCAATGTCTTTTGAACTTGGCCCAGATCAGCAAAAACAGTGGCTTGTGAGAAAGGATAAAAAGGTCTATTGTTGTAATTATGTTTTTACAGTTTTATGTTTTGGGGTAGTTTGCTATATAGCGTTATTTTGGCAATACATAACTGATACCCTATTTCACAGAGTTGAAGCTTAAATGAGTTTATACATGTCAAGTTCTTAGAAGAATAGTTGGTATTTATTAGATATTATTTAAATGTTTGTTTTTATTACTATTTTTGTAGTAGTAATAATAATAGAATAGAAATGGGATTTAGATTGGAAATACAGATCTGAGAACAAGCCTAAACGTGGCCACAGAAAACATGACAATGGATGGGAGCTAGGACAAAACATTTAAAGAGCTAATTTCATCTGATTTTTTTTAAGGTCAATAGGATTTTTATATATATATATATATACTCTAAGTTCTGGGATGCATGTGCAGAACGTGCAGGTTTGTTACATAGGTATACAACAATACCTATGGTGCCATGGTGGTTTGCTGCACCCATCAACCCATCATATACATTAGATATTTCTCCTAATGCTATCCCTCCACTAGGCCCTGGTGTGTGATGTTCCCCTCTCTGTGTCCATGTCTTCTCACTGTTCAACTCCCACTTATGAGTGAGAACATGCGGTATCTGGTTTTCTGTTCCTGTCTTAGCTTGCTGAGAATGATGGTTTCCAGCTTCATCCATGTCCTTTCAAAGGACATGAACTTATCCTTTTTTATGGCTGCATAGTATTCAGTGGTGTATATGGGCCACATTTTCTTCATCCAGCCTATCATTGATGAGCATTTGGGTTGGTTCCAAGTCATTGCTATTGTGAATAGTGCTGTAATAAACATACATATGCATCCGTCTTTAAAGTAGAATTATTTATACTCCTTTGGGTATATACCCAGTAATGGTATTGCTTGGTCAAATGATATCTCTGGTTCTAGATCCTTGAGGAATCGTCACACTGTCTTCCACAATGGTTGAACTAATTTACGCTCCCATCAACAATGTAAAAGTGTTCCTATTTCTGCATGTCCTCTCCAGCATCTGTTGCTTCCTGATTTTTTAATGATTGCCATTCTAACTGGTGTGAGATGGTATCTCTTTGTGATTTTGACTTGCATTTCTCTAATGACCAGTGATGATGACCTTTTTTTTATGTTTGTTGGCCATATAAATGTCTTCTTTTGAGAAGTGTCTGTTCATACCCTTCACCCACTTTTTGAAAGGGTTTTTGCTTTTTTCTTGTAAGTTTGTTTAAGTTCCTTGTAGATTCTGGATATTAGCCCTTTGTCAGGTGTATAGATTGCAAAAATTTTCTCCCATTCTCTAGGTTGCCTGTTCATGCTGATGATAGTTTCTTTTGCTATTCAGAAGCTCTTTACTTTAATTAGATCACATTTGTCAACTTTGGCTTTTGTTGCCATTGCTTTTGATGTTTTAGTCATGAAGTCTTTGCCCATGCCTGTGTTCTGAATGGCATTGCCTAAATTTTCTTCAAGGGATTTTATGGTTTTAGGTCTTACTTTAAGTCTTTAATCCATCTTGAGTTAATTTTTGTATAAAGTATAAGGAAGGCATCCAGTTTCAGTTTTCTGCTTATGGCTAGCCAGTTTTCCCAATACCATTTATTAAATAGGGAATCCTTTCCCCATTGCTTGTTTTTGTCAGCTTTGTCAAAGATCAGATGGTTGTAGCTGTGTGGCATTATTTCTGAAGCCTCTGTTCTGTTCCATTGGTCTATATATCTGTTTTGGTACCGGTACCATGCTGTTTTGGTTAGTATAGCCTTGTAGTATAGTTTGAAGTCAGGTAGTATGATGGCTCCAGCTTTGTTCTTTTTGCTTAGGATTGTCTTGGCTATATGGGCTCTTTTTTCATTCCATATGAACTTTAAAGTAGTTTTTTCCAATTCTGTGAAGAAAGTCAATGGTAGCTTGATCAGGATAGCATTTAAACTATAAATTACTTTGGGCAGTATGGCCATTTTCACGATATTGATTCTTCCTATCCATGAGCATGGAATGTTTTTCCATTTATTTGTGTCCTCTCTTATTTGCTTGGTCAGTGGTTTGCAGTTCTCCTTAAAGAGGTCCTTCACATCCCTTGATAGAAAATTGAAATATACCTTTATTTCTGCTTTGTCTAGAAACCACCCCAAATTTAAAGAAATAAAAATTATAAAATTCCACTGAGGCAATGAGAATAGAAGGGGAGAGAATAGATGTCAACAAATTTTCGAAAGATGAGAGTGGTAACAGACTTAGTAAAAGAAGTGATTTTTTAAAAGTGCCTTCAGAGGTGATCTAATTAGAAGACAATGGGTTTCTCTTAGCAAAAAGCTCTTTTTCAGGTTGTATAGAAGGTGGGAGTGAGGATTGTGGCTAAAAATCAAGATTCTGAAGACAAGTATCTATGCAGCTTAGTGTTGATTCCATTCTCACAACTCTGCCATACAAAGATAAGCTATGACTGTTTCCATTCATCTTCCCAATTGCCTCACAGGAGTCTGAAATTTAGTGAAAAATAGAACCTGAGAGACTCAACTTTGGAATAGCAAGAAGAGTACAGGAAGGACAATTGTGGACAGAGGAAATCAAGGGGGTTAAGGAAAGTCTGCATGCTGAAGAGTAGGCCTTCAGACTCTTCTCTCCCACCATTGATAGCTAGGCTTATCCCAACTACCCCCTTCTAAGAAACAGGAAGAATCTTCTCTGCTTTTAACCACAGAAACAGAAAAAAATAAAGGAAGAGGAAAAAAAGACAAATATATGGAGATAATACAAGCACAAAATTGGCATTTAAATATCTCTCTCTCTCTCTCTGTTTCTCTCTCTTTCTCTGTCTCTCTCTCTGTCTCTCTCTCAACAAAAAAGAAAATACCACAGCCATAAAAAAAAGCAGGTTGGCTGGGCATGGTGGTTCATACCTGTAATCCTAGCTCTTTGGAGGCCAAGGTGGTCAGATGGCTTGAGACCAGGAGTTCGAGACAAGCCTGGCCAACTGGCCAACATGCGAAACCCCATCTCTACCAAAAATAAATAAAAATAGTTGAGCATGGTGGCACATGCCTGTAGTCTCAGCTACACAGGTGGCTGAGGTGGGAGGATCAACTGAGCCCAGGAGGTCAAGGCTGTAGTGAGCCATGATTGTGCAACTGCATTCCAGCCTGGGCAACAGAATGTGACCTTGTTTCAAAAAAACAAAACAAAACAAAACAAACAAATAAACAAAGCAGATTGATATACAAAAATAGGAACAGAGAATAAGAGCTCTTGGAAATTAAAATATACATCAGAAATTTAAATCCAGTAGAAGAATTAGAAAATAAAATCAGAGAAACCTCTCACACATTAAAACAAAAAGAGAAGTGTGGGTAATAGAAGAGAAAGTATAAAAAATTAGAAAATCATCCTAGGAAGCCTCATTATCTGACTAATGGAAGATTCAGGGGAGGAGAGGAAGAAAATGGAGAATAAAAATTTATCAAAGAAAGCTTGCCACAGTTGTAGGACATAAATTTCCACACTTAGAGAGATTAAAGCACAATAAATGAAACCCATAGAATGGCCCATTATCATGAAAGTTTACAAAATATTAAGGACAAAGGTATAATCCTAATAGCTTACACTAAGAAGAAATAAAGCCAAAGTATTGGAACTAAGACTAGAGTTAGACTTCTCAACACCAATACTGGAATCTAGAAAACTGTGGAGAATGCCTTCAAAAAATCTAAGAAAAATTATTTTAGCACAGTAGTTTATAACCAACCAAACTATCCATTAAGTAGAAGAGTGAAATAAGGATAAGAGTATTTTAAGACATACAAATTCTCAAAATATTAATCTCTGTTCAATTTAGAGTGATGGAGAACTCAGAATTCAGAAAAGCCTTTTAAATGAGGAAAACAACAAATTAAGTGAAATAAAAATAAAATCTTAAAAGCAGCTATGAGTTAACAAGAAGGTGGAGAATTAACAGAGCAGAGCCAGTGAGAAGACAAGAACTCCAAAATAAGTAAATTCTAACACTGCAGAGAAAAGGCTCTGAAGTGGAGCTGAGCTTTCTGCAATGTCATGGGGCTATAAGGGAAAAGTCAAAGCCTGGGTTCCACTAAAAATGGAGACTCTAATTAATCATTTATTTCATTAAACTGAGACATAAAAATGTTGTACTTCCATCATAAACAGTAACTATAAATAAACCAATGTTTCCAGACTTTTAGCCTGGTCGTTTGTCATCTGGATAATCCAGAAAATCTTAAAGCTTGAACTGAGATTAAGATGGTCCCAGACTATTATTTCCAGTTACTTGGAAAAAGTAAACAAAAGTCTTCTTTGAAGGAATATGCTTGTCATCATAGATTTCCAATTATTCTTACAAATAATGCTCAAAAACAATGTCCAGCACACTTAAACAGGAATACAGGAAATAAGAATCCAGGAATGAAACCAAGTTGATACAACAGGAAATAGAAACATACCCACAAATGCTTGATATATACTATTCTTGATATACTACGCTTATTATAAATGAAGTATAAGGCTATAAAAACATAAATGCTTATATTATTTAGAAAAAAATAAAATATCAAGTATAAATATTTCAGTATGGTGCTATAAACTATAAAAGTTGACATAGCAAATTTGGAAAACAACCAAATAGAAAATAAATAACAGAAAAATGTAATAACTTTGCAAAAAAATTTCTATGGGATTTATAATTTGATTAGATATAGTTAAAGAAAGAATTAATAAACTAGAAGCAAGATTAGAAGAAACTAAATAGTAGACAAAGGGATGGAAAAATATAGAGGAAGGGGAAGGGACTTTGAGGGTACAATGAGAAAGTGTAACATCTCAGAAATAGAACAAAGTGAATGTGGCAGAGAAAATATTTAAAGAAATAATAACTGAGATTTTCTAGAACTGATAAAAGATACCAAACCACAAATTCAAGAAGTTCTAAGAATCTAAAGTAAATGACTAAAATATTATTAAAAATTATAAATAAAAATAATTCCAAACCTGGACATACCATATTAAAACATTAGAAAAACCAATGACGATTAGAAAAATCTTAAAAGCAGCCATAGGAAAAATGACACTATATTCAAAGGAGCAAAATATCTTATGTCCCAGCGATTCTACAAGCTTGAATAAGTTTTATGATGTATAGCAAGGGTCCCCAACCCCCAGGCCACGGAAGGATATGGGTTCCTAGTCTGTTAGGAACCTGGCCGCACAGCAGGAGGCGAGCAGCGGGCAGGAGAGCACTACCGCCTGAGCTCCGCCTCCTGTCAGATCAGCCGAGGCATTAGATTTTCATAGGAGCAGTAAGCTATTGTGAACTGTGCATGTGAGGGATCTAGTTGCACGTTCCGTATAAGAATGTAACTAATGCCTGATGATCTGAGGTGGAACAGTTTTATCCCAAACCCATCAGCTTCCCTCATCTGTAGAAAAATCGTCTTCCATGAAACCAGTCCCTGGTGCCAAAAAGATTGGGGACAGCTGATGTTAAGTTCCAGTAAGTGAAACTTTAATGCAGGACCAAATACTGTGAGATAGGCCATTCTGTTGTTAGAGAGCTCTAAATGTTAGAAAATGCTTCTTTTGACTAAGCCAATATATCATAACTCTTGTATCCAATAGTATGCTGGTAAATGAGACAATATTTGTATCATTTGCTGATTTCTGAGGTGGAATTAATCTCACTATGGCTTACTTCAGCCAACCAATGGGACGTCACTGTATGCAGAGCTGAGAAGAGATGCACACCATCACCTCTTGCAGGCCAGTATGAGCCAGCTCCAACATACCATCGGATGTATTCCTGATTGTGTATTTTCTTGTCAAAGTTAAATATCCATAATTCCCTGGTTACTTCTTCCATATAGTTGCCTATCTGTGTAATATTCATTCATTCAATGAATATTTATTAAGAGTCTATTATTTGCCAATAAATATTCTAAGAACTAAGTATAAATCAGTCAACAACAACAAAAATCTTCATAGAGCTTAGGTTACAGTAGCGAAAAAGACAAATAAGTAAATGCACAATCTGTCAAATGCTGATAATGTGATGGCAAAAATATGTGAGGGTAAAGTAGAAGGAAAATGCTATTTTATATGGGGGAAGACCATATGATATCTTTCCATTCTGCCTCTCACTCTTTGTCATATGCTATTGATGAATTAGTGAGAAAAAAATAGTGTGAAGACATTTATATTTATGAAAAGTTTAAGAAAAATCTGCATAGAATATAAGCACGATGAAAATGTACTATTGTAAAGCAGAGTTTGCAAATCAAGTGTTTAAAGAACTGAGCCAACATTTAAAACATTGAGATGGTCCAGACAATAGGTAAATTTTCAGCCTAGGCTGCAAGACTGGAAAACCAGGCTATGCTGATCCTGCATTCCAGCATCCTTTAGACATAGCCTGAACTCTCCAGCTACTACAGTGTCCAGCATGCTGTCTGTACTCACTTTACATTACCTACCCAGCACTTGCAGGCATTTGAATTTATAACTCTACCAAAATTAATTCATAATTTTTTCAGAATTCCATTATTTCCTTTTGTTTCTGAGTTTTTTTCTCACTGTTTTCAAAAATCAAACTCATGATCCATGTGCAAGAATTTAAAAAATAACCTGCTGGAGGTTCTAAAACCTACTTTAAGAGAGCTTTCCAAGAAACATTTTGAGGGATGGTAGCATGAGTACAAAAGTATAAATTCAAAAGGTAACCAGTGTGAATGGAAGAAACTGTTAGCAAGTAAATTTTCCAGTGTGTTAAAATACTCATAATACCTTAAAATGATAATTTGAGATACATATTGTGCAGATACTTATATTATTGTTTAATGTGTGTCTATCCCGACACATATTGTTCATTGGTTCATTTTAGAGCACAGTTTCTTCTTGTGATCATTTCTACACTATCAGCATTATGGAAATATAATAAAATATGAATGACATTGTATATTTTGAAATTATTTAATATATATTGGACAATGTGGGGAAGTATGACCAGATTAGTTATAAATCAGTGCAAATATTAATTCATCAATGTGTAATGTGAAAATTATCAAATCATCATCCATCCAATTCTGGCAGAATATTTATCTGTCAATAACACATAACAATTGTACATGTTTGTAGGGCACAATGTGATGTTTTGATACATGTATACATTGCACAATAATCAAATCAGGGTCATTAATATATACATCATACTTCAAACAGTTACCAGTTCTTTAGGGACATTCAAAATCTTCCCTTCTGGCTATTTTGAGATATATAATACCATATTGTTGACTATAGTCCTTCATACTACCGTGCCATTGATCCCAGAACTTTTTCTTCCTTTCTAATTTTAACTTTGTACCCATTGGACAAACTCTCTCTATGCCCCATCTCCCGTACCCTTGTTAATCTCTGGTAATCACTATTCTATTCAACACCTCTATGAGGTCAACTTTTTAAGATTCTGTAGATGAGTAAAAACATGTGGTATTTGTCTTTCTGTGTCTGGCTTATTTCACTTAATATAATGTCATCCAGGTCCATCCATGTTGTCTCAAATAACGACTTCATTTTTTATGGCTGAATGGTATTCCATTATATGTATATATTTTATTATCTTTTTTATTTACTCATTGTTGGACACATAGTTTGATTTTGTATCTTGGCTATTGTGAATAGTGTTGCAATGCACATGGAAGTGCAGATATCCCTTTGACATACTGATTTCATTTCTTTTGGATATATACCCAGTAGTGAGATTGCTGGATTGTATAATCGTTCTATGTTTAATATTTTAAGGAAACTCCATACTGCTTTCCATTATGACTGTAGTAATTTACGTTCCCACCATCACTGTAAAAGGGTTTCCTTTTCTCCACATCCTTGCCAACACTCTTTGTCATCTTTTTGATAATAGCCATTCTAATCAGAGTAACGTGATATCTCATTGGGTTGTATTTTCATTTTCCTGATGATCAGTGATGTTGATTATTTTCCAAATACCCTTTGGCCATCTTTATGTCTTCTTTTGAGAAATGTCTGTTAGGATCTTTCCCCCCATTTTTATATCAGGTTTTTGTTTTGTTTTGCTGTTGAGTTGTTTGAGTTCCTCATATATTCTGGATATTTACCCTTGTCAGATGTACAGTTTGCAAATATTTTCTCCCAATGTATAGGTTGTCTCTTCACTCTACTTCCTTTGTTGCACAGCAGATTTTTAGTTCAAGGTAATCCCATTTGTCTATTTTTTGCTCTTGTTGCCTGTGCTTTTGAGGTCTTAGTCAGAAAATATTTGCCCAGTGCAATGTTGAGAAGCATTTTCCCTATATTTTCTTTAGTAGTTTTATAGTTCTTGATCTTACATTTAAGTCTTTAACTCATTTTGAGTTGATTTTTGGATATGGTGAGAGATCCAATTTCCTCAACACTATTTATTGAGGGGCTGTCATTACCCTATTGTATGTTCCTGGCAATTTGTTGAAAAATTTTGTTGTAGGTGTATGAATTTATTTCTGGGCTCTTTATTCTGTTCTATTGGTCTATATGTCTGTTTTTTTTGTGGGTCAGTACATGCTGTTTTGGTTACTATATCTTCGTAATATATTTTGAAGTCAGATAGTGTGATTTGCTTCATTCTTTTTGCTCAGGATTGCTTGGATATTTAGGGTCTTTTGTGGTTTCATATGAATTTTAGGATTTTTTTTCCTACTTCTGTGAAAAATGTTATCAGTATTTTGATAGGGGTTACACTGAATCTGTGGGTGGCTTTGGATGATGTGGGCACTTTTAAAATATTAACTCTTCCAATCCATAAACACAGGGTATCTTTCCATTTATTTGTGTCTTCCTCAATTTATTTCATTTTTTTAAATTTGCATTGTAGAAATCTTTCACCTCTTTAGTGAAATATATTCCTAGGGGGCTGGGCACAGTGGCTCACACCTGTAATCTCAGCACTTTGGGAGGTTGAGACAGGAGGATTGCTTGAGGTCAGGAGTTTGAGACCAGCCTGAACAGAATAGCGAGACCTCATTTCTATATATATATAACTTTAAAAAAAAATAACTGGGCATGGCGATGGCTGCCTGAAGTCCCATGTATTCAAGAGTCTGAGGTAGGAGGACCATTTGAGCCAGGGAGGTTGAGGCTTCAGTGAGCTGGAATTATACCACCACAGTCCAGCCTGGGCAACAGACTGAGACTCTGTCTCAAAAAACAAACAAAAACCTTAGGTATTTTATTTTATTTTATTTTATTTTTGTAGCTACTGTAAATTGGGTTGTTTTTTCTTCATTTCTTTTTCAGATAGTTCAGTACTAATGTATTAAAAACCTACTGATTTTCATGTGTTGATTTTTTAACCTGCAACATTACTGAATTTCTGTATTAGTTCTAACAGACTCTATTTATCTATCTATCATTTATCTATCTACCTATCTATCTATCTATCTATCTATCTATCTATCTATCTAATCTAGCTATCTGGGTTTTCCCTATATATGATATGTTATATGCAAATAAAGATAATTGGACTTCATCTTTTCCAATTTGGGTGCTTTTTATTTCTTTATCTTGCCAAATTGCTCTGATGGGGAATTCTAGCACATGTTGAATAGAAGCAGTAAAAGTGGGAATTCTTGTTTTTTTCCTGATCTTAGAGGAAAAGCTTCTCCACTGAGTACGACGTTAGCTGTGGGTCTGTCATATATTGCCATTATTGTGTTGAGGTATGTCTACAAAATTTGTTGAGAGTTTTTATTATGAAGAGGTGTTGAATTTTGTTGAATGCTTCTTCTGCATCCGTTAGGATGATCATGTGGTTTTGTCCTTTTTTTCTGTTAATGTGGTGTATCACATATATTGCTTTACTTCCAATAAATCATTCCTGCATCCTGGGATGAATTCCACTTGATTATGGTGGATGACATTTTTAATGTACTGTTGAACTTGGTTTGCTAGTATTTTGTTTAGGACATTTGCTTCTATGTTTGTCAGGTATATTGGCCTGCAGTATTCCTTGTAGTGTCTTTGTTTCTGGTATCAGAATAATGGTGGCCTTGTCAAATGAGTTTGGAAGTTTTCCCTCCACTTCAATTTTCTGGAATAGTTTGAGAAGAATTGGTATTATTTCTTTTAATATTTGGTAGAATTCAGCAGTGATGCCATTAGGTTCTGGGTTTATCTCTGATGGAGACTTATAATTACTGAATCAATTTTCTTACTCATTACAAGTCTATTCTACTTCATAATTTAACCTTGTTAAGTTATATGTGTCCAGGGATTTATCTATTTCTCTTGGGTTATTAAATTTGTTGGAATATAATTGTTCATAATAGTCTCTTACAATCCTTTGTATTGCTGTTGTTTCAGTTGCAATGTCTTTTTCTTTCATTTATCATTTTATTTATTTAAGTATCCTCTTTTTAAAAAAACTTAGTCTAACTAAGGGTTTATTGATCTTATCATTAGCCCTGAGTTATGAAAGCCAACTCTTTGTTTTGTTGATCTTTTGTATGTATTTAGTCTCTACTTCATTTATTATTGCACTTATCTTTATTATTTCCTTCCTTTGATCAATTTTAGGTTTAATTTTTCTAGTTTCTTGAGGTGTAATGTTAGGTTTTTTTTGGAATCTTTCTTATTTTTTGCTGTAGGCATTTATTGCTATAAAATTTCCTCTTAGAACTGCTTTGCTGTATCCCATAGCTTTTGGTATGCTGTGTTTCCATTGTCATTTGTCTCAATAATTTTTTAAATATCTCTTTTAATTTCTTCATTTACTCTGTGGTTATTCAAAAGCATGTTGTTTAATTTCCATGTATTTATAAAATTTCTGAGTTTCCTCTTGTTATTAATTGCTAATTTTACACCATTGTGGTCAGAAAAGATTCTTGATAGGATCTCTATCTTCTTAAGTTTGTTAAAATTTATTTTGTGGCCTAACATATGATCTGCTGTGAAGAATGCTTCATGTACTACTGAGAAGATTGTGTATTTTGCAGCTGTTGGATGAAATGTTCTGCAAATGTCAGTTAGGTCCATTTGGTCTATGGTGCAGTTTAAGTCCAATGCTTCTTTATTGATTTTCAGTCTAGATGATCTATCCATTGTTGAAAGTGGGGTTATGAAGTCCCCTACTATTACTGTATTACAGTTAGAATATTTTAAATTCACAATTCTAAAATATAAATAAACTTCAAAACCAACACCTACACTAGTTTATAGAACATATTTTATGGACTCAATTTATGCAACATAAACTTCCAACTGCCAAGACACAAAATTCTATTTATAATGCTGCCTAGAAACCACCATTAGTCATCATAAATATTGCTATAACAAATAATTCCCACAAACTGAACAGGCAAATAAAAACAAGTGATTCTGAAATACTTTCTAGGAGCAGGATCCTCAATTTAAAATGATTTGTTTGTTTGTTTTTGAGAAGGAATAGGAAGAAAATAAAATCTAAAGCTGATCTAATAATTAAAATCTTTTTCAATTTAATCATACTATTTAAAGGGAAATGTTTAAATAAATGTTTAACACAAGAAGCTAGTTCATATTTAGCTAAATTTTGCTCCTCCTCACAGTCCTATTTTATTATATCTATTTCTCACTCTGGAACAAAACACACACACACACACACAAACACACACATATTTGGCTAACATTAAATCCATCTGGAGACCATTTTTAAAAATAAAGTCTTGTTTTACTTTGATAGTGTTGTCCTACCTAGATTGTATGATGTTTCTGAGTATTAAATATCCCAAGATAGGAACTCTTTCTTATGCTTAGAGCTGCCTTTTGAACATAGCCATATATGCTAGATACCACTGTTGATATCAGATATGCATGATGGAATCATAATAGTGGATTTGTTGTTTAAATTTATGACTAAATTGAATATGTCTAAAAGGGGGAGTCAGTCTACATCTAGAATTTCTTAGTAGTGAGTTACTCTAATCTACGTCCCAGTTGCCAGCTAATGATAACAGAATGAATTAATACATTTAAATGTGATATTGATTATACCCTTACTGAGTAACCATGATATCCAAAGACTGTACTAAATTGAGAATAGAACCACAAATAAGATATGTATCTGCCCTCTGGAGACTGTGAAAGTATAACAATTTGACATGTAACAGTAGAAGCAGCCACTCATTAATTCAACAAACTTACCTTAAACACTTAAGGCAAGACAGGTACTGTGCTAGACTCAAAAGATACCACAAAGAAAAGGGAAGTCTGTGCCTTCAAAGATCCCACATTGTGGGGATACAATTGTCAAAACAACTAAACTATATCCAAGAAGCACTTGAGAGAATAAAGATCTAATCCATACAAGTAATGTTACACAGAACATCCCTGAGGAAATAAAACCTGAGTTAACCTCAAGCATGGAGTGGGAAAGGCTAAAAGTACACCATGTGCAGACGTTGGGAAGCTTGATAGTATGAAAGAATTGAGGTTCTGTCTGGTAGGACATGTAAGTGATTAGAGGATGGCAGAATAAATTATGAAGAACTTTGTATTCCAAGCAGAGTGTCCGTGTACAGTACCTCAGGAAACAGGAAGCCATGGAAAAACTTTAAACAGACAATTTTCTCAAAAACATCTGTTAAGGAGGTTTTTGTAGTTGAGGAGAAATAGAGAAATAGCTCAATCAAAGGCAGCAGAAATGGATGAAATGGGAGTTACTAGCAAGCAGTTGGTATCAATAGGATTTAGTGATTAATTCTATTATACTCAGGTCTATAGCCTAGGTGATAAATATAGTCAAAGTACATACTCAGGGAGGATATAGGGTGGGGAGAATGAGGTAGAAAACATGAGCACATTTTTGTGCATGTTGAGTTTAAGATATATTTAAGAAACTCAGGTAGAGCAGTCCATTGGATTATAGGGTTGGAACATGAAATCATGTATGACTAGATTGAGAATACAACATGTACACAATAAGTGTGATGCTGTGGTTAAAAGCATTGGTGTGGATAAAATGACACATGATAATGCCAAGGGCAAAACTCTGTGGAATAGAAATAATATGGTCAACAAGCAGAGGAAGAAAATCCAAAGAATGAGAAGGAAAGATTAAGTCTGTAAAATTGGAATCAGGAGAGTGATCTCAGGGCAAACACAGGAGGGAAAATATCCAAGAAAGAGAGAGCAAGTGCTAAATGCCTCAGAGATATCAAGTAAATTAAGTGTTAAAATGTACCCAAAGTGCTTTTGCAAGACCACTTCCAAACCAAGTAGTTAGACACAGGGCATTGTTTTAAAAGTTATGGGCCATTCATATATAATTCAGCCAGTATGAAACAACAGCAAAAATATATATGTTTTCTTCTATGGAAAATATTTACCTTTTGGAAGAAGATAAAAAAGGGTCTAAGGTATAAAACAGGTAGAACTTGAACATACAAAACTTCTGTGATATCACTTTCTATACAACTAAAGTTTTCAAAAATACCATAGAAAACAAACATAAGCAAATAAATCTAATCATATATTAAGCTGACAAAATAACCATAAATAGAATGCTGGATTATAAGCCACTTTAGAATACAGGATTTTGATGTCACATATGTCCTTAAAAGGATACATTCATGGAACACAGATAACTATGAAGACAATTTAAGCTTCCTTATAAGTTATACTATTTGGTGTAATATCAGTATGGATATTTTATAGCAACTTTATTTTTAAGTATTTGTTATTAATAAGTAATTAATATTTTCAATGAAAAAAGATAGTTATTAGTTTAAATTAAGTTAAAAAGCTAAACTATTAATTAAAATACAATTGGAAACATGAATGCAAACTCATAACTTTTCTAGCTATAGCCACAGAAATGGCCCAGAAATGTTTAACATTTCTGGTGCCCAGGTTGTAGTTGCTAATTCAATAATCCACTAAAAAAAAATGAGAGTTCCAATGCAATTAACATTTAGGGGACAATTTTCTAAATTTAACCATTTGGATATTAAAGAATTTATTAAAATATAAATGTGGACATCATTGAAAACCAACTGTGTTGCAGAACAATATGTATAGTATGTCATTTGGGTTAAAATTACATATGTATTAGAATGGACCTATGTATATATGTCCATACTGCTAATAAATACATGAAAGGCAGGACTCTCCTTGAGGGCTTTGCCCCTGCAGCAAACTTCCGCCTGGACATCCAGGTATTTCCATACATCCTCTGAAATCTAGGTGAAGGTTCCCAAACCTCAATTCTTGACTTCTGTGTACCTGCAGGCTTGACATCACATGGAAGCTGCCAAGGCTTGGGGCTTGCACCCTCTGAAGCAATGGCCTGAATTATAAGTTGGCCCCTTTTAGCCATGGCTGATGCAGCTGGGATTCAGGGCACCAAGTCCCTAGGCTGCACATAACAGGGGGGGCCTTAAGCCCATGAAAGCATTTTTTCCTCTTAGACTCCAAGGCCTGTGATAGAAGGGGCTGCTGAGAAGGTCTCTGATATGCCCTGGAGACATTTTCCCCATTGTCTTGGTGATTAACATTCTTGGCTTCTGTTACTTATGTAAATTTCTGCAGCTGTCTTAAATTTCTCCCCAGAAAATGGGTTTTTCTTTTCTGTTGCATTGTCAGGCAAATTTTCCAAACTTTTTTGCTCTGCTTCCTCTTGAATGCTTTGCCACTCAGAAATTTCTTCTGCTGGATACCCTAAATCTTCTCTCTCAAGTTCAAAGTTCCACAGATCTCTAGGGCAGGGACAAAATGTCACCAGTCTCTTTGCTAAAGCATAACAAGAGTCAGCTTTGCTCCAGTTCCCAACAAGTTCCTCATCTTCATCTGAGACCACCTCAGTCTGGACTTCATTGTCAATATCACTATCATCATTTTGGTCAAAGCCATTCAACAAGTCTTTAGGAAGTTCCAAACTTTCTCACATCTTTCTGTCTTCTTATGAGCCTTCCAAACTGTTCCAACCTCTGACTGCTACCCAGTTCAAAAGTCAATTCCATATTTTTGGGTATCTTTACAGTAGCACCCCACTCTACCAGTACCAATTTATTCTATTAGTTCATTCTCGCACTGCTAATAAAGACATACCCAAGACAGGGTAATTTATGAAGGAAAGAAGTTTAATTGAGTCAGAGTTCAGCATGGCTGGAGAGGTCTCAGGACACTTATAATTGTGGTGGAAGGGGAAGCAAACAAATCCTTCTTCACACAGCAGCAGAAAGGAGAAGAATCAATGCCCAGTGAAGGGGGAAGCCCCTTATAAACCCATAAAATTTGTGAGAACTCACTATCACAAGAACAGAATGAGAGAAACTGTCCCCACGATTCAATTGTCTCCACCTGGTCCCTCCCACAACATGTGGGGATTATGGGAATTAAAATTCAAGATGAGATTTGGGTGGGGACACAGCCAAACCATATCAGGTGCATTCAAGGAACAGAAATACTATGAAGACAATTTAAACTTCCCTTATAAGTTATATTGTTTGGTGTAATATCAGTATTGATATTTCATAAGAACTTTATTTATAAGAATCTATTATTAATAAGTAAATCAATCTTTTCAATGAAAGTGAAAAGAGCAAAGTTATTAATTTAAATAAAGTAAAAAACTAAACTATTTATTAAAATACAATTGGAAACATGAATACAAACTCATAACTTTTCTAGCTATAACCACAGAAATGGCCCAGAAACAGATCTCCAATGCAAGTAACATTTTGGGAGCAATTTTGGAAATTTAACCATTTGAATATTAGATAAAGAACTTATTGAAATATAAATTGGAGATCATTGACAGAAAACAACCACGTTGCAGAACAATATGCTCTCATTAGGGTTGAAAAAATTTATATACAGTCATACATCACTAAATGACAGCTATTTGTTCTAACAAATGCATCATTAGACAATTTTGTAATTGTGCAATCACAGAGTGTCCTAACACAAACCTAGATTGTAGAGCCTACTACACACCTAGGATATAAAGCATATCCTATTGCTCCTAGGCTACAAACTTGTTCAACATTTTACTGTACTAAATACTGTAAGCAGTTGTAACACACTGGTAAGTATTTGTGTATCTAAACATAAAAAAAAGTACAGTCAAAATACAGTGTTATAATCTTATGGGATGACTGTCATATACGTGGTCTGTCGTTCACCGAAATACTGTTATGTGGTATCATACTGCACATAAACATTTATGCGTGCAGAGAGCAATTATGTAGTAGGGTATTAACAGCATGATTGTCACAAATTATATGAAGTTTTACTTTTTAAAATTTTAATTCCATTTATTAAACACTTATGTTTTGCATGTTTCTGTTTTATAATTTTTAAATGGCTATTTAAGTGGCAACATCAAAAACAACTAGGCAACTAGTTCATTGGTGATTTCAGACATGGTAGACAGAAGTCAGGGTGCAGTGGAGTGGAGAATAATAGGAGCAGAAACAGTAAGTGTAAAACTATGCAGAATGAGCCCAGTATGTAAGAACAGAAAGAGAAAGGAAAGTAACTGAAAGCAGACAGCTCGAAGTTTCCAGGCAGGCACTTGCCTTAGGGCTCTAGTGCTGGCTTTGCTCTCTCCAGAAGGTACTTCTTATTCGCATCCACCATCCACATGGCTCACTCACTCATGTTTTTCACATCTTTACTCAAAAGTTAGTTTCCCACTAAGGCCTATTTAAAATCTTAACACTCTTCCTCCACACTTCACACACAAATTCCCCACCCTGATTCTACTTTTTCCCCATAGAACTTAATAACTATCTAGCATTTTATATAATTGATACTTTATTATGTATTGTGTAGCTCTTTCACTAATAGGTGAACTCAGTTTCAAAGATATTATTTTTGTCTTTTGGACACTGAGGTATCTTGAGTACCTAGAACAGTGTATGGCACATAAGATTACTTGATAACTGTGTGCTGAATTAAAAGAAAAGTTATTTCGGATTGGAGAGACTTGAGCACATTTATAAGCTGAACTTTACTATTTCCAGAAAGAAGGATGAGCCTGATCAATGAAGTGCAGGACAACAGAAGAAATCCTTATGAGATTTCCTTTGATTCTTCAGACAGTATATATAGTACTTTTACAGTAGTAAACAGATAAAACCTGTTCAGGAAATCTTATAGGCCAGTAAAGAGTAAAACTGATTACCATTATGTGTCTTTGCCATTTGGCCTTTATTTCTTTTTCTTTTCTTTTCTTTTCTTTTTTCAAGAAGGAGTCTTGCTTTGTTGCCCAGGCTAGAGTGCAGTGGTGCAATCTTGGCTCATTGCAACCTCCACCTCATGGGTTCAAGCAATTCTCCTGCCTCAGCCTCCTGAGTAGCTGGGATTAGAGGTGTGTGCCACCACACAGGCTAATTTTTTGTATTTTTAGTAGAGATGGAGTTTCACCATGTTGGTCAGGATGGTCTCAAACTCCTGACCTTGTGATCCGCCCACCTCAGCCTCCCAAAGTGCTGGGATTACAGGCGTGATCCACTGCACCCAGCCTGTCCTTTATTTCCAGTAATGAAAGATGCACACTGCTAGAACAAATAGCTATGCAAAAATTTTGGTGGTGCTTTTTCAGAGAAAGAAACTCATTGTCTTGACAATAATGTTTGGGAAACACACAATGTTTGAACCACTACTTATTATCATGATAATCAAAATTCCAGTTAATTCCATTACCTGATATAGTATATTGAAATAGCTGCATTAAATTAGCTGGGCGTGGTGGCGGGCGCCTGTAGTCCCAGCTACTCAGGAGGCTGAGGCAGGAGAATGGCGTGAACCCAGGAGGTGCAGCTTGCGGTGAGCCGAGATCGCACCACTGCACTCCAGCCTGGGCGACAGAGCAAGACTCTGTCTCAAAAAAAAAAAAAAAAAAAAAAAAATAGCTGCACCAAAACAATGGGAAAGTACTGAAAGAGAACTTCCAAAGAAGTGTACTTGCAAGAACAGTTTTGTGATAGAGTTCAATTATTTCCTTTTGCAGTTTCATATTCAATAAAGATGTTACAGGATGAAGAAAAGAAGAAGTTGTATTAATTCAAATTCAGGCCAAGAAAACAAATATTTATTGAGGATATTAAGGGCCTAAAAAGACTCATAAAAAATTTAACGTCATAAAGAAGACAGTAGTTTTAGTCAAGATTAAAACAACATCAAACAGGAAATTGCCCTGCTTGGTATCTCCTGATCTTTTCTAGAGTTAACCCTTGGAGTTTTCCTTGGATTTTTTTCTTTTCTTTCTTTTTTTTTGGCCTTTTAGTACTGATCCATGTGGCTGTTGAAAGTCTTCCATTTTATTGTTTTATGTTTTGGGGATTTGTTTGGTTTTGGATTTTATTTCTAAATCACTGATTTAAATCTGGTAATTATTGGAGAATGACTGCAAAAATCTCTAGTCTCAACCATTGGCTTATTCTTAAATGATCAATACACCTGAACATGCAATATTTTTGTTCTTGTTTTGTTTTTCAGTTAGACCTCATTGTAGGTTATAAGACCATTCAAATAAAGGGAAAACTACATGTATTGAAAAGCTTAAAAATAAAACTCAAATAGCTTAATATAGACAGATATATTTATGTTTGATAAATAGCCCTAATTTCAGCCAAGTGCAGTGGCTCACACCTGTAATCTCAACTCTTTGGGAGGCCGAGGTAGGTGGATTACCTGAGGCCAGGAGTTTGAGACCACCCTGGCCAACATGGTGAAACTCCATCTCTACTAAAAATACAAAACAACAACAACAACAACAACAACAACAACAAAAAACAGCCCAGCGTGGTGGCAGATGCCTGTAATCCCAGCTACTCGGGAGGCTGAGGCAGGAGAATCGCTTGAACCCAGGAGGCGGAGGCTGCAGTGAGCCTAGATCGCGCCACCATACTCCAGCCTGGCCAACAAGAGTGAAACTCTGCCAAAAAGAAAAAAAAAAAAGCCCTAGTTTCATGAAATTTATTTTAGAATAGGAAAGTTATAAAAGTTTCTATTAGTTTAGAGATAGAATCAAAGTGATCTCATTTATCTAATTTAGATAAAAATGTAAAGGTCTCAGAGAATGAAAATAATTCAGAATATCATTTTGAAATGAGGAAAATAACAGAAAATATAAAATTTTACATTATGCTGATTAAAGCAATGTATTACCAAGGAAGATCAGAAAAAAAAAAAACTATTTGGTTACAAAAAACAGAGGGAAGACAAATTATCTCTTTCTCTCTTCTGTAACTGGGACAGACTTATTTTCTTGCCCTTGGAAAGGAGAACCCCAGGTTCATCAGACTTTGGACTCCAAGACTGAGAGTCCAGTACCAGTGGCCCCAAGTTTCTCAAGCTTGTGGCCTTGTACTGATAGGTACACACCATTAGTTTCCCTGGTTGTAAGGCTTTCAGACTTGGACTAAGCCATACTACTGGCTTTCCTGGTTCTCCAGCTTGCAAACGGATGGTCTATTGTGGAACTTCTTAGCCTCTACAATCACATTCTTCTGCTGATTTCCCATTTAAAGGATGGCTTTATAATTATTCATAACGTATCCAGATAGGGAACAAAATGGCAGAGTAGAACTCTCCAGTGATAATCCCTCTGCAGAAACATCAATTTGAATAACTCTTCACATAGGAACATACTTTCATAAGAGCCAGGGAAGCAAGGTGAGAGATCATAGTTCCTGATAGTGGCACAATAATAGGAAAAGATGCATTGAAGAGGGTAAGAAGAACAGTTTTGGATTGTTTGCATCACCCCTCCCCCAAACCCAGGCAGCACAGCATGTAGGGAGATATTGTACACTTAGAGGAAACAGAGGGAAGTGAGCACAGGACTCTGCCTTGGACCCCAACACTGGGCCCACCACAGTAAATCAAGCACTTGGGAGAGCCCCATGGTCCCATATTCCAGACTTGTACCCCTGAAATTAACTTATAGGCCTGCCTTCCCTCATAACCAGTGGGACCACACAGGCTAAGCCTTCAGTCTTACGTGGCAAATTCAATCTCTATCCCACACCACTGAGCTGATGTCAGGAGACCCAGGATCCAGACAGCCCTCTGTAGCAGGCAGGCCTCAATGGCCCTGGACTTCCAGCTCATTCCAGCATTGTGCCTGTCATAGCAGGCTCCAGTTTTCTGGCAGTGCCATGTCAGCCACAGCTGCATTGGAATTCTGGTCTACTCCAGCACTGCAGTGGCATCTGCCCCAGTCTTCTAGCCCACCCCAGTGCTGCACCAATGACAGTGGACCCCAAACTTCTGGAAACAGCAAGCTAGTCGCAATTTCCCCAACTTCTGGCATACATCAGTGCTATGCTTATCACAGGGCTTTCCAAGAAAAAAAAGTCTATAAAGAATAAGATGAGTACCTACTTTAAATACACAGACTTCAATACACAACCACAAAGATCACAAACAATCAATGAAATATATCACTAAAGAGACAAAATAAGGTACCAGTAATAGATGCTAAATAAATAGATGCTAAATAAATTATTTTTCAGGTGTATTAACTACCTGAAAAATAATTCAAAATAACTATTTTAAGGAAGCTTGGAGTACTTTAGGAAAATTCAGAAACACAATTCAATGAAATGAGGAAAACAATGTGACCAAAATGAAAAATTTGGTAGAAAAATGAAAGTAATAAAAAAACCAAACAGAAATTCTGGAGCTGAAAATACAATGAAAGAAATAAAAAATGCACTTGAGAGCATGAACAGCAGAATGATCAGGTAAAGAAAAGAATCTTTGAACTCAAAATTAGGTTATTTGAAAATATACCATCAGAGAATAAATAAATAAATAAGTAAATAAATAAAGCTTACAGCATTTATGGAATAGTCTCAAAAGAACATTAAATGTTCAAGGCATTAGACTTCAAGAAGAAAAAGAGAAAAATAAAGAGGCAGACATCTTACTTAAAGAAATAGCAGCAGGACATTTTCCAAACCTGAACATAGTTGTAAATATCTAGACACGCAAGATCAAAGGTCTCCAATCATATTAAATGCAAATAAGACTACCCCAACATATATGGCAAAACTATGAAAAATCAGTGACAAAGAGAGGATTTGGGAAGCAGCAAAAGAAAATAAACAAATAATATATAAGAAATTTCAATAGAGCTAACAGCAGACTTCTCAGCTAAAACTTTACAAAAGCCAGTAGAAAGTGGGATGATTTATACAAGGGGGAAAAAAAAAGCCTGCTACACGGTTGTCAACCAAAAATACTGCACCTAGCAAAGTTGTCCAGAAATACAGGCATTATAAAGACCTTCCCAGATGAACAAAAGCTGAAGGTGCTCATCACCACCAGAACTGTCTTATAAGAAATGCTAAAGATAGTTTTTCAGTCTGAAAGAAAAGAATGCTGATATGTAACACAAAAACATCTGAAAGTATAAAACTCATGGGAAAAAGTACACAAATTGAGAATACTTTAATATTGTAAAAATGGTGTGGAAAT
This sequence comes from Homo sapiens, assembly GCF_000001405.40. Classification (NCBI taxonomy): domain Eukaryota; kingdom Metazoa; phylum Chordata; class Mammalia; order Primates; family Hominidae; genus Homo; species Homo sapiens. Next base: position 78,816,293 of record NC_000008.11, on the reverse strand, counting down.
TATTTATATCTTTAGGATGAAGGTTAAAAGATAACACTATTAAAAATAATAGCTAAAATAATTTGTTAAGGGATATGCAATATGAAAAGATGCAAATTGCAACACAAAAAGTTAAAATGTGGAGGGAGAAATGGGGTAAAGTCATAGAGGTTTTTTGGTTTTCTTGTTCTTTTTTTTATTTTAATCAGTTTAAAATAACCTGTTATAAATACAATAAGTTTTTTGTAACCCTCATGGCAATCACAAAGCAAAAACCTGTAAGTAGAAACAGACACACACACACACACACACACACACACAAACACACACACACATGCACGCACAAGCAAGGGGTCAAAACATGTTGCTAGAGAAAAACACTTAGCCACAAAAGAAGACAGCAAGGAAGGAAGAAAGAACAAAAGATCTACAAAACAACTAGAAAATGGCAATGTCTTTACTTATTAATAATTGTGTTGATTAAATTATCCAATAAAAAGATACGGAGTGACTGAATGCATAAAAAAAGACTCAACTATTTTGTGTCTACAAGATCACTTCACCTAAAAGCAAACAGATGCAAAAAGACATCGCATGGAAATGGAATCCAAAGAGAGCAGGAGTAGCTATACCTCTATCAAATAAAAATAAACCTTAAGTAAAATACTGTAGAAAGAGACAAAGAAGGTCATTATATTAATGACTCTTCTTTACACAGGTCATTATATAAATGACCTCTTTAGTAAAAAGAGACAAAAAAGCATCATTATATAATGGCATTTTCAGTAAGAAGATATAACAACTGTAAGTACATATGCACCCAATATCAAAGCACCTAAATATATAAAGCAAATATTAGTAGATCTTAAGGTAGATACAGACTGCAATACAATAATAATAGGGACATCCCACTTTCAGCAACAGAGAGATCATCCACATAGAAAATTAATGAGGAATAATCACTTAACCAATATACTATAGATCAAATGGACCTATCAAACGTATACATAACATTCCATCCAACAGCTGCAAAATACACATTCTTCTGAACTACACATAGAATATTCTTCAGGATATATGATGTGTTAGGCCAGAAAACAAGTCTTAACACATTTTAAAATATTAAAATTGTATCAAGTTTATTTTCTCACTACAATGGCATAAAACTAGAAATCAGTAACAAAAGGAGCTTTGGAAAATTCACAAACACATGCAAATTAAGCAACATGCTCCTGGACAACCAATGGGTCAATGAAAAATTTAAAAGAGATATTAAAAATGTCTTGACACAAATGTAAATGAAAACACAACATACCAAAACCTATGGAATAAAGCAAAAGCAGTTTTAAGAGAGAAGTTTATAGCAATAAAACATAAGATCTCCAATACATACCCTAACACTGTCTCTCAAGGAACCAGAAAAGAAGAACAAACTAAGCCCAAAGTTAGGAGAAGGAAGAAAACAACAAAGACTAGAACAAAAGTAAATGAAATATAGACTAGAAAAAATAAACAAAGAGGTTTTTTTTTGAATAGGCAAACAAAATTGATACCTTTAAGAGAGTAAGAAAAAAAAAAGACTCAAATAAAATCCAAAATAAAAAAGAAGAGACACTGCAACCAATAAAACAAGAATACAAAGATCATACAAGGCTATTAGGAACAATTACACATTAACAAATTGAATAACCTAGAAAAAATGGATAAAAATGATGCATACCTCCTTCCAAGATTGTCAATTATCAAGAAGTAGAAAATCTTAGCAGATCAAAAACAGGTAAGGAGATTGAATCAGCAATAAAGAAGCCTCCCATCAAATAAAAACCCAGGACTGGGTGGCATCATTGCTGAATTCTATCAAACATTCAAAGAAGAACTAATACCAATTCTTTCAAACTGTTCTAGAAAACAAGGAGGATGGAATACTTCCAAATTCATTTTATGAGGCTAGCATTACACTGATACCAAAACCAGATGAAGACACTACAAAAAGAGAAAACTACAGGCAAATATCCCTGATGAACATAGATGCAAAAAATCCTCAATAAAATACCAGCAAACCAAATTCAACAGTACATTTAAAATAGTCATTCACCAAGATCTCATAGGATTCAGCCCAGGGATGCAAGGATGGTACAAAATTCATAAATCAATAATTGTGGTACATCACATTAATAGAATTAAAGGCAAGAACCATATGATCATTTCAATAGATGCAGAAAAAGTGAAAAAATGCAACATCCATTAAAAACATAGGTATAAAATGAATGTACCTCAATACATTAAAGCCATATATGGCAAAACCACAGCTAGCATTATACTCAGTGGGGAAAACTTGAAAGGTTTTTCTCTAAATCTAGAACATGACAAGGATGCTTATTCTTGTCACGTCCATTTAATATAGGACTGGAGGTCCTAGCCAGAACAATTAGGCAAAAGAAAGAAATGAAAGGATCCAAACTGGAAAGAAAGGAGGCAAATTTTCTGTTTGCAAATGACACGGTCTTATATGCAGAAATTATACACATATAATATATTAGAACTAATAAAGGAATTCAGCAAAGTTGCAGGATATGAAATCAACATACAAAAATCATTATTATTTTTATACACTAACAGCAAACAATCTAAAAAAATCAAGAAAAGAATCCCATTTACAATAGCTACAAAAGGAATTAAATACTCAGGATTAAATTTAATCAAGGGGATGAAAGATAGTTACACTGAAAACTATAAAACATTGATGAAATAAATTGAGGAAGACACAAATAAATGGGAATATATTGAATCCTTACGGGTTGGAAGAATTAACATTGTTAAAATATCAACATTACTAAAAACAATCTGCACATACAACACAATCTCTGTCAAGTCACTAATGACACTCTTTACAGAAATACAAAAAGAAATCCTAAAATTTGTATGAAACTGCAAAGGACACCAAAGAGCAAAAGCCATCTTGAGCAAAGAGAGCAAAGCAAGAGGCATCACACTCTCTGACTTCAAAATATGCTACAAAGCTATAGTAACCAAAACTCATCATGGTATTGGCATAAAAACAGAATGTATACCAATGGAACAAAATAGAAACCCCAGGCAAAAATCCACATATTTATAACCAACTAATTTTTGACAAAGGAGCCAAGAACACACAACAGGGAAAAGACAATCTCTTCAATAAATGATTTCAGGAAAATTATATATCCAAATGCAGAAGATTGAAATTAGATTCTTATCTCAGATTATATACAAAATTAACTCAAAATGGATTAAAGATTTAAATGTAAGACATGAAACTATGAAACTACTAGAAGAAAACATAGGAGAAAAACTCCATGACATGGACCTGGTCAATGACTTTTTGGATATGACTCCAAAAACACAGGCTACAAAAGCAAAAATTGAAAAATAGGACTACATCAAACTAAAAACCTTCTGCACAGACAACAAAACAACAGAGAGAGAAGACACCTACAGAATGGAAGAAAATATTTGTAAATGATAGATCTGTTAAGAGGTTAATATCCAAAATATATAAGGAATGCAAACAACGCAATAGCAAGTAAAAGAATAACTTGATTTAAAAATGGGCAAAGGATCTGAACAGACATTCCTCAAAGAAGACATACAAATGATCAACAGATATATGAAAAAAAACGTTTAACATCACTAATCATTGGGGCAATTCAAACTAAAACCACAATGAGGCATCACCTAACTCCTGTTAGAAAGGTCATTATGAAAAAGTCATACAATAATAACTTTAGCTAGGATGTGAATTAAAGGCAACATTTGAACACTGTTGGTAGGAATGTAAATTAATACAGCCATTATGGAAAATGGTGTGAAAGTTTCTCAACAAAATAAAAGTAGAACTACCATATGACCCAGTAATCCCACTACTTGGTATACATCCAAAGGAAATGAAATCAGTATTTCAAATAGATATCTGCAGTCTTGTGTTTATAGCATCATTATTCACAATGGCCAATATGTAGAATCAAAATGTCCATCAGTGGATGAATGAATAAAGAAAATATGTTGTATATACACAATGGAATACTATCCAGCCACAAAAAGAATGCAATTCTGTGGTTTACAATAAAATTGATGATCCTGGAGGACATTATGTTAAGTGACATAAGCCAGGCATAGAAGGACAAATACTGCCTGATCTTATTAATTCATACATAGAATCTAAAAAAGCTGATCTCTTAGAAATAAAGAGAAGAACCATGGTTACCAGGAGCTGGAGTGGTTGTAGGGGAAGTTGAGGAGATGTTGGTCAAAGGATATAGAATTTCAGTTAGACAGAATAAATAAGTTCAAGAGATCTACTGTACAATATGGTGATACAGTTAATAACAATATATTATATTTTTAAAAAATGCTGAGAGTGAAGGTAAGTGTTCTTATCACAAAAATGATAGGTATGTGAGGTAGTGCATATGGTAACTAGATTATTCATTTCACAATTTATATATACTTGAAAACAGACAATTTTATCGGTCAATGTAAAATTAAATTAAAAACATTAAAAATGAGAAAGACATAATTGAAAAACATTTTAGTAAAACATAGTGGAGAATTGTTAGAAAAAGAAACAAGGAAATGAAAGCATACAGCCGACATTTAATAAAATGTTACTCAAGAAATAGATGACACACTGCTCCATGGTTTGAAGAAGAAATCATTGGCACATGAAACTCCATGGCTTAGTGTTTTCGTCTCTTAAAAATTTCATTTTTTGTGCTTTTCTCATTGAAATATATATGTCATTGCCAGATAACATATTAAATTATTTGGAGAAAACATTAATGGTAGTTCCAGGCTTGTAGGATGCCAGTTAATTGACACGTTATTGACATAGAAAAATGACTGATACCCCAGAAACTCAGGGACATACACTATATTTCTAGATTATGATGTCATTACTGTTGCAATAAACCTAATCATTTTACATTGTATATGAGTTAATGGATGTACTAAGAGTCCAATAATAGTCTAAGGCAAAGACAAACCTGGCTTGAACCAAACCTGGCTTGCATCAAACCTGGCTTGCCTGAAGGAAAGGTAGATTGGATTAATTTCTAATCTAAAAATAAAAGGATTTCAACAAGACAGCCTTCCATATTAGGAAGACTTCCATATTAGGAAAAGAAATCTAAAATCTATATTAAATATTAGAAGGCTTCCATATTAGACAGCCTTCCATATTAGGAAAAGAAGTCTAAATCTATATTAAATATTAAAATTTTAACAAGCTTGTCACAACTTTAGATATATCAATATCAATCAGTAGTTGGTTTTGTAACATTCTTGGATGTGAACACAAGTTCGCTCAGATATGGTTCTGTGTAATAACAGCGAGTCAAGACTTGTGCAGTCTGATGTCTCCCTTTTCCACAAGTCATACATGGGTAGAATTTGTAAACTGAAACATATTCTGTTGACTACAGAGAATTCCAGGTTGAAAAAGATAGTAACTGCTCTCCAAGAGCTCATAAGAACAAGTTGACATCTTCATATAGTAACTGGATCATATAAAGGGAATCTATCCAGTGATTTAAACAAAATATGTTTACATTTTTTTCAGTTTGCATGAAGAAATTTGTTGTAGGTGTATTCTTTTCTAATTAATCTTCTATAAAGGCAGTGGTTGAAAGCATAGTCCCTCCAAAATCTAGTACAGTCATGCACTGTATAACAAAGAACTGCCTGCAGGACAGTGGTCTAAGATTACAATGGAGCTGAAAAATGTCTGTCACCTAGTGACATTGTAGCCATTGTAACAACTTAGCACAACCAATTACTCATGTGTTTGTGGTGATGCTGGCATAAACAAACCTACTGCACTGCCAGTCCTATAAAAGTATACCACATGCAATACTGTACAGCACCCAACACCTGATAATAAACAATTATGTTATTGGTTTATGCTTTTACTATACTTTTATCATTATTTTAGATTGTACTCCTTCTACTTATTAAAAAAAAAGTTAACAGTAAAACAGCCCGGGCAGCTCCTTCAAGAGGTATTCCAGGAGAAGGCATTGCTATCATAGGAAATGACAGCTCCATGCATGTTATTGTCCCTGAACACCTTCCAGTGGGACAAGATGTGGAGATGGAAGACAGTGATGATGATCCTGACCCCGTGTAGGCCTAAGCTAATATGTGTGTTTGTGTCTTAGTTTCTAACAAAAAAGTTTAAAAAGTAAGAAAAAAGCATATAGAATAAGGATATAAAGAAAGAAAATATTTTCAACAGCTGTACAATGTGTTTGTGTTTTAAGCTAAATGTTATGACAAGAGTCAAAAAGTTGGAAAAAAATAAAAGTTTATAAAGTAAAAATAGTTAGAGTAAGCAAAGGTTAATTTATCATTTCTCGGAATATATTGTTAAATGATGCAAGACTGTATATAAAAGAAAGCCCTGATTGCCAACAATGCAACATTAGCATATAAAGGGATTGGATAATGCAAATCTATGTAAAAGCTACAGCGGCCCTCTCTGAAAGGCGATTTGGGAAATATTAGACTTCTTTCTTAGACAAGCCAATACTCAATCCAGAATTAGATGAGTGCCGATGGGAACATTTCAGTAAGGAACATAAATTTAGACCCCAGATAGAGAGTGGATTCTGATTGTTTAGAATTATAGAATTTTGGGACTGAAATTAAAGAGGAGGGAGAAATGGAGAGAAAATAAGAAAAGAAATCAACAGAGTATCTTGGGTTTCTTGGTTCCATGCTTTCCCCGTTCTGCAGAACCTAATTTTATCCATTAATATATAAATATGCTCAAGTGTTTCTAATAATTGAAAATAAAAACTTCCATGCCTTTCAAATCATTACCCTATCCCTTTTATTATTACCAAACATTTTGTAAAAGTTATATTCTCTTACTTTATTTCTTTCTTCTCTCAACCCCTGCAAGCTAGTATATTATTTGCATCTACACTGCTCTTCTCAAACTGTTGCCATGAGGATCATGGACAATCTCTGCTCTGCCAAATTTAATAGACACACTTTTCAGTCTCTATCTTATTCAACCTCTTTGTGACATTTGGAAATACTGGCTACTTACTCTATCTTGAAATTCTATTTTCCGTTGCCTTCTGAGACACTGACTTCTGACTTTCCCACTTTGCTGCCTACTATGTATTCGTCTGTTTTGTTGATGGGCACCCCTTTCTCCAGCTACTTTTTAGGGTTGCTCATGCCTCAAGATTCCTGCTAGCATTAGTTCTCTCTTCTGTCTTCTAACATGCAGGTTGAGTAATTGCATTCATTTCCATGGCTCTGGCCATCACTGATATGCTAACATACCCATCTCCAGCAAAGTTCTGACAGTCTGACATGGCTATTTTGATTCAGCCTTCAAAATAAACCCTTCTTCATTTTCTCACTTGTAATGCTCAAAACTGACAGTCTCGTCCTATTCCTGGGCTTCATCCACGGAATCAAGTAAGTTTTATTGTTGAACTCTAGTAAGTCTGCCAGAAACAAATAGTTCACATGTTTAACAGTTGACAGTTTTAGAAAACAATAGAATTTCCAATTTATTTTATGAAACTAGCATAACTGGACAAAACTAGCCCAGTATCAGTTGAATATAAAATTAAAAATAAACATAACCCAATTATGACTATAACTGTAAAATTCTAGGTTAAATATTACCAATTTGAACGTTGCATTATGTTAAATTTATGGTTTATTTAGGAATTCAGCAAAAAAACCATGACCATGTAAATAGACGCTCATTAGTCATTTGGTAAAATTTAAATTTTATCAAATTACAGGTCATCCTCTCATAGCTGCTTGTTTATTGGACAGATAAATTAACCTTTATTGATCCTCATTTAACTATGAAAATGGGCCTATACTACTTTAAACTTCTGATTCAAATAATATATCATGTTTCTCTTTTAATGATATTTTTCATCTTTGAAATTAGATATTTAACATCTGTTTTTCCCACCAAACTGAAATCACCTCAAAGACATACACTGCTATCCACAATGTGTAACTTAACATGTGTGAGTGTGCATGACCATTATAGAATTTTGAAACCCAGTGCAAAATGAAAATAAGAGTCCCTTTATCTAAAAATGAGGAATTTCAATACAGTGACAGCAGAGCATCAAATGAAGTACAAGGCCCTGTGCCAATTACACAGATCATATATCCATAATGTTGGCTGTGTGGCGCTGTGTGTGTGTTTTAAATATGTTGAATGTTATTACTGGAAAGTTAAATAAAAAGAACTTCATACTACCCATAGATAGAATGATAGATAGAATTCATATCACAGACTACAAAAAGTAGTCATATTAAGTTGGGTAAAAATAGTTCAGATATTAATCAAAAAATATTTTCTGGTTTACAATAATTGACTATTCTGACTGAAGACTGTAGAACATTAAAAGATATTGGTTAATGTTCAATAATTTTCTCTTTAAATTGACATCATATAATTTTATTTGAACTTCTTCTAATACATTATATTGATCATTCTGAGAATGTTGTCTTCTCTTTTAAAATTTATTTACCATAATTCATAAAATGTATTTACTATTTTCTCCCTTAAAGGCTTTTCTGTCCAGTTCATTGAGTCTATGAGCAAACATAATAGTAACCATTCCATTTCTTTAATCATAAAACATTAGCATTTTAAAAATTTATAAACATTTTATTCTTGTCCATCTATCTTATAAAAAATAATATTCAGTTTATCAAAATATCAAAAGCTAATTTAAGACTTCATTTTGGATTTTTTTCTAAATGGTATTAATTATCTCACAGACAGAAAAAAAAAATCATTACTTGATGTTGTTAGAATGTGCCCATTTCATATAACCCTAACAATTCCCAAAGCTTTATGAATATTCTCTTCAGAAAGATTCTTTATAGTTGGGGGCAGAATCCAGTGTAACATTTACATTGCCTTTCCTGCAGCTCTGAATAACTTCCTTTCATGCTTCCCAAAAGTTCAGATATGTACAACCCTTATTCTACCTGGATTTATGGTGATTGTGATAAAAGGAAGACGGATTTCCTTTTGTGCAAAGTATTGATGGATGCTCTTTTACTTTGTTCCTGGAAAGTTAAAAAAAGAAAAAGGTGCAGGCTATGAACAGTTACATACTTCAATGCTGCTGTCAGGGATTTAAAATAAATAAATAAATAAATAAATAAATAAATAAATAAATAAATCCCCAACCTAGGCGTGTTTCATTATAGAAATCATTTTTAAAACTCACTCCAGTGTCATGTCTGTCCTCCTCCCCACCTCCCACTCTAGGTTCCAGTCAAATGGAAATATGTGGCTTTTCTCACTCCATTCTGTCTCTCTTTTCCATTTGCTTACCCCCTTCGCTTCCTCTTTCATTCTATTTCCTTCTGCTTTCATGAACTTTCTCTTTCACACATATTCACTGATGCATTCCCACTCACCTGTTCTCTCTTACTCTGTCACCCCCCAGTACTTACTGAATGCCAGCCATGGGCTAAAGACCATAGTAAGTGGACGCTGGGCAGGAAGAGAAAGGCCATTGTGGCTGGAGGATAGTGATGTGGTACCACGAAACGTCAGAGAGGGCAGTGGGGCCCAGATCACCAGGGCACTGAGGGCCTGGTACCCAGTGGGAAGTGACCAGAAGGTGGGGCACAAAATAGAATCAGATATCCTGCTGCTCTGAGAAGAATGAAGGGGTTGTGGGCAAAAGTGAAAGCTGGAAGATCCCTTAGACAGTCTCTATAGTCACCTTAGGGTTAATTTTGGAGGTGGGGCAGACAGGACTTGTCTATGGATTTGATGTGGGAAATGAGACCAAAAAAGGAATCAGAGACCCAAGTTTCAGGCTTGAGCAACTCTGTTCTCCCTAGTTCATTGCCATCCTTTTTTTTCCTTTCTCCTTCCCTCCTCTTCCTTGTTCACGCTATAGCAGAATGTGACATACTCCTTACCAGCCCCAAGTTCATTCCTCTTCAAGTGTCAGTTTAGAAGTCACAGACTCCAGGAAACTTTCCTGAAGTCCCCACACTGGGGCAAAGCCACACACGTACTGTCATCTCCCTCCCGGCATCAGTGTGCACATTATTACTTTATTCACAGGAGTTCCAAGCAGGAGTTTCTACAGCCCAAATGCAGCAAGTCTGTGTCTAAGCTCAGTTAGCTAAGTGAAATTTGGAAAGTTACTTAAGGAAGTCTCAGTCCCCACATCTGTAAAGTGCAGATAAGAAAATGGTCTACCTCACACAAAGTTTTGCATGAGATGATATACATAAAATGCTTAGCACAAAACTGGCAGAGAGCAAATGCTAGATAAATGATAGTCGTTATTATTATCGCTGTTGTTACTGGTTTACATTATCCACCTTCATCTAAGCAGGGTTTCTGCAGAATAGCAGAAACCAAACTAATGTAGCAAATAAGCTACATAATTCAAGCCCAGGAAAAAGTTAACATTTCAGTGGCATGCATTCAAGACGAATAGTTTGATTTATTAGCCAATTCAGATAAATGTGCACGTGGAAGTCATAGTTAAATATTATCGTCAGTTTCCACGTCCTGCGTTTAATTTGGGGTTTGATTTTCCAAATACAACACTTACCAGATTAGGTGGACCCACAGGATTATTTTTCCTTGAGGTCTCACCTGAGCAGGTGCATGTACAGCAGACGGAGCAGAAAGAGACTGATTAGAGAGGTTGGAGTGGTAGAGGGCGTGACCCTCTTAATCATTCTTCACTTCCTTTTTTAAAAGACGACTTGGCATCGTCCACCACATCCGCGGCAACGCCTCCTTGGTGTCGTCCGCTTCCAATAACCCAGCTTGCGTCCTGCACACTTGTGGCTTCCGTGCACACATTAACAACTCATGGTTCTAGCTCCCAGTCGCCAAGCGTTGCCAAGGCGTTGAGAGATCATCTGGGAAGTCTTTTACCCAGAATTGCTTTGATTCAGGCCAGCTGGTTTTTCCTGCGGTGATTCGGAAATTCGCGAATTCCTCTGGTCCTCATCCAGGTGCGCGGGAAGCAGGTGCCCAGGAGAGAGGGGATAATGAAGATTCCATGCTGATGATCCCAAAGATTGAACCTGCAGACCAAGCGCAAAGTAGAAACTGAAAGTACACTGCTGGCGGATCCTACGGAAGTTATGGAAAAGGCAAAGCGCAGAGCCACGCCGTAGTGTGTGCCGCCCCCCTTGGGATGGATGAAACTGCAGTCGCGGCGTGGGTAAGAGGAACCAGCTGCAGAGATCACCCTGCCCAACACAGACTCGGCAACTCCGCGGAAGACCAGGGTCCTGGGAGTGACTATGGGCGGTGAGAGCTTGCTCCTGCTCCAGTTGCGGTCATCATGACTACGCCCGCCTCCCGCAGACCATGTTCCATGGTAAGCGCTCTTCTCCCTTGCGCACAAGTTCGCGCGCCCGACGCGCCGGGGCAATCCCAGACGCGCTGGGGGCCCCTGCTCCTAGGCAAGTCCGGGAATAGCCCGGCCTTGCACTTTGGACCTGCGGAGAGCACTGGCTCTCCCATGGGCAGCCAACAGCCGCGCCTGAGTATCCTGGCACATAGCCACTTGAACCTGGGGCGGCTGCTGCCCCTGGCAGGCTGCGAGTAACAGTCCCCAACGCCTGCTTTCTGTCCTGAGAGGGAACGCTGCAGCCTCCGCGCCGCTCAGCGGTGGCAGCCCACAGCCGGTCTCAGAAGCAGCCAAAGGCTCTCTGTCTGGCGCCCTTCCCGTGCTCCTGGCCGCCCCAAGTTACTCACGCAGGCGGCCCGGGTTCGGCGAGTAGCTGGGCTCTTGCAGCTCAGAACTCCCTAGAGAAGTGAAAGCGAAGCTCCCACGGGACGCGCTTTTAAACCCTAGGGGAACAGGTCTCCGGAAAACCCCATTTTTCCCCCCTGAGTAAGACTGGGAGTTTCCGGCAAGGGCTGTACCTTGCGCCTATTGCTGGGAAACCAGTCCTGGGGCTGGCGCTGAGGAAGGCCAGCTTCTGGGTTTTTTTGTTTTTGTTTTTGTTTTTGTTGTTATTTTTTCCTACGGGCGCTTCTTGATGGAGGCAGAATGAAATAGGCGTGACTCTAACTTCCAGACCAGTATTGAGACCTAATATATCTTATTTGTGCAGAATACGGATTTAGAATGGACAGGGACAGAATTCAGGAGGGTTGGATTCGGATGGCAGTCATATATGACCAATGAAAGAGCCAAAAAACTTACTGGAATTAAAAAAGAGGAAAAAGGATTGTGAGGGGAAAAGATCTGCTTAGGAAAATTGGAATGCTTTACAGTAAGTACTTCCTCAAGCAAGAAGACAGCTGGGGGGAGGGTGCGGGAATAGGAAACTGACTGCTCTTTCTTTTGATGGCTACTCCGTTAGATCAAGACTTCTTTCCACTCTCGTGGGTAAAGAATCAAGAATTGACACAACCAAGGAGTGCCAGCTCAGTAACAAAACAAAGATAGAGAGAGCGGAAAGAATAGCCAACGTAATTATGGAGGACTTCTAAGGAATGTCCTCCCGGAGCTTAATACAAAACTAAAAATTGAGCACAACCCTATTTTCCTTGCAATGCCCATAGTTCTGCAGTTTCTTCTTCTGGATCACCCTTGGTTCTAATCCTTGCAACACCTCTGCTCTAAAGTAGAAAGGTAAACTGAGAAAAGGAAGCTAGCGTGTGCATTTTTCAGAAAAAGCCTTTACTTCCTGAAGCACAGTTATATGAATCATGGGCTATAAGTTTTCATTAGCAGACAAAATATTAAAATTCTAATAATAATGATTATAATGCATGGCTTCCTGAAGTTTGTTTCAAGAAATTTCACTAGAAGCTTGTTCCATTAAGAGTGCACATAATGTTACTCTTTACCCTTTGTCTTTGCCATTTCTTTTGAGAGTTGAAGTAGTTGAGGATCTACTATGTGGTCTCCAACTGTCTTATCTGGTTTGGGTAATTTCATCATATTTGAGGACCAAAAAGTTGAATAGCAATAAAAATAGACTCTACTCGGGAGGCTGAGGCAGGAGGATTGCTTGAGCCTGGAAGTCAAGGCTGCCGTGAGCCATGATCTTACCACTGTCCTCCAGCCTAGGCAACAGAGTGATGCCCTGTCTCAAAAAATAATAATAGAGAACTAATATTAGAAACCCTGAACAAGCATAAAGGAGAATTACAAACTGCATCACGTTAGTGTTTGAATATTTTTTTAAAAAATGGAAAAGGCCATTTCATAGAACGAACTTACGTGTCATATTCACACTCATCTATGTGACTTTTTTTTCTGCTTTTAACCCTGACACATAACCTACTGTAACAAGAACAAATATTTAGTCTCTTTTTCTGAAATAAAAGCATATGATGCAGTTTCACAGTTTGGCCAGGAAGTACCTTAGTGAGGTTCATGCACAGGAAGATGGGTTTTTATGCAATCCCCTTGACTACACATATATGGTTATTTTTTAAGGAAGCAATGTAGTTCAGTGCCTAAAAGCTGAGGTTCTAGACTCTTCAATGTGACAGTCTTGGATTTGAATTCCATATCTATATTATGTACAGGAATTTTCTGACTAGGCATGGTGGCTCAAGCCTGTAATCCCAACACTTGGGGAGGCTGAGGTGGGCAGATCACCTTAGGTCAGGAGTTCGAGACCAGGCTGGCCAACATGGTGAAACCTCGTCTCAACTAAAAATACAAAAAAATTTGCCAGGCGTTGTGGTGGGCACCTATAATCCCAGCTACTCAGGAGGCTGAGGGAGGAGAATCACTTGAACCTGGGAGGCTGAGGTTGCAGTGAGCCGTGATCGCACCATTGCACTCCAGCCTAGATGATAGAATGAGACTCCATATCAAAAAAAAAAAAAAGAGAGAGAAAAATACGAAAGGAATTTTCCTACATGACTGTCTTTGTGCCCCAGATTCTCCATCTATAAATGTGAATAACTTGTAGTACTTACCTACTTCTTCATGAAGTGGTTATGGAATTAAATTATCAGTGAAAATAGGTCTATGCAATGGACATTCAGTAAACACTGGTTTTAAAGACTGATAAAGACTGGAGTTGATGGATTGTAGAAAACTATTTATGTTAACTTTGACCCCCATAACTTAAGCAGCTGAGGATTGAATGTATTATTTGGCTTACATTAAAAACCAACAAGAATTTTTAGACAGACCTCCTTCTGGTTTAACCAAATTCCCTACTGAAAACAAATTCTCCAATTTCAGCCTCTTCAGGGGAAGTAAGGGCAATCCCACAAGCCACGCTTGCCTTGCGTTATTCCTATGGTTTATCTTTTCGGTAACCTAATGAAAAGTTCAGGATGGTGGGGAGTGTGGGTGTGACAACAATGCCAAAAGCACTCTCAAACCAGCCATTCTTAATATGTTACTCTCTATGTGATGTAGGAGAAAGGTCTTCAATTATGGACCAAACTACCAAGCTACATCATTAATGGGAGAGCTGGGAACCTATGAGATGTGGGTCCAAGGCCCTAGGTATGTTTGCAGCATTGTCCGTGAGGCAATTTCAGATCTAAAGAGTTTCTGCATTTGGAGGACCAGGTAGATTCTTAGAATAAGGTGTCTGCAAGATGAAAAAGATCATTTAGTCTGAAGTTTTCATTTTAGAAATCAGGTAAGTGACCTTAAGAGATGCTGTGTCATTTACACAGTCACACAAACCATTGTCTTGGCAAGTCAAAAGTCTCAAGTTTTGACTTGACTACTCAGCCTAGGCTCAGTAGATCGTGGCTCACGGCCATGGCTTACGGCCATGGCTCACGGTAAGATCATGGCTCATGGCAGCCTTGACTTCCAGGCTCAAACAATCCTCCTGCCTCAGCCTCCCAAGTAGAGTCTGTTTTTATTGCTATTCAACTTTTTGGTCCTCAAATATGATGAAATTACCCAAACCAGATAAGACAGTTGGAGACCACATAGTAGATCCTCAACTACTTCAACTCTCAAAAGAAATGGCATAGACAAAGGGTAAAGAGTAACATTATGTGCACTCTTAATGGAACAAGCTTCTAGTGAAATCTCTTGAAACAAACTGCAGGAAGCCATGCATTATAATTATTATTATGAGAATTTTAATTCCAAAACCTCTGTGCTTTATATTGCCATAGTCTGTCTGGGGCTAATTATTCAATGACAACAATGGCAACAGAAAACACTCTTAACAGGCAAGGCAAATTATGTTTTAAAATTGAGAAAGTACGTGTAATATACAAAAAGACTGAATTTTCCAGCAACCCTCATTGGAAAGAATGCACAAAATGCCATCCGGTGAATAAATAGGTTGATTTAAATTTGAGGAGCACTTAACTACTGAAAATTGAGGTGAAGAAGACAGCTAATGCTCATAGCAAGTAAAACAACCTCATGTATTAAAACAAAAGGTGGACCTTTGGAATATTTATGATAATGGTAAAAGTATCCCTTTCACTCTAGCATTTAATTATTTTATTATATTCTCCTTTAAGCTCATTTCAAGTTATATGTTATATAATTTTTCCTCTATCATCTACTCCTCCCGAAGTATACCTTTTGGACCCCTGTAAGATGACAGAGAAAATAAAAAGTATGATTTCATACAATCTATACAAATCTGATTACAAGGTCAGAATCTGGTGAATAATTAGCAATTGATCATCCAAATGTCCATCAGCAGAGGTTTGGATAAAGAAAATGTGGTATGGCCGGGCTTGTAATTACAGCTTGTAATTCTGACACTTAAGGAGGCTGAGGCAGGAAGATTGCTTGAGCCCAGGAGTTCAAGACCAGTCTGTACAAAAGAGTAAGAGCCGTCTGCTAAAAACAAATTTTAAAAAATTAGCTGGGCATGGTGGGGCACCCTGTAGTCCTAGCTACTCAGAACGCTGAGGTAGGAGGATCGCTTGAACCTAGGAATTTGAGGCTTCAGTGAGCTATGATCATGCCACTGCACTCCAGCCTGGGCAGCAGAGTGAAACCCTGTCTCAAAAAGAGAGGGAGAAAAAAAGAAAATGTGGTATATGTATACCATGGAATACTACTCAGCCATAAGAGTTAAGTCGTCTTTTGCAGCAAAATGGATGAAACTTGAGGCCATTATCTAAGTGAAATGACTCAGAAAGTCAAATGCTGCATGTTTTTACTTATAACTGGGAGCTAAACAGTGGTACAGATGGACATACAGGGTGGAATAATAGGCATTGGAGACTTTGAAAGGTGGGAGAGTAGGAGGGGGATAAGGATTGAAAAATTACCTATTGGGTACCATGTTCACTATTCAGGTGATAGATACACTAAAGCCCAGACTTCACCACTGTACAGTATATTAAATATGTATTAGTAAGAAATCTGCTCTGGTCCCCCTTAAATCTATGAGTGTACATTTTTTTAATTGCCAAAATATTTTTTTTAAATTAGCAATTGATCACTGAGGATCTTTAGGTTGAAGGAACAGGAGTAGAAGAGAGAGGCAAAACTTCATTCAGAAGACAAATGTGATTACATGTTATCAATAGATTATGGCCATTTCTAATCGAATCCTGGTAAAGCAACAAATTCAGGTTAGCATCCAAACCTGGCACCTACTATGTATGTGTTACAGAAAGACTAACTTGCAGAACTTTTTGGATATTTATAAATCATATATATATATATGAGATTTTATATATAAAGTTCCTGACACATGGTAGGTACTCAACTAAAGGTAACTAGCATCATCATCATTATCTGTCTCCTAAGTTAATTCATGCTCATCATGCATATAGGCACTTAGTGGCAGAGTTATTAATATATTTGTATAAATAAAATTATCAATTTTTGTTTCTCTTACTATGTTGTCACATATGCAGATGAGAAGTTAGATTTATGTTTGTTTTCATAATTGCTACCCAGAAAATTTTCTCTATTTGTAACAACATGGGTCACTTGATTTATTGGGAGGTGTTATTGATTGTTTTATATGACAGATCATGATATAATAGATGACAATGTTACTGGAAACTTTATGATATCCCTAACAGTCTTCAGGCTGTCACAATATTAGTTCCTTGGGTTTGAAGGAGTGTTGCTTGTACTCTTAATCAGAGAAGGCACACAAGTGAAATATCTTGCATTCAAGTACAATTGAAGTTCATTTGGGAAATTCACAGGAAATACATTGTCAACATGCCTCAGAGTTTACAAAAAGATACAAATAAGACACTATGGCAGGTTTATGAAGAAATAGGTCCCTGTATGATCAGATTTTAATGTTTGTGGGAACCACTGGCTTTCCATCTTTCTGCCTGAAATAATACCATTATTTCAGTCCTTTTGATTAGACAATTGCTCCTAATTGGGAAGAGTTATCAAAAACAGATAGAAATCATTGGTTTCTATCTGAGGATGTGAATTTATTTACAGAGTTTTTCTAACATGACAAGAAGCTGGATAGCGCTGTGTTTGAAAAGAATCTGGGTCTCTGGGGACTCAGAGACAGAAGATAGTGAAAGGATAGGAGAGTAGTCCCAAAATACAAACATAAACTTTGTAAGACTTTTGGGAATGTAAACCCTTCAGGGTTCATTATTAAAAAGAAAGAGTGCACTTACAGTAGTTACAGTGCAATCCCAGGGAGATTAACCTCCCACAGTGTTGCCTCCAAGAAGCAAATAGACATGGACTACCATCAAGGTTTACAAAAATATACAATTACGTGCAGTACATCATAAAATTCCAACAATATGTAACTCTTCGAACTGTAGTGCACCTCTTTACCTGTATATGCCTTTTCTTATGGGGATGTTCAACATAAATTCAAATTGATTAACACCCTGGAGTGTTTTTCAGAAGCAGTCTATGATTTCATCACCCTTGTTTTGCACTTTCCTAAAGAGTAATTGCAAAATAAAAAAGTGAAAGGACGCTATACTCCAAAATGCTGTTCCACTTTGGTTGTTACATAAGTTCAACTTTTGAGGTTCTTCCTGTAGTATCTCCAAACCAAGATGTATTTTTAAAATTATTAGAAATTAGTGGTCCAGTCCATTGAAACCCCACAATCAAATGCAATACGATATAACATTTAGCTCATTCTTATTTACTGTCAAATTTAGTTTCTTTTAGGTATATCTTTGGACTTCCTCCCCTGATCCTTGTTCTGTTGCCAGTAGCATCATCTGATTGTGATATTGAAGGTAAAGATGGCAAACAATATGAGAGTGTTCTAATGGTCAGCATCGATCAATTATTGGTATGTGATTATTTTGTTTTACTCACATTTTCATGCATTGGGAAAATTTGAACCTTTTTGGTATGCAGTTTTATAATCAAGTATTCATCTTTCTTGACAAGAAAGTGAAGTAACTATAGAATAAAATTTAATGAGCTACTAACTGTATATTTTTATAGCTGACATAATTATGTAGCTTAAAAATAATTCTTTCCTCGACTCTAAGATTCTCACAACTATTCATTTCAGTCCTATTTCCCTTTTAGTAAATTTCTTGTAAGCATAATTCAGTATCACTGCCTAAATTTCCTCACCTCCCATTTACCATGTTAGTCCCTGTAGAAGCATTACATTAAGAGTGGGAAAATAACAGAGTAAATAGTTAAGACTTATGGTGAATAGATGTGTATTTTATTTGGCTGTGTGTAGATGCATAGTTATTTATATGTGTGTATTTTATATCTATGTGTAATCAATAATTTGTTATGAGTTAAATTTTCTATTTTTGATGGTTAAAGCTTTTCTAATTAATAGATTTTATACCTTAGAGCCAACTTAGGTTTCTAGAAAATTCGAGCAGAAAGTAGAAAATTCCCATATGCTCTCTCTCTCTCTGCACTGTTTCCCTTATTATCTTACATCAGTATGGCACATTTATTACAATTGATGAGCCAGCATTGATACATTACATAAGTGCATAGTTAACATTAGGATTCATTCTTTATGTTTTATAGTTTTATGGGTTTTGATAAATGTATACCATCACATATCCGTGATTACATATCATACAAATCATATGGTAAAAATCTCCTATCCACCGACTCATCCTTCTCTTTCTTCCCCTGAACTCCTAGTAACCACTGATTTGTTTATGTCTCTGTAGTTTTGCCTTCTTTAGAATGTCATATAGTTAGAATCATGCGGTCTGTATGTGGCCTCTTTAGACTGGATTCTTTCACTTAGCAATGTGAATCAAAGCATCCCCCATGATTTTTTGTGGTTTGATATTTCATTTTTTCTTATTGCTGGATAACAGTCTATTGAATGGATATACCACAACTTGTTTATTTTTTCACTGATTGAAAAATGTGTCACAGTTGCTTCCAATATTTGGAAATTATGAATAAAACTTCTATAAACATATACGTGCAGGGTTTTGTGTGGACATAAGTTTTCAACTCAGGTAAATACCTACAAGCATGACTGCTGGATCATATGGTAAGACTGTGTTTAGCTCTGTACAAAACTGCCAAACTTTCTTCCAAAGTGGCTGTAATATTTTGCATTCTTACCAGCAATGAATGAGATCCTAATGCCTTCCATCTTCGCCAGCCTTTGGTATTATCAGTTTTGCAGATTTTAACCATTTTAATAGGCTTGTCATAGTATCTCAGTGTTGTTTCAATTTTCCATTCCATAATGACATACAATGTTGACCATCTTTTCAGATACTTTTTGCCATTTGTATATCTGCTTTGCTGAGGTGTCTGAACTCACATTTTTACTGAAATCTTAACAATATTGAGTCTTCTTAGCCATTATCATGCACTATCTCTTTTTTAATTTTTTTCATCATTTAATTGTATTATCTGGACAGAGAACAAATGAGTATTACTGTGACAACATTTGTAAATAATTATATGTGTGTAAAACTCTGCAAAAGAAGATGCAATTGAAAATGCAAACTTTCATCAGAGCTTTGTTCTTTTCAGCATATAAATCCTGTAAATATTTTATTAGACTTATACCTAAATATTTCATATTTTAGTGCTATTTTAAATGGTGTGTTTCTAATTTCAAATTTTAGTTGTTTATTGCTGGTACATAGGAAAGCAATTGATTTTTGTATATTAACCTATGTCCTGCAACCTTACTATAATCACTTGTTTGTTCTAGAAGTCTGTTGTTGATTATTAGGAATTTTCTACATAGACAATCATGTCATCTGCAAGAGTTAATTTTTTCCAAGGTTTCAGAGCTGTATCAATACAATGTGATTGATTTATTGTTTTAACAGATAATTAGTCTCTTTTCAATCAGATTGAAACTGAATAGCAAAGGAAAACTCTCTCAAATGTTCATAAGATGGGAGAAATTGTCTAATCTGTCCCCCGACTTTTACTCCACTGTCTCTTCCACATACTCATACTGAAGTGGCATGATGCCTTGAGGAATTTAGTGTTATACCTCTTGTAGGAATATGGAAACTAAAAAGAGATACTGTGCTACACTGTACATTGTAATCCAGAGGTTCCTGATTTTGCCCATTGACAAGAAAAAAAATAGTGCACAGTAAATGGCAATTGCTCCATTTAGATTTCTTGCTAATTTGGACATTGCATTTGATGATGCTACTAAATTAATCTTTTGAGTCAAGATAATATTTCTCATTTAATTTTGTTATCTGGGCAGAGAACAAACTAGTGCTAGTTCAACATTTATAAATAACTATATGTGTATAAAAGTGCAAAATAATATGCTATTAAAAATTCAGTAAAAGGAGAGTTTCATCCAACAGACTCATGACACATTTTTTTGGTGGGAGAATATAGAGGAGCTTATCTCATTAACACACAAAACAAGAACAAGTACATCAGCAGCAATAATTATATTATTTTCAAAAAACAAAACATGGCTACTCTTCTTAAGGAGGTTAATTCACAAGACATGGAAGAGAACACAGCTAATCAGTCCAACTGAGTAGTTCCATAGTAACCTTAAGAATGTTTTCTATACATAGAAGGTGATAAATTTGAGGGAAGGAGAAAGAAAGTCTCAATGAATTATTAATGTCAACATGACTGGTAGAGCAGATTTAGTTACTCATTCATTCAGTGTGGACTAGATGCTTTGCAGACATTACTGTGTTTAAGTCTTGGGGAGACCATAATACTAATAGTTATGAAGTGCTTGTTATGTTCTCAGTGCTTTCCATGTGTTAACTAATTTAATCCTTACAACAGCCCTTGAGAAAGACACTCTTACTACCTCCGTTTCACAACAGAAGAATCTGAGGCCCAGGGTTATCCAGTTTATAAGTGACCGAGCCAGAATCTTTGTCCATGCTCTCTACCCCACTCTCCTACCTCCCAAGGACAATCTCTGTGATAGTTTATTCAATCAGCAAACATTTATTTAGGGCCTGATATGTACAAGTTACTATGAAAAACCCATTTGTGTAGGTGATGTTGGGTTTGGGTGTGGATAGAATGATGGACCAAGTACAGATCTTTTTTCAAGAAGCTTACATTTTGGTGAGTGTTAAAGATTGGTGGTGAATAATGCAAGTTACAGTTTTAAAAGTAGGAAGAGTGACTTCCTGTTTGTTAGATGTCTGCTTATCATCTAACAAATAGACTGGTTGTAAAACAAGCTCAGAAACAAAAAGATGTAAATGGTGTTCTGGAAGTAGTAAAGAAGCAATTTTGGCCTGTGTAGAAGTTTCAGCAAGTTATCCAGAAGGTCTAGCTAAGATGATTGGTAAAAGTGGCTACACTAAACAACAGATTTCAATGTAGATGAAACATCCTTCTACTGGAAACAGGCGACATCTAGAACTTTCATAGCTAAAGAAGAGAAGTCAATGCCTGGCTTCAAAGCTTAAGAGGACAAACTAACTCTCTTGTTAGGGACAAATGCAGCTGGTGACTTTAAGTTTTAGCAAAATATTACTGCTCATTGACAATGCAAAACTAGTCACCCAAGAGTGCTGATGGATATTAATGTTTTCATAACTGCTAATATAACATCTGTTTTTCAGCCCGTGAATCAAAGAGTAGTTTCAACCTTCAAGCCTTATTTTTTAAGCCATGTATTTTTGAGGCTATGGCTGCCAGAGATAATGATTCATCTAATAGATCTGGGCAAAGAATTGAAACCTTGTGAACAGCATTCATTGTTCTGTAGTAGATGTCCTTAAAAACATTTGTGATTCATGGGAGGAGGTCAAAATATCCACATTAACAGGAGTTCGGAAGAAGTTGATTCCAACTGTCATAGATGACTTTGAGGGGTTCAAGACTTCAATAGAGAAAGTAAATGCAGATATGGTAGAAATAGCAAGAGAATTAGAATTAGAAGTGGAGCCTGAAGATGTGACTGAAATGCTGAAATCTCAGGATAAAACTGGAATGGATGATGAGTTGCTTCTCAGGCATGAGCAAAGAAAGTGGTTTCTTGAAATGATTTTACTTTGAGTAAAGATGCTGTGAACATTGCTGAAATGACAAGAAAAAATTTAGGATATTACACAAAATTAGTTGTTAAAGCAATGGAAGGATTTGAGAGGATTGCCTCTAATTTTAAAAGAAGTTCTACTGTGGATAAAATGCTTTCAAACAGTATCACATGCTACAGAGGAATCTTTTATGAAAGAAAGAGTTAATCTATGTGGCAAACTTCATTGTTGCCTCATTTTAAAAATTACTACAGCCACCCAACCTTCAGCAACCACCACTCTGATCAGTCAGCATCCACTAACGTTGAAGCAAGGCCCTCCACCAGCAAAAAAGTTTACAACACCCTGAAGGCTCAGATGATTGTTAGCATTTTTCAGCAAAAAATTCTTTTTAAATTAAAATGTATACATTGTTATTTTAGACATAAGACTATTGTACACATAATAGACTACAGTATAGTGTAAACATAACTTTTATATGCTGGGAAACCAAACAAAATTGTATGACTCACTGTATTGTGATACTTGCTTTACTGCAGTGGAACCAAACCCACAGTATCTCTGAGGTATGCCTGCAATAAATTATGCAATCATTATCACTATCTAATTCTAGAATATTTTCATCATTGCCAAAAGAAATATTCTACCCATTAGCAGTAACTCTTTATTCCCCATCACTAGCCTCTGGCAGCCACTATTCTGCATTCTGCTTTCTGTCTCTAGGAATTTGCCTATTCTGGACATTTCACATCTGTCTTGTATATAATTCATATGGATGATATGCAGCTTTTTGTATTGATCTTGTTTGCCTTAGTATAATGTTTTTAAAATTAATCCATATGATAACAGGAGTTAGTATTTCATTTCTCTTCATGGCTCAATAAAATTCTGTTGTATGGATATGCCACATTTTGTTTATCCATTCATCAATTTCTGGACATTTGGGTTTTCCATTGTTTGGCTATGCAAGTTTTTATACAATTGTCTTGATATGTTCCTAGTAGTCAAATTGTTGGATTATATGGTCACTCTGTTAAACTTTTTGAGAAACTGCAAACTGTTTCTAAAGAGGCTGCACCATTTGCGTTTCTATCAGCAGTTAAGGCTCTGATTTTTCTACTTTCTCACCAAAGCTTGTTATCATCTAACTTTTTATTCTAGCTATCTCTGTGGGTGTGAAGTAGTATCTCATAGTGATACTGATTGGCATTTCCTTGATGACTAATGATGTCAAGCATCTTTTCATTATTGGCTGTTATTATCAGCCATTTTATATATCTTCTTTTGGAGAATTGTTTATTCAAATCTTTCACCCACTTTTAAATTGGATTATTTGTCTTTTCATTTTTATAGTTGTAAGAGTTCTTTATATGCTCTGGATCTTAGACCTTTATCAGATATTATATTTTTTCCTCCCATCATTTGTATTGTTTTTTATTTTCTTGATAGTGTCCTTTGAAGGACATTTTTAACTTTTATGAAGTCCAATTCATTTACTCTTGTTGCCCATGTTTTTGTTTTCATATCAAAGAAACTATTGCTTAATCCAAGACAACAAAGATTTACATCTATGTTTTATTCTAAGAGCTTTATAGTTTCAGTCTCACATGTTGGTCTTTGATTCATATTGAGTTAATTTATGTACGTGGTGTGAGGTAGGGGTCCAACTTCATTCTTTTTCATGTGGCTATACAGTTGTTCCTGCATCTGATATTGAAAATTATATTTTCCCTCATTGAATGTCTGGACACCCTTGTTGAAAATAAATTGAACTCAAATGTATGGGTTTATTTCTGACCTCTCCATGGTAATCCATTGATATATAATCCCTATGCCAGGACCAGACAGTCTCAATTACTGTAGCTTGGTGTTTAGTTTTGAAATCAGTTTTGTCTTTCAATTATGTTTTTATTTTCTTAAAATCATTTATACTGATGAAATTGCTGATATTTATTTTATGGATTGACTACCTTTTTTTAGGGATTAGTATATTAAATAGCTTTATAATTTAAATGCAATCTAAATCTCTCTGGTGATGTCATATCTCTGAGCAATTACTAAACCATGTGACTCCATATACTAGTAAGTATGGTCCAGTGAGTGGCATGGACAGAAGTAATGACAGACTGTAGAGAAGTGGTGGGGAGCTTAAGAGTATTCTCTTCCTTATAGCTCTCAAGATCCGTTTTCATTCTCCCATTAGATTTTGATGATATGCTCATCATTTGGTAAGAGCACATGATAATATATTAAGTATAATGTTATTGATTTATTTAGAGACAGAGTCTCACTCCATCACCCAGGCTGGAGTGCACTGGTGTGTTCTTAGCTCATTGAAATCTCCACCTCCCAGGTTCAAGCAATTCTTGTGCTTCTGCCTACCAAGTAGCTAGGATTACAGGCATGTGCCACCACACCCAGCTAATTTTTGTATTTTTAGTAGAGATGGGTTTTTGCCATGTTGGCCAGGCTGTTCTCAAACTCCTGACCTCAAGTGATCTGCCTGCTTCAGCCTCTCGAAGTGCTGGGATTACAGGCATGAGTCACTGTGCTTGGCCTAAGTATAACTCTGTAATTGTCCTATCTGTTTAAAACATCTTTCCATTCATAATTCCCTTATTTTCTTACTTTTGATATATAATTTTATTTTTATGTAGTGACATCTATATAATAAAATTTCAGATGGTTCAATTTGGGCACCAAGGTGGGAGGGATCAGGGACTGGTGTGAAATTGATACAGAAATAGTTTTCCTATAAAGCCACAAATAAGTGATACTTGGAGAAGAAAGAACTTGTCTTTCCCCCTTGAATAATCTTGGCATCCTCATCAAACATCACTTCACCAGAGATGTATGGGTTTATTTCTGGACTCTCCAATTCCATTTTGTTCATCTGTATATCTGTCCTGGGTCAGTACCAAACTGTCTTTATTACTCTTTCTTTGGATAAGTTTGAAATCGGGAAATATGAATCATTTTACTTTTTTTTTTTTTGAGATTGTTTTGGTTCATGCATAAACTAATTTGGGACCATCATTTTCGTAATAATGTTTAAAAATGCTTGTGGTCCATGAACATGGGATTTTTGTTCCATTTATTTGTATCTTTTAAATTTTCTTTTAACAATATTTTATAGTTTTCAGAATATAGGTTTTACCCTTCTTTTGTTAAATTTATTCCTAAGTATCTTATGTCTCTTTAATGCTATTGCAAATGGAATTTTTTCTTTATTTTAAAATTATCTATGATTTCTAACTCTCCACTCCTTGTATACTTACCTAAGTATGTGTCTTATTTCCCCGTACTAGTCCATATGTATATTAAGGACAGATTTTATGTTTGAGTCATCTTTGTATCTCACAGACTATTAGCCCAGCATCTTACACGTAGTAGTTTTTCAAATGTTTAATTAATAATTTATGGATTGTTAATCAACACCATAAATTAATGAAAACCCAGAGCTAATTTTGAATAATCTAGGAAGCCTGTTTTTTTAACATATGTTCTTTGGAAATTTGTTATGAATTAAATATCAGGTACTTTTTGATATCAATATGAACTAGTTTTGGATGTTATACAATATTTTTTATCCATAAAAAATTATTTTACCTAAATATAACTCACATGGTTGAACTACATAACTCTTAGTCACCACAGCAAAGGCTGTTTCAAAATATAAAGGCTGCTAGAAATGGCCAAACGCTTTCTAGGAATAACTCAGTCTAATTGTAGGCAAATACAGGGCTATCCCTTTATTTTAAGTTGTAAACTTATAAATCTAATGACTAATCGGTTATAATATACTTTCACAACTTCCAATATCTTTAACTGTGACTCTATTCCAGAGGCTTTCACAGATTCAACTTCTGTCTTTGCACTGACAGCTCTCATATAGCCTGAGGTCTACATTTCTCCCATTAACTCTAGGACCATTTAATTCAAATATCTAGTAGATATCTCTACCCAGATGTACTATGGCACCTCATGCATAATAGTCAACTAATTGCCATCACATTTAGCCTGTTCCTGCTTCTGTATTCTCTATCTTAGGTAATTTTAGCATTTTCCTAGTCTTTCAATTCTGAAAGCCTAGAATCATCTTTGATGGCCTTCATCTCATCCATCACCAAATTCTATAGTTTAATATATCATCTTAACACCTGTATTATCCATCTATTCTATAGACTTCTACTACTAGTCTTAGTTCAAGTAGTTGTCAGATCTCACCGGGACCACTTCTGCAGCTGTCAGTGGGCCCTGACTAACCTTCCTGCCTCCCCTGTGCATCTGGCCTTTTTAATGATGCTTGAGTTATCTGTCCCGATTCAAATCTGTTACCATTTTTCTTCTTTTTAAAAACTCTTTAATGAAGTATCTCTCCCCCAGCACCTATCAGGATTTGGTCTTGCATTTGATTGGTTTGCTAACAGAAGTAGCCAAAGAAGGATCAAATTCTAGCCAAATATTGCTTCAAAAATATGTGTAAATAAATGGACAATGTTTAAATAATTGTAGTTAACAAATAAGGAAAATGTAAATTGATTACAATAAAAATTAGTTTTTTAATATCAATTTATGCTAGAGTAAAATATAAATTTCCTGTTTATATGACTCAGTAGCATGACTAATCAGTTGCAATTTAACAAGAGACATTGCTTTTTAAGAGGCAAGGCTTTTTGTTTTATGAATAACTTTTTTCTAGTTATAAAAATTAAAGAAAAATAGACTAATTAAAAGATAGAGACTGCCTGAGTAGATTTTAAAAACCCTACTTTACGTTGCCTAAAAGAAACCTACTTTAAATATAAAGATACATATAGATTGAAAGTAAAAGGATGGGGAATGATACACTATGTTAACACTAATCAAAATGGGAGTAGCTATATTCATTTCAGTCAAAGTCAACTTCAGAGCAAGGCGGACTATCATGGATATAAAGAGGGTGCATTACATAATAATAAAGGGCCAATTATCCAAGAAGACATAAGAATCCTTGCTCTGTACATATCTAAAAACAGCATCAAACTCTGTGAAGCAAAAACTGATAAACTGCAAGAAATACATGTATCTATTATTATAGTTGGAAACTTCACAGCCTTCTGTCAGTAATTGACAGATTCAGCAGGGAGGAAATCAGTAAGGTTACAGATGAACTTGAAAGCACCATAAATCAACTGGATCTAATTGACAGTTATAAAATACTTCATCAAACAACAGCATAATACACATTTTTCTCAGACTCACATGGAATATTCCCCAAAATTGAACATGTACTGAGCCGTAAAACACACCTTAACAAATTTTTATAAAGTACAAGTCATGCACAACATGCTCTCAACCAAAATGTAATTGAAGTAGAAATCAATAAAATAAGAAAAATAGGTGGAAAATTCCCAAATATTTGGAAATTAAAAACACAATTTTTGATAACATATGGGTCAAACAAAATGTCTCAAAAGAAATTTTAAAATATTTTGAATTAAATGAAAAGAAAATAGATATTTGCATGATACAGTGAGAGCAGTGCTTAGGGTATTAAATGCATAGAAAGAAAAGAAAAAGATATAAAATCAATAGTCTAATCTTCCACCTTAGGAAAACAGAAATGAGAAAGAAAATTAAAACTAAATTAATCAGAAGAAAATAAATAATGAAATTAGAGATGAAATTGAGAACAAGAAATTAGTAGAGGAAAATCAATGAAACCAAAACTGGTTCTTTGAAAAGATCAATAAAATTAATAAGCCTCCAGCCAGGCTGACCACGAAAATAAGAAACAAGACACAAACTACTACTATCAGAAGTGAAAAGAGAGCCATCACTACTGATTCCATGGATATTATAAAGATAATGAGGTAAAAGTATTTTGATGGTTAATTTTATGCATTAACTTATCTTGGCCAAGGAACACCAAGGATTGCCAGCAGCCACCAAAATCTAGGAGAAAGTCATGAAGTGGTTTCACCACAGAGCCTCCAAAAGGAACCAACCCTGCCAACACTTTGATGTCAGACTTATGGCTTCCAGAACTCTGAGAGACTAAATTTCTGTTGTTTTAAGCCACCCTGTTCATGGACATTTGTTATAGAAGCCCTAGGAAACTCAAATAAATGGTGACAAAAGTGGACAACATCCTGAAAAAAAATTCACTAACACTCCACTTTGAAGAGAGGCCGTGGAAATGTCTACTGGGGAAAAGCAAGTGAATTGGGGAAATGACCCCTAAATATGGTAGTCTCTATGAAAAGCAAAACACCTCTTTCTCAGTTGGGAGGAAACTTGAAGACCAAATGAGCACTCTTTCCTCATGCAGGCCAGCTCACCATACACCATGATGCACTTTAACAAAAGGTAAATTGTTAAAAAGAGAGCACAGTGTTAATAACAGGGAAGGCTATGCATGTGTGGGGACAGAGAGTATCTGTGGGAAAAAAAACAGTTTTCTTATTCTCTCCCTCAACAACAATCAACATAGGAGACTTCTATGACCAAATGTGTGAGAGTTTTTTTCCTCATATTCTAAGCAAAGAATCAATTCTGCAAAGGACACAAGCTGGCTGTCAATTCAATTATGACACTATCTATCTGAAGACAGCACCACATAGCACAGGTTGAGGCTGTCTTCATGACTCCTCCTTCCCCCTCCACCCCCATTTCAGATGCCAATCACAAACCCTAGGATGTCTAACCTGTGCTTCTGACCAACTGGCTGTACAATGGGGATCCCACAACCTGCTCCTTGGGTTTAACTAATTTGCTAGAGCAGCTCTCAGAACTTGGGGAAATACTAATATTTATCATTTCTTATAAAGGATATTACAAAGGTACAGATGAAGAGATTCATGGGCAAGATATGGGAGAACAGGTCTGGAGCTTTCTTGCCTTCTCTGGGCATGCCACCCTCCAAATACCTCCACATGTTCAGCTATTTGTAAGCTCTCTGGAGAGTTAGGCATGACTGATTAAATCATTGGCCATTGGTGATCAACATAACCTTCAGCCCCTCTCCTCTCCCCAGAAGCTGGGGGATGGGGCCGAAAGTCCCAACCCTCTATTTATGCCTTGTTATCCTAGGGGCTGGGACTGGGGCTGGAGCTGGGGGCTGCCTAGGGGCTGCCAGATACCAGTCATCTCATTAGCACAGAAAAAGACATTCCTTTGGAGGTTTCAAGGATTTTATGGGTTGTGTGTCAGGAATCTGGGACAAAGACCAAACATACAGTCATACGACACAATGTTTCAGTCAATGAGGGACTGCATATACCATGAT
Source organism: Homo sapiens (assembly GCF_000001405.40). Classification (NCBI taxonomy): domain Eukaryota; kingdom Metazoa; phylum Chordata; class Mammalia; order Primates; family Hominidae; genus Homo; species Homo sapiens. The sequence goes on along the minus strand of NC_000008.11, from coordinate 78,786,645 downwards.
GGCCCCATAAGATTATAATGGAGTTGCAATATTCATATTGCCTAGTGACATCATATCTGTGGTAATGTCTTAGAATGCATTACTCACATGTTTGTGATGATACTGATGTAAACAAACCCATTGCACTGCCAGTCATATAAAGGTATAGCACAGTAGTGTTCAGTAATGTCCTAGGCCTTCACATTCACTCATGGCTCACTCACTGACTCATCCAGAGCAACTTGCAGTTCTGCAAGCTCCATTCATGGAAGGTGCCCTATACAAGTGTACTATTTTTAATATTTTATACCATATTTTTACTGTACCTGTTCTATATTTAGATATGTTTAGACACACAAATACTTACCATTGTGTTATTATTATCTATTTAGTGCATGCTATGCAGGTTTGTAGCCTGAGAGCAATAGACTATACCTTATAGCCTAGGTATGTAATAGGCTATACCATTTAGGTTTGGGTTCTATGATGTTTGTGCGATGATGAAATCATCTAATGGCACCATTACAATGACACATTTCTCATAATATATCCCCTATCATTAAGTGACACATAACTGTATTTCACAGTATCACAATGTACATGAGGAATCTCTATACCTTCTTCTCATTTTTTTGTGGACCTAAAATTGCTCTATAAAATAGTCTTTAATAAAAAGAGAGAAAGAGGACAGTCCCTGTCCACCAACAAAATTGACCACAGGTTTTCCCACTTCTCAGTGCACTACCATTGCCACATACCCCTTCGCATATAGCTGTGTTCCCAGGCTTTCCAAGAGCACACAGAGCAGATAATACTGTGGCTTCACTTAGAAATTCAACAGAGAAGTGACTGTGATAAGTGAGAAGAGGATCATGAGATATGGAGTCAAATAAATATCAGCACAGAGTGGTCCACTTTAAATTTAAGATGAAAATAACATACAACGATACAGAAATGCCACAGCAAAATAAAAAGACTAAAAGAAACCTAGAATATAAGCATCCATTCTGGAAGGGGGCAGACACGAAGAAACAGAATAAAAACTTTCATTTGTACTTCACGCCATAGTTTTAAAGTACACATGAATTTTACAACAGAATATCAAAGAGTAGTTGATAAAAGAATAGAATGAGATGAAAAAATATTATACAACCAAGGAAATACATTGAAATCCAAAATTATGCACTCCCTCCATTTTAGATGTGACAAAAGTGTTAGCAACAACAAGAAGAATGAACAAAAAATATGAAATAGATTTGTTATAATCACCATAAATGCACAGTAAAAATACAAATACCAAACAGTTGCTGAAACAATAAAAGATAAGAAGAGATGATAGTGATCCATTTTATGAATAATTGTTCCTACCAAAGAAAATTCATCGAATGGAAGAATAAAACAACCTATGATAGAGGAAATTTTTTCCACAAATTGAGGCAAAATGGAATGAACAGTGCTAGGTAGTATATCATGTACTATAAAAATTGATTCAACATGATTGTTACTAAGTTATATCTTGGAAAAGTGACTGAATTTCAAGAGCAAGGAAGAATAATTCTAAAGGTGGAAATGGCAAGTCAGTTGGAGGAGAATCAGAGTGGCTTCAGATTTTTCACATCTAAATGCAAAAGATAATGGAATAATGTCTACAAAATTCTGAGAGATAAAAATGTGGCTCAGAATTTGATACCTAGACAAGATGTTGTTCAAATATAAAGTGCACAGGCAGAAATTTATGTATGTCAGAATTTAGGCAATAGAACACTCATGAGCCTTTTCAAGGAGAAGATGGAGGGGGAGGGGAGCTACTGGATATAAAATCCAACCAACCAAGAGAAAAGTGAAGACACTGTAGTAAAAGGTCAATTGATAGCACAAAATTCACTTCCTTGTAGAATTAGAGTAGCCTCTTCAAAATATATTATATTCTTTTATTTTCCTCATGGTTCTTGCTACTGTCTCAAATTATCATATTTTTAGGACAGAGACTCTCTGTCTTGATAATCCTTGTATCCCCACCATCTAGAATGTTACCTGGTACAGACAAGACCCTTCATAAATATTTATTGACTGACTGAGTGAATGAACATAGTTTACATTAAAAAAAACTTAAATGTTATTTTAAAGTTATAAAATTACAGTGTAGCATAAAATTATATGTTATATCGTGTATATAGTATAATTCAAAATTATGTTGTAAAGATGTTGATATACATAAGTGACTGTGTTAGACACTTCTGGCTGCCATATCAAAGAACCATGGACTTTGGTACTTTGGTGGCTTATAAACAAGAGAAATTTATTCCTCACAGTTCTGGAGGCTGGAAGTCCAGGATTGGGGTGGCATATGGTTGGGTTCTGGTGAAGGACCTCTTCCAGGTTGTGGACTACCAGCTTCTCATATCTTCACGTGGCAGAATGTGAAATTTTCAGATGGCTAGAGAGCTCTCTGGTGTTTCTTTATAAGGCACTACCACCATTCATTAGAGGTTCACCTTCATGACTTAATTACCTCCCGAAGGCCTCACTTTCTAACGACAACACATTGGGGGTTAGGATTTCAACATATGAATTTCGAGGAGACACAAATGTTCAGTTCATAACAGTGACATTTTAAAATCATTATATGACTTATAGTCTTCACCATATTGGCTCTATCAGTGACTTCTCACTATTGGTTTATGTGCTACTCATATATTTACTTGCAGTTTACCTAATGGCTCGCTTATTTTTGCTTAACCAGGTGGTGTTTAGAGTTATGCTCTCAAAACAGAACACTCTCTTCTGACAGTTTGGTTTATCATACTTGGCTGCTTTGCTTTACATATTTCTTTAATAAATCTTTATCTTTGATCTGCCTGTTACCACCCCACTTCAGCTCACTAGAATCTTCGAATATATCCATCTCATACTTCATCTCTCAAATTGTCTCATTAATCACAGGTTATATAGTTGAAATTGATATTTAAAGTTCAAGTAAATAGTTATAAAGTACAGCATATAAGCATTTGTGATTATAAATTTACAGTTGCCACATATGTTAATTGGTAATTAGATCGCTGCTTGTAGGATGGTATATAACCATTACTGCATATTAACCTTAAGACTAATGAGTGAGAGCTGGGCCATGATGGCTGACTAGACACAGTTGCAGTTGGAGGCCTCCACCGAGAATAACAAAAACAGCAAGTGAATCCTGTGCTGGCAACTAAGGTATCCAGGTTCTCTCATTTGGACTGACTAGGTGGTTGGTGCAACTGACAGAAAGCAAAGAAATCAGAGTGGAGTAATGGCCCACCTGCAGGGGGTAAGTGGGACTCCCATCCCCAGCCAAGGGAGGCAGTGAGTGATTGGCCATCCTGCCCAGGAAACCATATTTTTCCGTGGATGGGTGCAACCTGCAAATCAGGAGATTCCCATCATAAGCCCACACCAAAAGGGCCTTGGGTTCCAAGCACAGAGCAGTGCATATTCTCTCAGTGGCCACTGGGCTGGGGTCTGCCTAAGACTACAGAGTTCCTAGAGGGAAGGGTAGCCACCATCGCTATGGCTACCTGCTGCCTAAGATGACTGAACTTAGAAAAGGGGCAGCAACCATCACTGCAGCTCCAGTCTGCCTTTTCCCCTGCTGGTGCCAGAGATATTGGGTGGTTCAGATCCAGGAGGAATTCTCCACAGTGCAACACAGCAGCTGTGGCAGATAATCACCAGACTGCCTCTTTAGGCTGCACCCGGACCCATCCATCTTCACTGCATGTGGCCTCCCTCTGGGAATTTCATCATCTCCAGCCAGGGGTTTACGGACAGAGCTCTGATACCCCTGGGATGGAGCTTCTGGGGGGAGGAGCGGCTGTTGTCTCTGTGGATCAGCAGACTTAGTCTTTTCCCCGCTGGCTCTGAGGAATCCAGGCAGTTCAGACGAGTGGGATTCCAGCCAGAGTGCTTCATTAAGTGGGTCTTTGATCCTGTTCTCCTGACTGGGTGAGACCACCCCCAACAGGGGTCACCAGATACCTTATATAGAGACATTCCCACTAACATGAAGTCAATAACCCTCTGGGATGGAGCTCCCAGAGGAAGGAGCAGTAAGCCATCTTTGCTGTTGCGCAGCCTCCACTGGTGACACCCCCAGGGGTGGGAGAGACCCAGGCAAATAGGGTCTGGAGTGAACCCCCAGCAACTGACAGGAGCCTTATGGAAGAGGGGCCTGACTGTTAAAAGAAAAGCAAACAGAAAGCAACAACAACAACAGCATCAACAAAAAGGCACCCACAGAAACCCCATCCAAAGGTCAGCAGCCTCAAAGATCAAAGGTAGATAACCTCAGCAAGATGAGAAACAGTCAATGAAAAAACACTGACAACTCAAAAGCCAGAGTACCTCTTCTTGAAATGATCGCAACACCTTTCCAACAAGGCACAGAACTGGGCTGAGGCTGAGATGGATAAACTGGCAGAAGTAGGCTTCAGAAGGTGGGTAATAATGAACTTCACTGAGCCAAAGGAGCATGTCCTAACCCAATGCAAAGAAGTTAAGAACCATGATAAAACATTATAGAAGCTGTTAACCAGAATAATGTTTAGAGAGAAACATAAATGACCTGATGGAGCTGAAAAATACAACACAAGAACTTCCCAATGCAACCACAGGTATCAATAGCTGAATAGATCAAGTGGAGGAAAGCACTTCAGAACTTGAGGACTATCTTGCTGAAATAAGACACAAAATTAGAGAAAAAAGGCATGAAAAGAAATGAACAGAACCTGTGAGAACTATGGGATTATGTAAACCCACAAAACCTACGCCTGATTGGGGTACGTGAAAGAGATGGGGAGAATTGAACTAACTTGGAAAACATGCTTTAGGATATCATCCAGGAGAACTTCCTCAACCTAGCAAGACAGGGCAACAGTCAAATTCAGGAAGTACAGAGAGCCCCAGTAAGATACGCCATGAGAAGAACCACTCCAAGACACATGATCATCAGATTCTCCAAGGTTGAAATGAAGGAAAAAAATATTAAGGGCAGCCAGAGAGAAAGGCCAGGTCACCTACAAGGGAAAGCCCATCGGAATAACAGCAAACCTCTCAGCAGAAACCCTACAAGCCAGAAGAGATTGGGGGCCAATATTCAACACTCTTAAAAGAAAAATGTTTCTAACCAGAATTTCATATCCAGTGAAACTAAGCTTCATAAGCAAAGGAGAAATAAAATCCTTTCCAGACAGGCAAATGCTGAGGAAATTTGTCATCACCAGGCCTGCCATGCAAGAGTTACTGAAGGAAGCACTAAATATGGAAAGGAAAAATGATTACCAGCCACTACAAAAACACACTGAAGTACACAGACCAATGATACTATGAAGCAACTACATCAACAAGTCTGTAAAATAACCAGCTAGCATCATGGTGACAAGATCAACTGCACACATAGGAATATTAACCTTAAATGTAAATGGCCTAAATGCCCCAATTAAAAGGCACAGAGTGGCAAGCTGGATAAAGAGTCAAGGTCCACTAGTGAGCTGTATTTAAGAGACACATCTCATGTACAAAGACACATATAGGCTCAAAATAGTAAAATCTACCGAGCAAATGGAAAACAGAAAAAATCAGGGGTTGCAATCCTAGTTTCTGACAAAACAGACTTTAAACCAATAAAGATCAAAAAAGATAAAGGCATTACATAATTGTAAAGGGTTCAATTCAACAAGAAGAGCTAACATCCTAAATATATATGCACCCAATACAGGAGCACCTAGATTCATAAAACATATTCTTAGAGACATACAAAGAGACTTAGACTCCCACAGAATAATAGTGAGAGAATTTAACACTGCACTGTCAATATTAGACAGATCATTGAGGCAGAAAATTAACAAGGATATTCAGGAATTGAACTCAGCTCTGGATCAAGTGGACCTGATAGATATCTACAGAACTCTCCACCCCAAAATAACAGAATATACATTCTTCTTGGCACCACATGGCACTTACTGTAAAATCAACCACATAATTGGATGTAAAACACTCCTCAGCAAATGCCAAAGAACTGAAATCACAACAAACAGTCTCTTAGACCACAGTGCAATCAAATTAGAACTCAATTTTAAGGAACTCACTCAAAAGCATACAATTACATGGAAATTGAACAACCCGATCCTGAATGACTCCTCGGTAAATAATGAACTTAAGGCACAAGTCAGGAAGTTCTTTGAAATCAATGAAAACAAAGAGGCAGTGTGCCAGAATCTCTGGAATGCAGCTACAGCAGTGTTAAGCGAGAAATTTATAAAACTAAATGTCCACATTAAAAAGCTAGAAAGATCTCTAGTCAACATCCTAACATCACAATGAAAAGAACTAGAGAACCAAGGGCAAACAAACCACAAAGCTAGCAGAAGACAAGAAATAACCAAGATCAGAAAAGAATTGAAGCAGATGTAGACATAAAAAACCCTTCAAAATATTAATGAATCCAGAAGCTGGTTTTTGAAAAAAATTAATAAAACAGACTGCTAGTTAGACTAATAAAGAAGAAAAGGGAGAAGAATCAAATATACACAATAAAACGATAAGATAAATATCATCACTGACCCCACAGAAATACAAACAACCATCAGAGAATACCATAAACACCTCTATGCAAATAAATTAGAAAATCTAGAAGAAATGGATAAATTCCTGGACAGATATATACTCCCAAGACTGAACCAGGAAGAAGTTGAATCCTTGAATAGGCGAATAACAAGTTCTGAAATTGAGGCAGTAATAAATAGCCTGCCAACCAAGAAAACCCGCGACCAGACAGATTTAGAGCTGAATTCTACCAGAGGTACAAAGAGGAGCTGGTACCATTTTTTCTGAAATTATTCCAAACAATTGAAAAGGAGGGACTCCTCACTAACTCATTTTATGAAGCCAGCATCATTCTCACACCAAAACCTGGCAGAGATACTACAAAAAAAGAAAACTTCAGGCCAACATCTCTGATGAACGTCAATACAAAAATCTTCGGTAAAATACTGCCAAACCAAATCCAGGAGCACATCGAAAAGCTTATCCACCATGATCAAGTTGGCTTCATCTCTGGGATGTAAGGCTGGTGCAACATACAAAAATCAATAAATGTAATTCATCACATAAACTGAACTAAAGACAAAAACCACTTGATTATCTCAATAGATGTAGAAAAGGCCTTTGATAAAATTCAACATCCCCCCATGTTAAAAACTCTCAATAAACTAGATATTGATGGAACATACCTCAAAATAACAAGAGCCATTTATGACAAACCCACAGCCAATATCATACTGAATGGACAAAAGCTGGAAGCATTCCTCTAGAAAACTAGCACAAGACAAGGATGCCCACTCTCACCACTCCTGTTCAACATAGTATTGGAAGTTCTGGCCAGGGCAATCAGGCAAAAGAAACAAATAAAGGTAGGCAAATAGGAAGACAGGAAGTCAAACTGTTTGCCGATGATGTGATTTTATATCTAGAAAACCCCATTGTCTCAGCCCAAAAGCTTCTTAAGCTGATAAGCAACTTCAGCAAAATCTCAGAATACAAAATCAATGTGCAAAAATCACAAGCATTCCTATACACCAACAATACACAAGGAGAAAGCAAAATCATGAATGAACTCCCATTTACAATTGCTAAAAAGAGGATAAAATACTTAGGAATACAGCTAACAAGGGCAAGTGAAGACCTCTCAGGGAGAAATACAAACCACTGCTCAAGTATATCAGAGAGGACACAAACAAATGAAAAAACATGTCATGCTCATGGATAGGAAGAATCAACATTGTGAAAATGGCCATACTGCCCAAAGTAATTTATAGATCCAATGCTACTCCCATTAAATTACCATTAACATTCTTCCCAGAATTAGAAAAAACTACCATAAAATTCATATGGACCCAGAAAAGAGCCAGTATTGTCAAGACAATCCTAAGCAAAAAGAACAAAGCTGGAGGCACCATGCTACCCAACTTCAAACTACATTCTACAAGGCTACAGCAACCAAAATAGCACAGTACTCATACAAAAACAGACACGTAGTCCAATGGAAAAGAATAGAGACCTCACAAAGAAGACCACATATCTACAGCCATCCGATCTTTGACAAACCTGACAAAAACAAGCAATGGGGAAAGGATTCCCTATTTAATAAATGTTTCCTTAATATTCCATTATTTTAAACATTTATTAAGCATCTGCTAATAGTAATCTGTCAACTCAAATCTGAATGATGTATTCCCCTCTTCAAGAACTCTAGTGACTCAGAGTGGAATAACAATTTTAATGGGACTTTGAAGAATGTATAGTTCTTAAGGAGGCAAAAATGAAAGGGAATGCCATTTCATCAGAGAGGACTATTTGAGTCAAAGCTTCGAATCCTGCCTTTCCATGCAATTTTGCATGCATTTATGAAATGGCTGTTAAAGATTGTGTGCAAGCTGTTAAATAATGAGCACAGGTATAAAAAAGACCAGTTTACCAGACTATGAGGTTTAGTTTTGAAAGAGAGCTAGACTCTTAAATAAAGAATTGCAATGCAATGGGATAATGCTGATAATTACAGTTGAAAATGTTTAGGGATACCAACTAATTTGACCTGGGGGCTTGGTAATTAGATTTAAGTCAATGGCCCCATGTAGCTCTAGAGGAGATTTGGATGTAGAAAAGTTGGAAGGTAGGGTATGGCTAGATTTTGCAAGACCTTACATACCAGGCCGAAGAATGTGAACTTGATCTTTAGGACTATATAATAAGGAGCGATCAGGCTTTTAAACTGCAGCAGTGTAGAATTAAATCTGGGATTTAGAAAGATAATTCATATGCGCCATATAAAATAAATTTGTGATGAAAAGCATTCAGAAAGATAGGTTATTTCAGCATTCGTAGTTGGCACTGTTGAGTATGGCATGTTTCTTTTTAAAAACCATAGTAAAATTTACAGATGGCAGCTGATGTCCTCTGAAAGTTTGGGAGTATGTGATTGATGATATTGTCATTCAATCAGTAATTTTTATTACATGAAAATACAATGGAAAACTCAAAGATTGATAAAATATAGTTCTTGCATTAGGAACAAGCAAATAAAAGGCAGTAGTGAATGCATGGAGTCCTTAAAGGTAGTTTCCCAAAAGGAAGAGTAAAACTGAAATGGCCCCCAGCACCTGGAGAGAAAAAGGAGAAACTGCAAGTTGGAGCAATGAGATGAATGCTAATGCCACAACATAATTACAAAGTCCGTCCTAGTGAAGAAGGAAGGCACTTTCAGATTGCCCTTTTTTATAGGTGCCTGTTGTTGTCAAGGCCTGTTCTCATACCTGGCCAGACTTCCATTAAGTCTGTGCATTCAACTTTGAGGACAATGATGCGTCTAATACTCCCAGGCCTGAATAGCTATTTTATGAAAATTACTATATTGGTATTTTTATTTGTTTTGAACCCACATCTATGCCTGCATTAGATATTATAAACTTTATTATCTAGCTTCTTTACCATGTGCAGATAGAGGTGAATCTCAACTAGACAACCGATGAAGACATTGTCGATCACATAATGATAATATTTGTGCTTCAGTTGTTTTTCTCTTAATGGTGCTTATTATGCAGGTTATTAATTCAAAGACCATCATTGGTATTGAGGAATGTGAGAGTAGGAATGTCATTTATAGAGATGAAAAGTTTCTATTCACCATGAAGATCACAGATGTTTTCATCTGCCAGGGAGTAATTTATACTGCATCTACTTATGTTATGACCCGTGTGGACCCTGTGTCAATATTGAATCTGAATATGCCACTTGCTAGCTATGTGACATTGGATAAATTACTTAATCCTTCTGTGCCTTAGTTTCCTTATTTCTAAAGTGGGGATAAAATTAGGACCCATACTTCATAGGGTTATTTTAAATAAATTAAATGGGCTAATATATGTAAAGCTCATGGAACAGTGCCTGGAACTTAAGCATTCAACAAGTCATAGTTCTTGTCATATTATTAATGTTAGAAATAATGTCTGCAACAATGCTCTCTAAATTTCCTATCTCACATCCTTAAGAACAGATGCAAATAAAAACCTGTAATATTTGAAAATGGCTAGAAATTGTGTGATTTATGAGAGCAAAATTCAAACATACACAATATGATTTTGCATTCACTTTAGTCCCCTCTTATCCAACATTTCAGCTTCTGTGGTTTCAGTTACCCAAAAATCAATGAAGGTTCAAAAATCTTCTATGGAAACTTCCAGAAATAATTCGTAAATTTTAAATTGTGTGCCGTTCTGAGTAGCATGATGAAATCTTGCACTGTCTCACTCTATCCCATCCAAGGGGTGAATCATCCCTTTGTCTAGCAGAACCGGGCTGTGGATGCTACCTGCCCATTAGTCTCATAGTAGCCTTTTAGATTATCAGATTGGCTGCAGAGGTATCTCAGTGCTTATGTTCAAGTCATTCTTACTTTACTTCATAATGGCCCCAAAAAGCAAGAGTAGTGATGCTAGAATATTGTCATAATTGCTCTATTTCATTATTAGGTATTGTTATTAATCTCTTACTGTGCCTAATTTATAAATTAAAGTTTTATCATTGGTATGTATGCATAGGAAGAAAAGTACCGCATATATAGGGTCTGGTACCATGTATGGTCTCAGGCATCCACTGGTGGCCTTGGAAAGTATCCTCCAAGGATAAGGGGTACTACTGTAGAGAATGTAGAAGTGGCTATTTAATAACCACTAAATATTTATTTAGCATGGAAGTGTTTGAAGTAAAATCTTACACAGAGGTCCAGTGAAGTCCCAAGCCCTGACTATCCTGTATCATCCTTACGCTTACTTCTAAGCGCCCCCCCAGTTACCTTATGAAATCCTAGGACTACATGGAATATGATCTATGAAAACCACTGCCCTAGTCCAATGTACTCATTTTGCTTATGAGAAAATTCAAGGAGAGGTTACAGTAAGTCAGTAAAACGCTACAGGAAGAAAAAGGACTGGAAATGAAATGCTTTGGTCAGAGTCCCCACTTTGCCCCTTTGGCTATGAGATGTTGGACAATTCAGTTAACTGCTTGAAAGCCTGATTTTTCCAATTAGAATTTTGATTTTCATAATCTCTGAGATCCATTCCTGCTGTAAAACTATTCAATGTCAGAAATGCACACAGTCATCCACAAACTCTAGTTTGGTGTTCTTTTCATTGCACTGATGTAGAAGTATCGACTACTTAGGAGAACCAAAGAATGAATGCCCTGGATGAATTCCATAATAACCTTTCTGCACATCCAGAGTAGGATATGTATAATTTTGTGACGTATGGCACTGTACCAAGTACAGGTGAATATGCCGTCAGGTTTTCAATAGTTATGCAGTGTGTGTATTTAACATGAACACTGATAGCTAGGCAAATCTGCCAATTGTTGAATCATATAGTTCCTGGAACACCATTTCTTATCCCCAAACTTATATAACCACACCTGGATTAAAGTAAATTAATAAAATACTACGTTGTGTACCTAAGGTGTGTTGGTAAAGCTGGAAAAGGCAACTCATGAATAAAAAATATATATTACCTCCAGAAAAATAAATGTAATGCATACACAACTTTACACAAGTTAAAGAATGGGTTTAACAACTAAGATTTGTTCATTACCCTTTCATGAGACATTCTTTTGTTCTGTATTCATTACATTATTAGATTTTCTAGTGAATTTCACCAATTGATTTTTCTTAAGTTGAGCTTCATCAGAGAAATTCTGTAGAGGTATTTTCACAAATGAAAACTCACAATCACAAGTTTTCTAACTCTTTTGCATAAAAAAGCACTGAGGACACTTTCATGATGATATTATTCTGAAACACCATATTTAAGAATATAGTCATTTTTATTCTTTGTTTGTTCTTTATGTCCTAATGTTCTCTACAGTGGATTCCATCAATATTAATTGTTAAAATATTAACTTTCTATTTCTGCCATTGTTTTATGTACCACAGAGACATGTATTAGAAAACACGCTATGTTATGGGTGTAAGTTAAATGAGAAGCACAGTGCCAATAAATTGCACGAGAATTGCTTTACTTGGGCTATTCTTGGTCATAGGAAGGACTGGGAAATTAATATAGTCACGTTTTTATAGATGCAGAGCTTTTATTAATTAACATACAGTTGTTAATTAGTAGTATATGTTCACCTTTGTTATTAACATAAAATTTAGTACAAAACACTTTTGGGATATTAAATTTTGGTATTAAATATGTCCTATTTCATACATGTTAGAATATAATTAATATATACTTATTGTCATCACAAAGAATCAATGCTAAAGTCAAAAAATTCCAGGTACTTTTTTTCCTTCTTGTTAACCTAGCAATGTTGGGCATTAGATGAAGAAGAGGCAAGGCTACAGGGTTAGATAAGGATCTGCAGTCTTAGTCTTTGCAAATACTTGGTATCTCTTGCCTTCTCAAAACTTAGGCATTGAAAATTATTATAAGTAATGAAATCCAAAATGTTAGATAGGGTAAACACAGTTGAACTCACAAATATATGTTTTTTTTTCTTTTCTCTGCTCTTTTGGTAGAAAATGTAGAACATGATTAATAAGGTTGGAGTTTTTTCTTTATAATTTTTTTCACAGTGGCGTTCCAAACTAAAGAATGCTTGTTTACCTAATATGGCCAAATTGGAGCCAGTACCTTCATTCAGCTAGATTTACCCCAGTTGCATATTTGCAATGAGGCAGAATTCCTACAGACAGCCTTCCTTCTGATTTTTCTGCCTTTGTTCCTCCTCACACTGTGTTTCTCCCATAATTCACATCTACCCTCTACCTAATTGGCTTCTCCAGTCAAAGTGGATAAGCATCTCAGTCAGAAATACATTATGAGAACTTCCCAAACATGTACTAATCGCCACAAACCAAGGCTCAGATCATGCCATATCGCTGCTCAACAACTTTCCTTAGGTTACCACTCACTGGCTATTGCAGGACTAATTCCTTATGTGGGCATTGGAGAAGGAAAATCTGTTCTTTACATTTCTAGCCTACTTGCCACTCTGTATTGCCCCTTACACGCCCAGCACCACAACCAAATTGGATTACTTACTGTTTCCAAAATATGCTCCACATTTTTGTACCTCAGTGCCTTTGCTGTTTTCTCATTGTGGAATTTTCTACTTCCCCTGTCTTGCTCCACAAATCTTCCCGCACCCAAATTTAAAGACAGCAGGAATTGAATAACATCCTTTGTTCAATACCGTTCGTTATGACATTGATGAGAAAAAAGTCCATTTCTGGCCCTGGACCACTGTCTGTGTAGAGTTAGCACATTCTCCCCGTGTCTGTGTGGGTTTTCTCTGGGTACTTTGGTTTCCTCCCACATCCCAAAGACGTGCCCACTGGGTGAATGGGTATGTCGACATGGTCCTAGTCTGAGTGTAGGTGTGTGTGAATGCACCCTGTGATCGAGGGTGTCCTATCCAGGACTGGTCCGTGCTTTGTAATCTGAGCTGCTGAGATAGACTCCAGCCACCTGAACTAGAATAAGCAGTTTGGAAAGTGACCCTGAACTAGAATAAGCAGTTTGGAAAATGAACAAATCAATCAATGTAAATTATTGTCAAATAAAAATTTGTTAAGTAAATGGTCATTATACAAATACACAACAATAAATGATGCAAGACGAAGGTGCTCATCCAGCTGTGAGTCAGCCTTACTTGTTTGTGATTCTTTTTTAACTGTGTGGTGGAAGTGCTCCTGACAGTTTTAGCTTTGCAAACACTTATTTCTTGACTTAATCCACCACCACTATGACCATCGACACTCACTGATTTACAAAAACATGGGTAATTATCTTGTTTTTGTTAATCTTTCTTAAATGTATGTGTAGCTCATATTTAATTCAGTGTTTAATATTAGAAATGTTTGGGGTCTTCATTTAGAAATTTGGCGATGTTTTTGTGATGAGAAATATGCCACAGGATCTTAACTCTTTTTTATATCAATTAACCTACGGTAAAATTGGTTTCTTTGTACAACAGTTTACTTAAAGTCGCAGTTTCCAAGAACCTATCCGTGATGTTAGATGAGGACTTACTGTGCCATTTAAGGTCAAGTTCAGGTTCTACTTTATTCATAACGCAAGTCAAAAGTAGTCTTACTGTTGCACTTTATCTTGAACACTATTAAGGAAGGTATCATTCTATATTTTATGCATAAAATCTGAATATGCATATACATTCAATATTTTTTTTAAAGTAGACATGTAAATGACTAAGCAAACAAAATGTATTACAGGCTATGTCATGTGGTCAGGGCTTAGGATTCAGAAAATAATATGTTGTCTTGAATTTTGCTAGCACTTATATTGTCAACTCTTCTATTAAATTCTGTTGATTGAAAATTTTGAATCAAGCTCACATTACTTATATGACAAATTCGGGTAATAGAAAAAGCATGGGCTTTGTAACCAGGCAAACCAGTATTTGCATGCTAGCCCTGCCAATCATTAGTTTTTCCACTTAGTGTTTTTGTGAATCTGGTTTCTTTGGGATTGTGGAGTGTAATGATAGTGACAGTTGTTAGATATTGCTTGCACTGTCCATTATTCTAGGAAGAAAGTTTCCTGGAATAGGAAATATAACTGATTGTTTTCCCACAGGAGAAGAAGGCACTTCCTCTCCTCTTTGGGGCTAGAAATGACTTACTTTAAAAATCTCAGTTAAGAGAGGACTAAAGCTGTTCCAATGTTATGATTGTATTCCCCTAACTATGTGAAGGTACAGCAGGAGCAAGCCTTTCATTTGTAGCAGTGGCTGCAACAGAAAGGGGGGCAGTTTTTAGAGCGGCCTGGCACAGGGTATTAGTTTTTGAATCCTCCAGGCTGAAGAATGTGTGCTTCCTCAGCATGTGTAAGTATTTGTGTCAGTATGCTTTCATGTATAATTAGTAGAAAACTGAACATAAATGGACTTAAACATTAAAGAGTTATTTAATGGCCTGTATAACTGAAAAGACCCCAGTTGAATGCTTTCAACTGTGGCTTAGAATTTCAACTTAATTTCTTTGCAATTTTTTGACTCTGCGTTTCTCCATGTGGCATTAATCTTCATGTTGTGGCTTACCAGTAGCCACCAGGGTTTCTTTATTCTTCCATATCCAGCAGAATGATAATTCCTTTGCCTATAATTAACTAAGTTCTTAGATGTACTCTGATTGGATTATCTATGAAAAAATCCTTATGTCAGCGGAAGACCCAGGTCTTAACTGCCTTAGACCTTGTTTAATTGAGCAAGTTGCTTTGGTCAGAGAGATGGGATAACCTTTATTTACTTAGTATCTAAGTCTTAGACCAATCAAAACTCAAGCCAGAGCTGGAAGTGGTATTAACTTTCATTAAAAAAATTACTGCTAAATAATGGAGAGAGAGAAATAGGAATGATATGCAATGAAAACCACAATGTCTATTGCGTTGGGAGGTTTTGGAGCTCCAACAGCCAGGAAACAGCTAGGAAAACACTTTCTGACATAATAAGATCTGTCCCCTCTCCACAAATGGAGTGGGAACATTAGTGATTCCCACTAGAGAAGTAGCTTTACCTAGGAAAGTGGTGATTTCATGAAGTTCGTCATTTCTATGACAGCAAGTTGTGGAGACCAAGGAGAAGAACCTGAAGAGTTTATTACAGAACACACATTAGATAACATTATGGGAATTTTCAGAAATTACATGGTGCTTTCAGAGGAGTTTATCTCCATCAGATAGGAACTTAAAGGCTTAAATTATAATAATGTGTGTATAAAAAAAGAAGAGTGATTTTATTATATAATCACTGGATAGACAAAACTGTAAAGATCTCCTATAAAGCAAAAGGAAATAATTTGTGTATCTGTCTACATACTATCTTCCTACCTATCTCACTTGTGTGCGTGTGCGTGTGTATGTGTGTGTGTGTGCGTGTCTTTGCATATTGGTCTGTGTATGCATATGTATATATAATTAAGAGAAGATGATTGATACCATAGACAGAGCAGAGAGCTAATCTATAAATAATAAGTGTTTCTGAAGAGAAAATAGCCCATCAAAACAGAAGCAAAAGTTCAGAATAAAAGAGAGATATATTTCTGTATTAAAATCTTAAACTTGTTGATTATGACTCAAGGGTAAGAGACAAACACTAGGATATATCAAGGTGAATTTTTTCAAGGAAGCATCCTTCCAGTAAGAGAGGGGAAACATGTCGACAAAAGGATACAATTAGGTTAGCCTCTATTTTTTTACCAATGTTTAGCTCCAATTGACCAAGCTCTACTGAATTTTGTGATAACTACTAAGTTTTGTTACTGTGGGTTCACAGTCTTAGACCCAGGCAAATTTTATTGAATGTACCAAGAATAATAAAGACACAGATAGGCCAGCAAGGGTACTGCTTCTTTATTCAATAAAAACCTGACCTTAAGATTAGTCCATTTGGCTTTTGTTGCCACTGCTTTTGGTGTTTTAGACATGAAGCTCTTGCCCATGCCTATGTCCTGAATGGTAAAGCCTAGGTTTTCTTCTAGGGTTTTTATGGTTTTAGGCCTAACATTTAAGTCTTTAATCCATCTTGAATTATTTTTTGTATCAGGTGTAAGGAAGGGATCCAGTTTCAGCTTTCTACATATGGCTAGCCAGTTTTCCCAGCACCATTTATTAAATAGGGAATCCTTTCCCCATTGCTTGTTTTTCTCAGGTTTGTCAAAGATCAGATTGTTGTAGATGTGTGGCATTATTTCTGAGGCCTCTGTTCTGTTCCATTGGTCTATATCTCTGTTTTGGTACCAGTATCATGTTGTTTTGGTTACTGTAGCCTTGTAGTATAGTTTGAAGTCAGGTAGTGTGATGCCTCCAGCTTTGTTCTTTTGGCTTAGGTTTGACTTGGCGATGTGGGCTCTTTTTTGGTTCCATATGAACTTAAAAGTAGTTTTTTCCAATTCTGTGAAGAAAGTCATTGGTAGCTTGATGGGGATGGCATTGAATCTATAAATTACCTTGGGCAGTATGGCCATTTTCATGATATTGATTCTTCCTACCCATGAGCATGGATTGTTCTTCCATTTGTTTGTATCCTCTTTTATTTCATTGAGCAGTGATTTGTAGTTCTCCTTGAAGAGGTCCTTCACGTCCCTTGTAAGTTGGATTCCTAGGTATTTTATTCTCTTTGAAGCAATTGTGAATGGGAGTTCACTCATGATTTGGCTCTCTGTTTGTCTGTTATTGGTGTATAAAAATGCTTGTGATTTTTGTACATTGATTTTGTATCCTGAGACTTTGCTGAAGTTGCCTATCAGCTTAAGGAGATTTTGGGCTGAGACAATGGGGTTTTCTAGATATACAATCATGTCATCTGCAAACAGGGACAATTTGACTTCCTCTTTTCCTAATTGAATACCCTTTATTTCCTTCTCCTGCCTAATTGCCCTGGCCAGAACTTCCAACACTGTGTTGAATAGGAGTGGTGAGAGAGGGCATCCCTGTCTTGTGCCAGTTTTCAAAGGGAATGCTTCCAGTTTTTGCCCATTCAGTATGATATTGGCTGTGGGTTTGTCATAGATAGCTCTTATGATTTTGAGATACGTCCCATCAATACCTAAGTTATTGAGAGTTTTTAGCATGAAGGTTGTTGAATTTTGTCAAAGGCCTTTTCTGCATCTATTGAGATAATCATGTGGTTTTTGTCTTTGGTTCTGTTTATATGCTGGATTACATTTATTGATTTGCGTATATTGAACCAGCCTTGCATCCCAGGGATGAAGCCCACTTGATCAAGGTGGATAAGCTTCTTGACGTGCTGCTGGATTCGGTTTGCCAGTGACAAATGGGATCTAATTAAACTAAAGAGCTTCTGCACAGCAAAAGAAACTACCATCAGAGTGAACAGGCAACATACAAAATGGGAGAAAATTTTCGCAACCTACTCATCTGACAAAGGGCTAATATCCAGAATCTACAATGAACTCAAACAAATTTACAAGAAAAAAACAAACACCCCCATCAAAAAGTGGGCAAAGGACATGAACAGACACTTCTCAAAAGAAGACATTTATGCAGCCAAAAAACACATGAAAAAATGCTCACCATCACTGGCCATCAGAGAAATGCAAATCAAAACCACAATGAGATACCATCTCACACCAGTTAGAATGGCAATCATTAAAAAGTCAGGAAACAACAGGTGCTGGAGAGGATGTGGAGAAATAGGAACACTTTTACACTGTTGGTGGGACTGTAAACTAGTTCAACCATTGTGGAAGTCAGTGTGGCGATTCCTCAGGGATCTAGAACTAGAAATACCATTTTACCCAGCCATCCCATTACTGGGTATATACCCAAAGAACTATAAATCATGCTGCTATAAAGACACATGCACACGTATGTTTATTGTGGCACTATTCACAATAGCAAAGACTTGGAACCAACCCAAATGTCCGTCAATGATAGACTGGATTAAGAAAATGTGGCACATATACACCATGGAATACTATGCAGCCATACAAAAGGATGAGTTCATGTCCTTTGTAGGGACGTGGATGAAATTGGAAATCATCATTCTCAGTAAACTATCACAAGAACAAAAAGCCAAACACCGCATATTCTCACTCATAGGTGGGAATTGAACAATGAGAACACAGGGACACAGGAAGGGGAACATCACACTCTGGGGACTGTTGTGAGGTGGGGGGAGGGGGAGGGATAGCTTTAGGAGATATACCAAATGCTAAATGATGAGTTAATGGGTGCAGCACACCAGCATGGCACATGTATACTTATGTAACTAACCTGCACATTGTGCACATGTACCCTAAAACTTAAAGTATAATAATAATAAAATAAAAAAGATTACTCCATTTGAACAAGATATTAATAAATATCAATAATAGAGAAATGGTGATATAAAACAATCACTATTAAATGCTGCAGTATTTGGTGATTTCTAGATAGCTATTGTAAATATTAAAACACAAAAATAACTTGTTTCACCTAAGCCCTAAGAATATAAAAAGTGCGTGGTTATGGGAGGACTGAGAAAGCTAAAAAGATGATAAATCCCTCCCTTTCATTAGAATGATTAGTGGATATGTATACTAATTAGATTGGTAGAGAATATAATTTTAATAATTATTGGAAAACACTCTTAAAAGAATTATAGTCTTTCAAATTACAAAGAAAAAGGAAAATACAATGTAGTCACTTAAATACCAAAATTATACCAAAATTATAAAATAAAGGAAAAGGAACAAAAAGAAATAGAATGACTATCTGACAATAAATATAAATTATGTTAAACTCCAAAATTAACCTGATTGTTCACACTCACACACACACACTCACTTGTTCACACTGTATGCACTATATAAGAGATAAACACAGACACACACACACACTCACTCACACTGTATGCACTATATAAGAGATAAACCTAAAGTAAAATATCAAAAATTTTTTTAATCCCTTATATAAAATTATCAACTGATCATTAAAAGACAAAAAACTTATAAGAAAGTGGATAAGAACAGACTATTCATAGAAAAGAAGATGCAAATTGTTAATTAACATGAAATGATGTTCATCTTCAAGTAGTTACAAAAATGCAAATGTAAGCTATAATGAGGCATAATTTTTTACTTCTCAGGATTGGTAAAAATGGTAAAGACTGATGACATCTGATCCAAATAAGAATGTAACAGAATGGCCTCCTTTATATGCTGGTAGAAGCACAAATTATTTTAAAAATACATATACCATTTTATTCAGCAAATCTCACTTTTGGGAACTAAGTCTACAGAAATGCAAGCATTAATATAAAATGAGATAACAAACACATACAGATACACATACAAAGATGTCTGTTACAGAATTGTTGGTAGGAGCAAATATTTGACTATTCATCAATAAGTATTGAATAATTTGTGGAACACACTTAATGTGGAATATTACGCAGTTATAAAACAATTGTTCTAGTATGTTTGACCTAGAATGACAGTCATGATATAAAGTGAGAATGATACAAAAATCAAAGTGTAATGTATACACTGTGATCCTATTTTTTAACAAAATGAAAAAGGAAAATACCCTCATAAAACCCTATATATGCATGTATATATGTGTATTTTCTATGCCTGCAGACCTAACACGCATAGGCATAGGATGCTGAGCTGAAAGTATAGAGGTCTCATATACTCCTTGTGCCCACAGACAAATTTCCCCACTATCAACAGTTGCTATCACAGTGGTACATTTATTATGATCAATGACTCTACACATCATTGTCACCCAAAGTCTATAGTTTAGATTAAGATTCACTCTTGGTGTTGTACATACTATGGGTTTTGTCAAATGTCTTCAATCCAAATTATATTACAGAATAGTTTCACTCTCCTAACAACTTCACTGTTCATTCTTTGTGCCTCTCCTATTCATCCACTTGCTCCCTCTTAAATCTTGACAAACCACGAATCTTTTTACTGTCTCTAGTTTTACCTTTTCCAGAATGTTACATAGTTGCACTCAAACTGTATATAGCCTTTTTCAGTTTGGCTTCTTTCACTTAATAATATGCATTTAAGATCCTTCCATGTTTTCTTGTTGCTTTATAGCTCATTTCATTTTAGAACTGAAAAAATATTCCATTGTCTGGAAGCACCACAGTTTACTTATTCATTCACCTACTGAAGGACATATTCATTCCTTCCAAGTTTTGGTCATTATGAATAAAGCTGCTATAATTATTCACATGGGGGTTTTGTGTGGCCACAAATTTTCAAATTCTTTGGGTATATAGCAAGGATTGCTGCATTATGTCGTAAGAGATTGTTTAGTTTTGTAGAAGACCACCAAACTGTCTTTCAAAGTGGCTGTACTGTTTACCTTCCCATCAGCAATGAATGAGAATTCTTTTTGCTTTACATCCTTGCCAGCATTTACTGTGGTCAGTGTTTTGGGTTTTGGCCATTCTAATAGGGTGTCATGGTATCTCATTGTTGTTTTAATTTGCATTTCCCTGATGGCATATGCTGTTGAATAACGTTTCATATGCTTATTTGCTATCTGTGTATCTTCTTTGCTGAGGTGCTTATTCAGGTTTTTTGCCAATTTTTTATTGGGTTGTAAATTGTCTTATTTTAGATTTTTAAGAGTTCTGTATAATATTTTGGATAATATTATTTTACCAGATATGTCTTTTGTAAATATTTTTTCCAGTCTGTGGCTTGTAATCTCATTCTCCTGATGCTGCTTTTTGCAAAGCAGAAGTTCTGAATTTTAATGGAGCTCAGCTTATCAATCACCTCTTTCATAGATCATGCCTTTGGTATTTTATTTAAAATGTCATCTCAATGCCCAAGTTCATCAAGAATTTCTCCTATGTCATTCTCTAAGATTTTTATAATCTTGCATTTTACATTGAAGTCTATGATCCATTTTGAGCTAATTTTTGTGAAAGGTTCAAGGTCTGTGTCTAGATTAATGTTAGGGGTGTGGATGTGAATGTCCAGTTGTCTTAGCACCATTTGTTGAAAAGAGACTGCTCCATTTTATTGCCTTTGCCCGTTTGTCAAAAATCAATGGATTATACTTAGGTGAGTCGATTTCTCAGCTCATATTCTGGTCCATTGATCTATTTGTCTGTTTTTTCACTAATGCTATAGTGTCTTGATTACTGTAAGTTTATGGTAGGTTTTGAAATTGAGTGGTGTCAGTCCTCTAACTTTGCTCTTTTCTTTCAATATTGAATTTACTCTCCTGGGTCTTTTTCCTCTTCACATAAACTTTAGAACCAATTTGTCAATTTCTACAAAATAACTTCCTGGGATTCTGATTGGAATTGCATTGAGTCTGTCCATTCATTTGGAAAGAACTGACATCATGACAATATTGAGTCTTTCTACCCATGACCTGGAATATCTCTCCATTTATTTTTTTCTTTTTTTGATATTATTTATCAGAGTTTTGTAGTTTTCCTCATATGTATTTTGGACATTTTTTTTTAGATTTACACTTAAGCATTTTATTTTTAGGGCTGCTAACATAAAGTGGCAATGGGTTTTTAATTTCAAATTTCACTTGTTCATTGATGGTACATAGAAAAGTGATTGACTTATTTCTCTTGTATCCTGCAACTTTTATATAATTGCTTATTAGTTATCAGAGACTTTTTTACCAATTTAAAAAAATTTTCTACATAGACAATTATATCATCTGCAAACAAAGACTGTATTATTTTGTTCTTACCAATCTGTATACATTTTATTTCCTTTTTTGTCTTACTGCAATAGCTAAGTTTTGCAGTAAGATGTTGAAAGCTGAAGTGAAGGGAGATAGCTTTTTTTTTATTATCAGGAAACCTACAAATTTCTTATTATTAAGTATGATATTAGCTATAGGACTTTTGTAGATGTCCTTTAAGTTGAGGAAGTCCCTCTCTATTCCTAATGTGTTAAAATTTTTTATCATGAATGGGTGTTGAATGTTGTCAAATGCTTTTTCTGCATCTATTGATATGATTGTGTGATTTTTCTTCATTGGCCTATTGATGTGATGGATTAGATTAAACAATATTCCAATGTTAAAACACCTTTGCATACCTGAAATTAAATCCACTCAATTGTGGTGTAGATGATAAGTGCTATCCCCAATAGCAAATTGAATCCAATAATGTATAAAAGTATACAGTTTTATGTGGAGGATTTTTGAATCTATGTTCATGAGAGGTACTTGTCTATAGTTTTATTTTCTTGCAGTGTCTTTGATTTTTGATATTAGGGTAATGCTGGCCTTATAGAATGAGTTGAGAAGTATTCCTCCTGCTCCTGCTTACACACACTGTCAGATAGTGTGGAGCATTGATACAATATTGTCCTTAACTATTTGATAGAATTCAGCAATAAACTCATCTGGGATTAGTATTTTTTGTTTTGTAACATCATTTTTTATTTATTTTCTTGAATAGATATAGTCCTATTCAGAGTTTCTATTTCTTTTTGTGTGAGTTTTGGTAGATTGTGCCTTTTGAGTAATTGATGCATTTCATATAGGTTATCAAATTTGTGGATTTAGAGTTGCTCATAATATTTGTTTATTATCTGTTTAATGTCTATTGGATCTAAAGTGATGTCTCTGTATCATTTTTATATGAACAATTTTCACTTAATACCAATCTAAATCTACTTCCAAATAACATTATACCACTTTATAGGAGGTACAAGTAATTTATGGTAATAAAATATTACTAATTTCTCCCTCCTAACCTTTTATCACTGCTATCATTCATTTCACTTATAAATAAACATATAAGCATAATTGAATACATGGTTGCTATCATTATTTGAAGGTATTAACTTTTATATCAATTAAGAATAAGAAAAACAGGCTGGGGGCGTGAAGATTAACCACCCCATGTGCCATCACTGGCACCAACAAATGCTGTCCAGGGGGCTGCATATTGGCCAATTCTACTCACCACTGACAGTGCTTGTGTGCAGCATCTGGTGGCATGAGGACAGGTGCACCTCACCATAATTTTCACTAACAACCAGAGCCTAAGCCAATGAAGAACTCTCAGACAATGCTGACATTGATCGCATCCAAATAGAACATACAGAGACGACACTACTGTGCTAGCCCAGAATTAAAGCCAAAACATCTTCCCCAAACAATACTATAATTACAGCTACAGGAAAAGTCTTTCTCTATGAAAGAAGCCAATCCATGAAATTAAAAGAGAAACTGTTAAAATAGATGCACAGATAAGGTAAGGACATGAGAAATATGAAAATTCAAGAAAAAAATGACACCTCTGAAGGAATACAATACTTCTTCAGTAAAATATCCCAAAGAAATGTAAATATGTTAAAAAGCCTGAAAAAGAATTCAAAATAATGTTCTTAAGAAAATGCAGCGAGATACAAGAGGACACAGATACAAATACAAGAGGACACAATAGAAAAAAAAAAATGCATTGGGAAGGCAATTCATGTCTTCAATGAGAATTTCAAGAAAGAGAGACAGATATAAAAAAGAACCCGGCGGCTTCTAGCCCGCCCGCCCCTCCCCCGCGCGTCGGCCCTGCCGAGCCGGCCGGCCGGCCTGGCTCCCCTCCCCGGCCCCGACGGGCGGGCGGACTGCCCTGAGGAGGCGGGGAGGGGAGGGCTGGACCGGCCGGCGGGCGGGCGACGATGCCGAACTTCTGCGCTGCCGCCAACTGCACGCGGAAGAGCACGCAGTCCGACTTGACTTGGCCTTCTTCAGCTTCCCGCGGGACCCTGCCAGATGCCAGAAGTGGGTGGAGAACTGTAGGAGAGCAGACTTAGAAGATAAAACACCTGATCAGCTAAATAAACATTATCGATTATGTGCCAAACATTTTGAGACCTCTATGATCTGTAGAACTGGTCCTTATAGGACAGTTCTTCGAGATAATGCAATACCAACAATATTTGATCTTAACAGTCATTTGAACAACCCACATAGTAGACACAGAAAACGAATAAAAGAACTGAGTGAAGATGAAATCAGGACACTGAAACAGAAAAAAATTGATGAAACTTCTGAGCAGGAACAAAAACATAAAGAAACCAACAATAGCAATGCTCAGAACCCCAGCGAAGAAGAGGGTGAAGGGCAAGATGAGGACATTTTACCTCTAACCCTTGAAGAGAAGGAAAACAAAGAATACCTCAAATATCTACTTGAAATCTTGATTCTGATGGGAAGGCAAAACATACCTCTGGACGGACATGAGGCTGATGAAATCCCAGAAGGTCTCTTTACTCCAGATAACTTTCAGGCACTACTGGAGTGTCGGATAAATTCTGGTGAAGAGGTTCTGAGAAAGCGGTTTGAGACAACAGCAGTTAACACGTTGTTTTGTTCAAAAACACAGCAGAGGCAGATGCTAGAGATCTGTGAGAGCTGTATTCGAGAAGAAACTCTCAGGGAAGTGAGAGACTCACACGTCTTTTCCATTATCACTGACGATGTAGTGGACATAGCAGGGGAAGAGCACCTACCTGTGTTGGTGAGGTTTGTTGATGAATCTCATAACCTAAGAGAGGAATTTATAGGCTTCCTGCCTTATGAAGCTGATGCAGAAATTTTGGCTGTGAAATTTCACACTATGATAACTGAGAAGTGGGGATTAAATATGGAGTATTGTCGTGGCCAGGCTTACATTGTCTCTAGTGGATTTTCTTCCAAAATGAAAGTTGTTGCTTCTAGACTTTTAGAGAAATATCCCCAAGCTATCTACACACTCTGCTCTTTCTGTGCCTTAAATATGTGGTTGGCAAAATCAGTACCTGTTATGGGAGTATCTGTTGCATTAGGAACAATCGAGGAAGTTTGTTCTTTTTTCCATCGATCACCACAACTGCTTTTAGAACTTGACAACGTAATTTCTGTTCTTTTTCAGAACAGTAAAGAAAGGGGTAAAGAACTGAAGGAAATCTGCCATTCTCAGTGGACAGGGAGGCATGATGCTTTTGAAATTTTAGTGGAACTCCTGCAAGCACTTGTTTTATGTTTAGATGGTATAAATAGTGACACAAATATTAGATGGAATAACTGTATAGCTGGCCGAGCATTTGTACTCTGCAGTGCAGTAACAGATTTTGATTTCATTGTTACTATTGTTGTTCTTAAAAATGTCCTATCTTTTACAAGAGCCTTTGGGAAAAACCTCCAGGGGCAAACCTCTGATGTCTTCTTTGCAGCCGGTAGCTTGACTGCAGTACTGCATTCACTCAACGAAGTGATGGAAAATATTGAAGTTTATAATGAATTTTGGTTTGAGGAAGCCACAAATTTGGCAACCAAACTTGATATTCAAATGAAACTCCCTGGGAAATTCCGCAGAGCTCACCAGGGTAACTTGGAATCTCAGCTAACCTTTGAGAGTTACTATAAAGAAACCCTAAGTGTCCCAACAGTGGAGCACATTATTCAGGAACTTAAAGATATATTCTCAGAACAGCACCTCAAAGCTCTTAAATGCTTATCTCTGGTACCCTCAGTCATGGGACAACTCAAATTCAATACTTTGGAGGAACACCATGCTGACATGTATAGAAGTGACTTACCCAATCCTGACACGCTGTCAGCTGAGCTTCATTGTTGGGGAATCAAATGGAAACACAGGGGGAAAGATATAGAGCTTCCGTCCACCATCTATGAAGCCCTCCAACTGCCTGACATCAAGTTTTTTCCTAATGTGTATGCATTGCTGAAGGTCCTGTGTATTCTTCTGTGATGAAGGTTGAGAATGAGCGGTATGAAAATGGATGAAAGCGTCTTAAAGCATATTTGAGGAACACTTTGACAGACCAAAGGTCAAGTAACTTGGCTTTGCTTAACATAAATTTTGATATAAAACACGACCTGGATTTAATGGTGGACACATATATTAAACTCTATACAAGTAAGTCAGAGCTTCCTACAGATAATTCCGAAACTGTGGAAAATACCTAAGAGACTTTTAAAAACAGGCTTTCTTATATTTGATATTTGGAAGTAAAAGCCGTAAGGTGTATGTAGGCCACTTAATCACTAAATATCTTTGCCTATAGGACTCCATTGAATACATTAGCCATTGATAATCTACCTGTTTAAATGGCCCCTGTTTGAACTCTCAAGCTTTGAAGACCTACCTGTTCTTCCAGAAGAGAACGTTGAAAGTTCCATGTTTCCTTTTGCGTGATCTCTGTTGACGGCACTCTGGAATTGTTTCAGTTAAGTCATTTTAGACATAGCATTTATTATCACTGTGGATCTCTACTTGTTGGGTGTTATGAATTCTTTGAAAAAATATATTTTGAAGAGGTGTGGGAGGAAGGAATACATTTTATAAAATGTTATAGTTAAGCCCACAATTGACCTTTGACTAATAGGAGTTTTAAGTATGTTAAAAATCTATACTGGACAGTTGCAAGAAATTACCAGAGAAAAGCTTGTGAGCTCACCAAACAAGGATTTCAGTGTAGATTTTGTCTTTCTCAAACTTAAAGAAACAAATGACAAAGTTTGAATGGAAAAGCCTGCTGTTGTTCCACATCTCATTGCTGTTTACATTCCTTTGTGGAGCCTACATCTTCCTAAGCTTTTTAGCAGGTATATGTTGAACACTTCTGTTTCATGGTTGAGACAGAATCAGAGGCCATGGATACTGACAACTGATTTGTCTGGTTTTTTTTTTCTGTCTTTTTTCCATGACTCTTATCTACTGCCTCATCTTGATTTATAAGCAAAACCTGGAAAACCTACAAAATAAGTGTTGTGGTTTATCTAGAAAAATATGGAAAATATTGCTGTTATTTTTGGTGAAGAAAATCAATTTTGTATAGTTTATTTCAATCTAAATAAAATGTGAGTTTTGTTTAAAGCTAAAAAAAAAAAAGAACCCAGCAGAAATCCTGGAAATAAATAATTCAGTGGATGAAATTAAAATATATATATACAATCAAGAGTTCAACAATAGACTAAATCAAGCAGAAGAATTTTTGAACTTGGTCTTTTAAAATAACAAAGCCAGATTAAAAAAAAAGGTGGGGGGGGGAATAAAAGAATAAAAGAGAATGAAGAAAGCCTAATGACATATAGGACACCATAAAGCAAACAAATATTTGAATTTTATAAGTTCCATAAGAATAAGAAAATGGAAATGCCATAGACAACCTATTTATTGAAATAATATCTGAAAAATTCTTCCTTCTTGTGAAGGATATAGACATCTAGATATAGAAAGCTAAAATATCTACTAGTAGATTCAATAAAAATATAAGTGTTCTCCAAGGCACATTAAAGTTACACTGTGAAAGGTTGAAGACAGAGGGAGAATTTTAAAAATAGCAAGAGAAAAACATCAAGTCACATGTTGGGGGAAATCCCATCAGACTAGCAGCCTATTACTCAGTAAAAATCTTGCAGGCCAGGAGAGCATGAGAAACTATATTCAAAGTGCTGAGAGAAAAATGCCAATGAAGAATACTATGCCCAGGAAAGCTATCCTTTAAAAAGGATGGAGAAATAACATCTTTTTCAGACAAGTAAAAACTGAAGGAAATTCATCACTACTAGATCAACCATACAATAAATGCTTCAGGGAGTACAACATCTATAAGTAAAAGGATGATGTCTACTATTTAGAAAGCACAAGAAAGAATTAAACTCACGGGTAGAGCAGATACACTAATGAAAGCAAGAAAGAAATCAAAGCTTGTCACTACAGAAAATGACCAAACTGTAAAGATAAATATTAAAAGAGGAAAGAGAAACAAAGGATATACAGAACATTCAGAAAACAGCTATCAAAATGACAGTAGTAAGTTCTCACCTATTATTAACAACATTGAATGTAAATGGTTTAAATTCTACAATTATAAAGTATAGACTGGCTGAATGGGTAGAAAAGAAAACACAAAAGACCCAATTATATGCTGCCAACAAGAAATTCACATCATGGGTAAAGACACTATATTAGTCTGTCCTCATGCTGCTAATAAAGACATACCTGAGACTGGGTAACTTATAAAGGAAAGAGGTTAAATGGACTCACAGTTCCACATGTCTGGGAAGGTCTCACAGTCATGGTGTAAAACAAGGGAAGAACAAAGGGATATCTTACATGAGGGCTGGCAATAGAACTTGTATAAGGAAATTCTCATTTATAAAACCATGAGATCTCATGAGACTTATTCACTATCACAAGAACAGCATGGGAAAGACCCACAATCATGAGTCAATTACCTCCTACTGGGTCCCTCCCACAACACATGGGAATTATGGGAGCTACAATTCAAGATGAGATTTGGGTGAGGACACAGCCAAACCATATCAGACACAAATAGACTGAAAGTGAAGTGACGGAAACCATATCCCATGCATATGAAAGCCAAAACTTTGCAGGAGTAGCTATACTTATATCGGACAAAGTAGACTTAAAGTCAAAGAACATAACAAGAGATAAAGAGGTCTAGTATGTAATGATGAAGGGATCAATTCATTAACAGGATATAACAATTGTAAATATATATGGACTCAACACTGGAGCACTAAGATATATAAAGCAAATATTATTAGAGCTAAAGAGAGAGATAGACTCCAATACAGTAAGAGTTGGAAATTTCAGCACCCCACTTTCAGCACTGGGGAGATCATCTAGAGAGAAAATCAACAAAGAAATATTGGACTTAATCTGTGCTATAGACCAAGTGGACCTAGCAGGTATTTACGTAATATTTTATCCAACAGCTACAGAATACACATTCTTTTCACCAGCACATGGAACGTTCTTCAGGATAAACCATATGCTAGTCCACAAAACAAGTCTCAAAAAATTTTTAAAAATCAAAATCATGTTGAGTACCTTCCCAGAGTACAATGGAATAAAACTATAGATCAATAATAAGAGAAATTTTGGAAACTGTACAAATACATTGAAATAAAGCAATAGGCTTCAAAGTGATCATTAGATTAATGAAAAAATGAAGATCAAAATGAAAAAAAATCTGAAACAAATGAAAATGTAAACACAACATACCCAAACCTATGGAATATAGTAAAAGTAGTGCTAAGAGGGAATGTTATAGCAATAGCCATCTACATCAAAAAAGTGGAAAGATTTCAAATAAACATCCTAACAGTGCACCACAAGGAACTAGAAAAGCAAGAGGGATCCAAGCCCAAAATTAATACAAAGAAGGCAAAAATAAAGAGCAGAAAAAAAGGAAATAGAAACTAAAAGCTAAACTAAACTAAATAATAAAACTATTAACAAAACAAAATTTTATTTCTTGAAAAGATAAACATAAACCACTTGGAAAATAAAATAAAAATAAAATCCTAGAAAAAATTTAACCAAGGAGATGAAAAGATAAAAAATAAACCACTAGCTGGACTAACTAATAAAGAGAGAAGACCCAAATAAGTAAATCAGAAACAAATAAAGCACACATTACAACTGATACCACAGAAATATAAAGGACTATCAGAGATTATTTTGAGCAACTATACACTAACAAATTGGAAAACCTAGCGGAAATGAATCAATTCCTAAATACATCTACCCTGTCAAGACAGAACCAGAAATAAATAGGAAACATGAACAGACCAATAACGAGTAACAAGACTGAATCAATAATAAAATTCTCCCAAAAAAGAAAAGCCCAGGACCAGATGGCTTTATTTCTGAGTTCTACCAAACTTTTAAAGCAAGACAAATGCCAATTCTTCTCAAGCTATTCTTAAAGAAAAAAACGAAAAGGAGAGAATTCTTCTTAATTCATTCTACAAAGCCAGCATTACCCTGATAGCAATACCAGATAAAGAGACAACCAAAAAGAAAACTACAAGCCAATATGCAAAGTTTCTCAACAAAATACTAACAAACTGAATCTAACAACACATCTAAAAAATAATAGAACATAATAAAGTGGGATTTATCCCAAGGATGCAAAGAAGGTTCAACATACACAAATCAATAAATGTGATACATCACTTCAAAAGAGTGAAGAACAAAAACCATATGATTATCTCAACTAGCACAGAAAAAAAGCATTTGATATAATTCAAGAACTCTTTATGATGAAAACTCTTAACAAATTGGCATAGAAACAAAGTATTGCAACTCAATAAAGGCCATATATTATTAACCCACAGCTATCATCTTACAGAATGAGGAAAAACTGAAAGTCTTTCTTATAATAACTGAATAAGACAAGGATGCCCACTTTTACCACTCCTATTCAACATCTCACTGGAAGCCCTAGCCAGAGCAATTAGGCAAGAGAAAGAAATAAAAGATGTCCAAGTTAGAAAAGAAGAAGTCAATTGTCCCTCTTTGCAGATGACATGATTATACATAGAAAAATCTAAATACTCCACCAGGAAACTCTTAGAACTGATAAATGAATTCAGTAAAGTTGCCAGATACAAAATTAACATACGAGAATCAGTAGCATTTTTTTATATCATAATGAACTAGCTGAAGGAGAAATCAAGAAAGCAATCTGATTTACAATTTTTGCCAGGAAAATAAAATAAAAATAAAAACCTAGAAATAAATTTAACCAAGGAGGTGAAGACCTCTACAATGAAAACTACAAAACACTAATGAAAGACTGAAGAGAATACAAACAACTGTAAAGATATAATATGCCTATGGATTGGAAAAATTAATATTGTTAAAATGACCATACTACACAAAGCAATCTACAACTTTAATGCAATCCCTATCATAATACCAATGACATTTTTCACAGAAAGAGAAAAAACAGTCCTAAAATTTGTATGGAAATACAAAGGACTTGAATAGCAAAAGCAATACTGCTCAAAAAGAACAAAGCTGGAGGTCTCATACTATATAATTTCAAAATATACTACAAAGCTATAACCAAAACAACATAGCACTGGTATAAAAACAGACACATAGACCAAGGGAATGGAATAGAGAAGCCAGAAATAAATCAATGTATTTACAGCCAACTTATTTTTGGCAAATATGAAAGAACATACATGGGAAAATGATGGTCTCTTTAATAAATAGTGCTAGGAAAACTGGATGTTCACAGGCAGAAGAAGGAAACTAGACCCCTATCTCTCACCATATATAAGAATCAACTTGAAATGGATAAAAGACTTAAACATGAAACCCAGAAATATAAAACCACTAGAAGAGAATATAGGAGAAATGCTTCAGAACATTTTTAGGGAAAGATATTGTGGCTGAGATTTCAAAAGCACAAGTAGCAAAAACAAAAAGAAACAAATGTGACTGTATTAAACTAAAAACTTCTACACAGCAATGGAAATAATTAACAGAGTGGAGAGACAACCTATAGAATGAGACAAAATATGTGCAAATTATTCATCCAACAAGGGATTAATTTTCAGAATATATAAGGAATTCATACAGCTCAACAGCAAAACAAAACAACAACAAAAACCTGATTAAAAAGTGAGCAAAGCCTTGTAGCATAGTTTGAAGTCAGGTAGCGTGACGCCTCCAGCTTTGTTCTTTTTGCTTAGGATTGTCTTGGCTATACGGGCTCTTTTTTGGTTCTATGTGAAATTTAAAGTAGCTTTTTCTAACTCTGTGAAGAATTTCAGTGATAGCTTGTTGGGAATAGCATTGAATCTATAAATTGCTTTGGGCAGTATGGCCATTTTCACGACATTGATTCTTCTTTCCATGAGCATGGAATGTTTTTCCATTTGCTTGTGTCCTCTCTTATTTCCTTGAGCAGTGGTTTGTAGTTCTCCTTCAAGAGGTCCTTCACATCCCTTGTAAGTTGTATTCCTAGTTATTTTATTCTCTTTGTAGCAATTGTGAATTGGAGTTTTCTCATGATTTGGCTCTCTATTATTGGTTTATAGGGATGCTTGTGATTTTTGCACATTGATTTTGTATCCTGAGACTTTGCTGAAGTTGCTTATCAGCTTAAGGAGTTTTGGGGCTGAGACGATGAGGTTTTCTAAATATACAATCACATCATCTGCAAACAGAGATAATTTCACATCCTCTCTTCCTATTTGAATATCCTTTATTTCTTTCTCTTGCCTGATTGCCCTGGCCAGAACTTCCAATACTATGTTGAATAGGAGTGGTGAGAGAGGGCATCCTTGTTTTGTACCAGTTTTCAAAGGAAATGTAACCGAACAGCATGGTAATGGAACCAAAACAAATATATAGACCAATTGAACAGAACCGAGGCCTCAGAAATAGCATCACACATCTACAGCCATCTTTGACAAACCTGACAAAAACAGGAAATGGGGAAAGGTTTCCCTATTTAATAAATGGCGCTGGGAAAACTGGCTAGCCATATGCAGAAAACTGAAACTGGACCCCTTCCTTATGCCTTAGAACAAAAATTAACTCAAGATGGATTAAAGACTTAAACATACGACCTAAAACCATAAAAACCCTAGAAGAAAACCTAGGCAATACCATTCACGACATAGGCATGGGAAGACTTCATGACTAAAACACCAAAAGCAATGGCAACAAAGGCCCAAATTGACAAATGGTATCTATTTAAACTAAAGAGCTTCTGCACAGCAAAAGAAACTATAATCAGAGTGAACAGGTTACCTACAGAATGGGAGAAAATGTTTGCAATTTATCCACCTGACAAAGACCTAATATCCAGAATCTACAAGGAACTTAAACAAATTTATAAGAAAAAAATAAACAAACCCATCAAAAAGTGGGCAAAGGATATGAACAGACACTTTTCAAATTTATGCGGCCAACAAACATATCAAAAAAAGTTCATCATCACTGGTCATTAGAGAAATGCAAATCAAAACCACAAAGAGATATCATCTCACACCAGTTAGAATGGCGATCATTAAAAAGTCAGGAAACAACAGATGCTGGAGAGGATGTGGAGAAATAGGAACGTTTTTGCACTGTTTGTAGGAGTGTAAATTAGTTCAACCATTGTGGAAGACAGTGTGGTGATTCCTCAAGGATCTAGAACTATAAATACCATTTGACCCACCAATCCCATATACCCAGAGGATTTTAAATCATTCTACTATAAAGACACATTCACATATATGTTTATTGCAGCTATTCACAATAGCAAAGACTTGGAACCAACCCAAATGCCCATCAATGTTAGACTGGATAAAGAAAACGTGGCACATATACACCATGGAATACTATACAGCCATAAAAAATAATGAGTTCATGTCCTTTGCAGGGACATGGATGAAGCAGGAAACCATCATTCTCAGCAAACTAACACAGGAACAGAAAACCAAAGACCGCACGTTCTCACTCCTAAGTGGGAGTTGAACAATGAGAACATATTGGCACAGGGAGGGGAACATCACACATTGGGGCCTGTCGCAGGGTGGGGGACAAGGGGAGAGATAGCATTAAGAGAGATACCTAATGTAGATGACGGGTTGACGGGTGCAACAAACCACCATGGCACATGTATACCTATGTTACAAGCCTGCACGTTCTGTATCCCAGAACTTCAAGTATAATAATAAAACAAAAGTGAGCAAAGGATGTGAATAGACATTTATGAAACTAAAACATACAAATGGCCAATAAGTATGAGAAAAAATGCTCAAGATCACTAATCACTGGAAAAAAATGCAAATCAATACCACAATGAGCTATCACACCTGTCAGAATGGCTATTATCAAAAAGACAAAAGATAAGTGTTGATGAGGATGTGGAGAAAAGGAAACCATTGGAATTGTTGGTGGGAATGTGAATTAGTACAGCCATTATTGAAAACAGTATGAAGTTTCCTCACAAAATTAAAAATGGAACTAGCATGTGCTCCTGCAATCTCACTACCAAGCAGTTATCCAAAGGAAAGGAAATCAGTCTATTAAAGGGACACCTGTAACTTAATGTTTATTGCAGCAGTATTCACAATGGCTAAGACATGGAATTAACTTAGGTGTCCATCAACAAACAAATGGATGAAGAAAATGTAGTATATATACACTCAATGAAATAACCTTCAGGTATAAAAAAAGTATGAAATCCTGTCACTCACAGCAACACAGATGAGCCTGGAGGACTTTATATTAAGCCAAATCGGTCAGTCACAGAAAGATAAACACCACATGCTGTCATTTATATGTGGGAGCTAAAACATAATTGAGTTCATGGAAGTAGAGAATAAAATTGTGGGTATTAAAGGCACAAAAGGGTAGGAGGGAGGGGACGATAGGGAGAAGTTGGTTAACAGATGCAAAATTATAACTAGATAGGAGGAATTAGCCCTGGCATTCTGCAGCACTGCAGGGTGAACATAGTTTACCATAATTTATTGTATATGCTCAGAAAGCTAGAATAGAGGATTTGGATTGTTCATAACAGAAAGAAATGATGAATGTTAGAGGGGATGGATATGCTAATTACCCTGATTTGATCATTACACATTGTATATCACATATGGAAATATATCACTGTGTCATCCATAAATATGTACGACTATTGTGTCAACTAAAAATAAAAGGAAAAAAAGTAAAAATAAGGGAAAGTATTTATTTTACCTTCACTTATTCTCTGATGTTGTTCCTTCCTTTATTTAGATCCATGTTTCTAACTTATGTAATTTTCCTTCTTCCTGAATAGCTTCTGCTAAGATTTCTTGCAAGGCAGGTTTACTTGTAACAAATTCTCTCAATTTTTGTTTGTCTGAGAAAGGCTTTATTCCTCCTTCACTTTTGAAGGCTAAATTCACAGAGTACATAATTTAAACACTGGTTTTTTACTCTTAACATTTTGAATATTTCATTCCTCTCTCTTTTTGCTTGCATGATTTCTGTGGTGAATTTGGATGTAATTCTTATCTTTGCTCTTCTATAAGTAAGTTGTTTCTTTTCTCCACTTTGCATTCTTTTCTAGATATTTTCTTCATCCCTTGATTTTTCTTTTTCTGTCTCTTCTCCTTTTTTATATTCCCATTACATGTATGCTACTCCTTTTGTAGTTGTCCCACAGTTCTTAGATATTCTGTTCTTTTTTATCAGTTTTTTTTTTTTTGAATTTTTGCTTCTCAGTTTTGGAAGTTTCTGTTGTCCTATCATTAGACTCCAAGATTCTTTCCTCAGCTATGTGAAGTCTACTAATGAGCCCATCAAAGGCATATTTTCTTTCTGTTTTTGATCTTTATCATTTTAAAATTATTTCCTAGAATTTTAATCTCTCTGCTTAAATTTCCTATCTGTTCTTGTCTGTTGTCTAATTTTTTCATTACAGCTCTGACAGCTCTGAGCATATTAATCATAGACTTTATTTATTTTCTTTTTTTGAGACGGAGTCTCGCTCTGTTGCCCAGGCTGGAGTGCAGTGGCACGATCTCGGCTCACAGAAACCTCCACCTCTCAGGTTCACGCCATTCTCCTGCCTCAGCCTCCTGAGTAGCTGGGACTACAGGTGCCCGCCACCATGTCCAGCTAATTTTTTGGTATTTTTAGTAGAGACGGGGTTTCACCGTGTTAGCCAGGATGGTCTCGATCTCCTGACCTCGTGATCTGCCTGCCTTGGCCTCTCAAAGTGCTGGGATTACAGGCGTGAGCCACCACGCCTGGCCTCAATCATAGACTTTTAAAAAGATTTCTGTTCTGATAATTCCAACCTCATGGCCATAGGTAAGTCTAGTCCTTATGCTTGCTCTGGCTCTTCAAACTGTGTGTTTTGCCTTCTAGTATGCCTTGTAATTTTTTTTTTCATAGCTGATTATAATGTTCTGAGTAAAAGAAACTGTGATAAACAGGCCTTTAGTGATGTCACAATACGGTGTGGAAAAAGGGGATGTGTTCTATAAGCCTGTGATTAGGTCTTAGTCTTTTGGCGAGCCTGTGACCTGGACTGTGAACTTTCAGTGCTGCTCTTTTTTTTCCCCTCCTTAGGTGGTACAGGGCAGCCTTCCAACATGTGAAAAACTAGAGGACCCTTGAGCTGGGTATTTTTTTCCCCAGGCAGATCAGACTCTGATAAAACCTCAGAAGGTTAGGCTCTGGTAAAATAGTCACCCTTGAGTTTAGGCCCTTTAAAGGAGAACAGACTATTCAGCTTTTTAGAAATTAGTATTTTTTTTTTGAGACAGGGTCTTACTGTCACCCAGGCTGGAGTGCAGTGATATAAATCATGGCTCACTGCAGCCTTGACCTCCTGGGTTCAAGTGATGCTCCTATTTCAACCTGAGTAGCTGGGACCACCAGCATGTGCCACCATGCATGGCTAATTTTTTTGTAATTGTTTGTAAAGATAGGATCTCACTATGTTGTCCAGGCTGGTCTCAAACTTCTGGGCTCAAGTGATCCTCCCACCTCTGGCTTATTTTATAATAGTTTTTTCCCCTCCTCCTACCAGAAGCACAAGAGGACTTTCTCATCTGATACTTACTGTGAGGACCTAGTAGTTAGAGCTCCTAAAGATCAAACTCATAAAAGTATATAGCCCCCACAACTATGACTGGGTACCCTTGGAGTTTTTAATTCTCTAAGTTGTTTCACACTGAGCCTTCAGCAATTTGCCAATTACAGTTTAATTTTTTCTACCCCCACAATGGTTGCTATGGAGGTTTCTGCTCATGGATCTCTGCTTCAGTAAGTTGTGGTTCTATCTGTTTCTCTAATTTGGGGATCCTCTCTTTCTCTCCAACTTTAGGGCAGTGGTTTGCCCTGTGACCTCACTTCTCTGATCTAAGAAGAGTTGTTGATTTTTTTTTAATGGGTTTAGCTTTTTACTTTTAAGTATGGATTGGCAACTTCTAAGCTTCTTATATGCCAAATGGAAAAGTAGAAGTTCTCAAAACAACTATTTTATACTAATATTTTATTGATTTATATAGTATTAAGTATTATAATTAAATGCTAAGTATAACTTAGTGTTAAGGAATTGACTTAGTCAATAAGCAACTGAAATGGTGGGAGAAAATATACACGAGTACATAAGAAACTAAACTACTAGTTTGGAGTCTTCATTGTTCTCTGGGCATTAGTGAATATGTTTTGACAGAAGGAATAGAAACTATTGATCATCCAGAAAGTCAGTTAAATGACAGTTAAACTTCTGGTAGATAAGTGTGTTCAAGTGTCTACATATGCATTCACATTTAAATATAGGCTTCTACATAGTACCTTTTTCTCTTAATGTTTTATTATAGATTTACCACTTGTTTATGAACATTACCTGAAAACAAATATATCTGCTTAATATTTTATTTTATTTTCCATCATCTATTTTACCATTCCATTATTAGCTTTCTTTTCTATTTTAGCTGTTTTCTTTATGTAGATAAATTTTGAACAAGACTCAATTTACTTGACCTTTTAATTGGCATTTACTATGGACCACCACTTCCTCAAAACAATCCATTCTCTTGGCTTTCCTTCTAACTCTCTGGCTTTACTATTTGTCTATTTGACATCTGTTCCTGAATCTTTGAAAGTCAGCTCAAACGTCATCTGTTTAAAACCTAACACATAATTTATACACTCCACCTCTTCTTCTATTTCCTATCTCAATGGCAACACAATACTGATGGTAACCAGCTTACCATAGTTAGGCTTATAATTTTTGAATTTACAATGGGCTTATTGGAATGTAAACCCATTGTAAGTTAAGGAGCATCTGACTCTTTTGTTGTACTCACCAGACAACTCAAGAATGATCCTTGATATGTCCATCTTGCTTAATTTTTATTTTCAAATCACATTAAATTTGCTTATTTCTCAAATCTATTCATGTATTTCTAGATTCTCTCTTACTATCAAGTGCAATAAATAATTATGTTAAGCACTGACTATGTAATAGCCTCATAAAGATTCACCCATATACTTTCTTGAATCTCTCCAAACCATCTGGCATATGGCTGTTAATATGACCATTGAAAAAAGTAAACTAGAAAAACTGTTCCCATGTTTGTAAGTACAAATACATTAATTATTGCTTTTAGGATTGATACAAAACTTCTTAAAATATCCTTAAGGCCACACATAATTTGGTCTCTTCCAGCTCTGGCTTTATGTCAAACCAGTTCTGTCTCTTCCTCTCTCAGCCATATTCCTACTTTCCCTTGCTCTCTTCTTTCTAGCCACATACAGGCCATGATCCCTCTCTCTTCAAAGTAGTCACCTATACTATTTGCTACTGAATCCCCCTTTTCCCTAAGGTACTTATGATTGAGATCTCTTGTGAAGTATCCTTCTCCGGGAAGTATTCATTGAGGTTTTTAAGTAAAATCTTCTTGTATAGGCTTCATGGCAGCATATATCTTGTATTCATAACAGTTCTCAAGTTGGGAATTGATTGCTGTTATTGGATTAATGTTTTTGCCACCAAATAATAAACTTCTTGAGGGAAGGAGCCACGTATGATTTTGATCCCTGTTGTATTCCTAATACTAAATGGCACATGGTAAATGCTCAAATATTTGATCAAAGAATAAATGACTTTAATTTAAACTAAGAATTAACTAATAAGTCATACTATAATCTGCTAAGCTACCTGACAAATGGTAAAAATTGTAGCAATTGAGATAGAATTCCAGGAACAATATACACCTTTTTCAAATTTCATACAGAGTAGATTTTCTAAAAAATAAGCAGCGCATTTTAAAAGGCCCCCTAAATAAGGCTTCAGATGGCACAAGGCCATGGATAGGTTGTCATAGTGATGATCAGAAATGAAAAATATTTCTACTTTACTTGAGGTAAGGAGTTTGAGGACAGCCTGGCCAACATGGTGAAACCCAGTGTCTACTAAAAATATAAACATTAGCTGGCTTTGGTGGTGCATGCCTGGAATCCAGTTACTTAGGAAGCTGAGGCAGGAGAATTGCTTGAACCCAGGAGGCAGAGGTTGCAGTGAGCCGAGACCATGCCACTGCACTCCAGCCTGGGCAACAGACCCCATCTCAAAAAAAAAAAAAAAAAAAAAGCAATGAAGTATATTTCTATAGGGACCAACTTTATTTATAGCAAGAGACATGAGACTGAATATATTCTATGCCAAAACTTTCCAATCCTTAGAATCAGCCCTACAAAAAGAAAGAAAAAAGAACAGAAAGGAAGCAGCAATCAGCTATGAGCAATAATTAGACATTCGTTTGCTAGCTCTAGCACATGTGACCATGAAGAGTAACTGTGAACCATATTGACTTTCTCTCCTGAAAAGAAAAATATGAAAAAAATTCAGAAGAAAACTGTCCTATCACAAAGAATACAGAAATTGGGTAAGAATGAACAGCTGTTTCATTTCATTACCTTTGCCCTTTTCCACCTTTATTTTTGGACAATTAGTTGATCTAAAAAGCAATAGTTCTCTATCAGTCAGTTTTTGCTACAAACACATACACACACAGAAAGAGAGAAAGGCATACAGTAATATGCATTTACCTTAGGTTCACAGGTATGCAGTTTGGCTGAGTTCGATTACCTCCATGTGTTTCATTCTAAGTCATAAGATGGAAGGAGCAGCTGTATGGGAGTTTTAACATATGCACAAAGATACTCCACCTTACAAGAGGTACAGCTTAAATTCCCTCCTCTTGAGTGTGGATTAGAATTAGTGACTCACTGCAAGCAACTGAATAATGAGGAAATGGCAGTGTGTGACTTCCATGTAATAAAAGACATGGCTTCCTCCTTGCTTTCTCTTACATTGATACTTGGGGGAAAGTCAGCAACTATCTTGGAAGGATATTGAAGAAAGCCTGTGGAGAAACTCATGTGGTGAGAAATTGAGGCATTCTGCCAATACCTGCATGAATAGGTCATCTTGGGAATAGATCCTCTAATCCTGATGGAGTCCAGATGACTACAGACATGACCAACATCTTGACTGCCTCCTCATGAAAGATGAACTAGAAGCTCCCGGTTAGGCAGCTTCCAAATTCTTGATCCACAGAAACTGTACTGAAAGCATCAATTTCTTACCACATGTCTTTTGGACAAACTCAACATTAATGGACAGAGGAGCATACTTCTCTATAGTAGGCTAAATAATGGCCACCCAGATAAAAAAATTCTAATCTGAAAATGTATAAGGTAAAGGAATCTACAGATGTGATTGAATTAAGAATGTTGGTGTGATAAGTTTATTTTGGATTATCTTGGTGGGCCCTAAATGCTATCACAAGTTCCTTCTAAGAGAAAAGCAGGAGAAGACTTGACACCCACACAAAGAAGGTGATGTGAAGATGGAGGCAGAGACTGGAGCCACTAGGCCACAAGCCAAGGAACACTAAGGAATGCTGGCAGACACCAGAAGATAGAAGAGGCAAACAATGCATGCTCTCCCAGAGCCTCTAGAAATGTGAGATAATAAGTTTTTATTGTTTTGAGCCTCCAAATTTTTGGTAATTTGTTACATCAGCCATATGGAATGAAAACATCCTCTCATTTGTTGAGTTTAGATGTTAAATACTGGCTGAACAATAATCTACTCTACTTTAGCATCTTTTCAAAAATAATCACAAAATTTAAAAGGAAAATTATGCACTGGTACTAGCAAAATAAATGAACAAATGAATTAACACAAAATAGGCAAAAGGAAAATGAAGTATCTAGACCAAAGTTTAATTATCCATGAAAGCAATGGAAAATGTGAAGTCTCTAAGAAACCAATGTAAAAAGAGCTAAAAACAATATAGTATGAAAGAAACCAGAAAGAAACAAATGTTCTTTGGATTTTGGAGAAATACAGAGACTAAAATAAAAACCAGAAATGAATACTCCATTAAAACAGGCATATGAAAGACAGGATGGGTAAAAACCACACAAAACGAAATTGTGTGTTTGTGTATATATACGTGTGTACACACATACACGAAAAGAAAAAGTTCAATAGAAGATTCATTTTTTATGTAATTAGTGTTTCTAAAGAAGATACTTAAAATGTAATTTAAAAATTCAAAGATAGAAGAAAACTATGCTGAAATTAAAGAAGATATAATTCTACAAATGTAAAGAACATTATGTATTTTAAGAACTTGAAAGAAAAGGAGTGGGGAAGTGGCCAAGATGGCCAACTAGAAGCAGCTCGTGTGAGTGGCTCTCACAAAGAGGGACAAAAGGGCGAGTAAATACAGCACCTTCCACTGAAACATCCAAGTACTCGCACTGGGACTAATCAAGGAAACAACTTGACCCATGGAGAACATAGAAAACAAAGGCAGGACGACAGCCCACCTGGGCACGACACCCAGCCAGGTGAACCTCCCCTGCCCAGAGAATCGGTGAGTGAATGTGTGACCCTGGAAACCACACTCTTCCCACGAATCTTTGCAACCTCGAGTTGGGAGATCCCCTCTTGAACCCACTCCATCAGGGCTTTCAGTCTAATACACAGAGATACGGGAGTCTTGGCAGAGAAGCTGCTCAGGCACATGTTGGAGAACCAGGAACTGTAGATATTCCACCTTCAGGCTTCCCGGCAAAAGTAACTGCAACTCCAGAAAAGCAGGAGATTAGATCCTTGTGCATACCCTTAGGAAAGAGGCTGAATCCAGTGGGCCAAGCAGCGATGGTCTGTAGGCCCTACTTCCATGGTGCCTCAAAGGATAAGACACATTGGCTTGGAATTCCAGCCAGCCACCAGCAGCAGTGTTGTGCCTACCTGGGACAGAGTTCCCAGGGAGAGGGGAAGGCCACCATCTTCACTGTTTGGGCAAGTCACCTTTTTCAGCCTGCAGACTTTGAAGAGTCCAAACCGATCGGGCAGAAGGGATCCCCCAACACAGCACAATTGCTCTACCAACACGTGGCCAGACTGCTTCTTTAAGCAGGTCCCTGAGCCATCCCTCCTTATTGGGCAGGACCTCCCAACCAGGGCCTCCAGCCATCCCCGCTGGTGTTCTCTGGCCTACAGAGATTTGAAAACTCCCTGGGACAGAGGTCTCAGAGGGAGGGGTGGGCTGACATCTCTGCTATTTGGGTACTGAACCTGTCCAGCCTGTGGGCTTTGGAGAGCCCAAGCCAACAGGCGGTGAAGCGTTACCCCAGCACTGCGCAGCTGCTCTACAAAAGCATGGCCAGACTGCTTCTATAAGTGGGTCCCCAATCCTCTTCCTCCTGACTGGGCAAGACCTCCCAACCAGGATCTCCAGCCACCTCCTGCAGGTGCGTTCCACCTGGCAACAGGTTCATACCTCCCTGGGCCAGAGCTCTTAGAAGAAGTGGCAGGCTGCCATCTTTGCTGTTTTGCAGCCTTCACTGGTGATACCTTCAGCTACCGGAAAATCCAAGGCAACTAGGGACTGGAGTAGACCCCCAGCAAACCACAGCAGCCCTATGGAAAATTGGCCAAATTGTGCCAGGGGGAAAAAAAAAGGTAGGCAACGTCGAACATTGAAGGTAGATTAGATAAGCTCACAGAAATGAGAAAGAATCAGAGCAAGAATGCTGAAACCTCAAAAAGCCTGAGTGCCCTCTTTCCTCCAGCTGACCTCATTACCTCTCCAGCAAGGGTTCAAAATAGCCAGTATAGAGAAGTACTTAATCCTCCTGATAGGGCTGAAAAACACACTACAAGAATTTCGTAATGCAATCACAAGTATTAATAGTAGAATAGACCAAACAGAGGAAAGAATTTCAGAGCTTAATGAAATATGGCAGGCAGACAAATGTAGAGAAAAAAGAATGAAAAGGAATGAACAAAACCTCCGAGAAATATGGAATACCATATCACACCAGTCAGAATGGCTATAATTAAAAAGTCAAAAAATAACATGCTGGCAAGGTTGTGAAGAAAAAGGAATGCTTATACACTGTTGGTGGGAATGTAAATCAGTTCAGCCATTGTGGAAGATGGTATGGCAATTTCTCAAAGACCTAAAGACAGATATACTATTCAACCCAGCAGTCCCATTACTGGGCATATAACCAAGGGAATATAAATCATTCTGTTATAAAGACACATGCACATGTATGTTCATTGCAGCACTATTCACAATGGCAAAGACATGGAATCAAACTAAATGGCCATCAATAATGGACTGGATAAAGAAAATGTGGTACGTATACACCATGGAACACTATGCAGCCACAAAAAAGAATGAGATCAATGAGATCATGTCCTTTGCAGGGACATGGATGGAGCTGGAGGCCATTATCCTTAGCAAACTAATGCAGGAACAGAAAAC
This sequence comes from Homo sapiens, assembly GCF_000001405.40. NCBI lineage: Eukaryota > Metazoa > Chordata > Mammalia > Primates > Hominidae > Homo > Homo sapiens. The sequence goes on along the minus strand of NC_000008.11, from coordinate 78,742,984 downwards.
CAAATACCACATGTTCTCACTTATAAGTGGCAGCTAAATGATCAGAACACATGGACACATACAGGGGAACAATACACACTGGGGCTTTTTGGAGGATGGAGGGTAGGAAGAGGGAGAGGATCAAAAAACAATTAATGGATACTAGGCTTAATACCTGGGTGATGAAATAATCTATACAAAAAAAACCCATGACACAAGTTTACCTATGTAACAAACCTGCACTTGTACCCCTGGACTTAAAATAAATGTTTAAAAAATAGAGAAAGAAAAAGACACTAAAAACATGAAAAGATATGAAAGCATATAACTCACTGTAAAGATAAAGCATAAAATTCACCATAAAGATAAAATATAGTCAAATTCAGAGGGCTGTAATGAATTTGTATGTAATTAAGTGTATACTGTAATTATAGTTTATAAGTTACTTTTCCTCTACTATAAGAGTTAAAAGACAAAAGTATTAAAAAATAACTTCACCTAAAAAAAAGAACTTAGCCAATGTCATGTTTTATACTAGAAAATACTGCAGTTCAGTCTTATAATCCTGGCTTTTCTCTTCTGATTTTCCATATTTATAAAATATTTGAAGAAATTTGTTTCTTATGTACATCTTGACATATGTGATATATGATTTGTTTCTTTTTATTTTTTATTTTTTTCTGAGACAGAGTCTTGCTCTGTTGCCCAGGCTGGAGTGCAGTGGCGTGATCTCAGCTCACTGCAAGCTCCGCCTCCCAGGTTCAAGCGATTCTCCTGCCTCAGCCTCCCAAGCAGCTGAGATTACAGGCATGTGCCACCACACCCGGCTAATTTTTTTTTTTTTTTTTGTATTTTTAGTAGAGATGGGGTTTCACCATGTTGGCCAGGCTGGTCTCGAACTACTGACCTCACGATCTACCCACTTTGGCCTCCCAAAGGGCTGGGATTACAGGCATAAGGCACCATGCCTAGCTGTGATTTGTTTCTTATTTGCATCTGGACATATGTGACATGTGAATAAGAAACAATTATTGGGACTTTGGTCAAGTAATTCTATTCTTTGTTAAATCAAAAGATGGCCATCTAAGTTTCTTTTCAACACCATGTATCTATAATTCTTACTCTGAGCCATTCTTCTGATAGGGCATGAATGAAAAGAATTTTAGAAAGCAACAGTAATTGGCAATCATATAGATCTATATTAGATGCATTAATAAAATGTACTAAGGTCGATGAATTAATAACTGTGACCTCTATAGGAGTCAACCTTTTAAGGGTATAGTAACACATTTACATTCCATATCAAGCATTAGGTAAAAAATAATCAACTGGTATAACATTATCTTTCTGTGGATCTGCCAAAAATAAGTTTTATTAATAACCTAGAACAGCCACCTAACCAATATGGCTTTTTAAATATTCATGTGTCATGCAATTTGCTAACATGTTGCAAGAAATTGGCATTCATTATGTGACATATTGTCTCATACGATATTTTTGGTGAATTGGAAGATAACATATAGAGTAGCTACACGTTTCACCTTCTTTTTTGAAGGATGACATGGTAAAAATTAAATACTCTATGTTTTATCAAAGAAAAAATTATGTATGAGTTATTGTCCTTGGGGTATGGGGAAGTCAACATGAAAATGACTTAATAGGCAAATATTAATTATCCACTAAATTTTCAGGAATATGTACAATGGCAATGTGAAGATAGTTATTGAAAATGTATCTTTTACACTTGAGATGTATGTATTCAGACACTTCTTGCAGATAAAGCTGATAGTATATACATTTTAAAATCAGGGTAAACCCAGACATCATCATGCTTTTCACAGGTGATAAGAGTAATGAATACTTTTCTGAGAGGCAGATGAGGATTCAAAGCCCATGACTAAATCCTGCCATTGCTCCACTTCTTATCCTGTTTCTCTGGAGACATTACATAGGCTAAGATTGCTTTCAGTCCCAGAAGCTCTGATAGCATGGAGTTGCTAGTTTGCTGGACAGAGCTAGTCCAACCCGGTGCATAAGAAAATCTGAAACCTTAGGAGGTTTTTCCTAATATCAACTAAATTATTGATTTAGATAATCTCTACCTTCTTCTACTACATTCCTTGTAAATGAAAAAAAAAATAGCGCACATATCAGTCTGCTTTCTCACTCCTATGTTTATAATACACACATATAATTACACTGTCTCAGGAAAATTCTACCTCAACCATCCCAGAAAATTGGATTGCTAAAAATGTTGTGAACAAATTTCAACCTTAATTCTCACTGTCAATTTCAAAGTACTAATGCAGATGGTTTTATATTCCTTGCACATCCAATTAATTAGTTGTGACTGTTGAAAATACTATGTTGATTATAAGCCTGTAGTCTCAGCTCAACTGAAAAGAGTGTAAAACAGACAACTGATATGAAGGGGTAAAGGGTTTAGGTATGTTATACATTTGTGATTCTTTCTCTTATGTGTTGAGCTTTGTATGGATCCCTTCATTCTAATATAAATTCCTTTTCTTGTTATTTGTTGATGGCAGGAAATTTGACTGAATAACCTCTTAAGTTCATCTCAACTTAATGACTTCACATTTTATAATACTTTGTCTATAAAGCATAACTTCTAAAATAGGTACTTCTATTTCCCTAGATGAGCCAGATTCTCTTAGAGAATTCTGGGATTCAATTATGGGATCTGGGAGGGGCTCTAAATATGGGAGGATTTGTGTATACACTTATTTATCCTTCAACTATAGAAAATGATTCCTCATGCTTAGTCAGCTGAGCCAGGCAAAACTTATTTTCCTTAAAATGCACATATAAATATCAGATATTATAAGATTATTATTTTTTATAATTACAAGATATTAGAAAAGTACTCAGTTTTAACCATATTATTTTATGTTATTTATTACAGGACAGCATGAAAGAAATTGGTAGCAATTGCCTGAATAATGAATTTAACTTTTTTAAAAGACATATCTGTGATGCTAATAAGGTAATGATAATTATTTGGAGTTTGTCATTCAAGCTTGATTTTATAGAAGCTTCTATTTTTTGTGCCTCTGTTAGACAATTATATGAATACTATTAATATTTGCAGCCTGATCACATAATTCCCATTGATTAAATCATACTATGGCCCAATTTTATATTTTTGTTTTACAAATAGTCCTGTGCTTATTAAATAACAAGTTTTTTTTGTTTCACCATTCTATTTTTTACCTTGAAAATACTAGAATTGTCGAATTCAAAGACACACCTATCTCTTATTTTCTTTCTTTCTTTCTTTCTTTGTTTTTTTTTTTGGAGGCAGAGTTTCGCTCTGTCACCAGGCTGGAGTGTAGTGGCGCAATCTCAGCTCACTGCAAACTCCGCCTCCTGGTTTCAAGCGATTCTCCTGCCTCAGTCTCCCGAGTAACTGGGTCTACAGGCATGCACCACCACACCCAACTAATTTTTGTATTTTTAGTGGAGACGGGGTTTCACCATGCTGGCCAGGATGATCTCGATCTCCTGACCTCATGATCCGCCTGCCTCCGCCTCCCAAAGTGCTGGGATTACAGGCGTGAGCCACGGTGCCTGGCCTCTAAATTTCTTATACAGAAAAATACTTGTTAATGTGAATGCTTGCACACATACAAATATAAGTCATTGGTATAATTTAGTTGGAAGCGTCTTGAAAATTTTTCTTTCAATATTTGCTTATCTCTAAATGATTACCACATCTAGTTGGTATAATATTACACTTTAAAAAACCTAAAAAGTTTATATCATTTCTCCCTACAGAAACAAGTGTGCTATTTCATAGTCTTTTAAAAACTCACAGTAGCTAAGTTAGCCTCATGGCATCTCACAACCATAAATTCTTTTTTTTAAATTTCTTAATTTAAATATCTGCAAAACTTATGTTTTAGGTGACTACAGTCCTTTATTTTCTTATTATCAGCTATTCTTCCATAGCTCAAAAGATGCAAGAAATACTAAGAAAAAACCACACATACCTCTTATAATACATTGTTGCTTCCAGAAGTCTTCTCCTTCGGTTATCATGTTTAAAATTGAATAATCTTCTAATATGTTCACACATAAGCGATAAGATCACATAAGCATAATAGAGAAAACAAACTTTAAAAGTCAAGATAATTATTAAACCAAGTTCTAAGAACTTCATGCTGTCACCTAGGAGCCAAACAGTTTTAGTTCTGTTACTTGTCAATCACATGATTAACTGGAATAGAAAGCTGGGGTGGAGGCGGGGCATTACCTAGCAACATAGCTCAAGCTCTAGGCTCCTTAAGAAAGCTTATAATTTCTTAATATTTTATTTGAACCATGGCCCTTCTGACTTTTTCCTATAATAGGAAGGTATGTTTTTATTCCGTGCTGCTCGCAAGTTGAGGCAATTTCTTAAAATGAATAGCACTGGTGATTTTGATCTCCACTTATTAAAAGTTTCAGAAGGCACAACAATACTGTTGAACTGCACTGGCCAGGTAAGCTAAGGACTATTTACTTTGAATAAAAATATTAAATACTCCTGTGCCAAGATACCACTATTCTCTGATGATCACATCCATTATCATAGAATCCTAAGTGTTTATTATCATCTAAAGTTGAAGTATGTTTACTCAATCCTAGAAGAGGAAAGGCTCAGTTTGGAAATACCTATTTATCTCTTGGCTAGAGTGAATTGTTTGTGAAAGGGGAGTAAAAAATAAATAAATAAATTCTTCATTGCCATAATAACTTCCAAGGATACTAGGGTGATATATTGGGTGGGGAATGGTAAATTTCTATATCTAAAACTTATTAATAGCTTTAATCCATATATGTACACATTTACAAGAACTCCTAGTCAATAAAACAGGAAATCAAATGTATTTAACAAATATCTTTATAGGCTTAAACTAGACATAAACATGTCCAACAATTTTCCCTTCTTTAAATAATTTTGATACAAATAGGGCTAATATTTTCCTACTTTTCTACTAGTGGTTATGAACTAAAACAACAAAACCAAATATGGAAGACATCATCTAGAGACTAGACAGCAGTTTCCTTATCTACAAAATGCAGAAAAACATATCTACATTGTGGGATTTGAAAGGATTAAATGGCATAACACATGTAAAGTGCTTAGTACTAAAAAGTTTTCAATATTTAATACAGTGCTTTATTTTATTTGTATTATTTACCTCTTTTTGGATTTTACCAGCTGCCACACAAAACCAAAAGTTTATTTTATGGTTTTAAATATTTTCTTAAATAACATTTTTATGACTTAAAAAAGAATTTTGTTTTGTTTGAGCACTAGTAGTTTCCCATAGAAGGTAAAATGGTAAGATTATCTTTGAATCCTATTGACAGTGATAAAAATGTAGATTATCTATTATATAACTTGGATAGCCTCATTTATCATTGCTTTATGTACTTGATGGAAGCAAGTCTCCTCTTAGTGTGCTGGATTTGCCAAACTTATTTCCAAACTTGCGTCCTTACGTTTGTCCCCTAGAGAGCATTTCTACTTTTTTTTTCTATAAATTGGATCTATTTTGTTCTATGCCTTCAAGGCTCGGCTCAAGATTCATGAAGACTTCCTACTCTAGTCTACCATTTCTTCATTCCTACTTAACAGCGGTTTCAAAGTACTGTCTAATGCAGATAGGTTTTATGTTGCTTGCACATCCAATTAATTAGTTGTGACTGTTGAAAATACTGTGTTGATTATAAGCCTCCACTCTTGGTTCAACTGAAAAGAGTGTAAAACGGAAAACTGATATCACCTCTTGGTCTACTAAGAGGTAAAGGTCTTAGGTATGTTATATATTTGTGATTCTTTCTCTTATGTATTGAGCTTTATATGGATCATCATGTTCCAAAATTAACTGTAGAGAAAGAAAATATGCAAATAATTTAAATCTTTGAAATTAAATTATATTACATTGATTAACTTGATACAAGTCACCTTTTTCTTGAAATAACAAGGCAAGATGTTAAAGCAGTCAGCTACACTGAATTTTCTTCATGAGCCAGGCACGCTACAAGCTTTTTACTATTGTTTTATTTCATTTTGTTTCTGATAAGTGAAGCTTAATAAAATGTATGGCCAGGATTTAACAATTTCTTGTTAACTTTATTTTTATATTGATTAAAATTCAAGTTTTATCTCTGCTACTATACCCTACTATGTTAATTTTTCATACCTCACAGTAGTTAACACAGTACTAGGCAGACCTACAAAATTATGGATTCTGGGTATTCAGAAGACTGAACTATCTTGCTTCTTCCTTTACCCTGATATTCCATTTCTAAATCATATTAATATTTTACTTTCTTAACAATAAGAAATTTAAAGTAGAGTCTCAAATAGATTAGATGAGCTGAAGGCAATATGAAAATTAGCAATTACAAACAACTGGAGGAGCAATGAAGAAATATTCAATATTATAAATGTGACTTTGTTTTTAAGGTTAAAGGAAGAAAACCAGCTGCCCTGGGTGAAGCCCAACCAACAAAGAGTTTGGTGAGAATAATTGTATAATTTTCCTTATGGTTCATCAGGTTTTTACTCAACTTAATTCCTAATTTTTCATTTTGAATTGTTTCCTTCTTATAGCTGGTTTTGAAATAATTTATTATAACATTGATAAAAGGAGAAGCGAGGTGCCCCTCAAAAATTTGATTCCTTTAAATTGCATTTTTAAACCCACTATTTTAAAATAGAAGCTGTTAGGGCAAATACAAAAGCATGATTTTTTTTTTTTTTAGAAGAAGCAGCATTAAAATATTGCAGCTAGCACGTAAAAGAAATGAACAAATAATTTATATAGGAGAAAATAAACTAGATGACAAATACATGAAGAAAAAAAGCCATCCCTGTTAGTTTGTAAAGAAATAAAAATTAAACAATAAGGACTTATCTTATATATACCTCTTTTATTAGTGTAGATTGTACAGTATAAATAATATATAATAGTATATAAACATATATTTATACATATACTACTAGACATTATTAGATAAATTATACAATAATATGGAAAATATTTATGAATGACTTAATAAGGCAGAATACTTAAATGGATCTGACTAAACTTTAAAATGATATAGGTACTAATTAAGTTGAGGCATGGAAAAATGAGCACACCTGGTTCATAAAAGTGATGGATTCTTCTTTTATATTTCCATTATTTGACCAATAGCTACATGGCAACATGGAAATTCCTTACTCTTTTCAGAAAAGCAAAGTGAGCCTGTACACTCTGAGATTTAGGAAATTCTAGGGATTCTATGCAAAGTGGAACATCTGAAGTGAATACAGAAGCTAAAAGCAATATAATCACCCTGAAGGCTTTTCACTAAGAGAATTTGGAAAGTTTAGAAAAGAAAGGTTGGGTGCGGTGGCTCACGCCTGTAATCCCAGCACTTTGGGGGTCCGAGGTGGGCGGATCACAAGGTGGAAAGATCAAGACCATCCTGGCCAACATGGTGAAACCCCGTCTCTACTAAAAATACAAAAATTAGCTGGGCGTGGTGCACGCCTGTAGTCCCAGCTACTCAGGAGGCTGAGGCAGGAGAATCACTTGAACCCAGGAGGTGGAGGTTGCAGTGAGCCGAGATCGCGCCACTACACTCTAGCCTGGGCAACAGAGTGGGACTCCGTCTCAAAACAAAAAACAAAAAACAGAGCAAAAAAAAAAAAACAAAAAAAAAAAAAAAAGAAAAGAAAAGATAACTATTTTCCCAGGATGCAGGGGTAAAACCAAGATTCTCTGTTTTTTACTTTTTAGTGAATGCTTATTCTCGGTGTGCAAGGAAAAGTATGAAATTTTCACATCTGTATATTTCAAATCTGCTTAGGCAAATCAACTTCAACTTGTACTTAAAAAAATTGTCCAGGACCCCCTATTGAAAACAATATGAAAAGTTTGCCTTTATATTTCCCTTTGAGATCTGTTGTTTAATCTTTGAAATGTATTCTTTAAAAAGTATGTGCTAGTGTTACTAAATACATGACAAAAAGAGATCTGAATTTGTGGCCAAATTAAAAATAGGACAGAGGAGCTCAAGATTCAGTCATTATATTTACTTGACATATATTTATTTACTTGACCTTAGCAGCTTATTTATCTTCTTTGCGGATCAGTTTCTTCATCTGTGAAATGAGTTCAAATCATCAAGTTCATATGATGATTAAGCAAATAAAATGAAGTAAATTATGTTAAACACTGAGCACAATATATGACTGAGAGAATACCCAATAACTTGTTATCTAAATTATCTAGTTACCCAATAACTAGTTATAATAGTTTTTATATTGCTTGCACATCCATTTACTTGCTAGTGATTGTTGAAAACACTATGTTGATTTTAACCCTGAAGTCTGGGCTCAACTGTGAAGAGTGTAAAACAAACAACTGATATCACCTCCTGGTCTAGGAAGGGGTAAAAGTCACTGGTATGCTTTATATTTGTGATCAACTAGTTGTTATCTAAGTGAAGAATTACTCTACCCTGCACTATTCCCATTCTCACAGGTCAGAGGACTCAGAGAAATATAACTGAGTCTATACAGAGTTACTCCTTTATATGTCTGTTCATGCCAAGTATCTCTTTCTTCCTACAGGTTGTACAGGTAGCCCTTTTTAAGATTCTTGTCAGGTGCTAAAACCTAGCTTATGAGGCAGGCATCTGACATACTCTGGTGAAGGTTAGTTGTTGGAGGAGACCTTAGGGTACAAGTTCCATCAGCTATATCCTTATTATCTTTGGCAAAATAATCTGAGTATTTTCAATGTTGATTATTCTTCCCACTAAAAATACATTTTTCTACATTAAAGAAACTCAACTGAGTAACCTACAATTACCTTTCTCATGAAATTCCAAACAGTGTTATTATGTCCACTGTTAAACTGTGAAAATGGCGGTCAGCTGATATAGCTCTTTGGAGAATCCTAAGTCTTTAATCACACCAACCTTGAATTTTCTACATGTCAGTTATCACAAAGATAGTTAGAAATCATCGTCTTTAAAATGTCACACAGGATTCTACCTTTTCATTGCACCAGTTTTTCAGTATAAAGTAATATGATGAAAAATAGTATTTTAAAATATATATTTTTGTAAAAATGTGAAGTTTAAACTTTTAAAACTCTATTCTCTAGGAAGAAAATAAATCTTTAAAGGAACAGAAAAAACTGAATGACTTGTGTTTCCTAAAGAGACTATTACAAGAGATAAAAACTTGTTGGAATAAAATTTTGATGGGCACTAAAGAACACTGAAAAATATGGAGTGGCAATATAGAAACACGAACTTTAGCTGCATCCTCCAAGAATCTATCTGCTTATGCAGTTTTTCAGAGTGGAATGCTTCCTAGAAGTTACTGAATGCACCATGGTCAAAACGGATTAGGGCATTTGAGAAATGCATATTGTATTACTAGAAGATGAATACAAACAATGGAAACTGAATGCTCCAGTCAACAAACTATTTCTTATATATGTGAACATTTATCAATCAGTATAATTCTGTACTGATTTTTGTAAGACAATCCATGTAAGGTATCAGTTGCAATAATACTTCTCAAACCTGTTTAAATATTTCAAGACATTAAATCTATGAAGTATATAATGGTTTCAAAGATTCAAAATTGACATTGCTTTACTGTCAAAATAATTTTATGGCTCACTATGAATCTATTATACTGTATTAAGAGTGAAAATTGTCTTCTTCTGTGCTGGAGATGTTTTAGAGTTAACAATGATATATGGATAATGCCGGTGAGAATAAGAGAGTCATAAACCTTAAGTAAGCAACAGCATAACAAGGTCCAAGATACCTAAAAGAGATTTCAAGAGATTTAATTAATCATGAATGTGTAACACAGTGCCTTCAATAAATGGTATAGCAAATGTTTTGACATGAAAAAAGGACAATTTCAAAAAAATAAAATAAAATAAAAATAAATTCACCTAGTCTAAGGATGCTAAACCTTAGTACTGAGTTACATTGTCATTTATATAGATTATAACTTGTCTAAATAAGTTTGCAATTTGGGAGATATATTTTTAAGATAATAATATATGTTTACCTTTTAATTAATGAAATATCTGTATTTAATTTTGACACTATATCTGTATATAAAATATTTTCATACAGCATTACAAATTGCTTACTTTGGAATACATTTCTCCTTTGATAAAATAAATGAGCTATGTATTAACACTGCCAGATTCAGTTAATAAATCTCAACAGAATTTTTAAGATGAGATTTTTAATACTTCACTGCTCTTTAATTTTCTACTTTCATTGAATATATGACCTTTAATAGCCTATTACCAACAATGAATATGAGACATTACCTTCTATGTTAAATTTTAGTCTTTTAAAAGAAACTTGTCTGGAAATGTCTGCAGTCTTCATTCACTGATAAAGGGAAATGGAAACACTATTCTAAGCAGGCCAGAATCTACAAATAGCTGTCAGTTTGCATTGCACTGAACTCACATCCTTCATGCTCTCTCAGCCTCATCACCATCTAGTTATGTGCTGATGGGCTTTATTTGATCTACAGAAGATGCTCTGGTGACACCCTCAGTGTGTGTTGGTAACACCTTCCTGCCTTCTCTCACTTTCCTTGACCCATATGACATTTCACCTTCACTGGTGCGATAGCTGTATAGAATTGTATACACTTCCATACAATTTACTGAACTGCCCCATTAACAGGACTTTGAGTCAAGTATTTTTTTCTGTTTGGTTATCACTGTTAACTCCAGAAAGATGAGTTGATTAACATTTTTTAGAAGCAAATGACTCTTCACCAAGCTTTCTTTCTTCAGATGGACTTTTCTAAGTAGGTTATGCTCCTTCCATCATAAAACATGGTCAACCATGTGGTACACCTCTACCCTGATTACTGGAGATATTGGTAAACCATTAGTTAGAGAAATGAGGGAATTTACATTTCTAAAGGTAAACTCTTGAAACTGTCCTTGAAAATGTTTCCTTCAAGGCTATCTATAATGTTCCCTAACAGTGTTAAAAAAATATATTCTCTCTGATGTTATGGTAAAATAAGGGTCAATATTTTTTAAATGCTTGTTTAAAAACGCTATTAAAATTTTCTTCCTTGGTTTCTGTCATTTGTTATAGTAGATTTGAATTTTTGAGAAAAATTGGACTCAAACAGTGTACTCAGCTTGTACTGTGTGCCAAACGTTTGGAAAAATTACCCACACACTTATGGTTGCATTTCCCTTCTTTGTTTCCTAGCCTCTAACAAGATAGGTTGGCTAATAATGATTTGGGAGAGTATAAGTATATCTACTCCACAATTAGAGATTTATCTCAATAAACATTTTCTTTTAAATATATATTTAAATGCTTTAAGTCAGCATTTTCTAAAGTTTGCCCCAAGAAATGCTAATCCTTGTCAATGCTACAAAAAGAAAAAAAAATAAGGAGGGAAGATACTTATTTTTGATGTGAGTTAAATATTCTCTTGGAGGTTCACAATTCTTATAAGTATATTAAAATCCCTAAAAACTCATTCATGTAGCTGTGAAAAAAATTTAATAGTAATATAGCATTTCTAAAACTTAATTGATTATATAAAACATTTTTACATTAAAAATCCCTAACCTAACACGAGGTTAATATAATTCATAGAATTAAAGCTAATATAACAGCAAGGAGAATCTGCTTTATACAAAGAGTTACGGTTAAAAGTATTTTAAAACAGGTTTTCAGGGAATATGCTGAAGGAAATACTCTTTTCAGGAATAAGATAATTTTCTTAAAATTGATCCATGGGAAAACTGAACTAGAAAAGTTTCTTTGCTTTAGGCCATACTTTCATTGACAGCCAACTTAAGAAGGACATTTTGTTAACCCTACCACGCCATATAAATATTTCTCTAGAAACACGTATCTTGTACTGTAGGTCAGATAATCTTTATGGTGTTCTGTACGGGCAATCTTCATTCATCACGTTCTTACTGCTTAGAATGTTGTTGCAAATTCTACGCCAACCCTGCTTAAGTTTCAAAGGGCATCTCAATTCCTTTTCCTCAATTGCTATGACTTCCATGATAATTCTAGATAATATTAATGTATGTTCCCTTAGTTGTTCATAGCACTTAAGCCTGCATCATTCATTATTATTTGACCAGATTCATCTTAGTACTTTATCTTAAATACAATTTAAATAATCTGTTCATTTGAAATGTTTTATCTACCCTAAAAGAATTATGATCTTTGTCTTCCTTTCAGCTCCTAAGGGGAAAAGCTAGACATATGGTAGTTAGCAAGTCTACAGGAACTGCATTGTGCCATTCTGTTATTAATATCCATTTAAATCATCTAGAAAACACATTTCTACAATAATTTACTTAAAGATGGGTATGATAGCACCAGAAAACATAACTAATTTAGGACAATATGGCCCAACTTTGTGTACTCAAAATCACCATGCATTCTGGGTGCATTCAGGATGATATGGCAGAATTTTCTTTGATTTCTAAATTTCATTTGTTGTGAAACATCTTTTGGCTTTGATTCTGACCAAATAATAGAATCTATGGAAATATCGTAGGACAAGACAATGAAACAAGTAGGTGTATTGATAATTATAAATTCTAACAGTTTTTAATGTCTAAATATAAAAATACATGCAGTCATAGACCCATAAAGTTAATATTTGAGAAAGGTGCTAAATCATCGTTTTGTATTGGGAATAATCTGGGGTTTGATTTGCATCCTTCACATAAAAAGTGGTAAGAATGAAGTACATTTTTCTTGAAAGGCAGCAATTTTCTAAATGGGGGAGAGGTCATTGTTACTTAAGATACTGTTCTAAAAGTGAACTAATTTCATATTCATATTTTACATGAAGAAAGTTAAGGCAAGGGGCAACATTAAAATTTAGTTGTTTAAATTATTGTTGATTACTGATTTATTCTTTTTCTTCAATCTAAGTGTTTCATTCTTTCTGAAGCTTTCCCATGCTTTCCCAGGTGGAACTGATCATTCCTTCATGTATGCCTCCACTGCTCAGCTCAACAAGTAACTCTTAATAACCTACCACCTGTTATCTCTGGGAGAGGGACATATGTTTGCCAATTTCTATCTTCAATGCTTATCACAAATTTTCTTATATTTGAAATAATCTGATTCAAATGAGAACTTTAACCTAAAACTTTAATTGGAAAGACAATCTTATAAAAATCTTATAACATATTCTAGAAATGGTCCAAATACTATCACAAATGGAAGAAGTTCAGCTTGAGGAGCATCCAATCATGTGAGGTAAAAGTCTTCTAGTAGAACCAGCATGATCTTCCAGAAAATTACAAAGTAACCATTATCTACCCCGTCATCTCCTTCTTGCCTGGCATCCCCAGAGCTGAAGAAAGGGAAGAAAAAAAATGGATTTGTTTTTTGCCATGAAAAATCTTAACGTAAAGATTAATGCATCTTGCTGCTTAAGAGAAAGGTGTTACTTTCACTCGGGGTAAATTAAATACTAGGATTGAGACTAATCTGTTCACAGCCAAATAGGGGTTTACTGAAGCTCCAACGTTTGAATAAAGACCACTTATTGGGAAGACGCAACACAAATACATATAATTCATTCACTCAACAAATATTTATTAAGCATCCATCTCTAGTGTGCCAGTTCTGGCCCTGGAGGTACAACAAAGTCCCTGCCTTCATGGAGCATATACCCTAGAAAAGGGAAAACAGTCAGAAAAAAGTTCCATGGGGAGAACATCAGAAAGATTGGTGGAGAAAGGTGGTATTTTAGGTTAGATGAAACAGGAAAGCTCCTATAAAGAGGAGACATTTGAAAATATTTTATTGGTCTCAAATTTTTAACATATAATACATGACTGGCAATATTTACACATTTAATAAATTTAATTGAAGAATCAAAGTGATTTTGCAAGACATCAAAGCAGAATACATCTGCTACAGTACATGATGCCTTCACAGAAATAGAATAGGAAATTATTAAATGTTAGACTTTGAAGTATAGTCTATTGCCCTGAAGAGTTGCAAAGGGAGTAAAAAGCATTCCCATACACTCTTTACCAAGTTTCTGTTCCTCTAATAAGAGATAGTTACATAACCATGGTATATTTATCCAGACTAGAAATTGGCATTTTCGTGTGTGTGATGGTGACTGTGCTGTGCATTGTGGGATATTTAGTGACATCCCTGGTCTGCACCCATTAGATGCCAGTGATCTCCTCCCCCCAAGTACTGACAGTCAAAAATGTCTCTATACTTTGTTTCTTGGAGACAAAAGTTACTACCACTTGAAACCATTGCTCTAGAAGTTGTATAGTTTTATGTTTTACATTTAGGTTCATGACTTATTTGTGTATGAGACATAAAATGTGTATCAAGTTTCATTTTATGCATATGGATATCCAAGTGTTTCATCACCATTTGTTGAAAAGACTACTTTCTCAAATGAATTACCTTTGCACTATTGTAAATTTTGGTAGACTATATTTATGTGTGCATATTTATGGATGCTCTGCTCTGCTCTGTTCTGATGATCTATGTATCCTTTCTCCAATACCACAGTTTTGATTACTATGGCTTTATAACATTTCTAGAAATTGGGTCATTTGAGTCCTCCAGTTTTTATTTTTCAAAGTTGTTTTGGCTATTCTAGTTGCTTTGCCTTTCTATGTACATTTTAGAATCAGTCTATCAAATCAGTAAAAAAAGCTTGTTGGAATATCAACAGAGATTGCAATGGAGACTATAGATTAAACTGGGGAAGAAATGGCATCTGTACTGTACTCTGTTCTTCCTTGGGATTAAGGAACATGGTATATTTCTCTATTTAGTTTTTCTTTGAATTCTTTCCTTAGTGTTTTATAGTTCTCAGCATACATATTCTACAACTATTTAGTTAGATATATGCATGACTATTTATTTGGGTTTGTATGCACATGTGTGCTTTTACAAATGGTATTGTAATATTCAAATTCAGAATTCATAGCTGATATATAAGAATGACTCACTTTTGTATATTGTTCTTATATCCTATGGATATAGGATTATTAAACTCACTTATTAGTTGTAGCGTTTATGGAGTGAGATTTTCTACAAAGACAGTAATGACATCTGCAAAATAGAAATCATGCCTTCTGTGAACATAGAACCTTCTGAAATCTCACTTTTAAAATTCTTAATTTATCTTCTGCATAGCCCCTCCCCCAGCCAAGATGTTGTCAACTTACTTTCTGATGTTTATATTATAAAAATAATAGACATATTGAATTTGTGTTTTAAAATTACCCATTGCCTCCTTATCAGAAGGTTTGGATACATATTTCTCAGGAGTTTGTCACTTTACTGCTATTAAGAAACTCAGCACTAAATTAATAGTCATAAAGAGTTATGATACATTTCTACATTTCCACTTCAAGCAAATTTCAAATTTTCTAGTTTGACTCTTAAAATGTAAACAAATACTTGTTATTGAAATATGTCAATCATTCCTTGGAATGTCAACATGACCTGAAAAGGATTCTGTACTATTCTTCTAAGTGGCCATGTTCTTTAATCATGTGAACTCATTCCTCTGTCCCAACTAAAGGGAAGAGAGAATAGGGCAACTCTCCTAAGTGCAACTAATTAACAGGCTGGCTAATGATCTATTATATATGTCATGCAGCTTGAAAAGATGTGGTGATTTAGGTGTTCTATGCCAGGAATTACAACCACAGTCTCACATGAATTTGCTCCAAATCACAATGAAAAGGAGAGGAAGTTGCAAGGTTTAATTAAGTTGGGCACTGGCAAGCTGAAAGAAAAGGGAAGCAAAAAAGATACACCACAGTGAAGAAGACAACAGAGAATGGACAGATAACTAAGAGAGGCATAGAGGCCCACAGATGTACCAGTCCTTGGAGTTTTCTCAGGACCTAATGGTCTCAGGACCAGTTCTAATCCATATGCACCTTCTGTCAAACCCTTTTTCTCAAGGTAACTGAAAGGATCTCTGTCCCTTATATATGAAAGTTCTATTGAGATTATTTTACACTGAAGAAGGAGGAAATGAGAATGAAAAGCAAATTTATGAACATTAGGGTACTATATTAAGAAACTAGAATTAATGACTAATCTTTGCATCCTAAACAAGACAAAGTAGTTGAGTCGATAACAAACACGCCTTTATTTCTAATGAGTGGGACTAAGGATGAGAGATTAGGGGACTGGAGTGCACTATTAAGGAAATTGATCATTTTGTTTTACACTCAGGTGGGGGAGGAAAGTCTCAGTTTGCTTCAACTCTACATTATACCATGTAATACTTTAAAACTGAGTGCTAAGGATACTTAATTTGATCAATACCTGTGACCACTTTAGGGAGGAATGGGAGACAATTATTTTCTCTTGCTTTTATGTCTCACTAATTAAGGGGCTAAAAAGTATATTCAGGTTATATGTTTAAGCCAGATCAGGTCACTCTCCTATTCCCGTCTTACTCTGAGTAAGCCAAAGTCATATGAATGGCCTCTAAAGCATACATAATCTGGCTGGCTGGTTACATGACTAATTTTCTACTCTTTTCCACACACACACCATTCCAGAGGTACCGGGCTCTCACCACAGAGCCTGTGCACTTATTTAACCCTTTTCATGAAATACTCTTTCCTCTCTTGTACATTTGCACATATCAATCACATTGAATACCCTAACAGAAAGCACTAAATGTTAAAGGAAAATAATCCAAGAAACAAGTATAGTAAACAAAAAAGATATACAATAATGGCTCACCCCTCTTTCAGGTCTGTGCTCAAATATCACTTTTTCAATGAAATCATCCCTGAACACTCTATCTAAAATTGTAACCCTCTTCCACCCTCCCTCACATTTCCCTTCTAACCACCCCCATGCTTTTTCTCCATAGCATTGTCAGAATTTAATATGAAGCATATTTACTTGCTTGACATATTTCTTTTCAATCTTCATCTATTAGGATGTGAACTTAAAAAAAAACAGATTTTTGACTGCTTTGTTCACTGCACCTAAAATAGTGCCTGGTGGGAATTAAATAAAATAAAGTTTTGATCAACATCTAACATGAACATATATCTAACATTATGTAATAAATAATTCATAACATTTACTGAGGCCTATTAAATGTCACAGATTGTGGCAAAGATTTTATACATGTTACTGATAATCCTCAAATTCATCCTGCAAGATACATATAATTATACTCAAAGCATACTTCTTAAATTCAGTCTGTGGTTATCTAACACTACGATTGGGTTAAGGAAGATGTCTTGTTTCAGTATATTGAATATTCTTTCCTGTAAAATATGATTTTAACACATCCCCCATTACTACAGCCACTGTAAAAGGAAAGCACAAGTTAGACCAAATTTGGTTGTTGAAGAGTTTTTGAGTGCAAACAGCAGATCCGAGTCTAATCAGTTTAAGCAAATAATAATAATAATAACTAAAAGCTATTGGGAAATGCATAGAATCTCTGGGAGAGCCAGATAGTCAAGTTTGGAGGCTGTTCAGCCAGAAACAATGCCCAAGTTATAATCACCAACTTGGCACTCTTTCTGGCTGAACAGCTCCAAACTTGGAGGGGAGGACAGTCAGTTAAAGTGCTACCATGGGGAACAGGCCACATGTTGCAATAAGGGTGTCACTTCTTGATGCTCTGCCACAGCTACCTTAGAAGCTCTGTGTCTCTCCACTAAACTCCACCATCCTCACTAGGAAATGGAGGCTGCAGTGTCCATTTCATATTATTTGTTTCAGAATCCAAGTCTGTTCAGTAGTTCCCAAGTCACATGAATACTCCCTCGCTGTAAGAAAGTATAGAAAACTATAAATTCTAGCTACAATTTTGATGCAGTGAGAGTTTCACCATGGAAAATTTGCCAAACATATGATTTTCAAAAGGTGCTAGCCACAATGATGACAAATGCCCATTACAGATAATAACAAAATTTAGATTTGAAATACATCACAAATCAAAATAATTTTTCACTAGAAGACAGGAGTTGGGCAGTGTTTTATATTGTCCAATGTTTTCTACTTAAAATATGGTATCTGAGCCAATAAACGATAAGACCTCTTCCTCCTTGAAAATAGCTTTCGGGTAATGACATCAGTGAGAAAAAATCTTTCTACTGATATAAGAGGGAGAAACATGACAGTGTTTACTAAAAGGGAACGGCATGAGAATAGACTGCCTCAGAGAGGGTATAAAGCTACTCTAGCATACAAGTTGCTTATTCAAATGGCGTTTTGATTTCATTGATAGTAAGACATATGGAAAAACCTATTTTTGAATTTTCAAATTAATAGTTAATTGAATAGCATGTTTCCAAAATGAATCACAGTTAAGGAATTAATGTTTAAAATAAAATTTTAAGTTCCTGATGTTTCTTGAAGAGTTTATGAGTTTTCCCTATAAGAAATATAAGTTTGAGAAGATAAGTAAAAATATATATTTTTAAAACTTTCTAGTTCTTAAAATGTTCCCCTTAACAATAATTAGGAGAAAAATAAAACTTTTTTAAAAAATTAAGCTTTAAATAGGCAAATATATGAAAACAGATCTAAATATTTCATACATATGTAGATATACAGAAATGTAAATATATATTCACCCAAGCCCAACAATAGCATGGCAACATACCTCTTAAATATTTAGATTAACTGTTTTTATTCTATGCTCTATGGAGTAAACCTTTGCTTGTATTACCTGGACTCTTAAAATCATAGGTGATAAAAAGAGAAAGAAAAAAGAACCTGTTTTAAAATGTCCTCTTGCTGGTTGGATTCTGAGCTCCTAGCTCTTCCCCATGGCTGACCTTGAGGAGTTGTGGGTTTCTTCACCAGCTCCCAGAACTTCCCTTTTCTTCCTCATCTTCAAACACCTTTTAGCATCTTTCCCACGCAACCAGTGAGTTTGGGCTGGCCAGTTCTGAGCAGGAACAAGGGCCAAATGGTAGACCTGCTGGAGAAAGTGGAGATGCAGATCAGAGATGCAGCATTTTCATTAACCAAATTTCTTGAGGTCACATCTGCAGTACCAGCTCAAGTGGAATAGCTTGTCTTCCAATGTACAGAAAATGCATGTTTCCTTAAAACCTGGCAGGACCTCTTGAAACAAGGCTATGATTCTTTGAAACCTGATGACTGATTTGGCATGCTTAGTTATTAATGATTGTGTAATAACTCATACTTCCTCATATATGATATTTGCATATGTACTACATGTATAGAATGATCTCTTCCCAGCAGTTCTGTATATACTCAGAATGAAATTTTTCTTGGTTTTCTTGGCCTTTGTGAAAGCAGAAGGCTGACGCTATTTTTGTTGCTGACCAGTACTTGTTTATCCATTAATATTTTCTGCCCTCTAAACTTTTGTATAATCCTTTATGAAAGTTAATTTCATCAGTATATAGTTAATATTAATAGTGCCAAAGTGCTACCAGTGGCAAACTAGGTAGATCGTTATTTATTTTCAACAAGATGCCAAGCATGTCAGAGTTTGAAGTTGAGCTTCAGCTTAAGTACAAACGGAGGTAATTTTAAGGTTGCCAGTGATAGATCCAGTTCCATTAGGTTTAGTTCTCTAGGGCTAATGATTGTTTCTGATTTATTTCTATATCCCTAGCACCTAAAACAGTGTCACACAATAGTCACTAAATGTTTATTGAATAAAAGAGTCGACAAACATAATTAAAAGCTATTTTTCTTCCTATATATAGCATGAAGATTGTAATTGCTTCTCTAGAAAATGTATGAATCCAAACTTTACTAACTTGAGGAAAAACATTCTCTTTACAGAGATTTGAACTTTGATGATGGCTTCTAAATATATATATATATATATATATTTGTACTTCTATATTTTTATAGAAGGCTTTCCTTTGGAAAATGAAAGACTATCTAGAAAGAATGCATGTATTCCCCCCTATTTTTTATGGTTATTATTTTTACAGTTTTTTTGTGGTTGACATTTTTATATGTTTGATTGCTATCTTTAAAGTGCCTTATCAAATTTATGGCTCTGTGCTGTTACCTTTTGAGCTTTGCAAGTTGTTTACATAATAAAGAAGTTACTTTGTTTCCAATGCATCAAACTTAAATGATGTGATTGTTTTTCTATTATTTGACCTTAGTGACAATGTTCTATTTTGCTTGTCCTGTATATATATTACTTTTGGTGTTTTGTATTATGTGTCAAGGATAAGCCAATTAATTCTCTACCATATATAACTTCTGAACATCTTTGATATGGCATCTTAACTCTTTGTAGATATGGAGATATGTACATAACTATATTCTAAAGCCCCACAATGGGGCTATGAAAGGGGACAGATGGATGGGCAAAGAAGAGTTTTGTTTATCATATTAGATCATAGTTCTTGATTAGTTTTCTTAGTTAAAGATCACACATAGGGTGTGGTTTCTATACCAAAGACATGCTTATTTCAGTATAAGAAAAATAGTTTTCTTACACATCCTGAAAATTGCGATTTTTAAAATGTGCAAAATAAATTCTTATTGAAAGCAAAAAATAAAAATTTTAAAATTAAAAAATAGAATGTCCTCTTGAATGAAATTTAGGAAAAATAATTTCGTTAAAATTATACCTCTAGTTGACAGGCCACTTTCAGCAATACAGCTTTTATAAAAATAAACTAGCTTAAGTAGATCACAGGACATTTGTGGACATTAGAAAACAACGTAAAAGGCGGCAGTTTCAGATTAAATATTGCAGATGAACATGAGTAACTCTGAAAAACAGAAACCTATTTGCTTTTTAAAAATTATAATGGTAATGTGCATTTATTTTAAAAATTGACAATATACAAAATATAAAAGATAACTTACCAAATATCCTTTGGTAGAAATAAGCATAATATTGAGAAATATATTTCTAGCCTTTTGTCTTTGCACTTTTTTATGTAATTGGAATATTTTATATACAAACGTTATTTGAAAATTTTTATCTTAGCAATAAAACAACCTTGTGATTCCATTAAAATTATTTAAAATTGATTTAATGGCCAATTTCTTCAATTTTATCACTATATAGTACTATTAATCATGTTTTGCATAAATATTTTCCTATACTTCAGATTATTTCCCTAAGTGTGTCTTAGAAATAAAATTACTAAGTTATGAAGCACAAATGTTGTAAAGGCTTTTAACGTAAATTTAATCGACCTTTTCAAAAAGTATGATCTATTTATATTTCCACCATCAGTACATAAGGGCATTCATCTTAACGCCCCATGACAGGTTTTAAGTTTTATAATTTAAGATTGCTGATTTGATGAGTGAAAATCCGCATTTCACTGTTAACTGTACTTGACACTACTCAGCACTACTGGCCGTCTCCTATCCCCAGCCTCACTGTTGCAAATTCAAAGTAGGTGCATAAGTAGAGGTATTTGGGCAGAGATAAAAGAGAGGAAAAAGTGAGATAAGATTGAATAGCTGGAATTATCAGTAACTTTTACTCAACATCTCTTTTCCTCAGTCCTCAGGACTACAGAAGCAGTTCACATTTTACAGATCAAACGGACGACACACACATTCTTTCCACTGCAAATTGTCCTTTCTCCACTAGAAGGTAAAACAGTTCTTGTTCATACTCTGGTTTCCTCCCAAGCATTGGCACAAGGAAGAAAAGAAAAAATGGGAAATGCTGAGCTGTATAATTTATGGTTATAAGAAGCTCCCTCTTTAATATTTCTGCCGCACTTTTTGGTATCTTCATGATAAACAAAAGTTCCATTAAAATAAATCACTTATTTTTGTCCCATGTTGTAATTGTCTGTTTAGGTATCAGTTTCTCCAAATAAATTGTATCAACTTGAGGGCAGACACTTAATTACATCTTATTATCTCGATCCCCATCATTGCATATCCAGAAAGAGCACATAAAGCGTTTTTCAATGGTAAGTACAAAGCTTTAGCTTTGTGCACCTTACAGTAGTTGATCTAACCACTTATTAGCTCCTATTTAAATAGATGACACTCTTTTGTGTTAGATAATGTTAAATTAGAATAGACGATTGGGGAAAAAAAGATCCTTATCTTAAATGAAACTATAACCTACTAAACTGTGGTAGAACTAAGATGAAATATTAAAGTAATATTTCAAGGAGTATTTACTAATCCATGTATTGTCCATAAGTGATATGCTTGAGATGCATAATTTTGCTAACAAAATATCATGAAGTGTAATTATTAAATATCTCTATCAATTACTGCAATCCTGGTGCCCCAGTTGAGCTGGGCAAAATTTCTAAAATATAAACACATTATTAAAATCACAACAAAACAAAGAAAACTACCCTTATAAATCTCTGTAGTTTCGTGTTGTCAAAAAATCATATGTATATTGCTGAGAGGCCCTTAAAAAGAATAGGCCGTAATATTATGAAATAATTATCCAAATGCACCCTCTAGTGGCTAAAAAGCAATTCACATATGAGCTAAGCAAAACTGTGTTTAAAATGAGGAGCATTGAGTAACATTTAACTGAAATTTTTCTAAATGAAAATAAAAATTGTGGCTTTAATTTCTCCACAGCTCTATTTAATAATATAGTCATTTGAAAAAAATCAACGTACCTCAATACTAAAAAATACTTACCATGTAAAATACATACACATTCAATGAAAATAAATACCCAAGTGTTCTGATGATTCTTTGTTATCTGTGTTTTCTAATATTTTTTCATCTCCAGAGCTTCTACTCATGGTTAAATGTTCACCTCTAACCTAAGGAAAAAAATCAAACATGTCTAATCTGAAATTTCACTAAATTCCTTTTTAATTTTAAATGTGGTCTAAAATATTATTCATCACAAATAACTTTGCCATTAAACTGTATAGCTCTTAACTAGAAACGTCCATGTTTCCTATTAACCTTGACATCACAAATGTTTGTGACTGCTAAATAGTCTATGAAGATAATGCCTTAAAAAACTTGTAACAAAAACATTTCTAATACTTTGATGTCAGAAAACACTTCAATAAAATGGTAATACATTTTAAAAAGCTGATGGCATAAGAATACAGCCAATGAAAAGCTACTTTTTATTTGTAAAAATCTGTTATTTTTGACTTCAAATATTTTATTTATATTTCATTAGGTTCCTATCTTTCTATGTATGGCTAAAAGACATCAGTGAATACGAACTAGCATTTTTATGCTTCATGTCTTTATTGAATAGGTTCAAATATGAAGACATTATTGGTGAAAAAACAAAAAACAAATAGTGGACAAGAAATAATAGTCACCACAATCATCTTTTTCAACCTAACACAATTCAGAATAATACATAAGCAATTTTTACATTTTTAATCTTACAATCATCTTTTATTCTACCATACTGTCAAATACTTGTGAAAATAAATAAAAATAAAATACATGATGCATAGGAAGATTTTTTTTAAAACTGAACTATTGCACAAATCAATGTGAGAATATGCAAGTAATATAAAAATGCATTTAAATATATTGTCACAACATATTTCGTAAGTCATAAATCTATTTCACCTACTGTTTATAATCTCTGGGCTCTGGAACTAGATGATTTCTTACCAACTCATCTCCATGTGGTACATTATAACATTAATTTACTACTGTAAAATTCAGTGAGAAACAAATGTGTGCCAATTATTTATCTATCCTTTCCTTGAGCAGACAAAAAGAATTATGTGGTCTTAAAAAAATACTTGACAAAAAAACAGTGCTCAGTATTAGATAAAACAAGTTTAAAGTTCTTTATATGATTTATAACAGAAGTGATTTAAATGGAAATCTAATATATGCATTCATCTTCTAAATTCATTACAGCTTATTTTAGTTGATGGACTATTTGTTTCTTTGTTTTGACCAATAAGACTGAATAAAGATAACTGAGGGGAAAAAAATTAACAACTAATCAGGAAATAAACTGTAAGTAAAATGACAATTCCTATTAAGTTTGTAACTCCTGCCCAAACTAAACTAAGCTAATAAATTTCAGATAAATTATAAGCCACAATTCTTTACATTGTGTCTTATAGTTGATCAGAATCATAAACAAAAAAAAAAGCTAGGAATTATATAAGAGATTTGTTTGTACCTTTACAGTAAGATCAAAGCTCTCTTAGGTTTGATTGAATAGAAATTACTACAGAATTACTGCCATCAAGGCAATCTACTACTAACTACTATGATATACTGAAAGTGACAATGATTAAGAGCTGTGTCGTGATCAGGTTAAAGAGAAAAAAATAATTAAATTTGTGTGTATGTTTAATTAGGTAAGTCAATTATGCATTAAAACAATACATTTTCAGTGGGTCCTTAATGTGACGTGAATGGTGTTTCAACATTAAATGCTAAAGATGAAAAAAAGAGTAGGAAAATTAGATATTCTCTTAACCTACTCATAACTACATGTACTTCCAAGAAAAAAAAATTCAAATATTTTTTATCTGCATGCTCTGCACTAATGATTAGTTACCACAACTATTATGATTAGGTGACGTGATTTAAGATGCATTAAAATGATTTATTCTAAATTCAGATACAAAAAATTATATGTTTTTAAACATGTAAGATTTTGCAGGGAATTCTGTGCCTTCTATATTAAATAATTACATTTTCAAATACAGCAAAAAATGAACTAGCAAATTAAAACTATCTTCACGGGTTATGGAAAAAGAGGAAAAGTGAAATCTGGAAAAACAATTGGAAGTAAAAAAATATGTTCAACGAATACATACAGAACTAAAAAAAATCAGTTATAAATAGAACAAGATAGATTTGTATTTTTAGTCTTGTGTATTTGAAAAGGAAATTGCATAATTACACTTTTACAAAACAAGTAAGATGTTTAAATTACGTAACTAATAGAGGGGTTTTTTTTTCTCTTAGTTTTTCGGATTTATGAAATAATTTGTTGACATGCTCTACAGGAGTGACCTTAACATACCTAATGGTAACTAAAACTGTTCTCTTTAATTACAAAATTCCCAGCATCTATCCTACTATGATACTATCTGAAGATAGGCACCAATAATACAAATGTTTATCCAAATTTTTTGCTCAAAGTTATACTTATCCTAAAGCTTGAAGGGCTAAGCACTAGAGTATGAGAGTTTGTGGAAATGTACTTAACGTGCTTTAACAACAACAGAAAAGTAACACCTAAATTAATTGTTCCATTTGAAATTATTTTCTGACAGATAAGTGAATATTTCCTTGAATGACACAGTCTGGGGTATCAGATATTTATTATATACAGTATATGTACACATATAAACATACACACATTATATAGCCAAAAGATTACACTTCAAAATTAACTGGAAATGGTATTTCGAGTATTTTTAGCACAAACTAACTAGAGGATGTGCTCTAGCTGTCCAAGCAGCAATAATCATAAACTCTGAACTTGGCTTTTTTTTTTTTTTGAGATTCTATTCATAGAATCATTCTTCGAATGCCACATTCACAGCAAAATTTGGCCCATTCTACAGGGTATTTAGTCCCACACTCATGGCAGAATTTTGGTAAGTTTCCAGGTGAATGTCCTTCAATGCCTTTAATATTTCCACCATTAAGGGAAGATGCACAGTCCCCATCTGGCCTAAAAAAGTAAAGAAACAATGAAAAGATAAAGTTTGTATCAGTAGTTTTCAACCCATAACCCTGGAGAAACAGGACATAAATATAACAATTAGCCTGCTTAATCTCGTTTTTAATATTCCTCTAGTTCAAATTTTAAAAAATCCTTGTTAGTAAATACTAAAATTCTAACATTTTTTTTTAACATTATATTTATCTGTGTTACGAGAATTTACCATGACCAAATGCAGCCATGCTTTCTGTGTTAGTCTGTTCTCACATTGCTATAAAGAACTACCTGAGACTGGGTAATTTATAAAGAAAAGAGGTTTAACTGACTCACAGTTCTGCAGGCTGTACAGAAAGCTTGGTTGGGGAGGCCTCAGGAAACTTATTCATAGCAGAAGGCAAAGGGGAAGCAAGCATGTCTTACATGGTGGGAGCAGGAGGAAAAAAGAGAAGGGGCAGGTACTATACAGTTTTAAACAATCAGATACATTGAGAACTCACTATCACAAGAACAGCAATGGGGAAGTCCACCCCCATGATCCAATCGCCTATCACCAGGCCCCTCCTCTAACGTTGAGGGTTACAATTTGACATGAGATTTGGGCAGGACACAAATCCAAACCACATCGCTTTCCATCTGTTCTTTGTGCTAGGAATTTACTACACTGGGAGCAGAATGAACATTTATGATGTCCTTTCTGCAAACCCATCTCTAAAGAGAACCCAACCATGAGGAAAGATAGAGATCCTTAGGTTTCAAGTCTCTCTCCTTGGTCACAAGGATTGTGAGGTGATGCTTCTAGTATTTATTTTAGTTTTATTATTTAATGATATTAAATTATTGTGATGCAATAAATAACAAACTCTTATGCATGCACTCACAGGGAGGTCTCTATTATCTATTAACAAAACATACTAGGCCGGGTGCGGTGGCTCACACCTGTAATCCCAGCACTTTGGGAGGCCAAGGTGGGTGGATCATGAGGTCAGGAGATCAAGACCATCGTGGCTAACATGGTGAAACCCCGTCTCTAATAAAAATACAAAAAAATTAGCCAGGCGTGGTGGCGGGCGCCTGTAGTCCCAGCTACTCGGGAGGCTGAGGCAGGAGAATGGCGTGAACCTGGGAGGCACAGCTTGCAGTGAGCCGAGATTGCGCCACTGCACTCCAGCCTGAGCGACAGAGCGAGACTCCGTCTTAAAAAACAAACCAAAAAAACAAAAACAAAAAAAAACAGTAATAAAGGTAAAATAGATGCTAGATGAACTATACACTATAACAGCCTTTTTTTTTTTTTTTTGAGATGGAGTCTCGCTCTGTCACTGAGGCTGGAGTGCAGTGGCCCCATCTCAGCTCACTCCAACCTCTGCCTCCCAGGTTCAAGCAATTCTCCTGCCTCGGCCTCCTGAGTAGCTGGGATTACAGGTGTGCAACACCACAACCGGCTAATTTTTCTACTTTTAGTAGAGACAGGGTTTCACCATGTTGGCCAGGCTAGTCTCAAACTCCTGACCTCAGGTGATCCACCTGCCTCAGCCTCTCAAAGTGCTGGGATTACAGGCGTGAGCCACCACAACTCCTCATCCATTCCAGTTTTATCGTGAGACTGCAGCAGTTCAATGACATCTGCAGGCTTCCCTTCTGATTCTAGTTCTTTTGCTATTTTGCTAGTACATCTGCAGTTACCTCCTCCACTGAAGTCTTAAGTCCCTCAAAGTCATCCATGAAGTTTGGAACAACTTCTTCCAAACTCTTATTAATGTGGATATTTTGACCTCCTCCCATAAATCACATACGTTCTTAGTGGCATGTAGAAGGGTTAATCCTTTACAGAAGGTTTTCAGTTTACTTTGCCCAAATCCATTAGAGGTGTACAACTTAAAAGCCAGATTAAAAGAAAAAAATCAGGTTTTCTATAAATAGCTTGTTACTTACTTTTGTGTATGGTCCTTGGAAAACTATCATATACTCAATTTTATTTTAGTTATTGGGAGAGCAGAGCTAAACATACCTGGCTATGTAGCTCTCAGTATATGTTTTTCTTTTGTTTGTAAGCACACCTGGGGCAGGATTTCTTGCCAAACTAGGTGGTGTGGAATTTCGGGGTTTGACATTAGCTCTATAAAAAAGAGGAAAAATAATGGAAAAGTATTGAACAGTGAGCATGTATTTCTCAAATTACCTATTCACATGACTAGAAAGAATACTTAGAAGCTTCAGAGAAGTTCAAAAGATTAAAGTCCCAATAATTATTTTAAATCTGAAAGCAAATAGTAGTTAATATTAAAGATAAACCAAATAATTTTGCATTTACTAATACTATTCTGATAGTAAATAAAATCAACTAAAATATGTATATATGCTTTACATGAAATTTATAAGGTAATCATTCTGAAAGATACATTTTTAAAAACAGTTTAAATTTATATTTCCCTCAAAACATATATTCTGATAAATGCTTACGGATAATGGTTAAATAAACAAACAAGTTTCATTATTCTAGGCATATACGATGTAGTTAAAAAAAGAATTTTTTTGCTAGTCACATTAAAGAATAATATTCAACTTATGAAAGTTCTAAAAAGCAGCAACTAAAATAAATGAGTTAATATAATATTCCCTTTAAAGATTTAATTTTACCAACTGCACAGCCTGGGCTATCCGAAATCAGAGGGACTTCTGGTTGGATCATCCATGAGTCTCCATTTTGAAACTTTAAGAATCAAAGAAGGGTTAGAAAACTAAATGATGATGATATAACACTAAAAGCAGAGGCTTGGGAATTCAAATGAATTTAGATTCAAATGCTAATGCTACTGACAGCTTTGTGACAGCAAGTCTGAGTCTCATCATTTATAAAATGATCACTTATAGAAAGGTTATGAGAAAAAAAGTACAATTCATATAAACATTTAGATAGCTGATGCTAATACTATTACTACTGTTGTTGCCACTATAAGTTAACATTTATATAATAGTGCTTACTCCATGTCAAGTACAATTCTAATTATTTTGCCCATAGAAATTTATTTATCCTAATAATCCTATGAAATAGGTAGCGTTCATAACTCCATTTACAGATAAGACAAATGAGGTAAAGAGCCCCTAAGTAACTTACCCAAGGTGACCCTGCTAGTGTGTTCCAAAGCTAGGATTTAGATGTTCATTGAAGCATAGTTCCCTCCCTCTCTATAGAGCTTTAATCAAATCTTTAAATTTCACAGGTGAACAGTGTTATATGAACAGCAGAATACTTTAAAAAATACCTCCAGATTAGAGGTTCTTAAACTTTAGTTGAAATTTTTCTTACTCTACTTATATGGCAAAGTAGGAGAGAGTACCCTAAAATTGTAAATAGCTGCTTCCAAAGTACATGCAGGTAATAACAACATCCACTATTTTTCAAACAGCCACTACATGACAATTATGAAGCCAGATACTACACATGCCTTATTTAATGTCCCCCAAATCTCAGAAGATATTATTCCCATTTTAAAGTGGAAGCATGTTCAAAGAGATTATATAAATTGTGAGGCTACTACGTGGCCAGAGTAGTACTTGAACTTAAGTGGGCTGTATTACAGAACTCATATTCAATACACAATGCTGTCATTCAAAGTGGTTGCTTTGCATAGTTACTTCTTTAAATTACTTCTAAACTTCAACAAGCAAAGAATCACTTTGGTGCATGAATGGAATGCCCTGCACCTCTTCAAATGCTCACTCCAAGTCCATTCATGAGGTTTACTCTACTCTTGTGTATAGCCTCTTTGGGGATGTTGTAGAACTACTAGAGTCTTTTTCTAGAAATTCAATCTTTAGGAAATCATTGTCAAAGAATGGACTTTAAATAGGAAGAACACTTTTTTTTTTTTTGGCTATAGAATCGTCTTAAGTGCATGAGATATACAAACAATACAAACACACCCATGAATATATACACATAATGTCACCATATCGGTAACTTGAGGTTGTTCAAAATGTTTATATTTAGAGGAAAATATAAGAGATTATCATCATTAATAGCTACCAATATTAAATACCTGTCATTTATTTTTAGTAACATCTAGAATGGCCTTGATCACTTAAAACATCTTGCCCCAGTCTTACACAGTCCACAAATTTTTCTTTCTGTTCAGAATCTGCAAAGCATTACTCTTACTCTGTATCTAGAATCTACCTGTTAACAGCTCATATGAATAATTAAAGAAGGTTTAATTTTGGAATTGTACTTAATCCATCTTACTGCTAGTCACTGTTACTGTGAGATCTGCATCAGAGAGTTCTGACAGTAGAATCAGCAAAATGAAAAACGGCTCACAGCACAAACTCTTCCTGCTAGGATTTATCACTACTTAAAAATAGCAAATGGCTGCTGCTAGTATCTTAAAGACTTCTCCTACCTTTGTTTATCTAGTTAAATTTATTATTACTTTTCATACATACATACTGAGCAGACTGTTGTAGTAGGTGTTGGTTTAAAAGTTAACTAAGTTACTCTGCTTAATATTTTCCACCATTAATAGGTATATTAATTTTTAGGCCCTAATTTCATATTTAAAATGTGGGCTAGAATTGAGACCCAAATTAGTAAACCTTGAAGACTCATGCTGTAGAGTTTCAAAGTAACTGCCATTGCCACACACTCTTTTCAGCCAGCCAGGTCAGAACTGGCTGTGTCATACTCTTCCTCGAGCTTGACTCTTTGGCAGTGTCATACTTTTTCCCGGTTGTAGGCAGAATTTACAACCATCTAACAAAAAGACTAAGGACCCTTGGATTGAAAGTTTCCTAAAATCTTTTCTTTTTCTGGGCTTTTTATAATAGTTCACCATCGGCTTATCTAAGAGATAATCTAACAATATTATATACTGTACAAGACATTATTTTTCTCAAACTCTGCTTTTTAAAACTACTATTACAAAAAACCCTAATTACTACTAAAAAAAACTTCATAAAAATAATTATTAAATGTGACTGCAATTTGAAACCTCAAAAAATTAATATTTAATGGAATAAAATGTATAACCTAAAAAGTTTTATTTAGTACAACAGAAATGCTTACTAAAAATCAAAATGTTTTAAATCCTAGATTATTTGACACATTTTGGCTTAGAAATTATTCAACAGATTTTTTTAAGTATAGGACAGTAAAAGTTATGTTATTCCATTATATAAAGCTTTTAAGGAAATATCTGAAAAATATTAACCAAACTGAGTTACAAATACTTACTTGTAAATAGGTAATAACTCATGTCTTTTGATGGCACTGTCTGATTTTGTATCACTGTCATACAACCTTTGCACAAGTCTTCCCGTTCGAAGTGGAGGGCCTAACTTGTCCATATTACTATTAAAATATATAAAGGTGTACCCATAAGGAGATTGCTACTGCTTCTTTATATAAAGTTTTTTTAAAAGACATTATTCTGGTTCATCAGATATCTACTCCCCAAGTCCTTAATTTTATCTGACTGTCAAGGTAAGAACTAATGTCCAAAAGAATCCTCAGAGAGTTCATACAATGTCCATTATTAGGTCTGAAAATTCTGACTACACAGGCTACCCTACACATCCAAACAAATGTCAAATTATACACAGCAGGGCAATGGAATCAATGAAGAAACTTAGGAAGAACAACTATTTCAAAAAAAAAATCATGAAGCTATAAGTGAACTGAATGCTGTTATTCACAAATGATTTTTCTTCCTCCCAGAATTCATGGAAACTTTCTCTACTCTTCATATTATTTATTTCCGTGCTTTTTAAAATTCCAAAAATAAGGAATTGACTAAATAACATGTACTCCATTTGACTTTCTAACTCCACTGACTTCTAACAAAAAAGTGACTTTATTTCTGAAATGTATCCAAAGTAAAACAGGACTCGGCATGGAAAAAAAAAACATGGATGACAATTCTAAAAATCACATATAATAATGGTAAGGGGCCTATATATACACACACACATTTTGACCAAAATTATAAAGGCTCTCCATCTAGAGGATAGCAGGACAAACTGCAGGTTTGTAGGATATTTCACTGTTTTAAATCAACCAACCAAATAACTGAATCATATAAACTATCACCAACCAACATCTAGTCATAGTAGGAAGCAGGGAAAATTGAATTATGACATTAGGAAACAATCTTATTTGCTACTGAATAACACATCACTGCTTGTTAACTTTAAAAGTCTGTTCTTTTTAAGAGATATTTGCTCACTCATTTCTTTACTTATTCACTGACTATAAACCCTGAGCATCTATTATGAGCATCTATTATGTGTCAGGCACTGTGCTCCATTCTCAGGATGTGGTGGTAAATAAGATAGATCTGATACCTGTTCTTATGGAGTTTAGTGTCTGAAAAGAATGTGTTCATTTTCCTAGATTATAGATATCTAAGAGGAGGGACACATTTTATTAATTTTTGTCTTCTTTCAGTAGCTTATACATAGCAGGCATTTTGTTGAAAAAGTTGATATTAATACTTTGCAGGTGGTGGTGTTTACGTGAGGATTTAAAGTTCTTAAAAGCAGCCTTCATTAAATAAATGTATTAAGTAAAATTTCTAAAATATTTTAAATTAAAATTTGTTTTTAATTTGTTAAAGTACAAAGAAACCCATCTATTGGAATTTTAAACATTCAGATTTTATTCTAATCCTTAATTATCAAAACATTTTTCTTCCAAACAGTGGTTATCTTACATGATTCTGGAAATAAGGATTAAAATTTTTCTTTCTCAGAAAAAACTTCCTGAAATTAAAATTTAGAAAATTTTTGACTATATTTTAAAAACATATTCCTCTTATATGATAAGAAATGGTCAAATCCTACATGTGATACAACAAAGTTCAGTTCAAGAAAGATGTGTAAAATATAATAAAAACCTAAAGGTAATTATCCAATGGAAACATTACATATATAAAAAGATTGCCAATATTTTCAGATTTTGAAAACCTAATTGAAGGACAGGTTCCAGTAATGATTTTAACCATACTTGTATTATAACATTCAACTTGATTTATATGTGTGCATATATATATATGTACATTCAAAACTCAAATGTTACTTAGGCTAAAAGTTAATGAATGCTATTTTTAGGCTATAATCACTTAATAACTTACATTCTAAGTTGCCATTAGGCTATCAAAAACAAAATCTATAAATCTCAATAACAATCAAGATTTTATACATATAATACTTTCACAGGCCTTCAAAATACTCATAGCTGAATGAGTATGGTGACGATATCAACCTATCCCTGATTTGAAATAAACTTTAACATAGGAAAAGTCATTTACTGTTGATACCAGGAGAGTGAATTCACTTACGAAATAAGTAATTTTAGTGTGGCTTACTAGGTACCTTGTAGGAGTGTAGCAAGTACTGTAGATTGAGATATAACAAAAAGATGATTTCTGAAATAATATTGGGAAAAGAATTTACCGGATGGTATTTTGTATCTTTGCACACCTCTGTTGTTATGATGCTATAAGGCAATCTTGTCCAACCAGCAGCTCACAGGCCACATGCCACCCAAGATGGCTTTGAATGGGGCCCTATACAAATTCGTAAACTTTCTTAAAACATTATGAAATTTTTTTTTTTTTTTTTAGTTCATCAGCTATCATTAGCGTTCGTGTATTTTATATGTGGTCCAAGACAATTCTTCTTTCAGTGTGGCCCAGGGAAGCCAAAAGATTGAACACCCCCCTGCTCTAAGGCAGTTTTGAAATGTGTCATACCTCTACTTTTGATCCTAAATTTATCAATCCTACACAAATAATTAGTATCTCAATTCCACAGCAAAGTTAGCTCCCTATCCAAAATCTCCAATCATTGTTATCCACATAAGAAACCGAGGTCTGGAATTCTAGGTTATCACAAGCATTTCTAGATCAACAATAAAAGATAAGTTCATAAAAATTCACATAACGCTCCACACAAATTCATTTCACACACATCAAAAGACTGGATTATGAAAACAGCATGTTTCCTATTCATATAAAAATGTACTCAAAAACTAAAGACATTTACTTCTTAATGTTTTAAATAAGGTATGAGAAACAAAATGCAATTTTTTAAATTAAAAAATGCTCCATACATGCCTTTGGTTGCTCTAATTTTAGGTGTATTACAGTTGCTCTCCAAAGTAAATGTGCTTTTCATAGTAACTAAAAGGAAGTAAATCTCTGATATTTGATAGTTTCACTATTGAAAATTATTAACTGAGATATCCATTTAAACTGGTAATAAGGTACAACTGTGTAAACTCTAGGGAACAATTCAAATGGGGAAATATTTATTTAAAAGATCTGTGTTTCACTGTATTTCTAAAATTTCCTGGTATTAAAGATAATCATCTTTTGGCCGGGCGTGGTGGCTCATGCCTGTAATCCCAGCAATTTGGGAAACCGAGGTGGATGGATCACTTGAGGTCGGAAGTTTGAGACCAGCCTAACATGGTGAAAACCCATAAAAATTCAAAATTAGCCAGACATGGTAGCACACACCTGTCCCAGCTAATGGGGAGGCTGAGGCAGCAGAATCACTTGAATCCAGGAGGCGGAGGTTACGGTGAGCCAAGATCGCACCATTGCACTCCAGCCTGGGCAACAAGAGCAAAACTCCATCTCAAAAAAAAAAAAAAGAAAAAAAAAAGATAATCATCTTTTAGAAGAAGGGAAAAACTTTCTACTTGGGTGTGTTTTGTTGTTTTTTAAACAAATCTGTTAAAATTGACCTAGAAATTGATTTGATTGCTTTTTTTTACATTTAAAAAAAGGTTTAAAAAGGTTGTTTTTGTTTTTGTTTTTTTAATGGAGACGAGTTCTTACTATGTTGCCCAGGCAAGTCTCAAACTCCTGGGTTCAAGCGACTCTCCCACCTCACTCTCCCAAAGTGTTGGGATTACAGGTGTGAGGCACTGCACCTGGCCTAATCCACAAACTGTCTAGAAGCAAACAACCAAACATATGAGAATTTTTCTGAGTGTAAAAATAAATCTCTTTGTGGCATGATTCTATTACAGATCACTGGTATGCCTGATTAAAGTGGACTACAATAAAGATTACATACACCAGACTTTAAATAATTGCAATCCACTGAAATAACAGCATTTACTAATCTCAGCGAATGCTCAATTTATTGAGCATTACACCTGACCAAATGTCTTAATTCAACCTTTACTCAATCCTGAATCATCTGTATAAATCGAAATAACAGTTGTCATACAAACTTTAAGTAATTCTTTCACTGGTACCAGATGATAATTCTGTGACATGCCAATAGATTAACAGATGAGGGAATTAATTTATTATCTTTTTTCACTTAACCAAAAATTTTTTGTTAGCCTAGGCATTCTGCTAGATTTTAGTTACAAATGGAAGCAAGGCAGACATAGTCTTTGCCATCATGGAGCTTACAATCTAGCAAGAGAAACAAATCATTACTTCACTAATTCTTAAAAAAAAAAAAAGAAAAAAAAAGGAAGGAACTCTGTCACTAAATAGACAGCTATGAATGGTTCTAATTTAATACAGTAACACAATGTTCCAGTTAATATAGTAATATATTGGTAGAAATGAGCTCCACAGCTCTCTTTCCAGTAGTTGGAAAGCTTCCTTTAATCTGCAAGGATCTTATACAGAATGGACAATCAGAATTTGAACAGGTATGATTGACAGTTATATATGATGTGGGATAGCCAAAAAATATGTATTCTTCATGGCATTCATCATAAGCAATGCACAACTGACAAAATTATTGTACTCAAAATCTCTGCTTGTTAGCAAAAGCATATTTTCCATTAGTAACCAGGTATGTTGGTCAGATTTTCTTGGATCAGTTGTCAAGGTCTAACCAGAGTCACAGATGTTGTCACAGTCAGACAATATGTCACAGCATGACAAAGAGATACATGCCCAAAGCTATTTAGTGGCAGATTATGATGCAGAAACCTAGTCTTCTAACTCCAAGGTCAGCGCCTCTCTTCATTACACCAGCCAGCTTTACACGTCCTATCTAGGAATACTGTGTCAGTACAATTTAATATTGCCAACTGATAAAATTGCCAGTACTATAGAAATACTGAAAAATATCAGCTTTTAATCTATGATCAACTGTAAGTGAAACTATAAACAACACTATGAACAAATATTGTTACCTAACATGGAGGCCAATTCTCTGTGATATGGTAAAATGACTTTGTAAAATTAAAGCACATATTGCTATGTCTATACTTCACTTAATCATCCAATGAGTCAACTCATTGGAGAAGAAAATAAATCAGATCAGTTTCTTACCACTAAAAGATAAAATTTTTTTACTTTTCAACTACCTGATCTACTGATAAACTGTCTCTTTCTTATGGATAGCCTGTCTCTTGTTTTTGGAAGCACAACAATAAGAAAAATCACTTAACTCAAAAGATATTGTTGGTTGATTTTTTTTTCCTTTTCTATAATGATAATTACATTATATTCCTTTAGGTCTTCCATTTTCTATGTAGTCTGAATTGAGAAGCAAAATGTAGTTACTATCATTTGACAGATATCTTTGTATATATTTCCCACATAAAAACCAAAATGAATGTGAGCCACATATAACTTACACTTGAAAATAACAGGAAAAGGGGTGAGTAAATACAGCACCTTCATCTGAAACATCCATGTACTTGCATTGGGACTAATCAAGGAAACAACTTGACCCACAGAGAACAAAGAAAAGAGAGGCAGGATGACAGCCCACCTTGGAGCGACACAGAGCAAGGTGAACCTCTCTGGCCCAGGGAAGCAGTGAGTGAACGTGTGACCCTGGGAAACCACGCTTCTCCAACGGATCTTTGCAACCCTTGGGTCAAGAGACGCCCTTGTGAAGCCACTCCACTAGAGCCTTCAGTCTGACATACAGATATGGGGAGTCTTGGCAGAGCAGCTGCTCCGGCACAGGCAAAGACCCAGGAACTCCAAACTTCCCAGCAAAAGTAACTGCAACTCCAGCAAAGCAGGATGTTAGACCCCCGTACATACCCTTAGGAAAAAAGGCTGAATCAAGAGGACCAAGTAGAGACAGTCTGCAGGTCTCACTTTCATAACACCTCACAGGATAAGACCCACTGGCTTGGAATTCCAGCCAGCCACCAGTAGCAGTTTTGAGCCTACCTGGGATGGAACTCCCAGGGGAAGGGACAGGCTGCCATCTTTGCTGTTTGGGTGACTCAGCTGTTCTGCAGGCTTTGGAGAGTACAAACCAACCAGAGGCAGAGAGGATTCCCCAGCATAGCATGACTTCTTTACCAAAATGTGGTCAGACTGCTGGTTAAGCAGGTTCCCAATCCATTCCTCATCACAGAGCAGGACCTCACAACTGGGACCTCCAACCATCCCTGCTGGTATTCTCTGGCCCACAGAGAGCCAAAGCCAACTGGGACGAAAGTGGTAACCCAGCACAACACAGCTGCTCTAGGAAAGTGTGGCCACACTGCTTCTTTAAGTAAGTCCCCAATATTGCCCCTCCTCACTGGAAAGAACCTCCCAACTGGGACCTCCAGCCAGCCCTGCAGGTGTTCTCTGGCCTACAGAGATTTGCAAAGTCCCTGGGATAGAACTCCCACAGGGTGTGCAGGCCATCATCTTTGCTGTTTGGGCAACTTAGCAGTTTCAGTCTCTGGGGTTTGGAGAGCCCATGCCGACCCAGAGGTGGAAGTGGTACAACAGCACACCACAGTGGTCCCATAAAAATGTGGCCAGACTGCTTTATTAAGCAGGTTCCCAGTCCCATTCCTCATCACCAGGTGGAGCCTCCCAACTGGAGTCTTCAGCCACACCCACAGGTGTTCTTTGGCTGACAGAGGTTTGAGGCATCCCTAAAATGAAGCTCCCAGGAGGAGGGGCAGGCCACTACCTTTGCTGATTTGTAGCCTTCACTGGTGACACCTCCAGCTACTGAAAAATCCAAGGTGACTAGTGACTGGAGTGGACACCCAGCATACACAAGCAGCCCTATGGAAAAGTAGCCAGAGTTGTTCAAAAAAACAAACCCATCCAAAGGTAAGCAGCCTCAAAGACTGAAGTTAGGTAAGCTCACAAAGATGAGAAAGAATCAGCACAAGTATGCTGAAAACTTAAAAAGCCAGAGTGCCCTCTTTTCCTCCAAGTGACCGCATCACCTCTCCAACAGGAATCAGGCTGAGAATCTCCTCAGAATCAGGCTGAGGCTGAGACAGCTGAAATGAAAGAAGCAGAATTCAGGATACGGACAGGAACGAAGTTCACTGAGCTAAAGCAATACATTGTAATCCAATGAAAGGAAGCTAAAAATCATGATAAAACACTGCAGGAGCAAACAGATGAAATAGCCAGTATAGAGAAGAACATAACCAACCTGATAAAGCTGAAAAACACACTACAAGAATTTCATAATGGAATCACAAGTATTAATAGCAGAAGAGACCAAGCGAAGAACAAATCTCAGAGCTTGAAGACTGGCTTTCTGAAATAAGACACGCTGACAAGAATAGAGAAAAAAAGGATGAAAAGGAATGAACAAAAGCTCCAAGAAGTGTGACATTATATAAAAAGACCAAATCTATGACTGACCGGTATATCTGAAAGAGATGAGGAGAATGGCACCAATTTGAAAAACATATTTCAGGATGTCATCCATGAGAACTTTCCTAACCTAGCTAGATGGGCCAACATTCAAATTCAGGAAATGTAGAGAACCCCAGTAAGATACTCATGAGATGATCATCCACAAGACACATAATCATCAGATTCTCCAAGACTGAAATGAAAGAAGAAATGTTAAAGGCAGCTAGAGAGAAAGGCCAGGTCACCTACAAAGGAAAGCCCATCAGACTAACAGCAGACCTCTCAGTGGAAACCCTACAAGCCAGAAGATATTGGGGACCAATATTTAACATTCTTTTTTTTTTTTTTTTTTTGAGATGGAGTCTCACTCTGTCACCCAGGCTGGAGTACAATGGCGCAATCTCGGCTCACTGCAACCTCTGCCTCCTGGGTTCGAGCAATTCTCCTGCCTCAGCCTCCCAAGTAGCTGGGACTACAGGTGCACACAACCACACCCGGCTAATTTTTGTATTTTTTTTTTAAATAGAGACAGGCTTTCACCACATTGGTCAGGCTGGTCTTGAACTCCTGACCTCAGGTGATCCGCTCGCCTCGGTCTCCCAAAGTGCTGGGATTACAGGCGTGAGCCACCACACCTGGCTAACATTCTTAAAGAAAAGAAATTCCAACTCAAAATTTCATATCAGGCCAAACTAAGCTTCATAAGTGAAGGAGAAATAAAACCTTTTTCAGACCAGCAAATGCTGTAGGAATTTGTTACCACCAGACCTGCCTTACAAGAGCTCCTGAAGGAAGCACTAAATATGGAAAGAAAAGACAATTACGAGCCACTACAAAAACTCAATGAGGTACACAGACCAGTAATACTGTAAAACTGTTAGTTACATAAACAAGTCTGCCAAATAACCAGCTAGCATCATTATGACAATCAAATCCACACACATCAATACTAGTCTTAAATGTAAATGGGCTAAATGACCCAATTAAAAGACACAGAGTGGCAAGTATTTTGATAAAGAACCACGATCCATTGGTATGCTGTCTTCAAGAGACCCATCTCATGCAATGACACACATGGGATCAAAATAAAGGGATGGAGAAAAATTTACCAAGCAAATGGAAAACAGAAAAAAGCAGGGGTTGTACTCCTAATTTCTGATAAAACAGACTTTAAACCAACAAAGATTTAAAAAAAAAAAAAAAAGAAGGGTATTACATAATGGTAAAGGGTTCAATTTAACAAGAAAAGTTAACTATCCTAAATACAAATGTACCCAACACAGGAGCACTCAGATTCATAAACCAAGTTCTTAGAGACCTTCAATGAGACTTAGACTCTCACACGATAATAGTGGGAGACTTTAACACCTCACTGACAATATTAGACAGATTATCAAGACAGATAATTAACAAATAAATATTTAGGACCTGAACTCAGCACTGGATCAAATGGACCTGATAGATATTTACAGAATTCTCCACCCTAAAACAACAGAATAGTGTTCTCATCACCATCTGGCACATACTCTAAAATTGATCACATGGGCCAGGCGCGGTGGCTCATGCCAGTAATCCTAACACTTTGGGAGGCTGAGACAGGCAGATGACCTGAGGTTAGGGGTTTGAGACTGGCCTGGCCAACATGAGGAAACCCTATCTCTACTAAAAATACAAAAATTAGCCAGGTGTGGTGGCACATCCCTGTAATCCCAGCTGCTCGAGAGGCTGAGGCAGGAGAATCGCTTGAACCCAGGAGGCAGAGGTTGCAGCGAGCCAAGATCATGCCACAGCACTATAGCCTGGGCGACAGAGTGAAACTCCATCTCAAAAATAAAATAAAATAAAATAAAATTGATCACATAATTGGATGTAAAACATCCTCAGTAAAAGCAAAAGAACTGAAATCATAACAAATATTCTCTCAAACCACAGAACAATTAAATTAGAAATCAAGATTAAGAAATTAACTCAAAACCCTACAACTACATATAAATTGAATAACCTTCTCCTGAATGATTTTTGGATAAATAATGAAATTAACGCAGAAATCGGGAAGTGCTTTGAAACTTAGAGTACAAAGAAACAACATACCAGACTCTCTAGAACACAGCTAAGGCAGTGTAAAAGGGAAATTTATAGGACTAAATGCCCACATCAAAAGTTAG
This sequence comes from Homo sapiens, assembly GCF_000001405.40. Classification (NCBI taxonomy): domain Eukaryota; kingdom Metazoa; phylum Chordata; class Mammalia; order Primates; family Hominidae; genus Homo; species Homo sapiens. The sequence continues at coordinate 78,702,575 of NC_000008.11, read as the reverse complement.
AAAGATCTCAAGTTAACAACCAAAGATCACAACTAAAAGAACTAGAAAAACAAGAACAAACAAATCCCAAAGCTAGCAGAAGACAAGAAATAGTCAAAATCAGAGCTAAACTGAAGAAGATACATGAAAAACCATTCAAAAGATCAACAAATCTAGGAGCTGCTTTTTAAAAAATTGATAAAATATATAGGCTGCTAGCTACACTAAAAAGAAGAAAATAGAGAATATTCAAATAAACACAATCAGAAATGACAAGAGGGGTATTACCACTTGACCCCATAGAAATACAAGTCATCACAGAATATTATGAATACCTCAATACACATAAACTAGAAAATCTAGAAGAAATGGATAAATTCCTGGACACCTACACCCTCCCAAGACTGAACCAGGAAGAAATTGAATCCCTGAACAGACAAATAACGAGTTCTGAAACTGAGGCAGTAATAAATAGCTTACCAATTGAAAAAAGCCCAGGACCAGATGGATTCACAGCTGAATTCTACTAGATGCACAAAGAACTGGTACAATTCCTACTGATATTATTCCAAAAAATTGAGAAGAAGGGACTCAACTCTAGTTCATTCTATAAGGCCAGCATCACCCTGATACCAAAACCTGGCAGAGACACAACAAAAAAGGAAACTTCAGGCCAATAACCTTGATAAACATCAACAAAATACTAGCAAATCAAATCCAGCAGCACATCAACAAGCTTATCCACCAGGATCAAGTAGGCTTCATCCCTGGGATGCAAGGTTGACTCCGCATATGCAAATCAATAAATGCTATTCATCACAACAAAATTAAAGACAAAAAGCACATGATTATCTTAATAGATGACGAAAAGGTTTTCAATAAAATTCAACATCCCTTCACGTTAAAAACTCTCAATAAACTAGGTATTGCAGGAACATACCTCAAAATATTAGCCACTTATGACGAATCCACAGCCAACATCATACTGAATGGGAAAAAGCTGGAAGCATTCCCCTTGAAAACTGGCACAAGACAAAGATGCCCTTTCTCACCACTCCTATTCAACATAGTTTTGGAAGTTCTGGCCAGTGCAATCAGGCAAGAGAAAGAAATAAAGGGGCATCCAAATAGGAAGAGAGGAAGTCAAACTATCCCTGCTGGCAGATGACATGATCATGTATCTAGAAAACCCCATTATATCAGCCCAAAAGCTTCTTAACCTGATAAGCAACTTTAGCAAAGTCTCAGGATTCTAAAATCAATGTGCAAAAATCACTAGCATTCCTATACACTAATAACAGCTAAGCAGAGAGCCAAATCAGGAACAAACTCCCATTCACAATTGCCACAAAAAGAATAAAATACCTAAGAATACAGGTAACTGGGGAGGTGAAAGATCTATACAAGGAGGACTACAAGCCAATGCTCAAAGAAATTAAAGATGACACAAATAAATGAAAAAATATTCCATGCTCATGGATAGGGAGAATCAATATTGTTAAAATGGTGATACTGCCTAAAGCAATTTATAGATTCAATGCTATTCCCATTAAACTATCAGTGACATTCTTCACAGAACCAGAGAAAACTATTTCAACATTAATATAGAATAAAAAATGAGTCAAACTAGCCAAGGTAATTCTAAGCAAAAAGAACAATGCTGGAGGCATCATGCTGCCTGACTTCCAGCTATACTACAGGGCTACAGTAATCAAAACAGCATGGTACTGGAACATGGACCAGTGGAACAGAATAGCAAGCCCAGAAGTAAGACCACACACCTACTACTATCTGATATTTGACAAACCTGACAAAAATAAGCAATGGAAAAAGGATTCCCTATTTAATAAAAGGTGCTGGGATAATTGGCTAGCAATATGCAGAAGACTGAAACTGGATCCCTTCCTTCCACCATATACAAAAATTAACACAAGATGGATTAAAGACTAATGTAAAACCAAAAACTATAAAAACCCTGGAAGACAACCTAGCCAATACCATTCAGGGCACAGGCAGCAGCAAAGATTTTATAATGAAGATGCCAAAAGCAATTGCAACAAAAACACAAATTGACAAATGGGCTGTAATTAAACTAAAGAGTTTCTGCATAGCAAAAGAAACTATCAACAGAGTAAACAGACAACCTACAGAATGGGAGCAAATATTTGCAAATTATGCATCCAACAAAAGTCTAATACCCAGCATCTATAATTTAACAAACAAACTTACAAGAAAAAAACAAACTTACAAGAAAAAAAGAAACTTACAAGAAAAAAAACAAACAATCCCATTAAAAAGTGGACAACAGACATGAACAGACACTTTTCAAAAGAAGACATACATGCGGTCAACTGTCATATGAAAAAAAGCTCAACATCACTGATCATTAGAGAAACGCAAATCAAAACCACAATGAGGTATTATCTCACACTAGTCAGAATGGCTGCTGTTAAAAAGACAAAAAATAACAGACACTGGTGAGGTTGTGGAGAAAAAAGGAATGCTTATACATTGCTGGTGGGAATGTAAATTACTTCAGCCACTGTGAAAGACAGTGTGGCAATTCCTCAAAGACCTAAAGACAGAACTACCATTTCCCCCAGCAATCCCATTACTGAGTATATACCCAGAAGAATATATATCATTCTATTATAAAGACACACACATATGTTCACTGCAGCACTATTCATAATACTGAAGACATGGAATCAACCTAAATGTCCATCAATGATATACTGGATAAAGAAAATATAGTACATAAACACCATGGAATACTATGCAGCCATAAAAAGGAATTAGATCATGTCCTTAGGAGGGACATGAATGGAGCTGGAGGCCATTATCCTTAGGAAACTAACACAGGAACAGAAAACCAAATACTGCATGTTCTCACTTATAAGTGGAAGCTAAATTATGAGACTACATGGACACATAGAGGGGAACAACACGTACTGGAGTCTTTTGGAGGGTGGAGGATAAGAGGAGAGAGAGAATCAGGAAAAATAACTGATGGGTACTAGGCTTAATACCTGGATGATGAAATAATGCATACAACAAACTCCCTATGACACAAGTTTACCTATGTAACAAACCTGCACTTGTATCCCTGAACTTAAAAGTTAAAATTAAAAAAAGAAAATAATGTGTGCTGTATTTCATTAATCAACTGAACCAGTATATGTAAAGATATAGACATACACCTTCATTCTAATGGTCCTGTGGTAATCCCTTAATTTTCTGATTTATCAAAATAAAAAATAAGTAAATTTCTAAAAATATATGGCTCTATATTAATATCTCCACTGTTACAATTTTTCCCATAACTATTGAAAGTTTAATTATATACTTCATTAAAAGCCATGTAAATATAACAGTAGAAAAATATAAAAAAGGATTAAATTAAGAGAATCACCCCACTGCTTCTATCATACTACACATGGAGTTCAGTAGCTAACATTTTCCTAACAGAATCACCTTATTAAAATTTATATACATACTATAGTTGCAAAATATCCCTTTATAGATTTTCATAATTTACTATTCAAACAAAGCTAGACATTTTGGTGATTTTATTTATTTCTAACATTATAATAAAAACGTGAAAAGAGTCCAGTGTTTACAGTCAAAGATATCCCAATTTATATATTGCGTCTAACTTTAACAGCTATGTGGCTTTGAGCAAACTGAGCTTCTCTGATCTTCTTTTCTCTTGATTATGAAGTGGTTTTAACAAAAATATATGCAAAATGTCTAGCACAGTGCCTGATACATAGTGCTTAGTAAATTATAGTTAGTATAAAAATCGTCAACATTTCAAATTATTTCCTTAGACTAAATTCCCAGAAGTAAAATTATTCAATTTAAGCTATGATTTCTAAGGCTTTTAATACCAGATTATTTTCTAAAATGGTTATACAAATTTAGATACTCAACAGCAGTGAGTGTGCTCCTGACCAGCAAAATGTTAAAAGACAAATGAACTTAGGAAATGAAGATGAATGAAAAAGCAATTATCAAAACATAACAAAACCTTAGTATCGTTTAATTATATACCACTAATAATTATATCCAGTGTAGACTTACCCTGCATGAGGGGCTGCTATCCCTTTATGAGAGGGAGATAAGGTCTGAAGTTTGTTTCCCAAAGAGCTGCTACTTGAAGACACTTTACCTGAAGGAACACCTTATAATAAAAAAGCATTATTTTTAACAATACTCTAAAAAAGGTTACATAAAACAGAGCATCTAACAAAGGAAACAATGCTTTAGTAATAATCTTTGCAACTATAAATCAAGTTTTCATTGAAGACATTTTTTAAATGGCATTTCCAGAGGACGACATATAGCATCCTTCATTTCTAGTTTCTAAATGTCCCTCTTATAATTGATATATAAATAAAGGTACATGTCAGTGGTCAATATCTTCTTCTAACTATTAAGTGTTTGACTACTACGAACAATTGCCCAGTTCAGAAAGCTATGAAGAGCTAGCATAAAATGAGAGGAAAATGCTGGATCAAAGAATCAAGGAAGTACTGGGCTGACTATTCTGAACAGATGACATCAATAACAACATCTGGGGCCAACATTTAAGCTGAAAAAAACAACAAAAAAGTGGCTCGGCACCACGGTGGCTCACGCCAGTAATCTCAGCACTTTAGGAGGCTCAGGTTGGGGGATCACGAGTTCAGGAGATAGAGATTATCCTGGCTAACTTGGTGAAACCCCATCTCTATTAAAAATACAAAAAATTAGGTGGGCATGGTGGCACCCGCCTATAGTCCCAGCTACTCGGGAGGCTAAGGCAGGAGAATCATTTGAACCTGGGAGGCGAAGGTTGCAGTGAGCTGAGATTCCACCACTGCACTCAAACCTGGGCAACAGAGCAAGACTCCGTCAAAAAAAAAAAAAAAAGGTTAAAAGTAGAAACTACTCAAAGTTATCTTATTTTAAAAAATAATTACTTAACTTCTACATCTCTTCTTAATTATAAATCTATCTTAATATTCCAGAATAGACCACTATCTTTATTTCCTGCTCTGCCAACATGGTTTCAAAAACAAATCAAGTTGCTTTTCGGCTATCATTACCTACAACAGTTTTGCCAGCGCCACTTGGCTGCGGTAATCGTGAAGATCCTGATGATGCAGTTCCAGGAGAATTTGACTTTTTAAGTGCGGGTGGCTTATACTAAAATAATGGAAAAAAAATATTAATCAACATCACTTTTTGATTATGGATTGTAAAGTAGTGGTTCAAAACTTAACATTCTTTGGGTTTAGGATTTCAGCCTTACAAGATGAAAAGAGTTGTGGAAATGAATGGTGATGATGGTTGCACATCATTAATGTATTAAAACACTTGTAAGTATACACTGAATTGTATTCTTAAAAACGATTAAGATGGTAAAGTTTATGCTACATGTATTATACCACAGTAAAAAAATAATTGGAAAGAAACAGCTCACATTCCCTTAAATGAACAGTCTTTTCTACTGAATTATACAAATTGAGGAAGTATAGATTAAAATATATCACCTCAAAGGTTTTCCAAACTAGACTCCCTCTCAGATGCTCCACTGCTAAAACAAACTAACAGCAACTTTTTCAGTTCACAGGAAAAAGAAAAAAAGGTCTAACGGAAAAAACTTCCTCAAAGTTAAGATTTTAAACACCAAACAAACATTAGTAGAAAAACTTAGAAACAGCTATGGTGCAGCTTTAAAGGTCAAGATTTTTATATGTTCCTGGATGTGTTTTTATATTCCATATATATAATTCAGCCATATTTCCTACTGATAAAAACCGTAAGATGACCTAGGACCTGAACAAGTTTTACAACAGCTGCATTATGGATTTCCCTGATATGAAGAGAAAGAGCTAATTCTGGCTTCACGATCCTCACCAGACCATCTTAAATTAATGGAGTATGCATTGACCTAAGATCTTTCAGCTTATCTTGGATTTTTATATTTCTCTACTCCTCTAAAGAGACATCTTTATTAATTTTATTTTACTTTCTCTTTTTGAGCCAAATTTTGCTCAGTTACCTGACAATAAAAGTATCTTACTGATCACCTGCTTCAATAGCAAGAAATGAACTTGCCCAGGGTTATGCCCCAACTTCACAGCAGAGCAGGAATTTAGACTCATGCTGGTTCTAGCCCAATGCTTCAACCATAAGGTGAAAATCATACTTGCATATGTGCTTGGAATGTAGCCCAATACGGTATCAAGATTTCATGTGAAAAATTGGTTTTAACGGGCTGGGCACGGTGGCTCATGCCTGTAATCCCAGCACTTTGGAAGGCCGAGGCAGGTGGATCACAAGGTCAGGAGATCGAGACCATCCTGGCTAACACAGTGAAACCCCGTCTCTACTAAAAATACAAAAAATTAGCCGGGCGTGGTAGCGGGCGCCTGTAGTCCCAGCTACTCAGGAGGCTGAGGCAGGAGAATGGCGTGAACCCAGGAGGCGGAGCTTGCAGTGAGCCGAGATCACGCCACTGCACTCTAGCCTGGCAACAGAGCAAGACTCCGTCTCAAAAAAAAAAGAAAGAAAAATTGGTTTTAAATTATCATTTTCAAAAATCAAATCATATTTTATAACCAATAATCAATATAAAATTTAAGATGCACTACTACCAAAAATAGCTAGCTAAAACCAATTTTGAAGTCAAACATTATATCCTTCTAACTCTGTATGTGAATTTTTAAAAAGTTAAATCTTGATAAACGGTCACACAAAAAAAGTAGCATTCACGTTTTGCAGTATTATGCCAGCACCTGAAAAATAGAAAACCAAAACCTTCAGTAAATGTCTTTCAAATTAACAAATGTCTATGAGACTTTGGGAGATGAACCATATAATGATACTGATTTTTTAAAACCTTAGAGGTGCTTCTGGTTTAAAAGGGCATCTGGGCCACTATATATATATAGAGAGAGAAAGACAGACATTAGAAAAGACTTAAAATTATAGCAATAGGGAAAACAAGCTCTAACAAAAATTTGTTAAACTACGAGAGTTATGTCTATAAAAACAGAGTTAATAAAATCAGATTAGGAAACAAGACTGCTGACCCACTCAAACTGTACAATCAAAAAAGAGCAAAATGATTAGCATAAACAAAGTGCGCTGATGTGGCCTATTACATATTGAGAGGTCAAGTCTTTAGGCAGGAAACAGGCAGAAAGGTTCCTGGTAGCATTACATAATGGAGACTAAAGATTTTTATGTATATAATAGGAATTATTAACAACTTAATGGCTTCCAAATACTTAGGCAGAACATGTCTCCAAAAAATGTTTTGCTTTCTCCCTCTCTATATAAGACTTCCCACTATTTTACTAAATTTTATTGTTGAGTTTTCTGAGCTATTCAGAACCTAGAACAACCTTACTTATATCCTATAATATTTCCCATTACTTTAGACAAGAACTAGTCAGGTTAGTTTCCTTTCCGAAAACTGCTTGTTTAAAACATTATTCACCTCCCCCTCGGTATCTTGCTGTTTTCCCTGACCTAGATAATCTGACTCCTTCCTTTCTGAGCTATATTCTATCTATTCTACAACATCAAGCTGAAAGTCTACTGGTATATAAAGACTTTCAGAATGACTCTATCAATCAACGGTTTTGTGTGCTATTATGAAGACTTTCAGAATGACTCTATCAACCAACAATTTTGTATAAATCCATTTTAATGACCAGGAGAATGAAATGATTTTATACAATTACATTCAACGTATTTCTTTCATTCATTATTATTTGGTAATTATTATTTTGTGTTTTTATGCTGCTCACAAATCTCATACATTTCCTTACAAAAATATTTATACAAAGACTAATGACTAATGAAATTGGAAAAAGTCTAAAGAACTTGTAGGACATCCATTTCTGACAAAATGGTAGAACTTACTATTTAGACCAACCTTTCAATTAACAACTAAAAATGCTCAGGAAAGAATAAAAAATCATTGTAAAAGCACTGAATGTCAAATGAGAGGAAAAGAAATTTCCAGGCCAAACCATATGGAATTGTAATAACGACCTGAACATCACATGGATTTGCTGTATAAATTTGCATTATTAGGCTGGTCAAGCAAACTAAGCCAATAATTTAATTTCAAATGTTTCCAGACTGATAAGACTCATAGATACCTAAAAGGAATAAGCACAGCACACATCTTCTCTGGAAGAAGGCATGAATGATAATCATGAATACCGTTTTACTTGTAACAAGCAGCAAAGGTCAATAATAATCAGGGAAATAAGGATATAAGGAAACTGAATGAGAAAAAAAAAAAAACAAGGAACATATCCATACAAGTCACTTGATATTGCTATAATTATCAGACACACATTACAAACAACTATGAGTACTACATTTAAAGAAATAGCAGACAACTATGAAAATATTAATGGAAAATTGCAAACTATAAAAAATAGGAAATTAGAAAAATAGCCAGCCAACTGCAAGAAATTAAAAACACAAAACAGAGATATAGACCAATGGAACAGAACTGAGCACTCAGAAATAATGTCACACATCTACAACTATCTGATCTTTGACAAACCTGACAAAAACAAGAAATGTGGAAAGGATTCCCTATTTAATAAATGGTGCTGGGAAAACTGGCTAGCCATATGTAGAAAGCTGAAACTGGATCCCTTCCTTATACCTTACACAAAAATTAATTCAAGATGGATTAAAGACTTAAGTGTTAGACCTAAAACTATAAAAACCCTAGAAGAAAACCTAGGCAATACCATTCAGGACACAGGCATGGGCAAGGACTTCATGTCTAAAACACCAAAAGCAATGGCAACAAAAGCCAAAATTGACAAATGGGATCTAATTCAACTAAAGAGCTTCTGCACAGCAGAAGAAACTACCATCAGAGCGAACAGGCAACCTACAGAATGGGAGAAAATTTTTGCAATCTACTCATCTGACAAAGGGCTAATATCCAGAATCTACAATGAACTCCAACAAATTTACAAGAAAAAAACAAACAACCCCATCAAAAAGTGGGCAAAGGATATGAACAGACACTTCTCAAAAGAAGACATTTATGCGGCCAAAAGACACATGAAAAAATGTTCATCATTACTGGCCATCAGAGAAATGCAAATCAAAACCACAATGAGATACCATCTCACACCAGTTAGAATGGCGATAATTAAAAAATCAGGAAACAACAGGTGCTGGAGAGGATGTGGAGAAATAGGAACACTTTTACACTGTTGGTGGGACTGTAAACTAGTTCAACCATTGTGGAAGTCAGTGTGGTGATTCCTCAGGGATCTAGAACTAGAAATACCATTTGACCCAGCCATCCCATTACTGGGTATATACCCAAAGGACTATAAATCATGCTGCTATAAAGACACATAAACACGTATGTTTATTGCGGCACTATTCACAATAGCAAAGACTTGGAACCAACCCAAATGTCCAACAATGATAGACTGGATTAAGAAAATGTGGCACATATACACCATGGAATACTATGCAGCCATAAAAAATGATGAGTTCATGTCCTTTGTAGGGACATGGATGAAGCTGGAAACCATCATTCTCAGCAAACTATCACAAGGACAAAAAACCAAACACCGCATGTTCTCACTCATAGGTGGGAATTGAACAATGAGAGCACTTGGACACAGGAAAGGGAACATCACACCCCAGGGCCTGTTGTGGGGTGGGGGGAGTGGGGAGGGATAGCATTAGGAGATATACTCCATGTAAATGACGAGTTAATGGGTGCAGCACACCAACATGGCATATGTACACGTATGTAACAAACCTGCACGTTGTGTACATGTACCCTAAAACTAAAGTATACTACTAATAATAAAAAAAACAAATTAGAAGCTCAATGTTGGAGGGGTGAAGTGGCTATATAACCATCCTACAGGTAGCAGCAATTACAACAAAAAGATTACTGGAAACCACTGGAAAACCTACACTGTACACCCTGGATTTAACCACCTACACTTAGACCTCCTTACTGCTCCCCTCCTAAAAAAGGAAAGAAAGTAAAAACACTTTGCAAAAGAACAAAACAGAAATTGTTATATATTACCTACCATGTCATGTCTAGTTTTCAACCAAACATTACCAGCAAAGAAAGAGAAAACATGATCCATATTTAGCAAAAATGTCAAGTCAACAGAAACTAACTGCAAATGACCACAGGTGGCAGATTTAGTAGTTAAGGATTAAAAAATAGTAATAATAAATAAGACTGAACTATAGGGATTGGAATTGGAGAAATTAAGCCAGGCACAGGCATGTGAATACCACATGTACTCACTTACATGTAGAATCTAAAACAATGGAACTCTAAGCAGCAGAGAACTGAATGGTAGTACCAGAGGCTAAAGGGAGGGGGAAAGGGAAGAAAGAACAAGGAGATGATGATGATGGTCAAAGGGGTAAGTTTTTGTTGTGGTTTTTATTTTGAGATATACTGCATAGCATGGTGAATACAGTAAATGATAATGTATTATACCTTTCAAAATTGCAAAGAGAAAAAATTTTCAAATGTTCTTACCACAAAAAATGGTAAGTACTTGAGGTGATAGTATGTTAATTAGCTTGATTTAGTCATTGCACATTGTATCCATGAATCATGGTATCACTTTGTACCCCATAAATATATACATCTATAATCTGCACGTTTACAATTTCAATAAATATATAAATAAGGCAGTAAGTATAACAATACACATCAAGAGTACTGATAGGCCTATAATATCTAGAGTTACATATATGAAACAATAGCACAAACCTGTCAGAGGTAAATAAAAATATCCATAGATATGGGTAAGTCAAAGATGCATTTTTTATTCCTAGAGCAATCACTTTTCAAAAATGCAAAGAATTACAGCTAGAAAGCCAAAAAAGAAAATGAAATCTTATGAAGACAAAAGGGAAAAGAAATGGTGAATTTTTAAAAAAATTACAAAAGGAGAAAACAGATGGCAGACCTAAACATAAGCAAATCAATAATTGCACCAAATGTAAATGACAGGCAATTTTGACCAACAAGATGAAGTTACTAGATTTGATTTTAAAAAAAGAAATACAAAAACCAATTATAGCAATGCAAAAACACATATATAAGGAATAGAGAGAAAAGAAGTGAGCATAATTATGTTAAAATGGCTATATTCTTATCACATGAAACATACTGCAACACAACAAATATTGCCACAGACAAAAAGGAACAATTTATAATGATAAAAGTGCCAATAAATGGGGAAGATGTAACAATTTATAAATGCTATGCAAACAATAAGAGAACTTCAAAATTTTGAATTAAAAGCTGGCAAAACTAAAGAGAAATGTAAGAAAAGTCATAATTTTAACATATTTCCCTCAGTAATTGATGGAACATCATACACAATGGTGAAAAACAATGCTTTTCACCTAAGAACAGAAAAACAAGGCAAGGAGGTCCACTGTCATCACCTCTATTCAACATTAGTCTAGCCCATGCAGTAAATCACAAAAAAGAAATAAAAGCCAAAAGGTTGGAGGGAAGAAAATAAAACTGTCCTTATTTATAGGTGACATGACTGTATACATAGAAAAGTCCTAAGAAATCTACAAGAAGACTATTATTAGTAAATGAATTTAGGAAAATAGCAGGGTATAAGATTAATATACAAAAATCCAGTTTTTCTAAACAAGCAAAAAACAACTAAAAATGAAATAAAATAAAATTCCATTTACAAGATCATCCAAATACATGATATACTTGGAAAATCTAACAAAACATGTGTATGACCTATATAATATACACTACAAAACACTGCTAAAATAAAACCTAAATGATCAGAAAATATAACAGGTTCATGAACTGAACAACTCAATATTGTTAAAATGTCAATTCTTCTCAAATTGATTTATGAATTTAATATAATCTCAAATGCTAGAAGTCATTTTTTGTAGATGTTGACAAGTCAATTATAAAATGTATATATAAATGTAAATCAAGAATGGCCAAAGTTTTTTTTTTTTTTTTGAGACAGTCTCTTGCTCTGTCGCCCAAGCTGGAGTGCAGTGGCATGATCTAGGCTCACTGCAAGCTCCTCCTCCCAGGTTCACACCATTCTCCTGCCTCAGCCTCCCAAGTAGCTGGGACTACAGGCGCCCGCCACCACGTCCAGCTAATTTTTTGTATTTTTATTAGAGACGGGGTTTCACCGTGTTAGCCAGGATGGTCTTTATCTCCTGACAATCGTGATCTGCCCGCCTTGGCCTCCCAAAGTGCTGGGATTAAAGGCGGGAGCCACTGCACCCGGCTGCCAAAGAAAATTTTAAAAGGAATTCAAGTAGGAAAATTTAGACTACTTGATTTTAAGGCTTATTAAGGTTCACTATTCAGTATAGTGATAATGCGGTATTGACTAAAGGACAGGGATATAAATCAATGGAACAGAACAGCATGTCCTGAAATAAACCCATACATTTATATTCATCTGATTTCCAACCAAGGTGCCTCAGCAATTCATCAGGGAAAGAAAAGTCCTTTAAACAAATCGTGCTAAAACAATAGAATATCCACATAGAAAACAAAAGGAAAAACTGCCCCTTACTTCACACTATACACAAATACCAGCCTGAAGTGATTTACAGATGTAAGAGCTAAAAGCATAAAACTTATAGAAGACATGGGAGAAAAATCTTTGCAATCCTAGTATAGGCAAAGATTTCTTTGATACAAGATAAGGAGCATAAATCATAAAGAATTAATAAATTGGACTTAATCACATTTTAAAATTTTTGCCCCTCAAAAGACATCCTTAAGAAAATGGAAAGCCAAGTCACAGGATGGGAGAAAATATTCTTAATATACATCTGAGAAAAGACCAAGAATATGTAACAAGGTCTTTCACTCGATAATCTAAAAACATGTATACATATATATAATGTTTTTATATATTTTATATATACAAAACGTGCTAAGACAATAGAATATCCACATAGAAAAAGGGAACAATTGCCCCTTCACACTATACACAATTAGCTTGAAATGATTTACAGATATAAGAGCTAAAAGCATACAACTTTTATAGATATATAAAACTATATATCTATAAAAGCAGGTGAGAAAAATATAGTCTAATGTCATGAAAAGCATAAACAATAATCTATGAATGTCCATGAGCCATTTTCTCGTTTATAGCAATTATTAAAACTGAACTTACCACCTGTGTCCGAGAAGTTGGTTTTCCTTTGGTATCTGTAGAAAATTTCCCTTTATTACTAATACGTGCTGCCTGTTCTTTACAGAAATTTATATGTCTATCAGCTGCATTTTCATTGAATCTCCTCTGACAATATGGACATTGAATATAATCTATAACAGATAAAAACGGAAACAGATTAATAGCATAGTACTTGAAACGGACATTAAAAAATCTTAAGTTTCTATGCAGTCATTCAAAAAATATAAGTAATAACATCTGATAAGCAAAAATTCCCATATCCTTATAACTACCCAGTTTTACTTGTCTAAACTTAGTAAAGAGTTAAAAAAAAAAAAAGTCTGCTGGTACATGACTTCCAATTTTCTTCTAGCTTTGAATCAAATGTGTGAAGGAAAAAAAACAAAAGATAAATCCTTAGTACAAAAGAGTAAGCAGAGGAAAAACGTTATTTCTTTTTTGCCTTTATGTTTTCATTTATAATGGATACATACTTTATATAGCAGACTAGTTAGGAAGTAATAATACATGACGTTAAAATACATTTTAAAATACAGGCTCATCTATTAAAATTTTTTATTTCATCAAATGGAAAACTGTCAAGAAATAGTTTACTTATCTTTAAAGTGCTATTTTCTCTTAAAAGTCCCAACAGATGGAAGAAGTGATTAAAATATATCTCACTGACATAATTCAAATTTAAGAAACAGCAAATGTTTCCAAGATAAAATATCTTCCCAAAATGCAAAGCATACTGTAAATTAAACTTCTTTTGAAATTATTCCAGAACCATATTTTGTAGCATTGTAAAATAACTAAATGAGACACTGGGAATAAATGTAAAAATCTGGTAGTGTCAAAAAAGAATCTTAATTTAACAGGTTTACAACTTATTTTAACAGGTTTACTTTTTTGATACAGAGTTTGCCCTTTTCAATTTATATTCATCTGAGCTCAAAAATTTGTCCTCCTTACTACTGGAGTAGGTCTTAAACCTCTCATAAGAAAGAAATAAGCTGTTTTTGTCAGGCCCAAAAGATTAAAAAAACTTCTAAAGCCCAAACGATCCTGAAGAACTGGTACCCTCTCACTCTCTTATATTAGACATGAGAAATGTAGCTATGTAGAGTTAAGACACAATATCTAAATATCTTCAAAGCAGAGAGAAAACTCAAGTTCATGAAGAAAATAAAAGGTAGTATTAAAAGAGGCCCAGGATCAGTTAAAGCATACCAGAAACATTCATTCATATAAGTTAATTATTAATACTCTAGAACAGGGTTTCGCAAAGTATGGCCCATGGGCCAAATCCAGCCTGCCTGTTGCCTGTCTTTGTAAATGAAGTTTTACGGAAACACAGCCATGCTCATTTTATATTTATATATATATAATTTATATATATTTATATATAAATATAGATATAGTTTATATATAAAAATATAGATATAAATAATTATATATTTATATAAATATATATAATTTATTATATAAATATATATTTATTATATAGATATATATTATATAAATATATATATAATTTATTACATGAATATATATATTTATTACATGAATATATATAATGTATTACGTAAATATATATATAATGTCTTACGTAAATATATATAATGTATTACATAAATATATATAATGTATTACGTAAATATATATATAATGTATTACGTAAATATATATAATGTATTACGTAAATATATATAATGTATTACGTAAATATATATATAATGTATTACGTAAATATATATAATGTATTATGTAAATATATATAATTTATTACGTAAATATATATAATTTATTATGTAAATATAAAATTTATTATATAAATATATAATTTATTATATAAATATATATAATTTATTATATAAACATATATAATTATATATAAATATATATATAATTATGTATATATAGTCTATGGCTTATTTGTTGCAATAGAAACCTTATGGCATATAAAATCTAAGATATTTACTATATCTGTAGATATACTATATCTCTCCTCTACAATAAAATGTCAAAAACGATCATATCTAGATTTGCTAAAGAACTTTCTCTTTGTTAGAAAATAAATCCCAATCTAGAGTACTAACATAGCATTAATGTGGCTACCCTGTTACATTAACAACCTCTTTAGGCTGCTCTAATAAGGAATGTCAAAGTGTCAACTTTGTCACTTTAAGTTTTTCGGTATCTCAGTATCTCATACAAGGTTGCAAAAATCTTGCTTTGCTTTTAGTAACAATGACTCAAGCAACTTTTATCTGCTCAATGAGAAAAAATTTAACAATATACAAATTTAAGCCATAAATGTAGTCGAGCCACATGAATTATACATTTTAGGAAAATTATGATTTTTTTTATATCAATCTCAGATGAGAAGATACCAAGGAACCAGGCAACATAATTATATGACTCCTGCTGAATGACTACATTTCAATCCGCAGTGAGCATGGTTAAAATATTTCCTGGAATACTCACATTTAATAGTTACTATAATAATTTTTAAATGATATTATAATGCCTTGTTTAAATAAAAGTATTAAAATAAAAACATAATACACTTCCATGTTCTAAATTAATGTCTTTATAAGCCTACATGACTAGATTACCACCACCATTTTACACCAAATTTTAAAGATTATGCCTCATAACACTCCATGATTGTAAGTTAAGCTTAACAAGTGAAAATTTATAAAAACTCTATCATTATTTTCTTTCCACATGAACATTTCTGTCAACAATATTCCAAATACCAGGATCATAAGAAGGTGGAGGAGGAGGAGGAAGTTTGCCACCCTCTTTGAGGGCCTGATCAAGGCCTTTAGCTGCTCTTATGGTAGCAATGAATTCTTCATGTTTCCTTCTCCAATTAGATGGTTTCTTTGGTGGTTCTGGCTATAAATAAATAAATAAATAAATAAATAAATAAACAAACAGTATCTTTTTAGTATATTGAAATAAAACATCAGATAATTCCATATCATTTTAAATGTTCTCTTATCAGGAGTCCTTAAATGATATCCTTCTCAAATTTATAATTTTAAAGAGAAACTTTATGCAACTACATTGCAATTTTATATTCAATTTCTTAATGTAAGTGTCATCGCGAAAGACACTACTAAACTGCCTTCTGTAGGTGTTACATCTATTTATCCTCCCACTAAGACTGTTGCTGTGGTTCAATGTTCCCTCCAAAACTCATGTTAAAATGTAATTGCCATTATAACAGTAGTACGAGGTGGGGACATCTGAAAGGTGATTAAGTCATTATGGTTCCGCCCTCATGATGGATTAATGCCATTATCCCAGTAGCAGATTAGTTATTGAGGGAGTGGGTTCCTGATAAAAAAGTAAGTCTGGACCCCACTTTCTGTTTCACATGCACACCTGCCCTTCCGTCATGGGATTATGCAGCAAGAAGGCCCTCGCCAGATGCTAGCACTATGCTCCTGGACTTCCCAACCTCCAGAACAGTGAGAGATACATTTCTTTTCTTTATAAATTATCCAGTTTGTGGTACTCTATTACAGCAGCAGAAAAGAGACTAACACAGTGTATTTCCCTGTTTTTCCATAGATCCTCTAACAGAATATATTATCTATCATTTGGGTTTTGAACCGATTAGAAATATGAAAAATAGTCCTCACTTTGTGGATTTAATTGGATTTTCTCTTATAATGATTGAGACTGAGCACCTTTTTAAATTACTAAGAATCATTTAATGTATTGTCTTTACTGTGGACTATTTATATTCCTGCTCAACTTATTTGTTGAGTTATTGGCCTTTAATGTAATAATTTCTAGTAATTGTTTATAGGAAACTATTCCCTCCCTCCCACCAACAATCTGTCTTTTGACCTTGTCTTTGGGTAGTCTTTTACTATGCATAATTATGTTTTAATTACAGTTTAATTTACTGATCTTTTATGGCCTCTGGATCTGCATTAGCCAGGTGCAACCTCACACCAAGGAAAAATAAAATTTTCCCATGCTTCCTTCTACAACTTCCAGTTTCAATTAAAATTTCCTAAATATTTTATTCATGTGGAATTTATTCTGCTGTGTGGAGTGACAAATTGAATCAAATTTCGCTTATTTTTTTAACATGGCTATGCAGTTGTCCTATCCTTTAGTGACTCTCCCCTCCCTGTCCCCCCACAACAGAATTGAAATAACACCTGTATAATCACTAAATTCCTTTCTGAATTTGGGCCTATTTCTGAACTTTCTCTTCCATTCCACGGTTCTGACTATCCTTTGTTAGTACCAGTATTTTCAATATTGAGACATTATATTTTAACATCTGATAGGCTAATATTTTATTAAGCTTTTTTAATCTTTTCCTAGTTCATGTATATAAATTTTTTGATGTAAACTTTTGAATCAACTTGTCTAATTTTTAAAAATTAAGAATCACATTTATAAACAAGTTGAGAAACTTAAAATCTTTATTAGGTCGAGTCTACCTATACAAGAATATGGGATATATTTCTATTTGAAAAACAGTTCATTTTTATCTTTCAGTAGTATTTTTTTACTTTGTGGAAGTCTTGTATCTTTATTATAAAGCTTATTCCTAAATATTTCATACTTTGTGTTGTTCTTTTGCAGAGGGTCCTTTCCTCATTGCTATGTCTCAAGAGCCTGTTTGCTGAGTATATGAAGCTTAGTTATTTTTGCATAGTAACCTACCACATTACTTCCCTTTACTCCTGTTGTTTGTAGTAATTTCTTACTTAATTCTCGGGTTTTCCAGGTATATCATATCTTCTAATAAAGATGATTTTATCTAGTCTTTTCAAATATCTATTGATATAGTTTGGCTGTGTCCCCACCCAAATCTCATCTTGAATTGTAGCTCCCATAAACTCCACCTGTTATGGGGGTACTCGGTAGGAGGTAATTGAATCACGGGGGCAGGTTTCTCCCATGCCGTCCTCATGACAGTGAATGAGTCTCATGAGATCTGATGGTTTTACAAAGGGCAGTTCCCCTGCACACACGCTCTTGCCTGCCATCATGTAAGATGTGCCTTTGATTCTTCTTCACCTTCCACCATGATTGTGAGGCCTCCCCAGACACGTGAAACTGAGTCTGTTACACCTCTTTTTCTTTATAAATTGCCTAGTCTCAGGTATTTCTTCATAGCAGTATGAAAATGGACTAATACAGTAAGTTGGTACTGGTGGAGTGGGGTACTGCTATTAAGATACCCCAAAATGTGTAAGCAACTTTGGAACTGGGTAACGAGCAGAGGCTGAAACAGTTTGGAGGGCTCAGAAGACAGAAAAATGTGGGAAAGTTTGGAACTTCCTAGAAACTTGTTGAATGGTTTTGACCAAAATGCTAATAGTGATATGGACAACAAAGTCCAGGCTAAGGTGGTCTCAGATGGAGATGAAGAACTTGCTGGGAAATGGAGCAAAGGTGATTCTTGTTATGCTTTAGCAAAGAGACTGGTAGCATTTTGCTGTTGCAATAGAGATCTGTGGCTTTAAACTTGGGAAAGATGATTTAAGGTTTCTGGTGGAAGAAATTTCTGGGGAGCAAAGCATTCAAGAGGAAGCAGAATATATAAGTTTGGAAAATTTGCAGCCTAATGATGTAACAGAAAAGAAAAATCCATTTCCTGGGGAGAAATTCATGGCTGCTGAAAAAATTTGCATGAGTAACAAGTAATGGAATGTTAATCACCAAGACAAAGGGAAAAATGCCTCCAGGGCACATCAGAGACCTTCAGGGCAGCCCCTCCCATCACAGGTTCAGAGGCCTAGAAGGGAAAAATGGTTTCCTAGGCCAGGTCCAGGGCCCCCCTACTGTGTGCAGCGTAGGGATTTGGTGCCCTGCGTCCCAGCTGCTCCAGGCATGGCTAAAAGGGGCCAAGGTACAAGTTGAGCCATGGCTTCAGAGGTGCAAGCCCAAAGCCTTGGCAGCTTCCACATGGTGTTGAGCCCACAGGTGCACAGAAATCAAGAGTTGAGGTTTGGGAGCCTCTGACTAGATTTCAGAGAATGTATGGAAACACCTGGATGTCCAGGAAGAAGTTTGTTTCAGGGGCGGGGCCCTCATGGAGAACCTCTGCTAGGGCACTGCAAAAGGGAAATAAGAGATTGGAGTCCACACACAGAGGCCCCACTGGGGCATGCCTAGTGGAGCTGTGAGAAGAGGGCCACCATCCTCCAGACCCCAGAATGGTAGATCCACCGACAGGTTGCATTGTGTGCCTGGAAAAGTTGCAGACACTCAATGCCAGCCCAAGAAAGCAGCCAGGAGGAGGGGGGCTGTACCCTGCAAAGACAAAGGGGTAGAGCTGCCCAAGGCCATGGGAGCCCATCTTTTGAACCAGCATGACCTGGATGTGAGACATGGAGTCAAAGGAGATCGTTTCAGAGCTTTAAGGTTTAATGACTGCCCTCATGGATTTCAGACTTGCATGGAGCCTGTGGCCCCTTTGTTTTGGCCCATTTCTCCAATTTAGAATGGGTGTATTTACCCAATGTCTGTATCCCTATTGTATCTAGGAAGTAACTAACTTGTTTTTGATTTTAGAGACTCACAGGCAGAAGAAACTTGCCTTGTCTCAGATTGAACTGTGGACTTTAGGGTTAATGCTGAAATGAGTTAAGACTTTGGGGGACTGTTGGGAAGGCATGATTGGTTTTGAAATGTGAGGGCATGAAATTTGGGAGTGGCCAGGGACAGAATGATATGGTTTGGCTGTGTCCCCATACAAATCTCATCTTGAATTGTAGTTCTCATAATCCCCACAGGTTGTGGGAGGAACCCATTGGGAGGTAATTGAATCACGGGGGCAGGTTTTTCCTGTGTTGTGCTCGTGATAGTGAATAAGTCTTGCGAGATCTGATGGTTTTATTAAAAAGGGAAGTTCCCCTGCTCTTGTCTGCCGCCATGTAAGATGTGACTTTGTTCCTTCTTCACCTTCCACCATGATGTGAGGCCTCCTCGGCCACATGGAAGTTTAAGTCCCTTAAACCTCCTTTTCTTTATAAATTACCCAGTCTCCGATATTTCTTAATAGCAGTAGGAAAATGGACTAATACATCTATGCATCCAATTTCTTCTTCTTATCTAACTGTATTGGCTGGCACTTATGGTATTGGTTACAGTTTAACCTTCTCCTTGATTTTAATGGGAACTGCCTCTAGTGTCCTCCACTAAACATGATGCTGGCTCACATGCTACAAAGATTTATTTTGTAATATTATTGAGATACCCAACTATTCCTACTATGTCTATATTTTTAAAATCAAGAATTATGTGTTGAATCCACAAAGTCAAAAGATGGTACTTTAAAAGATGGCTAGGTATGACGGCTCATGCCTGTAATCCCCACATTTTGGGAGGTGAAAGTGGCAGAAATCACCTGAGGCCAGGAGTTCAACACCAGCCTGGTCAACATAGTAAGATCCCTGTCTCAAAAAAAAGAAAAAAAAAAAAAAGAAAGAAAAAGGAAAAAAGAGAACTCAAATTATGAAGGAATTAAAAATAATACACAAATATGAAAAAGACAAGAAGATATTATAAAGAAATTGTATGCCAATAAATTTAATAATTATGACAAAATGGGCAATGTCCTTGGAAAACACAACAAAACAGATACCAGAACAAATATAAAATCAAAATGTCATTTATTTTAGAAAATATTTTCCTTCCCACAAAGAAACCTCCTGGCTCAGCTACCTTTAATTTTTAATTTTTGTAGACATATAAGAAAAATCTAGCATCAATATTACACAAACTCTTTCAGGGAATAGAAAACAACGAAACAACTTTCCAAACAGTGTTCCGAGAGCAGCAAAACTCTGACAAAAAGAATGACATTATCTACTTCTCTGATTAATATAAATGCAAAAATCTTAAACGTCAGCAAATTTAGATGTTTGAGATTACTGACTCTTTAACATTTCTTATTTTACAGCAAAATATCTGATCACAACATTCATCTGCTCTGTGATTATTACTCATCTACTGATGTTCTGCTGTTCTTTTCTACCTTTTTTCTCATAGTATCTTTTATCAATGCTGAGCTAATATATTTTCTATTATTCATCGCTTCTATTATTCATTTCTACTATTCAGCATAGATTTCCTGGTACAGCTATTTGCAAGAAGTTTTAGGGAGGAGAGGCCCAGGGTAGCTATACAAACTAGCAGCTCTCCTCTCTGTTGCAACAGATTCAGACTAGTTCCTGCAAATAAGGCGTCTCTGTGTAATTACACCCTGCTTCCCTCAGATCCTATGAGAACCACTTCAAAAAAAAAAAAGGTCACAGCCTTTTATGTTAGGCCCCTCATCTTCAGGAAAGGGATTTTCACTAATGTTTTCTAAGGGCCTCTGCCACTAGGCCTCCTCAACTCTCTGTTCCTACTCCCACCATTCTCTCCCTCCTGACTTTTATACAATTTCAGCCCTGCTCATTCCAGCTGGTAGCTATCCAAATTCCTACAGCTCCTCCCAGTTTCTGTCTTGCCTATACTAAACAAGAGATAAAGATACTATCTGATAAGATCTCTCACCTTTAAGGAATCACTTTTAAGATGAGGAAACCCCTCAACTTTAAGGTAGCAGATTTCCAGAATCCAGCCACAGGCCCCCAAGCAATTTCCTATACCTCCTCTTACGGGTAATTTCTCCTGGATTTCAACTGCTTTGGGGCAATCCTTACATATATTTGATAATCTATGAATTATGCCTACCTTTTGTTTTTCCAAAAATGAAGTTTGTAGTTGCTTTGCCCCACTCTGCTTATGATTTTGTAGGATTTTCTTGATACAGGTAAATATATTAAGAACTACACTTACAACATTCAAATCTTCTAAGACACTGCTTCTCAAACTTTAATGTGCATACGACTCACCCAAGGATGTTCTTAAAATAATTCTAATTCAGTATGTTTGGGAGGAGGCTGAGATTCTGTATGTCTAACAAGTTTCCAAATACTGCCACTATTACTGCTCTGTGGGCCACAGTTTTAGGTAACAAGGCAATAAACCACTTAATACAAAGCAATGGTTTTTACTTTGCTTTTTTTTTTTTTTTTTTTTTTTTTTTTTGAGACGGAGTCTCGCTCTGTCGCCCAGGCCGGACTGCGGACTGTACTTTGCTTTTTTCTAGAATTCAATTTTTAAGTTTACAACCCCAATTCCTTATAAAAGAAACAGGATGACTAATATTCATTGAAATCACCATGGATAATCTTATGTAATCCCTACAATAACCACACAAGATAAATACTACTACTATCACCATGTTACAGTGAACAGAAGCATAATTACATTAAATAACTTGCCCAGAATAATACGGTATGTAGCAAAGTGAAAGTTAAATTCAGACAGTCTGACTCTTGAGCCAATTTTAACACCCACTATATTACACTGCTTCCAAAGATTTGGCAATTTTATCTACCGAAGCAAATTAAAGCTAATATAGGCAGCAGGTAACTAAGAAAAACGTCATATATTGATTTATACAGCTTATTCAAACCCCACCATCCTTACTTTAAATGTTCACAGTAAAAAACAAAAATGAACATCTAATTTTTCTATCATCAAATGATTTTTTATTAGTAAGATTAATTTCCCCCTAGAAAAATGTTCTTATACCACTGGAAGAAGTTATTACCATTAACAGTAGGATTCTGTTTAAAAAACCTATTCAATCAGGTACTTAGCTTAAATCACTTCACTGAAATGATGCTTTTCAACTATGCTGAATAAGTTCTTAAGTAATTTATTCTTAGCAATACACAGTTGGCCCTTACTACCCATGGGTTCCATATTCATGGCTTGTGCATCCATGGATTCAGTCAACCATGAATCAGAAACTTTCAGGAAAAAAATAAATAACCATATAACAATAAAAAGTAACATAAATTAAAGACACAATTCAACAACTATTTACATAGCATTAAATTATAAGTAATCTAGACATAAAGCACATGGGAGGATGTGCATAAGTTATATGCAAATACTATGCCATAAGGAGTTTGAGTATCCACAGATATTGATATCAGAGGCGAGTCCCTGGAACCAATCTCCCACAGATACCAAGGGATTACTATAATATATAACAGATATTAAGGAGAGATTATCACAATAGATTCATTGCTTTGGTTTCAAGAAAGAAAATAAGCTGACAATAACTATATCTGGACACTGAACAACAGATAAAACTTTTCCTTAGAAACATAATATAGATTACAAATCCTGGCAGTCAATATGTCAAAATAAGCAGTATCTATTATGCTAAAATGTCTGTAAATAATGGCTTAACTTTTTGGATGTAGAGATTATCATAATGGTAGAAGATGAAATGAATCAAAACTTAAGTTATATCAAAAGTTTTTAATAATGACTTGAAAAGAATGTGGGACAGCAATTGGCTCTCCAATGCTATAAAAATCTCACTGTAATTGATGGAGTTTGAAACAGCACCTTGGTCTCTTCTTTGAAGTTTAGAAGCTTATTTTTTAAAATAAAATTTGTTTTATAAGCTTCAGATAATTTCTAAACTGAACATATAACACAGAATTGTATTTATTCTTTAATCTTAATGTAGCAGATAATTGTGTTTATTCTTAACCTTACTGTAACAGATAATATAATATTTTTCAACATACATAACACCAAAGTTCATACTGTTCAAAAGGTTATATAGTTACCCTCGGTTTGAGAGGTTTTACTGTTGGAATATCAGTTCCTTCAGCTCTCTGTCTGCTTGAATCAAAAGTCTTCCGTTTTTTAGTTGCAGTCTTCTGGCAAATGGGTCCATGTTTTTTCTGTTAAGATAAAGAAATGCAGCCTATCATTTTCTTTTCTACAGAAGGTAAGACTACAGAACTTTATTTACATTGAGACCAGTTTAAAAATCTGAGACCAAATGA
Source organism: Homo sapiens (assembly GCF_000001405.40). Taxonomy (NCBI): domain Eukaryota; kingdom Metazoa; phylum Chordata; class Mammalia; order Primates; family Hominidae; genus Homo; species Homo sapiens. The sequence goes on along the minus strand of NC_000008.11, from coordinate 78,678,457 downwards.
AAAACCTGAATACAAAATAATAAATAAATAAGATACACCTTGCCTTAACCAAATGTTAAGTTGTAAAACGTATATATAATGCACGCTCTAAGTTATCTTTCTCACTAAAAAAAATTATAAACACTCTTCTAACATGTCATTAAGTTATTTAATACTCTTCTCCTAGTTTGTACATTACTAATGTCAGAAGTGTGTGAAAGAGAACAACTCCATCTTAAACAGGAGCTGAGTAAAATGAGGCTGAAACCTACTGGACTGCATTCCCAGATAGTTAAGGCATTCTAAGTCACAGAATAAGATAGGAGATCAGCACAAAATACAGATCATAAAGACCTTTCTAATAAAAACAGGTTGCACTAGAGAAGCCAGGCAAAACCCACCAAAACAAAAATGGTGACGAGAGTGACCTCTGGTCATTCTCACTGCTACACTCCCACCAGCGCCATGACAGTTTGCAAATGCCATGGCAACATCAGGAAGTTACCCTATATGGTTTAAAAAGAGGAAGCATGAATAATCCACCCCTTGTTTAGCATATCATCAAGAAATAACCATAAAAGTGGGCAACCAGCAGCCTTCAGGGCTGCTCTGTCTATGGAGTACCCGTTCTTTCATTCCTTTACTTTCTTAATCAACTTGCTTTTACTTTGCACTGCGAACTCGCCCTAAATTGTTTCCTGTGCAAAATCCAAAAACTCTCTCTTAGTGTCTGGATTGGGACCCTTTTTCTGTAAAATATTTATCTGCCCTGTAACACTAAGAATAAGAAAAAGTAACAAAGTCAAAGTTACTACACTGCAAAAAAAAAAGTCTCCACTAAATGCCTGAACATAGATACTAGAAAAAGAAAATACAAAGAATACATTAGTTTTAGGATTACAAAAGTTAATGTAAGAGTAGTAGTTTGGATTACTAAAGTTAACATAATAGTAATATGCTAATATAAAGTTAACACAAAATAATAGGACAGGTGGTCTGATTTGTGTCCTTCTCCCATACTAATTCTTTTCCTCCCTTCTGGAACTCAAACTTTGCAGTTTTCTTCGCCTAAGATTTTTCTTGAGCTTATCTAGTGTTCTACTACTATTCAGATTTTTTTTTTTAAAGAGTTGTCCATTCATTCATTTATTCAGTTATTCAGTTTAGGGACATTAGAATGGAAGCTGTCTTAAATGACCTCCAATAAGCCAACTGGATAAACATTCTCCCTCCACTATATTAAGCATGATGATTGATGACATCGGTAAACTAAATACTCTTTTTTCTTTTGTATTTTGACAAACACTAAAGAAGGTAGAACTGTCAAACTTTGGGAAAAAATAAAACCTCAAAACTGGATTATTTCGTGTCTTGCAGCCTCTTAGGCTTTCAGTACACAATTAGCAATCAAGTGTTTTACATACTTATTTTCAGTTTTCATTTCAACAACCAAGCACTGTAATTACAGCTCTTAAGTATTTTTAAAAAATGAGGATAGCAGATGACTATCTAGTGGACCCATGTACATATGTTCCTTATTAAGTTATATATGTCAAGTGTATGTGGTGCTTGTTTCCCAACATAATTCAAGTTTCAGGTGTTATAATAACATCATTAAGTTAAATACCACATAAATGAGAGCCAAAAAAGGCACTTTTTTTTTGCTGTGAAATTCAGCTGAACACTCTGAAAAATAATAAATTGATAAGAAAAAAATCATTGAATGTGTGGGCAAGATGTTTTTAAAAGATTACAAAAAAGCCATCATTATTTAAAAGGTGCCTACAGTCAGAAGGACACTTTGGATCATTAATTCCTCACTTTGCTTTAAAGAAACAAACTAGAAATAGTAAGAGGATGCACAGTGGATCATGGCAGAACTTTAATCAGCAGATATACATTCACAGAAAAATTCTGTCTTACATTAAAGTATTAATAAATGTGTATTTGTGTTTGAAGTTAAAATACGTAAGGTACATAGGCATAATTTTTATTATTCCCTATTTAGTTAGCTAACTTTATTAAGATTAGTTAAAAGCGTTTTTATTTGTACTTACTAAGTAGCTAACATATCTTAAGAATGCATAATAAATTTTAGGTGTACTTTTACATTGAAAAAGTCTTTGTCTTTGAAACATCTCAAACATAAATAAGAGCTGACAGAAAAGGATAATTAACTACCATTTACTACTCATCACCCAGCTTCAACAACTCCCAACATTTTAGCTATTTTGTTTCATCTATCCCTGATTTTTTCCTGAAGTACTATAAAGCAAATTACAGACATTATATTATTTTGTATCTGTAAATAATTACTTATTTCTAAGGTATCTGATTTTGTTTTTTTTTTTTTATTTTGTTTGTTTTTGGTAAGAGTCTCGTAAAATGAGGAATACCTTTAAACTTTAACAGAAGAGTTCTGAAGACCAAACTCTGAAGGAAAGAAAGCATTCTGGAAGAATGGCATAGCTGAAATCAAGACCCTTGAACAAAGAATAGTACCCATTAACTCTTCAAAAACTATTCCACGTAAATTCTTCCCATGAGAATTGACCAGAATTATTGAACAATTACAGATCTGTAAAACCATAAAGGTACAAAATCAGTCTACTCACTAATGCTACTGGAAAGAATGTTCTTCCACAAATCTTGCAAGGTAACAATTCTCCAACTTGGACAACACCTCCATTCTCTAAAACAGGAAGGAATTTAATAAATAATTTATATAACTTGAAATTGTGAAACTTCACATTTTAATGTTTTCTCTTAGTTTTATAGGTAAATTATCAGTTTTTGTGAAAAATGTTTTACTGCATTTTGAAATAAGCAAAATTATCTATGAAAAGGAGCATAATACTTAGTTATCAGTGGTGAAAAAGGTCAGGATAAATATGGAGGAGTCATGATTTAAAGATATCCAAACTGATACTGCTGGAAATATCTAGTTTTCTTGTAATTATTTTAAGCAAATCAATTTGTCATATTCTCTTAACTTATAGGCTATCTCTATGGTAAATTACTACATTTTAAGAACAAAATTTATCTTATTAATTTCCAAGGCATGAAGAAATACCATTAGTGATGAGTTCAGTGACTTCCTGAGATGATTTGAAGAATCTAGAATAAAACGAATCTTACTCTGTTTACCACCAAACAATAGAAAGTACAATGCTATAAGATTAAGATCACCTAGTTATGCAAATTACATGTATTATGTGAATTATTATTTTATACATATAATACTTATATTAAGAGTCAGTGGACTAGTAAATGGAGATATTCTGACCTTACAAACAAAATTAAATAAAGAGGTAGCTACAACTTTCACTCAATTATTAATAAAATTAATATAACTATCATGTAACTGAATACAACAAATGTTATTACTAAAAAGAAAAAAAAAGAAACTACAAAAAAAGAAACTGCATTCTTTGTGATTCTGCATAATTCATTTTGTCATTTTATTTTATTTCCAAATATCAAACATAAACTTGTTTTCATAGCTATAATTTCCTAAAAATGATACTTAAACATGTAACATGTTCCCCATAGTTTCTGCTGAATATTTTAGAGATGCTAAAATTCTTTTATCATATGAAAGACAAATAGAAAAACATTTTTCTTTAGAAGTAACAAACTAATTTTAAAAAGTACAATTATATAACTCCATATAACCTGATCCAAGACATTTAGTGAGTTCACAGAGAACTAAACAGGCAAACCAAAATAGATATTGGTAAGAATGCATTCAAATACAGTAACAGAAGAACTGTTTTGTTTTCTCATTTCTTACTCCACTGCCCTACTTGACTGGTGGATAGTGATTACTTTTCATCTCAGATGGAGGCAATGTTGTGTAGTAGCAGTTAAGCAGTCAACACTACAAAAGCAAAGCTAAGATTTGCCTGACTTGTCCTTCTCCAACACCAGGAGCTAAGTTATTTAGGGAGGGCAATCTCATTTATCTGGATCACTTAAGTCCACTAACAATCCAGAGTTACTAAATGGAAACCATTAGGTTCATTTAGATAAGACAGTCTTCAAAATGATGGTCTCAGTAACATCACACGCTAACTAATCTATTAAGCTTGCTTATAGTTTTAACGTATTCCTTTAAATACTAAGCAATGATTTTAAAATTCATCAATACAAAATATTAAAAAGCACCACATATTATACTTGCTTAAAAGTGTATTTGCTTATCTACTTCTTAGATGACAAAGCAAAATCTTATAAAAATTAACTATTGACAAAAATGGATTCAGCACATAGAAAAACCACGTACCAAGCATGTACTAAGTAATATTAACACAAGGACAGAATAACACAATTATTGCTCTCATAAAGCTAACATAATCTATATTATTTACTTATTAAATAGATCTAAGAACCAAATCAACTCCTATTTTTCATACAAAAAATTAAAACATAAAGCAACCAAATATTACCATATAATAATATCCAGTTCTTGACATTAATTTCCACAAGTTATCAAACATGTTTAAAATGTTTTTTTAAAAAACGAAAATTATTATCACTATAAGGCATAAACAGATACAATACCATTTTAAAATAATGCTATTTGGGGATAATTTAAAAGCAATTATCCCCCAAAGAAATATTGTTTAGAGAAGAATGTCATTACTTCACCCAAAATAAAGATATATATAAAACACATATATAAATTTATAATGTCCTCTAATATTAGCTGGTCATAGAGCATAGCACTATAATTGACAAAATATGGCATGTGCATGTGTGTTGATGTCAAGACCTACGGAGGGAACTTCTACCCGGTAGCAAGGTAACAATTCTCCAATTTGGACAACGCTTTCATTCTCTAAAACAGAATACCATCTCACGCCAGTTAGAATGGCGATCATTAAAAAGTCAGGAAACAACAGATGTTGGAGAGGATGTGGAGAAATAGGAACACTTTTACACTGTTGGTAGGAGTGTAAATTAATTCAACCATTGTGGAAGTCAGTGTGGTGATTCTTCAAGGATCTAGAACCAGAAATACCATTTGACCCAGCAATCCCATTACCGGGTATGTACCCAAAGTATTATAAATCATTCTACTATAAAGACACATGCACACGTATGCTTACTGCAGCACTATTTACAATAGCAAAGACTTAGAACCAACCCAAATGCCCATCAATGATAGACTGGATAAACAAAATGTGGCACATGTCTACCATGGAATACTATGCAGCCATAAAAAAGAATGAGTTCATGTCCTTTGCAGGGACATGGATGAAGCTGGAAACCATCTTTCTCAGCAAACTAACACAGGAACAGAAAATCAAACACCGCATGTTCTTATTCATAAGTGGGAGCTGAACAATGAGAACACATGGACACAGGGAGGGGAACATCACACTCCAGGGCCTGTCAGGGGGTGGGAGGCAAAAGGAGGGAGAGCATTAAGACAAATACCTAATGCATGTGGGGCTTAAAACCTAGATGACAGGTTGATGGGTGCAGCAAACCACCATGGCACATGTATACCTGTATAACAAGCCTGCACGTTCTGCACATGTAGCCCAGAACTTAAAGTAAAATTAAAAAAAAAATTAAAAATAATTTATGTAGTTTAAATTGTGAAACTTCACATTATAATGTTTTCTTTAGTTTCATTGGTAAGTTGTCAGTTGCTGTAAAACAAATTTCTTACTGTAATTTGAAGTAAGAAAAATTATCAATTAAAATGGGCTTAAGAGTTACCAGTGGGCAAAAAGACCAGAATAAACACAGAAAAGTCATAATTTAAGGATAACCAAGCTGATTAGTTGGAAATATGTAGTTTTCTTGTAATTATTTTAACCAAATCAATTTGTCATGTTCTTTTATCTTAAAGGTTATCTCTACGGTAAATTACTAAACCTTAAAAACAAAATTTATCTTATTAATCTCCAAGGCATGAAGAAATACTGCTGGTGATCAGTTAAGTGACATACTGAGTTGATCTGCAGAGTGTAGGGTAAAAAAAATCGTTTTCTCTTTATCACCAGATAATAGAAAGCATACTGCTATAAGGTTAAGATCACCTAGTTATGCAAACCGCATGTATTATTTGAATTGTTATTTTATACATATGATACTTATATTAAGATTAATTGGACCAAGGGGTTAAAATATTCTGACCTCACACACACAACTAATTAAATAATAAAGTGGCTGTACCTTTCTCTCAATTAAAATAATCATCATGTGCCTGGATATAAATTTTATTACTAAAATAATTTTTAAAAAAATATTAATAGAATCTTCTACCCAGATCATGATAAATACCTTAGGCCTCAGAGTCAAAAGCCACATTTTGCTCTAATTAAATTCATTAAAAGACATGACAGTATAGTTGAAAAAGCACTGGAATTTGTCTTACATTATCTAACTTCAAGTCCCCAGCTCTGTCACTGAGAACTATGAGTCCTCAGGCAAGATACTTAAGCTCTCTAAGGTTTAGATTTCCTTACATAAAATAAGGAAGTTAAGTTAAATGACATACGGTCCCTTTTTATCTGTAACGTACGGTAATTTAACAAAATCTACCTTAAGACTACATTAGCAAGAAAAGTACATGGAAGACATCTTTCTTACTGACTTTTTAAATAAAGTTTATATATAAGAATGATTAAACCAACTGCAGATGGTAGAACGAATGCTTCAGGTAGTGTACACCACATTAAGGAAATAACTTCCACTTATCTACACAGAGAACTGAGAACCTGAAAGGACCTACAGCAAAGAACTCCTTGTTAGAGAAGCCTTTAAGACATGAATTAGAAAGAAATATATGATAATCATATAGGCAGACTCAGTTTAACAACAGTTAAATGAGGCTAATATCTGCTCAATTTACTTTAAAATTTCAGAGGATCAATTATTACATATAAAAATGTTTCATAACCTACAGAAATAAAAAATATTACTTTCCAAGGCATGCAGGCAATCTCCACTAACCTTTCCTAAGTGGCAAAAACTAGCAAATTTTGCAGCTTATAAAAATACAAGAGAAAGATGATATTCAGAGGGGTGATTATTGGTGAATATTATATCAGAGAGCAAATACTGTTGAAATAAGCACTCAAGGTGATGGATACAACCAAGTCAATAAAGTACTTTAATATTCTAGAACTTTTAAGAAGCCAATCTCTCCTTACAAAATCTATCTGGCACACACTGTTGATTCTGTTATGAGTTGCTTATGTTTTGCAACTTCAAAACCTGCATGATGGTAAGACTTGAAATGGTATCTTTATCTAACACTATAAGTGATGAGAAATAAAGATTTTATTTCAAATAGTTGTGACATTTTAAAATGCATACATTTAAGAACTATGAGAGAACATTTTCAAAGAAATCTTGGAAATTAAGAACAGTTCTGGCCTCCCTTGTGGCATGTCCATCTCCTCACTGCTGGTAAGTCTTATATTCTATCACCGTTCATTTGACTCCTTTAACACTCAACAAATCTTTCTTCTGAAGCACTAAATATGTTATATCACTTTCTTCCCAATATCCTTTCCAAAATCGAATTACTTTCAGATCAATATTATCCAGTGTCTCAGAAGATTTACCCTTTTCAGCTCATCCTAGAAGAGTTTTTGTCTTAACCTAGTCAATGCCTACCCGACTCAACACACAACCTTCATCCTTCACAGCATTTTAGTCACCTACACTCTAGTTCAGCAAAACTACTGCCAAAACAACCAACTCTGGACTTTAAAACACTCAAGTTTCCTCTTTAACCATAGAATTCTACCTCCTACCTTTCTCTAAGTTACTATCTTGATCTCAGAGTGACTTGCTTTTCTTAATAAGTTCATTCCTGGCTGCATGTCCTTTCCTACCCAGTCTGAACATGACCCATCATTTATACTAGGAATTATCCACGAATCCCTTGCTACATGGCCAAATGTTTGGAAAATGGTACATTAACCTAAGTTAAATGGGTTCTCTTAGAGCAGAACTCCCTTAGTCTTAAAAAAAGAAGCTTAGTATGTTGTTATTTGCCCAAATTTATTTTATCAGAAATCCTTTGTACTCCCAAAACCAATGTTCTCCACCAATGTCCTGATGAGCACATTTTTTGAAACACTAACTTACATTTTCTGCTTAGTCCTTCTCTGCCTCTCATTCACTCACTGTCTGAACTGCAGGGAGACATTATCAGGCCAAGCACTATATTGAAATACATCCATTCCGCCGAGTGCGTTGGCTCACACCTGTAATCCCAGCACTTTGGGACGTCGAGGCAGGCAGACCACCTGAGGTCAGGAGTTCGAGATCAGCCTGACCAACATGCAGAAACCCCATCTCTACTAAAAATACAAAATTAACTAGGCTTGGTGGCACATGCCTGTAATCCCAGCTACTCCGGAGGCTGAGGGAGGAGAATCGCTTGAACCCAGAAGGCGGAGGTTGTGGTGAGCCCAGATCATGCCACTGCACTCCAGCCTGGGCAACAAAAGCGAAACTCCGTATCAAAAAAAAAAAAAGAAAGAAAGAAAGAAAGAAAGAAATACATTCATTCCTTGATTCAATAAGTATTTGTTGAGCACCTAGCATGAGGCAGAAACTGTTCTAGGAGGTAGGAGTATAAGGATGATAAAAAACAAATACTCTGATCTTATAGAGCTTTCACTGATCTAACAGGGAAAAAATGAATAAAAACTAATATATAAAATGTTACATGGTGATAACCACAATGAAGGTAGAACAAAGTAAGGGGAGAAGAGATGGTCATAATGCTGTCTTGGAGAAGTATGGATAATCAGGGAAAGTTTGTTTAATAAGGACACAATAATGACATTAAAAAGGAAGGTAACGGATTACTATTTACTAATTGTCAAATCTGAAGCTCTCTTTTGAATCCCCATCCTACTGGGCCTTTCTACAGTCTGAGCCACTGCTGACAAATCTCTTTCACCTTTAAAGTCCTTTCTCTCTTGGCTTCAATGTTTCCTTCGCTCCTCCCAAGCATGCTATGTTTTACCTATACTGGACCTGCTAACATGCTTTTTGTGATTTTCGCCATCTAACAAACACACACTGAGAGGGCCTCCTATGCACTAGGTACTTAGCTAAATGTTTTACATATATTACATTATTTAATACTTAATATAATTTAGGTAGTTACATATTTAATAGCTCCATTTTTTTCATAGCAGGGAAAATAAGGGTTCAGATTAAGTAAACTGCCCAAATCATAGAGCTAAAAAGAAACAAAGCAAGGATTCAAACACAGTCCTCTCCAATATACTGTCTATTAAAATATCTGGCATCCAACTCACTACCAAAAAGCAGTAAATGCTAGATAAATTAATAAAGATAAAGAATTATACAGTAAACTAGTATACATTTATACTACGAAAAAATAAAACAAAACAGAAATTTTGATGAGACACGACTATCTTTAAACCAAGGGCTACACTGAAGAGCAATCAGTCTTCTAATCAAGTTTTAGAGGGCAGTACTAAGATCTAATAATTTCAACAATCCACAAGAGGAACGGACAGTCTGATCTCTGCCACAATTTTTATAACCATTTATCAGGGATATGAAGGGAATGACAATACTGTATATAAGGATAAAATCTGCTTAGATTTTACCATCTCTCCATTTTACAAATAAAAAAAGCTTATAAGAGATTGGAACTCTCTCAAGTCTAGAACTACTTCTATTATCCTTAGATAGATTTTGTGGGGCACAAATTTTATTAGATGAAAAGGAATTAAAAGGTTTTGCTATAACTATCTACAGAATGTAGAAGTGCTCAGATATTGATTCTACAAAAACAGATAACTTATATTTCATTTCAAAGTATAGTGTTTGAGCCTAATACCTCATCTATTGACTATTCAAGAAGCATAAAGACCCTGAAGACCAAAAGTAAAACAAATGGTATATGATTACATGCAAATAACGTAAGTTATAAGAAAGAGTAAGATTATCTTTAATAGAAATTTTCAAGAGTCCATATATTTTCTTGTTTTATAGCCAAGATTAATGTCTGGTAACTGGTTTCAACTAGAAACATATGTCTAATGCCAGAGTACAATATTTACGCAATTACTCTGACACATTAAGCAAACTTTTGAATATTTCTTACTGGATACTGCAATATAATATTTATTAAACACCTTCAAAGTACTAGACTTTAACTTCCAATAGAGGTAAGAAACTACCTAATCTATCACTGTATCAATGTTTCTAGAATGAAAGAATGGATGAATTAATGAACGGTAACCTTAAGACTCAGAGTTTGATATTTGCAAGGTGTGATCTCTTAGGGGAGGGAGAGGGGAGAAGGAGGAAGGAGAGAAAGGCACCATCCTAACTTCAACAGAAAATTCTCAAGAGCTTTTATTAGATTGAACTGCTTGAAATTACCAGAATTCAACTGTTTTGCCCTACATAATTTAGGGCAACTTCACATATTTCAACTCAGTTTATCACAATTAAACACATTATAGTTAATGATAGCATCTTATTTTGTAAAAAAAAAAAATCTAAAAGTAAAGGGCAAGCACTATTAACATCATAAGCTGGGCCCTATAACATCATAAGCTGGACCCATAAAATATGCCTATAAATACAGAATCCTACCTTTGTCCACCTATGCAACTGAGTGTCATAATAGGTTTCCATTATATTTTAAAAACATTCGTAGTAAGGTTTCAATAGTAATATCTTAGCACTGTTAAAATGTAAGGTCCACTAAAATGTAGGTTCGATGAGAGTAAAGCTTTATCATTTTTATTCTTTGCTGCAACCTAGAACCTAAAAAGATGCCCATAATAGACATTTATTTAACAACAAATATTTATTGAGTACCTACTTTGTGTCAGACATTGTTTTAGGTGCCTAGGATACATAAGTGAAAAATCAGATGATGATCTTTGTCTTAATAACAAATGTTGAATAAAATAATAAAAATCTGCAAACTGTTCAAAACACTTTATAGATAATATGTAATAAAACCTTATCATATTATATATGATAATCTCATGAGAATTCCATAACCCATGCTTTAATCCCACCAAGATACAAAAGTATCTTGAAAGTAAAATATACTGTACTATCATTACAATTCCTTATTTCATGGAAACTTGAATTATCTTCCAAAAACACATAAGCAAAAAACAAGACCTTCATTAGGCCATAGCATACTGCAGCTGTCCACAAACGGAAAATTATCAGAATCATTTATCAGAGCAAAAGCACGAAATAAACTTCTACTCATGTTATTACATCTGCTTTTTGGTGAATAGGTGACTGAAAAAGTTACCGGCTACCACTTTGCACTTCATCACACAATGTAGAATATTTTACTCCCTGGCATGCAACAATACACAAGACTCAAAAGCTTCTGCTCATTCTTAATTCCAACTGAATCCGTGTAAACTAGGAGACGGGGGAAAGGAGCTAAATCAAGACAATAGGATCTTTCAATTCTGAAGGTTTGTTCTTCATCATAACAAATTAAAAAATCTTGAAACTGTTGTTGCCAATGCTAGTTATTGTGGTTTTTGTCCTTCCTTTGTTTTTAGGTGAATGCTTTCATTACACAGGATAAAATGGGTAAACAGAATAGAGAAAAAGTGAAAGAACTGGGAACAAAGCAAAATCTGGAGTCATGGTTACAGTACAAAGATAAACCCAAAGATAAGGAACCAATACAGGCTCTTCCTCACACAGCGGCCGTGAATAAGTCATCAAATCCTCCGGGTAATCTATTGTACCGGCTCTAAAGCTGGCCAGTGACACTTCCTTAGGAGATGCTCTGACATCCCTCCGACAGAAGATGCTGTCGAAATGTAAAAAGCCGGTTACCTAGGGAAATCGGCCAAGGAATGTCAGGAGCTCGAGGCTGGAGACACACCCCGGGGCTGCAGCACAAAGTGGCCTGTTGGTGTTAAGGCCGTGGACAATAATGGAGAGAGTCCAGTACAAGGAAAACAAAATCTGGCCAGAGACTGGGATCACTAAAAGGGCACTCAGGAGTCAAGCAAGATCAGAAAATGGTAGGAAGAGACGTGCAGGCGTCTTGCCAGGGGCAGGATCTGGCTCCGGGCGGGAAAGCCCAGTTGAAGACCGTCTGAGGCGGGGCAGCCTGGTAGCGTTAGCTCCACCGCATCGGGGACTGTCCGGTTCCCTTCGGCCCCAGCCTCCGGAGGCGCGGCGGGACGCGGCGAGGTCCGCCGCACCGAACCAGCCCTCGCCTTCCTGCTACTGGTGTCCAGGGTCCCCAGCTGTTTCGGGCCCGCTCTAGCCGTCCTGCCCTCATCCCTTCATCGCCTCACCTTCCAGTCCCTCCATCGCGCCACCTCCTCGAGCTCAGCGAGACTCCTTCAGCAGCGCCCGCCACCGCCCAGCTCTGGCTGTAGCAACCCAGCCGCACCTCCCACCCGCTAACATTCCGAGCTCCCATTGGTTCCGCAACTGCGGGGGCGGGGATCCGTGGGGGCGGGGCCGCGGCGGAGGCGAGGTTCCTGCGGTCTCCTCCTGGCTGCCACCCCTGTCCGTCTCTCCGGGTTACTCTCCAGGGAGCCGGGAGCCGCTTCAGGTTGCAATCTGCGATGCAACGGCGCCTTTGTTTGACTCCAGCCTTGTTTTGCCTCATACCTTATCCTCCTATTTAGAGTACCTCAGCACCTCATGGGCTCCGCTTCACCAGTTCCTCAATCAGTCAATGCCTCTGACTTCTAGCCGCCATCCCTCCCAGTGGATACTTTAAGCAGGCAAGCAAACCAAACAAACGCCCAGCACGCTTGCATGCAGCAATCTCCGTTTTCCGGTCTTTGGTCGCATGACTTGACCTCAGCGTATCCCCTACACTTGATCTTCACACACAGCTTCATAGGTTAAGACACTTTTTTTCCAGAGAAATCATACTTTCTATCTGCGATTGTGGAACTGCGATTGCTCTAAGCCCTTGAAAACAGTTTCCTCACCATGAAAGCTTGGGCCAAAAATTAGAAGTGAAACCCAGCCCTCCCTCTGTCTTCTACTCTTGGCCTACCTTGGCCCTATACTTTATCATCCATAAACCAAAACAGTCGCCTGGCCTGACAATGTTTGATCGGGGAAGTTTGAGTTGGGGAATTAACCTACAACCTGACAGAATGAGGCCCGCCCGTCTCTAACAGAGTTCAAAACCTCCTGAAGATGAAAGTAACTTCAAAACTAACTCAGACCATTTTAACGGTTTTGCTTACAATTACCAGAACTACATTTCTTTGAAAATTTGATTTAGCAATCGTAAACAAGCTGTACTGTTTGCTGACTATAGCGTATCTACTGGCAAGTTACCAGTATTAATGTGTTGTCCATAACAAACCTCGGATTAATGTTATTGTTAATCTGTTTAATTGAAGAGTTTAACTTCATATCTAACTTCATCTACTATGAAATCAGTTACCTTCAGGAAGCAGGATTCCTCCTACTCTCCACTCACATGAAGGTATGTTTAAACAAGCAAACACTTGAGGGGGCATCATCTCTTACTGAGAAGGTGCTCCAAGTGCATTTGAATGTGGTAGAGTCCATCTGTTGTGTGGAGCCATGTAAAGACCACTTCAACCATGCCTCAATGACTCCCTCCGCCCTTCCCTGGTTCCCCTGGCTCTTCTGCTTCTCTGAGATCCTGGGCCTCCTTGGCCAACCCATAGCCTTGCAGGCAATAAGCTACTCTAGACTGGGTGCTGCGGAAAGGTCCTTTTTCTTCCTTAGTGCTACTAAGGCAAAGGTAGAATTTTTGGTTGGGAGGGAAGGCCTTTTAAAAGAGCATTAAGGAGAAAAAAAAGCACACAGAAGAAAATACAAAAATAAGGAAGCCATTATTTTACAAATTACAAGTTCTTTCACTGAAGGCAAGACGAATATTGAGTTGGCTGATACCTTATTCGACATAAAATCTACAGTAACATTAAAAATAATAAAAATAGCATTAAAGAATAAATCATGTGAGGCATGTTTTAGGCCATTTTCATATATTCACAAATCTTCAAAAGAAATCTACAAAGTAGATACTACAATCTTCATTTATCAGAATTAAAATGTTCATTTTCTAGATGTCTCAGAGCAATTAATATTTTGTCAATATTTGTATTATTAGTGGATGGTAGAGCTTGGCTACACTCTTGTCTGTTAAATTCTAAAGCCTATGGTGATTTGATTGGGCTCCTCACTCCCTTTCCTTGCCTTGCCTTTTATTATAGCTGCCTCAAGTGTAAACCCAAGCGTTCAGACATGTTGTTTAACATATATTTGAGTAGGCATTTCTATTGTGAATCTTAATTCTCTAAAACATGATTGCTAGTCTTCCCTACAGGTATCTTCATAACTTTTATGCTTTTGGTCTCTTCATAACTTTTACGCTACAGCTACCCTGGCTCCTGCAGCTTTTCCCTGATTCTGACCCCTGAGTAAAGAGGACTTCTTCCTATCTGCCTTCAATAAGTTCTTTCCTCTGCCGCCTACATACCTAGCCTGAGAGTCTTGTCTTGGCACTGTATCATGACATTACTTCCTCTCCAGTCTAATCCATTTTTCGGCATGCATTCATTCAACAAATGTTTGTTGAGTACCTTCTATGCTTCAAGTCCATTTTATCACTAGCCAGTTACTCAAATGAATGAAACTCAGCTTCTTCTCATGTTTTTAAGCACTTACCTGTACATAATTTTTCTACCTGCCATGTGATCTTGTTAACTGAAAATAACATTTATAGATCAATAAGAATTCGAGATCTTCTGACCTCCTTATCATACAAAAAGGAAAACAAACTTTCAGAGATGTTTCTGACTTGGTCAAGATCACAAAACTAGTACTTAACTGAAATAGATATTGTATCTGTGTTTTATTACATCATACCTTGATTCTTTCCACTTTGCATTATATTGCTTTCAACCACCATTCCCTTAAGCAGATCCACATCTATTCTGCACATCCCAAAAAGCTGAGCAAGCTGCATATAGCTTCTTGTTTCAAAGCTCCAGTCTCTTAAATCCCACACGAAGTTCAAGTCCCCTTTTAGAGAAAGCCATTGGTTCTCATTCATATCATTTGCAGAGCACAACTAAATGAGATTCTGAGTCTCGGTGAGAACTCAGTTTATCACCTCCACTATGTAGGACATTTCTTCCTTCCATGACCAGAAGAGGAATAACCTACCACAATTTAGCATATAAAAATAATTCATACATTTGGTAATCATAAGAAAATGATAATTTTCATCAAAAACATAAGAAAATATTTCCCTTAAAACTGTTCTAGAGGGAGGAAGCATATTCTGAGTTGGCTCTTGCTAGTTTTATTTGAAGTAAAAATAAAATTTTCTAAGTGTTCAGGGGGAAAATAGTGATAGTTTCTCATGGCCTGGAATAATCAGAAAGCATATAGGTAGGCTGTCACGGGTGAAGATTTATTGAAGGAAAAATGTCCTAGACAAGAAACATCAAGAAAAGAAAGAGGGGCTTTAAAAAAGTGAGGAACTTAAAGCAAACTTTACCTACTACATTGATTGAAAGGCTATTCCATTCATAGTGTGATAGCAATTATTCTAGCTCTATGCTTCCCTACTTTCAAACTAATTTTCAGCTGCAAAAAGATCAGTTTTTTTTTTCAAGTTTCGGCTATGATCTTGCCTATCCATCCCTTTGCATCACAATTTCAAATCTTAACTAAAAATCTATTAACCAAAATGTTTATTGAGGTCCTCTCTAGACTAGTCCATTTTTCTGATGCATTCTTTCAACAAATATTTGTTGAGTACCTTCTGTGCTTCAAGTCTATTATATCACTAGCCAGTTACCAAAATGAATGAAGCTCAGCTTCTTTTCTTACGTTTTTAAGTATTTGTCTGTGCATATTTTTTTTACCTGCCATGTGATCTTTTTAACTGAAAATAACATTCATAGACCAATAAGAAATTGAGATCTTTCAACCTTGAGTACAACACTGCTCTAGGCACAACAGAAAGCTTCAAAGAAATCTCTCTGATCTCTAGAAAGTTAACATCTAGTAAAGGAAACCGTGAGCAAGACATAATACAGGGCAAAAGAGTTGTTAATAGTATTAAGTTTTAGATGTTGTGGTACAGCTTATAAAAGCAATTGGTTACAGGAAGTCATTTACATGAATGGAACAATTTTAAAGGTTTTTTAGAAGTAGAACTTAAATTGTGTCTTGAAGAGTGTCATAGGATAGGTAGAGATCACTGAGGATGAGGGAAACATGGCATAATCCTCCTTAAGAAAATGATGCAAGCCTGGCATGTTTTGGGACAATCTAAAGAAGCAAGGAAAATATTTGTATCTATTTTGGTTCATGTGTAACATTTGTTTCTCTTTACATTATACAGCACAAGCATTATGGCTATATAATTTATATCTTTTTAATCTTAGGGGCAAGGTGTTGAGTTAATGATACTCACTAACACACAGTACATACTTCAACTATCCATGCCAAGGTATCTCTTTTATTTTCTTTTTATTATTTGTCATTCATACCCCATTTTCACACAATTTACCAGCCTCCTCACTATAGGCACAATTCTATTACATATAGATGTCTTTGGATAGGTGTGATTCTTTGAAACACATATGGTGCTGTTTTATATATGCATCTGTTTTTAATTTACATAAATGGCATTAGTCTATGACTTTCATTCTGTTTGTAATTTTAATTTTTAAGTAATTTTCATTATTTAATTTTTGAATTTAATGTTTTTTGTCATTCATTCAGAGATTCATCCATGCCACTGTATGAAATACAAGTTTATTGCTTCTGATGTTGGATAATAGCATTTTACCGTATGCATACACCACCACATCTTACTTACTCATTTCTGTAGTGATGGGCACTGAGTTGGTTCTAACTGCTGCTACAATGAACATCTTTGTGCTTGTCCCCTTATGAACCTGGGCTCAAGTTTCTCTGAGATGCATCCTTGGAATAGTTTACTGGATCATATTCACTTCCACTAAGTACACCTAGATTTCTCTCTACAATAGCTATACCAGTGTACATTCCCATCAGCAGTGCAGAGCACTCATCTTTCTATGGCTCAGTAATAGCTGACTTAGCTCTAATTTTTTAATCAAGAGTTGGTCTTTTCTTCATATACTCGCTAATTCAGATTTGACTTTCAATGAATTGCCTGGTTTTGTATATTGAAATTCTCATCTTTTTCTTATGGATATGTAAATTCCTTGTGTATTCTAGATGTTGACCCCTGCTAATTTCAATTATTTAAAAAATCTTTTCCAGTTTGCCAAATACTTGATAATTTTGTCTATGATACCTTTCACTGAACAGAAGCCCATAACATTAATTCTATAAAATCTGTCAATATATTTTCTTTATGAATTGTGCATTTTTTAATTAAAGTTTTCTTCAGATTCTAGATTATTGATGGTATTTGCTCACATGTTTTTGTATTAATGCTATCCTTTTTATCTTTCTTAATGAGGTTTTCAACCCATCAGGAGTCACCTTTGTATATTATATGTGTTAGGAATCAACTGTATTCTGCATATAATGAGTCCATTTTTCCAAAACTATCTCTAAACAGAAAAAGTAAATATAGACGTCACAGAATTACAAATACAAAAATATTATGAACAGCTTTGTTTCTATAAATGTAAAAACTCAGAGGAAATGGATATCATTCTGGATAAAATTAAAAATTGTGACAAGAAACTTGAGTAGAATGAAAACTGTTAATAAATTGAAATGGTAAAGACATCTCTTCACTTTAATGCCCTAGGTGGAGAAAGATTTGCAGGTGAGTTTTACCAAACTTTAAGACACAGATAATTTATATTGTGTCCACATTTTCAATAAAATTTAAAAAGAGGAAAAGCTTATAAAAGCTTATAATTAATTTTTTAACATTAGCATAATTCTGACTCCAAGCAATATAAAAGCAATATATGAAAAATTATAGGATTGTCTGTATATTGTATATACAAAAGTCATAAAAAAGATGTTAGCAAACCATATTCAACCAAATTATTATTAAATAAAATCTATACCAAGAATGAAAGTATAGTTTAATATCAGAAAATACATCTGTAAAATTTTAGCTTTTTTCTACTATTTTGTTTAATCAATAAGAACAATTGACAAGCAATGAATTCTGCATTTGAAATATTTATGATACATTCCAGTGACAAGTTTTGTTATTCTTTGTATTGCTGAATTCACCAAAGATAGGTATATATGATTAATGATGGTGGAAAAAAGAGGGTTGGTATTGACAAGGAAATGTGGTTGGTGTCTAGATAATTTGTAGTAATGCTATTTTATTAATTGTACTCCTTCTAAAAAAACAACCAGTTTGGGTGGGGAATGGATAGGCAAAAGATAAAAATGTATTTCTAGTTTTAAAGACAAAATTCCCTCTTGGATGATTCTACATATTTAGGCATTCATATCTTAATTTGAAACACATTTACCTTGTAACTAGCTTTGTGGTGCATCTGACACTGCAGCAGAAGATTGGCAATAGGCCTGGAAAAAGGGATACAGATAGACTGATGTGGGAGAAGGGCTCTGATTTACAAGACCAGAACACAGCATGAATCCACTGGAGGCCTGAATGGTAGTGAACACAGAACAGAGATAGGTGGATCTGCAGAGGCCACTAACTGTTCTGTTGTTCTCAGAAGAGTATTACTGATATATACCTGAGCATATGGCTGTGGAATAAAAACTCTACTCCCCAGTCTTTCTTGCAGCTAAGAAGTCCAGATGACAAAGAATTCATAACTTCCATGTGCATAATTTTTAAGCATCTTTAAAAAAAGAGAGGGTGAGCCATTCTCCTTCTTTTTGTTCTCCTCTGTTGGCTGGCATTTGGGCAGGATGCCTGAGGCTGGAATAGCCATCTTGGACCATAAGGTGACTTTGGGAATAGAGTCCATTCATAGAAGAGGTAAAAGACTGAGGAAGCATGGATCTCTTGCATCTGGACCATCAATCTCTAAATTTATACAAGGGATAGAAATAATTTTATCTTAAGCAATTTTTTTTTGAAAGAAAAGAAGAGGTAAGGGGGATTGTTCTACATTTATAGCCAAACTTAATCCTCGTAAAACAGAGATTTAGATACAGAGGTAAGAAGACAACAAAAACTGTTTTTCCTAGTTTATTTTGTGTTGCTGGGTAACTCTAAAAATTTGCATAGGTATCAATACCCAGAACTGTTTTGAGAAGTTGTGCACTTCAGCTTTGTCCAATTTTGCCTTTTGTCTCCAGGACAGCCAAGTGTTTTCGGATGTATCTTTCCTTTTGGAGGAAAAGAAACAACAAAACAAGAGAAAACTATCAAAAGTCCTTTCCCCCTTACTTCATTATTAATCATAGCAGCTTCCTAGGGCCTTGAAAACTTGCTTTAAAATGCTATGAAATATTACAAATATTATATAATGTTGATGATGATGTCAGGGTATTTATACTAAAGACAAAGAAAAATTATCCTATTATCAAATCACCTAAATAAATATTTTGACACTTATTCTTGGTTTCAAAACCCTTATGGTTCTTCTTAAAGAACCGTATTAATAAAACAACCAGATTATTTGGTTTCTGCAGCTGCCTTTTAATGGAAAGAGCAATATGAGAAGTCACCCTATAAACATATGCTAATTAATAATATAATTGGTTACTTCGTTTTACTTTAAGAAAAATCTCCAGTTTTTATTGTAGATACACATGTAATTAAAGTTATGTGTTATTAGCTATTTATACAAATGCCATGTTTGCAAACATAACATTCTAGAAAAGTTGCTCGCTTGCATTTTTTACATTGAAAATATACCATTTTATGCATTTATGTATTGATTTCTTAGAGTGTATATCAAAAGTATGCACCTGGCATATTGTCTATCTAACAATTGTCTGCTTGACGTTTCTAAGAGGCAGAGTTTTTTAAGCCTATGTACATTTATGTTTCTTAGCAGCTAATGGATAATCAACAAAACAGAAATAAGAATCTCCTCTGGCTCTGTTTTCAAAACATAGTAAAGTTTATGCTTTCATAAGAAAATAAATTCTAGGTACAAAATATTATCTAAAAACATTAGCGTTCCTTAAGTTATATGCAAATTGTTTATATGAATTTATTTATAGAAAATGAATTTAAATATAATTTAAAGGAACACTAATTTTCAAACAGTTTGAATGTTATAAAAGACTATCGTGGTTATCAGTCAGTTTTTCTTTGAAACTTCTTTGAAATTTCTCTAAAAGTAAGAGAGCTCTTAAAGCTTTGCAGTGCCTCTGTTGTTATTATGAATATTAATGGCCATTCAGAAGTGAAGGTTGTTGTTGCCTTTCCAAAATCTCCTGTTCTGGAAGGGATGTTCACCCCTACTATTGAGAATGTTGGCTGATGATCTATAACTTTGCCCTTCTCATAAAGGGTACTGCCATATCTGAGAGGTTAAGACCCTCCTCTCTGATGGGAAGCTCACAGCCAATGACTAACAGGCGGACTCCATTGATTCAGGCTTGCCTGAAGTTGGTCTTCACGTAAGACTACATTCTTGCTTACCTTTCTTCTCCTGCCCTCAGGACCTAACTTGCTGTCCTCACTCAAAGGGAGCTATTTTTAAATAAATAACTTCCACAAGAATCCTGTCAGCTTCTGAGAAAACTGACCTAAGACTCCTTTACAAAGCGATAATAGCACCAATTGAATGGCCTACTGCTACTATTAAATGTTATTCGATCCCATGCCCAGCTATACTTTTGGTCTGAGATGAAAAAATTTGCCCTGACTTTCACTGCTCTCCTGAATTACATTCTTGAAACCAAGAATGTAAAATACTGATGGCAATATGTAAACAGACTGCATTTTACCCCTGGAGATGTCTAAGAGCTCATAGTAAATAAACAGATCATCAACTATCTATTCAGTACCTTTGACAGTAATTCTCTGCATTTTCATAGAACATTATTGTTTTTAAAAGCTTAGTTTAATACTTCAGTCAATGATATTCAATAAATATTTGCTAAATGACTGGATAAATATGAGTGAATGGGTATGGTCTTCAAAACAGCTAATTTAGGTAAGCAGAGAGGTTTTATTTAGCTCCTAATGGTTATGGTTAATATGTTATTATGCACACCATTTCCCATATAGACTCATGTGATAACCTACTTGTGAAGTAGGTGTTATTCTTTCCATTTTTATGTTGTAGAAACTAAGGTTTACAAATAAATAGTATGTAATGTTAACGATGACATCAGAGGATTTATACTAAAGATGAAGAAGAAAAACTCTCCTATTATCACTTACATGAATATCTTGGCACTTCTTCATGGTTTTAAAAACCTTATGGCTCTTAAAACAATCAGATCCTGTGGTTTCTGAAGCTGCCTTTTAATAGAAAAAGCCGTATGAGAATTCACCCTACAAACATATGCTAATTATGAATATAATTGATTACTTGGTTTTACTTTAAGAACAAGTGACTTTTTCAAAGCTATAGTTAGTAAGTGGCAGGGTTGGATAATGAAAATAAATATTCTGACTTGAGATCCCATTTGTCATAACATAACTGCTTTTTCTAGTTGAGGACACTGAGTCTGTGGAGAATGACAAAAGGGAAGATCCTGGATTTAAGCTCTCTTGAGTTTCAAATCATAACTGATAAATTGTCCTTAAACTGAAGTAAAAGCAAGCCATTTGAGTTATACTTCGTTTCCCTCAATGACAGAATCAATGCATGATGGATAATTTTATGTGTTGACATAGCATGGTCATGTAACCAGAGATTTGGTCAAACATTATTCAGGATGTTTCTGCGGAGGTGTTTTGGGATAAGACTGACGTTTAAATTGGTAGACTTTGAATAAAGCAGATTACCCTCCATAATATAAATGGGCTTCATCCAATCAGTTGAAGGTCTTAATAAAATAAAAACTGACCTCTCTCTGTTCACAAACAAGTTCTATCAGCAGATTGCCTTTAGGCTCAAACTGCAATGCTTCCCTGGTTCTCTAGCCTGATGTGCTAACCCTGCAGATTTTGGACTTAACAAGCCTCCACAGTCATATGAGCCAACCAATTCCTTAAAAATAAATTTCTCACTCTTTCTTTCTATATATACATGTCCTGTTGGCTCTATTTCTCTGAGGAGTTCTGAATGCTTACCCTGTGCTTGCAATGCGTACCAAGGTAAGTAGGCAACCAATTCCTGGAAAGCACAAAGCACAAACAAGAATATGCTCTGAAAGAATGTGCAACCTTAATATGACCTGTGTCCTTATTCAAATACCCTACTGTCTGTTTCTAGTTGGATGTCTCCTTTATTCCCATCCTATTTTCAGAAGTAGCTACTTTATCTCTTAGTATAATGATAATTTGGACCCTGCAGATAGAGACAAACTCATTGCCTCGTTTCCAAAACACAAAAAATCTTTAAAAAAATTTAACAATCTTCTCCTACAACAACTTTACTCTGGAAAGACTCAGAAAGGTTTATTAAAAGACTATTCAACAATGAGTTGTTGGTTGGCTAAACCAAGGACTGGAACTCAAATCTTCTACCTTCTGACCCTTTGCTCTTCAAGCTGTATTTTTGTGCCTTTTTGTAAACAAATTATTACGTAGTTCAGTTTAGGAATTGTAATAATAAAAGCTTTTCCTCCCAGGGAACTTAAAATGTAAATAATTGAGCAAGAATGTATGAAGAATATGGTAATAATACATAATAAATAAATATCATATTGAATATAATTAAGGGCCAAATGAAGACTACAGAAAATAAGTACTAAATATTCTAATTAAAGAGGTTATTATGGGTTGCTTTACCAGGGAAGGATTAATGAGCAAAACCAGGCACTGAAGATGGAAGTACTACAGTAGTTTATAATCTAAATGATGTAATAAGATATAAAAATGATTTAAAAATACATGCTTATGCAACCAACACATATAATGCCAGAATGAAAATTCAGGTCAAAAGAGGCAGAAGAGTTACATGCAAAAATGTCCACATGTCTTAGAATTAGGATAGTTTCCTGTAGGAGATGGATTTTGTATTTTTTGTTCTTGAAGGCTATGTAGGATGATGACAGGCATTTTGAGCAAAGGACTGATCATAGGCTGAACAAAGGTTAAAAAAGCAGGCATAGTAATGTTACTTTCAGAAAATAATAAAAATATGTTTAAAAAATGGAAAATTAATTACACAAGTTTGTACTGAGCACTTATGTGAGAAATACAAGTTGTTATCTTGTGATTACATGCTTTCTGACATTTAAGATTGTCTCAATTGAGAAGAACTAATGAGTTATAAGATCTCTTTATCAGAGATTAGGAAGTGTTCTGATTCTTCAGGAAATTTTCCCTAAAACTTATTTATAAAAAAGCAATTTATGGTGAGACTTGGGATTGGATTGAAGACAAATTAGAAAAGCAGTATGACTTCATATTTTCCAGTTTGAATGATTAAAAGCATGGCAATTATACTAGGAGAAATAGCAAAATTGGCAAAGAAGTTTGTTTGAAACAAAAATATATGTTTGTTAATATATAAGAATAAGAAACCTTACAAAATGAAAAATAAAGCCAAATATTTATGGTATTTTCAGTAATAGATGAGATGTATTTGACAAAGAAAAACTTATTTGTGTTGCTTTTTTAGAAATGAATTGTTAAGGTCATTTTTTTAAGAGATATTTCCACAAGCAAGATTATGAAGAACTAAATGTTTTGGTGCTTTCTGACTAATTAATTAACTACTTGTATATGGGAAATTATAGAATAAAGACAATTGTTAGGGAAACCAGCCCCACACCACCCAGTGTGTACCCCAAGTCCGGCAGAGACAGAGGAGCTAGAAAGAGACAGAATAAGCATTTAAAATGTGGGTCCAGGGGACCAGAGTGTCAGAGCCTTGCTCACGGCCCAGAGCTCTCAGGCTCTGCCCAATTTAATGGTTTACAAGCTCTTTGTTCTTAGGGCAGAGGGGAGGGGGAGGAAGGGATGAGGAAAAGGATTAATCAGTGAAGGAGAACTCGTGAGTCATTCGATAAGATGTATAGCAGTGGTGGTTTCTGTCAATTTCCTTGAGCAAAGGCATGTGTCTAAACTACTTGAGATCTTTAACTTATCAGGACTGAAATCGGTGGGAGCAGGCTTCAGGAGGAGCCAAGATGTTTGATTATACCACACTGCTTCAAGGGAGTGTTATCTCCCTGAGCAACCTGTGGAATGCTGCTGAGTGGTTATGCTCTTGGGGCATAAAGACATGAAGGCAATAAGGAGACTTTTCTCCTCAGAGGCCACCCATGGCTTCCCATGGGTGTCTCACACTGGGGAGACCAAATCAACTGGCACCCCAGAAACTCTCCTTCTGACATGTCCCCCTTTTTTGTCTTTATTAATTTTCTTTGATTAATAACAGCCATTGCTATCATGGCTCGTTCACGGTGTCTGGCTTCTCTCCCAAGGCACCGTCTGCATCTGTAGACTAAAAACAAACAGCATAAACAGACACAAACCAAAATAAAATTTGCAATTGTTGATCCATGTATGGTTTTAATCCACTTTAAAGGATTGGTATTAGAAAGGCCATCAGCGGCTCCAGCAAGAATATCAGCTCCAGGTAACAGGGTGAGATGAGCCTGAGATGCCTCAAAAACTTGCTTTTTCAGTTTATCAATATCTAATATTAAATTATCTTCTTTTCCTTGTACGTGACGTCTAAGCATCTCCCAGTGGTGTTCAGTGGCATTATAAGAGCTAGGAGTAATATAAAAATCAGAAGTATTCCCATCACATTGCATTTGAATTCTATGCTCCAAGCTCATAATCCGATCTCCCATCCAAATTACTGTTTGATGGAGATCATTAATCTGATTTGCCAATTTTTGATCTATTTGGCTTTGGGAATTCCAAAGCTTAGAAGAATTTTTCTGCCAACTATCCACAAAGCCCACAGTTTGAATAGAAGAGTGCAAAGCAATACCAGCAGCAGCAGCAGTAGCTGTGACAGCTATAAGGCCCATGATCATAGCTATTAAAGTAAATATGAATCTCTTTGATCTATTAAGTATTCCTTTTTAGTACCTCAGTGATAATACGTATGGAGGGAGAGGCCTCCCAACGTCTATTGAGGGAAACAGGTATCCAAACTCCTTCTTGGGCCTTAACCAATAAAATGCTATTATCTTTATTAAAGGTGGAATTAATGCAGGTAAAAAGATGACAGTTGAGGCATGATATGGTTTGAGAGTCAGGTAGGATATTAATTTTTCCCACTGCCAACATAAAAGGATGTTTAACACAACTCTGCAATGGGACAGTCTGATTAGGGGTCATGACTACAACAAATGGAAGTTTTTTACTATGGATCTCTGTTTTATATTCTCCTTTCCAAATCCGAATTGGGGTTTGAGCCATCATTAATTTCCACAATTCTGGATGTTCTGGACTTATAATTAGATCAATCATTTTGGGGCTTGGAGGAACCATACCATTCTCCTCCCACTTAATAGGGTAATAATTTGTTTCAATTCTTCTATATAATTTTGGTGCATTATCTGGGGAGTCATTTGCAAAAGGAGTCCCTCTACAATCTTTGCGCTGTCCAGTACAATTTACTGCAAAGTGTCCCCTAGGGGTCCAATCAATGACGATTCCATAGGAATTATTTTGCAGTACAGCAGCACTATTTGCAATACAACCTTCCTAGGTTAGCACCTCTAGCTTTCCAGACCATTTAGTGGCCTTCCTAGGGCAGGGCTTCTTATTAGGTTTAAATTTATTAATCTGGCAATGTGTCATAACATAGCCATGCTCAAGGTATTTAATAGTGTCCAAAGATTGAAATGTTCTTCCACTGATTGCATGAATAGAGGCTTTTGATCCATTATTTGCAGGGACATAAACCATCCAACTTTGTTTATCATAATTTAAACATCTTGCTGCCAGCCCCAGGCAGATGGGAGGAAAGCAATAACCAATGGAAACATTCATTAACATTCCTTCTTCCTCTGGATGAGTAGGACCTCGGTTATCTGTTGGTCCAGGCATCCAGACACTGTCATTAACATTAACCTCCACCTGGGGGTCTAACCATGTAACAGGCCTAATCAGTGGTGGGAATGGAATGTATGCCCAATAAGTGTAATTTTGATCTGCCTCTCCCTTAATAGGTCTAATTGCTGCCTGACATTCTGTATTAGCATTTTCATAAGCAAGCAGCTGAATGATCACATTCCTAGCATGAGAATCCGAAATAGCCTTTTGAGCTGTGTCTTGCAAATGGGCGATCAAATCTGGATAAGCCTCCCTTGGACCCTGTTGAACTGAATTAAAAGAAGGATAAGTAGTACCAGAGTCGTGAATTTTTTCCCAGGCTCTTAGGCATATGAGGTCAACCTGTTCTTTGAGAGTTGTTATTTAAATTAAACACTCTGCTGTGGGAAGTACAATATTTTTGCAGTTTACAGATTTTATATTCAACTTGTCATATCTGACTCCAAAGACACAGTAGTGCTGAAATATCAACTTTACCTCTGATGCTTGGTCTCTTCCCGATGCTTCATGGTAATTTCAATGTGGAAGTCAGACTCTTTTTTTGTATTCCCTAAATACTGTTTCCATAAGCATCTGTATGTAGAGTAGATTTGTAAAAACTGCATCTTAAGAATAGTACACTGAAAATGCAAGTTCTGATCATGATACTTCAAAACTAAAATGTTAAAGACATAGTTGAAGACTCTAGTAGAAGCCTTCATAATTTGATACACAACAACTATTAAATCTTGATTTTAAATAACAAGTTTTTTAACAAACTCATTACACAGTGAAATTAAAAGCATATACTAAAGCCAACTCAGAAATCATTAGCATTCATTATCATTAGAAAGTTGTATTTTAAATTAAGTCACATCTTTGAATTTTTAAAAATATGGATAAAAATGAAAAAAGTATGTCTCCTTTGTTGTTTTAGATATAGTTTCATGTAGATCATTTACAATATTCAAGTGAGTCACAGAACTTTCCACATCTTAGTCCAATAGTTCACTCTTACACAGCTGAGAGTCATCTAGGCAATCGTATCCTGATTTGTAGGAATGTAATATATAAAATTGAATGACATTTAATATTACATGTTTTCTAACTCAGAGAGTAAACATAGGATAAAATAGACTAAAACACAGAATACAGACTAATGTGGTAAAGTTTAATACATGTTGTAAATTTTAGAAAACGAGGATTCTATAAATTGGTTAGATATGAACATCATATTGAAATTAATAGGATTTAGAAAAAAAAATTTAACATTTATTTTAAGTTCAAGGGTACGTGTCCAGGATGTGCAGGTTTGTTACATAGGTAAATGTGTGTCAAGGGGATTTGTTGCATAGATTTTTTTTCATCACCCAGGTATTAAGCCTAGTATCCATTTGTTATTTTCCTGATCCTCTCCCTCGTCTCGTGCCCAGTGTGCATTGTTCCCCTCTATATGTCCATGTGTTCTTATCATTTAGTTACCTCTCACTTATAAATACGAACATGTGGTACTTGGTTTTCTGTTTCTGCATTAGTTTGCTAAGAATATTGGCTTCCAGTTCCATCCATGTCCCTGCAAAGGATATGACCTCATTCTTTTTAATGGCCACATAGTATTCCATGGTGTATATGTTCCACATTTTCTTTATCCAGTCTATCATTGATGGGCATTTGGGTTGATTCCACGTCTTTGCTATTGTGAATAGTGCTGCAGTGAGCATATGTGTGCATGTGTCTTTATAATAGAATGATTTATATTCCTTTGGGGGTATACCCAGTAATGGGATTGCTGGGTTGAATGGTATTTCTGCCTTTAGGTCTTTGAGGAATCGCCATTCTATCTTTCCACAATGGTTGAACTTATTTACACTCCCATCAGCAGTGTAAAAGTCTTCCTTTTCTTCCACAACCTCACTAGCATTTATTGTTTTTTTGACTTTTTAATAATAGCTGCAGGTTACTCTGCAGTGAACAGCAAGAAATAAGTATTCAGACAATTACAGCTGAATGGGGTGGGGAGCAGCTAATGGAACTATTGAAGGGTAATGGAACTATTGGAGGGACTCCCAAATCCAATAGTCTGGTTTGCAGACATGACATACCCATGGGGACCCCAATCAAGTAAGGTGCATTATCGAGCAGAGGTCCTTGATGTGGTGCAGGTTATCTGCATGGGGACCACTGGATGGCCTCAAACATATCGACAGTCCCTTCTTGGACAGCATATAGGAAGATCCTTTCATTAGAAATCTCAGTAAGATTAGTAGTAACAGCAGAAATAAAAGTCAGGTTTGCAAGCTTAGCATCCCTTTTAGGCTGATAGTAAAGATACTCCTGAAGAATGAGAGTAATACACTTATCTTGGGCCAATGTGGAAAAACAGAGAGGAGAATTGCTAGACAATAAAGTCAAGGAGTCATTAAGTTTGACCCATCCCAAATTTTCAGTGAGGGGGTAAGACAGGGGCATCCATCGACCTCCCTCCCAAGAAGTATCATTAGATGACAAAGGCGGGTCAGCATCCCACCATGTAATAACATTGAAAACAGGGGGATTCAGAACATGACTCCAATAAACATGTTCTTGAGCTGAGCCCACCTGGCAAAGAACAAGAATTACCAGCCGTGTACTTTCTCAGAAGCTTCCCCAATTACTGCCAGATACATAAGAAACCAGTTCTCTGCAGTTGCAGGGGCTCCCATGGCTGCGACTGGATAGTTGCCTGTTGATCCAATTTCTTTAGCTGTCCCCAGGTAATGTCAGGTGCCTTCCGACTCATCATCATCATTGTTGGTCAATTCTCCAATGACAGCTCCTTATCATCAGGAGGGGGTTGTTTGGTGGTCTCTAACTAATAATATGGCTTCACTCATTTTATGGGGATTCACTCTAATCCTGTAGTTTGTGAAACACAAACAGCACCTTGACTCCGCTGCAGTGCCTCATAAGCTTTCTCCCAATTCCCTGTACAAATGTCTCAAATTAACACCTTTCTTTTTGTGACTTCAACTGGCTTCATCCTACGATCAATAGCCGTCCAGGCATCTTGTGCAATATTCAAAATATTGAGAGTAAATAAGACCATTGCTATCTGTTCTCGAGGAGAGAGCCCCATATTCCCCCTTTGTGTTTATATAAGATATACTTTAAAAGCTCAATGAGCTCGTTCAACAATGGTCTGACCGGTTGAGTTATAAGGAATACCAGTTTTGTGTTGTTTGTGCCAAAATTGCGATGCATATCCAAATCGAGTGCTACGATAGCAAGGACCATTATCAGTTTTCATAGTTTGTGGAAGACCCAAGGTCATAATAGTTTAAAAAGATGAGCAATTGCATCTTTAGTTTTTTCTCCAGTTCAGGGAGTAGCATGTGTCAGGCTCATATAAGTGTCCATGGTAACGTGGAGAAATTTGAAGCGTCCAAAGGGTGAATGCTGAGTAATATCAGTTTGCCAGATAGCATTAGGTACCAGACCTCGTGGGTTGGCCCCAAGTCCCAATGAAAAAGAGGAGAGAGAATGCTGTTGGCAATCAGGACAAGTTTTAATAATCATGCAAGCTTGAGCAAGTGTCAAAGAAGCTGCTGTTTAAGACTGTGTGCATTCTGATGAAAAAAGGAATGATCAGCTTGAGCTCGCAAAAATGCAGGAGAGTCTGCAAACGACATATGTGGTGGTACCAGAGCATCAGCTCGAGCATTCTCTTCTGATAAGGGACTAGGTAGTCCAGAATGAGAGTGAATATGTGTGATGTAAAGAGGGTGATGATGGGCAGAGAGGAGCGTCTACACTTTGAGAAATAGGGTTAGTAGGGGTTCATTAGTAATACCTTTCAGATGTGGGAGATCTAAATGAATAATACTATACATCACATAATTGGAATCACTATATTTATGTCTTGATGAGAGAAAGTTTGTAAGGCCAATATTAGGACACCTAACTCTGCCTGTTGTGTAGTTGTGAAATCTTTGTGGATTTTTTTTCTGCCAGTTTGCATGGCATCTTGCCACACTATAGCTGCCTTTCCCATTTTTCCTGAAGCATCTGTGAAGACAGTAGTAGCATGAAGCAGGGCTCAGAGGCAACAATAGATACAATTTAACAGGCACAGTTTATAAAAAGTTCAGGAGCTTAGAGGCCGGTAAATGGAAACTGATATTACCAATAAAGTAAGCCATTGCGACTTGGCAATCAAGATCACAAGCTAAGAGGGTATGAAATTGTTCCTTGCTTAAAGGTAGGAAAAGAGTAGCAGGGTCATATCCTGACAATTGGACACAACGTCAGTGTCCCTTTATGAGAAGAGAAGCTATTAAATCTGTAGTCTTTTGCATATGTTTATAAGGGTTATGAGACAGGTAAAGCCATTCCAAAGGAGAGACATCTGTTCCAACTTGCCCAACCATCCCTGTAGGGCTATGAGGGTATTAAAGATAAAAAGATCTATAGGTCTGTCAGAATCTAAATGTGAGACTCACTGTTGGGCCAAAGCTTGCTCCACAGCGTTAAGCTCTGCCTATGCTAGTGGAGAGAGGTCTCACAGCAAATTTAAAGCAGGGCCACCTTTCAAGGTGTCAAAAAGATTAGTCAAAGAATTTGTGGGAATGCCTGAATAAGGGTGTATCCAATTAATCTGTCCTAGGACTTGCTGTAACGTATTAAGGCTTAAGTGCTGTGGGAGAATTATTTTTGTAAGTTGCGACCTAAGAGTAGTAGACAAAATAAGACTTCCTAAATAGAGCCACGGAGCCATCAGCTGAATCTTTTCTTGTGCAATAACAAGACCATACTGTGACATATGCTGTACTACCATTGCATAAAGTTGATGCAGTAATGACTGTTGCTGAGCAGCTATCAAAATATCATCCATATAGTGGAAGATTTTTGCCTGGGGGAAGGATTGACACACAGGAAGTAAAGCTTCATGTACGTAAAGCTGACATATAGTAGGGCTATTCATCATCCCTTGGGGCAGAACTGTCCATTGATAGCGTTCAACTGGCTGCTGATTATTATAAGTGGGAATGGTAAAGGCAAATTTGTCTCAATCCTCAGGATGCAAGGGTATGGTGAAAAAAAAAAAAAAAGACAATCCTTTAGATCAATTACAATAAGAGGCCAGTCTTTGGGGATCATAACCGGAGAAGGCAATCCTGGTTACAAAGGTCCCATAGGAAACATCACAGCATTAATAGCATGGAGGTCATACAATAACCTCCATTTTCCTGACCTTTTTGGAATAGTAAAAATAGGAGTGTTCCAGGGACTGGTAGTAGGCTCAATGTGGCCAGCATCTAGTTGTTCTTGTACTAGACATTGAATATGCTCCAGTTTTTCCTTCTTAATGGACCCCTACTCCACCCATACTGGACTGGTAGTTTTCCACTTGATTTTGATAATTTTCAAAGGAGCCGTGGCCCCTACCAAAAGGGCGGTGGGACAGAGAGGTTTAAGCCCCCCTTTTCTAGGGCATCTTGTCCCCACAGAGAAAATGGAATTTCTAAGATAAAGGGCTGAAGATGGGCGACCTTGCCTTCCCAACCCAAAAGTGGAAGGATATGCCTACTTTTTAACTGCTGTTGATACCCTCCAACACACATGATAAGGCAGGAGAGGAAGACCAATCTGAAGGCCACTGTTTTTTAGCTATAATAGTTTGATTGGCCCTGTGTCAATAATTCCCATAAAAATAACTCCATTAATTGTTACTTCCAAGTATGGACTATGAGATGACACTAAACTACTTCAAAAAACTTTCATGCCTGAGTGGCCGAATCCTGAAGCCCTGTGGTCTCTGTTGAGCATTACCTTGAAGATCAGGAATAAGAATAATCTGAGCAAGGTGAGTTCCTTTAGAGATGGTGTGGACCCCTGACACCTGTGCCATAAGTTTTAGTTCTCCTAAATAATCTGAATCTGTAACTCCAGGGAAAATTTGAATTCCTTTAAGTGTACTAGAAGACCTTCCAATAATCAATCCAAATGTCCCTCTGGGTAATGGGCCATAGATCCCAGTTGAAATCAGCTGGACCCCATCTTGCTCTTTAAGCACCATGTCCGTTATGACTGCGAGGTCCAGCCCTGTGCTGCCAGAGGTGGTGGAAGAGAGGTCATGGATGCTACTTCTGGTCCTGACTCGGGAGGGAAAGCCATCCCCCAAGTTTGGAGATTGGTGTTCCTCCATTGACTTTTCTGGGTGCTGAAGGTCTCACCCCTTTTCCCATTTCCCGATAATGAGTTTCCTTCCTTATCAAATTTTGATTTGTTAGCCCAGTGTTTACATTTACCGCATCACTGGCATTCTTTAGTGGGTATTTTAGGGGCCTTTGATTTCTCTGGGACTCCCTTTTGTCGGCATTCTTTGGCCATATGCCTAGTTCAACCACAATTATAACACGTGGCCCTGGTCATCATTGCAGGAAAAGTCTGAGCCAGATGAGTTGTAGTGCCTACATCCTGGCACAGTTCAGTAAACACACCAATTTCAGTGGCAGTGGCAGTGGCAGTGGCTCGGACTGGGGTTGTTGCTGCCTGACAATCCTTATTTGCATTTTCAAAAGCCAATTGCAACATAAGAAGTTTGGTGGCTTCAGGATGGGGTACCTGTCTTTCGATTGCAGCCAGCAATCAGATGATAAATTTGATGTATGTTTTTGTGGGACTCTGTCTAACTATCACAGAGGAACCCTGGGATTGTCCCATGGGTATTCTCTTCCATGCCTGTATCACCAGCTGCGAGCATTGAGGAAATAGATGACTGTGCACCTGAGCCTGAGCTAAAGCAAAAGGCCCTGTTCCCAATAGCATATCAAGCTGTATTGGGATATTATTATCCAAATTTTGCAAAGATTGCTGCATGGCTAGATCACTATACTCACTCCACTACACAGTATATTCAGCAGCTGAGACCAAAACTTTTACCAGAGTTTTCCAATCATGCAGAATCATCTCATAACCATTTCCCAGAGCCTCAACCATCCCGAGTAAAGGATGAATGTACACCATTTTCGCAGATACTTTTTTTTGACTCCTTAAAGACAGTGACAGGCAAGCTTTCATGCTGTCTCCTGTTATTTTGAACAATGGCAGGGAATGCACCAAAAAGCGCCTCAGGGTCTCCCTAAGTCCCTCCTGGAGGCATCTCTCTAGTAGGGAAGTTTGTCGAGGGGATGCGGCCACCCAGTCATATAGATAGATGTTCGCTGGCTGGAGGTCTTATCCAAGAACCGTCTCTTGGGTGGCCTCCAATCTCCTCAAGGTGGGTGGGAGATGCTGTTGCCTGAACGGGGCCAATGAATGAAGGTCTTCTTAAGGGTGGAGGAAAAGAGGGCAATGGCTTTTCTCTTGGGGGAGGAAAAGGCTCTGGTCCGTCCTCATCATTGCGAGAAAAAGTCTCTTCTTTATGCTGCACTGAAGGGAATAAAGTGGGGGGAGGAGCCCCTCCCTGTTGTTCTGGTTCCTGTGTTTCCTTTCCCTGTAAATCTTCTGAATTCCCTTCAGGTGAAGAAAATGGGCGATCTGACTGACTACGATCTGGAATATAAAGAGGGTACAACGCAGAGCGTACCAGACTCCAGGTGGTTTGGTAAAATTGCCCTGCTCAAATCCTCTTTTCAGGCAGCATCCCACCTGCTCCCATAACTCTAATGTTCCTTGATCAGGGAACCAAGGGCATTCCTGCCAAATTAAAAGCACAAGCTTATGCAAAGCTCCAGACTCTACCGTGAACTGGATAGCCTTAAGTAATTGTTGCACTGTTTTAAAAAATACTTTCTGCTTTTTGGTCAACTCCTAGCCCATGGTAACCCAACCCCTAGTATTATACGGGTTGGTCCTGTCCTGAAAACGGGTCGGGACTGTCCCTTACCGGTATTCCCCGAAGACTGGTGAGTCATCCTACTCCATGCGTTTAACTTAAAGGCAATCATGTCAGGGTCACCACTTGCAGGTTGGTCTGCAGTGAACACCGAGAAATAAGTATTCAGACAATTATAGCTGAATGGGGTGAGGAGCAACTCCTCCAAGGGAGTGCTGCGAGCAATGAGGAAAAAGACGGCCGTCCACCTGAGCCTGAGCTAAAGCATCTACAAAGATGGATCTAAAAAGATCCGTCTGCCACGTATTTATTGAGAAGGTTTGTTGAACTACAATTCAGGCAAACAAGAAATATCTACGAGGTGGCTATTTGTGCTCGGGTCATGAGACGCAAATGGCCTTGTTTATTACATCTAAAAACACTCAAACCACATTCTTAGGTGTTGTGTTCAGCACTCCTTATCACACATCCTGTTCCTTGTCCTGTTTTGAGAGTCAAGGAGTTACAGTCTCATGCACAAACAATATGCACATAGTGCCTCAGCATTTTTCCATGCCTCGACCTCAAATGCCTTGCACATAAGCTTGAATGTGTTGTCATACACTCCCCACAAATAGCCACTCTGATTAGTGTGAGATGGTATCTCATTGTGGTTTTGATTTGCATTTCTCTAATAATCAGTGATGTTGGGCTTTTTTTATGTGATTTTTGGCCGAAAGTATGAGAAGTGTCTTTTCTTTTGAGAAGTGTCTGTTCATGTCTGTTGCCCACTTTTTAATGAGATTGTTTGTTTTTCTCTTGTAAACTTGTTTAACTTTCTCATAGAGCTGGGTATTAGACCTTTGTCAGATTAGATCCCATTTGTCAATTTTTGCTTTTGTTAGAATGGCTTTTGGTATCTTCATCATCACATCTTTGCCAGTGCTTATGTCCTGAATGGTATTGCCTAGGTTTTCTTCTAGGGTTTTTATAGTTTTGGGTTTACGATCTTTAATCCATCTTGAGTTGATTTTTAGAAAAACTAATAAAAAGATTGAGGCTAATAATGTTTCATGTTACTTTCTTTAATAAATGTTGAATTCACTTTTATTTTCTCTTATCTGACTTGTCTTTACCCTTTCTCAATCCCTCATTCTCTTTACCATTTCTCAATTTCTCAAGGCAAAAATTTGAATTGGCTGTTTGCTTAACATCAGCCTTCAATGTAACTTTGTACTGATAATAATAAGCATTGTCTGAAATTTCAGAAGGCAATAAAGTCAGCAACCACTCCTGGAAATATTATCTGGCTGGCTGTGTTTTACTACAAAGGTGGTTAGTTGGATATTCAGTAAATTAAAGGGAATTGATGTAATAAAAATAAACAGCAAAAAGGAAAACAGTGACAGAAATCTCAAATTTAAAAAGCCCATTCTCAGCCAGACACAGTGGCTTATACTTGTAGTCCCAGAACTTTAGGAGGCCACGGCAAGAGGATCACTTGAGCCCAGGAGTTCAAGACTAGCCTGGACAACATAGTGAGATCCTGCCTCTACAGAAAAAAAAAATAACTGGGTATGGTGGCACACACCTGTAGTCTCAGCTAGTTGGCTGAGGTGGGAGGATCCCTTGAGCCTAGGAGGTTGAGGTTGCAGTAAGCCATGATGGCACCACTGCACTCTAGCCTGGGCTACAGAGAAAGATCCTTTTTTTTTTTTTTAAAGTCCATTCTACAGCATTATTAAAAAGACAAAAGAAAGCAAGTGAAGATGTAGAGAAAAGGGAGTCCTTGTATACTGTTGGTGAGAATGTAAATTAGTACAGCCATATAAAAAATAGTATGGTGACTCTTCAAAAAGTTAAAAATAGAACTACCGCTACCATATGATCCAGAGGATATGAAATAGATATGTCAAAGAGATATTTGCATCCCCATGTTCATTGCAGCAATATTCAAAATAGCCAAGAAATGGACATTGTTTCCAACAACAGATGAATGAATTTTTAAAATGTCGCATATATACACAATGGAATATGATTAAGCCTTAAAAATAGGAAATTCTGTCATTTGTGACAGCATGGATGAATCAGGAGGACATTATGTTAAGTGAAATAAGCCAGGCACAGAAACACAAATACCTAATGATTTCACATATTTGGAGTGTAAACATGTTGAACTCAGTGAAATACTAAAATCGTGGTTACCAAAGGCTGAGGGGCAGGGGGGAAATAGGGAGATATTGGTCAAAGGACAACATTTAAATTAGGATGAATAAGTCCAAGAGAGCTGTTGTATATCTTAGTGACTACAGATCATAATAATATATTGTATATTTGAAAATTGCTGAAACAGTAGATTTTAAATGTTCTCACTGCAAAAAAAACATGATAATTATGGGAGGTAAGGTATATGTTAAATAGCTTGATTTACTCATTCTACAATGTATACATATTTCAAAATATCATGTTGTACACTATAAATATATACAATTTTTACTTGTCAATTTAAATAAATATTTAAATTCTAATAAGTACATGAATTTCTGATAAAATAGTAATATAATCATAACTGACTCTCGTTACTTATAACAATGGAAAGCAAGGTCAATTTTATAGGGCTGGATGAGAAAAAGTGATTCGCATGGAGAAGTAGGGAATGGTGGCTAGGCCTGTGGTCTCTAGAGCAGGGTTTGGCAAACTACAGCCCATAGACCAGCTGCCAATAAAATGTTATTGGAACACTGTCATCCACATTAATTTATAAATGGCTGCGGCAAAGCTGAGTATTTACAACTGAGATTGCATGGCCTATAATGCCTAAAATATTCACAATATAAGTTGAAGAAAAAGAACAACAACTAAATAACTATAGAAATAGTTAAAGCTAAAACTCTAAATAAATTTAAATGGATTACTAACAAATATTCGAGCAATCCAAAAGAAAGTAGGAAATAGGAAACAGAGAAACAAGAACACAGAAGATATCAAGATAAAGCAAATAGTAAAATGTTTGATATGTCTCCAAATCCATCAAAAATTACATTAAATGTAAATAGTTTCAATAGATCACTTAAAAGGCAGACTATAAAATTATTACAACAAAAAGAAGCAACTATATGCTGTTTATAAGAAATTCACTTTTTTTTTCTCTTTTTGAGATGGAGTTTTGCTCTTGTTGCCTAGGCTGGAGTGCAGTGGCAGGGTCTCAGTTCACTGCAACCTCTGCCTCTTGGATTCAAGCAATTCTCCTGCCCCAGCCTTCCAAGTAGCTGGGATTACAGGCATGTGCCACCACACCCAGCTGATTTTGTATTTTTAGTAGAGATGGGGTTTCACCATGTTGGTCAGGTTGGTCTCAAACTCCTGCCCTCAAGTGATCCACCTGACTCGGCCTCCCAAAGTGCTGGGATTACAGGCATGAGCCACCGCAACCAGCCAGAAATTCACTGTAAATATAATGATTTGTAGTTTAAAAGCAAAAGGGTAGAGAAATATAAACCATGAAAACACTAATCTTAAGAAACTTTGAGTGCTATATCAACAAATAAAATAGACTTTGCAGCAAGGAAAACTGTGAGAGATTAAGAGTGACCTTACACAATGATTAAAAGCATCAATTTACCAAGAAGTCATATCAATTAGATTATGTACCAAAAAATAGAGCTTCAAAAATGCATGATGGAAACACCGATAGAACTGAAAGGAGAAATGGAGAAGTTAAAAATTAGAGTTGGAGATTTAAACTGTCTTTTCTGGGTAATGAATAGAACAAATATACAACTATTATGTATCCATAAAAATTAAAAATTAAATTAAAATTAGAACAAAGAGACAAAGCAACCATCAAAAATGTTTTAAAAATTAAACAACACTATCCATCAACTGGAACTAATTGGCATTTATGGACACTCTACTCAATAGTAGAAGAAATGCAAATAATTTTCAAGGGCACATGGAAAATTCACCAGAATAAGCCATAATGCTAAAACAAATTAAAATAATTTAAAAAATCAATGCATTATCTACACATAGTGGGATTAAATAGAAATCATTTAAAAAGATGTATGGAAAATCCCCCCAACACACGTACATACCCAGGCATAGTTGGAAATCAAACATGTTTCTGAATAGCCCACCGGGCAAAAGCAAACTAAAACCACACTGAGATATCACTTCATACCATTAGACACCTCTTAGAATGGCTAAAATAAAAACATATTGACAGTACTGAGGATTGGTAAAAATAAAGAGCCATTTGAAGTCTAATATTTTGCTGTTGTGAATGCAAAATGTGACATCTACTCAGGAAAATAGTTTAGAGGTCTCTTATAATGTTGAATATACACTTAACTGTTTGACCTAGCAATGATGCTCCTAAGTACTCATCCTAGAAAAATGAAAACTTATGTTTAAACACAACCGTGTATATGAATGTTTACAGTAGTTTCATTCATAATTGCCCAAAACTGGAACCAACTCTAATCCCATGCAATAGTTGAATAGATAATCTCTGGCACATCCATACAGTGAAAAACTAGTCAGCGATCTAAAAAAAAAAAAAAAAAAAACTGTTGATACCCTCAACAACATAACATGAACAAATCTCAAAGGCATTATGCAGAGGGAAAGAAGCTAGTCTCAAAAGGTTTCATTCTCTGTTAATTCATTTATATGACAGAAAACGCAAGTCTACAGAGACAGAGAACGGATCAGTGGTTGCCAGGGAGTAAGGGTGGCAGAGGAGAAAGAGTATGACTATAAAGGGATATACAAAATATACAAGGAATATTTTGTGATGATGGAAATTTTCTGTATCTTGATTATTATGGTGATGACATGAATCTATGCATGTACTGAAAATTAAAAAACTGTACACAGAAAACCAAATTATTTTATTGCATATAAATTTTTAAAAATTATGGTGGCAAAACAAAATACCAGTTTGTGATTTTTTTTTTTCTTTTTTGAGACAGAGTCTTACTCTGTCGCCCATGCTGGAGTGCAGTGGCACTATCTCGGCTCACTGCAAGCTCTGTCTCCTGGGTTCACGCCATTCTCCTGTCTCAGCGCCGGCCACCATGCCCGGCTAATTTTTTGTATTTTTAGTAGAGACGGGGTTTCACCGTATTAACCAGGATAGTCTCGATCTCCTGACCTCGTGATCTGCCCACCTTGGCCTCCCAAAGTGCTGGGATTACAGGCGTTAGCCACCACACACGGCCTGATTTCTTAATTTAGCTTACTTGCTTTATTAATTAGAATAGGCAAAAAACTAGAAGCAGGCAGAGACTAGGTCAAAGACGAACTTATTATTTCTTCAGGCAGCATAACAGACCTACTTGGTTGACCCTTTTACAGAATATTGGAAGTAAGCGTGCATTTTTAAATGGCTGTAATATAACTAATAATGAGCCCAAACCATATAAATTACTTCTACTTGATAAAATTCTTCTCTTTAATGGTCACATCTGGAGTCTCTTGGTGCATATGCTTTTCCACCGTAATTCAAATATTCCATTACAAACATTTTTAGTAAAAAGTTTTTTATAAATAAAGTTTCTTCCACAGTAGTTTGGACTTGACTGTTTTAAAGTATGTATGCCAAGAGGTGCAACATTAATAACCTTAGTCCTGCTGAATACCAGTACTTCTAGTCCAAGTTCTATCACTATGTAATACCTGAGCAAATCAATAAATACCTCTACCTTCATTTTCCTCATTCATAAAACAAGAGTTTTATACTAACTCTAGGACACATTTTATCTGAAAACATCCACATTTTGTGATCCTAGTAGTATACTGCAGCCTATTTTGGAGGGACAGCTTTGGGCAGTTTTTCCTCTAAGAAAGACATGTTCTTGAAGGCCTACCTCTTCATTGCCTTATTTATTGCCCCATTAGGCAATATAAAGTTAATCTCAAGTACTATTAGTTAAACATTGACTCTGTGTCAAACTGTTAAGATAGGGTGATTATCTGCTTATAAAGGGTATTTTGATTAAATGATATATTTCTGGACAATGACAGATCCATGTTAGAATTGTAATCCTATCTCCTCTCAGCTGTATGACTTTTAACAAGCTCATTGGTTTAAATTTCTCCATCTACAAGACACAGCAGTAGCCCCTAATAAGGGTGTTGTGAAGAATAAATCAAACAGTACATGAATATACTTAACAGAATGCCTCATGCATAATAATTTACTATTATTAGAGTCTTATAAACTCCAATTTCTACTTTTTCTTGATATGAAATAATTGAGCACTGAACAGTATGTATTTTCAATACACAGTAATGATAAGCACAGCATCAGAGGTTCATCCAAAACCACACGTACTGCCACCTCTACCTTTGTAGGAGAAGGGGGCCAGGAAAAGTGTATTTGTCAGAAATATGCTGAAACTGTGAAAGAAAAGAAAAAGAAAATACATCAATTCCTTAAACTGAGAAACTTAAGTCAGTTTCACCTGTTCTGTAGTACCAATAATGTCCATGAAAATGAACATAAAAATAAAACCAAAGAAGATCTAGGAGCACTTTGAAAAACTAAAAAGTCACTGATACTTTAATTAGGCCATCCTATTCCACTGCAAAACTTTGCATTACTCAGCACACACATTTCATACATAAATCTTCCAGTTTTTAGCTATGATCATTTATGTATTCTTTATTGATAACTGTGATGATTTGTAAAGAAGTCCTCCTGTACTAATTTCCCAAGGGGCCATTAAAAATAACCATAAACGTGGTGGCTTAAACAACAGAAATTTATTTTCTCACAGTACTGGAGGACAAAAGTGTATAATGCTGCAGGGTCATGCGTCCTTGGGGTGGACTAGGGAGACTCCATTTCTTGCATTTCTGCAGTCTCTGCCTCTGTCTTCCCATGGCTTTCTCCTCTGTGTGTCTTCCCTCTGTTTGTCTCTTATAAGGACATTTAACATTGGATTTAGGGACCATGTGGACAACCCAGGATGATCTTCTTATTTCAAGACTCTTAACATAATTACATCTGTATAGATTATTTTTCCAAATAAGGTAACACTCACAGTCTTCCAAGGTTTAGTACATAGTCATATATTTTTGAGGGTCACAGTTCAGCTCCAATACCCTGAAAATTACATGTTTCTGATAGTCTTTCAGCTATAGGGTCTTTCCTTTAATCTCTATTCCTTTACTTCTCATGTTCTCCTCGGACTTCCTTTCTTTTCTTTACCACCATCAATTATCATGCCTGATAGAAAATTTAAGTGAATGACTGAGTAGGAGTTACCAGTTTTTCAAAAGCTAAGGTAAGCAACTGTAGTCTAAAAAAAATGATGGTGAAGGCCTTGGTCACTAGTCCAACTATTTCTCTTCATTGATTTTAATCATCCTACAACTATGAAGAGGTTTATGTTAGAGTCCTCCAGACAATGTAGAAGTTAAAGAACTATGATTTTTCTTGAGTAGTGAAATGACAGATCAACATAAACTGGATCTGAACATAAATCACTTGATAAAACGTGTAAGTTGGCCAGGTGCAGTGGCTCACACCTGTAATCTCAGCACTTTGGGAGGCTGAGGCAGGAGGATCACTGGAGCCCAGGAGTTCTAGAAAAATAATAATTTTACAGTGGAGAAACTTGATAAACACTACCTCAGCCAAGATTAGTGTTAAGGTCAACATCAACAGTGATCAGTCGTGGATACCTTTAATACGATGTAATGAAAATGGCACTTTACCTCTGTGGTATTCTTTCCCTGAAGGCATAACCTATAGCCCAGGACCAATCATCAAAAAATTCATCAAGAAAAACATCAAAGAAATTCCAGTTGAAAGACATTCTATAAAATACCTGACCCGTATTTCTCAAAAGTTTCATGATTGTCAAAAACAAGGAAAATCTGAGAAAGTGTCACATGAAAGAAAGCTAAAAAAAGACAGAGTGACTAAATGGTATATGGTTTCCTGGATGAAATTCTGGAACAGAGAAAGGACATTAGGTTGAAACTAAATAAACCTGAAAAAAAGTGTAGTCTTTAGTTAAAAATAATGTATTAATATTGGTTCATTAATTGTAACAAATGTAACATATTAATGAAAGATGTTAGTAATAGGGGAAACATTAGGAGGTATGTGGCAACATTCTGTACTATCTTCCCAAATGTTTTGCAAATTGAACTGTGCTAAAAATAAAATTTATCAAAAATATCACCCGCAGGAGATAAGATAGTTTTTATTTATTAGTTTAATAAATATTTTTGTATCCTTTCCAAGTGGCAGGAGCCAGGCAAAGACCAAGGATACAGAGGTAAGGAATAGTCAGGGATCTTACCTTAATAGACCTCAGGTCACTTAGTGAACATAGCCATTAAGCAGGTGACTAAATATAGAGTGCTATGATAGGTAGTGCTATCATATGTTGAACATGGTTATAATCTTAAGGTTTCTTTGCATTGCCTGAGTGAGGAAACTTAGTTCCCCGCCCCTCCCATCCCCTCCCCTCCTCTCTCAATCTCTCTCATCCTCCCTTCATTTCTTTCCCTTCCCCTTCCCTCAACTACTCCAGCTCACTCTCCTCTCACCTTTTATGATAGACTACCGTTTTATATTTTGTTTCAGTGTCTCATTGAATCTACCATACTGCCAGGCCCTAAGCAAGGGTTTATAAGCATTGCAATTATTATACATGATTTCATAAATGTTTGTTAAATTAAATTAGGTATCCAAAATCCTTAAATGGGTAATTTGAGGAACCGTGAAGGAGAATTTGAAAGCTAAGAGAGGAAGGAATAGTTTATAGCAGTAACTAATCTGTCTGCAAACCAAGGCTAGAAGTACTATAAAGATGATATCTTTTGCCCAACCTACTCATCAAGATGCAAAGCTCATCATTAATATAATTTACATTTATTGAGTAGGAGTTCTGTGCCGCACATACTGCATAATGCATCATACACGTTATCTTAGGGAATCCACCGAGCAATCCCCTGAGATAGGAACTATTTATTCTCCCAATTTTAGGGGTGAGATAACTGTGACTTAAAGAGGTTAACTAGTTTTCTCAAGGTCACATAATTAGCAAATGACAGCTCAGATTCAAACAAAGCTCAGTAGTTCAACTCCAGATCATACTGTCTGAAAAACAAGAATAAAGTATTGACCTCCTTTTTAGTAATAGCCTGCTTCATGGTCTAAAGACCGGGAGAATTGACAGGTAAATACTTATTTTTTAACTACTTCTCTTTCTGTTGTCATTGATTTAAATAATAAATATTCATTCAATTTTTGTAAATAAAATATTTATTTATTGTATAGTTGATCATTGTTGTAGAAATGTCAGTCAATAATTTGTGTTTTGTCAAGTTTCTTAATACACTTCAGACCCTTGAGATTAAAACGACTTCTTTTTAAAACTTTTTAAATTATATATATAATTATACTATAAAATTATACTATTATTTTTATTTGTAATTATTAATATATATTTTAGTAAGACTTCTCA
The DNA here is from genome assembly GCF_000001405.40 of Homo sapiens. NCBI lineage: Eukaryota > Metazoa > Chordata > Mammalia > Primates > Hominidae > Homo > Homo sapiens. The sequence goes on along the minus strand of NC_000008.11, from coordinate 78,635,145 downwards.
GGATATACTTCAGGAAAAAAATAGAATAAAACAAAAATTTAATTGTATGCCAAGAAATTGATTGATTTTCTCAAAATATACCTGCTGCTTATAATTATTATGTTATCAAATAATTTTTCAAAGGCTAAGAAATGCTAAGACATTGTTTTCAGAATTATATATTTTATTTTCAAAATTGTGGTTAATTTTATAATGTATATAGTCCAGAGGGAATAAAAATTTACTTCTTGCAATGATTAATTTTATGTTTCAATTTGACTGTGCCAAGAGGTGCCCAGATTAAACGTTTTTTTTGGTCTGTCTGTGAGGATGTTTCCGAATAAGATTAGTATTGAGTAGGTGGACCCAGTAAAGTAGATGGTACTCCTCCTCCGTGTGCCTGGGCATACTCCACTTCGCTGAGTACCTGAAAAGAATGAAAAAAAAAAAAAAAAGGCAGCAGAAGAAGGAATTCACTTTTCCCTTCTGCCTGATTGTTTGAGTTGGAACATCTATATTCACCAGCCTTGGCATTGGCACTCCTGGTTCTCAGGACTTTGGATTTGGACTGAATTATATCACCAGCTCGCCTGGATCTCCAGGTTGCAGAGGGCAGATTGTAGAACTGCTCAACTTCCATAATTGCCTCTGTTAATATAAGAGTTAGCATGAACCAATTTCTTATAATAAATTTCTTCCAAAATGTATATCCTTTGGTTCTGTTTCTCTGGAGAATTCTGAATAATGCACTTCTTGTGGAGTAAAAATTTCATAATTCTCATTTGACCTTTATTTAAACTTTAAAAGGATTGCAAATGCTTCGTCATATCTTTTATTTAAGACCAAGTGAAATGAGAGTGTTAGAAATAATTAAACTTCTTTTGACTAATTGGTATTGAATTCACTTTTGTTCAAACAATTCTAGTAATGAAAAATCTCCAAGAATACGTATGAAATAATTCATATTAAGAGATATATACAATGTTAATATAACCTAAATAATATTAGTAACCAGAGCAAGAGAAGAAAAGGTAATGATGCTTGGTCACCCTCTAGTGGCTTTTCATTAGGAATTAGCTAGGGGAAACTGCAGTAGTATGAGAACCACACAAAAAGAAAACATCTGCAAAATTTCTTTTATTAAAATAGTTATAGTTATTGGGGCTTAGTTGGTTACATTTAAACTTCATCACTTTCTAGGATGTAAGTAAACCACTGTAGAAATAGTTAATAACTTTACACTGTTTTGTCAAAAGTTAACTTGTTTTTTCTTTTAAATAAAGGAAAGAAAACATGTTTAACAGCTGCTCATGGAGAAGGGATAATCTTACTCTATACTTATGATTATTAGGGAATGTTCAGTTCATTTTATTTTATTATTCTTATTTAAAATTAACATATTTAGGAATTATGTGTTTATATTTTAATAATGTAACCAGAGTTCATAGTGTTATTTTCTAGATCTTAAAAATAGTGTTTTTCATGAATACATAATTGTCAGTGCCATTTTATATATGTATATTTAAATTTCACATTTCCTAAATTTTGTTTGATTCTGATCAAGGTATAAAGCATGGCTAAAATAAATTCTTAAAATTTGGAAATTAAGTAAAAACTCTAATTCTGGTTATTGAATCCTGTTTTGGCTACTTACTATGATTTGAAGCAAATAACAATAATATATTTATCTATGCCTGCATTCTCATCTGTAAGACAGAAATGTATATCTTCTGAGAAGCAAATAGTATAATATATCTCTTAACAAGTGAGAAAAGATAATTTTAGGATTTTTTCTGAATGCATTTCTATTCGCATTAGCATGAGTTTAGGGTTTTTCTTTTATTTTCAAACAAAGGAATTTGTTTTGTTCTTTAGAGTTATTTAATTTTTTATATTTATTTTAAAATTAGCATTGTTTAACCTATGCTCATAAAGAGTTATGAAATATACATATAAAGTGGACAACTTGTGTTCCATCTGCCATGATTTACAGTTTCCAAGGTTTGTAAAAATTCTCTGTTGCTCTAAAATATGAGGATTTTGTGTAAAATATAAATTGGTAAAAAATAGTATTTAAAGGAAGGATGAAATATTGTAGATGTTTGGAGAGGGCATTAGAAATACTGTAGTTTGTCACCTTTGCCAACAGTTCTAATAAGAGATGGAAAGTGGGAAAGTCATGTAGATGCCATAGGTAGAACATTATTTTATTCATTATTGTTTACTTTAGAGCAAGAAAACAGGAACCTGTGACTAAAAAGAATCTAGATCAATCTTAGAAGTATATTTCTGTACTTTATTCATAGTACAGAAACCATTTAAGGAGTGTAATCTTTAAAACTTCTGCAATGACATATGCCCAGTTCTTGGGATTAGGTAAAGAGTAGCAATAATGCCAACATAGTTACCAAGATAACAGAACTCTAGGCATTCCCATTTCCCATAATCTGGAGGATATTTTCTCTTAAATACTTTTTCATAATCCTAAAGAAAATATATTTAAAATTAAACGCATCACAATTCCCCCCAAAATCTCCCTTCTGAGCTTCTCCAATTTCTACCTATGGTTAGTACCACTCTACAGAACTAGAAAGCAAAATTAACTTCCATCTATGTTTATTTTTTTCCTTGTGGTAAAGTTATTTTGAAAATCAAATTTTGAATCTGTTAAGCATTTTGATTATATATTTTTAAGAGTTCTACTTGATAGAAATGTATAACAAGAAGACCATTTCTATCTCTGAAAATAAGGATAGCTGAGCCTATATGTAAGATTGTTTCTGGAATAATCCAAAGGTTTCTAAGAAAAGCAAGTTAATCCGAATTTTTAGGAAACACTGTAACCAGCAGTAATATTTGCATTCAGAGAGGAAAATAGCTTGATATACGGATAGCCAAAGTTCTGTGTTAAAAGTTGAAACATAACAATCCTAATAATACTTTCAGAATTTCTTTTTTCTGACACATGGAAGAAAACCAGGAGACGGTATCTTTTAGAATGACATGAAAGATGTAGAGCTTCTCCTACCTCCTGGAGTTTTTCCACTCTTAATCATACATGCTATAAGCATAGCTGTGAGGATACTTTCAGGAACTCTAATTCTGAAAGATATCAGAAGAATTGAGTGAGTCTGAAAGGTTTGACACTGAAAAGCCTAAGCAAGAGAAAGAAACAAAAAATGAGGGTTATGTTGCCATGGAAAGCAAAAGAGAACAGAGTATGCCTTGTAGGAGAGGAGAGTGTGATAAGGGTGATAATGTCAAATTGTATTCTATTGTGTATATCTTTATATTTTGTTCTATCTATAATATTCTTAGATTAAAAATAGCTAGTATATGTTGTCATTATGTACAAAATATGAGGATTAATCTAGTTCCTGTTGCTTCCTCTACCTTAGTCAAAAATGAGGTCTATGTCAACAACTGAGTTTTAAAAACTGTGTAAAAAATTTCATGGGTCCATGTGATAGAGATTTATTTATTTAGATTTAGAATAATAGGTAATGAAGGTGCCCTCATTTGTGTGTTTGATGTACAGTTATTGCATGTGAATATCCTTTGCAGTATCCAGTCCCCCATCTCTTCCTGTTCATGTTACAGAACAATGTCTTCATGTTCTTTATTGTCAAATGTGTCATTCTTGATTAAAGTCATACCTCCCATCACAATAAAAAGGTAGCTGTTACTACAATGCCATGCCTCTTTGAAAACTGTTTCAATTTTCAAACAACTGAAAAAAGATCTTGCTGCCACTATGCTTTCCAAATACAATTTTAAAAATCTGGTAATGTGTTTATTCATAATGCTGCCTCATTTATCATTCTACCCATGAATGAATATTGGCTTCCAATATCTCTCTCAAAGTGTGTCACTATGCTTCATTGATCATGCTACAAATTCCAGACTAACTCAAAATATGCAGAAAATGTTAACCATATCCACTTTCTGTTCATGTTAAATTAACTGTTTTTAATTTTATAGTATATATTTCTGCTCTATTTTCTCCAACCATGTCCTCTTTAGGCAGAAATAGCTGCACCCCTAGAATACAATCTCCTTCTGGTTTAATCACTCATTAGTGGTGAATATAGGCCAAGGATCATGTTTAGATTCTCATTTACACAAACAAAAATGTTCAGCCCTCCTCTGTCAGATCTTAAAAATAAACATGGTGTCACAAATTGGCCAGAGACCAGAGAGGACATCAAAATTAGTAAAAAACCTTCTTACTTCAGAGCACATGTTATACCCAACAAAGCACGTATAAAACTGAATATTAGAACTTTTGAAGTAACAGGAATTAAAATAACTAAATCCTATTAGCTTCTTACAAGAGGGCTCCTACTATAGTCTTATTTAATAAAATTAGAACAATTAATATTAAATATATCATGTATGTATGTGTATATATATGTGTGTCAAATAGGATGTTAAGAGATGATTTTTGCAGCAGAAGGAAAATAGAATTTGATATTACAATAGCTGCCCTCAAAGGAACTTATAATTTGGAAGATGAATGTATACACAAGTGCAAAAAGCAACAAACATAGACTGACAGTGGGAAGTACAGGGTTCTGAATATGCTTTAGATTGTTAAAGCAAGACATGTCTACTACAAATATCTGAATCCTTTATGAATTAGAGAGAGATTACAAATTGGATTTCATAATAGTATACGATTGCAAAAATTATTGTTTTATTATAGCATATTTAAGTGTCCTCCTCTGTCCTTTGTTACAGGACCAGTGTCTGTTTTGGAGGCATGGAGTTGGAAATGAGTTGGAGAGATGACGGTAACAGTAGCTTCTAAATATGAACCTGATGCTTATACAACCATTATACCAAAAGTAAAGGTAGCTGTTTAATTCCTTTCTGTGGAGCATGGAAGATTCTTTCTATTTGCATATGCAATAGGCCATTCATAGTTGAATTTGAATATGTAATAGGCCATTCATAGTTGATAGCCTTGGGAAAATGAACTAATTTCTTTACATCTGCATATCCTCTTATATAAAAGGGGATACAAGCATTCAACATCCAAGGCTGCTATGAGGACCAGGTGCAAAGAAGACCTTTTAACACATATTGACCCCTCCTCTGCTTCCTGATTTTCTAAATTATCCATTTGTAACACACTTATTCTCTTAAGGTTGTCCTTGATATTTCTTTTTAGACTAATTTTATCTGCACAATTTTAGGGACTAAAAAGGAGAATGTACAACATAGTTTGTCCAGAAACACGAGTAGATGACTCTTCTTACAGTCAAATTTTGTAGTCCATAAAACATGCAAAATATTTAGTCTATGACAATTTCAGAGCAATGAGACACAGTAGATTCAACCATAATTGAAATCAAAATAATTACCACAGAGATGTATTATTTTTTGCCATATCCTCAGAATAGTAAATCTTTTAAGGCAACTGTAGACACTAGTTAATTTCCTATGAGAGAATGTTCTCTGTGACATTTATAATAAAATCTTCCTTACTAAACTCTACTTATTCTCAATGATATGTTTTTTTTTTATGAAATAAATGTGGCATTCTCAACCAAAGTTAGGAAAGCATAATAATTATGTTTCTCTTTAAATTAAGCTGCTTTCCATCCCAAAAGCAAATACACAGTCCTATTAGGCAACCTGGGACATAAAGGGGCCATTTGGTGTCTTGTGTAACAGACAAAGACAACTGCAGGGCAGCCAAAAGACAGATTTATATCCTGTTAAGAATAGCAGGAAATATTTTAGTTTACAGCAGTATGACACCACTTGTCGTTTCCTTAGGCATACAAGACAAGTCAACTCAAGCCTGTGGATTTTTTGGGTGAATGGAAATAACTCCCTTCTGTGCTTGTTTTTCACTGGAATGCTGACATGTGCAATGCTTGAAAATTCAGATCATCCAGAGTTTACCCTGGCACTTGTAAAGAAGAAACTATTTCAGCAGTACTGCAGTGTCCATTTTCAAGTGAGCAAAAGTGTAGTATGGTAGATGTAGAGAAGAGAAATCACGATTACCTGTTATTTTTCTTAAACTCAGCAGAAATAGTAGAAGAGAACAATCAAGAAATACTATCCCTTCTATTAAAACACTAGAATGTAGACAACTTATAAATTTTAGATTAAAATTCTTCATACAGATCACTAGTTCTCCACAAATGTGAACCTTTCCAAGTCTGTGACTGTGGAAATACTTTGGTCATTCAAGGGCTGTGGCTGTGAGCTATATGTATGTTGTCTGCGTGAGCAAAAATGCTGCCCAGTGAAAAATCAAGTGGAATATGGAGGAATAATTGGCAGTAAAGATAACTGTTTGCTGAGTGCCTAAGATGTGCCAAGCAACTTAAACTCTGTTTGGTTAGGGTTAAGGTAGTCGCTAATTATAAAATTGAGCTGTGGAACCCTGTTAGGGAAAGAAGTTGTTTCAATGTTGGAGTCAGTGAGGTGCCGCTTGTCGGAGAGGTCCCGCTTGTCAGAGAGGTCCCTTGAGTTCCATAATTTTCTTTAGTTCTGAATGAATCCCTGGTTTGTTTGTTTTGTTTTATTCAAAACTTATATGTCTCACATGTCTCTCAGGCTGGATTTTCTAGGAAGCATATGCCATATTTAATGTCTTTAAAACATGCATTCTGTCTGACCTTACATTAACTTTAGGATACATTTTTTTCTATAGGCCAGGAACATTGCTCAATATTTTCAACTATGACTTTCAGTAAAAATGCAGAAACATTTTTATAGTGGATGATTTTTATACTTTCATCAATGCTGAGAGTTGAAAGACAATCTTTTTTTTTTTCTTTTCTTTTTTTTTTTTTTTTGAGATGGAGTCTCACTCTTTTGCCCAGGCCGGACTGCAGTGGCGCTATGTCGGCTCACTGCAAGCTCCACCTCCCGGGTTCACGCCATTCTCCTGCCTCAGCCTCCCAAGTAGCTGGGACTACAGGTGCCCACCACCGCGCCCGGCTAATTTTTTTTTTGTATTTTTAGTAGAGACGGGGTTTCACCATGTTAGCCAGGATGGTCTCGATCTCCTGACCTCGTGATCCGCCCACCTCGGCTTCCCAAAGGTCTGGGATTACAGGCGTGAGCCACCGCGCCCGGCTGGGTTGAAAGACAATCTTAACACCGAGAAGGCATTTTTGAAATGGGAGATTTTAATAATGTGGTTCAAGTGTATTGCATATTGAGCATTTAATCTCACCAAGAGCCGAAGATTTTAGGTCACAAGGAGGTACTATTTCAGTGAGTTCATAAAGCTGCATCTCTCATACAACTTATTTTTCCAAGGAAGACTTTATCAAAAGCTGAATCACAATGTATTCTTATTTATACTTCCTGAAATGTGAAATACCAATATTCTTTAGAGTTTGAAATGGGACTTATAGTCATCCAAAACCAGGACCCCTGGAAGCAGAGACTGGACATTGGCTTATTTCTCCACCTCAGAGTAGGAGGTTTTCCACTTCTCCATTGAGATATGTTCCAGGTCCAGCTGAAGAAGGCAAAAAATGTTCTTCAGATAACTTGTGTAGGCTAACACATGGAGAAATGTGGATTTTCTAAAATTTAATGAAAACCTTGCCAGACTTGGTAGAAAAATAAGAAAATTTTACAAGAGACCAATCTCGCTGACACATATTAATTCAAAAAATACTAAGTGAAATATTAGCAAACAAAATCTATCACCACATTTAAAAATAATAAAGCATTCTGTAGGTTGTCTCATCACTTTGTGGAGTGCATCCCTTGCTATGCAGAAGGTTTTCAGCTTGATGTGATCCCATTTGTCTATTTTTATTTTGGTTGCCTGGACTTTGGAGTTCTTATTCAGGAAATCTTTGCCCAGTCCAATGTCTTAGAGTGCTTCTCCAATGTTTTCTTCTAGAAGTTTTAGGGTTTCCGGTCCTATATTTGTCTTTAATCCATTTTGAGTTGATTTTTGCATGTGACAAGAGATAGGGATCTAGCTTCATTCTTCTGTATGTGAATATCAATTTTCCCCCTACCATTTATTAGCCTGTCCTTTTCCCAATATATATTCTTGATGACTTTGCCAAAAATGAGTTGACTGTAAATGCATGGACTTATTTCGGAGTTCTCTACCCTGTTCCACTGGTTTATGTGTCTGTTTTTATACCAGTACCATGCTGTTTCAGCTACTGTAGCCACTATAGCTTTGTGATATAATTTGAAGTCAGGTAATGTGATGTTCTTTTTGCTTAGTATTACTTTAGCTATTCTGGATCTTTTGTGGTTCTATACAAATTTTAAGCCTTTTTTCCCATTTCTGTGAATAATGTCATTGATATTTTGATAGTATTGCAATGAATCTATAGATTGCTTTGGATAGTATTGACTTTTTAATAATATTGATTCTTCCAATATATGAACGTGGAATATCTTTTCATTTTATTGTGTCCCCTTAAATTTATTTTATCAATGTTTTATGGTATTCCTTGCAGAAATCTTTCACTTCTTTGATTAAATTTGTTTCTAGGTGTTGGAGGAAAATACTTGTAAATTGCTCATTTGACAAGAGATTAATATCCAAAACATATAAGGAGCTCACACAACTCAATAGCAAAAATGAGGGAAATATCTGATTAGACATTTTTCAAAAGAAGACCTACAAATGACCAAAATGCATATGAAAAAGAATACTTGACATTACCAGCCATCAGAGAAATACATATCAAAACTACAATGAGATATCACTTCATCCCAATTAAAGTGGCTTTTTCTTAAGAAGACAGACCATAACTGATACTGGCAAGGATGCAGGGAAAGGGGAATCATCGTACACTGTGGGTGAGAGTGTAAAGTAGTACAGCAACTATGGAGAACAATATGAAGGTTTCTCAAAATCCTAAAAACAGAGCTACCATATAATCCAGCAATCCTACTGCTGAATATATATCCCAAAAAAAGAAAATCAGTATATCAAAGATATAGCTCCACTTCCATGTTTATTGCAGCACCTTTTGCAATAGCCAAGATACAGAATCAACCTAAGTATCTGTCAGTGGATGAATGGATAAAAATATGGTATATCTACACAAGGGAATATTATTCAGCCACAAAAGTGAAATTCTGTCATTTCCAACAACATGAATGAAACTGGAGGACATTATGTTTGGTGAAATAAACCAGGTAGATAAAGAGAGATATGTGTTCTCCTTCAAATGTGGAAGGTAAAATATTAGAACTCAGGAGATAGAGAGTAGAATAATGGTTATCAGAGGCTTGGAAGGGTAGTGGGGAGGGAGGGTAAAGGCGGAATGATTAGTGGGCACAAAACCTCTAGATAGAAGGAATAAGTTTAAGCATTTAGTAGTACAGTGTGAGGACTATAATTAACAATCATTTATTGTATATTTCAAATAACTAGAAGAGTGGAATTGGAATATTTCTAACATAAAGAAATAATAAATGCATGAGGTGATGGTTATCTGAATTATCTTCATTGGATCATTACACACGATATGCTTGCATCAAAATGTCACATATACCCACAAATATTTAAGTGTTAGATATTCAAAAAAATTAAAAGTAAAAAAACTAATGAGAAAAAAACATGACAAAGTGATATTTATTATAGGAATCTAAGGGATATTCAATATTAGAAAACTGTAAATTGAAATCTATCAATTCAAAAGGGTATAGTAAGAAAATAATACTAGCCTCTTCTTAGGTGTAGGAAGGCCTAAAATGCCAATACATGTTTAAAAACCCAAATAAATAGAAATTGATGAACTCCTATTTAACATGATACTTTACAGATACAGTAACTCAAGAACAAGTATCTTACTTAATGGTAAAGTAGCAGAGACTCTCTAGTAAAATGAGCTGTACAAGGATGCCTATTAGCTTCACTGTTATTTCACACTAAGTTGTAAATAGTAGCCTATAAAATAGAGAACAAAAGCATTTAGTGACAACAGTTTTGAAGAGTTAATACTATTTTTTTTTACAGATTTTACAATCATATATCAGAAAAACTAAGAAAGTATCAATGCAAAAATACAACAAATAATTGGTCAATATATAAAAATAAATAGTCTTCATACAGGTAAATAAAACCAGTTAGAATATTTAATGGAATAAAAAGAAATCCCTCTTATGTAGCAAAAAACAAAACATAGTCAGCTAAACAAAAATACAAAAAAATTTCCAAACTTGCCATAAGCATAAAAAGAAATGTCCCAAACCTACGTGACAAAAACTATAAAATACTCCTGTAAGGTGCAAAAGTTGAAATAAATAAATAGAAAACAACTTATATTGCTGAAGAGAAAAACAGATTCAAAGTGATGTCAATCCCTTCTAGGTTAATTTTAAAATTTTAAATAATTCCAATAACCATACCACTATAATTTTTTTTCTGGAGATGAAAATTGATTATAAAGTTCATTTAAAAGAATAAATAAACAAGAAATGGTTAAGAAAAACCTTGGGAAGGGGGTACAATAGCATAGGTGATAAACTATTGTCCTTAGCAGATATTAAAGCATCTTATATTTTTTCTCTATCATTAAAAGAATATGGTGTGCTTAATTGACTGGACATACCAAAAATAGAACAGAAAACAAACTCCAGAAATAGACCCAATTCCATATGAATATTTAAAATAGGACAGTGGTGGCTTTTCAAATATATGAAGTCAAGACAGACATTTTAATAAATGGTATTAGAAATCCATATAAAATAAGATAAATTGCATCTGTTCTGTCATGACAAATTCCAAATTAATCAGAAACTTAAATGTAAAAAGTAAGATTATAAAAGAACCAGAGGAAACATTAGTGAATTCTTCTATAAACTGGGAAATAGAAAAATTCTCCTATGACTCAACACCCAAAAGTAATACTGAAAAACATGGACACATTTGACTACATAAAAAGCATTTTTACATTTTACAAAAATGCCAAAATCAATTTTTTTAAAGGACAACCTGGGAATAAAAAAATTTCCAACTTAGATCACTAACAGAATATCTATCTACCTGTATATTATCTATCTATCTATCTATCTATCTATCTATCTATCTATCTATCTATCTTCTCAAAAGACTAAAGTAAAAGACTAATGGTACTGTAGAAAAATGGACAATGTATCTGGACAGTTCTAATAAAAGCAAAGGCAAATGGTGTATAACTAATTAAACACAAATTCTAACTCTACTGTCATACCTTTCCTCACTTAAAATACTGTGTTAGTGGCCACGCATTATGGCCCAACCTGTAATCTCAGCACTATGTGAGGCAGAGGTGGGAGGATCACTTGAGGCCAGGATTTCAAGACCAGCCTGGACAAAATAGTGAGACCCTGTCTCAGAAAAAAAAAAGAAAAGAAAGGAAAAAGAAAAGCTGGGCTGACCATGGTGCCATGCGTCTATGGTTCTAGCTACTCAGAAGACTGAGAGGGGAGAATTTCCTGGGCCCAGGAGTTTTAGGTTGCAGTGAACCTTAATTGCACTACTTCACTCCAGTCTGGGCAACAGAGTAAGATCCTATTTCTTAAAAAAAATTAAATAAATAAAATAAAAATTAAAATACTCTCTTAGTGATCTCTGTAGAAATTGAACTTTCCTATATTGCCAATTGAAATGTGAAATAGTTCATCCCTATTGAGGGGAATTTGTCAATATCAAGCAAGAGTATATATGCATTTTCACTCAGATTCATAGCTCCTATTCCTAAATGCACACACACACACAAAATTATTCCCAATGATATCTATTACTGTATTATCTGTAGGAGCAAAACATAGGAAATAATTCAGGTGTCCATCAATAGTGAACTGTGATGATATATTCAGACAAGAGAGACTCTGAGATGTAAAAAGGCATGATGGCTATCTCTATGTGGTGCTATGCAGTGAACTCCAGCAAGTATTGTAAATCAAAAATAGCCAGGTGGGAAAAAAAAAGACGTGCATCCCAAGCATCCCAATGCATATGTGCATTTATTTAGAGTAAAAATTGAACAAAATATGAAAAATATAATGGCTACTTATGAGGAAGAGAGGAAATTGTATAGAGGCACAAAGATAGAAACTTGAATTTCTCTAAATATGCTAGAAGAGACTTGAGTATCTGTGGATTTTAGTATGCACAATGGTACTCAAAATAACCCCCCCATTACAATCCTCTCCCCAAATTACAGGGAGGACTGTAATTTGTTTTGGAAACATTAACAAAATTCAGTAAACAACTATATTAAAATTAAAGCGAAATAAATAAATGAATAATACATAAATAAATGACCCTAATTGTGTATGGATGTGAATTCATAACTACATAGGAATAATCTCAAGTGATTTTGTAAGACCTTAATTTAATGGTACAGAGTAGGCTATATTCTGAGGCTAAAAAGACTTGCACAATCCCAACAATCATATTATGTTGGTATGTTTTTTGTATGCGTGTGCACACATATACACCTGAATATATTCTAAATATATAAATAACATAGTACATTGTATTCTTTGACATATTATATATGAAATGTTATTAAGAGAAAAACAGAGATAGAAAAACGGAGTCAGAAAAAAGCATGTGCCTCAAAAGAGTTTCGAGAACCTGACCCTTCACATCAGCCTTTCAACAAATAACTACAAGGCTTGTTCAAAAGCAAGAAAAAAGAGTTTGAAGAGACAAAGCAAACATTAGAACTAGGCTTATATGTGACAAGATTTCAAAAATCTTATACAAGAAACTTAAAATAACTATGATTAGGCTGGGCGCTGTGGCTCACGCCTGTAATCCCAGCACTTTGGGAGGCGGAGGCAGGCGGATCGCGAGGTCAGGAGAGCAAGAGCATCCTGGCTAACACGGTGAAACCCCGTCTCTACTAAAAATACAAAAAATAGCCGGGCGTGGTGGCGGGCGCCTGTAGTCCCAGCTACTCGGGAGGCTGAGGCAGGAGAATGGCGAGAACCTGGGAGGCAGAGCTTGCAGTGAGCTGAGATCGTGCCACTGCACTCCAGCCTGGGCGACAGAGCGAGACTCTGTCTCAAAAAAACAAAACAAACAAACAAACAAAAAACTATGATTAATATGCCAAAGTTACTAATAGCGAAAGTTGATAATATGCAAAACTCGATGGATAATGTAAATATAGAGATACAAACTCCAAGGAAGAACGAAAGGAAATGCTAGAAATCAAAAGCGCTGTGACAGAAATTAGGAATACCTACATGGCAGGGGAGTTGATGAGCTTCCATATGACAGCAGACACTTCCCTAATGAAATTCAAAAAAGTATGATAAAAGTATGAAAAATGGCACAGAATATCCTGGAACTAGAACATTTAGAAAAAAATAAATATAAGCATAGTGGGAAGACTAGAAGAAGAGAGAAAGGAACAGAAAAAATACTTGAAATAACAATGGCTGGGAATTTTAAAAATTAATGACAGACATCCAGACATCAAACCACAGATCTAGGAATCTCAGAGAACACCAGGCAGGATACATACCAAAAAATCTGTACCTAGGTCTATCATATTCAAGCTGTAGAAAACCAAAAACAAGAAGAAAATTTTTGAAAGAAGGCGGAGGGAAAAAAACAAACAGCAAAATACCTTATGACCTTAGCTATAGAGGAAACTATGCAAACAAGAGAGTACCATGCAATATCTAAAGTATTAAAAGAAAAAAACCCAACTTAGAATTCTATATCCAGTAAGATTGTCCTTCAAAAGTGAATGAGAAATAAAGACTTTCTCAGACAAATGAAAGCTGAGGAATGTCATTGCCGGCAAGTCTGTCCTACCAGAAATGTTAAAAAAATTCATAAAAGAAAAATTAAAGAGGTCAGAAACTTGGATCTACATAAAGAAAAATAAAGGGTCAAAGAAGGAATTAATGAAGGTAAAATAAAATCTTTTTCTTGCCTTATTCTAAATTGATTTAATAGAAAACTACTCAAAAGAATAATTGTAACAATGCATTGGGTTATTATAGCACATGGATAAGTAAAATGGATGACAGCAGTGTTAAAGGGAAGGGAGGGAAGAATTGGAAATACTTAATTATAGGTAAGTTGAACTTTATTAAAACTAATAATTTCTTCTGTGTAAAAGATACTGTAAAGAGAATGAAGAGAAGCCATATACTGGGAAAAATTATTTTAAAAAACTCCTATCTGATAAAGGACATGTATCACAATGATAGCAAGAGCTCTCAAAACTCAATAAGAAAACAACCCAACTAAAAAATGGGTAATAGATTTGAACAGGCTCCTCACCAGGAGGATATGCAGATGGTAATTTAGCTCATAAAAATATACACAAAATCATTTTTCATTAAGAAATTACAACTTAAGGCTGGGCACAGTAGCTTATGCCTGTAATCCTAGTATTTTGGGATGTTGAGGTAGGAGGATCCCTTGATGCCAGGAGTTCAAGATCAGCCTGGGCAACAAAGCATGATCCCACCTCTACAAAAAATAAAAATATCAGCCAAGGGTGGGAGGAGCGCTTGAGTCCAGGAATTCGATGCTACAGTGATCTATGATTGCACCACTGTGCTCCAGTTGGGGGGACAAAGTGAGACTGTCTCAAAAAAAAGGAAAAAATTGGAACTTCACAACATAAAACAGTAATGACATCACTACACACCTATTAGAATGAGTAAAATAAAAAAAATGCCAAATGCTGGTGAGGGTACAGAGCATCAGATATTCTCATTCTTTGTTGGTAAGAAGGCAAAACGGTACAATTACTTTGGAGAAAGGCTGGCAACTGTTTTGGAAGGTAAACATAGTTTAACCACTTACTCTAGCAAGCATGCCCTTAGGTATTTACCCAATTGAGTTGAAAACTTTTGTCTACACAAAAGCCTTCATGCAAATGTTTACTGGTCTTTTATTTTTAATTGACCCAAACTGGAAGCAAGCAAAATGTCCTTCAATAGGTGAATGTATAAACAAACTGTGGTACATCTATACTAGGAAATATTATTCAGCTATAAAAAGTTATCAAATCATAAAAGACATGGACACATGCATATTACTTAAATGAATATTGCTAAGCAAAAGAAGCCAGTTTGAAAAGGCTACATACTCTGCTTAAAAATATGTCATTCTGGAAAAGGGAAAATTATAGAGGCAATGAAATATCGGTGGTTGCCTGGAGCTTAGGATAGGGGGACTTGGTAAATAGGTGATGCGTAGATGATGTTTAGGCTGGTAAAACCATTCTGTATTATACCGTAATGATGCATACATGCCATTATACATACATGCCATTATGCATTTGTTAAAACCCACAAGAGTTTACAGCCCAAAGATTTAGCTTTAATACATGAAATTTATGAGTACATATATATATGTGTGTGTATATATATGTATATATATACATATATAAACACACACACACACACACACACACACACACACACACACACACACACACACATATATATTTAAGGAGTCAGAGGATCCCAGGAAAGAATGCAGGCTGTCACAAGACAATCTAACTGAATTAAAAACGCACAAGACAATCTCACTTAGTGTAGTGGTATCTACTTTAGTAACTTTAGAAATAAATGGAGTTTGTATGATTAAAGGCAAAAAGAACAGCATGCATAAGTGTTGTATTCTAGTTGATAAATTTGTGTCCCATGTAGGTATAGGCTAGCAACTGTGACATAGTTACACATGTAAACTGGAATGGGACAATAAATAAATGGATGTTAGATAGTGGGAGCCAATTTTCTCATTGCTGGAATGGGAATTTTTATATAAATAAGGGGAAAAGGCTAAAATGATTCAAGTCATAATGGATTAGAGTTGGACACATTAGTATGAACTTATGTCTAATGTAATATAGATACAGATGATAACATCTAGAAATACTTATAGGTACAAGTTGAGCATCCATCACCTGAAAATCTAAAACCCAAGCTGCTCTGAAAACCAAAAGTTTCTGAGAACCAACATAATGCCACAAGTAGAAAATTCCCCACTTGACCTCATGTGACAGATCACAGTCAAAACACAGTTAACACTTTGTTTCATACAGAAAAATATTTTAAAATATTATATGAAGGCCGGGCGCGGTGGCTCATGCCTGTAATCCCAGCACTTTGGGAGGCTGAGGAGGGCGGATCACGAGGTCAGGAGATTGAGACCATCCTGGCTAATACGGTGAAACACTGTCTACTAAAAATACAAAAAATTAGCTGGACATGGTGGCACGCGCCTGCAGTCCCAGCTACTAGAAAGGCTGAGGCAAGAGAATCGCTTTAACTCAGGAGGCGGAGGTTGCAGTGAGTGGAGATCGCGCAACTGCACTCCAGCTTGGCAATAAAGCGAGACTCCGTCTCAAAAAAAAAATTGTACAAAGTTATCTTCACGCTATGTGTATAAGGTATACATGAACATAAATTTCATGTTTGGAATTAGGTCACATCCCAGAGATATCTATTTTTGTAAATGCAAATATTCCAAAATCCCCCCAAAATTCCAAAATTCAAAACTCTTTCAGTCCCAAGAATTTCAGATAAGAGATACCCAACTTCTGTGCATATATACATAGCTTGGTACACATACATATATTTATTTGTTGTGTCAGATGAGACAGCCTAAAAGAAATGAGACCCCAATAGCAATGGGTGGATCTAGTACCCAGATCTTGAATTCTAATATCGTTCTCCAATTAAGGAATCAGGGCTCCTTGGGGAAAATGGCTGATTCTAGAACTGGGAAGAAATATTCAAGAGGAGCCTAGATCATCTTGTCGTGCCAGAAAGTAAGAAAGTATTAAATTACCAAAACCAAAATGAAAACCAAAACCAAACCCCCAAAATATCTTACACTGGTTTGTGATTGGGGTATGTCAAAGGGGCACAGGAGCTCACTGAAAGAGTTTCCAATGACCAAAGCTAAAACTATTTGAGTAATAAATAAAGAAGCACTGTATTATAATCTAAAACATAACATAAATATCTGAATCTATAAGAACTGAATAAATAAGTTAATGGGAGAGAAGAGATAAATCTCCCATGCAGAAGAACCCCAAAGAAATAATGCAGAAACTCCACCCCAAACGAAGTTGCATGAGTCCCCACAACTTAGTGTGAGCTTCAAATCATGTCTTCTTTATCAAAGGTACAGTACAGCAAAGAGGGAAATTAAAAGAATTACTTTACAAGGGAGAAACCTGACAAAAGTGCCTTCTACTAGGTAATTAAGGTCAACATCAACAGTGATAAGTCAGAGTGATAATACGTATCCTTAATATGACATAATGAAAATGGCCCTTTGCTTTCACAGTCTTCTTCCCTCAAACCCATAACCTCAGTCTAATAGTGAGAAAAACATCAAACATTTAAATTGAGGGACAACCTACAAAACATCTGACTCAATACTCATCAAAACCATCAAGTAATTAAAAAGAAGGAAACTCTGAAAAATTGCCACAGGCAAGAAGAGCCTAAAGAGCTGTGACAAGATGTATACACAATGTGGTAATCTGAGTAAGATCCTAGAATAGAGAAAAGACATTAGGTGAAAACAAGAAAATCTGAATAACATATGAACTTGAGTTAATAATAATTTATTAATCTATCTATCTATCTATCTATCTATCTATCTATCTATCTATCTATCTATCTATCAAGACAGAGTCTTGCTCTGTGGCCCAGGCTGGAGTGCAGTGGTGCCATCTCGGCTCACTGCAGCCTCTGCCTCCTGGGTTCAAGCTATTCTCCTGCCTCAGCCTCCTGAGTAGCTGGGATTACAGGCGCCCCTAACCACACCTGGCTAATTTTTGTATTTTTAGCAGAGACAAGGTTTCACCATGTTGGCCAGGCTGGTCTCAAACTCCTGACCTCAAGTGATCCACCCGCCTCAGCCTCCCAAAGTGCTGGGATTACAGGCATGGTTCATTAGTTCTAATAAATTTACCATACTAATGTAAGATGTTAATAATTGGGGGAATTGTGTGCAAGGTTTATATGGGAACTTTCTGTAATGTATACTCAATCAATCTGCAAATCTAAAACTGTGCTAAATGATAAAACCTATTATTAGGCTGGTTGAAAAGTAATGTGGTTTTTGCCATTAATTTTAAGGCCAAAAGCTGCAATTACTTTTGCACCAACCTAATAATAAAAAGAGTTTCAAGGGACTTAATAATAATTACAGCGTATGGATCTATTATGAACCCAGATTTAACCAACTAACTATATAGTCACTTATGAGACAATTGCAAACTGGAAGGGTGACTATTTTATAATAAGGCATTATTCTTTCTTTAAGTTATAATAATGCTATTATGATTATGGGCAAAACACTATTTCAGAGATGCAAACCGAAGTATTTAAAACTAAAATGATAGGATGTTTGGATCGTCCTCAAAGTAATCCAGTGGGTTATACTTCCTGTGGGAATATAGACAAAAAAAGATTGTCCGAGAATGTTGGAGCTGGATAATGGCTACATGGAAGTTCATTACACTACTTTTTACTTGATATATGCTTACCATTTTCTATCAATATTTTTAAAAATTATAATTCATATTAGAGAGCTATAATGAGTGTTTGTCTTTAGTAATCAAATATATTATCTCTTCTTGTGAATTGTTTCTTCAGTTATTTAAGCAAGCGTTCATCTATGATAATATAACTGTGCTGTATTTCTCAAAAAATAATTTAAAAAAGGGAGAAAGAAAATATTTCTGATAGAGTTTAAAGAAATATCTTGTATACCTGTGTGTTCAGTGGCATGGGTTCAGTTAACTTGTTTGTTATGTTTGTTACCTGTGTTAAAATAATAACCATTCAATCCTCTCTCATCTGCAGACCAGCACTAATCACTAACGTGTTTTGAGTAAAACATAAATATGTTCTGTGTCACTTTCCCAACAGCATCTTCATATTCCAATAAAAAGTGATTTAAGTACTTAATTAGTCTTGGGTTAATTTATCTAATCATTTAAAAATTATGTGATAATCTTAGCTGCTCTTATTGTCTATTGATATGTGTTTCTTGTATTCAAAATATTCTGTAAAGTTTATAAGTATTTAAGTCAAATATTTATTACTTACTCAAAATGCAATATATTTCACCTTTTTTTTCTACTAAGGCAATGCTTCAAAAATTAAGATTGTTGATAATTCATAGTTTAAAAATTTGCTTCAGTTAATTATTGTTTTGGCAAAGTCTCCTTCATTTCTAGCAGGTAGTTCCAGTGCTATGTTTCTGTCAAGGCATGTTTGGTACTTCCCAAGAGGTTTATTCTGTTGCCAAGTAAAGACACTTAAGCAAACAAAAAAGCCTGTATTTTTTTGGCCATATCTGATTGACCAAGGAGATTTTAGATCAGGAAAACTTACATGAAGCATATTCTGATTAGCTAAAGATAACAAAGGCAAACTGTACTATAAGATCTTGGAGTCTTAGGGAAGATATTCTTGATAAATATATTAGAATTGCCAGGCAAACATTTTAATTCATTTCAAATTGGTTTTCCTAAGAATATTTTGAAGCTTATGTGCATATATTAATGGCTCACAAGTCGATTGAGTGAAAAAGGGGACCTGTTGTGTTCCACAGTGTTCTTGGAAGACAGTCATATTGGCTACCACAGTTGACTTGTTCCCTGATTGGTATCAAGCCAACCTACATTGCTTTTCTGAGTAAGCAGTTTTCTAAAACAAAATCTTTTTGTTGTGCTTTAAGAGACACAGGGTACTTTTTTTTCTCTCTTAGAACTGCATATGGCCACCAGGAGGCAGATATCTATTACTTATTATTTGTCATATTTATAGAAATAAAGATTATAAAATAGAAATATAGAAACATAGAAAAACACAGAAATATATAAAGATATACTTTTATTTTTTACTTGTGATATATGAAAGACTGGTTTAATTATTGTTAAGTAACCTGGCTTTCCTATCTGATTGAGAAATATGCTTTATTAAACACAGGTATTTATTCAAAGACACTTATAGTAAATATTTGATTACCCAGAATGTCTGTTATGTGGAGTTTTCTTAGGTCTGGGAGGAAAATACTTTTTATTTTACTATTGTATAAATAATTTTAAAAGTTAGCTTTTCTAGTTGAGTAAATAGATTGACAATCATCATAGCCCCTATATATCTTGTTAAGAATATGTGAGTTTCAGGACTAACTTTTCAGCCAGAAAATACTTCATCAGTGTGAATGAATAACATGTCAGTGTTACGTTAATCACATAATTAATACTATATGTGAAAGTAGGTATTTATTTAAAGACAGCTTTCATGATATATCTAACTAGCAGAAGAGGAGTCTCTCTTAGGCCAGAAACTGGAATGGGAGGAAGAGCCTACAGCTAAAAAGGGGAAATTTTCTAAACAGTACCTAATCTTTCTTTGGAGGACCCCATGCACAAAAACAAAGGCCTGGAGATCCTGGGCTGAGGTTAACTAGATTATAAAAATTTTAAAAAATTAAAAAGAAAAATCTTCCTTTAGTCAGCTGGTCAATCTATACTTTCTGTTTTTCTTCCTTTTGTTCTTCCTCAATGTTTACCAGACTCTGCCTGGTCTCAGTTTTACTCAGGGAGCCAAGAGAATGGGATTTTATCTGCACTTAAATCAGAAAATTATCAAGAAAGTAGCTGTCAGAGGTGCCAAAGGAAATGTCATCAAATGACTAAGTCTGTCCGATGCTTCTTATTGTCCTTCCAGTGCCAATCTCTGATGGCTTTATATTTTATATAATTAAGAGAATTTATGCCCCTTTCTACTATCTAGTGACATTGTGAAACTGCAAAGATAACAGTTGTTAAGAAAAAGTTAGGACTGAATTTCTTATGTTGACTTGAAGATAGTCCTGAAGTATTCTCTCTCTCTCTTTGTCTGTCTCTTTTTCTCTGTCTCTGCATTTCTTTCTCTTCATTTCATAACTCTTGATTCAAATAGTTAATAATACTTTGCTCCACCAAATTCGGATTTTCTACACTAAACTAGAGGAAACCCTCTAATATAAATATTTGATTTGCTGGGATGCAATTAAACTGAGTTTTATGACTGTGGTTAAGTCATTGGATAGCAAGCATCTTGAAAATATCTGACACATATTAGGTGGGAACTCCTTCATATCTGTTCAGTAAATAAATGAATAAAATCTCTGTGCAGATGAGGGTACTAATTTATGAGAGCTAAAAGCCATTTGACTGCTCTCTGAGTCATTTAAGACTATAATCAACATATCTCATATAACGACAAAACAACAACCATATTAGAAGCTAATATTTATTTACATAAAGTGCCAGGCACTGTTCCCAATACTTTACATTTATTGATTAATCTCAACCTTTTAACATTCTTCTTAGGAGCTATCAGTCAACATTCCTAAGAGATGCTATATTATTTCCTTTTACAGATAGGAAACTGAGACTGGGATTGGTGAAGTAAATTGTCTAAAATCATACATTTAATGAGTAAGGAGTATAGATTCTGAGGCTATGGCGATTAAAATAAGCTTTTCATATATTTTTTTTCCAAGTGTTTTCTAAAATTGTCAGTCATTTGGAATTCCACTGGATAGACAGATGACAAATCAAGGTGTCTCTCTGATATTTGGGGAACTCGTAAAATTTCTGATTCTCATGGTGGCAGCAGTTAGTGGAACTGGGTACCACCCACCACCTCTCTCCTAGTTGATGAATGACTCAGAGGTGTCATTCAGTTGATGAATAATAGAGGTGAAGACTACTCTTACCACCAGCATTATTTATGCATCCCTCCTCTCCTACTTTGCCTTGTACCACCTGTTCCTCGCCAATACCGAGGGGCTCCATACTTCCAACAAACTTTAGACTGAATCATATCTAGCAGCTTGAGTCTGGAGCTCATTTCTTTTTTTTCTCTTCCTCCCAAGTAAAGGTGGGTAGTGGCTGAGAGGTGTGCAGGAAGTGCCGGGTAGAGAGATTGAGGAAGAAAGTTGAAACTGGGAGGATGCAGAATGGAGAGCAACTGATTAGGCATTCTTGAAAATTATAAAAATCATGAAGAGATAAAATGAAGGAGAATAGTGATATGTGAGTAGGAGGAGAGGAATGTGGAGAGACACAATGTAAGTGAGGAAGCTCAAGTAGGAAACTGGCAGAAGCAGGCAGGTGGGCTGAGTAGGATGGAGTCAAGAAGGAAGACAGCTGTATTAGGATATTGTCAGATTGATCCACGAAGGGAGAGAACAGATGGTCATGTTTTCCCTTTCTCAACAGCAAGTGCTGTCTTTGCAAAGTCAGACTCATTCAAAATATTCTTGTATGGGCTGGAAGTACAACAAGGCATTGTTCTGAGAGCACAGAAAAAAGCGAGACTGTGAAGCAATTGTAATTCCAGTAAATGACAGGCCAAATGTTGCTGGGTGTTTAATACATCTAGAAGCAGTTTATTCAGGACTTATTAAATCATAGAGCCTAAGGATTCAGTCCACTTTTATGCTTTTCAGATTGGCTAGAGTTAGGAAATATTTTAATTGATGATAACTTTCTGATTATGTCAGTGAGGGAATGCTATTGTATTAAAGGCAACAATTTTGAGTTTTCATAGTAAATATATTTTAAATTACTTAAATCTGAAGCAGGTAAATGACCAACAGGAAGAACAAATGCTGTTTCTACAGAAATTAGCTTATGGGACCAGAGGATCTGTGTGGTAATGAGATGGGCTAGAGCAAAATGTTGGGAAATTATGTACCAAGAAAAGGGGAGTAAGCCTGGGACTTATAGCCTGTTCAGCAGGGAACTGACATCTGTGATACTGGCTTCACAAAGTTGTCATCCATCTGATCTTTTGATAATGAGGGAAAGGAAACTCAGATGAAAAAATAGATGGATAGTTCAGGAAAGGCAAGGACAGGACCAAATCCCTGGGATCATGCAGCTAAGAAGAGCTGAACAGAGGTGGAGCCAGCTTGATGGTTCAGAACTGAATGGAGATGGGACCTGCATGGACGAGGGGATATAGTGGTTTGAAGGACCTGTACTTCCTTGGGTAAACACTTCTAAAATATGAATAGGTTTGCAGGTGAGTTATGATTTTGGGAGCTTCAGGTTGACCTGAGAAACATGACAATAGAACTCCACAGAAGAGTGACTTGCAATGAGCCTTCATAAATGCATTAGGTGACCATTCTGGGCTGAACTTCGGAGCCTACTCTGGAGGGACAGATGAGGATTTAGCATTCACCAGTCTCAGAGGATACAGTTCTTTCTAGTGAGTGATGACTAGAAAGGAACATGACAGGAGCTTCCAGTATGTTAAGATATTTGGATCCTTGATCTGGATGTTGGTTACCTGAGTGTTCATTTTAGAAAAATCCATCAAATTGAACATTTATGGGTACTTTAAAATATTTATTATACTTTAATACAAAGCTAAAAAATACCTATGCCTGAACCTCTCCTTACAATAAAATCAAAATCTACGGAAATTTGGCTGAGTTCTTAATCTTTAAAAAGTTTTCCAGCTGATTTGGACAGGAAACCAGAGTTGAGCATCACTGAGAAATAACTATACACATACATGCACACTGTACACCTCCATCCTGCAAAAGTGAATCCTCTCCTTGTTTAATTGTCAGAAAGCAGAATACGGTATAGAGTTCTGTGCTGTATAATATGGTAGCCAAGACATTTGAAATTTGGCTGGTCTGGATTGAGATGGATCAGAGAAGATGGACATAATTTTTAGTCCTGCCTTTGCAACATAAAACCTACATGGCCTAAGAGAAGGCTCTTAAGTTCTCTGAGTCTAAGACTGCTCACTTATAAGGAAATAAATATATTCATATTTCAGAGTAACTATGAGAAAGAGGTAATATAATCAAGCATCTGAAACATATTCAGAACATAATAGTTACTACTACTCTGAGAAAAGTCTTCTACCCCCTTCCTATGGTGCAATATAAAAAGACATCTTTCTCTTATACTTGAACCACATGTTATGAGTGGAGACAGAGGGTGCCTTTAAAAACTGAGGAGTGAATCAGGGCAAGGGCATGAGTAGGATATGGATAAAGGACAGCAGCAGCTGCTTTGCCAGAAAGAACCCTATCTGTGCCTCATTGTATGCACCTCTGCTGCTTCTCATTTACCCTCTGACATCTCTTTGGCTTTTCCAGCTACTAAATTATTAACCTTTGAATAAGTCCTATGTCTACTTTCATCTCTAGCCCTTAGCCTACCTTAAAAAATTTAACTCTCACTTTCAGAATTCTTTCATTTCTGTGTTAGGCTCCTCAGCACGAGCCTTATCTGCGGCTCAGGGTCCTTGTGTGTGGGACATGCCTTGATGTTTACAGTTTTCTCTGACTGGTCTGGGAGCTGGCCTGCCAGCCACTTCTGAACTATTTCAGGCACACCCTCAAATCCTTACTGACTTTCATTAGCTTTGGAGGCTTCCAGGTCCTTCTCCATAGAGTCTCAGATATCTTCTCCACCTAGTCTAGTGTCTCTCCTCAGGCTTAGCATGTACACACTGTGCTCTGGCTAACAGGGATTATTTTTAAATTATATGATCTTGTTTTCCTACCTGTGTACCTTAGTTTATGTCAGTTTTTCTACACAGAATGCCTAATTTTTCTTTCTTCAGTGAAATACTTATTCCAATAAATAATTTCAGTGATTCATTTTTCATAATATATCCTGTCAAGTGAGGTTTCTTTCCCAGAATCTGTATGGGATGTTCCATGTTCATTTGCTACTATTTAGCAGTTTCAGACATTTATCATAGATATGTATGTGCTTCTGTTACCATGTCTATTAAATGAATATCCTTTAATAAACCATCAGGTCCCCTGTGGCCTCCTCTTTGTATAGAGCCTAATTCAAAAAAGTTTCATCTGAAATCCAGAAATAATTGAAGAGAATTCCCAATATTTACTTACATACCTTTTAGGATATTAAAGATCTTATTCAGAACCTATAAAAGGTCCTTTTCTCTCCTTCCCAATTTTGTTTCA
Source organism: Homo sapiens (assembly GCF_000001405.40). Classification (NCBI taxonomy): domain Eukaryota; kingdom Metazoa; phylum Chordata; class Mammalia; order Primates; family Hominidae; genus Homo; species Homo sapiens. Next base: position 78,610,196 of record NC_000008.11, on the reverse strand, counting down.
TTCTGTATTTTCATTTAAATGTCTTACTTGTCAAACCTCTCAAACTTATTTTAAAAACCCATATCACTGCTTTAAAAATCCTCCTTGTAATTCTTTATTCTAAATTACGCATGTTGACTTAAACATGTTAAACAACTTTTTAAAAATCTGTTTCAACCTTTACCTGGTTTATTCTCAACAAAGGAAACCTCTAGCATTGTTTATCTGAGAATCTTCTTTTTCCTCTTATCTCTCTAACTTGTATATCTGTTCTCCCAATTCTGTGTTGCAAAAGGCCTAGTAATCAGCTGAGAAAAAACTAAATTCTCATTAGATGGTAGAATTGAATAATAGGTTCTTAAAAGGAAGATGGAGTGGTGATGGGGGAAGACTGGAAATACTGATAGGAAAACTATTGTCCCCATTATTATTTCAGTTTTTATTGGTCTATTGGATTCTGTGGTCTTTTAAAAATTTCTCTTTTATTACACCTAATAAAAAAAGACTTAAACTTAGTAAATGCTCAAATTTTATTTCCTAGACAAATTTGATGATTTGTTGAATTGTATTTAGGACTATCTGAGAAGGCAGAATAGGTTTTTTTACCCTTAAAACTTCATGATTATATCTTGGCTTGTGAATTTCAAAGAGGATATGGGATAAAAGAAAACTTAGAAATTCAACAGGACAGTCATAATAGTCACACCATCCTACTCAAACAAGGTGTAAAATGAATCATGGCAGCCAAAGTTTAAACATGTTCTATTAGCAGTAACCTACATCATCACCTTTGTCAGTCTTTTTCTTAGTTTCAGAGTCCAAAAGTTCACAGTACTTCTTTAGTCTTGTTAGATCTCCAAAGTTAATTTTATTACCAGTGTTTTTTTAAAAGATAACACTATTCAGGAAAAGGTCTTTAAGGTTCTATACATGTATATCAGTGAGCTTTCTTTCTTGAGTATATAAAAATGTGTTTCTTAATCCCTTTCTACAATTTTTCCCCCTTTTTTCTGTGAATTCCTGACACTGAGGTTTATTCTATTGTTATTAGAACTCTCATTTCTTTAGGCTGTTTGAGTGCATTTCTGTAAGGCATATTCTCAGAAACTCCAGTGAACTTTTGTTCAAGGCCTGCAAGATCCTTCCTGGAGATCCTCCTCTCTGAACAATGTATTGCTTAGGCCAAAAGAGTAAGATATAACCCCCTTTTGGCTCATCTTAATTCCAGCAAACTGAAGATAATTCCTGCTACAGAATTCCCAGAAATAAATTTACCAAAGGCTTATTTAGCTGGATGGCTTACCTTAATTTGCCCATCTAGTTACGTGTTGTCCTATTGGACATCTCATTTCTCTATGTCTTATCAAATCTTTGTGCGTGTGTGTGTGTGTGTGTGTGTACAAATGCAGCACACCAGTTTGCAATAGAAATTTTAAAATAGTTACTCTTGTATAAACTAAAAAAAATGGTGATAGGAATTAAGTTTTTATCCTCTGCAATGCAATATTCTTGAGACGTCACTATTTTCAACCATGAATTTTATCTCTGAATTGCATTTTCCCTAATCGATCTATGTGTAGATTCTCTCTCTTAACTTCATTATGAGCTTCAGGAGGGCAGATATTATTTATTTACAAATATCTACTGATGTTTGTACTGATTAGCAATAACCTACATAGATAAACAGTGAGTATACAAAGATGAATAAAACGGAGTTGATGCCCTCAAAAAGCTCACACTCAAGGTGGAGAGATATGCATGCAAATAAATAGCTATGATATAGAGATCCATTTGTGGATAAATTGTTAGAGAGCAAGGAGTATAGAATGGCTGATTTCCTAGGGTAGGGCTCGGGAATGGAGATGAGTCAGAAAGACTACCGAAAAGGATGAAATGAGGCTTAGTCTGAAAGGATCAATGAGACTTTGCCCACAAGCATGAAGCACATTTTAGGAACAGGATAAAAGCTAACACAGAGCAAGGAGTTATACACAAATACAATGTGGTACTTATACCGTAAAGTTTGTCTGGCTAAACTTAAGGATTTTTTAATTAGGAGAGATACATGATCAAAATCATGTATCAGAGCAATACATCTGGTGGCAAGATGGCTAGAAAGAGTGCTGGATGAGGCAGGTCATGCTGAGCAGGCCATTGCATAATAATAGATAAGTAATGATTTAAGGGTTGGAGTGCAGATAAAAAGAAGTGAACAGTTTCAGTAGTGAAGAATTAGAATCGATTGACCAAAAAACAAACAAACACACAAATCAGAGGAAGAGGTAACAGCTAAAAGGGCTCCAAAAATTTTGATTTAAGGTCAGTGGAAAATCAGTGCTACCATGATCTGAAATCTGTAGCATATAAGGAAAAGCAGGTTTGAAAATGGGATTATGCATTGGATTTAGTATTAGAACATTGAATTTTAAGATTCTTCGAGCAATCCATGTTCAACTATCCAATAGGTCAGATAATGAGGAGTGACTCCTGGGCTAGAGATCAAGATATGAGATTCGCCATAGGAATATAGTTGCTGATGTGGGAGTGGAGGAAGTCATCTGGAGAGAGAGATTAGAGGAGAGGAATGAGAATGGAAACCCAGGGAACCATGAAATTTAGTGGAGAGGTAGACAAGGAGGAACCAGTCTTAGGTTAGTGAGGAGGTGTCAGAGAGAAACAAACAAGAACTCACTAAATAAAAAACATCTGGAAGAAAAAGGAAGGCAAATGAAGCATATCAAAAAGATTCCATGGTGAACCAGATTAAATGTCATTGAGTAAGCTAATAAAATATACAAAAATGATCCACTCTATTTCGGGTAGATATATTTGTTTAGGTATAATTCAGAGAAGTAGAGCAAGACTGGGATTTTACACATATATGGCTGCTGTTGAGAGGAACAAGTGATATCACTAACATTTATCCAAGAGTAGAATGGAACACAGAACTTTACAACATCACAAAGTAATCTTGCCCATCTATGAATGTCTAGGCTCTGTGTTGGTGCCCAGATATGTGACAACCACTCCTATAAAGAAATGAGCACTATAGGATCTGAGTACATAGCAAGCAAACATTACGGGGAGACTGTGGTCATAGAGCAAGGACATATCCATACATTATGGAAGTTCTATACTAGAGAGAAAGCTGACGTTTTCTTGATATATGTCGATTCTATATAGTTGAAAAATACTATATTATTCAGTGATACTCTGTCATACTAGTATCAATTAAAAATATAAAAACATTAAATTTTATTTTAGGTTAATCTGAGTCCTCTGAATCATCATCACCTTTTAATTTCCACATTGGTCAGAGATTCAATGACTATGGCAGAGACGATGAGCTACTAAAGATGTCATTGATAATGAGAAAAATTTTATTGGAAGCCAAATTGCAAAAGAATAAGAAATAAGGAGGAGAAGAAGCATGAAAATAGGGAGTATACATTACTATTTTGAGAAACAGAAGTGATGAAGCAAATGGGAAATTGAAAACTTGAGCACATTTGTGAAAAAGGGTAAAGTCAGTAAAGAAAAAGGATAATTAAGACATCCTGTTAAAGTCAGAATAAAGTGGTTTAAAAACATCAAATGAAGGAATAAATCTTAGCCTGAAAGTGGGAAGATTCCTCTGTCCCCAGGGACATGAAAAGAGAGAGCTGTGCAGCACTTATGTCTAGATTGAGGTTGCAGACAATGAATAAGCATTGTTTTAAACTTTTTACAGTCATCCAGAAGACAAGTAAAGAGAAGTGAGTGGCCTAATTGACTTTGATGGGGCAGAGATGGCAGAAAGGCAAGAAAATGTGGAACCTGAGGAGCACCTAGGAGAAAGATGAACAATAGAGTCCAGACTAGCAGGAAGGTTGCTGAGGAAGCACCCATATTAACCCAATCAGAAAGAAGATGTGGTGCAAATTAGAAAGTTAATAGGTTATAGTCATATAATTTTGTTAATTTTGACTTTAGTATTAAAGATGAAAAGGATCCTGAATCCCCACACCTGAATTAGACAGATACAAGAAATACACAATGAGTAGAGACACTAGAGGCTCTACAACTTATTTCACTGGTTAGCATTTTGTTGGTCCCAAGTCCCTATGTGGTGTTTTATTCTTGCGATCTGAGTAAGATGAACTTAAGTATTTACATCCCCTTTGCTTTTTGGACTGAAGAACGTGCCTGGATTCAGGCTGAGTGCTGTTTGATGCTTACTTTCTCTTGAGCTCCACCTTGGTCTCTGTTTGGTCATTACTGCCTGTGTGTGGTAAAAATAAAATGATGGAAAGAGAGAAACACTAAGATAAAAGAAGAGCTCTCTTTGCTTCTTTACCCTAAAAATTTACCCTTAATGCAGTAAAACCATGTGCATTACCCTTAATGCAGTAATGTGAGGATTGCATTTTGTTCCTGACTCATTTCAAAGCCTTGCAGTGGAGTGGGCAGGGTGGGTGCATCAGGAAGCCTTGAACTTCTAGATCAGTGGTTCTAAAGTGGTGGGGGTGCAGGTGGGTGGAAGAAAGGTATCAGAGTCATGCAGAAAGTTATTTTAAGAGAGAGTGTTTGTGTATGAATGTATCTATGTGGGGGGTGGGTAGAGGGTGGGTGCTGTAAAAACTTTCCAAGAATTCTGATAAACACCTGTCTTTCTCCTGACTGAATGTCATCTCCCTACAGATGAGCAAGTAAGAACCATAGGCATGGTATTGGGGGTTAAGATCTAGGAGGTGGGATGGTTCTGGTAGATGACAAAGACTAGGAAGTGGGCTACTCGAGTGGAATGGAGTTGAAAATGATTAGAATAAAGGCCAGGAAAGAGTGAAGCTGGAGTCCTGGGTTTGTCCACTGCGGGATGACTGAGGCATATAATTTCTCCTTTATCACCTGCAGCACTCTCTAGCACAAAGTACATAGTGTGAATTCAATAAATACTCTTAATAGACTGTGTACATTTCAGAAAAATGTGTTACTTTTAATTTTCAATTATGTGAGCATGCAACATTGCTAAATACAAAAGTCATACAAGCTCACAAATGACTTCAGAGACTGCCACTCTTGTAATTAAAGAACAATTTAGGGTCTATTAAGACATCATAAATCATAGATCCTTTCCTATTTTCACTTGATGACTACACATTTTCTCCCTACTACTACTGCTACTACAGGTTTCACTTAGAAGCTTTGCTGCCCGGCAGTTACATTTCTTTATCCATTATTGTTTCCCTGAAGAGAAATAGCAGTATCATTCATCTTCTAAAATGGTGCATTACCACAGCATCTAAGTAAGACTCAAGTATAGGGCATTTACCATTGGCTGTTCTGGGAGTATTATCTAAGAATTGGATTTCAATGTCTGTTATTTATTTTTAAAAATATTTCTATGAATTTATGATAATATGTTGGCATAGGATGATTACAATTGATAAAAGGTAAATTTAACAATTTCATGCTTGTTGCAAATAAGTCAAAAAGCCAAAGTCCCCATGTTTGTTGGTAATTAAACAAAATGAGTAGCATGAAACATAAAAAATATGAATCATGCTGTGTTTACAGACCACATGCCAGAAAAATATCTTCTGGGAAATATACCCCCCAAATAAGACATAATTGAATTTCTTTTTTTTAAAAAAGATATACTTTATGTGACCTACTCATATCTGTGTTATTACCCATCCAGGGAGCCTTGAGAACGGCAATTTCTCCTTCTGGGATTCAGTTTCCTTCTGTAAAATATGGAGGCTGAAGAAGTTCATCTCTAAAAGTTCCCTTACAGCTCTGCAGTTGGCTCTAATTTTATGACATGTGCCCTGGAAAGCTCCTTGGTGACAAACATGGGTTCAAATCCTCAGTTCATCACTTACTAGCTTTTTAAGCTTCTAAAGGTTATATTTTATTGAGTGCTTATATTTTAATCTGTGAAATTGGATAAAAATACCACTCTAATAGAATTGTTTGAGGATCAAATGGGAGAATAGGAGCTGCAAAGCCATTAGCGTAAGAATAGTTGGTTAATAGACATCCAATGCCTGTTACTAAACCCAAGGCCCTGGTTTCCTACCCTTTCCTTCTCTCCTTAAAAATTCAAATCCATATGTATTCTTGGCAAATAAAGGAAACTAAAATAAAATTTGAAAGATGCCATGAATAAGCAAAATGTATAGGATGTGGACATTTTAGAAAATTAATTTTTATCTCCCTAGCTTGGGAATGCCTTTGGGTTTGAATATAGCAGACAAAGCAGTAGTAAGAAGTCAAACTAAATCCAAAGCTCCATATGACTTTGCAATTTAGCACTATTTATATATTTAAAGACAAGCATGGCACCACATGCATTAATAACAGTATATCACATAGGAATATAAACCCTCCACATAGACTCAGCACTGGTTCTAAACTTTTCAAAATCACATAAAATCAGTTTGGAATTTCACAACCTTAAGAAAGAAGAGAAGTTTAAATTCACAAGAAACCTATTAAAATATTAAATGAGGATACTGAAAACTGACTGTAGGGGTTTGATGGTTTAAACAGTTTACCAGGGATTGCCTAAAATAACCCTAGGAACCTCTTTTCTCACTTGTAAGTCTATTAATAGGTGATGTGTTTGAATTTTACTGGGCATTTTGGCCCCTGATGGATTAGACAGAAGGAAGCATTCTAAAATTTAATCTTTCCTCGTTCTGCTCTCGGAAAGGCTCACATTATTAATTTTTTTTCTAGTAATATCTGATTGAGTACTAAATGCAACCATGCCCTTATTCCAGTCAGTTGAAATGCCCTGTAGAAGGAGAAGTGAGCAGACTTACCTTTTATCCTGTATGTAATTACATAGAAGGGCTGAGTTTCTGGCACAACCACACAAATTACCTATTGAAATGCTGCTCTACCTACTTCACGTGGCAAGGTATCTAAGCCCTCAAGGACAGCTAAGTGGGCTCGTTATTGTAAAGGGACTCCCATTGTCTGCTATTTGTCCAGTAATTCATGAACCATTGGCATATTACTGGTTCCTTATTTATTACCACTGACAAATGATTTCATAATACTGACCAGAGGGATTACACAGCTCACAAAAACTTTCCATATAAGAAGCACGATGTTAAAACACAGCAGAGGCCATCAAACACAGTATTAATGAGAATTTTGTTAGCTTCTAATGATAATCATTATTGTATCAGAATGCAATTCACACTAATTATTAGTAAAAGTTTACAAACATTAAAAAGTGCATAATAACATTTGGATCTGAGAGGGCTGAAAAAAGACATGAAAACACAACACCAGGGCTTTACTTTTGTGATTGGTGTCCACATGATTGCAAGGAGATTACTTTCTCCACCTGATTCAGCTTAGTGAAGATAAGTTGTCCTCCAAATTTAAATAGTATCATACAGCATTGTGAGAAATTTGATTCCATAGAACAAAATATTTCCAGTCCTTAGTATGATCTTGGCTTTTCTTTTCTACCTTTCCAATTGTCCAAAATTCTCATAAATTAAAATATATATATATATATATATTATGTGGGAGAAGTTCTCCACTTGAGAATAAAACAAATTTGACAGATTGAATTCCAGTCTGTGCAGACACCAAACAGACTGAATTCAGGTGATATTCACATTAATGGATATTTTCAAATGTCTCTATAATAAAGCAATGGAGTCTTGATGAATCTGTTAGACTTAATCAACTCATCAACATACAATGAGCAAGGGGAAAGACTGTGTTTTAAAAAAGGGTGTTCTATCCTGTGTACACCACCACAGTATGGAAAACTAAAATGAAAAGACAGCCCTTTTAAAAATGAGTGGTATAAAAATTCACAGTAATGTACATCATTTTGTTTTTCATAAGCAATCAGAGAAGGGGGCAGTGCTGAGCATATATATTGTACAATACAAAACAGTGTAAATAACACAGCAGTAACACACAGATACGTAATGCTAAAAACAGTGCTTTCTGGATCTTTCTTTTACTGGGTGAACACTTGAGCCAGAGATATTTAAACTCTGGGGTTCAATCAACCCTTCGCAATTAGACACAATTAAATCCTCTGACATTGTGAGGGGCCAGATGCTACAGGAAGAATCATCATCTAGGTCGGAGCTACTCTCTATAAGCATTTCGTCATATGATCAAGTGAAAGGATCCATACAAAAATGACGCCCAAACACAAGCCACATGATTTCAACCATTGCTAATGACAGAGGTAGGGAAAAGTCTGCCTGCAGCCACAGCCTCTGCCCTCATTTTTAACATGATAATGAGCAGGTTCCTGCAATGCAGCACAGCCATTTTCTTTTTCCTCTTTTCACTCATGGAAACAAATGCATTCCAGATACTCCTGGAGATTTGAGACATTTTCAGGTGTGGTCGAGGGTCAAAGTGGGGTGTTAGCTTTCAGATTTTGCTGCTTCTCCCTGGGCTTCCCCACTTTGTTCTGTAGAACTTCGTTGTGCATCTTCTTCACCTTCTGCAAAAGAAAAACGAAAACAGAATAAAGGCAAAATAAAAATGATTGCTTTTATTTACCAACTGTCAATATGTCATATTGGTAACTTCAGAAATACTAAATAGGCCTGAAACCTTGAAGGAACAAGTATATTTTCTTGGTAGTCAGTTCACCACTAAGAAAACAGCTTAAGTTTTCAAGGACTGATTAATTCTGTGAACTTGGGACAGCACGGCTCAAAAACAAAATAATATTCAAATTTTCAGAGTAGTTAGTGATCAGCCAAGCTTTGGATAAATAGCTCAGAAATCTCAAGGCCAGGTCATGTCACTTAGGTATAGTTTCACAGGTTGCAGAAATCAGAAATGTCTTTAAGTAGAAATCAGAAGTGGGAGCATGTTTACCTTTTTATGCCTGATTGTCTTATTTGAAGAAATATTTTAAAACTGCATTTTCTCCTTTTTATAGCACTTGATGATAACCCAGCTAATTTCTCAGAGGTTCTATTAGTTCAAAGTAAAAGCAATAGTTGAAAATGAAAGGACACTATGTCAGCTGGCCAGTCCCTTGTCAAATAGTTACAATGGCCTCTGGTCTGCCCTTAGAGAACATGTGCACAATTCCAATAAAACCACCCTCATAACTGCACCCTCAGTAGCAATCTTAGCCAGTGGTATGGCAAACATTTCAATGCTTTCACTCCATATTAGGTCACTTTATATAAGTGCAAGCTGTTGGCAATTCTAGACTCAGATTCAAATATCTGCATGCGATATTTTGTTATCAGGCAGCCAGTATGGCTTGGCAAACAAAATGTTTTCAGGTGTTGCAATAATATAAACAAATCAATATTTGCTGAGGGTTTGTTATCATAATTCAAATAAAAGCAGGTAAGTTGGATGGCCTATTCTTTGGACCATAATGTTATAAGGCAGTTTCTCCTCTACTCTTAGCAAGTACACACAAAGCACCTCACCATACTCCAACAACATTAAATCTTTAGGGAAATTAAAACCAATTCTTCTACATAAAAATATTTTCTTCTAAAGCAGTACCAAGGGTATGACCAGACATTATATATAATTTTCATGCACTATTTTATTGTGAGAGGCTCGCATGATGTGCAGATGGCCTGGTTCTGAGATGTGTAAATTAAGCATGCAACAAGAACTTGGTAAACAGGAGAAGCTTTTGGTAATCAAAGAAATGAAGTCAAATTAGGGCATATGTAAGACAGTAGAATATTTCAGGATGAAAGTGATTGTATAAATACAAGATGAGGAACTTGACTCCCATGGGGCTTGGGACCCTCTAGATGTCTGGGGACACTTCTCAGGGCTTAGCATTATGCTGAAAACATAGAGACTGTTGCTAAATAGATGCCTGTTAACAAATAAAGGTAAACATGAAGCAACAATATTGTTGAGTATAAACTAAAATGAAGCTGAAACATTTACGAATTACAAAAAAAATTCCTCACAATTCTTAGTGACGTTGAATTTGTCATTATATAATTGCCATTTTTTCTATTTTAGATCTTCATATTATACAGTTATTAGTTTTTTGTACTTAGAATAAACAAAGTTATTGCTTTGTATACTGTTCCTGGTTTTGGACTTTATAATTTTAAGAAAAACAGAAAATGTTGCAAGAGCCTAGTGAATTGCAATTAACATGCAAAAATATTTAGAAAAGAAGACATTTGGAAGTATAAAGATAATTTAAATTATTTTAAATTATTTAATTGTAAAATAATGCATATGAAATTATTTTATTTATATTTATTAATATTACATTTTAATTTATTATTTCAATAATTTATAATAATTTAATATGTTTTCAGGAAAATAAAACAGTCTTAGGGCTAACAATTCTCAACTTCAGGAAAAATAGAAAAAGAAGAAATTAAATTGTACTATGAATAAAAATATCCTAATATTAAGAGCAGCTAAAATTAATGCAGACTATTTAAAGTAGCATATTTGTATGAAAAATAAAATATAAATCTTATGCAAGACTGCAGCAAAAATATATTTATCCATCTCATGTTATGAAATTGGAATAATTCCCCATACAGTCTTTCTCAGAGCTGTTCTGGGAAGTAACTACTGGTAGCAATAACAGCACAACAATGAAACCTAAGATTTATACAGGTCTACATATTCCAAAGTGGTGATGTTAAAGTTTTATTATTAATCTGAATTTGAAAAGACCAGTCTGGGAAATACTGAGCTTTAGCCATTGAATAAAATACCATCCTTATATATTTTAAAGTAATGTTGCTGAGCCATTTCATTAATCTATATATACATATACTCTGACTCAGTTTTCTAATAATCTAAAGGTTTTACCTTAAAAATTCTAACAGCGAAGACATATTGAATAATTAAGAGTCAGAAACTGTGATAAGTGCTTTCCATGCACATAATATCAGGGTTTCCCTAATCATGAATTCTTTTTACTTTTAAGGGTTATTTTTACACAAGTCTTCTCAGGGAAACACATTCAGCTTTGATATCTGCAAAAGCTATGGGTGGAGGAACTATCAGGGGACTTATTCTAATACTCAGAAGTAAAACTGTCAAGTTTTTTAATCCATCAAACTTGTTTTTCTCTTTCATTAATGAAGATAGACTCCTTGGGTAAGAATTCAAGGCCCAGTAAGGAGACAAATTTTTCACAAACCCATTCTATCTGGAATAGGAAACCAAAGACCCTTTTACCTAAGAGTTACTAATGTAACAGATCATTTTACTTCCATTCTTAATAAAATTAGCCCTGGAGACTCTTTTTTACTAAAATTGTTCTTAGAATTGAAGTCTATCAGAATTACCTGTGAATCTTGTTAAATATCTACCTAGTAAATGTTAGAGGTGGCCAATATTGTCAAAGGTAGGAGCTCCAACTTTGTTAAATACTGTACATAAGCAATTTCAGCTTTTATAGAAATTAGGATTTAAAAAAACACACCATGTGTTTTATTGATTGCATTAATAAAATCAGATTAAGGACTCTGCATTTGAGTGGGAAGCCTTCTAAACAGACATCATTGAAAATAGAGCAGGAGTGATTAAGAGATTAGTCTCAGACTTTCATCTTGCCTTAGATTGTTTAAAACTCTTTACATTAGATTACTTTCAAAGATGGCTTTTCGTGCCTTAATCCCTCTTAGTAAAATGCCGCAAATCATTCCATGCTCATAGAGAAATGTGTGCCAGATGACTTACCTGTCTTGTTGATATCAAGACCTGCTAATTTCAAGGCTAATTCATTGCTGTTGCCACTTGCAGAGGAAACCAGGATATCATGTATTGCATTTCTTCTACCTGTTCTTCCTGAAGCAATAAAATCTGCATATGTAGTTTCCACATCAGTCATTGCTACCAAATATCCACATAGCAGGGACTACAAAAGAAAGGAAAATTAATAGGTGAATATAATGGTAGTCAATGCTAAACATTTAACTACCGACTTAGTATATGAATGTGAAACAATTGTCCTGTTTACAAGTTCACAAAACAAGTAATGCCTTTTCTGGTCCTAAGTATTTAGATCAAAGGTCTGGGAACCTTTAATGTACATATTTAAATATGTACATTTTTACATATTTAAATGTAATATTTAATATTCATTTAATATTAATATATTAATATTAAATGTAATAATATTAATTATTATTAATAATTAATAATACATATTATTATGTATTTTTACATAATATACAGTATTATGTATTATATTTGTGTCCATTTGTACTCAGTTTTTAGCTACCACTTATACGTGAGAACGTGCAGTGTTTGGTTTTCTGTTCCTGCATTAATTTACTTAGGATAATGGCCTTCAGCTCCATCCATGTTGCTGCAACAGACATGATCTCGTCCACTGTTGATGGGCATTTAGGTAGGATTATCAAGCCTGATAGTACATATTTAGGCTCTGAGGGTCATATGATCTCTATCCCAACTACTCAACTTTGTCCTTACAGTACAAAAGCAGCCATAGCCAATACGTAAAACAAATGTAATAAACAAACTTTACTAACAAAAATAGAGAATGGGCCAGATTTGGCCTGCATGCCATAGTTTGTTGACATTTAGTTTACATTATAAAATTTTCTTTCTCTAATACCATTTTAGTCATTCTTCAACTCCAGAGAGAACTTGAGATCAGGTGGGGGGTGCTAAGTAAAAAGTGGTTCATCCTAGGGGTAAGCACTAAGTGAGAGCATTGTCTGTACAGTCTGTTAATGAAATGGGCCAAAATTCAGTTTGCTTTTTATTACCACTATGCACCATGCACCAGCAATTCTAAATATTTTCAGTGATCAAATAGCGCTTCCAGTCCAGAAAAACAGCTCCCCACGTTCCCCTTGATAAGTCATTACTTGAGAGGAGTAACAAACACTCTTGATTAAATCTTGGAAATAAAATGTCAAAAGGTACAAAAACTGATTACTCAAAACCCTTTCATTTCTATCATTAAAATGGCCATACTGCCCAAATTCACAGATTCAATGCTATTCCTATCAAACTACCAACGATATTTTCCACAGAATTAGAAAAAAAATTTTCTGAAATTCGTAAAGAACCAAAAAAGAGTCCAAATGGCCAAAGCAACCCTAAGCAAAAAGAAAAAAGCCAGAAGCATCACGCTACCCAAACTTAAGCTATACTACAAGGCTATGGGAACCTAAAACAGCATGATACTGGTATAAAAACAGATACAGAGACCAATGAATCAGGTTAAAGAACCCAGAAATAAAGCCACACTTAAAGCTATCTGATCTTCAACAAAATTGACAAAAACAAGCAATGGCTAAAGGACTCTCTCTTCAATAAATGGTGCTGGGATAACTGGCTAGCCACATGTAGATTGAAGACTGGACCTTTTCCTTTTACCATGTACAAAAATCAACTCAAGGACTAAGTCAATTTCAATTGATTAAAGACTTAAATGTAAAACCTGAAACTGTAAAAACTCTAGAGGAAAACATAGGGAATATTTTTCTGGACATAGGCCCTTGCAAATAATTTATGTCAAAGACTCCAAAAAGAATTGCCACAAAAGCAAAAATTGACAAATGGGACATAATTAAACTAAAGAGCTTCTGCACAGCAAAAGAAACTATGAACAGAGTAAACAAACAAACCACAGAATGGCAGAAAATAGTCTCAAATTATGCATCTGACAAAATTCTAATATCCAGAACTGAAAAGGAGCTTAAATCAACAAGCGGTGGCTCACGCCTGTAATCCCAGCACTCTGGGAGGCCAAGGTGGGTGGATCACCTGGGGTCAGGAGTCTGAGACCAGCCTGACCAACATGGTGAAATCCGTCTCTACTAAAAATACAAAAATTAGCTAGGCCTGGTGTTGGGTGCCTGTAATCCCAGCTACTCAAGAGGCTGAAACAGGAGAATCACTTGAACCCGGGAGGCGGAGATCACAGTGAGGTGAGATCACGCCCATTGCACTCCAGCCTGGGCGGCGAGAGTGAAACTTTGTCTTAAAAAAATAAATAAATACAATAAAAAAAAAGCCAAAAGCAAACAGCTCCTTAAAAATTGGGCAATGGATATGAACAGACACTTCTCAAAAGAAGACACACATGTGGCCAACAAGCATACGAAAAACTGGCCAACATCACTAATCATTAGAAAAATGCAAATCAAAACTACGAGATACCACCTCACACCAGTCAGAGTGGCTATTATTAATAAGTCAAAAATCAACAGATGCTGGTGAAGTTGCAGAGAAAAGGGAACACTTTTACACTACTGATGGGAATATAAACTAGTTCAGCCGCTGTGGAAAGCATTTTAAAGATTTCTCAGTGAACTAACAACTACCATTAGACCCAGCAATCACATTACTGGGTATACACCCAAAGGAATATAAATCATTCTACCATAAAGACACATGCACACGTATGTTCATCACAGCACTTTTCACAATAACAAAGACACAGAATCCACCTAAATGCCCATCAACAGTGGACAAGATCATGTCTGTTGCAGCAACGTGGATGGAGCTGAAGGCCATTATCCTAAGTAAATTAATGCAGGAACAGAAAACCAAACACTGCACGTTCTCACTTATAAGTGGTAGCTAAAAACTGAGTACAAATGGACACAAAGAAGGGAAGAATAGACACCAGGGCCTATTTGAGGATGGAAGGTGGGAGGAGGGTGAGGATCAAAAAACTATAGGGTACTATGCTTATTACCTGGGTAATAAAATAATCTGTACAAACCCTCGAAATATGCAATTTATTCATGTAACAAACCTGCATATGTACCCCTTGAACCTAAAATAAAAGTTGGAAGGTGAAACAAACAAAAATAAACCAAAACCACCTCATTTGTAAAATTCTGAATCTGGAAATTCTCTCCCCTCGTCACAGCCACCTTTTCTTTTTCTTTTCCTCTTATACTCAATGAACCAATTCTTTATACTGATGCTGTCTTTAATTCCTTGAATCACTTTTTAGTTTCCTCTAGGTCCAGTCCTACGTGAATCAGTTACCCACTACTTTATGTAGTTTTTTTATTAGCATCAAGAAGTCCCTTTGATCTACTGTTATCTTTACTTTCGTACCTACACTTCACTGCTGGGAAAACACTACAGTATATTTTCTCTGATCTCAGTACTGGGTGGCTAAGTGTTACCAGAAAAAGTCACAAAATTGTGCCAATTGGCTCAACTAGAAATTTCTGGCTCTATTATTAGTATACACTTGGATGGAGTTGCTCAGAAATTCTTCTGTTCACCTCTAGTTGACTCTTCCTTATGCTGTTCTCTTTGGGAAGGATTCCAAACCCTTTCCAGTCTACACACCAGACACCACCTACCTTAAGAGATGACTCTGCATCTTCCTCTGAGAAGATACGGGACATCTGTTACAAATTCTCTAAAAATTCTTCCTTTTTCAAACAACATTTCTATGTGTAATCACCATTCTTTCTTTTTCGGATGAATTGACCTGCCTTTTTAAGACATGCTATTGATTTTATTTCCTTCCACCTCTAATGCCATTACCCACTGCTCATTAACATGACACATGTTGGAGAATATATTTCCCCCCATTTCTCTCCCTTGATATCCATGTCTAATCACTTGCCAGGTCATACTGATTTTTATTTGATGCCAGTCATATTTAGTCCCTGTAAAACACAGGAAAAACATAGGAACATGCATATCAACCAAATGCTGAGTTTTTCTATTCCCTGAGTTTCTCCACGTCCCAACCTATCCAAAATGCTGCAGTAAGTGTTACCATTTTGCCTTTCTCAAAGGCCTTTCAAGCCTGCTGCACAGCCTATAGAACACATTCTGAATTTTTTAGCATTTCTTTTAAAGCCTTCCATGATCTGGAAAGGACTCACTTTTTTTTTTTTTTTAACTTCAACCACTTGCTCTCATACATGGTATGTTTTAGAATAATGAGCAATATTTTTCCAGAGTTTCTCTGCTGCTGTGCTGGTTCAAGTCTGTTACTCCACCCGTAACAGTTTTTCCCCAACAAACTTTCTTGTTAAAGTAGATTTAGCCCTCAAAACTCAGTCAAACACCATCTTCTCTTTTACCTAATTTCCCTATCTCTTCAGGTAGCGATCTAAAGGTTTGATTTGTACCCTACAGGGCACTTAATTCTAACTAGAGCTATAGTTACTTCTCCTTCTCAATAGATTACTGCATTTTGTTAATATTTTAATCACATACAATTTCTAGCAGAGTTGTTTGCACATAGCCATTGTTAAATAAGAATATGTTAAATAGAACTGACCAATGAGGAAGAAATATATTAATCACCTTTTATCAGTGGCCACAGAAAACTTTCCTGCTTCCTGATTGTACTAAATTACTAAATCCTAAAAATTCATCTACTTCAGTCTAGAAGTTTTTATAGATGAAGGACCTGAGTACCAGATAATTCAAGTGATCTGCCCATATTCACATAGTTAATAAATTAATCTGCCCATAATCGCATAGTTAATGAATTAAGTACTTGGAACTTAAGTCTGCAAAGTTCCTGCCCATGCTTTTTACTTTACCAGGCAGCCTGTCTATGAGTAAGTCAGAGTTTGAATAAAGTTTTTGGAACTTGGAATAATTCAGTGTTATTAATTGTGAAGATATTTTCATTATATGCATTACCATTAACCAACACAGTATTTGGTTTCTGCATTACTTCAAAGGTTTAGAACTGAACATGCACATCAATCTAGCAAATACATCTTATAAATATTTAAGGAGAGGTGGAGTCACAAGAGATATTCAAGCTCTTTTCACAATGATTTTCACTCTTAGTCTCTTTCTATGGCTTTTAAAAACATAGGCTTAGGCCAGGCATGGTGGCTCATGCCTGTAATCCTAGCACTTTGGGAGGCCGAGGCAGGCTGATCAAGAGGTCAGGAGTTCGAAACCACCCTGACCAACATGGTGAAACCTTGTCTCTACTAAAAATACAAAAATTAGCTGGGCGTAGTGGTGCACGCCTGTAATCTCAGCTACACAGGAGGCTGAGGCAGGAGAATCGCTTGAACCCGGGTGGCGGAGGTTGCAGTGAGCCAAGATTGGGTCACTGCATTTCAGCCTGGGTGACAGAGCAAGACTCCGTGTCAAACAAACAAACAGGCTTGAAAAAAGCACGAGTGCTATTATTTCTCATCTGATAACAATGATGTAAAGTAGGAAAACAAATCCTCATTTTTCAGATGGAGAAAATAAGTCTCAGAGATTTTAAGTAACCACTAAATCATACATATTACCATGACTTAAACTATGGGTATATGTCTTTGGGTTTTGTGTAAAGGGCATTGTACTTTGCAGTAAAGGTCCCTGTTTTTTTGCCATTATCATTTCTAACTGCCATGATAATACATATCCTTGTAGGGGTTTATATCTAATTCTCCTTGCTGAAAATAGTTTTTAAAAGATTTGAAATACCAAAAATGAGGCAGAGAAATGTGGTAACATTTTCCATGAGAAGGTATATATAAAAGAAAGTGTCTTGTGTTATGACTTATCTATGTGGGAATTTTAAAAGATCCTGGTGGCAATTCTACTTATATGAGGGTAAGCAACAACTTACTTTGAATTTTCATTTAGTGCACTCCCAAGTAATGAACACATGAAGGAAGAAATGAGGTTATGAAAGACATAAAAGTATATTGTGCTTACTTTTAAAATCTTCATATATAGCTTTCATTTCAATTGAATGAAAGACAATAGAGACAATTGTGAGAAGAGATTATTCCTGTAAAGTTGAAATATATTTTTAGTTCCATGTGCATCCAATTCTGAACCTTTAAAGTAACATAGAAACTAAGCACTGGATATCCAGTTAGAGTAGCCAATATAATTATTATAATAGAAATAGCTATTACTATAAAAGTAATATTTCATTGCTTATTATATTTTCTTTCCCTAGACAATAGATCTATTTTCCAATAAAAGAGCAATAGCTAACAAATAGCACACAACAAATATGTGAATGAAGGAACACATACAATTACATTTTTAAACAAAATATATATTGTATACTCCAGATTTTCTCTATGATTATAGTGCTTTTAGTGAATTCCCCTTAAGTGCTCAAAAATAGATATTTTTACCTGCCTAGTGGCTATTTTTTTTTCAGTCAAGCATTTAGACACAGGTCTTCTAATTTAGTAATATGACTCTGAGAGATAAATATATTTTACATCAAGCATACCTGTATAGACGACTTGTACTTTTGCTTTGAAATTCTGGAGAACAGCCATAAAAATTATGTTTGACAGATATTCACCCCCCAAAATTACAAAATTCAAAAAGAGTCAAATAAATGTCAGCAGCAGACGGAAGTTTAGTAGACCAGCAACTAGCACATATTCTGACTTTATAAAAATAATCAGGACAAAATCTGGAAAACTTATTAAAAGTAGACTTTGATTCTTTACTAGAGTTTCCTGTCTATGTTGCTATAACTGGAATTTTCTAGACATGACCAAATGATAGTATTGAATACAGACAAGGTAATATGGTGTTACTTTTTTGTATCCAGTTATACAAAAGATCCAATTATACTAATATTCAGCCTTATGGGATAGGGAAAAGAGGGAAATGGACATTTTATTATTTAAATACTGAACTATTTAAAGTTGTATTAAATTTTAAAGCATAAATCTCTAAAACCTGACATCTAAAAATTCAATCAAAATCTATGAATTAGAAATAATCTTGCTCTCTCTTTTCTTAATACAGCCTCACTCTCTTACTCTTTAGCAACAGAAGCAATATTGCTGCTCTACAAATTCTTTATATAATGGATTTCAAAACTGAGACTCATGATCTGTGCTGATCTTTTCCTTTTTGTGCCTTCTTTTTAAAATTCCATACACACAAATTATTTGAGAGAATGAAGCATAAGGTATTACTATAGTAGAATTTACAGATTTAGACAGATTTCAAGAGGCTATGAAAAGCATGTACTTACGTCTCCTACGTTAAACAAACTGAAGTGTTCCACATCGATGGATTCTAGAAGTTGGGCCTATGATGTTGCTAAAATGATTTTTATAGTGACATTGAGTCATGAGCCAAATGGTGACTGGGTAACATGCTAATTTTACTCCTGTAAATGGGACACATGAAATGAGACTCACAGACTTGGAGGAAAGAATGGAGAGAATGTCATCAGCATGCGCTGAAGACTTCTCTTTAATCTGAATACTATGATTCCTTTTAAGTAAGAAAGAAAGAAAGAAAATTCCCCTTTTTCCACTATTACAAAATGCAATTATATAACTTCTCAACTTTGACTTTGTGAAATCATGGGAAGTATGTTTAAAGACCTTGAGTAGTTTACTGTGTGTTTAGTGTTTGGTCTACATTAGTATTTCTGAATTGTTTTGGTCTCAGATATCTATTACATGCTCAAAAATTATGAAGAACCCCACTTAGCTTTCATTCTCCAGGGATAAATCTACCAATATTTAACATATGGGAAATTAGAAAAACTGAAAAAAATTAAATAAGTATTAATTCACCTCAAATACTATGAATAAACCCATTACACTTTATATAAATATTTTAATGAAAATAAAATATATTCTCCAAAGCAAAAAAAAAAATAGTGACAAGTATGGCATTGATTTACATTTGCAACTCTCTGGCTTAATTTTGCAAATGTCTGGCTTAATAAAAGACATCTGGTTTCTCATATTTGCTTCTGCATTCAGTATCTCTTAACATGTTGTTTTAGTTGAAGTACATAAGAGAATCTGGCTTAACAGAGATATTATTTTTTTTAGCTGGAAAAGTGAGGAGAATTTTAATAGCCTTTTCAGATAATTATGGCTTTTTTTCAATGTGGAATCTGAAGTCATATGAATATGCTTTCCATACTCTGCCTTTAGAAAGTTCCCATTGTCTTTCTTGCAGTTTGAAATGGTCTTTTGTCCACGCAATTTTTTTCTTTTTCTTTTTTTTTTTTTAACTATCAGACATTGGTCATCTGGAAAATATTGGTACACTGGGTTATGTAAATTTCCCAAACGGTAGCACATTTAATTATACAATATCACACTTGTTGGCAACACCAACTATGTCATCTGAAGAGTCTTTAAGAATTGGGAAACTGACAAGTTCACAGGGGCAGATAATAGGTTTTCTGAAATTATAATTTTTGTTTGAAAGTTCAGATTTTTTCATTGGCAAAAGACACTGTTAGATTTTGCTTTCCTAGAAGTGACAAGCTCACTTTGTTCATTTTCAAGAAAATTTCTGCCAAATGTCCAAGTTTGAACAACTAGTTTGCCTGTCACTTGTTCGTTCAAGTAAAAATGGTGATCCATGAAAATAATGTCTGGCTCAGCTCTCAACCCACAGTTGCACAAGGTGCTTTACTTGTGATAACCACATGTTTGATACACAACAGAAGTGCTTCATGAGATGTCCCATTTCATCACATGAATATTAAAAACATGTGTACTCAAAGGTCGAGATTCAAGAAAATGAATTTTTTTTTTTACTGCTTCATCAAGTACATTCTTAGGTAAACCTGGAACTAAAAAAATACTAATTGTGAGTGTGTAGGGGTGCAGAATACATAGATCACTAGGAGAGTTCAGTGCCACTGACTTGCTTAGTGCAAAAGTTCCAGCAGTTCCCTGCCCACCCCCACCTTGCTTTTGCATCATTCCTGCAAATGTCAGCCTTCTTCCCCACCCCGAATGGCATCATTACTTAATTTCTCCTCTCGAACTTTCTTTAGATCAGACTCAAATACTTTTTCCCCCTACAATGTTTAACACGTAAAAACTTTAAAATGAGAACTCTTTACCTGTAAATGTTTAAAATGTTAGAAGTACTATCTTTCTTTAGAAAATACTTTTATAATTGGGCAACGAGTGACCTCAAAGCTACTCATAAATTCTTATACTCATTCCTGGTTTACCCCTATACTATCCCTAATAAAAACAATTTCTTTCTTTCTTTTTTTTGTATGCTCTTTAAATTTTATTTGTATCTTGCTTTCTTACTCTCCATAGCAAATCTTACCTAATAACTTTGTGGAGACCAAGGTCATCATTCATCTTCAATCCTCTTTCTTTATTATCACATTTAAGGTCATCCATCTCTTTATTCAAGAGTCCTTTTGCCCACCATTATTAATACCTGACTGGTGCTCTTGATTCTATCTTCTTCCTCATTATCATTCCTTCAATTCTGCCTCTTGCTTCTGGAGTTACAATTTTACTTCAGCTACTTCTTTAACACTTTGCAAATTGCTTACATCTTCCCTGTTATAAAATCTTTTATCTTTTAACTCTGCATTTTTTAAATCTTTCTTTTCTTTTTTTTTTTCCTTTCTTTTTGAGACAGGGTCTCACTTTGTTGCCCAGGCTGGGGTGCAATGGAACAATCAACCCTGCATGTTCTTTAAGACATTCATCGCTTTTTCTTTCATTTACTCCCATATAGGAAAAGAGGTAGATACTAATTTTCCCTGCTTCCTCTACACTGCTTTATTTTTAATTCCCCTTGTAATTTTACACATGTATCTATTAACTTAGGAGGACTGTTTTCTCAGGAACTATCACTACAGATTATTCACCAAATAATCTGTACACCAAATAATCTGTACACTAAATAATCACTACAGATTATTCACCAAATAATTATTCACCAAATAATTATTCACTCTTGCAATAGTCTTTTCACAATAGTCATCCATATCAAATTGTATTTAGCGTTTTACACTGCACTTTGTTGTTGTTGTTGTTTATATTTTTTTTGAGATGCAATTTTGCTCTTGTTACCCAGGCTGGAGTGCCGTGGCATGATCTTGGCTCACCGCAACCTCCGCCTCCTGGGTCGAAGTGATGCTCCTGCCTCAGCCTCCTGAGTAGCTGGGATTACAGGCATGCGCCACCATGCCTAGCTAATTTTGTATTTTTAGTAGAGACGAGGTTTCTCCATGTTGGTCAGGCTGGCCTCAAACTCCCGACCTCAGGTGATCCACCCGCCTCAGCCTCCCAAAGTATTTAAAGTACCAAAGCTCTTGGTATTCTCCTATTGGTCTTCTCAACCAGTTCTTATCTTTCCAGTCACACTCTTTCTCCATCTCCAGGTAGAATAAATAACTTTGTTATTGTGTTGATTTAATTCTGTCTTATGTGAGAATTTATTATTTTCATGTTGACCTCTTTATATTATATTTCTGGGTCTTTGATTTTCGAATCCACTACAATGTATGGCACAGAGTTTTGTATTTTGTTCCTAAATCCACAAAATGTATTATGTAGATTGTTCTTGATTATCTTACTCAAGATCCTCCTTGTTTAAGTAACTTGATCGAGGTCATACAGTTGTTCATAGTAAAACTAGGCTGAGAGTATGTGTCCTTATTCTTACCCAGTTCATTTTCCTGTCTAATGAAATATTTTTTATAAACTTAAGAAGATAAACACAGTTATGATCTCTAGCACACTTTCTTTTCTTATATTCACAATTATAACAAAAGATTTTTTAAAATAACAGCAATAGAAAGCATCTAGAATCCCGAGTAATCTAACCTATTTTCACTTCGTTGATGGCTTCCTCTTTTAAGTTTTTTATCAAATATATATGACGAAAGTAGCAAATTAAAGCATGGAATAATTTCTTCTGTCCTTTTGCTAGGGCTTTTTATATCATATATTTAATATTTCAAAGGGTTTATAAATCATTTATCCACTAATCTTTGCAATACCCCTGCTGAGAAAGTCAATTAGCTGCAGAAGTACTGCTGGTTGGCAAGTGACAAGTAATATTACCTGCACATTACAAAAGAAGAAACTAAAGCAGCGAAAGGTTAATCGACTTGACCAATGTCTTACCCAGTCAGCAGCAGTACTGACGTCAGAGAGGGGACCAGGGTTTATTCACATCAAAATCACAAAAGCATTAAGGGCCTGGGGCTGGTGGTGTTCTTTGTTATATAATACTTGCCAAATTATTTGTTTTATCTTTTCCTTTACTGGCTCTGTAAGAGTCCAAGGAAGAAAGATACTTTTAAAATCTATAACCTCTCATTAATCTATGACTTGCCCTCCTATGTTAAATAAATACTTAGATTTTCAAAGGATATTAGAACACTGACACAGTTATCAAAATAACTCATATTAACTTTTTCATCTTTAAAATCAAAAAAAGGATCCAATCAAGCTCAGTAATATTTTCTGGTCTGTTCCAAGATATAATAATGACCATAAGAATAACAAAACAGCTACGGTTTAATAGTGCCTTATGAATAATAACAATAACAAAAACAAATATTACATATGTGCCAGATATCACATCTGTGTATATGGATTATATAATTTAAATTTCTTAACAACTCTCTCAAAACAGTATTCTCATTATCTCACTTTAAAAGATGAAATAGTAAAGGTTTAGAAATCTTAAGTCATGAAACTAATAGGTGATTTAACCATTTACAGTTACCATTTTCCAATGTTTGCAGTGGGGTATAAACTTCCTTCACTTTCTGTTAATGGTTTGCCATCAATATTTCTTTTTAAATATGTAAGTAGTTTACATTATGTTTTGAGGTATTACTCTATAGGGTGATAGTCTATTGATATCTCAACAGTATCTGGGTTTTGAATATTATGATCTCCTATGCAGAGTATTAATTGACACCACCATCTTTTCCTTGATTTCTGTATTTGTTCTACAAACACTTCCTATTCCATCTCCCACAAATCTGGTTTAATTATCCAGGTGATGTTCCTCATATTCAGTTGCCTCACTGTTAGGGCTGTTTTGCCTTGTGATAGTAAAAGCACACTCTGTAGAGACTATGAGTTTGAGAAAGACCTATGAAAATATTGACACCTAAAAAAAAGCTTCCAAAATATTTTTGAAAATGCAAAAGTGAGATTAAAAGCATGTTTTATTAACATTATCAGCACTAATATTACAACTCATGAAATGCATCTCCTACTTAGTTATGTAATAAATTATATTAAATATGTGATTTGGATACATTTTAATATATTTGATAAAATGTAGTGTGGAGCTTCCAAAAGTGCAATTGCCCAGGATGGGAGAAACCTTAAAAATGGCCCTGCTCATAATGAAATAGAAGTGACTTTGATTGGCAGGTTGAGGCAGAGATGGTAGGCCCTGAGAATAAGGGAGCAGGGGTGCAGTGGAGAAGACTGCCTGGTGAAATAGGAGAGTCAGATATTAGTGATTTATTGAGTGGGAAGCATGAAGGTAGAGGATTCTAGGTTGACAATTTTAGAATTGCATCTAGATTTCTAACTTGGATAAATGAGAGGCCAGCACTGTTTAGTGAAGGCAAAAGGAACAGCAACGTGGAAAGTCTAAGAATGCCATTTTAATATGCCACAATGCTACATTTAAGCTAAACTCGGCGATCTTTTCTTTTCTGAGTGAATGAAAATGCATTAATTAAAAACACACATTTCATACACATGTTAATATCTGCTATTCTGCAAGCAAGTATTTTCTGTACAGTGTCTAAATATCTACTCCAATCGAAAAAGTGCTTAAACACTTTAATATGCCTCTTTTCAACCAAAAAGAAAAACAGTTGCTATGATCATGTTTCAACATATTTTAAATCTACACATAATCACTGCCAATTTATAATATCTTCTCTGCAGATGCTAATTTCCTATATAGCATTTTTTATCCCCTTTAACTACCGAAAATGTAATTGTTCAGTATTATAATTAATGTTTTTCATTGCTATTACATGTCTGAACGTTGTTAGAATTTTTTGTTAATCTTTTTATTAATGGAATGCTCTTCAGTACAATGTGTAATACTCTTCTTCTCTGACACTGTTATAAGTTATTTCAAAGATTTTCCATACACTTGTTTTAAATAGAATTTTCAAATCTTTCAGGCTAGTTTAAGTCAGTAGAATAGGCTCTAGAGAAAAGAAAATGCTGTAGAGCAGAAATGTGATTTAAATGTAAGTGTAAATAAGAAAGTATCAATTTGGCTAATGAGAAATATACCCATATATATAAAATATATAATGGATATATCAATCAATAGACATTTCAAAATGAGATTATCCACTGAACTATTTTAAAATATTAATTTAAAAAGTGGTCAAATCGCTATACTAACAAAATAAAAAAATTTTTTATAAGGTAACAAGATAAACAATATGTGTATTTATTTTGGCCAAGAGACAAGTTGTTATCTGGAAAATCATGACATGTTGTATATTATCAAAATTACTATCAATATCAAGCAGCTCTACTATTGACTCTCTTAGCAGAACTAGAAATTATTATTATGACTCTATTCCATTACCAGGAATATTCAAGAAACTATTTAAAATGGTAAACATTAATCTTAACAAATAAAAACCAATCCATCTGAGGAAGAGGTCTCTGTGAACTGAGACGTTAAAAGATCTCAAAATCTTTCCTTTGACTACAATATTAACTACTCGAGATTTATATTTTCTAGTTTGCACTCTAAATTTTAGAAAAGTGTTTTCTGCACAATTCAGGGTACAAAGTAAATACATACAAATAAAAATGCTTGAACCTATTACCTTGTGGTACAAATTAGATAGAATGTCTTTCATATTTACATAACTCTAAGATTTTTATTCCAGCATTATGCATTAGTAATGTTTGTGTCTAATTCCCATAATATTTTGTATCAACCAAACTCATTTGAGTTATAATTAGAAGATCTGGTGCTTATCTTCTAGGCTTTCATCATTGCATGTCACTTCTTTAATTCACACCAACTTTTAATATCTTATAACACAACCAAAGACTCTATAAACACATATAATAAGCACTATGCAAATGACTCAGGATAAAACAGGTTTCAGATGTGAAATTATAGCCATGCTTGGCTATACTTCCATCTAAGTGCTTCATCTGAATAGAGGTGTTCAACCCAACTGCATATATAAATCACCTAGGGTGACTTTTAAACTTACCAATGGCTGGCCCCACTATCAAATCTAATTATTGTCTATATGATAATAATTGTTTTTCAACTGAGAGCTATATTTGATTGGTTGCAAAGGCAGCACAAACACACACACACATACACACACACACACACTTCCCAGTACTTTTAGAATTGTAGAACAGGGTTAATCATAACTACTGAGTTTAAATGTTACTTATCAACATGTTAAAATGCAAATGAGTAGGGGAAAACTAAAAATAAGCTGTTTTACATATATTTTTAAAAGTCTTATAGAAATCCTTAGGAAATTAATATGAAATGGGAAAACATGAAAATCTTGTTGCTTTCTATACTCCCTCGCCTGTGGCAATGCAAACAACAGAAATCATTCTGGGACTTCAATTAGCCCATTGATGCCAGAGGTTGCAAATTTCTTTTTTGAAAAATCAGATTTTGGTGATGACTTTGAGCAGTGGGATATAAATGACTCCCACAAACTTACCGTTCCGATAATGGAACACTAGGCATAAATGGGTTAAGGAAGGTTATAATAGATTAGGTCAAGCCAACATTGTCTCTTTCCCACCTCCCTCTAAGGTATGACAACTCCAGTCCCCACCTTGCTGTCTCCAACTATAATCTCCTCTACTAAAATGTGTTTTTAGACTTACTGTTATACAGTAATTCAACTGTAAAAGACTGCAAATGCAAGCAGAGTCATTTAAAGAAGAAAGGAAAATGCTCTCACCAATTTTTAACACAGAAACAGCATTTCGAGACTTACAAAAAAGTAAAATTGAAAAATATTTCTTACAGCTAATACTTGCAGGTAATGCTATTATGCCTCTCACAAAAGCAAGAGGGATGAGGCATAGAAGGAACGTGGTTTTGAGGGCAATGAAAACAAGCAGTTACTGCAATCTGTTACAAGCTGCATTCAATTGACTAGAAGACAGGGGTTTCAGTGCCATAATTTTTACAATATTTGCTTGCCATCTGATGTTGGGAAAAATATTAATTTCTCTGCACTTCAGTTTTCATGCCTCCAAAATGTGGGTTCTCAAACTAAAGACATATTTCAAAACTTTTCAAGGTCTAAAAATTGCTGACTTTAGTGTCTGTGTGCCCTTCATAAAGGGCAAGTTTTCACAAAGTATGGTATTCTTCTAAAAGGCCTTTGAAGTAAGAAAAACCTATATTTAGAAAGCTCATTCAGTGTCCCTGGGTCTTCTCATGTCTTGCTGCTATTTATAACCAGGTATAGGCCAGTAGACAACAGCTTTGCTTTAACTAAATAAGTGCCCAGGTTTCTGAGAGTTAAAGAGAAGTTTTTCATTTTTCTAAGTGTGGAGTTGAGAAATTGTTGAAAACAGGAATTTTTTTGAACTTGTTTGCTGAATTGCCCAGTTGTTACATGGCCTGACATGGATGATTTAAAAGGTTGCATTTCTGTTTGGATATATAATTGTCACCCTGCTGCTTTATCATCGCCCTCTTACAGGGTAAACATGTTCAACTGTTTTGAGTTTGCGAGTGTGAAAGTTCCTTATGATCTGTTTTTTCTTATGAATTTCATGCCCATTTATTCCAATTTGAGTGCAGGTAGAAATATATAAAGTTCTTGAAGAACGTATTTTCATTCTCATGAATCTTGTTGATTTTATTGTAATACAGAGAACTTTACTAATTTTATAGACATTTGTACAGTAAGAACATCAAAAGAAAACAAAAACATTGATACAGTTTGGCTTTGTGTTCCCACCCAAATCACATCTTGAATTGTAATTCCATAATCCTCACGTGTTGTGGGAGGGACCCAGAGGGAGGTAACTGAATCGTGGTGTTGGTTCCCCCCATGCTGTTCTCGTGATAGTGAGTGCTCACAAGATCTGATGGTTTGAAAAGTGTCTGGCATTTCCCCTGCTTGCACTCATTCTCTCTCCTGCCACCCTGTGAAGAGGTGCCTTCCACCATGATTTTAAGTTTCCTGAGGCCTCTCCAGCAATGTGGAAC
The DNA here is from genome assembly GCF_000001405.40 of Homo sapiens. NCBI lineage: Eukaryota > Metazoa > Chordata > Mammalia > Primates > Hominidae > Homo > Homo sapiens. The sequence continues at coordinate 78,582,302 of NC_000008.11, read as the reverse complement.
TGTGACTCAGTTAAACCTCTTTCCTTCATAAATTACCCAGTCCTGGGTATGTCCTTATAGCAGCGTGAGAATGGACTAATACAAACATCATTAGAAAAAAAATCCCAAAGCCTCAAAAAAAAAAAAAAACACGAAATATTGCTGGGATTACATGGTATTAGCAAGAGAGATTAGCACCACTAGGCTAGAAGCCCACTACCATTGTAAACAGCTTTTAACTGTACTAGCTGCCTGAAGAAGGATTATCTGACTCAGGGATGACTTGTCTTTTGTTCATAATTTTAAAAATATGATCTCACACTTACAAAAACGTTGAAATGACAGTAAAAAAGACAGTAAAAATGGCTTATTTCTCAAGCCATTTGAGAGTAAGCTGTCAACACAATGCCCTGTCAACCCCAAACGCTTCCTACAAACATATCCAAATATTAACAAGAAAATCTGACAATTAGCACTGATACATTACTATAGTACTGTCTAATCCTCAGACTTCTTCAAGTTTTGTCAATTATCCCAATAATGCCCTTAATAACAAAAGGATTAGCCTAAAATCACATTTCATTGAGTTGTCCTGTCTTAGTTTCTTTTATCTGGTACATTTTCTTGGATTTCCCTTGAAATTCATAGCCTTAAAACCTTTAAAGATACAGACTAGTTATTTTGTAGGATTTAGCTGTTTGTGTTTGTCTCATGATTAGATTCAGAAGATGTGTTTTTTGGCAGGAAAATCACAGTGAAGCTCTATTCTCACCACATCCTATCAACAGACAATTTGGGCAAACTTTTAATTTGTACCCTTATTGGGATACTAATTTTACTCATTTGATTAAAAGGTGCCACCCAGTCTTCTCCACTGTAAAGTTATTTATTTCTTTTTTAACATTAATACATTTTGTGGCAAGATACTTTGTGCTTATGTAAATATCCTATTTCTCACCAAACATAATGTATTCAATTTATTTATATTGATATAAACTCATTGACCATTTTATTAAATTAACTACAACGAGTTTCTATTATTATTTATTTTGAAGCTCAGATTGTTCGAGATTTGCCCAGGGGAAATCCTTTCAATTTGGCCAATATGTCCTTTGACATCTCTCTGTCATTCTTTGATATGTTTCTTGCTTCTTGGAACAATATGTTCTAGGGTCATCTTATGCTTTCTCTGATCTGAATCAGCCATTTCTCCAGAAAGCTCTGGTTCCTTCACTAGGAGAATTGTATCTAGACACCAAGATCTGGACACTAGGTTTGCTCACTGTTATTGGGGAATAGCTGTCCCAGGCCTTTGCAATAGACTGAGCTACGGGATTTATGTGTATGTAGACATACATACATACATACATGTGAAAACACGTTCATCTACAGTTATATAGTCACACACATATATACCTTACATCTATGTTTAATTCTATATTTGCTAAATATATTGAAAACCAGCACTTTCATTCCCCCATTTTCATCCAGCACCAGAGTTCATTCTAGCTTTTGCCTATATCATACTTCAACTTCCTCCTCAGACAGTGACAAACACTGATTACCTTCATCTTTAATATTCGCACTTATTAGATCAATCTCCCTGTATTTTAACAAATTATTGTTGCTACCACTTTTCTACCCCATTATAACATTCTCCCCACCTAGCACAGACTATAACTATCTGTATTGAGTGGTTGCTGTGGCCACTTCCCCATGTAGATGTCCTTCTCCTTCCAATAACTTTCAACAGCTCACACTATGCTCCTCGGTGCAGACACCCTCCTTCTACTTCTTGGGCTTTAATAGCAAATGCCCAACCTCTGCAATACCCTGTATACCCACCCTGCCCATGGTGACAAAGGCTTACTAGGCCTCATCGAATGGCTTTTGTACTAAATTGTTTAAGAAGGGAAAGGACAAGGAAGAGGATGAGGAAAGGAAAGTGGTAAAGAATGGAGAGAAACAATATTTTTTCCTAGAGAATATTAGAAGTGGTTCTTTAGGAAGTTATAAAGACAATATGCAGTATCAGCTAAATAATTAAGCCTAGATTACATATTCTTTACATATCTGTATCTATATGCTCTGTATCTTTATACCTATGACATATGTATGCATCATTTTATAGCAATATGTGACAAAATTTATAATATTTATCTAAATATTTTAATACTTCGCAACTTAAAAAATTATATAGCACAATTCAATGATTAACAGTTCATTTCTATGAATGGATTTTCAAGTCTCCATGCCAAGAGTGCTTGGGATAGTATCTGTAGTGGTCTTTATTGGATTGTCTTCCTCTTTTGCCACTCAGGATTCATGTAATCTGCTGGTCCTCAATTGCATACCACTGGTGCTCTGCACCAGCCCATGTTTATCTGAACAAATATACCAGCTTGGTATTTCTCAAAGGGTTGTCTGTAAACCATATGCAGCAGAATCACCTGAAGACCTTGTCAAAAGGGATGTCCCCAGGCCATCTTGATTTCCTGTTCAGAATCTTTATGGGTGGAAATGGTTGTCTGGAACTCAACTCAGGTGATTCTTATGCATTAAATATTGAAGCCATGGTGTAACTCACATGTCTACAATTCCTCAGATTTCTCTGTTTAAAATACACACCTTTGCTCTATCACTTTTGCATTTGTTATTTAATAAACTTGCTCATTGCTAAACGTGTAAATACCCTCCAAAGTAAAATGTATCTATCTTTCGCAAAATGTCTCTCACCAAATGCCTCCACAAAATGAAAATGCAACTATCTTCTGAGATCTTATTTTGAGGAATCTTACAGGTCTTCCAGGTTCAGAAAATAACAAGTGCAAAGGTCCTAATGCTGGAAAAGTCTTTTAGGGAAAAACATTCTAGAGGCGAGTGTGTGAGGGGGAAAGTGGTAAATGAGTTTGGACAGTAAGGCAGAAGGAACATTGACTAAGGCCATGTAGGTCAAAGAAGGCAGTTTAATTTTTATTTTAAAAGTGATGGGAGCCAGGGTTTTGGACAGGAATGTTACCTGGTTTAAATTTCTTTGGAAGATTATTCTGGCTATTGTACTTGTTATAAACTAGAAGGACCGTGGCAAGAGGGGAAGGAGGAAGATCCTGTAAGAGACTGCCTGTTGCACTAGGTGAGGCAAGCAATGATGGCTTGCTGTAGGGTGAAGACGGTGAGAGGTAGAGGGATCCAGGACAGATTTTAAAGTTAGAGGTGGAAAGAGTTTCTTATGGACTACATGTAGAAATTGTTGGAAAGTGAAAGTTTAGGGATGAATCCCAAGCTTTTGGCTTGAGCAAATGGAGATGGAAACAACTGGAGTGAAAGTGATAGAAAAAAGTAAACTATTTCATTGTATTTGCTAATTCTGAAATGTCTATGATATATAAAGTAGAGATATTTAGTGGGAAATGGGAATTATGAATCTCAAGCCTGGGAGAGTGGTGAAGGCTAGAGGTATGAATATGGGAGTCATAGTCATCTGCCTATTGAAGCAATGGGACTAGAATAAAACTCATGTGCACAGACAGAAAACCGTAGAGGGCCAAGAATGAGTTTTAGGGCACTCTAGCAATAAACACTAAGAAATGGAGGCATCACAAAGGAGACCAGAAAGAAATGTGAAGTGAGAAAGGAAGAAAACTAGGAGAGTATGGTGTTCTAAAAGCCAGTCAAACAAAGCATCAATGTTGGAAATTATGAGAGCTTATTTTCCAAAGTTTGTTGTATTAATAACTTAAAACTTGATATTCTAACGAGAGCTTTTAGCAAACAAAAAAATAATGATTTTTTTCTACTACAAGTGATTGATTGTAACAGCATAGGAACTGGAAATGTGAAAAAGGCATCAAGAATTTAGGTAGAACATGATTTGAAACAAAAGTGTTCATTTAAGATACAAGTACACAATGTTGAGACATAATATTTTGTCTATCAACTGCAGCTACAGCATGCCGTAAGTGAAGATGAATGATTACAGTTTAATATCAATTTCAGGGGAAAATATTTGAGTCTTCATAATTTTTAAATAGATTTTAAAAATAGGCTTGAGACTTGTCATAAGTGAAACAGAATTTCATAAACGATCATAACAATTTTAGAATCAGAATAAAGTTTACATATGAAATGACTTACTTGAATTCACATGGTTCATTTTTATGGGTGAAGACTAAGACTCAGGTTTTCTGATTACTGAGTATTATTTATTACTTTAACACACTGTCTTGAATATCTTCCAACCATCTATAAGTCATCTATAAAATGACTAAAAAGGGGCTTACCAGTGATATCTTACATTTTAAAATAAAATTCTAAGTAATTAGAACTAGGAGAAATAAGACTCATGAGGATTAAATTGTAAGAACAGCTTATAAGAGGGGGAAAAAGTAAGAGATACATTTCCACATGGACAGATAGGAGATTTTAGGAGAGAAAACAATCAAAACTTTATTTATACATGTTTATATTAGCTTAATGAAACAAAGACAGCCATCATGGGACTAGCAGATAATTCTGAATATGAATTTTTGAATATGAAGACTGGTACAGATTAACATCCAATTACACTAAAGACCAGATAAGGTCTTCATTCTATTACAGCATATCAGGAATAAGGATACCTCTTGATACTTTGGTAAGTGCCGTTTTGGGAGAATGAACCTTACTACAAAGTGAACATTTATGTCAAGAAGTAGTTTAGTATATAAATTGTAGTCGTATATGAATACAACTTAGTAAATTTAGGTATGTCATGAAAGTTATGTTAGGTTACTTTGAAAAGTAAGAAATGACCAGGTTAACTAACTTTTTTTCTTTTTTTTTCAAACTTTTATTTTAGGTTCAGTGGTACATGTGCAGGTTGTTATATAGGTAAACTCATATCAAAGGGATTTGTTTCATAGATTATTTTGCCACCCAGGTACTAAGCCTAGTATCCAACAGTTATCTTTTCTGCTCCTCCCCCTCCTCCCACGCTCTACCCTCAAAAGGCCCCAGTGTCTGTTGTTCCCTTCTTTGTGTTCAGGAATTCTCATCATTTAGCTCCCACTTGTAAGTGAGAACATATGGTTAGGGGAGTGATAGCATTAGGAGATATACCTAATGTAAATGACGAGTTAATGGGTGCAGCACACCAACATGGCACATGTATACATATATAACAAACCTGCACGTTGTGCACATGTACCCTAGAACTTAAAGTATAATTAAAAAAAAGTGAGAACATATGGTATTTGATTTTCTCCTTTTGAATTAGTTTGCAAAGGATGATGGCCTCCAACTCCATCCATGTTCCTACAAAAGACATTATCTCATTCTTTTTTATGGCTACATACTATTCCATGGTGTATATGTACCACATTTTCTTTATCCAGTCTATCATTGATGGGCATTTAGGTTGATTCCATGTCTTTGCTATTGTGAATGGTGCTGCAAAGAACATTTGTATGCATGTGTCTTTATAATAGAATGATTTATATTCCTCTAGGTATATAAAACCAGTAATGTGATTGTTGGGTCTAATGGTAGTTAACTTTTCTTTTTAATGCCAGAATAACTGTTACATAAAATATCTCACTATGCCACTGTCAAAGACAAAATCCTGGGACTGTAGAGGTCCATTGCCTAACCACCTAAAGCTGCACAGTTCACTCATTAGCCACATGTGGATTTTGAACCCTTTAAATGCAGGCTAGTTTGACCCAGGTGCTGAAATTTTAATTTAATTTTATTTTATTTTATTTACATCTATTTTTTCAAAAAAACACGTGGCTAATGGATACAACGTTAGACAGCACTGAGAGCATTCCCATTATCACAGAAACTTCTATGGAACAGAGTTGATCTACAACATTTAAAAACTTTTTACATTTATTCTTCTTTGTTAAGAAAATCGACTCTTATTAACAGGTAATATTAGCAAGATGGTAGATACAAGCTCAAGCTCCAAAAACCTATTTAACTTGATTGAACTTAAATAACAATGAGAAATAAGTATGAAAAGATAAATAGAAAATGAACATAAGATATTCTTCAGAATTTTCCAGAATAGGAAATATAGTGACTATTAAACAGATGAAAAGATTTTCAACCTATTGGTAATTAGGGAAATGCAAACTAAAACTATTAGAGACTGAATTATGTTTCCCAGAAATTCATATGTTGAAGCCTGAGTCCTCAGTGTGACTGCATTTGGAGATAGGCCCTTTAAAGAAGTCATTTAGGTTAAATAAGGTCTTAAACATGAGGCTCTAATCCAATATGACTGGATTCCTTATAAGAAGAAAAAGACTCCAGGGATGCGTGCAAACAGCGAAAAAGCCATGCGATGACATAGCAGGAGGGCAGTAGTCTTCAAGTAAAGGAGAGAGGCCTCAGGAGAAACTAAACCTGCCAACACCTTTCTGGACTTCTAACCTCCAGAACTGTGTAAAAATAAAATCTGTTACTGAAGCCATAGACTCTGTGATATTTTGTTATGGCAGCCCTAGCAAACTAGCACAAAGACCAATTGAGGTTTTATACTAACTAGATTGGCTGATATAACTGGTGAGGCTGTAGAATCATAGGACTGCAACTTGACTGAGTTACTTTGAGTTTCAAAGTTGACTTGCGTAACTTTGAAAAAGATTTTGGCATTATCTTTTAAAGCTGAATATTCAAATTCCCCATGACCCAGCAGTTCTAATCGTGGTTACACATGTTAAGATAAATCTTGCACGTGTATAATAGGAGGCATTAAAATACATGCTCATAAAACATTGTTAAGAATAGATCCAAAACAACTCAAATAACATCAACAGGATAATATACACATTTTTTACATTTGTACAACATTGTATTATACAGTGATAACAATGAATAAACACTAGCTGAAACAAAATAGATATCTTAGAAACATAATAATGTTGAGTGAAAAAAAAGCAAACACAGTTACAGAAAGTATGATGCCAATTTTATAAGCCACAAAACAACCCATACTTAATAAAAAATACATAAAAATTAAATGAATGTTAATATGAAACCAAGAGCAGAGTTACACTTTTTATGACAAAAAAAGAACCAGAGAAAAGCACAAAGAAAGATTCTGCAGCGTTGATTCCAGTTCTTAGTTTTGGTGGTGTGTTTGCAAGAGTTTATTTTTATTATGTTTCATAACTTACATATAACAGATTTGCATGCATTACTTTGCATGTATCAGATACTATATAATAATGTTTTTAAAATAAAAATTTCCCGGTTACCGAAGATAACCCTTAGACATTAATTGTGGAGAAGGAGATCTAATCCAAAACCACAGATACATTTATTTATGAAAATTTTGTACTTAGAGAACTTTCAGCTAAGAAAAGAAATTCTTCCTTTCTCACATGAGAACTTTATGCTACCTAATGAAGCTCCCTACTTTGGGGCAATTTTCTGTCTTTATTTAAGTGATACTAGTCTTTTGGCTGTGTAGAAATTTTAAAAAAAATGATAGCTACATCTCCTGTTCCCAAGAGAATGCAGGAAAAGAATAAGGTGTGGGAGACAATCTTGTAGCTTATTGATAAGTACATACAAAGACAAAAATTGTGCATAGTGAATGCTCCATCTAGCAATTCAGAATTGTTATTAGAAGTATATCTGAATATCATAATTGATAAAATAATAAAATAATCAAATATGAGTAAATGTCCTCTTATTTTGAAACCAGTTTCAGTGTGCTATTTTAGATCACTAGTTCACTTTCACACCTGGGAGAGTGTGTGTGAGTGTTTTGGTTTTGTGGTAACTGGATTATGCTAAATTTTACATTTCCTTCTTTAATGAAATGGATTTTGTTCTCTCTTGGAAATGCAGCAGATAGCAACAGCAGAATATAGAGAAATAGCTGCTGCAGCTGTACTACCCATGGAAAAGTATAAATAACAATTTTAGCAGCTAGTGATTCTGAAATTGCCCTTAACTGTGTCATTATAAAAATGCTTTAACAAATATGTTTTACAGTAAGGTGACTATAGCAAAAAGCAATGTATTGTATATTTCAACATAGCTAGAAGAGAAGATTTTGAATGTTATCCCCACAAAGAAATAATAAATGCTTAAAATGATGGATATACCAATTACCCTGATTTGATCATTATACAATGTATATATGCATTAAACATCACACTATACCCCATAAATATGTACAATTACTGTTATCAGTTATAAATCTGAAGAAAAGAAAAGTTTGCAAGTAATATAGTTAAGAAATTTATCTGATGGATTTTCTCCCCAAGCACTAATCATTGAATAGTACATCTAATGAAGGTACTATGCCTAAATGTAAAGGATAAGATGTAAATTATTAAAAAGCAGTCTCAGAACTAGAAAAATTGTCAGCTATATCAGCAGACTCAGATTCAGGCTTTCATGTCACAGATACTTCTGTCACAGACCTTGGCAAATATGTGTTTTGTGTTGGTCTTATAATTGTCCTTAGAATCATGGGGACTTATTCATTAATTCAAAAAGATTTATGGCCCATATTTTATGTGTTAGTTATAGTACTGGGTTCTGAGACTACAGAAGCCAACACACAAAGCAATCCAAGGACAAACTTTTTCTCTTCATTCATCCATTATTCAGTATGTGTCTTCATTTTGAGTACTGACTAGGGATCAAGTGCTGTGCTAAATGTATATATTAATAAGTATATATTAATATAACTGCAAATGAGAAGATGAGCCACTTATTATGATGTTACTGCTGTTTTTTTCTTTTCTTTCCATAAAATGGGATGTCCTTTTGCCCCAAGTTTTGGACTTAAATTGCAAATGAAAAGAAAATTCTCAGTGGGATGCTGATGTGCATAGATAAATGAAAACAGAGCTCCCCTTTCACATGCTCCATTCACCTCCCTTTCAACTCCCTATACGTGCTCACTTTGATTGTCCCAAGACCAAGATGAGAAGTGCCCCATAGGAACCAAAACAACTTCCTTACATCATTCATTAGGACTGTTCCTCTTAAAGAACTAAATGCCATCATGACCCATAATTTTCATGACCTTCACAGAGGGTCACGGAGACAACCCACGAAAATGATTTGTTTTAAAAGAAAATACTGAAAGGGTTAATCTGCTGCTCCACAGGCCTAACCTCCTGGGATTAAACCACATGCATGGAGCTCACTAAGTGTACTTAGTAACAACAAGCTAAAAATAGAAAAAAGCATCATGCTGTTATTGTATGAGTTTCCCTCCAAGGTTTTGTCTGATAAACATCACAACCTCCAAGGGGATTGTGAACAGGTTCCTTGTAGGGTAGGTTAGATACTTATTGTTTCAGACAGTCACACCATAACCAGTTCTCAGCATACTTATTTTAAGGTAATTAAATGTTTGAGAATTAGTGTTCCTACCTGATTGGAAACCTTCTTGTCTTTAATTCATTGACTATACTAGATCTCTTTTTTCTTGGAGATGACCTTCAGATTTCTATCAGAAATCACTTCTTTGGGGAAACCAGGGCTTCTCAGAAAGTCAGGAAACTGAAATGCAGATAGCAAGAGAAAGGGAAATTATCTGTACATATAAGTTTCATTTTTAAAAATTTTAAGCAAATGTTCAAGCATCCGTCATTTGAACAGTATCATAACTTCAGGAACTTTCGTGGTTATGAGTATGAATTCTCACAACACAAACACGTGATGAGAGTATAGGTTGAATTTTGGGATTTCAAGTCAAGCAGTCTTCAAAAGAGGCCTGGTTAGCCTTTGTTAATTAATTGTGTGTGTGTGTGTGTGTGTGTGTGTGTGTGCGTGCAGCTTTTTTTGTGATGGGGTGGTGGGGAAAGAAATCTGTTGACTACTAGTCAGTGATTTAGCGGGCAAAAAAGGCAAGTTTTCTGTCTTTTCTTTAATATTCACTTTGGTTCTTCAGTCTTCATCTAGATTTCTCTTCTATCTTCACTTAGATCTTCAAAAAATTAATTTGACTAAATTTAGTTCTTCATAAACATTGGAATTTGTTGAAGGATATTTACAGAGACTTTTAATGTCTGTTCAAGCGTTGTCACACACAAAATGTTTGTGTGTGTGTGTGTGTTTGTGTTTGGCTTTTCTTGTGATGAGATGGAGGGAGAGAATAAATCTGTTGACTACTACTTAGAGATTTAGAAAGATGGACAGATTTAGAAAGATGGATATTAGGTTAAAGTGAAGCAAATTATGCAAAAAGGTTCCAACACTGTGATTCTGAAACAATAATAGCAGACTTCTGGGTGACTAAGGAGTAGTCTTCTCAAATTATACTCATACCTGTTATAGACCACCTGTTCACAAATTCTATACTATCATTCATCATTTATGGAAAACAAATGACATGATCTCTCTTTCCCTCCACTTATTGGCCATTCTCATATACCTTTTTTCTAACTTTAATGTCATACTCTTTTCTATCTGATTGAAAACATTAGAATCTAGGAGCGACAGACAATGAGCCAGCCCTCAGCATCTGTACCAGTGATGACCCTGAAAGGCACATTGGCCTATTAGGAGACTAGAAGTGATTTGGGATTGTCTTAGACTGATTTCCCTCAGAAGCAGAGCCTGAGAGAAGAATTTGAATTCAAACTGTTCCTGGAAAGTGAGCAAGGAAACTCAGGAGTAGAGCTGGAATTGAGAATAGAGGCATGAAAGAAAGCCAAGAGAGGCACAGCACTGAACAGGTTACTCTTGGGGGGAACTGTTACAAGTCCCTTAGAGGAGTCCTGTGGAACCCTGAAGAACATTCCTCAGGGTTATCCCCACCAGTGGGTGAGAAAGTCGAAGTATTTATATCCCAAATCCCCTCTGTCAGGGATTGAAAGTTTCAGCCAGATATGTTATCTCCTGCACACTTCTGGCGTGCCCTAAAGAGGTATTTGCAGGTGATAGCACAATTCTATCAGTATGCACTGAAATGCTGAGTGTAGGGGGAGATGTAGGTGGGCCTCTGACAGCATCGGATACAGTGGCAATGGGGTATTAAAGGTTATCTTGTAAGTCCAAATGGATAAACTTTAGTTCCTGGGTTGACAGTTTTCTTTTGAGGTAATTAAGTACTAATGCATTGATAACAATGTCCTCTATTAAATCAAATCAAAGGTCCTAAGTGTCTAATCTCCTGGAAAACTTTGTATCTTGGATACAGTCCTAGTTAAAAAAAAAAAAAAGGAAAAATTAAGATTTCAAGTTGACCACTCATTCATCACTCATTTAACACTCACTGAACACCTAATGTATACCAAGGATTAAGCTAGACTTCAGTGTAACCTTTATTAAAATCATTATCTTAGCATCAAGAATTTACTTTATTGGGGCATCCAGATAGTACAAATTATTACATAGTGTAATGGAAGAGAGAGCAGTCTTAATTCATTCTGTGGACCAATAATAAGTGAGAAATATTAGCAGGTCTTCCTATAGAAGGCAATACTGGAGATGGATGTGTAATGTGAAGGAGAGGTAAATTTTTGAGTCAAAGAGGAGATAAATTCACAGTAGAAAGAAAAAGAATGGTTAAGGAACAGAACAGAAAGAAATGCCATATACAACTGGTATAAAGAGTGCTTAGAGGGGTGTAAAAAAAGAAGACAACAGAGAGCATGGTAGCAGCCAGATAAAGAATGGTTTGTGTATGTATGAAAGAGTGTGGAATTTAATTGTAAGGAAGATGGAAAGCCATTGAATGATTTTTAACAGAAAAGTTCAAGTTAGAGGAAAAGAAGATAGAAAGGTTTATTTGCATAACATGATCAGATATTTGTTTGTTTTAGAAAGGTCACTTTGGAAATACTGGGGCTTGATTGTTGGAGAAGGGTAGTTGCAATCCTAGACACAGAAAGTTTAGTTAATAGTTCATTAATATAAGCCAAAGAAGAAACTGGATATGAAGTTCGTGCATGGCAGTTGTTTGCTTTCAGTACTCGAAGAATGTTATGCCAATACTTCTGACATCCATAGTTTCAGATCCGAAATCTGCTGTCATTTGAATTGGTGTTTCTCTGTAAGTAATGCATTGTTTCTCTCTATCTGCTTTTCAGACTTTTTTCCTTTCTCTTTATGTTTCAGAAGTTCAATTATGATGTGCCTCGGCATGAATATCTTTGTGTCTACCCTATTTGAGTTTTGCTTAGGTTCTTAAATCTGTACGTTTATGTCTTTTGCCATTTTGGGGAACTGCTCTGTCATTATTTCTTCAGATAATTTTTCCATCTCACTGGCTGGCTGTTTTCATTCTGGGAGTTTGATGATATGGATGTTAGCTTTTTATTTTTCGTTCCACAGGTTCCTGAGTTCCTACCCACTTCTTCACTAAGCCTATGTTTTCCTCTCTGTTTTTCAAGTTTGATAAATTCTATTTATCTATTTGGTAAATTCTATTTATCTGTTCTTGAGGTCACTGATCCTATGCTTTGTCATCTCCACTCTACTCTTGAGCCTGCCCAACAAAGGTTTTTATTTTGGTTGTTGTATTTGTCAGCTCTATCATTTTCACTTGGTTTTTATTTTATAACATCTATTTTGTTGCTTATACTTTCTATTTTTTCATTTATTTTAAGAAATACATAATTGCTTTTTGAAACATTTATGTGATATCTTATTTAAAATCCCTGTCACATAATTTCAACAACTGATTTATCTCAGTTTTAGTGTGTGCTGACTATAATTTTTTTTCATTTATTTTGTGATTACCTGGTTCTTGGTATAATTGGTAGTTTTCAATTGTATTGTGAACATTATGAGTAGTATATGACTCTGGATCTTATTTTAACTTATTATTTTTAGAAGGAAGCTCCCCTATATTGGGGTGTAGCAAGAAAGCTACAAGGGTGGGAATGTACAGGTTCCACTGGGCCTTGCTGACACCATACTGGCAACAGAGGGACGCTGACTCACATGGCCTTACTGCAGACAGATGAGGTAGAAGTTTAGCTCCGCCTTTGGCCTTGCTGACACCTTCCCAAGGAGAATGGGACCACTCATACCATGTTGTTGCCTTCAAATGGGAATGGAGGCTCAGCACTCTAACAGACCCCCTGAACCAAGGCAGAGGGAAATGAAGTGTCAACTCTCTTTCTTTACACTACCTTAATTCTATCCTATTGGTGTTAGGTGTGTGTAGAGGCTTAGTTCCTCACTGGTCTCCCCTGACCCCAGGTTTTGAAGGAAAGTACAGTGCCTCCTATACCCAACTTGCAACATCCTGTTGCTGATGGCAAGTAGAGGCGGGGGCTTAGCTCCCCACTGGACCCCATGGCTGTGTGCAGGGAGTCCATTTGTAATTAGCTCTGTCTGGCATGATCTCCTTAAGTCTCCTTCCTGACGGGTGGGGTGGAGGCTCAGCTCTCCATTGAACCACACTGCAACAACTCTGGTGGGGGAACCACAGTGCTGCCTGCTTGTGAAGGGCAAGAGTAGGGTGGTATGCACGATCAACTCCTTACCTGGTCCCTCTGAAACAAAAGTCATGGATCATGTCTGTAACCATGACCTATGGTTTCATTAGGGTTTTACTGGAGAGGTGTACATACTGCCAGAAAGGTTTTCTGTTGTTAGAAATCTCTTTTCTCATACTTTGGCTAAGAAGCACAGAGTTTTCTTGGAGCTTTTTTTGTCTGTGTCTGTTGGTGGTTATGGAATGGAGGCTCCTGTGGTGCCCTGTCTGAGCTATGTGGGAGGCAAAAAGAAAACAGGGAACTCATTGCCAGGTCATTTCTTAAGTCCCGAAGTAAGTCTGCCTTCCAGTTTTCACTATTTGGTGCCTCCTATGCTTATTTATTGTATTCATTTCATAGTTTTAGTGGAAAGTGAAAATACCTGGGAGAAATGCAGCCACTCCATCTTATCAGAACCAGAATTGCGGTGGTCTATTAATGTTAAAAAGTGCTGCTGGCTATAAATTGAAGTTTGACTATATACACCATGCCCTTTAGGAATTATTCTGCTAGACAAATGGCTTCCTAAGGGTTCACAAGGTTATTACGATTTGATTTTCACACTTGCAGAAGTCAAGTGTTCTGTTGAAGGTGAAATTTGTAGATAAGGAAGGCTAGACTGATTCATGAGGTAGTAGATTAGGGTTGGAGACATTAATATAAACTCATCCTTAGCTTGATGTACATATGCATAGCAACATACATAAAAAATTATAGATATGTGTATACACATTGTTAGTATACATACACATATCTCTTCACTCAGTCAGCTAAGACAACCTAGAAACAATGAAACCCCAGTAACAATGAGCAAATATAGCACCCAGATCTTGGTGCTAATACCACTCCCCAGTAAAGGAACTAGAGCTTCCTGGAGAAAGGACCAATTCTAGAACCAGGGCAAGAAATATAAAAGATGGAAGTAGACCATCTGGTAGTGTGAGAAATTAAGGAAGTGATTTTTAAAAACCCACAATTATTGAGCCTGGGAACAATTGAAAGAGTTCATAATGGTTAAGATGGAACAATTTGAGCAACAAAATAAAGTGGTATATAATCCCAAGTATAAAATTAATGTCCACAGATTCTTACTGGCGTAAACAAGGGATTAAATTAATAAATGGCTGGGGGATAGATAAGTCTCCAGTGCAGAAAACTTCCAAATAGCTTCTGTAGCTATTCAAACCAAAGAAGGCGGAGTATAACTCTCTGCTTCTTATTGTTGGCTGAGCGTAGTGATTTCCTTCCAGAGTATAATACAGAAAGAGAAAGAAAGAGTGAAGAAACCTGATGATGACGACTATCTCAGCCAGGTGATCAAGGTTGACATCAGCAGTGATAAGTCATCTTGACAAAATGGCCCTTTATCTCTGTGGTCTTCCTCAAAAGCACACTCCCAATCTTGAGAAAAGCATAAGACACATTTTAGCAGTGGGGCATCGTACAAAATACCTGTCCAGTATTATCCAAAATTGTCAAGGTCTTCAAAAATAAGGAAAGTATGAGAAATTGTCACAACTAAGGGGATCCTAAGAAAACATGACAACTAAATGTAATACAGTATCCTGATGGAATCTTGGAACACAAATGTGACATGATAAGGTAAAAATATAGGAACCATGATCAAAGTATGAACTTCAGTTAATGATAATATATTAATATTTGTTCACTAATTGAAACAAATGTAACATACTAATATAAGTTGTTAATAATAGAGAAAAATGGGTATAGTATGTATGAGAAATCTCTATAATATACTTTCAAATTTTCTGAATTAAAACTGTTTTAAAATATAAAGTCTATTTAAAAAGTCAAGTGTTTTCTTGTTTTATGGTTGTGTTTCTGCAGTCCCCAATAAATATTTGAGTTTGCTTTACCTTACTGATATTGATGTTGAAGAAAAAAACTAAATAATTCTAAAATGGTTGGTAATTCCAATTCAATAAGCAATAATTCCTGGTAACATGTTTTTGGAAGAACTCACTGAATAAATCAAAGCAAACTGTCTTTAAATGCTAAATGTCTTTTCGGTGTTTAATCTTCTTTAAGATTATTGTTTGCCACGGGCATGATTCCACTTCAGAGGGCAGTGATTATCATAAACATTGGTTGTAGGCAATGTCTAATGTACGCTGAAATATTAATGTAAGATGCTGTAATAACTTTAGCTAAAGTATTTTATGTTTTCAGAATGATGTATTGTTATTTCTGCCTATAAAGCCTTTTTAAAATACATTTTCTACCCACCTTTTCCAAAACAGAAAACTCACAAGGAAAAGATACTACAGGATAGTATGCTCATCAATTTGAATTGGAGGCTCACTTTGCTGGCACTCGTGGTTGCCAATGATACTGGCATTTGTATTACTTTTACAGATCCCTTCCTTGGCAAAATCTAATCTCCACAGGGGAAATCTTTGAAACAGCAGGTACCTAAAAGCTACAGAACATATAGCTTTGTAGCTAGATTTATGAAACATTTTACCCAGAAGTATAATATAATGTAAAAAAGGCTATTTTTCTCTTTGCCTTCTGCTACTCAGAGATCACTCACCATCTTACTTTTTAACAGCCAACAAAGACATGTTTCATAAATTAGACTATGAATTTGTAGCTCAACTTTGTATCTTAATATGACTAATTCCATATGATTTTTGTTGGTACCAAATATGTAAATCAACAGGAAATTTTGTGCTTAGCTCTTAAAAATAATTACTATAACTTACTCAATACATTTTTACACGTTTCCTTTGTGTTTCTCAAAACAGCAGTTCTCCTAAGGTGGGCTTTCAGCACATAAGTGAGTTGATCATTTTTTTCCATGGACAGTTTTCTCATCTCTTTTACCATATCAATTTGTTCTACTTTCTTGAAAAGTAGAACTTATTAAATAATTAAATCTTTATCGAACACTGGTGTAAGGCAAACACAAAAGGCAGGCAACTGATCTGTTGGTTTTGGGGTTTTCTTTTGAGTAATGAGGTCAATTAAAATCTCTCCAGATAACAGGTGTTACCCTATGTAGTGGAAATTGTATTTCCTTATGGAAACTCACAGTCAGGAAAATGAAGACCTAAATAATAACAGAAAAGTGATAACATTACTAACAATGCCGTGAGTGCCTGCTTTGTATCTGGTCCTGTAAAAGAAACTATAAACATTATACTGGCAATCCTCATAAAAAAAAACCCTAATTACTTTAGGGTTGTGTATGTAGGTACAAGAGAAAGAGGGAGAGAGAAACTTCAATAAAGGGCTACTGAGAAATAGCAAGAGCACTGCCAGGTATCCTTAATAAATAATTTAGGAGCTTCTAACTATGCAAATAATTATTTGTCATATGGGTGAATATTAAGGATCTTTCAGGTTTAGACTAAGAAGACAAAAGGCTTCCAGAAGTTGAGTCCAAATTTTACACTTATATAAAATCCTTATAACAGAAGACCAAATTATAATTCAATAACTGAAGAGTTTTTAAAATAGTGGATGTGTTCATATCAGCATGGCTTCATCATGTGGATAAGAGACAAGAAATTGGCAGATGCAACCTGCAGATTCATTACTGTTCCTGTGAAGGGCAGGATAATGAATAAAAATGAAAATAATGAAAAATAATGACTAGAATTTTAGGCAGTTTGCTTAATCTCTATTCCAGGAAAAATACAGCAAAAAAGAAAAAAAATCTTGAAATTTTTTCTAAAAACAATTATAAGTGACATTTCTTATTTTTCTGCCAAATAATGTGGAAGTATAATCAGTCAAATAAGTCTGATCTTTTCTGGTAAAATAATTATTTATTTGAAAATGTAAGACGTAATAATCAGAGAGTCTTTAAAAAGGGGCCAAAAAAATCTCCTTTAACATTCTTCTTAAAGAACAAAATTATAAAAAAGAACCATACTAAAAATATTTTAAAACAAAAGTAAAAATTCCCATTACTGTTGCAGAGCTTTTAAATTTTTATTTTTGTTTGATTTTTAATAAATAGTCATGTTTACATAGTTGTCACAAGGCTGACAAATTTGAAATCAGCTCTCTTCAGTAAGCATTATTCTATTTTGCTAGATAGTCTCATAATTATAATTTTAATGACTGTAATTTTCTACTAATTGGATATAATTTGCTTTACTCAATCATTTTCTTATTGTTGAAATTAAATGTGTTTCCATTTTTTTTGTTATTACACATGACAGGACAATGAACACCTTTATATAATGATTTTCTAAATATAAATTATTTTAGTAAATTTCCAGAATTAAAATTAATGAGTAAAAAGCTATGACCACTTTTATCTTACTAGACATTGCCAAATTACTTTTCAAGTTGTTGAACCAAATTAGATGAAGTACATTACCAAAATAAGATATTGTGATATGTGATTACTGATTTTGATAAATTAATCAACTGGACCCTCATGTTCCATTTCTTTAAATTTTTTGATAACTATTAAAGTTGAACATCACATATATATTTAAAATACTAATTGTATTTTCTCTTAATTGTCTTCTCTCACTCTTTTCTGCCTCTTCATAACTTATTCCTAGGTAGCTGGAGAAAAATCACGTGACAGGGCACATCTGTATTCCAATAAATTAATAAACACCAACCACAAATGGGCTTCCAAGACTGGGAATACTGCTCTGACTAACCAGTAAATTCTTTCTCATTCTACTTAAGGGCCATTCTTTTTTTTCTTTTTTCTTTTTTTTTAAATAAGGCTTCCCCACTTTCCTCAAATTCCCATCTTTCTTCTTTACTTCCTTCTCTCAGCTGATGTGTTGCTTTATATCTCATTAAGAAAATAGAAGCCAGTAAATGGCCCACTGTCAAATCCATTTATCCATTAGCATCTTCAGTGATCTTCGTATTCCCTTTTTGTTAGAGTTAATGTGAAAGGCCATTCACACTGTATGTAGTGGTTATTCCATTTTCTCTCATCTGATCAAGAACTTCACAGCACTGAGTCTTCCACAGCCGACCTACTCCTTATAGATTATTCCATAAAAATTCAAACATATTCTAGACCACTAACTCCTATTTAAAATAGTAAAAAGTATATATGCAACATGAAACCTTCCTTGGTCATCCAATATCTTCTTTGTCTCATTCACATCTGTCCTTCTCAAAATTGTTATCTTTATAGATTTTTTTTCCACACCTCATGTCCTATTTACTCAATAGTTTACTTTCTTCTGGCTTCCCTCACTCCAACACCTTTGTCCACTGCTCTGAAATTTCACTTATGAAGGACACCGGTGATCTCCATTTCACCACAGCCAATGGAGAGTTTTTGTCTTTTTATTTCTAGACTCTTTCCTTCTTTTAAAAATAAAGTAAAACAAAAGACAAAAATACTGTTATGCTTTTATACCCTCATAATCTTCTACCTTGGTATATTTTACCACCCCACCTTTAATCTGATTTCTAAATATTTTGTTAGTTCCATTTACATTCAGTGGAATATACAACTGTATGAAGGATTATTCTCCACATTTAATTCTCATAATAATAATACTAGTAACAGTAGTCAAGACTTCTATATTGTTTGGCAGATGCAAGACACTATTCTAAGAGCTTTATTAATGTGATTATTCTTATAAACTTATACATCTTGTATAATTCCCACACTACAAATGAGAAAACTGAGGCATTGAAAGGTTAATTATAATTTATGCAAGATCAGATGACCACTAATTGATGATGCCTCTTGCCAAGTTAATGCTGAAATTTTAGAGTAAGGAAGTTAAATAATGTCTCACAGATTGGCCTTAGAGTCAGCAAAATTTAATTAATTACATGGATAGAACCAGAAAGTAGAGAAAAATTTTGTATTGCATGTGAATTACTAAGTGATGTTAGTAACGATGTATGATTGATTTTAATTGAATGAAGATTTTTTCCTTGTTACATTATTCTTTCAAAAGAGAAATATTTTTTTCATAGTGTCTCTCATTTTTTTTTCATTCCTTCACATATTCATTCATTAATTCAACACTCATTTCCTGAGCATCTACCAGATACCAGTCTCTGTTGAAAGCCTTGGAAGATTTGGTGGTGAATGAACACAAAGTCCTTGCTCTTAAGCAAATGCCCTAGTTGTTGGGAGTGGGGTGGGGGAGGGTGGTAGAGTACATAAGTAAACAAATTGACAAGTGAAACTGGTTAATGGGATAGACAGACACAGAGCAGGCTGGTCTCTCTGGCCAAGGTAGTAGAGTTGGCATCTGAAATGACACTGAAATGATTAGAGGGAAACTGATCTAAGCAGAAGGATCAGTAAATGCAAAGCCACGTGATAGCTACAAGCTTGCTGCATCCCAGGACTTGAAAAAGGCAAACATGCCTGGAACCCATGAAGGTCTGGAAGAGATACTGAAGGGGGCCAGAGCACTTGAGGCCTATAAGTCTTATTAAGTGGTTTATGTTTTAGTGTCTTTGCACTAGATAACCATTAGAAGTTTTAAGCAGGACAAATGTATCATATGCTTTGTGGTTTTAAAGAGATTACTTTGACTGTTGAGTCTCCTATAAAAATAAAATAGCTGTGACTCTATGAAGTGTGGGCTTAATGATAACAAATTTTTTAAGAGCCCAAGAAGCTAAAAAATGACTAGTTCACTGATGATTACCATTAGTCCCAACTAGACTATATTAATATAAGCTTGGTGACCCTGGGATCCTGAGACATATTTTGTTAGGAAAACTCAACTATTTTCAAACTAGCATGATTTCAACAATTGCTAATATTTTTTGGGGTTTCAGAACTATTATTTTATTAACTGGAGGCTCGATAAGAGGTTTTATGTAGAAAAAGGGTAGATAGTTGGCTTCTGTCTATTCTCCCTTTCAGTGGGAGAAGTGATGGTTAAGGGTGATTACTCTGCTGTTGGTGCATTGCCTAAGTTTTAGAACTAATTCAAGCCAGTAAATATTTGCTGAAGAACTATTATATGTTAGAAGGGAGCTGAGAATGGGGATACAAAGAGGATAATTAATAATAGAGCAGCTATTACTAACAAGAGGCAGGTACTGTGCAATGCTTAACGTGCATTATCCCATGTTACATGAATTTACACATTAACCCTGTGAGGTAGGTGTATTTATTATCCTCTTTTCCTGAGAAAACAGATGCTTTTCAAAACATTAAGTGATTTATCTAAGGTTACATAGCTAGTCAGAGATGGAAGCAGTATTTGGACTCAGAAAGTTTGACATCAGTACCAACCACTGTGCTCTACTGACTACAATGGCCCTACTTGAGAAGTTCAAAATCATACATACGTGGGTACAACTGACCCTAAGACTGCCTGGCACAAACTTTGTGGGACAGGCTAGATTTATGTGAGATGTACTTGAAGTGGAGAAGATTGTGACAGAGAGTCACTAAAATATGCTTCCTGTACTAGGAGAAAAAAAAAAACAAAAAAACTTGGCCTAGCCTAGAGCAGTGGGGTAGGCTAATTACATGATGTTGAGGAGGAAGAAGGAGCATTTCTGTCTTTTTTCTTGTCTTATAATTGATTAAATTATATCTGTGTCACGATATCAGAAACAAATTACAGTATAATGGACAGTTTTTGAACCCATCTTAGCTTGTATCCTGGTATATGTAGAGTGTTAGACCAACAGTGGCACCTATATGTAGTTAAATACATTTTAATTTATCTTTAGCCTGAAAGGAAAATAGTTTCTTATATGTATAATTTGGGAGTGTCTTCAGAAAAAATACTTAAAGCCCCCTATCTCAGAGGAAGGCAAATTCGCAAAAGATCTACCAGCAGATGCAAGTCCAAACACACTAATCATTTAGTGAGATTTGTACTGATATACCACGTCTCATGTTGTTTATTTATGGATTTTTCTGGAAGAAGGCTCATAGAGCTCATATATTCTCAAAGAGGTAAAGACCCATGCTGATAAGGTAGAAAGATCTTTGCTCTGGAATTAAATCAGTTTAGGTTTTGCAGCTTACTAGAATTAGGTAACATTCTTAATCTTCCTGAGCCTGGTTTCTATCTACCAATAGAGATAACACTAACACAGAGGGATGTGGTTAAATTAAATGACTCAGATAAAATGTTATGTATCTTTTCAGGCTATCCTGTTAGGACATGCCCAGTAAATGTTAAGCCATCAGCAAATACTCTGCTTCCTTGACATGAATGAAGCCCATTCTCATGTTCTTCATGGTTTTCCTCGGCCATTGGTCTAAATATCAAGGCCATAGTTAAAAATTATCCCTGTCCCTTCACAGTCCATCTGCTTCCCCAAAGTATTCTCCTTGATGAATTGAGTCCCAATATTAGTAATATTCATCACTTTAGTTATTAATGTTCATATGTTTAAGATATTTTAATGTAAGGTAAATCATTACTCAAGAGAATAGCTAAGCTGGCTTTGTCAAAGATTTCAATGAGCTACCAGTACATCTTAATCAGAATTAACTTTCAAAGACAGGGAGAGCAATGATTCAAGGTGTGAATAGAAAAACGTTTTCTTTTTGTACAAAATGTTACTGTCATTTGTTCTGGTGGGGAAAAAGCTTAGAGTTAACCTAATTTACATTTTATGATTAGTTTAAAGAAAGTGTTATATAAATTTAGAATGAAAATAAATCAGTTTTCTTTAAACAGAAATGCAGATTTAAAAATGTCTTTTTATGCAACTGCCAGAAGGAAGCACTGTTTTGTCTGCAAATTCCCAGATTCTGCTCTAGTTTTAAAGGCTAACGACTGTGAAATGCAAATATAATCAGGGTTCCAGATGTGGCAATCAGGAAATGATTTGTGTACCAGCTATTTTTAACAAAAGGCTTGCAAACATGATAAATGAATAGTGAAAGTCAAAATGATATCAAATATGCATGAAAGTAGCATATATATAATTATAAATTACCTTTAGGAATTAATTATAACATTACTTCAGAGAGATTCGTATGATTTATTCCTATGGAGAATGTAGAGTCAGATGATCTAGGTTATCACTTTGGGACTAGGATATCACCAAAAATCTTTATGTTACAACATATGTGATAGAAATGAACACAATTTTACAGGAAGAACTAATCAGATGAATTCAGATTTCATTTGTACTTTGGTATAAATAGATCAAACTGGGTTTTCTCAACTAGATGTATAATAACTACAGATAAAAAGAACTATGCTGGTTTGCCAGAATGTAAAACACTGGCGAAAGTGAGGGGGCTGTATCAATGAGCTCGGGAAAGCAGCTCCATAGCCTCTATCTCCATCACACAGACATTTAGTTCAGATTTGAAAGAGAACTTGAGATCAGTCATTTCAACACATCTCCAAACCAGTTATGTTCAAACATGAAGGGATGGATAGATATCAGTCTATTATTTTTAAACTGCATAAAGGTATAACTCTTCAGTTTTCATCAAAACCACACTTTTTAGGTTATCAGGGTCCACAGTTCTTAAGCAAGCAATGCATGCTTAGTGCTATCTCCCTGCTATAAATAGCTTCTCAGTCTTCCCACCACTGCCCATCCCTTCTCTCCTTAATGTCTTGGTCAAAACCATCCCCCAGGAACCCCTTTCCACTTAATTGCTGATCATGTTGATGTTTTGATCACCTTAGCTACTTCCTAGAGTCGGTAGTATATATGTGAGATTTAACTTTAAAAATACCCATAAAGGGCTGGGCACGGTGGCTTATGCCTGTAATCCTAGCACTTTGGGAGGCCGAGGCGGGTGGATCACCTGAGGTCAGGAGTTTGAGACCACCCTGGCCAACATGGTGAAACCCTGTCTCTACTAAAAATACAAACATTAGCCAGGCGTTGTGGCGCATGCCTGTTATTCCAGCTACTCGGGAGGCTGAGGCAGGAGAATCGCTGGAACCCAGGAGGCGGAGGTTGCAGTGAGCCGAGATGGCGCCATTGCACTGTAGCCTGGGCAACAGAGCAAGGCTCCGTCTCAAAACAAACAAACAAACAAACAAACCCATAATGTATTAAATGCACAGTTTCTAACATAATATGAATATCCAGTAACTGCTGACTAGCATTATTATTATAACATTTACATTAAAACTAATCTGCACTGGTTTAAGTATCGCTTAATGATTGATTCTGTTTCTTTCACACACCTGTTCTTTTACTCCACCTGATGTAAAGGAAATACGTGAACATTTGTTGATTATTAATATGGTTTGGCTGTGTCCCCACCAAATCTCAACTTAAATTGTATCTCCCAGAATTCCCACATGTCACAGGAGGGACCCAGGTGGAGGTAATTGAATCGTGGTCGGGCGGGGGGGAAGGGGGTGGTCTTGCCGTGCTGTTCTCGTGATAGTGAGTACCTCTCACGAGATCTGATGAGTTTATCAGGAGTTTCCGCTTTTGCTTCTTCCTCATCGTCTCTTGCCGCTGCCATGAAAGGAGTGCTTTTTGCCTCCCACCATGATTCTGAGGCCTCCCCAGCCATGTAGAATTGTAAGTCCAATTAAGCCTCTTTTTCTTCCCAGACTCGGGTATATCTTTATCAGCAGCATGAAAACAGACTAATACAATTACCTACAGTGAGAGAGGCAGTGAAAGGTATAGAATTAGTGGAGTTCAAGCCTGAAACTGACCTGGGTTTGAATTCCATCCCTGCCACTTACTTGGACCTCTCTATGCCTCAGTTTCCTTAGTGTTAATTGGAGATAATAGATATTTTAGGGACACTGCAAAGATTATAAATAATTAAACCAATGTTTGGATCCAGAAGCGGTATTCATTACCTGATTTAATGTAAAATATTAGATAATTTGATTTTGTTTTGAGAATCTGACAACTCACTCTGACTGCTCTGCATCCCCTTACTAAAACAACTGTAAACAGCATTTTGCATGTAATTTCAGATTTTTGCTACTACAAAACCAGTTAGTGGAAAAAAGACATCTTAGAGTCTAATTTACATTTATAATTAGCTTAAAACAAAGTGTCACATAAATTTACAAAACCAAATAGTTGGTACAAACAAATCAGACAAAATGTTACAGGGAAACACAGACTACCATCCCGGAGAAGGACAAGCAACATTGTACTACTGTCAAAATTTGGATCAAAACTATGTCTCTGCCAGGTTTCACTTTAACTGGAATTGAAGTTCCTGACATAGCTGTCCCCATCACAGGCATAAATACCCATCAAATAAACTGCAGTTGAACAGCCTCAGTCCCTTTTCTATAAAATGGGTATTTAATAATACCATTTTGACAAGAGCCTTATGAATATTAAGAGAACATAAATAAACTCCCCTAGCAGCTGACAGCCAAGTAATTAATCTTTCAGCCATTTCCTTTCTCTTTTTCCTTTTTTTCCCATGTTCTGAGTTCTTTTACACTTCATGTCCCACAATGCTGAAGTAATTGAAATGCTTTTACTCAGATAATCTCATACAACTTCTAGCATAATAAACAAGGAAAGTTTAATGCATTATTGTTTAA
This sequence comes from Homo sapiens, assembly GCF_000001405.40. NCBI lineage: Eukaryota > Metazoa > Chordata > Mammalia > Primates > Hominidae > Homo > Homo sapiens. Next base: position 78,557,425 of record NC_000008.11, on the reverse strand, counting down.
ACAATGTCATTATTCTTTTTGGTAACCTGATTTTTCCAAATATGTAACTCTTTGATTCTCCTATAATATAGTATGTCTTATCCATGGGCACAAATTGAGTGTGTGTCAGAAATATTAAGTCCCTGGAAAACTACCAGTGGTGCCATTTTGGGTTCTATTTATATGTTAACAGCTTCCCTAAAACCAAGTTATTATCATTTCTACTCTTCTTCTGTTTTAATGCCCTCAAAATGTGGCTTCTAATTAGTAATTATATTAATTGGCGTCACATTCATTCTTGTTTGCTTTTTTCCTGATCATAACAAGAATTATCTGACTGTGAAGTTGGTGAGATGGGCTTTCTGATAAGGAAGGTTAGGAGGAAAAAAATGACAAGTAGGGTAACATATGCACATACAAAATTAGAGGAAGCTTCAGCAGTAACAAAATAGTGAGAGTCAATTAGTAGGAAGATTTTGTCATGTGTTGCCATTAATTGACCAACTAGAGTAATTAGACTCACAAATAACAGAAAGCAAAGAGTGGCAAATCTATCGTTCCTGCCAGCTTCTTCTGCTAGTCATCAGAACAATTATCTTCTAGTTTATGAAAGGATAAAGATGTAGTATTCAAATTTAAATGTTACCAATATAAGATATGGAGATATGTGAAACCTACTATAGTATCTTCATAAACATAGTTTTATAGCATCATAAATTTCACAGTAAAATTATCCATGAGAAATGTAAAACTCAAACAAAGTTCAGTAATATTTTAAATCTCAAAAATTAAAAAGAATTGCTGACTGTGTCTTGGCACACTTTTCTGTGTTTGTGAAATATGTTAGAGCCAGCCTGTTTTTGATGAAGAGCAACTGTACTGGAGAGAAAGCCTGTATTCATATTCATCGTCATCAGGCAAATCGAGGAGCTGACTTGCTTAGGATCAGTAAGTGCTTTTTTCCTCACTTCTTAACAAAGAACAGAACATTGTGTAAAAAAAAACAAAATCCCATTTTTGTTAAAAATAATAGTAAACAATGGAATGTTAGATAATTGATTTTTTTACTTCCCATATAAAATGATCAATAACTACTACTAAATACTAATTCGTAGTTGTATTAATTGGCATCACATTTATTCTTGCTTGCATTTTCCCTGATCGTAACAAGAATGATCTGACTGTAAAGTTAGTGAAACAAGATTACATGGGCAAGTAGATACTGACTCATGTAAATAACAGTGAGTCATGTTTGGCTGCCTGATTCTGTTAAAAGAAAAATGCATCCATATTCATTCAAAGCAAATGTTCTTTTGGTAACTGAATAAAAAGAATAGGTAGTAAGATCAATTTCTTTTAATTTACATAACTGCTAAACATAAAAGGAAAGGACAAAGGAAACAAACTGTGCTTTCTATCATATTTTATTTTTTTGCTCAACTACTGCCAACATTCTTAACTGATAGTATTACCTGTTTGTGTCCTTTCAGACCAAACCCCTTTACCCACCAGTGCCATAAAACAAAATCATAGTGTTGGGAGACATTTCAAGAAAGTCATTGCTATTGATTTGTCCCTCAAATATGACTTAATATAGCAATAGAATGATTTTGAAGTTAATAGTTTCTTTTCAGTGCATTAATAACTTTAGCAGTTTTAAATGTCTTTTTCTAGAGTGGTTTCTATACAAACACTCTCTCACACACACACATTGACACTCACTTTCCTTTTGTAATTATACACTCAATTCTTCTTGCATTCACCAACACCAAGGCTGCTTTATCCAACTCCTTCTCACTGTTGGCCAGTTTGAGATCAGAAAACAGGGATCAATTTTAATGTTCTCTTCAATAGACCTACATTGTATTTATGAACTAAGAAGTGATTTTTATTTTTGTTTTCCTATATTTTGAGCCTTTTGAATGACTACTTCTCTCCAACTATATGGCTTATAAGATGAGTCTTGTAACTGGGAGAAGCCAAAAAGTTCTGATGCCTAGCAGACTCTTGTCTCTTTGCCTGAGAACCTCAATCCTTTAGCCTTTCTTTTCTATTGAAATTCAAATATCTGTACTTTAAGATCTTAGTCATTTTTTTTTTACCTCAGTCTGAATGATCCAAAAGCAAGTTTTGATGATGTGGAGGAGGGAAGAGAATTTCAGGGCATACAGTTACTGTAAGGGGTATTAGATAACAGAGTGAATTGAGTAATAAATAGACTCAAGGGAGAAAGAAATTCAGAAAGTGCAGCTTGATGAAACTTATGCAAATATATGTTTGTCTAAGGTCTAATTAGTTAGAAGAGAAGTCTCTGAAGGTGACTACTATTCCTTTGTAAAAGTTTGAAAAATGCAACCTGTAAGTGCCTTGTACCCCTTCATATTACAGAATGTATAATATGATTCACACAGTGCAGAAAACGCAGATTGCCATAGACTCAGTCATGCACCATTTTGTACCCTCTCCACTTTGAGCATCAGAAAGTGGATTGTAGAAATCTGGTTCATCTTATTTTAACTTGCTCATTTCTCAAATTTAAAACAATCTTTTATTTTTAAACTAGTCTCTTTAAACCACAAAATACTGTAAAGTTATTCATTGAAAAGAATGTAACATTTACTACTGCAATATATGATGTGCAATTTATTGAGAATGTCTCCTAAATGCATCTTTATGTATTGCATAATCTAAAATTCATATCAGGTATAACTACAATCTAATTCTTGTGTCAACCATGAAAGCCTTTCTTAGAAAGCTGGTGAAATCCTTTGTTACAAATATCAGTCTCTGCTTGTTATTATGTCTGTATTAGTATCATCTGCAATCCTCAGCAGCTTACTTTTCATCCTGGTAAACTTCTAACAGGCCACATCTGAATCATGGATAAAATACAATTTGCAGGGAATTCTCTATTTCTATTCAGAATTTTAAAAATTTTAACTAAATGTGCAAGGCCTTCAACAATTTCTTAGCTTGCCCTTTACCTAAGCCTACTTGCTCCTTAGGTCAATATTAAGTTCCTGGATTTAAATATTGGTGGCTTTCCTCTCAGGTGTTCTCTGTTAAAAGCTTTCTCTTCCTTTAGAATCCTTAGTAAAGGAAGTGGTATTTGCAAGGAAGAGAACAGTGTCTTCCCTACTATTTAGCTGTCAGGACTTTAGGGCTACATGCTAGGTTGCATAGTGAAAACCCTGGCCTGGCGTCAACTGGTGGCATTAAAAATCACTTTTTCACTTCTTTGCAATTAAAATATTTCCACCAATTTATCTTTTCATTAAAAATGGCATGAAGAACCCAGTATGGGAATGGCCCATGATTCTGCTTCTGTGACTTGTGATCTACGACTTGCTCCTTCTAACATCTTTATAAATGCACTCTACATATTGCTGGGTGTCAAGTTTGTTTGTTGATATTGGTTCCCAACACTGCAGTGTCATGGGTCATCTCTGGAAATTATTTCTTTGCTATGTCTATGAAGTATCTCTCCTCTCCTCCCCATCCCGTGTTCTGCTGCCTGTTTAAACTTAACATTTATAAACAGTCCACTGGGTTTGTTTTGTTGATGCACTGGCTGTTTTCCAAGATTTTGTTGTTAATCTTATCTGACTGTTTAAGGATGACCTTTTGTGGTGTTATAAAACTCTGAAGAAAAGGAAAATAGATTTGGTCATCTAACCCTCTTCCAAAGACTGCAAAAAAAAAAAAAAAATCCAGTTGTTTTAAAATAGAGTGGCTTGATACAAAAAGCTGCGGCATATTACATCTGTCTGCATCTGCACGTTTTCAGCTTTCAGGGACCAAAAATTGGCAGTGCAACATATAATCAGACATAAAGGAAAGCCAAAAAGAAGCCAGTAGGGAATTTTTTCTGCCTAATATTCTAACAGTGTTGGTAAATAGGCCTACTACTTCTAGTATTTACATAAGAGACAGCAGTCAAATAACCAATTCAATAAAACAAACAATTCTTCTATGAGAAAAAAAGAATGACACCACTTAAGAGTTGATGGACATAGAATTATTAGATGTGAAGGGATCTTAGAAGTCTTATTTTATAGATGAGGAGTATGAGGTCTAGAGTGGGTAAGTGATTTGATAAAGCCAGAAATAGGACTAGGATCCAAGCCGGGATTCTCTGCCTCCACAGACGGGACCCTGAGTTTATTCCCTGACTGAACTTTTTAGGTGTTTATGCATTATATCAAGACAGCCCACATGCACCAGATTTGTTTCCATTATTACTAAATGAAGCAAGACAGTGCTTTTACGGGTACTGGAGTATAAAGTCAGCCAATGTCAAACTAGTCAAAAGAACTCTAAAAGAGACAGTGCTTTTCAGGCTTTTTTTTTTTTTTTTCCTGCAAATGGGAATTAGATACGTTATGTGTGTATATGTAAATGTATATTCAAATTTAAAAAATAAAAGTACAGTTTTTGAGTTTCTGATAGTTTAAATTATACATAACATCAAAATTAAACCCTTGCAGTCATCAAATATTTTGTAGTGTTTATTTTTGTAAGAGCCTTCCTTTCTTTATGTATCTCTACAATGTTGAAGATAATTAATGGGTCAAAATAGAGATATTATGCATTGTTGAGCTAACTTGGATAAACAATCTTTTTTAAGTGCCTTAAATTATATAAAGACTAAAAGTATCATTATTTATTCTATGGAAAGACACTTAGGTCTAGCTATAAAATAATGCTTAGAGAACAAGTCTTAGGTTAAAATACTCATTCTTCCCATGACACATTGTCTTTTCACGATTTAATTCAAAGAATTTGCCTTTTTAAGGCTCAATTATGTTTCACCATTGTTCCCATGCATGTTCCTGTTAAGGGTGCCTGATTCTGTTGCTAAGCAACTTTGCAGTCTTGTTAGGGCTTAATGATAAACTAATAACTATTTTAAATATGCCTGTTTGGATAAGGCCCCTTTAAGAATATCCTGATACTTCTGTCTAAGAGGCTATACAGACTTTTTCATTTTGACTCACGGGAGCATAAATGATAGAATGATGTTTTCCAGAAGAATTGGAAGAATGCCAACAGTGCACCAGAAAAGCACTAAGTCTTCCTTCCTTCCAGTATGCAACTTCCTTTTTTTTTTTTTTTTTAAGAAAATGGTAAAATCGGTCAAATGACAAGTCAAGGATTTCAAAGAATTGTTAGAAAAATAGATATTTCTTTTATTCAGTAGATTACCATTAGTTTTTTTTCTCACCACAAATTCTTTAGAAAAAGTTTCAAGCCATATTGTTTTGAAAATAAGTATCATATCAGCCCAACATGGGTATTTGAATTTTATGGGACTTTCAGATTGAACTAAATTGTTAATTAAATTCTCTCCACTTTGCTTGCTCTTGTTCCAGACATCTCCCTTCAATTCAGGAATATCTTCCTTTATAATTTTTTTTAACCAGATAGGAATGGCACCAAGCAGCTTTAATATTTCTTGTCCTGACATACAGAGACATATACAGGAACTATCAATACCTCTCCAGCACATAATAGGAGTTAAACAGCATTCTCAATGCACATCTGAAAAACACAGAAAGATTGTTCCCTTAAACGTCTTTCCAGTGATAATAAAACCAAGGAAACAGAGATATTTCATTAGCAAAGAATCACAGAGAATGTTTTAAATACCGGGAAGAGCCCCACTAACTTCCATCTCAATGACCATCCAAACCAGAATTTAATTGCTGAAGGTTCTGCCAAGAAACAGATTCTCCTTGTGTTGACACTCCCTTCAGATGTTTTGGAAGGTACCCCAAAACATTAGCCATTTTTATCCTTCCCTGTCTCTAGCATTTAAATATATATCTAATACTGCATAGATTCTATTTTTATTTTGTGGATGATCCTTTCTTGGGGGTGTCATCTAATATGTAAAGTTAAAAGTTCTGTTTCTTCTATTCTCTAAAAATTAAACGATTACAGTTTAAGTTTACAGCAACAAAGTCTAATGGCTTTATAACTGGGCAACAGAGGTGAGGGTGAGTGTAGCTATATGGCTACTCTGTCAGTTTCTGCACTTATGAAGTGGAGCCTGTAATACTTTTCTTCCAGACGAAGGACTATTTAGATATGCTAACATGGTGTCTACCATATACCATACATTAGACATAAGCTCCTTTTCCTATCTTCACTGGGTATGGCCCACTTTTAGTTGTCTAGGATTTACTAGAACAGTTCATACCTCCAGGAACATGTCTCTGATCATATTCCTTTATAGCATTCATATTACCAAACTAAAGACTCTTCTTTTGTAATATCCACACTCTTATTCCCATATCCTTATTTCTTATCTTATTCTCTGAAATCTTTAAAATTCAGTCAAGTATTAATTGAATTACTATGAGGTGAGGGGCATTACTGTAAATCCTGAGATTACAAACACACAAGATTCTTGCCCTCATAAACTTCATAGTCTCTTGTCAAGAGTAATAAACAGACAAAAACTTGCAATTCATCCAGATAAAATCTGTGACATTGGCAATCCTGTGCCTCCATAGTAACACATAAACCAAACATCGTATGTTCTCACGCATAAGTGGGAGCTAAGCTATGAGGATGCAAAGGCATAAGAATGATACAATGAACTTTGGGGTCTTGAGGGAGAAAGGGTGGGAAGGGGGTGAAGGATAAAAGGCTACAAATTGGGTTCAGCGTATACTGCTTGGGTAATGGGTGCACCAAAATCTCACAAATCACCACTAAAGAATATACTCATGTAACCAAATACCACATGTTCTCCCAAAAACCTATGAAAAAATTAAAAAAACATAAATAAATGAAATATTTAACTCAGATAAGGGAGGATGGGTGATCAGGGGAGTGTCTGTCTTTTCAAGCTTTTTTCTTGCATTGGCAATCAGATCTGAATCTGTGTTCCAGGTTTGGATTGATCAAGACAGCCTTAAAGTTCCCACTTAGCTTGATGAACTGCCGGCAGGTTTCTTCCTTCTGGGACCCTAGGCCTCTAACCACCCTTTTTCAAGATCACTTACTTTAGAAAACTTGGAATTGTAAATTCTTTCTCTGACTCTTTGAGCTGTAAATATTTTACAACCCAAGAATGTCTTTCTGATAGACCTGGGAACCATCTTTTTGAAATGTAATAATCAAGAAAGATAATAATGTTCCTATTTCCCAAACTGCACGAAGGATAGGACCCTAACTTGGCTAAGCACCCATTAGCAAACACAAATGTCTAATCACATTGACAAACTCTACCCTAATATCCTCCAGTATTTTTCACTAGCTCACAGCATCATTTAAAAACTTGCCTCCCTTTTATTTCAGCAGAATTGAGTTCAGTCTTTCTCCCCTATTGAAATAGTCTTGAATACATCTTTGCTTGCCTGTTTAATTCTGTTCTTTAATAGAATGCATTCAGATTTTATACAAGAGGAAGAAACGGATCTTTGCCTAATGTTCTACTCAATGATACCTAGCATTTTGTCATTGTAATTGCTGACTAAAATAAACTCATTGTATTACGGTCTAGAGGAAACTATTTACAATGGCTCTAAACTCTTTGACTAGCAATAAATGAAACCTCAGAGTTCATTTTCTAATTGTAAATACAATTTTTTCAAAAATATATTTCTTTACACTTATGCACAAAATGGACCTTTGTTTCACTGAGACTCTGAGTAGGCTCAAGTAATCGCTTTTCCTAATAGCTTTATTCTTACTTTTTTTTTTTTTTTTTGGTATTTCAGTGATTTCAAGGGTTCAGAATTGTGAGCAAACTTGAGACCAGTTAATCATGCCCATCATTTATAAATTAATAAAGACTCTGCTGATTTTCAGTGAAGCTTATAGGATCAAATAAGGCACTTGGCTTCATGGGCAGTCTTGACTGAGAAAGGATTTCAGATAATTGATGGTTTTATCTAGAACTCTGAATTTTAAAATTTGATGGGAATTTCTAAATCAATTATACAAAATTACAAATAATCTTCAAGAAAGACCATATAGCAAAATTTTCTAAAGATTGCTGTAAAAGTTAAGCTTAAATTTAGTTCTAAGTTAAAAAAACGTTCATCTTGCCACCTTTTTTATTATAAAACTTGTAAAACCAGATTTTTGCCTTTTAGTGTGCATATCTGCTACTCTAGCTTTTTCTCTTCCAAAAAAAGTTTTAGTAACTTACATTATATACATCATGTCATACAACACATAGCATCTGAACATTAAGGAAATATGGGAGAATGACTTTATCTTTTCCTGCTACATTAAAATTATGACTTCAAACTCCTTTGGACAGTTTTTAAAAATATGCCAGTCATCTAAATCACATAAACACCCATATACATATACCCAGTGCAGCTTTCTTGTTTGGAAACAGACTTTTATTGGTGTAAATAAGTGACAGAGTTAGTGTGTTAATTTTGTGTAGTTATAATTTAAGACACCGTAGAAATGTGGTTTTAATGTCAACACATATACCTTTTTCAAATATAATGGAGATTCATGTAACCACCTGATAGTGCATGTATTTGTCCATTAAATAAGGTTTAGAATGTACTTTATTATCTCAATGAATTGAGTATGATAGTATGATATTTTATAATTATATCTTTTATTTCATCATATATTGTAGATGTAGAGTCACTGGTGGGAACTATATCCCCTGCATTATAACAATATAATTATTGGAAAGTATAGTATTCTCTTAATATCTAAGTCAACATGGAATAACAGATTTTCAGCAAAAGGAGGGAGTTGCATATATTTGACCTTTATTGACAGGCCTATTTGTCTCCAGAAATTATCCTATCTCTATACGATTCAGTGTTCTTAAGGAAAACCAAATTTCCTTGCTGTTTAATTCTTTGTTTCCACAAAATACTTTCCAAACACATAGCTATTAGATCTACGTGAGGTGGATGTATGTATCAAAATTTCTTCACAAGCCACTTAACCAAGGTGCTAAGTTTTCCGGAATCCAAAACAAATCAGTTTAAGAGCTAGGTATGCAAAGATCCTGTAATACTCTAGATTCCAATGAGCTGCAGTTTTTATTAACTCCACATTACTAAGGAAAGTTAGATTGGGTCTTTACATTGAGTTTATTTAATTAACATATGGTTAAGAACACAATTTAAATGCAATTACACTAGGAGATCATGACTGGAAATGCATAATAAGGCAATGTATAAAAAATAAAACATCACTCACATATTCCCTAATTGTGTTCTGCTAAAGAGAGAATCTCACCTCCATAATGAGGCTATTAATATACTACATGTTTCTGGTAGTAAGTTCTCATCTTTTAAGAAAATACATCAAACCTTATATCTGTGTAGTTTAATCCCTTTTAAGATATATTTTCTAATAATACTGTTATTCTAATATTTTTTAAAACTTATTTCATACTATTTATCTTAATATATTTGTGAGATAATTATTGAGACATTTTATTAATATTTTATTTAGTCTTAGAATTTCAGAGAAAAGTGAACCTAGAGAGGTACTTCTCCTGGTTCAAACTGTGAACATGAAAATTCTGAATTTAAGTAACTGGACAAAGTAGGTCATGTAGATTAAGAAAACTAAGATGAGCTTCATCTTTCATCACATTTTAGTTGCATTTGGATTAATCTGGGAAACTTCACCCAGATTCAAAAATTAGTAAACCTCCTAATTTTTGAAGGTGGAGAATTTCTACTCTCTGGCTGATTTTTAAAAGGTTGACTAGAAAAGGGTTATATAAATCAAATTAGTGCAAACAACATACTGTCTAGTCCTCTCTCAGTCACCACTTTCCTAATTAAATTTCAAAGTCATTAACTACTCATCTTATGTCTTTAAATTTAGAAAGCCTCAAATTAGCAACAAGTATTCATATGACTCAAAGCAGGAATGGTTTTACAGAATGATTTTGGTAGATTTATATTTTCCTCATTTGTAACATAAGTGGTTAAGATATATAAATTAATTATAGAGAAGTCATATATTTTTCAATGGAAAAAGTCCTACCCCTGTGCTATTTATGGCTATTTGTGTGCAACATTTTAAAAATACTGGTAAGGCCAGGTGCGGTGGCTCACGCCTGTAATCCCAGCACTTTGGGAGGCTGAGGTGGGTGGATCACGAGGTCAAGAGATCAAGACCATCTTGGCTAATATGGTGAAACCCCGTCTCTAATAAAAAAACAAAAATTAGCCGGGTGTGGTGGCGCCTATAATCCCAGCTACTTGGGAGGCTGAGGCAGGAGAGTTGCTTGAACCTGGGAGGCAGAGGTTGCATTGAGCCGAGATGTTGCCATTGCACTCCAGCCTGGCGACAGAGCGAGACTCCAATCACAAAAAAACAAACAAACAAAAAAAAACAAAACTGTTTTTGTTTTTTCTCTTTTTTCTTTTCTGATTCAAACCTTCAGTATTTGTGATGATTAACTGTATGACTAACTAGACAGTAAGATCCTCAAACAGTTTTTAACTTATTAGAATAGTCTTTGAAATAGCATTTTAGTAAGTGGGTGTTGAATGAATGAGTGGACAGATCTCATTCACATTATAATGCTTGGATTTTTATGTAGAAATACAAGGTTTAATTTTGTGGTCAAATGCTTAAAAATGGAAACAGAAGTTAATAATTCCATTTGATTTATAACATGACCTCTGTCTTCAGTAGCTGGTGAAAAAGACTAGTTTTACTGGTGGCTTCAGAAAACAATAAATAGACTAAACGGGTTACAAGAATCAACATATTTATGGCATCTATTTAACTGGTTCGAGAGCTGAATGAAAAACAATCAGGTGCCAATTTCAGTTATGAGGTTTTAACGGCATGGGTTTCAAACTCCGCTCCACATCTCATTTAATTTTAACTCATTTTGTAATGCTTCCCAATCCTGGCACACAGCCCTTATTTTGAGGTAATAGGATTTGATTTTTTTTAACGTTACATTGAATGCTAGAGTCAAAAGTTTGTATGTGACATGAGAAATGTGATACTTTGGATATGTGGCTATTTATGATAAATGCAGCTCTACAGAAGTTTACATGAAACAAAAAATGCCAATTAGAATTTCACCCTTAAAATAATTACAATTTTGTAATTATAATTTAAAATTGTAATTACTGACCGTCTGTCTCTTCCTTCTTAACTATATGGTCCTATATCTAGGCTGACTAATTGTGCAAGATACCGAAAGGTCTCCACTGGATATGCCATTGAAGAAGCAATTTCTCAGGGGAAGCAATTTTGCAAGGCAAAGCAGATTTTACAAGTAGTTTCCAAATAAACTAGTCATGTCCCCAGGACAATCACACAATTAGCAGTTTCAATGTATTAGTTGATGTATTCGACAAAGCCATGGATTTCATTCACTCTTCAGGAAACCTTCATTGTATGAAGATAGCCTCTCTGTGGCTAGTGAGCTAGGTCAGATTTTGTAAACTCTAGCAAACCTGGGCTCACAAAATAATCTAATGAGCATTCTTGATCTAAATTCAAACAGAATGGGATAAAATACATAAATCTTTGCAGGAAGTTTGGACATTGAAAATATCTGTCACTTAAGATGACAATTCAGCTTAATAAATGAGGCAAACGGTACTGATGAAACATGCCCTTTCCAAGGAAGGAGTCACGATGATTTCTATTGATGCTATCAGTATTTCCACAAGCTTCTGTTTCCAGTAGGTTATATATAGTATCATAGAGGAACAGTGAAAACACATAATTGAGTCTTCATAAAGAATCAGAAAAATACTTTAAATCTCCCTTGACAAGAAAACCCAAGCTCTTTTATTGATGAGAATTATTATCATTATAGAATTATAATGTTACTAAATATGTAATTTTTGTATTCAGGGAAGACAGACTGGTATCATATTAGTATTATGTCAGTAAAAGCTAATTAGTATACAAAATATGCTAAGCTTACACTAGGGATTCTAAGTTCTGATCTTAAGGTTATGCCACTTTATCTCAATTTTCCAGCAAAACTGTTTATCGGAGTTACTGTATATTATCCCACACTATATCAGAACTATTTCAAAAGCAATCTTGTTAGTCATCTCCATTAAAAAAAATCCAAGCTATGCCTTTTCTATGAAATTTTTGGTGGTTGCCATGACAATGGTATTTCTATCTCAGCCCACAACTGATATTCTTCAGCTCTTACCCAAAGTAACATGATTTTGCTTGCTAGGTGTCAAATTCTAAGATTCCAAAAGATAGTCCCAACATTTTCTCCAAAGACTGGGGTTGGAAAAACAAAAGCATTACTAAATGTTGAATTTTTAAAAAAATCATTTCTATTTTGAGCACCCTATTATAGGTATTTTCATTTTGCATAATCCTTTCTTTTCATTTTAATAAGGAAGCATATGTTTACTTAGTTGCAATTATAGAAAGCATGTAATTTAGCTTTTTTCTTTATTATTTCCAATAGTGAAAGCATTTTCCATATATTACCGTTTGGGAGATTCTTTAATAATAAAGAATATATGACATATAATGGATATAATCCATATTTAATCAGGCCTCTATTACTGGCTATTTAATGTGTATTTACTTTTTCCTTATTACAAATAAATCTGCAGGTAACATTTTAATAAATATATCTTTTTTTCCTTCTAAGAAATTATTTGAAGACGGGGTTATAATTTGTTTGGCTTGGACAGTAATTATAAAAATGTGAATCTGAATGTGTTTAGATAAGGTACGTACATTAGTCTGTACTCTCTGTTGTTATCTTCTGTACTACACTGGACATTTACATGACCTGCCTGACCTCTGAAAGCATTTAAGTTTTTGATTCCTGGATTAATAGATGAAAAGTATTTTTATGGCTTTCAATTACTTTTATCAAATAGCTCTTCAAAACCAGTAATACCTATATTTCAATGTCAGCAACATTCACTCAAGTGTTTTCCATGTGCTAGGTGCAGTGTAGGCACTGGAAACAGTGCAATAAGACAACAAACAGGGAATTTCAAAATATAGTGTGCTGGAATATGATTCAGAATAGGATGTTAGGTGAACCCATGAGAAGGACAGAAACCAGCCTTTCCCAAAGTAGATTGTGGCCCATTACAGGGAGAAAGGGTGGTGGGCAGGTGAAGTATGGAGGAAAAAGAGAACTTCAGGCAAAGAGAGTACCACATGCAATGGCCTAGAAAATATAGAGCAAAGCACATTGAAATTTCAAGTACTGTGAGAACACAGAATTTAAAGTTAAGTGTTAGAAGACATGAGGCTGTTGAAGTAAGTTGGAGCAAAAACATGAAGGCACTTGTTTGCCACGAGGTAGAAGGTAGTATACATCTACATTGTATAACAGCATAGCAATCCTTAAGTGTCATTTAATAATTTTTGTCTGATTTATTAGCTATATAAGTATATTATAGTAAATGGGTTTTAATATGCATTGCATGTGAGAACATCAAATTCCTGGCATAGTTAATAGCATGAAAAGTGCCACAAAGATCAGAAACTTCCCAGTGCTTGAAAGGAGACTTGTGGAGTTCGACAGCAGCACAGGCCTATGATTAGGGAAATTGGAAATAACGGAGCTGCAGCCATAGGTTGGAACAGTAGAAATGCCTGAAGTGCCAGGATACGGAGTATACTCTGGATATATTCAATGGGCAGCAACACGACATCGTAATTTTAGAGAAAACAAAGTAACAATGAAAGAAAACACCAATTCTCTTAGTTAAAGCAAAATTGAAACTGGCCTGATTTTAGCATTGGAAAACAATCTCCAGGTAGGTGACGGAGGAAAACTGCATCCATTTAGGAATTCTCGTTTTGATTATCACTGGCACCACCATACCAGCCTCTAGGCCTCCACGTTAATGCCTGGGTTTAGGTGTGAACAAAGGATGTTGCATTATTTCACTTCAGTACATATGATATAGTTGAAACATTAAAGAATTGATGGGAAAATAAGAGAATAACTAGAAAAAACAGAGTATGAGAAAAATAAGGTCTGTTTTATAAAAGCTAGTTTATTCCTTTTAGAAGATTGCTAGCCTGGAGTCCCTGAAACTTTAGTTTGTACTCCAGGTATCTGTTAGCCTGGTGAAATAATATGTAAGACATTGTGTGCATTTATACAGACCACATACGAAGGATATGATGGATGATGACCTCTGTCAAAAGACAGAAAAGAAACTTACAATTTGCCCATTAATGCAAGTCAAAGGCATAGGGTGGGACACTTAGAAGCAATGCTACAAGGAATCTGAACAATTTGATCCAAGCACACAGCTCTCTGGGTTGCATTATTTAAAAGCAAATCTTAAAATATCTGGAACCAGGGTTCTGACCTCAGTGTTCAAGGCATGTAGAGTTCTGAGAATCCCTTTGAAATTACACTGAAAATCTTGGGCACACGTATATTTGCGTGTACATTTCTGAGAGGGCACTGAAAGATTCATTAAGCATCACCTTGCTTTAATTCTATGGCACATCTTCATGCTACTTCCTGTGTTGGTTCTCTTCATTTCTGAAGGAGGAAGTTCTCGCTGCTGAAATCTTGGGCATAATTCAGCAGGTGGTGACAGCCTTCCCCTGAAGGAAGAGCCCAACACTCTTCATCTTCAGATGGATACGAGACAGGAAGGAGATAAGACACTTTTGTAAAAGTTGAAATAAAAAATAGAATCTAAACTATGGTGGTATGACTGGGAATACAAAAGAGAGTACAGGTAGGAGGGGCATCTTGGTATTTGGTACACACCACAACATCTTTTTGTCAAGCTGTCATTCTGTCTGGAAAACAAATTAAAAAAAATTGTCACTATTTAATAGGAAGAAAAATGAAACCAAATAATCAGTGCCTAGCATATGATAGAGATACAGCAAATTCTGGAAAAAAAGCAAACATATGCTGGGACTACAAATTTTAGTATTAACAATATATTAATTTGCAGAACAGATAGTGGTTGGCCTTTTACATTTCTGACGTTTACAATATCTTAATTTCTGATCACCTCACATAAGCTCATTTGATCTCTTATTGTTGCAGTGGAGTTTAGAAGTTTGAATTTTGAGATGTGGATGACATATGAAGTTATGAGATAGATGAATATAGGTGCTGGAGCTAAAGAAATAATAGAAAGCTTGGTGAACTGTAGTTGACTACAAATGGACACTGGTTCTGGGGTGAATAGGAAGTGGCCTGAACAGAGAGAGGGCCATAGTACTTCCTAACATTAAGTTCAAACTAGGGCAGTGCAGTATGGTAGTAGAAGCAAAAACAAAGTGGCATAAATACAAGGAGTGGCATGGCTCTTCTTACTGTATTTTTTGAGACAGGGTCTTGCTCTGTAGCCTAGGCTGAAGTGCAGTGGTGCCATCATGGCTCACTGCATCTTCTATCTTTCAGGCTCAAGCAATCATCTTGAGTAGACGGGACTACAGATGCACACCACCATGCCCAGCTGATTTTTTAAAATATATTTTTTGTAGAGATAGGGTCTTACTATGGTGTCCAGGCTGGTCTTGAACTCCTGGGCTCAAGTAATCCACCCACCTTGGTCTCCCAAAGTGTTGGGATTACAGGTCTGAACCACCACACCCAGCCCCTGCCTCTTATACTCTTGAAAGAGAAAGCTAACCTTCTGTTGGAGATGGTAGAGGGAATCTAAAAAAAAAAAAAAAAAAGAGAAATCCAAATTTCAGTTGAGCTGAAGAAGCCAGAAAATGTGAAGAACAAAGAGGGCTGTTTTGTTAGGAGCATGGACATAAAAACAAGTGTTGAAACATGGTTTTGACACTTTAATTACCATTTGAATAATTGTGGACTATCCAGAAAAATATGAACAGTAGTGCACATTAAGTCAACATTGAGGAAAGTGATATATTTATTTGAAATACAATTCAACTGATATTTTGCAATGTTTTAACAAAAGTTCACATTACTATATATATGTAAATTTATGAAATAATCAAAAGTTTAAAGAGAGATCATGTTTAATAAGGATGTGCTATTGCTTAATTCAATGGTTAGAGAAATAAAAGAGTTCAGTGGAAATACATTTCTGTCAGATATTTCCACCTGACAGCTGTTGTATATATGGGATCCAGTATCTGCCTTTCATTTCCCTCATACTTCTTTGAGGTGGGTTTAGCTTCATGATTAAGAGCATGACCCATTGGGTTGAAGCCTTTGGGTCTGAATTCTAGATTGCCACTTGCCAACTGTGCAACTTTTATTTGTAAAATGTGGATAATACTTGTGAGAGTTAAATGCCACTGATAAATAGTAAGTGGTATAAATTTAACTGCTTAAAAAATATAAGAATATTATTTATCAGGAAGAATTTGGAGAGTAGACGATGATAGTAGATGGATTCATAGGGGAAATGCAGAGATGTTGAGGTTGGGCTGAATTGAATTAGAATAAAATTAGAATAAATAGTTTCAAGAAGGTAACAACTGTTTTAAAATTTTGTAAATGTACCTTGTATATATATAATTTTGTCAATTAAAAATAAATAAAATTTGCCAATTTAGTTTGGAATTATCCAGAAATAGCTTAGCAAAACATCTGGTTAATGTGCTATTCAAAATTAATTTTATTTTAATAGATTAAAGTTATATAGGCCTCCTTTGGGAAGAAAACTAATTTTTCTCAAATGTAATAATTATAAAATGTAATAATTATATGTAATACAGATTTTTGTAGATGGAATCATTGTAATTAGAGTATACATATGTGTGACTTTTATGAACACATACAGAATGTCTAAAAAAAAAAAATTTGCGAAAAAAGGAAAACCAGAAAGTAACAACTGAAAGAAGTCCCTGCCCCACCCCCTCTGTCCCTCTACCTGAAAAAGGGGAACGGTTCACAGGAAAAAGAGCAGGAGTTGCAACTGGTGACTTCTGACTGCTTTATATTCTTTGCTGTTAATTTAATATAATTTTAATCCTTTTAGGAAGAGCACAATCTATTCCCAGTATGTCACAGCCTCTCCCATCTCTCTTGGCTTTGAACTGCCCCAATTTGTTTGGCCCTGCAGGGATTTGACTAGGAGCAGCATGCTTGAAGTGCTTTATACACACAATCATAAGAAGCTAAATACTACCATCCAAAATAGATGTGGATATATATTTATGTCTATTTGAGGGACTATCTATACAATATCTCTTTTGAGAAGACAGCAAAAGCTTAGCAGATAGAGTTCTTACCCTCCCTAATACTTGCTAGGGGCAGGGGTAGCAGGGGGGCAGTGGAGCTGGCACCCTCGAGACCTATATTTTTATTTTTCGTTTTCCTCCTAGCATTAGAACTCGTAGGGAAGCAAGTTACACCCTTTTATTGCCTTATTCATTCTCTCCATGCATCTCCTACAATCAGGCTTCTGATTCACTTTTTTTTTTTTTTACTTCATTTCTTCTCTGATGTTGTAATTGTAAGAAGAAAATGAACTTGCCACACTCCTCTTTCTTCTTGACCCCAATGAACTATGAAACTGCTAAATATTTTTTCCTATCTCTTTTATCTAGCAATCTATCCTCAAAGGTGTGAAATCATATAATGTGTAAGACAGAATTGTTCTCTCACATAAAACTGTAGGTGTATGTTTATATATATGCAATTAGAGAAATCTTCACATTCAAATTAAATTCGTAGAGGATCATGCATTATATGTAATATAATTAGGTTTATTACATATAATTATATTACATGTAATTCTAATGTGAGGATTTCTTTAATTAATTTTACCCTTTAAATTTAAGCACTGCAGGTAATAAATATTTTTGTCCTTGTGGACTACATAATCACATATTCTTCATTTTTTTTCCTTTTTTTACCTTTTAAAAATGTAAAAAGCATTCTTAGCTAAGAATGGGTTTGGCTTGTAGATTATAGTTTACTGCTGTGAATTATAGATTGCTTACTGCTGCTTTAAAATAAAAATCTCTGAGTTAGAGAAAAACAACAAAACTCAATAATCAGTATTGATGTTAGATGTTCTACATCTCAAGAAGTACTATGGAGAAAATATACTTATCAATTCCCAAGAAATCTGAGAAACAGAAGTAAATGGAGTCAGATCATTTATGAATAAATCAGACAAGTTTTTAATCCACTTGCTTATACCCCTGAGTCTCCCTTTTTGTTTTATGCAACTGCCATTTCCTGAAGATGATTTCTTCCTTACATCGAGACAGGGTTCTCAGCCTCACCTCAGATTTCCTCATGTGACAAAAGAATTATCATGTTCATTTTCTCAATCTCTTATCACATACCACTTTTATCTTTGATATAGCCCAAATGTTACTGTTCAGAAAATTATTTCTTTTGCCCATTAATTGGATCTCATCAACCTTTTCCTCCAAATGTTTTATGCCACATTTAATTAACTCAAATTACTCACAGCTGATTTCCAGGCCTGCCAATATACCACTTCTGCCTTTCATTACTCACCTTGTTTCTCTGCACTTTTTTGGTCTATCATTTTTGCCTCAAATTTCTCATATTTAAAAAAGCCTCCTTGTCATAGCATGCATAATTCACTCATAGATGTGGAAGAAACAGATGTAATACCTTTCTGCCAAGACACCCACACTCTCTCACAATGCCCAGTCATTTTTCCCTGGGTTGTGTGTAGGATGGGTCATTAATATTTTGACCTATTCAATACTAAGCCACATATGCTACGGTAACACCTCCAAATTCGGCCTGTCTCCCAGGCTGTCAACTTTAGATCAAGCTTTGTCTCTTGACCATCTTTGTTCCCTAGGGGAATAATTTCTAAACTAATTACACCACAAATTTAATATATTACCTCAGCGCACACCAAGAGCTGCCAGATGAGGTAAAGTGCAGAAACAGTTTCTGAAGAGTTTCATCAGGATCTACTACCGTATACCTGACACTTTTCTTAGTATTAGAAGCTTAATATGGCAGTGGTTGTCTTTGTGACAGTTTGGACACCAGAATCACTGTTATTTACTACTCCAAAATAAGCTTGAATGCCTCTTTCCTTCTCCTTGAGAATTATTCTAGTTAGTCTTGAAACTTTGATGTAGTTGATCTTCAAGACAAGTATTGCCATAAATGTCCCTGCACCTGACTTTCAAGAAAACTCATTACTCTCATATTTCCCCAGGATAACTATAGAAGTTTAAAACAATAAAGAGTAGTACCATGAGAGAGAAATAAGGTGGGTTGTTGTTCATTTATTCAATGTTTATGAATAGTTGTCATGCACCAGGCATTTTGCTTTTGATGCCAGAAATAGCAAACAGTTCCTGCTTTCAATGCCTCCCTTAACAAAGTCCATGAGTTTCCATCAGAGAGAATAGTATAAAGAGTGAGTTAAGAGCCAGCATAGGGTATGGGGGTTATATGTCAGCACAGGGACGTAGAGAAAGAACAAGTTTAGGGCCAGCATAGGGTATGAGGGTTATATGTCAGCACAGGGACTTAGAGAAAGAAAAAGTTTATCATGAAATACTTTTGGAGACCAGGACACCTGATTTATGTTTTGAGGAAATTTAGGAGTGTGAAAGACAAGAAGGTTCACAAGTGAACCTTCTAGGCAGCGGCAACAGCATGATTTAAAGCAAGAAAACATGAAGAGCAATGGTGGTTCAAAAGAACTGTCAATAGATAAGTATGTCTGCAGCAGAAGGCCCATTTGAGGCAGTAGCACAAAAGATGCATGCTTGCTAGCAACCAAAATTTGCAGTGGATAATCTACTGTAAGGATGCATCACATTTTTATTTTCTTTCATTCTAGAAGTATTTAGTGAGTGGCTCCTATGTGCCAGTAATTATTGTAGGTAGGTCCTGCAATGAAAAAATAATAAAAAGCCAAGACCCTGATCTCATGGAATTTGCACTCTAGTTGTTGGCGGTGGGGGGTGGGACGGAGAGGGGGTTGGGAAATAAAGTAACTCAAAAATATATCGGTTATCGCATAGAAACAAATATGTGGATAAAATTGAAGACTTTTGGTGGTGCTGGAGGTGGTGTAGATTAGAAAGGGCTTTTTAGACTATCTCTTTAAGGACTTGTTCCCTTGTGGCTTTCCACCTCTTAAAGGCAAGGAAATGTCTACCCTTCAGACAATAGAGAGCAAGTATTGGAAAAATTTAGTCAGTTAAGCTTCAAAGTCTAAAATCTTCATAGAGATAAATTTTGCTAAAAGTTTATAGCTATCTTTTACTGTATCAGAGAATTAGATGGATAAATCCAAATAATTTTCTACCTAGGAAAAAAATATCAGGGTTTGCCATGAAAGAAGCTTATGAGTAAGAAGCTTAAAAAAAAAAAAAACTAAACTAAACCTTGTTACTTGGGGAAATTTTGGGAAGAAAAGAGCTGGTACAGAGGTTTATCAAAGGAAGTGGCCTATAGATCCCTCAGCCCCTTCATAACTGGTCCCCAAAACCCTGAGCTCTATCTAGGTCTATATACTAAGTTCCTCCAGCCATATGCCCTGACACTTCTTAGAGAAGGAAAGGTAAAGTTGTAGACTCAGAAGCATTATTTGAAAGAACCACTCAGATATGGGAGTTGACTGAGATGCCAGGATTAAAATGTAGTGTGTGTGTGTGTGTGTGTGTGTGTGTGTGTGTGTGTGTGTGTGTGTGTATGTTTTCTAGCTACCCAGATAAGTTACAGATTATATAAAAACATATTTTCTTTCTACAGTAGAGTTGTAATCTATTTTGTAATCCTGCTGCAGTAGCAAGATACACAAATATTTCTGGGTAAATACATGGACTATTCGGGGTCAAAGAAACTCTTATATATGCTTTCCCAAAGTTCAAAAAAGAAGATACACAGCTTTTTGAGGAAAAATAATTGAGTAATAATTCTCATGCAATTGTTTCTTCTACCTTCCTTGGATTTTTCCATTTCAGAATGAAATGCAGTTGCCACCTTGTCCTCAGGCTAGTTAATAGTATTTGCACCTTTTTAGACTATGGACTATCACAAATAAAGACAGTAACTAGAATTGGATTGTCTACCTACATCAGACTCCTCTTCTTTTTCTTTCAAAGAAATTTGTGCTCACTACTTCCAGAGTCTCTAACCAGAGCTCAGATGGTTTTCCTTTATTTTCATAGCCTCTCATTGTCTCTGAGGCAGCTGTACTTCTTTCACAAAATACATATATCATGTTTTTGTTGCAATATCATTTTTGTTTGGAATTGCTTTTTTTCTTTATAACTAATGTTGGGTAAGGAACAGCTATCATTTGGCAGTCTTAAATATATTTATAAATAGAAAAATGTATTCTTTTAATTTTAAATAGTAATAGGACAAATTTCAGAAGCTAAAAATATACAGGTCATACCCCACCAGTCTTGATAGGGTTTTGTTTGTGGTTTTTTTGGTCTTGTTTTTTAATAACAGAGGAAATAAATTACCATTATTATTTGAAACTTAGACTGATGCAGAGGGAGGTTAAAAGATTAAACTGTGAGCCTGAGCTTGAGCAGAAAGGTAAGATTGTTCTTCCTGATTCCCTCAGCGAGTCACTGATTCAGAGGACCATTTACAGTCATCACCTGGCAGCGTGCATGGGGCGATTGGTTCCAGGTCACCCCTGTATCAAAACCCGCAGATACCAAAATCCAGGGATGCATACCTCTCGGGTACTCTAAATCCTCTCTAAATTACTTGTAATTCCTAATTCAAAGTAAATGCGATGTAAATAGTTGTTATACTCTATTATTTTATTTGTAATAGTTATCTTTTATTTTTTTGTCTTGAATATTTTCAGTCTGCTGGTTGAATCCATGGATGCAGAACCCCAGATTCGGAGGGCTGAATGTACTTTCGATAGGTTCCTGAGCAGCAGTGATTATAGTCACAGCAGACTGGACAGTTTGGTGAGCAAGTTCAGGGGCTGGCTTAGTGATTCATAGTTCTTTCTTCCTCCTCCCCCAGCAGTTTTGTTTCAGCAGTGATTTGGTCAAATGTGAACCACAAACCAGCAGCAAAAGCATTTTCTAGGAACTTGTTAAAACTGGAAGGCCCAAGGTTGCACTCAGGCTTACTGAGTCAGTCACTCCAAGTGGACCCCATCCCTAAACCTTGAGACTCACTGCTCCTCTTTTGATCTGGGAGAGAAACAGAAAAAAGAAGGAAAAAAAATCCCCAATGTGAGTATGCTGGAAAGTAAATTTGAATAGCTTTTTATATTGGGTACTTACTGTGGGTAATTTACAAACTATTGGAAGGAACCACAAATTCAAACACAGCCAAATTTAAGGTCTCTTTAGCAGAAATCAATCTTACATCATGGCAGTTCTCCCATTCTCCAGTCTTTCACTTGATAGATCACTTCCTCATTAGGATGACCTACAGCAATTCTACATGAACTGCTCTTTACATTTAAACAGTGCTTTCTGTCCTAACATGTCAAAATGCTTGACAAGCAATCAAAAGGTAGCTCACTAATTTTTTCAACTCATGGCAGTAAATAGCCTGCATCTACCATCACTGCTGTTTACTGGTGATTTCTTGGCAGGGAAACTTTAAATGCCTTAGCAATGTCTAGAAAGTCAATGACTAAAGAAAATATTCATTTTGGCTTCCATAGGGCTGTATTTGATGAACTGCTCACTAACTTCTATTATTACGTCTCAAGAATAGATAATGATACTCAGCAAGGGCAAATCCCAAAGAATAGTCTATGCTTTCCTTGATTGAATCTGATTTTTGAGAAATTACATGGCCCAATCTACATTTAATATGATACAAATGCTACTTAACTCCCTGTTATTTCTGGTTGCATATAATTGATACTACTTGAAGAGTAAGAAGCAGAGTCTCACTACACTGGGGACCCTTTGAGAGCCAAGTCTGTGTCTTAGTCATCTTTGATGCCTTAGTGACCAGTACCATACCTGGAATAGTATATGTGATCAGTAACTCAAATGTATGTATTTCTTGAATGTATGGTGCATGAATGAGTCAAGATACCTTTAGCGTTGGAAGCAATCTGTCATGGAGTAGGAGGAGAAAAAGTAGTGAAAAAACTTCTAAATTCTCAAAACCTAGTGCTGAACTGAATGCTGATAATAACTTGACAACGTCCTTTGGCATTGCAGATGTTGAGATACCAACATCTAATCCGCCAAGAAAGAATTTCAGAATTAAAATTTGGGTGTGTTCTTGCGCTGGGGATTTCTCTGACCTACCTTCTGATAGAACTTTGAACCCGAGTCAATAGTCAATATACTAGTTTTTTACTTAAAACTGTAACATTTTAATCTAATTTTGGAGACGTGAAATAAAACTGATGGGAAACTCTTGAAATTTTTATCACTGGAATAACCTAATTTTGAAAACACTGATGGTTAGTTTCTTGAAATATTAATATTACTACAAGTCATAAGTAAAAGCATTCTATCTTAAGTGAGAAACTATAAAGTTGGATAATTACTATTTGAGTTTGTGGCTTGGTTTGAATAAACACTTGCTTGTTTTAAGTAAAAGTTCAGCTGAAGTGACAATCAACCTTTAATCTTGTAAAGCTTCTGTGTTAGATATTTTCTATCTCTAACATGCCAAACATGCATATTAAACTGAGTTTTTTTGCATGCAATTTCTGTACCCTTTTCTTGTGTCTTTTTGTTTGTTTGTTTTGCTTTGTATTGTTTGTTTGTTGGTTTAGATACAGGGTCTTGCCCTGCAGCCCAGGCTGGACCTCCTAGGCTCCAGTGACACCCCTACCTCAGCCTCCAGAGTAGTTAGGGCTATGGCATGCATCACAACACCTGGCAAATTTTTTTAAAGTGCTTTTTGTAGAGATGGGGTCTTGCTATGTTGCCCTGGCTGGTCTCGAACTACTGGCTTCAAGCACTCCTCCATCTCAGTCTTCTAAAGTGCTGGGATTATAGATGTGAGCCACTGTGCCCAGCCCTCTTTTCCTGTTTGAATTTTAAGTACACTTTCATAACAATCTTATTTGAAAATTAGAATGTAGATTGTATACCATTCTGTTTAACATTCTATTGCCAGCACCTAGTACAATAAATGCCTGAAATAAGGTACATAATAAATATGTAATAAAAGTCCTAAAGTATCTTGATTAAAATCTATATCTATTTTAAGTACTTGAAGACAGAAATAGATTCAAACTGCAAACGAACATGTGAATAATCAAGTCAGTGTTAATGTAAGTACAAATTATCTGCTGATTAAGATATGGAAAATGTCTCAGCTTTGGAATTACTTTCTGGTAATCCTGAGTTCAGAGTTATGGCAAGGGCATATTTAGAGCATGTTAATATTTACTGAGACATGTGTAAAGGAAGATGTTGAGAAGAGGGCATGTAAGATTTTCTGGGCTCCAAATGAAACCTGACTCATCTGCAAGGACCAACAGGCAAAAGACAGAAATGAGTCCATTGTTCTCCTAGATGAAGCCCACCCTGGTGCACGGAATGAAAGAGAGGAGAGGACCTTGAAGGTCTAGGCTTCAAGGATACTCACTGCACTTGCTCTCACAAGACCAGGCGCTGGACAAATAAGAATGTGGGCACCATTGCTTTGTATTTTTTTTATTTTTATTTTTTCTGAGACAGAGTCGCTCTGTTGCTCTGTCACCCAGGAGTGCAGTGGTGCCATCTCAGCTCACTGCAACCTCTACCTGTCGGGTTCAAGTGGTTCTCATGCCTCAGCCTCCCAAGTAGCTGGGATTACAGGCACACCCTATCATGCCTGGCTAATTTTTTGTATTTAATATTTTTAGTAGAGAAGGGATACCACCACGTTGGCCAGGCTGGTCTTGATCTCCTGGTCTTAAGTGATCTGCCTGCCTTAGCCTCCCAAAGTGCTGGGATTACATAGGTGTGAGCCACTGCGTCCAGCCTGCTTTGTATCTTTAAATACACAGTGACCCGATGCAATAGTAAAATATGGCTCAGTGAATGTTCAATTAAATCTGACCAATCAGAAAAATTTCTTCCTTTTTTTTTTTTTTTTGAGATGGAGTCTTGCTCTGTCACCCAGGCTGGAGTGCAGTGGCACAATCTCAGCTCACTGCAAGCTCCGCCTAGAAAAATTTCTTCTTTCTTAGGGAAGCAGTTATGATAGAAATGAGCAGGGGTGAGCTGGAGTGGGATGAGGGTGCTTTCCTTTGGCTAAAAGCTCTAAATTTGTTTGTTTGTTTGTTTTGTAATTTCAGCCTAATTTACAACCTTACTAAAATTTATGGACTTTTATAAAAGGTAAAATTTTATTAATATTAAATAAGCTTTGAGTGTTGGGGTGAAAAAATACCTAATAATTTTAAGAAAAGGTAGAATTATTGCTGTGAAAATTACTCAAATTGGAAAAATAACTAATAGGTACTAGGCTTAATACCTGGGTGATGAAATAATTTGTACAACAAACCCCCATGACACAAGTTTACCTATATAACAAACCTGCACATGTACCCCTGAACTTAAAAGTTAAAAAGTTACTTGAATTTTATTTGTTCCAAATATGAGACTGCTATTGAATTACAATTATGGTTATTACTAAATTGAAATTCACTTGCTATCTCCATCTGATATTACCACATACTTCATTAGTGAACATTTAAGACTATTCTATTGAAATCTTTACAAGTCCTTAAATTGAACTTCATTATAAATTATAGCACACCATGTCAACCAGCTAGCAGGAATTTGCCATCTCTCCTGCCTTCTTCCCTCTCTCTCCTCCTTCCCTTTCTTTCCACAAAGCAATTAAATGGCCATACAACAAAGAGTAGGGATCCAAACCCTTATATTAACTATAGGGGTGGAGTGTGGAGTCTCAAAACAGACCACCTGGTGTTTAAATCCTATCTGTGTGCTTTATTAGCTGTGTGACTACAGGTACTTTACTCAATTGTTCTGTGCCTCAATTTGCCCATCTGTCAAAAAGGTAATAATAATGCCTACCTTTTAGGGCTGCTGTTAGGAGAAATTCATTTGGTTTTAGAATAGTGCTTAGCACAGACTAAGCACAATAACTGTTATATTATTTTTCACTTCTATGAATATACAAAACATTAACATTTGTATCCTTAGCCTCAAAAGCGAATGATCACTGATGTGAATAGCTGATCAGCTAAATGGAGGAAAAACGCCATTTCTTCAGTTTCTCATTTTGCTTTTTAAACTGAAAACCATAATCACTAATTTCTGGCATTATCGGTTGTCAATAAACAGTCTCAAGCCATGATATTATTTTT
This sequence comes from Homo sapiens, assembly GCF_000001405.40. Lineage (NCBI taxonomy): Eukaryota > Metazoa > Chordata > Mammalia > Primates > Hominidae > Homo > Homo sapiens. The sequence continues at coordinate 78,531,269 of NC_000008.11, read as the reverse complement.
GAGAAGGTTCTGAATGTTTGCAATGAAGAGAACTAAGAAAGGGTAGAACATAAACTTTTTGATTTGGCTGATCCCAAGTGAAAGATGAAATTAATGATGAAAAATGTAAAAACTCCGCTGAAAATTCATACAGAAAGAACCTCAAGTACTTACAACATACTTGAAATTCAAATGACAGCAAATGACTAATTCTTAAATCAGGAACTCTTCACTAAAATTAAAAATATAAATGCTTTCTTGTAGGCGGCGAAAGGGTACTTAGTAGGTGTCAGGCTATTTTAAAAAGCAGGTTATAGTGGTGATATTTCAGAAGCATTAACAAACTAAGGCAGATCTTACAAGTGACCTGTTTTCAAAAAATTTTATCCTTAAGAGAAGCTTAGTAGAAATCCATTAAAACTTCCTAATGCAGTTATAGGAGAGAATTCTGTGAATTTCAGTTATCTTTTAACATGATAGATTATATTACTGCATCTTACCATTAGGTTGCCAATTATATAAATCATGTTCTAGTAAGGACCAAAACTTACTACTTAAATTAGAACTAGTAAATGTGTGTGTGTATAATCAAATGATACAATCTCATGTCAGCATTATGTCAATGCAAACTAGACTGGCATATTTAACACAGGTAAATGATCAGCAATGTCAATGTTTATTTTTTAAGCAATGCAACTCTTTAAATGAAGCCATGGTATACTCAAGAGGAGCTGCTGATAGACACAAAGATATGGTGGAAAAAAAAAAGTTTAATTAAATCTAAGAACCTGTTTAACATGTTCATCTTTGGGTTGATGAAAGTAAATAACCCTTACAGATTTTCCTAGTTCAGGATCCAGTGAGGTTTGTAAGTGAATTTATAACTAGAAGCAGACCAGGCATATTTCCATGTTTATGCTTAACTCTTAAACATACCAGTTCCTATAGGATAGAGGGCAGCACTAGATTGGCCATGGCACAAAACAGGCTTGAATTCTTGCTCTAACACTTAGTAATTGTGTATACTGATTAAGAGAGCAAATTACTACATTTCATGAACTTTGAATTCATTGTCTGCAAAATAAGGACAATTCTAGTTCTGCCAACTTTAGAGAGTTGGTATTGTCCAATAAGACAATGACTATAAAAATGCTTTGAAAATTATGTGATAATTTAAAAATATAATTTATTATCATAATTTTAGGATGAGGGAAAACTTACCTTCTTCTACTATATTTAATATTTTCAAGGCCAGCCTAGATTTTCCAGAAATCTACTAAAAAGTGAACATTTCAACCACACTCTCAGCAATGTTTAGATGGTAAAGAACATCCAAACATGAATTTCTTTTTACGCAGTTCTACAAGTAATATATACACATTGAATAAATTTGGAAATAACGTGATCTCACTGACTCTCTGCTTCTTGATTTAACCATTGATAATTGACTTTTACATTTTAAATTTCCTTTTAATATTTTCCTCCATGTATGCATCATTTATTGTTTAATGCTCTGGTCTTTGCACTTAACATTTTACAAAAAAAATTATATGTTATTTTCTACTCTAAGAATCTTATTTAATAGTAAAGGCAACACCTGTGACCTGTTATGTAAATGAATAAAGTTTAGCTTAAATAATCTAAATATATTCAAAGTTTGTATGTCTTAAAGGATATTCCCATACTTTTGTTTGTTTGATCATTTCATATATTTCAGACTATTTCAATATTTATATTTAAGCATGCACAAATTAGTATTTTTAATTTTTAAGTAAAAATGTTTAAAAAAGACTGATCCACTTGAAAACTGACATAGAAACTCTAGAAAACTTTCTTTTACTTAAGTGAAGTGGTAGATATAAAAGCATTATAGGAATATAGATCATACTTCAGTTTAAAGGAAAATCTGATTAAATACTATAGAATTGTTGCCCACTCCATATTTTGTTAGTAATTGGTAAAATGTGAATTACAGAGAATGAGCATTACTAGTCATCTGTTGATCACACTATTGAGATAACACTGATGTGGTACAATGAATTTGCAAAAAAAGGAAGTAGCAGGTATATTTTATTGTCAAAGGTTGCCTGTCAGTTGGCAAATCATTTTATAGGCTATAAATGATGTTCTAAAATAAATCATTTTGTTAATATCCATATCTGTAAGCTATATCATGGTATGTTATTAATAGGGCAGACACTCTGAACCATGGCTATTTTTGTCTTTCTGATGCATTTATTGGAGACACCAATTACTAGAAACCAGAACAGTAACTCCAGTAACCTTTAAATTAATTTTGACCCTAAAGTTTTAGCAATTTCAACATTAGTTGATGTATTTATACTAAATTAAAATTTCTAAACTAGTATTAAAATTAATACAAAGTTTATATGAAATATGAGTATATAACACTTAATAAAAATGAAAACACTAAAGAAATGTCACAAATATTTGTGTTCTAGAAATGATCCAGAAGGAATTTTTTTTTTTTATAGACGAGGTCTCGCTACAGTACCAGCTGTTCTCTAACTCTTGGCCTCAGGTGATCCCCCCACCTTGGCCACCCAAAGTGCTGAGATTACAGGCATGAGCCACCATGCCTGGACTTGTAATTTTTTTTTTTTTTTTTTTTAGAGACAGGGTCTCACTATGTTGGCCAGGCTGGTCTTGAACTTGTGGCCTTAATGACCCTCCTGCCTCAGCCTCCTGAATCACTGAGATTACTGGCATGAACCACTGCACCCAGTCCCAGATTATATGTATTTAACATTAAGAGAGATGTATTCCAGAGTTAATTTTAGAAACATCACTTCTATTGTGCTTATATCTTCTAATTGACAGGTCTGGCCTTTAAGCATTTTTGAACTGTAGAGCTAATCAGTTATAAAGCGGAAGAAAAACTCAATGATCCAACTAATGGCATTTGTTAAAATAAGCCTCTGTATAATAGTGTTATGAAACAAAGTTAAAATGAAGCAGAAACAAAAATAGGCACCATTAATCAACAAATGGCTGTTTTTTAAAAGTCTAGTTACTAGTATACTACTTGGGTTAGGGTAGTGAGGAAGACTAAATTAAATGCCAGACCAAATTTGGTTCTCTTACTGTACTTGAACAAATTTTAGTATTTTTCGCCTATGTCCTACCTTGGGGCTATTTAACTGCAGTTCTCAGCTTTCTAGCTTTACTAAGAGAAGGCATGTTATTAGCAGTAAGTATAGAAAAAGAACTGAAATGTCCCATGGTACAGTTTTCTCTACTCATTCTCCAAAATGGGAGAAATACCTAAAAAACAGATCTGACAATTCACAAAGAACAAGTCTATATTCTGAAAAACTTGATTTAAAAGAGTACCTTCCAAGTTAGAACTTTGTGAGACACTAAAAAATTATGGCATGAAACATAGATGTACAAAATAATTTATTATGCATAGGACAATGTATTCCTCAAGACAGAAAAGCTGATGGAAGGCCAAATAACTTATGGGTTAAAAAAATAACAAAATGAAACAGGTGCATTTTTCAAGCTGAAAGGCAACTATATTGTTGTTCTTATATAATTGGACAGTAGTTATAACCTGGTAAGATCTAGTTCAGAAAAGCTTAAACAGATAAATATATACTTAAAAATTAATATGACATATAAAGCAATCTGAAATAGGTAAATTCATATTCATACTCATTTATTAAATAAATCACTTTAAAATCTTAAACATATTCTCATAACTTTGAAAAACAAACTGCCAGTGAAAAAATAAGTTTTCCTTGTTAAACTTGGCTCTGGAAACAAAGATTTTTCACATGCTTTTCCAAGCACTTGTCTCTTTATTTTAAATGAAATCCAACTTTCAAGGAATCAAATATTTGAAATAGGAAGAAAATATTAATGAATACATACATAGATACACATATACATAATTATAGTTTATAATATACATAAAATATGTGTAATATATGTGTATACTTGTATGTACATACATGTTTAAAGCAGGTATTTTCATTGTTTCCAACATCTCATCTTAATTCAGACTATGCCCCAAATTTACCCCTCAAGCCTTTGGTAAACAGCCAATCAGTTCAGTATTTAAATAGGGATTAACAATATTGGCTTGGAAATTTAAGACAAACTTACACTGATGATTTATACTTTTTACGTGAAAGAGTGAAGTTATTCTGTTCCCAGGAATACATGAAGAGACTCTACCAACTGCAATAAATTATCACAAATTTGGCTGCAGTTCTTGCTCACCACAAAATTCTCCCCTGTAAATAAATGTGATTTACATATTAAATATAAGGTCCTACACAGTTTTTGTACTTGTTTTTTAAAACCCAAATGGCCCATATCAATAACAGAAATCCATATAAGAAAAATAAAATGTAAAATTGTGTGCTTTTCAAGCCCAACAAAAATTGTCATCATACTAATGTAAATATGTCATTAAAAATGCAACTTTTATAGGCTGGTGTTTCTCCTAGTAAAGATTCCACAGTAAGTGAGGCTCTATTTTTTTTTTTTATTTTGTTTAACAGTTTTGCTATTCATCACATCTAATCAGTAGCACCTAATAATAAACAAGTCCCTGAATAATAATGCTTGCACGGTCTCTGTAAATTCTTCGGGCTTCAATAAAATAGAAATGTATCACAGACCAACAAAAGTATGACCTACAATGGAGTTAGTTTAATTTTTGTTTTTGGACAACTTAATAATATGAAACTTCTCCAATAGTTGCATATTGGAAACAACAACTATTTGAGTTAGCCAAATAGGATCTTCAAAGACTTTTGACATTCCTATTTTATATGGCACTTTGCTTCTGAAATAAGCACCCTTATTTAATGCCCGTAATATCATTTCTGATAATGAGCCAGTGAAACGAGTGATTAGACATGTGGTACAATTCAAAGAAAATAAGGTGAAGGATTGCTAGCCAATTGACTTTTGCCAGGTGATCCAATCAACTACTTGAAGAGTTAAATATAGAAGCTAGGTTTAATTCCCACAGCCACTGCTGATCAGAGCCTAACAACCTCGCATTACAGTGGACCCAACCTCTCCTGACACTGGCAGTGTCTGCATTAAGACATTTTCCAGTGAGATTCAGGGTCATTTCAAGGCTAAGTTTAACTTACATGGGGAGGGGTAGAAAAAATAATTCATGAACATTTGGGAAAAGATGTAGTAATGAGGTCTGGCTGTGTAAATTGTCAGTGGAAATAAAAATGATAAAAATGGAAAACATTAACCTTTACCATGTATATTTCAGACACTTCACTGAGTTCTCCTTTATGTTATCTTCTTTCATCTTCACCACAACTCGGTGATTTTCCTGTTTTAAATATCAGGAAACAACTCACAGAGGTTGAGTAACGTATAAATCACACAGCTAGTAAATGGTAAAGGTATGATTCAAAGCCCACATTCATTTCCTGAAAAACATGATCTAGACATAAGTGGTAGCCAAAATGTCCCCAAATAAATAAATTAAAAATAAATAGCAAAAGGGAGGAGGAAAGCCCAGTGATCAGAATATATTCATGATAATGGTTAGAGCTTTTTGATTGAACTTGAAAATGATTAAAAGCTGCCTGAGAGCTCTAAGAATAAAATTGTTACAACTTTACAGTCAGACATTTTGAGATTAACCTAATTGCTTTGCTTTCATAACACCGTAATGCCATTTTATTTCATTTTCCATTTTATTAGAAAAAATTTAAACATTTAAGTATTGCCTAAAACTGTTAGTGATTTTTCTTTTCTAAATAGATGAGCAAGATGCCAACATTCATCCTCTTATTTAATGGACTGTTTAGTGTCAGATAATTTTAGTGTCACGTTTGAATTTTGTGGTGAAATAGTCATTCCAACATATCTCGTGAAGATGTGACAGGCCCACTATCTCACACCTATATGCAGGTTGAAAACATTTTCAATTGACAGTAACTGTACTTTATCTCTGATTGTGTTCTTTACAATCAATGAGATTGAAAAAGAGATGCAGACAAAAGAAGTGCTGACTAATACTCCATCATTATAATCTCTATCTTGCATTCTGAGTTTTCTAAAAGTCCCCATCTGCTATAGTTGAAAAGGGGAATGTCATGTTTTCCTGCCCTGGGTAAACAGATGGTGCATGGTTAAGTGTCTTGAACTGCTTACTAGATAAATTCCAGACTAAAATATGATTCACCTCTAATTTCCAACTTATAATACCCCAGAGGGAAGAAAGTATGGTTTTAAAAGAACCAGGGAAGAGGGTAGTTCTATCCATAATTTACTCCTACCACATATACTAAAGCAATCACAATGAGCTTGTGTAGAATACCAATCATTTTGTATTGGGGGGTAGCTTTCAGAAATAAATGGTATTAGTTCATTTTGTTGTTCAACTAATGTTTTGTAATCTCCTGTATTAAAGCCATGTACCATACTGGCCATTTGAGTTACAGAAATTTTTATGCTGTTGATATTTTACTTATGAAATAACAATTTACGTTTATTGAATGCTTAGTATATGATGCTGATAAGCTCCCCAGAAATCTTAACATTGATAAAATATATCAAATGCTACTTTTTCATGCTTTGCTTTGAAATCCTGAGTTATTCTCTAATATGGAGAAGATGAAAAAAATGTAATTTAGATTTCTACAGGATCACCAGCTGTATCTTAGCCAACTTTTATCAATGGAGAGTCTCAATAGGTACATTTTTAGTTATCATAAAACTCTTTTTTACTGATTATTAGGTAATTCTAATAAATATGGGCATGTAACAAATAGTTAAGAACATCAGCCCCATTTTATCTCAGCTTGACTCACTGCAGGAAAGCACAAATTTGAAGAAAGCCATTTCCCCAAGAACTACTCACTTCCTTGAGAGCCACGTGAGAGACTAACTTGGATGACAGTGACTTGTCACAATTTATTTTTGATGGCACTAGTTTAAAAAAGTGGTAAAATAGTCTTTTCAGAATGAATCATTTCTAAAAATCCATTATTCTCCAGTGATTATACCTTATAAGTAGAAACCCATATATATAAAAACATATATATTTATATATAAATATAAATGTTTATATATATATAAATATAAATGTTTATATATAAATATAAATGTTTATACATATATTTATATATAAATATAAATGTTTATATATAAATATAAATGTTTATACATATATTTATATATAAATATAAATGTTTATTTATATTTATATATAAATATAAATGTTTATATATATTTATATATATAAACGTTTATATAAACGTTTATATATATTTATATATAAATGTTTATATATATTTATAAATATAAATGTTTATATATTTATATATAAATATAAATGTTTATATATATTTATATATATATAAATATATATGTATAAATATAAATATGTATAAATATTTATATAAATATATATGTATAATGTTCCTTTCCTAAATTGTTAATATATTACCATAGTTACTCTTTAGAATTTCCTGGTCTTTAAATCTAAATTTGTATTTGAGTGATTTTGACAGATTATTTCTAGTGACTCCATTGGATGCCCACTAATTTCAGATTCAATGTTATTTCTGCAAGTCCCAGCAAAATTACATTTTGGAAATGGAAAAGGGGTCTTAACATTCAGGTTATTTTCCTCTACATTTCAATTATCAGAGAAGCTGTGTATGAAAGATCATGGAGAGTTGTGCAAGAATTGCATTAAAGGTATTACTGACTTTTCTGTGTTTATTTGGTCAGATTCTGCAGTATATAAGTGAGGAATGTAGCAGGTTGTGTTGCTGTGACTATTGCAATGACCAAAAAACTGCTGCTTCTACCCTTTGGTCTCATAACCACAGCAGTGCATTAAGAAGGTATGGCCATGGTGTTGCTTATTCAGACAAAGATAAGAATGCTGATTTGTTTTACGTCTGCTTTTCAAAGAGGGTTTAATCAAACAACCATAAAGATAGAGGTAAACCATAGGAGAAATGTTTATTAATAATTCCCCCCACCCCAATCAACTGAAGAAAAAGCATACTTTAAAATGCAGTTGTGACATGTCTAGGGTCAGCTACACTGTGGAGTGTGTCTGTCCAACTAAATAAATGTTCTAGCAACCCTTTAGTTTTAAGTAGATACTCAAACATATATTATAAGACATGTTGCTTCATCTTTGTCCTTTTAGCATTTTAATGTTTAAGTAAAAACTAATGCAATCTCCAGCAAGCCTTCTGTTTCTCCTCTCCTGGCCGATGCAATAGAGACTGTCTTCTGCTGAGGAGGATGGTTAAAAGTCTTGCCAATTCTGTTTATACTTCACATACGCCAAATATTTTGTAGTTTAGCTTCAATAAGACACTGTTATCACTGGGCTTTATTATTCTATTTCAGAATAAACTAAAAATAATACATTAAAGAGAAACTAAGAAAAAAAAATAAAAGATTTACCATAATGTAGGTACATAAATCTGAACAAACAGACCAAATTTTAGATTAGGTTTGATGCAAATAACCTATTGCTGGTGCAAACAAACAAACAAAAACCCTAAAAACTAGCTAGAGATGTTTCTACTATTCCACATTGTTATTACAAGACTTAACTGACATCTATGATGCACTTTGTCATCTATGATAAAAAAATGCATGATTGAGAGACTTTCTCTCTCAATACTTGTGTATAGCATTTTTCCTCCATGAACTGGAAATGAAAAAAGAGAGAATATTTCTTTGCTCGGATCATGTTCAGTTGATTTCCTTATAGTATCTGTATTCATTTTTAAGATAGTATGAAAGGGTTCCAGAACATTCAGTAATACTATCTGTTACAGAATGTTAGGATTTTTATAGTCTATAAACTACAGTATCTAGAGTACTCAAACTATAAATATCTGGGCATAATCTCTGACCCAATAATTCCACTCCAAGCATTCTTTGATCAAAAGTAAAAGTACTGACATATAAAGACATATGGATTAATATACTCTGTTTATTACCACATAACTTGAAGTCACAAAACAATTTGGAATTAAGTAAATGTTTTTCAATGGGTTTTGACCAAATAAATTATGGCACCTTCATAGTGTATATTACTTGACATCTATGGAAGATAATATGGTGGTGTTATATGCTAGCCATGTTTAATGTAATAGACAATGTACTGAAAGTGTTTTGCAATTCAAAATTACCATATGTGTTATATACATACAATGAAATAGTATTCAGCCTTAAAAGGGAATGAAATTTTGATACATGCTGAAATATGGATGAACTTTGAAAACATTTATACTAAGTGAAAGAAGCTAGAGACAAAAGGACAAATATGTATGAAAGGGTTCCAGAACATTCCATAAGTGATTCCACTTATGAGGTACCTAGAATATGCAAATTCATAGGCACAGAGAGTAGAATAGTGTTTACCAGGGGCTGAGGAAATGAACGGTTATTGTTTAATGTGTATAGAGTTTCTGTTTGTGATAATGAGACAGTTCTGAAAACTGATAGTGGTGATAGTTGCCCAACATTGTTAATTATACAGTTAAAAATAGCTAAAATAGTAAATGTTACGTATATTTTACCAGAAAAAAAATTTTAATTATAAAATCTATAAAATATAAACTTACCTGATATGGAGCACATTATAAAGTTTTCATAACATTTTACTTATTTTAGACACTTATATAGTTATAATCTTATTTTGGTACAAAAAAAGGTATTTGGGAAATGTAAAGAAGGTAACAGCTTAAGTTGTCCTTTTGAGTTTTCTATCTTTCCATCTCTGTTTTTTTTTCCAGACTAATGTTGTTCTTGTCACACCTCTTTGAACGCTCTTTAAATACATCAGGAACCGTGCTTGCTAGTACCAGTCCCTTTAAGTATCAGCTGAGAATCTGAATGCATTTTTATGAATCTAAAATGATATGCAGCTCTTTCAGGATGGCACTTGTTTTAGAACCTAGGAGGGATGAACATAAATTATCATTCTTTCCTTAACTTGGCAAAAGCAAATATATTACTGAAGATGGCATTACCATAAAGAAATATTAATATTGAGACAGTTAATAAGTCCATCCTAAGAGAACTGAATATATTCCAAAGTAAACTACACCAATCAACTGCTGGCAATGTTTTCCCACATATGTGGTAGTACAATACTCTTAAGTCTGAGAACAGTTTCTTTTTTGTAAAAATGGCTTTGATTGGAAAACCTTAAATAAGTCATTTGGAATGTGTAACGTTCGGAGCTCCCTTTCCATGCCTTTTTTGTGAATCAAGGTTCTTTGAGTCACTATTTTCACTAGCACTTGCTTCCTAGTCATCAGCTGTCTTCATGTCAGTGTTGGTGAAGGGCTCTCATTTCAGGTCTTAAAGTAAGGAGAAAAACAGAAGGAAAACCTCATCTCAAGTACTGGAAATGTAAGGGCTAATAAAGGACACACATATTGTCCAAGGGAGCACAAATAGATGTTCTTTAACTATTCTGTAAAGAGAGCTTTAGTGAATCCACAAACACCTGCATTTGTATGCAAAATTAATATGTGTATGCTTCTGTATGTACTTGGGGAGAAGATGTACAGACTTTACTGAGTTATCAAAAGTTTGAGATGTTAACCTAAAAGTTTAAAAAGCACTGGAAAGATTAATCACAAAACAACTTGAAACTATTCTGATGGCTCTGACTTTATGTTTTTACAATGTTTTCCCTCACTCTGTTACACTTCAAAGAGCGGGTGGTAATATGGAAAAAATCTCTGCCATTCAGGTGACATCTCTGAGCCTCAGTTTTCTTAGTGTAAAATTCACATATAGTATAAACATCAAATGAGATACCAAAGATGAAAGTCCCTAGATGAGTGGCTTGAAACAAGATAAATGCTCATATGCATAAGGTGCCTTCAATGCAATAATACTGAAAGCAGGTACAATGTCTTCATTAAAGATTGGTTTTGCTATGCTCACCATGCTTTTAGTATCCATTTAAGGACATTTAAGCTCATAATACCTTTTGTAGATTATAATGATTTGAATGTACTCTCAGTATATTTATTATTACTATAATGATTTTTAAAAAACCAAATTAGCATTTGCACATATATTGAGAACTTAACTTGGCTGGTAGAGGAGTGTAGGTAGATAGATTTATAACTCTGGAAAATAACTTATTTCTTCACTAAAATCAAATTGCTGAACACCTATAATACATATATGTAGCTAGACACCATAGAGTTGCAGGTAATAAAAACTTATTCCCAGACCCTGCTTTCAAGAGTTTTTTTTAGAAGAGCAGACAAAGCATGTTCACATGAAAGGATAACCCAAAATAGAATGTGCTATGGGAATTTAAACAAGAGAGGGGCACATCTGGTTGGGGAAGGAAGATGGGTATGGGGAAGGCTTCATAAGTGAGTCAGTATCTGAGGTGAACAAGGTTTCGACATGTAAGAGGATGGGCTAACAGAATAAATGAAAACACATAGGCATGCCACCATGGGGTACAAATTGGAAAGAAGATCCACTTGGTTTAGGTTGGGCATGGGGTACTTTAAGGGAATTAGTGACAAATTAGATTAAGAGATATCACAGTGCCTGATACATAGTACTTAATATTACCTTTTAAACACAAATATTGAATCCAAGAATAACATAGAAGAGGACTTATAAAATGAACAGGGTGAAATATTATAGAAATCTGGCAATTAAGAGGTCATTGGCAACTTTCAAAATAGCACTTTTTTCTACCCATTCTCAGTGGAGTCACTGGTTGAATAGAAATGACATTTCTATTTGAGCCTTATTATTGCTATTCTTTTTCCTTTTCCATTTCAACATTTCTGAACTTTTAAAAAAGTTTTTATTTTTTAATTTGAGACAGGGTTTCATTCTGTTGCCCTGGTTGAAGTACAGTGGTGCCATCATGGCTCACTGCAGCCTCAGACTCCTGGGCTCAAGCAATCCTCCTGCCTCAGCCTCAAATCTTAAGGCTATTTCAATTGTAGTTAATGGCAGTAATGCAGCACCAGAAAAAGATATTTTGTTAGAAGAGGGCAACTTTAACTCCTAAATTTTTACTCTCTAAATATCTGGTAACACTGTCTAGCAGACAAAACTTTTTTTTTTTTTTTTACACAATTGGAGAGCAGTAGACTGACTTCAGTTCTATCTTGTCAAACACAAAAGTGCCTGCAGTTCATTTAGTATCTAATCATTTAGCATCTAATCATGCACGTCCTTCCATTTTTCATTCCTCTTTCAATTCTGAACACCAGCCAATTAGTTTTTCCTCTCCCTAGGAAACATTTTAAGGAAAGGATATAAAGTCATAAATCAGTTTCAGACATAAAATCATACATATATTTCTGCTTAGCCTTCTAAATTTAGAAACTTTCCTCAAACTTGTTTAAACACAACAAAGTCCAAATTCAGGAATCCCTTCAGTTTGATTATCTTCCTCAGTTGTACTAAAATGAAAATTAAATTTTCTAACTTGTTTTCTTTCTTCTCAACAAGATTTCTCCAACTCCAGTCCATAACTTAGTGGGTTCAACTCACCTGCAAAATCACTAGCAAGTATTATTCCACCTTAGGCAGCACCAGTCTCCTAATCCTGAACCTATTTCTTGCCAAAGAGTTTAGTTTCTTCAGAAACTAAATGATAGACACTTCGAATTTCTAACCATCATTAGGATATTCTCACGCACTTGCTCTTCAACAGAAAGGTGACTGTCAACATTACAGAAACTGCATTGTATTTCTAAGATCAATTGTACTAATCTGTATTTCATATACCTTAGGTTATTTAGAATAACTATATTAAAATTCATTATTATTCTATATTAGTATTATTCAGAATAATGATGTATATGGTTAAGTATTTTAATAGTAGAAAAAAGGTGGTAGAATACAGGGTTTGTTGTTGATCTTGTTCTTTGTTACCTCATAGTTAATGTGACTGAGTAAAAATTCTAGAATCTCAAGAAGTTAATATTTCAAACCAAAACCCTGTTTAACACATAATAACAACAACAAAAAAGGAACATAAGGTTATTAAGACCCCAAGGGGCAGTTCCTGGAGTGGATCACTCAGTAGTGGGCTTTGCCCACCCCCTACACCCTCACCCTATGCCTCATATACTGAAGATGGAGACAAAGAAACAAATTCAAATCTTTCTAAAGTGCATTTTGTAAAAACGAAATTTGTAATAGAAAGGCAATAATGATATATAATATGATTAACACGATTTTCCATACTAGTGTCTTTGCTTAAAAATAATATTTGAAGAGGAAAGAAAGAGGTAAAATTTTAAGCTACCAACTCTGCCCCTCTTTTTCATTGATCTTCTAATTTAATTTACTAAAATAAAATTGCATGGCTGTTGAGTCAGACAGTCTCTGTAATTTTAAGTTTAAAGATAACAGATCTTCCTTTAAATAGAACATTGGCACACAGATACCCCACAATCTGGCTTATTGCAACTGTTCTCTGTTGGTGAAGTGGCACGTTTGCAATCCCCATAACAGCCATCTTAACCATTTCACAGCATATTATTCAAATGTACATCTCTAGGTGGCAACAAGGATAGGCACTTGGGCTCAGTAGCAAGGGGTCTGTGGGGAAAATCCTAGGACGAGGGATAGGAACCTGCAAATGGCAAGACAAACTAGAGGATACTCAACCAGAGGCTTAGATTGGGCAGCTCCATTGGCTTTCTGACTGCCTACGAGGAAAACCTCACTGGAAACTCTTTTGAGGTTCTTGAGGAATCCTAGAGGCAAACGGACTCCTCTGCCTTTTGGAAAGGATTTGTCCCAAATCTTAACAGCTAGCTGTCTCAAAATCCAACTGGACTAAAATTGCTTCAAGAAAAACTGGATGGACTGGCATTCACATTTTTACTTCTACCTATGCCTATGCATAGGGAACATCCCTCACACTCCAGTAGATTCTATCTGTCCTCTCTAGCTTTCAAGTAGCCACAGTGACTACAGCGAAGGGAGTTAATGGGATAACATGTTGGTACAGGGCCACAAGCAGGATATTTCATTCCATGCATTTGGGGGAAGGACACAGGTAACAGTATACAGGGAGAATACCGAATAAGAAATCTGTGTGAGGCAATGCCCTTTTTGGGACCTTGACAAAATCAGTCATGGAACCCAGGTGGTGGATAAGAGCTGACGAGAGTTGGTCTGTGAATGGGCACAGCATCTCCGAAAAAGATCAATGAAATGATTGACAGAGAAAATGGCAATTGAAGGAAGAAGCGATGTCAAGTGCTGCTCAACCCAAGCTGAACTCCAGGAGATAAGAGAAGTTTCCCCTCCAGATAGAGGCTCTTTCTAAAGGTTCAGTCTTGAAGCAGGTGTTTTGCCATTGAGAGGGGCACAGACCCATTCTGATAACTGGAAAGGGAGAGGACCAAGGACTACAGGAAGAGGGACGATTTCTGATTACCTCAGGCTGCTGCCAGGGACCTACTGCTCCAAATCCTCAAAATACTCAAGCGAAGGTAAAAGGCACAGAAAGCAAAAGAGTAACTCAAATTATTTTAAATTTTGAGTCCTCTTCACTGTCTACGCGAATCTGGCACTGAAATGGTAGATCACGTTCAAAAGAGTATAGAGGCAAGAACGCCTTCTTTGTTTGCCCAGTAACACTGCTCCTCCAACCTCTGCACTTGGCCGCCCAACATTTCCATCCTAGTTGTTGCTCCTTTTCTCATTGCAGAATGCAGCGGGGTTCTCCCCTTCTTCCCTCCGTGCTGCAAACCCCATTATTAACCAAGCGGAAAGCTCCACGCAGTGCGGCCAGGGCGCACCGGTGCCGGGCTGCTTACCTTCCCCGGACCTAGTCAGCGCAGGTCCCCGCGCACGCCGCCACGGGCCGCAGTCCCGCCGCGCCCGCCGAGTGCTCGGTCAGCTCGCGCCGGCCCGCGCCCCACCTGCCAGCAGCAGCCTCCGCTCCCGCCGCGGAGCTCCGGCTGCATGAAGTCATCCCCGCCCCGGGACGGATCACCACATTCCGCGCCAGCCACGGGGGGAGCGGGGCCGCTCCCGACCCCAGGGAAGGCAGCCTGGAAACGGCGCTCGACGATCGCTGCCCCGCGAGGTTGTGGATTGATTTTCTATTAATGCTTTTACAGCTGCAGCATCGCTGGATTATGGATTGAGAGAGAAGAGCCAGGGGGGCTTTCTCTGCATAGCGTCCTTCCTCCGAGCGCTCCCCCGTCACCCCGGCTGCATGGACTGTTCCATTTGCCCCTGTGGGTTTCCCACCCTCTTCATCTTCCTTATCAGCATTGTTCATTTGGCTGAATTTGAGAGCAGGAATTGTCTTTTAAGATAAACATTCAAGCACTACAAAAACATTTTAAATTGGTAATGAAGCTTTCTAAGCCCTTCATAGCTCTCTCCATCACCCCCGCCCCCGCCAACAGACACACACGCAAACACACACACACACGCACACACGCGCGCACACACACGTATGCACACAGCCAAACCACTCACAATTTTGAAAGCTAGAACCTTTCGCCCTCTCACCTACGTAATAGAACGGGAATCTCCTAAAAGACTGGAGAAGTGGGGCCAACCAGAGAAAGCGCTCAAAGAAACAGTGGGGTGGCCCCATGATTTTGTTGTGTTTATGGTGCACTTGTGCACAGATGTTCCCTCTAACATCTCTTCCTCCTACTTCCTTTGCTCTGGACCCCCTCCCCTCCCTGCCACATAATTGGGCAAACTGTTGTGGTGACAGCTGTAACATTTGGGAATCAAAAAGCAGAGTCTACATTAGCAAATGACTATCTCTCTTTCCCTAAGGATTTATGAAAATTTGCTTTGGGAATGAAATAAGCATGTATTCATATAAGCCCTTTCCTTCTCTTTTTAAATTAACACTAGCTGTTAACAAGACTGTTCTCTCTCCCCCACCCTCCCGTTTTGCTTCTTTCCCAAATCTCTTCAGGTTTGAGGGTTGAATGTTTAAGGAAAAATGGGACTAAATTTGCTCTCTTTGTAGCTGAGCCAGGGTTTCCGCCTAGCTGTTGAGTCATTTTCCAGTCGGGAGGTTCCTTGACACTAGGGTTCTGTGGAATGGAGTTCCCTCTTTTAACTTGCCTTGCTGTTTGAATTGACCGTCACTTGATACAGGCCAGCTTTACACTATGGATTTGTCCAGCAACCTAAACAGTGCAATTGCACAAGGCCAGGGAAGCACCTTTGCTAAATGAGATGTTTCCATCCATCTATCAGTCCCAAAGTTAGGTGATAATGTAGCCAACAGCTTTCCAACAAAACTTAGTTAGAATTCTTGGTCATAGAATATATGCTCTTTGAAAGCTAGAACAGCTTAATTCATCGCTCTGAGACTCACTTTCATAACATTAGCCCGTTAATATTACCATAGAGCAGGAGATTCTTAATCTGTATAAATGGAATTCTATTCATATACTCCTTTTATACAGATTAAGTATAATGGGAAAAATCTCATTTTTAGTTTCACTAACTTCTAACTGAAATTTAGCATTTAGCATGTCCTTTAAACATAATGTAGGCAACAAACCACAAGAATGTTAGGAGTACCTGGGACTTTGTTTCCAATAGAAACAACAGCTAATTCCTTATTGCTGTTTTTATAGATATCTCTATCACTACACTGATGTTATAATCAAATCATCACTACTTTTTTTATTTAATAGACTATATTTTTCAGCTTTGGTGTCCAGAAAAATTGAAGAAATAATACAGGGTGTTCCCATATATCCCATTCCCAGTGTCTCCTATTGACATCATACAATAGTAAGGTACCTTGGTGTAATTCTGGCATTGCTATAAAGAACTACCTGAGATTGGGTAATTTATAAAGAAGGGCTGGTGGTTCTGTAGGCTGTACAGGAAGCATGATTGGGGAGGTCTCAGGAAACCTATAATCATGGTGGAAGGCAAAGGGGAAGCAGGCAGGGCCTACATGGCTGGAGCAGGAGAAAGAGAAGGGGGAGGTGCTACACACTTTTAAACAACCAGATGTCATGAGAACTCACTACCACCAGAAAGCCAAGGGGGAAGTCCTCCCCCATGATCAAGTCACCTCCCACTAGGCCCCTCCTCCAAAATTGGGGATTACAATTTGACATGAGATTTGGGTAGGGACACAAATCTGAACCATATCATTGGGTTACAATCAATGAATGTATACTGATACATTATTACTAACTATAAATAAAGTCTAACTACATTTAAGTTTCCCTGGTTTTTACCTAATATCCTTAAATCTGTTCCAGGCATCCATCCAGGATACCACACTAAATTTAGTTGTCATGTCCCCTTAAGCTCCTCTTAGCTGTGATAGTTTTTCTTGTTTTTGATGACCTTGACAGTTTTGAGGAGTAGTGGTCAAGTATTTGCTGGAAGGCCTCACTGTTGCAATTTGTCTGATGCTTTTCTTATGATAAGACTGGAGTTGCGAACTATTGGCAGGAGAAAGAAAGAGGTAAAGTCCCTTTTCCTCACATCATATCAAGGTGCTATAGTACCGATGTGATTTATGACTGGTGATGTGTTGACCTTGATTGTCTGGCTGAGGCAGTGTTTGTCAGGTTTCTCTACTGTAACGTTATTGCCCATCCCTTCCATACTGTACTTGTAGGAAGTAACTACATGAAACCCAAACCTAAGGAGTGGGACTTTGGCTCTACCTCCCTGAGGGCAGAGTGTGTACATAAAGTATATGGAATTCTGTACAGGAGAGCTGTCTATTCTCTACCAAGTATTCAATTACTTATTGATATCAATATTATAGACTTATGGAGATGTATTATATTTTATGCCTTTGGTAATAATCAATTACTACTTTATTTTGTTGTTCAATTTGTTCCAGTTTTGCCCATTGGAAGCTCTTTCAGTAGGTTCCTGTGCTCCTTTGACATACCCCCTTTGATGTGTGAGTGTGCGTGTGTGTGTGTATGGCAGGAGCAGCAGGGCTGTTAACAATCCCTTACTTTATGGTATTATAAGTTCCTCCAGTCTCAACTTGTATACTTCCTTCTTCATTCCAAGAATCAGCCATTTCTTCATGGAGCCCTTGTTCCTTTTATGGGAGAATGGTAATACAAATCAAGATCTGGGTCCCAGACACAGTCATTATTGGCAGGTCATTTTGTTTAGGCCTTTCAACTAAGACAGTGAAGAAATATATGTGTATACTTACCCATGCATATATACATAAGTATTTCTATATGTGACCATTCTGTGTCTGTATTAAGCTAAATATGAGCACATACTTATGTTTCCAACTTTAATCCTTTAACACATAGATCATTCTAGCCTCCTCCCTTTGCTTGTCTGTAAATTCCTATTCCAATAGTGAGAATCATGGCTCCCATCATTCACTGTTATAATTGTTCAATTTCAGTGTACATGTAAAGCAGTATAAAAATTGTTAACCCTTTCCCACAATATCACAATTTTTAAGTAAATATATATAACTCTCCTATACTGTGTTTAATGAGTTTAAATGCCCATACCTTTGTATATCATGAATTTTGTTTTTAAATATTTTGATAACAGTATTTTAAACTTCGTAGTTTCCTTTCCAATTCTACGTATTATATTTTATGCATTGAAAAGCATCATTTTAAGAAGAGTTATGTAGGTTGCTTCAGATTGTCAAAGGGAGCCATGGCAAAACTTAGAATACAAACTGTAGACTGTTACTGTGAGGCTATAATGAGATGGCATGAAATTGCCACTCCAGAGCTTCAGGGAGCTGATACTCTGTCAGTGTTATCCTTGCATACTTGGGCAGGCTTCTGTCCCCTTTCTCCTTTGCAAGTTCTAAATACCTTGAATGAGAGAACATGTTCAGCCTTCATAATTTATCATTTAGTTGAAGGATTTGCTAGGTATCTCATGCTGAAGATAAAAGTCCTTATAAAGTAAAGAGGCAGGAGGATGAGAAGGTGAAGAGAACCAGAAGGTTGAGATGACTGTGAAGGTTAGAGATTTTGTAGTTGAACAGACTTGGGCTTGGATCCCCACCACTCACAGCCTGACTTTGTCTTGTTTCTGAGATGAAGACAACAATTGTCTCAAGAGTGAAAGATGTTTGATCTTTTCCTTCAAGTTGCCTGAGGCAGTAGGGATGCAACTGTGGCGACTTGGGACAGTCCCAGAACATGTTTTCTTGACCCCCCAGTGTAGTTTCCATCTGCGAAGCCAGACTCACTGAAGATAGTTTCTTGTGATAATATAGATACATTCATCTATCAAAGTATTCTTATCAGGTACTTTTTATTCATGGAAAGGAATCAGTGTGTTGATGGTGTTAAAGACAACAGTCAAAGACATTAAATGGCAGGATTGAACTGCTTCTGATACTCCAGCACGGTAAGAGGCATAGGGAAACCAGAAAGAAAAGGGGAAAGATATTGGGAAATGTCTTATGTCAACATATAGGGTTTGAATCTGTCTTCTTGGAACTTTACATACAGCAATATGTAATTTTTTTTAACCTATGACTTGTTATTGCACAAATTTTTTTTTAAAAAACCCTAAACTTTGGATCTTGACTTTGAGGTCTGCAATGCTTCCTTTCTGATATTCTCAAATTAGAGATCAAATGGCCTAGTGATATCATGAGTCTCAGCAAGGGAAAATGTGAAACCAGAGCCAGAGGCCCTGTGTGCTGGGAGCTGTCAGCATTTAGAAACACTCCTTTGGGTTAAGGGAGTCCTTCCAGAAAGGACTCATTTAAATGCAAATACACTATCAGGAGGAGTAACTGAGTATCTCATTTGCTGCCATTAACAATTTAGCAGAGATTAGATTCTCAGATTTATTATTGAGAGGAGTTGTCAGGGTGATTTGGCCCCAGCATCTGTCACCCCATTTCCTGCCAGGTCTCCTGTTCTCGTCACTCCGTAGGGGTCTGCCTGAAACTGGGAGCTTGGTCTACTAGGAAAGAATTGGGCACTTAGTGAATAATAATCAATATTGTTTTACATAATTTTGACTTAAGAGAAAGGGTAGGAGAAGGATTTCCATGGTAATGGTACTGTGTGTGTGTGTGTCTGTGTGTGTCTGCGAGGCTTTGGCTGATTAATCATGTGCTACAGAAGTCTTACAATTTTATGACAAAGCATCTACTCTTTTAATGAGGTCAGAAAGTAGATCATGTAAAATACATACAAATGTAATGCAAAGCTAGCAATAGAAACAGTTGCATTCAAGTAATCATAGGTAGTAAGAATTTTCTATACTAATATGAAAACATTTTGATATATGATACAGGGAACAAAAATCTATCATTTATGTGAAGATTGGTATTAGATCTTGAAGAGTTTCAGCAGATTGAACAGAAATAGGACAATGCAAGAAGGGGAAGTGACTACAAACAGAACAGAAACTGTTTTGACATTAGGAAGAATTCACTTTGTTGATACTGGTAAGGAGTTGACATAAAATTCTAGGTCTATGTAACACAGCTACTATGCTGTAATTGGAACTCCATATTTAATTGTGCAATGTCTATTTGCTTAGATGACATACCTAGTAAATGGCACATGATGCATTTCATACTGTGGTGTAAGAAATACTCAAATAAACCTTTAAAAAATTATTATGAAAGCATGGGATAAAACAAACTACTTAGGTGATGCTTTACATTTTTTTCACTTTTTTTATTTTAAGAATATGATGAAACCAATAAAATCCCCCTCTCAAGAAAGGTATGGTTTAATGAAAACTTTTCTACTGCAGTGAGTAGATTATCAAATAATATTTATAAAGAATTATGTCTCTATCATTTGTCATCAATGACAAATTTCTTCATCAATTTCTTACCATATACAATTTAGTAAATTATCAAATAATTTTAATAAAGAATTATGTCTCTATCATAATTTTTTTCATCCATTATATACAATTTAGGCTACTAAAAAGGTAAATAAGTTTAAAATAAGCTTCAATGAACTGTGTTCATCAGACAAGTTGATATTCATTCAGCAGATTATTTATGGAGTACAGTGTACTAGTACTGCTGTTCTAATCACTGAAGATACAAACATGGACAAATAAAGCTCTTCTTCATGGATATTTTGTCCAAGTAAAAGGAGACAGAATTTTTACTCTGTTCGTTCATGGCCCTTTCCATCAACTAATATGGCATGATAGTTGATGGAAAGGGCCATGAAGGAGCAGAGTAGGAATGCAGGGCTGGGCGTGGCTCACACCTGTAATCCCAGCACTTTGGGAGGCCCAGGCAGGCGGATCACCTGAGGTCAGGAATTTGACACCAGCCTGGCCAACATGGTGAAACCCCATCTCTACTAAAAATACAAAAATTAGCTGGGCATGGTGGTGCATACCTGTAGTCCCAGCTACTCGGGAGGCTGAGGCAGTAGAACTGCTTGAACCCAGGAGGCGGAGGTTGCAGTGAGCGGAGATCATGCCAATGCACTCCAGCCTGGGCAACAGAGACTCTGAGGCTCTGTCTCAAAAAAAAAAAAAAAAAAAAAAAAAAGAGAATACAGGTATAGGGGTAGTTATATAAGGTGGTAGGGGACACTTGGGCAGAGATTTGAAGACAATGTGAAAGCAAGATATGTGAACACTTGAAGAGGTTCAGCACATGCAACATACAAGTAGGTGAGCATATACATCATGTGTTCCAGGAACTGAAAGTTTACTTTCTTTGTAGTGAAATGATCAAACGGGGAAATTGTTAGGAGATGAGGTTAGAAAGGTAGGTGAGTGAATGTTCATTTAGAGCCTAAAAAGGCAGTGAGATTTGGGGGATTGAGACTTTGTTTTTGAACTTGCTAACTTTGTGTTTCTGATCAGATCTTAGTGGAGATGTGAAGTAGACAACTGGATGTACTAGTCTGAAATTCATGGGAGAGATATCATGGCTGTAGATGAAAATTTATGAATCGTCATGGTACCTAAAGTCTTTAGATCGGGTGAAATCACCTTGGAGGTAAGCGTAGGAAGAGAATAGATGATGTTTGAGGACTGAGCCATGGGGCATGCCAGAGGATCCAGAAGAGGGTATAAAAAGAAGTGAGCAGGGAGATAGGGAAAGTTGTCCCAGAAGCAAAGTGAAAAGGGGTTAGAAGGAGGAGGGAGGGTTTATTGCTCTTACACTGCTAGTAGATTAATATGAGACGTGATAACTGAGTGTAGGATTTGCAACATGGAGATACCTAATTTCCTTGATAAGAACAATTTCTGTATTCTTATCAAAGAACAAAAAAATAGTGTAAATGAGTAAATGAAGTGAAAAAATAAAAGGCAGCCTTTTAAAAGTAGTTTTGTTATAAAAATAAGCAAGAAATGCATAATAATTAGAGCAGGATATAGGAATAAAAAAGGATTTTTTTTTCTTTGAGATGGACATTTTTGTATGCTGTGGGAACAACTAGTAGAGAACAAGTAACTGATGACGCAGGAAAAAAGAGATACTCAGAAGGGATCTAGTGCAGGAGAGAGGATTTGGCCTTAGATCAGAGGACAAGTATTTCTTCCCCTAAAAGAGAGGGGAGGCAGAGCATTTGGCTTCAAGTAGACCCGGATAGGTTGGTAAACTTGATGTTCAGAGCTCTGGGAATTTTGCCTTGCTCTCACTTGTATTCCCAATGAAATAAGAAGCAGCTGAGAATTTAGAAAGATGAATTGGTACTGGAGATGTGAGGAAAGAGAAGTTTTGAAACAGTTGCCTAGTAGGGAGTGAAAGAGAACTGATTTGCGCTGAGTTTTCTAATAAGTACTAGCAAGTTCACTCAGGCTTATGATTATGAATTTAAAAGAGACAAATTAACAAAGTTGCTGGGTTTTCTCCAGCCATGGTTAGCTGCCTGGTGCGGGTGCTGAGTTGACCTAGGGTTCTGTTTCGCTGGGGTTGGCATTTTGTACAGCCAATACAACCGAGAATGATGGCCGTCGGAGCTCGGAGTGAATACAGCGAATGATTCCAATAGGAACCACGGACTCTGATCTGGGTAAACAGGGAACAGCATTAGACTGTGAGCAATAGTCTTATACTTGATTTTAACTTTATGAATCATAAGGGCTGAAAACCCTGACTCATAACAGTGTGTTAAGGGCAAACGCAATTAGAACTCAGTTTACTGTGTTGTAAAGAAATTTTCCATTTTTCTTTTAGTTGAATTCCTGTCTGTAATTTCTTGACTCTTAAGACGGTGATAGCATCTTAGGTGATATATACATTTTTGATAAAGTAATCTCAGAAATATATTTTAAAAATAAAATTTAAAGCTGTCAGAATAGAAATAAGTACAAGAGAGCTTACAGTGTTTTCAAGTGCTTTCCTTATCACTAAAGAGACATTTATATGATTTTGTTACATTTGACTCCAACTTTCAGATATACATACCTCCTTTGGCATTGAAAATAGGAATAAAAAGTAGAACTTAAACAAAAATCTTATCCTCAATGAGCTATACTAGCATTGTTTTCTTTCTAATATGGGCTTAATGTCATTAATGACTCCATTTTTTTTCTCCAAGGAATCCAGTTTATTACTAATTTTCCCTGCATTGTGCATGTGTTGTAAGTTTGCCCCCTTGTGGATGATTTCGGAACTGTCAACATTATTTTTTTTTTCTTGTTTTTAGTAGGAAAAAAGACTGAAAGTGTAGATATTGTCGTAAACGGGAATTATTTTTAAAGAAATGTGGAGACTAACCAAAAGAGGTTCAAATCATTGGACATTTACCTCTCTTCTGTTAGTTTTCAAATTTGCTATTATGTTAAGGTCCCCACTAACTGAATTTGGAAATGATGATAGTCAAATAAGTTAAAATGTTAATATTATCTTATAATAAGAGAATACAGAATTAAAAAAGCTAGTCTCACCATTATTTTACATTAAAAGTCTCAAACTTTTCAACTTAGTAGGATATGATGGCTTTCTTTAAATTAGCTTGAGATTATATAAATATAAATACAAGGCAGCCCGCAATTGATTAATCTTCACTTGCTAGGGTTGCATGTGGAATTATACAAATTATGAGAAATCCCATCCTTGATATTGTGCATACATCAATAAGTCTGACGTTTTATTAATAGTTTTCTATACCATATTAGAAAAAATATCTTTAATGCACTTAACTAAGCATTTGTGACTTGGCTCCTAGAGAGCAAGAAGTAGCATAAAACAATCAGTAATTTTTATTTACTATTTTATTTATAAAACATTATCTATTGATCACTTACTGTGTGCTTGGAACTACTTTATATTCCAGGGATAAGACCCAGTTTCTTTCCTCAAAATAGTTGCAATCCGATGGGGAACAAACCAATTGCAATAAAGTGTTATAAATTTTGCTGCAGAGTTTTGTACATAATATGAGTATACACAACACATTTTAAGTTAATTCTAGAAGAGTAGTTAAGGAAAGCATCATAGAAGAGAGGACCTAAGCTGCCTTGTGAAGTGTTTAATAGTTGAAGAGTTGGAGCCAAGGGATAGAAAGCAGAGGAGTTTAGCCTGAGGAAGGAAATATACACAGAGGTAATCTTGTGGCTTAGTCACCAGTTCTTATTGTGTACACCTGCTGGTAACTTCATCATCATCATCATCATCCTCATCATCATCATCATCATCATCATCATCATCATGCTGGCACTAGTACATACATACTTACTGCCACAAGTCAAATAAGCTCTTAATATATAGTACCTAAATGTTTTTTACCATCCACTTTATATTACAATTATTCTCACTTCACACACAAGAAAATGAGACCTTAGTTAGATTAAGTTACTTGCTTGAGCCTAGGTGTTACACTTTAAACTTTATGCTCTGAACCTCTGCACTTTGCTAGCTAGAATGATTTGTCCATAGGAAGAGCTCAAATACTGGTTAGTAAGCATAATAATTTCATAAAAAGCAAAGCAAAGTAGTCCACTTTGACATTTATGATGCAGGTTAGGGAACATGCTTAAGGGCTTATGGATGAGTAATTAAGATGAGAAATGCTCAAAGAATAGGGAAAATTGTATTATGCATGTATTATGGCAAAAAAAGAATCCTTTCTAATATCTAACTTCCAGTTCATAGTACGATATTTATACTAACACACTTAGGCAACATCAATGGAGTGTTCCCTTCTCCTTTGTGACAGGGCAATGTTGTTGATGCATGGAAAGAAAATTGACATTACCTGCACACTGTAACTCTTTAGGAATAAAACCCTTTGGGATTTTTTTATTTTATTTGTCAACTGGTGTATATGAATCATTTTAGGTGAAGAATTATTGCCTGATTGGAGATACTATGTTTGAATTTTCTACAGATAACAATAAACAACCTCTTTCAGTTTTAAAATACCATATCTGACAAATGAGTTGTTATGCTAAAGAGAGTAATCAATGCCATAATGTGTCTGGAATCTAAAATAAATGAGAAATAGCTAAAGGAACTGGGAATAGATGAAATGAGACAAGACCAGATGGGAACTAGGTGGCAGCTCTAAAATATTTGAGGCATTGTCCTTTGAAAAAAGGGTTAGGCTATTTCAAACAGAAGAAGTTAGACCAGTGAGCCAGGCTTAAGTTCATAAAAGGATGAACATTTTAATGATTGGAACCTTTCAGGAAATAAAATAGACCACATTTTAAAATTATAAACTCCCTGTCTCTTAATATTTCAGCAGAGATTGAAGCTAAGAAGTTGAGAAAGTAAATTCTAAGGGTCTTTACAGTGAGAAAATTCTATGGTTTTCTAACTCCTCATAAATTCGTGTAGTTCATGCATTCCACTCATCATGACACTTAATTGTATAAGGTTTTGAAAAGCCATCATTCAAAGCTGACATTTTCCTCTGCCACACCTTTTGAATCTTTTGTAAATATTATCTTCTACATCACATTTGTAATATTCCTAAACAGGATGCTTCTCTTCATAAGAAATTAAAAGAGGTTCAGAAATTTTCAAACTAAGTTTTTACCAACTGTATTATTAAGCTTAATTTACCAAAACACTTCATACATAAAGGCATGAGTTCCCATATAGCCTTTACTCAGCTTTCTCAAGTGTTTATATTTTACATAACCACAGTACAATTATGGAAGTCAGAAAATTTGCACTGATACCATTCTGCTAACTGCTTTACAGACTATACTCAAATACTGCCTACTGTCTCTTGGTCTAGGTTCATATCCAGGTTCACTTATCTCAGTATTTGCTATACCTCCTCATTCTCCTTCAATCTAGGATAGTTTTTCAGTCTTTCATGACCTTGAGTTTATGGAGAATCCTAGGCAGTTATTTTGTAGAATCTCATTCACTTTGAGTTTGTTTGATATGTTCTCATGGTTAGACTGAGGTTATGTGATAACTGGCAGGAGCACCAAAGGATGTTATGCCCTTCTCAGTGTGCCATATTAGGGAATACAAGAAATGTCTTATTACTGGGTGGTATTAACTTGGATGACTTGTTTATAAGGATAGCAGCAAAATTATTATTTTACCATTTAATATGCATTTTTCTGGGGAGATAATTTTGGATTGCTTGATTATTCTATTTCTTGTTTCATCCTCCCATACCAATTTTAGCAACTGCCAATAATTCCTGTTTCTACCAGTTACTTTGTTGTTTCACAAATGGTCATTTTCTATTCTCATAATTCCTTCAACAGTTATTAATTTAACTGTAAGGAAGCACTGTTCCTTTCCCCTCATTTGCATATTATTTATATCAGTGTATACTTATGGATATTTATTTTATTCTCTGTGTTAAAATCAATTACAATTATTAATTACATCATTGCTCAAATTGTTCCAGATTTGATCATTGGACTCCTTCAAATCATCTCCTGTGTGTTTTTTTTTACAGGGCCATACAATTTTTTGAGTAGTACTTTCCTTTCTTGCACCAGAAAATGCTCCAGTCCTATCTTTTACTTTCCCTGTCCCAGTTCTTAATCCATTATTTCTCCAAGGTGTTCTGGTTCCTTGAACTATATAATAGTAATTACAGGCTGGGCATGGTGGATCAGGCCTATAAATAATCCCAGCACTTTTGGAGGTCGAGGTGGGAAAATCGCTTGAGTCCCGAAGTTTGAGACCAGCCTGAGCAACATGGCGAAACCCCGTCTATACAAAAAAAACAAAAACAAAAACAAAACAAAACAAAAATTAGCTAGATGTAGTGGCACACACCTGTAGCCCATAGCCCCAGCATCTTGGCATGAATTATATTCATTACTAACCAGGTTACCTAATTGCAGACAAAACTAACATATACACATAAACATCTGTTTTTATATTTATTTATATGAATGTATGTTTATATATAGATATCTGTATGATTATCTGTATAAAAGTATGAGTTCAAACTTATATCTGGATTCCAGTCCAACTCAGGGTTTATTTTTCCCTCCTCTCTCACTCTTTCTTTATTTGTAACTTCTTATTTTCTTTCTTTCTTGTTTTATTATACTTTAAGTTCTGGGATGTATGTGCAGAATGTGCAGGTTTGTTACATAGGTATACATGTGCCATGGATGTTTGCTGCACCCATCAACCGCTCATCTACATTAGGTATTTCTCCTAATGCTATCCGTTCCCCAGCCCCTCACCCCTCGACAGGCCATGGTGTGTGATGTTCCCCTCTCTGTGTCCATATGTTCTCATTGTTCAAGTCTCACTTATGAGTGAGAACATGCGGTGTTTGGTTTTCTGTTCCTGTGTTAGTTTGCTGAGAGTGATGGTTTCCAGCTTCATCCATGTCCCTGCAAAGGACATGAACTCATCCTTTTTTATGGCTGCATAGTATTCCATGGTGTATATGTGCCACATTTTCTTTATCCAGTCTATCACTGATGGGCATTTGGGTTGATTGCAAGTCTTTGCTATTGTGAATAGTGCTGCAATAAACATATGTGTGCATGTGTCTTTATAGTAGAATGATGTATAAGCCTTTGGGTATATACCCAGTAATGGGATTGCTGGGTCAAATGGTATTTCTAGTTCTAGATCCCTGAGGAATTGCCACACTGTCTTCCACAATGGTTGAACTAATTTATACTCCCACCAACAATGTAAAAGCATTCCTATTTCTCCACATCCTCTCCAGCATCTGTTGTTTCCTGACTTTTTAATGATCGTCATTCTAACTGGCATGAGATAGTATCCCATTGTGGTTTTCATTTGCATTTCTGTAATGACCAGTGATGATGTGCTTTTCTTCATGTCTGTTGGCCGCATAAATGTCTTCTTTTGAGAAGTGTTTGTTCATATCCGTGCCCACTTTTTGATGGGCTTGCTTGCTTTTTCTTGTAAATTTGTTTACATTTCTTGTAGATTCTGGATATTAGCCCTTTGTTAGATGGATAGATTGCAAAAATTTTCTCCCATTCTGTAGGTTGCCTGTTCATTCTGATGATAGTTTCTTTTGCTGTGCAGAAGCTCTTTAGTTTAATTAGATCCCGTTTGTCCATTTTGGCTTTTGTTGCCATTGCTTTTGGTGTTTTAGTCATGAAGTCTTTGCCCATGCCTATGTCCTGAATGCTATTGCCTCGGTTTTCTTCTAGGGTTTTTTATGGGTTTAGGTCTTATGTTTAAGTCTTTAATCCATCTTGAGTTAATTTTTAAAAACTCTCAATAAACTAGCCATTGAGGGAACGTATCTCAAAATAATAAGAGCTATTTAGGACAAACCCACAGCCAATATTATACTGAATGGGCACAAGCTGGAAGCATTCCCCTTGAAAACTGGCACAAGACAAGGATGCTCTCTCTCACCACTCCTATTCAACATAGTATCGGAAGTTCTGGCCGGCGCAATCAGGCAAGAGAAAGAAATAAATGGTATTCAAATAGGAAGAGAGGAAGTCAAATTGTCTCTGTTTGCAGATGACATGATTGTATACTTAGAAAACTCCATTGTGTCAGCCCAAAATCTTCTTAAACTGATAAGCAACTTCAGCAAAGTCTCAGGATACCAAATCCATGTGCAAAAATCACAAGCATTTCTATACACCAATAACAGACAAACAGAGAGCCAAATCATGGGGGAACTCCAATTCACAATTGCCACAAAGAGAATAAAATACCTAGGAATCTGACTTACAAGGGATGTGAAGGACCTCTTCAAGGAGAACTACAAACCACTGCTCAAGGAAATACGAGAGGACATAAACAAATGGAAAAGCATTCCATGCTTATGGATAGGAAGAACCAACATCGTGAAAATGGCCATACTACCCAAAGTAATTTATAGATTCAATGGTATCCCAATCAAGCTACCACTGACTTTCTTCACAGAATTAGAAAAAACTACTTTAAATTTCATGTGGAACCAAAAAAGAGCCCTTATAGCTGAGACAGTCCTAAGCAAAAAGAACAAAGCTGGAGGCATCATGTACCTGACTTCAAACTATGCTACAAGGCTACAGTAACCAAAACAGCATGGTACTGGTACTGAAACAGATATATAGACTAATGGAACAGAACAGAGGCCTCAGAAATAACGCCACACATCTACAGCCATCTGATCTTTAACAAACCTGACAAAAATAAGCAATGGGGAAAGGATTCCCTGTTTAACAAATGGTGTTAGGAGAACTGGCTAGCCATATGCAGAAAACTGAAACTGGACCCCTTCCTTATACCTTATACTTCTTTCTTTAACAGTGAGAAATGGATTCTCATGATCCACATTCTATTTACTTACTTGTTTAGTCCTAGAATACACATAATAATTTAAGAATTGTGAAAAAAATTAATAAGTTGATATGGTTTGGCTCTGTGTCCCCATCCAAATTGCATGTTGAATTGTAATTCTCAGTGTTAGGGAGGGAGCTGGTGTTAGGTGATTGGCTCATGGGGGCAGATTTCCCCCAGCCATTCTTGTGATAGTGAGTTCTCATAAGATCTTGTTGTTTAAAGGTGTGTAGAACTTCCTTGCTCTCTCTCTGCCTCCTGCCACCATGTGGAGAGGGTGCTTTCTTCCTCATCATCCTTCTGCCATGATTGGAAATTTCCTGATTTCTCCCAGCATGCTTCCTGTATAGCCTGCGGCACTTTCAGTCAATTAATCCTCTTTTCTTCATAAATTACCCAGTCTCAGGTAGTTCTTTATAGCAGTGTGAAAATGGATTAACACACAAGTACAATATTTGTGTACAATTCTTTTTGTCTTTAGCCTTACAGTATGTGTAAGCTCAAAAGTGTATTGTCAAGACACTGTTTCCTAAAGTTTAGGTTAGTTTTTCTGCACTTCAATGTAATTTTGTTATTTGTTTGTAATCAAGTTAGGCTAATTTGTCATGGTTTGTGTTCCATTTTGAGATCTTTCCAAATCCTGCTTGATTTTAAATATTTACCTGGAAATGTACGATTTTCCATTTTTTTAATCTCAGGATTATACAAAAAGGCATACTAATAGAAATGTCATTCCTTTTCATCCCTTCTACTCCATTCTCATTCTACTCTTCTTTCTGCCCAGTTTCTGTCAGCTTCCTGTAGATAATCAATTGCACTAATTTCTGGTTTACCTTTCTACATTTCTTTTTGCACAAATGAGCAGATACATGTCCATTTTCTTACATTTCCTTTTTTTGTTACATGGGAGGTGATATATTTGTAGATACTCATATATACTTTGTCTTTAAGGTATTGTGGTGATCACTCTATATCATTTGATATTCTGCAAATCTTTTCTCTCTCAATGAATGACATCATGATCTGTATACTGACTCAAAGCAAAACCTAGGAATAAGGCTTTATTCTTTATTTTTTTTCATTTTTCATTTAACGTAGAATACATCAGTGAGTTTTCTATAATCTATATTCAAGTGTATATATATATATATATCTAATATATATGTTCTTATTTCTCTTCATTTTCATGGTCATCATCTTAGTCTATGCTACCACAATTTCTCCCTTGTTCTACTTTGAGAAATTTTTATGTAATGTACCATACAAATCTGACCATTTCAACTATTTTCTTTCAAAACTATTTAATGGCTTTCACTTGCATCTAAAATAAAATCAGAATCCTTAGCCTTGTAGATTTTAGCCCCTATCAATCCTCCCAACTGCATCTTGTCTGCATTTCCTTCATGCGGGTATTTGATTATTTACCCAGATACGCTCTAAGATTTCCCATTGCAGGGCTTTTTAGTAGCTAGTTTTTTCATGTAATGTTCTTATTCCTTCTCTTTATCTTGCTTCTTACTCTTTTGTTTCAGCTTTAATGTCGCCTCCTCCTAAAGGCCTTTGCTGCCACCTTTTCTGAAATAGGTTACCACCCCTTCAGTCATTCGTTAGTCAGTTTGTGTCCTCCTCAGCAGCTCATATAAGTAATAAAATGTAGAATTTTAGGTTGATATGTAATTGTTGTACATAACTTTGGGGTATATGTGATATTTTGATACCTGTGTACAATGTACAACGATCAAATCAGAGGAACTGGGATATCCATCACCTCAAACATTTAACTTTTATTTGTGTCAGAAAAATTACAGTTCTTCACTTCTAGCTATTTTGAAATATACGATAAATTATTAACTAAAATTTCCCTTCTATATTATTAAATACTGGACTATATTTCTTTATCTAACTGTATTTTTGTATTCCTTAACCAACTTATTTTTATTCCTTCCTTTGCTGTTCCCTTCCCAGACTCTGGTTAAACACCATTCTTACTCTCTACCTCCATGATACCATTTCTTTTGCTCCCACATTTGAGTAAGAACATGCAATATTTGTCTTTCTGTACCTGGCTTATTTCACTTAGCATAATGTCTTCCAGTTCTATCCATGTTGTAGCAAATGATGTAATTTCATTCTTTTTTAATGGTGGAATGGTATTCCATTGTGTAGATATACCACATTGTCTTTATTCATTCATCTATTGATGGCCACTTAAGTTGATTCCATACCTTGACTATTGTGAATATCTTGCTGCAATAAACATGAGTGTGCAGGCATCTCTTTAATATGCTGGTCTCCTTTCTTTTGGATCTAAGCCCAGCAGTGGAATTGCTGGATCATATGGTAGTTTTATTTTTACTTTTCTGAGGAACTTCCATACTGTCTTCCATAAAGGCTCTGCTACTTTACATTACCACCAATAAAGTGTAGACTAACAGATACTTTTTAATATCAAAATGTAGCAAAATTTTCTTAAAAATGATATTAGTGAAAGCATTATATGATAAGTTTTCTGAACTGTTCATTAACTTGAGAGGGCAATACCATCATGTATCTTTTGTTTTTCACATTAAAATGAACTCAGGTTCCTATTTGCCAGATTGTGTATGTCAATATTCCTCTCTTGTGGAAACCTTCTCTTCTGAATGATTTTGAAACTCTGGACTTTATGCATTTCAAGAGGGTAGCAGGCCAACATTTGCTTAAGTGTGACAAGGATGAACTCTGATCAGGTCCTTCCTGTCACTGCTTATTGATACCACATTGGTAGCTGCAGACATATGGTCTTCCACACCAGTTAGGTAATGCTATCCACTGATCGAGACCCCCCTGTTGATCCAGATCTTTGTGCACCCACCACATTGAGCTTCCAGAGTTTTGCTTATCTCTTATCGAATGACCAAGGTTCACTGGACTCCCAGCGTTGCAATTCTTAGTGTTCACATAATTTATTCCCACAGATAACCATTGTCCATGGCTCAACCAACCTAAAAAATTAGAGCTCTTTAGGCATTTGCTCCTGTGGATCAAGAGCCACTGACTATTTTATTTTCCTTGGGATCTATACCACAGGTATTTAGTTAGAAAATTTTATTTTTTCCCATTTGAAACACATCTTCATGAGGGCTCATAACTAGATCGTATATAGGAGTTATTAAAAGTCATCTCTAAAAGTGATTTCTTACATAGAAATTTAAAAAATCACATCTAATAATATCCTAAAAATAAGATAAATCACAATAAATATGATTTTAATATATATAAGTATATAAAACTTTAATATCTAAAAATATAAATATATATTTATAATGTATAATATGTACATGTATCATTTATGTATATGTATGTTTATACATACAAGTATATATGATATGTTGGCAATAATAGCATGTATTGTGGACATTAAGAGATAATTTTTATTTTCTTTATTTTTTGATATTTACTAAATTTTCTGAATGAACATACTTTACATTCATAAATATTCTAACATAGACATACTTTCCTCAATTGAAATGCAGTAAATTTTAAATACACTCAGTTTGATTCATAACAAAAGGAAAGTGGTAGTTAATTGTACTGGAGATCGCTGGTTTTCCAGGTATTTACTATTTGCACAAATGCAAACTTAGATCTTGTCTTTTCTTGCAAATCTTGTCTTTTCTTGTAAGCATACATACACACACACACACACACACACATGCACACACACACACAACCCATGATTGTTAATTTTTTAGTTTTTGTTTTTCCTTTTATTCTAGTGTGATAAACTTAGGAAACAAAGTCAAACCCCAAAAAAATAAGCTTTAAAAATACATTTGGATAGTATTCTTTTTCTCTGGAACGTTCCTCTAAAGTAATATTGTCATTAATGTCAGTACATATTAATTTTTTTTCCTGGAACATGAATGCATGGTGATGTAGTCACACTAGAAACTGGAATCTAAGTTTTCAAATTCAAATTCTAACTTTAATCAACTGCAGTGTATCATAGTGATTAAAAGCATGGGAATTAGAATTAGACATCTGGGTTGAGTCTAACTTTGCTCCTTACAAGGTGACCTTAGGTGAATCATTTATCTCTCTATGCCTTAATTTCTTCATTTATAAAATGGACATGTTAAAATTATTAATATTCAGATTTAATGAAAGAAATGCATGTTAGGGCTGAGTACGCATGAGGCAATTAACAAAGTGACTAGTTAACATTAGTTGGTATTGTAATTACATTTTCTTTGCATATATGCACGTTTCCATGATTTTCTTGTTATAAATTGTAAAAGTATAGTTTCCTTTATAGGTGAGTTTTAAGATGTAAATAAGGCAATTTAAAATGTCTTGATATTATTTAATTTTCAATGCCTAGCACCAGTATATGCTCTAGATTCATCATCATGAATCAAAACCTGTTGGTAAAACTGTCAAGTTGCCAAAACATTTTCATTAACTGCCATTCATTGAACCTTAAGTCCTAAGAAGGCTTTCTGATGTAGTAAGGCATCTACATTTTATACTATTTAAGAACTAATACCATCACTATTCTATTTTTATTATTAAATATTATCCTTTTCCATTTACTTTGTAAAGTATAAATATTGAATGTCCTGGAATGAGACAAACTATCTTTTGATCTGAAAAAGCGTAGAGAGGCTCAATGCTGTTGAAAGGAGGAAGACAAAGAAGAATAGGGGAAGCGGCATTCCTTCCTCCTTCACAAGAGGGACAGGATATCAGAGCTCTCCATACAGAAACTGAAGCATGCCTTTCTTTCTGAGATTTGAAAGGGAGAGATGCCCTACATTTAAATATCTAGAGTATATCTTCCATTTAAAAATGAACACAGCTAATCAACTAGAGAGGAAGAAGAGGGTAAAATAGCCTGTGAACAAGTCCTTTTTGTGGTGTTAAGTGAAACTAATTATAATGAATACCACATATCTAATGAGTTTAAGAATTCCCCTTGGAAAAACTGGTCTGTCCTTTACATAAAAAGAGTAGAGAGACCAGGGAAGTTATTTGCATGTAGTAGGGCAGATCTACTAACTGCTTAAATCA
This sequence comes from Homo sapiens, assembly GCF_000001405.40. NCBI lineage: Eukaryota > Metazoa > Chordata > Mammalia > Primates > Hominidae > Homo > Homo sapiens. Next base: position 78,496,564 of record NC_000008.11, on the reverse strand, counting down.
TACTCATTTAATGGCCCAATTCAAAGTCTACCATAATTTTTCATAATATATGTAATTGTATAAATGTAATATAGAGTTATATATGTATACAATGTCAACAAGGTATCCAATCCTCAGTTCTTTGATTAGTCTCCCAACACATTTCCCTTCCCTCCTCTCCAAATACTGAGTGATGATAATTATTTTTAGTTTTTGATTAAAGGAAAAATTGTGAATAGCACAATATTCTTGAGCTACTTAGAGGAATATTAGAAAATCAGAATTTAGTTTCATGTTTGCTTGACTTTCTTCATAAAGTTAACATTATTTATTACTAAAATTTCTGTTTTCTAAATATTGACTTGGTTCATTAAACTAGATTATATTAATGATTTTATAATTTTAAGAATTAAAACTTGATGCCCTTTCCTGTTATTGGCAAATATTTGATTTAAAAAATGTCTCTTTTAGCAATAGTTTATTTTACACATATAGGTCTTTTGAAGTTATATTTTGAGTAAATAATGCCATTAGGTTTAATATTGGCCTTTTTTTTCTTTTTTACTAGTCTTATTAGTAGAAGTGTTTGTTTCAAATTATGCTGAAAAGCAAGGACTCTTTTTGTTATATTTCAGGAGACAGTGTAGAAAGTTTCCATGGGATTAATGAATATCCCCTAAAAAACAAGGAGCCTAGGAATCTACTTTCATAAGAAGCATTTCCCATCATTGTCACTCATGGCTATCTCATTGCTGAACCTGGTAGTCAGCTCTAAGAACTCACTTTCCAACCTGTTATAAGCATTTGGCACAGTCACTTTCTCCCTCCTTGAAGCACTTGATACCTATCACTTCGATGCCACTCTCTTTTAGTTTCCCTCTGACTTCACTAATCACTTCATCTGGGGCTCCTGTATTAGTTAGTTCTCCTCTTCCAAACATTAGACCTCTTCTCTTTACGTATAGGCCCTGCCCTATGTAACTCATACAGTGTTTTGAAGAATTCGTGATATTTGTTACGCTGTGGCAAAGTTGTTAGTAAAACTATTGCTTCTCACATTTTAAAGGATAGCAATGGGCTTATTTAACTCTTATTCCCTATATGGAAGGAAATCTTCAGAAAGCTGTTGTCTTGCTGTTTCTTATTGTTTGAAACAAGTTCTTCAGAAGTGAGATGAACTCAGGCTAGAGCTAGCCAACCTGCAAGCGGAGATGAAAGGGAATATTGCTTTGATAAAAGGAGGTGCTATCTGCCTGCAGCCTGTAATTGAAACTGATTGAGAGTATGATAAGTCAGGACCATTCAGGGCACAAAAATCTGACTGTTATGCTACGTGGAATGGAAGCAGTTACATGCCATGGCTACAAAACAGTAGTCTTTGTAGGAAATATCACTGTGGCCTAAAAACTTTTTCAAGCATTTTCCTTTAAAAGTTAAGACAAGACAATGGGAGCTAATTCAGCAGCAAAGATCAGATTAAGGATAGTACTTTACCATTGTGACAACACCTCTGCAGGTGCTTCACCTCCTCCTAACTTGACTTCTGATTCCAGCCTTTCTGTGTAAGATTTAACTCACTTTGCCTGTTAGTACCTGTATTAGTCAGGGTTTCCAAGGAAACAAAACTAATAGGATATACATCTATATCTATCTGTGTATCTGTCTTTTCTTCCTTCCCTATTCAATTTCCAATCTCTCATGTTTGCACTTTGCAAACAGATTTCCAAATAAGCTACTTGAACATAAGAAAAATCTTGGGCTCTGTGTTGGGTGTAGGGAAGACCTAGCCTAAAACACTAGCCAAAATTGTACTTTTAGAGAACCTCAAGAGAGTTGGGATGGAGTGGAATGAGTGCAATACAGAGGCCAGTACGTGTACTGAGGTTGAAAAAGTTGTGGCTAGATGATAACTTTGCCTGTGATAATTCGCACATGGAGTTAACTGGAAACAAATCTCAACTCTATCAAGTGTTTGAGGGACTTGCTTGCCAATGACACTACAAGCCTGGCTTAAGACAATGTCTGATTCCTAAATCTGCACCAGCAGTAAGTGGCCTGTAAAAGCCCCTAAAAATACATTCTTTTTTGAAGTTCTTGTCAAATATAGCTATGGAAGGTGATAGGCAAAAGAGTTATCTGCAGAAAGTAGAACCAGCAGCTGCGAAGTAACTTATAAAGAAATTGATTCTACTTGCAGAAAAGAACATGTTTGCTACTGCTGTCCAGTGGGATGTATAAATTGCCATGACACTTTTCTAAATGTGAACTCTTATCCTATATTTGTTTTGGGAGCAGATAAGTTTAATTTATAAATTAATTATCCACAAAGAGCTACATTTGTAGAGAGAAGAATCACTACGGGATCCTGGATTTCTTGCTGGATGCACTAAGGTGATGAGGCTTGGTGCTTATCTCTCTTAGAAAGAAAGCGAAAATGTTTTTATTGTAGAAGAAACAATACACGTTGATAATCGAATGACAAAAGGAGTGGACTGGCTAAGACTACTGGTTTCCCCACAGTATCTATTATCTTTTTATACCTTAATGGAATTTGTAATTTTTACCTAGACACAAAAATACTCAGGATAAAGATACTTCCCTTTGCCTCTCCTCTTAGTTAGCATCTCCCTATGCCTATGTTCTGGACACTAGTGTGTGAGCAGAAGTGACTTGTAGAAGTCCTGGGTTATGTCCCAAAGAGAGGAATGGGTCCTTTTATCCCCATTTCCTCCATCCTGGTGTATTCATTATGGATTTGAAAGGTGGAGAATGATCTTAGATTATGAGGATTAGAATCACATCCTAGGGAGAATGGATTAAAAAGCTGAAGTTGACTCTGTCTTATTCAACACCAGAATCACTGTGCTAGTCTCAAACTGTCTACATGTAAATGCTTAAGTGAGAGAGGAAACAAGTTTTTTTAAAAAAATTTTAAATCTTCATGGTATGAGGCCTAAAATTACTAACACGTCTTAAGACAGTGCTGTCCAATGTGAAATGAATGTTTATCTGAAGGGGTCTTCTGGAGAAATGACACTTCAATCCTAAGAGGGAGCTGCAGAAGAGACACATTTTTTTCCTCTCTCTGTGAACATTATCATAGATTAATGCTTAATATTTTATAACTGGATTAAATTGTAGATAATTTAATCTTTATCATTTTCCATCTAGCTATCTTTATTGAACTATTTCAAAATATGCATATTTATATAAATATAAATATTTGCCTTAATTGTGAATCTTTTAATATTGTATTAGGTTTTATTCATACCTGTTCTAATGGGAAGGCACAATTTCATTTAGATGGATATGTACATTTAGCCTCGAGCATCAAAAGTGTATTTAAATTTTTATCTAGCATAGCCTACTTCCTACATGAAATCAGAATATAAATCATAGAGACCAATTCTTTATGTTTAAAAGCTTGTCAATAGAGCAGAAAAGCATAAATGCATTTGTCAATGAATCCTTCACAGGACACATGGTTTACATCCTGAAGCAATATGGGAATTCGTTACTGTGTTGACAAATGATTGAATAAAATCTGTTTATTGTTTTCTTGCCAAATTTACTAGACCAGGAAAGTTAAAAAAGAAGAAAAAAAGCTACAATTTTATAAATATTGATTAAAAAAAGGAGAGTTTACATATTTCATCAAACATCTTATTATATGCTGATTATCAGTGGTTTTGCCATAATTTAAATTCTTTTTAATTACCTTACAAAATAGGTTTACAAAATTATATTGCCGTTATTATAAATAAGAATCATAAAGACACATAGAGTTAAGTGATATAGCCACAGAGAAAAGATATTCAGTAATAGTATGATTTTGCTGATATTAATTTTTCTCAAATGTGTTGTAGTGTATAGATACACGGTGTTTATTGTTTAGGTACAAGTTTTTTCAAGAGAAACATTTAAAACGTATATTTCAAAAAGTATCAAAATGTATTTATAGATTAAAAAGAAGAAAAGAACGTAAAAAATTAAGGTATCAGTATTGAACATTTTTTAAAAAGCCCTTTACATTTTAAGTGATAGCACGTAGAAATCGTATTACAATTTATAACAAAGAAATAATAACTATATTTGTGATTTTCTTGTAAGTGCAATTTTATAGGAAATAGTTGGCCAAGCACACTTTTGGAAATACAGTATTTGGAGAATTTATCTTTTTACTGGTTTTTTAATAATAAATAGTTTTATTTCAAAATGAGCATCTGGATATTATTTTTTTTTTTAAAAGGACAATACAAAAACTTAGAACATTCCTTTCAGTGTGTTGATCCTAAGACCTTGTTAAGGAGTTCTCAGAGACCTACATATTTTCAACATATTTTATTTAACTGTCCGCCTACATTGAATTAGTCATCTCTTTTTGAAATACTTTATATAGTTTTTAAAGAATTTACATATATTCTATGTTCCAAACACACTGTCTACTGCATTTGGGCTTCTGTGTACATTGGGAAGACACTTTTCAAGTAAGAAGACAAAGACTTTGAAAGGAGACCTATTCCTCTAACTATTGATCTTAAAAAATGTACATTTCTTACAGTATAAACCCATTATGTTTTTATTTTGAATATTTTAGTGTGATAATATACAAGTAACATAAAATTTATCATTTTAATCATTTTCAAATGTACAGTTCTGTAGCATTAAGTACATTCACAATGTTGAGCGACCATCACCATTACCATTTCCAAAACTTTTTCATCACCCCACATAGCAACTCTATACCCATTAAGTAATAACTCTCCTATTCATCTTCCTCCCAGGCTCTTGTACCCAATATTTTATGTCTCTATGAATTTGCATATTCTATATATTTTATTTAATTATACAATATTTGTCCTTTTGTGCCTGATTTATTTCACTTAGCATATTTCATGTTTTCAAGGTTTATTAATGGTGCAGCACATATCAGAACTAATTTCTTTTTATTTCAGAATAATATTCCATCATATTTTCATACTACATTTTGTTCATCTGTTGATGGACGCTTGGGTTGTTTCTACCTTTGGTTATTGTGAGTAATGGTACAAAACATTGATGTAAGAATATCTGTTTGAGTCCTTGTTTGCAACTCTTTGGTGTATAATCTAGGAGCAGAATTGCTGTGTCAAATAGTTATTCCATGTTTTGCTTGTTGAAGAACTGCCAAACTGTTTTCCACAGTGGCTATACCATTTTACATTTCCAATAGCAAAATATGAGGGTTCCAATTTCTCTACCTCCTCGCCATTACTTGCTATTTTCCCTTTCATATTTTATTATAGCCATGCTAGTAGGTGTAAAGTGGTATCTTATTGTGGTTTTTATTTGCATTTACCTAATAATTAATAATGTTGTACATCTTTTCATGTGTTTACTGCTGTTTGTATATTTTCTTTGGAGTTAAAATATTTTAAGTTATTTGCCCATTTTTAATTTTCTTTGTCTTTTCATTGTTGAGTTGTAGGAGTTCTTTATATGTTTTGGATATTGAATCCTCATCAGATATATGACATCAAATATTTTCTCCCATTTTGTAGGTAGTATTTGCACTTTCTTAGTAATGTCCTTTGCCGAACAAAAGTTTTCAATTTTAACAAAGTCAGATTTATGTGTTTTCTTTTGTTGCTTGCATTTTTGAGGTGAGAATTTATTGCCAAAGTTATTGCCAAATCCTAGGTCATAAAGATTTATCCCTATGTATTTTAAAGAATTTTATGGTTTTAGCTTTTATGTTTAGGTTCAAAACTCAGGCCAGAAAAACAGTAGACACTGATTAAAAAAAAAAACTACAAACTGAACCAACAGTTCAGTTTTGAACAGTTTGCATAATTTTGTATATGGTATAAGTTATGGGTACAATTAGAACTTTCAGTACAATGTTAAATAACAGTGGCAAAAGTGGACATCCTTGCCTTGTTCTAATCTAAGGAGAGAAGCTTTCAGTCTTTTACTGTTGTGTATTACTTTGGCTGTGTAGTTTTCATAAATGCCCTTTGTCATGTTGAAGATGGTCCTGTCTATTCCTAGTTTTCCAGTTTATGTTTTAATTGTGAAAGGGTGTTGGATTCTGCCAATGTATTTTCTGCATCAATTGAAATTATCATGTGGGTGTTTTTCCTGCTTTCTAATAATGTGGTATATTGCATTGATTATATTTTTTGTTGGACCACTCTTGCATTCCTAGGATAAATCTCACTTGATACAGGCCTTAGACAGTCACAAAGATAATAATGCTTTGACTATATTGTCAAAACATTATTGTTCCACACAACTGATGGTTGTTCGTTCAGTTTTCAGTACTTTTGAGCAATGTCCACTGTTTTTTTTGGCCTGAGTTTTAAATTAGGTAATATAGAGATGAACACCTTGCATCAGCTCTTTATGTAGCCCATCCAAATTAGAGCAGACACAATCATTTGTGAATCAGATCTGCTCTGCTCCTTCTAGTTGCCACCTGTGAATACCAGATTTCCTCTTCTAAATGATATTAGAAGATGGGGTTTTTCAAAAGCAAGTAAAAATGCTACCAAGCTTTCCCACCATTTTTTTTTGGTTGCAATAAACCTTTGACTGTTACTCAAAGTTCTGAAAAAATTGGTTCTGACTGTTCTGCTTGTTTTTGCAATCTCTGGAGAGATGAGAGCTTGGAGCTGTCTACTCCACCATTTTACTGACATCACTCTAAAGCAATGTTTTAAATTATATTTTGAATTTGGGCACACTCAAATTCCTCTTCTGCTCTTTCTTCATTTGCCCACTAGGGACTTTCTCTATTCCTTCCTCCTTCCTAGCTCAGGAAAACAGTTCGCCACACTGTTACAGGAAATTTCCTTTTGCAAAATTCCAAGAGATAAATAAACTTTAGCTAGGGGTGGTGGGGGTGGGCAGTGAGAAGGAGGTATTAAGAGTTACTGCATTTCTCTCTTATCCTTCCTCCACTTCTTACCCTTTTTGTCCTGGTCTAAATATCACCTCCTTTTTTATGGCTACATAGTATTCCTTGGTGTATATGTACCACATTTTCTTTATCCAGTCTATCATTGATGGACATTTGAGTTGATGAGAGAGATCATGTTCTTTGCAGCGACATGAATGGAGCTGGAGGCCATTATCCTTAGAAAACTAAAGCAGGAGCAGAAGACCAAATACTGCATGTTCTCACTTATAAGTGGGACCTAAATAATGAGAACACATGGACACATAGAGGGGAACAACACACAGTAAGGCCTATTGGAGGGTGGAGGGTGGGGGGAGAGAGAGGATCAGGAAAAAAAATAACTAATGGATACTAGGCTTAAGACCTCGGTGATGAAATAGTCTATGCAAGAAGCCCCCATGACACATGTTTGCCTATGTAACAAACCTGCACATCCTGCACATGTACCCCTGAACTTAAAAGCTACATATAAATAAATGAACATCACTTCCTCTAGGAAGCCTGATATGAGTTCCTAGACTTGACTTATTAGCCTATGTATAAGCTCCCACAGTTTTCTGTACGTATCTATTAAAACACTTATCTTTCCACTGTAATGATTTGTTTTAATCTCCTCCTTCATTCTGTGAAGGTAGAGGCCATGTCTGTCTTGTTTACTGTCTAACTGCCATACCTCCTAGTACTGTTTCCAGCACATAGGAGGTACTCAAAAATACTCTGGAATAATTGGGTGGTTGCTAAAAATGAAGTCTATTTTCTTCTTGGCAATTTTCATGTATATATGTATGTCTAATGTGTGTGTGTGTCAGAGGTGGTATGGGTGTATCCCACTGGAACCAAAGTGGGGAGCGCTGGGGCTTTCTTACCTGCTTGCCCAGATGTAGGGCAGAAAGGGAAGAGAAAGTGGTACATTTCAAAAGCTGTCAGCAGTCAAACATAAATGGAGTCAAATGCTTTATTACACGCACTTCTTTTTTGATAAATATTTTAATATCTATCTGTTTCCTCAATTGACCTAATGTACTACAATGACAAATACCATTTCCCTGATTATTTCTGAGTATCAACACTACTTGCAGTGTGTGGCATAAACTAGATACTCAATAATGTCAATTAATGAATGAAGCCACAATTTAATAGTTGACCTATACACATTGTAATAGCTAAATGATTCTGAAGCAATTTTAGAGATGTTATTTGAAGAGTAATTAATAGAGAAACTCCATGGCAGCTGAAGCATTTTATTTTCAAAAAAGAATATGGTGGGAATACATGGAAAATATGTACATACACACATATACACACATACATTGGTCTTCCCTTAAATGGAAAAATCCAAAAATAAACAATTCATAAGTTTTAAATTGCACAACTTTCTGAATATCATTTTGAAGTCTCACACCATCCTGCCATCCTGCTCCGTCCCACCTGGGACATGTGTCTTCATGCTGCATACACAATCTGCCTGTCACTTAGTAGCCCTCCTGATTATCAGATAGACTGTTGAGGGATCACAGTATTTATAATCAAGTAACTATTATTTTACTTAAATTACCTAAAATTACTCAAATTAAATTACCCAAAGCACAAGATTAGTCATGCTGAAAATTTGTATATGCCAAAGAGAAGCCATAAAAGTGCTTCTTTTAACCAAAAAGGTAAAAGTTCTAAATTTAATAAAGAAAAAAATCTTATGGTGAAGTTGCTAAAGTCTCGGTAAGAATGAATCTTCTAGCCATGAAATTGCGAGGAAGGAAAAATAGATTTGCACATAGTACCAAACCCTGTATATACTATCTGTGGTTTCAGGCATCCACTGGGGTCTTGGGACATATCCCCTGCAGATAAGGGGAAACTATGTGTTAAGAGCTTTCTTTGGTTTGGGGGAGAGGAAACTCAGAAACTGTGCTGACTTGAGAAGAGGGAGACTTGAGGTCTGATTCTATTTCTGTCACAAAGTTGGGAGACTCCTTACACAAGTTATTTAATTTCTTGGTTACTATTTAGTCATTTATGAAATGAAAGGGTTGTGATTAATGATCTCTAAAATGTTTTGAAATTCTCAATTCCTATGAATTTGTCTGGCTCTTGGGTTTTTACCCTCACTTGTAATGGAAGAAATAGAGGAGCCTTGAACACTTTAGGTCTAGTATCAATGTTTTTACTGCATTCAGATATAAGTGGTTCTTATCACTGATCCATGTTGACGCTGCCTCATGGGCAGAGAGGTTGCAATGATTTATGAACTTATCCTGTCTGGGCAGATTTACCACTGAGTATTTTATTGATTTTTTTTTTTTAGTTCAGCAAACCTGCTAAAGTTGGTTATTGACCACTCACAGGTTGAATACAGAGACTAAAAGAAATACAAAATTAGAATGAATAGGCCTACATGGAAAAGAGACAAACTTCTTTAAAAAATATCACTTCAAATTTCTTGACATATTAAAAAAATGTAAATTAAATATATGTCTATACACACACTTGTGCACATGCACACAAATTATAAAATAGAGCTCTATGAAATTTCACAGAATATTATCAAGACCCTAGAAACTTCTGTCATGTCCCTTTCTTATCATTACTTTCCCCTAAAGAGTAACTAATACTTTAGCCAATGTATTCATATTAAAAGTTAATTTACATCTATTAAAATATGCTTAAATTATTATTAGTTTCTTTAAGAAAATGGCATACTTAGCAGGTACTAACTCAATTTTCCTTTTTTGAAATGTGAATCTACTTTTCAGATTTACCTTATTCAGTTTGTGTTTATTATGTCTCTTATCCACATAATCTTACTAGTACAAAATGTGATGTGCAAAGTTGACTACCAGGTTCCACACTCACTCTGTAGCATGGTGGTAGTTACACAATTTTTTAACTCACACATGACTAAAGCAAATTTCTGAGACCTGCCTCTGGATTCCAGTAGCTATGACCACTCTCTTCCCTATGTGATGTAAGACTTATTGACCACAGTAGGGCACTTTAAATTTATATATAGGTCACTGGGTTATTTTTTAAGGGCCTGCTGTTAAAACGAAAACATAATCTGGAAAGCTATTAAAATAACTCATAGATAATCTTGACTTAATACATCAAATTTATTTAATTCATCTTATTCAGATATTAGGGGTTAAATGAAGCATAGCCAGTAATTTTTGATAAGTTTACATATATATTGCCAAACGTTATATCATAGGTGGATCTCATGGCTGGCCATAGAGATACACAAAATCCAGAGACCTGCCACTGGCCATAGATAGACACACAAAATTCAGAGGTAAAGGCTCAGTAGGGAGCTATGGCCTGGACCCTTTAAAGCTGTGAGATCCAGAAGTGGGGCAATGGTTGGTTGGGAGTGGTACTGAAAAATAGAATATGAAAAAAGAATATGGATTGGAAAGGCAAAAAAAAAAAAGTTCATCTCTGGTTCAATTTATCTACAGTCAATCATACTGTTTAGTGACCTTAAAACTCAATATCATGTACAATAGCTTTATAGAGATAATCCCCTGCAGAGTCTATTCAAACCACCAACTCAGTAAACAAGACACCATTGCAAGGATGTTCTTTTTGTCTGTTCTAAGGTTTTGTTATTGTCTTGATGATTGGAATTCATGCTGTTTCTGCATATATTGAGGACACAGAGATATGTGTCTGGAATGCATTATAGGAAAAGGAGAAACAGTGAGGAACAAACAGAAAGTGAGAGAAATGACATGCTGTGGTGTGCGCAATAGAGTCAGTAGGAAAACAAGGAAATAGGCAGAGAAAGCTGAATGACTAGAGCTGTCGTATAAAAAGGTGCAAGCACACTAACAATAAAGAAATGTAGCCGCTCTTTGTGGACCATTTACATTTCCAGGACAGGGAAGTGCTATTTGAAATAAAGGCAATCCGGTTAGGTGGTGGAATGCATTTTGTGTCCTAGCTGTGACTGTAGTGGTCAGCTTTCAGAAGAACTATTTAAAAGTGTGGGCCATTTCAGTGTCACTAGTAATCCCACAAAAGGTTGTTCTTGTCAATGAAAATTGGTTACATATGTCCATCTGTAACCACTTGAATAGCCACCAAGCAAAGTACAGTAGATGTTTTCAGAGGGGTTCCTCACTAAATGGTAGGGTAGCAGACAGTGTTGGCTGTCAATCCTCCTCTTCCTGAATAAGAGAATGTTCTTTTTGCTCAGCTAATAGTAACCCATGTGCTTCAGGACCTTTCCTCAACCCTAGGAGTGAAGCTCTATTAGCCAATAGTGATTCTGTTTTCTCTCCAGAGGGTAATTGAGAAATCTTTGAAAATGAATTCAAGTAAGAAGAAACATAATTAGGTTTTAATTTTGAAAAGATCACCTGGGTGCAACATGAAAAACAAATTGGAATGAAGCAAAAGTGGATGTGATGGGACGAGTTAAGGGGCTGCTGCAGTTTTCCCAGTGAGAAATGTGTAGGCAGCTTCAATTAGGGTAAGAGTAGTGGAAATAGATGTGGGTGGATTTGGGAGTAATTTGGAGGTATAAATAATAAGACTTCTATGGGGAATGAGACACTGAGATTTCATAGATGCCCCTTAGATCTTTGGCTTGCAGAATAATGGCTATGATGCATTACTGCATTGGAAGCTACAGAAGTGGATCAGGTTTTAGGAATAAAACTGTTATGGGTTTCGTTTTGGACATATTTGTCTCACCAGAGTGGAGGTGCCGAATTACTAGTTGGATATAGGTTTCTGAAGCTTACAGAACAAGTCTGTAGAGATACACATCTAGGAATTGCCAGTGTAAACAGGATAACTGAAATCATGAGGGTAGCTGAAATCATGTGAGGGAAAGGTCACAGACTAAGATGATGGTGTAGGGCTGAGACCTGAGAAACAATATTTATTAATTTGGTAGAGAAAGATGAGTCTCAAGGGAAGATGAAAAAGAAGAAACCAGAAAAATAGAAGAAAAATCAGGTAAACTGGTATTACAGAAGTGAAAGAAAAAGATGGTTGTAAGAAAAAGGGAGAGGAAAACCAGTGGTAACTTACTGACATAAGGAGTAATCAAAGCCCATAGGATTCAATCACTTCATCAAGATCTTTGATGAAGCGAAAGGGGTTTAAACCAGATTAGAGTAGCAGATGAGTGATGAGTGAGAAAATATATATATATTTAAAAATATATATTTATATATAGAGAGAGACAGAGACAGAGACAGACAGGGTCTTGCTATTTTGCCCAGGCTATAGTGTAGTGGCACAGTAGTAGCTCACTGCAGCCTTGAACTCCTGGGTTCAAGTGATCCTCCTGCCTCGAGCTCCCGAGTAGCTAGGACTACAGGTACATGCCACCCATGCCCAGCTAATTTTTGAAAGTTTTTTTTTTTGCAGAGATGGAGTCTTTCTATGAGGCCCAGGTTAGTCTTAAACTCCTGGCCTCAAAATCCCCTGGCCTCTGCCCCTGCAGAGTACTGGGATCATAGGAGTGAGCCGCTGTTCCCAGACAAAATTAACTGTTTAGAATAAGTTTGACTGTAAAGGAGGAAAAATCGGATGGTATCTGGAAGAGGGATTTTGCAAACAAGTTAGTTTAACTTTCGTTTTCAATATTAGATACACTTGAACATATTGGAGAACATGTTGGATGTAGGAAGAATCTAGCAGAGAGAGAATGACTGAAATTAGCAAGGATGGCTTAAATGATGAGGCAAGTCTCCTCAGGAAACAAGAGGGAGAGGGATTCAGACCACAACCTGGGTAATTTACTTGAGAAGGAATACGTTCTCCACTTTAAGAATAGGGTAGGTATAAAAATATACACGTAGATGTGGGGAGTTAGTAAAAATAATTTTGAGGGAGTTTCTGTTATATGAATGCTTTTTCTCTATAAATTAGCATGTGAAATTATCTTCTGAAAATAAGATTGAAGTGGGAGCATATTACATGTTTGCAGGGAGAGTGAAAGGCTTGACATTGGCAGGTCTTTCTTGGGCAGAAACTGACAGTTTTCTTTGATCTTCTGGTTATTGAGTATGTGAGGTGTGTCTTAGAGTATTTTGCTCTACCAACAAAATCATAATTTAGAAACATTTGTAAATGTAGGTCTCACCTGTTAATCAAGTTTAGCCTGAAGCTGCCTTCTTACATGTTTCAGTTCAGCCTAAAGGTTTTTTCTGTACATCATGAATTATAACAAGTGGAGATGTAAACAGACTATAGCCCACATCTGTGCCAATCACTGAGTGTTAGCCAACAAAACACAGCCAACTGTTAAAACCGTGTTCAAAAAAGGCAAATGCCAAGCTGTAACCAATCCAGTTGTTTCTGTACCTCACTTCCGATTTCTGTATGTCATTTCCCCTTTTTTTTTTGTCTATAAATCTTCTTCCACCATGTGGCTGCTCTGGAATCCCACTAAATCTTCTGTGTTTCTGGGGGCTGCCCAATTTGTGAATCTTTCATTGCTCAATTAAGCTCCTTTAAATTTAATTCAGCTGAAGTTTTTCTTTTTAACACACCATATAGAGTAAATATGTAGGTAGGAGACCTCCACTTCAGCCTCTTACTCAAGTCATGTCCTCCAATCTGAGTTTTCTCAGAATTTAGGAATAGAAATTTTAGGATGTTGATTAAAGTTATTAATGACTTCAATGTTTTACTCTCCATTTCACCAATGATTCTTGCATGTTTTCTCTTTCAACATCCAACCCGGGAAGGAGAAAAGGTTACTTGCATTCTAAAATCCTAATAATTATATTTAGCCAAAATATACTTTGTAGACAAGGGCAAAATATGTTACCATCAGAAACAAATGGATTATGTTTATTTTTATCCAAGTACATTTGAGTACAAACTGATGTAAATTTTTAAGTCTACTGTGTTTCCTTTGTTATAGAATAGCCTTAGTTCATTTACTTATCCAACAAAAATTTATGCTCTAGGCATTATCTTGGGTCCTAGAAATATAGTGATAAACATCAATAATACCTCCATGCCTTTATAAAACTCACATTCTAAAGCATACATTAGATTCTTACAAATGAAAAAATAAATATAAATATAAGATTTGATGGTTCTAATAAAATAAAGCATTGTAAAGGCATAAAATGATAATATATATGAAGGGAAATGGATGTGGCCAATTTAAATAGGGTCCCGGAGACTCTGTCTCTGGAGCTGACATATGAATAGGGGCCTGAATAAAATGATTGAATAAGCTATGCAAAATATAAGCCAAGAAGTTCTCAGCCCAGGAGAGCAGCAAGTGAAAGACACCTGAAGTTGGAATAAGCTTGGTGTGTTTTTGAGGGAAGCAAGAACATAGAGAAGACTGATTCAGGGGAGGGTAGCAGAAGATAAGTTCAGAAAAATACAAAGTAGTAGAAAATGAGTTCACTGACATTGAACACCAGAACCATGGTGAATTGTTTAGATTGAATTCTATGGAAGTGGAATAGTCATTGAGGAGTTTGAGAAGAGGACTGCTGTATATTAATTTCCCTCTTTCAGAGATCACTCTGGCATCTGTTTGAAGGTTTGAAACTCAAGGGTAGAAATCATAAGATTAGTTAGAGGTATTGCATTAGTCACAGTAAGAGATGAGAATGGATTAAACTAGGGTGGTAATGAGTGAGGTGATGAAGAAATACCAAGAGCAGGGTTTGTTTAGAAGATAGTTATGTTGCCTAACTCATTTGTCCTTATAGCAATATATCTTCTTTCTGTTGTACATTTTCAAAGGACAACAGCTGGGCTAAAAAATTATTTAAAAATATTTTAATCTCATGTAAAGTAACTAGATGATTTAAAACTCTAATAACATACCAAGATAATTAATGTCTTTGTAAAATATATTGAGAACAAGAGTATATGAATCAACATGGGTTCAGGGTAGTCATGAATCCATACTACTATCCTTCCCATGTAAATGTGAAGGCAAACTGCTTTGATCTTTTTTTTGTTCTTGGGAGTTGAAAAGAGCATATTCACAAGATTATTCATCACATATCAATTATCAGAAACTATTGTTTTGTTCCAGTAAAAGTGACACATTTACTTAGTAGCTGTGATTAAAAGTACCCCGTGATCAAGTTTCTAGTAGTCTGTTATTAACTTGCATCAGTCCATCTCATTTTTGCAGGGAATACACTGTTGGATTGAAAGAGGAAAAGAAGGGAATCATTACCTCACACTCTTTTAAATCTTCAGTTTCAGAAATCTCTGAAATTTTATCTGGATACCATATTGTTGTGACTTACTATTTTTTCCAAGCAAGCAAAATTTTAGAGACTTCCTGTTAGTCATTTATAGCATCATACTTCTTTTTTTTTTTTTTTTTTTTTTTTCCCAGATGGAGTCTCGCTCTGTCACCAGGCCTCATTGCAGTGGCGCAATCTTGGCTCACTGCAACCTCCGCCTCCCGAGTTCAAGCCATCCTCCTCCCTCAGCCTCCTGAGTAGTTGGGACTACAGGCGCATGTCCACCACGCGCAGCTAATTTTTATATTTTTAGCAGAGACGGGGTTTCTCCATGTTGGTCAGGTTGGTCTCAAACTCCCGACCTTAGGTGATCTGCCCAGTTCGGCCTCCCAAAGTGCTGTGATTACAGGTGTGAGCCACCGGCCTGGCCAGCAACATATCTCTTAATTCAGAGATCTGAGAAGTAATAGGAGCAATATCAGCAAGCAAGTATACCTCTTCTAATTATGAATTCAAGAAACAGAAGGCCAAGTGTGGTAGCTCATGCCTGTAATCCCAGCACTTTGGGAGGCTGAGGCGGGTGGATCACAACGTCAGGAGTTCGAGACCAACCTGGCCAATATGGTAAAACCCCGTTTCTACTAAAAATACAAAAAATTAGCTGGGCATGGTGGCAGGTGTCTGTAATTCCAGCTACTAGGGAGGCTGAGGCAGGAGAATCGCTTGAATCCTGGAGGTGGAGGTTGCCGTGAGCCAAGGTCGCGCCACTGCACTCCAGCCTGGGCAACAAAGCGAGACTCCATCTCAAAAAAAAAAAAAAAAAAGAAAAGAAACAGAAAAATACCCAAAATATAGGTTCCCAGACCAACTAGTAATACTTTAAGATACTTTTGGGGCAGGATTTCATCTAGTATCTGGTCTCCATTACCCACACTCTAATCTGAAGACTATAGTGACATTTCATTTCTCTTGTTGTCAGTGTCAGCTCAGCACTTATATCCATAGACTTCAAAGGATCATGGTATTCCCCTTCTCCAGGGAACAGTTACTCTGTAAATTATTATACTTCTCTTTGAAAAATAAAGACCATATATATTATTGTTTCTATTTTTGTTTATTTGACACAGCTTTACAGAATTCTTTCTCAAGAGGATTTAGACTCCTTTTCTATTGATAGGGCATAAGAATTGACTCAGACCTAGAAACTGGGTGAGTAATTTTGTTTTGCTTTAATATACTTTTTATTTTTGGTGGGTACATAGTAGGTGTATGTATTTATGAGGTACATGAGATGTTTTGATACAGGCATACAAAGCGTAATAATCACATCAGGATAAATATGGTATCCATCACCTTAAGCATTTATCCTTTATGTTTCAAACAATCTCATTGTACTCTTTGTTATTTTTAAACGAACAATGAAATTATTTTTTACTAGAGTCACCCTGTTGTGCTAGCAAATACTAGGTCTTATTTATTCTTTCAAACTATTTTTCTATACCCATTAACCATTCCTCCTTCATCCCCACCTCCCAACTACCCTTCCCAGCCTCTGGTAATCATCTTCCTGCTCTCTATCTGCATGAGTTTCATTGTTTTAATTTTTATCTCCCACAGATAAGTGAGGACATGTAATATTTCTGTTTCTATGCCTGGCTTATTTCACTTAACATAATGACCTCCAGTTTCATCTATGTTGTTGCAAAGGACAGGATCTCATTCTTTTTTGTGGGTATAGTACTTCATTGTGTATATGTACATTTTCTTTATTCATTTGTTGATAGACACCTAGGCTGCTTCCTAATCTTGGCTATTGTGAATGGTGCTGCAGTAAATATAGGAGTGCAAATATCTCTTAAATATACTGATTTCACTTCTTTTGGATATATACCTAGGACTGGGATTGTTGGATCATATGGTAGGTCTATTTTAGCTTTTTGAGGAACCTCCAAACTTTTATTCATAGTCATTGTACTAATTTACATTCCCACCAGCAGTGTATGAGGGTTCCTTTTTTTTCCACATCCTTGCCAGCATTTATTATTGCCGGTCTTTTGGATAAAAGCCATTTTATCCAGGTTGAGATGATATCTCATCATAGTCTTGATTTGCATTTCTCTGATGATCAATGATGTTGAGAACCTTTTCATGTGCCTGTTTCCCACTTGTATGTCATCTTTTGAGAGATGTCTATTCAGATCTTTTGTCCAATTTTTAATCAGATTATATTTTTTCCCATAGAGTTGCTTGAGCTCCTTATATATTTTGGTTAGTAATCCCTTGTCTGATGGGTAGCTTGTAAATATTTTCTCCCACTGTATGGGTTTTCCCTTCACTTTGTTGATTGTTTCCTTTGCTGTGCAGAAGCGTTTTAATTTAAGGTGCTCCCATTTGTTGATTTTTGCTTTGGTTGCCTGTGCCTGTGGGGTGTTGCTCAAGAAGTCTTTGCCTAGACCAATGTCCTGGAGAGTTTTCCCAATGTTTTCTTTTAGTAGTTTCATGGTTTGAGGTCTTAGATTTAAGTCTTTAATCTATTTTCATTTGATTTTTGTATTTGGCAAGAGACAGGGGTCTAGTTTTATTCTTTTGCATATGGATATCTAGTTTTCTCAGCACCATTTATTGAAGAGACTCTCCTGGATGAGAGATTTTGATAATCTATGTAGATAACACCAATCTTTTGCCTGTCAATTCTTGATTTGCTTTTTTATATAAATCATGAAATATTACAGCCTGCTTCCCATCCATCTTATACCTGGAGATAAAGTGTTTTATTACTCTCCACCAAAGACTTCAGGAAAAAGTACCACTCTGGCTTTGCTTCCTGTTGTGGTGTATTATATTCACATTGTCTCTGATAATTACATGTCACCATAAGGTCTCTAATCAATACCTCTATCATCCTCTTTCATATGAAGGACCCAGAAACATTTCAGCATTGTCTACTGCCAGCTCTATCATGAAAAGACAACCTGTACTGAGTTTCTCAATTACCCCTGTGCCCCTTTTTGTCTTAATGAAAAGAACACACCTGGGGATGCCCTGGTGATTATAGTTGTGTGGAAGATTTTCTGTTCTCATGTACTATATTTATTTTAACTTCTCCCTCATCTTAAGCCTTCCAACACCTCCCTCAGTTATCTGCCAAGCCAGTTCTACCATATCATATCATTTGTTCTACCATATTATATCATTTGTTCTACCATATCATATCATATCATTTGAATTACATGTTCAAACTTTAAGAAGCCATTTCTGCATTGTATTAGGATCCACTTCAGGGTAAGTTAAGATTTTACCCATACATATAAGCTTTTTATATGCCAAATCGCATAAAAAAGTAAAAAGTAAAGTACTTTTTTTCTTAGTGGGGACATTATTTCTCTAGGTGTTTATTCCTGTGTATTGCCTGGAAGCCCTGAATAGTTCAGGTGATTTAAGAAAAGGACAAAATTATATATTGACTAGGAAAAAGGAGGCTGTTTTCCCCTAGCAAGTGGAAAAGTATCTCAGAAAGTTAAAATCTTGTGGCACAGGATTCTTAGATATATCTGCCAAGTTTATTACCATATTAAGCCTCTTGGTCCTACTTTCTGTCAGGATTCTGATTTTATTACAGGGAAACTTTTGCGACTATATTATTTATTTCTGTTATTTAAGCCAAGATTTAGTGGTTTGCGTAATCTGAAAAGTGCTTCGTCATGGATATCAATGCATATGAGTGTTGTTGACTTGAACATTTACCTTAATCATTGCACATCAAATTCAACTAAAATATTTTTATAAAATACTCATATCCAGACTCTACCTACAGATATTTTAAATCAATTGTTGAAGAGTAAGGCCTGAACATGGGCATTTTTTGAAAGATTCTTAGAGATTCTGATGTGCAACCAAGATCATGAAGTTCTAATCTACTTTATGAAATTAATATGCTACTAGCATTCTGAAGAAGCATATCTGAATATGTAAAGAAATAACATAAACTTAAAGAAAATACATTGGGGTAGGCAAGTCCTTAAACATATAAACCATTGCCTTGAATTTAAAAATGTTTTTTCAAAACATTTTTAGCAAATATCCTTTTCCATCTCTTCTTTTTAGATTGGCAATCATAAGGATAATTTGCTTCTGGATCAACATGGAAGCTTTAAACATATAAATAAAGCAGGGATATTCTAATATTGGTATTATATGTTGTTTCTAATTAAGTATTGTTTCAAATGGCAAGAATTATTAGGAGGAACTATTGGATGGAGAACACTTTAAATTGATAAGGATTGACACTGATAACTTTTGATGTTTAAGATCATGGAAAATGGAAGAAAAACTCAAATCCCTCTTGCTACTACATTATTTGTTTGCTTAAAACTAAAAATGTGTTGTGATTAAGTCCTTTTGGGCAGTTTTTAAAGACAAGTTGGTATTTTTAGGGGATGATAATGTGAATTGCTAAAGTATGCCAGTCATAACGGTTCTTTCTTTGATGATATAAATACTTAGTATTTTTATTTCTTTGACAGCTTGTTGCATATGTAAAAGGGATGGAACTATACATTTCACTATATACTGGGTATTTTACATATTTATTTAATATTTATATCAGATCTGTGAGGTAATTTATGCTCTTTTCCATATTAGTTTCCCAATATAAAATCATGCTAACAATATCATTTGCCTCATAGGATTATTCAGATAATTAAATAATTTAATACTTATAGAGTCATTGAAAAAACTATTAGTGAATGCTATATAGTAAAAAACTATAGTAAATGCTCAAAAATTATCATGATGGTTGTGATTATTATAATTATGAAGTTAGTATTGATAGTCTCCATTCACAGATAACAGAGTCTCTGAGTATAAGTCAGCCAAAGTCACATATGTCTGAAATAGTAGAACAAGATTTAAACCCAGGCCCAGCTAATCCAAAGTCTTTGTTTTTTCCAATTATTATAGACTGAATGTTTGTGTCCCTTCAAAATTTGTATGTTGAAACCCTAATCCCCAATGTAATGGTATTTGGAGATGGGCCCTTTGGAAAGTAATTAGGATTAAACAAGATCACGAAGGTCAGGCTTTTATGATGGTGTTAGTGCCCTTATGAAAATAAACCAGGAAAGGCCATTTGAGCACATAGAAAGAAGCTGGCCATCTGCAAGCCAGGAAGAGAATCTGCAAGCCAGAATCTAACTAAGTTGGGCACACTGATCTTGCACTTCCAACCTCCAGATCCTGAGAAGATAAATTTCTGTTGTTTAAGTCACTCAACCTATGGAATTTTGTTATGGCAGCCAAATCAGACAAATATACCCATACTCCAGAACGCCCTTTCATTTCATTAATTGAGCTGGTTATCAGGTAACCCAGTGAAGCCTTGAAAGATGAACAAAGCTTTGGCAAGTAGATGAGGTTTTGTTTGCGGGTACAGGGTAGGATAATAAGGGCAGAGGAAATATGTGTAGAAGATAGATATTGGAGTCATGATTATTCTAGCATGCATGGAGGACTTCCAGTAGCTAGAGTATTCCAAAAAAAAAAAAAAACATTTCTCTTAATTTAATTTAATAAATAACTATTCTCTACTATATGCCTGCTATTCTTGCATTTGCCATACAGAATATAGAAAAATTGAATATCTTCCTTTTCTCTAATAAATTTGTATAATTATATAGCAATATGAATAAAATAAGTGCTACACAAATTTATAAAACAGAATTATGCATCATGGTTAAAATAGGATAATAAAATTTAAGAGGCAATACTTAAGCTGAGCCTTGAAGGAGGGAAAAATGACATATTAATAGTAATTAAATAGAGAGAAATGGTTTCTTTGGTTAAAAGTAAATAGAGACCGTGAAGTTTTACTTAGAAAAAAAGTACTTTTGTTCTGCTAAAGCTGTCTTTAAGAAGCCATATTAAATGAAATAGATTCTTGTTAATCTGTCCCTTGGAAAGGAAAGTTAGAAGAAATGGCTGACTTACTTTTAAGATGTAGAGAGTGTCCAGAGGTGACCTATACCTGGTATGACCTTTAGATTCCAGATTATGCTGTCATTAAAGTGGGAACAGCAGTTAGAGCCATCTGTTTAGTGACATTAAGGGCTAAACCTAATGAGCATTTATTTTGTATTTTTTCATTAACTTCAAATATAGTGATAGGCATTGTTCTTTATATATATATAATGTATATATATTATCTATATATAAGTATATATATTAAATGAAGTATGACTTCTAGGTGTTAAGATGTCTGATGAAAATAATTTCATTTAAAATTTATCATCACCGTATTTATAATTTGTTCCTAATATTATAGTGATGATAGTATGTGCTTTGCTAAACAGACATTTTTCTCAGTTCTGTTATGCATTATTTAGGTTAAAAAGAAGGCATGAATTTTGGTCTAGACAACCATATTGAATATTTTATTCATTTTTTGTTTCCTCAATTTTCAGATTTTGAAACTGAAAATTCAAAATTGATCAGAGTTCTATTTCAAAAATATACATAGGTGTGTAGTTATAGTTAAACAATCCTAAAATTCATGTTGTACATAATACTTTGAATTTTGAAAAAGAAAATGAGAAAGATAATAAAATATATTAGGCTCTAAGGAAATAGTGATGTTCCTAAATGTATAGTTATTCATTCCAACTTTATGTTATTCCTTTTTAGCCTAACCAGTTTCAAGTGATACTTTTCATTTCATGGGTTTCCAGTGTTATTTCTTTTTTAGTTAACTTTAAAAAATGACTTTTTTTTTTTTTTGAGATGGAGTTTCGCTGTTGTTGCCCAAGCTGGAGTGCAATGGAGCAAGCTCAGCTAATTTCAACCTCCTTCTCCTGGGTTCAAGCGATTCTCCTGCCTCAGCCTCCCGAGTAGCTGGGATTACAGGCACGTGCCATCATGCCTAGCTAATTCTTTGTATTTTTAGTAGAAATGGGGTTTCACCATGTTAGCTAGGCTGGTCTCGAGCTCCTGACCTCAGATGATTCGCCTGCCTCGGCCTCCCAAAGTGCAGGGATTACAGATGTAAGCCACCACGCCCGGCCTAAAAGTGACTTCTTAGCTGATTTGTATCCATGTTGCCTAGGCAAATCCTAGAACTATGTTTTTCCTCTTGCCTATACTGTCAAGTGCCCAAATTAAAACTATGTCAAATGCTATTTCATCCAGAAAGTCCACAATTAAGGATAGAATATTAGGGGGTGTTGTGTATACTTTCTCTCACAGAGATGATTCATATTATTCTCTGTTTATAGATGAACACCTTGTGAAATATAAGAGATAATCAGACAAAAATATATATATATATATATATATATATATATATATATATATATATATATATATATCACTCTGGGATTTATTACTTCAGACTAAATATACTGAGAATTTTATTGTCCTTGCCTCATCACCATAATTCAATTAGACAGTGTTAAACTCTGTCTCTTCTGTATCTGCCTCTGTCTTTCTCCTGCCCTAACTCCCTTTCTGCCTGATTTTATGTATCTCTTGGTACCATTACTTAAAACCCTGTAAGAATTTACTATCTCTTGTCTACACTTTCTCATTTGCCAAATTTGGGAAACTTAAAGTTTGACAAAAACAGTTGTCATGTAAATAAATCAGTTTTTGAGGGTGGATAGTATCTAGGTGCTTTCCCTGCATTATTTATTTTGACTTGGATACAAGGTCTTAATAATATCTAATCAGTATACTAATTGGGTTAAGGTAAGTTTATTAGAAACTATTAATAAACAATTAGAGTCTAGAAACAGCTGTTGCACTCAGTCTTCATGATTCACACTATTATTTGTTCAGCAATCATATGAAGGTATGTTTCTGTTTATATATTCTGTTAATGGATAGTTTGGAAACTCATTGTTTTCTCATTCTCTGACATTGTTTATTGTCAAGACACCACCTATAATACCCCCAAAACTAGGGAAAGGAGAAAGTGACCTTGAATTAGGCAAAGATTTATTAGATAAGACATCAAAATCATGATTCATAAAAGAAAAAAAACTAGACTTCATCAAAATTACAAAATTTTATTCTTTGGAAGATACTGTTAGGAACATGAAAAGACCAATTATGTCCTAGAAAAATATTTGCAAATTCTATATATATATAAATATAAATTTTATATATAAAAATATATATTTATAAAAAAGGATCCTTATATATATAGGATATATATCATATAGGATATATATGATAAAGTATTTATATAATATATATACTTGGTATTCGCTGTAGTTAAATTCTGTAATGTCACGTTGCTGTGAACTCTGAATTAGTGAATAGTAAGCCATTGCTCCTAGGGAAATACAGGGTTAGATACTTTATACGTGTGAGCCTCCAGTCACAATACCTTCATCAACTGATAAATGCAAACTTTGTTTTGTGTGTGTTTCTTTTAAAGACATCTTACTTAATATACATTGTTGATTCATTAACATTGAACTCATGGCCAACTGCACCATAACTTATGGCTAAACAGAACTCATCTGACATGCATAGTTTCTCTTTAAGACATGACAGATTTCATGCATGAGAACATGAGATAGCACTGAACACTATGCTTCGGTGACATTTTCAAACAGCAAAATTACCCTGAAAAAGCACAAAAATGTGAAAAAAACATAGACTTCATAAAGGACATTTATTTACAGTATAAGAGTTCAAGCAAGAAGGCAGAATATTGCCTTATTCTGTGTCAGCTAGAAACATGCACATTTCAGGGAACTCAAATGTTTTGCTACTCTGTTCATGTCTTTAATGACTGTGAAAGGGAAAGAAGTGTTGATTTTGGGGTTACAAATCAATTTTATTGAGTAGGCAAATTCACAAATACGGAATCCAAGAATAATGAGGATCAACTGTGTATATACATATGTTTTTCGAAACTCAATAGTAAGAAAAACCTCATAAAAATAGTGAAAAAATTGGAGGCACTTTACCAAAGAAGAAACATGAATGACAAAAATGCATATAAAAAGATGCTTGATATAATTAGTCATTTAGAAATGCAAATTAAAACTACAGTGAAATACCACTATATATTTTATTAAACTTTTAGGTTTGGGGGTACATGTGAAGGTTTGCTATATAGGTAAACCTGTGTCACGAGGAGTTGTTATACAGATTATTCCATCACCCAGATATTCAGCCTAGTACCCAATGGTTATTTTCTCTGCTCCTCTCCCTCCTCTTACTCTACATCCTCAAGTAGACCCCAGTGTCTGTTATTTCCTTCTTTGTGTTCATGACTTCCCATCATTTCGCTCCTACTTATAAGTAAGAACATGCAATATTTAAGTTAGTTTCTTAAGGATAATAACCTCCAACTCCATCTATATTCCTGCAAAAGACACGATCTCATTCTTTTTTTATGATTGCATAGTATTCCATGGTGTACATGTCCCACATTTTTTTTTATCCAGTCTGTCATTGATGGGCATTTAGGTTGATTCCATGTCTTTGCTATTGGAGATGACACTATATATTTATCTGAATATTTGACATTTAAAAGTCTGGCTATCCAAAGTATTGATGAGAATCTAGAGCACTGAAAACTCTCATGTACTGCTGTGGAAAAGTAAAATGCTAAATACACCTTGGAAAGCAGTTTGTCAGTTTCTCAAAAATGTAAAAATAATTTGATGATATGATGCATCCATTCCACACATAGGCATTTACCCAGTGAAATTACGTCATACATATATGCATATTCATATATGTGCATATTCATATATGTGCATATTCATGACGTTTTCACTTGTGACAGATAAAAACTAGGAAGCAACACAAATTTCTACCAACAGCTGAGAGGATAAACAAACTGTAGTATGTCCATAAAATAGAATTCTACTCATCAGTAAAAAGAAACTATTGATACAAAAATCACATGGTTGTAACTCAAAATAATTATGATAAATGGAAGAACTGAGACAGTAAAAGTAATAAAATTTCTGAAAATGCAAACCAATCTATACTGACATAAAGAGATCACTGTTTGCCTAGAGTTGACGAGTGGCAGTGAAAGGAAAGAAGGTGGGATTCCAAAGGGCCATGAGGAAACTTTGGAGCTGACTGATGTGTTTCTTATCTTGAGGGCTGAATTAGTTTCACAGCTGTACACATGTTATAGCATGTCAAATTTTCAATTTAAAGGAGGATAGTTCATTACTGGGGGAGCCCGCTCCCAATATTTCAACATGGGTTCTTTCTATTTTCCCTAAGTGTCGGCTTGTCTGAGAAATAAAGAGAAAGAGTACACAGAGAGGAATTTTACAGCTGGGCCTCCAGGGGTAACATCACATGTTGGTAGGTCCGTGATGACCCCTGAGCCGCAAAACCAGCAAGTTTTTATCAGGGATTTTAAAAGGGGAGTGGGTGTATGAACAGGGAGTAGGTCACAAAGATCACATGCTTCAAAGGGCAATAAAGATCACAAGGCAGAGGCAAAATTAGAATTACTGATGAGGGTATATGTCCTGCTGTGCATGTATTGTCTTGATAAACATCTTAACAGAAAACAGGGTTTGAGAGCAGAGAACCGGTCTGACCAAAATTTACCAGGCTGGAATTTCCCAATCCTAGTAAGCCTGAGGGTACTGCAGGAGACCAGGGCGTATTTCAGTCTTTATCTCAACTGCATAAGATGGACCCTCCCAGAGTGGCCATTTATAGACCTCCCCTCAGGAGTGGAATTCCTTCCCCAGGATATTCCTTGCTGGGAAAAGAATTCAGCGATATCTGTCTTACTTGCACATCCATTTATAGGCTCTCTGCAAGAAGAAAAATATGGCTTTATTCTGCCTGACCCTGCAGGCAGTCAGACCTTATGGTCATCTTCCCTTGTTCCCTAAAATCACTGTTATTCTGTTCTTTTTCAAGGTGCACTGATTTCATGTTGTTCAAACACGCGTGTTTTACAATCAATTTGTACAATAGTGGTCCTGAAGTGACGTACATTCTCAGCTTACGAAGATAACGGGATTAAGAGATTTAAGTAAAGACAGGCATAAGAAGTTATAAGAGTATTATTAGGGAAGTGATAAATGTCCATGAAATCTTCACAATTTATGTTCAGAGATTGCAGTAAAGACAGGCCTAAGAAATTATAAAAGTATTAATTTTGGAAACTGATAAATTTCCATGAAATCTTCACAATTTATGTTCTTCTGCTGTGGTTCCAGCCGGTCCCTCCATTTGGGGTCCCTGACTTCCCGCAACAGTTCATACTATGACAATTATACCTTTTAAAACTGATAAACATGTTAGCAGCTTTCTCTGGTGCTAAAAGTATAATTTTTAGTTTTTAAATTTGCTACTGGTTTTATTCTAAAGTTTCTTTTAAAACATATTTTATTTTAGGCTTGGGGGTACATGTGAGGGGTTGTTGCATAGATAAACACATGTCATAGGGGTTTGTTGTACATATGATTACATCACCCAGATATTAAGCTCAGTACCCAATAGTTACTTTTTCTGCTTTTCTCCCTCCTTCTACCCTGCTCCTTCGAGTAGAATCCAGTGTCTGTTGTTTCCTTTTGTGTGTTCATAAGTTCTCATTATTTAGCTCCCACTTATGAGTGAGAACATGTGATATTTGATTTTCTGTTCCTGCATTTTGTTTGCTAAGGATGATAGCCTCCAGCTCCATCCATGTTCCTGCAAAAGACATGATCTCATTCTATTTTATGGCTGCATAATATTGCATGGTGTATATGTACCATATTTTCTTTATCCAGTCTATCATTGATGGGCATTTGGTTGATTTCTTGTCTTTGCCATTGTGAACAGTGCTGCAGTGAACATTCACATGCATGTGTCTTTATGGTAGAATGTTTTATATTTCTCTGGATATGTTTTATATTTCTCTGGATATATACCCAGTAATGGGATCGCTGAGTTGAATGATAGTTCTGCTTTTAGCTCTTTAAGGAATGGCCACACTGCCTTCCACAATAGTTGAACTAATTTACACTCCCACCAACAGTGTAGAAGAGTTCCTTTTCTCCACAGCCTCGCTAGCGCCTGTTATTTTTTGACTTTTTAATAATAGCCATTCTGATTGGTGTGAGATGGTATCTCATTGTGGTTTTGACTTGCATTTCTCTAAAATTATCAGTGATATTGAGCTTTTTTTCATATGCTTGTTGGCTGCATGCATATCCTCTTCTGAGAAGTGTCTGTTTATGTCCTTTGCCCACTTTTTAATGGGTTGTTTGTTTTTCTCTTGTAAATTTGTTTACGTTTCTTATAGATGCAAGATATTAGACCTTTGTCATGTGCACAGTTTGCAAAAATTTTCTCTCATCCTGTTGTCTGTTTATTCTGTTGATAGTTTCTTTTGCTGTACAGAAGCTCTTAAGTTTAATTAGATCCCAATGATCAATTTTTGCTTTCTTTGTGATTGCTTTTGGTATCTTTTTCGTGAAATCTTTGCCTGTTCTTATGTCAAGGTTGGTATTGCCAAGATTGTCTTCCAGGGTTTTTATAGTTTTGTGTTTTACATTTAAGTCTTTAATACATCTTGAGTTGATTTTTGTATATGGTGTAAGTAAGCGGTCCAGGTTCAATGTTCTGCATATGGCTAGCCAGTTCTCCCAGCACCATTTATTGAATAGGGTGTTTTTTTTCCCCCATTGCTTGTATTTGTCAATTTTGTCAAAGATCAGATGGTCATAGATGTGCAACCTTATTTCTGGGCTCTCTAATCTGTTCCATTGGTCCATGTGCCTGTTTTTGTACCAATACCATGCTATTTTGGTCACTGTAGCCTTGTAGTTTGGTTTGAAGTCAGGTAACATGATTCCTCCAGCTTTGTTCATTTTGCTTAGGATTACCTTGGCTATTTCAGCTATATATTGATTTCATATAAATTTTAAAATAATTTTTTCTATGAAGAATGTCATGGTGGTTTGCTAGGAATAGCATTGAATTTGTAAATTGCTTTGGGTAGTATTAGCAATTTTAATGACATTCTTTCTATCCACGAGCATGGGATGTTTCTTAATTTGTGTCTTCTCTGATTTCTTTGAGCGATGTTTTGCAATTCTCATTGTAGAGATCTTTCACCTCCCTGGTTAGTTGTATTCCTAGGTTTTTGTTGTTGTTGTTGTTGTGGCAGTTGTGAATGGGATTGGTTTTCTGATTTTGTTCTCAGTTTGGTTGTTGTTGGTATAGTGGAATGCTAGTGATTTTTGTGCATTAATTTTGTATCCTGCAACTTTGCTGAAGTTATTTATTGTCTGAAGGAGCTTTTGGGCTGAGACTACTATGTGGTTTTCTAGATAGAAAGTCATGTCGACTGCAAACAAATATAGTTTGACTTCCTCTCTTCCTATTTGAATGTGCTTTATTTTTTCTCTTGCCTGATTGCTCTGGCAAGGACTTCCAATACTATGTTGAATAGAAGTGGTGAGAGAAGGCATCCTTGTCTTGTGCTGGTTTTTAAGGGGAATGTTTCCAGCTTTTGTCCATTCAGCATTATGTTGGCTGTGGATTTGTCACAGGTGGATCTCATTATTTTGAAGTATGTTCCTTCAAGACCTAATGTATTCAGAGTTTTTAATGTGAAGAGATTTTGAATTGTATTAAGTCTTTTCTGCATCTATTGAGATAATCATGTGCTCTTTGTCTTTAGTTCTGTTTATATGATTAATCACATTTATTGATTTTTGTATGTTGAACCAACCTTACATCCCAGGGATGAAGCCTATTTGATCATGGTGAATTAGATTTTTAATGTGCTGCTGGATTCAGTTTGCAAGTATTTTGTTGAGGATTTTTACATTGATGTTCATCAAGGATATTGACCTGAAGATTTCTTTTTTTTGTTGTGTCTCTGCCAGGTTTTGGTAGCAAGATGATGCTGGCCTCATAGAATGAATTGAGCAGAAGTCTCTCCTCCTCACTTTTTTGGAATAGTTTCAGTAGGAATGGTTCCAGCTCTTCTTTGTAGATCTGGCAGAATTTGGCTCTAAATCCATCAGGTCTAAATCCATCAGGTCCTGGGCTTTTTTTTTTTTTTTCTTTTTGGTTGGTAGGCTATTTATTACTGATTCAATTTAGGAGCTTATTATTGGTCTGTTCAGGGAATCAGTTTCTCCCTGGCTCAGTCTTGGGAGGGTGTACGTGTCCAGAAATTTATCCATCTCTTCTTGGTTTTCTAGTTTGTGTGCATAGAGGTATTCACAGTACTTTCTGATGGTTATTTTTATTTTTATGGGTTCAGCAGTAACATTCCCTTAATCATTTCTAGTTGTGTTTATTTGGATCTTTTCTCTTTCTGTCTTAGTCTAGTTAGTGGCCTATTCTATTAATTTTATTTTCAGAAAACTAACTCCTGGATTCATTGGTCTTTTGATTTTTTTTTTTTTTTTTCTATCTCAGTTTTCTTCAGTTCAGCTCTGACTTTTGTTATTTTTCATCTTCTAGCTTTGTGGTTGATTTGTTGTTGCTTCTCTAGTTCTTTCAGTTGAGAAGTTATTTTGTTAGTTTGAGATCTTTCTAACTTTATGATGTGGCCATTTAGTGCTATGAATTTCTCTCTTAACATTGCCTTAGCTCAGAATCCCAGAGATTCTGATATGTTGTATCTTCTCATTATTTTCAAATAACTTCTTGATACCTGCCTTAATTTCATTTTTTACCCAAAAGTCATTCAAGAGCAGTCGTTTAATTTTTATATAATTGTATGGATTTGAGCGATTTTCATTGTGTTGACTTCTATTTTTATTGTGCTGTGGTCTAACAGTGTGTTTGGTATAATTTCAGTTCTGTTAAATTTGTTGAGGATTGTTTTGTGGTCCAGTTATGTGGACCACAAATGTCAGTGATTCATAGATTCAGCCTCTTTACATAATGCCATACTTCTGGAAGGATTTGTTCATTCTTTTTAATTCTTTTTTCTTTATTTTTGTCTGACTGTCTTATTTCAGAGAACAAGTCTTTAAATTCTGAGATTCTTCCCTCAGCTTGGTTCATTCTGCTGTTAATACTTGTGATTGCATTTTGAAATTCTTGTGTTATTCAGCTCTGTCAGACCTATTAGGTTCTTTTTTATACTGGCTATTTTGTCCTTCAACTCCTGTATCACTTTATTGTGATTCTTATTTTCCTTGGATTGGGTTTTGCCATTCTCCTGAATCTCAATGATCTTTATTCCTATCCATATTCTGAATTCTATTTCTGTCATTCCAGCCAGTTCAGTCTGGTTAAGGACTCTTCTTGGAGAACTTGTGAGGTCATTTGGAGGACATGTGACACTCTTTGGAGCCCATTTGAGTTATCAGAAGCTGACTTGTCTCTGGTTTCAGTGCGGGGTATGTTAGTAAGGTATTTTTGGTTTTGAAGCTTTGGGGTGTGATCCAGCAGGTGATACATAGGCTTATTTGTCAGTTGGTAGGCTCTTGCTCAGTTGTGTGGCTCCCCCATGTTTCCTCCCAGTTGCAGCCATGTTCCCTCTCAGTGCTCTGAAAGTGTGGGTTTCTCTCCCGCTTAAGTGCTGGCTATCATTCATTACTTGGAACTCCTGGGCTTGCCCACTGCAACTATGGTGTAATCTCATTGTTTATGTTCTTTCCCCAGCTTAGAGGCAGCAGAGGAAGAGATCTTAGTAGTGGTTGTGGCCAAGAGTCATTTGCTTGACTCCTGGGGACCCCAGAGAGATGCAGGTCAGCAATTGCTCAGGGCAATCAGCCCAAGATGGAGGTTCTGTGCTGTGGGCCTAAGCCAGGTGTGCCCTGTCTGGTGAAAGGTCATGGGAGTGTGTGGGAACCATGGGAGATGGACTGGCCTCCTCTCCTAGGGTTGACTGCAGCTTGTTGGAGGTGTGGATAAGGCACTTACAGCGTTTGCTCTTTCATTAGTTCACAGGTGGCAAGGGCATTTCCACTGCAAAGGCAGTGGCAGAGAGCTTTCAGTTGCCCCTGGAGGCTCTGTCCAGGGGTTTGCTGAGTTGGTATGGTATGTTTTCATTCTCATTTGTCTCAAGGACATTTTAAATTTCCATTTAAATTTACTTATTGACCCACTGGTTAAGGAGAAAATTTTGAAATTTCAACATATTGGTAAAGTTTCTGAAGTTTTTCTTGTTGTTGACTTTTGGTCATGTCATTAATGTCACAAAAAATACTTGATATTATCTCTGTCTTCTTAAATTTGATAAGACTTGTTATGAGGGCTAATATGTGGTTTATTCTGGACAACATTCCATGTGCAGTTAGAAGAATGTGTATTCTGCAGCTGTTAGATATAATGTTCTGTAACGTCCTTTAGATTCCTTTGGCCTAAGTTTAAGTCTTATGCTTAATTGACAATTTTTTGTCTAGATGGTTTGTTTGTCATTGCGAGTGGGATGTTGAAGTCCTCTATTATTTTGTTGTATTGTAGTCTATCTCTTTATTTATTAAACTGTAGATCTAATGATATTTGCTTTTTATCTGGGTTTTCTGGTGTCGAGTACATTTATATTTAATTTTTTTTGAGACGGAGTCTCACTCTGTTGCCCAGGCTAGAGTGCAATGGCGCGATCTCAGCTCACTGCCAGCTCCGCCTCCTGGGTCACGCCATTCTCCTGCCTCAGCCTCCTGACTAGCTGGGACTACAGGCACCCACCACCATGCCCGGCTAATTTTTTGTATTTTTAGTAGAGATGGGGTTTTACCGTGTTAGCCAGGATGGTCTCGATCTCCTGACCTCATGATCCACCTGCCTCAGCCTCCCAAAGTGCTGGGATTACAGGTGTGAGCCACCGCACCCAGCTGAGTACATATATATTTATTTTTGTTATGTCTTCTTATAGAATTGATCCCTTTATCATTATATAATAATCTTTGTTTTTTTTTTTTTTACAGTGTTTGACTTAAAGTCTATTTTATCTGATACAAATATGGCTACTTTTATTTGCTTTTGGTTTCCATTTGCATCGTATATTTTTTTCCAAGCCTCTACTTTTTTTCTATATCTTTAATAGTGATGTGACTCTCCCGTAGGCAACAAATAATTGTTGCTTTAAAAAAATTGTTTCAGCAACTTCGTATCTTTTAATTGGATCATTTAATCCATTTACATTCATGTAAAAATGATTGTTAGATAAAAACTTACTGCTGCTATTTTTAAAATTGCTTTCTAGTTGCATTGTAGATCCTTTGTTTCTTTCTTCCTCTCTTGTTTACCTTTGTGGCTTGAAATTTTTTTTTTTTTTTTTTGGTGCTAAGGTTTTTTCCTTTCTCTCTCTCAGCAGTGGAGCCATCAGGTTTGGGTGTGTCTCTTATGGCACTCTTTATTATTGATTGAATTTCCTCACTTATTATTGGTCTGTTTAAGTTTTCTATTTCTTCAGAATCTAATATTGATAAGTTATATGCTATGATTTCTTTCCTTGTCGTTATCATGGTGCTAACATAATGAGTCTTGTAGTTGTAATAGACAATTTTAAGTAGATAGCGACTTAACTTTGGTCACATACAATATCTCTAGAGCTCGCTCCCCATTTATATTTTTGTTGCCTTAACTGTATTTGGCAGCTATTGTTCACAGATTGCAGTGTAGTGTTAAGATTGTCTTTTGGTTTCATTCAAAAAAAGTTTCTTGTCTATTTTTCTTTTTTTTTATTTTTAGTTGGCACAAATTAAGGGAATAAAGATGTCTTCCCTCAGATATCTTTGTGTGGCAGTCTCCACAATTTCAAAAATTATTTTATTAATGAGGGAAGAGGTATATGATATATTTTATGTATTTATTTGAAGTAGGGATGAGTATATTGTTCTTGCATTTAGATTCATTTTTTGCTTTTCCTTACTACTTTATAATTTCCCTTTCATTGTAATGGAATGTTTTTGCTTGGGTTACCTTTTTTAAATTTTGGATTTGGAAGGGAATAAGCATCTGTACAACATATTAATATCAGTGCCTTAAATGAGAGTTTGTGTATTTTTTTGAAAAAATATTCAGTCTAGTTTTTAAACATGTTTAATCCAGTTTAAATTTATTCTCTAGGACTTTAAAGATATTTTATTTATTGTAGCTTGGACTTTTAAAATTACATTAGGAATGTTATTTTGAATACTTTTTGGATCAATTATGTTCATCTTTATTCTTCAGAGAGTTGTGCAAGTGGAATTGGTGTTCCAAATTTTAGACAAAAATTATTGTCATTTCAGATAAAAATTTAAATAATTGTTGGTATTCTTACAAGTAAAACACAGATAATTTATTCATGTATGTATGTATGTGAAAATTTTAGAACATTGGCAATATTAAACTCAGGCCTGACCTCTAAAGAGATCGTCTATTAAATTTGCTTCTAAAAGCTCTCCCTGGCTATTAACACATTTGGACAGAGTGTGGCTGACTTAAGTAATAATGATGACATTACCTTGTTGCCATCTCAAGTCTACTCTACTCTAAAATGATGGTCTTTTAATTTTTTCCTTATTTACCTTCTGTACCAAGCAGATGACGTATATGTTTTTCTGTCTTTATGTCTTTGGTCTTGTACATAATCAGTTGTCACCACTTTGTGAATATTTATAATATACTAACCTTAGCACTCTATCTAAAGAGGAAGCATGAGTAGGATGGTTGGCAAAAAGAATGAGCATACCAACTCGGAACCCACAGACCTGAAAATCGACAACTCAATCATTTAAAATTTCTGTACTTCAGTTTTGTAATCTCTAAAACTGAGAGATCAGATAATCTTAAATATCTATCAATAGCTCTATTATCTATACTTTTGTAGTAATATTTATGATCTATTCTCACTGCATATTTACATAAAGGCAGCTGAAGATTGCTTAGGTCCCTGTGAATCAGAAACAGAGGGATAAACAGAAAAAAATCACTCTTCTGCTATGCTCTTAAAGCATTGTTTATACTCTATTTCTCACCCTATAATTTATATATAAATGATATCCATTATTTAAAGTTTCATATGCAAAGACCATCTGGTCTGTATAATAGCTGTTTCTGTTTTACCAAATATTGATAAATTGTGCAGCTTTATGCTGCCAAATACCTAGGACTCTTTGTCATGGCTTCGTACCAATTTCAAAATGAATATTGAATATAACTATTTAGGGATGAAAGAGTAACAGTAAATAAAACCATATGCTCACTAGTAAAATATTTTTTTTCAGTAACTCTTAGTAGCATGTTTTAAAACTTGATCACACTTGCAACAATGGCAAAGTCCCATTTTCATTTGATTCCGGAAACTATAACTCTTGGGCAGTAAGCCCATCTGCATTAATGGTCCAGGCTGAATTTAGCTTGATTGGTATTTAAAATTAATTATGTAGGTACCAGATGGCCCAAGTTGGCATTTTGCTTGTCACTTTCTAAGGAAATTTTTTTTTTTTTCCGGTGGCAATGAGCAGACTCAAAATGGTGATAACACACCCCTAGGTTCACAACCAACCACTGAAAAGAGGAGAGGACAGGAAAGGAGAGGAATCCAAGTGCCTGCATAGAAAGGATTCACAATTAACTGATGACACTACCCTAGCATTGAAGCACTTAATTTTTCTATCAGTGGTATAGCTTTCTTTAGATTTTATCTCTTGTTTCTACCTCGTTTGCAAGCCTAGTTTCTTAACTAAAGTACTATAGCAAGTTCAGATAACCGTGTTTATCCTCTGGAATCATGCTATGAATATATTAATAGCCTGTGTTTTAGAGAAAAACATTGAAGAATCATCTGGCTTATTGCCTAGAGTAGATTTGCAAACTAGGCGGTAGGTGGTAGAGCAGGGTCATCTAAAAGGAGGTTTTTGAAACTAAGCTAAAGAATGTCAAAATTTTTTTCAATGTAGGAAGTACCAATTCTTCAAAATTATTCTCAGCTGGGCAGTGGAAGAGTTGGAAGTGGAGGTGGTGAGTCTAGTGCTAGAGCTCTGAGTAGAAAGACATTTGCATTAATCCAGCTGGGGTGATGATCAGGATTTCTGCTTGACAGGTGACTGTGGGAAAGGAAGAGAAGGAGCAAGTAAGAATGCCTTTGAAGGAAGAATTCATGACATATGAAATAGGTAATGAGGGGTCTCTGCTACCATCTTGGCTTCTTCAGCTTTTCACATGCTCAGTAAAGATACACAAAGCTTATAATAGATTTGCCGACCCCCATTCTCCACAAGTTCCTGCAGGAATTTTGAAGGCAGTGAAAAAAACTTTTAACAATGAAAGCTAAAACTAAAGGGGCAATAGTTTTACTTCCATTTCCAGGTAAAAATATGCAAATGGGAATTGAGAGCTGGAATTCTCCTTTCAAGGATCACTGGAGTATGTGTTTGCATAAGGGAAAAGTAACAGAAGTCAATTACTGACACTATCTAGGAGAGATGCAAGATCATCATTTACAAAAGAATGTCAGCCGGGCACGGTGGCTCACGCCTGTAATCCCAGCACTTTGGGAAGCGAGATCACCTGAGGTCAGAAGTTCGAGACCAACCTGGCCAACATGGCGAAACCCCGTCTAAAAATACAAAAATTAGCTGGACATGGTGGCAGACGCCTGTAATCCTAGCTACTCAGGAGGCTGAGGCATGAGGATCGCTTGAACCTGGGAGGCAGAGGTTGCAGTGAGCCGAGATCATGCCACTCCATTCCAGCCTGGGGGATAGAATGAGACTCTGTCTCCAGAAAAACAAAAGAATGCCTTTTTATTTCATTTTACAAAATTCTCATCTTTTTTCAGAAATAAGATAAAACGAAAAAATAAAATGTACAAATAAGGAAACATGCTTGGATGTAATCTGAAAAATTGCAGAGCATACATTTTGCCCCTCCTACTACTTTCACACTTATGGAATGGGGTATACTTTTCACAGTAGCCACATGAAGGGACCTGGTGTGCCGCAGAAGCAATAAACCATGGGGTCAAGTTTGAGCAATGAGAGAAAAAGGTAAGAGAGAAGTTTTTATGCTTTCAATGGATTAGGGTTTCTGTAAACCTTGTTTGGAGCTGTATTTTGCAGACAAAACAACTGGCTGATCTTATTGTGCAGCTTTATATTGCTTCCTTTCCCTCCCTGCCTCAGTTCTCCATTACTTTAACTGTATCATCCTATAAAGCACTATCCTTCATGCTTTAGTAAATGAAAGAATCACCTGAAGAACTTTTAAAGTACCCATGTCAAGGCTTGTCCTTAGACATTCTGATTCAATATATCTGCAGTGGGGCCCAAGACCTTGCCATTTTTACAAGTTCCAAGGCAATGCAGATGGACCTGTTGGGCAGACCAGACTTGAGATACTACAGACTAGAGCATTAGCATGTAAGCTTATCTTTAGGCTCAGCTTCCATGTTGTCTGGCTAAGACAATATTATGAGCAAAAAGGTAAATTGGCATGGCAATTACTAAACATTTTACCTATGACTATCTGTGATGAGGTAGATGAGGGAGTTAATTTATTTGGAGCATGGTATCTATTGCATGCAACAGATGTAAGAAAGATGATAATTATGATTGTGAAGTAGGTTGGTTCTTTATTTTTTTATTGAGGAATAATTATGCCTATTTATGAGGTACAATGTGATGTTTTGATAAATGTACGTATAATATAATCAAGTCATGGTACTTATATCTATCACCTTAAACATTTATTATTTCTTTTTTGTGAGAACATTCAAAGTCTTCTAGCTATGGGGAAAATACAATGCATTATTGTTAACTATAGTCACCCTACTGTGCAGTAAGGTATGAGAACATATTCCTCATAACTGTAATACTGTATCTGTTGACTAGCCTCTCCCCATATCCTTCTCCTTCTGTTCTCCCCAGTCTTTGGTAATCATTATTCTGTTCTCAACTTCTATGGGATCAAATTTTTAGATTGCATACATGAATGAGAACATGGAGTATTTGTCTTTCTGTGTCTGGCTTATTTTACTTAACATGTCCTCCAGGCTCATCCATGCTATTGCAAAATTACAGGAATTCATCTTTTTATGGCTAAATATATTCTGTTGCATATGTGTGTATATATATGTGTGTGTGTGTATATATATATATATATATATATATATATATATATATATATATATGACATTTCCTCTACCCACTCATCCATTGATGGGCATTTACATTGATTTCATGTATTTACTATTGTGAATAGTGCTGCACTAAGCATGAAAGTACAGATCTCTCTTCAACATACTGATTTTATTTCCTTTGGGTATATACCCATAAGATGGGTTGCTGTTTTATATCTAGGTCTATTTTAAATTTTTTGAGGGTGCTCCATACTATTTTCTATAATGTTCATACTAATTTACATTCCCCAAAGTACACAAGAGTTCTTTTTTTCATACATCCTCTTCAGCATTTGCTATTTTTAAATTTTTCAATAGTAGTCATTCTAACTGGGGTGAGGTGATATCCCACTGTGGTTTTGATATGCATTTCCCTGATGGTTAGTGATGTTGAGTATTTCTTCATATACCTGTGAGCTATTTGTATGTCTTCTTTGGAGAAAATATGTTCAGGTCTTTTGTCCATTTCGTATACAGATAATGATGATGATGATTATTACTGCTTTGAGTTGTTTGGGTTCCTAAGAAATTCTGGATATTAACTCATTTTTAGATGTATAATTTGCAATTATTTTCCCACATATCTAGCTAGTCTCTTCATTCTGTTTATTGTTTTCTTTGCTGTGCAGAAGCTTTTAGTTTGGCGCAAACTTTTTGTTTATTTTTGCTTTTGTTGTTTGTCCTTTTGACATCTTGTCTAAAATAATCCTTGCCAGACTGACGTCATGTAATATTTTCACTATGTTTTATTCTAATAGTTTTATAGTTATTGGTCTTACAATTAAGTCTTTAATTCATTTTGCACTGGTTTTTGTACATGATGAGAAATGGGAGTGTAGTTTCATTCTTTGTATATGCATATCCAGTTTCCAAGCATCATCCAGCAAAGAAACTGTCCTTTCTCCATTGTATATTCTTGGCACCATTGTTGTAAGTCATTTGGCTGTATAAATGCATGGATTTATTTTAGGGTTCTCTCCTTTCTTTCGCTGGCTTATGTGTCTGTTTTTATGCCTGTATGATGTTGTGTTAGTTACTATACCTTTGTAGTATATTTTGAAATCAGTGCGATGCCTCCAGCTTTGTTTATTCTGTTAAAGATTGCTTTGGCTATTTAGGGTATTTTGTGGTTCCATATAAATTTTAGAATTTTCTTTTTTTCTATTTCTGTAAAAAATGACAATAGAACTCTAATAGAAATTTCATTGAATCTGCAGATATATTTGGGTAGTTATAGATGTTTTAACAATAATAATTCTACCAGTCCATGAACACAAGATGTCTTTCTATTTATTTGCATCTTCTTCAATTTCTTTCATTAATCCTTTATAGTTTTCATGGTGGAGATCTTTTACCTTTTTGGATAAATGTATTCCTAGACATTTTATTTTTTGTAGCTATTGCAAATGAGATTGTTTCTTGATTTCTTTTTCAGATAGTTTTTTATTAGCTAATAGAAATGCTACTAAGTTTTTCATGTTGATTTTGTGTGCTGCCACTTTACTGTATTTGTTTATTAGTTATATATTTTTTAGGGTTTTCTACATATAAGATCATGTTGTCTGCAAATAGGGAGAATTTGACTTCCTTCTTTCCATTTTTGATGTCTTTTATTTGTTTATTTTGTCTCTTGTCAATTTTCTGGCTAGGACTTCCAGTACTATGTTGAATAAAAATGGTGAAAATGAGCATTCTTGTCTTGCTCCAGATTGCAGAGGAAAGGCTTTCAACTTTTCTCTGTTTACTGTAATGTTGGCTGTTGGTCTATCATATATAACCTTTATTATATTGAGGTAAATTCCTTCTGTGTTTAATTTGTTGAGAGTTTTTATCATGAAGTTCTGTTGAATTTTGTCATATGCTTCCTCAGTGTCTATGGAAATGATCTTATGGTTTTCACCTTTCATTCTGTTTAGGTGATGTATCACATTTATTGATTTGTATATGTAAGGCCAGCCTTGCATACCTCGGATAAATCCCACTTGATAATTGTAAATGATCTTTTAAATGTGCTATTGAATTATGATTGCATATAATTTTTTGAGAATTTTTTGAATCCATATCTATCAGGAATATTGGCCAATAATTTTGTTGCTGTATCCCTGTCTGGTTTTGGTATCAGGGTAATGCCTTGTAGAATGAGTTTGGAAGAAATCTTTCCTTTTCAAGTTTTTGGAATATTTTGTGAAAAATTAGTATTTGTTACTCTTTAAATGTTTTGTAGAATTTAGCAGTGAAGCCAATCAGATCTTGGAATTTTGTTTGATGAGAGACTTTTTACTACTGCTTCAATCTCTTAACTCATTGTTGATCTGTTCAGATTTCCTTTTTTTTATTCTGTCATGGTAGATTATATGTGCTGAAAAGTTTATCCATTTCTTCTTGGTTTTCCAATTTGTTGGCATATAATTGCTTAGCATCTTATCATTTTTTGTATTTCTGTGGTATCAGTTGTAATGTCTCCTTTAATGTCCCTGATTTTATTTATTTGAGTCTTCTTTTTTTTTTTTCTTAGTCTAGCTAAAGGTGTTTCAATTTTGTTTTTCTCAAAATAGCAACTGTTTTGTTGATCTTCTGTATTTCTTTTTAAGTTTCATTATTTCTTTTATTCTAGCAATTTTGGGTTTAGTTTATTCTTGTTTTCAAGTTTGTTGAGATGCACCATTAGGTTGTTTGAGATTATTTTTGTTGTTGTGTTTATTGCTATAAACTTCCCTCTTAGAATTGATTTTGCTGTATCCTATAAGTTTTGGTATGTTGTGTGTTCATTTTTATATATCTAAAACATTTTACGGTTTCTCTTAATTTCTTTATTGACCCATTGATTGTTTAGGAGCATGTTATTTAATTTTAATGTATTTGTACAGTTTCTGAAGTTCCTCCTGTTGTTGATTTCTATTTTTTCCACCATTTTAATTCAAAAAGATCCTTGTTATGATTTTGATTTTTTTTTTAATTTAAGACTTATTTCATGGCCTAACATATGATCTATTTTGAGGATGCTCCATGTGCAATTTAGAAAAATGTGAATTCTGCAGCTGTTGGATACAATGCCCTATAAATATCTGTTAGGTCAATTTTGTCCAGAGTGAGTTTTACAACTGATGTTTCTTTGTTGATTTTCTATCTGGATGATCTTATTAATGTAATAAGTCTTATGGTATTATTGTATTACTCTATCTCTTCTTTCAGATCTATTTATGTTTGTGTTATTTGATTAGGTGCTTCAATGTTGGGTGAATGTATATTTATAATTGTGATATACTCTTTTATTGACCCTTTATTATTAATTGCCATGTTTGTCTATTTTTATAGTTTTTGACTTGTAGTTTACTTTATTTAAAATAAGTATATTTAATCTTGCTTTTTTTTTGGTTTTCTTTGCACAGAATATTTTTTCCCATCTGTTCACTTTCAATCTATGTGTATGCTTACAGGTGAAGTGAGTCTCTTGTAGTTGGCATATGATCATGTAATTGAATCTTGGCTTTTTTAAAAAGGCCATTTAGCCACTCTATATCTTTTAGTTGAAGAATTTAATTCATTTATATTCAAAGTAATTGTTGATAGGTAAGGACTTCGTACTGACATATTGTTACTAGTTTTCTAGATGTCTTATAGATTCTTTCTTTTTCACTTACTGTCTTCCTTTGTGGCTAAGTAATTTTCTCTGTTATGTTTTGACTTTATGCTTTTTATTTTTAGTGTATCTATTAAATGTGTTTGCCTTGTGGTTACCATGAGGCTTATGAAGAACATCTTTGTTTTTTTTGTTTGTTTGTTTGTTTGTTTTTTTTGAGATGGAGTCTCACTCTGTCGCCCAGGCTGGAGTGCAGTGGTGCCATCTCAGCTCACTGCAAGCTCCGCCTCCCGGGTTCACACCATTCTCCTGCCTCAGCCTTCCGAGTAGCTGGGATTACAGGCACCCGCCACCACGCCTGGCAAATTTTTTGTATTTTTTAGTAGAGACGGGGTTTCACCGTATTAGCCAGGATGGTCTCGATCTCCTGACCTTGTAATCTGCCCGCCTCGGCCTTCCAAAGTGCTGGATTACAGGCGTGAGCCACCACGCCTGGCGAAAGAACATCTTATAGTTTACAGGTGATTTAAAACTGATTAACAATTTAATTTGTTAAGAAAATTAAACAAAAATACTCTGCCTTAAACACTCTTGCTCCCTGTATTTTGAGTTTTTGATGTCTAATTTATATCTTTTTATATTTCTTATCTCTTACCAAGTTATTGTAGCTATTATTATTATTATTTTTAATCTCTCTACTAAAGATATAAGTGGTTTACCATGTTAGCTTATTCTGCATTTGGATACTTACTTTTACTTATGGGTTTTGTACCTTTGGATGCTGCTTTTGCATGACACACCAGTGTCCTTTTCTTTCAGTTCAATGAACTCTGTTCAGCATTTCTCGTATGGCAGGTCAGGTTGCAACCCATTCCCTTAAATTTTATTTGTCTGGAAATGTATTTATCTCTCCAAAGCTATTTCTGAAGTATAGCTTTGCTGCATACAGTATTCCCAGTTGAGAGGTTGCTTTTTTCCTTCAGCACTTTGAGTTTATCATGTCTCTCTTTCCTCGCCTGTAGGGTTTCTGCTGAGAAGTCTGCTGCCATACATATTGGAATTCCCTTATATGTGTCACTTGCTTTTTGTCTCTTGCTGCTTTCTGAATTCTCTCTTTGTCTTTAATCTTTGAGAGTTTGATAATAATATGCCTTGATGTTATCTTATTTGGATTAAATATGACTGGTGACTTTTGATATTTCGTATCTGGATATTTTTATTTTTTTCTAGGTTTGGAAAGTTTTCTCATTTTTTTGAATAAGCTATTCAACATTTTCATTCTCTAGTGCTTTTTAAAAGACAATGACATGTAGAATTACGCTTTTTGGTGGTGTCCCATAGATCTTATACATTTTCTTCGTTCTCCCTCATTCTTTTTTTCTTTTATTCTCCACTGACTGTATTTTCACAAAGTCTATGTTCAAAGTCACAAATTATTTCTTCAGTTTTATCAGTTCTGCTGTTGACTTTATTGCATTTTCATTTGGCTTATTGAACTTTAATGCTTCTGAATTTATTTTATATTTCAATCTCTCTTTTGAATTTCTCTGCTAAACTTCTGAATTGTTTTTCTGTGTGTGTTTTTTTTTTTTTTTTGAAATTCACTGAGTCTCCTTAAAACAACCACTTTGAATACTTTGTCTGCCAGTGCATTCATCTGTCTGTCTTTTGTTCAGTTGCTGGTTCTTTGTTTTGTCCATTTGGTTAGGCCATCTCTTCTAGGCTTTTCTTATTCCTTGCAAATATTCATCACTGCCTATGCATTGATGAATCAGGTATGCGTTCCAGTATCTGTGGCCAAAATTTGTGACTTTTCTATTTTAGTTGGCTTGTTGACAAGTTCTGAGCTGACTGTCACATTCTATTTAGCACTTAAAGGGGCCCTAAGCCCAGGTTACATATGAATCTTGTGATGTTTCTGCTGCTAATGCAATGTATTACCAGGATGTGTCCATGGGACATCAATGGAGGGTACCTGGGCCATGTGGGAGAGCTAGCCAGGTCTTCAAGTCCAGAAGATCTGTGGACCATGCTTCCTGCAGCAAGGTGCCCCTAAACAGCCTCTCTGTTGTGGCATCTCTTCTGGCAAGTATGAAGAGTCACTGTCAAATTTTGTGCACTGTCAACTCCTAGAGTCGTGTAAAATTTTGTGCACTGGCAGCTGCTAGACTTACCTTCTCTCTTTGTCCCTAGCTGGCCTCAGATGGTTCAGCTCTGTCAGTTTTTGCATGCTTCTCATAGTTTAATGCAAGAACCAGTCTCCAGCAGAGGGACCCAGGATGGTCAGAAAGCTAAAGCCTGCCTCCATCTCACTTTTTCTAGTGTAGAAACCATAAGTACAAGGGAACTTTCCACATATGGTATCATAATGGCTCAGGGGAAGTGGTATCATAGTCATAGAGAATCAATCCCCCTATTGTCCAAGTACAGATTTACATGTCTTTGTAGTCCAAGGAGGTTTTACAGCTTTGCTTGTTTGTTCAGATTTCTGTAGCTTTTGTGAAGATAATTTCATGCATGAACAGTTGGAATTGAGGTTTCTGTCAAGAGATGACTGCTGGAGAGCCCCACTTGCCATCATGCTCCATCTAAGTTGGTTCTTTTAAATGGCATTGAAGATGCAGCTCCTCTCCATCTAAAACTTATTTATGGTGATTGTTTTTTATTGTCCATCTCTTCCTATAAAAATGTAAGCTCCAGAAGGACAGAGAATTTTGTTTTTGTTAGTTGATAGACTTCAATTGCCTAGAATAGTGTCTGACACATAGTAGGCACTCACTAAATAACTGTTAAATCAGAATGCTTTTGCAGAAACCCAAATCAAAGCTCATTAGCTACCACCATTTTAAACCTACTTTTCTTACTGAATTCTTCATTTTGATTAATGACAAACATATCCATTCAACTATCTAAGCTGAAATTCTCTGAGTTAATACATCCTTTAATGTAAGGTCTTATTGTTGGTCAGTAAAAACATCCTCTCGATTTACCTCAAGTATCTTTCTAACTCATATTACTCTTTCTTGTAACTCATTGCCACTGTCTTCATGTAGGATCTCTTCATCTGACTTTGTACTATATCATACCTCTAGAGTGATCTGGAAATAATAGATGAGAGTCAGATATTTTGGCTGGAAAGTCTAGCTTTGCTTTTAATTAGCAGCGTGATTGAGTCTCTAATTTTCTTCATCTGCAAAATGGAGTGACCAATACATCTTCCTCATGGAGTCTTACGAGCATTAAAAAATAACTTATAAAAATG
Source organism: Homo sapiens (assembly GCF_000001405.40). Taxonomy (NCBI): domain Eukaryota; kingdom Metazoa; phylum Chordata; class Mammalia; order Primates; family Hominidae; genus Homo; species Homo sapiens. The sequence goes on along the minus strand of NC_000008.11, from coordinate 78,452,563 downwards.
ATTAGAAAAGTTATCAGGGCATAGTAAATGTTCAGTAAATATTAAATATTGTTATTTTCAGTCTTTCCTCTTTTGTTTCATGATTCCACTCTTACTAGATTTACTTTTCTAAAGCAGGTTGATCAATCTCAATCTATTAAATATACACAAATTTCATTTTTTACCATCATTTCCATATTACCTACTAAATTTTTAGCTCAACAGTATTACAAATAGGTAGTGAGGCATGTGAGTGGGTGTATGTGTGTGTGTGCTGTTATAACAAAGATAAAGCAAAAGAATAGAGTTGCATTATAATAGAAAAAAATGGATAAAGCAAAGATTAGGGAGAGGTGTAGAAAATTTCCTAGAGCATTTGATTAAAAGGTTGGTAGTTTAAATATATTGCGTAGATATAACAGACTTCTTCTAATCCTACATTTCATGGAGAACAGGAGGAAGATAAAGAAAATCACGTTTAATTCAAGTGTCTTGCTGATGTCTAGTGGTTATATGTGGTATATATGTAGGGAGAGGTGAATGTCATAGTACTTTAGAGGAGAAAAGAATCTTAGAGAATATTTAAATCAATGTTTCTTAGATTGGGTGATTTATGAAATTTAAAAGCAGCAAACAAAATTCTTGTAGTTTCTTTGGTGTTGACCTAAATAATTTTTATCTTCTAAATATTTATAAACATAAAATTAGTATAATTCTAAGCTCCAATAAAATTATACTACCAAGACAAATTAATAAAATAAAATTGTATTGAGGACCTCAGATTAATAATACTAATGTGATAAGTGACAGATGATTTTAATATGTTACATGTGGTTCTTTTGCTAAAATTCAATTTTGTCTCAAACTTGTAAAAGCTGAAAATGATCCTGAATTATTACATATTATTTTTTCTTCGGCATATTTATATTGCCTATACTAATATATGGGAAGGCTCAATTCTCTCACAATTTTATCTCGTACTCCTGTGAAATCTTATGTCTACTGCTTGTCTTGATATGTGTTATTCTTCAATTGGTGGGAAGAAATTGTTTGCATTTTATTCCATGAACTGTTTTTGCCAGACTATTTCAGTTAATGAGATACTGCTTGGCATAAGTACAGATGGAACTATGAGTTCTCAAATTCATGTTTGTTGTGGGTTATGAAGCATCTTACAGATAATACAAAAATGCTGATATTCTTTTTTTAGGGGGTTTTAAAACTTTTATTATTATTTTTAATTAAACAAGAATTATATATACTTATGGGGTACAATGTGATATTTCAACATTTGTATACAATGCATAATGACCAAATCAGGATAATTAGCATATCTATGACCTCAGACATTTATTATTTCCTTGTGTTGGGGACATTAAAAATCTTCTAGCAATTTGAAAATATACAAAAAATTATTGTTAATTATAATCACTGTACAGTGCTACAGAACACTAAACTTATTCTTCCTATCTACCTGTGATTTTGTTTTGGTTAACCAAGTTCTTCATATCCCCTTTCCCCCACTACTCTTTCCAGCCTCTATTAACCACTATTGTACTGTCTGCTTCTATGAGATCAACTTTTTTTTTTTAAATTATACTTTAAGTTCTAGGGTACACGTGACAACGTGTAGGTTTGTTACATATGTAGACGTGTGCCATGTTGGTGTACTGCACCCATTAACTCATCATTTACATTAGGTGTATCCCTTAATGCTGTCCCTCCTCTCTCCCCCCCACTCCATGACAGGCCCCAGTGTGTGATGTTCCCCACCCTGTGTCCAAGTGTTCTCATTGTTCATTTCCCACTGATGAGTGAGAACATGTGGTGTTTGGTTTTCTGTCCTTGAGATAGTTTGCTCAGAATGATGGTTTCCAGCTTCATCCATGTCCCTACAAAGGACATGAACTCATCCGTTTTTATGGCTGCATAGTATTCCATGGTGTATATGTGCCACATTTTCTTAATGCAGTCTATCATTGATGGACATTTGGCTTGGTTCCAAGTCTTTGCTATTGTGAATAGTGCTGCAGTAAACATACGTGTGCATGTGTCTTTATAGCAGCATGATTCATAATCCTTTGTGTATATGCCCAGTAACGGGATGGCTGGGTCAAATGGTATTTCTAGTTCTAGATCCTTGAGGAATCTCCACACTGTCTTCCACAATGGTTGAACTAGTTTACAGTCCCAGCAACAGTGTAAAAGTGTTCCTATTTCTCCACATCCTCTCCAGCACCTGTTGTTTCCTGACCTTTTAATGATTGCCATTCTAACTGGTGTGAGATGGTATCTCATTGTGGTTTTGATTTGCATTTCTCTGATGGCCAGTGATGATGAGCATTTTTTCATGTGTCTGTTGGCTGCTTAAATGTCTTCTTTTGAGAAGTATCTGTTCATATCTTTAGCCTACTTTTTGATAGGGTTGATTTTTTTCTTGTAAATTTGTTTAAGTTCTTTGTAGACTCTGGATATTAGCCCTTTGTCAGATGGGTAGATTGCAAAAACTTTCTCCCATTCTGTAGGTTGCCTGTTCACTCTGATGGTAGTTTCTTTTGCTGTGCAGAAGCTCTTTAGTTTAATTAGATCCCATTTGTCAATTTTGTCTTTTGTTGCCATTGCTTTTGGTGTTTTAGTCATGAAGTCCTTGCCCATGCCTATGTCCTGAATGGTATTGCCTAGGCTTTCTTCTAGGGTTTTTATGGTTTTAGGCCTAACATTTAAGTCTTTAATCCATCTTGAATTGATTTTTGTATAAGATGTAAGGAAGGGATCCAGTTTCAGCTTTCTAGATATGGCTAGCCAGTTTTCCCAGCACCATTTATTAAATAAGGAATCCTTTCCCCATATCTTGTTTTTTTTTCAGGTTTTCAAAGATCAGATGGTTTTAGATGTGTGGTATTATTTCTGAGGGCTCTATTCTGTTCCATTGGTCTATATATCTGTTTTGGTACCAATACCATGCTGTTTTGGTTACTGAAGCCTTGTAGTATAGTCTGAAGTCAGGTAGCATGATGCCTCCAGCTTTGTTTTTTTGGCTTAGTATTGTCTTGACAATGTGGGCTCTTTTTTGGTTCCATATGAACTTTAAAGTAGTTTTTTACAATTTTGTGAAGAAAGTCATTGGTAGCTTGATGGGGATGGCATTGAATCTATAAATAACCTGGGAAGTATGGCCTTTTTCACAATATTGATTCTTCCTATCCATGAGCATGGAATGTTCTTCCATTTGTTTGTGTCCTCTTTTAGTTCATTGAGCAGTGGTTTGTAGTTCTCCTTGAAGAGGTCCTTCATGTCCCTTGTAAGTTGGATTCCTAGGTATTTTATTCTCTTTGAAGCAATTGTGAATGGGAGTTCACTCATGATTTGGCTCTCTGTTTGTCTGTTATTTGTGTATAGGAATGTTTGTGATTTTTGCACATTCATTTTGTATCCTGAGACTTTGCTGAAGTTGCTTATCAGCTTAAGGAGATTTTGGGCTGAGATGGTGGGGTTTTCTAAATATACAATCATGTCATCTGCAAACAGGGACAATTTGACTTCCTCTTTTCCTAATTGAATATACCCTTTATTTCTTTCTTTTGCCTGATTGCTCTGGCCAGAACTTCCAACACTGTGTTGAATAGGAATGGTGAGAGAGGGCATCCCTGTCTTGTGTCAGTTTTCAAAGGGAATGCTTCTAGTTTTTGCCCATTAAGTATGATATTGGCTGTAGGTTTGTCATAAATAGCTCTTATTATTTTGAGATATGTCCCATCAATACCTAGTTTATTGAGAGTTTTTAACATGAAGGCTGTTGAGTTTTCTCAAAAGCCTTTTCTGCATCTGTTGAGATAATCATGTGGTTTTTGTCTTTGGTTCTGTTTATATGATGGATTATGTTTATTGAATTGTGTATATTGAACCAGCCTTGCATCCCAGAGATGAAGCCAACTTGATCTTGGTGGACAAGCTTTTTGATGTGCTGCTGGATTCGGTTTGCCAGTATTTTATTGAGGATTTTTGCATCGATGTTCATCAGGGATATTGGTCTAAAATTCTCTTTTTTTGTTGTGTCTCTGCCAGGCTTTGGTATCAGGATGATGTTGGCCTCATAAAATGAATTAGGGAGGATTCCCTCTTTTTCTATTGATGGGAAGCGTTTCAGAAGGAATGGTACCAGCTCCTCTTTGTACTTCTGGTAGAATTCGGGTGTGAATCCATCTGGTCCTGGACTTTTTTTGGTTGGTAGGCTATTAATTATTGCCTCAATTTCAGAACCTGTTATTGGTCTATTCAGGGATTTACTTTCTTCCCGGTTTAGTCTTGGGAGGGTGTATGTGTCCAGAAATTTATCCATTTCTTCTAGATTTTCTAGTTTATTTGCATAGAAGTGTTTATAGTATTCTCTGATGATATTATGTATTTCTTTGGGATTGGTGGTGATATCCCCTTTTTCATTTTTTATAGCGTTATTTGATTCTTCTCTCTTTTCTTCTTTATTAGTCTTGCTAGCAGTCTATCAATTTTGTTGATCTTTTCAAAAAACTAGCTGCTGGATTCATTGATTTTTTGAAGGGTTTTCTGTGTCTCTATCCCCTTCAGTTCTGCTCTGATCTTAGTTATTTCTTCTCTTCTGCTAGCTTTTGAATGTGTTTGCTCTTGCTTCTCTAGTTCTTTTAATTGTGATGTTAGGGTGTCGGTTTTAGATCTTTCCTGCTTTCTCTTGTGGGCATTTACTGCTATAAATTTCCCTCTACACACTGCTTTAAATGTGTCCCAGAGAGTCTGGTATGTTGTGTCTTTGTTCTCATTGGTTTCAAAGAACATCTTTATTTCTGCCTCCATTTCGTTATGTACCCAGTAGTCATTCAGGAGCAGGTTGTTCAGTTTCCATGTAGTTGAGCAGTTTTGAGCGATTTTCTTAATCCTGAGTTCTAGTTTGATGGCACTGTGGTCTGAGAGACAGTTTGTTATAATTTCTGTTGTTTTACATTTGGTGAGGAGAGCTTTACTTCCAAGTATGTGGTCAATTTTGGAATAAGTGTGATGTGGTGCTGAGAAGAATGTATATTTTGTTAATTTGGGGTGGAGAGTTCTGTAGATGTCTATTAGGTCTGATTGGTGCAGAGCTGAGTTCAATTCCTGGATATCTTTGTTAACTTTCTGTCTCATTGATCTGTCTAATGTTGACAGTGGGGTGTTAAAGTCTCCCATTATTATTGTGTGGGAGTCTAAGTCTCTTTGTAGGTCTCTAAGGACTTGCTTTATGAATCTGGGTGCTCCTGTATTGGGTGCATATATATTTAGGATAGTTAGCTCTTCTTGTTGAATTCATCCCTTTACCATTATGAAATGGCCTTCTTTGTCTGTTTTTATCTTTGTTGGTTTAAAGTCTGTTTTATCAGAGACTAGGATTGCAACCCCTGCTTTTTTTTGTTTTCCATTTGTTTGATAGATCTTCCTCCATCCCTTTATTTTGAGCCTATGTGTGTCTCTGCACGTGAGATCAGTCTCCTGAATACAGCACACTGATGAGTCTTGAGTCTGTATCCAATTTGCCAGTCTGTGTCTTTTAATTGGAGCATTTGGCCCATTTACATTTAAGGTTAATATTATTATGTGTTAATTTGATCCTGTCATTATGATGTTAGCTTGTTATTTTGCTCGTTAGTTGATGCAGTTTCTTCCTAGTATTGATGGTGTTTACAATTTGGCATGTTTTTGCAGTGACTAGTACTGGTTGTTCCTTTCCATGTTTAGTGCTTCCTTCATGAGCTCTTGTAAGGCAGGCCTAGTGGTGAGAAAATCTCTCAGCATTTGTTTATCTGTAAAGGATTATATTTCTCCTTCACTTATGAAGCTTAGTTTGACTGGATATGAAATTCTGGGTTGAAAATTCTTTTATTAAGAATGTTGAATATTGGCCCGCACTCTCTTCTGGCTCATAGTGTTTCCACCAAGAGATCTGCTGTTAGTCTGATGGGTTTCCCTTTGTAGATAACCCGACCTTTCTCTCTGGCTGCCCTTAACATTTTTTCCTTCATTTCTACCTTGGTGAATCTGACAATTATGTGTCTTGGAGTTGCTCTTCTCAAGGAGTATCTTTGTGGTGTTCTCTGCATTTCCTGAATTTGAATGTTGGCCTCCCTCGCTAGGTTGGGGATGTTCTCCTGGATAATATCCTGAAGTGTTTTCCAACTTGGTTCCATTCTCCCCATCACTTTCAGGTACACCAATCAGACGTAGATTTGGTCTTTTCACATAGTCCCATATTTCTTGGATGCTTTGTTGGTTTCTTTTTACTCTTTTTTCTCTAAACTTCTCTTCTCACTTCATTTCATTCATTTGATCTTCAATCACTGATACCCTGTCTTCCACTTGATCGAATTGGCTAATGAAGCTTGTGCATGTGTCACGCAGTTCTCATGCCATGGTTTTCAGCTCCATCAGGTCATTTAAGGTCTTCTCTACACTGGTTATTCTAGTTAGCCATTCGTCTAATCTTTTTTCAAGGTTTTTAGCTTCTTTGTGATGGGTTCAAACGTCCTCCTTAGCTCGGAGAAGTTTGTTATTACCAATCATCTGAAACCTTCTTCTCTCAACTCGTCAAAGTCATTCTCCATCCAGCTTTGTTCCATTGCTGGAGAGGAACTGCGTTCCTTTGGAGGAGAAGGGGCACTCTGATTTTTAGAATTTTCAGCTTTTCTGCTCTGGTTTCTCCCCATCTTTGTGTTTTCTATCTACCTTTGATCTTTGATGATGGTGACATACAGATGGGGTTTTGTTGTGGATGTCCTTTCCGTTAGTTTTCCTTCTAACAGTCAGGACCTTCAGCTGCAGGTCTGTTGGAGTTTGCTGGAGGTCCACTCCAGACCCTGTTCGCCTGGGTATCACCAGCAGAGGCTGCAGAACAGCAAATATCGCAGAACGGCAAATGTTGCTGCCTGATCATTCCTTTAGAAGCTTCATCTCAGAGGGGCACCCAGCTATATGAGGTGTCAGTTGGCCCCAAGTGGGAGGTATCTCCCAGTTAGGCTACTTGGGGGTCAGGGACACACTTGAAGAGGCAGTCTGTCCGTTCTCAGATCTCAAACTCTGTGCTGGGAGAAGCACTACTCTCTTCAAAGCTGTCAGACAGGGACTTTTAAGTCTGCAAAAGTTTCTGCTGCCTTTTGTTCAGCTATGCCCTGCCCCCAGAGGTGGAGTCTACAGAAGCAGGCAGGCCTCCTTGAGCTGTGGTGGGCTCCACCCAGTTCGAGCTTCCTGGCTGCTTTGTTTACCTACTCAAGCCTCAGCAAGGGCAGACGCCCCTCCCCCAGCCTCGCTGCTGTCTTGCAGTTCGATCTCAGACTGCTGTGCTAGCAGTGAGCGAGGGTCTGTGGGCATGCGACCCGCTGAGCCAGGCACTGGATGTAATCTCCTGGTGTGCAGTTTGCTAAGGCCATTGGAAAAGCGCAGTATTAGGGTGGGAGTGTCCTGATTTTCCAGGTACCATCTGTCATGGCTTCCCTTTGCTAGGAGAGGGAATTCCCCAACCTCTTGTGCTTCCCGTGTGAGGCGATGCCCTACCCTGCTCCGTGGGCTGCACCCACTGTCTGACAAGCCCCAGTGAGATGGAACTGGTACCTCAGTTGGAAATGCAGAAATCACTGGTCTTCTGTGTTGCTCATGCTGGGAGCTGCAGACTGGAGCTGTTCCTATTTGGCCATCTTGGAACCCGAAAAATGCTGATATTCTTAAAAGAATAAAACTCTGAGGTAGGAATTGTAAGTCAGGAGGAATATGTCCACTGATTACTCTGAGACTTTAGTTTTACAAGCACTGTTTACTCTAACTTCTTTATATTTTAAATTAGAAAACTGAAACCAGATAAATGAGCTTATATACTTAGGTATCAAATTTAATGCCAATGCTCAGAGTAAGACCAAGGTCTTTATTCTTTCAGGAGATTGTGTTTTCACTAAATCACTTTGTTTTAGACAGAGAAGGAAAGAGAGGAGGAGCTAAATGGTTTTCTCTGCTTTTGCATCAGATTTTAGGTAAGATAATAGCATTTTATCTAGCACTTTTAAAATCACGACTTTGTTAAAAGTGGAGTATTATTTTTAGTCATTTCTGAAACAGCAAGAACAAACTGAATTTATCTATCTATCTGCATTGTATCATCCATCTATAATTTTTAATGTAGGTAATTTGGATCAGTAAGTGAGTTGAAAACAGATTTTAGGGTATTTAATATTATGAATAATTATCCTGATTATTTTTCTCTAACCCCTCATCTAAAAGATATCTTTACCTTGTTCCTGAGTGGTAGGAAATCATACAGTCTTTTATTATTAAGTATGATGTTAGTTCTAGGTTTTTCCCAGGTGCTTCGTTAGAAGTTCATCAATTTTATTTTTCTTCTGAAAGGACTAGTTTTTGGTTTCATTGATTTTCTCTGTTATTTTTCTGTTTTCTCTTTATTTGATTCACACTGGTCTTTTTACTTTACATTGTTTTGGATTTGTTTTGCTGTTTATTTTCTGATGTTTATTTCTTATTAAATCTCTTTTAAAAATTGTTGACTCTTTAAATAAATGTTATGTACTGTATTTTGGAGTTTATAACATAAATAAAATTAGAAGATAGAATAACAAAACACAAAAGCCAAGGTGAGAGAAATGGAAGCATACTATTTCAAGATTCTTATTTTATATATATGGCAATTTAATATCACTTGAAAGCCATATTTTGTTTTGTTTAATTTTGATTGCCACTATAGTATACACTAAACACACACACAAATATTCACACTCACTCTCAAAAAATAAAAAACGACTATAGAGAAATGAGAACAAAAAAGGAAAAAGAGTAGACATATCAGGTGGCAGATTTAAACCTAACCATTATCAATAATTACATTAAAGGAAAATGATCTACATACTTCAGTTAAATATAAGAGATTGCCAAATAGGATATAAAAGCAATATTTATCAAAATGCTGCCTATTATAAACACACTTTAACCAGTTAAATAACCAGTTATATAACAAAAGTAACCAGTTATATAATGAAACATTTAAGTTAAAAGCAAAGGATTGGAAGACATATGTACCAAGCTGGAGTGCCTGTAATAACATCAGGCAAAGTATAATAGATACCACAGCACAAAGAATAGAGCAGGAATAAAGAGTATTATTTCAACATGGCAAATAGGTCAATTAATCAAAAAGAAATAATACTTCCAAATATTTATGCTCCTGAAAAGAGAAATTTAAGATACCTGAGGAAAAATGAGAAATGAGACCACCTACAATTACAGAAGAATTCAGCTTCCCTGTTTTATTATTAGTGAAACAGATAGACAGAAAATCATTCAGATCATAGAGAATTTAACCAACTCTATCAAAAATCTTATGTACTTAATCTCACCTAGTGTAGTTTTTATCTCAAACATTGTGTTTGAAACTTTTGAAGGGTAATTTTGATATTTATCTTCCATCTCTCTACTTAATATGCTCATTTCCACTCTGTTTTATTGTACATATGGTTTATAGTTACAGTGATTACTTTAATGATCTTGTCTACAGTGTTTTATCTGTAAAATATATAGTCTCAATTGATTAATTGATTTTACCTCTCATTATGGGTTGTATTTTTCAGCTTGATTGTTTGCCTGGTACATTTTGATGGGTTATTAGATATTATGAATTTACCTTTTCTGTGCTGCATATTTTTTATTTCTGAAAGTATTCTTGGGATTTGTTCAGTGACATAGGTAAGTCACTTTGAAACAGTTGGGTCTTTTGGATATTGCTTTGTTTTTGGAAGAAGAGTAGTCAAGGGCTAATTTTATATGATCACTGAGGAAACTGAGGTTTGAAATGTTCCCAACACATAGAAATAATTAATACTTCAGGTGATTAATACACTAAATACCTTGACTTGATCATTATTCATTCTATGCATGTAACAAAATATCCCATGTACCCAATAAATATGTACAAATATTATATACCAATAAAATATAATGGGTTTTATGTGTTAAAAACTTTATACAAATTATTATTTTTATATATAGAAAGATATCTTTTTTTTCTTTATGTTGATGCCAAAATTGATCCAGAGTGATATATATAGTCTTATTTTTTTTCATTTTAACTTCAAGAATTAATGCAACTAAACCTCAAACATGTGAAGAGTCAGATGAAAATCATTGACCTCTGTGTGGGACAAAACAGCTGTGGGACATCATGAGAGTAGAATTTTGCTGTGTAAAGGAAGAAATGTTTTAATAGTTGGAACTGACCAAAAACGGGATGAGTTACTCACTATAGAAAATGTTCGATGAAAGCATATGAAGATCGATCATACTAATAAAGATTCCTTGATTTTGAGGAAATCGTGTGTCCCACAGATTCTTACCAGCTCAATTACTCCTAGATGTCAAAGGAAGGTTAGAGTTTCCTTAACCCTAACTAAAGATTTACTGATCATTTTAAAGTGCCACATGCTTCAAATTTCATCTAGAAAAGTAGCACAAAAATCCATAGGCTCAAAGGTGGCAGCGTATGTCTGGCTTAAGTATTTAAAGTTAAAATGCTGAAGATTTGCAATTCTATTTCCTTTATAGACCATTGATAAAATGATTTTCCTATTTTTACAAATGTTCAAAAATAGATTTATCAAAAACCATCACAAAATTCTTTTAATACGTATGAAATCTTTTTCAATTCAAATGCACTGTGTTTTAGGAGCTTACAATACAAATTTCTTAGTTAATTCATCAGAATACTTGTTGAGCACCTTATCATTTGCAAGTACAATGATAAGCACATGGACTGTGTCTTCAAGATGCTCACTGGGAAGTTTTACATCTAAATGAGTAATCATCATGCTGTTTGGTGATTTAAGAAGAGAGGAGTTACTGTCTACGAAGGACCTCCCAGAGGATATGGTAATTTACATGGTCGTTGAAGAATGAGAAATCACCCTGAAGAACTAATATGGATAAGACCATTTCAGCTGGGAAGAACAACATGTTCAAAATAACTAATTTGCATGTTTTGAGAACTGTATGCAATATGATAATGTTGCAGTAAAAATGAGAAAGGGAAACAGTGGAGATGAGGCTGATAGGGCTAGATTATAAAGAGTTTTCTGTGCCATTTTAGTAAAATTAAACTTTATTTTCTAACACAATGGTAAGCCAATGAATTATTTAATCTTACTTTATTACCAAGGTTGTAACAATCAAAACACAAGAAGGTTGGGAAGTCAGGTAACAATAAAGTAGTTCTGAGAAAAAGCACAGATACTGCTCAGAACAAGGAAAGAACAGTAACTTAATAAAAGGAGGAAGGTGGGTTCCATGTTTTGAGGTCAGAGAATATAATTTGCCTATTATGACTAAAATTTTGACTACCCTGGCTAGCATCAAAATAGCACATAAAGCATTGCCTTAATTACCCTCAGGTTGAACTACAGACAATTTAGTTAAGGAAAGGGGGAATATGGCATGCTTTTGATTTTAGGAATTTATAGTCTAGAGGGTCAGCTTACTATTTTTTTCAATTTATATTTTCTGATAGATTACCACCAAAATCATAGAATTTTAAAATCAGTTTAAACTTCATGGATATTATACAAAAATCTGGAAAAGACAGGCAATAGGCAATTAGAATGGGCTATATTCTGGGGGTATTTTATATGTCTTTTTATGTGTTTTACTATGCATCACATGAACTGTTACTCCAACAAAAAACAAGATTTGAAATTAATGATAATTATGATAGTATAAATAAAACAGAATATTTTATAAAAATTAATATATTACAGAAATAGTACACTAGAAATGAGTTTGTTTTCTTAGTCTAAAAATTTGTTGCATTCAGTAATTAAAAGTTTAAAAAAGTATAGTATAATTATTAGTGGGACAAGAAGTTCTTTAATATTGTAATTTAAAGATGGATTTAATGGAAATAAAATAGGTTTAAAGTTGCGACCATGCTTTTGACTATACACAGTTTATCAAAAGTGAAAACTCCCTTACTATGAACCATTTGAAATTATGCTTTCATCACTTCTGGGAGATGTGCTTTTATTACTAGCAGCAGAGAATAAAATGGAAAACTAATTTAGGTGAAAATTATTTTCACAGTAACTCCATTTTAACCAGATAAAAATATCTTTTATAAAGAAAAACTAACATTAATAAATTATGTTATTCTTAATTGCAAAATGTCAAAGAAATAAAAAATATTTATGTGCCATTTTTTATAGAAAACTTTTTTTTATTAATTTGATTTGGGAGAACCAACCATGGATAATTTTATTTTATTTTATTTTATTTTATTTTTTATTATACTTTAAGTTTTAGGGTACATGTGCACATTGTGCAGGTTAGTCACATATGTATACACGTGCCATGCTGGTGCACTGCACCCACTAACTCGTCATCTAGCATTAGGTATATCTCCCAATGCTATCCCTCTCCCCTCCCCCCACCCCACAACAGTCCCCAGAGTGTGATATTCCCCTTCCTGTGTCCATGTGATCTCATTGTTCAATTCCCACCTATGAGTGAGAATATGTGGTGTTTGGTTTTTTGTTCTTGCGATAGTTTACTGAGAATGATGATTTCCAATTTCATCCACGTCCCTACAAAGGACATGAACTCATCATTTTTTATGGCTGCATAGTATTCCATGGTGTATATGTGCCACATTTTCTTAATCCAGTCTATCATTGTTGGACATTTGGGTTGGTTCCAAGTCTTTGCTATTGTGAATAATGCCGCAATAAACATACGTGTGCATGTGTGTTTATAGCAGCATGATTCATAAACAATGATGCCAATCACAAAACGGTGAACTAGAGACGGTATATTGAAAGGGTGGCCTGCCCCTCCACACCTGTGGGCGTTTCTTGTCAGGTGGAACGAGAGACTTGAGAAAAGAAAAAGACATAGAGACAAAGTATAGAGAAAGAGAAGTGGGCCCAGGGGACCGGTGCTCAGCATACAGAGGACCCACGCTGGCACTGGTCTCTGAGTTCCCTTAGTATTTATTCATCATTATCTCTACCATCTCGGAGAGGGGGATGTGGCAGGACAACTGGGTAATAGTGGAGAGAGGGTCAGCAGGAAAACGTGAACAAATGTCTCTGCATCATAAACAAGGTAAAGAAAAAGGTGCTGTGCTTTTGATGTGCTCATACGTAAACATCTCAGTATTGCCACCAGCATGTCTCACCTGCAGCCCTAAGGTTGTTTTCTCCTATCTCAGTAGGTGGAATATACAATCGGGTTTTACACCGAGACATTCCATTGCCCAGGGACGAGCAGGAGACAGATGCCTTCCTCTTATCTCAACTGCAAAGAAGTCTTCCTCTTTTACTAATCCTCCTCAGCACAGACCATTTAGGGTTGTCGGTTGTCGGGCTGGGGGACGGTCAGGTCTTTCCCTTCCCAGGAGGCCATATTTCAGACTATCACATGGGGAGAAACCTTGGACAATACCTGGCTTTCCTAGGCAGAGGTCCCTGCGGCCTTCTGTAGTGTTTTGTGTCCCTGGGTACTTGAGAGTAGGAAGTGGTGATGACTTTTAACAAGCATGCTGCCTTCAAGCATTTGTTTAACAAAGCACATCCTGCATAGCCCTAAAACTTAATCCATTAAACCTTGAGTCGACACAGCATATGTTTCTGCGAGCACAGGGTTGGGGGTAAGGTTACAGATTAACAGCCTCTCAAGCCAAAAGAATTTTTCTTAGTACAGAACAAAATGGAGTCTCTTATGTCTACTTCTTTCTACAAAGACACAGTAACAGTCTGATCTCTCTTTCTTTTCCCCACATATATACTAGACATTTATAGCCTTACAATTTTGTTCTTTTGGCAACAAGTATCCAAGGATATTCCTTCCCTACTAGCCTAAGCTTCTGTGCCAGTACTGGCACAGTTTGGCTCAAGATCCATTTCTCCCCATTCCACTGCTCTGCTTTATGTGCCTGGGAGGCTAATCCCTGCAGGCTGTCAAGTCTTCTTATTAAGATTTCTTTGTATCTCAAGTTTCCTTATTGAGAGATCTGGTAGGGGTCTATTCAGTAAGAGTCATTGGATAGAGATTGGAAGGCAGCAGGAAGAGAGAAGAAAGGGAAGAGAAGTTTCAGGTGTTCCATTTGTGTCTGGAGCCTGAATTGTTCCGGCTCCTCTTAGATAGTATTATTGAAAGAAATGGCAAAAAATGCAATAACTTTTGCACCAACCTAATAGTTACGTAATTCCACCTTCTACCAAGTGACAGCAGCCCCTGGGCTCTTCCCACACTGCCTCACCCATTTCTCTCTTCCACCCAGGATTTAGTAATGGCTCCCTGCTCTTGATAATCTCTGACTTTTTTCCCTGTTCCCTTCTATAATCTGTGTAATAACTTCTGTTATAAATTGAAATATTTTCTTAGATTTCAGTTGAATCAGATATTCAGTTGTCTCGTAAATTGGTTTTTTCTTCCCCAAACTACATAATGAATGTGATAGTTTATTTTATGTCACTTGACTGGGCTAAGGAACATCCAGATATCCAATAAAACATTATTTCTGGATGTGTCTGTGAGAATGTTTCTGGAAGAGATTAGCATTTGAATTAGTAGACTGAATATAGATAATAGCTTTCATTATCTAACCTGCCGAGGGCTCAACTGGAACAAAAACATACAGGAAGAGCAAATTTGCTCTCTCTTCTTGAGTGGGATATCCATCTTTTTCGGCCCTTGGACATCAGCGCCCTTGATTAACAGGACTTTGAATTCAGACTGGGACTTACACTGTTAGCTCCCCTGGTGCTCAGGCCTTCAGACTGGGACTGAATTACACTACTGACTTTACTGGTTCTCCAGCTTGCACAGCAAATCATGGGATTTTTTTGGCCAGGATAATTGCATGAGCTAATTTTTATAACCTCTCTCTCTTTCAAGTGCTGCATAACAATATTTCAGTCAATGAAAGGCTGCATATATGACAATGGTCTCATAAGAATATAATGAAGCTGAAAAATTCCTATTGACTAGTGATGTTGTAGCCATCAGAACACTGTAGTGCAATGGATTGCTCATTTGTTTGTGGTGATGCTGAGGTAAACAAACCCGCTGTGTTGCCAGTGGAATAAAAGTATAGCACATACAATTACATACAGTACATCATACTTGATAATGACAATAAATGACAATGTTACTGGTCTGCTATATATTTACTGTACTATACTTTTTTAAAAATTTGAATCCTTGATTACTGAAGCACCATTTATATATACCTCATCCAATGAATTTAAAATTTCTGCAAAATCAGAAACGTTAATGTTAAATTTCATTCTATATGTTTTGATTCTTACTGGAACCTTTTTAAACTGACACATCATCATTAAAGCATGTTGGAGTGTATTATATGATCAAAAGTTCAAAAATCTCTCAGTACATGTTTCTACAGTAGAAGACAAATTAAGAGCATAAATTTTGGTGTAAAATTGCAGGTGGTCTTTTCCAAAGATGAAAACTCTATACATTTGCCTGTAATGTCCTCTATGAATGTTTTACTTTGTATCAGGATAATTCTGTTTATTCTCTTTACTTACATTTAAAAAATTTTTTTTCCATAGGTTTTTGGGGAAACAGGTGGTATTTGGTTACATGAGTAAGTTCTTTAGTGGTGATTTGTGAGATTTTGGTGCACCCATCACCTAAGCAGTATACACTGAATCCAGTTTGTAGCCTTTTATCCCTCACCCCCCTCCCATCCTTTCCTCCGAGTTCTCAAAGTTTCTCGTATCATTCTTATGCTTTTGCATTCTCATAGCTTAGCTCCCACTTATGAGTGAGAACTTGTGATGTTTGGTTTTCCATTTCTGAGTTACTTCACTTAGAATAATAGTCTCCAATTCCATCAAGGTTACAGTGAATGCCATTAATTTGTTCCTTTTTATGCCTGAGTAGTATTCCATCATATATATATATATATATATATATATATATATATATATATATATATATATATATAAATAATCTCCCACAATTTCTTTATCCACTCATTGATAGATGGGCATTTGGGCTGCTTCTATAGTTTTGCAATTATGAATTGTGCTGCTATAAATGTGTGTGCAAGTATCTTTTTTTTGTGTAACAACTTCTTTTCCTCTGGGTAGATACCCAGTAGTGGGATTGCTGGATCAAATGGTAGTTCTACTTTTAGTTCTTTTAGGAATATCCACACTGTTTTCCATAGTGGTTGTACTAGTTTAGATTCCCACCAGCAGTGCAGAGGTGTTCCCTTTTCACTGCATCCACGCCAACATCTATTATTTTTAAATTTTTTATTATGGGTATTTTTGCAGGAGTAAGGTGGTATCACATTGTGGTTTTGATTTTAATTTCTCTGATCATTAGTGATGTTGAGCAGTTTTTCATATGTTTCTTGGCCATTTGTAAATAAAATACTTAGGAATATACCTAACCAAGGAGGTGAAAGACCTGTAAAGGAAAACTATAAAACACTGCTGAGTGAAATCATAGATGACACAAACAAATAGAAACACATCCCATGCTCATGGATGCGTAGAATCAATATTGTGAAAATGACCATACTGCCAAAAATAACCTATAAATTCAATGCAATTTCCATCAAAATGCCACCATCATTCACAGAACTAGAAAAAACAATTCTAAAATTCATATGGAACCAAAAAAGAGCCTGCATAGCCAAAAGCAAGACCAAGCAAAAAGAACAAATCTGGAGGCATCACATTACCCAACTTCAAACTATACTACAAGGCCAGAGTCACAAAAACAGCAAGGTACTGGTATAAAAATAGACACATAGACCAATGGAACAGAGAACACAGGAATAAACCCAAATAATTACAGCCAACTGATCTTCAACAAAGCAAACCAAAACATAAAGTGGGGAAAGGACACCCTATTCAACAAATGGTGCTGGTATAATTGGCAAGCCACATGTAGGAGAATGAAACTGGATTCTCATCTCTCACCTTATACAAAAATCAACTCAAAATGGGTCAAGGACTTAAAATATAAGACCTGAAACTATAAAAATTCTGGAAGATAACATCGGACAAACCCTTCTAGACATTGGCTTAGGCAAAGACTTCATGTCCAAGAACCCAAAAGGAATTGCAACAAAAAAAAGATAAATAGGTGGGACTTAATTAAATGAAAGAGCTTCTGTACAGCAAAAGCAACAATCAGCAATGTAAACAGACAGCCCACAGAGTGGGAGAAAATCTTGACTCTCTATACATCCGATAAAGGACTAATATCTAGAATCTACAAGGAACTCAAATGAGGAAGAAAAAACAAACAATCCCATCAAAAATTGGGCTAAGGACATGAATGGACAATTACTATACCATACTTTTAATTGTTATTTTAGTATATAATCCTTCTGCTTATTAAAAATAGTTATTTGTAAAACAGCCTCAGGCAGGTCCTTCAGGAGGTATTCCAGAAGAAGGCATTATTATCATAAGAGATATTATGTGTTATTGCCCCCAAAGAGTTCCAGTGGGACAAAATGTGAAAGTGGAAGACAGTGATATTGATTATTCTCACTCTGTGTAGGCCTAGGCTGATGTGGGTATTTGTGTGGTAGTTTTTAAACAAAAAGTTTCAAAAGTAAAATAAAAATACTTAAAAATAGACGAAAACTTATAGAATAAGGATGTAAAGAAGGAAAACTTTTTTTACAGCTATACCAATATGTTTGTGATTTAAGTGTTATTTTAAGAGTCAAAACTTAAAATATTAAAAGGCTTATAAATTTAAAAAGTAACTATAATAGATTAATTTATTAATGAATAAAAAATACTTTTTAAAATATAGTATATCCTAAGGATATAGTGTTTTTAAAGTCTACAGCAGTGTATAGTAATATCCTAAGCCTTCACTTCATTCACTCACCACTCACTGACTCACTCATAGCAATTTCTAGTCCTGCAATCTCTCTTCATGGCAAGCATCTTATACAGGTGTACAATGAAAAAATATTCTATGCTGTATATTTACTGTACCTTTTTAGTTTAGATATGTTTAGACATACAAATACTATGGTGTTACAATTACCTACAGTATTCATGCTGTACACATCTGTAGTCTTGGAGCAATAGGCTGTGCCATATAGTCTAGGTGTGTAGTAGGCAAAACCATCTAGGTTTTTGGAAGTGTACTCTGTGATGTTCACACAACAATGAAATTGCCTGACAATGCATTTCTCAGAAAATATTGTTGTTAAGCAACATATATATATATAGATAGATATATGAATATGTATACATATATGAATTCAAATAGTATATAAATATATGTTACTTAACATGTAATATATTTAAATATATTCAAATAGTGTATATATATGTTAATAGTTCTATTTCTCTGAGGAAACTTAATACAACGAAGTAAAAGCAAGATATGATGTCATTGGAATGGAAAGAGACCATGTCAGTATGTGAGATGAATAGAATTATGATAAGATGGAATTTAAATATTTGAACATTATATAGCGTCTAACATAGGAATCGTCTTGCCCTGCCAGAAGGAGGTTATAGGTGACCAGAGAGCTCTCTTTCATCTCCAGTGACGATGGTTCCCAAGCTTCCATGATAAGTGCTAGTCTCAGACTGGGAGTGGGAGGTCTGTGAACATTTTATCAGGGCAGAAACCATCTCTTTTTTGATAACTCCCATTGGTGATAGGAAACTTTAATACCATTACAGCTGAGGGAGACTTTTGTTCATCCGTGGGATAAATGTTAGCTTTAATAATCTGTCTTGAACAGTGTTACAGAGGCCAAAGGAGGGCAGCATATGCCCAAAGCCAAGCTGAGATTAGCACTGTGATTCTACTGAAAGAATGCTGGAGACCAAGTCCCAAAAGGAGATCGTGACTGATGTTAAACGAGAACAAATTACTACTATTTCCATATATAAGGCCTGTCTCTGAGACTAAAAAAAAAAAAAAGGAAAAGAAAGCAATTCAGGCTACTTTTACTACAACTAAAGTTGATGATGGTGTTTATTTGTTTGATAATTATGAAAATATGGTTATATTCCATAGAGGTGCTAGGTAAACAAAATGAGAAGAGAATAGTGTAAGAATAAAAGCAAATGCAAACCAGTTCAGCAGTTTTATATTTTCCTCTGCCTGTGGCTTTTCCACTAAATAAGAAAAACTGAGAGAAGCGAAGACATATGTCTAGTGAAACTTTCCATCTTTTAGAGAGAGCCCATATTGTATGGATAGAATTTGTAGTGCTCTTCAATTTCTAAACGTCACGAAGGCAAAATGAGAGAAAAGTGAACAGAATTTTGAGAGTGAGTGGGAAGAATTCAGCTTTAGGCATTATCAGGCATCATGTAAGTATCACATTTTCATCATATGAGAAAACTTGAACAATTCAGAAAAAAATCATATAGTCTGAAAAAGTAGATGTCTAATGAACATCTTATAACTCTATTGATATACTTGTAAAATAAAGCTGAGAATACATGTAGTATGAGCCTCAGAATAATAATACAGATAGAACAGAGAAAGCAGAACAAGATATATTTGGTTGAAACTTTTTTTTTTTTTTTGAGATGGAGTCTCGCTCTGTTGCCCAGGCTGGAGTGCAGTGGTGCGATCCTGGCTCACTGGAACTCTGCCTCCTGGGTTCAAGCGATTGTCCTGCCTCAGCCTCCTGAGTAGCTGGGACCACAGGTGCCACCTCCTGCCCGGTATTTTTAGTAGAGACACGATTTTTGGTATTTTTAGTAGAGACACGATTTCACCATGTTAGCTAGGATGGTCTCGATCTCCTGACCTTGTGATCTGCCTGCCTCAAGTTTGAAACTTTTAATAAAACATATTTTTGTAATTTTCAGATTCATTTTGTGGTACTATTTTAAATACCAAATCATCTGATTTATTCTACTACTTTGATTTTGTCTGGGTAGAAAGTCTTTGGATGTTCATTAGCCATTCTTTCTAGTGCATTGATTTGCAATATTCTTCCTATTGTCATTGCTTTTATTTACAAAATAGCATATTCTCTTATTATATCATAACCTTGTGTTTTGAGGCATCTCAGATAATATATCATACTGTCTTATATGCTATTGTACAGTACCACAGGGTGAATACATTAAATAAATATATAAAGCTAAAATATTGCTATGATTGATTTAAAATACTTTAAAAAGCTTTGGTTCTAAAAGCTTTAGTATATGGTTATGTAACATCAAAACATAAATATTTTATTGATTCCAAATTGACAAAACTAGAATTTCACAGTTGCCTACAACTTTAAGGTACATTTTAATCCACTCACTGAATTACCCTTGTAGGCATATGAGCTATGGTTTGTAGTTTGTAGGGTTTCAATTATGGTGAAGGTAATTACATTGCTGAAATAAACTCTCATTCTCTGGATAATTACATCTGGAATAAAAAGAAAATATCAAAAACTTGGGTTCCCCTAAAGAAAAATATCAAAACCTTGGGTTCCCCTGGAGATCAACTTTTCTTAGTATTTTGTTATTCTGGCCTCATGATGGCACCAAAGGGCAGGAAATAATTCTTTTTTGAATTCCAGTTTACTTCCCAAAGTGCAACAAAAATAAATACAATAAGCAAAAAGCAGCTGAATTAGAAAATCTTTCAAATAAGGAAGTTTGGGGTGGGGGGAGTTGGTCCACTTTTGGGGATGCCCTCCCTGGTATGGATTATTACCATTCAACTTTTCTATACACAATACACTTGCTCTAGCCTTTTTCTCAAATTATTTAGTCACCTCCCCAGTATCCTTTCTACTAAATTATGTCCTGTGTTGCAGAAAGGAAAAGGTGCTGATAAAAAATACTTTAAAAATAGTTTAATCTAATCATAACCATGAACTTCTGTTTTAATGGCTTTGAAAGACACAGGATTAGCAGATGGTTAATAACAAGACACTCATAAAAGGAAATAAGTAAAATATAGAAACAAAAGTTTTGTGAGGTGATACCTCACTCATTTTCTAATTTATTATAGAGTAGAAATTTAGAATATAATTTGGCACCATAATAAATCTTACTTAATATTAATGGCAGCGATCTCAGCTGTTGTCTTGTATTTTTCATTGGTAGACAAGACATAGTTAATGTGTGAGTTCAAATGAATATCCCTCTATGTATGAACCTAAATATGTCAAACGTCTGTACTAGGTTTCTGTTATACATTGCGAGAGAATCAAATAGATACTACATGTGTTCCTTTTTTCTTCAAAGGTGCTTGTAACCTAGTTTTAGTGAGAAAAGGTAAGTGCTTCTAAAAATAATTAACAATAAGTCAGTAACAATCTGAAGGCCTTAAATGTTAGTACATAAAATAGTACAAGATGGCTTTTGACTAAGAAAAAATCTTGAAATGCTGTATGATGGCCTTTTGGCCTCCTAAATGTAAAACAAAAAGACATTTTTACGATAAGTAAATTATGTTTGGCTACCCAGCTTTTATAACCTGCACTTGATTTCATCAATCTATGTAATATAAAAATTGCTACATTTATTGTTTCTTCAGTTTTCATAATCCTTTGGGTTGGTGCAAAGATCACCAAAATAATTTATAACACACCTTCTCCTCTGTTCTTTCTAGCTGGGACCATCTCATAATGTTTGTGTACATTCCTGTTGTCTTCTACCTCCCATCCACCGTGTCTCTCTACTGCCTATAACCAGCCTACATAAGGTAAGGCCTTTATCTGCTTCTTCAATGACCCAGGTGAGCTTACTCAAGTAATATTCTCTGTCTTTATGAAATGGGCATTGTCCTTCCCTTTTGTGCTCTTGCATCACCATAGTAAAAAGATAATCCATTACTAAAACTTGTAAACAACAGAATTGTTCTTTGCTGTTGGCTTCTTATTAAATATTGGGTTTGTCAATTTATATATTCTCTCTCCCTTATGATGTTTCAGATACTTGAGGTTAGGCAAGAGGGTACAGTTGCCTACAATTTTAAGGTACACTTTATTCTACTCAATGAACTACCTAGGCAGACATATGAACTATGATTTGTAGGCTGAGAACTAAAACCTCCACCTGATTCCCAACCCCCGAAGTTGAGTCATAGTTGAGGTTTGTCCCTCAACTAACTTTTCTCTTTAAAGGAAATTCCTTCTTAATTGAGTACAGTGCCTGGGTGGCTAAAAGATGGGCTTTGCGCCTCAATAGCTTGAATATTTATTTTTGGGGGGTTGTATTGGTTAGCCTTTAAATGACCATATCCATGAGGCTTATTGGTCTTCTCTTTAAAAAGCAATTATTAGTGGAACCAGCTTGCCAGACAACCAGAAATGCCTAGATAGATGGGCAGATGGAGAGAGAGAGAGAGAGAGAGAGAGAAAGAGAGGAGAGAGTGATTGATTGATTCTTAGAGAGCTCACATAGCCTAGACTCTCACTCTGAGTTTTTGTTTCATTGGAAATAATCTATAGTTTCAGATGATAGTAAAGTAACACAACAAAGAGAAAGTTTACAAACAGAGATAAAAATGATATTCCTCTTTTAAGTTCACTGTTATTTTAATAAGAAATGTTTAAAAGAAAAGTCTGAAGCCTTGTTTGCAGTGGACTTTTCCCGCTGACTTTTGGTACAGGCACTGAGCTATGCTCTTGCCATCTATTCATTTCATTACATGTTTTTAACAAATATATTTCAAATTCAAAGCCCTCTTTTAGGAGATGTTGGAGACACAATTCATGAATTAACAGTGATAGAAGTGTGATTGCATTTGACTGAACTGCAGAGCAAGCAATGCATTTAACACTAGACATTAAAAAGGCACATGGAAAGAAGGCGGAGTATCTGTTAGTCTAGAATCCTTGGAAATTTTCCAAGGATTCACCCAGAACAGAGACCAGGACTTTGAATGACCTTTTTCTGCTCATCTGCTTTAAATCATTTCCATTGTCTTCAGCACACTTCTAATAATGACACTGATTCAAGAAATTTCTAAACCTATAGAAGGCTAATGTAGATAAGATATGAGTCCTGTAATTTTATTATAATTACTTTTATCTGTATCAGCTTCTGGAAATGGAAAGTTTTGCCTGTATTTCATTAAAATTAAGTTACATGATTTAAAAAATTGATGATAGATATGGTTCTTAAAATTCACTTGAGTAGGTTTTCATCCATTGTGGGCAAAATCATAACATAGATTTTGAAATTTGAAGATGTAATACTTTAATATTATTAGTCAAATTGGTGCCCATCTCTAGAGGAAGAAACCACGGAAGAGACCAAAGAAGAAAGAAGTTAACCACTTACACCTGTTTGAAGTCTGATGCTAGACTAAAATCTAGGACTTCCAGACTATTTTTGAGCATTTTTTGTTTAAGTTTCGTTTTTGTCTACATTTTTTTCCTTAGAAAAGTAAAGTCAACATATGTTTGCTAGATAAAGAGGAGGGTATCCTAAGTTCAGAGACATAAAGTCTAATTTTGTGTGACACAAAGTATATGAATTATTTTTTCTTCTTAAATTTATCTTCTTCAAAGATGTAAAGTGTTAAGATATTTTGGGTTTCTTATTATTTAGCAGTCTTTATTATTATCTGTTACAAAAGTGAAAAAATAGCATAATTTTAATGAATCTATAGCAAATAATAAATCTATAATAAATAATAAATCTATAATTATTAATAATTTATTGATGTATTTTAATTAAAAACCAGAATAAATATTGTTTTACTTCAATTCTCCAGGATATTTATGTAAGCAAAGTAAGTTTATATAAAAATGCACATATATGCATATGTGTATGTGTATATATATATATATAGTGCACACAAAAATACATATTTACATATGCATCTACTATTACTATATATATAACTTCCATTATTAATCTAATATTCATAAAGTAGTTACAGTGCTAATATTTCTAAGTTCCTCAGAAGAATATCTGGCATACAATAAGCATTACATGTTTCCATTTAGCTATGATGATGTAGTCGATAATCTAACTAAATTTTAGATCCATAAAGAAAAGTAAAAAACATAGTTTTATTTTACTTTAAAAATAAAACTTTGTGTACAATACAAAAGGATAAAAATCTCTATTATGGCTTCAACATTTCTGAAAGCATTATATCTCTACCAGTCAGTAAATAATAAGTGCTAAATGAGTGGTGTGGAAAATAAGTCTTGTGGAAGTTTAAAAGAAGGAAAGATTGCTTCCAGATGAAACAGTCAGGGAACGCTTTACAAGAGTCAGGATTTAAGCTGTATTTTGAAAAATGGGCAGGATTTAGATTTGGAGAAGCAGAGTAGGGAGGACTGTGTTGAGAGGTTTTATAATATGAGTAAAATGTAAAAGCAGAGCTAAGTTTTCAGTTTTCTCTGCCTTGGGTTTGATGAAATAAGATTAATATATTTAAGTATGAAGTCAAGAGGGAAATGTCCTTTCTCTCTTTCATTGACTTTTGAACTCTCTTCCACTATCACTATAATTTTTTTTTTTTTTTTTTTTTTTTTGAGACGGAGTCTCGCTCTGTCGCCCAGGCCGGACTGCGGACTGCAGTGGCGCAATCTCGGCTCACTGCAAGCTCCGCTTCCCGGGTTCACGCCATTCTCCTGCCTCAGCCTCCCGAGTAGCTGGGACTACAGGCGCCCGCCACCGCGCCCGGCTAATTTTTTTGTATTTTTAGTAGAGACGGGGTTTCACCTTGTTAGCCAGGATGGTCTCGATCTCCTGACCTCATGATCCACCCGCCTCGGCCTCCCAAAGTGCTGGGATTACAGGCGTGAGCCACCGCGCCCGGCCTATAATTTTTTAAAAATAAGTGTCCCTGGACAATATCTTTTCTATTATATTTTATTGGATAATGATATAATCACATCTGTTGCTTGGAAAATAAAATATTTCCATAATTATGATACTATGTTATATTTACAATGTGAAATAAAAGCAAGTGAGTGTGTGTTGTGTTGTGTTGGTGTGGTATGGTGTGTGGTGTGTGTCATTCTATGAAAACTGGGTTTCTCTAATTCATAAAGAAACCAGACAGCTATATTTCTTTTTTTCTTTTTTCTTTTTTTTTCATCAGAGTAGGAAGAAAGGCATTTTCTCTTCTCAAGCAAAATACCGATTGAAATATAGCTGGGCATTGGAAGTTGCAGAGCATACCATGTCTAATAAACTTCATGGAAATCTGGTCACAAGAGGTGGTTCTGGATATAGTTGTTTCCTCAGAAAAAAAAGCTCTGTTCTTGATCTTCCAACAGCCATGTCACCTATATCTTCTTAACTGGCAAGGGACACATTCTTGCATACTCTTCTATGTGCTGGCTAATGAAAGTTCTTTGGCAATTTAATCATTAGTAAGACATATTATGAAAGAATCTTCGGAAAATGAAATTACAAGTGAGTATCTGTTGGGGGAAAAAAAGAGAATACTTTAAATACATATCCAAGCTGAAAATAAATGATTTTGGGATTTTCTGCTGTTTAGGATTATCTGCACCAATGAGCCCCTCTATTCCTTCTTGTAACCAAATGTTGACTTAGTTTGTCTGCTAGAAGTCTACTCCAGCTGCAAAGAGATGAAGTAATGATGGTAGATTCAAGTTAATTGTCAATATAAATCCCTGACTCAGTTATGTATACATATAAAAGTATTTTATTTCCTGTTTTATTTGGTAAAAGTTTTTATGAAACATACTAAGGTAAATTTTAGGTTAACATATAAAAATAATTCTTTATCAAATACCAAATATGGTGAAAATTATCTGCATTTCATTTTCTCTAAATAATGTAGCCTCATCTGTTAATCTACACCAGTTCAATCTGTAATATTTATTACACCCTTTTTGTGAGTAAAATATCCTATGATCACATCACCTTAGGAGTTACTTAGTTGTGATTAAAGCCTAGAATTTCAGCTGGACAAGCCCACAATGTTTGTGGCTCCACTTTGCACCTTAAAACTTGCATTTGCACCTGCAAAAGGCTGAAATGAATAATAAGTCAGCACATGTGTATTCCATTATTCATTTTTTTTTATGAGCAGATGTGGGTGATGTGGGCAAAGAGCTAGATGCATCTTTAATTGAGAAAATCTGTGGAAAAGTTATCCTTAAATCTCTCCTAGGGAATTGACTTAGAACACTATGCACCATGATTTGGAAACTACGAATCAGACCCAAATGTTGACCAGACAACCCAAGCTTGAACACAGGCTGTCGAAAGTGAATATTGCAGACATTAATCCTCAGATTTTTTTTCTTTCAAATTTCTCTATGAATAATACTGTGCCCACTAGTTGTTTTTTTTTTTAATGTTCACTCTAAAATGATACAAACCATCAGGAATAAAGACATAAAACCCAGTGAAATTTATTTGGAGAAAAATAAATTGGATCCCAAACTTATTTTTTCATGCTGTATTTACACAGAAAGAATCTCAAGTTGTGCAATTTAGTTTTTTTTAATTTACATTTAACTGTTGTCTTTGAATATTTAGTCTATAGAATTAACTTGTCAAGTTCCTACTGTTGAGGAGTGAAGGTAAGAGTGAACAAGACACAGACTTTGAAATAAATAAAAGTGAACTCTGTAAGGTTTGGCTATTCTAGAGCTTATACTAATAATATAGCTCTTAGTTAAATCAAAATTTCTGTTTTTAACATAAAGTTGAAAATTAGATTGTTCTATGAAAACAAATGTTAAGACAAAACAATTAAAAATAACTATAGCTACAGTAATTTGTTAATGGTAACACAGTATAAAAAGATGTAAATTGTAATGCCAATAGAATAAAATATTGGGAGAGGAAAAGTTAAAGTTTCCAAAGTTTTAAAATATGGTTGACATTAAGTTGGTATCAGCTTAAAACAGACAGACTTTTATAGCTACAAGATGTTTTGCTTAAGCCCCATTATAACCACAAAAAAGACTTGTAGTAGATACACAAAATTTAAGGGAAAAGGAATAAAAGAATAC
The DNA here is from genome assembly GCF_000001405.40 of Homo sapiens. NCBI lineage: Eukaryota > Metazoa > Chordata > Mammalia > Primates > Hominidae > Homo > Homo sapiens. The sequence continues at coordinate 78,425,598 of NC_000008.11, read as the reverse complement.
TTTTATAAAAATTATCAAATCACAAAAGAAGATAGCAAGAGAAAAAGAAACTACAAAATAGTTGGAAAATAATGAATAAATGGCAGTACATCCTTATCCATCAATAATTACTTAAAATGTAAATGGATTATTCAAATGACATAGAGTGGTTGAACGGATTAAAAAAATGAGATCCAACTATATGCCACCTACAAGAGACTCACTTTAGGTTTAAAGGCACACATAGGTTGAATGTGAAGGCACTAGAAAAGATATTCAATTAAATGGTAATCAAAAGAGAATGGGCAGGCTGGATTTATATCATACGAAATAGAGTTTAAGTCAAAAACTATCACAAGAGACAAGGTCATTAATAATGATAAAGGGATCAATTCATCAAAAGGCTATAACAGTTGTAAATATATATGTACCCAATATCAGAGCACCTAAATGCATAAAGCAAATATTGCCAGAACTGAAGGTTGAAAGAGGTAGCAATACAATAACCATAGGGAACTTTAATACCCCACTTTCGACAATATATCGATCATCCAGGGAAAAATAATCAATCAGAAAATATCAGACTTGAATGACAGTAGAGACCAAATGGACCTAATAGACATATATAGAACATATATATAGAATATATATATATTTGAAGCTGTCACAGAACATTCTCTAGAATACATGATATGTTAAGCCACAAAAAAACTCTTAATAAATTCAAGAAAATTAAAATCATATCAAGTATCTTTTCTGATCATGATGGTATGGATCTAGAAATTGATAAAGGTGGAAAATTAGAAAATTCACAAATATGTGGAAATTAAACAACACATTCTCAAACAGCCAATGAGTCAGAGAAGAAATCAAAAGGGAAATAAAACATATATTGAGACAAACTGCCAAAACTTATGAAATGCAGCAAAAGTAGTTCTAAGAGGAAAACTTATAGTGGTAGTTGTTTACATTAATTTGTTTTTGTTTTTGTTTTTAGAGACAGGATCTCACTTTGTTGCCCAGGCTGGAGTGCAGTGGTGCAATGATAGCTAACTATAACCTTGAATCCTTGGGCTCAGATGATCTTCCCAGCTTAGTCTCCCAAGTAGGTAGGACTACAGGCATGGAACACCATACCTACTATTTTATTTTATTTTTTGTAGAAATTGGGTTGCCCAGGCTAGTCTCGCACTCCTGGCCTCAAAGAATCTTTCTGTCTTGGCCTCTCAAAGTGCTGGATTTACAGGTGTGAGCCACTATGCCCAACCTCAAATCTTTCTTTACAGCTAACTTGACACCTCAGAAAAATAAAATAAGCAGAACAAACTAAGCACAAAGATAGACGAAGAAAGGAAATAATAAAGATTAGAACAGAAATAAATAAGGACTAGATTAGAACAGAAATAAATAAGGACTAGAAAAGATCAATAATACTAAGAGTTGGCTTTGTGAAAAGGTAAAGTTGACAAGACTGAATTATAAAGAAAGAGAAGTATGACCAGACTAATAACCAATAAGGAGATTTAATTAGGAGTCAAAAACCACCCAACAAAAAAATGCTCAGGACCTGAAGAATTCACAGGAGAATTCTTCCAAACAATTAAAGGAGAATTAATGCTGATGCTTGCCAAACTTTTTCAAAAAAATTGAAGAGCAGAGAATACTTTCAAACTCAATTTTATGAGGCCACCATTACCCTAATACCAAAACCAGACAAGAATACTGTGAGAAACAAAACTGACAGTCCGATATCTTTGATAAACATAGATCCAAAAGTCTGCAAGAAAATACCAGGAAACCAAATTCAACAGCAGATTTAAAAGATCAGCCATCATGGTCAAGTGAGACTGATGCCTGAAATGCAAGGATAGTTTAACATATGCAAGTCAATAAATGTGATATACCACATTAACAGAAAAATAAAAATTATATGATCATCTCAATAGATGCATAAGAAAATTTGAAAAATTCAACATGATTTCATTATAAAAATACTTAATAATGTATAGAACATAAATATAACCACATGCCTCAACATAATAAAGACCATATATGACAAGCTCACAGATCACATCATACTCAATGGTAAAAAGTTGAAACTTTTTTTCTAAGATCAGGAAGAAGAGAAGACGACAAGGGTGCTCATTCTTAACTTTTCTATTCAATATAGTATTGTAGGTTCCAGTCAGAAAATTAGTCAAGAAAAATAAATAAAATACATTCAAACTGAAAGGTAAAATTGTTTCTGTTTGCAGATATCATAAGGAGGAAAGCCTAAAACCCTACCAACAAACTGTTTGAACTAATTAATCAATGCAGTGAAGTTCCAGAGTACAAAAGCAGCATTCAAAAATCGGTAGAGTTTCAACACACTAACAACAAACTATACAAAGAAGAAGTTAAGAAAATAATACCATTTACGATAACATCAGAAGGAATAATATACTTAGGAATAAATTTAAGGAAGAAGGGGAAAGATCTGTACACTAAAAACCATAAAACATTGATGAAAGGAATTGGAAAAACACTAACATAAAGGTATTCCACGTTCATTGATTGGAAGAAATAATGTTATTAACATGTCCATACTACCTGAAGTGATTTATGGATTCAGTGTAATCCCTATCAAAATTATAATGTTATTTTTCATAGAAATACAATAAAGACTCTAAAATTCATATGGAAACATAAAAGACTCCAAATAGCCAAAGCTGTCTTGAGCAAAAGAACAAAGCTGGTTGTAGTACACTAACTGATATCAAAAGATACTATAAACCTATAGTAGTTAAAACAGCCTGATAATGGCATAGAAACAGCCACATAGACCAGTGGAACAGAATAGAATGCCCAGAAATAAATTCACACATTTATGATCAATTGATATTCAGTAAAAATGCTAGAAACACATAATGAAGAAAGGACAATCTCTTTCAAAATTAGGCTGGGAAAACTGGATATCTATATGCAGAAGATAAAATTAAATCTGTATCTCACATCAGGTATGATTAGTTTGACAAGGCTGCCATAACAAAGTACCACAAAGTGTGTGGCTTAAACAACAGACATTTATTATCTAATTGCTCAGGGGGCTGGAAGTCTGCAATGAAGTTTGCAGCAGCGTCACGCTTCCTCTGAAGGTGCTAGGAAAGGATCTGCTTTTAGGCTTTTCTCCTAGTTTCTGATAGTTCTTTGGTTTGTGGCAGCAGAACTCTAATCTTCACTCAGCATTCTCCCTGTGTGCATGTCTATCCCAGCATCCATGTTTTTTTCCTTTTATAAGGACACTAGTCATATCAGAATATAGCACACCCCAATTACTTCATTTTATCATCATCCCTCTCTAAAGACCCTATCTCTAAATACAGTCAAATTTGAGGACAAACTTGGGATTAGGACTCCAACATCTCTTTTCATGACACAAAATTCAACCCATAATAATGTACAAAAATCAATTCACAATAGATTAACTAAACGTAAGACCTAAACACTAAAATTACTAGATAAAACATAGAAAAAAAGTGTCGACATTGGTCTGGGCAATGATTTGTTGGGTGTGATCCCAAATGCACAAGCAAAAACAAATGAAAAAATAGACATATAGAATTGTGCCAAACAAAGAAGCTTCTGCACAGCAAAAGAAGACACAACCTATGAAATGGAAGAAAATACTTGCAAATCATACACCTGGCAAGGGGTTAATATCAAACAATATATGGAATTCAAACAATAGCAAGAAAGCAGAGAATCCAATTTAAAAAATGGACAAAGGAAATAAATAAACATTCCTCAAAAGAAGACACATGAATGTCCAACAATTATATGAAAAAATTATCAACATTACTAATGACCAGATAAATATGAATAAAAACCACAATAAGGTATCACCTGATACTTGTTAGAATGCCTATTATCAAAAAGTCAAAAGAAAACAAGTGTTGATGAGGATGTAGAGAAAAGGGAACATGTGCACACTGTTTTGGGACATGTAAATTGTTATAGCTATTATAAAAAATAGTGTGGAGGTTCCTCAAAAGTTAAAAATAGGAATACCATATGATCTAGCAATCTTCTGGTTATAAATCTAAAAGAATTGAAATGTATCTTGAAGAGATAATTGCACTCTCATGTTCATTGTAACATTATTCACAATAGCCAAGATATGAAATCAACATTAAGTGTTCATCAATGATGAATGGATAAAAACTTTATTTCTTTTGTACCATCATAAAGTCAAAAAGTCATAAGCAGAAGTATAAGTCAAGGACTGCCTGTATTCTAGAGAAAGATAGAAGTGTATTTTTTTTTCATGTCAACAAAGGGAGAAAGTTTATTGTGTTTTATAAATGCAATCTCCAAAAACTATCTTCCTACACAAATATATACACCAGAAATAGTTTTCTTTCTCTCTCTCTCTCTTTTTTTTTTAGAAGTGTAAATAAGATAGGGCACAAGGATGGAGAAAACTGCAAATTTTCAAGTGGTTTTAAGGAGGCAAAGGACAGCATCAACAGAACTTGTTGAGGGAAATGTTTGGGAGAATGAGTTGAAGTGGCTGAATTCTTGGCTTCCAACTTAAACATTTTGATAGATGATGGTGCAACTGATTGCAGTAGCAATAGCTCAAGTGTTATGTCCTCTTGGAGGCCTTCCCTGAGCCTGCTGCCTCCACACACGCCTTAACCCCCATGGAATTAAGAAGTACGTACCTGTTCTCTGGGTTTTTATAACACTCTGAGGATACCATGTTCATTCTAGTCATCATGTTGCATGGTTTTTCCCATTTGACTCAGGATCTTTGAAGTCTTCTTTTGCACCAATATCTCCAGAAGCTAACAGAATCAAAGGTTCATTTAAATATTTGTTGAATGAGTACAATCACTCATACAAGTGGTAAGGAAGAATAGGGATGAAGAAACACCAGAAAGTAATTTTTATGGCATATGTGCTACCTTGGGGGAAAAATAATTTAGAAATAAGGGGAGCATTTTATTTATTCTTTCTCATAAAGCATGAGATTTAGGAAAACAATTGAAAATTTGGGAAAAGATGACTGGCTACAAATATTATTTTAATAAACAAAAATGTGCTTCTTTGGGCCATGGTTTAAAATACTTCAAGAAGGAATCTTTTCCCGAGGGTGACTGCATCTTTTATATTTATCAAAATATTATGTTATGAAGACCCCTTCAATATGAAAATTCAGTGGCCAGTGGTGGGAGGGAGAAAAAAGACTTGGGTAAATCTACAAAATGTAATTTTTTTGAAAATATTAGGAATGATGTGATAAGGGGATAAAAATGGAGGAAGTACCCAGGACAAAATAATTACAAATGGGGGCAGGAACAGTGGGACTGCTTATGGTATGGAAATCCAAAGTGTGGATCAGAAACCAAGGGAGATTTCACTGGAGGGAACACAAGCACAGCTCATATGAATCACTGTGAGCCTAATGATGCACCACTCATCATTGTCCCTCCCATTCCTCATGTTGTCTGTGCTTAAGACTTCAAGAATTCTTTTTACTCAGAAGTGGGGCAACATCGCTGACCAAACTTTTAGTTCATAGCTCTACATGTGACTGCTATCTTACTCAACCTTTCTCATCTCTCATCCTTTAACACCTAAGCTACCTGTATCATTGAATATGTATCTGTGTATATCCTGTTCATCTAATTATGCATTTATCTGTGAGTGCCTTTATCGATGGAGGCAGTTTCTGAGTGGTTGTATATTACTTCTTTCTACCTTCTTGACACTTCACAAGGAGTCTTGTACATAAAAGACATTCAAAAAGTGTTAAATATGTGACAAAAATGTATGTCATATGATAATTTTACAGTCACTTTATAAGGAGGATGGATTGAGATAACAAATGGGAGGATCTGTTATTTGCTGTCCTTTTGTCAACTTGGAGACTTATAAATGATGACTGTAGGATGCAGTGTATTAGAGGAGATAAATTAATCCACATTTGAAGCAAACAAAAGACATGAAAGGGCCAAGGTGGAAGTGAAGAATGTCAGAGGAAGGAGAAAGAGAAACTGAAAGGCAGAATTTAAAAGGGATAGGAGCTGATGCTGTGGACCTAGCTTGGAAAGAAAACAGAAATTTTGAAGCAAAGTTTTGTGCTCTGAGCTGTAAAAAGTCCTTCCATGAACTCTCTTAATTTTTAGCCAAAAAATACTCCATTCCTTAGAAGGATTCAGTTATTTATTTATATTATCATTATTATTATTATTATTGGTATGGTAGGGAATGAGATAGGCTAAGTCCTGGGTGTGGAGACAAGAACAGAAACTTCCATGGGGTGCAGCTATATTCACATTAGACAGGCAGGTAGGGAGACAGATACAGGAATGGAACCCAGTCTGCCAGGGAGAAGAGCTAATTAGCCCTGAATGGTCGCTCCCTGCCTTTAAGCAAAGAGTCTACTAGGAATGAGAAAAAAAAGAAAGAAAATGGTCATTTTCTGACTATGGTAGTGTGCCAGTGTACCCAGACGAAGAAATGCATGATGCCATCCCAAAGAGAGAAGAGGCTCAGCAGTAGAGTGGAGAGCCATGTAATTGTGTTTCTGCATTCTAAACTCTGTGAGGGTCAGAGTTTCTGATCTTTCCGTCTCATCCATCTTTCCCCCATATTCTCTCTTCTCTTCCTAAACACCGATCAGTTTATCTCAAAATATAAAGTTTGAGATATTAAAATACTAAATATAATATATGTAAAAGTTTAAAATACAGGTACTTGGAACATAATGGACATTCAAATAACATTTATTTCTCTTTCTGTATCTTCAACTGTTCAGGTAGCTGCTGAAATTTTTATTCAATTTTAAATAGAAGATAGAAGGAGTGATGTGACCTACTCTTAACCTAATTTTTAAAACAGGAAAAATTGTTTTTTAATAAGAGAGTAATGGAGTTCTTGTGAGAAGGGCCTTGTCACCTTAGAGTTCTCAATTACTAGTGAATGGAATGCTGGACGGAATTAGACATGTGTCAAAAATGCTATAAAAGGAAAAGTGTAAATTCTGCAGAGATAAGGAGCTCCCAGGCAATATCAACCTAGAAATATGGTCATAGTACTAGATGATGATGGTGATGATGATGATGATGATGCTAATAATAATAAAATACCCTATTGTTCTTTGGCTATCTCTTTAAAATTGTCACCTCTCCCTGCTCTCACTTGTGTCTTAGCTTCCAAGGTGGTAGAAGTTTGTCTCAGTTTCCTCTAACCTATTTCAATAACACTGTGTAGCCATAGCCTACAAAATAACACAAAGTGTGATTTTGTTCCCTTTACCTTTGCCACCGCCAAAAAAGAACATCATTGCTGAAATTCCTCAGCATTAGCAGCCTCTTCGCTGATCACAGGAGGTAACCATTGTCAAAGATTAGGGTGCAATCACAAGGTCAGGACATGTCTGTACCACTTTAATGGTTCTTTTATCTCTTCTTCCTAGGCCTAATAGGATAAGAAACTAGATTGAACTCTATAGAGCTCATCCTATCTACACAGTTTCTTTCAGGAAACTGCTTTATTCCTGTTTCCAGACAGCCAGAGTTGCATAAGATGATTCGACTTTAGTTATATACTCTCTAAAACTTCCACCACAACAGATTTGATGCCACTGCTTGACCCACTAAAAGGGGGGATGAGTTAAAAAGGTTGGGAGGCTCCCAAAATGCATATTAGACTCTAAAATTACATTGATCTTAGTGATAAAGAAAATGGGGAAGGTAATATATGTAGAGAGATATAGCTAGATAGACAGCAATCCAATAAGGCATTATTTTGAAAGAATTGGTGGAAAAGATGGCCTGGATGACATTTAGCTGAGGATGTTCTTTACAGTAACACAGAGCAATGTAAGATACACCAAGGATGCTTAGATCTGCAGTGAAAAAATATATGGACAACAAAAATGCTTTTTAATTTCTTTTTTTTTGGTTATTTTGTTCAATGAATGAAGAATATTAAGGCATGACTACTCACTGAAACAAAAGTTGTAATGCAAAGAGTTCAAGAAAGTAGTTCTACTCAACCATTTCTATTTTGCTTCATGTCAAAAGGAAATATTTTTAGAATCTTTATCTTATTTTAGAATAAGCATTCATATGAAATCATGATTGAATGAAAAGTGTAAAGTGACTACTTAGCAGCTCTTCCAACTCACAACAATGGAGCTCAGTTACTATGAGAACTTGCACATGCGTTTGAAATGTTCTCAGTGATCTCTAAGGATTCGGGGGAACTAGAAGGAAATATGGGAATATAGGAAACAGATACTTGTTACCACCTTTATTAAAGGAAAACTGGGGGTCATAATATATAAATCAATAAACATGTCTTCAGTACCAAGCAAATTCTAGAATGGCTTATCTTATGGGTAATTTGCAAAAATATGAATGATTTAGAATAATGCTAGCCTGAGTTCATCACATACTATACTCTAGGTTAAGCTCAATATTTTGATACATTAGAACAAATTCAAGAAATGTATAAACATAGTCTTTGTATTTTTGCAAGAAATCAGAATAATTTTTCTGTTATGTCCTTTGAGAGGAAATGGAGGAATAGTCTCTGGACTAGATAAAAACGTTTGATAAATTTGCACTCTGTTACATAAAATGGGCTTGGTCATGGGTGTCCTGGATTCAGGGAGTATCTTGTATTTATCTTGATGTACCAGCATGGAGCACATAGTAAATACTCGGAAATATAAATATCTGAGTGAAGAAATAAATATTGAATAAACTCATTAAATAATTTGTTATATAAGCACTTTTGGGTAAGGACAGTGCTAAAAGAAACATTGCAAAGTGGCTTTCTTTCAGATTCCCTGGATATTTCTGTCCAAATGCCTGATGACAATGATGAAGTTGGCTCTGAATCTACTTTTTATTTAGAAACACACTAATGATTATGATCAGTGAGACTGAGACATTTGTGTCAATATTGTGGGTAATTATAAGTCATAGAAAGTGGAAGCTCAGTGATTGACATGTTCTTTTTAAATTTTTTGAATGTGTCCAGATTTTTGTAGAACTATCTTACATTATAAAAATTCTGAAAGTACTGGAAGCATAGTCTCTAGAATTGCAGTTATTTTCTGTATGTGATATGGTGAATAACTTGAAGTTGTATATTTAATGAGCTTGAAATACTTTAACTTAATATATCTCATTTCATTTTGCAATGAGCAAGGAAACTTTGACCTCACAATGAATGGATCAGAGTTGGCAAGGATTGTGCGTGGTAGTTTGGTGATGCAGATTTCAGCTAATGGGCCATGTAATTAAGATGACCAATTGCTAATGCGGTTGGAGAAATTCCAAGAACTCTGATATGAAGCCTACCAATTACAGTACATTTCCCACTACTATCCAAGGGGATTAATAATTCTTTTCATTGGCTTTATTGAAATTCTTCAACAAATTTAAGAATATTTTAATTCATAATGGAAGAAATATAGTATATCTACTTGTACAGCAAAGTACAGGAAATGGGAGAGGCATAGCTCATCTCTAAGTATCTATAATAGTTCTATCTGTACTTCTTCATGTAATAGAACTTTCATAATTATATTTTATCTCACTGATATTAAGTGTATATAAATGAATTCACAATATATTGATCTTTTTTGTCAAGGATTAATAAATAATCCAAATAGAGGTGAAAGGCAAGGGATAACATACATAGATGAGTCAATTCTTTTAAGATATACAGTGTCAGTAAGTAATAAAGAAGATTCTATATAATTATAGCATTTTTCCCCCTCCTTTATTTTCACTGCTAGATTTTCCCTAGGTGCTCAATAAATGTTTATGGAACGAGATTGAATCATCAATAACACAGTCTTAGTAAAATATTATTTTGAAAGGTATAACTCCAGTATTCACCTAAAATATAAGTAATTTAAATCATATAGTTTATCTTTGAATCTCCAGTGCTAAGCACAGTATATGATATTTAATTGTAAATCAATGTATGTTAATTGGAAGAATGCATGAATAAATCCTTTACTTTTCAATTAGCTCTAATTAGAAGTATTTGTTTTGGTAATGTTGTATTACTCTAAAAGAAGACTGAAGCACTTGCAGAGGAATGTCAACATTTATAATATTTGGGTAGTCAGAACTAGGCTGATTGTTTTATATTAATCTTTATGTTTTTATTCTTAAAACATCGAGAAATCAGCAAATATTTAGTTTGTCTTATTTTTGTGTTTTTTTTCTTCAATCTAAATTGTTCTATAACACTTACTAGTATGTTTTTGTGTTCATATAGTACTAAGTGGTAGGAATATAACTGCCTATAAAGACATATATAGTTTTCTTTCTTTCAGTGTCTTCCGTTAAAAACATATAAACATGAGCTAAGCTAAAATAAACATATTTTTAAGTGCATAGCTGAGTTATCAAGACAATAAAGGAAATCTCTCAACAACACAGAAGGAATTAAAAGCTGAAATCAATATTTCAAGACAACATGAAATCTGAAGCTTTTCTTTCGGCATGGGGAGAATACAACAACCTGGAATTTCAGGGACTAGCTAAATGAGGTTCAAGTTATTAGGCCTGCGGAAGAAGAGAAATGAGATCTGAAAATTGTAATTAAATCTTCCTTCTCCAAAAGTGTATACCCTCAGTGAAAGAGCAGGCTGGAAAAATCCAGTGGCAAGGAAAGGAAACAGACATTAAAACCTGGATTTCTTGCCAATAGCTAGAGATGGCGGGGCACGTGGCTCTTAGGAATATATATCATAGGCTTGCTTGCCTCACACCAGTTTGGGGCTTTCATTTATACTAGCTGAGTGGTCAGGAAAACTGGAAGCTGAGATACTAAGTAACAGGGGTCTCAGTTGGTTGGCATATTCTGTCTGCAGCAGAAGCCTTTCTGGAGGGAATCATTCTTAACCTAGGTTCTTTGTATTCTTCCACAGATGAAATGCAATCAAATATGAATGTATAACTATAAGAAATATCAAATACATGCAGTGAAAAAACCAACAGGGAACAATTTAAACCCCAAGGACATCAGATTGAAGTCATTGCTTATAGAATATAAAACAAAAAGAATAAAATGCTCACAGAATTAAATATATATTCAAAAAAGTGGACAAAGGTTAAGAGGATATATAAAGTAACCAAATAAGCCAGGCATGGTAGCACACACCTGTGGTCTCGGCTACTTGGGAATCTGAGCCAGGAGGATTACTTGAGCCCAGGAGTTTGAGGCTGCAGTGAACTATGATTGGGCCACCACACTCCAAACTGGGTGACAGACTGAGACCCTGTGTCTAAAAAATTAAGTAAAAAATAAGAGATAAACAAGTAGAATTGGAGAAGGAAACATTGAAAATTTGGATTAATCAGGGTAGGCAAGGCTATGTTGCAGCAAAAAGCCACCCCAACAACAAAATTTCCTTGTACTCACTTAAAGCCTGCTAAGAGTTAGGTAACTCCCCTTGGCAATTGTCCTCTATGCAGCAACTTAGACATCCAAGCTGAATGAACCTCACAGCTCTGCCATCTCAACATAAGGTTCTCCTCTTGGCTAAAGCTAAGGTATAATTGAAGGGTAGCAAACAGGCTCATCTGAGGTTCCTCTTCAAAGTAGAGGAAAAGCAGGTTCCTCTTCAAAGAAAACTGAAGCACTTGTAGAGGAATGTCAACATTTATAATACTTGGGTAGTCAGAACTAGGCTGACCATCACTGCTCAAAACCCAGCAGACAGCATCATTATCAAGAAGGCTGAAAAATGTGTGGGAACACAGAGAATAATTTTCTTCTGTAGAGTTCTAGAACTAAAACCTATAGTAATTCAAATCAAAATCTCCATGGATGAGTTAAATAGAGAATGTAGCATAAAAGATAAACCATAAACTAAAAAATTATAAACTAATTATAAATTACTATGCAAGAATTAATAATAACATAAGTGCTGCACATAGATGCTAGGATGTAGAAACTTTTTAAAAGATAGCTTAAGTGGCAAAAACGATAACAAGAAGAGCTAACATGTATCTAACTATTCTAAAAAGAGAACAGAGAAGAATGGGGGATATACAATGTTTACAACTTTTTGGCAATTGATAAGAAGTAAAAATTCAGACTCTAAAACCACCACATAAGCTAAACATAATAAATATATAGATATACATATGTAGTCACCGCATGGTGAGGCCACAGAACACCAAAGACATAGCCACTAGAGATAAATATCATCTACAAAGTAGCGAATCAGGCTGAAATTGAACTTCTCAACATCAAAAGACAGTGGGAAAATACTTACAAGTTGTAGAAGTAATATCTGTTGACAAAGAATTGCATATTTCACGTGACAATTTTCCAAAACAGGGTGAAACAAAGATATTTCAAGCAAGCGAGATGCTAAGAGACCTTACCTCACACAAAAATCTAATTTATGAGACAAAAAATAAGAATAAAACACTGGGAAAAATGACAATTATTTCAAGAAGCATATGAAATATTAAAACATATAGACCAATACAAATATGAAAATATTTTCAACTTCATTAATAACCAGAAAAACCCATTTTATTTCTAACCAGACCAAAATTAACAAGTCTAATAAAACCAAGTATTGGTGGAAGGGCATTAAGTCTTATACTCTTTATATGAGAATTGGTTTCTGTAAAATTACTTTGGGAAAAGATTTGTTGTTTAATAATGTTGATATGTAAAATCCATTTATTCTGTGTAATCCTGAGAGAAATTCTTACACATGTATTGCAGAAGAAATGAATGAATATATCCATATTGTTTGGCAAAAAACGCTAGAAATAATCTAAATATCTAAATATCCATTGACAAAACAATGCATAAAATTATGTATATAATTTATAAATATGTTGTATATAAAATTATATATGTAAAACTGTGTGCATTATATATTATATACATGCATGCTTACACATGTGCAGATATAATGGCATGCTATGCAATATTGAAAATAAATTATTTATACAAAGTCCAATAACAAATAAACCTAAGCACTGTTTGTTTATAGCTACACATGTGCATCTGTAAAATCGCAATGGTAGGAAATAGTCCCTACCAACAATAAAGGGCTGGAGAGGAGGATGCATTAAGAGAGAGGTGTGAATAGGACTTCAATAATAATAATAATAGTAATGTATTTCTCAAACTGAATGATAGGATGATTTTTTTCATATAGCACATTTAATAATATATCGTTTTTATATATAAAATATTTACATTCAAAGTACAAATATTACAGTGTTTTCCCTCATGTGTAGAAGTTTACATAAAGTAATGTAAATTTCAACATTGACAAATACTATTGAGAAATGTACATGGGGTTACTATTTAGAATAGGAATAAGCGACTTTAAAACATTTTTATTTTACAGTATGTGCTTGTTTGTTACATGGTTATTAAATGCAAAATGGTGAGGATTGGGCTGCTAGTGTACTTATTACTGAAATATTGAACATTGTACCCAAAAGTATGATGAGCAAGTTCTCCCAACCACCTTCAAAATATCCATGCCCTAAATTCTGAAACCTCTGAATATGTTATGTTACGTTGCAAAAGGGACTTTGCAGTTGTGATTAGGGTCACTGATCTTGATATGGTAGAGATTTCTCTAGATTATATGAGGGGGCTGAGCTAATTATTCTCTAGATTATATGAGGGGGCCAATCTAATTATAATAACCCTTGAAAGCAGAGACTCTCCTGATTGAAGTCAGAGAGAGATGAAGGGGCAGAAGAAAACACAGGACAGATGAGACATGAGAGGTACTTGATCAGTGGTTACTACCTTTGAAGGCAAATGTCCACAGGTCAAGGAATGATGCAGCATTTAGGAGCAGAGAATAATCCCAGGCCATCGGCCATGAGGGAAATAAGAACTTCAGTCCTACAATTGCAGGGAACTGAATTCTTTTAAGAGCCTCCCTGAGTCTAGAAGATTCTCCCTTAGAGCTGTGAAAAAGGAACAGCCCTGCTCACACCACAATTTTGGCCTTGTATCAATCTAAGCAGAGACTCAGCCAAGCCATCTCACTGTTGACCTACAGCAACTATGAGATAAATATGTATTGCTGTAAGCCATTAAGTTTGTGGTAATTTATTATAGCAGCAATATAAATGGATATAGTAATAAACATGAAAACCCACAAAATAAATGCATAATTAATTATTGTGGTAACTACTTAATGGAAAAGAACAGCACACTACAAAAGAGGAAAATAAGGCAACCTGCTTGAAGACACTCAGGACAGAACAAAGGATGAACTTTCTCCATATTCCATTTTTCTTCACTGCAGCTTATCCCTATAATGTCAGCATAGCATTCACTTGAAAAAATGTATAGCACATCTACTAAGTGCAAAGCAATGCAATAGGTACACAGAGATAGTATAGATGAGTTTAGGAGATACCTCACCTTAAAAGGTCACAAGCACAGGTTGGCAAGCCATGGTCTGGGAACCAGATCTGGTCTGCCATCTGCTTTTGTGTGGCTTGCAAACTAAGAAGGATTTTTACCGTTTAAGATGGTTGGAAACAAAATCAAAAGAAGAATTATATTGTGTGGCCTGTAAAAAGTCTATGAAATGCAAAGTTCAGTGTCCATAAATAAAGTTTAAGTGGAACACAGCCACATTCATTCATTTGTGTGCCATCTATGCTTGCTTACATATGAAAATGGCCAAATTAAATAGCTGGAAAAGTGACCAAATGACTGACAAAGGCTAAAATATTCAATGCCTATTCCTTCATAGAAAAAGGATGCCAACTCCAGATCTAGAATGCAGATAAGTCAAGCATATAAATGTTCACGAGAATATGTATAATTGAATAAATGCCATATAGAGCAATTGCATTTGCTTATGCGGATCAGGAAAGGCTACATGAAGCAGCTGACATTGAGATGAGCTTTCAAGGAAATGGAGATAAGATTAGGCATCTCAGAAGTAAGAAGAGATTCCTTGGCAGGCCATGTGCCAACAGAATTATTGTGCTGAATTTTTTCCTCATTCGGTATTTTTCAAATTGAATTCTGTTGTAAAAAATTTGAAAAAGAGAAATCTTTTTTTTTGCTTGATTCCTTAAAATCTTAAGGATAGAAACTCTGATACTAATTTCGTGATTTAAATTATTTGTTTCATATAATAAATTTCTGCTAAAGATGAACCTCTTGCTATCTAGAGCTCTTAAATTTACTGTACCCCCAATGTCATCATTTCTGTAGCACTTTTATTTTTACCAATGATTAAATTAAAATTTTTAGAATGGATTTCTTCTTACCTCCATTATGCTATGCATGTCTCCACTGCCCCTTCTCCCTTTCACTTACTAGAATTACTATCACCACCAAATTCTACCCCCACCCCTGTGTCTGCTCAGAGGCTGCTTTGCTTAAAGCCACAACATCTAACAATCTTTATGAGAAACCCAACTCTTTGCTTCACAGATGCATTTTTTACCTCACAAATTCACTCTTCAAATTCTTCATTTTTTTGTGTTTGTATTTGCTAATATATTTACTAAAGTTTTAGCTGTTTAATGATGGAGTTGAATCTCAAATTGTTTTTATTACCTCCAAATACTATGATAGTTATTAATACTAGAATGAATAGCTGGTTCGTTTCACAGCTCAGTTGCTACAATTGTAGGCTCATCAGTGAAAAGTTATCAAAGCTTTCATGGTGGGAGATCCTGGCTTCCATTCTCCAGCCCTGGTTGAGTAAGTGAATGGTAATACAAATGGTCTGCTTTGCTTTTTTTCTGGATCTCAGCTACATCTAAAGTAAGTGGTGTTCTTGATAAAACCCTCTAAAATTAGAAAGTTGTAGAAATATATGGTAATATGTATCTTAATAATTCAACTTATCATGGCAACACACAATTAAAACTTTCCTTTGGGACTAAAGAGAAAGAATCACAGTCATTTCTAAGGAAGCCAATATATAATGAGAAGAATAATTCAAGTAAATGGGACTGAGTTTCATAAAGAAATGGAAAATAAAAGCAAAAATTTTTAACAAGGAAATTAATTATTACTGCATTTGATGACTTTACAGTTTTTATGACCTTACTTATTAGTTTTTTTTATTATTCCCAATTACAGCAGTATTATTATTTTTTATTTGGTAGGGAAAGAAGTATAGAATTTCTTTCATAAAACCACCACACAAAAAATTATCCTTTTCTAGAATAAGCATAATTTTTATCAAAATTTACTTTATTTTAAATGGAATGTATAATACCATTGATATTACATTCCATTAATATATTGGAAACATTTTGAACAAGGTTAATCAAAGAAGTGTTTTCTTTTTATATGTTTGTATCTATATCAACACTCATATTGACATATTTATATCTTCTGTATCTTATCGTCTTATATATACTTTATAAAATCCTGTAGTAAGACAAATAAGTCTAAGTTTTATACAATCTAAAGAATTGAATCCCAGCCCATGTAAACAACATGTCTTCTGTGCTCACTGTTATAACTAAATTGTATATAGATCATTTACTGTATTTCATTGATTCTAAGATGTCTATTTCTTTTTATTACATTTAATATCTCTGAAATAAGAAGGAAACTTACAGTGGATGACCTATGATAATTCAATTGCTAGCATTTTTTTCTTTCTAGGTGAATCAAAATATAATATACTAATATACTTTTCACAATTGATAGTGACAGATTCAAAGACATATTCAGTTTTAAGACCGCCTTTCAGAGTGTAGGACAGTTTGACAGAAAGTGTTCTTCACCTTGTAATAATGATTTTCCTCTTTTTAAAAAAAAGTTTTAGCTAGTTTAGAGCCAAAGAGCTAGTTTTTTCCAAACCACCTCAAAGGTTACTGTATTGGTTTGCTAGGGCTGCCCTAACAAAGTACCATAAACTAAGTAGCTTAAACAACAGAAATGTGTTGTCTCACAGTTCTGGGTGTTAGAAGTCCAAGATCCAGGTATCAGCAGGGCAATGTTCCCTCTGAGGTGCTAGGAAAGGATCTGTTCCAGGCCTTTCTTCCGGCTTTTGGTTGCTCCTTGGATAGTGGTAGCATAACTCCAGTCTTCACAAGGGATTCTCACTGTGTTCATGTCTGTCTCTTTACATGGCATTCTTTTTATAAGGACACCAGTCATTTGGGATTTGAGGCCCACCCTACTCTCGTATAAATTCAACAAATTACATCCACAATGCCCTGTTTTCAGCCTATTTTATAAGGTCACATTCTGGGGTACTGGAGTTGGGACCTCCACATATGAATTTTGAGGACATATCTCGGCCTATTACAGTGGTTGCATTCTGGTCAATGAAATGTAAGCAAATGTGTTAGCTTCTAGAAGCCTTTATTAACAGGCAATTTTTATATATTCCTCACTACTCATCTTTAATTCTCTCTCCATCTTGCTACCTGGCATCTGAGAACAAAAACGACACTTCAAGTACGTTAGACAAGGGAGCAGGATGAAGTGTCAGTTCCTAAGAACCTTAGAGAGTACAGCTGCCACACCAGCTTTGAGTTTAAGTCATGATTGTTATAAAGCCAAACTTAATTTGACTTAATATATGAGCTTTTCCAACATCAGTTACAATCTTAACTGTACCACTTACTCTCTGTGGTCTATTTACATGTCTCTTATAAGGTTCATTTTCCCATTTGTAAAAGAGCAATAGTCATATCTACTTCACAGTTGGTATAAAAAGTTCTATATGCACAGTACCCAGCATAGAACATTAGAGTTTGCTGTTGTTGTAAATATGAAGACTTCCATTCAAGTAGAATGGAATAAATGCTTATTGAACTTTTAATTCTGTTTTTATTATTTTATTAAAAAAATTGTAAGTATTTAAAAGGGACAGATGTTATCAACTTGCAATAGTATTTGTTCATTCATTTTTTTTCATTCAACAAACATTCAGCACTTTCCATGCACCAGATACTATTTTAGGCAATAGAGATGGTCCAGTGAGCAAAATCAAAATAGTTCTTGCTTCTGCCCCCATGAGGTTTACGCTCAAGTTGGATATGAAAGACTGCAGAAGAAAAGTAATAAGTAATGTTGGTGATGGTTACGCACGTGACCTCTTTTATCTTGAAATGTGCTAAATTGCAGAAATGTGGAGCTGCAGGAGAAAAAGTATCTTGCTTGATAGAATCATCCTAGAACATTCATGGGGTGACAAAGGCATCAGATCCCTTGTCACTTGTAATGAGAGTGGCTTGCCAGCACATCTCACGTTCAAACTAGTGCATTTCAGTGTGAATTTTTCTGATTATGATCACATTAATAGCACTTCTAGTAAAAAAAAAGTCAGTGAAACACAAGATGCTGTCAGCACCTGTAAGTAGATGTTGCAAAATTTAGTTTAAAAAAGAAGGGTTTTAAAAAATTATTACTGACAATAACAATTACAGAAATTATGACTTTTCTTGTGGGTCTTATTGTGAATTATGTTCCATCAATGCTGTATATAAGTAGTTGCTAGACCATTTTTAAAGAGAGTTGCTGTCTCTAACTTCAAAGCTCATTATTTTCGCTATTTGCCTTTTCCTTCTAATAGAGATATTTTTCTTGTATTTTTCTATTTTCCCCACAGGAATACTCTTTTAAACAGATTGCTCTGCTCATATGTTCTGCCTTTGGAATTGGCATTATTATGTTTGGCCCTTTAATGGAAGAATTATTGGAAGTAAGGAAGGTTTCACCTTGAAACAACTAAACCTTGTGTTTGACCATTTTGCAATGAGTAATAACTATTTAGATTGTCATTTATTAAATGTTGAAACTCCAAATAATAAATTTTCACAAAAATATATTTTAGAATTATTCAGATGGTCAATGTTAAATTACTTAATAGTTAAAAGTGAAATTGGTTCATCGTTTGAATAATGTTATTGGAGAAACTGAAAAGTAGAAAAAATAAACTCGAGTGACTTGGTAACAGCCTGTTGGGAGACTGAACACCTGTAGCTTTATTGATATGTAGTTTCTAAAAGTAAAAAAAGCTCAATGCAATAAAAGAATTGCTGTGCTAACATTTACATCTTCTCCAGTATATTCAAGATCAGTGTTCATCATCTGGGCTGGGCTCTGCTCTTCTCAAACTTCTTCAAAGTTACACAGTTTGATTGTCAGTCCAAATACTTAGAGAATGTGTGCAGGTGTACCATACCAATTATCAATAGCTAAACTTGTTTACCAAGATAGAGAACATTTACACAACATAAAAGTATGTATTTTTCTATTGGGCTAAAGGATTCTTATGATTCATAGCTACTGGCAATGAATTTACTTTAAAAATTAACTGATGATTAATGTAGACCTTGTGTTAGGACTGTGGACACTATTCTATTACTGTTTATTTGGAATTACATGGTCTGTGATCACCAACAGCAAAAAATCTGTATGCTAATTTCCTAGCCTACAGTGACATTCAGCTGTGCTTACTTTCCTTTCAGTATGAGGAATGTCTAAAATATTTTCTGACTCTTTGTGCCTAGTAGGAAAAAAGTAAAGTAATTTTAGGGTTGTTGTTTGTGTTAGATTATTAAACTATTTGCCAAGTCTGACTTATAATTACAAAATTCTGTTGAATTTTAGTACCTCTTTTCATCTTCATTCAAAACAGAAGTCATTTCTGAACCTACATGCAGCCTGAGTGAGCACTCATGGGTATATTTGAGCCATTGAAGCATTCCTGGTTATTGACCCTTGGAATGACTTCACTAATGCCCTATGGTATGGAGACCTCAATTCATTTCTAACCTTGCTCATAGTCATAACTGGACTGAATTTAGTGCTTTAATCACATCATTTTACTTCATAAAAAATAATATTTTCCTCATTGTTTTAAAGAAAATTGCATACATTTAACGTTCTCACAGATTGATGTTAAACTGTTGGTAGATGGAATTTGGAGAGAATGAAGTAGACCAGATGTTTTCATAACATTTTTCCTTTTCGAACGTTGTCATGTATAGCCCAAGGCATTTAATGAAGTCATCAAATTGCAGTCAATACCTAAATGTGTTGGAAGAGTGAGTGTTTTGGGGTTCTCTGGCTCATCTTAAGGACTAGATGCTCTAAGAGCTGGAGTAGTAAAGGGGACACAAGGTAGATTCAGATTGGCCTGGGCTCAGCTACTCAAGAGTTTTACTGAAATTGTGATATTAGGATCTTTACCTACCCTCTATGAGCCTAAGTTTCTTTACACAACAGTGATGATGGAAATGAGCAAAAGCACAGTCTTTATTTATTTTGTCTTTTTCTTTTTTTTTTTTGGAAACAGTTAAACACTGTATCCTGATTCCCCTCACTACATGGGATAATTACTTAACCTTTGTAGGAATCACTTTATTCATCTTTAAATTGATTCTAATGATAGTGCTTTTTTCTCAATGTGTTATTGTAAGAAATAAATGAGTTTCTCCAGGTGAAACATTTAGAATGCCACAAGGAATGGGATAAATGCTCAATAAAAGTTGACATTTTAGTTATAATTGTCATGTGTTGTATATGAAAAGGTCGAGAGTTTGGTTTGAGAAGTAAAGCAAGGTATAGATTGTGAAGGGATTATTTTCTTGTTGTGGGAATGACATAAATATTTGCATTTTAGCAAGATATACTGATTGCGTGGACAAGGCTTATTTATGTAAAAGGAGGGCCTACCTTGGAAGGCATGGTGCAAGGTTCACCACTAAAATGGAACAAGTAAAAGTTATATGTAAGAAGAGGAATTTATGTATTTTATGTCATTTTGCAGGTAGGACTAACATCATTTGACAACCAAATAAGTAGAGAGAGAAGTAAGTTGATAACTCTTTTGTACCTTGAGCAATAAAGTCTTATGATGATTGTCAAATATGATAAAGGTAGATGACGGTCCTATTCACAGAAGTGAGAAAAGTAAGAAAAGAAGGTTCGGAAAGATAAAAATTATGAAAGTAATTTTAGAAATTATGTATGCTATGCTGAGGACCAATATACAAGGACAGTGGAAAAAGTGGTAAAAGTTGTTTGGGAAATAGTTAAATAGATCTTTTTGGGAATTAATGAAGATGTTTGAAGAATCGGACAAAACCTGATTTCCTACCAAACACAGCTATGATGTAATTGTTTCTTTGAAAAATTTAAGATGCACTCAGGGAAAGTAGGCAGAAAAAATACTTAAATTTATTATAAATATGATGAATTAAATTAAATAGCTTGTTTCTTAATACTCTTCTAAAGAGAGATGGACTACTTTAATTGTGTGATTATTGAAACAAATGATTACTGAGAATTGAGGTCTGTATAAAGGGCAAAATACTAGATAGAATATTACAATGAAAAGAGAAAAGGGTACTAGGTATCTGGAAGAAAGAAGGAGAAAGGATAAATACAAGGTGGTAACAAAACATTTTGCCTCGTTTGCACTGTAATTAGCGTTGACCTCTAATCCCAGGGTTCAGATACTGTTGATTTTTCCAAAGAAACTGGTTGGTGTAGGTTCTTTCATTCACTCAATAAATACCTGTTGAGGAACTACTATGTTCTGAGCCCTTCTAGGAGCCTAAGATGCAGTGATGAACAAGAGAGTTAAAGGAATCTGCCCCAAAGAACCTACATGGTACTTGGAGGAGAAAGAAAATAAAATCTAAAAGTTAATGAATTAGATAAATATAATAAGTTCTGACTGTGATAGGTAAAAATAAAGGAAATTAACAATGAAACATGATAGACAGTAATGAAGACCTTACCTTGGGTACTCAAGGAAAACCTTATCTGATGAGATACAAAATGTGTTTATATATTTTGCTGTGATTGTTAGAAGAGACATGAGATAGTACCTGGACAGAGATTTTTCAATTAAGGGAAATTTGCTTTTTTCAGAATGAGATACTGGAACATGCTTTTTTTAAAAAAAAGTAAGTAAAATGAGACATACTAGAGCATTCTTACATTTTTTGAAAAATAGGCAAGTATAGAAGAAGAAATTGATGATGTAGAACAAAGAAGATAGTTTCAAATGGAAAGTCTGGTTGGCAATCTGGGATGGGATCCTGAGCACCAAGAGAGAACAAGACCTTTTTTAGGGAATAGACATTTCTTCCTTTCCAGAGGAGGGAAGCTGAGTACACAGTACAGAAGCAGGTAGGTTAATAGTTTTGTTGATAGGCAGATAAAGGACCTCCCTTCTGTTTTTCCTTTTTCTTTTTCTGTGTTTTCTGTTTTATTCCCAGCCATCTATATTATCAAACTTCCAATGCACTTAATTAAAGCTTTTCCCATGAGTAAGAAATTCATCCTAATATAAATGCTGACACACTGAGTGGAGTTTGTGTTTTTTATTTCCAAGTTTAAAGAAAAATGTTTTGAATAAACTCTTAGTCTTATAAGAAGGAATATGCCCAGCACTTAGCAATTTCATGAATCATTGGGCTATGCTGTTGCACATAAGGGAATTTTTAAAGATTATATCTAAAGCATTGCTATTGTAGCATTCTAGTCATGTTTATATGTCTGCAGGGAAACAGTGCA
Source organism: Homo sapiens (assembly GCF_000001405.40). Lineage (NCBI taxonomy): Eukaryota > Metazoa > Chordata > Mammalia > Primates > Hominidae > Homo > Homo sapiens. Next base: position 78,403,077 of record NC_000008.11, on the reverse strand, counting down.
TATTTTTATAAACAAAATTTCCTTAACATAGCAAAAGAAAACAGAAAATTGCTTTAAAAAGAGCACAAAATGCAAAGTTAGCAAAAATTTTCTATACTGAAAAAAGAACCGTTGTTGGAAATGTCAATCTCATCTTTACCTAAGTACAAAATTTTGATGTACTGGAAAAACTCAAAATTCAGTGAAATTTAATTCGATTAATATGATAAGTATTCTGAGAGGTCTGCATCTCATAGGTGATTTAAGTGAATTATGTTGCTAATTAGTCTAGCAATCATAATTCAGTATACTGGTGGATGCTTAAACCCTATTTCTTAAATACAGCACAGAACTTGAATGGTTTTGTTGTTGTTATTGTTAGTTGTTGATTCCTTACTCTCTCTAGGACTCAGGTAACTGGAAATGTACCTATACCATAATTTTTTACTATTTGTAAACCCCATGGACATAACATTTTGCATATCAAAGTTAACCAAATTATTGCCATGGAAAAATCTAATAAAACACAGCGTTAATTAAAACTTTAACTTTCTAATTTCCATACCATAATTTAATTGTCAGCCCACGTTAGGTTTCCTCTCTTTGATTCATGTCTCACTCATCTACTAATCCATTAATTAAACAAACATTTGCTGAAATCAAATATGGTAGCATTAGACGTATAGAAGAGAATAAGACAGCAGAGCCCTTGGACCTTATGAACCTATTGTTTATTGGATAAAATAGACATTTAACTAATAATTTCAGGCACTATCAATGATAAAAAACTGGGAAACACAAGGTTTTGTGAAGTACAAAGCTAGCCTGGGTTTCACACACCAGAAGAAACATGGAAAGTCAGATAGAAACGTGGACATTGTCTGTCCAACCAATCATTGACCTTACTTTTCAAACACCACTTCTCAAATAGTTGGCTGGGAAAAACTCTTGTATAATTTTGGAGAATGATTGTATTCTGTATACTTGGCCTGTGTAGATTAATAACTTAAGCTCATAGAGCAAAAATTATCCTCATTTATATATAATTACAGCATATTTAGTTCAGTCTGATAATGAAACTTTATCCACAGTTGTCCAAACATCTTGAATCTAGAAATAGTTATGGGTCTCCAAACAAATCATTCCTAATTTGCATGTGGTAAATGTAATGACAACTTGAGAACTAGCTCCTACATAAATAATGTCAGAAGATATATCAGTGTTTCTAATTTGTACTCTTCTTTTTCATTTGGCAGATAAACATTTTCAATGGAGATGATGAAATCAGTGCAGACAAGGCTGCTTTCATTTAGAAAGATGAATGAAAAACATACTTCTTAACTAGTGGATTGGCAAACAGACTCAAAGATTTTTAAAAATCTGGCTGTTGTCTGCCTGATTTAAATATGTGAAAGTATTGAATTTAGAAGGCTTACTTTTAAACTATTTTAAAATAGGAAATTATTGTATGAGAAGGCTTGATAGCCTTTGTTTAATCAGTATCAAGAGATATAAAACTTTTGCAATGTTCCATGTCACAAGAAAATTTTTCATGTGACCCTTGCTAAATGACTGGAGTTGTATGAAACTGTTCCACATTTTAATGAACCAGTATGGATAGCTGCGTCTGTGTATAATATATTATATAAGAAATCATTTTGAAATGTATGCAAAGAACTCAGTTTACCAAATCACAGTACTGCTGCTTTTCTGATTTATTTACTAAAAGTAAATTTTTAAGGTGTTGCAGAAAATTAAAAAAGTAAATTCAGGTGGATTTTTAATTTATTTCAAATAATAAAGAGCTCAGTTCTTTTACCTATCCTAAGTTACTAGTTATTGTCTGTCTGTATAGTAAGTCTTATATATGAGATAACTTAAATCTTTGTAAATTAGAAAAACATATGTGCACATATGCATATATGTTATATATATATCAGTCATATATAATTTGTTATTCGGGATAGTCACAAAGATCAAAGCTTATGCATTTAATAAAAATACAAATTAATTGATTGATAGTATCAAATAATGTTAGAGCTGTTAATGGCAGAGAGAAAAATGTAGTCTGAAATTGCTAGTTAGAAACAAACCAAGAGAGGGCATGACATGCCAAAGATGATGTGAGGAAGATGTATAAATTGAGACTAGAATGTAGGCTATGTTATCTATCTGTCTATCTATCTATGTATCTATCCATCCATCCATCCCATGGCCATTCATTTATTGAGAGTCTGCTATGTGTTAAGCATTTTGCATGAAAATGCATGTATATTACAGTTCCCAGTCCCTTGCTTTACATGCTATTGTTTAGGAATACCTACTCAAATAGGTATCCCTATTTCAACGCTTTGCCTTCTTCACAAAAACATTAAAACATATTAGAGAGTAAATGGGAAAAAAATAGATTTGGAAGATTAGTTTGGGAAATCTATCAAGAAATAGAACAAAAAGTCAAATAGAAAAAAGAGAGAAAATTAGAAAACTCATACAAGACATGCAATATCTGCATAATACAATTTTCAGAAAGATGGAGCAGAGAAAAGGTAGAGGGAGAAATCATGAAAATAGTTTTCTGAAGACAAAGGACATAAATTTCTTTACCTAAAAGGCCCACCAAGCACACAAGATAATGGATTAAATTAAACAAATCATGGTAAAGTTAAGAACACCACTTAGGAGCAAAGATATGGTTCTAATTGTTCACAAAAAAGAGGGAAACAAATAATAAACATGTATAGTATTGAGAATTATAATTACTTTAGAATTTTGAACATCAACTCTGGAACCTAGATTGATGAATTCATATGTTCAACATTTTCAAGGAAAATGAGATCTAACCTAGAATTCTATATATGTGCAAACTTAATAAAGTTATTGGAGAGATAAAGGATCTTTAAACATTTTGCTTTTCACATGCCATTTCCCAGGAAGCAACTGTAATATATTCTTCACAAATATGAAGTAGAAAACCAAAAATAAGAAACATGTGGGACAAAGAAAGTAAGAGATTCAACCCCGGAGAGAGGTTAAGGGAACCCCCCGGGTGCTATTAAAGGCAGAAAGCAACCTGAGGGTTGTGCCCCAAGCACAGAGAGACCCAGCCCAGATTTCAACAAGGTCATGAATGTGTCAATCCATATAGTTTAAAACCTCACCACATAACATCCTTTCCCCCTGATGAGCGGATCAGCACAGTAAAAGTGAATGGATCTCACTTTAATTGATGAGATGTAAAGACGATACCGATTGGATGAGACCATGAGGAGACAATAAAGGTCACGCTAAAGCTGGCTTCTACCTTTTGAGTCTCATTTTAGCAAGAGACTTCGGATTCCTGCAGAGTATAATTCAGAAAAAACCTGCAAATTTACTCTAATCAAAGAAAGCAGCCTCTATATGGCACACGCTCATATATGCCTAAACTACCCTTGAAACAAAAAACTGGTAGCAGTGACTGACTCTAGGAAAGGGAATTGGGTATCTAAAGCAAAAAGAATGTAAGAGAATTACTTTTCATTCACCAGTTACTTTTGAATTTTATTCCAAAGGCATGTATTATCCAGACAAATGATGAAAATAAAAAGATGGAAATAAAATGCACCACCCCCCAGAGTGTTTAGTCTTCTTAAATGTCTGTTTGAGGTGTTCAGAAGCTCATCAGCTCCACAAAGATTCTTCAGAAACAGAGTGATGCTAGGTTATGCCTAGTCCAGCGTGTCTGAGCCTAAACATCCTCGGAAGCCAGAACAGGCACCTAGGCCTTATTTATTTGTCAGCAGAAAATGAGTTCAGAAGAGGAGGCCTCAATATACCTAAATGTAATAAGGAACAACAACTACAAAAGGTAAAGAAAGAAAAAAAAAATTCCTTAACAAAATTAATTGGAAGGAATGAAGAGGATGGTGGTAGAAGAAATTATGTGTGCACTGAAATCATTTAAAATGCTGGAATAATTTACATATAAATTTCAAAATATGTATGAATTTTTAAGGCAGTGGAATATATTTAATTTTCACAGGAAACACAAAGCTCTGCTAATGGGTTTCATTTTTGAAAGTGCTTATGTTTTTGTTTAGGAATTAATGCAAAATTTACCATGTTTTTATTTCACTTATGCTAAAGGATAGAGGATCTTTTTTAACTAAAGAAAACCAGCAAAAATGTGACAACTTGTAATTAAGCTTAATCTTACATATCAGCAAAAAGTCATGACTCACGGTTCATCTATTTATCTTGATACCTTAGGGCTTATCTGTTTATCTTGCTAGTCATCTTGCTGCATGATGATGTTCATCTATGACTTGAGGTTCGTCTATTTATCTTTCAGCAACATTGTAACATTGAAGTTGCAACATCAATATTAATATTGCCCAAGTATGCTCTTGAAATGGCCCCTAAACAAATAGCAAGTCTGTGTCTATAACTTTATCCTCTATAATGTTTCAAATTTTATACTATATGAGTAGATATTAAATGCTCATGTCCACAGAATATATTTCTAAAATTAGAATGGCACAGAGAAGATTAACATGGTGTTTACACCAGGATGCTGCGAAAATTTGTGAAGTCTTCAATATTTTTACATAAAAACTAGGAGAATTTGTTGCTAGCAAACCAGTTCTACAAGGACTAATAAAGAGATTCCTTTAGATGTAAATAAAAGGAAACTATACAATAAACTGAATACTTATAAAGAAATGAAGAGCACTGATGAAGGTAACTATATAGGTAAAAGTTAAAAACAGTATAAATGTACTTTTTGTTTGTGATACTTTTTTTCTCCTCTCTGATTTAAAAGACAAGTCTATAAAATGTATGTAATACTTTTTTCTCCTTTCTGATTTAAAAGACAAATTTATAAAGCAGTAATTATAAATCTGTGTTTTTGAGTATATGATGTATATAGATGTAGTTTTTATGACAATACAAGCACGAAGGCAGCTGATGGAATAAAACTTCTTAGAAGCAAGTTTTTTTAATATCATTGATATTAGGTTGGAATTAAAAATAATTAGTGTGAGTTAAGATGTTAATTGTAATCCTTATCTCAGAAATGTAGTTAACAGATAAGAGTTTAGAAGTGGCCATTAGAACATAACTATTTTACAACAAAGAATGCAGTGATAGAGGAAGAGGAATCAAAAAAGATACAAGACATATAGAAAATAGCAAAATGTCAGACATAAATTCTAAATGATTAGTAATACACTTGTTGTAATAGAATTAAACATTTCAATCTAAAGGCAGAAATTTTAAAATGGATTTAAGAATATACAAACATATGCTTTCTACAGTGATACACTTTAGATTCTAGGACACGTGGAATATAAAAGGGTGGAAATAGATATGCCATTAGAATAGTAAAAAAGAAAAAAATTGGAAGTGGCTAAGCAAATATCAGACAAAATATACTTTAAGATGTAAATTTTTGTTAGAGGCAAATAAATTTTAATAATGGTGAAATGATTGACCCAACAAGAATATATAAGAATTATAAATATATATGCCCCTAACAACAGAACCTAAAAATACAAGAAGAAAAAATGGACATGATTGAAAGGAAAAATTAACAGGTCTTCAATAGTAGCTGAATATTTCAGTACTTCACTTTCAATAACAGAACAACTAGACGCAAAATGCAAAAGAAAAAGACTTAAACAACACTATAAACCAACTAGACCTAACAGATATCTATAGAACACTAACCAACAGCAGTAGAAAAAACATTCTTTTCAAGTTTACATGAAATGTTATTCAGGATAGAACATATGCCAGGTCATATGATGAACTTTAATAAATGTAAAAGGATGTAAGCAATATAAAGTATGCTCATTGGCAACAATGAAATTAAATTAGAATTTATTAACAGAAAAAAATTGTGAAACTCACAAAAATGTGGACACAGTTCAGTCCTAAATAAATAATGGGTCAAATCAGAAAATTAAAGTGGAATTAGTAACACTTTGAGATAAATTAAAAACAAATAAAAACTCATGGGATACAATGAAAGCAATATTTATAGCTATAAACATCTTTATTAAAAGGAATATCTCAAATCAATAACATAATGTTCTGCCCTAAGAAACTAAAAAAGAAAAACCCAAAGCAATTGGAAAAAAATTAATAACAATGACCAGAATGAAAACAAATGAAATAGAAAATAAAAAAGCAATAGAAAAATAAATGGAAGCCAAAGTTGGTTCTTTGAAAAAGTCAGCAAAATTAACAAAAACATTGTATTGGAGGCTCGAGCTAGGAATATTAGACAAGAAAAATAAGAGGCCTTTAGATTGAAAATCCAGAAATAAAACTATTCACAGATAATATGATCTTGCATGTAGAAAATTCTAAACAATCCACAATCTATTAAAGTTTATGAACCTATTTGGCAAGATTGCAAAATGTAATATATATGAATCAATTATACTTCTATTCACTTGCAATGAACAATCTAAAAAGTAGGAGAAAAAATATATTTACAATAGCCTCAGAAAGAATAAAATAATTAGAAATAAATTTGAGAAATGAAGTGCAAGATTTGTTTACTGGAGACTAAATAACATCATTGGAAGAAATTGAAGACCTGAATTAGTGAAAAAACAGCCTGCCTGTGTTCATGAATTGCAAGACAATTCTGTTTGGCTAGTAATACTTGCCAATTGATCTACAGATTCAACACAATTCCTAGTATAATACCAGCTGCCTTTGTTGCATGTATTGAAAAGTTGATCTGAACATTTGTATGGAAATGCAAGGAACCTGGAATAGTTAAAATATGAAAAAGAAGTCCAAATCTGGAGAAGTTACACTTCCCAATTTCAAAACTTACTACAAAGCAACAGTAATCAAAATAGTGTAATACTGGTATGACAGTAGATATATATGTTGGTGGAATAGAATTCAGAGTCCATAAATCAATACATCTATGATCAATTTGATTATCAACAAGGTTGCCAATATAATTTAATGAAGGAAAGAATCATCTTTTCAACAAATGGTTCTTCAGTGACTGATAGCCACATGCAAAAGAATTTGATGCCTACCTCACATGTTCTACAAAAATTAAAATAGGTCACAGATCTAAATATAAATATGTATACACATATATATTAGAAGAAAACATAGGCATAAGTCTTCATAACCTTGGGTTAAGCAACAGTTTCTTAAATATGACACCAAAAGCATAATCAACAATAGAAAAAATAGATAAATTGAACTTCATTACAATTCAAACTTTTTATGCTTCAAAGGGCACCATTAAGAAAGTGAAAAGACAATAAATAGGATGGGAGAACATATCTCCAATTCATATACCATATATCTGATATCAAGGAGTAGAATGAAGAATATAAAATAATTTGTATAATGCTACAATAAAAACACAACCCAATTTAAAACTGGGCATCAGAATTTGAACAAGAGTCTCTCCAAAAAGATATGGTACAAATGGCTAATATGCACTTGAGAAGGTGTGTGACATTATTAGTCATTAGGAAAATAAACATCAAAACTACAATGATATACCACTTCACAAATTGTTTTTGCAATCTTGTTTATAAGCTGATTCTAAAATGCTTATGAAATGGCTCTAATAAAAAAGATGAACAATAACGAGTGTTGGCGAGGAATGAGGACTGCAGAAGTTGGAACCCTCAAATCCTGCATGCAGACACTTTGCAAAGCAGTTTGACAGTTGCTCAAAAAATTAAACAGAGTAATATGACTCAATAATTCCATTCTTAGGTATATACTAAGATAACTGAAAACATATCTACATAAAAACTTGTACACAAATATTCATAGAAACATTAATCATTATAGTCAGCAAGTGGAACCAAACCAAATTTCCGTCAATTGATGCATGTATAAATGTGAGGTATATTCATACAATAGAGTGTAATTCAGCCATGTAAAGCATTCAAAGACAGATACATGCTATAACATGGATGAGCCTTAAAAACCTTAGCTAATTGAATAAAGCCAGACATAAAAAACCACATATGGTATGATTCAATTTATATAAAAGGTCCAGAATAGGCAAATCCCTAGAGACAGACTGATTAGTTGTTGCACAGGATTGAGGAGAAAGAGGGTTTAGGGAGTGACTGGTAATGAGTCTGGGGTTTCTTTTTGTAGTGATGAATGTACTCTGAATTAGACTGATGATGTTCACACAGCTTTGTAAATATGCTAAAAGAATCACTGAATTGTATACTATAAACAAGTGAATTTTATTGTATGTGAAGTGTATCTCAATAAAAGTAGTTAAATATTAATTCCACCAATTAAATTAGTGTATGATGATTAATTTCTCATTTTATATAGTGATTATTGAATATAATATAAAATATACAGTTTCTGTAGCAATGATGCTTTACAACGGTTACTATTTTGGTTTAAAACAGGAGTCAGAGTACTCCTTTAAAGAAGCATTTTCCAAATTGTAGGAGTCAGATTAGTTTATATCCATGAGGTTTAGACATTATTATTTATTTGACCCAATTAAAGAAAATATAACTTTCTTAACACCTAAATTAAGGTAGATATTTTAAAATTGTTTTCAGAGAGGATGTTTGTAGTTCAAATGATTTGGCTATATTTCACTAGCATTATTACAAGGTGTTCAACCATTGGCTGGGCTCCAGTAGCATCCTCAGTTCCTTTATTCCATTGGGATACTTACCTGAAAGCCACTGTTTCCTTATATTTCAAAGATAAATCAAGTAGAGAAATAAGTAAGTAATAAAAATATAAAAAAATCTCTCCTTGCACCTGTAGTCCCAGGTACTCAGGAGGCTGTGACAGGAGGATCACTTGAGCCCAGGAGTTTGAGGCTGCAGTGAGCTATGATTGGGGCCCCTGCACTCCAGCCTGGGTGACAGAATGAGATCCTGTCTCTAAAAATAAACAAACACAAACATAAAAATCTCTTCCTTTTTTCTCCATCCATGATAATGCTCTTCTCTTGCCAATTACTTTCTGGAAGTGATTTCATGTTTCTTGGACTCTTTACGTGTGTATCCACAGTAGAGCAGAGCAAACTGCCCCTTCCTGAATGCATTCATGCTTTTTCCATTTATAGAATTATTTATTTTCCTATGTCACTCAGAGTTTATCCATTCTCCTAGATATGCATTTTTCCTGTGCATTTGCGCATCATAGGAAGATAAATTCTATTCTTGATAATGGTAACCTGGTTATTGAGTCACAGAAAGCTATTATTCCTACAATTTTTCATTGGTGAGTAAGTTCTGTGGAGGTAGAATTTTATGTTGTAAGTATAAGATTTTTCTAGACTCAAATTACTTCTCCCTTGCAATAGAAATTGACCAGTGATGTGTGCTGCTGACTTTTCATAATCAATGTATATATAATCCATTAAGTTATTACATATAATATTGGTCAGAAAAGCATCCTGTGAAATTTAAACTCCCTTTTATTTTCATGGTATGGCGTGGAATCAACTTTTATTGCCCTCTAGTGGTGGAATCTGTGAACTGCATATTTAGATGTCTGGGACAGCGTATTTTTAAGGTGTAAAGTAGGTTGCTCAACTCCATGGGTAAGGCTAAAGAGTAGATGGGAAACATTCAGAGTTATTGAAACTGATTAATGATGCCAATAATTTGATTGTAGAAGTTTTTAAAAATATAACATATTTACTGTCTTTTTGTCACATAATCGTATTTCATGGGAAGGATATTGAAATCTTTCTTTCCTTCAGAGTAAAAGAACAATAATTAAAGATTTTCTTCACTTGGACCAAATATTTTTTTTCTGAATATATAAACTTACATTGGGGCTTGACATCTCAAAAATGTTTCAAAATATTTTGCCATCCAAAAATATTTTTAAAATTTCAAGTTATAATTTAATTCTACCTAAAATTAGGTATATAAATTGATGTATAGTCACTTAAGTGTTGTATACTATAGTTTCAGACAATTCCCTCCTTCATATATTTTTCTTCCCTTCAACAAATATATGTTGAATGTCTAGTACAAGTCAAGGAGCTCTATGTGAAATTGTAATGTTGGTAAAGCTTGATTTTGACTTTGCAGCCTATGTGGTGATACATTTTCCCCCAAGTGTATGAAAGATGGTGGTGGGAAGAGGCTAGGCCTGTTTCTGTGGAACCCAAATTTTCTTTGCCAACTGCCAACTTTCAGTATTAGAAAAAGATTTCCTTCGTTAGAAAGGGTTTTGAGTTGATAAAATGCAAGTATTTCTATAAAAATGCAAGTATTTTCAAAGTGTGTAAAATATAGGGCATTATGTGTTTTTCTGAGTTGGTATGAGTTGAATTTCATTGGCGCAAACTGGAGTCTCTCTGTTATATGTGTATGTGTGTGTGTGTCTGGGCATGTGAAGGCATGAGCGTGTGTGTGTAAATCTATTGAGGATACAAAAAAGACCCTGGATGGAAACAGCAGTGCTATAGAAAAGGGGGGAAGAGTATAAAAGACAAACTTAACCTACTTAGTTTCTCCTTGCCTAGGGGTAGTCTTATTTTCTAGGATTCTTTCATGATCTATTTACTAAATGCCCAGTGTCCCTAGGTGCCTCTGTGAGTCTTACAAACCTCTCAGTAGCCTATGTGTGGGAGGTGGAACCTTGACATTTTGCCTATTCGGGTTTCCTTTCTCTGAGAGTTTTTCTCTGAGCTACGTGATAGGTAGATTTCTGGTGAAAAACTGTACTCATTGTTAACAAGAAATGTCTGACTTAATGATTCAAACAAATAAAGAGTATCTTGACTCAAGTGTGAAGCACCTCTAGGCTTCATGTAACAGAGATACTTTGAGACAGGAAGATCTTTCAGTATCCACTAAGATCATAGTACAATACTATTGAGTAATTTGAAGTCTAACCTTGTTCAAATGTGGGAAGATATATCTTGGATTGCATCATTGTCTGCTTATCCCCTTACACACATATCAAATAGCTTAAAGTTTAAAAAAGTAATACTAGAAAAAAGTCTGTGTTTAAGGTAGGCATGTTATTATGTTTATTTTCCCCGGCACATAGTAGATAAAGGTGTACCTTAGAGATACTGTGGGTTTGGTTCCAGACCATGGCAATAAACAAATACCACAATAAAACAAGTCACACAATTTTTTTTTTTTTTTTTTGGTTTCCCAGTGCCCATAAAAGATATATCTGGAGGGGCAAGGTGGCTCATGCCTGTAATCCCAGCACTTTGGGAGGCCTATGGGCGGATCACGAGGTCAAGAGATGCAGACAATCCTGACCAACATGGTGAAACCCCGTCTCTAGTAAAAATACAAAAATTAGCTGGGTGTGGTGGTGCGCCTGTAATCCTAGCTACTTGGGAGGCTGAGGCAGGAGAATCGCTTGAACCCAGAGGCAGAGTTTGCAGTGAGTCAAAGATCACGCCACTGCACTCCAGCGTGGCGACAGAGTGAGACTCCATCTCAAAAAAAAATTATATTTATACTATACTGTTGTCTATTAAGTTCACAATAGCATTACATCTAAAAAAACAATGTACACCTTAATTAAAATATTGCTAAAATACACAAAACTCACTGAGTAGTAATCTTCTTGCTGGTGGAAGATCTTGCCTTAGTGTTGATGGCTACTGACTGATCAGGGTGTTGACTGTGGTGATTTCTTAAAATACACCAACAATAAAGTTTGCCACATTGATTGACTCTTTGTTTCACAAATTATTGCTGTATAGCATGCAATGCTATTTAATAACATTTTACCCAGAGTAGAATGTTCTTCAAAATTGGAGGCAATCCTCTCAAACTCTGCTGCTGCTTTATCAACTAAGTGTGTGGAATATACTTAAATTATTTGTTCTTGTTTTGACAATGTTCGTAGCATCTTGATCAGGAGTAAATTCTGTCTTAACAAACCACTTTCTTTGCTCATGTGTAACAAGAAACTCTTCATCCATTCAAGTTTGATCGTAACATTGCAGCAATTCAGTTACATCTTCGGGCTCCACTTTGGATTCTAGTTCTCTTGCTATTTCTACCACATCTGCAGCTACCTTCTTCACTGCAGTCTTAAATGCCTCAGTCATCATGAGGGTTGAAATCAACTTCCAAAATCTATTTAATGTTGATGTTTTAAACTCTTCTCATGAATCACAAATGTCCGTAATGACATCTAGAATGGTGAGTCTTTTTCAGAAGTTTTCAAATTTATTTTGCCTAGATCAATCAGAGAAATCACTATCTATGGCAGCTGTAGTGTTATAAAATGTATTTCTTAAATAATAAGACTTGAAAGTAGAAATTACTCCTTGATTCATAAGCCGCAGAATGAATGTTGTGTTAGCATAAAAACATTACTCTCTGTGTACATCTCTATCAGAGCCCTTGGATTACTCGCACATTGTCAATGAGCAGTATCTTTTGAAAGTAATCCTTTTCTTCTGATCAGTAGGTCAACAGTGGGCTTAAAATATTTGGAAAACTGTGTGGTAAACAGATGCGTTGCCATCTAGGCTTTATTATTCTATTTATAGAGCATAGGCAGGGTAGATTAGATTTAGTATAATTCTTAAGAGGCCTAGGATTTTTAAAATGGTAAATGAACATTGGCTTCAGTTTAAAGTCACCAGCTACATAAGCTTCTAAAAAAAAAGCTCGTCCTTTGAAGCTTTGAGACCAGGCCTTGACTTTTCCTCTGGCTAAGACAGTTCTAGATGGCCTCTCCTTCCATTATAAAACTGTTAAGTCTACACTGAAAATCTATTGTTTAGTGTAGCCACTTTCATTAATGATTTTAGCTAGATCTTCTGGATAGCTTGCTGCAGTATCTATATCAACACTTGAGGCTTTACTTCGAACTTTTTATGTTATAGAGATGGCTTCTTTCCTTACACCTCAAGAACCAGCCTCTGCTAACTTGAAACTTTTTTTCTGCTGCACTTTTTTTTTTTTATTCTCTCAGGCTTTATAGAATTTGAGAGAGTTTAGGACTTGCTCTGGATTAGGCTTTAGCTTAAGGGAATGTTGTGGCTGGTTTGATTTTTCCACGTAGACCACTAAAATTTTCTGCGTATCAGAAATAAGGCTGTTTCACTTTATCGTCATTCGTGTGTTCACTGGATTAGTGCTTTTAATCTCCTTAAAGAACTTTTACTTCATATTCACAAATAACTTCGGTGTTTGGTTAAAAGGTGCCTAGTTTTGGGCCTATCTTGGCTTTTGGCATGCCTTCCTCACTAAACCTAATCATTCCAGGCTTTTGATTTAAAGTGAGAGATGTGCAACTCTTCCTTTACTTTAGACACTCAGAGAACACTGTGGAATTATTAATTGTCCTAATTTCAATATTGTTGTGTCTCAGGGAATAGAGAGGCCTGAGGAGAGGGAGAGAAATAAGGGAATGACTGGTTAGTGGTGCAGTCAGAATACATATGACACTTGTCAATTAAATTCACTGTCCCATATGGGCATGATTCATGGCGCCCCTTTCGTTACAATAGTAACATCAAAGATCACTGTTCACAGATCACAATAACAGATATCATGGTAATGAAAATGTTTGAAATATTACAAAAATTACCAAAATGTCACACAGAGACACATGCACATGCTGTTGGAAAAATGGCATCAATGAATTTGTTCAAGGCGGGGTTGCCACACACCTTCAATTTTTAAAGAACACAATTATCTGTGAAGCACAATTGACACGGTTTGGCTGTGTACCCACCCAAATCTCATCTTGGACTGTAGCTCCCCACAATTCCCACATGCCATGGGAGGCATCCATTGGGAGGTAATTGAATCATGGGGGCAGGTCTTTTCCCTGCTGTTTTCATGATAGTAAATAAATCTCAGGAGATCTGATGGTTTTATAAAGAGGAGTTCTCCTGCACCAGCTCTCTCTTCTCTGCCACCATGTAGGATGTGACTTGCTCCTCCTTGCCTTCTGCCATGATGTGAGGCCTTCCAGCCCTGTGGAACTGAGTCAATTAAACCTCTTTTCTTTATAATTTACCTAGTTTCAGGTAAGTCTTTATCAGCAGCATGAAAATGGACTAATACAACAATAAAGTGTGGCACAATAAAGGAAAGCTCAATAAAAGGGGGTCTGCTTGTATTTGTTAAATCTTATCTTCGTAAATAATAAAAATTTAAAAGATATTTTACTTACCAGAGTACCTCAAATTTTTACCTTTTGCTTTAGTGTAGGGACTGATAATGAACAACTTAGAAACTATTGTCCCATGTTAATTTTTCTGATTTGAGAATTGCTGAGAGTAGCATTTCGATGGAAAAAGTCCCAAAGAGAACTGTAAGTAGAGTAAGGGTATTTACGTTATTCTTCCTCATAGTTCCATTTGTTGGTTTTCAGCGTCTAACTTTGAAAAGCTGCCTGAGGCTGCCGAGAATCTACCACAAGGATCACAGCTCTACTGCTCCCAGACTCATCCCAAGCTGGAGCAGGAGCCAGGCCAGCTGTTCAGGCTCACTCCTGGTCTTTGGTATGCTCAGGGCAGCGGCTTTTCTCCACCAGCCTCACCATTTGACTCTTTATCATCATGAAAACTCAGTCAGGTCCTGCAAATGGCCAAAGTAACAATAGGCAAAACCTAAGTGTTTTTATCACGGAGAGAAATCTCTGCTGCTGGTGATAGATCCCAGCAGTAGATAAGATTTGGGCTACACCCCACAGGTAGAAAGCCCACCATTTAGGGAGGAGCTGCTTTGAATATGGATCAAATAATTAGAAAACTGACTCCTAGATCACTAGGCAAGAGTCCACTCATCTGTCTTAGGCATCCCACCGTAGATATGAACAGGGAGAGAGTAGAAAAGGAGGCTTCTCAAGGCAAACAGTCATCATAAAACCCATTCTTCTTTTTCTGTAAAAGGGAGAGTATGCAACTCAGCTTCAGAACCTGAAATCCAACAATGACATGTAGCACCAACAGTAAAGTACAATTGCAGCAGGAAAAATATCAGTGGAAAGCAGACGAGAACAAAATGTTATTTAGAATGAGATTAAATAGTTCTACATGTTTGGGTTTCAAAATAATATATCTGTAAACCTTGAGGTTTTAAAAATTATTTTTATTTTTAATTGACACATAATTGTACGTTTTTAGGGGGTGCAATGTAATGTTTTGATACATGCATAGATTGTGTAATGAATGAATCAGGCAATTAGTATATCCATCACCTCGAACATTTATCATTTATTTGTGGTTGCAATATATTATACCTTGAATCTTAAGAGCAAAACAAAATTGGGCCTTTTGTTTTCTTTTAGAAAGTATTGAGGAAGTAATAATATTTTGGGAACTTTACTAACAATGGAGACAATTAAGCAAATAATTGTAAAAATTTTCTTCTGTGAAACATATAATTTTCTGAAGACAAAGGGAAAAAAACAGGGTGCTAGATGATGAGGAGAGCATGAGGTGTCAGACAAATTTTCTCTTTTGTCTTCTTTTGCCTGTATATTTTCCCAGGCTTAAAGAAGTAGTAAAATTATGCATGTAAGATTGAATTCATATACATATTTCATAATTATGAAATTTAATTTCCACAGTTATTTCAGATGGCAGACAAGGCTGTTTGCTTAAGCTGAGACTCCTTTTAACAAAACTCTTGAAGAAACTAACAATTTTGTAAGCCAACTTGTTTATTCTGTGAGTGACTTGGCTGCAAGAGTAGACTAAACTGCCCTTTTAACTATACTATTTGTACTCTTACAGATCTGGGAGTTGCCATCTCTGAAACCAGAAAAGTGAGAAAGGGAAGTTGAAAGAGACAAAGGATCTAAATGTGGTATCTTTGCAGATCTCAAAGGTCAGGTGGCAGGTGCATTTCCAATGGCTTTAAGGAGGGAAGATAAGGTGTGGTTTAATGGTCTACCTGGAAATTCAAATTCTAGTCTGTGCAGTGTGAAGATTATTTCACATTAGGTAAATCACTGATGAGTCATGCCCCAGCACATACTCAGTGGTTTTCCAATTTCGATTTTATTTTGTACTCTTAGAAAGTAATACTTATGAAGGATTTTACAATTGCTAGGTTCAATTTTGGGTCAAGGCTTTGATGTTTGTACTGACACCAAATACCAAACCTTGGAAAACAGAGAAAGAAGAAATTGGTGAATTTTTACTCAATTCAAGAACTCACCATTTTTTTTTCAATTAGTATAATAGTTCTAACTGATTGTTTCATAAGAAAAAATAGAAAATGAATCATTATGAGTCTGAATGAATACTTTGTATCTTATCTATTCTATTAAAACTAAAAGATGAGCTAAAAATTTTAGGTATTAAAATATACATTTTTGTAATGAAATTTGTTGTAACACTTCCCTTAATTTTAAATTTAAATGGAGCCCAGCCCACAAGCATTTGTTTATAAGCAATAGATTGGGCAATAGTTTTTGGGATAATTCATTTTATAATCTGAGATTGTTAATGCTACCTCTATTTTCTACCTCCACATTTCTAATGTGTTACTATTAATTTAGATATAATAGATTTGTTTCTGTAATTTCTTTATGGTCAATCATATACTGAGCAACAATAATTTTGAAAGCAGCTGTGTGGAAATGGGGAGATAACAGTGAATTTATGTGAATAATACTGGTTTCTTAAAGGAGATTTTGATCTCATTGGAAAGATGTGCCATATACAGTAATCTCAGGGATCAATTAATTAAATGGGTCTGAAAGCAGAGGTTCCTGAAAATGGGTAGAGAATGGAGGATATGAGTTACAAAAATCCTATGTTGAATCCTGGAACTAATGACTTGGAGAACTCTTTATACTTTTTCATGACAGTGTTGTCAATGCAAACAAGATGGGAGAATACACAATAATTGCCAGAATAGATTGTATTAGTCTCACACTGCTAATAAAGTTTTACCTGAGACTGGGTAATTTATAAAGGAAAGAGGTTTAATTGACTAATTGTTCCACATCACTGGGAAGGTCTCACAGTCATGGCAGGAGGTGAATGAGGGGTAAAATTACATCTTACATGGTGGCAGGCAAGAGAGCGTGTGCAGGGGGACTCCCCTTTATAAAAAATTCAGATCTTGTGATATTTATCATGATACTTATCATGAGAACAGCATGGGAAAGGCCCACCCCCATGATTCAATTACCTCCCACTGGGTCCCTCCCATGACACATGGGAATTATGGGAGCTACATTCAAAATAATATTTGGGTAGGGACAAAGCCAAACTGTATCATTCCACCACTGGCCCCTCCCAAATCTCATGTCCTCACATTTCAAAATGAATCATGCCTTCCCACAGTCCCCCAAAGTCATAACTCATTTCAACATTAACTCAAAATTTACAGTCCAAAGTTTCATCTGAGACAAAGCAAGTCTCTTCTGCCTATGAGCCTGTAAAATCAGAAGCAAGTTACTTCCTAGATACAATGGGGCAGGGGGTTGGTAAATACGGCCATTCCAAATGGGAGAAATTCACCAAAATAAAGGAGCTACAGGCCCCACGCAAGTCCAAAATCCAGTGAGGAAGTCAAATCTTAAAGCTCAAAAATGATCTTCTTTGACTCCGTGTCTCACATCCAGGTCACCTTGATGCAAGAGGTGGGGTTGTATGGCCTTAGGCAACTCTGCCTCTGTGGCTTTGCAGGGTACAGCTCCTCTCCTGGCTGTTTCACAGGCTAGTGTTGAGTGTTGGCAGCTTTTCCAGGTGCACAATGTAAGCCGTCAGTGGATCTACCATTCTGGGGTCTGGAGGACAGTGATCCTCTTCTCACAGCTCCACTAGGCAGAGCTCCAGTGGGGACTCTGTGAGGGATTTGTACCCCACATTTACCTTCTGCACTGCCCTAGCAGAGGCTTTCCATGAGGGCTTTGCCACTGCAGGCCACCTCTGCCTGGACATCCAGGCGTTCTCATACAACTTCTGAGATACATCCTAGTCAGAGGTTCCCAAACCTCAATTCGTGACCTCTGTGCACCTGCAGGCTCAACACCATGTCAAAGCTTCCAAGACGTGGGGCTTGCACCTTCTGAAGCCATGGCCTGAGCTGTGCCTTGGCCCCTTTTAGCCATGGCTGGAGCAATTTGGAAGCAACCAAGTCCCTAAGCTGCACAGGGACCCTGAACCCAGCTCAGGACACCATTTTCCTCCTAGGTCTCTGAGCCTGTGATGGGAAGGGCTGCTGTAAAGGTCTCTGATAAGCCCTGGAGACATTTTCCCCATTGCCTTGATGATTAACATTCAAATCCTTGTTATTTATGCAAATTTCTGCAGTAGGCTTGAATTTCTCCCCAGAAAATGTTTTTTTTTTCCCTATTGCATCATCAGACTGCAAATTTTCCAAACTTTCATACTCTGCTTCCCTTTTTAACATAAGTTCCAATTCCAAACCATATCTTTGGAAGTACATAAAACTGAATACTTTTAACAGCACCCAAATCACCTCTTGAAAGCTTTGCTGCTTAGAAATTTCTTCTACCAGATACCCTAAATGAAGTCTCTCAAGTTCAAAATTTTGCAGATCTCTAGGACAGGGGCAAAATGTTTCCAGTCTCTTTGTTAAAGCATAACAAGAGTGACCTTTTCTCCAGTTCCCAGGAAGTTTCTCATCTCCATCTGAGATCACCTTAGTCTTGACTTCATTTTCCATATCACCATTAGCATTTTGGTGAAATCCATTCAACAAGTCTCTAGGAGTTCCAAACTTTCCCACATTTTCCTTTTTTCTTCTGAGCCCTCCAAACTGTTCCATCATTGGCCCGTTACCCAGTTCCAAAGTTGCTTCCACATTTTCAGGTATCATTACAACAGCACCCCACTACCTAGTACCCATTTACTATATTCACCTGTTCTCATGCTGCTAATAAAGATATACCTAAGACTGGGTAATTTTAAAGAAATAGGGTTTAATTGACTCACAGTTCCACACGGCTTGGGAAGCCTCACAATCATGGTGGAGGGCAAATGAGGAGCAAAGTCACATCTTACATGGCGGCTGGCAAGAGAGCGTGTGCAAGGGAACTCCCCTTTATAAAACCATCAGATCTCATGACATGTATTCACTATCATGAGAAAACACAGAAAAGAACTGCTTCCATGCTTCAATTGCCTCCCATTGGGTCCCTCTCATGACATGTGGGAATTATGGGAGCTACAATTCAAGATGAGGTTTGGGTGGGGAAACAGCCAAACCATATCATAGATTTAACTTAATTTCAGCCTAGGTGGTCATTTCTAGGCTTTGAATATATGATAATTTAAATGTTGCCCAAACAGTAAATTTATTTTAATACTAAAAGTGAAAAAATGTCACAGTAAAATCTATACTGGTTTTCAGAAAAAAAGCATATATTTTTGTATTATATTGATACTACTCCATTTGCCCCAGACCAAGCACACGCCATCCCTCTTTGTTGTCTTCTTCTAGGTAAGATTTAAAATCCTTTTTATTGTTCTTGTCTATTTTACCACTCACAGACCTCAGGTCAGTCTGGGTTCCAGAGTTCCAGATTTAGAGATGTGAGACAGAATTATAATTAGAATTATTGGCTAGAAAAGAAGACTCCTAGCTTAAGAATGACTTTATTCTTTCATAGAGCTCAGAAGAACAAATTTCAAATCTATCTGCATTTACAAAAAATGTTTTAGTATGCAAATTTCCAAATAGCTACAGAATTAGAAAAAAGTAGAAATGTTCATCAATCAGTCTCTTTAATATCAATTACTGACCAAATTACAAATGTATTTTCTTTATACCCTATGTTACCATCACCATAAGCCCAGAAATTCTGAAGCATATTCCAAACTTCTTTTTCTCAGTAAAAATTTTAGTATGTATATTTCTATATTGTAAGAACTCAATTTTTTTAAAACGTAGCCACAATGTCAATATCACACACCCCCAAATAACAATAATTCTTTAAAATCAATAAATATTCAGACATTTCACATTTTCTTGATGGTCTTATAGATGTACTTTAATTTTCTTAACCATTTTTAAAATACAAATCCAAATACAATATATTTTAAACTATAAAATTTAAAAAATTCCATCTGTTTTTATTTTCTTGCAATTATTTATTTGTTGTTGAATCCAAAACAGTCATCCTGTAGAATCTTGGCTGGATTATGCTGATTGCTTCCCCTTCACGCTTGTACATTTACCATGCTCTTTTGACCTCTATATGCTGTCAATTGGTCAAAAAATCTATAGGGTTGAACCAGATTCAGGTTTGATTTTTTGGCATTTTTACTTTGTAGGTGATGTTGATTAATTCCAAAGGAGTTTTCAAGCATCTGGTTGTCTGATTTTGATGTCACAGCCATTAATGATCAATGGCTAGATCCATAACCTATTAAAGAATGCCAAGAGATATTCTACTAATTGTATTACTATTCTTTCTTTATTAGCTAGAATGTTGTCCTTAAGTATTTGGCTTCTCTGAGTTTCAGTGCAAATAGGAATGGCTGGGTGATTGCTTCTTTTAAAAGAAAAGAATGCTTCTTTAGAAAAAAAGATTTATCAGTTTACAAAAAAAAAAAGACTTTAAAGCTTTTCCTAAAGATGATCAATTGTTTCATTTCTTTTATTTTTTTAAATGAGGTTATTATAATTATCAGTCCTGAAACTGTCTCATCTTAGAAACATAGATTCTATACAAGTGGCCCTGGAGTCCTTTTAAGATGTTCTCAGGAGATTTTGGTTGTCTTCTAAGCTTTCTGGAAACATCTTGTTCATTTCGTATTCTGGATTTAAAATTAGCTATTTCTCCAAGGAGACGTCATCCATTGTGTTTATACAAACTTGAGTTCCTTTTAGTTTAACCTTCATTCAAGAAGTGATTTAAAAAAAAAACAGATTATTACACCTTATACTAAAATTAATTCAAGATGGATTAAAGATTTAAATGTTAGACCTAAAACCATAAAAACCCTAGAAGAAAACCTAGGCAATACCATTCAGGACATAGGCATGGGCAAGGACTTCATGTCTAAAACACCAAAAGCAATGGCAACAAAAGCCAAAATTGACAAATGGGATCTAATTAAACTAAAGAGCTTCTGCACAGCAAAAGAAACTACCATCAGAGTGAACAGGAAACCTACAGAATGGTAGAAAATTTTCACAATCTACTCATCTGACAAAGGGCTAATATCCAGAATCTACAATGAACTCCAACAAATTTACAGGAAAAAAACAACCCCATCAACAAGTGGGTGAAGGATATGAACAGACACTTCTCAAAAGAAGACATTTATGCAGCCAAAAGACCCATGAAAACATGCTCATCATCACTGGCCATCAGAGAAATGCAAATCAAAACCACAATGAGACACCATCTCACACCAGTTAGAATGGCGATCATTAAAAAGTCGGGAAACAACAAGTGCTGGAGAGGATGTGGAGAAACAGGAACACTTTTACACTGTTGGTGGGACTGTAAACTAGTTCAACCATTGTGGAAGTCAGTGTGGCGATTCCTCAGGGATCTAGAACTAGAAATACCATTTGACCCAGCAATCCCATTACTGCATATATACCCAAAGGATTATAAATCATGCTGCTATAAAGACACATGCACACGTATGTTTATTGTGGCACTATTCGCAATAGCAAAGACTTGATACCAACCCAAATGTCCATCAATGATAGACTGGATTAAGAAAATGTGGCACATATACACCATGGAATACTATGCAGCCATAAAAAATGATGAGTTCATGTTCTTTGTAGGGACATGGATGAAGCTGGAAACCATCATTCTCAGCAAACTATCCCAAGGACAAAAAACCAAACACCGCATGTTCTCACTCATAGGTGGGAATTGAACAATGAGAACACATGGACACAGGAAGGGGAACATCGCACACTGGGGCCTGTTGTGGGGTGCAGGGAGGGCGGAGGGATAGCATTGGAGATATACCTAATGTTAAATGATGAGTTAATGGGTGCAGCACACCAACATGGCACATGTATATATATGAACAAACCTGCACATTGTGTACATGTACCCTAAAACTTAAAGTATAATAAAAAAAAGATTATTTACTGAGTTCTTTCAACTTTCTTTTTAAATCTTCCTATTCTTCAATCATTTATTTCTGAATTTTGCTAATTCTGTTTTATGTTTTTTTTTTAAATTTTTAGTTGACACATAACAATTGTACTTATGGTGTACAATGTGATATTTTGATATTTGTATGCACTGCATGATGATCAAATCAGGGTAATTAGCATATCCATCACTTCAGAAATTTACTAAATCTTTGTGGTGGGAACATTCAAAATCCTATCTTCTAGGTATTTTGAGATATAAAGTACCTTACTGTAAACTACAGTCACTCTGCTGTACAATAGAACACCAGATTTTACTCTTTTTGGTAATTGTAACTTTGTACCCTTCGAAAACCTCTCCTCTATCCCCTCTCTACCTTCTTTTCCTAGTCTCATGTATCTGTTATATTCTCTACTCTTATGAGATCAACTGTTTTTAGATTCCATATATGAGTGAAATCATACAGTATTTCACTTAATGTAATGTCCTCCAGTCTTATTCAAGCTATTCCAAATAGGATTTCATTCTCTCTCTTTTTTTTTTTTTGAGGCATTCTCACTCTGTCACCAGGCTGGAGTGCAGTGGCACAATCTCGGCTCACTGCAACCTCCGCCTCCTGGGTTCAAGCGATTCTCCTGCCTCAGTCTCCCGACTAGCTGGGACTACAAGCAGGTGTGACCACGCCCAGCTAATTTTTGTATTTTTAGTAGACACGGGGTTTCACCATGTTGGCCGGGATGGTCTCAATCTCCTGACCTCGTGATCCACCCGCCCCAGCCTCCTAAAGTGTTGGGATTACAGGCTTCAGCCACAGCGTCCCGCCTCTTTCTCTTTTATGACTGAATAGTATTCCATTGTGTATATATGCTACATATTCTGTATCCATTATACATTGTTGGACACTAAATTTGATTCTGTTTCTTGGCTATTGTGAATAATGCTGCAATGAATTTAGGAGTGCAGATATCTCTTTGACATACTGATTTCATTTCCTTTGTATATATACTCAGTAATAGGATTGCTAGATCATATGATAGTCCTATTTTTAATTTTATGAGCAACCTCTATACTGTCTTTCATAATGGTTGCACTAATTTACATTCCTTTCAACAGTCATGTTTAAATTCGCTATATCACTGTTTAAATTCCTATATCCTTTTTTGAATTATTAGGTAACAGATTTTGTCTCTTTTGTGAGCATGTCTTTCTGACGTGATTCAGTATGTATTAGGACTTTCTTCCCATTCTTATTTTCCTTTATTTCCCCACTACTAAATTTCTTTAGAATTTAACTAGACTACTTTTCTGTTGCCCACTTTTAAAAATTTAATTTAAATTAATTTAATTTAATTTAATTTAATTTGTTTTTTGAAATAGAGTTTAGCTCTTCTTGCCCAGGCTGGAGTGCAATTGTGTGATCTTGGCTCACTGCAACACTTGCCTTCTGGGTTCAAGTTATTCTTCTGTCTCAGCCTCCTGAGTAGCTGGGATTACAGGTGCCCATCACTACGCCTGGCTAATTTTTATATTTTTATTAGAGGCAGGGTTTCACCATGTTGACCAGGCTGGTCTCGAACTCCTGACCTCAAGTGATCTGCCCGCCTTGGCATCCCAAATTGTTGGGATTACAGGCATGAGCCACTGCGCCTGGCCTGTTGCCCAGTTTTAAATAAAATGATTTCCCCTTTAGGAGGGAAAGGTAGATCAGAATATATTTCCTAGCTTCAAAACACCAGTGTTCACTTTCTTCTATTGTTTTCATAATGTGATTTTTTTTTTTAAAAAAAAAGGCCTTATAATTTCTAAAATCTTCCTCCTTTGCCCTCCTTTTTTCAGGACCTTCACTTTCTCTGTCTTGTTAAGCATGGGAATTTGTTCTGGAAGGGTGCTTTGGTTTGGTAAAGTGTCAAGGTTTCATTAACACTAGACCACTTTAGCACTCTCAGACCATCTTGCAGTTCTTGCACTCACCTGCAAATTGGAGTCTTTAATGCCAACTCTTAGTTTCTGCTGCTGTTCTCAGTGAATTCTTCATGGCAATTGTGGAATTCTCCTACTCTCTGAAATAATATAATTACATCTTCTTCCCCCAACTTCCTTGCACAGTGGAATACCACATGTAGGTCTTTTTGCTGTCATTGCTTTGTCCTCACGTGGTAGTATGTTGCAGTTCATTTGGACATCATATTATTGATATTGTCAGCAAATTTTTGGTTTTGCTATCGTAGTTTTTTTCTTTCTTTGTGTGTGTGGGTGTATCTTATGGGGAAGGAGTAGGATATTCTGAGACAGAAACACCTTCTCTGTAGCCACCATAATTCCCAGAATCCTTTGACATTCATATTTAAAATTAAATTATAGGACTCATTATTTTAATCCTCATTACATTTTACCTGTTCCTTTTCCTGGCGGCAAGTTGCCCCATAGCTCCCCTGCTTCAGTATAATGACATGATTGGGCACTATCCCATTTGGGGGGCTCTTTCTGTACTACGTTTCTCCTAATCATGGCAGTTTTGTACCGTCTGCATAAGATAGGGAATTTAGAAAATAAAGAAAACTGCAGGCTTAAT
Source organism: Homo sapiens (assembly GCF_000001405.40). Lineage (NCBI taxonomy): Eukaryota > Metazoa > Chordata > Mammalia > Primates > Hominidae > Homo > Homo sapiens. The sequence continues at coordinate 78,378,500 of NC_000008.11, read as the reverse complement.
GGCCGATAATGGATTAATATGTCATTTTTCTCAGGTAAAATATCCTAAGATGCTTTAGACTCAGGGTTTAAAATGAAACCTCTCCTTTCCTGGAATCACATTGCAAAAGTGAATGTCCACATAAAGTACACCCCGACTTGAAAGCAAGAGGTAAAACACTTTTAGAGCTTCAAAATTTACAAGGTTATTATAATTCTGCATTACTTTTTATGGTAAATGAAGCAAATCAATTTGTGACAAGGAATTAGAGTTTACTAAAACAGTTATTTTTAAGCCTATGAATATATATATTTAAATTGAAGAAAGGTGTTAAAGCTATATTAGCTGTTATCTCTTTTATGGAATCTGGGAGAAAGGGATACTCATTTGAAGAAAAAGGTGGTATAAAATTGGGAGATAATCTAATGCTAAAGTACTTGTATCTATTGCTATATTATAAATCACACCTAAACTTGGTAGTTTAAAATGGCAAGCATTTTATCTGCTCATAATTTGTGAATTAACAATTCAAGCTGATGTTCGCTGGGTGGATCTACATTGATTTCACTGGAGGTTACCCATTAGTCTATTATCAGCTAGCAAATCAGATGAGGCTGGTTGCTCTCACAGGTCTGGCCACTGGGGCTGACTGTTGGCCAGGCCAGGTGTCTCCATCAGGCTACCTCAAGCTTCTTCAGATGGCAAGTGTTCCATAAGGATAAGCTCTGGTTCAGAAGAGCCGTCCAAGCCTCAGATGTTAACATACCATTCGGCCAAAATGAGTCACATGACTGAACCTAGGGTAATGTGGGTGAGAACCACACAATGGTGAGGAATACAGTGTGGCATGATTCATTGGGGGCCAATATTCTAACAATCTACTGCAATAATTATACAAAGGAAAACAACTCTGAAGGTAGCTGATGAAAATAAGTATGTGTGAGAGGGTTGGCATGAGGCAAGAGGCAATTATCAAGGGCTACCAAAGTCTGGAAGATTCTGTTATTTTTTGAAAATCTATCAGGATTAAAGTAGTTATGTAGTAGCCATGTTCTTACACCAGAGGATGGGACACAATTGAACATCAGGGATGTTCATCTCTCTTCTTCCATCTTTTCAATTTCATCATGTTCCTTTCACTTGGTATATTTGAAAAATAGATCATCATGTACTTGTAAGGTACATGGATTCACTTCAATCAAGGAGTGGCCGAGGTGAACATCCTCATGACTCAGCGGGATTGGATCGCAGGCACACAATTCCATGTATAATGTAAACACAGCTAAGTAGCCATACCATGGGAAGGCCATCACTTGGCTCTACACCACTATTGTCTGTAAAAGGTGTAATTGCCTTGCTGACTCTGTATAGATGCACTTGTGCCCAGATAGAGACAGCCAGAGCTGTGTTCATCTTGCGGATGGACAGGGGAGAGCCAGGACACAGCTGGGCTTGCTCATGCCCAGAGAGAGAAGAGTTAAGCTACTGATCCTAAAGGAAGAGCCGGCTGCGCAGCTGTGTGTGGGAGCGGCCAGAGCAAGCAGCTGAGACAGAGCAGACAGGGTGAGAGAGCTGCTGCTGAGAGAGCTGCTGCTGAATAAAACCATATTTTGATTGCCTGTGGCCCCCCCCAGGGGTTCTTTCAGCTATTAGCCACTAATCCGCCCACTCCCCTCAGACTTCAGCTGGGGCTGGAACCTAATAGAACTCTTTATAAACTTATTTTTTCAAAGAAATTTTGACCTCATCTCTATGTGCTGTACAATGAACATACTATAGCAAAACAACAACAAAAAATCTTTTATCTGGGAAATCTTTTATTCTTACTATGTGAAATCCTGTGTACCCAGCACAATTAAGAGCTATTAAGAACAACATTTGATCAAAGTTTAAATAGCATCCTTCCTTCTCTAAAACTGAAAATAAGAATCCTTCTGATTCCTAGAGGGTTATTTTCTCCAATAACAAGAGCCGGCTGAGGCCATTTCTTGCTAGTGGAATCTGTGCATAGTGGCTCATGTCTGACTGACCTCAGGTCTTTATTCACATTATCCCCGGTGAATGTGACGGATGGGAGAGCCCTTGTGGTTTGGCCCACCAATATTGTTTCTGATGAAGGTTAACAGCGTTGCCCACTCTAAATCTTACACAGCAAATTGCTGACATCTGGTGTTTCCTCTCAAGTTTACCAGATTTTCTACTGTAATTCCAGTGTTTACACAACATAAAAACACAGACATTGAGCTTATGAAAGCATTTTGTATCCATAACACTGCTCTAGAGAACTGTTTAACATTTCTGAATGATTGCATTAAATAAAGTCTAAGTAAACTAATAGTTATAAAGCTATTGGTTGCTTTAGAAATAGTGGTCACTGATAAGCTCAAAATTGTTTCTTGAATTTATTAATAGGAGCAAAAATTTGCTCCTAATTCCCTTGGGGGAAGGTTGTTGCTTTGTTTGACACTGATTCACCTTAGAAATTTACGGGTACCTTTACTGGCTGTTTGTTTTTTTTTTTGTTTTTTTTTTTTTTGCATTCAATGCACCATTGTAGTTCTGTCCTCATATCATCTGGGTATCTGTTACTGCCACTGTCACCTGGAACCTGGGACAAGAAAAACAAAAAAGGAAGGTAAACACGTTTAATCATTAAGGATTGTAGCATACAACAGAATCCTTTTATCTACTGTTCTTAAGAAATAATAATTATAATCGCTTATAGCCCATTCAGTGGGAACTTGGGAAAATTTTGGAAGTCTCTGTGTTTCACACAGTTATTTCAGGAGGGGGATGTTCCCCGGTAACTCTAGGTTCTCCTCATGTTGAACGGGGAAACTTTCTATATTGAAGTAGTCATCTTTTTCCTGAGCATTTTCTGTTTTCTCTTATTGGAGACTTGTAAAACGCATACTAGACAATGTAGGAAAAGGACGAGATGGAGGAGTCATGAGAAGAAATAGAAATAGAAGGAGTCTTGGTTTGTAAAGCACACAAGACAGATAATATTCTCTGATTCCATTTGGTTCCCACCTGCACCTCCTTTAAGGAATACATCAGCATTCTGACTGGTCTATGCATCTGCTAATTGGATAGAACACTGTAACTGTATTGGCATTTTTAAGAAGCATTGATGGTCACTCCGGAAACTGTGGTTAGAGCTTCTGCAGCTGAAGTGCTCAGGAAAGAAACAAATATACTTAATGTAATATGCTTAATCTGTTTGTCCTAATTAACATTTATTCCTTGCAAGAGGTTGATTTCTGCTTTGACAGAGAGTAATGTAACTCTTGTGTCCTCCAAATAATAAAGCCAGGATTAAAATATCTCAACTTTTCATCCTTCTGAAGAAACACGTAAAATTTAAAGTTCTTTCTAATTGCTTCTGTTTAGAAATCCTGAAGACCATTAGCTGAGCTAGTTAAAGCACAGAGTTAATGAGTGTCATTTTCTTTCTTTTCCTACCGCAGCATGAAGCCCCACCCAAAGTGTGTACCATTTTCCACATGACAGGCAGGTAAAAAAGTGCAAATCTGTCACTACTAAGCTGTAAGACAGCTACAAATATTTCTCTTCAAATTAGCATTGATGAGAGTCTTTGTGGAAAAGAACCTCCTTTTTTTTGGTAGAATTACAATAAAATGCAAGTTGCTTTTACCTTCATTTCCACTACTATAACATAATTTTATAGTGAATATCAGCATTTTTGTGGTCTTCTAATAACATATGCAGTTTTTACAATAAGAAATAAAAGATTTTAATGCTATTTTTCAAGAAGCATTTTCTAGAGGCAAGATTCACTCCCACCTAGGGGGAACTAATGCATGCCTCTAAGATCTGAGGAATCAGCTGGAACAAATTTTATCATAAAATGTTAAATTTTTTTTCCTACCGGCTTCTTAAAGAAACTTGATTATTACTTCTTCTTGTCAGAAATTACTATATGGTAGCCATTTGCAGAAGTAACTCTGGGGTAGGTGTCTGGTGGCCTGGTCACTTCTGATAAAATACCTATTGTTTTCAGGGGCTTGCACAGGTTTTCTTTAAATGAATATATTTGATAAACTTTACTTAGAAGTTAATTAATCTAAAAATAGGTTTAATACCTACTTGTGAAACGATGATATAAAATAATTATTGGTCACTTCTTTTTCTGATTGATACCTCTTTTTGCCAAACAAAATTCTGTACTTAGAGCAGTTAATATCACCAATCTTACCTCTTTGATTATTTCATAAAGGCATTTCTTGAGGAAAGAGCTCACCCTTTCATTAAATGAACTTCAGTCCATGAAGTAAAACTTTATTAAAATTAGGTCAGCTCCTAATGCCAGTGTGATGCAAATCAGTATCCCCTGTCATTCGACTTTCTGGCAGGATAGGACCAACAGTATGGTGTGGCTTATTAAGGGCCCTACCTCAACAGGGTTCCATTAGGTTGCTCTCTCACTTTGAGGAATTATTATTAATATTATTATTATTATTATTATTTTTGAGACTGAGTTTCGCTCCAGTTGCCCAGGTTGGAGTGCAATGGCATGATCTTGGCTCACTGCAACCTCAGCCTCCAGGGTTCAAGTGATTCTCCTGCCTCAGCCTCCCGGGTAGCTGGGATTACAGGCACCTGCCACAACACCCAGCTAATTTTTTGTATTTTTAGTAGAGATGGGGTTTTGCCATGTTGGCAAGGCTGGTCTCGAACTCCTGGCCTCAGGTGATCCTCCTGCCTTGGCCTCCCAAAGTACTGGGATTACAGGTGTGAGCCACTGCGCCTGACTGAGGCATTTTATTTTAACACTATCTTATACCATATTCTGTAAAACAATATAAATCTTTTTCTGATTCTAAAATAATTAAGCTTTTCTCTTGGTTTGCCTTCTCCTTTTCGTCAGGTGTCTCCTCTCGATTCTCTGCCTTTATCTGAGTTTCAGAGCAGCAGCATTATACAGCAGTGAGACTGATGATTTTTGAAGTCAGACAAATACAGGCTTTCATCCTGGCTTCATCACTTACAATTTAACCCCTGGTATATTCATAATAGAGCTGGCTGTTAGTGATATTTTGCTTCAAATTTTCCCAGGTTTGTTTGCATTGTAACAGAGGATCATAATGTTTTGAATGAGGGTGAGTGGAAAGGAAGAGCAGGAAAGTAGATCTGAAATACAAGTCAAACTCCATGGAAGTAACCCTGCCTGAATATTGTCAGTAGAGTAAGAGAGGGAGGCAAACAAATAAATTGTTCACAAAACATATTCTTTAGAAGTGTAGAGTTTGCAGGAAAGCCTCATTGCAAAGAAATCGTATTTGTTTTCCTAAAACAAGATGTTTTGTTGGAAAAGTAATATTGAATACCTACTTTTTATTAATCCACCATATTGGGTACCTTCTGTAGTTCCATGTCCTATCTACACTTGGTACTATGAACACTACATAGAAGAGGATGCTTAGTCTCAAAGGTAATGAGTAAGAGAATTCCAGAGCCTTTGTGGGGTCCATTCTACCCCAGACTTCCCTTGCTTGTGCTGTTCATAGACTAGGTGCTTAGGAAGCTAGAATCAATAAATAACTCTTTCAAGAGGCTTTTGACATATATTAGATAATAGGAAAGTATAGCTCCTATATGGTTTGGATGTTTTGTCCTCTCCAAATCTCATATTGAAATGTGATCCCCAATGCTAGAGGTGTGGCCTGGTGGGAGGTGTTTGGGTCTTGGGGCTGATCCCTCATTAGTGGCTTGGTGCCCTCTCCAAGGGGAATGACTGAGTTCTCCCTCTAATCATTTATATATGATCTGATTGTTTAAAAGTGCTTGGAACCGCCTCCTTCCTTTCTCGCTCCCTCTCATCATGTGACATGCTGACTCCCCATTTGCCTTTTACTATGATTATAAGCATCTTAAAGCTCTCACTGGAAGCTGAACAGATGTGGGCGCCATGATTGCACAGCCTGCAGAAACTTGAGCCAAATAAAATTCTTCTCTTTATAAATTACACAGCCTCAGTTGTTTCTTTATAGCATGGCAAAACAGACAAACACAACTCCTGACATACAGACGAGCACTTCATCTGAAGTAGAGACAGAACATATGCTCATCTAATATTACTTAAATTACCTTTATATTACCTTTTTGAATCAGCCTGCCCACATTTTCTTGGTATTTTCCTCTTTCCTAGTTTCCTCTACTTGTACCTCTTTTCTTTTTCTCTTTTCCCATCTGAAATGCCTATGGTCTCAAAAGTAATTACTTCTTTAAGAAAGTTTTCATGGATACTAAATGCTACCTAATGGAAGCCATAAGCATGGGGTCTGCTAGCAGTTAGAGTGGAATAATACATATGCCAGGTTGAATCAAGTGGGAGAGAAGGTTAATCATCCTTTTAAATTGGCAGTGTTACTGGAGGTGGATTAATATGCTTTTTGAATCCCTTATGTGCTGTAAAGCTCCTCAATCACAATCACTGTGTTCGTGGTTTAGGTTTTGAATTAAAGGTGTCTCTTGCGGTCAGCTGGTCCAACTCCCTTAATCTCTCTGGCCATATTAGGTGATAGATTTCTCATTTTAATACATAATCTATTTTAGAGGCAGTATTGACTAAACCAGACTCTAATGTGGCCACCTTGAAAATGGAAGAAACTCTCTGCTGATGATTACTCTTAACTCTTTTCACTGTGAATGTAGTCCTTGACCTATGTAGTGTGGAAACACTGAGAAAAGTAGAATATTCCCATGTGCCTGTGGAGCATGGAGCGCTCTCAGTTTGTCAGCTCTGTGGCAGATCAGGCTTTGACCAGATACCAAAGAACAAAATGTGAAATTGGCACCAGCCAGCCTCTCCATTACACAGGATCCCTATTTAAATTTGACAACCAGAACATTGTACAATTTGAAATTTCTTTACATCTGTTTTTCTTTTGTTTCTTCTTTGAGAATGAAAGCTTTGAGAAGCTTGTTCAATAATTCAGATGTTTGATGGTGAGGTTTAACAAGATCTATCAAGTCAGTCACCAAACATTGACAAATGTTTACCACTCCCCCAGGTGTTATGCTGAGGACCCAGGGGCATCTCAGAGAGTGGCCCTGCACACTGACTGTATTTACAATAAGAGCTTTATAGCACTTTTTCTACATGTAACCAAGGCTCAGGTAAACACAAAACATTGATTTGAGTCTGAAGTAAACATAACTGACTTAGGCAATACCTTCAGTTCTGAGAACAATTTTGTCCCAAGTAAAAATTTTCCCATGGAACCGAATCCTGTCATCATTCTGTTCACTTAATATTTGATCATGATAATCCTAGCCTCTTTCAACCTTTAGCGAGGAAACCAACATAAGTCAGTGGTTGTGCTGGTCCGTGGTCCATAGGTAATGATGTGATACCATTGAAGATGAGAGCCAAGAGTGGAAAAGGCAGTTTTGCATACGTTAAATAAGACAGGATATTTTTTAGAAAATAAGTAGAAAAGTTTGGTGCAGTGTGGAGGAAAGAGCTAACAGAAGTTTTTTAATAGGCAAGGGTTTTTTTTTAATATTATGTTTAGCAGTTGTTTACAAGATAAAATTATAAAGGAAGCAACTATATACATGAAGGCCGTAAGAACACTAACTTTGCAGGATGCTTATCTTGTTATTTTTTTTTTTTTCTTTTTTGAGACAAGATTTGGCTCTATCATCCAGGCTGGAGTACAGTGGCGTGATCTTGGTTGTTGGCTCACTGCAACCTCTGCCTCCTGGGCTCAAGCCATCCTCTGATCTCAGCCTTTTGAGTAGCTGGGACTACAGGCACCAGCCACCATGCCTGGCTAATTTTTGCATTTTTTGTGGAGATGGGATTTTGCCATGTTGCACAGGCTGGTCTCAAACTCATGAGCTCAAGTGATCCTCCCACCTCAGTGACCTTGGTATTTTGATGGCACATTCTATAGTAATAGAAGTTAAGAAAGGAAGAATAATCTGAAGTCATTTAAATTAACGGTTTGCAAATTATGAGGTTACAAGGTACCTGAATTCAATTAGACAAGATTTGTTTAGCACCTACTATATGGCAAGCACTATGTTTATGTGTCAGGGTTACCAGGATAAACAGCTCAGAGAACTCCAAAGGTACTGTAAGAGCTACATAAACAATTAATTATAAGCCAATAGGGGTATGCTATTTAATGCATCATGAAAACATAACTCTGCAAAACAGAGGAGGAAGCAGATAACCCTGCTCAGAGATGTGGAACAGGACATGAGTAATAAAGAGATATTTAAATTGAATTTTGAATGTGAGTAGGAATTTTCTAGTGAAGAAAAGGTAAAGGACATATCAACCAGAAGGGACAACCTGGAAGTGAGAAACACACATACACACACACACACACACACACACACACACACAATTACAAAAGAGACTTTTTTGATTACAGCATAGGGTGTATGCTTCTGCTTGGTGGAAAATAAAGCATCAAAGGTAGGTTGAATTGGAAGTATAATAAAATTTTATATTTTCTATGAAAATGATAGGTATTTTTCAACAAAATTGGTTACTTATGAATATTATAAAATAGAAGCTGTTGAGTAAGGTGTAAAAGAACACTAAAGCAAAGTAATACCAAGCATATGGCTTATTGGTCAAAATTTTTAAAATTTGTTTTCCATGTTAGACAGTATTACAATTCTTTAACTTTTTTTTTTTTCCTGAAGCAAGGCCATTTAGTGAAAATGTGTGGTCTTTTTTTTATTTTTATCTTGGGAAGTTTTGCTTTAACTTTTACTCTGTTTAAAAATGCAAAATCTAATCATTATGAAGTTTGGATGCCTGGAGTACCTGCTCATATTCTTTCTTTAACATGATAGGGTTAAAGGGAAGGGTTGTATAAGTTTGCAAAGTAAAAAAAATTTATCTCTTATGTTTGTCATTTCCATACATGGACCATAAAATGGACCAATTTTAGGCTTATTGCATAAAAATCATTTGAGTAACTTGTTAAACCTCATTGCCACAGATTCTGATTAAGTAGCTCTCAGAAGATACCCAGAAATATGTATATTGAATTCGGATGACAGGATGATTATAGTGCACAGATAGCTTTTGGAAACCATAGTTCTATGGTCTGTCAAGAATTCAGAGGGATCATGAATGCTATGAAGGAAGTTTAGGAAAAGATTCCTGTTAGTTGAGATCAACAAGAAGGTGAACTTTTGGAGTTCAGAAGATAATTCAAAGTTCCAATTGAAATTATTTCTATTTATCCATTCGTTCATTCACCTAGTCCCTTAACAAATATTTTTTGGAAATCTAATGTGTTCCACACATGGTACTAAATTGTGGTAATACAGTAATGAATAAGATACCATCCTTGCCATTAGAGCTGAGATCATCCATAAAGGGCAGAAGACAGTTAAAAAGCAACATATTTACCTCTTGGGCAACAAAGAGTGCCCAGTGGAAGAGAATGATAAAGAAAGTCCAGAGATAGGAGGAAAAAGTAGTAGATAAAGATGTGTTATTGTTGTTACCATGAGAGACTTTTGAGATGGAAATTTTGATCAATAACATTAAATGTTGCAGAAACTTGACATACGACAAACAATATTCATTCTGTTTAGCTGCAAAGTAGTTGCGAGTGCATGCAATTCCAGTGGAGATAAGTAAGAGGAAAATAGCAAGATTGCAGTGAGTTATGAGGTACATGAAAGGAGAGAAAATATGGACAATGAGAATAAGTGAAACTTTTGGTAAGTTCTGCTGTAAAATTGGGAAGAGAGAAAAAAGTATTGGAAGGATGATTTATCATCAAGCATGACCACTTTTTAATGGGAGAAAGGAGTGGGCTTTCATGTGTTCATATGCCAAAGTGAAATTGCTAATAAAGGAAAGGTTTAAAGATACAAGTGAGATGAGAAAATAAATGGAAAAAAAAGCCAACAAAGGGAGAATAGATATTAAAAATTACATAGAAAAGTTGTGCTTGTACATAAAGAGAATTAGTTGGGGTGTTTTTGCCTTATGGCATATGTCTTCTCTGTGAAATAAGAGTTTGGTGGGAGGTGGTGTCACCTGGAAAGTCTGTGCTCATGAAATACCCTACATGCTCACCTACATTTCTCATCCTCCATTGCTGTTAGACTGATGTTCTTTGATTAATTCTGGCCAATGGCAAATGTGAAAAATGATGTTATCACTTCTGAGTTGAGGTCAATGGGAACCATTGTCCTTCCATCTGTCTAGTCCCCTACCCCAGAGATACTAGAGGCCATGTATTCCAGATGGCATGGCTCTAAAATGAATCGGAACTACCTGATCTGTAATGGGCTTTACTTAGCAGAGTAATAACTTTTTATTATTTTCTACTGAGAGTCTTGAGTTAAATAGATCCTCCCCTGTGGGAGCTGGAAGAGAGTGGTGAAGACTAAAGTAGGGAAATGAAAGGAGAAAGAGAGAGAGAGATGCTGGGAGCCTATGAAAGGTGCCAGGCAATTGAAGAAACAAATATATTAAATGGTATGCTAAGACACTGGAGTAAGAGAGAGTGAGTATATAGGAGATGAGAAGAAGACCATCTGTATACAATACCAAGAATTAAGGATTACATAGAGAAACAATGTAAAAAAAAAAAGAATGGTTAGAAATTCAGGTGATATGTCAGAAGAAATTATAACATTACCATGAGATGTATAGAAATGTAATTTAAAAATAAATATCAATAGATTCAGTTGTTTCCAAAAGGGTTACACAAATGGAAAAGAAACTTTTTGATTTGATGAACAAAGCAAATCAACATAAAAGGAGCCACTTCAGTAGAGTTGTGGGAGCAGATGCATTGTTATAGCAAGGGAATTATGAATATGACATGAGGAAAGTTTGACTTCACTTCTAAGAAATGACAATTAAGCAGTACAGAGGGCGTTTCAAGGAAAGGGCTAATGAAAGAAAACATTATCTTTAAATTTTTTTTTTTTTTTTTTTTTTTAGTTAAGGAAACTTGGACAATTTTTAGGCCAAAGAAAAGTTAGTAATGAGAGACTAAAGATAGAGAAAACTATCTTAGGAAATCATTATGGCTTGAATTGTGTCCATCAAATTCATATATTGAAGGCCTCACTCCCTGTGTGACTGTGTTTGCAGAAAGAAGCTTTAGGGAGGTAATTATGGTTACATGAGGTCACATGGGTGGGGCCCTAATCCAGTATTAGGATTAGGGCCTAATAGTGTGTGTATAAGAGGGATAGACACCTGAGGTCTCTCTCCCACTGTGTACATACAGAGGAAAGGCCTCCTGAGTACACAGTGAGAATGCAGCCATCGCCAAGCCAGGAAGAGAAACCACACCAGAAACCAACCCTGATGGCACATTGAGCTCTGATTTCTAGCCTCCAAAACTGTAGGAAAATTAATTTATGTTGTTTAAATCACATAATCTGTGTTGTTTTGTTATAGCAGCCCAAGCTGACTAATACAGACCTTTATGTACATACATTGTAACATATAAAGGAAAAAAAATATTGTGAGCCAGAGACTGTATCTTGAACAAAAGTGCATCAACATGTGATATTTACGACTTTATGCATTTTGTCAGGGAGATGTGAAAAAGAGGCAGTCAAATAGCACTTCTGCAAGTGGACTTTTCTCATCCTTATAAAAGTGACCTAGAGGGTGGAGGATAGGTTTTGAGAGAAGCACGATGAAGTTCTCTCTTTGAAACAGTATTACAATAGCAGCCACTGAAAGGCACACCACTAAAATACTGTCTTCACGACAGTCACAGGAGATCATCTGCAAAATGTTATGTCATTATAAAGGGGAGTATAGAGAAATATAAATAAAAATTTTAAAGTTTACTTGAACATTACTTTTTTTCATTTTTTTGATGTGTGATTTTTTTAACAAAGATTTTAATTTTAGCATTTGTATTCTGAGAAAAAGGTTGTTTGGCATTTTGAAAACAAATCACTTCAAAAAATAACATTTAAAAATTTTGAGACCATAGTATAGACTCATTTTACTTATTTGAAAATTATATTTTTAATTATAATTGGAAGGTGTGATGTTAAACTTTATTATTTCCCATAGCTTTCTAAACACCATGTTTATATTTTGCTTCAGTGTATTTCACCTGAAAATAGTCTCAAGTTTCCACAAAGTCTTTGGTTTCTTATACTCCTACTACCTGTCATTACCAAAGCGACTGAGTAACTGGTACCATTTTTCTCATGTTAGATTCACCTTGGATGATAATTAAACTCAACATTTTAGGAAATTTAATAGATATTCCAGTTCTGGAAGCTTAATTGGATCTTCCCTTTTTCAAACATATTTTATTCTGGAGAGAATGCTTTGTGTTTGAAGCCTTCTCGCCTCAAAAGAAAGGGTTCTTTTCTCTTTGAATATTTTTTCTACTAGAAGGTTTGGTGCCCCAGGGCTGACCCACCTAAGGTCCCCATTGTTAACACCTGTATTATATCTACTGGTTTGGGGTTTCTTTTCATATTTAACAGGCATGCCATACTGCTTTCATGTATTTTTTTTCTTTTTCTTCTCCATCCTAAGATCATCCTGCTCTGCTCCTCTGCTTTTTCCCTAAGTCTCCTTTGACCACCTAACGTGGCCTGTTAAGTCTACACAGCGGTGCTACAGGGATAGTAAAAGTGGACCTACTCATGGTGCACGTGTTCTTTAGAGAATTTCTCTTTCCGAGTAAATACTTCTTCCCTTTGGGCAGTATTCCATCTTTTCCTCTTTAGATCTTAAAAATATATTCCATGAGGCCTGTCATTTAAACCTGCTCCTGGGACAGATTACAAACTATAAAAGCTCCAGGAAGAAAATTTGAAATACAAGGTAGCGTATGGAAAGACACAAAGCAAGTGACAGAAAAACTCCAAGGGTTTGAATGTTCAGTAAAAAAACACTAAAGATTCTTTCTTTTTAGCATATCTTTTGATCTTAAAATTCAAACTGTATCTCTCACCTAATAAGACATTTTGAAAAGAAATTGCAGGGCTTACTGGTTTGGGCTAAGGTGGGGAAGAATCATGGGAGTGGGCCTGACCGCAATATCATCGTGATTTTAATCGTCGCTGAAATGCAAAAGAAGGTCAGTCACAGAAAATGCAGCACTCTCTGCATAATAAGAAGACAAGTATCTCTTGCTAACTAAATATTCTGCAAGCTATAAATAGTACTTTCATAAGAGGAGACCTTACAAGTGATGTCCCTATTTCAGTGTTTTTCTACCTCTGCTACTTTTTGGAAAATTTTAAAAGTAAAAAAGACAGTTAAAGTTGAACAGAATAGGAAAAATCTTTCCTTTTTTTTTTTTTTAAATAACTTGGCCATCAAAAAATGATTGTTCAAGTTTTCTATAGACTTTGTTCCAAATTAAGATACACAGAAATGTGTGGCATGGTATATTGAAAGAGCATAAGCTTTGGATATGGAAAGACTTGATTTTAATTTCTGGTTTATCTACCATAGATGGTATAATCTGAGTCTCAAATTTTTGTCTGAAAAATTGGGAAAATTATTATACAGATCCAATAGGAAATTTACAGAAAATGATATAAAGTACTTATAGTACAGTACATCTGGCTAATAAAGCAATTGTTCCTTTAATATTTTTGAGGGTCTATTATTATCTAGGAACTATGGTGTTGTTGCATTTTTAAAATCAGAAATTAAGTTCTGAATTGCTAAAAATATTTCTCTATTACATGCAAAAATGGCTTTAATAAGCAGAGCAAGTGTAGATTTGATAGAATATTTTAATTGTCCTTTGAAGAACAGAAAAATATTGACTACAAAAGATCATGAGGCAACATCTTTCTTTTGTCTTTACTTTTTAATTATTTATTCCATCATTAACCATTTCAAGATTTTGTTAAGGAGTTTGAGGTATATTTATGGTTGAACAAAAGGTCAAAGACAGGAGGAATAAAAGTATAGAATATAAAAATATTGTAATGTCATGCAATAATTACTTATTTTGATATTTTGAGCACTGAAGATAATTATTATACATTTTAAGACAAGAAGCAACTAATTTAAAAGTAATTGCCAACATATGAACACTTGTGATAAATAATTGGTTTGTTTGAATTATAAAAAAATAAAAAATATAAAAATTAATATTCTCAGTAATAAAATTAGAATTATTCCAAATAATATTACTGATCTGAGAAATACATTCACGAGGAAAAACAAGAAATCTCAATAAAAGTTAAATAAAGAAATTTAGACATTTATGATTTTAAACTACTGAAATAAGCAATTTAAATGTCAGACTAGCTAGCTGTACAGGGAACATATAAATGATCCACAATGTAAGTGTATTTCTCAGGATAACACAAAATGAATCCAACTCAATGACAAAAAAAAAATAAGCAACAACTGAAATTATATGAATTTTAAACATACCAAGGAAAGGCAGTATAATATATACAAAGTAATTTGTAACTGAAAATGGCATAGTATTCTTGAAGATAAAACTATATAGATATGGAAAAAGAACACTGTCATGTTTGCTGTTTGCTAAATTATGTAAATAAGTATTTTATAGCATTTTCTATTTGCTTTTAAAAAAACATGAGGCAGAATACAGAAAATGATTGTAAGACACAGAAGCCATCTCTTTCATAGTTGTTCTATTACGTGCTGGGTATTGCACAGAATTAGACTGCCAATAGATATTTATACAGAAAAGGTCCTGGAAATCAGATCCTGTTCTTAACCATCTACCTTTTTCAAAGGACAAAGCAAGGCTGAGGGGGAATTTATGTATGGCTTAATATAAGGGTTTGGCTCAAAGTCCCAGGTAAGAATAACAAAGAGTGTGACTGGACTAGTATATGGATCTCTTTTGTCTAGAGGATTTTGATTGGAGGGACCCAGAAAAAGCCTGGCCAAAAGTCCCACTCTGTCTTGATCTACATTGAAGGCCAAAATTTAATTTTTACTCTTTTTAAGTTGGGGGTCTGGGATTGAAAAGAGACAGAAATAGAAAGTTAGCTGAATATTTTCCCATTTGTCCACAAAGAAGCTGGATTCTAGACCTCTTTAATTATCTACTTTTTATGTAATATCTAGGAATTGCATACGATAAGCATAAAAGACCTCAGCTGCATGGTTAAACTAAATGTTCTTGCCTTAATAAAACATAGCAGTACATCCTTTTCAGATTGAGTCAAGAAGGGACTAAGAGAGATTACTTTGAGAGATCCTTTGAAAAGTTAACAGGTAAATTTATAATTTCTATTTACAGATGAGAAAGGCAATATAGTTTGTAATTTCCACTTGCCACTCTCCTGTAGCAAATCTTCCTACAAGTTTTGATTCTTAACTTCTTATCTCAGACTTCCTTTTATATCCAAGATATAAAAAAAGATTTATCTTTCTTGTGGAGATAGAATATATTGTTATAAATAGAAATTCTTGGAGGTTTTACTCAAAAGACATCTATTGAATTTATACATTGTGTCATATATTGTTTTAGGCCTGGGAGGATGTTGGAAGCCAGTTGTCCATGGGTTCCTTGTATTTCTGCATATCTTGCAAGCAGATGTATTGAAAGGTTTTGTTCCAGGCTGGACCTGGTGGCTCACGCCTGTAATCCCAGCACTTTGAGAGGCCAAGGTGGGCTGATCATGAGGTCAGGAGATCGAGATCATCCTGGCTAACATGGTGAAACCCTGTCTCTACTAAAAATACAAAAAATTAGCTGGTCGTGGTAGCAGGCACCTGTAGTCTCAGCTACTGGGGAGGCTGAAGCAGGAGAATCGCTTGAACACATGAGGCAGAGGTTGCAGTGAGCTGAGATTGCACCACTGCACTCCAGCCTGGGGCAAAAGAGTGAGACACTGTCTCAAAAAAAAAAAAAAAAAAAAAAAAACATTTCGTTCCAGACTGTATTTTCAGAGGTATTTGTATAGTAAGTAGCTTTGGAAGGTAGATAGTTCCCCCGCTCCAGAACAAAAGGAAGGTTTGTTGCATAAGAAAAATAATGCTTCCCCCCAGGGCAAAGGTTTGTTTGTAGCCCATTGCAAAATATTTGAGTTCTTAATTTGGGGGTTTCTTATTGTAGTGCTTAATATTGAGTGTCAACTTGATTGGACTGAAGGATGCAAAGTATTGATCCTGAGTGTGTCTGTGAAGGTGTTGCCAAAGGAGATTAACATTTGAGTCAGTGGACTGAAAGAGGCAGCCCCACTCTCAATCTTGGTGGGTACTACCTAATCAGCTGCCAGTGCAGCTAGCATAAAGCAGGCAGAATAAGTTGCAAGGACCAGACTTGCTGAGTCTTCGGCCTTCATCTTCCTACCGTGCTGGATGTTTCCTGCCATTGAACATCAGACTCAAGTTCTTCAACTTTTGGACTCTTGGACTTCTACCAGTGCTTTGTCAGGGGCTCTCAGGCCTTTGGCCACAGACTGAAGGCTATACTATTGGCTTCCCTACTTTTGAGGTTTTGAGACTCGGACTTGCTTCCTTGCTGGGCAGCTTGCAGACAGCCTATTAGTAGACATATGTCTAGTAATTTTACTAGACATATGTCTACTAATGTCTTCCTTGCTCCGCAGCTTGCAGACAGACTAGACTTCAGTTTGTAATCTTGTGAATCAATATTTCTTATTAAATTAATAAGAATTAATATTTCTTATTAAACTTCCCTTCATATATACATCTATCCTATTAGTCATGTCCCTCTAGAAAACCCTGACTAATACACTCATCTGTGATGTAAATTCACCATGTACATAGTACCTACCTGGGTTGCAGTGCATTCTTGAGGGACCGGAGAGGCAAGGGGAATTGATACAAACATTAGCTTATGCTTCTTGCTATGCAGTGAGTAATAGAGTCCATTGTCACTGAACCAGAAATCTGTGTCTTCTGCCAGTATCCATAAAACTGTTAAAGGCTAATTTGATAGGGAGCAGTTCGTGTAAACTCATAGACCTTTCATAATTCCTAACAGATGGAAAAGTAAACAAGACAAACAATACTTATGTTCCTATAGCTTAAATTCTAATTGGAAGTGAACAATAAGCAATTAAATAATCAGTATATTATTTCAGATGAGAACTTGAAAAAAGTACTCTGATAACTGCTGTGAAAATATAAAGCATGGGGAGCTTCACTTCTGGAATGGCAGAGTAAAGTCTTAGAAAAATCCATTTCTCCATAGAACTAATGAGAACACTGGCAAAAGCTGTCAAAATGATTATGTTCAGAACTCCAGAAGTTAACCAAAGTCTTGCAACAATCCAAGGAGCTATTACCTCCCAAATGGTTGGATGTTTATAAGAATAGCAAACCTTGTGGAGCTTTAACTTGCCCTAACTCTCCCAACTCCTTTCCCCACCTTGGTGGTATTCTTGAAAGTCAATAGCCTCACAACTACTATAGCTGTGAAAACCAACAATGTAGCAGCCACTGGAAGGAACAGGATGGGTTTAGATCTCCCCAAAAGCCCCCTACAAATAAAATTATCACGATTTGACTTCCTGGCAGGTCTCTATAAAGACCTAATCAGTTTGTTTCTATTTGACATGACAGAGATTTTACTGTGTCCACGTAGTCCTATGCATAGAACAGTTTTCAGAAACAATCAGTGGCAATTGTTTAACATCAATGTGTCTGAGGTAACATTACCAGTTTGGGCTAAGAAGAAGCTCACCAAAAAACCTAAAAGGGAAAAACAGAGTATAAGATGTCAAATGGGGCTTTGAAAAGCTCCAACAAATTTCTGGAAAAGCAGAAGTCCACATGCATGTGTAAGATTGCACATATCAAGGCTGTGTGCATGCTCAGGAAAGGCCCAGAAGGTCCTAAACTCTCATTAAAGATGACCTTGAGGTTCTTCAGAAGCAGCAAGTGAAGGCTAAGGCAGAGTTAGAAAACGTCTTCCTGAGTTTTAAAGGGGTGCCCCGATACATAAACAGAGACTTTTGCAAAAACTTTGGAGCCTTATTGGTTTAAGGTATTTTAAAAAGTCTTTGTCCAATTGCTATCTGACTATTAAGCTAAAATGAACAGTGACTTCAGTGGCTGCATAATAAAATAATGTAGACATTGCTGAATTACCTCAGGAAAACACCAGATACAAAAACAAATGTTGGGGGAAGATTTCTGGTTTCCAGATATGACACATTATTTTAATGAAAATTTATTGTTTTCAACACAAATTATGAGACATGTAAAGAAATAAAGTATATTATACAAACTATATTTTGTCAGTAACAAAGGAAATCAAAGCAGCTATTAAAACTATGTTTGAAAAAAATCTATAGGAAACCATATCTAAAGAACCAAAAAATGTGGAGAACAACGTATGACCAGATAGAGAATATCCAAATACAGCCCTCTCTAGTCTTTCTGTCTTATGCAAGAAGGGAAAAACTGAGAAGCACTAATGAGGTCACAGCCTGGGGCACATTCTTAACAAAAGCCTGAGACCTAATCATGGTGCTATAGAACACTTCCCTTTCCCTACATTCTACCACCACATCAGTAATGCTCCTGTGTAATAACAGGGGGACACAAGTTAAAGAACCACATGTCTCAGACCTTATTTAAGAAGTCATTAGAAAAACCAAAAGATAAAAGGGGAAACAAAATCAAGGAAACCAGAGGAAATTTTAGCCTCTAACAGTCACAGCTACAGCAAACAATAAGCACCAAATAACTTCTACTCAGATGAACATAAAACCTCATACTAAGGACCTGTTTATCTCTGTTCCTTTTACTTAGCACATCAAGACCAGCTTTTTACGAAAAAATACAAAATGTACTGAAATATAGAAAAACATAGTATGATGAGACCAAGCAAGCATCAGAGCCAGACCTAGATATGACAGAAATGATGGAATTATTAGATTGGGAATTTAGTGCAATTATGATTAATATGCTAAGAGCTCTAAGGGAAAAAGCAGAAAACATATAAGAACAAATGGATCACATAAAGAAGAACAATAGGAACTCAAAGAATAAAAAAGAAATGCTAGAAATAAAAAACACTGTAAAATAGAGTATGTATTTGATTAGTTCATCAATAGGCTAGACAACTGAGGAAAGAATCAGTGAGTTTGAAGAACTTTCAGAACTTAGATGCAAAGAGAAAAAAGAATGAAAATAACCCAGGAAATGTAAAAACTGTGGGACAATTACAAAAGGTGCAATGTATGTGTAATAGAAATATCCAAAGTTGGAAAAAACATACAAACAGAAGAAATGTTTGAGGGAATAATGACTAAGAATTTCCCAAAATTAACAGACACCAAAACACAGTTTCAGGAAATTCAGAGAAGAGAAAGCAGGATAAATACCAAAACATTTGCACCTAGGCACATTATTTTCAAACTGAATAAAATTAAAAACAAGAGAAAGTCTTGAAAGAAGCCATAGGAGAAAGAAAATCTTACTTTTTTGTGATTAAAAAGTGAAGAATTACTTTAAATATCTATTAAGAAACCATGCAAGCAAAGACTCACTGAAAGACAGAAAAGCACGGCATGATGAGACCAAGCAAGCATCAGAACCAGACCTAGGTATGACAGAAACGATGGAATTATTAGAATGGAAATTTAATGCAATTATGATGAGGGGAGTGAAATATTTAAAATATTGAAATGAAAAACTAACAACCTAGAATTTGGGAACCAGAGAAATCATCCTTCCAAAGTGAAAGAGAAATAAATGCTTTCTCAGTAAAATGAAAAGGAATTTGATGGAATTTGTGGCTGACAGACCTGCCTTGCAAGAAATGTTAAAAGAGGTTATTTGGAAAGAAGAAAAATGATATGAGTCAAAAACTTAAATCTACATAAAGAAAGGAAAACCATTAGAGGAAAGTTAGTGAAGTCATGTTGATAGCTTGAAATCAGCCATGATGGAAGTGTGTTCATGGAGGAAATTGTCAAATGTTACAAATAAGAGACTCAGAGCTACAATCCTCTGTCCCTGCTGAAAGGTTTGTTGAAGATTTACTACCACCCACATGATGCAAATCTTATTCCACTTTTCTTCTGTTTTTCAGGTGATTATCTTTCAAAGTAATACATACATGAGCCAATAATTTTATCTCTCTGTCTGATTTTATGGGAATACATCTCCAAATTATAGCAATAGATAGTGCATTGCCATATTTACAATTCAGGAATGAGTTTCCGTTTCTTTCCTTGGTCTTAAGTTTGAGTATGTTATTGTTGTTATAATTGTTGTTATTGTTTCTTCTTGTCCTACTGCTCTTACTCCTCCTCCTTCTTGTGATGATGATGAATATGATCATTTTTCTCCAACAGATAGTAGTTTCGGAAGATACTGTATCAGGACTGTCAGCTACATACCTTCTTAAAACAGAATTTCTGCCTATAGGTTTTAAAACATTTAATTATTTTAAAGTAAAAATGCTCTCACATCGTACAAACATCAGAAACTATTAAAAATGTAGTAAATTCCACTTTTGTTCCTACCTCTACCCACTTAGTTTCTATCCTCTCCCTCAAAAGGTAACTCTAGTTATTACTTATTTTCATATTCTGTAGCCATTAGTTTTTAAATGTACATACAAGCCAATGTTAATATATTTTTTTCTCTTTCTTTTTAACACAAATTCTAAATGCCATATTGGATACCACATACCTTGTTTCTTTCACTTACTGTATCTCAAGATATTTCTTTATCTGTAATAGTGTATTTGTTCAGTGCATGTTACA
Organism: Homo sapiens; assembly: GCF_000001405.40. NCBI lineage: Eukaryota > Metazoa > Chordata > Mammalia > Primates > Hominidae > Homo > Homo sapiens. Next base: position 78,357,824 of record NC_000008.11, on the reverse strand, counting down.
ACTGCATGGTATTCAGTTGTATGGGTATACCATAACCTACTCCTGTGTTTTATTCTTCTCAGTGAATGTACACTCTACCTTTCCATTTGCTATATAGTTAAACACCTTAGTGTCATGCTTGACTCCTCCCTTTCAAACACCACATTCAATTCCTTCACAACTCTTGGCTCTACCTTGCAAACACATTCAACATGTACTCACTTCTCACTAGTTTCACCACTTCCACTCTATCCCACACTGTCACTGTATTGTAAGAATAAAATACAGTGACAAGTCATGCCTTGACATCTCTGAGTCCCACTGGGCTCCGAAGGCTTAAATGTGAGTTCCGCTGATCTTGTTATATATGCCCCATACCCAATGGGAAAGGTCCCCACCCAGCTATTTTCTGTATCGGTAAGACCAGCTGTACCCCCAACTGAATCTCAGTCTAGCAGTTTTCACTTCCCTGCCAGTCTACAAAGTTATTCAAACAAAGTGATCATAACCTTCAGAAAAACACATGATGCATATCACCCACTTGTTACTGCAAAGCCCACCTCCCACAGCACCTGCTGTAGGTTCCTGAGTGCAAGCTCCACGTGGCCCTGCATGGTGTGTGGTGTGTTCCTCTCCTGGGCTGCATCTGTGACTAGCAAACTGCCGTCAACCTTAACTGTCATGTGTTTGGCCATTTCATAGTATGTAGGATAAGTAATCCATCCTTCACCAATGAGGTGAATAGGAGATGGTCAGAATAATTGTCATTCATTATTGTTTTTGCTGCCACAGACATTCTCCCCCTACCCTACTAAATGCTTTCAACATCACAATCAGTTTGTTGAAACATAAGTAACATCTTACATCTTGAAAGTCCTCTGGTATAATCCATCCAATGGCTACTCCTTTCACATAGAGTAAAAACCAAAGTCCTCACAGAGGCCAAAGCCCTACACATTCTAGCTATGATATTTTTCATTGATCCCCTTACCTAACACTCTTCCTTTCATTCAGTCTGATCCAGACACACTTGCCCTCTTGCTGTTCCTTTCTGATATGTTCCCACAAAGTGGGATACCAAAGATGGACTGGTGGAAGCAGACTACCTCGTTTAATGGAAATTACAGCAATTTTTTTTAGAACTTAGACCAACCCATTTATTTTTATTTTTTTTTATTTATTTTATTTTATTATTATTATACTTTAAGTTTTAGGGTACATGTGCACAATGTGCAGGTTAGTTACATATGTATACATGTGCCATGCTGGTGTGCTGCACCCATTAACTCATCATTTAGCATTAGGTATATCTCCTAAAGCTATCCCTCCCCCCTCCCCCAACCCCACAACAGTCCCCAGAGTGTGATGTTCCCCTTCCTGTGTCCATGTGTTCTCATTGTTCAATTCCCACCTATGAGTGAGAATATGCGGTGTTTGGTTTTTTGTTCTTGCGATAGTTTACTGAGAATGATGATTTCCAATTTCATCCATGTCCCTACAAAGGACATGAACTCATCATTTTTTATGGCTGCATAGTATTCCATGGTGTATATGTGCCACATTTTCTTAATCCAGTCTATCATTGTTAGACATTTGGGTTGGTTCCAAGTCTTTGCTATTGTGAATAGTGCCGCAATAAACATACGTGTGCATGTGTCTTTATAGCAGCATGATTTATAATCCTTTGGGTATATACCCAGTAATGGGATGGCTGAGTCAAATGGTATTTCTAGTTCTAGATCCCTGAGGAATCGCCACACTGACTTCCACAATGGTTGAACTAGTTTACAGTCCCACCAACAGTGTAAAAGTGTTCCTATTTCTCCACATCCTCTCCAGCACCTGTTGTTTCCTGACTTTTTAATGATCGCCATTCTAACTGGTGTGAGATGGTATCTCATTGTAGTTTTGATTTGCATTTCTCTGATGGCCAGTGATGGTGAGCATTTTTTCATGTGTTTTTTGGCTGCATAAATGTCTTCTTTTGAGAAGTGTCTGTTCATATCCTTCGCCCACTTGTTGATGGGGTTGTTTGTTTTTTTCTTGTAAATTTGTTTGAGTTCATTGTAGATTCTGGATATTAGCCCTTTGTCAGATGAGTAGGTTGCGAAAATTTTCTCCCATTTTGTAGGTTGCCTGGTAACTCTGATGGTAGTTTCTTTTGCTGTGAAGAAGCTCTTTAGTTGAATTAGATCCCATTTGTCAATTTTGGCTTTTGTTGCCATTGCTTTTGGTGTTTTAGACATGAAGTCCTTGCCCATGCCTATGTCCTGAATGGTAATGCCTAGGTTTTCTTCTAGGGTTTTTATGGTTTTAGGTCTAACATTTCAGTCTTTAATCCATCTTGAATTAATTTTTGTATAAGGTGTAAGGAAGGGATCCAGTTTCAGCTTTCTTCATATGGCTAGCCAGTTTTCCCAGCACCATTTATTAAATAGGGAATCCTTTCCCCATTGCTTGTTTTCTCAGGTTTGTCAAAGATCAGATAGTTGTAGATATGTGGTGTTATTTCTGAGGGCTCTGTTCTGTTCCATTGATCTTATATCTCTGTTTTGGTACCAGTACCATGCTGTTTTGGTTACTGTAGCCTTGTAGTATAGTTTGAAGTCAGGTAGCGTGATGCCTCCAGCTTTGTTCTTTTGGCTTAGGACTGACTTGGTGATGCGGGCTCTTTTTTGGTTCCATATGAACTTTAAAGTAGTTTTTTCCAGTTCTGTGAAGAAAGTCATTCGTAGCTTGATGGGAATGGCATTAAATCTATAAATTACCTTGGGCAGTATGGCCATTTTCACGATATTAATTCTTCCTACCCATGAGCATGGAATGTTCTTGCATTTGTTTCTATCCTCTTTTATTTCATTGAGCAGTGGTTTGTAGTTCTCCTTGAAGAGGTCCTTAATGTCCCTTGTAAGTTGGATTCCCAGGTATTTTATTCTCTTTGAAGTAATTGTGAATGGGAGTTCACTCATGATTTGGCTCTCCATTTGTCTGTTATTGGTGTATAAGAATGCTTGTGATTTTTGTACATTGATTTTGTATCCTGAGACTTTGCTGAAGTTGCTTATCAGCTTAAGGAGATTTTGGGCTTAGACAATGGGGTTTTCTAGATGTACAATCATGTCGTCTGCAAACAGGGACAATTTGACTTCCTCTTTTCCTAATTGAATACACTTTATTTCCTTCTCCTGCCTAATTGCCTTGGCCAGAACTTCCAACACTATGTTGAATAGGAGTGGTGAGAGAGGGCATCCCTGTCTTCTGCCAGTTTTCAAAGGGAATGCTTCCAGTTCTTGCCCATTCAGTATGATATTGGCTGTGGGTTTGTCATAGATAGCTCTTATGAATTTTAGATATGTCCCATCAATACGTAATTTATTCAGAGTTTTTAGCATGAAGGGTTTTTGAATTTTGTCAAAGGCCTTTTCTGCATCTATTGAGATAATCATGTGGTTTTTGTCTTTGGTTCTGTTTATATGCTGGATTACATTTATTGATTTGCATATATTGAACCAGCCTTGCATCCCAGGGATGAAGCCCACTTGATCATGATGGATAAGCTTTTTGATGTGCTGCTGGATTTGGTTTGCCAGTATTTTATTGAGGATTTTTGCATCAATGTTCATCAAGGATATTGGTCTAAAATTCTCTTTTTTGGTAGTGTGTCTGCCTGGCTTTGGTATCAGGATGATGCTGGTCTCATAAAATGAGTTAGGGAGGATTCCTTCTTTTTCTATTGATTGGAATAGTTTCAGAAGTTATGGTACCAGTTCCTCCTTGTACCTCTGGTAGAATTCAGCTGTGGATCCATCTGGTCCTGGACTCTTTTTGGTTGGTAAGCTATTGATTATTGCCACAATTTCAGAGCCTGTTATTGGTCTATTCAGAGATTCAACTTCTTCCTGGTTTAGTCTTGGGAGGGTGTATGTGTCGAGGAATTTATCCATTTCTTCTAGATTTTCTAGTTTATTTGCGTAGAGGTGTTTGTAGTATTCTCTGATGGTAGTTTGTATTTCTGTGGGATCGCTGGTGATATCCCCTTTATCATTTTTTATTGCATCTATTTGATTCTTCTCTCTTTTCTTCTTTATTAGTCTTGCTAGCGGTCTATCAATTTTGTTGATCCTTTCAAAAAACCAGCTCCTGGATTCATTAATTTTTTGAAGGGTTTTTTCTGTCTCTATTTCCTTCAGTTCTGCTCTGATTTTAGTTATTTCTTGCCTTCTGCTAGCTTTTGAATGTGTTTGCTCTTGCTTCTCTAGTTCTTTTAATTGTGATGTTAGGGTGTCGGTTTTAGATCTTTCCTGCTTTCTCTTGTGGGCATTTAGTGCTATAAATTTCCCTCTACACACTGCTTTGAGTGTGTCCCAGAGATTCTTGGTATGTTGTGTCTTTGTTCTCGTTGGTTTCAAAGAACATCTTTATTTCTGCCTTCATTTCATTATGTACCCAGTAGTCATTCAGGAGCAGGTTGTTCAGTTTCCATGTAGTTGAGCAGTTTTGAGTGAGTTTCTTAATCCTGAGTTCTAGTTTGATTGCACTGTGGTCTGAGAGACAGTTTGTTATAATGTCTGATCTTTTACATTTGCTGAGGAGAGCTTTACTTCCAAGTATGTGGTCAGTTTTGTAATAGGTGTGGTGTGGTGCTGAAAAAAATGTATATTCTGTTGATTTGGGGTGGAGAGTTCTGTAGATGTCTATTAGGTCCGCTTGGTGCAGAGCTGAGTTCAATTCGTGGGTATCCTTGTTAATTTTCTGTCTCGTTGTTCTGTCTCATGTTGACAGTGGGGTGTTAAAGTCTCCCATTATTATTGTGTGGGAGTCTAAGTCTCTTTGTAGGTCACTCAGGACTTGCTTTACGAATCTGGGTGCTCCTGTATTGGGTGCATATATATTTAGGATAGTTAGCTCTTCTTGTTGAATTGATCCCTTTACCATTATGTAATGGCCTTCTTTGTCTCTTTTGATCTTTGTTGGTTTAAAGTCTGTTTTATCAGAGACTAGGATTGCAACCCCTGCCTTTTTTTGTTTTCCATTTGCTTGGTAGATCTTTCTCCATCCTTTTATTTTGAGCCTATGTGTGTCTCTGCACGTGAGATGGGTTTCCTGAATACAGCACACTGATGGGTCTTGACTCTTTATTCAATTTGCCAGTCTGTGTCTTTTAATTGGAGCATTTAGTCCATTTACCTTTAAAGTTAATATTGTTATGTGTGACTTTGAACCTGTCATTATGATGTTAGCTGGTTATTTTGCTTGTTAGTTGATGCAGTTTCTTCCTAGCCTCGATGGTCTTTACAATTTGGCGTGATTTTGCAGTGTCTGGTACCGGTTGTTCCTTTACATGTTTAGTGCTTCCTTCAGGAGCTCTTGTAGGGCAGGCCTGGTGGTGACAAAATCTCTCAGCATCTGCTTGTCTGTAAAGGATTTTATTTCTCTTTCACTTATGAAGCTTAGTTTTGGCTGGATAGGAAATTCTGGGATGAAAGTTCTTTTCTTTAAGAATGTTGAATGTTGGCCCCCACTCTCTTCTGGCTTGTAGAGTTTCTGCCAAGAGATCCGCTGTTAGTCTGATGGGCTTCCCTTTGTGGGTAACCCAACCTTTCTCTCTGGCTGCCCTTAACATTTTTTCCTTCATTTCAACTTTGGTGAATCTGACAATTATGTGTCTTGGAGTCGCTCTTCTCCAGGTTTATCTTTGTGGCGTTCTCTGTATTTCCTGAATCTGAATGTTGGCCTGCCTTGCTAGATTGGGGAAGTTCTCCTGGATAATATCCTGCAGAGTGTTTTCCAACTTGGTTCCATTCTCCCCGTCACTTTCAGGTACATCAATCAGATGTAGAGTTGGTCTTTTCACATAGTCCCATATTTCTTGGAGGCTTTGTTCGTTTCTTTTTATTCTTTTTTCTCTAAACTTCCCTTCCCGCTTCATTTCATTCATTTCATCTTCCATCACTGATACCCTTTCTTCCAGTTGATCGCATCGGCTCCTGAGGCTTCTGCATTCTTCACGTAGTTCTCGAGCCTTGGCTTTCAGCTCCATCAGCTCCTTTAAGCACTTCTCTGTATTGGTTATTCTAGTTATACATTCATCTCAATTTTTTTCAAAGTTTTTAACTTCTTTGCCTTTGGTTTGAATTTCCTCCTGTAGCTCGGAGTAGTTTGATTGTCTGAAGCCTTCTTCTCTCAACTCGTCAAATTCATTCTCCGTCCAGCTTTGTTCCATTGCTGGTGAGGAACTGCGTTCCTTTGGAGGAGGAGAGGCGCTCTGCTTTTTAGAATTTCCAGTTTTTCTGCTCTGTTTTTTCCCCATCTTTGTGGTTTTATCTACTTTTGGTCTTTGATGATGGTGATGTACAGATGGGTTTTTGGTGTGTATGTCCTTTCTGTTTGTTAGTTTTCCTTCTAACAGACAAGACCCTCAGCTGCAGGTCTGTTAGAGTTTGCTGGAGGTCCACTCCAGACCTTGTTTGCCTGGGTACCAGCAGCGGTGGCTGCAGAACAACGGATTTTCATGAACCGCAAATGCTGCTGTCTGATCGTTCCTCTGGAAGTTTTGTCTAGAGGAGTACCCAGCCGTGTGAGGTGTCAGTCTGCCCCTACTGGGGGGTGCCTCCCAGTTAGGCTGCTCAGGGGTCAGGGGTCAGGGACCCACTTGAGGAGGCAGTTTGCCCGTTCTCAGATCTCCAGCTGGGTGCTGGGAGAACCACTGCTCTCTTCAAGGCTGTCAGACAGGGACATTTAAGTCTGCAGAGGTTATTGCTGTCTTTTTGTTTGTCTGTGCCCTGCCCCCAGAGGTGGAGCCTACAGAGGCAGGCAGGCCTCCTTGAGCTGTGGTGGGCTCCACCCAGTTCAAGCTGCTTTGTTTACCTAAGCAAGCCTGGGCAATGGCGGGCGCCCCTCCCCCAGCCTCGCTGCAGCCTTGCAGTTTGATCTCAGACTGCTGTGCTAGCAATCAGGGAGACTCTGTGGGCGTAGGACCCTCGAAGCCAGGTGCGGGATATAATCTCCTGGTTCGCCGTTTTTTTAAGCCCATCGGAAAAGCGCAGTATTAGGGTGGGAGTGACCCGATTTTCCAGGTGCCGTCTGTCACCCCTTTCTTTGACTAGGAAAGGGAACTCCCTGACCCCTTGCGCTTCCTGAGTGAGGCAGTGCCTCGCCCTGCTTCGGCTCCTGCACAGCGCACTGCACCCACTGTCCTGCGCCCACTGTCTGGCACTCCCTAGTGAGATGAACGCGGTACCTCAGATGGAAATGCAGAAATCACCCGTCTTCTGCGTGGCTCACGCTGGGAGCTGTAGACCGGAGCTGTTCCTATTTGGCCATCTTGGCTCCACCTCCCTAACCCTTTTTTTCATGAAGTATTTTATCAGGGATAATGTTTACAATTGTCAGTGCAGGAGATAATTTGATTTTAATCAATTTTATTATGGTTGTACAATTTTCTATAGACAATGCACACCTGATCACCTGCACCCATGGTGAACTTCTCCCACCAACTTATGGCATGCTTCTGTTTCTATAGTAGAGTGTTGGCACTGGCTTTTCCCTTTACCTAAAATGTTTTGTTTTTTTTTTTCCTTTGAGTCTCACACACCTTGTATTTTCACTTCTTTCAGGCAGTGGCTAAGATGTCATTCTCTCAATAATTTCCCTGTGACTATCTACTTAAAATGACTATCTTGATCCTGTTCTCTCTGTGATTGACTTTAAATAAGAGAGATTTTAAATTCAGAATAGAATGTTTGGTAAATATCTGTTTTGTCTCTTAAGATCCAATTTTGCTTCAGATTATAGTCCTATTTTATACTCACTTTCGAAATATCACAAAAGACAAGAATTTTTGGAAAGCATTTGGGTAAAATCCTACTAGCTGTCAATTTAATTACATACCTTAGAGATACAAGTTAACCTTCAGAACTTTAACTTTAGAAATAAAGCTGGGATGAGAATTTCTGATGGAAATTAAATTGTACTTTGCTGCTCATCCAGAACTGCGACGCCAATATCCATTATGAAAATACCTAGAATGTACTGATATTAATGATAATAATAATTGCTTGACCACTTACCATAGGAGATATATATATATATATATATATATATCTCCATATAATCTCCATAGGAGATTTATATATAGTCAGACTGTATATAGTCAGCTATATATATATAGACCTATAAAAGCATATATATATATATATATATATATATATATATATATGCTTAAGTAAGTTGACCATGGTCACCAGGCTGGTGAATGTCAGGGTTTTAGCTGAGGTCTACCTCTGTCAAAAGCCCATGACCTTAATTAGAGCACTGTGCATCCCCTCTGTAGAAGTGATCATGCCATGGGAACAGATGTCAGCATCAATTAATAATATCAGAACATTAGTTTTGAATAAATGAGAACACATCTAGACTCAGTTTAAGGAGGAAAAACAAAACACTAAATATTCTGTTCATAGATTTGGGTTAGCAGTGCAGGGGGTCTGTAAGCCACAGTCTACTGATGCTATGACCTACAAACATTAGCAACTTGACAGGTAGAAATACAGCTCCTGATCTAATGTTAATGTAGTAAATTTAAATGCTACTGAACACTACGTTGGTAACAGTAAGCCAAAGGACTGCAGTCACTTGCATGAAATGTATAAATAAGGGTTTTGACTTACATGTTGTCGCAGGCATAAATTCAGTTTACTCTTTCTAAAAGGCAGAACTTGGCTATGAACATTAAAGATGACTTGTATGACCATGTTAATCTTTCCACCTCATATTTCAATTTTTATGGGAACTTTATTACTTAATAATGTATCTCCAAGCTCTCCTTTTGTAGCCCTGCTGCCCATTACTTGCCTAAACTACACTCTGTCATTACTTATAGCAGTTTTATGCCTCATATACTACACAGCCTGTGATGGCTGTCTTCCTAATAAATTCTTCATCACTTTCAATATAATCATCTGCATTGCAGCTTCATTAATATCCTTTCATTCAAAGATCCAGGTAGGTGACATCCCGCTGAGGAAAGCCTTTAAAAGAATTAATTAGGACACAGAAACCTGTTTCTGGGCTTTAGTCAATGTCATGAAAAAAATGCAGTTACTTACATAAGCTTTTGAATAACAGATTAATTAGGAACATCTTTATATGGAGAAATAGATGATGTATTCATGACATGATTTTCACTGCAACAATAAAATGCAAAAACTCAATACTCAATCAAGTTTAAACCTGTGTTACCTTGATGTGTGCATGTTTCTGTGACTCAGAAACATTCACTACAGTGTGGTTCAAAAGATTATTTCATTGCACTCCTGCCAGAACCTCTACATTTAAAATGAGCCCACATATCTGTGGCTTTATCTACATAGTAAATGTAGGTAACCCTCTCAAACGTTTTACCTTGTAGCCCAGATACCTTGATTCACTGCAGTCATTGTTTGGGACAGAATTCATCAGCTAGGTTGTATTCAAACTGAAAGCCAACACTCCCTTTTCCTTCACTTTAAAGTAATATTTTATTGTATTTGGGGAGGGTGCCAAGGCTACCATAATCTAGAAGATGAATATTTTGAAATTATTGACTCTCAGAGGTGAAAAGGATGAACATACCTTTGACTCTAAATTAGAATTATATTGGGATAAAGGAAATTCCATAGAAAACAAACTTGGGATTGGGTAGGTAGTGGCAAGGTACATGTGATAATAACTCGGGGGGGGGGGGAATCCCAAACTGTCTGAATGATAAAGGGAAATTAATATTTTTCATAAAAGAAGTCAATGCATTTGATAGATACATATTGAATTCTCATGTCTGTTTAAGAGTTGATTTGGTAATGAAAACTCCATTTAGGTTTTGTGAGATATAGATAAGGCTTAGATGAGAATATTAGCCAATTAGGCTAGTATGGGACAACAGCAGTCAATTATTTGATATGTAAATTGTAGTATATGTACACACTAAGATACCATATAGCAATGAGAATGTAAAAACTCTATACACTAAAGTATAAATGAAGATCACAAACGATGCTGACTAAAAAAATAGACCTATAAAAGCAGAAATGCTATATTGTTATATTTATATAAAGTTCAAATAACAGGCAAAACTGATCAAATTCCCCAAACACAGCTCCTGGAAACCAATTATTTCAAAACCAATAGTTTCGCCTTTTGTAAAATGTCATATAAATAAAATCACATTGTATATAGCTTTCTGTATCTGGCTTCTTTCACTTAGTGTAATGTTTTTTAGTTTAATTCATATTGTTGCACACATCAGTAGTTTGATTTTACTTATTGCTCAGTTGTTTCTTTGCTGAGATTCTCATTGTAGGGATGTACAATGACTTATTTATTTACCTACAAATGGTTGTTTGGCTTCTTTCTAGCTTTTGGTCATTATGAATAAACCTGCTATAACCATTTTTGTAGAGGTTTTATGTGGATTTGTGTTTTCAATTATCTTGGGTAAACATCCAGAACAGTGATTGCTTGATCCTATGGTAAATGTATGTTTAACTTTGGAAGAAACTGCCAAACCTCTTTTCCAATGTGCCAAACTTGCTCTACCATTTTGCATTGCCACCAGAAATGTATGTGAGTTTCAGTTGCACTGAATTTCACAGCAGCTGTATTTACTTGACAGTATTATTATCTATGTCTTTTTAATGTCTGTGGGATCAGTAGTGATGCTTCACTTTCATTCCTGGTGTTGGTAATTGGTGTCATTCTCTCTCTCTCTTTGCCCCTCTCTTTGTCTTTTGCAGGTCAGCCTGTCCATGCTTTATCTATTTTTAATTTTTTTAAAAAAATACTCAGCCTTTTATTTTATGAATTGTATTGATTGATTCATTGGTTTTCTCTAAGTTCATTGATTTGTAATTTCATCTTTATTATGTTCTTCTTACTTTAGGTTTAATTTGCTTTTGTAAAAAACATTTAGTGATTTTTTTTTCCAGTGGTCTTTCTGTTACTGATTTCTGGTTTTGACTTCCTGTTTAATACTTTTATGATCAGAAAGTCTAGTTTATTTTAGTTCAATTATTCTACATTTGTTTTATGGCTGAGAATATAGCTTGTCTTAGTCAATGTTCCACGTAAAAAGGTGTTATATGTTGTATTTAGGTAGTTGTCTTATAAATGTCAGTTGGGTCAATTTGATTGATAGTGATGTTCAGATGTTCTATACCCTTACTGATATTTTTGTGTAGTTCTTTTGTTAGGTGCATACACAACTAAGATTTTTTTTTTTTTTTTTTTGAGACAGAGTCTCTCTCTGTCGCCCGGGCTGGAGTGCAGTGGCAGGATCTCAGTTCACTGCAAGTTCTGCCTCCCAGGTTCACGCCATTCTCCTGCCTCAGCCTCCCAAGTAGCTGGGACTACAGGTGCCCGTCACCATGCCCGGCTAATTTTTTGTATTTTTAGTAGAGACGGGGTTTCACCATGTTAGCCAGGATGGTCTGGATCTCCTGACCTCATGATCTGCCTGCCTTGGCCTCCCAAAGTGCTGGGATTACAGGCATGAGCCACCACGCCTGGCACAATTAAAATTTTTATGTGTTTCTGATTATTTCTCCCTTTTATCATGTTGTAATATTCATATTTATACCTAGTAACATTCCTGGTTTTAAAGTTTATTTTGTCTTATACAAATTTAGCTACTCTAGCTATAATTTCTGATATATCTTTTGATATATACATATTTACTTTTATAGGTAACATGTATATCTTTATATTTACATTACATATATTGTAGTCAGCAATGAGTTGGGGCTTGACAATTTTTGCCTTTAATTTGAGGTGCTTTAAACATTATATTTAATGAAATTATTGATATGGTTCAATTTTAGTCTACCATCTTGCTATTTACTTTTAGTATCTTCTGTTACTTTCCCCTACTCTTTCCCTTATTTTGAATTAATTAAGCATTTTTAATTCTATTTTATCTTCACCACTGGCTCATTATTCATTTAATTTATTTTTTGTGGTCTTTCCAGGGCTTATAATACATAGTTTTAAATTATTTGAGAATACCTTTAAATAATTTACTACTTCATGTGTAGTTTAAGAGTATATTTGCATTTCCCTCATTCTATTATACTATTTTGCCAAACATTTTACTTCTAAATATGTTAGAAATGTTGCAATAGATGGTTAGCAGTTTAGCTTTCTACAGTAAATGATCTTTATACTTTTTAAAAATTAAAAAAACTATTATTATTTAATTGATTGATTAATACATACAAGTTTTAGTATTCTTTTTTTTGTGTAGATTCAGCGTTCCACTTCGTATCTCAATTCTTTTATCTAAAGATAATCTTTAATATATTTTGTATTCCAAATCTACACATAATAATGTTTTTCAGATTTTACGTGTTTGAAAATATTTTATTCTGCTCTAATTTTTTAAGATTTTTTTTTTAACTGGGTATAGTATCCTTGATTGGATATTAGCTTGTTTTCTTTCAGTATTTAAAAATATTATTATATTGTCTTCAGATTTGCATGCTTTCTAACAAGAACTCTGCTTCACTTTTACCTTTGCTTACTTTATACACATTTTTTTACTGTTAGTCTGTGTTTTGTCTTAGTCTGTATGTGCTTCTATAACAAAATACCTTAAACTAAGTAGCTTATAAACAACAGATACTTATTTCTCACAGTTCTAGAGGCTGAGACATCTAAGATCAAGGACATGGCAGATTCTATGTCCAATGAAGACCTGCTTCCTAATTCATATACAGCCAAATTTTGCCATTACCTCACAGGGTAGAAGGTGTGAGGGATCTTTCCGGGGCCTTACAAATTCCATTCATGACGGCTCCATCCTCATGATCTAATAACCTCCCAAAGATCCCACCCCTAAATATCCTGACATCAAGGATTATGTTTCAGCATGTGAATTTAGGGAAGACACAAACATTCAGAGCATAGCACTGCTTCTAAGATGTTTTTCTTGACCTTTGATTTGACTTTGGGGTGTGTGTGTGTGTGTGTTTGTGTGTGTGTGTGTGTCCTACTTTGGGTTCTCAGAGCTTCTTTCATGTTGGTGTCTTTCATTAGTTTTAAAAAATTTACATGTACCCTAAAACTTAAAGTATAATAATAAAATTAAATTAAAAAAATTTACAGCGTTACCTGTTTAATGCTTCTGCTCCATTTTCTCTCTCTTGTCCCATGGAACTCTAATTTCTGCGTCAGATCATTTAGTTTTGTCCCAGAGCCCTTGAATTCTCTCTCTCTCTCTCTCTTTCCCTCTCCCTCTCTCCCTCTCTCCCTGTATTAATTTTTCTCTTTATTTTACCCTTTGATTAATTTCTATTGTCATATTTTCAAGTTCATTGATTCTTTACTTGTGTTCACTTTTCTCATGTCTGGCAAAAGGTTAGTTCATCTCTGACTTTTAATAATTTTCCAGCATTTTTATTCTCCATTTAACATTTTTATAGTTCAACTTTCTGCTGAAACTCCTCATCCATTTATGCTTGTTCACATTTCCTAACAGAGCCTTTAAAAATAGTATTTTAAAGTTAGTAATTATTATATTAATAATTATACCTAATGCCTTGTTTTTCTTTTTTTTCTGAAAAAAGTTATTGTACTAACATGATATAACATAGAATTTGGTAATTATAGCTATTTTAATGTCCCTGTTTGATAGTTTCAACATTTGGCTCATTGCTGCATCTGGCCTTGTTGATTGTCTTAAATCTACACAATGGGTTATTTTAAACAAATTATGTATGTTTTTCAATTCTAATTGATTGTCAGACATTGTGTGTAGAATAATTGTGAGAACTGAAATAAATATTATTTATAACTAAAAATGGGCAAGCTACTTCTTTCAAGCCCTTTGAATCTGCATTTGATTCAATCTACTTATAGCCGAGCTTGATTTGAGTTTTCTTGTTGCTATTATTACTCGACATCCACCACAGGCTTCAAATTCCTTCAGCAGCAGGTTGCTGTTATCTCATATTTTGTGTGGACCCATGGGTGCTGAAGGATTTCTTTCAGTGTTCCTGCTCTATCTTCTGCTTTCAGTCAAAGGATGTCTACTGCTTTCATTGAAGGGTGTCTCCCCATGTTCCTCCCCTCCCCCGCTGGTGGAGTGCTACTGCCTCTCACCTGGCCCTGGAATGCTGGTCAGTGGAGAAGGGCTTCTCAGTTCACCTTGTCCAGTCTTTCACAGGCCATGCCTGTGTGCCTAGGCCTCTCGGGGATAGTTCTTTACAGAGTTCCTTACGCTTCCTTCTCCCATCCTTTGCAGTGTCTCTGATCCGTGGGTGCCTTGCATGAGTTTTCGCCCCTTTTCTCGGCGGTAGCAAAACCTGCTTTGTAACGTTTCAGAACCCTGAGCCTAAGGGGTTGTTTGCCCCTGTTCTAGTAACACATACATACACTTTCTATTTCTACCTTTCCCCAGAAGCAATGGATTTTTGCTTGATTCCTGAGGACGAGAAGATTTTTCTTCCTTTCCCCAAAATGTGGTATAGATTTTTGCTGCTACCATTCCCTACGGCCCAAGAAATAATAGGATTTATTGTTCCTCCCTCAGTCAATGAAGCCTCTTCGGTCCTATAGGAGGGTTCAGAGAAGAAGGGGAGGTCTGACTGTCTTCCAGTGGTAGCTGATAACCTTCTGCATGCCTGTTGAGAATTTTTAAACGTTATTATTTATAACACTACATCCTTTATTTTTAAATGGTTTGTCATGAAGGTATTCATAGTTCATTATTTCTTTAAAAACTGCCTTATTTTTTATTAATATTCTAGTTGGAGAGACATTATCTCATTATGTATTTATGCATATATTTATTTACTTTTTATCTATTTTAATGACAAAATACATTTAATGACAAAATACATTTTAATGACAAAAATAACATTTTGTGTATCTTATAATTTCTGCAAGGAATAAGTTTTGCTTTTACTGATACTTTATATTGTATTTTTGTCTTTTTTTCCTGTAATTTCTAATATCTTTTTTACTTTTTCTGTCTACTTCTATAAATTGGTGGTGTACTTTTTAAATTCCTTAAGTTGGATGCATTGTTCATGTTTCATTCTTTCTAGTGTAATTATTTTCTAGTGTATTATTTTAGAGTGTATTGTTTTCTTGTATTCTCTGTTTCTTTCTCTTTTAGAGTGTATTTCCAGTGTGTTATTCTTCTGGTGTAATTATAGGTTGCTGCAAAAGTAATTGCAAAAGTAAAATAGATTGTTTAAAAGTAATTAAAAACCTTTAATGGCAAAAACCACAATATTTTTGCAACAACCTATATAGGAATATATGTTTATTTAAGTATATAAGATTATAATTGACTTCAAAATACCTTGTTAATTGCCAATACAAATTTTGTTTTAGTTTTTTATCCTTTTTTTAAAAAAAACTAACAAAGGATAAGATACAATATATATATACTGTAAGGTACAAAACTTTTAAAGTATTATACTCCCTCAAATCACTTTATAAAAATTAATATATTAGGCTCTGCTTCCAAAAAGCTCAAATTAACACAGTTAATATTTAAAGTTAATTGACATCCCTCCAAAGCAATACAATGACTTTGAATACTTTAATTCCTATAACTTTCCTTTGACTTACATTGTCCGATATTTAGTACTACCTTATTTCATGAGCCCCTACATGCAAAATTGTAGTTACCATCTTATACAATGAGTGTATATGGCTCTTGTAAATCTAAAGATTCCCATGGAGGTTTACCAATTTTTTGTTTACTGTAATTTCTTTACTATCATAACATCCTCTGTAGATGTTTTCCTCTATAAGTTTTGTCTTTAAACACTCTTGATTAACGTTTCTTATTGGTAAACTTTCTTAGTTTTTACTTTCCTGAAAATGTCTTTATTTGACATTCTTTCTTTAATGATAGTCCTGATACCAGTGGGCTAGGGGAGGTCCCCAAATGCCAGTGGCACCTTGACTCTGGCCAGTGTCCAGGCTCTTGACACCATCACAAGAAGGAATTCAGGCATGAGTCAGAAAATAGTGAAAATACAAACATTCTTGCAAAGTGAAAAGTACATATTCAAGAAAGGGGAGTGTGGGTGTTCTCAAGAGAAAGAGTTGCACAATGGAGTTTCGGGCTTCTACCTATCTGGTCCACTTTAACCAAGGTGCGGAGTATTCATGAAGATTCCCAGAAAAAGGTGAAGATTTCTCAGAAGTGTGGTGCCACTCAGTTTTACACCAAATATGAGTGTTCCTGGAACTGCCATGGAGCTGGTGGGTGTGTGATTTAAGATATTAATGAGCATATAATGAGGTCCTAGATGAAAGTTAGGTCAAATCCAGCACCAAGTTGGGTCTGGTAAGTCTTAGCCAGCTTTGCCCACACACTGTTTTTCAGGTTCTTATCAGTCTGTAGCTTATGCAGCTGTTTCAACATGTTCCTTTATGCATGTCATGTAAAACTACTGCCTGGAATTTTCCATTATCCTGCCACCACCATGAATTGTTCCTGTCTCAGTTCCCCTGAGTGGATTCCAAGATATTCTTAAAATTTATCCTTTCTCTATATTTTGAAGATATTTTGTATTGCATAGTAGCTTTCATTGTTGCTGTTAAGATGCCATTGTCATTATTTATGGGTAATCTGGTCATTTTAGGCTTTTTTTAAAGCTTCTTTTTTATCTCTTCTGCCCTCATATCCATATGGCTGAGTAAAATTCTTTTCTGCCGAGGATTTACTAGGTTTCCTGAATGGAATTATCCCTGTCTTTTGTCATTTCTGAAAAATTCTCAACCATTATCTGCTTTACATTTAGCCCAATCTTCCTTCTCTATTCTCTTGTCTGAAACTTCTACTAAACCTCAACTCTTTCATTCTATTCTCCATATATTTAAACCTCTTATTTTTTCCCCATCTTGTTGTCTAGTCTTTGCAATTTCTTTAATTTTACTACACTTGAATTATGCTTCTGGTTCAGTAATTTTCTTTGTATAATCTACTATTTAACCCATCAAGATTTAATTTTGTTCGTTGTATTTTTGGGTTCCAGAAACATGATTAGTTTTAAAATTGGCCTGATCTTTATGTCAGTGCTCATTCACAAATTGGTTTACTTTGTGCCAGGTACTTGGTAGGCACTTGGAATACTTTAGTGGAAAATAAAAACAGACAAAACAAGATCACCCATTGGATACATTGTGTGACAAGATAAGCTGTAATTTTAGGAAAAATAAAGAGTCAATTGAAGGTGAGAACTGTTATGAAAAAAGAAAACACACAGTAAAGCATGAGCACAGTACAAGGTATTGGTAGTGCTGTGGTCAAAAGATGCCTGTCATTTGGAAAAGAGTGGTCAGTGAAGGTGTCATTAAGAAAGTGAAATTTGAACAAGATGCTAAAGGTATGAGAAAGTAAAGATGTAGATATCTGGGTGAAAGATCCAAGCAGAAGTGTTAGCCAATGCAGTTACTAAAGTTGGTGGAAAGAAAGCAAGGAGACGACTGGAGCATATATTTAAGGAGGGAAAAAAGGTAGGAGAGGTAATTGCTGCCAGATCATTTAGGGCTATGCAGGCCATTGTGAGGACTTCAGCTTTGTTCTGAGTGAGATGGGAGCCATCACAGGGCTTATGCAGAGAAATCACCAGATCTCACACATTATATTAAAATGATCACTCTGTACTCTGCTCTCAGGATAGACAGTAGCAGGTCAACAGTAGATACATATCTTATGCTTGGCTCATGTTTCTATTTGTATGTTTTACTTTTTAAACATTTTAGACATATATATTTTGTATTCTTCAACAAACTGACATCTGAAATTACTGCTGCTGTAATCACATTGATTATTGATTTGTTAACTCTTGCCTATACTGCTTTTCTTTTTTCCTGGTTTGTAATTTGGGGTTATAAACTTATTGCAAGGAGGAAGGCTTTACCAATGGACATATTAGGATATCTACATTAGCATGTTTCCCCCCCTGTAGGGGAAGCAGCCATCACCTAACCTGCTGCCCCTCTTCAGGATTACCCAATCAGTACCCTGTACCTAGACATTCCTTTATATGGAAGCAGGGTGCTGGTCCGTCGCTTCACCTCAGGCTCTTCTTCCTTATTAGGAGAAACATTTTCTCTGCTCTGTCTACACAGTGAACTTCCCTGTATTGCTTAAGTGGTCATAGGGCACCTGGCCAGCCCCACCAGTATATCTGCCTCCAATGGGAAGAAAACAGGGTCTTTGCACTGAGATGGGTACATGTAGTCCATTGCCATGCCTCAGCTATTGCAAGGGACCCGCTGACTATGGGAGACCAATGCATACTACAAATGCTGGCTTTGCTGCATCTCTTTGTGAGTAAAGCACTGCTTCAACCAGTGTCCTGTGTACTGAGTCCTCACTGGCGATTCCGAACCTGCAGGGAATGCAGGGGGCCTATGTCTGTGTGCTTCTACTTCTAGTGATTAGCATTCTTATGATCTGTGCCATCTGCCATGTGGTGGGAGTCTTCATTTGGAACTGGGAGCTGGGTCTTCCCGCAGCTACCCTTTGGTAACAATTTATATGCGCAGCTCAATGCCCTCTAGTAAAGATTTATTTTTTTGCAGCTCACGTGTGCCCTAGTAAATTATTAATCCAGGACAAATTAAATTTGTTGGTTTAGGGTTGTTTAAATCACACTGGTAGTATGTTATCTTGCCTCGCTATAAAGCAAAAGCAATTTTTCTATTCCCTGCTTTCTCTAAGGGTCCTGATTGTATATGGGAGTCTACATTCTGGACTCACTCTTTGAATAGGCTTAAGACTTTGTTTTCTGGGCCTTAGGCTTTTTAATGTTCAAGTCCATTGATTTCAGGAGTCAACAAGTACCCCCAGGAAACACATAGGTAGACCTTCAATCTCCTACTCTGGTTTCCATTTAATTTTTATTCACAGCAGATTTTATTTTTCTACAGCTCAGCAATGCTTTAAAAAAATTTTTTTTGCTCCATTTTATTCCTATTACTATGAAGAGGTCTTTTAAGACATTTAGTCTGCTATGTTGAAAAAAACCTATCATAAAAGTTATGTTAAAGAGTAATTGAATATATGATAAACACATTTTTTTTTTTTGAGACAGAGTCTCGCTCTGTCTCCCAGGCTGGAGTGTAATGGCACGCTCTCGGCTCACCGCAACCTCCACCTCCTGGGTTCAAGCGATTCTCCTGCCTCAGCCTCCCAAGAGCTGGGATTACAGGCACCCGCCATGATGCCTGGCTAATTTTTGTATTTTTAGTAGAGACAGGGTTTCCCCATGTTGGCCAGGCTGCTCTCAAACCCCTGACCTCAGGTGATCTGCCTACCTTGGCCTCCCAAACTGCTGGGATTACAGGTGTGAGCCACCGCGCCTGGCCAATAAACACATTTTAAACTATAAAATTAAAGTGAATAAAACTCAAATACTACAGATAAAAATGATACAGTAAAAAATGATTAGAAATGTTTTTATTTATAGAATACAAAAATGAAAACATTTATATACATTCATCAAAATTGTAAAATGGTAAAGAATAAATATGTAATAAAACCTTAAGTATTAAAACTTTGCAAAGAAAAATAATATTACTTTACTTTGGAAAATTATTGCTACAAGATAATGTTACATATTAAAATAGTTTCTTCTATAAACATGCCTACATTTTCTTCTAAATTTGTTATTTAAGATACATATACTAGACTTAGACTGTGTGAGTTTAACTCCCTGCTTTATCATATTTCTCTCTGTGTGACCTTTAAAGTATATTTAATTACTGTGCAGTTCAGTCTCCTCATAGGAAAAAGAATTATTATAATAGCAGATTCATATTTTGTTTTAGGAGGATAAATGATATAATATAGAGAAAGAAATCAGCCAATTTGTAGTATATATTATTAGTAAAAATTTAGTAAATGTTAACTATTGGTTTGATTATTAATTTAGAAGAGGAGAAAGTGTTTAATATTGGCAACAAAGTCCAGGCATCCACACTTCTCTGTGGAATTAGACACACTTGTACCAGATCTAAAACATAACTGGCTTTCAGCTGTGATCTCCTGGTTGCACAGGTGCTGCTGGTAGGTTCCTGAGGTTTAGCAATAGTGGCAGACAGTCCAATAGGGAAGCTTCAATGGTAGTAATACAACTTTCTTTTAAAATTCTGACAGGACTGAAAGCCTTGACAATGTTATAAAATCTTTTGTTCCTTGTATTCCTGGTATTCTGTTAGTCTTGCTTGCTAGGTCAAAACCAGTAGGATACTTGCTTGCTCAGAGGAGAACTTCAAATATTCCTCGGCAAAGCATTCAAAAGGTGCATATTACAATGACTTTTAGTTTAACTAATGCTACTCCATGGTTAGTCAGCCATATTCATTGATTTTTTTCATTCATTACATTGCATGATTGTTTCTGTGGGCGCTGCAAATATGATGATAAGTCCTCATATGTGCCTAAAATTTTGTGGTCCTTTCCTCACAGTTAGTTATGGGAGCAAACACTGAGGCTTTGTTCTCTTTTCAGGATCTAACTTTATCTATTCATTGATTCTCCTTTTATTACATACTAGCTTTTAGATTTCTGGCATTACAATAACATGGCCCTTTGAACTGTGTTGGGGTTATATTCTGCCTCAAAAGCAATCACTTGCTCTAGCTTACATTTCCACAGAAGAGCCATCCAACCAATGAACAATGCTATTAAGAAAAATAAAAAAAAAGCAAAATAACAAGTCTGTGTTTTCAAAATTCACTTATATATATTTTTTTCTGGTAGTTAATGGAAATCAGTGTGTTTAAATTCAGTTGCCACCTGCTGTGATCTTCTCAAGATATAATTGTTAATGGAAGCTTTAACAGTTAAGAAATAAAAGCAAAACTTTATTAAGAAATTAAATATCATTAAGAAGTAGAAGCCACAATTCTAAGCTGAAAAAACTTTAAAATAGACTAAGACGCAAAAAATAGAACTGTCTACTTTTTTATTACAATTCTAATTGGACATGAGCTGCTTCAGGTTAAATTGGAGTCTATAATGTATCTCTTTGGGGAATCTATATAAAATTATTTATATGAGAATTGGCTATAATATAATTGTTAAGAAAAAGTAAAAAATTTATCAAAAAGGCAAGTTTAATGCTTTTTAATACACTGGAAGTTTCTCCTTAGAAACAAAACACCCCCATCCAAAAAAAACCGTTTCCTTTTTCAGCTGTCTCCCTAGACAGTTCTTGTTCTTAGCAATGAAATGTGTGAAGAAGATTGGTTACCCTTGTGTTTTTCATTTCCATTTCATAACCTCCCACTCCTTACTTAATTATCTCCAATCCGGCTTCTTTTCATATCACTTCAGCAGAAGAATTCTGGCTCAGGCCACCAGTGACCTCCAGATCACTCATTCCTTGGGCCATTTTTGCAGGTGTCACTTTATATGACCTCTCAGCAGCATTTAACATCATTGACTTCCTTTCTTCTTGAAAGATTCTGTATTTGGCTTCCACGACAACAAACTCTATTTTTCTCCTTCTCCTGACAATTCCTGCTATCTCTTCTGTAGCTCCTTGACAGATTCATCTTTTTTCTAAAGCCAGGAATGTATGGAGTTCCTCAAGATAGAAGACTCTACATGTATATTCTCAGCCTATGTCTCTTATTTGAAGTCCAGACTCATGCATTCCATGACCGCCTCGAAATCTTCTCTTAAATACTCAAAGGCACCTCAAACTCATTATATTCAAAATGCATCCATAATCTTTCACCACTCCCAAACTGATTCTTTTCTGTTGACCCTACACTTGGTGAATGGCCTGCACTCCATTTTTTCACCAAAGTCCAAAAACAAGGATTTATCCCTAATACTTTGCTCTCCCTCATATCACTTCTCTAATTTATCTGTAAGTCCTTTTAATTGTACTTTGTAACTAACTCTCAAATGTGATAAATTTTCTGCATCACTACCAGTATCTCAATAATCCAAGCTGCCAGCAACCTTTCCTAAATAGATACATGATTTATTTGTAGAAGTACCCCCACTGAATGTTCACAATTCTATATCTACTCTGAAGCTAAAATAAGATTATATAAATGTAAATTTTATCATAACAGTCCCTGCCACATCACCTGGCAATCCTTCAATGGCTTCTCATTAATCTTGATACATAGCTAAAAGTTATAAAACATAGCCTAGATGGTCTTTTATTATCTGGCTGCCGGTGATTCTCCAGGTTTATCTTTCATCTTTTCCTTGGGACCTCTTTCTGGCTTCTATTAGTTCTTCATAGCAACTACCAAAATAACAGATACCACTCAATAACAACAACAAAAAGAAAGAAAACATAACATTTCTTGCCAAGTAATTTCAAAGCATGTTGTCTCTCATAATGGTTATCTTATATGGGGTTTTAGAAATCAAGGAGTTCTGGAGGTGGAGAATTTGTAGGTCCAAAAAGTTTAGGAATTGGCTGGCTGTCAGATGTGCGAGCGTGGTTTCTGAATATGGCTGTAGCTCAATGACTTTCAGAAGTGTAAGCACTGGAGTGAGGCTTTTGCTGATAGACTAAGTGTCAGAAAAGTGTCGCAGATTGGTTGGCATTCAGAGGTGTGGTTATTGAAATAATTGCATGGTTACAGGTGAAATGGGACAAATTTAAAGCCAGATCTGGTAGTTCATAGCTCAGTATGGGGCTTTAGCCAAAGGATAATCAGTCTTTTCCTTTCTCGAATTTGGAGGATAGGAAGATTTTGCTTTTATCCCAATGATTTTTCCTGCCCCACGTCAACTGCACATGCTAATGTTTCTTTCTGGAATGTTTTTCCTGCCAATACCTCATTTTTTTCAAAAACGAATTTCTTGAGAAATGAGAAGGCTTCTCCCTTATGGTCATGGAATTGATACTAACTCTGAATCCTTTCAATTGTTTCTCTTTCAAGTGGAAAAATCTAACAGAACATGGAGTCCTGCTTACATCTTACTGTTCTGTACTGTGTTGCATGGCTTATCCTCTCCCTGAAAGGAAAACTGGTGATTTATTAGCTTTTAAATTCTTATAATGGAATTAGGCAAGGGATAAAGAGACTGAAATAGAAGTTTAGTCAGGTCACCTATAGTGGCTGACACAAAAGGTAAAGCAGATAATAGAGCCACAGAGATTTTCCACAGGAAGACGAAAGATAATAAATCTTGTTATTATGACTTACATTAGGTAGGATGGTGGCTGCTGATGTGTTTATATATATAATTTATGTGTATATCTGTATATATTATATATATTTTATATATGTATATATATTATATGTATTTATATATGTATATATATTATATATATAGTATATATGTGTATATGTGTGTTTGTCCCTATTAAAACTAATGTTGAAATTTGATTCCCAGTGTGGTGGTGCTGGGAGGCGGGGCCTAGTGGGAAGTGTTTTGGCCATGGGGGCAGATTCCCCATGAATGGCTTGGTACCATTCTTCTGGTAGTGAGTGAGTTGTTGTTAAGGAGAGACTATGCTAGTTCTCATGGGAATGGATTAGTTCCCACAAGAATGGGTTTTTATAAAGTCAGTATACTGCTCTGGTTTTGTCTCTTAGCACAGGCTTACTTCTCCTTTGGCCTTCTCCACCATGTTAAAATGCAGCACAAAAACCCTCAACAGAAACCAGAGCCTTGTCCTTGAACATCCTAGCCTGAAGAACTGTGAATGAAATTAACCTCTTTTCTTTATAACTTACCTTATCTCAATATCCTGTTATAGCAACACTAAATGCACTAAGACATCGCATGGGTGAGATACTAGCTGATCACATTTGTCTTGACATAAAGTTATCACAGGCAGAATTAATTCTTATTCTGTGTATCATAGATGAGTCTAAGCTATACCTCTTAAACTAGGATTAAACAAACAAATATTTTTCCCCAGAAATCTCAAACATTCAAAAATCACTTATTACTCTATGTAATTTAACAGTAACCAAAATGTGACAGCTAAGTTACTGAGAGTTTACAATGTATAGGACACAGCTCCATAAGCTTTATAAGTTTTTAACTCTCTAAATCCTTAGAACCAGCTTATGAGGCATATACTATTGTTATTCTCTTATAAGGATGAATAAACATTGGACAGAGAAGTTAATTAATCTGTCCAAAGTCACATAGCTAGTAAGTAGTGAAGTCAGAATTTGAATCCTGTTGTGTAGTGGACAGTGATATTCCAGATGTATATAAATAAAAAAACGTGTAATGTGCCTAGGTAGCAAAAGACCACAGACAGTTACACAGAATTTCTTACAAGCCCTGGATGGCCCATGTGCTTCAGAAAGCTGTAGTGACTATAAATGTCACAGAGTCAACTGAGGGAAAACAGCCTCAGAGTGCAGCCTGAAAGGGGCTTTGCAGATAGCAACCTGGAACAACACAGTATTGATTAGTTGACTGATACCTGGGGTGTGGATGCACACATGGACATCTTAGAAAATACCTTTGTAACAGATAACACTGAGGGTAAAACACATCTGTTCCAAAAACTTCGCATTTTATTTTTCCCTCTAGAATGCCAATGTAACAGAAATGGTGGGAAGAAAGAATACTGACATAACTGAGTTAGTTTTTGATACTTGGGAGGTATGAAGTTGTAAAATAAAATTAAGATTATTTAGAAAACCAGGAAGAATTTTTTTTATTTCTTACAAACATTTAGGGACTGAGCTTTGTACATACTATAAAGGTTTATACATTTGTGTATCTTATACTAAGACAAAATCCATAGCTTTTCTTTGATTCTCAAAAGAGTATGTGACTATCTCAAAGATTAAGATGCTCAACTATGAATTTCTCCAAACTTAGGTATTTACAGGTATTAATCATTTGAAAGAAGGGCAAATAAGCAATTTTACAACCATAGTAGTGATTTTTTTGGCCTAGATGAAAGGAAGATAAGAGGATGAGATCACAGAGATAAGGTAGGACATTTTTTATCCTAAAGAAAGGAAGTCAAGAGAAAGATTATGAGAGGGAACTAGAAAGCGAGTGCCTGTTAGATGTCATTTCATAGAGAAGAAAATGCTCTAGGTCAGCATTGTGCAAAAGGAATATAATGTAAGCCACATTGTAAGTTTTAAATTTTCTAGTAGGCACATTAAAAAATAGTTAAAATTAATTTTGATAATTTTATTTAACATAATACATCCAAGATATTATCATTTAAACATGTAATAAATATACAAATATTAATGATCTTTTACATTTTGTTTTACAATATTGTCTTTGAAATTTAAGTATTTTACAATTACAACACATCTCAAGTTAAGTACTACATTTTCACTGAAGCTTTTCATCTATATTTAGATTTTGTGAAATACATAGTTGAAAACATGGATGTCCACATCCAAGTTTATGCAAGCCTATCTAAATGTTTTATAATAACTGAATAGAATGTTAACTTTGAAATCTAAAATATAATTGATAAAAATTAAGTAAAATTAAAAATTTAGTTATTCAGTGTCCTTAAATTTTAATTTCTCAATAGCCACATATAGTCAATGGCAATTGAAAAACACAGATACAGAACATTTCCACCATTGCAAATTGGCTCTTAGTCACTCATTAAGTAGTTTTGTTACATTATCTTGTTAGCTTATTCTATCTCTGGTCTTTTGTTCATAATTTTCTCTCTCTATATGACAATATTCCCAACCCCATTCCCCCCGCAATTTTTCTTTTTATTTTCAATTAGGAAAATGTTTTATTTTTCTTGGTCAGGTAGAAAGGTCTTTAAAAAAAAAAAAAAAGAAAGATTCAGCTTGGTCTGCCTTCCTCTTCCCAAATACAAAAAAACAAAACAAAACCAAAAAAACACCTATACTATGAATGACTAACCTTAAACTAATGCATATTTTGTAGCTTATACAGATTCACATAAGTTGAATATGGTATGCAAGAGGAACTATTTATGTTCATTTACATATTTTTGCAGTTGAGGATATCTAGTTTTGAATAGTTTGTGTACCAAAATCATTTTATAAATTATCAGCACATAACACGAAAGAACATAAATAATTTTCATTTATGTAGTATCCTATGATACTAAATTTGGGACCTCCAGTGTTAGGTGCATATATGTTTAGGATTGTCATATTTTCCTGTTGGACAAGGCTTTTTACCATTATATAATGTCCCTCTTTGTCTTTTTTAACTGCTGTTGGTTTAAAGCTTGTTTTGTCTGATATAAGAATAGCTAGCCCTGGTTGCTTTTGGTGTCCATTTGCATGAAATGCCTTTTTCCACCCCTTTACTTTAAGTTTATGTGAGTCCTCGTGTGTTAGGTGAGTCTCCAAGGCAGCAGACGGTTGGTGAACTCTTATCCATTTTGCAGTTTTGTATCTTTTAAGTGGAGCATTTAGGCCATTTACATTCAATGTTAGTATTGAGATGTGACGTACCATTTATTCATCATGTTATTTGTTGCCTATGTATCTTGGTTTTTTGTTTTTTTGTTTTTGCTTTTTAAATTTTATTTTTATTTTATAGGTCCTGTGATATTTATGACTTAAAGAGGTTCTGTTTTGATGTGTTTCCAGGATTTGTTCTGAGATTTAGAGCTCCTTCTAGCAGTTCTTGTAGTGGTGGCTTTATAGTGGTGAACTTTCTCAGCATTTGTTTGTCTGAAAAAGACTGTATTTTTCCTTCATATATTAGGCTTAGTTTCACTGGATACAAAATTATTGGCTGATAATTGTTTTATTTGAGGAGGATGAAGATACGGCTTTTATCCCTTCTAACTTGTAGGGTTTCTGCTGGTAAATCTGCTGTTGATCTGATAGGTTTTCCTTTATAGGTTAGCTGGTGCTTGCATCTTATAGCTCCTAAGATTCTTTTCTTCATCTTGACTTTAGATAACTTGATGACAATGTGCCTAGGCAGTGATCTTTTTGCAGTGACTTTCCCAGGTGTTCTTTGTGCTTCTTGTATTTGGATGTCTAGGTCTCTAACAAGGCTGGGGAAGTTTTACTCAATTATTCCCCACAAAATGTTTTCCAAACATCTAGATTTCTCTTCTTCCTCAGGAACACCAATTATTCTTAGGTTTGGTTGTTTAACATAATCCCAGACTTCTTGGAGGCTTTGTTCATATTTTCATATTCTTTTTTTGTCTTTTTTGTATTGGGTTAATTCAACCTTGTCTTTGAGCTCTGAATTTCTTTGTTCTACTTGTTCAATTCTATTGCTCAGACTTTCCAGAGCATTTTGCATTTCCATAAGTGTGTCCAATGTTTCCTGAAGTTTTGATTGTTTTTTCTTTATCTATCTATTTCCTTGAATATTTTTCCCTTCACTTCTTGCACAGTTTTTTGGATTTCCTTACATTGGGCTTCACCTTTCTCTGATGCCGCCCTAATTAGCTTAATAACTAACCTCCTGAATTCTTTTTCAGGTGAATCAGGGATTTGTTCTTGGTTTGGACTCATTGCTGGTGAGCTAGTGTGATTTTTTTGGGGTGTTAAATAGCCTAGTTTTGTCATATTACCAGAGTTGGTTTTCTGGTTCCTTCTCATTTGGGTAGGCTCTGTCAGAGGGAAGGTCTAGGGCTGAAGGCTGTTGGTCAGATTCTTTTGTCCCATGGGGTGTTCCCTTGATATAGTACTCTTCCTCTTTTCCTATAGATGTGGCTTCCTGAGAGCCAAGCTATAGAGATTGTTATCTCTCTTCTGGGTCTAGCCACCCAGCAAGTCTACCAGGCTCCAGGCTGGTACTGGGGGTTGTCTGCATGGAGTCCTGTGATGTGAACCATCTATGGATCTCTCAGCCATGGATACCAGCACAGTATTTGGGGTGTCTCCTGGGTCCTGCAGGAGCAGCTACTTCCTTCATAGGGTGTATAGGTCCTCTTGGGATTCCTGATTTATTCTTGTAGTCATTCTGCAGCTAAAATCTACCACATGAGCCTCTGCACACTGCTCTATCTGTTCTAGTGGGAGCTGCAATCTAGTCCTGCCTCCAGACCACCATGGTGATCCTCTGGTCTGAACTTGTATTTTAAATATGAAAATCTACACAGACTTGCTGGTACACCCCAGTCCCTGACAGGGTGATCCAGGCTGGGCTCCAGGGTCCCAGGGACCACAAGGAGGGTGAGTCGGGGCCTGGGAGGGACTGAGGGCCCAGCACTGGCTGCAGGGGCCTCAGAGTCTTCCCGGTCACACCAGGGAGCCACCTGTATGGAGCAGACAGGGCTGGCAGAACAGGCCCAGGATGCATGGCCACAATAGTTGTGAGAGATGAAGCCAGCTGGACTTCCTGGGTCGAGAACTTCCTGGACTTGGAGAACTTTTCTGTCTAGCTAAAGATTTGTAAGCACACCAGTCAGCACTCTGTAAGAACTCACTAATCAGTGCTCTGTGTCTAGCTAAAGGTTTGTAAATGCACCAATCAGTACTCTGTAAAAACGCACCAGTCAGCACTCTGTGTGTAGCTAAAGGATTGTAAACACACCAATCAGCCCTCTGTAAAAACGGACCAATCAGCACTCTGTAAAATGGACCAATCAGCGCTCTGTAAAATGGACCAATCAGCAAGACATGGGTGGGGCCAAATAAGGGAATAAAATAAAAGCCGGAGCCAGGCGTGGCAACCCGCTTGGGTCCCCTTCCACCCTGTGGAGGCTCTGTTCTTTTGCTCTTCACAGTCAATCTTGCTGCTGCTCACTCGTTGGGTCTGCACTACCTTTATGGGCTGTAACACTCACTGTGAAGGTCTGTGGCTTCACTCCTAAAGTCAGCGAGACCACGAACCTACAGGGAGGAATGAACAACTCTGGACTCACCACCTTTAAGAGCTGTAATGCTCACTGTGAAGGTCTGCGGCTTTACTCCTGAAGTCAGGAAGACCACGAACCCACCAGAAGGAATAAACTCCGGACACATCTGAACATCTGAAAGAACAAACTCTGGACATACCATCTTTAAGAACTGTAACACTCACCGCGAGGGTCCACGGCTTCATTCCTGAAGTCAGCGAGACCAAGAACCCACTGGAAGGAACCAATTCTGGACACAGTTGGGTCCGCATCCAGTGGGAGGGCTCAGGTGGACTTCGCCAGAGAGTTAAGAGAGGGAACATGGAGCCTTTAATGTAGTATCCTATGATACTAAAACTTGGTTGCAGACTCACGTATTCTTGATCATAATTCTAAACTGATTGAAGAAAGAAGTTATTAAACAACTTGTAGGTGTAAAATAATTGCTAATTAAACATCAGTGATAATTACTAACAGTGATGAAGATTCCTACTTATATTCTTAGGTCTTAGCATAGTTCGTATTCAATAAATGTTTGTTGAATGTAATTACACTGATGTAATCAATAACATTTGGAAAACTTTTCCAATAAGTAATAACGTCCTAGAAACTGATGTTTCTCTGCCAAAGCTTTTGGCAGTGTCACCATGGGAATTAAAGAACTCATTAGAAGGTGTCAAAATTATTTAAGTATGTTATTTGTACTATGCTACCTGAAAAAAGTATACTTTTTCCTGAATTATATTTAGTATTTATTGACCAAGTATTTTATATGTCACTTTTTTTTACAAAACCAGCAAGTTAATATCTGATCTATAAGAAAATGAGAGGTGTACTGACAAAATGTTCTTGTTTCAATGATTTTAAATGAATGTTACAAATGTTTATGAAAAACATACTCAATTTTATTGAAATAAATGCATAATTTCACAAATAAGGTTGGCTCCATTAACATGAGGCAATCTAGTCTTTGCTTTAAATTAGCACTTTATTCAAGAACACATTCTCTTTCTTCTCTACTTAAGAATTTTGATATTGTTTGGTTTTTGGACTTCTGTGACTGTTTTATCAATTCGACTTAATTTTCTTTCAGCTCTATTTGAAAATAGTCAAAATAAATATTTCTTTCTGGACTGAAAGGAAGCTTCTCTATTTTTTAAAATTTCCTTCATCATATTATTTGGGGCTCCTCAAAGAAATAGAACCAATAGGATACAGATAGATGGGTAGATAGATGTATAGATAAATAGAGATAGAGATATGTTTATTATAGGAATTGATGAAGGCAATTATGGAGGCTGAGAAGTCACACAATATTCAGCCTGTAAGCTGAAGAACCAGGAATTCTAGTGATGTAATTCAGTACTAGTCTGGTGGCTACACAACTATAAGCACAGAGGTCTAAGGTTGAAGAAGATGGGTATCACAGCTCAAAGAGTGAATTCACCCTTCTTCTGCCTTTTTGTTCTATTCAGGCCCTGAACAGACTGGATGATGCCCACCCACACGGATGAAGGGCGGATGTTGTTTACTCAGTCTGCTGATTCCAACGCTAATCTTTTCCAGAAACACCATCACAGACACACCGAGAAATAATGCTTTATCACCTATGTGGGCATTCTTGAGCCCAATCAAGTTGCCACATGAAATTTACCATCACACCTACCTGTCCACCTCTGCCCACACCTACTTTAAGTTTAACCCAATAATAAATGAGACTTAATCTCATTTTTAGAGCCCTCCAATGAAAAATTTGTTATTGTACTTCATAAGACTTTTTGATATTTAACAGGTCTCAAGAAAGATTTTTTTTGGCAAAAGCCATACTTACACAAAGAAGACATGGGTTTTAGACTGACTTTGGCCCTTTCTACCTGTAGGGTCACATACTTTCACAATATGGACAAAATGATGCTACTGTGCCTTTCCCACAGGATTGCTGTATAAATCATTTGTGAATTCTAAGATTATTGAGATGATTATGCTTATGAATATCTTATTATATAATAACTTTTCCCATTTTAAAAAGAATTGCATTTATAGACATAAATGACTAAGGTGGCTTTTAAAATTCCCGAAGAAAATCTTTTTAGATATATACCATTCTAATGACTTGTATTTATTAGACAAGTCTGGATTTAAAAATGGGAGTTTATAGTCATTTAAGCCAACTAATAATAATATCTAAGGAGCCTGGATGAGTAAAGACTCTTCAATTCACAGTCAAATGCCAAGTGAGGCTTATATTTTCGTTAGGAAAGTTTCGCCAGGGTGATTGTTTTAATTACTTTTATTGGAATAACAGTAGCTAATAAAGCAATCCAGATTGTTACCAAGCTCAGTAGGAGAGAAAATAATAGGATGTCTTCACATCTTATGACTAGAAATCATGTCCTCAGATACTTTGTTTCTTCCTCTTTCATTGTGGTGTGAAAAGTAGAAAGAAAGCTCCCCTCTGCAGGGGAAGTTTTATAGAGATGGTAACCTGGTTATACTCTGTCTTTTAGGAATCCTTGCAGAGTTGGGAATAGCACATTTCTCACTATATATATATATATATATATATATATATATATATATATAATATATATATGGTAATTTTTGTGTGGATTTATATTACCTTTGATCCCCAGACATTGTTTGAAAAACTTGAGGAAGGAGGAAAAAGAATCAGATGGTGACGGAACTCATGTGGCTGACTGAGGTGACTAAGATGGCACCCTTCTGGTTGTGTGATGCTTCAGAAAGATTCCTTTGTACAGTCAGCAGGAAAAGAGTGTGATGCTTCAGAGAGACTTTTTTGTACAGTCAGCAGGGAAAGAGGGTCTTTTTTATTTTAAATAACAACAACAATACAATCTTCTTTTATCAATAGTATATTATAAAATCTTAAGCTCATTAAAAAATTTCAGCAGAATAGTCTTGTTTCTTTTTTCTTCCTTTATATCTAGCTTTTGATTATTAAAAAACTCAAAGGGGGCCATGTGCTTTTGAACCACAGTGCAGGGAGGGACAGGGGAAGGAGTATTTTGAGACTGCTGGATACAATATTCTATTAGAAAAAGAGCCAGTGTACCAGATTAAATTTTCCATTTCCAAACTTTAGAGATTTATTTCTCCAAACAGTTCATCTGGTAGGAAATTTGCTAGCAGAGCTCATTAAGAGAGAAAGGGGTTTTTTCTAATATTTCAGAAAAAAAGTGTGAATTTTCTGAGTGTAAAAATATAACACTTCACAAGATATGGGATTTCAAAAGCTCTTCATTATCTTTCAATATCCCCTGTAGAGGGTATTTATTGTACTGAATCAGAGTAATAACCAGGATTCAATACATCTATCTGTTGAAATTTGGTATTTCAGTGTTTTCATTTTGTTTTTGAAATCCTTGACTTTAGAACTTTCTGAATGTGTGTTTCTGGGATTTTGTGTACTGCAAGTGTTCAAGTATCTATTAGCCATACAGAGAGCAAAATAATGCCTTTTAGCAAATCTAAAAAAAAAATGCCTCAGACGGAGAAATTTAAAAACAAGTACATCTTAGAAAGGGTAATTTGTATGAATGGGTAGAGAAGGAAAAAAAGAAATAGAAAAGCAACCAGCAACAAATGAAATGTGTTAAGTTCCCTCATTTAAAGGTATACAGCAATATAGCAACATTGAAAAGTGTATTGTCTATACCGGGATATATATAGTGATATTAGGTTTAGGGCTTATTTGTTGTACTGATGGGCTTCCAAAATAACTAAATCTGTCTGTTGTCAATGTTATAGTATTCTAAGTAGTCTTTAACTTTCCTGGTTAGTTGAATAGCAGGACATTTTGGCTAGAACTGAAGTCAGCAGTTCACACAGCTGGGGGCTGGGACAGGATTAAATGTCTCTCATTTAAACTGAAATTAGAGACTACAGTCCTGGCATTGAAATGATGTCTTTCCCATATTGGTCACCTTCCCCCCACCATCCCTATACTCAAATATTTGCAAAAACCTCAAGAAAGATGACTTTCTTGATCAATCCCATCAATTCTTAGTAAGATGGAGATTCTGACTCCTTCTTGAGGCTGGATTCTAAAGCCACTGTCCACTGTGCCAGACTATAGGAAACTTGATATTGTTTTGTCTCAATACTGGTTGAGCATATGGGCTACCTCACTGCCAATCAAACCAAAACAGCACAGCTATTCTCACTGCTGCCCAAAGGGAGAAGCCTGCAACCTTGTTCAGGATTCTTCTCCAATATCATTTTACCCGAGATATCTTTTCTGACCACCCTATGTGGAGTAGCACCCTTTTTTATAGTGCTGATAGCATCACATATACCAATTTGTTTGTTTCTTTTTCTGTCCCCACCCCCACAACTTTATTTGTCAGTTTCTAGAGACCAGGAGCATCATTTTTTTGTTCACTGCTACATATCTCAGGGTCTGCCTATATATCTCTGACTCATGGCAGAAACTCAAAAAATATTTACTGGGTGAATAATGAATTAATTTCCAGATTTCCTCTTACAAATAACATATAAGTTAAGATATTTTTGTAGCAATTCTAGTTGGAAATATCAGAGGATTTTTTTAGGACACATTTCTAGGTTTTTCATACAGATTTACAATTTATTTTCCTACATTTTTGGGGAGTTTCAACTCTCCTCATGAATGCCATTTTTCTGATCCTGTCCTGGTACTGGATATAGCATTATTTTTAGCTATCCAACTTAATAATACAAAAATGTTATCTGATCTTAATTAGCAATTACTTGATTATTCATGTTTTAAATATTCCAGCCAACATAATGTAAGTATCTCATATAAAACCAAAAAGACATTCTTTCCTTTCTTCAAATGAGTAATACCTAGTTCTTTCAATACAACTAACAATGTCTTTAGGGAAGGTCTATTACTTCTCTTTTAATATTATAATTTCATGCTGACATTGTACAAATTTAGAATGTTTGCTTCTTGAAATATTGAGAATGTAGTCTCAAGAATCCTTCCTACTAATAACACATCAAAGTGTCGAATAAAATAAACCTTCTTTTATGTAAATAGTATAAATAGCTGTGATTCCAGAACTTTAAGGAAAATGCCTAGGGATCAGAATTAAAAATACAAAGAAAAGTTCAGGCCATAATACTAAGTAAGCACTAAAACCACTTTTGTACCAAAGGCATTTGACTACAGCAGAAATTTAAAGGCTTGGGTTTTAGGTTTTCAAAGCTATGTAGGGCAAGTAGGCTCTTTCCGTTCTCAGAACTGAGTATTTTGTCAATGCAAAAAAGTACTATATATGGGGTGCTGGTCAGAGCGCATCCTTACGCTGAAGATGGCCTCATAAGCTCTCAAGGGAAGTCCCCTCCTTGATTCCAAGCCTCGATTTTCAACAAGCCATTTTACTTTTCTATAAGGCCAGCAGCTTTTGAATAATGATTGCTTTAGTCATTTGCTATGAAACTTTCAGTGATAATGGCTGTATGATTTTCCCCTTAGCCATTCTCTTATGAACTTCTCTGTGAAGTGAGTTGCTGAGTTTAATATAATGATGGGTGGAAGACCAAGACAATCCATGCTGATGGAGTAAGGGAGAGCAAGGAAAGAAGATCCAAATCCACAGTTGACATTTATTCTCAGTCTGAAATTCTTCTTAGCTGTACCAGTGCGGTGAAAATTAAATTATTTAAAATAAAATAAAATTATTCTTGGCATTACTGTAAGTCTAAATTTTATAAATTATTTTTTCTATTAGGTTATCTGACTCTTTACTGGAATGTAAATTTCATGTGAGTATTTACCTTTTCCATTCTATTCACTGTGGAATTCCCAGGTGTTAGAGGAGTATTATGGCAGATAGTAACTGATTAATGGAATAAGGAAAAAATATTATTTCTGCATGATGAAAGATGTCTGGTATAACCCATCTGTTACCAGATAGTGAGCCAGTTACAGAACTTTGGAGGACTTAGGAGCTGAGGAAGAGTTACAGAACATTATGAGCTGCTACTTAATGTTCTCACATTCTGATTCCATTGTAAGTGGTGCATCACATACCTCTTCCCTCACACTCCTTCTCACCAATATTCTGCTTGTTTTTCCTAAATAACTGACTGGTAAATTCCCCAGA
Source organism: Homo sapiens (assembly GCF_000001405.40). Classification (NCBI taxonomy): domain Eukaryota; kingdom Metazoa; phylum Chordata; class Mammalia; order Primates; family Hominidae; genus Homo; species Homo sapiens. The sequence continues at coordinate 78,322,954 of NC_000008.11, read as the reverse complement.
TCCCAGGATTCTAATCTCAACTGTTCTCCTTCTGGGAAGAATGAGCACCATTGGGATGATTTCTATTCCCACTCTCTTAGGTGGTCTCACAGGGCACTATCCTCTTAAGTCATAGGAGGTTCCCATGAGGCTATAGAAAAAGTTTTACCCAGAGCCAAGAGAAAAGTTTTTTAAAATATTGTTAAACACACAGTAACACTTTATTGTATGGTCATGCTTTTGCTCCTTGTTTAAGAAATATTTTTCAGCTGGGCATGGTGGCTCACACCTGTAATCCCAACACTTTGGGAAGCAGAGGTGGGCAGATCACTTGCAGCCAGGAGTTCAAGACCAGCCTGGCAAACATGACAAAACCCCACCTCTACAAACATACAAAAATTAGCCAGGCATGGTGTCACGTGCTGTAGTCCCAGCTACTCGGGAGGCTGAGGCAGGAAACTCACTGGAACCCTAGAGGTGGAGGAGGTTGCAGTGAACGGAGATTGCACCACTGCACTCCAGCCTGGTGACAGAGCAAGACAACCAATAACAATAACAACAACAAACCCAAAACTTTCTCTATTACAATGTCTAAAAGATATTTACCTATATATTTTCCTTAAGAATTTTTAAATGTTTTAAAAAGAATATATAAATCCCTAATCTACAGAGTTAATTTGTTGACTCTTTTTTTTTGGAATTTAATAATTCTCATAGCGAATATATTTTTGCAGCTCCATTTATTATCACCCGTCTCACACTGATGTGACAGGCTGCCATTTTTACATATGAAGTCCCATACATATGTGGGTCTTTTTCTGAGTTCCTGATTCATATTTTTCTGAGTTCCCTATTCATATATATATATTTCATATATATATATATTTCATATATATATATATATATGGGAGATATATATATATATATAGGGGAGATATATATATATATATGGGAGATATATATATATATATATGGGAGATATATATATATATCTGAACAAGGGGATATGTATTTATAGATATAGATATATCTATTTATAGATATATCTATTTATAGATATAGATATAGATATCTCCTCTTGTTCAGTGTTGCACAGTACCAATTGCTATTGCTATCACTGTGGCTTCACAATAAGTCCTTTTATCTGTTTAGGGGAAGTCACTTGTCCTTCAGAAACATTGTAGCTATACTTGCCCCTTATTCTTCCATGTATATTTTAAAATACTCTTGTTAAATTCAACAAACTTTTTTTTTTTTGCAGATTACAGTGGTGTTTTGTTGAGACTATAGATTCATTTGGAAACAATATATTCATAATAATAAATCTTCTTACTCAAAAAATGAATATAAGATTAATATATGAAAATCAGTAGCATCTCTGCCCTAACAGCAAACAACTGAATATGTAATTGGCAGGAAGACACTATTTCAATAGAATTTAAAAAAGTCAGTATGAATTTTATTTTCTAAAGGTCTCTCTGAATACCTTGAAAATGTATTCTCAGTTACTGAGTCTTCAAAAGTGTTTATCTTTCTTTTTTAATTGAAAAATGTTAGACTGAGCTCCAGATATTCTAAGATCAACTGTTTCTTTCTGAAGACTTCTAGATATTTCTTAAATATGTGCTAGAATTAAATTTTGCTGTGGAGAATCTGAGACGAATGTATTTTTTCTTTGAATAATTTGACCATTTTGCTCAGATGCCCCAAGGATTTTCTTAACTTGGAAATCTAGTGATATTAGAATATGCATTATTGTTGATCATCCTATTAATGTTTGTGGTCTTTTAATACACAGATCAAAGTCTTTATTCCCCAAATTTTATATTATTATTAATATTTATAATCTGTTCTGATAATATGGATATATCAGTTTAAGAGAGGCATGTGTCAAATTATCTCACTCTGACAGAAAACACTGTTTTGTAGACCTCATTTTTTAATGAAAATTTAACTGATATTAAACTGTAGGTTCACAATTCTTTTACCTCAATACTTGAAACATAATTTGTTGTAGTCTGGTGACAATTTTTGTTTTAAAAAAGAATAAATATGGTCTACAGGCACTTTTTCTGCAATTTTAGCAACGTCATCTTCGTTGCCACTATTATCACAATCACCTTGAATCAGAACCATTTTGTCTATTTCACCAATGGCCAATGAATGAACAATTAAGTCCTTATTATTGATGTTAAAATCTTCTTATATCCAATTCTTCTGGCCTACTGATGGACTCTGATGGTATATATTTTTTACATATATAAGGAGATCAGACATCATTTTTTTCTCAGTTGACACAGAATCCTTTAGAGTCATCACCTTGTTTATCATCATCACTGGTCATAGTAAGAGGTCAGAGGTTGTGCCAGGCATGCATGCATAACTAACTGTGTCTTTAGAAACTGTGTTCCGAGCATTTACAGCAGCAATATTGCATGCATCGGGCTAAACTCCTTTTGAAAAATTTCCATGCCCATGCCTTTATTCACTGCTGCTAGGATGCTGTTTAATGAAGTGTTTTTATATTTACTCCTAATTGATCAAAGGATACCCTCATCATATGGCTAAATTAATAAAGTCATATTTAGGGGAAAGTACATGACATAACAATTATTTTTGATGAGAATTTCAGCTGAAGGATGAGCAGAACATTTGTCAAGGAATTACACAATATTGCAGTTGTCATCCTGTTCAACTTACCTGCAGGGAGCGTGAACCAAGCTGCTGGTACAAAGTGTTTGTGAAACCAATCAGAAAAGATGTTTCTGGTGGTCCATGCCTTTTCATTAGCATAGTAATGGACTGGTAAGAAATACACTTTTTAAAATAGCAAGGATGCAAGTTCTTGCCTATTACAGCAAGTTTACACTTTATGCATACCTGATGCATTAGCACATCCCAGGACAGTTATTCCATCCTTGGTATAAGCCCCTTGTAGGGGCTCTCTCATCAGCCATAGTCAGTGTCTTTCTGTGGCAATAAGGCCAAAGTAGTGATGTTTCATCATGCTATAAACTTGTTCTGGCATCAGAATATCACCAGGGATGACTTTGGCAAAGTTGTCAAAGAATTTCGCCACTGCTTTGTGATCAGCAGATATTTTATCATTATAAGTTGTTAACAATTTAAGGTTGTGTATTTTCTTAAATTTCTGCAAGCAGCCTGTTGAATATTCACAGTTCTCTTAAATTTTAAGTTCACTGTGATAGAACTTTGTTTGTTTCATGACCAGCATATCACTAAGTGGCATGTATTCACTGTGATGCTGATGGATCCACTTTTTCAATACACTTTGAAGATCTTCATTTTTAGCTTTATGTAATATTTTCCTATTTTTAAATTAACTTATGATGATCACTCTCAACTCAGAATTCTAACAGTTTATTCTTCTGTTTTTTCATGTTATATATGGTGGTTATTCCAACACCATACTCCACTATAAGATGTTTCACACTTAAACCACTGTCTAGTTTCTCCAACAGCTTGACTTTCTGTACTATAAACATAAATGCTTTCTCTTTTTCTTATCATTATTACTCATAGGGGTATCTGTAGATCTTTTTGACATTTTTCAATAGCACCTTTATAGCACAGAGCAGAGAATAAGCAAAACAAACATAGTGAAAAAATGTGCGTAAGTCTTGGCCCCACATGGGACATGGTGGGACACCTGCCATTGGCATTTCGGCCGGCACATGGATCATTTTATTACCCTTTGTGGGAAAATATTGGCGGGCGTGGAAAAGATATATTGCAGATGAAGTGGTCTGGGAAGGCATTTTTTCCTTGAGGATGTTGAATAATCTGTATGTTGTGCATCTGCGTTTTGACTGTTACAGGTCACATGAGGTCAGATGTGGAATTTTCCACTTGTGGCATCATGTCAGCACTCATCAGATTTTGGAGCATTTCAGATTTTGGATTTTTGGATTAGGGATGCCAAATCTGTATTTTCTTTCCAAATATGCTCCTCCTCCATTTTATCCTTCTGGTTAATGACAATCATAACGCAAACGGTCACTCAAGCTGTCATAGGGTAGTGATTCTCCACTCTGCCCCTCAAGCTCTTACCCATTTTTACACTGTACAACCTGTTATTCCTCATATTATGTGATTGCTTTCTCTAGGTTGTCTTTACTTCTCATCCAGATCTTTGATATTGCCTTTAATTTTGTTCTGTATGTCTTGTCATTTTCATTCAGCTTCATGATTTATCATACCTAATCCTTAAGTATATTTTATAGCTTAGAAAATAAAGTTCAAAATATTATGAATGCTATTCATGATTCTTTCTGTTCTGGGTCTTTTCTCACTTCTGCCATTATGTCTGGTCTTTTTTAATACTAAAATTCTAACAGTCACCTTCTTTGCTGATCCCACTGATAGTAATATATTTTTCTTCTAGTTCCCCAGAAATTTGTTATTGCTCAAAGCCCCTTTCTATTGAATATAATTTCCAAGGTGAACATAACTTTGGTCCCCTTTTGTCTCCTAGTCAGATTGAGAAATGTATTTAATTGTGATTGAGGCTAAAGCATTTGAGTATAATGAAGTTCTAGTTCTCTATTTCTACATAACTAACCATGCTAAATCTTAGTGGCTTAAAATAACGATCATTTATTTTGATCAATTATCTTCAGTTTGGGCTGGGCTCTAGAGCAGTCTGCCTCTGCTCCCTCAGTGGTTACCCTTCACAGGACCTCTCTACAGGCTGCTTGGGTTTCCTCACTATATGGTAACAGGATTTAGGACACATTGTAAAAAGTCATTGTTACAGCCAGTTTGGGAAAATACAGTCATCCATACATGGCTAAAATTCTAGGCAAATTAATAAATGCAAATAAATGGTTTCTACATATATTAAAACTTTTAATTAAAAAGTAAAGTTATAAAATTTTTTCAATTCTTGTGAGCCAGTGACATGGTTCCAGCTTTAATAAAATATTTTTAAAGTAATACAATTATTACTGTACATTTCCTGGCTTTTATCATTTCAGTTTTAGTGGTTGCATTAATGGTTTATGTGGAGAGTTTGAAAACAGAGCAGCCATTAATATTAGATAAGTTGTAATTTAATTGGTAAATGATAAAATGATAATGACTTGTAGGAATGTCCTAATTTTGATCTTACTAATAAAATATATTATTGTGAATAAGAAATAGTTATTTTATTTTCCAATGATAATTTATAATAAAATATTGAAATAAAAATATTGAAAAAATATTGAAAGAAATAAATGGCCTTAAATAAGAATAGAAGATCTTTTCTTTCCTGTCTTGAATTAAATTTTCTCCTGGATCTCTTAAAGAACTTATAACTAGCTTTTGACCCAGCAATCCCATTACTGGATGTATATTCAAAAGAAATACATTGTTCTACCAAAAAGACACAGGAACTTGTATGTTCATCACAGCACTATTCACAATAACATTGACATGGAATCAATCTAGCTGCTTGTCAATGGTGAACTGATTAAAGAATACGTGGTATGTATACCTTATGGAATATTGCACTGCCATAAAAAAGAATAAAATCATGTCCTTTGCAGCAACATAGATGCAGCTGGAGGCCATTAACCTAAGCAAATTAGCCCAGAAACAGAAAATCAAATACCACATGTTCTCACTTATAAGTGGGAGCTAAACATTAGGCACTCATGGGCATAAAGATGGGAGCAATAGGCACTGGAGAATACTAGAGGGAGGAAGAAGGGGGAGAGCAAGTATTGAAAAAACTAACAATTGGGTACTATGCTCACTATCTGGGTGATGGGATCAATCATACCCCAAATCTTGCATCCTATGCAGTATATCCACATAACAAACCTGCACACGTGGCCCTGAATCTAAAATAAAAGTTGAAAATAAACAAATAAACAAATAATGACTGATGAATCTACCTCAAAAATCTTTTTCCTTCTTATTTTTCTTTACTTCTTCCTCCCTCTATCCCTTCTCTTCTTCCTATGCTCTTTTCTCTATTCTCTCTTTCTGTATTCCTATTTTTCTTTCTTCTGTAATTTTCCTTTTATTGATTAGAAACACCCCTGCCACCAACAACAAAAAACCTAGTTTTATAACCATTTTATGGCATGACTGGTTTATCACAGCAGATTTTTTCAATAAATAAAATAAGGTAAAATATTTGCAAGTCTATGGATGCTATGGGAAATTCTCTTTGAAAGTTTTGAGGAGCAAAGATTATTTTTAACTATCCTGTGGAGCCTCTAAATTTAGTTATACATATATATGATTTTTTTCCTCAAATCAAGAAGAGTAGCGAGAGAACGCTAAAGTAAGATTCAATCTGGCTTCATTTTAAATGAACATAATATGTAAATTGGGAAGATAATATGATTATACTCCTTTATGAAAAACAGTGTACCATATGTTCACTTACCTTTCTGTATATGTTCAATCATTTTATTAATTTTGTATGTTGAAAGGGAGTTATTTTATTATAAATTTTATGTGTGTTTTCATATGTGGACTATTTGTATCTTTGAAACTTCATGGCATTTATGATATTATCAATGTAAAATATGTCTGATTTTTATCCCTGTACAAAAGATGACAAAAACAGCTGTGCAAGCTTAACATTTTAAGGAAAATTATGCATTTCACACATTCCCCTTCACTTATCAATTACACATGCATAACGTGAAATTTCAAATACACACACGCTGGACATTTTGTATCAACTCTGATGTCTGAAACAATAAGGAGGTATACTAGTCTGGACCATTCTAGGTCCTCATGAAAAGAAAAATAGAATGAACAAATTCTGGGCACATATTTACATGATACAGATGTATAACAGAGTCACAGTGCATGCTGTCACGAAGGTATGAAGGGTATCAATTACTGTGTCCAGGATAAATATCCTTGTAGAGCTCTGTGGGTCTGAAACATGAATTAAATGCCATTTGTGGCATTTTGATTAGACATGCTAGAGTCTGTACTTCATTCCCTCCTTTACTGCAAGTGTTTTAATATCTTTCACTGTATTTATGGTTAAAGATGGTTACCGTGATTTTGAATGTGTATGTTGGTGTTTGTATATGTTTTCATGTTGTGTGATGACTAGACTAACAATGTATGAGTTATTTGAGAAATAAATGTTTAAATACTATAATTATTTCTACATGTGTAATTTTTCCTAGTTTTATGAGAGGTGAAAATATGTGTATGGATGGTAAGAAATTAAATTGTACTGATATTAAAATCCACAGGATTTTTTTTTTGCATATACTGTAACATTTAATTATTTTTTGCCCCGTTGAGGGATCTTATGTTAATCATAGTGATTAGTGCTTAGTGATGTATCCCTATTTTTGACATGTAAGCTTATAAACACTATATATATTGGCACTGCTAAGAGCAATAGCTTCTTAGTCTCTTAAGTCATTATGGAATCAGTTCATTAGACAGCCAATAAATATTTTGTACCTCTAAAATATGTAAGACTTTATGCTATATTTTGTTTAAAAGTTTTAAAAAGGTAGCTGAGGTTTTCCCTCTGTAGACAGATGTTGGGCTAACCCTGATGATCCTGATGATAATTTACAGTTGTTTCAGCAATGTTGTATTAGTTTCAGCAATTTGCTACATCGGAATTGAAATAAATATACCTCTCTTTTAAGTTACATCATGCATGAACCTTATGCTTTCTTCAATTTGTTCCATTCAATGCATGATAGAATTAAGTGAGATCATGTTCTTTTCAGGAATATGGATGGAGCTGGAGGCCACTATACTTGGCAAACTAACACCCAAACAGAAAACCAAATACTGCATATTCTCATGTATAAGTGGGATATAAATGATGAGAACTCATGGACAAATAGAGGGGAACAACACACACTGGGGCCTATCAGAGGGAGGAGGTTGGAAGGAGGGAGTAGAAAAGGAAAAATAACTGATGGGTACTAGGCTTAATGCCTGGATGATGAAATAACCTACAGTACAATAAATCCCCATGACAAAAGTTTACCTATGTAACAAACCTGCACTTGTACCCCTGAAATTAAAATAAAAGTTTTTAAAGAAGAATTTGGTAGAAAGAAGTAAAAGCACACATGTGGATCTCACATCATACTCTGGCTTTGTCTCAACACCTAGTGGCGAAAATTAGAGGAAATCCTCCATTTTCCTCATATTATATTCTCATGGAGGAGGGACTTTAGTGAGAATACTTGTGACTTAGCTTTCTACCAATCTCTATTTCTTCCTAAGGAAGGAAGAATAACCTAACCTATTAGAGAATCTGAAAGAAGAGATAGATGTGCATAGCTCATGTCTCCTGGGCTTCACTATTCTAGGCCAGAATGCACAGAGAGGGTGTATTCTATTCTATGCTTCTGCATGTGGGCAGCCTCATAAATGTTCAGATGTAGTTTACTGAACTTGAATATTAGTATATAGAATCTAATGTTCTATAGCAAACCCATATTATGACAGTAACCATCTGTTGACATAATCTTATTCACAAGTAAACATTTATTGAATGATTATTATTTGCCAGATTATATATAAAGTGAAAAAAAGATGTTTTCATCATCTAATTACATTCTGCTAGAGGATACAGAGAAGTAGACAACCGAGCCATCTACCTATGAAGGAGGGCTTGAGAAAGAGGCTCCCAAATCAAATTTTTCCACAAGCCCAATTATTAAATAATTTCATTTATAATTTTACCTTTTTTGGCTTTCAGAGCTTAATGAGAACCTTAAATATACTATATAGAGTATATACTATATAGTATATTAATAGCATATTAGTATATACTCTATATAGTATATTAGCATATAGTATATACTATATAGTATATTTAACACTCTGTTCAATTACCAAAGACCACACAAAAGCATTGCCACCCTGATGTTCATCATTTATGTTGGCATGCAATATGTACAAGAACGCTTATTCCTTCATTCTTACACTCTTCCAGGCCTTAGGGACATCAAATGGGTACACAATAACTTGTTTGCTTACTTCTGTATATCTTCTCTGATCCATACCCCTTTTCTGTTTGGCCTATCTCTGTTTTTTATATCAGCCTCTTACTCCTAATAACACAACTGTATACATAACTAGTGATTTGGCAATGATATGTTATATAGTTTATAAAATGCATAGTCTACTGAAATCAATTTATAAATGGGATCTTCCTCTACCAATGAATCATAAAGTATTGAATGCACTGTGTTCTTTGGATGTGTGTGTGTGTGTGTGTGTGTGTGTGTGTGTGTGTGTATGTACATGATGAACATACGTAGCTTTTGTGTTTTCAAAAACCTTCATATTAACTGTTATGTTGGTAATTGTTAGGCTTAGTTGTCATGTATAACTTATTCTGATATTATTTTTTCCTTTTGAAGGACTAGAAAATTTTTCTTGGGAGTAAAATCTTGAGTTATTTCAAAGTTAGTTCTGGGGTAACTCTTACTTTACCCAGGAGATGTAGCAGGTTGGAGATCAACAGTCCATGTAATGTGACTCACCTGTGTTGAATGTATATGACACAGAGTACATTCTCATCTTATTGTTTACTGAGATCTTTCACTGAGCTTAACAACAGGTCTTCATTTTTGCTCTTTATATTTTAGAGGTCAAAGAGATTTGGTTTAATTTATAACATCAACTTGTGTACATCTTTGAATTATTTTGCTCACTTTGCAGTCTCCTCTCATTACAGAAAAGCAGCTCCTTTTAATAATTGTCTCAGTTTTCATAATCATGGATTTTGAGGTTTTATATATAGATTTAATCTATTTTCAATAAAGCTGGCAAAGAGATTTTATGTGACTTTGTTATCTACAACCCTATAACTTTAACTTTTATCAATGAAATTATTACTACAAAGTTTTGAGAAATCAACTCTGTTCTAAAATGAAGTTAATGTTCTTAAATCAATAATGTATGTGGCAAAAGATTGTTATAACTAAATATTGAAAGAAATACAGTTTTAAGTTGTAATACACCCTAAACACTCAATAAACACTGGTAACTGGAGGCAGTTGAGTGCGGTGGTTAACTGATTTAAAAACAGAGACACTAGTACTTGAATTTTAGCTCTGACATTAACTAGATATTGGACAAGTCATTTAACCTCTGTGAAAGTGGGGTTGTTCAGTTGTTCTAAAATGGTGATAATAAAATTTCAAGAGATAATCATCTGACTTAATTTAATGTACTCAAAGTGTTTAGCATTCAATTTGTCCTGAATATTTGGAGTTACATGACAAACGTTCAGTGGTATTCATGATGATGATGGGGGAGATGATAATGAAGGTGACGTTGATTGAAGCAGAAAGAAATATATTGGAGATGTTTCCGAGCTAGGCTGTTTGGTGCTCAGGCTGACATTAATCTTCTTTCCCCCATATTGACAACCAGGGATGCTTGTCCATCTAGTAAGATCCCATGTGATTCAAGATGGAGAAACTTCTCTTCTGTGGCTCTAGATATATGGCAAATCCAGAGCAGAGAGCAGAGATAAAAGGTTAATTAGAAGCAGATATTCTAGTATGAATAAGGGGAGTCAAGTCCTGAGAAAATGCAGTATGGCGGAGACAAAGAGGAAACAAGTATCATCATCACCAAATGAGGCAAAGAGTATGAGTATAATGGAAACAAAGAGCAAAGTATTAGATTGCTTCTCCGGAATTTGTATTTGTACTTACTTGTAAGTGCGGAATGTACTTCCAGTTAAAAATTGAGGGCTCCAGCTTATAAAGATATTATATTGTTAAGAGTTGAAGACATGAAGGCATGCCTACCACAGTGCCTGGTATACGGTAATTAACAGCAAATATTTAATACATATTTACAGATGAAGTATTACTTAACAAAATATTTGAAAGTAGAGAATATACAAAGAAGATGGAAGTTTTGGTTATAACTAGAAAAAAGATAAAAACTATTAACCAATATATTCCAATATGCTGATATTTAGTTTTTTTCTTTCTTTTAAAAATTATTTTGTAAAATTTTTGTTGAGAATTTTTATTGCTAATTTGGTTTTTAATTTCAATGCATTTTCTTTTTACACTTTAATTTATTTTTTAATTTACTTCATGTTGTAACTCTTGATTTATTTATACTCTACAGTTGTTTGAATAGCATTTTCTTACGGAGACACTGTAAATTACGAAGGCAAAGTAAAACGGGGATTTTCAACTTGTTTTAGTTTGTTGCTGGTTGAATCTTTTAAACTTGATTGGCTTATGTAACAGAGATCTTAAGATGACCATGAATGATCCCTGCCTTCTGATATTTACGCTCATACATAATTATATCTCCTTGAATATGGAAGGGAACTGTGACTTTCTTCTAACCAATTGAATTTAGCAAACGCATGTCGCTTCCACGATTTTGTTATGCTATATAAGATAGCATCTTCCTAGCAAATTTCTTCTTACTTTCCTTTGATATTTAAGGAAGCAAACTGCCATGTTTTGAAATATTGGTGGAAATGTTAGGTAGCAGAAAACCGTGTGTGGGCTCTAGGACATGACAGTGGTCTCAGACTGATATCAATGAAGAAGCCGGGCACTCAGTAATACAGCTGCAAGAAAATGAATTCTGCCAACAGCACTTCCCTCCTAGCCAAGCCTTCAGAAGAGAACACAGCTCAGCTGATACTTTGCAGCCTTCTGAGATACTGAGCTAAAGACTCACTAAGACATAGCCAGAATCATGATCTGTAGCAATTATGAGATGATAACCTAAAGTTGCTGAATTCATGCTAATTTATTATGCAGCATAGAACAAAAATATACCCATTTCATTAAACTTATTTCCCATTTTATATACAGAAAATTTTCTTAGATAATAGTTTTACATATTACTTACCTTACTTTATTTTGTTTTTCCTTTTTCAAGGTCTCTGTGGTTAATTTGGATCTTTTTTACTTCTCTTATTTTAATCATTTTGATCACATTTACTTAGTTCTTATTTTATTTTTATTTTCATGATAGTTTTCTCATTTTAATTTTGTACTCTTTATTGAACTTACTTTCAAATCTGTTGTTTATAGATACCTTATAGTTTAATCTCCATTTCTGATGTTTTTTAATCCCAAGGCCAATTATCTCTCATTTCATTACTTCTTTTCATTTTATCTATTTATATTATTAGTTTTTAAATGTTTGATTCAAGATTTTTAAATATATTCCTAGATGTTTATTTAATGACACTTGACTCAATTACAGAGTTGAATTTCTTCTTCATCATCATTCAATTCCCAAGGAGAATTTTAAAATTAGCCAAATTGTTTGGATTCTCATCTCCTATACAATAGGTTATTCAAAATGTGTTTTGACTGTATTAATTTAATTAAACATGCTTTTAGCTTATTTAATGCCATAAAATTTTAGAAATAGCTTGAATTTTAAAAGTATAGTATAATGTAGCTCCTTATTGCTCTTGAAGAAGCTTCTTTCTCACCGCTGGGCAATGTGATTGCTTTGGTGTCAAACAAAGATTATTGACTAAATTTTCATGTACTGTTTCTATCAATGTGAAGAATTATTTTGATGTACATCTTCGTGTAAAAAAAAAAAAACAGATTCCTTTGGCAAAAGTTAAGAGTGTCATGAAAAACACTCTTCTTTATTGTTAGTGAGTAAAAGCTAACAATAAGAACTAGAATACCCATTGGAATAGGAACTTCTATTTATTGGCCATGACTTGAATTTAGAAAAATAGATAGGGAGAGTGGCTCAGTGGAAACTATCTTTGTCAAGCATATCTTCCTTGCCTAATTTAAACGTTAACTTTCCTTAAACTAGTTTTATTTTCTCGTGAGTCTGATTCTAGCCTTCATGCTTTTCCAAGAATAGAAATATTGTTTTTCAACAAAAGACCTCTGTTTTAAAGCAAGAACAATGGTAGTCAAAATTTAATCTATGGATAAAGATAATATGGTATATGTATACCATTGAATACAACTCAGCTATAAAAAGAAAGTCTTTGCAGCAACATAGATGGAACTGGAGACCATTATCCTTAATAAAGTTACACAGAAACAGAAAGCCAAATACTCCATATTCTCACTTATAAGTCGGGACTAAACCATTGGTACATGTAGATATAGAGAGTGGAATAATGGACATTGGAGACTACCACAGGTAAGGGAGTGGGAGGAGGGTGAGGGTTGAAGAATTACCTATTGGGTACAATGGTCACTACTAGGGGGATGAGAACACTAAAAGCCCAGACTCCACCACTGTGAAATAAATGCATGTGAGAAACCTGCCCTTGTATCCCTGAAATATGTATTTTAAAATAATACCATTTTTTCCAAAACAGTAACAGACCATAATTTCAACAGTTTGTTAACTGGCACAGTATGGAAGAGTGTGTTTATGAGTCATCACAATCTTGGTATTGGCTAAGGTTACTTCTAACTAAAGACTTAATACTAAAATTACTTTTAATTTATTTAACTATATTATGCATTAAAATTACTTAAAGGGAATTTCAAGATTTTATTTTGTTTTTATTTGAACTTTAAATGGCAATTTTAGGAAGAAAAAATTTGACAAATATTTGCAACTATAATTGGATTTGAGACCTTTGTTTAATTCATTTACTATTAATATATTTGTCATGCTTTCTGAGTAATGTAAACTTAATTCATAGAAATTTGATGTTACTGTCATTCTTAATGTTAAGAGAATGTTGATAAAAGAAAAATTCCTATCGTTTCATATTTGACATTTAATTCTTAGGTTTTTTTAAATAATTTCAACTCACTTTGGAGAATAGTTGCAAATTTTTCATCTTTCTTCTCCTGTTTGAGCTTTTTCTTTTGTGCCCTGTCTTATTCTTTCAATTTTAGCTCCTATGAATTGAAGTTGGTTTTGGAGATGGCTCCAAAATATAAAAAGAAATTTAGTGTTTTTCCAGATTACTTATAGAATTGAAAGCCCTATTGAGAACTCAACTTTAGATAGTGACTTTGGTAAGAATATGTAGATAGATAGATAGATAGATAGATCCATTTTTATGTGTATGTATGTGTGTGTGTGTATATATATATACACACACTACACTGATATATATATATATATATATACACACACACACACATAATTTTCAGAATTAGTAGACAGCAACAAACTGTTTACTATCTATGAAAATTCTTTTTCTGCTTGGTGGCTTTACTCTATATTGTGGGTAATTGTCCATCTTCATAGGATTTTTCTATTCCCCACTGTTTAGAATGCTGTAGAAATTACTTTTGATGGTAAGATATGTAAAAAATTTGTTTTTTTTTTTCCTGAACTCGTGTTTCCTGGAAAAAATTATTTTTTTTTAATTTTGCATGCAGTCAAAATTATCTTAAAGCCAGACTCCATTTTCTTGAAATATCCATTTTATTTTCCTGAATGGACTGAATGAAATATGCACTTCAGGAATTGTTCAGAGAAAAAGAGAAAAAAAAAAAAAACAGAAGGGAAAGAGATATTGTTGTCATTTCTAGTAAACTACTCTACAGAAAAATATATATAACTATTTTTTGTTGAAGCCCATATAACCATTATGGAACTTCACTGACCTACAACCAACTACTTCAAATAATATATATAAACAGCATGCAGCAATACTTTAGCTTGTCATTTTTAATTTCTATACTTGTGCGTCTATATCTTAGCAAAGTCTCAGCTCACTAGCACACTGAGCTATGTAGTGGATATAATCTGAATCAAAGCACAATTGCAAAAATATCAAACATGATCAAAAAGAGAAAATCACTACAAAGGAGAATTCACCACGGTAACTCTTTGCAGTTCCCAACTCAGAGGCCTAGTAGCCTCATCAAAGATACAAGAGATGGAAAAGGCCCATTAGGTCATCAAACCTATCCCCTCACCAAAGAAAGAAAATGAATTCAAGCAACCCTATCTGCTGGCTTCAAACCAAATTCAAGATAGAAAGACCCTGCTGCTGCTCTTGACACATTATTTCATGACACTGGATGTCATTTATACAAAAAACTGAAATGAATTGTCTGCCCCCAGCATCCTAGAATGATAGAATAGACTTTGAGAGCTGGAAGGTACCTGAGCCCAGCCTCCTCATTTTGTAGAAAAGTACCCTAAGGACCTGAGAGGTTAAATGACTAGCTCAAATCCACAAAGCCACTCACAGCTGGACTAGTATTAAAACCAAAGTTTCCAGACATAACTAAACTGCTATTTCTAGCAAGTAATTCTTGTTTGAAAAAATATTGTGGTAACAGCCTATTCTATACATTATATTTAACACGTTTGGATTTGACTTATTTTTTGTGACCTAATTTTTAAAATTCTAACTTTGAAGTGGTCAAATCTAGGTTTTCACATTCAGAACACTAACTTTCACAGTTGATATTGACTCCAGTAACAGATTTCCATTGTATGCCAAATTCCTTCTTTTCTGCTGGGCCCAAAGCAATCTACAGAAATATAATAGCTTCATTGGTTGACTATACATGTGAAGGGAATGAAGATAGTACAGTATCTAGATTTAAAGATTTACCAACACATTATCCCACCCTCTATTCCAAAAAACCATTGGAAAAGTTATATTGTGATATATTTAAATATTTTACTAATGGATAAATGGGAAAAATAGATGGCCTTGGAAGACCTCTGGCATTTACTGAGGGGATCTCTTGCCAGACTTGTTTTAGAATGAGGTACAAAATCAGATGCCTGCAGTGCCCAGGCAGGTGAGAAGAGTGAGCTCAGCTGAGCTAGCGGCCATCAAGCTCTGAACCCAAGAGAGTAGTGGCTACTATTGGGCCTAGAGGACAGATGGCTGGTGGTAATGCAGGTCCAATATTGTAAGACCTTATAGTTTCAAGAGAAGCTGGAATTTGTAATTTTTATGAGAAATTTTCCTGATTTTTAAAACACCGTTTAGGTTAAATAAAGCAATTCTGCAGGCCAGATAAAGTCAACAGATTAATAGTGCCATAGGCATTTGCATACTATACTGTACCATTATAAAAGCAATACTACATGTTTTCATAAAAGCTGAGAAAACTAAAGTCGGAGTTTAACAATTAATTATATAATTAATATTTAATTAATAATTAACCAATAAAGGAACTGCTGGGTTCTAGGATTCTTTAAACCAATGTATGATCTATGCCACTTTTATGCAAGTTCTCAAAGTAGAAAAAAAAGGTTTTGATTCACACTATTGTCTTATTTCTTTGTAATTTATTATTTCTTTTCAAAAATGTTTTTGAACTACAGTTAGGGGTTTTAGCTAGTAGATTTGAATTTTTAAAAAAGAATCTTAAAATATGTGACATGAACATAGATTCAGGGATAAATTCCTGTTATTTTGAACAATTATATTATCCAGTTAATAAGAATTTTATGTTTTAAGTAGTTTAAACATTATTCTTCATAATAAGGAACACATATGGAGTTTTAGGGTTTATTAGCTTCTTTGAACTTCAGAGCACATAGCCATTAGCATCACTGGGTAGGCTTTTTAAACACAGTTTGTCGTAAAATGTTCATATTATTCAAAGCAGTCTACAATCTCTATCAAAATACTAATGATAATTTTCACAGAAATAGAAAAAAGTCTTAAAATTTATATGAAATGCAAAAGACTCAGAGAGCCAAAGCAATGTTAAGGAAAAATAACGAAGCTGGAGGCATCACAATACCTGATTCAAACTATACAGTAAATCTATAGTAACCAAACAGCATGGTACTGGCATAAAATCAGACACAGACCAATGGAAATGAATTCATACATTTATGGCCAATTGATTTTTTACAAATACACCAAGAAAATACATTAGGGATATAACAGTCTTTTAAATAAATGGTCCTGGAAAAACTGGATATTTACATGCAGAAGAATGAAACTAGACTCCTACCTCTCACCACATTAAAAAATATCAACTAAAAATTGACGAAAGACTTAAATTAAGACCCGAAACTATAAAACCACTAGAAGAAAACATAGGGGAAACATCTCATGAGATTGGATTAGGCACAATTTTTTTTCAAATAAGACTGCAAAAACATAGGCAACAAAATCGAAAACAGACAAGTGGGATTACATCAAAACAAAAGCCCCTGCACAGCAAAGAAAACAATCAAAGAGGCAACCTACACAATGAAGAGAAGTATTTTCAAATTATATATCTGACAAGAGGTTAATATCCAAAATATATAAGAAACTCAAAAAACTAAAGAGTAAAAAATGAAAAATTGGACAAAAGATCTGAATAGATATTTTTCAAAAGTAGACATACAAATGGCCAACAAACACATAATAATATGCTCAATATCACTAATCATCAAAAAATGTAGACGAAATTACAATGAGATATCACCTCATCCTGGTTAGAATGGCTATTATCAAAAAGACAAAAAATTAACAAATGCTGATGAGGATGTGGAGAAAGAGGAACTTACACACTTTTGATGGGATGTAAATTAGTATAGCCATTATAGAAAACAGGAATTCTTCCAAAAATTGAAAATAG
Organism: Homo sapiens; assembly: GCF_000001405.40. Lineage (NCBI taxonomy): Eukaryota > Metazoa > Chordata > Mammalia > Primates > Hominidae > Homo > Homo sapiens. The sequence goes on along the minus strand of NC_000008.11, from coordinate 78,305,465 downwards.
AACCCCCATATGATCAGTAATCCCACTACTGGATATACATCTTAAGGAAATGAAATCAGTATTTTGAAGTGATACCTGAACTCGTGTTTACTTCAATGCTATTCATAATAGCCAAGATATGGAATCAACCTCAGTGTCCATCCGTAGATGAATGAAGAAAATGTGGTCCATATGTATATACGATAGAATACTATTCAGCCATAAAACAGAAGGAAATAAGATAGACCTGGAGGACATTGTGTTAGGTAAAATAATCCAGGCATATAAAGAAAAACACCGCACAAATCTCACTCATAAATGAAATATAAAAATGTTGATCTCATAGAAGTAGAGATTAGAGAATAGTGGCAACCAGAAGCTGGGGAGGGGGTGGGGTGAGGGGAATGAGAGAGTCTGGTCAATGGGAACAAAGTTATATTTAAACAGGAAGAATAAATTCTGGTGTTAGGCAGTAGAAAATGTACTGTATACTTCAAAATAGCCAGAAGAAACAATTTTTGATTTTTTGTCACCATAAAAAAATTATAAATGTTTTAAATGATGGATATGCTAACTACCATGATTTGGTTGTTATACAATGTATGCATGCTTTGTATATCACACTGTACTCCATCATTTTGTACAATTATTATGTATCAATTATAAACTTAAAAAAATAGAGCTGAGAGTTCAGCCTAGGTGATCTCAGTGGCAGAACCTGCTCTCTAAAACCGACATCGAAATGGTTTCGAAGAAAGGCAGAGATGTCATTGGAAAGCTCTATGCTTGGATTTCTATTGGAATTGAAAGAAGTAAGTCTCAGGTGTGTTTATTTTTAACAAATGTTAGGTTTGTTTTGTAACAAGTATAATTCCAGGATTTAAAATTACATTGCCCCTTCACTCCCTCTACACACACACACACACACACACACACACACACACACACACACACACACATTGCTGGACTCAACTCTCAAAATTTTTAATTCAGTCGGACCTGGTGTGGGGGATAGGGTGCTTGATAATCTGCATTTCTAAGTTCTCAAATAATTCTGACACTGCTGATCTGAGGATAATATTTTGAAAACCATGGTTTTAGAGGATGGCGCATTTCAAGGTATATTTGTAGAGTCAATCAGACTCTTCTTGCAATGTCAGTAAGCTATAGAGATGGTACATGATGGGAGTTGTTGGTTCAGAAAATATCTACAAGCATCTGTTCAACTAGTTGATCAAGATTAACTATTTTTAGAATAATCTTGGTAATTGCTAACATTTCTATAAGGGTTACTTTGTGCCAGGTTGTGCTCTAGTTACCTGACACACTCATTCAATCTTCATAACATTCCTGTGATTACCATCCCCATTTTACTGATAAGGCAAACTGAGGCACAGAAAAGTAAAGTTGTCCTAGTTATGCAAGCCAGTAAGTGATGATGTTGGGATTTAAATCCAGGGAGTATGGCTCCTGACCCCAAGTGCATAACCCCTACACTATACTACTTCTCAAGATAATGACTTCTTTCTAACATTTGTCTCAATTTGTTTGGGTTTATTCCATGAGCCCAGTCTTATATTAGCTTAAAAAGTATAGCATAAACTATATTTTCAGATAAGTCTTTACTGGGCAGTCTATTATTTAGCACATGTACTCAAATCAGAGGTGTTATATAAATCTGATAATAGATGCTAAAAGCCAATTGAGTACAAATAAATATCCCCAGTGCCCATTTCTTCACTGAGTTGCATTTTGTGACTGGAAAATGAGCATAGTTTATGTTCCAGTCAGGACAACCACATAAGTTTATTTTTGCACAAAGCATTTTTGGAAAACAGGTTTTATCATTGCATCAACATTCATTATGGTAATTCTCCTTAAATACCACTTTACAATGCTGCTGGCTCCTTTATTTCCTTAATTGAGGTTTCCAGAGGGTGTGTGTGTGTGTGTGTGTGTGTGTGTGTGTGTGTGGTCTTGTGTTTGTCTTTAAACCTCCCATTTTTTTCTTTCTCAAACTTTTTTTCTTTTTTTGTTCCATAAATGTTACTACAACGCTATGTTTGCACAAGAATTAGACAAAAAGTACTGCCTTGGTCTATTCACATGATTGCTTTAGCGTGTTTGAAGCAGTATTTTGGAGCCAGACATAATCACATTCTGCAGTTCCTCACCTTATTAACTGACAGAGCACTGTTCCTATTAGACAATTGATCCTGGGCAGATGAAGCCATTAAAAACAGTACTGATTAGCTGAAGAGAGGCGACAGCAATGCAGGCTGCCTCACTTCCTTTTATGCTTAGGGAAGTTGATGTTCCAGACAAATAATCATTGATATGCAGTCTGCCTTAATTGTGGTTGTTAACAGCCAGTATTATAATGGCAGGCTGACAATTTCTGTCTAGTCTATTGTATGTTTATTTCAGAATCCAAGAACCACTGGGTAATCTTTTTGGTTAACCTGAACTTCATAGAATGCATTTTATAATATCCCTGAAATACAAACTCCACAGTTAATCCCAGTTTTGGAGTTATTTGGTACGTATTTTCAGGTGTTGGATGTTTAACCTAGATGAGCAGAGCAAGGTGCCCAAAACCATGTGGACATATAGCACAGCATATTTAGGTAAGGAACAGCTAGACAGCTAGGCTGGAGAAACACACACACACACACACACACACTCACAGAGAGAGAGAGAGAGAGAGAGAGAGACACCTTAGAGAGAGAGACAGAGAGAGACCTTATGGTGTCTACTGTGTTTTATCCCAAAGCAAGAACTTTTTGGTGTAGATTCTAATTTGACTCAATCAAATTAGTAGTATAACACAAAGCGAGGTTAGGCTATATAAGACTAAAATAAAAGTTATTTCATTCCTTTTATTTGTGTTCATAACAAACATTATATCATAACTATATATGAATTGAAATTTGTCTTGAGCTTAAGATATAATTAGCAAATATCTGATAAAATCTCAATATTGCCGTCCGTTTTCACACTATATGTCCTTTGCAAAACCCAGGTCTTCTATTAACTGATAAAACATTAAGTTAATTGTCTCAAAGGACAATGTTCCTCAGCATGAAACTATTACAAAAGCATGTTCAGACTACAAACCTTCTTGTTCTGAGTGACTGGTGTTTCCAAAAGACCTTCAGCCTTTCCACAGAGGGCATGCATAGAAATTATGGCCTTTGTATGTATCAGTAGAGTCAAAGAAGAGGATGCTTGGGACAAAGGAGACTTGCCTGGAAGTCTAGGCCTTTCTATGACCACAAGAGCTGAAGAATTGGGATGCATCATCTTAGCACATACATCTGTAGCTTTTCCTACTGTGCCATACTGGTTAGGCAGTTCTGAAGGAAAGTGCATTGTGGCAATAATTGGAGTGACTGAACCACAAAAATAGTCTCCCCTACCTCACAAAAACTAACAAACACACACACACACATATACACACACACTTTCCCTCCAAGTCATTCAGAACAAGTATTCCTGCTATAAACCATCCTCCATTATTTCTCATCACTTTTAGGTTATGAAACAACTTCTCTTCTGGTAAAGAGTAAGGGGTATGTTTTGCTTTTTTAAAATTGCTGCTTCCTTCTCGGTGTGCTGGTGCATGCCTGTAGTCCCAGCTACTTGGGAGGCTAAGGCAGGAGGATCAATTGTGCCCAGAGGTTTGAGGTGGCAGTGAGCTACGATTGCACCACTGCATTACAGCCTAGGTGACAAGAGAGCCTGACTCAAAAAATAAAATAAAATGAAATAAAATAATAGAATAAAATAGTCCAAGAAAAAAAAAATACTGCTTTCCCATCTCTCATTTCTGTCTTGCTAATGGTTGTTACATCCTTTGCTGAGTTATAACTGCCTGTTGGTTGTTCAAAGACATTACACCTTCAAGACTCTGCTCAGCTGTGAATTTTCTATGCTACTGTAAATATATACCTTGTCTCCAAACCAACTTTAAAAAATTTTGTTTATTATCAAATCCTTTTATTAGCAGCAAATTACAGATGTCCAGTTTAAAAAGTCCCTAGTGATTTGTCTGACCAGAGTGGAAGTGAGGGGTTTGGGGCTGTCAGGCAGTGGGGGTAATAATATAAAAGCCAACATTATGTGTTGTGATAATTCTACTAACACCAGCAGAAACATGTAAGTTCCATTTTTTTTTACTTTAATATATTCGCATGTGCATTTTATAAACATTTTATTTAGTAACAGTTATTGATATACAGAAAAAACACAAAGATAGTATGGAACATTCCCATATATCTAACACTCAATTTCCCCTTTCATTAACAGTTTGCATTAGTAAGGCATTTTTATTACAATTACCAAATTAAAAATGATTTGTTATTATTAAATAAAATTCAGGCTGCATGCTGTGGCCCAGGGCTGTAATCCCAACACTTTGGGAGGCTGAGGCAGGTGTCTCTTGAGCCCAGGAGGTCTAGGCGGCAGGGCAAGACCCCCTCTCTTTAAAAAATTAAGTAAAAAATAAAATTAAATAATGTCTATACTTTATTCATATTTCATTGGCTTTAACCTGATAGCTTCTTACTGTCCCCGGGTTCCATAAAGGATTTCATCTTACATTTAGCCATCATTTCTCCTGGGCTCCTCTTGGCTATGACATTTTCTCACACTTTTCTTGTTTTTTATTACTGTGATGGTTTTGAGGAATATTGGTCAGATATTTTGTAGAATGTCCCTCATTTGGGATTTGCCTAGTGTTTTCCTCATGATTAGACTGGGAATTATGTTAGCGGGAAGAAGACCACAGAGGTAAAATACCCTTCTCATCAAGTCATTTCAAGGGTTCATACTATTAACAAGACTTTATCACTGTTGATGTTGACCTTGATCACCAGGCTGAGGTAAGGTTTCTCAGGTTTCTCTACTGTAAAGTTATTCTTTCCTCCTTTTCCCTACTCTAATCTTTGGAAAACAGTCACTATGCATAGCCCACACTTAAGGAGTGAGGAGTTATCCTTCTAAGAGGATTATCTACGTAAAACATTTAGAATTTGTTTATTCTCCTTTGCTTATTATTTATTTATTTAATTATTCCTTTATATAAGCATGTACTCATGACCATTTACTTTACACTTTGGGTTATAATTCAATACTATTGTTATTTAGTTTCTCAAATTGTTTTAGTTTTGGCTATTGGGACCTCTTTTGGTTAGTTCTTATGTCATTTTAGGATATCCCTGCATTGTAAGATTTTAAAAATCCACTTTCTTCTTCTTTTTTTTTATTTTAAGTTCTGGGATACATATGCAGAATGTGCAGTTTTGTTACATAGGTATACATGTGCCATGGTGGTTTATTGCACCTATCAACCCATCATCTAGGTTTTAAGCCCCACATGCATTGGGTGTTTGTCCTAATGCTCTCCCTCCCCTGGCCCCACACCGCCTGACAGGCCCCCTTATGTGATGTTCCCCTCCATGTGTCCCTGTGTTCTCATTGTTCAACTCCCACTTAATGAGTGGGAACATGTGGTGTTTGGTTTTCTGTTTCTGTGTTAGTTTGCTGAGAATGATGGTTTCCAGCTTTATACATGCCCCTGCAAAGGACATAAACTTATTTTTTTTATGGCTGCACAGTATTCAATGGTGGACATGTGCCATGTTTTCTTTTTCCAATCTATCATTGATGGGCATTTGGGTTGGTTTCAAGTCTTTACTATTGTAAATAGTGTTGCAATAAACATACGTGTGCATATGTCTTTATAGTAGCATGATGTATAATCCTTTCGGTATATAGTCAGTAATGGTATTGCTGGGTCAAATGGTATTTCTGGTTCTAGATCCTTGAGGAATCACCACATTGTCTTCCACAATGGTTGAACTAATTTACACTTCCACTAACAGTGTAAAAGCATTCCTATTTCTCCACAGCCTTGCCAGCATCTGTTGTTTCTTGACTTTTTAATGATCACCATTCTAACTGGTGTGAGATGGTGTCTCATTATGGTTTTGATTTGCATTTCTCTAATGACCAATGATGATGAGCTTTCTTTCATATGTTTGTTGGCTGCATAAATGTCTTATTTTGAGAAGTGCCTGTTCATATCCTTCACCCACTTTTTAATGGGGTTGTTTGTTTTTCTCTTGTAAATTTGTTTAAGTTCCTTGTTAATTCTGGTAAAATCCACTTTCTTGTAATTATAATTTCTTATAACTTTCTTATAATTAAATACAAGATGCTCCTGGCTCTTGCCTATTCTACTAGTAGAATCATTGCCTATTCTACTCCTAGAATCTGCAGTTTCTCCAAGTCACCTTGGTATGTTTTATTGGAGAATAGCATTAAATATCAATAGATCAATAGTTGGGTACTAGTTATGCTCATGGCTACTGGGGTGTCATTTCTTTTAGGCCCTCTCAGCTGACAGAACAAATAATTGTGTATGCATATACTAACCTATATATACACTAACATGTTTATATGTACATGTCTATAAATATTTCTATATGAAACCATCTGTATTAAGATACACATGAGTTCACACTGATGTCTCTAACTATAATCCATATTGACAATATTGACATTCTCACCTGATATTAAAGGAGTTACTAGACTCCAAGTACAAAGTCAACTCACATTTAATTATCATTCTTGCTGCACAGCTCTTAAATTCTCCTTTTTGCACAAATCATTTTCACTTCACCTAAGAAAATACTTAATTTCTTTCTCTTGGATTTCTAGGCCACTTTTGTGAGACTCCATCATTTCCTCTGCTTCCATATTTATATACAAATTATTTGAGAAAACAGTAATAATACTCCAGGTTCACACCTTCCTGAAAACACGCTTATTACACACTTTAGGTGTTATGGCCTTGGGTGGTAAATTCATTTTTAAATATATTATCTGCACACCTATTAGACATCTTTGAGTATATATGTGTTTGTTGTTTATTTTATACATATACAGCTATATGGAAGTAAACAGTCAAATATTAATTGAGAACCAATCATGGGTATCATTGTCATAGAATTATAATATTTCAGGGCAGAAAAGAATATTAGAAACCATCTATTCTCTTCCTTTTCTTATTCATTTACCCTTTTAGTAATATTCCCTATTCACACATTGCTGAAATACCACGTTTATTTTAATAAGCATCCCCAAAAAGCTCCTTCTCTTGTAACTTTCTGTAGTAAATTCTATTATCTTGTGCCATGACATGTATTGGATATTTTAATAATTGTGCCATCATCTATAAATGTAGACATTTCTTAAATGTTTAGACTTAGTTACATAAATGCCTTTATTGGTCAGCTTGTTGTCAACAAGTGAATTGAATATATTTTCATTTTCACAGTTCAGAAGTTGTTACAAAATTAAAATGAAGATATGCTTTAGTTATTCTTTGCCAGGTTGTTTTTTTTATTTCTTTTGAGCACAAAATGATAATGAAGAAAATAGCATCTAAGAGAAACCCTGAAGATCAAAGTCCACAGAAAGTTGCCAAAGACAAAATTGAATCCCAAAAAAGCCAAAAGTTGAAGATCTCCTGATCCAAAGAATCTGGAAATAATTAAAATGTATTTCAATGGAAGTTCAATCCAGGCCATTTCACTGAATTCATAAAGCAAGAAACGTAGCAAGAATATCAGCATTCAGATATCATATAGGACATAAAAATTAAGTTTGCAAGTCCTAAAATACCCACTTATAAGAAGAGAGAAATGCGCTAAGGAAAGAATAAAGATGGTTGCTCAGGCAGAAATAAGCTGACAGTCATTTATTGAGGCACTACTCATCTATAGGATGAAAAGCTAACTAGAAAAAAATTCAATTTCACTTCATTTGTTCACAATACAGAATTTACTGAACTGGTGCTAGAAAGAAGCTGAGGATACAAACAGCCATGAAGTTGATTATTTTACTTATTCAATCCTCCCCTCTATCTGATCCTTAGTGACAAATGGCTTGAGTTTGAGAAAGTTCAGAGAATCTACTGCTGGTTCTTTATGCATTAATTTCTGAGACATTCTTCTGCCCTGTTGGTGTTTGGGAAACAGGTATACTCAAAGAATTTCAAACTAAGAATGATAAGAACTGTGTTTTAATATTGATCTTTTAATCTATGAAGTATTTAGTTAATCACATGACCTTCCTGAATCTCATAATGATGGAAAATAAACCATGATCTATAAACATGTATCAGGCACCGACTATTCACTGGACATTGTGTTATGTTCAGGTGTTAGAAAGGTAAATATGAATCATTTTCCACTCAAGCTGTCCTATCTAGTATTCATGTTAATCATGTAAGCAACTACACTGCCATGTGACAAACATTATTATACATGTTCTAGGCAGAGTAATACAATCTATACAAAAATGGAAAGTTAAACAAAAACATGATATGTTTGTGAAATTTCAAAAAGTTTATAGTATTTGAAACTTGGATTGTATGACAGGAGTTTAAGAGATGATATCATCCTAAACCATTTGGAATTTATCTTATAGTCAATGCGTAGTTATTAAAGAATTTGATAAAATTTGCATTGTGGCAATATAGTAGTGCTAAAGAGGATAGAATTTGGAGTAGGACGGTTGGAATCCTGAAAGAAGGTTGTTGAGAGTCTATTTCCACAGTGCAAATAAAGGTTGTTGGATTAAAAAAAGGGAGATGATGTATTGAAAGATGTTACAACTTCTTCATGAAGGGTTTTAAAGATTCTGTGAGATGATAGAAGCAAAGGGGACTTTTAAGATGTGAATCATTTCATTAGGAAAACCTAACACAAGGTCCTAATTTTAAACTCTCATATTGCATAGTATCAAACAGGGAGATATAACTGGCTAGTTTGAATTTCTGGTGATGCTGTCACATCTTTTCTCTGCTACAAATCCATATTTGAGTTTACCAAAACATAAATTTCTATAAGTCAAAAAATCATTTTCTGGATGACAGTTTCACTTTATTAGGGTCGGTTTGCCAAGATGGATTTGATTGCCTGATCTTGGGGTTAGTGTCCACCCTGTGGATGCCTGTGTGTGTGTGTAAGGGGTTGCCAAGTTCCTATGACTGGTCCATACAATTGAATTGATTGGCATTTTCTCCAAAGCAGAATACTCAGTCTTCTCAAATTGAATTAAACCGAGGTCAAATTCACCCTCGGTTTAATGTCACTTCTTGACAACCACAGAGAAAGAATTGGATACTCTTTATTCTCTATTCATAGTGCTTTGAAGTTACCTTTCTGGATATATCATTCTTTATTTATTCACCAAGTATTTATCAATAACCTGCAATGTGTCAACACTGTGTAAAGCACTAGACACATAGTAGTGAAGCAAATACACATAGTCCTTTTTCTCTTCCACCTTATAGCCTTAGATCCAGTTTGTTTGTCTTTCTTTAGAGACAAGGGCTTAAATTCTTATTGGAGGCTCTAACAGTATTTCACACATTTTGACCTGAAAAAGAACACACACCCCAATGTAAAATAGTAAAGAACTCTCTTAGATCTTCGTTCCTCAAACAAATGTTCAGGTCAGATCAGATTGCTTTGGGTCTCATTAAACTAAGCGTGTGTGTGTCGCCAACCTAGAGCACCATTTTTATTTTCCAAGAGTAACCCTTGATTTTGCTCTGTTTTATCTTGAAAGACCTTTCTCATTTTGATTAGTTTTACTTTATTCTATCATGAGAGAAAAAAATGACTTGCATGAATAAACTTAAACTAAAATAAAATAACGAAAGAATATTTTTGAGCCTAAAATAATTAACCATCTGACCCTGTGGGAAACACACTGCATTCTTTGCTTTTGTTGAGAGGAAAACACAAATTATTCACTAAAGAATTAAAAACCCTTTCATTGTTGTCAGCCTCTAATTTATTTCCCTCCAAGTACTCCTGGATACTCAGTTGAGGTTGAAAAACTTCTCAGCATTTATCTATATTACTAGGACTGATTTTATGAAAGTCAAAATGTAACAAAGTATAATATAAATTTTAATGAATAAATTTTTTAAAACTTTATTTTAAAATAAAAAAAGCAATTGAAGGAAAAGTATGGGAAATCATTTGGAGCTACACAAATAATTCTTTTCCTGTGAATATTTTAAGTAGATATTTCATAATGAAAAATATTTGTGGGGTTGTTTTCTATTTTTAGAATAAATAAGGAAGGTTCTTTGTAGGTGTTTCTGTAAATTATTTACAGACATGTGTACTGAAAATTTTAAATGCCAAAGTGCCCAGTAAAACATTCACTCATTCATTTATCAAACTTTTATTGTATTCTTTTTGTGTATCAAACACTGTCATCTGAGTTATGGAATGATATTTTAGAAAAAAAATTGCTTGTGTTGTCAAGGAATTATATTTAGTAAGAGAGTCAAAATATGTACACACATAACTATAAAATAAAGCAGGAATATTTCTGACAAGCATGAAAAAATAATGCTCTGCATTGAGCATGTTTAAAAAATCTTGAAATTATGAAATATTTAAAACATACAGATTATTTTAGTGAATAATAAACATTCATGTTTACATTATTTTAACAAATGTTGACATTCTGACTTATTTACCACTTGTCCTTTTATTTTTTTAAATAAATATAATGCCACATAAACCATTAAAGCTCATCCCTATTCCATGCTGATCCCATCTTTCTCCCTAAGGTAACTTCTTTCCCGAGGTTGATAAGTCATCTCTCCCACCATTTTTAATGTATTCATTATATAGTCATACTCCAACAAAATATGGTTCTATATATTTTCAAATTTAACATGAATGCTATGTTTTTGTATTGTTTGGATAATTTTTCCTATAATATTATTCCTTCAATGTTCCATTCTTCCCAAAGTTTTGCATTTAACTGCACTGATTCTGTTCAATGAGGTCTATTCCTGTTGCCTGCCTCTAGTGACCTGTCTCACACAGCTTACTAATAGGACCATTTATTGAGATTTTCACCTTGTGCCAATTGCTGTTCTACACTTTTGCAAGTAATAAACCATTTAGTTCTCATAGCAAATCTCTAGGTTAGATAGTATTGTCACTTCCATTTTGGTGAAGAGGGCCCTAACAGAAGCACTTTGCCTAAAGTTACGTAATTAGTAAGCGATTGAATTGCTTTTGAACTTAGTATGTATAGTTTCAGAACCCAGGATCCTCACTTCACATATGCTGTTGTGTGACCTGCCAATTCATATCTTTTGTTCTATTATTATTTTGCCATAGCTGTAATTTTCTTATTTATAAGAGGTTATTTCTGAAGAGATTAATCTTATAACAACTGTCATTAAAATATATTTTTCCAATATGAGAATCATCTTCTATATTTGTTTCAGTGAGTTTTATTGTAGAAAGATTATGTTTTTAAAATAATAAATGATGTCAATTATTTTCTTATTAGTGCTTTTTGTGACTTGTTCAGGAAATATTACTGTATTTTTTATACAAATGCATAAAGTCCCTCCCTAATATTTTTGTACAAACATATAAAAATATTCTTTACATTTTCTTCAAAATTTTTGTCAACATTCGTGTTTTTATATCTTTAATTTATCTGTAACTTATTTTTACACAGACAGAGGTAAGGATAATTGCCTTTCAATGTGAGTAGATAACTGAATAGTGATGAGTAGTTTATTTATGGGTTCTGTATTCAAGTACAGTAGTAAATCAGCATGTCGTGAACCATCATCCTATTTTAATGATTACTGCAAAATCTATTCTGATATTTGAAAAGTCAAATTCTCTCTACTTATTATTTTTTCATAGAAATTGCCGTATAAAATTTGTTTTAGCCTTTTAATCTTCTATAAAATTTTAAGGATAAAATTTCACGTTTTTCCCCTAAGAACGCTATACCAGTTTATTACTAAGTACTTTTTTGTTATTGTTCCCATTGTGAATTGTATACATTGTATTATTATATTTTTTCTGATTGAGTTTTACTGATGTGTAACAAACTTCTTATTTTGTGGATCATAAATCCATGAAATTGCTGACAACTTTTTAATTCCAACAGACTGCCTGCAGATTCTTTTCGTGTCCAGCAGGAGTAATGATATTGATGGAAGAAAACGGCAATTTTCCTGCCTTTCTACTTCTAATAATATTTTTATCCTGGATTTATCGCATTTGTAGGAATTGAAAAATATTTTGAATACTTATTGAATATTTATTGCATTGTGTCGGAAGTGAAAAATATTTGACCTAAAGGAATGTTTCTAACATCATCATTAATATGCCTTTTTACCTTTTTTTTTTCTTAACTTTTGTGTAGGGATTAGGTAGTTCTTTATCAGTTCAAACATTTTTTACCCCTATGTTTCAATTTTTTAACAAAAATGACTTTTAAATATTATCAAAACCACCTTCTCAACATTTTATACCAAGCACACAAAAAAGTTAAATCTACATCTAGACATATTGATATATATCTAGAGATTGGATACATCTAGAAGTCAGAGATCACCAAAGGCAAATAGAAATTCATAAGTCAGCCTGAGAGGAAAAGTTAGATTACCCACTTACGAATGACCAATAAAAACAGCACAGCCAACATGTAACAATTCACAAGATAAAAGCGTGACATCTTAGGCTGGGCATGATGGCTCACGCTATTAATCCTAGCATTTTGGGGGGCCAAGATAGGAGGATCACTTGAGGCCAGGAAGTTGAGACCAGCCTGGTCAACATAGTGAGACCACATCTCTATATAAAAAAAAAAATAAATATGACATCTTAAAGGGACTATGAGAATAAAACCACAATATAGATTCAGTGTACCTAAATAGAACTTCATGAAAAGAAGGCAAATTATCTCAAAATAATAGTTTCTAATATATCTTAAGTAAAGAAATATCTAAATAACATGTATAGGTTGAAGGAAAATGATCCCAGAAGACAAATTTGGGATGCAAAAAGAAATACAGCACAGAGAAATTATTAAAATACTGTGTAAAGATAAACTGAAATTCTTTTTGGTGTGACAGCAATGTTTATAATAACATACAGTAATAATCATCATTGGTACTTGGAATGGTTAAATGGATAAAAATAAAGAAAAATAGCCAATAAATTTTCTCCATCAATAAATTTGGATGGAGAATCAAAGTTAAGAATTCTAAAAAGTTATTTGGAAAGAAGGTTAAGATATAACATTATACTTTGATATACATACATTGTACATTTTTAAGAATAATCACTATTAGAAAAGAACAAATGAGTGAACTCCCAAGCCAATAGAGAGAAAATTTTGAGTATCAAAAACAGATTTCAAAGTGCAAACTATTGGTTATGTAAAATAGAAAAGACAATATTTTTTAAAACTCTAGGAAGGAGTGGGGCCAATAAAAAATGATGAAATACATAATTTGTAATAAAATTTAAATATATCATTCAATATAATATAGGTAAACAAATTGACATATAAACATGTTATCAAACACATTAAAAATAAATAAAACAAGATGAGGCTTTGCTTTGGATGATAATGTGTCATAAAATGCAGAGTATAACTAACGTGACCCACTGCAGTAACTTAAACAAATATACAAAAGTTTATCATTCCTTTTATTCCCCCCATCCATTTCCTTCTGAACAAGTCCGTTTTAAAGCTGTTAGGTTGCACAGGAGAAGGTAAGCATATCTATGCCTGGAACAATTTGGAAGGGGTGTGGTGAGGTAAAGAAACTGTCCATGTGGGAGTTTTCTTAGCACAGGCTGTTAAGGCCCAAACATAGGAAGCAAGGTAACCATGCAGTATTTGTGGGTGTGGGGTTGTGTAGTAGCAAAGCTCTGATGTCTCATGCCAGTTGGTTTCTCTAACAGAGAAGGACATCCATGAGCAGAAACCAACTGGCATGAGACATCAGAGCTCCCCTTAGGATGGGAAGGAATGCAGGAATACCGTCACAGGATTTCTCAGGGTAAGGCTGATGCCACTTGGGAGAGTCGAATTTGCTTTGTCCTAGAGTGAAGGAGACAAAAGAGACATGACCACTAAAGACAATGTGCAAATCTTAGCATTCTGGGGACATTTAGTGAAACTTGGGTGGAGTCTGAGGATTTGCTGGTGGTGAGCAATGTATACTTTTCTGCTTGTATGGTATAGTAGTTACATAGGAGGATGTCCCAGATTATAGCAAAGGGACACTAAATTATTACAAAGTGAACGAGTACCTAGTTGGCTACTTAACCTCAAAACGGTTCATGAAAAAAATTATATGTATGTACTATACTTGCAATAATTCTGTAAAGTACAAAAATGTATTAAATCAGGACCATCTCTAGGCTACCTGGCTCATTTATGAATTTTTATCCAGATTTTAGCCAGTATCTCCTATAGGGCTTGGACTAGCAGAGGTTTGGGGGATTTCAGCCCCCAAACATCTCATTTGGTCCTATCCTTTTGTGTAGTTTATAAACTGTGTAATCATACGTGTCAGCCCTGCATTCAAAAGAATGTTTTATGTGGAATGTTTTATGCAGAAATAGAGACCTACAGTAATTTATTTGAAAGAGAATATGATTTCTAAAATCACTTCAAATTTTTTCACTTACTTTTAAGACTTTGGTTTACTTAAATGAGATTCTCAAATGTTAAAACAGAGAATACAAATTATGCTGAACTCATTTATCTTCAAACAATGTTTGTAGAAAAGAAAAGTGCCTATTAGAAATATTAACAGTATTCTGTTTGCTATCTCTCTCCTTTGGAATACATTTAATTATAAATATAAATTATATATATCATTTAGAAACAATATGTTTAATAATTTAAGGATTAACTATGAGTCAAAATAATTTGTTTAGTCTAGCAATAAATTAATTGCAAGTTGTTCAGAGAAGTGTACACAACACACAATAAATATTTATTATGTGTTGAATGAGACAGAATATAAAAGAAGTTAACAGTTTGGCAAACATTTATGCATTAAAAGCTCTTATTATTTGCTTAGGCATGGAGTTAATTTGAGATAAAATAATTAAAACCTAACACAAACTCTATTTCTGAATTTGTATTTTTAGATGCTAGGTATGGGATGATTTTATCATGAAATTAAGTATGAATTAGAAAAGCTCAAATTTGCTTATTCTTCCTCACACCCTCAATAGACCATTAATTCCTAGAAGGGGTGTCTCCCGCATTAAGGACTAATCAATTTTTGCAAGGCTTTATAAAATTAACCCTATTGGCATTAGCCATTTAGTATTTTAATTGTCCCTGTAATGCTCAGTCTTCTGACCTCATTGACATTTTATTTATAAATAAATTTATAAAATTACATTTTATTGTAATTGGAAATCAAAATGCCTAAGACTGTGGTCTAAAGAGAAGCCATCAACATGTACACTGAGAAGCTTTCCTTTTTAGAGTCCATTACAGTATCCTTGCTCTTTGAGTTGTTCCTTCTTCTAGGTACTCATAAGTTTAATATTTCTGAGTCTAACTCTATTACAAGCTCTATGATGAAGTTCAACCATGGAGTCATGAAAGATGGCTTCACCATTATTGATATCAAAATGATAACTAGTGATATTCTCGTCATATTACCCAAATAAAATTGTATAAACCAGGCAGGGCGCGGTGGCACACGCCTGTAATCCCAGCACTTTGGGAGGCTGAGGCGGGTGGATCACCAGGTCAGAAGTTTGAGACCAGCCTGACCATCATGGTGAAACTCTGTCTCTACTAAAAATACAAAAATTAGCCAGGCATGGTGGCGTGTGCCTGTAATCCCAGCTACTCAGGAGGCTGAGGCAGGAGAATCATTTGAACCAGGGAGGCAGAGGTTGCAGTGAGCCAAGATCACACCACTGCACTCCAGCCAGGGCAACAGAGCGAGACTCTGGCTCAAAAAAAAAAAAAAAATTGTATAAACCCCAAATTTACCAAGGTACATCTCTGGTTTTATCTTCTTTGGGTAAAATTTTTAATATGTCCCTCATTGTTCTGGAAATAAATTCTTAGAGTAGAAATTGCTATATCAAAACTTTGAGACCTTTTATAAAAACGATTGAAAAAATTCCACCTAGAACATTGTAACAAGTACATTTTTATCAGTGAAAAATCAGAGATTCCATTTCATAAACTTGCCCACATATGATATAATAATTTTCAAATTTTTAATTTTAATGAAGCAAAATAGCCACTAAATAATTAATTTGGTGTCTCTGTTTAACAGTAAACTTGACCTTTTTATTCATTTGTATTTTGAATATCCTTGTTAGAGATTAAAATTTCTAATTTTCATTAATTTTTATTCATATTCCATATCTTTTTTCTATCAAAATGTTGGACTTCTCTGTATAATGTTATATATATATGGGATTCTAATGAATATACAGAGAATATATACATATTATGTGTATATATGTAAGTGCACATATAATACATAATGTAATAAATACATAATATAATAAAACCATTTTCTCAGTGTGACATTTACCTTTTAGTTATATTATTATAATAGTTTGTCCTGATGTACTTATTTCATTTACTTTTTGTTTTTATGGACAAAACTTTTTATAGCTTCTGACTATGGTATTAAACCTATAAAGGCTTTCTTTATTTTCTGTGTACATAATATTATGTATATTTTCTTTTATTTATTCGTCTTTTTTTTTTGAGACGGAGTTTCACTTTTGTTGCCCAGGCTGGAGTGCAATGGCATGATCTGAGCTCACTGTAGCCTCTGCCTCCCAGGTTCAAGCGATTCTCCTGCCTCGGCCTCCCAAGTAGCTGGGATTACAGTCATGTGCCACCACGCCCAGCTAATTTTTGTATTTTTAGTAGAGAAACCATGGGGTTTCTCCGTGTTGGTCATGCTGGTCTCGAACTCCCAACCTCATGTGATCTGCTCACTTCGGCCTCCCAAAGAGTTGGGATTACAGGCATGAGCCACGCTCCTGGCCTATTTATCTATTTTTTTTTTTTTTTAAGATAGAGTCTCACTCTTTTGCCCAGGCTGGAGTGCAGTGGTGTGATCTTGGCTCACTGCCACTCCTGCCTCCCAGGTTCAAGTGATTCTCATGCCTTAGCCTCCAGAGTAGCTGGGATTACAGGCGTGCACCACCATACCCACCTAATTTTTGTATTTTTAGTAGCAACAAGGGTTTACCATGTTGCCCAGGCTGGTCTCGAACTCCTGGGCTCAAGCGATTCACTCACCTTGGCCTCTTAAAGGGCTGACCTGATTATAGCCATGAGCCACTGTATCCAGCCTAATATTATACATATTTTCTTACTATACTTTTTGATTTCACATTTTTATATATAAACTTAATCTATAGAATCCCGAGAACGTTAGTTATTTACCTTAAATCATAGATCTGTTCATTTACTCTTTTTTGCTTCTTAATGTGGATTATTGCCTAGGCAATCAATCTCATCCAGTCCTCTGACTGAAAAGCATCTATAAACTGATCCCTAATTTAAATTTCCAGTTTGAGTCTTTCTTCCTAGTGCTAAGCATATGTTCAAATGCCTTCTTGAATATCCAAAGGAATATAAATCATTCTATTGTAAAAACACATGTACATGTATGTTTATTGCAGCACTATTCACGATAGCAAAGATATGGAATCATCCTAAATGCCCATCAGTGATAGACTGGATAAAGGAAATATGGCACACATACACCATGGAATACTATGCAGCCATAGAAAAGAAGGAGATCATGTCCTTTGCAGGAACATGGATGGAGCTGGAGGCCATTATCCTTAGCAAAGTAACACAGGAACAAGAAACCAAATACTGCATGTTCTCATGTTTAAGTGGAAGCTAAACGATGAGAACACATGGACATGTAGAGGGGAACAACACACACGGGGGTATGTGTTGGGAGGGTAGAGGGTGGGAGGATGGAGTGGATTAGGAAAAATAACTGAGTACTAGGATTAATGCCTGAAAGATGAAGTAACAAACCCCCATGACACAAGTTTACCTATGTAACACACCTGCACTTGTAACCCTGAACTTAAATGTTTTTTTAAAAGAAATCTCCAATTAAGCATATTGTAGACAAACTTAAAATGCTCAAGATGAAGTTCTTGATCATCTGCATCAAACAAACAAATTTCCTACACCTGACTTTGTCATCTCATAAAGTAATATCACTGAACAATGTAGAGATCACTATTAATCCCTCCATTGCCTGCACCCCAAAAATCCAACTCAACAAGCTGTCTTATCAATTTTAACTTCAAGGTATATCTTGAATCTGACCACTTCTGTTTGTATCATCTGTCTTCTACCTCATCCAAATCACTATCATTATTTACCCAGATACTGCGTTGGCCTCTTAAATAGTGTCTCTGCTTTTGCTATTGTCTCCATTAATGTCTTCTACTTACAGAGTGATTTAAAAAACAAAAAAAAAAACAAAACACTTATTAGATGTTGTTATTCCCTTGTTTAAAATCATTTATTTTCCTTCCTTCCTTCCTTCTTTCCTTCCTTCCTTCTCTCCTTCCTTCCTCCCTCCCTCTCTCTTTTTCTTTCTCTCTTTCTTTCTTTCTTTCCCTTTCTTTCTCTTTCTTTCTTTCTGTTTCCTTCTTTCTTTTTCTCTCTTTCTCTCTTTCTCTCTTTTCTCCTCCCTCCCTTCCTTCCTTCTTTCCTTCCTTCCTCCTTTCCTCCCTTCCTCTCTTCCTCCCTCTCCCTTTCCCTCTCCCCTCTCCCTTTTTTTTGGTTTGTTTGTTTTTTGTTTTGTTTTTTGAGACAGAGTCTCACTCTGTTGCCAGGCTGGAGTGCAATGGCGCAATCTCAGCTCACTACAACCTTTGCCTCCCAGGTTCAAGCGATTCCCCTGCATCAGCCTCCCGAGTAGCTGGGACTACAGGTGCGCGCCACCATGCCTGGCTAATTTTTTCAGTTTCACTAGAAACTGAAGGAGCCAAGAAAATCTGTATTAATAATCCAGAGAAGATGCAGAAGATTGGAGTTGTATCCCATGGGGATAGAACTAACTTTGGGGAATACCAACCCTCCCACTCTGCAAAGGGAGGCAAATGGTACACACACACACACACACACACACACACACACACACTTCAAATGCCATTAGTTACTATTTGAGGTATATTGGTGTGTATTATTCTCTATTGCTCTGGCTGGCAGAAAAAATCCTCAGATACAAAAATATCGGTACAACCACTGACCTGCTGAGTATCTGAAATGGTGGAGTTCAAATTATATGGGCACTCACAATGCTTGCCCTGTGTAATCTGATTTTTGTGTGTATTTCCATTCTAATCTCATGCTGCTCAATCCTATTTTACTATGCTCTGGAAGTACTAGCTTCATTTATATTTTAAATTCTTTTTTTACATTTAAATTATTTCATTTTCTCTTTTTACTTCTTATTCTTTAGGACTCAGATTAAATTTCACCTCCTCAGGAAAGTCTTTTGGTATAAATCTCAACAAGATGTATTCCACTGTCACCTTGTGTTGCAGAAGTGCATTTCGTAGAATCAATGCACTCTACTTTGAGAGTGGTTGGTCTAGAAACCAATGATGGGTCTAAAAACACAGGACAATCCAGTCTCCCTGGCCATAATAATTCGTTTGAAAATAGGCATGTGTGTATTAAAGAATTTGACCTTACCCAAAACCAGAACTTTCCTTTGTCCTTGGCTTCTAGCTGGTAATGTATAACATGCTAGATAAGAGTATTTTTTTTTAGGTAAGGGGCTGACCACATTGGCTTATATGGCGGGGGCTGCCTACACCAGAAAGACAAACTAATTGTTGAGGATAGGGGATTTGGTTCACATGTTACCAGTCAATCTGGAGACTGAAAAAAACATGTAAGCAATCAATCAACCATGCCTATAAAAAGGACCACAACCACCCTCCACCTCCCCCGCAAGCAACAACAACAAAAAACACATCTCTGAACACGAAGGCTCAGGTGATTTTCCCTCACTGGCATGTGCTGGGAGGGGAGCACATTCCAGCTTTATCAAAAGGACAATGAAAGCTCTGCATTTGGAACCCTCTGCCTTATGCTCTTCCTTGGACAAATTTTGATCTGTTTCTGTTCCCCATACTAAACTATAACTATAAGTACTTTAAAGCTTCCCAGTGAATTCTGTCAGTCTTTCTAGCAAACTGTCAAATCTGAGGGCGGATTGGGGAACTCTCCAAACTTGTAGTTGGCCTCAGAAGTAAGGGAATTCTTGAGAGTTTTGCTCTCAAACCTCATAGTTTGGCTAACTCTGGATAGTATGAAATCTAGGCCAATGTATAAGCCTTCAAATCACTCTTGTCTTCTGTTTTTCTCTCATGCCCAACAAATAAGCAATCAATACATCCTGCTGACATATCCATATCCAGAAACCAACCTCCTGTTCAAGTCCCACCACAGCTCTATTTCAGGCTACCACTATGTCTTACCTGGATTATTAAACTAGTCTTTTAGTAGGTTTCCTTGCTTCTACCTTGACTTCTTAAAATGTAGTCCCAACACAGTAACCAAAGAGATATTTCTGAAACATAAATCTGATGTGATGTATTGAATTAATGTCAAAATATACATTGTCTCTCTGTATGGGCTCCTTCCTTCCTTCCTTCAAAGTCCTTCACCACAGGGTTCCTGCTGGGTGAGGATTGTACTTTTCATCTCTCTTATGTCAGACTTGGACATATTATTTAATTTGAAAGATGAACCATGAGTATAGGTGATTTTTTTTTTTACTTCTAAACAGAAGTTTAAATAACCATTGCCCAATTTCATCATCTATCTTCTCTTTGCCACATCATAATGCAGTAGTCACAAATAAGTGCTGGTGTTTCATACTGGATCCTAAAGAAAACATAGAGGGGAACTGCAGCTAACATGTAGCTGGTGCACACTGGATACAAGAGAAATTTATTGTTAAAAAAAGGAAATTTTTGAATTGTGTGTTAAAGAAACATTATATTAAAAAGCTTATTGATACAGAAATTAGTACTAGGAGTGGGATGTTGATATAAAAACACTAACAAAAAATTATTTGGATTTGATTTCAAGGACAGGTGGACAATGATAAGAAAACTATTATTGGGATTTGATATGAAATATGACAACATATGATATGAGTAGTAAAATATTTGGTGTAGCTGTCAATTATAATAACCAGTAAAATATACCAAGTGAACTTATGGTTATAGATGAGGAGATTGGGATAGAATGCTCTTAGGATGCTTTAGTTGCTACTGACAAGAATATAAAAGGACTTGAATTGAGAAAAGAACTAAGGGAGGGAAAATGAGAAAAGCTGCAACAGAGATGAAAGAATAGGAGAATACAGACAATGCAAAAACTCGGAGACAACATGGTTCAAAGTTGCAAGTATTTCTTATCTACATATTAAAAAGAATACCAATATAAACAAAAGCAACAAAGGGTATTTAAATCTTGACCTTTTCGCAAGTGACAAATAAGTCATCTCTGGTCTCAGGGAAAAGACATCAGGAAATGATTGCTAACAGAACTATAATAAATTCTGACTGCTAAAATTAAGTATTAATATTTATGTTTTTCTTGAAAAGTACTGTGGTCTATTAACACATAGATTGTGCTACAATCAAATAGATAAAAATTTTACTTTTTAGTATGTCATGTCTGTAATGTGCACTGTTCTCTATGACACGACTGATATTAAATTTTCCTTCATCTTGTATCCAACCATAAAACAGACAAAATGCACAAGGAAATTCTTCCCCTGCCAATGAAAAATAGGACATACAAAAGTTTGATTTTTAAGAGAAGAGAAAAAAAAATCAGTAAACTTCCCAGTTGCATAAACTTCCTTCTTGATACATTTTCCTAATTATAATGCAAGTAGTAAGATTGCAAGAAGATTAAGGTGCTCAAACTTATTTGAAAAGGCAGAGATTAAACTTCTGAGCTAATGAAGTGGCTGGATTTGCAGGGCAAAGAATAGGAAGGAGGGAGATGTGCAAGTGCTGGATAAGGGTCCATAAGTTTACACAAGGATTCCCACATGTTCTTGGTCAAAAGCTGGGCTGTAAGTGGGCAAAGTGAAACTCTATGAGGCCTACCAGGGAACAGCTGTTGCAGCAGTGATGGCATAATAGAGATATCAGAAGTTGAATTGGAGTTCCAGCCCAGCCAGACTAAAGTGACTTCACTAATTACATTGGGCATGCTGTCAAACCCCAAGAAAGACTGTGCTTTAGTAGTAAGAAACACACCCTAGGACTAGGCATGAAATCAGTGTAGATCCACTCTGTCAAAGAAAAAAGGCAAACTTGACAGAATCAAAAGGAATCACTAGCAATTTATTTTCCTATTAGTGTGAAACTCAATACCTTTTAGAGAGAGACAACATAATCTAAAGTGACTTAAATACGACATTGATGGTTTCCAATATATTAATAAATATAAGTAGACATAAGAAGTGAGAATTGGGACTCATAATAGATAATAAAACAGAAACACACCTCAGCATAACCTCACATATAATAGACCTAAATATACTACTAACAAATGTAGCAGACAAGGGCTTTAAAATAAATTTTATAAATATATTTAGATTCTTAAAGAGTAAGCAGTACTCATTCCACTTGCCATAGTATATATCTATGTGTTTATAATCTGTCCTTTCTCGCTAGAATAGCATGTCTTTGAATAGATTAACTTATCTATTGTGTTTCATTGCTGTAAGTACTTACCAAGAGTTCAAAAATACTTATTGAAGGAATGACTTAACATCCATAATCCTGGCTGGGCATGGTGGCTCACACCTGCAGTCCTAGCATTTTGGGAGGCCGAGGCAGCTGGATCATTTGAGGTCAGGAGTTCAAAACCAGCCTGGCCATGGTGAAACCCTATCTCTACTAAAAATAAAAAAAATTAGCCGGGCATGATGGCAGGCTTCTGTAATCCCAGCTACTGAGGAGGCTAAGACAGGAAAATCGCTTGAACCCAGGAGGTGGAGGTTGCAATGAGCCGAGATCATGCCACTGCACTCCAGCCTGGGCAACAGAGTGAGACTCCGTCTCAAAAAAAAAATCCATAATCCTAATATTAGGTATCATAGTCAATATAATATACTCCAAGGTAATGAAAAATTATAAACATACTGAATCAAGTAGCATCCCAAATAATTATTGTGGCTCTAGTAATAAAATTAAGAATGTTCCCTTTCCTCTCCTGAGTCCCAGAAGTAACATAGGGAATGTCATTGGCATCAGGTATAATTCTTACATGACAAAAGCTAGTGCTAATTTCCATCATATTTCATGTCTTTCCCTCAATATACCTAAATATACTAACAATTGCAGCAGACAAGGGGTTTAAAACAACTTTCATAAATATCTTTAGGTTTTTAAGAAAAGTATCTAAGCAGCACTTATGACCACTTGTCATATTATGTATCTATTTGTTTATCATCTGTCTTTTCTCACTAAAATAGTAGAATAGATTGAATAGATTATTTATTGTGTTTCATTGCTGTGAGTAATGGCAAGAGCTCAAAAATGTTTGTTAAAGGAATGAGTTAAAAGCATGCATGAATTCATGTATGAATGAATAAGTGAATGAGAAATGTAAAACACTATGAAACAATGGTGCTTTCCTGCCCATAGAGGTAGTTCTTAGGGGTTTTAAAACAGTTCAATAAGAATGGAGGTAAAATGCAATGATGTGAATATTTTCATGCTTCACATTAGACTAGGGTATATGACTTGTGTTTCTTTATGGCTGTTAACAAAATATCAAAGTTTTAAGAAAAGACAGGATCAGTAACAGCCATCCTGAGCTATATTGGAGTTTGAGGCAAAATAAAAACATCAATAATATTCTCCTTTTACCTGATTCTTTTTCCCTTTTTACCTGAAAGATTTTTTCCTCTTATTCTCACTGTCTTTTCCTCTCTCTTTACTCTTATCTCTCTGTGTTTCTATCTCTCTTATCTATTTTTTACTTTCTCTTATTTATTTCAGTTTCTGCCTACTAATAGTTTCTTATAAGTTATCCAACAATACTCCTAGTGTTGGTTTGTCCTTGACCAATAAGGGTTTTGGGGAGATCTATTTGTATAATCTTTCAATTTCAGTTCACTTTTCTGAAAGAAAAATCTGATAAGTTCAGGTTTTTATGAGTACATTGTATGTCACTTGCTGTCTGTGTACTGAACACCTGTTTTTACACATTCATTCACATGTGGCCTGGTTATGGGACCAATGGTGTTGTGTTGAAAATTGTTGTCTTTGTTGGGTTCTCCCAGAAGCAGAACTTGAGCCAAGGATGTAAGTTCATTAACTACTTTGTTGGTTGACAGGTGCAGGAAAAAAAATTGTAGGGGAGTAGCAAATGAGTGCTGAATAGAATATATTAGCTATATAACTGTCTTCATAAGTGGTAAGTTTCCAGTGATAAAAGGAGTGCAACAACAATGTGTACTAAAAGGCCATAAAACGGCTAACCTCACAGGTTGAGGCTCTGACAAGGCTGTAAAGAGGAAACTATTAGAGGAATTATTTCTAATATCTAGATTGGTACAGAAACAAATGCCCTAAGTACAAATGTTCCTTATGGGTACCTGCTTTAGGGATTTGTAAGAATTTTACAATCACAATTATAATAATTTCATAAACAATCAATATACATTTATATCATTTTTATATTTAGTGCTTATACATATTCTAAATACATTAGGTATCCTGAGAGTACTCCTGTGCTACAGAGAGGGAGCAGGACATTTATTGGTTGTGCCATGCGTTAACAATGCTGCTATGAAACAGAGTCATAAGTAAGCTGAGGAAATACAGGCTCCCTAGGCAACTACTGAATTATAACCTTTCTATTAAGAATACTAGATCCTGGAGCCAAAAACTGATCTATAGATTTCATTAAAGAAGAGTTAAATGATATAACCCTATTCTTCGAGTTGGCAGAAATGCTTCAATGTTCTCCTAACATTCCAAAAGAAGGCCTCCAGTCCAGTTTTGCCAATATGAAGTAATATAAGCTTGTCTCTAACATTTGAAGAGTTCAAATTTATAGTTAATGATGAAGTTCTAGTCTAAACAACATCTTTCTTTCATTTTATTTTACAAAGGTGGAGGGGAGATATCATTTAATTTACATTTAGATTATTATTATTATTATTATTTGAGATGGAATCTTGCTCTGTCACCAGGCTGGAGTGCAGTGAGTGGCACCATCTCGGCTCACTGCAATTTCTGCCTCTCGGGGTTCAAGTGATTCCCTTGCCACAGCCTCCCGAGTAGCTGGGACTACAGGCACGCACCAACCCGCCTGGCTAATTTTTTGTATTTTTTTAGTAGAGACGGGGTTTCACCATGTCAGCCAGGATGTGCTGGCTCAGCCTCTCAAAGTGCTGGGATTACAGGCGTGAGCCACCACACCAAGCCTACATTTAGATTCTTGAAGATTAATATTCTAATGGTCTTAGTTGGGTTTCTTCCAAAACCAGAGCCTGAGAGAAGGACTCAGATGCAGGCATTTGTTTTGAGGAGCAGGTGTAAAGGAGGGGTGGAGGTATAAAACAAGGAAGAAAGAAAACTAGCAAAGGGAGCTCTATTGTGCTCTTATCATTGTGAACAACTGTGTATTTGTCTCACTGGGGGGTCTTCTGAGGACTCAATACAACACACCTCAGAATTGCCACTTCAGAAATAGAAGAGAATGGAGCATTTACTTATTGGTTGTGGCTTGTATCCAAGGGTGTTAACGCCTCTGTGACTCAACACCTGACTGGCTTCAGTAAGCCTAAGTGAGCACTTGTGGTTTCAGATAAACTTGAGGCAAAAAAAGTAGAAAGAATTGGTAGGCACAGAAGGTGAAATTTTGTCAGAGTACATGGGAACTGCAAGTGACATTGGGGTGGGTCAAGGTGATGTGACGGGAAGCATCAAAAGCCTGTGCCCCAGTCCCTCCCTGCTTATTTCTCAGATCTACTTATGCTGCATGTATTTATTCCATTCTCTTACTAACCCTTCAAATAAAACCCAGTGGCAATCTCCCAAAAGGACTTAAGATCAAAGAGTTATTTGACAAGTTATAATCCTTACTGCTACAGCTGATCCATAAATTATATTTAATTATATTTAATAATTGTCATTAATCTTCTCCACAACCATTCCAGATTTATCTCCCCTCCAGCTGGCACTTCCTCTGGTGCATGTAGGTAGCTTTCCCGGTGGAGTGAATTAGACCTTCCCTGAGAAGGCTCTTGGTTGCCTTGCCTTTTTAAGTATGTGGTTGCTGCAATTACTCATTCACTATTAATTGCTTTATAGAGAAACTTCAGTCCTTTTGTCTTAGTCTTCTTGGGTTGCCATAGCAAAATACCATAGACTGGGTGGATTAAACCATAGAAATTAATTTTCTCACAGTTCACAAGGTTCAGAAGTGTAACTGCCCAATGGGTTCACCTTACCCACTGCCTAAACAGCCGATTTCTCAAGACGGGGGAATCACTATAGAGAAATAATTAACGCAGAGCCTGCTGTGTGGGAGACTGGAGTTTTATTATTACTCAAATCAGTGTCCCCAAGCATTTGGGGACCACAGTTATTAAGGATAACTTAGTGGGTGGGGGAAGCCAGTGATCCAGGAGTGCTTGATCAGAGATGAAATCATAGGGAGTTAGAGCTGTCTTCTTGCACCCAGGCAGTTCCTGTATGGGGGTCACAAGATCAGATGAGCCTGTTTATCGATCTGGGTGGGGCCAGCTGATCCATCAAGTGCAGGGTCTGCAAAATATCTCAAGCACTGATCTTAGGAGCAGCTTAGGGAGGGTCAGAATCTTGTAGCCTCCAGCTGCATGACTCCTAAACTGTAATTTCTGATCTTATGGTGAATATTAGTCCTACAAAGGCAATCTAGTTCCTAGGCAAGAAGGAGGACTGCTTTGGGAAAGGGCTGTTGCCATCTTTGTTTAAACTAAACTAAGTTACCGTCTTTGTTTAAACTATAAACTAAGTTTCTCCCAAAGTTAGTTCAGCCTAGGCCCAGGAAAGAACAAGGACAGCTTGGAGGTTAGAAGCAAGACGGAGTCAGTTAAGTTGATCTCTTTCAGTGTCTCAGTCATAATTTTGCAAAGACGGTTTCAGAAGTACACAATCAAGTTGCCCACTGATTCAGTTCCTGGTGAGAGCTCTCTGCTTACATACGGCCACAGTCTCCCTGTGTTCTCACCTGGCCTTTCCTCAGGGCATGCATGTGGAAAGAGAGATATCTCTGTTTCTTCTTATAAGGCCACAGTTCCTATAGAATTAGGACTCTGCCCTTATGACTTTATGTAACCTTAATTACCTTTTAAAAGCCTTGTCTCCAAATTTAATCACATTGATATTAGAGCTTTAACATATAAATTGGGGGATGCGGTGGGGATGGGAGCACAATTCAGTCTATTGCATATTGTGGGAACGGTTGTTTCAATGTCTATATTTCATCCTGGGGTACGGCACCTCAACCCCATAAAGCATAGTCCCTGAGTTGGTCCCTAAGTAGAAACTTTAAAAGGCCATTCACATATTCTAGAAGAGTGGCTGCTTTCAGGTGAGGCAGTATATGTTGAACTCTTAAAAATTTATGCTCTTAAAATACTGCTATATACCCGATACATGATAGGTAGCTGCAGTTCTAGAATTACGTTATAACCAATAATAAAACACTCATCTTCATCAATGACTCCATACAATTCTAAAATCGACTTTTCAAATGAAAACCATTTTACTACCTCAAATAAAACACATTTTCAGATGTTTAAGAACCTTGGGTTCTTAATGTGATTCCCCTCTTGGGTCTTCCCAGAGATTCCAAAAACAGATTTTTTTTTTAATTTTTTACTAGTAAAATGTTTAAACATATTAAATCTATCTGGTTGCATGGTTCAAGAGGCAAGAAAGGTTACAACTCAGCCTGGATCTGAATCACAGTAGGTCTTGTTCTAAACAGCTGCTTAAAAAAAGTAACTTCTGAATCCCTTGATAATCAGTTTGGAGGAGTATTTCAATGTGCAGTATATTCTGCCTACAAAACTCAAGGAAGCGCACTGTGCCCCTTTCATACTGGTAGGGTATATATGTGCGATGACTTGTGCTTTGTCTTAGATGAAATGTACTGGCCTGCCTCACAACATTGTGCCCCTAAAAGTTTTATTCAAGTAGCAGTCCCTGAATGTTTCAGGGGTTTACCTTCTACTCATTAGTATAAACGTTTCTTACTAGGACATTTAAGATCGTGTCCATGAACATTTCACCAGGTAAAATTACAATAATGGTGTCCATATATGAGACCAGAGTGATGTGCTGCAGAATATCAAATCAATCAATGTTTTTTCAGACTGTATTCTGAGAGAGAGTAGAAAAGTTAACATAGCTCTTAACAAGAACTGCTAATATTGACATGTAAATGAAAAATACATTTGATCCTATTTATACCAGTGAAACAAAAACACTTGTTATATCATATACTAAAGACTGTGTTACTCTCCTCTAGTGAAGCTACTCCATGAAGTATCTACAGTAATACCTGAAGGTGGCTGGAGAAAAGGCTTAGCTGGGGAAACTGTGCTAGAGACATGCAAGTGACCATGATGATGGAGATAGGGATGACTATGGTTGTGAGAGAGATGTTTTCCACCATCTAACACAAAGGCAGATAGGACGCTAGAGACAGCTGAGGTCTCTAGGTCAGAGCACGAAGGCGCAAGTTCTTGGATACTTGCTGAGGACTGAAAAAGTAACAGGTCAGAAGAACAGGATGTCACTAATTGTGTTCCTCTCCAGTTCTTTCAAGAGATCAAGAAAGAAACAGAAATCTAGACAGAGAAGGTGAAAAAGAGAAGACCTAACAGAGAGCTAAGAAAGGTAGGGGATCTCTTCATTGTAATAGAAATTGTAATAGAAATGAAACTAATCAAGATGAATGCACTATGGTACCATGTTAAGACTCAAGATAATGGATTCAAACATGTGTCTTATATAGGTTTGATGATATTAAATGATTATTTTATTATACTTAGACTTCAACCTATTTAAATTGGATTCTTTAATGTTGTTTCACCATAACACAAATAGCATGAACTTATATTAATCCTATGTAATAGACTGATCATGCAGCATATCCACAAGAGGTTAAAAAACTATGCCATTTTCTGGAATTGAAGGTATTGCATTATTTTATCAATCATTCATTCATAAAAAAGAAAAAGTAAGTAATATAATATTATTTATATGTGCATATATGTATGCACATACATACATATATTAATTTTAATTAAGTAATAATAATCTGTTTTGAAAGTAACCGAACAAGTTGGTGTCCTATAGGTGGGTCTCAAAGCAAGAGAGATAAGGCCCAAAGGAAAAATAAACAAAGAGTTTTAACTATATGTTTGATTTTGGCTGCCTTATTGACCCCTGCATACCTGACTGGCAGAAACAGCTTAGTGGAACCTAGAAAAATCTCACGGAATCATGGGGATTGGATAAAGGTTCTAAGAGCCAGGATTTGGGGGTGTAGGAAATATAAAGCAATATTGGCTACAATAATTTAGGAATTGATAAATTCTATTTTTAATATGTAAAAGGACTTATAGGAAATATAGATAGAGGAGCTATAATACAGTCAGAGAATCTGCAACATACTAAAAAACTCAGAAGAAACCCTTATAATCCAAAATATGGAAACAAATAACAATTGTCTCCACAAAGTAATTCACACCTATGCTTTATTTATTTCAACTCTTTTTTTCATTTACAAAAAACAAAATGTGTAGCTCACTCCCAGAGCTCATTTAATTTTACGTAAACATGTGCTTTGAGGCTGAAGCAAATCTGACTGATTTTCAATGTGAAAATAAAATATAAAAATTGTTCTTGGAGTTATTTCTTAATAGAACTAACATCAGAATAGTCTGAATCATCAGAATCATCTATTTTGGAAAAATCAGATTCATCAAATGAAACAAGTATTCGAGAATGATGTTAACATCATGCGCAGGAATGCCACATTTTCTAGAATTT
Organism: Homo sapiens; assembly: GCF_000001405.40. Lineage (NCBI taxonomy): Eukaryota > Metazoa > Chordata > Mammalia > Primates > Hominidae > Homo > Homo sapiens. Next base: position 78,275,478 of record NC_000008.11, on the reverse strand, counting down.
GACACTTTCAGCAATCAAGAATCACTATATTTGTAAATGGGAGTACTGCTACCAAAACCAGAATGCTATAAATAGAATGATGTCTCCTGTTCTCAAAGTCAATATACTAGAGCAATGCAAAACTAATAATAAAAGTGAGATATTTTTGTGGCAAGTTTATTGCGGGGTAAATGCTGCAGCTGCAAGTGGCACTGGGAAGTATTCTCAGGGCAAATGGGAAAACAGTTAAATTATTTTTAAATCAGTTGCACTAATTTATAATCTCAGTTTACCTATGCTATATAAAAATGTAAGTTCTGCCTCTAATTCTGCCTTTAACCTGCAATTGGAAAATATTTGCACATTTATACATCACTTAGAAATGAATACATACGTGTTCTATATTCAAGTGAAAGTGAATATAGCTATACATTTTTCAGGCTTATCATATCACTACATTAAGGGCTGTGACTTTAAAGTTAGGAAGACCTGAGTTTTAATCAACTAGTGCTATATTTGTGACAAATTAAGAAATATAATCCTTAAACATCTTGCATTCTTCAATAGTGATAGGCATAGGATTATTGTTGATAGTGTTTTTGTGAGAATTAAATGACATTTTATGCATATCCTTCTAAGTATAGTGCCTTGCACAGGATAAATCTTGAATTAACTTGTCACTATTATTATCAAACCTTGAACTTCACAATGCTTTGTCTCTCTCTAGACCCTGCCAAGTTAATTATAACTGAATTTTGTATCTGTATTACTCCATTCTCACACTGCTATAAAGAACTGCCCAAGACTGGATAATTTAGTAAGGAAAGAGGTTTAATTGACTCACAGTTCAGCATGGTTGGGAAAGCCTCAGGAAACTTACAATCATGGTGGAAGATGAATGGGAAGCAAGGTACCTTCTTCACAAGGTGGCAGGAAGAAGAATGAACACAGGAGGGACTCCCAAACACTTACAAAACCATCAGATCTCATGAGAACTCACTCACTATCACAAGAACAGCATGAGGGATACTGCCCCATGATTCAATATCTCTATCTGGTCTCTCCCTTGACACTTGGGGGTTATGGGGGTTACAATTTAAGATGAGCTTTTGGGTGGGAGCACAACCAAACCATATCAATATCTTTCTATTTCTTATTACAAGATACTTTATTGCTTAATCTTTAACTGTTTCTTTAGCTTCATCTCTCAGCTACTTTATACACATATGCTCTAACTATATTGGAAATGTGTGATATTTAGCAAATCTTGTTTAAATATTTTTGCAGAAGTTTCTTTCTCTACTTGAAGTGGTTTCTTTCACCCTTTTTATCCTCCCCACCCTTCCCTGCCCACACATATGATAGCTCATTCTGTTCTTCAAGACTCAAGGACTCTAGATTAAGTTCTTTTAGCAGTTGTGTCTAACTCTTTGAATGCAAGGACTTTTTTGCTTATCTGTGGTGGTGGATATAATGAAAACCATGAATCCTTTTCTTTAGCTCATTGGCTCCCGTTAGTGTTAGTGTATTTTATGTATGGCCCAAGAGAATTCCAAAGTGGTCCAGGGAAGCCAAAACTTTGGACACCCTTGCCTTTAATGCATTTCTATAACATCTCTGTCTCTCTATATCTCTATCACTTACAACTCAGTATTTCTTTGTGTCTCTATTGTTATAAATTGGGTGCTTAGCAGAGCCATCATAAGACAGTCAATTAGTGAATGACCTTGAAAGAAAAACAGAAAGAATAGAAGAAAGTATAAAAAGAAAGAAAAAAGAAGAGAGGGAAGGAGGAAGAAAAGATGGAGGGAAGGAAGGAAGGAAGGAAAGAAGAAAAGAAGGAAAGAAGGGAAATGCTTTTGGATACCAACCCCTCAAAATTTGTTTTTATTGGCTGGGCATGGTGGCTCATGCCTGTAATCCCAGCACTTTGGGAGGCCCAGGCGGGCAGATCATGAGATCAGGAGATTGAGACCATCCTGGCTAACATGGTGAAACCCCATTTCTACTAAAAATACAAAAAAATTAATCAGGTGTGGTGGCGGGCGCCTGTAGTCCCAGCTACGCTGGAGGCTGAGGCAGGAGAGTGGCGTGAACCCAGGAGGCAGGGCTTGCAGTTAGCCAAGATTGCAGCACTGCACTCCAGCCTGGGCGACAGAGCAAGACTCCGTCTCAAATAAATAAATAAATAAATAAATAAATAAATAAATAAATAAATAAATGTTTTTATTAAAGGATGGAATTACTAGAGGGAAACTGAGACCTCCTTGTTGAAGACATACATCTGAAGCCAAAAGTTAACGATGGAAATGTTTTATCAGTTTGCTCCAAGGCATCAAAATCCTTTTATCCAAACCCATCTTCTCTTTTATTCCTGAACAACCTCTTGGCTCACTCTTCAAACACATCTTGAGATCAATGCTGTGTACTTGGCCGTGATCATAGCAGTGATCCTTCTTGCCCTGTGCTTTGCCCATCTTAATTGTTCAGCATAGATCCCTGCTAGCAGCTTGTATTTCATGCCAATCCCATTGGCTGTGGCAAGAGAATATGAAACATAAAATTCATAAAATTTATCAAGGACATCTAGGCTATTTAGTTTGATAGTGACATCTGAAAAGGTGTAGCTTTCATGATATTATAAATAAATATTTATTTCATGAATGTCTATGGCAGTTGAAAGATTTTCAGCTTTGGAATTGCTTTTTAAACTAAGGAATGTTACTAATTTTTAGACACAAAGCGCCTGCTTAATGCCTACCATATAATTAAGAATAAGTTTAAAGTTAATAATTATAGTGTTTGCTCCCTTTTATAGTGTTTCAACAATAAATAAATTATTTAAACAATATAAAAATACATTATGCTTTCCTTATTCTTCCCTCCCATTCCTTTGTCAACCACCTGGCAACTACTGATCTTTTTTTATTGTCTCTATAATTTTGCCTTTTCTAGACTGCCATGTAGTTAAAATCACATAGTATGTAGCCTTTTCAGATTAACTTCTTCCACTTAGCCATAGGCATTTAAGATTCTCCATGTATTTTTGTATCTGGTTGGTCATGTCTTTTGATTGCTGTATAATATTTTATTGTATGAATGTACCAAAGTTTATGTATTCACCTATCAAAGGACATCTTGGATAATTTCATGGTTGGCAATTATGTATAAAGCTGCTATTATATTCTGCTTATTGTGTGGACATAAGTTTTCAATTCATTTTGCTAAATACCAAGGTATGTGATATGGTTTGGTTGTGTATCCACCCAAATCTCATCTTGAATTGTAGTTCCCATAATCCCCCCATGTTGTGGGAGGGACCTGGTGGGAGGTAATTTAATCATAGGGGCAGTTACTCCCATGCTGCTGTTCTTATGATAGTGAGTGAGTTCTGATGAGATCTCATGGTTTTATAAGGGGCTTTTCCCTCTTTGCTCAGCAGTTCTTCCTGCTGCCATGTGAAGTAGGACATGTTTCCTTCCCCTTCAGCCATGATTATAAGTTTTCTGAGGCCTCCCCAGCCATGGTGAACTGTGAGTCAACTAAACTTCTTTCCTTTATAAGTTACCTAGTCTTGGGTATGTCTTTATTAGCAGTGTGGAAATTGACTAATTACAGTAAATTGGTACCACAGAAAGTGGGGTGCATCTGACAAGATACCTAAAAATGTGGAAGTGACTTTGGAACTGGATAATAGGCAGAAGTTGGAACAGTTTGGAGGGCTCAGAAGAAGACAGGAAAATGTGGGAAATTTTGGAACTTCCTAGAGATTTGGAAGGCTCAGAAGACAGGAAGGTGAGGGAAAGTTTGAAACTTCCTAGACACTTGTTGAATGGTCTTGACCAAAATGATAGTGATATGGACAATGAAGTCCAGGCTAAGGTGGTCTCAGATGGAGATGAAGAACTTCCTGGGAACTTGAGCAAAGGTGACACTTGCTATGCTTTAGCAATGAGACTGGCAACTTTTTGTCCCTGCTCTAGAGATCTGTGGAACTTTGAACTTGAAAGAGATGATTTAGGGTATATGGCAGAAGAAATTTCTAAGCAGCAAAGCTTTCAAGATGTGACAGAGCATAAAAGTTCAGAAAATTTGCAAACTGACAATGTAGTAGGAGAGAAAACCCATTTTCTGGGGAGAGGTTCAAGCCCCCTGCAGAAATTTGCATAAGTAACGAGGAGCCAAATGCTAATCACCAAGACAATAAGGAAAATACCTCCAGGACATGTCAGAGACCTTAGCAGCAGCCCCTCCCATCACAGGCCAGGAGACCTAGGAGGAAAAAATGGCTTCCTGGGCTGGGCCCAGATTCCTTTTACTGTGTGCAGCCTCAGAGCCTTGGTGCTCTGTGTCCCAGCTGACCCAGCCATGACTAAAAGGGAATAAGGTACAGCTCAGGCCATTGTTTCAGAGGATGCAAACCCAAGCCTTGGCAGCTTCCATGTGTTGTTGGGCTTACATGTGTGCAGAAGAGAAAAATTAAAATTTGGGAACCTCTACCTGGATTTCAGAGGATGTATGGAAATGTCTGAATGTCCAGGCAGAAGTCTCCTGCAGGGGCAGAGACCTCATAGAGAGCCTCTGCTAGGGCAATGTAGAAGGGAAATATGGGGTCAGGGCCCCCCACAGAGTCTGCACTAGGGTGCTGCCTAGTGGACCTTTTAGAAGAGGACCACCATCTTCCAGACCCCAGAGTGGTAGATCCACCAACAGCTTGCACTGCATGCCTGGAAAAGCTGCAGACACTCAACACCAGCCTGTGAAACAGGCAGGAGGGGGCCTGTACCCTGCAAAGCCACAGCAGGGGAGCTGCCAAAGGCCCTGGGGGCCCACCTCTTGCATCAGTGTGACCTGGATGTGAGACATGGAGTCAAAGAGATTATTTTGAAGCTTTAAGATTTAATTACTGCCAGACTGAAAAGGGGAATTTTGATGGACAGACCGTGTAAAACACCAGACCAAAAAAAAAAAAAAAAGATTTAATTACTGCTTTGTCAGATTTCGGACTTGCATGGGGCTTCTAGCTCCTTTGTTCTGGCCAATTTCTTCCATTTGAAATGGGTGTATTTACCCAATACCTGTAGCTCCATTGTATCTTGGAAGTAACTAACTTGTTTTTGATTTTACAGGCTCATAGGTGGAAAGAAACTGCCTTGTCTCAGATAAAACTTTGGACTTGGACTTTTGAGTTAATACTGGAATGAGTTAAGCCTTTAGGGAACTGTTGCAAGGACATGATTGAGTTTTGAATTGTGAAGACATAATATTTGGGAGAGGCTAGGGTGGAATGACATGGTTTGGCTGTGTCCCTACCCAAATCTCATCTTGAATTTTAGTTCCCATAATCCCCACATGTTGTGAGAGGGACCAAGTAGAGATAATTGTATGATGAGGGTGGTTTCCCCATCCTGTTCTCATGATAGCAAGTTAGTTCTCACAATATCTGATGGTTTATAAGGGGTTTCCTCCTTCACTGGACATTCATTCTCCTTCCTGTCGCTATGGGAAGAAGGACATGTTTGCTTCTACTTCTGCAATGACTGTAAGTTTTTTGAAGCCTCCCAGCCATGCTGAACTGTGAGTCAATGAAACCTCTTTCCTTTATAAATTACACAGTCTTGGATATGTCTTTATTAACAGCATGAGAATGGACTAATACAGTGTGCAACTGCTAAACTGTATTGTAAGTGTAGGGTTAGCCTTGTAAAACATTGTAAAACTGTCTTCCAAGGGGGTGACACAATTTTACATTCCAACCAACCATGAATAAGAATTCCTATTGCTCCACATCTTCTCTAGTATTTGGCATTGTCACTGTTTCAGATTTTGAGGTGTTTGTATCTTTTGCCCATTTTTTTTTAATTGGGTTGTTAATTTTCTGATTGTTGAGCTTTAATTGTTCTTTGTATATTATGGATTATCAGATAAGTGTTTTGAAATTACCTCTGAGTCTTTGTATTCTCTTAATAGTCTTTAATACCAGTATTATACAGAGCAGAAATGTTTAATTTTAATGAAGTCTAATTTATCAATTTTTCTTCCCTAGACTGTACTTTTGGTGTTGTATCTAAAAAGTCATTGCCAAACCCAAAGTCATCTATATTTTCTCACATATTATCTTCTAGATATTTTACAGATTTTGTTTTGCATTTAGATCTATGGTTTTAAACAAAATATTATATTTTCTTGACCATTTTAGATTGTCAATAATAATGTCTTTATTATAATTGTCTAAAAATAGTCTTTAGAATAACACTTTCTTGGTTCTAAAGTTTGATGTACCCACTTACATGGGGTGACCTTTGTTAGGCTAATTAAATTCTCTGTGGTTTTATTGACTGTAAAGTAGAACTAATGATAGTGCCTACAAAATAAGGGTAGGATTACTTGGGATAATACATTTAAAGTATTTTTAGAACACTTAAATGACTCAATAAATGATAATTAATTACAATCATAATAATAATTGTGTTGTAGCATAATGACGCACTGAGATTTGGAAAACTTTTTCTCCACCTTTTATCTTGTTTTATCTCCTTCATGTCAGGCTCTGATATTTCTTACAACTGGCATGGTCCTGACTCTGACAGTCATAATCAACCCTAACTACCAACTCTGCTCTGAGGTTGTGAAGTTCTATAGAATTATGTCTAAAAGAGAAGTAAATTACAAGTAGATAAATAATGAGGTAATTTTCTTTTGAGATACAATGTAGCATATAGGCTTTGTGATGTGTTTTTTAATCTCAAATATTTTCTGTTTTCTTAATGGTTGTATTAATGCTAAGGAAAATTGGACTATAAATTCAAATACATGTGTTAATGCCTTTGTTATAATTAATAGCATATCCTATACTTGCACAGAAATAAATAATATGCTAGAAAATATAAACATGACATGAGCAGTTCTTTATCTAAACTATAATAATATTATTCTTTTATCACATTGTTAAGTTGTATGTGTTAGGTATTGACAAAAGTCCATTATGGGGTAGTGCCCAGTACATAGAGCCTCTCACAACTGCTCCCTTCATTCAGAATAAGGAACCTACTCTTCATTTTGTATGTTACCTTCCCATGACCTGAGCCAATACAAAGATGGGTAAACTTGGGGAGGTATGTTCTTCTTACAACTCTAAACAGGAAGCATAAATAATGGTTATTTTCTCCAAAGAGTTGAATATGTAATATATAAACCCTGGAATTCTGAGATACTATTTTTATTATACTGACTGGATGATCAATAAAGTTGACCTACAAAAAGAGATAACAGAACAGACACACGAAGAGAAGCTCTTATGAATATTGGAGTGTACTGTTGGCCTGCCTGATAAGCAAACTCCAAAGGCCAACCTGCATTTTGGTTTCAGCCTTCAATTAGGCACCCCTGCACTCCCATTGTATTAGTTCATTTTTATGCTGCTGATAAAGACTTACCTAAGTCTGGGAAGAAAAAGATGTTTCATTGAACTTACAATTCCACATGGCTGGGGAAGTTCTCACAGTCATGGCAGAGGCGAAAGGTACTTCTTAACATGGTAGCGGCAAGGGAGGATGAGGAAGATGCAAAAGTAGAAACCCCTAATAAAACCATCAGATCTTGTGAGACTTATTCACTACCATGAGAGCAGTATGGGGGAAACCACCCTCAAGATTCAAAGTATCTTCTACTGGGACCCTCCTGCAACATGTGGGAATTATGGTAGAACAATTCAAGATGAGATTTGGATGGGGACATAGAGCCAAATATATCATTCTGCCCCTGGACCCTCCAAATCTCATGTCCTCACATTTCAAAACAAATCATGCCTTCTCAACAGTCCCCCAAAGTCATAAATCATTTCAGCATTAAATCAAAAGTCCATAGTCCAAAGTCTAATTTGAGATAAGGCAAGTCCCTTCCACCTATAAGCCTGTAAAATCAAAAGTGAGTTAGTTACTTCCTAGATACAATGGGGGTACAGGCATTGGGTAAATACAGCCATTCCAAATGTGGGAAATTGGCCAAAGCAAAGGGGCTACTGGCTCTATGCAAGTCCAAACTCCAGCAGGGAAGTCAAATCTTAAAGCTCCGAAATGATCTCCTTTCACGCCATGTCTTGCATTTGGGTCATGCTGATTCAACAGTTGAGTTCCTATGATCTTGAAAAGCCCTGCCCCTGTGGCTTTGCAGGGTATAGCTTCCCTCCCAGCTGCTTTGACAGGCTGGCATTGAATGTCTGCAGCTTTTCCAGGCACACAGTGCAAGCTGTTGGTGGATCTACAATTCTGAGGTCTGGAGGATGGTGGCCCTCTTCTCACAGCTCCACTAAGTGGTGCCCCAGTAGGGACTCTGTGAAGGGGCTCTGACCCCACATTTTCCTTCTGAACTGCCCTTGCAGAGGTTTTCCATGAAGTGCCCTGCCCCCACAGCAAACTTCTGCCTGGACATCCAGGCATTGCCATACATCTTCTGAAATTGAGGTAAAGTTTCCCAAACCTCAATTCTTGACCTCTGTGCACTCACAGGCTCAATATCACATGGCAGCTGCCAAAACTTGGTCCTCTGAAGCCATGGCCTGGGCTCTACATGGGTCCCTTTCAACCATGGCTGGAGTGGCTGGGAAGCAGGGCACCAAGTCCCTAGGCTGCACACAATACAGGGACCCTGGGCCCAGCCCATAAAACCATTTTCTTCTAGACTTGTGATAGGAGGGGCTGCCATGAAGATCTCTGACATGCCCCGGAGACTCTTTCCCATTGTCTTGAGGATTAACATTCAGCTCCTCATTACTTATGCAAATTTCCGCAGCCAGCTTAAATTTCTCCTCAGAAAATGGGATTTTCTTTTCTATTGCATTGTCAAGCTGCAAATTTCCCAAACTTTTATCCCGTTTCCCTTTTATAAAACTGAATGCTTTTAACAGCACCAAAGTCACCTATTGAATCTTTTCCTGATTACAGATTTCTTCCATGGGATACCCTAAATCATCTCTCTCAAGTTCAGAGTTCCATACATCCCTAGGGCAGGGGCAAAATGCTGCCATTCTCATTGATAAAACAAACAAGAATCACCTTTGCTCCAGTTCCCAAGTTCCTCATCTCCATCTGAGACCACCTCAGCTTGGACCTTATTGTTCATGTCGCTACTAGCATTTTTATTTTGACAAAATGTCATTCAACAAGTCTCTAGGAAGTTCCAAACTTTCCCACATGTTCCTATCTTCTTCTGAGCCCTCCACATTGTTCCAGCTTCTGCCTGTTACCCAGTTCTTCCACAATTTTGGGTATCTTTTCAGCAACGCTCCACTTTACTGGTACCAATTTACTGTATTTGTCCATTTTCACACTGCTGATAAAGACATTCCAGAGACTGGGAAGAAAAAGAGGTTTAATTGAACTTACTGTTCCATGTAGCTGGGGAAGGTCTCACAATCATGACGGAGGGTGAAAGGCACTTCTTACATGGTGGTGGCAAGAGAGAATGAGGAAGACGCAAATGTGGAAACCCCTGATAAAACCATCAGATCTCATAAGACTTATGAAAACAGTATGGGGGAAACCGCTCCCATGATTCAAATTATCCCCCCTGGGTCCCTACCACAACATATGGGAATTATGGTAGTACAATTCAAGATGAGATTTTGGTGGGGACACAGAGCCAAACCACATCATCCATTAATAAAACCTTTCCTTTCGCTTAATGTTTGTTGATATATGTAGCTTCTGTTAATTGTAATAACAAAGAAAAGCCTTAGATATAAGTTGGGTAAATAAAAGTAGTGGCACGGTTAATGGGAAGATGTGTGGAAAACGGAAACTGCCACCAATGTAATCTTCTTGACTTCTCAGTTCTGCCTTGTTCAGAGACCTCAACTCCAGGGAGTCCTGCAGAATGTTTCCTCACCAGCTTAGGTTCCCCTTGACTACAATACTGTGGGAGTTGGGGTTCTTATTATTTTATTCATTAATTATAAAGTAGAAGAATTCTGAAGTTAGAATTCATCCAGACCAGTAATACTCACTTGGTTATGCATCAGAATCTTTGTGTTATTTTTTTAACCATACAGATGTACAGTTCCTACCCCTGAAATTCTTGATAGGGTCTGGGAATCGATAATATTGCAAAGCTGCAGAGTTGCTCCTGATGGTGGTTTGAGAATTGCTGCTCTAGACCTAGTAATTCTATTCGTAAACCTTTTTTAAATTTTGAAATTCTGTTGTGCCCAAACCCTGGGTATTTAACTTTCCTGTTCATTGAATCTCATCCTCTTTTCTTTCACCATGAGGCATAGGAGGCATAGTTTCATAATCACTTTTATTTCTTTCAGGCAATTTTTCTATTTTTTTCTTTTTCTTTTTCTTTCTTTGTTTCTTTTCTTTTTTTTTTTTTTTTGAGACAGGGTCTCACTCTGTCACTCAGGCTGGAGTGCAGTGGTATGATCTTGTCTCACTGCACCCTCCGCCTTCCAGGTTCAAGCAATTCTTCCACCTCAGCCTCCAGAGTAGCTGGCACTACAGGTGCTACCATCACGCCCAGCTAATTTTTCTAGTTTTAGTAGGGACAGGGTTTCATCATGTTGGCAAAGCTGGTCTTGAACTCCTGACCTCAGATGATCACTGCCTCAGCCTCCCAAAGTTCTGGCATTACAGGCATGAGCCACTATGCCCAACATTTTCAGGTCATTTTTCCAGCCCCAACTTCATTTTTCTTCTTACTTTAGACATCATAACTTCTAAGAAGTTTCTGGTTCACATAGGGTCATGGTGCTTTCTTTTCAGAAACAATTTAATATAATTAAACAATTTCAATAATTCCACTGCTAACTAAAGTATCTACAAGTCACCACTTAATGGAAGATCACTATCCATTCTTTGGTCTTTTCTCATTTTGTGTTTTCAACATTGAGAGCTGGGAAATTCTGATTTGTTCCATGCTTTATACATTGGTTTTTATTTCAGTTTTGATGGAGAAAGTCAAAAAACTCTATTGGTTGGGACCAGTACAAAATCCTGTTACTTAATGGATGCCAACCCCTTAGTGTTTCTAGGCAATTTTTTTATGCCTCATTTTCCCTCCTCATTGCATTCTTCACTGAAACTCTCTCTAACTGTCTCCACTACCTCAACATCCCAAGTGACTTTTGACCTCAGCACATGGCTTCATCACCTTCTTTTCTGAGATAAAAATCAATCTCGTATGAGTTCCCTTACTTTGCTTTCTCTCTACCTGAAACTCTGTCTGTCTTTAGTTTACATTTCGTTTTTTGTTCTGATCTTATAGGAGGACCTGCTCCTTTTCTTTAGGGACTAACTCCTAGATTTGTGCTCTTTGTCTTATCTTCCCTGTCTTAGACCCTTATTGTGTCAATTATTCTTGCTAGCATCTTTCATCTTTTGTTCTCCACTGGATTCCTACCCTGTGCTTTCAAATATGTTTTTGTCTTCCCATCCTTGCACAAAGGACGTTGCTCCATAAATATTTAATGAAGTGATATTGAATTGAATTGAACTTAATTCCTCAAGCTCACAGAGTTACTAGTGGCATACCCAAAAATTAAAACCCAGGATTTCTGATTTTAGTTCAACATTTTTTTCTGAAGATAAACAAACATTTCTTAAAGGAATGTTTTAGAACTAACTACCATTTGAAATTTAAACCCAGTGACTATGTTTGCTGAAGTGTAAATGTTTGATTCACTAAAGTATATTATTTGTCTACTCATCAGTAAAATAGTATTGATCCTAATACAATATGATATTTGGTCATTAATCTCTCATGTTATACATTATACATGTAAATGATTCGTTACAGAATTGGAAACATATTAGTCATGTATGATAGATAAACTAATGTGAAGGGTTTATTTTATTATATCATTTAAATGTTGTTATAGGTTAATTTAATACCATATACTTTTTATTCATTATGAAATTGATTATTACTTAATAGCTCACCATGGTTACCTCTTGGAGATGCTAGAGAAACAGTCACTATTAATTTAAAATCAGTTATAATAGTTGAATAAAGAAACATTATCTTTTTTTTCCTGTCTAGAAAATAAAGACTTAGGATGAAAACAATGCATCACTTTTTAGAATTAAAATCTATTCTGAGAAAAATTATGCCAGTCACACACCTGCAGAACAAACCTCTGACCAGACATAATTCTATTAGATTAATTTATTGGTTAACTCTTCTTGGGCTGCTGTAAACATAGCAGGAGCCAGACATGAATTACAAAATAGATTCACATGACATAACCAGATGTCCAGAATTTTGATGTTAAATAAAGGAGCATTTTCTTGAACAGGAGCTCAATTTCTTGGCTCTTGTTTATATAGGGTCATGATGTTTTCTCTTTGAAAACAATTTAGTATAATTACACGATAGCAAATGTTAAGAAAAGCATTTGTATGTAGTAGATTTATGACCATATCCTCTCAATCTTTAGCTTTGAATTCTGAATTTTGGCAGCTGTTTAGACAGTCACATATCTAGAGATAATAAGTACTGTTTAGGATTTCTCTTTTTTATTAATTTGACCAAATTTTGGTTTTATACATCTCAAAATTATGTAAGAAAATAGATTCAGACTGTACTTTCTAAAAATTGGGTGTACATGGTTTTGCAAATACCTGAAAACTTTGCTTGGATTGACTGTAAGGTCATAGTTTTCATGTTTATGTCAACAAATTTTCTATCCTTTCTAATTCTAAGCTTTTATCACACATAATTTATATTAACTTTATAAGAATTATTAAATTAAACTTCAAGATGAATGAGAACTAAACTTCTGTGTCTTTAGGTTGCACATAATACTTATCCATAGCACTGATTTCAATACTTGATGCTTTCACCACCATATCAGAATAAAGAGACAGGAAAATTGTATATGTTGCATATGAGTTTGATTTTAGAGTTTAGAATTGGATTATTAACCAATGGCTTGTACAAGACCACAAGGGATCTTAAGTAGACTTAGCTGGGATGTTGATATGTTTCATCAAGTCAACTCTAATATTTCTATTTTGTCACTAGGAGAAGAAGGGTTTATATAAGAAATCCATTATTGATATTATATTCAATCTTTGCAAAATGTATTATTAAAACATATATATTTCACTTTGGTCATGAAAATAATGATCATAAATAATGTAACAAGTGTATAATAAAACAGGATGCATGCTTTGGTTTTATGGAAACATTAATTTCCTCCATCATCAGTGTCACCTACTAATGTTTACATCCTGTTTAGGAGAGAGGAAAAGGGCAAGAATGCCATTTACCCTCTGCATGGCATTGTGGAACATATTGCTTACAGGATAAGATCTTTCCTAGTATCTCCTAATCAGCACCACCCAATTAGATATAGAAATAGAATGGGATCTGGTGAAGAGAAGCAGATCCTCAGAGAATCTGGGAGATTTTCCTATGGGTAGTATTATTCTTATAGTTCTAAACTTCAAAAGTTCTTTTAAATATATTGGGAATGCTCATTCTTTCCTTTTTAGCTCATCACAGTCTATATCACGAAACATTTTAAGATCATCATTCTAATATAATTTTTAAATTACACATTTTATTTTAGAATAATAATGTTTTGCATATTAAAAGGTCTTTGGCATTTTTGATACATCATCACAACTTTATATGTGTACTCTAGTTTTCAATTATTTGATTTGTACTATTTTAGTCATCAAAAATAAAGAAGAAATGAGAAGATATCTCTTACCACTCTAATTGTTCTCCCTGCTTCAGTAACACTGGCCCCTTTTTATGTATTTATTTATTTATTTTAATTTGTCAAGCCGGTTTTTGTCTCTTAGGCTTTTCACATGCTATTCTTTCTGCAGAAATACACTTCTTCCACTGACTGTTTCTCATCATCTGGTCTCTGTTCAAATTTCTCCTCCTCTGTGAGGAATTATCCGATTAATCTTTCTAACATTGCTTTCTGCACCCACTCTATCTTTGTGACACTTAGCAATATCTGACATTATTTTTATTTAGTGACTTATTGTCTTTCTCTCCCACTGGAGCATGAAGTTCCTTAAATAAAAACATTGCATCTTATTTACTGCTTTATTTGCATTACCTAGAATATCTGTGACTGGAACATTTTTGATACTCAAAATAATTTTTTGACTGAACAAATAAATGGATGAATGAATTGATCAATGAATTAATCCATGTTATCTTGCCTTAATAAATCCACTAACATAAATAATAAATATTGCAAATATTACATTTATTTACTAAAGCTACCATCTCAGTCTCCTGAAAATGATTACTAGTTCCAATTCCTTTCACTGAAACTGAGATAAGGCAATGACATTATCTGCCTTAAATGAACATCAGAATTTTCCAGTCTTAGAAATACTAATACAAATTTAAGAGAAAAAAACATGTTCCAAACAGAAGCAGCTTATTGAATTTTTATTGGTTAAAATTCTTTATTGGTTAAAATTCTTTAATCTGATTCTTCTATTTCTATTCAACTTTTATATATGAATATATGGTAATTTATATGGTTACATGGAGAAGGTAAGCAATTGTCAAAGGACATACCAAATTTGGAATTAGAAAAAATTGTCAATTTTTCTTTAACATTAATGACCATGAATGTCAAAGCAGGCAAATTAATTAGTGTGGTGCAATTGCCTTACATATCCCAACATTCAAATTTAAAAATAATTTGTCTGATTTTGAGTTTGTACTTTAGTTCCTTTCACATTACAGGGATTTGATAGGTGTTTTTAGAGAATGCATAATAGCATCTTAAAATTTTCATGGACCTGTATATTGAAATCTAAAGGAATCAATATTGGCCCTGGTAACTACCTAGATCAACACTGCCCAATAGAACTTTCTGTGTTAATGGAAATGTCCAATAACCTATGTTATCTGGGATGGTAGCCACTAGTCATATGTGGCTCGCTAGCACTTATGTAGCTAATGTTACTGGGGAACTGGTTTTTAAATTGTGTTTAATTTTTACTAACATTAATTCAAATATAAATGATGACATGTGGCCAATGGCCACCATGTAGACATTACAATGTTACTTGTGAGGGATAGTGATTTTTAACAAATCAAGTTGTATCTGCTTACAAAGCTTCACAGTTGTCCCAATGTTTTGGATGTGAAAAAACTTGATTTTAGTAAAATAATTTTAACTTAATCTGTGACTGGGCCCCACAGGATACTTGGGTTCTATACCGCATTCCGCTATGGAACATTTCCCATCCAAGTTTAGATGTGATACCCAATAAATTTCCTTCCAAATAGAAGATTCTGTGATATTTTAAAAACTAATATGAAACCATAGTCATTTCATGGATAATTCTTTTTATTATTTCTTTTGTGTTGATTTGGGCGAAGATGTTGAATTGTGAGAAGAAAGGTAGTTCACAAATCTAAAAGGTCTGTGTCATATAGAGGCCTAAGTAAATCTTTCCTAGTTTTATCAGTTCATTCTTATCCAGAACTATCACCTGGGGCACTTTAGTGTTTACAATAAAGTAAAAGTAAAATATAATAAGAATACAATAAAATGCAGAAATATTATGCAATACGATAAATTAAAAGCACTTTTTGAAAAAAATGTTTTCTACAGTGTTAAAAAATATTTGTATGGAAGTAATGCCCCTGTAATATATAAAAATTGTAATAATACAATTAACATGAACTGGGATGAAGTAAACATTATATTCTTACTTTGTTTCCTTTGAGCTCGAGCTATGGTGTCAAACAATACCACTGATAGTACTTTTTATAAGTTGCTTATTTAATTGTTTCATATGTTCATAACAACTAGACACACCTTAGAGAGCTGTCTTGAACTGAATTGGAAAATATATTAAGAGTGTGCATCATCGTACTGGACATGTAGTAAGCATGCAATAAATGTTGTTTTCTATGTTTCTTATTTTCTCATAGTCATTATAGCCACTGATAAGAGATCAAAGCAAGAAAGAGGATTACCCCTTGTTTTTTACCTGTGAATGCAGGTAACTTCTTTGGAAAATCAGTGTACATATATCTGTAGCTGTTATAGACAATAGAAAGAAGACTGCCATTTTAACATAACAGGGATACAATGTACTAACTCTATGAAGATGTCACTTCTTTTAATAGGTACATTTGCCAAGTAAACCCTGATTTTGAAGAAAAATAGTCACCTATTAAATGCAAAATATGATTCACATTACATAAATACACAAAAGAAGACATTTTTATTTTCAAATGTCCATGTATAGAAGGTTACAGAAGATGATGTAATCTCTGTTAAGTCTTTTTTCATAGAACATTATAGAGTAAAATGTTGGAATGGTAGAAGGAGGAAGAAACTAAAAGATGCTTGAATTTCCTGTTTGTATCACTTTTACCTGAACATATTTTTCTGCATGTTCATTTCCTTTGTGTGCTTTTCTTTCTTAAAGAATAAAAAAAAAATCTGCCTCATGAAAATGCAAGAGAGTCATCCCACATAAAGACCATCTTTAAAATGCGCATTATTTATTTGACAGACTGTAATGGCTGTTTCAGGGATATTATGGGCTGTCACGTGAATATGTATTTTAGAATGAATACTACTGTACAAATACGGTGCTTGCACAATGCACATCAAAAAATATAACCTAATAAAATGCCTTTTGAAGATTAGGCAATATATAAGGATATGCTGGAGATGGAAAACCCAGTTGAATTAAAACAGGAAAAGGTCTTAAACCCAAATGATACATAGGTCAACTTCTTTGGGAGGTAAGGGAGTGGAAAAGGAGAAAAAAATATTCAATCCTAACTTAACTTTGTAATGTAATAATATTTTCAGCTTTTGATTTTGACATTAAGTAAAATAGAGTTTTTGGAGAATATTTTTATTTGGTTGATATTGACAAAGAATGAGTGTTTTAGAATTTTATTTTACTTATAACATTTTGGGCCCAGTTACCAGACTCAAGATTATTAATAAATTAGAATATTTAATTATGGAAAGTTTATTTTAAGTTAGAATTAAATAATTCATGCACTTATTTTGTGTGTCTGAGATTGTCTGTAATTCCTATGGTTCGGTATTAAGTTCCTTAGTATCTGTAAGATGCAATGGATACAAATCCTTCCCTGAAAGAGTTTGTGGTCAAGGAGGAAGTTACAACATGAGTATGTCTTACTATAATAACAGGCTGAAAACAATAAGGGCTTTAAGGGACATATAGATAAGATGTTCCAACAGTCATATAGGAAATAAATACAAAGAACAATATGGCATATCTACAATAATGACAGATGAAAATCTTTTGTGTTTGGGTCGCATTTCATCAATAATTGTGTTTTGAACCTAGTTACCTTTACCCATGTCTTACCCAATATTGCATACCTTTCTCAATGTTCAAGAAGTTTGGGTTTTGTTGTTGTTGTTTGAGACAAAGTCTCACTCTGTCGCCCAGGCTGGAGTGCAGTGGCGTGATCTCGGCTCACTGCAACCTCCCCACCTGGCTTCAAGCGATTCTCCTGCCTCAGCCTCCCAAGTAGCTGGACTTACAGGTGCCCTCTACCACGCCCGGCTAATTTTTGTATTTTTAGTAGAGGCGGAGTTTTGTCATATTGGCCAGGCTGGTCTCGATCTCCTGAGCTAGGGTGATCCACCTGCCCCAGCCTCCCAAAGTGCTGGGATTACAGGAGTGAGCCACCGCGCCCAACCTGAATTTTGTTTTTTGTTTTGTTTTGTTTTGTTTTTGTTTTAGACCATGAAAAAATAAACTCTATCAGCATTGTTATGCCTTACATTTTTTTTGGGGATGACCAAAGTTTTCTAATTCAGGTTATTCTAATAAATCTAAAAAAATTGATGTGATACATAAGCTTCAAGTAAATCATTGATCTTAACTTTTAGTAGATATCTTTTCTTATTTTATCCTTTTTTTCTGTCCCCCTTTATGTCCCCCAAAATTGTCAAAATAGACAATTTAGTATTTGCTGAGATATAGATAATTCCACCAATCAAAGATCCTATGTTTCTAAAGTTTCTCAACAAACAGAATTTTTCTGAAGTACATGTTCATTGAACTTCAGAAAAGTTTACAGCACCCGGAATAAGGACTTGAAATTAAAGAAAACAAAATCTGGCACAACTGCCAAAATTATTGAAATTAAAAGATTTTAAAATATTTACCAGCCACTTATTTAGGTCCAGACTCTCCTTCAGAACTACAATGTAATCCATGCATGCACTTTTAAATTCTCTGGTAGTGACATTAGAAAAGTGAAAAAGGTGAAAATAATTTTAATGCTATATTTCTAACATTATTTCAACATGTGGTTGATTAATGATATACTTCATATTCTATTTTTTTCATGTTAAGTCTTTGAAACCTAATATATATTTTATACTTACGGTACAAATTAATTCAGACAGGCCACATTTGAAGTCCTCGATAGCCTCTTGTGGGTACAGGTTTCCTTACTGAGCAATGCTGGGCTAATATTTTCAGTATGTTATTTAACTCTCACAGCCATCCTGTGAGGAATCTATCATTAATTCCCTTTTACAGATGAGAAAACTAAAAACCAGGAAGTATAAGTCACTTCACACAGCCAAAAAGAGATGGAAATTAAACAATTCCAATTGTATTAAAATCCTTTCTTTTCATATCTTTTATTATAGTGATATTTTATGAAGTTTAGATTTTAGAATTTGGACTTCCAGGTAAATAATTTTTAAACTAAATTGCATATTTCCTAGAAATTTTTATTTTCTAAAAAATAAAGGACTCTTTTTGAATTGCACTCACAAATGGCTTTCAAAAGTAGGCAAACCTGAAACCATTTCCTTGTTTCATAGCCTTTATTGAATTCCGATTTGTTCTATTTCAAATCATAAATAACATATAATTGAAATTATTCCTTTGACTATATACCTTTCCCTGGAGTCTCCTAAAGACATAAGCCTATTTTGTGTTATATTATTTTTTTCTAAGATTCGTGATTTTTCTAATTACAGTGCAATATTTATTTGCTCACTAAAGTTCCTCTTAACTGTTTCCATTATTTTGGTTGTTGCTTGGAATTTCTTATTGGTATGAGTCTTGTCCTCATTTTGTTATTTTTATTTTAGAGACAGGGTCTTGCTATGTTGGTTAGGCTATGTTGCAGTGGATGTTCACAGCTGAGATCATAGCACACCACAACCTCGAACTCTTGAGTTCAAGTGATCTTCCTGCCTTAGTTTCCCAAGTAGCTGGGACTAGATGTGAGAGAACTACCACACCAAGCCATTGTCCTCATCTTTAAGTGAAGAGACTCAAAGGCTGACTATGATATATGATGAAAATTCATCTTCTTTCTATAGCAAAGATCTAATAAGAGAAAATGTGCCAGCATTTATCAGGGGAGATTTGGGCAGGTGTATTATAATTTCATTGTCAACAATAAATGTGTAACCCTAGGAAATTTGTGACACCGTGGATTCTCTTCTCCTGTGAGATCCTATTTAAGCAAAAAAGAAAAAAAAAACCTTTCTGAAGACTTATCCTATATTAAATTTGTCCTAAACCAAAGAATATAATATGTTCAGAGGAAAAGAAGGCATTTTTTTGTTTTCTGGAAGCTTATTACAGAGTGTGTAGAGGATAGGTACAACCAATTTATTAGGAAAACTAAATCCTAACAGGAGACAGAAGTCCTAAATTTTAAAGAAAGTATTTGAGGAACGTAAGTAAGATGTGAATTAATTCTGATGAGATGAATTTAAGAACCAGAGAGCAGGTTGGAGGTGATGGACCATGAACCTAGATGGGGCATCAGAGATATCCAACCCATTAATAAGCTGGACACCCTCTGTTTAAGTATATAATATTTACCCAATGTTTAATGACCCAGTCTCCCTAATTCTGGTAGTGGAGGGAAACTCTCTGAAGTCTTAGATATGCACTTTATTACTTGTTGATTATAATCCAGAAGCATGTCTTTCTATATATCAGAGATCTATCCCAATCCCACATTCTTCTTCATAGCCTTTTTTTTGTTATTATTGTTGTTCCTACTTATTAGTCATTAAGCAGATATTTAAAAACAAACAAACAACAGGAACAAAATAATGGAGCTTCACATTTGTCTGTTTTATTTTGCATGAAATTCTTTCTGCAGTTAGGAAGTCACTTGCAACCAGCTCTCAGAATGATTGAATTGCATGAAGTAGAGCCACATTCCTGAATGCATGTCTGATCTTATAGACCATAGGTGTTTCTTTTTTACCTTTTCGGTTGCTTGCGTAGTGTCTGTTTTTTTCTTTTCCCTTTTTGGCTGCTTATGACCGACTTCTATTCCTTTGTCAATAGGATTTCAAATTGGTTCTCTTCCCTTTTCTATACTTTGTGGTCAGTGTGTAATTAGGGACATTGTCAAGGGGAGCTCATGAAAGACAAACTAGGTAAGTGGAAGTTCCCTTCCTGGAACTTGAAACTTGATCAGAGAGAGTGAGCGACTGAAAATGTTTGGAGTTTAACTTTCCATGTTGTGGTACATGATCTCTACTGTTCCATCCATAGAACTACTGTGGCAGTTTCTGCATCCAGGTCTTTATTTCCCCAATTCTGCAAGTTTTAGTCTATGTGAGCACTTGACTTCCCTTTAAAAATTACCTTTTGCTTAATATAGCCGGGGACAATATCTAGCGCTTTTAATCCAAAGAGTGTTAATTGATATACTAATCAAGTTAATAGAAATGAATTGGATTTTTTGCCTTGATTCCTGAGAAAGTTATTTAATTTCTTTTGTCTTCTGTACAATGGAGATATTGACACTTAAGTGAAAGTTATTTGGGACTATCACGTGAAAGGATATAAAGTGCTTGGTTCAGAGCAAGTGTTCAGAAATGGTAGGAAATATACAAAGTGCTCAGTTTCTGTGTGTGCATTTATATGTGTGTGTTTTACTATATATATATTTTTAAGATATGTATAGACACATACACATATAAATATACTTTGCATTATACATATTTAAACCTACTATATATGTTATATAAACACATGCACACACATATAACCTAGCACTTACATGTACTTATATCTCTGTGTGTGTATATGAGTGTGTAGTTAAGTATTGTGAGTTTTCATGGCTCTGTCAATTATCTGGAGTTGGTGTTTGAACAATAACACACTTTGCAGTTGTTAAAAGTCCTTAGTAGATTTCTTGTTCATGCCTTTTACTGGGTTTAAGAAATTCATTTGGCACTACATTTTTGAGATAGGAGTTAAGTTATAGTTTTCTGAGGTTCCTGTTAAATTCTTTGGGTCTGTTTGATGTAACCCTGGTGCTAAATAGTATATTGTTTTTTATCATAATTAGTGTTTTGATGAGCAATTTTGCAGGCTGATTCTGCCCATTATTTCTTGCCCTATTATTTCTTACTTACAAAATACAAGAAATTAACTTTTAAGGGTTTTTGATCATGTATCTGACTCCAGTAGTAGAAAAATACTGAAATTTTAGCATCAAGCTAAAAATGCTTCATTTTCCTAACAGAGAAACATCGATAATGAATCAATACTATTAGATTGATTATTCCTAAAGCATTTGTTTGCAAAACCTGGGTTATATTTAAAGGAAAATATGGATTAAGAAAACAAAACATGAGATTACAAACTGCACAACTACAAAAACTTGAAGGGAAGAACAACATTCATAGTTCATAACTCTTTGTCATTCATGGATATAGTATCAACTGCTAGATTTTACCAAGCCCTAGGCTCATCGATGTTATATTTCCTTCATCAATTTGTCCAGCTTGTGGTACAATAAAACATGCCTCTTAGCACTAGCTGTTGCCAGAGCCTGAAAATTTTATATTTTTTGTAGTATTTAATATAAAATAATAGCATTCAAATGTCAGCATTTTAAGTAGTAAGAATTTTAACAAAAATATTGAAAAGAGTATAGTAAACAAATTTTCCATTAAGGCATATTCTTTGAAGACTGGAAATGCTAAGTCTCACAGGAATGTTACATGTTGCCATCTGTAGGAGGAGATTACAAACATCTTGACTTCCTAAGAAAAACAGACAAGCAAATAAAACAAAAATGGCTTTTATATATTGTGTACAATGATTAACCTTAGAAATCGCAAACATACACAAACATGGCCACTTAAGTA
Source organism: Homo sapiens (assembly GCF_000001405.40). NCBI lineage: Eukaryota > Metazoa > Chordata > Mammalia > Primates > Hominidae > Homo > Homo sapiens. The sequence continues at coordinate 78,253,361 of NC_000008.11, read as the reverse complement.
TTTAGTTTAGTTTGATATATGTAATTTAAAAAAATTTTAGTACAAACTATGTTTTGCTCAAAAATTTGTGTGATTAATGCATCGATTTAACTTCCCAATGTAGACTGCTGCTAGGCAGATTCTGATATTATTTATTTTTATTAGTTTATAATATGTCAATTTTTCTTGCTTATCTGTCAACTCCCAGAAAAATACATAAATCAAAAATGTAGCAATGTGGACACTAACAAGGCATAATTATTGTAGGGTCTGTCCTCCTTTAAAGAAAAAATACAATTACCTACGAGAATGCTGCTGGGATTAGGTCAGAATTTGCATAATACTGACTCATATTTTCTTAACAATTTTAATATCAGACAATAGCTTTTGCAAATCTATAATCCCTTATTATATTCTAGCTTCACTTTTTGGGCTCAAATAAGGAGTTCAGTCAAAACAAGATGGTTATTAGAATCTAACCCATGGAAAACTTTAATTACTCAGTGGCATGTTATTAAGATTAGGTCAGGATTTTATAAATTTTATATATTTAACACAAGGCAATTAAGCTTGCCTAAATGTAATTTTTTAGAGTTGAAATATTCATTTTTCTATAGATAAATATTTAATAGAAAATACTTCAATCATTGTGCAAGCTTAAGGAAAAAAATTCTACTTCAGCATAATCTCTAAACAGCAGTTCTAAGACTGGTGTTATTAAGCGGTTAGAAGGCTAACAATCAAGAGATGATGAAAATTTGGAAAATGCTAACTGCTATAAAATAATAGCTGCTAATGTGGAGGATTACGAAACACCCAGTAGCAGAATAAGTAAGAAATAGATCCTTTCTGAAGTCCTGAAGTCTGGGGGTGAGATCTGGGGTTAAGTAACCGTGATATATTTATAGAGGGCAAGGGATCACCATAAAATAAAGCAGCAAATAGTAAAGAAGTCAATGTAAAAGAGAGGCCAGGGATTTAGGGTATAGAGATCATAAATTTTCATCTATATAAACAGCCTGTGTACCTCAGGAGTTGAGGTTTAGCTATAATTTCAGGTCTGACCTATAGGCCTTCTGTGTTCACAGTGCATGCACGATCAAGATGCCATCTAAGGAGGTGTAAAAAAAGGGAAAGAAAGAAAGGAGAAAAAAAAGCTTTCAGATCTGTGTGATTTACTCATTTAATCATCTCCAAATCCATCCCAAATACAAGAGCACAGTAGTTGAGAAGATTTTATTGTCTCACTAAATTAACGTTTAATTCTTACCATAGCATATCCTATAAACAAGAACAGTGAATGATGTCTTCTAGACCATGTTCGTGCAAAGGAAAATTGTTAAGTTTTTATGCATGTCTTCTCAGAAGGTCATTTTACCTTTCTCTATATAGTTCAGAAATCCATATTTACATGTTTAAATTTTAAATTTGTATTTTAAAGCCTGCTTAAAACTTAGTGGATTAAAAAATCTCAGTGATAAAATGAGCTTGTTTAATGGTTTAACAGAAGCAATAAAAGCAAGCAAATCAACATGAAAGAAGAACTATTAAGTATTTAGCTTTTAGATGTTACCCTGAAACAGAACACTGAGTGGCTTTAAAAAGAATAAGTAATCTTCATGAAGACTTTGACTTTTTATTTAGGGACATTGATGTTAATATATATAGGCACTAAAATAAACTTTCTGTTCTAAATTGTCACTGAATGAGCAAATCATATTACTATACTTGTGTGTGTATGCAATATATAGTCTAGATAGATATGTAATCTTTTTATCTATGTGTGTCTGTGTATGTGTGTGTGTATATATACATATATACACACACATATACACATGTACACATATAGATATATACATATAATATATAATATATACATATATTATATATATGTCATATCAATATATATGTCACAGATATGTCATGTTTTTCTCTGTGTGTGTATATATATGCATATATATACACACATACATAGAGTATATATACACATGGTATATATACAGTGTGTATATATATATACAGTGTATATGTTTTAGGGATATAAAATGTACCATATACACACAAACACTCTCAAACACACACACACTTACAAATACACGCATACACATAATTCCTACCAGAGTATGCCAAGCAATAGTTAACATAAAAGTAATTTCAGTAAATGATGTATAGTGTTTATTTTTTATTGTGAATAGTTAATTCAGTATTTTTAAATTAAGATCTCAGAAAGTATACCTCAAAAACATTCACTTGAGTGTTCAATTATTAATTTTTAAAGCCTTAGATTTGTTTTTCTAGACATGTTATGGTATCACTTGTATTCTCAACATAAAAAATGCAGGGATTTCTCTCTTTTTACCACTGTGAGGAAATATAAATGCATTAGGAAAGTTGAGAATGATCTTTAAAATAACAAAATCTGTTGAAGAGCTCTCATGGCCTGCCTTGGTTGGCCCTGAAGGGCAGGGCTCTTTGCTTCTTCCACTAGGTTGCACTGTTGTACAGAAAAACAAAACAATGCTTGTTGTGCTCTGCCGCATAAGCATAGCTGCATGCTGTGAAGAAACTTGTAAATGCTATTATGCTGATTTTACCAACAGAAAGAAAGAAGATTAAGATAGGAAAACTGACATTTGAACATTTGTGTAGAGTTTCCTTGAAGGTAGGCAAAACACACTAAATTTTATTTTTTGTAGTGAAGGAAAGGGTGTGAATAAAGGTTAGGGAAGAAATGTTGGTCAACAGTCCTCCAAGATGAAATGGCCTCCTTTCATATTCCCTTAGATGTTGATCCTTCCAGGAAGTGGCAAATCTAATGTTTCTCATCATTTTTCCTCTACAATCAGGTATTGTTGAAATGTAAAATTCCATGAAGATGAACTATAGATTTTCCTATTGGTGTCACATGGAGATGGCTAATGACTATGTTTAAGTGGGTGATTATGGCTATCTCATTTATTCCTTTTTCCCCCATGGCATCATTTGAAATATTGATCTTCTTATATGAATGAATAAATTAATGAATGAATAAATAGAAGCAGAGTTCCTTTATACTAGTTCATATTATTCAAACCTTATTAACAGAACAGTTGTAGCAATTCCCTTGTATCTGCTAGCATACTTTTCAGTCTACATATGGGCTGTACTTTATCAAGGAAATTACTTACAGAGAATCTAGTAGGAGGTGGGAAAAAAGCTACTCCTTTAGTTCTGGTGTAAATCAATGGGAATTTTTGCTTCATGGATTAGCACCTCTTGTATCCCTCATCTCTTTAGGGCAGTAAGCTGAGACAATCATAATGAAGACCAGAACTATTGGCTACCACCATCACAAAACTTTTCAGGGGAATAGGTCATCAGAAAGACCTGAGTCTGGAACTGGTTATTTCAGTTGGCTTGATGTAAGTCCCACATTTGGTAATTGACCTACTTTAAGGTTTTGAATATTTTACTAATAACTTTCAGCTACCTAATTAATTTCTTATTGTTTTATGAATATAACAATGAAAACCTGATAAACTTTTGGATCAAAGGGCAGAAGGGAAAACAAATCCAATGAATTATACAAGTATACATTGCATGTGTATTAACTCACATATGACATGGACTTTAGGAATTATGCTTATGAAAAATCATGTGTCTCATTTTTTGGAATAAAGGCCTTGTGGGATTTGTGTAATTAAAATTTTCCCCAAAAGGCTGCTTTCCTTTGGCTACTATCTTTAGATAAGGCTTTACCTTTATATCTTGCAGACACATAGATTGCATTCATTTTTAACAGTTTCCAGGAAATGAAATTTTATAGTTTTATTTCATTGTCAGCATTTCCCTTTATAGTCAAGCTCTGATCTACACAGTGTAGTTGGTCAGTTTCCTTTCAAACTGTATTCCAAAAAAAAATTGAAGTTAATTTTTTTGTGAACTTAAAAGTTGTTTATATATTCTTTTACTTTTTCTCTTTTGAGTATGCCTATTCCTTTAGACTCTCATTGAAGGTGCTATTGTCCAACATTTAAAACACTTAAAATATGACCAGTAGAGTAGCTGCAATTTGATTGGCATTCAATAAACATTGAATGGGAAAATACATGTATTTACTAGGGATCTTCTCTTTCCTGAGCCCTTACTATTTGTCAATTGCCCTGGGAAGTATTTTACATGCATTATCTCATACGACTCATACTATCAATGTAATGAAGAGAGTATTATACCCAGTGTTACATATAAAAAATGAGGCTTAGTGTGGTTAAAGCATTTTCCAAGGTAGTGAAAAATAAATTTAGGATTTCAACTTAAATTTGTTGTCTGCTCTTACAACTCTGAGAAATTAATGTTTTTTAATTAAACTTTTCCATGACTCCAGGCTCAATCAAAGTGCATTTATTGAGCACTTACTCCATGCCAAACTCTAATGAGATTATAAATACCAAAAAATAAATTTTCTAACCTTGAAATATGTATGATAAAGTTGGGGAAAGAGATAGCAACTTTCAGAAAGTATCTGAAAGCAATAAGAAATTAGGTACTTCATTATATGGTAAATATTCAAGTCCTCTTGGCATTCAGAGAAGAAAAAATCATTGTTGGATAACAATTTATCATTCAGGATAGAAGCCATTAATTAAACCATTTATTCAGCAAGTATTTAGAATCCATCTGTCAAGTACTGGCAAGGTATTAAAGTAAAACGCATTACATTCAGATACAAAGCATTCAAAGCAGATAGAACTAAAGAATTCTTGAGGGAAGCCAAAGAAAATAAGAAACATCATACTGAGGCACTGATCCTAGGGAAGTGGTGATTCTAACCTGGCATGAAAAAAATTATTATCTATTGAGGCCTTTGGTGGAAGGCTAGGATGAAATGTTCAAAAATTATCCAATCAGCAATTATGTCATACTAAAGATTCATAGGCAGGAAAATTTAAGGGGTGTCTAAAAAATTCATTGCTGTGTGGGATGGATTTACTGAGGTTGAACATGGAGGAAATAAGGTCACTTGTTCTTTAATTTTTTTGAAAGCATAGAATGCCTCCTGAATTTCCATGAATTCTCACTAATACATTTTAGAACCATACCTGATTATATAGGATCATCCTTTCGTAAGACAGAATGTCATTAATCACCGTTATATCATTAGTTCCTAGCACGGTGACTATGACATAATTCATACTCACTAAACACTCATGTTATTAAAATTAATCTGGATTTCTCATGGACTCACCCATACCTTAAAATTTCAAGTGAATCCAAATGTATCAATATGAAATAAATATTTCCTGGCCATTATATACTTTTTCCTCTCTCCCTCAAGTATTGACTTTTCTGTATTACTAACTTGATTCGTGGTTTCTCAATAGAGTAAAATTTTTTATTAAAATATGTATTTGCAGAAATATCTGTGTGATATCCAGAACTGATACTGTTTGCACTAATCTATAAATTTTATTGTCTTTTAAAAGAGAAGGACTGCAAATTTATCTGGAGTCTAAAATAGTGATTTAGTTTAAACATTTACTAAATGTATAGTGGATATAAATACTAGCTGTATAAAAGACGGTAGAAATATTAGACTTGGGCAGTTGGATAGAAGACCACATCTCAAAATAATGGACATGAATTCTTCATCAATCACGTAAAATGGTGCATGACAGGAATACCAATTACATTTTGAAATGCACGTGTAAGTGTGTGGGCAAACATGAAATACAAATCTGTTACAGTCGGTTCAAATTTCTAAAAATTGTTTATCATTTAGCATGGACTTCAAGTCATATCTTTTAAATTCTCCTTATAAAATGATAAAAGAACTCAAAACGACCATACTCCAAGGGAGGACTGAGTCAACTGGCCCAGTTTATCAAAAAGTATAATGGAAATATCCAAGAAACAGAATTTAGAGAAATATGCAATGTATACTCTTTTTTCTTCATTTAAAGTTGGCTAATAATTCCAATGTATGCATTAGACTACTGTTATTGGTTCTATTGCTTTTGCAAATGCACAATGTAAAATTCCTAAGAAGAAAGATGTTCTGAAGTAAATATGAAAGTATGGCTAAATCCCTGGTGCTTTCCAAGACTTCAGGAAGGTTTAGACTTTTAAAAATGAAAAAAACGTTACAGAGGGGAAAGGTAGTGGTTGCATAAATTGAGTAAGGCCTTAAATAAGCCTTATTTGTTCAGGTTCTTTCTTATGTAGGACTTTTTTCCTCACTTGTTTCTCTTTGTATGGAGAAAATTGCTGTTTATGAATTTCCACATATTCTCTCCTTACCAATCAACATCACTAAGCCCCTACTTGTTCAGCTAATATTTTAATTTTTAATTGAATGGCCGATTCCGTTGGGTTATTCTTGCTGGTAAGAGACCCTAGTCTCAAACATTTGATGAACAGGATAAGTACACCAACAGAAAAGTCCTTGTGTTCCTGTATCGTAGACATTACCTGCTCTGTAGGCAATATGGACAATAAAACAATGACTTTGGCCAATAAAATTCACCTGAATGTACTTGCCCAATAAGTGCATCATAGAATTGTGGTAGCTAAAGATATACAATAAACTAGTCCAGCAATAGTGACTATGTGCTTCTTCATATCAATGTAGGTCATATCTAAATAAAACATGTAATAACAGAAAAACTCTCTCCACGAAGCACATAGATATGATTAATATGTTGACAGTAAATCCTGTATCAAGGTGTGCACACACAAAACCTTTAAAACACATACACACACTCATGATTATTTGGAATGTTTAATAAAAAATATAATATGAATCAAACATACTTTAATGTACCATGTAACATATATATCGCAGTTATTGACATGGATAATGTTCCTTTTTCCTTCAAAATCCTGACCCTGAACTTTCTGCTCATCCTTCCCCCTCAGGATCCCTCTCCCAGATTCTCCCCTTGACCTTACAAGTGTAATTTCCCTTGGCTAAAGCTACTTTATATTTATTGTAATAACTCTGACTCTTACTCTGTCTTTCAATCTCTTTCAGTGGAAACAATAAACTGACTGATGGCTAGAAAATTAGCTCAGGGAACTCTCTCTCTCTCTCACTTTTCTCCCTCTCTCTCTCCTCTCTTCTTCCACATACTTTTCTTCTCTCACTTTTCCTTGTTAGGCTAGTGGACAAATTTAACCTGTGATGATCACATCCTCATCCTTTTCATTTCTAGCACTTCTATAGCTTGTGACCAAGGTTTCTCATTAGAATTCAGTGGGTAGGAGTCTGTGTATAAAGTCCTTTGCATGTTATGCATACAAAGTTACCAGTCAAAATATATCAGTTATCTCTTCCCTTGTAACACCTCACTGCTAGAAACATAAAAACATATAAGGTTACCTTTCTTGGGATTTTGAAAAAATAAAATCATTTTAACCTCTCCATTTTGTGTTTTGTGAAGGGGGAAATAGCTGTGGCATCAACGAAATATGGGTCTTTTTATTAAGGAAATCACAGCTATAAAAATGATAAATATTAACAACAGAAGACAAGTAATGGCAATAGAAATAGAAATATAATTTTTAAGCTTGAACTGCTCCATTGGTCATACATCCTGATCACAGGGAAATAAATCATAGCTAAAATGTTAAATAACATGTTAAAAGTAATGCTCTTAAAACAATTGAATGCTGCAATCTTCTGTATGATAAGCAATTCAGAGAATAGCATGATTTTATTTTGTGCAGTTTTGAAATTTAAAACACAGTTTGGCTTCATGTTGTCAATGATTTCTTTAACTTAAGTCTTCTATGCTTTTTGAAAAGGTTAGACATGTTTATTAAATGCCCAGTTAATACAATTTATATAATTATTTAACATTGTTAAATCCAAAAATTAAATACTGTAAAATAGGAAAGAATCAAATCTATCTAGATTAAGAGTATCTGTACATAATACAGATTATTGTATAGTACTATTGCTAGCAGGAGAAGCACTGTTAGTGTTATGGCATAACGTGCCCCAATGATGAATTGTAAACCAAACTGGGAATGAGGAAGAGCCTCTGTAGCTCCCTTATACGCTGTATTGAAAACCACTGCCCTATTGGAGACTCCATTACAGAGTGTTCCAGCAGTGGTTTTCTCCTTGTTCCTTCCTTTTCAAAGATAAAGCCCAGGAAGATTTTGCATGTGACATTTCTCCTAAAGTCACCAGCACTACTTTTATTGACATTAAACATTTTCTGGATTGAAAATTGAGTGGATTTTTATAAGGAGATCTTAATATTTAAATTACTTTTTTGGTAGTTTTGTTTTTAGCAAAAATTGGCCTCAGCTTTGAAGAGGCTGCTCTGGTAAAGAATAATCTGAAGCTCTAGACATGAACTGGAAAATTGAAAGCTTGAGACCTCAATCTCGTCTAGAAGCATGTTTTGATTGGCTTTCACAGTACTTTTCTAGGCAGAGTATTTAAAATATCAAAATAGCTGCCAACATATAAAATTAGAAGATTTACATAGAAAAGCAGATTTGCAGCTTCTTCTTAAGAAATCCGAAGCTCTGACAACACGGGACTCACTTCTCCACAAAGCAACAGTCAGCAAAAAGTACATGATGACTGCCCTTTACAAAGAACATCTCTCTTTAGGTTACCAGGGTTCCCAAGCTCATTGCTCCCAGCATTGTATTCCAGTGTCAGCTGTGACTTATCATTATCACATCTGTACTTCTGCTTATCTTATACTGTACCCACTTCATTCATTTGTCATCAGCTTGACTCGTGTAGGTATTTAAGTATGTGACAGCAATCCCAGAACTGATGTGATAGATCCAAGAGGAGAAAGATGAATTGTCTAGGTGTGCTATAAGGGAAAAATGAAAGTTACTTCTGACACATGGTCATACTTGGATTGAAATTTAGGCCTATTTAACTCCAATGCCTATGCTTTATCTGCCACCACACAACCTTTTCTCATCCAGTCACTCTTATTCATTCAATAGATCCCCGCATCATTCAGAACTATTGAATAATCAAATAATGAGTCAGATTTTAAAATCATAATTTCAAGATTTCGAGTTTCTATTTCTATGTACCACATATACATCTTGATAAACTGACCTGAGCCTTGTAAAGGAGATCATCCTCACCCCTTTTAATTTCTGAAATTACCAAAAAATTCTTTAAGGTAGCCAGGAATCATCCTTTGAATGTGCATATTAACATATAATGATATGATGTTTGTATGATACAGGCATTTTCATATTCAGTACCGCCTTAGTGGTTTTAGTCAGACCACATTGTGAAATGTGCGGGACCTGCATTATCTCCTCTAAGACTTTGAACATATTTCTAGGACATTGTTTACCAGAGTGCACTTTTATTTACTTGCACAACTGTTTCCTTCTCTAGACTAGGGCTGCCCAATGTAACTTTCTGTGATTATGAAAATGTTCTTTTTTTTGCACTAATACAGTAACTGCTAGCTACTTATAACCAATGATCACTTGAAATTTGGCTAGTACAACTGAAGAACTTAATTTCTAATCATATTTGATCTCAAATAATTTAAATTGGAATAGCCACATATGCTTAGTGGCTTCAGCTACATGACTGTAGACTGCAAACTCTCCTGGACTGGAATCCGGACTGTATGTTTTTCTATCTTTGACATCTTGTGCAAGGGGCAGTGGACATATATTGAATGGATAAATAAAAGCAACATATAGAGAAGCAGAACATATGGTAGTAAAAAATTAATTAATTGCATAAGTATCAGTAAGTCCTTTTACAAGAGAGTGCTTGAATATGGGAATTTGGGATGACTTCCAATAGAAAAATGTGACTGAGGGACAGATAGTAATGGATGGTGGTAGCTAATTATTTGTGTATAACAGGCCCTTCTGAACTCAATTTTCTTTTTAGTTTAGGGGAAAACTGTAATGAGGTGAAAATGGACAGAGAAGAGATAGTTCCATTTATGATCTCTCTGGTTTTTCGTGTGTCTAATATTATAATCATGAAACAGAAGGAGTATTGCCTACATCTCATACTATTACTAAACACGGCTTATTCTTAGGAAACCTTTCAGACTTTGGATTAGAATAAATAGGTGCACATTGAATTATTTTGAGGCATGCAATAGTGATAGTCACTAAAATGTAAAATATTCCTTATTTGTTTGCCTTTACGCAGTTAAGCCAGCAAAGCAGAGTTTTGGGTGCTAAAAATCCCTTCTAAATCTAAATAAGGATCACCTTATTTCAATCAGTTTAATATTCTAGACTGCTTTTTTCAGGATATAAAAATGAGTCCTTTCAAAACCGGAAATTTTTTAGGATATTTTAATGTACAAAAAGTTTAATGATTCAGCCTTATGCAAACTCCAGTTACTAATTCATGGGCCTGAGAATCATAGTAAACAGGTGAATAGAAATAGTTGGTTCCAGTAGGCCAAAAAACAATATTACACTGTGTTTTTACTTATCACAGAGCTTAAAAAAGAGTAATTGCTCAATAAAAGTACTCTATAATTAGTCTCAAAAATGATTCTCATTTTCCATCTTGGGCTCCATTTTTCAGAGCTCTTTGAAGACAGTCCTATAGTTTTTATCTTCCATGAACATTTGATCTCATGGCCTTGTATAATATCGAATTTCTCGTATAGCAGACATGTTTGTGTTTGGGTAGGACCAATAATTAGAGTGGTTTAAAGTTAGTGTCCCTTATTAGCAGATGGGTGAAAGGGCTCACTTCCAAATATTCTCTTCATTTTAAATTTTTTTTAAAAGTTGATTCAGACAAAGAGGTAAGAAAACTAAAGCCTTATTAGATTTTAATGTAATGCAGATACAGCCTGAGAGGGGTTAACTATTTTAGAGAATACATGAAATTTCAATACTTACCTTTGAGGTACCATTTTAAATTCCTTTCCACTTACTTTTTAAAGCACTTTAGGTCTGTTTCTGCTTTAAAAATTTAGGTCAAAATAATTTCAGATTAAATTAATTTTCTTTACCCACAGAAGACTAAAGTTAGCTCAAACATAGTTATAAATTAACAAGAACCTCTCTTTTTCTAGCTCTGTACTTGCTACTGATAGAGTTTTGGTCAACTTGATATGAATGTCTGTACATTAAAGTTTTATGTTCTCTTCTCCAAGATTGTTATTGTTAGTGTTCAATTGTAACTGTAGTGAAAGTTTTGGTAGACAGTGACTGTAGTTTCAGAAATCAAGCTGTTTCCTATCCAATTATGATGCTCAATTATGTGTTCCCTCCAATGGAGCACATCCATTCTTTTTTAAGAACTTAGTGATGATGCTAGTGTTCAGTGTGCTGATTCTTCTAATCTGACAATAGAAATTACCCAAGCTATAATTCAAATTGTGGCAAATTCATTTAGATTCAAAATGAATCTTGAATTATGTTATCTTTGTAGAATTTTTTTTGGTCTTTGTCTATATGAGGCATGTGGCATGCATGCATCATTAATAGAAGCCTTTTTGTAACTGAACACATTTGAAAATTAACTTCAATTCATATATGCTGCAGAAATAAGAAACAGTAGGTTTCTACATAGGACAAGGAATCGGAAGCTGATGACTGATAATGACTTTCCCCACTATAAAATCATGTAACCTCCATTTGCCTTTGTAGAAGGGCAATGAGCTTTTAATTGAAAAGGCCTATATGCCTTCTACAGTTAAAATACTGCATATAAACTCTTGTTTCTAGTAGCCTAAAATGATACCAGTAAACTGTCAATGAGTACCATGAGTTTATTCTGATTTCACCATCCCTCTTTTACCTTAAGATGTATATCCTAAATACGATCCGTTGAAGAAATAGTGTCATTGTCAACATGATATCAGATTCAGTAAATTAGAATTTTATTATAAATGTTTTTTCAAATTGATTGTTTCCATAAACATCTTTCAGACTCCTTTTTTAGTATGCAAAAAAGCTATAATGTCAATGTCTTGTTAGCCAAAATTATTATGATTTTATGATTTTTGCCTATGATAATCCTGTTTTTTAGAATGATATTTATTTGAAGGAAAAGTATTAGTTTACAACAGGTAACTTTGTATATATATGTATATATTTAATTGAAGCCAATTTATTGGATATTTTTGGTTTAAGAGTTGCAAATATTAAGAAGCTTCAACAATCTCAAATGCTTATATTGCCTTTTGTATTCCATTTATTTTATGTTTTGAGGATGATTGAAAGTAAAAGAGTTTAACTCACATATGCTACCTAAAAATTAACTCCTTTGTTCTCTCCAGGCGTGGTGGTGCACATCTATAATCCCAACCCTTTGGGAGGCTGAGGTGGGAGGACTGCTTGAGTCCATGAATTTGAGACCAGCCTGGGCAACATAGTGAGACCCTGTCTTTATAAAATATAAACAAAATTAGCTGGGAGTGGTGGTGCATGCTTATAATCCCAGCTACTCAGGCTGAGGCAGGAGGATGGCTTGAGCCTGGAAGGTTGAAGCTTCAAGGAGCTGGGATCATGCTTCTGCACTCCAGCTCGAGTGACAGAGACTCAACCTCAAAAACAAAAACAAAAACAAAAACAAAAACAAAAACAAAAAAAAGACCTTTGTTCTCCCCTTCAGTGTGTTTCTGTAGTGCTCACAGAAAGAGCAGTGCCTTTAAAAGCATATTCTGTTATTTTTTCTGAAACTTCGTTCTTGATAGACTCTCATACCAATTTGAAATCCATTTACATACATATACCCTAATTTTGTAACTGTTGGCCCCTCTGGTTTCTTCATATACTATATTTAATAAATCCTAACTTTCATGTGAGAGGGCTGTATACTAAAGAATTTTAGAACCTTAAGTGACATTTTAACAAGTACTTTTCTGTATTTTTTTAATCCCTTTAACAAGTAGTTATCCAGCCTTCTTTTCCATATCTGGTTAAATACTAATTAAATATTTAAAATGTGTAAGAACACTCCTAGGTTCTGGGTACACTGCAGTGAACAAATAAACTAGTTCTCTATAGTCATAGAACTTACGTATCTCTCATCTCCCTCTCTCTTTCTCTTTCTTCCCCCCCATGTGCTCAGTTTGTTGAAATCTTGCTCTCAGCATTTGATTACAGACTTAAAAAAGTACATTTACATTTAGTGTTCTAATTTTTGATATTTGGACATTTGTGTTGCCTACTTTTAAATTTTTATTTAACAAATATTGGATATGGCACAGCCATAGTTGCTGAAGAATCCTGCTTACATTAAAACATTTTTAAAAGGAGCAGATGCTTTTTTTTGTCTGTTTGCAGTAGAACAGCCTTTCATTTTCCCATGATAGATACTCCATTGCTTTCAATTTGAAATTCCCGATAACAGACAGCATGACCAAATGAATACATCCTTTTAAGATAATCTCATCAAACCTTATTTTCCTCAGAGGAAGATAATAATTTGCTCTCAGGGCTGTTTAAAGATTAAATGATATGAAGTAGATGCAAATTCCTGGCATATCACTGAATGAAAATTCTTTTTCCCTCTTTAATTTACTTGGTGGATTTTACCTATAGCAACTATTCATTCATTGTTCTAGTTCTGCTCCTTAGAGTTGTACAGAAAAAAAAATCCTTTATCCATATATAAATTATTGACATATTTTACAGTCATCTCTTCTTCTCACTAAATTTCTCTAAATCCTTCAATGTGTTCTTAAACTCTACAGTAAAGCATTTACTCACCAGACACAGATAGGTTGCATCTGATAGGACTTTAGTTTGTTCATGTCAATGTGGTTCAGTCACTGAACACAATGTTCTGGAAGTGATCTGACTTATGCAAGGTAAAACCAGTTGATCATTTATCTCATTTTAAGCCATTGGATGTCTATAAGGATAACCCTGGTATAGACACACTTTTTAAATAAGCTTAGACACTCTCTTGACACATTTTGAATTACGGTCAATTAATCATCTTTCATTTAGTTTTATCTGAATTTCTCTGAAGACTATGCCTTGTCATCCTTTTATTTTCACGATTGGTTTTTGAAACAAAGAATATCTTTATATACAATACATTTCAGTTCTTCATTAACCAATCCCATATATTAGTTGAATACCCACTATATGGCAACTGTAGTTTAGGCAATCCTCTGCATACAGAGTTTGAAAAGAAAATTAAGATACAGGCATGCCCATGTGGACCTCACATGCAAATAGAAGAATGGATGTGTAAAAAGCTAAAATTGGTGCTGTAGATGTTCACTTTAAGTCTCAAAGACTCCAACCACTGACATGCCTCTGAGAATTTGAGAAGGCTTGGACTGAATGCTGAGTAAAGTGTATAAAGGGGTCAGCAAAAATCCATGGTGGAGTGAAGTGAGGTAAGGATGGGGCATACTAGGCAGAGAATGAAGCATGGATGAAGAAAGAAGAGGTGAAGTTCAATTTGGATGTGGTTTGGGTACATGGCTGTTACTTGAGAGGAAATGATCAATCCAGAAGGTGAAGGGGCTTGAATGACAAAATAAGTAAGTAAATAAATAAGTGGCCCATATTTACCTGTGGGAGTGTGCTAAAAAGAATTCAAGGTCATGAAGACATTATTTAACCTTTTAGAATATTTTATATAGCTTAGAGTACACAATGAAGTAGGGGAAATTAGTGATTAAGAAATCATTTATTATTATATATTTTTATTATACTTTAAGTTCTAGGGTACATGTGCACAATGTGCAGGTTTGTTATATATGTAAAATAAATTAAAAAATTAAACATAAAAAAAGAAACCATTTAAAAGGCTATGGCAATATTTTAGATGACAGATGATGAAGGCCTGAACTAAGGTATTGTTTGCATTTAATTATATCTTTTCTGCATATTATACATACAAAATTATTGATCAAAAGATTTATTTTGTGTAATTCCCTATAATACCTCCCTGTTAGAAACAGAGACACCATTCCAGGCTGACTACTACTTATCTATCATTATATTTTGGTACAGCTAGAAATTCACCCAAATTATTATCATTCTGTTTATATCTTTGCATTTAATCTATAAAGATAGAATAGAATTGTGAAATTGTACCTGTTACAAGTCCTCATTTCTTTGCAATTTTGAAAAGGAAACTAATTTCCATTGAAAACAGTAGGTTCAAATTATTACATAGACTGCAAGTAATTTTTAAATACTTTTTTTTTTTTTGAGACGGAGTCTCGCTCTGTGGCCCAGGCTGAAGTGCAGTGGCGCAATCTTGGCTCCCTGTAACTTCTGCCTCCTGGGTTCAAGTGATTCCTTTGCCTCAGCCTCTTGAGTAGCTGGGATTAGAGGCACATGCCACCACACCTAGCTAATTTTTTGTATTTTTAGTAGAGATGGGGTTTCACTATGTTGGCCAGGCTGTTCTTGAACTCCTGAACTCTGGCGATCCACCCACCTTGGCCTCCCAAGTGGCTTACAGGCGTGAGCCACGGCGCCTGGCCTTAAACACCTTTTTTTTTTTTTAAGTTGTGAACAATATGTCTTTATGTAGGTACATATATACACATACATATGTATATATTTACACACACTATATATCTTCCATGAATATTGAAATAGTAGAAAGATATATATATATTTTGAAACCAGGTCTCTGTCACCCAAGCTGGAGTGTGGTGATCCAAGCCCAGCTGACTGTAACTTCAAACTCCTGGGCTCAAGCTATCCTCCCACTTTAGCCGCCCAAGTAGCAAGGACTAGAGGCATGAATGACCACATTTGGCTATTTTATTTTTTTAATTTTTGTAGACTCAAGGGTCTCGTTATGTTGCCCAGGCTGGTCTTGTCTCCCGGTCTCAAGCGTTCCTCCTGCCTTCTCCTTTCAAAATATTGGGATCACAGGCATGAGCCACTGCACCCAGCCTGAAATGATTGACTTTTGCTTTAACTCTAAAAGGAAAATTATTTCCAAAGTACAGTTTTGATTTGTTTAATCATTTGGAGAGGCTTGTCAAAACCAAAACAAAAATACAAGACTTGTTCAGTTTTTGATATTTCATTAAAATTCATACTTCTGAACAATCTTATTTTAGCGTCTGGAAGGACCAGTTCCTTTATAGACAATAGAAACAAACAAAGCCACAATAAACAAATCACCTATATTTACCTTCAAATTATGTTTCATAAATTGTTTAATAGCATGTTGCGTGTCAAATAGTTTTACAAAGCCTGTATTTTCTATAAGAATTATTTTAGAATTTTATAAAAGAATTTTCTCTAAGAATAAAATTTTTCAATTGGCCAATATAAAACCAATGTAGTAAAACCTGAGAAGGCTCATAGTTTCATATTTCCAAATCTGAACTCAGAACAGACTTCCAAATAGTTTTACAGAAACCAAAACTTTTGCTGCTATGTCACCAAAAACACACAAACATACAAATGAGTTCTTTTCCGTAAAAAGACTATATAAATACAGTTTGTGGATTTTTTTTCCTCTTAACCTTTGTTTCTTTTCTCCCTCTCATTTGTTCTTAACCATCCCACTCTCTTCTATTCTGTCTTTCCTTTGTGTCTCTCTCCATGTTTTCTTTCTTCTCCATTGTTTAATTTCTTATTTGTTTTATCTCCCTATCCATCTTCCAGGGCTATGTCTTTCTGGAGTCTCCCTTGTCTCTTTTTTTCCCCTTGTAGTGTGCTTAATATGCCTACTCTCTTTCATTTTTAAGATTTGCTTTTTAGTTCTTGTTCTTTACTTCGGTCTTACTTGAATTGAATTTTTATTTCTCTTATTTCTCTGTTGCTTTCTCCGACTCTTTTGTTCTGGATCCTATGTGTATTTCTCTGATGGGGTATATTTTTTTCTGACTCTTTCTTTGGTCCTTTTGCAGGTTTCCTATATTTTAACTTTTTCATTCCCTTTCCAATTCCACTGATGTGTTCCACATTTTCCTTCCGGATTCTTCAATTTTTCTTTCTTATTTTTTCTCTTGTATATTTTATTATCCTTTTAGTAAGTCATAGTGACAAAGCAATAATGAAATAGTTTCAGGTACTATTTCACTGAAAATAACATAAAAGTATTGATTTTTCATTGTATTGTTTTTATCTGATGAACTTCAATGGATGTAATAGAAGTACGCTTCTTTTTTAAGAAATATACAATTTATGAAATGTGTAAAGATTGTTATATGTGCTGTATATCCTATTCATCTTTCTATAGCTACCTG
This sequence comes from Homo sapiens, assembly GCF_000001405.40. NCBI lineage: Eukaryota > Metazoa > Chordata > Mammalia > Primates > Hominidae > Homo > Homo sapiens. The sequence goes on along the minus strand of NC_000008.11, from coordinate 78,236,232 downwards.
GAGAAGCTTAACTCTTTGCTTAGAAGACAGAACTGATATTAGTGACAAAGTTCAGAAACTGAATTCAGACTGTCCTTTGATGGAATTGATTTACAGTTTTTTGCTTTTGTCTATGCAGTTCAGAGAAATCTTAACTTAATCCACATGTTTTGTGCATGCATACCAGAAGGCTCTCCCCCTTTATTGGTGGGTGCTGTAAATGTCTCAGGATGGATGAGGGGAAATGATAATGCTGATCTCTCTCATCATAGCTTATAAGTTTATTCCAGCATGTGATGCTACTTTATGCCTGTCAGGGAAATATTACCTAGATAATTGTTACTAATGAAAAAGGTGCAACATTATCGTTTATCTTTGCCCCTGTGAATTAGAACACTACATTAATCTTGCCTTTATTAACAAGTAAGGCATTTTGTCCCATGTGATGCACCAAATATAAAGCAAAATGTTTACCATAAATGCTACGGCTTCACCGATTTATTCAGAGTCAACAAAAATGAAAATACCGTATGGCTGTAATGCAGGCAACTACTTGAGAAGTATGGCCACTACTTTGTAGTCTTGTGTCAGAAGTACTTCTTTTTAGGCTATTGGACTGTTAGTATTGCTTGGGCAAGACAGATTTTCCAACTCTGTATGCGTGTGTGTGTGTGTGTGTGTGTGTGTGTGTGCGTGCGCTACACTGCATTACAAAGCACCATCCCTGTATGGTGCTATAATTAACACTGGCCTTATTCTATCTTGGTTTTATGTTAAAGTAAGTTATCTAAATAAATCCATAAACATATATGCATGTATAAATGAATAAATAAATATTGGCATATATAAATGGGAAGAATTTCTTCTTCTTGCCTCAAAAAAATGAAAGCCCTGTGTGGGAGAGGGGCAAAATTAAAAATACATAGTAGCATTATGGGTTTTTGTTTTTAATTTTTAATTGTGGAAAATTTTTATCAACTACTAGGACTTTTTAGTGAGAATTTAAAATATATAGGTATCTTTAAAAGGTTATGTCTTTCTGCATATCTCTATATCTGTAGCTCTGTATCTACTTTTATATGTATTTTGTGGGACTGAAAGCAGTCTATTCTGACTTGAGGAAACACATACATATGTACATACATACACACACATATACACATTGGGAAAGTACTACGGATGAAAGACATTGAGTAATGCTTAAAAGAAAGTGTATATCTTGGATGACAGATTTTTAAAAATATTTTTAAAAATACTCTTTATTTTACCAAAGGGAGTAGATGAGGCTAATGAAAATTACTTTCAAAGACTGCATGTTGATTACAGCTTTACAACTTCTGATAATTAAAAAAATTGAGACCTTTCAGTTTTAAAAATAAAATCTGCAGTTACACAGATAAAAGCTGGTGTCTGATATTCACCTAGAAAAGAAAACAATAATGTAATTCTCCTAACAGATTATTTTTAAAAATGAAAGAAGTTTATTTGTTGAGAAAACATAGAGTAGGACACTTTAAAGTTTTTCATCTTTCTTAATGTACCTAAATTCTCCTGATACTTTTCTTTTAACACTTGCTTAACTTTTGGCTAGCTAAGTGAAATTTGACAGCTATTGAGTAGCATGATTAATTATTGAAGGGCAGTTATTTTATAACCATAGTTTTGGAAGAAAAAGCGATAAAAAGTCACCAAAATATAACATTAAAAATAGAAATGTTTTATTTGATGTATCATGATAACTGACCCCTTGATGTGTGTGCTGCAAAAACCCACAAAATTGCCTACTAAACATTATGTTTTCCACAACCAAAAGAAACTGCAAGTTAAGCTCAAACTGAATTGAAATAGAGTCACACAACTTTATGGATATAACCAGGCAGAAATGTATTACATAATCAATGCTCACAGTATGTATTTACACTAAAGATATAGTAAAATGCGTGTTTTATTTATTTAAAAATATTTTACTTAAGTGTTCTATTTTGTTTTGTTGTCATCACAATGAATATTATTTCATTCAATGTAGTTGCATACGTCAATATCATCGTTCAACTTCTGAAAACATTATTATAAGAAAACAAAATAACTTTTACAATTAAATAAAGTACATTCTCACTCTTCATTTAATTATTGAAGCTAGAAAAATCTAAAAAAATCTTCCAGCTGCAAATAGTATGAATTACGTGGCTAAAAAAATCTTGTGTTCTTTTTTCTGAATTATTGTACAATAGAAATTTTGATTCTTAAATATGACTTTAGAGAAATAGAGTTTTTTCTGCACATGAGGTAGTTATTAATAAGAGAAATAGCAAGTATAAGATATGATGATTGGTAAATCTTTCATGCCTCTGCATTTATTTGCAAATTAATTCTAAGGCAATATATTTTTCCTTTAGATATTATTATTTATTTTTTTAAAAATTTAACAGTCCTATGTTCGATTTTATACTTTTCAGAAAGATTTCTTTGTATTACATATTAATTTATTTAGTATTTTTCTGCATTCAGTGTAAAATTTAGAAAACTCACAAAAGCTGTGTATTTCAAACAACAGTCCCATTATAATAATGCAAGTTCCTGTGGAAACATATTCCTAAAAATAAAACATTTAGAAATTTTTATTGAAATTTTTAAAAGAAAAACTACCTCTTTGTATAACCCATCTAAATTAGTTTATGGATGTGATACATAGGCAACATATGTAACGTACTTTATCACTTAGCTTATGTTTTATTTTAAATTTATTGTTTTAAAGCATCTTTTGGATACAACAGCATCAACAACAACTCTATTTTAAAGCTTTGCTATTTACCCCTCTATCCATCCCCAACTATTAGAACTATCCACATGTTTTTGGGAAGAGGGGAAAAACATATAATTGAACATCTGGAAATTTTAGTGACTTAAAATATTGTCTTACATGTTGAAGAATATTGAGAAACGGGTGGGTCCAATATGGTTAAAATAAGAGTCGTTAGTGGCTTTCACATGGTGTCTGGTACAAGGTATTCTACATTCAGTAGTTCATTCTGCAGTGGTGTGCCACTTACACCCTACATCTCACCATAACTTTAACAAAGCATTGTTCCTGCTATAGATCTGTGAGTGGAAATGACTGACTCACTTTCTTGGCTTTGATGTCTCCAGTAGCAATTTATCCTGGTGTGTTAAATGTGAAGGTAAAACCATTAAAAGCGGTGCACACCAGAGGTTTGGTTTCATAAACTCGTTATTTTTCTTTTCCTTTTCCTCTCTTCTTTTATTCTTTTTTTTTTTTAAGGGGAAAACTACTTTTTAGTACCTAGGCATGAAAGAAGCACAAAATGAGAATTTAAAATCATAAAGCCTGAATGGAATTTGTATCATTTCCTTTTCTTGCTTTAGCCTTTGTTACTATAATACAAATGTCATGGAAGTAAGAATAAAACATCTCAGGCATTAGGATTGAATGATAGCTCATTCATATGACAATGACTGAACTGAGGACGGAACATTTCTCAGAATGTAGCCATTCTCGTGGCAAAGATTATAACGACAAGGAGAAATGGTAGAAAATTAAACAATTCTTGGATCTTTATAAAGAAATCTTATGAGTTTCCTCTAAGGTAGTGCTATATATTATATTAGCTAAGGAGTAAAATGGAGGAGAAAAAAAAAAAGCCTTCGTTATGTCCAAATCAAACTTGTTCAGCTTGATTGTTGAGAGAGGAGCCCGCTTAGGAAGGTCTCTGTTTCGACCAGTAGATGTCGCCCCAAGCAACAGAAATACCCTAGGGGCTCAGAGCTGATTAGGATGATAGAACCACAAAGGACACAATTTAAAACGCACACACACACACACACACACACACACACACACACACACAGAGAGAGAGAGAGAGAGAGAGAGAGAGAGAAAGCTCATCAGTGATAAATTTTGTATTTTAGTAAAGCATTAGATAATTTGGGTTTTAATTTTCTCTAAACAAAATCCTACACATTCTTGCCAGGATGAAGGGTGTGTCTAATAGGGTCCCGGGAGCGTGGCTTTGACAGCATAATGCTGTCAGGACCTGTAGCTACCCAGCTTTACTTCCCTGTTGGATTTATTGGGCCTGTTGCTCCCTTGGCAAGTGGCTGGAATTGCTTTTTAACCCTTGCCTGGACTTCGACTCACTTTGTGATCTGGGTTTACACTGAATATGAAACATTTGCTGGGGGAGGGTGTGTACTGTTTCTACTGCTACCGTTTAGGAGCTGTGGGGGCAGTGAGGGGTGCCAGTTGTGGGCACTTTCTCTTGTCTCTCTGTCTTTCACAGGGTGAATAGAATTATTGGTTTTTAATTTTTTTTCTTCTGCTTATCTCAAAGACACTATACCTGAGTACTGTTTGTGTGTGTATTTGTGTGTGCGTGTGTGTGTACACATGCTCTACTCCAACATTTTTCTTCATTTAGTGATCTTTACAAATCATATACAATAAACCATTCTCTCGTGAGCAGCTTCAGCTTGAAATGCAAATGCCACAAAAAGCACATTTCTTTTCACCCAAGAGCCTCATTCAATCTCATGTGGGCACTCCTCATTCTGCAACAGTTCACCTGGGGTTAAGTCGTGTACTTTCAGGGAAGATGACAAGTTAGAAAAGTTTATGAGGTCACAGAGCCTTCCTCCAGTCAACACAATACACATTTCCTCCATGTATTTTGGAGACTCCTTAAATGTCTTCTGTTTAATGAGTTTAAGTGGATCAAGGCAGGAGTGACTTAAAACCATTTGTATTTTAAAATCTCCATTTCAATGTCTTTACTGTAAATGCTGGATGACGGTTCTGTATCTAATGACAACGGCCTAATTTATTACAGCCAAGTGTGTGCTGTGTAACCCTGTTAGCGAGAGCTCTCTTAATTCCTGTGCAGGATGGCTTCACCACATTCTACCCAAACTTAAAGGGGACTTTTAACATCGACTGAAATTCAGATAACCCGAGGTGATATGTTTAGCTTGTCCTGAAGCTTGTCCTAAGAGTGTTCTGGCTTTTTCTGTGTCCCTTGAAGTGCTGGTAAAGGTGACAGCCTCACAGATCTCTTTTGTTCCAGTCTAAAAAAATCAGTCAGTTTTCCATTAGTCTTCACTGGCTCTTTTGAACACCAGGCTTTTATTTCACACTTAAAAGAAAATCTGTCAAGTATTTTGGTCACCAAATATATCCTACCTACAAATGTCAGATGGTGATGATTAGATTCTATATACTAGACACCTATTTAAAAAATCCAGTGTTCTGTCACTCTAATTCTGTGCCTTTAAAATAATGACCATTATTTGCAATACTTATGATATTTTGTAGTCTGCTTGGCTTTATGTGTGAGAAAAGGTTGGATAGTATATATATGTAATGTCAGAAATATTCTATAGAAAGAACACGAGCAAATGAAAGGTAAACAAAGCTGATATATTTTCTCTTAAAAAGTGTGGGTAAAAAAGCATGGAATAGCAGATGAATTTATTTTATTTCAGATGTAAAAATGATAGAGCAAATTGATAACTATTTTCATCTGAATATAAAATCTGACTATAAATTTTAAGAAAAACTACATATTATAAAGCTAAATGTGATGTTGTCCCTTTAAATGTTCTATCCTTTGCAGCTTTGCTTGTCTCCCTGGCTCCTAAGATTGCCTGATCCTCTTTTCTGGAATTCTTTCAATTAGTTTTGGATCTGTCACCCTAAAGTCTCTGAAATTGCTTATTCGAAGAGATTTCAATATTTACTCTGATGACATTTTTGATTCTCAACACATAGGAATTCTTAGCAGTTTTGAATTTACTTTGTATCCTTTAGTCCATATAAATCTGGCAATCAAGATTTCTCTCAGTTTAATTTGCTTTCTGTTGAGGATTTAAATGATATTATCCTGAAGCTTTAGCCAACCACTTCCAGCCCCTAATCCTTGGCCTTCCTCACTGGTAAAAGGCTGTTCTCAGTTCTCTTGGTTCAGTTTAACCCTCCTAGTTAATCTCTGACTTCTGGTAAATTGCCATCATGTTTAAAATCTGCAATTGTAACTCTCTTAAAAAAATCCTGTTCACGAAGGACAATATGACTAACTTATATCATCTTATTTTTTAATTTAACTAAGAGCGGTGGAAGAAAGTCACTGCCGATCAGCTCTAGGAATATCTTAACTGTCATCAGATCTAGAATGAATTTCAGTCAGGATTTTTGTCCTTTCATAGCACATAAATTGCACTCCTTAAAGTTAGAAATGGTCTGGCTGTCTTACTGACACTCTCAGGCTCTTATAGTTTCTGCTTCTAGGCTTTTGGCTGGGCAGCTGCTGCCTTCCAACAGGAAATTTATTAAAATGCATTTCAATCCTACAAAAGTCTATCTGGCATTGGTTATTAATTTTGCTTTTCATTTAATTCCAGTTTCCTTTAGCCAGGACTAGTCAACAGATTATGTCCTTTGCATAACAGAGTCCCTTAAGGGTTAGAGCTGAATGCTTTAAAGATTTATACATTAACACATACACAGTTCTGGAAGATGCATTCTGCTTAGCCATATACATGTAGATGACATACAGATCATTTATTCCACTTTAAGCAATATTGTACAAGTTCATTTTAGTGGATCTGTTTACATGGATAGCTGACTTACTGTGGGGAAATTGCCAACATTTTCTAAAATTGAATCCAGATAAGACAGAATTCCTTTTGATTGGAACTTATCCCTAGTTCGATCAACACTCTTCCGTCACGGTGAAATTTGGCAACTCATTCATAGCACTGGTCCCAAAGGGGAAAACCTTGGTTTTATGCACAACTCTACTCTGTCATTTATGAATCGTGTAAATATAAATATTAAACTGTCATATTTTTCTTTAAGGAATATAGCAGGGATAAAGTAAATAATATCTACTCAAGATACGGAAGTGTTGCTTTCTGATTAGCACTTTTCATTTATAGTACTGAAATTCCTTAGTATTTGAATGAATAGAGCAAGCACATTCTAAATGTATACATTTTAATACTAATTTTGGGAAAGCTAACAGTATTTTACTTCCTAACAATGGCATATTGTACTTGATTTATTCTCTGAATGGAATGTCCTTGAGAGAGGAATAGATTTGATGACCCCTTGGTGACAAAGTTCTTACTGTGCCATGTTCTTGTTAGCTAGATAACTAGAAAGTATAACAGAGGACAACACTGAACATTTCCCACAATGGAAATTCCAATTTTGGTTAAATTGTGATAAGAATTTTGAGAATCACAACAGGAATATCCAACTGTCAGTGGATCAGAAGCTGTTTTTTTTTTAAATGTTACTACCACACTTTCTTATAGCTTGATGCAAGTAAGATAATACATAAATTCCAATGAACAGTCAGCAAGGATGCACATGATTAACAACTGGGTCTATTTTCAAGCAGAAGCTCACTTTTGCTGTTAAAAAATATGCAATGAGGAGGGTTTCTATTAAAGTTGTGTTTAGGGATGCTATTTGATGAGGATATACAGTTATACAGATTCTGCCCAGAATCTGGATGTTCATCCTGAGGACTATATGCAAAGGCAGTGAAACAGGGTAAAAATGGCACTGCATTACCATCTGAGCTATTGAGCATCAGATCTGAAAGCATTCCTTGGATGGATTAAGTTAGACCTCAAGGAGATCCTTTTCTAGATTTGTGAAAGTTAAAAGTCTAGAACAAAGGCAAACTGAAAGATACCTCTTGTAGTCCACACTTTCTTTCTTACACATCCAGTGGTTATTTGATCTTAGTGATTTACATATTAAATTTATAAATTTGGCCAGGCGTGGTGGCTCACGCCTGTAATCCCAGCACTTTGGGAGGCCAAGGCGGGTGGATCACAAGGTCAGGAGATCGAGACCATCCTGTGAATGGTGAAACCCCATCTCTACTAAGAATACAAAAAATTAGCCGGGTGTGGTGGCAGGCGCCTCTAGTCCCAGCTACTCTGGAGGCTGAGGCGGGAGAATGGCGTGAACCCGGGAGGCGGAGCTTGCAGTGAGCCGAGATTGCGCCACTGCACTCCAGCCTGGGCTACAGAGCGAGACTCCGTCTCAAAAAACAAAAACAAAAACAAACGTATAAATTTATGGTCTAGATTTTTATTATATACAAGGTGACATGATGTACTTACAAGCATGATTTATAAATGGAAAAGACTAGAAACAACCCAAAAGTCCATTAATAGGGGGATAGTTAACTAAGTTATGATATACCTAGTCAGTGGAATGCTATGAAGCTGTTTAAAAAAATGAGAAAATATAGGGAAATGGAAAATTCTTCATAAAATATTAAGATTAAAAATGTATACAACTGTGGTTACATGTTATTTTTTGTGTCATAATGTAAGGAAAAAGACTTGCATGTATTTGTATTTATGTAAGAAAATAGTGGAAAGACAAACCAAAAGTATAATAAAAATGTTATTTTGGAGGTGATGGGAACAGAAAAGGAGTAAGAGTAAAATTTGTACTCTGGAGCTTTTTATAGTCCATGTCTTTTCAATGTAGTGCTTTTCAAAAAATTAAATGGAATAAATTGTATTCATATGTAGTAGTTACTGTTCTCCCTAATATTTAATTATTAAATTTCTTTCACAACTTTCATGAAAATTTTGTGGCTCTCAATATAAACAATGGGAGCAATTTGTCATATAGTATGTATGGTTCCCACGAAACGCAGCCCTTGTCATTAAATTCAGGGGCCATGCACAATGGTTCATGCTTGTAATCCCAGCACTTTGAGAGGCTGCTGCTGGAGGATCACTTGAGCCCACGAGTTTGAGACAAGCCTGGGCGACATAGGGAGATCCTGTCTCTCCAAATAATTTTAAAAAATTAGCTGGGCATGGTGGCATGTGCCTGTAGTCCCAGCTACTTGGGAGGCTGAAGTGAGAGGGTTGTTTAAGCCCTGGTGGTTGAGGCTGCAGTGGGCCGTGATTGTGCCACTGCACTCCAGGTTGCGCAAAAGTGAAACCCTGTCTCAAAAACAAACAAACAACAAGAACAAAAGCACACATGGTCTACGGTATGTAGTTGTATGACCTTATGAAAATAATATATTTTCTTAGACTTCAGTTTGCTAAAATGGAATTGTGAGTGCTTCACAGGATTGATGTGAAGATAAAATTATACCATCTAGGTTAAAATGAAGGCTGTTTACTTTGGCTGTTACTATGGTTACTGGAAGAATCAACTTAAGAACATTTATCTAGAAGTTTCCTTTAGGGAAAAGAAAGTCTAGTTTTTTTTTTCATTATTTGGTGTATCCATTTCATTAGAAGTCATGGGATTATCTTGGCAGTTACCCAAAGACACCATATGCTTTTCCCCTCACTCATACTTGCATAAAAGATACATGAAAACACTTGACAAATGATAGCCCTAGATAAATACAAATGCAGACATGGGTGCAGCTGTTTAATTTCTGGTTGCTATTTGCTTCATATTTATGGTAACATAGTACATTATAAGGACTGGCTAGAATATACTTTAAAACTCTTGGCAACTCTGTTGCTTGCAATCTATATGAGGGTTTTGCATGACTGAAGGTGGACTAGGTCAGATGAAACCAGGGTCAGAACTGTGATGACCTCTAATGCCTTGTCTGAGATGGCTCCACACTGTACAAAAGAAAAAGAGCTTTCTTCATGTGTCCTGAAATCAATCAGTTTGAATAAATAAAGACTCCTTAGACGGAGAAGGAGGAGAAACAGCATAAGCTATAGTTTCTATCATTATTATTACTGGTAAATGGAGCAAGGTTAAAAAAGAATAGAAAGTATAGTAGCTTATAATAATGTTTTCATAGTCCTGGGCAAGGCTGTGATGCATGCGTAGTTGCAGAAATGAGAATCTGGGTTGCTGGAACAGAATTCTCTCTCACCCTATCTTTCTTCCATTTTGATTCTTCCTTTTCTCTCTCAACCAGGAGTTTACCATCAGCCCTCAGTATTACCTTATAGCGCTCTGTCCAGATACCTTCTTCAAGGACTGACCCAGCCTTCCACCAATTGCTGGGTAAATTGGTTGCTGAAGACTCACAGCTGCATTATTCACTGGGCATTGCTCTGGCAACAGAGAATTGCCCAAGGTTAATGCTCCTTCACTAGGTGATGGTGGGATAGCGATCCACTGCCTCAATTAGGAATAATTCTGTAGTGACATCCAAGTTCTCCACATGATTGGCTAAGTCCACCATTGTATCACATGGAGGGTCAATTTCTTGCTTTCTCTGCCCCTGCTTTCCTCATTTCCTAACCAGTGGAGCTGCTAATCACCTCCCCAATAAACCTGAATGAAACTCAAGGATTTTTTCCTGATAACCTAATCTAAGATAAACCTAGTGGTAGCTTTAGTAATGGTAGAAGTGTCTGTGTTTGACTTTCACTGCTTCTGAAGTCATGAACAATTAAGTATGCTCCTCTAAGCTCAAGGGCCCTGAGATACAGGATCAATTTGGTTTATCCTCTGCCTCTAGTCATTCAGTCATTTCAAGGTGTCCCTTCTAGATTTGGGCTACAACTCTTGAAGCCTAGAAAACATTTCTAAAAATCCTCAGAATAATTCTTATAAAATATGTTATTCTCCAGAGAGCAATTTGGAATTTCTAGGCTGAACTTAATTTAAAGAAAGAATCATCTTCAAGTATTGTCTTAAATTTGACTTTATGCTTGTTTCAGACCAACATCAACCCCAAGATTGGTCTTAGATTTTTTCGTATTTCCCCTAGATTTTGGTCAATATTTGATTAAGTCACTAATGGAAAAACCTGTCTTCAATATCCGACTTTTCATCATTGAAGAGATGTAAGTTGTATCCTTATGGCTACTACTAAGGAACTAAAAATGACACTAAGTGATACTTATTTCTTTTTCTGAATCTTTACTGACTCATAGCCATTATTAAATACTAGCTCAAGTTCCACCATATGCCAGAACCCTTTTCTGACTAGACCATTCTCTTCCCGATTGTCTTCAATTTTGAAATTCTGGTAGTGGTAAAACCATTATGACTTAGCAACTGCTAATATATTGACTTAATTTCCTTTACTGTTTCCACAACTCCAAAAGTAGATGAAAGAATTTTTAAAAATGTTTTTGTTATTCTTGCCATTCACTAGAGTATGTAGTATAGGAGTCGTTAAACCTACAACAATCAATCAATTCTTACAATAACAGGTAGTTAATCTGTGAAAAAGAAGGCTGAAATCTACATGATACAAATTATATGTTTTACTCTATAGAAAGGAAGTTTAGTTTGGGCGTGGAACTGTGGTTAGTGGGTAGCACTTTTACAACAAACTTGAGTTCAAATCCTGGAACCACAAGATTCCAGCTGGTGACTTTGGCAAATCACTTAATTCCTCTGAACTTTAGTTTTCCCCACTTTAAATTTAGAATTGTAGCTATCTATATCCCAGAGTTATTGGAAGCTTGATGGCTCACAATGAATACAAAGCACTTAATGCAGTGATTAAGGAATTATTATTATATCAAAATATTACCGGTACAAAATCATGAATTAACTATTGTAGAGAGAAGAGTATAATATTGTATTAAAGTGGTATGAAAATCAAACACCTTTCTAAGATTTTACTATTTTTTAATTTTTTCTAATTATAAAGAATGTAGATCCTTAAATAGAATGAAATATTTTTAGGAAAAGGCTTTAGGTCAGAACATAGTCATGCAAATCTTCCTTCCAGATATCTTGAACATTTTGATCAATGGAATAAAATAGAAGACACAAAATGAGATTTTGTACCCATATGCTCATGTTAGATCTTCACCATCCACTCTTCCCCATTTCACTTCTCTATGCCTTTATTTATGATACTCTGTGAAATCTCCTCTAGCTACATCCTGTTTTTATAGTCTCTGTCTCTTACACAAACTCTGAGTCAAGATTATCATCTTTCAGGCCCCAGACTTTAACGTTTTCTCTTCAAGTAAAGCTGGAGAAAGAGTTGAAGGTGGTCCATTGTATTAGTTACATATTGCTGTGGTACAAATTAACACGAATTTAGCAGCTTAAAACAGCAAACGTATACTGTTTCACAATTTTTGTGGATTAAGGATCTAGACATGACTCAGCTGAGTGCATCTGGTTAAAGGTCCCTTATGAGGTTGTAGCCAGGTTATCATTCTCATCTGAAGCAAAGGTCTTGTGTTAGTCCATGTGAATTGCTATAAAGGAATACCTAAAGCTGGGTAATTTATGAAGAAAAGAGGTTTATTTTGGTTCATGATTCTGCAGGCTGTAGAAGAAGCATGGTACTGGCATCTGCTCCTGGTGAGGCCTCAGGAAGTTTACAATAATGGTGAAAGGCGAAGGGAGAACCAGTGCATCATATGGCAAGAGAGGGAGGAAAAGAAGGGGGGCAGGTGTCACACTTCAGTGACACTGAAGTGTGGGAAATCACTCATTACCATGAAGACAGCACCAAACCATTCATGAGGGATCCACTCCCATGACCTAAACATTTTCCACCAGGCTTGCCCTCTAACATGGGCAATCACATTTCAACATGAGATTTGGAGGGGAGAAAACATCCAAACCACATCAGGTATCATCTGAAGGCTTGACTGGGGGAAAACTGTGTCCAAAGCGACTCATATGACTGTTGCAAGGATTCAGTGGCTCTTCGGTTATTATATGGAGGGCCTTGGGTCCTTACTGAAAATTGGCGAGAGGCCTCCCTCAGTGCCTTGCCATACGGGTTTCTCCACAGACCAACTCACAATATGGCAAAGTGACATTTCATTACTTTATCACATTCTCTGCACATTCTGTTCACTTGAAACAAGTTACCAACTCCAATCTTCACTCAAAGGGAGGGGATTATAGATGAGCATGAACACAAGAAGGCAGGGATCACTGGAGTCATCTAAGAGACTGATCACCACACCAGTCATGATTGAGAAGCACTCTCTTTACTATGCTGCACCAATAGTAACATGTTAAATATAACACTGCCTTTTTTTACTGGCTACATTTTTTGATATATTTTCTATAATGTCTATCATAATTGTTTTCCAAGGATCCCTCATCTGTATAAATTTGGTCAAAATTTTAGCATTTTAAATGTTGTCTGGAGCAAAGTGACTCATGGTGTGACTGGAAAATGAGAGGTCTTGTTTATTTTTATCCTGGATGCATCATGTACTTACTATTGTTGACTCTAGCTTAGAGAGTTGCCAAATAGCTGGTTCTTTCTCATTTATAAAAATAAGGCAACAATTTTAGCTTACCAATGGCGGGGCTATGAATAACAATTTTTTAAAGCACTTCTCTGTAGTGCTTTGAAATCACCCATGTGTTCATATTACCCACAACTTTTAAACAAAAATAAAAACAACTAAAGCCACTTTTGCACTTGGGGTTCATAGATATATTTTAACAATTTACTGGAAAGAAATTCTTAATTCCATTTTCTTAATCTTCAGGTAACATTTACAGTGAGCTTGGGGATTCCTATTAGTACATGCACTTCATTTGTAAATAAGAAGCATTCTAATAGAATAAATAATCAATTCAGTATAATTAACATGAACAGAGAACCAGCTTTTTAAGCCTGGTACTCCATACTCTGTCACTCCATTTTGTCTTAAATATGAGTCTTTTAGACAGTTGATGACAGCTATCTCAACTTGGAAATGCAATACCAACATTTATTGAATTGAAAATAGACCCTTCAAGCCATATTTTGGCATTGCAAAGTTAAAATTAGACCCCACTTCAAACAGGTTTTTTAAATGAGGAAGCATCCCTAACAAAGGACCTTGCATCCCACTGAACATTGGACCATTATGCTAATTGGAATGGCCACTGTATAAGTCTTGGGTGGATCTGAAGAAAGTGGTAGTTATTCTTGCCTGAGTTTCCAACCACACTCATTTTGCTAAATTGCATTTTCTTTTGGAAAGCAGTCTGATAGGCTACAAGTGTTACTAATTCTATTAAATACTCCCTTCTTTCATATTTAATGATCAAAAAACTTAACCACTGTCTATTTTAAAATGATGTATTTCCATAAACAGATTGAGATACTTGAATAACCATCTCATGGTAAATAGTTTTTCTTGAATGACCACCCTATTCCTTTTAATTTTTCTAAGCTGAAATTCTAAGTTATTCAAATGGTAAAATTATGTTTAGAGAAATATGTAATTATATAGTTGGTTGGGATAATTCACTTTGAAAATTGACAGGGATGATATATATGCTACAGGCTCAAATCTAACCAGTCTTCTAACAGTGTTTGCAACATACATATTCATTCCCACTCTTCCTTCCTCTTTTCCTTCTGCTTTTCAAGTGTCTGTGATCCAGAAGGACTTGTCCATATCCTCTTGAGGGAGCATGTCGAGAAAAGCAAAGCTATGGCAGATAATTGGAGACAAGTTATTTTTAAAAGCCTAATGAACCTTATTTTTATCTACTGATGGAGCCCTTTCAAAAATACACACACGCACACACACACTCTCTCTCTCTCTCTGTGTGTCTGAGAGAGAGAGAGAGAGAAATATTTGCCAATATAATATGTAACACAGAGGGAAATTTTAACAGGTTTCATTTTATACTATATTACTGATCAAAAATGTCCAGACTTTTATCTTTCTTCCATAATTATGCTTCTTTTGTACTGTTTCCACATTTTCCCCACATTCCTTCTTTTTCTTTACTTAAGGTAATTCTCCACCAACATTATAACATTTTATTTTTGTTCATCATTCTCCATTTCTTCAACAGGGTAGATCAATTAGGGAGAATTTATAATATACATGATACGGTTTGGCGTTGTCCCCACCCAAATCTCATCTTGAATTATAGCTCCCATGATTCCCATATTTCATGGGAAGGAGCCAGTGAGAAGTAATTTAATTATGAGGTAGGTTTTCTCATGCTGTTGTCATGATAGTGAATAAGTCTCACAAGATTTGATGGTTTTATAAAGGGCAGTTCCTCTGAACACACTCTCTTGCCTGATGCCATGTAAGGCATGCTTTACTCCTTCTTCACCTTCCTCCATGATTATGAGGCCTCTTCAGTCATGTGAAACTGTGAGTCCATTAAACCTCTTTTTCTTTATAAATTGCCCAGTCGGGTATTTTCTTCATAGCAGTATGAAAATGGACTAATACAGTAAACTGGTACTGGTATAGTGGGGTACTGTGATCAAGATACCCCAAAATGTGGAAGCAGCTTTGGAACTGGTTAACAGGCAGAGGTTAGAACAATTTGGAGGGCTCAGAAGAACATAGGAAGATGTGGGAAAGTTTGGAGCTTCCCAAAGACTTGTTGAATGGTTTTGATCAAAAAGTCCAGGTTGAGGTGGTCTCAGATGGAGATGAGGAACTTATTGGAAACTGGAGCAAAGGTGATTCTTGCTATGTTTTAACAAAGAGACTGAAGGCATTGTGCCCATGTTCTAGAGATCTGTGGAACTTTGAATTTGAGAGAGATGATTTAGGGTATCTGGTGGAAGACATTTTGAAGCAGCAAAGCATTCACGATGTGACTTGGGTGCTTCTTAAAAGCATTCAGTTTTATTCATTCGCAAAGATATGGTTTGGAATTGAAACTTACATTTAAAAGGGAAGCAGAGCGTAAAAGTTTGGAAAATTTGCAGCTTAATAATGCGATAGATAAGAAAAACCCATTTTCTGGGGTGAATGAAATTCAAGCTGGTTGCAGAAATTTGCATAAGTAATGAGGAGGTAAATGTTAATCACCAAGGCAATGGGAAAAATGTTTCCAGGGCATATCAGAGGTCTTCACAGCAGCCCTCCCATCACAGGCCCAGAGGCCTAGGAGGAAAATATGGTTTTATGGGCAAGCCACAGTGCCTTGTTACTTTGCAAAGTCTCGGGGCTTAGTGCCCTGCATCCCAGCCATGGCCAAAATGGGCCAGTGTACAGCTCAGGCAATTGCTTTAAAGGGTGCAAGCCCCAAGCTTTGGTAGCTTATATGTGGTGTTGGGCCTGAGGTACACAGAAGTCAAAAATTGAGGTTTGGGAATCTTCACCTAGATTTCAGAAAATGTATAGAAATGCTGGGATGTCTAGGCAGAGATGTGCTGCAGGGACAGAGCCCTCGTAGAGAACCTCTGCTAGGGCAGGGAAGAAGGGAAATGTGGGGTGTGAGCCCCCACACAGAGTCCCCACTGTGGCACTGCCTAGTGGAGCTGTGAGAAGAGGGGCACCGTCCTCCAGATCCCAGACTGTTAGATCCACTGACAGCTTGCACCGTGTGCCTAGAAAAGCCACACTCAATTCCATTCAATGAAAGCAGCCAGGAGAGGGTCTGCACCCTGCAAAGTTATAGGGGTGGAGCTGCCCAAGGCTGTGAGAACCCACCTCTTGCATCAGCATGACCTGGCTGTGAGACATGGAATCAAAGGAGATCATTTTGGAACTTTAAGATTTGACTGCCCTGCTGGATTTCAGACTTGCATGGGGCCTGTAGCCCCTTCATTTTGGTCAATTTCTCCTAGTTGGAATGAGTGTATTTACCCAATGTTTGTATCCCCCTTGTCTTTTGATTTTACAGGCTTATAGGTGGAAGGGACTTGCCTTGTCTCAGATGAGACTTTTGACTGTGGACTTTTGAGTTAATGCTGTAATGAGTTATTAAGTATTTGATAGACTATTGAGAAGACATAATTCATTTTGAAATGTGAGGACATGAGATTTGTGAAGAGCCAGGGGTGGAATGATATGGTTTGGCTGTGTCCCCATCCAAATCTCATCTAGAATTGTAGCTCCCGTAATCCCCATGTGTCATGGGAGGGACCTGGTAGAGGGTAATTGAATCACAGAGGCAGGTTTTCCCATGCTGTTGTCATGATAGTGAATAAGTCTCATAAGATCTAATGGTTCTATAAATGGCAGTTCCCCTGCACATGCTCTCTTGCCTGCCACCATGTAAGACATGCTTTTGCTCTTCTTTCACCTTCCACCATGATTGTGAGGCCTCCCCAGCCATGTGGAACTTTAAGTCCATTAAACCTCTTTTTCTTTATACATTACCCAGTCTCAGAAATTACCCAGTATTTTCTTCATAGCAGTATGAAATAGACAAATACAATACATATTGGTATTTTTAAACAGAAATATATAGTGTATCAAGTTTGTATATGTCTTCATTTTACATTTTTATAACCTCATATTTTTATTATTCTTCCATGTCTTTTATTTTCATGTAACATTAAGCCTTTGTTTATTTTATCATCTTTTCTCATTTGCAATGAGTCCATGTCATGCCACAAGTAACTAGACATCCTGAAGCATTTTTTTTCTTTCAATAATTTGGTGTTTGTCTTGTTTTGACTTTTTCCTTTTCGTTGAGTTACTTTCTTACTTCCTGTCCTTCTTTTAAAGTAAAAATTATTAAGAAGAAGATCTTGAATGATAGCTCTTCCTTTGTTCTTTTTTTCTGGTTGGATTGCTCACACAATAAAAATGCAAAACACTGTATATAAAACAAAAGGCAAGGGTGTTTGTTTGTATCTTTGTATGTTTGTTTGTTTTTGAGATGGAGTCTCACTCTGTCACCCAGGCTGGAGTGCAGTGGTGGGATCTAGGCTCACTACAACCTCTGCCTCCTGGGTTCCAGCAATTCTCCTGCCTCAGCCTCCCAAGTAACTGGGATTACAGGCGTGTGCCTCCATGCCCAGTTAATTTTTTTATTTTTAGTAGAGATGGGATTTCACCATGTTGGCCAGGCTGGTCTCAAACTCCTGATGTCGTGATCCGCCCACCTTGGCCTCCCAAAGTGCTGGGATTACAGGCGTGAGCCACAGCGCCCGGCCAAGGCAAGGTTTTTAACAAATGTTTCTTTATACAGCCTATTAAATAAAAAAGGCAATAACTAATGATCTATGAATATTTTATGTATATATGTGTGTATATATATGAGTATACATGCACATGAGTGCACACACACACACACACAGTTCAGAAATCCCCCTTTCTAGAAATGACACTGCTAAGAATTTGGTTTGCATGATTTAAGATATTTTAAATAAACATATAATTCTTCATTTCTGCATGTATTTTTCAAATGTGTACATTCAGTTATTAAATTGGTTTATACCCTACAAAATATTTTGCATATTATTTTCACTTAAAAAGTTATTTTGATGCCTATACTTGTTAGAAAATATGCATGAACGTACATTTTTTTCTAGTCCTGAGCTATCTCAGTGCACCATAATTTATGTAATAAATACTCTGCAGATGGGCATTTAGACTACAACCAATGAATTTCCATTATAAACAATGTTGCAGCAGCAACATATTTTTGGAAATCTCTCTTGATCATGGGAATATTCTTATATGATAAATTTCCAAACTAAAATTGCTGTGTCAAATAGTCATGCTGATTTTGCTTCTAAAACATTATACTCATTTATATCCTTAACATTATAATGTGTAAGATAACTATCATTATAATTTCACCATCCACAACTTACAAAGTAATATTTAGGTTTTAGTTTCTGATTTTTGTTTATCCCTAGTAAATCTGGACCTATGTTTCCACATTTATTTTTGATTTTTACAAATTTTCTCTGAAATGCCAACATTTTTTGTCTAATTTTTAAATATTTTTTATCACTTCCCATTGCTTTATATTACATGAATAAAGTTTATTTTAAAACTTTTCTAAAGTATAGTTTATCCCAGATGATAATATTAGCATAATGATTTATAAACATGTATTATACCAGTGGAAGTTTATTTAAAAGTAAAGTAAGTCAGTAATAATTAAGCATTATGCTCAAGAAAACAACAGTTGTTGTAATAATCTCCTGTCCAACAATGAACATTTTTTAATGGCATTTCAAATCTTGGGGATTTCTCATGTAATTCAAAACACTCCATCAGAATTTTTTATAAGTCAATTTGTTTTAATTTTTCTTATGTCCAAGTAAACTGCTTTCCACAGGTAAGAATGTGCTGTGTCTTGAAGGGTTTTCTTGTGATTTGGGTGCTTTGTTCTCCAATTTGTCAAGTATGTTGTAGGAATTATAGTACTTTTTGCCTGATATAACCTTGTAAGTTTTCCTAGTTCACATAATTTGGAACATCTTTACTTCCACAACTGCTACTGCTTCTTGTCCCCTTCCCTTTCCCTTTCGCTTTCCCCTTTCCATTTCCCTGCCCCTTCTTTCCCTCTTCCTCATCTTCTTTCTCCCATTATTTCAGTGGTGACAACTGTGCCAGATTATTCAGGTGTCGTTTTTGTAAAATGTTAGCATGCATATTGCTCCTTGTCACACCTGGTTACTTCGTCCATGTTGGAAACTTTTCGAGAAACTGGGATGAGTTGATCATGTATTCTTCAAGGTAATAAAATGCTAGTTCAATTTTGGTCATTTTACTGCTTACCTAAATATTATAAATACCTTAAAAGAAAGGTATGGAATTGTGTCTCATCCAACAAAACCTTCCTTTTCTCTTTTAGTCCTTTTAAAAGTTTATAAAATAAGAAAATTGAGACATGTGTGCTCTCATGACAATAAATGCATCCTACCTGGATGTTAGTTCTGTACTTGTGAAGGAGTCAACTGCTAGAAAAAGGGGTTATAGTAGGTAATGGAGACATGGATGTACAAGAAGTTAGCCTGGAATTCTTTTGAATTCAATTTAGAGTCGAGAATCCCTTTCTGGTCTTTACTTACTCATCTCTATCCCTCACATAATGACACAGTTGTATAAGAAGTACTTCTACTTATCTACAAGTTTACCAGCACAGTAAGCTATGAGAGTTTATACAAATTACTGCTGAGTAAAATTAAACATTACTTGGAACTCTTATTGCTTGAGTTCTGGCATATCTTGGCCAGTCCAGGTTAAGATTATTCTTAAATAGAGACACCTCAAGACTTTCTGAAAACTCCACTAGGTATGATCATTAGGGAAAGTTAGAAATCTTGATGCTTAGATTCCTTTATTAAACCACCTAATATTAACTAAAATATACTAAAATATATATTCAATATAAATTTTATTAAAAATATATTTAAATATTTATATTAAATATCTTAAAAATAAATATCAGTTGCTTAGAAAGTGCCATACCTGTAATACTGTGAAGATATAAAATTTGTCTCTAATACTTAAATGCTTGCCTATGGTTTAGCACCCTAGAGTTGCAACCCTCTAGAAAATATTTATCCAAAAACTGTGGCTACCATAGTTGATAATATACTTTAAAGAATACATTTGAGAAAAATCAAAGCATGATGATACTAACCAACTTAACATCTTCCAGATTAGTGCGGTATATGAAAGGTGTGTGTGTGTGTGTGTGTGTGTGTGTGTGCTGGTCTCTCTGAGCTGAAAACATAGTACTTGCTGTTTCCAATGCAAGAGTTGAACACAGTAAATTATAGGCGAGGGGTGGTTAGTCCATTTCACTGTCAGTGTGCTTGTCAGTGGTATTTTTTTCTCCAAATCTTTGTCAGAATTTCTTAGCTAGTTATTAATAAATTTCAGGTAACCTTTAGGTAAGTCTCTTAGCCTATTTCTGTCTCCTTTTTCCTCTATGAGAAGAAAAGACAGATGCTTAGTTTGATATGCCTAACATTGTTGAGAAAGCCATGGTGAGAATGCTGAAGAGTCTGGAGGAATAAGAGGAATTCTGAACTCTGTGAAGAAAACATGAATACCAAAGAAAACCAGGCCATCTGTTTCGTATTAACATAAAATTCCATATAGAGTAAGAAGTGAAAAACTGAGGGTAGGATTCAGAATTTAACAAGACCATGTTATTTTTTAAAATGTTAACACTACATAAATATGGTGTATTTACTAAATTGTACTAATTTGAGCATTCTTGTGAATTTCTATTTTGTTATGTTTCCTGGTCTTTAAAAGAAAATAGAATTCCTTTAAATTCAAATATCAATTTGTCATAACTTCTTTATTCACATTTCCTCAAATGTTTTAGACGGATGTCTGAAATTCCTACATGATGCCCCATGAATTTAGATTTGGTCCCCTGAACCCCCAATATAGTTGTAAAAGGGAGATACTGTCACTGCTTAGAGTCTCCTGGGCTCATTGTCACATCAGATTCTGAAGCACATATATTCAAATATATCTTAAATACCTAATTGTGGTCAATTTCTTGGCAACAAGAAATCTTCTATATTTATTTCATAATAAGCCTTCTCTTATTTCATTAAAATTTATAACTTCTCAATGATTATATTTCATAATTAAATAAAGATGCTTTCCACACCCCACCCTATGGAGAATGTACTATTGTGCCAGTAAAATAATGACTTTGATGGCTAGAGTTCATGTGTTTGAGAGTTTTAAGAATCTCTTAGAATATCCTGGTGCAGTCACCTTTTACCACCACCAAATGGTTTCTTCTCGTTTTGCTTTATGTGGCAAATTTCATATGAGGCTTTTTGGGGCTGTTTTGTGGCTTCTTCATCTGGGGCTAAAATGTTTGTTGCCTTTGCAATTTGCACTGATTGCTTAAGAAAAGAATGGTTTGTTTTGCAAGGGCTGCTTTTAGTTTAGTGGGTTCTGTGCATAGTTAGCTACAATGTTTTTATTTTGTGGTGATGGTCCAGATTGTGTTTTTTGGAGGTATTTATTGCTTTCTTACAAATTACACATATTGTGAAAGAGCTGTTTTTATCCATATACAGAGAAAAGATAAATACAGTCAGTGATCAAATGAAAAAACCCAATGAAATAAGCTTATATCACACTGTCAAAGAAAAATAATGGCGTCAAGAAGGAAAAAAGAAATACTTTCTAGAATGCTTGTCCCAAATATTAGAATATTTCCATATTTTAAATTACTGTTCTTATACTTAATGTTATTGTGATATTCCTAACACCTTCAGGAGGAAAATCAACTTGTGTGATCTGTTCTGTGGTAAACAAGACTAATGCTAACATCATATCACTGTGTGTTACATAGTATATGATGTATAGTGTATGCCAGTGGTGTTTATAAACATAGTATCATTTAGATCTTAATACAGCTTGTTGAAAAATTATTTTCTTCTATTTTACTAAGAAAGAAACTGAGCCTCTAGAAGTTAAGTAATTTGGCAAAGTTCACATGGCTAGTAGCAGGCCAGAATTTAAACAGCTTTGATTGATTCTAAATCATCTGCTTACTTTGCTGTGCTCCCATGATCTTCCTAAGAGCAATTACTCCAATATATTTATGTTGCCAATTGAGAAACCTCTTGTTACTGATTATTTTTACAAGTAGCTTTATGATTTTTAACTTATATAATTCCAAAAAGGAAATATTAAATCTAGACCACAAAAATAATGTAAAATTAGTTATTTCATCACCATCCAAAATGTCAAATGTAAACACAGCATTGATCAGATTGATGTCTGATGAGTTGTATGATTGCTTTCTTCAGACACAAAAAATAAAAAATAAACAGTGAATTTAAAAAGCTAGCACCTCAGCATTTGTACACCCATTGCTTATTAAATATATCAGCTGTGGCATCTTCTCTCCGGTGAAAGAAGACATTATTCCACAGATAAATATGGGTAGGGATGAATAACCCAGAATAATATTTGTTTGTCTTCACTGGCAGAGTAATGACCGTGATTCTCTATGCTTTCTTGGTAACTTTTTATATTTTTACATGTTTCCCATTTGAATTCCAAATATTTTGTCTACCTCTTTCCCAACTTCACCATGAGTATCTTGAGACCAAAGACTGGTTTTGGCAGATTCTTATTCCTTTTCTCACTGTTAGGTGCATGGTAGTATTCCTAGCACATAGAAATGGTTAACACTTAGAATTTGTACAAAAATTGCTGCTTGAATGAATGTCTTTAAATTCAACAATGTAATGATAAGATCTGAAGCTGCATTAGTTCTTCATTGTCTACCTGCATTGCGTATTTCTATCTGTTATTGATAATATCAATGACTATGTTAAGTTATTGATAGAACCTCAAAATTTCTGATTACTTAAAATAGGCTTTTTTTGATGATACTGATAATGATAACTATGATTATTGTTGACATTTTTGAGATTATCAACAATGTCATCATCACCACCACCACCTTCTAAAAAGATAACTAAGACAGATTCAAACTGAGGATAAAAACACAACATGAATCAGAGTGGGTCATAATAACTAGAACAAAGAGAAAAGAATCATACATTTATTGTGAAAGAATACGAGATTTACCTTCTGAAGATCAGTATGCCTGCTTCCGCCACATAATTGCTGAATGATCTTGGCTCTGTCCACTTAACCTATTTAGGTTTCATTATCTTTAAAATGGGAAAAATTATGATTCCCAAATACATCTCTTCTAAGGATCAAATAGGACATTCTTTTTAAAAGACCTTTGTAAACCATAAATATTAAAGATATCCATGCTAGCTAATATTATTCCTGTAATTTCTGCTCCAAAGGTATGAGTAAATATAATTTAATTGCTGGTTCTCTGGAAGACTCTATATTCTCTGTTTGTCTGAGCTTAATTAATTTTTAATCTTATTAAATAGATTGATATTTTATTCCTAGTATGATGGGGACTGCTTAGCATCCCAGATTTTCCAAGAGATTATATTTATTCCTGCATTTCTTACTCTGATTTCCTGTCTCTGATAAATTCATTATATCAGATATTCTCTTGCTTCCTGTATCTCTAGGGATCTTTGTAAACATCTTTACTCTGTGATACCCCCTCCACATTGACTCATCTCATAAGACAAGAGTAGCGCAAAAATCTTCTGCAAAACAGACTTAGAATGATGATTTCAAGTAGAATTTTAGAATGCATACTAGGTAGAAACTCAAAAGTTGAATGTCAATCATTAGTGTAAAAATAAAAAGAAAACAGTCAATGAACCTTCTGCACCCTGGTAGATTTTTTTTTCTTAGCTATTCCTGTTTTCTTTAGATGATGACTGCTGTCTTCCTATCTTTCTCTCCTTAGCAATGCTTTTCTTCCATCCCTCCACTTCTCTGCCAGTCCTGTTTTGGCCTTCTTGGAGAAGAAGCACTATACTTGTTAAACTGCTCTGAAAATGAAACTAACAGAACAATACAGCCTGTATTGATATTTTCGCTTTTGTTTTTTGCCTAAAAGGTAGAACAGTTCTATCCCCAAATGAAATGTGGCTTTTTAAAATAGTGAACTCATATAAGCTGAAGACAGTTTTGAAACGAATATTTCTTTGTTTTCTGATGTTTATGTCAAATATTTGAGATAAAAATGTACAAATGACCCTTACTTTTCCTATTCCATACAGCTTGATTTTGCCTTACTTTTGAAAAATATAACATGAGTCAAAATTTGTAAGAACTTTTAAAAATTTATTTACTATTTACTATGTTCCATGCTGGCACTGTACAATGGAGCTATAATGAGAAATCACTATGTAATTTAAAAATTTTGTAGTACAGTATCCGTGTTAAAAAAAGGAAAAACAGGTAAAATTATTTTAATAATATATTTGAACTCAGTATATATAATATGTAACCATTCCAACATGCAATCACTATAAAATATTAATGAGATATTTTGTATCCAACATGCAATCACTATAAAATATTAACGAGATATTTTGCATCCTTCTTTTTTATTAAGTCTTTGAAATCTATTGTGTTTTAACACTGTATGTCTCAGTTCACATGAGCTACATTTGGAGTGATCAATAACAACAGGTGACTAGTGTCTATTCCACAGCCCAGCACAGTTCTAAGCACATGAGTGTTGCATGTCTCTATAAATCTCACAATGGTCTGTATTAATTCCATGTGACAGATGAAGAAAGGGAAACACAGAGAAGCTAATTAAGTTGTTTAAATTCACACATTCATATTAAAGCCAGATATTGAATTTAGCTTGTGACTGCAGAGTTTTCAATCTCAACATTATGTTCCTACTTCTTTACTTCACTATTATTAATATTTGGCCAAATCTTTGATAAAACTGAGTTAGGTCCTCTTCTTTCTCTTTTTACTGCTTGTATGAATTTGGTAAAGAATGCTGAATTGACATATCTCTGGACTAAAATATTTTTGCGGTCAGAATGTTATTATAAGAATAGATTTAGGTTGCATAAGCACACGATGTTCTTTTGAAATGATGTACCTTAACACTGCCCCAAAGGGATTTTATCTATGCAATTCTTGGCCCTTCTACTGAATCAATCAAAAAGGGAATTGATTTGTGGGTGGGAAGTGTGGTGGGTTGAGTTCAGGAGCAAGCCTACCACATTTTAGTAATTACTGGTTTCATGTTAATTTAAGAAATCAAAGTTGTATCTGATATCATTATTCCTTCCAACATACTTATGTTTTCTTCTTTAAAAAGGAAAAAGAAAGTTATGTTTGTAAGGTAGTTCACTCAGCTGGCAACAGTATTCTTTTAAAAATTTAACATAATTTGTTTATAGTGGATAATTTATTTTTTCAGGAATATTTGTTTATGATTTTGCCAATAATTATATAGAATTATTTAAACAGATCATCTAGCTTTACAAACACTAATACACTTACTTTTTATCCATAAGGTGCTAAAAATATTTCAAATAAAAACCTAAAATATCTTTACTGGCATTCTCGTGAAGTCACTATAATGGGAAACATTCTCCCCAGGCTACAAGTGAGAAGTGGAAGTTGAATGACGTTCACAGCCTCAGAAGCTCGTGGTGATGGAACCACTGGAGGGCTTCAAGTGGGCTCAATCAGCAGTCATTGCAGATGCAATCCTTTTTGAGTAAACTGCTCCTTCTAGATTTCCTGCAGCTCTTCTGGTTGCGTCATGCCCACTGACATGTTACTGGCCTTTGACAGTCTTTGGTGTAAAACTAGGAGGTATGCTGAAAGGGAGGGTGACATCCACACATCTCTTTTGCTGACTGTCTGTATGAGAGAGATGTGGCAGACAGAAAGTCCTGTGTAGTTTACTCAAGAAAGAATGAGTTCCATCTGCTCACTATGCAGGCTCTCCTTGGGTACACAGTAAGGGCTTTCTCAGTGCCTATATTTAATTTACACACAAAATACAGGCTTTTCTAAAACCCTCACCACATTTTACTCTGTCTGCGTAATTCAGAATGTTTCCCTTCGTGAATCACACGTTGAAAAAAATAGTGCTCCACCCACATAAACTATTAATTTATTTACATGAGACTAAAGATAATACACTTGTGTAGATACACACACACATGCACAAAAATGTATGTATTTTAACAAACTCATGTTCAAGATTTGATTTTGCCACTGCCTTCCCTTTGCCACTAGACTCTGGGTTTTAGCACTCCTCTTGCCTGGAACTGCTATTCAAATAGTTGTGCAGATCTTTTGTTGTCTACATTTACCAAATAATCTCTCATTACTCAGAGGCCTGATTCCAAAGTACATTTATCAAATAGTCTCTCAGTGTTCAGAGGCCCAATTCCAAAGTCCCAAGAAAGTAAAATTACCCAAATCATCTCCTTTGGCTAGGCTTATCGGTCTGAAAATTGGCTGTATATGAATTGACTGCCCAGTACACACCCCATTCCAATGAGCCCTGGATAAAGGACAGCTTTGTGCAAGAAAAGGGATAAACATATCAACGATTCCTTCAGACAGTGACAGGAGGGGGGCAGAAACAGTTCCTGCCTCTCTCTTTTAAAAACTTATACCTTGATTTTCTTCTCTCATTCTCTCTCTTCATCCCTCTCTTCCTCTCTCTTTCCCTCTCCCTACCACACCCAGTGATAACTATTTACTAAACTTGTAATGGGTTGACCCATAGCAGTGCTTTAGCCCATTCTAACTATTTGTTTTGCTATCCCTCTAAATCCCTGTGTTAGATTTAAGTAATAATAACGAACACCAAAAAATCTGATCAAACCCAGCCAATATTTTGTTACTGTCCTGGTGGCCTTTGTATCCTAAAGGTGTGCAGGTTAGATAAGATAATTAAGTAATAATGAATTAATTTCTTTATAGAGAAAGGAACTATATTTATGGAGAATATAATATATTTCAGGTATTTGCATGTAATCTTTAAATGAAGCCACCAAGAAGGACGTTGTTGATCTCCATTTTGCATTTGCTTAAACAGACTCAAAAATAGCAAGTTCTTTTGTGTAAGTTCAAGCAGATAGTCATGGGCAGTGATGTAATTTGAGTTCAGGTTCCTCTGATACTGCATTGCTTACCTTTTCTGTTACATTCTTTCATTCTATAAACAGAAAATCAATCTACTTGAGAAACCAGTTTTTCAAATTTCGCTCAACTTAGTCTTTTTTTGGCAAACATTATTCGTAACCAGAGAATTACTGCAGAGGATATGAGAACATTTACCTATCCTTCCACTCCAATTCACTGAAGAGAAAAACTGTTGGGTTAAAGGGGGAACATTGTTTGACAAAATCATTGCAAAATCTTTGTCTATTAACAGTTTCCTAAAGGGTTCACTAATATGCTGGATAGTAAGGAAGGTGGCCTTCTTTTACAATTATCTTTTATAATAGTAATGATAAAATTCCTTCTGGGAACATTTCATGACCACATAATTGATTATTTTTTTGCTTTTGATGTTATTTTCCACATCTATAATGCATACAAATATAAAATTATGAACATTAATATAATTTTTAATCAAATTCAAATTATTAAAATAGGTATATCAAATGGTTCATTTGTATCCCAATGTGAATTGTCTTTTTATTTTATTATCACTATTGAGAAAAGAAGAAAAGTGTCATCAAGATCTACTTATCAGTTTCATTAGTAATACTGTTTATCATGATCCTATGGTTTAAAGTTATAAAAACATTTTGCCAATTATTATATTTTTGCATTTGATATTATATTATTCCATGCTGCTTCTGTTTTTACTCTCCATATCTGCCCCCACAAACATCTCTCCCATTTCTGTAACAGCCTTAAGGGAATTCTGGCAAGAACCAGTCGAGAAAGAATAAGAGATATATGAGTCACTTCCGACCCTACAATTAACACATGAGGAGAGAACTTAGTGAAAACAATAACTCCTCAGGCATATGTGGTTTTTGTTTTTAGGCCAACATACTTTCCCTCTGAGTTCATTAGCTGCCATTTTGTAAATGAACCTTTTGCTTGCAAGCATCAGCTTTAAGTGTTTTAGCAAATTGGAATTCACACTGCTCTTATCATTTAATTTAAGGGAATGCTCTGCACTGGATCTAAAGGATTTTTAAAGAACTACTCTCATTGGCAAAGCCCCAGGAAATCACTAAGAAACTATTTCTTAGGGAAATGCAACCCAATAGTATTTGGCCTATGCATAAAATATATATTTATTTTATTTATTAGTTACCAACATTTTATGGCCATGCTAAAAATGAGTTGTAAATTCTGTGATGCCAGTGATTTTAGAATTACGGGTAGATCACTATTTAGTGCATTATGGAATCAATTTGGATGGTAGGGACGGGCAATGAGAAGACAAGACCAGAGTGCATTGCATACAGGGAAGATGATCTTTGTATGTTGGTAGCAGTGAGCATTGAATGGAAAAGTGGCATGCATTGCTGTAAGTAAAAATAAGCTCCTTACTGTGAAATAGTTTTTCAGTTACATCTACATATTTCTATCTATCTATAAATGGATATATGTATGTATGTCTGCTCTAAATCACTATGTAAAATATATTTCCCTATAGATCACTGTATAAATATTTGAAAATGTAGAATAAATCAATAAGCATTTTAAATATAAGTAGTTCTTTTTTTCTCTATTGCTTCAGAGACTGGAGTACTAAATGAATAATCTACTTTATATATGTCCAAATTTAATCAATAAGTTAGAGATTGGCAATTTTAGATTTCTTATACTTGCTCAGGTCTACAGCAACTTTTAGAAAACCTTTAGTGAAAAAGGATTCCTAATTAATCTCTCGTTGCTGAAAAGTTTCTCTGCAACATTTTTAATACTCTAGAAAAAATGAGTGCAACAATTATAGGAAACTGAATGATGCAAATAAAATTAGACAATAGTGGCCCCTGTATGTGTGTAAATATGTATGCATGTGTGGGGGTATGTGTGTTTATGTATATATGTGCATGTGTGTGTAAATATATACATATATACACATATGTGTATATGTATGCATATACACATGTGTATATGCCTACGTATATACACACATGTGTGCATATATACACATATACATATGTGTATGCATATATGTGTATGTATGTATGCGTATATACACACATATGTGTATGTATGTATACACATATATGTGCTGTGAAGAAAAATTACACTGGAGTTAAGTGAAAAAGACTATATTCTGGACACTGCAATAAGGAAGAGAGATTGAACTCAACTTCCCTAAAACTAAGGGCAGAAAAGATTTTAAGGGCTGGGGTGAGCTAGTGGGAAAGTGCCAGATTATGTGATAGGGAAGTTTGGTCATGTGATTAGGCATCTGTGTTTGCTAATAGTTATTCATAGGAGTTAGGTTCCTATCTACCTATAGAGTTTGGGAGATAGTGGCTTTATTTTTCTTGATAATAACCTGACTTCCAGGTTTTTGAGAAAGATATTCCTGAGTTGTAAAACCGGCAAGAGGCTTGTAAAAGAGTTACAGTAAAAAGGGCCACAGAAGGAATTTACAATTGCAAGCTTTCAAATGTTAATGCTCTAAGAAAAGGGAGGTCAGGGTTGTATAGTCAGGAAAGGACTTGTCTAAATTTTAAGCTTAGTCAACCTAAGGGAATGTTAAAGCCATCTTGGTTTATAGGTAGATAGATAGATAGATAGATAGACAGACAGACAGACAGACAGACAGACAGATAGATAGATAGATAGATAGAAATGTTAAAACCATCTTGATTTAGATAGATGGAAAAATTATATATATTTATGTGCGTGTGTATGTGCATGTATATATACACGGAGACAGACAGACAGCGAGAGTCTGAATCTTTCAACAGGCAAGGAAGAAGTATTTTTCATAAAATATTTTGGAGATTATTTTTAAATGAAGGCATTTCTTAGAGTACCTCGAGTAAACTTTCGAAACACGTATTTCAAAACCCTTATGTGTTTAACATCTGGTTTATACAATCCAGGAACTCCTAAAAAATGTGAATATTATAGATTATTCATCATTTACAATTGCCCGGACTTCTGCATTTTTCCTATAAATACAAATAATTGACTATAAGCTTTGCAAAGATGTGCTTTACCTAATTTCTCTGAAATCATAAAATGTGGCAATTGAAATTAACCAGTTTCCCCCATTACCTCTTTACTAACTGTTCATGCTTCTACTTAGGCATTGATGGAGATAGCATAGCTCAATTTAAATTTAAAGTAAAGGGACTAAACAAGATAGTCCTATCCCTTTCTCCTTAGAGGGTTTTTCAGGTCAAGGATTTCTACCATGAAAATATTAAACCAAATTTAGTGGTAAAATGAATCACTACTATCATTAAAGAAAGCAACCCCAGCTTCCCTGGAATATAAACTGCTTATCTGAGAAGCTGCTCAGATTTAAATCAAGTCAGAGTGGTTGCCTTTTTAATTTTTAGTTTGGGTCTCTTACTTCACGTTATTGTTTCTCATTCAACAGCATCTCGATTTGTGTTGCAGATTATCCAGTTCATAGAGACCTTGTTGCCCACCAGTGGCATCGCTCCAGACAAAAAGCCTCTTTGATTGTATTCTTTTCCCACCCAGTCTCATCGCAATGTTAAAAAGTCCATTACATCACAGAGCACATTTTTTAGTCCAGACTATGTCTTCCAATTTTGGCAGACATCTATTTCTCTATTTTTGTGAAATGTATTAAGAAGCAGTATTTAATTGTATTAATTGAGTATATAATACCAACAAAAAGCATTCATTTTCAAAGCTCGAATCCTTAATACTTGCTGTGCCCTTGGCAGAAAATACTCCTTTGCTACTTTATTCCCTTAGTCTGTCTACCTCATATATCAGGTAAGAAAGCATTTGCCCAGGGATGCCTTTTCTCCTCTGACAGAGGATGACAAGTATCCCTGTCTTATGACCTCGTAGTACCCATCTGTGTTTACTAGAAATTGTAATTATTTATTAGTCTGTAGGTGCTAGGAAAGTATGGACAATGCTTGCATTCCCCAACTTTGTATTACTAGCACGTAATACAGTGCCTGGGACATAGTAGACGTTTTATAAATACCTAATGGTTAATGATAATCAAATGAATAAGTGTGTCATATTCAGAGTTAGAAAGTGAGACAATGGAAACTAAGCAGGAAGGAAAATCAACATGACAGCAGACAGAAGATTTCCTTTATTCTACTATGATAAATCTATTTTGGTAAGTAGTATGTATTAATGTGAACATGTTTTTATCCACAATTCGGAATCAAACATTAAATATTAAAAATAATAGTATATTTCCAGTTCCTCCCCAATTCCCTTAAAGTCTATATTTGGCATGTGATCCTATTGAATTGTACTGTTTTAAACTATTTCTTCAAATTGTTGAGGTCATATTATTACTATGTTGAATTTTGATCTTGACATTCAAAGTGTTAATCAGTCTTTCCAAATAAAGAGAACTGTAGATTACCAAATTCACACACTTTTCTATCATCCAAGTCATTGATGAAATGAATAAATAAACAAATGAATAAATGTGTTAGTAATAAGATAAATTGATGAATAATATTTAGAAGTTGTGATACACTTACGAAGTCATAATATTCCAAGCATTTCATAAACACATTTATACTTATATCCTTCTCATTACTTATATATCTTAGAATTACACTTAATTTTATCAGCAGGGATATAGGATATAACTTCTTGAGTATACTGTGATAATATGTATAGAAACATTTATAAATGGGTAAGAGTTATGCCAAGGAAAGAGAAAAAATGTTAAAAGCTAGTGCTATATTCTTGACTCAGGTCATATTTAATGTTATTTATTATATCTTTTATTACATACATACACATACACAAACAGTCATACATTCTCACTAGCTTGGTATCATTTACATTATTATAATTTCAATTTCCTTCCCAATTCCCTTAAAGTCTATATTTGACATGTGATCCTATTGAATTGCATTGTTTTAAACTACTCCAATTTGTTGAGGTCATATTATGGTCATGTTGAATTTTGATCTTGACATTCAAAGTGTTAATCAGTCTTTCCAACTAAAGAGAACTGTAAATTACCAAGTTCACAGACTTTTCTATCATCCAAGTCATTGAAGAAAATAATAAATGGCCCTTGGCCCACAACTGACCTCTACATAATAAAACTTCTGTCCACCTTGGATGACAAAGAATAATTAATGACTTTGATTGTTCTACCTATTTTGTTTCCAACAAATAGATCTATGGTGCTGATCTATTTGGATCAATTTGTGAATGAATTCAATTATTAATAATTTTATAATTTTAATATTTAATTTCTGATTTCAAATTGTGAATGAAAACATATTAACATTAATGCCTACTACTTAACAAAATAGATTTATCATAGTAGAATAAAGTAAATCTCTGCCTGTTGTCATGTTGATTTTCTTTCTTGCTTTGTTCCCATTGTCTCATTTTCTTACTCTGAATATGACAGCTTCATGCAATACTTCCTTTCCCAGCTGCCATGCCACAAAGAAGTCTTTGAGATTATAATAGGCTATAATCTTTGATGGAAAATAAGATAAATATGTTTGTGCATTCTTAATCACAAATCTGTCTCTTAGAGAATGAAATTATTTCACTTGTTGCTTGCTTATGAGGACTTCTTTCTCTGAATAAACAAAAATTTATTTTGTTCATTTATGCAGTCATCTCTTTACAGTTCTTTTTTTAAAATTATTTTTCCGTAAGTTATTGGGGTACAAGTGGTATTTGATTACACGAGTGAGTTCTTTAGTGGAGATTTGTGAGAACCTTGAGCACCCATCATCCGAGCAGTATACAGGGCACCGTATTTGTTTTATTTTATTCCTCACCCCACTCCCACTCTTTTCTCCAAGTCCTCAAAGTCCATTGTATCATTCTTATGCCTTTTTATCCTCATAGCTTAGCTGCCACATATCAGTGAGAATATATGGTGTTTGGTTTTCCATTCCTGAGTTACTTCACTTAGAATAATGGTCTCTAATCTCAACCAGGTCATCGCAAATGCTGTTAATTCATTTATTTTTATGCCTGAGTAGTATTCCATTTATATATATTTATTATATAATATATATATAATAATATTATGTGTATTATATATATAATCCCAATACTGGGAATATATATAATATATATTTATATATTATATATAATATATAATATAATATAATAAATATTATATATATTCCCAGTATTGGGATTGCTGGATCAAATGGTAGTTCTACTTTTAGTTCTTTAAGGAATCTCCACACTGTTTTCCATCATGGCTGTACTAGTTTACATTCCCACCAGCAGTGTAGAAGTGTTCCCTGATTGGCGCATCCACACCAACATCTACTTTTTAAAAATTTTTTTGATTATGGCCATTCTTGCAGGAGTAAGGTGCTATTACATCATGGTTTTGATTTGCATTTCGCTGATCATTAGTGATGTTGAGCATTTTTCCATACATTTGTTGGTCATTTGTATATCTTCTTTTGAGAATTGTCTATTGATGTCCTTAGCCCACTTTTTGATGGGATTGATTGCTTTTCTCTTACTGATTTGTTTGAATTCATTTTAGATTCTGGATATTAGTCCTTTGTGAGATATACAGATTGTGAAGGTTTTCTCCCACTCTGTGGGTTGTCTGTTTACTCTGCAGACTATATTCCTTTTGCTGTGCAAAAGCTCTTTAGATTAGTTATTTATTTTTGTTTTTATTGCAATTGCTTTTGGGTTTTTGGTCATGAAATCTTTACCTAAGCCAATGTCTAAAAGGGTCTTTCCAATATTATCTTCCAGAATTTTTATAGTTTCAGGTCTTAGGTTTAAGTCTTTTATCCATCTTGAGTTGACTTTTGTATATGGTGAGAAATGAGGATTCAGTTTTGCTCTCCTACATGCGGCTAGCCAGTTATCCCAGCACCATTTGTTGAAAGGGGGGCGTTTCTCCACTTCATGTTTTTGTTGGCTTTGTCAAAGATCAGTTGGCTAGTAAGTATTTTGGTTTATTTCTGGGTTCTCTATTCTGTTCCATTGGTCTATGTTCCTATTTATACCAGTACCACACACTTTTGGTGACTATGGCCTTATAGTATAGTTTGAAATCAGGTAGTGTGATGTCTCCAGATTTATTCTTTTTTCTTAGTCTTTCTTTGCCTATGCTGGCTCTTTTTTGGTTACAAGTGAATTTTAGAATTGTTTTTTCTAACTCTGTGAAGAATGATGGTGGTATTTTGATGGGTATTGTGTTGAATTTGCATCTTTACAGTTCTGCCTCTCTCTTCTTGTTTGTATATTCCTTAAAGACAAATAAATATTCATTCATCTTTGATTCCTAGTGCCTAGCACACTTAGTAGCTTCTAATAAACATTTGTTTAATAAATTAAATACTATTATAAAATCAAGCAGGAAAATTTGGGAGTTCTAGATAGTCAACATAAGGTAAATTAAAGGGCCCCTCTGCAGTCTAAATACAAGATACTTAGAATGGAATGGATAATTAAACAGGCTGACTAGTTGACAGCTAGTATTTATTCAATTTTAAAATGTTATATTATGAATATTCCTGGATGCACCTTGAAATAGATAGATCTGAAAATTTGTGCCTTTTTTTTTCTCTTTGATGCTCACTAGGTAACTGTGTAGGTTTCCAGGCTCATGGCCTCCATTGCTTCCTCAGAATATTTCTCTAATATCTTAATGTCATCATTTTCAGGAAGCCAAGACATTTTAAAGGAAAATAACAGTAGATTTTTTTTTTCATTTTCTAAACTACATGGAAAAATACATGAAAAACATACTTATTTACATTTTTCAACAGATCTAGATTTCATGGGATTTTACCTGGCTTACAAAAGAAAAAAACTAATCAATGTAATAAGATGCATATATGTATATAAAATTAGCATTCATTAGAAATTCAATTAAAATTAAAATTCATTCATTTTTAAAATAAAAATGAAGTTAATAAATATTTCCATTACTGATTTGCAAACTTTCAATAAAAAACTAAGCTTAGGTATTTCTAAGTCTTTTTTACTGCCATTTAAATATATTATCTAAAATTCATCATAGCAGAAACATGGGCTGCATGTTAAAATATAAAGACAAAAATTCATTATTTTTACCACTTTAGGTGCTTTCCATGAACAACAGATGACTTCTTTAAATATTTGCAGTAATGTCTAATTAAAGTTGCAGCAGTGGATGCTGCAACTTACCCTATATTATTTATACCTGAGCAAGATATGTTTTAATAATTTTAGTATTTTATTGGCCTTTTCTTCCATAATAAATAATCTCTTTTCTTTCACTATAGAATTTGGATTTTGATTTCTAATCTTCAAGTTTGCTTTAAGTAAAATTCTACTTTTTTCTATCAGGCAACTAAATTTTGATGAGAAAATTTACTCCAACAAATATTTAATTAACTTAATATTAGGAATAATCCTAAGATAATTACTTTGTTTTTGTAAATGTGCTGTCGTTTTCAAGAAGGCTAAACGCACAAATGCCATTTTTAGTAGGAAGTTATAAATATATTCTACTTCAAGGAGAGTTAAAAAAAAGTTTATACCAGTGATTCAACAAATATTTTAAAGCATATTTTAACAATATTTCTAAAGAATTTAAAACAAATTGTGTTTGTGGTGACCATCAATTAAAGATGTAAACTGAATTCTGATATTTTTAAACATAATTAAACAAAAGAAAAGCTGTGCATAAGTAGCATGTTTTATAAAAATAATTGGCTCAACTAAGCTATAACAGCTCATTCTCATTTCTAAATTCTAATAAAGAATGTATAGAAATAGTAAGGTCAACTTATTTCATAATATAGGTATTCATGCGACAATTATAATTTCTACACACATGCCCATATTGTTTAAAATTTTACTAATACTGTTTGTACAATGACTCATGCTGTGAAAGAAGAAATGAGGAACACTACAGAAATTGGGTAATATGAAAATAATATTGTCAAGTCATGTAGGTATGTTTTCTCAAATTTATGGTACAGAATTCAGTACTTGAAACAAGAATTTTATTCTCTACTTTGGAATAAAAAACAAAAAATAATGAGGTCATATTTACAATAGCCTTATCACCAAGACCACTTTTCCAAACTAATTTTTAAAGTTACGTTTATTATTTGAATGTTGTGTGTGTGTGAACAAACACACAAACACGCACATTAAATAAGGCATTATAGGTGAACTTGTCACCTTTTTTCTCTTCTCCACTCTAATATCACTCTCATTTTTCATTTTCGTAAGCAGCTAGTATCATTAATTTGATATGAATGCTTCCAAATAATACTTTAATATTTTTACTGTATTCAAATGAATTTATGAACAATGTGTGATTGCTTTGAGTCTTCAATTGTTCTTAGTCTTTAAAATTTGCATGTTATTATACCAAATACATAATTCTGAAAAACATTTATAATATGTATAATTAATTATTTTGAGTATGGAACTGCATCTTATAAATGTTTCATATGTGTCTTCTGTAAGCAGCATGTAACTGGAATTCTTAAATCTATTTTTATTGTCTAAAATCACATGTATTGATTATTGATATATGTTGACTTAATTCCTTATTTATTTTGGCATGTTTTTTCTTTCCTGCATTCTTCTTGTTTAATTACATTTTTATTCTCTTTTTAAAAACTAAAATTATTCTTTATTTTTGTGATCCTTAATGTTTTTGAATCCTATATGCAATATCCACTTCTAGTATTTTCAGAAAATTTCAACATGCATTTCTAACTTTATAAAGTCTAAAGCTAATTATTATCTCATCTTCCTCCTAAACAGTACATAGGACCCAGAAATGTTAAGTCTGAGTTCTAATCTTCTGATATTCTAGTTCTACTTTGTTTACCTATGTCCTATTTACTATTTTTTATACTTATCTCTTATTTAAATTCACCCCAAATTGCTAATGTCTTAGCTTGCCATTGATCATATCACCTTACTTCTTTTTTGTTGTTGTTTTTCTTTCTCACTGAAGACTATTCTTTGTGCAATGATTCCCTAATCTTAGCTAAAACACATGAGAATTATGTGGGAAGTTTTAAAAACTTCCAACATTCAGCTACCAGCCCAGATCAATTAAATAAAAAATTATCAGGGTGCTGTTTCAGGCATCAGAATATTTTTAATGCTCCCCACACAACTCCAATGGATGGTTAACACCACTGCTTAGTCATTTTTTCAGTTAGAGTCTGTTGGTGGTAATACTCTTTGTTGCTCCATTAATAAAAATGTCTTTATTTACTTTTTGTTCCTGAATGAGTTTTTAAGTGGATATAGGATTTTAATATGGACAGCTACGTATCTTCAGTACTTTGAAGATATTGTATTGTTTTTCAGCATCTATTTTGTTTTTGAGAAAACAACAACTGTTTTTTTTAAATCCAGTCTTATTAATTGGGCGTGGTTGCATGTACCTGTGGTCCCAACTACTTGGGGGGCTGAGGTGGGAGGATCGCTTGAGATTGCACCACTCTACTCCAGCCTGTGTAATAGAGCCAGACCCTGTCTTAAAAGAAAGAGAAAAAACCTCCAGTCCTCTTATTTCCAGTTCCCCCTTGAATTATTAAGTATTACTTCAATGTTGAATTTGCTTTTCCCCTTAAATTCTTGGATCACAAATTTCTCCATTTCTCTTCCTAAGCTTGTTCAGTTACTGTTTGTTATTTTTTTTTTTTTTATGTTGCCATGTTTTGGTCACTTTATGTGTTTAGATGAGAGAAGGAATTTCTAGCATCAGCTCAGCCTGTTTTATTGACTGAATGCTTGGCCTTTTTGTTTGCTTGTTAGTTTGTTTTTGGTATATCACTAACTTAAATAATATGAATCTTGCATTCACTATACCCTCCATCTCTCTTGAAATATCTGTTTTTGATTAGAATATAGTTTAAACCATCACTAGCACCGCTTTTTTCTACACGCAACTTCACAGAGTTCCCATATGCATAGAACGATCTCCTACTTTATATCAAATTAACTGGCATCCTCTCTCCTTTGTTTTCATTGACTTCTCAGTTTTACTTCCAGCAGAAGGACTGTGCCTAAAACTTTTATATCTTAATGGATCCAATAGTCAGGACTTAAATAAATTTCTGTGTCACAGAGTCATTTGTCTTTATACTGATTTACATTCTTTGTGCATATTTCCATGTTATATGTCTAATGTAACATTAAGGGAGTTAATTTGCTAACTGTTACATCTAATAAATATTCAGCAGAATATTGTCATTTAGGGTTTTTTCATTATTTCTACAATTAACATCAACAACAAAAATAATAGTAATATAAAAAACAATTTTCCACATATAGCAGTCTCAGTCTTTTCTTTAATGCAGGAGAAGGCCCTTCACACTCTATTTGTCAGTTTGGCTTTAAGGTTTTCATTTTGTTGGCTAGAAGACAGATAAAGGGGATTACGGACAGAACTGAGCCTGGTTTCTGCTAATCTCCAACTTGAATTCTTTCAAGGGTTGCAAAATATGATTCAAGTATTTCACAAGCCTTTATAACCTCAGCCAGACTTTGTCATCTGTCTGGAATATGTGCCATCATGGGTGGATTTGGAACTGACATTTTCTATCTCTGATCTCAACTGTATAAATGTTTGTTTAGAATGACTATCAACATAGCACACAGGCACTTTCTCCTCTGATGTATAGATGATAGAATCATACTTAACTGGGGACCTATGGATTGGGCAGGCACAAACCATCAGAGGGCAATGAAGCAAATTTTCAGTGAACTAAGATTTTATATTTTTCCATAGGTAGAATGTACAACAGATTCTTCTGTTCCAGAAAACCACTTCTTATGATTTGGTTTACATTCCAGGTATCTCATACATACAGCCATATATTTGAATCTATAATGGTGAATTAGTTTTCCCAAATATCTTGTACATG
Organism: Homo sapiens; assembly: GCF_000001405.40. Lineage (NCBI taxonomy): Eukaryota > Metazoa > Chordata > Mammalia > Primates > Hominidae > Homo > Homo sapiens. The sequence continues at coordinate 78,197,179 of NC_000008.11, read as the reverse complement.
GAGCCTCCTTTTACTTTGGAATTACATTAAGATTCTCTTTTTCTTTTCTATTGTCTTCCCTTGGCATCATTTTGGAAAACTGTTTTAAAGCATAAGAAAAAATTTTAGGCAATATTATATAAATATCTTAACACTTATTTGATGAATTAATACATTTGAAGTTGTGACTCATGTTTATTTAATGAAAATCAAATTAAATTGATATGACTATCATTTATCAATAACTTATTTCTTAAAATACACAGTATATTATATAAAATCTGTAATCTTAAAAAATGGACTTATCACCTCAAATAGTTGAGCAAAACTTGAAAATGATAAGGATTAAAATGATTGACATATCACAAACATAGAAGCTTGAAGAGCTTGGAAGAATTTTAGAGACCCCTATTTCTCTCAATAAGAAAATGAAAGCTGACACCTTAGCGAGTTTTGGAAATTCTGCTTAAAAGTATCCAATTTTCCCTTAGAATTAAGGGGTAACTTAAAATTTTCAATTCTGTTAATCACATGCATATTTTCATTTTTTCAACAAACTTTTGGAAAATCTACCTTTTACTATGCATTGGGCATGTACTGGGCTACAGAGATAAATAACATAGTCTGCGGTCTCAAATCACTGAAAGACATAATGATCAAATATTAATCTATGCTAAAGAACCTAAAAATAATTCTGTAAAGAATTATTTCATAACGTTAAATTTAATAAATTACATAAATATTTTTGAGATTGAAAGCCTTGTTTTAATTTTAATAATGATGATGAATGATGATTATAAAGTTTTCATGGAGCAAAATAAAAAGTTGGTAATGTGACATAAATTTTGTCCCCCAAGGTGATTTCATTGTCATTTCCATTGTTGTTGTTACTGATACAAATTTTTGGGAACTATTGGAAAATATCTGAAAATCAGTATCTAATCAAAGAGAAGGGGAAAAACTCTGATAATTAGTGCATATTAATAACCAGTAAATTAGAAATGTGCTCACATGCTAGAAAACACTATTGTGAAAGTTTTGCTTTCTTAAAGCTTTAATAATGAGTAAGAGTTATCTAGGTGACACGAGTGTGGGAAAGTATGCTAACTCAGTGGCTAACTAGGTGTAATGGATTGGTTGGTAAAATTTGGAATTGTTCCTTGGTATTAAATCTCACTTAGACTTCTGCTCCTGGCCAAGATTGAGCAATAGGAACTGGATTTGCCCCCCTGCCTAACAGAACTAAGAAAAAAAATGTATATATTAAGCAATGGTTTGTAGATATTGGACAACAAGCAGCACAGGACAATGGATTTTATTAGATTGTTAATTATGAAATTATGATAACCATTGATAAGCCAGTGGGATGATGTCTGTCTAAAGACAGTAAAATGTTAAGACAAGTCCCTGGTCATCTGTAAAAAAATAAAACTAGATTCCATTTTTACATTTATTAATAACATGAATTATATACAATCTAAAATTACCAAATATAAAAAGAAGGAAAATATAACCCATAAGAAGGAGAAAAATCATAGAAAGATAGAAAAAAATGATGCATATATATATATATGTAAACAGACATTCAAACAGTAATTGTGACTAATTTTTATTGGTTCATAAGTTTAAAGGAAAGTATCAACACCATAAAGAGAGAAATAAAAGCTATAAAATGATCCCAAAATTATTTTATTTAATTTTTAAGATATAGTTAAGCTGTCCCCTGGAAAAAGCGATATAAAATTATTATATTTCCTTTTGTGAAAAACAGGCAACAATATAAAATCTAAATGGGCAGATAATCTTTAAAAACAATTAATTTTAATATATTATCAAACTCAATTTGTCTTTTCACTGACAACACTCCCTGCAAAAATTATAAGATTTTCAGGATATTAGTTGGAGGGTAAGATGCCAATATTTTTAATGGCTGTAGAAATGAGGGTCAGTAAATTGTTTCTTTGAACTTGAATACTTGAACTTGAAAATCATGCCCTTTTGCCAAGGTGAGCTTATTATAGGTAACTGTATTTCAGAGCAGTTCAAAAACAATAGAGTATACTATTCTGGTGTTATCCTGCATATACGTGTGTATGTGTATATGTATGTGTGTGTGTGTGTGTATATATATATATACATATATATATATATAGTGTGTGTGTGTGTATATATATGTGTGTGTGTATATATGCTATTTATCTATATTAATATCTACATGTATATCTCCTAAAGATCTGTGTTATATATAATAAAGTCGTATTTGTGACACAGCTATTGTGGTAGTTCCTGGCAAAGTAAGAATTACTGTTCATTATAGTCCCCTTTATCTAAAAATGTGCAAGAACAGAGAAATGAGCTGAAGATTTAAACCATCTTGTGACTGTAGTTGTGTTTTCAGTAATTTTAGGAAAGATGATTGATTTATTATAAACGATTATATTTTTCATTTATTAGATAGAATCAAAATGAATCAATCTGAAAGGCTTGTCCAAGAAGATAACATCAGTGGTTCTCATCTTATGAAAAGAAGTGTATCACTGGCAAACTATTAGAAAAATATATACACTATTATAATAGGTTGGTTATTTTTGGTTAAATAAACAAAAATAGGAATATTTCATAATTAATTGTATAATTGATTCCAAATGTTATTGCAACATAAAAGTATAAGTACATATTATTTATCAGTTTTTCTCTCCAAGTGAAAGAAAATGGCATTCCCATTGTCACTGTCGATATTCTGGGAAAGAAAATATAAAGGTGAATTCCATCTGATATAAATCTCTAAATAGGCTGTTAAAGGGAAATGGTTTGGCGTTCTTCTAAGAAGATTCTGGCAAGAATTACACTGGTTTTCATTAAACTCTTGAAGAGGGTGTAAACTGTGCATGTTCTGTCTAACACTGTGATCACCTGACAACCATCGTCAAATTAACACTGCAAAAATTAAGACAACTGGGCATATGATCAGGCATGTGTGAGCCCAGACATTGCTCATTCTTTGATTACACTGTCACCACTATCTTACTACAGAAAATTGCATCCTAATAACAGTGATGAGATCAAGATATTCCAACTGATTTGAATATTTTCAGCTGTAACATTGCTCAGCTCAGGTTTCCTTTTCCCTATATAATCCTTTATTTTCATTCATATGATGTTGCCACTTGATAAAATTTTAGCATCAAAAGGAAATCCACTAAAAATAGTCCTTTGAACAACAACAGTTTCTAATATGGACCAAGAATGGTATCAAAATCATCACATTATGTCCTAGGCTACAGTAATAGTAATAGTTTCACAACACTACAGTGCTTACGAAAGTCATATCTTAATGACAGAAGGGGACTGATGGATGCTTAATGGCTACAGGTGAGCTTCAGCATAATGACAGCACCTTTTTTAAGACTACAAGAAATGATAAGTTCTCGGTTTGTAATTTGTGTGCATGCTTTTTGCTTTTTCTTCTATTCGTATTTAAAATTTGATTACTCTGATACCTAGGAATCCAACTTACAAGGGACATGAAGGACCTCTTCAAGGAGAACTACAAACCACTGCTCAATGAAATAAAAGAGGATACAAACAAATGGAAGAACATTCCATGCTCATGGGTAGGAAGAATCAATATCGTGAAAATGGCCATACTGCCTAAGGTAATTTATAGATTCAATGCCATCCCCATCAAGCTAACAATGACTTTCTTCACAGAATTGTGAAAAACTACTTTGAAGTTCATATGGAACCAAAAAAGAGCCCACATTGCCAAGTCAATCCTAAACCAAAAGAACAAAGCAGGAGGCATCATGCTACCTGACTTCAAACTATACTACAAGGCTACAGTAACCAGAACAGCATGGTACTGGTACCAAAACAGACATATAGACCAATGGAACAGAACAGAGCCCTCAGAAACAATGCCGCATATCTACAACTATCTGATCTTTGACAAACCTGACAAAAACAAGAAATGGGGAAAGGATTCCCTATTTAATAAATGGTGCTGGGAAAACTGGCTAGCCATATGTAGAAAGCTGAAACTGGATCCCTTCCTTACACCTTATACAAAAATTAATTCAAGATGGATTAAAGATTTAAACGTTAGACCTAAAACCATACAAACCCTAGAAGAAACCTAGGCAATACCATTCAGGACATAGGCATGGGCAAGGACTTCATGTCCAAAACACCAAAAGCAATGGCAGCAAAACCCAAAATTGACAAATGGGATCTAATTAAACTAAAAAGCTTCTGCACAGCAAAAGAAACTACCATCAGAGTGAACAGGCAACCTACAAAATGGGAGAAAATTTTTGCAATCTACCCATTTGACAAAGGGCTAATATCAGGAATCTACAATGAACTCAAACAAATTTACAAGAAAAAACAAACAACCCCATCAAAAAGTGGGCAAAGGATATGAACAGACACTTCTCAAAAGAAGACATTTATGCAGCCAAAAGACACATGAAAAAATGCTCATCATCACTGGCCATCAGAGAAATGCAAATCAAAACTACAATGAGATACCATCTCACACCAGTTAGAATGGCGATCATTAAAAAGTCAGGAAACAACAGGTGCTGGAGAGGATGTGGAGAAATAGGAACACTTTTACACTGTTTGTGGGACTGTAAACTAGTTCAACCATTGTGGAAGTCAGTGTGGCGATTCCTCAGGGATCTAGAACTAGAAATACCATTTGACCCAGCCATCTCATTACTGGGTATATAACCAAAGGATTATAAATCATGCTGCTATAAAGACACATGCACACGTATGTTTATTGTGGCACTATGCACAATAGCAAAGACTTGGAACCAACTCAAATATTCATCAATGATAGACTGGATTAAGAAAATGTGGCATATATACACCATGGAATACTATGCAGCCATAAAAAATGATGAGTTCATGTCCTTTGTAGGGACATGGATGAAGCTGGAAACCATCATTCTCAGCAAATTATCGCAAGGACAAAAAGCCAAACACTGCATGTTCTCACTCATAGGTGGGAATCGAACAGTGAAAACACATGGACATAGGAAGGGGAACATCACACACCGGGGCCTGTTGTGGGGTTGGGGGAGGGTGGACGGATAGCATTAGGAGATATACCTAATGTTAAATGATGAGTTAATGGGTGCAGCACACCAACATGGCACATGTACACATATGTAACCTGCACATTGTGCACATGTACCCTAAAACTTTAATTAAAAAAAAAGAAAAAAAAATTTGATTACTCTGGTTTCCATTAAAATAATTGAACTAGTAATATTTTTCTGTATTGTATCTTGTTTATCCTTCTTGATTAGCTAAATATAATTAATTTCAGATAAATTAATTTCATCATAAAAAGATCATACAGGGATATAGAAATCTTACTGTGAATGAGGTGATTAAAAGGCCTAAAAATCTGTCAGATTTGCAGAATTAATTCCATTTTGAAAAAAACATTGGTAAATTTAACTTTCTAAATAGTGTTTAGAAGTTGTATACAAAATAGTTTTTAGCACTCATAGCTAACAATCATTTTATGTATACATTCCTATTTATAACATTGTTTTCTAATTTTAATGAGATAATATTTATGGTAGAATATTTGTAATATACAGGAAATTATGAAAGGGAATGAAAACTTGTAATCTTATCACCTACAAAAAAAAACACGATTAATGTTCTGTTGTATCCTTACAGTATTCTGTGGACTCTTGTGAGTTCTTTCATTTATCCTACCTTATAGATTTTATGCAGTCACTAACTTTCTTAAACTCTGTAACCTCTTTATATATACCTGCATGACTGTATATGACCTATGAAGCCTATCTCGCTTTATCTCCTATTTCTCCTTACCTCCCTGACTACAATCCAGACACCCTGACTTCTGTTCTATGCTTTCTCTGTCACCCTTCCACAGGTTTTACAAATATTTCTTTACATTATGCAGGTGTCTGCTTAAAAACTATTTTTAATAAGATATTCTGACGCTACTACAACACAATTAGAACTTCCTCACTCCATCCTTCTCCATGATGTCACTTGTTTGGTTTTTATTTTTGTTTTCATTGTCGTTGTTGTTGTTGTTAAATAGTAGGTACCTCTGCTCAAAAATATTTTATTTTATTTTTTTATTATACTTTAAGTTTTAGGGTACATGTGCACAATGTTCAGGTTTGTTACATATGTATACATGTGCCATGTTGATGTGCTGCAGCCATTAACTCGTCATTTGCATTAGGGATAGCATTAGGAGATATACCTAAAAATTATTTTAAACTTCTACTTGTAGGTATATATTTTGTTTTCTGACTCTAACAGCAAGAATATATACTCTGTTAAAGTAGGAATCTTGTTTATCCCTAGGGCTTACAATATTGCCACACACAAAAGACATGCTCATAAATTATTTGTCCTTATTGAAACAGGACTGAGCTTTTCATTTACAAGCACCTGCTTCTACATCACATACAAATTATTCACTAGAAATATATAAAAGGCCAACAAAATAACAGCTTTGAAAACACAGAAGAGCCTACCAATAGATTTTTAGTATGCCTTTCCAATCAAAAATATTTAGAAGTAAGGGAGAAAAGTTATATGAGCATGTGAGAATTTTTTCGGCTGCATTTTCCTAGCTCAATGATTCTGCAACTCTGAATTCACAATGAGATCTTCAGTTTTGCTTTAAAAAAATTGAAATTGAGATTAGAATTGGGATTTTAATTTCTATGCTGCTGGAGTTTTGCCTCTGCATAGAATATAAAAAATTTCAAAAATATTTCTCCCAGACTAAGAATTATCTCATGCCAGTGGCCCTCCTAGGGACTGGTAGAAACCTAGGAATATCTGGCCCTGAAAGCTGACAACAAGCATGGTGCCAGGACTCTTGATGACTGGTGTGTTTTTTGTTTGTTTGGGTTTTTTTTATTTGTTTTCAGGGAAAGGAAGATGTTAACACTAAGAGAAGTTTGCAGGCAGGCATTTAGTAGGCACTAGGAGGGGAATTCTCTCACACCAGTGGCCCTCCTAGGGGCCCCTAGAAACCCATGAATATCTGGCCCTGAAAGCTGACAGCAAGCTTTCTGCCAGGACTCTTGATGATGTGCGGTTTTCTTTCAGGGAAAGGAAGATACTAACACTAAGAGAAGAAAAAAAAATATTAACACAATGAGAAAAAAAATCCAGACAAAATACAAAATAGTCATTTTTCATGAACCCTTCAGAATGCTGATACTTTACATGAACCAAGTAATATAGACATAAAAAGAGACACACCTGTAAGGAGAGATGAGACACAGGACTGGTGTGACTTTTGATGAAGAGGCTTCTTGCCTGTTGTAACTGAAGTGAGTAAGAAGAAATGAGCTACTTTTTTCAATATCTGTTGTAGATAAAATGTAGGTCGGTTTCAGTCTGAAATAAATGGAAGAGTGAAATACAGAAGTATAGGGACAGAGAGAGAGAACATAAATCTAAGTTATCAACATCAGGAATAAAAAAGAGGACATTAATACAGACAGAAATTATTAATATCGGAATATCATAGATGTTATGAACAATTCTTGAGGCACTAATTTTGACATTTTTAATGAAAGGGACAAAATAGTAAAAACACACATAGACACAAAACTTAGCAAAGCTGACAGAAAGAGAAACACAAAATCTGATAAGCAGATAAGTCTACAAAGGTAACAAAATCTATTAAGGAAACTTGCCCCATGAAGCATATCTCAAGCACTGGTGGCTTTACTTGTGAATTAATCTGAATATTTAAGAAAGAAATAATAATATTTTTGAAACAATTTGTCCCAGAGAATAAAACATTATAAATATTTTCAAACTCTTTATGTAGAGCTAGGAAAATATTAATGATAAAATGTGACAAGACTATTATAGGAAAATAAAATTATAGACAAATCAAAAATATAAAACTTTAAAATTATTAAATAAATTAATCTACAAAAAGCACAAATAGCATTTTTAAAAATCACCCATTTATGTATAAAAGCTGTTATCAACTAAGAAAACATTAGAATTTATTTCTTGTGATTGAGGATATCTGCATGAAATCTTATAGAAAACATCAGACTCAAAGATGAAATCTGAAAAGATTTCCACTGAGAATAATGTCCATGGCTACCACTTCTCTGCAACATTGTACTGAAGGTACTGTCTTATGAAATAGAGAAAACATATTTATGATGAAGACATGAAAATTAAAGTGGAAAAAAGATTATTGTCATTATTTGCAGATAAAATAATGTGCACCTAGAAAATTGAAAAAGGAAGAAACTTAGTTGAAAATAAGAATCAATCGACATCAGTAAACAAATCTTCATTATGCAAACCTTGATTCCACTTCCATATATTATCCAGAAATATTTTAAGAAGTGAATATATATAATTCATTATACAATTAAAATCGAACGTCTAGGAATAATTCTAACAAAAAGCATATATAATCTTTTCTCTAAAATCCACAAAATATGTTTGAGATAATTTTTAAAAGACCTAAGTTAATAAAGGATATGTTTTATTTATAATTTAATGACTTGATATTTTAAAGATCTATCTTTAGAATCTCCTATAAATGTATTGCAATTTCAATTTAAATCTTAACATATTTCCTTTCTTTCTTCTTTATTTCTTCCTTCTTCCTTCCCTTCTCCTTCTCCCCTCCCCTCCCCTCCCTCCCTCCCTCCCTTCCTTCCTTCCTTTTTTCCTTCCTTTCTTCCCCCTTCCTTCTTTCCTGTCTCTCTCTTCCTACAGTAAATGCCAAAAGCTAATTACAATATTTAAACAGATTCTGGGAAGATGGTAAAGTAGGAAGCACCAGTCATTTTTCTCCACACCTAGCCAACAACTACACAAGCAGAATCTGTCTAATGAAACTATTTTGGAATTCTGGAGTCTATTAAAGATTGCAACTTCCAGGAAACAGTGTGGATAGTAAATTGTGGTTAATTTAGGTCAATTATAGCCCTTAGCTCAGTAGCAGCAACTTTATTCTGCACTTTCCAGTCCCATGACAAGCAGCTGCGCATGCATCTTAGAAGTCACTTCCATGTAGCTTGTGCTAATCCGAGTGAACATAGGAACATTGTCCTTCATGAAATTGGAGATCTGTGTTCTGATTTGTGTTTCTTATCAAGTAGGTGTAGACGCAGAGGTGGGCAGCCATTTATGTACCCTACTTTTATTCTTGCAAGTACCTCCCCTCTGACTAAAGTGACTTCAAGAGGATTTAAAGGACAAGCACCCTCGCCTCATTTATTTTTCTTTTTCCTTTTTTTTGGGAACCAGACTGTCATGGTTAATACTGAGTGTCAACTTGGTTGGATTGAAGGATACAAAGTATTCAACCTGGGTGTATCTGTGAGGGTGTTGCCAAAGGTGATTAACATTTGAGTCTGTGGGCTTAAAATGGTAGACTCACCCTTAATCTGGGTGGGCATAATCTAATCAGCTGCCAGCATGGCTAGAATATAAGCAGGCGGGAAAATGTGAAAAGATGAGACTAGCCTAGCCTCCCAGCGTACATCTTTCTACTGTGCTGAATACTTCCTTCCCTCAAACATCAGACTCCAGGATATTCAGTTTTGGGAGCTCGGATTGGCTCTACTTGCTCCTCATCCTGCAGATGGCCTATTGAGGGACCTTGTGATCATGTGAGTTGATACTTAATAATCTCCCCTTTATATATATATTCCACCAGTTCTGTCCCTCTAGAGTACCTGGACTAATACAGGTTTTGGTACCAGGAGTGATTCTAGAGAAATAGAATATTAAGGATAGAGTTCTTTTGTTGGTTTTGGGGTTTCTGGAGTTGACTGCTTAAGATGATTAGACCCCAAAATGCTAAGGACTCTATTTCTAATAGTATAGAGAACACTGATAGTCCTTGGTATTAACTATTTAGAGAGTTGTGTAAAATTAATGCGTTTGACACTCGGGATTCATCCCTCATGAGAGGTAAGGAGTTTTTAGGCTCTATACATAATACCTTTGACCATATGTGAAGAACCAAGGAACATAATGAAGCTGGTTGGTTGCTCCTAAGTTCAGTGGACAAAGTGATGAAAGACAATGATGAACTCAGGGATTCTATCTCCCAGCTTCAGAAGCAGATACTGAGCCTCAAATCTGCTAAGATTGCCCTGAGTGAGAGTCTTATCTCCTGTAGAGAAAGAGCTGAAATTGTGGAAAAACAGACACAAGTTCTTATCATGCGAGTGGCTGACCTGTAATGAAAGGTGCATGTACAGCCTCACCAGGTGTCTACTATTAAAGTGAGGGCATTGATTGGAAAAGAGTGGGACCTAGCAACTTGGAATGCGGATGTGTGGGAGGACCCTGATGAAGCTGGGGACACTGAGTTTGTAACTCTGATGAACATTTTTGCCAGAAGAAACAGCTTCCCTATCTCAAGTATGGCAACATCCACTCCTTGACCCATACTGCCATCAGCCTTTCCACGTTTTTTTTGCAGAGATAAACCCTGCGCTGCCTGAGGCAACAGTGATGACCTCCTCTGAGGTAGTTGCCAGGAAAGATAATGTCAGTTCTCCTCAGGAGCCACCCCAAACACCCCTGTTTGTTCTAGACCTATAACTAGACTACAGTCCCAACAGGCCCCTAGAGGTGGGGTTGAGAGTGTGACCCATAAGGAGGTGTGCTACACTTGAAAAGAACTGCTTTAGTTTTCTAATTTATATAAACAGAGATCTGTAGAACAGGCATGGGAATGCATATTAAGGGTGTGGGATAATGGTGGAAGGAACATATAATTGGATCAGGCTTAATTTATTGATTTGGGCTCACTAAGTAGGGACTCTGCATTTAATGTTGCAGTTCAGGGAGTTAAAAAATGTTCTAATGGGTTATGTGCTTGGTTAGCTGAAATACAAATTAAAAGATAGCCCACTGTGAGTGAGCTGGAAAGACCTGATCTCTCTTGTTTTAATGTAGGAATAGGGATCCAATGGCTTAGAGAGATTGGGATGTTGGAGTGTATTAGTCACTTTAGATCTACACATCCTAGCTGGGAGGGCCCAGAAGATATACCCTTAACCAATGCCTTATGAAATAGATTTGTGAGGGCAGCATCTGCATCTTTGAAGAGCCCAGTAATTGCTCTTCTCTGTATGTCAGATCTAACAGTGTGAACCACAGTCATTCAACTACAACATTTAAATACAATGAGAATAATTGAACCCTGAGGTGGCAGGAGCCAAGTGGCAGCACTCCACCGTCAAAGGCACTGTAATGGACAGAAAAGACAAAGTGGCAGTCAGAATAGCCTGATTTATGTAGTCCTCTGGCATTGGCTAATCGTGGTGTTCCTAGAAGTGAAATTGACAGGAAGCCTACTGCATTCCTACTTTTTTTATACAAGCAGAAATCTTCTAGATTAAATGGACAAAAGATTAATTTGAATTATAAAAACAAAGAATCATGACCTCTCAATCAATTTCCAGACTTGAGCTAGCTCACATACCCAGAAAACCTTGAATGAAAGGGAGGCTGGGTCCCCTTGTGGAAGGACCCCACTACATTTCCAACAATTTATGCAGTGAATCTTTCTTCCATCCTTCCTGAATGAGACCTCTGGCCTTTTACCAGGGAAACTGTGCATTGGGGAAAAGGAAATGGCAGAAATTTCAGGGAATACTGAACACTGGCTCTGAGCTGAGGTTGATTCCAGAAGACCCAAAACGTCATTGTGGTCCTCCAGTTAAAGTAGTGGCTTATGGAGGTCCAGTAATTAATGGAGTTTTAGCTCAAGTCTGACTTAGAGTGGGTCCAGTGGGTCCCCTGACTCATCCTGTGGCCATTTCCCCTGTGCCAGAATGCATAATTGGCATGGACATACATAGCAGCTGGCAGAACCCCCATACTGGCTCCTTGACTGGTAGGGTGAGGACTATTTGATGGGAAAGGCCAAATGGAAGTCATTAGAGCTGCCTCTACCTAGAAAAATAGTAAATCAAAAACAATATTGTACCTCTGGAGGGATTGTGGAGATTAGTGCCACCATCAAGGACTTGAAAGACACAGGGGTAGTGATTCCAACCAAATCCTTATTCAACTCTCCCATTTGGCCTGTGCAGAAGACAGATGGATCTTGGAGAATGACAGTGGATTATCATAAACTTAACCAAGTGGTGATTCCAATTGCAGCTGCTGTACCAGATGTGGTTTCATTGCTTGAGCAAATTAACACACCAGCTGGTACCTAGTATGCAGCCATTGACTTGGCAAATGCCTTTTTCTCCATTCCTGTCCATAAGGACCACTAGAAGCAATTTGCCTTCTGCTGGCATGGCCAGCAATATACCTTTACTGTCCTACCTCAGGGGTATATCAACTCTCCGGCTTTGTGTAGTAATCTTATGTGGAGAGACCTTGATTGCTTTTCTCTTCTGCAAGATATCACACTGGTCCATTACATTAATGACATTATGCTGATTGGATCCAGTGGGCAAGAAGAAGCAAACTCACTGGACTTATAGGTGAGACTCATCCATGCCAGAGGATGGGAAATAAATCTCAGTAAAATTTCTAGGGGTCCAGTCGTGTGGGGCCTGTCTAGATATTCCTTCTAAGGTGGAGGATAAGTTGCTGCATTTGGCCCCTCCTAAACCAAGAAAGAAGCACAATGGCCAGTGGGGCTATTTGGATTTGGAGGCAACACATTCCTCATCTGGGTGTGTTACTCCAGCCTATTTATTGAGTGGCCCAAAAGGCTGCCAGTTTTGAGTGGGGTCCAGAACAGGAGAAGGCTCTACAATAGGTCCAGGTTGTTGTGTAAACTTCTCTGCCACTTGGGCATATGACCCAGCAGATCCAATGGTACTTAAGGGTCAGTGGCATATAGGGATGCTGTTTGGAGACTTTGGATGGCCTCCATAGGTAAATCACAAAAGAGACCTCTAGGATTTTGGAGCAAAGCCCTGTCATCTTCTGCAGATAGCTTCTCTACTTTTGAGAGAGCGCTCTTGACCTGGTACTGGGCTTTGGTGGAAACTGAACGTTTGACTATGGGTCAACAAGTCACCATGTGACCTGAACTGCCTATTATGAACTAGGTGCTTTTGGACCAACCTCACCATAAAGTGGGTTGTGCACAGTGGCATTCCATCATCAAATGTAAGTGGTATATACGTGATCGGGCTCGAACAGGTCCTGAAGGCACAAGTAAGTACATGGGGAAGTGGCTCAAATGCCCTTGGTTTCCGCTCCTTCCACCGTGCCTTCTCTCCCCTAGCCTGCTCCAATGGCCTCATGGGGAGTTCCCTATGATCAGTTGACAGAGGAAGAGAAGGCTACAGCCTGGTTCACAGATGGTTATGCACGATCTGCAGGCACCACCTGAAAGTGGACAGCTGCAGCACTACAGCCCGCTTCTAGAATATCCCTGAAGGACAGCAGTGAAGGAAAATCTTCCCAGTGGGCAGAAGTTCCAGCAGTACACCTGGTGGTTTTAAACTACTTAATTTTGGGGTAGTATGTTGCATAGTAATGGGTAACCATGACAATATATGAGATAAAATAGAAAGAAAAGTCTAAGAAAATTTCCACATTTCTGACTCAGTCGAGTGAGCAAATTTCTATATCTTATTTTTAATTATAAAATGGTTGGAGTTATCAGAAAAAGCACTTAATATGGAGGAGGTATTAAGACAAAACATTAGGGAGTAATATTTTAACATAGAGCAGATTTCCCAAAGAAGGGAGTAATCAATAGCAAAAATTGCTAAACCTAAATCAATTGAGATGTAAACTACAAATACAAATATACAAATAATACAAATATATACATATATCACATTTGGAATGATGTTGATGACCAAAATCATTGTCTATCTGGTGTCTTTTCTCTCCCTATGGCCACCCAATATGTTTTATTTCTTTTCACTGTTCAATCCTACTTGAATTCAATTTTTATTTCATGTATCAATGACACAATACGCCAATTGTGAAAAGGAAACTGAAATACCCTGTGAAGGTACTTCTGAACTTCTGGCTGCCCAGAATTCAGAAACATATTCTAGATTAAAGGGGGAATCTCAGAGCAACACCACTAGGATACCAAAGTTGCATCTCAGGTACTCCCCAGATTTAATCACAACCAGTACATGACAAATCAAATGTATGCCATCTTTACTTCCCCATCAGGGCATTCAAGTGCGTGTAGTTTCCTTGGGTCTTATCTCTTCTCAACTGCCCTGGCTTCAGTGTCATTCCTGCTCCTATACTGCCTTCCCTGGTTCTCTCTACTTCTTCCCCTCTCTAGTCTCAAGTATTCTGGCCTCATGGATAAGATTGAAAACTTTAAAATACATAGCCATAAGCCAACAAGAAAAAAAAATAGTACAAAAGGAAATTGAATATACGTCAATTTTAAAGATTATAAAATTAAGTTGTAAGTGAATTATGTGTCTCCATTTAAAATTGGCCAAGTTAATTTGGTACCCTATTTCTAACTAATGATTGCAATATTGTTTTTGTACTAATTAAAATCTTTGGTGGAAAGTACAATATGAAAATGTTTAAGTTTGGGGACCATGTCTGCAACTTCCATAAAGACTAAGTTTAGTGTTCATAATATATAAAGTATATCTGCTCCTACTTAAGAAAGAACAAACCAATAGGAAAATAGGCAAAAATAAATAGCCAATTCACAAAGAAAAAAAAAACAAAGTCACTCAACTGTATTAATAATTAAAGAATACAACTTAATATAACAATGATATATGATTTGCCCTATTTAGGAGGAAAATTAATAAAAGTTATAGTTCACCAGAAATGAAATGTAACTTAATCTTTATCCAAGGACTGTCTTTGTACATATCCAAAAATATATAAAGTAAAAATTATTAGACATAGAAAGTTGATTAAAAATACTGCATTCATAGTGGTATATTTTTCAGATGAAATGGACTAATAGATACATTTAAAAGGATATAGGGTATCGTTTTCCAAACCTGGCTTCAAATCAATTGGAAAAAGTTCTTTAAAAGTTTTGTGCTTGGACCCAACTCCCTAAATTTACATCAGAATCTCTGTGTCTAGGATTGCTTCGCAGCCGTTATTTAAGAGGAATGTAAGTGTGTAAAGATATAAATAAACCACAATTGGTCATGTTTGATCATTCCTAAAGCAGGGTGAAAGATAATTTTTTAAACTATTTTTTAATTGCAATTAAAAAATCAGAAACTCTGCCTGGAAGGTTATTTATTTAGAAATAAATAAAATTTTACAGAATATTTGTAATTATAAAAACAGTATATTGAGCATATTTATTCCCTCATACAGATCTTACTTACACCCATTCATTGTTAAACATTTACCCCATGCACTTTATTGCTTCTCTTCCTTCTCCCTCCTCCCTAGCTCTACCTCTATTTTTTTTAAGATCTATATTCATTCAATTGGGCATAGGCTAAATACATTTTATATTCCATATCATTTAAGTCATATCCATACTATTTTCACTCTCTAATGTTTTATATTATTGGAATCATATTATTATTTATTTTTTCTAATTTTATACTGATGTCTTCTAACAACGTTTCTGCTCTTATAAGAGCCTATATTAGTTCTACATTTGTACACTATTATTATTTTATTAGAAAGCATATATTGTTGATAAATGTTTGTTCTCTGAGGGCTATTCCTTTTTTATATATGCTTTTCATCTGCTTTTTGCTTAACTTTCTCCTTTTGATTTTCAGTATATGTAGGTTCTATGTAGTTTCTAATGAATGTTATTTAATTATGGACTGGGCTATACTTTGTAAACAATAGTGGGAAAAGGAGGATCTCGTCAAAAAAAACCCTATCTAATCAAATTTTTCATTCTGTTGGCCTCAGGAACACATGACCTGTCTCTTTTGAGGGATTCAAGAGGTTACCTATGTTAAAGATTCCCTGTGTGCTGTAATCTGGTAGTCTCCAGATCTCCTTCAAACTCTTCCCATATAACCGCCAGAAAGGATTTTAAGCTAGGATGCTGGGCTATAAATATGAGAAATAGCATGTTAGAATTGCTTTTCCCTCTTCAGCAACACGTCACTTGACATTTAACAATATGAACTGGGATTGTTACTAGGGGATTTAAAAAAAATTTACATGGCTGATCTACACTTCTAAATCTCATTGCCTTAAAAAAGTGATCGTTAGATAGATAATTTGGAGCTATATAACTTATTTAGGGAAACCTATATTCAATTCTAGGCTTGAGGAAAGAACTTGTTTCTGTGATTTAAGTGCAAACAAGTATCAAGTACTTAGAAGAATTCATTTATATGTTTATGGTTGTGAAGGAGGAGAATAGGTTCTGGAGACAGGGAGCCTTGACTTCAGCCTCCTATTGGTCACAGGACAAGTCTTTATTTGCATAGGGTGTAACCACTTCAGCCTCTGATTGGTCATGGGCCAAGCCTTCACTTCAGCCCCCAATTGGTTGCGGGCCAAGTCTTCATTTACATAGGGTGTAACCAATAGGAAACCTCTAAAGGGTACTTAAATCCCAGAGGATTTGCAACTGGGACTCTTGAGCCACTTGCTTGAGCCTGCTCCTGCTCTGTGGAGTGTAGTTTTGCTGCAATAAATGTGTGTTTTTGTTGATTCCTTCTTTTATTGTTTTGTTTGTGTCTTTTGTTCAATTCTGTGTTTAACTCACCAAGAACCTGGACAACTCTTGTCAAGACCCTCCCTCACCAGCAATATATTTTGGTGAGCCAGCCAGAAGGCAAGCCAAAATTCTGGGATTTTTTTTTCTTTATTTTTTCCTCTCCCCCCTGCCTTTTTGTTTCTGTCCTTTACTTTTTTTTCAGTCTTTCAGCATCTGTTTCCCAGTAGCTCCTTGGTAATTGAGGGCAACTGGCTGGGTCCATTCTCTGCTGTTACCTGACGCCCAGTGAGTTAATGGGGATAGCTGCCCTTCCCTGAGGGGGGAAAGACTCTTTTCTTTCCTGGTTATAGTCCATGATCCCTACATGTGATGCAGTTGACAGAGGTAGCTCATCTAGTGTGAACTCACACATGTTTAGGGTGACTTAAACCCTCGTTTCTCATGCTAAATTCTCCTATAGGATTAGCCTGTAATGGCAAAATATAGTGTCTCTTAGGTGTTTTGACCACCCTTCTCCTACTCAATGTATTCACTTGGCTGAGGATCTTTGGGGCCCGCAAGCTTTAGAATACGTTCTACATCTTGGACCTCCACTGAAGGGATCTTGTCTCTTTTGGTATCATCATATTATTTGTATAGATTGGCCTGCCCTTGCACAAGACCCACTGTCATGGTGGTGGATTTTTAAACATTCCTTCTCTTGTCCAGGGCCTGAGTGGAATAGTCAACCCTACTCTTTCAATGTTCATGACCAAAATCCACCTGAGAAATTAGTCATAATCTCCATGAGAAAAGAAACTCAACCAGCCTCCAGGTCCTGTCATTAAAGTTTATAGGTAACACTCTAGTGGAATGGGAAGCATGGGAAAGCATAGTCTTATAAAATTATAGGGACATTAGAAGTCAAGGCCTTCATCTATGGACAAAAGGAAAGCTCATACTGGGCCATCAATGGTGGAGAGAACCTTCCCAAATTGGTACTGGCTCCCATCTAAGGTCAGGGATGTCTGACACACTAAGATGAAGGCCTAAATAAGGACACCCTTGGGGACCTCGGGGCCCAGAATTTTTCCAGGGGGACACCCCAGGTAGAATTTGGGTCGCCAAATAAGCTAGACACACTTTTTTCTTCCAGACCACTATGGACAACTTTCCATACATTCCACCTAATTCTTCACTTGGCTGCATCCTCAACAATTGGAATCAATTTAACCCTGATAATCTAAGGAGAAAACATCTGATTTTTTACTGTAATACTATATGGCTCCAATATCAGCTGGACAGCCAGGAATAATGGGAGTCCCCTTCCCATTATAAGGGATTAGCGTAATAATACTAAGTTCTCATCCCACTCAGAGGGAAAAAAACTATTCAACTCCCACTCCAGCCCTATTACACCTTAGGGAAGTCGCAGGAGCCGAGGGTTAAGTCTAAGTGCATGCTCATTCTCCCTAACTGACATACAACAATGCAAAGAAAAGCTAGGAAGCTATTCACAGAACTGCAGAAAATCTGCAGATGGTTCCAAACTTTGACCTTAGTCTTTGTTCTCTCATGGAAAGACGTCCAATTCATTCTAGCAACCTGTTGCACCTCCTTGAAAAGGGAACATTTGTTTAAAAAAAGCAGAGTCTTACTCTATTGCCCAGGCTGGAGTGCAGTTGTGCAATCTCTGCTCATTGCAACCTCCAGCTCCTGGGTTCAAGTGATTCTTTTGCCTCAGCATCTTGAGTAGCTGGTACTCCAGGCACACACCACAACATCTGGCTAATTTTTGTATTTTTAGTAGAGATGGGGTTTTGCCATGTTGGCCAGGCTGGTCTTGAACTCCTGGTCCTAAGTGATTCGCCTGCTTCAGCCTCAGAAATGAATCTTTGAGGCTGCCCACTGGTAAGCAGACAATTTATTCACCCGAAACCCTCAGGGCAATTACCCAGGCTCAGACACAGTCACCACTACTGATCCTAATTGGGACAATAACACTTCCATAGGAATGGACAACCAGACCAAATTTCTTGAGGCTCTTATTGGAGGAATGAAAAAAAGAATAAGTTGGTAGATTATAATAAAGTAAAGGAGGTTACACAGGCAAGGAGGAAAATCCAGCCATATTTTATTGCAGGCTGGGGAAGCCTTTAGAAAATATACCAATCTGGACCCTTCCTTTTCAGAAGGCGGTGTTGAGCCCTCTTTTATTCCTAGTATTACTACCTCCAGTATGAAGTCTTTTTTTTAAGTGATTACTCTATCCGGAAGTTTATATATTTTATCGATGCTTTAAATAAACAAATAATCTATATCGTATCATTTTCAAGCCCAAAGAAATGTATAAGGCCTATAATTTTGATATTTTTCAATTATTTTAAGGTTATAAGCATGTAAAATACTGTTTATATGTGAGAATACATATAAATACCACTAGCTAGCTTATTTTGAAGAGAGATTCTCTAAATTTTTGTCCAGAGTAGATTGATTGCGATTTCTTTGGTGTGGTTCTCAATACCTTGCCTCAATGTTTTAAAGCATATAAAAATTTGAATACTGTTTAACCATATGTATTTGTTTGTAGGCTAATATTTGTAAGGATTAAAAACGTTACAGCCCCTTTTAAGATTCAGTAATATTAATAAAATTTGAGATATATAGGGTTGAAATACAACACATTAAGATAAAAATTGTTAAATTATACAGCTGTAGAGCAGAAAATAAAAACCATGTTCTAAGGGGGCAGGAAAAGTGTTAAGTGCACCATGAACTACCAACCATGTGCATCAGCGACTGGGCGGAGAGTAGGGAGAATTACAGGATGGTTAAGGGAGTGAGCTGTGGAGTCTAACTCTATGTGAACATGAATATTTAAACTATATAGTGCCACCATTTATCCATCTTTACAATGGGGATAGTACTAAGTTTTTGTTTGCTTTTCTTCTCAGTTGACTGGGTTATTTCCTCAGTCTGTCTTCTTGCCACTCTCGATGCCCACATGAGAAGAACTAAGGTAATTTCTAACAGCAGGAGGCTCCTTAGAAAAAACAGAAGACACCACAGAAATTATTTTAGGAGAAAACTCTGTTTTCCTCATGGAACCCCAAGAACTTTAAACTGACAGGTCCCTTTCAAAATCTAAGGCTCTGCTCTGTTTTGCATCATGTTACCTGACCTTTTTGACTTTTGAGAGCATCAGAAATTACTTTAGTAGGGGAAAAAGATATAAAGAAAGTTATGGATATGAATATGTATTTATGGTAAGGAAGTTTATGAAGAAAAGAAATTTTATATGAGAAAGGATCTTGTATGGCAAATTCTTGTCCTAAAGTAGAATAACTAATTATTTAGGAAAGAGGGAAATATAGGATAGGTCAGAAAATCCAAGCATGTCATAGATGGCCTGTGGAAGTTGTGATAAGATTCATAAAATGGGAAAGAAAAAGTTAATAACTGCTGGATTTTCCTTTGTATACAAGTGCTGTGTGTGTGATGTTTATATAAAGTAACTCTAATTAATTGGCTTAAAAGCTACCCCCTAGAGATTAATCTGTCACATGATCATGTAAGCCATGCAATTGCCAGGCTGCATCATTTAGAAAACTTATACAGTTTTCATGGAAACCATCTCTAGTTAAGGGCACTTCAGAGGATACACAGTCTAAGTACTTTCAAGGTAGACCCGCTAGCAGTGTTCACATATTCCCTTAGGAAGACTGTACTAACCCTGAGACATCTAGTTGCCTTTTGGTGCCCCAGTACGAAAATACCTCTTGGTAGTTGCTGGTGGACACTAAGTGTAACTACCTCCACTGGGAAAACAGAACTGCTGGGGCAACTCCAGATACTTCCTAAGGCCCTTTCCAGCCTTTAGCTGGGGCCACCTTAGCAGGGGCCACCTTAGCAGGGACCTTAACTACTTGGGAAAGCGAAAACAACAAGCTAACTCATATGTTCACCATAGAGAAAAATTTTTTGTTTTGAAAAACAATGAGTCTTTTTCCTGTATGCAACCAGTTCCTGCTTATGTTTATCAGCCAATTGAACTGGAACCTGTACAAGTGTTTGTTTAGCCCACCAAATCAATATAGCTTCCACAATAGCCAGTCTCTACTGCAAACACCAGGCACAAAAGAGCCATCTAACTCATACCCATTTTGGTAGGGCTAGGATTAACTGCATGAGTAGGATCAGGAGTTAGTGGGCTTGCAGTTTCCCTACCCTGTTACCAACACTTGTCCAAGGATATCTCAGACAGCTTGGAAGACATTGCCCAAAATATTGTCACCTTACGAAATCAGATCGACTCTTTGGCAATAGTTGCTTTACAAAATAGAAGGGAACTGGATCTCCTAACTGCTAAAAAAAAAAAAGTGGCTTATATCTTTTCCTAGAAGAAGAATGTTGTTTTTATGTCAACCATCAGGATTAGTAAAAACTGTCACATGAAAATCACTCACCAGGCCTCTAAAATATAAACACAGCTGTCTGAGTTATGGGGCTCCTGGTAAAGGGCACTTAGTTGAGCTTCATGTCTTCTTCCCCTAGCCAGCCCATTTTTAATAATTATACTTGCATTAATTTTTGGACCATGTTAAATCTTTTAACCAGATTTATTTCTTCTCACCTAAAAACCATTAGGCTTCAAATGATCATGCAGTAGGTCTTTCAGCCAGTTCCAGGTGATGATGCCAGCCCTGGCCCTCAAGAAGTCACCTTGTCCCCAGTAGAAAGAGTACCATTGTCCCCAGTAGGTAGGAACTGCTCCCCAATTAGAATGAAGCAGTTACAGAAGAAAAACAGTTAGTCACTCTGCCTCCCATAAAGATTTATGGGGATCACATCTCTCAGGAGGAAATGATGCAGGAGAATAAGATCTGGAGACAAGGAGCCTTCACTTCAGCCTCCAATTGGTCATGGGACAAGTCTTTATTTGAATAGTGTGCAACCTCACTTCAGCCTCTGATTGGTCGTGGGCCAAGTCTTCAATTAACATAGGGTATAACCAATAGGAATACTCTAAAGGGTCCTTAAACCCCAGAAGGTTGTTTGACCTTTATTAATGAAGCATATTAGAAAACTCGCAGTGCAATTCTTTAATGGAAATATGCAGCAACCACTCAAGTCATAAGTGTGTAACAGCTGTGAGTTTGCAAAATGAGTTGTTACCTTCCACAGTGTAAAATCCAGAAAAAAAAAGATGACTAATGTGAATCTACAAGGTTTCACGTAGCATGTCACAGTGGGAATCTTAATAATCTTCTGCCTGGATTGTTGTCTAAGACTCCCATTTTTGGTTTCATGAGGTGTGACTGTTAGCTAAGCTGGAGATAATTTGAGACTAATTACTAGCCGTGTCAATGGCAATTCTCCTACAATGATCAACCATATTTTCTCTATTGAAAAATCATTTCTTGGATAACAACTGTAAACGTAAAGAGGTTTCAGCTGTTTCTTCCCCTAGAAGAAACCAAGCATCACTCAACTGGAGATAAAATCTCAGAGTTTATTTGCACTGAAAATAGGTTGAAAGGATGAAAACAGCAGACTAATGTATTAATAGTAAAGTATATAAGGGAAGAACTCAGTTCTAATCGTTTATTTTATCAAATGCACTTAAAACAGTGCAGAGGCATATGTCGTGGGTGTTCAGCTAAATGATCGACTTAGATATATACTTATTATTATGTTATCTTGCTTTTCTTATTTCTTATTTCAGCACTTTAGTGGAGCAACTTGAACAATAACCTCTCAGTACATCTTTAAGCTATTTTGCTTTTTTGAGAAATATTTCTTAAAAGGAAGTCTTTCCAGTGGAAATATAAGAAAAACAAACTAGAATTGATTATTTTATAGCAGATGCAATATTTCCACTTTATTTTAATGATTCCCATTATGATATAATTGATACCTATAATGTAGACACAGTGTATTGTATTAACAATGTTTTCCATTTTAAAAGTCTCCTTAGGTTTGAACTTCCATTTGACAAATGATTTCTAAGGCACTAAATTGTATATATTTTACTAAATATGTACAACTATTAAAGCTAGTCAAAATTTCCTTCAGGAGAAAAACTTTCCCTGCCTGAAGAGAAAATGAGGAATAGATAAACGTATTTGTTTTAATAAAATAGGAACCTTATATATCACATGGTAAGGTGTGTTAGAATATTTTATGAAGTTGCTTTAAGCTCATTGGAAGCCATTGTACCTAAGTAGCCCGGTTTAATTATTAGAAAAATCAGCTTCTTTGGTATACTATTGAGTGAAAACAGTTTATCATACAGTCAATGGCTTTGTTACCAAGTTGAGTTTAGTAAAAAAAAAATTACAGATAGAGCCACTGAAGCATATGTCCCATGAAACTTGACCTATATGGAAGTGAGAATTTGGTATATAGCTCGTAAGTGAAACATTAGAATGTTATTGGGTAGAAGAACTGCAAGCTGTTATCCAAAGGCAACTGCCAGAAAGAATCTCATGTAAACTGATAAATTAAAGATACTGCACCATTTTTCCTTTTGTTTCTTTTATTGAATACAATTACTTAAACATGCTTTCCACATCACCCCATGGCATGCAAAAATATAGAAATTAAAAATATATATTTTATACAATGTTTTTCCCCAAAGATCCAGCTTTCTTTACTCGTTATTACAACAAAGTAAGGAATCCATCTAAAATTACTATTGTTTTGTCAAAAAGATTCAAAAAGCTAATTTCTATAAATTGAAAATGGATAAAGCACAATTTAAGTATCATTAAAAATAAATGCATCAGTATGGAATAATAATTCTAAAAAATAAATAAATACATTAAATTGAAACATATCAAACTTGTTTAAATTCATGGAGTTTATTATTGCTATTAAGAAACAACAATAGCAACAAAATCCTGGTTGGTCACCTTTAGAAGAAAACAGAGAATCAACTTATTACTTTGAATATGGGTAAAAGGAGGAAAAAAGAGGGAGAGAAGGAAGATGTAAGAGTAAGCAAGCATTTTTTCATATTTTTGTACAAGAACTGTACTTTTTCTGTTGTTGTTTGTTTGTTTGTTTTGAGATGGAATCTAGCTCTGTCGCCCAGGCTGGAGTGCAGTGGCGAGATCTTGGCTCACTGCAACCTCCACCTCCTGGATTTAAGCAATTCTCCTGCCTCGGCCTCCTGAGTAGCTGGGATTACAGGCATGTGCCTCCACGCCTGGCTAATTTTTGTATTTTTAGTAGAGATGGGGATTCACATTTTGGTCAGACTGATCTTGATCTCCTGACCTCATGATCCTCCCGCCTCGGCCTCCCAAAGTGCTGAGCTTACAAGCATGAGCCACTGCGCCCGGCCAAAAACTGAACTTTCGAGAACAGAAAGTTGATAAAGGAAGTCATGAAAATACCAACACTATGAGTTCTATTCCGTAGGATGACTGCCACCAGTCAGTGGATTTCAGAATTAGGTAAAATGAATGGAGAGACTGCCCTATATCAAGAAGAATTCAAGAAGCAAAACAAATTGTGTGTTGTGTTGTCCTAAGTTTAGTTTGAACAAATTGAGAAAACTAAATTATTAACATAATTGGGTGAATATGATTATGGGCTTGGAATTAGATGATACTAAAGAATTATTTTTAGGGTTTTTTTAAGCTTTTGTTTTAAGTTTGGGGTACAAGTGCAGGTTTCTTACATAGGTAAGTTTATGTCATTGGGGTTTGTTGTACAGATTATTTCATCACTCAGGTGCCCATTAGTTATTTTTCCTGATCGTCTCTCTCCTCCCACCCTCCACCCTCTGAAAGGCCTCAGTGTGTGCTTTTTCCCTCTGTGTGTCCATGTGTTGCCATCACTTAGCTCCCACGTATAAGTGAGAACATGCAGTATTTGGTTTTCTGTTCTTGTGTTAATTTACTAGTGTGTGAATAGCACGTGGTTGTGTAAGAAAATGTACACATTTTTAGAGATGCATAGTGAACTAGGTAGAGGTGACAAAGCATATTATCTGATGTATGTTTTATAAATATGTTAAAATATGGTTTTTAGACCAGTAGTATCAGCCCTACTTGTAGACTTATTAGAAATGCAGAATCTCAATATCCACCACAGATATATTGAATCATAATTTTCATTCTAAGAGAATCCTCAAGTAATTTTTATGGGCATTAACTTTTTTTAAGTTCTGATTGTACAAACTCCAACAAAGAAGAAAAGACAAAGAAAATTATGGAAGACAATGTGGCAGAATTTTCGTAAATGTTAAATTGGGGAAAGGACATGTAAAACTCATTGTATCATTATTCCTACTTTGATATGCTTTAGAAATTTTTATTATTAAATCTAAAAATAATATTTGAAAAATACAACACAGGATTCAAAGTTCAACAGACAAATTTGTATAATTTCTTCTGCATTTATTCTTGCTCTGTCTTTGAAACCTGCATAATTTTTATTTATTTATTTATTTATTTTTATATACTTTAAGTTTTAGGGTATATGTGCACAACATGCAGGTTTGTTACATATGTATACATGTGCCATGTTGGTGTGCTGCACCCATTAACTCGTCATTAACGTTAGGTATATCTCCTAATGCTATCCCTCCCCCCTCCCCCACCCCACAACAGGCCCCGATGTGTGATGTTCCCCTTCCTGTGTCCATGTGTTCTCATTGTTCAATTCCCACAAACCTGAATAATTTTAAAATTCAAATCTACTATATAAATGTCAAAAGGAAATAAGCTGTTATGCTACTTAAACTAAAGAGTATACTGGAAGGTAGAAAATTTAATAAATAAGGATAATTTTTCCCAAAATTTATGATAAAGTGGAAAAATATGTCATGAAATTACTAGACTGTTCAGCCTTAATGTATAAACACAAGTTGTGGTTCAGAATAATATAATTACTTAAAACATAACTCTAAAAATGAGATTTTATTATTCACCTTGGCAAGAAATCAATATTAAAGTGTACTATATTTTATGATTATAGAATCAAAGAGCTAGTAATCATTGAAACAGGAATAACTAACATTAAATTGGGTAATTCTCAAAATACTCAGAAAATAATGGTCAATTTGTATTATTGTGTGTAAACAGAACTGTGAAATTCTTTTTCTATATTTAACAGAATAGAAAAATACCTTCACATGAAAGTTCAAAGGGCTTTACAGATACAGCACGGTTAACTTGAAAGACAAAAAATGACAATTTCCATGCATGTAGCACATAAAACATATCTTCAGCACACTTCAGAGCAGCTCGTGTAAAATAGCATAACCAATATTGTTCTTATGCATATTCAAATTATCAACAAAATTAGGGAAAAACAGAGGACAAAATCATTTTGTGTTATATAGCTGTAAATGCACTTTCTAGAGGATAATGTAAACTTATTTCCATGTTTCTTTGTGTTTGAAAGTATTATTTTGTTCAGTAGTATTTTTAAAAATTATTATTGTAAAGTAAATATCTCCCCAGGAAAGTGTCTACCTTTTCCCTTCCAAGTAACACAATGGACATATTTACAGAAAGTTATCACTAAACTTCATATTACTGAAGTACATCAAATCAGAGCCCTGAGTGTTAATTGAATTTTCTAGATTAGCAATCTAAGAACTTTATTACACTTTTGTTGAAGATCCTACTTTAGTTTTTGTGGGTTTTATTAATATTTTCTCCATTGAAATTAAAACAGCTTTAGTAAATTATAAAATAGATCAATTTTTAAAAGTTAATTCAATTAAAAATAAGAAGTCTATTACATATAAGTCTAAATAATGTAGTTTCATAAAAATGACCATATTTTCAAGGACAAAAATATCAAGGATAAAATTGGCATTATTTCACATTTTTACAAATCTCAGGAGGTATACAATCTGGAAAACTCTACTTGTGAAATAATGAGAATAAAAAAAGGCAATGATGTCTTAGTATTATTATGAGAATTGTTTTAGCCTTACAGACCCCCAGGAGTCTCTGAGCAGCATATTGAAATTGTTGTTCTAATTTAATTCTGGATCATTGTTTTGAATCGAAGGATAAGATTCATGCACTTCCCGCCGGGCATGGCGGCTCACACCTGTAATCCCAGCACTTTGGGAGGCAGAGGAGGGTGGATCACCTGAGGCCAGTAATTCGAGATCAGCCTGGCCAACATGGTGAAACCCCATCTCTACTAAAAAAAAAAAAATACAAAAATTAGCTGGGTGTGGTGGCACGGGCTTATAACCCCAGCTACTTGGGAGGCTGAGGCAGGAGAATCGCTTGAACCCAGAAGGCGAAGGTTTCAGGGGGCCAAGATCATGCCATCCCACTCCAGCCTGGGCAACAGAGTGAGACTCCATCTCGAAAAAAAAAAAAAGATTCATACATTTCCTAGACAGAGTAAAAACTATATTGAAACAGCCAATTCTATTCCTTAGTTAAGGAAATGCATCTTTTAATAATTCACTTGCTCATTGAGCAAATATCTATTTAATAACTATTTTTAACAGATATAGGACAATGGACTGGTGGTCCAAAAATAAATACATGTGTCCATGAACCCTTCCCCCAACATTCCCTCAATTGATTTATGTTCTGATAGAAAATACTTGTACACATAAATGATGAGACACTAAGCCATGATGAGTGTTGTGGTATTTATGTACAAAAGGTGACAGAGATAGGCATAGGAACAGTACATGCTTATATTTGAGTGAGACAGTGTGAAAAGATGTGAAGGAAAATTTATCAGAAGAGGCAGGTTAAAATATTAAAGCAAATAATGAATTTGGAAGACAGCAGTTAGAAAGATGAGGTGGAATGAAAGTGTGAAGAGTAATAGGAAAAGTTGAGCCTGTAAATATAACTTAGCAAATACTACAGCATAATTCATTTGGGGAAATATAAGAAATTCACTATTGCTAAAGTATAGAATTCCACGAATACAGAATAATAAGATGGGGAAAAGAAGAGACAGGAGATGTGTCTAAAGGATTAAGAGACGGTCAGAAAAGTAAGGCTCATGCAAGATGTATTCACAAGTTAGAACATTCTGGAGTTTCACCAGAGAATTTTATTTATTATTGAATAATAATATAAATACAGAAAGGTATACAACTCTGTGAATTGGCTTCTATGCATACTTTGATACACGTTTTTTACTGAAAATATGAATATATTCTGTTGGTACTATACCTTATAGGGGAAATTTTGAATCATCGACTCTGTATATGTTCAATTTTAGCAGATGCTCGGAGTTTTTAAAAATGCGTACCAGCTGCTGTACGTTTTCAACAATACTTGAATTGTTCCACGTTTTGCAGTTTAGTGATTCTAGTTGGTTTACATTAGTATTTCAATATAACTTTAACTTTCATTTGTAAAATGGTTAATGAAGTTGGGCATCTATTTTATATGTTAATATGGGGATTTGAATATCATTTCAGGAAGTGTCTGTTAAAGTCTTTATTTTTCTATTGGGTTATCTATGTTTCTCTTACAAATTTGCGGGAGTCCTTTGTTTGTTCCTTTCTCAGATAAATGTGATTGGAGAGGAAACTATCCCCAATTCTCTCTTCATTGACATTTGGTAAGTAAAAGTTGTAAATTATAATAAATTCTTCATTGACATTTGATGAGTGTAAGTTGTAAATTATAAAATAGATCGATTTACCCATTTTAAAAAATTGTATATTTACAACATCTTGTCGATTTTAAGATATCTGTCTTCTCAAGGACTTAGGAAGATATGTTTCCAGTTGCTTACTAAAAACTTTATTATGTAAGGTTTACGCTTAATACACAATCTATTTGGAATTTATTTTTGTGTATGGTGTGAGATAGGGGTTTGATATGTTTTGTCCCCATATAGAAAACAATCAGCACAGGTTATTATTGAAATAATTACCTTCTTTCTAATGTATTGCAGCATCACTTTTCTCATAAAACATATCGATGTATATATAAAGTCTGTTTCTGAACTCTGTATTTCCTTCCATTGATCTATTTCTTTGTTTGCACAGGTATCTCATTCTTTAATTATTACAGCTTTAAATTCGTCTGGTGGTGTCTCTAGCTTTCTTCTTTTTTTCAGATTTTCTTGGCTATGCTTGACAATTTGCATTTTTATGGAAAATATTTTCAAATTTTTATGTGATAAAATATACATAAAATTTACTGTCCTAATCATTTTTAATAGTATAGTTCATTGGAATTTAGTACAATCACATTGTTGTGCATCATTGCCACCATCCTTCTCCAGTACTCTTCATCTCATAAAACTGAAACTGCATACCTATTAGACAATAAATCCCATTCCTCTCCCAACAGCCACTGGCGATGACCACTCTACTATTTGTTTCTATAACTTTTGACTACTCTGGGTGCCCTCATAAAGTGAAAACATACGGTATCTGAACTTTCATGACTGGCTTATTTCACTTAGCATAATATCCTCAAAGTTCATTCATGTAGTAACATATGTCAAAGAATCCTTACCTTTGAGGAGGAATAACATTCCACTGTATGTGTATACAACATTTTGCTTATCCATCCATCTGTCCACACTTGGGTTGTTTCCATCCTTTAGTTATTGTGAATAGTGCTACTATGAACATGATTGTACTAATAACTCTTCAAGATTCTGCTTTAAATTATTGTGGGTATATATCCAGAAGTGGAAGGACTGGATCATATGGTAATTATATTTTTGCTTTATGAAGAGCTGCCATACTGTTTTCTACAGGGGCTGTACCAGTTTACATTTTCACCAACATTCCCACCATTGTGGTGGCCAGCAACTGAGGAGGCTGAGATAAGTGGATTCCCTGAGCCCAGGAGGTGGAGGTTGCAGTTAGCCAAGATTGCGTCACTGCACTCCAGCCTAGGCAACAGAGTGAGACCTGTCTCAAAAAAAAAAAAAAAAAAGAGTTAAATTAAAAAATAAATAAAAGTCATTTGACCATATATGTGATTGTTTATTTCTTGCTCTCCATCTATTCTATTTACCTATATATCTATCTTTATTCCAGTACAATGCTGTTTTTATTATTGTAACTTTGAAAAAAAATTTTAAAATCTAGAAGTGTGATCTTTAACTTTTGTTCTTTTTCAAAATTGTTTGGGCTATTTGGATTCTCTTGAGATTAAATATGAATTTTAGGATAGATTTTTCTATTTCCACAAAAAATTCCACACCATTTGAATTTTGACAGAGATTGCAATTAATCTGTAGTTCACTTTGGGTAGTATTGAAATTTTAACAATATTAAGTTTTCCAATCCATGGACATGGAATATCTTTCCATTTGTTTATGTCGTATTTAATTTCTTTTAGCAATGTTTTAAAATTTTTATTGTGCAGATCTTTCACTATCTTCGTTAATTCTTAAGTATTTTATTCTTATTGATGCTATTGTAAATGGAATTGCTTTCTTTACTTCTTTGTCAAATTGTTCATCATTAGTGTATACAAATGCAACTAATTTTGCATTTTGACTGTGTAACCTGCTACTTTGTTAAATTTATTTATTCTGACAGGGGATTTTTTGGTGGAATGTTTAGGGTTTTCTACATATAAGATTATATTATCTGAGAATAGAGATAATTCTTATTCCTTTCCAGTTTGTTTGTTTCTTTCTTTCTTTCTTTCTTTCTTTCTTTCTTTCTTTCTTTCTTTCTTTTTCTTTCTTTCTTTCTCTTTCTTTCTTTCTTTTTCTTTATTTTATTTTATTTATTTATTTATTTGTTTATTTTGACTATTGGCTCTGGCTAGAGCTTCTAGTACTGTGCTAAATAGAAGTGGTAAAATCAGGTAGCCTTGTCTCGTTTCTGATCTTGGAGAAAAAGCTCTTAGTCTTTCATCATTGAGTGTGATCTTGATTATTGGCTTTTATATATAATTTTTATTATGTTGAGTTAGCTTACTACTGTTCCTAGTTTATTAACCTTTTTTTTTTCCTGGAAAGAGACGTTGAATTTTGTCTAATGGTTACTCTGCACCAGTGGAATTATTATGTGGATTTTGTTCTTCATTCTGTTAATGTGATGTGTTATGTTAATTGATTTTCATAGTTTGCACCATCGTTACATTACAAGAATAGATCCCACTCATCATGATATATAATCTTTTTAATATACTGATGAATTTGGATTGCTAGTATTTTGATAAGAATATTTTAACCAATGAGTATAAGGTATATTGTTCGGCAGTTTTGGGGGGGTGTTTACTTAGTTTGTTTTTCCCTGTGTACTATTTTTTTATGGCTTTGGTATCAAGACAGTGCTGGCCTCATATAATGAGTCAGAAAGTGTTTACGTTCCCACGTCTTGAAATTCCTGAAAAAGTTTGAGAAAGCAGAGTTAGTTATTCTTTAAATGTTTGGTAGAACCCACAAGTGAAGGTAATAGGTCCAGGGCTTTTATTGGTCAGAAAATTATTGATTACTGATTCAATCTTCTTACTAGCTATAAGTCTACTTAGAATTTTCATTTTTTATTTCAGTATTGGTAAGTTTTGTGTTTCTGTAATTTTTTCCATTTAATCTAGGTTATCCGATTTTTTGGTAGATAGTTGTTCATATAATCCATTTAATTTCTGTAGATTCAGTAGGAATGTCCCCACTGTCATTTCTGATTTTAGTATTTTTTCTTAGTAAATCTTCTTAAATGGCTGTAAATTCTATTTATCTTTTTGAAGAAGCAGCTTTAAAGAAAATTTCTCTGTAGTTTTCTACTTTCTATTTCATTTATCTCTGCTTATTCATTATTATTCACTTTCTTCTGGTAGCTTTGGGTTTCATTTTTTCTTCTAGTTTCTTTTTTGATTTGAGTTCTCTCTTTTAAAATGTAAGTTAATGTAAACATTTATAATTATGGTTTTCTCTCTCAGCACTGCTTCTGTTGTATTCCATAAATTCTGGTATGTTGTGTTTCCATTCTCATTTATCCCTATTGTAGTAATATCTACATGTCCCATAATTTTTTTATCCATTGGTTGTTTAAGGGTGTATTGTTTAATATTTAATATTAAATTTGTGAATTTTCCAGTTTTTCTTCTGTTGTTGATTTTTAACTTTATCCTTTATGATTAGAAATTATACTTTATATAATATATATAGCTCTATATATCTAAATATATTAAGAATTAATTTGTGGTCTAACATATAGTCTATCCTGGAAAATGACTTACATGCACTTGAGAATAATGGATATTCTGTTGTTCTTGAGTAGAGTGTTCTATATATGTCTGCTAGATCTAGTTGGTTTACTATGTTGTTTAAATTCTCTATTATTTTCTTATCTTTTGTCTGGCCTATTATTGAAAGTGGGGTGCTGACATCTCCAAATACTATTATACAACAGTATTTTTCTCACAGTAATTCTGTCAATTTTTGTTTCACATTTTTTGATGATATATTATCAGATACATGAGTGTATATGAATGTTCATAATTATTATATATTCTTATCTTATTGAACCATTAATTAATATGCAATGACTTCTTTGTCTATTGCATACTTTTTTCATTAAAAGCTTTTTTTCCTTCTGATGTTAGCCTAGTTACTCTCATTCCATTTTGGTTAGTATTAAAACAGAATATTTTTTCTATTCTTTCACTTTCAACCTGTGTTTTTTTATCTAATGGAAGTCCCTGTAAATAGCACAGAATTGGGCCTTTTTTTAAATTTTTTTCTTGCCAATTTCTGTCTTTTAATTGGAAGGTTTAATCCATTTGCATGTAATGTAATGATTGATAATAAGAGATTTACTTATTTCATGTTTGGTATTTGTTTTCTATATGTCTTACAGCTTTTTTATTTCTCCTTTTCTGCATTAATGTGTTGTTTTACGCTTAATTTTTTTGTAGTGAAAGGTTTCAATTCACTTATCATTTGCTTTTGTATATATGCTACATATAACTATTTTTTGTGGTTAACATTAAGACTACATTAAAATCCAGAAGTTGCAATACTCTAATTTGGATTTATACCAGCTTACCTATAACATACAAAATATCTGGCCCTTTACAGTTCCATCCTTGCCCCTTTCAGTTATTGATGTCACAAATTTCAATTATTCATGTCACAAAACTTAAACATGTTTTGAAACATAAATTAATTATTTTTAATGCATTAGTAACTTATGTAGAAAACAAAATATAGAGTTATAAACCAAAGTTACACTAATACTAGCTTTTAGCCTAATAATTATACTTAATATGTTAATCTCTTACATCACGTGGGAAACAAAAGGTGAAGTTACAAATTATGCTAAAGTAATACTAGTTTTTATACATACCCATGTATTTACCTTTACTTATGTTTTATTCTTCATATTTCTTTGAATTGCTGTCTAACATCCTTTTATTTCAACCTGTAGAACTCTAGCACTTTTTGCAGGACAAATCCTGTAGTAATAAACTACATTAGCCTTAATTTGTTCAGGAATGTCATAATTTTTCCATCACTTTCAAAATACGGTTTTATCAAAAGTAGCATTTTAGGTTGACATTTTTTTTTTCTGTTAGCACTTTAAAGATATTAGCCCACTGCTTTCTGGCCTTCCAAGTTTGTATTAAACAAATCTGTTATAATCTTATTGAATGTCAATTGTATGTGGTGAGTCACTTATTTCTCTATGTTTTCAAGGTTTTCCCTTTTGATTATAATGTTTCAGCGTGGGCCTTCTTTCGTTGTTTCTAATTTTGTTCTGTTGTGTGTGTGTGCTTCTTTGATATTTATGTCTATCATCAAAGTTGGAAAGTTTTGAGCCATTATTTCTTTAATAATCTCTATGTCTCTTTATCTCTCTCTTTTCCTACTGGAATTCCCTCGATGTGCATCACATCAATTATGCTTGATGATATTCCACAAGTTTCTTAGACTCTGTTCACTTTTCTACATCTTTTTTCCCATATATTCCTTAGACTCAATAATTTCAACTGTTCTATCATCAAGTACACTAATTCTTTATCTGTATGCTAACAGCAGCCTTTGAATCCCTCTAGTAAATTTATTATTGCAATTATTATGCTCTTTAACACTATAATTTCTTTTTGGTTTCTTCTTTTTCTTTTATTGATATTTACATGTTGTTCATATATTATTGTCTTGACTTCCATTGCATTTTCCTTTAGTTCTTTGGACACTTTTAAGACAGCTATTTAAAAGTCATTGTATACTAGGTCTGCCATATATTTCTTCTTGGGGAATGTTTCTGTGTGTGTGTGTGTGTGTGTGTGTGTGTGCGTGAAACTTTCCTGTTTCATTGTATAACTTGTGATCGTATTGCATGTGATGTCCTTGCTTTTCCAATATATGCAGTGACTTTTAAATGTTCTAGTCTTTAAAGTCTGTGTATTAGAGTTCTCTAGAGGGACAGAACATATATATATATATATTTATATTTATATTTATTTATATATAATATATAAATATATATAATAGTTATTAGTTATGTGCTTTATATATATTAGTTCTGTGCTTTATATGTATTAGTTCTGTCCCTGTCTAGAGAAAAAAATATGTATTTACTATTAGTTCTGTCCTTTATATATATATTTATGTATATATAAATTATATATTATATATATAAGGGGGAGTTCTGCGCTTTATATATATACATATGTGTGTGTATATATATGTGTGTGTGTATATATATATATGTGTATATACATATATATATGTGTATATATATATAAAGGGGAATTTATTAAGTATTAACTCATATGATCACAAGGTTCCACAATAGGCTGTCTGCAAACTGAGGAGTTAGGAGAGCCAGTTTGATTCCCAAAACTGAACAACTTGGAGTCCAGTGTTCCAGGGCAGGAAGCATCCAGCACAGGAGAAAGAGGTAGAATGGGAGGCTAGAACAGTCTCATCTTTTCATATTTTTCTGCCTGCTTTTCATATTCTAGCCATGGTGGCAGCTGATCAGATGGTGCCCACCCAGATTAAGGGTGGATCTGCCTTTCTCAGATCACTGACTCAAATATTAATCTCCTTTGGCAACACCCTCACAAAAGCATCCAGGATCAATATTTTGTATCTTTCAATCCAATCAAGTTGACACTCAGAATTAACTATCACAAGTCCACCCCTTGTCAACTTAAACCCATACACATCTTCTGGGATCATAAATAATCTTCAAATATGGTGAATAATAAGATCATAATTACACCTAACATAATAAAACTGTACTTCATACAACCAGAAATGTACCAGTCCCCAACTTTTTGTTACATAAAGTTAACAATACTTAAATGCTGATAAGAAGTCAATAAATCTTATGTCATATGATAAAGGAGAAAGGAAATAAAATGAAGATATTTTCTTAGTACACGTGTATACGTGCACAAACATGTTTTCACAAAAGAAGGAGGAAATACTCTTAATGTGTACAGTCCTCGTTTCTGCAGCTGGTAATGATGACTACCTTCTTCTACTACCCATTCTGTACTCCCTTTGCCATCAGCTAGTATCTCAGCAGGTCATGTTTTTTTTTTTCCTGGTGGAGTATCCAAACCTTCATTCCTGAAGGGTCTAGGACATTTGTAGTCCTGCCTGAATTGGGCTGTTGTAGTTTCCCATTGACCTTAATCACAGGGAATGGTAATACTAAGAGACCCCTAAAGGATCTCCTATATTCTGTGCATACTCATCCTAACCTCCATTGCGGAGTAGTAGACTGATTTAATCTTGAGAGTCTGGGTCAATCACCCCAGCTAGGACTGTAACTCCCTTCTTAGCCTGTTGACTTAAACATAGGAGGAGCGGAAAGTGTCCAGGTGGCAATCTTAACTTCCAGTTTAATGGAATCATTGTGTCTCCTGGTGGCAGCATTCCGCCATCTGGAACTAACACCTCTAGGCCAGCAGAAACTAATGCCATGGGAACAGGAATCAAAAATTTTGCTAGTGGAAACTGCAGAGGAGAGTTAGAGAGAATTTTTTTTTTATTTTTATTTTTTAAGGAGTTATTTATTTTATTTTATTTTATTATTATTATACTTTAAGTTTTAGGGTACATGTGCACAATGTGCAGATTAATTACATATGTATACGTGTGCCATGCTGGTGTGCTGCACCCATTAACTCGTCATTTAGCATTAGGTATATCTCCTAATGCTATCCCTCCCCCCTCCCCCCACCCCACAACAGTCCCCAGAGTGTGATGTTCCCCTTCCTGTGTCCATGGGTTCTCATTGTTCAATTCCCACCTATGAGTGAGAACATGCGGTGTTTGGTTTTTTGTCCTTGCGATAGTTTACTGAGAATGATGATTTCCAATTTCATCCATGTCCCTACATTAGAAATAGTTAAATTGTGGGAATGTCATGCTATAAATAAGACACCACTCTGACATGACTTGAGTCCCACTTTGTCTTTAGCTTTTGTTTTGTTTTAGTGTAAATACTCTCATTGGTGTACTATCTTCTGGGCAGGTGCAGCCGCTCACACATTCACTGTCTTGAAAAGGAGCCACATTAGAACAAGTTGCAGGGTTGGAGGGTCCACATTCTTTGTAGATATGTTGTTCTGGACATCTGTGTGTTTCTGGAGAAATATAAAAATATGTGTACACGGATATTAGAGGAAATTAAATGTAATAAATACACACTCTTCTAAGGAGGAGCTTTTCAAATGGAATTCTTTGAGTCTGAGTTACAAGGTAGAAGTCAGCCTTTAAAGGTACTCAGTACAACTAAATTATGCCAATTTCTTGTGCATTACTTTATGATACAATATCTAATTTACAGGAAATATATATTTTCTGTAATTTCATTTCATCATAAGTTGAAATTTATATTCTACTTGTATTATGAGGATTGACTTAAGCATATGTGGAAAGTATGTTTGTATATGAAGCTTGTATTTACATTTTATTAATCTTTTTGAAAGAAAATGATAGTACTAATCAGTATACATATGATAAATTGTCCAGTTATTTTTTACAGAATTTACTCATGGTTTTCAGTGACTTTTTTTGATTGTAACGAGTACAACATTTTAAATTAGATCTTAACACAAAGCACTGCAATTTGAGGTGAGTCACATCACCTAAAGGAACCTGTTTCCTTGTAAGTACATGTGACAAACGAGACTTCATCATCTCTAGGATACACTTCCAGGGCTTAGAATCATTTGAGATTACATTGCAACAGCTTAACTTCAAAGTATTGTATACCTATGTATCAAACCTGCATGTTGTGCACATGTACCCTAGAACTTAAAGTATAATAAAAAAAAAAAAGAAAAAAATTTTGCTAGTGGATCCCTAGGGGCAATGGTGAGTGGTGCCACTTCTACTTCCATCCCTTGATTCCTGGACCCGTGAATTCAGTGATGGGAGAAACAGTACCATATATTGGATGCTGATGCAGAGCATATATGGCCTTCTGCAGAATTTTGCCCCAGACCTGCAAAGTATTTTCACCTAGTTGGCACAGTAATTGTGACTTCAAAAGGCTATTCCACCATTCTATCAATCCAGATGCTTCAGGGTGATGCGGAACATGGTAAGACCACTGAATTCCATGAGCATGAGCCCACTGCTGCACTTCTTTAGCTGTAAAGTGAGTGCCTTGGTTAGAAGCAATGCTGTATGGAATACCATGATGGTGGATAAGGCATTCTGTGATTCCATGGATGGTAGTCTTGGCAGAAGCATTGCATGCAGGATAGGCAAACCCATATCCAGAGTAAGTGTCTATTTCAGTGAGGACAAATCTCTGCCCTTTTTATAAGAAAAGATGTCCAATATAACAACCTGCTGCTTGGTAGCTGTCTGATCACCCCAAGGACTGGTGCCATATTGAGAGCTCAATGTTGGTCTCTGCTGCTGGCAAATTGGGCACTCAGCAGTGGCCATAGCCAGGTCAGCCTTGATGAGTGGAAGTCCATGTTGCTGAGGCCATTTGTAACCTCCATCCCTGCCACCATGGCCACTCTGTTCATGGGCCCATTGGGCAATGACAGGGGTGCCTGGAGAAAGAGGCTGAATGGTGTCCACAGAACTGGTCATCACATCCACTTGATTATTAAAATCCTCCTCTGCTGAGGTCACCCATTGGTGAGCACTCACATAGAATACAAACATCTTCACAGTTTTTGACCACTCAGTGAGATCCATCCACATACATCTTTCCCAAATTTCTTTATCACCAATTTTCTAATCACGCTTCTTCCGAGTCCCTGATCATCCAGCCAAACCACCCGCTACAGCCCGTGAATTAGTATATGATCACACATCTGGCCATTTCTCCTCCCATGCAAAGTGCACAACCTTCTTTGTGTTTCACCAGTGAGGGTCTGCCAAAGGCCCCAAATAGCTTCATTATCTGTCACTGACACCTGAAGCACCACTGGATCTGCTGGATCGTATGGCCCAAGTGGTAGAGCAGCTTGCACAACAGCCTGGACCTATTGCAGAGCCTTCTCCTGTTCTGGACCCCACTAAAACTGGCAGCCTTTCGGGTCACTCAATAAATAGAGGGCTGGAGTAACACAAGATGAGGAATGTGTTGCCTCCAAAATCCAAACAGGTTCACAGGGCTTTATGCCTGTTTCTTGGTTGTTGGAGGGGCCGAATGCAGCAACTTATCCTTTACCTTAGAAGGAATTTCTCAAAAGGCCCCACACAACTGTACCCCTAGAAATTTTACTGAGGTAGAAGGTCCCTGAATTTTATTCGGATTTATTTTCCATCCTGTGGCATGCAAATGTCTCATCAGTAAGTCCAGTGTTTGCTACTTCTTGCTCACTGGATCCAGTCAGCATAATGTCATCAATGTAAAGGACCAGTGTGATATGTTGCAGAAGCGAAAAACGATTGAGGTCTCTCTGAATAAGATTATGACACAAAGCCAGAGAGTTGATATACTCCTGAGGTAGGATAGTAGAGGTACATTTCTGGCCTTGCTAGATGAAGGCAGATTGCTTCTGGTGGTCCTTATGGACAGGAATGGTGAAAAAGACATTTGCCAAGTCAGTGGCTGCATACCAGGTACCAGGAGATATGTTAATTTGCTCAAGCAATGAAATCACATATGCTATTGGAGTCACTGCAGCTGCAATTGGAGTCACCACTTGGTTAAGCTAATAATAATCCACGGTTATTCTCCAAGATCCATCTGTCTTCTGCACAGGCAAAATTGGAGAGTTGAATGGGGAAGTGGTGGGAATCACCACCCCTGCATCTTTTGATTCCTTGATGGTGGCACTAATCTCTGCAATCCCTCCGGGGATGAGATATTGGTTCTGATTGACATTTTTCTAGCTAGAGGCAGGTCTAATGGCTTCCAAGTGGCCTTTCCCACCATAGTACCCCTCACCCTACCAGTCAGGGAGCCGATATGGGGTTCTATCAGCTGCTATGTATGTCTGTGCCAATTATGCATTCTGGCACTGGAGAAATAATCACAGGATGAGTCCGGGGGTACACTGGACACACTGTAAGTTGGACCTGAGCGAAAACTCTATGAATTATTGGACCTCTGTAAGCCCCAACCTTAACTGGAGGACCACAATGATGTTTTGGGTCCCCTGGAATCAATGTCAGCTCAGAGCCAGTGTCCAGTAGTCCCTGAAATGTCTTTGTCCTTTCCCTAATGGACAGTTTCCTTGGTAAAAGGCCAGAGGTCTCGTTGAGGAAGGATGGGAGAAAGATTGACAGCATAAATTTTTACTAATGTAGTGGTGTCCTTTCTTAAGGGGACCCGGCCTCCACTTTATTCAAGGGGTTCTGGCTCTGTAAACTGGCTTAAGTCTGGAAATTGATTGAGGGGCTGTGATTTCTGTTTTTATAATTTAAATTAGTCTTTTGTCCATTCGACCTAGAAGTTTTCTGCTTGTATTAATTAAGTAGGAAATGCAGCTTCCTATCAATTTCACTTCTAGGAACACTGTGATTAATTAGCTAATGCCAGAGCTCTACACAAGTCAGACTATTCTGATTCCCACTTTGCCTCTGCTGTCCATTACGGTAGCTATGCCCACCATGCCTTTGACGGTTGAGTGCTGCCACTTAGTCCCTGCCACCTCAGGATCTAATTATTCCCATTGTATTTAAATTTTGTGGTTGAGTGACCACGGTTCCCACTGTTAGATTTGACATACAGAGAAGAGCAATTACTGGGCTCTTCAAAGATGCAGGTGCTACCCTCATACATCTATTTTGCAAGACAATAGTGAAGAGTATATCTTCAGGACCCTCCCAGTTGGGAAGAGTATCCCAATCTCCCTAAGCCTTTGGATCCCTTCCTCTACATTAAACCAAGGGAGATCAGGCATTTCCAGCTCATTCACAATGGGCCATCTTTTAATCCATATTTCAGCTAACAAAGCATATAAACTATTAGAACCTTCTTAACTCCCCATGCTGTAACATTAAATGCAGAGTCCCTACTTAGTGGATGCAAATCAATAAATTCAGGCTGATCCAACTCTATGTTCTTCCTCCATTATCCCACACCCTTAATATACATTCCCATGCCTGTTCTACAGATTTCTGGGAAACAGAAGCAGTTCAAAATTAGAAAACTCAAGCAGTTCTTTTTGAGTATAGCACACCTCCTCATGGGTCACACTCTCAAACTCACCTCTTGGGGCCTGCCGAGACTTTAGTTATAGGTCTAAAAGCAAACAGGGGTGTTGTGGGTGGTTCCCAAGGAGAACTTACATTATCTTTCCTGGCAACTGCCTCAGAGAAGGCCATCACTGTTGTCTCAGGCAGCGCAGGGTTTATTTCTTAGGCAAAGGTGAAAAGATTGATGGCAGCATGGGTCAAAGAGGGGATGTTGCCACTACTGGGGATGGGGAAGCTGTTTCTTCTGGCAGAAATGTTCATCAGAGTTACAAACTCAGTGTCCCCAGCTTCAGCAGGGTCCTCCCACACATCCCCGTTACAAGTTGCTGGGTCCCATTCTTTTCCAATCAATGCCCTTACTGTAACAGTAGATACCTGGTGAGGCTGTGCATGCACCTTTCATTGCAGGTCAGCCACTCACATGATAAGAGTTTGTATCTGTTTTTCCACAATTTCAGCTCTTTCTCTACAGGAGATAAGACTCTCACTCAGGGCAATCTTAGCAGATGTCAGGCTCAGCATCTGCTTCTGAAGCTAGGAGATGGAATCCTGAGTTCATCATTGTCTTTCATCACTTTGTCCACTGAACTTAGGAGCAACCAACCAGCTTCATTATGTTCCTTGGTTCTTCACATATGGTCAAAGTTATTATGTATGGAGTCATTAAACTCCTTGCCACTCATGAGCAGTGAATCACGAGTGTCAAATGCATTTATTTTGCATAACTCTCTAAACAGTTAATGCCTGCCAATGACTATCAGTGTTCTCCATACTATTAGAAGTAGAGGCCTTAACATTTTGGGGTCTAATCATATTAAGCAGCCAACTCCTAAAACCCCAGAACCAACGAAAGAACTCCATTCTTAATATTCTGTTCCTCTAGAACCACTCCTGTACCAAAAACTCCTCTCTCTCTCTCTCTCTATATATATATATATATATATATGAGTTTATTAAGTATTAACTCACAGGATCACGAGGTCCCACAATAGGCTGTCTGCAAACTGAGGAGTAAGGAGAGCCAGTCCAAGTCCCAAAACTGAAGAACTTGGAGTTCAATATACCAGGGCAGGAAGCATCCAGCATGGGAGAAAGATGTAGGCTAGGAGTCTAGGCTAGTCTTGTCTTTTCACAGTTTTCCACCTGCTTCTTATATCTAGCCATGCTGGCAGCTTATCAGATGGTGCCTACCCAGATTAAGGGTGGGTCTGCCTTTCCCAGCCCACTGACTCAAATGTTAATCTCCTTTGGCAACATCCTTATTGACACATCCAGGATCAATACTTTGCATCCTTCAATCCATTCAGGTTGACACTCAGTATTAACTATCACAGCTAGAAAACTGGGCTTGATGGAATTGTTTATCAGAACATCTATGTTTTGTGATTTTAGAGTGGTTGGACTGCCTACAATGTAGCTCAGTGCTTTCATAGAGGGTGTTCCAAGGATCAGGGAGTAACACATTATTTTCCCCAAGGCCTATGTATGAAAATAGCATTGTATCACGTCT
The DNA here is from genome assembly GCF_000001405.40 of Homo sapiens. Taxonomy (NCBI): domain Eukaryota; kingdom Metazoa; phylum Chordata; class Mammalia; order Primates; family Hominidae; genus Homo; species Homo sapiens. The sequence goes on along the minus strand of NC_000008.11, from coordinate 78,155,501 downwards.
CCTGCACTCTTTTAGTCAAATCAGCCATACAGACAAACCCATATTGAAAGACAGGAAACTCCAACTCTGAGTAGATGCAAAGAATCTGTGGCCATGTTTGATCAACCACATGTGTCTACTAAGTATTATAGTTTCTGGTTTTCTAGTATCCTTATGGTTTCTTAAATGTATCCACTCCGCTCATCCGCACTGGCACATTCTTACTCCAGCTTTCAAAACACGTAACTTAATTAAGCTACATTGTAATCAGGGTCAACTTGTTGAAACCATTCAATGGTTCCTAATAGGGAAATATCCATTCTTGGCAAAGTATACCACTGCATCTATGATCTTGCTGCTGCTTAGTTACCCAATGCTATTTCTTGATTTGTCACCCATCCCCAAAATTTACCCTAATCTTCAGACTGGATAAACTATTGAAAATTCTATGAAGAAAACAATTTGCCTTAACCACTTATCTCCACTTATCTTTGAAGATTTTGTTCCAGTATGGCTTTTGTTTGAAGTCTTTACTGAACACTCCTCCATTCTAAGGTAAATTGACCACTTCCTTTTTCATACCCCATGGCTCCTTGTAATTGTTTCTAGCATCAGTATTTATTGGCATTTATCTTTACATAACTGTATGCACTTGTCTTTAAGCACATTAAAAGTAATCACTCTATTACTGTGTCTTGGTCATATTTGTAATCGCCTGCCTCATTTGGTCCCTTCATTGACACCTAAGAATTTTTAGTTAGGTAAATAAATATAGAATAATGAGAGAACATGTCTTCCCCCTTCATATTGAGTCAAGTAGATAGACGGCCAGGAAACAAACACACAGTGAAGAAGAAAATGTAAACATACAAACAAACAAAATTCAGATATTGAGAAAGAATACAAAATTCAAGACAAAGTGTAAGACTTGGGATAAAATACTGACCTCAGAATGTGAATAAGAATGAACAACATCTTAAACTTTTTCAACAATGAAGGCCTCTGGCAAGAGCTAATTTAAGAGTCAATCACTTATTGTCCAAGTTAAGTTATAAATCAAGGAATCTCTAAACCAAAATGAACATGCATTTGTATTCTATGTAAACAATGAAAATGATTCAAATTAGTCTACTAGGTTATTATGTTTTGAAAGCAAATGACAAGTACCTGCATCCCAAGAAGCTTAGGTAAAAGAAATACAAGATGGAATCTATTGTAAAAAAGTGTAATTTAGCTTCAGGGACAACTGGCACTAAGGACTTGAAAAATACCAGAACTCTCCTTTTTCTTCCAGTATCTTAAACCTGATTTCTTTCTGAGTATACTTCATTTTCTCAGGTCTGCTCTATGTTGGATAGGAAATAGGGCCCCTAGTAGACCCCATCTTTCTTCATAACACCACCTATGGGAGAGAGTATAATTTTTTTTTCTATCTTTCTCTCTCATGCTAAGTGCACAGATCCTGAAAATCTTTCAACAGGTACAATTTATACACATGCTCACTGTAAGATGAATATTTAGGCTGGGGGTAAGGATGAATTGTGCTGTTTTACAGAGCTTAATTCAAATGTACACTATGAGCTGATCGATAATGGAAAGAAAGACAGGCTCCAAAGAAAGATTATATTTATTAAAATCATGCATAGTGGAAGCAAACTTTTCCACCAAAGGAAAATTACTGTTATAGAAAGACAACAACTGGTATACACTACATATCTTGTATCTGCTAGAAAATCAATTTGGCTGATACAATAACAGAGATACAATGAAACAACTTCAATAAAATTTATTTTTTTCTCCTCTTCATAATAAAATTGCAGTGATAAGCAGCCCAGCATTGTAATGTGGTATCACGATGACCTAATTGACCATGGCTCCTTACATCTTTCTGTTGTGTTTTCTTATTATGTAGTTTGCATCTGCAAGCTCTTTTCACACCCTCAAGATGATCGCTGGAGGTCCAGTATTTATGCATGTAATTCATGCTGAATGAAGGGAGAAATTAGCAAGAGAAAAAGAAGGAATTTGTTACCAGAGACATATTTAGGAGCTTTCACAAAAGACTTACCTAATGATGGAAAATTTTTAGCTAGGTTCGTTGTGATCTTCTAAGAACATAGGGAATCCATAATAAAAGAAATAACATAAGAATGGATAGTGGACAAGCCACTAGCCATCTCTGCTGCATGTCCCAGTTTCTCTGAAAAGATTTACCATAAAGCTTACAACATAAAGTTTTATATCAAGAAGTAAGAAATACATTTTAAGTAAATTTATATTGGATATAAAACAAGTCACAACTTTAATCATAATTCTAAAATATCATTTTGTCATTCTAAAATATTCACAGTCTGAGTTCTTTCTCTTTTTCTTAGACGAGGTAAATCAAATCAATATTTTCTACTATTGGCAAATAGTAGTCCATAATCATGAACATGTGTATGTGTGCAAGAAATGCTAAATACCAAGAGAACTGTATATAAACTTGATTTTCCAAAATTATTCCTTCAACACCTTTTGTGAAGATGGATGCAAACTACCCTGCAATTTCTATATTTTTCTCTTCCAATTAGGAAAGGAAAAGCTACATGAAACATGACAGCTTTTGTGCCAACAAGTGTGTTTTTATTTTAGATTTTATTATGCTCATTTAGAGACACAAAAATTTTGCTTATAAACATTTCCAAATGTCCTGCAAATACTGAAACTTGGGGGTGATATTTGAAAATACCAATAAAACAGATTTTGTATATGCCATGTTCTTTAATAGAAAATTGTTAAAAACATTCTGGATCCAAAGGAAACTGATTTTTAAGGCATTTGTTTATTGATATGTCACTGCCTCTTAAAGCTTATAAATAATAGGATCAGCTATTACAGAAATCATCATGCCTAAAAAATATGTCAAGTCCTTCCGAGTTGCCTAACCTCCAAAAGAATCAGCATTCTGGCTATTCACTGAGTTAAACTATTCACAGTGATTAATTTGTCAAATACCTAGACAGAAGAAAGTGACATGATGGTTTTCAAGCTACAGGCTACAATCACGTATTTTGCAAATAATCGTACCTCAGAAAAATATATTTTTTGGCAGGAACATCATGATTTAGAGCGAATGCATTCCACTACAGGGGATGGGTAGGAAGGATTCGTATAGTTATCCTTTCATGAGTAAATTGGCACCAATTCCAGGAAAAATTAGGCTTGCATGCTGAAAAAAGGAGTGAAAGTTTTCTATCTGCCAATCTCATAACCAAAAGAGTTCACTTACATTCACAATTTTTTTCCTATGGATTGACAATGCTGTCCTCAGATTAAACTCTAGTGGAAAAGGATAAAGAAGACCTTATGTAAAACCTTGTCAAACAATGTTGATGTGTTTCTAGGTATGTTTTGAGTGTGTGTGTGTGTGTGTGTGTGTGCATATGCATAGGCAGAGTTGAGTAAGTAGAGTTTGAATATCAATGGTGACAACCTTCTGAAGTAAATTCCCCATTGTTGTTTGTCTTTCCTTTATTCTCTTCTTCCTTAGCCGCCAAGCATTTTTATGGCACAGGCATCATTTTGACTTCAAGAGCCTGTAACTCTAAAGGAGGGAAGCCTTCTTTCTAATTGGAAGAGCTGTGTTTCCAAGAGTGTTGTGCATATCCATGTTGTTTTTCTTTCCTTCTGACCTCTCATTGTTTGTCCCAGAGTTGTAGGAAGGTACACAGAAGATCAGGGTAAAGTCCTACCTTTCTGGCCAGAGAACCAAAAAGATGATCCCAGTGTGCCAGAAAATACCAGAGAGGTTGTGGAGAGAAAGAAGCTTGGAAAAGTGCCCCCCTTTTGAAATTCTTTACTTACCCTTTATTCGTGTATCCATTGAGCTGACCCTATGCAGCCTAGGTTAGACTTTGAGAACGGAACTTAAATAAGGACTACTGGTCAGATCACAGATTATCCACGGGGAAAGAGATTTTCCTCAAAGGCAAGAGAAACTGGGCGTCAGAGTGCAGGGGAATGCAGAAGAAGGCATCCTTGAGGTCCAGACCAGTGAACCATTCTGCTTCCTCTGGTATTTGAGAGAGCAGGGTATAGGGGTTGGGTACAACTGGATATAGAGGAATTACTGCCTCATTGATGAGTCTAAGATCTTGCACTAGTCTCCACTGACCATTTAGTTTTTATACTCCTAGAATGGGGGTGTTGCAGGGATTGCTGCATTTTCTTACTAAGCCTTGAGCTTTTAAATGTCTAACAATGTCCTGTAATCCTTTATGATCTTCAGGCCTTAAGGGATATTGCCTTCAATAAGGAAAAGTGGTGGGATCTTTTAGCCTGATTTGGACTGGGTGGGCATTTTTTTGCCCTTCCGAGTTGTCCTTTCAATGCCCAGACTTCAGGGTTGATTCCCTCCTGAAGTAGGGGATAACAAATGGGTAACTTTTTCCTCATATTCATGTAGATCAGCTCTGGCTAATATGTCCCTCCCTAATAAGGGTGTGGGAATTTTAGGCATAACAAGAAAGGCATGTGAAAAGAGCAAAGTCTCCCAATTACAACTGAGGAAGTGGGAGAAATACCTGGTTACAGGCTGTCCCAGGATTCCTCGGATGGTAACGTACTTTGAGGACAGCCATCGGGGCAGGAGATTAACACTGAGAAAGCTGCACCAGTGTCCAGGAGGAAGTCAATTTCCTGGCCCTCAATGGTTAAATGTACCCAGGGCTCAGTGAGGGTGATGACATGAGCTGGTGCTTGCCCCGGGCACCCTCAGTCCTGTTTTTGGATCATCTGGTTTGGGGCTTCTGGCCAAGAGAGGCTTTGTCCTCTGGGGCAGTGGGCCTTCCAGTGATTGCCTCAGCATAATGGACATGGGCGAGGGGGCAGCTTATGTCTTTTTGGACAATTTTTTAAAGTGTCCTTGCAAACCACACTGATAACCAGCCCCACTGGGTGATTGGCCTGTTCCATTTTCTGTCTTCTCTGAACCACCAAAGTTTGTTTGTCTGAGGGCCATGACTAAGGCTGTGGCCTTTCTCTGATCTCACTTTTCCTTTTTGGCCTGTTCCACTTGGTCCCTATTATAGAGCACTGAGATTTCCAGGTTTAATAATGCCTCCAGATTTTGTTCAGGGCCCAAGGATTGCTTTTGGATCTTTTTCCTGATATCTGCAGCTTATTGGGTAATAAACTTATCTTTGAGGATCAATTGACTCTTGAGGGAGTCGGGTTACAGGGGAGTATATTTTCTTAAGGCCTCCCGTAGCTGCTTGAGGAAGGCAGAAGGATTTTCTTCCTTTCCCTGAGTTATGGTGGACATCATTGAATAATTCCTGGGCTTTTTCCTAATTCTCCTTAGTCCTTCTAGAACACAGGTCAACAGATGTTTGCAACTCCAGTTCCCATCATCTGAGTCGAGGTCCCAGTGGGGATCCATAATGGGGATGGCTTGCTGACTGGTAGGGAATTTGTTCCTTTCCAGGTATCTCCAAACTCTCGGGCTGCAACTAAAGCTGCATTCTTTTCATTAAAGGCCAGGGTTTGATCTAACAATAGCATGACATATCTCCAAGTGAGGTCGAAGGTTTGCCCTAGACCCTGTAGAGCATCTATATACCTATCAGGATCATCTGAAAACTTTCCCAGATCTACCTTGATCTGTTTTAAATCAGAGAGGGAGAAGGGGATATGTACCCGAGTTGGGCCAAATTCTCCTCCCTCTACAGCTTGAAGGGGACATAACTGACAGCCCAGGAGTTTTTGTGGTCCTTTGGAGATTTCTTTGCTTGTTTCCTTCTGGGTGAGGGAGATTAGAGGAGGCTTATCATTAATAGGAAGGGGAGCTATAGGGAGGCTAGGATATGGAGGTAAGCTGAGAGGTCCTCTTGTGGGATGTAAATTGCAAGCTTTGCATAGTTGTGGATTCTCCTTCAATGAAAAGAAAGCTTGGACATAGGGTATTTCACCCCATTTGCCTTACCTCTTACAGAAAAGGTCAAGCTGCAGGATAGTATTATAATTTATACTTCCCTCAGGTGGCCATTTTTCCCCATCAGAGAGAATATTGGGGCCAGGCTGTAGTGCAGAAAAAAGTGAGCTGCCTCTTTTTCAGGGTTTGCTGGTCAAATTGGTCCCAATTGCTTAGGATGCATTTCAAGGGTGAGCCCGTTGATGACTAAGTGTTTCCCATGTGAAAGAAAAAAATTGTCCATGGTTTTGGTTTGTTTGTTGTTCCCCCCTTGCCCAAGAACCCGCAACGGTCCCTGGACCCTGCTGATTGGAATAGTTGCGCTCACTGACACAGCAGCAGAAACACTAGTTTTCCTCCTAGACAACAAGGAGGACCAAGAAAGGTTGGATTTAGTGGCCCTCACTGATGCATTCTCAAAAACCTGTTAGAGTCCTAAGCATTTTCTCCTGTTAGTATTGGGACTTTACCCCTGTTGTATAAAGATGATATGCCTCAAAAATGGAGTGGAGGGCCATACCCTGAGGGAGGGAAGGGATCTCCAGGGTTGGAAGAGTGATGCCTCTTGTCCTCACTTCTCATCATACAAATAGGAAGGATATCATTTCTGGAGCTCCCCATATCCTAGCTTCGGAAATAGCCTTTGTTAGGCCTGCTAGTCTGAGTAGGGATCCTAAAATTCCAGATAGTCCCCTCCAAACTGGGGTTTTGGGCAAAAATTATGTCTTTCTAATTGGTGAGCCTGGCTGCCTAAAGAAAGGAACAGGGTCCCGAAATTTATACTAGAAATCATTCTTATAGGAGAAACTAGAAAAGCACCAGAAACAGGGAGTGGTTTTTAGAAGTGGGACTAGCCTCGGAGAAGACAGGTGGGAGGAAGTTTGTCTGACAGGCGTTAGGACCCAGGAGGCAAGGGTCAGGATAGATAGGATAGATGGGTGAGTCTCACTTGGGCGACATGACTTTGAGAGTTCTGCTCATGGCTGCAGGGTCAACCAACTCTTTGTTGGGACTGCAGAGCTGAATGGCTTTCCTCTCTGTCAATCCTCATCTCAGCCCAGAAGTACAGAAAAAGTGGAAGCTGGTTCCAGACAAACCAATGCTCTCAATTTTGAAGAGTCGAGGGTTGTTAGACAGCCCTTTCCCAGAAAGCCTGACACCTGTGTCTTTAGTCCGGCGATTGCACTAGTCACTTTTAACTGGCCGACGGGTGCCCAGTGTTTAGCCCCCAAATTCTAAGGAAAAATAGGACAGAATAGCAAGTGAAAGGGGTCCAGTGGTACTCACTGCTTGGAGATAGTCCCATCTGGGTTGCCAAGATATGTCCAGAGTTGGTTCCTTCTGGTGGGTTCATGGTCTTGCTGACTTCAAGAATGGAGCCCCGGACCTTCGCGGTGAGTGTTACAGCTCTTAAAGATGGCATGGACCCAAAGAGTGAGCAGCAGCAAGATTTATTGTGAAGAGCAAAAGAACAAAGCTTCCACAGCATTGAAGTGGACCCAAGAGGGTTGCCGCTGCGGGCTGGGGTGGCCAGCTTTTATTCCCTTATTTGTCCCCACACATATCCTGCTGATTGGTCCATTTTACCGAGTGCTGATTGGTCTATTTTACAGAGCAGTGATTGGCCCATTTTACTGGGTGCTGATTGGTCCATTTTACAAACCTCTAGCTAGCCACAGAGCACTGATTGTTGCATTTTTACAGAGTGCCGATTGGCACATTTTACAAACCTCTCACTAGCCACAGGGTGCTGATTGATGCGTTTTACAATCCTAGCTACAGAGTGCTGATTGGTGCATTTTACAATCCTCTTATAAGACAGAAAAGTTCTCCAAGTCCCCACCTGACCAAGAAGTCCAGCTGGCTTCACCTCTCACTTTCTTCAAAATGAAATTTAAATCATCTAAAATTATCAAAAATAGCCATTTAAAGAGTCTGAAATTGATCAAAGTTGTGTAGCAAAATGTGAAGTATTTCTTCAAGAAAACTGAGCCTCAATAAGAACAGTGGGAGTCTGTGACTTTTTAGTCTGAGTCTACTCTCAACCATCCCCAACCCCCAGATCCAGATCCATGACACAAGTGGTACCAAGAAAGCAGAAGGAGACTCACTTTATTTGGAGAAGGATGCTAAAAATGACATGACCTGGGGTATTGCCAAAACCAATAGAGATCTTAGCAGCAAATGATCAGGGTAAGCAATAGATTAGCAGATCAGCTAGAAATTTAACAGAGAAACCTGGAGAATAAGACAGTCAAAGCCAGCCTTGATGGAATCCTAAACTGGAAGGTTACAGCATAGACGAGGCTACACAGACACTCAGGAGAGACTGGACAGGGCCTTAATGAGCAAATTCTAGACGGGTAAATGTGAGACCTTGAGAACACAGACAGTAAAATAAAGGCACGTGCTTGTAAACTCCCTGTAATACTGAATTCAATGCTGAGATGGTCTGTTAGTCTAATTTGTATTGATTTTATGTATTACTTTCCATTTTGACACAAATTGACTCAAAGCTATATCATTGTATATCATCTTAAAAATCTAGGTCTTTTAATATTTTTGTTTAAAACAGAAAACTGTTTTTGTGTAATTTTAGGGATTATTATTTGTTAGTTGGGCTAGTAAAAACTATCCAATAATGTATATCACCAATTTTTCCTCAGTGTTATAAGTGAAGTCTCTCTATCAGAAATAAATTTTAGAAACCGAGAGCAAATGAAAAGTGACTTGCATAAAAGGGAGAGTGAAACAACTTCACACATGACTCTATTGGAATTTGTGAAGCAGGGTACTCACATTTTCGCTGGGAATAGTTGCAAAATGAGGGGAAAAAAAGGAATACTAGATCTGATAACAATAGTTGTCAGAAATTAAAAACTTTATAATAGAATACTACTACAAAAAAGGGATAGTCCAGAGGGTGTCATTCAATGAATACAGGTATCAAAATGTGTGTTTGGGCCCTGTGGTTTCTGACTAGCCAATTACCTTGCTAACCTGCCTTGTTAACTTCTTGTTTGCTTATCAGTGGGAAATGTTTTTACCTGGAAACTCTTGTCCCTATTTTTCTCTATTACACTTTAAGAGTTTACTTTGATTGGAAATCCTTCCGTAATTCTTGCTTTTGTATTTCTACAGATTGAATGTTTAAAATAGGATATATTTCAGAAAATGTATTGACTGCAAGCTCCTGTATTCGTAGGTAAGGAAACACAGTTGTGACCTTGGGAAGCAGACAGATGTGGGTTTGGAATTCAACTTCACCAATTATGAGTTGTGTTGATACCTCTGAGCTTCATTTTTCTCATCCACAAAAGGAAATAATATCTACTCTACAGGGTTGTTGTGAGAATTAAATAAGATAAATTATGTATAATGACTAGCACAATTCTTGATAGATAAATGGGAACTGTAATTGTAATTAAAAATAGATGTTGTAGCTCAAGGCTTTTGCATAATGGATGTTTTGAAGTGCTGTTTTGTTTACCAGTTCTTTTGAATTTCTTATGCCTTTTTCCAGTGGCAAGACTATCATCTCAATAGTAGCTATAATATGTCTAAATAATCTGCATCTTCACTTGTTTGTTCCTCAAAGTATCTAGAGTTTGCCAGTAAATACATTGTATCTATGTACCAAATGAATTCATAAAGACAATAATTATATCCTATAGTAGACAAAAGCTCTCAAATAATGATTATCTAAATCATTGACTCAAAAGTTATGCATGTATGTATACAAACACATACACATATATCTGTATATAGGGGCATAATATAAATGCATTAAAAGTTTTGAGTGTATTTTATATTTTTATTTTTTTGAACAAACTATGGTCTAAACCCTACCTATAAAGGACAAACACACAATTATGCATTCACATACATACATGCACTGGGAATAGTCTCATAATCAGAGGACATCATAGAAATATCTTTGTCTCACAATACTGCTTTCCAACTTGAAGATAGCACTGGAGATGGTTCCACAGCTGTACATGTGGAAGTGAGCCAAGATAGTCTCAAGTGGATAAAGTAATCCAGATGTCACTGCTACTGCTGAGGAGACGTACTCCAGAGGTTGTCATCTGGGCACTACCACTGCCAAAAATATTGCCTTGGCCACAGTTATTGGCTTTCTTGCTGGAAGATGATGGAGCAAGAAAACATTTGAAAGTCTTGCCAAAACAGTTGGAGGCAGCTACAAATGAGTACATATTAATGTAAAAGTCATTGCTCAATTTGCTTTGTCACAATTGTAATAGTTTGCTTACATATATTAAAATCATCAATGTACTGCATTGCACGATTTCAAATCTTATAAACCTTGACCAGTTATTGGTTGAACTTACTAATGATCTATTTGAAATATGTTGATCTAGGAAGGGCAAGTATTTCAAAACTGAACTTTGAGACACAGATCCAAAAGTGTGATCTCTATCCCTACGTTTCACCAAAGTTAGTATTTGTCTACAGATAATTCATTATATTTATGTCTCCTGTTGTGCTTAACTAACTATATTCCTTGTAGTAAATGTTCAAAATATGCTGTTGAGATGACGTGAAATAGAACGAAGTTGATTACAACTGAATAGAATTGAATTGCTTCTAAGCAATTGGCCCTGTGAGTTAGCATTTGGTCTTTGTGCTATGACCCTCACATTGGCAAATATATTTTATTGTTAGTCATTTATAATTTTTTACAAATATTAATATGCAGAAAGAAATAAAAGTGAAAAAAGTGTGGGTCAGGTACCTGAATTAATACACTACCACAGATATACATGATGGTTAATTTCTTTTTTAAGTTAATATTTAATGTGTGAACAAATTACGCTAAAAATTTTACATATTAAAAATCGACTAATAAATGGAAAAATTAAATACTGCCTTAGAAAAATATGAAAAAGTATATTTTTCTATAAACATGGTGTACCTCACTTTCCTTCATTTATTAATTTATTCAACAAACAGATATTGAACAATTACTTTGTGTAAAATAGTTTCCTAGTAGATAGAAAAACAAATGAGATGGCCCTTTCCTTCCAAGATCCGCAAAGGATGATATGTAAGTAAGTATGAGAGGTCCATACATAAAAGGGAATAAATCATAATATATTATGGTAAGGATAGTGTTGGAAATATGCACAGGAAATCTGCCTGGAGAGAGAGAGGGGGGAAAGATTATGGAAAGATGACACTTGAGCACATTCTTAAAAGAAATGCATGTGGGATCAAGATAAGAGGATAAAGGGAACAGAAAAAACATCCCACAGAAGGAAAAGATACATAAACTTGGTAAACACGAAACTGCATATCTAGATCACTAACTTTCTTTTGCATTGTGGTATTAATCAGGTGGTTTTGTTGTTTGGTTTTGGTTTTTTTATACTATGATAAGAATTTAAAATCAAACAATCTTAAGTACAAAGAAACTTCTCAGTTTCAAGTTGTTTTCTTTATTTTCACAAAGATTTTAATGAGAACAGAAATCATACAACAATGTATATATACATATATATGTATATGCATGTTTGCATATAAACTGAACTTTGAGATGCAGATGCAAAAGTGTGTACTCTATTCCTACATGCTTCACCAAAGTTAGTATTTGTGTATAGATAATTCATTATATTTGTTATCTCCTGTTGTGCCTACAAACTGTATGCCTCATAGTAAATGTTCAATATGTGCTGTTGAAATGATGTGAACTCAACAAAACTGACTTAAACTGAATTGAATTGACTCAATTCATATGAGTCATTTGCTCTCATCCAAACAATGAGAAAGACAATGGCATAAGTATGTATAGAGCCAAGGGCGGAATTCTTTTTCTTCTCTATTATTTCTTGAATTTTGATTTACTGTTTTTAAAAAACAGAATGGTTACATCAGATAATAAAATCAAGACTACAAGTATTCACTTTTTTTCATCTGCATGATACAAGAGGCAGGACAGTGTTCCCCAGAGAGTTCAGTTAGTAACATTTTATGCAGGAGCACTGATTGGCTCTACTCGGGTCATTTGACAATATCTGGATATGTCTTTGAGGCCAAACAGGGGAGCGATATGATTGGTTCAGTTTCTCTCTTATATAGCAAACCTCTCTGAGCATAAAGGAATTGATGATGTTTACTAGAATCATATGGAGATGAGCAGAAACTTCCTCTAAAGAATGAAAAGGCTGATACCCCCCAAAGGAGGAGGTCAAGATGCTGGTCTGGTAAGTATCAAATGTGCCACAGCTTCTAATAAGTGTGGAAATTTTCCATGACATCATGGAAAATTATTGAAGGGTTTTGTTCAGAGGAGTAATGTGTGTGTGTGTGTGTGCACGCACGTGTATGTGTGTTTAATATATCAGTAGATGTTCTATGGAAGATTAATTTGATAAGAAAAACAGAAAAAGAAATGAATATTAGGGCCTGTCTCAGTAATCTTGGTGGGAGGTGAGGAGAGATTCTACAGTGACAGTGGCCATAGATGGATATAGATCTAGGGAACATTTCTATAGGTTTAATTCCACTCCCTAGAATTTGGGACTCTTACAGTTACAGATGCCAGTTATCAAGAAGATACAGCAATATGTTCAATACACTGGATCCAGAGACTGCCACCTGGCTCATTTGGACTCCTCATCCCACTAAATCAATAGGCAAGGAAGGAGCCACCATAATGGCTGAGATGACTGATCCTGAATAGCAATTAAAAATAGTGTTGTGGGCTGGGCACGGTGGCTCACACCTGTAATCCCAGCACTTTGGGAGGCAGAGGCAGGCGGATCACCTGAGGTTGGGAGTTTGAGATCAGCCTGACCAACATGGAGAAACCCCGTTTCTACTAAAAATACAAAAATTAGCTGGGCGTGGTGGTGCATGCCTGTAATCCCAGCTACTCAGGAGGCTGAGGCAGGAGAATCGCTTGAACCCGGGAGGTGAAGGTTGCGGTGAGCCGAGATCACACTGTTGCATTCCAGCCTGGGCAACAAGAGTGAAACTCCATCTCAAAACAAGCAAGCAAGCAAACAAGCAAACAAACAAACAAACAAAACCTAGTGTTGTAGCCACAAAGGGGAATTAGAAGAGTATGTCTGAAAGACAGAATCTTCTCTGGGGGCACAGTTTAGTACTTGCAGCTTACATGGAAAAAAATAAATAAAAGACGGTAGCATTACAAAAAAGTAGGCCAAAAATGAGTGTTGTAAATGAATGAACTTTGTATGAGATTGTTAAATATCTTAATTTTTGTGAGGGATAGTCTCATTATATTGGATGGAAGAATGATATTGTTTCTATTGCTGATGTTTGGAAGTTAAATCTAGGTAGAACCAGTGCTATGCTGGACTCAGTCTTACTGACATAGTATCATGTTGATATTTTAAAATAGGTCATTGTGGTAGTATTTCTTTTCTTTTTTGTTAAATCCCACACTGCTGTTTGTTCAATGTTAATGAACATATCACTAGATAGACAAAAGTGTATGCTCATTTATAACTGTGCTGTGTATTTTTATTGGCAATTTAGAGCATTTTCTTATTTCAAAGTCCTTTAGTCAAAGATGATATGGAGTAGACACATTTCTCTCTAAATCTTCCACTAAGTAGAGTTATAAGCTTTAGACATTGTTTGCAAAGAAGGAGAAAGAGGAAGAAGATGGGAGGAGGAGGAGGATTCTGAGCAATGGAGAGAAGGAATACAGATGCTTTTTGACTTATTATAGGATTATGTCCTGATAAACCCATTGTAAATTGAAAATATTTTAAATCAGAAGTGCATTTAATACACCTAGCCTACTGAACAACATAGCTTCTTAATTCAGCCAACTTTAAATGTGCTCAAAATATTTGTATTAGTTTATTGTTGGGCAAAATCATCTAACAAAAAGCCTATTTTATAATGTATTATTGAATCTTATGTAATTTTTTGAATATTGTACTGACAGTAAAAAACAATGGTTGTAAGGGTACCATTGTAAAGTTGAAAAATTGTAAGACAAACCATTGTAAGTCAGGAATTATCTCTGTATATGCATACATAACACACATACACACAAACATATATATACACAAATATGTGTGTGTGCATGTGTGTGTGTATTCCAGCCAACTTCTTCTCAAGCAACATTATCAAACTAAACTTACAAAAATATAAGATGGAAAAATAATTCAAAAATTTAATATTATTCTATAAAGTAGTAGAAAATGAGGCATTTAATAATATTTACCATTAAATTTATTGTGAATTTATTTGCCATTTGAATTCAAGTGTTTTCTATCAAAATTTCTTTTTAAAAATGTATTTTTAAAATGTTTGTGCAGGCATTTGTTCACACTTTATAATATATAGGCTGAAATAAAATTGAATAACAATCATAAATTCTAATATACAATCTAGACTTAAGCACATTGTTCCCTGTGTGTGATGATGGAAAGATCAAGTAAAAGAAAGTAAAATTCTTGAGAACAAATTAAATGTGTTGGTTAAAAACACATGATGGAAGACATAGAAGTGAAAAGGGAGATAAAAATAAAATCAATATATTCAGAAATTAGAATATATAATTTAAATTGTTCTACCATCTATATTTCCATGTTTTAAGTAGAACAAACACTTTGGGTTTATTTGTTCAAATGTATTATTGTTTACATTGGAACACCAATTATTGTACTTTAGGTAAATTTTTCAGTAAACTCTTTTATAACTATTATCCCAACGCAGTCTATATCAAAATATCTGCAGTGCTTCTTTAACATTTAGATTCATTGACCCCAAATTCACATCTTTACAAGATTTTATTCATATTAATATTGAGTAAGTATAGCTTTGTATGTTTTGAAAGGTCCAGCCATTTTAGCAGCCAAGAGACACCTTCAAAAGGGATATACTCTAGAAAATGCATAATTATTTAATGTGGAAGTCATTATATGATTATTTGAACTTTCAAATTGCTATATACTTAATGTAATTGTATTAATGCAATCATGATGACTACATTTTTAAAAAGCATACAGTAAGCCACAGTAGTTTAGTTGAAAGGTCACATGTTAATGTCACAGTAGTCCTACACTGTAGGTAAAAAATAGTATTCTCAATTGTAACAAGTGGAAACAGATTTACATGGATTAAGTCTTCTAGATAACAAGGGGAAGATCAAGCATACCCATCCACGAAGATGTCGATTTCATTCCATTTCCCATGCTCCTAACCAGTATGAATAAGGAAGATGGTAAAATTACCTTGGGGATCATACAAAGAAAAAAAGACAGCTTTACTTTTATTTACTTATTTAACTTTTACATCCCATTGTAATGCATTAGCATCAACCAAATTACAGCTTCAAATCTGAAACTTTGAAATGGTCATTGGTGACGTGTGCCAGCGTTTCAAACTTTAGTTAATCTTGAGAATCCCCAAGATAAGTAATGAGTTTAATTTTCCATGGAATAAACACCCTTCCTTGGTCAAGCAACATAAAGACTAGAATTTGCAAATTTCTTGTAGGTTTGATCTAGCATACATTTTCTTCTCATTATAGAAATGTAGAGAGGCAGTGACTGAAATTTTTGCTTTTACAAATCCTGCCAAATGGTATGCAGAAATTCTATGTGGCAATGGTGCAGTTTCAGTTGTGAACTCCCATGCTTTGAAATTTTAGACTAGAGTATCTTTTGGTGCCTAGGTTAGAAATCTGAAACCCTCATTATTTCTGCATTTGTTAAACTGTGCCTTTTGTTCCACTTGCAGACCAAGCAGTTGCCTTTGATAAAAGTTGATCTATATTCACAGATCTGCTCTGATCTTGGCTTTCTAAATGGTTCATCCTAGGGCACCCTAGAATGTTTGAGAAGATGCTTTTAACTGGCTTTCTTTTTTCACCCTTTAAGCTTGTCTATTTTCATTTACATACCTGAAAATTTCAAATGCCCTATTTGCTCTATTTCCAGGACTGAAATATTTTTGAGACTTTTCTATCATAAAACCTTTGCATTACATATATTTTGTAGGGTTTTCATGTACTTACGTCCTGGTTTCAAACAAAAAATCTTATTAATAATTCTCATGAATAGATATATATTAATATGTATACTTACATATGAATATTTGTGGTTGTGTGTGTGTGTTTGTATTTGTGTTGTGTTTGCGTATTTTGTAAAGAGAATTCGCTAATGTTACTAGTGCTGCAATGACTTTTCCAAACTTGTCTCTTGGCCACAGTAATTTATTCTGCATTACAATGTGTTGATCTAGATTTGTCTGCGGTTTTAGGAGTGATGAAATGATTCTTCAGTGGTACATGTTTTCTATCATGTGATGAAATGCTTCTTCAATGGTACATGTTTTTCTATCTGTTTTTCTAAAACAGAAATATTGAGTATGTTCTACCTATGGTTAACTAAAATGTTTTTGTCAAAATAAGAAATTAAAAGGGATGCTTCCGTATCTATTTTCTTTGAAAATGTGTTTATTGAAGGATGTAGCCTGTTTCCCAGCTTCTAATGTGTCTCAAAACATTGTTTATTTTAGAATTCCATACATAAACAATTTTGGGGACTAAAAATAATCTTATTCAAAGTATCATGTTATTTTTCTATTTGCAAACTGTTCTCTGCATGCCAACTTTTAATTTATTAGAATTTATGACATTAAATTGGTTATGCCAAATTTTGTCCCCCTGCCCCCCACCCACAGTATTTACATCAGTCTTTTGAATCCTTACATCTACTAGGCATTCTGCCAAAGCATCTACACTAGAAGATAGGGAGTGGATTTGCTTCTCCAGAATTATATCTCCAGCTTGCTTTCCACTTTTCCAATTCTCATTAGAATATTGACCGTGTATTTCAGATTTCTACCAGTACCTTGAACCCAATATGTGTCCAGTGTAATTCTCTCTCTCTCTTTTTATCTCTGAGTAGGTGTGGCCTTGGGAGTCTTGCCAAAAGTATGGGAATGGTATGCGTACTTCTCAATGTAAGAGTAAAGTTTATTTCCCATGGTGCTTTTCTGCTTCTCAATATTCTGTCTATTTGGCACATTCTGAATTTCCTTCATTGGTTTTACTAACAGGAACCTACGTGAGTAGCTTACTTAGATCTATACGTAGAAATAGGGTAAATGATGGCTATGAAAATATGCTGCTCAGACATTACTTTCTGAGGAATGTAATTGTCCAATGGTCCCTATTGCTGCCTGTATGAATTCACAATTGCATTAGCACTAAGGCCATGTTTTCCATAGCTTTTTCCTGATCAGTGTCTGAACACAGTAGAGGGACTAAGACAGATCCATTCCAGTGAAAAGTATGGCTCCTCCAAGACACAGATATGTTCCAAGAGCACAAAACCACCCAACTGAAGCATTCCTGGAATTGTGCTACAATGTGAGACTCCTCTACTACAATCCTCATTACATCACTCTTTTTTTTTTTTACATAGAACTCATATTTATATCATAGGCTGAAGGTTCTCTTTACTTTCTTCTGTTGCTCCTCCATCTCACTTGCATCTTTAATTCTATCTTGTTATCTGCTTCTTGGAGAATCCAAACTAATACAAGTGATAACTAGAATGGTCCAAGAAAACAGGTGGTAAGATGCAGATTTTGAATTTGTTCACTCTTCACAATGCTGATGAAAAGCACCCCATCCTGAGTGGTAACTGGGATATAGTTACCCCCTGACAAAAGATGGTCACCCACTTGCTAAACAGTTCCCTGATTAAGACCTGGAAAACTATGCTGGTGGAGAGAAATGCCTGAAGTTGTAGCTAATTCAGCCATATGTAAAACGCCTGGAACTATGCTTGTGAAGAAAGTAGAGTTGCTGGTTCCTGCTAATCTGTATTGATGCCTTGTAGAGAAATGACAAACCAATGGCAATGAACAAATAGATAAAAGCTATGTATGACAGACAAACCCCTATTTGGTAGCTTACAAAAAAAGGCCCTTTTCTCCATAGTAAAGGCTGAGCAGCATACATAGATCTACTAGAGTAGAGCAGAGCTCCAGAGACATTTGGAAACTGTGGATGAAAGCTTCTGGAAATATGTCCCTGAGAATGTGGCTATGCAGACTCCTGAACCAACCGTCAATATTTTTAGAGGTTACCCACTTTTTTCCTCATTTGAACTAGCACTTTTCCAGTTTTGGAAGATGCTGCAGAAGCGTCTCCTTCACGAGGAGACATGGAACCTCTCAGTAACTTCCAATAGCATCTTTGCTAACTCTCATGCTAATAACTAAGATTAAATTCCAGCATAACTTGACTGGGAACATGCAAGGGTTGAAAACAAAAAAAAGAGATGATATACTAGAGAAAACACAAAAATTAGCTGGTATGGACTGCAGGGGCCAAGAAAGCAACCAACCTTGGGATTGGATTTTGAAGGTGTTTGCTTGATCAAGAGGGTTGAAATTTAAGACTAGGTAAGTAAGAATTAGTTTACTTAGAAACATTCTCTGAGAGTGGGGTATAACACCCTGACAGGAAACTCTAGAAGTTGGTCAAATTCATTGCTAGAGAGGCTTTTAAAAGTATAAAAAAA
This sequence comes from Homo sapiens, assembly GCF_000001405.40. NCBI lineage: Eukaryota > Metazoa > Chordata > Mammalia > Primates > Hominidae > Homo > Homo sapiens. Next base: position 78,137,027 of record NC_000008.11, on the reverse strand, counting down.
AGATGACCAATGCTGAACCTTTGACATGGCTCTATTGTTCTAAAAGACCAGCTGGCCACTATTGACTGTGGAGGACCTGTTTTATTTTCAAGATGGGCCAGCTATTTATCCCCACAGGTATAGATACTTATTCTGAGTGTGACTTTGCCTTTTGTGTTTTCAGGGTCTCAGAGAAACTCTCTGGGGGAGTATATAATGCCTGTATAGTTATAGAACTCCATGCAACATAGCATCTGATCAGAAGTCTAACTTTATATTGAAGGAAGCACAAGAGTGGGCCTGTGACTGTGGAATCCACTAGTCACCTCATATGGTACATCAGCCAGAAGTATCTGGCTCCACAGAATGGTTAAATGGCCTTCTAAAGGCATGGATACATCATCTTGAAGGCAAATCTTAAAGGATAGGATACTATCTTTTTGGGATGCAGTGTATGCATTAAATCAGAGTGTATGTTTTATATGACTTCATGGTCCCAATATTGCCAGGACATTTAGATGACCAGCAGGTGTGATGAGGAGAAACCATCATGGTAGGAGTAATCAATCATCAGCAGAAGGGATTAGGTTTATTTTCACAAGATTTTGTCAAGGACAAATTCATGTGGAAACCCAGTGGAATAACCTTGAGCACTTCTTCGTACTCCCTAGCCCCACTGTAGTAGTGAACAGATATGTTTAGGAGCTCTGACCTGAGAAAAGTATAATTAACAAAATCTCAGAATCTCAGAAATGAAAGTTTGAGTCATACTACCAAGAAATTTTGAAGTGGTAGTGGGAAACAAGTTTACATGAATACTTTCATATTTCTTAAAGTCAGAGCTTTCTGAGCAAAGATTACTAGAAATCTGGGTAAAGCCTATTTGAATGACAAACATGCCTTGGAAATTAGAGATTGTGAATTGCTACAGAGCCATTTTCTTGCATTCTATTTTAATAGAATGTATAAACCAGGAGACTCTTTTCTTACCTCTCCCAGAGCCATTTGATTGCAATTCAGGGTAGAATTCTGAAAAGAGAGAAGATGTGTATACCTTGAAGTTCAACTCTCTCTCTTTTGTCTCTTTTTATTCCTGTTCTTCTTCTCCTCCTACCTGCTCCCCTCTCTCCCTTCCAGAGAGGAAGAATAAGAAATATGTGAGCCACCCTATATAAGCTCCAAGTGTCATAATTTCAGAGGCTCTCTACTGTGGTGCAATCCCTGCACATTCAGGTGACATCTGGCCAACATTTTCAGGTAAGGGATTTTTAGAGTTGATACTGAAAAAGAGCAGGGATGAGTACTGGTTGTAGCCTTGAGACCATTTGTAGAGAGAGGGACTGTAGTCATCTCATTGACCTTCTACTTTTAAGACTCCCCTCTGAAAAAGAGGCCCACAGGAACCACAGAGATGTTTCCTCCAAACATCATGGGGAAATGGATGTGATGGATGTGTGTGGCATAAGGGATGGACTGTGGTAGCTTGGAAACATGACTCCTGGATCTTATTGACCAATGGCTCCAGTTACTGCTACACTTTGTACAGGGTACCCGCAGCATAGGGCTGAGCTTGTTTATGGGCAGTAAGGTTGACCATTTCTGTGAAATATGAGATTGCTTCAACAGGTGACTTGGGCTCAAGGATGCCCTATTGGCCCTACCAAACCTTTCCTAGAAATATGATGTAGTCTGAAACTCTTCTATTCAATTTCCCTTCCTTTCCCTTATCCTTCAATGGGTATCAAGTCCATATCATTTTCTGAAGGTCCTTCTTACCTTTCATGCTCCTTGCCCTAAGTCGTCTCACAAGTCTAATCCTGTCTTGCCATTGGCTTCCCAGAATAATTCAGAGTGTAAATTCATGGAGTCACCTAACAGAATCCAATATGGTCTTCTCTTGTGCATATAATAGGCACTCAGTAAACATTTCTTTAATATTTTTTGAGTGAACATTTTTTGGAATGCACACGAAGGCAAAAACCAGCAGCCAACATTTATTGCTGTTGAGTTTGTCCAGGCTGCTATAACAAAATACTATAAGCTGGGAGAAAACAGAAATGTATTTCTCACATGTACGTTTCTGGGGTCTGGGATATCAAGGTGCTGGCAGATTCAGTGTCTAGTTAGGGCTCACTTTCTGATTCACAGATGGCAACTTCTTGCTGTGTCTTCACATGGTGGAAGAGACAAATGAATTCCTTTGGGCCTATTTAATAAGGGTATTAACATCCTTCATGAGGGGTCTGCCCTCCTGACCTAATCATCTCTCCAGAGGCCCCATCTTCTAAGTCCATCACCTTGGGCTAGGGGACAAAAACATTGAGACCCCATGTTACTGCATATCCACCTTTAGTACTGAGTGAATGTAGCTAGCTAACAGCCTGTATAGACATAAGGAAAAAAATAACTCTTGATTTTACGAGTGAGTTGAAAATAGTAGTTGACTTTGTAGGTGGGTGTTGAGAGTTGTACCTAGTAAGGCAATGACAGCCATTTGTCACCCAGTAGCACAATACAGAAACATTTTTCTGTCAAAGAAATTTACGCAAAAGTGTGGTATTGTCAATCAAACATGATTTTTAAAGAAAGTTGGAGGCATGCTCCCTCTGATTTGGTTGAGAAAGTAAAGGGGAAAGATGGAAAGCAGGCCAAAAAAAGCTAGTCAAGCATAGCATTACTACTAAGTAGTTGGCAATGACTGTTTAACATTACAGTACTCTGGAACAAATTATTATGTGGGAGCTTGTCATCTACTCCAGGATTTGTTCATAGAAACACACACACACATCACATATTTCATGCTGCTGTTTACACGGAGCAAGCTGTTGATTAGTATCTCCAAAATGTTCCCAGTGTTGGATGCTCATTTTTGTCACTTGGAGAGTTTTAAAAAATACTCATTCCTGGGTCACACCCATGAAGATTCCGATGAGTTTGAGTTTATTTTTCTTGTTGGTGTCTAGGCATCAGTATTTTAAATGCTTCTTGGATATTTCTAGTATGCAACCGGTATTAAGAAAAATTGGTAAGGTTAAAACAGAAAGAGAGAGAGAAAAACAGAGAGAGAAAGAGAGGAGTGAGAAAGGAGGAGGAGGATGAAGAAAAAGAAGAACAACAGCAACAACAGGAACTAATTATTGCTTCCTTTTTCTACATTAAAAGAAAGTTATATGTCCACTCCAATTGTTTGCTGAGGTGACAGTAACAATTAATATCACACTAGGGAGGGTTCTGAGGTATCTCCCTGCCATGTTATTTCTTGATTAACTAAATCAAACTACACTTTCCACTCAAACTGAAGATCCATGCCATACTCTTTAATTGATTGCATCCAAAACTCTAGTGTTTAACCCACTGTAACTTTGCTAGGGTCTTCCCGTCTAGATCCATGGGAGTTACATATATTACAAATTGTGGTTTTTATTTATTTCCTTTTAAATCATGATTCCAGCTGACTGGTAATTTTATTTATACTTTTTAAAAAGTTCTTCTTTTAGATAAAAGAACATATTGTACTGTGCCAAAAAAAACATTTATGGAATTAAACCTGGCCAAAGAGTAACTGAATGCCCACGGATTAGACTTCAGGGCTCTTTGCTCCCCATTCTGCTGCTAGGTCACTGAGAAATGCTGCTAGTATATGGCTTTGATGCCAGCTACAGACTTTAGACTTTGGATTAATCCTTAGCCTTAGTGCCTTAGGACTTAGTGAGCTGCAACATGCCAATTCCCTTATGTCCCGTTTCCCTTAGTGATGGGTTAGTTTTCTCTTCATAATTTCAGCAAGTATCATCAGTGTCAAATGAATCGATAAAAGCATCAACATTAGGACAGTTCATGTCCCAGTGGTCAGCTAGTGTCCACATGCTGAGAATCAAGTGGTGTAACACTCCATGAGTGTCTCCAAGACATAAGGAGTAGGCTGCATTAACACGTTTCTCGGACAGAGCAAAACAATAATTTCTAATCTGCTACATTCCATTGTTGAATTGCTCAGTCATTTCACAGAGAGTTCTGGTAACAATTAATACAGTCATAAAAAGAGAAAATAACAGGGGAAAACATGCACACAAATTGAAAGCAGATATCTACATGCTGTTGTCCCACAGACTTAGTTCAACCACACATCTGGCTGGAAATTTGCAACTAGAATTCATAAGTGATGTTATCATATAAAGTGTGGTGGAGAAATCACATAGGAGCATATTTGTACATTCTGGAATTAATATCTATGTATAGATAATTAACAGAACAATAAAAATACAAACAATGAATGTACACAGGGGAAGTTAGGAACTGAGTATCATCCAATCCTCTCGTATCACAGAAACCTTGGGGAAATAAAGCTGTATGGGATGTTGGTGGACAATATTGCTGCTGGAACCAGGAATTTGAAGTATTGCAGCTTAGAAATAATGGTTTCAGTTAATAAGGATGTGTGGGTGGAATTAAATTTACCACTCCCACTATTGTAGTCAGAATTATGTGCCTAATTTTCACACACTGTCTTGGAAATATTTCTTCCAGCCTCATTTACGAGAATGCTTTTAAACCATGGTAGCATCAAACAATATCAAGATAAACATCCTTCTGGTGCCTTATGTTCACATCCTTTCAACATTATAAAGGTTTAGATATGCACATTGTCATCAGGAATACCCTAGTGTATTCCAACAGAGCAAACCTTAGTCAAGTAACTCCATTTTAGTTTCTGACCCGGTGAAATCCTTTTGAAGACTGCAGAGGTTACTGAAAGGTGGTGACACTACAGTAAGCAGTGCCTTCACAATCTAGCGCTTCCTGGTTTTAAGAATGCGTGTTGATAGCATATTTTCAATTATATATATTTAAATATATACACATATATAAGTATATATACATATATACGTGTATATATATGTATATATACATATATACGTATATATATATGGCTTGATATGATCTAATTGTTTTAAATGTTTTGTTTATGAACCTCACAGTATAATGTAGAGAGCTTTGAGAAAAAGCAAGTCTTATATTTCAGGCACAATTAAGTGCACATGTAGCTTTCAGTGCACAATTCAGTGCACTTTGCTTTCTTTATAAAAGACTGAATTTCAAAATCAATATGTTTACATTATCAATCGTGTGTGTGTGTGTGTGTGTATGTGTCTGTGTGTGATAGGGAAAAGGGAGTTCCGATTTGTTTTAAGGAATCTTTGGTATTTCTTTAAAAATCAATTGCAGTTAAATTAGCACATAAGATAATTTTTATAGATGATTTTACAAGAAAATTACAAAAACCTCAACATAATAAAATTTTGGGACATAATTTCCAAATACTCCCAAACACGTGCTTTCTTTTGAGAGACATAGACAAAATCAATTTAGCTCATTGAATAGTGCAGACACAAAAATTTCTTTCACAAATTGCTTTAAAACAATGTAGTCTCCTATTCACTCTCTGTGCAGTTGTTAATTTTCAAGTAAGAATCCTATGGCCGGGTGCAGTGGCTCACGCCTGTAATCCCAGCACTTTGGGAGGCCGAGGAAGGTGGATCACCTGAGGTCAGGAGTTTGAGAACAGCTTGGCAAACATGGTGAAACCCCATCTGTACTAAAAATACAAAAATTAGCTGGGCATGGTGGCGGGCATCTGTAATCCTAGATACTTGGGTGGCTGAAGCAGGAGAATAGCTTGAGCCAGGGAGGCAGAGGTTGCAGTGAGCCGAAATCATGCCATTGTACTCCAGCCTGGGCAACAGAGCGTGACTCAGTCTCAAAACAAAGCAAAACAAAACAAAACTACTAATTTCAGTAGCAAAAAAATATTAAAGCCTTAATGTACATATTTTAGATGCCCTTCACTAAAGTGCCCTATGGAAAAAGCCAATAAGAAAAAAATGAAATTAAAATCAAACATATTACCCTTATAACAAATAATTCTTCTTCCATTTCCTTTGCCCTGTTCCCTCTGATGATTCATAATCAATTGTTTTGTGTATCCTCATGAGAAGTACACCTTTTCTCACATAACAACGTTTAACTTGCTTTAAAATGTAAATTCTATTGTATTGGAACATACTATGGGCTTCTACGGGGAAATATTAGTAGGGGATTTTTGTTTATCATCAAAAAAACTCAAGATATTAGTAATAGAAGGGCCACAAAAACATTTGCTGTTAGTCCAGGAAAGGGGTAGTTAGTCGCCATAGGATAAATTACCACACATCGAAAGAAGCTACAATACTGTGGAACCTGTAGGATCTGTGTTAAAAAGTATTGTTCCCTACATTTTGCTGGGGGGATTTGAAGAAAGTCTTTTTGGCTGTGATTGTTCATGTTTCTATTAATTCTCAGGTTTGGTAATTCTAGATAGAGGAGAGTACTGTTTCTCCCAATAGGAACACTGTGACAAAGGTAAAGTGTTTTCGATCTACATTAATTTACCGTTATCTGCTCCTTCCCCAATTTCTGTTATGCATTTTTTCAGCCTGCTTCTTAACAAACTTTCTCTGAAACATAAATTCATTTAAACTTCCAGGGATTAAACGTCACTTCTCTTATGGGCTTTCGGGATTTTAAAAAGTGCACTTCGTCTATTTGGCTTAAATCTCATTGTGAATTTCAGAAATAAAGGGAAAGCCCTAATGAGTGTATGTATGCACGTGTGTTATTTTGGGCACAGTACAGAATTACCTTGGGGCATAACACATAATACGGAGACTGCAGACTCTTCTATTTTGGAGAACAATCCTATCACTGGGAGTTCCTCAAATCAAAATTCCTTCACATTTGCACCATTCAGCATCCACAACCTCAGAACACTGTCAGAAAAAAATAACTTTTAACTATTCATAAATGGTCTTCAGGATTTCTCTTTAACCATTAGGATCTCACATCGTTCATGGAGTTATTCTTCATCAAGATACCTTGCACATTGTGAACACTCAGTTTGTATTTGTTTATTTATTACATAAGTGACACTTTGGCAAGTTATGCTTTGTCTGATATTATCCTAAAGTGAGTTCCTGAGGCTCACCTTCATGATTCTGTAAGCGAGACAAAATTCAGTGATACATTGACTATGATAGTGATATACACAAAGAAAAAAAAGATAAACACAAATATTTCTTGCTTCTAGTAATTGGTCAAATATTGGGATCTGATGTCGTAATAAAAGTAAAAGTTAAAAATCATTCTATACCGGAAAAGAGCTCTCCACCCAACACACACAATACTTTACAAAAATGGAAACAGATCTTTTCAGAATTTAAAGGATATCCCATATCTTCAGGGATATTTAATCTAAAAAGGAATCTCAAGAGATTAACAATGACATATGTTAAATTCTCATCTAAACCATATTTAGGGATGTGTGCAGTAACTGCACCTCATCATATACGAGAAGGTGCTCCTTCTCTCCATTGCTTCCTATGATGTGTCAAGCCCTTACCATGTACTTTTTAAATCACTTGGTGGATACAAAAGAATATGGGATATGAATATGATATAATTCCTTTTTGTCACAAATTCTCCAGTCTAGCACAAGAAAGAATGCATAAGCAAATACTTTTATTACAATATAGTGATTTATTCTATGGAAGTAGTGCAAAGTGCTAAGAAAGCATTGCAAAGAAGAGATTCACAGAGTAGGTAAAATGTTAGTTCATCATTGTGGAATCAGTGAGAATTATTACAGGCAGAGGTGGTTATTGGAGAAGCCAGCCAATCAAATAGAACTCATATTTCAAAGCCACACAAACTTCATGTGTTTGGAACATGAAGGTAAGAGGAGACTGAAAAAAATGGTTAAAGATAAGCATGATAATATAGATTGGGTCTAGATTGAACAAATCATTTGTATTGTAAAAAGTAGTTTCTACCTCACCTTATGCATAATTGAAAGTTATGAAACATATTGAACATGATTTTGGTCATCCGGATGTGCAGAAATTATGATAGGGAGAGATATAGATGGGAGAAGAGAAATAGAACAATCAGTTCTGATTGAGTTGGAAACTTTATTCCTGTTGTAATGCAACATATAAGACCCAACCTTGGACAAAACAAAGCAGTATAGTACCAAATTTGCATTGATCAAATGTGAAAGCATGCAAGATCAGCATACCCTCTGGAAGGCTGGCTGATGCTGTGTCTGTCTTGCACGTGGTAAAAAATGTACAGACAAAATGTTAAGTCTCATTCCTCATGGCTTATTAAAATGATACAGAAAGGGTCGAGACTCGCATTTTCAGCTCCACGTCTCTAATGAGATGTCAGTGGGTTGTAGCAAATTGGAATGACAAAGTATTACTCATTTCTGTACTCCTAATGAGTATACAGGCTGTAGTAAAAGTCTGTACACAATCTAGTGTCAAAATCCAGAAAAATAATTCCAACCCGATGCAGTGATATTGTCTACAAGTCTATGTCTTATCCTGACGTAAATATTCTTCCCAGCTTCATGGAGGGCATGTCTCATGAAAAATGGTGGTATATAATGTGTAACACATTTTCACCTAAAAGAGACAGACAACATATCTGGCCACTTATTTTAAGGAATGTTTCATAAACTAGACAACTTAAGAGAAATGAGTGCAAATCCAGTGGACTGCTTACTTGAATTATTTTATTTTAGGGTGAAAATGAGTTAGTATTCAGTATGGCTGGTCACTACATTGCACCTGAACTGAGCATGTGAACTTCTAAATCAACTAATATCAGGATGGAAAGGCAACAAAGTATCATTTATTCATTCGTTTTATACTTACTCATAATTTGCCATTTTAAAAAACTTTACTAAACACCGTGGATATAAAGTTAATAAAACTGATAACTCTGTCCTTGAAGAATTTGCAGACAAGTAGAGATAAAAGATAGACATACAAATAGATAATTTGTAACAAAATGTGGCAAGTTCCATAGAAAGATGGAAGCAACTGTATGGGATCCTCCAGGAAGGATTCACAGTGGTTATATTAGAATTTTTTTTATTGAAGTACGAATGACAGTGAGCCACCTTTAAAGAAGAAAGTCATACTTGCAAAGACATTGTAGCTCAAAAATATATCTCTGAAAATAGTTTAAGAATATTCAGCTCTAATGTAGTATTACTTTTAAAACAACAAAAACCACTAAGTAGGAAGAGATACACTTGAAGTGCAATAAGTAGCTTGGAGTATCCATCTTTTCAAAATGTGCTGGATAGTCTACTGCATTTTGCCAGAAATAGTAACAAAGAAAAATCTTCTCTTCCATTCAGTGCTAAATTGTGTTTTCTTAATTCCTTTGCTTTTCTTCCATCAGGCTGTCATTCTGAATGGCAGCATCATTAGAAACATTATTTGGCATAAAAGTATACAGATAGATATTATTAAAAGCCTGCCAATCTTATATTTCAATATTTTTGCTTAGTGGAAAATAATTTTTAAACTTAGAATTTTATTCATCTCCTGAATGTGATTAATAGTTTTGTTTCTTAATAAGTGTGTGAACTTAACCTATTGTATGCTCAGATCCTTAGTATTTTAATCTATAGAAAATCAAGAATACTTCTTGCTTATCTAATATGAAAAGTGGAAAAGACAAATGTTCCCTGGGTATTTCTCTACATTGGAAAATCTAAAATACCACAAATGTGAATGTGATATTATTATAATAATGATTACCTATGAGATCAATACATGTCTGTTTAATTAAAGTTAGAATGAATGTCCTGTTAATAGAAAACACACTCTGCTCAACTTTGCCTTTTGAAGGAGAATAAGGGAACCTTTGTGTGTGTGTGTGTGTGTGTGTGTGTGTGTGTATTTCTAGTCTTAGTCCTACTCATTAGTATTCATGTGACAATCATCTTATCTTTCTGCATCTCAATGTTTCTCATGTATAAAATTGTAGGCAAAGATAACTAACATGTAAACATATATTGCTGTTTACAATAGGATTTTGCATACGATAATTTGTAAAATTTATAACAAGTTTACCAGGTAAATAAGGGTATAATCTACATGTTGCTTAACACAAAAGCTGAGACTTAAGAAAGTATATACTTTGAAGCCATGGGTCTAAAAGCTAAGGGAGCCAAATTATGACTACTCTCTTTGTTGTTTTATGCTATGTTCCTTCTACAATAACAAGCAGTTACCATCCCTATTTCTAATTGTACTACATTTCTTTTAGGATTGTGGAGGTAATCAAATTAAATAATATATTTAGCTTCAAAGTATATGAATGCTCATGAATAAGGTGCTGTTATTATTATCATGTTCTGGGAAATAAGAGTGAAAGACATGTAACAAATTTGTTATCGTGTTGCTTCATATTATAAAATAAACATTCTCCTTGGATTTTTACACTTTGACTATTGTTTATTAGTGTGGAAGAGTTTAATTTAATTCTGGATACATAAGATAAAGCATCAGTACCTTGCTAGTTTGATTGTTTTAAGAAAGACAAAGCCCATTTTAGTCATACTTGCTCGTAATTCTCACACTTAGGCTCTGTTTACTTTGGTTTTATTTTAAGCTATGGCATCCTCAAAGAATTAGCTGTGGGCAAGAAAGGACTCTTTATTCTGTTGGAATAATCAACTGAATTACCCTGGAATAGGAAAACAGGAGTGAGAGAAAGATTTGAGTACTTTCAAGCACAGAGTTAGATTTGAGGACTCTTGTCTGCTTACACTAAAGGATTTTTAAACAAAAAGGTATCCATTTACCTTAAGAAGTACAAAGTTTATTTAAGTGCCCCTGATTTCTTTAGAATATGATCTGAATCTTGGCAATGAACAGAAACATGTGATTTTGCAACATGTGTCCACATGTGGTTCAAGTACTCCACATGTGCTCTTTCAATGGGTCCTGTGACCTTGCTGTGGATCACATGTGTTTCACATATGGTTTATATGGTTCACATCTGCTTTAAACATATTTTTCCTGAGAGTAGACACCCTTGTTACATTACCATTTGCTGTAATAATTAAATTTGAGGAACCTCACTTGAGAGTATTTGTGAGGGAGGGTGTTTGTTAGTTTTGATTTATATTTGGTGCTGTGTTGAGTGATACCCATTATAACTGCTTATCGTATCTCTTTGTAGGCACACTCTTCCTGCGTTTAACCTCACTGAAGCCAGACTAATCCACAGATGTACTTAAATGCCTATGACTCATATGAAGGTTATCGTTTTAGAAGAGACCTTGAAAACATACTCTGGATTTAGAGTAAAAAAAATAAAATAAACTGACATTTCCAAGAGGAAAGACTTCTTTTAATTTTATATTGCACATGCAGAGCTAAAAGCATATAAACATGTACAGTAAATAGCATAATATTAATCACATAATGAAAATTACATCTAAATGAGAAACATGTTGTAAACTACAGTCACAAAAAAACATACAAAATTAATGTGGACACCTGCCGGCTTTCCTTATATCAAGAGAAAATAAAACTCATTGTAATTTAATGAATTATTTTCTGTTATAGTGCACTAATTATCTCTTCCTTTCACCCTCAGGAAGCATCTTTTTAAATTTCCAGTTGGATCTCAATACATGCCACGTATTATACAGGGAAGAAATACTTTTTTATTAATTACAGCATATTTGTTTTCATCCGTCTTTAGAGAACATTCTAGTATTAGAGACTTGCCCCTGAATAAAATAATACTGTGCTTAATGAAGTTTGAGAAGCAGTGACTCCATTCTGTATCTTTTCTTGATGTGTGGATGTAATGCTCATTAGCGTTAATAATACTTGGAAGTAAATGAAGCATATCGGATCGTGGCTACCTTATCCACACACTGAGTAGGAACGTGGTGCCCCTCAGCCAACAAGTTACCTAATGTTCAGTTGGCCAAATGTTAAAAGAGATTTGGTGCTGTAGGCGATTAAATCCACAGTCCGCCCCTGAGGACCATGCAGCCGTAAATAAGCATTTTAAAAGAATCTCAGTCTTTAATGAAGAACAGGGGAATTTTCAACCAGTAATCAGAAACAGCTTTGGAAATACAGGGATAGTGGTATGCATATTTTGATTTGGTGTGTGGAACATGAATTGTTTCAGAGACATTCCAAAGAATGGATATCATTGTGTAGTAAATGTTTAGTGGATTTTGAAAATTTGAAGAATTTAGAGGCATCATTCTAGCGTAAAAAAAGGAACTCTAGTTAGAAATAGTTATATTAGTTAAAAGATGACATAATGAGAGAAAGAGCAGATATAGCAAGAAAAGAAAATATATGAAATACAACGTGTAGTTATTCTAGTTCTCGCAGGCATTGCATGTGACTTTGTGCATATTTAGAAAAAACCTTTAAATAAAAAAACATGCTTTTATCTTACAGTCTGTAATAACAAGCACATTAATGCAGCATACAATATAATCTCAGCTAATGAATCATCAGAATACTCAGGAGTAAATAAAATTCCATTTTCATGTTGTTAAATATACTTAGAACAGGCCAGAGAGACATTAAAAGTAAGAATAAGTCCAAGGGAAAAAGTAAAAACTGGTAATAGGAGGAACATTTACCTTTGGACTGATGAAATGAACATGATTTTATGCTCACTTTCATCTGCAGGGATCACCATTTTGACTAAATTGGATGGTCAAAATTAGTCAATTATTTTGTTTTCTTTTTTATTCTTCTGCTCAGGGTCAATAATCACCCTATACATTTTGCTGCCTATGAGAATGAAGTACAATGAATTGTGGATACAGAGATATAATGTAAGGAGAATAATGTCTAAATGTGGACTGGTGGCAAAAAAAAAAAAAAATGGAACCAAGAGTTGGCAAGGCTGTCCCTGTACCTTGCCCCAGGCAGCCATCCATCTTGCTCACAGAGATGACCACTTACAGTTCTACCAATACCTTATTGGGTGGGTTTGAAAGGAAATTCTTTTTTTTTTTTTTTGAGATGGGGTCTCCCTTTGTCACCCAGGCTGGAGTGCAGTAGCTCCATCTCTGCTCACTGCAACCTCTGCCTCTCTGGTTCAAGCAATTCTCCTGCCTCAGCCTCCCAAGTAGCTGGGATTACAGGTGCATGCCACCACGCCCAGCTAATTTTTTTTTTGTTTTTAGTAGAGACGAGGTTTCAGCATGTTGGTCAGGCTGGTCTTGATCTCCTGACCTCATGATCTGCCCGCCTTGGCCTCCCAAAGTGCTGGGATTACAGGCGTGAGCCACCGCGCCAGGCCGAAAGGAAATTCTTATTACTTATTGTCATATTTACTTGCATGGATGTAATGAGAGAGATGACTAGCAATATGGGGTCAATGCATGAAAATAATGGGCATATGCATGAAAATGAGGAGTCCACCCCTGAGTAACCACACTTTGACCTTCTACTCCACTGCCTCCTAATACTGTCACATAAATATCTAATAGTCATCTCAAATTTAGGCAAATTCACAACTTGATTCTCCCTGATTCTCCAAACCCTACCCATCCCACAATTTTTCCACCTCATTAAACATCAACTGCATTCTCCCAGATATTTGTAGCAAAAAAAAAAAAAAAATAGGTAGTCTTTAACCTCTTTCATTTTCTCACATCCACATCGAATTTGTGAACAAATCCTGTTGTTCTATTCTCAGATGCTGTGTATGTAGACCCAAATTTGTTCTCTATCTTCAGTTTCACTACTTTTGTTCAAGATATTACTATTTCTTGCTTAGATATTTGTAATACACTTATTGCATTGACACTTATCCTACTATAACCTGTGTGTAATACAATAGTCAAAGGATTGTTTTGTTTTGTTTCTTTTTTAAACCATGTTTGATCATGCTGCTTCTCTTCTCAGACCCTTCAATAGTTTCACACTTCACTCAGAGTAAAAGCCACATTTCTTATGAAGGTCTGCATGATCTCATCCCTTAGTGCCTCATAATCACTTTTCTTCCTTCACTTTGCTTCAGACACACTGGCTTCTGGGATGCAGTGAACACCAAGAATGATCCTACTACTAATCCTACTAGTAGGATCCTACACGATCCTACTAATCCTACTAATGGGCATTTGCACTTGCTGCTATTTCTCCCTTAAAAAACTAATGGCTCAAATATCTTTCTGGATTACTGGCTCTGTTCTTGTAGGTCTCTGCTCACATGTCACCTTGTAGAATAAGCAACACCCTGTAGCTCTGCATCAGTCTGATACAACATTCATGCATCCACAGTGTCTAGAATAGTACCAGGAAAATAGTATTTACTCAATAAACATTTATTGAATGAATTAGTTCCTTCGTTGCAAATGAAGAAAAGTGAAGGCCTGAAAGTATTATCAAGTATTGACCTAGTCACAAAAAGCTCTAGCCTAAGGGAAGGTGGTAGGTAGGAAAGAATCCATAAAGAAAACACCAAAAGAAGAGCTTTAGTCATGAGCTCTCAGGACTATACAGAGCCTGTTGAGGGACACAAAATTGAAAAATAGACCTCTAGCATTAGTCACATACTTACTCCTTTTAAAAAATGAGGACACCAAGGTTCAAAGAGATTAAATCATCTGTCCAAGTCTCTTGATTCAAAAATGCTGGAGCTGGAATTCAAACTAACGCAGGTTGGCTCAGGGTTTTCCCTTCTCCATAAACTTGAATACTGTTTGGTCAAGAGAACCATGTGTCCTACTCCTGACTTGATGAAATTGCTGGACTTTAAAACCTAAATAATTAGTTCTGAAATTATTGTGACTCTGCCACACTGGCATTATCTCTTTAAATGCAACATATACCAAGTCACGAATAATCAATTTAAAAAAGATATTATTCTCAATGAAGATGACTATAAGCTTATTCTATAAGCCTAAATGTCTTTAATAAATCCATCTATTCTAGAGGAAGTTAAGAGCAATTTTTGCATGTACAATTTTAACCACCTTCCAGTTAGAACTGCTGCATTTAGATGACTTTCATCTTTTACATTTTACAAGCCCAGTAGACTATCCCATATAATTAGCACACTTAACATGTATACAGAAAAGGTATAGATTTTATACTCATATAGTATTCAATATGCTATTGCATCCATTTGCTCTTACACATGCATGTAGATGTGGACACATACCACACATACACGAACACAACTGACACACACACTTGCCCTTCCACTTGAAAATATTTTGTCTCACACACATGGTTAGAGACTTCATTTGCTGTCAGAACTTGGCCTCTTTTCTTAAAGATACCTTTATTGTTTATAAGAAAAATCCCCGAATTTAACTTAAAATCTCTTTAATTTTAGTCTATACTTCTTGACTCTTAAGGATGGAAGAAACCCAAAAGATTATAGTACAGTACCTTGATTTTCCATATGACTAAACTAAGACACAGATAATTTCAATGGCTATGCAAAAGGTATATTCTTATTAAATAACAACAACAACAAAATCTTCATGGTTAGTGTGTTGCTTCCTAGTCTATTGCTTCATGAATGTGCACAGAGACACTAGTATCTATCTTAAATAATGAAGCTGCAGGCTTCTTGCAGGTACATAAAGGTGCTGAATAATTCTCTGGGGACCTTTGTGTCATTGTTATTGTGTCACATTGTTTCTGACCTTTTTTATTCCCCAAATATTTTTTGTCTCTCTCTTTATATATATAAAGTGAAACACTGGCATTTTAAAACCTGAATGCATCAAATGATAGCATGTTAGTTTGACTCCCTGGAGACCTTCATGTCATTGTTATTGTGTCACATTGTTTCTGACCATTTTTTATTCCCTTAATGTTTTTTTGTCTCTCTCCTTTTATATATAAAGTGAAACACTGTCATTTTAAAACATGAATGCATCAAATGATAGTATGTTATGAATTTAAATGTAAATATATATATGTATAGATAGATATATAGATAGACAGATAGACCTCATTATCGCTACCATACTGACAGACATTGAATATTAAAACTCAGCATTGATGTGTTTGGTGGGAGGTGAGGTTTAACTGAAAACAATGAGCAGTGTTTCCCTTTTCGCATCAATGGTGGATAATTCAGACTTTTCCCCTTATTATTATTATTGTCACTTTGCTTTTTGACAGCTATCTATTTCCCATTACTTCATGGTTGGTTCTTATATCAGTCTTTATTTTTCACATTCATAAGTTCTGCTTTTACATTTTTTCCATAGATAACACTTCTCCTTGTTTCCTTTATGGACTAATACAGTTTAAAACAAAAGCTGTACAAAGTCGTAAGCAGGCCCATTTATATGCCATCTGCTGCATTGTATTAGTGAGTGTTCTGGGCTCTAAAGAGGTTTTAAGAAACATAAGCTCTTAATGCTAAGACTGTTATTGTGTTAACAAATACTATTCTGTAAACTCAAACTCCATACCTGTATGAAACATCTTTTTATTTATTTTTTGGTTTAAAAACTTTATTGCAGCCAAGACATCTATCTTTTGTGATCATTCATTTTGAATACATAGTTGGGTTAGATCTTATTACTTACTTTGGTCTAATAAACAGAGAGTTGAAAATCGAGCAGCTGAATAAAGCCCTAAAACTCTGAATTTCATGTGGCCTGACTCGGCCATCTGGTTGCCTACAAAGAGATCTTGACCTATGTCACAAATGCGTTGTTGTGGAGATTAAATAACAAATAGCTGCAAGTGATTTTGAAGGGCAACTCTGGATGACTTCTGGGTGTCAGTTTACCCTGGTTGCCCTATGAAAGGCCTGAGCATAAGAATAATGCACTTGTTACTACCGCATTAGACTTGACTTGTGGCAGGTCACCAACATACCTTCTTTTGTCATAGTGGACAGGGTTGAAAACAAAATATTCACTTAAAGACTGAATGCTATTGAGTACAAATAACAGATAATCTTATAATTTTTAAATTTTTTTTGTTTTTTTTCACAATGAAAAGAAGTTAGAGAAGCCAATGGGTTTCATTTTTTTTAAAACTTTTAATTTGATTAAATGCTGTGGTCAGAAGTTATCTTCCTGGCCTAAGATTTTATTATCATGTTTTTTCCCCTTAAAATGCAAAGACCAAATCCTTTGCTAAATTACTAGAAAAGTCTGGTGCCTTTTTTCAGTGTAGACTCTATAAGGTTTCATCCACAGATCACATTGTTAGTATACACACAAAAGAATATAGACTGCAATTGAATAGTAAATATTAATCAAATTAAAAAGCAAACTGCTTCAAAATTTGTTTCTTAGACTCTAAATAAATTCATTTTAATATTTTTTTCTATATTTTCAATTGTAAAGGAGAATTGTTAAAAGGGATGCGTTCATTTTGTTGGAATATACTGGCCATACTTAGTCTTGAAGTAGTTTTCCATTATTTCAGAGCAAGGGTATTCTTCAAATCTTCCCCTGTCTCCCTCAGATCAGATTCTCATTATCTTACACCTGGGCTCTGTCTCTCTCTCACTGATCTCTCCCCTTTCAATCGCTCCTAGACAACACATCCCCTCTTTGTCTTCTACCATCCAACTAATATGTTCTCCCATTTTTGAGAGATTAAAGGTCAAAATCCAGAGTCATGTAATAAGATCATTCTACAAGCTCCATTTACTTATCCGCGCAATTTTATCTCTGACCAGTTTTCGACATGAAACCTTCACTTCAGCCAGATTATGTTAGTAATTTTTCCTCATGCCCATTCATTAAACAATTATCTACTTCTCATCCACTACACGTAAGATCTTGTCTCATGTGCCCACAATGAAGAGGAAAGGAACGCAAGGCAGCAGCCCCTGCCCACATCTGTTTTGAGCATGCCCTCCTTCCAGCCAGGAGTTCTTTGTCTACTCCTTTCCAAGCTTCACTTGAAGATTTTCCTAGAAAGGCCTAGTCTTAATGATCAGTCCTTCCTCTACATACACAGTGATTGTAACACTGTATCAATAAAATTTTCTATATCAGTTAATGCACAGAATAAAGGATCTTATGTTTACTTGTAGCCTACATGGGCTGTTCACAGTATCCTTCATACAATATAATCTCAGTAATTATTTATTGGGAGGAAACATGGGGAAGTAAAAGAGGCTCTGCTTTAGGGCAGATATAAGTTTGAATCCTGTCTGTGTCACTGTCTCGATTTTTTTCCTTAGGCAATTTATTTAATCCTTCTTAGTGTTTTTTCCTCATTTTATAATGGGGATGATAATAACTACTCCATGGGGAGCTGCGAGTGCTAAATATTTAATCACCTTTCCTCTTGATGATGAAGAGGTACTGAAATTAGAACTTGTGAATGTATTATTTGGATAATCTTTTTTTCTTTTTTTCAAAGAAAAGATTACAGAGGAATGGTAATCTATTCCTGTTAGAATCAAACCAGAATTGTCTTTCTGGTCTAGGTGCATGCTTAACCTTTACATATATGTGATTGTACCATGGCAGATTTTCTTTGGACTAAGGTTATTCCCTTGCTTAAGAAGGACTTGCCTTGATATTTGGCAATAAATAGCAGAAAGAAATTTCCACTTGCAAGCTTCATTAAACATAGTTTTTTAATGAGGCCACAGATTTGCCCATTTTAATAATAATTGCCTTCATAGCAGCATATTAATGAGTTCAAATAATATCTAACTTTCTCAATGGCCCCCTCTGCGTTATAGGCTGCTAACATTACTCAAGAGGAAGTGATTCTACCCATCTGGACTGTAGAGCAGCATGCTTCCCTCTGATGCCAGAGCCCCAGCAATCAGCTTTTAGAAACTGTAGGACCTAAAACCTTGGGGCTGTCAGCATGAAACCGTCTACCATAGGAAATTAAGGTGCCAACCACTCAATCAGAGAGTGCCTCCATAGGGGTTACATCTCCAAGTCACCTAGCTATTTCCTGGCCTTTATTAACAAATGATATCTAAGAAAAACACAAGAACATTTTTTTTTTAAATTCAGATAAAATGAAAATTTAGCAGCTGGTTGACAGTGATCATTAAAGCTACTCATGATTTGCTTTTTCTCCTTCACTTTTCACCTGCTGGAAATGTAAATGTTTAACTTTGTTGTTTTTGGAAGTGTGAACTTAATTAAAAACAATTAGCTAAGAAATATCCCAGCCCAGTAAAAGCCTCTGTGCTGGTAGAATGATGTGATTCCACTCTGAGCAGCACAGCCCTGCTACTGCCTCAGCTGAAGTGGAGCTTGGTGAACAGCACCTCCTCCTAAATGTCACTCTTCAGGTTGACTTTAAGAGAGTGCGGAGTGACCCTGCTGAGGTAAGCTTTCGATCACACAGGCCCAAGCAAAAACCTTTACCATTACAACGTAATGGAAAGCAGATTTTAACATTCAGGGAAAATGTGATTTCAGAAATATTAAGGATCTTTATGTGGAAAAGGCATCGTTTTAACTGAGGCCCTGCAGGAAACAAATTTCCCCTTGGGTGTTATGTAACATAAGCGTGGTTTAAGCTTTGAGATAAGGTTCAGGCCATTTAATGGGGGACGAGCAACAAACTCAAGATATCCAGACTTGAAAGAAGTACAGATGGAAAAAAAATACAATGATCAAAATTTACACAGCATTGTTCTGATCAGGAAACTAGTTCGTTAAAAGAAATGGTTAGCAAAGTACGACTAAAAATTTAAAATATTATTTTCTCTGTAAGTTATCTTTTAATTCTTCATTGCATGATAGATGCAAAATAGTATACTGTACTCAATAAATTCTGAAAATAGACTTATTCTTTTATTATTATTTGTGTGTATAGAGGATAACAGATTTCCCTTAGAGATTACCAAGTTTTAATTCACTTACGTGACTTTATCAACACATAAGTTGGAAAAATATATATTCATTTGTCCTTGGATAATTTATCCCTGTTATTATCACTAACAATGATAATCACAATATTTTATACACTACCTATAATAAAATCCTTTTTTCTTTTCATTTATAAAATTCTGAAGATTTACAACACTGATTTCTAAACATAGAGATGTCAATGTTAAGGTACTGCAAAGGTATTAGAACTACATTTTTATGCATTGACCTAGCAGGAAGCAGTTTTCACTGATGTCAGTGAAAGAAAATTACTAGTTATTTTTTCTGACCATTCTCCCCCAAATAAACTAGCTTTTATGTTATGTTATGAACAGCTAAGCAACATTCTTGAAATTTAAAAGTTTACAGCCACATGCCAGTATTTAGATCTGATGTGAACTCTTTGATGAACACTATGTTATAATGAGCTAAATGTCAGGGAAACAAAGACTTATAGGAAAAGAATTCCTCAAGCAATTTAATCAAAACCTTTCAATCAAAGCATCAGGGACATTTGTATTCCTATATTCAGCCATTGGTACTAATACTGACTCACAGTCTCAGTGAGAAAGTTGAATAACTGTAGGTCATGCCACAGACCCTTGTTATGACTTGTGGCTTTGCACGTAAACAATGTCTTCACAGTGGTGATATAACCAGTTTGAAAGCAAAGGCAATTTGAAGAAGAATTTTTGTCAAACATTTGCCTATGCCTATTTCCCATAATCCCCAGTGCATCTTAGAGTTACAAATATCAGTTAACTCTTGCAGTACCTCTTCTATTACTTTTTAATCTACTTATCTTTTCCTCTTTTCTTTTTCATTAACTTTGACTATGATGATCATTGCTAAAAACATCTTCAATAATGTTTGCTTGAGACCAGTGGCTTGTTCACAGAGAGGCTATGACTGCATTTTCTATTGGTGAGAAATTGGAATCCTGTTTTCAGTAATGACCTAGCAGAATTGGCAGTTGTCTGCTATCTGTCTAGCTAGACAGACTTCCTCATTTTTCCAACACAGAAATTTATTTTTTTTTATTTTCCACTCTTCATGTTTGTGTATTCCATCTGCTCTCTGAAATATTCTTCCTCTTCCTGTCCTCAATGACAATCCTAGCAATTTTTTATATTTGAATTCCTCTATGACATGTTCTTTAATCATTTCAGACAAGGCTTAATAGCAAGCACTTAATAGATATATGACTCATTTTGTTCCCTGTTGTAACTAGATTGTCTGTTTGCACGTGCCAATGCATGTAATTATTTTTCTTATCAAATGTATTGCCTGAGACCTAGGGAGTTGGAGGGTGTCTTTTCTTAATTTTGTCTCCTGTAGTATTTTTAATTATAACTTTTATTATACGTTCATGAGTAGTTTTGTCTCCCTAAAATTCATTCTCCTTTTAAATTATAAGGATTCTATCTAAAATGATAAACATTGTAATTTGCTTATATTGATTAAGTCTCCAAATCCTTGCTGGTGGTGATAAAATCCTCTTTGATCTTATCTCTACATTTCTCTCCAACTTCATCCTGAACCTACCCTTTTTGCTTCATGTTCCTGTAGTAAGGAATTCTGTGTTTCCCCCTGCATACACTTTTACTTTTATTTTATTTTACTTTATATCATTTTATTTTTTTTGTATAGGTCCACCATCTTCTGGCTCAGTCATTCCCTTCTAATTCACCTACTATTATTCTTTTCTTTATCGTCTTAAAATTCAAGTAAGGCATCACCTCTCCATGAAGGATTTGCCCCTAAAGACACACACACTTACTTGTGAGTAACATCTGTCCTCTGGTAGTGCCTAAGGCGTTCCTCTATCAGGACAGGTTTCATATTACATAGTATTCAAAATTAGTGTCTATGTGTCTTTTTTCCCCTGGTGGATTGTGAACTCCTCAAGGAAAGGGGCCATGTTTTATCTGTCCCTGAATTCCTTGCATGTAGCACAGGCCTGCCCCGTGGTGAGCAGGTAACAAATCTGAAGAGAGGTGAGAGTGCTAGCTTAAGTGCTGGTTCCTCAGGCACACACTGTGTCAACTGCTCTTGTTTTAACTGACCAGGGTTGAACTTTGGCAACATCTTTAGGTAAGCGAATAACTATGATCCATAAAATACGTGAATATGTTTTTCAAACTGTCAAGCATGATCAAGTGGTGGTTTATTTTTATTATAAAAGAGGCTTTAAGCAATGGTTATTAATCTTGAAGTTTTTTATGAATATGCAAGTTGTTAAGATAATTCATATTAAACCAATCAGTGTGATTTGTTTATTTATTTATTTTATTGCTTAGTCAGGTTCATTCTTTGCCATGAATGGTCACAGACAGGCAAGCCCAGACAGTATTTCATGATTAACTTTCTGTTTCCATCAGCAAGAAAGGAAAGGAGCGGTGTAATGTGCTACTGCATAGGGAAGAGCTCAAGCTTCAGTTGCCTGCCTCATGGCTGTTCTGAGCTATCAGGATGCACCTAGAAGAACCACAGGAGCATGGACGAACCCTTGAGAAAGAAGGTAGATGACAGTGGGGAGAAGGTATTCAACAGAGGATCATGAGGCAGGGAGGGAAGAAGCTGTGATTGATCAAAGATGGGTGTATACAAGAGACAGTTTTTCATCTCAAATATGCCATTGTATTCCACATTCTTTCAAAAACATTTCAAGTTCTACATTTCCAAATATTAAAATTTCACTTGTTTTTGGCTCATGTTCTTTATTCCTCTTGAATTACTCATAAATCTATGAACTGTTGTTCATTTGTACTTCTACCACAATGTTATATATTAAATTAAAATTTGGAAGTAGGGCTTTTCTATAATTTGAATTCCTCTTTGCCTAATATTTCAAAAATCTGTTCTGTATATGTAGAATGATCTCAGATACATCGACTACTAAGAATGAGAGTTAACTTTCACTGGTGAAAATCCATATTCTAGAAGTAATCCAAAGACACATAGACACTTCTTTTTTCAAGTGATACAGCAGTCAAGCTTTCCTGAGCATTTGCAAGGACTCATCTTAGTATTGTTTTCATATTAATTATATTATATTAAAAATATAATTGGATTTCTCTGTTGTTTTATGTAAACAGCTTGCTTAAGATTTTCTTTTAATCTTAGCTGTCAATTTTTACTCTGAAACAAGCACATTAAATATATAGACTTTATTTGTGCTAACAATTAAAATGCATAAATTGATCCCCTAGCTTGTACAAATGCAAAATGATTAATGTCTATAATTACATAAAGCTCTAGCAAATGAAGTAAAATTATTTTTTGAAAGAAAATTAATCCTAAGAATATTTTTTGAACCCAAGAATCTTCACTAGTCTTATGCACATTTACTGTCCGTCCATGGGAGACAGGGCACTTTTTTGTTTCATACACAACTCTGATAAGTAAATATCTTTTGTTTTCTTGCATTTCCTGCATATGTTGCAAAGAAATAAAGTCATACAAAAAAGAGAATGAAGATTAAATATTTTAACCTTCTTTATTCCTGTCACTAATTGGGGGGGAGGGCTGATGACTTTTGCATTTTATTTTTTACTTTTTTATGACTGAAATATTTGCTCTGATTTAACATTATAATGCTTATTAAATATCAGTGTGAATCTTAATATTAAATTTATCAATTGTCTCACATCTACTTGAAAAATCAACACATCAGAGAGTGATTTAACTGATCACACATATTCTAACAACACATTTAAACATTTAAATCCCAGTAGATTTTCATACATTTGGTTTACTGAATTTGCTGGCTACATTCGTTTTATAGTTATTGATGAAAATAATGTATAAAAATTAGAAAAAATGATTTGTCCATTTTTCTGTTTCCTTGACCAATGTGTTCAGTTCATCATACTAATTCAGGATACTAACATTTATTTATATTTTAGCCATGGTGGTTACAGTATTTTTGTGCCTTCCACTGATAGTGAAGTTACCACCTTGCCACAGGGTAAACCTTGTCTTTGATTATATTGTGATTAAATGTGGTAGAGCAGGAATGACTGCATTTTTGTTCTGTTCAAAAGCAAATGTGTGAACAATAGATGTGATGAAACAAACTAAATTGTAATTGTGACTAAAATAATTTATCATGTGAGTATATGCATAGTTTAATTAGTTGTTACTTTTTTTTTTTTTTTTTTGAGACAGGGTCTCATTCTGTCGCCCAGACTGGAGTGTAGCGGCACAATCTCGGCTCACTGCAACCTCTGCCTCCCAGGCTCAGGCGATTCTCCTGCCTCAGCCTCCCGAGTAGCTGGGATTACAGGCATGCACCACCATGCCCAGCTAATTTTTGTATTTTTAGTAGAGACACGGTTTCACCATGTTGGCCATGCTGGTCTCAAACTCCTGACCTCAAATGATCCACCTGCCTTGGCCTCCCACAGTGCTGGGATTACAGGCGTGAACCACCGCACCCAGCCTAGTTATTACTTTTAGCACTCCATCTGCTTCCTTTCTTTTGACTTTCATGCAGTTTATTTCAAGATTTACAGCCAACTGTATTCTTCAATTAGGTGAGGGAAATATAAGTTTAAACTTATGCCACTGATTGCAACAGTATATTAAGACCATGAAAGATTAAAATTTGGGAATAAAACTTACATTGAGTGAGTCAGAAAAAATCTGGAATTTTCCCAGCTGAAATGTAATCTAATTGTAGGAGAAAAGCTTTCAAAGACAAACTTTCAGTTAAACTGAGATAAAAATAGCTATGGAATAGTATTTTAGGTGTTTAAATAAAATACTTAAGCATTTCAGTTTCACAATTAGGTTTTCAATATATAAACTTGCTTATTTGACATCTTTTTAGTAATATGGAATTTTATCTATTTCTTACAATTCTTCCTCCCAAAGTCTAATTAATTTTTAAAAGCCCTCAAAAATATGTTTTAAAACCTAATATATTTTATTGAATTCATAATCTATTAATTAAACTATCTTAAAACTCAGCATGCCTAATTTTAGAGTATCTTTACTAAATTCAAAGATTTATGTGCTTATTCTTCTACATATAAAAATAGTATCTGAAAATGGTTTAAACAAAATGTAAAAATAGAATCAAGTTTAACTTTTTTTACGTAACAAGTTCGAATTTGTCAATAAAAATGGACAAAAATTTGCATATTCCACTATCATAATCACTTTATACAGTAAAAAGAAGTTATATAATGTGCATATTAGCACTTAAACTATTCTGATGTTATGAATATTAAAGAACAATAGAACTAATGAATATTTCAGGCTGAAGTAATAATTAAAATATCCTACATTAAAATTGCTTTTGGCAAGTAACTCCTGCCTTCTCCCAACTTTATTTAAAGATATGTATACATGATTCACAAAGTAACCAAAAATTAGAATTAAAAACATTTTTAAATAGTGCTGATATTACAGTTCATTTGGATTTTGAAAGGCATGATCCTCCTAATTGAAAATATTAGCAAAATGCAGAAGGAATTTTTCCCCAGCTATGTGGGTGAGGAACTGGTGTTAAAACAAAAAAGGAAAGAAAAAGTAACAAGAAAAAAAAAAATGCTTTTCAGCATTAGGCCATCAGAACCAAAGGAGAGCTTTCTACTAGGTGTCCATTTACTCTCATTTCTCAGAAGACCAAGGTCAAAAATAATAAGTCTATGCTGTTGTATTAGGCCATACTTACATTGCTATAAATACCTGAGACTGGGTAATTTATAGGAAAAGAGGTTTAATTGGCTCATGGTTCTGGTGCTTCAGGCTGTACAGGAAGCATAACACTGGCATCTGCTTCTGGGGATGCCCCAGGAAGCTTACAGCTTTGGCAGAAGGTGAAGGAGGAGCAGGTATCTCACATGGTGGGATCAAGAACAAGAGACAGAGTGGAGGTGCCACACACTTTTAAACCACCAGATCTTGCAAGAACTAACTCATTATCTTGAGGACAGTACCAAGAGGATGGTGCTAAATTATTCATGAGAAACTGCTCCTATGATCCAAACATCTCCCACCAGGCCACACCGTCAACATTGGAGAGTAAAATTCAACATAAAATTTTGGCAAGGACAACATACAAACTATATTAACTATGTCGAGCCGCTGTGTTCTATCAACACTGTTTCATTGGTGGAAACATATCAAAAGTCACAACATACTTCCAGCTTCATTAATGACAACATTTTCAGTGATGGTAAGAGGTTTATTCTAAGTTCCAAAACCTCACTTGTGCCATTCTCCTGGTAGTTGTATGGTCTCCTACCGTGGGATTTGCAGCAGCTCGACATTTCAATTTGAGATCTTTGGGATAACTGAGAAGTGATCATTTTCCATGAGTTCTACTTGGACCACACTTTTTTGAAATTGTAGTCCCTCATCTCATTTCCTTCTCATAATCCCCTAGACCTTGCTCTACCCTTTATTTTCTACAGCTAAGATATTGTATGGTTACCTATTTATTACATTTATTGTGGCTGTTTCCCTCACTAGACTGCAGACTCGAAAGGCCAAGGTATTTTTCACTGGTGTTTTCACTAGAATTCCAAATCCGAGGACATCCGCTAAACACTCAAAAATTTTCACTGAATGGGAAAAAGGAATGAACATAGAAAACATTCTCATAAAAAAAGAGGCATAATATCACCACTATTTTTACATACGACTGTGGAGGTTCTAGACAATTGAAATAAGAGCAGAAAAAAAAAATATATATATAGTTGGTCCTCCATATCTGTGGGTTCCACATCTGATTATTCAACCAATTGTGGAATGAAAATAATCAGAAAAAAAAATTCCACAAAGTTTCATAACACCAACCTTGAATTTGAATCCAAGTGAATGAAGCAATGTGTAGACTTTCTATTAAACATTTTTAGTAATCTAGAGTTGATTTAAAACATGGGGAAACCTCACCTCTACTAAAAATACAAAAATTAGCTGGGCATGGTGGTGGGCAACTGTAATCCCAGCTACTCCGGAGGCTGAGACAGGAGAATTGTTTGAGCCCGTGAGGCGGAGGCTACAGTGAGCTGAGATCACGCCTCTGCACTCCAGCCTGGGTGACAGAGTGAGACTCTGTCTCCAAAAAAAAAGAAAAAAAACAAAAAAGGATATGCAAGAATGTATGTAGATTATACAAAAATTCTACATGCCATTTTATATAAGGGATTCAGGGGTCCTGGATTTGAATCCCCATGGATATACAAGGGCAACTGTGTGTGTGTTTGTGTGTTTGTGTGCATGTTTGTATGCATATATTCCATATATATGATTAATCAACAATTTTGTAAAATTAAAAAATTCAGTAAAACTATCTTATTTAAAATAGAAGTAACAATAAAAATAAACTGCAGGATTGCACCCAATATCCTGAGGCCTTAATAAATAAAATGTTCCATTAGGTTTCGAGATGAAAAGATAAAATTTGGTGAAGATGTCACTTATCTCCAAATTAATTAAAAAAACAAAATTACAACTACAACTTTATGAGAATTGGCAAGATGATTATAAAAGCCACCAAGAAGAGTAAATGATAACCATAGTGCAAGGTCAGGAAACCCGTTAAAGACAAAGATACCAAGGGTGAGGTAACCACGTAATATTTGACAAAAAGCACACCTAACATCAAAGTGATTCAGAAAATCTAAAATGAAAGGATTGGATGAAATATGACATGCAAATATAAACAACAAAAGAAAGTGCATGCTTACGCCTGTAATCCCGGCACTTTGTGAGGCCAAGGCGGGTTGATTGCCTGAGGTCAGGAGTTTGAGACCAGCCTGGCCAACATGGTGAAATCTTGTCTCTACTAAAAATACACAAATTAGCCGGGCGTGATGGCAGGCGTCTGTTATCTCAGATACTTGGGAGGCTGAGGCAGAAGAATTGCTTGAACCCAGGAGGCTGAGGTTGCAGTGAGCCGAGGTCGCCCCATTGCACTCCAGCCTGGCGACAACAGTGAGACTCCATCTCAAAAAAAAAAAAAAAAAAAAAAGGCATGGGACAAATTGAGCCTCAAAATGCCTGTCTCACTTTGAGGTTCCTTCTAAGTAGACATGTCTGCTACATGGCCCATGTTAAGGAGGTGGCCATAAATAGGACTGAAGGAGACCCACTACCACTTCCTTATGGTTCGTTAGGCTGAGGATGTACTCTGGACTCAGGGACAACCATTTCTTGGGAATATCTGTGATTTATGTATGACATGAAAATTATGGGATAATAAATGAGAGCAATCAAATTCCCTCTGTCTTAGTAATTTGAATTAGGAAATACAGCTGAGTTAATGGGGCAATGCAGGGTAGCAACTAAAGCCAAATAAATTCTGTGAAGCAGAATGAGGGCATGCTCATAAGGGAGGCAAACAGGAAATGCAACATGAAGGAGAAGACATTAAGAAATTATTAATAAGAATGGCCTGGCACAGTGCTTCACACCTATGATCCTAGTACTTTGCAAGGCCAAGGTTCCCAGAAGGATTGCTTGAGTCCTGGAGTTGGGGACCAACCTGGGTAACATAGTGAGATCTTGTCTCTACAAAAAATAAAATAAAATAAAGATGAAAAGAGAAATTAAGAAGAAAGGGATAAGAAAGAGAAAAGGTATTTTGAGGAGGGGATGAGAAGTCTGAAAAATAGTATCAGGAAATGAAAATTTGAGAGAAGCAGAGACATCATGAGAAAAACAGTAAGTGGCCCATGAAAGATTGAAAAGGAGGCATTCATCAGGAATTCCTGTTTCTAAAGAATGGCTCAGCAATTCACAGAACATCGGCCAGATACAGCCCACATCCTATTTTTGTACCGTTCACAAACCAATAATAGTTTAACAAGTTTAAATTATTTTAAAAACCCAAATAAAAAAATACCTGGTGACACATAAGAATCAAATTAAATTAAAATTTCGGAGTTCATAAACGAAGTTATTAGAACATACCACATCCATTCATTTATGAATTGTTCATGGCAGTTTTTATGCTATCATGGCAGAGTGGAATATTTGTGACAGAAACTGTATGTGGTGATCACATCACTACAGTTAAACCACGGTGTTATAAGACATGCTTTGTGAAAGAACACACATTTCATATTCAAAGACGGAATATGTAAAATCTCATAACAGATCATTATTAACAGATGAACATCTGCAATTAACAATTGATTTTCATGATGGGAAACTAACTCTGAACCCCAATTAAGCAAAATGCTGTCTCCTCAGAAAATAATCCTATTCTTCTTATTAGTCAATCTGTATAATAAAATATTTTGTTCAATTACTACATTTTGAATTTTGTGAAAACTGGTTTTCTCTCTTATGTAAGTACATTTATATTATTCCTAATTTTGACTTTGCTTGTAAAGCCTTAAATAGTGAATAGAAACACGTGTGGGTTTTTTTTGTTTGTTTGTTTTACTTTAGAGAAAAAGTTTGTAAACTTCTGTTCTAAGGGGTTCTTAGATTGGGTTTCA
This sequence comes from Homo sapiens, assembly GCF_000001405.40. NCBI lineage: Eukaryota > Metazoa > Chordata > Mammalia > Primates > Hominidae > Homo > Homo sapiens. Next base: position 78,107,864 of record NC_000008.11, on the reverse strand, counting down.
ATGCAGGTGTCTTCTTGTGGTACACTCTCTTTTGTTTGAGAGATTTTTATAAATTTTTGCTTCGTGAGAAACATAAAAAGAACAGCAACAGCAATAGGAATGCTGAACGTTGTCTAAAATGATAAATTGGAGGCAATGTATTAAATAATACTAAATGGAAAACTTCATATTAAAAGGTTGTAGGTACAAATGAAAACATAATAGTAATCACCCTTTATGATTTATATAACATAATATCAACTACAAAAATGGGCAAGTTTTATAAACAGTCAATTTTCCAGGAGTTACACCTTCTTTTAATTGTAACAGTTCACCTGTACAAAAAAAAAGTAAGATAGGGAATTGGATTGAATTAATGTCTATAATACATAAAACATTGCATGCTATAATGTGAGGATAATTATTTTGTATTGTCTGCACATCTTTTACAAAATGACTCATGTTCTAGGCCATAAGAACAGCTTTCTTTCAGCCTAAAAGTTAAAATTTTCATAATCTACATTATTTGATGACAATTGAAGAAATCAAGAGATAAATACTTTTTAAAAGTATGATAACCAGATTTATCACCTGAAAGTTAAAAAGAAATCCCTACCAACATAATTACTGGGGAAAAAGCAGAACTTCAATATCAGAAAAGAAAAAAGAATGCTGCAGATTATAGTATATAAAAAAAAGTGTTAAAATTTTATTTTGGATACACAAAACTTTAAATAATTGAATTAGTTTTAAAACGGAATGAAAATAATTAAGATTTTATTTAAGAAATTAAAGATCCACAAAATAAAATTAAGAACACAAAAGAAAAGAAATAATTACAAAAAGGGAGGGGCCAAGATGGCCGAATAGGAATCGCTCTGGTCTGCAGCTCCCAGCAAGGCCAACACCGAAGGTGGGTGATTTCTGCATTTCCAAATGAGGTAACCAGATCATCTCATTGGGACTGGTTAGACAGTGGGTCCAACCCATGGAGGGTGAGCAGAAGCAGGGTGGGGTGTTACTTTACCAGGGAATTGCAAGGAGCTGGGGACCTCCCTCCCTAAGCCAAGGGAAACCATGAGGGACTGTGTTCCTGGCCGGGTTACTACGCTTTTCCCATGGTTTTTGCAATCTGCAGATCAGGAGATTCCCTCACGTGCCTATACCACCAGGGCCCTGGGTTTCAAGCACAAAACTGGGCGGTAGTTTGGGCAGACACCGAGCTAGCTGCAGGAGTATTTTTTCATACCCCAGTGGTGCCTGGAATCCCAGTGAGACAGAAGCATTCACTCCCCTGGAGAGGGGGCTGAAGCCAGGGAGCCAAGTGGTCTCGCTCAGTGGGTGGCACTCCTACGGAGCCCAGCAAGTTAAGAACTACTGGCTTGAAATTCTCATTGCCAGCACAGCAGTCTGAAGTCAATGTGGGACTACCAAGCTTGGTGTGGGGAGGGGTGTCCACCATTACTGAGGCTTGAGTAGGCAGTTTTCCCCTGAGAGTGCTAAGGAGGCTGGGAGGTCTGGGCTGGGCACAGCGAAGTGGCTGTGGCCAGACTGCTTCTCTAGATTCCTCCTTACTGGGCAGGGCATCACTGAGGGAAAGGTAACAGCCCCAGTCAGGGACTTACAGACAAAACCCCCATCTCCCTGGGACAGAGCACCTGGGGGAAGGGGAGTCTGTGGGTACAGCTTCAGCGGATTTGATTGTTCCTTTCTGCTGGCTCTGAAGAGAGCAACTGATCCTGACAAGAGGGATTCTCACAGCACAGCACACCAGCCCTGCTAAGAGACAGACTATCTCCTCAAGTGGGTCCCTGACCCTGTGCCTCCTGAATGGGAGAAACCTCCCAAAAGGGGTTGATAGACACCTCATACAGGAGAGCTCTGGTTGGCATCAGGCCGGTGCCCCTCTGGGATGAAGCTTTCAGAGGAAGGAGCAGGCACCAATCTTTGCTGTTCTGCAGTTCCGCTGGTGATACCCAGGTGAACAGGGTCTGGAGTGGACCTCCAGCAAACTGCAACAGACCTGCAGAAGAGGGGCTTGACTGTTCGAAGAAAAACTAATAAACACAAAGCAACGTCATCAACATGAACATAAAGTATCCCCACACAAAAACCCCATCCAAAAGTCATCAGCCACAAAGATCGAAGGTAGATAAATCTCTGAAGATGAGGAAAAACCAGGGCAAAGACACTGAAAATTCCTAAAAACCAGAATGGCTCTTCTCCTCCAAATGATCATAACTCCTCTCCAGCAAGGGCACAAAACTGGACGGAGAATGAGATTGATGAATTGACAGAAGTAGGCTTCAGAAGGTGGGTAATAACAAACTCCTATGAGCTAAAGGAGCATGTTATAACCCAGCAAGGAAGCTAAGAACCTTGAAAAAAGGTTACAGAAACTGCTAACTAGAATAACCAGTTTAGAGAGGAACATAAATGACCTGGTGGAGGTGAAAAATGCAGCCTGAAAATTTGGTGAAGCATACACAAGTATCAATAGCCGAATTGATCAAGAGGAAGAAAGGATATGAGAAATTGAAGATCAACTTATTGAAATAAGGTGTGAAGACAAGAATAGAGAAAACAGAATGAAAAGGAACAAACAAAGCCTCCAAGAAATATGGGACTATGTGGAAAGACCAAACCTACGGTTGATTGGTGTATCTGAAAGTGACGGGGAGAATGGAACCAAGCTGGAAAACATACTTCAGGATGTCATCCAGGAGAACTTCCCCAACCTAGCAAGACAGGCCAACATTCAAATTCAGGAAATACAGAGAACACCACTAAGATACTCCTTGATAAGAGCAACCCCAAGACACATAATCGTCAGATTCTCCAAGGCTGAAACGAAGGAAAAAATGTTAATGGTAGCCAGAGACAAAAGGTCAGGTTAGTCTGATGGGAAGCCCATCAGACTAACAGAGGATTTCTCTGCAGAAACTCTACAAGCAAGAAAAGATTGGGGGCCAATATTCAACATACTTAGAGAAAAGAATTTTCAACCCAGAATTTCATATCCAGCCAAACTAAACTTTATAAGCGAAGGAGAAATAAAATCCTTTCCAGACAAGCAAATGCTGAGGGATTTTGTCACACCAGGCCAGCCTTACATGACCTCCTTAAGGAAACACTAAATATTGAAAGCAGAAGCCATGGGCAGAAAACAGAAACTGGACCTCTTCCTTACACCTTATACAAAAATTAACTCAAGACGGATTAAAGACTTAAATATAAAAACCAAAACCATAAAAACTCCAGAAGACAACCTAGGCAACAGCATTCAGGACATAGGCATGGGCAAAGCCTTCATGACTAAAACACCAAAAGAAATTGCAACAAAAGCCAAAATTGACAAATGGGATCTAATCAAACTAAAGAGCTTCTGCACAGCAAAAGAAACTATCATCAGAGTGAACACGCAACCTACAGAATGGGAGAAAATTTTTTTAAGCTAACCATCTGACAAAGGTCTAATATACAGAATCTACAAGGAACTTAAACAAATCTACAAGAAAAAAAAAACATCAAAAAGTGGGCAAAGGATATGAACAGACACTTCTCAAAAGAAGACATGTATGTGGCCAAGAAACATATGAAAAAAAGCTCATCATCACTGGTCACTAGAGAAATGCAAATCAAAACCACGATGAGATACCATCTCACACCAGTTAGAATGGTGATTATTAAAAGGTTAGGAAACAACAGATGCTGTCAAGGCTATGGAGAAATAGGAATGCTTTTACCCAATTAGTGGGAGTGCAAATTTGTTGAACCATTGTAGAAGACAGTGTGGTGATTCCTCAAGGCTCTAGAACCAGAAATACCATTTGACCCAGCAATCCCTTTACTGTGTGTATACACACAAAGGATTTTAAATCATTCTACTATGAAGACATATGAACATGTATGTTTATTGCAGCACTATTTACAATAGCAAATACTTGGAACCAACCCAAATGCCCATTAATGATGGACTGGATAAAGAAAATGCAGCACATATACACCATGGAATACTATGCAGCCACAAAAAAGAATGAGCTCATGTCCTTTGCAGGGACATGGATGAAGCTGGAAGCCATCATTCTCAGCAAACTAACACAGGAACAGAAAACCAAACACTGCATGTTCTTACACATAAGTGGGAATTGAACAATGAGAATACACGGACACAGGGAGGGGAACATCACACACTGGGGCCTGTAGGGGGATGTGGGGCAAGGGGAGGGAGAGCATTAGGACAAATACCTCATGCATGCAGGGCTTAAAACCTAGATGACAGGTTGATAAGTGCAGCAAACCACCATGGCACATGTATACCTATGTAACAAACCTGCACGTTCTGCACATATATTCCAGAACTTAAAGTAAAATAAAATAATAATAATAATTAAGAAATAATCTCTGAAAGCAGCAACAAAAAATATATAAAAGTGCTGTTGACAAATAGATAAAAGTAAGAGAATATGAGAGGTTAAACTGTAAAAATAATAAAATCAGGATAGTTTTTAGCAAAGCTAATCAAGAGAAAAGAATAAACACAAATAGTAAAAAATAGGGAGAAAACAAATTATGAGATACAGATCTTTTTTGTTTTAGACAGTATATATACCACATGATATATACATTTAAATTAAATGGAAAATTATCTGGAAACTAAAAATATAACAGGGTTTCAAGAATATATTGAGAAATATGAATGGGCCATGTGTAAAACAAAAGAACTACTTACCCATGTGGCTATGAACTTAATTCTTAACATTTCAATAAACAGATAATTCTTTTATGTGAACAGTTAAATACAAAAAATTAAGGAAATCTCTGTTGTTGGATAAATCACGGGGAAAGGTTATACTGATTACTGACCTTGAGAAGCGTTTTACTTTTCTCTTTGGCTCTAATACTACTTTTCTTTATACTGATAGTGGAATTTTACATTCTCCAGTAGTAATGTAATAATTTCCAAATTGTTGGTAAATACCTCTGAATATTCCTTATTAGTTTTGTAATACTTTTTATTTTTGAAGTTATATTCTATAATTATGTATTCTATAATTCTTTGCTATTTACGCTCTTTTTGTTTTTATCTTGATCAAACTTGTCAACCACTTGCCAATGTTATTTGTTTTCTTCTATTATAACTTGAATGCCATGAGGTCAAAGCTTGTGTCTCTTTTGATCACTGTTGAAACACAGGTGACGTCTAGCATTCAGAACAGTGCTAGGCATATAGTGTAAACTTTTATGAATTCTTTTCACATGAAGACAAATGTTTGGCTACAGTTCTAAGACAACATTTTTTATTATATCTCTGAATATTACCTCTGTCCATTCTCCCTCTCTGACCCATCTGGACACTGTGATGCTTTCTTTCTTTTCAGACACAACCAAGGAGTGCATCTCTCCATCCCTGAAATTAGAATTGGCCATGTACCTTGCTGTGGGCAATGAACTCTCCAGTGGAAGCATTGAGCAGGTGGTGCATGGTGCCATTATGATCCCGTACTTCCTTTTGTCTGAATTACAAAGCTGGCAGATGATGGAACACTGCTCTGAAGAGCAGCCTGGACATGGGGCAGATTTGGGAGACTGAGAAGTCAAAGCTCAATGTGATAGGCCACTGAAATTTGGGGAATTTTATTTTCTAGCCTAATACTAACTATAAAAAAATTTCTCAAGTTAATCAATCCTTCATATCCCTTATATTTCTTTATTTATCCTTTTTTTTTTTTCTGATGGAGTTTCGCCCTTGTAGCCCAAGCTGGAGTGCAATGGCACGATCTCAGCTCCCTGCAACCTCCGCCTCCCAAGATCGAGTGATTCTCCTGCCTCAGTCTACCGAGTAACTGGGATTACAGGCATCCACCACCACACCCGGCTAATTTTTGTATTTTTAGTGGAGACAGGGTTTCACCATGTTGACCAGGCTGGTCTCGAACTCCTGACCTCAGGTGATCCGCCTGGTCTCGAACTCCTGACCTCAGGTGATCCACCCACCTCAGCCTCCCAAAGTGCTGGGATTACAGGTGTGAGGAACCGTGCCTGGCCTATTCATCCATTTTTTAAACTTCTATATGTTCTATTATTTTAGAACAGTTCTACCCAATTTCCTGTTCGATAATTTTCAGCTATAACTATCCTGCTATTTTATTTCATCTACTTTTTCTTTTGTATTCGATATAAATAAAACTTAATTTTATAATATTTATTGGCTTTTTGAATGGTCCATATCTCTCTCAGAATAAAAAAAATGTTCATTTTAGAATCTGTTGTAACTGTTCTTTTGACTTTGTTTTCTCTGATAGTAATTACACCACTTGTTAATGGTGCACCTTTGTTATGGTGTTGCCTTTCCTTAAATAGTTAGTAATTACCACCAGGGTATTCATATTAGGCTGTCTCCTGAAACTACTTGTGGAACTTTGATTGGAGGTCGGGATGTGATGTTCTGTCACGGATTATATTTTGGCTCATTTAGAGGGAGAATCGAGAATGGAAAAGGAAGACATTCTCCCTCCTCCATTCTTCATTGGCGAGGAATGCTCAGGTGGTAGTCCTTAGTGTGAGGGCTTTTCCTAGAAATTAGCTTCCCACGCTACCACTGTCCTGTATCCTACAGGATCTCCTAAATCAACCTAAATCTCCTAAATCTCCATCTTTTTAGAGCTGCCTGGCCTATGACATGTGCGTGGATGCACGTGTTTATAGGTATACATACACACATAAGAGTTTATCTTACTGTAGAACTGCATCTTGTATTCATGTTAATTGGAACTGAATTACTTATCGTGCCAAGATTCCTCCACTTTAGGCAAGGAGCTTTTTTCTGCAACATTATTTTCCTATAAATATATGGACAATTTATGGAGTTAGTTGAATGTTGAAGGGCACATAAGAAACAACACAATCAGTTAACCTACTGGTTTTTACCTTCCAATCTTCTCAGTACACCAACTCAGTCCTGCCTTTCAGATAAAATTTCAAGGAGATCCAACAGCTTTTTGTTGCTGTTGTTACATATTAAACAACTCTTTTTTCCAAGTATTAAAAACATCTAAATCAAACTTAAATTAATACGACAATTGTCCAAACTCTAATTCAATTTTCTCATCTGTCATACTCTCGCCTAGATTGTTTGGGATCCTCCCGAGTCTGATTCTAGGAGAGAGAGAGGTAAGAAAGTAGCATATAGGGTCTTCCATTATGATCTGGCAACAGAGCCTTCTGGGTATTATACAATTCCAAAAACAACTCTTCCTTTCTGGGGTTGCATTTGCAGTGCCCTTGGAGACCTTGATTTGCAGTTCCTAGGCTATGGGACATAATCTCCTCCAGCTGGCCACTTAAAATTTCTCCCCTCCCCTGGGCTTTTAGCAAAATATCCCTTACTTAGTTTGGGATAGTTCACAGTTTTCAAGACTTTTTCTTGGGCAGTTTTCCTTTGAAAGCAACTCCAAATTGGATTCCTCACATGGGCCCACATCTGGTCCCTAGGAAAACAAGTCACCAGTAGGAAGCAGTTTTCTCTTAACAGCCTTCCTTCTCTTTTCTCTGCCAGCTCAAGTCAATCAAACATCATTAGAACTCGCCTATATGTCAAACACCTGTCCACGCCTTTAAACTCCAGAGAAGATATATCCAAGCTTTCTGAACACACACAGTGCTCCTCCTTTCAGATGCCCTGCTTCTCTCAGAATGGATACTGACCAGCATCTTCAGATAATTCCTCCACACAGGTCTCTCCCATCAATTCTCATTGCAGTTTAGTGGGAAGCAATATATGGCAGAACACACTTTATAATTCTGCAGCATGCCCTTCCTGCAAGGTTTCACATAACACTTCAGACTTTAGGAGGTAAGTATTATTTTTTAAGCTATTTTATAAATTATTTCTACATATTTAAGGGGTGCAATTGGAATTTTGTTACCTGGATATATTGTGTAGTGTTGAAATCTGGACTTGTAGTGTAACCATCACCCAAATAATGAGGTAAGTATTCTTAACAAATATCTTATTCTCTTCTTTTGGGTCCTTAGCTGAAACTGAGACAGAAATAAACTAATTTTAATATTATAATATTTTGTTACATTTGTCAAAAGTTTCAATCTGATCTTGTCTTCTATATATCTAGTGGGATTTTTCATATGAGTTTTTGGTTAAGAGGCACACTGCTTGTTTTTCTGCACAGCTGTGGTTTATAAAGTATCTCATCAGATCAATCATTTCCAGGGATCTAGAGGAGTAGAAAGCTGGAAGCATGGACTCAGTCCATAATCTTAAAATGGAAGTTCTTCAGTGGCTTTATTGCTCATAAGATATGGTAATTTTCCTACAAGATACCTACATATTTTATTCTGACAAACCATATCTTAAAACACTTAAGTATATAAATGAATTCCTTCCATTAAACACATGGTATTATTTATAGATTTCCTACTATGTGTCAGGTACTCTTTCAGTGTTCTAATGCTTAAAAAATGACAAAATATCACAGGTAGACAGACACATATATATATAGATAGATAGAACATTGACACACAAATATACATCCTAAATTATTTCAATAAAGGAGAACTGACAAAGTAACATGCAATCATAATACACGGAATGCCAAATGGTACATACATGTGTTTGCGAGTGAGCAGCAGAAGGGAAATCTTAAACACAGGAACTTCCCTAGACATTAGTTTTCACCTCTTGACACTTGATCTTGGGTCAAGTGTTCACTGAGATCATTTTATTTCTAGTTGAATGAGAATTCTAGAAGCACCGCCAAGTTTATAAAGGAGCCATAACTTGGTGCTGTCAGAGTTAGTGAGGTAGGCACTTTTTTAGCTATGGCAGTGAAATCTGCTGCCATATGGTATTCTGTATTTTGAGAGTGTCATTTAAGACATGAAATGAAGACCTTGAGGTTAAGTCTGTTTGGTAAAAAACTAGACAGCTTACAACTATAAGTCACTTTATACTTGAATCTTCCCTAAGCATTCTGAAAAGTTTCTCAATCATTGCCTTTTTTCAGTTGATGCTTTGTTGTGTGCGCATTAGGTGACTAGTGTTGTGGCATCTAATAGGCTGTATATAGTGCTCCTACCATATTATTATGTTATGTGCAGTGGGGCTACCCAATTAATACACAGCTATTCATTTTAAAAACTTTATTGACTGCTTGCACAACCATTTGAAAACACTTTGGAATAATGTGAAGGGTAGAACTAAGGCCAAAATAAGATCTCCAGAAGATTTCTATTTTTACTTTGAAAAATTTTTCTAAATGGAGGGTAAATTTTATAGTGACTCAGCCTCACCTTTACACTCAGAAATGGAAAATTATCCTCACTTTTACCAGTATGACAGCTGTAATCTGTTACGAGGTTTCTGTAATGTAGAAAGTTGGTACGTGTAACCTAGATGTCAGTGAGGGTCCAAAGAAACCACTTACCCATTCCTGGAACAAGGGCACTCCAGGAAAAGTGGTAAGTGGCTATTTCCAATTTTAAGTCTCTTTTCTTATAAAAACAATGATGATAGCACTAAATTAAGCAGCCCAGTCCCTGTGCTATAGTGCTGAATTGCAATGAACTGGCTTTCGTACCTGTGGAGTGATGGCATTCCCCAATTTCATTATTGGAAGCTCTGCTTGTCGTTTAACATTTAGCAGAGCATGCAGTACTGCAAGTAACATTTTCTTTCAGTTTAAATACATGACTGTAACAGTAAGTCAGAATCCTCTTTTTCTGCAGGAGGTTGGATAGGGACATTCATTCATTTTTGCAAATATTAGACAAATATTTCTTAAGAGGCAGGCGGATCACGAGGTCAGGAGATTGAGACCATCCTGGCCAACACAGTGAAACCCCGTCTTAAAAAAACAAACAAAAAAAGAACCTGATCTATATCAACACAATGCTCTTTGCTTAGGGAGACAAAAGAAGTGTCAGTCATGATCCCAAGAGAGAAGATGCTTATATTGACACCTTCAATTGCATCTGAAGTTTCCCTTAACCTCACTTCTTAGTGAGCAGCAACAATAATAGACACCACATTTTAATCACTTAGGTTGCAGGCACCACACTAAGCAGCTTACAAAATCAGCTCATTGATAGCATTGTCTTAACAAAGAAACACAATTTTGCAGATTCCAAAACTGGGTCTAAGATAGGTTAATATCTTGCCCAAAGTAACATAGCCAGTAACTAAAGTAGTAGCACAGTTATTAAGTAAAATGACAGAGTGAGGGCCTTGATTCAGGTTTCTTTTACTCCAAAGTTGCTTGTTTTAACTTATTTTATACTGCCCTCAAATTACTAAATCAAACCGAAGTTCTTGCATTTTGAAAGTAAAGCAAATGCCAAAGCAGGTAAGGCAGTCGATCAGGTGAAAACGTCATAAAGCTAGCCTATACATCAGAAGCCTAGAAAACATGAGATTATTCTCTCCTCATTCCTCATCTTACATATAAAAATGTATTCAAGTCCTGAAACTTTTCTTTCCAAATCTTTTCAATATGTGTTTTTTCCACTCTATTCTTACTATTGCTGTCCTATCAACAGCTTCCTGACTTGTTTCTCTGCCTCAAATTTTGTACCATTTATTTGTCCTTTAAATTATCACATAATGATCAATCTAACATAAAAATCTGATCACGTCACCTTCATGTGGATAATTGGCCAATGGCCCTTCATTATCTGATCCAATGCCCCATATATGGCATGGGGCTTAGCGCCTATGCCTCACCTCCTGTCACACATTTGCTCCCCACTGGAGTCTCTGGTAGTATAAAGACATATATATTTTACAGCACACAATATACTGTTTCATAATCCTTTCCTCTAAACATGTTCTTCCTTTATCCTTAGATGCTTAAAGCCCTCTCTATATTTCTAATACACCCAGCACACATCTCTATCGAAGCATTTGCCAAGTGAGATTTAATATACCAATGTTTGTGTCTTTTTTTCTATCCTAGCAAACTAGAAAACTTAAGTGCAAGTCCATATGTTTTCCAAGTACTATCCTTCAGTGTCTAGTCAAGGGCATAAAATAAATGTTTATTAAACTATATTAAAACAAAATGACAGTTTTAAAAACCAAACAATAACAACAACAAAAATAGAGATATTCTCAGTTTTCCTAGTAGAACATAGAAAACACTTACTGAAAATTGGGGGAGAAAAGATACAGGTACTTCCTCCAGGTTGATTATGTCTTTGCAATCACCTTTATGTGACCTTGGACCAATCACTTAACTATTTGGAGTGAGTCTCAATTTCCTAATTACATAGTTAAATGGTTGTATTGGCTCATTCTTGGACCGAGGCTAAAAAGTCCCCAAAAGTCTATAGTTGCTGCACTAATTACCCTACACACTAGAAATAATATTTCAATATTTCAAATTTTCCTAGAGGCCACAGATGTGAATCAAAACAAAATCTACACATAAAGTAAAAGCAAGACATAATTAAAATTCTGTTCTGTAGGCAGAAACAGCTCCCCATACCCAACTATCTATCCTAAAATGACATGCCACTAGTGAAAGGGACTAAGTAAGAACATATGGGTAGAAAATTGTAACACAGCACCCTAAGTAGAAAGAAAATCCTAAACATTGGGACTATATAATTGCATTAACGCATTTTAATGCCTTATTTTATTCTACATGAAAACTGCCGGAATGCTCCTGCATTCTACCTTTATACCTAACAAGCCTATTGAAACCTTGAAGGGCTGAAGACTCAGGAGGAGTCATCCTTGGCTCCAAGATGAACTGCTTCCTCAGTGGCACAAGGTTTAGCCTGAGAAACAATATCAGCTATAGCCCTGGACTCCACATAAATAGATCCTTCATTAGTGAAGCTGGGATGTCAGTTTTCTGGGGCTGACAGAAGCAATCCTCTCTTTAGTTATAACATACTCGAATTACTGGTGTGTTCGAAAGCTGTCTAAGCAGTTTACAAATACAGCAACACATTGTCTTGAAGAATCATGCACACTGTATTTCAGTTAATTCCATCTATTTAGAAGGTTAAGATTGTAGTTCTAGAATTGGAGAACTGTATGGGTTGTTCAAACAAAGAAAAATAAAAATTTATTGTAAATTCTTACACTGTTAAAGGTGTGAGGTTTTAGTAAGGTGCAATTTGGTTACACTCAGCTGATTCCTGGAACTAGAATCCTTTTGACATTATTAAGAATCAATTAAGCATAGTTTCCCTAGGTATTGCTATAGTCCCTTGGTAATTTATCCAGGGCACATTCATAGCCTCTTTGTAGGTGAAATATAAATGGGACTGATTTAGATCAAGGATAGCTTTAAAACTAATGAGGGGATCGCAGAGACAGACTAATGAAAAGCTTTACAAGACATTTTCTCAACTGTCTTCTCTGCATGTGCCGAACTTTAAAGCGTTTAGCAGTTTCCACCAACCTTCTTAGGAACAAAGAGACAAAATTGAGGACTCTGTTTATTAAAGACTCAATAAAAATTAGACTGAATTATATAAGCATGACTAAACGTGCACAATTTATTGTAGCATTGAGACTTAAATTTGTCTTCAGAAAGGAAGACAGTTGCTTTTATCTTAAGAAATAACAAAAGTCACAATTAAAAAAAAAATCATTGTTGAGGAATTTGTTAAAAACACATCATGAGTCTCAGCTTTTAGTGAATTTATTTTGAACCTCCTGAAGCAGACACTGCAAATTTTTACATTCTAATGAGTGAACTAAAAACATATATTTCGAAGCAAATAGCACTCATAAATTACATTTATGACACATGAGGTTGCTGACTGCTGTGCAGGGAACACAGAGTAATGGTGCTAATATGCACTCTAGCTTGATTTTCTCAGTTCCCAACATGCTCTAATTCCACACTACAAATCTTTAAATGGCAGTTATATTTTAATTAATGTGATTATGTGCTGCCATTAGGAAACCCTCCCCCAGCACATTTCTCCTGCCAGGCCCATGAATGCCTGTAAACCATTAACATAAAAGGGCTGTTTGGTTATTAAATTCATCTACACAAATAGGCAAGGGTTGCAATTGTTGATTTGCCACTGAAAGAACCGAATGAGGAGTTGTTCAGTGCCTGGCAGTTGCAATTATTTGCTGTAATTAAGTCTAATTTATAACCCCCCCCTCAAATGAGAAAGTAACAATTTTTGTTAATTAACAGGAGCATTTGTAAAGCTCATTAATTCCATCATTCACAGTCTGTCTGGAAAAATGGGAGCATATGGCTCTTACGATGGGACATGTTGCATATGTGTATTTGTACATTAATCTGTTTGGAAGGTCTAATGATTGAAATGGGAGCTAGAAATGGATGTTATATTACTGAGAAAAGAAGATCTACTGTTTTCATTTATCTTTACAGCAATGTGAGTGCTTTGTCATTATCTTCTGCATACGGTTTCATTATTCTGATACAGCACTCCACATTGCCTCATACCATCATGCCCATAAGCCTGCAGGGTTCAAGAGCACTTATCTTTCCTGATGACTGTTGAATCATTTAAAACAAGTTATTAGTGAAACAATTAAAATTATATTGGTTCACAATTGTATTTATAGCTGGCAGGCATAATGGAACATTCTGAATAGCGGTCGGGGGTTCTCAGAATGGATGGAAAATGCTGTTAATCAGAGACAAGAGAAACCTCTAAAGAAAACCTAAATTGCAGGAGCACGTTAATTGTATTGGAGCATTTCATTTAATTGAGAACAAAGGGAAGGTAAAAATCATATTATCAATGTTTTATGAACATGAAGAAATAGGAAAATTACTATGTCATTTGTCACATATCTTCTTTGAAAGTGAAAATTAAAAAGGCGGTATTTAACTTTAACCAGAGCAGGCCAAATACATCACGTTGTTACACATTTTCAATTTCAAAGGGAATAGCAAAATAAAATATAATAAATAAATTAATTAATAACTACAGAGGAAGACATTGGGCAGAACATCCAACATACATAGGAAGATTCTAATCAGAGTTAGAGATTATTAAATGGCTGTAAAGGTGATGAAGGTTGTCCTTTCTCAATTCCATTCATAATTCTTAAGAAATTACCATGGTCAGCTTATCTGCAAGGAGTATATATGTTATTCTTTTCTTGCCTTTGGCAGCAGAAGTCACTGGAATTTATGAGAGATGACTGACAGCATATAGGTAGATGAATAGAAAACTTATCTTTTCACATAATCCAATTCATCTTAAACATGACTTGACTGGTATTGTGAATGGAAACTGTCAATCACACCAAATTCTGTGTGTGTAGTTTGTTTATATACGCTTGGAGGAAGCAGAAGTGGAATACTAGAGTTAGGATAGGCAACAGTAAGAAGGGGATTGATTGGAAGAAACAAGGTTCTTATTATTTCTTCCGCTGAGAAATGTTATTTTTTCCTCTAATAAACTATTTCATTTGGGATCTTAGATTTCTTCAGTGAAAGGTCAGTTTATTATGTCAATGAGCTGGTCCAGTTAAAACTGATTTATTTTGGGGTTGTATTGAAAATATAGACCCAAATATAGATAGTTTTATTACTATAAAGAATTCAAAAATCTTTGATTGGGTTGGACATAAATAGAGAAAGTCTAAACAGCAAAAGTATAGCACTAGCTATCAACCCAACCACTGTGAATTCAAAATGGCAATCATGTGGATAAACCTACCACCAAAAGGGAACATTTTTTATATAAAAAAGCCAAATTTTTTTAGGAAAAACCGAAAGGAAAAATTAAGATAACAAGATGAGGTTTCAAATGAGAAAATATTTTATTAACTGAGAAAGGCTGAACCTATTTAAATGATTCTACCATAAAATCATAGATAATTTAAGGATATAAATTATCTTTAACTATCCTTAGTAGAAAGATTTTAGATTTTGAAGGACTAGATTATAATAATAACAGCTAATGCTAATTGAGCTCTTTCTGCAAACCAATTATTGATTTAAGTTAATGAATTAACATTTTAAAACTACATAACATTCCTCAAAACAACTCTATGAAATATTATTATCCTCATTTTATCGATGAAGAAATTCAAGCACAAAAAGTTTATGTAACTTGCCTAATGACAAATGGCTAATCCGTGGGAGCAATTCATTGTCGACTGCCTAGACAGTTTATAATCCATTCAGTTGAATATTTGAACTTACATATTGATTCTCCTCACATATCTTCTTCCATTGAGAAATGTTAAAAATGAATTTGCAATGACAATGTCCACATTTGTTTTCCAAATTGTGAAATAAAAAGCCCACAAATAAAAGTATATTTACATAAAGATAGAATAATTTTGAGTTATAATAGACCAAACAAATAATTAATGTTTTGCTGACTGCTGTTTTCAGACTACTGAATTGTGGGGTAAACTGGTTGCAAGTGGTGGAGAGAAAAGTTAGGTAGAAAAGATGGTGAAGGATAGAATAAGTTAACTGCCCCTCAATTTTTTTCTCTTTCTGGCTTTCTCCAGCCACCTGGTGTATAGAGCTCTCTGGTCCCCTAGTAGCTAGTTTGGAGAGAAAATAGCAAAATCATGATAGGCTCTAGTTACTGCCTGATTGTTCTGCCGGTAGAATGCCAGATTGGTTTAGGTTTATTATTATTGCAAATCTGCCTAAAATATTATCTACACATGTATTAGTTCGTTCCCATACTGCTATAAAGAACTATGTGAGACTGGGTAGTTTATGAAAAAAAGAGGTTTAACTGACTCACAGTTCTGCAGGCTGTATAGGAGGTATGGCTGCGGGGGCCTCAGGAAACTTACAATCATGGCAGAAGCTGAAGGGGAAGCAAGCACATCTTCACTTGGCAGAGCAAGAGAGAGAAGGTGAAGGGGCACATGCCATACAGTTTTAAACAATCAGATATCATGAGAAATCTATCAGGAGACAGCACTAGGGAAATGGTGCTAAACCATTAGAAACCACCATCATGACTCATTCGCCTCCCACCAGGCCCCACCTCCAACACTGGAAATTACAATTTAACATGAGATTTGAATGGGCACACAGAGCCAAAGCATATTAACATACTTGACTTTTAACAATGAATAGAGCTTACTGAGAAGTAACTCTGTTACTTCTGTTAACAATGAGACCCTTAACAATGAATAGAGCTTGCTGAGAAGTGGTGGGACCCACTATTTGTTGAAGAGAAATAAATTAGACTTATACTTGAGTTTTTGTCCATGTGTACAATTCCATTTGATTTGTTTTACTTAAATTGTTATATACATATATACATATGTCAGCTTATATATACTATATATTTCAGCTTATATACATATATATATATAATATATATTTAAGCTTCTTCTGAGAAAGCAATCTCAAACCTACAGAGAATCACTACAAAGAATTTAATGAGATAAAGTTAATACCACTTATATTTAGGCCCTGAAAGAAAGAGATTGTTTTTATTTGTCTGTCTTGTTAATCATAATGTTCATAGTGAAACAAGCAACAAAACATAGATTCAGTTTTATAAAGATGCTGACTAAAGAAAGGGAAAGCTCTTTTAAATAGAGGCTGTTATACACTGAAATATGCTCTCCTAAGAACTTGTTGAGTTGCCTAGTCTGACAACTTTAGTAACAGTGGAGAATTAATTGTATAGTCTCTTATGGATTCCAGCAAAGGAAATTAGAGAATTAAAGGAGATTCCACTCTAGTCTGAAGAGTTTAAGAAATGCTTATTGAACTATACATATAAAGGAATCATCACATAAAACGTGGTGACCGACATACATAGTTCAACACTGACTGACATGTTAAAAATTATCTAAATATGCTGTATTACAGCTTTAAACACACTTTAACTCTTAAAATTCTATCACTGTAATTACTGCTTTAATGGGAAAAGCTTCCAGCATGGAAAGGCAGAATTACATGCCATTGATGTTCTCGTTGTGCAAATACAAATTAGACAAGATGATTAATGAAAAATATTGTCTCTGATGAGTATTTCCCTTCTACATAATAGTATTCAATGTTTTACCTTAATGACAATATTAAAGAAGGGAAAAATATATTTTTGCTTTGTAATGGCCATAAAACTTTGACTTGCCAGATACATGGCACCTATACTTTACGTATACTGACCAGTGTGCCCATATACATGTACAGTTCCTGCAAACCTAATATCAGAGTAAAGCAAAGTTTAGCAAAAATTACACCTCTCAAGATAGTTAATCAGGATAAGTGGAACTGGTAATTACCCTACGGCATTGTCCCAGTAGCAATGTAATGTGTGCTCAGGCATAAACTCTGGCATAAACCCCCCTTACACAATCAGGCATACACGATTGTGTAAGGGGGGTTTATACTGGTTGCAGTGGGCCTCTCAGTCTTGCCCTCCTCAAGGCTGTGGGAATCCAGGACCAGGAGCTGGACAGCAAAAAATTAGTAATAACAATAAAAAATTTTTTTTAAATATTATCTTTCCTTTAAGCATCACCATCTTTTCATGGTTAAGATATTTCTTAGGACAAAAGTATGAAAGTTCACTCAAACAAGTTGTTTATTCAATTCTAGGAGTCTTTAAAAGCAGGTTGTGTGTCAATTTATAGATCCTTCTAGTTTAGAATTACTAATAAGGAGAATGGAGAGAGAAAATAGGACTGAAATTTCCTCAGTGATAAACTTCATTCTGCCTTCCCTTTGTCCTCCTTATTTATCTATTTTTATTTATTTGTATTTAAATTTTAGTGTCAGTGGGTTCATGTGCAGGTTTGTTTCATGTATATATGATTGCCTAATGCTGGAGTTTGGGCTTCTATTGAACCCATCACTCAGATTGTGAACACAGTACTCAACAGGTAGTTTTTCAGCCCTTGGACTTCTTCCTGCCTCTCCCCTTTTGAAGTGGCCAGTGTCTATTTTTACCACTTTTATGTCGCCGCTGTGCACCCATTGTTTAGCTCCCTCTTATGAGTGAGAACATGTAGTATTTGGTTTTCTGTTTCTGCAATAATTCACTTAGGATAATGACCTCCAGCTGCATCCACATTGCTGCAAAGGACATAACTTCACCCTTTTTTATGGCTGCACCGTATTCCATGGCATATGTGTACCACATTTTCTTGACACTGTCCTTATTTAGAGTAGGAGTGAAGAGCAGAGGGTGAGAAACTACAATGAAGCTCAGCCTGAGACCAGAACTGCAAGACTCCCTTACTTTCTCCAAATCCCAACATTCTTAAATAGCTCTCTGATCTCTCCACAGCCAAAGGAAAAAAAAAAAAAAGCAGAAAAACAAGTGAGGAAATCAGAATTCTTGCTTGCTTATACTAGTAAAAGTTCTTTCCTAATTGATAGTAGAATGCATCATGCCTTCCTTATGGTTCCAGTTAAATTCAATTCATCTTTTTGTTTCAGTCATGTGAAAGAAATGTCAGACTCTGCTCTGCTTGGAGAAAAGTCTTTCAAGGTTCTTTGGTGTGTTCACATGCTACCAGAAGCATTAGCAACTGAGGGGAACATTCCCTTTGGCAAAATTCTCTTAATCCCTTTGTTTCATTAACTTCAAGTATTGTTTTGGTTTTTTAATTGCACGTGACCTAATTACATCATGCCTTATGTCCCTGTAATCCTTGGTCACTGCCTAAGCTTTTAAACACTCCAGTTGTCCCCTATCCTGTTTTCCCTTCCCATACCCATTGTTTCCTTTCTTTGTTTCTTCCTGTTTTTGCTTACCTCCCTTTCAAACCTTCCTAAGTAATATTCTGAAACTTTATGCAATACTAAACACTCTTATACTCATCTTTAAGTAATTATTTACCCCAGGATCCAAAGTTAGGAAAGGCATTTTTCCACTTCCTAATGGCCAGTTTCAAAGCACAATACTGTTCAAGATGCCTGCCTACCCAACACTACTACTCTGCATTCCCTAATGCTATCATCTTCTATTCTCTTGGTAACTTCTCCACAGCTACGGATTTTTGTCACTTTTCGCAATGCCCAGGCACTGTGCACTGTGACAACACTCTCTATGCAGGTTGTCCATCCAGTAGTCCACATTCATGGCTCTTAACTTTTGACCTCCCTGATAACCTCCCCACTGAACA
Source organism: Homo sapiens (assembly GCF_000001405.40). Taxonomy (NCBI): domain Eukaryota; kingdom Metazoa; phylum Chordata; class Mammalia; order Primates; family Hominidae; genus Homo; species Homo sapiens. Next base: position 78,088,798 of record NC_000008.11, on the reverse strand, counting down.
GCCCTTCTTGCCCGCACATCCATAGATACACAGACTACATGCTCACTTTAACCATCCATTTTCATGGCTAGATCCTGGGTTTGTCTTCTAGAAATGCCATCAGATTAAAATATTCAACCTCTAAATTCCTAACTCATCCAAAACAGCTTACTCATTCTAACAATTTTATGCTCTCACTTAATGGAATCTTTAGTGATCTCCATTTTCACCAACTCTACCTCCAACCTTGTCCACCCAACACACATCCTCATCAGCAATCTCTTGCTCTCACATCTCTACCAAGCTTAGACTGCAGTATTCAGGGCTCCAGGGATTATAACCTGCCCGTTTTTTTGACATATGAAAAGGGTATTAAAATATAGATAACCAAAACTACATCATCCTTCATCCCCATAAAAGTGTAAAACACCTTCATGTGATTTGCTCGCTCTTATTCCCAGACCCAACATATATTTGTTTGCCCCTGTCATAGCTGGTTGTGGGAACCACACACCCATCAATTCCCAAATTCTACAGCATTCCTTAAGCTTCAGTATCCCTGCAAAGTATAATTCTAGATTAAAGGCAGTCATCCTTTTCACCTCATTTACCTATGTTACTGAGTGAAATGTTGGAAAAAACATACCAGAACCTTGAACACTGCTCCTCCTACAAATTCACAGTTTCTAATTTCCTACCTGATGTGTTAACTCTATTTAACACTTAACTCTATTAATGTGCTATAATAGATTTTTTTTTTTTTTTTTTTTTTTTTTTTTTTTTTTTTAGAAAATGGAGACCCTAAGGTATTGAATTGAAAATGCCTATCTCCCCCTTGTTCACTCTTACCTCTGCCCTCCAGGATCAAAAGTTAGACAGTCCCACTTCCTGTTTGAATCTAGGCCATCTTGCTTCCCAACTCTTCTGTCTTTAGCAACATCATTGTTGTTTCACTGTTCTTGTTCCTGTCTTGTCTTTTTCCTATATATTCCACACATACAGCCCCATCAAAGTGATCCTCCTAAAACAAGGCTTATCCTGTCACTCCTATGTTAAAGTCCCCTTCAACAATTTTGCATTGCCCTTAAAACTGAAGTGTAAATATTTTAACTTTACTTTTAAGACTCTGAATTATTACTTGATTCAAGTTGCCTTGTCTCTTACCTTACAGACCCTTGCCCTTGGTTCATCTTTTCTTAGGAACTTCATATCCACTGAACCTTTGCCTACAGGCTCTATCATCCACCCAATCCTTCACCTGTACCTCAGCTGTCCCTTCCTCCAATGAGCCATGCCACTTTCACCTACCTCAGGTTTAATTTAATCTTTTATATTTCAAATTCAACTATTTTTCTCTAAGAAAATACCCCTGAACCTCCAGAGTTCAGATTAGGTGACAATTTTCTGTCTACTCATTTGTGTTTCCCATGAGACACTAAGCACTTATGGTCAGATGCAATATCTATGTTTTTCACTGATTCTTTTTGGAGGTAAAGCATTAGATCTGACATATAAATATTTTGTGAACTTAATGGCACAAGAATTGGTCTGTGTGTTCCAGCTTATTATAGATCCAAGAGCATATGGAGATTAGCAATTGAAGCCCGAAAGGACTCACAAAACATATGATCTATTTTACAAAGATAACCAGGCATAATAGATGTGTAATCTAAGAATATTAACGTCATTTAGAAATCCCCTCCCCCACTGAAAAACAAAAACAAAACAAAGAACACTGGAAGAAGCATCAAAGTAAATATTGTTACCAAAATTCCTAATTCCTCAGGATTACCTAAGGGTACTTCTAATAAAATAAACAAAGTTCAGGTCAAGAAGAGTACATTTGCCAACATCACTAGTTATCAAGGAAATGCAAAGTAAAGCCGCAATGAGACAACACCTTATTCCTGTAAGAATAGCTGTAATTGAAAGTCAAAAATAATAAATGTTGGCTTGGAGGTGGTGAAAGGCGAACAATTTTACTCTGCTGGTGGGAATGTACGCTAGTACAACCACTATGGAAAGCAGTACGGAAATTCCTTAAAGAACTAAAAGTAGAACTAACTACCATTTGATCCAGCATCCCCCTACTGGGTATCTACCCAAAGGGAAAGAAGTTGTTATATGAAAAAGAGACATGCACACATATTTAGAGGAGAGCATAATTTGCAATTGCAAAATTGTGGAACCAACCTAAGTGCCCATCAATCAATGACTTGATAAAGAAAATGTGGTATATAAACACCATAAAATACTAATCAGCCATAAGAAAGAAGAAAATAATGTATTTTGCAGCAACATGGATGGCGCTGGAGACCATTATTCTAAATGAATTATCTCAGGAATGGAAAATCAAGTATTGTACGTTCTCACTTAGAAGTGGGAGCTAAGCTATGAGGATGCAAAGGCATAAGAATGATATAACGGACTTTGGGAGACTCTGTGGGAGAAAGGTGGGAGGGGGGTGAGGGATAAAAGACTATACATTAGGTACAGTGTATTCTGCTTGGGTGACAGGTACAACAAAATCCCAGAAGTCACCCCTAAATAACTTATCCATGTAACAAAAAAACCACCTGGACCCCAGAAGCTATTGAAATAAAAAATAAATAAATAGAAGAAAGCATTTGCTTCCACAACCTCACCACAGCCTGACATCAAGTTTCAGACAAAGTTGAGGATTCAAGAGAATACTACTGATCATTTTGGATGACCAGAAGTATTAGCGGGAGAGGATCTGGAATAGCCACAGGTCGTGTAAGAATGCAGAAGTGTTAAATGGTGGTATTTAGAAGTATGATAGAACCTCACAAATCAGTCTCTTAATATTTTGTACACTGAAATACAAGAGAGATGGTAATTGTATTTTAATATTTTAGGGGGATACGTAACCGTGCTAATTCAACAAACTATTGTGCCCACACTGGTTGGAAGGGATTTCTTTCATTTTTGTTCCATGAATTTACATTGTTTACAAAAAACAATTTTTCTGTATTCCTTTTAAATGTATATTTTGTTTCTTAAGTGCCAATATGCCAGGCCCAAAGTCAGAGGCAGTGAAGACAATGAGAGAACCTTGCTTGTGGACTGATTCTGTTACAGAATGTAAGCCAGCCATCTGCAGAGTGGCTGATGACTGTGATGGCATAAAGTTATCACAGGAAAAGCTAGTGCTATCTTGAAGGTATTTGAGCAATACTTATTCAGTTTGATAGTGTAATTAATGGTCTCTAAAACCTTTTCCATTTCAAGAATTCAGGTTACTTGGTGTTTCTCAAACCATAGTAGGATCAAAGGGGCAGGAGTCCACAACCAAAGATTACAAATTAGGTCAAACATTTTGGTTTATGCAAATTATTCTACTAGAAAACACACTAAAAGGAACACATTTAGAATGATTTCTATTGAATTTATGTAGAAGAAAGGTCCTAAAACATTTTCAATGGATAGCAATTAAAAATTAATTGTAAGTATTCCAAAATATATTACTTCTCATGGCTATACTATTTAATTTGCTTTTTCCTATTTTCTTTTACTGAACATAAAGTACCTCTATGCAGTCTCTCATACACATACACTTCTAATCTCAAACTTTTATTTTCATTTTTTAATAAAGCCAGAAATATTTTGAATTTTTAATATTATTGTCAGGTGTCTTTTAGTAACAGAACCCTGAAGGTGGGGGAGTTAATTTAGCAACATTTTTTTTTATTTGTTAACATTATTTTACCCAAGGTTAAGCTTCACAAATTTAAAAATCATAATCTCTTTTCATTTTATATTTATTGTTTTGACTTACTATAATATTGGTAAAATTGCAAAAAAAAAAGAAAAAAGAAAGAAACAGTCATCTTAGATGGTATGGAAACAGAGATCTGCAACATTTAATTCAGCAGTAAAGCCCTAGATCAGGGTAATAATTATATCTATGAAACTATGCCATGTGGTTGCCAGCCACAAGAAAACAATAACACACCCTGATCCTTAAATATCTCATAATAGAATGTCCCTGATTTCTATATTTTCAGTGCAGTATATGAAGAAAATCAGATGAATAAATACTGGACTTCCACTACCTTCAGTTTCTCTCTAAATCATTAACATAAAACAAGAGAGTCAACTAGCAGCTGATACAGCATATACTATTTTAGGGGATGAAAATCCACCCATTGTCTTTCTGAAATGCCTGTTCTCTCCATCATGACTCTTAAATCCACAGGTCTCTGAAATGCTTAGATGAGGCAGCAGGAGTTTGAATTACTGGCTGAGTCAGCAGGTCACAGAGACCTCAGATAGAAATTTTTTGTTGTTGTTTATTTATTTAGGGAATGAAAGAGATTTTCTGGAACATAGAAATTTCAGCCTGCCATTTGCAGCAACATCTCTTTGTTTCAGGCATTCTGAAGAAATATGCAAGTGCCATGAACAACCTAACACTAAAATGTGTTCAATGCCACAATTCAGAGAAATAATGAAATGTAATTGATAGGCTTAGAGATGATGAAGAAGCTGTTTGTTGTGGGGTTTTCACACCACAATGTTCTATTACTGAAATAATTTACTTTTATTTCGGGTGCTGATACTGAAATCTGTATATTTTTGGTACAAAATAACTTTAGGCTTTTGAAATATACTTGATGTTCCAACTACAAACCAGAGAAGGAAGCTTTTGGTGTTCCTAAACCACTCTGGATGTCTTATATTTCCCTCTGTTCAGAGTGCACCACAATCATTCAATGACCTGGGCCAGAAATCTTGTGCTTAAATACTGTTCCGCAGTGGTGAGAACACACAGCCAAGCTAAATGACTTCCCAGATCTGAGCAGCACTTCCCAGGCTGATGGACGCCGACACACAATGCTCCCTAAATCACCTCGTACTTTAATAACCCAGCCCTGCTGAAGGGACTGGTGGTTGATGTGAGCCTAAATGCAAGCCCGCCCCTACTGGATTTCATTCAGCTGGAAAAACGAACATGTAACAGCCACTGGCAATGGGCTTTGCTTATATGGGAAGTCCTCCCAGCCACTGCTTTAACTCCAGTGACCTCTTCTCCAACATTTAAGGCTGTAAGGAACTTGGCAACGCAAGAGAAAAAAAAAGAACAGTTTTTAGAATTTTGGTTGGCAGGGCTGCAAGCTACTGAGGCCATATGAATTCTGCTGCAAGAGGCCAACTGCGAGTGCTGAGGCTCACTTCTTTTAGCATAGATAAACCACTTACTGATGGCATGTGTCTTTTTAAAAGAATATTTTGATCACAGTGCATACGCCTGCTCACATACTTTTATCTTTCTAAATTAACAAGTTCCTTAAACGTTTCACTTCAATCGTGATAAAAGGTGCCTCCCCTTTCAGATGCTTTCATACTACTGAAAACTGGATGCTTACTTTTGGTTAGCTAATTGTCGGTCTAGAGGCATCCAACATTTCTCATTTTACCCACAGTGAAAAAGAAAACCTCCCCAAGAAGTTAGCACATACTTATAAGAATGACTGTTTCCTGCTTGTCAGCACTTTAGGAGGTGGGGTGCAAACAAAACCTCACTTTTCACGGAACTCTAGTTCTTGTTTGGCTCTGGTTGTACCTTACAGATAAGGAAACAGGCAAATGTGTGCAATGTGCTAGAACAAATCGGGCATATAGGAAGTCTGAGATAGAAGACAAAGTTATCTATCATTTCCTATCACAACTCTGGAATGTTCATTCTTTTTAACGATGCCAGTGAAATGTATATGAACATCAGTAAAAAGGTGTCCTTGTATATTCAGCTCTCCTAAAAAGTCACTAGATACGATTGAACACCACTATTAGAAGTAGATACTTACTTTTATTACTGCTTGTACCACAAAGTACAATTCACAACACTTAAAAAATACACAAGCTGTGGTTGATGTTTTCTTGGAAGGTAATCCTCTATTTCTCAACCCTCATTTATTACACAATCATTTGGTACTTTTAGAGGAAATCAGAAATTATTTTCAACTCTGAGAGAGAATGTTTCTTCAAAGAAGTTTGTTCTTTTGTTAGTTTACTACACAAATGGCCTCTAAACCTTCTTCATAAGATTTAAAACATCTTTTCTTATGATGTGGAAGGGAATAGTGGTGTGCTTCCCTGTGATTGTATATGATGGCTCGTTTGTGTGCATTTAACTTGCATTTGGTAGGTAGGAATGAAATAGATTGGGTCTAATTTATTGCAGGTAAAGTTTAATTAACAAGTTATGATACCAGTCTTGATATTACTATAGATGAAACAGTTTTCAATTAGAATAATACACAATTCGTTTGAGACAGTTTTATACAAGCAAAACACCACTACTTAATGTCAATTGAGTTCTGCACTTCTCATGTATGGTAGCTAATCAGTTACAAAGTGAATTAAATCCTCAAATATTGTAGAAATATTTTGCTGCTGAAAGCTTTCTTATCTCTGGAGCATATTAGTCTTAGATACTTCTGAAATTATCCACCTTATTAAACTCCAACAGACATGGTAAATTCTATTGACATAAGGGAAAAATAGAATCTTTTCCATAGAATATGGCTATAAACGCTGGTAAACAAACAAATAGGAACATGAAAAGTTTGACTCAGAACATAATGTCATCAAATTCTTTATATAAATCCTGTGTATATGTGGATGATTTGATTTACTTTTTAAATCAAAAGCAATCTTTCTTAAGGCAATATTAGAGTAGTTTTTAATGGCAGTGAACTAAGCTGTGATGATGATTTTAAAAAATAAATTTAATTATTTTTACCTTTCTGTTATTTGAAAATCTAGATGGAAGCAGATGAATATGAGCTAAATGCTCTGTAGTAGAGGTGAGAGGGAATTTAAAGTGATAATGTCTTAATTGACAAGATTGCAGTCCTAAATACATCAGTGACAAGTTTAAGAGAGAATAACATTTCAGGATTAATGCTTTAAATTAACAGCTCACTACTTCATACACTCGGTTGCAATCTATCATGCTGAAGATAGGAGAAGTTTATCTTCAGGGATACCTCTTACATTTTCTAGGATTTCTTGGCCTTATTAATTCAAATCTTACTTTCAATGCATGCATGCAGCCAAGATAATTACTAGAAGGCAAGATCAAAGCCGGCATATTATAGTCCTATTCCATTTTCTGCTGATGTGAGTGATCTGCCTCTCCTTTGATGTTGTATGCTTCTACAGCGAAAGTACAGAGGATAAAAATACTACACCATGTAATCTGGCATTTATCCCATGAGAGCAGAATTCCAAATTGTGACACATGTCAAGAAGTTAAAAAAAAAAACTTAAAAGAGACCTATGCTTTATAAAATGACGTACTCTGCATTTAAACATCATCAAACATCATTTTCCATTACAAATTTAGACCCTGATATAAAATTCAAAGAATTTTTGTAACTTTAGTAGAAGAAAATAGTTACCATATTTACTAGCAATTATATTAAATGTGTGCCTGAGCCTTTATCTCACCTAATGAGGGCAGTTGAGAAGAAGCAGAAGTATAACGTGCACACACATATATATTTGTGTGTATATCCATTCAAAAATTCCATCACTTAGTGTGTACTCTACACATATATACAGATGGTTTTAGTTTGCTCTGAATTATCTATCACCTTAGGTCATGAGGTTGAACAAGTCTCTGATCTCTGAACTGCTTGCTGTTGATTAGAGAAAAAGAGTTCCTGGTCTATAACATTATATTTACTTAAATATTTGCCCTTATGTTGTATCTCTGGCAATGTTCTGTCAGATATTCATCTTATTGCATCTTACAGTGTCCTGTTGTGTCCTAGTTTACCTTTTATAAACATGTTAAGTGTGTGTGTTTGCTTACATGTATATGAACACAGAGACTGTGTTCTAAATTAGCTTTTTTGCTAAATTAAATCGAATTATTGCCCTTCTGAAGGAAACTAATATTTTCCGATCATTCCTCAGTTGCTAGTTGATTCTGGTTCATTCTATTTTGGACTCAGAGCCCTCCAAGGTACCATGATCAGCCCTACATGTTTTGACAGAAAAATCAAGCATTGTTTGGACTTCATGGCTATCACTTCTGAAGCACAGAACCCAATATCGAGAAAATTGATTTTGATAGCACACAATTTAACCCACACTCTTCACTTCAAATAGAAATCAAAACTGTTTTTTATTTTGAAAAAAAAATGGCTTTTCTCTTTCCCATAAACTGTATTTTGAAGGACTTCCAAGTGCCAGAATTATTATAAGGTGTGGTAATAAAACAAGACCTATGTATATCAATCTCAATGTATTTCTTACACCTTCTATCTCCATTGATGGGAGTGTGAGCTTCTAATAATAAGGTAAAGTACGATAAAATGAAGATCATTAAACATAGCTTGATATCAAATATAGATATGGATAGAAATACCTCTGACGATCTTTGGGATACTATAGAATATAATGGTGCTAGAAGACTAAATATGAGCAAATACCAGGCTGAAATTTGGAAACTGCAAATGTGTAACATGTAACCCCAATATACATCTCTGACAAAATTCTAAAGTGCATTTTCAAATAAATTTTCTTGAGACACAATTGAAATAAGGGACGAGAAAACATACTTTTCCCATATGGGTTTAATTTGAACCAATTATGTCTGTGTTACAGTATGAAAATCCCAGTTTATTTCATCTATTAATTTTATCTTGGTCATTCTGACCTATTGTATGTCAAGCTGAAAATATAAACATGTCTTACTTCCTGTTCACTGGGATCTGCTCTTTCCTCTAAGCTTACTCTTCTTCAATTTTCTTTACTTGGTCTTCTTTATTGTCCTCACTTGTAAACACTGGAATTCTCGAGGTATCAAACAGTTGATCTTCTTTCTTTTTTACACCTATTCTCTAGGTGTTATGGACTGAATGTTTGTGTCCCTCTAAAATCCAACTGTTGAATCCCCTACTGCTAATGGGATGATATTTGGTGATGGAGCCTTTTAAGATGTTAGGCCTTAAGAGTGGAACCCTCATGGTGGGACTATTCCCCTTATAAGAAGAGACACAAAAGAGCTTATGTATATTCTCTCTCCCTCTCTCTGTCATGTGAGGACATGGCAAGAAGAAAGGTGTCTGTTAATCAGAAAGTGAGTCCTCATGAGACACTGGATCTGCTGGCATCTTGATCTTAGACTTTCAGCTTCTAGAACTGTGAGAAATTAATGTTTGTTGTTTAAGCCACCCAGTCTATGGTAATTTGTTAGAGTAGTGTAAATTTACTAAGACACCAGGTAATGTCATTTACTCTCACAGCTTTAAACACCATCCAGATGCTGAACTTCTAAATTTCTACCCCTAGCCCTGGACCTCCCTACTGAATCTAGTATATACTTAATATATTTTTATATATTAAGTATATTATAAAATACATTATATATACATTTTATGTAAATAATATAGATTATATTTTATATATTTACTGAATCTAGACTCCCTACTGAATCTAGACTCAGGTATTCAACTGCCTTCCCAGTATCTCCCTTTGTCCTTCTAATCCTACCTAATTCAATGGTTCTAATCCTACTGAACCATTACCGTGGTTCAGGCACAGTTCTTTTTACATGTTTTAGCTTATTTAATCCTCATAACTCCATCAAATTGACTATATTACTATTTTCAAGTTGTAGATACAAATACGAGACCTAGTTACTTGCTCAAGTTTACACAGATATATATATATATAAAAGTCTTATATATCTCATAAGTATATATATATATGCTTATAAGTCTTATATATATATAAGACTTATATATCTCATAAGTCTGGGATATATATATATCCCAGACTTATGAGGTCCAAAATTGAACTCTGGATTTCCCTACCACAGCCAATCCATTGCCAGTTTCCCATGCCAATGCATGGCACATCCTTTCTTCCAAATTGCTTCAAAGTACTTGGATTAACCTAGCTTTCTTTTATTATTTTGCACATCAAATTCAAACCATCAGTAAACTTTGTTCAGTATCTGACTACATCTCAAGACCAGCATCATCATCATCATCTATGTTCTAGACTATTGCAATATCCTTCTACCTGGTAACCCTGCAATCTATTTACTGCAAGGCAGGCAGAGCAACCCTATTGTAATAAAAAGAAAAATCAGTTACCTTTGTGCTTGATGTCCTCTTAGGGCCTCTCATCTCACTCAAAATAAAATGTGATCTCCATAATATGGCCAAAAAGAGCTTCATGATCTAGTCCCCATCCAGATCTCAGGCCCTTCTCCTCCACTCTTTCTTTTCTTTTCTTTTCTTTCTTGCTTTCTTTTCTTGAGATGGAGTCTTGCTCTGTCACCAGGCTGGAGTGCAGTGGTGTGATCTCGGCTCACTGCAACCTCTGCCTCCTGGGTTCAAACGATTTTCCTGCCTCAGCCTCCTGAGTAGCTGGGACTGCAGGTGTACACCACCATACCCAGCTAATTTTTGTATTTTTAGTACAGGTGGGGTTTCACCATGTTGGCCAGGATGGTCTTGATCTCTTGGCCTCATGATCCACCCACCTTGGCCTCCCAAAGTGCTGAGATTACAGGTGTAAGCCACAGCGCCTGGCCTCTCCTCCACTCTCTTAACTCACCCTTTTCTACCTCATTTCTTTTAGATCTTTTCTGTAATGCATCCTTATCAAAATGGTCTTTCCTCACTACCAACACTAACACCTCTATCACTCCATGCCCCCATTTTTTTCATTATATTGTACTAATTTTCCTTTAATATACTCTAGTTTTTAAATTTATAGCTCTATTCCCTACAACTGTAGAAGCTCCATAGGAATACGGTTTTCTACTTTTTTTCTGGTGAATTCTGAATGCCTAAACTCTGTTTTGCATTAAATAAACAATAATTATTAGCTGAGTAAGTTAATAGATCAGTCAAATAGTTTTGAGAATTCTCCCAAATCTACTAGTTATTATTTCTGTGAAAGTGGACCAAGGCACAGTAAGGATGGATAATTTTCTAGAGGAACCCACTAGCTTGGTTAAACAAAGAAACAATAAGTTAGTATGTATTACCAAAGTAATTAATATTGTTATAAAATGCAATGCCTTTATCTTTTAATGAATGCAATTTAGATTGGTTATTAACATGTATCTAAACTGTTCAAGTTTGCCATTCACCATTTGTTCTCAAGCATACTCTTACCCTATTGTTCCACAGACATTTCACTTTTGACAGCGTTAAGAACATGTTTTCTCAATATATTATACTTGAACTTCGAATTACATGTCCTTTGTTTAGTACATTTCCTGTGACTGTGTGGGATAAAAGATGCTCAATTTTTTTTCATTTTTTATTATTACTAGAATGTATTTTTTTCTTAAAGGAGGTCAATAGCTGCCCAGAATAAAGTCTGTATTTCCCAGTCTCCCTTCTAAGTAGTTGGGGCTATATGACTATGTTCCAATAATGGAAGTGCTGTGTATTTCTGTCACATGTGTCTTTAAGAGGAATGCTTAGACTCTTTGTGATGGAGGCTCCTAAATATAAATTATTTTCTTTTTGTATAATAATATATTTGTAGCTGGGACATACATACCCAGCCAGACTCTTGAATGTAGCCATGCAATGACATTCTTGCCAATAAAAGATGAGTCAAAACGATTGAGAGGTGTCATTTTCAGGTCTGGGACTTAACACATTGCACTTGTTATCTTCCCCCTATCCTCTTCCCAAGAGCTGCAAGATGGACATGTCTATGTCTCAGGTCAGGTCACACAGATGAAGACCACACCCTAGGAATGATGGAAGAAAAAGATGAATGGAATCTGTATTCCTTATTGACTACATAAATGCAGAGCAACCAACTTAATCAACTTGAAATGATGCAGGGGAAGAAAATAAAATTCTTTCTTCTTTAATCACATATTTGAGATCTGTAGTCAGTAGCTTAGCCTTTTCCTCTAAATTGTGCACCTTTCCTCAGCCTTCGAATTTCCTTCTGGTTAGAATGTGAACATGAAATGTTAGAGTTTGAACAGCCATCCTAGATCATGAGGTAAAAGCCTCATGTTGACATAAAACCATCCCAATTCCTTTTAATCATGGAATGCATAATAGTCTTGAATTGCGTGTCCCTAGACTTTGTTTATGTGGAAGAATGAACAAATGGCTTTATTTTAGCCATTTTTATTTTAAGTTTCTATCACTTGAGCTAAATCTGATTCCAACTTAAACCATGTTGTATTCTCAGTAAGTGAATTATTTGCATCCTGTCAATTATTATAGAGCTAGCTCAGAAGCTATCATGGCCATTCCCCCAAGTCTGGATATCAGCACATTCTTTATTTATTATCTAAGAGAACATGGTTCTTCTTCAGGCAGTCCTTCTTCATGAGCTATTTTGTCACATGTACAAATGAGTGGGTATTGTTATAAACCTGAGATGCAGGGGTTTTCATTACAAAGTTTCCATTTATCTTGTTGGAAGAGTTGCTATGCCTTTCATGTGATATCCCTGGACAAGATTAATTTGTTACAATAAGATAAAGGAAACTCCACTGAAAACCACAGCAAACAACTCAGGTCAGTTTGAAAGTATATTTTTACCCTTCTTCCTTTCTATACACACACATTACTAGGGTGGGTTCATCTAAAGTCAGTGCCCAGAGACGATTCTTGCTGTTGTTTTTGACAGAGAATCTGATAGAATATTACCTCTGTAACTCTGTTTCAGAGTTTCAGATTGCACAATCACCCCTGCACCCTACCTCTCCTTTAGTGTCATTATGTGGGACTCTCTAAGTTATGGGACCTAAATTGTCTCCTGTAGTTCCAGGCCACGATTTGAATTTTTCATATATTTGGGAAATAACCTTAGAGTCCATTTTATTTCAGAACAAATTCCTGTTATCATGATCAAGAAAGGAAGAGGAAACAACTAAATTGATAACCTGACATCTATCTAGAACGACCCTTCTCTTATTTTACTTAGCTAGTAAAAGAAAGATTTGGGTCAAATTGAAACATTCTAGAAAATTTGTAATTTATTGTATTTTGAAAATAATACTAAGGGGCAATAGTGATGAATCAAAATAATTTAAACCTCATAGATAATTATAACTATTTTGTGATGCAAAAAATATTATTCTGAAGCATATATATGTTCTGAACATTTTAATAGTAATGGTTCCATGTGGTTTTCATAGTAGTTCTATGAGGTAGCTTGGGAGAGATTATCATATTACATACATTTTTTTTTTTAAAAAAAGATGTGTAACTTAAGACTTTTATAATTTAAGCAACTGTATAGCTAATATGTGGCAAAGATAAATTTTCAGATCCAGAGCCTGTCATCTTCCTACTTAGCATATAGAATTTAAATTAAAAACTTAAAATCTCTATTTGGAAGACTGTATTCCTGTCTAACTTTGCATATACTGAAAAATATTACCAATTTATATATAAATAGAATAAATAAGAGACATGACTTAGTAAGAATTCTGCATATTTCACTGGAAAACTGTCCAGTGGCAGTGACATGCTTCAAGATGGATAGATGAAAGCATTAGATAAATCTTTTAATTTAGTTTTTTTCTCCTGTGATTCTACTAATGCAAAGTTTGCTTTTACCTTTATAGAAAGCATCATGTGCCAGAAGATAAATCTATATTAGGCATTATAGCACATAATTATCATCACTATAACCAACACTATCATTATAAAAATATATCACCTATTATATGCTAAGTGAGAGAAGCCATACCCTTTTAGGTGTTCTTTATAAAACTGAAAATTTGGTATTTACTCCATAATCGTAAGATGGAAGAATCTTTTTTATCACCAATAAAGCGATGGAGAACTTTCTGCTCTGTCTGCATATGCCCTAATAATGTATTTTCAGAACAATATTTCCATTTGAAAAATCTGAGGCAGTATTCCTGAGCACCTCAGGATCCATGTGTGGCTGGCTGGCTGAGTATTTTGAGCAAAGAGTCTACTCATTATTATCAGAAAATGGAGTGTTATGGCTTAATAATTTTTTTTCCTCGAAACTGTTTGTTTGGATAGTAGTTTTGACACCTGCTGTAGACAGCCAGTGTCTTTAATAAACATCCTCATGCCTAGTAAATAGTGATTTCTTAAAGGGAACTCATCAGACACAAAGCCTTAAATCTGATTCTGTAATTCAAGGGGAACACAAGGAAGTGGGAAAAGGATGTCATTTAAGCAGCTCAGAAACAACTGTCAATGTATAAAAAATATGTAATTTTCCTCTTCCATGAGTAAACTGCACTGAAACCTACACAAATGGTGCATAACGCTTCATGACTTTGGCCCTAGGTTACATATTTAAGTGGTCTCCACTGTATTCACATATAAACAGAGGCACCGTATGTTAATAATCACAATAATACCAAAATAGCTGTAACATTATTAGCATGATTTTATTTTTATTTTTATGGCTTCATGACTAGTTTGACTACCTACTGGCTTTTAGAAAATGCCAGTTACACATACTTTAGGTAGAAGAAGATCGACAGTTTTTGTTTTACTCATGGGATCATCTACAGGAAAGCTTCTCAGACAAAAATTTGGGGGTCTCAAGTTACAGTGAACATTCCATATACAGGCTTCCTTGTTATCAATTAATTCAACTTACTTCTTCATCAATTTTTTCTCCCTTCAGTCTTGATGGTTTTATGACCCAGACCCAGGCAATACCCTTAGGCAATCCATGTGATAATTGACACATTTTCTAACATGGTATAGTGATGCCCAAGTCACTGCTTTCAGGCTGTGACTGGAGCTTATTGGAGTCTGCAGCAGGGGCTCCTTTTATCCTCATACATCAGAATACACTGACAGCTCTTCCATACAGGGACCATGCAGATCTCTCCCCCAGGAAAATATATGCAAACACCTCCAGAACATTGAAATGGTTGCTAGGCATCACAATGGTGACATCTTTATGATAAACACAGTATGCAAAAGAAGGCCTCATAGAAGAATAACAAATTATTACATCCAGAGGGCAATTTTACAAGATTAACTGGTGTAATAAATTACTACTAGAGTCAGAATAGCACATTACCCTTTAAGGTATTTCACAGTGGAGACAAAATGAACTGGCCTATAAAAACTCAGAGAATGTAGGAGAGAATAGCAAACTGCTTTTTCACATTTCTGAAAGATAGTCATGATACTTACAGTATGGTGAGTTCAGCAAGTAATTATTGTAAAATAGTGTTAGGCATGCCGTTCATGCTAACATGACTATGTTTATTATTTTTCATACTGCTTTGAATTCTTAGTAACATTGCATTTGTACACTATCGACTTAATGAAAAGCCTGTAGCATTTTATTTCTAAGACAAATGCAATACATACAAGATTACACAGTAAATTCCAAGACTTGAGTATATTTCATAATTAATAAATATATGTATTGACAGCATAATAGGAGTTCTGGTGTCTCTATGAGAGATAATGAATTGTTTCACTTGATTCTGAGCAGGTATTCAAAAACTTAAGAGAAATGTTTCTTAATTTCAATATTGAATTCACATTGCCTGTTTTTTTTTTAATAATGCTATTTTACTTTTTCTTGCCTATACTCACATTACAAAAGTGAGAAAAAATTTTTTAAAAATCTATAGCTTGAACATTGGAAGCATGAAAAGTTATATAGAATTACTATTTTATTTTTAGTTTATTAAAAGAACAGTAGCTATCAGATGTCCACACTTTTTCATTCATCAATAATAATTCTAACTTCCAGTCTTGAGTCTAGTACTTTCTAATAAATAAAGAAAATAAAAGGGGCCTGGCATGGTGGCTCGTGCCTGTAATCCCAGCACTTTGAGAAGCCGAGGCAGGAGGATTCACCTGATGTGAAAGGGTTTGAGACCAGCCTGGCCAACATGGCAAAACCCTGTCTGTACTACAAAATATAAACATTAGCTGGGCATGGTAGTGTGCACCTGTAATCCCAGCTATTTGGGAGGCTGAGGCAGGAGAATCGCTGGACCCTGGGAGGTGGAGGTTGCAGTAAACCGAAATCATGCCATTGCACTCCAGCCTGGGTGATAGAGTGAGACTCTGTCTCAAAAAAAAAAAAAAAAAAAAAAAGAAAAGAAAAGAAAAAAGAAAAGAAGGAAAGGTGGGAAAAGGGGAGAAAGAGAGAGAGGTAGAGTGTTTATTCAGGTTCATGAATCTTTAAGATCAAAATGTGTTCTATTCTTCTCTTTCCTACCACCCACCACCCCTCATAAAGCTTTCTACTGTGGCTGCCATACAAAGTGACTTGACAAGCAAATGAATTTAGTATAGTGTTCACATAGTGTCACACTTCAAGTGTCTTTCAGGATGTTCCTCACTTAATCAGGATCATATTCTTTTTGATTCATCTTCGTATTTCCTCAAGTTGAATTTGCTGATGCCTACGGTATAGTCCTTGAAGGTAGAAAGGAGTAGTTAAATTAGTGCTAACAATTACTGGGTTTGGACAAAAGATGGGGTTGGGGGAGTAAAGAATAAGGAAGACATTGAAGTTCCTCAAGAGCAACATCATCCTTATTGAAAGTCAGTGGAGAGGGAGGACCTCATCAGAGAGAAAATGGAATCTCTATTGACTTAAATGTCTAATGAGTACTAATGATATAGGAGCTAAAAAGAAATTATTTAGGTAGCATGTGAGGGTAAGGGTAAGAGAGTCCTCGGTAAGGCTTCCCTTGTAACAAAAAGCTGTCCCCAAATCATTTCTTTTCTAACAAAGAGCAGTCTGTAAAACCAAACTTCAGACATAGATGAGCAAGCTGGAAGCTTGCATGGGTGAATGCTGGCAGCTGTGCCAATAGTAAAAGTCCCTGGGGGCCAGCAATGTTCAACATGGAGGCTCCATCTTCCCTTTTCTTTGTCAAGCACGTGTATAGTAATGAAGCAGGCAACATGGCCCTGGGCAGGTAGAGAACCCATATGCATGATAAAAGATTAGGCTATGCAAAGGGCACACCTGGTCTGACCAATCTCTTGTGCCCTATGTAAATCAGGCATTGCTTCCTCAAGCTCGTCTATAAAACCTCGTGCATTCCATCATGGAACTGGAAGACCCACTCCGGAGCCCCTCTCTCTGCAGGATAGAGAGCTTTTTCTCTTCTCTTTTCTCTTGCCTATTAAACCTCTGCCCTTAAACTCACTCCTTGTGTGTGTCCATGTCCTCTATTTCCTTGGTGTAAAGCAATGAACCTGGGGTATTGCGCCAGACAGATGATGCTACTTCACTCACTGGATGTCTGTTATTGGGAGTCATTATTCTTACTTAAAAAAAAGTGAATTATTTATTTATCATACAAGTAATGCTTTATTTATTCTTTCTATAGTGCTCTTCCTTTTTTTTTTTTATGTAGATCCACAATTCTGACCTATATCATTTTCCTTTTCTTTGAAAAACTATTTTTAACATTTCTGGGGACTTCTGCTGGCAATGAATTCTTTCAGATTTTGTTTTCCTGAGAAAGTCCTCATTTATCTTTTTTTTTTTTTAAATGATAATTTTGTAACCACTCAGTGGGTTCACCTTGCCTGCTACCTAGACAGAGCCAATTTCTCAAGACAGAGGAATTGCAATAGAGAAAGGGTAATTCACACAGAGCTGGCTCTGCAGGAGACCAGAGTTTTATTATTGCTCAGATCAGTTTCCCTAAAAACTGGGGATTAGAGTTTTTAAGAATAATTTGGTCAGGAGCAGACCAGTGAGTCGAGAGTGCTGATTGGTTGGGTCAGAGATGAAATCACAGGAAGTCAAAACTATCCTCTCATGCCCATCAGCTCCTGGGTGGGAGCCACAGAATTTCTTGGCAGGTCCGAGTGGGGCAATCTGATTGTCAGAAATGCAAAAACCTGAAAAGACATCTCAAAAGGCTAATCTTAGGTTCACAATAATGATATTATCTTCCAGAGTAATTGTGAATAATGGCTGGTAATATTTAGAATTCCAGCCCCTCTCATCCTAACTTGGTGGCTGGTGGCCTTTCATTCATTTCAGAAGAAAAGTTCAGTTTTGGGGAAGGGCTATTATTTAAACTATAAACTAAATTACTTCCCAAGGCTAGTTCAGCCTATGCCCAAGAATGGACAAGGGCAGTTTGGAGATTAGAAGCAAAATGGAGTTGGTTACTTCTGATATCTTTCACTGTCATAATTTCCTTAGTTAAAATTTTGCAAATGTGGTTTCAATTTCCCTTGATATTAAATACCCAATATTTTACTTCATTCTCTTCCTGCTAGCATGGTTTCTGATGATAAATCTACTATAATCCTTATCCTAATTTTTCTATAGGTAAAATATATTTAAAAAATTTTCTCCTCTGGCTTATTTCAGTATTTTCTCTTTGACTTTGGTTTTCTCTAATTCCAATATAATTTGCCAAAGTGTGGATTTTAAAAATATTTGTCTGGATGTTGTACTCTGAGCTTCCAGATCTATAATTTGGTATCTATCATTAATTTTTGGAAAATTCTAAACCATTACACTTCAAATATTTCTTTGATGTTCTTCTATCTCTTTCTCTTTCTTTCTTTCTTTCTTTCTTTCTTTCTTTCTTTCTTTCTTTCTCTCTCTCTCTCTTGCTTTCTTTTCCTTCTGGTATTATAATTACATGTAAGTTACAATTCTTGAAATTGTCCAACACATACTGAATATTCTTATTTTCAATTATTTTTTTCTTATTCACCTTTTTTTTTTTTAAATCATTCATCATTTCTGTTACAGTATTTTTTATTTCTGGCCTTTCCTTTTGATTCTTTCTTAGAGTTTCAGTCTCTCTTTCTGTAACCACCCAGTGGGTTCACCTTGCCCGCTGCCTAGACAGTCGATTTCTCAAGACAGGGGAATTCCAACGAGAAAGAGTAGTTCATGCAGAGCTGGTTGTGAAGGAGACCAGAGTTTTATTATTACTCAAATTGGTCTCTCCAGACTTTCAGGGATCAGAGTTTTTAAGGATAATCTGGTGGGTGGGGGAAGGCTAGTGAGTTGAGAGTGCTGATTGATCAGGTCAGAGATAAAATCATGGGAAGTTGAAGCTGTCCTCTTGTGCTGAGTCAGTTCTTGGGTGGAGTCCACAAGATCAGATAAGCCAGTTTATAGATCTGGGTGGGGCCAGCTAATCCATCAAGCGCAGGGTCTGCCAAATATTTTCAGCACTGATTTTAGGAGCAGGTTAGGGGAGTCTAGTCCCCATGCAAGAAGGAGGTTTGTTTTGGAAAAGTGGTGTTATGGTCTTTGTTTTAAACTATAAACTATAAACTAAGTTCCTCCCAAAGTTAGTTCTGCCTATACCCTGGAAGGAACAAGGACAGCTTAAAGGTTAGAAGCAAGATGAGAGTCAGTTAGGTTGGATCTCTTTCACTGTCTCAGTCATAATTTTGCAAAGAAGATTTGAGAAACCTTATTAATCATACTTATTTTAAATTTCCTGCCTGATAATCCTCACAACTGTGCCATATCTGTCTTGTTTTGATGCTTCCTTTGTCTCTTCTCACTTTGTTTTTTGTTTTTGTTTTTTGCCTTTTAATATACTTTGTACTGTTTTTGTTAAAAGTCAGATATGATATATCAAGTAAAAGAAATTGAAATAAATAGGCCTTTTTTAGGAGGATTAATATTAATATGACTAGAAGTTGGACTTGTTTAACATTTGCTGTAGCTGTAGATAACAGACATTTCAAATTCCTCTATTGTCCTTGTTTTGGCCTCCCTCGTTGTCTTTGGGCTTTCCTAAATACTGTTCAGCAGCTATAGTCTGTGCCTTGCATCCTTTCAGCTGGAGTCCACTGCTGTATGCTGGAGTACTATTGGTATTGTGGTAAAGTAGGGGGCAAGGAGAGTTCTATAATCTTATGATGGCATCCCAATGTTTTAGTGGGACTGTGCCTCTGTGCTGTGCCCTTCACAAGTGTTTTTTCAGTAGGATAGCTTCTTCCTTCCCCTTTAGGAGTGACAGGAGGTCTAGAGAGAGTTGTTGTAGAAGTAATGTTCTTCTCCAACTAGGATAAGGCTCTGGTAAAATCATTTTCCATGGAAAGTAAAACTTTGTTATGGAGCACTCTCTGGGAATATTCACGATGTTTACTCTTTTGCTTTCTCTGTCAGAGTCATGAGGGAATCTTTTTTGGTTCTTGACCATGAGAACTTGTTAATGTTCTGGGGGATAAAACCTAAAAATGGGGAGGCCCTATGGTTCCCAGGATTTCTCATCCTCATGCTAGTCCAACACAGCCTCCAACAGTTCAAAATGATAATTTAATTGCTTATGGCTTCAGTGGATTCTGTTTCAGGTAAATAATTGGCTATAACTCTGAATTCACCTGTCTCTTCAGAATTCTGGTTGATCATGTGCCCTGTGATCTCAGTTCTCATTGACTTTCAATTTGTTCAGATTTTTCTTGTAAAAATGGTATGTGAATGCATCCATGGCCTTTATGCATCAGAACAAAAACCAGAAGTTACTTGACTTTTCCACAAATGCTTCTCTCACATTTAAACTTGTGCTAACCATATTTGCTAAAATTTTGGAAAGATAAAAAATACTCATAGGAAGAATTTTGACTCTTTGTCTTATTAATTTGGTGACTGAGATGAGTTCATTCTTGGGTGTTGCAATTTCTTCATCTATAAAAATGGTAATAATGATAGTTTATCTCATAGGAATTTTGTAAAGATTCAGTGTGTTGATATACTTTATACACTTAAAAGAGTACTAGGCACTTCTTAAGCCCTATATTACCTATACAGTGTCTCAAGAAAAGCATTTGTTATAGGAGGCATTATCCTGAAGTCAGATTTAGCCCTTACAGCATTGATTACAAAACTGGAGTTATTTAGGTTTAGAAGCATTTTAGCTAATAAAGGTATTTCCATTTTTCTGTATAAATAAAAACACCAATAAATTTATGCATAATAGAATGCACTGGTAAGAATATACTTTTCTTTTTTATGTTTCTGCAGCTACTATTGTTCTTATTGTTTTTTGAATACTACAATTTTATTTAAAGGCATGTTGATTAGTTCTGACTCATTAGGAACCAACTAACACATATTAATAGAAAGTGAAATGACATCATTATGTAATAAATATTCATCTGGTAGATAAAAAATTTCAAAGTTTACACGAATAAGAAAAAAATAGCAAGAGTTCTCTAGAGAAAAGTCAGAGAAACCACTGAGCTATATTTTTATAAATTAGTAGAAATTTTTATTAGAGGAGGTTTTAGCTTTCTACAACACTATCCCTTAGGATCCATGCATCTTATGTGCTGAATAATCCCTACAGATTAGCCCATTTTTAGTGTTCTTTATAATGTTCTGTATTTGGCTTGGAAGAAAGAAAATATGCTACTAGCACCTGAACCAAAAAATGTCTTTTCAGCTCTTATTTTAGTAAGGCATTCCATGCACTTTACAGTAATACAATATAGCCATTATCCATGGATTGGTGAAAAGGATCACTGATTTTTCAATTGTTTAGTAACTGTACCTTTACATACTACCAGAGTAATGCTAATATTTCATATTTATAGAATCCTCTATTTGAGAAACTCAAAGTATTTTATGAATATTATACCAATTAATCCTACATGACAAGTATTAGTATTCCCAGTATACAAATGAAGAGGTTACAGTGAGGCTGCTGTGCCAGCAAGAGTTTGTACTATGTCTTGGAAGAAAGAAATGTGTATCATATCCAAGGCCTTTCCAGTAAGAATGCCCTGGAGACTGACTTTTTGGAGGGCTGTAGAAAAGGCATAGGTCAATGGTAATTTTTGAAGTTCTTAGAGCTAAGTTAGTGTCAGCCTGAAGAGCTGAAGCAACATCCATGAATTGGTTTCCTACATATTCTTTTGTTTTGTTTTTGAGACGGAGTCTCGCTGTGTTGCCCAGGCTGGAGTGCAGTGGCGCAATAGCGACTCACTGCAAGCTCTACCTCCCCAGTTCATGCCCTTCTCTTGCTTCAGTCTCTCAAGTAGCTGGGACTACAGGCACCCGCCACTAGGCCCGGCTAATTTTTTTTGTATTTTTAGTAGAGACGGGGTTTCACCGTGTTAGGCAGGATGGTCTTGATCTCCTGACCTCGTGATCTGCCCGCCTCAGCTTCCCAAAGTGCCGGGATTACAGGCATGAGCCACCGTGCCCGGCCTCCTACATACTCTTATCATTCTTAATTAGCAACAGGCTAACTATACCAATGAATGCTTTAGTTATTTTATTTTATTGAATAAGGGCATTTATCATAGGCATCTTCTTGCCCTAACTTCGAATAATGGGCACATGTATTTCCCTTCACTTTTTGGATGGGAACTGAATGAATTGATTGGATACAGCTCACTATGTGACCTCTTTGTATTCATCTGTATTTAGCCTTTCACCTGATCTTTGATGACCAGTTTACTTTAGTTCTATCAATTTTTTTGTTTTGTAAATTTCAGACTTCAACTTTTTGTGTTTTTTTGAAGTCTGCTTTTATATATTTTAAATCTTCATAGACGAATAAAGCTAAGAAGATAAGACTATTCTTCCAAGAAACCAGTGAGTTAATAAAAGAAAGTTGATGAAAGAAATGCCAATTGCAAAGCCAAAATTGGCAAGGACAAGTTCCTGATGCTTCACAAAGAGCTGAAATAGACAAACTGTTTAAATTCTGTGCAAAAAAAAAAAAAAAGTAAACACCAGAAAGCAATCCTTTTCTATAGAGCTACAACCCTAATGAAGGATTTGTTTAATATCAATGTCAACTGCTAATGGCTACAAGTAAATGCCAAACCAGATCATGCTAGGTAAACTTTTTGTTTAAAATCAGTAAATCTTAGTGTTTCAATACCATTCTTACTTGAGAATGACTTTATCTGTTCTATTTATGATTTGGCTAGGTTCCCTCAATTACATATTTTTCAGAATTAACACCGTTAGCAGAATAAATGCTTATTTCTTTTATTGCTGCTGAATGTTTTTGAACTTTTAAAAAATAATAAAGATAGTTCACAGACCCACAATTTTGTTTCCAGAAGATTATGTATTATTTTCCAATCTCTTCTTTAGTTTGGATATTAACTTGTTCACTATTTTTAGTTCCACAACCAGCTCTATTTGAATTATTTATCTTAATAGTGATCTCTTAGTATTTGATCTAGTTTTACCCTATAGCTTATGGACATAGTATCTTTCCCATACATTTGTAGACATAGAGTTTTTATTTCCTTTATACTTTTTCACTTCATGCTTTCATTTGGTACTGATGGATTTGCATTGATGTCAGTTTCAACATAGGAGATGAGTAAGCACGAAAATCTTAATTTCTAGAAAGGCCCTAGAGGTTACTTAAGAGACCTATGGTTGTGAGTCGGAGACAGAGCCAAAGAAATATTCTTGGTCAAGCTATTACCTGAATTCAGAAGCCTCAAGTTTAGAAGAATTCAGAAGCCTCAAGTTAAGACGAAAAACCTTAAGCAGTAAGCAAGACAGAAGCAAAAACATGGCCTGAGATGTGCTCTCTGGAACTCAGGTTTGGGAACTGATATCAGTTTCAGGAATCAGGTAGAAATGTTTCCTTAAAGAGGAAGAGGAATTATTAGCTCTTCTAATTCAGAGCTCTATATCCATATTGAATTCAAGTTTTTCTATTGCCAGTCTAGGATTTATGTAGGAACAATGTGATATAGGTTGAGAATGTGGAATAAGATTGAGGATATAGAACTGGATGAAAATGACAACATTTTTATTACCAAATAATTTCTTTTCTGTTATTACAGCCAAGTAGATAGACCATGGCTGAGAATGATTGAGGACACTTTAGTCCATGGTGTCCTTTCTAGTCAGAGATTACACCATTTTTTTCATATAGTCAATTCTTTATAAGCGTTTTGTTAATTAGTGTCAAATAAAAAGAGGAAATTGTACCCACAGGACACTATGTGGTTAAGAGTTAGTCCTTGAAAAAATATATATTAATCATAACAATAATAAAAGTTATTATCAATTGAGCAATTACTATGCATCAGAAGTGGACTACACTATTTGCATATAAAACATAATCATTTTAATGACCTTTCAAGATAGGTGACATTATATTTAATTTGTTAATGGGGAAACTAGTAATTAAATAGCATACATGATTCTCCACAGATCACACAACATATAAGTGTTTCTAAAGTTCCTGATCTTTCCTCTAGCTCAATGGTCTCCAACCTTTTTAGCATCAGGGACTAGTTTCGTGGAAGACAATTTTTCCATGGTCTGGTAGTGGGGTGGGGTTGGGATGGTTTCAGGATAATTGAAGCACATTACATTTATTATTGTGCACTTTATTTCTATTATTACTAAGTTGTAATACATAATGAAATAATTATACAACTCACCATAATGTAGAATCAGTAGGAGGCTTGAGCTTGTTTTCCTGCAACTGGATGGTCTCATCACCCCTAAATTGGACCATCACCCCTGACTAGGACCATCTAGTTGCAGGAAAACAAGCTTAAGGCTCCCATTGATTCTACATTATGTGAGTTGTATAATTATTTCATTATATATTACAAGATAATAATAATATAAAGTGCACAATAAATATAGTGTGCTTCAAACATCCTGAAACCACCCCAACCCCACCTGACTACCAGTCCATGGAATAATTGTCTTCCACGAAACTGGTCCCTGGTGCCACAAAGGTTGGGGACTGTTGAGCTAGAGGAAAGAATAGGAACTTTAGAAACACTTAAATGTTGTGTGATCTGTAGAGAATCATGTATACTTTTTAATTACTAGTTTCCCCATCAACAAATTAGATATAATGTCACCTATCTTGAAAGGTCATTAAAATAATTATTTTATTGGGGGTGATGGGAGACAGCGACAGATCATCAGGCATTAGATTCTCGTGAGGAGCATGCAACCTAGATCCCTTGCATGCACAGTTCACAATAGGTTTCACACCTGAAAATCTAATGCCATCACTAATCTGACAGGAAGTGGAGCTCTGGCAGTACTTTGAAGTAAGGTGAGTGATGAGGAGCAGCTGTAAATACAGATGAAGCTTCTCTTACTCACCAGTCGCTCACCTCCTGCTGTGCTGCCCAGTCCTAACAGGACAGGGACTGGTTGTAGTCTGTGACCCAGGGGTTGAGGACCCCTGTTATAACTCATGCAATGGCCCTTACCTGACTAAGTACAGTAATAGAAAATAGTTCATACATATACTTTAAAAAGACACATATTGAGCATCCACTATGTCAGACACTGTGTTGTATTTCTGGTGGTAAAACATTAAGACACTGTTAGAACAGTCAAGAACCAAGGATTCTAATGGAAGAAAACTGATGAGTAAACAGAAAATTAGAGTGCATTGTGATAAGCGTTGATATGGAAATATGTATTTGATGTTAGGGGCACAATTGTAGTAATTTTTAAAAGAGACATTAGGCACATGCATACAAAAAAGTGTATAAAAAGGAATAGACACTCTACATATGTAATAAAAAGAACCAAAAAAATCAAATTTAGCAATGTCTATTCATTTTCAACTGAAAATAAATTCATTTAAATTAATTAAATTAATTTTGGTTAATTGGGCATAGTGAGTTTATTTAATATATGGTTTGGGGAAAAGCATAACTCAATTTTCACAGCCAATTAGAATATTTCATTACCTCCTGATCTATCATTTGATCATAAAGCCTGAATTTGGTTGGAACCTGGTTACTCTACCGAAGTCATAGCTACTAATGCTAGAGTATTATTTTCTTCTTAATTTCTATATCTCAAAATAGTTTATCAAAATCTCACCTCAGTTTTCTTCATTTCTCACTACCTCCCTTTCCTGAACAATCCCATATTCACAAATCTCTTCCCTTGTCTTGAAATCTATGATATGGACAAATATATAATGATATGTTGATACCATTATATATATTTATCATTTATTTTATATATAACTATTATATATATATATGATGTATGTCTACCATTATAGTATCATGGCAAATAGTTTTATTGCCCCCAAAATTGTCAGTGTTTTGCCTATTTATTTCTCCTTCCTCTCAAACCCTGACAATCACTCATCTTTTTACTGTCTTTATAGTTTTGCCTTTTTCAGAATGTCATATAATTGGAATTGTACACTATACAGCCCTTTAATATTGGCTTCTTTCATTCAATAATATACACTTAAGCCGGGCGCGGTGGCTTACACCTGTAATCCCAGCACTTTGGGAGGCTGAGGCAGGCAGATCACTTGAGGTCAAGAGTTTGAGACCAGCCTGGCCAAACATGGTGAAACCCCGTCTCTACTAAAAATACAAAAAAAATTAGCCAGGTGTGTTGGCAGGTGCCTGTAATCCCAGCTACTTGGGAGGCTGAGGCAGGAGAATCGCTTGTTCCCCTCTTTGTGTTCATGAGTTATTATTTACCTCCCACTCATAAGTATGAATATGCAGTATTTGGTTGTCTGTTCCTGTGTTAGTTTGCTTAGGATAATGGCCTCCAGCTTCATCCATGCTGCTGCAAAGAACATGATATTTTTCATTTTTATGGTTGTGTAGAATTCCATAGTTGTAAATGTGCCACATTTTCTTTATCCAGTCTACCGATGAACAGGATTTAGATTGATTATATGTCTTTATTGTGAATAGCGTTATGATGAACATATGCATGCATGTGTCTTTTTGGTAGAATGATTTATATTCTTTTGGGTATATACCAAATAATGGGATTACTAGGTTGAATGGAAATTCTGTTTTAAGTTTTTTGAGGAATCACCACACTACTCTCCACAATGGCAGAACTAATTTATGCTCTCATCAGCAGCGTATAAGCATTCCCTTTTCTCTGCAACCTTGCCAGCATCTGTTGTTTTTTGACTTTTTAATAATAATCATTTTGACTGGTATTAGATGGTATCTCATTGTGGTTTTGGTTTGCATTTTTCTAATGATTAGCAATGTGAGCATTTTTCCATATGCTTGCTGGTCTCATGTACGTCTCTTTAAAAAAATGTCTGTTCATGTCTTTTGCTCACTTGTAATGGGGTTGTTTTTCTCTTGTAAATTTGTGTAAGTTCCTTAAATAATCTTGATATTAGACTTTTGTTGGACGCATAGTTTGCAAGTATTTTCTCTTCATTCTGTAGGTTGTCTGTTCACTGTGCTGAAAGTTTCTTTTGCTGTGGAGATGCTCTTTGGTTTAATTAGCTCCTATTTGTCAATTTTTGCTTTTGTTGCAGTTGCTTTTGGCATCTTAATCATGAAATCTTTGCCAGGTCCTATATACAGAGTGGTATTTCCTAGGTTATCTTACAGAGATTTTACAGTTTTAGGTTTTACATTTAAGTCTTGATTTTTTTATGTGGTGTAAGAAGGGTCCAGTTTCAATCTTCTGCATATGGTTAGCCAGTTATTCCAGAACCATTTATTGAATAAGGAGTCCTTTCCTCATCGCTTTTGTCAGCTTTGTTAAAGATTAGATAGTTGTAGGTGTGCTGCTTTACTTCTGGGCTCTCTATTCTGTTCCATTGGTCTATGTGTCTGTTTTTGTATCATACCATCCTGTTTTGGTTACTGTAGCTTTATAATATATTTTGAAGTCAGATAACATGATGCTTCCAGTTTTGTTCTTTTTGTTTAGGATTGCCTTGGCTATTCAGGCTCCTCTTTTGTTCCAAATGAATTTTAAAATAGTTATTTCTAGCTCTGTGAAGAGTGTCATTAGTAGTTTGACAGGAATAGCATTAAATCTGTAAATTGCTTTGGACAGTATGACCATTTTAATGATATTGATTCTTCCTATTCACGATCATGAAATGCTTTTTTCTGTTATCTCTGATTTCTTTGAGCAGTGTTTCATAATTCTTCCTGTAGAGGCCTTTCTCCTCCCTAGTTAGCTCTATTCCTAGGTATTTTATTCTTTCTGTGGCAATTGTGAATGGGACTACATTCCTGATTTGGCTCTCAGCTTGGAGGCTGCTGGTGTACAGAAATACTGAAGATTTTTGTACATTGATTTTATAGCCTGAAACTTGGCCTAAGTTGTTTCTCAGATCAAAGAGCTTTTGGGTAGATACCATGGGGTTTTCTATATATGGAATCATGTTGTCTGAAAACAGAAGTAGTTTTACTTACTCTCTTCCTATTTGGATTTTTTTTTTTTTTCCCCTATGGCCTGATTGCTCTGGCCAGGATTTCTAACACTATGTTGAATAGGAGTGGTGATAGAGAGTGTCCTTGTCTTGTTCTGGTTTTAAAGAGGAATGCTTCCAGCTTTTGCCCAGTAAGTATGATGTTGGCTGTGGATTCATCGTTTTCACTTACATTAAAATATTTTAAAAATTTGTCTTGATTTTGACCTATGTTTTATTTAAAAGTGTGGTTTTTAATCTCCAAATATTTGGGGTTTTTCAATCTATGTTTCTGTTATTGATTTCTGGTTTAATTTCTTTTTGGTCTGAGAGAAAACATTGTATGATTTCTATTCTTTTGAACTTATTAAGGTATGTTTTGTGGCACAGAGTGTGATCTATTTTGGTGAATGTCCCATGTGTGTTTGAGAAGATCGTATGATCGGTGTTCTGGAATGAAGTGTAGCTATCATTTGTATCCAATCAATTGATGGTGCTGTTGAGTTTTGAAGTCAGCTTTTCAGTCACTAGCTGAAGTTCAGAAATGCTGCTAACACATCTGATTAATCTTCCTCTCAAGTAACCAATTGATTCCTACTGATTATTGGAATATTCTACTTTGGTGTCTGGGATCTTGTTGCAAGACTCTGACATATCTTAATAACACGTTTTGGGGTTGGTGATTTTCATATTTTAGCATGCTCCAGGCAATGACACCTGTCGGGGAAAATTGTCCAGACTTAGAAATGCCAAAAGTGATTATTAGGTATCATTTCCAGTGCAGGGCTGAGAGTTACCTATTAGACTTTCTGCAGATTAGTTGATTCTATGAAGGTGTACACATGTGTTTGTCTTTATATTACCTAGGCTCTTCCAGAATGATACTGAGGTAGAAGTTAAAAAGACAACAAAGGACACAAATTTATCCATAAAAACAAACATTATTTTTTCTGGTAGAGATAAATTTCCGCCTAGTGATAAAAATGAGTCCACCCATTATACTTTATTGTCTTATAAGATATTTACCAGTTTTACATCTATTAGTACACTCATTTTAGCATTCCAGATTGCTTAAATATATATGTTTCTTCTTCAAATTCCTTGTTGAAGTGATTTTAACATCTTACTGCTTTATTTATTAATTTATGAATTGCAGAAATCTTAATCATGTGTTAATTTTATATTGCATGTGAATTATGAATTTTCCTTTTTTGGAAATCATATTTTAATATAATTATGTCATGATAGCCACCTGTCCTTTAGTGATTATAAGACATTGTTTGGAAGATATTGTTAGAGTTAAAAGATTTTAAAATATAAAATACACACATCTTCAAATTGGTGAAATATGGTAATCACTAAGTCATATTAATTCTTCCTCCAAATACACTTAAATACATCCTCTTCCTTTAGTTCCCACTGCTTTTGTCTGAGTTTCCTTGCTTCTTATGAGAAATGTTTCAATAACTTCCTAAATTATGTCTTTTTCATTAGCCTTCATTCCTTCCAATCCATTATTTGCAATGCTGCCTCAGAATGATTCTAAACCCAACTGTCAAAGTGACACTGCTGTTTCAAACCTTGCAATGAATTCTACTTCTTGTTATAGTATACTGAAATCTTCTCAATTTACATCCTGAGTATCTTGCTTCCAACTTTATCTTTCCTTTAGTAAATCTCAGATTTTTTTATCTTAGTAGTTTTGCACTTGTGGTATTACTGTAATCTCTGGTTAGAGATTCTTCAAGTTTCTACAAGCTTATGATTGTTTCATAATACTTAGCAAAGTATATATCTTTGTATATATCGTTTTAATTTATATTTATAAAGGTAATTTGCTACTTTTTCACAGAAGCTTCTGAATGGCTTAAATATTTCTGAGATGTGTTACTCTTTGGACAAGGAGTTTAAAATATTCCATATCACTTACTGAGTACATGTTGAGTCTTAATTAAATTTTACATTCATGTTCAAAGGCAGTTATAATATACATATATTCTGGAGATGACTCCAAAATCAATTAAAGCAATAACTGGACCTACTTCCTCTCATTCCATTTTTGTACATCTAGGATATAAATTAGGAGAATTAAAAGAAATTTTAATAAACTACAATAATAATAAATTGAATTAATAATTATTAGCAGTTGAATTTGAGATTTTCTTATAGTCTAAGCTTAGATAGATATAGATATTGATATGTATATAGATATAAGTATGTGTGTGTTTAAAGGTTAGTGTATACACAAAACTTTCATTTTTGGCACGTGGTGTTTTAGATATAATAGATTGGAATTTTTTACATCAAAAGGAATCGGATTGAGGAAAGAATATGTTAAATGAAATAAAAATTTTTGTAAAGGAAAGTAATTTTTATTATAGATAGCTGAAAAGCAAGTTACAGAGAAGCTTTATTTGAGGATAAAAGAATTTGTTCTTAAAATTTTTAAAGTTGTATTCAAAAAAATTACCATATTAGCAAATCTTCTTATTGACATATGTTTTGTTCCTAGTTTCCAAGTCAATAAATTATTGGGGTGGAAACACAGATATTGGGAAAAGTGAGTTCCTATTTTTTATAGAGATACCAAAAATTATTTTATGTCTGTATTATTAAAAGTAGATATTTTGTATTAGAGTTTTATCTTGCAGATTTGGCCTGTCTTGAGCAGTCTATATAGACAGGACGTACTATTTACACAAATTTACTCACCAAAACTTTTGTTCTAAGCCAGTTCATGCACATGTCATACTCTTTCTAGCTCTCTTATTTTTCTTATGCTGTATGTGTAAGAGGGGTTGGCTATATTTATTCTGTCAATTGTAATAAACAACAATTGTTTGGCTATTTTCAAAAACTGATTTTATCTCCTGAGCTAATATTTATACCCAGAGGATGAAACAAACAACAGCAAACAAACAACAAATAAACAATAAAAAAATCACCCAACCCTAAGTATGAGCATTTAAAATAACTAAATTCCTTCTTAGATTTGAAGCCATCTTTTATGTGTCATTATCTCAGCCAATTTTATTATCTCAGCCAATTTTGAATTTCTGCTCATTTATTGATTCTTATCTTCCCTCTTCTCCTGCCCATCTGTCTGGCAGATATTTAAATTTTCAGCAAGTATAAATTTCATCCTGGCAAAGGAAGAAGATTTCTGGTTCTTAGGTGCTTTATTCAGAGGTTTAGCTTATCTTATCTGATCTCTGAAATTCCTTCACTGATAGCTACTAAAATGTTCCTGGGACCACCTGCTCATTTGTACACCAGGCTGGCACACACTGATGAAGTCCAGTCTCAAGTCATGAAGCCTATTTTTTGCCACTTTTCTCTTCTGAAAACCCTTTCTCTTCACTGTTTTTATGTCTCTACTGGAGCACACAGGAATCATTAAATCTCCTAGATTAGTGTTTTTGATGATATAAAAGCAATGGGGCAGGAGAAAGGGGATTGCCCAGCATAAATCAAGGCATTGGCACAATTCCATAATAGTAACTATTTTATTCTTCATCATCGCAAACCAATATCTTGCAAATGACTAGTTACAAAATGCATGGGTAAAATATCCAATCAAAGTACAATTAAATGAATGGATTTTGATAAAACAGTGTGTGGTTAAGAAAGTATCCTTGCCTCCAGATTTACTTTTTTTTTTTTCTCAAGATTCTTTTGGCTGTTTGGAATCCTTTTGGTTTCATACAAATCTTAGGACTTTTTTTCTATTTTTGTAGAAAATTCCATTGAGATTTTGATAGGGATTGCCTTGAATTTTTTGCTTTAGGTAGTATGGACATTTTAACATTAAGTCTTCTAATCCATGGATATAGAATTTCCTACCCATTCTTTAACTCAAAACCACAATGAGATATAACATCATGTATTTTAGGATGACAACTATTTAAAAAAAGATAACAAATGTTGTAGGATATGTGGAGAAATTCAAAACAATGTATTTTGTTGGTGGGAATGTAAAATAGAGTAGCTGCTCTGGAAAACAGAATGGAGAGTCTTCAAAAACTTAAAAATAGGCATACTATATTATCCAGCAATCCCTCTTCTGGGTATCAATTTTAAAGACTTAAAATCAGGATTTGAAGCTACATCTATACTCCCATGTTCATTGCTGCATTATTCACAATAACTGAGGTGCAGAAAAACACTTAAGAGTACTGAATGGACAAAAACTGGAAGCATTCCCTTTGAAAACTGGCACAAGACAGGGATGCCCTCTCTCACCACTCCTATTCAACATAGTGTTGGAAGTCCTGGCCAGGGCAATCAGGCAGGAGAAGGAAATAAAGGGCATTCAATTAGGAAAAGAGGAAGTCAAATTGTCCCTGTTTGCAGATGACATGATTGTATATCTAGAAAACCTCATCGTCTCAGCCCAAAATCTCCTTAAGCTGATAAGCAACTTCAACAAAGTCTCAGGATACAAAATCAATGTGCAAAAATCACAAGCATTCTTATACACCAATAACAGACAAACAGAGAGCCAAATCATGAATGAACTCCCATTCACAATTGCTTCAAAGAGAATAAAATACCTAGGAATCCAACTTACAAGGGATGTGAAGGAACTCTTCAAGGAGAACTACAAACCACTGCTCAATGAAATAAAAGAGGATACAAACAAATGGAAGAACATTCCATGCTCATGGGTAGGAAGAATCAATATCATGAAAATGGCCATACTGCCCAAGGTAATTTATAGATTCAATGCCATCCCCATAAAGCTACCAATGACTTTCTTCATAGAATTGGAAAAAACTACTTTAAAGTTCATATGGAACCAAAAAAGAGCCCACGTCACCAAGTCAATCCTAAGCCAAAAGAACAAAGCTGAAGGCATCACGCTACCTGACTTCAAACTATACTACAAGGCTACAGTAACCAAAACAGCATGGTACTGGTACCAAAACAGAGATATAGACCAATGGAACAGAACAGAGCCCTCAGAAACAATGCCTCATATCTACAACTATCTGATGTTTGACAAACCTGACAAAAAGAAGCAATGGGGAAAGGATTCCCTATTTAATAAATGGTGCTGGGAAAACTGGCTAGCCATATGTAGAAAGCTGAAACTGCATCCCTTCCTTACACCTTATACAAAAATTAATTCAAGATGGATTAAAGACTTACATGTTAGACCTAAAACCATACAAACCCTAGAAGAAAACCTAGGCAGTACCATTCAGGACATAGGCATTGGCAAGGACTTCATGTCTAAAACACCAAAAGCAATGGCAACAAAAGCCAAAATTGACAAATGGGATCTAATTCAACTAAAGAGCTTCTGCACAGCAAAAGAAACCACCATCAGAGTGAACAGGCAACCTACAGAATGGGAGAACATTTTTGCAACCTACTCATCTGACAAAGGGCTAATATCCAGAATCTACAATGAACTCAAACAAATTTACAAGAAAAAAACAAACAACCCCATCAAAAAGTGGGCAAAGGATATGAACAGACACTTCTCAAAAGAAGACATTTATGCAGCCAAAAAACACATGAAAAAATGTTCATCATCACTGGCCATCAGAGAAATGCAAATGCAAACCACAGTGAGATACCATCTCACACCAGTTGGAATGGCGATCATGAAAAAGTCAGGAAACAACAGGTGCTGGAGAGGATGTGGAGAAATAGGAACACTTTTACACTGTTGGTGGGACTGTAAACTAGTTCAACCATTGTGGAAGTCAGTGTGGCGATTCCTCAGGGATCTAGAACTAGAAATACCATTTGACCCAGCCATCCCATTACTGGGTATATACCCAAAGGATTGTAAATCATGCTGCTATAAAGATACATGCACATGTATGTTTATTGCGGCACTATTGGCAATAGCAAAGACTTGGAACCAACCCAAATGTCCATCAATGATAGACTGGATTAAGAAAATGTGGTACATATACACCATGAAATACTATGCAGCCATAAAAAATGATGAGTTCATGTCCTTTGTTAGGGACATGGATGAAGCTGGAAACCATCATTCTCAGCAAGCTACCGCAAGGACAAAAAACCAAACGCCACATGTTCTCACTCATAGGTGGGAATTGAACAATGAGATCACATGGACACAGGAAGGGGAACATCACACACTGGGGATTGTTGTGGGGTGGGGGAAGTGGGGAGGGATAGCATTGGGAGATATACCTAATGCTAAATGACGAGTTGATGGGTGCAGCACACCAACATGGCACATGTATACATATGTAACAAACCTGCACGTTGTGCACATGTACCCTAAGACTTAAAGTATAAAAAAAAAAAGGCTTATTAACAATTGAGGGTCTCCCAGTGAAATGGCCAAATTCCTAATACACACAGCTTCCCTCTCCCGAATTCTTATCCATCAATAAACCTATCCATGCAGAGAGAAAAAAAAAGTTTATTAATGGATGAATAGATAAAGGAAATGTGATATTTATATCACATTAGAATATTATTCAGCATTAGATATGAGGAGATCTTTTTCTTTTTTTCTTTTTTCTTTTTTTTTTTTCCTTTTTGAGACGGAGTTTCGCTCTTGTTGCCCAGGCTGGAGTGCAATGGCGCTATCTCGGCTCATCACAACATCCGCCTCCCAGGTTCAAGCAATTCTCCTGCCTCAGCCTCCCAAGTAGCTGGGATTACAGATATGCGCCACTACGCCCAGCTAATTTTTTGTATTTAGTAGAGATGGGGTTTCACCATGTTGGTCAGGCTGTCTCAAACTCCTAACCTCAGGTGAGGAGGGGCCTCCCGAAGTGCTGGGATTATAGGCATGAGCCACCATGTCTGGCTAATTCCGCATTAGAAAGGAAGAAAATCCTGCCACAGGCAACACTATGACTGAATCTTGGAGGACATTTGCTAAGCAAAGTAAGCCAGTCACAGAAGAACAAATACTGCATGATGCCACTTACATGAGGAATCTAAAATAGTCAAACTATAGAAGCAGAGAGTGTAATTGTTGTCAGGGACTGCGAGGAGGAAGAAATAAGGAGTTGCTTTTCATCAGGTATAAAGTTTACATTATGCAAGATGAGTAAGTTCTAGATAAATCTATAACATTGTGCATTTAGTTAAGAATAATGCATTGTATACTTAGAAGTGTGTCAAGATAGTAGATACCATGTTAACTGTTCTTATCACAATTTAATAAATAATTAAATAAATAAATACCATGTGTGTAGTGTTGGTATAGTAACATAGAAGAATATTTACAATTATATTTAAAAAGCAATTAAAATACTTCTGTCTCTGTCATCTAAATGTCAGGGTGTGGCTTGAAATTTTTTAATCACAACGACATATCACAAAAATATGTAGTTTACTGAGGAAATGAATAAGAGAAACCAGCTGTCTCATCACACCAAAAATTCAAGTGATATATGAAATGTAAATCAAAGCCCTTTTATTGTTTTGGGAATTTATGAATTTTTTATTAAAATTTTTTATGTTAGCATTAAAATTTTGTTTGAATTTCGGATACACTAAATACTAGATTTTCAATTTCTAATATGGTAAATGTTATAACTCTGTGAAGTTCCAATAATTTTTAACATATAAAGTGGTCCCAAAACCAAAGAGTTAAGAGAATCACCACACATAAGCAAGAAGACCTGCAAACTTCTCAGGACCATGATTTTTAGATTAGGCCTTTCCTCAGCTAATTTCATATCATTGTCTTGGAAGTATCATATTTTCCTGAGAAACAAAAGCAATATTTTCTCATTTAGTTTTTCTATCACACATTTCTCCCACACACACATTTGCCTTCTTCATTCTCTCTCATTTTAAAATGCACCTTGCTGCAATAGACTACAAGTTCTTTCTGTAAGTGCTTTTTTGTTTTCATCTGGAAAATCAAGTTTCTAAGACAATATTCACGGTGTAGTTTGAAATGTTTATTTTAAAATTCAAAACTTGGAAAAGAAACAATGAACTTCGTTATTTTAAGTCATGCCTCTCTTTCCTGAGAAAATGGGCCTTAGCCCTGGGGCTTATTCTTAATGGTTTAAAGACTGTACAATCATTATGTCAACAAAGAAATTAAGGCAGAAATTAAAAATGTTTTTGTCACAAATAAAAATCAAAACACAATAATACCAAAACCTGTGGGATCCAACAAAAGCAGTGCTAAGTGGGAAATTTACAGCGTTAAATGTCTACATCAAAAAGTAGAAAACATTATAAATTAACAACCTAATGTCACAACTTAGGGAACTAGAAAATAACAACAAACAAAAAGCAAAGTTAGCAGAAGAAAAGAAGTAACAAGGATCAGAGCAAAAGTAAATGAAATAGAGACCCCAAAACAATAGAAAGGATAAAAAAGGTAAAAAATGGTTCTTTAATAAAATAAACAAAATTGAAAAACCACTAACTAGGCTAATCAAGAAGAGAGAAGAACCCCCCAAAAAAGGTCTGAAGTGAAAAATGAGCTATTACACCTGATACCATAGAAATACAAAGGATCATTAAGTATTACCATGAACAACTAACATTCACAAACTAGAAAACCTAGAGGAAATGGTGAAATTCCTGGAAACATGCAGCTTCCCAAGATTGAATCTGGAAGAACCAGATTCCTGAACAGACCATTAATGAGTAGTGAGACTCATTAGTAGTGAGAAAATTAATAATAATTTTAATAATTAATAACAATAATATAATAAATAATAAATAAAATATAAATATATATTTTATTATACATAATAAATAAAATAATAATAATTTTAATAACTAATAGTAATAATAAAATATCCCAATAAAAAGCCCAGCATCCGATAGATTTATAGCTAAATTCTACCAAATATACGAAAAAAACCTAATACTAATCCTCCTAAAAATGTTCCAAAAAAATCAAGAAGGAGGGATTTCTCCCTAACTCATTTTACAAGGCCAGTGTCACTGTGATACAAATATCAGACAAGGACACAACAAAAATGAAAACCTGCAGACCAATATTCCAGAGGAACATAGAAGCAAAAATTCTCAACAAAATATTACAAAATCAAACCCAACAGCACATGAAAAGGATAATATACCATGATCAACTGGGTTTTATTCCAGAGATGCAAGGATAGTTCAACATACGTAATCAATAAGTGTTATATATCACATAAAGAGAACTAAGGACAAAAATCATATAATCATCTCAATAGACAAATAAAAAGCATTTGACAAATTCAATAGACAAATTCAGCATTCTTTCATGACAAAAAAACTTCAACAAATTAGACATAGAAGGAACATATCTCAAAATAAGAAAGGTAATATATGACAAACCCACAGTGAAAATCATACTGAATTTTAAAAAGTTGAAAGCATTCCCTCTGAGAACTAGAACAAGACAAGGATGCCCACTTTCACCACTCCTATTCTAAATAGTACTGAAAGTCCTAGCCAGAACAATCAGGCAAGAAAAAGAAATAAAAGATATCCAAATTGGAAAAGAGGTGGTCAAATTGTTTCTGTTTGCTGATACTATGATCCTATATCCAAAAAACCCCTAAAGACTACACCAAAAACTCTAGACCTGATAAACAAATTCATTAACTTGCAGGATACAAAGTCAACATACAAGAATCAGTAGCATTTCTAAATACCAATAATGATCTTCCTGAAAATCAAATCAAGAAGGCAATCCATTTACAATGGCTACAATAAATAATAAATACATAAATACACAAATAAAATGTAGGAATACATTTAACCAAGATGATGAAAAATCTTTTCAAAGTAAACTACAAAACATTGATGAAAGAAATTGTAAATGACACAAGTGGAAAAACATCCCATGCTTATGAATCAGAGGAATTAATATTGTTCAAATGACTGTACTTTCTACTTAAATATACAGATTTAATGCAATGCCTATCAAAATACCAACATCATTTTTCACAGAATTACCAAAAAATTTTTAAATACATACACATTCTAAAAGAACCTGAATATTCAAAGCAATCCTAAGCAAAAAGAACAAAGCTGGAGGTAACACATTACCTGAATCAAATTATAATACACGGCTATAGTAACCAAACAACCTGGTATTGGTATAAAAATAGTCACATAAATCAATGGAATAGAATAAATAATACATGATACAGCCACATATCTACAGCCAACTGATCTTTGTCAAAGCCAACAAGAGCATACAGTGGGGAAAGAACACCCTTTTTCATAAATAGTGCTGGAAAAATTGAATTGCTATATGCAGAAGAATAAAAATGTTCCCCTATCTCTCACCATAATCACAAGATGAGTTAAAGACTTAAATGTAAGACCTGAAGCCATAAAAATTTCTTGAAGAAAACCTAGGGAAAATTTTTCTGGATCTTGGTCTACTCAAAGAATTCATGACAAATCTCAAAAGCACAAGAGACAAAAGCTAAAACAGACAAGTGAAACAATTAAACTAAGATGCTTTTGCATAGCAAAACAAATAACAGAGTGGGAAGATGATCAGCAGAATGGGAGAAAATACTAGCAAACTATGTATCTGACGGAGGACTAATATCCAGAATTTACAAGAAATGATAAAAAAATCCTATTAAAAAGTGGGCAGATGACATAGATATTTTTCAAAAGAAGCCATAACAAATGGGCAATGAGCACATAAAAACATCAGTAATTATCAGATAAATGCAAGTTAAAACACACTGAGACATCATCTTACACCAGTCAGAATGGCTACTATTAAAAAGACATAAAACAACAGGTGCTGGCAAGGATGTGGAGAAAAGGAACACTTATACACTGCTAGTGGAAATGTACATTAGTATAACCTCTATGAAAAGCAGTATGAAGATATATCAACTAAAAATTGAACTACCATTCAATTCAGCAATTCCATTATTAAGTATCTTTCCAAAGGAAAAAAAATCATTATAAGAAAAAGATAATTGCACTCAAATGTTTATCACAGCACTGTTCATAATAGCAGTGATATGAAATCAACCCAAGCGTCCATCAGTGGATGACTGGATAAAGAAAATGTGGTATATACACATATTAGAATACTATTCATCCATAAAAAATGAAATCATGTCTTTTGCAACAAGGTGGATAGAATTGGAGGCCATTATCTTCAAAAAATTAACTCAGAAACAGAGAGAAAAATACCATGCTTTCACTTATAAGTGGGAAATAAGTAATATTTAAACATGGACATAGAGTGTGAAGTGATGGACATTAGAGACACCCAAGGTTTGGGGAGTGAGAGGGGTTGGATGATGAGAAATCATTTAATGGATAAAATATACATTATTTGAGTGATGGCTACACTAAAAGCCCAGGCTTCACTATTATGCAATATATCTTTGTGACAAAATTGCATTTGTACCCCTTAAATTTATATTAAAAAAGACCAAGGTGGAAATATATATATATATATATTTATATATACATGTGTTGAGCTCAACTATTGCTTCTAAGAATATTCCTTTAACCTATTATTTATCTCATTGCACTGAAATTCATAATTCACTTGACTCTATATATCTTTAGTAAAATATCCTTTGATTGAGGGATCCATAACTTATTCAACTTGGCATGTTCAATAACCTGTAATGACAGTTACCTAATGTAAATATTAAATGAAAAAAGTTTTTCCAATACAAGAATATATTTCTAGAATAAAAGGGTCATAGTGTTGAAAAAATGGTGAAGTCTTTGAAGTAGGCAAAAGATTACAGGCTATTCTTACAATGGAATACTGGACATTGTCCAGAATACTCTTAGAGTTTTCCAGTTCTATAGGAATTTGTTTCTCTTGTTTCTGAATGTTCTATCTTGAAATTCTTAGAGATAGAAGTTAACTTTTATAATGCTGATGGTGATAAAAATGGTAAAGATGCAAGTACACTTTTTTTCTAGTAGAGATGCCAGAATGTTTTTATTTATTTATTATTTATTTATTATTTTTTTTTTTTTGAGACCATGTCTCGCCCTGTCTCCCAGGCTGGAGTGCAGTGGTGCTATCTCGGCTCACTGCAAGCTCTGCCTCCCGGGTTCACATCATTCTCCTGCCTCAGCCTCCCGAATAGCTGGGACTACAGAAGCCCGCCACCACGCCTGGCTAATTTTTTGTATTTTTAGTAGAGACAGGGTTTCACCGTGTTAGCCAGGATGGTCTCGATCTCCTGACCTCATGATCTGCCCGCCTCAGCCTCCCAAAGTGCAGGGATTACAGGCGTGAGCCACTGCGCCTGGTCAGAATGTTTTTATGACATTCTCCCCACACCAAGAGATGATTCCAAACATTGCATTTTATTGCTTTTTGTATATTAATCATTGTGCATTTATTCGCAAAATAATTTCAGCATTCCTGAGTGTGTTTGTGTGTGTGTCTGTCTTTGGATGTTTTAAAAAATGATACATAATATAATAGGTGAGCATATTTTAGGGATATTTGTGATATTTTGATACATTCGTATAATGTGTAATGATCAAATAAGGGTAATTGGAGTATCCATCACCTCAAGCATTTATCTTTACACTGAATTATTGAATTATTTTCTTCTGACTCTTTTGACATATATAATAGATTACTGTTAACTATAGTCACCCTACTGAACTATCGAACACTAGATCTTTTTTCCTTATACCTAACTGTCTTTTTGTATTCACTAATCAAACTCTGTTTATTCCTTCCTTCCCTATTTCCCATCCCAGCCTTTGGTAACCGCTATCTACTCTCTATCTTCATGAGATCTAAATTTTTAACTCCCATATATGAGTAAGAATATGTGATATTTCCCTTTATGTGTCTGGCTTATTTCACTTAACATAATGACCTACAGTTCCATCCATGTAGCAGTAAATAGTAGGATTTCATTTTTTTTTGTGTGGCCAAATAACGTTCCATTATGTGTGTGTGTGTAAAAGACATTTCTTTATTCATTCATCCATTCATGGAAACCTAGGTTGGTTCCACATTTTTGCTATTGTTAATAGTGCTATAATAGGAAGTGTAGATATCTCTTTGATATATTGATTTCTCACACACGCAAAAGAAAGGAAATCAATAGACACACACACACACACACACACACAGTAGTGGGATTGCTGAATTACATGGAGTTCTATTCTTAGCCTTTTGAGGAACCTCCATGCTGTATTCATGCTGCATTAATTCCCACCAACAGTGTATGACTTTCCCCTTTCTCCATATCCTCAAGAGAATCTGTTATTTTTTTGTCTTTTTGATGAAAGCCATTTTAACTGGGGTGAGATATCTCATTGTAGTTTTCATTTACATTTCCTTGATAATTAGTGATCTTGAACATTTAAAAAAGATTCTATTGGCCATTTGTATGTCTTCCTTTGAGAAATGTCTGGTCAGATCTTTTGTGCATTTTTTAATTGGATTATTTGTTTGTTTGTTTTGCTATTGACTTGTATGAGTTCCTTATATAGTCTGGTAGTTTTCCCTTGCCAGATGCATAAATTGAAAATATTTTTTTCTCATTCTGTGGGTTGTGGATTGTTTCCTTAGCTGTGCAGAACTTTTTTAACTTGATGAAATCTTATTTTTCTGTTCTTGCTTTTGCTGGCTGTGCTTTTGAGCTTTCACCCAAAAATTCTTTGCCCAGACGTATTCTAAGCACTTCCCTAATGGTTTCTTTTAGTAGTTTCATAGTTTCAGGTCTTAGATTTCAGGTCCCTTAGATTTCATAGTTTCAGGTCTTAGATTTCAGGTCTATGTCTTTAATCTATTTTAATTTGATTTTTGTATATGGTGAGAAATGGGGGTCTAGTTGCATTCTTTTACAAAGGTTATAGAGTTTTTCCAGATCCATTTATTAAAGAGATTGTCCTTCCCCAATGTATGTTCTTTGTGCCTTTGTTGAAAATGAGTCATCTGTGTATGTGTGGATTTATTTCTGGATTCTCTATTCTCTTGAATTGTTCTATGTGTCTGTTATTAAGCCCAGTGCCATGATTTTTGGTTACTATGGCTTTGTAGTGTATTTTGAAATCAGGTAGTGTAATGGCTCCAACCTTGTTCTTTTTGCTCAAGTTTGCTTTGGCTATTCAGGGTCTTTTGTAGTTCCATTCAGATTTTAGAACTTTTTTCCTATTTATTTGAAGAATGTAATTTGTATTTTGATAGGGATTGCATTAAATCTGCAAATCACATTGGGTAGTATGAACATTTTTAAAACATTAATTCTTTCAATCCAGGTGCATGGGTTATCTTTCCTTTTTTGGTGCAGTCTTCAATTTATTTTATCAGTGTTTTGTATTTTTTCTTGTAGACATCTTTCACTTCTTTGGTGAAATTTTTTCCGTAGTACTTTGTATTTTTGTAGCTATC
Source organism: Homo sapiens (assembly GCF_000001405.40). Taxonomy (NCBI): domain Eukaryota; kingdom Metazoa; phylum Chordata; class Mammalia; order Primates; family Hominidae; genus Homo; species Homo sapiens. The sequence continues at coordinate 78,046,373 of NC_000008.11, read as the reverse complement.
ATAAATTGAATTGCTTTCTCGATTTTTTTTTCAGGTTGTTTGCTGTTGGCATATATAACTGCTCTTAATTTTTATATATTAATTTTGTACCTAGCATCTTTACTAAATTAATATATCAGTTTTTAATAATAGTTTTTTGATGAAGTCTTAAGTGTTTTATAAATATAAGATAATGTCAATTGTGAACAAAGATAATTTGACTTCTTCCTTTCCAAATTGGATGCACTTTCATTTTTTCTCTTGTATAATGGCTCTGGCCAGGATTTCTAATATCATATTGAAAAAAAATGTGGTCCAAGTGGACATTCTGGTCTTGATTCAGATCTTGGAGAAAAGACCTTTAATTTTTCCATATTCAGTCTGATTTGAGATGTGGGTTTGTTATATATGGCCTTTATTATTTTGAGGTGTTTCTTCAATACTCAGTTTGTTGAGATTTTTTATCATAAACAAGTGTTGAATTTTATTGAATGCTTTTACAGCAGCTATTGAAATGATCATATGGGTTTTGTGCTTGATTCTGTCAATGTGATGTATCACATTTATTGATTTGCATTATGTTGAACCATCCTTGCATCCCTGGGACGAATCCCACTTGATCATGGTGAAAGATATTTTTAATAAGTTGTTAAATTCAATTTGTTGATATTTTGTGAGATGTTTTGTATCTCTGTTCATCAGGGATATCCTTGTAGTTTTCTTTTTTTGTTGTTGTGTTCCTGTCTGGTTTTGGTATTAGGGTAATGCTGGACTCATAGAATGAGAGTCTTCAGATTTCTATTGAACCATTTTTAACATCTTTCTGATTCCTTAACTTATTCATGTGTTAACATTTGACACTTGTTCATTTTATATTGGTAAGTCATGATTCCAGTTTTTAAAAATGATTCTTTATCAGTCGCATATTTACAGAAATCATCTCTATGAAATATTGTATCAGTTAATCCAATTGACTCTTAAAGAAAAATTATTTGCCAATTTTCTAGTTACTAAAATTCTATTAAAATGGAGAAATTTTTATTTTCCCACTAACAACAATCAATAGGAGATAATCTGCTATAATATAAGATTTTCCTTCCCTCCCTCCCTCTCTCTCTCTTTTTTTTTTTTTTTGAACTATTTCCTCTTTATTTGAAGGAGACACTGAACCAGTATGTATTGCCTGACTACCAAAGGATGAATAGCACTTCATTTACTTTATTCTGTATGGTTTTCTTTTTATATAAAAAAGTTTTAATAGGAAGCTTTCTTTAATTCATTATTTTTATCATATTGTGACTGTGCCATCATCTCAAAATCTGCTTGTTTTAGGGTATTTTAACATTGTTTTTAATATTTTGATTAGAATATATTTGGCCTAATGAAAAATGTGAAATCAGAATGGATGATGACAATACTCAACTTTCTCTTCAAATGATCTTACAGTAATTTCCAGAAGAGGTCAAAGAAATAAACTATAACTCATTAGCCTGGGGGTAAGAGTCATCACTTTGCCATACTGGAAACTGGCAGACTTTCTGTCTTTTGTCCTTAAGAAGTTGAGTATTAAACTAATTTCAAATATACCAAACAGACATAAAAGACAGAAGTACAGAAGAGAAAGATTATAATTTCACAAAAGATTGCTTTTTGGTTAATATTTACACGTAACCTCTATTTCAGTAACTTGTGACACATCATGGAGAAATATCTAAAATGCAGATAGTATGAAAATTTTTTGTTTAATGTTATAAAAAATGGTTTTAATGATATCTCAATCAATTATATAAAAGGGTCCTTTGGGGGGTAGAATAAAAGCACTTTGCATGTTTTATTTATGGGGAATGATATGCCTGAAGCCATATGTCTACATATTAACATTTGAATGAATCATCCTTCTTTTACAAAGTAATGTTTCGTTTAAAATTTTAAATATGTTATTCTTCTCAATGTTTAAATGTCATCTTGATTCCATGGGGTACATATCTCTGTTCAGTTTCAAAATTTTGTTCTCAGAATGTATTGCATACTTCCCTGAACTCAGTTGAATACTGGTGCTAGAAACTCCATAAAACAAAAAGATGCATAAGCCCTTCTTTGGAATGAAAATACTTTGAGTTCGTTATTGATAGAGATTAAGTGACTGACAATGAAAGTCAATACATTACATAATAAATTACTAACTTTGTAAGACTATAGAGGAGATAGCATTCATAAAATGTACAATTCAAAGCGTCATAAGTAAAGGAAATGAAAGTCTTTAGAAATATGTATCAGCTCATGAGAAAATAAGTATTTCAATAATTTCAAAAACCTCACCACATAGATAAAACAGCCATTAAATAAATGTGTGCTTCTTAGTGACACCTTCATATTTTGAAATGATTCACATTTTTCAGTCATCACTCTATGGAGCAGTTTATGTTTTTACTTTTCTTCTGTTATGAAGACCTCACAGTAGTGACTGTGATGCACATCTTTGTATTACCATTGTCTAGTCCTGTGCTTGACACATGATAAGAGTTCACTAATACTTTTTACTATTAAATAATAAATTCTGGAGATAAGCTTTTTAAAAGAAATCTTAATGTATTAGGGCTTTTTTTTGGTTTTGCTTCAAAAATAAATTACCACAACTTAGCAATTGAAAAAATACCCATTTATTACATCAGAATTCTGAACAAGTTGAACTGAACTCTGCTTAGAGTCTTACCAGGCTCAAATCAAGGTGTCACATTGACTGGGTTTTATCTGGAAACTCTGGGGAAAAATCTACTTCTAAGCTTATTCAAGGTGTTGCCAGAGTCCAGTTCGTTGTGGCTGATGGTCTCCAGTCTCACTTCCTTGCTAGTCATCAGGAGGGAGAACTCTCTACTCTTAGATGCTACCCACATTCCTTCTGATATGGACCTAGCATTCAAAGCAACAGGAATTAATTGAGTTCTTCTCACATTTTGGATCCCTCTGACTTTCTCTTCTACTCTTCTTCCACCAAGTGGATAAAACTCTTTGATTTTAAATGGCTCATATATTTAGACTAAGTGCAGGTCTGTAATCTCCCTTTTGGCATGTAATTATAGGAGTAACCCCAGAATGTAAATGTCACCAGTTCGATCTTCAAATTCTGCCTACCACAGAGAAATACATGAACTGTTAGATAAGAAGAAATTTATCAAAAAGTGAGATAACTGAAATTATCTTTTAATCAGAGAAGGATAAAGGACACTTTTGTATTTTTTGTATTTTTTATTTTTAGTTTAGAAAGGATGCTTCCTTAAAGGTCAGCAACAGTCTATAATTTAGAATTATTTGTAACTTTTAAGGCAAAATTAGAATTTATAAATAGGTTAGAAGGACAAAATGCAAAATCTTCTCATAAGATCTGAAGACACCATCTATCTGCACGTAAGTCCATTCATTCCACGTTAATTGACTTGCTAGGTTATTCCTTCAATGGGTCAAGAATGTGAAACAATCCTTTGAACATATGGAACCTGAGGATGCAAACTGCTCCTTTCATAGAGAAAGAATAAAGTTACTGAATTCCAGAGGTTCTTTTTTAAAACATGACAGTGGACATTTTCTTTATATGAAACATATTCACATATATATATATACATATACACATTTTTTGTACATTTTTGAAATCTATTTTATGTTGAGCCAAAATTGAAGTTCATTTGAAGTTCCAAATTATTTAGTATAATTTATTAATTGCATATTTATAAGGGCTGTCAGTATAGATGGAAATCCCTTCGTTCAAAGAAATATTAAAAAAAACATGTATGAACATGCATATACATCCACTATACAACATGTTGACTTTTCATTACCTGATCATCCTGGGAATACCACAGATAAGGCTAAGCAAGTGCTTCTGCTGCAAGCCCCCAGTGTCTATGATTTGTTTATGAAATAAGCATCTTGGTTGAAAAATATATTCTATCATGCTCTCTCTTTTTATCTTTCTTTTCTGGTTCAATTGTGGACTTGTATTTTTATCAAAAAATGTTATAAACTGTTCTAAAACATTCACTTTCAAAAGATATTTATTTGATTTGCATTTCTCTGGTGATCAACGATGTTGAGCACTTTTTCATGTACCTATTTGCCATTTGTATGTCTTCTTTTCAGAAATGTCTATCCAGATTTTTTGTCCATATTTGAATAGGATTATTAGGTTTTTTCTGTAGAGCTATTTGAACTCTTTATATATTCTGCTTATTAATCCCTTCTCAGATGCATACTTTGCAAATATTTTCTCCCATTATATGAGTTGTCTCATCACTTTGTTGATTGTTTCCTTTGAAAAGTTTATTACTATTGAAAGTAATTGAAAACAGGATATACTTTAATATGATGTCTATTATGTGAATCTTCTTGCAGGAAAAGAATAGACTTTAAAGTTAAAAAAATTCAACATAAAATTTAGCCTAAATTTTGGCTTATTCTTCTTGCACTAATAATGTGATATTTGAAACAATCTTAACTTTTATGAGCCTTACTTTTCTTCTCTGTCATATCAAGATAATAATTTCAGCCTTATGGAGTAATTAAGGGGATTTAAGTAATGCATACAAAATGTTTCAGGTAGTGCATACGCCTACAGCTGCTGGTAAATAACAGTTGCTTTACCTTCTATAGTGTTCATGGAGAATATAAGAGGTAACAGTAGGCTGTCTTAACTCCAAAACTGAAAGGAATAAGAAAATATTCTTCTCGAACACAAAGGAGGCAGACAATGATATTACCTATACATTACAAAACGGTATATTTAATCCATATCAAAGAGCACAAATACATTACACTATGGGGTGAAGGTAGGCCAGAATCATCACATCCGTGTTGAAATGGAAGAAATTAATCTCAAGTCTACTAAGAGGATTTTTTAAAATCCCAGTTTCACTGAAATCAATGTAAATAAAATCCTCTTCATTGTCTATCAAAAATTTTCATTGTCTATATTTTTCATTCATATTTTGATCCATTTTTATGATCTACTCTGAAGTTTTTCCTTCTTAAAAGCATAAAAATACAAAAACTGAGACATTAGCTTTTAAACATGTTTCATAAAGTTGATAAACCATATGATGATTATTTTTTCTTTTGTTGCCTGTTTATGTTTAGATATATTGCATCCCCAAACAATATTGCCATATGTTTGAATGATCTCAGTATGCTTTGCAGTGAAATCCTAGTAGAGCAAGAGGCACTAGGCAAAAGTCCAAAGATCTTGGTTCAATGTCCTGTTCCAGCCTTTTATTTCAGGTATCCTGGGAAAGCAACATCTTTATTGTTCAATTATCTCTTTTCCAAATGTAGATAATAACGATTTCTGCACTATATCACATAGTAGATGTGAGCAACAAATGAAATAATCATCCAACAGCATCTCGCAAACTGTAAAGCTCTGTACAGTTATTAACAATTGTTGTTTGGTTATATATATTCTGTCAACTGAACTTCATGGTTGTAAATGAAGCTGGCGTCTAACCCACCAATAGTCTTACCAAGGATGCATACTCAGAATGACTTTTTTACCGATCTGAATCCATATGCAGTCTAAATTGAAAAGCCTAAATGTATAATGAGAACCCCAACATATAATAGTATCACAACATTTTTTTAAATATCAGAGTTAGTATTTCATCCTCCTTCCTAGGTTTCTTAAATAAATTATTGAAAACATACACTCACTCATTCCAAATTATATGCAATTAAATTAAATTATTTATAGTTTACCGAAAATGAAATTTTCTATATTGTATCTCTATACATTAAGCAAGATAGTTTTATAGTGGTTGTTATTATACAAATAACTAGTCAATGTTCACTATGTTGGCGAAACCTTCTTGACTCAATACATCCAACTAGGTAGAAATAAATATTCAGTACTTTCCAAGATGCTATGAACATGAAGAGAGTAACATCTGTGATGTCAGTGTAAATAAACTCTTGTGATAAAAAGCATTTTCTGGATATTGGAAAGATAAAATAAAAGAAGTTATACTAAATTTCAAAATAATTCAGTCACTGTCTAAATTTTTTTAGCAAGCAAAAGAGAATACAGAAATATAAACCATTTAAAATCAAAATTTTGCACAAACATAAATTATATTTGAATATTTATTATTATCAATGAGTTCAAGCTTCACAAATGCCAAATTGAGATAAGACGTATGATTTATAATATGTTTTGTAGTTTGTGATACTGGTTTATATGGATATGAATATGTTTAAAAAGTTACTGATTTATACATATAGGAAAACGTTTAAAAAGTTATAAAAACAAAATCTTAGTTATACCGTTGTCAAATTATTTTGATTAAAACAGCAAGATATTATATGGAATTAAGATTATAATTAGGACCTTTTTGCTGGGCTTTTTCTTAACATTTTTAGTCTTCATGTATATTATAATTACATGTTACATTTGTATGTTAATGCTTATTCAGAGATTTACTTATTTGTAGTATTTATTCATATATACTGTGTTTTTATCTACATGTGATATCTTTATCACATTAGCAGCAGATTTTATTTTCTTTTTAAAAAAGGCAATACAAAACAAAATCTCATGGGTTTGTTTTAATAATTTATTTGTATGAATTGCTAGTAGAACTATGAGTATGTAAATAAGGTCCTCTTCATTGTTAAATTATCCCTTATAGGTTATAATAGTTAAAAGGCTTGGGTTTGCCCAAAGAATGTCAATATTGGACAATTTGATAATTTTGCACTATGTTATTAAATAAATTTCTGAGTATATACACTGTTGCTATGGGTAGAACTGAAACCAAGTTAATAAGATATTTAGTAAATAAACAGAAAGCATTAGTCAATTTTCTAATTATGTATTTGTCTATAAGAAAAAATTCTTTCTATGGATGATTAAATATCAGCCCTCTAGCCTGAGATTTGATTTTCTCATCATAAAGAAAAAAATGATTCCAGTTGAGAATGCTACTTCATGAGTACCCAAATAAGGAAATGAGAATATGAAAGTACAGGAAGAAATATGCCCTGGAAATCCCAAGTGAGTTGTTTTATTATTTTTCTGAAATTCAGCCAGCACTGTTATGATAGGCTTAGTGCTTTTCTGCTCCCATAAATATGCCCTATTGGTGATAACACCATGAAGTTCTCTACGTCAGGTGCTTCTTACTAAATCCAATAAAATGAAACTATTTGCTTTTTATAATATGATGTCACTGAAAGCAGCTCTTTTCCATTTGATACATTTTTTTTCCATTGGAAGTCACTGTAATCGTCATTAGTATTGTTTGATTTATCCCAGAGATAAAACAATTCTTCTTGTCTCTCTTACTGTGTGACATAGCTGGTCTGAGTTAGGAAGTTCAAAACAAGAAGAAACTGGTTTGGAACCTGAATGGCAAAAATGTCTGAGGTTTATGGAAATCCAAAGAAACAGGCAATGACATAGGACTTCTAAAGACTTCTAAACCTGGAATGTGGTCAATAGAAGCTACACAAAGGCAAAATGTTACCATTTCTTTATTTATATATAACATAACTATCCCTTGTGTTTATATTTGCTTTTATATTTGGAAAACAATAAATGACAAAGAAAGTATCTCAATAAAAAACAGACAACCTGCAGAATAGGAGAAAATATTTGCAAACTATACATCTGACAAAGGTTCCGGCATCTATAAGGAACACAAACAAATTTACAGGAAAAAAACAGCACCATTAAAAAGTGGGTAAAAGACATGATACTTTTTTTTTATTAAAAAGTAAACTTTAATGTCGAAAATGCAAATTTGGGACATGACACTTTTCAAAAGAAGACACATATGTGACCAACAAGCATATAAATAAATGCTCAACATCACTAATCATTAGAGAAATGTAAATCAAAACCACAATGAGATACCATCTCATTCCAGTCAAAATTGCTTTTATTAAAAAGTCAAACCATAACCAATGCTGGCAAGGTTGGAGATAAAAGACAATGCTTATACACTGCTGGTGGGAATGCAAATTAGTTCAACCATTGTGGAAAGCAGTGTGGCAATACCTCAAAGAACTAAAAACAAAACTACCATTCAACCCAGCAATCCCATTGTTGGGTATATACCCAAAGGAATATAAAAACATTCTGCCATAAAGATACATGCACATGAATGCTCAATGCAACACTATTCACAATAGCAAAGACATTGATTCAACTGAAATGCCCATCAACAATAGACTGGATTAAAAAGAATGTGATACATATACCCTATGGAATACTATGCAGCCATGAAAAAGAATGAGATCATGTCCTTTGCAGCAACATGAATGGAGCTGAAGGCCATTATCTTTAGCAAACTAACTCAGGAACAGAAAACCAATTACCACCTGTTCTCACTTATAAGTGGGAGCTAAATGATAAGAACGTATGAACACAAAGAAGGAAACAACAGGTACTGGGGGTTACTTCATGGGGGAGGTGGGAGGAGGGAAAGAATCAGGAAGAATACTTATTGGGTACTATTCTTATTACTGGGTGATAATATAATCTGTATATCAAATCCCATGACACGAGTTTATCTACATAAAAATTTCCCACATGTACCTCTGAACCTTAAGTAAAAGTTAAGCGAAATAAACTATTGAGAAATAGGCTGGGCTCAGCCTGTAATCCCAGCACTTTGGGAGGCTGAGGTGGGTGGATTACCTGAGGTCGGGAGTTCAAGACCAGCCTGGCCAACATGGTGAAACCCCGTATCTACTAAAAATACAAAAATTAGCAAGTCATGGTGGTGAACACCTGTAATCCCAGCCACTTGGGAGGCTGAGGCAAGAGAATCACTTGAACTTGGGGGCGGGTGCTGCAGTGAGCCAAGATTGCATCACTGCACTCCAGCCTGGGCAACAGAGCAAGACTCTGTCTCAAAAAACAAAACAAAACAAAACAAAAAACCTATTAGAAAATGACAATATATACTTAGCATAGTAGCTTTGTGGAATTGAATTTATGGTTGCAGTCATTAATAATAAAACTTGAATTGTAAATATTTTTAATGATTCTTTTGATGATTATTTTGTGAATTAGTTACTGTAGAGAGCAAAATTTCTGGTAACTATGTACTGAATGCCATAAGAAAAAAAATGTGGTATACTTTTTTTTTTTTTTCTGAGATGGAGTCTTGCACTGTTGCCCAGGCTGGAGTGCAGTGGTGTGATCTCGGCTCACTGCAAACTCCGCCTCCTGGGTTCACGCCATTCTCCTGCCTCAGCCTCCCGAGTAGCTGGGACTACAGGCGCCTGCCACCACTCCTGGCTAATTTTTTGTACTTTTAGTGGAGACGGGGTTTCACCGTGTTAGCCAGAATGGTCTCCATCTCCTGCCCTCGTGATCCGCCCGCCTCGGCCTCCGAAAGTGCTAGGATTACAGGCGTGAGCCACCGCGCCTGGCCAAAAATGTGGTATACTTTAATCAAACCAAAAGACTAGGGTTTGATAAAGCTTTATCAAATTTTTAAATAACTATGTATCTTGGATTTTTATTTAAAGTTATTCTCTTTAATAAACAAAATCTTCAGTTATCTCAAATCTTGCATATTAAATCTAGAAGAAATAGAAATAATTACATCCTCAAGAATTGTTGAATCCTCACGGACAAAATTATAGCCTTCAATAAAGCAGAAGTGGGAATAAAATGTTTAGACCATAAATGCTGTTTTTAACCAAGTTTGTAAACTGACTACCTCCTCTTTCTCTCTTTTCCACCAGTTTTCTTCTTCCAACTTCCTATACCTGACATACAGCATTGTTAAGCATTCAAAAAAATTGGCATATTTTTGATCACAATTTCAGTGGGGAGGATAGTCAAAATGTTGTAGACTTTAATGAAGAAAGGTGTCTTTATTTCTTTTACTTCAGAAATGAGTATTGATAAGACTGTAGGGGGATTAGATAATGAAGTAAAATAACAATTATAACTAATACTGATATTCAACCATCCTAAGACACAATGCACAAGGGTCTATGAACTTTGGTAGATTTAAATAAAAAATTATATTTAGTATTTGTTTACATTTATTTACTTGCAACTACTTTGGAAAGGAAATGTAAAATTTTTTTCTGTAAGAAAAACTTATAAGATAAAATTTTAATGTTTTTTATTTCTTAAATAAAAGTTTTTCTTCTTAATTTAAGTAAGCTAGATTCATATATTTTATAGAGACATAGTAAGATAAAAATGTATTGGAGTGGAGCAAGGGTGGAGATGAGAGAGTAAGAATTTTCAGTAATATGTGTGAGAAATGATGAGTCTAAACCGGGGTTGTAGCTGTGCAAGCATGGAAAAGAAAAGATGGATTGAGGAACTTCCAGGAAAAAGTTGGCATGATTTGTTGATTATCTGGATGGAGAGGGTGAAAGTAATTAGGGAGACTGAAGTTATTTCTAGGAGTATCGCTTGGAGAGTGGCATGTTAGTTGAAGTTGTGGAGAATAAAAAATGTATTAAAGAGAGATCATGATTTTAGCTGAAGTATGGTGACTTTTTAGGTTACGACTCTTTGGATATCTAACAGACAAGGAAACACACACTCTACAAGCTGCTAATCCATTAAGATATCTTCTTAAGAATATTTTAGCAAGTTTCAGAAACTATGGACATTTTCTTTAAGGGGCACAGCTACATTGACACCATTGGAGTAATGCTGAAGTGAAAAGAGTATATGATTTAAATCCACAGTATTAGTTAAATTATGCTCTACCACTTCCTAGTAGTGCAGCTTTAGCAAATCAAATCTTTCTGAATCTCAGTTTCCTCACAGCATTATTGTGAGGACTAAATAATGAACATGTCAAAACAGAGTTTCTGACATGTAACAAATACTACATCATGTTAGTCTCCCTTTCTTATTGAAAGTGTTCTCCATTATCTTTCCAAGTAGTCTACTCCATACCTTATTTTTTCTCTGTCTTTACTACCACCACTTGGGTAAAGCACTTCATCATCTATCCCTTAAACCATTCTCAACAGTGTCTTGGCCTCCCGCACCCCATTTTCTCAGTGTAGTCAACCAGCAACTGTATTTAACAAGCTCTGTGGTAAATCAGGTACTGCTTTTAGACATGGACATATAACAGTGATGCTTTAAATTACCATTCCATTCTGATATAATATTGTTTGAAAATTCAAAATGAATTATTGTTATATAACAGACTAAATGACTCCTATGTTTTCACAGTTCTTACAAGTTAGGATATAAATTCCCTAACCCGGCATACAAATACTTCTGTAATCAGCCTTCAGTCTTCCTGTCTGACCTCATCTGCAGCTCATCCTTAAATTTACAGAAATTCTCCTCAAGCTTCTAGGTATCTTACTGTTAAGTTTCATACTTTACCTAATAAGATTTATCTTCCTCAAACATCATTTATTCTGCTGCTAATTCTTGACTTTTTGTTTCTTATATTTAAAATATCTGAGATTTTATCCTTGTACTGGAAAATACGTACTTGGTCTTTAAATTACACTGGTTCTTATTGGTATTTCCTGACCTCTACTTTTGACCAGGCACAATTATTCATTTTATATATGTGTTCCCAGAGAACTTTATGCCAACTCTCATAGCGTATCGTCTGAACTTTCAAAAATTAAGGGTATGAAGCAGCAGAATGGAAAATATGCTCCCTGCTGGCAAACAGGTCCCCAAAACAAATGAGACCTGGAGGCCCACAATGTCTATCAAAGTCACCTATTAATTCAGATGTTTTGCCTCTCCACAGAAAGGCTTATACTAAGGGGTGTTTTTCCAGTTGGAAATGGAAACAGTGGGAGAATAAATATTTGTTCCTTTTCCTAAAGCTTGCTCAGTTGTAGGTATCTATGGAATATCAAGGTAGAGATGTCTAGTCAGTAATTAGAAATGCTTGCCTGGACCTCAAAAGAGACAGGACTTGGAACAATCTGTTGGGAATTAATTTGGAAGTCTACTACTCCTGGTAGTCAGTCAAGTAAAGATTATATTTGAGATGATCCAGAGATAGTATTTATAGGTCAAATAGAAAGGTGTTTACAATAGAACAATAGTAATTAACAAACCTCCAGAGTAAAAGGAGCTATTGAAAAAAAAAAGAAAGAAAAACATTTAAGAGAATCAATAGAGGAGCATTGCAGAAGCTCAGGGGAGATTTCATAAGGAGACATGATCAGTAGTATTAAAGCCTTGGTAAATGAGGAAGAGTTTCAAGGATCAGGAAGACCTAGGCATAATAACGGTAGGAACTACTGTAGGAGTAGAAATTAACACCGTATGATTAAAAAAAAAAAAAAAGAAAAATACATGGGGCTGACATTGAGAGGAAACAGCAATGATGTGGAGATGGGGGCAGAGCCCCCACATGCAACTTTAGCTTTTGAAAAAAGTAGGAAGACCAGAAAGATTTAAGACCAGGTGAAGAGATGAAAGTAGTTGGGAGGGAACTGGAGAAAGCACATGCTAGTATTTATTTTTGATAAGGCAGGAAATAGGTCATCTGCTAAGTAGAAAGGGCACCAGGATGAGAGGAAAGCTTGGAAAAAGTCTTACAACATCTGTGGTGGAGAATGGAAGCAACAGTCAACTGGATCTATATTTGGGAATGATGATTGTCAGGTAGTCGCGAGTACTTAGATGTTTCCTTAGGGAATTTAAAATATGATCCACAAAAAGTGTTATGTTCACAAGCCACTGTGCAAATGTGTACTGGGATTTTCTTTCCTTTCCCTTTTTTAAAAAAACCATCTTTATCTTTTCATAAAGAACAAAACAAAAGCCTTTATTTCTCAATTGCCACAGCCTTTGCCCCTAAAAATCTCTGTTCTGCAGAATTATGTAAGGCTTTAGTCAAACATCTGCTTTTTATTTATCTTTGTTTATTTAAGTTTCCACTTTATTATTTTATAAACAGTAGCACAGATAACGAAATTATGGATGGTTATTTTTGTTGGAGAAGAGTTTTAAACAGTTCTCAGCAGGAATAAAACATTTCAGCTGTCAGGAAGAGTTTCAAATTATCCTCTTTTGAGAAAAGACTGGTTAATTTTCATTTACTCAAGGAGTAGAAAACATGTTTTTTCTCATTTTTACTTATAAATGATGGCAGTGGAAGGCTACCAAGAGTGTTTGAAACATTTGATAGTGCAGATTTGATAGTAGCTGAGCAAAGAGAACTGCTTTCGTGCTGAAATCTAGAAGATCAATCAATTAAGCTATAGTGGCACCATGCTTATATCTGGTGATGTTTAAAGGCTGATGTGGATGTACTGGGGTTTCCAGATAAAAGTAATTACACTAACATTTAGGATTTTCTACATACATATTTGTGGTACACTGTTTTCCATACTCCTATAGTATCCACAAGAAATGCTATTCCTTAATAGTTCCTGGTCATAGGCTGCATCCTATTCCTTTCAAGGAGTTGAAATAAATTACCAAATTGATGAGTTCGGGAGAGGAATTGGCATGCATGGCTCAGCTTTTTGCTCCTACTTTGTTTCTGGGGACCTGTTCATGACATAAGTTTTTATAGATATGGCCATCACATAGTATGGCCTGAAGTTGTTCTCTTCCTGGGACCAAGTAAATAAATACATCAGCCTAATTTTGAAGTTTAGGATTTTAAAAGACCATTATTGACGTACACTGAAGCGATATCCTGAAACTTAGCATTTTTATGGTATTTCACTCTCATCTCGTGGTTTGTCTTTAGGGGACTCAAAGCTCAGATGAGGACAGAAGGTTTGTTGTCAGTTGAAGATTAAGATCAATTAATGTCCTTCACCATGAAATGGCCTGGTGTTAAAGTAGACAGTTAATGTTTATACATACTTACAATCATCTCTATGTTGTGATTTCACAGTATTTTGGTGGTATCTATATTATGTAATTTAAGTCACTGTTCAAATGGATAAAATATTTATTGCTTATTCAGTTCCTAGTTCAAGAAGTAGCATATAATAGATGCTAAATAAATATTAATGGAAAAAAACATTAGTGGAATTCAAAAGATATTTAAAAAATATAAATTCTGTTCCCTTTCATATAACTTTAATTTATAACCAAATATGAAACCTGATGTCTGACTAAAAATTATAATACTAAGCATTTGGGAGTTCTTCTATGTCATATATCATACTTTGAAAGATAAAGCATCTTATATTTTACAACTAACTTGTTATCTTACAAGTATTAGGTGTAAATCTTAATTTAAAAATAGTCATTTTCATTAGATATGCTGATCAAGAAGTAGCAGGGATAGAAAGTTATGCTGTTTATCCAAAATAGACGAGAAATACGTGGAAATCAGAAGTGGTATGATGTGTAAACCATAGTGAAACTGTTTTTATTTCTTGTTGTTGACAAATAAATGCCATCACCAGATGTAATGAGATCTTTCACAGTTTAGGATTTATTCAGATTTAGAGCTAGAAATGAACCATAAATTATGGATAAGATGCCATTAGAAATAAAACTAAGAAAACCTGTAATGATTAAAAAGACAAATAGATACAAATCATCATTTCCCTGAGTTTGAAACCACATAATTTAAAACCTTCAAAGAACTAACTGGGTTTCCAATAAAAGCTGCACACACGTATGCACACAATGTTTTGAGTGATCAGAATCTCCACTTTCACAAAAGACTTTGAGTGGAGTGTAGTTAAGCCAAGGAAAGTTAATTTGAAAGATATAGTAATGACAGTGGAAAGAATTTTTCGCTCCAAATATGAAGCCAGTAGCTCATACAAGTCCCTCTAAGAGCATATAAGCCCAACCCACTATTACAAGAAAAGCCTTTGTTTTAAGTTTTGACATTGTTTGGGTGGATTTGACTTAGCTTATGTCATAAAGTGATCTATACTTCATGTACATTTACAGTCTCTTTATATAATACATATAAATTTTTTTTTCTGGGACCTCAGTTTGCAACCCATGCTGGTGTGCAGTGGTGCAAACATGGCTGACTGCAGCCTCAACCTCCTGGGCTCAAAGGATCCTCCTGCCTCAGACTATAGTCATAAGCCACCACACCCAGATATTTTTATTAATATTATTATTGTTATTGTTGTTGTTGAGACAGGGTCTTGCCATGTTACCCAGGCTGGTTTTGAAATTCGTGGGCTCAAGTAATCCTCCCGCCTCAGCCTCTCAAAGTGCTGGGACAATCTTTTCATATAACAACAAAACAAAATGTTTCAAGTAAGTTCTACAAAATAGATTTATCCATCTTGAGAAAGATGTGTGACATGATCAAGCATTCTTGTAGAGAACAAATTACTATCCTCATGAACAACTGGCATAATGTTTATTTTCACATGAATACTTCAAACAGGTATTAAAACTCATATTTTTAGATTTGAGTGAGACTGGACATTCCAACATTAATTTATACAGTTAATAAATGGGTTAATACTTCATTAAATATAAAGTTACTTGGTTAAACAATACAGAAAAAGTGCCATAGGCATTAAGAGTTGTTGCAGAAGTGTTTATTTACTTTCCAGACTGATGGTAAATCCATGCTTTTCTTTTCTATGATATTATATGAGCCCACCTTCCTATACCAATTATCTTAGAAGGACTAGAAGTTTCCTGATAAAATGCAATTTTTGTAAACCTGTTTGAGTGTCTGGATTTGTAAAGAGTTTGTAAGGTTTTGAAAAAGTGCAATTATCCTTTCCTAATCAGTGATATATTAGATCATTTATATGTAGACAGACATTTCCATAATGATTTTTGTTTTCCATAATGAAAGCTTTAAATCTTCCCTCCCTTTTGTAGACATTTATGTTAGAAATGAGCTAAGTTATTCAAGATTTTTTAGAACTATGTCAAAGCTTTGGAAATTCCAAACAATTGGTTTTAAAAGTTATAATTATATAAAACATAGGAAAAATCTGGCACAAGTATGTCTTTTAATATTACAGTTTCCAAAAAAAATCACATTCTTTATAAAATTGTCCACGGAGTTCATGTTTAATCATAAAAAAATGTTTATCAATGTATAATCTTGGTGAAAAACACAACTTTGCTTTTGCAGTTGGCATACTGACATAAGTTACATAATAAATATATCTAACTTGTTTTGAAGTGCTTCTCTTAATCAGAAGCATTCAAACTAGAGTGACTCCATCTTGATTGAGGGCTAGAAAAAATGAGGCTGGGACTTGCTGGGCGGCATTCCCAGGAAGTTAGGTATTCCTAGCGGCTAGATGTTTATGGTTAATGGAACAGATTGATAATGTTTACTAAACAGACCCAGACTCAGGAATGTCCTGATATCCCGGCATCTTGAGAACAGAAGCATTCTTAATTTGCTTTAAAGACAATTATATCCGATTTTGCAAAATATAGTAATTACAAAAGTTAATCCTTATCACAAACCTTTGTAGCAGAGCAAATCTCCCCATGATTTTATTTTTTTTTGTTATCCTCTATATAAATAAACATTGTACCTAAGGTGGGCGCATTCCTCCTCTTACTTTCAGGAACACCCTACATTGTCGGTGGAGTAGCTATTTCACCACTACTTTTTTTTTTAGACGGAGTCTCGCTCTGTTGCCCAGGCTGGAGTGAGTGCAATGGCGCGATCTCATCTCACTGCAACCTCTGCCTCCCGGGTTCAAGTGATTCTCCTGCCTCAGCTTCCCGAGTAGCTGGGATTACAGGCACGCATCACCAGGCCCGGCTCATTTTTGTATTTTTAGTAGAGACGGGGTTTCACCATGTTGGCCAGGCTGGCCTCAAACTCCTGACCTCAGATGATCCATCTGCCTCAGCCTCTCAAAGTGCTGAGATTAACAGGCGTGAGCCACCATGCTCAGCCACCACTTTACTTTCTGAATAAACTTGCTTTCGCTTTGCACTGTGCACTCGTCCCAAATTCTTTCCTGTGCGAGATCCACTCTTGGGGTCTGGATCAGGACCTCTTTCTGGTAACACTGACAGAAATTTATTCTCCCCAGAAACAGAAGTTTGCAATAATTCAGAATATAATTTGTTAAGGTCTAATTTGTTGTATTTCCTACCAATGATTTTGTTCTCATTATTAAAATAATTTAAATGTTAATCCCAGCTAATATATTTAATCTTTAAATAGAAGTTGGACAATTTTTGTAGAAGTATAAATTGATGCTTTTCCTTTCTTATGTAATTATTAGTTTACAAGGACTTTGACTTTCTAGATTTGTTATGAAAGCTTAAGAACGTAATTCTTGAAAAGTCAAGAAGTATCCATGTATTTTTAAAATTTATTCAAAAATTAGAAAATATGTTTCTAATCTATCAAGCAGCTGGCAGTTCAAACTTATTTAAATATGTCTGCTAAATTATCAATATTAATTGTCACTTATATTAGGTTTAGGTGAAATATATTTATAACTCCAGGGACTACATTAAAACTTCATTTTGTGTAATCTTAAAAATTTTCACTAAAATACCAAATCCTTAAGTGTGGGTTTACAAATAATGGTTTGCCAACTTTACCAAAGATATAAATGACATGTAATTATTATAAATGACTCCTACATAATTTATATCATGCACCATTTAAGCATACACTTTACATTTACATAAATTTTGTGTACTTTACTAGTGTAAACCATCACAATCTGAATTAAGACATTCTCATATTTCTCTAATCTTTGATTATTTCATGGTCTTTATAACCTCCACATGACCAAGAGAACCTTTCTGTTCCTCTCAGTTTGACTGAATCATAGACAGGTTTCTTCCTGACTATAGGCTCTGACTTCTCTTTACTTAGAGCATTTGCTTTAGAAAACTTGTAGTTGTAAATTCTTTCTCTACCCCTTTGGAATGTAAATCTTCTACGACCCAGTAATGTCTTTCTTAAGGACTTGGGAGCCATCCCTTTGAAATGGAATCATCAGGGAAGACAGTACCCTATCTCCCAGTCTGCAGGAGGGTAGAAGTCTAACTTCTATAATGGACAATTAGCAAACGCAGATGGTCTAATCACATCAACCAACCTTGCCTCTCCAGTCCTTCAGGTTCTTTTTAATTAGCTCATTCCAGCACTTAAAAATAATTCCTGCTTTTTGTTTTAGCAGAGTTGAGTTCAACTTCCGTCCTCTATTACTATAGTCTTGAATAAAGTCTTTTTACCTATTTATTTTTTTAGGACATTTTTTTAAAAAAAATTTACATTCTTACCCAAGCTTTGTGGCCTGAAATGGAATGATGTGGGGTTTGAAATATGTTGGGAATGGTTAACCTGTTAGCATTCTCACTTCCTGGGAAGTCATAAAAGGTTATAATTTGGTCACAAATTCACTCTATGGATGTTGTTGGAAATGCAGCTAGTTTGTAACTACAAGAGAGTTCAATTAGGAGTGAACCCAAGGAGAACAAATATAAAGAGCTTAGGCTTGAAGGACTGTTACCCTGTATATATCCTGGAAAGTATAAATTCTGAATCCAAAGACAGAAAAAAGTTTACTGTCTTTCATGTCTCAGGAAATAATGGGGTAGAAAATGTGTTTTATGAATAATGCTTTAACTTTCTGGCCTTACAGGAAGTGTTAAGTTTAATTGTGTCAACATAGGCATTTTAAAAATAAAAAAGTTCTATAACATTATTTTACTTAAACTAGATTTTTTCCTTTTGTTTCATCTGACTTAATAGATTTCAAATTTAGATAAACAATCAATATATTATGAAATCAGGTGATAAAGAAAATAATCTATATAAAACAAAAAGCTTCCACATGCCCTTATATCCTTGATCTTGTATTTCAGCTTTTAGAATACATTTTTAGCCTATGGATATATTTACCCATGAATACAAAGATATATTCCACAGATGTCCATTGCAAAATTCTTTGCATTATAAACCTAAAACATTTAATAGAGGGGCATTTACTTAAAATATAATAAACTCATGTAATAGAATAGTAAGCAGGCATCATGAAATATATTGCATGATAGATTGCTTGTGTTGATACATTATCAAGTCAAAGAGGCAGTGTGTGTGTGTGTGTGTGTGTGTCTCTGTGTGTGTGTGTGTTTGTGTACAGATGCTACTCCACATGCAAAGCGGTTGCCTCTTGATAACCCCATTGTAAGCTAAAATTTGTATAAGTCAAAATTTCATTTATAAGCCTAACCTACTGGACATCATCGCTTAGTCTAACCTATCTTAAATGTTCTCAGAATACTTGCATTAGCCTATAGTTGGACAAAATCATGAGAAAAATGTAGAGAATCATTTATTTCCTCTCGTGGTCACATGGTTGACTGGGAGCTCGCTGCTGCTGCCCAGCATTGAGAGAGGGTATCATGCTTGCATATCTCTAGTCTGGGAAAAGATCAAAATTCAAAATTCAAAGTATGGTTTCCACTGAATGTGCATTGCTTTCACACCACCATAAAGTTGAAAAATCATTAAGTAGAACCATATTAAGTCAAGAGCAATTTGGGTATATATTCCCGGGTGTGTATGTGTGTATGTGATGAGCTCATATGCATAAAGAAAGCTATCTGGGAAATACACAAGGAAGAGATAGTGGTATGACTTCCAGGAACTGGTTCTCAAATTTAAAAAAAAAAGAGAGTTTAATATTTCATATTGAACAGTCTACTACATTGTTTAATTTTTAAAAATCAAGTTTATATATGCTCATCATAATTACTAAATATAATTATTTATTTAAAAAGTGCTCTTGTTCATAAACTATTAAATCTGCAACTGTAGCATCTAGTGGCAAATAAGGAATATGTTTCCCATACAATTTTGATCAATGAAAGGCATCACTTTTATTTGTTAGAGGCTTAATAAAACAGGGATCTTTTGGTGTGCATGGCGAATGCATCCCTGGCAGGATTAACATCTTGTATAATTTTAACTGGGGCCCTAATGTTTCATCTTGTTTCAATGGGCACTAGTTCACATCTGGGTAATCAATACATGTTAAGTGATTTCATAATAAAACTGACAACTATATCTTGAATTTCAGAAAGGTAAACATAGATATTTTGTAGTACTATTTACGTAGAGACAGCAGAATTTAATCAGTTGGATACAAACAATTAAAAATATACAACTTGGATTACTGAATTTAAGCATTCAATATAGTTTAAAGCAATTAGCATGACACATTTGGGGGAAATGGGGAGTGTTGTATCTTAGAAAGGGCAGTGTGGGCTTGTTAAAAAATCCATGACATGAAGAGAGTTCACCTAAGTTATATGCACCGAGCATGAAATGGGAAATGCAGCACTCAGAGCCACCGTTAAGATCCTCTTATCTCCCCGCGGAAGGAAACTGAACCTTATGTGTTGCCTGTGCTGGTGAGGCAGCCTACTATGTTTATCACAAATGGGGGCTGGGAGTCTAGTTAAAAGGATTTGATACTCTTTTGGCCTCAGAGGAAAAACAGCTGCAGGAATATCCCCCGCTCCCCCACCATCACCAAACAAAATCTATTAAGCATCCACATCCACATGGATTCTGTCAGAACTTGACTAACGGGTATCAACTCCAAATCCAGCCAGTAAAAAGGTAAATAAACATTTTCTACCCTGTATTCCTATTTTTCTTAGAATACACTACTTTTTCAGGGTTATGGAATATTGTCTGTTCTTCTGTGTCAGAAATGATAGCAGCTGTCAACAACATATGCAAAAACCCATTATTTATAAAAACATCAGCATTTTAAGTTCACCAGACAATTTACCTTCCTGAGCAACTTATCTAGGTTGGCTCATTTGAAATTATATTTAGTGAAAGCCACAGGAAAATCAAAATTTTCCTCTTATTTTTCCTTACCCTTTAGAAAACTCATATTTATCTATTCTTTAAGTTTGTTAGCTTCTTTTCCCAAAGCATCTTGTCCAGAGGCAAATTCTTCAGGGGGAAAGAATCAAAGTTTAAATGTCTAGGTAAGTGCCCCTTTTCAAGATGTTATAAATGGGTTGATATCGCAATTAAAATCAGGCCAGGTTGACATCTGCAGACAGAGACTGTATTTATATTAAGTTCTCTTGACAGGTGATGACATCATATGAGACATTTCCAATGATCTGAATAATAACCTGGTAAACCTGCTCCTGAATCATAAGTATCATTCCAAAAGTAACTCTGACTTATTGGGGAAATTCTGGAATATATGGTATAAACTACTGTTGCATCTTATAAAAACAAAGGAAAAAGTGACACAGAAGAAAGCATCATCTTACTATACCTTAATATTTTCCGGGAATTGCAGCCCAGCTATAAGACTTCTCATGTAGAACACTGAATATTCTAAAGGGGTGGTTTTGATTTTAAATAGCTGTATCTGAAAATGCATTTTTGAAAACTAAGGCTGTACTTCCTTTAAGCAAAGAACAGAAAGTAGATAATCAAAGTTACGATAATAAGGAGGCCCTATTAGATGGGAAAATTAATTCAAGTCAAATGAATCCTGTTTCTTTAATGTATGCAGATTTTTATAGATTAAAAATGAATCAAAACTTAAGAGAAATCAGAGTTTGATGAACTTGATACATTAAGATAGGTTGTTGATTTTCAAAAAAGTCTTCCAATTTGTTAAAAATAAAGTGCTAGAAATATTAGAGGCACTGCTCCTAATGATTTCATAGTAGTACTTTGGCCTCAGTAATTACAAAAATTTTGATAAGCTCCAGACATTCTTCTGAATTAGGTAATTTATATCTCAGGCTGTGAATAATACTGGTAAAATATTCTTTACATCACGTAAATAGATAGAACTAAGATTAAAAACAGGAGGGAAAAATCAAGAAAAGTATTCAGCAGAATCCTCACTATATTTCCATTAACAAAAGACTAATAGATGGCACTAAAACTGCAGTGAACTATGGAAAGAATGAGAAATTATGCTATTCACATCTTTCATTCTTTCTCTTTTTTTTCTCAGCTTCACTTTCAATTTCTCTTAAAAATACCCAAATCCTTAAGATACTGTGTTTCATGCAGAGAAAGATTTGCTGAAAAACTTTGACCATTTCTGTAGGCATCCATGTATTCAGCTCCAATATCAGCATTCGCACTAACCTAAATCTAAACCTAAACCTAAATGTTACTACTGGAACAAAGAATTGCATGGATCCTAAGGGAGAAAGCCTTCTGGTGTGGCCGTTTACTTCCCGTTAGGGTCCAAGATGAGGACAACATACTTGTTTATTGTGACTATGAAGGCAAAGACAAAACACCATTTCTCCAGAGACAGCAAGTGGAAGTTTGAACAGAGCAAGATGCTTGTTAATGTCTTTGAGCCACAAAATTAATCCCGGAACAACTGACCTCCAGAATGTCATTGACATAAAAAAAAAATCTCTTATGGTTTACATTGATGTCTAGGTTTTCTGTTACATTTAATCAAAAGCATCCTTAACTAATATAAATAACTTCTCACAAAATTTGAAAAATTCTTAAAATCACATAAAAGATCTCCCACAATAGAGTCCTGGCTACTGCACTTCTTGCTGTACTTCTTTGCATACAGAGAAACACTACCTTTTTTTTCTGTCTCATTTTCTTGGAATTGTTACCTCAATGGCTGTCATATCCACTTGTTCCTAGCTCTTGCCAACTTCATTACATCATTGTTTTCTTATTCTTCCTACCCCTCAAGTCTCAGTTTAAATGTCCCCTCTCAGAGATACTTTAATATGGTCATTCTAGCCAAGGAAGTTCATCTCAGGAAAAATTTTTTTCTATAACTTGAACTATAGCTTTTGTGTTTACTTCATAGCACTTTTTAATAGTGTTTTCAATGTGTTTGGGCTTCCTTGAGCCATATTACCCTACAGTGTAAACCACATGAAGGTAGGGGAAAGTATGTTTTAATTACCTGTGATACTTGGCTCCAAGCCAAGGGGTCCCTAGCACATGATAGATATTTGGTGAATATTTGTTCAATGGATGGATACACGGGGCTACTGGTTGGTGCTTTAAAGTAACACCCATATAGATAAGACCCATTTAAATAGTTTAGTCCCTTTGAAAACTAAACATCAGCATAATGAAGTCTGAGTTTGATGCTTAAGTAAAAAGAAATTATTATCGCATAGTGTTATCTTCCTGCAAACATAGTACTATTGTCAAATCTTTGAGGTCGTATGATGTTGGCATGGTGTATTCTGATTTTCTTTGAATATTTTTTTGTATATGTATTAGTTCCACTAGCAAGGAAGTTTGACTCACTTGCTGATTTCACTTTTTATTTGATTATATATCAAACCAATTCCTGAGTACAATTTATTTGAAGAACATTGTTATGAACTTCTCCTTTACTAACTTATATCTCTTTTATGAAACAGTATCATATCTTTCCATTAACTCTTATTTTAAAAAATATGATTGCTATGCTGTATTAAGTGAGAACATATCTTACATCCAGATTTTAAAAAGTGTTGTGTATGGGAAAATCATTCAAATAATACTAGATAAAAAGAACAACTTGTGATAAAGGAGCAGAAATAATGACACCAGTTCGATTTTATTATTAGATGTATCTGTTGGAAATTAGATTTAACTGCAGGTAAAGGAGACCCCAATACAATAACGTAATCAAATTGGAGTTCTATTTTTTCTGGATAACAGAAAAGTTTTTACGTGATATTGCTTCAGTGGCTCCTAGATATTAGGGACAAGATCTATTATTCCCCTGGACTTTCCCTTATGGTGACCTTATGATCACAAGATGAATGTTGAAGCTTTGGTCTTCACTTCTGCATTCCAATTAGGAGTAAGGGTAAAGGAGTCACTTTAATAGAAAAATGCTCAAGCGTCTTCTGCTTACATTTGACTGGCCAGAACTGGATCATATGATCAGCTGCAAGGCTGTTTAAAAATATATATATATTTAAAAATTATTATTCTGGATACCCCAGGAAATGAGGGTTATGTTAATGAAGAGAGGAAGAATGGCAACCTGATGGATACATCATAATTTTGCCAAAGTGACATTTCTAAATACATATTTAGGCTGATTGTATGTGCCTGATGGCGTATTCCTAGGGCCATGCTTGAACTTTGTCACTGGATAGAGCATACATTTTTCAGTAAAGACCACACATCTCCCTTCCCACATGGAATGACTGTGCAAAAGAATGGGAGATAATTAAAAGGCTTTCACTTCTGTTTATGACCAAAGAATGTTCTCTTTATGAAATGAATTTGATAATAACTCATTGTGGAAACAAAACCAGGTTCAAAATTTTCCACTTATAGGAACTGCATTGCAAGACAAGGAGAGTACTCTGAGAACCAACACACTAGAGTTCCTTATTCTAGACAGGTTACAGACACTCCTTCAAATAGAAAGAAACAAGTTCCCTTCCCCAAATTGCCATGGAATTAAAATGGAGGAGCATCCTCTTGAACCATAGGTGGAGGAGGAAAGGTCTCATGATACCTGGCAGGAGAGGGCAAGAAGATCGTTTGCCATAAGCTGACAGACATTAGAAAGCTATTTTGTGGGACTGATGATAATAATATTTGAAAAGGATGAAGACAATTGTCCAGGAATTGCTAATAATTGAACATTCTGATGAGTTTTTTTTTTTCTTTTTCTGACTCGGACATTTGGCAGTGTTTTGTTCTGAGAGGAAATTTTCTTCATCAAGTCCCACCTGAGACTCATCCAGACCATCCAGCTATTCGGTATTCAGGGATTAATAGTGGGAAATGGAGGCTTGGTGCAGAGAGGTTGGAGGAAAAAAGAACATCAGAAGCAAGGGATTAACTAGGAGATTATCTAACTATTAGAGTAGGGATTAACACAGGAGAGCAATTACAGGCTTTGATAAAGATGTGAAACAACTAATTTTGAAATAACATCTATGGTAATTATTTACATTAGTAAACTATAAAATATATATTAGACAAGCAAGAACACTTAGGCAAACAGGAAGCTAGATTTAAGACTTTTTTTAACCAGGCATGCTAATGAATTATTGTATATTAATCATTGCTTAATTGTAAGCCTAAATATATTTGGCAGGATTTAATAACATCATTACAAAATATCCAGACAATGATTTAGCAATTAAATGGGGAAAAAGAGATGATAAAAATGAAAGTGCCAGAGCTTAACCTATTGGGTATAATTTTTATCTGGTTCTCACATATTAAAGAGAAAATAACATTAGTAAAGTTCTAAAATACATTTAATCAAATTGGATGCTCTTAATGTGGAAATATTTATTGATAATTTGAGATAAGTTTTAGACATGATCCATATTGTATAATTCCAAATAATAATTTTTTAATTAAAATTGCTTTATGGGAAAATACTGCATATTTTTTTTTCAGATAAGAAACCTTCATCAGCCTTTTGAGAAGAAATTCCAAATGAATATTCACATATTTAATGATGGTTTGTAAAACTATTTTAAAATTCATGTGGAATCAAAAAAGAGCCCAAATAGCCAAGACAATCCTAAGCGAAAAGAAAAAGGCTGGAGGCATCGTGCTATCTGACTTCAAGCAATACTACAGGGCTACAGTAACCAAAACAGCATGATACTGGTACAAAAACAGACACAGACCAATGAAAAAGAATAGAAAGTCCAGAAACAAGGCTACACACATGCAATCACCTGATCTTCGACAAAGATGATAAAAATAAGAAATGGGGTAAGGACTCCCCTATTCAACAAAAGGTGCAGCATTAACTGGTTAGCCACATGCAGAATATTGAACCTAGACCTCTCCCCTACACCATATACAAAAGTTAACTCAAGATGAATTAAAGACCTAAGTGTAAAATCCAAAACTATAAAAACCCTGGAAGACCACCTGGGCAATAACATTCTGGACACTGATACAGGCAAGGATTTCAGGATAAACATACCCAAAGAAATTTTGACAAAAGCAAAAATTGAAAAATGAGATCTAATTAAACTAAAGAACTTCTGCACAGCGAAAGAAAGTATCAACAGAGTAAACAGATAACCTACAGAATGGGAGAAAATTTTTTGTCAACTCTCCGTCTGAGAAAGGTCTGATATCCAGCATCTATAAGGAACTCAAACAAATTTACAAGCAAAAACCACAAACCACTCCATTAAAGAGTGGCCAAAGGACATGAACAGACCCTTTTCCAAAGGAGACATACATGTGGCCAAAAAGCATATGAAAAAAGCTCAACATCACTGATGTTTAGAGAAATGCAGATCAAAAAAATACAGTAAGATACTGTCTCACAGCAGTCAAAATTGCTACAATTAAAAAGTCAAAAATTTTTAAATTTAATTTTAATTGGCAAATGTGTATATACATACACACACCTTATACACATTTGCAAATATATATACACATACATATATACACATATACAGACATTCATCTACACATATATATATACACACATTTGTGTGTGCATGTGCACCGATGCAAATCCATGTTTTGCATGCACACATACACATTTGTGAATATATATACACAGACATATAAGCATTTGTGTAGATACACATACACACATACACATCTGTGTATATACACATACACACAGACACATTTGTGTGTACATATACACACATACATATATACATTTGTGTATTCACACGTACACATTTATGTATATTTATACACACACATATACATTTGCGTATATGTACACACACATATGTATATATACGTATACCTATTTACTCTATTTATATCAAGTAAGGGAAGAAAACCTGCCTTAGGACTGGAAAGTAAGAAAGGGTCATGCTG
Organism: Homo sapiens; assembly: GCF_000001405.40. Classification (NCBI taxonomy): domain Eukaryota; kingdom Metazoa; phylum Chordata; class Mammalia; order Primates; family Hominidae; genus Homo; species Homo sapiens. The sequence continues at coordinate 78,019,680 of NC_000008.11, read as the reverse complement.
CCACATATTTCAAGGAATTTAGCAAGAGATCATGAATAAAGAAACAAAATGAAAAAAAAATTCCTAGGGCCAAAAAATATCTTCTCATTCCACACGGTGGTCTGATGCCATGGGGAAGGAAACAAAAGGGTCTTACCAGTGTTTCCATTGACAACTCCTCAATTGTAGAGTCAAGGATTGGTGGTGGGAGGACACTGGAAAAGATAGAAAACACATACATTTGTAATATTTTTGAAAATGTATCCTTGTTTTCATTCAGCAAGCATACTATCACTAATGTAGATACCAGAGAAGAGGCAGAAAGCAAAGCAAAGTGTTCTTATGAATCTTACACACTCATGTGGAGAAGACAGTAAACAAGTAAACAAATGAACAAATAATTACAGAAAATAATGTCTGGGCTGTGAAAGTAAACAGACATGGCCAAGAGACAGAAAGTGAAAAGAATGGGAGACTACAGGTCTCTAATAAAGAGTGGTGTGAAGAACCAAGTCTTCTGAAAATCCTGAAAAAAGGCATTCCTGGAGAGATGAGACAAAGAGCTCTATGAATGTGAAGATGCTGAGAGTGGGATAAAATATTCAAAGAATGACCAGAAGGCCATGAGTGTGTGGAGTTGAGGAAGAAGGGAAAAGGTTTTAAGAAAATCACCATTTGACAGCAATAATGCGCCTGAGAGGAGATGCCTTCCTACCAACTGGAAAGCATCAAGATATCTGGTTTTCTCACCATTGAGCCAGGAAGCAGGAAAATAAAGGAGGCTAATCAATCCTGGAGTAGAGACAATAATAAACTGAAATTTGATGAAGATTAAATTTGTAAAGTTCAAAAGTGATAGTTATTTGCTAGGCATGTTTCTGGCCTAGGTCTCTGCAAACTTTCTGAAAGCTGCTGGATCACTGATAGTATTTAATCACCTTTTGAAACAAAGTATGCTTAATACTAGATGCAAATTAGAGTCACTGGAAAACTTATAAAAAATACATATGTTTAGGTTCCTATTTGAATTGGGTTCTGATCAAATCAGAATTTCTTTTGGGTGTGGCCAAGTCATGAGAATAATTCAGAAGTTCCCTAGGTGATTCTAATGTACAGCTGCAGGGGAACTGCTGTTTGAGAATTTTCTCCTTTGAAATAAATGTCAACTTTGTTTAAAATTTGCATCTAAGATGAGCACCCAGAGGAAAGAAAGTAGACTAAAAACTAAAGCAAATAAATAACATCAACAGCAACAGCGACAACACATCCTGAAACCATTCCATTAGAAATGTGAGAAAAATCTCCTACTAGAAACACAAAGAAATGATAGATTTGAAAAAAAACTTAATAAAGGAACGAAAATAAAAAATTTAACTTTTTGATCTAAATAAAAATTATGAAAACTTGGAAGCTATGAAACAAGACAATAAGATTAGATTAGATGATTACAATAGAAATTTTTCTTAAAGTTTGAGAAAATTTTTTTAAAAATCAACAAAGTCAGGAATATGGTTAATTTAGACCTGGATGAGGTGGAATTGACACTTTATAAATTTGTGTTTGTTTATTTTCCAACCAAATTTATTGTAGTAGAAATCTGCCACTATATTCCTTTATTGTGTCCACTATATTTTTAAAAGATATTATTTATTGAGGTCTAATTGGGAAACATAAAATTCAGCCTGTTAAAGTGTACAATTCAAGGATTTTAGTGTATTTACAAGGTTGGGCAGCCATCATTGCTATTTACTTCCAAAACATTTTTATTACCCCAAAGGCAATTCTATACCCATTAGCAGTCACTCCCAATGCCCCTCCCTTCAACCTCTGACAAACACTAATACACTATCTGCCTTTACGGATTTACCTACGAAAATTCCATATATTAAATTTTACAATATGTGGCTTTCAGTGTCTGGCTTATTTCATTTAGCATAATGTTTTTAAGGTTCATTCATGTTGTAGCATGTATCAATACTTACTTTCTTTGTGTGGACACATCACTTTGTGTTTGTCCATTAATCAGCTTATGGGCATTCGAGCTGTTTTCACTTTTTGGCTAGCATGAATAATGTTTCTATGATCATTCATGTACAAGATTCTGTGCGGTCATAGGTTTTTACTTGTCTTATATAGCTAGGAGTAGAATTTCTGGATTAGATGGTAACTCTATGTTCAAATAACTGCCAGACTGTTTTCCAAAGTGGCTGCAACATTTTACATTACCTTCAGCAATTTATGAGGGTTCTAATAGCTCCACATCCTCACCAACTCTTAATATTGTCCATCATACGGATTATATCAATTTAGCCAGTATGAGATTATAATCTTGATTTGCATTTCCCTAATGAGTAATGATGCTAAGAATTTCAGTTGCCATACATTTTAAGATCACCTTGTCAATTTCTGTAGAAAAGGCAACTGGGATTTTAATAAGGATTCTGTTGAATTTGTATATCAGTTTGGGCAGTTTTGCCGTCTTAATAATATGAGGTATTTCAATCTATGAATGGCTTTTCATTATTTAGATCTGCTTAATTTATTTTGATGATGTTTTGTCATTTTTAATGTACAAGTCTTACACTTCTTTTGGTATATTTATTCATAAGAATTTTATTTTTGATGCCATTACAAATAGATTTGTTTTTTAATTGAATTTTTACATTATTCATTGCTAGTATGTGGAAATAATGACGTTTTTTATATTGATCTTGTGTTCTATAAACTTGTTAAACTTGTTTATTAACTCTATTAGTGTTTTATAGAGTTAACTCTATTAACTCTATAAGTGGAATACTCAGGATTTTCTATAAAACAAGATCATGTCATCTACATATAGAGATAATTATACTTCTTAATTTCCAACCTGGGTGTCTCTTAATTCTTTTTCATACCTAATTACCCTGGCTAGAACTCCCAGTACAATGTGAATGGAAATGATGAGAGTGGATACTCTTGTCTTGTTTATCATCTTAGGATAAATGTTTTGAGTTTTTCCTCATTAATTATAGTGTTAGATGTGGGGTTTTCATAAATGTTCTTTAACTGGTTGAAGACATTTTCTTCTATTACTAGTTTGTTAAATGTTGTTATCATGAGAGGGTGTTGGATCTTGTTAAATGTCTTTTCTGCATCTCTTAAGATAACCTTACTGTGTGTTTTTTGTCCTTTTTTTTCTGTTAACCTGGTATATGAATTTACTTTTATATGCTTAATCAACTTTGCATTCTTGGAATAAATCCAAGTTTGTCAGGTACATAATCCCTTTTATATTTTGCTAGATTCAATTTGGTAGCATTTTAATAAAGATTTTTTTCAAATGTGTTTTTTGAAAATATTGGTCTCTACCTTTATTTTCTTGTGATGCCTCTGTCTGGTTTTGGTACCAGGATAAGATTGGCATCATCAAATGAGCTGAAAGTGTTCCTTTCTTTTCATCTTTTGGAACAAGTTGTGAAGTCTATATGTTAATTCATCTTTAAGCATGTGATAGAATTCACCAGGGAAGCCACTTGGTCCTGGACTTTTTGTTGTTGTACTGTTTTAAAACTACTCATTCAGCCTCCTTATTTGTTAGAAGTCTATTCAGATTTGTAATTTTTTTGAGCCAGTTTCAGTAGTTATATAGGCCTAGGAATATGTCACTTTTCTAGATTATCTAATTTGTTGGCATACAGCTTTTCATAGTATTCTGTTACAATTGATTTATTTCTGCAAGGTTGGTAGTAATGTTTTCACTTTCATTCCTCATTTTTCTAATTCGAATCTTTTTTCTTTTTTCTTGATCAGTGTCTTCATACTTTTTCTGCTGCTATAACAGAAGATGACAGAATGGATAATTTATAAAGAATAGAAATTTGGCCCATAGTTCTGGAGGGTGAGAAGTCCAAGAGCATGGCACTGGCATCTGGCAAGAGCTTTCATGCTGCTTTATCCCATAGTGGAAGGGCAAATAAGTGGGCAAGATAGAAATGGAAATGGAGGCTGAACTTTATCTTTTTATTAGGAGATTAATCCTTTGACAAATATCCCACTCCTACAATAAAAGTTTAATTCACTTACAAGGACTAAAATTAGAGCCTCATGGGCTAATTACCTCTTAAAGGTTCCAATTCTTAATACCATAACAATGGCAATTAAATATCAATGTAAGTTGTGAAGGGAGCTTTCAAACTATAATGGCCAGTCCTGTAGAAATTTGAATCAGTAATATAATGAAGTTTAAAAGCTCTTCCTCAATACAGAGAAAAATAAAAGACTCATAAGAGGGTTAAGGTTAGTGATATGGGAAAAAAAGGAAATGTGGTGTTAATTTGGGTATTAACTTGACTGAATTAAAGAATACATAGAGAACTGTTAAAGCATTATTTCTTGTTGAGTACATGAGGGTGATTCCAGGGGAAATTGGCATGTGAGTCAGTGGACTAAGTGGGGAAGCTCTACCCTCTTTGTGGATAGGCCCAGTCCAATCAGTTGTGGGCTCAGAGAAAACAAAACAAAACAAAACAAAACATAACAGAGAAAAGGCAATTTTCTCTCTCCTGTCTCTCCTGAAGCTGGGACACTCTTCTTCTCCTACCCTTGGACATCAGAATTCCAGGCTCTTCGCTTGTGGACTCTGGGACTTACAGTTGCCCGCATCACCCCCCACAGGTTCTTAGGCCTTCAGCTCCAGGCTGAGAATTACACCATCAGCTTCTCTGGTTCTGAAACTTTTGGACATGGACAGAGCCATGCTACGAGCATCCTTTGGTCTCCAGCTTGCAGATGACATGTCATGGGACTTCTTAACCACCATAATCACATGAGCCAACTCCTCTAATAAATCCCTTCTTATATATCTATGTCTATGTCTTTATCTATCTATAGCTATATTATCTATCTCCTATTAGTTCTGTTTCTCTGTAGAACTCTGGCTAATACAGGAAAATATAGAAAAAGTATACTTGTTTATATATTTATACAAAAATAAAACTTCATTAGAAAAGCACTGACCTGAGATATAGAAAATAAAATTTATCTGATATAAAAATAACAAATTGCAAATTTAGAGTTGTTACCTATACCTGGCAGAATCAATGAAAATAAACCTTAAACATATAAATTAATATTTATTTTATTTCTTTAATGTGACAACTACCTACCTTATATGTAATAAATCAAGCTACATCTCACTTAATGTATCATACTTCATACATAACCATATGAAATATGAATTTTTTTTCCTGTTTGATGGATTAGAAATTAAAAGTGCAAAGAGATTAAAAACTTTTGCCATGGTCAGAAGGCTAGCATGAATTAGTAACAGGATCATAGTTCATGGATATTATTCTCTATTGCTGTTGCTTTAGAAAATACAGTATTCCACTTCAGATTCTTAGTTAATATCTCTTGTTTTCATATGCATAGCATTTATTCATTTGGTTGTTGATGAAATAAGATTTTATATATATTTTATGGAAATATACATGAAGTGGACTGTTCAGCAAGCTGACAACTTGTATTAGAATCTCTGACATTAGTTTCTTATAACATATAATCACAAACTTACATGATTTGAATTTAATAAGAGGCAATTACTGTCTTTTTTGTAGCTTATCATAAGACCAGAAGCTCAACTAAATTTATATGTTGTTATGCTATTGTTCTATGTGAATGATGAGAACATTGTACATCTACTAGGGATATTCATTGTTTTCCATCTTTCGGTTTATGCAATTCACCCCATAATGAAGCACATGTATATGTAAGTGCAGACCTGAAATATAACTTGGGATGAATAAAACAAATAGTGCTTATGAGGAGACCACATCTTTCTCAAAAAGCAACACCTTTTTCACCCTTGCCTAGTCTCCTTCCAAACATGTGCTGGGATCTTAATGAGATTGGATGCATAATGTCTCTAGAAAAGGCTACATAGCAAAGTAGAGCCAAATAAGCAAAATGCTATATTATTTACTGGAGAAACGCTTTGTGATAGCAGTATATAATGATCATCTCATGTGGTGATATGGTCATGCTATGGGCTTTCAGCAGAGGTTGGAGAAAGCAGTATAATTTTGGACCCTAAGTGCTCTTTCCCTCAAAGGGCAACTCCCTCACTTTTTAACTTTGGAGTTGAACTTCGTTGTGGAACTTGATTTTGTTCAGAATGTCAACTTTGGACCCAAAATATGTGTGTGTAATTTATGGTTTAGTCCTTAGCAGCTGGGTGACTTAACCTCCCTGTGCCTTGATTTTCTCATTTACAAAAGGCTGCTTTGGTACTTAAGTAAGTTCAAACATGTAAAGCAATTAGAATGGTGACCAGGACAAAGCAGGTTCTCAGTAATGTTAATATTATTGATATGATTATCCCAAAGCTAGATTTCTTTAAAGCCACTTGCCAGCTAATCTCCAACAAGGTATTAGCTGTTTCAGTTAAGGTGTTTATACTAAACGGGTATTAAAATTTAATTAGGTGACTCCTGAAGGTTAGAAAACCTTCAAAGCCCAAAGGATAGGACATAGAATTGTGGAATTCTAGACAGTTTGCATCAGGCTTCAGAAGAGAGAGGACTGGTGGTTATTGCAGCAGTATGATGGGGTTGGCACCCCTCAAATTACTGTGCCTGAGAAAGTGTTTTCTCCATCTTTCTGTAATGGGGGCCCAGAACAAAGATTCAAAAGAGAAAATAAAACCTGAACTCATGGGAGGAAAAGGGTAGAGATTGAGGAAACTCAGAGGAAGAATGTCATAACAGTACAGCTGTGTTTTGCATCTTCGGGCTGCTTAATGAAATGAAGTTCTGATATTCTTCAAATAGTTTTAAAATGGTCCTGATTTGTGCTTTCGCATGGCTTCTGTACAATTCTACTTGAATTATGGGAATGAGAGTGACTCAAATTCACTGCTAAGTCTTTCTGCAGAGCAGACATTTGATAAAATTATCCGAAAGAGAGATATGTGAATGTCAATAAAGAACCTCAGTGACCTTTGACTATCTGAAAGTATTTTCGTGTTTGTAAGGAAGCTACATTAACACTTGGGAGTAACCAACCAACCAATCCAACAGTAAAACAGTAAAAGCAATTTAAGATTATGGTAGAACTTGTATTCCTCCATATTATTTAGAATTACAAACTTGTGTCTGAACTGAATGCTGGCAAGTAGGACAAATGAAAAAGCAATTAGAAAATCAAAAGGAAAGAAACAAAAGAAGGAAGAAATAAAGACAAGGAAGGAAGGAAGGAAGAAGGAAGGAAGAGAGGGAGGGAGGAAGACAGAGAAAAAATCATGGAAATACAAAACTCCTTGAAATAAAATAACAAAATTTGAGCACTTGCAGAGTGAATATGTTACTTAACTTTCAAACTCTGTTCTGATAGCATTCACTTAACCAGATGAAATGACTAAGGTTGGGAGGATCAGGGAGGTGAAATCTTGACTGCTCTTCTTTGGCCCTTGGGAGGCAAAGGTCATGTTCAATTCCTCTGAGTGATTTCCTGCCATTTTTCTCCTGACATATGAATCATTTTGTTCAAGACACTTTGGTAGGCTCCCTCTTAGAGGATTCTGAGTAACCTCCACCAACTTGCTGATTCTTCCCTGCTTCCCTCTGATAAAACCCCTTCTTAAAATCCTGAAAGATGCAAGCTAGGGTGCATACCTTCAACTGTGGAGACTGCTAGGCCATTTTAAATGATTTTAGGAAGCTGAATTAAGCTTGCTAGTTCATGAAGAGCTACCTGTTAGAGCACTCCTAATTAGCTTACTGACTATTTGGAGAAAGCGCTCTTCTGGTTTCTCTGTAGCAGGTCATTTTTGAGTGAGTTTCTGGTGAAATGAATGCATTCTTTATAATGAATGAGGTCATTTTTATGCTTATTAGTCCTTAAAGAAAGCTGTTTCTGATTGAACAAAGTTGGATGTGAGAGAGAGAAAAAGAGAGAGAGAGAGGATGATGACTGATAGAAAGGAAAAGAAAAGCAGTTATTTTGTATGTGCCTGTGTATTTTACCAAAAGTTTTAGTGGCTGTTCAAAGAGCAAGGTGTCTGTGCCTTTAATCATTTTCATTTTAAAAACAGAGGCTTATATTTTCACATCTTCAGCTGTCCCAGAGGGCAGCTAGGCCAACTTTAACAACATTAATTTCTCTTTATGACAGAACTAGTGCTGCCCCAGGTCTTCAGAACTGCCTAAAATGTCTGGAAAAGTAGATAATGAAGAGGATATTAGAATTGTAAACAAGAACAATTTTGTAATAAAAACCATATATTTTGTACATTGGACTTTGGGCTTAATACTGCGGCAGCAAAAGTGTCACGAGTCATAATTTGTTGATGGCTAGTGAGCATTAGTTACAGTCAGAGCGTACGCATAAAGGCCAAGTCCTCCTGGCATTCCATTAAAGAAGATCTGGGATGGGTAATTGCAGTTGAGTTATTTGAATGCGTCTCTTTCATTTGATTTTTGTATTGTGGTCTCTGATAAAAAGAACTGTGTAATTGTAACTTCCTAGGCTGCTCACAGAGACTTTTTCCCTTATGCAGAGGTATTTTGCACAAGTGTAAAGGATTTACTAATAGCAAACGTAAAGGGATTACCCTAATGAAAATCAAAGCATGTCCAACCCTCGACTGCTTTCAAAATATTTATGAAGACTCCAGTTTGGGGCGTTGAAAATGAAGCATTCTCCTTTTTTGCTCCGTGTTTCTCTGGCAGCCAGTGCATCACTCCTTTTCACTGTTTATTCATCCTTCTTGCTGACAGGGTTTATGAGTCTGACACAATGGACTAAGAAACTGTAGATTTTCCCCCAACAAACAAGTGCCCTTCTTTGTGTGTCTGTAAGGAATGTGGGGGCAAAGTGTAAAATGTGAGCATTATGGTCTGTTAATACCATAAACAGGACTATGTTCTAGTCTTAAGGTACATGGCAGTTGAGAAAGTTCATCCCGCACTTACCATTTTGTCTTTTCCTTATCCTTTGTTATCTTCTTTCACACAGAAGAAATATGAACCCATAATCCTAAAAACACAGCAATTTCCATTAATATGGTTTCTCTTTGCATTTCATGTTTGCTTTTATTATACTCAGTGGTCTATGTTCCATAGTCTATTCCCTGAATTTAGTTTGCACAAAGCCCCTCAGTGTCTATTGAGATCATTTCCCATTGAATGTAATAATGATAATATTTATATTTTCAATTAATGAACATTAAATCTTACATTTGAATGATTGTCTTTACAAGATTGGCAATCATGTAATAGCATATGTCTCCAAAAAAGACAATCATTACTACGATAAAGACTAGAGTAAAATTCCAAATACTCAATTTTGAAGTGAAAAGAAAAGGCATATCATGTTTTATGAACTCTCTCTAAATATTATGATTTTAAAAATAAAGGCAGAAACCTTTTATCTGCATCTATTAGCATCTAATTCCCTTTTCACAGCTAGGATGTAAAGGTAATCAGCTTCATCCCTCATCCCATTAGTGTGATGAGAGTTAGGTGTGGTGTCTTTCAGATGAGCTGGGGTAGCAGGATCCAATTCTGAGACAGAGCTCACTGTGCTTGATACAAACTGAAAGGTAAAAATGAGCACTCTTCTATTATTTAGGCACCTATCCAGAGGTTGGAGAGAAAAAAAAAAAAAATTTCCTAGTGTAGATTTAGCCTAAGCGAGCAGAGATAACCCCCTTGCCTTCTGTGTCTAATAAGATATGAATGGGGGCAGAAATAATGAGTATTACATTGTATTTTTCATGTAAAAGCCTGAGAAACAAAATGTCCTGAACACTGGCAGTGATTCCAGTCATTTTCAAATGAAAAGGGCTATTTGTTTCCAAATTACAGCAGCCACTGGAATGCATACGTTTATGCCTCAGAAATCCTCATTTTGTGAAGTAAAATTACCTTTCAGTAATTTAGTCACTGCAGGCTTTGTCCTGCTGACTGGTCAGAAGCTATCAGATAGCTTGCAGCTGCAGGCTGAAGCCCGACCATTTTTTTTTTCTAGGACAGGCAGTTAGTTAGTAGAGCCATCAGTGCGGCATCTGTCATCCTGCTAGGCCCAAATTGTTTTCTATGATGGATGTCACAGTCTGTATGATCAAAATAGAAGCCCTGCTGCTTTTAATTGCAAAATCGGAGTACTTGCACATTTGTTATTATGCTGAGGTTATTACCTCACACAAAATGAATTAACAGGTGAAAATAATTGATGAGAGGAGTCTAGGGATTTTTAGCCTCTTCAAAGAGACTTTGTAATTATGGCATAATGAATGTTCTGAGACATATCTGTGGGGGGCAGCATGAGACCACCAAAGATCTCTTCAGATTGATGATAAACTCTACTGAATTCTACTGTAATACTGCTTAAATTTACTTAGCAATTAGTTTAATAGTCCTACATGATTCATGATAACATACTGATAATTTTTAAATAACTTTGTTCCATCAATCTATAAATTAAGCTACTTACCTCAGCTTTCTTCCCAAGGTGATGGGAAATGTTAACGAATCAGACTTTCTGAAACAAAGATGACATAGGATAGAGGTTCGGGTTTCAGAAACTCCTGACTAAATGTGGCAGGCATCTCAAATAATTCCTCTTCCCCTTTTGGCTCCTCTCAATAGATTGTGAAAAGAGCCTCACCAAATTTTGTCCAAATATAGTTTTAAGAGTTTCCCAGCACATGAAGACTCTGCATTTGTCCTGTGAAGTATATTGTTTAAACATTTTGCAAGCTGAAGTAATTGCTCTTGGCTTTCTGACCACTCTTCCATTCAGACTTGGTCATAATTCAAATGCATTCAGCCCCTGAGTGCTTCCAGAGTCATGGGAGTCCAGCCATTTTTCCCCTTTTTCATGACATCCTGAAGCTGCACAGGGGATATCTGTCACCATGAACTCACTTCCAGCATGGCTTCAGAGCACAGAAGGCACTTTCCCTGTATGAACCCAATGCTGTCAACATGTTGGGATAAGGTTTTCATGTGTGCCTGACCATGTACAGAACTACAGTTTTAAGATGGTCAACCTAAAAGTTGCAAAGATGGGAAAATGTTATTAAGTTCTAGAGAAGACCATTTTTAAAAAATTAAAAAAAACATATGGAACAAATCATGAGCAAACTTCTTTTCAATCATTGGATATTATTCACGTGCTATGTACATCTAAATCTCAAGGTAACTCTTTAATTAACTAGAGCTAAAAAATTAAATTAATTGTGAGCACTGTTAAAAGAAATATACATAAAGGAAATCTTGAGACTTGAGACCAAGAAAACCTTTAGTTAAAAGTAGAGAAAACTAAAAAGGAAACAGAACTGTAAGTTTTGAGGAAATATATGTTTAAATAAAAGACTCACATGTTTAAAAACATCTATATTCATTTTTTAGGTGACAGGAAGCCTTATCACTGATTCTTACTAGATTGATTAATCCATATTTCTAGAAGACATGCATTATTTACCATTGTTTTTCTCCTTTTGTTGTCTGTCTTACACACACACACACACACACACACACACAAACTTCCCTGCCCACGAGGTTGTAACGTCTTTGCATAGAATTTCATTGAGTAGTTTTTAATTATTATTTGTTAACTTTTTTCCTGAGTTTAAATGAAATGCATGTTTGAGGTATGCAATTGATATTGAAGTGACTCTTTTTACATTTTATCTATATAATATTGTATATATATAGATATATACACACATACATACTGCCTTATTTTCAGATTTTCTCTCAGAATTTTGGTATTTAAGAGTATATAATATCAAAGGGTCTTAATAACAGAATGAAAAATACATGATAATAAAATATAATAAATGCAAGGCAAACAGTGAACTGCCCCACACGTGAAGCGGACTGTGGCAACACATATCTGGCCACATGTCACTTTCTGAAGCATTTTTCATAAACCTTCACATGCCTGCATTTATCTTCAGTATAAGCCCCAAGATGAATTCCCCACAGACATTAACAATAGATAAATGCTTTTTAAACAAAAGAGTCTATTTGAAAAATCTATTACATAGGTAGGAGGGTGTTCTGTAATTGGACTTCAATTGTGTCATAAACCATGATGCTATTCAGTGATATTATTTTATTGTCTGGTCTCAGCTTTAATGGAGAGCAACATAACCAAAAATTTAGAGGTTCATGCTGTAAAATTTTGATACCTGTTTCATTTAGATTATATTAGATTATTATTATGAAACACCATGAAAAACACTCAAGGGATTCCAACTTGAACAACAAAAAAACTGAAGACAAAAATTGAATTTCTAAAAAAAATTATTTTAATGAAGGTCAGCTACATTTTTTTTGAAATTTGATTGTAAAGACATTCCAAAATCCTGTTCATAACATGATCCAAGAGCAATAGATTACACAATTTAAATTTCATGGTAAGCTATGCAAACACAAATAGACATGTCTTACACAGAAATGAAGAACACAGTGACTGGGAGTGCTTTATGACAAATGACACATGCGTAGAGTGCAGTAGAACTGACTCTAAAGCAAATTCAGCTGCTTTTTTCTTGCGTCTTCTTTTTTTCTGTATATAATATGTACAGAAGTACAAATGTTTACACTGTGTCTAGTGACTACGAACAAAGAACATTCAATGCCGTGTGTATGTTTACCAAAGAAATTGTGTTTCAGATGGGAAAATCTGATGTCCTTTTTAACAACTATAGAATTGAAGTAGTCAGGATAGGAAAAAGGGTATTTGTTTTATTCATGGGTGATTGCAAAATAATTCTTGTGTGTCATAGGGAATGGTGGGCTCATGGAATCTGAATCACTGACTTGCCAGACATATCTATTTCCAGGAAAAGAAAAGTTTTTGTTGGTAATCTAATGAGAATGCAAATTATTTTCTTGAGATGACAGAATTTTGGTAGTAAGTATTAGTCTGCTGCTAGCATGCTATGAATTCTGTGTAATTAAATGAAATTGGATTTTGGACCTTGCTTTGTGTAGACAGCACTGGTGTCTGAGTAATACTCCATTCAAACACCTCACCCTGATGTATTGCATTAATAGATCATCAGAAGCAGTTGTCATTCCAGTGATATATTAGTGCAATACATGAGAATGAGACTCACTGATGATGTATTTAGTACTCACAAGATGGCAGTGTCCGAAGAAGAAATGGGCCCAGTAAGGAAGCCATTGTAATTACAGGATGAAGTCAGTTAGTATGCAGTACTTGGCAAGATTTTTCAGGGTACCAAGTTGAAGTATTTGCGCTGTAGCTACTTTTAGGAAACTCTTCCTGGTGCAGTGGGAAAAATATTATTATCTCTGTACAAAATAATTTCCACTGGTGAACTATTAGTAAAAGATAATATACATACATGTCTGGTTACCATACACCATTTTAGTGCATGCCAATGTCCATACTAGCAGAAAATATTGTGTACTGTTAGTACTAGCTTCTGGGAAAATAAAAATCTCCTTTGGTAGGATTTTCTGGGTTGGTACTCAAATATTTTTGCAACAGTAGTTTTCCAACTGATGGTTTCTGTCAAAGGGGAAGCTTTTGCTTGTAAGTGTCTACATGCCACCAAGCCATCATGGGCACAGCTTCTGGCATTAGCTAGAGAGGCAGATATTTTAAGTAAAACATTAAACTTAGGTCTCAGTGTCATACATTTTCTGCTAATAGAGCTTGTAACACCTACTATAAATGTAGATGAATTAGAGACTCCTAGTGACCTCTATCTACCTCCTGTGGGGCTTTTTCTAAAAGGGTAAAAGAGAGACTTTTAAATGTTTATAACATAGAGCTAAAAAGGCTTTTTATGCAATGGAATAGCAGTTACTGGTCACCTTCTTATAGCAGCTGATTGCATCATAAATAAACTAGTAGGACCAGTCATCCCAGCTGTGGAATGGATGCATCCAGAGAACAGCCACACAGCATTGGGCATTGGTGAGACAAAGGGAGTTTTCTTCCCAGGGCCTGGGCCTGTAAAGATTAAGGAGTGACATAAAGCCTGGATGTGTGCAGTTTGGGAAGGAGGAAGTGGCAGAGAAAGAGAAAGAAGTGGAGGTGATAGCTTGTACATGGCATTTCCTTCCCAGAAATTTGTTAACCAAGTATTATTTGAAGGAAGTTTCTTGAACCCCTAGCAAGGAAGACAAAACAGTAATGGAGAGGAAGGGATAACCACCGAGACACAGAGATGCTACAGGGAATCTCATTCCAATTTTCCTAGCTAGGCTGGGTGGTGGCTTTCTTATACGGCATTAAACAATCAAATTTAGAGCAAGGGACTAAATTTGGGAAGGAAAGGGCATATTCTTTTGATTAAGTGGGATTTCTTCATAATTTCATATTTTATTTCATAATTATCATTTAAATTTGGAACAGAGAAATAATTTTATGATTTAAGAAGTAGGTATTCTTTCAGTGAACATTAACCATCTCTGTTTTAACTAAAGGCTTAGAAAATATATTGAAAAAAATGTACTACTGGCTTTTAATTTACAATGAAAATGATTTGTGATGTTTTCTGTAACTGATTCATTTTATGAATGATTATTTATTGTATTGCCTATTTAACTGTGCATTCTTCAAAATGTTTACTGACTTTCCAAACTATTAATGTCCCATACTCAGTTATATTTTAGACTTGTTAGTGACACTGCTGAACTACTGAATAATTATTTTATACTAAGTAAGTTTTCTTAATATCTAGGAAATAAGGCAGGTAAATTTTTAAAATATTTTAAAAAAATATTTTAAAACACCAAAAGCAATAAGTTATGAAAGTAAGCCCCAGATTATTACACTGTATCTAGCCATCAATTATTTTCATATGATATAAAATGATTTTTCTCATTAAGAGAGGCAGTTTTGTTATGTATTTAAATAAACACAGGCAGTCTTATTTTTGCCTCAAACATGTTTGCATAAAACAGATTTAATTATTTGTCTGGAGAGTTTAAACAGCCTTTACATTGAAAATGCACATAATTAATCCATAAATATTTGTTATAGAGTTCCGAATTATTAAGGAATGTGACTTAACATGTTTGCCAAAGTTAAACAACAGTGCTATCAATACCTAAAAGGAAAACCCTAAGGATTTTCTTTGCCTTTTGGAGTAAAAACGTAATTTAAACTCTGCCCCAAGCCTCCTTTCGTTTCTTTCTTCCCTCCTTTTCTCCCTCCCTCTTTTTCTCTCTTCTTTCCTTTCATCTTTCATCTTTACTTCTTCTTCTTCGTTTTTTATTTTTGGTAAATGTAACAAAACCCATGAAAAAGAAGAAAAGGTAAAGCATACAGTGGTATGCCACTGGAAAACCTTAATGCTCCGAGAAATGCTTTTAATTGCAGCCAAGGAAGTAGAGGGAAGAGAGTAAGAATATGAGGATGCCATAAAAATGGCTAAGCTAAGATAGTTATGTTAAAATGTTTGGGGGTTTGAAGGTCTTATTCTGATAGCACAAACACATTAATTATATTTCCAATATTTTAAATAGTGATATGAAAAATAATTATAAAAATTGTATATTCTTTAAATTATGGTAAATTTCTAAAAAGAATCATTTTAACTGAAAAATAAATTCTGAGCTTTTGAACACTGCGTTCTATTCAACAGCATCTAAGATAGCATTTAATCTAAACGTTTACCCAAAATATCTCACATTGTCTGAGAAGCAACAGGAACAAGAAAATCAGAATTCTCGTAAACATTGCAGGAGGTAAACAAACACTAATCAAAGTCATCCCAAACACTTTGTGGTTTAAAAAGACACTTCATAAACAAATTAAATACACTATGCCACATATCTCTCACATTTTTTTCTAGGTAAAAACTGTTTATTCAGATAACCATCTGCATTATTGGAATAAAAGGTTATCTTGTTATTTGAAGGCAAAGTCTGAGGGGTAAGTTCCCTTGCACTCATGTGAGACAAATATGCATAACACAATGCTGGCACTTTCACATGTTATCACAGAGAATTCTTCATCAATTAAGTTCATCAATTAACATTTTAGCAAAGGGTTTTCTTTAATTTCAACTAGGGCTTGGACTGACTGTTTGATAGCAACATTTCTTTGCTTAACCGGTTTTGACAACTAATTGTCTCCATGGGCTTTTACTTATACATTCATCTCACTGGTTTAACAGCTAGTACTCCGGTTTACCATGTATTATGTGGCTGTTGATCATAAAACCCGTCTTAATTCTAATTTACTCCCCATACTTTGTCTTCCTTTGTTTCCGAACTCT
Organism: Homo sapiens; assembly: GCF_000001405.40. NCBI lineage: Eukaryota > Metazoa > Chordata > Mammalia > Primates > Hominidae > Homo > Homo sapiens. The sequence goes on along the minus strand of NC_000008.11, from coordinate 78,003,452 downwards.
TTTCTGTTCTCTCCAGTGTCTGTCTATTCCCTGTTTCTGTCTCTCAACAATTTCTATAGGAAATGATCTAGACTTCCCCATTGTTTCAGCTACATAAATGTTATCTTTTCATTTGATGGAAATTCTCCTCATCACTCTTCTCCATCTTTTCAGTCTATCTGATCCTCTCATTCTGGAAATGACTATTTCTTTTTCTTTTAACATGAGGAGTTATTTTTCCCATTACTAGCCTTCACCTTCACAGATATAAAAACCTAATTGTGCACTGTGATACAAATGGAATTTGAAATTATCAAGTGCAAAATTAGCATTAAAAAATCATAAGACAACAAACAATAGGGCTTTTATGTGATTTTTGTAATTGCGCGAAACTAGTTACTCTGGCAATAATTGTTTGTGCTTCATTAACATGCAAAATGGCTTTATAGACTAACCCACACACAAAAGAAACCATTTTTGATGAGAACTGTGCTTTGTTTAATGTTAGACACCATTGTATTTGCTTTCCTAATATAACAGTTCTAATTAGTACCTAGCACTCATCCTGAGTTTTTCAGCTTGAACACTCTGAAGGTGACAATCAAGTCACAATTCCATGGCATTCTTTGTCAGTACCTGTCAAAATATACCTAAGCCGTTAGGAGTTGTGATCTAAATACTAAAAAAAAAAAAAAGTTAACGGTTCAGAAACAATATGTCCTAGGTAATTTTAAAAAATGAAATTGCACATTAGCTCTTGCTTAAAAACATAATACCATTAATGCTACCTCATTAAATGTGGCCCTGACAAAACTAGATTTATCCTAATAATTTTTTAGCATTGCTTTTATCATTTGACCTTTATCTGTTTGCGTGATTCATTTGATTTTACCTTCTTGGTGAGGCAGTACAGGTGTCATAAAAGCAAAATTTTAAATCAGTTAATAAGTGCACGCACACTTATCAGAGGTGATTAGCCATTCATCTTAAAAGCATGAACATTATTCTTTTTAACTGCACTGAAGTAGTGACTCCATTATGCTAGACTTTATAAGCCTAACCACTGTGAAGAGTTCCAACAATCATAACATGAGAAAACATGCAGGTCCCTATTTGGGACTGTCTTGAGTTAGAATATAATTCAGATTTCAAAGACATGGGAGAGGGTTTCTCAGTTATTATTGAATCTCATGACTTTCCTTAAAGTCCACAGGAGTGTGGAGGACTAAGTTTATTATGTGATGCTGCCATTTGTGGGTCCTGAATATCAAAAATATATCAAACATAAGATGTGTTACTTTTGAGCAAATCACACACAAGGTAAACTGGTGGATAACTTGAGCTCAGGAGTTCAACACTAGCCTGGGCAATATGGTGAAACCACGTCTCTCCAAATTAAAAAAAAAAAAATTAGCTGGGCATGGTGGCACGCACCTATAGTCCCAGCCACTCGGGAGGCTGAGGTGGGAGGATCCTTTGAGCCCTGGAGGCAGAGGTTGAAGTGAGCTAAGATGGCGCCACTGCACTCCAGCCTAGGCCACAGAGTGACACACAGTCTCAAAAACAAACAAACAAACAAAACAACAACAACAACAAAAAAAACCAAGAAAGTCCTGTAAACATTTTAAAGTCTCGTCCAACAGTGTCATAAAGTTATCACCATTGGATATTATTTCAAGACCCCCATCCTCCTTTTCTTCTGTGTATTTTTTTAGTTTTGCCACCTCTCTTAAAAGGTGACACCCAAAACATCTGTCTCTCTTTCATTCTCTTTTTACCCTATTAACTATCTATCTATCTATCTATCTATCTATCTATCTATCTATCTCTCTATCTATGTATCATCTATATCTTGCCATCTTGCTGTCTTACTATGTATTATTTATCCATCTAGTTTTAAATGCTTCTATGTTCAGAGTGCAAAATGCTGAATTTAGAGGGATGCATTAAGTCACAGTCTTGACTCAAAGGAGTTTATAAGTCACTATTGGAAACATTCACATAAACAATCATACTGCTTAGTTTGAATCTGTTGGATGAATAAAAAAAAGAGACAGACCTGGTTTAATAAAAGTGTAAAGAGGTTCATGAAAATTTTTCCTAAGGAAAAAGTAATTTTTTTTAGGAGTAAACAATGTAAGGACTGAACCAAACTAAAATTTTTAGTATATGGAAGACTATGTATTAGAGTTTTGATACTGCTCAAAAAAAAAAAAAAGCTGATTTTGGCCCACTAACTAGTGTATATATTGGATAATCATTCACTATCAGGTAAGGGTCTCTTGTTACCTTTACTTATATATTTTCAGTTACTAATTTTCTGTCATAACAGGATAGACTTAGATCCATTGCAATCCACAGACATCTCAGGAAATTCACATTTAATTTGAGCTAATTGGAGCATGCATATTATGTGTTTTAAAAACCTCATTAAATGTAATTATAGAATCTTGCATTTACTAAGGTAGTTTCATCTGAAACTTTGTCCAAGAGAATTCTATTGGGAATTTAGACCTCCTTCGCACCTGTGCTCTTTCCTCAATCTAACTGACTTTACATTGGATCCTCAAGGTTTTCCAGAATCCCTAAAGGAAAAAAAAAAACAAAACTCTTCACAGTGTTGTCAGATCATATTCTAAAACAGATGAAAATACGTAGCTGCTTTATTTGGAGTATAATATTATTAAATCACTAATAGTATTCTCTTCTCTAATTTTGTATCTTCCTTCCACCGCATGGTGACACACTCAGAGTAGTTTTTTGATGATAAGGAAGAGCAATCATAGCTAACTTAGGTCTCCTGAATAGCCCACTGACAAATATAATGACATCCAAATACTTATCCAATCCATTCTTCATTCCAGCAATATTCAGACCTCATCATTGACTAAATCCAAGCAACGTGTATGTGTATGTGGTTTTGCAACTGGGCAAATAATCAAAGCAGAGGAATGAATACAACCATCTGTATGGAAATTGGCACACTGCAAATTGGTCCCCTAACTGGGATTAGACAGAATGCATGTTTTCCCCAGCTCCACTTCTTTCCCAGAATTTCATATACATCAATAACCATGGCTTTCCTTCCTTCAGCTAAAGATGGAGAGAGAGAGAGATGCTTTAAAGTTGTCAGTGTCAGGGAGGGTTTGTCCTGCATAGTTATAAGCCTATTATTTAAAAGAACAAAATGAAGGCTCATTTCCTACAGTGAATTTAATACTTTTCCTGCCTTGTATTATGGCGATAGTGCTGAAAAGTAGAATAAGAAAAAAAGAGAGAAAAAATCGATTATTTAAACTCAAAACTAAGTTATAACCCTGTTTGTATGATGACTCTGCTGAGATATTTACTTACCAGTGTAACTTTTAAAAGCACAGTTAGAGCCAAAGAATATTTGATAATTTTTCCTTTTATTTTATAGTTAATTTCCATTATTATGTGAAGTTTAGGAGGGTTTTCTAGAAGACTAATACAATACAATAGGGTATGATAGAAATCCTGACAGTAGGGCACTCCTGAGATGTCATTGTTAAAAATGTATAAAGTATAAAATGATAACCAAGAGAAATAGATAATAGTGGTGATGCAGCTTGTCTAATTAAATCCTAAAGTTTATTACTTACATAAATGTGAAATAATGAGTTTGTATAATTTGGGGAAGGCAAAAAATAAAATATATGATTCCATATAGATGATTAGGATATTCTTGTCTGTGAAAAAAATCTTATGAACATAAATATTATTTTAGTTTGTTCTGATTTTAAAATGTATACTCTTTCAATTTAAAAGAGTGCAAGGGAAGGAAAAAGAATCTTGGCTTGAAAAGAAATGTTTTTTAATTTTACTGTGTGTTTTTGTTGTTGCTGTTGTTCCTCCCATAAGCATAGTCATATAAGCAAGCTGTTTGGAGAGAGTAATATATTGATATCATATTGTGGGACAGGATATTAATACTGATTGTAGTAGGTTGAATGATGGCTTCTCAAAAAGAAGTATGTCTAAGTCCTAACCCCCAATATCAATGAATCTGGCTCATTTAGAAAAAGATTTTTGCAGATGTAATTGAGCAAAAGATCTCAAGATGAGACACATGAAGCTGAAGGCAGAGATTGGAGCAATGCATCTCCAAGCCAAGGAACACTAAAGATGGCTGACAGCCACCAGAATATAGGAGAGAGGCCTTGAACAGATTCTCCTTCAGAACCTCCAGAAAAAACCAACCCTGCTGACTTCTTGATTTTGGGTTTTTAGGCTCCAGAACTATGAGAGGATATTTTTGTACGTCAACTTTGTAGTAACTTGTGAAAACCCTAGAAATGGAATACACCAATTTTTATAATACTGACATTCAGGTATCATACTCAGCCTTCCAAATGAAAATTAGAAACAGTCATTTTACATCAACATACACTTCATAGAAAGCAACACACTAAACTCATGAATAAAATCAAAGTAAACAAATGCAATCACTCCAACCTTACAATAGGGTGTTTAGCGTAGAAAAGGGGTAACAAATTAGACCTCGGGAAAACATCTCTGAGGCACCTCATTTCTGATTATCCTGGGATTTTTTTAACAGATTTTTTTTAAGAAGTTATAGCTTTACAAGAACATTGAGCAGAAGGTACAAAGAGTTCCCATATACCCCTACTCCTGCCCCAACTATCAACATATTGCACCAGAGTGGTACATTTCTGATCTTTTTACTCTTTTTATTGTTTTGCCTTTTTCCACAATGTCATACAGTTGGAAACATACACTATGTCATCTTTTCAGATTGGCTTCTTTCATTCACTAATATGCATTTGAAGGTTCCTCCATGTCTTTAAAGGTTTCATAGCATATGTCTTTTACTGCTAAATAATATGCAGTTGTCTAGATGTATTCACTTACTGAGGAACATCATGTTGCTTCCAAATTCTGTCAATTATGCATAAAGCTATTATAAACATCTCTGTGTAGGCAAACACATTTGGGTAAATATCAAGGAGCATGAATGTTGGATAGTATGATAAGAGTAGGTTTAGTTGTTTTTTTTTTTAAAAACTACCAAACTGTAGTTAAGTGGCTGCACCATTTCACATTCCCATAGCAATAAATGGAAGTCCCCGTTTCTCCACATCCTCAATGGTATTTGGTGTTGTCAGTGACTTGGATTTTGGCTATTCTAACAGGTGTGTCATGGTATCTTGTTGTTGTTTAAATTTGCCTTTCCCTAATGACATATGATGTTGAACATTATCTCATATGCTTATTTTCCCTCTTTATATATTTTTTGATAACGTTTCTCCTCATGTCTTTGGCTCATTTTTAAAAATTAGGTTGTTCATTTTTTTGAGTTTCAAGAGTTTTGTGTGTCTTTTTGGATAATTTTTTTTATCAGATATATCTTTTATAAATATTTTCTCCAAGCCTGTGGCTTATCTTCTCATTCTCTTGACATTTTCTTTCACAAAACAAGTTTTAAATTTTAATGAAGTGCAACTTATCAATTATTTATTTAATTGACCAGGCATTGGTTTTGTATCTAACCCAAGATCATACCCAAGGTCAGTTAGACTTTCTATTATCTTCTAGGAGTTTTATGGTTTTATGTTTTTATACAAACATAAGTCTACTAACCATTTTGAGTTATTTTTTGTGAAAAGTGTAGGGTCTATGTTTAGGTAAATTTTTTCCCTGGTGGCCATCCAGATGTTCCAGCATCGTTTGTTGAAAAGACTATCTTTGCTCCATTGTATTGTCTTTGTTCCTTTCTCAAAAATCAGTTGTATTATTTTGGTATTAAGGTAATGTTGGGTCTTTTACTGATCTTCCTACTATGCTCCACTGAATCATTTGTCTTGCTTTTCATTAATACCACACTATTTTGATTACTGTAGTTTTATAGTAAGTCTTGAAGTTGAATACTACCAGTCTTTCAACACTGTTTTTTTCTTCAACATTATGTTGATTATTTTGAGCCTTCTATCTTCCCATATAAATTTTAGCATCAGTTTGTCAATATCCACAAAAATATCTTTCTGATATTTTGATTAGAATTGTTTTGAATTTGTAGATTAAGTCAGGAAAAATTGACATTGTGACAATATTGAGTCCTTCTACCCATGAACATGGAAGATATCTCTATTAATTCTTTTTTTGTTTGTTTCTTTCATCAGAGTTTTGGAGTTTTTGTCATATAGATCATGTATATTTTATTTTTAGATTTATAGCTAGGGCTTTTCTTCCTGGGGGTGCTAATATAAATGATAAAGTGTTTTTAATTTTAAATTCCACTTGTTTAATGCTGGTATATAGGAAAGCAACTTTTGTCCATTAATCTTGTATTCTACAATGTTACTATAATCATTATTTATTCTATGAGTTGTTTTTGTTGGTTCTTTTGTATTTTCCACATAAGTAATCATGTCATCTATAAACAAAGTCAGTTTTATTTCTTCCTTTCTACCCTACATACATTTTATTTCCTTTTCTTGTCTTATTACATTAATTAGGACTTCTAGTATGATGCTAAAAAGCACTAGTGAGATAAGACATGTTTACCTTTTTTTCTGATCTTAGCAGAAAAGTTTTAATAATTTCTCACCATTGTGATAATGTTAGCTATAGTTTCATTGAAGATGAACTTTATCAAATTGAGAAGATTCCCCTTTGTTCCTGGTTTTCTGAGAGTTTGTTATTTTTTGTCAACAATAAGTGTTAGATATTGTCAAATACAGTTTCCAAATGTACTGTTATAATCATGTGATTTTTCTTTTACAGCCTGTTGATGTGATGGGTTACATTAATTGATTTTTCAAATATTGAAGCAGCTTTGCATACATGGGATAAATCTACATTGTTATGGTGTATAATCTTTTTATAAATTATTGAATTCTGTTTGCTATTATTTTGCCGAGGAATTTTTTATCTATGTTCTTGAAAGATATTTGTCTATAGTTTTTTTTTTCTCATTATATCCCTATCTGATTTTGGTGCTAAGGTAATTTTGGCCTCATAATACAAGTTCAGAATTACTCTTTCTACATCTATATTCTAGGACAGAATATAGAAAATTATGAAAATTTATCCCTTGGTTGTTTAGTACATATCCTATTATTAATCAGTGAGATAGAATTAAGAATAAAGGTAATGTGAAAACAGTATAGAGATTTAAAATATTATCTTTCATATTATAATTTTGCAGTAGTGAAATGAAGATTTATTTTCAGGTAAATCACAATGTGATATATAAAAAACTGTGGTTTAGTTTTAGAAAATAAATGTTGATTACCAAGTATAAGTAAGTTAATAATGTGTATTATGTTATATATACTGTGAGCAAAGTAAGGGAACCTCATTTCAATTTAGAGCAATATTCAAAGAAAGTTTGAAACTAAGCCCATATTGAAAAATCCTTTTAGCAATCATTTTTTAAAAGTTAAGTTTCTAGAGATATACTTACTTTTGTTAAATAAATATGTTTTAATAACTGAAAATCATCAGAAGTTTGGATTTCTCCACTGTGAACAATTAAAAAACTTTTAAAATTAGTCATCATGGCCGGGCGCAGTGGCTCACGCCTGTAATCCCAGGACTTTGGGAGGCCAAGGTGGGTGGATTGCCTGAGGTCAGGAGTTTGAGACCAGTTTGGCCAACATGGTAAAACCCTGTCTCTACTAAAAATACAAAAAAAAAAAAAAAAAAAAAAAAAAAAAAAAAAGCCAGGCTTGGTGGCAGGTGCCTGTAATCCCAGCTACTGGGGAGGCTGAGGCAGGGAAATTGCTTGAGCCAGGGAGCTGGAGGTTGCAGTGAGCTGAGATCACGCCACTACACTCCAGCCTGGGAGACAGAGTGAGACTCTGTCAAAAAAAAAAAAATAATAATAATAGTTCACCATCATTTCAAGCTTCCCAAGATTTCTGTTGGCCTTAGTTTTTGAGGCCTAGAGATGGGCGTGATCCCTCAGTACTTTCCTGAGTCATTCCAGTTTAGTTCTCAAAAATAGGTTTATTAATTTTCTATTCATTTATCAAAAGCAACAGGTCAGGAATACCAAAGTTGTCTAAAAAGTGTACAAACTTTTGTCTTCTTGAATAACTATACCTATTTCTGTGTTGAAGAAAATGCCCATGGGCCAAGTGTTTTGTCAATAGCAAATGTCAATGAGAAGAGCGACCATTTATTTTCTAAGCAAATTATTAGAATATGTGGGTATATTGGAAAATTAGCAACCTAAAGATTCTAAGTTCTCAAAAAGTTTAGCCTATCTCTGTTTATTTCTTCTCCAATGCTACTGTGAAACCTATAAGGCTACTTGTACTTTACCCCAGAATATGTTCATTATACTTAATCACAATATGTCATTAATAAATTAATTTTATATGTGTATGTGTTACACTCCAGATATTGTGTAAGGGAGTTGCAATTCAGTACTTGTGCGCATGGTGCTTTCATTTTGATAGGAGACTACAACACATAGATAAATAAATATATATAATATATAATTTCCAGTAGGGATTGTTTTATGGCAAAATAGTTTGGTAAGAACAGGAGTACTTTTGGCCATGGGAGTATTTTTCTCCAACCAATATAACAAAATTTAAGGGAGAGTTCTCTGATAATGTGAAATTGGAGCAGAGACCAAGACAAAGTAAGATTTTTAGCTATGAGTTTTTCTAGGAGAAGAAATTTTTAGGCAAAAATAGGATATGCCTTGAGCCAAAAGTTACATGGATTTTTCAGAAAAGAGTGAGGAGGTCAGAAGTGAAGAGATAAGAGAGTAGATAATAAGTAGGGATAAGAGATAAGCTCATAGAAGTGGAAGGAGAGTAGGCAGGACAGGTAGAACCTTGTGGACTATTGTAAAGTGTTTGAATTGCACTTTAAGGAAGTTTCAAAAAGAATTAACTGACCAGAAGCAAGGTGTGAAATGATGTAATTTACAATTCGAGAGGGTAGCTCTGACTATTGGCTTTAGAATAAACTCCCAGGAAGTAGAAGGGAAAAGATCAGTTAGAAGTGATTTCAATAACAAGTGTTAACTGAAATCAGCCTGACTAGTGTGGCCGGACCCAGGGGGCAGGAATTGAAAGATTCAAAATGCAATTGGACATTAGAGCTGACAGGATCTATTGGTATCTGTGGATGCATTAGAGGTGGAGTAGAAAAAAATGAGATCAATGAATGATTATGCCAAAATTTTTGACCTGACATATCAATAACTGAGGTTTTTACTTACTGTGATGGAGAATACAAATAGGACTGGATGTAAAACCACAAGTTTAGCTTTGGAGACGTTACATTTGAAATATTGAGTAGGCAGTTTGATATCTATGTGTGAAGCTCAGTAAATAGGTCCAGACTGGACATATAGATTTGAAAATCGTCAAGGTTCAGATGACATCTAAAATCATGGGCCTGAATATGATTATCCAATAAGTAAGAGAAAAAAGGGTTTGACCAGGATGAAAACCAGGTTTTATGGAGCTTGAAGCTTCATAATTTTGGTCATTATTTTTTGATAAAAATAATAGGCAATTAAAATAATCAAGTACAAAGTTTTGAAGGGGTCCTATCCATATCGAGAACTTCAAAGCTTGAATTTTGTTAACACCATGGTAAATCTGCTTGTGGTTGGGAAGTTAGGGGATAAGCAGCAGAGTAGATTGAGCAGTTGCCAACTTCTAAAAGGAAACTAAAAAGTGGTATTCCAGAAGCAAAGTAGTGAAAGTGTTTCCAGGAGGCAAGAGTAATCCACTGGTTTAAATGATAATGACTTAGCAGACAAGATGAAGACAAATAATGGACCATCAGATTAGGTAACATTGTGGAACTTGACAAAGAGTAGCGTTGGTTAGTGTAGCAGGAGCAAAATCCTAGTTGGGGTACATTTAGACACCTAAGTGGAGAGTAAATAGGGAGCAATGAGTTTTCTGCAAAGAAAGGAGATCCATAGATCTATGGAGCAGTTCAAAGCGATAGATACATCAAGGGATAAATTTAAGGATCACTCATATATATGTGGCTTGATTTACTGGATAACTAACATTTAGATTACCTGAAAACAACCTATGTTAAACGCAAGAACATGAGGTTTAAAACAAGGACAGATCATTTCTTTTTAATAAGAGTATAGCTGTGAATACAATATGCCCTTTTTCCCAAATTTCTCCTATTTCCTGAAATACATAAAGCTATATATGTGTAATGACAGAACAGATCTTTAATACAAGCCAAACATCTTGTGAGAGAGACTTTCAGCTAAATGTTTTTATGTTTTTGTGTTTATTTATTTATTTATAGAGATGGGATTTTTCTATGTTGCCAAGGGTGATCTCACACCCTTGACCTCAAGCAATCCTCTCACCTCAGATTCCCAAAATACTGAGATTACAGGAATAAGCCACCATGACCAGCTATGCTTTTGTGTTTAATATAAGAAATATATAGTTCTTGTAAACAGTCAACTTTACTGAAGTATAATTTCCATTTAATATAAATATATATTAATACTTCAATGAGTATTGACAAATGTGTACACCCATGTAAGCATCATTCTGATCAAGGTACACATTTTCATCACCTTCAAAAATTTCTGGTATCCCTATTCAATCAACTTTGCACAATACTCACTCCAGTCAACCGCTCATGATTTCTGTCACCAAAAGATTAGATTTAAATGTTGTAGGACTCTATATAATTGAAATCCTATGGAATGTACTCATGTGTGTGGCTTCCTTGCCACTGTGTTGATTTGGGTATTAGAGTTTCACTACTGGTATTGCTGAATAGTGTTTTGTTGTATATGTATACTACAATTTGCCTATTCATTTATCTGCTAATGAACATTTGGAGTTTTCATGGAGTTCTTATGAATACCATATAAATTTTCTTGTGAGTATAAATTTTTATTTTTTTGGGTAAGTACCTGGAAGAAGGATCTGTATGTCATACAATAAATATGTGGTTAACTTTATTAACCAACTGCACAATAGTTTTTGAAGGTAGTCATAATATTTTACCTTCCCATCAGCACTTTATGAGAATGACAGTGGTTCCACATCTTCAGAATTGTTAAAGAGGTATCCCATAACAATTAGCTAGAAATATTCCCAGTCTCTAAATTTTCTAAACTGGCTTTTGTGAAATTATACATATGAAGTTGATTTTTTGAAAGGAATTGAGTCAAATGTAAAGGATACTTACCTAATGTTTTCTTGTGATAATCAACTTTGTCAATGAAAACTACCATACTAGAGAGCCTGTTACTGTTCTTGATCTAATTATGAAGCAATGTACAATGGACTATCGTAAATGCTCTGTAAGATCTTAATAAAACAAATATTGGCTGACTATGGAACTTAGCAATGGGTGCTTCAGTGGATCGTCTCAAATGAAAATGCTGTGGTTACAAATACTGTCATGACACCATTAATCAAGGATTAAGAAATTATTACTTAATTACATTCAGTAGTAAATACAGGTACAACCGTGAGAACATATTTCTTTAGAAACAAAGACATTTTATTGGCACAATGTTTATTTGCTAATAAACTGTTTTCTCATTTTTATAACTAAAATTATTTTCTTACAGAGGAAAGCTTATTTTTGTAACCATAAAAATATAATTTTTTCTGTTGAAACTCATTTTTGCTTCGATGTATTTGTATAAGTGGCTTCATTTATGGATTTCTTTATTTTTTTTTTCAAGGAAAGTAAAGCAGATGATGTTGAATACCATGTTACATATCACTCTGGCCTACCTTTGAGTCTATCTGCATCTACAACTGACAGTTCCCATTCAAGCCAGTTGCTTTCACACTGAGGTCTGTTTGCTTCAATTTTGAGGGTTCTCTTGTTTATCTCTGCAACCAAGGGTAATCTTCAATTAAGGAAGGATGTGGGTTGATGGATAAACACCCAACTGGGACTGTTCTGAACAATGTTCTATTTGATTACTCAGGGGATCCCAGCAGGACTGAGCCACACTTGCTTCCTGTGATGATCTGCTCCTTGACATTGACTTCCAATGTGTGGCTTTCCTCCTTTCCCTGTTTCACTTTTCTTGCTCCTTCACTTCTGCTTCCTGCCACCATCTCCGAAAAAACTGACTTGTCTCAGTGTCTGTTTCTGTGAGAAGTCACACAAAAAACAAAAACTTATTAAGTGACAATAAAGGTCTCATTCATTCACTCATTCAATGAAGACTTATTGCATCCTTACAATCTCCCAGTAATGGTGAACAAGTGAGGCATGTTGCTTGTCCTCAGATAGCTAACAATTTACTGGTGAAGACTGACACTGAACAAGTGATTATAGGTGTGTGTAGACAAGTGCTATAGAGACTAGAATGTCAACTCTGTGAGGGCAGAGCTTTTATCTGTATAGTTCTACTCCCCATTCTCCCAGGCATTACTATAATTCCAACGTCAAAAAAAATTCCTGACAGATAGTGGTTGCAAAAAAGTGAATGAATGCTAAGGTTTAAACTAGAAACCTTTAGCAATTACAAAGTATCATTACAAGTAAAGGAGAGTGGGAAAGCCATACAAAATGTAAGTTTAATTTTCTGACTTACTGGGTAGCTACAGGCAAAAAAAGCACTAGCAAAGAAAAGGAATTCAGTAGATCCTTTAGAGCATCAAGTCAAAGGTTCTTTGCTTGGACATCTTTACCTTCTAAATTAAGGGACAACAGGCTACAGACCCTCACAAAATATCATGTATAATATGCCCCTGCATTGGTTTGCCAGGGCTGCTGTTGCAAAGTATCACAATCTGAGTGGCTCAAACAACATAATTTTTTGTCTCACAGTTTTAGGGGATAAAAGTCAAAGATCAAGGTGTTGGCAGAGCTGAGTTCTATCTGAGGGCACTAGGGAAAGATCTGTCCCATGATCCTTTCCTGACTTCTGGTGTCTGGCTGGCCGTATTTGGCATTCCTTGTCTTGTAGATGCATCACTCAGGTCTTCACTGTCATGTTCATATGAAGTTCTCTCTGCATGTATGTTTACCTCCAAATGTCCTCTTTTTGTAAGAACACTGGTCATATTGAATTTGAGACCCATCCTACCCCAGAATAACCTCATCCTACCTAATTACATCTGCAACAATGATATTTTCAAACAGGGCCACATTTTGTAGTACTGTGGTTTAGTACTTCAACCTATGAATTTACTTGGGAACAATTCAACATATGACACAACCCTTTCCTTCAAACTTGGAGCTGAATGGAGAGAGGTCTCTAGAATATAGTATATAGCAGGTGAGACTCACCAATAAAGACCGCTATTACTTTAGGTTTTCATGATGACAAGTATGGCTTGAAGGTATCCTTTTCATATTATTACATGTAATAACAATAGATGATAATTACCTTTGGATAGGCAGATTCACTAGTAGCTTATTGTTTAGTGTAAGACAATCCACTTTTTTTTTTTTTTTTTTTTTTTTGAGACAGAGTCTCGCTCTGTCGCTCAGGCTGGAGTGCAGTGGCACAATCTTGGCTCACTGCAACCTCCGTCTCCCATATTCAAGCAATTGTCTTGCCTCAGCCTCCTGAGTAGCTGGGATTACAGGTGTGTGACACCACGCCTGGCTAATTTTTGTATTTTTAGTAGAGATGGGGTTTCACCATGTTGGTCAGGCAGGTCTCAAACTCCTGACCTCATGATCCACTGGCCTCGGCCTCCCAAAGTGCTTGGGATTACAAGCGTGAGCCACCGCGCCTGGCTGAGAATCCATATATTAAAGAGAACTACATCAATTTTTTTCTAACTAATCCAATACTCAAAAATCCAGACGTTTGAGTAATAATGAATTTATTAAGCAAGGTTTTTTAATAATTTGCTCAATCTTAGTATTTTTTCTGTTATTATAAATCTAAAATAATTTTATCTCATCTCGTAACTATTAAAGTCCACATTTTTTAAACCTAATTATTTGTTTCTCCCTATGTCCCCTGCAATGTCTAAATAAAATAAGGTTTTCATTTTAATATATTTTGATCTATCTTTATTTTATTGCTTCCATAGAATTTTGGAAATATCATTTATTGAATTGTTTTTCAATAAAACCTAAGTGGATGCTAGGAAAGAAGTAGAATGGTCATCAGGTATAAACTAGAAATACTGTAATCATTTTTTCAAGATAGTTAAATAATTGATAAATAATACATGCATATAAAAACAGTAGAGGTAAAATGCTATAATATAAATGGACATAAATAACTGCAATGTTTTTGGTAATGATTACAAAATATCTTAGTATATTTAATAATGCCAATCAAAACCAAAATAAGCTCTTTAACATAAATGTTATTATTTAAAGTCAAATGTATGAAAACTGAATTATAAATTTAATCTCAGATAAGAAGCTAAGTATGCTTATTGTAATATTCTTTTTAAAACAATCCCTTTTTTTTTTTTTAGCTGATAAGCCATACCTCACAACAGAGATAATATAATTAATAAACAAAGATTTTTGGCAGCTGATTACTAGATATATATGCAGTTTGGTTTTGCCTCTAGAGTTTCAGATTATTGTTAAATTATGCTTATTAAAAGAATAAAACAGCTTATCACAAGGATGCCCAACAGAACAACAATCCATCATACAGAATTTACTTCAGAAATTACCATGTCTCAGAGCATGATTTCTCTGTGACCTGGAATTAATTGAAGAATTGATGCAAGAATCATCATAAATACAAAAAAGTGACAGAAACTGATCTCTTTGAGGTCAACAGAGTTTTGATGAAGAAGCCTGTGATGTCTTCCAAAGGGCAATATCCAGACTAAAGGTCTCCCAGTTTTGTTCTCTGTTTGATCTTTTGATCTCTACTCAATGTTTCAATGTCATTACCCAAGAGTAAGAAAGAAAGGTCATTTTTTCCTTTAAATTCTAAGCTCTTTAACTTCAGTATGTTTTTATTTCTCTTTCTTTTTGTGGTATCAATTTGTCTCACCTGGTCCTCAGTAGTCCAAAATCCTTAGACTGGCAATAATGTACAGACAAAGAATTTGCTCTAGAAGAACGAAGTCCAACAGTGTGGCATAGTCATTAAAACATTCATGGACTTTGCAGCCAGGTGAAACTTGCCTCTGTTCCCAATTCTATTTCTATTTCACTAGGTGACTAAATCAATTGCTTAACTTTTCTTCGGTTTTGATCAAAGTAACATGAAATAATACTCTTTCCTTTTTTAACATTTTTTTCTGTGCAATAGTAATCCTCATCAATGTCAGATGTGTGCTTTGGGCTTACTAGGGAAAAGCTCATGATTCTGGTAATTGAAAAAAGAAAAGTATTAATATTATTCCTCTTATTAGCTTATATATAGGTTTTTTTATACAGTAGCCATAGTACTGTTGTTTCATGTTTCATTTGCAAGTAAATATTGCTAAATGAGCATACTGTGTGAACTGAAATTTTGCAAGTTATGTTAACAATCCATCCTTAATGTATGACTTTAACTCCTGTGGTGTAGTCAGAAAAGACCATGGACTTCATCTGTTGTCTAATTTCCAATTATGTCACTGGAGGACTGGAATAGATTGATGGGAAAAGGCAAAAATGAGGAAACACTAATGTTAAATGAAAGATTATATGGGTAGGAAACAATAAGTGATTCTCTGCTGAATGATGACGGCTGGAAAGTAGCTCTGAATTGCACCCTTCTCTAAACTGCAGAGGTCAAATACTGTTCATCCCAAACACAGACCACATCTGACACATCCCTGTAACGCTATGATCTTACTATATAATAATCGTTTGTAGTTTTATTCCCACTAGAAGTTATGCATGTGCAGGCAGGCCTATCCCAATAAACTACTTATTTTATTGTGACAATAAAATATTAACTTATGTCTCCTACAGTTTTAAAAAGCCAGCTCTGATTTTATATACATATATATATATATTAGCATGCTTGCATCAATTGTATACATTACCTTTTTCATAGATGAATTTTATGTTCAGACATCTTGATAAATGATAAAATTTTTGAATATATATATATTTCTGTTTCAAGAAGTTTAATTTACAGACCTAGCAGAGTGCCTGATAAAGTGACATCAAATGATGAAGAAACTAGGGAGACAGATGCCAAAGTAGGACTGGGGATAACTTTTGAAATAGGTTGAAATCAATATTTATATAGAATATTTTGGGACATGCAGAAAATGATCAATAAATGTGACTAGAGTCTTCTACCTCACAATCTAAATTGAAAAAATGTCTGAATTCTTCTAGTAGCCACAGTTATCTACCTAAATATTACTTAATATAAAAATCAAAAATACAATGTAGTGCCTTGCACTAAAACATTCAAGAAATGTCTTTTGACTGACCTATGGCATGGATATATGACAAGAAATAATTAATGAATGAATTCTGCCATGGTTTAAATATGTCCCCCAAAGTGCATGTATTGGAAACTTAGTCCCCAATACTACAAGTGTTGGGAGATAGGACTTTAAGAGATGATGTTATTCCTAGAGTGGGTTAGTTATTGCAGAAATGGGTTCCTGATGAGTTCAGCCATCATTCACCCTTCCAACATGCTCCTTGGCCTCTGCCTTCCACCATGGAATAATGCAACAAGAAGGACCTTGCCAAGATGTTAACCCCTTGACTTTGGACTTGACAGCCTCCAGAGCTATGAACCAAATACATATTTGTTTATCATAAATTACTGAGTCTTATTTTGTTATAGCCATACAAAACAAACAGTCAATTCATTTTTCCATAGGCAAAAACAAATAGCCTTCATTATTGCTTTAGTTATGAGTTCAAATTATAATGCCTGAAGTCACATAACTGCTAAAAGTCGTTTTTAAAACTCAATCCTGTTTACTTAGAAAGCTCTAATTTTTTTAGGTAATAGTTTTAACATTCTTGATTTGAGATGAGAAAAATAACATTTTCTGTGTGATGGTCTTTTCATGAATTTTTATAGAAACTCCTACCTGAACTTTCTCTTAATATTCTTTTCTCTTTCTCTCTGGGGAACCATTCTTCTAAAGACCTACTTCTTCAAGAGAAATAATTACATTTAACAAAAGACAAGGACTAATGCTGTTACTATGTATATCCTTGTGCATTGACAACTAGAAAATCATAGTAGATGGATTTATAAACGTTATTGCTCTTTTGCACTGTAGGAAACTTGCAATTTGGTCAAGATCCACACTTAATTCCTGTCCTTATATTCAGATCTCAGTTATATTTTCTCCTTGGCATCTTTAAAAGCTATTCTATACAAAATAATTCTTTTAATAATGAATCAGTCTGCCTTTACGCCTTACTATAACCCCCAAATTGCTTTAGATAGGTAAAGATATAGGTAGCACTATAGATAAATAATAGAAATAATAGCATTGCGTCACATACGTTGTTACTCCACTGCAGATTCAATCATGTAACTTATGAGAAGAAAGCTTTAAATGAGTTTCCAAGATCATAACCCTATGGTGATGAAAACTATACACACAATTCACTGTGTTCTTACTTTATTTTTGTAATAAAATATTACATTTTGTGACAATAAAATATTAACTTATGTCTCCTATATTTTTAAAAAGTTAGCCCTGATTATTGTATATGTATGTTGAGGAGCATGGTTGCATCAATAATATATATTACTTTTTTCACAGCTGAATTTTATGTTCAGACATCTTGATAAATGATTAAACTTTTGAACATATGTATTTTCCTGTTTCAAGAAGTTCAAAAACACTATCAATAAAATGAAACCTAATAAAAATACTGTTATTTAAGCAATATACAACTTTCTGTCTTTCTAAATATAACCATATATAGTACATATAAAATTATGTATGTTAGTTGCACCAAATAAGTGAGAGCTACCATTGTGAAAACATCAATCTCAATTAGTACACAAAATACTCTATAAAAAGTCTAAAATTAATTTGTTCACTGGAAATTATATATATGTATACAAATTCTTAGCATATCAAATAATGCCAAAGTATATATATATGTGTGTATATATATATGTGTGTGTGTATATATATGTGTGTGTATATATATGTGTGTGTGTGTATATATATATGTGTGTGTATATATATATGTGTGTGGGTGTGTATATATATATATAATATCCTTTGTGTGGTAGGCATCAATTCTACAGGTGACTATAGGAGAAAAGTGCAGATTATTTTCTTGATATTTATTAATATTTTTAATGTGGTCATATCCTCAAAGTCAAGACTCATTTCTGTTTCAAAATAGACATTTAAAATTATTCTGTCTCACAACCTGGTAAAATAAGGCAAAGAAACTATGTCCAGGTCTCGTTATTTCTTTAAACTGAAATATATTAATATATGGCCACAATATGATTTTTCCCAAAAATGTTCAGAATGGTGTTTAATAATTAATCACTCTTAATTTATCTCTTTTGTCCTGAATTTGATGATTATTTCAGTGCTGAATGTCTCCTATTATTCTATGTTCCGCCTCTAGAACAAAAATGTGTAGCGACAGTTTGTTTGCCCTCTCAATGATCAAAGTAAAATCATCAGGGGAAGGAGGAATTTAGGATTTATGAGATGGCTAAGAGAGGAAAAATTAATTCTAAGTAGAAGTGAATATGTGCTTTTAATGATGACAGAAATAAGGCTAACACCCTCAAAGAAATGGCATTGTGTGTGCAGAAGAGGTTTTCACTAATTGGAGCTCCACCCATCTCATTTCAATTCAGTCCCTATTGCCAGTTATTCTGAAACTTCTAAGAATAAGTCCTAAAATCGTGATCAAGAAGCTGCATATAACAAGGTGTAGCAAGTCAGCCGAAATTTGTTTGCACTGAGAGTATCTCAGGGTTGGCAATAGATGGAGAATTACTGGTTAATCCCTGTATGGGTCCTTGGAACTTTCCTGATTAACCAAATTTGCTGGTATAAGAGGCATGCTTCAGTTTTTTAACAGTGACAGCAGCTGGCAGCATGCTACAAAGGACCTATGCAGTAATCACCCACTCACTCTGTGAAAGCCAAAAGGAAAACCTCTTCAGATGAAGCCCTGAAGGGTTTCATGCCTCAGAACTGCTAAGATTTTGTAGTTGGAATGATTTTAGAGAAATTTACAAGGAAAACTTCATTATGAATCTCTCATACACCAAGTCCCCTGAGAAGCTTATCACTGTTTGTCAACTGCAACAGAAAGCATAATGCTCTTTTATTAATAGGGTTCTTTTTTTTTCCAAAGGGATTGTTGTAAAATACCATGATTAATTGAAGATTTCTTTTTACTTCTGATTTGCCTGATTGACACAAGTAACCCTTATTAATTTCCCCAGATGCTGAAAGCAGCGGTAGCAAAGAAACACAAGACAATGCATTATTTATTCTGATATTCAGTGGTCATTTTCATCCTCATCACACATATTAATTTAATGAGGCCACATAACCATGCTTTTCACGAACTCTGACATGGCCGGGGGTGGGGGTGTTGATAAAACTGATTAAACTCTCTAGATGATGCACATTTACTCAAATTCATGTTTGGATGCTTAAAATTCTTGCCATTCATTGTGCCATATATAATGTATTTCCTCTTATCAATTGCATTTAAAAAATGATAAAACAAAATAATTATGCCAAAAAGTTAGAAAAGCTCACCAAATGCTTGGTATCTTCAACTGCTTGCTATTTAAAGCAATTTGACCATGGCATTTTTAAACTTGTATGAATTTGGTAGGTTTTTGCTTTACTCGTTTGTTTAGAGAGCATAATTTTTTTATCAACATTTGATTTGTAGCATAGTAAGACTCATATCCAATAATACTGTGTGCCACCTTATCAGTTATAGTTTGTTAAGTATTGTAGGTTCTACTAAAATATGTTATTAATGTTTAATAAAATATGATTTATGTCTTTATCCATGGCATAAATTCTAGAACTCTTCCCTCTATGAACTCTCATTTTCAGTTAATATATAAGTATATGCACATTAGAAATATTTTAAAAATAAATCTAACTGTACATATTTCATTAAAGATGGTCAGACTATGGTGAATTTTTGAAGAAAAAAATTTATGTGAGTACTGTTTTTTCTTTTCCTCAAGTACAAGCTCAAAACATGTGCTTCAAACTGCTGAAATCATCAGTGATAAATAATATTCTCAGAAAATCTGGTATTGTGCTGATTTTGAGGACCATGTTTTCAGGAAACTGGAAATATGTCATACAATATTTTTAACTATATCTATCCTCCATGTGACTCTCAGAATTCTTTCTCTAAAATACAAACCTAATCATAAGACTCTGCTTTTATCAAGTATTCATTACATTATTTACACCCATTAAAAAAATTCTTCCCAAGATGTGATATTCTAAAAATCTCTTGAATTGTATACACAGTCGCCATTTACTGTCCTGGCAGATCCTTTTTTGTTTACTTGTTCTGAATCAGTCTGAAAAGGCCAGTTCTTATATAACCTCCTCTGTGACTCCTTATCGGACATCCTATAACCTCATCTGTCTGGCTTCAGTGCCCAAAAGAACCCTAAACACTACACAGCACTATATGACATCACTGCAATGCAATTACTTGCTGGCAAGTTAACACTGACCCTGAGTTCCTCCAGAACAGGGAGAACTTTGCATCTACACTCTCCATCATAGTGTATGACACAGAGGGATGTATGGATAACTGAACTGATGATTGCATTATCAACTTATTTATCAATGCCAACAAGAATTTCCTATAAAGTTTACTTCTGTAGGCAGGCCATAAGAAATTGGGTGAAATTTGTCACAGGATCATCTATAACAAACAGAATACAGAGGAGTATTATCAATAGGAAAGCTAACAGCTGGCTGCCTCTTCATCTAGAAAGCTGCAGTATGCCATGTCACAGGAAACATGGCTCCAAGCTGCCTTGTGTATTCCAGGTAAGAGACAATCTAGACTGCCAATCAGTGAGGACAGATTGGAGGGAAGGATATTAGAGGGATATTGGGCCAGGGGTCTGGAACTATGAGCTACAGTGGAAAATCCACGGAGGCCCAAAAGCTCAAAAGCAGAGGAGAAGTACATGGCCTTCTGCTCCACAGCAGCGTGCTGAGCTCTCTCTTTGGGAACTAAATTAAATCTTACCCTAGCCTCAGCTTTTCATGCCTGCCTGCCTCACCAGACTTCATGAACCAAAAAGCCTACAGCCATATTTCTTTCTTGTCACTATTTCTATCCTTCCAAGCAGAACCCTTAAGTATAATAAGGGTGTATGTGCTGATTGAAAAATCATAAGAGCTAACACATGTTGAGTGACCTCTGGGTGCCAGACACTATTAAGGTGCTTTCTAATTTTGATCCTTACAACCACCATTTGAAGTGGTGTACTGCCTTTTCCTCCTTTTTATGTGAAAAGACTGAATGTACATGCATTATTTATGTAAGTTAAATCAGGCATATTTAACTATCTTGTGAGGCTCCCAGCCATGCTACTCCATGTATTAGCAGGGTCTCAGCTTCCCACCTATATGCCCCAGTTATTCACAAGTGTCTCCAAGGAAAACTTCCCATTACCTTCAAACCAGTCTGTATGCCATGGTCTACTACAGTGCTTGCTTCTCTTCCTTCCTTGTTACTCGTCCATGTACTCCATTGCTGCTACTGCTCATCACAAGATGTGTTGTCTCTGGATGTTTATCAAACTTTCAATTCTTGGATTAACAGAAAAATGCTGAGTCCTGCGCCTCAAGAGGAAGGGAGGGATGTGCTGCTTCCTGTAAGATTGGGGACCATGTCTTTCTGCCTCCTTTACTTTCACTGGCTAGCTGTGTTTTCTGACCCTGCTAGGGTGGAAACTGAAAGATGGATGGCAGGGAGCAGACATAGAAAATGCTTAGAAAGCCAATAAAGGCTTATTCACTCAATAATTACATACCATCCTAAACCCCTACTCAGTTCTAGGCATTGTTCTAAGCATTTTGGTGTGTGGGCTTTTAGGAGCTGGCCTCTGCCTTCACCTTCAGCCTTATTCTCTGACTTCAGCCTCATCTATCTCTATGCCTTTGCACCTCCCATCCCTCCATTCATCTTCTCACACTTGTCTAATTCTTTCTCTTTTCAAATTCAGCTGAATTTGTTTTTTATTATCTCAGCCCAGTTTGTACTTCTGGAACTTTCATAATTCCCTATCTCTCTAGCTGATGACTTAAGAGGCTTGGATGACTATCTCTATAAATGGCACTGTAACCTTGATGGTTTATTTTCATGACACTATATTAGACAAAAGTGAAGTTTTCTATACGTTTAAGAAATGTACTTAATAATGGTCTGGACTTTTGTAATACTGACCCTTACTTATAAGTAAATTGCTGTTCACTTTTTCTTTCTACCACATTAGCTTCATATTAAGTTCTAAATGATTATAATTTATTTTCATTTTTTCCTTCATTAGGAGCAATTCTAATGAAGTCCAAGAAGCCTCCTATCTCATTATCTTACATTTACTCTATAATAACTAACAACATAAAAAATCTACCTAGAAAACTACAGTCTGTAAATATATCTAGTAATATTCTGTATATGGCAACACACATTTACATGTAACTGACTCTTTTTGTTTGTTTGTTTGAGACAGGCTTTCACTCTATTGCTCAGGTTGGAGTGCAGTGTCACCAACATGACTCACTGCAACTTTGAACTCCTGGACTAAAGTGATCCTCTGCCTTCAGCTTCCTAAGTATCTGGGACTACAGGCATATGGACCACACTTAGTTAATTTAAAAAATTATTTTTGTAGAGATGGAGCCTCACTATGCTGCCCAGGCTGAACTAAAATTCATGGCCTTAAGCAATCCTCCCTCCTCAGTTTCCCAAAGTACTGGGATTACAGGTATGAGCCACTGTGCCTGGCTTTTGACATTTTAATAATGTTATGTAAATGTCCTTGATTTATATGCATTATTTAGATTTAGTTTTAGTATAAATATTTACTGAGGAATCAATTAAAGGGTTATCTATTGATAGTTCCCATTTGGAAAAATAATGAGAGCAAACATTATATAGAGAGCACTATGTTCCAGAAACTGCTTTAAGTAATTTACATTTCGTATTTTTAGTCCATGCTCAACCATTCTATAAAGTAGGAACTACTGCTATTCTCATTATATGGGAAATACAGTAAAAAGCAGGAAGTTTAAGAGACTCGTCTAAATTCATAAGACAAGCAAATGACCTGGTGAGGAGTTGAAAGTAGGCACTATTGGTAGAAAGACAATATTGGTAGAAACACAATGGTATGTGCGTTGAATTGGATGGAAATTTAACTTACATTTATTTAAAATCATGTGAGTACCATTTTCTTTAATACTAAAATCAACATTTTTGTGAAATGTTTCAGTGTGCTTAATGCTAAAAGGAAATCTCATACCTTCAGCTATTCAGAATAAGAGCAGACAAAAATTTTTATAACATGTACTATAGTATATTTGTACTTGGTTTTTAAGGCTTCAAGTGGATTGAATCATCATTAAGTTATTAAGGGTTATGGAGGCTGACCTAATTTTAGTATCTCCCTATTATTTACCATATATATTACTCCTTCTTAATCTTGGAAAAATGAAAGAATACAAGGATTTCTATTTTGGGAAGGCCTTCCAAGATGGCCTAATAGGAACAGCTCTGGTCTGTAGATCCCAGTGTGATCAATGCAGAAGATGGGTGATTTCTGCATTTCCAACTGAGGTACCTGGTTCTTCTCATTGGGACTGATTGGACATTGGGTGCAGCCCATGGAGGGTGAGCTGAAGCAGGGCGGGGCATTGCCTTACCTGGGAAGTGCTTTCCCTTTCCTAGTCAAGGGAAGCCATGACAGACTACCTGGAAAAATGGGACACTCTCACACAAATACTGTGCTTTTCCTAAGGTCTTAGCAACCGGCAGACAAGATTATTCTCTCCCGTGTCTGGCTAGGCGGCTCCCATGCACACGGAGCCTTGCTCACTGCTAGCACAGCAGTCTGAGATGGATCTGCAAGACAGCAACCTGGCTGCGGGAGGCGCATCTGCCATTGCTGATGCCTGAGTAGGTAAACAAAGCCACCAGGAAGCTCAAACTGGGCAGAGCCTACCACAGCTCAACAAAGCCTACTGCCTCTAGACTCCACCTCTGTGGGCAGGGAATAGCTGAACAAAAGTCAGCAGACAACTTCTGCAGACTTAAACATCCCTGTCTGACAGCTCTGAAGAGAGCAATGGTTCCCCCAGCATGGTGTTTGAACTCTGATAATGGACAGACTGCCTCCTCAAGTGGGTCCCTGACCCCTATGTAGCATAACTGGGAGACATCTCCCAGTAGGGGCTGACTGGCACCTCATATAGGCAGCTGCCCCTCTGAGACAAAGCTTCCAGAGGAAGGATCAGGCAGCAAAATTTGCTGTTCTGCAGCCTCCACTGGTGATATGCAGGCAAACAGGGTCTGGAGTGGAACTCCAGCAAACTCCAACAGACCTGCAGCTGAGGGACCTGACTGTTAGAAGAAAAGCTAACAAACAGAAAGGAATAGCATAAACATCAACAAAAAGTCATCTACACCAAAACCACATCTGTAGGTCACCAACATCAAAGACCAAAGTTAGATAAAACTACAAAGATGGAGAGAAATCAGAGCAGAAAAGCTGAAAATTCTAAAAACCACAACACCTCTTCTCCTCCAAAGGAACACAGCTCCTCACCAGCAATGGAACAAAACTGGACAGAGAATGACTTTGATGAGTTGACAGAAGTAGGCTTCAGAAGGTTGGTAAAAACAAACTTCTCCAAGCTAAAGGAGGATGTTCAAACCCATCGCAAGGAAGCTAAAGACCTTGAAGAAAGATTAGGCAAATGGCTAACTAGAATAAACAGTGTAGAGAAGACCTTAAATGACCTGATGGAGCTGAAAACCATGGCACAAGTACTTCATGACACATGCACAAGCTTCAATAGCCAATTCGATCAAGTGGAGGAAAGGGTATCCGTGATTGAAGATCAAATTAATGAAATAAAGTGGGAAGACAAGGTTAGAGATAAAAGAGTATAAAGAAATGAATAAAGCCTCCAAGAAATATGGGAGTATGTGAAAAGACCAACCTACATTTGATTGGTATACCTGAAAGTGATGGGGAGAATGAAACCAAGTTGGAAAATACTCTTCAGGACATTATCTGGGAGAACTTCTGCAACATAGCAAGGCAGGCCAACATTCAAATTCAGGAAATACAGAGAACACCACTAAGATATTCCTCAAGAAGAGCAACCCCAAGACACATAATTATCAGATTCACCAAGGTTGAAATGAAGGAGAAAGTGTTAAGGGCAGCCAGAGAGAAAGATCAGGTTACCCACAAAGGGAAGCCCATTAGACTAACAGCAGGTCTCTCAGCAGAAACCCTACAAGCCAGAAGAGAGTGGGGGCCAATATTCAACATTCGTAAAGAAAAGAATTTTCAACCCAGAATTTCATATCCAGCCAAACTAAACTTCAAAATGAAGGATAAATAAAATCCTTCACAGACAAGGAAATGCTGAGAGACTTTCTCACCACCAGGCCTGCCCTAAAGAGCTCCTGAAGGAAGCATTAAACATGGAAAGAAACAACTGGTACTAGCCACTGCAAAAACAGGCCAAATTGTAAAGACCATGATGCTATGAAGAAACTGCATCAATTAACAGGCAAAATTACCAGCTAACATCATAATGACAGGATCAAATTCACACATAACAGTATTAACCTTACATGTAAATGGGCTAAATGCCCCAATTAAAAGACACAGACTGGCAAATTGGATAAAGAGTCAAGACCCATCAGTGTGCTGTATTCAGGAGACCCATCTCACATGCAAAGACGCATATGGGCTCAAAATAAAGGGATATAGGGAGATCTACAAAGCAAATGGGAAGCAAAAAAAAAAAAAAGAGCAGGGGTTGCAATCCTAGTCTCTGATAAAACAGACTTTAAACCAACAAAGGTCAAAGAAGGCCATTACATAATGGTAAAGGGATCAATTCAACAAGAAGAGTTAACTATGCTAAATATATATGCACCCATTACAGGAGCACACAGATTCATAAAACAAGTCCTTAGAGACCTATGAAGAGACTTAGACTCCCACACAATAATAATAGGAGACTTTAACACCCCACTGTAAATATTAGACAGATCAATGTGACAGAAGGTTAACAAGGATATCCAGGACCTGAACATAGCTCTGCAACAAGCAGACCTAATAGACATCTACGGAGTTCTCCACGCCAAATAAACAGAATATACATTCTTCTCAGCACCACATTGCACTTATTCTAAAATTGACCACATAATTGGAAGTAAAGCACTCCTCAGCAAATGTAAAAGAACAGAAATCACAACAAACTGTCTCTCAGACCACAGTGCAATCAAACTGGAACTCAGGATTAAGAAACTCACTCAAAACCGAAAAACGACATGCAAACTGAACAACTTGCTCCTGAATGACTACTGGGTAAATAAAGAAATGAAGGCAGAAATAAAGATGTTCTTTGAAACCAATGAAAACAAAGACACAATGTACCAGAATCTCTGGGACACATTTAAAGCAGTGTGTAGAGGGAAATTTATAGCACTAAATGCCCACAAGAGAAAGCAGGAAAGATCTAAAATTGAAATCCTAACCTCACAATTAAAAGAACTACAGAAGCCAGAGCCAACAAATTCAAAAGCTAGCAGAAGGCAAGAAATAAGTAAGATCAGAGCAGAACTGAAAGAGATAGAGACACAAAAAACCCTTCAAAAAAATCAATGAAAATAGGAGCTGTTTTTTTTAAAAGATCAAAAAAATTGATAGACCACTAGCAAGACTAATAAAGAAGAAAAGAGAAGAATCAAATAGACACAATAAAAAATGATAAAGGGGATATCACCACCAATCCCACAGAAATACAAACTACCATCAGAGAATACTATAAACACCTCTATGCAAATAAACTAGAAAACATAGAAGAAATGGATAAATTCCTGAACACATACACCCTCCCAAGACTAAACCAGGAAGAAGTTCAATCTCTGAATAGATCAATAACAGGCTGTGAAGTTGAGGCAATAATTAATAGCCTACCAACCAAAAAAGCCCAGGACCAGATAGATTCACAGCCAAATTCTACCAAAGGTACAAAGAGGAGCTGGTACCATTCCTTCTGAAACTATTTCAATCAATAGAAAAAGAGGGAATCCTCCCTAACTCATTTTATGAAGCCAACATCATCCTGATACCAAAGCCTTGCAGAGACACAACAAAAAAAGAGAATTTTAGACCAATATCCCTGATGAACATCGATGCAAAAATCCTCAGTAAAATACTGGCAAACCGAATCCAGCAGCACATCAAAAAGCTTATCCACCACGATCAAGTTGGCTTTATTCCTGGGATGCAAGACTGGTTCAACATACGTAAAAGAATAAACATAATCCATCACATAACAGAACCAATGACAAAAACCACATGATTATCGCAGTAGATGCAGAAAAGGCTTTCAACAAAATTCAACACCCCTTCATGCTAAAACTCTCAATAAACTAGGTATTGATGGAATATATCTCAAAATAATAAGAGCTATTTATGACAAACCCATAGCCAATATCATACTGAATGGACCAAAACTGGAAGCATTCCCTTTGAAAACCAGCGCAAGACAGGGATGCCCTCTCTCACCATTCCTATTCAACATAGTGTTGGAAGTTCTGGCCAGGGCAATCAGGTAAGAGAAAGAAAAAAAAAGGGTATTCAATTAGGAAATAAGGAAGTCAAATTGTCCCTGTTTGCAGATGACATGACTGTATATTTAGAAAACCCTATCATCTCAGCTCAAAGTCTCCTTGAGCTGATAAGCAACTTCAGCAGTCTCAGGATACAAAATCAATATGCAAAATTCACAAGCATTCCTATACACCATTAACAGACAAACAGAGAGCCAAATCATGAGTGAACTCCCATTCACAATTGCTTCAAAGAGAATAAAATACCTAGGAATCCAACTTACAAGGTATGTGAAGGAACTCTTCAAGGAGAACTACAAATCACTGCTCAACAAAATAAAAGAGGATGCAAACAAATGGAAGAATATTCCATGCTCATGGGTAGGAAGAATCAGTATTGTGAAAATGGCCATACTGCCCAAGGCAATTTATAGATTCAATGCCATCCCCATCAAGCTATAAATGACTTTCTTCACAGAATTGGAAAACTACTTTAAAGTTCATATGGAACCAAAAAAGAGCCCACATTGCCAAGATAATCCTAAGCCAAAAGAACAAAGCTGGAGGCATCACGTTACCTGACTTCAAACTATACTACAAGGCTACAGTAATCAAAACAGCATGGTGCTGGTACCAAAACAGATATATAGACCATTGGAACAGATCAGAGGCCTCAGAAATAACACCACACATCTACAACCATCTGATGTCTGACAAACCCAACAAAAACAATAAATAGGGAAAGGATTCCATATTTAATAAATGGTGCTGTGAAAACTGGCTAGCCATATGTAGAAAGCTGAAACTGTATCCCTTCCTTACACCTTATACAAAAATTAATTCAAGATGGATTAAAGACTTAAATGTTAGACCTAAAACCATAAAAACCCTAGGAGAAAACCAACACGATACCATTCAGGGCATAGGCATGGGGAAGGACTTCATGACTAAAACACCAAAAACAATGGCAACAAAAGCCAAAATAGACAAATGAGATTTAATTAAAGTAAAGAGCTTCTGCATGGCAAAAGAAACTACCATCAGAGTGAACAGGCAACCTACAGAATGGGAGAAAAATTTTGCAATCTACCCATCTGACAAAGGGCTAATATCTAGAATCTGCAAAGAACTCATACAAATTTATAAGAAAAAAACAACCCCATCAAAACGTGGGCAAAGGATATGAACAGACACTTCTCAAAAGAAGACATCTATGCAGCCAACAGACCCATGAAAAAATGCTCATCATCACTGGTCATCACAGAAATGCAAATCAAAACCACAATGAGATACCGTCTCATGCCAGCAATCATTAAAAAGTCAGGAAACAACAGATGTTGGAGAGGATGTGGAGAAATAGGAACACTTTTACACTGTTGGTGGCAGTGTAAATTAGTTCAACCATTGTGGAAGGCAGTGTGGCAACTCCTCAAGGATCTAGAACTAGAATTACCATTTGACCCAGCAATCTCATCACTTGGTATATACCCAAAGGATTATAAATCATGCTACTATAAAGACACATGCAGATGTATGTTTATTGTGGCACTATTCACAATAGCAAAGAATTGGAATGAATCCAAATGTCCATAATGATAGACTGGATTAAGAAAATGTGGCACATACACACCATGAAATACTATGCAGCCATAAAAAAGGATGAGTTCATTTCCTTTGCAGGGACATGGATGAAGCTGGAAACCATCATTCTCAGAAAACTATCCCAAGATCAGAAAACCAAACACCGCATGTTCTCACTCATAGGTGGGAATTGAACAATGAGATAACTTGGACATAGGGCAGGGAACATCACACACTGGGGCCTGTTGAAGGGTGGGGGGCTGGGGGAGGGATAGCATTAGTAGAAATATCTAATGTAAATGATGAGTTGATGGGTGCAGCAAACCAACATGGCACATGTATACCTATGTATCAAACCTGCACATTGTGCACATGTACCCTATAACTTGAAGTATAATAATAAAAAAAGAATTTCTATTTCTAAGTAAGCAGTGCATTGAATGACTTTGGAATAATACTTAAGAAGTCTTTCACTATCTTTGAAAAAGTGTTGGGGTTTCAAGCTTAAGAGAAACTGAAATCCACATATGGCTGAAAAAGCACTAAGGCAAATGCACCAGTAAACTATTATTGATTTCCAATAATTCTATAAGCATACTTTTTTTGGCTTCATAATATTTCATTATTAATGATACTTTTATCATTGGTCAGTGCCCAAACTACTTTTATTTGATTTTTTTATTATTATTGTACTCTAAGTTCTGGGATACATGTGCAGAATGTGCAGGTTTGTTACATAGGTATACAAGTGCCATGGTGGTTTGCTGCACCCATCAACCCATCATCTACATTAGGTATTTCTCCTAATGCTCT
Source organism: Homo sapiens (assembly GCF_000001405.40). Lineage (NCBI taxonomy): Eukaryota > Metazoa > Chordata > Mammalia > Primates > Hominidae > Homo > Homo sapiens. Next base: position 77,973,353 of record NC_000008.11, on the reverse strand, counting down.
CCCTCCCCTAGCCCCCAACCCCCCAACAGGCCTCAGTGTGTGATGTTCTCCTCCCTGTGTCCACGTGTTCTCATTGTTCAACTCCCAGCTATGAGTGAGAACATGCAGTGTTTGGTTTTCTGTTCCTGTGTTAGTTTGCTGAGAATGATGGTTTCCAGCTTCATCCATGTCCCTGCAAAGGACATGAACTCATCATTTTTATAGATGAATGGAACAGAACAGAGGCCTCAGAAATAACACCACACATCTACAAGCATCTGATCTTTGACAAACCTGACAAAAACAAGCAATGGGGAAAGGATTCCCTATTTAATAAGTGGTGTTGGGAAAACTGGCTAGCTATATGCAGAAAACTGAAACTGGACCCCTTCCTTACACCTTATACAAAAATTAACTCAAGATGGATTAAAGACTTAAACGTAAAACGTAAAACAATAAAAACGCTGGAAGAAAACCTAGGCAATACCATCAGCATACATTTTAAGGGAAAGGTTATATTAACATCAGAACTAGCTGAAGATTTGAAAGTCTACTGGATGTTAATCATTGGACACTCTTAAAACTGATATTCTTTAAGTGCTTCCTCTACACATGCCTAGAGGCTGAACACAGCTTAGTGCTGGGTAGAGGTTGAGGAGTGTGTATCAATGCTGCCTGCAGACCCTAGTCACAAAACTAAAGGTCTTTAGTTAACAGATTCATCCTCATCAAATGTAGTTTAGCTAATATGCTAATATCTGTTGCTTCTTAAATATCCCCATGGGTGCTTCACCTCCCACCTAAGTGGCAAATCAAAACTGCCCTCTAATTATCATCTATCTAGATCATTGGATCAATAGATCAATTGATTAATTGATAGAGAGAGAGAGAGATGTTTCTCTCTATCCATCACCTATAAAATTTCAGTGATGTTTCCTACAGATCCTAACCTGGCTGACTTTCTGCTTATTCATGGTATGCCTTTGGATTGCTTAAAACCCCGTACACAGCTACCCGCTGCTACAAAAGCAAAGTTATACTCTTTTATCACCACAGTCTCCAAAGCTCTGGATGACCAGACCTTGGCTTACCTCACAGGATTCTTCTCAGACTACTGTCTCTCTGGTCACCAGACTCCAAAACCTTAAACTTCTTTCCCTTTTCTTAGATACTGCCAGTACTTTCTCGTCTCCTAGCCCTTCAACATGTTCCTAAATCTTGTGAAAACTCTTTTCACCACTGTTTAAAAAAATATCAGGTCCCTTCCCATTCCATAGGTAGCAATTCAAATACTACAACTTCAGAGAAATCTCTCCTGTCCATCACACAGTAGTTGCTATCACATTATCGGTCTATTTTTTTAAATTACTACTCTGAAGTTTTTGTTTATTTTCTTGTTAGTTTATTTTCTAACTCTCTTAAGTAGAATATAAGCGTCATGAAAGATCTTCTATACCTTATTCACCACTGGCTCTTCAGTACCTAGCACAATGTCTAGCACATAGTAGCTGTTCAGTAAATAGTTGTTGAATAAATGAACGTTGTTCACAAATTTGTTCCCATTTTGAGAGAGACCGTGGCTTCAAGAGAAGAGAAGGTCCATACTATATGACTTATTACTCCTAGTAGGTTATTTATAATGGTCATTTATTCTCACAAATACTCAGTTTCTTTATCTGTAAAACAGAGCAAATAATGTCATATTTAATTTATATTTATTTCATTTTATTATTCAATAAAGGATTTGGAGTGGCTTTAAAAATTCATGGTATTATTCATTATGTTATAAATGCACAAGTGAAAAAGAAAGATAAAACAAAATTATGAAAGAGGTAATGTGAAAATAAAATGGGAAGATCCCAAATTAAATAGCTATTTAAATAAACACTATTTTCTGTCTAATTTCACTTTAATTTTGACCCTTAAAATAACTCATAAATATAATAAAATAAATAAAAACTAATTATACCATGATACTTAGAGTTTTTTGTGAGGAAGGTAAGAAATATTGAATGAAATAATTTGTGTGAAGCGGCTTTGCAAGCAGTAATCATGCATTCACTATTAGTAGGGTTTATGTAAAGTTTAACAACCTTTCTCAGATTTTATTTTCTCACTTTACATTTCTCATTATACACTATTATATATTTTTTGTTCATATTCTATTTTTCATGTACAGCTATGTTGTCTCCCTAACGAGACTGTAAGCCTCTTGAGAAAAAGTTCTTTTTTGCCTCCTTGTATAATATTTTTGTTCTTCCTAGCGCAATCCTCATGCTGAGCATGTGTAGTTAACACATGAGCGCTGGCTATCAGCACATTTAGAACTCAAGATATCTAAAAATTACAGAAGGGGCTTTGCAAATTTTAAGATATCAAAGGCAGAATTTCTGGCATTCTAGAAAGGAGAATCTTCCATTTTTCAGAGTTGTCTTCTTTCTCTGGTTTAATGGCATGAACTGACTTCTCTCTGCAGCTTCCTGAGTTATTTAGATAGCACAGCGATGAGCCCTAGTCCCACACTTGTCCATAGGAGTACTGTCCTGCTGCAAAAAGATATTTTCTGCACTGTCTTCCGCTCTACTTTTGACTATTTCTTGACTCAGAGAAGGCTATCATTAACAAAATGAGAATAAAAAATGGAAATACAAGTTTATAATATGCTTTACATATAAATGCATATTTTGTCTAACTTATCTAATTTGTATGAAATGAAGGAAAAGCAGTCATGAAGTTTCTCAACATAACAAATGGTTTTATGAAATATACACATCATGGAGTGTATGTGAGTGTATGAAGAGCAATGGCCAAAGACTTAGTTTTGAAGTAATGCTTTCTTAGTTTTTAAATTAATAAATCTTCCATCTTCCTCAGTAGGAGAAGTAGCATTCATCTCAAACCAAAAACCAAAAAGGAAGTTATGTGAACATAATCAAGAAAGCCAGTTGTGTTACATAAAATGTGACTAGCACATTACATTATTCACCATACAAAATCATGTGTTTTTCTTTTTTTGCCAATGGCAAACAATTTTCATGTACAAATTTATATATCTCTACAGAATTTCCATCAATATTTCCCAGAAGAAAAATTCTTTTCTATGGATATATTGTGGAGCAGTTAATTAAATATTTATTGAAATGCTTAATACAGTATGCCTGGAAAAAAATAAAAAAAACATGAACACATTAACATATTTTAACAACATTAACAGAACCTTAACAACACTAGGATAAATTTTTTATATAAATATTAAAATAGTAAAAAACAGCTTATTTAGAATAATTATGGAAATACATCTTTAAAGCTAACAACATTAAAATCAACCATTAACCCATACAACATTTATAGCTGCATTTAACATAATGTACTTTTTAATACCCTAAAACTTCCTGTTCCTTTACTAGATTACTTTTGGAACAATGTGTTAGTAAAAAAAATTCAAATTAAACTTTGTATTGAAGACAAATGTACCAACTATGTTGTCACTGTTTTTATTATGAATAACATAGAGTTTTGATGAGCTTTGAAAGGACACTGTGAAGATTGTTGTTAGGAAAGTCTGGCCACTATGAACAAGACTGATTTAGGCTGAGCTGCTTCTTTTTTTAAAGAAAAAATCCCATCAAATTCTTTCTTTGAAATAACAAGAATTACTCTGTGGTGTGTGAAGGTATAATTCTTCTGTGAGAGGTCAGAGTAAACATCGGATGGCAAAAGTCATAAAATAATCATTTTTGGTCCATTTCCTTTGGCCTCACACACTGTTTATATAGTGGTGTGAGGGTTTCTGTTACTAGTCTGTCTGTGAAGTTTAGCCCTGCTTACGCAGAGTAGATTTGGGAAATAATGGAATGAGTATTCAACATCTAAGGACTAAAGCACAATAAGCACAATTTATTTGTAACTATAATAGGGCAAAATATGTATCTATCCCCAATAGTACTCCTTTCTATAAAGTAGCAACATTTAACCTTCAAGTGACCATAAAATTTAGTGTCCAACTGTAATACTTTTGAAAGTGAAAGAGGTAAGGACAAGAGGCTTGAATCAGAATGTTTTCAGGCCAACTGGAACATATGTTCACCTTACTCAATAAAGATCTTTGGACTGGTTCACTTCTTTCTCTTTTTTTCCTTCTGGCAGTATCAACACTTTCATGTTTAAACTTTGTTTTTATGGCTTATCTTCCTATCCAGCTGTCAATATCAGCCTATTGTTTGCATTATACTTACAGAATTCAAAGGTAGATATGTCAATACATTCATTTTTATGGGTATGTTCAGATAAAGTTCATTTACAGTCAGCAATTATACTGAATGGAGAGCACAGTGATCTTCCTCGAGGTAATTATCATGCTAAGATTATTGCTTGCACAAAAAGGGTCATAAGAGGCTTTATGGCAGTAACCTATAAGATCTGAACCTTCTGGTCTTTTTATCTCTGGAGCACATAATGTATTTTTTTTTTACATTAAGTACTGAAATTACAGTCCATTAAAAATTAAGCATTTAGAGTAATTATTCTCAGACATTCTTAAAGGGTATAAATACCTAGATACATTTCAAGGCTACCTGAATTGTAAATTGTATTAAATACTCACCATATGCAGAAAGTGTGCATGTTTAGTATGGGTACTAGACCTGTAACTAAAACTAATGAAAAAATTTTTTACATGGCAGAAGTGATCACATTATCTAACAATTTCATAAGTATATATTTCTTTTTGAATTGAATCTCTCAAGCTTCATGCAATTTTACCTTTTGATAATCCTGGTCAGTTTACTGTGTTCACAGATAACACGTGCAATGCTAATGATAATAGTATATTATTTTATTTAATTTTTATGGATAACCAATTTACCTCACTTAAAATCCATATATATGTATGTGTGTATATATGTATGTGTATATATATATGTGTGTGTGTGTGTGTAAATACACATACACATAGAGTATTTTGTATAGCAGTTTCAGGTTTGCAGAAAAACTGAGCAGAAAGTACAGTTCTTCTATGCTTTCTTTCCTATTTCTCTCATTATTAACACCTTGAATTAGGAGGGTACATTTCTTAGAATTAATGATCTAATATTGATTTAATATTAGTAACCAGAGTCTATAGTTTACATTAGAGTTCACTTTTTGTGCTGTACATTCTATGGGTTTGACAAGTATCAGGACATACATTTACCATTAAACTATCATACAGAATAGTTTCAGTATCCTCTATTCCTTTGCGCACACTACTCATAGTAAGATCATCAATAACATTTCTCATCAGTTAATCCAGCAGTCCTTCCCTAGCTTGATCTTTCAGCAACATTTGACAATGGATTCCTCACACACTCTGATGCCACATATTTTCCCTATTTTTTTCTTACTTTTTAATTCTTTATTTCTTAGCTTTTGCAGGTTTCCCTTCTTCTCTATAATCTCTTAATAGTGGATGGTTCCAAGGCTCATCCTTTGTTCCTATTTACTTCTGTATCTATACTCACCATCTTGGTGATCTCATCCAGTCTCATGATTTTAATAGCATGTATATGGATTAACATTCATTAATTCACTAACTTATGACTCTAGTCCAGATGTCTCTCTTATGATCTAGATGCATATATTCAACTGTTCATTTGCTTTTACCTTAGATGTCCAAAAGACATTTTAAATTAAAACAACGAATAATTTTTAAACTTCACTCTGACTCTCCACAAGTTTACCAACTCAGTTGATGGCAAATCAATTCTGCCAATTACTCTGTTCAAAAAGCTTGTCATCATCCTTGACTTCTTAATTTCCATCATATCCTACTTCTAATTCATTGGAAAATCTTATCAGTTCTAACTTTAAGGTATAATCAGAATCCAATCAATTTCTACTTCCTTCACTCCTATCAGCCTGGTCTGAGTCATCGTGTCATATAAATTATTGCAATAACCCCTAAAATGCCCTCCTCCCACCTCTTTTCCATGGTTGTTGCCCAACTGTCTATTATTATAGGAGTAATAAGTAATTATTTTCAAACATGAGTCAGATAATGCCACTTTTTCTTCAAAACCCTGCTTTTGCTCTCCATTGCACTCCAAGTAAAAGCTAGAGTCTTTACAACGGCTGTCATTTGCCCTTAATTATCCAACATCATCACTTCTTCTTCTCCTACATACCTCCCTCTTACTCTACTCAAGTCACATTTGCTCCTTGCATTGCCACACCACGCACACACACACCGGCATAACCTTTTATATTTGTAGCATTCTCTTCCTGAAATACTCTCACCTCACTTAAATCTTTGTCCAAATTTTGTTTTTCATTCATGTTTCTCCTTTCCTTGGTTTACTTTTTGTGTTATTATTTAATAGCATTCATCAATTGCTAGCATATGATTGTATAATTTTTTAAAATTTTTTAACATTTGTGGATATATAGTAGAAGAATATTTATAGGGTACATGAGATATTTTGATATTTTGCAATGCATAATAATCACATCATGGAAAATAAGATATCCGATATCCATCCCCTCAAGCATTTATCTTTTGTGTTACAAACAATCCAATTATACTCTTTTAGTTATTTCAAAATGTATAATTACATTATTTTGATTATAGTCACATTATTGTACTACCAAATATGAAGTATTATGTTATCATATGATTTGCTTATGTTTATTGCTTATTGTTTAGAAGGTAAACTCCTTAGATATGAAACTTTGTTTTGATTTGTTCACTAATATATTCAAGCACACTGAACTGTGTCTAGCACATAGTGAACACTTGATAAATATTTGTTAAGTGTATCCTTTGTTGCATCTTTGTTGTTCCTATTTTGTTTTTTCCATGCCTTTGACATTGTTAATGCTGGAAAAGCACCAGAACGTGTTCTGTGTAAAGTCCAAGCATGTCATTAGTAAAGGACAGAACCAATCATTATTGCATTATCATGTGATGTATCATCATGCATATTTCACCATAAGACAAATTAAGGCCAATGCTATAAAATGTGAACTATTAACATAAGACACATATTCAGAGAAAAGAGTAAAAAAATGAAAATAAACTAGATTTCTTCATATTTTTAAAGTACATTGGAATTATAATGATTTAGTCTTCATTACAAAATAACAGCTCTCATAATATCCTCCATCCCTTCCTGCTTCTCTCTCTTTTTCACTATTTCTTTCTATTTCCATGTTTTTTATTTCCTTAGAATTTATAAATGTAAACAATCTGCCAGTGAATACTACATTAGCAGTTGTAATTAAGAAGAGTATTTTTTGGGAAAGGAAGTACTTACCATTTTCCTACAAATAAATGTATAGCCCTTGTTTTTATTTTTATTTTTAATTGTAATACAGAATTTCAACCCCATTACATATTTGGAAAAACATGAAAGATTTTCTCCTTTAAAACATATTTTATATACTGAGAAATAAGTCATTTTCAGGTAAAAACATTTAATTATAATATATATGAAAATGGGATTCTAAGTACCAAAATGCTTGATTTTCAGTCATCTAAGAGACATAGGAAGAAGGCTTTATCTCCACAGGGATATCTGGGGAGCCAGTTGTTTTTCATCTTAAAAAAAAATTAAACCCAATAGATAACTGCCTTCTTATGTGTAGACCTTGGATGGACATGTCACTGCCTGGATCACTGTGACACTGGCGCAATACACAGAGCATTTTGAAAATCACTAAATCTAGAATTTCTAACTGAAGTTAATAAAGCTAAAAGCAAGCACTTGTGTTCGTGTGTATTGGATAAGAAAACAAAACTATCAATATTTTGTAATTCCAAACTTTAATTCAATCCCAGCATTAATTATAAATTTGGGTTAACAGACAACATACAAATATGTAACTAATAGATGATTTAAGAATTACAATATTACAATAAAAGTGGGGAAGAGATAAAGTATACTCCTTACCATAAAAATATTTTTAGACAAAAATTTTAGTAATTTTATTACTGACCCCAGAGGTATTAATTGGCTAAATCTTATTTATTGATCTTAGCATTGAAAATTTATACTGACACCTCTATGTCTAGAATTTCAGCCGTTTTGGAATAATCTTCCTTCTCTCTTCTTTCTTGCAGTAAATGTTAGTTTACCTGTGATACAGAAGTCTGCAAAACAATGAGTTAGACAAGCTTAACAGACTATGCACACGATAAGACAATCTAGCTCCTGTGACTGTAAGTAAAATAAGCTCACCATCAAATTAAATTGTCCAAGAAGGCTTTCTGAAAGCAGTAGCATTGAAGCTGAATCTTGAAGGACAAGTTAGATAAAGAAGGGGTGGGCCCTCCTTAGCAGAGGGAAGTAACTTTTGCAAAGTTCTGAGAATCATGGCATACTCAAGGAGTTCATTTGTCGGTTTTGTACTGTGAAGGCATAAGGTGGAGCTGACTGGAGAATAGTAGTCAATAGATGAATTTGAATAGAGAAAAAAGGGCCAGATTAGGAAAGTGGTTTTTGATTCTTTTGTTTTGTTTTTGCGTGTACTCTAATAGAGGCAGTTAAATTAAATATTCAGGGGGACTTGAAATGAGAAGATGCTGGACGGTCACGGAAAAGACTCAGTGATTCAAATGTCAGCCCATGTCTTTGTTATCTATTGTTACATAAAATATTACTCCAAAATTTAACAGCTTATGACAATGAGTATGTGTTATCTCATACAATTTCTGAGTATAAGGAATCCAAAAGCAGCTTAGTTAGGTATTTCTGGCTCAGTGCCTCTCATGAACTCTCAGTCAAGTTTCTGAGCCAGAACTACAATCCTCTGACAGTCTGATGAAGGCAGGAGGATCCACTTCCAAGAGCACTCACACATGTGGCTTCTGGCTGTAGACCTCCATTTTTTGCTTGTTCTTAACAGAGGACCTCAGTTCTTTATCACATGGATTCTCTCTGCGAGGTTTCTCATGATATGTCTGCTGCTTAGAGCAAATGACTCAAGGGAGAGGGAGAACAACAAAGATGGAAATCATGTCTTTTTAACCTAATCTGGGAAGTGGCCATCATTTCTTCTGTATTTTCTTTGCTCACACAGTTCAACCCTGTATAATATAGAACACAACTACACAAAATTGTGAGTACCAGATGCAGGGGTTTGGGGTTGGGGAGCATCTTGGAGACAGGCTACCATGACGCAGAGGGAGAAAATAAAAGCCCACTGAAACACAGATTCAACATTTTGAAAGCTGCTGTGGACTGAATTGCATCCCCCACAGAATTCACATTTTTTCACCCTAATTCCTAAAATGACTGTATTTAGAGACAGGGCCTGTGAGGAAGTAATAAAGGTTACATAAAGTCATAAGGTTAGGAACCTAATTCAATTGAGATAGTGGCCTTATAGAAGAGGGGACGCACCAGGGCTCACTCTCTCCAATATGCGAGGCCACAGTGAGAAGGCAGCCATCTGCAAACCAGGAAGAGAGCCCTCACCAGACACTGACCATGTTACTGCCTTCATCTCGGACTTCTAGTCCCCATAACTGAGATAAATAAATATCCGTCACTTAAACCACCTTGCCTGTGGTATTCGGTTATAGCAGCCCAAACAGATAAGAGGAAACCAAGACAGGAGTACAACAGAAGCTAAATAAAAAATACATTTTGAAAAGGAAAAGGTAAACAGAGTCAATTGAGCACTATTTATTATTGTTTGGGAATTTACTAAGAGTGGGTGAATAATCTACTTTATTTGGGAAAAAAATAACGTTTTTAGATGATATTTAGTTTCCGCTTACTTGAAGTTACGTGTCTTGTCATATGGTGTACCTAATGTTTGATTCCTTAACAAAACTTTGAAATTATTTTAAATTTCTCTTCCCAGCTATTTGGCTTTTTTTTCATTGTGACTCTATGATCTACTAAATTTGTATCAGCTTGTGCATATATACTTATATTCTTTTTTTTCTCTGAAACTCTACAGTCATTAAAATTACTAATTCTTGTCTCATTTATTCTGGGAGAAAAAGGTCTAAACCATATATCAGTTTAATGAAAGATTCTCTTCAGGTGTTAAATTCAATGAATATATTAGTCAGATTTTAATTATAAACAACAGGATACTTTTCATAAATGAGATATTGTTAAGCCCATAGACCATTCCAACAACATTTGATTATTTTTAACCTGATTTTTTAAAGTAGCCAATTTTAAACATTATAAAGTCTTCAAACAGCCTGGCTGAATATTTTAAAGGCTTTGATTTTAATTAGATATTGAGCTGCTTCAGCTTACTGAAAAAAGGTAAAAAGCTTCAAACCATGCCACTCTCCTAAACAGCAGGTGTCAGCTCTAACTGCCTCTGAAAATATTTAATGTATTCAGTTAATCGAATTCCTTAGAGAATGTTACAGTCCTGCTCATTTATCTTATGCAGGCTTTGTATTAGGTTTTCTTTCTTATTTACTGTACTTCTTTACATGTTATGAAAAAATTATGTCTTAGGTTTACTGGTTTCCCAGCAAAATCAATTTTAGATTTTCTCAGTCTTGCAATCACAGCAAACTAAATATTGCTGGCGCCATTCCTTGATGTTTAGAATCACAGATCTTCATTTTCAGTATTCTGAGACTACCTTGACAATTTTGGAATATTTACTTATCTGAATTTTGCATATAGTCTGCCAAATAGCCTAAAACTCCATAGATGAGTATAAATCAAAATATGAGTGTAACTTTTTTTTTAGTGAGTTTATGATGTAGCTTAAGTCAAATCAAAGAAAATGTTAAAAACTACAAAGTTTGTTAGTATACACCTGAGTAGTGTGGCAAGTGACCAACTTTTGTATGTTTGCAAATCCAATGAAGTAGATATATTATGAGGTAATTTATTTAAGGAGTATATTGTACTTATTATCCAAGAAGTGTATTGTACTTATTATTATAGCACAACCTCAGATTTGTCTACAAAAATATCTTGTTCGACAGTGATAATATGCGAACTGGCTCCAGTCCTTCAATAGAAGGTGACCATGCTTTTGAGGGGAACATCTGAAATAGCGATGTTTACTTCCCTGTGTGGTGCTGCCTCTGTGGCTGAAATTGCAGAAATGTAATAAGATATGTTGTCTATTATCACTTTATAAAAATAAATAATCTTTAAATTAGAGCTAAGTGGTGGATACTAAGGAAATTATCATGTTATTATAACTTTAGAAATTTCAGATGAACACCTATGTATGCCAAACACAGAGTGTTATTTTGTTTTAAAAGTTGTCTTCATGTCTATATCTGGTACACTGATGTGTCTGTGTCTGTGTGTGATTGTGTGTGTGTGTGTGTATTGTCCTTGCAGATAAATTACATTGTTGTCTTAATAGAATATAATTAAAAGTAATGACCTGGAGTCATATCAGTGGGGACTGTTAGTGTATTTAAGGAAGTTGAAACTGTGAACCGGTAGGAAACTTTTAGGCAGATTAAGTTAACTTCTGAATAAGGAGAAGTGATGATCCTCAAAGTGAGGAGTTTTAAAATCCTGTCTGTCCTAATTCTTCTCCACAAAGGGGTACATACAATAATCTGCAATGAAAAAAATAATTTTGAAACTCCAGTAATAATTTTGAGAAAACATGTTTTCCTTGGACTCAGTCCCACTAGGTGTCAGAAAAATTATCCTAAATGGAGAGGATAAGACCAGGAAGGCAGGTTACCTTTTCTAAACACCTCCATTGTTTGCCATCGATGTTCAAAGTTTCACCAAAATAACTCATTTGAGTCTTGTAGGTTTTTGGAATTCATGTTCAGAGTAGAAACTCTTCCTTTGGTACCCTAAGATTAGTACTAGCTTCTACCAAGTTAACTGCTACTTTCAGAGGTAGCCCTAGGTAAAGTAAAATTTTAGATGAGGGAATGTATACTGTTTTTCTCCATAATGCTTCCCAAAGACGAAACTCTTACTCAATATCAATAGGATTAGTGTTAGTGTGGCATGTCAGCTTGAATAAGTTTTAGAAACAGATCTTTTTCTGCCTCTCTCCCAACCCCCAGAGTGATTTAAATGCCCCCCAAATCCTGAATATGATCTTCTGAATTAAATCGATCGATATTTGTTCGAATTGTCCGTCATTTATAAAAGTCAATTCAGTCAAATTCTGATTGATTTTGGCAGATGTAAGGGTGACATGTTTTCTGAATGCAAATATGTGTTTTTAATTACTGTTTTCTGGATGTCATATCTTATGGTGGAGCCAGAGGATTCAAAAAACACTACATGTACAAAATATTATTTTATTTCTAAAAATTGAAAAAAAATATATTGATTTGGATAATTCACTTATTTTCATAGTAGCACAAATCTAAGTGGTTATTATTAAAATTCTTATTTTTTATGAAAACTTTTTGATGTTTTTATTATATTTTTACTTTGATCAATTATTTTACATTATTTGACAGAAATTTTATTATTTTTAAATACTGTAGTCAGTGAGTATTTATTACACAAAGATAACAGAAGCATATGGAACAGCAGTTTGAATACTTTCATACACATTTTTTTATCTTTCCCTTTGTTTCCATTTCTACTTCCAACACACTAGATTATTACCTCTTCCAAGGACTATTTAATAGTTTAATTGGCCTTTCTCTTTCTCTTCCCTTTTTAAGGCTCTGAGTTTCTTTGGCAACTCCTGTATGGTACTCAGGAATCTCTGTTGTTTGCCTAAAATCCACAGAATAAAATCTATGCTTTTTTTCTGTCGATAAATTTTCCAAAAACTTATCACAATTCATTTTTTAGGTTAAAGTGTTATATTTCTACATGCTTTTCTTCAATCAAGTACAAGTATCTATGTGTATGTGTGTGGCAGGGGTGTTTTAATCATCCCTGGAAAATATTTTTGCGTTTTCCAACCCCACACATAATTTGTATGATTCCAAAATATGTTCTCCTTTCTCTTTACCTAATTGAATTCTACTCATCACTTGTGTTAGAGTAACTCCTGCTAGTTGCTGCAATGGGTAAACACTGAGTCTTAGTGGCTTATGATGAGCAAGATTTAACTCTCCTGCAGGTGAAGTCCATTGGGTCAGGTAGTGCAGGTAGCTCTCTTCCATTCTGTAGCCATACAATCTGAAGAAATATATGACTTCCAAAGCCACAAAGGCAGGAGAAGGGAATGATGGGGGCAGTCTATTGACGCTTACCTGCCTTGGCCTCAAAAAGACACAGACCACTTCCTTGCAGAGTCCTTTGGCATGGTTCAATGGTTTGAACCTAACTGAGAAGGAAACAATGGAAAGTAGGTGAACGAATGACATATTTGGGGCACATAGTCTTAGTCAATTCTATAAACACAGATAACAACCAACGTCTACTGTAAAAGCTTAACCTGCTAGACCAATGTAAAGCAATCTTTTTCTCCTCTGAAATTGAATACCATTTCCTATAAAATTGCCCTGCTGATATTAATAAATAGCCTCACAGCATCTTTTCTACCATATTTCTTATCATCATAAATTTCCAAAATTTATTTTCTTTTTTTAATTAAATTGTAAGCTCTTTGAGGATAGGATCTATATCTATAGCAAATTATCTCCTGAGAGTGCTTAGCAAGATACTTTATATATAGTGAAAGCACAGGCTGTAGCTGTTACTTAATTTGACATTCCAAACCATTTCAGCTAATAGAAAGACATCTAGGAAAACAAGACTTCAGTTGCACCACAGGCCTCTCATGTATAATGTAAATTATTAAAACTGATTAATGTTCTGCTGATAATGTTTCTTCAAAAAAAAAAAAAGGGAACCTTGGCTGAAGGGCAAATTCAACTGAATGAGATAGAAAAAGGGGAGGGGACAGGTCACACAATATATCATCATTCTTCTGAATCCCTCTATATTCTCAAGATACCTTTGTGTCCTTCTTAGGTTACTAATACCTGCTGTGACTTATGATAATAACAATAATTTACAATGATAATTTATGGGTTTCAGAAAAAAATTAATAATTTAACTACTTTGATTATTAAAACAAATGTAAAGAAGGGAAAGATGTTATTGTAAAGCACATTGCTTAAATGAGAAAATGGAGGTTTGAAGTAATTATAGAACATGAAACTATACAAGTCTAGAATTGGCAAAGACCTTAAAGATGTTCTAATGCAACAGTTTCATGTACAGTTGAGAAAACTGCAGCCCAGATAGGTTAACTGACTTGTGTGAGGTCCTGCAGAGAATGAATGGATATAGCAGAATTAAAGCTCCTCAAGTCCAGTGATATTTAGACTGTGCTATTCCGTCTTTTATTTAATTAAGTGCAACACAAAATATGCATTGTTTAAAAAAGCTATTTAAAATAGCCTCTACCTGAAATGGAGTAAATGTCAAAAGGACTTTATAAGTCATGAGTTTTTAATATGTTTTACTTCTTCCTCATTAAAGGGAGAAATCTTTGGAAAAAAGAGAGCGAGATCTCTCTTGGGCAAGAGTGTTCAGTGTAAGCCTTGAAATGTAATTGTATTTGATTTTAATTGGGTATGCTACATGTATATGAAGTTACTAACAGACTTAAATTTTACTCAATACATTGACAAAACCAGGAAATACAAAAACTAGAGAATATAAGAGCTTAGAGATATTTTTGAATATAGAATTGATGCAGCCATATTTGGTTTCCAAAATGTTTGGTAGCATTCATTTTAAAACTAGGAAGTGTGCTTTGACTATGAATTATTTTCACCATTATTTTAAAGCTAGAATACTGTTGATAGTATTTAATATTAGCACTCCCTGCGTCCTAGATTCTGTAAAAAACAAATAAAATGTGCAGTCTGTTTTCAAGACAGTTTCATTTGCATTTCATTACACTTTTAACCCTCAATTTTTATTCTTTTAGAGGCTATTATAGGGGCTGGTAATCATACCTTATATATTATAAACAACTCTTAGGTCATCAAAAAGATCATCTGGTCTATTCCTCTGAGTCTAAGCATGACAACCTTAGATCATTCAAAACTATGATTCCCTCTCTAATTTTTCAAGACACCAGGTGTGAAGATTAAATCAATCAATTTTTAAAGCATATTTCCTTGGAGACTGGTATGTAAAAGAAATTGAGCTATATCTTGTGAAGAGTAAAATAATCAGCATTTGGTCTTAAGCTCACAATCAAAGGAAAAACTAAAAACACAATACAAGATGCAAAATAACATTTTAATAAGGCATTACAGAAGTCATAAAGTGATATTTGATTTATTCTCAAATGCTTGGTTCAGGTAATACATGATGTTAGAGTTCAGAGAAGAGAGAAATATATCTTGACATTCAATAGAAATTTTCTCTTTATATAACTAAAGGTAGTTTTATTTGGTTTAGTCTTTTGTGGATCACTAGAACTGGCAAGTTTCAAGTATCTTTTTTTTTCCCTCGATTTTTTCAATGTTAGATATTACCCCCTCTACAACTTCTAAACCTTCCTTCAAACTTTTCCTCTAGGTTTCAGTGATTATATGTCAAATAATCTATATTTCTTTACAATTATGCTTTATGTAAATTTCTTTTGATATATCAAACTTTAAAATAATGAAAAGATTACTTCTCATGTTTAAACAGCATAGTTGAATCCACGGTGTTACCTTCTTTATGACTTCCGAATCATTTTTTTTTTTTTTTTGACAGAGTCTTGCTGGGTTGCCCAGGCTGGAGTGCAGTGGCGTGATCTTGGCTCACTGCAACCTGGGCCTCCCGGGTTCACACCATTCTCCTGCCTCAGCCTCCCAAGTAACTGGGACTACAGGAGCCCGCCACAGCGCCTGGCTAATTTTTTCGTAATTTTTTTTTTTTTTTTTTTTTTTTTTTTGTAAAGGCAGAGCCTTGCTCTGTCTCCTAGGCTGGAGTGCAGTGGCGCGATCTCGGCTCACTGCAAGCTCCGCCTCCAGGGTTCACGCCATTCTCCTGCCTCAGCCTCTCTGAGTAGCTGGGACTACAGGCGCCTGCAACCACGACCGGCTAATTTTTTGTATTTTTAGTAGAGATGGGATTTCACCGTGGTCTCGATTTCCTGACCTCGTGATCCGCCCGCCTCGGCCTCCCAAAGGGCTGGGATTACAAGCGTGAGCCACGGCGCCGGGCCAATTTTTTTTGTTTTGTGTTTTTAGTAAGACGGGGTTTCACCGTGTTAGCCAGGATGCTCTTGATCTCCTCACCTCATGATCCGCCCACCTTGGCCTCCCAAAGTGCTGAAATTACGGGCATGAGCCACCGTGCCCGGCCCCAAATCAGTTTTAACCTTATTTGAACCAAGGTAAGCCTTCCTCATCTCAAATATATGCAATACGTTTTTGAAGTAATATGTGCTCTGACTCCATAACTATAGCTTTTTTTTTTTTTTCCCTAAAGCAACTTGATTCAATTCAGCTCAAATATATTAGTATTGCCATTGCAAATAACTCACTTGGCGGGGACAAAAATGTTCACAAGTCAACGTGATTAGAAAAGAGGGTGAGGCACCAGAATAAGTGAAAGAGGCATTTGTGAATTAATCAAGATAAGAGTACCGGCATCTCATATTTTACCCAAACAACAGCACAGGGTATATGCAATTTGTATTTTTCCTTGGCCTTATTAGCATTTCACCCTGCCTTATAATTGATAGATCATTCGTTTAATTAATCGATTCTAATTCTAGACTATAAAATGTTAGGGAGAATCCTCTTTTTGGTTCACTTTCTCTTGCAGCTTAGATTTCTGAATATACATATTGCTGAAACAGAAATAGAAATAAACATATTTGGGTAGGAGGTCAGTATTAAAGACTACCGTGTCAGAGAAAAGAGCATTTTACCTGTAAACGCTTTTCAATATAAAGCACATAAATCTGAAAGAAATTATTTGAGGGAATTTTCTTTCCTGGGGATGAAATGTCTATGTGAGGATTATGCCACTGTGTTACCCTGACTGGTGCATGTAAACTGTCTATTCTCTTTCTATTCCTTCAAGTCACTGTTAAAATATAAAATTATCGCTATGTAGTAACACAATCAAACCTTCTCTAGCTATGTTTCTTAGCTAAATACATTGTTGTTGGTTTTTTGTCAAGGCATGAATACATGAGGGTGAAAGAGTGAAAAATACCCCTCCCTACCAAAACTTTCCTTCATGTTTATTGCACCTCTCAAAGCGGGAGAAGATTAGGTATGAAACAGAGAACAAGTGGAATAAAGTCATATAGAGCTGTGAATCATGTGTTTCATACTCACAGGTACTGACGTACTTTCTCCCCAGAGAAAATAGTACCTATCTTGCAGGCACTGTGAAGGATGTAAACCAACGCTTTATAGAAGAGACAAAATAAACAAGCAAATATGACAGCAATCTTTAGATAAGATTTTATTCCAACTAAATCATCCTGAATTTTTAAATAATACAGAACAGGCAGAAGTGTAGACAAATTGGAAGAAATCTAAATCTAGACTACAGTTGATAATATTTAATATTAAACACTCTGAAGCCCGTGCTCTGTCAAGGGAATACATACCAACAATTGTGTGTTTTGCCCTAGCTTTTCAGGTAATTTCATTGAAAATTTTTGTAGAAATCAAACAGGTTATAACAAATCCTCTCCCAGGAACTCAGTGGGTAGTTGCTGCTAGGAAACAACAGTAAGAGATGTTGAAGAGAAATCAGAACCTGACTCTTTCACCCCCGCCTATATTGATACTGAACTCTATTCATATCTTATGTGTATTTACAACATGTTATGGAGCCACCTATAATAACAGGTCATCTATTCATTCAACCAACAGTTAAATAACATTTGTTTAATACCAATCACTGTGCCAAATAGTAAGCTTTCAAAGAAAACTGCGAGCCATTGCAAATGTCAACTCTTCTCTTTGTACTTGCATAAAAACAGACTGCAACTCAGATCCATTTGATCTATAAGTTATGTCTAGGTTACTACCACATGAAGAAGCAGTGGTTAAGTTGAGAAGTCATGCTATATTTGTCACAAAAGTACATAATAACTTAGATAAATACTATATGTATTTATCTAAATGTAAAAAATGTATCTAAATGTAAAAAAAATCATTCCACTTTACTGTTAAATGTTCTCATGAAGATTCCTTGGATTCAGGAGGACACATGGAAATACCTATGACTTTTGGGAGATTAACAATTGATAATGGTAAGTGGACCAGAGTCTTTTGACATATTATATTTGTCATCAGTCACATCAACATCACTCAGCAAAATATTTGAGCATTGAGGGTATGGATCATATGTGTGTTACACGTGCACAAATGCTATAGAAATATGTTTCACATGTATTAATATAAGTATGTGTGTGTATTCAGACAATGATTTACACATATAATTATTAAAAAGAATATGGGGGTATAAGAGCAAAATATCTGCTTTACAAAGTATAAACATTTTTTAATGAATTCCCATATTGCAGAATTTCACATGTAAAGAATATATTTCAAAAGCTTATTGTCAGAACCATAAGCTTTACTGCCATTTCTCTTGGATCAGTGAGCTTATGAGTCTTTTCCTTGGGTTTCATTTTAAGAAAGTTTCAATTCTCAGAGAGACTATATGACAGTTGGAGTATGGAAGTTTTTTGTCACCATGACCACATTCTTCCAAGAAGAACTAAAGAAAGTTGAGCAAGTATTTTTATTGTCTAGAAATAAACTTCAGTGAGCCTTTCAACTTCCTATTCTCATAGAAGGTTGCCTTCAGTTACCTAAATAATTCTCAGTAATTCCAAGAAGATATTTAATAAGGTAGGAAAAATAAGAAGCCAATGTCCAATCAAATTACTTCCTATTAATTTTATTTTGGGGGTTTATTTCCTTTGTTACTTTTACTTGACTCCCTCAATGGTATGACTGTATTACAGTGAATGACATAGTTGGACACAGACAAAATTAATCATTTTCTAACTGGATTATCTTCTAAGCAAATGTTTGAAATTGGAGACATAGGCTTAATTAGGAATCATCATAATACATACTCTCTCACACATACTGACACTCACATATACAAACATACTAACCTAGTTGTCCATATGCTTCTCTGAGTGATTGTTCCCAACCAAATACACTGAATGACTATACTGATTAAATTCTGTGATCTTTTTTCCACATTTAATTCATCTTGTCAGGTATGGAAAACCAATGGCCTCATTTCAAAGAAAAAAAAAATTCAAACAAAAACGGGGCTTTGTTCCTTGACCTGTAGCTCTGAGAAAAAATAGTACAACACCCAAACACACCCAAGTGGCAAACATTTCTAGCTAATTTCTATGTTATGACAGAGAGTGAGGGATGTCTAAGCTTTAAAATGAGGCTGAGTTTTGGAGTGAAGGCAGTTTTTTCTCCTTTGCCTTGGACAACTGCTGGAAAAAAACTGCCTTCGATGTCTCTGTCAGATTCCCACATAGCCTGTGAAGTTTCTCTCAGTCCAGGCGGGTTATCTCACAAACCTGTGCAAAGCTCCAGTGAATAATTTATATCAGACATGAGGCGACAAGTTAAACACGCCCATTTTGTCTAAAATGCTGTGAAGGTATCAAGATGGAGCCAAGCTACAGGGCGAGGGGAGCCTGGCTGATGGGAACCCGAGTATGTCTAGAAGAGAGGATGCTGCTGTAAAGAAAATGAAATGTAATGAGATACTCTTTCATGCATAATTCATAGGTGAAAACATGACTGCATAAAAAGCCATGGATTTTAACAAGGCAAGCCTGCAATCATGCACATTATCTTCCCAGAGGAACTTTATGTAATATTGGTCAAAAGGAGAAGATTCTGAATACCAGTACAAAATAAAGCTGACAGGTTTTCAAATGCAGCAGAATTTATGTTAATGCACAATGCCTGTAAAAGAAACAATTTCTATTTACGCCTGAAAATACTGCATAACCAAAAATTTACTTTAAAATGTTTGCTATCTCCTCTTTAAATAGGAAAAAAAAAAGAAAAGGAGAATAGAAGATTCATATTGATAAACATCGATAAAATATAAGAGCTGTATTTATTGAATCTTGTGGGGTTAAGTTAAACTGGACTTGGCAGACATTTTCACTCTTCTGGCAACAAAAGTTTAGATAGAAATGTAGGCATAGAGGAGGCTTTAAAAATGATAAAATGTTAGCTATTGTCCATGCAAAATTTAATTTTGTTGTGTTGTAAGAGCAAATATTGTAATTCAGCTTTCAACACCAGTTAAGCGACTAACACATGCCTGATTTCAAATGGTGTTTAATATGTGGAGCTCTTAGTTGAGGGATTAAAGAAGAATGTTGATTAAAGCTTGACATCTCTTAAATTTATCACCATCAAACCCTAAAGACGCCTTAGCTTCTTAGAAAGAATTGGCATGGTGGGGGCGGGGTGATGGTGTTTCTTTGACTGTCCATGCTACGGAAATACATAAGACGGGAATGCAAAAGAAAGGTCAAAGGCATCTGCAAAACATACATGCCAGAGAGCTGAGCTTGGCTTGTTGTCTTGGCTTACCCTGTGCACTATCAGTATTTGAAAGCAAAGCCAAGTATTAATAGTTACATTGCATCCAGCTATGGCGTTGTGGCTCTAATGCTCGGCTGAAGAAAGCAGTGAGGGGTGAAAATGGTAGACATATCTGCCTCAAAGTCACCATCTACCACAGGAATTTTTTAAGATCCATATTGAAGAAGCAAAGAGAATTGTTATAAAAAACAGCAGGTGAAAGAGGACTAGATGCCAATTAATCTAATCCATTTAAACAAAATTGTGTTATTAATCTCTGCTTGCTCTAACTTAGATATGCGTTGTATTTTGAAAAAAAAAATAAAAGTAGACTTAGGAAGTTAAGGATTTAATTTCTGAATATGGAATCCCAGTTTTTGCAACAAGGTGGCGGAACAAAGCAAAATCATGCTGAGAGCTGGTCATAAAGAAAGTTCTTTAATATCATGAGACTTCCATCTAGGTTTCAGTGATAAGTTCAGAACCTGAGTTTGACCATTTGCATTATGTTTAACTATTCATGCTAATTCTGCTAGGATATATTCCTGATATAGTTTTGTTTTTAAAATATATTTACAACCCACTGCCCCCATACAGCCTCTGTGGCATGAGGTTCTCTCTCCAGGGCACCCAGAGCTAACCAGCTGGTTAACCCTAACATACTTTAATACTCCACTGCTTGCTTGCTTGCTCTGCAATACGGCTGAAAAAAAGACAGTTTGGGGTGACAGTATCTATTTCCTTCTGTGCTAGAAGGTGAGAAGAGGTGATCCCCATCTGTTCACTCTCCCTGACTGATGTGCTCTTCCACCTTTTCTTGCTAGCTTAGCACACTGCTGAGAAGTTTGCTACACTGATAGGATCCATTTCCAAGCACAGAAAGGGTTTGTTTGCTTGTACACCTGTGCTCTAAAGGAAGTTTTCCTATTGCTTATGCCAGTTGGATGACTTGCTGAATTCTTTAGCATATATAAAAATGCAAAGTGCCTGAAATGGGAATCGAATGATAACATTATTAGAATTCCCTCTTGGGGTCAGATGAGACAGATGGTTGCATGAGGAGGATATGCCTGGATACAGCTTCTGTAGTCTGAATTTGTTTCTTATTTGTTTCCCTTTCTGTGAAATCAATGCACATATTAAATATCATACATAACACAAAGCACATTTGAAAGAAAGAGAGGAGCAGAATGAAACATGAATTTTTAAATTTCCATTGACTGAGATTCATACACAAGCATGGGGAAGCATCATCTTAGGCCTCTGGATTCTATACTCTGCAACTTTTTCCAGCCAGAAAACCCCATAAAAGCAAGTCATGTGAATAGGAAGATGCTATTCGTGGATCAAGTGGATTTTCTTTTCCTGTTCAATCAAGTGAAATCAGACATATCATTACCTGTTTACATTCCTTAAAAATCCTCTTATGACACTTAGAACACAGTACCTTTGTGGGATTTGGCATTTCTACCCATCTCCTCTCTGACTCTACTTCAGCCACTCTGCCTTCTAGTGCAGTAGAAAGATAATAGGACCTGGAAGTAAGAGGGAAGTGTTTTGTCTGTTTGTTTGTTTGTTTTTAAGGTAAAAATTACACTTCCTCCAAGGAAGTAAAAGATGTGGAGAGACAGTGGGAAAATTAGGGAATTCTTTGTAGTGTTGTCTTTGTTATAAGTGACACATGAGACTCCGTGCTTATAAATTTGATAGATTAGAAGACCATGATTTTTCCCAAAGTTGCTGACCTTAATAAACCTACAAAGAGATGTCCAGTTGTGAGTCACAGGGCTTCATCTCCTGTCTTCTATTCATAATGTGTGAGTAATTGGGATGGAAAAAAGTAGAAGGCTCTTTTGATCTAATTTGTAGATGACTTGAAGCTAGTAAAGAGAATGAATAGTTGCATGCAGAATGAGTACTAAAAAACAGAAGGACAAGTGGAAGCGTGTGCTTAATTCTTAAAGTTCATAATACGTCTATGTTTTCTTTTTTTGAAGAGCTTCAAAATTGAAATGACTTATTCATGAATTTAATAAATCCAGATTTGAAATGTAGCTGGAGAAGAGTTTGAAATGAGTGCAAGAGAGTACAGGGTGAGATAATCTTTTATGACTCATTCATAGAAGTATTTGAAGGTGTGAAAAGGTGATCACTCTCAGTTCCCTTCTACCTAAGAAACAAGGCTTAATAGTCCCCATCCCTTTCTGCCATGATTCTTTTCAGACTCATATTTCCAATCATTTTCTTATTCTCTCCTTTGATTTAGTTCCAGCCTTGAAGCCATGAGTATCTAAAATATAAACCACACTGTTTCTACTTTTGGTATTACTTTTTTCTCCTAGTAAGATCTAACTACTTGCTACAAAGGAATTAGATGTGTTTGCTCTAAACATGGAAAAGCTGAACTCCTTTGCTACAAATAGAGTCCTGTAATGAAATAATATAGAATTATGTGTTTTTAACAGCATTCAATTTAAAAGGTAAGTTTTCATCAATAAGCTTCTTGTTGTGAAGTTTGCACATCAGTTTCACTACATAAGTCTGAAGCTTCTGTTTTTTTTTTTTTTTTTTTAGTAACTCTTCCTTCTATCATTATCAATTTATGTGATATTTGAATTAAGATGAACCAGAGAATTGACATTTGGTTTATTTTAATATTTCAGATGACTAGTTCTTGGAAACCAACTGATATTTATTTAGCTGCTTCCTCAGATCAAGGGCTTTTTACTTTCTTACTCATGTAACAAGATGCTTAAACATGCTGAATTGTAATTTGTGAGGAAAAGAACAATGCCATTGTTGATTGTTCAAGGAAGGGTAAGAATTCAAATTTCAAATACACTGAATTAATGGAAACGAGAGACTGCATTCATTTACCATTGCTGTATGGTCCTGCACTCAATGGAAGCCCTCATTTGTAAAAACTGCAGAATTGTATATTGGAAATAAAGTAAGAATATGAGTAGAAATTTAGAGCTTTTTATCAATATAAATCTCAATCCTCTTTTCCCTTTCCTGTCTAAATTATGTTAATAGAATGCAATAAAAAATCAGGATATTTTTCAAAATTCACTTGATAAGATTGTTGTGGAGTTAAAAGTGTGTTTCCCATAATATATGGGTTTGCACAACTTTTCATATACTATACTAAATTTTAGAAGAGGTACAAAGTTTATATATCCCCAAATTGAAAATGTCATCAACAGTGAATAAACAGTGTGGCTTATCTGTGTAACAAAATAATACTTATCAATGAAAAGAAACACACTACTTATAAATGCAACAACATGGATGAATCTCCACAAGAAGCTGAGTGAAAGAGGCCAGAAATAAAAGTGTATATACTATATTCTTTCATTTATATGAATTTTCAGAATATGGCAGTATTCATCCATAGATTGAGAAAGCAGATCTTTGTTTGTCTTAGGCCAGGGATGAGCGATGAACAGTGCCATGAGAAAACTTTTCTAGGTAACGTAAATGTTCTTATCTTGACTATTGTGTCAAGATTTGTTGGTGGTTACACAGGTGTGTAAATGTGTCACAACACATGCAACTGTATACTCAAAATTGGTGCAATTTATTCTGTGTAAATTATGCTTCAATAAAGTTGGCTTTAAAAAAGAAAACCAATCAAAAGCACCTTTATACATGGATTTCTTCTCTTATAGTCCACCATAAAAATATTTGGACACCCTTTCTTTAAAACAACACAAATAAATTGTGTGGACTTGCTGAAAGTCTCTTGTTCCCAAGTACTGAAGTATCTACAGCCCACAGTTCAACAAGAGCTGAAAACAGAGGTTGTGCTGAAGAAAAGCGAAGTGACTTTTATTGAGCTCTGCATAAGGTGCTTTCAGTACATGTATATATGGAGTGTTGTGTTTGAGAAATTTTCTTAGAAAAGAGATCTGTTATTGAAAAACTTCATGATAGGCCATGTGGTGAGAGCATGTCATATGCAAGATGAATATGGCAAGATCCTTCTACATGAGACAAAGGAAGGAACTTGTTGTTTCCCATAGGAAGCCAATTGGAAGACTGAATTAGAGTGATTGGAGTAAGCAGCTGTGGAAAGTCTGTGTGGTGTATACGATGGGACTCTTTCACATCACTAAGTCTACAGCAGGGCCTTTACGTGTCTGTGGCAGAATTGGTGACTTAGTACAGGGTGACCCAAAATAGAAGACACGCTAGGAAAGGTACAGGAGTCAGTCTAGAAGAGTCTACTCAGTGTAAAGCAGCAGACATCCTAGTAGGCCCAGAGGTTTGTCTGTAAAACAATTCTTTCTACATAAATCTGTAGAACTCATTTCACTTTCTGGGTTACAGCTTTATTAAATTTTTTAAACAACATGTTTGTAACAAATGAAAAAACAATTTCAATGTAACAAATGAGAAAAAGAAGGCTCTACAAGGTCAGAGTTGAGAAAGGAAAAAGAAGGAAGCACAGAGGCTGGTTTTCAGCCGGTTGCAATCCATGCACTCAAAATGTAATTTTATGTTTTTACTGTGGAGTGTGGGTAAGTCCCATAACATCCAATATTTGTATAAATACATATTCCAAAGCCAAAGTTTGTTTGTGTAAGACTTTGCTTTAGAAAAAACCATTATGTGAAGCTCCTACTCAAGGTGGTCAGAAATTTAGCATTAAATTTACGTAGAAATTTAAAGAATTACTGCGAAAAGTTTATTTTGTAGATATTAGATTTATTGTGATGAAGTTTTTTAAATTATAACATTTTTCTCTGTTACTATAATTCTATTAAATTCTTAAATTATCTTTTTCTTCATCTAGGGGAAAATTAAAGCCAATAAGTGGGAACAAGAGTGACCACAAAGAAAATAAGTTATTCTTATAAATAAGAAATTCTATTACCTTATTAAATATTAGTATTATCTTCCTAGCAAACACAGAGTTACCATGCTATGCACACAAATAAAAGCTTAATTCTGACTTTTTTCTTTCTTCAACTCAAAATATTAAGGAGCTATATTTTGTTTTTGAAGGAACAAAGCTTTAATTAGTCTATAGTAATTTGTGTAGTGTTTTTTGTTTCTCTCTCTATGTATATATACATATACATATACATAATGGATTAGAGTATGCAGTTTGCTGAATCACTTTTAGAACAAGGTTTCCAATCCTTAGGTTGTGATACATTGGTGGGTTGTTAAATCAGTTTAGTACCTTGTGATTATAATTTATAGAAAATGAATTAACATAGAAAATATCAGAATTAGTCTCACACAAAACCCATAAGTATTGTTTTTGAGGCATATTTTTCAGATGTATGTATAAATGCCTGTGAGTACATGTGTACGTGTGTGTGTGTGTGTGTATGCGTGTAAGTTTGAGTATTGGGTTGCAAGATAAAAAGTTTTCCTTTCTACAGGCTGAGAACAGCAAAAAGTTTCAAACTCATTTATGAGAACGAAGTAGTTTCTCAATAAATATTTGTTGACTAGTTGGCTGATTTAATTTGAGAAAGAATGACAAAACTTTGGTCATTGTTTCAGAAAAAACTTCCTAAAAGTGCAAATCAGAATGTCTACAAAATGATAATACTTATGATGATTTATTTTCAGCGCAGCTTTTTCCTCATTAGGCCTTATGTATTTATTTTTTATTTACTCTGATTAGGAGTGTTCAGATTCTAAGTCTTGAATGGCTTAGAAAATCACCAGAGGGGAAAAAAGGAGCTTATTATGAACCCTGGCCAGCAGTGACATTTAAAAATGGAATCAACAAGAACTATCATGAATGCAATTAAAATACTGGGAGCTTGTGACTAAGGGGGATGCTTTAGTATATCACCATGTGTCATCTGCTGTTTTAAGGGTCAATAGGAGCCCTTGGTGCACTAAAATCTATTAAACCTACTACTGTGAGATTGTTTTTTTCAGTAAGCAAATTAATAGGAGTGGATGATTACCATCTTTATTATAGGTTGGGAAGCTAATATATCTGCTTAAGTGCACTTATTTGAATGGAAAACAGGTATATATAAAGTATGCTGAAAAAAATGACAAAGGGTTTGAACTTGAAAGAAGCTGATCCTATGTTAAAGTTTACATACTTCAAAAATAATATGAAAATGGTTGTGATTCTAATTATTTTGGGAAAATTTGCCTCTATGAGTCATTAATTTTCATCTTGAAAAATTCATAAAGATACGACACTTAATATGCCAGACGAGTTTTTAGTAAAATATACTTTATTGACTATGTGCCTTTCCTCCCTTAGATATTATAGTGATTGTGGAGCCATTATTTAAAATTTGCTGGAGTTGTTTGACCAAAAGATTCCATAATATATGCAACTCATCCACTTTATTTTATTTATTTATTTTTTTCACTTTCTCTTTCTTCTTTTTTTTTTATTAGTATACTTTAAGTTTTAGGGTACATGTGCACATTGTGCAGGTTAGTTACATATGTATACATGTGCCATGCTGGTGCGCTGCACCAACTCGTCATCTAGCATTAGTTATATCTCCCAATGCTATCCCTCCCCCTCCCCCCATCCCACAACAGTCCCCAGAGTGTGATATTCCCCTTCCTGTGTCCATGTGATCTCATTGTTCAATTCCCACCTATGAGTGAGAATATGCGGTGTTTGGTTTTTTGTTCTTGCGATAGTTTACTGAGAATGATGATTTCCAATTTCATCCATGTCCCTACAAAGGACATGAACTCATCATTTTCTATGGCTGCATAGTATTCCATGGTGTATATGGGCCACATTTTCTTAATCCAGTCTATCATTGTTGGACATTTGGGTTGGTTCAAGTCTTTGCTATTGTGAATAATGCCACAATAAACATACGTGTGCATGTGTCTTTATAGCAGCATGATTTATAGTCCTTTGGGTATATACCCAGTAATGGGATGGCTGGGTCAAATGGTATTTCTAGTTCTAGATCCCTGAGGAATCGCCACACTGACTTCCACAATGGTTGAACTAGTTTACAGTCCCACCAACAGTGTAAAAGTGTTCCTTTTTCTCCATATCCTCTCCAGCACCTGTTGTTTCCTGACTTTTTCATGATCGCCATTCTAACTGGTATGAGATGGTATCTCATTGTGGTTTTGATTTGCATTTCTCTGATGGCCAGTGATGATGAGCATTTTTTCATGTGTTTTTTGGCTGCATAAATGTCTTCTTTTGAGAAGTGTCTGTTCATGTCCTTCGCCCACTTTTTGATGGGGTTGTTTGTTTTTTTCTTGTAAATTTGTTTGAGTTCATTGTAGATTCTGGATATTAGCCCTTTGTCAGATGAGTAGGTTGTGAAAATTTTCTCCCATTTTGTAGGTTGCCTGTTCACTCTGATGGTAGTTTCTTTTGCTGTGCAGAAGCTCTTTAGTTGAATTAGATCCCATTTGTCAATTTTGGCTTTTGTTGCCATTGTTTTTGGTGTTTTAGACATGAAGTTCTTGCCCATGCCTATGTCCTGAATGGTAATGCCTAGGTTTTCTTCTAGGGTTTTTATGGTTTTAGGTCTAACATTTAAGTCTTTAATCCATCTTGAATTGATATTTGTATAAGGTGTAAGGAAGGGATCCAGTTTCAGCTTTCTACGTATGGCTAGCCAGTTGTCCCAGCACCATTTATTAAATAGGGAATCCTTTCCCCATTGCTCGTTTTTCTCAGGTTTGTCGAAGATCAGATAGCTGTAGATATGCGACGTTATTTCTGAGGGCTCTGTTCTGTTCCATTGATCTATATCTCTGTTTTGGTACCAGTACCATGCTGTTTTGGTTACTGTAGCCTTGTAGTATAGTTTGAAGTCAGGTAGTGTGATGCCTCCAGCTTTGTTCTTTTGGATTAGGATTGACTTGGCAATGCAGGCTCTTTTTTGGTTCCATATGAACTTTAAAGTAGTTTTTTCCAATTCTGTGAAGAAAGGCATTGGTAGCTTGATGGGGATGGCATTGAATCTGTAAATTACCTTGGGCAGTATGGCCATTTTCACGATATTGATTCTTCCTACCCATGAGCATGGAATGTTCTTCCATTTGTTTGTATCCTCTTTTATTTCCTTGAGCAGTGGTTTGTAGTTCTCCTTGAAGAGGTCCTTCACATCCCTTGTAAGTTGGATTCCTAGCTATTTTATTCTCTTTGAAGCAATTGTGAATGGGAGTTCACTCATGATTTGGCTCTCTGTCTGTCTGTTGTTGGTGTATAAGAATGCTTGTGATTTTTGTACATTGATTTTGTATCCTGAGACTTTTCTGAAGTTGCTTATCAGCTTAAGGAGCTTTTGGGCTGAGACAATGGGGTTTTCTAAATATACAGTCATGTCATCTGCAAACAGGAACAATTTGACCTCCTCTTTTCCTAATTGAATACTCTTTATTTCTTTCTCCTCCCTAATTGCCCTGGCCAGAACTTCCAACGCTATATTAAATAGGAGTGGTGAGAGAGGGCATCCCTGTCTTGTGCCATTTTCAAAGGGAATGCTTCCAGTTTTTGCCCATTCAGTATGATATTGGCTATGGGTTTGTCATAGATAGCTCTTATTATTTTGAAATACGTCCCATCAATACCTAATTTATTGAGAGTTTTTAGCATGAAGGGTTGTTGAATTTTGTCAAAGGCTTTTTCTGCATCTATTGAGATAATCATGTGGTTTTTGTCTTTGGTTCTGTTTATATACTGGATAACATTTATTGATTTGCATATATTGAACCAGCCTTGCATCCCAGGGATGAAGCCCACTTGATCATGGTGGATAAGCTTTTTGATGTGCTGCTGGATTCGTTTTGCCAGTATTTTATTGAGGATTTTTGCATCAATGTTCATCAAGGATATTGGTCTAAAATTCTCTTTTTTTGTTGTGTCTCTGCCTGACTTTGGTATCAGAATGATGCTGGCCTCGTAAAATGAGTTAGGGAGGATTCCCTCTTTTTCTATTGATTGGAATAGTTTCAGAAGGAATGGTACCAGTTCCTCCTTGTACCTCTGGTAGAATTCAGCTGTGAATCCATCTGGTCCTGGACTCTTTTTGGTTGGTAAGCTATTGATTATTGCCACAATTTCAGATCCTGTTATTGGTCTATTCAGAGATTCAGCTTCTTCCTGGTTTAGTCTTGGAAGAGTGTACGTGTCGAGGAATTTATCCATTTCTTCTAGATTTTCTAGTTTATTTGCGTAGAGGTGTTTGTAGTATTCTCTGATGGTAGTTTGTATTTCTGTGGGATCGGTGGTGATATCCCCTTTATCATTTTTTACTGTGTCTATTTGATTCTTCTCTCTTTTTTTTGTTTATTAGTCTTGCTAGCAGTCTATCAATTTTGTTGATCCTTTCAAAAAACCAGCTCCTGGATTCATTAATTTTTTGAAGGGTTTTTTGTGTCTCTATTTCCTTCAGTTCTGCTCTGATTTTAGTTATTTCTTGCCTTCTGCTCGCTTTTGCATGTGTTTGCTCTTGCTTTTCTAGTTCTTTTAATTGTGATGTTAGGGTGTCAGTTTTGGATCTT
Source organism: Homo sapiens (assembly GCF_000001405.40). Classification (NCBI taxonomy): domain Eukaryota; kingdom Metazoa; phylum Chordata; class Mammalia; order Primates; family Hominidae; genus Homo; species Homo sapiens. The sequence continues at coordinate 77,943,415 of NC_000008.11, read as the reverse complement.
TCCTGCTTTCTCTTGTGGGCATTTAGTGGTATAAATTTCCCTCTACACACTGCTTTGAATGCGTCCCAGAGATTCTGTTATGTTGTGTCTTTGTTCTCGTTGGTTTCAAAGAACATCTTTATTTGTGCCTTCATTTCTTTATGTACCCAGTAGTCATTCAGGAGCAGGTTGTTCAGTTTCCATGTAGTTGAGCGGTTTTGAGTGAGATTCTTAATCCTGAGTTCTAGTTTGATTGCACTGTGGTCTGAGAGATAGTTTGTTATAATTTCTGTTCTTTTACATTTGCTGAGGAGAGCTTTACTTCCAAGTATGTGGTCAATTTTGGAATAGGTGTGGTGTAGTGCTGAAAAAAATGTATATTCTGTTGATTTGGGGTGGAGAGTTCTGTAGATGTCTATTAGGTCCGCTTGGTGTAGAGCTGAGTTCAATTCCTGGGTATCCTTGTTGATTTTCTGTCTCGTTGATCTGTCTCATGTTGACAGTGGGGTGTTAAAGTCTCCCATTATTAATGTGTGGAAGTCTAAGTCTCTTTGTAGGTCACTCAGGACTTGCTTTATGAATCTTGGTGCTCCTGTATTGGGTGCATATATATTTAGGATAGTTAGCTCTTCTTGTTGAATTGATCCCTTTACCATTATGTAATGGTCTTGTCTCTTTTGATCTTTGTTGGTTTAAAGTCTGTTTTATCAGAGACTAGGATTGCAACCCCTGCCTTTTTTTGTTTTCCATTTGCTTGGTAGATCTTCCTCCATCCTTTTATTTTGAGCCTATGTGTGTCTCTGCACGTGAGATGGGTTTCCTGAATACAGCACACTGATGGGTCTTGACTCCTTATCCAATTTGCCAGTGTGTGTCTTTTAATTGGAGCATTTAGTCCATTTACATTGAAAGTTAATATTGTTATGTGTGAATTTGATCCTGTCATTATGATGTTAGCTGGTTATTTTGCTTGTTAGTTGATGCAGTTTCTTCCTAGTCTCGATGGTCTTTACATTTTGGCATGATTTTGCAGCGGCTGGTACCGGTTGTTCCTTTCCATATTTAGCGCTTCCTTCAGGAGCTCTTTAAGGGCAGGCCTGGTGGTGACAAAATCTCTCAGCATTTGCTTGTCTGTAAAGTATTTTATTTCTCCTTTGCTTATGAAGCTTAGTTTGGCTGGATATGAAATTCTGGATTGAAAATTATTTTCTTTAAGAATGTGGAATATTGGCCCCCAGTCTCTTCTGGCTTGTAGGGTTTCTGCCGAGAGATCCGCTGTTAGTCTGATGGGCTTCCCTTTGAGGGTAACCCCACCTTTCTCTCTGGCTGCCCTTAACATTTTTTCCTTCATTTCAACTTTGGTGAATCTGACAATTATGTGTCTTGGAGTTGCTCTTCTCAAGGAGTATCTTTGTGGCGTTCTCTGTATTTCCTGAATCTGAACGTTGGCCTGCCTGGCTAGATTGGGGAAGTTCTCCTGGATAATATCCTGCAGCGTGTTTTCCAACTTGGTTCCATTCTCCCCATCACTTTCAGGTACACCAATCAGACATAGATTTGGTCTTTTGACATAGTCCCATATTTCTTGGAGGCTTTGCTCATTTCTTTTTATTCTTTTTTCTCTAAACTTCCCTTCTCGCTTCATTTCATTCATTTCATCTTCCATTGCTGATACCCTTTCTTCCAGTTGATCGCAACGGCTCCTGAGGCTTCTGCATTCTTCACATAGTTCTCGAGCCTTGGTTTTCAGCTCCATCAGCTCCTTTAAGCACTTCTCTGTATTGGTTATTCTAGTTATACATTCTTCTAAATTTTTTTCAAAGTTTTCAACTTTTTTGCCTTTGGTTTGAATGTCCTCCAGTAGCTCAGAGTAATTTGATCATCTGAAGCCTTCTTCTCTCAGCTCCTCAAAGTCATTCTCCGTCCAGCTTTGTTCTGTTGCTGGTGAGGAGCTGCATTCCTTTGGAGGAGGAGAGGCGCTCTGATTTTTAGAGTTTCCAGTTTTTCTGTTGTTTTTTCCCCATCTTTGTGGTTTTATCTACTTTTGGTCTTTGATGATGGTGATGTACAGATGGGTTTTTGGTGTGGATGTCCTTTCTGTTAGTTTTCCTTCTAACAGACAGGACCCTCAGCTGCAAGTCTGTTGGAATACCCTGCCGTGTGAGGTGTCAGTGTGCCCCTGCTGGGCGGTGCCTCCCAGTTAGGCTGCTTGGCAGTCAGGGGTCAGGGACCCACTTGAGGAGGCAGTCTGCCCGTTCTCAGATCTCCAGCTGCGTGCTCGGAGAACCACTGCTCTCTTCAAAGCTGTCAGACAGGGACATTTAAGTCTGCAGAAGTTACTGTTGTCTTTTTGTTTGTCTGTACCCTGCCCCCAGAGGTGGAGCCTACAGAGGCAGGCAGGCCTTCTTGAGCTGTGGTGGGCTCCACCCAGTTGGAGCTTCCTGGCTGCTTTGTTTACCTAATCAAGCCTGGGCAATGGCGGGCGCCCCTCCCCCAGCCTCGCTGCCGCCTTGCAGTTTGATCTCAGACTGCTGTGCTAGCAATCAGCGAGACTCTGTGGGCGTAGGACCCTCCGAGCCAGGTGCAGGTTATAATCTCGTGGTGAGCCGTTTTTTAAGCCCGTCGGAAAAGTGCAGTATTCGGGTGGGAGTGACCCGATTTTCCAGGTGCTGTCCATCACCCCTTTCTTTGACTTGGAAAGGGAACTCCCTGACCCCTTGCGCTTCCCGAGTGAGGCAATGCCTTGCCCTGCTTCGGCTCGTGCACGGTGCGTGCACCCACTGACCTGCGCCCAGTGTCTGGCACTCCCTAGTGAGATGAACCCGGTACCTCAGATGGAAATGCAGAAATCACCCGTCTTCTGCGTCGCTCACGCTGGGAACTGTAGACCGGAGCTGTTCCTATTCGGCCATCTTGGCTCCTCAACTCATCCACTTTAATACTAAGGTACAATTAATACTTTTCAAGTAGAAATTCAGTTTATTTATATACATCCTCCTCCAGATTCTCACCAAGTGCTTCCCTTGTTTGTTATGTCATAACAGATGTATGAAATATGAAAAAGAAAATGTCAAAACAGATTTTTTATTATTTGATCAGGAAGATGATTCAGAGAAGCAAATGTCCAGTGTTTAAACTCTGAGGCCTAAAAATAAGCATTTCAGAAAAACTCTCATATTTTGTTGATTGCCAGACATACCACAGAATCTCTCTTTCTCACCATTCAATCCACTATTAAGAAATAAATAATCTCTTGAAAAGAATGCTTTCTCAGACAAAGATGGAAGGTGTACCAAAATAGGCACTTTAACAATAGATTGATTATGCCATAAAAGCATCAAATTGAAAGGTAATAGTCATGATCAAAATCGTAATACAATAAAATAATATTAGTTGATTATATTGAATACTGAGTTGGAGCCAGGTTCTTACAACAACTCCAGCAACTAGTTACAACAGTCATACCTCTTCCCAATTTACAGACATAGAAAGTATGATACTTTCTTAATTAAATCACAAAAAAACACATACTACAAGTGCACTGATATCAGCTAACAACCTTATTTCAAATAAATGACTGGTGAATAAAACAAGTTTTTTAAGACATAATATGCCTATTCTATCACTGGCACAAAAAATTAGTTTGGTGAAAGAAAGATTGACTGATTTGTTGGTTGATTGATTAACCAGTTCTGACAAGCCTATTTACCTTCACATTTAAATCTATTATTAAGAATGGTCTAACTGCTAATAGTTTCAAAATATTGGAAATTAATAAATAGTGTTCCTGATAGATACATGTCTTACTCTGCCAAAACATGACAAACCTTTAAAAAGTGGCTATTATTAAACTACATGATGTGGTTTGGCTGTGTCCCCACCCAAATCTCATTTGAATTCCCACGTGTTGTGGGAGGTATCTGGTGGGAGGTTATTGAATCATGGGGGCAGGTCTTTCCCATGCTGTTTTCATGACAGTGAATAAGTCTCAGAAGATCTAATGGATTTTTTTAAAAGGGTAGTTTCCCTACACAATTTCTCTCTTTGCCTGCTGCCATCCATGTCTTAACTTGACTTGCTCCTCCTTGCATTCCACCATGATTGTGATACTTCCCCAGCCATCTGGAACCCTAAGTCCATTAAACCTCTTTCTTTTGTAAATTGCCCAGTCTCAGGTGTGTCTTTCTGAGAGCCATGAGAATGGGCTAATACAGTAAATTGGTAACAGTAGAGTGGGGCATTACTGAAAAGATACCTGAAAATGTGGAAGTGACTTTGGAACTGGGTAACAGGCAGAGGTTAGAACAGTTTGGAGGGCTCAGAAGAAGACAGGAAAATGTGGGAAAGTTTGGAACTCCCTAGAGACTTGTTGAATGGCTTTGACCAAAATGCTGATTAATAATATGGACAATGAAATCCAGGCTGAGGTGGCCTTAGATGGAGATGAGGAACTTGTTGGGAACTGGAGTAAATGTGACTCTTGCTATGTTTTAGCAAGGATACTGGTGGCATTTTGTCCCTGTCCTACAGATATGTGCAACTTTGAGCTTGAGAGAGATGATTTAAGGTATCTGGTAGAAGACATTTCTAAGCAGCAAAGCATTCAAGATGTGACTTGGGTGTTGTTAAAGGCATTCAATTTTGTTTGTTTGTTTTTTGGAGACAGAGTCTCGCTCTGTCACCCAGGCTGCAGTGCAGTGGTGCAATCTTGGCTCACTGCAACCTCTGCCTCCCAGGTTCAAGTGATTCTCCTGTCTCAGCCTCCTGAGTAGCTGGGATTACAGATGCACACTGACATGCCCAGCTGTGTTTTTTTTTTTTTTTTTTTTTTGGTATCTTAGTAGAGACAGGATTTCACCATGTTGCCTAGGCTGGTCTTGAACTCCTGAGCTCAGGCAATCCACCTGCCTTGGCCTCCCAAAGTGCTAGGATTACAGGCATGAGCCACCGTGCCCAGCTGTGTTCAGTTTTAAAAGTGAAACAAAGCATAAAAGTTTGGAAAATTTGCAGCCTGACAATGCAATTGAAAAGAAAATCCCATTTTCTGAGATGAAATTCTTGCTGGCTGCAGAAATTTGCATAAGTAACAAGGAGCTGAGTGTTAATCCCCAAGACAATGGGGAAAATGTCTCTCCAGAGGATGTCAGAGGTCTTCACAGCACCCCCTCTCATCACAGGCCTGGAGGCCTAGGAGGAAAAAGTGGTTCTGTGGCCCAGGTCCAGGGTCCCCATGCTGAGTGCAGCCTAGGGACTTGGTGTCCTGAGTCTCAGCTGCTCCAGTCAAAGCTGAAAGGGGACAACACAGAGCTCAAGCCATGGCTTCAGAGGGTGCAAGCCTCAAGCCTTGGCAGCTTCTATGTGGTATAGAGCCTTCCAGTGCCCAAGAGTCAAGAATTGGGGTTTGGGAACTACTGCCTGGATTTCAGAGGATGTATGGAAATACCTGAATGCCCCCACAGAAGTTTGCTGCAGGGGCAATGCCATCGTGGAAAACCTCTGCTAGGACAGTGCAAAAGGGAAATGTGGGGTCAGAATCCCCACACAGAGTCCCTACCGGGGCAGCGCATAGTGGAGCTGTGAGAAGAGGGCCACCATCCTCCAAACCCAAGAATGGTAGATCCACTGAGAGCTTGCATCTGGAAAAGCCACAGACACTCAACGCCAGCCGATGAAAGCAGCCACATGGGAGGCTGTACTCTAGAAAGACACAGGGGTGGAGCTGCTCAAGATCATGGGAACCTACCTCTTGCATCAGTGTGACCTGGATGTGAGACATGGAATCAAAGGGGAGCATTTTGGAGCTTTAAGATTTGATCACCCTATTGGATTTCAGACTTGCATGGGGCCTGTAGCCCCTTTGTTTTGGCCAGTGTCTCCCATTTGGAACAGCTGTATTTACCCATTGCCTGTACCCCCATTTTATCTAGGAAGTAACTAACTTGCTTTTGATTTTACAGGCTCATAGACAGAAGGGACTTGCCTTGTCTCAGATGAGACTTTGGGCTGTGGACTTGAGTTACTGCTGAAATGAGTTAAGACTTTGGGGGATTGTTGGGAAGTCATGATTGGTTTTGAAATATGAGGATATGAGATTTGAGAGAAGCCAGGGACAAAATGATATGGCTTGGCTATGTCCACACCCACATCTCATCTTTAATTTCCACATGTTGTGGGAAGTACCTGGTAAGAGGTGATTGAATCATGGGGGCAGGTGTTTCTTCTGATGTTCTCATGATAGTGACTGGGTCTCATACGGTCTGACAGTTTTATAAGGGGAAGTTTCTCTGCACAGTCTGTGTCTTTTTGCCTGTTGTTATCCATGTAAGATGTGACTTCCTCCTCCTTGCCTTCCACCATGATTGTGAGGCTTCCCCAGCCATGTGAAACTGTAAGTCCACTAAACCTCTTTCTTTTAAATATTGCGCAGTCTCAGGTATGTCTATATCAGTAGCATGAAAACAAACTAATACGGTACAATTTGCTTAAAAGTTTTAAGGGAGTGGTCCTTTTTAACTCCATTATGTCCCTTTTAATTTCCTTCACATAGCAGAGAATGAGGGCTTCAAAGGGATTCTTGTGAGGATGTCTATGGTAAAATGCCATTTCCAAAAGAGATTCAACGGCTGATGTTGGCAGCCTATTCTGATAAGACTAAATGTTGCAAATCCGAAGCCGATTGGCCACTGTCATATTACCATTGACTTGCACCCCATTCTTACAGTGAACTCGAGTGAGTGCAAACAAGGGAATATTTCCACTTTACAATCAGATAAAAAGATTCACAGATAAATTTGGTTATATAGAACTTGAGGTAGACTAGTAAAGACAAGGACGCCATGACTGTCTTAGTAGTAACATCTAAATATATGTATAGATAGATAGATAGATAGATAGATATATGTAAAATCTTTCAGTGAAAGCAACAAGAACAAATATGAGTTTTGACACTCACCAGGTTTGATATTGCTTTACGAAACTCTTACATATTTACTAGAATATGATATTTCCCTGGTGGCAATCTTTGGTGAAATCAGAGTGAAGCATAAACCTTCATTTATTCGTTGTAGGAAGCAGCCTCTTCCTATAGTGAAAAAAACCGTTCTGTACTCTTAAGTTGCAGCAAGCATTCTAGACCACCATGACGGAACCTAGTTTGCAGATGAAGTTGCAACACACAAGAGGGTAGAAAAAATTCCTAAGAAATTAGTTTGGATCACCAGTCAGGTGCTATGCCTAGACACAGATTAGTTTGAAACTTTGCAGTTGTGTTCAACTAACCTATTTAATTTGCACTGGGTTTTCTATTACTTAGAACTAGAAATAGTCTAGCTAATAGTTATCTGTGTATATTTATAATTAGAGTGACTTTATAGACTGTTGATATGAAGTTTATAACTCTATCTTATTATTGGCACTTAATATATTGTTTCTGTAAATGTTCATTATTAAGATTTGAATGGGCTCTGGAAAGAGACAAAGATTTACTGCAAGAAACTGTTCGATTTTTTTTTTTTTAATATATCCATAGGGATATTGTGGCTCCTGTATCTGAGTCAAAGGAAGCAAGTGGGCTGGGCGCGGTGGCTCACGCCTGTAATCCCAGCACTTTGGGAGGCAGAGACGGGTGGATCACGAGGTCAGGAGATCGAGACCATCCTGGCCATCACGGTGAAACCCTGTCTCTACTAAAAATACAAAAAAAATTAGCCGGGTGTGGTGGCGGGTTCCTGTAGTCCCAGCTACTTGGGAGACTGAGGCAGGAGAATGGAGTGAACCTAGGAGGCTGAGCTTGCAATGAGCAGAGATCGGGTCACTGCACTCCAGCCTGGGCGACAGAGCGAGACTCCATCTCAAAAAAAAAAAAAGAAAAAAAGAAAAAGAGAAAAAAAAGGGGGCAAGTGTAACATGCTGATTTAATGTAAGGTTACTCCCCTCAAAAAAACAAAAACAAACAAACAAACAAAAAAACTAATGTTACAGCAAATAACAACGTTTTCCAGCTAGTCCACAAAACACCCCCCAAAACACAACGACTGCCTTTCACTTAGAAATATTTTTATTGAAATTAAACTATGTGGAACATCAAATAGCCTTTGAGAACTACCTAAACACTGATTATACCATCTGCTAATAGAAAAATATGCTCTGTATTTAAAAACATTACCAACAATTTATCTAAAAATATTTTGCAGCTAAAACCAAAATTAATCGAAATAGATTTTTTAAAAGTATTGGAAAAGGATGGATAATGCATAGACTTTGTTTAATTCTACTTTCATAACTTGACATTTAGGCTATATGAAGAGACTGTAAAATGTAACACAAAACAATGTACATAGATATGTTTGTACATACACATATGCACTAAAATCTCTGAAGAGAAAGTGGTTAGTATTCACCAGATATTCCAACGGATCTAGGATCTTGGAAAGGTTAAAGGCCAAGGATATAGAGTTAAAATTTTATAGGTTAATTTTTCTTCCATAGGTACCACAATCTCTCATGTTAATCTCTAGATGGTAGCGAATATTTGGTCATTCACAAAATTAAACTTTGTATATATAAAGTGGTTAAAAGAAAAAACTCTGGAGTCTATCTGCCAAGGTTTGAATCCTAGGGCTGCCACTTACTGACCAGGTGACCACAGACACATTCTAATTTCTCAGTGCCTCCCTTCACTTATTTGTAAAATATGAACTCTATAGCTCCTACCTCTTAGGTTTGCAGTGAGAGATAATGGTAAAACTCATGTAAAACATTGAGGGTGTTTCTTGGTACAGAGTAAATGTTAATTAAAAAAACTATTATTATAATACTTGGCTTTCCGGAGAAAAGACATGAACATTATATGCATGTATTGTTTGTTTATTTTGTAATCTACCTAGATTATATATTTGTTTAAGATACCAAACCATAAATGAAATTCATGTCAATCCTTAAGTATAAAATAGCATATAGTTTATAAGTACACATACATACACACACATGTATATGTAGAGAAACTGTAAAACACATACACCAATTCTAAAACTTTGGTTACTTTAAGGAAAAAAGGTTGGAGAATATTATAGGCAAGGAGACTTAGCTATTTCTTCTAAAAATCAATAGGAAAAAGTGAGCAAACAAAGCAAGATGTTTTATGGGTGAATAATCACACTACATTATATCCTATATGTTTGAACTATTTTTAATAAAATATCAAATATGGACAGAATGCATGTATCCTAAAAATTGTTATGAATCTAGACAACATTAGTAACATTTTATTAGAAAAGTTACTGGCTCAGAACTACAAGTTATGAAGTTTTTCCAGAGGACATTTGCATTACGTACTATTCCTACTGCTTCTAAATAGATACTAAATATATTGTTCAAAGATATTTTAATCCCTTTAATCCACAGTTTATAACAACTATATTGGAAAATAACAAAATTAGATAAACTTTCTCAGTAAAATAGAATATTTAAACAGAAGTGCAAGTGTGTGTTTTCAGTGGTTACATTTTTACCTTATTAATAATTTCCTTATTAATGCATATAAAGATACGTTATCTTACACTAATTATAAATTATTTAGTTTAGATCAGTTTTACTAAGCCTTGTGACATTTAATTGCTTACAGGTGCCACTTTCTGAATGGGTTTTAATAATAATTAGAATGGATATGGAGTATATATGCATATATATACACATATATATCTCTCTATACATGTATTTGTATATACATGTATGTTTATACACTTATACACAATACAGACACTCACATTGTGCTGTTACGTAATGTCTATGATGGATAAGATATTTAGACAATCATTTCATACCTACTATGTGCCAACTGCCAAGAACTGGAATAGAACCTGAGAAGATAAATAAATTCCTTTGAGAATGATTTATTATCAAATAATCAAAGTATTGTGAATTACAAGTTATGTGTTAATACATCTGTGTAATAAGGGCTGTAGAAGGCAAGAGAAAGGTGTGAAATCTCGTGGACCGTGATTTATGTGAATGCTTTTCTCAAAGCAAAGTCGCTACATTCCCTCTTTCCCTCTTGGATACCATTCAAACTACCATCTATGCTATTTATACACACACCAAAAGAGAAAGAGGGAGAGAGATTCTCTTGAAATTGTGGTAGCTCTTTGCAGATAGGTATTTGTCTATCTGCAAAAATCTATCTGCAAAAGTGTTGCCTCCATTAATAAGATAAAAAATAAAGAAGTTTCTGAGATTAGATTCTCTGTTAGAATGGCAAAATTTGATAGAATAAGAAAGCTTTTGAAGTAAAAATACCTTTTATTTTTTAGCTGACACTTTGAGTCTTATTTGCTGTCACTAAAATAGAGTGAAATTGGTTAGATATATTTCCTTTCTCTTTTCCTTCACATTTGCTAGCCACACCCCCTTCAACCCACAAGAGGATATGTGACTGAAAATGAAAGATGGCCCACATGCTGCAATGGGAACATTGTGGTAATACATATGAAATGGTGAGTAAAAAATCTAATCTAGTGACATATGCTATGGGGAAAAGTTCTTCTTTACAGATAAGACAGTAAATATAAAAGTATTTGCTCTAAGACTCAGACTATATACTCTAGTATACAATAGTTTATGAAAATAATCTGTATATTAAAGAAGAAATTAATGATATAAAGCAAATAATGATTAATCAAAAAATGTAAGTGAGATAAATGGAATGAGTATACGTTAGTTTACCCAGTACTTTTGCGGCTGTATTTACAGGGTAATGTGTTTTGAATTGATTTGATTTGAATTGAATTGATTAATGAGGATTGAAGTGGATACGAAGGATTCTTACAATAATTTTAGATGAAGGAATCATACGGGCCTTTTCATTCATTCATTCATTCAGTAATTTATTCACTTAGTCAGTTAGCATGTCAGAAAAATTTTGAGCATCTAAAATGAGCATCTTAGTAGCCAGATATGCTTGTTACTGGATAGGCAGGTAAGAACTAATTATAAATTGTTCCTGACCATATGGAACCAAAAGTTCCACATAAATGCTATAAAATATGTGTGCTCTAGTAATAAAATAGGTGACTTTTAGATTTCAGACAAATCACACAGAAAGTCTCCTTGAGAAACAGGTATTTAAAGCTAAGACTAGAAAAATGAATGGGAAGACAAACAGACCACTATATTCCCTGAAAATCAACCTTAGGAGCTCCTCCAGGATTGTCTGGCAGTGGTAAATTCCATGTTTCCCAGAAAGTTCTTGCTTGTGGTTGTGGCTTCACCTTCCCACTGTCACAAAATATCTACAGCTTGGTCACCCCAAAAGCATAAGGTAAGGTTGATGCGGACTTGTCTGTCCAGTGAAACCTTGGTATCTTGGGTCATAGAACATCACTGATTTAGCTGAGCAGTGCCATAGATTATTTTGCAGGTGCAAACTCCTCTTTTTATTCGATCCAAATGGGCCTTTATTCCAGAATGTGAAGCAAATACCACTCTGCTTGTCTACTTGTCTTGCATTCTCACAACTTCTCAGATACATTATTTGCCAAAATGTGTACGTGCATGCACACATGCATACACACACAGACACATATATAGTATATACAAAACAATCAATATATTTAATATAAAAAATTCCTCCTATTTTAGACCTCAGGCAAGAGGTCCCCTATGTATCTCCTGTATATTGTTGTTTTTAAATAGGAAAATGTGCTAAAAAAATCTTGTAAATAACATCAGAAATTTACAAGAATATTTTGATAAAATCTATTGGAAAAAATGTACAAATCTCTAAAGTATCCAGGATTATAAAAGCTGATGCAATGCCTGCTATATCATTCAGTAGGGAGCTTTCAGACATTAAGTATGACATGCATTTTCAAATAATATGGGCCTTTATCCAGTCAAGTGTGACAACTTTTCTGAGTAATCCAGTTAGGAATTCTCTAAGCTAAGAATTTTCTTAATTATATTATCAGTGTCAGCAATCATAAAATTACATTGTGTTCTACACCCTACAAGTTTTCAAAATTGAGAAAAAGTGAGACAGTGTGCAATAAATTAAAATTTATTTCCACTGATACAAAAAATACACAACTAAAGGCAGTAGTAAGTGTCGAAAGGTGACATCAACATGGTGTAAATCTAGAGATGGAGAGTTTGCATTAACATTATTTAAGTTACCTCTAAGAACTTTGATTTAATTAAAGACCTCTTAGAATATGTACATGTAAGAATTTGTAGAATAGAATTATATGCCTCAGAATCCTTTTAATTATACATTCTATTCAGAGATATTTGTATTAATGAAATGTTGGTTCCATGCGTTTCTTTATAGTGCTCTCAATTTAATGTCTTATATTTTAAGAATAGAAATCTTCAGATTTGTATAAATTCCTAAAATGTAAGACATTACCCTCAATGCAACCAGTTGTCACAAGATATTACATGGCATCTCCTCCTGAGACTTTTAACTCCTCAGGAAAAAACAAATGTCACAAAAATGTTGCCAGTCTCATAATAGTGGCAATCCAGTAGGGCTAACTAACTCTCAGCTCCAAATGATTTCTCTCTTCTACTAACATAAAGGCTTTCTAATGCCTATATTTAATAATGTACCTACTATACATTAATACAAAGTTTTAATCTTAAAGCAAATATTAAAAATCAGGTATACGGCAAATAAAAATGGATCTAGTAGTGTTTCTGTGGTATTAGCTGTTGACATGTAATTAAGCTAACTCTACCTAAGCGTTGTTATTATTATGTTTTAGTATCTCTAGACTTTAAATTACCTGACATGGTGTATGCCAATGTGCTATTAAAATAAATTCTATTTTTCATTCTATTGTTTCTGTTATACTTAAAATTGTCATCTTTTTCTGAATACTTTAATGGTAACCATGGAGAGCTTCTAACCTTTATGTCTCTGAGTATAGATGTTAATGCAAATGGGTTCAGCAGATTTGATTCTGTTTTTTTGTTGTTTAGAGCTTACTGAAAGCTATGAATATTTAGTAAAACTGACCATTTCAAAGGGAATCCAACAGAGACTGAATTAGAGACAATCTTCTACTTATTGTGCAGGTGGTCGTTAGTTATCACAGCTTTGATTTTCAGTTGGTTTTGATGAGCTGGTATTTTCACAACAATAGAGGGCTCACTTTCAAGTATTTACATTAATTTCTTATGAAAAAGAAATAATGACCATCTAAATGACTTGGCTTCTCTGATGATGACAACAGAGAAAGGTGAGAAAATTAACTAAGCATACTTTCTAATTATTAAAAAAAGTTTCTTTTTACCTTTGACTTAAAAAACTTCAGAATAAAAATTTATTTTCTAAATCAGAACTATTTGTTAGGGGGGGCCCAAGAAAGGGGTAGTTCAGTCATTGAGAAAATCAGGATAAAATATATAAATCTCTGAAACATGAATGAAAGCAGAAATGCTGAAGCATTCTGTTTGATGAGTTGTTTTTATTTACCTTAAATTTACTAAAGGTTATATTATCTATACATACAGATTTGCATTCCATAAGTTATCTGGCTTTTGCTCCAGAAGGCATGACATTCTGTCCTCCAAACCATTACGTGCATAAGTCCAATCAAGGGTAATGTTTCAGAAAAGCAAGAGGAGAGGAGGAGGAGGAGGAAGACTTCTCTAACATATCCTTTTATAGCTTGTACAAGTCTTTATACTTTTATATTATATATAGGGAATATGCAATCAGTAGATTTCATTTAATTTTACCAGTTTCAGTAAAATGACTTAACTTCAACCAATACAAAAGATATAGTCTTCTTACCTTAGAGCCTATACTTTGAGGACAATTAGAGTTAATATTAATTTCAGAGAAATGGGGCCTCTAAAATACACCAAGACCTGAAGTATAGGTTTTTAATGTGTTGCCAAAATAGTAAATAAATTATAAAAAGCAAAATATTCTGTATTTTTCTTATGCTATGAATTATCCTAGTATAATAGTTGCTAACATCACTTCAAACACCAAACAGTTGAAATTCAAATTATGCTTTTAGCACTTAATAAATGCATGAACCAGGTGAGTTACTTAATTGCTCTGAGGCTCAGTCTGTGAAGTGAAGGATTAAAGCAGTCATGCTCCATAATGAGTCATATTATATAAGGTTTAGTGCATAAAAAGACCTAGTATGCGACATTCTCTAGGGATCTATGTCTAAAACATCCACAGATTCTAGGGGCGTTGATCATAAGCAATGTCCAAATAAGAAAATACTAAAAAACACATAAAAACCAAGATTCTCTTCCTAGCATATATTAATGTATTTACCTGAAGATCTAGTGATATCATTAGGCTTTGTGTCCCCACCCATATCTCATCTTGAATTATAATCCCCATAATTCCCACGTTATCAAGGGAGAGACCAGGTAGCGATAACTGGATCATAGGTGCAGTTTCCCCCATGCTGTTCTCATGATAGTGAGTTCTCACGAGAGCTGATGGTTTTATAAGTGTTTAGTAGTTCCTCCTGCATTCATTCTCCTTCCTGGTGCCTTGTGAAGAAGGTGCCTTTCTTCCCCTTCTCCTTCTGTCATGATTGTAAGTTTCCTGAGGCCTCCCCAACCACATGGAAATGTGAGACAATTAAACCTTTTTCCTTTATAAATTACCCAGTCTTGGGCAGTTCTTTATAGCAGTATGAAAACTGACTAATACATCTAGTTACCATGTTGGAGATTAAACTTTATAACCTTCTTTTCCTTCTGATGTGAACATTGCACATCCACCTGCATCCCTATGACCGTGGAAGAAATAAATCACAGGCCATCTGTATTAACTTTTTCTTTCCTCTAGATTAAATTACTTTGGAAGCAGATAAAGTCTGATAAGCAAGTACTGAAATCATATCTAAACCATATCATATCTGAATCATTTCCCTCTTCAGTCAAAAACTTGTCTCCATTATTCACCTCCAATAAATAAGCCATGAGACCAAAAACGAGCCCTATTTACTCTCAAAAACAAAAGTGTCTGCATAGCAAAATAATTAATCAACAGAGTGAACAGACAACCTGCAGAATGGAAGAAAACATTTACAAGCTATGCATCTGACAGAGGACTAATAACCAGAATATACATGGGATTCAAATAACAACAACAACAACAAGAAATAATTCCATTAAAAAGCAGGCAAAAGACATGAATAGGTATTTTTAAAAAAAAAGACATACAAATGGCCAAGAGATATGTGAAAAAAGGATCAGCATCACTAATTATCAGAGAAATGCAAAGTAAAACCACAAGGTAGTATCATCTTACCACAGTCAAGATGGCTACTATTAAAAAGTTAAAGCACAATAGATGTTGGTGAGGATGTGGAAAAAAAGGGAATACTTATACACTGTTGGTGGGAATATAATTAATACAACCTTCATGGAAAACAGCATAGCAATTTTTCAGCAAACTAAAAGTAGATCTACCGTTTGATCCAGCAATAACTCTACTGGGTATCTAGCCAAAGGAAAAAAAAATCAACATATGAAAAAGCTGACTTCACACATGTGTTTATTGTAGCACTATTTGCAATAGCAAAGATATGGAATCAACCTAAGTTTCTATCAATGAATGATTGAATAAAGAAAATGTGACATCTATACACCATTGAATACTACTCAGCCATAAAAGATGATATCATGTCTTTTATAGAAACATAGTTGGAACTAGAGGTCATTACCTCAAGTGAAATAAGTCAGACGTAGGAAGACAAATATTGCATGTTTACTCATAAGTGAGAGCTAAAAATTGTGTATACATGGATGTAGGGAGTGTAATGATAGACAATAGAGACTTGTAAGATGAGGAGGTTGGAGAAGAATGGATGATAAGAAATTACATATTGAGTATCATGTACATTGTTCAGGTGATGGGTATTCTAAAAGCTCTAACTTGACAACTGTGTAATGTGTCGATGTAACAAAATTGCATTTATACCCCGTACATTTATAAAATATTTTCAAGACAATTGAAAAATATTAAGGCATAACAAAAGGCCAGGATATAATCTTCATTTGTGCAGTCCTCAATTTTCTCAAAATCTAGAATTTTTATTTCACTTTTATTGTAGTTTCAAGTGTACATGTGCAGGTTTGTTATATAGGTAAACTTCATTTTTTGAGGGTTTGGTGTGCAGATTATTTCATCACCTTGGTAATCAGCATAGTACCTGATAGGTAGTTTCTCAATCCTTACCCTCCTCTCTTCCTCCATCCTGAATTAGGCTTCTGCATCTGTTGACCCCTTCTTGGTGTCCACGAGTATTCAGTGTTTAGTTTCCACTCATTAGTTAGAACATGTGGTATTTGATTTTCCGTTCCTGTATCAGTTTGCTTAGGATAATGGCCTCTAGCTCCATCCACGTTGCTACAAATGACATGATCTTATTCTTTATAATGGCTGCATAGTATTCCATGGTGTATATGTATCACATTTTTCTTAATCCAGTCTATTGTTGGGCATTTAGGTTGATCCCATGTTTTTGTTGTTGTGTTGTTGTGAATTGTACTGTGATGAACATCCAAGTGTATGTTTCTTTATAGTAGAGCAATTTATATTACTTTGTGTATATAGCCAATCATGGAATTGCTGGGTTGAATGGTAATTCTGTTTTGAGTTATTTGAGAAATCTTCAAACTGCTTTCCATGTGGCTGTATTAATTTGCATTCTTACCAGTAGTGGATATGCTTTCTCTTTTTTTCCACAACCTCACAGCAACTGTTATTTTTTGACTTTTTAATAATAGCCATTCTGACTGGTGTGAGATGGTATTCCATTGTGTTTCTGATTTGCATTTCTCTAATGATTAGTGATGTTGAGCATTTTCTAATATACTTGTTGTCTATGTGTATGTCATCTTTTGAAAAGTTTTTGTGCATCTCCTTCACCCACTTTTTAATGGAGTTGTTAGTTTTTTGCTTGTAAATTTAAGGTCTTTAGAGGTGTTGGATATTAAGCTTGACAGAAGCAGTTTGCAAATATATTCTCCCATCTGTATATTGTCTGTTTACTATGTTGATATTTTCTTTTGCTGTGCAGAAGCTCTTTAATTTAATTAGGTCCCACTTGTCAAATTTTGTTTTTATTGCAATTGCTTTTGTCAACTTTGTCATGAAATTTTTGCCTGGTCCTGTGTCCAGAATGGTATTTCCTAGGTTATATTTCAGGGATTTTATAGTTTTAGGTTTTACATTTAAGTCTCTAATCCATCTTGGGTTGATTTTTTGTGTATGGTCTAAGGAAGGGGTCCAGTTTCAATCTTCTGCTTATGGCTAGCCACTTATCCTGGCATCATTTATTGAATTGGGAGTCCTTTTCCCATTCCTTATTTTTCGTTGACTTTTTCAAAGATTAGATGATTGTAGTTGTGTGGCTTTATTTCTGAACTCTCAATTCTGTTCCATTGGTCTATGATGTATCTGTTTTTGTACAGTACCATGTTGTTTTAGTTACAGTAGCCTTGTAGTATAGTTAGAAGTCAGGTAGTGTAATGCCTCCAGTTTTATTCTTTATGCTTAGGTTTGCTTTGGCAATTCTGGATCTTTTATGGTTCCATATAAATTTTAAAATAGGTTTTTTTTTTAATTCTGTGAAGAATGTCATTAGTCATTTGAGAGGAAGAGCATTCAATCCATAAACTGCTTTGAACAGTATGGCCATTTTAACAATATTGATTTTTTCCTATCCATGAGCATGGAATGTTTTTTCACTTGTTTGTGTCATCTCTTATTGCTTTGAGAAGTGTTTTGTTATTCTACTTGTGGAGATCTTTCACCTCCTTGGTTAGCATATTCCTAGGTATTTTATTCTTTTTGCAGCTACCATGATTGGGATTGCATTTTTTTATTTGGTCTCAGCTTGGATGTTTTTGATGTATAAGAATGTTAGTGATTTTTGCACATTGATTTTGTATCCAGAAACTTCTCTGAAGTTGTTTGTCAGATAAAGGAGCACTTGGGCAGAAACAATGGGGTTTTCTTGATATAGAATCATGCTATCTGCCAACAGGGATAGTTTGACGTTCTCTTTTCCTATTTGATGCCTTTTATTTCTTTCTCTTGTCTGATTGCTCTGGCTAGGACTTGTAGAGCTATGTTTAATAGGAGTGGTGATAAGGGCATCCTTGTCTTACTTTTCAAGTGGAATGCTTCCAGCTTTTGCCTATTCAATATGATGTTGCCTTTGGCTTTTTTAAAGATGGATCTTATTATTTTGAAATATGTTTCTTCAATGCCTAGTGCATTGAGGGTTTTAACATGAAGGGATGTTGAATTCAATTGAAAGCCTTTTTTTTTACCTCTATTGAAATGATTGTGTGATTTTTGTTTTAAGTTGTTTTTATGTAATGAATCATATTTATTGATTTGCTTTTTATTTTATTTATTTATTTATTTATTTTGAGATGGAATTTCACTCTTGTCGCCCAGGCTGGAGTGCAATGGCACGTTCTCGGCTCACTGCAACCTCCTCCTCACAGGTTCAGGCGATTCTCCTGCCTCAGCCTCCTCAGTAGCTGGGACTACAGACATGCACCACCATGCCTGGGTAATTTTGTATTTTTAGTAGAGACAGGGTTTGCCATCTTGGCGAGGTTGGTCTTGAACTCCTGACCTCAGGTGATCTGTCTGCCTCCCAAAGTGTGGGGATTAGAGACTTGAGCCACTGCGCCTGGCCTGATTTGCATATTTTGAAGAAACCTTGCATCCCAGCAATAAAGCCTGGTTATTATTGTAGATAAGCTTTTTCATGTGCTGCTAGATTTGGTTTGCTAGTATTTTGTTGAGTATTTTTTCATCTATGTTCATCAAGGATATTGGCCTGAAGGATCTGAAGTTTTCCTTTATTTTTCTTTGGTTTTATCTCTGCCAAGTTTTGGTATCAGGATGATGCTGACCTCACAGAATGAGTTAGGGAGGAGTCCCTCCTCCTCATTTTTTTGAAATAGTTTCAGTAAAAACGGTACCAGCTCTTCTTTATACAGTTGGTAGAACTGGACTGTGAATCTGTTTGGTCCTTGGCTTTTTTAAGTTGATAGGCTTTTATTACTAATTTAATTTCAGAACTCATTATTAATCTGTTCAGGGATTCATATTTCTTCCTCATTCAATCTTGGAGGTTGTATGTTTTGAGGAACGTATTAATTTCTTCTAGATTTTCTAGCTTGTGTGCATAAAGGTGTTTGTAGTAGTCTCTGAGTTTTTTTTTTTTAATATATATTTCTGTGGGGTCAGTGGTAAAGTCGCCTTTGTCTTTTCAGATTGTTTTCATTTGGACCTTCTCTCTTTTTTTATTAGTCTAGCTAGTGATCTATCTATCTGTAATATTAATTCTTTCAAATAACCAACTCCTGGATTCACTGAGCTTTTCAATGGATTTTTGCATCTCAATTTCCTTCATTTCAGCTCTGATTTTTGTTATTTATTATCTTCTGTTAGCTTTAGGGGTTGGTTTGCTCTTGTTTTTCTGGTTCTTCCAGTTATAATGTTAAGTCATTAGTTTGAAATCCTTCTAACTTTTTGATGTGGGCGTAAAAATTTCTTAATTTCTGCCTTAATTTCATTATTTACCCACAAGTCACTCAGGAGCAGGTTGTTTAATTTCCATGTAATCGTATGGTTTTGAGCAATTTTCCCAACATTGATTCTGTTTTTATTGTGTTGTGGTCCAAGAGTGTGGTTGGTATAATATATATATTTTTTAATCTGCTGAGAATTGTCTTATACCTGATTGTGTGGTTGATTCTAGAGTAGTGCCATGTGCAGATGAGAAGAATGTATATTCTATTGTTTTTGGGTGGAGAGTTCTGTGGATGTCTATTAGGTCCATTTAGTCAAGTGTCAAGTTGAGATTCTTAATATCTTTGTTAGTTTTCCGCCTCAATAATCTGTCTAATACTTTCGGAGAAGTGTTGATGTTTCCCACTGTTATTGTATGGTTATCTAAGTCTCTTCATAGGTCTCTAAGAACTTGCTTTATGAATCTGAGTGCTTCTGTGTTGGATGAATATATATTTAGGACAGTTAGGTATTCTTGTTTAATTGAACCCTTTACCATTTTCTTCTTTGTCTTTTTTTGACCTTTGTTGGTATAAGGTCTGTTTTTTTCTAAAATTAAAATAGCAACCCATGATTTTAAAATCCAGAATTTTATATAGAAACTAGGCAGAATTTTTTCCACCATTACTTATTCCAAATAAGAACCATATATACTTTAAGCTAATTCAATGAATACATTTCATTTTCCTGTCTCTTAGATGGGTATGAGACTTAAGTCTTCCTACTCTCAGGAATTTAGAATCAGTAAGTTCTCTTATTATGGGAACTAAATGAGGGAGATTGTTGTCCTCACTGCTGATTTTGATTGTAAAGAGAGAGGATTTAAGATGAAACTCAATGAGGATCCAAATAATGAATAATGGCAATCAGAAAAAACTATACCCTTGGTGATGCCTAAGCCCAGTCCAGTGTTTCATATTTTAAGTTAATTGACTATTATATCCTCTCTTTCTCTCTTTAAAAGACAGATCAAATTTGGGTTTTTGCTAATTGTGACCAAAGTATGCTGACTTATACACAAAACAAAAAGTAAGAGGTTGCTTGCTTGGAAATAAAGTATAAGAATGCTCTTATTGTTTAAGTAGTCAAGTATGTTATGAAGTGCATAATAGAAATTATTTTAATTTAAATATAATTGTGCAGACTGCTATAGGTGTGTCAATCTGAAATGTTCTCAATCTGAGCTCATATGAACTGAAGAGACAAGTATTCTCCCCTCATAAACCCAATATACAGTAATAGAACAAACATGATATAATCGCTACAGATTGTCCTGTTAAATGCTAGGATAAATGAATCACACAGAAGCTACTGGTCCACATTAGTTCTAAAATCCAACAGGGAATATATTAGCAGTTCTTTCAGTAAGACTTGAAGGCCCGGGCATATGTCTCCATGGCTTGCTGCTCTGCCCACAGGCTCTTGTTACACCCTCTGATTCATGGTTACTTTTTCAAGAGATATATCTCTTGAAATATATGCATCTCAGAGTAATTATAAACAAGGTTTCGTGTTACGGAAACTGGTTTCTGAAATATTCTTTTCATTTTCTAATCTCTCTTCCCCATTTAGTTCAAGTTGATGGTGTTTTTGTGCATACACTTTTTCTTAAAATGTCTGTGGTCATCTATGAATCTTATTGGGGTTTACTTCATTAATCAAATGCCACACTCACAAATATATTCAAATGAACACTCCCTCCTGTGGGCTTCTACCAAGTCTGCTGAATGACAAAACCTTTAAACCTTTTAGAAGCCATATCTCTGAGTCCTTTGTTCAGGCATGGTCTTGGATCTTTCTAGATCTTAACAAATACTTTACAGCCACACTCTTAGCTGTATCTTTATTATACATTCCAAAGACTACCCTGGATTTGTTTTTTTGTCCCAAAATTATTTCTTACTTTTAGTATATTTGACCATCTAGAAAAATTGGAAAGTTTCAAAGTCAGCAAATTCCAGCTCCTTTATGTATGATAGTTCTACCTCTATCTTACCACTCACATCTCATATTTTATTCAAAGCAGTAAGTAGTATTCAGGCAACATACTTAAAACTCTGGCTGGAAACATTTCCTGTGTCAATCAGTTCATTAGGCACATTATCTACTTTTCGCATTACCAGAGGCAGTAGTACTGCTAAGTTTCTGCCACTACATAAAAAGGATTATATTTCTTACAGTTTCCAATAACATTTTATTCACTTCTTCATAAGTCTTCACTGGAAGACTCTTCGATGACCTTGAGCAGAAGCTAATAGTCTTTTCAATGTGCTTTAGGCTTTTACTATCACTCTCCTAAAATCTCTTGAGATTCCTCCCTTGCCCCTTTCCCAAAGTCTCCAAAGTTTTAAGTGTTTTTTGACAGTAAGCACTCTAATATCAGGTATCAAATTCTGTATTAGTTATCCATTTCAAAACAACAAATTACTCATAAGCATAGTGGCTTAAACAATGAGAAATCTTTATTGTTTCTCACATATATATGTTAGAAATTTGAAAGTAGATAATTGGGGTGGTTCTGTCTCAGGGCCCTTCATGAGACTTCAAGATGTTGGCTGGAGTTGCAGTCATCTGAAGGTTTGTTTTGAGGCTAGAGTATTTGCCTTCAAGATGGCTCTCTCAGATGGCTGGCAAGGTGGTACTGGTGTTGTCAGGAAAACTCAGTGTTTTCCTCAGTGGGTCACTCCACAGGATTTTTTGAAGTCTGAAATCTGACTACCCCCGGAGAGAAAGGTGTCAGCGGCAAATTTTTTTATGACATAGCCTCAAAAGTCAGACACCATCGTTTCAACGAGGTCCTAAAAGGACATCAGCCCCTTTCTCTGTGGAAGGCGCTATCCAAAAGCACAAATACTTGGAGATATAGATCACTGAGGGTCATTGTAGAATCTGGTTCTCAAAGAATGCGTGACAGAAGAAAAGGTATTTCACATGCATTTGAGCTGTTATGAGGAATGAAAAGATCCTGCTACCCCAACACGAAACGGAGAAAAAGAATCAAATACCTGTTGCTCACTTTCAGCATTACAATTGATTCATAATGGTGAAAAATATTTGATTCATTAATATTATCCGTACCAAATTTTCTGGCATTTCAGTTTTTTTCATTAAACCTAATTATTCAACTCATTTATAATTTATTTCATTCTTGTTTAAGCGCTCCTATTTTATTTCTTTTCAATTTGTAATCACAAATGTTTAAGTGAGTAAGTGTCAGCTACACTGAATCCAAGAGAAGAAAGCTAAGGGGTCTCTGTATAAATTCATTATGATATCTTTGAAGTCTTATTTAACTCTAAAATTATTTGTTATTTTGATAACAGACATTAAAAAGTTTTTAAGAATTAAGATATTACTTGGACAATTCTAAGGACTTTTAGACATTTGTTGTAATGTTGTTAAAGTAAAAATATGTAACTAAATTATAAAACATGGGGGAGGAAATGAAAGCAATAGTTGGGATTAAAACAGTAGAGAATTTTGAGTAAAAGTTTAAAAAAAATTACCAAAAGAAATGAAGGAAAAGTTAAATATATGGACTAATGGTCACAAACTCAAATACCTACAGGACAGGGCAGGTAACATTTAAAATGAAAAACAAAAATAAAGGAAAAATATTCTGAGAATGGAGTTTTGTGGGAGGTTCCTAATCCCTTCTTCCTGTGTGTGTGCTGCCAGGCTGCTGGTCTTCACATCAACAGTGGCTCAGGGCTTCTAGTTCTCAAGGATCCTACGGAGTTGGGGAGAAAAAGGGTGGTATAAGACAAGTTAAAAACACAATGTTCACTCTTCCTACAGAAATTTATATTTTATCGCATAAACATTCTTTAAACTCTTGCCAGCCTTTGGTTTATTTCCAAAGTATTAAAAAGTTAATGTTGAAAATTTGTGCCAGTGTTCTTGCTTGTTTGATGGATGGAAGGGTAGATTTTTTTGGAGGTTCTTATTCTGACATTTCAGAAGTGCTTCCCAAATATCTCATTTTTAAATATATATTTATATATTTTAAATATATATATAAATATATATATATAAATATATATATAAATATATATATAAATATATATATATAAATATATATATAAATATATAAATATAAATATATATATAAATATATAAATATAAATATATATATAAATATATATATAAATATATATATAAATATATATATATAAATATATATATAAATATATATTTAAAATATATATAAAATATATATAATATATAATATATATTTTATATTATATATTATATATTTTAAATATATAAATATATAATTTTAAATATATATTTATATATATAAATTAAATATATATATATTTAAATATATATATATATAGAGAGAGAGAGAGAGAGAGAGAGAGAGAGAGAGAGAAAGAGAGAGAGAGAGCATACAGCCCATACAGCCACAGAAAGGGCAACAGTTTGTGCCTTCTTATGTAGGCAGGTGTAGCTCAGGGCCAGAACATTCAATACAACCTGATAAAAACTACCAATGTGGAGAGTCCCTTGGGCAGCCAATCCATACAGGTCTGCAGCAACCTCAATTCTTGCCTCCTCAGAAGAAATAATTCTACCAAGGGGGCATAAGGCAGAGTGAGAAACTGAGGCAAATTTTAGAGTAGGGGTGAAAGTTTCTTGAAACATTTTAGGGCAGGAATGAAAGTAAGTAAAGCATACTTGGAAGAGGGCCAAGCAGGCAAGTTGAGAGAGTCAAGTCTGTGGTTTCACCTTCGACTTGGTGTTGTATAAGTTGGCATATGTCCAGTCTCCTCTCCCCTGATTTTTCCCTAGGGATGGGCTGTCCACATGTGTCATGGCCTGCCAGTGCTTGGGAGAGGTCGCATGCGCAATGTGTTCACTGGAACTATGCACATGCTCACTCAAGCTGTTCTTCCCTTACCAGTCGAGTATGCCAGTTAAACTTTGCCATTTTGCCCCAGAGTGTACATGCTTGAGCCCACTTCGCCAGACTCCTGAGATCTGATCTGGAAGCTGGTAACCACAGGTTTCAGATGTTTTCTATGGGGAGGCTGCCTTTCCCTGGTGCTGGCTGTGACCAATTATTATTTTAGAGACACGGTATATCAACTGCCTGACCATCACCTGAGAGTCACCTGACATTCCTGGTGGGAGAGGGTGGCCCTCTCCTCCCCTACTCGTGTCTTCTTGACTACCTACTCTAACAATATTACTCTATTATAGTAATAAAAATGAAATAATATATTTCAGAAGCAGCCAAAAATTGCATTTATTTTATTCTGTATGAGAAGTCAGAACAGGCTGGGTGCAGTGGCTAATGCCTGTAATACCAGCACTTTGAGAGGCCAATGTAGGGGGATCACCTGAGGTCGGGAGTTCGAGACCAGCCTGACCAACATAGAGAAACCCCATCTCTACTGAAAATACAAAATTAGCTGGGCATGGTGGCTCATGCTTGTGATCCCAGCTACTCGACAGGCTGAGGCAAGAGAATTGCTTGAACCCTGGAGGCAGAGATTGCGGTAAGCCGAGATCGCACCATTGGACTCCAGCCTGGGCAACAAGAGTGAAATTCCATCTAAAAAAAAAAAAAGTCAGAAAAATGAATAATTTCAAAAAATATTGTCAATGTAAGCAGAAAGTAAAGACTTTGGATTTTCTTATAGGAAAGCTGAATGGTGGATGCTGAATGGTGGGTCTCACATATCCAGAAAATTCACTTTTATAAATCACATAACATTTTACAAAATACATGTTTATGTTCTTAAATCAAAATACATGTTTATAACCTTAAATCATAATCAAAACTAATCCATTAATTAGTACAGGCTATACCAACTTCTTCTCCATTCAAACAAGTGCAGAATTTGTTTCTGTATATTTATATATGCATGGGGCACTTGTCTGTCAGCTAATTGAAAATAAATTATGTTCTTTCATGTTAGCTGTGAGGTAATGGGTTAAAAACAAGAAATGAGATAAGATAGTTGTAGATGTGTGGCATTATTTCTGAGGGCTCTGTTCTGTTCCATTGGTCTATATCTCTGTTTTGGTACCAGTACCATGCTGTTTTGGTTACTGTAGCCTTGTAGTATAGTTTGTAGTCAGGTAGCGTGATGCCTCCAGCTTTGTTCTTTTGGCTTAGGATTGACTTGGCAATGCAGGCTCTTTTTTGGTTCCATATGAACTTTAAAGTAGTTTTTTCCAATTCTGTGAAGAAAGTCATTGGTAGCTTGATGGGGATGGCATTGAATCTATAAATTACCTTGGGCAGTGTGGCCATTTTCACGATATTGATTTTTCCTACCCATGAACATGGAATGTTCTTCCATTTGTTTGTATCCTCTTTTATTTCATTGAGCAGTGGTTTGTAGTTCTCGTTGAAGAGGTCCTTCACATCCCTTGTAATTTAGATTCCTAGGAATTTTATTCTCTTTGAAGCAATTGTGAATGGGAGTTCACTCATGATCTGGCTCTCTGTTTGTCTGTTATTGGTGTATAAGAATGCTTGTGATTTTTGCATATTGATTTTATATCCTGAGACTTTGCTGAAGTTGCTTATCAGCTTAAGGAGATTTTGGGCTCAGATGATGGGGTTTTCTAGATATACAATCATGTCATTTGCAAACGGACAATTTGACTTCCTCTTTTCCTAATTGAACACCTAATTCACAAACTTGACAAAAACAAGAAAAGGGGAAAGGATTCCCTATTTAATAGATGGTCCTGGGAAAACTGGCTAGCCATATGTAGAAAGCTGAAACTGGATCCCTTCCTTACACCTTATACTAAAATTAATTCAAGATGGATTAAAGATTTAAATGTTAGACCTGAAACCGTAATTACCCTAGAAAAAAACCTAGGCAATGACATTCAGGACATAGGCATGGGCAAGGACTTCATGTCTAAAACACCAAAAGCAATGGCAACAAAAGCCAAAATTGACAAATGGGATCTAATTAAACCAAACAGCTTCTGTACAGCAAAAGAAACTACCATCAGAGTGAACAGGCAACCTACAGAATGGGAGAAAATTTTTGCAATCTACTCACCTGACAAAGGGCTAATATCCAGAATCTACAATGAACTCAAACAAATTTACAAGAAAAAAACAAACAACCCCATCAACAAGTGGGCGAAGGATATGAACAGACACTTCTCAAAAGAAGACATTTATGCAGCCAAAAGACACATGAAAAAATACTCATCATCACTGGCCATCAGAGAAATGCAAATCAAAACCACAATGAGATACCATCTCACACCAGTTAGAATGGCGATCATTAAAAAGTCAGGAAACAACAGGTGCTGGAGAGGATGTGGAGAAATAGGAACACTTTTACACTGTTGGTGGGACTGTAAACTAGTTCAACCATTGTGGAAGTCAGTGTGGCGATTCCTTAGGGATCTAGAACTAGAAATACCATTTGACCCAGCCATCCCATTACTGGGTATATACCCAAAGGATTATAAATCATGCTGCTACAAAGACACATGCACACGTATGTTTATTGCAGCACTATTCACAATAGCAAAGACTTGGAACCAACCCAAATGTCTAACAATGATAGACTGGATTAAGAAAATGTGGCACATATACACCATGGAATACTATGCAGCCATACAAAATGATGAGTTCATGTCCTTTGTAGGGACATGGATGAAGCTGGAAACCATCATTCTCAGCAAACTATTGCAAGGACAATAAACCAAACACCGCGTGTTCTCACTCATAGGTGGGAATTGAACAATGGGAACACATGAACACAGGAAGGGGAACATCATACACCGGGGCCTGTTGTGGAGTGGGGGTAGGGGGGAGGGATAGCATTAGGAGGTATACCTAATGTTAAATGACAAGTTAATGGGTGCAGCACACCAACATGGCACATGTATATATATATATATATATATGTAACAATCCTAAAACTTAAAGTATAATAAAAAAAAAAAAGGAAATGAGAAGTATAGACTAAAATGGAAAGGCTTCTGATGTACACTAGGTGTCTTGGAGTGGTAATAAGCACACCATAGAGATGGGAAGTTAGAGGCAGAAGCTGATGAAACTAGTCAAGAGGATTCAAAAGTCAAAAACATTGTTTTTCCATACCTCAATGCTGTCTTCTTTGTCCACACATTAGAGGCTCTGTTGAAATCATAGTATGACTAGGCTTTCAACGTTGATGATCCCGAGATGGATGATGGAAGCACCTGGGGCTCCCCAAGTGGCCTTGCTCAGGGATCATGAAGACAAGTAGGAGACAGAGCAGGAGTGGAAGAGCAGAGCAACCAACACATGATGACAGAAAAGAGATTTGCAGAACTCACGGACATTAATAAACAAATATTTTTGGGTGGAAACTGTGGCCCTACTTTAAATGGATGGACATTGTTAAGACCATAAACTGGTGGCCTACATTTAAATTGCATTTTCCTTTTATCCTTTTGACCTTCTTTTAGGTGATCCACTCCTCAGTCCAACCTTTTGGTTTCCTCAGCACATACTTGGTGATCTGCCCTCATGAGAATGATAAACTAACTCCTTGGTGAATAGATTACATTGAATTGACTTCAAGACACATTGGGGCATGTACTGCAGATAGACAACTCTTACAAATCTAGATACCTGGATTGTTACTGCCCAAGTACTTGTGAAGTTCAATTTGCCTGTCAGAAGTGATTTATTATTTATATTTCCAAATATATATGTGTTTCTGAAAGGTCTGTTTACTGTTCTGTCAGGGAAACATACTGTAAAATGAATGAATTGTTGATTTAAGCCACTGACCCACAGGGTTCCCTGAGATGTTCTGGCCATTACCTGGCCAGCATCTACTGATTTAGTCAAACATTTTATTCCTCCACAAAAAGCTAGGATACTATATTCATCTTCTACCCTTAAAAATTTCTGCATGGAATAGGACAACTTAAAGCTTTTCCCTGGGACAACAGTTATCTGTTACATTGAGACACTCAAGGAACTCAAGCCTTTGTGGTCTACTTTATTCCATGTTAAATCTAAACTGTTATGTAGAGCTTGTTTTTATCCTGCTTTGATTAACTGATGATACTAATGATTTCTGCTACAAATGCCCTTACATGGAAGCTGATAACTCTTCATGTTCTCAGTGTTAATTTTTTTTTCTTAACTCATATGAGCAGTGTCTGTATATTATATTGTCTGATATAACATTTTTGAAAAAGAAAGAAGCCATTAACTAATGGGACACTAGAAAAATCAGCACGAAAATCACAGAAACATATTATGCATATTAATTAACACTTCAAGAAATATAAGTACTCATTATTATATATATGCTTGTATTCAAAATTATATATACATATGCATACACATATATACAAACACACACACATATACAAACACACACACATATACATATATACGCACTATATATACACATATATATAGTATTTCCCAGTTTTCTTGTACTGTGTAGACTCTTCTGAAATAATGCCTTATGTGTGTAACTTAACCTTGAAGCTCCACTAATGTGATAGAGGGCAAAAAGTAGACTTTTGAGGCTTCTTATAATATTTCCTTGGTATTATGTATCAGCTATATTACATTCTTCCACTGGAAACTTTTGCTGTGACCACTGCTTCTCCTCTTTTTCTATTAACATGTTTTTACTTGTAATAATCCAGAGAACATTAGAAAAAGAATTTAAACTGGATGATACACAGATATTTCCCATATCCCTTCCCAGCCATAGATTTTACTAGTTACTAAATGAGAAGGAACTGGAAGTTAAGATTGTAAATCATTTAGTGCTGGTTAAAACTTCTTCATGTTTAAGTTAACTAAGACAGTTTTATATGATGTTCTTTAGATAAAGCACTTTCAATAAATCTTTGTTGCTTTTTAAAAAATCTGAAGTTAACTCCTTTGGGTATTCCTGAAGAAAAATACTTTAATTAGTTGAGTCTCAAAAGACTTTGGCATTGTAGATTCTGGTGCTCACCCAATGTGGGGATGAACAGGGTTTTCCATAGAAAGAAATAGGCTAAATTATTCTCTCTTTCCTACAATTATTTTAAAGACACTTTTCCCATCGTTCTCTACAAAATTTTTTATACTGGAGCATTTGGAATATTATGTCTGAATAAGAACCATTTTGTTTAAGACCACTTTCCATAGACTACACTATATCCCCTTTATAGTGGCAACAGCTCATATGTTTTCCAAGAAGTCACTACCCATGATGGCAGGTGATGAAGTACGGTCAAATATTCAGGTAGTGGGGTGAAAAAAATTGGGATTTGCACTTGGAGTCACTTAAGTGTTTTGACACTCAATACCTTCATCTTTGAAATAATGATTTTTTTTTTTCAGAAGATGAAAAGAGATAATGTCTAAGAAAAAAAATGTTCTAACACTGTAGAGTACTCCACGAATTCTAGTTTTCATTATTCATGACTATTACAGATGATTGGCATATTTATATGAAATGCCCTTGTCCCTAAAACATCGATACCAGAGAGGTTATTGTGGAGAAAAAGGAAGTTGCAGTGTTGTCTTGACTATCTCTGTGTCCAATCTAGTACTGCCATCTGCTCTCAGTAGCCATAACCCTTACTAGGTGGATGTGCTGATGCTTACTTCTTAGGGCAGCAATCAGGGTTGAATGGCTCATCCTCATCCTTTTGCCTCAATGTCTCTAACTCATTTTCCCTTTTTCCATGGATGGTTAACAAGAAATAAAGGTCAAAAATTAGAAAACTCTGAAAGCTAGCCACTTGCAATGGCATATAATTGTGTCACTGACCACATTGGGATCTCATAGGTTATGATCAAAAGTGAAGTTCATTTATTTGAACTAGCTGTTTATTTCTTCTTTGCAGGAAGCATTGAGAGGCTTTCTAGGATGTGCCAGTTGTGTGTGTGTGTGTGTGTATGCAGAATGATAAATTATTTTTGAAAAAAGGCAAATTATGAGAAAGGGCTTTCATTAGCTTTTCTTATTGCTTTGTTTTAAGAAATACAATGGTCTGAAAGCAAGCTTTTTGCAATAGCATTAGCATTAAAAACAATTTCCAAGGCTCTATGATCATGTGCATATTTAGACCATAACAAACTCTACTAAAAGTGTTGTAAATTAAATAGATGTTCAAATTAACAATTGAGACGTCCATGGGCTAACTTAAAGAAACAAACAAAGATCTCTTAATATCCAGCTAAGAAGCCAGAATAGGACATTAGAGAAATTGTCACAATGCTGGGATTTTATCCTGACTGTGCAATATTTTAGTTAGTCTACCTGAAGACTTTGTGGGGAAAGGGCATATTAAAATCCTTAAGTCAGGTAATATAGTCTGACAGACCCTGTCACACAATATCACAGATGCTGATATGTAATAAATATTTGGCTTTTGATCTTCCTTATACCATTCTTCTTTTATTTGCCTACTTTCCTCTTCTTTCCTCTCAATTGCTTCAGTTGATTTCCCATGGTAACTCACCTTCCCAGAAAGAAGGGGAAAAAAGAAGGTTACAGACACTAAGTGAGTACATTTTTTAAATATTTAAATAAGTTTTGCTATAGGCGATTCAATATAATTGCTCATTAGAAAAAGTGAATCTTCTAAACTTGTTTAATTTTTTACAAATTGGAAACTAGATTGTATCACGGGATGAAATAAAATGACTGGCTACGATTAGAAATCCATTGTCAGATTGACTTGAAAGTCATTTTTATGTCAACCTTTATCATTTTTATTATGGTGAACAAGTGATTTAACCTCATGAAGTCTCAATGTTCTCATCTGGAAAACAAGTACAGTATCAGGCACCTCCCATGACTATTATGAAGATAACATGATATTATAAATAGAAGGGTGCTGAAATGGGTTCTTGGCTCATGGATCACAATATATGTACATGGGTGTTTTAGTTATTGTTGTACTTCAAAACCATAGTATCTGAAGTCAGAAAATCTACATTTTGATTATTTCACTAGGTTTTGGTGGCTAGATATTGTAAAATCTTTCTGTTTTTTCTAGATCTTTAGTTTCTCTGATTTGAAAACACAAATGATAATTATACTGATAACATCAGAAATATATCAGTCAGCATATCATTAAGCTATAGTAATGAAACACCCCCAAATCTCAATGGCTTAAGACAATAAAAGATTATTTCCTACTCATGTCACATGTCCATTACAGGCCAGTAGCAAACTCTGCTTCAAGTCATTGCCAACTTTCTTTTGGGACCCAAGATGATAGAGAGGTCACTATCAGAGATATTACTGTTCACCAAGGCAAAAAAAGGGAAAAACATGGGAAGGCACACGCTAACTCATAAAATACCTATCTGAAAGAGATTCATATCATTTTAGTATTACATTTCATAGAACAAAGTAAGGCATATGGCTGCACTTAACTTTAAATGGGCAGGAATGAACAAAGTTTATCATGTACCTGGACAGAAGAAGATCAAACAACGGTATCTGGCTCCAAAATCTACAAAAATGTGTATTTAAATTAAAAAAATATCATTTCTAGAAGAAGCATTTTGTAAATTAAAAAATATACATTGTGCATATTATTATTACAGTTTGGAAAAAATAAATTCCTTATTTTATGTTTAGTTTGCATATATTTTTAAACCAGCATTCTGTAACACTACTTGAGATATATTAATTGAGATTTACTTGAAATAATGATATTTTTACTTTGTAAGAAGGTAAATATTTTAGCATTAATTAAGCAATTGGATGGAAACGACACTCATGGTTGATTTCAAAGGAGCCTCCTCAGACACAGTACTTTGGTTCCTGTATAGGGATAAGAAAGCCCTTCTGAATGCTGTGCAAGAACTTGATGCATTTTTTAGTTCCTTCTTGATTAGAATCTGTGAATCTCTGATAACTGCCTTAGAAAATGAGTAACAAATAAAATGTATGTATGCTAACATTATATGTTGCAGAAATATTATGAAGCTGAAAGAAGGTAGCATTAGTGTAAGTGAACATGATGTTCCATACTGATTAGGAAGTTATTTCATGGTCAGCTTAGTTCTCCTGACACTCCTCATCTCTGCTGCCTCTTTTCATACCCTCTGTTTTCCACTAACCTATCAGCTTTTCCCTAATTGTCATACAAGTAGACTAATCTGTGCTCTCTTTATTGGTTGGTGCTCCAGGTCTCATATATTTATGCAGTAATACTTGTTATGATACTTTTTGTGAGAAGTCATTAACATATATGGCTATCCTCAGGTAACAAGCACTTAATCAACTCGCCATTTAATGATTTTTTTTCAATAAACTAGTCATTTTACTAAAAATCAGATAAAAGTCTTTTATGCCTATGCAGTTTTACATGCTCTGTATATTTTAACGTACATAAATGATGCATTTTTTTCAACAAATTTTCTTTCCAAAACCACAGACTCAAATAGCATTTTAGTAAATATACTTTAGCATACATACAGCAAATATGTTTTAATATAAAAGACCCTAATATTATAGTTAACGATAATTAGTAAGGTAAGCATAAGGAAAGCTGTGTATAATCTTGACTTTTACCTGAACAGATTGAATCTACCACTTGTCTCTCTGACACCCTAAAAAAAATGTTCAGGTTTTTAACTTTGATTTTAAATGGACAGCAACTGCTCTCCCTAGGGAAATATTCTCAGCAGAAAATCCGAGAGTCCTATAGTCAATAATAAAGAAAAAAAATGTGACAAATGGGAAAAAGATCTTCTGAATAAATACATAGGTCACGAACAAAATGATATACTTAAAAGCATTTTTATGGTATCTGTACATCCTCTTTTCAAGACTGAATTTATCAGAGAAATGTCCAGCAATGTGCGACTTTGTGTGATACTATGGCATTCAAAAGCATACAAATTTTTTGAGTGAGGTTGTAAATGATATAAAATATCTCCTTTTAAATCTGAGCTTATACAGTTATATCAACTCCAGAGTTGTAGCACACGTTGAAGTAACTATAAACAATAATGTTTTCAACTAATAATATCTGGAATTGTTTTTTTTATCTTGTAATAGGTAAGTTCAGATCACCCCATAACCAGAGTGTAATGAAATTGTCAACATTTTCTTCATTTCTTCTTTTCCTGACAAATGGTGTGAACATATCACCTTTTTCTCTTAATGGAAAACCTAACTGGAATACATCAAAAGGCTATTAGGTTTTTCATTTTCTTCTACAATGCAATGCTGGGGAATGCATGCAGCCTTCATCTGGGCACCACTGTGGAATATTCCTTGTCCCTGATAAAATGACTGCACAGGAAAATCAAGCAGAATTGTTCTCTGACTTGTATTGCTGCTCCTTTGTTACAGTCTCTCCAAGAATGTGTGCAGGGGGATTATCTGTGCTGTAGTAATACACATGGGTTATGTTAACCAAATGTGTTTAAAATTTTACCCAAGTAATTTTAATGTGCAAACAAGTTTAATGAAAAAGTCTTCATGTCCAACACTACTTATGCATATGCTGTATTTTGGAATGAAAGGAAGTGCAGCAACACAGACAGCTTGCCATGAGTTTCAAAAGACGCTTATTGCAATATTATGTAGGAAGAGGGAAAAATAAAATCAAGTGCCTTTGCCCCATGGGAAATATCTGTAGACTATTCATTGTTTAATTTATTTGGTCTTGAACTAAACCAATAATGGGATATAAAATAAATCCAAGTGAGTATACATGATGCATAGGCATAGACGTCAGTATAGAAAAAGAATATTCCTTCCATCCATAAAATGTTACCTATGGATTATAATTATTAAAATAGAAAGTATCACTTATTCTGTAATGACAATTTAAGAAGAAGAAAACATTAAGTGGCATTTTTGTTGACCTCATAAGCAATTTGATTACCTTGCTATAAAACAAAAACAAGAATACTTAAATGAGGTGGATATATAGTTTCCCTATGACATACAATTTTTAAAGAAGTAGTTATGTGTCAGAAACATGGGTTTTTTGTTAAGTCACACAAATTACATGGTCATTTTTTAGAGAGGAAGTCCAGTGTGACATAAGTAATGTGATAATTGAAGAAACCATATAATTATAGCAAAAAATAGTTTAACGCTATTTTGAAGAGCCTTTGGATTCAGCAAAATAAAAATTTCTCCTTGCTTACTTGTATCAGTCAACTTTAAATTGTTAATGAATTAAGAAACAATTGAATCTTTTTTTCCAGGTGTGTTATTCCTAACAATCCTTTAGCGATTCTTCTAGCAATGTCTGAACAGTGGTATCTTGATTCGCTCTGAATGACAGGTCTGGAGAAGCATTTCTCCTAATGCTTGGAAAGAGCAATAAATATTTTCTTGGAGCTCTTGTTATGATTTATTTTAAAAATCTTAACTAGAGCTATAGGAAAGACTTCATAGTGAAACATTTTTGTTTTATTTCACCTCAACTGAAACATACCAGCTATGGAGTGAAACTCATTTCAGGTACAAAAATGATGCTACAATATTCAATAACTGAACTTCCTAGAAAAAATGGCTATTAAAAACACAGAATACAGTCCATTCCATCCCCAAATAATTTACTACTAAATGTGGGATGGACACTGTAAGGCCAGGACAAACATATTTATGCCTCCCCCTTTCCTCTTTTATGTGTCTGAATAATTTAAAGGCCAAAACCAAATGTTATGCATCACATTTTCCTAAGGGAAGAAATTTACCCCTAAATTGAAAATCAGAATTTAATATTTTCCTGATAAATGTATGTGGCCTCCATTAGAGCAATTTGGGGGCTACTCAGCTACTGTCTTCAAATTTGCTTTGTTTAAGGTACAATAGTGACTATAGAGAAATTTGCACTTTTTATTCAGGCTCATCAGTGTAGTGTAGCTGTGATCTCAGATAGAATATTTTCAAACAAAGAAAAACTAAAATGCACCTAGGAAATCAGACGTTGAGGTCATTAGCTATCACCATTTGGTTTTGCTGTAATAACATCCCAGTTGCATACATGGCAATTTACATAGCATTACCCATTATGCCCTGTGCTGCAATTTGGCTTTTGGAGGTTACTGTACCTTGATTTACTCGGTTGGAAGAGAGCATTTTCTAAGCATCGAAGCCATGCTGTTTCAGGGCCCACTGTACTCTGTACTCTCAGATTCTGTGAAAACAAGGTGCAATGACATATTGAACTGGAAATCTTGAAATTTTTACCATAAAAAATCTTTAGAAAAAAATCTCACCATCTTTTATTTAAAGCAAATCAAAGAAAGGTAAATTGGAAACTGACAACTATAAGTTTCATCTTTTCATGCGTTTTGCAGCTATGACAGATTTCTCTGGCTTCCATTATTTGTGTGGCATGTATTTGTTTTATTTTTAATTATAGATGTGAAGTAGCTGCCTCACTGATTCATTTACTTCAACATTAGCTGCTCACGGTAGATGCTCAATCCACTAGGTATCTGTCACAATTTTGGATTGGATACCCATTATCGAGATTGATAGCAGTTATCAAACCTCAAAATACGTGTGTGTTCTCTTTTAAATATTAGCTGTCAGAGTGTGATAAGTTGTGTTGGGTTGTATAGAGCAGGGTTGAACATATGACACAGGGAGGCTTAGTTTTAAAGACGAACACACTTTATAGCTGAAATCCATGACAAAAGAGAAAGGCAGGCAGAATGTCAACATGTGCAGAAGACAAACACCAGGGTTCAGTAACCATTCCAGATAAAGGAAAACAATTTGACCTTCCTACTTTTGTCTTACAAAATGATTTGTTTAACTTTTAGCTTTAAAAGTGTAACAGGGAGAAAGTGCACAAAATAGCTCTTGTTGTGCAATGGGAAATATGGTCTTTATTGTAAGTTCTCGGGGAGGTGGCTCCGCCAAAGAATTATGAAATTCTTGAAATATGTATTATGTGTAATGTCATATTTTATGAAAATATGAAAAATATTTCCATTTTAGAGAGTTAATTGAAATCAGTATGGATGACTTTGGGAACTCATTTTTAAAAGGGCCTTAGTTTGAATATCTTGTTTTGTGCACATGTAATATCTTAATATTAAACACTATCTATCAGCTTAGAGACAGAACATATTGGCATACCAAACTACAGCATATTTATTTTGTCTTGACAACTTTATTTTCTTCTATCTGACAATGATCCCTAAAAATTTTGCTTACATATTTTTCTGGAGAAATTTGAACATTAATTCTATCTAATTGGCTACTATATAGTCTTTATGATATCCTGGCAGAAGAGACTGCTCTAATAGGGAAACTCTGGCACAATGTTGCCTCTTTAATGGGTACTTTAAAAGTATATAATTCTCCCTTTGTCCACTCTTTTTTATAAATACTGTGTTCTTCTGACAAAGGGCTACTGATAATTTTATTACCATTATATTTTGTATCTTTAAAACTTACTAGTAAAGAGCTCACTTTTAACCAAGTAAATGTAGTCTTTTAATTAAGTGAAAAACTTGAAAAGGAAGCCTATTGCAGAGAGGCTCAATTGCTTCCTGCAACCTTTATGAAAAGGGCAGGGTGTTAAAACAAACCTCCCACTTTTATTTTCAAAGGAGAAAAAATCAGTGCTAAAGATAATCTCTCCATTAGTATTGTTAATAGTGTTCAGCTTTCATGACATGCTTTAGAAGCAGATGGACTTGTCATGAGCATCACATTTGCAAGCACTGTCACAGCTTCTGAAGGCTCTGGAGAAAGGACGGAAGTGTGTTAACAGTAACTGCAAGTGGCCTTTGGGGAACAATAGGCTTACCTTAGACTGTGCCTTGCTTTTCAAAAAACTAGTTGCTATATTATACTCCATACTCACGTTAGTGCTCATATAATGCTTGACCCAGCCTCATTTTTTGAAGTACCGTTTCCATTTCTAAACTCCTTTCTCATCCCCTTTGGATCATCTAATTTGAGTGTTATAGCATCTACCCTCAGAACAGTGATTCCAGCATGCGTGTCCAATGGTTTCTTGTACAAGGGCTTAGCTACTCAGATTGGTAGATACATGTTTCCCATTTTCTCCAAAATATTTGACATTTTAGTTCTGATAAGCCTCCTAGCACTCAGGTGCCATAAATAGTTATCTAAGAAAACCCATGGTATTAAGCTAATAGATTTAGATGATCCCAAGATTTTTGGAACAATTGTGCCCTGAAACTCTTGAAGCATGTTGAAAGCACTCAACAAGAACAATGTCAAGCTCATCCAGAATCTGGTCTAAACTGAAATTAATTTTTGTTTCATTTTTCTGTTTTGTCATTAATCTGCTCTATGTTGCTGGTGTCATTAAATAAAGCACCTTGTCATGGTAGTTTCTTTCTGCAGGCTGGCCAAGGGAATGGGCGAAGTTTACATGGCTGTATTTTGTTCCAGTAGAGCAGTGGCTGCAGCACAATCAGTTTGAATAAGTAATCAGCTAGGATATTGTTTCAAGATTTATATTTTCCTTAGGTCAAGTAAGTCCCTAACTGACATACTTTTATAGAATTAGGCAAAGCCTAACTGAGTTTGGCATCTAATCTCTTTTAGCCAGTAGTTCATTTTATCCATTGTCTATATCTATTGGGAGTCCAAGCTGCCCATCATAAAAACAATGTTTGCTCTATTTCTTTGTAGAAATGGTACAGATTTTGTTTCAAAGATGAAATACAAAATAAAATATATAATATATTCACATGAGATAAATATACCATGTGAAATGTTCATATAAAATAAAAAAACTGCAGAAAAATCTCTAAGAAAAAAGTATTCAAAAGCAAGATACACACACACACACACACACACACACACACAGAATACTACACATATCACATATATCACCAATCGCAAAAAAAAGTCCATTGCATTTTTAGAGTGTGTTGGAAAGCACTTTTTAATTTTTTTTATTTGCAGAAATATACAATAATCATGAGGAACATGTTTTTCCCTATAAGATTTTTAAACTCATAGAATAAAAAAAGGTCATTTTGTAATGGGGTTTCACTGAGCATGTGTCTATTTAGATTCCTAGGTAGAGCTCTTACAGCAATGTATGCCAGCCAATCAACTGTGGATACTTAACTCAAAAAATGGGATTAGGGCATTGCAGTCATGAAATATTATAGAAGACATTACAGGATATCTAAATATAAAAAGTGTCAATCCAATATCTTAGTTGTTAAAATGTGCCACATATAAAAACCATAATAAAAACTTCCAAAGACAATGTGTATAGTTTGCTATTATTTTTTTATATTTGAATACATCAAGTAAATTCTCAAAAGGTTTTACAATTATTTTAAACTTGGAAGAAAGTGTACTCAAATTAGAAGGACTTGCATCTATAATACTATAATCCACCCATGCACATATATATACACAAACATGTATATGTGTTTGTTATGGGTGTGTATATATGTACACTGATATGTACATTCACATACAAATCACTTTAAGGAGTTTTTCCTTTTCTTATTTATTCGAAGATATTTAACATAAAAATAATAAGAAATGACAACAATGTCATTTCTAGCTGTGAATAAAAGGAGCATAAAATAAATATAATGGCACTGGGGGCACTAGAAAGTACTGTGGCTTTTTAGCCTCAAAGAAATCCAGAGATGTAATAAGGTTTCATCTGTTGTTATTTTTCTCCCACTGAGCAGACCTCTCCAACTCTCAGCTCTGATGCTCAGGGAAAGTAAAGCACAGCAGTTGAATTTCACCCACTCACACTCTACCTGACTTGTGGATAAAGATAACAGTTGTGGTCCCTGTTGCTTTCAGTTCTTTCCTTGAGATGACTTAATTCATCACAAACAAGGGTAAGCAATAAAAAATAAGGTTGAAGCTTGTGCTTTAGTATGAACGTAAACTGTGTCTTATATATATTCAAATTCATGCCTAGTTGGAAGAAATATTCATGACTAATATTAAACTAAGCCCAGAATTAAGCAAAATGCAACAGACATACATTGAAGTGAGCATTTTATTATGTGACATGTCAGTCAGATTAAAGAAAAGGGTGCATGACACCGACAGGATATTGCATGTATATCAAGCAATCTATTTATATGGGACAGGGAGGGTTTGATTTCTGGAAAGAATGACAACCCAATGAAATAACTGCTCGCCTTCAAAATTGCTACAGTATAAATGTACATCTTTTCAGATGGAATTTTAAATTGCAATTAACAAAATGTAGATAAATATGCTTAGGAATGAATAGTGACATAGAGGAAAAAAGGGGATGGAGAAATCAGTGTAAATGCAAAGGTTTTCAAACCACTATTGCCAGCATCCAGAAGAGGATGCTGGTGGATGATTGCATGCCTCTTAACAATCTAACAGCAAAAACATTTTAAACAAGTTAATATTATTTGTTACCCAAGCAGAAGGGTATGGGTGTTGGCAGGAGTTAGACTGCCACTTGGGAAAAACTAGAATATAAAATACAAACCCTGCTATGAGTAATAGCTATTAGGGAAATGATTCTGCTTATGAAAATCAGTGCTGTGATCTTTACATTGGCACTTTTTAGAACAAAACTGTAGATTTTGCTCTATAAGAAGTCTGCTTCTGTTCCTCTCATTCCTTTCCTCCCTTCCCTCATTTACCAAAGGATAAGGAATGAAAGAAAATCAACCATAGCACTAAAACCTCATAATTACTATGTGTCTTTGATGGAAGTGCCCTGTGCTAGAGGGATAGGCATGGAGTTGGGGCGAAGGAGAAAGAGAGAAAGAGAGAGAGAGAGAGAGAGAGAGAGATAGACTAAAGCTGAAACCACTAACTTTATTACTAGCAAAGATAAATTGCAGTGAAACAAATTATTTGAGTTCACAATCATTATACTTGGATGCTCTTACTAGATACTGGGATAAGAAGAAAGAACAATCAGTGGTCAATTGACTTTATTTACTTTTCTTAAATTATAATCTGTATGACTCTTACATGTTTCTAGGATTAGCTGAGCAAACCACAGAGAGGCCACCTGACGAGCAGTCTATAAAGTATGTTAAATGAGAAAAACAGAGGTTGGGTGTGATGCTTGTCAAGATGGGTTCTCTTAGCAGCAGCAGCAGGAAGAGCTATGGCTGAAGCTCCTCTCTTGCATTTCCAGAGGTTTAGGCAATATCCAAGTGGTGCATGTGGGGGAGCTACAGGACTGATGCAATCAGAGCTGGCTTGTTCATCAATAAAGTCAAACTGTATTTTCTCATAACCTTTCCTTCTTTGTTCAAAAGGGATTTCCATTTTAAACTGTAATCTGTGACTTTTGAAACGGACATTAAGGATTCTTGCCGACATATACTTCAGGCTGATTTTCTTTTTCTCTCCTTCTTGCTGTTTTAAAAGAAAAGCATCATGACAGCATTATGAGCAGGTGAAAGATATCAGATGTCCAGTAGACAATTAAGCTCCCACTACCCCAAGATTTCTGATGGGGTTAAGTTTTTTAGGAAATGTTACACAGAGTTGCACACTAACATTACAGGTCAGTGGACATTGGCCACAGAGATTCTAAGATAATGCCATTTCCACGATACATAGGCTAAAATTTGTTTTGAATATTTTCTACTTTCTATTTTAATTTACATTTTACTTGATTACCTGTAACCACTGAATATATCACTAATGCCATCTTAATATTGAGTGGACATTTAACAGTTATAAAAACAATAACAAAAAATTACGACCTAGAAACGATAAAACACTAATAAACGAAGCATAGCAAAAGAAATTATTTTTATACCTAAGCAGTCATTGTACCATAGTTTTGACAATTCCAAGGTAGAAAAATTGAACAATGTTTGATTGGTGATATGCAACTTAGTCTATCTTTGTCTCTCTCTCTCTCCTCTTTTCTCCCCAGTCCCTTCCTTGACAGTGACATTTTTTGGCTGCATTATTGGTGATATTCAGCACATTGGCTAAATATTAGAGAAAAGTCTCATTTCCCAGGATAGAGAGAGCAAATTTTGACCCCTTTTGATACACTTTCACAA
Source organism: Homo sapiens (assembly GCF_000001405.40). Taxonomy (NCBI): domain Eukaryota; kingdom Metazoa; phylum Chordata; class Mammalia; order Primates; family Hominidae; genus Homo; species Homo sapiens. The sequence continues at coordinate 77,901,881 of NC_000008.11, read as the reverse complement.
TTAAAAATATATCTTTTGTGGACACCTCTTATTTGAGAGACTCAAATAATCCTAACATCTTTGGGAAATTACTGAAAACCTTGATCTTTAAATTATTTATGGAAAATACTGAGGAAAGGGAGAAGGAATAAACAACAGTATTCTTTAGGGCTTAGTTATGAATTGGATCTTAATATTTTCTTTTGGGTTTGCTTACAATTTTCAATGCCATGTGCCGTGGACAAAGTTTCACCACATCTGGCATGTATACCTTCCAAATGGAAAGCAGGAGGTGGTTAGTCATCTGGCAAAGCAATTTTAGTATACTACACCTACTATTAATCTCAGGGTAAAGCTTCTCTGAGTAACAGAAAGTGGTTGCTCTTTCTTTATTTCTTTCTATCACATTAAAAGGCACAGAATACTTGGAGATGAAAGATTATTCTGACTGCCTTTTTTACAATGTGTGTGTGTGTGTGTAACATATATGCCTCACATTATACCCCATAAATACATATATAACTATTATTCATCATTTTACAAGTGAAAGCTAAATATATATCCAAAAATATTGATTACAAAAAAAAATCAGGGTAATTTACGTTTTAATAACTTGGTAGTTTGGGAAAGCAAGGAGTTGCTTATGAGCACTGTGAGATCGAATTTTTAATATGTACTTTTTTTGTTTATGGTGATGATATTTTTATCAATTTCATTATATGTACTATTGAGGTAGGGAAATTAAAGCTTTTCCTGAGCTGTGGTCCTTTGTCTTCTGGATATATTGAAGTCTGTCTTCTATAGAATTTGTTACTGTTACAATTCTGCTTCTGTGCCTCTCCAGATGTAAAGAGGCTTTGCTTAGACACCATCTTCTATCTAATAAGAAATGAATGCACTGAGTGGGGTGGGAAATGGTACATGGTTGAATGTTTTGCCTCAGAAACAACACCAAAAAATCTTACTTAACCAAAATATGTTCTGTTGGTTAAATAATGTGAGTACATAGAGTCATGAGAAAATATTGATATTTCATAATTAATATAAAGAGAAGAAAGGTATTTTATTAACATGGTAATTTAGACATAGTCAACTGATACATAACTAGAAAGAAATATGAAAATTCAGAGAGATGTTTTTCTCACATGTTCTAATAATGTTTATTTAACATTTATTTTCTTCACTGACTATACTGTTTACCTCACGAGTTGTACTGCTATGAACTATGTTGTGTTTACAATTATTTTGGAAACATGCAGACAATGAATGACTAGACTAAGACTTACAGAGAATACTGGAAAAATGTTCATGTTCACAGTTGAATAATTAAAGCTTAGCTCAATTCTTGTTTTATAGACAGCACTTCATAAATTGCTTAATAAATGAATGATTGAATAAGTAACTGAATACATAGGTGAACAAGAAATTGGAAAAATCAAAAGTAAAAATGTGACATGAACTCATAATAAATGTTGAATGATATTAAAAATTATTACAGGCATACTTCATTTTATTGGGCTTTGCTTTATTGTGCTTTACAGATACTGAGTTTTTTTACAAATTGAAGGTTTGTGGCAATCCTGCATCAAGCAAGTCTATTGGCACTATTTTTCTATGTGCTCAGTTTGTGTTTCTGTGTCACATTGTGGTAATTATTGCAGTACTTCACACTTTTTTATTATTATTAAATCTGTTATGGTGATTTGTGATCAGTGATTTAGTGTCACTAATACGGAAGGGAAGTGCTGGGAAGGGAAGAGTGTGGTCTCTTTAAATGATACGAAAAGGGGGAAGGGAGGAAGGGAAGTGCTGGGTAGAAGAGGGCGTGGTGGTCCTTGGCTAGGGCTCCATCCCCATGGACCTGGGTGAGGACAGGCATTTTCTGCCCAAATGTTGCATTTTCTAAGACCACCCTGGCCTGCTGCACCCCTAAGCTGTGCCTATAAAAACCCTGGAGACCCTAGCAGGCAGCCACAGGCGGTCAGATGTTGAGAGGATCACATCGGCAGAAGAAGACTCAAATGGTTGTTGAGAGGACCTGGAGAGGAGCACACCAGCAGAAGAGCACACTGCCAGGCACCAGCATGCTGGCAGGCCATCAACCAGTAGAACAAGGCGGAGTTTGGCCAGGGCAGTCGGAGGAGAGACTTGGCCAGTGAATGGCCCAACTCCAAGGGAAGACCATCTCCCTTCTGGCTCCCCCATCGGCTGAGAGCTACTTGCACTCAATAAAACCTTTCACTCATTCTCCAAGCCCATGTGTGATCCAATTCTTCCAGTACACCAAAGCAAGAAACCCTGGGATACAGAAATCCCTCTGTCCTTGTGATAAGAAAGGGGGTCTAATTGAGCTGGTTAACACAAGACATCTATAGACAGCAAACTAAAAGAGCACCCTGTAACACACACCCCGTGGGGCTTCAGCTGTAAACATTCACCCCTAGACACTGTCGTGGGGTCAGAACCCCACAGCCTGCCCACCTGTATGCTTCCCTAGAGGTTGGAGCAGTAGGGCACTGGAGAAGTGAGCCATACCCCCATTGCACACCCTGTGAGTGGGGCAAGGGAACCTTTCCCATTTCATCACCATTGTAATTTTTGGGGGATGCCATGAATCTGACTCATACAAGACAGCAAATGTAATTGATAAATGTAGTATGTCTGGCTGCCCTAGTGACCACCATTCCTACCATCTTTCTTCCTCTCTTTGGGCCTCTCTATTCCCTGGGACACAATAATATTGAAAGCAGACCAATGAATACCCCTACTAATACCTGTAAGTGTTTCAGTGAAATGAAGGGTTGCATGTCTTTCATTTTAAATCGAAATCTAAAAATTATTAAACTTAATGTGGAAGGCATGTTGAAGATTGACATAGGTTGAAATCTAGGCTTCTTGAACCAGTTAACCAAATTGTGAATGCAAAGAAAAGGTTCTTGAAAGAAATTAAAAGTGCCAATTTCACAAAATGATAGACCGCAAAAAAGATAAGAAAGTGAAACAGCCCTATTGCTAATATGTAGAAAACTATAGTGGTCTGGATAGGAGATCAAACCAGCCATGACATTCTCTTACATTGAGGCCTAATCCAGAGAAAGGCTGTAACTCTCTTCAATGCTATGAAGTCTGAGAAAGGTGAGGAAGCTGTAGAAGAAAAGTTTGAAGCTGGCAGAGGTTTGTTCATGAGGTTTAAGGAAATAAGCTGTTTATATAACCTAAAAGTGCAAGGTGAAACAGCAAGTGCTGATGTAGATGCTGCAGCAAGTATCCAGAAGATCTAGCTAAGATCACTGGTGAAGGTGGTGGCCACACTAAACAATAGATTTTTAGTGTAGATGAAACAGTCTTATATTGGAAGAAGATGTCATTCAGGACTTTCCTAGCTAGAGAAGAAAAGTCAAGGCCTGGCTTCAAGGGTACAAAATAAAAGCTGACTCTCTTGTTAGCAATGAATGCAGCCAGTCACTTTAAGTTGAAACCAGTGCTTATTTACTATTCCCAAAATCCTAGGTCAATTAAGAATTATGCTCAATCTAAAAGTTGGGAATGGTGGTGCGTGCCTATAATCCCAGCTACTCACAAGGCTGAAGCAGGAGGATAGACTGAGCTCAGGAGTTTAAGAACAGCCTGGGTAACATAGTGAGTACCTCTATAAAAAAAAATAAATAGGAATTTTGTTCAGTCTATGCTGCACACATGGAACAACAAAGCCTGGATGACACAACATCTCTTACAGACTGGTTCAAACCTATTGTTGAGAATTACTTCTCAGGAAAAATGATTCCTTTTAAAACATCACTGGTCATTAACAACGCACCTGGTCACCCAATAACTCTGATGGAGATGTACAAAGAGATAAATGCTGTTATCAGGCCCGCTAACACAACTTCCATTCTAAAGCCCAAGGAGTAATTTTGAATTTCTAGTCTTATTATTTAAGAAATATGTTTTGTAAGTCTACAGTTGCCATAGATAGTGATTCCTCTGATGGATCTGGGGAAGTCAAACAAAAACCTTCTGTAAAGCATTCACCTTTCTACATGCCAGTAATAACATTTTTGATTCATGAGAGGAAGTCAAAATAACATTAACAGGAGCTTGGAAGAAGTTGATTTCTACCTTATGGATGACTTTGAAGGGTTCAAGACTCCAGTGGAGGAAGTAACTGCGCATGTGATAGAAAGAGATCTAGAATTAGAAGTTGTGCCTGGAGATTAGACTGCATGGCTAAAATCTCATGATAAAACTTTAATAGAAGAGGAGTTGCTTCTTGTAGATGAGCAATATAGTAATTTCTTGAGATAGAATATCTTCCTGGTGAAAATGCTGCAAATTTTGTTGAAATGACCACAAAGGATTTAGAATATTCCATAAACTTAGTTGATAAAGCAGTGGTAGAGTGAGGCTTAACTTCAACTCTGAAAGAAGTTCTGCTCTCAGCAATATGCTATCAAAACAGCATCCCATGGTATGGAATAATCTTTCATGAAAGAAAGGATCAATTAATTTGGCAAACTTCATTGTTGTCTTACCTTAAGGAACTTCCACAGTTTCAGCAACCACCACCATGATCAGTCATCAGGCATTAATATCAAGGCAAGACCCTCCACCACTAAAAAACTTATGACTCACTGTAAGCTCTGATGATCGTTAACATTCTTTACCTATAAAGGATTTTTAAACTTAGGTGTGTCTGTTTTTAAACATAATTCTATTTAACACTTAATAGACTACAGTATAAATATAACTTTTATATGCACTGAGACAGCAACAAATTTGTGTGACTTGCTTTATTCTGACATTCACTTTATTGAGGTGATCTGGAACTGAGCCTGCAATATCTTTGAAGTATGCCTGTATTATTATTTGAAACAAAAATCTTATAATCTGATCATATAAATAGTTTCACTGAAAGAATTGTTAAGTGTCTACTTTATACCCCAAAGTATATAAGGTTGGGTATAAACAAGAGTGTTCCCCAAAAGTTTTCATCAAGTTTTATTAATTGATGCTCTCCCATAGGCACCCCATGCTTGAGTGTGGTAATCGTGTCTTGTTAACTAACATCCCTGCTTTTGAACATACATTTCTTTCTATGTCTAATTCCTTTTCCAAAGCTGAGTGACTCCTTCTTGCTTTTTAACACTCAATTTATGCATTGTTTCTTCATTGTCATTTTTCTCACCCCCCTAAGCCCATGAGAGCTGGTTCACAATTCTGTTAGATAATATCTTAAATCCCACAAGACTCGGTGTATACACTTCTGTCATCATATTTTTAGGGTGATATTGCAATTGTGGATTCCATTCTGCATCTCTTGCATCAGCCTTTGTTCTACTCGTTTCTTTAATGAAACATTTAGCACAGTACCTGATAAGAATGTGCACTTGCTACATGTTCGATGAATAAATCTATAAATGCAGACAGGAACATGTGGATAACAGATATAAAATAGTCCTGACGATATGATTATAAGTTTACTTATTTGGGATGAAAGATAACAAATATGTTAGAAAACAAGCATTGAAAACAAATTAGAATAGGCACTAATAACTCTATTTGATAAGGGCAGACACATAAAAACCAAAGTGTAGAATTTACCATGAAGATTTGACTTTGAGGCATTTAGTAAATTGATATAAGCAATGAATTTTTAAAATTTAAAACCTTTTGAGCTAGTCTCCTAAATAAGTTGCATGTGTTAACATTTACTAATGGCATACCCTTTCTAAAAACTCTTGCAGAGTTAGTAAGTCTTATTGTATTTTTGTTTTCAGAAAAGATGACCCCTACAATTTATAACTGTTCAAATTAATTAAAATGTTGTCTATTATCTAGTGTGTAATAGATTTGTAACTGTTTCTAAACACTTAGAAGCATGGCTTATTAGTTATAAAGTTTGATGTATATGTGTTACACCTTAAAAATTACATGATTCATATCTTTTTCTTGAATTAGATTTTTTCCAGGAGGTCTATAGTAATGTAAGTGTATGATGTTAATATTTCCCCAGAAAATTTGAACTTACACTAATTTCTCTTGCTATTTCTCTATTTTATAATGGTGATGCAGTGGCATGTATAGCACATATAAGTTCAATAATATCATATTCTAAATAAATTATATTTATTTATTTCATATATAAATGTTCAGTGTTCACTGCTAAAAAATAACTTTCTTTGCTTCACTAATCCTTTTGACTTGACATTTTATTATCCTATTTTTATTTTAACCTCATTTTCTTTCTGTTTGCATTTGTTTTGTTATCACTTCCCACTGCAGTTTTCAGACCTTGTAAGTCGTTTTATTTTAGGTGCTATTTAAAGCAGTATATGTTTATAGTTTGACTGACTATCATTGTTATAAATTATGCAATTACCTGCATTTCTGTCACGTTCTATGCTTTGGTTCTATTTCCATTTTAAGTGCTTCCTTGATGTTTCCTTTGTTTTCTGGATTTTATTTGTTTAATGTTTGCCTTCTGTACTGCATTAGAATGTAAAGATCTAATTAGTAGCTTTACCAACCTGCAATTACTTTTAAATATACTCAAAAACATACTAAGATTCCAAAATATCTAAAAATTAATAACAAAACAAAGCAAAAGTAAATGGCCTGGTTCCATCCCAATGTGTAATATTATGAACTTTTATGGACTGTTCTATAATCATATTTTGAGAAAGATTGCAGCTCTTTGGACTCTCCACATTAAACTTATATCTGTTTAAATGTCCACTTGCCATATGGGCAGTTTGACTCTCTTTCCTGCACGTTGTTCTGTCTTATTTTGTCCAAACAACCAGAGGCACAAATTTCAGCCAGAAGTACTGTCTGTGGCTGGAAAAATCGGCTCTGGTTTATATCATTCTGCAGCTGCCATTCTTTTACTGCTCCTTTCTGTCGTGAAGTGTTGCTGATGAGCATTAAGATGGTTCTCCATAATAATTGTAATGGTCTCTACAATCAAGACCAGTGCTGTTGCTGCTTGTCTTGAGGTAGCTAATGTGTGTCTGCAATGAAGTAAGCGCTTTTTGAAAGATGTCATCTACGGTGACTCTATGCTCTCAGTACAGTTGTCCCAGGGCACCATGTGAATAGAACAGGGTGAGTTACTTCATATTGAAAACGAACCTTTTCTTTCTCCTACTAAAGCATTCATTGCATGTTTGGTTATTGTTTCTCACACTTTTATTCTAATTTATTTTTATGTATTGCTTAGTATTTGTAGTTGAGTCTCTGTTCTCTCCATATCTATTAGATTTTTTTTTTAAAATCTGTGTCTTCCTGATACCAAATAGAAACTGTCTAAACTTTCTTTCTGCTATCCATAGTAATGAAAATTCAGAGAAATGCATTTCCTCAGAGTCTCATGAAAAGGATGTATTTGGTTTATGCTGCAGAATTTTTGCCCAGATATGTCCTTTTTCTCCTGTATATTCATGCATAAAGAAGGGGGTTACTCAGAATTGTTGTAAACGCCCTACATTGCTCCTAGTAACCCTTTAGCTATTGGCAGGTTTTTTCTCAAAATGACACTGTATAGACAGGTAAATATGCATCGTCCTTAGCCAGTATTACCTACAACATTTTCTCCTCTGAGGTGGCATATTCTTTTTCTCAAGCAGTCTTGTATGGATTAGTATATTTGGTAAAATATGTACCCCTTTTTTTCAGATTATGTGGTTTAAGATTGTTTTTGTTCAAATACAATACTTTAAGGATTGTTTTTGCACATTTTTATCCATTACACGTTTGCTGTATAAATTACATATCCTTCAACAATGTTGCATTTTGATAGATGTATACTCTAAAACAATGTATAAAGATAATATCTGATTGACAAGAAGAAAAGAAGAGAAAAGCATTACTCAAGCTGGTTCTGTAGTTAATTTTATGCATCTTTATGAATGCAGACAATTTTATACTCACTAAAATATTTTATAATATGGATAAACCAATATTAGTGGAAGCAATCTAAAATGACCGTATATATTAACTGTCGCCCTTGAATCTTTCAGGTACATTTGGTTGTGTTTTTTCAAACAGCTGTACTAATTTTTTTAAATTAAACTTTAAGTTCTGGGATATATGTGTAGAACGTGCAGGTTTGTTACATAGGTATACAGGTGCCATGATGGTTGGCTACACCCATCAACCCGTCATCTACATTAGATATTTCTCCTAATGGTATCCCTTCCCTAGCCCCCCACCCCCTGGCAGGCCCTGGTGTGTGATGTTCCCCTCCCTGTGTCCATATGTTCTCATTGTTCAACTCCCACTTATGAGTGAGGACATGCGGTGTTTGGTTTTCTGTTCCTGTGTTAGTTTGCTGAGGATGATGGTTTCCAGCTTCATACATGTCCCTCCAAAGGACATTTTTTATGACTGCATGGTATTCCATGGTATGTATGGACCTTAGAGGAAGTTATCTCCCCATTTGCTATATCTCCAATGTGTAGTCTCATTGATGGTTTTTTACTTTTCTTAATATATTTTTAAGATTTTTAATAAGAAATTGGGATAGCAGTTATATGAAATTGTGTACTAAATTCAGCATGAACTTGGAAGTTACCTAAAAACATTGTAAACATTATTATTAAAAATTTCAAACAAAAATAGGATAATTTAATAAATCCTACACTATTAACCAGATTCTAGTATTATTAAGATTTGCGACTCTTGCTTCATCTATTCTCTTTCTCTTTTTTTTCTGAGCTATTTTAAACAAATTCTAGATTTCATGTTATTTTACTTTTACAGACTTAGTATATACCTTTAAAAATACAATGAAAATATTTCTTATATCATACCAATGCTGCAATTTCCACTTAGCATAATTCAAAATAAATAATTATTATAAACTAATATCCAGCCCATATTAATATTTGTGATATCTATATTTATAGTTGATTAGTTCAAATCATGTAACCACACCAATTTTTAAAAATAATTAAAATTTTAAAATGTTTTATACAAATCAAATCATGGTTCAAACAAAGTTCATCCATAACATTGAAGTTATGATTTTCTTAAAGTAAAACAGGTTCTGTTCCCCAAATGTTTTCTCTATACAATTCTTTTTTGATTAATTTGTTGCAATAACTGTGTTCCATACCTTGAAAAAACCATCCACATTATGTTTTAACTGTTGGTTTCATCATGGTGTCATTTAGCTACTTTCCCTACCACTTGTATTTCTTACAAAGTTAACTCACAAGTCTTGACTAGGTTCAGGTTTACTTATTATTATCATTATCATTATTACTATTTGGCTGGAGCCAAAAATGCTTTGTATGTGGTACTATATATTTTGCACTTATGTCCCTCGGGAGACACATAGTATCTGGTGTTTCTGTCTGAGTGATGCTAAGACCAATCAGTTGGTGAATGTAGTAACAACCTGATGCCTCCATTAAAAACTTACTATTTTTCCCATCATTAACCTATTGTTTCTCGGCTTCAAACCCACTTCTCTCTACTGAGTTTTGTGATGCTGGGGCAGAAATTTTGAAAATCACACTTGACTTTTGTCATTTAGCTTTTTATCGGGTTCTGTTAATAAGGGGGTCTAGAGCAAGAGAGAAAAGGGAAAATGCCTTGACTATTTCTTGTTTGCTTGCTGTTTCTTTTAGTGTCTTCCCAGAAATGGTCCCTTGCCAATGAAACAGAAGTTGATTCCAGAAGCAACTAGCCTCTCTAACCAGCTTTATTTTTCTTTATCTTTTATTTTTGAGACTCTCAGGTCCAACTTTGTTGTGTCTGCTCTATGACAGCAGTACCAGATGGGCTGCGTCCTCTCTCCAGAAATTTTAGTTTTAATTTCCTAAGAGCCCTTCTCCAAACTTCTGAGGTATTAGTAACCATTTGGCAGTGCCTCCTCCATAGAGTCTGGGTACCACTTCCAAGCTCCCTGATTCTAAAACCCCTAACCCTCTTTTTCATTGCCCTTCTATCTGACACTTGCAGTTACTGTCTCTGTGCTACTTCAATGCCTCTTCTTCATCTCCTTCCTCCCATACCTTTTTAACCAATTTATCTTACTGTTTTATTGGATTCACTTACTAGAAACTTTCTGTTTACTAACTAGAATCTGCCTAATACAGTTACTTGATAAAATAAATAGTCCTAGAAAACATCCTCAACGACAGAAGACTGATTTGCTTTTGTCGTTTTCATGTCCCTAGCTTTGAATCTGGTACTAAGCTCCTTGCCAATGAGAAGAATCATAATATTAATTGATGGCCTTGTGAGTAACCAACTTATAAGGTTTGGTCGATTGTGGTGAAGTGCTTAATGAAGGAGTCCCTTGCAGGAACAAGTAGTCTTTAAAGCAGTAATTATAACTACCAGGACTGTTAATGTGGCAGCTGCTTCTACCCGTATTAGAGAGCTGACAGAAATGAAAGAACAAGCGTGAGCTTGTCTTTAGAACAGTCATGGTCAGAAAACTACAGAGTTATCCAGGCATGGTGGCATGCACTTAGAGTCCCAGCAACTTGGGAGGCTGAGACAGGAGGATCTCTTAAGTCCGGGACTTCAAGGCTGCAGTGAACTATGATCACACCACTGCACTCCAGCCTGGGCAGCAGAACAAGAACTTGTCTTAAAAATGAAATGAAATAAAATAATGAATTTTAAAATACCTTTAAAAAAGACAACTACAGAGTTCCTTCTGTGTCTCTAAGAGAATTTACTAATTCTTATAGCCACGGGGCTATAAAATTTAGTTGTATACTTTCATAACTATAAATTGAAATCATGGCCTTCCTAAGTCTCTGAAGTGAGAATTGGCGCATTGATAGACAAGGAGCTGTAACCTGAGAGCCTGAATTGGGTTATCTGAATAAATTCAGATGAGGCTGGAGCCTTAACCCCTTGAGCCATTCTGAACATCCCTTGCTAGTGGAATGAGTACAACATTCTGTGTGTGCAGAGAACATTCATTTTTTGCCTGAAAATCTTTTAATAAACACACCTGGGTCAATGGTCTTGCAAGAGCATGTGTACTTGTAGCCACCTCAAACACCTCTCCTGGCTTCTAGATCTATAACTGTAGTCACCCATCAGTATATTTCAGGGAGACAATACCAAATTTGGTGAAGGAGAAGTAGCTTCAGGAAGAAATGGCCACCAACAGAATTGTGTTGTCTTGCCAAATGATTATCAGCAGAAGCCCATTTGATAAATGTATGAGTAAAATCTATGACTTCTAGAGTAAGAAGAAAAATACAATGGAACAAAATCATAAATATTAGGTTATCCACTAGGGGTATGCATTTGTGCATTAGTTTGTACAACTGGAAGTAGCTATAATGCTTTGTTTGATTGACTGAAACTTGAACACAAAAGTGGCCTACATTTAGTGAAGTTAAATGTCAGAACTACCCTGAAATAATGCAGCGAGAGAATTTTAGAGGCTTCGAGAGATATTGATATGGGTATGTATTTATAGTATATGAACATCACGTTTTTACAGATTACCTATCATATCTCAAGAAGACACTCCCTTTACTAAGGCTTTTGAGGGATACATTAATGAGGGGATCACCAGTATTCTTGAAAGTCTTTTGGTTTTACTTTTTGTTTTTTTTTTTTTTTTTTAGATTGGGGATGGCAGTGGAAAATGCCACCTGATTCTATTATGATGGTGGAATTGCAAAGAAACAGAGGGTAAGTGACAACACAACTACAAGAGAGACTTGCCATATTGGGTACAAAAAATAAATACTCAGATGTTTGCTTTGAATTGATTTTAGAATAATTATGTTTTGTTAATTAAAATGAGAGTTTAAGGTGGTCAGTTAGGGGAGCGGGGAGGGATAGCATTAGGAGATATACCTAATGATAAATGACGAGTTAATGGGTGTAGCACACCAACATGGCACATGTATACATATGTAACAAACCTGCACATTGTGCACATGAACCCTAAAACTTAAAGTATAATAATAATAAAATAAAAAAATAAGAAATAGAGAAAAAAAAAAGAAAGTAGAATTTAGGAGCAACTTCAACATATTATAGGCTCAGTAAAACTATGGACATAGTACTTGATTGTCTTCCATAGTAATTATATATTTATAAATTAATAAATATATTTGTAATAGACATACTCAGCAACTGGAGGGATGCTCATATTGACTCCCTGATCTATGTTTGGAACCCAGGGAATATTTTGAGATAAATTTAGTATTTTAATATCTAAGAGTAGAAATTAGATGGTAAGAAGTAATGAAAAAAATTAAGAAACTCCTATAACTATGTAGATATAGATATACATATATTCCTGACCACTGATGATTAAGATACTTCATGAATTATTATTTTGTTTATCCTAAAAGTTAATAACCCTGATCAGTTAAGGTCCTAGCTTAAGGCAATAAAATATGGAATGGGTAGTGAAAGAAGGAAAATACAAATATCAATGACAGCATTATCAACAGTTACAGAAATGAAGACTATAGCAGCTGAGCACATTGTCTTTGATAACTAGTTCAGGCAGAAGCACTGTGGGCAAGGAAAGGAAATGCACATCCATATCAGAAACACTTTTTGCCCTGTAATACATATATATTTAACCAATTCCCTATATTAAGTTATCTCTGTTAATATAACCAGTATGTTTTCTGTTTTATGGACAGAATTCTCTATTAACCTTTCACTTAATTTCAAACATTAATAATCTCTGCACTAATCAATATTTATCAGTGATTATTTATAGTGATTTCCAAATTAAGTCATTAAAAAAATTTGTTCATTGAATTTTTATGAAAAATGACTTTCTCTTATCAACAGCAGTTAATTTGTTCTGTTAATTTATTCTGAAATATAGTAGATGAAGAAAAATCAAATATGCTTACTTTTCAATAGCTTATTTTTAGAATAAATAGCTGATACTCTAGTTACCTCCAGTGAGAAGTGATTGTTTTCCCTTTTGTAGAGCATTATTATAAACTCATAGATTTTTATCTAATCAATGTAATTACTTAATTGGATTTCTTCTTTTTTTTTATCTTCAAATTTCCCTGTCATTTGCCAAATGGAAGCACCTTTATTGTGATGGTTAATACTGAGTGTCAACTTGATTGGATTGAGGGATATAAAGTATTAATCCTGGGTGTGTCTGTGTGGGTGTTGACAAACGAGATTAACATTTGAGTCAGTGGGCTCCGTAAGGAAGATCCACCCTTAATCTGGTGGGCACAATCTAATCAGCTTCCAGCTAATATAAAGCAGGCAGAAAACCATGTAAAGGAGAGATAGACCTAGCCTCCCAGACTACATCTTTCTCCTGTGCTGGATTCTTCCTGCTCTCGAACATGGGACTCCAAGTTCCTCAGCTTTGGGATTCAGACTGGCTCTCCTTGCTCCCCAGCTTGTAGGCAGCCTATTGTGGGACCTTGCCGTCATGTAAGTTAATACTTAATATACTCTTGTATGTGTATATATATGTGTGTGTGTGTGTGTGTGTGTGTGTATCTCCTATTAGATCTGTTCCTCTAAGAGAACCCTAATACATTCACATTGGTTTCTTTGTGTTGTTGGTATGACCCATTGTTTTTGATACCTTCCTTACTTTTTGAAACTAAATGTTGTCCGGGTTCATCTCATATTTCCTTCCACAGTTCCAGAAACTGTTATTTATTCAAAGAGCCTTGGTATCTCCTAATAGTGAGATATACTGATTAGAAACAACAACCTGAGGCAAACTTATTGCTACTGTATTGTCATTGTTTCTAGGTCTTCTAAGTGGAAAGAATGATGGCATGTATTTTAAAGCATATTCTATACTGATATTTTTTAGTGTTTAATTTCTTTGGCTTTATTCTTATACATTTTCCTCTGAATTTACATTTTTTTTGCTTGTATTTTAGGTTTGGGGGTAAACTCATGTCTTAGGAATTTGTTGTACAGATTATTTTGTCACCCAGGTACTGAGCCTCATACTTAATAGTTATTTTTTCTGCTCCTTTCCCTCCTCTTGCACTCCATTGTCAAGGAGGCCCTAGTGTCCATTATTCCCTTTTTTGTCTGCATGAATTCTCATCATTTAGCTCCCACTTATAAGTGAGAACATGAGGCATTTGGTGTTCTGTTCCTGGGTTAGTTTGTTAAGGATAATGGCCTCCAGTTCCCTCTATGTCCCTGCAAAAGCCATGATCTCATTCTTGTTTATGGCTATGTAGTATTTCATGGTATATATGTACCACATTTTCTTTATTCAATTTGTCATTGATGGACATTTAGGTTGATTCCATGTTTCTGCTATTGTGAATACTGCTGCAATGAACATTTGCTTGCATGTTTCTTAATGGTAGAATGATTTATATTCCTCTGGGTATATAGCCCGTAATGGGATTACTGGGTCAGATGGTAGTTCTGTTCTTAGCTCGTTGAGGAACCACCGTACGGCTTACCATAATGGTTGAACTGATTTACACTCTCACCAACAATGTATAAGTGCTCCCTTTTCTCCACAACCTCAACAGCATCTGTTATTTTTTGACTTTCTAATAATAACCATTCTGACTGGTGTAAGAAGGTATCTCATTTTGGTTTTGATTTGCATTTGTCAAATGGTCAGTGATATTGAGCATTTTTCACATGACTGTATGTCTTCTTTTGAAATTGTCTGTTCATATCCCTTGCCTACTTTTTAATGGGTTTAAATTTTAAATTTGTTTATCACAGATCCTAGATATTAGAACTTTTTTAGATGCATAGTTTGTAAATATTTGCAAATATTTTCTCCCATTCTATAAGTTGTCTGTTTATTCTGGTGATATTTTCTTTTGATGTGCAGAAGCTCTTAAATTTAATTACATCCCATGTGTAAATTTTTGTTTTTGTTGTGATTGCTTTTGGCATCTTTGTCATTAAACTTTTGCCTGTTCCTGTGTTCAGGATGGTATTACCTAGGTTGTCTTCCAGGATTTTTATAGTTTTGGGCTTTAAATTTAAGCCTTTAATCCATTTTAAGTTAATTTTTGTGTATGGTATAGGGAAGTGGTCCAGTTTGAATCTTCTGTATATGGCTAGCCAATTATCCCAGCACCATTTGTTGAATGGGGAGTCCTTTCCCCATTACTTTTTTGTGTCAGCTTTGTTGAAAATCAGATGGCTGTAGGTGAGCAGCCTTATTTCTGGGCTCTCTATCTGTTCCACTGGTCTATGTGTCTTTTTGTACCAGTACCATGCTGTTTTGTTTACTGTAGCCCTGTAGTATAATTTGAAGTTGGGTAGCACAATGCCTCAGCTTTGTTCTCTTTGCTTACTATTGCCTCCTTCAGCTAATAAACAACTTCACCACAGTTTCAGGATACAAAATTAATGTACAAAAATTACTAGCATTCCTATACATCAACAGCAGCCAAGCCAAGGGCCAAATCAGGAATGCAACCACATTTACAATAGCCACAAAAATAATAAAATACCTAGGGAAACAGCTAATCACTGAGGTGAAAGATCTCTACAATGAGAATTACTAAACACTGCTCAGAAAAATCAGAGATGACACAAACAAATGGAAAAACATCCCATACTCATGAATAGGAAGAATCAATATCATTAAAATGGCCATAATGCCCAAAGCTATTTATAGATTCAATGTTATTCCTATGAAACTATCAATAACATTCTTCACAGAATTAGAAAAAACTGATTTAAAATTCATATGAAACTAAACCTTCTCAATTAGATTAAAAACTACTGAAAGTGAAGTAATTACTTCTTTGCTTTATAGATATTCATACATTCATAAATATGTCATAAATATATGTGCATATACATGTATATGTATATGTGTGTATATATTACGTATGGATGTATGAGGGTGTGTGTATTGACACCAACAATTAGAGATCTAAACAAACTTTAGTATTATTTTTAGCTGTTTGTCCTTAGAATTTATTCTCCTATGAGTATAAATTCAAAAGCTGTGTTTTAAAGTACCTTAACGTAATTGGTATGTTAACAGCTCTGTGGAGAATTATTTATTGAAGCTTGTTTTTAATGCTTACAGCTGATTTTTTTATCCAGTTTTACTTTGGATAATATGTAGAATAGTTGAAGGTACACAGCAAGTGGTATATTCATAGAGGTGTTATTTCTATGTGAACACTTTCAATAATTTTTTCCTTTCTCCCTTTGGGAAGAAAATTTTGTTAGTTTTAATTTTATCTCTTTAGTGTGTCTTTTTGTAATATAAACGTATTTTTTCTGTTTTGTTACCCAAAAGATAGCATACAAGATATAAGGATATATGTCTTTTTTATATTTTAAACTTAATGACTCCTGGAGTTATTATAGATCACCTGGAGAGTGATATAGAGATCATGCCATACCATTTATAACTGCATTGTATTTCAATATGTGAATATAATATGGTTTATTCAATCAGTTTCTTACTGATGGACTTTGCGCAATTTCCAGTCTCTTATATTACAAAACAATGCCACACTTGATAACTTTATAAGTAACTCATTTATTATCTTAAGGCACTTCTTAATTCATCATCATGACCCGTAACTGAAGGATACATTACCCGAAAAATTAATTATATTCACTAAGACAGTACTTGGATTGTGTATTCGTTTTCTATTATTATATAACAAGTTATCACAAACTTTGCAGTTTAAAAGAACATCCATTTATTTTCTAAGGGTTTTATAGATCATTAATACAAGCAATGAGTGTGTGGGTTCCCTGCTTGGAGTGCTACAAGTCTGAGATTAATTTGTCCATGATGCATTCCTTTCGGAATGTCTAGGGCAGAATCTGCATCCAAGACCATTTAGGTTGGGGGTACAATTCAGGGTACTGAAATTCTAACTTCCTTGTTGCCTCTGATCAAGGAGCAACTCTCAGCCTCTAAAATTTGCCCACATTGCTAGGCAGGTCCCTTTATCCTTATAAATCAGCAAAGGAGACGTTCCCTTGCATCAAATCCTTCTCATGCTTCAAATATCCTCCAGGGAAGGTCCCAGCCTCTTTTAACAACTCATCTGAGTACCTCTACCACACAAAAAGTAATCTCCTTATCTTAAGGTCATCTGATTTAGGAACTTAATTACATTTTCAAAATTCCTACAGAGGTACCTAGGTTACTGACTGATTAAATAGCTAGGAAGAGCATTTATACCCAGGGATAGGAATAGTGGAGCCTATCGTAAAATTCTCCCTACCACAGACTACTTTAAAGAAGTTTGGGTTGCTAATAACTATTGGATTCATTTCCTGGAATATATTTTCAAACAGTGTATGTTAGAGATACTGTCAGAAAGGCAAACTTAAAATATGCCAAGGAACGTGAATGAAGAATTTTGATAGAGTCATCACAGATTGAATGAGTTTCCAGGTAATACTAAAGATGAGAGTTTGGGCTATGGAGTGAAGAAAGAGAAGATTTAAGAAGAAAAAAGGCTGGGTGTCATGGCTTACGCCTGTAATCCCAGCACTTTGGGAGGCTGAGGCGGGTGGATCATGAGGTCAAGAGATCGAGACCATCATGGCCAACATGGTGAAACCCCATCTCTACTAAAAATACAAAAAAATTAGCTGGACATGGTGGCGGGTGCCTGTAGTCCCAGCTACTTGGGAGGCTGAGGCAGGAGAATCACTTGAACCCAGGAGGCGGAAGTTGCAATGGGCCGAGATTGTGCCACTGCACTCCAGCCTGGCGACAGAGTGAGACTCCATCTCAAGAAAAAAAAAAAAAGAAGAAGAAGAAGAAAAAAAAATGTTAGTGATAACAAGAAGCTTAGAGAAGAATTAGTTTTGATCTTTACCAAAACCAAGTTTTGAAGTAGTGGTGGATAGTTCCCACTTTACCTTTCAAAAGATTGATAAAGGGATACTGGAACTCCTAAATGAACCATTCCAAAAGAGTGACTGGTACATCTTTCCTTCTGCTTATTTAGACCTCAGTTATATTTTATTATAGGCCTCATGCACCTTCTCTTCTTGAAGTCTTATTTTGGTAACCCTGTTCTATGATATAATCTCAACTCTGAATTGCAGTAACAATTCTATATATATAAATCTCATTTATTTTATAAACTTTTGGGTTTTCAAAGGATGGTTACTACACAGTGTTAAAGAAAAACATTATATGTATTTTATTTATTTAGTCAGGTGAACTTCGCTCCCATAGTACAGAAAACATTCTTATCTTTTTTTATATAAGCCATAGGACATATCAAAAGTTTGCACTCATAGTACATAGTTTGAAATATTTACTAAAAGATATTATTTTTCAAGCTATTGTAAATTTCTCATTTGTTAGTTTCACTATTTCCAGTCTCATAGATTTTTTTTTATTTTACATAGTGTTTTCAAATATATATTTTTATTTTATAATTATGTGGTTTCCCTTATTTTTGTCTGTTGTAAAAATTTAGTTATTAAAATAATTTCGGAATCTAAAAGAAATATAAACTAAGTAAATTTAACTTATTGTAGTTTATTGTTGTAGAGAAATAAATTCTCTGTTTAGCTCTCATTTTTAGAACTCTGTTCCCATCCTCACAGCAACAGTCTCCAGCCTCAATCTCGTCATTTTTTTGTAACCTTTGGGAAGAAGTGTTGCCAACCTAAATAATTAGATTCCTGGGTTTTTAGTGAACTAAGTCACTGTAATTTGAAATGACAAGAACCCTTGTTTAATATTTTTCCTGACTTCTTGTTGCCTTTATCAGACAAGACTAGCCAAGTCAGCCATGAACATCTCTAGGAACAGTTATTTCGAAATCTCTGTTCTTCATGCAATGGAATTCGATTGCAAAACTCCTGAGGCTGCTTTCAACTCTAATACACCTTTATTTTATAGTGACATAATTATCAATATCTCTTAGTACATAGTCCAGTATAAATATATGTTAACTTATGAATAGAGGGACTCATGCAATATGTTTATTTTTATTTGCACTCTAATGCTGTGGTAGCATTTTTTTTTTTTCTGATATCTTCTTTGGTAATCCTCTGGCTACTCCAGTGATATAGAATGTACCTCCAGTTTCAAGAATCTCACCTATCTTGTTCACTATTGTTTATGTAGTACATGGAACATTCTCTAAATCTGGAAGGCATTTAATGAACATTTATTTATAGAATTAAGAAGTGAATGAATCACTATCTCATAGAAAATTGGTTTTGCCTGTATTGCAAATGTCAAACACATACTATGGGACCAAAGAACAATATGGCTGCATATATGTTCCCAGGTATTGATGCTGTTAGCATCAAGTGGCATTTAGAGAAAAAAAGGCCACCAAATGTTATCTTACCCTGAAAGTATGTGATAACTTTTTTACTCTAAAATATGTGATTGTTTGCAGAGAAACCACAATTAGGAAATCTTCCAAAGAGTTTTAAGATATTATTAAATTTGTTTCATAGTTCCTTTAAAATGCTTATCTCCAACATATACTGGGATTTTCATTTTCCCATTCAATATATTAAAAGAACAAAAATGTCAGCGTTTCTTTGGAATTCAGAATCTCACGAAAACCCCAAATCCTGAAAGACAGAAGAGAGTAGGTACACCATTCTCTATTATTCATATCTTCAGGTTCTTAGACACAACCTCATTTCTTTTGAGACTATGAATAGAAGTGTACTTTATTTATAAGTATAAAACTTCACAATAAACTGAGAAGACAATTTATACTATAAAAAACAGTGGTATGGTTTGGCTCTGTGCCCCACCCAAATCTCATCTCCAATTGTGATCCCCATATGTGAAGGGAGGGACCTGGTGGGAGGTGATTGGATCATGGGGGTGGTTTTCCCCATGCTCTTCTCATGATAGGGGGTTTTCATGAGATCTGATGGCTTAAAAGTGGCAGTTTCCCCTGTTCTCTCTCTCAATCTCTCTCTGTCTCTCTCCTGTAGCCTTGTGAAAAAGGTGCCTGCTTCTCCTTCCCCTTCTGCCATGATTGTAAGTTTCCTAAGGGCTCCCCAGCCCTGTGGAACTGTGAGTCAATTAAACCTCTTTCCTTTATAAATTACCCAGTCTCAGTTATTTCTTTATAGCAGTGTGAAAATGTACTAATACAGTCACAGAGTTAAAAGATGTATTTTTTTTTCTACCTCCACTCTGATTATTACTGTATATTTTAAATCAGTTGATGAAAATGTGGGTGGAAAATCCCTGGTATAAAATTTCTACCAGGCTCATCATCTGTGAAAGGAAAAGTTCCATTTCTACCTTCACACCGAGGGTGGCTGATGTGCTGTTTTCTTTGATATATAATCATATTAATTAATTTTAAGGAAGTTTAGCAATATCAGAAATGAAAAGAGTAATAAGAAATACTCTTAGAATTACAAACACCTCCTTCCTACGAGGAGCCTGTTTACATATATTCAAGATCAATATGAAGAACAAGTCAGTAACATTTAATTATGACTTTTTTTGTGAATAGAGGGTTAAGACGGAAATAGCAATGTTTAAAACTAGAGACTGTAGCTGAAGGCTAATAGCCAAAATATTTGTGCATGCTTAATGACCCATTTTACAATGTTTAAATGCCTCAGCTTTTCACTTTTGCCCAGGTTCTGGCATGCAAGTATGAGAGAACTGTTTTGTTCTGTGGAAATCTTTCATATGAACAAAGATGAACTAAAAAAAAAAAAAGAAAAAAAAATCCATAGGTAGAAAATCTAGCAACCTGCTGAAATTAATTTGGATAATTTGGAGAAATGTTTATCCATCACAGCAGTTTCAGCGATGTATATTATTATCATCAATTGGCCTATTCCTATGGTGAACATGAATGAAGAAAAAGAGCTTTGTGAGAGTAAAGTGCTTCACCATGGGGACTAAATTAACTCTTTATGAGTAATAGGTCTTATGTATGAGCAACCTCTTCCATGGTGCTAAGTGGTTTCCTACAGACTAGATGAAGTTAATTTATCAGCCTGCAGCTATAATAACAAAAATAATAATATAATTTCTATTTGCTTCAATTGATGTCTACGACTTACTTTGTTTGTATAATCACAAATCCTAAATATAATGCACACAAACATGCTTGCACATGAAGAACAAGCCGTCTTCTAAAATTCTAAAAAAGTGAATTAAATATTTTACTGGAACGAACATATTTTTCCCATTGCCTATTTATTATCTGATTGCAAGTCAGGCATCTTTGCTTTGTTTTATCAGTTATGGGATAGCTCATTTTTTAACTCAATCTATTTTGATGTTATTAAGGAAAGAATACTTTCATGTAAAAAGGTTTAGTATTTCTTATTTAAAATTAAAATATGACTTGGTTCCAAGATGGCCGAATAGAAACAGCTCCAGTCTACAGCTCCCAGTGTGAGCGATGCAGAAGACAGGTGATTTCTGCATTTCCAACTGAGGTACCGGGTTCATCTCACTAGGGCTCGTGGGACAGTGCGAGCAGGACAGTGGGTGCAGCCCACCAAGTGTGGGCCAAAGCAGGGCGAGGCATCGCCTCACCTGGGAAGTGCAAGGGGTCGGGGAATTCCCATTCCTAGCCAAGGGAAGGGGTGACAGATGGCACCTGAAAAATCGGGTCACTCCCACCTTAATAACTGCGCTTTTCCAATGGTCTTAGCAAAAGGCACGCAAGGAGATTACATCCCGTGCCTGGCTCAGAGGGTCCCACGCTCACGGAGTCTCGCTCACTGCTAGCACAGGAGTGTGAGATCAAACTGCAAGGCAGCAGCGAGGCTTGGGGAGGGGCGCCCGCCATTGCTGAGGCTTGAGTAGGTAAACAAAGTGGCCCCGAAGCTCGAACTGGGTGGAACCCACCACAGCTCAAGGAGGCCTGCCTGCCTGCCTCTGTAGACTCCACCTCTGGGGGCAGGGCACAGCCAAACAAAAGGCAGCAGAAACCTCTGCAGACTTAAATGTCCCTGTCTGACAGCTTTGAAGAGAGTAATGGTTCTCCCAACACGGAGTTTGAGATCTGAGAATGGACAGACTGCCTCCTCAAGTGGGTCCCTGACCCCTGAGTAGCCTAATTGGGAGGCATCCCACAGTAGGGGCAAACTGACACCTCACAGGGCCAGGTACCCTCTGAGACGAAGCTTCCAGAGGAATGATCAGGCAGCAACATTTGCTGTTCGGCAATATTCACTGTTCTGCAGCCTCTGCTGCTGATACCCAGGCAAACAGGGTCTGGAGTGGACCTCCAGCAAACTCCAACAGACCTGCAGCTGAGGGTCCTGACTGTTAGAAGGAAAACTAACAAAGAGAAAGGACATCCACACCAAAACCCCATCTGTACGTCACCATCATCAAAGACCAAAGGTAGATAAAACCACAAAGATGGGGAAAAAACAGAGCAGAAAAGATGAAAATTCTAAAAATCAGAGCACTCCTCCAAAGGAATGCAGCTCCTCGCCAGCAATGGAACAAAGCTGGATGGAGAATGACTTTGACAAGTTGAGAGAAGAAGGCTTCAGATGATCAAACTTCACCGAGCTAAAGGAGGAAGTTCGAACCCAACGCAAAGAAGCTAAAAACCTTGAAAAAAGATTAGATGAATGACTAACTAGAATAACCAGTGGAGAGAAGTCCTTAAATGACCTGATGGAGCTGAGAAACATGGCAGGAGAACTATGTGATGAATGCAAAGCTTCAGTAGCCAATTCAATCAACTGGAAGAAAGGGTATCAGTGATTGAAGATCAAATGAATGAAATGAAGTGAGAAGAGAAGTTTAGAGAAAAAAGAGTAAAAAGAAATGAAGAAAGCCTCCAAGAAATATGGGACTATGTGAAAAGAGCAAATCTACATCTGATTGGTGTACCTGAAAGTGACAGGGAGAATGGAACCAAGTTGGAAAACACTCTGCAGGATATTATCCAGGAGAATTTCCCCAACCTAGCAAGGCAGGCCAACATTCAAATTCAGGAAATACAGATAATACCACAAAGATACTCCTCGAGAAGAGCAACTCCAAGACACATAATTGTCAGATTCACCAAAGTTGAAATGAAGGAAAAAATGTTAAGGGCAGCCAGAGAGAAAGGTGGGGTTACCCACAAAGGGAAGCGCATCAGACTAACAGCGGATCTCTCGGCAGAAACTCTACAAGCCAGAAGAGAGTGGGGGCCAATATTCAACATTCTTTAAAGAATGAACATCGATGCAAAAATCCTCAATAAAATACTGGCAAACCAAATCCAGCAGCACATCAAAAAAGCTTATCCACCATGATCAAGTGGGCTTCATCCCTGGGATGCAAGGCTGGTTCAACATACACAAATTAATAAATGTAATCCATCATATAAACAGAACCAAAGACAAAAACCACATGATTATCTCAGTAGATGCAGAAAAGGCCTTTGACAAAATTCAACAGCCCTTAATGCTAAAAACTGTCAGTAAATTAGGTATTGATGGGACGTATCTCAAAATAATAAGATCTATTTATGACACACCCACAGCCAATATCATACTGAATGGGCAAAGACTGGAAGCATTCCCTTTGGAAACTGGCACAAGACAGGGATGCCCTCTCTCACCACTCCTATTCAACATAGTGTTGGAAGTCCTGGCCAGGGCAATCAGGCAGGAGAAAGAAATCAAGGGTATTCAATTAGGAAAAGAGGAAGCCAAATTGTCCCTGTTTGCAGACGACATGATTGTATATTTAGAAAACCGCATCGTCTCAGCCCAAAATCTCCTTAAGCTGATAAGCAACTTCAGCAAAGTCTCAGGATACAAAATCGATGTGCAAAAATCACAAGCATTCCTATAAACCAATAACAGACAAACAGAGCCAAATCATGAGTGAACTCCCATTCACAATTGCTTCAAAGAGAATAAAATACCTAGGAATCCAACTTACAAGGGATGTGAAGGACTTTTTCAAGGAGAACTACAAACCACTGCTCAGTGAAATAAAAGAGGATACAAACAAATGGAAGAACATTCCATGCTCATGGTTAGGAAGAATCAATATAGTGAAAATGGCCATACTGCCCAAGGTAATTTATAGATTCAATGCCATCCCCATCAAGCTACCAATGACTTTCTTCATAGAATTGGAAAAAACTACTTTAAAGTTCATATGGAACCAAAAAAGAGCCCGCATTGCCAAATCAATCCTAAGCCAAAAGAACAAAACTGGAGGCATCACGCTACCTGATATACCTAATGTACATGACGAGTTAATGGGTGCAGCACAACAACATGGCACATGTGTACATATGTAACAATTCTGCACATTGTGCACATGCACCCTAGAACTTAAAGTATAATAAAAAATAAAAAATTAAAAATTAAAATATTAAGACATAGCAACATAAGTGTATTCAGTTGAGTACATTGTCTATTCTACAGGAGAACAGTATTTGCATAATTTATTTTGTTTTTCTAAAATTCTTTTTGAGATTTCTGAATTTTAATCTTGTTTTTATTAAATTATTTTTGATATGTCAGAATTGTGTAGGCTTTATTTACTCAAAGCAGCCCACTTTTTTGTCAAGTTTTGTTAATCATAAATCTTCATCATCTGAACATTTTTCTTAGGGTTGAAAATAAGAATAGTTTATGTAAATAACCTATGGTCCTTCCAACTGGCCTCATCCTTTGCATTCTGAATGTGCTTATTACTTCTGATATCTGTGCATATATTTATATATATAACATATATATTACACATGTGTAATACATACATAGATATGTATGTATACATTGATATACACACCTCTATGCATATGCACAGGTGCATATGTACAAACATTTCTATATGTTTGTTTTTGTATGTGTAGATATATAGATAATATCAATTCATATTGTACTATTATATAATGTTTATGAGATTAAAAATTTGTAGTGGATATTTTCCTTCATTGCTAAATGCCTGTAGCATAGAACAGACATAATCGGTATCCTTGAGACAGGGTTTACATTTCACCAAGTCATAAACTACTAAGGCAACCTTGTCATTGCAATAAGACACACCCTTTTGTCTTCTAGATCTCACTGACACCTCATCACTCCAGTTTAATGTGTAGGCTGCTAGAGTGGAACAAATTTTTTGAAATTTGATGGAAAGAGCTGAAGCAATAGCATAGAAAACTAGCAAAAGCTGAAGCTATTGTGACTTTGGTTGCACAGCTATGCGTAGCTAGATAGATACATACAAATAGATAGATAAAGATAGATATTATATACATGTGTATGAATTGTATTGTGGAATTAAATGCAGCCTGAAAAAATTGCTTTAATTATATAATATGTAAAAAATTTCTCTATCATGATTAAAATCTTCCCCTCCTTTTTAATAGTTACAGAGCAACTCAATATGCACCTAATTCCTTTTTGTAATCCCTTGTTGGTCTACTAATTTTTCCCATAAATATCAACATTCAAATGATAAAAAGGAAATTGTCACACCATAGAATTTTGGAAATTTGGGAAAAAAATGATAGTCAAAATCCTTATACTATATTTTTTCAATGCTTTATTGCCAATAGTAACTTAAAAATAAGCGCATTTTGTTATTCATACTAGATTAAGAACTATATGAAACATATGTATTTGTTCCACTCTCTTTTTCTCTATTGTCACCTCCCAAAAGGAGTGAAAGATTCAGTGTAGCTTTTCCCTGTGATTTCCATTTCTCCTGTACATATATCCTTAGTGAGGTGAGAGGAAGGGAGGTTACAGGGAAGATAATTATATTTGGGGAATTTTATTTATTTATTTATTTATTTATTTTTCTGAGACGGAGTCTCGCTCTGTCACCCAGGCCGGAGTGCAGTGGCGCGGTCTCGGCTCACTGCAAGCTCCGCCTTCTGGGTTCACACCATTCTCCTGCCTCAGCCTCCCGAGTAGCTGGGACTACAGGCTCCTGCCACCACGCCTAGCTAATTTTTTTGTATTTTTAGTAGAGACGGGGTTTCACCGTGTTAGCCAGGATGGTCTCCATCTCCTGACCTCGTGATCCACCCGCCCCGGCTTCCCAAAGTGCTGGGATTACAGGCGTGAGCCACCGTGCCCGGCCCTATTTGGGGAGTTTTTAAAGTGTGCAATGGCATGCCTTAGTGCGGGGCTAAAAACCAGCATGAGCCAAAGTTGGATAAAAGTCAAAAAGGAATTTCAATGAAATTCAATAACAATGATAAAAACAAAGTAAATACAAAATGTAGCTCAGGTTAACTGAAATGATTAAAAGTTCTTACAGAAAATTGAGTGTTGATTGTATCATTAAATGCTGGCAAAATAAAGCCACTGACAGAATAATCTTGCCATCTCCATTTGAATAAAATATTTCTTCATATGTTGTCTTTTTTTTTTTTTTTTTTTTGAGACAGAGTCTTGCACTGTTGCCCGGGCTGGAGTGCAGTGGTGCAAACTTGGCTCACTGCAATCTTTGCCTCCTGGGTTCAAGCGATTCTCCTGCCTCATTTTAATGTCATATTTCTTTAAACTAAAAAGCTCCTGGAATTTTAAACTTGTCATCACTCTGGATTAATTCAGGAAAACTCTCTGTAAGCATAAATGTCTACTATGGGGCATGTGCTGCTCCTGTTAATAGTATGGTGGTAATACAGGTATATTTGCTATTACAATACTTTAAATATTATTTCCCTACAGTATTAAACAATCACATCAAATGTTTGGAGATATGCTATGATAGCAGTGCTTGCAGCACATCTAAAGAAATGAAAATCATTTTTGTAACATCTCAAAAATTCATCTATATCTTTATCTGCTTCTTGTTAGCACCAGTGTAATCATTTCTAAATGGTCAGAAATTGTCCCCGGGCTATCAAAAATAAAAGGTACATGATAAACATGAAATATTAAAACCTAACAAGCTCTAAATAAACAGCACCACCTTAGGCCAGGGAACAACTTGCCTTGATCAACTGCTTTAGAGAAACCCTCCATTATGTCTTGAAGCATCACCTCTCCCTACCAGGACAAAAGTTTAGCAAGCTAATGGGACATGCCCACTTAGTGGCCAGAACCCTCTTCTAGACTACCTGGAACGCTAACATTCTCCACAGCTTCCAGTAGATAGCTAATTTGCCAAGGTTGCAAGGACAAATAGCGGTCTGGACTCTAAATATGGCTCTTGTTTCACAACTTGTGTTCTTAGCTACTTTCTGTACCGAATTAACAACTAGTGCAATAACATTATTTAGAAAAGTTACATTACACTGAGATATGCCCTAAATCCAATAAACTGAAAACAAATGAAGATATCATTCTAAATTTCTCAATAATTTAAGTATATCAGTCTTTAAGTGCTACTTTCTAGACTTCTGTTATACCATGACTCAGAAGCCGAAAAAGTTCTGTCAAAACTTAGCTAGTAATATAATTCTGACTGATTTGATTTGATGACAGAAAAACCAACTATATATTACAAAAAGCAATAATTTAGTTTTGTTTTAGCAGGTATCAGGCATTATGCATCAAGCCTTTAAATCAACATTGTCTAATAGGGAATAAATTGCACCAGGTTTCTTTTGTCTAGTGTTTTCAAACATGCCTTTTAAAAAATCTTTTTATCCATGTGATGATGTTTTAATTGGAATATTTTATCCATTTATTCTTTACAATAGTATGGTCTATTACTATTTTACATCATTACTCTTGAAAGTCAGTTACTTGGCTGGAACCCATGGCACATGCCTGTAATCCCAGCACTTTGGGAGGCTGAAGTGGATGAATCCCTTCAGCGCAGGAGTTTGAAACCAAGCTGGACAACATGGCAAAACCCCATCTCTACAAAAAAAAAAAAAGACAGAAATTAGCTGGGCATTGTGGTGTGCACCTGTAGTACCAGCTAATTGGGAGGCTGAGGTGGGAGGATTAGCTGAGTCCAGGAGGTAGAGGCTGCAGTGAGCTGTGATCAAGTCAGCTACAGGTCTTATTGTTGCTGCTTTAAAGATAATGCATTTTTATCCCTCTACCTGCTTTTAAAATGTATTCATCTCCCCTATCTGCTTTCTAAATTCTTTGGTTTTGTTTTTCAGGTTTACACAAGTTATTGAACATATAGCTTCATATTTTCATCATGTTTTAAAATTCTAAGCCAGTATTTATTTAAATATAGTTTCTACTTTCTGCCTTATTTTCTCCCTGCTTTTCTTCTGAGACTCCAATTACACATTTTGTTTCAGATGCTCTCTTATGCATATTTTTTCCTTTTGAGCATCATCCTGGATACTTTACTCCAAATATTTCACGGTTGTTTAATTCTCTTCTCCACTGTGCCACATCTTCTACTAAATCTACCTTAAGTTAACAATTTAATTTTATTATTTTAGATAATCCATTTGATTATTTTATATATATTTCAGTTTTTGGTGAAATTTTTGACCTACTATTTTATATTTTTTGAGCATTTTTATCACAGCTATTTCAAATTTCATAAGTTCTGAATTTAAGCCTGTTTTTATTGTCTTGTTTTTGTAGTTGTTTGTATTTGTTTTGTGTGTGTATGTGGTAAGTAGTGTGTGGTGTATGTGTGTGTGTGTATGTGTGTGTGTATGTGGGTAGGTGTGTGTGTTTATGCCAGTTTCTTGGTATACCTAGTAATTTTTCGTTGAATGTTGCACTTTATGTATGATAAATAATGGATGTTTTTGATGATGTAATCTTCTCCAAAGGGGATTTATCCTGTCCTCTGGTTGGCTGATAGACTTGGGGGAAATTACGTTAATTCATTGGGTATTTAACTGATTAAGGCTGGATTAGAACTTTTATAGTTTCCACTTATCTCTGTTTTACCACAGCTATCAGGATATAGCTCTCCGGGGATTCCAAATGAAAGGCTATGATGCTTACAGGTTACCTTCTTTTTGAGCAGGTCCTGAAGTACATTTCTATTTCTGTCTTTGAGAGCATGGGATTATATAGTATTCAACACTAACCTTCTGAAGATTTTGTGTAGTTTCTAAAGCTTTTCTTCTGTGCAGTTTATGTATTCATCTAATGCTTAGAAGCAAAATTATCGAATGTCAGATTCACTTCTTTGAACATCATTTCTTAACTATTGGTTCATATGTCTTGATTGCTTTGATAGCCCTAACTCTGTTTTCTCCTTCTCCAGCCCCATATAATTTCCAAAATTTCTGCTTCCTTGACCTTATTTACATGTCTCTGTCCCTCTTCTTGGGATCAATCATTATACTTACAATTGAAAACTATCTCAAGAGAAAATTGACATCTGAACTATAGGCTCACCTCTTAGATTTGCTGCTTTACAAGATATTACCCATCAAGTCCTGATTGCATTGACAGCTCATCAAAATCTTCAAACATATTTTTTTTTTTCTTAAAATACTATGCCTGGATTTTCAAAATAGTCTAGACTGGAGCATTGGTCTCTTACAATATAATGCACCATATATCAAAGCAAGGGTCCAGAAAAAAAAGTTTATTAAAGAGAAATATTATTTTTTCTAATGGTTTAAATATATAGAAGTAACAACAAACTTAAAAAACCCCTTTGTTTATGTGAACCATTTACTTAGTTTTATTATAAACATCTCATTACCAACTTCTAAATTATAAGATTCTAACATCACCCAAACATACAACTATGTTTCTGCTTTCTCCAATCATATTTTATCTCCAGGTCATGGAACCAATGCTTAAATGTATTTTTAAATAAACATGAAAAGGTGATGTCTATTTTTTTTTTTTTACTAAATGATTCTAATCTAAAGTTAATTGAATTATGCCTAAAAACAAAATTACTATACACTTCTTGCCTACCTTTTAAAGTGTTTCTCCTCTTATACTTCTGCTGAAATCTTGAAGTCAGAAGTTAGATATTTTAAAGTCAGTCCATTAATTTTAATTCCATCACTGGCTCCTCTATATATTGGCATTGGAACTACACACAGAAAACGTATTTGCTTTTTAAATTTAGATTTTTTTCTGACAAAGATCTTTGACATAGCTATGTATATTTGCTATATCCCCCCTAATTTAGATAATAATTTATATGCAGGATTAATAGATTTTTCAATGCAAGACTATTAATAGTTTTAAGCACTTTATAAGTGTAACATGGAAAAGATAGTACTTTGATGGGATATAAAGAGGAATACAACATATCTTCAAGGGGACACAATCTCATGGCATGACTATATATAAAATAGGAAAGAGGGATAATGTGTTAAAATTGTGCTACAATGATCATTTTGTTGACTTCAGAATCATGAGATTTTAATAACATTCTAACACGTTATACAGAAACAAGTCTACTGATAAAAAGGAAATCTATTTAAATATGTATTAATGTTGTTTAATATCAATCAGATCTCAAAACAAGTGAATTATAGTTAAAAGCTTCCAATTTTGAGATAAGTTCTTATAGTCAATTTTTACATTATATAAGCTCATTTTTCACAAATCACAGTTATAATAAACTGCCTGATGAAATTTTCCTTCAAACTTTTTTATGAAGCCAACTTAAACTGCTCCTTTATTATTTGATAGCATCACAAATAATAACTTGGTGAACATAAAGGAAAGACAAAATAAAACATGAGATCAACTCAAAATTAGCAACCTGCATCTTTGCTCATTTCAGAGAATATTACACTAACTTTATCAATAAGGTCATGCATTGCTTAACGATGAGGATACATTCTGATAAATGTATCCTTAGGAGATTTCATCCTTGTGCAAATATAGAGCATACTTCAAAAATCTAGATGGTGTAGCGTACTGCACACCTAAGCTATATGGTATAGCTGATTGCTCCTAGACTACAAACCTGTATAGCATGTTACTGGGCTGAATATTGTAGGCAATTGTAACACAATGGTAAATGTTTGTGTGTCTAAACATTTCTAAACAGAAAAGGTACAGAAAAAATATGGTATTATAATCTTACAGGACCACTGTCATATATATGGTCCATTGTTGACCAAAACATTATGCAGCACATGGCTGTAGTTGTAAATAGCAACAGAGGTGAAAGTCTTGTGTTTAGGGCCTGAGTTGGGACTGGAATGCTGGGAGTCCTGAGCAAATTGAGTCTTCAGGTTTGCAAATGGTACTTCATATTTGTTAATAATAAAATGCCAAGTGGGGATTAAGCAGTAGATCTTTTGTATATTATGTGCTAGGATAAGGATTTCCATCCTTGCCTCCTTCTAATGTTGATATTGGAGCCTATTCACTCCCCATCTCAGACTCAGCTGAGTTTTAGAGAGCAATCATAGTCTTTTACGAAGGGGTTTGAGAAAACTGTGGGCAGTAACTTCTGAAATCAGCATCAATTTAGGCTTGAGGCTTTTGCTGATCTGACCTTAGTACTGATGCTAATTTCTTTTGTTGACTTTCCACTCCATTTCTGCGTTACAAGAGGCTGGAAGCTTGTGCACTACATTTAAAAAAAAATTTATTTTATTTTATTTTAAGTTCTGGGATACATGTGCAGGAAGTGCGGGTTTGTTACATAGGTAAACGTGTGCCATGGTGGTTTGTTAATGCATGCAGGGGTTAATACCTAGGTAATGGGCTGAAAAGTTTTAAAGCACACATTATTGTTTTTTACTACTGTGTTCTATATCAAATGCCATTTTTTGATAATTAACTTTCTATGAAAATTCTTTATTTTAATTATTTTCTTCCTACATATTAAAAAAGTTAACTTGAATAAAATAAAGAGACATATACTTAAAAAAACAAGGAACACATTTCTATGTCAAAAGTATCCACAAAATTTGGCTGGATTTACTTTTGTAATTTCAGATTCATCAGATTTTAATAATATTCTAACACATTATACAGAACTCGGTCTACTGATAACCATTTCATAAAAAGAAATCTATTTAAGTATGTATTAATATTGTTTATTATCAATCAGAGCTCAAAATAATAAGTGAAATATTCATTAATATTGGAACTTATCTCCAATTTTGAGGTAAGTTCTTTTTGTTAAAATTTCTTCTAAAAAAATGGGATACATGTGCAGAATGTGCAGGTTTGTTACATAGGTATATGTGTGCCCTGGTGGTTTGCTGCACCTATTGACATGTCCTCCAAGTTCCCTCCCATCATCCCCCACCCCCAAGAGGCCCTGGTGTGTGAAGTTCTCCTCTCTGTGTCATTGTGTTCTCATTGGTCAGCTTCCACATATGAGTGAGTACATGTGGTATTTGGTTTTCTGTTCCTGTGTTAGTTTGCTGAGGATAATGGCTTCCAGCTTCATCCATGTCCCTGCAAAGAACATGATCTCATTCCTTTTTATGGCTGCATAGTATTTCATGGTTATATATACCACGTTTTCTTGTTTTAGTCTAGCATTGATGGGCCTTTCGGTTGGTTCCATGTCTTTGCTATTGTAAATAGTGGTGTAATAAACATACGTGTGCATGTGTCTTTATAGTAGAATGATTTATATTCCTTTGGGTATATACCCAGTAATGGGGTTGCTGGGCCAAATAATATTTCTGGCTCTAGATACGTGAGAAATAGCCACACTGTCTTTCACAATGCTTGAATTAATTTATATTACCACCAACAGTGTAAAAGCGTTCCTATTTTTCCACAGCCTCACCAGCATGTATTGTTTCCTGACTTTTTAATAATCGCCATTCTGACTGGTGTGAGATGATACCTCACTGCGGTTTTGATTTGTGTTTCTCTGATGATCAGTGATGTTGAGCCTTTTTTCATGTTTGTTGGCTGCATAAATGTCTTCTTTTGACCAAGTGTCTGTTCATATACTTTGCCCACTTTTCGATGGGGTTGTTTGTTTTTTGCTTGTAAATTTAAGTTCCTTGTAAATTATGGATATTAGGCCTTCGTCAGATGAATATATTGCAAAAATATTCTCCCATTCTGTAGGTTGCCTGTTCACTCTGATGATAGCTTTTTTTTTTTTTTTTTTTTTTTTTTGCTGTGCAGAAGCTCTTTAGTTTAATTAGATCCCATTTGTCAGTTTTGGCTTTTGTTGCAATTGCTTTTGGCATTTTTGTCATGAAGTCTTTGCCTATGCCTGTGTCCTGAATGATATTGCTTAGGTTTTCTTCTAGAGTTTTTATGGTTTGGGTTTTACATTTAAGTCTTTTAATCAATCTTAATTTTTGTATAATGTGCAAGAAAGGTTCAGTTTCTGTTTTCTGCATATGGCTAGCCAGTTTTCCCAGCACCATTTACTGAATAGGAGATCCTTTCCCCATTGCTTGTTTTTGTCAGTCTTGTCAAAGATCAGAGGGTTGCAAATGTGTGGTCTTACTTCTGAGGTTTCTGTCCTACTCCATTGGGCTATATGTCTGTTTTGCTACCAGTATCATGTGGTTTGGTTACTGAAGCCTTGTAGTATAGTTTGAAGTTAGCGTGATGCCTCCAGCTTTGTTCTTTTAGGTTAGGATTGTCTTGGCTATACTGGGTCTTCTTTGATTCCATATGAAAGTTAAAATAGTTTTTTTCTAATTCAGTGAAGAATGTCAGTGGTAGTTGATGGGAATAGTGTTGAATCTATAAATTATTTTGGGCAGTATGGTCATTTTCACGGTATTGATTCTTCCTATCCATGAGGATGGAATGTTTTTCTATTTGTTTGCCTCCTCTCTTATTTCCTTGAGCAGTGGTTTGTAGTTCTTTTTGTAGAGGTCCTTAACATGCCTTGATAGCTGTATTCCTAGGTATTTTATACTCTGTAGCAATTGTGAATGGGAGTTTGTTCATGATTTGGCTCTCTGCTTGTCTATTGTTGGTGTAGAGGAATGCTTCTGATTTTTGCACATTGATTTTGTATCCTGAGACTTTGCTGAATTTGCTTATCAGTTGAGAAGTTTTTGGGTTGAGATGGTGGGGTTTTCTAAATATAAAATTGTGTCACATGCAGAGACAATTTGACTTCCTGTTTTCCTATTTCAATACCCTTTTTTTTTTCTCTTGCATGATTGCCCTGGCCAGAACTTCCAATACTATATTGAATAGGAGTGGTGAGAGAAAGTATCCTTGTCTTGCATCTGTTTTCAAAGGGAATGCTTCGAGCTTTTGCCCATTCAATATAACATTGGCTATGGGTTTGCCATAAATAGCTCTTATTATTTTAAGATATGTTCCGTCCATACCTAGTTTGTTGAGAGTTTTTAAGATGAAGCATTTTTAACATGATTTTGAATTTTATCAAAGGCCTTTTCTGCATCTATTGAGACAATCATGCGGTTTTTGTTTTGGTTCTATTTATGTGATGGATTATGTTAACTGACTTGCGTATGCTGAACCAGCCTTGCATCCCAGGGACGAAGCCGACTTGATTGTGGTGGATAAGTTTTTGATGTGCTGCTGGATTTGGTTTGCCAGTATTTTACTGAGGATTTTTGCATCAATGTTCATCAGGGATATTGGCCTGAACTTTTTTTTTTTTGTTGTTGTGTCTCTTCCTGGTTTTGTTATCAGGATGATTCTGGTTTCATAAAATGAGTTAGGGAGAAGTCTTTCCTTTTCAATTGCTTGGAATAGTTTCAGAAGGAATGGTACCAGCTCCTCTTTGTATTTCTGGTAGAATTCTGCTGTGAATTCGTCTGGTCCTGGGCTTTGTTTTTGGTTGGTAGGCTATTAATTGCTGCTTCAATTTCAGAACTTATTATTGGTCTATTCATGGATTTGACTTCTTCCTGGTTTAGTCTTGGGAGGGTGTATGTGTCCAGGAATTTATCCATTTATTCTAGATTTTTTTAGCTTATTTGCATGGAGGTGTTTGTCGTATTCTTTGATGATAGTTTGTATTTCTAGTAAGTTCTTATAGTCAATGTTTAACTTACGTAAGCTCCATTTAGACAAATCACAGTTATAATAAACTACATAATAAAAATTTACATTTTTATATATAAAAATTACATATGTTTCTATATGAATATATATTATATATAATTTATATATACTTATATAAATTTAGAGCTAGTTATCTTCTATAATAATAAACACATCAAAGAATTATGGCATATACCCATAAACCAAAACAAATAAAAACTAATCAAATAAATTCTCTGAAGATAATATGTAATGTCATATTATTGTGACAAAAAGTACTGTACAAGGCTTAATATTTCCCCTAGAGTCTATACTCAGAAAACAGTATATAATGTAATAAAGGATAAACACCATTTTTGTGCCACCAGACACAGGTCATTTGTAAATCCAAGTTTTGAATAGTTTTTAAAGATGAGGGAACAAATGTTCTATTTTCTGATGGAGCATCCCATTGTCTCTACCATGTGTTTGTGCATATGTTGATTGCCATTTAGAAGCAAGAAAAAAATAACATTGCAGTCGATTGAGCACAGTTGTGAAGACACATTACTTTCCACTGAACATATTTTAAACTTGTGTGAATTTCAATTTCTTTATGCAGAAATTATAGTAACTATGTAAAGCCATGTCTTGAATACTGCCCTAACGGTCTGCATTTTATTAATATGTGATTAAGTAAATGTTGACTGAGCTAGGGCTCAGGCTTGGAGATTCTCAGTGAAATAAGGACACCAAATGTGTTTTGTGTAACAGAACTTCGACCAAACTCGTGTTTTTCAATGTATTTTAAGGGAGAGAGTCACATACAGAATAAGCTTTACTTTTTGGTTTTATTATAGATTGAAATTACCCAAGATAGATTCAGTATTCAAAGAATTTCCTGCAACATGAACATGACTGGAAAAATAATTTTCAACATTCAATTTGGTGAACTGCTGAACTTTGTTAATATTTTTTGCAGTGTTCAATTTAATTTTAATAAATTGCATAGCTCTGGCAACAAAGTGAAGTCTAAAGATTGAAAGCCTGAATAGGTCAAAGGAAAAGTTAGCTTGCCAATGCAAGCCTGTTTAAACACTAACTAAAAAATTAGACAGGAAAAACAGTTTAAAAAAATATTGAGAGTATCTTTGATCATCAGGTGGTTGAAAAGAAGTAATATGACAAACAGGAAATTACAAAGAATAACTATTTTGACTATAGTGGAAATAGCGACTTAGGCAGCAGCCACATTTCAAACTAAATGCAGAGTATTTTCTTAGAACTTAAAGAAAAAGTATCCAGATGTCAAAATATTCTAGTCAATGCAGCTTTTATTTGGAGTTTGGCAAGACTTCAGAAAACTAGTAGTCAAGTTTAGCTGGAATACTTTTTTCAACCTATTTACATAATTTTACACATATTTTAGGCTTCTGCATTACATTTTTTAGCAGTGGCCATATTTAATTTTCAGTTTTCTGAAAATGTTACATTT
Source organism: Homo sapiens (assembly GCF_000001405.40). Classification (NCBI taxonomy): domain Eukaryota; kingdom Metazoa; phylum Chordata; class Mammalia; order Primates; family Hominidae; genus Homo; species Homo sapiens. The sequence goes on along the minus strand of NC_000008.11, from coordinate 77,865,700 downwards.
GTTTGTATGAATTATTGTATTGTTTCCTATCAAAATGTTTGAGTATAAACTCCATACTTAACTTGTGAACAATTTCAAACAGTGTTGAAGACAAACTTATGTAATGATATAATTAAATATTCTAATAAGTATCTCCATGTATTTGCACCATTCTACTCTCGAATATGAAAAGCTTCACCCTAACAAAGGAAATTAAGATACTCTGTCATTTACATATTTCACACAAGTGTATGTTTATTTTTAGGATTTCAAAACTGTATAAAGGAAATTTGCTTTATACCTGTATTATAGCATATTGGCCAACGTGGTTTAGTGTAATTATATGATAAAACCTCCCTTAGAAAGGTTTCATTATGAATATTTTCTAGGAGGTGTTCAATAAGTGAATGTAGGAATAACAACTAAAATAGCAAATAACTCCTTTATTTGTGTTGTCTAATTAAAACTTAATAGCTTGTTACCTTTTGTGTTAGGTACTACAATTATACCAATTTCTAATTTAAAAAAAAATTAGGCATAGGGAGTTTCAGTACTGTGTCTAAGGTCACAAAGTGATTAAACTTTAAAAGCAGTATTCAAACTCAACTTAGCCTAATTTTATTTTCTTATTATTTTTATGTTTTTACTTCAATATTTTCAATTTTTAATTTTCATGGGTGCATAGTAGGTGTATACTTTATAGGGTATGTGAGATATTTTGATCAAGCCTACAATGTGTAATAATCACAGCATGGTAAATGGAGTATCCATTCCCTCAAGCATTTATCCTGTGTTAGAAACAGTACATTTACACTATTTTTGTTATTTTTAAATGTACAATTAAATTATTCTTGACTAGATTCACCCTGTTGTGCTATCAAATACTATATCTTATTCATTCTTTCTATTTTTTGTACACATTAACCCTCCTCACTTGACCCCCACTCTCACCCACTACCCTTCCCACTCCCACCCACTACCCTTCCCACTCCCGCCCACCACCCTTCCCAGCCTCTGGTAACTATCATTTTACTCTCTTATCTTCTTGAATTCAATTGATTTAACTTTTAGCTTCCACAAATAAGTGGGAATATGCAAAGTTTGTCTTTCTGTGCCTGGATTATTTCACTTAATATGATGACCTCTAGTTCTATCCATGTTATTGCAAATGGCAGGATGTCATTATTTTTTATAACTGAATAGTACTCCACTGTGTATGTTTACCATATTTTCTTTATCCACTCATCCATAGATGGACATTTAGGTTGATTTCAAATCTTGGCTATTGTGAATAGTGCTGCAATAAACCTGGGAGTGCAGATATCTCTTCAATTTGCTGGTTTTCTTTCTTTGAGAGATATACGTAGCAGTGGAATTGCTGGATTATATGGTAGCTTTATTTTTAGTTTTTTGAGAAGACTCCAAACTGTTCTCTATAGTGTTTGTACTAATTTACATTCCCATCAACAGTATACAAGGGTTCCTTTTTCTCCACATTCTCGCCAGCATTTGTTATTGCCTGTCTTTTGGATAAAAGCCATTTTAACTGGGTTGAGATGATATCTCATTGTAGTTTTAATTTGCATTTCTCTGATGATGAATGATGGTAGCACCTTTTCATATACCTGTTTGTGATTTGTATGCCATCTTTTGTGAAATGTCTAGTCATATCTTTTGCCCATTTTTAATCAAATTCTTAGGTATTTTTCTATAGAGTTGTTTGAGTTTCTTATATATTCTAGTAATTAATCTCTTGTCAGATGGAGAGAGTGCAAATATTTTCTCCCCTTCTATGGATTGTTTCTTCACATGGCGAATTGTTTCCTTTGCTGTGCAGAAGCTTTTTAACTTGATGTGATCCCATTTGTCCATTGTGGTTTGGTTGCCCGTGGTTGTGGGTTATTACTCAAGAAATCTTTGACCAGTCTAATGGCCTGGAAAGTTTCTCCAATGTTTTATTTTAGTTGTTTCATATTTTGAGGTCTTAAAGTTTTCAATGCATTTTGATTTAGTTTTTGTATATGGCAAGTGATAGGAGTCTAATTTTTATTTTTCTGCATGTAGATGGATATACAGTTTTCCCAGAACTATTTATTGAGGAGACTCCTTTCCCAATAGATGTTCTTAGCACCTTTGTTGAAAATGAGTTTGCTGTAGATGTATGGGTTGGTTGCTGGACTCTCTATTCTGTCATATTAGCCTACGTGTCTGCTTTTATCCAGTGCCATGCTATTTTTATTACTATAGCTCTGTAGAAAAATTTGAAGTCAGGTAGCTCTGTAGAAAAATTTGAAGTCAGGTAGCTCTGTAGAAAAATTTGAAGTCAGGTAATGTGATTCTACCAGTTTGTTATTTTTGCTGAGGGTAGCTTTGGCTATTCTGGGTCTTCTGTGGTTCTATTTAAATTTTAAAATTGGTTTTTCTACTTCTGTAAAAAAATGTCATTGGCACTTTGATAGATTGCATTTAATCTGTAAAATGCTTTGGATACCATGAACATTTTAACAAATGTTGACTCTTCCAATCCATGAACATGGACTATCTTTTCATTCTTTTGTATCCTCTTCTATTTCTTTCATCGATATTTTATAGTTTTCATTGTAGAGATATTTTACTTCTTTGGTTAATTTGTAGATATGTAATTTTATTTGTAACTACTGTAAATGTGTTTACTTTCTTGATTTCATTTTCAGACTGTTTGCTGTTGACATATAGAAATGCTATTAATTTTTGTATGCTAATACTGTATCTTGCAACTTTACTGAATTTGTTTCTTCAGTTCTAATAGATTTTTGGTGGAGTCTTTAGGATTTTCCAAATATAAGATCACATTGCTGGCAACCAAAGATAGTTTAACCTCTTACTTTCCTATCTGGATGCCTTTTATTTCTTTCTGTTTCATTGTTCTAGCTAGGACATCCAGTACTATGCTGAATAATAGCGGTGAAAGTAGCCATCCTTGTTATGTTCCAGATCTCAAAGGAAAGAATTTCAGTTTTTCCCCCTTCAGTATGATACTAGCTGTGGATCTGTCATACATGGCTTTATTATGTTTAGGTATGTTTCTTCAATACCCATATTTTTTGATGGCCTTATTATGAAGGAATGTTGAATTTTATCAAAGTTATTTTTTACCCTCAATTGAAGTAACCTTATGGTTTTTGTCCTTCATTCTGTTGATATGATGGATCACATTGATTGATTTCCATATGTTGCACCATCCTAGCATCCCCAGAATAAATCTCAATTGGTCATGATAAATGATCTTTTTAATGTGTTGTTGAATTAGTTTTGCTAGTATTTGGTTGAGGATTCTTACGTCAATGTTCATCAAGGGTGTTTGCCCTTTTTTTTTTTTTTTCTTTTTCTTCATATGTCTTTATCTGGTTCTGGTATCAGAGTAATACTGGCTTCACAGAATGAGATGAATTTGGAAGTATGCACCCCTCCTCTATTTCCTGGAATACCTTGACCCAGATTTGCACCGGCCACCCCCAAGCCATCACCACCTTCAGTGTAACCATGCACAATTTCTCCATCGGGGTCCCCATCCTCCCCTGCAGCTGTGTTGTCTATGCCAATGTGGTGAATGCCCACAGGGAGGCAGGCACCCTTGCAACTGCTAGCACTCTAGTTCTTTAAGTGTTTGGTAAATTTCAGCAGTGAAGCCACTGGGTCCTGGGCTTATTTTGGGGAGGTTTTATATTATGGCTTTAATCTCATCATATCTTATTGGTCTCTTCAGGTTTTGGATTTCTTTATGGTTCAATCATTGTAGGTTGTATGTGTTGTGAACCCCAAAAATCTGAAACAGTTCTCAGTTAATTTAGAAAGTTTATTTTGATGAGGTTGAGGACACACACAGCCTCAGGAGGTCCTGACAACATGCACCCAAGGTGGTCAGAGCATAATTTGGTTTTGTACATTTTAGTGAGACATGAGACATCAATCAACATATGTAAGATGAACATTGGTTTGGTGTGGAAAGACACGGGGCAACCGGAAGCAGGGAGGGGACTTCCAAGACATAGGTAGATGAGAGACAAATGGTTGCTTTCTTTTGAGTTTCTGATTAGCCTCTCCAAAGCAGGCAGTCAGATATGCATTTATCTCAGTGAGCAGAGGGGTGACTTTGAATAGAATGAGAGACATGTTTGCCTTAAGCAGTTCCCAGCTTGCCTTTTCCCTTTAGCTTAGCAATTTTGGGGGCCTAAGATATTTTTCTTTCAGTTCCTAGAAATTTATCCATCTCTTCTAGGTTTTTTAATTTATTGGCGTATAGCTCCTCATAGTAGCCTTTAATGAGCTTTTGAATGTCTGTGGTACCAGCTGCAATGGTTCCTTTATCATTTCTGATTTCCTTTATTTTGTTCACTTTTTCTTAGTCTAGTATAGGTCTGTCAATTTTGTTTACCTTTAAAAAAACAACTTTTCATTTCTTAGATCTTTTGTATTATTTTGTTCATCTCAATTTCATTTATTTCTGCTCATCTTCATGATTTCTTCTCTTGTACTAATTTTGGGTTTGATTTGTTCTTGCTTTTTTAGTTTTTTAAGATGCACTTTTGGTTTGTTCATTGGAAGTTTTTCTACTTTTTTGATATAAGAATTTATGGCTTTAATCTTCCCCTTAGTACTGCTTTCACTGTATCCCATAGGTTTTGGTATGTTGTCTTTTCATTAACATTTGTTTCAAGAAATTCTTCAAATTCCTTTTTAATTTCTTTATTGACTCACTTGTCATTCAGGAGGATATTGCTTAATTTCCATGTGTTTGTATTGTTTCCAAAATTCTCCTTGTTATTGATTCTAGTGTTATTCCATTGTGGTCAGAGAAAATTTTTAATATAACTTCATTTTTTTAATATTTTATGAGTTGTTCTGTAGCTTAACATATGGTCCCTCCTTGAGAATAATCTATTTGCTAGACAGAAAAATGTGTATTCTGTAGCCATTAGATGAAATGTTCTCTAAATGTCTCTTAGGTCCATATGGTCTACAGTACTGATTAAGTCCAATATTGTTTATTGCTGTTCTCTCTGGATAATATCTCCAATGCTGAAAGTGGGGTGTTGAAGTCTCCAGCTATTGTTGCATCGGGGCCTATCTCTCTCTTTAGCTCTAACAATACTTGCTTTATATACCTGGGTATATATATATTTGCTGTAGCGTTGTGTACATATATATTTATAATTGTTATACTCTTTTGCTGAATTGACCCCTAAATTATTATATCATGTTCTTCTTTGTCACTTTTGATAGTTTTTGTCTTGACATCTATTTTGTCTAAGTATAGATACTACTGCTCTGTTTTTGGTTTCCATTAGAGTCTTCGCATTTAACCACTCTGCTAAAGAAAGAGGAAAGACTAAACAAAATAAAATAAGTAAACAATAGCTACAATGAAACAAAAAGGACCAGAAAACAATTAGGTCCTATTTGTTAGCAATAGAATAACAACTGCAAGAAACATTTCTTGGCTAACACTAGAAAAGGACAGGAAATAAGTGGAATAAATATTTCCTGATTGTGGGTAGCTGAGGTTGAATCTAGATGTCAAGTTCTGTTGCTTAGTTGTAAGCAATAGAAATGGATGGCCTATTTAATCAGAGAATAAATGGGTTTAAAGTATACTGTGTAGTTCACAGATGCTTCGGGAATAGTGGAGTACGGGGGAAGAAAACGGTCAGGAACAAAGAAGCCTATGAAGATATAATTACATTTCTAGAACTATTTTACTGAGAAATACTCCACCATCACTACTAGACCCTTGAAGCTGCAGCATATACAATCAATTACAAGGTCACTGGGTTCTGGAATCATGCTCTGGCCCTGCTTAAACTGGGTGTTGCTAGCGCTCTCCTTGCCAGAAAAGGATCTCTACTGTGTTTGTTTCTTTGCTTCACTGCTCTGATGGAGATGCATTGGATGACAGATCTTTCTTGTCATAGGCATGTGAAGTATTTGCAAGGAAGACTGAAAAAAAATGTATGTGTGATATATCAGTCAGGGTTTAACCAAAGGAGCAATACAAATAGAAGATATGCGTATATGCAGGAGTGTGTGTGTGGTGGTGTGCATGTATGTTTGTGAGAGTGTGTATGTGAGTGAATTGGCTTTCATAATTGTGTTGTAAGCTAAATAAACCCAAAGTTTACGGGCAAGCACCCAGGAAGAGAAGATGAATGGGGGAAAAGAAAGAAATTGCAGATCCAGCTATGGCTTGGAGTCTCTTATTTTCACAGAAGGCTTATTTCTGTCTTTAAGAGACTTCCCTTTGATTTATTCAGCTCCAACAAGAATAATCTCCATTTTTATTATCTCAAAATCGACTGATTTGGAATTTTAATTGCATCTAAAATATTTCTTTACAACAACATTTCAACTGAAATTTGATGAAAATAGATGTCGCAAATAAATGCTTTCTCTCTGACATTCTTCAGTTCTCACTAAATAAACTCGTATTTTCTACTCTAGCTAGAAATGTACTAGAAAGGGAATTCTTGGGGATGTAGTTCAGCCTGCCACATAAATACATCACTAAGCCATTATAGTTTACCTTTTGTATGGCACATACATACTCTTAAACCATATTTAATCTTCAAATGAATACAATAGCAAAATAATCATTTCGTTTAAGGCAACTACCCTACCTACAACTGAAAACACGTTTATCTTGTCTGAAGAAAAGACAGTCTTTGAACAAACATATTCACTCACTCTTCTCTTAGCTTATTTAGACTCCCTGTTTGATATCTGTAACTTAATACTAAAAACATATATTATTTAAAAATGTTATGTTGAATGGTAAGCGGAAGAAGAGGTAGATTTCTTAAAGTTTGGTAATATATATGCAGAGCAAGTCAAAATTAAAAATAATTATAACTATTACATAAATCTTTATTTGTGCAACTGGTCATATAACCATAGCTGATATTTACCTTTTTCACTACCAATTTCATATTTCCTTTGGCCTCAGTAAGTGCTGCACCTTATCACGGGTCTTTGCCTAGTGAGGTGAGTTAAACCTTCGTTCTTTGAAGGGTGTAAGCCATAGGCCTGACTGAATTGAGTTTCAGTTTTTTTTATTTACTCAGTCACAAGACAGACTATCACCTATATTCCATATATATTCCTCTTTACTCTTCTTGTTTAATAGCAATTCGATTTCCCATTGATAGTCAGGATCAATTACTACAGATAGCATAATAACTCCTCTTTTTGCCTGTTAATTCAGAGGCATGAGAAGAGCATGAAACAAGTGGCAATTTAAACTTCCAGTTTAATAGAATTATTGTTTCTCCTGATGAAAATAGTTCTTCCATTTGGACTAAGACCTCTAGATCTGCAAAACATAAAATCATGGTCACAGAAGTAAATGTTTTTCTATGAGATTATTAGGGATGATGGAGAAGCCACTTTATATTTACTTCTTCATTACAGGACTCACATATGCTGTCTATGAGATAAATAACACAATATATTGAACACAGATTTAGAGCATATTTCACATCCCAAAAGATATTGCTCCAGTCCTACAAGGTATTATAATCTATATGGCATTATAATTTGGTTTTCTAAAAGCTATTCCACCTTTCTATCTAGCCAGCTGCTTCAGGATTATGGAGAATATGGTAAAAGCACTGAATTCATGACCATAGCCTTATTTTTAAATTCATTTACTGTGAATTGAATTCCTTGGACATAAGCAATACTGCATGGAGTACTGCGATAGTGAATATTGTGTCCAGTTACTTCACGGATGAAAGTTTCAGCAGAATCATTAAGAGCAGAGAACACAACACCGTATCCAGAGTAAATGTCTCTTCCATTAAAAAATAGTGCTTCCCCTTCTATGATGAAAGCGGTCCAATGTAATCAACCTTCCACCAAATAGCTGACTAATCATGCTGAGGAATAGTGTTCAATGTTGTTCTATAATGTAAACAAATTAAGTACTCTGCAAGTGACTGCATCCAGGTCAGCGTTGGTGAGTAAAAGACCATGTTACTGATCCCATGCCTAACCTTTATTTCTGCTACTATGGCTTCTTTGTTCATAAGTCCATTGGACAATAATGGAAGACGCTTGAGGAAAAAGCTATCTGGTGTGTACAAACTAAGTCATCCTATTTCGCTGATTATTTAAATTCCCTTCACTCCTTAGGTCATCTTTTGGTGAGCATTCACATGGTATCCAAATATCTTCACAATCTGTACCCATTCAGAGACATCTCTCAACATACATTTTTCCAAGACCTCCTTGTATCAATTTCCCAATTGTGTTCCTACTAATGCCATAACCATCCAGCCAAACCATTGGCCACAACGTAAGGATTTGCATAGATTTGTACCTTTGTTTATCTTTATTTTCAAGAAAAAAATGAATAACTGGAGAGACTGATTGAAACTTTGTTCATTTTGTTTTTTTTATTATTGTTTTTCAGAACTGTTTCACAGTGGCATGAAGTATTACTACACTACACTCAGGTGGTACTTGCACATCATGAAGAATGATCAATTAATCCAATTTAAATTTTTATTTCTTCGGTAGTAGAGAATAGGGAAATATAGGTATTGATGAGAGAGACAAAAGGCAGTATTTCAGAAATAGGGGTCACTTCCTCGTGCAACTTCCTTATATATTCATGGTTGGAGCCCAATCCTATATATACTACTTCGTTAGATGATAAAATTCTTCTATGCATGCTCAGCCTTATGACATGGTGTGTCAGACAACACCCAGTTCATGATGGGCAGTTCAAGTTATGTGGTATTCCTGTTGTCCATGGTCAAGCAATCAGTCTCTTCTAAGACCCTAGTCACAAGCCAAAATCTTGTGACTTTCAAAAGGAGAATAACTACAGAGTGTCTATAGTTTTGCTCCAGTATTCTAAGGGTCTGTGCTCTGATATACCTTTACACTCCTGCCATAGGTTCCAAAAGCATCTCTATAAGCCCCACAAGAAACCAGGTAACGCCTTCAACACTTCTCTTGAAATTCTCCTTTACTATGTACCAACTTTATCACTTATACCTTCTGTTTTCCATATGACTGCAGGAAGCAATTTTCTAAGTTTTCTGTTACTACACAACAATAATATTTCTCTTTCCAATAATATTTTTTTCAATATTTTTCTCTTTCTTTTAAGCCATCATCAGCAGAGTCCTTGAAGTCTAGATTTTTTTTACTAAAAGTCAATTTGAAGCAATTTTTTTTAATCATGCCCCTCAACATTTTTTTAGCCTTTACTTTTAGTTTCTGGTCTGGCATGTAAGGAGCTTAGAAGTCACCACTCTGTACTTAAAACAAGTACAAAGCTAAATAAACTGAAAAATCAATAACTCTTTTTAGATTCATAATAGAAAAGAGGACATTGGGCAAATTACAGTCTCAAAAATTGGAAAGAGACAGGCAGATCCAGAGAATCAAAACTTACTGGAGCAGAAAAACTAATGAACAAAAATCTTTATGAGAAGTATTGCTGGGGTAAGAAAACCTAGCTATAATTGACAAATTTCTGGAGGCTTAGTGTAAACAAATCTGAGAGTTAAAAATACCAAGGACTCAGTCACAGGGTAGACATCTACAATTTTATAAAGTTTACCTTTAGGAACTCCATCAGGTCCTCACAGTGGATATTGGAGAAAAATCTCCTTATGTTTCTGGCAGGGAGAGGAAAAAAAAGAACAATTTTCATATACACCAGATAATTCTGTTCTTAACAGGATCTGCTTTCAGGAGAAACTATTTTACCAGAGCTTGATCTGCTGAGGTTTCATTAGAGCCTAACGTACCTGAGGGAAGGAAAACATCCTAATACTGACCCATCTAGACATATCCTCTGATCTCAGAGGGTGACAGAAAATGTGAATCACTGGTGAAGTTCACAGTTCAGGGATACACACTCACCAAGAGATTGATATCTAGTCACAGGACTGTAGAACAATTTCTCACCCCACAAACTTTACCACTACATTTCTAAAGGACTACTTACTACTATTCCTTGTAGACCCACATCATGTCTACCATTTAACAAAGAATTGAAGGGCATACCAAAAGGCAAAACCAAAAAAAAAAAAAAAAAAAAAGAAAAAACATAAAAGAAAACAAACCAAATCAACAACAACAACAACAAAAAAAACTACCCACAGTTTAAAGAGACTGAGCATCTGAACCAGAGTCATATATGAAAAGAAAGCTAAAATTATCAGATCAGAAATTTGAAAAAGAAAACAAACAACCAAGCAAACTATGAATAATATGCTAGGGATTTAAAGTAATAGGTTGAGAACAGATGAATACTGTAGGGAGAGAGATGGAAATTCTAAGAAAGAATAAAAAAGAAATGCTAGAGACCCTAAATATTAAGAAGTGAATAATTCCTTTAATGGGATTATTAGTAGACTGGACATGGCTGAGGATAGACTCTATGAGCTTAAGAATGTGACAATAGAAACACAAAACTGGAAAACAAAGAGAAAATAACTGAAAAATAACCCTGACAAAATAGCCCAGAGCTGTGGGACAACCAAAAAAGGTATAATATACGTGTAAGTGAACATCAAAAGGAGAAGAAATAGAGAATAAAGGACACAGCAGTGCCAAACAAATAAAAAACAAACAAAAAACCCCTATACTCAGGTATATCATAGTCGAATACCAAATAATCAAAGATAAAGAAAAAACTTGATAGAAGTCAGTGGGGAAGGACCACCTTACCTATAGTGGATCAATAATAGGAATTATACCTGACTTCTCCACAGAAACCTGCAATAAAGAAAAGAATGAAATGAACTATTTAAAATAGTGAGGAAAATTAAAAAACAAAAAAAAACGCCAACCCTGAATTATGTACCCTGCAAAATTATTCTTCAAAAGTAGAGAAAAAACAAAGACTTTCTGAGATTAACAAAAATTGAGGAAGTTTGTTGCCAGTAGGCTTACCTTGCAAGAAATGTTAGGATAAGTTCTTTTAACATTCCTTTCAATCTCTCCAAAGAACTTCTTCTAACATTCCTTGCAAGGTACATCTGCTGCCAACAAACTTCCTCAATTTTTGTTTGTTTAAGAGAGTCTTTACTTTTCCTTTACTTTTGAAGAATAATTTTACAGGGTACAGAATTTGGGGTTGGTGGGTTTTTAAAAAATTTTTCTCAACTTTAGCAAAGTCTCAGTATACAAAATCAATTTGCAAAAATCACAAGCATTTCTATACACAAATAAAAGACAAGCAGAGAGCCAAATCATGAGTGAACTCCCATTCACAATTGCTACAAAGAAAATAAAATACCTAGGATTACAACTTACAAGGGATGTGAAGTACCTCTTCATGGATAACTAAAAACCACTGCTGAAGGAAATAAGACAGGACACAAAAAAATGGAAAAACACTCCATGTTTATGGATAGGAGGAATCAATATTGTGAAAATGGCCATAAGCAAAAAAACAAAGCTGGAGGCATCCTGCTACCTGACTTCAAACTATACTGCAAGGCTACAGTAACCAAAACAGCATGGTACTGGTACCAAAACAGATATATAGACCAATGGAACAGAACAGAGTCCTCAGAAATAACACCACACATCTACAACCATCTGATCTTCAACAAACCTAACAGAAACAAGCAATGGGGAAAAGATACTATATTTAATAAATATTGCTGGGAAAACTGGCTAGCCATATGCAGAAAACAGGAACTGGATTCCTTCCTTATACTTTTTACAAAAATTAAGTCAAGATGGATTAAAGACTTTCATTTAAGGCCTAAAACTATAAAAACCCTAGAATAAAACCTAGGCATTGCTATTCAGAACATAGGCATGGGCAAAGACTTCATGACTAAAACACCAAAAGAAATAACAACTAAAGCCAAAACTGACAAATTGGGTCTAATTAAAGTAAAGAGCTTCTGCTCTGCAAAAGAAACTGTCATCAAAGTGAACAGGCAACCTACAGAATGGGAGAAAAAATTTGCAGTCAATCCATCTGACAAAGGGCTAATATCCAGAATCTACAAGGAACTTAAATAAATTTACAATAAAAAAAGCAACCCCATCAAAAAGTAGGCAAAAGATATGAACAGGCACTTCTCAAAAGAAGACATTTATACAGCCAACAAACATGAAAAAAAGCTCATCACTGGTCGTTAGAGAAATGCAAATCAGAATCACAATGAGATACCATCTCACACCAGTTAGAATGGCGATCATTAAAAAGTCTGGAAACAACAGATGCTTGCGAGGATGCAGAGAAATGGGAATGCTTTTACACTGTTGGTGTAAGTGGAAATTAGTTCAACCATTGTAGAAGACAATGTGGCGATTCCTTAAGAATGTAGAACCAGAAATACCCATTTGACCCAGCAATCCCATTACTGGATATATACCCAAAGGAATATAAATCATTCTACTATAAAGATGCATGCACATGTATGTTTATTGCAGCACTATTTACAGTAGCAAAGACTAGGAATCGACCCAAATGCCCATCAGTGATAGACTGGATAAAGAAAATGTGGCACATATACACCATGGAATACTATGCAGCCATAAAAAAGAATGAGTTCATGTCCTTTGCAGGGACATGGATGAAGCTGAAAACCATCATCCTCAGCAAACTAACATAGGAACAGAAAAACAAACACTACACGTTCTCACTCATAAGTGGGAGCTGAACAATGAGAACACACGGACACAGGGAAGGGAACATTATACACTAGGGTCTGTCAGGTGGTGGGGAAAAGGGGAGGGAGGGAATTAGGACAAATACCTAATACATGCGGACTTTAAAACCTCGATGACGGGCTGATAGGTGCAGTAAACCACCATGGCACATGTATCCCTATGTAACAAACCTGCACGTTCAGCACATGTATCCCAGAACTTAAAGTGAGATTTAAAAAAAAATAATAAAATAAAATACAAAAGAAAATGATGTAAGTCAGAAACATGGAAGGAGATTAAGAAAGAGCATCAGACAATAAGTTAGGGTAAAATAAACATTTTATTTTATTTATTGTTAATTGAGCTAACAAATAATTTTGCTCAAAATATTAATAGCAACAATATACTTGATTATGTGTTGTCATGTAGGTATTTATGTAGAGTGTGCATGTATTTGTATGTTTATGTTTATATATGTTATGTTTATATATGTTTATATATAAGTGAAATGAATGACAGCACTGGTACAAGGGATAGGTAGAGAGGAATTAAGAATATTGTTTTATGATAAGGTATTATACTACAAATGAAACAGTACAGTGTTATATGAAAGTCAATTTTGATTAGTTTAAATGCATACTGCAAATGTTAAGGCAACTACTAAGTACATTACAAAGAAATAAGTATAATTAGTATGCTAAGAAAGGAGAGAAAATTGATTCATATAAAATGCTCAATATAAACCACAAAAGGCAGAAAATATGTGGAAGCCAAAAATAGAAACAAATAACAAGGGCAACAAATAGAAAACTAAGAAATTTGATAGATATTTTAATATAACTATACCAATAATCACCTTACATGAAAATAGTCTGAATTCATGAATTAAAATACAGATATTGTCAGAGTGGATTAAAAAACAAAACTCACCTTTATGTTGTCTACAAGAAACTTACTTTAAATTTAAAGATACATATACATTTAAAGTAAAGAATGGAGAAAGACATACTATGTTAACACTAATCAAAATAAAGCAAAATAAGCTATATTAATTTCCGACAGATCAGATTTCAAAGCAAGGAAAGTTATCAGTGATAAAAAGTGGTATTGCATGTTGATAAAGGGATCAATACTTTAAGGAGATGCAACAATCCTTAATGTGTATGTGCTTAACAACAGAGTGTCAAACTACTTGAGGAAAATACTGATAAAACAATAAGGAGAAATAGACAACTCCACTATTACAGTTGGATACATCAACTCCCCTCTATCAGAAATGGAGATATCCAGTAGACAGGAGACAAGTAAGGACATAATTGAACTCAATAGCACCATCAAACCACTGCATGCAATTGACATGTAAATGCTACTTTTTTTCAGTCACTACAGCCTATACATTCTTATCAAGGTCACATGCTGCAATAACAAAGATAGATCACATTCAGGATTATAAAACGCACCTTAGCAAATGTAAAGAATACAAATTATATGGTGTCTCCTTTCAGACCACAATAAAATTAAACTAGAAATCAATAACATAAATAGATTTGGAAAATCCTCAAATACTTGGAGATTAATTATATAATTCTAAATAAAAAAGGAATAAAAAAAGAAATCCCAAGAGAAATTTAAAAATATTTTGAACTAAATGAAAATTTAAAATACAACTTACAGAATTTGTGAGATAAAGCATAATCAGTGCTTAGAGGAAAATGTAAAAGCATTGAAAGCATTTATTAGGGAAAAAAATACTAAAGTCAACCGTCTAAGCTTCCACATTGAAAAACTAGTAAAAGAAAATCAAATAAAATCCAAGTGAAAGAAAATACATAATAAAAATTATAACAGAAATCAATGAAATTGAAAACAGAAAATCAATAGAGAAAAACAATAAAAACCAAAGCTTGTTCTTTGAAAATAGCAATAAAATTGATAAACTTCTAGCAGGACTAATGAAGTAAAACATACAAAAGACACAAATTGCTAATATAAGAAAAGAAACAGGACACAAGTACAGATTCTATGAATATTAAAAGGATAATAAAGGAATATTATTAGTAACTCTGTGACAAAAATGTGATAACATAGATGAAATCAATGCATTTCTTGAAAGAAACAACCAGTCAAAACTCACACAAGAGAAAACAGACAACCTCAATAGACTTATTAAATAAATTGAGCCAATAATTAATGACTTTCTAAAACAGAGTACACCAGGCTTAGATGGGTTCACTGGTAAATTCTACCATTTAAGGAAAAATTTATACCAAATATCTACAATCTCCTCCAGAAGACAAAAACAGAGAGAATACTTCCTAATTCATTCTATTAGGCCAGTATTACTCTAATGTCAAAACTAGACAGAGGCATTAAAATAAAATAAAGGTACAGACCAATATCTCTCAAGAACATAGATGCAAAAATCCTCAACAAAATTTAGCAAATTGAATCTAACAATGTATAAAAATAATTTACACTATGACCACATGCGAATTATCCCAGGTACGCTAGGCTGGTTCAACATTTAAAAATTCATTAATGTATGATATTCCCCTTCCTGTGTCCAAGTGATCTCAATGTTCAATTCCCACCTATGAGTGAGAATATGTGGTGTTTGGTTTTTTGTTCTTGCGATAGTTTACTGAGAATGATGATTTCCAGTTTCATCCATGTCCCTACAAAGGACATGAACTCATCATTTTTTATGGCTGCATAGTATTCCATGGTGTATATGTGCCATATTTTCTTAATCCAGTCTATCATTGTTGGACATTTGGGTTGGGGGGAGGGGGGAGGGATAGCATTGGGAGATATACCTAATGCTAGATGACGAGTTAGTGGGTGCAGCGCACCAGCATGGCACAAGTATACATATGTAACTAACCTGCACAAGGTGCACATGTACCCTAAAACTTAAAGTATAATAAAAAAAAAATTCATTAATCAATCATAATAACAGGCTAAAGAAGAAACCTTACATGAGCATATCAATAGACACAGAAAAAGCATTTGACAAAATGAACACTGAATTATGATAAAAAAATTCTCAGCAAAGTACTTACAAAGGCAAATTTTCTCTTCTTGTTAAAGAACATTTACAAAAATCCTACAGCTAACATTACTCTTAATGGTGAGAAACACTAAGTTCAGGAATAAGAGAAGCATATCGTCTCTTACCTGATTTCATGCCAAAGACTTTCATGCCAAAGTCTTCACCAGTTCAAGAAAACAAGACAGAAAAATAAAACTTATGCAGATTGGAAAAGAAAAAATAAAACCATCTTTATTTACAGATGACTTCATCATCTATATACCAAATATTTTTAAATGACCAAAACTACTCCTGAAACCAATAAGTAATTATTGTAAATTTGCTGGATTCAAGGTCAATATTAAAAAAGTCAATTACTTTCCTATACACCAGCAATAAATAATTGGAATTTGAAATTTAAAATACAGCCTCCAGGTAGCAGAGTGGCACAGCAGAAGTACGCTGAAACACAATCCCATTTATATTAACACTCAAACAATGAAAGATTTATGTATAAATGCAAGAAAGTCTGTACAAGGTCTATATCAGGAAACTACAAAACTCTGATGAATGATATCAAAAAGAAACTAAATAAATGGAGAGATATTCCATTTTTAAGATAGGAAGATTCAATTTGTCAAGAAATCATTTCTTCCTAACTTGATCTATAAATTCAATGCAATCTAAATCAAAATCCCAACAAGTTATTTTATGGATACCAAAAAATTCTAGTTTAAATGGAGAGAAAAAAGACCCAAAATAGTCAACTCAATATTTAAAAAGAATGTCAGCGGACTGACACTACCCAATATAAAGACTTACATTGACAGTAATCCAGATGGTGTCAATTAATGAAAAATTAGACAAATAGATTAGTGGAACAGAATAGAAAGCCCCAAAATAGAACACACAAACATGATCTACTCATTTTTGCCAAAGAAGCAATGACAATAAAATGAAGCAAAGATAGTCATTTCAAAAATTGTGATAGAACAATTGGACACCCTCATGAAAAAAAAAAAAAAAAAAACTAGACCTTATATCATTTACCAAAACTAACTCAAAACAGGGCATAGACCTAAATGTAAAATGCTATACTATAAAACTCCCATAAGATAACGTAAGAGAAAACCGGGATGACCTTGGGTATAGTGATGAATTTTGATACAACAAAAAGGCACAAAACATGAAATAAAAAAATAACTAGGTGAACTTCATTAAAATTAAAACTTCTACTTGGTGGATAAAATTGTCAAGAGAATGAGAATACTGGAAGAAAATATTTGAAAGAGACATAACAGAAAAGGGATTGATAACCAAAATGTACAAATAATTTTTAAAACTCAAAAGTAAGAAAATGGACAACCCGATTATAAAATAGAAGACCTCAACAGACAACTCAAAAAAGGATATATATACAAATGGCAAGTAGGCATATGACACAATATTTAATATCATATGTCATTAGGAAATTACAAATTAAATCAACAAAGAGATACCATACTCACCTACTAGAATGATGACAATCCAAATACTGACAACGTTAAATGATGGCAAGGGTGTAGAGCAAGATAAATTCTCATTCATTGCTGGTGGACATGCAAAATGGTACAACTGCTATGGTGGTACAACCACTTTGGTGGTTTCTTTGGTGGTTCATATACATGAACACCACTATCATATAGAAGTGTATATATAAATGTGTGTGTGTATATATATATACATTCCTATATGATCCCCCAATTGTGCCTCTTTAATTCATTACCCCAATAAATTAAAAACTTACATGCACACAAAAACCTTTGTACAGATATTTATAGCAGCTATATTCATAATTGTCTAAACTTGGAAACAGTCAAATGTTCCTCAGTGAGAGAATGGAGAAAGAAACTGTGGTACATCCAGACAATGAAAGATTATTTAGTGCTAAAATGAATGAGCTGTCAAGCCATGAAAAGACATGGCATAAAAGCACATTTTTAAGTGAAATAAGCTAATCTACAAAGTCAACATGATAAATATTTCAAACCATGTTACATTCTGGAAAAGGCAACTATGAGAATAATAATAAAAGAAAAAAGGTCAGTGGTTATCCGGGGTTGAAGAGAAAAGAGAGGGATGAATAGGCAGAGCACAGGGATTTTTTAGGCCCGTAAAACTATTCTGGATGATAGTATTAAAAATAATACATGCATGTCATTATACATTTGTCAAAATCCATAGAATGCACAATACCGAGAATGAACCACACAGTAAACTATGGACATTGGGTGATAGTGATATCTCGGTGTAGGTTCATTGATTGTAAAAAATGTACCACTGCAATACAGGATATTGAGGTTAACATTGTGCAAGGATACCTGGAAACTGTCTGTTCTTTTTGCCCAATTTTGCTGCAAACCTAAAATTGCCTTTAAAAATAAAAGGTAGTAATTAAAGAAACCAATTATTATAGCTTCCACTGACTGGTTCCAAAGTCCCTCTCATATTGTTAGGTATTTTTATAGCAGCACCTCCAAGTATCAAAATCTGTGGTTTTTTTTTTTGGTTTATTTGCTATGCAACATATTAATAAAAATCTAGCAGTTTAAACACACATGTGTTTTCTCACAATTTCTGTGAGTCAAGATTCCAAGCCAGGCTTTTCTGCATTCTCAGAAAGGCAGCAAAGTATCAGCCAAGGCGGTTTCTTACCTGGGTACTCGACTGGGAAAGCATCTGCCTCCAAACTCACTTTGGTTATTGCCAGAATTCATTTACTTTTAATTTTAGGACTCTTGGAATAATGATTTTTCAAATCCAGAAAAGGAAACCATTATTTAATATAATGTAACATAATCACTACAGTAATATTAGATCACTTTTGCCATACAATATTAGATCACTTTTGCCATACGTAGGAATAACATTCTATCATCTTTGCTGTATTCTATTATGTAGGAATAAATTATAGGTTGAGTTCACATTCAGATGAGAAGATGATACAAGGACTGTGAGAACCAGGATATGGGAAGCATGAAGGCCATCTTAAAATCTGCCTGTTGAATGTGGTATTGTCAGTTTTTATTCTGGAAAAGAAGCTTATTTTCCTGTAAAAATCTGGGAATTGAAGAACATCTAAAACATAGAATAAAGTTAGTTTATATCCTGTATAGATTCCTCCTTAAAAAAAAAAAGGTCAAATAAAGGGATATCATGCACAGGACAACCAACCTTGCAATGGAAGGCAATGTAGAAACACCTACAGAACTGCTCATATACTGTCTATGAGCAGCCTGAAGGAAAACACATCAAAGTATATTATGATAGTTATGAGATTAGTCAGAGGAGTTTTGAAAAGATACTCTTTGACCTAGGTCTTGATTAAAAAATGACATTAAAATAATGATTTTTGTCTGTGAATGGGTGAATTCAGAATGTTAAGTATGAAAAGCCAAGCTTGATGTGGTGGAGAAGCCCCTTGTGAAATACGTACAACCACAGGAATTTGAATCATATTATTTTGAATATGTAACATAATATCTTAATCCATCAGGAGCAAAATTTATAAAATAATAAATTTAACAATAACTTTGATAGAATATGAGACTGTGAATTAATCAAATTTGTGTTCAATAAATGTTTGCTAAGTTAAATAAAGCATTTCCAAAATGATAAGTGAGGTTTTTTCAATAATTTTGTAAACTTTATAGTCACAATGATGGTAAACTTGTTTTTAATATTTCTTGAATGATGTAATAAATTAACCAATGGGAAAAAGTATAAAAATGGAAGGTTAGGATGAGAAAAAATAGGTTAATATTTCCAACTATTTCGACTATTTCCTCCCTATTACTGTTAATTGAAAATAGTTACTATTTTACTTTCACTTAATTAGAAGTTAAAGATAGGCTTGTGCTGTTTTGCATGTCATCAGAGCACTTTTGAATATAATTTTTTAAATCGTTATAATTTACATTACCATTTGTAGCTGTTGGAGAAATTCTTGTATTAAATGATTGAAGGAAAAACAGATGATTCAAACTCTTTAAGATAGAGTAAGATATATTCATGGCCTGAATGCTATTCCCTACTTTTATTTCTACTGAAAAAAAATATTTATCCTTTTCAAAATATAAAAAGAGTACAGGACCCAGCTGAATAATTTTATAGTAAGTATTATATTGCTTTAATATCAATTGATCTCATCTCTGAAGAATATTTGTCTTTTTCACCCATTATTTTCTCCTTTAGTTGTTTGCTGGCACTATTATTTGGCTTTTCTTTGCTTCAACCTTCTTTATAGTTCATATGATAATATATAAAACCAAATAGAAACTAAAGGACAACCTGCCATCTTAGGTATAGAGATGACCTTTTTAGTTAAATCAGGATATCTTGTGTCTTGCAGCAATCTTATCTTTAGAATGAGAACATTCAATTTGGAGCATGTGTTGAGATTTATATAACACCAAATAAATGATATATAATTAAGAGAAAACAGTTTAAAAGCTGTCAAATTCTCATCATGAAACCCATGCCTGCCATTTTTCGCAAGCTGTTTCTGATGCTTTGCGGATTTCTACTTCAAGCTTTTGTTCTCCCCATTCCTTCATAGTGGACCAAAATTTAGTCAGTATCATGATGTTTGCTAAGGTATTCCAATGTTAAGTTCCAGAAAGGTTTGCTGTGTCTCATTTAAATCTCTGAAAACTTTATTTGAAGATGCAATTCTATTCAGATAAATTGTACACTTTGTTTTTTGTGTATGTTCACATCACCTCTACCACCACCAGTACTTTCTCCACCATTGTCATCTACTATAAACAGCTTTTGGGTTGTTAAAGAAATACTTAGATTTTTGTGGATCCACTTGGGAAGCTATTACTTACTACATGCTACTTTTGATTATGCTTAAATGTTGCTATATAAAAGAACATAACTTGGCATAAATGTAAGTCAAATCACTTTTTTCCCCATCTTTATTCATGGACCTTTTGGATTTTATACATCATACAGAAGAATTCTATCAAAAAAAGATAAATTTAAAATAATAGCTAACTTTTCTTGAATGTGCTGCAATCTGTGAATACAATAATTATTTATTTATTTTTACTATAAACTTATGAGATATCACTATTATTGTCCCTAGTATAGAGCTACAAAAACTGAGGCTTCAAAAAGCCACAAAATTTGTCCAAGATAGCCTGGCAAACAACCTATTATACCTGATTCCAACCCAGGTCTACTAACATTAATCAACCCTAACCACAATACTATATATTGTCCTGTTCTGAATTATTTTCATTTAGAATCTGATGAGATTTAGCATGGGATAAGTGCAGTGCAGAGATAGTAAACACTGCTCTTTTTGCTTCCAGGAGTCTCAATGTGAAGTATAATTCTTACAGAGTAATTCATAGTAGGTCACCACAAAGTCTATATTGTATGTGAAGGAAAGCATATGCATAGGCCACAGGGACTTAACATTCTCATGGGATATTTGGGGAATTTTATCAGTTCTCCATATTATGAATGCTGTAAAAGTATATTGTTCATTTTAAAAGATTAAATAAATAATAATGGGAATGTGTTACATGCCTGCTTCAAATACCTAATGATGATTATGCCTTTAAGATGATAAGCGGAGAACAATAAAGGAGTGTTGATATGTGCATGGTGGGCAGTTATCCAATTTTCTGTATTAGTGAGGAGGCTTAGTCTCATTTCCCAGGTTTGGGAGAACATTGTTAAAAATGTGTGCTTCATCTACACCCTCAAACAGCTGAAATCACTACCGTCAAATCACAAATGCCAAGAATTTCTTGAATGTCCTTCAGGCACCAGTAAAGGCCATCAGACAAGCTAAAGTGTCTGGTCAATACATAAAGTCTAAATGAATCACAAAAATAGTTTGTGTGATGGAATTTATAGAGTGGTATATGAAGTGCATCATGGGCCACACATTGCTGAAAATCTCAACCACCATATCAACTTTTTTTCAGTAAGCTACTGTTAAGTAGCTTTTGTTTGGTTAAGAACATGAGTACATTATTTGATATGTACAGACATCGATAAACTATTTTAACCTGAAAATAGTTAAATTCAAGGTTACTTATTTGATTTGAATTATTCTTAACAATTTCTATGTGAATTTCATGAGTTTGTAGTTAGTGTTTTTATAATATCTCTGACATCACTTAAAGTTTGTTAACTTTATACTTCAAGCAAAAAATTAAAAAGCCATTTCAGAGTGAAATATATTTGAGGGAAACCACATATTGTTAGTGTTTTTTAATCTTGTAAATCCATTCTCTCATTTGATAAACAGGGATTTTTCATATCCAAGTTCATATTAATTTGAAACTTTATATATAATATACCACATAACAAGTAAAAAGTAAACCAAAGCAATAATTATTTTAGAACATGCTTTTCCAAATTATCTAAGCTTCTGGAAATATATATATATATACACACATATATAATATATATTATATATACATATATTATATATATAATATATATATTACATATATATATAATTATATATATATATATTACTTCTTGTGGGACAATCTTTGAGTTTCAAGTCTAGTATTGGTTTATCTCTTTCTCCATTTAAACATTTAAAAGTATTAAAATTTATAAACATTTAAAATCAATTACCTTCACCCTACAGCGAACTTGAAGGTAGAATGAGGAAAGAGATATGTCACAGGCAGGATGAGAAATTTTAGATATTCTCTAAAGTCAGATGTGGTTGAGATAACTACATTTCAGAAATAGGACAGGTAAGTAGCAGCAAGAGGGCACTAGGTTACAGTGAGCAGGAAGCATGTCAACAATGATGTAGGATGTGTAAAGGAAAGAAAAATAAAGACACAGGCCGGGCACAGTGGCTCACGCCTGTAATCCTAGCACTTTGGGAGGCTGAGGCGGGCAGATTGCCTCAGCTTAGGAATTTGAAACCAGCATGGGGAACATGGTGAAAAGCCATCTCTACTAAAATAGAAAAGAAATTAGCCGGGCATGGCAGTGTGTGCCTTTAGTCCCAGCTACTCAGGAGGTTGAGCCAGGAGAATTGCTTGAACCCAGGAGGCGGAGGTTGCAGTGAGCCAAGATCACACCACTGCAATGCAGCCTGGGCAACAGAGTGAGACCCTATCTCTACAAATAAGTAAATAAATAAACAAACACATGCACATTCAAAACAACGTGGAACTTGGTGGCTGAAAAGTTGTCTTGAATTACTATAGAGGCAAAATAACAGTATTTGAACATGCATTAAAGCTTGACTAGACAATGTGATAGCAATATATCCTGGATTTACTCAATACCCAACTCCCAATTCATGCCCACTGAATAGAGTCATATTTGGAAATAAGGCCTTTGCAGATGTAATCAAGTTTCGATGAGATCATACTGCATTATGGTGAGCCCTAAATTCAACATGACTTGTATCTTTATAAGAAGAGGGAAATGTAGACACGGAGACACAGACACAGAGAGAATCATGTCATTTGAAAAGAGAGAGAGACATATATTGACAACAATCATGACAACCTAGGAAAAGAAGGGAAGAAATTTTTCCTAGGGCCTTCAAAGAAAGAGCATAACCCTTCCAACAGTGATTTTAAACTTCTTGCCTTGAGAACTGTGAGAAAATAAATCTCCGTTGCTTTAAGTCATCAAGTTTGTAGCAATTTATGACAGCAGCCCTACCAAACTAATACAGCATATGTGAAGATACAGAAAAAGACATTAACTTGCCATCTAAAGATGATACAATTTTGACTATTAAAGGCAGAAATTAATTAGTATTCATTGAGCACTGACCAAGTGGGAGCCTAACTCAAATTTCAAAAACTTTATTCCCCTGAAAAGATTTTCACTGTAATAAAACAAATAGTCTCTGTTAAGTTTAGCCTAAAGACTTTTTTTTTGTCTTGTCTTTAAAAAAATTATTTTAAGTTCAAGGGTACATGTGTAGCTTTGTTATATAGTTAAACTTGTGTCATTGAGGGTTTGCTGTGAAGATTATTTTGTCATCCAGATATTAAGCATATTACCGATAAGTTATTTTTCCTGATCCTCTCCCTCCTCCCACCCTCTACCATTAGTACCCAGTGTCTGTTGTTCCCCTCTCTGTGTCCATGTGTTCTCATCATTTAGCTCCCACTTATAAGTGAGAAATTGCATTATGTGTTTTCCTGTTCCTGCATTAGTTTGCTAAGGATAATGGTCTCCAGCTCTGTCCATGTCCCTCCATAGGACATGATCTCATTGTTTTTATGGCTGCATAGTATTCCACGTTGTATATATGCTGTATTTCCTTTATTCAGTCTGCCATTAATGGACATTTAGGTTAATTCCATGTCTTTGCTATTGTGAACAGTGCTGCAATGAACTCTGATAAAGGTCTAATATCCAGCATCTATAAGGAATTTAAACAAATTTAAAAGAGTTTGGTTAGAGCATTTATATTTCTTTTGCTCTAACTCTACACTCTCTATAGCAGTACATTTTCAGATTCTAATTTGGCTCCTTGTTCATCTCTGTTATAGGAAAGAATGTCTTTAATCACTTAAGTTTTGCAGTTTTCATGCAATTATGCCTCACCAAAAAGCAGTAATTTGAGAGCCATGATTGTCAAAGATTTGCATAATCACCCCTGAACATTATAAAAGCAATAAACCTGAAGAGACCTATAGCAGGATCGTATGACCTTGATCACCTCCTCCAAATGCCTATTGTCTTGTTCCTAGAACTTGCCTATCACCATATAGGACCCTATGTACAAAAATAATAATGTAAAATTATATCTGTGTTGAAAAGTTGTTCTAGGTCACTCAGTTCCATTTCTACATTAGTGGAACTCAAATGGTTCAAAGGAGCTCCAGAGGTGGTTCTCCAGAAGTGCATCAGTCGGCTTCACTCCTGCTCCCATTTCAGGTCCAGTTTTTATGATCAACCTGTAGACTAGACTAGATATTGAATTCTTTTAGGTTCTTCCAATCCAACTTTCTTCAGTGAAATTACTAAAAATGGGAGCTGCTCTGTTCCTAAAGCCCTATAAGCTGAGATTGTATACGTTTTAAGGGACAAGTTTCATGTCTGGCATATGGGTCACACAGTTTACCAAATTACTCAATACCATAACCAGAGGCATTTAAATGGTAAACCAGGATGAAAAGTTGGTGGCTTTACGCTATAATCAGCTTTCCCCAAGACATGGAAACAAGATTTGATATCATAATGAGACTCTTACCTCCCTTAATGCTGCTGGCAGGATAATGGTATAATCAAAATTTTACAATCAGCAACTTCTGCTGGTAACTCGACAGGACGTGGCCTAGGAGATCCTTTAGTCCACCTAGCAGTGACTTTGACATCTCTAGTACAACTGTTGCTCACACTCTGCTTTAATTTAATCCAGTCATAGAACACTAGATAATAAAATTACTTTGTGTTATCTATTGGTGAAATAAGGAAATGGCTATGCTATTATTAATAATACATTCTATATCTGGATAAATTCCTCTGAGAAAGTTGAAACCCATATACACAAAAGAAAAAAATCAAGTCACATGTTTACAAGTTTTATCCAATTTCCATGTCCATTTGACTCATTCAGTTGGTTGTCTTCAAGCTTAGGTTTGTGGCTTAAAGCTACTATCCAAATGGTCATATTTCTCTTAACTTTAATTTGTAATTTTTTGGTAAATTTTATACTGGTTACTTGTTAAAATTTTGCAGAAATACAACTCTTAACAAAGTAATGCTGGCCCACCGCTTTGAGATGATAGCCAACAGTTTATGAAACAGACAAAAACAACAATGGACTCCAGATCAACTTATTATGAAAGTCACTTTCTCCAAACCTCCCTTGTTGCTTAAATGTGGCTAAAGGGTTTTGACATTGACTGCAAAGTTGCAAATCATTTGCCTCTCCTGTGAAACCAGACCAAAATGAGACAGACCCATCCCAGCATCAAGGAACAATCAACACCTAACAACAAGATGATTGATCAGTGATACTTTTGGGTAAATATCGTGATCAGAAGGAGAAAATGTTAAATTATCAGAATCAAAATGAAGTCACTTGTGTTAAGCACCCTGACAAATAGAACCAAGGAAGGACATAAAGGTAGAGTTCTCATGGGTGAATGCCTAATAACAAGAGCTATCACAAAAGACTGAAAAACTTACAACTTTGCACAAAGCTAGGACAACTTTCCATACAAAAAAAATAATTTTGTGAAAACCTCTGCCCAGCAACAGTTTATCCAACTTTAGACTAGCACCACCCTTGTTATTGATCCTTGCATCCAAAGATAATTATCTCAAAACAATTATGTAATCCTCATTTTTCCTTTAAAATCTTCTGTCTTCTTTTATCTCTCTGAATATAACAATAGCTTACTATGATGTATTCCCATTACAGTGGCTATTCACAAACAAACATCATTTTCTTTTAGAGAGTGTTCTCTGTTTGTTATTTAGGTTGACAGATAAAACCATAACTTTTAAACAAAAACATAGATGACTCTCATGACTTAAGTGTAAAAAATGTTTTATTGGGCTTATCATGTAAATAATCCCAAAAAATTGATAACAAAAATCATCAAAATTTAAATTTTCTGTTTATCTGAGAATTCATTATGGAAATAAATAAGCAGAAAATAGGTGTTTTAAAAAGTCACAAAGTATATATCTGACAGAAAGCAGGTATCCAGGATATATAAGGAAGTCTTACAATGTAATAAAGAAAACCTGTAAAATTAGGTAAATAATTGAATAATTATCTCAAAAAGAAGATATATCAAAAACCAGTAAACACATAGAAAAATGCTCAACAATGTTGGTCATACAATAACATTTAAATTAAAACATGATAAGATAATACTACACAGGCAGTAGAATGTCTAAACTTAAAAAGACTGGCAACTACAAGTATTGGCAAGCATATGGAAAAAATGGAATTCTCAAATATTTTCAGAATATAAATTGGTACAATTACTTTGGAAAAATGCCTAAATAAATAAATAAATAGACAAACCTCCCTTCTAGCCCTGCAAATGTACTTATAGGCATTAATCCAAGAGAAATGAAAATATGTTCACAAAAAACTTGCTCATGAAATTTCTTGGCAGCTTTATTCAGAAAGCCGAAGACTGGTTTTATCAATAGGAAAATCATTCATAAACTTGTTCTAACCCTAAAATATAACGGTATTCTGCAACACAAAAGTAACAGACTGCTAATAATCACACAACACCAATGAATCTCGAAAACATTATACTGAAGGGAAAATAGCCTTACACTATATGCATAGTAAGATATAATTTATAGGAATTCTAGAATACAAACATCTTTAGTATTGTGGGAAAGCTAAGGCAGTGGTTTCTTGTTGGTAGGTGCAGGAATTAACTGGGTAGAAAACTGAAGGGAATTTCATGGTTGAGAGTAATTCTATACATTCTGCTAGAGGTTTGGGTTTATTTGTGTATATGCGTTCATCAAAACTCAGCAAAAGACACACAGGACTTGGATATTTCATTTTATGTAAATTGTACATAAACCCCCCAAATTATAATATAGCCAATAATATGCATGTAAAATGTTTTGGTGGAAGCATACTGATAATAGATGAATAGAGAGATGGGAAAATAGTTATACATATAATAAAACAGCAAAATACAATTTAAATGATAAAATTTGTGTGGTCAGTATATGAATATTTACCAAATCTTTCAATTTTGCTATGTTTAAATTTTTTTTCTTAAAAATGATTGGGAGAAAACATATTAATCAGATAATAAACATTTTGTTGTTACAGTAGAGTTAATGATGCACCATTTACAGCTCCTCTTCATTGAAGGGCTTGTTTTCCACTTTGGTTGGAATGCACTAACTTGGAGTTGCAACAGCCTTCAGCTCTTCACCACTTAGGAACTGCCCCAGCTGCTCGTCATTCAAGCTAATAGGAATTGCCCCAACTGTTCCTCATTCAAGCTCATAGGAATTGCCCCAACTGTTCCTCATTCAAGCTAACCCTTCCCTGGTCAATCTTGTGACTGATGGAGGAATATGGAAGCCAAACCACTTGACAGGTATTTCCAAACCAGTACTTTCCCTCTTTTTCACAGGTATTGTTCTCAAAGATACATCTGTACATTCAAACCTATCTAGAGTCTTTCTCAGAGTCATGTTCTTACAGAACTCAACCTGTGACAGGTAATTAATTGAGTTGATTCTAAATGTTTTATACTTAAAAAATTTATTGACTAGAAAATGTTCCGAGTTAAAGTTAAGCCAGTTATAGAATACCTCTTTTCATTTTCTTAGCTCTTTGCAATTCAGGGTTATCTTCTATGTGTACATAATTTTCTTTCTAATTTTTTTAAAACTCTTTCTTTCTTTTGATTTTATTTTTATTTCCTTCGTAATTTTCATTTATTTTCTCAATCCCTCATTAGGTTTTCAGAAAAATGCATTGTCTTAATGTGCATATCATATTGTCTTTGTTTGGCAATAATTTTGTAACTTTATTTTCTCAAGTTCCTTTCTCTCCAGTATATTTCCATTGTGATTTTTTTGAATTTATGATACGACCTTATTTTTACATAAAGTGTTTCTATACAATGTTCTTTTGATTCGTGGTTGTTTATTGGTGAATGTCTATCAGTTGTTTTAATGGATTATCTCTATTGCTATTAATTTACATTTTGTTTTATTTTCATAGAAACTTTGTAAAAATATCCTCTTCCTTTTTCACATGTATCAGTTTTAGGACCAGCAATATCAAGTTATATTTTTAGTTCAAAACATCTCTATTGCCATGCATAGTGTGTTAAGAACTGTTTCAAACCTGATATTTTAAAATACTTGCAAATTAGCCATCAAGTCTGCCAAAATTTTAAAGATGTTAGTAGAATACTTTAATAATAAATTTTACTACTGAAAACAAAGCCAAGCAACATATTCTTCATGGCCACATCAGTTTCACTGCCTCTCCAGGTCCCTTGGGGTAACACTGAAGAGTACAGGTGGGTGTTGTGCATCCAGTGGGTTTGTATAACACCTGTGGAACCAGACCTTAGGAAAGCCACGTCTTTGAAAACAGGCTTCAAACAAGCCTACCCAACCATCTCTTAGAGGATGATATTTTTCTCCATCTTCCAAGGTTGCTTGCTATGCAACCTTCTTTAAAAAGTCAGAAAAGAAAAGCCATCAGTTGCTTATTTTCAAAAATATAAACAGAAAAGTAAAAAACACTTGGAAAATTGCTTTCCATATAGTGAATTACAGTTTCTTTAATAAATTGTGCTTTTTTTGTGGGAGGTGATTTATTTTCTGATTTTATTATTTTATTTTGTTTCTGTTAGATCATTAACTTCTGTCACTTACTTCTTTCTATTTTTTTACTTCCAAGTATCTAAAAGCTGCCTCTCTGTTGTAAGTCAGCACTCCCCTCTTAGAAACAATGCCATGCAAGACTGGCCTATCTGTTTTTATGAACATTCAAGCTTTATCTTTGTTTCTCCATTAAACTATTTTCTGATAGAATCAGTCTTTGATTTATTTCAAGCATTTCCTCACACAGGGCAGAATTGTTGCTTTTGCTAAATGTAATTTTACCTCGCTTCAGCTATTGGTAGCACATCACTGCCCTCTTTCATTTTCTTTGCCTGATTTCTCATGTGGATTCCAGCACTGGCTATAATGGATTCAGAATTTCTATTTCCCTACATAGATGGTATTGACATTTTTAGTATTCTTGTTCCATTAAGTTATGAGTGGTTTTATATGCTCT
The DNA here is from genome assembly GCF_000001405.40 of Homo sapiens. Taxonomy (NCBI): domain Eukaryota; kingdom Metazoa; phylum Chordata; class Mammalia; order Primates; family Hominidae; genus Homo; species Homo sapiens. The sequence goes on along the minus strand of NC_000008.11, from coordinate 77,836,226 downwards.
CCATGTTGGATTTAATGGCTTTTGCAGAATGTGTAAAAAGATTAATATTTAGAAGGATTTAATTATCCAATGTGTGGACAGTAGAATTTTGATTGAAACTGGATTAATTTTACAGATTACCTAGAAGAGATTGAATATCTTTACAGTATTTGAGTTTTGCATCCAGAAACATACTACGAATTTTTCATTTATTCATAGTTTTTTTTTTTCTACTCTCCTATGAATTTTTGTCTTTTCAAAAGAAAAAAATTAAGCCTTATTTAATATTTTTTGTTAAGGTGTTTTATTATTGTTATTTTTATTACAAATTGTACCCTTTACATTGCTTTAACACAATTTTTGCAAATATTCTGCAATGTAATTTAATTGTGCATGCTATTTTTTATTTTTTATTTTTATTTTACTTAAAGTTCCGGGATGCATGCGCAGAATGTGCAGGTTTGTTACATAGGTCTATGTGTGCCATGCTGGTTTGCTGCACCTATCAACCCATCATCTACGTTCACTCTCCTCGTTCCCACCCCCTAGCAGTCCCCAGTGTGTGTCATTCCCCTCCCTGTGTCCATGTGTTCTCATTGTTCAACTCCCATGTATGAGTGAGAACATGCAGTTTGATTTTCTATTCCTGTGTTAGTTTGCTGAGGATGATGGCTTCTGCCTTCATCCACGTCCCTGACAAGGACATAATCTCATTTCTTTCTATGGCTGCATGGTATTCCATGGTGTATATGTACCACATTTTCTTTATCCAGTCTATCATTGATTGGCATTTGGGTTGGTTCCATGTCTTTGGTATTGTAAATAGCGATGCAATAAACATATGTGTGCATGTATCTTTATAGTAGAATGATTTATATTCCTTTGGGTATATACCCAGTAATGGGATTCCTGGGTCAAATGGTATTTCTGCTTCTAGATCCTTGAGAAATCGCCACACTGTCTTCCATAATGGTTGAACTAATTTACATTCCCACCAGCAGTGTAAAAGTGTTCCTATTTCTCCACAGCCTCGCCAATATCTATTGTTTTTTGGCTTTTTAATAATCTGCATTCTGCCTGGTGTGACATGGTGTCTCATTGTGGTTTTGATTTTCATTTCTCTAATGATCAGTGATGTTGAGCTTTTTCATGTTTGTTGGCCACCTAAATGTCTTCTTTTGAGAAGTGTCTGTTCATATCCTTTGCCCACTTTTTGATGGGGTTGTTTTTTTTCTTCTTGTAAATTTTAAGTTCCTTGTAGATTCTGGATATTAGACCTTTGACAGATGGATAGATTGCAAAAATTTTCTCCCATTCTTTAGGTTGCCTGTTCACTCTGATGATAATTTCCTTTGCTGTGCAGAAGCCCTTTAGTTTAATTACATCCCGTTTGTCAGTTTTGGCTTTTGTTCCAATTGCTTTTGGTGTTTTTTCTTATGAAATCTTTGTCCATGCCTATGTCCTGAATGGTATTGCGTAGGTTTTCTTCTAGGGTTTTTATGGTTTTGGGTTTCACATTTAAGTCTTTAGTCTACTTTGGATTAATTTTTGCATAATATGTAAGGAAGGGGTCCAGTTTCAGTTTTCTGCATATGGCTAGCCAATTTTCCCAGCACCATTTATTAAATATGGTATTCTTTCCCCATTGCTTGTTTTTATCAGGTTTGTTGAAGATCAGATGGTTATGGATGTGTGGTGTAAATACTGAGGTCTCTGTTCTGTTCCATTGGTCTATATGTCTGTTTTGGTACCAGTACCATGCTGTTTTGGTTACTGTAGCCTTGTAGTATAGTTTGAAGTCAGGTAGCGTGAAGCCTCCAGCTCTGTTCTTTTTGCTAAGGATTGTCTTGGCTATATGGACTCTTTGTATGTTTCCATGTCAAATTAAAGTAGTTTTTATTTTTTTTAATTCTGTGAGGAATGTCCATGGTATTTTGATGGGAATGCATTGAATCTGTAAATTACTTTGGGCAGTATGGCAATTTTCATGATATTGATTCTTTCCATCCATGAGGATAGAATGTTTTTCCATTTGTGTCCTCTCTTAATTCCTCGAGCAGCGGTTTGTCATTCTCCTTGAAGAACTCCTTCACATCCCTTGTTAGCTGTATTGCTAGGTATTTTATACTCTTTGTAGCAATTGTGAATGGGGGTTCATTCATGATTGACTTTCTGCTTGTCAATTGTTAGTGTATAAAAATGCTTGTGATTTTTGCACATTGATTTTTTTTATCCTGAGACTGCTGAATTTGCTTATCAGCTTCAGGATTTTTGTGACTGAGATGGTGGGGTTTTCTAAATATAAAATTGAGTCGCATGCAAACAGACAATTTGACTTGCTCTGTTCCTATTTGAATACTCTTTATTTCTTTTTCTTGACTGATTGCCCTGGCCAGAACTTCCAGTACTATTGAATACAAGTGGTGAGAGGCGACATCCTTGTCTTGTGCTGGTTTTCAAAGGGAATGCTTCCAGTTTTGCCCATTTGATGTGATGTTGGCTGTGGGTTTGTCATATAGTGGCTCCTACTATTTTGAGATATGTTCCATCAATACCTAGTTTATTGAGAGTTTTTAACATTAAGCGATATTGAATTTTATGGAAAGCCCTTTCTGCATCTACTGAGATAACCATGTGGTTTTTGTCATTGGTTCCATTGGATTACATTTATTGATTTGCCTATGTTGAACCAGCCTTGCATCCCAGGGATGAAGCCAACTTGATTGTGGTGGATAAGCTTTTTGATGTGCTGCTGGATTCAGTTTGCCAGTATTTTATTGAGGATTTTTGCATCAGTGTTCATCAGGGATATTGGCCTGAAATTTTCTTTTTCTGTTTTGTCTCTGCCAGATTTTGGTATCAGGATAATGCTGGCCTCATAAAATGAGATAAAGAGGATTCCTTCTTTTCAATTGTTTGAATGGTTTCAGAAGGAATAGAACCAGCTCCTCCCTGCACTTTTGGTAGAATTTGGCTGTGAATCTGTCTGGTCCTGGTCTTTTTTTTTTTTGGTTGGTAGGCTATTAATTACTGCTTCAATTTCAGAACTTGTTATTGGTCAATTCAGGGATTTAACTTCTTCCTGGTTTGGTCTTAGGAGGGTGTATTTGTCCAGAAATTAACCATTTCTTCTTGATTTTCTAGTTTATTTGTATAGAGGGTTCTCATGTCTCTATCTCCTTCAGTTCTGCTCTGATCTTCGTTATTTCTTGTCTTCTGCTAGCTTTTGGATGTATTACACTTGCTTTTCTAGTTGTTTTAGTTGTAATGTTAGGATGTTGATTTGAGATCTTTCTAGCTTTCTGATGTGCGCATTTAGTGCTATAAATTTTCCTCTTAGCACTCCTTTAGCTGTGTCCCAGAGATTCCAGTATGTTGTCTCTTTGTTCTCATTGGTTTCAAAGAACTTCTTGATTTCTGCTTTAATTTTATTGTTTACTCAGGAGTCATTCAGGAGCAGGTTGTTTAATTTCCATGTAATTGTATGGTTTTGAGTGAGTTTCTTAATCCTGAGTTCTTATTTGATTGCACTGTGGTCTAAGAGACTGTTTGTTATGATTTCAGTTCTTTTGCATTTGTTGAGGAGTGTTTTACTTCCACCTATGTGGTCAATTTTAGAATAAGTGCCATGTGGCACTGAGAAGAATGTATACTCGCTGATTTGGGGTGGAGAGTTCTGTAGATGTCTATTAAGTACACTTGATCCAGAGCTGAGTTCAAGTCCTGAATATCCTTGTTAATTTTAAGTCTTATTGATCTGTCTAAAACTGACAGTGGGGTGTTCAAGTCTCCCACTATTACTGTATGGGAGTGTAAGTCTCTTTGTAGGTCTCTAATAACTTGTTTTATAAATCTGGATGTTTCTATATTGGGTTCATATATATTTAGGTTAGTTAGCTCTTCTTGTTGAATTGATCTCTTTACCATTATGTAATGCCCTTCTTTGTCTTTTTTGATCTTTGTGGGTTTTAAGTCTGTTTTGTCCAAGACTAGAATTGCAATCCCTGCTTTTTTTTGCTTTCCATTTGCTTGGTAAATTTTCTTCCATCCCTTTATTTTGAGCCTGTGCGTGTCTTTGCCCATGAGATGGGTCTCCTGATTACAGCACACCAATGGGTTTTGATTCTTTATCCAATTTGCCAATCTGTGTCTTTTAATTGGGGCATTTAGCCTATTTACATTTAAGGTTCATGTTGCTATATGTGAATTTGACCCTGTCATCATGATGCCATCTGGTTATTTTACATACTAGTTGATGCAGTTTCTTCATAGTGTCATTGGTCTTTATATTTTGGTGTGTTTTTGCAGTGGTTGGTGCTGCTTTTTCCTTTCCATATTTAGTGTTTCCTTCAGAAACTCTTGCAAAGCAGGTCTGGTAGTGACAAAACTCCATCAGCATTTGCTTGTCTTAAAAGGATTATCTTTCTCCTTTGCTTATGAAGCTTAGTTTGGCTAAATATGAAATTTTGGGTTGAAAATTCTTTTATTTAAGAATGTTGAATATTGACCCTTACTCTTCTGGCTTGTAGGGTTCCTGATGAGGGATCTGGTGTTAGTCTGATGGGCTTCCCTTTGTGAGTGACCTAGCCTTTCTTTCTGGATGCCCTTAACATTTTTTTCCTTCATTTCATCCTTAAAAAAATCTAATAACTATGTGCCTTGGGGTTGATCTTCTCATGGGGTATTTTAGTGGTGTTCTCTGTATTTCCTGGATTTGAATGTTGGCCAGTCTTGCGAGGTTGGGGAAGTTCTCTGGGATAATATCCCGAAGTGTGTTTTCCAACTTGATTCCATTCTCCCCATCTCTTTCAGGTATTCCAATCAATTGTAGGTTTGGTCTTTTTACATAGTCTCATCTTTCTTGGAGGTTTTGTTCATTCATTCCTGTCTGCGTTCCTTATTTCAGCAAGACAGTTTTCAAACTCCAAAATCCTTTCTTTTGCTTGATCCATTCAGCTATTGATATTTGTATATGCTTCATGAAGTTCTCGTGCGGTGTTTTTGAGCTCCATCATGTCATTTATTTTCCTCTCTAAACTGATTATCTAGTTAGCAGCTCCTGTAACATTTTATCGAGGTTTTTAGCTTCTTTGCATTGGGTTAGAACATGCTCCTTTAGCTCAGTGGAATTTGTTATTACCCACCTTCTGAAGGCTACTTCTGTCAATTCTTCCACCTCATCCTCCATCCAGTTCTGCACCTTTGCTGGAGAGGTACTCCTATCATTTGGAGGAGAAGAGGTACTTTGGTCTTTTGGGTTTTCAGCATTTTTTCATTGATTTTTTTTTTTCTCATCTTTACGAGTTTGTCTAGTTTTGATCTTTGAGGCTGCTGACCCTTGGATCAGGTTCATGTGGGGACTCTTTGTTGATGCTGCTGTTGTTTCTTTGTTTGTTTTTCTTTCAATGGTCAGGTCCCTCTTCTGTAAGACTTCTGTGGTTTGCCAGGTTCACTTCAGGCCCTATTCATCTGCTTTGCTCCCACGCTTGGAGAGGTCACTTGAGGAGACTGGGAACAGCAAAGATGGGTGCCTGTTTCTTCCTTTGGGAAGTTTGACCTTGAGTGGCACTGAACTGATGCCAGTATGAACACTCCTGTATAGGGTGTCTGACAACCCCTGTTGGAGGGTCTCACCCAGTTGGGTGGTACGGGGAGCAGGATCCATTTACCAAAGCACTTTGGCTGTCCCTTGATGGAGGGGGTGTGGTTTGCTGGGGGAAACCCACTCGTCTGGGCGGCCTGGATTCCTCAGAACTAACAGGAGGAAAGAATAAGTCTGCTGGTCCATGGAAACTGTGGCCACTCCTCCCCCTAGGGACTCAGGCCCAGGGAGATCAGAGTTCTGTCCCTGAGCCTCTGGCTGGAGTTGTTGGAGTTCCTGCAGGGAGGTCCCACCCTGTGAGGAGGGATGGGCCAGGGTCAGGCCTGAAGAGGCACTCTGGCCACAGTCGGCCACAGCCGGTGTATTGGGCTGTGGGGAATACCTGTTGGGAGCAGGCTGTCCAGCCTCCCTGGCTTCAGCAGGGGAAAAGCACAGCCTGAAGCTATAGAGATGGCTGTCATCCTTCCCAGACCCTGGGAGCTTAGTGTGTTAGGCAGCTAGCAGTCCTAGTGTTGGCTGTTGACCCTCACCAAGGAGCTCAAAAGGCTTAGGCTTAGACAGCAGGCAGCTGCAGCTGTGGTGCTTGCCAACCCTCCCCCTGGGAACTCAGCAGGCTTAAGCAGGTTCTAGCTGAATGGATTCTAGTTGAGAATCTGCACAGCTCTGTGGTTAGGACCCTAGGCCCCAGGGGTGTGGGCTCATGAGTGGGATCTTCCAATCATGGGTTGTACAGTTCTGTGGAGAACACAGTTTCACAGTCAGGGTAACATGCTCACTTACTGCCTCTTTTGGCTGGGAGGTGGGGGTTCTCCTGCCCCATGTGGCTCTCAGGTGGGCAGCCACATCACACTGCTCTTCCTTCCTCTCCATGGGTCATGCCAGCTGCCTAGTCAGTTCTGATGACAGAACCTGGATACCTCAGTTACCGGTGCAGGGCTCGCATGTTGTTATGGTTATTTTTGATGAGAGCCTCTGATTGCCACTGCTTCTAGTTGGCCATCTTAAGTCCTCACTCTTGTATATTTATTTAATGAAAGAAAAATGTACTAAATTCTGAGGAGAGTTTTAATAATTTTAAGTTGCTTTTTTGTTCTTTCTCCCAAGAAAACATGTAACTAATAAAAATTTCCTCCTTTCTAATTTTTGTAACCCATGTTTTATCTTCTGATTCCTTTAGATAAAGCTTTCAAATTTGAAACAGGAATAAATTATAGTTGTGAGATTAGACATCTTTGTTTTAAAACTCATTATAATGGCAATGACACTCACAACTGTTGTACATGTTTGCTAAAGTACATATATGCTTTATAATGATAGAAAATTATCCTATTTTTGTTTCTATAGTTGCTTCATAAGTGAAGCCTTAATTCAATCAAATAACTTGTTAGCACATATAAAAGATTACTATATAGGTAACCATCTAAAATTTTGGGATAGAAGAGAAATGGAAATCTTGTCTGAAGCCAATATCACAGACTAAAAAGGATGCTTAGAGACTCTTATAAATAACTGTATGATAACAAATTGAAAAAAACCTAGATAAAACATAAATTCCAGGACAAATGAAACCTACCCAGATTGAACCAGGATAAATAGAAATCCTGAACAGATCAATAATCAAGATTGAATCAGTAATAATAAATCTTTCAAGAAAAGAAAAGCCTAGAACAATATGACTATACTGCTGAATTCTACCAAACTTATAAAGAATAATGAACAAAATACTCAACATATTTCCAAAAATTAAAAAGAAGGAAATATTTTCTAACTCATTCTGTGAAGTCAACATTACCTTGCTACCCAAAGCAGAGAAGGATATAACAGAAAATAAAAACTACAGGCCAATAACCCTGATCAATATAGACACAAAAATCTTCAACAAAATACTGTAAACTGAATCCCACAACACATCAAAATGGTAATGCACCATGATCAAGTGGGATTTATCTCAGGGATGTAAGAATGTTTCGACAAATGCAAATCAATAAATGTAATACATCACATCAATAGAATAAAGCACAAAAAATATGATCTCAATAGACACAGAGAAAACATTTGATAAACTTGAGCATCACTTTATAATAAAAACTATCAACAAATTAGAAATAGAACAAATATGTTCAACATAATAAAGTTTGTAATGACAAATTCACAGCTACATCATACTTCATGAGGAAAAGCTAAAAGCCTTTGCTCTAAGAACTCTAACAAGACACAGATGCTCATTTTCACCACTCCTATTCAACATAGTACTGAGTTAGCCAGAACAATTAAGCAACAGAAAGAAAAGCATCCAAATTGGAATAGAAGAAGTCGAATTATTCCTTTTTGCATATGACATTATCTTACATATAGAAAAGGTCAAAAATCTCTTAAGACTGATGAATAATTTAGTGAAGTTGCAGGAGAGAAAATCAACAGACAAAAACCATTTCTATTTCCCAATAATAAACTAGATGACAAGTAAGTCAAAGTGGCTATCCTTTTTACAATAGTTATAAAATATATAATAAAATACCTAGTTATAAATCTAACCAAAATGATAAAATACCTCTACAATGAAAATAATAAAACGCTGATGACAAATATTGAGGAGGACACAAAGAAATGAAAAGACATCCCATGCTCATGGATCAGAAAAATTAATATTGTTAAAATGGCCACACTACCCAAGACAATCTATATATTAAATGCAATCCCTATGATAATATAATGACATTCTTCAAAGAAGTAAAAAAAAAATCATAAAATATTTATGAACCCACAGAAGATCCCAAATAGCAAAAGCAACACTGGGTAAGAAAGAACAAAGTTGGAGGCATCACACTGCCTGAGTTCAAAATATGCTACAAAGCATCATAACTAACACAGCATAGTATTGGCATAAAGAAACAGACACTTAGACTAATGGAACTGAATAGAAATTTCAGAAATAAATTCACATATTTAAGTCAACTGATTTTTGACAAAGGTGCCAAAAGCGTCCACTGGGGAAAGGACAGCCTCTTTAATAAGTGGTGATAGCTAAATTGAATATCCATATGCCAAATAAGAAAAACAGACACCTATCTCTTCCCATGTACAAATTTCAACTCAAAATGCATTACATATCTAAACCTAAGACTTCAAGTTATAAACTACTAGAAGAAAAAATAGGGGCAATGCTTCAGGACATTGATGTGGGCAAAGGTTTTATGGCTGAGACTTCAAAAGCATAGGCAACAAAAACAAAAATAGACAAATGGGTCTATATTAAACTACAAAGCTCTGCATAGCAAAGGAAACAATTGTTAGAGTAACAAGACACCCTGTAAAATGAAAGAAAATATCTGCAAACTTAGTCATCTGACAAGAGAATAATATTCATAATATACCCAAGAATATTCAGAAGAAATTCAAGCAACTCAACAGCAAATAATAATAGTATTAAAAATGGACAAAGGATATTAATAGACATATCTTAAAAAAGCAGACAAATGGACAACAAGTATACGAAAAAATGAAAACCACGATGAGATATCATGGTACGCCAGTTAGAATGGCTATTATCAAAAAAGACATCCTGTATGGAGACATGGAGAAAACAAAACTCTTATACACTATTGATGGAAATGTAAATCAGTATAGCTACTATTGAAAACAGCATGGAGGTTTCTCAAAACTAAAAATAGAACTACTATATGATCTAACATTCTTACTACTGGCTATTTATCCAAAGGATAGGAAATCAGTATGTCAAAAGAATAGCTACACTCCCATGTTTATCACAACATTGTTCACTATAGCCTAGATATGGAATTAATGTAAGTGTCCATTGACTGATAGATGCATAAGGAAAATGTAGTATATACACACAATGGAATACCATTCAGTCATAAAAAATAAAATTATGTCATTTGTAGGAACATGGAAGGAACTAGATATCATTATGCTAAGTGCAAGAAGCCAGGCAAAGAAAATGATCCTATGTTCTCACTCATATGTGGGAGCTAAAAAAGTTCATCTCTTGGTGGTAGAAAGTAAAATGATGGTTACCAAATTCTGGGAAAGGTGATGGTCATGGGATGGTGATGAAGACAGTTTGGTTAATGGGTACAAACATACAGTTAGAATAAATACATTTTAATTTTTGATAGTGCAGTAGGGTGACTATATTTAACAATAGTTTATTGCATTTTTTAAAAAAGCCAGATGATTAGAAATGTTGCCCACATATATAAATGATAAATGTATTTGGTGATGGACATCTTAAATACCCTGATTTGATCATGCTCATTGTATGCATGTATCAAAATATCACACATACTTCATAAATAGGTACACTTAATATGTATTAATTAAGAAACTATAAGGGGACCCAGTCTCAGAAAGGCCCTCAAATTTTTGCTAGTTGTTTTCCTTCAAGAGCCTTATTAACTTCTCATAGTAAAGATACAAGAAAAACTCTGATAGTTCTGTAAACCAAATAATTATCTAAGTCTCAATCAATTTAGAGATTTATTTTGCCAAGGTTGAGAATATTGACCCAGGACACAGCCTCAAGATGTCCCGAGATCATATGCTCAAGGTGATTGGTTTTGTGTTTTAGGGCAACATAAGACATCAATCAATACATGTAAGGTTTACACTGGTTCAGTCTGGAAAAGGAGGATACCTCAAAGCAGGAGCTTACATCTTTTAGGTGGATTCAAAGATTTCTGATTGTCAATTGGTTGAAAGAGTTAAGTTATATAAAAGTCTGGAATAAATAGAAATAAACTTCTGGGTTAAGATAAGGGATTGTGAAGACCAAGGCTCTTAATTATGTAGATGAAGTCTGATAAGTGGCCACCCTTAGAGGCAATAGGTAGCAAATGTTTCCTTTTCAGACCTTTAAAAGGTGATAGACTCTAAGCTAATCCCTTCAATCAGAAAAAGTTCTGGAAAGGAAAGAGGATTCTCTATACAATGTAAATTTACCCCATAGGAGAGAGCTTTCCAAGGCCATTTCAAAATATGTAAAATAAATATATCTGGTAACCTGAAAGCCCAGCACTTCGGGAGGCTGAAGTGGACAGATTGCTTGAGTTCAGGAATTCAAGACCAGCCTAGGCAACTTGTCGAAACCCCATCTCTACAAAAAATATGAAAAAAAAAATTAGGCATGGTGGTACACACCTGTAGTCCCACCTACTTGGTGGGGCTGAGGCAGGAGAATTGCCTGAGCCCAGGACGTCAAGGCTTCAGTGAGCCGTGTTCACACCACTTCACTCCAGCCTGGGTGACAGAGTAAGACACTGTCTCTAATAATAATAATAATAATAATAATAATTTTAATAAGAAATATGTATCAGACTAACATACTTTGATTTCCTTTAAAGCTTGTTATCTGTCATGTGATAACATACTAGAGTCATGTTGGAATTTTGTATCTTATATCTATAGAGAATCTGTTTTGTCAGTCCTAAGATCTCTGTTTTAATGTTAATGCTGGTCAGTTATGTCTAAACTTCAAATGGGTGAGTGTATAATGTGGCAGGCCCACATCCTCTTTCTTATTATGGCCTGAACTAATTTTTCAGATTTCTTTGGAATCCCCTCGACCAAGAGTGGAGGTATATTCAGTCTGTTGTGGGAGCTTAGAATTTTATTTTTGGTTTATACTTTCAACATTGGAGTTAGGACGTAACCATGTAAAAACACATGCAGAGGATTCTATTCTTAACAATACCTGGCTTCAAGATAAACTATTTTCCTAGCATCTATCCAACATGTGTTTTACCAGAGTCTAACTGACCTGAAGGAAGGGAAATACAGAGCTGTACTATACTATGTTTCATGAAGTGTGTCAGCCACATCCAGTAAGTTGAAGGCCTGACTAGAACAAATAGACAAGCATTCCCCAGAAAGAAGAAATTCTCCAGTGGGCTACTTAAGAACCAAATCTGCACTATCAGCTTTCTTGGGTCTCTGCCTGCCTGCCTGCCTTAAGAATAGAACTGCACCATCGACTCTCCTAAGTCTCCAGCCTACTGGAGCGCACTGCAGATTTTTGACTCAGTAGCATCCATAATCATGTGAACTGATTCATTAAAATATATCTATATATGCACATATACACATGTACAAAACATACCTGTTTCTCTAGAGAACCCTAACACAAACTTTTGTTACCAAGAATGTTTTTAGAGGGAAATAAAATTAAGGATGAATTTTCTGGATTGATTCTGAGGTTTCTGGAATTAACTCAGTAATCTGATAAGTGTTTTTTGTTTGTTTGTTTGTTTGTTTTTTTTGTTTTTTTTTTTTTTGAGACAGAGTTTCACTTTTGTCGCCCAGGCTGAAGTGCAGTGACATGATCTCGGCTCACTGCTACCTCCACCTCCTGGATTCAAACGATTCTCAGGAGGCCTCAGCCTCCCGAGTAGCTGGGATTACAGGCACCCGCCACCACGCCCGGCTAATGTTTTGCATTTTTAGAAGAGACCGGGTTTCGCCATGTTGAGCAGGATGGTCTCGAACTCCTGACCTCAGGTGATCCACCCATCTTGGCCTCCCAAAGTGCTGGAATTACAGGCACGAGCCACCGCTCCTGGCCTAATCTGATAAGTTTTAAAGATACTACTAATGCTCTATTTCCAGTAGTAAAGAGAACACTTATAGTACATGGCATGGTCTGGCAATAGAGTTATTCAAAACATTGCCATTAGATCCTCCTAATCAAATACATAAGAGAAGCAAAGATCTGAGTGACCATGTATATGATACTTTCAAACATTTCTGTCAAACTAATGAGTATAATAAGACTGACTGGCTGCTTCTAACATCCCTGGACAAAGTGGGGAATAAAATAATGAGCTTAAGGATTTGAATTTCTAGCTCAGCACCATGTAAATGACCTGAAGGCATCTATTTCTACCCCAAATGAGACTTTTATCTCCGATAGTGGCAGAGAAGAGACTGCTAAAAACCAAAGCTAGAATTTCATTCGGCAGATGATTGACTTATAAAACATACTGAGTTCCCATACTGACAAGGTGTCTACCATTAAGGTGGGTCATTGATAACGGCATCCTGAAAGATTGAATTGGGAACTATCAAAAGACCCTAATGAAGCTGGGACACTGAGCCTCAAAATTCTAATGAGTTTTCTTTGCCAGTAGAAGCAGCTTCTCCACCTATATTTGAGAGGATTAATCCTGGACTGCTTGAGGAAACTGTAATGGCCTCTCCTGAAGCAACTGCATTTCAAGAGGCCTCTCCTGAGTCTTCCTAGGACCCACCGCCCACCACCTCATTTTGCTTTTATCCTTTTAACTGAACTCAAGTTCCAGTAGACCCTTAAAGGTGGGGTACAAATTGTAATTCAAAAAAATTACACTCCAAAAAATTACTTGTGTTTTCTTATTTATGCACATAAAAATTCAGAGAATATGTGTGGGGATGGATATTATGAGTGTGGGATAATGGTGGAAGGCAAATAAAGTTGAATCAGGCTGGATTAATTGATCTGGACCCATGAAGCACAGATTCTACATTAAATGTTGTTGGTCAGAGAGATAAAAAAGACTCCAACAGTTTTTGTGGTTTGTTCGCTAAAACATGGACCAAAAGATGGAACACAGGATGTGAACATGAAATTCCAGACTTGCCTTGGTTTACTATAAAGGAATAGTTCAAAGGTGTTGGAATGTTAGAATGAATTTGTCATCTAAGAACTACTCACTCAACCTGGGAGGATCCAGAAGACTCAACTTTTGCCATGACTGTGAGAAATAAATTTGGGTGGGAAGCCCCCGAATTTTTGAAGAGCTCCGTGACCAGTGTTTTACAGAGGCCAGACCTTTTAATGAAAACTGTGGTCACTAAATTGGGTAAGCTAAATTCAGTTAGGTTGTAATTGGGAGTAATTAGATCCTAGGGTGGCAAGGACCAAGTGATGGGATTCAACCACCAATAGTGAGTTGGGTGTGATTACTGTAATTAATAGCAGAATCAAAGCAGAAATCAGAATAGTCTGACACATGCAGACCTACAGCATTGGCTATTTGATCATGGTATTTCTATAAGTAAAATAGGAAAACTACAAAATTCTTAGTTGATTTGTATAAGCAGAAAAGTTTTAGGTAAGGTGAATGAAAGTCTAACCTGAATCATAAAAACACATAAAAAATTACACCCTCTTAGTCAATTCCCAGATTTTAACTAGTTTATAGACCCAGAACCACTTGAATGAAGGGGAGGCTAGGTCCCCTTGAGGAAGGACCCTGACCCACTGACAAAAACTTCTACTGTTAATCTTTCTCTTAGCCTTCCCTAAAGGGACCTATAGCCTTTTACTAGAGTAACTGCTTTGAGGAAAAGGAAATAATCAAAAATGTTGGGGAATATTAGACATTGGCTCTGAACTGACACATTTCAGGGGACCCTAAACATCACTGCAGTCTACCAGTCAACATAGAAGCTTATGGGCATGACATGTTCAATGGAGTTGTAGCTCAGGTTCATCTCACAGTGGGTAAAATGGGTCCCTGAACCTACCCTGTGGTTATTTCCCCAGTTCTGGAATGCATAATTGAAATAGATATACTCAGCAAGTGGCAGAATTCCCACACTGCTTCCCTGTCCTGTAGAATGAGAACTATTATGATAGAAAAGCCATATGGAAGTTATTAGAACTGCTTCTACCTAGAAAAATAGAAGCCCCAAAGCTATACCACTTTCCTGAAGACACTGCAGAGCTTAGTGCCACCATCAAGGATTTGAAAGATGTTAAATGTGCAGGGTGGTGATTCTCATCACATTCCCATTCAACTCTTCTATTTGGCCTGAGCAGAGACAGATGGATCTTAAAGAATTACGATGGATTATCGTAAGCTTAACCAGATGGCCACTTCAATTGCAGCTGTCATACTAGATGTGGTTTCATTGCTTCAGCAAATTAACACATCCCCTGATATCTGGTATGCAACTATTAATCTGGAAAATATTTTTTTTCTCCATGCCTGTTAAAAAAGATCTCAAGAAGCATTTTTCCTACAGCTGGCAAGTCCAGCAATAGACCTTCAGTGTCCTACTTCAGGGGTATATCAACTCTCTAGCCCTATGGCACTCTTTAGTTCACAGGAATCATGACCACTTTTCCCACACATGAGATATCACCCTCTTCCATTACATTGATGACACTATGCTGATTGCACATAGTGAGCCAGTAGCAGCAACCATTCTAGTCTTATTGATAAGACATTTGTGTCAGGGGGTAGGAAAAAATCTGACAAAAATTGACAGGTCTTCTTTCTCAGTGAAATTACTAGAGACTTGTGATGTGAGAGACACGTCAAGATATCTCTTCTGAGATGAAAGATAAGTTGCTGTATGTGGCCTCTCCTACAACCAAAAAAGAAACACAATGCCCAGTGGGCCTTTTTGATTTGGGAAGCAACATATTTTTTATTAGCTTGTGTTATTTTGACTTATTTACCAAATGATCTACAAAGCAAATAGTTTTGAGTAAGTCCCACAGTAAGAGAAGGATCTACAACAAGTCAAGGCTGCTGTGCAAGCTGCTCTGCCACTTGGGCCATATGATCCAGAAGATCCAAGGGAACTTGAGGTGTAAATTGCAGATAGACATGTTGTTTGAAGACTTTGGCAAACCCCTATAGGTGAATTACAGTGACAGTACAGGCCTTCAGGATTTTGGAGCAAAGTCCTGCCATCACCTGCAGATGAGTTCTCTCCTTTTAAAAAACAGCTGTTGGCCTGCTACTCGGTCTCAGTAAAGACTGAATGTTTAACCATGGGTCACCAGGTTATTATACAACCTGAGCTACCCATCACAAACTAAAGTCGTCCTACCCATCAAACCATAAAGTTGGACATGCACAGCAGAAAGCACATTATCTAATGCAAGTGGCATATATGAGATCAGTTGATGGTGGCTCTGAAGGCACAAATACGTTCATTGAGGAAGTGGTCCAAATGCCCATGGCCTCCACTCCCACTGCACTGCCTTCTTTTTACTAGCCTTAACCTATGGTCTCATGAGGAGGAACTCCTCACCATCAATTGACAGAGGAAAAGAAAAATTGGGCCTGGTTTACATGATTCTGCATGATATACACGCACCATCTGAAAGTGGACAGCTTTAGCACTACAGCTCCCTTATGAGATACCCCTGAGGACAGTGGTGAAGAAAAATTCTACCAGTTGGCAGAACTGTGAGCAGTGCACCTGGTCACTCATTATGCTTGGAAGGAAAAATGTTCAGATGTGTGATTTTGTACTGCTTCATGGTCTGTGGCAAATGGTTTGGCTGGATGGTTAGGAAGTTGGGACAAATATGATTGAAAAATTGATGAGAATAAAGTCTGGGAATCATGTGGATATATTTCTCCATATGGACAAAAATAGCAAACATATTTGTTTCCCATATGAAAGCTTATGAAAGGACAATCTCTGTCAAGAAGAATTTTGAAAGGTGTCTGGGATTATTGATCCTGACTACCAGTGAGGAAATTGGACTGCTACTTCATAATAGAGGTATGAAAGAGTATGTCTGGAATACAGGAGATCTCCTAGGATACATCTAAGATTTACCATTTCCTGTGAAAACAACTACAGCAACCCAACCCAGACAGAGCTACCAATGGCCCAGACCCTTCATGAATGAAGATTTGGGTCACTCTGCCAGGTAACAAACCACGAACAGCTGAGGTGTTTGCTAAAGGCAGAGGTAACAAAGAATGGTTAAAAAAGGTAGTTATGAATCCCAGCTATGACTAAATGACTACATGACCAGTTATAGCAATAAAGACTATAATTGTCCTGAGTATATTGTGCAAATACATTTGTTCTTTCTTATATACTTATTATGTGACATAAGATCTATTGACTTTATATTACAGAATTTAAGTATTGTTAGCTTTACATCATAGTATTTAAATTATAGAATATCAAAAGTATAAACATCATCTAGGGATTTTACATCTTTTTCTAAGAAAGGGTTAGTGTGTTTTTAGTTGTGCATAGGCTAGCCTTGTCATATTAGTTGGATGTATGACTTTGTTATTGTCTTTATTTGGAATTAACTGTGGTTTTAAGATGTGCATAGGTGCCAATTTTATAAGAGGTAGAATTCTAATGGTTAATATTATATGTCAAGTAATATGGGTGATATTGGATCAGGTTAATATTTAAATCAATTAACTTTGAGTAAGCAGATGTCCTCCATTACTTAGATGGGCCTCATTCAATCAGAGAACAATAGGAATAGATTCCTCAAGCAAGAGGGCATCCTCTAGCAGATTGCCTTTGTGTGTGTGTGTGTGTGTGTGTGTGTGTATGTGTACACACATCCTGTGTGTTTGGTTTTGCTGAAGAACCCTCACTAATAGCGGAACCAAGACCTCTAATCTTGCAGAGTTTTGTAGATGGGAAGCACAAAGGGCTCTAGTTGGTCACTGAAAATGATGATAAGTGAGACCTTTTCCGTTTTGATGACTTATTTTCCATATCTATATATTCTTCCTAATGGGAACACAGTGACATATAAAGGAACTTAATTTAATTCGTATCCTCATCTTAAAAGACAACAATCTAATCTCTTATCACTTCTACCCTAATGCTTTAACGGCACTTTGGCAGACCATTTCAACCTGCCATTCAGGACAGCGGGTTCTATATGGTGTGGTATGGAATATGACCAGTAGATTCGTGGCTATGAGTCTGCAATCATACCTTGCTTGCTGTAAAGTTGTCCATTTCATTTAATGCAAAATATTCTGATTCTATTTTATGACTAAATTTTAAAAAATGTATTTACCAAATCAATAGGTGCATTTCATGTAGCTGAGTTCATTTTAATCCGCTCTACCAAAGTTACAGCGTGTGTTACAGTGGTTAAAATTGAAACTACTACAACGTCAGTTTGTGATAGTCTACTTTCATTTTCCAGAATTTATCTGGTTTCTGGGAGACCAGATTGGTAAATTAAATAGACATCATCATGGGGACTACTATCCTTTCATCTTTTAGGTCTTTAAGGCTGGCACTAATTTTGCTTACTCCTATAATGAAACATTGTTTTATATTCCCTCTCTTGTCTGGAGGAGGAACAGTTCCAGAGGCTTCCACTGCACTTCACTGTAATGGTTAATTTTGTGTGTCAATTTATCTGGCTCATGGATTGCCAGACATTTGTAAAACAGTATTTGAGTGTGTCTGTGAGAGTCCTGCTGGGTGAGATTAACATTCGATTCAGTAGTTTGAGTAAAGCAGATTATCCTCTCCAAGGTAGGTGGGCCTTGTCCAATTAGTTGAATGCCTGAATAGAACAAAATGGCTGATCTTCTTGCAAGTACAGGAAACTCCTTTGGCCTGAGTACTTGGGCTGGTATATCTTTTCCTGCCTTTGGACTTGAACTGAAACATTGCTTCCTTATGTATCTCAGGCCTGGTGGCTTTTGGACTGAAATTATAACATTGTTTTTCCTGATTCTCAAACCTTTGGACCTGGACTAAAACTTTATCATTGGCTCTCCTGGGTCTTCAGCTTGCCTACTAAAGATCTTGGAACTTCTCAGGCTCTGTAGTCAGGTGAGCCTATTCTTTATAATTTGTCATATGTTATGGTTATATACATGTATTATGAATATATACATATGCATATATTCATCCTACTGGTTTTATTTGTCTGGAAAACCTTAATACATTAATGTGTATTCACCTATACTTTCTCTTGATCCAAGGGACAAGGACTCAAGGTGCTGATTGCACTGCCTACTAAGTATTCTAATATCAATCAAGCATTCAGAGATAAGACCCAATACACGTATATACAGTAAGCTTAGAATTGATTTATTATCTGGCCTGCATGTGTTCCTCTCTAACAAAGGCACTGTGTTTCAGAGTCAGTGTTCTTCCCTCAGTTCCTCTATCGAACAATAGTCTTCAAAATGTTCAATATTTCCTTCTCCTTAATGTACAGTTACCTGTGGAAATGATCATGGGCCTCTTTGAGGAGAACTGGAGAAATCATTATTGTGTAAAATTGACATAAGTTTGTATAGTCCTTCCTCTTTTGAACCCAGTCTCCTTTAAAACAACAGGATCTGCCTGACATCTGGAAACTGTGGAAATGACAGTGATTTTTGTTAGAATATGTGCCCACATCATGAATTCTTTCTTTGTTTTCTTCTTATGGTACAAGCTCAATAGTGCCCATCTAGTTTGCTGCTTGGGGTACCATGTTCAATCTCCATGACTCTATGGGGCCAAGTACCCTTGACTATCACTCTGGTCTTGCAGCTTATTATGATCATTCCCCATCCTCATAGCTTCTAGTGTTTAAGTGTAGCAGCCTGGCTTCCATTGTTTAGGGTCCTATCATTGTTACTGCTATTATTGAGTCTGTGCTACTATTAAGCCCCCTTACAGAGGAGAATTTAGCAAATTTTTCAGTACTACTGGTGGCTCTCTCAATAATGCATTCCAATGGCCTTGGTAATGGCATGTCTTTTGTGCTCTCCATGGTAGGCATTCCTGCCCTACATAGTTCATTCACTTCAGCATGCTCATATCTCTGAGCCTTTTAATCTTATTTTCTGCAGTCTGACATGTAATTCTGGCATTTTAACTTCAATCAGCATCACCCATTCATTTGTCCATGCTTCAAGATACCAGTCTAGTGAGCTTCAAGGTACCAGTCTAGTGACTTCCCTACATTACATGAGGTCCTTGCTAAAGTATTTAAGTCTATCTTGAGGTAGTGCTTCCAAATGAATAAGGGCTTTCCAATCCAATTTTATGTTCTAGTCCCTTGAATCAAGTACTCTTAGAATCTAGTCTCATGCATTTTTCCCTGGCTCCTGCTGGTATGTGTTGGTTAGGTCTAGCCACTTTGAGGGAGCAATTTCTTTTCCTTATTAGACTCAGTATACCCCAACTAAGTTATGCCGTGACTTAATCAAAGTTGTAAACTTAATGGAAGGAGAAGAAATAGAGGCAGATTTTGTCTTGCTTAGAGGGTTCTCTTAAGAGTAAGGGATGTGCCATATTTTCAGGCTCAAAGTGTTCATAAAAACATTTATCTTCAAAATTTTCGTTGACATCCACATAGACGTCCCCATCCCAACTGTCAGGGTCACGTTTGTTCCCAATCAGGACCCTGTTGTAGGCATTACAGACATGTTGTGGTTGGGAATTTAACTTTCTCTGCAGCTGGAATAGCTTTTGGCCTAATCATCACGTTTCTCTATTGCTCCATTTTTGAAGCATAAGATGAGAGTGTCTTTGTAAACTTCTAGGGCTTCTAGGGAGGTCATCTGGCTTTTACAGTTGGTTCTCAATTATTTGTTAATAACTGGGAATTTATATTTATCTTTCAATAGGATATTAATACTAGTCATGTGATTTTTTTTTTTTTTTTTTTTTTTTTTTTTTTTTTTTGAGACAGAGTCTCACTCTGTCGCCCAGGCTGGAGTGCAGTGGCACAATCTCGGCTCACTGCAAGCTCCGCCTCCCGGGTTCATGCCATTCTCCCGCCTCAGCCTCCTGAGTAGCTGGGACTACAGGCGCCCTCCACCACGCCCGTCTAATTTTTTGTATTTTTAGTAGAGACAGCGTTTCACCGTGTTAGCCAGGATAGTCTCGATCTCTTGACCTCGTGATCCACTGGCTTTGGCCTCCCAAAGTGCTGGAATTACAGGCGTGAGCCACAGTGCTTGGCCCAGTCATCTAATTTTATTATCCTTAGAGTTACTCTTTTCTTCAGACTTTTCCACTGACTGCTAAATCACAATAGTTAATATATTTGCTTCTTTTTTCTGTTTATAGATTTAGGGGGTACAAGTGCAGTTTTACTACATGGATATATTACTTAGTGGTGAAGTCTGGGCTTTTAGTATCACCATTACCCAAATACTGTATGTTGTACCCAATATGAAACATCTCCTCCCTTATCCTCCTCCCACACTCCCACCCTTTTGAGTCTCCAGTGACTATTTTTCCACACTCTATGTCCATGTGTACACATTATTTAGCTTTCACTATAAGTGAAAATGTGATATTTGACTTTCTATTTCTGAGTTATTTAAGATAATGGCCTTAGGTTCCATCCATGTAGCTAAAAAGACATAATTTTATTATTTCTTATGGCTAAGTAGTATATATCACATCACATATACAATGTATATCACATTTTCTTTATCCAGTCATTCATTGATGGGCACTTAGGTTGATTCCACGACTTTGCTGTTGTAAATAGTCCTGTGATGAACATATGAATCCACGTATCTTTTTAAATATAATGATTTCTTTTCTTTTAGGTAGACAACCAGTAGTGGGATTGTTGGATGGAATGGCAGGTCTGTTTTTAGTTCTTTGAGAAATCTCCAAACTGTTTTCCACAGAGGTTGTGCTAATTTACATTCCTACCAACGGTGTATAAGCATTCATTTTTCTTCACATCCTTGCCAACAACTGTTGTTTTTGGTCTTTTTAACAGTAGTCATTCTGACTGATGTAAAATGATATCTCATTGTGGTTTTAATTTGCATTTCTCTGATGATTACTGATGTTGGACATTTTTTATACGCTTGCTGGCCATTTTTGTCTTCTTTTGAAAAATGTCTATGTCCTTTGCTCATGTTTTAATGAGATTATTTATTTGTTTGTTTGAGTTGTTTGAGTTCTTTGTGAATTCTGGATATTAGTCCTCTGTGAGATGGATAGTTGGCAAATATTTTCTTCCATTCTGCAGGTTGTCTGCTCACTCTGTTGATTATTTGTTTGGCTATGCAGAAGCTTTTTGGTTTAAGTCCCATTTCTCTGTATTTATTATTGCCGTTTGTGCTTTTGAGGTCTCAGTCATGAATTGTTTGCCTAGATCAAGGTCTAAAGAGTTTTACCTGGGTTTTCTTCCAGTATTTTTATAGTTTTAAGTCTCACATTTAACTCTTTAATCCATCTTGAGTTGATTTTTGTTTCTTTTGAGAGGTAGGGGTACATTTTTATTCTTCTGCATATGGCAATCCAATTTTTTCAGCTGCATTTATTGAAAAGGGTGTTATTTCCCCAGTGTGTGATCTTGTCAATTGTGTCAAGGATCAGTTGGCTGAACATATGTGGCTTTCTCTCTGGATTCTTTATTTCTGAGTTCTATATTCTATTCCATTGACCCAGGTGTCTATTTTCATACCAACACCATGCTGTTTTGTTTGCTATAAACTTGCTGTGTAATTTGAAGTCAGGTACTGTGATGCCTGCAGATTTTCTTTTTTGCTTCAGATTGCTCTGTTAATTTAAGCTGTTTTTTGGTTCCATATAAATTTTAGATTTTTTTTCTTATTCTGTGGTATCTTGATAGCAATCTATAGATTGCTTTGGGCAATATGGTCATTTTGACAATATTAATTCTTCTGATCCATTAGCATGGGATGTTTTCCCATTTGTTTGTGATATTTACTTCAATTTGCTACTAGTGAGAGCTTAAAATATTGGATCACCATCTTGTATCAGAAACTGTCTGTACTACATCTACTGCCAGTTTTGTGATCCTCATCACCAACTAGGCAGTGTGGGATACAGCTCCAAAATCCCGCTATGTCACCTGCTTTCTAGGATCAGTCTTGCTACCAAATATCAGAGGTTGGTTTCTTTAGAAGGAGACCAGCTGTGGAGGTGAAATTTTGATGTGAGGGATACTTGTTAGGAGTTGACAACTGTAGAAGAAAGAGATGGGGAGATAAAGAATTAGGTGGAGGGAGGACTCAAACTACAACCCCAAACCAGCAAATCTTTACCCCATAGGGAGTTACAAAGCACATATGAAATTGTCCCTCAATTCCTGTGGAGGCTGAGCTCTCTTATTCCTACCTGAGTAGCCATTTGGACATGGATCATTCCAGGAACGGAATGTTTTGTGTAACCTGGCTTTCCATGCCTGCAGCAAACAATAAAAATACTGACAAAAGGAAGTTGAGGGTTTTACTGATGGCTTGGGTAACAAGTTCTTGCTTGGAAAAAAAAGTATTGGTCAGTGCATCTCTGTATCTACCACAGCATTCCACTTATAATGCCAATGTACATGGTTAGTTAATTTTTGTGTACATATGTCTTAATCCTCTAATTAAATTGTATGCTTCTGAGAGATAGGATGTGTATATTCTTTGTGTTACAAGAGTAAATAAAAAAGTTCCTGTGGAATTATTTCTATAGAGTCTGTGTAGACCACAAATTTGAAAAGAGTAAGAATCATTCTCTTCTTCTATCTATAGGTCAATGTTGAATTTCACCAACCAAGATAATGCCTGCTAAATGATAAGTATGCAATAAATTATTGAAATATATAAATGCACAATTAAGTACAAAACAGGTATTCATGAAATATTTTAATGAGTTGTTGAATGAATGATTTATTAATGATTCAAAAGCTCATGGCCATTATATAATTTTCAGCAAATAGAATTTAAAAATAAAATAGAATTTAGCACCTAATAAAACTGAAGTCCTTCCAAAGTTAAAATTAGTCTATTATGTTTATCTCTGTTGTTACCCACTGACACAATGTTACAGCAATAAAGGAAGTTATAGTAATGAGCATTAGTGCCCAAATTAATAAAATTCACTTTTTAATTTATGTACATATATATATATATGTATTTTAAGTTCTAATGAGCCTTTTGAGGTATCATAATGATGATTTATAATACAATTAAAATTGTGTTTGACTAGCAGTTATTATTACCACTTCTCACTACATCTCAATGAAAAACCAGATGGCTCATAACAACACAAGCTATGCTGGAAATCATCCTAACTTTAGAAACGGAAAGAAATCCACACTGATTCTAAAGCAATGGGTGGGAACTACATTGAAAGAAAATTATGCTTTTATCTGTCTTACAGTATTCTCAGACTTTCTGTAACTCAAGAAATAGATAAGATATAACAAAAAAATAAAGAAGTATAATACTTTTTATCTTCCTCTACTGTTTGTACACTGAAAACAATTTTTCTTCAATGTGTTTTAAAGTTTGGGGTCCTCTTACACAAAGACTACTCTCTTCAGTTGGAATGCAGACATGTAAGCTTCTATACTTAGTTTCCTACTGTTATTATTTTTCATACATTTTTAGCTGCTTCATACTTGACCTACACTAATCTCAAAGGTGGTTTTATATAAGGATTTTTCTGTTGTCTAATGTTCTGTTTCATCTGAGCAAAGTCTATGTAGGGATTGACAAGAGCTCTTAGTTCTTTCATGGGCTAGGAAAGACAGGATATGTACAAACATTCTTGGTGGGCCATAGGACCTGTAAGTATGCAGTGACCCAATCTTTTTATGCAAAGAAGGAAAAGTGGTAAGGGATAAGATAAATAACACACTTTAATTTTTAAAATAATATGGTAATATTGGTCATGTAATACTGCATTAAAAATATTTCTTCATTTATTTCTTTCAACACTAATTTAGGATTTATATATTGCACTTATTTTAGTCTGCCTACTTGGCTTTACAGAGTATGAAATTAATCACTTTTTGTTCCTTCTTTGAAAAAAATACATATACCTCAGAATATGTCGATTTAACTGGGCTAAGAAATGCACGGACAGCTGGTAATTACTTCTAGTTGTGTCATTGCGGCTATTTCTGGAAGAGATTAGCATTTGAATTTGTAGACTGAGTAAAGAAGATTGCCCTCACCAATTCTGGTGGGCATCATTCATCCAATCCATTGAAGAACTATATACAATATAAAGGCAAAGGAAGGCAAATTTCCTTCTCATTTGAGCAAGGACATTATTCTTCTCTTTCTTTTAGATATCAGAGCTCTTGTTTCTCAGACTTTGGACTTGGATTGAATTACACCACCCTCTGGATTTCCTGGTTCTCTACCTTGCAGATGACAGATCATGGGACTTCTCAGCCTCCAAAGTCAAATGAGCCAAGTCCCATAATAAATTTTTTTCATATCTACATATCTCCTTTTGGTTCTGTTTCACTGGATAACTGACTAATCCAATACTAGTCAATTTCCTCTTTCTTTCTCTATTCCCTTTTTTAAATTTTTTTAACTGACACATAATAATTGTACATTTTAGAGAGTACATAGTTATGTTTCAATACATATAATATATAGTGATCAGATAAGAGTAATTAGCATATCCATTATCTCAAACATTTATCATTTCTTTGTGTTGAGAACACTCAATATCTTCCTTCTAGCTGTGTGAAACTACATAACATATTATTGTTTACTATAATCATCCTACATCATTATAGAAAACTAGAACTTGCTCCTACTAACTAGATGTAATTTTGTGTCATTTAACACGTTTCCCTAATTTCCCCTTTCCCCTGCCATTCCCAGCTTTCAGTATCTTCTCCTTTACTTTTTACTTCAATTAAATCCACATTTTTAACATTTCTACCTATGAGTGAGAACATGTGGTGGTTAACTTTCTATTCCTGGCTTATTTCACTTAATGTCATGTACTCTAGTTCTATCTATGCTGCTGTGAATGACAGAATTTCATTCTTTCATATGGCTTTATAATATTCAACTGTGTACATACCACATTTTCTTTATCCAGTCATCTGCTGTTGGGCATCTAGGTTGATTCCATATCTTGGCTATTGTGAATAGTGCTGCAGTAAACGTAGAGGTGTAGATTTCTCTTTGATACACTTTTTCCTTTCCTTTGGATAAATGCCCAGTGGAGGAATTGCTGGATCATATGATGGCTCTATTTGTAGTTTTTTGAGAAACTTTCATACTGTTTTCTAAGTGACTGTTCTAGTTTACATTCACACCAACAGTATACAAAAGTCCTCTTTACTCCACATACTTAACTGCATTTCTTACTATATTTTTGTTAATATCCATACTAACTGCGGTGAGATATTATTTCTTTGTGGTTTTGACTTGCATTTTCCCAATGATTAGTGATGTTGGCAATTTTTAATATATATGCTGGTCATTTGTATGTCTTCTTTCAGAAATATCTGTTCAGGTCATTTGCTCATTTTTTAAATCTTTCCTTTTTTTCAATGAAGATGTTTGAGTTTCTTCCATATTCTGGACATTAATCTTCTGTAGGTTGCCTTTTTACATTGTTGATTGTTTCCTGTGCAGAAAATTTTTAGTTTCATATAAATCCACTTATTTATTGTTGCTTTTGTTGTCAATCTTTTAAAAAAACACTTCAACTTTTATTTTAGATACAGGGTATAGAATGTGCAGATTTGTCATATGGAAATTGCAATACAGATCCCATCACCTAGGTAGTGAGCACAGTACCTGATAGCTGTTTTTTTCATTTTCATTTTAATTTTTTTCCCATCACCCCTACCTCCATTATTTTAGTCCACAGTATCTATGTCTATTGTTTCCATATTTATGTCCACCGGTGCTCAATATTTAGCTCTCTACCCCAGTAATTGAGAACATGTAGTATTTAATTTCCTGTACCTGCATTACTTTGCTTAGGGTTACAGCCTCCAGCTCCATCCATATTTCTGCAAAGGCCACAATTTTATTATTTTTTATGGCTGTGTAGTATTTCATGATGTATGAACCACATTTTTTATCCAATCTACTATTGGGCATCTGGGTGATTCCATGTCTTTGCCGTTATGAAGAGCATAACAATGAACATACAAGTGCATGTGTCATTTTGGTAGAATAATTTATTTTCTTTTGGGTATATACACAGTAATTGATCACTTGGTCAAATGGTAGCTCTGTATTAAGTTCTTTGAGAAATCTCTGCACTGCTTTCCACAGTGGCTGGACTAATATACATTCCCTCTAACAGTGTATAGAGCATTCCCTTTTCTCCACAGCCTCACCAGCATCTGTTATTTTTTGAATTTTTAATAATAGCCATCTGACTGGTGTGACATGGTGTCTCATTGTGGCTTTTATTTGTGTTTCTTTGATGATTAGTGATACTGAGCATTTTTTCATGTTTTTTGGCCACTTGTATGTCTTTTTTTGAAAAGTGTTCATGTTCTTTGCTAACTTTTAGTGGGTTATTTGTTTTTTCCTTGTTGATTTGTTTAACGTCTCTGTAGGTTCTGGATATTAGGCCTTTGTCAGATACATAGTTTGTGAATGTCTCTCCCATACTCTGGGTTGTCAGTTTGCTTTGTTGACAGTTTCTTTTGTCGTGCAGAAGTTCTTTAGTTTAATTAGCTCCCACTTGTCTATTTTTGTTATTGTTGCAACTGCTTTTGGGGACTTAGCTAAAATTTTTTGCCAAGGCCAATGTCTAGAAGAGTATTTTCCAGATTGTCTTACAGGATTTTTGTAGTTTGAGGGTTTTACATTTAAATCTTTAATCCATCTTAAGTTGATTTTTGAATATGGTGAAATGTAGGGTTCCAGCCTCAATCTTCTGCATATAACTAACCAGCTATCCATCACCATTTATTGATTAGGAACTCCTTTTTCTGTTGCTTGTTTTTGTCAGCCTTGTTGGAGATCAGATGGCTGTAGGTATGCATCTTTATTTCTGAGTTTTCGAGTCCATTCCATTGGTCAATATGCATGTGTTTGTACCAGTACCAAGCTCTTTTGGTGACTGTGGCTTTGTACTATAGTTTGAACTTGGGTAGTGTTATTTTTGCTTAGGATTGCTTTGTTAATTTGGGCTCTTTTGTGGTTCCATATGAATTTTAGAATAGTTTTTATTTTCTCAAATTCTGTGAATAATGACATTGGTGGTTTATAAGAAAGACACTGACTCTGTAAATGGCTTTGGGAAGTATGGCCATTTATATGATATTGATTCTTCCAATCCATGAGCATGGAATGGTTTTCCATTTATTTGTGTCAGCTCTGATTTTCTTCAGCAGTGTTTTGTACTTCTGCTTGTGGAGATAATTCACCTTCTTGGTTACCTGTATTCCCAGTTATTTCATTTTCTTTGTGGCTATTGGATCCCAGATATCTGTAGTGAGAGTGACCAGACCTCTGTCCATTCATGCACTCCTTCTGCAGGCACCATTTGAGGCAGGGAACAAGTTGTAGCATTTAGGCAACCCCATGCAGGGTTCCCAACTTCCTCCTCCTTTTACCACAGTGACTACATCTTTTCTCTATCCATTCCAATGTTTTCTCTCAGAAAATCTGTTCAAATCATGAGGTAGTCAAAATCGCAGTCCCTTTCTGAGGGAGTGGTACTTTCCAGCTGTATTTCATGACCATCTTGGAAAAAGTCCACATTGCCAGTATTTTTGAGGTCTTATTCATAAAATCTTTTCCCAGATCAGTGTCCTAAAGTATTTTCCTCATGTCTTATTCTAATAATTTTGTAGCTTCCATTCTTACATATAGGTCTTTAATCAATTTTGAGTTGATTTTTGTATACAGGAGAGATAGGGGTTTAGTTTTATTCTTCTGCATGCTGATATCCACTTTTCCCAGCACCATTTGTTAAAGAGACTGTCTTTTCCCCAATGAGTGTTCTTGACACCTTTGTCAAAAATCAGTGAGCTATAGATGCATAGATTGATTTCTGGATCCTCTGTTCTGTTGGTCTGTGTGTTTATTTTTATGTCAGTACCATGCTGTTTGTATTACTGTAGCTTTGTAGTAAATTTTGAAGTCAGATGGTGTGATGCCTCCAGCTTTGTTTATTTTCCTCAGTATTGCTTTGGCTATTCAAAGTCTTTTGTGGTTTCATTAAAAATTTAAGTTTTTTCTCTATTACTATGAAGAATGTCATCAATATTTCAATAGAGATTGCCCTTAATCTAAAGATTGCCTTGAATAGAATGGTCATTTAACTCTATTAATTCTTCCAATCACTGAGCATGGTCTTTCCATTTGTTTGTATTCTCTTCAATTTCATTATCATGTTTTGTAGTTTTCTTTGTAGAGCCATTTCAACTCCTCAGTTAAATTAATTCCTAGGCATTTTATTTATTTTTTGTAGCTATTTTAAATGGGGTTGCCTTTTTTATTTCTTTTTTGGTTAGTCTATTGTTTGTGCACAGAAACACTCTTGATATTTGTCTGTTGATTTTTTTATTCTGCACCTTCCTAAATTTGTTTATCAGCTCTAAGAGTTTTTTGGTAGATTCTTTAGATTTTTCTATTTGTATGATGATGTTGTCTGAAACAGGAGCAATGTAACTTATTCTTTTCCAATGTAGATGCCTTTATTTATTTCTCTTGCCTAATTGCTCTGGCTAGGACTTCCAGTACTATGTTGGATAAAAGAGATGAGAATGGACATCTTTGTCTTTTTTCAGTTCTTAACGTAAAATATTTCAGCTTTTGCCGTTTAATATGGTGTTACCTGTGGATTTGCCATATATGGTCTTTTTTACATTTTTTTCTATACCTAATTTGTTGACAGTCCTCATCATGAAGATATATTTAATTTTATCAAATGATTTTTCTGCATTTCTTGAGATGATCAGATGATTTTTGTCCTTCATTCTGTTGATAAAGCATATTATGTTTATTGATGTTGTATGTTGAACCATCCTTTCATTCCTGAGGTAAATCCCACTTAATCATGGTGTTTTATCCTTTTGATGTATTGTTGGGTTTAGTTTTCTAGTATTTTGTTGACAAAATTTGTGTTTACATTCATCAGGAATATTGGCCTGTAGTTTTCATTTTTTGTTGTGTCATTGTCTGATTTTGATATCAGGGTTATGTTGACCTTTTAGAATAATTTAGAAAGAGCTCCCTTCACTTCCATCTTTGGGAATAGTTTGAGAAGACTTATTATTAAGTGTTCTTTAAATGTTTGGTAGAGTTCAGTGGTGAAGCCATCTGGTCCTGGACTTTTCTTAGGTTTTGTTTTGTTTCAGATTCAATATCCTTACTTGTTATTGGTCTTTTCAGAAATTTTATTTCTTTGCAGAGCAATCTTGGTAGGTTGTATGTATCTAGGAATTTATTCATTTCCTCTAGTTTTTCAAATTTATTGGTATATAGTTTTTAATAATAGTTTCTAATGATCCTTTGTATTTCTGTGGCATTTGTTATTTCAGCTTCTTTGGGTAGATATACCAAGGAACATGATTACCCAATCACAGGGTAAGAGTATGCTTAGTTTTGTAAGAGACTTTCAAACTGTCTTCCGATGTGACTGTACCATTTTGCAATTTCACCAGCAAAGAATGAGAGGTTTTGTTGCTTTATATCTTTGCTAGAATTTGACATTGTCAGTGTTTTGGATTCTTATCACCCTAGTAGGTGTGTAGCGGTATAGCATTGTTTAATTTGCAATTCTCTAATAGTATATAATATTGACAATCATTTTATATGCATATTTATCATGAGTATATGTTCTGTCATGAGACATTAATTTTTATCCGATTTTTAATCAGATTGTTTATTTTCTTACTGTTGAATTCTAAGAGTTCTTTATGCATTTTGAATAACAATCCTTAATCAGATACATGTTCTGTAAGGATTTTCTTAGTGTCTGTGGCTTGTCTTCTCATTTCCTTTACAGTGTCTTTCACAGAGCAGAAGTTTTTCATTTTAATGAAGTCCATCTCATCAATTGTTTCATGGATCATGCCTTTGTTGTTGTAGCTAAAATTTATCACCAATCCCAAGGTCATTTAGAATATTTGCTATGTTTTCTTCTAGGAGACTTGAATGTTTTTCATTTTACATTTAAGTGTGTGATTCATTTACAGTTAATTTGTGTTGAGATGTTAAGGTCTCTGTTTAGATTCATTGTTTTGTATGTGGATGACTAGTTGTTCCAATACCATTAGTTAAAATAAAAATCTTTACTCCGTTGCATTGGCATTTGCTCTTTTGTCAAAAATAAGTTGACTATATTTGTGTTGGTATATTTCTGGTCTCTGGATTCTGTCCCATTGCCTATTTGTCTATTCTTTGGCCAATACCACACTGTCTTGATTACTTTAGCTTTACAGAAACACCTGAACATGTTTAGTGTCAGTTTTCTGCCTTTATTTTTCTCATTCAATATTGTAAATTAGGATCCTGCCACTTATGTTAAGATTCCACCTCCTATCAGATCAGCAGTGGTGTTAGATTCTCTTAGGAACATGAACCCTACTGTGAACTGTACATGCAAGGTATCTAGGTTGCATGTTCCTTAGGAGTATTGAATGCCTTATGGTCTGAGGTAGAGCTGAGGTGGTGATGCTAGCACTGGGGGGGCAGCTGAAAGTACAGATTAACATTAGCAGAGAGGTTTTGATGGCACAGAGGCCATAATAAATTAATTGCTTACAGACTAATATCAAAAACCTATCAGTGATTGGCAAGTGAGAATTAAGCTGTATCTTGTGGCAGGCTTTATAATGCCAAGTGAGTTGATGTACTTCAATTGTACAGGCTTTGAGTCAGAATTCGACACTTATTTTTTATTCTGTGCATGGCCTGCCCATTATTTTATTTACCACTTCCATCTGTGCCTCTTTATCACACTTTGCACTTGTCTCAGTCAGTTTTGGTAAGCCCACAAGCTAACCCTAGCCAAAATGAGTAAAAAACAAATGTCACTGGAGAGTTCTTTGAAAGGGGAGACAGGCCCAATGATGAGGCAGCAGAACACTCTAAGTAAGACTGCAAACAAAAATAAAGCTACATTTAAAAGAAAATACCAAGAGTTCTACTTAAATTATGAGTTCATTGCAATAGGTTATTCACATTGTCCAAGTCCGCTTTGTATACTGTGATGACCAGCTATCCAACTAAGCCATGAAACCTTCCAAATTGCTTTGCCATATGGAGACAAAGCACCCCGCATTAAAAGACAAGCCTTTGAGCAGGGCACGAGGGCTCACACCTGTAATCCCAGCACTTTGGGAGTCCAAGGTGGGTGGATCACTTGAGGTCAGGAGTTCGAGACCAGCCTGGCCAAAATGGTGAAACCCTGTCTCTACTAAAAATACAAAAAAAAAAAAAAAATAGCTGGGTGTGGTGGTGCATGCCTATAATCCCAGCTACTGGGGAGGCTGAGGCAGGAGAATCACTTGAACCTGGGAGGTGGAGGTTACAGTGAGCCGAGATCATACCATTGCACTCCAGCCTGGTGTGCAAAAAAAAAAAAAAAAAAAAAAAAAAGATAAAAAAAGAAAAGAAAGATAAGTCTTTGGAGTTGTTTGAAAGAAAAACATGAACACAAAGAACAGAAGTAATTATTGAAGGTCATCATTTCATCAAATGTGTCTGCACTGAGAGCATTATTTTTAGTGGCTAACCACGTTGCTAAAGCTAAGAATCCCTTTACTATTGGTGAAGAGTTGATGCTGCCTGCTCCTGAGGACATCTGTCATAAACTTTTAGGAGAGGCTGCAGTTCAAAAGGTGGCACATGTTGCTCTTTTGTCTAGCAACATGACTAGATGATTTGATGAAATAGCAGAGGATATTGAGGCACAATTGTTAGAAAGGGTTAATGAGTCACCTTGGTGCACAATCCAGGCTGACGAGTCTACTGATGTTGACAACAAAGCAACAATGCTTGTCTTTGTGTGATATACTGTTTCAGAAGGATGGGCGTGAGAATATATTATGTGCACTTTCATTGCCAAACGACACCACAGCTGTAGAATCATTCAAGTCTTTGAATGATTACATATCAGGAAAAATTATTTGGTAATTTTGTGTTGGTATATGCATGAATGGAGTGGCTGCCATGAGTGAATGGCTTTTTGGTTTCAATACTTGGGTCAAAGAGGTCACTTCTGAATGTGAGTCTATGCACTGTGTCATCCATATGGAATACTGGCTACCTGAAAATGCCACATGGACTAAATGCTGTTTTGGAGGATGTGATTAAAATTACCAGACACATTAAAGTACATGCCCTTAACTCACATCTGTTTGTACAGCTCTGTGAAGAACTGGACACAAAGCACACACATCCTCTTTATAGACAGAAATAAGGTGGCTTTTTAAAGGTAGATCACTGGCTAGAGCTTTTGAGTTACAAGAGCCATTTCAGAGATTTCTTTTATAAAAACAGTCACCACTGGCAGCACATTTCAGTGACACAGATTGGGTCACAAAACTGCTTACTTGTGTGACCTATTTAACCTGCTCAACAAACACAATCTGTCACTTCAGAGGAAAACAACTGTGTTCAAGTTGGCAGATAAAGTGGCTACATTCAATTCCAAACTGGAATTATGGGGGTGACAAGTGAACACTGGGATCTTTGTCATATTTCAAACATTAGCGGAAATTTTGAAAAAGACTGAGCCAGGGCTTTCTTTCTCCCAGCTGGTGCATGATCACCTATCTCAGCTTTCAAAAGAGTTTGAGCATTACTCCCCAACCACAAAAGACCCCAGAACTAAGAAGGAATGGATCCGTGCTCCATCTGTGAATAAGCCAGGTGAATCGATTTTGTCTGTCCTAGAAAAGGATCAACTGTTTGAGATAGCACATGACAGTGGCCTTAAAAGTACGTTTGCACAACTTCAAGGCTCCATACATTCTGAAATAAAGTCAAGGCATAATATCCTGAGATTGCCACAAAAGCACCAAAAAGCCTACTTCTACTTCCAACATCCTATCTTTCCAAAGCAGGGTTTTCTGCAGTGACCACAACCAAAATGAGATTACAGAGTACACTGGACATAAGCAAGACACTTCGGTGTTACTGTCTCCCATCACCACCAAATGGGACTGTCTTGTTGCAGGAAAAGAAGCTCAGGGCTCCCACTGTTTCTACATTATGGTGATTTGTTAAATTATTTGATTATGTATTACAATTTAATAATAATAGACATAAGGTGCACAAGAAATATAATGCTCTTGAATCATCCTGAAACCACCCCCCACCAACTCTGGTCTGTGGAAAAATTGTCTTCCACCAAATGGGTACCTGCTATCAAAAAGGTCAGGGACCACGTTTCTTTGCAGTCATTTATCTGCTTTATATATTCGTACATAACTTCAGGCAAAATTTGCTTTGTCCTATTTTTTTCCCTGCAGTTTTCAGAGTCACTTTCACTCTCAAATAGTGCACACCATTCAGAAATGGGGATTGAACGTGCTTGAGCGACAGTGAAGCACTCATTCCTAGGGAGTACAGACATAGCAGAAACTTTCTCAGGTTACTTCCATTAAAAAAAAGAAAAAGAAAAGAAAAGTAAAGGGACTTGAACAACTACTGTATTTTATGATATATTTAAACTTAAGGTCTTTTTGCTGCATTTTAGCATGTGTGTTCAAGTCTTGGCTTAGGAGAAAATTGCAAACATCTGGTTTCAGAGTAAGAGGATTTGATAGTTGTTAAGGGTTGTTAGTAAAAAGAGAAATTCTTCAGCTAGGCATCAATATATTTTCAAAGACAGTATTGAATGTATTGTTGTAACTTGTCTTAAAGGCTTAACTGGAAAATTAAAAACATAATAGTTCTCTATTATGGATTGTGTAACTAATTATTTAATTAATTCTTTTAAGCAAATTTCAGAACAAAAGAATTTCCTAAAGGAGTAGCAATAAAAGGGAAGATCAAGGTGGACAATAGAGGAAGAAAAGCAAGAGATTGAGAGGTGGGACGAAACACTGGCGTCACAAGTAGACAGAAATAAATTGCAGAGTCTCTACTGAATAAGCCTCTGGAGATGGCAATTTAATAATAACATGCATTTTTAAAGATTTAACACATTAAAACAAATATCAAAAATATTTTTAATAATAAAATTAGTTTGTTTCAAGATCTATTATGGCTAATGTGTAATTCTCTTGCATAAATTCCTGATACTTATCTTTTAATTAAGTTTCATTTCTGTAATGATGATAATCTACCAAAAACACAAATCAGCAGGAAATCATGGTATGTAGTTCTTGCTTCTTTGGGTGGAGAATATGTATGTATTTTTTATATGGTGTGTGTGTGTGAGAGAGAGAGAGTGTGTGTGTGTGTGTGTGTGTGTGTGTTTACTGATACAAATAGCTTCATAGACTCTAATCACATAATTATAAGATCACAAATATGAATTCTGAGCTTTATATAATATGAAATAACATGCATTTCGTCTTTTCAGCAGGTGGAAAATTTTAAGGGAAATGCATATAAATATATTTTAAATTGTCTATTGATTTGAATTGTCTGGCCTGAGAGAAAGTTAGATAGATTCAGATTAAATCAAACCACACAAAAGATACTTTAAAGTAATTCTTTTCATTTTGATATTTCTAGCAACATAAAATGTGTGGAAGAAAATTAGAAATGTAAAGCAAAATCTCATTAAAAAATTCTAAGAATTGTCAACTTGGCAGCAAAATTGAAATTCATCTTGTGTATGAAAAACATACCTTTAATATCAAGAAACTAAGATGTGCATTATGACAAAAAATTCTATTCAGCAAGTATATTTATTTACAAAAAATACAAAATTATATTTAGTGGTATGTAAATTTCCTTAGAACCTATATCTATTGTCTCTAGTTGTATAATATACAGGGTGATACCAATCTACAGGGAAACAATATCAAAGTAAGCCAAATAAAAAAGAAAAACCATGTACTACTGGTTGCTAGGAATTAAAGCTGATGAGATCGCTTAGGAGCAGTGCACAACTCAGCTGTATCCTGACTTCCTCCTTAAGTCTCAATGTCTTGATATAAAAAGTATGTTCAGGCAGAAGGATCAAAATGGCTGACTAGATACAAGTAATAGTTGCCTGCTACCTGGAGAGAAATCAGAGTAAAAGTAGATACATTTTGAACAGATCATCTAAAAGAGAGTGCAAGGATTCACGAGAGAAAAGAGAGAAAGTGCCAGAATTAAGCAAGGAGAGGGTTTGAGGCAGCTTGCCTGGCCAGAGACTGACTGAGAGCCAAGAGAGGCTGGACATGGGAAGCTGTAAGAGAGAAACTCCCAGGCACCACACTATAAAAGGGGCTTTTACAGTCTTGGCTATAGGAGAAACCCTCCACCCACTAGGGCCTCGGGCCTTACAAATGGAGCTGCCTAAAGATTGCACAGAACTGTTGCTCCAGAAAGGAACCCATACCAAATCCCACAGGCATCTTACTCTGGATTAACCTTAGCTGCTAGCCTTAGCTATACATTTTCAGAGTGTACCTACCAGGGATCTATAGACACAACTACCGCCACTGCACTGCTCCAAAGAGGGAGAGGGTCCCTGAGAGGGTCCTTACCACCCTGCTGTTGAGTCTGAAATGTGAGCATTTCCCACAGCTTCCTGCCCAGGTTGCTTTCCTGGGAGGGGTCTAATATGGTTTGGCTCTGTAGACCCACCCAAATCTCATCTTAAATTGTAATCCCCACATGTTGAGGGAGAGACCTGGTGGGAGGTGACTGGATCATGGGAGCAGTTTCCCTCATGCTCTTCTTGTGATAGTGAGTGAGTTCTCACAAGATCTGGTTGTTTTTGTAAGTGTGTGGTTCTTCCCCTTCACTGTCTCTCTCTCTCCTGCCACCTTGGGAAGAAGAATCCTGCTTCCCCTTTGTCTTCCACCTTGATTTTAAGTTTCCTGAAACCTCCCCAGCTGTACAGAACTGTGAGTCAATTACACTTCTTTTGTTCATAAATTACCCAGTCTCAGATATTCTTTATAGCAGTGTCAGAACAAATTAATACAGGATCCTGCCCTCTCTGGTCCCAGGGCAAAGGTGCCATTTTGAGAGTTTAACACTGGGCTGCACCTCACCTTTGGGTTGCTGCACCTCACATTGGCTACTGCCTAGCCAGTGAAGGGCAGATATTTTTTTCTCTACTTATTTTACTGTATTTTATTTTAATTTATTATGATTTTTTTCTGTTCAAATTTTATTTTAGGCTTAGGAGTACATGTGCAGGTTTGCTGCATGTGTAAATTGTGTGTTGCAGCCATTTAGCATAGAGATAATTTTGTCACCCAGGTGATGATCATAGTATCTGATAGGTTTTCAAACCTCACCCTCCTGCCACCCTCCACCCTCAAGTAGGTCACAATGTCTATTGTTCCCTTCTTTTGTACCATGTGTACTCCATGTGAAACAGACTTGAGAAAAAAATTTAAAAAAAAAACCAAGAAGTTCATTGTATAATGATAAAGGTATTAATTTAGCAAGAGGATATAACAAACCTAAGTAGATATGCAGCCAACACTGAAGAACCCAAATTCATAAAACAAACATTCCTAGACCTAAAAAAAAGAGACAAACAGAAACACAATAATAATATAGGACTTAAATACTCAGCACTAGGCAGATCATTGAGACAAAATTAAACAAGAAATGTTGGACTTAAATTGTACTTAAACCAAATAGGCTTAACCAACAATTATAGAACACTCTACCCAACAACTACAGAACATATATTGTTTCCATCAACACTTGGAACCTTCTCTGAAGTAGGCTGTATGTTAGGCCACAAAGTAAATTTTAACAAGTTTTTAAAAATCAAAAAATTATATTATATATATTCTCAGATCACAGTGGAATAAAGTTAGGAAGTGTACCAGGAAAAGCTTTGGAGGCTATACAAGTACATGTAAATTAAAAAGCATGCTACTGAATGATCACTGGTTTAAGAAAAAAATTCAGATGAAAACTATAAAACATTTTGAAATGAATGAAGATATAAATACAACATACCCAAATCTGTAGGATACAGCAAAAGAGGGAAGTTTATAGCATTAGATGTCTCCACCGAAGAATCAAAATGTAACAAATTAATAACGTAACATTGTACCTCATGGAACTAGGAAAACAAAATCAAACTGAACCCGCAGTTAGCAGAAGAAAAAATAGCAGAGATCGGAGCAGAACTAAATTATATAAAGACCAAAACACAAATGCAAGAGATTAAGGACCCACAACTAGGTTCTTTCAAAGGATAAACAAAGTTAATATACCACCAGATAGACTAACCGACAAAAGAGAGAAGAGTCAAATAAACACAATCAGAAATGAAAAAGGAGACATTGCAAGTGATAACACACAAAGACAAAAGATTATTAGAGACTATTATAAACAACTATACACTCATAAACTAGAAATTAAGGAAATTGGTTAAATTCCCAGAAATGTACAACATCCCAAGATTTCACCAAGAAGAAATAGAATTCGTGAACATGCCATTAATGAGAAGTGGGAATTAATTCATAAGAAAACTTCTCCTTCAGGACAAAATAGATTAACAGCCAAATCCTACTAAACAGTCAAAGAAGAACTAATACCAATTATTCTAATACTATTCTAAAAATTAATGTGGAAATTTTTTTTTCTAGATAATTATATGAGTCTAGTATTATCTGATACCAAAACCAGACAAAAAAGGACACAACAACAAAAAAACTACAGACCAACACCTTTGATGAATATAGATGCAAAGATCCTTAACAAAATACTAACAGATGAAATCCAGCAGTGTGTCAAAAAGATGAAATATCATGATTAGGTGGGATGTACCCGAAGAATGCAAAGATGGTTTAACATGCACAAATCAACAAATGTGATACATCACAATAACAGAATTAAAAATATAAATAATGTGATCCAGTCGATAGATGCAGAAAAAACATCCAATGAAATTAAGGATCAAAAAAAGGTATCCAAATTGGAAAAGAGGAAGTCAAATTATCTTTGATCATGGATAATACGATCGTATATCTAGAAAACCCAAAAGACATCACCAAAAAAACTCTTAGATTTGCTAAACGAATTAGTAGAGTTTCAGGATACAGAATTAACTTACAGCAATTATTAATGTTTCTATACATTAATAACAATCTAGCCAAGGACCCAAACAAGAAAGCAACCCCATTTACAATAGCTACTTAAAAAATGCCTGGGAATATATTTAACAAAGGAGATGAAAGACATTTATAAGGAGAATGAAGAAACACTAATGAAAGAAATGGTATATGAAATACAGAAATAGAAAACCTCCCACACTCATGGGCTGGAAGAATTAATATTGTTAAAATGACTATACTGCCCAAAGCATTCTACACATTCAGTGCAATGTCTATCAAAATACTAATGCCATTTTTCACAGAATTTGGAAGAATAATCTTAACTTCATATGGAACCAGGAAAGATGCCAAATAGCCAAAGAAATCCTAAGCAAAAGTAACAAAACTGGGGTCATCACATTACTTGAGTTTAAATTATACTACAAGTAACTACAATTAAATTACTACAAGCAATCAAAGCAGTGTGGTACTAGTATAAAAATAGACACATAGATCAATGAAACAGAATAGAGAACCCACAAATAAAGCCACATATCTACAACCAACTGATCTTTGACAAAGTTGACCAAAATATACAATGGAAAAATGACAACACATTCAGTTAAGTGGTGCTGGAAAAATTGGATAGCCAAATGCAGAAGAGTGAAACTAGACCCATGTCTTTCACCGTATATAAAAATTAACTCAATATGGGTTAATGACTTAAATATAAGACATGAAACTATAAAAATCTTAAAAAGAAAACCAAGGAAAATGTCTTCTAGACATTTCCCTAGACAAATAATTAATGACCAAGTCCTCAAAAGCACATGCAACAAAACCAAAAATAGACAAACGGACTTAAACTAAAAAGCTTCTGCACAGAAAGAGACAATCAACAGAGTAGAGACGATCTACAGAATGGGAAAAATATTTGCAGGCTATGCATCTAGTATTTAGAATCTGCAAGGAACTCAAATAACTCAACAAATAAAGAAGCTCATTAAAAAGTGGGCAAAGGACATGAACAGACATTTTTTAAAAGAAGACATACAAGCAGTTAAGAAACCTGAAAACATGTTCAACATCACTAGTCATCAAAGTATGAATAAAACTGTAATGAGACACCATCTTACACCAGTCAGAATGGCTATCATTAAAGTGTTGAACAACTATAGATGTTGGCAAGGATGTAAAGAAAAGGGAATACTTGTACACTGTTGGCAGGAATATAAATTAGTGCAACTTTTATGCAAAACAATAGGTAGAATTGTCAAAGAATTAAAAATACGACTACTTTTTTTTTTTTTTTTTTTTTTTGAGATGGAGTTTTGCTCTTTGTTGCCCAGGGTGGAGTGCAGTGGCGTGATCTCGGCTCACTGCAACCTCTGCTTCCTGGGTTCAAGTGATTCTCCTGTCTCAGCCTCCTGAGTAGCTGGGATTACAGGTGTGTACCACCATGCCTGGCTAATTTATTTTTTTAGTAGAGACGGGGTTTCATCATATTGGCCAGGCTGATCTCGAACTGAATACCATTTTAACCAACAATTTCACTACTGGCTATATACCTAAAGAAAAAGAAATCATTATGTCAGAAAGATACCTGTACTTGTATGTGTACTGCAGCACTACTCACAATAGTAAAGGTATAGAATCAGTGTTAAGTTTCCATCAATAGAGGATTGGTTGAAGACAATGTATATATACACTATGAAATACTACTCAGCCATAACAAAGAATGAAATCATGTTTCATTTTTGTTTTTGTTTTGCAGCAATATGGATAGAACTACAGACCATTATTCTAAGTGAAATAACTCAGAAATATAAAGTCAAATACCATATGTTCTCAATTATAAATGGGAGTTAAACAATGAGTACACATGGACATGCAATGTCCAATAGACATTGGAGTAACAAAATTGGGAAGGTGGGAGGCAGGTGAGAGTTTAAACATTACCTATCGGGTACAACGTTAACTATTCAAGTGATGGGTGCTACAAACCCAGACTTCACCACTACCCCAATATATGCATATAAGAAATCTACACTTGTGCCCTCTACATATGTTAATATTAAATTTTTTTTCTAAATAAAAAAGTATGTTTACATATCCAAGCTTAAAGTTGTAATCTGTATGTACACCTTAAAGTTTTGCTCTTGATATTTAAGATAAAAATTTAAATTTTGGCCAGATGTGGTGGCTCACGCCTGTAATCCCAGCACTTTGGAAGGCTGAGGTGGGCGGATCACTTGAGGTCAAGAGTTCAAGACCAGCCTGGCAAACATGATGAAACGCCGTCTCTACTAAAAATACAAAACATTAGCCAGGTGTGGTGCTGTGTGCCACTAATCCCAGCCACACAGGAGGCTGAGACAAGAGAATCACTTGAACCCAGGAGGCGGAGATTGCAGTGAGCTGAGATCGCCCCACTGCACTCCAGTCTGGGCGACAGAGTGAGACTCCATCTCAAATAAATAAATAAATATATAAAATTTGACAATTTAGATATTAGTCACATTTTGTACAATCAATGCATTTAAGTGATATAGTTCAATTTTTATTATATTCATAGAGTTGTGCTATTATAAAAGAAATGATTATTTCATGATACTTAGTTAAAGCACTAAGGAAGACTGTATTTAGGAACATTACAATAGACATAAAGACCACTACAATGAGTTCTCACTGTGGGATAGAAAGACAGGGCTCAACTGTGACTACAGTGTGGGTAAATGAGGATTTATATAGCCAACTAGCAAGGTGGGGGATGGTGAATGGAAATTTGCAAGAGGATATCTCAGGGGTAAGTGTGATTCTGGCTAAATTCACCTAACAAGATTCTTGGTGAAGACAGGCCAGGGCAATCAGATATCCCCTGGGGGATGCTGGAGGATGAAGAGCCTGATCAAATATCTAGGATAATCAGATGTTGAGGATGAAGAGGTCTTTGTTGAATTGACTTAGCTGAGTTCTTTGCTAAAACTGGATTTTATAAGAAAGTAAATAAGTGGACCTAGGGGAAGTTTCAGGAGACTGACTAAGGGATGCTCAAGCAGAGAATTTTTGTAACTACTATGACCACAGTCATTTGAGAACAGTTTCATTAATCTACAAAAAAACTATATAAGAATCTGCAATCACTCCCCAGATCCCCACCTCACATGCCCCTTAAGCTACCACTAGTCTACTTTCTGTCTCCATAGATTTGCCAACTCTGGAAATATCATGCAAATTAAATTATGCAATCTGTGATGTTTTCTGACTGATTTATTTTATATATCATCATGTTTTCAAGGGTCACCCATGTTGTAGCATGTATCCATAATCCATTTTTTATTTCAAAATAATATTCCAATGTATGAATATATCACATTTTATCTATTCATTCAGAGATTGGTGAACATTTTGCTCACCTCCAATATTTGGCTACTATAAAAATGCCACCACAAACTTTCATGTGCAAATTTTTACATGGATATGTGTTTTTATTTATTGGTATATACCTAGAAGTGAAATTTCTGGGTCACATGGTTGTCTAACTAACATTTGATGAACTGCCAAACTGTTTTCTAAAGGAGCTGCACACTTTTACATCCCCACCAGCAATTTATGAGGCTTCTATTTTCTCCACATCTCATGAACACTTGTTATATCTTCCTTTTTCTGTACCCAATCAAATAAGGGGGAAGTTCTATTTCATTGTGTTTTGCATCTTCCTAATTGCTAATGAAATTGAGTGTCATTTCGTCTCTTATTGGCTAGAGATGGAGTGGGGACAGTTCCAACTTTTCTTTGAGTGGTAATGTTGCTGTGTGAGTTAGGAAAGATGGCCTCAGGTCTTTTTGGTTTCCTTCTCTTTGTGTAGAACTTCCACCTTATGAGTAAGCTGAGGTAAGAGGCACGGGGGCCTAGTATTCTCAGCAGAACTTCTGTCCTATAAGAGGAGGGTGAACTGAGGAAGAGAATCTAAGATTTTTCAGCCTCTCTTGCTTGGATAGCATTCCTGCAAGATAGAGATGGGGTTTTGATATATGGTGGCAGC
Source organism: Homo sapiens (assembly GCF_000001405.40). NCBI lineage: Eukaryota > Metazoa > Chordata > Mammalia > Primates > Hominidae > Homo > Homo sapiens. The sequence continues at coordinate 77,793,965 of NC_000008.11, read as the reverse complement.
TTGTCCCTTCTGGGGAAGATCTGGTAGCCCTAAACTAGGAATTGGTAGAAAGGAAAACTCTTTTCTTGTCTGAAGTACAGCACCCATCTCACTGATTTTGGAAGAAGGGAAAAGAGTGAGGGGATTACGGCTCAAATGAAAGAAGCTGCTATTCTTATGAAGATTTGGTAGGTTTCTCTTGAATAATCATCTCCGTATTTGTGGTATGTCCTTAGGATAATTTCAATAAATGTTTGTTTGTTTTTAAAACAATATTAAACAGTTAATGGTTATTTTACTAAAAAGAAGGTCACAGATCTCTTCACACTTCGTTTTTCCAAATTTGCCTTTCTCAGAATATCTTGAATTTTGAAAGCCCTCCTCTGCCTTGAAAAAGATGAGATTTCAAATGATTCTTTGAAAATAAATGTATAACTTGAGAAGCAATTGAGTGCAATAAATCCTACAATTTGGTGCAATGAGTCCTTCTCTCAACTGTATCCATATTCTTCTTGAATAAATTAGTTAAAATTATATAGTGGTAGGGGAAGCCAAGGGTTGACTGGAAATAAGTGATTTTAGAAGTGAAAATATCCCCCAGCATTACCCTGGGTACATTTAATATTTGAGTCATAACTTTGATAAAGGTTTTTTATTTTTCTCAGTATAATTGCTCTTATAAATTTAATCTATTATGTGTGTTTATTTTACCCTGAAGTTTTCCCATTGTCTTCATTATACTGTTTTATGGCATCTTTATTTCCCTAATAATTCCCATCCTAGAGTCTTTCTTCCTCTTGTTTCAGTCTTGACTATTTGATCTTTAAATCTACAATACAGCTGTTAACCAGAAGGTTTTCAGCTTGATTCCACCGCTTCCTGGATCCAATGTTTCTTTCTTAATGAATGTCTTCTCTTAGCCAGAGGGCATCCTCAAAATACTTAAGAAAAAAATTGTATCTTTCTATATCCTTGTACCATTGAACATATCTTAATTTTACCCATATTTTGATTAACACAATAAACAGATTGAAAGTAAATTTTCTTCAGTAGGCTGGTAAGTATATTGCCAGTATAATTTGGGTATTTTGAAAACGATAATTTTTTCCATCTCTAGAATATTTGGAGTTCAAAAAAATCCTTTTTGCAGGATTTGAATTCACTCCTTGCTATAGCATAAGTCTTAGCAGAAGGCCTTCACTGTTCAAGTCATCTTCATCCTACCCATCCTGTTTATAAATTCCTAATTACATAAAATGTACTTCTCTAAACTCCTTTCACCCTCTTCTTTAAGCCTGTAATTTCACAATGGTCATGCATTTTCAATTAGTTATTTTGTTTTCTGATATTATTTTTTAAACTTTTTGCTACTTACTGAGCACTGCTCTTGGAAGATTGTCCGAGTTCATACAAACCTGATGTTTCTGAAGTCTATCCCTATGCCTCCTTTACATTTTAGCCTGCCTGGTTTCCTGTGTTCAATGTATGGTAGCTGCACAGGTCGACATTCAGACAATTCATGCATATTTAACTTGGCCTCAAATTCTGGGATCAATCATGATCCTCATACTTGACAGTCATTAACAGAAGTCACATAAGTAGTTTGGTAGCTTACAACCAGGTTGGTTTTCTATGTGACCTCATTATGAGCTTGTAGCCAGATGTTAGTAAACAAAAACAGACCTTCATCAGTTGTCAAGCTCTTGACTTTATGTCTCAATTATTCTAACTCATATTTTCCCATCCTTAGCACCCTAATCAAAGATCGATTTTATCCTTATGCATTTAGAGTTCTCCCGTTGCCTAAATGACTACCCTGAAACACTTATCATCTGACTGAATCTTTAATATTTATTTCCAGAACACTCAACAGTGTTTTTTTTTATTTTCAGAAATACAAATGGTCCCTGACAGACAAACTTACATTTAAATTGGTAAGACATATATAATTCACATGAGACAATTAAATAACAATTATCCTCAAGGATTGTATTACCTTGTCTATCAGTTCAAAGAAGTTCATTAAAAAAATAGAAGATTTGAACAGGGGCTGCCTCTTGTAGGAATTAGAATTTGAGTTGGATCTAAATATCTACCATTTATAAAAACCTATGTGTCACTGTATTTAGCTATCTTATTTGTAATATTAGCAACTTTATTTCAATATATTAATTTTTGTTATTTTATAGAACAGAATATCAAGCTTTAGAAACAAGTTACCATTCAAGTTCACTTGGCTATTATTCACATTCTTCAATAAGACAATTCAGATCTGTCTTATTCTAAAGCCAATGACATCTTACTGGGTGACTCTACCTATAAGATAAAAAATAGGGCCAGGTGCGGTGGCTCACGCCTGTAATCCTAACAATTTGGGAGGCTGAGGCAGGCACATCACCTGAGGTCAGGAGTTCAAGACCAGCCTGGCTAATTTGGTGAAATCCCATCTCTACTAAAAATCCCAAAATAAGCTGGGTGTGGTGGCACACACCTGTAATCCAAGCTACTCAGGAGGCTGAGGCAGGAGAATCACTTGAACTTGGAAAGCGGAGGTTGCAGTGAGCCAAGATCGCGCCACTGCACTCCAGCCTGGGAGACAGAGCGAGACTCTGTATCAGGGAAAAAAAAAAAAAAAAAAAAGTTAAAGAATGGCTTTTAGACCATATGATAAACCTTCATTGGAAGAAGCAATAAGAGCACAAAGTAAAGGAGCATACATTAAAATGTCATGCTGCAGGCAGGTTGTGCTAAGACTGGGCACATTTCAGTATTTGAGGTTAGAGTATTAAGGAGGTAGTAATACTAGGGGACATTCAAAGGTGCTTAGTAGATCTTAGGGCATGGTCTTCTGGCAATGGAATGATAGTAACAGTAGAAGTGGCGGCAGTAGCAGCAGTAAAGTTGCAGTAATTTATGATTCTGCTCTGTCTACAAAGTGCAACTGAGAAAGCACTATCCCTTCAGCGCTAACCTCACTTTTAAGTGCCCTAAAACTACTAAGGTAAATGTAATTTCTGGGTTTCTATAACATTGCAGAAGTATTGTGTCAATAACCTGTATTCAATTTTATCACACATATTTTCCTGATCCATGCAATTCCTAAAGCAGAGCACAAAGGCTTTTATTCTATTATTTCAGACAAAAGTTTAAAATGCAAAAGCTAGTATGAGAGGTAACAATTGTGAAATCAATGACAGATGTTTTCTTGTTTTGAAAAATACAGAAATAGGTACTTAAGTGGGGAGAAGAGGTCATTAGTAAGAGGCTAGGGATGTGTACAAAAATGTCAGCCCTACCTTGCATTTGGCCTTATACCAAAGTCTCTTTATTTGTTCTGAGGTAACTTGTGAAATAGCTACATACATTTGACCAGATACCTAATGCAGGTACCACTCTTTAAGGGTGAATGTTTTTATCTTTTTTGCCCTCACTACACAATTAAATTTTACCATTATAATTATCAATTGGGTCACTCTAAAGGAATTATATTAACTTCGTATTTTAATGATGATAGTGAAAGACTCATTTGACAAATCTTAAGCATATATTAAAGAGTAAGATTATTGTAATTATACTCTTATGCTACATACCTACAAAGAAACAAACATACTAAATTTGGCTGTTAATTTGTAATTTTTTTGAAGGAATTAGTGAAGTATTGAACCATACATGGTTAAGGACAATATGAGTATTTTTTTGTCTCCTATTGTGTCATCCACTCTTCCATCTGGACACAAAGGTGAGGTGATGTTTCTGGGGAACTATAATATCCCTTAATGCTCTAAGTATTTCTTGGCATTTAGTCTAATGTACTGATTGCAGGGGATCCTTAGTCTCTGTGTGCATTCATTATACTTGTCCAGGAGCAACGGCTCACACCTGCAATCCCAAGGCTTTTGCAGGCTGACGAAGGAGGATCGCTTGAGCCCAGGAGTTTGAGGCCTGCCTGGAAACATAGTGAGACTGATGTCTCTGAAAAAACAAACAAACAAAAAAAGAAATAAAAGAGGGGTGACCAAGATGGCTGACTAGAAGCAGCTAGTGTGCATGGCTCACGTGGAAAGGAATGAAAGAGGGGAGTAAATACACCTTCAAATGAAACATTCAGGTGCTTGCAATGGGACTAATCAAGAGAACAACTTCAAGAAAACCCAGACAGGATGAAGGCCTGCCCAGGAACAACATAGAGCTAGGGGAACCTACCCTGCTCAGAAAAGTGGTGAGTGAATGTGTGACCCTGGAAAACCATGTTTCTCCCATGGATCTTTGCAACGCTTGGGTCTCCTGACCCAACTCCAACAGGGCTTTCAGTCTGACAGAGCTACATGGAGTCTCTGCAGAGCAGTCACTCAGGCACACATGGAAACCCTGAAGCCTTAGATACCGGGGCTATCTGGCAAAAGTAACTGTAGCTCTGGCAAAGTGGGAAGCTAGTTTCCTACCTGTACATACCCCTGGGAAAGAGGCTGAATCCAGCGGGGCTGAGCAGAGACAACCTGCTGGCCCCACTTCCATAGCACCAGACAGGATAAGACCCATTGGCTAGGAATTCCAGCCAGCCACCAATAGCAGCATTGTACCTCCCTAAGAAGGTGCTCCTGGGGTGAGGGGTGGGCTACCATCATTGCTGCTTGGGCAACTTCGCTACTCCAGCTAGTCTGAGCCGACTAGCAGTGAAAGGGATCCCCCAGCACACAGCTGCTCTATCAAAATGTGGCCAGATCGTTGCTTTAAGACAGTGCTGGATCCCGTTCCTCCTCACTGGGCAGGACCTCCCAACTACCCCTGCTGGTGTTCTCCAGCCAACAAACATTTGAATTCTCCATGGGACAGTGCTCCCAGAGGGAGGGGCAAGCCATCATATTTGCTGTTTGGGCAATGTAGCCATTTCAGCCTTCAGCCATTGGAGAGTCCAGGCCAGCCAGGAGCAGAGGGGATCCCTCAGCACAGCAGAGCTGCTCTACCAAAACATGGCCAGGCTGGTTCTTAAAGCAGCTTCCCAATCCTATTTCTCCTCACTGGGTAGGGCCTCCAGCCACCCCTGTAACAGTTGACAGAGATCTGAATTCCTTCAGTGATGGAGTTCCCAGAGGGAGGGGCGGGCACTATCTTTGCTGTTGGGGCAACTTGGCCATTCCAGCTTTTGGGATTCAGAGTATCTGAGGTAGCAAGGGACTGAAGTGAACCCCCAGTACAGCACAGCTGCTTTACCAAAATATGGCCAGATGGCTTTTTAAAGTGGGCTCCAATACTGCTTCTCTTCACTGGGTGGGATCTCCCAAACAGAGTCTCCAGCCACTGCCTACAGGTGCCTTTGGACTGAACAGGCCCTTATCTCCCTGGGACGAAGCTCCCAGAGGGAGGGGAAGCTTGCCACTTTTGCTGTTTCTCAGCCTTCACTGGAGATACCTCCAGATACTAGAAAATATGAGATGACTAGGGACTGCAGCAGGTCCCAGCATAATGCAGTAGCCCTACAGAAAAGGGGCCAGAACTGTTACATGGGTGCCCACTCCCATGTCTCCTCACCATGCAGGTCCCCCAGGTCTGGGTCTTCAGCCACCCCCCTACCAGAGATACCAAGCCAGTAGCAACTTGGCAAGTCCCTGTTCAGAGCCTCCAGGGACAACTAAAAGCCTCTCTGCTACTGCCTCTGCAATAGAATTTTTCTTGCTACCCTCAGACTAATGAAGGAGTTTTATCTGAAAAGAATCTTATTTCTGATTTACTTAGGAAGCTTAGTTTGGCTGCACATGAAGTTCTTGGTTGAAAATTTTTTCCTTAAGAAGCTATCCCTATCCACACCTCCAACGAGTTGTACATGACCCAAAGAAAGGCGGCCAGTCTACCTCCCATGGGTCCCACCCAATCTTCCCCACAATACCGCACTACTCATCACCAAACAGGGAACCCCTGGCTTGGGCCCACAGCACAGACCCTCCATCCTGGGCTGATTGCACTGAGTTATTACTGACCTGTACCTCTCGGGGTTGGAGCCCCCAGGAGGCAAGCAAACAACACTTGACCACAACCAATACAAAGGTCTCTTCCTCTGCTGTCTCCAAGTTGGAGAAGGACCATAATCACTGAGATTGCCCCAGAGCTGCAGTGGACAGCCCAGGAGTGCCAAGTTATGATCTATAGCCAGCATTCAAAGGGAGAAAAGCCTACACTTTCAAAGCATTACGGCTGCAACTGTGAGGAAACATACAAGAGCCACGCAACTGAGCAAGAGTCAAACAACTGACCAATAACTCTAAGTGCCACCTACTGGATCACACACCAAAGCTTCAACACCAAAAAATACTTCACTAACATAACCCCCACTGAAACCAGAGACAAGACATTAGCTTCAAATAAAGACCTTGCACAAAGCCTCAACTTGGTAAAGACATCCAGAAAAGAAGTCTATCAGCTGTACTCGATCTACACTGCAGTTAAAGGAACATGCACACACAGAAAGCAGAAAGAACCAATGCAAGAACCCTAGTAACTCAAATGGCCAGTGTCAAAAATCCACCGAATGATGGCACCAGTTCTCCAACAAGAGTTCTTAACCAGGCTGAACTGGCTAAAATGACAGAAATAGAATTCAGAATATGAATAAGAGTGAAGATCATTGAGATTCAGGAGGATGGAAAAACACAATCCAAGCAAAATAAAAATCACAATATAGCAATATGGGAGCTGAGGATGAAATAGCCAGTGTAAAAAAGGGTCTGACAGAGCTGAAAAACACAATACAAGAATTTTGCAATGCAATCACAAGTACTGACAGCAGGATAGACCACGCCACACATAGGAAAGAATCTCAGAAAGTGAAGACTGGTATAAATGAAATAAGTCAGTCAGACAAAAATAAAGAAAAAAGAATAAAAAGGAATGAGCAAACCTCTGAGAAGTATGGGATTATATGAAGAGGCAATGTCTACGAATCTTTGGCATCCCTGAAAGGGAGGGGAAGAAAGTGAACAATGTGGAAAACATATTTCAGAATATAATTCATAAAAACTTCTCCAACCTTGCTAGAGAGGCCAACATTCAAATTCAGGAAATACAGACAACACTTACAAGATTCTACACAAGAAGATCATTTCCAAGACACATAATCATCAGATTTTCCAAGGTCAAAATGAAAGAAAGAATGTTAAGGAAGATAGAAAGGGCAGGTTATCTACAAAAGGATCCCCATCAGACTAACAGTGGACCTCTCAACTGAAACCCTGCAAGCCAGAAGAGATTGGGGGCCTATATTTAACATTCTTAGAAGAAAACGTTTTCAACCAAGAACTTCATGTGCAGCCAAACTAAGCTTCCTAAGTAAATCAGAAATAAGATTCTTTTCAGATAAAGCAAATGTTGAGGGAATTCATTATCACCAGACCTGACTTACAAAAGATCCTGAAAGGAGCACTAAATATAGAAAGGAAAGCTAATACAAAATCACACTTAAACACACAAACCAGTGACACTATAAATACTATTCTTGAATGTAAATGGACTAAATGCCCTAGTTGAAAGTCACAGAGTGGCAGACTCAATACTAACATTTAGCCCCAGTTAAAAGGCTCAGAGTGGCAAGCTGGATAAAGAAGCAAGACCAAATTGTATGCTGTCTTCAAGATACCATTTCACATGTAATGACACTCGTACACTCAAAATGAAGGGGTGGAGGAAAATCTACCAAGAAAATGGAAAACAGAAAAAAGCAGAAGTTGCAATCCTAATTTCAGGCAAAATAGACTTTAAGCCAACAAAGATAAAAAAAGACAAAGAAGAACATTATATAGTGGTAAAGGGTTCAATTCAACAAGAAGACACAAATATCCTAAATATATATGCACCCAACACTGGAGCACCCAGATTCACAAAGCAACTTCTTAGAGACGTACAATGAGAAGTAAACTCCCACACAATAATAGTGGGAGACGTCAACACTCCACTGACAGTGTCTGACAGATCATCAAAGAAGAAAATTAACAAAAATACTCAAGACCTGAACTTAACATTGGACAAAATAGATCTGATAAACCTCTACAGAACTCCTACCCCAAAACAACAGAATGTACAGTTTTCTTATCGCCAAATGGCACATACTCTAAAATTAACCACATAATCAAATATAAAACAATCCTCAGACAATTCAAAGAACTGAAGTCATATGAAAAACACTATTGGATAATAGCACAATAAAAATAGAACTGAAGACTAAGAAAATTTCTCAAAACCATGCAATTACATGGAAATTAAACAACATGCTCCTTAATGAGTTTTTGGTAAATAAGAACATTGAAGCAGAAATCCAGAAGTTCTTTAAAACTAATAAGAACAAAAATACAACATATTATAATCTCTGGTAGACAGCTAAGCAGTGTTAAGATGGAAATTCATAGCACTAAGTGCCCACATCAAAAAGTTATAAAGATCTCAAATTAACAACCTAAGAAAGAATTCAAGAGTCAAGAACAAATCAACTCCAAAGCTAGCACAAGACAGGAAATAATCAAAATCAAAGCTGAACTGAAGGAAATTGATTCACAAAAAAACATTCAAAACATTAACAAATTCAGGAGCTTGATTTTTAGAAAACTTAATAAAATCAATAGGCCACTAGCTAGACTAACAAAGATGGAAGGAGAGAAGATACAAATACACACAATTAGAAATGGTGACAGGGATGTTACCACTGACTCCACAGAAATAAATATAACCATCAGAAACTACTATGAACACCTTTATATACATAAACTAGAAAACCTAGAAGAGGTAGATAAATTCCTAGACACACACATCCTCTAAAGACTATGCTAGGAAGAAATTCATTTCCTGAACAGACCAAGGAATTTGGGGTTTTGGATTTCTGAACATATCATCACAGAGATTTTCATCACAATCCTAGAGTCCCACTCATTCCCAATTACAACACTGACCTTGTTATGAAATAATCGACCTTATTAAAGCAGAGTTTCTGGGTTAAGAAGTCAAAAGTTTTTAGAGTTCTGATTTCTTAAAACTAAGTCTGCCCTTATTCCTTTGCTTTTTCTGCCCTCAGCTTAAAGGAGTTGAAAATTTCTTTATATGCTACCAAGGGGGCCCAATGACTTTTACATTCTGCCTTAAATAGATAATTAGTTACCACCAGACTTTCTTTGACTTTTGTTTGTGCCTTGAAGACACCCAGAAATAGCATCTGATTCCAGTGTCCTTATCATGTCTACGTTTTATGAAACTTTCAAATGCCAAAAATAAATACTGAATCATTCAGTGCATACTTTTTCACTGGTATCCTATCCAGTTTACCACTGAAGTATTGAAAATGTTTATAAAGACATTGCTATAGTTTGCCAGGGGCTATCAATCTTTTCCTCAAAAATCTATTTAGGTGCCTATGACTTGCAACCTGTCCTGGCACCAAATGTCATAATTTAGCTTTCCTGGAAACAAACTCTGAGGGAGACCTGCAGGTAAGAGGCAAATAGGATTAGGCAAAGTGAGAATGTGGACTGTAATGCCAACTCTCTGTGGAGCTTTGATGTTGGGATGGCCCTTTGAAAATGTTCTGAGTTGAGACAATGAGGCCAGATTGCTTACTCCAGCATTAATCAGGTTTTGGATGTCTATTGTCCCAGGGAAGGGACACACTTTGGCTGAGGTGTTCCTTTTGGTCAGTGGAATTTCTGGAGAAAAACTGAGCTGTTGGCTGTCAACAGTCAACATTTTATGCGGCTGGAATTCCTCAGTCTTGAAGGGGATCTGGCTGCTTAGGATAAGTTATCATTAGAGAATCAAGGATAGATATGGAGCATATCTATTACCTGGATATGATTAGGAAAGTAAAGTCATCTTAAATGCACAATGTCTATTATGGTATATATGGTCAAAGACACAAAATAGCAAAATACCTTTAGATAATTGTCTTTATTAAGCCATGCCTAAGAATGAAGTAATTATATCCTATCTTGCCCTTCCACTACAGATCACAGTAGAGGTGGTATGATTGATAGTGAGATTTAGGAAAAAACAATAAGGAAATATATTTTGAGAGTTTTTATTTTAGCAATTTTCCAGGTATTAGTAAACCAGTAAGTTATCCACCAGAGGCTGGAATAGTCATTACAATTTCCTTTATCATTGCACTGACACTGAGAGAACCATTATGCTGAGCAGCAGTATATCAATTTATCAACATGGTATTGGAAGATAATGAACTTCCTTAAGTTTCCAACTTGTAAGGATTAATAATGTCCCAAATATATACCATTTTCCTTAAAAAATTAAAGTCCACATAGGAACACATCATCTTACTATTAATTATTAATATTAGTGTAGTGCTTACAAAATCCATGTTTAATTTGGGCAATGTTAATAAAACACAACATAAATACCTTGGAAACATTTCAAGAAAGGTATACAAATGATTTAATTTAATTTATGTGGGAAATTTTATATCTTAGGAAATTTATAAATCTGTGCTAACTTAGATAAAATGTATGCTAATAAGAACTTTTAGGCATATTAAAGTTTGAAGGAAATCATGTATTGCTTTTTAAATTACGAATATAGTCATTACAAAATTATTTAAAACTACAGAAATATTTACACTAAATAATGAAAGTCTCCTTTCATTGTTTTAGTGCTCTCTTCAGAGGTAACCACTACTTACAGTTTGTATATACATTTTATATCTTTATATCTACGTTTTTCACATATCCATGTTAAATGTATATGATTCATATTTTACACGACATGATAAACATCTTTATTTCCACTGAGAAACAGTTGAAGCAAACAAGTGAAAGCATGTGGAAAAATGTTCTCTAATTAATGAATTATTTCCTAGAACCTCAAATGTGGTTCAAATATGATTTCTAGGAACATTAAGAAGGAAGGCAGGAGTCTAGAAATGAGAAATGTCTTTTCACCTTGGCTTTCACATGCTATTATCATCACTACTTAAACCTGCCAGCTCCTTCTCTTCTTTAATCTTGCCAGTGTTTCATGGAGATAAAGTATTAATATATATTTTTAAAAAGCTTGTATATTTGTGTTTTTAAAAGAGTTATATGGTTGAAATCTGTATCATGGTTATGAAAGCATTCCTTCCAAGGTCTCACATTTATAGTGTGGGTCTCTCAAAGTTCTTTGCATATTCTAATGTGGTATAATTCTGTAGTTCTTTAAAAGTAAAAGAAAAAATAAGAAAACAACAACAAAAAACTGTTCTAGTTAGTCCCATTTCTTTTGTCATCCTATTTCTTTCTTGGCCATTGCTGTCAATCAAGTATAATTGTGAAATTGCCTAGTAGATGGATATAAATTGAGACTAGTTTGAAACTCATTTTCTCTTTTAGCCCAGTTGGACAATTTAGCTCCATGCCATTTTTTGGACATACAATGGATAACAACCCTTTATTTAAAGGACATCTGGTCATCAATATAATTTGATTCTCATCTACAGGAGACTATGTGTGTGTGTGTATGTGTGTATGTGTTCAGATTAATATTGAAGACCTAAAATATGAATGATCATAAGCAGGAAGAGTAAAAGAAGTTTAATGAGAAGATTATAATCAGAAAATGCAATAATGGGAAACTTGCTTAATGAGGACATTGGTGCCAAACTACATTATTCATAGGGCATTCTGATTAGAGACAAATGCAAAATTCCTTGGTGGAAATCTTCATTTACATTTCAAATAAATACTATTACTCTAACCTTTGAGTAAGAAAATGAGCTTTCATTCTGAATAACTAAAGACTCCCCTATAGATAATGGTGTACCAAATATATTGTTAAAGAATAAATCGAGTATTGAATTACATTTTCTTGATTTTAAGAGTCATGTTTCATTGTAGATCCAGTACAAGACACATTTTTTTATCCCACTAATACATCTACTGAATTCAGGATCTTTGTTCATAAAATAAAATATGGCTATAAATAGATTTACACATTTTTCCCATTTCATTATATTCTAAAAGCTCCCATTCTCTTTTTAGGAGTAAATCAGCCTAACTGATTAAAGCAAAGTGATAATAAAACATGGACTACAAATTATTCCTTTCTTGACATAAAATGGATTTTATGGATTTCTTGACATAAAATGGAACATTATTCCTAATGAGTGTGTGTGTTTATGTGTCAATAAGTAAGTTTATCATGATCACCTGTGGAAATTTTTTCCATTATAGAGTCTTTTGGGAATAGGGAATATGAGTTCCGGTCAGTATTATAAATTGAGAGAGACTCTGAGCAGAGAACCACTGGTAGAGAAGAAAATGTCAAAATAAAACTCCAAGCATTGATTATACTTGTATACAATTTTATACCAAATAGAATTTATAAATGAAGAACACATATTTTAAATGAAGAATAAATTGATGGGTCAAATCTGATTGGACAGTGATTACTTTACTTTGTGTGAAGAAAAGCTAAGGCCAGGAACTCACTCTTTGGATAGAACACAGAGAAACTAACAGGCAAAATACCTTTTAAACTTTAAGAACAAGAAATAGACTTTGTTAGTTTAGATTTCTTGGTAGATAATTTTTAGCCTGTCAGTAACGAGTGTAAAATTTTGTCTAGAAAAAAAAAAGTTCCAGATACTCAGGAAACTGAGGCAGTAGGATTGCTTGAGCCCAGGAGTTCCAGGCTGCAGTGGGCTATGATTGCACCACTTCATTCCGGCTTGAGTGACAGAGCAAGACCATGTTCCCTGAAAAAAAAAAATAGTAACAAAAAAACTGTAAAGAATTTATAAATAACTACCAATTGTCAGTGACTGAGGGAAAAAAAGAATATGGACTAATAGTCTTGAGCTAGGAGACTAAGTGGATAGAAAAGACATGCATCTGAGGGCAGTTTGAGAAGCATGTCAATGCCATCCTAGCCCTTTCGATTATTGACCCATAGAGAGAGAGGTTCCAATGCAGGTGAGGTGATACATAGATTAATATCCACACAAATGCTATATCTTACACAATATCACACTTTGCTAACGCTGCACATAATCAAGAGGTACCCATAGGCAGCAAGATGTTTGGACCACCGTATGTGACTCTGGATTTTTCTTTCCTGTAAGAGTCTTCTACTTTCTGACTGAGTGTACATTGTGTTGCTAAAGAGGTATGCAGGTTAATTCATACCCCAGTTAGGATGAATTTAGGTTATGAAAATCCCCATTTCATACCTCAGAGCTTACATAACATTCTCTAGAGAACCATGCTTCATAAATCAATAGATCATATATTTGTTTATTGTAAGCAATTCTCAACCAAGATCATCTTGCAAAAAGTATTCCATGTATTAGGACTCTCGTAGCAGATATCATTAGTCTATATACGTGGAGGTCAGCTATCAGCATGGTTACAAGGATATTAGTCCTGTTATCTGCTTCTTTTCTTCTCACAGGAGCACTTCTTCAATAAAGACAGGAATATTTCACAGGACAATTATTTTAATTCCTTGCGCTGTAGAATTCAAAGTTCTAGTGAATCAATTTTTCAGTTGAATCACGAAGGAAAGGATATATTAGCATTTTCCACACTTACAGTGCCATTAAGCCTGTTTTACATTCTGTCATGTTACACTTTGTATTGTTACACTTTGAAGCTCAGAAGGACTGTAATATATGTAAGATATTGCAAAGCAGTTGAGCTATTCCCCAAATGGCAAGTACTTGGTGCTCTTCTGAGTTTGAAGAGGATAGAATAGTGCAAGTTATACAGTATTTTGATTTCTCATAGATGCTATAGACAGCAGACTCGTCTCTTCTGGCCATCTTTGAGATTTCAATTCTGTGTCTTCTTTTTGGTTGTAAGACTAGATAAATTAAATATACCTTTGGATTTTTGGGTGAATGCCAAATATGTTTATTGCAATGTACTGCTTCTTTCTGCCCCACAGTCAAAATATGACTGTTTTGTGTCTCGTGTTCTTAAAGTCAGGCTCTCCCTTAACAGCATAATTTGGTTTATTAATATGTTAATGACTGAAGCCATTTAGTGTTTACATCTCTCAGATAACAATTTCCAGGACCATAGATAATACAGTTATTTAATAAGATTTTTGTTTCAGAGTGGATAGATCTATTTTATCTAATAGTCTATTTTTCTGTGAATTGTTTAACTACTGATTGTAAATGACTACAAATTGCATTTATCTCTTAGTAAACAAATAGTAAATTCTTTCTTGACAAAACAAGCTATAAAAATGTGGCATTTGTCCTTATCTATGCAAATATAGTTTTTCTTTTAATAATTATTTATTTTCTTAATCATCCAGCAGATGAGAAAGCTGCTTTCTTGGACTGCAGCTATGTTGAAAATGATGCTTGTATTTCACGCAAATTATATTTTAATACTTCAGAGCAAGATATAAATGGAATTGAAATGAACATTTATTCTTCCAGTCATTTTCTAGAACACACAATACCCACAGCCATAACTTGATATGAATAATGGTGATATTAATTATCAGCGCTGTTGTTTTAATTGAATAGAGAGTATGATGGCATTTATTCAAATGTTCATCAACTGCACATAATAATTGTTTGGCAACATGCTATAATAAGTGACACAATTACTATTACTTACTTTGGTACTCATTTTAAGAATATGAATCATACTGAATTGTTTTGGTATTCATGTGGATGTAAAATATTACACCACAGGAGTCCTATTGTAATTTGCCAGAGCACTAATTAACACTACTGCATAAATATGAACAGATAAGTTACATACAGAAATGAAACAAGGAAAGCCATAAATGGCTTTATACCATTTACCATCTTGATGGCTATTTGTTTTCATGTATGAGAAAACACCTGCAAAGTAAAAGTGGTGGCCCAATAAATCAATCCATACCTGTTGATACTCAATGAGTTATTGGAGAATCTTAAACCTAGTGACACCAGAATTAATGATAATTTCAGGAAGTTTAACTCTTCAGAAGGTTCTTGCCCCGTAAACATTTAGAGGTCTCTGTTTTATATACCTCAAGGAAATAGCTATCTTGCAATCTTCCATGTATAGGGAAGAGACATCCTCATGACAGAAGTCACTGTCCTCAAGTGACTACAATCAATTAGGCAAACATTGTCAAGTCACATAACTTATAATGAGATATGCAATTATAACCACATGAAAAAGACATTTTCTGGTTTAGGATATAGGCATTATTGAGCTCAGCATCGTGTTGCAGGGATGCAAAAGATGACTGTGAATTTGACTTCTCCATTTGCTGATTATATAAACTTTGGCAATTTGATTAACCTCTCTATTATCATGGATATACTCTGTAAAATACATGCATATCACACACACGCACACACACACTACACAAAACACACATGGGCACACAATATGCTACTTCTCCCCACACACGTACTCTTCTTTTACAGCTATATTTTCTTGGCTTCTAACACCACTGTTTACTCTTACCTCTATTTTCTTCCTAATGAGCATTCGATCTGTTTCCATTTTTGACCATGCATAATTCTACACTGTATTTACTTATATATTGAATGATTTATTTATTTTTATTTCTTAATACAGGACAGGTTTCCATGGGAGTGGAATCACTGGGGGAATGATATGTGTACAGGTATAATTGGAATAGATGTACTATATGTAACAACCTGCATTTTTGCCAGCAATGTGTGAGGATACTGTTTCCTAAATTCCTACTAACATATTATCACATTTTTCCTTTGCCTGCTTAATGGTTATGAAATAATATCTCCTTGTTATTTTAGTTTTTATGACCCTGTCTAATTAGTGAGTTTGAACAGTTCTTCTTGTAGTTGTTAAATTTTGGGGTCATTAATTGCTTATTACTGTCCTTGATCTCTTTTCCTTGAGTTGTCTGGCTTTCTGTTACTATGTTTTTAGGTTCTTTCATATACTATAGAGAACTATACTGATTTTTCAGTTCATTCTAAACCTATTAATCCATTAGATCCTATTCTTAATTATAATGTTTATAATCATGGAAAGTATTATTTGTAATTAATCATTATTATATTATTTTTGTACTCTGTAATTTTGTATAAAATGGCAGCTAATGTTTGCTTTTTGACATTTAATGATTATTTTCTACTTTAGATTTTGACATGGTGAATTATAATATTAGATGTTTTAATATTTAAACATCATGTTTCAACATTATTTAATAGTGCAATATTATTATATTATTTATTACTCTGTATCTGGAAAACATACCAAATGGTCTTATATATCATTACTGCTGATATGTTACAATATAGAATTATTGCTAATATATTATATTAATACAGATACAAATTGTGTTTGTTAATATGCAAGAAAGGGGTTTAGTTTTAGCACCAGTAATCAAAATTAAGAGGGGTTTATTGTTTATTTTGGAGCTCTTTTTAGCTTGCATTAACTGAACCCTATACCCATCAAACAATCCTGACTTTTCACTAAACTCAGCCTCTGACAACCATTTTACTTTCTATCTCTATGAATTTCACTGTATTAGGTAATTCACATACATGAAATTATACATTATTTGTCTTTTTTAAAGTGTCTGTTTTATTTAGCATGATGTTCTCAAGGTTCATGTTACAGCACGTCTTAGAATCCTCCTCTATTTTAAGGATAAATAATGTCCCATTGTATGTTATACTACAATTTGTTTATTCATTCACCTGTAGATAGACACTTGTGTTCTATCTTTTGGCTAATTTGAATAATGCTGCTCTGAACATGAGTATGCAAATATCTCCTCAAGACCATACTTTCAGTTTTTTTGCTACATATTCAAAAGTGGAATTGCTGGATAATATGATAATTCTTTTTACCATTTTGAGGTACCACTATACTGTTTTTCATAGCAGTTACATGATTTCACATTCCCACCTGTAGTGCACGATAGTTCCAGTTTCTCCACATCCTCACCAACACTTGTTATTTTCTGTTTGTTCGTTTTTGGTAAAAGACATCCTAATGGGTGTGAATTTGTAGTATTTCATTGTGATTTTGATTTGCAATGCCCTAATGACTAGTGAGGTTAAGCTTACAGATCATTTGAGCGTTTGTTTTGGAGAAATGTCTATGCAACTTCTTTGCCTAGTTTTTAAATGGGTTGTTTGTTTTATTGTTGTTGTTGGGTTGTAGGAGTTCTTTATTTGTTCTGCATTTTAACCCCTTGTTAGATATATGATTTTCATTTTTTTTTTCAGTTTTTGCTTGCTTTTTTACTCTGTTGATTGTGTCTTTTGATGCATAGAAGTATTTAATGTTGATGTAGCCTGATTTATCTGGTTTTTTCTTTTGTTTCTTTTACCTCTGGTGTAATATGCAAAAAATCATTGCCAAATCCAGTATCTTAAAGTGTTTCCCCTGTGCTTATTCTAAGTGTTTTACAGATTTAGCTTCTACGTTTAGGTCTTTCATCCATTTTGACTTAATTTTTCTATATTATGTTAGGTAAGATTCCAACTTTATTATTTTGCCTGTGGATATCCTGTTTTTCCCCCCAAAAATGTTCTTTCCTTGTGAACAATCTTGGGAACACTTGTTGAAAATCATTTGACCATATATGTGAGAATTTATTTTTAGGCTGTCTATTCTATTCCTTTAGTATATATATCTGTCTGTATGACATTATCACACTTTTTATTACTGTAGCATTGTAATTAGTTTTGAAATCAGAAAGTGAGTTCCCCAACTTCTTTCTTTCATTTTTTCTTTTTAAGATTGTTTTGGTTCTTCAACATCCCTTTGGATTCCAAATTAATTTTAGTATGAATTTTTCTATTTCCGAAAAAAATAATGCCATTGAGATTTCAATAGGAATTGCATTGAATCTGTAGCATAGTTTGAATAGTATTGACATCTTAACAAAATTAAGTTTTCTAATCCAGGTACATGAGATGTCTTTCTATTTGTTGATGTCTTCTTTAATTTTTTTAGCAAGGTTTTGTAGTTTTCACTGCTTAAGTCTTTCACCTCCTCGGTTAAGTTTATTCCTAGGTATTTTATTATTTTTCATGTAATTATAAATTGATATTCTTTTTGAATTGCTCATTGTTAATGTATAGAAACATAATAGAATTTTGTGTTAATATTGTATCCTGTGACTTTGCTGAATTCATTTGTTTATTCTAATATTTTTTGTGTATGTGTGTGTGGGATCTTTAGAGTTTTCTACATATAAGGTCTGTCATCTGCAAACACAAGTAATTTTATTTCTACCTTCCCAATTTAGATGCCTTTTATTTATTTTTCTTGTCCAATTGCTCTGATTAGGACTTCTAGTACCATGTTAAATAGAGGTAAAGAAAGTGAAAATCTTTGTCTTGTTCCTGATCTTAGAGGAAAAGTTTTTAATCGTTCAACATTGAATATGATGTTTGGAGTTGGTTATAAATTTATGTTGAATTCAGAAAAAATAATTTTAGAGCTCTCTATATTTCAACAACTTGGAATGGATTCTTTAGAAATGAGGCAAAATTCAGCCGCAAAATTTTATAGTTCTGGTTAGTTTATAGTTATAGTTTTTCATTGGTAGGTACTTTATCATATTTTCTTTCTTATGGTAATTGGTTTTTTAACGTTTTTCACTTCATTTTGGGTAAATTTTGGTATTTATATTGAAGAGGTACTTGTCTGTACCCTCTAGGATTGTAATTATTTTCTATAGAATTGCCTACATTTTCTTATAAATAATTTGATCATATTTTATGTATTTTTTCTCCTAATTCTTAATATTATGATTTTTAATATTTTATTTTTCCATTATGAGACTCATATGATGTTTATATCTCTAGATATTTTACAATATATTTTTAAAATATTTATGTATTAATTTCAGCTTAAAATTAATACATTTCCATTTTTTATTTTTGGTTTAATTTCTTAAGATAAGTTTAATATTTTGTTCCCATTGTTGTTCCTCTTCACAGTGATATATTTCATGGATACAAATCTCTATTGAAGATTGCTTATATAAGCTGTATTGTCATATAGTTTTGTTTTAAAATGTTCTACTTTGCATTGTTTTTCATATAGTTGATAATATCAGTATTGATTTTTAATATGATCTAAGATATATGTAGAAGTGTTAATTTCTTGGTAGTTAAGGCTTGGTGGAGATAAATCACCTTGTTCTTACCAATATCTAGATATACTGGTTTAAGTTTAAATATTGATTAAACCACAAATGTTGAATTTGTTGAGGTTTTCCTTTGAGCCAATATATGATCAGTACATATATATTTTTAATGTTCAGGGCTTTAAAAAGGGATAGTAAAAGAGTTTAAGCCTCTGTATGTCAATAAACTAAGTTTGTTGATTGAATTAAATGCTCTATATTTTTACTTTTTATTCTATAGGAGCTGTTAAGTTTTGAAAGAGACATATGAAAATTATTTTATAATAAATCAATTTTCTTTACAATCCTAATAGTTTAGAGAGTACATATTTATCAGCAACTTAGGTGATACATGTTAATGATTATAGCATTTTCTTTATACGTTGGGCCTTTTATTTTTATTTAATATTTTCTTTTCTCATGTTAAATGCTTTTAATCTTACATTTCACTTATCTGATATTAAATGGGCCTCTACATTTTCTTTTTGGTTGCATTTGCTTCATCTTTTCCTGCCAATGTCTTTATTTCTAACTTTCTTTGTGTTATATATTGTTTTAGTATCTTTGTTATATAAATCTACTTTCTGTTGTCACAATAATGTGTCATAAAGAAACACAAAACTCCAGTATTTTGCAATAGTAATCATTTATTTATAGCAAACTAATTTTGTGGCAGAATTCAGCCGTACTGACCTATGGCTGGCTGATTTTAGCTAGATTTATTTTATCTGTCTGCAGCGAACTGCATATGAATGGGAGTTCTTCAGATTTTCATCAGGTTTCTCTCATTTATCTGAAAGTCTGCTATCTGTTAGCTGATCCAGGATGGTCTCTACTGGGACAACTTGGGCAACTTAGTTTGTGTCATGTATCTCATTCTCGAGCTGACTATCCCAAGCATGCTGCTTTAGCCAGGACAGTGGACCAATAGCAATGCAACATGCACCACCTTTCAAGATCTAGCTTCGTACCTCGGTACACTGGTACTTCTAAATCAAATGACAGATCCAAGCAATGAAACGACTTTGCTTCCTTTGTAAAAGGACTGTTTTTATGTAACAAAAGGTATGGATTCAAGAAGAAGCAAAGAATTTGCATCATTTCTCCAATCTAAAACAAACATAAAGTTTTACTTCTTCTTAACTCAATTTGACAAGCTGTTTCTTTTAATGGAAGAATTAAGCTCATTTTATTTCTTCCAGTGTTTTAGTTTGTAACATATTTTTTCTCTTTTATATTTTTATTATATTTTCTGATGTGAACACAGCAATATTTGTCATTTATTTTTCTCTTTATAATTTGTAAACTATGCTATATTTTACTATTGTTTTAGTTTTACTCTCCCTATAATGGTGTTCATAATCAAACACTTGTCTTCAGTTTTATATGAAAATAAAATACTAATTTTCCCACCAAAATATTCTGTTTTTTCAAAGTTTAGCCATCCTATCCCTCTATCTTTCTACCCAAATTTTTCTCCCTTTTTTATATTAATTAATTTGGTTTGATACTTTCACTTATCTTTTTCTCAGGAATTAAAAAAATATTTTAAATTATTATGGATACATAATTAAATTACTATGAATACATAATATATATTTATGTGGGTACAAGTGATGTACATAGTTTGAGGGTACATGTGATGTTTTCATACAGGCATATCATGTGTAATAAGCATATCAAGGTAAATGTATCCATCACCTCTAGTATTTATCATTTCTAGAGGTGAGAGACGTGAGAAACATTCCAGTTTCTAGTTATTTTAAAATATACAATAAATTATTATTGAATGTAGTCACCCTCTTTTGCTGTCAATTAGTAAGATCAAACGCTAGATCTTCTTCATTCTATTTCACTGTATTTTTGCACCCATTAATCACCCTCACTCACCACACATATTACCTACCCTTCCCAGCCTCTGGTAACCATCATTCTGCTCTCTATCACCATGAGTTTAATTGTTTTAATTTTTAGTTCCCACATATGAGTGAGAATATGTGAAATTTGTTTTTCTGTTCCTGTCTTAATTCGCTTAAAAAAAAATCTTCCAGTTCCATCCATGTTTCTGGAAATGACAGAATTTAATTCCTTTTTATGGTTGAATAATATCGCATTGTGTTTATGTACCACATTTTTTTTTCTTTTTTTTTGAGACGGAGTCTCGCTCTGTTGCCCAGGCTGGAGTGCAGTGGCGTGATCCCGGCTCATTGCAAGCTCTGCCTCCCGGGTTCACACCATTCTCCTGCCTCAGCCTCCCGAGTAGCTGGGACTACAGGCGCCCGCCACCACACCCGGCTAATTTTTTTGTATTTTTAGTAGAGACGGGGTTTCACCATGTTAGCCAGGATGGTCTCAATCTCCTGACCTCGTGATCCGCCCGCTTCGGCCTCCCAAAGTGCTGTGATTACAGGAGTGAGCCACTGCACTAGGCCATATGTACTACATTTTCTTTATCCATTCACTCACTGATGGACACTTAGATTGATTCCAAATTTTGGCTATTGTTAATAATGTTTCAATAAACATGGCAGTGCAGATATCTTTACAATATACTGATTTCTTTTCTTGTGGATATATATATCTAGTAGTAGGGCTGCTAGACTATATGGTAGTTCTATTTTTAGTGTTTTGAGAACCGTACATACTATTATTTACAGTAACCGTACTAATTTATATTCCCACCAACAGTGTACAAGGGTTCTCTTTTCTCCACATGCTCAGCAATATTTGTATAGCTTGTCTTTTGGATAAAAGCCATTTTAACCTGGGTGAGATGACATCTAATTGTAGTTTTGATTTGCATTTCTCTAATGATTAATTTTATGCATCTCTTGGTCATTTATATCTGTTCTTTTGTGAATTGTCTACTCAAATCTTTTACTCATTTTAAATCAGATTATTGAATTTTTCCTATGGAGTTGTTTGAGCGTATTATATATTCCAATTGTGTACTCTTAAATTTTTTTTCCCATCCTGTGTATTGTCTCTTCACTCTGTTGATTGTTTGCTGTGCGGAAGAGTTTTTTAAAACATTTTATGTGATTTCATTCGTCCATTTTTTTCCTTTGGTTGCCTGTGATTTTGAGGTATTACTCAAGGAATCTACTCAGACCAATGTTGTGGAGAGTTATCCTAATGTTTCCTTTAGTAGTGTCATAGTTTGAGGGCGTAGATATGTCTCTAATCCATTTTGATTTGATTTTTGTATACAGTGAGAGATAGGTGTCTAGTTTCGTTTTTCTCCATATGGATATCCAGTATTTCCAGCACCATCTACTGAACAGACTGTTTTTTTCCTAATGTATGTTCTTGGCACTTTTGTGAAAGATGAGTTCACTTTACATGTGTGGATTTTTTTTCTGGGTTCTCTATTCTGTTTCATTGGTTTTCATGTTTGTTTTTATTCCAGTATCATGCTGTTTGGGTAACTATAGCTACATAGTATAATTTGAAGTCACATAATGTGATTCCTCCAGTTTTGCTCTTTTTGTTCAGGATGACTTCGGCTATCTATTACACAAAATACTTATCTAAAATAAGTATTTTGTGCTTCCAAATAAAATTCAGGATATTTTTATTTCTATAAAGATTGTCATTGCTATTTTAATAGGGATTGTATTAAATCTGTAGATTGTTTGGGGTAGTAGACTACTGAGTGACTGTATGCCAATAAATTGAAACTCTGTGATAAATGGATAAATTTCTACACAGGTACAACCTACCGAGATTGAACAACAAGGAAATTCTCAATCTGAATAGACCAATAACAAGTAGCCAGATCAATGCCATAATAAAATGTCTCCCTTCAAAGAAAACCCCAGGATCTGTGGCTTCACTGCTGAATTTTAGCAAACATTTGAAGAAGAACTAATACTATTTATACTTAAACTATTCCAAAAGAATAGAGGAGGAGGAAACACTTCCAAACTCATTCTACACAGCCAGTATTACCCTGGTACCAAGTCCAGACAAAGACACAACAAAAAAAACAACTGCAGGCCAATATCTCTGAACATTGATGCAAAAATCCTCAGCCTATACTAGCAAAACTAATTTAACAACACATTAAAAAGATCATTTATCATGACCAAGTGGGATTTATCTCAGGGATACAAAAATGGTTTAACATACACAAATCAACCAATGTGATACCTCATATGAATACTGAAGGACAAAAACCATATGATCATTTCAATTGATGCTGAAATAGCATTCAGTAAAATTTAACATCCCTTTATGATTCAAAACTCTTTAAAAAACCGGATATGAAGGGAACATATCTCAACACAATAAAAGCTGTATACAACAGACTCACAGCCAGTATCATAATGAATGCGAAAAAAAAAATGCAAGCCTTTCCTCTAAGTTCTAGAACACAACAAGGATTTTCACTTTGACTGCTTGTATTCCACACGGTACTCAAGGTGCTAACTAGAGCAGAACAAGAGAAAGAAATAAAAGACACTCACATTGGAATGGAAGCAGTAAAATTATCCTGGTTTGCAGATGATATGATCTTATATTTGGAAGAACCTAAAGATTCCACCCAAAACTATTAGAACTGATAAACAAATTCTGTAAATTTTCAGTCTATAAAATTAACATACAAAAATCAGTAGCATTTCTATATGCCAATAGTGAACAATCTGAAAAGGAAATCAAGACAAGTAACCCCATTTACAACAGCTACAAATAAAATAAATTATTAATAATATACTTAAACAAGGAAGCAAAAGGCCTCTACAATAAAAACTATAAAACAGTGATGAAAGAAATTGAAGAGGTCATTAAAAATGGAAAGAATTCCATGTTCATGGATTAGAAGAATCAATATTGCTAAAGTGTCCATACTTTCACTTCTGACCCTTAAAATTTTCTTCGCACCCTGGCCCTTCAATTTCAAGAAGTGAATACAATAAGTGTTATCTATCTTTTATATTCTATCTTGCTTATTATTATTTTTGGTATCTATATAGTTAGAAAAGGTTAAAAGCAAAGAATAAACAAACAACAATGCAAGAACAGCAAGAACATAACGAAGTGTTGCATTCCTGTTTTTCCTCCTTTTTCTTATTTATCTTCTGATAGGTTTTTATTTGTTGTCTGTGTAGTCTACTTTGGGGAGTATATTTTTCTTAATTTTCAATATATTATCTTATTTAATGTATATCTCCTTATAGTTGAATGATATAATTTTTGACTTGGTGTCTTCTCTCCTAATAGCCTGTAGATATTATCCCACCATCTTCAAGCCTGAAATGTTGCAGATGTAAGGCTGGGCACAGTGGCTCACACCTGTAATCCCAGCACTTTGGGAGGCTGAGGTGGGAGAATCACCTGAGGTCAGGAGTTCAAGACCAGCCTGGCCAACATGGTGAAACCCCATCTCTACTAAAAATACAAAAATTAGCCAGGCGTGGTGGCACATGCCTGTAATCCCAGCTACTTGGGATGCTGAGGCAGGAGAATTGCTTGAACCCAGGAGGCGGAGGTTGTAGTGAACTAGGATAGCACACGAGAGCGAGACTTCGTCTCAAAACAAACAAACAAACAAACAAGAAAACACGTTGCAGATGTAACATCTAAATTGATCTACTTTTTTTTTGAATAAGTCATTTTTATTTTAATTTGAAAGCTTGTGACATTTTATTTCCTTGATTTTGGAGTTAAAGCATTTTAGCACTAAATGCCTGAGTGTGTTTTCTCATTAATACCTATGAAACTTGCTAGGAAAATTCAGACTGAGATTAAGTTTTTTCTTTAGTTTAGGATAATTTTTTCTTTCTTTGCCTCTTTAAGCTGATTAAGTCAAATCTCATCGATAATCTTCTTTTCTTTCAATTTTCTACCAAAAATGTTTACTTGAAAATCCCTTTTTTCCAGTCCACAGAGTTTTTCTTTCTTTTGTGTGCTCTACATGAATCTCCTTAAATACCAGAATCATCTTTGTTATTTAAGTTTACAATTGCTCCCTCTATCAGACCAGGCCTACTTTTTGGGAAACTGTGTGTGTGTGTGTGTTTATATGTTTGGTTATTACTCTCTGTGCCTTCTGGGCCCCATCCTTTGTTATTTCTTTCAATTAGTTCAGTGAGTCCAGATCAAGCTACTAGAGAACATTAAATAAAATGTTTATCAAGAATGGGGGAGTCAGGCTGGTAGTATAACAGCAGGTAGTCATTATTCCCCTATACAGATAGTAGAAAGAGGCTTCTGGGTTTCTCTCAGACTGAAGTATAGACAAGACTCCGATCATATATTCTGACCATCCTCAATTCTCTGAGAAGTAATAAGTAAAGGGAAGTCTTATTAAGATGGTCTATATCAGCCCTTCCTTGGAGGGTCCTTTCCTGTCCATTGGCCAAAGTCTCACCATAACTTACGCCAGATCGGTCTTTGTTTTAGTGTTCTCTTGCACCGGTGTCCAGAGACTCAGGTGTTTCACAGTACAGATACCGCAGTAATTGTCTTGATCATTTCCTTTATGTCCTAGCTATTTACCTGTCCCAGTGTCTTCTTGGCTTACAAGAGGAGACTTGCTTGTAACTGAAATAGGAGAAGGAGAAGCAAGATACTTTTTGGTACCTCCTGGGAATCTCCTTCACTTAAGCTGATCTCCTGCCATAATAATTCCAAAACTGCATGTCCTACAATATAAATAGAATCTAACCAATATGGCATTCAAATTCTTCCAATTCCTTATTTGCCTTTAACTTTATTTGGATGTATCTGTCTATTCTCTCTTCTCTGAGGCTCAATTTCTATTGGACGGAACTTTGCCTTATGTTACCAAGGTATGTTCAAGCTGAGTACAATATCTCTTTATCTCTTAAAATACTTAATATATAACATTGGAATAAAGAGATGAATGAGGTAATACATAAATACTTAATTCTGTGCTCTTTCTTGCCTGTTTGTGATAGCAAAAAATAATGTGTTGCCCTGTTGGAGAGTATAAATCTAAGGCATTCACTTTGCTTCATTTCATCAATTATAATAGATGTTTATGTATGTCAATCATTATGCTTTTATTCTTTTGGTAATCTTCTTCTCAGCAATAACAACATATTGGTAATTACTAAATGCTTGTCCACTGATTTATCTTATGAAATAAAGCATAAGAAAATATTTGTGTTACCTATTGGCAAGTAGCATTTAAGAAAAACCCTGAGAATTAACTTATCTTGTTGGCTATGCCTGCCTGCTTTCAAATTCTGGTTCTACTCATTTTGGGTTTCATTATCTCTAAGCATAATCCAATAACAAAACCCTCACAGGGTTGTTTTGAAAATTAATCATGCAGGCAAAATTCTCACACTGGTGCCTAATGGAAAACATTTGCTCAAAAATGTTATTATTATCATTATTCTATTAGCCAAAAATATGAGCATATTTATTACACACTAAAAAGTCATTAAATAAACACAAATATTGAACTCCATTCTTCCTATGCTTTCAATATAAAACATGTATATGAATAAACAAATATTATTTAAGGTGCACATATGCATAGAGTTAGGAGAAGACTATACCCCATATCCAAGTAATTATCACAATTACATGACTTTAAAGCCATATTCATCCTCATCTTAACTGAAAGAAAATGGCTATCGTGCGATTTGCCTCTAGAGACTAATATACTTAAAAGTGTAATAACAGCTAAAAGCTGTAAAGAGCCATTGATTATTTGAGAGAAGACACCAGTAAGCATGGGTGAATGTCATTGTTGGATCATACATACACACACACATGCAGAAACACATACACATGCACACTCCACCACTAACTGTAATGCATCAAGGATGGGTAGTAAAAACATTTTGTGAGTGCAATGGCAGCATTAGCAGTGAAATCTTGATTTGAATTTTTTTCAGTACAGCTTTAAAATTCTATTAACTTTCATTTCTAATATCAAATTTTTAAGGAAGAAAAGAAAAGAGCAGCTAAGTATAAAAAAGGTCAAATGAAGAATTATCTTAAAATGACATTTTTATGATTATAGCCATGTTTAATAACTTCAAATGAAGAATTATCCCCCATTTGATGTTTTTAAGACCAAGACCATATAAAAATGTCATTTTAAAATGACGTTTTTACAATCAAAGCAATCTGTAAAAATGTCAGGTGAACAACTCAATTAATTAAATGTTTCTAAGGATATAAAATAGGTTAAAATGTTCAGTGGAGCATTTCATTGACATTTGATTTTTTAAAAAGAAATATTAATCATAAAAATGTGGGACTTAGTATGTTACTATCTTTAATTTTTTAGTTGTCTGATCTGTGGCAATGACTAATAAGTAAATGTTCTTCTGATCTAACATTAAAATGATAGACGAAAATGAAACAGCATCAAAATATGGAAATATGTGGAGTGTCTTAAAATTAACTTCGCAAAACAGAATTAAATGTTAAAAAGAAATTATATACAAATATGCCATTTTTACTATTTAAAATATTTTGTAATTTGTATATGCTATTTTATACTCAAGAATAAAATATAAGGTTGATATCATCATATATTTCTCACAGAAAATCAAACTTCACAAATTCTCAGTGTAGCTAAAAATTATATGCAGAACATCCTCCTTCTTTTCTTAAATGTGGAAATTTGATGAGGATATGCAAATGGAATAAAACTTTCTGGTTGTTGGTCCAATATTATTTCAAGTATCTGTCTATAGCAATTTTCTCTAGTAAAACTTTTGACAATGATGGAAATTTCTACATCTGCACCCTCCAGTGTGGTAATCACTAACTGTGGCTACTGAGAGCGTGAAATGTGCCTTATATGATAGAGAAATTCAAGTTTAATTTAATTTAATTCTAATTTACATTTTAAAATTCACATGCACAGATTTCTAGGACTTAAATTTTAGTTTGTTACATGATTTGCATTGAAATATGGTTCAATTCTAAACTTTCTGTTAGGTCAGAACAAACTCTTACTATGTAAAAATAGTAAATGTTGTTTTGTAAGTCATGCATAGTTTGATTTAAATGTAGGGCCATTAAAATAAATTGAATGCCTAAGCATAGGCTGTCAGATTAAGCCTGTACAATACAATGCTTTCAAAAGTAATTCTAATAACACATTCATTCATTTTTAATAAATAAAAAAGATTATATGGATTTATTTGCAGTGTCATAAACAATAAAACCTTTAAACTTATCATAAATAGGCCTAACCAGATATGTTTATAGGCAAATATTTGTGTGCTCACTCACACACACACACATACACAAACACATACACACACAAATAATCATGTAGATATATATACTTATAACAAAAGTTACCATTTAAGCTTTCTCTGAAGCTTTAAAAGTTTAATTTCAACTTATTAGAAATAATTTGTCACTCAAAATAGCTCTTTATTAGTCCAGTATCCATGACATATTTCCATTAAGGATCTTGAGGTAACTAACAATGCTCACTTACATAAAATGTTTTAGATTTTAGAAAACATTTCTCTGTGCTTTATTGCTTTTAAAACTTATGATAATGCAAAGGGCAGGTCTTGCAACTACGTCCTTTTCCTTCACATGAAGATCTCAAGGCCTGAAGAAATTAAGGTATAGATAGATACCACAGATAAAAAAATCACCACGATGATGATGATAATGGTAATGCCTGACACTTACAGGACCTTCCAATCTGTAATCATATCTAATGACCATGCTGTTCCATGAGATTGAGCTCTCTTGATTACCACTCCTATTTCATAGGTAAGAGGCATACATACTCTCGTCCAAGTCACTGTTAGTTGAAGCTAAAATCCATGTCTCATGACTCCCTGCCTAGTGGTGCTTCTAAGAACTGGATGGACATCATGTGGAGATACACAGTGCTAAAAAATAAAAAAATAAAAAAAAAAGCAGGTTTGGCTGATTGATTGCAAATGAGTTGCAAAGGATTTCTATAAATCAAATATGACTGAAAGATCAATGCTTTGATAAGTGGAAGAGATGAGAGGAGTGTCAGTGATAATGGAAAATTTAGCACAGGGGAGTACTTAGGGAGCATATAAAAATTCTGCCTATGTCATCTTGAATTGTAGTTATGTCAAGTCATCGAGTATTTTATGCCCTGTAAATGCATTGTGACCCTTATTCTGTCCACCTTGCAGAGGCTGGACAATCTTAACGTTGTTTGAGCCATCTTTTGCATAGTTTTGACATTTTCTGCTTCTCCTCTATCCCATCTGTTCTCTCTTATATTTCTCTTTTATTATGCTTCTCTGATATTGTAGGCCAGCTACATTTCTTTAAGTTTTTACCACCCACCAAGAATTGTGTCTGAAGCACTTTACATTCACTATTTAATTTATTCCCTCCAACAACTCTATGAATAAGATTTTATTATATACATTATACAGATGAATAAACTAAGGTAAGGATTATAAATGACCCTTCCCAGAGATAATTAACGAGTGAGTTTTGAAACCAGAATACAAACATAGATATGTCTATCTACAAAGTCCCTCCCTGCCCATAAGAATTATGCTCTAAGTAAAATGGTGTTAAGCTAGGAGTAGCTCCTTGATTAACCCATATTCTCCCTAGTTTTACACATCCCTAGGATAAACTCAGTAGAAACCTATCAGAATTTTAAAAATGATACTGTTTGATAACAGAGTAGGATGACTATAGCTAACAACATATTGTATTTCAACATGGCTAGAAGAGATAATTTGAAATGTTCCCAAAACAAAGAAATGATAAACACTGGAAGTAATGTACACCCCAAATATACTGACTTGATTATTAGATAGTTGATGCATGTAACAAAATATTGCATGTACCCCACATATATGCACAGATATCATATGTCAATAAAAATAAAATAAATAATAATGAGGAGTAAATAATTGACAAAACCTCTGCCAGAGACCTGAGGATAGCAATCAAGTCAGGGTTTTTCAAAGGCATTATATTCACTGCAGAACCTTTACTGAAAATTAAACAAATATTAGATGACCATAACTTACAGAGAAGAACGTTTCCTTTCCCTCTCTGCCATTTGTGCAAGTGCCAATGAAAACTCGTACTACTACTTATGTGTTTCCCACCATGCACTGCCTAACACACATGAGGGCATATAATGGGAGAAGACTTGCAGAAAAATTCTCTTTAAGTTTATATTTGATGGAAAAAAATTATATTACCTCTTAGTAATGTTGAAGCAGGACTTCTTTTTTGACCTTTAGGATACAAGAAGCCACAATTTCATGGCTAGTTAAGTTGGAATGAACAATAAGTGCTGGATGCAAAGCAGCATTTTATAGATAATGTAAAGATTTTCAATTTGTGGAATGTTTGTGGAAAAAATGAGTTTGGAGTTCGAGGTAAAAATCAGTGGTGCTACCAAATTTACACATTTATTTTACAAGATGAGTAAGAATAAGCTTGGGATGTTTTTAGTTTCCAATAATTATCAAAATTGTCTAAAACAGCTGACATTTACTGAGCAATTAGTGGGCCAATTAGAGTGCTGTTAATAAACATATAATATGTAATTTACTGCTCACATTCTTATTAGGTAATTCCTATTGTTTTTCCTCTTTAATAGATGTGAAAACTGAAGTTTAGCAACTTGAATATTTTCCTAAGTCAAAGAGTTTATATGTGATAAAGGCATAAGTAAAGCCTAGATCTACATTGCTCCAAAGCAGCATTTTTAATGACTGGAAGTTTAGCTTTCTGAATCGGAAGCTACAGTGCTTACTCTAACTGATTTCATGGACAGAATATGTGAGTGTACTAATTTCTACAAGGATAGAAGAAATAGCATTCCGTAACAGGGATATGTTTCACTCTATTCTTAGATTTTCCCTATTTGCTTAATGAAAATTAGCATCATCTACTCATATGTCACAAGTGTATTAGGAAATATAAAAAGAATTCCTTTTCATTTATCCATTTAACTTCATCGAAATAATTCAATCTGTCAATATATTGAGTTAAAATTGATATGTTTAGAATGACCTAAGCACAGAGACTTACGGTACCAATTTTAATTAGCCTATACTATATAAAAGAAACACAATATCTTAAAGAAGTTAACACTTTTGGAAACTGCACTTTTGGGTCAAGACCAGAGTTCAGGATATGAAATAGGCAAGTCAGATTGTGTTTCAAATTTTCTGTGTCTGAATTAAAGCCGAGTATTTATAGATATAGAAAGCATTATAAAAATGAAGTTTACAGCAACATAATAAAAGTCAGAAAAAATAATATGGTTTAGGTAGTTCTCGATTTGGAAATAACTTCTCAGCAAGATAGAAGAGGATTAATAATATAGTGTTGTGAAAAATACATTGTGGGCAAATTTTGAGAGGGTATTTGCATGACATAGTGAATTATGTAACTATAAAAGCAAGACAAGTGTGTACTAATAGGTTCATTCTTGTTATATTAATACTACTTACCCTAAACACCTATAAATCATCTAGAAATTTTGAAACTAAAAAAAACCTTTAAGATAATCTGTACTAACATCATAATTTTAAAGATTAAATTATTGAAGCATGAGAGATTAAATAATAAAGCTGTAGCATATGCTCTCATGGTGAGATTTAAGATGAGAACCTATATCTTCTAGCTCCCGGCCCATCATGCTTTCTTCATGTTATTTTTTTCAGCTAAAATATAATTATGTAAATCTAAAATGAAAATCAGCTATTTGCAATGTCTTAGGAAAAGATATCCTAATTAGAAAGAAAAGTAGAGATTAATCAACAAAAACTCTTATCTCTATTCTGTCCAATTTTCTTCATAATGAAAAGAAACACTACAATTGTAAGGATCTTCAATGGTTTGGAAAATAAAACATTGCTTTAATTTCAAAATAGCTTGTTTGTGTTTAATTTTTTTAAAAAAATCTTTGTTGGCTGGATCCGGAATTTGTAAAAATTTACTTTGTGTATTAATGGGCAAATTGAATAACACAAAAATGTTGGCAATCTTTTTACTAGTGAATCTTGAAGTTTAAGTAATTCCTAGCTGAAATCTACATGAGAAACCAAATAAATCCTTTGAATTTTAGCAATTAAATGAATGGGCAAGTAAGATATGATGGTCCTTCTTTCATTTTCTCTTTGTTTCCTATTCTATGATAATTCCCTCCACAGTTCACTAACTGCCCCCAACCCCGAAAAGGACATTAAAAGTAGACACGGTGGTTCTCTGCTTCCGTCCAAGATGGAAGACAATGAAGAGATTTACCCTCCCACCTAAAACAATTGTAAAGGTAGATTTTATATATATATATTTACCTTGGCAATTGTTTGTATATATTGATTGTATATATAATATACCTTTGCAATATAAATATATAATATATATTTATATGTATTTACATTATATATATTAAATGTATATATAAATATTGCCATTCCCCAAGTCAGATTGGAAAAAAATAAAATATATATATATACAACCTCAAGACACTGAATAGCAGCAAGAAAGAACAGTATGTGCTAGAGAAAGAAAACAAATGAAGTAAGTCCTGTGATTTCCTGAGCTTATTGACTTAAGAGAATTTCCAGTCTCATCACAGAGGATGGTCCCAAATAGAGCCCAGCAGACACTCTGATTTGAAGAGATAGAGCTGAGTGTCAGAGGAGACCAACAAAGCTAAGGTTCACAGGACAGAAAAAAACTATGAAGCAAGAACCCTTCATACCAGCAGAGGATCACCCCGAAGTATTCAGCAGAATACAGATCAATACATGATTGTGAGGAAACTATCTGAGGCAGTGGAAAGAACCATATGAAAAATCAAGAGGTGAGAGTATTCAGCCCTGACACAGGGCTGAAAATATTGCCATTCCCACAAGTCAGAATGGAAAACTTTGTAAGTCATAGACAATTGGGTAGAATATTCAGAAAGGCCTTGATTTAGTAGTAGAGAATAATTATCCCTAAATGAACTGCTGCTCTGTCTCACCTAATAAATCTTAAAAGTAAGACCTGAAGGATCCATGTTTCCTAATAACTGAAGTTCAGAAAAATATATATTAAGCAAATTTATAAAATTTGCATTTATAAAAATGCAAAAATATCTAGCACTCAACAAAGTCAAATTCACAATGTCTAGCATCCAATCAAAATTATCAAACATTCAGAAGAACAAGATAATGCAGTTATTAATCAGGACAAAAATTAATGAATTGATCCAACTGTAAATCAAATGTTAAAGTAACAGATGAAGACACTAAAACAGTTATTAGAATTGGATTCCATAAACTAAAAAATTTCAATAGAGAATTGAAGAAATAAAAATGATGCAAATAAAACTTCTAGAGGATAAAAACTACAATGCTTGAAATGAAATATGTACTAGAACAAATAAACAACAGAGAAAAAAGATCAGAAAATTGAAAGCACAGTAATATTAATTAACTGAAATAAAACATACAAATACAAATAAAAATAAATAAATTGGAAAAGCCTGTATAAGCTATAAGACAACTTCAAGTAATTTAATACATTTGTAATTTGAGTTCCAAAATTAGAGGATGAAAAAGAGGTTAAAATTATTTTAATAACTTACAGAAGAAAAATGCCCAAATTTGTGAAATCTATGAACATTCAGTTCCGAGAAGCGAAATAAACCAGAAACACAAGAAAGAGGAAGAAAAGCATACTATGACACATTACAATCAAACTTCTAGTTGTAAAGAGGAAATCTTAGAAGCATCCAGGAAAAAGAAACATGATACTTACAGAAGAACAGACATTCGGATAACAAAAGACTTCTCATTAAAAACAATACAAGCATAAAGAGCATCATCTGTCAACTGCCAAAGAAAAAAGAAAAATTGTCTTCTTGCAATTGTGTAACTGTGAAAATATTTTTCAAAAATGAATATAAGAAGTACTTCCAAAATGATGGGGTAAAACTTCTGAGAATCGCTTTTTTACAAAGGCAGAATACACATGAAAAGAAATAGCAAAATCAACTTGTTTTGCAGCCTGGAAATTAACCAAAGGCTTGAATAATTTTAGGAATATTTGTTCAAAAAAGGTGGCTAAATCTTGATGAGAACAGTGAGTTTTCTGGTGTTTTAATTTGTCCTATTCCCACACTTCGCTCATATCTATGAGATAGCCTTGAAAATCATCAACCTCGTGTCAGAGACAGTGGCTCATGCCTGTAATCCCAGCACAGTCCTCCCAGTGGGAGGATCACTTGTGGCCAGGAATTTAAGACCAGCTTGGACAATGCAGCAAGACCCCCATCTCTACATTTTTTTTTTAAATAAATAGCTTGGTGTTATATCTTATGCCTGTAGTTCCAGCTACTCTGGAGGCTGAGGCAGAAGGATCATTTGAGCCCAGGAGTTTGAGGTTGCAGTGAGCTATGACCACTACACTGCATTCCTGTCTGAGTGAGGAGCAAGACCTTGTCTCATAAACAACAACAACAAAAATAAAACAAACAAACAAAAACAAACAAAACCTGCAGCTTCAAAAATCTCACCACAGTAGCAAGGAAAACCAGCAGCCTGGAAAGCTACTGAGAAAGAGCAGAATGAGTTTTGAGGTCTCCAAAAAGACTCATTCCCAGGGAACTGTCACTATTTTACCTGTTGGGAGCTAGCTTGAAGTGGCCCATTTATAGAGTTTTTCTTTATACTTGATTCAAATCTTGCTCCATGAGAAAAGAACTATGACATTTATCAGAAACTATCAACAGCAATTGCTTAACATCATAGCTGACTGAGAGAGTAACGCTAATTGAGGCCCAAAAGATGACCAGAAAATGTATATAAAAAATCATCTCTGGTGTGATATTTCCATAGGAGGAATTAAGGATATATGACAGATTTCGGGATATATAGAAGACTGAGTACATATGAAAGGCTGTGGACAAACCCAAAGAAAGATCTGAGAAGGCCCTAATTGCTCACCTCTGGATGATGTTGAATAAATGCCTCCACATGTGCAAAGAATCTCTTGACAAAAGGTGAAAGGATTATTGGCTAAGGAATTTGAACAAATTTCTGTCTAAATGCTCAGTGACCACTAAGGTAATTTTCTTCAGTGGCTACACACAACAAAGAATAAAAACTTAACAGAATTAGTCCTAGAAAGTCTAATTAATTTAGAAAGATTAAAACAAAGCAAGCAAAACATAAGTAAAAGGCAGCAGCAACCATTAACACAAAAAGAACAAACAACAAGAAACCGTTGGGGTGAGGAGTGGATTGTATTCCCAGAATGGAAACATCATATTATATTAATGCCAATTTATACAAATAATGACAAAATTTTCAAATAAATATAAAGGTATGATCCATACACATTTTTAAAAAGCAATCAATTAAAAAAATTCCTAAGGAAGAACACGTGTTAAATTACTAAAAGGCTATTTGTTGTAATTCCTGAAATTTGATGTAAAACATTAATATACACATCAAAATAGCTCAACAAATTACAAGTACATAGAGCTTTGTACTTAGGCCCATCATAATCAAAATACCAAAGGTAGAGAAAAAGGATTTATCTAGAATTAAGCTAGAAAAAAATGCACCTCACATAGAAAGAATCTTTAATATAACTAACAGATGACTTTGCATTAGTACTGAAAGCCAGAAGGCATAAGATTAAATATTCAGTGTTCAAAGAAAAACAAAATTAACCAAAAATTTTACATCCAGAAAACTATTCTTCAAAAAACAAAAAAGACGTTTCTAGATTGTTAAAAATTTTCAAAAGTGAGATAATTAATTCTGATAAAGAAGTTCTTCAAAAAATACCAAAAGGAATCCTTCATATGAAAAATAAATGACACTACACAATAACTCAAATCCACAGAAATAAATAAAAAGCTTTAGTAGCCTGTAATCCCAGTACTTTGCGACGCTAAGGCTAGTGGATCACCTGATGTCAGGAGTTCAAGACCAGCCTGGCCAACATGGTGAAGCTCCGTTTCTACTAAAAAATACAAAAATCAGCCGGGCATGGTGGTGGGTGCCTGTAATCCCAACGACTCAGGTAAATACAAAGAGAGTATAAAATATTTTTGTTGTAAAACTTTTTCTTACCTGACTTAAATTATTATAAAAAGGTGTGGATAGTCTTATAATGTATAAAGATTTAATCTATTTGCCAAAAATAACAAAAAAAGAGAAGAGATAACCCAATATTACAGTATATTGCAGCAAAGTTTTTATATTCTGATGAACTGAAATTTATAGTAATTCAAATTGGAATATTTCAAGCTAAGATGTTAATTGCATTTCCCAAGTAAATTATTATAAAAACAGCTTTAAAATTAGTAAAAAACAAAAACAAACAAAAACCAGCAAATGAAAAATAGATTTAAAATGGAAGATTATCAAAAATATTATCACACAATAAATCAATAATTAAGGTATAGAAGAAACAAAAAATGGCATAAAATATATAGAAAAATAGCAATATGGCAGGTATACATCATACATTGTCCACAATACATTAAATATAAATGGATTAAACACTTCAATCAAAAAGCAGAGATTGAGAGAATGGATTAAAAACAGCATGATAAAATTACATTATTTCTACAAGATACATAGTTTAGATACAAAGATACAACCAGATAGAAAATAAAAGTGGGCAAAACACATGCCAATGCAAATATTAACCAAAAAAAGAAAATGAAAGCTGGACTAGGTATACTGATATCAGAGCCAAAATATACTTTAATTGAAACACTGAAGTTACAGAAAAATAAGTACATTTTACAAGGATAAAAGGGAGAAATAATAAGACATATATAAAATTATAAATATCCATCTAACTAAAGAACTTCAAAATAAATAAAGAATAATAGACATAATTGAAGAACATAAACAACAGTAATAGTTGGAGATTCTAATACTTCACCTTTAATTGTGAATAGAACAATAAGTAGGAGATCAACAATTTAATAGAAGACTTAAACATTGTAAGTCAACTAAATGAACATCTCTGGA
Organism: Homo sapiens; assembly: GCF_000001405.40. Classification (NCBI taxonomy): domain Eukaryota; kingdom Metazoa; phylum Chordata; class Mammalia; order Primates; family Hominidae; genus Homo; species Homo sapiens. Next base: position 77,756,904 of record NC_000008.11, on the reverse strand, counting down.
ACACTTTACCTAAAGCACACATTTTCTCAAGTACAAATGAAAATTTCTCTGGGATAGGCCACATGCTATATATGCTAGGCCAAAAACATTAAAAGAGAGACACAAATAATTTAAGGTTGAAATCATAAAAAGTATATTCCTGACTTCAATGACATTAAATTAGAAAGCAGTAATAGAGGAAAGTTTGGGAAATTCATAAATACGTACAAGATAAACAACAAATTGCTTTTGACCAATAGTCTAAAGAAGAAATCATAAGTGAAATTAGAAAATACATTTAATGAATGAAAACAAAACATAATGTACCAAAATATATATGCAATAAAAGTAATGCTCAGATGAAAATCTATAAATGTAAGTGCCTAAATTTAAAAGAGATAAACATCTCAGTTTTTTAGTTTAACCTTCAACCTAAAGAAACTATGAAAAGAGTAGACACTAAACACAAAGAAACCAGAAGGCAATAAATAATAAATATGAATTGAAATAATAGAAAAGAGCAGAAATCATAGAGAACACATTTAAAAAACATAAAATTGATTTTTGGATGGAATAAAAATTTTTGAAACTTTCAGCTAGACTGAACCAAAATATGAGAGAGTATTCAGATTATTTAAATCAGAAATGAAAGGTAAATAATCACTACTGCTTTTAAAGAAATGAGAAGATTATAAGAGAAGACTGTGAGAAACTCTATGTCAACAAATTTGATAACCTAAACGAAATGGATGTTTCTACAACCACAGAACTCAACTAGAAACGTGAACTGGAAACAGAATCTAAAGAGACCTGTAACAGTAGCAACGTGGCATTACTAATCAATACACTTAAAACATTGTAAAGCCCAGGACTCAATGCTTTCCACAGAACACTAAAAGAATAATTAATGTGAAACGTTAATAAACTTTTAAAAAGTTAAAGAGGATGGAACAAACTCAATTCGCTCTAAAAAAGCCAGTTTAAAAACACAAACTGCAAAAGGTCATCCAAGAATACGTAGATAAGCTAAAAGACTTTATATCTTTTAAAGATACTGAGTTTGTAAGAAAAAAGAAATCTGCCCACAAAAATTGTCCAGGCCCAGATGACTTTATTGGAGATCTACAAATAATATCAATTCTACACAAAGTTTTTTGGAAAATAAAGACCAGGGAACACTTCCTAACTAATTCTATGAGACCACTATAACAGTGATACCAAAAGCAGATGAAGACATTGAGAAAAACAATACAGGAAAGAATTGCAGAGCAATATCCTTCATAAAAATACAACACTTTAACAACACTTACTAAATTAAATCCAACTATATAAAAAAGGGATAATATATTATGAACAAATAGAGTTAATCTCAGGATTGCTAGTTTGGTTTAACATTCAAAAACCAATTTGTATAATTCATCATATTAATAAATAAGAAAGGAAAAAACTATGATAATCACTCTCAATATATGAAAAAAAGCCTGTCAAAATTCAACATTCATTTGTTATAAATACCATGAGTAGATGATCCTTCCTCAACCTAATAATTGGCATGCTTCGAAAACCTGCATTTAATATTAAAGCCAGATGGAGTACACATTTTACCACTCCATTTATATTTAACTTTATAGAAAATGCAAATGAATCTATACCATCAGAAAGCAGAGCAGTGGTAGTTAGGGGTTGGAATGGAGAGTTTCAGGGGTGGGCAAGAGGTAAAGATTACAAAGAGACCCATGGAAACTTTAGGACTAAATCTATATTAATTGATGTGATTGTGGTTATGGTACAGTGACATATAAATATTTCAAAACTTATCAAATTGTACATTTTTCTATATGTAGTATATTGTATATTAATTATGCCTAAAGAAAAGCATTAACATAGCGTGTGCTTTGATTTCATCAGAAATAACTGTAAAGGAATTTTTAAAAAATCTTTAAATAGACCAAATGCAATCTAACGTAATAGGATCAAAAACATTTTCTTTTGAGGAAACAAGAGCTTGAAATATGAACAGTTTTTGGAAAGGAGTAAAGTTCAGTAAGACTTAATTACCTAAATATAAATTAAAGTTTTTAAAAAATGTAATTATAATTTTCTATAGAAACAACAATATAGTTTCATCATGGAAACTACTGGTGAATATCTTTACATATTTGACAAGTGAATAAAGTATGTGGCATATACATTCTGTCCATAGAAGAATTTAAAAAATTTTTTTAAATATTTAATTTTTTAAAATATCTATTTTCCCTTATAGCCATTTAGAACCTTTTTGTCAAAATTATAATATTGAATGTATTTGCCATCTGTGGCTATGCATACAAAAGTTGCAAGTATGTCTTATTTTCTTCCTGAATACTGTATCATCATGTCTTTGCTTCCTTTCTCTTTGAAGGCCAGAAGATGTTGTGCATTTCAAACAGACAAATGAAGCTGTAGAAGATTGTTTCTTGAAGGACTCAACCAAATAAGAAATATCTAAAGTTGCATGCCTCGTTGTAAAGGAAGTATATTAAACATACACTCTGACAAAATTAACACAGCAAGATTGCACTTACACTGTATAATCACTACACAAAAAGCCAATAATCACTTTGTTCAAAAGAGATAATGCCACATAATATAAGTAGTAGTTTAAGCAATTATCCAGTAGAACAGTTAATCATCACCCTCAGTTCACAGCCTTTTGTTTCTCACCAATACACATGTCAGATTGTAATTAAATGCACTCACACTGTTCAGGGCAGAATGAGAGTCCTGGGTTGAAATGTGGGAACCAAACTGAAAAGCACAATAAAGACATGTTTAGACAGCTTTTTAACTGTATCTGCCTGGCATGGGGTCTTGGTTGACAAATTGGCTATATAAGGGTGAAACCACACTGGGGCACCTTATTTATAGAAAAAAATAATTTATGCCTATAGAAAAGTTATGTTATTCTGTTTATAAATTTTCCAAGCGTTGACTTTCTGAGTGAATTATTTGCCAGATATATATTTTTTGAAATTAAATTTATAAGAAAAGAGAGTTTTTAATTGCACTGGTTTGTTCAAACTGTTTTATGATAAATATTTTAGAAATCTAAACAATGCATCTGGATCTCCGTATCTTCTCTTTCACTTCTAATAAATAATAATATAGGGTTCCATTTGCAGTTACAGTAGCAAAGTATGCTACAGTATAATTTTGCTATTTGATTATTGTATTTCTATCCCCTGAAACACAATAATCAAATAGCAAAATTATATTCACTTCTGTTGAAATTGCCTTTTTACAACTTTATAATTTTTAGTAGAAAATCATGATTTATAAATATAGATAATAAAAATATTCAGAATCAAATGCAATCTAATACCATAATGAAGTGGATGGTGAAATTTTCATTCTTTCAATATAATCACAATTTCATGATTACTATGGTTTTGTTTGATAATGTGATATTGACTTCCATGTCCTTAACTCTCACCCAACTTTCCTACTGAGCTCTGTACCTATGTATCTAACAATCTACTAAAACAGTACCTTTCAAACTTTAATCTTTTAATCTTTCTATGCACAATTTGAGAAGTTTACACAGCACAGTTATAGTGGTATAATTTTTGGTGTTTGACTGTGTACATGCTATAACTAGTGAGTTTTGCACGATGGTTTCTTATTGCTCATTAACATTCTTTTATTTCAGATTGAAAACCTTTTACCATTTTTGTATGACATGCCTGGTGTTGATGAAATCCCTCAGCTTGTGTTTTATTTTATCTTATTATATTTTTAACTTATATTTTAGATTAGGGGTTTGTTATATAAGTAAACTTGTGTCATGGGGATTTGTTGTACAGAGTACTTCATTACCCAGGTATTAAGCCTAGTACCCAGTTGTAATTTTTTATCCTCCTCTCCCTCCTCCCACCCTCCACCTTCAAGTAGACACTAGTGTCTGTTGTTTTCTTCTTTGTTTTCATGAGTTCCCATTATTTAGGTCTAACTTATAAGTAACAACATGCAGTATTTGACTTTGTGTTCCTTCATTAGTGTGCTAAGAATCATAGCCTCCAGCTTCATCCGTGTTTCCACAAAAGACATGATCTTGTTCTTTATTATGGCTGCATAGTATTGCATCGTATATATGTACCACATTTTCTTTATCTGATCTGTCATTGATGGACATCTAGGTGGATTCCATGTCTCTGCTATTGTGAACAGTGCTTCAGTGAACATTCACATACATGTCTCTCTATGGTAGAATAATTTATATTTCTCTGGGCACATATCCAGTAATGGGACTGCTGGGTCTGGTGGTAGTTCTGTTTTTAGCTTTTTGAGAAATTGCCAAACCTCTTTCCACAATGGTTGAATTAAGTTCTACTCTCACCAACAGTGTATAAGTGTTCCCTTTTCTTTGAAAACTTGACAGCATCTGTTTATTATGGTCTCTTTAGTATTGATTCAGTTTCAGAGCTCAAACTGGTCTGTTCAGGGAATGAATTTCGTCCTAGTTTAGTCTTTGGAGGGTATATGTGTCCAGGCATTTATTCACTTCTTGGTTTTCTAGTTTGTGTGGATTGAAGTGTATGTAGTAGATTCTGATGGTTATTTTTATTTCTGTGGGGTCAGTAGTAACATCCCATTTATCATTTCTAATTGTGTGTATTTGAAGCTTCTATCTTTTCTTCTTTATTCATTTAGCTAGCAGCCCATCTGTCTTACTATTTAAAAATAAAAGCTCCTGGATTTGTTAATGTTGTGAATGGTGTTTTTTCTGTCTCAGTTTCCTTCAGTTCAGCTCTAATTTTGGTCATTTCCTGTCTTCTGCTAGCTATGGAGTTGATTTGTTCTTGACTCTATTTATTTCAGTCTTGATGTTAGGTTATTAATTTGAGATCTTTATAACTTTATGATGTGGACATTGAGTGCTATGAATTTTTTTATTAACATTGCCTTAGCTTTGTCCCAGAGATTATGGTATGTTGTAACTTTGTTCTCATTAGTTTTAAAGAACTTCTTCGTTTCTACCTTAATGTTATTATTTACCCAAAATTCGTTCAGGAGCATGTTGTTTAATTTCGATGTGTTGCATGGTTTTGAGGAATTTGCTTAGTCTTGAGTTCTATTTTTATTGTGCTGCAATCCAACAGTATGTTTGGTATAATTTCAGTTATTTGGATTTGATGAAAATCATTTTATGTCTGATTATGTGGTCAGCTTTAGAGTACGTGCCATGTAGCAATGAGAAAAATGTACATTCTGTTGTATTGTGCGGAGAGTTCTTTGGAGGTTTATCAGAACCATTTGGTTCAATGTTGAGTTCAGTTCCTGAATACCTTTGTTAATTTTCTGCCTCAGTGATCTGTCTAATACTATCAGTGGAGTGTTTAAGTCTCCCACTATTATTGTGTGGGAGAATATGTCTCTTTTTAGGTCTCTAAGAAGTTGCTTTATGAATCTGGGTACTCCTGTGTTGGGTGCATATGTATTTAGGATATCTATATCTTCTTGTTGAATTGAATTATTTACCATTATGTAAAGCCCATTTTTGTCTTTTTTGATCTTTTATGGTTTAAAATCTGTTTGGTCTGACATTAGGATTGCAATGCCTGCTTTTTTCTGTTTTCCATTTGTTTGGTAGATTTTCCTCCATCCCTTCATTTTTGCCAATGAGTCACTACATGTGAGATGACTCCCTTGAAGACAGCATAGCATTTTCTGTTTATTTATTTATTTTTCCAGCTTGCCACTCTGACCCTTTTAATTGAGTCATATAGCCCATTTACATGTAAGGTTAGAATTTATATATGTGAATTTGGTAATGTCATTGTGTTTTTAGCTAGTTATTATGCTGGCTTGTTTGTATGGTTGCTTTATAGTGCCACTGGTCTGTATATATAAGTGTGTTTTTGTATTAGCTGGTAGCAGTCTCTTCTTTCTATACTAGTACACCTTTCAAGATCTCTTGTAAGGTAGGTCTGGTGGTAATGAACTCCCTCAACATTTGCTTATCTGTAAAGTATCTTATTTCTCTTTTGTAAAGAAGTTTAGTTTGGCTGGATATAAAATTCTTGGTTCAATTTTTTTTTCTTTAAGAATGTTAAATATAGGCCCCCCAATCTCTTCTGGCTTTTAGGGTTTCATCTGAGAGGTCTGCTGTTAGCCTGATGCGGTTCCCTTTGTAGTTAACCTGCCATTTCTCTCTGTCCACCATTAACATTTTTTAATTCGTTTTGACTTTGGGAAATCTAATGACTATGTGTCTTGGGTGTAATCTACTTGTAAAGAAATTTGCAGGAGTTCTTCATACTTCCTGGATTTGACTATTGGCCTGTCTAGCAAGCTTGAGAAAGTTTTTATGGACAGTATCTTGAAATGTGTTTTCTAAGTTGTTTACTTTCTGCCTGTTTTTCAGGGGTGTCAGTGATTTGCAGATTTGAGCTCTTTACATAATCTCTTACTTCTTGAAGGTCTTATATATTCTTCTTCATTCTGTTTTTATTTATTTATTTATTTATTTTATTGTTTTGGTCTGGCTGTGTTATTTCAGATTCCATTCTTCAAGTTCTGTGATTTTTTTTTTTTTTTCTCAGCCTGGTCTGTGCTGCCATTAATACTTGTGATTACACTGTAAAATTCTTGTATTGTGTCTTTTAGCTCTTTAAGACCCATTAGGTTATTTTCTATACCAGTCATTTCATCCTTCAGCTCCTGCATCATTTTATTGTGATTCTTAGTTTCCTTGCATTGGGTTTTGCTGTTCTTATGTATCTTGATGACCTTCATTTTAATCCATATTCTGAATTATATTTGTTTCACTTCAGCTAAGAACTCATGTTGGAGAACTTGTGTTGTCATTTGAAGGACATACAACACTCTAGCCATTTGTGTACCAAACTTCTTGCATTGCTGCTTCTGTCTCATCTTTGTGTGTGGGTGTTCCTTTAACTGCAGTGTAGATTGAGTACAGTCATTAGATTTCCTTTTTGGATGTTTTTACAGTGCCAAGCGTTTTTTGTGTGTTTTGTTGTTGTTGTTGTTGTTTTTGAGATGGAGTCTTGCTCTGCTGCCCAGGCTGGAGTGCAGTCACGTGATCTTGGCTCACTACAACTCCACCTCCTGGGTTCAAGCAATTCTACTGCCTCAGTGCCCCCTAGTAGCTGTAATTACAGGCATGTGCCATCACACCCAGCTAATTTTTGTATTTTTTCAGTAGAGACAGGGTTTCGCCATGTTGGCCAGGCTGGTCTCGAACTTTTGACCTCAGGTGATCCAGCTGCCTCAGCCTCCCAAAGTTCTGGGATTATAGGTGTAAGCCACCACGCCCAGCTGGGGCCAAGGATTTAGAAGTTTTGTTATTTGAAGCCAAGTTCTTGTCTTTGGTTTCACTGGGGTGTATGTTAGTGAGCTATTTTTGCTGTTGAAGTTTTGGGGTATGATTTAGTAGGTGGCACTTAGCTTTATTGGTCAGTTGGTAGACTCTTGCTCCATTGTTTGGCTCCCCTATGTTTCCTCTCAATTGCAGCTGTATTTCCTCTCAATGCACTGAAAATGTGGGGTCCTCTCCCCGTGAGGGTTGGCTGTACATTGCATCTTGGCACTCCTGGGCTGCCTACTGAAGCTCTGGGGTAATCTTAGGGTTTACGTTCCTTTCCCAACTTGGAGGCACCAGAGAAAGGGACATTTGTAATGGTTGTGGCCGATGATTGTTTGCTTGTCTCCTGGGGGCTCCACCCCAGAGAGATGCAAGTCATAATCACTCAGTGCAATCAGCACAGCATGGAGGTTCTGTGCTGTGGGCCCAAGCCAAGGGTTCCTTGTCTGATGATGAGCAGCAGGGGTTGGTGGGACCCATGGGAAACAGACTGGACTCCTCTTTTTCTGTCAACTGCAGCTTGCTGGAGGTTGTGATGACACTTAAGGTCTTTGCTCCTCTGTGTGTGAGAGTAGCAAGGGCAGTTCCATTGCAGAAGCAGTGCAGAGAGGCTTTCAGTTGCCCCTGGAGTCTCTGTTTTGGAAGTTGCAGAACTGCTACCAACTCAATTGCCCCAGCAGGGGGTGGTTAGTGGCCCAGGGTTGGAGGACCTGCCTGGTGAGGAGATATGGGAACAGGCACCCACATAATAGTCTGACCACTATTCCATAGGGCTGCTGCAGTATGCTGGGGATCTGCTCCAGTTCTTAGTCTCCTCAGAATTTCCAGTACATTGAAGGTCTCAACAGTGAAGGATGTGAAACAGCAAAAATGGCAGCCTGCCCCTCCCTCTGGGATCTCTATTCCAAGGAGATATAAACCTGTTGACAGCCTGAAGACACCTAGAGTAAGAGGCTGGAGACTCCAGTTCAGAGGTTCTTCCCAGTGAGGAGGAACAGAATTAGGGACCTGCTTTACAAAGCAGTCTAGCCACATTTTTGTGGAGAAGCTGTGCTGTATTGGGGGTCTGCTTCAGCCTCTGGTTGCCTTGGACTTCCCAAAGCATGAAGGTCAGAATGGCTAAGTTGTCAAAACATTAAAGATGGCAGCCCATTCTTCCCTCTGGGAGCTCTATCCTAGAGAGGTTTGAAACCTGTATCAAACCAGAAAACACCAGCAAGGGTAGCTGGAGGCCCTGGTCAGGAGATCCCATCAATGAGGGGAAATGGGATCTGGGATGGAGTACACACTTATAACAGCAGTCTGACCATGTTTTTGTAGAGCAGCTGTGCTGTGTTGGCGATCTGCTTCAGTCTCTGGTTGCCTCAGAGACTGAAGGCCAGAACAGCCAATTTGCCCAAACAGAAAAGATGGCAACCCACCTCTTCCTCTGGAAGCTTCATTCCAGGAAGGTTTGAAACCTCTCTTGGCAGGAGAACACCAATGGGGTTAGCTGGAGACCCCAGTTGAGAGATCCCACCCAGTGAAGAGAAACAGGACTGGGGACTCATTTTAAAGCAGTCTGGCCACGTTTTTTTAGAGCAGCTATTCTACGCTGGGAGTCAGCTTCAGCTCCCAGTCACCAAGCTTGGGGTTTTGTTTTTGTTTTTGTTTTGTTGTTGTTGTTGTTTTTGTTGTTGTTTTTGGAAAGTGTTTATTTCTCTTTCATGTTTGAAGGATAATTTTGCTGGACATAGTATTCTAGGATAAAAGTTTTTCCTTTGGCATTTTAAGTATGTTATTTCACTCTCTCCTGGCCTGTGAAGTTTCCAATGACAAGTCTGCTGCTAGACATATTGGACCTCCATTGTAAATTGTTTGCTTTTCTCTTGTTGCTTTCTCAAGGATTCTCTCTTTACCCTTGACCTTTAAGAGTTTGACTTTAAATGCCTTGAGGTAGTCTTCTGTGAGCTAAAACTGCTTAGTGTTCTATAACCTTCTTGTACTTGAATATTTCTATCTATCTCAGGTTTGGGAAATTCTGTTATTATACCTCTGAGTAAACTTTCTACCTTTATATCTTTCTATACTTTCTCTTTAAGGCCAATAACCCTTAGATTTTCCATTTTTAGACTATTTTCTATATCTTGTAGGTGTACTTTCTTCTTTCTCCTTTTTTCTTTTGTCTCCTCTTACTGTGTATTTTTAAATAGCCTGTCTTCAAGCTCACTAATTCTTTCACCTGCTTGATCAATTCTGCTGGTACGTTAATTCTGATGCATACTTCAGTATGTTAATTTCCTTTTTCAACTCCAGAATTTCTGCTTGAATATTTTTAGTCATTTCATTCTCTTTGTTAAATTTACCTGATAGAATTCTGAATTTCTTCTCTGTGTTAGTTTGAATTTCATGGCGATTCCTCCAAACTGCTATTTTGAATTCTCTGCCTCCAAGGTCACATTTCTCTGTTTTCCCCAAGATTGGTCCCTAATGCCTTATTTAGTTCATTTGGTAAGGTCATGTTTGCCTGGATGGTCTTGATGCTTGTGGGTATTTGCTGATGTCTGAGCATTGCAAAGTTAAGCATTTATGGTACTTTTTGCAGTGTGGCTATTTGTACACATTCTTTTTAGAAAGGCTTTCCAGGTATTTGAAAGAACTTGGGTGCTGTAATCTAAATTTTGGTCATCACGGCCATATCTACATTAGGGGGCACTTCAAGCTTAGTGATGCTTGTCTCTTGCAGACTCGTATAGGTACTGCCTTGGTGGTCATGGATAAGACCCAGAAGAATTCTCTGAATTACCAAGCAGAGAGTCTTGTTCTTTTTCCTTACTTAACCCAAACGAACAAAATCCCTCTCTTTACGCTGAGCTGTCTAGAACTGAGAGAGGAGTAATACAAGTATCTCTGTGTCCACACCATTGGGACTGCGCTGGGTCAGATCTGAAGACAGCATGGTACTTGCTCTCACCCAAGACATGTGGTAACCACTGCCTGGCCACCACCTGTATTTACTCAAGACCTTAGGGATGTGTCCTGTCCTTCAGTTTGGCTAGCCAAACTCTGGCCCCAGTCAGGTCTAGAGATGCCATCTGGGAGCCAGAGCCTGGAGTTGGAAACCTTAGCAATCTATTTGCTGTTCTATTCTGCTGTGGCTGAGCTGGCCCCCAGGCCATAAGACAAAGTTCTTCCCACTCTTTCTTTTCCTTTCCTCAAGGAGAAGAGCCTCACCTCATAGACATCATAGTCCCACACCCACAGTAAATACTACCTGGCTACTGCTGATGTTGACACCAGCCAGTCCTGAGTCCCTCCCTATAGGGCAGTGGGCTCCCCTCTGGCCCAGGAAAGGTCAAACAATGCCATCCAAGAGCCAAGGCCTGGACTCACAACATGGTTGGTGCCCTACCCCACTGTGGCTGAGCTGGTAACCAAGCTGCAAGACAAATTCTCATTTACTCTTCCCTCTCCTTTCCTCAGGCAGAAGGAATACCTCCCTTTGGCCACCACATGCAACTGTGCTGGGTCACTTCTGAGACCAACACATTTGTGAGTCTCACCCAAGGCCCATAGTGAGTACTGCTGGGTATCACTGATGATTATTTAGAGTCCAAGAGGTCTTTATTAGGATAGGCCCCAAGGACTCTTTAGTTTCCTGCCCAAACTGGGTTGTTTCCTTCAAGTCCTCGGGTTACTTTCTGGCCAAAGGTGTGTCTAGAAGTTTCATTCAGGAGCTAGCCTGGAATGGGGACCTCAGGACTCTGCCAACAGCCCTTGGATACTGAACTGGTATCCAAGTTATAAGACAAAGTCCTCTTTACTCTTCCCTCTCCTTTTCTCAAGCAAAGAAAAGTAGTCTCCCCTGGAGCTGTGGGCTGAACAGCCTGAGGTTTGGGGAGGGGGTGGCACAAGCACTCTTTGGTTGCCCCATCTGGTATTTCACTGGGTCATGGAACCACCAAATCCACTGGCTCCAAGCCCAGCACAGCATGAGGAATTGCCCAATAATTGCAATACTTAAGGGCTAGCCTGTCTTTCAAGTTTGTTTACTAATCCAGAGTACTTTTGCCCATGGTGGCAAGGCTTGCTGAAACTCAGGTTCTGACTGCTGGGATGGACGTTTTCTCTGGTTAGAGCTGAGGCTCCTTTTCTCTGCTTGAGGGGAGGAGAGGGAAGAGTAAAGAAGACTTTGTCTTGCAACTTAGATACCAGCTCAGCCACAGTAGGATAGGGCAGTGGGCAGAGTTCTGAGGTCCCCATTCCAGACCACTAAATGCTCCCTCTGTGAGTGCCAGCTGAGTCCTGCCTGGTGTTGTTTTCCACTGTGACAAAACAGCATGGAGCTTCAGTGCAAAGTCCTCCAATTTCTGTACCCTCCCTCTCCTAAGCCCACAGATTATCTCTGTGTGCCATGAAGCCATTGATTGAAGATTGGGGAGGGGTGGCACTGGCAATTCAAGACACTTTTCTACCCTCTTCAGTGCCTTTTCCTGTGACATGAAGTTAAAACCAAGGACTGTGATTTCTCACCTAATTTTAGTTTTTATAAAGGTACTTCTTTGTGTCTGGATAGTTGTTCAATTTGGTATTCTTCTGGGGAGGAAGAACTTCTAGTGAAGTTCTATTCACTAGAAGGTTTCTATCTAGACATTTTCCTCCACTTTTTTTTTTTTTTACTGTCTATTATTCTCTTCATCTCCTCTTCCCTATTTTAGTTCAGAACACTGTCATCTCTCAAGTCTTATCATAGCAGCCTTTTAATTGATCTACCTTAACTTTAATAACCTAGTCCATCTTTCACTTGCAGCCAAAATAATATTCCTCACTATAATTCTGATTACATCAACCCCTTTCTTAAAATTCATCACAACCTTTGACATTTTCTACAAGACATCGTACTACCATTTCATTGTCGTAACAAACCACTCACGATCTAATGTCCATGCTCAAGCTACACCAGATGTCTTTATGTTGCTTGACCCCCTCCATTATTTCTTTCTTCCAGGCACTTCCACATTCTATTTCCTTTTTTAAAACTCTCTTATTTTTCCTCCAACTCAATATATCCAAAGTAAATAATGTAATAACCCTCCTCCCAACTTATTCTTCTGATTTTTCCATCCTAGTTATGAGAATGTCTATTTACTGGGAACAATCCTAGACTTTTTTCATTACCATATTTATCAGTTTATTGGAATATGTGTCCCTTTAAGTTCTACACTCAAAATATTTATGCAGGTTATCTTATCTTCTCTCATTCTCACTGATTTTTATATCAGTTTTATTCATATATAATTAACATAACATACAATTTGCACATTTAAAATATACATTTTAAATTATTTTAGCATATTCACAGAACTGTACAATCATCACCACAATCAAGAGTCTGTGCTTTGAAACAGAATATTTTCTTCACACCAAAAAGAAATTCTGCACATAACAGTAATTGCTCCCCATTTCTTCCCAACATCACCTGTCCTAAAAATATTTCTTATGATTTGGTATAACATCTAAAATATCTAGTGCCCAAATCAAGTTAGCAAAGCTTTAGATCCATGTTTTCTTATGTAAGTTTTAGCTATTGCATTACATTTTAATAAATGTAATGTCTTTGAGGAATCGCCACACTGATTTCTACAATGGCTGAATTAATTTATGCTCTCACCAACAGTATATAAATGTTTCTTTTTTTCTCTACAGCCTCACCAGTGCCAGCATCTGTTACTTTTTGACTTTTTAGTAACAGCTATTCTGACTGGTGTGGTATCTCATTGTGGTTTAATATTTTAATTCAACTTTTATAAATGGTATAAGGTAGGGTTCAATTATTATTATTTTTTTGCATGTGGATATCCAGTTGTTCCAGCATCAATTTTTGAAGACATTATTTTTTCCCTTTTGAATGGTTTTGATGCTCTTTACAAAACTCAGTTGACAATAAATGTGAGAGCTTATTTCTGGACTTTCAATTCTTTACTATAGGTTTTGTTGATTTTTATGTCACTAACACACTCTCCTAATTGCTGAAGTTTTTAATATTGTAGTAGCCTTTGAAATTGGAAAATTTGTCTTCCAAATTTGTTCTACATATTCAATATTGATATGAATACTCTGGATCCTTTGATTTGTGCATGTGAATTTCATAATCTGACTATCAATTTCTGTAAAGAAACCAGTTGGTATTTTGATAAAGCTAGCACTGAGTTTGTAGATAAGTTTACAGAATATTTCCACCTTAACAATATTAAGTCCTCTGCTTCTTAAAATGGATATCTTTCTATTTATTTGGAGCTGCTAACATTTCTTATGATATATTGAAGTTTTCAGATAATAAGATTTGCATTTGTTTTGTTAAATGTATCATTGATTTTTGTGCTATTATAAATGGTATTGTTTTCTTTTTCTTTCTTTTTTTTTTTTTTTTTTGGAGACAGAGTCTCCCCCTTTGTCACCCAGGCTGGAGTGATGTGGCACAATCTCAGCTCACTGAAACCTCCACCTCCCAGGTTCAAGTGATTCTCATGCCTCGTGCCTCCCAAGTAGCTGAGACTACAGGCATGCACCATCATGCCCAGGCAATTTTTTTTTTTTTCGTATTTTCAGTAGAGACAGGGTTTCACCATGTTGCTCAGGCTGGTCTTGAACTCCTGAGCTCAGGCAATCCATGCACCTTGGCCCCAAAAAGTGCTAGGACTATAGGCGTGAGCCACCACACCCAGTCGGTATTGTTTTCTTAATTACACTTTCAAATTGTACATGGCGATTATAGAAACTGTTTTTGTATAATTTTACAAGTTTTTTTTATATTTTATATTATACAAAAGCACAATCTTTTTAATACATTTTTCTTGGATCCTGCAAACTAGCTGAACTCATTTATTAGGTCTAATAGTTTTTCATAAAATCCTCAGGATTTTCTGTGTACAAGATGAGGTCATTTGTGAATAGGAATAGTTTTATTTTTTTTCCAATTTGGATACTTTTTAAGACTTGTTAATTACCTTAGCTAGAACCCCTAGTGTAACACTAGAAATGTAGAAAATTGACACATTTGTCTTGTTCCTGATCTTAGGAGGAAAGCTTCTGGTCTTTCACCATCAAGTGTGATTTTATCTGTGAGTTTTCAAGGTGCACTATTATATTCAGGATGTTTTATCTTATTCCTAATTGGTTCAGTGATTTTTTTAAATCATAAAATGTGTTGAATTTTGTCAAATTCTTATTCTGTGCCTATTAAGATAATCATGCAGTTTTTGTCCTCTATTTATTGATACGGTGCACTTCAATAATTCATTTATGAATGTTAAGCTGATGTTGCATTGCTGGAATACACTCCACTTGGTTATAGTGTATAATCCTTTTTATATTCTCCTAGATTCTATGTAGTAATATTTTTCTGAGGATTTTTGCATCACTGTTCATAAAATATTAATCTATAGTTTTCTTATCTTCTCAGGATAACACTGGCCTCATAAAAATAGTAGTTTTCTGTTTTTTTATTTTTGGAAGGGTTTGCAAAGAAGTGATACTAATTCTTAATAAAATATTTGGTAGAATTTACAATGAAACTATCTGGGCCAGGGGCCTTCCAGTGGAATGTGGTAAAATTACTAATTCACTTGAATTTTTGTTACAGATCGATTTCTATTTTACATCATTTATTGAGTCAAATTCTGTATTTTGTGTCTTTCTATGAATTTATTGATTTAATCTAAGTTCTAAATTTTGGCATAGTTTTGCTCTCAGTATCTTCTTAGAATCCCTTTTCACCTTTGTAAGGTTGGTAGTAACATATGGTCTTTCATTTCTGATTTTAGAAATTTGAGTTTCCTCTTATTTTTTTATAAGTCTAGTTTAAATTTGCCAAATTTATTCATATTTTTATAGACTTGAATTTTTGTTTTGTTGATTTTCTCTATTATTTATAGTCATATATATAAACCTGTATGTATATAATATATATAGTTATATGTATAGTTATATATATAAACAATCATCCATTTCATTAATTTTCACTCTAATCTTCATTTTTTGTACCATGTGCTTTCTAACAATTTAGCTTGTCTTATATTTCCAGTGCATTAAGGTTATGTTTAAAAAATTTTTTATTTTTAAAAATAGCCTTTTTACCATTTTCAATTTTCCTCTAACCTCTATTTTAACTACATCCTATGTCTTGATCTGTTTTGTTTTCATTGTCATTCATCCCAGGTACTTTATAATTTCCCTAATGTTTTTTTCTTTTGTAACTTAGGAATATGATTTTTTTTTTATTGCAAATGTGTTTGTGGATTTTGGGAATTTCTTTCAGTTAGTTATCTCTAATTTTACTTCACTGTGATCAGGGTAACACTTTTGTATGATACCAAGTTTTTCAAATTTATTGAGACATTGTTTGGCCACTGTGTTGCATATTTCTGTAGAACAACATTGCGTGTACATTTGAGAGAAGGTATATTCTGCAACTGTTAGGTGGTGTTCCATAGATATTCATAAGTTCTAGTTGGTTTATAGTGTTGTTGAAGTCATCTGTTATTCTGCTAATCATCTGCCTAGTTGTTTTATTATTAATGAAGGTAGGGTATTGAAGTCTTCAACTGCAATTGTACTCTTCCTTCAATTCTGTTTTGCGTCCTGTATTTTGGAGCTTTGTTGTTTGGTGCATATATTTTTTTAACGCCTTTCTGATGGATTGACTGTTTCATCATTACAGAATGTACTTCTTTTGTTCTAGTTAAAATGTTTGACTTAAAGTCTGTCTTATCTGCCATTAGTATAGGCACTGCAGCTTGCTTATGGTTGCTGTTTGCATAATATATATGTTTCTATCCTTTTGCAATCCACTTATGATGTTTTGATCCTAAAGGATGTCTCTTGTAAACAGCATATAGTTTAACTCTCTTTTTTTTAATCCTGTTTGGCAATGTTAGTCTTTTGATTAGATTTTTTAATCCTTTGACTGTAATGTTATTATTGATACAGTTGGATTTACTTTTTGTCATTTTGCTTTTATTTTCTCTATACCTGATACCATCTTTTTTCTGTTCTTTTTATTACTTTCTTTGGGATAGCAAATATTTTCTAGTGTAATATTTTAATTCTTTATATTTTGAAATATATTTTGTTATTTTCCTAGTTCTCTCAAGCATATCATATACATCTAGCTTTTCAGAATCTACAAATCTCTACTATTGTAATTGCAGTAAAATATAGAAATGTAACTCTTATGAACCTCTTCTTCATCTTCCTTGTTTTTCTGCTATTACATCATAAAGAGTGCTGTGTTTCAAATAAAGGCAGTTTCTTTAGGAAAAGCTTCAGAACACTTTGGTCTTACAACTTGCATATACACTTGGGGGGAAAAATTTCCTGAGCTACTTTTCCAGAGCTGGGATTAGATAAAGTGACCCACTACTCTTGATGTGATGCCAATGCTCCATGAGTAGCATTTTAGTGGGATGGTAATCCCTGGTCTTCTTGGCTTTCATCTAGTGTGAAACCTCTACCCTATGAGCAACTTGGGATACAACCAATCAGTGTCACAATATTCTCAATCTACCATTGTGAGGGCTAGAACCTCTGCTCTAGAAGTGGGTATTTGGTGGAGAAAGGGAGTCCAACCTCCTAGCAGCTACTCACCTAAAATTTAGCCTCTGAAAAACTGTAGCTGCAAGAGAACAAATGAAAAATTCTGGGGGCTTGCCCTTCCTAGTGAGATAACACAACCCTTGACTGAGGCATGGTAAGAAAGGTAGCTTCATCATTTTGTCCACCCCACTTGTTCTGCAGTTTCCATAAATACTCAGCATAAGTATAAGCTGAAAGGCTTTGAACAGGTTGTGTTGTATCCAATATTCCACTGACTCTTATTGTTATTACTATCGATACTAATTAGAACACTAATTGAACTAATTCTGTTATTTTTTCTCAACTTAGCTTCCTATTATCTCCCCAATACTGTAATATCATTATCTAAATGTATATTTGTTGTTATCCCATTCATTAATCTTTTACTTTATCCTGAAATATTATTTCCTTTGAACTAGCATAACACGCATCTATACTCCTTCAGAAGTAATGTAATTTAACCATTTTTGATGATTATTTCTACAAATAGAAATAGTTCTCTTCACTATGGGCTCCCAAAAATAAATATTATTTTAGTATTAAACTTAACAAGATGTCTGTGAATAACTTATAAAAATGTCTGTCTTCCATCTTAACTACAAATTCTTATAGTTTGCTATATAATAACTTAAATGTATAAATATTAAAAATAGTTTTGAAGTAATCATACTCTATAACTATTTATTTTTCTTTCCCATGTATTCCCCAAAAAGCACAGTGTATGCATTCAATAAATATTTACTGAAAAACTAATTGAAATTCAGTCAAGAAACAAGATAGTGAAGAAAATATTTACATAGTTAAGATAATGTATTTTTATCCCATTTTTCAGAATCATAAAATTTAAAGAATAGAAGAGGCCTCAAATATCAAGCATGCTCTAATCAGCTTACTAAGATTTCTTACTTTGTGAACTTCTTAACTTTAAACAATGAGAAATGTATTTCCACTTATGAGAGGCATTCCAGATTTTGGAATCCTAATTATTCAGAAGTTGTGTTTTTAAACTATAATCTCTCTTCATATAGCTACAGTTCACTGATATTTGTTTCACTTATTGAAGACACTATAATATGTTAGATTTTAAATTTATGTAATTTATTGTAGCAAGTTTATAACTTATTGTAGCAAGATCCTTATAGAAGCTATTTTTGTCAATTTTTGTACATCTATTTAGTGACTTAGAAACAACACCAAAGCCATGATTTATGAAAAACATATTTAAAAAGTTGGATCTCACTATCTGTTCTGTAAAATTTTCAGGGAAAAGAAACTATTCTGTATAATACTATAATGATGGCTACATGTCATTATGAATTCATCATACCTATAAAATATACAATGCTGAGAGCAAATCTTCATGTAAATTATGGACTGGATGGTAATAATGGATCAGTGTTGGTTAATCTATGGTAAAAATGTACTCCTCTGTTGCATGATACTGTCATTGAAGAAGCGTGTAAGTGTGTAATACAGTTTTAAAAAAATAAAACTAACTTTGAAGAAAACCAACAGGTATATATGATAGTGATTTTCAGGATTATATGTAATTGACTGAAGTAGATATTCAGATTTGGATAAGAAATATATAACATTTTGTTTTAAGTTTCTTGAGTTTCTCAACACATTGTTCTATTTTATGTTTGGTATAATTCTCTACTCTAATCTTCTTAAAATACTACTACTACAGCATTTGCACTGCTCCTGAAATTTTACATACTTAATGAACATTCTTTCCAAAAAAGAAAAGTAAAGTTATAATTATTATTCTTAAATTATTGGGTACAGTTTGTGAAATATGACTTTTTATTTCTCTTTTTCTATTCTAAAATGCATAATAATCTAACCTTGAAAAATTTATGTGTACACCACAGTATACCTAACATTCACTTTTGCCTTTTTATTATATTAACTAATCATAATTTTATATTATTTTTCCTGAGTTTCAAAAAATAAGTTCTGATTGTTACCTTATCAATTCAGTGTTCTTTTTGTGGAATTACATTACAATACAATGTAAGAGCATGAGATAGGCTTACTTCCTGCTTAAACACTGAAATTAAAATCTAGGCAAACTATTAGTCATCTTGTTATCATATTTGTTTTCCAATATTCCCTCATGAGAGGTATTAAGCACTATCACAAATTATAAATGTTTAACCATTATTAATAATTTTAATTCACATTTCAGTTTTGAGTAGGAGTCTTAGATTAGGTCATGGCCAAATTTAAATGTATTCTATATCAGTTTTAGAGAAGTTCACGCCGTCTGCTGGAGCAATCTGGAAGAAAGGAAATTTTAAAATAATAGTGGTAACAACAAGAACATTCAAAAATATACAGCTAGAAACTAAATGTCTAATAAGACTTTCTCTCTATGTAGTTATTTGCAATCATAGATGAAACTTTCACAGGTAATAATTTAGTAATTCGTTAATCTACCAGAAAA
The DNA here is from genome assembly GCF_000001405.40 of Homo sapiens. Lineage (NCBI taxonomy): Eukaryota > Metazoa > Chordata > Mammalia > Primates > Hominidae > Homo > Homo sapiens. Next base: position 77,737,501 of record NC_000008.11, on the reverse strand, counting down.
AGTCTTCTAAAGACAGCACCAAAGTCAGGCCAATCTTTGTGAAGATTTTTCTTTTCTCTGAAATAGACTTCATATGAAGTTTATTCTGAGACATCTAGGACTAGATATAAAATATATACCTATATATTATACATACATATGTATCTCTCTATATATTATGTTGTGTATGTATGTATTATATGTGGATATACATATATACATTAAATATATATAGTCTATGAGAAAAAGATTATACACCTCTTTCATAGTATTTGACATTTTTTGTGTCTACAGTTACCATATGTCAAAGGCACACATACAAATCAAACTAGTGCTCTGACATCCTTCCAATTAAAGAGAAACACTGATTAGAAATTCAGTACTCTATTATAGAATAGGTTGAAAATGAAAAGTAATTTTAACCTGAAAAATTAATTTGGATCCTCTGTATATTTTAATGAATATAAGATGCAATATATTTGAGCACCTTTTTTCTTAATTTTTGTATTAGTCTGGGTTCTCCAGAGAAATAGAATCATTAGAGAGAGAGAGACAGAGATTATAAGAACTTGGCTCACATAATATTCAAAGTTGGGAAGTCCGTTATCTACAGGCTGTGCCAGCAGGATACTGCTGGGCAATTTTCTCTTGCTTAGGGAGCTGGTGTTTTGCTCCATTCATGCCTTCCACTGATTGGAGGAAGCTCACCCACATAATGAAGGGAACTCTGGGAACTCTGCTTTGCCCAAAGGTCACAATTTAACTGTTAATCTCATCCAAAAATACCTTTTCAATTGACATATAAATTTAACCATCACAATTATATACATAAAAGATAAACTTGGTAAAGGGTCACTATTGGTATTTCTTTTTCACCACTATTAAATTAAGTAACAATTAACTCCTGCTTAAGGTAAATCCTATGGGAGAAGAGCAGACACTTAACAGTGATTCATAGATAGCAAGATATCATGTGGATTTTTTTTTAATCCGGTTTGTCCTAAAAATATGATCAAGGTCCTAAGCTGGGGAAAACAGGCATCAAAGAAAGCAATCATTAGGTGGGGCAAACAGCTTCTCCAAAGGATTTGCAGAAAGCTATGAGTATAAAATGTGGATGTTCAAAAAAGACTGGCGCAAGAGTTGTGAGAGTTGTCACTCTTTTGTAGAGTAATTTAATTGGGAAGATAAATATTCTCTCCCCAAATCCAAGGAGTAGAGTTCCGAGAATCAATCCTAGAAATTGTGGGTGTTTGTAAGATAGAAACACTCACACCTCAGTACCTCCAGCATAACAAAGTATGTGAGAAGAGAGTTCTCTGGTAATTATTCTGGGAGCCTAACAAATTAAAGTGTTGTTAGTCCTACTCCTCAAACATGGTAAAGAAGGGAGACATATTCTTTTCCTCTGAAATTTGAGGGCATTCTTGAATATAGAAAGGAGCCTGCCTCTGGTCTTTGGGTAGTTGAAAAAAATGGTATCTGAAAGAGTAACTGATCCCAGCAGGGCCTGAAGGGACTATGTCGTAATGGACCTGGGAATATGATTCATGAAACTCCCATTCCAGTCCACAACTCTGCAGCCCCATGGAGTGGCAGAGGAGGATCCCAGTGGTTCTAGTGATACCACAGGAATGAACATGTAGGACAGAAAAGAAGCAGGCTCTGCCATGCTCTGCTGAAGGCTTCTGTGCCAAGTGAGGGTAAGGAATCCTAAAAAGAGTCAGGGTGATCTATTCCCGGTAGGGTCAGGACAAAGTGTGGTGTCTCTTTGGAAGGTTTCCTTATGAGCAGAGAGGGCTGAATGAAGGGTGCTTAATTCGGCCTAGCAAAAAACCACACACAATTTACCTGAAACCACAAAATTAACAGAGATTCACAGCATCAGGGAAAAAAAAAATAGGCAGAACCGTAACAAGATGAACAATCTATTCCCCAGTGACAAGTGGGCAGTAAGATAAGGAGACCCCTGTCTGTTTTACTTTTCTTTCATATCCCTAACCCCTGAGAATAACCCACCTAGAAAAAAATGGAGGAGTGGATGGTCTTAGAGAAAGAACACGTCACCCTCTCCTCTAATCCAAGCAATGGTTGTTCAAGGTATAACAACTTTGAATTGAGTTTGAGGCCAAAACTTTAATGCAAACCAGAATTAGCTTCAATTCATGTCATAAGATTGCATTAGTCATTTAAGATTTATGAAAATTTTGTAATTGCAGTCAGTCCCAGAGGAAAAGTGAGATCCAATAGAGTTGAAGGTAGAGATTGAAGTCAAATGGTGAAAGAAACCAACAAAAAAACAAAAAACAAAACCAAAAACTGTCTACTGTGTTAGAGCACTTGCAATTTAGTTGCCAAGACAGATATTATACAAAACATTTATATATAACTTAGAAGTTACGCTGAAAAGAAATAGGCAGAATAATAACGAATATAAATAGAACTCAACACAAGCTTTTCCATGGGTTGTATCACATAGAGCCTAAATAAGAACTCTAGAGACCTACCAAATTCAAGCCGCAGAATAATTTTAAGATTTACTTTTGGGCTTTTCAACAGTAATACTAGGTCCTTAACCTATTTCATAAATTACAGCAGTGGTTTTCAGTGGCTCAGTGTCAGGGTTGGTGAAAATTGTGTCCCGTAAGGGATATTTGGAAGTGTCCAGAGATATACCTGTTTCACACAACAGGCCCGGGGTGGTTAGGATAGTGCTACTGGCATCAATTAGGTAGATAACTCGTAATGTCGCTAGGTATCCTATGATGGGAAGGGCAGCTGCCTACAATTAAGAATGATCTGAATTAAATATCAACAGTACCAAAGTGGAGAGATTCGTATAAATGATGCACAAGAAATACGGGAGCAGGTGAGCCATACGAGTTGGGTGGGTTTAGGGAGATGATTCAGTTGCCATCTCAAAATAGAGTTTCTAATCAGAAGAAAATTGTTGATACATAGTATTGTGAACCTTAATAACCAATATAAACCATTACATTTCTTTCCTATAGATGCTGATAAACATCCTTGATAAATTAATCTAATTCAGCTGGGTTTATGATAACCCTGAAGAACCACTAACAATACACACAAACTAGTCGGACCACTGGAACACAGGTTGTAACTTAATTATTTGTAAATCTATTTGTTTAAGTTGGTATTAATTCAAAATATTTATTCAGACATATTTTTGAAAACCATTTATGTGCTAAACTTTAAGTAAGACATTAGGTAGACAAAAATAAACCAAAAAATGGTCCCTACTTTCAAGAAGTTTAGAGATCAGCAGAACTGAAAACGAAGGATTATTTAAAAAAAAGAAGCAGCAAAAAACAAGATTAATCACCTTTCACTTTTAATTTTTTGCTTTGCTGATTAAAGAAAGTATGCCTTAGGTTAAATCAGAATGTTGTTATAAGTACCAGAAACAACTTATTTTAATTTGATTGAGTATATTGAAGAATTTTGTAGAAAAGCAAGAACAGGGACGGGAGCAGTGGCTCACATCTGTAATCCCAGCACATTGGGAGCCCGGGGGTGGGGCTGGGGCGTGGATCACGAGGTCACGAGATCCAGACCACCCTGGCCAACATCATGAAGCCCTGTCTCTACTAAAAATACAAAAATTAGCTGGGCATGGTGACACGTGCCTGTAATCCCAGCTACTCGGGAGCCTAAGGCAGGAGAATCTCTTGAACCGGGGAGTTGTAGGCTGCAGTGAGCCAAGATCACGCCACTGCACTCCAGCCTGGCAACAGAGTGAGACTCCGTTAAAAAAAAACAAAAGAAAAAAGAAAAGCAAGAACAAATTTAAAAGGCCATATATTTACATTAATAATTCTATAGGTTCCATGGAAATGTAATTAATATAACAAAGTTTAGAATAAGAATTGATTAAATTTTAAATATTTTACATGCATTTGTTATCACATTTTAACATGAAATATATTACTGTATAATTAAAACCAGTATAAAATGATATTAAACTTCATTTTTTCTGAAGATAATTTTATCATAATGTACGTTGTAATTTGAAGGGGGTTATCTTCAGACAGCTATACCTAAAGGAAACCTAGATTATTTTGGAAATGAGGTATTAAAAAGCAGACAAAAAAAATTCTACAAAAAGTTAAGTCACTTATTCCCATATATAAGCATATTAAACTTGGCATTAATGCAACGAGAATAATTTGTTATTCTTTTTAAAGAAAAATTTAAATGTTAAAAATATCAAGAGCGGTAAAACCATCAATGTTTTAATTTTGCATCGATCTCTCTTTTGGTATGTGTGTGCATCTAGAGTACATATTATTATTTTAAAATTTTTAAAGTGTTTAGTGGTTTACTTGCTGTTTTATGCTATGATTATACATCACAATTTCCTCCATGTTAAAAAGAGAATTTTTCCTCAGTCATTAATTAGCAAGACTAAAGTATCATTTAAATATTGCAAGAAAATTTAGAAACAATATGTTTTATATTATATATACTGAATTTAAAAGCACACCAGCATATATATCTGATTTCATTCTTGTATTTAAAATTATTTCTTGTATATAAACCATGCAATACATGGATGACAAATATGAAACCTGTAAATTATATAGCCTAAGAAGTAAGTGGCGATACATTTTTCACAGATGAAATTATTCAGAAAATTAATATTTCAAAATATTTCATTTACCAAAGTATGCAGCTTTCATCTTAATCATTTTTAACTCAGATATTAAGGATTGTTATGAAAAATTTTTATTACTTTCTGATTTTTATAATGTGTTTTAGATTTCTGTGGTAATCCAGGAGAAATTTCTTAGTTATATAATTATACACAGAATTGACCAAGCTAGAGATGCCCTCATTGGAAATGTTGCATCTGCTATAATGACAAGTGAGGACTAATGGGAAAATCTAAAATGAAGGTCTGGCAACTTCTCCTAAGTATCAAATCTTTATGGATTCTTTACATAAGTTATTTTTTCCAAGCTAAATGAAATGTTTTCTTCATCTTTTTCTTTCATGTTTTCACATTGATTCAAATTCTGTATTTGTTCATAAACACAGAACTGTTCTGTACAATTTATTTTCACAGACATTTTAATTCTGTCTACATGCATGTGTTTGTCTGGCTAGCTCTCTATGTATATGCCTATAGCTATATATATATATATATGTTTATATATTCTGGTGACTGTATCGTCAAATGGGTAGCATAAGGCATTCAGGAAATAGAGACCTGAAATATATGTTGACATAAAAAATATACTTTTTCTTTTATGTAAAAGGATATAATACTACAAATGACAACCTTTCTAAGAATTCAGTTTTTCAAATCTGTGGTGAAAATAAAAATGGAGCATAGGCATCTCTATCATAACTAAGGGTAAAAACAATCAGGGAAAAGCAGTAAAGGCAGTGCAGTTTGCAGTGGTCTTTTTAGTAGCTGCATACAAGCAATTAATTTGATCTACAGTCTATGAAGCATTTTATAATTAATTTCTCAGCATTTACTACATACAAGCCATCACTTTAAAGTGCTATGTCATTAACAAAATCCCATTTTTTTTCCATAAAGAAGAGGCATACTGATCTACATTTTTCCATGCTGCCAAGGCAGAATGGACTCGAGGGATATTATCTTATTCAGAAAGAACCTTTCAAGGTTGAATAAAAGAAATGGTGCAGGGTCCCTGGGAGAGGGAAGTGATCATCATTTTCACCTTCAACTCCTCTTTGATGTGGCAGAGTCAATTTTTAATCAGCAGCCATCAGACTGGGCTTCATTTCGCCTTACAAAGTCCTATTACTCTGCCACTTTCTGGAAGGAGGTGATAAGGACAATGCTCTTCTTTTTCTCTTCATAGAACCCTGCATATGATGAGTCCCTTTGGAGAGGCTTCATAAAAAAAAATAATAAAATAAAATAAAAACAGAGTGAGTATGTAGGGATAAAGGTCACCTCTCTGTCAGAATTAACTCTTTAAGACAACAAACTTTGATTTTCCTGTGTTTGTTTTTAGGAACTCTCCTATTGCCTTTGGAGGCAATGGCGCTAATAAGCTGATGTGAAGGAAATAGCTAAAATGCACACAGCTTTTGATGAAAATGATATTAAGGCTTATTAGTCTTACCCAGCTAAACAGCATAGTGGATATAATGCTAATGAACATTATAGATATTAGTGACATGTAGGGAAAGCACACAATTAAAGTCTACTTCTTTTAGTACACCTCAAAGAAATCATTTATTATTAGACTGCACGTAAGTGCCGCACAGACACAGTAAGAGAAAATCGCTTCTATGGATTCAGCTAAATTGAAAAATGAAAAGAAAAAAGAACCTACACTTTTCCCCTCTGGAAGTGTTTTTCTATGTTAAGTAAACCTAGATTATTTTTTAAACTATGCACTCATGCAGAAAAACCTCCATAATCTCTTAGTATCATTTATTGTAGTCAGCAGTCTTAATTGCCTCACTGAAATGGATCAGAGTTCTGGGAATTACCTAGTAAAATGATGTTACTACTCTCCAGCCTTCACATCCTTTGATATAATCTCATTAAAAATATCAGGCCTCTAGGTGAGGGAATACATATGGATAGTAAATGCATGTTAAGCAGGAGCACCCAAACTGATGACCTAGTTATTACAGAACAGAGCAGCAGACGATGAATTTTAATTTTGAAGTACAGCAGTTTCTTTCTTGGTTAATACCATAATTATTAACATATTTTTGGAATGAATCTGCTTGTTACCCTTGAAAAAGATAATAATATTGAACCAACCAAAATACTGAAATGACATTTTTTGGAATAAAATAAACTCTTATTTTCCAGAAGACCACACAAGTGAAAAAACACACATAGTTTCATTAACTATAATTACTGAGAGGAGATGGGAAAAGATGTGTGCCAAATCCCTTTTTGTGTGTGTGTTCTCAAAATGTAGCTGGGTTGAAAAAATATAAACCTCCAGAGGAAATACACTCATCACTCAGCCAAATAAAGGGGGAAGGAGTGGAGGGGAGAGTCATGCTGAGTCCACCATATGAAATAATTAGATTTTTTATAGAATTGGATTTCCTGTTGTAAATTGGAAAGTATAGTTCTGCAAAGGGTGAGTGTATAGAGCATAAAACTACCCTGTGCTATGCAGTCCAATGTATTGCAATAACAAACCATTCTCTCTTTGGTAGTGAATAATGTGACAGACGAAAGTAACATTGTTTAGACAAAGATTTTTTGTTTACTTTTTAAAATAAAATTTGAATATTTACTTACGAATAACTCATAATTTCAAAGGTGCAAAAAGCCCAGGTTTCCAAAATCCAGGTAGTCAGTGAAATTTGGATAAAATGGGCTGTTTATACAGTAAATACTGCTGAAGTAGACAGTTATGAAATGATGTTATAGATAACTTCTTCCCAACTTTAGCACAATTTTTGGAGTGAAGGCCTATTTTTTTTTAATTATATGGAAACTCAATCCTGATTATTTCTTTTTTTGTTGTTGTTCTTGCCTCCTGCATCCTAAATGCAGCCATTATTTTGCAGTACTGAAATTTGCTTTGGAAATAATATGTAGCAATGTTCTTTTTAATTTAACATATTGGTCAAAAGTTGATTGGCTAGTAGATAAAAATCAAAAAATGTATCTAGCAATATGCAGGTTAATATGTTCCAGTGTAATGCTGACGGGAAAAATGAGAAAAACATTATCATTTGGTCATAACTCACTAAAATGAGGGACTTGATTTGTTTATGTCACACCATTTCCCAGAGATTAATAGGACTTATTATGTTTTGCCAGTCATTTCTGTCTTTAGTAGAGACCAAATTATTTTAAAAGGCAGGCTTTACAAAATAAATAAGCAAGTAAAAGGGCACCAATGTTCCATGGTCAAAACATGAAGGTGAGAAGGGAGTAGAAAGGGTGGGGAGGGATGATTCTACTAGGACATGTATTTATTTCAGGCCTGCATTTCAATGCACGTAACGCAAAATTTGGGCTCAAATAGACCTTCCCTAAACCCATGAGTCACATTGTTTCTGACCCTAGACATCCTTCTTTATCCTTCTTTAAGGTGATTTATCCTTCAAATCACCATGTCTGTTGTTCAAGCCCTGTATTAAGAATAGTATCCCAAAGTTGTGTGTTTTTTTTCCCTCCTTTACTCCATGTAAACCTCTTTCTTCTTTGCTCCCAATATTGAAGAGGGCTACCCCCGGTAATCTTACCCTGTTACCCCTCCAGGACTCTGTCTTCTATCTCTGGCTGTATGCTTTCCTAGTACATTATGGATGCAGAGCTGAATAGCAGAAACTCTGAGGAGGACTCTGCATTTCATAAACATCTACCATAATTTTTTTCTTCACCTTCAAGTTTTAATTCTTGATTTATGAACAATTCTAAGTATAGAGACTAGAATTTCATAAGGCCATTTTTCTCCTTTATTACATCCATTCTGTAATGAAGATATGCATTGCCATGCTATAAATGTCAAATTAATTTGGCAATCAAGAAAAGTGAAAATATAGCTTTACTGATTATTCCTTAATAGTTTATTTAAAATATTTTACAGACTAATAATATTTATCAAGGTGGCAAAAATCAGCATGGGGTCAATATGCCTAAACAGATCAGTGGCTAGGGCATATTTAAAACAAATAAGTAATGTTATGTAGATATTTTGTAACTATATTAGAGTTTTACTTTTACTTCTTCTGGAACCCTTCATCTTTTCTCCCCCAATGAGAGTAAATTGGCTGATAATTATGTCTTCCTGTTGCTTTAATCTCAAAATACAGAGTCACTCATTTCAGAGAAATTACTGTATTATATTTTAAATGCATATTTTTATATATTTAGCATATATTTTCTATACTAAAACCAGGGTGTGTGGTGGTGGAGTGAGCACAGGGATTTTCAGCAGGATCGTTTTACTCCCACCTCAGAACCAAATGTATTTCAAATTTTGTGGGATTTCTATAGCAAATAATAAAGGGAGACAGAACAAGGCATTGTTATGACAAAAGTTGAACTTTATTACAATCTAGTGACCACTCATAGTGGGCAAGATAAGACTGATCTAAGATCCAAAGGGGGAACAGACTGGAGGGAGGCTCCTGGGCTGGGTCTGCTCTACTCTCTGGCTTGAGTATTTTCTTTTCTTTTTTTTTTTTTTTTTTTTTTTTTTGAGACAGAGTCTTGCTCTGTCACCCAGGCTGGAGTGCAGTGACATGATCTCAGCTTACTGCAACCTCTGCCTCCTGAATTCAAGCGATTCTCATGCTTCAGCCTCCCAAGTAGCTGGGATTACAGGTGCACACCACCACTCCTGGCTAATTCTTTGTATTTTTAGTAGAGACGGGGTTTTGCCATGTTGCCCAGGCTGGTCTCCAACTCCTGAGCTCAGGCACTCCATCCGCCTTGGCCTCCCAAAGGGCTAGGATTACAGGCTTGAGCCACCACATCTGGCCTTGGCTTGAGTATTATACACCTCAGGCATTTCATGCCTTTAAAGCTAATGTGCGTTTACATACAATGTTATCCTACCTGGAATGCCATTCTGAAATTTTCCACCTGGTAAGCCCCTATTCATTCTTCAAGAGCCAAATAAATCCTGACCCCCAAGATTTCTCTTCTTTACTCTAATTTGACATTTATCTTTTTATCTCGAAAGTGTCGTTGTTGCATTAGCTACGTGGGGGAATTTTTGTTGTCTCTAAATTGCTATTAGTTAGACCAGTCCTCAATACTGCGGCATTGCTTTGATAACAACTGTGTAATTTTTTTTTCTCCACTTGTGGCTGTATATCTATATATTCTAATGTTGGTAAAAAGAGAAAGGAGGAAGGGATGAAGGAGGAGCAGCAGAAGGAGAAGCAGAAAAGGTCTTTGTGGCTGGGGAGAGATTTGTAAGGGTGGTAGAGAACTGTGCTAAGATATTGCCAGGATATAATACCTCAGCTGGCCCACTTAATTTTGCTTCAGAGCCAGCATTGAATGGTCAGCATCAGCATCTCATTGTAATGCAAATATTTTGGGAGTGACTTTTGGTAGGCAGCATATAAAGTCTTGTAGTATACAGATTTGCATACTTTTATATATATCAAGCGTAGTCCTTCATTCTCTGTTATCTCTTTTAGGAAAATAAAAATTCTCTAAGTTTAGTAATCACTGAATAAAACAGAATTTCTTTCAGTGAAGGATATATTCTTTCCTAGATTCTTAATACATAGTTGACATTTTCATTTAGCTTTGAGAAAATGTTAGTTTTCATCTTAAATTATGTGATTTGATTTATCACAATGCATCAGTTTCAGTATTTATCATACTTTTCCAATTCAATATTTTTAACCTCTTTTGAATATTCTATTGAATATTAGAGGTACTGGTCAAATAGGACAATACAATAGTTCTTCCTGTTTTCTCTTTGGAGTTATCTATGATATTAGCAAATATTTACTTGCAATAACTACTGCAGAACTGATATTTTTTTTCTTTTTTAAAGTAAGAACCTGAAAAACACAGTTATAGGTTTTTTTCTTAATACAAAGTAAGAACATTTGTGAACCTAGCTTTCTTGCCAATATTTCCCATATTTTTAGACTATCACCTTATAAAATACTGTTCATAGACAATAGAATCTCTGTGACTACATAGCCTTTAAACAGTTGGATGTAGAATATAATATCTAAGATGTTTTGCTTTGATTAAAACACTGTTGTATTTTTAACCACAAATATGTACAGATATATCATAAATAGAGTATTTTAAGCACTAAGTCCTGTTTAACCTCATTTAAATTGAGGATCATTTCAAGTGAAGCAAAAGTAATCTTTCAGTAGAAAAGAGTGTTATGAGAAATAATCCTTCCTGTGTGATTCGTTCCACCAGTATTATTTTTCAAGACATATAGAAAATAAATTTAATTGCCTATATAGAGAAATAGAAATTTTCTGGCCCTTGTGTATTTTTACATCACAAAAGGAGAAAGTCATATTCAATTAAATTACTTTGAATAGGCAAAACCTTCCTAAGACATATACATTTGATTTTTTGGTAACCAAAAGAAACATTGTATCTAAAAAATCAATTCAGGCCTATTTTGTTATATTTATTTTTTGAGAATTTCAAAAATATTTCCTGCTAAAACCAAAAAAGAGTAACATTTATTGAGCACTTACTATGTGTCAGGTCTTTGCTGAGTGATTTTCCTGCTTTAGCTCAACTGCTTTTCCCAACAACTTTTTGAGGTGATATTTAACACTGTTGTACAGCCAAGGCTTAGAGAAAATAAATGATGGACCCTAAATCAAATAAAGAATAGATGGCACAATTTTTATTTGGGTAATCTGACCTTACAGCCTGCATACTTAATAACTGACCATAAAATACGTTTTCTAATTCTTTTCTGGAAAGGAAGAGAGAAAAATAAATAAAAGCAGGATAATTGAGTGGAATGAGAACATGTTCTGTTTGCTATAAGAAGACTTATGAATTGAAATATAAAAGGATTTACCTTTACATATTTAAATATGTATGTTAAGTCACTAAGCCTACATGAAACATACTTAATTTTCCTATCCACTTGACTCTAAGTCATTTCATACAAGATATTACTGTCATTCTAAAAAGTATGTTTGAATAAATGGAATGGTCAATTGCATAATTGATCTCAATCCTTCTCCCCACTCTGCATTCACACCTTCACTATGGAATCAACACGAATGTAGTTTACTTCCCTATCTGCTGATATTGAGCTTGGTTAATATCAAGCTCAATATCTTTCTATGACCGATGACATATATATGCATGAATCACAATATTATCATGGTATCAGGTAAAAGGTTAACAGAGTTCAGGAAGGAGCTGTACATGACACTTCTACGTCTGCTCTTACTGTATAACTTTAGAAAAGTCTTTTCATCTTTCTGATCTTCAGTTTTGTCATTGAAAAGTAAGAATTCAAAACAGATTATATATATATTCCTGTTTAGGCTTTCATAATCTGTATGTCTTGGCACAAATGTATTCTCTTCTTTCTCTCCATTTCATAAATATGTACAAAATCATTATAAATTATGTAATAAATCGTTATTATATTTATGAAAGCAGGTAACAGAACTGATGAATTATGGATGCTGCAGACAAATCTTTCTTTTCTTTCTTTTTTTTGGGATGGAGTCTTGTTCTGTTGCTCTGTCGCCCAGTTTGGAGTGCAGGGGTGGAATCTTAACTCACTGGAAAGATAAATACCCACTGGATCCTGATACAAATTCATGAGTTTCAAGATATCCAACATTTTACCTGTATCTGCTGTACATCAATCAGAAAATGTAGGCCATTTTTTCCACTATAGCATGGAATGTTACATAAAACTCAGAAGTCTTTCTAATAGGCTCAGATTTGGTTCAAATAATGTTTACCCAGTTTTGATCTTTACAAATGGCTTCACATCTAGAAGCCATCTTAGACCTCATCTTTTCCCTTTCCTGTCACATTTAAACATGTGCCAGATCTCACAGAATAGATTTTTTAAAATATGACTTATTTTTTTCTTCCATTTGTCCCCATCAACGGTAGCCTTATTGAAGATCTAATCAAATTGACTTCGTTAATAATATCTTAATAATGTTTTCATATTGACATTAATTCATCACTACAATTAATTAAAGGGTTATTGTGAGAATTAATTAAAATAATAGATGTGGGTGCTTAGCATATACTATATACTCATAACATTGGAGACGATGTGTACCAAGAGCAATACTGACAGCAATAATCATTTTTTGAAAATCTGATTCTCTTAAATATATCAAGGCATTCGATGCTTTTATCAAAAGCAAATAAGTAATTCAGTACAATTTCAGTGGTTGTAGAAATATCTCCAGTCCAAGGAAATTTGTTTAGATCACCAGCTTTCCCTGAAACACTTAATTTGTTCGAAAGGACTATCGTGGAATGTTTTTATTCAGATTTGGAAGTTAAGCTCTGTTGATGCCATATTCTTAAAGATCATGTAAATACCACTTAGATGGTTCATTCTTGTTGCTTCTCTGCATGTTGCTTGTGCCTACATGTTAATTGCATGAATCTAAATGTAGTTACATTGTATGTCAATTAACAACAGAAATACTTTCTGAGAAATGCATCATTAGGCAATTTTATCTATGCAAACAGCATAAAGTGTACTTATACAAACCTAGATAGTATTGCCGACTACACACATAGGTTATATGGTTTGGCCTATTTTCCTAGGCTACAAACTTTTACAGCATGTTTCTGTACTGAATACAGTAAGCAATTGTAACACAGTGGTAAGTCTTTGTGCATCTGAACATATCTAAACATAGAAAAGGTACCGTAAAAGTAAGATAATCTTATGCGAACAGCTTCATATATGTGATCATCATTGATCAAAACATCATTATGTGGAACAGAACTATATTCTCATCAAAATCCTCAAAGTGAACAGGTGATTATCATATTCAATATTTATTTGAAAAATGTTACAAAAAGTGGAAAGATTTAATCACTTATTAAGTCTTGGAGCAAACTGCTCTAAAGTAAACATATTTTCAATACAAAAGTAATCATTAACAGTTTTCCCTATTTTGCTAAAGTAAATGCTTTATTCAAATATTATCCAAGTAATATTTTATATATCAAACTGCACTTTCAGTGTCAACACTTTAATGAATGACATTTTTTCTTACTACAAATATAAAGGGTGCTGATAGTTGATATATTTAATCCTCAATTTGACAAGAACATCGTCTTGGGTAGTATCATTGTTATTTCTGGGTTATCGTCATGACTCCAATTAAGCTACATTAAAAACAAAACAAAAAGAGAGAGAGAGAGAGAGAGAGAAAGAGAAAGAGAGAGAGATGAGTGGAGATACCAGGCATCCATTTCTTTGATGATGGTGAAGAAAGTTCCACTGAAAATTCATATTCTGATTTTAAAGCTAATATATACTACATTGAATTATAGAAACAAGAAGGTATGACGAAGAAAGAGCATCTTTGCCTAGAAATCATGCAAAATTTTTAAACATTATGGAAACGATGAAAGGGAGATGAATTGCCTATTGCTTTTAAATATCAACTGACACTATGAGAAGCAAGTTGTGTAAGAAATAGCCATTTTTAATCAGTGGAAAGTAATCTAGCAATCAGCTAAAGTGATAAGCAGAGAAAGAAAATGTTGCTGTATTCTATCATCAATGTCAATAAAACAATTAAATGCAGTGCAATGACTCATAGCCTAAGAATAAACATATCATGGAAATAGCTTCTGTTTTTTTTTTTTTTTTTAATGTAAAATGTTGCCTTACTCTCCTTCTGGAAAAAATTAGTTAAATGTAAATGCATATTTTCATCACACCTAAAGTGAGTGCCACAACCTTAAGGTAGAATGCAATAACCTGATTGAAGCCTGCTACATAAAGTGGAAAGACTTAATCACTTATGATACCTGGCCATATTGGCTCTCATTCCCTAGCATAATCTGTGAGATTTAAGTGTGTGTGTGTATGAGTGTGAGAGAGAAAAAGAGAAAGAGAGGAAACTACTAGCGGAGTTGAACATGCACATGAACACCCACACAATCTTCAGACACTGTTTTTATGTGCTTTGCAATTTTGGATCAATGGTTGAAAGATTTACTACCTAGAAACACAATCAACAATTTTGAAACAGACAAAAAGAAAGCCATATTCAAATGTAGACAATACCTTTTCTAAAGAACAACTCCTGACAAAGTATCAACTGCCTTCGGAGAAAATACTATAGAATGATGACCAAAAGCAAAGCAGCCATGTGAATAGAAGACAGGATGAGCTTGAAGTCATCTTCTATCAAACTAGTATATTCTTGTGCTGTCACACAGACCATATTTTTGTAACAGCCTAGTCTCAAATTTATGTACTTTGTTCTAATCACTGAAATTGTAAAGACAATTTTGAAATTAAAATAGAAAAAAAGAGATTTTTTTTTAGTAACAAGGTTATGATATACTCTCCTTCTAACAACCATTATGTCAGTATCAAAAACCAAAAATCAAAAATTAATGAAAATGTTCTTTACAACAAATATTCTTTCATTAGCACAACAAAATGTAGAACATTTCTAATTACAATGAGTTGCCAAAGTGGAAGATTATCTGAAATAAAATGAGCTACAAATGCTTAATTAGGTAAGACAGTGCTTTTATTCTCTCACATTTCATTATAGTTCACTCATTTATGCTACTTTATTTTAATTTTGCCATTTTCTTGCTCTAGTGTCAAATAGTTCACTTATTTATATAGTACAAAATGCAAATTTTGTGCAGTGTTAAAAATCATGTTAACTTGAAATTCTTTGTCAATATGTATTAATGTATGCATGAGTCTAATTTTTAATAGAAAAATTTCAAAAAAATACACTTATGCAGCCAACAAACATATGAAAAAGAAAAGCTCATCATCACTGGTCATTAGAGAAATGCCAGTCAAAACCACAATGAGATACCATCTTACGCCAGTTAGAATGGTGATCATTAAAAAGTCAGGAAACAACAGATGCTGGAGAAGATGTGGAGAAATGGGAACTCTTTTACACTGTTGGTGGGGGTGTAAATTAGTTCAACCATTGTGGAAGACAGTGTGGTGATGCCTGAAGGATCTAGAACCTGAAATACCATTTGACCCAGCAATCCCATTACTGGGTATATAACCTAAGGATTATAAATCATTCTACTATAAATGCACATGCACACATATGTTTATTGCAGCACTATTCACAATAGCAAAGACTTGGAACTAACCCAAATGCCCATCAATGATAGACTGGATATAGAAAATGTGACACATATATACCAAGGAATACTCTGCAGCCATAAAAAAGGATGAGTTTATGTCCTTTGCAGGGACATGGATGAAGCTGGAAACTATCATTCTCAGCAAACTAACACAAGAAAAGAAAACCAAATATCACATGTTCTCACTCAAAAGTGGGAGTTGAATAATGAGAACATGTGGGTACAGGGAGGGGAACATCACACACTGGGCCTGTCATGGGGTAGCGGGCAAGGGGTGGGATAGCATTAGGAGAAATACCTAATGTAGATGACAGGTTAACGGGTGCAGCAAACCACCGTGGCACATGTATACCTGTGTAACAAACCTGCACGTTCTGCACATGTATCCCAGAACTTAAGTATTAAAAAAAAAAAAGAAATGAGATGATCTGCATGCATGACCAACACAAAATAACTTAGCCCTTTTTGCTTATGAGAACATAGAAAACACGGCTGTGGGTGACAGCTAATTTCCTCTCTCCTCCTTCTGGCCTGCAGCTAATAATGCATAGTGATACTCAAATATCATTTAGAAAAATTAGTCATAAACATGAAAAAAAACAAAAAATAAAACCACTTTATCAATTTTAGGCTAACTAAAGGAGTTAGAAATGCATTTCTGCTATTGAAGAAGAAAAGTGTAATGGTGGCCTAACCATTTTGTATGAAAAACAATTACACACCCAAAAATGTGTTATAAAGTACAGATGTTTTCCGAGATTAGAAAAATAAATTTTGCTTTTAGCATATGTAAGCATACCTTATGGAATTCATTTTCATCACTTCGATGCTTTTAAAAAATGTTTCTTGAACAAATACTCGGGGAGTTTGATATGGAGATGTAAAAATCTTTAATGTATGTTTTTATTCTTTAGTATTAAAAGAGTTCAAAGTAATTTAGAAACTTAATACTGAACAGTATAGTTAGGAACTAAGACCATGTAATATATAAAATTTCCCCATTTTTTCCATGAATATAGGTCTTTTTACAACTTTTGTTCCATGTAAAGCCTCATGTGTATATCAATTAACTCTCACATTTTAGTTGACACATTCTTTCTTTTTCATGACTATTTTTAGTTTAGTCCCATAACTTTGAAATTTCCAAAAATCCCTATAGCCCACTCTTAGACTTCTCTCTCATTTTGTTCTTAATTTTTAAATTTAATAATCTAAATGGTGGCATTAGCTTAAATATGTATTAGAAAAAATGTATTAAGCCCAGAATCAAATATGGAGTAATATAAATGTGCTTACATTTTTTCCTGTTTTTTCTTTGTTATATTCTTTATAATGTACAGTTAAAAGCATACATTTATTGTTATATTCATTTAAATAATTTTAATTATCTATATATTAGGATAATTAGAATCGTTCCAATTATTTCATCAAATTTCATTATTTTTAAATATTTAAAATCTTTACATGTGTATTTTTCCTTTGCCATTTTCTCTTGTAATTATTTAGTAAGTCATCTTTCTCCCGTGCTGTACAAAGAGTTTTTCTTTTTTACAGAAGGAAAATTTCAAATAATTGTTGGAAAAGACTGTTTATTCTTAGTTGCATCAATAAAGAAAATCACCTCTTTCTATGCTTTTTTCCAAAATATATTTGTGTGATAAAAGTATGTCAAGCCCTTAGATGTGGATGATTGGTTCACAGTTTTTTAAACTGCAAAAAAAATCACTTTGGGCCAGGCACAGTGGCTCTCACCTGTAATCCCAGCACTTTGGGATGCCGAGGCAAGGAGGATCACCTGAGGTTGGGAGTTTGAGACCAGCCGGACCAATATGGAAAAACCCCGTCTCTACTAAAAATTAAAAAAAAAAAAATAGCTGGCACGGTGGCACATGCCTGTAGTCCCAGCTACTTGGGAGGCTGAGGCAGGAGAATCACTTGAACCCAGGATGCCAAGGTTGCAGTGAGCCAAGATCACACTATTGCACTCCAGCCAGGGCAACAAGAGCAAAACTCTGTCTCAAAAAAAAAAAAAAAAAAAATCACCTTGGTCCCATCTTAAAAATACTTCTAGATCTACTCTCTATAAATTCCAGTTCCATATGATGAAATAGAACCAATGAACTTGCATTTTTGAAGAGTACATATGTGATTATGATGAATGTCACTTGAGCCACACTGTGAAAAACAATGAAATAAGAGAAAACGTTACACTGTTAAGCTTAAATTTTTGTATAGATGGTATTCTTTGTATCTTTGATCCCAAATGACTTTTCCTCTCTTCCAGGCTTTTTCTGTTGTGTACATTAGTAGTATCACTGAAACATAGAACAATGACCTCAAAAGGTAAATCAGTATATAATTCATGATTCACTCATGTAGATGATACTGAGAATATTTATACACATTGATTTATGTACCTGTATAGAAATGACACACTACTCTAATCATACAGTGACTTTTCAAAGATACGATCTAGTACAATGAAAATTGCACTAAAGCTTAAATCTTAGTTTTTAATGTTCAGATAGTTAAGTTTGGTAATGGATTTGATTGGGTATTCTCAATGGAAATATGAAGGGATTATAACCCTCAGCCATAAATACAATTTCAACTATTTAACATTGGAAAGACAGGTCCATGTATAGGGAAGGTTGGTTACCCTGTCACCTTTTGCTCTGTTCCCTTGGAAATTCTGCTTCTCCTTAGGGTTTTCTTGTTTGGATTATTATAACAACCAGAGACTAAATCTCATAGATAATAGCTTCTTCTTCCAAGGATCTGGCTAAGCACAGATTATACGTAAAGTGAAATATAAAGCAAATTAATAATACTATAAATAACCCATATTATATCCTGGGTTATTTCTTACGCAAACAATGCTGACTCTGTTCTATGGTAAAATATTGGTCTTTCTCATAGGTTGCAATCTAGGACAGGTGTGCCTGTAAGAGTCCTGGTTTACACTAGTGTGATTACTAATGGTAGTTCTTTTCAATCTCAAAAATCCTAGTTAAGATGATCAATATATTATTTCTCTACCTATGTATTTCTTTGAACCTACTTTCTATTATCTATCTCCTAGTGTTTTTTTCTTTTACATTTCCCAGTAGGCCTGTATGTGGAAGAAACCGTTTTATTCCCATGGCTCATCAATCATAGAGTTTTAGTTCCTTTGAAACTAAGACTAACAGCAATTTAACCTCTGTGACAGTCCTAATATCTTGTCCACACAGTTCACTTTCTCTTACATAATAAATAGAAATCTAATTATTGACTTTAGAGAATGACTTAGATTGATAATTAGCTAATAGAAAATGAATATATTGTGTGCACAATAAATAAAATATCTGCATAATATGAGGATAAAGTGGCTGAAGCATAATGGCCAGTGGAAGAAAAAGAAGTAAAAGAGGGTAGAGAGATGATCAAGAGCCAGGACATGCAAGGTTTTTAAATCTAGTAAAGAGTTAGATTTTATTGTGCTAGGAACCCATTAAGAGACTGGAAGATAATACAATCTCATTTATACTTTTTAATGATTACTCAGAAGAATGGATTGCAGAGAATGAAAAAATTAACTAGGAGCCGATGGCATTAATTTAGATTATAGAAGATGGTAATTTAAACGATTGTGGTAATCATAAAAAACAAGCAGAAATAAATAGGTTCAAAACCATTTTGAAGCTAGAGTTAGAGATTTGTAGAGGCATGGGTACAGAAAAAGCATCTAAAGAGGTAAATCAGCAGAAGTCCCTGTAAGATGGTAGGTTGTGATAGAGGAGAAATTAGAAGTTCTGTTTTGCTTTCATTAGTTTTGATATACCTATTAGAGATCATGGGGTTATAATGTCAAAAACACTGTTTAACATATAAATCTGCTGTTCTA
Organism: Homo sapiens; assembly: GCF_000001405.40. Lineage (NCBI taxonomy): Eukaryota > Metazoa > Chordata > Mammalia > Primates > Hominidae > Homo > Homo sapiens. Next base: position 77,717,831 of record NC_000008.11, on the reverse strand, counting down.
GAGATAGGTTAGGGCTAAGAGATACTTATATGTCATTAGTGTATCAGTGTTAATTTCTGAAATCTGTTCCAAGATTGGCCCTAGCATTCAGTCATTATACATTGTGCAGAAAGTGCCCATGCTTCTGAAATATTCTTTACCTACTCCTTGTTACTTTAAACGTACCTATTTTATGTCTCCCTACGCTGAAACTTTCTTTTCACTAATACACTAAATACAAAGAAATACCATGCTAAATAATAAACATACATGTTAATTACCTTAAGTAGATGGTCTTTTGACTAACCCCATTGTAAGAGACTTGCTGGTTCATCAAACATTTTCTGCTTCCTTTTTGTGTATACTGACTGGTGGTCGTGGCATGCTTCATGCTCTCAACATGTTGTCTACTTATTGGTTTGAACAGGCAAACTGAAACTTAATGCCTACTAAAACTTGGTTGTATTTGCTATATTTCTTATGGCAGCTTCACTGGCTACCTAATTGTATAGTTGAATTAAACATTTAGATGTCATATAAATATGAAAATAGCATTGAATGTTTGAAACTTCAGTTGAGTAATTTAAAATTATTCAACAATGGTAACTTAAAAATTATTACTGTGAAATTAGATATGGGCCAAAACATCCACAAAAGACTTGAACATTTTTAAAATATGAAAATTGTTTTGTATTTAGAATTTTTATAAGTGTTTAAATTTTTGTTCGACTTTAAAGAAATTGGTACTGATACTCATAGTATCACTATGAGTATCACTACGTCAAAGAAAGTATCTTTGACACAGTATCAAAGAAAGTGATACTAATACTCATAGTGATTATATCATTGGCTATTTATGCAAAAGCAACAGTTTAGAAATGAGAATAAGCAGAACTATATTAAAAGATTGGTCTCATATCAAAGGTTGACAATTCAACACATATTTATATGTTTTAAATTAAAACAACCTGTTTAACATATTCAGGTATTATTTTTATGATTTGCTGCCTCAACTGACTTTGTAAAACCAACCACTGCTTGAATAACATCAAATAATAGGGCTTTTATGATACTTCAAGAGATGTTCAGTGGGGGCTACTAATTCTTAAAATTTAAGAGACTTTTAAAATACTGTAAAGAGAAAAATGTTTTAAAAGATAGGCCTTTCAGATAACACATACACACACATATGTATTTGAAATACATATATATGATATATATATATATACACACACACACTATCTTTTTAGCATGAGTGTCTAATCTAACAATTCCACATTTGGATACATTTGTCCACATTTGCTGACTTCGTATCATCCTCTCCCACTCACCATGAAACCTATTTGAATCATCAGCTATATGGGTGCTCTTAAGAGCACCAATTGTACTCTCAATGTTTATCTATTGATAACACGACCTCTATCACGTGAAACTGTGGCAATTCTTCCCTTGAAACATTATCTGTCCTCATTTTCTGTAACAATCTTGCTTTTGCTTTTCTTCCTACCTCTCTGGATATTCATTAAGGATTTTCGTCCTGCTCCTTAAATGTTAGTAATCAATAGGTTCTTCTTGCTTCTTTTCTCTCTCCACATGCCTCATTCTTCTAGTCTCATGGTTTCAAGCGATCTCTATATATTCAATGTCTCTTACTCTAAACAAAGGTAGATTTACATCCTGGGCAATAGTCTTGACCATCCTACTGCTAACTTAGCATGGTATATGGATGTCCTATGGGTACCTGAAAGGAAAATTTAAGTGGAAATAAATATGGTCAAGGATAATAGAAACATTCCTAAAAAGAATGCAAAGTTAAAACATTCATAACATAAATTCAACATATGTTTTCAACATATGAAAACACTCATAACATAAATACAAAGTAAAAACATTCCTAAAAATAATACAAATTTTTTTAACTTGGTAATATGGTGTATTTTAATGATATAGCTATTGGGGAGAATGATATTGGTTAAAAGAGAGATGGGTAAGCTAGTAAAGCAGAAGAGAGTGTAGAAACAGATCCACAACATATATACACATATGATTTATAGAAATGGTAATACTCAAGATTTTCTTAATAACTTTTTCTGAGTTTATTGAATATGAGGAAAATAAACTTGATCTTTACATCACATTATAGATAAAACAATAAATAACTCCACATACACTTTGGATTTGAATGTAAAAATAATTAAATAAATAAATAAAATTACAGCTTTTAGAGTAAATCATAGTAACAAATCTTTGTGACATTAAGATAAACAAAGATGTTATTAAGATCACACAAAATACTGGCCATAAGGAATAAAATGGTTAGAATCATGAATTAATGAAGAAAAACTTTCAAAACTGACACTTTTATCACTTAGTAGTTTTCAATCAAGGGTTTACAAAATAAAGTTATCTCCTGGGAAATGTGGGCTAGTTGAAGTCCTTTCATTCATTCAACAAATATTTATTGAGGCTATATTATGTATCAGGCACTGTTGTATTGAATGCATGATAAGACTAGTTAATAAGATAAAAATCTCTGCTCTCACATAATTTAGATCTTATATGTAAAGACCGTGAATAGAAAATAACAATTGTATATAAATAATATGTACATATATTACATATTAATTATGATGCATTTGATCTCACATATACAGATATAAAATATGCTTATGTGTGTTTATGTATATACGTATACATAGTGGTGCTTGCTGGGGAGAAGATAAAGGGATGTAATTTGAATAGGGGTGTTATTATAGACTGAATTTTTGTGTCCACCTCAAATTCATATGTTAATGCTCTAACTTCCAACATGATGATATTGGAAGTGGGTCCTTTGGGAGGTAATTAGGTTTCTATGAAGTCACAAAAGTAGGGCCTCCATTATGGGATTTGTCTTTATAAGAAGAGAAAAAGAGACCAGAGTTCGTTCTCTCTCTCTCTCTCTCTCTCTCTCTCACTCTCTCTCCCTCTTCATCATGTGAGGAAAGAGCAAGAAAGTGGCCATCTGCAAGTCAGGAAGAGAACCTTCACTAGAAGTGAATCTGCCAGCGCCTTGATCTTGGACTTCCCAGGTTTCTAAACTATGAGAAATAGAACTATTCCAGGAAGAGGGAGTAGAAAATTCAAAGGTCCTGAGGCAAATGTTTGACAAGCATATTCAAAAACTTACCAGGAAGCCAGATTGACTGGAAGGAGTGAGCGTTAGGTGTCAGAGGTAACTGGGTGGATAGGTCACATAGAGCCCTATAGGCCCTTGTAAGGACATCAAACGTTGGAGGGTTTTGACAGGAGCGATGTTATGTTTGTCTGTATTTTAACATGATTGTTCTGACAGCTGTGTAGAGAATAAACTAAGGGTGGTAATAATAGAATCAGGAAGAATAGTAAGGGAGTAATTATAAAAATCTAGGCAAGACAAGAAGCATATGAAAAAAATGTTCAACGTCACTAATCATCAGATAAATGCAAATTAAAACCACAATGAGATATTACCTTACACCAGTCAGAATGACTGTTATTAAAAAAATCAAAATGTAACAGATGTTGGCAAGGATGCAGACGAAAGGAACGTTTACACACTGTTGGTGGGAATATAAATTAGTAAAACCTCTATAGAAAACAGTATAAAGATTTCTCAAATAACTAAAAATAGAACTATCATTGATCCAGCAATCCCACTACTGGGTATCCACACAAAGAAAAACACTATTAAATAAAAAATACTCTAGCACTTGTCTGTTTTTCACAGCCCTATTCACAATAGCAAATATATGGAATCCACATAAGTTCCCATCAGTGGAGGACTGAATAAAGAAAATATGGTGCATCTATACAAAGAAATACTACTCAGTCATAAAAAAGGAATGAAATAATGTATTTTGCAGTAACATGGATGAAACTGAAAGCCATTATCTTAAGTGAAATAACTCAGAAAAGAAAGTAAAATATCACATGTTCTTACTTACATATGGGAGTTGAATAATGTGTACACATGGACATAGAGTGTGGGATAATAGCCACTGTTGACTCCAAATGGTAGGAGGATGGAAAGGGGGTGAAGGATGAGAAATTTATGAGTACAATGTAATTTATTCTGGTGATAGTTCTACTAAAAGCCCAGACTTCACCACCATGCAATATATGCATGTAGCAAAACTGCACTTGTACCCCCAAAATCTATAAAAAAAATGCAGGCAAGAGATGATGATGTTTTGGAGCAGTAATCATGGAGGTGGTTTGAAGTAGGCAGTTTATGGATATATTGTGAAGATGGAGCTCTGGTATTGTTCATGGATAAAATGTATAGTTGGAAAAAATGAGGAGTTCGTTATGATTCTTATGACTCGGGGCCTGAATATTTGAAAGGACAGTGTTACATACTGAGGTAATGCAGACAGAAAAGCAAGGTTTTTAATGGATAGTTTAGAGAAAAATTAGAAATTCAGATTTGATATGTTCAATTTGAGATGTGTATTACACAGTAAGATAAACAAATTGAGAGCTCACAGGGGAGACTGGGGTGGAAATAAATTTTGGGGATTGCATGCCCAAACAATATTTAAAGTTGTAAGACTTTGTGCAATCCACAAAAGAAAATATATGGAGAGAGAAAAAATAATAAGAGCTATAAGGACTGAGTCCTTGGGCACAACATGTAGCATTCAAGGCAAGGAAGAAACAGCAAAGGGAAACAGAATCCAAAATGGCTCAACAGCAGGAAAAATGTTAAAACATAAAGCCCAGTGAGAAAACGTGCCAAGGAAGTTTGGGTACTCAACAAGATTAAATACTGCTAAGAAATAAGAATTTACCATTGGACTTAGTAGTATGAAGTTCACTGGTGACTTTGTTAATGACCAGTGGATTGGTGGGGATTACAGTTTGATTGGAGTGAGTTCAAGAAAATGGAAGAAGACAGCAATGACTGACAACTTCTAGGAGGTTTTCTATAAAAAGAAGCAAATGGTTAGCTAGTTGTTCAGATGGGGAGGAGACAAATGCAGAGGGTAAGAGCAATAATAGAATAGAGCAGTAGACAGGAAAAGTTGATGGGTAGAAGTAATGCTTAAATATTTGAGGGTGTAAGTGTGATGGAGCTAAAACGTTGCTGCTTGTGCAATCTCGTATATAAGAAAGACATGAGAGCTCACTGAAATTATTGCTGGTGTTTATAATTTGATATTTTCAAGATACTAGAAATAAAAACCTCAGGCAAAAAAAAGAATCAGGTCATGTTTGAGGTTTTGAAATATAAATATATTACATTATATATCAACCTTATGCTTAGTTGTTTAAATTTTTGAAAAAATGTTTCTTTTATGATGTTGAAAACCACATTTGCAATTCTCATCTCTCTCCACACACCATGAATCTCTCCCAAATGCAGACCTTCCACTGACTTCAAAGAAAGAATTTCACATGGAATCAATAGGACTGGTTTAAGAACTGAACCCAAATAAAATGCAGATATTGTAGATATATTGAGAGATGTGGCAGACCACATATTCAGTAGACATTTGCAAATGTATAAGAAGTTCATTCTGAAAATATATCTTTTGATAAACAAGTTGAAATTGTTATTGAAAATTTTACAAAAATGCATGCGTGCACTATTTTTACAATAAGCCAATACACCTGTGTTATTTGATATAAAGCAAAATCAAAATTTTACTCCCTTCTTATTTATATAGATATGTTGAGATTTTATATTATTTAAAATTTTATAAAACTTATTTAAAAATATATAAATATTTCTAGATTTCTGTGTATATGCACTATCAAACATATTAAAAATATTTTGAAATTTAATTATCTTTAGTTATTTAAAATAATTTTAACTGTTACACATTATATTCAAAAATTATATTTTTATTTTTTAATTTATGTATGTATGTATGTATTTATTTATTTATTTTGAGACGGCATCTCGCTCCTTCACCAGGCTGGAGTGCAGTGGCGCGATCTCAGCTCACTGCAACCTCTGCTTCCCGGGTTCAAGCAGTTCTCCTGCCTCAGCCTCCCAAGTAGCTGGGATTACAGGCGAGCACCACCAGGCCCAGCTAATTTTTGTATTTTTAGTAGAGACAGTGTTTCACCATGTTGGTCAGGCTTGTCTCGATCTCGTGACCTCATGATCCATCCACCTTGGCCTCCCAAAGTGCTAGGATTACAGGCATGAGCCACCGTGCCCAGCCTAATTATCTTATTATTACTGAACAAAAGGCAATGTACCAGAAACTATCGAAACTCAAATATAAGCATGACTACTAGTAGGACAGAAAGATAATTATGAACAGTAGGGAGTTATGTAGTATTGAAAAATGTACATATACAATAATGTGAATATTTATATATGACAAAAATATACACATAAGTTTAAAAGTTGGGTAAAGTAAAATATAATTTATAATTACTGATAATGACATTCATTTTTCTAAAAAGACAAATTAAAATTTGGAAAGAACTAGTAGGAGCTTTATAGTTCTTATCTTTAGGCTCATAAAAACATATATCACAAAGATAGATACAATAAAATGGCAATCATGTCATTCTTACCATCCATTTTATAGCTTACTGTGTAATTTTAATTCATATAAACTACAGATCCTTTATGCAGAAATCACATACCATTAAGACAAACAATAACTTAAAAAAATCCAGCTAGTGTGTTTTGTATCTGTTAAAATGTTGACTCTCAAATGTTAAAAATAAAAATGAAATGTTCATGCTCTTCTTAATTTATTCCCTTTTCTCTCTCTCTGTCTCTATTTTTCTTTCTCTCTTACCTTAGCTCTGTAAACTTGATTGCTAAGGTAATTTTTAAAGTAATTATACCATTGTGTTATGGCTCCATACCAAAAATATATTGCTGTCCATTCAATTACATATTTCTCCTCCTGAGGACAAAATATTATTTTCACAAAGAATAATGCTATGCAAAATAACAGGAATCATACGATGAATAATGTCTCTTTTATTTGCATTTTTTTTTATACTTTAAGTTCTGGGATACATGTGAAGAACATGAAGGTTTGTTACATAGGTATACACATGCAATGGTTGTTTGTGCACCAATCAACCCGTCATCTACATTAGGTATTTCTCCTAATGCTATCCCATCCCTAGCCCCTCACCCCGCAATAGGCCCCCATGTGTGATGTTCTTCTCCCTGTGTCCATGTGTTCTCATTGTTCAACTCCCACTTATGAATGAGAACATGCGGTGTTTGGTTTTCCTGTGTTAGTTTGCTGAGAATGACGGTTTCCAGCTTCACCCACGTCCCTGCAAAGGACATGAACTCATCCTTTTTTATGGCTGTGTAATATTCCATGGTGTATATGTGCCACATTTTCTTTATCCATTCTATCATTGATGGGCATTTGGGTTAGTTCCAAGTCTTTGCTATTGTGAATAATGCTGCAATAAACATACGTGTGCATGTGCCTTTATAGTAGAATGATTTGTAATCCTTTGGGTATATACCTAGTAATGGTATTGCTGGATCAAATGATATTTCTGGTTCTAGGTCTTTGAGGAATTGCAGCACAGTCTTCCACAATGGTTGAACTAATTTACATTCCCACCAACAGTGTAAAAGTGTTCCTATTTCTCCACATCCTCTCTAGCATCTGTTGTTTCCTGACTTTTTAATGATCACCATTCTAACTGGCGTGAGATGGTATCTCATTGTGGTTTTGATTTGCATTTCTCTGATGATCAGTGATATTGAGCTTTTTGTCATATGTTTGTTGGCCATGTAAATGTCTTCTTTTGAGAGGTATCTGATCACATCCTTTGTCCATTTTTTGATGGGGTTGTTTTTTTTCTTTTAAATATGTTTAAGTTTCTTGTAAATTCTGGATATTAGATCTTTATCAGATGGGCCGATTGCAAAAATTTTCTCCCATTCTGTAGTTTGCCTGTTCACTCTGATGATAGTTTCCTTTGCTGTGCAGTAGCTCTTTAGAAAAACTTAGTGCTTAACATTGGTTTTTGTGTATGAAAACCTAAATAGTCATAAAGAATGACATCTTAACAGTTTGTGAATCTATCAAATATGTTTGTGAGCACTTTATTACTTGTCAAGGTAAATATTCCTTAAGAAAAAAATTTGAAGTTTATGGTTTTAGAAATACATGAAAAGCTCATGGATTATAATTTTACACAGTGTCAAAAATATTGAAAGTGATTATTAGTACACATATAATTTCTGTTTTTTCTTTTTACTTTTTAGTGGCATAAGGCTATTATCTAAAAGTTATGCCAATTTTGTAATGTAATGGTTATATTCTAGAATGAATACATGGGAAAGAAATCTACAGCTGTAAAACAGTAGTCTACAATATCTTATTTGTTCACACATATTTTGTTGTTGTTTGTTTTTACAAATTTCATTCATTTTTATTCATGTGTAATGCCTGTACACAATAGAACAAAATAAGTAACTCCCAAATTTTTAAACTTTTAAATTAAATACTCCATTAGTTTACTTAACTTCTCATTAAAAAATCAATTACTTGTGAATTTGTACCAGTTTTGTGCAACATATAAAGGAAAGAAACTATATGTGCAATATTTTCAGAATGTATAAATTATATAGTAGTATAACTTTTGTAAAATTATTTATTAAAAATTCAGATTAATAACAATGAACATATTTTAGAATGTACAAATTTTATAGTAATATAAATTATGCAAAATTATTTATTAAAAAATTCAGAAGATTAATGGTTGAACATATTTTTTTGATAAGGAAAAGAGAAAAATAGCAATGTTTAAAAGACAGGTTAGGAAAAGAGGATTCTGGGAATAAAGTAGAGTAGAAAGCACCAGTAATCTCTCCCCCAACCTAGACAAATATTTTATTGGAAGAATCTGTCTGATGTAACTATTTTGGAAGTTTGAATTCTATTTAAGGTTTACAACTTCTAGAGGAAGACTTAGGTGGTAAACTGTAGTTGATTTTGGTCAATTTCAGCTCTTAACAGAATTGCAGCTCCCCATTTCTCACCTCCAGTCCTTTGACAGGTAGCTGTGCAGGTGTTCCTGGAACATCTTGCATGCAGCTTGTGTTAGCCAGATTGAGCAGTAGGAATGCTGTCCTCTGAATATTGGGAACCTGTGTTCTGATCTCGGATTGCTACTTTTATCATGGAGATGCAGAAAGAGGCAGCTGGCCATTGTTTTCCACCTCATGTCATTGTTGCAAGCCTCTCTTCCTTGGCTGAAGTGATTTCCAGTGAATGTGAGACTAGTGTCCTTTCCCTGCTTGCCCTGTTTCATTTCTCTCTCTTTTTCCTTTTTGAAAATCAGACGTCAAAGATTAGGACATTCCAAAGTAACGACATATATGAAGAAAATTAGAAAGTGATATTACACTTACAGAAAAAAGCACAGGCTCAGAAAAGACCTGAAGAGATCTTAAGTGTACACATCAGGCTAATCTTTAACAGGGAGACAGCCTGCAATAATTATAACACCAAAAACAATAACAAAAAACAAAGCCCCTTGGCAAGGTAGAGAATCTGATTTTCACAGTTACCACATTATTACATTGAAATGTCCAGTTTTTTCAACAAAAGTTCACAAGGTATGCAAAAAAAAAAAAAAAAAAACAAAAAACAAAAAAAAACAAAAACACAAAAGTATGGCTCATTCAAAAATCAATCAATCAGCAGAAGCTGTCTCTGAAAAATACCTAAAGGCACATATACTAGAAAATAACTTTAAGTAACTATTTTAAAGATGCCAGAGGACTAAATAAAGATGTGGAGAAATTAAAACACCAATGTGTGAACAAAATGTAAATATGCATAAGAGATACAAAGCCTCAAAAAAAGAACAATAAAAAAATTCCAAAGCTAAAACATACAATAACTGAAATGAAAAATTTACTAGAGGAATTCAAAGACAGGTTTGAGCAGGCAGAAGAAAAATTCATTGAAATTGAAGATAGAAAATTAAAATTATTGCGAATGAGAAACAGAAAGAAAAAGGATTAAAGAGAAGTATACACAGCTTAAGGACCTGTGGCACACTATCAAGTGAACCAACATGAACACTGAAGAAGTCTCAAAAAGAGAGGAGAGATATAAGAAAAGAAAAAACATTTAAAGAAATAGGTGAAAATTCCCCAAATATGTAAAAAAGAATAATATAAACATATAAGAAGCTCAATGAATTCAAAGTAAAACAAACTCAGGGACCTACTCAGTCATATTATACTCAAACTTTCAACAAAAAGTATCTTAAAAAAATAAGAGAGAAGTGACTTCTCACATATAAGACATCCAAAATAAAATTATAAGAAGTTTTCTAGACAGAAACTTTAGATACCAGAAGTCAATGAGCCATTATATTCAAAATGCTAGAAGCAAAAACAACCTAAGTGTCACCAAGAATTCTACATCCAGCAAAAAATTTATTCAAAAGTGAGAGATAAATAAAGATATTCCCAGAGAAACAAAAGCTGAGGTAGTTTGTTACCACTGGACCTGCCCTGTAGAAAAGGCTTCACTGAGTCATACAGGGTGAAATGAGAAGACACTAGTGAGTATCACAAATCCCTATGCACATGAATAAATAAATATATGAAAAAAAGGAAATACATAGGCAACTACAAAATCTAGCATTATTGTAAAAATGGCTTGTAAACTCCACTTTTTTTCTACATTATTTGAGAGACTAATAAACTTTTAAAACTAGTCAAAAAGCCAATATTATTGTACCTTTTATTTGTACCTACATTTTTTTTTTTTGGTTTTCTACACAACTTTAAAAGACAATGCATTTAAAAGAATTGTTAGTTTATATTTCTGGGTGCACAGTGTTGAAAGATGTAATTTTGTAAATCAACATTCAAAATGGGTAAGGGCTGGCCTTCTAAAAAATTGTTTTTGTATATTATCTAAGTTAAGCTGGTAAAAATTTAAATTAGAGTGTTACAACTTTAAGATAGTATATGTAATCCCCACGATACCCACAAAGATAATACCTATAATATACACATAAAAGCTAATAATATTGGAATTCAAATGTTTCCTTACTTAAAAAATCAGCTAAACATACACACTTATCAATAATACATGAAATAAGGGACAAAAAAGCTACCATGTATGTTGAAAATAAACAGTATAATGATCAAAGTTAATCTCTTCTGTTTAGTAATTAGTTTAATTGTAAGTAGATTAAGCTCTCTCATCAAAAGACAGACATTGAATAGATAAAACACCACCAACAACAACAACCAATAATTTAAGTATATGCTCTCCATAAGAGACTCACTTTAGATCCAAAGAAACAAACACAGTTGACCCTTCAACAGCAAGGGTTTGAACTGAGTAGGTCCTTTCACACACAGATTTTATTCTGCCTCTGCCACCTCTGAGACAATAAGACTAAACCCTCCTCTTCCTCCTCCTCCTCCTCAGCCTACTCAACATGAAGACAATAAGAATGAAGACCTTTATGATGATACACTTCCACTTAAATAATAATAATTATATATATTCTTTTCCTATGATTTTCTTGATAACGTTTACTTTTTCCTATCTTTATTTTTGTGATACAGCCTATATTACATATAACATACAAAATATTTGTTAAAAATTGTTTATGTTATCAATAAAGTTTCTAATCAACATTAGGCTATTAATAGCTGAGTTTGAGAGACATCAAAAGATAATATGCAGATTTTCAAATGCACAGGGCATTGGTGCCCCTAACTTCTTCATTGTTCAAGGGTCAACAGTAGATTGAAAAATATAAGAATAGAAAAAGATATTTCATACAGTTAGTAACCAAGAGGGCAGAGTAGTTTATACTTATATTGTGTTTATACTTACATACTTCAGAAAAAAAATCCAAAAAGTTTACAAGACAAAAAGAATAACATTATATCTTAATAAATAGTTCAATGCAGTAATATATAGCTATTATAAGCATTTATGCACCTAGTGACAAACCATCAAAGTATATGAAGCAAAACTGATAAAACTTAAGGAGTAGACAGGCAGTTCTACAATAATAGTTGGATATTTCAATATCTCAATTCAATAATGGATAGAAAAAACAGAGGGAATATATTTAAGGTAATAAAGAACTTAACACAATAAATCAAATGTATCTAACAGACATATGCAGAATACTATGTCCAAAAATGAAATGTGAAACATTCTTCTCAAGAGCACTTGGGACCTTTTCCAGAACAGACTACATGTTAGGCCACAAGCTAAATCTTCATAGATTATAAAAAATAGATATCATACAAGTATCCTCTTTGACCATGAGATGAAGTTAAAAATCAACAGAAGTAAATCTAAAAAAATTTACAAAATTGTGGAAATTAAATAACTTACTCTTAAACAGCCAGTGAATCAAAAACAAAATTACTAGGACAATTAGAAAATACTTGGAGGCTAGTTAAAACCACTATGTACCAAAACTTAAGAGATGCACCAAAAGCAATGCTAATTGAGAAATTTGTGACTATGAATGCTTATATTAAAAAACAAGGCAGAAAACTAACAACCTAACTTTACAACTTAAGAAACTGGATAAAAAAGAGCAAACAAAACCTACAGCTAGTAGAAGAAAGAAAATAATGAAGAACGGAGCAGAGTTAAGCTAGGGAATTAAAATAAATAGAGAAAAATCAATGAAACGAAAGGTTGTTTCTTTGAAAGGATCAATGAAATTGACAAACCTTTAGATCTATGAGCTTAAAAAAAGAAACTAATCGCATTAATAAAATCAACAATGTACATTACTACAAGTTCTATGGAAATAAATAGGATTATGTGGGAGTATTATGTACAACTGTACACCAATAAATGGGATAACTGAGACGAGTTGGAGAAATTTCTAGACACACAAAACCTGTCAAGGTTAAATCACAAAAGAATAGAAAATATAAGTATTCCAATAACTAGTAAGGAGATTGGGTGAGTAATTGATAATCTCCTGACAAAGAAATGCCCTGTACCACATAGTTTCACTGGTGATTCTACCAAACACTTAAAGAAATAAAACCAAACTTCTACAATTTAAAAAAAAAAAATTGAAGAGGAGGAAACACTTCTTAACTCATTCTATGAAGAGATAGTTACCCTGATAATGAATAAACAATGAGAATGTAAGACAAGAAAGACCAATATCTCTTATGAAAATTGATTTAAAAATCCTTAACAAAATACTAACAATTTAGGAGCGTATTTAAGAAGTATATACCATGAGCAAATGGCATATATTCCTGGAATGCAAGTGTGGTTCAACATATGAAAATTAATCAATGCATATACGACATTAACAGAAGGAAGAAAAAAACACATGATTACCTCAAACAATGCAGAAAAGAATTTGACACAATTAATACTCTCTCAAGATTAAAAAAAAAAAAACCTCAGAAAACTAGGACTAGAAGGAAGCTACCACAACATAATACAAGCCATGTATAAAAAATTCGCAGAGGATGTAATACTCAAATGTGAAAGACTGAAAGCTTTTCCTCTAAGATCAGGAACTAATGTAAAAATGCCTGCTTTTTCTACTTCTATTTAACATAGTACTGGAAAGTCTAGCCAGAGCAATTAGACAAGAAAAACTAATAAAAGACATCCAAATTGGAAAGAAGTGAATAAAAATAAAAGTATCTTTGCACGCAATATAACATTATATGAAAAAAACCTTAAAGATTCCATGAAAATTATTAGAAAAGATAAATAAATTCATCAAAATACCCAGAAACAAAATCAACATAGAAAAATTAGTTCTATTTGGAAACACTAACAATGAACAATTTGAAAAAGAAATTATGAACACAATCCCATTTACAATAGCATCATAAATAACAAAATACTTAAGAATGAACTTGACCAAGATGATGAAACTGTTATCAATGAAAACTATGAAACTTTGCTGAAAGAAATTAAAGATGAGGTAAATAAATAAGAAAACATCCCATTATCATAGACTCTACGATTTAATAACATTAAGATGTCAATACTACTCGAAGCAATCTCCAGATTCAATGCAATCCTTATGAGAATCTCAGCATCTTAATAAATTTTTGTTTGTTTCTGCAGAAATAAGAAAACTCATCCTAAAATAATATAGAATCTCAAGGAATCCCAAATAGCCAGTCATCAAAAAGAATTAAGCTGGAACACAAACTTCTTGATTTCAAAACTTACCACAATGCTACAGTAACCAAAACAGTGTGGAACAAACATACAGGTGAACATATGGACCAATGTGATATAATAGGCAGTGCAGAAATAAGGCCTCAGAGAGAGTCACATGATTTTTCCTGAGAGTGTCAAGACCATTCAATGGAAAAGAGACAGTTTTTTCAACAAATGGTGCTGGGAAAACTGGATATCAATATGCAGAAAAAAATGAAGTTAGACCTTTATGTAACATCATATGCAGAAATTAATTCAAAATAGAGCTAAAAGACCTAAAACATAAAACTCTTACAATAACACACAGGGAAAAATCCTCATGACATCAAGTTTTGTAATAATTTCTTTGATGTGATAACAAAAGCATAGACAACAAATTAAAAAGTAAACAAATTGAACTCTATGTAAAAATTTTTAAGATATACACCAAAAGATAATATCAAAAGAGCAAAAAGACAATCCATGAAATGGGAGAAAATATTAGCAAATAATATATCTGATAAGCAACTAATACCCAGAATATATAGAGAGCTCCTAAAATTCAATAAAAATTTTTAAAAGAACCAACCCCATTTAAAAATGGGCAAAATACTTGAATACATACATATACATACAAAAAGATATACAAATGGCCCAGCAGGCATAAGAAAATATGCTCAATATATCTCACACCCAATAGGCTAATTACTATTTAAAAAATGAACACAGAAAGCAATTGTTGGCAAAAATGTGGAGAAATAGGGAACCTTGGTAATGTATAATGGTATGGCCACTATGGAAAACAATTATGGTATTTCCTTAAAAAAATAAAAAATAGAATCACCATGTGTAATCCAGCAGTTTCACTTTTATATATATCTAAAGGAAATGAAATCAATATGTTGAAGGTGTATCTGTACACTCATGCTCATAGCAGCATTATTCATAACAGCTAAATTGTGGACAAAGGTCAAGTGTCTATCAGCAGGTGAATGGACAAGCAAAATGCGGCATATGCATTCAACGGAATATTATTCAGCCTTACAAGGAAGGAAATTCTGACACATGATCTAATATAGATTAAAAATTGGGAACATGATGTTGAGTGAAATCAGCCAGTCACAAAAAAATATACATTGTGTGATGCCAATTCTATGTGGTATTTAGAGTAGCCAAAATAATAGAGAAATAAAGTAGAATGGTGGTTACCAGGGGTTGGGGGAAGGGTAAATATGGAGATATTTTTTATTTGGTACAGAGTTTCAGTTTCATAAAGAAAAAGACTTACTAAGATAGATGATATTGATGACTGTACAACCTTATGAATTAATACCATTAAATTTTACACTTAAAATCATTGATGGTAAATTTTATGTTATGTGTATTTTACCACAGTTAAAACATTGAATACCATAATTCATTTCGCTAAATAGGTATTCACTTCATCAAATAATATAGTTTGTACATCTTTAAAGCACTCATTTATAATATAATGTATCAGCAAAACACTACCAAGTCAAACTAAAACATTGTTAAAAAACATTCATCCTACTACTTTGACAGATACACATTCATGAAAACTTGGATGGCTACCTTAAATTTAGAATTTCTGGGCTCCTTGCAGTATCAAGCAGGAACGTGCCTGCGTAAGGAGAGACAGCCCTGGCCCCAGATTGCAGGCACACAGTCTTTTTTGGAAAAAAGAAAAGAAAAGAAAAGAAGACAATGTGCATGTCAAATTGCTGTTCACACTCCCTAGCCAGAAACAGCCACACCCTGGCCATCACTTAGTCCCATGTGTGGACACACCTATCATAGGGTGTGTAACATGTGTGGTACAGTCTTCTCGCTGGAGGAGACATCTGGAGCATAAGGCTGGAGCATAAGCCATAGTGTGACTTCAAGAATGAAGCCGTGGACCCTCATGGTGAGTGTTACTGTTCTTAAGGATGGTGTGTCCAGAGTTTGCTCCTTCAGATATTCAGATGTGTCTGGAGTTTCTTCCTTCTGGTGGGTTCGTGGTCTCACTGACTTCAGGAGTGAAGCTGCAGACCTTCGTGGTGAGTGTTACAGCTCTTAAAGGTGGCATGTCTGGAGTTGTTTGTTCCTTCCAGTGGGTTCATGGTCTCGCTGGCTTCAGGAGTGAAGCTGCAGACCTTCGTGGTGAGAGTTACAGTTCATAACGGTGGCGCATCAGGAGTTGTTCGTCCCTCCCAGTGGGTTCATGATCTCGCTGGCTTCAGGAGTGAAGCTGCAGACCTTCATGGGTGAGTGTTACAGCTCATAAAGGTTGCGCAGACCCAAATAGTGAGCAGTGGCAAGATTTATCACAAAGAGCAAAAGAACAAAGCCTCCACAGCGTGGAAGGTGGACTCAAGCAGGTTGCCCCTGCTGGTGGCGGTGTCCTGCTTTTATTCCCTTATCTGGCTCTACCCACATCCTGCTGATTGGTCCATTTTACAGAGAGCTGATTGGTCCATTTTACAGAGAGCCGATTGGTCCGTTTTACAGAGAGCTGATTGGTCCGTTTTGACAGAGTGCTGACTGGTGCATTTACAAACCTTTAGCTAGACACAGAGTGCTGATTTGTGTGTTTACAATCCTTTAGCTAGACAGAAAAGTTCCCCAAGTCCCCACTCATCCCAGAAGCCCAGCCAGCTTTACCTCTCACTGGCACTCCCGTGGGACTTTGCGGCACCCAGCCCAAGTGCTCCAGCAGCCCAGAGGGAGCTCCTCCCAGACAACCAAAAGGAAAAGAGGGGAAGCCAGATACAGACGGAGACCCGCCATTGTGGCCAACGACCCTGCAAAGAGGGAACTGCTGTCCACATGGGACCCAGCCTCCGATCAAGCCCAGCAGTCACTGGGTGGCTGTAATGAGTGCTGGCCTGCGGAGCCCACGCCCACCTGGAACCTGCGCAGGCCCGCAAGCACTGGGCAGCCCTGGCTCCTGCCTGTGCCTCTCCCTCCACACCTCCCTGGGAGCAGAGGGAGCTGGCTCCGCCTCGGCCAGCCCCAGAGAGGGGACCCACAGCACAGCAGCAGGCTGAAGGGCTCCTCGAGCGTGGGCAGAGTGGATGCGGAGGCCGAGGAGGCACGAAGAGCGAGTGAGGGCTGGTAGCACGTTGTCACCTCTCAATAGCAAGACAAAAAACTTAAAGTGTAGATATGCATAACATAGCCTAAAAGAGGTGAGTGTACCAGGGACTCCTCACCTGTTGAAGTAGAGTGTGATCATAAGATGGTCAAAACACAGGTTTTCTCAAACACAAAACCTGGTGTAAGTACGCTACATGTTCCTATGTAAGAGAAGACTTTAAGACATAAAAATGCTCATTAAGATTTAAAAAAATAAGGAAACAACCAGTGAGGGAAAGAGCAATAGGACCCAAAATTGAACGGCTTGCTAAGGGACTGGTCTTATAAAGGACTCAGAAACAGTAGTCAGAAGCTTAAGTGTTATTTTCAGCATGATGAGAAACCATGGGAGTATTTTGAAGAAGGACGGGACATGTTATCTTTTTACCTTCCAAAAAATCATCTTGTGGTAGGGAAGCATGGGGAGGGGGGACAAGACGGCCGACTAGAAGCAGCGGAGTTCAAAGGCTCCTATCGAAAAAAAATGTAATAAACGTGTTAATCCTTCACCGGCAACCAAAATATCCAGGTTCTCTCACCAAAATTGACTAGAAGGCTGGCAGGACCCACGGAGAGAAGGAAGAGCAGTGTGGTGCAGTGGCCCACCTGAGAGCCACATGGGGAAGAGGAACCCCCTCCCCTCAGCTGAGGGAGGTAGTGAGTGTGCTACCCAGCCAGGGAAACTGTGCTTTTTCCACAGAACCGTGCAACCTAGGGATCGGAAGTTTCCACTGGTAAGCTCACGCCACCAGGTCCTAGCGTCCCAACCCTGGAACAGGCAGATTCTTACAGCCTCTCAGCTGGAATCTGCTTAGCCTACCAAACTCCCAAGGGAGGTGCAACCAGCACTCGCTGTAGCGGCCTACTATCTAAGCCATTTGAGCTCTTTGTGGGAGGGACAGCAGCCAGAACTAGGACTTGCAACTGCCTAATACTCTAAGCTCCCTGGGAGAGAAGGGCAGCACCCATTTCTATAGCTCCAGGATGTGCTTTTTCCACTTACCAGGGAGGCTGGACAGCTTGATCCCAAGACTTGTCCCCACAGCCCAACACACCTGCTGTGGCAGTCTGCAGCTGGAGTGTCTCTTCAGGTATAATTCTGACCCATCCTTCCTCAGTGGACAGGACTTCCCTGCAGGAACTCCAAAAACTCCAGCCAGGGGCTCAGAGACGGAACTCTGATCTCCCTGGACCTGAGCCCCTAGGGGGAGGGGTGGATGCAGTCTCTGGGGACCAGTGGACTTAGCCTCTCCTCCTGGTAGTTCTGAGGAATCCCAGCAGCCCAGACAAGTGGGTTTTCCCCCCAGCGAAACACACCCTCTCTACCAAGGGACACAGTGCTTAGTTAAATGGGTCCTGCTCCTCAGGCCACCCAACTGCATGAGACAACAGGGGTTGTCAGATACCCTATACAGGAATGATACTACTGGCATCAGGTTGGTGCCTCTCAAGGTCAGAGGTCTCAGAAGAAGGAACAGGCACCCATCTTTGCTGCTCTCCAGCCTCCTTGAGGGACATCTGCAGGCATGGGAGCGAATCAGATTAATACGGCCTGAAGTGAACCCCCAGCAAATTGCAGCAGCCCTACAGAGGAGGGACTTGATTGTTGAAAGAAAAACAAGCAGAAAGTGACAATAGCAGCATCAACAACAACAACAACAAAAAGGCCCCCACAAAAACTCCATCTGAGAATCAGTAGTTTCAAGGACTGAAACTAGACAAACTCACTAAGATGACAAAGAATCAATGAAAAAATGCTGAAAACCCAGAAGGCAAGAGTGCCTCTTCTTCTCCAAATGATCACATTGTCTCTCCATCAAGGGTGCAGAACTGGATGGAGGATCAGATGGATGAATTGATAGAAGTAGGCTTCAGAAGATGGCTAATAAAAAAATACAATGAACTAATGGAGCATGTTCTAACTCAATGCAAAGAAGCTAAGAACCTTGATAAAATGTTAGAGGAATTGCTAAGTAAAATAACCAGTTTAGAGAGAAACATAAATGACCTGATGGAGCTGAAAAACACAGTATAAGAACTTCATGAAGCATGCACAAATATCAACAGCCGAATCAACCAAGCAGAAGAAAGGATATCAGAGTTTGAGGACCACCTTACTGAAAGAAAACATGAAAACAAGAATGAGAAAAAAGAATGAAAAGAAATGAAAAAAGCTTCAAGAAATATGGAACTTCATAAAAAGACCAAACCTTCAACTGATAGGAGTACCAAAAGATGGGGAGAATGGAAACAAGCTAGAAAACACCCTTTAAGATATTATCCAGGAGAAATTCCCCAATCTAGTAAGAAAGGCCAACATGGAAATTCAAGAAAGACAGAGTAGACCATTAAGATACTCCAAAGGAAGGTCAACCCCAAGACATAATCTTCAGATTCTCCAAGGTTGAAATGAAGGAAAAACTGTTAAGGGAAGCCAGAGAGAAAGGCCAGGTCACCTACAAAGGGAAGCCCATCAGACAAACAGCAAAACTCTCAGCAGAACCTCTACAAGCCAGAAGAGATTGGGGGCCAATAATCAACATTCTTAAATAAAAGAATTTTTAACCCAGAATTGCATATCCAGCCAAACTAAGCTTCATAAGTCAAGTACAAATAAAATCCTTTCCAGACAAGCAAATGCTGAGGGATTTCATTACCACCAGGCCTGCCCTGCAAGAGCTCCTGAGAGAAACACTAAATATGGAAAGGCAAAGCCGGTACCAGCCACTGCAAAAACACACCAAAATATAAAGACAAATGACACTACAAAGAAATTGCATCAACTAGTGTGCAAAATAACCAAATAGCAGCATGATGAAAGAATCAAATTCGCACATAACAATACTAACCTTAAATGTAAATGGGCTAAATGCCCCAATAAAAACACATAGGCTGGCAAATTGAATAAATAATCAAAACCTATCAGTGTGCTGTATTCAGGAGACCTCACGTGCAGAGACACACATAGGCTCAAAATAAAGGGATGGCAGAAGATTTACCAAGTGAATGGAAAGCAAAAAAAAGCAGGGATTGCAATCCTGGTCTGTGACAAGACAGACTTTAAACCAACAACGATCTAAAGAGACAAAGAAGGGCATTACATAATGATAAAGGGAAGAATTCAGCAAGAAGAGCTAACTATTCTGAATATATATGCATCCAATACAGGAGCACCCAGATTGATAAAACAAGTTATTAGAGACCTACAAAGAGACTTAAGACTCCCACACAATAATAGTGGGAGACTTTAACATCCCACTGTCAGTATTAGATCAATGAGACAGAAAATTAACAAGGATATTCAGGACTTTAATTCTGCTCCGGATCAAGTGAACCTAGGAGACATATACAAAACTTCCTACTCCAGATTAACAGAACATACATTCTTTTCAGTGCCACATGATGCTTATTCTAAAATTGACTACATAATTGGAAGTAAAACACTCCTCAGCAAATGCAAAAGACTGAAATTATAACAAACAGTCTCTCAGACCACAATGCAATCAAATTAGAACTCAGGATTAAGAAACTCACTCAAAACCACACAACTATATGGAAATTAAAAAACCTGCTCCTCAATGAGTCCTGGGTAAATAATGAAATTAAGGCAGAAATCAAGAAGTTCTTTGAAACCAGTGAGAACAAAGAGACAGTGTACCAGAATCTCTGGGACACAGCTACAGCAGTGTCGAGGGAAATTTATAGCAACATATGCCCACATCAGAAAGCTAAAAAGATCAAA
Organism: Homo sapiens; assembly: GCF_000001405.40. Lineage (NCBI taxonomy): Eukaryota > Metazoa > Chordata > Mammalia > Primates > Hominidae > Homo > Homo sapiens. The sequence goes on along the minus strand of NC_000008.11, from coordinate 77,696,813 downwards.
AATAGACAACTTAATATCATAATTAAAAGAGCTAGAGAAACAAGAGCAAACTAATCCAAAAGCTAACAGAAGACAACAAATAACTAAGATCAGAGAAGAATTTCAGTAGATACGATACAAAAAATCCTCCAAAAAGTCAACGAATCCTGGAGCTGTTTTTTTTTAAATTAACAAAATAGACTGCTAGCTAGACTAATGAAGAAGAAGAGATAGAAGCATCAAATAGCCCCCGTAAAAAATGATAAAGGGGATATCACCAGACCCCACATAAATACAAACTACTATCAGACAATACTACAAACACCTCTACCCAAATAAACTAGAAAATCTACAAGAAATTGATAAATTCCTGGCTGCAAACACCCTACGAAGACTAAACCAAGAAGAAGTTGAATTCTTGAATAGACCAATAACAAGCTCTGAAATTAAGGCAGTAGTTAATAGTCTACCAGCCAAAAACAAACAAACAAACAAACAAAAAACCCAGAACCAGATGGATTCATAGCTGAATTCTACCAGAAATACAAAGAGGAGTTGATACCATTTCTTCAGAAACTATCCCAAACAATTGAAAAGGAGAGACTCCTTCCTAACTCATTTTATGAAGCCAACATCATCCTGATACTAAAACTGGGAAGAGACACAACAAAAAAAGAAAACTTCAGGCCAACATCCCTGATGAACATCAATGCAAAAATCCTCAATAAAATACTGACAAACCAAATCCAGAAGCACATCAAAAAATTTAGCCACCACAATCAAGATGGCTTCATAAGTGGGATGCAAGGTTGGTTCAACACATGCAAATCAATGAATGTAATCCATGACATAAACAGAACCAATGACAAAAACCACATGATTATCTCAATGGATGCAGAAAAGGCCTTTGATAAAATTCAATATCCCTTCATGTTAACTGTCAATAAACTAGGTATTGATTGATCATACCTCAAGTTAATAAGAGCTATTTATGACAAATGCACAGCCAATGTCATATTGAAGGGCAAAAGCTGGAAGCAGTCCTTTTGAAAACCAGTATAAGACAAAAATGCCATCTCTCAACACTCTTATTTAACATAGTATCAGAAATTCTGGCCAGGGCACTCGGGTAATAGAAAGACAAAAAGGATATTCAAATAGGAAGAGAGAAAATCAAGTTGTCCCTCTTTGCAGACGACATGATTTTATATTTAGAAAACCCCATCATCTGAGCCCCAAAACTCATTCAACTAATAAGCAACTTCAACAAATTCTCAGGATACAAAATCAATGTGCAAAAATCACAAGCATTCCTTTACACCAACAATAGTCAAGCAGAGAACCATTTTCACAATTGCTACGAAGAGTATAAAATACCGAGGAATATAGGTAACAAGGGATTTGAAGGACCTCCTCAAGGTGAACTACAAACCACTTCTCAAGGACATAAGAGAGGACACTAACAAATGGAAAAACATTCTATCCTCATGGATAGGAAGAATAAATATTGTGAAAATGGACATACTGTCCAAAGTAATTTATAGATTCAATGCTATTCCATTCAAACTACCATTGATATTTTTCACAGAATTAGAAAAAATGATTTTAAATCCCATATAAAATCAAAGAAGACCCCATATAGCCAAGACAATCCTAAGTAAAAAGAACAAACCTGGAGGCATCACGCTACCTGACTTCAAACTATATCACAAGGCTACAGTAAACAAAACATCATGGTACTGGTACCAAAGCAGACATATAGACCAATGGAACAAAGCAGAAACCTCAGAAAGAGCACCACACATCTACAACCATCTGATCTTCAACAAACCTGATAAAATCAAGCAATGGGGAAAAGATCTCCTATTCAGTAAATGGTGCTGGGAAAACGGACTAGCCATAAGCAGAATAATGAGACTGTACCCCTTTCTTACACCTTATACAAAAATTAACTCAAGATGGATTAAAGACTTAAATGCAATGCCCCAAAACATAAAAACCATAGAAGAAAACATAGCCAATACCATTCAGGGCATAGGCATGGGCAAAGTCTTCATGACAAAAATGCCAAAAGCAATTGCACCAAAAACCAAAATTGACAAATGGGATCTAATAAAACTGAAGAGCTTCTGCACAGCAAAAGAAACTATTATCAGGGTGAACAGGCAACCTACAGAATGGGAGAAAATTTTTGCAATCAGCCCATCTGATAAAGATCTAATATCCAGAATTTATAAGAAACTTAAACGTATTTAAAAGAAAAAAAAAACAACCCCATCAAAAAATGGACAAAGGATGTGATCAGATACCTCTCAAAAGAAGACATTTACATGGCCAACAAACATATGACAAAAAACTCAACATCATTGATCATCAGAGAAATGCAAATCAAAACTGCAATGAGATAGCATCTCACACCAGTCAGAATGGAGATTATTAAAAAGTCAGGAAACAATAGATGCTGACTGGACTGTGGAGAAATGGGAATGCTTTTACACTGTTTGTAGGAATGTAAATTAGCTCAACCATTGTGGAAGACAGTGTGGCAATTCCTCAAGGATCTAGAACCAGAAATACCATTTGACCCAGTAATCCCATTACTGGGTATATACCCAAAGGAACGTAAATCTTTCTACTATAAGGACACATACACTTGTATGTTTACTGCAACACTATTTACAATAGCAAAGACATGGAACCAACCCAAATGCCCATCAAAGAATGGCTGGATAAAAAAAAAAATTGGCACATATACACCATGAAATACTCTGTAGCCATAAAAAGGAATGAGATCATGTCCTTTGCAGGGACATGGATGAAGCTGGAAGCTGTCATTCTCAGCAAACTAACACAGCAACAGAAAACCAAACACTGCATGTTCTCACTCAAAAGTGTGTGCTGAACATTGACAACATATGGACAAAGAGAGGGGAACAACACACACCAGGGTGTGTCGGGGGCCTGAGGGGAGGGAACTGAGAGGACAGATCAATTGGTGCAGCAAGCCACCATGCCACACACATACTTATGTAACAAACCTGCACGTTCTGCACATGTAACCTAATTTTCTTTTAAGAATAAATACATAAAAGAAAAAAATAGATCAACTTACTGCTCTATGAAGAACACATAGCTGGCAACCAAGAAAGAAGGCAGGGAAGCCAGTAAGACTACTGCTTCACCACAGGAGACATAATGTGGCTTGGACAGGTATGGACCAGTGGAGGTAGTAAGACCTGGCTGCATTTTACATTTATTTTGAAAATGAAGCTGATAGGATTTGCCGATAATGTGGCCTGTGAGGAAAAATTCAATGATGGTCATAGGGGCTTTGGCCTTAGTAACTGAGTCAACAATGATACCTTTGGCTGAAATGGAGAAAGGAGGATGGGGAGGAAATCATGATGTTTCAATTATTTTACGATGAAGATTCTTATTAAACATTCAAGTGGAAATCCTATAAATATCTGGAGGGATATATCAGGCAAATGCTGAAGGGAAAGGTAGAAAAGATGGGAAGGCATAGCTAGAGGTAGAATAAAACCCATGTAAATACAGTGTCCTGAAAGTTAGCAAGGAAAGATTTTGAGAAAGAAGGTGATCAAGTTCATCAACTGCTACTGAAGAATGGCGTAAAACGAATTCTGAGACTCGGATATTGGATTTGGCAAGAAGGAGGTTGTTTTTGGCTACAATGAGAAGAGTGGTTTCGGTGGTTGAGAAGAAAGTGGGAGGTATAAACATGATCGTTTTAGCTTAAGCGATACATTATCCCATATCATCATGAATATTTGAGCATAAGTTACCATTTCCTTTCTTCCCCAGAGACATTCTTTGCTTTCTGGTGTCAAAGCCACATGGTTGTCTTACAGCAACGATTCCCTCTCCTTTCTGCTACCCTCTGCACATTCTTGAAGCATGTTGCTTATGTGCCAGTGACCAGAGTTAAACAAAATAAACCTATACTGCTTGCACTCATTTTTTTCTGTTCTTTCTTTTTTATTATTAATCTTTCCTTCTTCTCCCTACCTTTTTCTTCCATTTTCTTCATTGTTTTTTCCTTCCCCATGTTAAAGACATGGGTTAAGGACAGCTGTATGTATCAGACTCTAAACTCTAATTAGGATGCTTTTTTTCTTCCAACTATAACTTTCTTATTTATTTAAACCATCATTCTATCTTCCTTTAGTATGGTTTTCCTCCTGGAACACTTTTTTTTTTTTTTTTTTTTTTTTTTTTTTTTGAGACGGAGTCTCGCTCTGTCGCCCAGGCTGGAGTGCAGTGGCGCGATCTCGGCTCACTGCAAGCTCCGCCTCCCAGGTTCACGCCATTCTCCTGCCTCAGCCTCCCGAGTAGCTGGGACTACAGGCGCCCGCTACCACGCCCGGCTAATTTTTTGTATTTTTAGTAGAGACGGGGTTTCACCGTGTTAGCCAGGATGGTCTCGATCTCCTGACCTCGTGATCCGCCCGCCTCGGCCTCCCAAAGTGCTGGGATTACAGGCGTGAGCCACCGCGCCCGGCCTGGAACACTTTTTATCACCCATTCTGAATTGACTCTTGCTGAGCCAGCTCCACAAATTTCTTTTCAATGTCTACATTTGCTTGAATAAACATCAGAATTATACACTGGAAGTCTATGATTTGAACTGTGGTCTACTGAACAGACTCATCACTGTAACTTTTATTATGCTTTTGATATTCATGGGATCAATAGTGATGGCTCCTCCTGGATTACTACCATTAGCAATAATTTGAGTCTTCTCTTTTTTCCTCCTGGTTAGACTTCCAATTTTATTATCATTTCATATAACCACATTTTGGGTTTGTTGGTTTTCCTATAGATTTCCTGTTTTCAATTTCATTGATTTTTTGCTCTATTTTAATGTTTTGTTTTTTTTTCCTCTTTGCTTTAGGCTTACATTGCTCTAAATTCCTGAAGTGGAAGTTTAAGTTTTGATATTAGATCATTTTATCTCTTCTAATATATGCATTCAATTCTTTTTTTTTTTAATTTTCCTTAGGTTATTGGGGATAGAGGTGGTATTAGATTACATGAGTACCTTATTTAGTGGTGATTTGTGAGGTTTTGGTGCACCCATCACCTGAAGAGTATACACTGCACCCAACTTGTAGTGTTTTATCCCTCAGACCCCTCCCACCCTTCCCCCCAAGTCCCCAAAGTCCCTTGTACCATTCTTGTGTCTTTGCATCCTCATAGCTTAGCTCCCACATACCAATGAGAACATATGATGTTTGGGTTTCCATTTGTGAGTTACTTCACTTGGAATGATAGTCTCCAATCTCACCCAGGTCACTGAAAATGACATTAATTCATTCCTTTTTATGGCTGAGTAGTATTCCATTGTGTGTTTGTGTGTGTGTGTATATATATATATATATATATATATCTATCTCACAGAGGTATATATATATATATATATATATATATCTCACAGAGATATATATATAACAGATATATATATATCTCACAGAGATATATATATAACAGATATATATATATCTCACAGATATATATAAAACAGATATATATATATCTCACAGATATATATATAAAACAGATATATATATATAAAACAGATATATATATGTAAAACATATATATATATATAAAACAGATATATATATATATGTATATCACAGTTTCTTTATCCACTCATTGGTTGATGGGCATTTGCGTTGGTTCCACTATTTTGCAATTGTGAATTGTGTTGCTATAAACATGAGTGTACAAGTATCTTTTTCGCTTAATGACTTCTTTTCCTCTGGGTAGATACCCAGTAGTGGGATTACTGGATTAAATAGTAGTTCTTTTAGTTCTTTAAGGAATCTCCACACAGTTTTCCATAGTGGCTGTACTAGTTTACATTCCCACCAGCAGTGTAGAAGTGTTTCCTGATCACCATATCCACGCCAACATCTATTGTTTTTTGATTTTTTGATTATGGCCAATCTTGCAGGAGTAAGGTGGTATCACATTGTGGTTTTGATTTGCATTTCCCTGATCATTAGTGATGTTGAGTTTTTTTTTTTTTATGTTTGTTGGCCATTTGCATATCTTCTTTTGAGAATTGTCTATTCATGTCCTTAGCTTACTTTTTGATGGTATTGTTTGTTTTTTTCTTACTTATTTGTTTGAGTTCATTGTAGATTCTGGATATTAGTCCTTTGTCAGATGTACAGATTGTGAAACTTTTCTCCCATTCTGTGGGTTGTCTGTTTACCCTGCTGACTGCTTCTTTTGCTATGCAAAAGCTCTTTAGTTTAATTAAGTCTCAACTATTTATCTTTGTTTTTATTGCATTTGCTTTTGTGTTCTTGGTCGTGAAATTCTTGCCTAAGCCAATTTCTAGAAGGGTTTTTCCAATGTTATTCTTTTATTATCAGAAGAAGTATTCTATACAGGTAATTTAGATCAAGCTAATGGAACAGTTCAGGTCAACTATATCCTTACAAATATTTTATTTGCTTAGCCTATTAATTAGTAAATTAGGATATTGAATTTTCCAACTAAAATCATGAATTTTTCTCTTGTTCCTTTCAATTCTGTCAGTTTTTGCATCACATATTTTGACAGTCTGTTGTTAGCTGCACAGACATTTAGGAATATTGTTTCTTCTTAGATAACTGATACCGTTATCATTATGTAAAGCCCTTCTGTATCCCTGATGATATTCTTTATTCTGAAGTTTGCTTTGTCTGAAATTAATATAGCTACTCTACCTTTCTTTTTATTTGTGTTATAATTTTCAACCCTCCTTTAGTTTCTTTCTTTTTTTTTTTTTTTGTTTTAGACCAAGTTTTGCTCTTGTTGCCCAAGCTGGAGGGCAATGGGTGATCTCGGCTCACTGAAACCTCTGCCTCCCGGGTTCAAGCAATTCTCCTGCCTCAGCCTCTGCGTAGCTGGGATTACAAGCGTTTGCCACCACACTCAGCTAATTTTTTGTATTTTTAGTAGAGACGGGGTTTCACCATGTTGGCCAGGCTGGTCTTGAACTACTTACCTCAGGTGATCCACCCACCTCAGCCTCCCAAAGTGCTGGGATTACAGGGGTGAGCCAGTGTGCTCTGCCTGATCCTTTAGTTTCTAAAAGTACTCAGAGTTAAACTAAATTTCCTAAGACAACACACTGTTAGTGTTCTGTTTTTTTTTAAATCTACCTTGTTAACCTTTTTAACCTATTTTTTCTCTTAAACTCTTTCTTTAAATTGGCATATTTAGATAATAGATATTTAAAGTCATTATTGATATAACTAGATTAATATCCACCGGGTTTGTAACTGTTTCTTCTTATTTTGATAGTTTGTTTTCTGTTATCCCACTTTTTTTCTGTTTCCAATTGAACACTTATAATTCCTGTTTATCTTGTCTCTTAGCATAGTGAGCATTTCTGTAGTGTTTGCCCTAGAGTTTTGTGGGTGAAAAAAGCCAAATTCTGTAAAATCTTTGAAGAGGTTTATTCTGGGCCAAATGTGAGGACCATGGCCCATGACACAGCCCCAGGAGGTCCTGAGAACATGTGCCCAAGGTGGTTAAGTTACAGCTTGGCTTTATACATTTTACAGAGACAAAGATCACAAGCCAAGACATAAATAAATACATGTAAGGCATACATTGCTTCAGCCGGAAAAGGTAGGACATCTCAAAACCGGGGTGTCCAGGTCATACGTGGATTCAAAGATTTTCTGAATGCCAATTGATTGAAACAGTTGAGATTTGCCTGAAGAGTTGAATCTGCATAAAGAAATGTTTGAGTTAAGGAGGGTTATGGAAGCCAAGACTCTTGTCATGTACATGAAGCCTCAAAGTAAGAGGCTTCACATAGAATAGATGGTAAATATTTTTTATCAGAACTTAAAAGGTGTCAGACTCTCTGGAGAAGAACTAGCAAGGGAAAGAGATTCTCTACAGAATGCAAATTTCCTCCACAAAGGACTACTTTGAAGGACCATTCCAAAATATACCAAATAGCTATATTTTGGGATAAAATATTTTGATTTTCTTTAGGACTTCATATCTGTCCTGTGATGATATACCAGAGTCAGGTTAGCATTTGGTAACTTATTGCTACAAAGAGTTTGTTTTTTCAGTCTTATAATCTCTATTTTTATGCTAATACTGGTCACTTGTACCTAAACTCCCAAAGACAGAAGGTATAATGAGGTACGTCTGACCTGACTTCCCATCATGGATTTCTTTGGGATCCCCTTGGCCAAGAGGGAGTTCCATTCAGTGTGTTGCAGGCCTTAGGATTTTATTTTTGGTTCAAATTTCCATATAAATTCTAACTGCTGTGTGTCCACTTTTAAATAACTGTACCTTTTCCTGTCATAGCACAGAAAAATTATGGCAGAGTATCGATAATTACTCCCTTTCATTTCCTTGTAATTTTACTGTTATTTATTTCACGTATTTTTGTTCAGTTGATGCTTTATGATCAATGAAGATAACAAGACAATTTGAGTTTCATTTTTTTCTTTTCCAATCTCAGTTTTTGACTTACTTTACCTTCCTTCTCCCAAAAGAACTTCTTTTAACATTTACTGCAAGGCAGGTCTACTGCTGAAAGGCGTCCCCATGTTTGTGTGGACTCTTTATCTTTTACTTTACTTTTGAAGGGCATTTCACTGAATATGGAAATCTAAGTTTTTCTTCTTTCAACACTAAATATTTCAATCTACTTTATCCTTGTTTGCATGTGTACTGATAAGATGTTATATTAGTCCATTCTCCCATTGCTATAAAGAAATACCTGAGGCTGGGTAATTTAAAAGAAAAAGAGGTTTAATTGGCTTACTGTTCTGCAAGCTGTACAGGAAGCATGGCTGAGGAGGCCTCAGGAAACTTTCAATCACAGTGAAAGGTGAAGGGGAAGCAGGCTTGTTTCACATGGCCAGAACAGAAAGTGGTGGTAGAAAGGTGCCACACAAATTTAAACAACCAGATTCCCTGAGAACTCACTTACTATCATGACAAAGGGTGATGGTGCTAAACCAATCATGAGAACTCCACCCCCATAATCTAGTCACCTCCACCAGGCCCCACTTTCAACACTGAGGAGTACTATTCCAGATGAGATTTGGTGGGAACACAGACTCAAACTATATCATTCCACCTCAGGAACTTCCAAATCTTATGTCCTTCTCACATTCCAAAAGATAATCATCCCTTCTCAACTGTTCCCCAAGTCTTAGCTTATTCCAGCCTTAACTCAAAAGTCCAAAGTCCAAAATGTCATCTGACACAAGGCAAGTCCCTCCACCTATGAGCCTGTAAAATCAAAAACACATTAGTTACTCCCAAGACACAATGGGGGTAAAAGCATTAGGTAAATACTCCCATTCCAAAAGAGAAGTCAGCAAATAGAAAGGGGCTACAGGCCCCATCAAAGTCCAAAACCCAGCAGGGTAGTCATTAAATCTTAAAGCTCCAAAATAATCTCATTTGACTCCATGTCTCACATCCAGGCCACACTGGTGCGAGAGGTGAGTTCCTAAGGCTTTGGGCAGCCCCTCCCCTGTGGCTTTGCAGAGGTCAGCCCCTGTTGCTGCTCTCATGGGCTGGTGTTGAGTGCCTGCAGCCTTTTCATGATCCGGGTGTAAACTGTTAGTGTATCTACCATTCTGGGGTCTGGAGGATGGTGGCTCTTTTCTCATAGCCCTAGCTGGGACTCTGTATGGGGACTGCAACCCCATATTTATCTTCCTCACTGCTCTGGTAGAGATTCTCCACAAGGGCTCCACCCATGCAACAAGCTCCTGCCTGGTCATCCAGGCTTTTTCATACATCCTCTGAAATCTAGATGGAGTCTCCCAAGCCTCAACTCTTGCTGTCTGCACATCCACAGGCCTAATATCATGTGGAAGAGACCAAGGCTTACAGCTTGCGCCCTCTGAAGCAGCAGCATGAGTACCTGGACCCTTTTGAGCCATGGCTAGAGCTGGAGTGTCCAAGATGCAAGAAGCTGTGTCTCCAAGGCTGCACAGGGTAGTGGGGCCCTGGGCCTCACCCACAAAAACATTCTCTCTTAGGCCTCTTTGCCTGTGATGGGAAGGCTGCCATGAAGGTCTTTAAAATGGCATCAGGGCCTTTTTCCCCATTGTCTTGGCTTTTAGTACTTGCCTTTCTTTCAGTTATGCAAATTTCTTCAGCTGGCTTGAATTCCTCCCCCAGATAATGTTACATATATATAACATTTCAGTTTTATAATCTGACTTCCCATCATGGATTTCTTTGGGATTATATATATATATATATATATATATATATATATATATATATATATAATATATAATATATATATTTTGTTACTGCATGGCCAGCTTACAAATTTTCCAAACTTTTATACTCTGCTTTCCTTTTAAATATCAGTTACAGTTTCAGGCCATTTCTTTGCTCACACATATGAGAACAGGATTTTAGAAGGAGCCAGGCTACATTGGATGCTTGGCTGCTGAGAAATTTCATCCTCCAGATACCCTAAATGATCACTTTGAAGTTCAAAGTTCCACAAATCCCTAGAGCAAGGGAACAACGCAGCCAACCTTTTTGCTAATGCATAACAAAAGTAACCTTTGCTCTAGTTCCCAATAAATTCTTCATGTCCATCTGAGACCTCAGATGATCATATGATAGTGATATGATTATTATGACAGTGATACGGCCATCTCTGTCCATATCACTATCAGAATTTTGGTCAAAGCCATTCAATAAATCTCTAGTTCTAAATTTGCAAAACTTCCCTCATCTTTCCTCTCTTCTGAGCCTTCCAAACTGTTCCAGCCCGTTACTCAATTCCAATTTCACTTCCACATTTTTAGGTATCTTTATAGCAATGCCTCACTCCTTGGTACAAATTTTCTATATATGTTCATTCTCACATTGCTATAAAGAAATGCCTGAGTCTGGGTTATGAAGAAAAGTGGTTTAATGGGCTCATGGTTCTGCAGGCTGTACAGAGAGAATGGCTGGGGAGGCCTCAGGAAACTTTCAATCATGGAGGAAATTGAAGGAGAAGCGGGCTTGTCTTACATAGCTAAAGCAAGAAGAGAGAGAGGGTGGCATTGCCACACACTTTTAAACAACCAGATCTTGTGAGAACTCACTATCATGACCAAGGGGGATGTGCTAAACCAGTTGTGAGAACTCTTCCCCCATCATCCAGTCACCTGCCACCAGACTACACCTCCAACACTGGAGAATACAATTTGGCATGAGGTTTGGTGGGGACACAGATCCAAACTCTGTCAGACTTCTACTGTAGTTCTTATTCTTGTTCCTCCACACAGCTCCCCTACCCAACAGATTCTTTCAAGATTTTGTCTTTGTCTGTGGTTTTCTGCAGGTTGAATATATAACCAAAAGAATTATTTTTGGTATTTATTTTTATGTGTCCTTTCAGTTTCCAGGATCTATGGTTACATGTTTGTCATTAATTTTGGAAAGTTGTTGGGTGTTATTCCTTCAAATATGTCTTCCCCTCTATTCTTTATTTCTACTTTTTTTTGTAATATAATGATGCTTATGTTACATCTTTTGAAATTGCCTCCACAGTTATTGATGTCATGTTCTATTTTTTAATTTTTATATTTTTTTCTCTCTGTATTTCAGTTTAAGAAGTTTGTATTAACCTATTTTTGAACTCATTTGTTCTTTATTCTGCCATGACCAGTCTACATATGATGCCACAAGAAATATTCTTCATTTCTATTACAGTGTTTTAAATTTCTAGCATTTTTAGTATTTTTATTTTCTACTTTTATTTCCCAACAGGTTTTGCTATTTTTTCCATTGAAGCTGCTAACATATTACTCATAGTTATTTTAAATTTCAGATTCAAAAATTCTAACATACATGTTATATCTGAGTATGATTCTGATGCTTTCTTTAGTTTTCACATTTTGTTTTTTCTTTCTTTTTGGCATGCCTTATAATTCTTTTGTTGAAATGGGGACTGTTGTTTTAGACATTAGGAACTGAGGTACATCGGCCTTCAGAGTGAAGATTCATGTGAATCTGTTTAGGAGTTGTGTTGTGTTTAATATCTTCTGTAGCTGTAGATGTCAACGGCTTTACCCTTGTATAGTGTCCTTGTTCTTGTATCCCCCTGTGAGGTACACTTTGCTAGATTATGAGAAAAAAACATAAATATGTTGGTAATCTCAAAACAGAGATAAAACTGTTAGGTGCCAAAATCAGAATGAAACTGAAACCTAGAGGCATCAATGTCAAAAAAAAGGTCATGGGGGCTGCATAACCAGATGTATCTCTATCTGGATTTTTAGTGCCTAGACAAGGCTAGAAGTAGAGTCCTATATGCAAAAGCAGTGAGGAACTGAGCTCCTTCTCACACAGAGTATATGTCTTGCAACTATTTAGGTTATAATTCACCCTTTTTATTTTAGAGTCCTGTTGGGGCGATAGTAAGATGCAGAGAGAAGAAAAGAGCTATATTCTTAAATTTAAATGTCTATTTTTACTGGGTCTGTGTTTCTGGATGTTAAAATTCACAAATGTTTCTTCTGTGGTACAGGATTTCTACTGCCCTTTAGTAAGATAGAAAGGCAAGTGAGGATGGAGTGGAAACAGTGCCCTTCTGTGAGCTAGGAAAAGGTTCTGGTAGGGATTTTTTCTTGGAGAGTGGGCTTTACTTTTGGAGGATGTTCTGGTTGCATTTTACAGAGAATTGTCTTTGCTCCAGGCTAGGGCCACCAAGGATATATTTTTGGATCTTCACTATATGAACCTAGTACAGCTAATGTAAACAAACCTCACAAATATGTGGGGATATCCATTAGACTGAAGCCTCTATGAGCTCACACTCTCATGCTGCCTCACACCCAGTCTTCACCAATTTATCAAAAGTACCATTTAAGTGTTCTTAGATTATGGCTCCAGTGTCTTCTGCTCCAGGTGTGTAGACGCCAGCTCTCACTCTCTGAGTACACATGACTTCTTAGACCTGGGAAAGGGAGCTTCTCCTGCATCCTCAGTCTTCTGGAGGATCCAAGTAAAGCCATTTTATTGGTTTTTCTAATTTCCATGGCGTTTTGGTTTGTTAGCTTTTTCTGTTTAGGATGGTAGAGATGACATCAGAGCTCTTTACATGTCAGAGCTAAAACTGCAAGTCCCCACTTAATATCTTCATTATTTTAAAATATTAAAAGTCATTTTATGAATCTTCAGGATGGATTCCATTCAAAATTACTAGCAGTGGTCCGACTATCTGTGTATTTTCACAATATTCAAGTAAACTTTCTGAAAGATTGTTTACACTTTTTACTTCTTTGTACAAATTAAGTTATTGTGTCTGTATCATATTATCTTTAAATTGACATTTTTCTCATTTCTAGCTCATATAGCCCAATAGAACATATGGTGAGACTACAAGCATCAAAATCACAATGTTGGACCATTCCATTTGCAATGAGGTTCAGGTATTAGATATTAATTAGAAGATGTCAAACTAAAACTAAATGATAATATAGCATTTCCCCAAGAAATCTCACAGAGCTGAAATTTATTTTCTGTCTCTTTGTATAGTTTACATAGTCCCTTTAACTGCAAATTCTGGTTTCTAACTGAATTCTATTCCTGTGTTTATTTATGATAGTCATTCATCAGATTTATAAATGCAGAGCCATTACATAACTCTTTAGGTATGTGCACATAAAATAAATGAAAACAAATGCTTTCATTAACACAGCTGCTCTATAATATTTAGTTCAAATAATTCTATACTTACTTCCCACAGACAAAGAATTGGGAAAGAAAAAGGAAGTTAATATAAAAATACAAATGTATCTCTCCTATTAGTCAAAAAACCAGAAGTAAGGGAACTGATACACTGTAAAAGCACATCGAGAGTAGATACTAATGACAAATAGCATAAATGTAAGTGCTAAAAGCATCACTCTTACAGTGCCATCTGAACATGTACTATAGTTTGAGTTCCAAGGTTCTCAACTAAGGGTATTTTAAAAAGACTATGAGCTATACCCTTGCTAAATATGCTTCAGATTTGTTTTAAGACGTTGAGAAAATTAAGACATTTCATTGCAAGAGCAAACCATTTTAGATCACCAGGGGAAAAAAAGTCAAGAAAATATCCTTTATTCCCATCTAAGAGAAATTCAGCTACATTCGTGGATTAAACTGTGCTTGCCTAAGGTAGTGTTTTTTTTTTTTTAAATTTAGAGATGTCCAGCCAGGATACATGTCCAGCCAGTGGACAGTGGAGAGGAAGTTGACTGGAGGTTTACCTATATGTCATGGTCCAGCATAATAATACATATAAATCCTGAACTGAATACAACAAAGAAAAATAGAAATATATTCTTGGTCTCAAAACAAAAATCAAACTGGTAGATGCCATAATCAAAGGGGAAATTCAAGCCTAATGTAGTGAGAGTGAGTTGCAGCCAAAACAACCCATAGGAGATGCACTACTAGGTATTTCTATATTTGGATTTTTAATGCCCAGAGTCAGAAATATAATCTTACATACTTCAGTAGGTTAGACCTAAGCTCCCTATATAAAACCAGAAACCATAAGGGAACTATTTTCCAGAGCATTATTTGCCACTGTATTCATTTACTAGGGCTGCCATAACAAATTATCACAGATCTAGCGACTTAAAAAAAAAAAAGAAATGTATTCTCTCACAGTTTTGAAGGTTAAAAGTCCAAAATAAAGGTGTTAGCTGGCCATGCTTTCTCTGAAGGCTCTAGGGAAGAATCCTTTCTTCCGTCTTCTTACCTTCTGAAACCTTCCAGCAATTCTTGGCATTCCCTTGGCTTATGGGAATGTATCACTTCTGTCTACGTGTACATTGTTAAAAGGTCTCTGTTTTTGCATCCTCTCCCTTTTCTTGAAATACACCAGTCACTGGATTTAGAATCCATCCTAAATCCAGTGTGATTTTATCTTAAGATACTTAACTAACTGCATATGCAAAAATTTTATTTCTAAATAAAGTCACATTCTGAGTTCCTGGACTGACATAAATTCTCGAGAGACAGTTTTTAACCTACAACATTCACTATGCCAAAAATCTGGCACTGGAGTTGGACATTCACCCTGAGTATGGTTTCAAGGGGAGCTACCAATGAGAAATTGTAAAGCCAAATTTGGCATGTTACCTGAATTTACTTCACCTTGTACCATAGAATACCACAACAGTAGGTCTTAATATAAAACCTTCCCCAGGTCAAATAAATTTATAGTTCCTTGTCAGATACAAGGGAGCTTTCACAGCTCACAGCCCATTGAAGATTAGAAGTTAATTTAAAATTGCTCTATTGATGATCACTAAAGCATTACAAAATGTCTAATTAACTTGTTTGTCTTTACATATTTCATTAGCTTTTTATGTCGAATTGGACATAGAAGACAAAGGGTATGAGCAATGCACAAGAAGTGAAATTGTTTTGGTTCTTAGCTTTGACAATAATTAGCTAGCTGATCTCATGGAACCTCAGTTTCTCATAAATAAAATTGAGATTACCATAATATTTCTGCTTACAACACAAATTATTGTGAGGACAATCTAAAACAATGAATTTGAAAACATTCTAAAATCTGGACGATGCTATGCAGATGAATATAAAGGATTACGAGGTTTCAGAAAATGTCTATCATGAATGCAGAATAAGTCTGAGTATCCAATTTTTAAATGTTAATGGAGACAAAAAAATTCAAAGTATAAGTAGAAGAATCCTTAAGGTGGCTAAATGTTTTTTCAAAAGAACAAATAATTTCAATCAATTTCTTCTACCTAAATTGCATGGTTTTAAATGAAAGTAAAATTTGTAAAATGAAGAAAGTCAAGCATGTTCTTTAGCTAACTAGATCCAACTATCAATAAGCTGTGCTTAAAGATTTATATATAGGTTTATCCTTAACCATGAGGCAAAATCTGCAGTGAATTTCTCTGTTGCCTTTCTAGGTGATTTCACTGATTCTAAGTCACACTGAGCAAAAAACAACAACTTGCGTTGATACTAAAATTAAGATCCTAAGGGAAATTAGCCGGGCATGGTGGGGTGCTCTTGTAGTCCTATCTACTCAGGAGGCCAAGGTGAGAGCATCACTTGAGCCCAGTAGGTTGCAGTGAGTTATGATCCTGCAACTGCACTGCACTCTAGCCTGTGTGGCAGAGCAGAACTCTGTCTCTTAAAAAATAAAATACTAGTGTAAAAGAAAAAGATTGCTTTTATGAGCTCAGTTCAGAGTTTTACTTCGTGCAACAGGCATTGCACATTATATCCCACATGCCAAAATATCACTACCAGAATTTTATTTTCTTACTGGCATTAAAAAACAAATTACAAGATTTCTCCTATGCTGTGCAACTTTGGTTGTCACTGTTATCTTGCCTGCAATGTGCTACAGAAGCCCAAGAAATAAAGATAGTCTAAATCTTTCTAAAAAATTTTTCTAACACTGAAAAATTCTCACTTTATTCACCCAATGAAGGGGCCAAATCAACCAGTGACTGACCAAGTTTTACTACCCACCAAGACCATAGCTCTCAATTCCTGGTTGAGATAGTCCACTATCTCATTCCACTAAACCAATTCCTTATTCATTCTTTGCAATGAGAAATAGACCTAATTAATAGGAGGGCTGTCTGGGAATGATTAGAATAATATGTATCTTTTGTTGCATCTTTCTCACATCTTATGCATGGGGTAAATGACACTATCTTTAACATACAATCAAAAGTGCAAACTGGCCACCACATTCTTTCTATCCAGCTCTTAAAACATCAAGCAAGATTGCTTCATCTACTATGTATACATTAGTGAAATTGAGTATGCCACTTTAGAAAACATCTATGATGTCAGGTTGTTGGAGCACTTTATAACTCCCTTTCTGATACAGTGGGAAGAAGCAAATTCTCAACGGAGAACACATGTGGACATATCCCCAGCTCAAGTCCCTTTTGCTACCTTCTATTGGAGACCTCTTTTTCTAGGTCTGCTTTCTCCATTTTTCTTCTCTTTGCTTTGTATTTTCCCACCTGCCAAACTCCTCCAAAAAAAAAAAAAAATCTGCCTAGACTTACTATTGAATAACCTGGAATTTGTCTCTCTTATTTTCTTCGCCTTGTTCATGAATTATACACTAAAGACCTACAGGAGAAAAGTCTGAGTATCAGGGACACTACGACTATGCTGGAATTCTCCACTCCAGGCTCCCTTTCTTCTTATAAGAAACTTATGATCTGTCAGGCAGTATATTAGGACCAAAGATAAAAATAATAGAAAGATAATTTCTGCTTTGATAGGCTCTCAATGATGTTCACTTGATTTCAGGAGAGACATGAGAACACATACTTCTAACATCGTGCAGTAAGTGGTAAAATGGTGATGTTTCCTGAAAACCATGAGAAAAGAAGTGATAAAATATTAGTTTTGTTTAAATGGGTGAAGAGTTGGATAAGTAATATGACCTTTTCTTTGAACCATATATAAGGGATCCCATGACTGGGAGGCTATACATTCAGATTGATGTATATCAAGGAAAGAAATGGCATTATCGTATGCAGCAGATAAGAATGAGGGACTAAGATTATGTGGAAAAAAAGACAGGAATGTTGTTACTACTGTGATCTTGAATAGTGTTGCTTTACTACACAATTAGAAAAAAGAAATTATAATTTAAAATAAAATTTGCAATTACAGTTTCTGCTTATGTCTACCCCAGTACTATACAGTATGGTGGATTTGGGGAATAATTCTTAAATTCCAGAAATGTTTGTACTACCTTCAAAATTTTGTAATATTTGTTAATTGTCTACACTCTTATTTAATTTTTTAAAGTTATATATATATATATTTAAAGTTTTACTTTATTTTTAATGGACAAATAATAACTGTATGCATTTAAGGGGTACAATGTGATGTTTTGATGCATAAATACATCAAATTGTGAAATCATCAAATCAGGGTAATTGTGAAATCATCAAATCAGGGTAATTAGCATATCCAAACCTCAAACATTTATCATTTCTTTGTAGTGAGGACATCTAAAATCATCTCTTAGCTATTTTGAAATATACGTTACTCTATTATTAACTGTAGTCACTTTGCTGTGCAATAGAGCACCAGGATTTATTCCTCCTATCAAAATGCAACTTTGTAGAAACTGACCATTGTTTCCTTTTCTCTATCCGCCTCCCCTAATCACCACCCACCACCCTATCTCCTGTCCCCAGTGGCCATCATTCTACTTGCTACTTCTATGAGTTGAACTTTTTTGAGATTCCACATATAAGTGAGATTATACAGTATGTTTTGGTGCAGTACTGGGATTGCTACATTATATGGTAATTCTATTTTTAGCTTTTTGAGAAACTGGCATCTTATTTTTCAAAATAGCTATACTAATGTAGAATACCACCAATGG
Source organism: Homo sapiens (assembly GCF_000001405.40). Taxonomy (NCBI): domain Eukaryota; kingdom Metazoa; phylum Chordata; class Mammalia; order Primates; family Hominidae; genus Homo; species Homo sapiens. The sequence goes on along the minus strand of NC_000008.11, from coordinate 77,678,401 downwards.
TATATAAGGGCTTTCTTTTCTTCATGTCCTCACCAACACTTGTTCTCTTTCATTTTTTTTTTTTTTTTTTTGATAATAGCATTCTAACAGGTGTGAGGTGAAATGTCATTGTGGTTTTAATCTACATTTCTCTGATTATTAATAATGTTAAGCATTTTCTAACATATCAATTGGCTGTTTGTATGTCTTCTGATAAATGTCTATCCAATTTATTTACTTATTTTTAATGGGGTTTTTTTTCCTGTTATGGAGTAGTTGGAGCTCCTTGTATATTTTGGATATTAGCCCCTTATCCAGTGTATGGTTAGGAAATATTTTCTCTCAATCTCTAGGTTGTCTCTTCACTCTATTAGTTGTTTTCTTTGCTATGCAGAAGCTTTTTACTTTGATGTAATCTTATTTGTCAATTTTTTTTGCTTTTGTTTCCTGTATTTTGGGGGTCATATCAAGGAAATCTGTGCCCAGACCAATGTTATTAAATTTCCTTCTATTGTTTCTTCTAGTAATTCTACAGTTTCAGGTTTTAAGTCTTTAATCAATTTTGAATTGATTCTTGTAAAAGGGATGAGATAAGCATTCATTTTTATTCTTCTGTATATAGATATCCAGTTTTCCCAATGCCGTTTAATAAAGAGACTATCTTTCCTGCATTGTATGTTCTTGACATTACTGTCCAAAGCCAATTGCTTATAGTTGCATGTATTTATTTATTGGATCTCTGTTCTATCCCATTGGCTCATGTGCTTGTTTTTATGCCAGTACTATGTTGTTTTCATTACCATAACTTTGTAATATATTTTGAAATCCAGTGGTGTATTCCCTGCAGCTTTGTTTGTTGTTGTTGTTGTTTTGTTTTGTTTTGTCAATATTAGTTTACTAGAGTTCTTTTGTGGTTTTCATACCAATACTAGGATTTTTTTTCTATTTCTGTACAAAATAACATTAAAATTTTTATAGAGGATACATTGAACACCTCCTCTTTCTTCTCCTTTCAACCTGCTTAACATAAAGATGACAAGGATGAAAATCTTCATGATGATCCAGTTCCACTTAGTGAACTGTAAATATATTTTCTCTTCCTTATGATTTTTTAAAAATAATGCTTTATTTTCTCTAGCTTACTTTATTGTATACAGTATACAATACACATACAAAATGTGTCAATCAACTCTTTATATTATGGCTTTTGGTCAACAGTAGACTATTAGTTTAGTTTTTGGGGAATCAAAAGTTAGGCATAAATTTTCAACTGCACAAGGTTCAGTGAGTCAACCTTTATGTTGCTTATGGTTCAACTGCATTTTTTTAGAACGTTTGCATCTATTTTCTTCAGTAATACTGGCCTGTAGCTTGATTTGTTTTTTTTGGTCTGGCTTTGATATCAGGGTGTTGCTGGCCTCCTAAAATCAGTTTTGATGTATTCTTTCCGAATTCTTTGGAGAAGTTTGTGCAAGATTAGTATTTTTATGTTTTCTAGAGTTCAGCAGTATAGCCATTTAGACTTACACTTTTCTGTGATGAAAGATTTTAATTACTAATTCAATCTCCTTACTCATTACTGGTCTGTTCAGATTTCCAGTATCTTCTTGGTTCAGTCTTGGTAGGTCATATGTTTATAGCAGTTTAATCATTTCTTCTGAGTTATTCAATTTGTTGGTTAATAATCCTGCTTTCTTACTTTATGATTTGATAATTTTCTGTAGTGGTATGCTTGGGATCTTTTCATCTTTTGTGTATCTACTATAGACTTTCACTTTGGGGTTACCCTGAGAATTATATAAAATATATTTTATTTATAACAGGCAACTTTGAGTTTTGAACAACTTAATTTTAATCACATATGCAAACTTCACTTTTGACTACCCATGTTTAAACAGTTTATGTTTTCTTTGTCATACATTGAGTATTATGGTTTGTATCCATTAAAAATTATTTTAGCTTTGGTTGTTTTTAATCATTTTGCCTTTTAACCATCTTACTAGAGATATAATTGATTTACCCACTGCAATTACAGTATTAGAGTGTTTTGTATTTGACAATGTACGTTTACCAGTGAGTTTTGTACTTTCATATGTTTTCATAATAATTTGCATCTTCTTTCTGTTTAAAGAACTCTCTTTAGCATTACTTATAAGGCAGGTCTAGTGGTAATAAACTCTGTTTCTATTTGTCTGAGAAAGCTTTTATCACCCCTTTGTTCTAAAAGACAAGATCTCTGTGTATAGTATTTTTATTTTGCAGTTTTTATTTAATTTCAGAATTTTAAATGTATTATCATATTCGCTTTTGGCCTACAAGTTTTCTCCTGAGAAATTCACTGATGACGGTTTCTTTACATGTAATGATTCACTTTTCCCTTGTTGCTTTCAAAGCTCTCTCTTTGTTTTTAACTTTTGATAATTTGATTACGATGTGTATTGATGTGGGTCTCTTTGGAATCATCTTATTTTGTGTCTACTGTGCTTCCTGGATCTGGCTTTCTTCTTTCTTCCAGAGAGTGAGGAGATTTTCTGACATTATTATTTGAATCAGTTTTCTGTCCCATTCTCTCTTTTGCTTTTACTTCTGACATGCTGATAATTCATAAATTGCTCTGCTTGATGGTGTGCAATAACTCTCATAAGTTATCTTTATTCATTTTTATTCTTTTTACTTTTTGCTTCTCAAATTGGATGTCTTTGAGTTTACTGCTCCTTTTTTTCTGCTTGATCTAGTCTGCTGTTGAACCGCTCAACTGAAATTTTCAGTTCAGTTATAATATTCTTCTGATCTATGGTATATGTTTTGTTCTTGTTTATACTTTATATCTCCTTGTTGAAGTTCCCAGTTTATTCTTGTATTGTTCTCTTGATCTCAGTGAACATCTTTCTGGCCACTGTTTTGAATTCTCTGTTGGGTAAATCACAAACAACTACTTCACTAAAACTGGTTTCTGAAGATTTATTTTTTCTTTTGTTTGAAATATATTACCCTGTTTCTTTCTTTTGCTTGACCCTCTGTGTTGATTTCTGCACATTAGATAAGACAACTAACTTTCCCAGTCTTTTCAGCTTGGCCTCATGTATGAGAAGAATATCAGGAATCCTTCTGGCCAAAGATTTTATGGTGTCTCTCAAGTGTTTATGTTTGTTCAGACTGCTGTCTCTGTTTTGGTTGTCCCTTGGAACTTAGGATGTGACACATCCCATCAGTATACTGAGACCAGAAAGCCAGGCTTTCTAGATATAGGTGGAAAGATTGCACTGTCAGATGTGCATTTTAGTTTTTTCCATCCTCTCAATGAAGTTAAATGTGGGCGTTTATTTCCTACTGTCTCTCTGTTAAGCTGGATAGACGACCTGTTGCAAATGCCTGTACTCACATTTAGGCTACACCCTTTAATCCTGGGGAAATATCTGCTAGCAGCAGGCCCATTACACATTCACCTGTTGGCTTTCTGTGGTCTAAGGCACTCAGGAATGCAAAGCCCCATAGACTTCCAGAACTAATTTGTTAAGGAGGTAGTCCCTCGGTTGGGAGCTATAGTTGTGACACTTGGTGCATGGGCAAATTCCTTCCAGGATAATGGATAAGCCTAAATTTATCAGTGAGGTGAGCCAGAAAAAAAGGTTCATAAAGTGCCAAGCTCTGGCTATGGCTGCTGAAGGGCTATTGTTTGTCTCATTAGCTCCCTGATGCATATTCATCAGAAACCAGGTGATATGGTTAGGCTTTGTGTTCTCACCCAAATCTCATCTCGAATTGTAATCCTGAGGTGTTTAGGGAGATACCTGGTAGGAGGTAATTGGATCATGGGGGACATTTCCCCCATTCTGTTCTTGTGATAGTAAGTTCTCATGAGATCTCATGGTTTTAGAAGTGTTTGACATTTTCTCTTACGCACATGCTCTCTCTCACCTGCCACCATGTAGGACATGCCTGCTTCCCCTTCTACCATGATTGTAAGTTTCCTGATGCCTCTCCAGCCGTGTGGAACTGTGAGTCAATTAAACCTCTTGTCTTTATAAGTTACCCAGTCTCAGGCAGTTCTTTATAACAATATGAGAATGAACTAATACACCAGGCCATCAAGTGGCCACTAGGAGTTTGTGTTGTACCATTCTGGTGTTAAAACAGGAGGTACACATCGCTCATCCCTTTCTGCACTGCTCCAAGAGAGTGTAGCTCCTCAAAGATTTTGAACACCTGTTTAAGTCCATGTCGGTGTTCTATTTAAAGGTAAAAAGACTTGTATTTGCCTAGTGTTTTATGCTGCTAGAGCTAAGAGGTTTAGGATGAAGTCCTCTGTGAGGCAGCTATAAAAGTTGGGCCACTTAATGCATGGCATAAAACACTTCCAGGAACAAACAGGGAGCTGCATTTTTAAGCCCTTTCTCAGCACTGATCTTGGGGGATAAGTCCCTGCTAGTGCTTATACACCCATATAAAACTGCCACTTTTACTGTCATCTAGATAGACTTGCATCTATTTTATTCCCTTTGCTCCCAGAGCTAGAATGTTTAAATGCAGTCACTCAAGTGGAAGTGGTAAAAGTTAGTGTGCTTGCTGTGTGGACAAACTCCTTTCAAGAAGAATTAACAGACCTGAAGTTTTCACTGGGGCAAGCTGTGAAATCAGGCTCAGAGGTACAATCTACTTCTCAGGCTGCTGGCTGGGCTCATATTTGTCTATACCTTTAACTCTCTGATGCAAGTTAGTTTGAAGCCAGACCATTAAGCAACCACTGGAAGCGTGTGTCATAAGACCCTCCTGGGAAGGAACCAGAAGCTGCCTTTTAAGTCCCTTCTCTTTACTGCTCCTAGGGGATGAGGCCCTGGGAAGCCCTGGAGAGTCCATATCAAACTGCTGTTTTTTTGTTGTGGTCCAGAGAGACTTGTGTGTGTCTAATTCCTTTCACTACCAGAGTTGATGAATTAAAAGCCAAACTGTAAGGAAGCTTAGGGTTAGGATGCTGTATGTGAGGGCAAAACTCTTCTCTTTACAGGCAGAAATTGGGTATTAGAAGTCCCTTTCCTGACTGTATGTCACAGTGCCTGGGGTAAGGTTGATGCCTGAATGCTCCTCAGCTATTCCAGGCTGTGCATTGTGAGTGTTTTCTCCGTTGTCTGATGGGTAGGAGTCTTGCAACTAGTCTCTTAAACTTCTTTCAGAGGAAAACTGATCCATGAATAGATGTTTATTAGGTGTGTCCATAGGTGGAGGGAGGGTCAAGGCTTCCTATGCCACCATGTTGCTGATGTCAACTCTATATACTTTTTGGTTTTGTTTTACTTAGCCTACCCTTCAGTAGTGTTAACTTTAAAGTCATGAATTTGACCTGCTATTAAAATAAATATATAAGTGCTAAATACAAGAAAAATGTTATAGATAATCCAAGTATAAATAATCTTGCCTACTTTGGAAATCAGACCACAGTTTAAGTCTATAAAGGCTGTGTCTGTCTCAAAGTAGACACATAAAATAGTTCATTCCTACAAGGATTCTCATTTTCATCATTTTGACCTTTTATCCTAGGGGTACAGAGTGTTAAAAACTTGAGTTTAAATACTGAATACACTACTAACCAGTGAGGTGGCTTGGGAAAATCTACTTAGCCTCTGTAGGAAAATGATACTTACCTCTAAGAATTATTTTTAGGGTTGAATGAGACAATGTACTTAAAGGCTTAGGCATGGTCTTTGGCACACACTAAGCAAATTATGAACGATATGTTTTTGATATATTTTTATTATCTCACAAAATGGAAAAATTATCTCCAGAAAACAGCTGTTACATTTCAGTTGGATTATATGGAAAGCATTCTTAGTCCTTTTCCGTTTATTATTCTGAAGCAGAATTAGGGAGTTTTTTTCTTACATAGTAAGTTCTTGAACTTAGGAGAACTAACAAAAGTTTATAAACAGAAACTTATCTGAGTGATAGGGAATCAAATAAGGGCATGGGAATACAAGAGCAGCGTAAGATGATTTCTTATGTTAGCTGCCACTTAATCACCATTTACTGTCCCAAATGTATATAGTGTCACACTTCATTCTTTCAATAATTTTATAAGTCATGAACCTTAGTAGATGATAAAATCAGGGTTCAGAGGGTTAAAGCAAAAGCCCAAAAGCAAAGGCACAGGGTAGAAGCAGATACTGTAAATCATGTACATCTGACTGCAGTGCACATGGTGTTTATTGTGTCTTCCAAGGAGAAGCAAGACACATACAAAAGGAGAAGAGAACTAAAGGAAATCTTTATTTTATAGACAGTTTTCCTTAGGGATATCATGGAGTACAAATTCAAGTAATATATCCTAAACAAAATAAGGAAGAAGAAAGACAATTTTTGAATAGCAAAAAAGCCAATCAGGAAAAACTAATCTCCTTTTCCTTGCACATATTTTCAAAGTAGTCTGATAGGCATGTCAACTTAAATGGAATAATTAGCATAAGAGCTTCAACGTTAGATGCAACATGATGGTGAGATTAATCTTAGGCATTTAATGAAATACCATCTCCTCTTTAACCAAAAGCCTGACAGCCTAGTGACAGTACATATCTGTTCTGCAGGCCATTTAATTAAGAACTAACACTGTAGAAACCTATTTTGTTCACCAAATTAAAAGATTCTTGTTTAAATCAAGATACTCACATGGTATGGTCTTGAAGTCAAGGATATTGCTTGCCATACTTAAAAGTGACCTTAAGTCATTTCTGTATTAAATTATGACTAAGTTACCCCCAATTTCTCATTTTAAGCTCACTTGATCATCCTGCTTTAATCTTAAGTATTGCTTCTTTTTTATTTTAAAATTAATTTAATTTTAAGTTCCAGAATAAATGTGTAGGACGTGCACATTTGTTACATAGGTAAACATGTGCCATGACGGTTTGCTGCACCTATCAACCCATCACCTAGGTATTAAGCACCACATGCATTAGCTATTTATCCTGATGCTCTCCCTCCCCTGCATGCCTCAATAGGCCCCAGTGTGTGTTGTTCCTCTCCCTGTCTCCATGTGTTCCCATTGTTCAGCTCCCGCTTGTAAGTGAGAATATGTGGTGTATTAGCCCGTTTTCATGCTGCTGATAAAGACATATCTGAGACTGGGAAGAAAAAGGGTTTTCATGGACTTACAGTTCCACGTGGCTGGGGACACCTCAAAATCATGGTGGAAGGTGAAAGGCATGTCTCACTTGGCAGCAGACAAGAGAAGAGAGCTTGTGTAGGGGAACTTCTCTTTTTTAAACCATCAGATACCATAAGACTCATCCACTATTATGAGAAAAGTACAGGAAAGACCCGCCCTCACAATTAAATCACCGCCCACCAGGTCCCTCCCACAACACATGGGAATTCAAGATGAGATTTGGGTGGGGACACACTCAAACCGTATCATGTGGTGTTTGGTTTTCTGTTCCTGTGTTAGTTTGCTTAGGATAATGGCTTCAAGCTCCATCCATGTCCCTGCAAAGCACATGATTTTGTTCCTTTTATGGCTGCATAGTATTCCATGGTGTGTATGTGCCATATTTTCCTTGTCCAGTCTATCATTAATGGGCATTTGGGTTGATTCTATGACTTTGCTATTGTGAATAGTGCTTCAGTGAGCATATGCATGCATATATCTTTACCACGAATGATTTCCATTCCTTTGGACATATACTCAATAATGGGATTGCAGGGTCAAATGGTGTTTCTGGTTCTAGGTCTTTGAGGAATCACCACATTATCTTCTGCAATGGTTGAACTAATTTACATTCTCACAAACAGTGTAAAAGCATTCCTATTTCTCCACAGCCATGCCAGCACCTGTTGTTTCTTGACTTTAATAATCACCATTCTGACTGTCATGAGATGGTATCTCATTGTGGTTTTGATTTGCATTTCGCTAATAATCAGTGATGTTGGGCTTTTTTCATATGTTTGTTGGCCACGTAAATGTCTTCTTCTGAGAAGTGTCTGTTCATATCCTTTGTCCACTTTTTAATGGAATTGTTTTTTTTTCGTGTAATTTTTTTTTAAGTTCTCTGTAGATTCAGGATATAAGACCTTTGTTAGATGGATAGAGTGCAATAATTTTCTCCCATTCTGTAGGTTATCTGTTCACTCTCATGATAGTTTCTTTTGCTGTGCAGAAGTTCTTTAGTTTAATTACATATCAGGTGTCAATTTTGGCTTTTGTTGCAATTGCTTTTGCCATTGTTGTCATTAAATCTTTTCCCATTCCTATGTCCTAAATGGTATTGCCTAGATTTTCTTCTAGGGTTTTGATAGCTTAGGGTTTTACATTTAAGTCTTGAATCCATCTTGAGTTAATTTCTCTAAGGTGTAAGGAAGGGATCCAGTTTCAATTTTCTGCATATGGCTAGCCAGTTCTTTTAGCATCATTTATTAAATAGGGAATCCTTTCCCCATTTCTTGCTTTTGTTAGGTTTATTGAAGATCAGATGGTGTAGATGTGCTATCTTATTTCTGAGATCTTCATTCTGTTCCATTGGTCTATGTGTCTGTTTTTGTACCAGTACCATGCTGTTTTGGTTACAGTAGCTTTGTAGTATAGTTTCATTTTAATTTATTTAAAAGTTTTATCTTCACCAATGAGAAAACAATTGTGTTTTTTACAAGATACAAGTAAGTACTACTTCTATGTAACAACTACTGTTTCTGTTTACATTATGAAAGCAGATATGGTTGTTTTAGTAAAAAGTTAAGTAATTATATAGTTTGAACTTTCAAATGGGACACATGGCACACAAAGTTTTCTAAGAATTAGAGGAAGATTAGAATAGAAAGTGTTAATTTTTTGGCATTGGGCTTCTTTTCTTTGGACTCAGAAATGCTTGACCATAGCTTTCCAAAGCAATACATTTTCATTCACATTTTATGTAATTAAGTTGGTTATTTTCCATCAATTATAGTTTTTGGAAATATTAAAAAAAAACACCTATATGTATTATAATTTGATTCTGGAAGGAAGGAAGCTGAAGGTAAACACAAACAAAAAAGATGGAAACCCAATATTTATGGTATTTACATTACAGTTACGTTAAAGCTATTTGAAGATAGAGTGCAGTTTAATCATCTGTTGTTCCCATTATCTATGGAGTCTGGTTCCAATCTAGTATTCTTAAGAAACACCAAGTGTGCAGTGACAATATTTTTGTATTAAGTGTTTAGTTTTAAAATATATCACAGTCTTTAAATTCTTCAAACTACAGTTTTTAAAGCCTTTTTATAGTTGTTATCTCATTTTTATCCTCATATATCTAGTAAGGATGCACAAGCATTAATATATTACTAATTTGAAAATGCAGAAAATTAAAGTCTAAGGAGCTATGGGACCAGTATGGGTGCTACACTGATAGTCCAGCAGGACCTTTGGGAAAAGATGGGCCTTCTTAGGCCTCAAATCTTTACTGGGCACTCAACCTTTGAAACCTATCTTGTAAAATAGCAACCAATTCTCCAGGAAGGTATTTGATTTGACAAAGAAATGTATATGCAATCAAATTCTTATTTATAAATAATTTTATTCTGAGCAGACAAATCAATTTTAGTAACCCTGTAGATGTTTTCTTAATAAGCCCTCCAAAAAACTACATTAAAAAAGTAAAGCAGATAAGTTCACATGTTGTTCCCATATCATAAGTAACAAACTGATGACCTAAAATGTCAAAAAGCAGTTGCAGAATTCCAAATTACTTTACAAAATTGCTTTCTGATTTAAATTCTCCTTTCAGAACTGTTTAATTTTTTAAAGCTATTAATATCTGATATTAGAAAGAAATTATCCTCCCAATATTTACAACATATATAATATCATTTTTTCACTATCCTACGTAATTAAATTGCAAATGTTTTTGTGTGAGGAACATATTTTTATGCTGAAGCATCTGTTATTGTGTCCAAATATTCCAAAGCTGGACCCATACATCATATTCATATAAAAATAATTATCTCTTTTTAAAGAGTAGACTCTCTACTGTGAACTTCCCTCCCAAGCTTTTAACAAGCATATGGACATTTTAATAAATCATACTTTTCACTGACTTGTTTGAAATCAACCACATAATTTCTCAATTCTAGCCAAGCCAGCAATAGTAGCCTGGTTTAGCAGACAAGATAAAGAATAATATCCAATTCATTCCCAGTGTGTAAATGGTGAATTTAATGATTACTGCTTTCTCATTAAGAATATGTTCAATTATGCCATAGATAGAACACCTTTTGGTTTTATAAGGAATTAAAATGAATGGAATTAGATTTAAACTAAAATCCCATGAGCATTAATGCAGTGATTAAAGTGGGTGTGGAAAGTCTTTTTTAAAATTATTTATTTCCAGTTCCAATAAAGAAGCTTCATTCCTAGCAAATCCTAAGAAAAATTAAATCTTACAGATTTTTTAACTGAAACTGCCACTTGCATCAACTTTTTTCTCTTTGACTCAGAAAACAATATGTGTAACTAAGATACTTACACTGATTCTCACTGTTAAAATATTACATTGTTCATTGTTTAATTTGCCCTATAAAAACTCAAACTTATATAATAATTGTTAAATAGTTGTTAGATACTTATTACTATCCAGATAATGAGTTAAATGCCTTTATATATTACCCCTTGGTAATCCTCATACCATCGGATTAAATAGACATTCCCATTATATTTACAGGGAAATTAACTTTGAGAGGTTAAATGACTTGTACAAAGTCATAGAGTGTAACAGGCAGAATTTTAATATGATTTCCAAGATCCCTATATCATGGTGTACATACCCTGCATAATCCCTGAATCTGTGCCTGTGATAGATTTCACTTTCTGAGATTGTTATTTGACACAGTAGATTTTGATAAAGAGAGATTACCTTTAGTCAATGTGACTTAATGAGGTGTGCCCTTCCAAGGCTTCTTCTGGAGCCAAAGACAAAGTCAGAGGGAGTAGATGCATGAAGCATTTGACAGGAGAGAAAAAATTCTCCTCTGTTGGCTTTGAACATGGAAGGTGTCATGTAGAAAGCATCCTAGAGTATCCTCTGTGAACTGAGAGTGATCCACAGTAGATAGCTAGCGAGTAAATGGGGATCTCAGTTTTACAACCACAAGGAACTGAATTTTGCCAATAAGTTGATTTAACTCGGAAGTGGATTATTCCTAGGAGACTGCAGACAAAAACCGAGTCCTGCTGGCACCTTGATTTCAGGCTTAAAGGAAGCTGAGCAGAGTTCACAGTCATGTTGTGCCTGGACTGCTGACTTTATACAACTTGAGCTAATTGATTAATGTTTTTAAGCCATCATGTGGTAATTTGTTACAGAGCATAGAAAAAATACAAAGAGTAAGTCACAACTTACACGCAGAAAGTCAGATTGTATTTTCTCACTCCTTCCACCCTACTTCTAAAAGCAGTCTGAACACTGCTTCATGGAAACACAGATTTATTTATTGCTCCTGGTTGAGCATGCCCTTCCACAATCCTCTGTGAATCAACGTGATTTAATGGAAAGAGAACTGGAATTGGAGTCAATAACCTTTACCTCATAAATAAAATGATGCTATTTATTTATTTGGAAATTGTTTTGGAAATAAACTGGCATATTAGTAAGTGTTAAATAAATTTAGTTCTTTATCTGACTCGTAAGTGATACCCAAATGATAAAATACGAAAGTTGCCAAACTGCAGCATATCTATACATTATATGTAAGAAGTTGCTCCTATTTCTAATACTTTTCCTAGTTTTACATAATCTATGATGAAGAAAAAATTACTACCCACTTTCAAAATTTACCATATTTTTGAGTACCTTCCTAATCTCCTAGGTGGAAGTGGAAGCTTTTTAACGAATTCTGATTTTAAGTGATACTCACTATACACATGCAAATAAACTGTTGTTTCATGTAAGCAAGTTTAATGTTTTATAAATGTTAATATTATAAGCACATAGCACAGGAATATATATGTAAGACACTCAGTAAATGTTTGACAAATGAATTGAAACGATCTTCTGAGAAAGATAGGTACTTCAGAATAAATGCTTTTCTCAAAACCTGTAGAATAAGTTATACGATTACTATTAAAGAAGAATGGATTCTTTAACATTCCCTTCACTAACTAAACATGAATACTTAAGAAATGTTCGATTACATAAAATGGGATCTGTGTGTTTATGTTCTTAAATTTTCATACTGATAACTAGTGAACGTGATCCAAAATGTCCAACAACCTTAAAATAACAGTGATACTTCAGAAACAACGCAAATATTCTGAGTAATTTATTATCTGGAAAAAATAAATAGCAGGATTCTTTTGGGCAAAACCATGAATGGATTTGAATGACTCAGTGAAACCCTAAACAGCACACAAAATGTAGTATGTAGTTGCTTTTCTCTAGTGAGAAATCAGTGGCTTTCGTTAGATTATCACAGAGAGCAGACAGCTAGATAGTCCTTCCCATTTTGATTGAAGTGGTGAACCCTTAACTTTCTTGCTGCCCTGAGATCTATGCCAAGTTGTGCATTAGAATGCCCATGTGAATATCCCAGGACATTATCAGGTCTCTCTCTTTATGTCTTTCTTTGCTTATATTTTGTCCCACAAGATCATATGCTACTCAGACAATTGCAACACTTGCTGCATAAGGCCTCTTTAAAAATGCGTATTAAGTAACTGAATAAATGTCTGTGCTGCAAACATTTTGGACATAATTTTTTGTAGCAGTTAGTTTCCTGAAAAGGAACATTTTGGAGTTCATTGTGCAACAATATCAACATGACAAAAGGATTGTTATATTTAATACTGATTCTAAATAAAATTGTGAATTAAATTATTTTGTCTATCATTTTCTCCTCATAACTAAGGACTTATCCTCATAGACATCTGTGGAATCAGATTTCCAATTTCCTAGTTTGGCAAATTGTTTATCTCTGTTTTATATCTGTTAATCTCTTCTGTTAGCTGTCATATTTAAAAAAATACTATGAATCTGTGATTTTCCATATGAAAAGCTTATAAAACCTGCATGAATCCAAAACAAACAAACAAAAAACACATTAACAAACACATGGTGCCTGGATCATATTTCCAGAGACTGTGATTCAATGGTCTGAGCATGGCCTTTCAACTAAGTTACCTTGAGAAAATTAAACTTGAGCGCCCCAAGGCATGCATTGTATGTAATAAATTAATTTCTTTCCCACACTTCTAGAACTGCATCATTCTTGGGATAATTGAGATATATTACTCAAATCATTTTTTTAAAATTTTGTGGTTCAATTGAAGATCCAGGGTTGAAAAAACCAGAAAGTGATGGCAAGGCATTGAATGTGCAGCCAGATTTAACATAATTGAAATTATATTATTTTTCTGTCAATTGATGGGAATTTTGCAAAAATATTCCTTTTCCTATGTATAGGTCTACTCCAAAATTATTTAAATATAGCATTAATCATTAAGTTTTAGAACCTGTAAATATAGTTTATCAACTAGCTATTTGGTTTATATCAACTAAACGCTTCTTACTCTCAAGTTCATGAGTTATCTCTATTCCCTATGAAATTGGTATTTCCTTTGAGTTTTTTTGTTTTTTATTGAAATGTTCATTTTCACTTGAGATTAATTAAAATTTTTAAATTTCAGTTTACTTAACCGTGAAGTTTAATAAGGTTTAAGTAAAAATTATGAAAGTATGCACAGTGCATTATTTGCCCATGAATACTCGGAGCATAATTACTTTTTCTCATTGGTTATTGAAACAGCTACCATTTATGGAACAATAATTCAGAATTATGCCATATATTTGACATACGCTTTATATTTGTAAACGTTTATTTGTTTTTTGGAGAAAGTTTCTTGTCCAGTTGTTTCTTGTTTCTCTTTTTCGAATGATAATTTCACTAGATATGGAATACTATGTTTGTTTTTCTTTGAATACATTCAATATTTTATTCCACTCTCTTCCTGCTTGAATGATTTCTGAAAAGAAGCCTAATGTAATACTTATTCTTATTCCTCTATAGATAAGGTGTTTTTATTCTGGCTTCTTTAAAGAATTTCCCTTTGCCTCTAATTTTCTTCAGTTTGAATATAATATGTTTAGGTATAAATTGTTTTTCCTCTGTTTACTTCTGTTCCTTCTTCTGGTTCTCTTTACTCATATGTTATACCTTTTTTAATTGTCCCACAATTCTTTGATAATCAGTTTTATCTTTTTAATTCTTTATTATTTTTGCATTTCAGTTTTGAAAACTTCTATTGATATTTATTCAAGCTCACTGATTTTTTCCCCAGCTGTGTTCAGTCTACTGGTGAGCCCATCAAAAGCATTCTTTATTTCTATCACAGTGTTTTTGATTTATAGCCATTCCTTTTGAGCCTTTGTTAGACTTTTCAGCATTTCCATGTCTCTTTTTATCCACTTCTTCTCTTGTATGTTATTTACTTTTTCCATTAGAGCCCTTAGCATATTAATCATAGTTATTCTAAATTCTCTGTTTAATAATACCAACATTTCTGCCATACGAGTCTGGTCCTGATGCTTACTTTATCGCTTTAGACTGTGGGATTTTTTTGTCTTTTATCATTACTTGTAATTTTTTGTGGAAAGGTAAACATGATGTATTGTGTAAAAGAAAGGTAAATATTTCTTTAGTGTGAGGTTTTCTGTTTATTTGGCTAAGAGTTAGGCTGCGTTCAATGTGTGCTGTAGCTGTAGTATTAGAAGCTAATATTTCCTCTGCTGTGTTTGTTTCTGTTTTCTCTGTTGTCTTTGGATTTTCCTTGAACCTCCTTAAAGAGGGTCCAATATTTCAGTTCTTTTACCTGTAATTTCCTGCTATTATACAGGAGCCCTGTTGGGTTGATCAGGTATAGGGGGAGGTAAAATCTTCTATAGTTCTGTAATTAGGTCTCAGTCTTTAAGTGAGCCTGAGTTACGTATATCTCTTTCTTCATGTCAGTTGGGCTTGGGTAGCATCCTAGTCATTTAGGCACTGGTAAAATAGTTTCTCTTGAGGACAGGCCTTGTCAAAGAGAACAGATAGCTCTGAGTATATTCAGAAATGATTACTTACACCCACTCCCCCACCGCATGCACACACACCACACACACAACCCCCCACACCAGAATTATAAGAAATTTGTCTCTGATCTTTAGCATAAAGGATCTACTTGGGCCATTGGAAGAAAACTCAGAACTAAGTGTGAAGGACTCCCTAAAACTAGGCCCTCTCACACTTTTTAACTCTCAAGCTCCTCCACACTGATCTTCTAGCAGCTCATCATTACAATTAGAAGTGTCTTTACAGATGATGGCTCTGGAAGTGGGATTGTGTCCCTGGTAAACTGTAATTCTCCATATATGCCTGTCTGTTTCTCCAATTCACATGGCATCAATTTTCCCCATGACTTCGATTCTCTGATGGGCCTAAGAAGAGTAGCTGATTTTCAATTTGTTAAATTTCTGTTGTTGTAGGAATAGGAGTAACAACTTTTAACCTGTTTACATTTGGGAATGCAAACGAAGTCTAGAAGCTCATTTGAAGCTCTAAGAACACTATAAATTACCAATTCACATCCTCATTTTAGGATTATGAAACTGATGCATAGAGATTAACTCACCCAATCCACTTTCCACAGTGTGAAAAGTTGTAGAGCTGGGATTAGATTCCAGATATGCTGACAGCAAAAGACTCTACTTTTCAATAGCATCCTAGTATACTTCTCCTTGCTAAGATTAGAAAGACTGTAAAATACAGTTTCACATATTTCAAATGAAAATAAAAGCTTAAATATGGTGAAGATATATTGTTCATCTACATAAAATCTGAGTTAAGGATCCATTGTGACTAACTGCAAGTGGTATAAGCAGGCAGAAGCTCAGAAGCAAGAGGAGGCTTCAATCATTTAAGATACAATTTTGCACATGGATCTCTGTAATTAGCAAATATTTAGATGGGAGGGAGAAGAAAAGCTCATGTGTTTATAGTCCTAAGCCTTCTCCTTTTCTGCCCTTGGGGTACAATGGTGTAATTTGAAAGTTAGAACATTTATTCTGGACTCAATTATTACTATCCCACTTGTGAAATATGTCATTTAAAAGCTAGCTGGAAAGTCTTAGTTTTTCAGATTTTTATGGATATCTTGTTAAATCACGTTGCATTTCCTCAAAAATCCACCATTTTTTCTCATAAATTCAGGGAAAGAGCATAAGACTTTCCCGCAAATGATATATACTAACCCTTTACAAAGTCTTTTTGTAAATGCCTAATGGGTTCATCTTGTCCACTGCCCAGACAGAGGTGATTTATCAAGACAGAGACATTGCAACAGAAAGAGTTTAATAGATGCAAAGCCAGCTACACAGGATACCAGATTTATATTAAGATCTGCCTCAAATTAGTTTCCTTAAAAATTCAGGTGCTATGGTTTTTTTAAAGATAGCTTGGCAGGTAAGGGACTAGGGGATGCTGATTGGTTGAGTTAGGGATGGAATCACAGGGATTTGAAGCTGTCCTCTTGCCCTGAGTCAGTTCCTGGGAGGCGGCCACAGGAACAGATGAGCCAGTTTACTGATCTGGGTGGCACCAGCTGATCCATCAGAATACAGGTTCTGAAAAAATACCACAAACACCAATCTTAGGTTTTAACAATAGTGATGCTATCCACAGGAGAAATTGGGGAGGTTAGGAATCTTGTGGCCTCTTGCCTGCATGACTCTTGAGCCATAATTTCTAATCTCGTGGCTAACTTGTTGGTTTTACAAAGGTGGTACCCAAACAAGGAAGGTATTTCCTTTGAGGAGGCGCTGTTATCATCTTTGTTTCAAAGTTAAACTGCAAATTAAATTCTTCCCAAATTTAGTTCAGCCTACGACCAGAAATGAAGAAGGGCAGCTTGGAGGTAGAAGCAAGATAGAGTCAATTAATTCAGATCTCTTTCTCTGTCATAATTTTCTCACTGTTATAAGCTTTGCAAAGGTGGCTTCAGTTTCATCTCCTTAAATATTTTAAACTTACAGTTTATTTCTACCAGTATAATATATCTTAATAAAAATAAGTCTCTGTATCTGCAGTGTTTTACTTAAAAGAACATAAACATCTGCATTGGAGAAATATTCAGAAAATTATCTCTTTAAAGTTAATTAGGCTGGGTTTTCCAATTTTATCCTGATGTTTAATATGGGTTTGCAATAATCCAGACTCATAAAAATCCTAAGATGGAAAAAGCAATATGAAAGAGAATATACGGATATGTAACATTATATGTTTTACAGTACAATAAATTAGAATCTTCAGGAAATTATTTACAAGAATTTGTGGCACTAATTATGCATTATTTACCTGACGGGTCATAACAGCTTTCTTTTTTAAAAAAGTGTCTAACGTAAGCCCTGTTAAAAACACGTTTGTCACAAAAAATTTCAAGAAGCCCTTCTGGGTACTGTGTTGGCATCAGTTTGTGTAAAAACAACCATCACATTCTATTTATTTCTAAAAGTGTTTCTGGCCCATCTTGTTTCCCCATAGCCTGATTTTATACCATATTAAGTGCCTAGCTGAAATAGCTCAAGGTTAGCTATTGCACAAATAATTTATTTTTATACATTATTCAATATTGTCTTCTTATAAGCATTACCCGAAAATCAAATGGGAATTACTCTGTGAATTATAATTTGAGGAGATTCACATAATATAGTATATCCAGTGCTTCCCAGATGAACAAATGGTGAATTTTTTCTATTGATGGTGATTCACATTTTTGAGTATTTAGTTCACTTGTTTATCTAAAAAGCATTAAACAATAGGTATGATCATTACTTCCATTTTATAGAGAATGAAATTGAGTTACAGATAGTTTCCCCCAATCACATAGCTAATAACTGATGGTGCCTGGATTCTAATACAGACATTTGGACTCTAAGAACCAAAGCTATTTAGTACTCTGATAATAGAAGGAAAATGGAAGGTGTAGAAATTTCATCTTAATGAAAATATAACTATTAAATAGTCTTGGGTTGAATTTGAATCCTGAGCATAATGGAATCTCAGCTAGGTCCTTGGTTCAGTAGAGTGACACTATTTTTTTCTTTCTTTGTTTCTTTTTTTCTTTTCCTTTAACTGCTTGTACTATTAAGCACTCACTAAAGTCATTTTGTTTTCATTCACTGTATAACCCTAAGAGACTGTGGGCAATAGCCCTGGTTTTCTAGAAGTTCCTCCCTGTTACCCTTTTGTCACCACCAACAGCAATTTGATCATGGAAAGGAAGCCACTTGCCATAGTTTGATCCACATCTTACAGCAGCTCTCCACTGATTACTATTTTTTTTTTAGTTTAATAGCTAATTATTCGTTCTCTTTACCATGTGTTGCATGTACAACTCTCCTTCTTGTCTTTAATTCCGGTTTGACAACAAGTGTGCTGTCTACAGATTACATCTATGATAACCTCAAAACTTTTCAGGGCTCAACTGTAGTTAAATTAAGTTTAATATAATTTACATTTAGTTATATTTCTCTTTGCTAAACTGGCTAGACATTTATTATAATCTAGCCTCTTTGTTCTGAAAATAGTTATTTTAAAACTTCAATGCATTCCTCTATCCAATGAAATTCTATATTAAGTTATTGTATTATTATTAAAGAAAGTAATTATTTGGCGTGCTTGATAATAAATAATCCATGTCAGTGGCATTATTAATATTAGCAACCTTAATTATATTTAAGTCATAATATACAGATTATACTACTAAAATTTTATTTTCAGTTATGGTTATTTTTATATGTAACCATTAAAAATAACAATATATTTCTTTATTACTTAGTATAAAACTTTAGCAAAGAAGTTGTTGGAATTACCTTTAAATTTATACTTAAGTTACTGAACTCATTATTTCAAACATCTTGGTCTGAATCAATATCAGTAATGATTCATTCTTTTGATTAAGAAGTGACTCTGTCTGTAGATGTCAGATAATTACCAAGATGACCTATAATGAGAACATTTCACAACTCTCTGACTTAAGTTTCTTATTCCCTCAACAGCATAATGACTTCCTTCTAGATCTTTTTATAGTGTCTCCATGCTCCTGGGGTTTCTTTTTATGATCAGTCCCTGTCAACGGTGGTTCCTATCATCTGTTTTTAGACAAAGAAATGTGTCTCTATACAATAAAATTGTGTTTTGTCTAGATATTTTAGAATTTTGGCATGTTTTCTTATTTTTTTTAAAGAAAGGTTTGTCCTACACATCTGTATATAAATTGCATATAACTGCAACAGTAAAAGACGATACAGGATACCCTTTATTATTCTGTTAAGTGCTCTGGGGGGAATTAAAGTGGTTTCTTTTATATAAAATATTAAGATTAGAAATGCAAGATGTTCTTCTGATCCTGCCCCTTAGGAATATGGTATTTAAAAGTAAGTAAGGAAAAATGGTAACATCTTGATGACACTCACTGTGAGTCTTGAAATTCACAGCAATGCCAATATACAAAGAGTACTTTGTAGATGAAATAACAAATTTGTTGTTAAATCACTTGATTATTTCTTAAACAATTTCTAGGAATAGAATATTGTACCAACCTTGTAATTTTTCTTTAGAATTCATAATAGATTCTGAAAATTCAGATACAGTTACTAATGTTAAAAATTTCTTGCGTGTTAGGAACATTGTATACTTTTTTTTCTCATGCTAAAAATGTAATTAATTTTTTTATTGACCTTTAAACTGATTGACAGATTTTCCATAGCTGTCAGCTTTGTGGCTTAGTTCTTTCCTAGTTCATGTTCATGTCTAGCGAAGGCAAGGAAATGACCTTGTTTGTATTCTGTGTCTTTGTTAAAGTAACATGAAAGGAAGACTAATGCTTATATATGTTCAACATATTTGAGGTTGTTCTTGACTCTTAAAAACAGTTTTATATTTCAAGACAAACTTTGGTGAGGAACGTAAACCCTATTAACATCTTGATTCTGTCTTAACTACTGAAGCCTCAAACTGGTTAATTAGAGGTCGTCACTCTTTTCATAATATTTGCATTTGTGTTAGGAATAAAAGTTGTTTAAAGAATTGGAACTCTAGAAATAATGATGACTCAAATGACAGATTCATGCTTATTTCCCAGAAGCTACAAAGCAAAGGAGAGGAATTTTTCTTCTAAGTTAATAAAACTATGATGTGCCAGGAGAAAACCAGATCCTAACACAAAAACAAACCCCCACAAAACAACACAGGTACATTTTCATGAAAACATCTCATTCTTCTGTACTTTGTAACTAGTATTCTCTTAATTTCAGATCTTACATTAAAATTATAAGCATAAATACCTACAAATTATATCCAGACCATTTAAGAGGTTTCCATGTTCTAGTTATGGAAGTCAATCAAAACAAAGTTGTGTGTTTGAAAGAGAATGAGAATCATGATCATCCCTTTCTCCAATTTGCCATGTTGGAGAGTTTCCATTTTTTATCTAAAAAATTATAGGCTTTGTAATTAATTTCCTATAACCTTTCCATCACATAATTCTTCAAAATGTTACAAGTCTGAGAAGAAAGCAATAAATGCAAAATCAATGTGTTAAGATTTAAAATCTCAACGAGTTATATCTTCTAAGGGAAAAAGAATGGTCTTTTTAAAATCAAATGGTCTTTTAAAATCAAAGTAACATGATTTTAAGACTCTGGATCCTTCAATTAGCACCTAAAAATAGAATAACAATGACACAGAAGTATTTCTTTCAACTTATTATGTAGTATAATAAATGGCTTAATTCAAATAATATTTGATAAATATGACTGAATGTGTCTTTTCTGCCCAATAGTGGAAATATGTATGAAGCTAGTATACAAAAATATATATTTCCTCAAAACTGTGTTACTAGTTTTGATTCTATCACTAGTCTGGTAGATGCCAAGGCTATGGGAAACTCAAACTTTAGTTTTGCAGTGGCTTTGGTAATTGTATTAGTTATCTGGGGCTGCCATAACAAAGTACCACAAACTGAGTAGCTTAAAACAACCGAAATTTATTTTATCACAGTTCTGGAGACTAAAGTCTGAAATCAAAGTGTTAGCTGTGTCAGCTCCTTCTGAAGGCCCTGAGGGAGAATCAGTTTCATGTCTCCTTCCTAGTTTCTGGTAGTTGTTGGAAATCCTTAATGTCCCTTTACTTGTAGGCTCATCACTCCAATCTTTGGCTCCATCTTCACATAGTAGACTCGTGTGTGTGTGTGTGTGCGCGCTCATGTGTGTGTATCTGTGCTTCTTCACTTCTTATAAGGACCTTGGTGGTATTGGATCAGAGCCCAAAAGAATCCAGAATAACCACATTCTTATATGATCACATCTTCAAAGGTCCTACTTTCAAATAAGTTTCAATTCACAGGTACCAGAGATTAAGATTTCAATGTATCTCTTTGAGGTCACAATTCAACCCACAACAGTAACTAGTCTGACTCTAAGCCCTAGTCTCCTCGTCAATAATACAAAAAGGAGAAAAATACCTGCATTTCAGGAATAAATGAGAGACCATTTATAAAAGTAATTATTTAACAATTGTATAATAAAGACTTTTATAACAAACACAGTGTCTGGAACAAGACAGTATATATTAAAGTGAAAGAAAATTACAACATTTGAGTTACAACTTCATATTTTAATGATCAGTTTCAAAGATATCAAAAGATATTTTATAAATTAAATAATATGTCAAATATATAGACATTTGCAGTGTATCTATTATTTCACTATCAAGGAAAGCAATTTCAAAGTTGCGTATGTCTCTATAATTGATGGTCAAATTGGGATGAAAGCTTAAATGTCCTTCTTTCCAGGCTTGCCCTTATCTACTCAAATATCTTCCCTGTCGTTTATAATGTACTTTTATATAGGCTTACAACTAGATGCACTATCTTATTCGTTTATCTCAAGTCTGTGGTTATAACTTTCAAATGTAAAAGGACATAAATATCATCCAAGAATTTGCTAGAAAAATGAGGAAGTAGCATCATAATTATTTTGAAGTTTAAAAGCATACAAAATTTTTTGGAAGCATGTGAGAAAGTGGCCACTCAGGCAATCTCAACTATTTCATATTCATTACAGATACATGCTTCATGGTAGATGAATCCTATATTGTTGAAATTTTCTGTTGAGTGGTATTAATTTAGAATCTGAGATGTGAGAGTTCCCTTGACGCCCTTGAGGGACTTGAGACAGCGGTGGCTCAAACCCCTTGTGGAAGGGTGAGCATACAGTTGAGCAGGTGGAGGAGCTGGGGCGAATGCCTTCGGGCGACAGCAGAAACATACCTTGTACCAGCCTGTGGCAGCATCCAGGGGTTGCACATGACCTCTGAAGCCCCAGAAGGCAAGTGTTACAAACAATGCTTTTTAGCATTTTCTGTCTATGGACAGCTAAGTGTTAACCAGTTGAGTGGAGGGCTAGGGTGACATCCTTTCACTCCATGCCCTCTGGTAACCGGGTTCTTGTCTAGCATCCAGGAAGAATCAGGTCACATGAACCTGAAAGATGGTGAATGCAGAGATTTATTGAGCTGTGGAAGTGGCTCTCAGCAGGTTGGGGAGCTGGAAAGGGGATGGAGTGGGAAGATAATCTTCCCCTGGAGTTCAGCCATCCCTGGACGAAATCTTCTCTGACCATCCCTGGAGGAACTCCTTTCTGACTGTAGTCTCTGGTGTTAAGTTGCCTCTTCTCCTTTCAATATTCATATGCTTCTTCTCTTCTCTCCTTCTCTGCCATGCTACTCTGCTTCTCTGCCAGTGGAACTTGGGGTTTGTATGTTTACAGGGTGGGGTATGTGGAGGGTCCAAAGGCAACCTTTGGGCAGGAAAACAGGGGTGTGAAGTTCTCATTTAGGGTCTTGAGGTGGAACCCTCGCCAGGGACCCTGCCCACTTCTACCCAGGATTTCCCTGCCTCCTGTCCATATCAAATCCGTGTCCATGAAATCATAGAGTTAAAGGAAGTCTGGGAGTTGTCGAATTTATACTTTCATGTACAAGTTCACTTTCTAATGTTGAAAAAATTACATAAGAAGAGATGTCAAAGTTCCTCAGCAGTTTATTCTTTTAACTCTATATGAAAGTAATAATTTAAATTTCTCAGCAGTGAACTCTGGACATTCTAATTTACTTGGATCAATCTTGCTGTTTTTCTGCTGAACACCACACAAAGGTGACTTTATGACTAAAAGTATGAGATAGCAGAATAAATGTGGTACAAGAGAGTCAAGCTTTCACCTAGGCATCAGTTTAGGTCAGAGAGAAAGAAAATTTAAAAAAGAAAAGCAGTAGAGGGCGGGGGAGAGAGAGAGAAAGAGTGAGAGAGAGAGAAGATCTAGTCACCGTCTATAGAAGAGAGTGAAGCCATACTGCTACTCACCAAAGGGCTTTTGGCTGATGAGTGCTGTGCTCAGATAGACTTCTGGGAACCTGAGGAGTTTCCCTTACTTACTCATCATGTGGCCACTGAGAAGTGGTTTCTCTCTCAGGGGCAACTCTCCAGGGTTAGTCTCCCCCTGACCTTGCCCATCAGCATTACATGGTCAGCTAACCCCCTGCCAACCCCCAAACCGAAAACTTGATTTATTCTTGGTTGAAGAAGAACAGTTGTTCTTTCTTCAAAAACTATATTTTCATATTTCATTTGTCAAATCCTCATTTCCCAGAATAGAAAGAAGGAAAAACTAAGGAAAGAAGATAGTGTGAAGGGGAAAATGGGAGGGAAATAGCAAAAAGGAAGGCCCCTGCAAGTATCTATATTTACAAAGACAAGAAAGAAAAAAAGGCACAAGTTGAGTGTTCATATTAAAAAAATAAAAAGAGACCATTTCAATATGCCTGCTCATTACTCCAGAGACCATTTCAATACGCCTGCCCATTACTCCACACTGATGAGTAAAATTCCTTAGATGTCTTCTTTGTTATGCTGCCATTAAAGTGTAGAAAATGTTCGCCATTGACCTAAAATGAAGTACGCATAGAATGGAGTTACTCGTCATCTTTTCCATCTCTGATAAACAATATATATTCTTTAAACTTTCCATATAAGTAGTCTTTGAAGTATTTTAACAACCCTTAAATTCTAATCTGATGATCTGTTTACTTTTCAAATTTTTATTTACTTTTTGTGAAAGTAAACTTTGGGAAGAATACACTGATCCCCTGCTGTGTATCTACATAAAATAAGAAGAAAGAAATGAGAGGGATAGACAATAAAGAGAGAATAAAATAACAGAGGAAAAATAAAATGAGTAATATTCATTTAAAAAAAAGCAATTGGGGGCTTCATTCATCTCTCATTAGACAGATTCCCTTTTAGTTTAAAGATGGAACTTAATTTTCTGATCTCTCAATTTCTCAACTCCACTGTTGGTACATATGATAACACACACACGCACACACACCTCTCTCTTTCTCCCTCTCTTTTTCCCTCTCTGTGTCTCCTGATCCAACTTAAATTGTTAACTCAGAGAGGGGTGGGACTAGATATACAAATCTCTCTATAACATCCCAAGTAATACAGCATCTGACACTAGTAGCATAAAATTGAAATTGAAAAATACGTATTTTGGGTTTTTTAAAGACAGTGATACTAGCTTATATTACTTAAATACACTGTTTTACTTATGGTCCTAACATGTTTTGTTTCTTTGTTTTTATGTCAGTCTCACTTAAACCTTGTTTAAGGAAATGAAAGAGCTAAATGCCAAGGTATTAAAGAGCTGCTTTGCTTTATTTTACTTCATGCTTCTCATTGTGACACACACTTAAGAAGGGTCTGTAAAGCAGAGAGTTCTATCTTATATATTGCATACTGATTGGTTATATACCAGGGTTGAAAGAGAAGCTAGCATGTAAGAGAAACCTGCATGGGATCCTTTATCCCAAGGGATTACTGGGGACCCACAGATGTGCCTTAATAACCTTGAATTCAGCACAGACTTCTTGGGAACAAAAGAGACAACACTTGCCTGCTTTCCATCTAAATGCTTAGACTTTAATAAGAACTTTATTGTTTTCTATAGGAAGCTATAAAATCTGAAACATTTCTCAAGACATCACACGTGGGTAACTCCACTGCCTCTCATTGAGATTTCTACGGTCTCTCAGGGCATATTTCAATTTCACTAGGCTTAGCACACTTTTAGGATATGGCCCACAATGAGCAAAAGAAAAATATATTTCTGCCAAGCTAGACTAATTGTTGCTTCTCAACTTTTTCATTTTAAAAAAATCAGTCTGCATATAATCCTCTAGTTGCTCACTCAAAAAAAGAGTGTTGTGGGAAACTTGCTATGCAGTAATGGTAAAGGGTCAGGTATAACTAAGGAGTTATATGTAGTCGTCTTGGGTGGTCAAGAATATTGTGGGTTGAAAAAGTTTTCTTCAAAAACTTCTGGCAATAAAAGGAAAGCCTCTATTGAATCCATGTTACTCTTCCTTTGCTTTTCTAGCTCAGAAATATTTTACAAATCAATATAAAATTTTGAAATTAAATTATGAGCTAGTGTTCCAGTGGATACATAGTCTTAGTTAAAATTTTATTTGGTAAGCACGTCCCTTTTTTCGTAAACACTCTCTGATGCATTATCTGTATATCACACCAACATTAGGTGAGGCTTTAACTGCTTTCTTCTTGTAAAGTATTCTTAGCCTTTTTTCTACACAGAAACACTCATAGCTTTTACACAAAGGAAGCATGTATGTTTCCCTGGTGTGAACTCAGTACCAACAAAGCCAAAGCATTTCCATCTGTCATTACGTACCAACACAGCTAAGATTACTTAGAGAATCATGTTGATAAAATGACTCAGACAACCCCATTTTTCATTTTGTAGGTAGATGTGTTTTATTATGTATTTTACTAAGCAGAAGAGAAAAATGTCTGCATTTTTTTCTTTTAAAAGTGGGTACATTTGAACCATATTAAAAAGTAATAATTTATCTTAAAATATAAAATTCCTATTAACATTGTTGCTTCTTTTGTTTTGGGGATACATATTATTTATAAAATGCTTTAGAATTTTTTATTATTTTGTTTTTTCTTTCATAATAAATGTGACGATTTGACTGAATGTGACAGTTTTTAGTTTATGTGTGTGTGTGTATACAGATCCAATTGCCATTATTTTTGGATTCTGTTTTTGTGAGTTTTTGCCTATTTGCTAAAATATATTCATAACTCCAAAATCAGTATTGGTGATGCTACAATGGTTATTCAGAGCAAAAAAGTGAAATGGCTCCATGTATACATTTCCAGCTGAAGTCAAACAAGAAGATGCTCTGTTTAGTGCCAGATTTTTCACATTTTTGTGCTTTCTCTTGCTGATTCCATTGCTGACAATGGCCCTATTTATAGTGTTGAATTGCTATCATGTTTCTCAGCACAAGAAGGTTGTGATGTGCCTTATGGAGAAAATACACTTGTTAGATAAGTTTTGTACAATCATAGTTTTCTTAGTTGTAATTTCAAAGTTAACAGATCAACAATATGTATTTAAAAAGGTGTTTTTATACAGAAACATACCTACAAATATTTCTCAGTTGATGAAAATGTTGTGACCAGAGACTTGCAAGAAGCTAACCCTGCCTTTCCCCTAGGTGCAATGGTTCACTAATTCAGTTTTCATACTGACTTTGTAGAATACAACTATTGCAAATAACAAAAATCAACTGCATATTTTCAAAATAATGAAAACATTTGTTTCATGTATAAAGTTGAACATAAGTAAAATGTTTTATTGAACTTCTTAAAGAAAAAGGAAAATGTTCAAAAGATAATTCAAGAAATAGAGATTTCTATGGTCAGTCATATGAATACTGAAAGGAACTTACATAGCTGGTTAATTTCTTTGAGGCAATTAACCATAATATCTGGAGTTATTTTTCTATCAGAAAGAAATTATTTGAATATTTTTTTACAAAAACCTATAACTTGTGCAACTTCACTAAGTTCATGATCTTTAATCAATGGTTACTAAATATGTTCTCTTAACATATTTCTCTATAACAAAAATAATTTCTCTATAACAAAAATAATATTAAAAGCATGCTTTTATGCAATCTGATAATGCCATAGTCTGAAGAGAATAATTCTTTTACTTAAAATAATTCTTTTACTTAAAATTGGTTTTGAATGAAGTCTATAGTTTTATGCGCTATGCAACTTAAAATTTTATCCAATGGCATTTCATCATTCTCTCACAAATATATGTACAACTCATTGATAAATCCAGAATTTAGTATAATATTTATAATAGGGAAAAAGCTAGTTGCATTTCATGCACATGGTTCTATTTGCATACTCTATTTTGAAGCATATTATTTGCCTTAGTCCAAACCATTATGTTGTTAAATAAAAGTAGGTGAGATTAAGAGGAGCCCTGGATGAAGTTTTTTAAGATATGACCTAAAAAACCCACATAACTATATAGCGGGACGATATTTAGAAATAAACCAAGTGGTATTTATTTTCAACTATAGATCGAACCTTGTAGACATGGTGGTAAAATTACTTCAAACATAGCAATCCTAGATGCAGCCTAGACGAATTATAGACAATTTAAAGAACACTCCATATGTTCAGCATGAAGCATTTGCTGAGGAACAGAAATGACTGAGCCCAGTGCCCAGGTAAATGGCTTGAGTTAATCTTTCACTTCTCTTGACTACTCCCACAGCAAAGAAAATCCAGTAGCACTAAACTCTGCAGTGGAAAGTACCTTAAAAGCAGTTAGTGCTTACTCACCATAATTGGGAGAGTATGACAAGACTATAAGGAAAGCAATAAATCTAAACAAAAAGTGACTGGATATTGCCAGTCAACCTCAAAAGACTGGCAGTGCTAGGGAGATCCAAACTAAGGGCTAGTTATGCAACAAGGATTCAATATACCAGATCACTGGAAGACCAAGCAAGGACCTGAGGAACAGCCTGACTGTCACACCAGTCTACCCATGCCTGGAGGATGTGTATGCTTTTCCCTGCATGCAGATACCATCTTGAAAGTTAGAAGAAGTGGAAAATCCTTAAGTAATCACCTGAAAGAGACCACGTTAAGCAAAAATAGAGAAAGATTTCATTGAGAACTGGAGCATTTTTTCTCCAATCTAGGAGAATGGTCTTTGAAAGAAAGTTGAGTAAATGGACAAAGCTGGATCTTAGTTGCCTCACTCACTATCTCTGTAACCTAAGGGGATATTAGGTTAGTGTGGAAAATTGCACAATATTTTACAAAATATGGTAGAGAATACATGTGGTCATAAGTCAATTGGAACTATTTACTTAAGCAAAAATACAGTATTGCCAAGAAGTTGGTAATTTAAAAAATGAAAAAAAAATCCATTTATTGACTTATTGCTTGGTATTTGGGGTTTAGCCCAATATACCATTTGCTGTAATCACAGTGAAACCACTGAATTATACCATGAGTAAAACTATACACTAGAGAGGTTTAAAGTGCATTCCAAGGCCCAAGGGGTAATATCCCTGTAGCAAATTGAAATGGTTATGGGCTGAACAAGTAGCAACAGCTACTGGTATGTTGCAAGAGAATGAGACCTTTTCATTAATGCAACTCATGCAGGTATGACTCCTCGGTCGAACATGAAACCAAACCATACTAAAAAAAATTCAGAAAAAGTTTAGTATCATAGCAGTAACATATAGGACATTGACTAATTCATCCCTCTTCTCCACCCTCCAGCATGAACACACTTTTGAAACAAACATTTAGAGCAATAGAAACAGCTTCCATGTTGTTATTCCAACAAGATTCCTTTTTCCAGTTATTAATATAATACTCTCCCCAGTGTTCCTCAGTTCTTTTGCCACTCTCATCTTAAATTTATCACTTTCTGTAGGAGTAAAATATGGGCTCTGTAAATGAACAATTGATGAAAGAAAACAATGTCAACACAAATCCTTTATAACAATTTTTTAATTACTGGCCATACATTTCAGCACTTTTTAACTACCACTGAGGTATTATAGTGTCTTAAATGAGGGAGGATAATGCAATTTACTTAAATAAATTATACGTGCCATCCAGAATATGTGAAATTTTTACTAATATAACACAAATTAAGTTATAAAAGTCAATAAGAAATCATGCCAAGTTTGCAGAAGTTTTGCATTAAATAAGCTTCCCTTTAATTCTCATCTTCAGCATTAAAAGTGTATCAACAGGTTCTCATTGTAACTGCAAAGAGAAAGATACCATCTCTCTGTCTATTTATGCTGAAGTTAGCAAACCACAAAGAATCACTTGTCCACAACAGCCACATATAGGTGTGTCTTTTGGATAAGAGAAATCCATATATCACACCCTGAGACTATTATAATAATAAACTCACTTTTCTCTAGCAACTCTTTCCCTCTAGTTACCACAGAGCTTGTTGAAAGAATTGTGTGTACTGTCTCTTAGTTTCCAACTCTTCATCTCTCATCAACAACTGAACTTGGTGTGCTCTTGTGTCCATTGTATAGAAGGTGCTCTCACTAAAGTTAAATGTGAACTTGCAATACCCAAATCAAGTAAATATTTCTCAGTTCTTATCTTACCAGATTTGCCTATCTGCTGGCATGATTCCCCTACCATTTTTCAGAAACAGAAATTGTTAACTACTGCCTTCAAACACAGAAGATGTAAGTACAAACTTCAAAAAAATCCATTTATCATAAAAACCGATGTTTCACTATTTCAGATCATGATTGCCTCACACCCCATCTTCTGAGTATTCTACATTTCTTAAGTTGCTCATCCAGAAATTACTGTCCATATTTAGGGAAAGAGAGGTTGCTTCTGAACCCATGGCTGAGAGAGATTTGCAACCTGATGAAACTTCACATCAGCTGTGTGATATTTGATAAATGACTTAGCATCTATTAATCTATTTCATCTTGTGAAAAATGAAAATTTTAATACCAACAAATAACTAAAATGTAATGGGAGTTGTCCCTGTATTTAGCTGCATTGATAAGTGCTTTACCTGTATTGACTCTTTTATTCTTAAAACAAATTTATAAGAAGTAGGTCATTATAATCTTTCTTTCCCATATTTAGAGAGGGAAGTTTCACAATTTTGAAGGACTCCCCTTAGGTTACAGAGATAGCGAGTGGGGCAACTAAGATCCAGCCTTTGTCCATTTACTCAAAAACTACCAAACTCACAGCATTGTTATGGTATAAAAAATCTACTATTATGTCCAGCATATAATTATTACTCATTAGTTAACATCTGCAATTAAAAAATATTGAAATGGTTTAATAATATTTCAAAATGTAAACATTTCTGAATATATCCTTTTTAATCTTTGCAGGAGTATTGGCAAAAATATGTACTAGCCAAGAATAAAAATTAAGAACAAATTTTTTTTTGCTTAAAAAAGGCATCTAGCACAGAAAAGTATGGGAATATTCACAAATGGATTAAAATGCACAGATAAAAAAACAAAAGTGAAATGAAAGAAAAGTGGCATCCAGGAGGACAAGAAAACTCAAAGAATCTCCCAATGTGACTGTGTCTGAAATAGCTTCAAAAGTTTCAGTCAGCTTGAATACACAGGCCAGCTAGAGGTGAGCTGGTGCTCTGGAATAATTATTTCCATTCTTACCTTTTTGACATATAAACCAAAATAGTGCCAGTATTCCTCTTTGTCTTATGAGATGAATGTCATTTGTTAGTTCTCTTATATTTTTACAGAAATTGTATTTTAAAAGGTAAGCCTATTTGTAGAACAAACACAAAGGAAATAAATTCCTTTATAATAAATTATTGTGGCATTAAACATGCATTCTGCTTGATTATAAAATACTTTCAGATAAGCACAATATCTTTTCCAGTTCACAGTATTTAATTTTCTTAAATCTTCCTACACAAGTCATACAGATTTTTACCTCAGAAAGCACATGATAAATAAAATAACATAAGTTATGATTAGATCCTATGGATAAGTGAAAGAATGCTGTTGTCCAGGATGGGCTAAATGAAGTGAATACATTTGAAATTTTGATAATTAATTGAAAACATGTTAAATGATGTTATTAGCGATTATGTGAACTAAAAAGAATAAAATAATTTGAGTAGAATCTGCATAATTTTGTGTATTTATTATATAAATCTTGTGAAATAGTAGCTATTGTTAAAAATTAGTGTTCAGGTGCTAACTTGCCTTGCCTGTTGTTACCATTAAGAATTTTCAGTTTATCTCTTGAGCTTTTTTTTCCTATCCTGTGTGCTCTCCCTAGAATTTGGACCCAGAGTTCTTTCTATATGGATTCATATATTTGTTTCTGGCCTTCCCACTATTAAGGAAAAAAACTCTGCCCCCTTTGCTCTGAGGAAAAATAATAATGCATATCTTCTCACAGCTTTACATATCAGCACAAATACAAAATATGAGACCCTATATTTTCCCTTATATAAGAAAAAGTAAAAGTAAATTGAGAAGTAAAAATTAAAATTAGACATAAAAAAATCAAGTGTGTCACAACTTAAGAAAACAAATTTGCACACATACAAGACTAATAAGAAGGATAATGTAACCATAGATAATCTGAAAATTAGTGAATAAAAATAATGTATGAACAATCCTGGGAAAGTGGTGATTTCTCTACCCATAAAAAAACTGTATGTATATATGTGTGTGTATATATATATATGTGTGTGTGTGTGTGTGTGTATGGCTAGAAAATCACTATTATATATACATGTATAAATATGTCTATATGTATATAAATAGTAATTTTGTAGCCATATATAGTAGCCATATGAAAGCTTAAATCCTATAAGAAAAGAAACGGATTATCAAAAAGAAGCAACAATATTTACAAAGCATAAATGTTTTAATTATTCTTTCAAAACCTAAGAAAAATGTAATATGAACTCCATCTTATATTTGAAGTAATTTTTCAAATCATTAAGTATTTTCTCATAAAATATTTTATGTTTGCATAATAATCAGTTATAATCAATTACAAGGAAGGATTTGCAAATTTAAAAGTATTTAAGTGATTTGCAACCACACAGAGGTATATTAATCCACCCAAACATAAATCTCAAAATTATCCCAAGAAAAGTAATTTTCAAAACTATACAATGCTACAAAAAAGAAAGATTATCAAAAATAAGCAACAATATTTACAAAGCCTAAAGGTTTTAATTGTTTTTTCAAAACATAAGAGAAACCTAATTCTCATAATACAAATTTTTTAAAGAATATTAGAAAGATGGAAAGCTACCAAATTCATTTAATGAAGCCAACATAACATTATTAAGCATTCTTGAGAAAGGAGTAAAATAAAGGAACTTGTGTTGCTCTGATGGCCAGTGATGGTGAGCATTTTTTCATGTGTTTTTTGGCTGCATAAATGTCTTCTTTTGAGAAGTGTCTGTTCATGTCCTTCGCCCACTTTTTGATGGGGTTGTTTGTTTTTTTTCTTGTAAATTTGTTTGAGTTCATTGTAGATTCTGGATATTAGCTCTTTGTCAGATGAGTAGGTTGCGAAAATCATTAAAAAGTCAGGAAACAACAGGTGCTGGAGAGGATGTGGAGAAATAGGAAGACTTTTACACTGCTGGTGGGACTGTGAACTAGTTCAACCATTGCGGAAGTCAGTGTGGCGATTCCTCAGGGATCTAGAACTAGAAATACCATTTGACCCAGCCATCCCATTACTGGGTATATACCCAAAGGACTATAAATCATGCTGCTATAAAGACACATGCACACGTATGTTTATTGCGGCATTATTCACAATAGCAAAGACTTGGAACCAACCCAAATGTCCAACAATGATAGACTGGATTAAGAAAATGTGGCACATATACACCATGGAATACTATGCAGCCATAAAAAATGATGAGTTCATGTCCTTTGTAGGGACATGGATGAAATCGGAAACCATCATTCTCAGTAAACTATCGCAAGAACAAAAAACCAAACACCGCATATTCTCACTCATAGGTGGGAATTGAACAATGAGCTCACATGGACACAGGAAGGGGAACATCACACTCTGGGGACGGTTGTGGGGTGGGGGGAGGGGGGAGGGATAGCATTGGGAGATATACCTAATGCTAGATGACGAGTTAGTGGGTGCAGCACACCAGCATGGCACATGTATACGTATGTAACTAACCTGCACAATGTGCACATGTACCCTAAAACTTAAAGTATAATGATAAAAAAAAAATAAAGGAACTTGTGGACTCTTTCCATTTAGGACCTCTGAGAAGAAGATTCAGTGAGAGCAAGGAATTAATTGAGGAAATACATGTGGAAGGCTGGGAAGAGCTAACAAGAAGAGTCAGGGAACCCCTTCAGACTAGGGAGTTAGCATTATACCTATGGAAGGAGAAGGGGAAGGGAGGAAAATATTGAGGAGAAAGATTCTTAGAGAAGTGCGGGCCTGAGTCTTGCCCAGCTTCATGGGGAGTCCCAACATGTAACATGACTGAAGAAGAGTCTGAGATTGGTTAGATATGGCCAGGCTCTAGGAATCCTAATCGCCTTAGACTTTGGCTGGAGCTGCCCAGGCAGAATGTGCTCTGAGCTTGAATGCTGCAGAGAAAAACAAAGGCACTGCTGCTGCAGGGATGCGGCTGACTGTACACCTTACATATAAATACTCTCTTGACAGGAGAACTACTACACATATCATGTACCATGTAACTGTCCCATAGATCTATATTACTAATTAAATATAGATGCCAAATTTCTAAATGTAACAGCAGAAAATTTTAGTAGCATTATAATAAAAGTAATATATTATAATTTATGCTATACATGTTATTTTATATTAAAAATAACCATTATAATTTACTACTAGTATTAGTAAGACTTTATAGTATAAATAAGAAATTATATATACATGCATTTACATATTATATTTTTTTAATGTAGAAATGCAAACCA
The DNA here is from genome assembly GCF_000001405.40 of Homo sapiens. Classification (NCBI taxonomy): domain Eukaryota; kingdom Metazoa; phylum Chordata; class Mammalia; order Primates; family Hominidae; genus Homo; species Homo sapiens. The sequence goes on along the minus strand of NC_000008.11, from coordinate 77,644,474 downwards.
GTCAGGAAAATATAATTGCCTTTTGATGTTTGGTTAGTTGCTTTAAAAATTCAAAGATTCAAATTTTATACTTAACACAACTAATTATATCCATTTATATAAAAAGTTAAATGTAAAATGAAAGAATTAAAAGAAAGTACAGACCAATGTCTAATATAAAAAAAGTCTTCTTAAAAAAATTGTAAATACTGATAAGTTTGACATTTAAAAGTAAATTTACAAAAAATAACAAAATAAATTATAAAGTCAAATAAACTTGGCAAATATATTGAGGAAAAATTACAGAAAAATGGCTAATAGCTATAATTTATGAATAGCCATAATACATTAATAAAATTATATAAACATCTCAACTAAACAATTGCCAAAAATTTTTTTAAGTTTAATCCTTGATGTTGTGATGCTATAGATAAGTAGATACTACATACATTAGTGAATGCACATATATATCTCTCTATATTTTTATATATATTATATATATATTTCAGAGTGTTTCTGGATTGCCTTTTGCAATATATATTCTGAAAGATTCTATTTATTATTTACTTTGGAGTGATTTTTTTTCCTAAAAACTTTTGAAAAATTTAAAGATACATAGAAAATTATATAAGATACATAATATAATATTTATTGATATGCTCTTATTTTAAAAGTTTTAAAACAACTTGAGTTCTCTGCAGTTGGAAATCACTTACTTTTAAATTAGAAATCATTTTCTGTAATTGATTATGACTACTTATTATGCACACATAAACTATGTTATGAGAAAATGCTTAATGAAGTGAAAAATTATTATAATGTATAACAGAAAGAGTTTTAAAATGCAGTTGTACATCACTTAACAACAGGTATATGTTATGAGATGTGTTTTTAGGTCATTTTGTTGTGCAAACATCATAAAGTGCACTTACAGGAATCTAGATGGTAGAGCCTACTACACACATAGGCTATATGGTGTAGCCTGTTGCTCCCAGGCTACGAACCTGTACAGCACGTTACTGTACTGAATACTGTAGGCAATTGTAAAACAATGATAACTATTTGTGTATCTAAACATGTCTAAATATAAAAATGGTACAGTAAGAATGCCATACAAAAGATTAAAAATGGTACACCTGAATAGGGCACATATCACAAGGGGAGCTTGAGGGACTGAAAGTTGCTCTGGGAGAGTCAGTGAGTAAGTGGTAATTCAATGTGCAGGCTAGGACATCACTGTACATTTAGATTACACAAAATTTATAAAAAGTATTTTTCTTTCCTCAGTAATAAATTAATTCTAGCTTTCTGTCACATTTTTCATTTATAACCTTTAAAAAAAAAAAGACATGATCTCTTTGTATTGTCCAGGTTAGAGTGCAGTGGCACAAACTCCTGGGCTCAAGCACCCCACCCAAAATAGCCTCCCCAATAGCTGGGAATACAGGCATGAGCCACCATGCCTGGCTTCCCTTATATACTTTTTAATCTTTTTGACTCTTTTGTAATAACACAGCTTAAAATAAGCATTGTCCAGCAGTACAAAAATATTTTCTTTCTTTATATTTTTATTTATAGACTTATTTTTTTATTTTTATTTATTTATTTTTTTACTTCTTAAACGTTTTTGTTAAAAAATTAAGACACAAACACACACTTGAGCCTAGGCCTACATAGGATCAGGATGATAGATATCATTCTCTTCCATCTTCACATGCTGTCCCTCTGGAAGATTGTCAGGGGCAATAACACATATGGAGCTGTCATCTTCTATGATAATATTGCCTTCTGGAACACCTCCTGGAGGTCCTGCCTGTAGCTAAGCTACAGTTAACTTTTTGTTGTTAATAAGCAGAATGAATACACTCTAAACTGATTAAAAATAGAGTACAGTAAACAAATAAACCACTAACATAATTGTTTATTATTATCATGTATTATGTACTATATATAATTGTATGTGCCAGACTTTTATACAACTGGCAGTGCAGTAGGTTTGTTTGCATCAGCATTGGCACAAACACATTAGTAATGCATTAGTCTATGCTGTTATGATGGCTAAAATGTCACTAGGTGACAGGAATTTTTCTGCTCCAACATGACACGTGGGTCCCAGTTGAAGCGTGCGTGACTGAATTATATTCCAAAATAATTGTTCTAAGCATCAACTAAAAGCAAAGTATCAATTATAGAGTTAATTGTACATGAACAGGAATAGAATTGCACAAACACACAACAGAAAATAAGTTTGATACTGAAAGAATAGACATATACCTTCAAAATGTTTTCAATAAAATCTATTAGTGCAATAGCACGAAAGAACTAATGTTAATAATACCATGATCTGATTAATTTTCCATTGTGAAATAAAACAAAGGTTTTATAAATTTTAGGCTGTTTTATAGGGAGAGAGGCTTCCAAAACTTTTATTATCTGAGTCACACACTCAAGCTCCACGGTGAAATAGAAAGTCAATATTTGTAAGCAGAAAAAAACAGAACTAAAGTATGAGAGTTGGAAATAACCAGTTGGATGCTATTTGGGGGCTAGAAGTTCTGAAAAGGAGGGAATCAAAAAATAGATGAGATTTAGTTATGAGAAGAGGATTCCTGAACCAAGTACATTAGGCATTGTCTCACCATCTTGGAGACCTCAGTGGAAATCCAGGTGCTTCTGCCTGGGCTCGGTGTATAGTTTTCAGGTGGCCTAGAGAAACAGACAGAGCAAGAGGAAAGGAAAAGAAGGAAAGAGATGAAAGAAAGCAAGTGGCTACTGAAGAACCAATGTTATTCTCAATTATTATAGGAGACAACACAAAACACAGAAATGGATGGTTGGTACTTAACACTGATCGTAGTGCGTGTTTCCTGTCATCACACTGAAATTCCATCACCTGCATTTTCTCTCTAGTCCTTTCACTTTATAAAGTAGATTTAGGTGATGAAATTCTGTCAATTCATCTGTCAAATAGCCTCCATACTATTTCAACTCTATCAGGACAAATACTCTTCTTTCATTCAGGACATATGGAAAACCATTGTATTTCTTTTTGTCTTATTTCTGCCTGTTTAGATTTCATCAGGAAAGATTTTTTTTCTATTTTCCTTAATATTTTTCTGTCCACACAATTGTTACTAAATCTGAAATGCTATCTATCTTCTACCCCAACTGATTCATTTTCTGTTTGCAGGAAAGCCTCTCATGGGCCTTTCATGTGGGTGTGAAAGACCAGTAACCTCAGCGGATATACACACAGAAAAATAATTTTAAAATATTTATTTTTATGAATTTTCATTTTCATAAAAAATTTCTCATAGTATCCCCACAGCCAATTTTCCCCAGAGTAGAAAATCATATCAGGAAGCCCCTGAAAATATCAATAAAACACCAACCTACAGATAATCTAAATGAAAATCATGCCAAGGGCTGGATTTGCAGTTTGGGTCCTCCTTATCATTTCAGGAAACATCATTGATGAGAGTTTAATCCCAAGTAAGAGAGAAAATAAAACAAAAACACCTTAAAACAGGCAGGGCAGGAAGAACGTCGGGAACCTTAGGAGATCCTCTCATTAGTGCATGGAGACAGGCAAGCATGGCATCTAGTTGAGTCTTTTGGAACTGGAAGAATGAAAAGTGGTGAGCAAGACCTTCTTAATGCAGGATTCTAATCTAAGACTATACAGAGTTACTGAAATTCCCATTTATTGTATTCTCAGTGTATTGATAATACTTACATTGTTACTTATCCTTGAGATCTAAGCAGCAAAATGGGCCAAGAGTCATCCCTATCTTTGAGCTAGTCGATACTATATTCCAGATAAATTTTACTATGTTTCTAAAAATATGTAGCTCAACATTAGAAAAGATTATTCTGGCTATGAAGCACCTACAGATGCACTAGTCTGAGCTTTTTTACTTCCTCTCCTCTCCCTTTCCCCTTTTCGTCCTTCAGTTCTCTTATTCTACCCTTACTTTCAAAGGACTTTGGGCTCTATAATACAGAATCCATTTAATTCTTTAAGAAATAACCATGAAGCAATGTAAAGGGCAAAGTTGGTAAGAAAAATCCTCTGACTTCTATTTTAACAACAACATCAACAACAACAAAAAACAAAACAAAAAAAAAACAAAAAACAAAAAAAACAGCAAAGCCCTCAAAATGTAATTTGGGGGCACTTGCAAAGGCTTTCTCACAAAGAATATTAGACAGGATTTTCATTAGACTTGGCCTTATATATTAGAATTCTATACAGTTGTTGTTACATTACTCAAAACAGTGGATGAACAAACTGTCTAGAACTAGCAGTTATTAATATATCCTCTTCAAAAAAAAAAAAACAGAACAAAACCCAGCTTGAATGTATATGTAATAAATATTGCTTACAAAAGAAGCAACCACACTCTCTTCAAAACACAAAGAAGTCTCACATATACCAACCTGCCGGGGGAAGATATTTGGCTTGCAAAACAATCAGTTTTATCCCCAGAAAATAGGTCTAATTTACTGACGGCTATAAACTGAATAGTAAATTGACTCTTTATTATATCATCTCTCCTAGTATTACACTATGAGCCTGGTTCAAGAATCACTGTCCAGCTGCTCCATGAAAGCCTGCATAAAGATACATGGACCCTGAAAATAATCTATTTCCCAGTTCTTTGTGGCCCTGGAAAGGCACAGAATTTATGGGACTTGTTAGAGAAGCCAGGCTAATAAAAACAGAAAGATACCCGAGTGTTCTTGGCAGTACCTTGTTCCTATAGATGTAAAAGTGTTTAAGCTTCTCTGTCCAAGATAATGTTCTTGCCATCCAGTGAATGAAATCGTAGGAGAAGCTAGCCAATAATGTTCAACAATGCATTCTATTTATTGTACCTAGTAATAATTAAATCTGTCCAATGAAAAATGGCATTTTGTTTAAAACAGTTCCTGTTCCCTTATTATCGTTTCTTTTGCCCTAAAAATGCAATTGTTATCTATTGCACTGACAGTCATAAAGGTTCTCAGAGGAACACAGTGATAAGTATGGCATAGAAGGGTTGATAAAACATTAGTAATACAATGATGTTTTTCACTCTTTTAAACCTTTTGTCATTCTCTTTTCTAGAGCTAAATCTTCTATTAAACAAGGAAATAAACCGATATAAAGAGGTAATTACTTTTTATGATTGTTTTTGAAGAATCGGGGATTTTAGACCATCAAAAATACCAGACGTATTGATGTGTTCAATGACCAAAATTTATCTGAAAAAGAATAATATGGGTAATGGTAGGCAGGGCTGTTATGATTCTCTGTATACTTATTACTTCTCCCTACATATTTCATTTAAAACAGTGTAATTTTGTAAGACATAAGTGGAGTGAGTTATTGAAAGCAGTGGATGTGAGGAAAACCTTATCTTTCTGAAAAATGGTATAATCAGACGATATTTAAATACTTTTGCACAATCATCTTTATATTTACCAACATAAAATGGAAAGAAAGAAATAAAAGTAACACACAGATTGGAATTGAGAAGAAAAAGCAGTAAAGTCAAATAATTGTTCTGATTTTTTTTTGAGAGCTGTTCTGTCTGATATAGCAACCACAGACATGTACAAGTATTTAAATTTAAGTTTAAGTTTAAATTGATTTTAATTAAATAACATTAAAAATATAATGTCTCAGTGTCACTGGCCACATTTCAAGAACTCAGTATCTGCAAGTGGCTAGTGACTACAGTATTGGGTCAAAAAACATATAGAACATTTTAAAACAGAAATTGCTATTGGGCAGTGTTATTCTAGAGAGCACTCATTATCATCTCTACAGACCTTTCATATTCCTGTGATATTTTCTGTCGTCTATGGAAAGTACCAAAGCAGTAACAAAAGAGAAGCAAAACATTTATTGTATAACATTAATTGTACTTATCTTGACCCTGCAAGAAATTAGAATGACTCTTATTTACAGAAACCTATAAGAGTAAATAGATTATCAATATTGTTGCAATAGCTAATAGTCAAGCCCATTTTAGCTGTAACACAGTGTGGAACCTATCAATCAAGAAGTATGTTTTTGGGGGTGCTATTGTCTACCAAGCACTGTTCTACACACATGGAATGTAAAAGTAAACAGAAAAGAAATCCTTGCATTCAAAGATCAGCATTCAGATTTTGCTTCAGTACCTTCTATAATTATCTGGCACTGCCCTGAAACTTTAGTGGGTATTGAGAGTCCTACAACCCTTTCCAGATATTATTTGAACTCAATAAAACTAGTTATAAGCTATTAGTAAATGGGGGATTTAAATGATATCTGGTTTTAGTAGAGTCTTTTTTTCCCAACATGCATTTGCTTTATTTCTTTTACTTTTAAAATTGCCTATATTGTTAATTTTTTTTTTTTTAGTTTACTATCTGTGCAGGCTGTCTCAGAGGCAAGAGATAAAACTAATATACCGGATCTTAAATATGAACATCTTTCTATAGTAAATACTGAATAATAATGGCAAGTCTGATAAATCTGACAGAAATATAAAAACAAATTAAAAGACAGATGCTTGTTTTCAGTAACATTTTCAAAATTCCAAATTCATCAAATTATTGTAAAAAACTTCCCTTTATTATCTCTATTGATTAAAAAATAAACGTACAACCCTGTTTTTCAAAAAGACCTACTGCCAATTTTTCTCTAAGCCTTATTTCTCTCTAACCTTATTTCATCATTAACTCAATTTCCCTGCCACAGCCTTTACATTTATAACCCTATTCTTCACAAGAAATGAATTTGAACAAGAAAACTTCTTCTGGCAGAAAAAAATATCAACAAAAGCTGTTAACCATAAATATTCTTACACTGTCATACCCCTGTAATTTATACTGAAATCACAGAACTCAAATTATGTGTGCAATTGTGTAGTAGGCACAATTTCTTCCCATATACATATATATACACATACCCAAGTGCAAAGTTAAAATACATATTTTTTTATTATACTTTAAGTTCTGGGATACATGGGCAGGACATGCAGGTTTGTTACATAGGTATACACGTGCCATGGTGGTTTACTGCACCCATCAAACCATCATCTACAGTAGGTATTTCTCCTAACGCTACTCCTCCCCTAGCCCTACACCCCCGCATAGGCCCCAGTGTGTGATGTTTCCCTCCCTGTGTTCACGTGTTCTCATTGTTCAATGCCTACTTATAAGTGAGAGCATGCAATGTTTGGTTTTCTCTTCCTGTGTTAGTTTGCTGAGAATGATGGTTTACAGGTTCATCCATGTCCCTGCAAAGGATATGAACTCATCCTTTTTTTGTTTTTGTTTGTGTTTTTTTGTTTTTTGAGACGGAGTCTCATTCAGTCACCAGGCTGGAGGGCAGTTGCGCGATCTTGGCTCACTGCAACCTCCAACTCCCTGGTTGAAGCAATTCTCCTGCCTCAGCCTCCCGAGTAGCTGGGTTTACAGGCATGTGCCACCACACCCAGATAATTTTTGTATTTTTAGTAGAGATGGGGTTTCACCATGTTGGCCAGGTGGTCTCGATCTCCGATCTCCTGACCTCATGATCTGCCCACCTCAGCCTCCCAAAGTGCTGGAATTACAGGCGTGAGCCACTGTACCTGGCTGAACTCATCCTTTTTTATGGCGGCATAGTATTCCATGATCTACATGTGCCATATTTTCTTTATCCACATTTTCTTTATCCAGTCTATCACTGATGGGCGTTTGGGTTGGTTCCAAATCTTTGCTATTGTGAATAGTGCTGCAATAAACATAGGTGTGCATGTGTCTTTATAGTAGAATGATTTACAATCCTTTGGGTATATACCCAGTAATGAGATTGCTGGGTCAATAGGCATGGGCAAAGACATCATGACAAAAACACCAAAAGCAATGGCAACAAAAGCCAAAATTAACAAATGGGATCAAATTAAACTAAAGAGCTTCTGCACAGCAAAAGAAACTATCATCAGAGTGAAAGGCAACCTACAGAATAGGAAAAAATTTTGGCAATTTATCCATCTGACAAAGGGCTAATATCCAGAATCTACAAGGAACTTAAACAGTTTTACAAGAAAAAAACAAACAACCCCATCAAAAAGTGGGCAAAGTATATGAACAGACACTTCTTAAAAGAAGACATTTATGTGGCCAACAATCATATAAAAAAAGCTCATCATCACTGGTCATTAGAGAAATGCAAATCAAAACCACGATAAGATACCATCTCAGGCTAGTTAGAATGGCATTCATTAAAATGTCAGGAAACAATAGATCCTGGAGAGGATGTGGAGAAATAGGAACGCTTTTACACTGTTGGTGGGAGTTAAAATTAGTTCAGCCATTGTAGAAGTCAGTGTGGCGACTCCTCAAGGATCTAGAACCAGTTTAAATATGTTTTAACGTGATGGCTTAAGTTACCATAAGTCTGGCTATTCCAAATTAATAGCAAGACTCTGTCTTTATCCCATCTACTATTACAACAGAGTATCAAAACCCATCCAACCACTGTGCAAAGATGATAAGTAAAGTAGATGAAATTTACTGATAGATTTTTAGGTATGTTAAACTTGAGTTCAAACATTAGGTAGTCACTTAAATTTTAAACTGTTAAAACAAAATGTGGAAACCACAGACTTTCTTCTTGCAGGATGTCACTAATTTTGAGTGTATACTTTTATTTTCAGAAAAGGTGATGAGCAGGAATTCAATGAGTGTTAACACCAGTTTTAGGTGAAATTTAGGACATGTGTTAATGCACTAGTTCCACAAAGATTGAGTGAGTGCTCACATGTGTCATGCCCTTTACCAAGCATTGGCAGAGGTGAGAAGAATAACACACTCATCCTCACACTGTAACTAGTTAATAAAAGATGCCCAAATAACTATCTGTAAGCCAGCGTGATAATTTCCACAAAGAAAATATTCATGAACTTGAGTTGCGGCCCAAAAGAGAAAATGATGCATTAAAGAATACTTCATATGCATTTTAGACTAATGATTATATTGATGTAAAAGAATAATTAATGAACACAGTTGCAAACAATCCATAATAGGTATTATAATTATGTATTAGTACTCTAGTCATTGTCATGTCCAAAACGGTATTTTTCAATGAAGCCCTGTAAATACAAACCTTGAATGAGAAGAAATTTTCACATTTTGCAGAAAATACAGGCATCTACCTATGAGGCATCATGCTTTAGAGACAGTGTTTTAGACATAGAAAAACATATATTTTGGCAAAAAAAAAAGGCTGGGGTAAATATTTTTTGTACTTGGGAAATCTTCTGGAAAATGGAGAGATTTCTATATCTTAGGTGTTCTAGGAGAGAAATGGATGTATAAGTTAGTTCAACATGAGTTTTGGATTCTTTTCCGTCCCCAAGGCCCAGATAATGAAAATTTCCTTAATGTAATTCCTTTCTAGCATTGTGTAGTAAGAACTAAGCCATATTCCAAGGGTGAAGCAAATGTAGAGACCCAGTGAGCTGGCTCATAACAATCCCCTATGAAGGAGTAAGTCATCGTTTTTCTATTACAGAACCAATGACCCAAAGAGTGAGATAAAATCACCACACTCAGGTTAATGACCTCTCCTCTATAAAGTTCTTCTTTGGCTTTCAGAACAAGACAGTTGTAGATTTGTCTAAGCATTCAATGTTCCAAACATGTCTCAACTGGAGCGCTCAGAGAATGAATTACCAACATAATACCAAGATTAGGTTTGCTTGGTTTGTACATGAATCCTGTCCCATTACCACTCTGAAGTCCAATGATACTTTGGTATTAAAAAAAAAAATAGGGATGGATAGTTAGCTAGCTAGCTAGCTAGCTAGATAGATAGATGTTAAATGGACTGAATAAATTCTGGTCATACAAACTTACCTGAAGATTAATTTGCTAGGTGAGAGAATATTCTATCCATTAAACTAACTCATTTATATAAATGATAAAATATGTAGTAATGCTATATTTCTTGTAATTTCTAATTACTACAATATTTTGAAAATATATTCAAATGCTACATGATTAGTTTCTCTCTTTAGAAACACGTATCTCAGGCAGATGAAATTAATTAACAGCGTCAATCTGGTCCAAGGATCTAAATTCCTCACTCATTACTGGAGTTGGTGGTTTGTGGAATGAAATGTGTGTTTGTGCATGTATGCATGACTTATTGAGGCACTAATTTTGTAACCACAAACTTACTCACCCAGAATCAAAGAGCGAGATTTCAAATACAGTAATTTGTTTTACATAGACCATTAATTACATTAGTTTTCTGCATATATCCAGATGTGCACAGAAACATTCATTGGAGAATATACAATCTTTCTGCTCTAAAATAGTTCACAGCACAGCAAACACAGGCATCCATTTTCCCAAGGGATAGGTCTTCTAACATCAATTTAAATAGACATGGGCTGAAATTTTAAGTTTGTTTTAGAACTTGAGCTTTCACAATCTTAGCCTTACACTGGACCTTAGTTCATTCTTCCTGGGGAGTTTTTAATGGCATCTCAATCTCCTAAACAGTGTGCAGTACATTCTGTTTTTTACATTAGCATTCTTAATGTGTCCTTGAAATACCTGGGGTACTGGGGATTGTTCAGCCACAATGCACAAGTCTTGTGTTATGTAGCTGGAAGAATACTTAGAAGCACTGGTAAAAAAATGACTGTATGTAGTTTTTAACAATTTATTTAAAAATTTTTAAAAATACATTTGAAATGTTCTCACATCAGTATTCAAATACCTGTATCTTCTATGCAATTAGATTTTTAAAACCTTTTAAGATTCTTCTTGACACATGATTTCATCCTCTCTGAGAGACATAGAAAAAAAATCTTGTATAGCATGAGCAATTATGACTTTTAGAAAGTGTTATTCTTTGAGTCTTGGTAGTCTCTCTTTGTGTAAGACTCATTATTGATGGCTTCCTTTCAGTTCCAAAGAATGACAGCTGACAAAGGTTCTCATAAATCTAGCATCTGCTCTTCAATTTGTCTTTGTAGGTATAATATTTCATCAATGGACACATCATGCTTCTTATTTGGAGAAACATAATTATTAAATACAAAATCTGTTCAAATTATTCATAAGAGCTGATTTTTAAAACACCAAAGGCCGTATAGTTGTGTCACTTGGTCTTTAGCTGAATACTATTAGCTTTACTACTAACACATATAAATAAATAAGAGCGAAAATTTTGGCTGAGTATGAAACTTGAAATTTATGAATTTTTATGAATTTTATGAAATGTTATGAATTTTATGGGTTTATGATCTTTTGGGGATTACAGTTTACTAACTAACGATAAAATGCAGCTTCTTAGAACAGGAAGGAAAGAGAATTATTTAAAAGATTCTCACAAACTTTCCTAGGCATGAGATGACTTTCATGAACAATAATATGACAAGTTAAGTGCAAATGAATCAGAACATATGGATTAAATTTCTCTTGAAGTATACATGGTTTTGTAAATTATGAGCACAAAAAAAGGAATGGGAAAATGCAGTTTCAACTTTGCCAAACCCAAGACATTTGAACAATTTTTCAAGAAAGTGTTCCAGACACATATTTTCCTCTTTTAAATCCACCTAATATAAGAAGAAACACTTTGAACTTATATAGCCAGTTCTTTCTCAATAACTCAAAGTTCTTTTGGAATTTCCTCATGTCTTCCTTATAGTAGCCTTACGAACAAATTTTAGATATAATATTGGTATTCTATATGTGTGTCATAATGGGAAAAGTTTAAAAATTATGTGGTTTGTAAACAAGGAAGAACCAGGTGTTACAACTTACATTAAACGAAAGCCAATGAATCAGATTTTCCCCAAACTCTATGAATATATTACTCTCAGCAACATTATAAAACATAAATGTAGAATCCTAGTATGAATTGATTATAGAAGTCTGTAACTATTCTGAGGCAAGACAATTTTCCATAAATACATTATACCCAATATCTATCAAAAACTATTTGATTATCTTCCAATTTATTTTTCCAATTATTTTACTGTACAAAGAAGATATTTTCCTTTAAAAATGAATCAGAGAGTCTGGAAGTGATGGCTCAGACTTTGTAATTCTGGCACTTTGAGAGGCCAAAGCACTAGTATAGGCTGAGGTCAGGAGTTTGAGACCAGCCTGGGCAACATAGTAAGATCCTTGTCTTGACAAAATAAAAATCAGAAAATTAGCCTGGCATGGTGACATATACCTGTAGTCCCAGCTGGGGAATGCTGAAGTAGGACGTTTGCTTGAGCCCAGATGGTTGAGGCTACAGTGAACCATGAATGTACCACTGCACTCTAGCCTGGGACACAGGGTAAGGCACTGTCTCAAAATTTTTTTTTTTTTAAATCAGAGATGATAGATATAGCACAAAGGGATGAAAATCAAAAATACCATCTATTGCTAACATTTTGGGGTATATTTTCTACATTTCTCCTTCAGTATAACTACATGCATATATTATTTATAATATACATACCATAATATAATTTTTATGTTATTTATTCTAATTGATTTTAGACATGTATAGTATATATGTACATTATATGCACATGTTATACATTTTTATAATTGTATATTTTATAAAAATATACATTTTTATAATAATAATATAATTTATTATATGCACATGTTATACAATTTTATAATTGCTATTAAAATTAGACCACACTATGCACATTATTTTTCAATCTAAATTTCTCCATTAATTTATTATTTTATTTTAATATATCTATCAATATAATTGACATAATATCATTTTCTAAGTCACACTGGTTATATGCATTTATAGGATCAACGTTTTTCATATATATTTTTTAAATTTTTAGTATTAATTTCCTAGAGATAGGATCTCGCTCTATTGCCTAGGCTGGAGTGAAGTAGTGTGAACATAGCTCACTTCAGCCTTCAACTCCTGAGTTCAAAGGATCCTCCCACTCCCAGTCTCCCAAGTAGCTAGGACTACAAGTGTCAGGTGTGTATTACCATTCCTCATGCCCGGCTAATATTTTCTTCTTGTTCTTCTTCTTTTTGTTTTGTTTTTTTTTGGTAGAGGTGAGGTCCTGCTTTGTTACTCACCCTGGTCTCAAACTCCTGAACTCAAGCCATCTTCTCACCTCAGTTTCCACCTGAGCCTCTGAAAGCTCTGGGATTACAGGTATGAGCCACAGCTGTGCCCAGCTGATGTTTTCCATATTGTCAAAAAATAGGTATAGGCAAATTTTTAAGTTACCAATATATGGAGCTTATAAACTTCAAAAAGATCACACTGCTCCTGGCCAAACACATTTCAGTTCTTTATTCCTGTAGACCTCATAAGGGATAGGAATCTTATGTCCTTGATTCACTGCTAGATGACCTGGGCTTAACACAGTGCAGTACATAAGAGTGATTTGATGCAAAAATGAATGAATGCATATGTTTGCCCTACTATCCCTTATATACCCCACTCTCTCTGAGTATCACTCTGATCTGCTAGACACTTTCTAGCCTCTACCAGCATGAGGTAGAATGCTAGTCCTCTCCCTCTTATTTAAAACTCCATATTCATCCTACTGACAATGTTCTTCGTTTACTTTTGTGGTCAGTTTATTTGATTTTGTTATTGAGATGAACATGCATTTTTTATTATAGAATTCAACCTAAAAATGGAAATTTTGTTTGATGTATTAAGTCACAGGATCTATATTAACTTGGAAACTACAGATACAAATTGGTGGAAGCTAATAAGAGAGACAGAGAAATTTCCATAGGGATTCCTTTGTATCTACTCTTCCCCTCCTGAGATCGATCTATCTATCTATCTATCTATCTATCTATCTATCTATCTATCTATCTATCTATCATCTATCTTAATTTTATATATAAATATTGATTGATATATATAATTCATTTATATATATTAATTTCAATCTCTCCCCAACTCCACTACCTCTGGCATCATTTTCACTAAGTGGCTAATACTTGAGTTGCTTACTCTATCCTTTCGCTCAGCAGAAGCAGCTAAATTTCTTTTCAATCACTCTTCGTCTTATCCAATGACTTTCTTTCTGTTCCCTTTTAACTCTACATGAAGCAAAAATAACAGATGTTTTCTTTTTTTGCCAACAGATTTTAAATAAGCACAGGTTTATAGGCATTATAATTATTAAACATCATGAATTTTCTTAAAACAAAAGGCATTATTAGAAAATTCAGCCAATCTAATTACCATAAACAATTGTCATATGCCCATTTGCCCAGCACTGTGTCTTTTATTAGTATACTCCACAAATGATGTTTAAATGCCTTCCATGTATTAGGCACCATGATGAATTTTAATCCTATGTCAGGTGCAGAAAGCGGTGTTAAATTTCTTGTATTTAGTGAAAGAGAAACAAACAAACAAAAGCCAAAACAAGAGACTATGTGATAGGTGATATGAGAAGGAAAACAGAAATTTATGGGAACAAACACAAAAACCTATAACTGTATTGGACAGAGGGCAAGAATCACTACATAGCAGAGCTAAAGTTAGGAACTATTATTACAAAGGGGACTAATTTTAAAAATATTTAGAATGTAGCATCAGTAGGGTTTGGTGAGCAATTGGGTATTGGTAGGAATGGAAAATGGATCCTTGCATTTCTTTGTGATTTCTTGCTTGGATGACAAAGTAGGTGTCTGATAAACAAAGGAATGTGCAAATGCATTGAAGATCCTGCCATAGATAGAAATTTGGTTAGATATTGTTTAGAGGAGGAATGGCAAGTATGTAGCTGGGATTTTGATATAGGCCAGATCTTGAAGGACATTGAATGCCCCAGAAAGCTGGACTCTCAAGAAATGTATTCAAATGCTTTAAGGATATTACAATAATCTTTATGATTTTCATGAATATAAAACATGTATTCTCTAAAATTCAAATAATGCAAAATAAATACATTTTAAAAAACAATAACTGACGATAAAAGTATTATGAGTAAGTCATGTAGATAGATGAAAAGTTAAATGAGCTAGATGATTTATTTCTCACAGTTTACATATCATATGTTTTTTATTTTAAAAACGAGTCAAGCCAGGTGCAGTGACTCATGCCTGTAATCCCAATGACTTGGAAGGATGAGACAGAAGAATCACTTGAGGCCAGGAGTTTGAAAGCAACCTGGGTAACATAGTAAGACCATGTTTTTCCAAAATGAAACAAACAAACAAACAAAATAGCCAGATATGGTGGTGCATGCTTGTATTCCCAGCAACTCAGGAGGCTGAAGTGGGAGGATCACTTGAGTCCCAAGTTAAAGGCTGCAGTGAGCTATAATGGTATCTTTACACTCCAACCTGGATGACAGAGACTGTATCTCCAAATATTTTTTTAATGAATCACAGTCAATATAATAATTTGTGGCCTACTTTTTTTGTTGTGAACATACCATGAACCTATTTTCACCTCAGTTTATATAAATCTGTAAGTCTATCTAATACTTACATAGCAGTCCATTGTATGGGGAATAAAACAATGTCCAATAAGATGTTGAACAAATAAATACTAGTGCATCATGTAAAGACTTATAAACAGCAAATTAAATGATCACAATTTTGTATTAGAAAGATTTCTCTAGCAGAACATTTTGGAGGAATCACACTAAGAGAAAAGGAATATTATTTGGGAAGCTATTAAAGTATTCTATGTAAGAAGTGATGAAGGTCTGAATTGAAAACATTGCAACTACTAAAGAAATTACTTCACAAAGAATGTCAGTTATAAGTAGGTGCTGGAAGTATCAAATGCATAGAATGGAAAAACTTTATTTAAAGGTATTTAGTATGCAGAATCAGAGGGACTTGATGACCAATAACATATGTGTAGGGGGAAGAATATGAAAAAAAGCAATAAAAATTGAATTGAGAATTTTGGCTTGATGTGGCAAGGAGAAGAGTGATATCATTTTCACTGGCCAAGAACACTGAATGAGACCTGCCTGTGGGAGGTGAGACTGAGAAGCTGAACCCAGTTTGGGATTTTGCCTTGGGAGAACTTGTGGGAGATTTTGGAGACTGTGCTTGAAGTTCTACAGCAGACACTAGGGAGGGCCATTACTATCAGTGCCTTCTGCAGAGGCAATAACTGTAGTCTATAGCAAAGATAATATTGTTCAGGAATATGGTGCACACGGAGAAGGGTTGAGAGCAGAATGCTACGCAACAAGCCCGAGGACCCAGGGAAGGAGGCATGGAGAAGAGAGAGCCTTCAGAGCATTGTGGCAGAGATGGAGTCAGATGTTGCTCTGAGATCAATGATGAGAAGTTTCAAATTGTGATCAACAGTTTTTACAAATAAGATAATATCAAATTATGGAAAGCAGTACTAGTTAAGACATAAATCGAGAATTCATATTATAGGTGATTGACAAATAAATTAACTTGTGGAAGCACAGTCAAAGAATGTAAACCTTTCAGGGAGATTGGCTGGAAAGGAAAGAGAAGAGCTGAGGAGAATTATCAGAGAACATGCAGTCAGAAGAATATGGGTAACTGCATGTTTTATGTATGCACACATGGCCTATGTGTGCACCTGTGAGAAGACTGGAGAGTCTACTATGTTTGTGGACAAAGCAGAAGCCAGTGAAATACTGACAATACATAGAAAAGGAAAAAAAAATAAAGAAGGAAGTGAGGCATGGGATTCAGAGTTCTGGTGGTGGAGAGATTATCTTTTGAAAAAATATATTCTGTTAAAATGGGAAGAAAGGAGAAAGAAACCTCACTATGTGTGAGGGAGGTGAAAAACAGGAAGAAGTTAATGGTTGGTGTTCTTTAAGAAAACATGTAAACAAATCTAATAAATTCGAGTTCAGAAGAGGAAATAACAAATGCAATGGGATTAGTTTGGAAGGACCTCAATTTGTTTCTGGAACCTTAGTTTGCTCTGTCCCACATTCATGAAGAAATGTGGAAATAGCAAAGAGAGATATAAACGAGTTCAGGATGATAATAAGCCATATCTGGGAGTTTTGAAGCAGAAGGCAGCTAAATATCACAGTTTTTCCCTCATCTTAGCAAATGAACATTTCCACGTCTGCTAGTTTACCGTTAGGTCAACTCCTGAGAACTACAAATTCATGGTTGCTTTATAAAACTAACCCCACCACTCAGGCCTTACTCTCTTCTTTGGGACCTTACTCTGAAAGTTATTATAAATACCTCACTTTATTTTTTTTTAATTTCCTGTTTCAAATAAAACTATCTGCTTGACTCTAGTTTGTCAAATACTCAACTTGCTCTTCCATCCGAAAAATCTTGAACCCCGAGGTTTACACTTAGTGACTGAATGTCTTTAACATGCATCTCTCTTTATACCATCTCTCTTGCTTCTGTTCAGATACTTACATGAGATTCTTCTCTGTGAGGTTATCTGTAACTTATTGATAAACCAAGTGTCTTTTTCTCAATTTTATTCTTTATTGATTTTCTGAAATGTTCAAACTTCTGGATATCTCTTAATGCCCTAGATACAAGCATTGGTTTTAAACACTTTTGTAGGATAATTTAAAAATAACAATGTTGTTATCTGGGTTCACCAACATTCACGTTTTCAGAACAAAAATTGGAACTCATGAACTGATTAGAGAATTTTAAAAAATTATAATGATGTTGTATATGAAATATGTAAGAGTATAACATTAATGATACATTTAAATTATGCACTAAAAGGTATCATTAAATAGTGTGTTTTTAAAAATATGTCTCAAAAACTTGGGATTGTTCTGGAAAATCCTGGGAGTATCCAACTACAAAGTAGCAAAGTCATTTATGATGTATGTTTCAGGCTTAAATACAATAAATTCTACTGGAGGATAACAACCTTAATTCACAGTATTAATAACTCAATTCAGTAAAATAATTTTAAATATCTGTCTGATTCCCTACTCAAATAGGGAAAAAAGTACAAAACAAAAAGTACAACACATCCAAACTACATTGTAGTCAAAAGTGTTCTTTATAATATATTATCATGAAGGTAAAAATTTAATAACTTCAAAAAGTCTAATAAATGTTCACTTTTTTTCACTTGGAAGGGGCTCTATTTTTCTGGTTTTACCTCAATGGTTCTAACTGTAGCAGCATCCTTGGTTTGTGCCATACACAAACTAGTAGTAGGTGCTGGGGATATAGAGGTGACCAAAAAAGTTTCCGTGGAGCTTTCTGTCTGCTGAGTGATATAGTTATTAGTCAAATTATTACACAAATAAAGATAAATTTACCACTGAATTAAGGTTCCAGTAAGGAAATGCATGGTTCTGTTAGATTTGAAGATGAAAATGTTTCCTGGAGGAAGTTATATTTGAACTGATATCTGAGAGAGGACTGGGACAGATGGGTGTGGAGAGTGAGACTGCAAGACAGCATAGATAATTTGAGGAGGTAAGAACACCACGCATGGGTAACAGAGCAGGAGAAAATAGGGTCAGCATAAAGAAAAGGTCTGTTTGCCTACAATGAAGCTACAATGGATGACTGAGTAAAATGAGGGTGCTAGACAGAGAGGTACAAAGTCTTGTTTACCAGACCATCCTAAAGCTTTAAAACTATACGTAGCTCTGAGAGAATGCTCAATTCATGTTTGACGTAAGAATAAATACATGTTACTTTAAAAATGTTGAAAATATACCACTTTGGGAAGTAAAAAAGGGAAGAAAAGGTCCCCTATGATTTCCAACAGGATTGGCATTTGAGAAATATTTGAATGTGGAGTAAAAACAGAAAAACAGCGACACACTTAAATTAGGGCACGCAACAACAAAGGTGCTTTAACACTGTGCCATTACAAAGGACCAAGAAACAGAGAAAATTTACTACCTTTAAATTCACTCACACCCCAAAGGATTATCCACAATAGCAATAATTCCAGATTCATATAGCAATGTTGCCAGATTCTAGGATTTAGCATTGTTGAATTAACTCTATAGTGCTTGTTGTTGGACAGTAATGCAAGCAAATATTGTATTCCTAATTAACCATCTTCATAAAAACAATATTCATCAGGATTTACTCTCAACTTTCCAAATTACCTTTTCTATTTAGATGCTTTCTACATTACCATGTGACAGAGGTTTCTATAATATAACTAGGTTTATTTTTTTTTAAACTGACATTTCTTGTATCAGAAAATCAAATCTTAAGAATGTATAATATTCTGCTACTTATATGAATGCCTTTTAAAACTTTTTTTGGTATGCTATGGCAAGAACTTTGATATTGAGAGTTATTGACCATAAACTTCATCAGCTTACATAGTCTAATAATCAGTGGCAATTTTTGTACTAATTTTTCTTAAATTAAGAAAAGTAAAATAACATTGCCCTGAATAATTTAAAGACAATATTGCAGTTTAAAAACTGTAGAAAATGTAACATAAAAACTAATAATATCTTTGAAGCACCAAATGTTATTTTCCATTTCTAAATATTTTAATTTTTCAATGCAAAGCAGAAATCTTCATTTGTCTTCGTAATTCTCTGTTTCAAAGGTACCATTGCTCTTTGATTCTTCTCTAAATCAAATTCTATTATTGCCTATTAAGTTGGTTTTGATATCCATGGTGGAAGAATCATATGGAAAACTTTTGGCGTTTTATTAAATATTTATTTTAGATTTAATTTTATGAAATCTAGTGATGTCCAATTTAGCAATTTCAAATATTGGGAGAACTCTGAAACCTCTATATCTTTTAGTGTTGGTTTTTGACATGTCATCTTTACATGATACTTATAATAACATCAATAATTTTCTACCTGAAATTCTTTTACAAAGATAGTTCTGGGAATTTTACAAGCCTTCAGATAGTTGAATATCTAAAATTCTGTAACAAAGTCAAAGTTAAAAAAAATAATTCTCTAGGTGGATCCATGTTGTCACTTAAGGCAGGATTTTCTTTTTTTGAAGGCTCGATAATATTCCTTTTTAATGTACAGACTACATTTTCTTTCTCCATTCTTCTGTTGATGGACAGTTAGGTTGTTTCCATATCTTGACCATTGTGAATAATCCAACAATGAACATGGAGTACAGATACCTTCAAAATTATGATTTTAATTCTTTTAGGAGGACATTATGCTAATTGTAATAAATCAGTCACAGAAGGACAAATATTGCATGATTCTACTTTCTGAGGTATTAAAGCAGTAACATTCACTAATAAAGAGTGAAATGGTAACTACCAGGATCTGGATGGAGGGGTAAACATGCTATTCAGTGGGTATAAAGTTTCAGTTACCCAAAATAAAAAAGTTCTAGAGGTCTGCTGCACAACATTGTGCCTATAGTTAACAATATTGTATTGTGCACTTAAAATTTTGTTAAGACAATAGATCTCATGTTAAGTGTCCTTAAAGAAAAATAACCATACATAGATGTTTTGTGTATGACAAGATGCAAATTCATTTAAAAGAGACACTTAAAATATAATAGTTGTATAGAGATAATGGATATATAAAACAAGCACTGTAATATTGCTTTTTTCCCATTAATTAAATAAATGTCATCATAAGCCCACAATAGATAGACATATTTAAATAAAGAGAGAACAGAAATTATGTTCTCTATATATGTTACACAATGGGAAAACATATATTTTATATTTTCACCTCAATTTATACAATAAATATGTATTCTTTTACATATGAGAAGAGTTCTTAAAAATCACTCTGTATTAAACCTTTCATTTGATATTAACAATCATTGTGATAATTATTAACTATAATATTAATTATATGACATTATATTATATATTAAATTAATATAATGTCAGTAATACTATATTATGTCAATTTCAATTGTATTAATAATTATTTGGTATAATATCATTATTTATTATACCAGTAACTAAAATTTTAAACAATAGAGGTTTCTTTGTTATTCCATATACTAGCTTACAAGGTTCATGAAGTCCAAGACTTACTTATATTAATTCATCTGAGTAGCTTTGGCTTTGTATGAAGGATATGTGCCTGAAAAATTTAGATAGACAAGAGCTATATTGGGTGTGCAGTGTAGGAGAGACAGGCCAAATTTTTACATTATTAAATAAACAATAGAGAACACTCATTTTCTTAACATTTTTTTACTTGAAGAAATAAGACATTTTAATTCATACGCAAATTAGAAGCTACAGAAATGGTTAAATTATTCACTCTAGTCATGCTCTTCTTTTCCATACTCTTAGATAACAATTCACAGACATACAAACAATAAAAATGTAAACATATATATTTTTATACATAATGTTTAAATTCAAATTTAGAAAACTGGAAAGTTATTTATGGTAACCACTTGCCAAAAACCACATGTGTCAAAATAATAATTAAATTATCAACTGCTGGTGGTAAAACAGTTGAGTAAAAAATGTAAAACTTCAATTTTTTTATAAAACATTTTGATCTAGACTCCTTTTATTATTCAACTATTATTAGGGCATTAAGAAAATAAAAACTGCTTCTTTAAATGACACCTTTTAATTTAGAACAGCTAGGTCTCTAGCTATACAGTGGTGAGGATAGTTTGTTCTGAAAAGACAAAAAGAGAATGGAATTCTATAAGATTCTCAGAGATGAGAACAATATATAGATCCATTTATTAGAGCTTGGGCAATGAGAAACAGTGTAATTCATGATAAAAGGAGTAGAAGAAATCTAAATGAATAATTGTTATCAAATGTTGTTATTTTTAAATCTTTATCCACAATTCTCAAATAAAGCCTGACAATCTAAAAAATTAAAAAGTTTGGAGACAACATATTTAGGAGCAAAATCAACTTTCCCTCACTCATCCTTATCCCACTTGCTGTAAAAATACTGATGTGTTTGATCAGAAGGTGCTGCCCCAGACTCTGTTGTGGTATTCTTTTTTCTATTGCAGTATTTTCACTTTAAAATGTGAAATATTGATTTCTAACACTTGTTCCCAAAGGTTGCAGATTGGATAGTGTGGACCAAATAATGTAACAACAAATTTGGTCCTCTGCTCCTTGATATCCTTAACTTCCACTCATTCATGGCCCTGAGACTTTTCTTTCTTTAATCATCCTACCTTCCACCAAATCTATCCCTCTTTTTGTAAAAGTTTACCCCCAAATCTAGTGTGTATATATGAGGGGTGTGTGGCTAGGAGTTTTGGGACTTATTTTATATAAAGATATATTTATTTTCCTGGAACGTATTTCTTAGAATGTATTTTAGATCTTGTAATCAGCAATGCAGTGGTTCAATGCAGTGTTTATCTGAATAATGGGATATTCCCCCTTGGGCAACTCTGTGTATATATGGGGTTCTCTGATGTAAACTTTTTAAAAAGATGTTGTGAAAACCCGATATTTTCCTGACATATTCTTCTAAATTCATGAGACTTCTTCGAAAATATCACAAGGGGAAATGAATATGTTGGTTAAGATAACCGTCCAGTGTGGTAGCTATTCTGATATATCCAGAGGATTCTAAGTTTTTAAGTCTACCTTAGAATTTGTTTAAGTACAGAAGCATCTGAACATGCCAACAGCTACAAAACTACTTTCTAGCATCTATAATAGGATGACACTGTAATTTCTTAAGAGCATCAATATGGAAGGGGTCCTAAAAATGTTATGATCTTACCTCCATATGCTTTCATATGTTTAGAAAACGAAGATGCAAAGAATCAATCTCTACTTTCCCTTCTTAACTCCTCAAAATTCAGTTATTGAATCCTTGCTCTTCTTTCTAACTGTCTTATCTGGGGGTTTGTTCTTAACTTTTGTGCCTCAGTGTCCTAGTTTTAATACAGATATAATAATAGTATCTGATGATAGGGTAGTTAGGAAGACTAAACCTCTCAAAGAGGGTCAGGCATGCCGTAAGCATTCAATAATTTTTAGCATTTATTACGGTATGGTTGGAGCTTTAATTGCTTCATTGGCTAGTAGAAAAGACTATTGGTAGGTGGTGTATACGAATGTGATAGCAGCAGAAGACAGACAAAT
This sequence comes from Homo sapiens, assembly GCF_000001405.40. Taxonomy (NCBI): domain Eukaryota; kingdom Metazoa; phylum Chordata; class Mammalia; order Primates; family Hominidae; genus Homo; species Homo sapiens. The sequence continues at coordinate 77,621,490 of NC_000008.11, read as the reverse complement.
TCCTAGCCAGACAGGGATGGGTCCCTGATGAAACCCGACCTTCAAGCCAAAGACAGCCCGAAGCCTGAAAACCGAGCTGCCTTTTCGGGGTAGAGTCCACCGCCGGAGGGAGAACTTTCTCCATGCCTTTTAGCCAATCGAATGGTGCTTTTTCCAGGCCCACCCAGGGACCACACAGCACACATGCCCCTATTCTGATCCCATAAAAACCCTGGACTCAGCCTCACAAATGACTACTCGTTTTGGGGCTTCCTCTCACAAAGAGGGTTACCTACTTTGGGTCCCCTCTCATCGTGGAGAGCTTTTCTGTCGCTCAGTAAAATTCTTCTCTACCTCACTCACTTTCCAGTGTCTGTGTACCTCATTCTTGTTGGTCGCAGGATAATAACCCAACACCCACTGGATGACAGGTGTGAAAAGAGCTGTAACACGCGTTTCTGCTGGGGAGCAACAGGAGTGAAAAAACCGCTGGACACCACAGGCCCCCGTTTGCTGAGCTAAGGGTGGCAGGAACAAACAAGAACTGTAACACTTCCTGGGGGCTCAGACCTCTGGACTCTCCAAGCAAAAGCTGTAACACTCCTTGGGGCTCTGCGTTTGCTGGCTTCTCCATGTTTTCGGACGCCATCGCATCCCCCTCGTCTAGATGTCGGCACCCAAGGAGGAAGCCAGTTGCGGCATGGCTGGACCAGCTGCAGGCTGAGGGCAGAGCTGCAATGGGCATAGGATCCAGGCCAGTAGTGTGAGCTGAGCGCAGCCTGCCGCCGAGTGGGTGGAACGAGCCCACTGGCGATTTTCAGCTGGTGAAGTGGCACCGAAAGAATCCTGTATCAAATGCACCCAAATGGGAGTGGAGGGGGAAGGTGAAATTGATAGTTTTAGTATTTTGAATGCTTGGGGCACTTGCGTCTTATGAAGCTTGCAAACCAGCCAATAAGACAGATGTAAAGTAATAATAATGATGTAGGCCGAATGTTCTTGATTTGGTTTGGCTCTATGTCCCCACCCAAATCTCATGTCGAATTGTAATCCCCAAATGTCAAGGGAGAGACCTAGTGGGATGTGATCGGATCATGGGGGCAGATTTCCCCCTTGCTGTTCTTGTGATAGTATGTTCTCACGAGATCTGGTTGTTTGAAAGTATGTGGCATTTCCCCCTTCACTATCTTTCTCTTCTGCTCCACCATAGACAGACATACTTGCTTGCCCTTTACCTTCCACCATGATTGTAAGCCTCCTAGCCATGATTCCTGTACAGCCTGTGGAACTGTGAGTCAATTAAACCTCTTTTCTTCATAAATCACCCAGTCTCAGGTAGATCTTTATAGCAGTGTGAGAACAGACTAATACAGTTCTGATAATAAATAATATACCTGAGAAATATACACTGATTTAATTTTACTTTAGCGAAAGGTATTTATGTAAATAGAAATATAATTGAATGGAAAGATGGATAGAAACAGATGATAGATATGAAATTATATTTTAGATATATAATTATTCAAGTATAAAAAAGAGTATCTGATAAGTTAATAAAAAATCTGCATGTTAAAATCAGTAAGCATGAATGCAATAAACTCCATTTGCTATGATTACAGTTCTTATTGTCAGTATGCAGGAATTACCAACAACTTTATATTGTGCCTGCTACAAGTTCTCAATATTGGACAAAATAAATAAAAGCCAAAATATTTCTTTAAAAAGTTAACTGCATCCAACATTGCTAAACACTACAAAGCACCACCTTACAGGGGTAACATTCAAGTTGATTAATATAATATTTTCTCTCACAAGTGGAATCATGTCACTATAACTCAAGGATACTGATGAAGAAGTAATGGCCAAAGTGAAATTTTTGACAACTGGCAATATAGCCATATCATATAGATCATTTCTGTTATGTTTTGTCAAAGAACCTTAAATTTTTTCCTATCTAAACTTTCACCAACATAAATAATAGATCTCTTTCCATATTCTCTGCAATAACATTTGCAGTAAATTTAATTTATAATACTGCACCACGTATCCAGTGCTGTACTGTCATTGAGATTATTGAAATGATAGTTCTGCTAGATAATCTATCAATCCAAATGGCAGAACTTGGACCAATCTCGTCTATATTAAAATTACCTTCCCTGTAAGAAACCTATAATTCTTTTCTTCTCTTTCACAACTTTGCCTCTGTTTTGAGTTTTATGAATAATTGCATTTCTACTGATCAAAAACAAATTCTAGTATACTAGGTACACTGTCATTGATCACTATAAGCACTAATGTATGAATAAAAATATGTTTATGTTTCAAGCTAAAACTGACATCTCTGTAATAAGAAATCATACACAATCTAGCACATTACCATCCTTCTACCTGGGGAGGGAGAGAACTTGGGCTTTATAAGAGTCAAGATTTGATCTAATAAAATATTGATGAGTGGCATGCCTGTCATTCTCTCAGTGTCCTACATGCTTTCTCTCTTGTTAATATAATACATCGAAGGCATTGCTATCAATTAGCGCAGTGTCACAGAATGCGAAACCAGGACAAAAATTCTCCAGCTGAATATCATCCTGTTCACAGTATTGAATAGTACTGTGGGTACAGTTTGTCTAGGATGGATAAGGGTAAAATAATATAGAACATTTAAAAATTATTTTTATTGTGATTTAAAATGGTTACTCGTTTCAACTCTGGAAACTAGTTTCACAGTTTTTTCCTCTAGAGGGGCATTAGTTGGGTCGATTCTTACTAAGTCCTTACTAAGCAAGAGAAAAACCATGCACAGGAATCTCCAAACTGGAACTTCTTTTCAGAATATTTTGGAACGCTAGTAGACCAAAACCTAAAATAAAAATGTAGCTGCAGCACTTAAGCAACTAACTTTGTGGACTAAACTTATTGATATTCTAACTAAATTAGTTGGTTATTTGGTGTAACATGATCCTAGGAATTGGAAATTCGAAGTCAAGTCCTCAGTGTCCATGTCCTTTAACTTCACTGATACTTGAAAAGATGGGGAGTCTTTCTTCAAAATGGAGAGAAAGGTTATTCCTTATTCCTTGAGAAGGCATTTGAAACAAATAGAAAAAATAAATAAATAATTGACAATGAAAACTGGCAGCATCTTTCAAACAATACCCTGGCTGAAAATATCAATCAATTAAAAACCTTGCATTTTAAAAATTGAAAAAGGAAATCGTAGCGCACACTTAGTGGTGCCATTTATGAAAGTACAAGGAGAAAACCTCTTAGTGGTCTGGGTTCTGATGTAAGCCTACTGAATTTTGAGAGAAGAAACCCAAAGATGAATGCCAATGAAAAGTAATAGGTTCTCTCAGTTATGTTTCATATTTAGACAGTATCAACAACACCAAAATATTCAAACAGGTCAACTGGGTAGAAAAATAATTAGTTATTTCCCATTGACTAGATAAGCAACTTGTTTAACTGCTTTTACTTCATTTGGTAACCTGTTAGTATTACATAATACAAACATAGCTGTATTTTAAAAATAGTAAACCAAAGTTTTGTTACAGAATAAGCCACAACATATAGCTGTGAGTGTTAGGGTTTTCATAAAGAAATGGATTGCCATTTTTTCCAGTTTATTTCAAAGCAGCTGATTCAGACATTAGAGGAATCATTTATAGAAGAAAGATGCATTAATTCCTATTAGGTAAAAGGCTGTCTCTGGCTATGCATAGGGTTAAAAAAATAATGCTCAAGAAATGAGTCCAATGAACTTTGTATATACTTACCTTTCATTGTTTTTACACAATTTGAAAGTATTAAGCAAATAATTTACTATCCCTGGGGGTGGGGGGAGGGAGAAATAAATCAGCCAGCCAAAGATCTGATTCTTGTTGTTTGTTTTGTTGTAATTTAATTGTATTTTTCAAATAGGTAGTTCAATCATATGGTGCAAAGAGAAAACAATATTAAAAGACAGAAATTAAGAAGTTCTCTTTTGTTCCTGTCATTGTCCAAACCATTCTTACCCACAAAGCCCTGTCACTTTAATTAGTTTCTAGTATAGCCTCCCAGTATTTCTGCATATAGATAAAGAATATATAACATGACTAGACACACAGAATATATAAGTATATATTCTTATGTGTAAAATTATTTTCTTTTAAGAATTTTAAAATTACCTTTTAAGAATAAGAATATAAATATTTTTATTTTAAAAACTGACAGACGTAAAATTTACTTTTTTTGTGGTACAGTTCTATGAGTTCTAACAGAGTATAGATTTGTAGAACTACCTCCACACTCGGAAGAAAGATGAGTTCCATCATTCCCCAAATCTCCCATGGTACTTCTCTGTGATTATGCCCTCTCTCCATCCCAAACCCCTGGCAGCCATTCATCTGTTCTCTCTTGTTAAAGTTTTATCTTTTTAAGTATGCCATATAAATGGAATTACACACACACACACACACACACACACACACACACATATGTAATCTTTTATGATTGGCTGCTGTTGCTTAACATAATGTATTTAAGATGCATCTAAATTTATGTATCTCATCAGCAACTTGTGGGAGCACCTGTTCCTCCAAAGTGTCACTAAAAAAGCATTTTGTCAAACTTGGCTCTTTCGTTCCTTCTAGTTGTTTAGAGTTATCTGTAAGACACTAGAAAACAATCATTCTGGGTAAACACAATTCCTTGTTTTTCATTCTAATTTGATAAAGAATACATACACACAAAGTGTTAGGTTGTCATAAGACAAGGCAAGAACTCTGGTGCTTAATCACTCAACGTGGACCACTTTGTCTAGAAAATTGCTTTAAAAGACCAAAAAAATGTTTCAAACAGTAATATGAATATGGTTTATAAAGTGTGTCTGATCTCATTTTATGAATTTAACACCTTCACCTGTTTTATGCATCCATTCCTTTCCCAATGTTTTATTTTATTGAATATGTACACGTTCTTTTTAAACACAAAACCAAAAGCATTTTCTCCCAAATATTATGGACATTTCAACAGAATTATATTTGTTTACTTGACTTTTTATTGAATTACTTTGCTAACTATCTTCATTTCCCATTTTAGTTTGCCAAAATAAAGCAAAAGTTCTTAGGAGGAAAGTTTCAACTGAGACTATTTTTTCTAACACAGGGACTTCTAAATGTGGTCTTAGTTTAAGTCCTGGGACTCATAGTTATTGCAACAACTATATCCAATATTTAACATTTAATTTTTCTCATTAACCTTGAAACTTATTACTAATTCTTCAGTTACTCTCTCATATTCATCTTAATCATAGAAAGTTTGTTGTCATTTCCTATCATATTTTAATTCATTATTTATGAAAAGAGTAATTTCAATTTGCCTTTAAGCATTAACTCTGGATTTTTCAGGATTTTCTATTTCTTTTAAGTGTTGGTTCTGTAGTTGAAATGACTATTTAAGGGCCACTATTCTCTTATAAACATATATTTTGGGGGCTTTTAGAAACAAATTATGTAAAAATATAATTATGGGCCTTATATGAGAGTTAAAGACAACTATTTATTTTTGACCTGTGCTACTATGTGGGAAAAATCATACTTTTTAAATGAAATGAGAATAACATACCCAGTATTAGAAAAATGTTTAAGGCTAACTCCAATTATAGTATCAAAATATAATCAACGTAATAACTCTAATTACAATAAATTATTTAAAAACAGGTATAAATCAGACCAATTTTTATGTGAGCTTTAAATAGTCTGAAATAGTTTTATTGCAATTAAACCTCATGAATCATGCAAGTTTCTAGTCAAATAAAATTATTTTATTTGCCTACTATTGCTAATTTTATACTTTAGCACAACTTGAAGGTCATAGCAAAAATATATACACTAAGAAAAACCTCTCAATTTGTTTGTAATTGTCCAGTTTATTCTGTTTCCTTATTACAAATTTATTTTTGTGATATTCTAATATAGGTTTGTCCTGGGTTTATGTAGATGAGTTATAAAAATAAAAATAATTTCTGACTCAATTATTATAAGCAATGAATATGTACAGGTAACAATTACTTCTTTTAGCAATTTTTAAAGGGGTTATACTACACATAAGCGCTTCATATGTTCAGTGTTGAATGGTATGTTTTCAGTGGAACTTTGATAAAATTGATTGTATCCCGAGAAGAATGATCCAAATGTAATAAATTGTCTAAAATGGTTAAATCAGTTATGTTTAGTCATTTCACATATTTATATAGTGCATTTATATAGTTACTTGCCAACTATGTGCCAATCCTGTTCCGGTGCTGGTGATATATCTTTGAACAAGGCTATTTGAATCCATGCTGAAATGGCAGGGGAAGTTTCACCCGAAAGCAAAGATAACACTTTGACAACTTATAACAGTTTGGGACAGAAAAATTTCCAAATTTGAAGCAATATAGCCAACCAATATTTATTAGGCATCTACTATGTTGTAATTACTGTGCTTCTTGCTGAAGATGCACATATCATCCACATTCCCTACCCCTGAGAAGATCACAGCAGAGTGCAATTTCAGAGGCAGAACAATGGCTGCAAAAGACAAGAAGCCATATTTGGTTGAATATAAAGTATATATTAATGATTATATCATTTTATTACAAGGCAGCCCCAAATAGAAATAAGCTGACTTATAATGAGCTCCTTGTCACTCAAAAGCTGAATTATTACTTTTCAAAGCTGTTGAAGTAATTCTATAGAAGACAGTACAGTGCAAAGAATATTGCATTTGAAATAGAAGTGGTTTCTGTTTCCCACTTGAACACTTTGTGGAAATATTAAAGGAAAAAGTGACTCCCTGAGTCTAAATTTTGTTATTATCCTGTAAAAGGATAACGGGGCTTGCTTTTTTGAGCTATTTCATGAATGATCTAAGATAATACATGTTACCGTATTTTGTGATCTATAAATGTATATGTAAATATAAGATTTTAGTGTGTTGGCAAGATGTCTAACATACTGTTTGGATGTAAAAGGCTAGATCAAATTTAGATTTTCTTCTAAAACTAAAGCCCTGTAATTCTTGAGCTCGAAGAGATCTTATTTTATCAAGTTTTCATTTTGTAAATGTTGAAATGACAGACATATGAAACTACAGATATCAAACATATACTACCTAATGGCCAAGAAGACCCTAGAAGATTCCTTATCTTGTCTTCTCCCTGAAATACTGCAAAGTCTAAAAATTTATTTTCTGTTTCTAAAAGTATTTTAATTTTTTCTATCATTCTTTTCTATCATTTTTTCTATCATTTCTATCAGTCTTCTAGATTCCTTGTAAACAGAACAGATATGATGTAGTAAAAAAATAACAATTCTGAAAATTTGCACCTAGTTACATGGTATTTCATAATTATTATTTTGTGTTTTCTTAATTTTAATAGGATTCTAAAAGATGGACAATTAAAATAGAAAATACAGTGCTAAAATATTTGTCATATATATTATAATTGTCATGTATTACAAAAGCAGTATTTGTTATATGTGTAAGAAGGTATTTTTATGATTGCTGAGTTCAAGTAATCCTACATTTCTTTAATATTTGATAGTTTTCAAAGCATTTTAGGTAGACTATAAATAATGACATATTACTGATTTGTTCAAAATGAAACATCAAATTGCAAATCCTAACTTTAAAATGAGTTAAAGCTCAGCGAAGTCAAAATACATAAACTGATAATCTTGTAAAATCGTGGACCAACATACCTTTCATGACTCTGAAAAATTTAAGGAGCAATAGTTTCTTATAAAAAATATTCTTGCTACTACCTTTTTTATGGCATTTTATTGGTTTCAGATGTGGGGGTGGGGACTCATTAAAAATTATGTAATCTAACAAATCACAATTAATTTTAACAATTCATTTCAAAGAAACTAATTTTATATAAGATCATTAGTATGACAACAAACATTACAACAAATTTAAATATCAACTGATATCTTTAGCTGAACTAATAGTGACTATAATTACAATTTTATTGTAATTTATGTAGTTGTTAAAGGCTAAAAAGGCAATATGATTAATGGCCTAAGAGCAAAATATAGATTTTTAGTACACAATTTTTTGCAATTTGTTATGCAAGTTTTTTAGAAATAAAAGAAAATGTTGGAATACTCACTCTCTTTAGGGCATACGTTTTGAGTGGCTTTGCCCATAAGACTGATTAACTGAGTTTATAATTTGGCCCTGTTTTGTGCTGTTTTGAGGACACCCTTCAGAGCAATTTACTACAGAGTTAAAATCTGTTAGTACTCTAGAACTATCGTTAAATAAAAATCTCGGTAAAAGTACCTTCATGTAGCATTTCTTTAAAAATACACTTCTGTCACTGCAACAAAATGAACTTGGATGATTTATGCAACTGATGGTCTTGTCTCATTAACAAAGTCTTTAACCAACCAGCATAAACAGCTTTTGGTTACTTGTTTGTTCAAAAATATATGTCGTCCTGGCAAAATACTCACTATGAATAGCCAGTAGATTTTAATTTCATTAAATAGTCTCTTTTCTTGTTCTTTGCTCACGTGTAGAGACAAACACCAAAGAGAGGAGAGAATTTAATTATCTAGATAAGTTTGAGTAACAAGACATTTTCATCAAAATCTGTCAGGGTATTTAGGAAAATAGTATTTTTGGAAATTATCCAGACATTATAGGATTGGTGGCTATGTGCTAAAATTAACAAGGTGAATGCCACAATTTTTCAATTTATTTTTAATTTGTATAGAAAATCTAAATAGTCACTTAAGTTATATTAAGAAATAGCTGCAATGCAAAATTTTCTGTGTAAGAACAAAAAGTTTGTTGACGTTATTTTATTAATATATTTTAATGGGAAACAAATGGGAAAGGTTTTGTTAGTTTCTGAATTGCATTTTCTTTTCTTAACTACATTATATTACAAAAGCAGTAAAAACAAGCAGAACTATATGCTAAACATACACTTTTTAAAATATACAATCTCATGTTTATTTTAGTGACTTTTCATTTCATAACCAAATGAAACATGCATATAATTTTAGAAATCCCGTAACTGAAAGAGAAATCAAAATCATGCTCAAATATATCCAAAATAATCATCAAGCTGGAAAGCATGTCCAACTTATTTTAAAGGTGTATTATTGCCTGATTTAAAGGCAGACAGGGGCTGTGGGGCCACATTCCATGACAGAAAGCCTCTTGAGACATCTTTGATCATTCTTTGTGATGCATAAAATATGTCACTGTTGTACTATAAAAGATATCAGCCATCAGGTAAGGCTGTCATTTGCTCTTGTAGTATTACATTGGAAAAAATACAGCTTTTCTCTCCAGTATTTGTATGGGATTTCTGCTCATGAAAACACAGCCTATTTAGTCTGTGCTCAACCATTATCATACTCCTGGTTTCTTTCAAAAGAAAGTAGTCATAAATAAACATGCTAAAGAGAATAGATCTGGTTGATATTTTGTTTCAACATTCACCCATTTCTTAAGTTGTTATAAGCTGTAAATATGTTAAGTACTGGTCTACATTAAAGCTGGATTCTACAAAAGGATTGCATATTTCTCCAGAGACTAGTTGCTTTCATTTGATTTCTGTTATGTATACATCTTAGTTTACTTCAAAATCTGAACCTATGTCACAAATAATATTTATAACAAAAGAACAATAGCAGTAAACTATTTCAAAATGCTGTATATTTTTCAGCCCCTCACATATTTTTTAAATTATACTGTATGTGTGTGTGAGAGAGAAAATTGGCTTTGCTAACATATTTAAGATAAAACAAACTACAATTCTGTGTGTGCGTATGACAGCAGTGTCTATCCATTAGATTTGTCTCTCAAGTACTAACATACATAAATCATTTTACCTTTTATATAAATTAATTTCCTCAAATTTCATTTAAATGACAATGAGACTGAGTTGATATTCATTTGGGAAAAATATTTTTCAAATTGTGTCGAAAACCTGGAAATATTTTAATGTGAAGTCCAGTGAAAAAGTGTTTTTTACCATTGAAAACTCTAATTACTGAAGCGTTTATCAAGTTTAATTGTTTAACTGGCTCCATGAATATTGGCAAAATTTACTAGTTTGCCAAGAGTATAATGCTGTCTTCTGAAAGCATTTGACTACTAAACCAACAAAAACCCAGACAAATAAGATATGTAAGCAATATTGAATATGCTAAATCTGAAAAGCTGACAAGTTTTGCTCAATCAATATTGAATATGCTAAATCTGAAAAGCTGACAAGTTTTGCTCAATAAATATAAGTTTCAGATAGCTTTTATCTCTTTAAAAATTTGTTGCCTTTTGAAAATATTCACAATTTATAATTTCTATATTGCAAAAGTACTTCTGCTTGTATTTAAAAATTTAGCAATTTATGTAATTTATAAGTTGGGAAGGAGGAACTCTTTTTAATGGAGAAATAACATACGGTATAACAGCCCGGATCGATTAAAGGCCTCCATCTGGTGCAAGTCTACAAAAGTTGCTGCCATATGTTTGAACAGTACAGCAAAACTAACTGTTTTATACTGTCACCACCTCCAGATCTGTTTTATAAATTGCATTTTGTTTTAATATAATGCATGTATATAAACATTGGGTATAGTTTCATTTATGGCTGTTTGCTTAATTGGAAAGCAGACACTATATAAAAATTTTAAAAGGCTCTTGGTCTTCATGCATGGTTCACTGTGAAAGGCAGTTGACAGGTCTAAATATGAGAAAAAGAGAGACACACATAGACTGCTGTAAATTAAACAATTTACAGTAATAAGTAATCTTTAAATCTGAAATGATTTTAGAATATTCTATTATATTCATCTTTGAGAAATGGTCATTCATCTTTGAGGATTACTAAAAATATAGAATAATAATAAAAAATCTTAGGGGGGAAAACTGTATAAAATTCATGTAAATATTAAAGACTGGTAATATCAAAATGTATTCAGTAGTCTTGTTTTTTTTAAGGTAAAATTTCATAAAGATAGATTTAAAAATCATAATATATATGTTGCTGTTGGAAAAATAACATATCAGGTTCAAATGAAATTTAGGAATGTTAATCTCTTTTGCAGCTGCTATTTTTGTTTTATGGTATTTTTACAGCTGTTTTTAATTTCTTTTAAGAAATACTAAACCTTTAGGAGAATTCCCATGTGAATAACCACAGTACAGATAATTGGTTTCATTGCAATTCAGATTATGAACATCATTTTTCAGTTGTTACTTTCAAACTATATACACAGCTAAATCTGTAAGCCATTTTCTTTATTCAGCTACTATCAAAGGGGGAAAATCAGTTTAAAGCATCACAAAGTCTTATTCTTTACCTGATAGGTTTGGATGTTTAAAAATATTTACCTTCTTCAATCGAACATTAATATATCCTATATAGTATGTGCAGATGTGAGCTATAGTTTTTATTTAGAAAACAGAACGACATAAATTATGAAAATTGTTTCAGAACTATGATGACTTTAATAAATTTTAGAAGTGACATTATCATGTGATTCTATTTCCATACCTAACATCTTCTTTGATTAATTGTTACTACAGATTGTATATCTTCATTTAGAAGCATCCTTGATTAGCAGCCACACCTATACCATGCAGTTTTTAATGGAAGCCACCATTCCTATGCAAGCCGCAGGGGAAAGTAATTAAATTTAATAGAAGCCGTCTTTGTTTCATAGCAACCCTCAATTTAAAGCCACAGGGGTAAGTAATTAAATTTAATAGAAGCCATAGCTTCTAAACAAAGATATACAGTATCAGTTAGGTATGCAGAGGTATAGAAATAAGACGTACCCTACCTTGGGAGTTGTGAAGAGTGTAGGTTTATATGAAGCAAATATTAAAAAATGTAATACTTCACAAAATACTTTCTCTAAGTAATTCAAAATGGGCAGAGAAACTATAGTTGTCGCCCTGCGTCTTCCTAAAGGGCTGTAAGAGAGGTGGAGCTGCTAGATGTCCTTGCTAAACCACAGTGGCTTGGGCAATTGCCTGCTGTGAGCACTGGATGCTTCTTTCCCTCTAATATCAGTTGAACATGTCCAACATAAAATGCCTTAAGTGGGTTAGCAGCAATTCATGGGGGCATAAGAAGGTTGATGTCTCTGTTTATTTTTCCTAGATATGAGCTATTAAATTTTTGTTTGGTGTCTTTTTTGTTTCCTTGTTTTTCTACATTATAGTGAACATAAGTCCTCAATTAGTTAATCCTGCCTATAGCCAATGACTTGCAAAACCTGGATCAAGACTAGAAGCACCATTTGGGTGGCTAATTTCAGCTTCATTCTAGAGAATGTTTGGCAGGCTGTCTCACCACAGCATCTAAGCACTTTGATGGGCATATAAAAAAGGCTTATGAGGAAGTAATCTAGAATTCACATTGGCCATATGACAATTTTCGAGGCCCTTTCCTCAAAGTAGTATGTGCCATGTAACCAGGTTTGATTCTTAAATTTTATTTTGAGCTTTAATACTGCTTTTAAAATACCAAATTTTCAAATCATCCGGAACATGTTTAATCTGCTCTTTGCCGTAAATGGTCCTTTAAAAATTCATAAGACTCATATAGGGAAAAAAAAAACTCTAAGTGGAAACTAAGCAGCTGGTAGCATATCCAGTGATATTCTAAGATCATTGCCTTTAAAATATAGTTAATAGTTATTAAAAAAAATAAAAAAATTAAAAAACAGGAGAGGAGAAGCTCTGAGAATCAGCAGCCCAGATGGTAAAAGACAATAAGGGCTGCTGGTAGGCATATGGTGCACAGAGAATGGACCAACCATGTGTTAATAAGAAAATTAAAACTTGTATTTTAAGCAGCATGTGAGTACAATATGGATCATGACTAGGAGGGATGAAAATAAGGTCCTAAGAAATTCTTTACGTAAGAGAAATATAAACAGAAATATAAAAATTTTTATAACCTGTAAATATACTGATGAAATATCTGTGTACACATAAGTTGTTGATAAGGTGTGTGTTTTATTCTTAACACATGTACAAGTTCATACACATATATACATATAGATAGATAGATAGATAGATGGATAGATAGAGCGATTTACCAGTAGAAATGAAGTTTTGTGGCTAGTAACTGTTAAACTACTTCAAAGAATACAAGCCCTATGTGTGTATAATAATACATTTGTTTAAATGAATTGCTTTGCCTGTGACACTGCTTAGTGGCAACTAACAAATGTGGAGTTTTTTCAGTTGCAAACAAATATGGAGTTTTTTTCAGTTGTAAGGAATTAAGAACATCTCTTTATTTAACCTGCAACAGCAACTCTCCTTTAATTAAAACAAACAAACAAACAAACAAACATAGAATATCAATAGGGCATTTATTTTCAAGTTTGTGATTATCTCATTTAAGTACTTAAACGTTTTTTTTTTGTCCAAGTTTCAAAATATGAAGGTTCAACATATTCAGTGTTAAATGCGCATGACCGTATCAGGCTTTCCTATTATCGTGGCAACTTAACTGAGAAATTGTTTCATATATGTATTCCACTTTCCCTTTTAATCATTAAAAAAATCAGACTCAGAAATGAGTCTATCTACTTTGCTCTCTATCAGTTTCTTTCCATTAGGGTTTTTCTCTTGTTTGGATTACTGAAACAGAATAATTTCACATGTTTTTCCTATTATCTTGTCTTTGAGGCAAACCAATAATACTTTTCTTCTTTTAAAGGGGATTCTAATGTTATCAGAACAGAAAAAAATTATAAAGTCTCAGTTCCCTGCCGTTGTTGTCAAAAAGACTATTTTTTCCCAGCTTGATTTTACCATGCGTGGCTCAGGTAAATCATTGATCTCACACAAATTAACTTATTTGGATGATGCAATCACAGTTATTTGGAACTGCTTGTATTGAATCATATAACCCATCAACTGCAAAACATAAAGCAAATTATTGTATTGTTACCTTCTCAAGGAGCTAGAAGTAATAAAATTCCTATTTTATTTTCATATCCATTGACATGCATCTGGAATGTTCTGGCAGTTTCTGGTGAATGTAATGAGAGGAAGGGCATTTAAGGTCACTTGAAACCCAGCTTTAATATGGCAAGTGGTTACTACCTCTGATTAATAAAATGTCTGATACGCTTGTCCCAACTTTTTCTGTTCTTATTAAATCCACCGATTATCATGTCATTTTACTATTTAAAAGTTTAAAAAAACTCTGAATGGGAAACAGTTTTATTTTTATTAATAACATTAGAAGAATATTACAAATACAACAAAAAAAGGAGCAGGATGGTTAGAAATTTGAGATTATCAAGACATGTCCCAACCCTATTTCTCTTATTATACACATATACACACATGCCTATACATGCACACACACAGCACATTAAAAAATGATTTCTTCAAATGGAGATTGTGAGAGAAAGAAAAGTTGTAACTCCATGCAATTCCTGATTATGTCAGCACACAAAGCGCTAAAGGAAGTTAAAATATATCGTTAAAATGACTTTATCCAAAAGAATATGACACAGCTTTACTATAATTATCATCATAATATCAGCTCAGGAGAAAAGACAGAAAAATGAATTATGGATGAACATGAAACTAGCAGATTCGAAGTGGAAATGTTTTACAAAAACTATGAACTCACCTCTTCCTCCATTAGAGAAGGTGACAAGCTCATGGCGCCTCTTTTCTTTTCTTTTTCTTTCTTTCCTTTCTTTCTTTCACTTTCTTTCTTTCTTTCTTTCTTTCTTCCTTCCTTCCTTCCTTCCTTCCTTCCTTCCTTCCTTCCTTCCTTCCTTCCTTCCTTCCTTCTTTCTTTCTTTCTTTTTCTTTTTTTCCACCGTGGATGGAGGAGTGGGAAAGAAGAGGTAAAGCCCAAATGGAAGAAGCAGCAAGGTAAGAGAACAGATATTCTTAAGGCATCTGGTCACCTGACTCGTGGCAACAATTCTCAGATGCTAATTGGGTTCTTAATAAATAAGGCATGCAGGATGAGGAGCTGGTGCCCCTTCCCTCAAGACCTCAGCCCATCCCAAGGCCATCTCTTTCCCCATCACTCCCCGTTAGGGTGGAAGCCTCCACTCCTTACTGGGTTACCTAAGGGAAAGCTGGCTCTTACTCTTAAGTGACACCTACTGGAATAAAGAATGAACTGCACCACCAAATAAAAAACTGACAGAGGAGCATGTTGCCAGTGAAATAAATAAGCTTCCAGAGACCTCTGGACTCTCAGCCCCAAAGGAGATAGTGAGTCGGCTCATAGGTCAAATATATTGTTACAATAAGCAGCATTTGAGAAAGTCACCACGCAAAAGGTATCAAAACCAAAGAACCCATACAGAGAGTTGGTCCCTTGAAAGTACCCAGAAACAAAACTAAATGATGATACATAACATACATCACAGTCATATCCTTAAGGAAAAAACAATAAAACCTGTTTTATCAGAGACTAGGATTGCAACCCCTGCCTTTTTTTGTTTTCCATTTGCTTGGTAGATCTTCCTCCATCCCTTTATTTTGAGCCTATGTGTGTCTCTGCACGTCAGATGGGTCTCCTGAATACAGCACACTGATGGGTCTTGACTCTTTATCCAATTTGACAGTCTGTGTCTTTTAATTGGAGCATTTAGCCAATTTACATTTAAGGTTAAAATTGTTATGTGTGAATTTGATCCTGTCATTATGATGTTAGCTGGTTATTTTGCTCATTAGTTGATGCAGTTTCTTCCTAGCATCGATGGTCTTTACAATTTGGCATGATTTTGCAGTGGCTGGTGCTGGTTATTCCTTTCCATGTTTAGTGCTTCCTTCAGGAGCTCTTGTAGGACAGGACTGGTTGTGACAAAATCTCTCAGCATTTGCTTGTCTATAAAGGATTTTATTTCTCCATCACTTATGAAGATTAGTTTGGCTGGATATGAAATTCTGGGTTGAAAATTCTTTTCTTTAAGAATGTTGAATATTGGTCCCCACTCTCTTCTGGCTTGTAGAGTTTCTGCCAAGAGATCAGCTGTTAGTCTGATGGGCTTCCCTTTGTGGGTAACCCGACCTTTCTCTCTGGCTGCCCTTAACATTTTTTCCTTCATTTCAACTTTAGTGAATCTGACAATTATGTGTCTTGGAGTTGCTCTTCTCGAGGAGTATCTTTGTGGCATTCTCTATATTTCCTGAATTTGAATGTTGGCCTGCCTTGCTAGGTTGGGGAAGTTCTCCTGGATAATATCCTGCAGAGTGTTTTCCACCTTGGTTCCATTTTTCCTGTCACTTTCAGGTATACCAATCAGATGTAGAGATAAAGCACTCCTCAGCAGATGTAAAAGAATAGAAATTATAACAAACTGTCTCTCAGACCACAGTGCAATCAAACTAGAACTCAGGATTAAGAAACTCACTCAAAACCGCTCAACTACATGGAAACTGAACAACCTGCTCCTGAATGACTACTGGGTACATAATGAAATGAAGGCAGAAATAAAGATGTTCTTTGAAACCAATGGGAACAAAGACACAATACACCAGAATCTCTGGGACACATTTAAAGCAGTGTGTAGAGGGAAATTTATAGCACTAAATGACCACAAGAGAAAGAAGGAAAGATCTAAAATTGATGCCCTAACATCACAATTAAAAAAACTAGAGAAGCAAGAGCAAACACATTCAAAAGCTAGAAGAAGGCAAGAAATAACTAAGATCAGAGCAGAAGTGAAGGAGATAGAGACACAAAAAACCCTTCAAAAAATCAATGAATCCAGGAGCTGATTTTTTTAAAAGATCAACAGAGTTGATAGACCACCAGCAAGACTAATGAAGAAGAAAAGAGAGAAGAATCAAATGGACGCAATAAAAAATGATAAAGTGGATATCACAACGGATCCCACAGAAATACAAACTACCATCAGAGAATACTATAAACACCTCTATGCAAATAAACTAGAAAATCTAGAAGAAATGGATAAAGTCCTGGACACACATACACTCTTCCAAGACTAAACCAGGAAGAAGTTGAATCCCTGAATAGACCAATAACAGGTTCTGAAATTGAGGCAATAATTGATAGCCTACCAACCAAAAAAAGTCCAGGACCAGATGGATTAACAGCAGAATTCTACAAGAAGTACGAGGAGGAGCTGGTACCATTCCTTCTGAAACTGTTCCAATCAATAGAAAAAGAGGGAATCCTCCCTAACTCATTTTACAAGGCCAGAATCATCCTGATACCAAAGCCTGGCAGAGACACAACAAAAAAAGAGAATTTTAGACCAATATCTCTGATGAACATCAATGCAAAAATACTCAATAAAATATTGGCAAACCAAATCCGGCAGCACATCAAAAAGCTTATCCACCATGATCAAGTGGGCTTCATCTCTGGCAGGCAAGGCTGGTTCAACACTTGCAAATCAATAAATGTAATCCAGCATATAAACAGAACCAAAGACAAAAACCACATGATTATCTCAATCGATGCAGAAAAGGCCTTTGACAAAATTCAACAACGCTTCATGTTGAAAACTCTCAATAAATTAGGTGTTGATGGGACATATCTTAAAATAATAAGAGCTATCTATGACAAACCCACAGCCAATATCATACTGAATAGGCAAAAACTGGAAGCATTCCCTTTGAAAACTAGCACAAGACAGGGATGCCCTCTCTCACCACTCCTATTCAACATAATATTGGAAGTTCTGTCCAGGGCAATCAGGCAGGAGAAAGAAATAAAGGGTATTTATTTAGGAAAAGAGGAAGTCAAATTGTCCCTGTTTGCAGATGACATGATTGTATATCTAGAAAACCCCATCATCTCAGCCCAAAATCTCCTTAAACTGATAAGCAACTTCAGCAAAGTCTCAGGATACAAAATCAATGTGCAAAAATCACAAGCATTCTTATACACCAATAACAGACAAACAGAGAGCCAAATCATGAGTGAACACCCTTTCACAATTGCTTCAAAGAGAATAAAATACCTGGGAATCCAACTTACAAGGGATGTGAAGGACCTCCTCAAGGGGAACTACAAACCACTGCTCAAAGAAATAAAAGAGGACACAAAAATGGAAGAACATTCCATGCTCATGGATAGGAAGAATCAATATTGTGAAAATGGCCATACTGCCCAAGGTAATTTGTAGATTTAATGCCATCCCCATCAAGCTACCAATGACTTTCTTCACAGAATTGGAAAAAACTACTTTAAAATTCATATGCAACCAAAAAAGAGCCTGCATTGCCAAGTCAATCCTAAGCCAAAAGAACAAAGCTGGAGGCATCACACTACCTGACTTCAAACTATACTACAAGGCTACAGTAACCAAAACAGCATGGTACTGGTACCAAAACAAAGATATACACCAATGGAACAGAACAGAGCCCTCAGAAAATGATACCACGCATCTACAACCATCTGATCTTTGACAAACCTGACAAAAATAAGAAATGAGGAAAGGATTCCCTATTTAATAAATGGTGCTGGGAAAACTGGCTAGCCATATGTAGAAAGCTGAAACTGGATCCCTTCCTTACACCATATACAAAAATTAATTCAAGATGGATTAAACACTTACATGTTAGACCTAAAACCATAAAAACCCTAGAAGAAAACCTAGGCAATACCATTCAGGACATAGGCATGGGCAAGGACTTCATGTCTAAAACACCAAAAGCAATGGCAACAAAAGCCAAAATTGACAAATGGGATCTAATTCAACTAAAGAGCTTCTTCACAGCAAAAGAAACTACCATCAGAGTGAACAAGCAACCTACAGAATGGGAGAAAATTTTTGCAATCTACTCATCTGACAAAGGGCTAACATCCAGAATCTACAATGAACTCAAACAAATTTACAAGAAAAAAACAAACAACCCCATCAAAAAGTTGGTAAAGGATATGAACAGACACTTCTCAAAAGAAGATATTTATGCAGCCAAAAGACACATGAAAAAATGCTCATCATCACTGGCCATCAGAGAATTGCAAATCAAAACCACAATGAGATACCATCTCACACCAGTTAGAATGGCGATCATTGAAAAGTCAGGAAACAACAGGTGCTGGACAGGATGTGGAGAAATAGGAACACTTTTACACTGCTGGTGGGAGTGTAAACTAGTTCAACCATTGTGGAAGACAGTGTGGCAATTCCTCAAGGATCTAGAGCTAGAAATACCATTTGACCCAGCCATCCCATTACTGGGTACATACCCCAAGGATAATAAATCATGCTGCTATAAAGACACATGCACATGCATGCTTATTGCGGCACTATTCACAATAGCAAAGACTTGGAACCAACCCAAATGTCCAACAATGATAGACTGGATTAAGAAAATGTGGCAACTATACACCATGGAATACTATGCAGCCATAAAAAAGGATGAGTTCATGTCCTTTGTAGGGATATAGATGAAGCTGGAAATCATCATTCTCAGCAAACTATCGCAAAGACAAAAAACCAAACACCACATGTTCTTACTCATAGGTGGGAATTGAACAATGAGAACACTTGGACGCAGGAAGTGGAACATCACACACTGGGGTCTGTCGTGGGGTGGGGGTAGGGGTAAGGGATATCATTGAGATATAACTAATATAATGACCAGTTAGTGGGTGCAGCATGCCAACATGGCACATGTATACATATGTAACAAACCTGCACGTTGTGCACATGTATCCTAGAACTTAAAGTATAATGAAAAAATAAATAAATAAAAAATAAGAAGCGGTAAATTCTTTAGATGAGAATGAATCAGCACAGTAACTCCAGTAGTACAAAAAGAGTGTTTTGACACTTCCAAAGTATTACACCAGCTCTCTAGCAATGAGTCCTAACTGAAATAAAAATTCTTAAATGACAAATAAAGAATTCTAAATATAGATTGAAAGGAAGTTCAAACAGAAAGCTGAAAAACAACACAGAGACCTGAAATATGATTCAGAATATAAAAGATGAGAAAACTATATTTAAAAACAAAAAAAGCGGAAAACATAGAACTCTGAAATTGAACAGCATACTAAAGAATTTCAAAACACTGTTAAAACCTTCAGCAATAAACTAGACCAAGCTAAGGGAAGAATTTCAGAGCTTGAAGGGCAGTCTTGCAAATTAAATAACATCATAGTGAAGAAAAAAGAATTCTAAAAAATTAATAAAGCCTTTGAGAGATAATAGATTATGTAAAGCAACCAAATATATTATTTATAGGCATTTCTGAGAGAGAAGAACAAAATGTAAGCAATTTGGAAAACATTTAAGGGAAGGATTCAGGAAAATGTTTCTAATATTGTTAGAGAGGTAGACACAATCAATAAATTTAAAGAATACTTGCTAGATCTTACACAAGACAAACATCACCAAGACATATAGTCATCAGACTATTCAAGATCAACACTAAAGAAAAAAATCTGAAAGGCAGCTAGAGAAAAGGGTCAAATCACCTACAAATGGAATCCCATCTGACTAATGGTAGACTTCTTAGCATTGTATTGCTTTATCTTTTCTGTCAAGGGACATTTAGGTTGCTCCACCTGTAGGCTACTGTGAATAATGCCTCAATGAATATGAGAATGCAAATATCTCTTTTAGATCCTAATTTCAAGTTTTTAAATAAATACCCAAAAGTAGAATTTTTGGATCATATAATTCTATTTTTAATTTTTGAGTAACCTCCTACTGTTTTATATAGTGGCTGTACCATTTCAGAAGCTGCACCAAAAGTATACCCTAGGGTTTTAATTTCTATGCATTCTTGCCAACATTTGCACATTGTTCTCTGTTTTGTTTTGTTTTTAATAATGGTCATCAATTGGCAGGTGTGGGGTAATATTTAATTTAGTTTTGGTATTGATTTTCATTTCCCTGAGGATTAGTGATCATGAGTATCTTTTCACAAACATTTGGTCATTTGTATGTCTTTTTTGAAGAGACAGCAATTCAGCTTCTTTGCCCATTTTTAAATTAAGTGATTAAATATTTTTCTATGAGTTGTAGGAGTTCCTTATACATTTTGAATAGTAACCCCTTATCAGATATTTGGTTTGCAAATATTTTCTCCCATTACATAGGTTGTCTCTTTACTCTTTTATTTGTTGGGCAGAAGCTTTTTAGTTTGATATGGTCTCACTTGTCTGTTTTTTCTTGTGTTGTCTCTGCTTTTGGTCTCATAGCCAACAAATCATTGCCAAGATCAATGTCATGAAGTGTTGCATCCTATGTTTTTTTTTTCTAGGAGTTTTACACTTTCATGTCTTATGTTTAGGTCTTTAATCCTTTTTGAGTTGATTTTTTTGTGTATGACCTAAAGGTCTAATTTAATTTCTCTGCATGTGAATATCTAGTTTTCCCAACAACATTTATTAAAGAGACTATTATTTTTCCATTGTGTAAGCTTATTTCTGGGCTCTCTATTCTGTTCCATTGATCTTTATGTATGTCTTTATGCCAGTACCATACTGTTTTGCTCACTGTAGGATTGTAATGTGTTTTGAAATTAGAAGTTATGAGATCTCCAGCTTTGCTTTCCTTCTCAAGAGTGTTTTAAATATTCAGGGTAATTCGTGGTCCTTTATAAATTTTAGAATTTCTGTTTCTACTTCTGTAAGAAATGACATTGGAATTTTGATAGTGATGGCACTGAAACTGTAGATCACATAGGGAGGTATGGATATTTTAACAATATTAATTCTTTAAATTTATTAGAATAAAATATTTTTCAATTTATTTATGTCTTCCTTAATGTCTTCAATATTTTGTAGTTCTCAGTGTACAAGTATTTCATCTCCTTGGTTAAGTGTCTTCTAATGTATCTTATTCTTTTTGATGGTATTATAAATGGGGTTGTTTTCTTATTTTTTTTCTTGGGGTGTATGGTTAGTATATAGAAACACAACTGAATTTTCTATGTTAATTTGTGCCCACCAACTGTACTGAATTTGCTTATTAGTTCTAAGAGATTTTTGGTAGAATATTTAGATTTTTTAACATATAAAATCATATCATCTGTTAACAGATACAATTTCACTTCTTCCTTTCTGAGGTGAATGCCTTTTTTTTCTTACCTAATTGTTCTGCCTATGACTTTTAGTACTGTGTTGAATAGAAATGGCAAGTAGGCATCCTTACATTGTTTCTAACCTTAGAGAAAAACTTTCAGTTTTTCACCATTGAGTATGATATTAGCTGTGGGCTTCTCAGCTATATCCTTTATTATAGTGAAGTAATTTTGTTCTATACCTAGTTTGTTGATGGTTTTTTATCATGAAAGGATATTAAATTTTGTCAAATGCTTTTTCTGCATCTTTTGAGGTGATCAAATAGTTTTTATCCTTTATTCTGTTAATATCGTTTATCACATTGATTACATATTATAATTCATCTTTGCATTTTGGGAACAAATCCCATGTAGTCATGATGAATGATATTTTTAATGTGTTGTTAAATTTGATGTGCTAATATTTTGTTAAGAATTTTTGCTTTTATAATCACCAGATATTTTAACCTGTAGTTTTATGTCTTTGGTTTTTTATTAAGGTAATACTAGCCTCATAAAATGAGTTTGAAAGTATTCTTCAATTTTTTTGGAAGAGTTTGTAAAGGATTGGCATTAATTCTTCTTTCTTGATATAGTTGGTAGAAATCACCAGTGGATCTATCTGGTCCTATCTTATTTTTGTTGGTAGATATTTTATGACTTGTTTAATCTCATGACAACAATTTATCTGATCAGATTTATATTTCCTCATGATTCAGTTGTGATTAAATGAAAATTTCTAGGAATTTATCTATTTCTTATAGCATAATTAATTTTTTCATATAATTGTTCATAGTGTTATCTTTTAATTTTTTTGTTTCTGTCATATCAGTTGTAACGTCTCCCCTTTCATTTTTGATTTTGTTTATTTGAATCCTGTTTCTTTTTTTCTTAATCTAGCTAAAAAATTATTGATTTAGTTGCACTTTTCAAGGAGCAACTCTTAATTTCATTGATTTTTTCTTTGTTTGTTTATACTTCTTCACTTATTTCTGGTCTGAATTTTGTTTTTTCCTTTGATCTGTTAACTTTAGGTTTAGTTTCTCTTCTTTTGCTATGTCTTTGGTGTGCACAGTTGCATTTTTTATTCAAGATTTTTCTTTTCCCTAAATGTAAGTATTTATTACTATAAAGTGTATATGTCTGTTAGGTACATTTGTTCTATAAGGGTGTTCAATTCTGTTTCATGATTATATGTCTGGATTTTCTATTCATTATTGAAAGTTGAGTATTAACCTCCTACTGTTATTATGGGGTTGCTGTCTATTTCTCCCCTTCATTTTGTCTATGTTTTCCTCATATGTTTGGGTGAATGTGTACTCAAATTATTATATCTCTCTGGTAAATTGACCTTTTTATTATATGACATCCTTCTTTGTCTCTTGTGACAGTTTTTGATTTAAAGTTCATTTTGTCTGCTGTAAGTGTGGCCATGCCTATTTTTTTTATTGCAACTTACATACAATAATCATTTTCCATTATTTTACTTTCAGCCTATGTGTGTCCTTTAACCTAGAGCAAGTTTCTTATAGGCAGTATATTGTCAGATATTGTTTTTGTTCATTTTATCCATTTATTTACTGTATGTCTTTTGATTGGGAAATCTAACCCGTTTATATTTAAAGTACTTATGAGAAAGAACTTACATCGTCATTTTGTTGCTTTTTCTGCCTTTCTTGTTCTTCTTTTGCCTCTCTTTTTTCCCTTTCTTTCTTCTTTTGTGTTTTATTGATTTGTTTTGAAGTTATAGGCCTTAGTTTCTTTTAAATTTATCCTGTTATGTCTTACATAGTTACTATAGTTGTGATTAACATGGGGCTTACATAACACATCTTATAGTTATGACAGTTTAAGCTTAATTTCAATCACCTACAAAATCTCTACACTGTTACTCATCTCCATTTACATTGTATATTATTGATTTCACAAATTACATATTTTATAGTGTATTCATTAATATATTTATACTCATAGTTGTTTTCAATACTCTGCCTTTTCACTTCTACCAGAATTAAAAATGATCGATGTGCCAGAGTTACAGTATTTTAATATTCTGTACTTGTGTATATCTTTACCTTTATCAACTAGCTTTGTACTTCATTATGGTTTTGTGATTCTCTGGTATCTTTTCCTGTCAACTTGAAAGACTTCCTTTAACAGTTTTTATAAGGAAGTCTAGTGATGATGATTCCCTTAAATTTTGTTTATCTAGTAAAGTATGTATCTCTCCTTCACTTTTGAAGGACGATTTTGCCAAATGTAGTTGTCTTGATTGGCAATTTTTTTTCCTTCAGTACTTTGAATACATTATAGCATTACCTTCTGTATTGCGAGATTTCTGCTAATATTTCTACTGAGAGTTTGATAAAGGTTCTTTTGTATATAACAAGTTATCATTGTCTTGCTGCATTCAAAATTCACTTTGACTTTTGGCAATTTGATTATATAATATGTCTCACTGTAGACTTGTTTGATTTATCCTAGTTGTGATTAAATGGTCATCTTGGATGCCCATTTTCTGTCCTAATTTTGAACTGCTTGGGCCATCATTTTTTAAAATAAGCTTTCTCTTCCTTACTTTCTCTCTCTTCTCCTTCTGAAACTTCCATAATGGATATATTTTCTACTTAATGGTATATAGTAAGTCTCTTAGACTTTCTTCACTCTTTCTCATTCTTTTTTTTTCAGTCCTATGACTGAATAATTTCAAATGACTTCCCATTGAGTTTACTGATTCTCTCTTCTGCTAGATTTAGTCCGCTGTTGAACTCTTCTAGTAAATTTCTTAATTCTGGTATTGCATTTCCCAGTTTCAAAATGTATGTTTGTGTCTTTTTTCTATATTTCTTGTCTCTTTGTTGAAATTCTATTTTTGCTCAGGCATTAGTTTCCTGAGCTCACTAAGCATCTTTTCAATGGTTATTTTGAATTCTTTGTTGGGTAACTCATATACCTTTATTTATTTAAGGTTATTTTCTGGAGATGTTTTGTTATTTTTGGTCAGTTTCCTGGTTTTTTTAATGCTACTTACACCTTCTGTGTTGGTATTTATATATTTGAAAAAAAAAGCCAGCTTTCTCTCCCATTCTTTATGGATTGGCTTCATACAAAGAAACCCCTTCACCAATCAGCTCAACTAGAGAATCTGGGAGGCTTTCCAACCTTTTTCTGTGTATATATCCTCTCTGAAGTTATGTGTGTTAATTCTATATTAGAAGGCTTTCCAGTTTTGTCTTTTCAGGAGCTGATAAACTCTTAACTCTTTGTGGTGCCTCTATGCTATACCTGGTTCCTTTAAGCAACAGCACTCTTCCAAGCTCTTTTTTTGTTGTGAGTGGCTCCTACACAAAAGCAGTTCCTGGGTGTCATCAGTGCTTTGAAACAGGCAAGACAAAACTATTCTGTTGGGCAAAGCCCTAGAAAGTAGAATTAATGCTCAACTCTTTTTTTTTCTCTGATGGAGAAGCTGCCAACCTGCATTGACCTCTGTCTGCTGGAACAGCAGCATGCCATAACACTCTTTTGCTCTCAGCAGCTCCTAGGCATCTAGAGTATGCCACGTCCTGTCAGCATCCTAGACAGCAGATACAGAAGCTAGAGGCCAGTTTGTCAGGTAGGCCTCCGCCACCCAAAAAGTCAGAAAGTTGGATATAGTATTCAGTCTCCTTGTTGCTTCCCCAGGGGAAACTTGGGAGATGGGAGAGTACTACTAATGTAGCACTGTGCCAGTGAGAGGGGCTATGAAAGAAAGTGCCACAATTTTTTCTACTAATACAGCTGATTTTTTGCTTTCCTGGGAGCATAGGAGTTTTTTTTTTGATTTCCCATAAAGGAAAGTGATTATGTGTTGTTGCTGAATTTGGTATTTCTGAGGGAGACAAAATGTTTTGGGTCTAACTGTCTTACCATTTTACTCTCCTTTTACTTATCTTAATATTAGAAATCATTATACCTTTTTGGTGAATCTTAAACAATTTAAATTGATGAGAATAGATATTATTAAAAATAAACAGTAATTTAAAATATTATGCATGTCTTAATGTGCTTTATTTTTAATAAAGTGGTTTTAATTTTATGCTTACATCAAATCAAGAAATGTGAATCATCTTTTTTGCAATATATGAATATTGTAATATGTGTGAATGTATGTAAATGCAATTTTAAATATCACAGTATAAATATAACATCTGACAGAAAATTAGCTATGTAGCTAAACAATTTATACTATTTAAAAGTTTATTATAACTAATATAAATTTGCATTTCATTAATTTATTTTGTTGCTTATAGTACTTTTAAAAATGCTCCATATAATAGACATGTGAAATGTAACAATGTTAACTATGAAACACAAAATTTGAATTTTCATAGGGAAACTTTTTTAAAAATTTAAAACTCTATTATATAACTTTAAGTATAATTTAGCTATAATAGTCTTTAAACAAGGGAATATTAATGAATACTATCAAATGTAAAAGGAATCCTAGAGAAAAACTACTTTCTTCTTCAATAATATGAACTATTAACCATAAAATCATCGAGGCCTTAAAGCTATAAAAATTGGGAGGAAAAAGTATGAAAAAATATTGAAAACCAAAAGTATTTCTAAGTTGAATATAAATTTAAACTACTGCAGAGAAAACTGCCTCAAGTTGATGAGTGAAAATTCTGGGGGAAATTCTTGCCTCTTTAGTTCTGTCACATTGTCTCAGGATTTATGGGGTCTGAGTTACCATTCCTTGGAAAGACAATAGGAAAAGATAATTTTCTTATGATTTCTGACACAGGAAAATTCTTCAAAGATGACGTGTTGAATTGTAGCTTTATACATTTCCTTCTTTTGTTTTTTGTTTGTTAAGGATGCAGCTAAAGTGTTAGAAAAGACTATGCTAAAAATATATGATGTAGGTAATCAATGAGCTCATGCAGATTTAGTGTCCCTGGAACTCATTTATACCCTTTTAATAGGATTTCTATTGAAGCAAGTAAAATGTTCATATCTATTGCTGTCGAATACAAACACAAATTATTTTAATCATTAGGAAAGAATTTTGGTAATAAGTAATCAGAGTAGGCGTGTAGGACAACAAAAGCTGGCATGATTAATCTTAACCAGGGGGATGAAAATTCAATCGAGCAGTGTATTAGTTAAGAATTCAATTGAAAACTAAAAAGAAACCAATGCTGCATTCAAGTATGTAAACTGAGATTGCAACCTAATGTCATTTTATAATCTAAATAAAAAACAAAACCCTGCCTTAGGTTTAGAAAAAAGACATTATTTGACCTAATTATCTAGATAATTTAGGTGAAGGTACACAGTTTTTATCTAAACATCGTAGATTAAGGCTTTAGTTTTCCATTTCACCTCTTGGTGTTGGAAATGTTTTATGTACTTCATGTAGTATTAGGTGAGGAATAGGTATTAGAGCCACTACTACTGAGTTAAGAGGGTACAATGAACCTATTGGGGGCAGCAATCTCTAGGGAATTTTGGACATTTCACTAATAATGTATCCCATGACAATCTGGTCAAATATTCACAGATTATGATACATCCACAGGTAGATTTTATCAGCCTGTGTATTTCTCTTTACCCACAAGAACTAACATGTTTGAATATTAAATGAGTGGCAGAATTAAGTTTGCATTTAGTTTTGCATAATTCCTGGAAAAGTGTTTTATAGCTTCATCAGATACAAACAAATATACATTTATTTTCTGGTATATTACAATATTCTAAGGACACTAGAGCATTTAAAGATGAAGATATTAATGAAAATGACAAATATGATTCTTGGCAATGTTTCATCTTATTTTAGGAGATGAGCTATGGAAAATACAGAGATATTTCTCATCATAATTTAATGGTTAAAAGTGTCTTACCTATTTCACTAAGATATGTTTAATTTATCTATAATGAAGGTCATACATGTATATACATATGAGATAAACCTCAAGTAAAAGAGTTATAGATCTTATTCAAGTAGAAACTGGAAAAGTATTACAAATCTGATAGTGACACGGTAGAAGGCACAAGGGTGAGAAGGACACAATAAGGAAACAAAAAAATGAAGATACAGAGCACATTATGTAATGATAGTAGATATGTGAGATATTGACAGTAATTTAGGCTGGGATATTTGTATAAAAACCCTAAAATTCATGGGAAAAAGGCAGAGAATTTTAAAACAATTATATCATTTCCAAAGTAGAAAATAACAATTGGTTAAATGTAACCATCCACTCTATGCCTGCATCTATGTAGCTAAATGCTACATACATTTTATGTGCATAAAAACATAAAATCATGTTGACTGGTATTAATTTAAAATTATATACTTCTTTTAAATCAATGCTATAGTACTGCCCCAAAAAAACTAATACATTTATCAAGTCCAGTTTTCTACCCCACTTGTTTGTGCTCAAATTTTTAATATCTTCTTGCCCATCCTGGCCTTTAGCTCTTCATGTTGTTCCTAATGAAAATATGAAGAATAGAAGGGAAAATCCACAAACTCCCAAATGACATCTATTTATATACCTGCATTTAGGCCTATGTATTCCGCATAAGTTGTCCATGTTTCAATCTAAGAGCACTAGAACTCATTTCTTTTACTCAAATGCTTCACTTCTGCCTACACATTCTTCCAATAATTATCTTTTTCTCAGATCTTTGAATATTTTCCTTCACTGATTCATTGCTCTCAGAACACAAATTGTATCATAATGTTAATTATAATATTAATGAATACTAATAGTATGTTCTGTGTCACTCCAGATACTTGGCCTCGCCAGTCTCAGGATTTTGACTACTTGTTCCCATCTCAGCTGCCACTGGGTTTACAAACATGATATGGATTCCAATTAACTTACCTTCTGCATTACATCTATGCACTGTTTTACTCTCACGCAGGTTGTCCATATTTATGTTAAAGCACGGGGCACCATAGGATACTCTGGGTGCTAAGCACGTGGAATCCAAAAATGCAGAAGAATTAATACTACAGGGAAAATTTGACTAATGGGAAAGACGAACTTTCCCATTTCCCTTGATAAAATTTCCCTGGATACCCTGAACAGAAAGTCTTAAGAAGTAGTCCTTCTTCTGGCTTCTGAAATGGCAATACTATGAGATCCAGCTATCGGTTACATTTAATATCAAGACATAATAAAACCCATCCCAAATTTCTTCCCTTCCCTGCTTAAACCCCATTTTCTTCACTTTGCTCTCTGAATTGTATTCTCTATATAAAGTAATGGCATACTTCAACACAGCTTTCTGAGAGTTCAACATGGTTGATTTTGGTCATTAATAAACACACATATATACACACGTGCACCCTTTATCGACTTATTCTATTTATTTGTTTTCATTCATCAATAAATATCTTAAAATATATTTTTAATATTTCCGGTCTACAATTCCCCTCTTTCCATTTCTAATTTTCATTCCCTGTATCTCCCCTAACCTTCCATCGAAATTTCTCTGTCAAGGTCACCTTCATGTTGTTAAATCTAATGAGCAACATATATTTCTTACGCTAGCCAGCTGTACTGTTTGACAAAATTGATCCTGTTCCTCACCCAAAAATACCTCCATTGGCTTCCAGGAAGGCATAGTTTCCTGGTTTTCCCCTTGTTTCCTTCTCGGGCCTTTTCGTTGATTCTTCCTCCTCTACTGGAATGTTCCAGAGTCTGAGTCCTTTGATTTATTCTCTTCTGTACATGCTCAGTTGATGGTCTCACCTTGCCTCTTCGCTTTAAATGTGATAGAGCTGAGAACTCCCAAATATATATCTAGAGTGTGATCATCTTCTATGTTCTCAAGTTGTAGGTAATTGCTTGTTTGATATCGCTATATGAGTATCTAATCACCTTAAAATTAAAATGATCAAAACTGGGCTTATGATTTTCTCCTTTAAGCCTGTTACTGCTCATTCTATCTCAACTCTCTGAATAGAAACTCCACCTTTCTAGTCATGCAGGTCAAACCTGCAATCATCTTTGCTCCTTCTCCTTCACACCCTATCTCCAATCAGTCATCTAATACTTTTGATTCTATATTTGTAATATATACATATTTTTGCCTCTTTTTGCCACCTCCACTACTACTGTCCCAAACCATATCTCTTTTTTCTTATGCTTGGATTACTGTAATAGATCATGGTTATTCCATCTATAGTCTCTCTGTTCTATCATTTCCCCCCATAGTTTATTTTCAATACATATGTTTTTTCTTCATTTTCACTCTTAAAAATACGTCTGATTATGTCTCTTCTTAGCAGAAAACTTCCAAAGGCTTTCTGTCTCACTCATAGTCAAAGCCTTAGTGCTCTTAAATCTCTGAGGCCTAATTTTATCTAAGCCCACATTTCTTGCTACCCTTCACATTGCTCACACTTTTCCAGTCACATTTGCCAATTAACTGTCCACGGATTCTCTTAGGCATTCTTTTGTACTTCCTGTTTCCTCTGTTTAGAATGTTCTTCTCAAGATATCCAGTGGCTTGCCCTGCATCTTCTCCAAGTCTTGTCTAAACCCACTATTTCAATGAGGTCTAAACTGAAAACCTTATTTAAAATATGAATACTCCCTCCCCTGCACCTCATATCCTCCTGTTATGCCTTATTTTCTATGTAATGCATTGTAACATAATATATATATTTATCATTAATTTATTTATTGTATATTTCTCCCATGAGGATGCAAATTTCACGGTGGCAGTGATGTTTGATTGTTTTTTTCTTCATTGCTGCATTCCTATTAATATAAATGGGCCTGCCAAAAATATTGCTTGAATGATTTTTGGATAAAATATTTGAATATTATGCACCATTCTGATCTCCTGAAATGAATGTATTCATTCATCAGGTAGGGAGCAGGCATATACATGCCTGCATAAAAGAAAACAGCTATTTGAAACTACATAAAATCAAATTATATGTACTATTCAAATGAAAATAAAAATTAGTTTTTATTAAGATTATGTATTTGAAGATCTAGCACTTCTAAATATTTTCTACTCTAAAGTTGTGCTTAGAATGCTTTTAAAAGTTCTCAGAGAAACTCATTTCAAAGTTGATTTTTCTTAAATGAGAGCAGACTCTAAAATGATTTTTACCATTTTGTGATGGTTTTCACATTGTGTCTAGAAAGATTGGAGACGTGTAAATAAAAGTTTAGAGTATAATTAAAATAACTGCACAAGATAAAATTAATGAAGTTATTCTTCATAGTGACAAGTACTACGTGAAACATTATTTAAAATATATCTATGCAAAAAGATAAAGCTATTCAAAATGCAGAATCTCAGAAACCAATCCTCAATAGCATAAAAATTAAGTATTTCATAAGGATCTGCTGGGGCTCTATGATTAAATATAGTTTGCTTACAAATTTTAGGAAATATAGAAACCCATACTTCTTTGTAAATAAATATTAAATCCAAAGTTCTACTAGCTATTAAAAGATCAGTTCGTATTGAACTAATCTACTAAACAAAACAGAAGTAAAGTAAACCTTACTTTAGGCAAAACATACCTTAGTAAAATTATATATCCAAATAAACTAGCTGGACAATTTTTTCTTCTTAGAACTACAATATGACTTCTGAAATTCACTAAATTATAATTATCTCAATTTTTGATACCAGCATTTTGTCTATGTTACTTAAGACTTGGAAAATATGCTGGGTAACATCTACTGAAGTACTTTTGAATGTAAAAGATCACTCTTTAATTTATGATATGTTCATTGTTTCAAATTGGTGATACCTTAGTTTTCTAGGAAAACTGTATATTTATTCTTCTTAGGTATGTCATATTTGCAATCCACAAATATATATAGTAAACTCTATCTGAATATGAAAAAGTAAATTGTATTTCATAGAGCCAGCTTTGTGGGAGCTTAGAGTAAGAGCACAATATAGACAGATATCATTCAGGTATTTAGTTGAATAATTAGTAGACAACTTAAATATAGGTTCCTGGAAGATATCTGACTTGTGCCTTGAAGCAGTAGCAATAACTATGCAGTAAATATTGTGCTTTGTGCAGTGACCCTCAGTTAAGCAACTTGAGGGCAGAGATGGAATCCTGCCATATTTACAAACACAAATGCACACACAGACCACAATACATACACAATGAGTATCTGAATGAATGGAAGAAAAAATGTTCTGACTAATTAACTCATTATGAACCTATGATAAATGGCCAAATACCCTCCCTTAATGGGATCTCTTCCAAAAAACTACCCATTTAAATTTCAGCCTTACCGGTGTGAAATCAATCAGTTTCCATCTTGTCTCTTATTTGTGAATTTGGCCGTCAGTATTTTTAGTGGAAGCAGGATGTTAGAGTAGTCAGGATGGCTTAAGGAGAGCACGTTGTTTGTTATTCCTTTGTGATAACTAAGAAAAGAGGTATAAAATTTAGCTTGCTCTTACCAATCTTTATTTAAAATTTTATATTTAATTTATTGCGGGCTTAATAAAACTTGAATAAACTAGTTTAAACTATTTCCTTATACCCCTCATCCAGCTTCCCAATGTCAACATTTTAACACATTTGCTTTTTTTTCTCCCTCTCTCTCTCTATTCCCAATCCTGCTCAGGTACTTTGTTTTCCTGGACTGTTTCTGATATATGATTCCTGAACTATTTGCATATATAATGACCCTTTGCCCCTAAATACATCAATGTGTATTTATGAAAACTATGATATTCTCTTATAGAACCACATCATAATTATTAATTATTAAAATCCAGGAATTAATATTGATATAATACTAATATAGCATATTATTGATATAATACTATTGTACATTATATTGTACTATATATCGTACATAGTATTGATATAATACTAATATGTATATCAATTATATCAATAATATATCAGTATATCAATAGCATAATATACTGATATATGATATAATATTGATATAATACTATTATATAAGCTACGCACTTTTTATTCAAGTAAAAGTCACCATTTCTCTCACTATAAAAAAAAATGGTTTCCTGGTCTGCACTTCTACCCAGAGTTACTTGACGCATTTAGTTGTCATGTCTCTTTAATCTTCTTTAATCTGGATGAGTTTCTCAGTATTTCCATTAAAATGTATGTTTTTAAATCTTTTATGACCTTAACATTTTGAAGAGCACAGGCCATTTGTTTTCTAGAATGTCCCTCAATTTGGGTTTATCTGATGTTTTCTCATTACTAGATTCAGGGTATGCATTTTTGGCAGAAAAACCACAAAAGTGATATTGGGTTCTTTTCGGTGAACCGTTTATGAAGCACATGATAGGCATCAATAGTTATTAAGCAAGACCACATAAAGCACTCTGCAAAATATGACTTTCTCCCTGTATCCCAAAAGCACATTTATTTATGTTTACTTAAGAAAAGTATTTACAGAACCCTAGCTACGTTCCAGGCTTCTTGTATGTGATAAATTGCTATGAAAGTTCCAGAATAGGTGGGCAAACATTAGCATCGAGAAAAACCTCACAGAAACTTTCAGAAGACCCTGAGCTATGGAAGGATGAAGAGTAGGATGATGGAGGGCATTCCAGACAAGAAAACCTAGGAGGATGGAATTCATCACTTTGCAAAGTTAGTTACCTAAGCTTGACCCATTCTGAAATCTTACGTAGTGGTTATGGTTCACGTGAAATAGTTTTTTTCATTACTCATATTATAAACCACAATTAAAAGAACTATTTACAGCAGGAATTAGTTTTCAGAAACCCAAGATGTCTTTTGTGGTTCATAATGGTGCACTAAGTCTAGAGAATATATTCTTATTAGCCCATCTATTCAAAATAGACCATTTTAGTGTTGCTTTGCTTCCAGGTCTTTAAATATGATTGACTATATAGAGTTGCTGTGCATTTTTGTTGCTGTTGTGATTTATTTATTTGTCTCCCAATCAGTTGAAGCTCATCAACTCTGAATTATCGCCCAAATGCGCTTATCTGTTTCTTCTTATTTCCAATGTAAGATACCAGGTTTTAAACTAAAGGAGCCCTTAAGTACATTGAAAGACATATAAAGAGCAAGTAAGTACTTTAACATTCCATTAATTTAAGTATTCAAGGACTTGACAGTACAGGTCTGAATAAGAAACATATTGTATGTTCAAAATCTGGTACTATTGTTCATAGAGAATCTCTCCTTTTTTGTGAGTGTCTTTTTTACAGTATAATTATCTCTCATTAGTTCTGAAGCTTGAAATAAAAGAGCAACACAATCCTGCAATTAGGGTACAATTGTACCTGAAATCTTGTAAGTTCAAAGTCAGAGCATTGAAACTTATGACTTATAACTACCAGAATGTGAATGTTCCATGTGCATTTGGTTAATCTATAACACATTATTCTATTCTTAATAGATATGTGAGCTGCAACTGATATGCATAGTTCAGTAACTAAGGTTAAACTGAAAAGAAAAAATCTCTCTTTTAAGGCATAAGTTACAAAATTACAAAGGTGAAAAGGTTTTGAGGTATTTAATTTCCTTTTCTGCCTTGAAAAGAAACAATAGGAAATAGAGAAAATACTCGATACATTTTATTAATCACATAGTCCAGGTCAATGCATTATATACACAGGAATGTGAAATGTCAGAGTCAATTAAATGAGTGTTTGTAAAATAAACCATTTCACCATATGAGCATATTTAAGTCATAATACAGTTAGATAAATGTACTAAACATTCAAATAAACATGTGTGGCTACTTGACTATTTAATTATTGAAATAAAGACATTGATTTCCATGTGCGATGATGCAGACAGAACATGTCTTCTTATAAATATTCATTTCTGGCTTTTGACTTATAATATTTCTTTTAAAAGTGGGCACATACAGCAACAAGTAGCATGATTTCTTCATATACTCTCAACACTATAGTTTTTCCAGTACCTCAGTTGATGCGGGAAGTTAAATCACTGGTAGCAAACATTCAAAAGCAACATGTGCTTCAATATTTAAGGTAATAGAAATATTAACTCTTTAGATCAAGACTGGTGATGTTTCAAGGCCTTCATATCTACTATTATAAATATATACATATACAAGCATTTTTAAAGAATTAACTATTTCTTATAAGTATAATAACAGTAGTAGGCAGCATATATTGAGTGCCTGCTCTATGCTAAACAATGTAACAAGGTTTTTACAAACAGCTCTAAACCTCTCCCAAATCCTGCCTGGTCATCATTAGTGTATTAGTGTTCCTTTTTTTTTTTTTTTTTTTTTTTTTTTGAGACGGAGTCTCACTCTGTCGCCCAGGCTGGAGTGCAGTGGCACAATCTCAGCTCACTGCAAGCTCCGCCTCCTGGGTTCACGCCATTCTCCTGCCTCAGCCTCCCAAGTAGCTGTGACTACAGGCGCCTGCCACCACGCCCGGCTAATTTTTTTTTTTGTATTTTTAGTAGAGATGGGGTTTCACGGTATTAGCCGGGATGGTCTCGATCTCTCCTGACCTCGTGATCCGCCCACCTCGGCCTCCCAAAGTGCTGGGATTACAGGCCTGAGCCACCGCGCCCGGCCAACATTAGTGTTCCTTTCTTAACAGATAAATAATCTTCCTCAAATGGACTAAATAAGTTGTCCAACATTGTTTAAGACTATGGTTCATTAGGTTTTCAGATTAGATACGTTGAATTTCAGTGTAAATTATTCTAGTATTCAATATAGTGAGAATCAGTTAGTTAATTGACATTGCATGGATTATTTTTTTGCACGCCTGTGGCCGAAATTCTGTTTTGCTTCTCCTATCACATGATTTTTGTTGTAAGTTAGATTTGTAATTTTATTTATATTTTTTAGTATTTTTCTGATGATAAAGATATCCCTGTTGAAGAAAATATTTAATATATAAATAAATTTAAAATCAAAATAATAAAATTCCACAATTCTATAACCTAGATATAAACAGTGATAACTTTTTTACATATTTCCTGACAGTCTATCAAAAGGATATTTATGAATATGTAATACCCAATAGCCTGCAAACATTTCATTGAATTGTTAATAACTCAAATATTTATTGGATGCCTGCTATATATCACTGCCTAAGATAAAGAGATGAATCCAATAGAAAAAATGCTTGGTTTCTTATTATGTATACACACACAAATACATTTGTATATATCTTAGACATTATCAGTTATAAAACAAGCTAAATTGAATATAAAAATTGAGTATAAAAATGAATACTTTTTGACTTTACATAATATCAATAAACAGTTTTTCAAGTCTAACCATTGTAAGATACAATATTTAATACATATTACAAGGTAGCTAAGTGGATAAATCATGGTGTTTTTAAAATCTAGGTTCAAATTTCAACCTTGCCCCTATGTATTCCCTTGACCTAGTGTTCTAACTTCAACATCTATGTCTTGAACCATAAAATGAAATTAAAAATTAGTATGTATCAACAGGACTCTGTGAGAATAATTATTTTTTTTTTGAGACAAAATCTCACTCTGTCACCCAGGTTGGAGTGCAAGGGTGCAATCTCAGCTCACTGCAATCTCTGCCTCCCAGGTTCAAGTGATTTTCCTGCTTCAGCCTCCCCAGTAGCTGGGACTACAGGTGCCCGCCACCATGCCCAGCTAATATTTTGTGTTTTTAGTAGAGGTGGGATTTCGCCATGTTGGCCAGGCTGGTCTAGAACTCCTGACCTATAATAATCCATCCAACTCGGCCTCCTAAAGTGCTGGGATTACAGGCCTGAGCCACCGCACCTGACCGAGAATTAATTTTTATGCTTTGTGTGGTAACACCTTTCAATTTGTACTTTTGTTATTATAATCTCATTTTATCATATCATAGTCAGCTGATATATTCTATGTAATTTGTGTGAGACCCTTCTACACAAATAGCATCAAGTCTAGTTGTTTCATGCTGGTCTTCATACACATCCAGTAAAATATCAAAAAATGAGTGGACTTATTTAGAGCAAAGGCTTAGGACACACTTGAAGCAACGTAGAAAGAAAAATAGCATCTGATAAAACATTTAGCATTGCTACTGAGAACTGGTCAATACCTCTTACATGGCATTGCCTATTGTTGCAGCAATATCCTTGTACCCCACCCTGCACAAGCTGAAAGCCCATGTTCCCTGTCTCGGGTCCTATCCTGCAGCCCACATTCACACATACAGCTGTTATTCCTAAGCACACGTCCCCTCACTCAGAGAGTGCTTCAAATTTTCAGCAGCACCGTGAACTAGAATCCGTGTCTCCTCAGTACCACCCAAGCCTTGGATTTGTACTGAAGTTACCCTTTTCTTTCACGGTAAATTCTCATTTAAAGGAAACTCAGCGTTATCTCTTACTCATATAACACATTGTAGCTCATCTGAGACTATCACAGATGTTCTAAAAATGTGGACCTACACAAGGAAAAAACTCAAGATCTCTTGGCAGGGCATGGTGGCTCACACCTGTAATCCCAGCAATTTGGGAGGCCAAGGTGGGAGGATCACTTGAGCCCAGGAGTTCAAGACCAGCCTGGGCAACATGTGAAATCCCATCTCTACAAAAATATACAACGATTAGGCAGGCATGGTGGTGGACTCGTGTAGTCCCAGCTATTTGGGAGGCTGAGGTGGGAAGATCCATTGAGCCTGAGAAGCCAAGGCTGCAGTAAACTGTGATCACACCACTGTTCTCTAGTCTGGGCAACAGAGCAAGACTCTGTCTCAAAAGAATCAGGCTTTGGATTCTCCACTTACACAGTTTCCTGGGTTCAGGGCAAGTATGAAGAAAACTGAAACATCATCTTCTTCATATTTTTTGATGAAATTTTCTTTCCTACCTTTTTATTCTATTTTTTCGTACTCTCTTTTCCCACTTAAGGAACATAGCATAAAATTCTCAATAAAGTTGGCTTTTAATAGACAAGAATTGTGATTGTTTTTAAGCATCTTTTGCTTTTAATCTAGTTTTCCCTAAGGCAAAGAAAAAGCAAAATCTGGCTTCTTGATTCGGGGGGATAGGATGGGCAACAGTAGAAAACCTTGAGACTAAAATGTAATCTATTAAATTTGTATTTTAATGGATTATTCTCATAATGACTTTTTTGGACCTCAGGCATCTGATAAAATGTGTATACAGTAAGAAGAAAAATTTCATATCCATTATATAGATTCATTTATTAGGAAGTAGTTGGTTTGTGAAAAAGCATTAGTATAATCCCTGATGTGTTATTTTACAATAATGTCTGGACATGTTAAAATAAAGTCTTCTTAATTTCTCTTTATAATTACCCATCTGAATAGTTTTGTGGTTGAATTTAATACCTAGCAATTATGCTGGTCAAGCAATATGTACACAAATATTTTTAAGCAGATATGTCTCTGCCAATTTCATGCTGCAATTTTCAACCTTACTCTTCTGGATATCATATAAAATGCAGAGGGAATCTATTATGGAAACAAACTTTTTCAGGGCTAAAAATGAAAACATTTTTATTTACTTAAATCTTACTTGCCCAGGCTATTCTCTGAAACCAGTGACTTCTATAAATCTGAATTATACTAAAATGGTTTTGAGGTTAATGAAAATTGCATATTATGTTTTTATGATAATTCTCATTTATTGAAATGTAACATGTGGCTAGCAATGTATTTAATGTTGTATGTATATATGTCACTTAATTCTTACAACAACGTTTTGAAATAAAGATTACCAGTATACTACTTTTGTGGTTCGGAACTCTGAAGCTTAGAGAGGTTAAAAAAATTTACCCAAGATCACTCAACTAACAATTGACAGAACAAGAATATGAACTTATTTTTTAACCAGTTGTGATAGATCTTGTGCAAAGATAGCTACCAAAAACTTGTCCCATTCCTGTAGGCATATGTTGTTCTGTTCACAAAGGGGAGGACTCTATTTCTTCTCCCTTTGTATTTTGGCAATCTTTGTTATTTGTTTTGACCAAGACCTATGGAATACGGTAGAAAGTGTTATTTTGTTAGTTCAAGCCCTAAGCCTAAGTAGCCTGCCAGCTCATACATTTTTTTCTCTTGAACAACAGCCACCATGTGAAGCAGCCCAGCTATATTGCTGCTGAGACAAGAGTGGAAAGAAGGATGCTTGAAGAATGAGCGACTAAGAAGGAAGAGAAAGAAGTTCAGCCAACCTCTAGCCATGATAGTCATCTTACCTGAGATATCACATATATAAATAAATCTTCATGCAGCCCTAGTTGAGTTTCCTCAACCAAACCACATAAAGCACAGGCCCAGACAAGTGCTGCCAAGTTGCAAAATTGTAAGCAAATAAATAATGTTTGGGTTTTTTTAAGCACTAAATTTTGGGAGGTTTGTAAGGCAGCAAGAGATAACTGAAGCACCAATATAAATTACAACCTTTCTGATACAAAACTCTTTTATTTCGTTTATTATTTAATTTTAAAAATATTTAATGTGTATTTAATTTAAATAAATTATTTGATATTATTAATAGTATTTCCGAGACTTCAAGAAAAAGGCCATCAAAAAGTGAAAAAGAAACTGAATGAAGAGTAAAATACTTTGTTTCCACTATATTTTTCTCCTTGTAAAACTCCCCTCATTAACATTCTGTTTAAATACTCTGAGACCCCATAGAAAAGTTTCGAAACAAAGCCATTTTAAGTAATATAATTGTTAGAAGCAGCTACTTATACATGAGTTCATGTCTTTAATAAAATTATTCCCACTTATTGAAACCTACAATAATGTGACCTGTTAATGTATTTGGGGTTGCATA
The DNA here is from genome assembly GCF_000001405.40 of Homo sapiens. NCBI lineage: Eukaryota > Metazoa > Chordata > Mammalia > Primates > Hominidae > Homo > Homo sapiens. The sequence continues at coordinate 77,581,689 of NC_000008.11, read as the reverse complement.
TACTTCAGTCAAGTTCTTAATGAAAATATTAAGGGTGCTTAAAATATATCTAAAGTCTGAGATGAATTTCATCTAGTTTTTAAATATATGAAATATTTAGTAGTACATATACCACTGATAAAATATACATTTGTTATTTAAGAAATTGTATTTCCACCAATCTCTGTAATCAATTTTACATTTAAAATTCTTTCCATAACAAATCAATATGCATAATTTGAGTATATTTTATATATCACAGGTGTTTATGAATTATTTCCATATTTAAAATACCAAATATTTCAGAATGGACAATAAATAAGTGTTAGTTCCCTTTCTTTTGCTGACATTACTTAAAAGCAAGTATAAAAAATCTGAAGCACAGTTCGTGAATGCTGGGATTGCTAGATGATGATACACTGTAAGATGAAAGACTTTCAAAGCCTTTAAAGCATTACCCAAGATAACTGCTCAGTGAAAAAAAAGTGTGTTGTAAAACAATATGTAATACAATCTTATGTTGTTAAAATATTATTAATTGCAAATATAAATATATAATGCTACATTTAATACATTTATAATAATTGAAAAATATATAATACATGTGTGTTACCTCATAAACATGAAGAAAACCTTGTAAATGTATTTGGTGGAAAAGGAAGAAAGAACATAAACACTGGAGTCAGAAAGACCTACCTACAAATCCTGAGTTTGCCACTTAATAATTCTATGGGATTTCAGTCAATAACCTAATTTATCAGAACCTGTTTCCACGTATTCAAAGTGGGCAGAAATGTATCCACTTTCAGAAATATAATAATAGAAGTCAGAGACAAGCTAATGATGCTTAGTAAATGACAATTGTTCTAATTCTTATTAGTCCCGAACAGTCATCCTCATCAAACACAATTTGCTACTCCATCAGGGGAATGTTTTTCACGTGGTTTTCTAGTGGGTCTATGTCTCCACAAGGGTATTTTTGGCATTCTGCAGAAGTCCCAATCAAATTTCGTAAAAGTGTAATTTAATTTTTAAAAATCTGTATTTCATATGTTTTTGGCTCAATAAAATGAGAGCAAAGCTTAAGGGTACCTGCTTAATGGATATTTTCCTGAGCATTGTTCAGTAACAAATAAAGCTGGAGAGGGGATAAATTGCTTCATGATTACCTTTAGCATTTATTTCAACATGGATAGTTTGAGTTATATACTTAGTAAATTTTACTTTATTTTATTGAGGTGAAATGCCTTTAAAGTTAAAAAAGTTACTGATTACTAAGAAAATTGTAGAATACTATTTGATATGAGTGTAACAAGAGTTATCAGGTTTGAGAAAAAAAACACAAAAAATTACTGTGACCAAAGCTAAATAGCTCACATTAACTGGTAAAAAGATATGAAAGTAAAGCAACATGCTCACAACATTTAATGTAAGGTAATTCGAACAACAAAATCAAAACAAAACAACACAGAAGGGTGATTCTTTCTTAAAATATTTTAGTTGACAAATAATAATTGTATATGCTTATTTTTTATTTTTCCAGGTACAAAGTAGGTGTATATAATTATAAGGTACATGAGATATTTTGATAAGAGGCAAACAAAGCATAATAATCACATTAGAGTAAATGGGGTATCCATCCCCTCAAGCATATATACTTCTTTTTATTACAAACAATTCATTTATCCTCTTTTAGTAATTTAACAATATACAGTAAATTATTGTTGACTGTAGTCACCCTGCTGTGCTGTCAAATACTAGGTCTTATTCATTCCTTCTAACTACTTTTTTTTTTTTTTTAATCCATTAACCATTCCCACTTCTCCTCCTCCACTATCCTTACTGGTCTCTGGTAACCATCCTTCTACTTTCTATCTCCATGAGTTCAGATGTTTTGATTTTTAGTTCCCAAAAATAAATGAGAACATGCAAAGTTTGTCTTTCTGTGCTGGCATTTTTCACTTAACATAATGGCCTCCAGTTCCATGCATGTTGTAGCAAATGACAGGATTTCATACATTTTATGGCTGAATAGTACACCATTGTGTATATGTACCACATTTATTCATTCATCTGTTGATGGAAACTTAAGTTGCTTCCAAATTTTGGCTATTGGGAATAGTGTTGCAAAACACACAGGAATGCAGATATCTGTATAATATATCGATTTCCTTTCTTTTAGACACATACCTACGAGTGGCATTGCTGGCTATGGAAGTTTCACTTTTAGTTTTTTGAGGCAGTTTCTGGTGAGAAATGGAATGTTCTCCATAGTAATTTTACTAACTTACATTATCACCACCAATATACTAGTGTTCCCTTTTTGCCGTATCTATGCTAACATTTATTATTGCCTATGTTTTGGATAAAAGCAATTTTAACTGGGGTAAGATGATATCTCATTGTACTTTTGATTCACATTTTTCTGATGATCAATGATGTTAAGTATGTTTTTATATACCTGTTTGCCATCCATCTGTTTTCTTTGGAGAAATGTCTATTCAGAGATTTTGCTCATTTTTAATCAGATCATTAGGTTTTTTTCCTGTAGTCTTATTTGAGATCCTTATATATTCTGGTTATTAACCCAACATGATATGATCCCATTTGTCCATTTTTGTTTTGGTTGCCTGTGCTTACGGGGTGTTATTCAAGAAATATTTGCCCAGCCCAGTGTCCTAGAGAATTCACCCAATGTTTTATTTAGTAGTTTCATAGTTTCAGGTCTTTGACTTAAGTTTTCAGTCCATTTTGATTTGGTTTTATGTATGACAGGAGATAGGGATCTAGTATAATTTTTCTGCATATGGCTGTCCAGTTTTCCCATCATCTATTTTTGAAGAGACTGTCCTTTCCCCCAGTGTATGTTTTTGGCAACTTTGTTGAAAGTGAGTTCAATATAGACGTGTAGATTTGTTTCTGGGTACTCTATTCAGTTCTATTTGTTTATATGTCTGTTTTTATGCCAGTATTATGCTGTTTGGGTTACTATAGCTCTGTAGTATAATTTAAAATCAGGTAATCTGATTTCTCCAGTTTTGTTCTCTATGCTCATGATAACTTTGACTATTCTGGGTCTTTTTGGGTTTCACATAAATTTTAGGATTTTTTTTTTCATTTCTGTAAAAAATTTAATTGGTATGTTGATAGGGATTGCATTGATCTGTAGATTGCTTTGGGCAGTATAAACATCTTAACAACACTGATTCTTCCAATCCATGAACATGAAATATCTTTCCATTTTTTGTGTGTTCTCTTCAGTTTCTTTCATCAATGTTTTACCATTCTCATTGTAGAACTCTTTCACTTTTTTTGCTTAATTTCTAAGTATTTAATTTTATTTGTTGCTATTATAAATGGGATTACTTTCTTGATTTTCAATTTAGATTGTTAACTCTTGGTATATAGACATGCTACTGATTCTTGTATGTCAATTTTGTATCCTGAAACTTTCTTGAATTTATCAGTTCTAATGGTTTTTTTTTTAACAGAGTCTTTAGCATTTCCAAATAAACAGTTGTATCATCTGCAACTAAGGATAATTTGACTTTTTTCTTTCCAGTTTGGATGCCCTTTAGTTTTTCCACTTGTCTGATTGCTCTATCTAGGACTTCCAGTACTATGTTGAATAACACTGGTGGAAATTGGAATCCTTGTTGTATTCCATATCTCAGAGGTAAGGATTTTAGTTTTTCCCCATTCAGTATGATACTAGCTGTGGGTCTGCCTTATATGGCTTTTATTATGTTAAGATATGTTCCCTCTATGCCATTTTTTGGGGGGTGGGGGGTTATCATGAAGGAATATTAAATTGTACTGACAGTTTTTCCAGCATCTATTGAAATGATCATATGGTGTTTCTAAGGATTTTTGCATCAATGTTAATAAGGGATATTGGCTTACCGGTTTTGTGTGTGTGTGTGTGTGTGTGTCTTTGTCTGGATTTAGTATCAGGGTAATACTGGCTTTGTAGAATGACTTTGTAAGTATAACCTCCTTCTTTATTTTTTGGAATAGCTTGATTTAAACTGGTATTATTTCTTCATTAAATGTTTGTTAAAACTCAGGAGTGAAGCCATCAGGTCCTGGGCTTTTCTTTGCTGAGAGACTCTTACTATGGCTTCGATCTTATTTGTTGCTATTGGTCTATTCAATACTTGTTGGCTTCAATTTTTACTTGTTATTGGTCTGTTCAAGGTTTTGGATTTCTTCATGGTTCAATCTTTGTAGGTCATATCTGTCTAGAAATTTATCCATTTCCTCTAGGTTTTCCAGTTGATTGGCATATAGTTGCTCATAATAACTTCTAATGATCCATTAAATCCCTGCAGTATCAGCTACAATGTCTTCTTTTTCATTTCTGATTTAATTTACTTGGGTCTTCTCTTTTTTTTTCTTAGTCTGACTAAAGATCTTTTTTAAAATTTTGTCTTTTCTAAACCAACTTTTATTTCATTGATCTTGTGCATTGTTTTCTTCATTTAAATTTTATTTATTTCTGCTCTGATGTTTTTTCATATGCTAATTTGGGGTTTGGCTTGTTCTTGCTTTTCTAGTTCCTTAAAGTGCTTTATTAGGTTGTTTACTTGAAGTTTCCTAATTTTTGATGCAGTTACTTATAGCTATAAACTTCCCTCCTAGTACTGCTTTTGCTATATTACATAGGTTTTGATATATTGTGATTTTATTTTCATTTGTTTCAAGAGGTTTTTAATCTTCTTAATTTATCATTGACCCACTGGTCATTCAGAAACATACTGTGTAATTTCCATGTGTTTGTATAGTTTCCAAAATTCCAGTTTTATTACATTATGGTCAGAGAAGACACTTGATATTATTTCAATTTATTTGAATGTTTTGTGACTTGTTTTGTTACCTCACATATGGCATATCCTTGGGAATGATTCAAGTGCTTGGAAGAAGTATGTGTATTTTACAGCTGTTGAATTAAATGCTCTATAGATATCTATTATATCAATTTGGTCTATAGTGCATATTAATTCCAATATTTCTTTGTCGGTTTACTGTTTAGATGATCTCTCTAATGCTGAAAGTGAGATGTTGAAGTCTTCAGCTATTATGGTATTGGGGTCTATCTCCCTCTTTAGTGCTAATAATATTTGTTTTATATTTCTGGGTGCTTCAGTGTTGGGTTTATATACATGTACAATTGTTATGTTCTCTTGCTGAATTGACCTCTTTGTCAATACATAACAAGCCTCTTTGTCTCTTTTGATAGTTTTTGTTTTGAAATTTATATTGTCTAAGTATAGCTAGCTACTCCTGCTGTTTATTGATCTCATTTGCTTTTTATTCCTTTATTTTTAGTCTGTTTGTGTCTTTATAGGTGAAGTATGTTTCCTGTAGGCAACAGATTATTAGATCTTTCTTTTTTAATCCATTCAGCCACTCTGTCTTTCAACTGGAGAGTTTAGTCTATTCACATTTAATGTTATTACTGATGAATAAGGACTTACTCCTGAAATTTTATTATTTGTTTTTTGATTGTTTTGTGGTTTGCTCTTCCTTCTTTTCTTCCTTCCTGCCTTCCTTTTAGTAAACGTGATTTTCACTGGTGTATATTTTAATTTCTTGCATTTTATTTTTTGTGTATATGTTGAAATTTTTTGATTTGAGGTTACCACGAGACTTTCAAATAATATCTTATATCTCGTTATCTTAAACTTATGAGAACTTAACACTGATTGAATAAACTAACTAACCAACAAGCAAATAAAAAACTAATACAACCTCTGCCCTTTACCTCTATACCCACCTCCACTGTTAAACTTTTTTTGTTTCTATTTATTTATTATTATCCTGCCTATGTCTTTAAAGGTTGTTATAGTTCTTTAAAATATACGTTATTATCTTTCTACTCAAGAATAAGTAGTTTACCCACCACAATTACAGTGTTCTAATATTCTGTGTTTTTCTGTATACTTATTATCAGCAAATTTTGTACCCTCAGATGATTTCTTATTGGTCATTAATGTCCTTTTATTTCATATTGAAGAGTTCCCCTTAGCATTTCTTACAGGAAAGACAAATTAAATCCCTTAGCTATTCCTTATCTGAGAAAGTCTTTCTCTTTCATGTCTGCAGGATATTTTCACAGCATATACCATTCTAAGATAAAAGATTTTTTTCCTTCAGTACTTTAAATATATCATGCCACTCTCTTCTGTTCTTTAAGGAATCCAGTGAGAAGTCTGCTGCCAAATGTACTGGAACTCCATTGTATCCTATTTGTCTCTTTTCTCTTACTGTATTTATTATCCTTTCTTTATCTTTGACCTTTGGAAGTTTAATTATTAAATGCCTTGAGATATTCCCATTTGGGTTAAATTTGCTTGTTGTTTTATAACTTTCTTCTACTTGTATATTGATATCTTTCTCTAGGTTTGGGAAGTTCTTTGTTATTATCACTTTAATTAATATTTCTACCCCTATCTCTCTCTCTACCGCCAATTTAAGGACAGTAACTCTTATATTTGCCCTTTTAAGGACAGTAACTCTTATATATTTTCTATGCCTTGTAGATGTGCTTTATTCTTTTTTCTTCTTTTGCTTTTTGTTTCCTCTTTGTATGTTTAAATAGCTAGCCTTCAAGCTCACTAATTCTTTCTTCTGCTTGATTCGTTTTGTTGGTAAGAGACTCTGATATATTATTTCTACACATTCTTCTTGCGAAGGCTTTCCAGGTATATTAAAAAGGACTTAGGTGTTGTAATCTAAATTTTTTGTCAGTACAACCACATTTGCATTACGGGCACCCCAAGCTGAGTAATGCTGTGGCTCTTGTGGATTTGTAGAAGTGCTGACTTGGTGGTCTTGGATAGACATGGAAGAATTTTCTTGATTACCAGGCACAGACTCTTGTTCTCTTCCCCACATTCTCCCAAACAAACTGAGTCTTTCTCTCTGTACTGAGCTGTCTGGAGCTATGGGAGAGGTGACATAATGACCCCTGTGGCCACTACCACTGGGACCGTGCCGGGCAGGCCTGAATCCAGAACAGCATTCGGTCTCACACGAGGGCCATGGCAACCACTGCCTGGCTACTGCCTATGTTCACTTAAGGTCCTAGGGCTCTAAAATCAGCATTTTGTAAAGCCAGCCAGGCTTGTTTCCTTTCTTCCAGGGTGGTAAATTTCCCCCAGTACTTCGTGGGTCCAGATATGCTATCTGGGAGCCAGGGCCTGGAGTTGGAAACCTTAGGTATCTACCTGATTCTCTAGTCAGCTGGGCTGGGCTGTCATCCAAGCCAGAAAACAAAGTCCTTTCCACTCTTCCTTCCCATTTTCACAAGCAGAGGAGTCACTCCCTATGACCACCTCCACCCCAGGCCCACAGTAAGTATTGCTTGGCTACCACCAACATTCTTTCAACAAGCTAAGGGCTCTTTAGTCAGCTTGTAGTGAATGTTGCCAGGCCTTGGACTCTCCCTTTAGGGCAGTGAGTTCTCCCGCTCTGGCTCAGGGAAGGTCTAGAAATGCCATCCAAAAGCCAAGGCCTACAATCAGGGCCTCCAAGAGCCTGCTTGGTGCTTTACCCCCATGTGGCCAACCTTGTAAGTAAACTAAAAGACAAAGTCCCTTTTAGTCTTTTGATTTCTCAAGCAAAAGGATTCTTTCCACCACAACTTGAAATGTGCTGGATCACACATAAAGCCAGCAACTCCGTTGTCTGGGGTTGGGGTAGGAGTGACTCAAGGACTCTCTTGGCCTCCCTGTCTGGTGTCTCACTGTGTCATGTGCCACTCAAATCCACTGACTCTAAGTCCAGCACAGCACCAGGACTTTTCCAGGAATTTCAGTTTTTGTGGCCTAGACTGCCTTTCCAGTTTATTTAGAATTCTAGAGCACTTTGGCCCACAGTAGTGAGACTTGCCAAAACTCAGGTTCTGACTTCTGGGATGGGTGATTTCCCTCTGGCTAGGGCTGTTCTAATTATTTCCTTTGTGGGTGCTGTCTGAGTTCTGCTCTGTGTTGTATTCTGCTTTGACAGAGCAATAGTGAATTCCAGTGCCAACTCCCACAATCACTTTGCTCTCCTTCCCCTAAGACCACAGATTCTCCATGCTACATGGCTGCTGCCAGGGGATGGAGGAAGGGTAGCATCAGCAATTCAGAACTGTCTTTACTACCCTCTTCAGTGCCTCTTTCAATGATAAGAAGTTAAAACCAGGTACTGTGATTACTCACCTGATTTTTGGTTCTTATTAAGGTACTTCTTATGTGGATAGTTGTTCAATTTGATGCTCCTGCAGGGAAGCGAATCAGTGGAAGCTTCTATTTGGCTAAACTGCTCTGTCTCCTCTCAAAACAAACCTAATTGCACATATTTAGGGAGTCCAATTTGATGTTTTGATATATGTATACATTGTGTAATGGCTAAAACAATAATTTAAATTCATCACCTCATACATTTGTTAATATTTGAATGATGAGAGCATTTAAAATGTACTCATTTAGTATTTTAAGATATACATTATAAAAAACTATCATCACCATGCTGTGCAATAGATCACTAAAACGTATTCCTTCTGTCTAACTGAAAATTTGTACTCTCTGAATAACATCTACTCTTTTCTCATACCCCTGACCGTTAGCCTCTGGTAACTACCATTCGACTCTCTACTTCTAGGATTTTGACTTTTTCAGATTCTGCATGTAAGTAAGATCATGCAGTATTTGTCTATCTGTACCCACCTTATTTCAGTTAGCATAATGTCTTCTAGGTGAATCAATATTTTTGCAAATGACATAATTTCCTCCTTTTTAAGAGGAAATTTAAGAGTAGTTGTCCATTGTGTATATAGACAGTTTATTTTATTTATTTATTTATTTATTTATTTTAGAGAGAGAGGATCTCGCTCTGTTACCTAGGTTGGAGTGCAGTAGACTGATCATAGCTAACTGCAGTCCCAAATTCTGAGGCTCAAGTGATCCTCCTACCTCAGCCTCTTGAGTAGCTGGGACTACAGGCATGTACCACCATGCCTGGCTAAGTTTTTCTTATTTTTTTGTAGAGACTGAGTCTCACTATATTGACTAGGCTGATCTTGAACTTCTGGCCTCAATTTATCCTCTCACTTCAGCCTCTCAAAATGCTGGAATTACAGGTGTGAGTTACTATGCCCAGCCCCACATTTTCTTTATCCATTAATCTGTTAATAGACAATTAGTTTCATTCAATATCTTGAATATTTTGAAAAATGCTACAATGAACATAAGAATGTAGCTATCTCATCAACATACTAATTTCAATTCCTGATATGGTTTGGCTGTGCCTCCACCCAAATCTCATCTTGAATTGTAGCTCCCATAATCCCCACATGTTTTGAGAGGGAACTGGTGGGAAATAATTGAATCATGCGGGCAGGTTTATGCCATCCTGTTCTCATGATAATGAGTAAGTCTCACGAGTTCTGATGGTTTTATAAAGAGCAGTTCTGTACATGCTCTTTTTTCTGCTGTCATGTAAGACTTGCCATTGTTCCTTCTTTACTTTTCATCATGTTTATGAGGCCTCCCCAGCCATGTGAAACTGTCAGTCCATTAAACTTATTTTTCTTTATAAATTACCCAGTCTCAGGTATTTCTTTATATGTGTATGAAAATAGACTAATAAAATTCCTTTGACATACCTAGTAGTTGAGTTTCTGGTTCATATGATAATTCTATTTTTAGGTTTTTGAGAAACTTCCTTATTTCACATAATGGATTTACTAATTTATATACCCACCAACGGTGTACAAGAGTTTCCCTTTCTCTACATCCTCACCAAAACTTATATTCCTATTTTTTTATAATAGTGATTCTAGCATGTGTGAGATAATACCATATAAAAAATTCACTCAAAATGGATACAAGACTTAAACAAAAGAATAATTATAATTGTCAACTTTTAGAATTTATATTTTGTAATGTATGTTCGAAGTGAAATTCTAAAGAGTTCTATAGAGCACATGTGAAATTCTAATGTTATTCTGAAAAAAAAACATAAAATGCAGAGAAAAAATGTCTCTTAAAATATTTACTATAATAAGATAAGGTTGGTTTTATTAATTATATTTAGCAAACTACATTAGAATTTGAAAATTAAAATAATTTAAGTGTTCAAAGTATGTTTTTCTGTATTTGAGGGAAAAACAGCATAAATTTGTTGAAAAATCATGTTAACATGTACTGTTGGCATTTACATCATTGTATTTGATAAATATACTTGGGTTTTTTGATATAATCAGATAACATTCATACAATTTTTTGAAAAGATTTAGCTTATATTAATCCTTTAAGTTTTTCTAGGTTTTTAGGTATATGTTGCTGATGTTAATTAATGTGAGCAAATATTAGAGGATATTAATTTTGTAAAAATGCTTGATGTATACAAAAGAAAAAATATACTTAAATTATTTTGTATATAATTAATTCCTTTGTTTTCAATATTTCTAAGGAAGCATTTAGTAAATGTCCACTATGGGCTAACTATATTTCATTGTTATGTGGATAAGTTAATTAACAGGAAAAAATGCAAGCTCTGAAGAAAATATAAAGACAATGGTAAAAATTTTCAAAAGCCTCTGTTTTTTATGATGTTTTTAAAAAGCTGTTTTGAAAATGTTTCCACATAGTTGCTACCTGTAACTGATATGGTTTGGCTCTGTGTCCCAACCCAAATCTCATCTCAAATTGTAATCACCACATGTCATGGGAGTAACCTGGTGGTAGGTGATTGGATCATGGGGGTAGTATTGCTCATACTGTACTTGTGATAGTGAGTGTGTTTTCATGAGATCTGATGGTTTCAAAGTATGGTACTTTTTCTCTCTCTCTCCTGATGCCACGTAAGGGCTTGCTTCCCCTTTGCCTTCTGCCATGATGGTAAGTTTCCTGAGGCCACCCCAACCATGTGGAACTGTGAGTTAATTAAACCTCTTTTCTTTGTAAGTTACCCAGTTTTAGGTAGTTCTTTATAGCAGTGTGAAAACAGACTAATACAGAAAGTTGGTACCAGGAGTTTGGGGCACTGCTACAAAGATACCTGAAAATATGGAAGCAACGTTGGAATTGGGTAATGGGCAGAGATTGAAACCATTTGGAGAGATCAGAAGAAGACAGCAAGATGAGGAAAAATTTGGGACTTCCTAGAGACTTGTTAAATGGTTGTGACCAAAATGCTGATAGTGATATAGACAATGAAGTCCAGGCTGAGGCAGTCTCAGATGTAGAAGAAACATTAATTGGGAACTTGAGCAAAGATCACTCTTGCTATGCTTTAGTGAAAAAACTGGCAGCATTTTGCCCTTGTCCTAGAGATCTAGGAAGTTTGAACTTGAAAGAGATTACTTAGGGTATCTGTGGAAAAAATTTCTATACAGCAAAACATTCAAGGTTCACCTGGCTTTTTCTGAAAGTGTACAGTCATATGCATTCACAAAGAGATGTTCTGAAATTGGAACTTATGTTTAAAAAGGAAGCATAGCATAAAAGTTTGGAAAATTTGCAGCCTGATCAAGTGGTAGAAAAGAAAAACCTATTTTCAGGAAAGAAATTCAAGGCCAAGCCAGCTGCAGAAATTTGCTTAAGTACGGAGGAGGTAAATGTTAATAGCCAAGACAATGGGAAAAATGACTTCAGGGCACTTCAGAGATCTTTGTGGGAGCCCTTCCCATCAAAGGCCTGGAGGCCTAAGAGGACAAAATGATTTTGTTGGCTGAGCCCAGGGCCCAGTTGCTCTGTGTAGTCTTGGGACATGGCATCCTGTGTCACAGCCACTCCAGCTCCAGCCATGGCTGAAAGGGATCAAGGTATAGCTCTATAACTCAGGCTGTTGCTACAGAGAGTGTAAGCCTCAATCATTGGTAGCTCCCATGTGCTGTTGGGACTGCAGATGCAAAGTAGACAAGAGTTGAGGTTTGGAAACCTAGATTTCAGAGAATGTGTGGAAATGCCTGGATTTCTGGGCAAAAGTCTGGTGCATGGGCAGAGCCCTCATGGAGAATCTCTACTAGGGCAATACAGAGGGGAAATGTGGGGCTGGAACCCCCACACAGAGAATCTCCACTGGGGCACTGTCTAGTGGAGCTGTGAGAAGAAGGCCACTATCCTAAAGACTCCAGAATGGTAGATCCATTTAAAACTTTCACTGTGAGACTGGAAAAGCCACAGGCACTCAATTCCACCCTGTGAAAGCAGGTTCAAGAGCTGTAACCTGGAAGAGCCACAGGGGTGGAACTGCCCAAGGCTAAGGGAGCACACCTCTTACATTAGCATGCCGTGGATGTGAGACATGGAGTCAAAGGAGATTATTTTGGGGCTTTAAGATTTAATTAGTGCCTTGCTGGGTTTCAGACTGGCATGGAGCCTCTGTCCCGTTTATTTTGGCCAATTTCTCTCATTTTTAACAGAAATACTTACCCAATGCCTGTACTTCCATTGTGTCTTGGAAGTAATTAAATTGTTTTTGATTTCACAGGCTCATAGGCAGAAGGGACTTGCCCTGTCTCAAATTAGACTTTGAGCTTGGACTTTTGAGTTAATGCTAGAATGAGTTAAGACTTTGGGGGACCATTGAGAAAGCATGATTGGTTTTGAATTCTAAAATGGACACGAGATTTTGGAGGGGCCAGGGGTGGAATGATGTGGCTTGGCTCTGTGTCCGCACTCAAATCTCATTTTGAGTGTAATCCCCACGTGTCCAGGGAGGGACCTGGTGGGAGGTGATTGGATAATAGAGGCAGTTTCCCCCATGCTGTTCTTATGATAGTGAGTGAGTTCTCATGAGATCTGATGGTTTAAAAGTTTGGCAATTCCCCCTGCTGCCACCTTCTACCACTGCATAAGACATGTCTTGCTACCCATTTGCCTTCTGCCATGATTTTAGGTTCCTGAGGCCTTCCTAGCCATGCAGAACTGTGAGTCAATTATACCTCTTTTGTTTTTAAATTACCCAGTCTCAGGCAGTTCTTTATAGCAGTGTGAAAACAAACTAATACAGTAACAAATCTAAACTTAACTATTAAGGGAAATAGTCCTCCTATAAAACAAGTTGAAAAATTATCATTATAGTCAATATTATGAAGATACATATAAAATTCCCAGCTTTTTATTTGAAATTATTTGGATAGCAAGTACAAATATATATGTTTATGTTAAAATATCAGACTATCTCAAAAGCAAGAGCTGCTTTGAATATTTCAAATGCTATCAGCTACAGAGATAGAGATATAATTATTTTGATATTTACATTTATATAGTGATGAAGAAATTTTATCTAAATTTTTTACTCAAGAACATGGATAAACACCAGAGATATATTATTGTCTTTTGTAACAAGTGCAACTCTAGCTATGTTACTGACTATAAATGTTACATGCTTACGCATGTAACATGAATATCAAATTTGAATTCCACCCTTAAAACAAAATATATTTTACTCTTTGTGTATAAGATGTTATTATCCAATAATAATAACCTCTGGGTTTCCTGGGAGAAAATATGAAGCATCATCAATTAGCTCATAATATTACAGGATACATTTAAAAATATTTTTACTATAAAAAATATATAAATGGTGAGAAAATTATATCCTCTTTACATATTAAACACTGAGAACAAATATGAGGAATCTGTGGATATTTTTGTATTAATATTTGAAAAGCCTGGGCACAGTAGCCCACACCTCTAATCCCAGCACTTTGGGAGACCTACGTGGGAGGATCACAAGGTCAAGAGTTCAAGACCATCCTGTCCAACATGGTGAAACCCGTCTCTACTAAAAATACAAAAATTAGCTGGGCATAGTGGTGGGTGCCTGTAATTCCAGCTACTTGGGAGGCTGAGACAGGAGAATCGCTGGAACCTGGGAGGCGGAGGTTACAGTGAGCTGAGATCATGCCATTGCACTCCAGCCTGAGTGACAAGAGTGAGACCCCGTCTCAAAAAAAAAAAAAAAATTACCCAGGCATGGGGGCATGCGCCTGTAGACCCAGCTACTCAGGAGGCTGAGGCAGGAGAATTGCTTAAACCCGGGAGGCAGAGTCTGTAGTGAGCCGAGATCATGCCACGGCACTACAGCCTGGGCGACAGAGCAAGACTCTGTCTCAAAAAAAAGTAACAATAAATAAATTAAAAAATGCATCTCATTACTCTTTTTTAGCATATGGATCAGATTAATTGAATAGTAAGCAGAAAGTGCAATGTAAACTGTTGTCTCAAATAACAATAATGTTAACCTTTGCAACTACCTGTTTGGGTGGATCACAATGATCTTACTAATGGGCAAACAACGCACACACAAAAAAACACAGAAGTTGAAGGCTGAGCTTAAAAAAAATCACAATCATCTTTCTTTAACACCTGATTTCAATTTAGTATTCACAAAACCTTGTCTTCATTTTTATTGTTGATTTATTTGTTAGTAACTATGTGTATAAAGTCAATCAAATTTACTGACAAATAGTGCAGTAGCACTCACCAAAGCATGGGTCAGTGCTTTTTGCAACATTCCATCTGTAAAAAAACAAAAGCATTCCTCTGCTAAAAAAAAAAAAAAAAAAAAAAAAAAAAAATTAAAGTTTCAAAACAACTGTTACACATTTCAGATTTGTAGCAATCATAGTTTTCTGTCATTATTCAGGGCAAAAACTACCAATTTTGTTTTCTGAGCAGTTTCATAAACTATTAAAAGCAAGTCAATAATATATAACATTATTTAAAAAGTTTCTTTAAGATTTTTTATTTTCTCTTACTTAAGTCTAGTTAGGATATGTCACACTACTCTAGAAACATTTTAATACATGTGTAGGGAAACAGCAAATAATCCCACTTTAATTCATTCTAATTAGAAAAGAAATGTTGCTATCACTTTTACCTGCTGTCTGCAAGCTTGACAGTGCTTTGGTCATAACTCATAAAGCCTCAGGATCCAGGAAATTTGTTAGACTTAAAATATGAAAAGAACTGCATAATTTTTATTTATTAAATAAAATAAAGTCTGATTTAGAATACAGATGTTTTCATCTTTGATGTTTGAATGTCCTTGGTAAACATATTAATGAGACTCAGCTGTATTAGCTTAGCTCAGGTAGATTGAAGTTTTATGATCTTGTGAGTTTAAAATAACTGTGTTTTTGTTATAATGCCTTTTGTAGATCATCTTAAAACCAAATAAATAAATAAATTCAATAAGGCAGAGTCTTTTCTATCCCATATGGCATGCTCTTTTGAATGGCAGTAATAATAATATTGACAATATTTATTGTAAGTTTGCGTCAATGAAGATTTTTTTTAATGAAGAGCAGCTTAGTAGAAACACTTAAGTTACTCAAAAACTTCTAAACAAGTAGAATAGTAGACATATTTTCCATGATTGGCGGTTTTCCATGCAATGGGGTGTGTTTTAAAAAAACACATTCTTGGCCTTTATCGAAAAACCACAGATAGCTATAATTTGGGTAACTTTTACAGATAATTTATGACTTTGCACTCAACTTAATGGCCCATAAAAAACTCAAACATCAGTGTTAGGACATTGCTTTAGCATTTAAAAGGATTCTGAGGACTGCAAGGGTTTTTAAAAAGGGATGTCTGTCAAGTGGAATTTTTGAATTGTACTTAAAAATATGTTGCTTGATTCAAAAATTGTCTGTGTCAAAGTTACACCCTGGCTACACTGATTCTTGCCAGTATTTATGATAATAATACTAAGGAAAACAATTGATCTGTTTTTAGGTTACCTTTTAATATACTAATATAATACAAACTACTGTTAGAAAACGAATGCAAACCTGTTTGTGAAAATTTAGTGCCCTCGAAGTGACTGTATATATTTTGACCATGGCAACTGATGTCTGTGATTTTTTTTGCCTCCACGGCTTTTAAACAGTTAACATCACCTGCTGCTGTTTGTGATGAAACCCCACAGGAAATGAATGCCAAAGGTACGAGATGAAAGAGAAAGTAATTTTCCGGGAGGGGAGGTAAGAGTAATTTTGCACTTTGAGGTGAAAGGGTGAGAAACCAAAAGATGTGTGAGGAATTACTTATGAAACTGGAAATGAAGGTAAAAGTTGGAGGCAAAGGGAGCAAATATAGAAAAGAGAGAAAGAAGAAAACTCCTAGAGTCATAGAG
The DNA here is from genome assembly GCF_000001405.40 of Homo sapiens. Lineage (NCBI taxonomy): Eukaryota > Metazoa > Chordata > Mammalia > Primates > Hominidae > Homo > Homo sapiens. Next base: position 77,565,570 of record NC_000008.11, on the reverse strand, counting down.
AAAAATAAAGGGACAATAGGTTGAAATATATACCCAGAAGATGCCACCAAGAAAATATCATTGTCATATAGAGGAAAATCTCAAACCTACTAAAATATTATATACAAACTCAAAATGTTCAAAGGGTAAAAAAAAAATCACAAACAAATATTCTTAAGTCTTTTCTCCCTCACATTCCACCATTAGGGATAATTTTATCATTGTTTTTTCTTTTTCTGATTTTTCTGGTGAAAAATCAAGGGAATATGAAGTAAGAAAGGGTAGGGGATGCCAGAGAGGCGAAAGTTATTATTTGAAAGGAGAAAGATTATAAGGAGCAAATAATAGTATTTATAAATATAATAAGAAAGAGAAAACTACAAAACTCAATGTAGACAGAGCTGAGGAGTGAGAGGAGAGGTATTTGCAGGGACAGTTACTGGGTAGCAGACAGACAAGGAAAGAAAGGATAAAATTACCAAACCATTGCTATATATTTTCAACTGAGAGACATCAGGGGATATTTTTACATGTTTCAGTAAGTTGGTGGTGATTGAAACTGTGTTTATTTGAATGCAGCACTCTTTTAAGCCTGAACCACAAGGTAGTTGCATACTATGTGGTTGATATGTGAAAGTAAGCACCAACAAAATATTAAAAGTGATTCTTCTCACTTAAAATCATTATTAACAAACAGTTATTACTGGTTCCACTACCCATACGAAGTGCGTAAGTCAGCATCATTCCTATTCTCTTCTGGATGTCCTCCAAAGATAAAAACAAAGAATAATGGAGAGAATCCCTGATAACTTCAATTAGCATTAATTTAAGACAGATATATATTCCTTTTTTAACTTTCATTTTAAGATCAAGAATAAACTGCAGGTTCATTACATAAGTTAACTTGCGTCACAGGAGTTTGTTGCTCAGATTATTTCCTCACCCAGGTATAAAGTACCCATTAGTTATTTTTAGTTATTTTTTCTGACCTTCTCCCTCCTTCCACCTTCTGGAAGGCCTCAGTGTGTTTTATTCCCCTCTGTCTGTTCATATGTTCTCATCATTTAGCTCCCATTTATAAATGAGAACATGCAGTATTTGGTTTTCTGTTCCTTTGTTAGTTTGCTGAGGATAATGGCCTCCAGCTTCAATCATGTCCCTGCAAAGGACATAATCTCATTTTTTATGGCTGCAAAGTATTTTATGGTGGGTATGTACCACATTTTCTTTATCCAGTTTATCATTGATGGGCATTTATGTTGATTCCATTGTATTTGCTGTTGTGAATAGTGCTACAATAAACATATGTGTGCATGTGTCTTTAAAATAGAATAATTTATATTTATTTGGATATATACTTAGTAAAGTGTTTGCTGGGACAAATGATGTTTCTGTCTTTAGGTTTTTGAGAAATTGGCACACTGTCTTCCAAGATGGCTAAAGTAATTTACACTCCCACCAACAGTGTAAAGGATTCCCTTTTCTCCATAACCTTGTCAGCATCTGTTACTTTTTGACTTTTTAATAACTATTCTGTCTGCTGTTAGATGGTATCTAATTGTGGCTTAGATTTGCATTTCTTTAATGATCAATGATGTTGAGCATTTTTTATGCTTGTTGGCCATATGTATATCTTCTTTTGAAAAGTGTCTGTTCATGTCCATTGCCCAATTTTTTATGGAGTTAAATGTTTTTCTTGTAAATTTCCTTGAGTTCCTTATAGTTGGTGAATATGAGACCTTTGTCGAATGCATAGTTTGCAAAAATTTTATCCCATTCTGTAGGTTGTCTGTTTACTCTGTTGATCTTTTCTTTTGCTGTGCAGAAACCCTCTAGTTTAATTAGATCCTATATGTCAATGTGTTTGTTGCAATTGCTTTTGGCATCTTTGCCATGAAATCTTTGCATGTGCCTATGTCGTGAATGGTATTGCCTAGGTTTTCTTCCAGGGTTTTTTTTTTTATAATTTTGGGTTTTACTTTTAAGTCTTTAATCCATTTTGAGTTAATTTTTGTATATGGTGTAGAGAAAGGGTCGAGTTTTAATCTTCTGCATATGGCTAGCCTTATCCCAGCACCATTTATTGGATAGGGAATCCTTTCCCATTGCTTGTTTTTTAAGCCTTGTTGAAGCTCACATAATTGTAGGTGTGTGGTCTTATTTCTGGGTTCTCTATTCTGTTCCATTGGTCCATGTGTCTGTTTTTGTACCAGTACCATGCTGTTTTGTTACTGCAGCCTGTAGTATAGTTTGAAGTCAGGTAGCATGATGCCTCCAGATTTGTTCTTTTTTGCTTAAGATTGCCTTGGCTATTCAGGCTACTTTTGGTTCCATATGAATTTTAAAATAGTTTTCTCTAGTTCTTTGAAGAGTGACATTGGTAGTTTAATAGGAATAGCATCGAATCTATAAATTGCTTTGGGTAGTCTGGCCATTTTAATATCGATTCTTCCTATCCATGAGCATGGAATGTTTTTCAATGATAAACCAAATCTAGCAGCATATCAAAAAGCTTATCCACCACAATCAAGTGAGCTTCATCCCTGGGATGCAAGGTTGGTTCAACGTATGCAAATCAATAAATGTGATTCATCACATAAACAGAATTAACAGAATTAAAGACAAAAAACACATTATTATCTCAATAGATGCAGAAAAGTCTTCTGATAAATTCAACATCCCTTTTTGCTAAAACCCTCAATAAACTAGGTATTGAAGAAACATATCTCAAAGTAGTAAGAGTCATATATGACAAACCCACAGCCAACATCATACTGTATGGGCGAAAGCTGGAAGCATTCCCCCTGAAAACTGGCACAAGAAAAGGATGCCCTCTCTCACCACTCCTATTCAACATAGTGTTGGAAAGTTCTGGCCAGGGCAATCAGGCAAGAGAAAGAGATAAAGGACATGCAAATAGAAACAGAGGAAGTTAAACTATCCTCCCAATGAGTTTTGTCTTTTTCTAGTTTTCTTCTATTTTATGAGTTTTCTTCTATTTTATGAGACCGACAAACTGCGGCTACACAAAGAAGGCTACACAAAGAGGGCTCCCTAGTTTTCCTCTATTTTAAAAGTTTCTGTCTTGAACATACTTTTATGTGTTCAGGATAAAGTAATTAATATATTTTCTAAATGGATCTTCTCTAATTTTAAGTAAAGAATGACACAATCATTTAAAATCCTCCTTATACAAGTAAGGAAAATAGGTTATTACTTACACTAATTTCTTTCTTTTCTTATTTTTGTGGATTAAATCTATAAATTGACCTCCAAATCTGTCTCTTTTTCTAACGCTTTTATTCATGAAGTCATTCCTTTCAAATCCAATTTAGAATGCTATTAAAAAAATATTGTTTTTTTCTATTTAACTAATTGTTTTTAGTATATACTGCCAGATCTTTATACATTTAAGTTTCTCATTTTGAGTTTTTCATCTTTGTTTACACCTTTCAGTAAATAAAATAAAGAAATTATAACTTGTTTTAATTTGTTTTCCTTTTTTCTCTCCGGATTCTTTCTTTTTTTTAATCTTTGGTTTTCTGAAATCTGAATATGACATACTTATGTGTATTTTGGTTTTTGTTTGTTTGCTTGGGAGTTATTCTGCTTGTGATCTCTGAATTTCTTGGATCTGTAGTTTGATGTCTAACATTAATTTGGGGAAATTTTTCAGACTTTATCACTTCAAATATTGTTTCTGTTCTATTCTGTCTTTCTTTTCCTTTTGCTAAACTATTACATGTTACATCTTTTGTAATTCCACATTGGATACATCCCTCAGATACTGGATATTCTCTTCTGTTTCTTTCAGTTTTTTTTTTTAAACTTTGCTTTTAAGTTTCAGAAGTTTTTATTGACATTTTGACAGGTTGACATGTTGACATTTTGACATATTCTCATGCTCTGGAATTCTTTCCTGAGCCATACCCAATCTACTCATGAGCCCATTAGAAACATTATTCGTATCTATTATAGTGTTTTTTATCTCTGACATTTCCATATTGTTTTCTTAGATTTTTTATTTCTCTGTTTACATCATCCACTAGTTCTTATGTATTTTCTGCTTTTCTTTTAATTTAAAGCTCTTAGTACATTTTTATAGTTGTTGTTGGTTTTTTTGTTGTATTTGTTTATTTTTAATTCCTGTTTTGATAATTCCAACAGTTCCTGCTATTTCTGACTCTGGTTCTGACTCTTGTTCAGTCACTTCAAACTTATTGTTAAAATTTTGTGTTTGTATGCCTTGCAATTCTATTTAAAAGTGGACATGATATACTGCATAAAAAGAATTGCAATAGTTAGGTCTTTAATAATGTAGTGGCAAGGTGTAGGGGGAGAGAAACTGTTCCATAATCCTGTGATTAAGTCTTATTTTTTTGGCAAGCCCGTGTCCCTGAACTGTGATCTTCACCAGTGCTTCTCACTCTTCCTCCACCTTAGGTGGAAGAGGATGCTTAGAGTTTGATATTTCCCTCCTGCCCATATAGAAAACCAGAGGGAGTTATATTTGGATGTTTCACTTCCTCCAGGTCTGTTAGGCTCTGATAAGTCCCCCATAGGTTAGATTTTATAAGATAGTTTCTCCTCAGGGAAATTTTTAGTAAGTAGAACAAAATGTTCCGGAGTATTTCTAAATGGTTGCTTTTCCCCTTTCTGCTACTGGAAGCAGAATTTTCTTTCACATTCACTGTGAGAACCTGTTGGAGCACCTGGAGGCCAAATTCATAAAAGTGTGGGGCCCTCCCAAAGGACAGAATCCTTTTGGAATTTTTAATCTCATATATTTGTCTACACTGAGTCTCTAGCAATTTTCCAGCTATAGCTGAGATTTTTCTACCCTAGCACTGATACCCATGAATGTTTCTACTCATGGTTTCTGATCTGGTATGTTGTGATTCTCTGCATCTGCCTGTCTCTGCAGTTTAGGTGGCAGCAGTTTGTCCTGTGGCCTCACTTCTTTCATGGATCTAAGAAGAGTTGTTGATTTTTTATGTTGTTCAGCTTTTTCTTTATTGGTAAGATGGAGTGGCAACTTCTAAATTCCTTGCATGTTGGATTAGAAACTGGGGTCCATTCATTTTTTTAAGTTTAATTTTTTATCATTTTAGTTTATTTCTATTTATAATTGACCATAATAATTATACATATTTATGGAATACAATGTGCTGTTTAAATACATGCATACATAGCATAATGATCAAACTGGGGTAATTGCTATATTCATCACTTTAATTATGTCTTATTTCTTAGTAGTGACATTTAAAATCTTTTCTAGCTAATTTGAAATATACACACACTACATTGTTATTGGTTTCAGTCATCCTACTGTGTAATAGAACACCAAATTTTATTTTTCCTGTGTAACTTTGTACCTATTGACCAACTGGTCCTCGTCCCTTTTCCCCCTGTCCTCCACAGCCTCTGCTAACCAATGATTATACCCTCTACCTCTATAAAATTTAGTTTTTAAATATCCACATATGAGTGAAATTATGTGGAGTGTTTGTCTTTCTTGGCTTGGCTTATTTCACTTAACTTAATGTACTCTAGGGTCATCCATATTGCCATATGATATGGTCTGGCTGTGTCCCTACTGAAATCTCATCTTGAATTGTACTACTCCCCACATGTGAAGGGTGAGGCCAAGTGTTGATAACTGAATCATGGAGGTGGGTTCCCCCATACTGTTCTCATGGTAGTGAATATGTCTTACAACATCTAAAGGTTTTGTAAATGGGAGTTCCCCTGAACAAGGTCTCTTGCTGGCCACCATAGAAGATGTGACTTTGCTTCTCATTCACCTTCCAGCATGATTGTGAGGCTCCCCAGCTATGTGAACTGTAAATACATTAAACCTCTATCCTTTATAAATTACCTGTACTGGGTAAGTCTTTTTTTTTTTTTTTTTTTTGAGACAGAGTCTCTCTCTGTTGCCCAGGCTGGAGTGCAATGGCAGGATCTTGGCTCACTGCAAGCTCCACCTCCCAGGTTCACGCCATTCTCCTGCCTCAGCCTCCCAAGTAGCCGGGACTACAGGCACCCGCCACCACACCCAGCTAATTTTTTGTATTTTTAGTAGAGATGGGGTTTCACCGTGTTAGCCAGGATGGTCTCGATCTCCTGACCTCATGATCTGCATGCTTCGGCCTCCCAAAGTGCTGGGATTACAGGTGTGAGCCACTGCGCCTGACCGAGTATGTCTTTATTAGCAGCATGAGAACAGCCTAATATATCACAAATGACAGAATTTAATTCTGCTTTATGGCTGAATAGTATTCCATTGTGTATACATATATATAACATTTTCTTTATCCATTAATCTGTGGATGAACATTTAGGTTGATTTCATATCTTGGCTGTTGTGAATAAAGCTGCAATAAACATGGGTATCTCTTCCATATACTGATTTTGTTTTCTTTGGAAAAATATCCAGTAGTGGGATTGCTGGATCATATGATAGTTCTATTTTTAGTTTTTGAGAAACCTCTATCATGTTTTCTAATGGATGTACTAGTTTGCATTTCTGCCAACAGTGTATAAGTGTTCTCTTTACATTGTATCCTCATTAGCATGTGTTATTTTTGGGCTTTCTGATAATGGCCATTCTAAATGTGATGAAATGATATCTCATTGTGATTTTTTTTAAATAACTAATGACATTGAACATTTTTTCATATATCTGTTGGCTCTGTGAGTCTCTCCCTTGGAAATATGTCTATTCAGACCATTTATGCATTTTTAGCTGGATTATCTGATTTTTGCTATTGAGTTTTTTGAATTTTTTATGTATGTGAATATTAACCTGTTGTCAGATGCATAATTTTCAAATAGTTTCTCTCATCCTGTAGGTTGTCACTACACTTTATTTATTTATTTCTGAGCATAAGCTTTCTAGTTTAATAAAATCCCATTTGTCTATATTTGCTTGTGTTGCCTGTGCTTCTAAGGTCTTATTTTAAAATCTTTACTCAGTTTAGTTTCACAAAGCATTTACTCTATATTTTCTTCTAGTAGTCTCATAGTTTTGAGTCTAACATTTAAGTCTTTAATACACTTAGAGATAGTTTTGGTATATAGTGAGAGGTAGAGGTATACTTTCATTCTTGTGCATGTGGGTTACAGTTTTCCAAACACACTATTTATTGAAGAGACTGTTGTTTTGCCAATAAATATTCTTGGCACCTTGCAAAAAATCAGTTGCTTATAAATTCATGGATTTATTTCTGGGTTCTCTATTCTTTTCCCTTGGTCTATGTACCTGCTTTTATGCCATCACCATGCTGTTGTTTTTACTACAGCTTTGTAGTATAATTTGAAGTCAAAGAATGTGATGCTTTTTGCATTTTCATATAAATTTTAAGATTCTTTTCCCTATTTCTGTGAAAAATGTCATGGGTAGTTTGATAAAAATTGCATTTAATCTGTAGATCACTTTGGGTAATATGGACATTTAACAATATTAATTCTACAGGATTTCTTTTCATTTATTTGTGGTCTTTTAAATTTCTTTCAATGTATTATAGTTTTTATTGTGTAGATCTTTTACACTTTTGGTTAAGTTTATTCATAGTTATTTTAATCTTTTCGTGGCTATTGTAAATGAAATTGATTTCTTGATATCTTTTGTACATAGTTCACTATCAGCATATAAAAAGACGCTTGATTTTTGTATGCTGATTTTGTATCCTGCAACTTTATTAAATTCCTTTATTTGTTCCTCATTTCCAGTAATACCAGCCTCTCAAAAAAGCTAAGATCTTGAGAAATTTTATCTTTCACTAATGCAGATGTATAAAGAGAACAACCTTTCATTTATTGAGGAAGTTTCAACATTTTTACATATACACACACAATGCCTAAAAGTCAAAGCACTTTTATGAAGTCAAATTTGCCAAAAATGCATAAAACAGATTAAAACTCACCAAAAAATCTTTACAAATTCACACTTCCAGTATTGGAAAAGATGTGAAGATGAAATACATAGCATAGTGAATTTTGAGAAAATTATGCTGACAATTTAAAATAGTGAATTAAAAAAACTCAAAAAAGGAAAAATAACTAAAAAGAAAATAAAGCATATGAAATGGTGTTTTGCAGGAATAGATTGTGGGCAATTGCACAGAAATAATCCATAAGAACTGATGATTCTTGCAATCATTCACTGTATTTTGAACTCTTGCAGCATGATAAATAGCTGCTTTTTCTTCTTTTAGCACATAGCTCTCCTTGCAGAACATGTTCATATTCATCTTCTACATTGCACTGCTCTTTATTAAATTATTTGATCCAATATACACTGACTTGAGCATTCCCTATTAAATTATCCCATCTTCTGTGCCATGCTTCTATATTGTTTGGGGTATCTGAAAATTCATTTCTCATGCACTCATATAAAGACCACAGATTTGGCAGAAACAATACTGGTGATTGAACAGCAATACCATTGTGTCAGTTAATTCTTATCCTACTATGGACAAAATTATTTTCAAATTAGTCAGTAACTTCACTGGTTCTTCAGGAAAATGTGGCTTTAATTCATTAAAAGGTCGTGGAATGTCATCAGTTGAAAGGAATGCCAATGCAGGCAAATGACATGTTTTTCAACTGAAATTTTCATTATAACCAGATTTTGTGGTCAAATTATTCATTTAAATGATCTTCCAAATGCATTGGGTGAATGGAAAAAGCAAGCTTTATTGGTGAGACCTTGAAATTTACTTTAAGAAGTTTTGATTACACTCAATTCCAAATCTGACATTATGGTTTGAGGATTCAAATGAAATCTATTTTCTTCTGCATAAAGACAGTAACAATGTAATAGTTTTGCCTAACATAATGCAAGTAGCCTGTGATTGTGATTTTCAGGATTTTGGATGTTATGGATTTTGATCTTTAAGAGCTTTGATCTTTCAGAGATTCAGCATTCAGCATTATGCCATTTGGGATTGTGTCTTTTGGGATTATGAGTCTAATACATTGCTTCTATACTAAGTTTCTTAAGAGTTTTTAATCATGAGAGAGTATTACATTTTACAGAATAATTTTTCAGCATCTGTTAAAATTATCATATGGTCTTTGATTGTGTTAATGTAACACATCATGCTTATTGATCTACTTATGTTGAACTATCCTTGCATCCCTGGGATGAATCTCACTAGATCATGGTGCATAATCTTTTTAATCTTTTGTTGAATTAAGTTTGCTAGTATTTTGCTGAGGGGTTTTGCACCAATGTTCATTAGAGATATATGCCTATAATTCTTTTGTTGTTTGTTCTTCTCTGGTCTTAGTATGGAGGCATGCTGGCCATGTAGAATGAGTTTTAAAGTATTCCTTCTTTTCAATTTTTTTAAATAGTTTGAGTAGAATTGGTACTCGCTCTTCTTTGAATGTTGAGTAGAATTCACCAGTGAAGCCATCAGTTCCTGGGCTTTCTTTGATAGGAGGCATTTTATTACTGTTCAATTTTGTTATTCATTCTTGGTTTGTTCAGGTCGTATATTCCTTTATGTTGCAATCTTGGTAAGTTGTATGGGTCCAGGAATTTATCCTTTTGTTTTGTTTGCAAATTAATGAAGTATAGTTGTTCACAGCTGTCTCTTATGGTCTATTGTATTTCTGTGGCATCAGTTGTAACGTCTCCATTTTTATTTCTGATTTTATGAGTTTTCTTTCTTTCCTCTTAGTCTAGCTAATTGTTTGTTGATTCTGTTTGTCTTTTAAAAACACAGCTCTTTCTTTCATTGATCTTTTGTATTCTTTTTAAAGTCTCTGCTTAGTTTATTTCTGCTCTGACATTTATAATTTCTTTTTATATACTTAATTTAGATTTAGATAGTTCTTGTTATTCTAGTTTCTTGAGGTATAATTTTACATCATTTATTTGAAATCTAAGTGTTTGATGTAGGAATTTATTGCTACAATCTTCCTTCTTAGGATAGCTTTTGCTGTATCCCATGGGTTTGGGTATGATATGTTTTCCTTTTCATTGGCTTCTAGCAATTTTTAAATTCCTTATTAACTGTTTAAAAATTTCCCTTAATTTATTCATTAACCCATTGTTTGATATTAAAATGCTATTTAATTTCTGTGTGTTTGAACAGTTTCCAAATTTCCTCCTGTTATTGATTTCTAGTTTTATTACATTGTGGTCAGAAAAAAAATACTTGATATCATTTCAATTTTTAAAAACTCAAGATTTGTTTTGTGGCCTAACATATATTCTATCCTGAAGAATATTCCATGTGCATTGACAAAAGAATATTTGTTCTGCATCTGTTCAATAGAAGATTTTCTAACTGTCTGTTCGGTTCATTTGGTTTAGAGGGTGATTTAACTTTGATGTTTGATGATTTACTGTCTGGATGATCTGTCTGTGGCTGAAAGGTGTTAACGTTCTCCAGCACTATTGTATTGCAGTCAATTTCACCCTTATGGCTGTTAATATTTGCATTACATATTTACATTCTCCTGTGTTAGGTGCATATAGGTTCACAATTGTTCTAACCTTCTGCTCTTCTGAGCCATTTTTTATTATTTAATAACTTTGTCTTTAAGATCTTTTCTGATTTAAAGTCTATTTTATATGATACAACTATAGCTACTATTGCTATTTTGGTTTATGTTTGCATGGAATATTTTTCCCATCTCTTCACTTTTAGTTAATGCATGCCTTTATAAGTAAAGTGCATTTAGTTTAAGCAGCATATAGGTGGGCCTTGCATTTTTATTTATTCAGCCACTCTATGTCCTTTAATTTGAAAATTATATTTAAGGTTATTATCCATAGGTAAGGAGTTATTATTACCATGATCTTACTTTATTTCTGCGTGCTTCATAACAGCTCTCTTTCTTTCTTAATATATTCCTTTGTGGTTAAGTGATTTTTCTCTAATAGTGCATTTTAATTACTTGCTTTTGATTTTTAGGGTATCTATTATAGGTTTTTGATTTGTGGTTACCATAATGCTCTAAAAAAATCTTACAGGTATAACATGTAATTTTAAAATGATGACAACTTTACTTAGAATGCAAAGAAAAGAATGTACACAAACAAACCAAAACCTAAACAACTCTATATTTAAATACCAAATTCTCCTACTTTTTTACTTATGAATGTTTCAATTTATATCTTTTTATCTATCTCTTATCAAATTGTTTTTATTATTTTAATTGTTTTATATTTCATTCTTTATACTAAAAATATGATTGGTTTACACACCATAATTACAGTATTAAAGTATTCTAAATGTGTCTGTATACTTACTTTTATCTGTGAGTTTTATATCTTCAGATGTTTTCTTATTACAAATTGGTGTCTTATTCCTTCATATTGAAGAACTCCCTTTAGCATTTCTTGTAAGATAGTTCTGGTGGTGATGAATTGCCTGAGCTTTTGTTTGGAAAATCTCTCTCTTTTTCATGTTTGAAGGATATCTTTGCTGTGTAAAATATTCTCAGTTGGAAGTTGCATTTTGTTGTCATCGTTCCCCTCAGCACTTTGAATGTGTTACTCAAATCTTCTAGCCCGTAAAGTTTCCAATGAGAGGTCTGTTGTTAGAGGTAATGAAGCCCCATTATGTGTCATTTTCTTCTTTTTTCCTGGTTCTTTTAATATTTTCCCTTTGTCCTGGACCTTCTAGAGTTTGATTATTATATGCTTTGGAGTAGTCTTATTCGCATGGCATTTGCTTGGTGATTTTTTACCTTCCTCTGCCTGGAGGTTTATGTCTTTCTCTAGGTTGGACACATTTTCTGTTATTATTACTTTGATTTAGCTTTTTAGCCATTTTTGTTATTCTATTCTTTCTTTAAGGCCAATGACCCTTACATTTTCTCTTTTTATACCACCCCATATATCTCATTGGTATCAGCATATATTGTTCCTTTTTAATTAATTATTTATTTATTTTTACTTTTTCTCTCCTGTTTGTTTCAAATAGCCTATCTTTGAGTGCACCGATTCTTTACTTTGTTTTATTAATTCTGCTGTGGAGACCCTCTAATGCAATTTTCGCTTTCTCTATTGTACTTTTCCACTTCAGGATTTCTGTTTGATTTTTTTAAATTATTTCAATCTCTTTATTAAATTTTTCTGATAAATTTCTGAATTGATTCTTTGTGATATTCCTAGAGTTTGTTGGCTTTTCTCAAACATAAATTTTGAATTCACTCTCTGAGATATCACATATATCCATCTTTCCAGGGCTGGTAACTGGTACCTAATTTCATCTATTTGATGAGGTCTTATTGCCCTGAATATTCTTGATGCTCCTGGATGTTCACCAGTGTCAGAGGATTGAAGATTTGGGTATTTATTCCAGTCTTTACATTCAAGCCTTGATTATACCTGTCCTTCTTCAGAGGGTCTTCTAGGAATTTAAAGTAGGATGACTATTGAATTCCCTAAGCCTGATGTCACAGAAAAAAATATTGGCACAAGAGGGCACCTTATATCCAGTTGCACTGCAACTCTTAAAGACTACTGTGTTCTCAGCCCTAATGAATTTAGAAAAGATCAAAGTGTTTCCTTTGTTCTAATAAACAGAAGTCTCTCCTCACTGCACTTCCCTAAGTTGGAGGAAGTGTGAAACAGGTAATTTCATGGTTACCACAGCTGGCAGCATGCTGGACTACATCCTAAACCCATGACCTCCCAGACCAGTGTAGCAAAGGAGCTAGCCTAAGGCCTGTGGTTACTGCTGACTGACTGCCACAGATATTTAATCACCGCCTGAAGCAGTTTAGTCAGCTGATGGCAATCCTGGCCAAGATTTGGGTCCATTATATCAAGGCACTGGATTTCCCGTGGCCTAGGGTGGGTCTAGAAGTGCCATCTAGGGCTACCTGTCTGTAATTAGGGCCTGCAGGTCTCTGCTTATTGCTGCATTTTCTGATGAGGCTGGTACTTGGTTCTAAGGCAAAATCTGCTGATCTTTTCCTTCTCCTTCTCCCAGGTAGAAGGAATCTCTCTTGTTGCTGCACTATATGGAGTTGGGGGAAGGGTGATGCAGACACTTCCATTGTCACCACAGTTGATGTGATGCTTAGTTATATTCCAAACCCACAGCCTTCCAGACCAGCACAGCACCAGGACTTGCTTGAGAATTGCAGTTACTACAACCTTCCTGCCAATGAAATTTATTAAAGGCCTGAAGCCACTTTTTTCACCATTTGGTGAAGCAGGTTGAGAAAAGAGTTTCTTCCAATGGGTCTGTGGATTCCCTTCTGGCATAGAATGGGCCCAAATTCTCACTTCATGTACAATGACCTGGCATCAAGGGCTGAGTTTCTTCCAAGTGCTGTGTTATAATGTGGTGTAGCTGGTACTAAGTTCCAATACAAAGTCTTATACACACGTCTCTTTTTCCCCTACACACATAGATTCTCTTTCTGCACTGTGCTGTCTGGGGTTGTGGGACAGGAACTACAGGAAATAAGGCTCTATCCTTCCTACTCCCTTCAATGCCTCTTTCCTTGATACTATTCTAAAACCAGGTACTCTGATCTACCATCGTTTTCTTTAGCTCCTCTAAAGGTGTTATCTTGTATGGAAACACTTCAATCTGATGTTTCTATTAGGGTAGAATCTCAGGAGAGTTCTATTCTGCCATCTTGCTTTGTCACTCTTCTCACAACCCCATTTTGCTTTTAGATTTATTTATTTCTTTGGACTTTTCTCCTTAGTCAGAAAAATTAAGAATAAAGGTTTTATTTTTAAAAAATACACATGAAATAGAGGAGAACATTTAGAGATAAGTTATTTCCCCACTTGCAAACTTTCTCAATATTAAAATGTTTTTAGATTTTCTATCAATTTTTAAATATGCGTGTTGATTATTTTTTCAAATATGGGGGAGGAGGGGCTTTTAGCATGCCTCAGCCACTTGAAAATAGCAAGATAGTGCATAAAGATCAACTCTGTGATCTTTAATTTAAAAAAGAAAGTGGGAATCCACTGGAATCATGAAGAACTCCCCACAGCCTGTGGAGGAAAATCCTCACAAATGACCCCTGTTATGGTGTCTAGCCAATAAAAGTGAGTAAAGCTCCCGTATATGAAAGAGGCAGAGGGTTTCCCTCTGTGACTCACCTTTACACTGGGCATTTGAACAACTCAAGTTGAGGGAGAGAACTTTCATTCTCTCAAGTCTTGGAGCTAACTTGGAAAGAGACTCAGAGATGCTGTGAGGGAAAGACACCAGGAAAAGCTGTAGGCAATTTCCCAAACCCAGGACTGGGAGCAGAATGTTATTTCCAATCTTGGCAAAAACAAAGGCAACCATACTTTGGCAACCCAGAAGTGTGGCCACATAGGCATTTTAGCCTTGGGCCGGAGATTTGAAGCTGAGTAGGGGCCTCCAAATCCAAAACTGTGGAAAGCACCTCAGCAGTAGAAAATGAAATTGTGCTCCCACTTGTTGCAAGTCTGGATTGGTAGGAAAACTGCTACAGCTACAGTTTCACCTTTGTGGTGAGACATCCAGCCAGGGCCAGCTTGATGACCTGGAACCAGTCTGCTAGTGCAATTGCTGGGTGCCAGCCTGCTCCTCTGAGATCATGATGCTGTGGGGCCCTCTCTGCTCCATGTGCAGGCAGATCTGCAGGCATTCAGAGCACCCACTCACCTGGGTCACGACCTGACTTTCCCCAACCTTCCTGTGTGGAAATCCTGGTGCAGGAAGGCCCTCTCTACTCCATGCCCAGGGATATCTCCAAGCATTGAGAGCACCCATTTGCCTTGTTCAGCAGCCTGAGCCACCTCAGTTTTCCAGGGCATAGATCAAGGTGCAACAGGGCCCTCTCCAATACATGCCCAGGCAGATCTCCAGGTATTCGGACAATTTGCTTATCTCGTTCAGCAGCCTGAGTTGTCCTATCCCTCCTTTGTGGATATCTTGGTACAGGAGGGCCCTCTCTGCTCCATACCTAGACTAATCACCAGGTGTCTGGAGTACTCACTCTCCTGAGTTAGGAGTTAAGACCACTCCCATACTCTTGCAGAGAACTTAGAGATGAGAAGGTTTCCCAGCTCCATGACTAGGCACAACTTTGGAGGCTTGCTGGCTGCTGAGTGGATTCTTCCTTGGCACTAGTGCTTGTGGCTGCCATCAAGCAACCTGTAGGCAGAACTCCCCACTCCAGCTCCATACATCTTGGCTCATTCCTGCCCAGGGCTGAGCAGGGAGCTCTCACCACTGTGCCCTCTATGAATCAGCCCATTGCCTGAGGCAAAATAGAGCTTCTTCCAGTAAACAAAGTTCAGGTATACACCAGGCCATGTTGGCCATAGTCATATATTATATATAAGTGCTAGCTACTGTCTTCTAGATGTAACTGCACAGCCCAGTATAAAACATGCTGACCGAAATGCATAGGGCTGTAGAAGTTAAGTCAAAAGACTCCACCCAGCATTCTCTATAGTCACACCCCTTGGGGATGGGGAAAAGGGAAAGAGAAAGGAAATAACACAACAGTATTGTAGGTTAAAAAATAAAAAGAAATTAGAAGTGCCAGCATCTCCAGATAAAAAGGAACAATAATTCTGGCAGCATAAAAAATCTGAATGCAATGACAACAACAAAGGATCACACTAGCCATCCAGTAATGGTCCTAAACAAAATAGAAATTCAGAAATGGCAGATAAAGAATTCAAAGCATGGATTGCAAGGAAGATCAACAAAATTCAAGACGAGGTTTACAATCAACATAAAGAAACTTCTAAAGCAATCCAAGAAATAAAGGATGAGAGAAATATCCTAATAAGGAATCAATCAGAGCTTCTGAAAATAAAAGATTCACTTAAAATATTTCAAAATATAATTGAAAGCACCATCTATAGATTTATCGAAGGAGAAGTTTTCAGAACTTGTAGGCCAGTCTTGTGAACAAACCCAGTCAGACAAAAAAGGAATTTGAAAAAATAAACAGTCTTTGAGAAATATGATATTACGTAAAGCAACCAAACCTATGAGTTATTGGCACTCCTAAGAAAGAAGAAAGAAAACTAAACAATGTAGAAAACATATTTGAGGAATGATTGAAGAAAAATGTCCTAATCATATTAGAGATGTTGACATCCAGGTATCCAAAAATCCAGAGAACATCTGTGAGATGCTATAAAAAAATACATTAACAAGATATGTATTTACCAGACTATTCAAGGTCAATGCTAAATTAGAAATCTTAAAGCCAGGTAGGAAAAAAGGCCAGATCACATACAAAGGGAACCCTCATCAGGCTAACAGTGGACTTGTCAGCAGAAATTTTATAAGCCATAAGAGATTGGGGGGCTATTTTTAGCATTCTTAAAGACAATAAATTTTAACAAAGAAATTCCAAACAAAAATCTAAACCAAGTTTAGTTTCTTCCTGCCAAGCTAAGTTTTGTAACTGAAGGAGAAATAAAATCTTTTCCAGACAAGTAAACACTAAGGGAATTTGTTACCACTAGACCAGTTTTACAAGAGATCCTTAAAGGAGTTGTGAACAGAAAAACTAAATAACAATACCTGCTACCAAAACAGCCCACACTTAAGTCTATAGCTCATAGACTCTATAAAGGAACCACACAATAGAAACTACAAAGTAACCACTAACAACTTCACTATAGGATCAAAACCTCACATATCAATATTAACCTTGAATGTAAATGGTCTAAATGTCCCAATTAAAAGACACAGAGTGGCAAGGTGGATTAAAAACAATACCCATCTGTCTTCTGTCTTCCAGAAACCCATCCCATGAGTAATGACACATATAGATGCAAGTAAATGGTGGTATAAAGATCTACCACAGAAACAAAAAGCAAAAAAGAGCATGAGTAGTTATTCTTATATCAGATAAAATAGACTTTAAACCAACTACTGTAAAAAAAGGACAAAGAAAGGCATTACATAATGATAAAGGGTTCAACTAAAACAAGAACACTTAAATATCCTAAATATATACATGCTCTACATTAGAGTGCCCAGGTGCATAAAACAAATACTTGTAGACCTAGTAAAGGACTCAGACTGCCACATAATAATGGCAGGGAAATTCAACACCCCACTGATGGTGTTAGACAGATCATAGAGGCAGAAAACTAACAAAAGAATTCTGGACTTAAATTCAACACTTTATCAACTGGAACTAGTAGACATCTACAGAATACTCATCAACCACAGAATATAAATTCTTTTCAATTGCACAAGGAAAATATTCCAAGATCAACCATATACTCAGCCATAAAAAAAATCTCAATTAATTAAAATACAATTAGAAATCATACCAACTATAATCTCACACCACAGTGGAATAAAAATAAAAATCAGTTCCAAGAAGATCTCTCAAAACTGCATGATTACATGAAAATTAAACAACTGGCTCCTAAATGAATTTTGAGAAAAAACAAAAATTAAGGTAGAAATTAAGAAGTTCTTTGAAATAAATGGGAACAGAGACACAACACACCAAAATCTCTGGGGTACAGCAAAAGCAGTGTTAAAGGAGTTTACAGCACTAAATGCCTACCTAAACAAGTTAAAAAGATCTCAAATTAATGATCTAGATTACACCCAGAGGAAGTAGAGAAAGAAGAACAGAGTATCCCCAAAGCTAGCAGAAAAAAAATAAAGAAAGAAAATGAGAGCATAACTCAATGAAGTTGAGTTCAAAAATCCACACAATGAATCAATAAAACCAAAAGTTGTCTCTTTGAAAGAATATACAAGATTAATAAACCATTAACTAAATTAACAAGAAAAAAATGACGGAATATTTAAACAAGCATAATCAGAAATAGCAAAGTTGACATTACCACCGACCCCACAGAATACAAAAGATCCTCAGAGACTACTAAGAATGCCTCTATGCATACCAAATAGAAAATCTAGAGGAAATGGATAAATTCTTGGAAACACACAACCTCCAATTATTGAATCAGAAAGAAATAGAAGCCCTGAATAGACAAATACTAAGTTCCAAAATTGAATTAATAATAAAAACCCTACTAACCAATAAAAGCCCTGGACAAGAGGAATTCACCACAAAATTCTGCCAGAAGTACAAAGAAGAGATGGTAACCATCCTACTGAAACTATTAAAAAAAATTGTAGAGGAGGACTCCTCCTAACTCATTCTACAAAGCCAGTACCACCCTGATACCAAAACTTGGCAAGACACAACAAAAAAAAAGGAAATTACAGGATAATATTCTTAATGAACATGGACACAAAAATCCTCAAAAAAATACTAGCAAACCTAATTCAACAGCACATCAAAAAAGTAATTCACCATGATCAAGTAGACTTTTCTCTTGGGATGCAAGGTTGGTTCAACATACACAACTAAATAAATGTAATTAGTACTTAAACAATTAAAAACCATATGATCAACTTAATAGACAAAGAAATAGCTTTTTGATAAAATACAACATAGCTTCATGATAAAAGCCCTCAAGAAATGAAGCATCAAAGAAACACATCTCAAAATAATAAGAGACAACTATGACAAACTAACAGCCAACATTATACTGAAAGGGCAAAAACTGGGAGCAATCTTCTTGAGAACTGAAACAAGACAAGGTTGCTGATTCTCACCACTCCTATTCAACATAGTACTGAAATAGCTAGCCAAAGCAATCACGAGAGAAAACAAAATAAACAACATATGAATAGGAAAAGAAGAATTCAAACTATCTATCTTCTACAAACAATTTGATTTGATACCTAGAAAACCCTAAAGATTCCAGCAAAAGGCTCTTGTATGAATGACTTCAGTAAAGTTTCAGGTTACAAAATCAATCTACAAAAATCAGTAGCATTGCTATACAACAATAACATTCAAGCTCAGAACCAAATAAAAAATGCAATCCCATTTACAACAGCTACAAAAAGGTAAAATACCCAGGACTAAATGTAAGCCAGGAGGTGAAAAATGTCTACAACGAGAAATACGAAACAGTGCCAAAATAAATCATAGATGAGACAAATAAATGGAAAAATATTCCATGCTCATGGATTGGAAGAATCAATATCATTTTCATGGCCATACTGATAAAAGCAATCTGCAGATTTAACTCTATTTCTATCAAACTACCAAGGCCATTCTTTACAAAACTGAAAAAAAAATGTTTGAAAACTCATATAGAATCAAAACAGAGCACATCTAGCTAAAGCAAGAAGTGCAAACTCAGAGGCATCACAATACTTGACTTCAAACTATATTATGAGGCTAGAGTAACCAAAACAGCATGATACTGCTATAAAAACAGACACATAGATAAGTGGAATGGAACGAAGAACAGAAATAAAGTTGCACACCTACAGTTATCTTGTTTTTGACAGATTTGATAAAAATAAGAAACAAGGAGAGGACTCCCTCTTAAATAAATGGTTCTAGAATAGTTAACTATTCAGGAGAATGAAACTGGACCTTTGATTTTCACAATATACTGAAATTAACTGAAGATGGATTAAAGACTGAAATGTAAAACTTACAACTATAAAATCCCTGGAAGATAACCTAGGAAATACCATTCTAGATATCAGCTTTGGAAAATAATTTGACTAAGTTCTCAAAAGCAAATGCAATTTAAAAAAATTGACAAGTGGGACCTAATTAAAAACCTTCTGTGCAGCAAAAGAAGCTATCAACAAGGTAAACAGATAACCTACAGAATGGGAGAAAATATTCACAAACTATACATCCAACAAAGATCTAACACTCAGAATCTATAAGGATCTTAAACACCTTAGCAAACAAAAACCCAAATAATCTCATTTTAAAAAGTGGGAAAAATACATGAACAGGTATTTCTCAAAAGAAGACATACAAGTAGCCAACAAACATATGACAAAATGCTCAACATCACCAATCATCACAGAAATGCAAATCAAAACCACAATTAAATACTATCTTATACAAGTCTTGATGGCTACTAATAAAAAACTGATAAAAACAATAGATACTGGCAAAACTGTGGAGAAAAGGGAATGCTTATACACCGTTGGTGGAATGTAAATTAGTTCAGCCACTGTAGAAAGCAGTTTAAAGATTTCTCAAAGAATTGAAAGCTGAACTATCATTGGATCCAACAAACCCATTACTGGGTATATAGCTGAAAGGAAACAAACTGTTCTATCAAAAAGACTCATACACTTGCTTGGTTATTGCAACACTATTCACAATAGCAAAGACATGGAATCAATCTAGGTGCCCATCAATGCTATATTGGATAAAGAAAATGTGGTATGTATATACCACATAATTTGACACAGCCATAAAAAAGAAAGAGATCATGTTATTTGCAGCAACATTATAGCAGCTGGAGGCCATTATGTCAAGTGAATTAATACAGGCACAGAAAACCAAATACTGCATGTTCTCATTTACAAGTGGGAGCTGAACCCTGAGTACTTGCAAATATAAAAATGGCAGCAACAGAAACTGAGGACTATTAGAGAGGGGAGGAGAAGAGAGGAACAAGTACTGGAAAACTAACTATTAGGTATAATGCTAAGAACTTGGGGGATGAGATCATTTGTACCTCAAACCTCTGTTTTACACAAAATATGAAGGTAACAAATCTGCACATGTGCTCCTTGAGTCTAACATAAAAGTTGAGAAAAATGTACAGTGATCGAGATTTGTTATATGGTTGGTAGTTGGATGTATAAAACTTGCAATATCACATGAAAATATATTAATAATTTGTAGGATTGTTACAGGTTTAAAACCTTGAAATATAAAATCTGAAAAATTTCTTTTTTGATGTGATTCTCTCAAAGAATAAAATATGTTTTGTGTGTATATATTTGTATATTAATTATGTATATTGTTGATAGAAAATTGCCTCCATATAAACTGAACTTGTATGAGAATGAAATCTTGTACTTAAGATTTAATATGTCTGTTATGTAGAATAAATTTCTGTAGACTAACTTTTGACTATGCACATTTCAAATATTGTTTCTTCACCACTGCCAACACACTTATCATAGCAGATCCCATATGACATATTCATGTTGACATACGGCTTCTTTCATTGCATATTTGGTCCATGACACAAGTGAGTAGAAAAGTATTTCTATACTGGGACAATTGTTAGTAATTAACTAGTAGAAGTGAATACAAACCATATACATATATCCCACTAAACCAGAACAAAATATACCCCCAAATAAAATTACCTAGATTTCAAAATTGCCTATGACCAAGTATAACACAAAGATAGTATTTGTTTATCTTAACATATATAAATAAAAAAAAAAGTATAGTGAACGTATGGCATAAAAGATATTAACAATTAGTACTCCTAAAATAAAGGACACTTGCTATGAATGGAGCTTGCAGGACTGGAAGGTGCTCTGGGTGAGTCAGTGCACAAATGGTGAGTGAATGTGAAGGCCCAGGACATTACTGCACACTACTGTAGATTTTATAAGCACTGTACACTTAAGCTACACTAAATTTGTTAAAAAATTTTCTTCAGTAATAAATTAACCTTAGCTTATGTAATTTTTTACATTATAAACTTTTTAATTTTTAAAACATTTTTACTCTTTTGCGATAATGCTTTACTTAAAACATAAACACATTGTATAGCTGTACAAAATATTTTCTTTCTTACATCCTTATTCTAAAATTTTTTCTATTTTTAATTTTTTTTTTACTTTATAAACTTTTTTGTTATAAATTAACACACAAACACGCACCTTAGCCTAGGCCTATGCAGGGTCAGAATAATTATTATAACTGTTATTCATCTCTAAATCTTGTCCACTGAAATGTCATTAGGGCATTATCATGCATAGAGCTGTCACCTCCTATGATGACAGTTTCTTCCTCAGGAATACCTCATGAAAGCCTTTCTTTGCCTACAGCTAACTTTTAAAAAATAAGTACAATTAGGATACCCTAAAATAATGATAAAAACTATAGTATAATAAATGGTAACAGTCATATAGTATAAAAACTATAGTTTTTATACTATAGTTTTTATATAGATAAATGTATACATCATATATAGCTATATATATAACTATATATAACTGTATATAGTTATATCTATATCTATATGGTTATATATATATAACCATATATATATAACCATATAGATATAGTTTTTATATAGATAAAAACTATAGTATATAAATGGTAACAGTCATTTGTTTTCATTATCAAGTATTATGTAGTGTACATAATTGTGTGTGGTATAGTTTTACAGCTATGATGTCCCTAGGTGATAGGAATTTTTCAACTCCATTATAACATTATGGGACCACTGTCATATATGCAGTCCATCATGACCTGTGCACATGACTTTAGCTCATTATATTGGTATGTAGAATAGGTAAACATGTAAGCAATGTTTTTTTGCTGCACGACATATTTGTAAAACACTCAACTGAAATACAAGGTTTAATTTAAATCACACATATATTTACTAACATGATGTATATACAACATCAAACTAAAACTTTAGCTAGTGTTGCTAGCTGGTTTATAAACCTGGCAAGCCCTGCTTATAAAGAAGGTATCAGTGAACTGTAGGGGCTGTTCCTTCTAGGGGTCACTTTTTTATGGGTAACTTTTCAAATAACATAAATAAATAAGATTATAACTAAAGGGTGCCTGTCTATTGTAGAAAACTGATATACAGATTATCACAAAGAAGAAGAAAACCACCTATAGTCACAACCATCAAAGAAAAACATAGTTAACATTAAGTAGATTTATTTCTATCTTATTTACTGCACCGTTTCTTCTGCCACTGACGCTTTTGAATTCCAGCTGCACGTCTCATCCAGAGTCCTCCTTGGCTCTACGTTTCGAACCTATTGGCAATCCTGCAGGTCTTGGGAAATTACACAGCTATTTTCTCACCAACTTAGGTTTTTCAGAATGCAAAAGGTTATGTTGACCATTTTAAGTGTTATTGAAGAATAGGTGACAGTTTCATTTTAACATCTTTATGTTCTTTCTTGCTGCCAATATTTTTTCTACTCATCTTGGAAAATCCTCTTCCATCAGTCTCCAAACTATCCCTACTTTGTAATACTTCAAGCCTCATGGTTCTGAGCTGTGGTTAAACCCTCAGCTCTGTTTCATGACTACTGTTGCATATGCCATCTTTAAAGTACATTATGTTTGTTTTTCCTTTTCACTATTTGAATATATTTTTTTGGGTAAAAGTCTTAGTTTGACAAAGGAATTCTGCATGTTCTTTAAAATGTTTATTCTCCACCTTTGATGACTTTCCTTTTGATATAACTGTAAGAGTTGTTTAAATCAATCACCCTACAGAAACATTCTGAGGACCCTTAAAAGCAGTGTAAACCAGCATGTTAGAAAAATAGTAAGGAAAATCTGCAATGGAAAAAAAATAGCTTAGAAAGCATTGTGTAAATAATCCAGAGTCAAAGGAAAGCAAAATAAAAGGGAAAGATGATTTTTATATACCTTGTCTTGCTTTTAAAACTATTTCCCACTGAGTGCAAAATGGGAAGTAATATCTTTATTAAACATTTTGAATCAGTAACCTTTAGTCTAAGTGTGTGCAAGAAAATAAATTTTCACTGTAAATTTTCATTTTCTACAGTAAGTGGTATGTATCTGCATATTTGTAATATTAAGGTAAGCAGGCAATTTATAAAATGCATTTGGAGATACTAGAGCTAAGAATCAGAGAACTTCTTGTAGCTTATCTGATTCTGTTAATCAAACTCCCCAGCTTCAAGGGGCTAATGCAGTATTACCGCATACTCCATAAAAGTAGCACTTCCAAGCATCAAGATGATATAATGATTACAGACACAAGAGAAAGATTTCAATTAAGGGTAGCATAACCGCGTGCTACATACCAAAGGTGCACAGCATCACGCTAATTAAAGTGCAATAAGCCAACAAAAGCCATCAAACATTATACTCCCAGAGGCTGATGAACCAAAGCAATTGTTTCGCTTTTAAAATCAAAGTGCCAGTATGATACTGAATTGTAAGTTAAGAATAAATATGGGACTTTAAGGAATGGAATATTATGAAAATTTTAATTTTAAAGCAGTTATTTAATCGATATCTAAGAAGCAGAATTGTGAATCCTTAAATATGCCCCAAATTGTGTAGTGTATATATACATTTGTGTATACACATGTAACATACACACACAATTTTATTCTATTAAAATTAATGCTTAACATTACTGAACAAATATCTTCATTGAACAGCTAATGTGAGAAAAGCAGTGAGTTAACTAAATTATTGTACATTCTTATTCATAGTGCATTCTTATTCATATCAGTGAAATAGTCTCCTTGAAACTGAAGCATGTTTATGCACTAAAATTTTTTTCTTTGTGCATAAAACAACATTGTCTCTGAAGGAAATGTGGTATTATATCAGTGATTGTTAGGCTGAAAGCAATAGGCAAGTCACATAAATATGCATAATAATAAGAATTTGTAGAAGTCAATTAAATGTCAATTTAATACATAGGCGTATACTTTTCTCTAAAATTAAAAACAAATTTTTCACCAGAAGTCATAATCACTGAATAGACATAAACAAATAAAGGAAATTATTTTATAATAATCAAAAGCACTTTAACTTTTTGGTGATGTAATTTGGGTTTGTAGTCTGTGGTTTCAGAGCACCATGCACATCAAAACATGTAAGACGGGTCCAAAACATTTTGAAGAGATACAAAGAATATAATTACAAATATCATGATGGGTGCTCAAAGGAATTATTTGGAAGATCCTGAATAAACAGGACATTAATGAGAATGTTGCAATAAAGCTGTAGACTGAGCTACAATTCTCAGTCGTATAATGTGAATTACAACATATAATTATAGCATTTACAATCCAAGTTATGAAATCAGCTAGTATTTATGGCCAATGTCCACACCTGCTGTTGTTAGTGGCTGGCAAATATACATAGCAATCACTGCACTATAATGAAACTCCAGTTTTCATCTTTTGTCTTTGAAATTTTACATTTGAGCTAATGCTTCCACAAAATGTTTAAATAAACAAATATTAACAATATTTTTTAATGAAAAAAGATGGGATTTTTTGTGGGAGACCAGGATATGCCACCCCAAAATATGAATTGTTGATCTGAAGACAATTAAGAAAAAGCAGATGCAGAATAATTGCCTATCATCTCTCTATTTGTCGAAACGCAGGACATATATTTACAAAAGCAAATGGTATGCCCCACCCCCTCCAGCCCTCCTGCCACACCGGGACATCCCCTTACCCCCAACCCCTACCTCCATCACTGCTTTGGAACTTTATGGACCTGGAAGATTCTACCACAGGAATATGTATTAACAAGTTTTACTATTCTTAATCTGGCATTTATTTGCTTCCCCCAAATTGCACCCCTAGAGACTCAAAGTTCTTTCTTTTTGTTTTGTCATTTCTCTAAAAATTTACTTTTCTTTGTTGAACATGCTACATAATCTGGAATTCAAAGCCATCTCTTAGAGAAGGAATGACTTATTTCTTGGGTATATTCATGTATATATGAAATATACATGTTAATAAACTTCTGTTTGTTTTTCTCTTGTTAATTTACCTGTTGTTACTGGTTTCCTTCCAACTAAGAACTATGTTGAATAAAAATGTGCTGTTCTTCCCCTACAGTTTCAACAAGCGATTGCTAAGCAATTAAGTTAGTGTGTGATAACTCCGTCACTACAGAACAACTAAACATGACTGTTTCCAATCATATCAAACACCAAAAGTTGTAAAATATTTCAGCCAGTGTTGAGAGATACATATTCAGAGGTCATAGAGATATCTTAGATTTACTGACTCTTTTGTGAGTTGGAAAGCACTGTAGATTTTAGAAAATATAAAACAACAAAAAGGAATTTTCTGTCTGCAATATTTTTATCTGCAAAAAGTATATATTACCTCTAATTGGATGAAACTTTTTGATCAGATACTAGAAACAATAAGAGGATGTACATCTCAAAATATGGGTTATATATCTATATGTTGCTTTAAAAAATAGAGTTTGAAAGGCAGAATTCAAAGGAACCTGCTATTCTGAACATGTACAAAGGAAATGGTTTCCTTAGCAACAGGAAACAGGTGAAAGCTCTCAGTAGTGATCCTTCCACCCATGTTCCTTTTGAGTTTGGTAATGTTTCCAAGCTCATGAGGAAAGATAGAGTGAATTTATCATGAAGAAACAATACTGCTAGTTAGAGAGCTTTCACCACATTTATGAGTTGGCAAATGCCTTGTTGTTTGACGTTGTTGGCATAACAGTAGCCGTCATAATAGAGACAAGGTTTCTTTTTTCCCCCTTCTTTATATTCCCCAGATATATAAGCCCTTAAATCTATGTTGTGAATTCTTAATAACTTATAAGGCCCATCCTGATAAAATAGCCACACATAGAAATAACATCGCAGGTTTTTGTACAAATCTAGTTATTCCATCCGTTTCTGAAATCATCTACATGCGTGGGTTAATTTCTGCCTTTTTTTTTTTTACAGAGAAAAGGAAGCATTTATTACATAGAAAGTAATTTTAAAATTTTCAGAGGAAATTTTTATATATTAGTTTATGTGATAGACATTTCAATAATAATAATAAAACAGCCATACAGCACTTTATTTTTGATTTTTAAACTTATATTCCATCTTTAACTGGCACAATGAAGATGTTTAAGACATGTTTTTGCTGCACTTTTGACATGCCTTTTTCTCTGAATCATCAAATCTTATTTTGCTGTAAGGAACCATAGAAATTAGAACTTTCTTGGCTAATTCTATTTAAATACTTAATTTATCATGCACAATGCTAGAGGCTGAGAATATAAAGATGAATAATGAAGAGCCCTGGCCCCCAAAAGGCCTGCAATCATTTTCACTATGTAACTTGAAGAATTTGAAATAACTTAGTAATTAGGCCCATTGTTCTCTAATAGTTTATGATACTGTACATAAATGAAGCCTCTTCTATCAGGTATGAATATCATAATTATTATGTTTAACAATAATAAAGAACAGAAGAGAAGAATGATCCTGTAGAATTCACATATCTACAGAAAAAGTTTTCAGTAGAAATTTGATGGACTTAGATGTTTTGAAAACAAATTTAAAGTGAAAGCTCGAATGAGACAAACCAGATGACATAAACAAGTTTTATATAGAAAAGGCTTAAATATCGAAGTGGTGATGGCTGAAGAAAATTAAGTCTGGATTTGAATGAAATCTTATAATTATGCAGTGTTCCAAAGCATATCTCAACAGCCATTTGTCTCAAAATTAAAATAGCTTTTATTTCTGAATACCTATGTGCAGTTATACAATGCAGAATAGCTCATCAAAGTACTTAGAAGATACAGGTAATCCCTTCACCCACCTGAACTTATTCTAGAAAATAAATGGAAACAATAATTCAAGTAGTAAATATTTATTAAGCTCTTAATCTGTGCCATCTATTGTGTATTCATCTCATTATTGTATACTTATCAAAGAAAATAGGTAATATTAATACCCTGAATTTATAGATGATTATACCATGGCAATATAGAAATTAATAACGTGCCCAATGCCAAGCAGCTAGAGAATAGAGTAATAGGGATGGCTATAAAATTGTATAGCTATATTGTTGTCTTTCTTGCTCTCTTTTTTCAAAGAAATTGGTATCATATAAGATATGTTATTCTATTCTACAATTTTATTCTTACTCGTTTACTACAAATGCAAAATGTAGTATTGCAGATATATCTGTAAGTGGTATTACCAAATTATCTTGTTTAGCTTATTTCTTTTGCAGTAATGAAGATTTAAAAGGAATGAAAATAATGGAAATTAATGAACACTTATTTTCTAAAATATCAACATGTTCTTTCTCAATTACTGTGCAAACCCATGTTTACATTAGCTTTTTCAACCTTCCATGGTAATTGCAAAGGATTAGGATGGAAGACATTGGTTTTAGCACCGTGACTACATTTATTCAGCCATTAATTCAAAAAATTTATCAAACATTGTGCTATTTTTAAAAATTTAATAGATTCTGCAGATATAGCAATAAGTAAACAATTAATTTTATTGTGAACCCTACCTTCTAGATGGTCCCAAAATCTGTTAGAAAAAGTTGAAGGAAAGAGTTATGGCTTTTGATGAATCCAGAGAGCACAGGAAGCAAAGGAAAGGTTTTGCAATCCTTGGTAAATATTTTGTTAGTGAGAATCCTAATTTCCCTAGCTCTTGCCTCTTCGGTTTTCTCTTATACAAGAATTGGCAATCGTCTTTATTTATTTATTTTTTCTGAAGAACTCCTTACCTTCCTTCCACTTTTCTTCCATGCTGTGATGTTATCAAGCTTCCAAAGTGCCAAGCTTTGCTGTTCCTAGGAAGATTTAAGAAGGTTGCATATTTAAATGTTTGTATCGTTGCACACATTTGCAGAGTTAGAGATTTGGTTTTATTCTATTTTCGACGTTAATTTTGTGACCAATTACAATTCCTTGTTTTTATATAGTTTTTATTATACTTAAAAATATTATGTTTCTTACTGCTATTCATAACATTATTTGAGGTAAGGAAGTATTTAATAATAAAAATGCTAGGCAATCAAAGCATTAGAGAGCCTAATGATCAAAAGCAAGGAGTTAATGTTGATAAAGCAGAGAGAAAAATTTGACTTTTCCACACTCAGTCTCTACTTACCACTTATTTGGTCTCTTTGGGTGGGTCCTGATAAATTTGTTACAAACAAGCACATATTCATTTATTCAAGAGTCAGATTCATAAAGCTGAAGCACAGTGATTAATTAGTGCTATTAATCACTAATATATATATATAAATTTAAAAATATTTTTTTAAAAAATCAAATGAGTCATGACCATTTCTTTTTGGATAGGCCATTTCAAGATTTTCCCCCCCAAAACAGAGAGTTACTTGATTAATACAGAATCATTTTATGAAAATTGAGAAATTTCATGAAGTTAAATCTATCAACCATGGTAGCCTAATGAATTACACTAAAATTTGGGGGGTACTACTGATTATTTGGAATTAGAGTATACTCATCCTAAGGACTATGCTAGCAAAATACTAATATGTTCTTCTTTCCTCAACTCCTGCTTTCCCCTTGTGCCCCAGGCTCTTTGATGATCATTGAGTTTGTACCTGTTATTATATCATTCTTTCTCATTTCAACATACTCCCTTTTCATATTAAAATTTAAAATTTTCCTTCTTCATTTACATGTATTAATGACTTCTGGGAGGCACCTTAATCATATCAGTAATGAGCTGTTAGCTTCAATTAAAGAAGGTAGCCCTTCTCTAACCTGGTTGTCCTTTTCATGATCTTTATCTATCAGATTCTACAGGTTAACTCTCTAAGCCTGTCTGTCCACTGATTATAATAACCAGTTTTCCACAGCCTTATTCATGTGTCATTGACTTCTTCCCATCTCTTTTTGAGATTGTAAATAAAGTGAAAATGAGGTATGTGTTGTGTAGATGCATAATTACAGCATACAGAAAAACAATGTTGTACATAAAAACAATGACTTCTGACATAAGAAACAAGTAACTTTCTTGTGGCAAGTATTGTGTGTGTGCGTGTGTGTGTGTGTAAAGTGTAGATATTGATCATCCATGTGAGAGAGGGTAAAAGAGAATCAGTATCTCATTTTCAGTTAGACCATTAAGGCTTGATGAGTACATATGTTGTCAGGATATCCTTAAAGAACAGAAACCAGGGGTGGCAGGAAAATGAAAGGAAATGAAAAAGTGATCTGCAGTGTATTCTCAAAAATGCACATGAGTTGGCAGAAGATTTCAAAACATTCAAATTCTGCTTCTTATTATGCTATTAATCATGAATGACCTTGGATATGGTAGACTGATAACACCCTCTCTACAGAATACTGAATAACCAAGTGACTGCCTTAAAATTTAGACAGCATAAATCTGTGAAGCTGCATGATAGATCTATTGCTGTTGAATGAAGTGAGTGATGGGAATCACTCACACACAGTATATCAAAACCTGCTATTAGCTAATAGGACAGTTGTGAAAACAAAAGTGAATGGATAATTCAAATTAAGTTAAGTAATTCTATTTTCTACATAACATGCTCACTCTGCATTTTTAACATTGTCACTTAACATCCTATGTGGTGCTAGGCTCTCTGATAGAGCAGTCCACCTTGCATTTTAAGATTCTTTCTGGGTAAGGTATTTGCAATAAGGACTAAGCCCTGCCAACCACTGCAATAATCCAAGCATTGGAGAGAACTCCACCTCTTCATCTCACATTGTTTTCAAAATTACGTACCTTCAGGGAGATATAATCACAGTAGTAGGCAAAATGACTTTTTCTAAAAAAAGATGGAGAAGAAATCTAGGCAAACTTTGTGGAAGAAAAGGGCACTAAGGAGAAACATTGAATAAAGTAAGGCAGCAATACAAAATGTAATGAATATGACAATTCGAAAAAATATCCATAAAAAAAATCATATACTTTGGGTAAGAAGGAATTAAAACCATTTAAAAAACATTAAAATAGTAAAATTAAATGATTATTACAGAGAGAAGAGCTAAGCTGTATGTCAAAGAAGAAGAAAAAAACAGTAAAATACATAAAAATTATACAGGCAACAAAAAATCTATAATCAAATTTTCCTTGAATAGTTACAGGGCTAGAAGTTTCATTATCAATGTAAAACAACAGGACATTAAAAGGCATTCAAAATCAATTTCTATAATATCAATTAGCAAGTTGGCAAAGTACTTTTGCCCTGATTAAGGGACATAAGAAGATGTCTGATCAACTCCGTCTCTCTCATTCTTCTTGCTCTTAGGTTTTATTATTTTACTCTTCAAGGAAAGGAAAATAATGGTTTTGAGCTTTAAGATTTGGTTTAGGTGACAATATTTTAGGATTTAAGATAGTATAGGCAATCAAGGAGTAATTGCTATAATTTCATTTTAAAGGGTTCAATTTCAATTTGTTTTCTTCTACCACTAAAACATATATATATATATGTGTGTGTGTGTGTGTGTGTGTGTGTGTGTGTGTATACATATATATAAAATTAAGTGTTTTGAGTGACAACTACTTTAAAAATGGCACAGAATGGAAAAGATAGGTTAACAAAGTAGCATTTTAGAAAATTGAACACTTCCCCACTTATGAGTAAATTTTGTTGTAAATACTTTATAAAATGTGTATTGAAATGTTGCTTTAACCTAACTTGAAAAACATTGATGAAAAATGTAACGACAAAGGTCAACAGTTTCATAAAGCCTTTAGCCAAGTTTTCATAAAGTAAAATAATTATATTACAGTATATCATATCACTTAAAATGATATGCTGTAATATAATTATTTTACTTTATAACTTTGACTATAATGTGATTCCACCTGAGTCATCAGTTAATCAGTTTGAATAACCTGCATCTGGAGAGACTGGGCAGATTGATCATTAAGAATTGCTCACACTAGCTCTGCTGTGTAGCATATGCATTATATTTCTGACACTTTCATATGGGACTAATTCAACTCAAATCAAAAGAATCTGTTAAACATCTGCTAAATAGCTAACCTGGAGAAATGGAAAGAAAAAAATTAAATGAAGAAATTTTAAAAACACATTTTGCATTGTCAAGGTATTTAGAAGCAGTAGAAAAGGAAAGAAAAAAAGGCCACAAAAAAGAGCCAAGGGAAAATCATTTTCATTAAGCAAATAGAAAAGTACTGCTAAGCATTATTGGTGAGTAGCCAAATCAGGCCAAAGGAAAAGACTAAATTCTAGTACAGTCTACGATAACTAAATGTATATAGTGACTAAAGTGCAAGAAGTATGCAGAACCCAGTCTAAGTAAAACAACAGAAGCCAAGAATAGTAAAGAAAGAACCCCCGAATAAAGAAAAAGACAGCTGTCAAATTATTGTTCAGTGGAATGCTCATGGGTTACTTTATTTCACTAGGAGGCTTAGAAACCTCTCAATCTCATTCTCCTTACAAATACGTTAGTACTAAATCTCTCCATAAAACAGTTATTTTCCCTCTAGCATTTCTAAAATGTTTGTTTCATCAATTGCTTCAGAGTTTGAAACATTTCTTTGAGCAATATTTACTATATATCTTTGCTTCTTTTGAAATTTCTGTCGTATAGTATCTGTCACAGCTTTTAAAAATAAATATTCTGAAGTCTAAATTTAAGTAAAATAGCTTTGCATTTATGCATTTGATATAAATGGAGTATGGGAATTTACTGTTGGATTGATTTACAAGTAGAACCATTAGATGTACAGACCATTTAAAGTGTTGTAGCTTTCTGGGACACCAAATTATGTAGGGAACTAGAGAATTGTTCTGTGCATAAGAAATAATATCCTGCAATGCCAAGTAATCTAATTTTTCACATATTTTATCTTGGTGATCTGACAAGGAAGAGGAGGCAGAGAGAGAGAGAGAGATTTAAAATTAATACAGCGACTTCAATGTTTTTGAAATGCAGCATCAGAAAAGAAGTCTTAATATGCCTACAAAGTTTTGAGGTTTATAAATTATCTTCAAAACTCAAATTCAATTTAAATAACTCAAAGTCACACTTCGTATCTGATGAATGTATCTATAGTTCTATCATTGTATGCACAGTCCTGACTCTAAATTCTTTGTACATTTTCCAAAATTTAAATTCACATTCAATGGATAAATATCCGCTGCAATGTATATTACTTGCTCAAGCTTCACTAGAGACCAGTTTGGAAAATTTGGGAAATACTTTTTTTTCCAGGTCCTTCTTTCTCTCTTATAATAATAAATTATCAACTGCATAGCTGCACAGTCACATTTCACGTATGTTAGACTTTGATGATCAGCCTCTAACTAATGATCATTAATGATAAGCCTCTAAATCAATTATGGTTAGTTTTCATTTACAGATTTACTTTACTACCAAAAAATAAAAACAAATGTTCTTACGTTCATTAAAGTTTTCTTTAAAAATTAGGAAAAAAATTAATGTAAGTTTATATGCTCAATTTATGTTGAACAGGAAACTTTTTGGCTTTGAAATACCTAGTTAATTCTTAGATTTTGGACATTCTATATTAGTATTGTTGTTTTTTTCCAAACAGTATATATTTGGATGAGATTGAGTTCTCACATGTATTTTTAGGAATTAAATATAGAACAATTGAATAATTCATAATATACCAAGTAATTTTAGTTAAAAAATAATTGAGGATTTTATAAATGAGATTTATCAAATACCAGCATTAATCAAACTCCACTTCCTATAAGAATATAGGACCCAAATTGGTATTTTGCAATACAGACCTTGGAGTTAAATGTAAATGTTTTACTAACTATATAGCTTTACAGAATTTTTCATCAACAAAGTAGTTACCAGTTTGGCAAAACCTAGAGAAAAAAGAGTGTTTCCTTTTCCTGAACCATCTATATTGTATGCAGTCAGCCAATTTCAAATATGGAAAGCTGAATATTTTTGTGCATGTAGTAGTTATATTGAGTAACTTTCATTTTTCATGGGAAATGCTGACATCATCATGATGCCAAAACTTAAGCAGCTACCCTGATTTCAAGCTCCATTTAGCAACATGGGAAATATTACATTGCTTACATTTATAGAACTGAAGAAATACAGACCCTCAGATAACATAAAACAAAGTAAAGGCTAATTATGTTCAGTTCCTGAAATACAAGGTCTATATCTATAGTAATTTGCCTTTTCATTGTTATATTTACAGTCACAAATTAAGTAAAAGCTCTCTTCAAAATTACTTTTTAAACATTTTTCTATACTCACCATACTTCAAATCCTAGTATTTTTAGTAATAATTCTGTTTTAGTACATAACCATTATTTGAAAATAAAAATTCAGGAGTTTGATAAATAATTATTTGCATAGGTGTGACTAAGGCCAAATAATATATTCTAAAGTGAAAAAAAGGTTAGAAATAAATTGTAAAAGTTATAATTTTTCTAAAGATATTTACTCATAAAGTTTATTCATTCTTGAGCCAAATACTTCCAACTTTGCTTCTTGGATACTCCAACCCTAAACTCTCACTAGAAGACCAGATTTTAATAGACAATTTGTAACTAGTCATTCCTAAATATATATCTAATTTAATGTAACTAAACAGAATTCTTGATTTCCCTATTCCACTTATTTCAAATAATATCACTTGTAGCTCAGTTAAAAATCCAGAAGTAAAATTAGAATCTCCTGTTCCACAGTTTTTTAGTTTTACTCTCAATTATCTAATGACTTCTTAATAGTTACACTATTAATTACCTAAGTTCAAATCAACATCATTTCTCCACTGGACCACAACGATGTTTCCTAAGTGCTTCCATTTTGTGTCACCCACTCTCAAAATTACCTTCATGTTTATTTTCCATAGAGCAGCCCAAGGGATCTTTTCAAGCGTAAATCAGAATATTTTCACTTCTGCTTAAAACTGTACAGTGGTGTCTCATGCAATTAGAGTATAATTTAAAACTCTCATTATGACTTAGCTTTAGGAAACTTAAAATTGATGGCTCATGTTTATTTTTCGAATGCTATACAATTTTCGTTTTATTTAGTACACTTTGACCACCTTCACCAGCTTTCTAGTCCTTTAACACTCGGAATAAATCTTGCCATAGGGTCTTGGCATTTACCTCTTTCCTTGCCTGGAATTGTTTTTCCTGTTTGGTGTGTGCGGGTGTGGTGTGTGTGTGATTTGTAAATTCACAGTTCTTAACTCTAACTTAATTCTCTCCACTCCTTCACCGAGTTTTGATTCCTTCATAATCATCACAAGTTAAAATTGAGTTTTGCCCATGGTCATTGTCTACCTGTAACCCAGAATATTTCTTCCAAGGGGACCAGAAATGGGATCTGCTTGTCTTCTTCACTTGTGTGTCCGCAATATCTAGTGCAAAGCTTATCACATAATTGGTTCTCAATAAGAAATTTTAATGAATTAATTGTAACAAAATTGTTCGTTTTGCCATGAGGTTCAAGCTACCACACCTGTGATTTAAAAATGAGACCTGATTATTATTTCTTTAAGATAGGTAAAATTAAAAGAATGTTCAGATTAATGAAGAGTTCTGTTTCCCTTTGACTGTTGTTGATATCACCTCACAGTCTGGCTGCTGAGAATAAGCATTTCAGCAGCTCTGGCATGGCCTTTTCTTATTGCTTAATGATTTTCCAATGATAGAGGAATGCACTGCAACTGAGCCATAGAGACTTGAAAGCTATCTGCTGTACCCGACATAGAAATCCCTCTCATTATCAAGACAATGTACTGGCACTGGTTCTGCCTTAATTGTTTAGACCTCACAATGAGGATGTATAGAGGGAAGAGCAACTCTTTCCATCAGTGTCATCAACATTGTCAGTCCATATTCCATAGTTCTATGTTTCACACTTATGACTCAGAACTCTTATCAGTTCCAAAGCTTCTGTCTTAGGGCAAAAAAAAATGTACAGTCATGCTCTGCATAACACATTTCTGTCTATAACAGATTTTATATATGATGGTGGTCCCACAGGATTATAATGGAGCTGAAAAATTCCTATCACCTATAGATGTCGTAACTGCAGTACCGACATAGCTCAACAGATTACTCCTGTGTTGGTGGTGATGCTGGTGTAAACAAATTTACTGCACTACCAGCTGTATAAAAGTAAAGCACATACAATTATGTACAGCATATTATACTTGATAATGATAATGGCTATGTTTCTGGTTTATGTATTTACTATACTATACTTTTTATTGTTATTTTAAAGAGTGGTGGTGGGTGCCTGTAATCCCAGCTACTTGGGAAACTGAAGCAGGAGAATCTCTTGAACCCAGGAGGCAGAGGTTGCAGTGAACCGAGATCGTGCCACTATACTCCAGCCCGGGCAACAAGAGTGAAATTCTGTCTCAAAAAAAAAAAAAAAAAAAAGTTATGTGTAAAATAGTCTCAGGCCGACTGTTTTTCAGCAGGTTTTCCAGCAGAAGGCATTGTGATCATAGAAGATGATGGCTGTATGCATGTTACAGCTCCCAAAGACCTTCCAGTGGCATAATTTTATGGTTGTCAGTGATATTGATCACTGTATCAATGAAGACAGTGTTATTGATAATTCCAACCCTGCGTAGGCCTAGGCTAATGTGTGTGTTTGTGTCTTAGTTTTCAACAGAAAGTTTGAAAAGTAAAAAGAAAATTAAAAATAATAAAATGCTTAAAGAATATGAATATAAAGAACAAAACAAACTATATTATTTTATTATATTAGCCAGAGATGGATCACTTGTCTATGCCCTAATTATAATGATTAGAAATGAGTTTCTGACATCTTCATTCTTTATAGTGGATGCTCAGGTCTAGCCTTAAGGAAAAAGAAGATGCAACCATGTTTGCCTCCGAACCCATTTGTTTGCTGTATATATGAAGTCATTTTCCCAAAGTCATGACAAAATAGTAGAATGAGGTAGTAAGTAGGATTTTCTGTATTAAACACAAAGTGCTCCCTAAATCATCTCCTTCCATAGCCACTTCCTCTAGATTTCTAAGAGAGTAACCAGATGGTTCTATTTCTTGCGCTTACTCCATTTCCATCCTTTGAAAGAGAGATTTGTCTTTGACTAGAAAGTCCCACATAAATATAAGTGAAATAGAGAGGAGACTAATATTCAGGGCAAGTACCGAACACATATTACCTGCAATCAACCTGGAAAGGTGGCGATATAGCTCACAAATGCAGGGTATGTAAAGGAAAAATCAGAGTCGTTTAGGCATTTTAGTCAGAAAAAAATGAATATACAAGTTATTTTCTCATAAAATATGTGAGTACTAGAATTGTGAGCTTGATGTAATCATGGATGTACAGTTATTTAGTATGTAAAGAGAAAGTGTTTTAACACTCTGAAAAAGAGTACCAGGATAGGTACAAGGCATACCAAGATGTGC
This sequence comes from Homo sapiens, assembly GCF_000001405.40. NCBI lineage: Eukaryota > Metazoa > Chordata > Mammalia > Primates > Hominidae > Homo > Homo sapiens. The sequence continues at coordinate 77,528,626 of NC_000008.11, read as the reverse complement.
CTTGTTTGACAATTAAAGGGATTAGAACTGAACCTGCAGAAAATGCAAAAAAAGGTGAGAAAAGTTTAATATAAAAGTGGTGTGATTATATCCTTATTAACTTAATTCGTTATTAACCTTTATTAACTCTTACTTAGACTACTAAGGTTTCCTATAATTGGTCTCCCTTCTAATATTCCCTCATATTAATCTTACTAAGTCAGATTTCCCCATGAAATAACCCAGAATCACTCGGCTTCCCCCTGACGGAGAACATTCCTACACCCTGAAGAAGTCCTCTGGCTGCCCCATTTCTCACTCTGCAAGAGCTATGACTTCCTTTGATGTAAAAATCCAAATATAAAAAAAAGACATGTCACTTTTTTGACAGGATAAGATAGATGGAAAATATATTTAAAATATATAAATAAGAAATTTTATGTTATTTGATACTATGCATAATTTATCTGGAGAAGTCGTGATATCATTGGTGTTTCAAATTTTTCATATTGGAAAATGCTGGTGTCATTAAAAATTATTGGGGAGCACAAAAATAGTAGTTTCAGGAAACAGTTTCAGGAAAAAATACAGAAAACAGGTGTAAATTATTGAGGATTTGATAAGAAATTAAGATATTGAATAGAAACTATTCACCACAGGACCACTGAATAATGGAAAGAAGAGAAATCAGAGGATGGATTTGAAGACTCAAAGAAGATAATTGATCTTGGAATATATGGGAAGTTGTGACATTAGGAGAGTAAAAATGAAAAGATAAATATTTTGTGGAGTAAATCTTTGGAAGATGAAAAAATACTTCTTTTGCTAGAAAATGGCTTAATAAGTCAGCAGAAGATTGAGGGAGCTTGAATTGAAAGGATTGTATGAATATAATGTAATTTAGTTTAAGATGCATGCTCATGAGAGAGGGCTTGAAGATAAAAACATTGTTTAGAGTAGCATCTAAACAAAATCCTTCAAAAAGAACAGTTACATTGAAAAGAGGGCTGGCGTTGACTGGCGTGCATGTCTAGGAAAATTAGTGCTGTTTTAAAACTTCTCCAACTGAGTAATGATTAGCATCTAGGAAGAGAAACAGAAAAAGCTAGTGTTTTCAGAATCCTGATTTGAGATTGGCAGGGAAGAATTGTGTAAGAACAGAGGGCAACGGGACCAAAAATGTCAGTAAGATAATAACCGAAAGAACAGAAATTGAAGTCCAGGAAAGTGTACATGCAGTCAGAGGGAGCTGGTGAAAAGGACAGTGGGGGGATGGGGAAATGGAAGTAGATATATTAAGGATGAGAAGTTTGGAAATGTAGAAAGACAGTAGCTTGTGTTTAGAGATTGAATATTTGAAGTCCAAAATACATAGAGGGTTCTTCTAAGGAATAAACAGTTGCGGTCATGTCAAAAAGTGGTCATGACATCAAGTGGAAAAGAAAGTTATATGAATGGCAATATCAAGGAATTGGGAGTTTGGCATGTACTTCTGTAGTTTTTGGCGGCCTATCACCCATTCACTCTTCTTTTAGCAAGAATAACCCAATTTTTCTTAAGGAAATATTCCTCCAATATTCTAAGTCCATGTGATTCAGGTGTAATCTCCCGTTGCATACTCCAACCCCATGAGTGGTTATGAAACCCACGTTGGCAATCAAAGCAACACGAACATGGCCATAATAGTTAGTTCAGGACTGGCTAAACATATAATACAAACCAGTACAGTTCTAGGACTTTAAAAAATATTTGTGGTCACTCAAAGTTTAAAATGTAAGCCTGAAAGTGCTTTTAAGTAAAATGATATCTCAAGGGGATTAACTGCCTTAGAATGGAGCCAGACTCAGGGGAAAGCATAGAATAAATGGAAAAAGGAAACTTAAGACCTGTGATATAAGAGCCCCTTGATGCTGCCATGCCTGAAACTAGAGTCCATAACTGGACTTTCCAGTTAAATTCTACTTAAATGCCTTTATTCAGTTCATACTATTTAAATTGGGCTTCTGTTGTTTGCAACCACAAAAGTTTCTAATTTTAAATAACAACCACCACATTTTTCCTTTCTTGAGGAACAAGGATAGGAAGAAAATATGATAACAGAAGCTCATCAGCAGACTATTCATGGTAAATATTTTCCTGTTATTTATTATTCTTTTTATCTCTCTTCATTTTACACAAATCTTAACTGCTCTGATCAGGAAATTAAATTAATTAGTTTTAATCATATTCAATGTAATGTTTTTCAGCAAATGTGACTAAATTTAAAACAAAAGAAATAACATAAATCTTTTAGCTTCTTTTAGGGAAAAGATAGGTGTGTTAAGAATAACTTCTAATCTGTACAGTTTTCATTTTCTTTTGTGAAAATGTGTGTTATTTAGAAAATAGTTCTCTACAGTACGAGTTTACCCCTGAAAAAGGTTGGAAGTACTATCACCTAAGTAAATAATGTAATAAGTACAACAGGAAATAAATTAATATTTAGTGTAGAAATGGATGTTTTATTTCAGTGACTTGGGTAGAAAAGGTACAATTATGGAGCTTTCAAAGATGATAGCATAAAGATACAGTTCTTTATCTGATTTATGGAGAATGCTGCCATTTGAAACAAAGGAAACAGAGTAACTAGGACAGAACAAGCTCAAATTAAATGACCACGATACTCAGATTTTTTTCCTCTCTTAGATAAGAAGATATCATTTGGCTGAAAGAATGAAGAGAAAAATAGATGGACTCTATGGTTTAGGTGACTGCAAATGGAATACCTTTCACCTCTAATTGACTGACTGAAATGGAGGCAGTCTCCATAGAGACTGAAATTCTTCCCTGAGAGATGGCAGTTAGGTAGAGAGACTGCAGATGGAGGGTTGCATCTCCATTCCTAAGAGAGGGGAAGTATGACTTTAGGACTAGATTCACTGGTTTCCATAGCTGATCTGAGCTGTTATCAGTCCCCCGTATTTTAAAATATAGCGCTTCTGAAAGAATGGTGATTTAAAGAAATATAACTAATTATGGTAAGACATTAAGAAATGGGGAAGTGTTTGAGTCAATCTTGTGCTTAAACTACTGCTAAAGCTATAAAGCTTCATGTTTTCTGTATGATTATGCTCTGAAATCCTGTAATTATATTGTCATAAATAAATGATATGATTGAAAGAATCAAGTACAGTGCCTTTCAGATATAGGCTAAATTTTAATAATACAATAAAACATTTTAATAATCAAATAGAAAAGGAGGCCTTTTGTTAACCACTGTCTTCCTATAGCATATTCCTTTAGCTTGTGTCCACCATCCCATTTTCTACTGTTTTTTCACCTACCTCGTTGACTACTTGTCACCTTTTATATTTCTTTTCCGAACTGCTCTTGCTAATCTATGTGGATTATAAGTGTTATGTTTCATCAGGATTGCCTTCAGGCCATTATCTTATCTGCAATGAACTTCCTTCTAAACTGCCTTCTGTTTCCCTCAGACTCCCATCTATAGACTCTCCCATCTTCTACAGAGAGGGGGATCTTTTTCTCTAAACATAAATGGGATGATGAAGTCCTTTCATGGCTTTCTGTTGCAGAGAGAATAAAATTCAGAACTCTGCAAGGTTCTGCATTAAGTGCTCCTTATTCTCTGTAACTGCCCAACCCTTTTCTCTCTAGTCAGTTTGCTTCAGCCATAGTTTTTCTCAATTCCTCAAAAATGCTGAATCTATTGCCTGTAGTTACATCCTTTCTACAGCTCTTCAGATGACTGTCTTTCTCTCTTCCTTTGGTCTGATTTTAAATGCAATTACTCCAAAGAAATATTTCCAGATGATCCACTTGAAATAAATTCCCCAATATTATTCTCAATATTAACTCTCAGTATGCCTCCTTCAAATACATAGTCTACTCTGTATTTATTTTCTTGATTGGGCTATTTGCTTACACTTTTTCTTTCTTTAACACTAGAATACAAGCTCCATGAAGCCCAGGACTTTCTGCATTCCCTGCCACTGAATCATCACAGCTAATACTCTGCTGAATAAATATTTGTTATTGGATTATAATTTGACACATCAATATTTTTATGATTTTTTAAAATCGATCTTACCTCGTTCCCTCAAGTTTTGCATGATTGGAAGTTTGTTGAGACGTTTCAAACCACAGCCTTCTTTCTATTTTCCTCCAAAACATTTATCACAATCTAGTGTAGAACACAGTTAAATTAGTTATTTGTTTATTGTCTCTACACTCTGTAAACTTCATGCAACATTTTAAGACTTTTCATTCGATTGCCATTGTTTATTGTTTCTCCACTGATCTAGCCTCAGTTCATGATAAATTTTCACTGAATATTTGATTGATGTTTCAGGTTGAGCGTAGAGAAGGATTTCCTGGTCAAACGATTTTGTGAAACAAGACATCCTATACTATTATCTTAAACATTTACACCATTCATACAATATAAAAAGTTCCTGATAAATGCTTCCATTATAAAATATGTTAACTTTGTTTAACTTAGTCTTTTATCAGTGTATTTACTCATAGAGCTGCTAATAACATCTAGTAGAACTAATGTCCTAGGTGTCACATTTTTGGTAGAAAAAGTTTTTCCATCACCTTGTAGCAAGCAGGGCAAGGCATTTATTCATTTCACAACCCAGAGAAGGGTCCTATTTATTTATGGTGTGGCTAATGAGTTTCACTTCATTAAGCGAAACTCAGCCATAGTTACTGGAATAGTGGAGAAAAAACTTCTGCTAGTTTCAATCGCTCCATTCTTCTTTGAATGCAAATCATTGTTCATATAACAACAGTGACCTTCATATGGCAGCAGTGATCTTCCTGGGAAACAATTACAATTATGCCACTGCTTCACTTAACATCTTTAATGGCCGTCTCTTCACCAACGTTTCTCATTTTTGCCTTTGGAGTGCATTTTAAAATGTTATAACTATACAAAGCCCACAGTTTCTTACAGGTCACATCCTTAGCCCTACCCAATTGTCAAAACAAAGGATACATTTTTAAGACCCTGAACTCTTTGTTGCTTTCATCTGGAACACCTCTTTTGGCCATCCCTTCCACCCTCCACCACACAAGTGCACTGGCTAACCCAGTCTTATCTGACTGGTTAGCCCCTACTCATAACTCATGTTACAGCTTAGCCAGCCCTTCCAAGGTTCTGTTGAGTTTCCTTATGTATTCCATACTCTTGACTTTATCATAAGTCTTCACCAGTCATTATAATCTCTTGAAAGGTAACAAAATAATTCCTTTTTCTTTACCACATTTCCAGTGTTTGTTTCAGTACATGGCACATAGTAAGCACTGGAGAGATTATGGAAGGATAATGAAAGATAAGCCATGTATCTGTGACTGCCTCTTGGAGACATAGACCTTATGCAGCTGTGTATTTGATCTCGTCAGTGTTTTCTGTTTTTCTTTTGAGAGTTTTAAGTATATTCCTAGCTTTCAAATTAGCTAATGTAAAGGTTTTATCCATATTAACTTTTAGCACTTCTTTTTTATGTCTCTATTTTCTCAGTGATTTTTTGAGCAATCTGTTGACAAGGCATTTTATTTGGAATAGTATGAACTTCTTAGAAAACACTAATATCTATAGAGATAAAAATTTTTCTCCCTACAATTATACATTGCTGCTCACTGGTGAAAACTGTTGCTTGAACAAGCCACATGTTACAAGCTCCTAACACCAGCCACCCAACTGTACAACAGTGAGTTATTCACATCAACTACCTAACAGTATTTACAACAATGATATTTATATTATGTATAGTATTTATATCATATTAATTTTAAAAATAAAACTTATTTTGTAAATTTTCTATGTCAAATATTCTTTTACATTATAGCATTTGATTTTTTTTACAACTCTATAATGTAGGCATTAATATTATCACCCCTTCATTCTTGGAACTAATAATCATAGGTATTGTTCTGAATACGACTATTGAGTATCTTCTTCTTGAAATTATGGGTCTGTATTTATTTTTCTTTGTATGGTCATCACTTGAGTCAGTGCCAAGAAGCTCCCTAAATGCATCCAAGATTAGAACTGGAGCTCAAAATTTCCATCTGAAAAGTTCTATGTTTTGTTGTTTTACTTTATCAGTCTATATCAAACTCAGCCATCTTGAAGAAAATATGAGGCAAGAGTTCTCATCAACAAATATTGTAAAAGGTACCTTTACATATTACTGAGGCAAATCACTGTACTCAGCTTCAACTTCATACTTACTTACACAAAAATATATTCCACAAATACTGGCACCTCCCAAAGTACCTCTCCCTACTCCTATCACATAAGGATAAGATCTCTGGGAAATAGATTGTGAGATAGTGAGCTTTCTTCAATTTTAAAAACTCACTAGATGCTCTCTATGAATTGACATGTGTAAGGGAATGAAGGAAGCAGGACTGGGCAGAGGGAAAGGTGAGCTGCATTGTAGTTGCAACAAACACCTTGTCGATCAAAAAGCCATCACACCTTCTAAAACTGAGATGCAATCTCAGAGCTGTCTCAGTTAAAGGAAGGGAGCTGATATGGTTTGGCTCTGTGTCCCCACACTAATCTCATGTTGAATTGTAATCTTCAGTGCTGTGGAGGGATCTGGTAGGAGGTGACTAGATCATGGGGACAGATTTCCCTCTTCCTGTTCTCACGATAGTGAGTGAGTTCTCATGAGATCTGGTTGTTTAAAAGCACACAGCATATCCCCCTTTGTTCTCTCTCTCTCCTGCTCTGCTATATGAAGTTTGTGCCTGCTTCCACTTCACCTTCCTTCATGATTGTAACTTTTCTGAGGTCTCCCCAGCCATGCCTCATGTACAGCCTGTGGAACTGTGAGTCATTAAACCTCTTTTCTCCATAAATAACCTAGTATCATGTAGGTCTTTACAGCAATGATAGAATGGACTTATACAGAAAATTGGTACCAGAGAAGTGGGGCATTGGTATAAAGATACCTGAAAATGTGGACATGACTTTGGAACTTTGGTAATGGGCAGTGGTTGGAATAGTTTGGAGTGCTCAAAAGAAGATGGAAACATGAGGGAAAGTTTGGAATTTCCCAAAGACTTGTTGAATGCTTGTGACTAAAATGCTGATAGTGACATGGACAGTGAAGTTCAGGCTGAGGTGGTCTCTGATGGAGATGAGTAACTTTTTGAGAACTGGAGTAAGGGTCACTCTTGCTATGGTTTAGCAAAGATATTGGTGGCATTGTGCCCCTGCTCTAGAGATCTGTGGAATGGTGAACCTGAGAGATATAATATAGGGTATCTGATGGAAGAAATTTCTAAGTAGCAAAGCATATGAGATATGACCTGGCTGCTTCTAAAAGCCTATGCTCATCTGCATAAACAAAGAAATGGCCTGAAACTAGAACTTATGTTTAAAAGGGAATCATAACATAAAAGTTTGGAAAATTCACAGCCTAATCATGTGGTAGAAAAAAAAAATCATATTCTAGGGAGAAATTCAAGGCTGCAGAAATTTGAATAAATAAAGAGCCAAATGTTAATAGCCAAGACAATGGACATTTAGTTAATGCTGGAATGAGTTAAGACTTTGGGGCACTGTTGGGAAGGCATGATTGGTTTTGAGATATGAGAAGGACATGAGATTTGGGAGAGGCCAGGGGCAGAATGATATGGTTTGGCTGTGTGTCACCAACCAAATCTCACGTTGAATTGTAATCCCCAGTGTTGGAAGAGGGACCTCCTAGGAGGTAACTGGATTATGGGGTGGATTTCCCCCTTGCTGTTCTCCTGACTGTGAGTCAGTTCTCATGAGATCTGGTTGTTTTAAATGTGTAGCATTTCACCCTTTCTCTCTCTCTCTCTCTCTCACTCTCTCTCTCTCACACACACACTCTCTCTCACTCTCACTCTCTCTCTCTCTCTATCACACACACACACACACACACACACACACACACACACACACTCTCTCTCTCTCTCTCTCTCCTGTTCTGCTATGTGAAGAGTATGCCTGCTTCACCTTCAACTTCTGCCATGATTGAAGTTTTCCTGAGGCTTCCCTAGCCATGCCTTTTGTACAGCCTGTGAAACTGGGAGTCAATTAAACCTCTTTTCTCCATAAATTACCCAGTCTCAGGTATGTTTTTATAGCAGTGTGAGAACAGACTAGTGCAGGAGCCAAGCCGTTGTACACACATTTCTACCAGTCACTGTTTACAAGCTGCCTCTGAAGAAGGACCATAACCTTGGGCTTGGAAGTTCTGTTTTTTGAAAGCAATTCCTTGAGAAAGGAGTTAGCTATGAGCCATCAGCAGCCAGGCAGCTGAGGGAATGAGCTCCTCAATCCCAAAGAGGAGTTCTGAGTAGCCAACTATAGTTTCCGATTAATCTACATATTTAATGGACACTAAATGTGATATAATGTCAAGTAGCACTTTTTTAAAAATATTTTTTAAAATAGCGAAGTTAACTTTATTTCAGGATGTATTTGTTAGCAGAGCTATTCTTTGGTTTAAGTTGAAATTCTATATATATATATATATATATATATATATATATATATGTTTTCTATTTATGTTCTGTCTCTCTGACTGTATGGGAACCATACAGACAAAAAAATATTGAGGCTCTTGTATACCTCTGCAACTTCAGTACCTAGAAAATTATCTGGCTAATAGTAAGAAATCAGTAAAATGTGATGTATAAATGATTAGATGGAGTGAGGAACACTTTGAGAATCTGCACAACCATCACAAATTTTTAAACAAAGTTAGTGTACTAGCTTCTGTAGCCTTAACAAGTATTTTATTTAGGTCTGAACTGACTCCAAATTAGTGGTGCTATTTTGTATTTGACACAAATATCACGAGGTATCTGCTTCAATTCTGGACATTATTTATTACTAAATGTATATTCTTTTATTTATAATGTGTTGTGACTTACTGTCACTAAGGCAGTAAAAATATCAAATGTAGTTGAGACAAAAGTTATACTCAGTGATTTTATGCAGTGCGTGCGTAAAACAAACAACAATCTCTTCATTGGGGTACTGCGAAAAATACTGTGTATCTGATATATTGGAAGTTTTGCTCTATCTGAGCAACTAATTTTGTTTATGTAATTAATGAATCTGGAAATCTGATTATCTACTAAATTGTTTTTTTAACAGTCATATAAGCCTTAACAAACTGCAATTCCAGATGAGACAGACTGCTAAGAGCCCCCAGAATAGGAATAGTAGGGCTTGCTTTTATTCAGGACTTTTCTTTTAGTTTCTTCACTATAAAAACATTTCAGACACGTGTATCTGAAAGCAAGGTCACCAAAAACAAATGCTTCAATGCGTAATGTGTCTAAAGCAACTGTCTATGTGCAGTGTCTGCTCAGTTTTTTAGTTAGAGGCAGTATTCAGCTCTATACTGGTAATGAAAGAGAGTGGAGTTTCATTGCCATTTTCAACAGTCTTGTTCTCATTGTCAGGAAATAAGGTGTTTTTAGAAATTGAAGAAATTATAAACACACAGAAAGAACAAGGCAAACAAAGCTGTTATTTATCACTGAAGAACTTCTGTTGCTGTTTAAGCTATATGAAAGGGACATCTAATTGTTTCCTAATTATAGCTGGCTCTTATAAAAATAATCCAATTGAGAAAAAAGTGCCCCTTTTAATTTATATATATATATATGTATACATATATGTATGTGTGTATATACACATTTTAATTCTTTAAAAGTGCCCTTTTAAAGAATTCATTAACTTTCTTGTATAAAGTTGTATGAGTGACTCTGCTTTACTAGAATTTGCATTTTTAAAGCCCCCAATGAGATATTCATATTGTAAGAATTGACATATACTTCCTTCCAAAAATTTTGTCTCTCTCTTCATGTCCCATCCTGTTAACCTTACCTCCAAGTTATCATGTGTTATGTATTCACATTACTAACATTCAGATATTCTTCTCATTTGAACTGGTAGAAAGTGATTTGAATTTTTTTTGTAAAATTAACCCAGTTTGCTTTAGATGAATCTCATTTATATAGGCCTGAGATAGCCCGATGAGTCCAAACTATAGAATTGGGACTCAATTTTTCCAGACCCCAGGTTTCCATTTTCACTGGCTGTATTCTCCAAGCTCCTCTCTCATTTTCATTCTTCAACCATGTTCAATGATTTCTCAACCTAATGTTTTCTCAACTCTTCCAAATGCAGTCTCAACAAGAACGTGAAGATCATCTTGAAGATAATCTTGCATTTAAAACTCTTCATTTTCCTAGCTTGAACCAAATGTAACTGCATATTTTGTGAGTCAAACACAATTGAATACCAGCAATACTTTATATTTTAAAGGTTATACATGAGAAAGCTGAAGTTTAAAGGGCTTAAATAATTTGCCCAAAAGTCAAATGTTGAGGTAAACTGGGAGACTAGTCCAGAAACCAGATATTTATTTTTCCATATACTCACTATTATATTCCACTAGGCTGCTTTACACGTACGTGTTACTTTCCTTACTCCCAAAGACATTGACTTGGGGATTCCAGGTAGGCAGCTACTTATTGCAACAACTCAAAATGCTTATCCTGTTTCACACTGTAGAAATGCAAAACTGACTTTCTAACATAGTAGTGATGCAAAAGATACAGTAGAAGAACCTTTATGCTTCTTAATTTCAGTGAACAATGCAATGAACAATCCTAGTGCCTCCCCCTTTAAATATCACCCTCAAGAGCTACATTTCAAAAACGTTGACTCTGACAACCACCTTTGCATCTCCCACAGTATAATGTTTCACAAAGGTTTGTTGGATTGAATATAATGGAATTGAGTGAAACATGAAACCCCCAGTTCCTATGGATTTTTGTCAAACACATACTCCCTGGTTGTATTTCTCAGTTCTCAAGGTTTCAAGTTTCCATCCTCATTGTTCTTGCAAGTTATTTTACTGATGCCACAAATTTAGTGCTAAAACTATTTTTGGTTCATAAGGTCACAGTTTAAAATAAAAAATAAAAAATATATTGGAGGTTACCTATTTTGTGAGGTTTTTTTCATGCTGTAATAAAATAATTCTTAAAAAAATACATGTTAAGGAAATTAATTTTATCCCTGACTAGACATTTGGAAATCCTATTCTCTGATTATAAGAAGAGTCATTAAATATCTGTTGGCTCGCCTCATTCAAATCAATTGTTTCCAGTGAATTCAAATAAGAAAATCACTGAAATAAATCACCGAGTTTAATATGCAAGGCTAAACTGCTGTCTATCAGTTAATAATCTGAATTCCTAAGATCAATTTCTGTATATGTTAAGAATTAATCACTTTGGTAAATTAATTAATATTGAATAGTTCTGTAATATTCTCACTAAAAAATTCAGTATTAGGCATTTTCCCTCTTTGTTTTTAAGTTTTATGTGTTTCTTCTAATAGGTCTGTTTTGTACTTAGAGGATGCGCCTATGTCAAAAAATAAAATATTTGCACCTAATCTTTCACAATCTCTCAAATGAGATCCACTAAAAGATCAATATATGTAAGGGCTGATTTTAAGCTTTTTATTGCAATTAAAGGTGTTTTCCTACATAGTACTGTCTGTTATGACTATTCCTGAAATGTTAACCTATTCAACATGTTCTGTGTATTAGATAATTAGGATGATTCCCCCAAAGCAATAATATTAACTAAGGGTGACAGTCAGGGACTAATGAGATAGGAGAAATAAAAATGCAGAGAAAATTGCAGGAGAAAATATTTTTAATATAAAGATCAGCAATACAAATATAGGGTATAAGTACTTGACCTAACCCAAAACAGATAATAGAAAAAATGCAAATGTATTTTTAATTATGGGAAATACTGATTGAAAGTATATATAAAAATAATCGACCAAAATCATATATGTGTTAAATAACCGGTTGCAAACATTCAAGTCAGCAAATTGAAAACTGCAAGCATTTGTGGCTATCCCCAGTTTTCTTTCCTTCAACACTTTCAGTAATTTAGTGACACAAGTGAAACTTTGTGGCAGTCACCAAAGAATATAGCTTAAAGGTAAACTTTGGATAGTTCCTGTTCCTTTCAGGATACGTCAAACATCACACACATACAGAAATAAATACTCGCTGAATGCATTCATTGATCGATAACAGTTTGCAGTTTGGTAATCATATTTTTATTTATTCAACTTTTGTCTTTATTTTTTTTCTATTCTTTTCAAGTAGGGTCAAACACAGTCCTTCTGATCCGCTACAATCAGGTGCTCTCTGTACAACTCTCCCTTTCTGCCTCACTGGCTGTTTTCAGTAGGGGATGCATTCACCACACTGATGCATGGCTTTTGATGATCCTAAAAATGTGGGTGTTCCTCAACAGCTACTAATGTAGATGCCTTCATTGCTGGAAATAGATCAAGGGAGACCTTCTCCAAAACTCTAGAGTCACATCACAAAGAAAACCCAAGATGATTAAAGTTTTATTATTAAATTCTACTCTCACCACTGAGCAAATCCTGTACCTCTTTTAACGTTTGGTAGAAAAACCGACAAAACTAGGTATATTAACGTGCTATGCTTATAATCAATAGCTCATTCTTTTTTCTGAAAAAGTGGGTAAACGATCACAATTCTTTAGGTCAAATGAAGAAGCCTATGCCTACCAGAATCAGCAATGCATTTCCAAATTAACTTATCTATATTGCTAGGAGTTACTGAGACATTTGAGACTCTTGATGTATCACAATTTTAGGGAAATAAAAGTAAAAATACTTATTTGTTTGGATTTTGGTTGCATCAACTTTGAAAGGGAGAAATAATTGATCTGACAAGTAAACATAAGGGTATTTTTCAAGTATACATCTTAAAGCTAAATGCTACAAATGTATAATAAATTTACTTTGGCACAATTGTGTACGACACAGTTTGTAGAAAACAGTTTGAAAAATGTGATAACTTAACATCTTTATTTATTGTGATAATGATGCTGATGGCAAATTTTGAAATCATCCAATGTGCCAACACCATAAATTAATGCCACTTTCAAAACAGAGATGGGAAGTTTTACTGTAATAATTTTTTTAATGTAAACTTAATTTTGTTTTTTATAAAATGTAACTTAATTTTTACAAAATGTCTTTTACCAATTTTACAGCCTAAAGAAGAATGCATTCTACCAGAAACCATAAGCTAAATGGCTTTTTGATTCTTGGAGGCCATTCTCACTTTCTCTGATATCCAGTTACTTATTTTTGCCATATGCACAACAGAGACAAAATTACTCAACATTCTCCTTAAGGGTCAAAAGTCACTCCCCTTACCTTATGCTTCTGAGCACTGCAGCTGACATTCAATTCCTATATTAGCATTTCATTATCTGTATAATGAAGAGAGTCAAATTTATATAACAAAAATAAAATTAGTGGACCTAGAACATAATTCATATTTTTAAAAGGCTTGATATTTGGGAAAAACAAAGGTAAATACAAATTATGTACAACAAATACTGAATCGAGTTTGAAGAATTAGGAATTATTTGGTGGATCATGGATCCAGTCACCTACCAGATGTAGAAGCTGTTGCAAATTAACTGAAAAGGAGTCAGGAGTTGAACAGGAGACAGAAATATCACAAAGAGCTTTTAGTGAGAGCTTAATATTTATAGTACTTTTAGGCAAGGTGAGATTAGTCAAACTTGTCTAAATTGGATTCAAACTGATACCATGTGGGTTAGATTCTGGATTGGCGAAGCTTTAACACTGCTCTACTGAAATAATTGTCTTTAAAGTAAGCAACAGATTGCCTTTTTATGTGCTGCTGAAATTTATACAATGTGAAGGTAATCTTTGAAAGAGTAAGGATAAACTTGAAATTAAAGATCCTTAAAATCAATTAACTGATCAAATTGTATATCCTTTTAAAATATTTCATACTAACAATTATCTATTACTGACAGAGAAACCTAAGAAAGCAAAAATTCAGAATTTAAATGTTTTTATAAACCTGTGTCTCATTTTTTACTGTAGTGCTCGAACTGTCATATCCTTGGCAATTAATTCTGCTGTAACTTTATTCTCTTTTTATAGTTTTAACACTCAAACTAAGGACATAGTCTAATGTAAACCTAGATGAATTGAAAACAGAAAATGTATGTAAATATGTATGAAAATATGTATATAAAAATATGTATTTTTAAAGTTACTTTTAAAAGTCTTTCATATTATATATTACACACACACACACACACACACACACGATGTGAAGATCACTTCTAACCACCCAATATAAGATTATATTTTTAAGAAATATAGTGTTCAAATATTGTTTTATCCCATATAAGAGCAATTTATGGCTGTTTTATGGGTTTCATCAGGCTATGTCACTCTAAACCAACTTTGCTAACAAAGGGTAAACACAGTAGGGAATGAAATATCTTTTAACAAATAAGAAACCCAGCAACAGCATGTATGTGATAGGAAAAATTAAAAGTTCCTGAGTAAATAGTATACATGAATTGACTTCAATCTGAAGTGCTTTGTTATCCCTGAAAATTAGTTAAAATTCATTGAAGATTATTAGGACCCATTTGAATGTTTCATCTACTTGGATTGGGTGTCTTTTTAGTATCAGAACTGAACGATACCTATTAGATTGAATATTTTACACTCATAAGAGGTTTAAAAAACTAATCAACAGAAGTAGACTGCATGTTAACTAATCACTAAGTGACTCTTGATCAGAATTGAGCATTGCCAAGAGGCTCTCAAACAGAAGAGATCATGCCCTTTCTTTCTTAAGAGGACCCTGCTGCATAGCTGTGTTACAGTTTCTTCAGTGAAGGAGAACTCTAAAGAAAACCACACTATGATTTCCTAATGTAGCTGCCCAGTCCATTGCAAGGTCAAACTGTGAAATTTTAAAATCCAGTTAAGACACTTATAAGTATATCCTGTGAAAGAATTCTTATTCTCTTGAATGTCATGGTAATGTTAAATCTAAAATGCTAAATCAAAGTAGTATTTCACTGGGATCCAATTTATTATATAAAATAATAATCAAAATGTTAAATATGATATGAAGTATGGCTTATATTTATTTTCTCCTTCTCCTTCTTCTCCTACTTCTTCTTCTTCTTCCCCTTCTCATTTGCCCTGTTCTCTTAAAATCTATGGTCTTTTGAATAAATTTATTTTAGTTCCCCATCCTTAGCCTCAAAACTAATCTTCTTTTCTTAGAATACTTAAAGGTTTGACTGTATGTATTCTGTTACTGTGTGTGTGTGTTGCATTTATTTTCCCCTCTCTGTTCTTTGCAAATATTATTTCTTCTTTCTACAATGTGTTTGCACACATTAGAACACATTGCACGCAGAGGTAAACACTAGAATGTTTACCTCTGTGGTTCTCAGTGTGAGCTGCATATTTGGGTTACCTAAGGACCTTGAAAACCATCTCTGAGACTGCAGATTTATTTTATTATTTCTTAGGGATGGGTCAGGAATAGTTTTTAAGTTCACCAATTATAATGTTCAGTCAAAGTTATGAACCACTAGAAACCCTCCTTAAACACTCTTGGAGATACAGGACAAGTGACACCTGTAGATTTGTTGCTTTCTATAACACACCTTCAGAAAAAAAAATCATTTTCCTTTCAACCGTTAGCACTTATGCACCATCCTACTCATATAGTTGTCAATATACTGTTGAAGAGCCTCTTAAATAGTGATTTAAGACGTTGGTTATTTGTGGGCATATTATATTGTCTTATTTTTCTTGCTTTCTTGTAGATTCTTACGGTCAGACATTATGGTTTATACATCTTTGGTTGGTGCTGTGCCTTGTGTACTTCATATGCTAAGTAAAGTTCTCGTTATGTTAGTGTTAACTAATGTATTATCCACAGCTAAATAAATTCGGATCCCATAAAATTAAATATACTTGTTCTACAATCTTCACATATAATTTATCAGGAATTGTTAATCAAATAAAGGGTGTACTCTTAAATACATACATATAAGTATTAATATTTAGAGATGTGTGTGTATGAACTTCCAAGGAAGAATTAACAATAAAATAAAAGTTTTAAAAATAAAAGAAGAAACAAATCCAAGATGATATTACTACTGTTTTTTATATTAAAAAATAAAAAATGAAAAGGATATATCATATTCTAACCTTACTAAAGGCATGTATGTGGTTTTCTTTTTCTCTGAATTTCCATGCTTTGAATAGTACTTAGGTTAATATAAATGCTTGATAGCATTTTATGGATTTAAAGAATTAAATAATGAATCTATTTTTATGTATCCTATAAAATAAACATAAATAAATATAGAATTATAAATTCAGACTGAATCAAATGAATTTTTCATTGTAAGAATTAGGGACTGATACAATAAAACATAAGCATATAGATTATAACAACTTCCCTGATAAGAAGTCCCAGCTATCTGAGAAGGATTTCTATAGAATGTCTTAGGTATGGTCTTTTTGGTTAGAATACTTGAACATTGAACTATATATTTTTTTCAAGATAATAAATTGTAATAGTCCAGCTATGATTTGGAGAAGATAATTCTCAGTAAAAATAAGATAACTTGGCTTCAACCTATAACGTGTGCCCAACACTTTGTTGAAGTGGCTTTCTTTCCTGGAGTAGAATAAGTTTTATACCATACTTATGTTGAGTTGTTGCTATGGTAACTATGTATGTCTTGTAAAACTGTAAACAATTGTGTAAAGTGGTCAGATAGAGCACGTATCTATAGCTGGACTAGTTCAGTTCAAATGTATACATTCCATTTTTAATATTACCTTTACAAAGAAATATTTATTCACTTCAGATGGATGCTCAGAACCCTAATCCAAAAGATTACGGCCATTTGTGTGTGGGTACATGTGTGTAATTGGGGGGAAAGTGACTTTTCTTTCTACTTTCCAAATCATAAAATGAGGTGATTATAATACAGACAACTAGAAATCACAGTTCATCTATATAATCATTATGAGTAGTCTCTGAAAACATGCCAAAAGCTTTTCTAAGAATTAGGCCCTCAGGTACAAAGATTAGCATGGTTAAATTGGCTGCTGGCGATTTGAACAATCTCTGAAGGCTCTGCATAAAATCCATTGAAATGAAAATTTTCATTTGAAAAATGTGCTGCCATGGGCAATCTATGTTAACCAATTTATAGTCTCTATTTTTATGGGAGTTTGGAAGAAAATGCTTTTAAATCAGCCAAACAAAACTCCCTGAATATGTTATAGATTAATATGTGATGACTTTGCCACCATAAAAAAATATAGAAATTATGAGAAGTCAGAGGGCATGCATCTCCTGCATGCATCTAGCTCTGCTTATGGGTTTGAAACAGGGAGTGATGTTTCTATGTTGTCCTCTATGCTAAATCCCTGAATGAGACAGTGGAATGTAAGACTAAGGTTCTTGTCTAATAACATTTATTCCCAAGGAAAATTTAACTTTAAAAAGCACTTATAATATACAAAAGTTAATTATTAGTAGCAACACCACAGCCATACTCAATATTCATATATTTTCAATGTCATATGGAAACAGTAACAATTTAGATTCACTCACTCAACTAATAAACACATTTTCTAATTGGCAATACGTAACTATTGTCACATTTGGGGTGTCCTATAGATTTTGAAAAGTACTGTTAACCATGGAAATGAATAGCACTTTCTATCTCCAGATTGGTCCCAAATCTGGGGATAGAAAAATAAAATTTAAAAAAAATGCTCAACTTTGACTTATCTTTTGTGTTAATTTATTTTCCTAATTTCTGGAAATGTGTTGTATTTATCTATTTGAAAGATGTAATGTTAGCAAATTCAGAGCAGTAAATATAGTTAAAAATTAAGTGTGTGAGACAGAAGTCTAGACAACAGATTTTTATAGCTAGAATGAGAAAAATGAGAATGTGAGAAATTATGTTATGCTGTTACTCTAAGGAATGATACACTTTGACTGTGACTAAATGTATTAATTATCCAGAATATTTTCTCATTATTGTCACATGAAGGATGAAATTTCATCATTCTCAAAAAATGTTGACTTTGTTTTATCCATCTTTCAAGTATCAACACAGAATAGAAATTACAGAAATAAGTAAATTTAAGAGAAAATTGTGATGTCATCTATCTGCTTAAAAACTCAAAGGAAATCTTCAGAACTTTCCAAGGCCGATACCAAGGGTTGGAAATTATATTAAGCAGTAAAATAATGGGACAAATATACAAAGATAATATCTGTAGGCATCTCAGCATAATGGAATCATAACAATAAGCAATAGAGTCATGAAGAATACTTCACAGCAGGAAGAATATATTGTGGTTTAAATAGAGTAATAAAGTTAGAAGATGAATTAAAATGCAGTAGCATATATATATTTATGCTTATATTCATAGCATATATATGTATGAATATATACCTTTATTTTAATAAAACACACAATACTATGCTTCACAAAATTTTACCTCTGAATTTCATTCAAAAGGCAGGTAGTAATACGAAAGTTTTCAGATGCACTGAAAACTGAAGACTATAGAAAGTTTTTATAGACTGTAACTATTCTTCCTATAGTTAAATGTTACAAATGTATGATAAAGTATAGATTATAACTATTCTTCCTATAGATATAGTGAAGAGTTAACTCACATTTAAGAAAAAAATAAAAAAGATAAATTAAAATTTAACTCCTAGTATATAATTTTATGTGAGTTAACCATGCACTCATGTAGTTTGAGGAAAATTAGGAAAATAACAAAATGTATGGAGAACGTACAACACAAAACATGATGAAATATAGCTATGGATACGCTTGTTGTCCCATGGCCTCTCCTACATACAGATTAGAACTTCCTCTGCACACTAGGGGAAGAAGCCACATACATTTGCAAATCAAAATAAAATGTATAGCATAAGAGCTATTCCTCAACTCTATTATATGGACTTTATATATGTAACAATATATTGAGCAGCAAGAGCTAGTGCTAGACAATGGCAATACAGCAATATACGAGATAAACACTTTCCTTCCTGCTTGTGAAGTTTTACAGGCTAAAACAAAACCCAAAACTAAAGCAAAATCTAAACTCTGAACTGATGTGCTAATGGAACAGTTATTGGATGGGTTGTGTGGATTAGCATTTCAAAATAAAAATATGAGCTACCCAATCAATAGTGTTATTAATAATACAGCATAATTCCTGTATCACTTATTTATTTTACATTCATGCAATTCAAGCAAATTTGGCACAAATTAGTCAAAATAAAATAAACACCGAGGAAGCTGATGGGATTTTGAAAATAACAATAACGATAACATGTTAAGTTTTAGTTCAACCAGCATTTTTGTGTGGGTGTATCAAACTCTGGGCAAAGAACTAGCTATAAAAGAGTAATGATTACCATATAAATCTCTGCTCTCAAGGACTCTAATTCTAGCTGAAGGGCAAATTGATAATTTAAAATAATGTGATGAGTATTAAGAAAGAAACAAGAAGTACAAACTGTAGAGTAGGGAAAATAGACCCATTATGGGGGTAAGGGGAACTTTTTCTGGAAACAAATATGCCTCTCACTAAGCAGTAAGCTAAGAAAAAAATGTTTAAAGAGGAATTCTATGTATGGGGTGAAATATACATAAAAGTGAATGATAATAGTATGTATGAGTAAGGTCAAAGAGCTCTGTCTTACTAAGTCATTAAACATAGTACAGAGAATTGAAGGAGTAAATTTAAAAGGCGTAGATTTCTTCCTTTCTAAGGGGATTGGTATTTATTCTAAGAATGATGAGAAATTATTAAAAATACGCTTACACTATTGGTAGAGGAGAAAAAAGAGGAAAACACTGGATGTGTATTTACCAAAAGCTGATTTCCTAAAATTGTGCTTTGGGTTAGCTGAGATGGCATTGCCTTGACAGTACCAGGCTTGGGGAGTTGAAAGTAATAAGTTAAAATTTAAACTTGTTTTATAAAAAACTAAGTATTTTTTATACTTGTATGATATGCAGAAAAACGTAATCATCCTCTTTACACTGGCCTTACCTAATTATTTTCTATTTCATCTTCGACTCCATTTCTTCAAGAGTAAATGTGAGATTGACCTGGAGGTTTGGTGACAGGTATGCAGGAGAGTGCTGTGAAAGCAACGATGTAGTCAGCCATGAAATCCCTGCTGATCAAAGCTCAAGCTGTTGAACTAAAATGATACTATTTATCTCTTCACATTCAGAATTTCAAATGACTAAAAATATGTATTTCTATGGGGGTGAATTCTGCCCTTATTTATAGAATGATTATCTAAAGTGTCATTGAAGACTTAAAACAGCTCAGTTTTGTACAACTTTAAAAGGTAAGGCATATATGAGATTAAAATTGTGAATATACTTGGTGATTCTTCATAGTTAAATTCTTCAAATTTTAAAATATAGTTTTCTGAGATTCAGAAAAAGAGAAATATCTGAAAAAAATTACTCTTTGAATTCAGTAAGTTTGCCCCTTCATTATTAACACTGCAGTATTTCAAAGAAGTGTGTTTATGATTTGTCAGGGTCTTTTAGCTCTTTTACATTACAGAATGTACAAAAAAGCATAGTGTTTATTTAATTAATACATAGAATCCTTGACTACATGATGGTAAATTTTATTAGGAACTTTTCCTAAATTAGGGAAAAAACATGAACTAAAACAATTGGCTATAAGTTGTTAATATAAATTGATGCAATAAAATTTGATATGAAAATATTAAAAAGCAAAAAATATTTTTGTAACAAAGAAAACCTGGAGTCAAATGCAAAAACCAAATACTACCAAACAGAAACCATAAATTTATGCAATTATAAACTTAAACTCAGACTCATTACCCAATGCAAGCAATAGACATTAATGCTTTGGAAAAGTATGAAACGAACTATGAGTGGCTGCCTTGAAAATTCTCAAGTGGAAGAAATAACCTGAGGCTGATTACCACTGCTGCTGTGGCTCTGGTTGAATGATCCCTAATTTGACTCGAAAGTGACAATTTCACCAAAGTACAACAATAAGGAATATATGAAGACAGCCATTTCAGCACAATGTTTTCAGAGGTGGGCTGACCTAATATTAGTGTCAAAATAGGAAGAAATTAAATGAATTTCCTAAATAGTGAAAACCCAGAAACATTTAGGATTTAGCTTATTAGTAGCCAGCCAACAGTCTTCAATAGGAAAGCAAATGTTAACTCAATGGACTGTCATATTCAAAGTAAACCTAATGGACACATGCTATTACCTAAGATTATACAAACAAGAATCCAGTAACCGAAGACAGCTATAAAAATTTTCATTAGGTAATATGTAATTTGTATGGTATACCATATGCAAATAATTAATATAAGCATATTCTAGTCCATTAGTATTTCAAGACTATTGCCTCTCATTTTTAATCAAAAATATTCAAAGAGAGGGAGAGATAGGCCTAATTTAAGTTTGTACATACTTAAGACTGTTATTTTAAAAATTTGTGACAATGAGAGAATACCTGAAAGAATTTTTTCTCTTGAATGTGAGTTGAAGGGATTTTTTAAAACATAAAACATCTTTGCATTTTTAAAAATAATTAGTAAATGCTTGCATACAAAAGTTCCTCAATTAATATTTATTAAGTGATCAATTTTGTGTTTCCCATCCCGCAATATATTTGTGTCTCTTCAACACCCATTTCATACTGAAGTTAACATTTATAGATATCTTTTAGGAAGTATCATGACTAAAAAAGTTGCAAGTGTCCATTTTCCCAGCCTATCTGAAAAATAAAAAATAAGAATCAGAATGCATAGCTATTGTAGTGGAAATTTGTGCCCCTGTCTTTTACTTGCAGCTCACCTGTTCCCTAGACGCTGTTGACTGTTGGCTAACACCAACTCCTGTTTTCTCTGTGAATTCCCCTCACCTAACTGGGAGCTTCCTCTACATGGAGTCTGTGTTCCCTCAGTAACTGACTTTCAGCCAGATACAAAAGCCTGGAGCACTCTCCTCAAGGGAAAAGCTAACTCTGTGGTAGAGCCATAATCCCAGAAATTGCATGGGTTGAGACTGAAGTTAGTCTCCAATTGAGAAAATATCTTTGTTGAGTTCATTCACTACCTCATCTTGTTTCTTTCACTCCCTTTCTTCTGAAAGCACTCCCCTCAATAAAATATTTGAACAAATTTCCCAGTTTCAGGCTCTGCTTCTAGGGAACCTGACCTAATAAAATAATTGAGAAAGATAATCATTGCATTTCAGAGGGAATATGAAATAATTGAGGTGCTAGTAACAATGTATTTCAAACAAAATTTTAAAAGTACTTGAAAAAAGAAGATTTTTTAAGTAAGTTAAATGATTTTAATTATTCATTCATTAGTCACCTTATTTGAAGGTGACTGATGCTTAAGAATCTATGCCTTCTCAATCACACACAACTACTGGCCTTTAAGGTCATACTGCTGCCTGTCTGTTGGGTTTACAAATTCTACAATAGAGAAAGAGGTAAAATGATAGCCCACAGCCCATGTTTTAAGAGTAAAACTGTATTTCATGAATGCATTAGTAATATATTCATGCATAATAAATTACCACAAAACTTATTGCCTTAAAATAACACACATTTCTTACCTTACAGTTTCTGGGAGTCAGCGATCTGAGTTTGACTTAACTAGGTGCTCTGCCTGAGGGTCTCTCACAGGATCCCAATCAAGGTGTCATACATGGGTCGCATCTGAGGGTCCAGTTGCTGATGGATCTACTTCGAAGTTCAGTGGTTGTTGGCAGGAATCAGTTCCCCAGTGGCTTTTGGCTAGAAATATTCCACAGTTCTTTGTTAATTTGAGTCTCTCCATCAAACTGTGCAAGTCAAAAAAGCAATAGAGAGGATGATTTAGCAACATGGAAGTCACAAACTTTTGTAAGTTAATTACATGATTGACATCTCATCAACTTACTGTAGTTTATTGATCACTAGGATTAGTTTATACTTGTGGGGAGTGGAATACACAAAAGCATGAATACCAGGAAGTGAGGTTTATTGGGAACTAAATTTGAAGACTTATTAGCACAGTCGAACAAAAAATTGTTGTTTTCCCTAGCAGTCAGATCGCTAAAGAGCCATTTTAATACAAAAATGTATTAATTCCATTTCACTTTCATTAAAACAATGAAACCATGTCACCCAACTACTACTTCGTAACAAATGTCTCCAAGAGCATTGGACACTTGTAGTCTGACCAGATGTATACCCTAAAGTGGTTTCACAGCCTCTTGAGAGAAAGAAAGTAAAAAATCTGAAAGAAGAGGGAAAACAGTTATACAAATGGTAAGTGTTTAAATTTTTGTAATCTGGATAACATGAACAATGTTACTGGAATTGCAGGTGGATAAAGAAAGGGACAAAGGTAAAGGGATGAAGAAGAAAGCCAGAGTAATATTTTTTTAAAAAACTAGTATCAAATCATGTTACTTGTCTTCATTTAACCCGTCAGTAGCATCTCTGAGCCTTGGGGCTTAAACTTATCAGTTCCCCATACTCTGCATGATCTCGAAGTGATTTTGCTCCCACCTAACTCTGACCTCATTTCCTGATCTCCTCTATTCCACACCTGCCTCCCCCATAGTTCAAAGGAGTCATCTTTAAGTCCTCATGAACTGCAAAATTTTTCCCACCTTGGATATACTTAGTTTTCCCTTTGCCTGAAAGTTTTTATTTCACATTTCACATAATGAATCCTTCCCAAGATTCTGTGTTCACTAATAACAAGTCACGGCCACCCTTTTAACTGAAAATTACTTTTAGCCAAGCAAGAGCAGGCTAGAGCAAGAGCTGCCAGGGAACAGGCAGCTATTTCCTTCTACTGAGCTATCCCCGCCTCATAACTTATTGACTAGGATACAAAAGGAATAAGTGTCTCTTCTTCAAAAAGACATGAATTGATACTCATTGTTTCTTTATAGTAGGTATCACTGTTTATAATTATTTTATTCATTGTTTTGCTTATATTTGTTTATTGCCCCTATTTGGATGAAAGCTCGCAAAAGGAGGCAGGATCTGTCTTTTTTCTTGATCACTGTCAAAACCTCCACAATTAGGAAAGTGTTCGGATTATGGTAAGCTCTCAATAAATATATTTTGTTTTTATTAAAATATTGTGAATTAATTATTTATTGGATCAGAACTGAAGTGTGTTCTTTTGGCCCTATTTAAATTTAAACAATGGCATGTCTTGTCTGCCTTGGCTGCAGCTATGGCTTGGATATGATTTGTCTATCCCCATTTAAGCTCTTGTTTGAAATTAATCTCCAAGTGTGGTGGTGTTGGAAGGTGGGGCCCAGTGGGAGGTGTTTGGGATGTTGGAGCAGATCTCTCATGAATAGCTTGCTGTTCTTCTAGGTAGTTAATGAATTATTGCTCTCATGAAGCTTGACTAATTCTCTTGGGATTGTATAAGTTCCAATGACAGGGAGCTGGTATAAAGCCAAGACATGCCCCAGGTCCTCTCTTTACGCATGTCTGCTTCCCTTTTGACCTTCTCAGCCATGTTATGACTCAGCATGAAAGTTCTCAACAGAAGCCAGTGCCATGCCCTTGAACTTCTCAGCCTGCAGAACCATGAGCTAAATAAACCACTTTTCTTCATAAGTTACCCAGTCTCACGTATTCTTTTATAGCAACACAAAATCTAGTACGCTCTTTTATGTCTAGAATTAAAGTAGTACATTGTAGTGCCCCCAAATAGTCACAGTTCATATTTTGGTGCCTATGTAATTATTAATACTACTCCCTTTATTCTCAAAAGTATCCTGGTTGGAATGATAAATTAAATGGCTACTGAATTTGTGTCTTCTAAAACCTCTCTCTTCCAATCCTCTGTTATCTTTTTTTTATGAGCTTATTACAAAGAAACATCTTTGGAAGAGTAAAATTTCATCTCTCTTGGGTGTAAGACGTTGAGTAAGTCAAATGTCTTTCAATGTATATTTAGTATATTTTAAGGGTATTACTCATACCCACATTGTAGGGGTGTCATGATTTGTAAATGACACAATGCTCATAGAGAATCAGATATTAGGCATTTAAATGATAGTTCCCCTCACCGAAGATAACCATGACAGCCAAGTTCCCAGGAGTTTAGTGTATATATATTATATATAAATATATATACAAATATATATAAATATATAAATATATATGAATATATATAAATATCTATATAACTATACATATAAATATATATAAATATATATAAATATATACATATATATATATACTGGGTTAGATGCATACTTTACTTTCTTGATCTGTTGCACTTGGATATATAAAATATTTAAATGGAGCTGCAGATAAAAGAAAGCTAGCATATAGTATAATTTCTGAAATTTAGTCCTCTCCAAAGCAGTCACCCACTTTGATGACCAAGCATTAAAATGTTTATAAATAGTATGTTTAAGATTTAGTAAAATACATTAAATTTGTGCATTTAAATTGGGAATGAATGGCATCTTTTAAAATATATTTATAACCTAAATTACAAATATTAATGTAAACAATTAAAAAGGAATGATCATTACTTTTAGTTATGTTAAATGTTTTCTTTTTTCTTAAGGAACATAGAGAATCTATGTCAGTATTATCTGAAAATTAAATTTTTACTTTTATGCTGCCAGTAAGTAACATTTTGGGTACATGCATTTAAAAATTAATACTAAGAATGTTTATTTATCCCAATTTACTTATCAAAGCAAAGGAAGCCCTAAAAATATGAGAAGGTAGTTAGAAAATCAGATAAGCTCCCTAACCATAGCTTTAAAAGTATCTGGGTTAGAAGGCCAAAATTCTTCTATTTGAAAGTCAACAACTCAAATCAATGTAAAGGAATGTTGTTTTCAGTAGAGATTACTGAAGTCAGACTACAATGACATCCTCTTCCCTCAAACTGTCAAGCAAATAGACAAAAACTACTTTAAGTCTTTAGTTAGGTACATAAAAGTATAGGAGAAATGAGTCAAAACTAGAATTACTCAAGCCTTAAAAATACTGAATTTTTTTTTATTAAGAAAGTGAAGGAGTAAAAGAATGGCTACTCCATAGGCAGAGCAGCCTGAAATATTTTATAATTGAGAACTCCTACTCTGCCGCCTTAAATAAGGGCCTTTTTATTAACAATTTTTGAAAGATCAAGTAGAGAAAAACGTTAGTGGGCCAGGATGTGGGACTGTTGGTGTCTTCAGCAGCTACTGTTGACCAGCCTTTTCTTTACTCTACAATAGCAAGTAGTAGCAATGATACGAAATGAGAAACTATTTGACCAGGGTGAGTGATAGAGCGAAAGGTTATCTCATATCTTTCAGAAGCCTTGGAACATCTGGAATTGTTCAGTTTATTTCACATGGGCAATAAAATGGAAAAGCTGGTGTATAGTAATTTAGTGGCTTCCCACTTCATCATGCACTCTTTGTATTTTTCAATAGATTAGATATGTGTTTTTATTTTTGAATGCTAAATGGTGTTCATTATATAAATGAAATGAGCCACTTGGCGACTATGGAGACATTGTTTCTACAACCTGCCAAAAATTAGCTGAACAACTGCCATGAGTGATGATGGGGAACTAAGTCTTTGCATATGCTGAAAAAATATAAAAAATAAATTCCACGTGTATTGCATGTCCTTCAATTTACAGCTGGTTAAGCCATTAAAAGTACCACATTTTTTTTTCCAATTTGCTTCACACTGAATGGAATTTATGAGTCTATTTGTAAAATTAACATTCATTCTCCTCTATTATTAAGATTCTGATTATCTTGTTTTCAAATTCCAAGACTACAGAATCAACTCTTTCTCCCTTTAGTCCTCTATTTTACACTACTTTTTTCATTATTTGTTACTAAGTCAGATGATGGCCTGGTAAAGTGGAGAAATAGTGAAAATAATGTATCTAACAATTTATCAAAAGCCTTGATGAATTTGGAAGTTGATGGGTATTTAGATAATAGCTTGATGGGTGAAAAGACAGATGAGAGACAGAGAGAAAGACATTTCTATCTCTCTCTCTCTCACACACACAAACACACACACACACACACACCTCCCCACACCCCCCACACACATTTATATATGTGAATACCATCAATCAAGTCTCGCGTAGGGCAGGGACCCTTTCTTACTTCCTGACTCTGCTCAGATGTTAGTTTTATAAAGTTTAACTTTCAATGCTCTATTTATATTGAACTGGTTGGTTTTTATTATTAATATTTATGAGTCTCTTCCTGTCTTTCATGATCATTAAATTGCTTTCACTTCTTATCCAGTGCTCAATTTTACCCTTTTCTTAAATTTTACTCTTAAAAGATCAGGGTTCAAGTTCATTTAATGGCTCCTCATTTAAGAACTATATAACCTCAGATAAAATTAACTTCTTTGATTCTCAATGTCTTCATCTAAAAAATAAAGTTATCATGACTCTTATTTATTTCACTACAAGTTTGTAAGAATGAATAATAGTCAATGTGAAATTTTTTGTACAGAATAAAGTATACGTAAAATTAAAGAAATTATTAAAGGCTAAGACAACATACAAGCCACATTGTGGAACAAGTCATCTCAGTCTATTTAATAAGCCACATGTAACAGTCAGGCAAAAGGTATTGTCATAATTTTCTTTGGTTTCCTTTGTTTGCCAAACATAATTTTTTACATGTATTAAAATGTGGAATACATAAACCAAGCATCTCTTAATGACTATGTGCTTCAATAATGGCTTTTCTACCAGTTTTGTTAGAAAAAATTTCTTAAGGCATTCATATGAGAATTACAGTTTTGTTACAACTGTTAAGGTTATAATAAAATATGACTATTTTTGTCATTTTTTAAAAATTACAGGTTGTAGCCATCTCAGTGCAAAGCTTAAATATGGTATATGCAAAATTAATTTATAACAACATATACATAAAACTGATTTTTACAAAATATCTTTGTGGAAATACGAACAAAAAAGTGAACAATACAGCATTAATTAATTCAATCAAGTGCTATCTTTTAAAAATGTATTTTTCTAAGACACTTAAGCTTAAATGATATACTATTAAATTTCTCTTCTAAAAAATTCAGATCCTGATTTTGAACATACTGTAATAGGATTCTGAATATGAAACAAAGGGGAAATGACCCTGATTCTAATTTATTTTGATAACAAATCAAGGTTTACAGTGTTATCCATATATTAAAAAAAAAAGTAGGCATTTGAGAAATAGGGGGAAAATGGAGAACCTTAATACTTTGAGACCTAAGACATTTGCATATTTTCACAAGTGTTTTGAGAATAACAAATACCTCTACATGATTTTTACATTAAGAACAATTTCTGTTGCCAATAGGAATATCTTAATTTCCATACTCTCATTGGTATTGTAAAATTTCTTGGAAGAAACAGAAATAATCATTCTGCATCTTTTAATAATTATAAAAGCCATTGGATGCAACTTATTCTTCTGAACATTTTACTAAAAATGTTTTTTAAATAAGTTTACAAATATTGCTATAACTAAAGTTGAGAATTTGAAGCATTACAAATCTGTGTACTTTTTTCTTCCTAGAAAAAAGTAGAAGAAGCTAGTGTTATTATGCTAGCTATCTAGTAAGTACATTAAACAGTAAAAATAGAAAGACTATATAGAAACTAATATGCTATTGAGGTCAAATTAGCTTATAAATTTGCTTTTCAATGAAGAGGAAATCCTCATATATACAGGCCCTGGTGATAAGAGGAAAAATATTTCTGTCAAATATTTTTCTGCTTGGTGAATTAACTAACAGTGTTTCTCTCTTTTTTCATTATTGCATAATTTATTTTCATCTCATAAAAAATTAGGATTCCTTGAGACAGATAGAAAAATCTTTTAAGTCAGTAGGACAAAAGATATGTGTGCTACCATGAAAGTCTTCATAAATTTTCCTAAGAGATGATCTGGCTCAAACAATTGGTTGTCAGTTTTTTCTATTGCAAGAATGTTAAAAAAAAAAAAAGTGTACAACTTCTCTAGCACATTGCTAAGAAATATTTGTCCTAATAGATTCGGAAACTCCCTTAATAAGATTCACAGAATCAATTCTGATTCCAAATTATGCTTGTCAGTATTGTAACCAAAGTTTAGAATGACAACGTTTCCAAGGTTTTTGTGACTCATGGGGCAGATTGCCATAACACGGACTGGTGACATTTAGTGTCACTGAATGAAGACACAAGTGCAAATTGTTTACTTAAAGTGTTTTAAAAGTTGTCTCTATGCAAGAACTCATCCAAAGAAAAAAAAATTCAAGGAATGCATGACCTAAAACTGAATCTGGAGAATTTGGCTGTATTTTTAAACAATACATAGGGGTAGAATTTTGTCTCCATATTAAAAAAAAAAAAAAAAAAGAAATAAACCTGGAAAAGGCTATGCAAAACTCTGTGAATATTACATTGGGTCTTTACAGTTCATGTCCCTGGGATGAACATGAACAAGATGGTTCTAGGAAACAAAATTCACAAAGATCAAAAAGAGGTGTTCATGGAATAAGGTTGTGTCTTGAAAGCTTTCCTAGGTGTCCCACCCAGCTCAGTGAAACTGAGTCCTTATTTGATGTAGTTTCCATTCACAGCTGTCATAGTCTACAGTGCAGTTCTTTTCACCCCAAAATATGTGTGGTTTTGACAAATGTTCTCCCTAAAATAACCCAGAATACATGATAAGATTATTAATAGGCATGCTCTTAATAGACAATGTCAGTAATCTTAACACTTGGTCATTCAAAACTCTAGAAATGCTGATACAAAAATATGATGGCTACTAAAGTAATTTAGGGAGAAAAAAAATGACCACAAAAATAACAACACTGTCTTTAAGGCACTAATAGTATCACTAGAATTATTAATTGACAATATGCACTAAAAATACAAAATTAAAAACTACTTAAGTGTCAGTAATGAATACTAAGCTAATGCTACCAATGTATTAACAGTCCTTGGTAGATTATTTATCCTCAGGAAAAATAGGCTAGACTCATGTAACTACTCATTTATTCAACCTAGTCAAATCTCGCAGGGCATTGGAGGTTTAAAAACAAGATTCCAGAAAAAAATGGCTAATTCTGTTGTTGTTGTTGTTGTTTTGAGACAGAGTGTCACTCTATGACTCTATTGCCCAGACTGGAGTGCAGTGGTGTGGTCTCAGCACTGCAACCTCTGCCTCCAGGGTTCAAGTGATTCTTTTGCTTCAGTCTCTCAAGTAGCTGGGATTACAGGCACCTGCCACCACACCCAGCTAATTTCTGTATTTTTAGTAGAGATGGGGTTTCACTATGTTGACCAGGCTGGTCTTGAACTCCTGACCTCAAGTGATCACCCTGGCTGGGCCTCAAAAAGTGCTAGGATTACAGGCATGAGCCACCATGCCCAGCCACTAATTCTTATAAGGAAAGCAATACCTCTATTCCATTGAACGCTTACTTTAACATTTTTAAGGATAATTTCATTTGATACTCCAACAACCTATGTAAAAGGTACTATCAATTCTATTGTAATAGTAGGTAAATTGAGGTTTAGTAATCTTGACTAGATAATCTAATCATATTCATCCAGATGCAGAGCCAACTGCAGCTTCAAATTCTTCTTCAAACCAAGAGTTTGTTGATTCCAAAAACCAT
The DNA here is from genome assembly GCF_000001405.40 of Homo sapiens. Taxonomy (NCBI): domain Eukaryota; kingdom Metazoa; phylum Chordata; class Mammalia; order Primates; family Hominidae; genus Homo; species Homo sapiens. The sequence continues at coordinate 77,497,947 of NC_000008.11, read as the reverse complement.
ATGGCCCATTCATTCAAATGTTGGCAAGAGAATGAGCCTATAAGTAAATAAATGTGCTCAGTTCCAAGGTAAACACCAAAAGTAATAGGGTACTCAGTAGTGAAGTGTTGACCAGGGGTGATGAGGGTGGCTACAGAGTGAATCTTAGTGAGTAAGTAATTTAAAATGATGAAACAGTTGTAGAGACCAGAATTCGTGAAGGCTTTAGCAAGTTGCCTTTGAAAGCTTCTCTAAATGTTGGCTTTTTTTTGCACTTTGAAAGCAACAATCGTTACAACTAAAACAATCTTTTTTTTTTTTTCAGTCTGAATACTTTGGAAAAGACAGTAAAAGTAAATACCCCTAACTCCTCAAGACTGTAGAAGATTTCTTCTCTAATAGCAGAAAGACAGTATTAAATCTGACAATTCGGAAAAGTCCACATCTTGCCCTGAGTAAAATTATACATGTGTTTGTGTATTTGTATCTTTACATTTATATGTATGTATATATCTTTATATTTATATTTATAAAGGTATATGCATACATATGATTCATAATTTTAAGTGAAGACATTACAGTATATTAAAAGAATATTATCTGTTCTTATAGCCAACTATTTGAATATAAATTAATATTAGACATTAAAATTCTAAAAAATATAAAAAAATAAAATTCTAATTATTTATATTTTAGTTGCTGGAGATAAATTAAATACGGCCTCATTCATCAACTGAAATTCTTCTTCCAATTGTCTCAAAACCAAATAAATAAAACTAAGCAAATTTTCCAATTTATACATTTTAAAATTTTATATTTCCCCAAAATTAACTTAATACTTATAAAATAAGGCTTTTACTAACTCACCAGAAAACTTTATATATCAAGAACTTCCTTTGGTCATAATAGAAAACAAATAATATGAAAAATATTGATATTTTTTGCCAAAGAAGAGTAGAAGAGATTTTGAACTTCATACAATCTTACATTTCATCATTTTACAGGAGAAGTAGAAAAAAAATTCAGCAGCAAAATGACTTGTTCAACATCATAGAACAGAGCAAGGATTGAAACTCAAAACTCTGTTTAATGTGGGACAGTTTACAAAAATGTCCATCTAGTCTTTTCCTCTCATTAAGAAGTAGTGCCTATTTCTCCATGCCTTTTATATTTGGTAGGCTAATGCTAATTGCTTTCCACCACTGTTACGTTAACAAATATGCAAGTAGATGCTTTAAAAATGTGTGTGCATTGAGGCTTGCTCTCTTTCTGCTCTTGGAACTCTGGTAAACATAGGATAACATGCATGATGATTAGAGTCATGTATCTCAAATGTCTTTATCACCTTGGCCAACTGCCTGCTAAACACCTCATGTATGAGTAAGCATAGTCTGTATCATTCAGCCAATAATCAACGTTCCATCTACTCACAGCTGTGTTTCTATGCATAAGAGTCAGCCAAGCCAGTATCAAACAAGTTAACCTGGAGAATAATATATATCCAGCAGAACAACAGAATCATCAGTTAAACAAATCTTTGTTGCTGAAAGATACTGTATTTTGGAATGATATGTTACACAGCAAAAGCAAACTGATACAAATAAATTTTCAACTTCAGTATTTAATAAGTAAGATTTTCACAAATCGTCTTTCCAGGGTTACCCCAAAAAGCAGATCTCCCATGTGTATCATGTTGATAAAATCAAAGGCAAATGAGAATCTGCTGCTTAAAACTTGTTGGAACTACCCTAAATCTATTGAAAAGTCTTCTAAGAGACCACTGCTAAGGCAAATAATTTCCATTAAACATGATAAAAGACTTTCTTTTATCAAATATGTGTAAGGATTTCAAATTACAAAAATAAGGGACCCCAAATAAAAGTGCCTAAGAAGGCAGTTTGATAACCTGGAGACATCAAATAGAAGAGAAAAGCAAATAATGATGTTAACAAAATATGGTCAACCTCAATGATAAAAAAAATAAAAATTCAGAAAGAATTCAGAGAATCTTAAAGAGGTTAGGCATGTTGGAATAAATTTTTTGTTACTCAATCCTGTATTCTCAGAAGAAAAAACAGAGCTAAAACTTAGCCCAATTAACTGATTTAGGGGATATTTAAATTACTTTTAAGTCTGTCATTTTATTGATAAAAATATTAAGTCAATGTGACACACTAGTCACAATAAAACAAATGGCATAAATACTTATATATCTATAATTGATAATAAATTAAATGACTGACTAGTGGAAAGCTGTGAGGTACTGATTTCAGCGACATATAATTTTGGGAGGCAAAATATTTCCCAGAGAGTTTAGACATGAAGGCTTCTAAAAAATTGGAGTTTATCTCTCTTGGAAAGCTAGGATACTTTGGTTAAAAGGTAGCTAACTCACCACGGTGCTTTGATTCTGAGACAAGGCAGAATTATATTCTCTATATTCACCACTTTGAGAATTAGGAAGGATGAAAGTAACACAGCACGTTATTCTTTTCAGTAATGCATACTTTCACTTCAAATTTTCATCTTAAATTTTAAGTAAAATTCAAGCTAACATTAGAATGAACAAGGTTCCATTACACAAAGGGCCATAATATATCACCACTAGAAATTAGTCTTTATTTTTATGTGCTTAATAACAAACATGACAATTTCAAATGCTATGGGTTAGAGGATATCAATGATTCTTGTATAGATTAGTTCTCCAAGAAACGAAACATTTATCAAGATATTTGAAGCAATGCAGGTGAAAAACCTTGGGAAATACAATGTATTATGCATGTGAAGACAATTGGCAAGGGAGACATAGAGAAGGGCACACTGTAAGAATTATAGTAGGAGGAAGTGGATGGAGTAATATTTGTGAAAGATGATTTCTAAAATATCTTATGTGAATTTGAGCACATCAATTAATTGCAGTAATGTTTCCTTAATTTTTCATTAAAAAATTTTAAAGTTACCCATATTCAGCTTAATATGTGGTCATTTTAACTTCATTAGCATCATGAATTATTTGAGTGCTGCATGCAAAGGCATGGAATTTTAGAGAAAGGCTATTTTCATTCTTTATCTGTTCAAATTGTCAAAACATAGATTATCTGACTTTCACCAAATTGTCTGTACTTCTGTTACAGCATTTTTTGCCATTCACCATGAAATACTTCTTATTATAAAAACCAGCTTTCAACTATTTAAATAGAATGAATATTCTGTGGAAGAGGAATTAATTTCATCTGCAAAACTATAGAATTACAGCACATTTTAGAAAACTCTATTGGTCTTGACCATATCTTTTTGTATATAGAATTTTATGCAGGAGAAAAATTAGAATCTGAAAATCAGGTAGTTCTGAAAGTGCATGTCCGGAGCCATAAGAATTAAGATAAACAGGTTAGTTTGCTTGTTTTGGCTTGTTTGCCTTGGTGTCATTGTCATTGTTAGATGTTTAATGATCCAAACCAGTATATTTCTAACTCAGTTATATTCTTGTTGTGTCTATTATTTAAGAGTTTTTACTCACATTGGGAAGGGATGTGTGTGTTTGTTTGTGTGGTGTGGCATGGGTGTATGTGTGTGGTTCATATATTAAAATTATATTAGTATTTAAATAACTTTTTAATCTTTCTGATCATTTGAAACACTGGTTATTGTTTAAGCTAAAACACACATTTTCAAATGGAATAAAAGAAAAAGAGAGAAAGTGAGAGAGAGAGGGGAAGGAGAAAAGGAGGGAGGGAGGGAGAGAGGGAAAGAGGGAGGAAGGAAGGAAGAAAGGAAGGAAGGAAGGGAGGGAGGGAGGGAAGGAAGACCACCCAAGGAGTTGTAGATAAGAAGTATGGGATAAGTTGGGAAAAATTTATGAATGTTTTAATTGTTTAGGTCTATAGGATATGAAACCAGATTTTTAAAAGGACCCAATTTTGCTCCATTTTATGCTTTGATCCACTGATTAACATTTGCAACCACCAACTCACTTTCCTGATGGAGCCAACTGTCAGATAGTGATGCTTCCAGGGCCCAGTACAAAGTTTCCAGCTGTGGATGTAGACAGATCAAAGCATATGATGGACTCTCTACAACACAGTCTATCTGGAATACTAATAATAGTCTGTACTACATGTAAAGAATCAAGTCATTTTTCTCCACTCCTTCAAATAATAAGGGTTTCCTTGTACATGCTATTAATTGATTCAATATGCAGAAGGAATGTATGAACTTTTCCCACGCCTTAACTTACTCTTTTTTTGTAATATACATTAGTCCACCTCCAGAGGTTGTTTTAATTCAAGTCAGGTTGCTATTTTTTTTTCATAAAAATGGAGGGGGTAAAACTTGTTATTTTAGCTTTACATGCTATGCATCTTCTTATGTTTTATAATTATTTGTGTATGTGCAGGTGACTACCCTATGCAATTTTGATACTGCTTAACTTGTTTTTGGTAGAATTTCATTACGTACTTTTCTAAATATTGAAAGTTTTACCATGAATACTTTATGAAGATTGCTTGGTCCTATGAGACCCTACTTAAGATTTTGAAGCCCCTAGTTCAAAGAACTCTTCAATAACTGGTAATTGTCTTTAAGCTTATCACACTATGAAAGACTGAAGTCTTTTGTTTGTTTGTTTGTTTTATATGGGACAGTAGGTGTTTGCTTTTTTTTTTATTCCAGATTCACCATTTGCTTCTCAACGGTTTAATCTCTAGTCAGGGAACTTTGGACATTTTTTACCCAGGTGATAGTTTCTATAGCTTGATTGTTTTAAGACACTGGAGCATGGAAGATGCACCCACAGTCAACATGCATTCCTTATGTCTTCTGAAGGGAAAAACATAATGGCCAATGCTTCTAATTTCTAGCCACATAATCATGTATTGTACACCTCAGATGTATAAAAGCTATATGATAATGATACAGAAAGGACATAAAATAAAACATGTATAACAACAGGATCTCTTTCCTCATATAACTGACTTCATTTTTCTCAGTTTGTAGAGTTGCTCAGAAGTCCCTATGTAATCATTATTTATGTACACTCAGAGTAGATAGAATAGTGTCCTTTAAATTTTCTATATGCCATTAAGTGAAGGGAAGCTTCTGCCTTGGGCATTACAAAGATTCTATTCTTGACCAAATTTTTTTTTTAACAAGGCCTTGACCTTGGACTCTGTCTTTGGCTTGCTTAGTCCAGTTTAGTGAGAATTCTGCTGAGTCAATTTAGTGGAAAAACTCCACCTTTGATATCTGATCACCCTCTACATCTGATCGAATTTCTCATCCTCATTCTCAATATTTTAATCATCATGGCTTGCCTACAGAAAATATCCTGTTCAGCCTTTATATTTTCTCTCCTTAACTTTCCATTCACTGACTCCCAACTCTAATCCTTGACTATAAATCTCCACTTGTCCTTGTTGTATTAGGAGTTGAATCTACTGCAAAGCCCCTCTTGCAGTAGTCTGTCTTGAATAAAGTCTTCCTTACCATGTTTAACATGTGTTACAAGTAATTTCTTTTTCTTTAACAGTTTTGATGTCTATGACATAAAGAATAAGGTTCAGTATTCAAGTGTGCACCTTTGTCTTTGCTCCTGGATGATTGATCAGGGATCCATTGTTGAGGCCAACTCCTGATTCTATGCTCACAAGGACAGTCCTTGAAGCATGGCAGGGAGAGATTTTGATCTTATAATTTTGAATGCACTCTCTGAAGCTGGGTTAGTCTCAGGCTTCTTTTGAAAAGTACCTCCTGTGCTGGAAGTGCTTCCTAGCTTCTTGTTTTGAATGGGATTAATTCCCGGACTCCTAGGATGGAAATGATTTTTTATGGAAAATTGAAAGGCCTTTGTTCTTTCTATTTGACTCTACTCTCCCGTGAGAACCCCTCTGTCAACTGAAACTCTCCTCCTCAAACTCCTCTTGACTATAAAGTTACCCATATTCAGCTTAATATGTGGTCATTTTAGTAGTTAGTGACTATATGTCAGCACAACAATAACTTTGTTGGTCTCTTTCATTGATGGCATGACTCTACTAAGGGTAATTTGAATTTCAATGGCTTCTTTGGGAAATGCAAGATCCCTAAACTGGCTCCATTAAGACCTCTCCTTTCCCATTACCTCTTATATTCATCCATTTTCACACTGCTATAAAGAACTACCTGAGATTGGGTAATTTTAAAGAAAGGAGGTTTAATTGACTCAGTTCTGCATGGCTAGGGAGGCCTTAGGAAACTTACAATCATGGCAGAAGGCAAAGGGGAAGCAAGGCACATTTTACATGGTGGCAGGAGAGAGAGGATTGGGGGAAATTGCCACACATTTAAGCCAACAGATCTTGTGAGAACTCACTCACTTTCACAAGAATAGCATGGGGTAAACCATCCCCATGATCCAATCACCTCCCACATGGCCCCTCCCCTGACAGAAGGGGATTACAATTCAAGATGATATTCGGGTGGGGACACAAAGTCAAACCATATCACCTCTGCTCCTCCCTCCTCCTCCCACCACCTTCAGTCTTCCCTTCAACTCTTTTGAATTCTTTGTTCAGGTGTTATGAACAACTGTAGCTTACAGGTCTGACAAATTTATATGCCATGAAAACTACAATGAGAAAATCTTACTTTGTCATTTAAAATGGTTTTGACTCTTCCCACTACAAATTTCTCATTTCCAACTCTAAGGTTTTAGCTGACAGAGTTTAACTCCAGAATGCTATCTACTTGGTTAGCATTTAATTATGACAATATGTGTGTTTTTTTCTTCTGTTTTGCTATAAAATGTTGAGCATGTTAGAAAGAAATAACGTACAATTAACTCAAAAGTTTAAAATAATCCTTAAAATAACATCAATTTGGTAGATGGGAACATTTTACACCAAAATGCAAGTCTACCTATGATGTTACTTGAGAGCAAAAGAGCTAAAATTATGGAGTCTGAATGATTTTCTTTCATTATGTCACTATTCTGAAAGGTTGCAATGCAAATTTACTACCTTTATTATTCTGCAACCAAAAAGAAATAGGGACCCATGTTGCATGTTTCTCTGTTGGACATCACAAGATCAGTATGAAAGAAACAAAATACAACAATCCTCACTTTGTGGCTAGGATGTGAGAGAGGAATCTATCCATGATTAAGCATGATCATGGTGCAATGAAGAACAGAGAGACCTTTTAAATCTATTTTTTTCTAAATTATTCTAAATCTTTAAAAGCATATGTGTATAAATGTTGATATAGTACATTTTTACCAGTTTAGATCCCAGAATATTAAGAAAATTGACATTAAAAAAGTTAAGTAACCATTTACCTTTCAATTTGTAAACAATAATAACTATATTGGAGGAATATAAGATTAATACTAGTATTTCTTCAGTATTGTTTTTCAGTTTGCAGATCTTTAAAAACAATGAACATGTCATACTTTTCAGACAATGAACATGTCATATTTTTCAAAGGATGTTGTGGACTTTGAAATCATATATTTTTTTTTTAATTTTTTGAGTCAGAGTTTTGCTCTTATTGCCCAGGCTGGAGTGCAGTGGCGTGATCTTGGCTTACCGCAACCTCTGCCTCCCAGGTTCAAGTGATCCTTCCGCCTCAGCCTCCTGAGTAGCTGGGAGTACAGGCATGTGCCATCACACCCGGCTGATTTTATATTTTTAGTAGGGATGGAGTTTCTCCATGTTGGTCAAGCTGGTCTCGAACGCCCAACCTCAGGTGATCCGCCCGCCTCGGCCTCCCAAAGTGTTGGGGTTACAGGTGTGAGCCACCGCGCCCAGTTGAAACCACAGATTTTTTAAGAAAAATTATGGGCCGGGGTAGGAAGAGGTTGGTTAATGGATACAAAGTCACAGCTAGATGGATGGAATAAGTTCTAATGTTCTATAGCATTTTCAGGTGAATATGGTTAACATAATTTAGTGTATATTTTCAAAAGCTAGAAAAGAGGATCTTGAATGTTCACAACAAAGAAATGATAAATGTTTGAGATGATGAATATGCTAATCAATCTGATTTGATCATTACACATTGCATGCTTCAAAATCTCACTCTGTAACCCATAAATATTTACAAACATTATTTGTCTGCTAAAAGCAAAAGAAAAAACAAAATAAGGGGTTCACCATCCTGGAGAAACTGTGACAAAATTAGTATAAAAGTTGACCATTCTGTAAAACCATATGCCTCCCCCCAACACAAAATAAACTACCCACACGGGGCACAGTGGCTCACGCCTGTAATCTCAGCACTTTGGCAGGCCAAGGTGGGTGGATCACTTGAGGTCAGGAGCTCGAAACCAGTCTGGCCATATGGTGAAACCCCATCTGTACTAAAAATACGAAAATTAGCCAGGTGTGGTGGCATGCACCTGTAATCCCAGCTACTCGGGAGGCTGAAGCAGGAGAATTGCTTGAGCCCGGGAGGCAGAGGTTGCAGTGAGCTGAGATCGCACCACTGCATTCCAGCCTGGGAGACAGAACAACACTCTGTCTCAATAAATAAATAAATAAATACAAAATGAACTACCCAAATGGTAAATACATAAAACATAAAAATCATTTGTTACAGAACTGTCTACAATGGTGAAAATTTGGAAATAAGTTGTCAGCTAAGAGGATAAATATGTATATTGTGGAAGACAATTGAATGAGATATTACATAGTCACCGAAGTGATAGATATGCTAAAGATACAAATGGGTCATACCAAATGGAAAAAAAAGTTTGATTTTATTAAAGTCTCAAAAAGCAATACATTTATATATCTCATAAAGTTGGAAGAAAATACACAAACTTAAAATATTTATAAAGAGAAGAATAGGTGATTTCATGTATATTAGAAAAATTATATTTTATTCCATTTTAATATTGTTCTTAAAATTTTAAATATTAGAAATTATAACATAAAATGGATAAACTAATAATTTATTTCCTTTTTAGTATATAGAGAATAACCTATTCTTTATATCATCATCAGTACTAAATTTATTACTAGAGTACCTCAAGGAGGAAAGAGAACAGAGTAAGGAAGATTAAGTGTTTTTCTTAGAGTTTTAAAATGTAGTGTCTTATTAAATGAGTCATTAAAATTATATCTACCTGTATTTACATGTGAAAAGTGCATGGAATAAATGGAGAAAACAATTAAATGAAGTGGTATTCTTGTGAAAGTGTAAGTGCATTTAAAAAAATCTGTATTAAGCAAATTTTAAAATGGCTTCAGTTTCTCCCCATTCTAGTGTGAGAAAAAGTGTGTAAAATGAAAAGAAAGTTTGGAAATAGCTTCCAGGCAATTTATATTTTAGACAAAACGTCAAAATAAGCATTGCTTCTACCACTCATTCAAACCAGTCTCGTGTGTGTGTGTGTGTGTGTGTGTGTGTGTGTGTGTGTTGTTAAAAGAGTGCAGTTTTCTCCTAAGTGGCCTACACTGCCACATCTAATCTAGTATTGCCCTGCCTCTGCTGCTCTTCCTCAATCATTCCATTCTCCACATTGCAGTAGGAGGTATCTGTGAAAAGCAAATCTTATTTTATGTGCCTGTTTCTGAATGCATTTCATTTTTTTTTAATTTTTGCTCAGAAGATAACCAGTGAAAATCTCAACACAACTTTCAGGAACTCAAATCTTGTCCCACTCAAATTTCAATTATGAACTTCCCACAAATTTACCACCCTTCTTTTATTCATGCTTTTTATTGCTTCAGAGTATGATATGTTATTTTTCATATGCTTAGAATGTTCCCCCAATTTGGGGGCCTTTGCCTGGCTATCCACTTAACTGCTCATCCTTAGGAATACCATCTCCAAGACATCTTACAGAGAACTTGGTACTATATACATATTCTCTCTCTCTCTCTCCATATATATATATATATATATATATACACACACACACACACACACACACATACATACATATATGTGTGTATATATTTAAATACACACACACGCAAAATGGCGATTTCAGAAGGCTTCCACATGCCAAGAAACCTAGGTTAGAGATCTGGATTATTAGACACTGTAGCACTCACCAGAGTTACAATTAAATCATCACATAATTATTTTATAATATCTGTATCTCTCACTAGTCTATTGTTCCTTGTAAACCCACAAAACACAGGGATGTTTTCATCATTTTGTGTTTATTTTGAACCCAAATTATTTATTAATATTCTTTAGGATACAAGTGACTACAAAACTAAACCAACTGACTTTTAAGCGAAAAGCAAATATGTAGATTAGCCTAATTGAACTGGTGTAAGGCTAGCTGCAGGATGAGGAACGAAGCCCTCCGCCATGTGGCTGGACAGTGTGAATCTCTCTCAGTCTCAGCACTGTGACTTCTGAGAGGTGGATGCAGAGAAAGCTCTCTGTGGTAGCAGCCACGTTTCTTCTCTAGATGCTTGCATTCTGGGTGCTACAGGAAAAAAAAGGAGTCTTCACACATTCATTGGTTCTGTTAGATTATGTGTTTGTTTCCACAGTGTCACTGAGAGCTTAACAAGGAAATGCACCAATTGACTGTTCTACTAGTGGAGCTGAGGGGTGAAGGATGGAGAATCAGTTTTACCTAACACAGATGGGCTGAGTGGAAGAAGTGTAGATCATCTAAACCCAAACCACAAACTGGTTACCATAAAAAGAGGATGTGATGATTGTGGCGAAACAATAAATACCAACAATGTCTGGTGCTTCCCACAGTGTGATGCACAAAGGTATCAACATGTATCTATGGAATGGAAGAATGAATGATGACGCCTAGAAAGCTGCGCATGTAAAATGCTGTTGACACCTGGTACATTCAATACTTTGAAATTAAAGATGTAGTGAACGTACGATGAAAAATATCAAAGAAAAAAGCAAAAAGAAAGCAAAAAAAGTTAACAACTAATCATATTCATAAATGCCATAAAACACTATTAATTAAACTATAGAAGAAAAAGACACAATATTTGGCTTTCAAACAAACTTTATATATAAAATTAAAACATGAAAATATTTTCTAGTACTTGAAAAACTCTTCTACAATAATTGAAAATGATACAGCCGTTTCTTTTTATGACAGGCAAAATGATATTTGTTGTGTTAATAAAAACTGGAATGTGATAGGAAAGAAAACCAAAAATGTAATTTTTGCATTTTTTTCATGTTTTTTGGGCATTTATATATCTTCTTTTGAGAATTGTTAAAAAATATAGTAGTCTTTCTGGAGAGGAAAAGGTAATACGTAAAAGGAGACAGAAAAGTTGTGACATAGTTATCCCACTTTGGTTACATTTACCAAGATTTTTTTTTAAAAAATTTATTTTCATAAGTTCTTGAGAAGTGGGTAGTATTTGGTTACATGAGTAAGTTCTTTAATGGTGATTTGTGAGATTTTGGTGCACCCATTACCTGAGCAGTATACACTGAACCCAATCCATAGTCTTTTATCCCTCACCCCCTTCCCACACATGTCCTCTCAGTCCCCAAATCCATTGTGCCATTCTTATGCCTTTGCATCTTCAAAGCTTTCACAGCTTAGCTCCCACTTATGAGTGAGAACATACGATATTTGGTTTTCCATTCCTGAGTTACTTCACTTAGAATAATAGTCTCCAATTCCACCCAGGTTGCTGCGAATGCCATTAATTCATTCCTTTTTATAGCTGAGTAGTAGTCCATCATATATATATACATATATATATATATATATACATATATATATATACACATATATATATATACACATATATATATATACACATATATATATATATATGCCATTGATAACTGGTACATTTGAGTGTGTGTGTGTATATATATATATATATGCTTATTTCTTATCGATGAGTGGTACATTCGAGTATATATATGATATATACGCTCGTTTATCAATGAGTGGAGATATATATATATGTATGTATACGCACACACACAATATATATACCACAGTTTGTTTATCCACTCATTGACTGATGGGCATTTGGGTTGGTTCCACATTTTTGCAATTGTGAATTGTGCTGCCATAACATGCATTTGCAAGTATATTTTATGAATAATGACTTCTTTTCTTCTAGATCAATACCCAGTACTGAGATTGCTGGATCAAATGGTAGTTCTACTTTTAGTCATTTAAGGAATCTCCACACTGTTTTCTGTAGTGGTTGTACTAGTTTACATTCCTACCAGCAGTGTGGAAGTGTTCCCTTTTCACTGCATCAACGTCCACATCTGTTATTTTTTGATCTGTTGATTATGGCCATTCTTGCAGGCCTAAGGTGGTATTGCATTGTTATTTTGATTTGCATTTCCCTGATCATTAGTGATGTTGAGCATTTTTTAATGTTTGTTGGCCATTTGTATATCTTCTTTTGAGAATTATCTATTCATGTCCTTAGCCCACTATTTGATGACATTTTTTTTCTTGCTAATTGGTTCGAGTTAGTTGTAGAGTGTGGATATTAGTCCTTTGTCAGATGTATAGATTGTGAAGATTTTCTCCCACTCTATGGGTTCTCTATTTACTCTGCTGACTGTTCCTTTTGCTATGCAGAAGTTCTTTAGTTTAATTAAGTCCAACATATTTATCTTTGTTTTGATTGCATTTGCTTTTGGGTTTTTGGTCATGAATTCCTTGCAAGATTATAATTCTAAATGAAAAAAGAATTATTTGTTACCAAATAAGGAATTAAAAGCAAAAAAGAGGAAATATGTCAATATATTAATATTCTTAAAAATTAAGCTGAAATAAATTATTGAGATGGTGTTTTGCCTTTTAAATAGTAATGAAAAATTAGTAGAGATTCTTATGTTAAATAAAACCACATTAAAGCACAAAAGTTTATATTCAATTTAATAACAATTTCATAGGAATTCTGCTTGAAATGATTAAAATCAGGAGAGCGTTTAGGTGATGATAAATGTCTGATGACATGGGAAAAGTAATCTTTAATATTTGCTTTTTCGGCCAGGCATGGTGGCTCACATCTGTAATTCTAGCACTTTGGGAGGCCAAGGCAGGTGGATCACCTCAGGTCAGGGGTTTGAGACCAGCTGTCCAACAGGGCGAAATCCCGTCTCTACTAAAAATACAAAAATTAGCTGGAAGTTGTGGTGCACGCTTGTAGTCCCAACTACTCAGGATGCTGAGGCAGAAGAATCACTTGAGCCCAGGAGGCAGAGGTTGTGGTGAGCCAAGATGGCACCACTGTACTCCAGCCTGGGTGACAGAGTGAGACTCTGTCTCAAAAAAAAAAAAGTTTCTTTTTCAATGTTGTTAGTATTTATGATAATGTTTGTATAATACATATTATAATTATATGGTACGTAATATATATAAAGTGGTTCAATAATCACATGTGCATTCATATGAAACTCCAACAAGTTTCTGTTGTATCTTGTTACTTTGTAGGTCCTGGGACAAGTTACAGATGCATGGTATTTTTGGCCTGGGCCCAGGGTATTAATATCAGTCTTACTCTCACTAACAGTCTGTCACATCTAAGAACAGGGAACCCTAGAAAAGAAGGTTTCCTTTTCTCAGCTTCTTGTTTTTAGCTGGAAGTCTCTTTGCTTCCACATCAGAGCAAATATTACTAATAAAAATAGAAATGATTTCAATTCGAAAGTTACATTAAAAAATTTTGTTTTCTTCCCTGACACATTCCAGTTTTTCTCAACATAACCTATATCATTTTCCCAGTCATAAAAAGAAAAGACTATATCGTTTTCAATTTTGTAAAGGAGTTTTTCAAGTACTAGAAAATATTTTCATATTTTCCCATACATCTAAATTTCCCTAGTGTTCAGCCAACCATAGAAAAGCAGCAGATTGAATGCAGACTTCACTTTAATTATCCGTGGTCATGAAGAACTGAGATAGCGCTGGTATAGATAATCTTAAAACCTAATATAACCTGTAATGTAAAGCCTTTCCCACACTCTGTCATTTCTGAGACTTAATAGGGTGTTAGCCAAGCTGAGTGACCCAAAGGCCATCTTCTCATTTCCCTTTTGGCTGTCTGCAGGGAATGCAAATGAGGGTGAATGGCCATTACAGAAAGCAGGAGAAAGAGAGAAAGAGAATCACTTCTCTTGATATTTAGTCTGTACGTGATCCAGAAATAGCGATGTTTTCATCACATTGGAACCAGAATCTGAGAATACAAAATTAGAGAGTTCATGTTGATTTATGGTATGTTTTAACTTATTGATTGTCTACTGTATGCCTGAGACAAACGGGCGTTGGAGTTAAAGTGAGAAAGGGAGGAAGACCTTTGTCTTCAGAGACTAGAAATCTATCTTTATTATTCCTCTACAAATAACAATGTAACAGAAAGTAATTATAATTTGATTGAATTACATCATGCTAATTTTGTATACTACAGTTCATCTTCACTAGTGCCCAAACAGTTTGGTTACAATGAAAAGACAAACACAATTCTAATGGACTTTGGATGAAAGCAGATGTGTCTACAACTTTGAGAATAATGACATTGTGTCCTTCCTCTGCTTCTTGAAGTTAGAAAAACTTGGCCAGGTGTGGTGTCTCCCGCTGTAATCCCAGCACTCTGGGAGGCAGAGGTGGGTGGATCACTTGAGGCCAGAAGTTTGAGAGCAGCCTGGTGAACATGGCAAAAACCCGTTTCTACTAAAAATACAAAAGTTAGTCAGGCATGGTGGCACATGCCTGTAGTTCCAGCTACTTGGGAAGCTGAGGCACAAGAATCACATAAACCCGGGAGGCGGTGGTTGCAGTGAGCCGAGATCGTGCCACTGCACTCCAGCCAGGGTGACAAGACTGTCTCGAAAACAAAACAAACAAAACAAACTTGCTCTGACTGAATTTATGATGTTCAATGTAAAACTTAATGTTAGTATTTTCTATAAAATTAATAGAGGAAAACATTTGTACCAGAAAGTGTTTGCATTTTTAATAATAATTATATAGGTTGAAAAAAGAATTTTTTCATTAAATGTTTAAACTATATAGGACATTATAGCTATTAACATTGAAGTTGGACAAATAAATCTATTGGAGACATAATTGATTAAAAAAATCTCTATTAGGAAATGATACAATAGTATACTTGAAGAACCCTTGAGAATCAAACATATAAATAGGTATAGGTGTGTTGTGTATGGTTTAGAATACATCCATGAATGTCCTAGCGTTATCCTCTGAAAACGGCCTAAAAGTAATATACTCAGCAGCAATGAGTACATCTAGAATTCACATCTTTATTTTTTGTCTTCTATTTTTTAAAAAAAACATATTAAATTCCTAGTTTAGATCATTGTACAATTGTTATGCTGGTGAAAAGTGTATTTAAAAGTCTGTGTAGAATTTTTGCCACTTTTCTTGTTATTATATTTAACCAGCAAAAACAAAAAGCCTT
The DNA here is from genome assembly GCF_000001405.40 of Homo sapiens. Taxonomy (NCBI): domain Eukaryota; kingdom Metazoa; phylum Chordata; class Mammalia; order Primates; family Hominidae; genus Homo; species Homo sapiens. The sequence goes on along the minus strand of NC_000008.11, from coordinate 77,482,582 downwards.
CCTAGAAAAAATATATAAAATACACAATTATATTTGTTTTGATGATATATTTGAAAAAACAATTGATAAGCGTGTATTATGGCTCAAACTCTATTCCCTAATTGCTATACAACTAATTGCAAGACAATTACCTAAATTAAACAAAGGATAACACATTTATAAATAATATGCAATAGTTCTTCTTGTTTAAACATCATAATCTCTAGCTTTAATTCTACAAAATATTAACACATTCTTGTGATATGTGATCCTTCTCTTATGGATCCCATGGAACCTAGTAATCACATTTGATTTATTTTTGAAATATTTATAAAATATTTTAGAAAATTATCTAAAAATATTGAATGTTGGCTTATAGAATTTTATAATAATTTACATAGATATTGAGTATATCTTATTGAAATAGAAATGTCAATTAAAGACTTTAATTTCTATGGATTGCTTTCAGAACAGTAAATAGAGACTGAACAAAAATTTTTTTCAATGAAGTTAAAATCTTTTTCTATTAAATCTGGATATATGTTTCAGCACTTCAGATATTTAACTACATACTAACTGAATAATTGCTATTTCAATATTTGGGTAAATGTAAATCTAAAACTAAAAACATTCCCCCTCTCCCTCTTCATATATCTTTTCCACACATTCCTTCTATCTACATACTATCCAGCCTATCATTAATTAATCTGATTCTCTAAAGTTAATCTAGTTCATACCTATATTTTGTTTCGTAATTAAGAAATCAGGCCAGCCATGGTGGCTCATGCCTGTAATCCTAGCAGTTTAGGAGGCTGAGGTAGGTGGATTTCTTGGGGTCAGGAGTTCGAGACCAGCCTGGCCAGCATGGCAAAATCCCATCTCTACTAAAAATACAAAAATTAGCCTAGAGTGATCCCCTGTTCCTGTAATCCCAGCTACTCGGGAGGCTGAGACATGAGAATAGCTTGAACTCGCGAGTTCAAGGCTGCAGTGAGCCAAGATCACACCACTGCACTCCAGCCTGGATGACAGAGTGAGATCCTGTCTCAAAAAAAGAAAAAGAAAAAAATATTGAACTAGATTAACTAATCATTTTTTTTTAATTTATGTGTTGCATTGAGAAAAATTATTCAGAATCCACCACTTCCAACATATTTTACCATTACTGGCATTCATTAATTCATATTACTTAGTAGGAAATACTAAACCATTTTCATAGAAACAATTTGCTATAATAGAAAATTATATCACAAACTTAACACTATCTCTTGTATATTCATATGTTTATAAAGTGTAGATAACTAAAGGATTAAGTGGCATTAGGATCTTTGTTTTAACATTTTAAGTTGCAGTTTGAAGCCACATTCATGGCTATTAACTTTGTTTTTTAATAGTTTCTGCCCTTAAAATTTCAAAGTATTTGTGGATATTTCCCAAGATGGTGACGAAAAAGAAAACTATCCTCATTTAAGATGTTGCTTTTGTTAACGTAGTTTAGAGGCGGTTTTTCTTTCCATTAAATTGAGGATGAGAATATCTGCAAGAATGTATACAAGGTTTGAATAAAGTTTCCTTAGGAAACTAAATTAAAAAACGTTTTATTTAACTGAATTCTAAAATGGCACTTAAAAACAAAACTTTAATCAAACAAAAAGTTATGCAAAATACTGCCTTCAGGCGACATCGCCAAATGCCAATTGGACCAAAAAAAAAAAAAAAATGGGCTTCTAAGAAGAAGCTCAAGAAATATGTTAAATTGCAAAAAGCACATCAAAACTAGGTAAAAACAAGTCAATTCCAACAGTTAACTTTAGTAGCTAAAAAGACATCACATATCCAATGCCTAGGAGACACAGTTTGTAACTTTTTTAGTTGATAACATTGCTTTTATGATACCATGATACCCACTTGTATTGAATCCATATATATAAAATTCTTAAACCTATCAATCAAATTTAAAAGTCTAGCCCCAAATCCCACAGGCTCAATGTTAAATTTCCCCACATTTGTCAAGCCTGCTTATATTGAATTTCCACTTACATCAACCTATTAGTTTCACCAGCTATGCTATGTTTTTATAGGGCTTTATACCACTTCCTGGTACCACAGAGAGGAGGCAGAAAAATGAAGGGGTAGCCAATGTGCTTTCCTACATATATTGTATTACTTTGTTTTATTGAAATTTCTGTCTAATCTGGAAATGAGATATATATAGTAAGCTTGTTTCACTTTCTACAGAGTTAGCTCAAACTTGAATGAAATTGTGAAGATACTAAAGCTTGATGAAATATGTAACTCTTTTTATCTGTCACATCCTAATTTTGAGATTATATTTTAAAATAGACATTCAGGTATTTCCAGATAATTGTTCTATTTTAGAACAAAATGGATGAATTTACTTTTCTTTTAGACTGTAAATGTGGTTTGTTTCTAATATATTGGACACAAATTTTAGAGAGTCTATCTTAGGGTTATGTTTGGCACCGGAGATCACAGTGGCTGTAAAGACAACGTCTTGTAAAAGAGTGGACATTGACATCATGGTATTTTTTTTTGTTTAACCATTCTAAGGTAGGCAAACTTAAATTTACTTTTATTACACTTAAGAAATATTTCTTGCTATTACATTTTGCCTGAATAGAAAGAAAACATTTTTATAAACGTTCCTATAGCTTTCATGCTTCGAGGAAACTGTTGCAATCAGACTGAATTTATTGAATATCATTTCAATTTTCCTTTGACTTCTGTAAAAATTTTTAGTACAAGTCTGTTTTAAGGATGAATTTGTTTTAATAATATAGAAGAAAATTCATTATATGAAGAAAATAATTATCTATTTGTTTTAGATAAATAAACAGGAAATGAACAATCAAGTTTATTTTGAATACATTTATATTCCAAATGAGTGACTCATGAAAGAGGAAGAGTAAAACGATTTAAGGATGACATGCTGTTTTTAGCCAGTATTTTCCAAACTGCATCTTAAGAGGTATTCATTACTGTCCTGTGGAAAAGGGGTTTCTAAACTGTTTAGATACTAAAAATGGAAATTTGTGGTTTACGTTGAGAAAAAAATTAGAATTATTCTTTAATTATAAAAACTAATAGTTCCATTGAACATCATTTATTATTAAGCATTCTAGAGATAGAAAGTTTCCTGAGGTTGCTTATCCCAACTTCCTAAAACCTCATCAATTGAAACTGGTGTGAGAGAGGCTTTGCTTGAGCAATCGAAAGAATAAAAGGATATCTATACATTTTTGTGTCAATTCAGAATTCTGGTTTCAATCCTGTTTCTATCCCTTGAGCTAGGTCTGTAATCTTACGGGATGTAAGTTTTTCTTTTTTTTTTTCTGCATAATGTGATAAAATTACCTCTTACATATTTGTTCTAAAAATTATGATGTATGTAAAGAATATAGAGTACCGATTGAAATTAGTGAGAAATTAATAAACATTAAATAACACACACATGCACAGCACACATTTTCTTACTTGTACTTTACGCTTTTATGCTATATTCTTTTCATGTAAATATTTAATATATGAAAATATATTACAATTTTTGTCCAGAGTTACGAGGTTGCAAAGAGTAGCAAACCTAGTCATTATGAAATCATTTTTGCTAACAGGATTTTTATAAGATTGATCATTCAAACTTTGCTGTCTTTTTAAAATAACTTACTGCATCCATTATATTGAAGTCTTATACTTTCTGGACAACGTCTGCAGAAACTCTAGGAACACACTATGAAGACAGTGTATACACTTAAAAAGAGTGTATTCCTAAAGTTTCTGGAGAGGTTGTCCAGCAATTTAAATCATAAACCTTGAAAATGTTGTAGAATTTCTTGCAGGTGATGAATAATGTTGGAAGGGCAGTTCAGATTAGAGATTAAATCATTCACAAATAAAAATCTGACTTATTTATACTGGTTAATATACAAGAAAATTAGGAAAAGGATAAGAGATAGCTCTCAAAGGAGATAATTGAGGAAATTAATAAAGCCCTTTAATATTCTTTAAATGACTTTATTTATTATTATCTTCAAAGTCACACTCAAATAAAAAATAGTACTTTATACAATTTAATTAGGAAAGACCTATATATTTTCAAATCAATGTCTTATTAATTCTTTATTCTAAGACTTGGCATTGAAAATTTTTGTTAAATACAAGGCTAAGTAAACTCATTTTTATAATTTTGATTTTATTTTTCAAAACTAGTTTCCAATTAAACTTTTTGTCAGTATTTACTAGAAAATTTTTGGTGTCCATTAAGTGGCTTTTACATTGTTCTGATGCAAATTGTACTCTGGTAGTAAAGACTTCCAGAAAATTTCAACTCAGCTCAGAAAATGTTAACTGATAGTATGGTAAATTTCATGAATGGGTAAGTATGACAGATTTCGCATTCATTGTTTAACTGACTGCTTCTAAATTCATTGATTCATAATCACATAACAAATATTCATGAAGTGCCAGCTACCACCTATAATAGAACTAAGTGCAGTAATGGGAAAATAAGAATAAATAAAGCACAGTGCTGCACTTGTGGCATTTTATAGCATGTAGCAGAGATTGACATATAAATTATACTTTTATTCAAGCTATCAGAGGAAATGTACAAATTACCATGTGAGCAATAACAAGGATAGCTCATTCCTGATAAAATAATAATAATAATAAAGTTCTCTTACATAATTCAAAGAGCAACCCCGTTCTTACCCTATGGTTGACTCCATATGCAATTTATTCCATTCATTCATTCATTCATTCAATAAACAATTTGGGAATCTTTTGTGTACAGGAGACACACATACAAACATATTACAATACACTATGTGAATTTTAAGAATATACAGAGCTAACACACTGCCTACGGATATAGAAAGAGGACTCTGAAGTGACATTTGAACAGTCGCTAGAAAACAAGTAATTTTCCACCTTGGTGGTAAGGGTCGGGAGGAGAGGACGGACTAAGAGTACATCTTGTGCAATTTGGGAGCAACAGGTGCAAGGAAAGAATGTGAAAGATCAGGTGTTTAGGGAAGATCTACCAAACTTTAAAAACTGGTATCATTTTCAAGAAAGTGCTACCTAAGCAAAATGTATGCCTTTCAGGTTCCTACCCAAATTAAAAATCCCAGATTAAAGCAGTTCTAGAGATGGGATGTAAGCACAGTCACCTATTTATCATGGAATATGTACATTTTTAAAATAGAATTAAATGGGTGACTTTTTCTTTTTAAAATGAGATATAGCATGCATAAATCATGCTAATATTAAATGTTCAGCTACACGATTGAAAAAAAAAAACTTACATTGTCACTCATGTAACTATGAACCAGATCATATGCAGAAAATTTCCAGCACGTTCACCTCTTATGCCCCTTCTTCCACTCAGTAACCACCTACCCAGTGTAATCATTATTCTGACTTGTATCATAATAAATTAGTTGGTGTTGTTTCTGAAGATAATTTAAATAAATACATGTGACATCTATTGTGTTGTGTCTAGTTTCCTTCAATCAAAATTTTATTTCTTGTACATCTTAAATTAACTAAAAGAGTATAATTGAATTGCTTGTAACACAAGGAAAGGATAAATACTTGAGGCAATTGATTCCCCATTTACCCATTTACCCTGATGTGACCATTACACTTTATATGCCTGTATCAAAATATCTCATGTACCCCATAAATGCACATACCAACTATTACCCACAAAAGTTAAAAAAATTTAAAAAATCTATTTTGAGATTCATCCTGTTTCTTTCATGTATCAGCTTTTGTTTTTCCATTAGAGCTGTATTATATTCCACTGTGTGAACATACCACAATTTATTTATCCTATTTCATGATGGGCATTTCAGTTGTTTCCAGTTTGGGGCTATTATGAATAAAGCTGGTATGAATATATTTATAGTGAATATCAGCATACATTTTTCTTAGATATATACCCAAGAATGAAATCCTGGGCCCTATTTAGCTTAAGTGGATATGAGATATCATTATTTTAAAAATTAAATTTGGCTTGACACTGTAGAGTAATATAAAAAGACAAATAATACTGATAGTAGTTGTATTTATTTGCTAGGGCTGCCATAGAATTCCAGACACTGGGGTGGCTTAAACAGCAGAAATTTATTTTCACACAGTCCTGGAGGCTGAAAGTCCATGATTGTGTTAGCAGATTTGGTTTCTTCTGAGGCCTCTCTTTGGCTTACAGATGGCCACCTTCTTGCTGTGTCTTCATATGATGTTTTTCTCTGTACATGGTTACTCTTGGTGTCTCTTGATGTCCTAATCTCCTCTTCCTATAAGGACAAAAGTTATGTTGACTTAGGGCCTACCCTAATGGCCTCATTTTAACTTAATTATCTCTTTAATGGTCCTATATTGAAATACAGTCACAATCTGAAATACAGAAGTTAAGGCTTCAACATATGAATTTTGGGGGAGCACAATTCAATTCCTAACAGTAGCTAAGTCAGGTAATCTGATTGCCAAACTTTTTTTTAATGTCTGCAAAAATCCATTGACTCAGAAAAGAATGATTCTCTAAATATTAATCCATAAATTATGTGTTGTTTTATTTCCTACAGTATAAAGTCAAGATATGTTTTCTGATTTCAGAGTAGCTTAGAAAAAAATATTCTTTAAAAGAAAAAAAAAAGAGCTTAAAAAATAAACTCCATCTACAGTGTGCTGATATGGTCTGGATGTTTGTTCCCCGCAAATCTCGTGTTGAAATGTGATTCCCAGTGTTGGAGATGGGGCGTGTTGGGGGATGGGGCCTGGTGATTGAATCATGAGGGCAGATTCATCAAGAATGACTTAAGACCAACCCTTCAGTGATAAGTGGGTTCTAGCTCAACTTAGTTCATGCAAGGTTTGGTTGTTAAAAATCCCCCTCTTTGCTCTCTTGCTCCTGCTCTCAACTGTGCAATGTGCCTGCCCCTGCTTTGCCTTCCTTCATGATTGTAAGCTTCCTGAAGCCCTTACCCCATCTGCTGAAGCCCAGCAAATGCTGGAGCTATGCTTATACAGCCTGCAGAGCTGTGAGCCAATTAAACCTCTTTTCATTATAAATTACCCATCCTCAGGCATTTCTTTATAGTGATGCAAAAATGGCCTAATACGTGTACAAACATTATTTCATATTAAATCTCAGAACACTAAGCAATTTAAGTGTTATTACCCCCATTTTACCAATGTGAGAACTGGGGACCAGATGAGTTAAGTGGTCTAGCCTCAGGAGGCAACATCTTTGCCAATAAGCCTAGTAATCTTTTTAGTATATCTAAGTTTTTAATCAAATATATATCCCATAAGATATTGCCTGTGATCTACAACCAGTAGGCCTTGCACTTTTCATTCATTCATCATCACCTATTTATCCAAGCCTATAATATGTATTCATTTATTGTGCCAAAGTTTGTACTGAGTTCTGAAGGTAGATGCATAAGAGAGACAAAATTCCTATCTTTACAGAGCTTAGAGTGTATCATGGAGTTAAATAATTTTAAAGAGCCAAAACAAATGTATTCAATAAATCTATATTGTAAAAAAGTTAACTGTATTATCTTCTTATATTTGAATTTCAACTGTATTATGGCCCCTAATTTATTAGTGGAAACATTTTCTCTGAGGATTTGCCCAAGTTTTGGAGATTGCTTGGTACTCAACCCAGACATGGTGGCCAATATCATTGACATAGTGGTGATGATAACAGAGGTTTTTCACAATTTATGCCCACCTTTGCTGAAAATTGTTTGAAATTTACCCGCAATTTTCTAGGACTGCAAAGAATTCTGATGTTTCAGAGTCAAACATCGAGAAACATCATTGGGCCTTTTCTCCTACTTACACAACACGCTGTAGGGTGAGATACTTGAGGATTTGACTACTTCTGCGACTTCATCTATAGGCCTAGTAGGTTTATAAGCTCCTAAATTTCCTAAACTCTTAAAGTTCCAAAACTTTGTGCTCTTCCTGTTGCCTGCTCTCCCCACCTACCTTCTCTGTGGGAACCAATAAGTTCTGTGCTCTCTTGTTTCCTCTAGGATTCCCCCTCTCCTCACTCCAGTCTAGGAGAACTTTATATAGTCATGGGTAATTGGAGGGCGTGTAATGAGGCTTGCTGTAACTCATCATATACTTTCTATGTGGAAAACTCATTTTGTTAATATATTAAAATACTATCTCACAATAAAACTAACCACAAAGAAAAAATAAGAAGTGGGTATTATAGAGCAGTGCTGACCTGAGCAGGAGCTGTCATGGATTGTCAGGAAGATTCACAGAAATCGTATTTAGAAGATGGATCTAAAGTGCAGGTGGGAATTAACTGGGGAGAAGGGTTGCATGTGTATGTGATTGTCCTAAAGTAGGGAGAAGTTTGATGATTTTTGAGGACCTTAAAGAGGACAATGTGTGACTGGAAGGTGAAAGCAGTGGGAAAAATTATGAGGATGAGGCTGGTTGAGGAAGGCAGGGCCATGTTATGCAGGACCTTAAAGAGTATGTTAAGGATTTTTGGTCTGTGCCCTAAAAGTAATTGAAAATTCTTCAGGGTTTTAATTACAGAAGGGACTTAATCAGGTGTGATTTTTCTAAATGATCTAAATAACTGTTAAATAAGGAAAATCGATTGAAGTGGGTCCAAGGTGCATGCTGAGAAACCAGAGACTATTTAGAAAACGAGCTCCTTTTCAGCAACAGAAAATACCCAATAATAATTAAGCTGTTGATAGATGAGATCTAAGTGCTTACCAGGTGCCAAACACCTAATACTTTTATGTATTATCCCACTGAAATATCACAAAATAATTAGCCTTGTTTAAAGGCAGGGAAAATGAGAAATTAAAGAATTTGAACCTAGGCAATGTGCATAGCTCACATGCTCAGTAAATGCACTGTTTTGATTCATGTAAAAGAAAAAGTCACTGCAATGTAAACTTTTACTGTCTCACATCCTTGTAATCAACAGCAGGCATTTGCAAGTTGGCTATGAAGAATTAAAGAAGCTAGAGAAGTAATTTATTTCATGTAAATATGAAAGTATCTGTAATGCAATCTAATTAGACCTAATGGAAAATTAACATAAGTTCCAGAAATGGTTTTAAAAATGTATATTAGTAATGATTCATGTTTGTAATATAGAATTTTTTTTTTTTTTTTTTTTTTTTTTTTTTTTTTTTTGAGACGGAGTCTCGCTCTGTCGCCCAGGCTGGAGTGCAGTGGCGGGATCTCGGCTCACTGCAAGCTCCGCCTCCCGGGTTCACGCCATTCTCCTGCCTCAGCCTCCCAAGTAGCTGGGACTACAGGCGCCCGCCACTACGCCCGGCTAATTTTTTTGTATTTTTAGTAGAGACGGGGTTTCACCGTTTTAGCCGGGATGGTCTCGATCTCCTGACCTCGTGATCCGCCCGCCTCGGCCTCCCAAAGTGCTGGGATTACAGGCGTGAGCCACCGCGCCCGGCCTGTAATATAGAATTTTTAAACATATTTCTAATATTCAAATTACCAAATTTGAAGATTTTTCATATTTGTTAATTATGTTAATGAACTATATTTTGAGAATCTTACTATGTGCAATACTAAAAATTAATCATATCCCACATGTTTTATTGAACATTTACCTCTCTGAAAATGAAATCATTTACTTTTCATAAAATTCTTCTGCGTCACTACACGTTTATTATTTTTCATCTCAGTACAGGTTAAAGGTGTAGTATTCTTTCTAGTTAAAATAAAGAAAATACTAGAGGAGACCTAACATTTTGTGAGTAAAATGATTCTCTGTCATAAATGCCTTCTATCATAAAATATTTAGAAGTACAGTACCAGAATATACCATCTTACCATTTCAACTGTGATCCATAAACACTGGCTGTGGAATCTCAGAGGTGTTCTTGTTTAGTGTCAACAAGTGAAAAGTGAACCACAGCATCTGTTGTTTGTGAGTTTTCTCCCCATGATGATTATGTCAGTTTCCAGAGTTGGAGGAGGAGGGGTGTTTTTATTTTAAGAGGTAGCTTGTTTCCATCCTTTGCATTTGGGTTGTGTAATGCTATAATTTTATATTCGACTATGGAAACTAGCAGAAGGAGAATTCTTTTCCATTGAGAGAAGTTAATAATAGAGTTTAGTAAAATATTTTACTAAGAGCCAAGTGTACTACAATTGATCTAATAGTTCTAGTAGCAATCTAGCTCTGTAGCATAATGACTCAAAATCTGGGAGAGTTCCTAATCCAATTTTCACACATCCACATGCACAAACACACAATTTCATAATCTCTTCAAAAAGATAAAATAATATAGAAAAGAACATAGGATAACATACCCAAAAAGAAGAAATAAAAATATTCTGTTATACTTGCATCATATTATTTTATATATTTTTGAGAAATGAATCAATATAAATAATATTGTAATCATCTATGTTCCTCTTTCCAGTGTTATGCCCCAGTAACAATAATTATAATGATGTTTGAAGCTATGAATGCTTTTATATTTAGTAAGGTGTATATATGTATATATATATATCATAACATATTTTTCTTTTTAATTGATGTAAAATATTTTAAAAACTATATAATATATACACACTTTGCTTGTTGACTCAATGTTATGTCTGTTTGCCAATCTATGTTGATTTATATAGTTCTAGTTTATATAGTTGGCAGTTGTGTAATATTCCATTGTTCAGATATGGCAACCTGTATTCTTCCATTTCTCTTCTGCTAGATAGTGAGTTGCAGTGGTTTAACAAAAATTCTAATGTAAGTATTTTGAGGATATATGATAAAATTTATAACATTTTCTTATGTCCATACGTGGACATTTTGAGTCATTGGGCATACACATTTTCAGCTATATACACAGTAGTAAATTGCTCTTGGGATTATTTGTAGCAATTCTACCAGTTCTCCTTTTCTTTTCTTGTCAACATCTTCCTATTTTTTTCTTGAGATGGCATCGTCTAGTTTTGTCTACTAAGTTTTATGTATATATATATATGTGTGTGTGTGTGTGTGTGTGTATTATAGTTGCAACATATAGAAAGAAAGTAACAAGGACTATGCTTATTTTATAATAAAGAATTGCATATTTATCTGTCAGTAATTGCATATTTCATTGGGTGATCTCATTTAGTTTACGGGTTTTAAATACAATCTATATTCTAATGACTTTCAAATGTATATCCTAAAACTGGGCTTCTGGGCTTCCACATTGACTCTAGTCTTGTGTAAACAATTGCCTACTATTAATAGAGTGTCCAAATCGGAATTCCAAATGTTTTCTGCCCAAACCTTCTGCTCTAACAGTCATCTCTGTCACAGTCAATGACTACCTCATCCTTCCAACCTCATCTGCCCATCTTGACTCCTCTTTTTATCTTATATTCCACATAATACTTTATATCCAACCCTGTTGGCTCTGCTTTCGAAATACTATATCAGCCACTTCCTAATATCTGTCACATCCACTGTCATCACCACTGTCACAATCCACTGTTCAAGAAAACATCACCTCTGCCCTGATTGTTGCAATGGGCTCCCAAATGGCCTTGCTGCCACCACCCTTGCCCACTTACAGTCTGTTCTAACAGGAGTCATCTGCTGAAACCTTGTTCACATTATGTCACTCCTCTACTCAAAATCCTCCAACTCCCTCTATTTAAAATCCAAAGTTATTTTATGGCCTTCAAGGTCCTACCTGATCTTGACCTCATAACTGTCAGAAATCTCCTATAACTTCCTTCACTGTTTTTCATTAAGCTACAGTGACATTGCCCTCCTCATTGTTCACAGAACACAACAGAGACATTCTTGTGTGTCAGGCTTGGATGGGAACACTCCAACTCCCAATACCTACAATGTCCACTTTTCTAAGCCCCGTAGCCCTTTCCTTTCCTCAAAAGTCACTTCAGAGATGCTTTCTAGCCTCTATATAAAAATTTCAACAACCCACCACATACAACACACTCAAAGTATTATAATCTCCTTCTCTGCATTATTTTTTCTCCTTAACTCTTATCAATACAAATATGTACTATATTTCAGTTTCACTGGCTCCTCAGCCCTTAGCACAGCGTCTGCTCCCTGGAAGACACAGATAGTGAATATTTCTTCATTTAATAAAACATATATTCTAGTGAAAGTTATAGGTTTACAGTAAGTTATAAACCATACTACATTTACGTTTAAATTGTAAAAATTAAAACTAACACACCTATTTATAAAAGTTAACTTAATTTGGAAGTGAGTGTCTAAAGAAATTTCTTTATATCTTTAATGAAGTATGACTTTTGATAAAATTGCTATTTATGTTGATAAATATCATAACCTTTGATATTTTAAAATCATGGAAATATCGCTGTAAATAGAAGATTTAACCATCTTCCTGTTTGATTATTATCAAATATTTTGCATACTAAAGTGAATATTTAACTAGGCATTCAAAACTTTCAAAATGCTAGTTGACAGTATCTCATTGTAGCGGGTGTGTCTGTGATATCGTAGGTAAAAATATCTCTCAAGATGTAAATCAGACATGTATTATTACAGTTTCTTTGCTTTCCAAAAAAGTATGCTTATTCAAATGCATTTTACTTTATAGTTACATAATACAAATTTAGCAATACTAGCAACTTTTTTTCTAGCTAAAATATTGCCAATGTAATCTATATATATATATGTATGTGTATGTCTGTGTGCATTTTACACACATACTCATAGATATCAAGCCTTTGAATGCATCAAGTAAATTCAAAACAGATTACAAGAAAATACATACAAGTTGAATGTATTTGGAAATGAAATCACTTAAAATAACAAATTTACAAGAAAAAAACAAACAACCCCATCAAAAAGTGGGCGAAGGACATGAACAGACACTTCTCAAAAGAAGACATTTATGCAGCCAAAAAACACATGAAAAAATGCTCATCATCACTGGCCATCAGAGAAATGCAAATCGAAAACACGATGAGACACCATTTCACACCAGTGGCAATCATTAAAAAGTCAGGAAACAACAGGTGCTGGAGAGGATGTGGAGAAATAGGAACACTTTTACACTGTTGGTGGGACTGTAAACCAGTTCAACCATTGTGGAAGTCAGTGTGGCGATTCCTCAGGGATCTAGAACTAGAAATACCATTTGACCCAGCCATCCCATTACTGGGTATATACCCAAAGGACTATAAATCATGCTGCTATAAAGACACATGCACACGTATATTTATTGCAGCATTATTCGCAATAGCAAAGACTTGGAACCAAGCCAAATGTCCAACAACGATAGACTGGATTAAGAAAATGTGGCACATATACACCATGGAATACTATGCAGCCATAAAAAATGATGAGTTCATGTCCTTTGTAGGGACATAGATGAAATTGGAAATCATCATTCTCAGTAAACTATCGCAAGAACAAAAAACCAAACACCGCATATTCTCACTCATAGGTGGGAATTGAACAATAAGAACACATGGACACAGGAAGGGGAACATCACACTCTGGGGACTGTTGTAGGGTGGGGGGAGGAGGGAGGGATAGCACTGGGAGATATAACTAATGCTAGATGATGAGTTAGTGGGTGCAACGCACCAGCGTGGCACATGTATACATTGTATACATATGTAACTAACCTGCACACTGTGCACATGTACCCTAAAACTTAAAGTATAATAATAATTAATAAATAAATAAATAAATAAAAGAAATAAGGGCCAAGAGTGTGGAAATAGGCCCTAAGATTTGACAAGGAGTATGTCATTGTTTACTTTGGTGACTATACTTTTTTTGTAGTTATACTGTCATAAACTGATATAAATCTTTGAAAAATAAAAAGAGATTGTGAGAACATAAAAAAAAATGCCTGTTGTGAAACAATCATTAGAGTATTGTGAGCTGTATTCTTTGGTTCAGCTTTGCTCACAGTGCCTAACTCATTATAAATTTACCCACATTTTCTTTAATTTAATAGCATTTACTCATCCCCATCATCCCCTGCCTTTGAAATAAGTGAACCGCAAACTTTTGATTATAATCTTGTAGCCATAGAAAACTTGGAAAATATAATCTCAATTTAAAATTAACTCTTTCTCTTTAGATTGAAAAAAATGCTTGAGTTGCATACCCTCTCTGAACCACAGGTGATATTTCATAAGTTTAAAGCACATTTTTTAAAAAGAGTACTTTTTCAAATAATTTTCCATGCCTTCATGCAGCAGGTAACCCAAACCTTCATAATCCCCAAATGCTGCACTTCAAAGTTTTGCTCGGGAAAAAAATATTGAAAAGAACAGCCTCTCTTTCCAGTTGATTTAAAACATCACTAGCTTATTTTCAGTACACATATGGAGTTACTTTTAAAAAGAAATCTTGGAATATTGCCAGACTACATACAGGAAAGGCTTTTCTTCAGAGAAAGCTAAAATTCATTATCTGAGGTTTGGGACACCCATGTTCCTTCAAAATTTGGACACATCTTTGTTCCCTCGTGATTAGTGATAGTTTAACTTAAAATGAGAAAGTACTGAATGTGTGACTATAGTCTGAAGAAACCAAATTATTGTATTGTTTGAACTGATGCTGATTAACAGTTACCTACATAAATAAAATATCACTTTGCATGATGATCACGTTAGAATAAATTAGAGTATTTGTAAAATCTGATATTATTTATGAAATATAACACTTATTTGTTTATCAGCAGTATTAAAGTTAAATTTAGGCCCTTTTTCATATCTCTCTTTCATTAAATGGTTAGCTTCTCTCATTTAAATCTATCTGAAATTTTTTATTTCGGGAAAAAACTCATTAAATCCAAATAATTTTAGGGCAATATAATTATGTTATTATTGTTTTTAGTGACCATTTCATCATGATAATGTTTAAACATTTTAAACCTCCTTTTTCTTTTTTTTTCTTTTTCTGAGAGGGAGTCTTGATCTGTCGTCCATGCTGGGATGCAGTGGTGCAATCTCTGCTCACTGCAACCTCCCCCTCCCAGGTTCAAGCGATTCTCCAGCCTCAGCCACATGAATAGTTAGGATTACAGGAGTGCGCCCACAGGCCTGGCTAATTTTTGAATTTTTAGTAGAGAGAGGGTTTCGCCAGGTTGGCCAGGCTGGTCTCAAACTCCTGGGCTCGAGTGGTCTACCCACCTCGACCTTCCAAAGTGCTGGGATTTCAGGCATGAGCCACCACACAGGGTCCTTTAATCCTGCTTTTGATGCACAAAATGAAACTAACAAAGGTGGAAATATTGTTACACATTAAGAAAAAGATTAATATCAGCATAATAATTTCAGTAATAATCAATATTTCACTGTGAAATACTACAAAGTGGTAATTATTTTTAGATTTATTACATATTTTTCCCAAGGCATATAACATATATTAGGGGTTTTTCTGAAAAGGTAGGAACAAAATTCTCCTAACTGATGATAAATAGCCTATGAATATAAAACAAAATTAATATATACTAATATGAAACAAATTAAGTAAATACAAACCATGCTCTCTCTAAAAGATAAAAGTTTAACATGTGCAGTGCATCCACAAAATTGAATAAAGACTAAGAATATGATTTTTTAAATATCGATTTTATACATATGAAAGAATAAGTGTACTTTGTTATATGCTGAGTAAAGAAGCTAAGGGACCTTATTATCCTCATTTTTAATTATTCAGGAAAGAATATGTGGAATTACAGAAACCGCATCAATGAAGGAAGAGAAAGCTTCAGCAAGTTGGAGGTGCATTTTATATCACACATGAGCATTACCTATCATGGGAGTTTTCACTTACTTTGTTCTTGTCCACAAAATAGGCATGGACACCTTTTGTATATGCATAATTTGATAAAATCAGGTATTATGAACTTAATAATGAGTGATTTCAAATGGAACCAAAATGTAAGCTCTACTTTAAAGAGTAATGGTCGAGTTGGGCAGGATTACTTCTGCAAAATGAATTAGAACACTATGAACTGTAATATATCAGCAATAAGTCTAGTATATTTCAAAACCACAGCTATTGGAGAAATGAGTCTGAATCACTTGAGCATCACAAATCCTAGGCCATATTTTTATTTCCAGTCTAACCGTTTGTGCTGCTTCCAAGTACGCAGCTCCAGTTTCCCAAGTACGCAGCTCCAGTTGATTTCAAAGGCAGTAGATGAGAGATAAAGAGGAGCAAGGATTGTTCTACCTCAGCAATTCATGATCCCTCTAAGGCCATTGATTTTGAAAGAATATGGAGACCTTGGCGTCTCAGCAGAATAGATCCAGCTACTCTTTTCTATCCTACTCCCATGAGGTAGGCCAAGCATTTATCCAGTTTAGCATAGCAAATGATTCTCCATGTCCAGAAAATTACAACACTCTTCCTCTCTTCACTCTGAGGAGTCATAAAACCTAAATTAAACATAACTGTCCAAAGAATTATTTTCAGTAATGTTAGCATTTCAACAAGGGAAATAAATGGAACAATGTGATTTAAGTATTATTATAATATCAAATATAATAATGTATTAGAACATTTAAACATCCTTAACTTAACATTATTCATTTAAAATATTTACTTATTAAATTATTAATTTTAAATTATTTAAATTATTAATATTAAAGTTGTGGTTAAAAAATATTTTATGGGCGTAGGGTAAAGTTGTATAGTATATTACTTAAACATGTGTGCTTATAATTCTCAGAATAGTTAAAGCTTTCTAAGTGATATTTCTTAGACATAAATATGTCCCTTATACATGAATACCTTTTTTCTTTGAATATTTTCTTCATTTCCATGTAAATAGTGTATGTATGTGTGTTTATTTATAAGCCTCATGCAATTATAATGGTCTAGTAATGTGTTTTGGTGTCCAAAATATTTTCAACTAACTTATATAGCTGTGCTAAGATTTTTCAAAATGAACAAATACTTAAAATACAGCTTTATAAACCATATTAATTAGTGTATCACATCCTTCAAAAGAAGTGATTAAAACTGCTGAAAGGAATAAATTAAGTTAAAAACTTTGGATATATGTAGTAAAAATATCTGACAATTAAAATATTGGCTGACTTCAGTTACTATACTGTTACATACATTATTTTATTTAATTGATGCAAAATCTTTGTGAAATAAGCAGTATTTTGCTCCATTTTGCATATATTAAAATGGAGGGATAGAGGGGTTTAGGAATTACCCAGTTTTAAAGATGGGACAGAGTTGGAACATGGACTCAGGCCTATCTGAATTGAGAATCCTATGTTCTTAAATATTCATATATTTTATCACCTTTCTGTTCTGGTGACATAGTGTCTGTGACTAGGAGAATTTTAAGATAAGATTTCTAGATAAAGAGTGTGTATTTTAGGAGTGCATTTTTGTTTTCAAAAATATGCTTGTTCAACTTAATTTATAAAATATATTCTCTTCTGAAATTATTGGGTTCCATTCGCGTCGGCCATGTTCTGAAGGCTAACAAGGATAGCAAAGATGAGGTCAAGGTCCTTGGAGAGCTAGCCCTACAGAGGAGAGGTCAGAAACTTTTTTGTATGGAGCCAGAGAGTAAATATTTTCTGGGCCATACAGTTTCCCAAAACTAATTGGCACTCTTGTTTTTAGCAAGAAATTTGGCACAGAAAATATGTAAATAAATGATCATGGCTGTGCCCCAAGAAATGTTTATTTATAGATATAAAAAATTAAACTTCATGTAATTGCCAGGTGTCAATAAATACTATTCCTATTATGATTGTTTCAACCACTTAAAAGTGTAAAAATTCTTCTTAGCTTCCAAGCCATACCAAAACAGGGATTCAGCTGGATTTGGCCAGTGAACCTGTGAACCGAGGTTGGCCAACTCCTGTGCAGAATTGCCCTGGCCATTGAGCACTTAAATTTGGCTAGTCCAAATTGAGTTGTGCTGTAAGTATAAAATACATACCAGATTTTAAAGATTTAGTCTAAAAAATTTCAATGTCTCATTTATAATTTTTATGTTGGTTATGTTTTGAAATAACCAGCTTTTGATACATTGGGTTAAATATCTTACTACAATAAGGTTCACCTGTTTAGTTTTTTCCTTTTTGCTTACCCACTATCTACACATATTTTTTTCTTAAATTGTGCTTAAATTCTTCCCTTCCTGTACCTTTTCTGCCACCACTCTCTTATTTCATAATTGATCTCATAGCCTTCATTGTCTCCTCAACACACATCTTATTTTTTGTTTTTTCTTATTTTAAATCTTCTGGTTCTTTGTCACATGGTCTTTAGGAGAAGTTTTTGACAATGAGTTTTTCATATCCAGTGCTTTCTGTTGGGGCACTCTAAGACAGGGAGTTAGAGGAGGGAAAGCTTTCTGGCTTCTGAGCTTACTGACTACTTCAGTGAGTAACATTCTTCTTATTTTCTTTTTTGGACATGGAGGTAAGATTTCCTTTGACATACTTTCAATCCTTAGAAACTTGGGCAAATATGTCATTCTGGCTTCAAAGTACTTACCAACACAATTTCCCTCCTCTTTCACACCTCCTACAACGAAGTTGTAAAAGACGGTAAAATAGGTGATTCTGTGAAAGAAAAAAATACGTAGTCAATTTGAAACGCAGAATTTACTAAGGGGACAAGTATGGGCTTTGCATAATTGTCCCCTTAGTAAATTGGACTATTGGCCAGAGCAGGGAAATAAGAAAAAGTTATTGTTGAGAGTGAGAAATATGAAGAAACACTTTTAGAGAGAAATGAAGAATGTTGCTATTCCACTCTCAAAAATTGGGAGCAGTCAAGGATACTATATCTTTTACCTTAATGCCTTGTTTATTAGTTAGGGTTTTCCACAGAACCTGAACCAATAGGAGAGATAGGTAGATAGATGGATGGATAGATAGATAGATAGATAGATAGATAGATAGATAGATAGATATAGATATAGGTATAAAATATAAACCCTAACGCATATATATTTCTAATATATATAGCGTGTGTGTATATATATAAAATCTACAACTGAAACAATAGGATATCTATATTAGAACCCTAATATATATATTTTATATATTTTATATATATACATATAGTATGTGTGCATGTGTGTGTGTATTAAACTGAAATTGAACCAATAGGATGTGTGTATGTGTGTGTGTGAATATATATGTACACACACATATATATGAACTCTAAATATCACATATATATAGTGTGTGTGTATATATATATATATTATACAAGAAGAGATTTATTAAGAGAATTGGCTTATGCAATTGTGGAGGCCAAGAAGTCCATGATCTACAACCTGCAAGCTGGAGAACCAGAAAGGCTGGTGGTATAATTCAATCTGAGTCTGAAGGCCCAAGAATTAGGAGCACCCATGTGTGAGGGCAAGAGAAGATGAATATCCAGGCTAACAAAAAGAAAGAGCAAATTCACTTTTTTTTCCTGCCTATTTTTTTTCTATTCAGGCTTCATTGTGTTAGACGATGTCCACTTACAATGATGAGGGAGAATCTTGTTTCCAAAGCCTATTGATTCAAATGCTAATTGCTTCTGGAGAAATGTTCACAGACATACCTAGAAATAATGTTTTACCAGCCACCTTGGAATTCCTGAGCCCAGTCAAGTTGACAAACAAAATTAATTATCGCACCCTGTGAGGGAGTGTCTTCAGGCTTGTGGAAAATATCTGGTAAGTTCTCTCTAAAACTAAGTGGATCCAGGAAAAGTGGACTGGTGCCTGACTCACCCCGGAGAAAGCAGTAAGGTAGAGGCAGTGGCACTAATGGCCCATACTCTACACTTAGGTTCTTCCTTGGAAGAAAGTCTAGGCTATGAAGAGAACTGCAAAGTAAACCAAGAGTGAGACTGAGTTACAAGCCAGAGTGTTGCAGAGTGTGTTCCTTAGAGATGGGCTCTGAATTTCCCACAAATGCCCTTATAAAGGGACAGGTCACATTAACCAAGTCTTAGGCTCGGGGAGTGTGAAGCCACCCAGAAAATAAAACCATCTGTTCTATCCTTCAACCTCTCCTGTCTTCTCCCACTTCAACCCTGCTACAAGAAACAAAAGAAGTAAATGGGGAGCATGGACAGGAATACCCTATCTTCTTCCAGGAACACACTTCCATTTACAGGACTGATCGTGGCTTAGAGGGAGAAAAAGCTTTATTTTAAGAACAAATATATTAACTAATATCTTGGGCTGCACAAATTCTAATTTCTGAATTGGGGCTTTATTTTAGAACTTAAGATCAATTTATGATTATCTTTTGCTGAAGAGTGAGTAGCAAATTCAAAGAACTTTGTAGTTTGATCTCAGCTCATAAGCCATGTATTTCATATACCATTTATCCAAAATTTGCTTCTGTCACACACATTCATATTCACATATCACTCACCTTTTAGAGAATACATAATGCAATTCTTTCTACCACTGTCCTCCAGTATATACTCTTTACTGACTTCAGAGAAGATCTTCTATGGTGTCAGAGTGCTTCCAAAGCCCATCTGTATCCTCACTTCCGTTATGAGGAATCTTTACTTTCCATACAGGCTTAGTCTCTGTGTCATGAGCATTCACTTAAAACTTGGGGCATGGCTACAACAAAGCCCTTACTTCAATTAGGATACTGAAAGGAGTAGTACATGGTCTCCTGCGTGAAGAGGCTCACAGTGAAAGGGGAGATGCTTGTAAAATATAAATCAGAGAGGCTCAGGAGAGGAAAGCATTCAATTTTAGCTTTTTGATTTTGTAATTTCCCCAAAAATGGGTAACCAAACTGTCTACAATAAACAAAGCTATACTACATTTAACTTCATTTCATTGTGGTTATTTGTATTGGAATGTTTTCTCTCCTCTCAAACATAAATGAATCAAAAAATATTAAGCTTGATTTCCCACAAAAGATCGAGGGAGAATAAAATTAAGGCATTTCTAACATAGCTGAAAAACCCACATTATTATCCCACTTCCTGAAAAATCTTCTTCAAAAATATTCTTTAGCTCCAATAACAACAATTTAAACTCCAATAGGAACTTTTCTTCAAAGAGTTAAACCACTTTGTCAGTCTGTGATAAGCAAAATCGAGATCTAAAAGCACTATGAGAAGATCCTTGGTTTTGATTGATTGTACTTTAATTTTATTTTAAATTTTGCATACTTGCAAATTTCCTTGGATGATCATAGATTAAGTCAATTGATTACAGATATTTTAGGAACTCATATGATGCCTACTTTCCAAATTGAGAATAATAATACTCTAACCAATATAATTATACATATTTATTATGTCAGTTTCCTAAGCCAATGTTAATCAAAATACGTTTCTAGACAGAAATAATAATAGGATTTTCTCAAAATTAAAGAAGAATTACCTGGACCAGTCCATCATAGGTATTTTAGGTTAAGATCCATCAGAATCTCTCTTGCTTTCACTGAGTCTATGGGCATTTGTATGACTTATGGTTTTTGTTTTTGTTTTTAATTCACAGAAATGTTGTTAAGCAAATCAATATAACTTCAAGATGTTGCTTCGGCTATAAGGAGCAATCAGTTCAGGTGCTGAGATAGTCTGGAAAATTCTCAACTAAATTATCTGAGATGTCTAAATTTCCAAACCATAAATATTAAGTTAAATATTAGAAAATTGACCTACAAGTATTTTAGTGTTTTGCTTACTAGCTGCTCCCTGAGGCTTACTCTGGGTCTTAAAGATAGAAATGGAATATGGTAGAAGACACATTATTTCTAAATCTTCCCTAGAGTATCCCTTTTCTAATTAATAATTGACATTAAATAAAAATTGTAACAATAATACAATTAAAATTAAAAGGAAAATAACGTTCAGTGTTTTCTTTTATTGCAAAGATTATTTTTTTTTATTGACACACATTGTAAGAATTGTAACTGCTTAATATAGCTTCTGGAAATGACTTCAAAGACTTTTCAGTTTCACTCTTTTAAAAATGACTAATATAAAATTATTATAACTAACATAAAACTTAAATGTGCTCCTACAAAAAAGTAAGATTTTTCTCTTTGAGCAATTTTTATTTAGAAGATTATTCTTAAAAAGCATTGATCTCTTTCTATACCACACACACAAGTTCTAAGTACAAGAAGTCTATTGCTAAGGAGATTTTATGTCACATTGCTTGCCATGGAATTAAAACTTTTCTTGACTAATAGAGTATTATAAAGAATATCTTTGGAAATATTGAAATATTCTCAAACCACTTATTTTCTTAATTCACTTATCAAATACTTATTGAGCAACCAGTATGTACTACGCATAATTCTAGTTACAAGGAATTTAACAGTGAAAAAATAAAAAGACAAAATTACTTGCCTTCATGGAACTTACATTCTCGCCAAGAATTACAATAATACTCCTTAAGGGAGAACATTAAAATGACTACACTAAAAAGCATATATTATACATTTTATAATGAAGTTTTCTGTTAATATCATATTAATGTTCTCAGAATGTCAAAAGCGACTAACTACTTTTAATCGTTAGTTAACTTTTTACCTAGTATATGAAAAAAAGAACTTAGAAACAAACATCTATCCTTGTGTATCCATGTCCTACTCTAATGAAAACGAAAGGAAAGTTTTACGATAATTTAAAGTACCTAAAAAGTTGACTTTTCATAGGCTCAATAATATAGGTTGAAATACTGCTGTGCTGGCGGGCTTTCCTGTAATACAATTTCTTTGACTTCACTTTGAGAAAAAGAAACCCTTTTTTTCCTAAGCACTTCATGTAGCACGTTAATTCAGCATTAATTATAGAACATGTCAAACTGTATTTCAGTCAAAGCTCCCTGTAAGTCTCCAGAGCTTTCTTAATGACAGTAATTATAGGTCATAAAAAGAGTCGTCTAAAATTAACATTTCTCTCATGTCTTGATAGGAAAATGTAAATGGCTGCACAGTACAGATGTTTTGATTAGTAAAATTTACACTTCCTTTTTTGTTTCAATGCCTGTCAAACTTCACAGTGTTAAACATAAAGTGCCACATTTCTCATCTCTCTGAGTAGATAAAGGTGCATCAAAGTGGTTGTAGAAGTTCTTAAAATGCTTTACCTTATTATTTTGTACTGCAATTAAAAATAAATCAACAATTTCTCCTTCAGTAAGGGATGAGCAAAACAAATTATTAGCTTTTAGAAAAATCTGCAAAAAGTTTATAGAATTGTGTTTAAAGGAAATTTATAAAAATGACTTATTAGAATGTAGAAAAACATCACTCAACTTATATGCTGACTTAAATCTCCTGGTAAACTATATTTTATCATATAGTATCAGAAAACGCACATAAAGCCTGCTCTATTCAGAACTGTCAAAATTTACTTACTACAAAATGAGAATGGAAACATTCTGGTTTAAACAATGTTAATATCATCAAACATCCAGGGAAATATAACAAATTAAAAGAGAATCACTTCAAAGAATAAAAGGCCTACACCTTAAGTAATAATAAATCTAATACTTGACATTCATCTCCCTGGAAAATAAAATTAGATAAACTTTTGCAAGGGCATTCAGAACAGCCAATCCAGTTTATTAATAATTTCCTGTTTTCATATTGGAAGCTCATATTATCTGGCCCCAGCCACAGTAGACCTCCACAGATATTTAATAAAGCTGCCATCAGTAATCCTCTCTGATTACCTATAACCTTCCAGCTATAACACACACTGTGCTGCAGCTCCACAGAAGGACAGCACAGTGTCACCTGCTATGATGTTTGACAGCTTATTCTGCGACATCAAGCCAGCACAAAATTACTTTTTCCAAATCCATCCTTGGTTAATAACCAAAAGCAATAATGGTATTCAGCATGCGTAATACTCTGAAAAGGCAAAATGAGGCAACAGAGAAAAAAAAAAGATTAAAGAGTGACTATTATGGAGGTGAGATCAAAAATGGAATCTTGTAACACACAACAATGTTTCAATTATAACACCATGCTGAGAGTTCTACATATCACTCTACAAAATCCACACTGCAGGGCTAGAAACATGGAAAAGATTTCCTATTGTATTTACACTAGGTGCCTGATTATTCTAGTTCATCCCACACAACATTTGAGAATTTTCTTTCTAAATTATTCTTAGACATTCTCTTGGGAAACTAGAAATGATGTATCTTTAGTGGAACTGTCTGGCTAATGGAAATGCATTGCTTTGATCTCACCTTATGGTTTGCAAGAGTAATAAGGTATTTTGTTTATAGAATAGATCAGACTAAACTTAATACAAATTTACAAGCACACCAAATTCAATTTAATAGATGTTTTTAAAGATGAAACACTAAATTAAAAGTCTCAACCCTCAATTGAAAAATAGTTGTTTATATGATATAGCAAGGATACAGTATTTTACATTTATCTTCATTATAAACAAGTGAATGACCTTGGCATAAGGTTGAATCTGACTGTGACAATTAATGGAGAAAAAGTGAACAAATGTTTTCTTTCTTTCTTTCCTCTATTAATTCTTCTAACTTTATTTTTCTCTTATTTTCTCCTTGCATGTCTCCCTTTATTCTTTTCTCTTCTTGTCCTACAATCTTTTTCAGTAAGACTTTATATACTTTGCATTTTATAGAAGACTAACAATAGTTACAAAATGCTTTTATATTCTGAATTCTTATATATATAAGAAAGTCATAATCAAGTTAAATACATTATCAAAAACTCAGAATATACATTGTGTGTTTATATTTTATATATCTACACAGATTTAAAGGTGCCTCTCCCTGACAATAATACAGTCACGTGCCACATAACATTTCAATCAAAGACAGACTGGATATACACAACGGTCATCCCGTGAGATAAGAGTACCGTATTTTTACTGTACCTTTTCCATACCTAGACATGTTTAGATATGTAAATATTTACCATTGTGTTACAATTACCTGTACTACTCAGTTCAATAATGTGCTGTACAGATTTGTAGCCTAGGAGCAATAGCATCTAGCCTAGGCGTGTAGTAGGCTGCACCATCTAGGTTCATGTAAGTCCATTCTATGATGTTCACACAAGACAAAATCACCTAACAATGCATTTTTTAGACATATCCATATGGTTGCATATGGTTGAGTGGCACATACCTGTATTTGTATTATATATTTGACATAATGGGGGTAAATCATTGAAACCTTGACCTCCAAACCTACTTTCCTTTCTGTGGTCCACATCTCCATAACATGATTTTATACCCAGGAGTTTATGACAGAAATGGTACTGTTAGCTTGACACCTCTCCTTCCTTTCTGCTCCATCTCTGATTATTCACTCAGTTCTACTTTTTAAATATCTTTTGAATTCAACCGTTTACTTCTTTCCACCTCTACTGCCTCCCATCGTCCAAAGCCACCATCATTACTCACCTGGACTGTACGTAGACCTACTAAAATCACCTCCTGATCTTGCTTCTCTCCAACCTAAACTGGAACTTGAAGCAATCATTTGAAATGCAAATATAATGTGTGTTTTTTTCTCCTTCCTGAAACTCTTTAATGCTTCTAATGGCTTTTGGTATAAAGTAGAAACTGTTAGTTACTGTGACCTAAAAGAAAAGGTATGATTTGGCACTTGCTCACCTTGCCAGCTTTTCTTGGTGACCATTCTAGGTTTCCTTATTCTAAGTTACTCAGCAGTGCTCTTTAGACTCTAGCCAAGCTGGCCTTTTTTCCTGCCTCTGGGCCTTTCTCCTCAGCTTCTCCCTCCTATGAGGAAATGCTCCCACACTACTTAGCTGGTTTTCTCCTATTCAGCTTAAATATCATTTCTTTGTGTATGATTTCTCTGACTACCTAATATAGTTCACCCTCCCATCTTTGTTTTCATGAGTCCTTTACTTTCCCTTCACAAAATAATCACATCTTGAATTAAGTATATTGTACATTTAATATTTTTGTCTACTAGTAGACTATAGGCTCCATGAAGGTAGGGAGAAGACTTGGTCTCTTCTATGTTCAAAGTTCCTACTCCAATGCTTGACACCCAACAGCTTCTCAATAAATCTTATTTTTTTATGTTTGTGGTTTTATTTTTTATTTTGTGATTTTTTTTCACATTGCATGCCTATTTGAGCAATGCACAATGGTCCCTTAAACATGACTCACTACCCTAAGGATATAATGGGTCTCAGTTGGATTAATGGGATATTTCTGATGAATAAAATACTATCTACCTGGGCCATTCTGTACCACATAGCACAAGAGAAATTATATGAGCAGCAAAATGAAGCTCAAACATAAACTAAATTAGGTAAAGGGTAAAGATTCCAAATATGCAATACTTAATCTCCAATTAATATAACCTGGGATATATTATTGTATCTGAAACCAGCGAACTCTAAGGATTTTGTATATATTCCAAATTTGATTACTTTTTATATGCTATTCTATTAGAGCTGTTTCATAGAAGCAGGTTAGTTCTGGGTATATACACTCTTAGTATGTATATATATTTTTGAGGTACATGAGATGTTTTGATATAAGCATGCAATGTGAAAAAAATCACATCACAGAGAATGGGGTATTCATTACCTCAAGCATTCATCCTTTGTGTTACAAATGATATAATTACACTCTTAGTTATTTTAAATTGTACAATTAAGTTATTATCGGCTATAGTCAAAAGAAGGGGATTCAATAAATCAAAGAGATATCTGAACCCCCATGTTTGTTGCAGCTCTGTTCATAATAGCTAAGATTTGGTAGCAACCTAACAGTCCATCAACAGATGAACAGATAAAGAAAATGTGGCACATGTATACAATAAATGTATTTTTAATGAATTCACTGAATATAGACATTTTCTCTCAGCAAACAGATTATTTATTGGACAACTCTAAAATAAACTAATTATTATGCAGGAGTGTTTTTGCACATTATCTTCCTCATGTTGGATTCCCCGGAAATGGATCTGAGATAATTTTTATAAAAGTTACTAATTAAGGAAGTGTTTTCAGGAGACACTGGTAAGAAATAAAGAGAATCAGAATAAAGAAAGAGAAAGAAAAACAAGCAAGGAAGTAACTTTAGGCCAATCATTCCTTGTAACCTAATCTTACAAGGAATCTGTGAAGTACAAATTATCCCTAAGAATTGTGCATTGTCCCATCTTTAGGCAAGTGAGCTTGAGTGGAGAGATGAAAACTCAGACACATCCAGTTATCTGCAAATGTATGGAAAGTGACTCCATTTGAAGGAGGGCAATTCTTCCAAAGAGGAGTAGAAGTGTGGACTATTAGTAGCCCGAACCATGAGATGGGGACAGAGAAATGGCAAAAGACAACTAAAGCATAGCATCACCAGTAGCTGTTACTGAATATAAATACTTAGAATATTTTGGACTATTTTTATAAAAGATATAAACTGAAATTCCATTGCCTTGGTGAAAAGTTAATCACATACTTTCTGTTAAACCTTGTAGAACACATGTCCCATCATTTTATGCCTAAACACGTCTTTCACCTATTTTGGGGTGAAATTATTCTGATTTCATATGCTTCTCTATAAACATTGAAGTGAGAATTTAATACAAAATCCTTGCAGATTGTTGCAAAAACCTAAGTTCCATTTGTGAACTCAGGAGTCATGCCAGGTCTGTTGGTGCAGATTCATAACAATGCTATATTGTATTTTGTTTCCATCAACATTTAGGGCTTCAGCAAATTTTATGTACCATGGTCCCTCTCTTATTTCTCTTAATTTGAGCAATGCACAATGGTCCCTTAAACTTGACTCACTACCCTAGGGATAAAATGGGTTTCCTTTGGATTAATGCAATATTACTGATGGATAAAATACTATCTACCTGGACCATTCTGTGCCACACAGCACAAGGGAAATTATATGAGCAGGGGAATGGAACTCAAACATAAACTAAATTAGGCAAAGGATAATTTAAAGATTCCAAGTACACAATACTTAATCTCTCATTAATATAACCTGGCATGTATTATTATGTCTGAAACTAGTGAACTCTAAGGATTTTGCATATGTTCCAAATTTGATTACTTTTTATACTCTATTAGAGCTGTTACACAGAAGCTGGTTAGTTCTGAGTTTTTAATCTCATTCTGCATGTAGCAAGTAGTGTGCTAATATCATTCTGGGTTTTTAGAATATTTCTTTAAACAACTACCACTGTCTTTTGTTCATCAGATATAATCATCGGTTTGTAGATTGAGGAAACTGTCTAATGGTGTCTTCCTGTAGATACCTTTACCCAAAGTAAATGTTAATTAACTAAAAACTAGATAGATCATATACCAGTTTTGGGTTTAGTGAACTACTAAGCCTCTCTCTATCTGTGAAAAGGAGAAAGAAGAAAAGACACACTAGATTGTGGTTTGAATGGCATCCAGTTTTATGTCTTCTATTTTTTTATTTTTGTTTCTTCTGTATCTTTTTTGGAATTAAAGCCATGTACCCTTACTTGTATAGAATTTAAGTTACATGCCAAAATACAGTTTGGGGGACACAAAGCAATATTTATTATGTTATTACTATGTACTGGGTACTACGTTAGGGACTGAAGATGCCAAAATGAATAAGAGATACTCTGGCTTCAAGGAGACCGCTGTTTTTAAAATTTAAAATAGATATTATAACATAAGTAACTGACAATTATCAGCTGCTGGTTACTGAACATAGAAATTGTACTTATTTTCAAGGATTTAAGAGTGATTTGAAAAGTTTCTAGTGCCACCCACACTTTCCTCCCAACCTACAAAAATCTCTGTGCAGAAGACAAGGTATTTATCACAACAATTGAACAGATGAGAAAAGTGAGGCTCAGAAATACTGTAACTTGCTACCCTCGCTTCTATGGCCAAGGCTCCTGAGAGGTATCAATGCCTATCATTTCTCACCTCCTGCTTGCTTTTCAACCCAATGAAACCTGAGTTCTATGCCCAGGACTCTAGCAACTTCTCTCACTAGGAAATTCTACCTCCTCTTTGTTACTAAGCTAGTGTTCCCCTTTCAGTCCTTATCTGCCTCGTTGTCTGCAATATATTACATTGACTGCTTTCTCTTCTCCAGACTTTTGCAGCCTAACATTCTCTCAGGCTTTCTTTCACCTTTGGTCTTATTGATTGATTGATTTTTCTTGCCGTTTTTTGCTAGTCTTTAAAATGGATTTACAAGATACTCCTTGTCTTCCTATCTTCTTATTGATTCATTATTTAATTGATTGGTTTAATATATTTTCACAGTATTAACGATTACTTAATTGATGAGTTGAATCATTGTAACTGCTATCTAGATATTTTTTGCAAGAATAAGGTTGGGTCTTACCACTTAAATATAAATAAAAGAGATATAAAAAGAGATAAAGGAGTCTGGGACTTTCCTGAGTTTTTCAAACAGGGAGCTGGATAGCTGTTAAAGGAAATCATTCAGATGACGGAATATAAGATGGGGAACAGCTGTGCAGATGGAGATTATATGTGGAGTTTAATTTGGGGCTTACTAAGTATGACAAGCTAGTGGGCCATCTTAATGGTGATGGCTAGACCACACACGAAATATATGAGAAGGAGATAGTAGATTTAAGAGCAATTAGTAAATAGTGGGTAAATGAAGCATAAAAAATTAATAGGATAACTGAAAAAGCACAGTCTTAGAAAAAAAGAGGCAATATGTGGATAAACTGATTTGAAGTATGATTAAGAGTTCAATTTGAGATATGTCCATGTCATCCAAATGTAGATCTCCAGGAGTACAATTATTTTTACATTTTGGCCCTCAAATCCCAAAAGTTCTTCAGAGATCAATGTGAGCTCTCAGGAAAAGTGACAAGAGCAGAACTTTAGGGGTTTGAGGCTTTGAACCCTCCACTCACTGATTCAATCAAAGAAGATGTAGTTTTGCTGATAATTTTATTCATTAATTGACTGCTGGCATAAAAGTTTGAAAACTGACAAAGAAAACATATTTATTTAGATGACAAAACTGAGACTACAGAAAATTTAAGCTATTTGATGAAATTTACATAGCTTATAAGTAGCCAAGAATAATGTTGGGTGTTTCTCCCAAACATTTGTTTCATCAGTACCTTACACTGTCTTCTCCATTTGGCTGGCATTTGTAGCATCTTTCAGTTCCATGCTTTGCTTTTGAGTCTCACTCATACTTCTTTAATTAATACTATCTTTATCTATCTCATAAATTACAGAGACAATTGTCTCTACACTTGCCTAACACCACACTACTCTACCTTGCTCAATCTTTTTCCAAATGAAGTAATCTTTCTGAAAGGCAAATCTGATTATATCAACCCATGGCTTAAAACCCCTCAGAACACTCAATTGTCCCCAAGATAAAGTGGAAACACACAAGTTATAAAAACTCTCCCTTATTTACTTTCTATTTTCATGTCATATAAATCCATTCACTAAATATTTCTGTACATGTTATGTTCCAAGTATTTTTCAATGATAAATAAACCTTCATTCAGTTTAATGTGTGATAGAGGAGACAGATACCTTAAAATTTAATATACACATTATTTAATGAATACAAATTTTGATGACTTGTAAAAGAAAATAACAAGATACTGTGAAAGAATTTAAGAACAAGGGTCTAATTTGATTGTACTTTCAGAAAATATTTTTTCTTGGAGCATCATTTAATTTAAGACACATATGGTAAATAGGAGTTAGCCAAACATTCAAGAGAAGAGATATCTGGCAGAAGAGACAGCATTTGAGAAGGTTCTGCAACAGAAAACAGATTGGTTTCTTTGGGGGGCTGAGAGTGCTGATTGTGGTTGGATTCCAGTAAACAAGAGGAAAGTAGGAAGGAGTTTAATATAGGTATAGAGAGACTGCTTATTGCAGTTACTGAAATAGGCCATTCTCTCTCTCTCTCTCCCGTTCTCTATCTCTTTCTATCTCTATCTCCTCTTGCCTAGTATACTTGCTATTCCCTCTGTCTTAAACTATATATTCTGCTTCTACACATGTTATTTTTCTATCTTTTGAATAATTCTTTTCATTCTATAGACCACAGAGTAAATGTTGCCCTATTTGGAATGTGTATTAGTCACAGTGCTGTAACAAACAACCCCAAGATGTCAGCGATTAACACAATAAAGTCACCCAACATGTATGCTCATGAATAGGCAGTTCTTCTGGAAGACTCTCTTTTTGTGTAGTGACTCACTGACCTGCTTCATTCCAAATAGTGATTCTAATTCCCACTGGACCCACAGGTTAGGTCAGTGTTTGGGAAGAGAGAGAGGAGATTATTTATGGGTCAGAATTGGAAGTGTCCTGCCTAAGAATAACTTAGCCCAGATTGAATGGGCCAAAATTCTGTCCATGGCCACTCCCATCTATAAGAGAGGCTATGAGACAGAAAGGGAAATGGGCATAGTAAACAAGTCATCATTCTCTGCCACATTCCTCTTTTTGGCCACCAACTATCAGAAATGTCTCAAATTTCTCCCGTGTAAAGAATGCAACCAGCCTCTTCCTAAGACATAGAAGCTTAATTCCCATCCAGTCACTGTATCCAGCTCAAAGTTCAAGATCTCTAAGAGAGGCACGGTCCTTGGCATTACATCTAAATGTGTCTCCTCATAGCTCTTCACCCCATGAACTAAAAAGTCTAGGTGTTTTCAACCCAACTTTAAGCAATCACAGGACAGCTGACTGCTTAGAGATATATCAGAATGAAAAACATGTGGAGTCATCTGATTATAGCAATGGTGAAATCCTACCAGAAAGCAAGGAAGGAAGGAAAGAAGAACCTAGAACACCACTTACAGTATTAGAAACTGAACATCACGGCTAAGGCAGGAGAATCGCTTGAACCCAGGAGGCAGAGGTTGCAGTGAGCCGAGATCGCGCCAGTGCACTCCAGCCTGGGTGACAGTGTGAGGACAGTCTGGGTGACATATCAAGGAAAAAAAAAAAGAAGAAGAAAGAAATTGAACATCATAAAGATAATGAGAATTGTTTCTGTCAGACACTAGGCTAAGAAGTGTACATTTTTTTTCTTTAAATTCTCAAAGAAACCATTTGAGTTGGGCATTATCATTAGCCCCATTTTACTGATAAAGAAACTTAAAATTCAGAAAGGTTAAGCAACTTGCCTCACTTTACACAGATACTAATTTGTTGGAATTAGATTTTAAGATTGTCTGAATTAACAATTAAAAATCTTAATCATTATTATATACTATCTTTCGTATCTTAATTTAAATAGCTAAGGAGCCAATTAATGTATTTTTAGATTATTAGTACAATTTATATACCAGGGGAAAATTAACTAAAAATTCTGAATAGCAACCACTATAATACATAGATTTATATTAGAAGGGTTTTAAAAGTATCTACAAATAAAATAATGATACTTAAATAAAAAGTTATTTAACTTTGAACCTAATAATATACACAAGCTCATTGCATTTCAACAATAACTTCGAATTCTCAAATCTTTAATAACTCAGATGCCTTTGGCATCAGGTCCTTTACTCTATTTTTTAAATTATTATTATACTTTAAGTTTTAGGGTACATGTGCACCATGTGCAGGTTATTGAATTGGAATCTCGCTGTGTCACCCAGGCTCAAGTGCAGTGGCAGGATCTCCACTCACTGCAACCTCCGCCTCCCAGGTTAAAGCAATTCTCTGCCTCAGCCTCTTAAGTAGCTGGGACTACAGGTGTGCACCACCACGCTTTGCTAATTTTTGTATTTTTTTTAATAGAGATGGAATTTCACCATGTGGGCAAGACTGTTCTCGAACTCCTGACTCTAGTGATCCACCCGCCATGGCCACCCAAAGAGCTGGGATTACAGGAGTGAGCCATGGCTCCCGACCTAAAATTTTAATAATAATGAATATATCAGAACAAGGCAATACTTCGTTTTAAGATTTATTTTCTTGAGAAATTGCTTGTAATTAATAAATTCATCATAGTTCACTTCAAATTCACATAATCAAAATAAGGAAATTGTTCGTCATCCAAAATTTCCCCATAGAAATATGAACAGGATTTCTGGATAAATGTAAATGTAAAGGTATATATTTATTTTCATGGAAAGAATTGTAAAGTTTTCTAGTCTTACAATGGTAATTTAGACAATACAGTGGAACAGCTAGATGTACTACTTTGTTAAGTAGAGCACTATTTTCCCTAAATGTCAGAAAAAACTGTTTAAAATGGCTTTCTGCCATGTATCTTTCAGGAAGAACATTTACATAGGCAACATATTTTTGATAGTAGTTGCACTTTATGAATTGAAATGAAAAGGTATCCTTTAAATTTCCCATTCTCATAAAGAATTACGTTCACTATTTTGTAACACTTTTATTCAATAGAAAGTCTTCTTTTTCAATAAACAGAGACTTTTTCCTACTGAACTTCCAGTGATATCTGAAAAACATAACTACAGTTCTGTTATCACACACAATTTTTATTTTTTTAAAAATAACACACACAGTTCCAATAATATTTCTTGTTAATACATGTTTTCTCTGTAAAGCATTTACTCAATTGGCTAGTGGCTTTCTTCAGACTTTGAATTTATAATTTTCAAAAGGCAAATATAGCAATTAAGAGCCTGGAAGAAATCCCTCATCAAATTAGAATCAACTGACAAATTTGGACCTTAGCTAATTAACTATACTCTTAAAAATTTTGCTGAGAAATGAACTCAATTTAAACTTAAATTAATTAAATTAAATATATTCTAAAACTTGAAAACTCGAAACCTATTAATTTCAGTTTAGTGGGTTCAATACAACCAAGTCTTGCCTTCTGACCTGATATATGTCTCACCCCAAGAAGTTATGCAGTTAACATTACAGAGTACAAGGATTATGCACTAAACAGTACCAGATACCATTAACTTGGCCTAATAAAATTATATGTAGTGCTGTTATAACTGAAGCATAAATAAAAGTGAAAAAAACAAAGTAGTCCTTTTGTTTCCATAGTGTGATTAAATTGACTTAGTAAAAAAAAAAAAAAAAATCTTTTTCTCAAGCAGTGAATTGTTTCCCTTGCAGATATTCACTAAACTGGTCCCTACTAGCAATTTTATCGTGGTGTGTTTTTGAGATTTTTTGTTTTAATGTTCCACAATTCCCCTCTGCACGAATTCTTGTTTAGCACTTTTCAAAAACCCAAGGAATTAAAAGGCCTATTTTATTAAATTCTTTTCAAAATGTTTTTTGTTAATATGTGAAAGATTTTAAGGTCAAGGGATCTATTGTAAAAAAAAAAAAAAAAGGTGAATATAGTCAATTCCAACGTCTTGTATTCTTGAAGATTACTAAGACCGTGGATTTTGACTGTTCTCACCACAAAATGATTAGTATGTGATGCCATTGTATGTCAGAACTTTCTGTTGCACATAATAAATATATATAACCATGTCAATTAAAATTAAATGATTTTTCTAAAAAGTTCAGAAAGATGAAAATATTTATAAAATGACAAACACCAAATGTTTCTATTGAGAAACTTTGAGTGAGATAAAGACAGTGCTATACTAATTAGTAGGAATGTTAAGCAATTTTGTATAGATGACTTTTGCATAAACAAAGGATATCAGGTGATATGCAGTTGAGAGGGTGGTTATTTTATTTATACCTTATAATAACCTTTATTGCTGGGATAAAAATAAGACATTATTTTCCCAGTAAAAAAATATTGTTATGCCTGTTATTGTGGTGTACTTATTAATTATTGACAGTGCCTTGCTTGGAATATAAAATTATATAGTTGGTTAATTATTAGATCCCTTTTGTGTGGAAAGGGTACCAAGATTTAGAGAAGCATTTTGAGATAATGAAGGTAAAATATTGTCAGTGAGAGAAAACTCTGAGTCCTCATAGAATTTCCAGACATGCAGAAATAGAATGAAACAGAATGACTGGTTTTTGAAGTGCAAGGGGAATTGTATTTATTTATTTACAGTTTTTTTGGAAGATCTGTCACTAGGCTAAGGGTAGATTTAGACAGCATGTGATGTGTACAGGAAGACCTGACGGGTCTTATTAATCTAGTATAGTCATCTACGAAGCAAAGTGAGCAAAACCTAGTTCATTGATGTTGATTTGATCTTGATTTTTCCATTTCTTCTTATGTTTCACAGTGTGTTTAATGTAATAGTTCCATAGTGCTCCATAGGTTTTAAATTAAAAAAAAATAAGTTGAAGACCTGATTGCAATATCTATACTGATGGGGCTTGGCAAACAAATTGATTTTGGCAATCTTCATCTAACATATGGGGAGTGTTTGTTAGGCACTGTTAATAGTCTGGAGACTAAGACAATATAATCTTCTCATAGTCTGTGATTTAAACACCCAACAACAGTGCCTAAAATATTTTGACTTTTTTTAAATACTGAGTCTTGCCCTATAGTCCAGGCTGGAGGTTATTAATATTATACAACAATGAAAATAGCATCATGTGTACAACTTTTTTCCAATATTTGTTTTTGGTTCTATACATAATATTATCAGCTAAAAAGTCTTCTAAACAGAGTTTCCTTGTAATAATACTCAAATTTTGTTCCTGTGATCTACTGAAATACTAAAATGAGAAAATGGAGATGAGTAGTCGTTTAGGAAAATACTACGTTAAGTGCTTAAAAAGTCATTAGAGAAACAGCTAAAATTTTGCAAAAAAAAAAAAAAACAGTATGTAACAATACACTTGAAACAATACACATGAAACAATGTGGTTTAACATATTATGTAAGTCCTTGGCATGGTAGATTTTTAAAAATTAACTACGTGGAAAGCATTACAAATTTAAATTTTTTATTGTTTTTATTATTATTATTATTATACTTTAAGTTTTAGGACTTAATTTTAAAATATTCATATTCCTGGCCATCTTGAAATTTAAGCCAGATTATATGAGACACATGATGCAT
The DNA here is from genome assembly GCF_000001405.40 of Homo sapiens. Lineage (NCBI taxonomy): Eukaryota > Metazoa > Chordata > Mammalia > Primates > Hominidae > Homo > Homo sapiens. The sequence continues at coordinate 77,446,647 of NC_000008.11, read as the reverse complement.
TTTCTAACATACCTTCCAGGATGATTATTCTTTATTCTTCTCTTTTTGAAATAGATGGTGGGACTATAATGTTCATGTATATTGAATTTCTGGCTCTCTTAATAGAGAGAAACCACAAATTTGCAATTTCTGATTCATGGCACTTTTTCAGCATGGAAAGTTTCTATTTTCACTTATAAGGAAATATAAGCTGTAACTTTTTGACACGTTTACTACAGAAATTTTTTTTACTTTCAATTTATCAGGCTAAAGTCTTCAAACCTCAACAGAAAGCTAGCATATAGAAGAGATAATGCAAGTGCATACAATTTATTCTCTATTGCCAATTTCATACCAAATACTAAAAACAAAGCGAATAAAATCACATGAACCAAATTTAAGGACCCACAATTTAGGGCCTACCACGACAGAATGAGTTTATGTAGTTGCAAAATTAAGCCTAAATATAATTTTCATAGACAATGTAGGAAGTTTTTTGTGAAAGTGACAAAGCTCTGAGACAAGGGCCTATATAGGAAGAGTGAGGTAAGTTAAACAAGTATAATTAAGTCAAACTCCTCATGACATCATGTGTAACTGACCCAGTTATCCTAAGAATCTTTACATTTCCATGTTAAAGGCTAAAAAGAAGTCTCCAAATCTTTGAATGAAAAACTGAATTAAAATGTTCTGAGTAATTTATGTCCATTTTAAACCTACTTTATCTGTGTCAATGAAATATACATACCAAAAATTATCAGTATTTTGCTCAAAGAAACATAACTTCATATACAATTTTTAAATGACTGTAATAAAAATATATCATTTTTACTCAAAATGTCATTATTACAATTAGTTAAAATAGAAAGACCATTAACACAATTAATGTTATATGGTACTACTGTAAATAAGTCATTTTAAAAGCAAAGGTTTTTACCATTTGAGAAAAGAGAATGATTTTTATTCTAAACTTATCTGTGTCTTGCTACAACCAAAGACTGTCAATATAAAATGGTTTTATCATGTACTAAAAGTGTAAGTTGGATAATGAGTCTGCAGTCTATGATGTTACAAAGGTAAATATCCAGACAAATTCATAGACACTCATTTTCTGGACAGGCACACTTAATTTATTTATTTAAGAAAAAACAAATAAACAAAAATGCAATAGTAGTAAACATATTTACTATAGTAAGCCTCAAAAATATTAAAATGTTGAAAAAAAGATCATCTTTGAATTGTGAAAATATGGTATACCTTTTTATGTTTACTTGGGTTGCTGTTTTTTAGAAGGTCCTTATTTAAAATGTACATTTGCACAGATAAATAAACTATTATTTCTAGTATGTGGAGTAAAAATAATATAAAATCATATATTTTATGACTTACTATTAATCTGTTCAAGTTGAACAAAGAGCCATAGGTTCAGATGCTGGGCTGCCACTGTCTGTGTGCATGCCCTTAAATAGCAGGTCACTTTCCTCTTCTGAGGAATAGTCTCTAGTCTGTACTGAATGAGCTGTAAAATCTCAGCGCTATCTTTAAATTGGGAAAGAATGGAAGTGACAGAATTTTTGGCTAGATTTTCTTCTTTGGGAGTGAATCAATCTAATTTTCTGAAGCAGTCATTTGGCAGGCAAAGCACTATATCTGGCAATAAATAAGTTCATGGTCAAGGTAACTAGAAGGAGATGAGGGCTTTTTGCTGGGGCTATCGGAGTTGGGGAACTGGAGCACAGAAAGAGGCATAGCACAGAAGAAAACAAAAGAGAGGGAGACATACACTCTAAACCAGGTAGACATTCAGCTACACTGAAGGATGGGTTAATAACAGCAGGAGGCAAGAAATAACTTGTTTACTGCTACTGGGAAGAGAACAGAAAATGCCATGTTGAGGTGGAAATCCACTTTGGGCCTACAAGCAACTTCTAACGCAAAAATGCATTCTCTCCCACTGATATATTTTCTAATTTAACTCCTGGGATATAGCAAAAATTAGGTATGTAATTTATGATTTGATTTCAAATGAACAAAACACACAATATGTTGTCTTTTGGGGAGAGAGTAAAACACAGCATTGGTGTGCAAGCTCTGAATCTATCCTGCTTAGCTATAGTACTAGCTTCAAAATGTACAAGTTCTTGTGAACTAGGATGAGTTAATTAAACTTCAAATTTCTCACCTGAAAATAAGGATTAAACTGACACAATGATGTCACTGTGTAGATTAAATAAAATAATATTGTCAAATAATTTAACACAATAATCTGCACATATTAAATGCCTTTTAAGACATTTCTATTATTTCCCAAAATAATTGTTTAACAACTTCAAAATCGTAACTAATTTCAAAAATAGAGTTAAATATACTGAAATAGGTATAGTGGAAATCAAAGATGAACACATCTCTGCCCATCAGGAATACACAGATTTTTGGCAAAGAGTTTTCAACTGAAATTTTGCTGTTATTATTTAGCCACTCTGGAACAGGGAGCTAGGAGAGAAGTCCAGCATTTCTAGAATTAAAGTAGAAACTCCTACAAATATCTAGTGCTATTCAGAAGCATTGGTCAAAGGACACGTGATCACACTTACATAGGAGGAAAAAAGTTCAAGGGACAGATTGTAGAGCATGGTGACTACAGTTAATGACAATATATTGAGTTCTTGAAAAATGTTAAGAGAATGAATACTGTATTCTCACTACAAAGATGATAATTATGAGAAGTAATCCCTTTGGTAATATACTTAGATTTAACCATTCCACTGTGTATATGTAATTCAAAACATTATGCCAGCATGATGAATACCTAGAATTCTAGGTTAATTTAAAAATTATTAAATTTGATGAGAGAAGCATTATTTGTCAAGTGGTTTCTTTACAGCTGGTAACAATTTTTATATGAACTGCTATTTTACTTTTGAGTCAAAATAAAATAATTGGTGAATTATTTTATTTTGATTCAAAACTAAAATAACAGTTTATATATATATACACACATAAATGTGTGTATATACATATATATATACCCACACATAAATGTGTATATATACATATATATATACCCACACATAAATGTGTATATATACATATATATACCATAAATATGCGCTATAATTCTGTATACTTACCTATATATCCATTTATGTATGAGTGTGTGTGTGTGTGTGTGTATTTATGAAGGCATATATATGTATCCATTTATGTAGGTGTATATATATTTATATATAGTAGGCATAAATATATAGGTATGTATGTAGGTATGTAGATGGGTAATGTAGGTATATATACATATCTACATATATATCTACCTATTTACATATATATCTACCTATATACATACACACATCTGCATATATATGCATCTACCTATATGGAGATATATACATTTATGGTATATATATATATATAGGTATACACATACATACATTTATGTAGGTGTATATATACCTTCCTAAATATATAGGTAGGTGTATGTACATACATATATATACCATAGGTGTATACCTACATAAATATATTTCTAAATATATAATTTTTTTTATTTCATTCTCTCTTCATTCCATTCATTCAAGAAAGAAGCATAAAAATTTAAAAGCATTTTGTCCTCAATAAAAGTGCAAACACATGTCAAAATTTGGGGGATAATATTATAGTCGAATTTAGAGGGAGATTTATAGAACTAAATAGCTATGTTAGAAAAAAAATGTTCTCAGATCAGTTACCTCATTTTCCATCTTAAGAACTAGAAAAACAAGAGTAAACACAGGTATAAATAATTGGAAGAAAGAAGATAATAAAAGCAGAACAGATATCAACAAACTAGAAAGTAAAAACAAGAGAGAAAAATCAATAAAAATGAAATACAACTATTTGAGATCAATAAAATTAACAAACCTCTAGCCAGACTGATAAGAAAAAAAGAGAGAAGATAAATTACCCATACCATGAATCTTAAAAGTGACACCTATGGAGAGTTTACAGTTACTTAAAGGAAAATAAGAAATTAGTATAGAAAATGTTGTGCCAATAAATTCAAAAATTTAGAAGAAATAAGAAAATTTGTTGAAAGACATGCACTACCAAAATTCCTTCAAGAAAATATAGATAACCTATACAGCCTTATATGTATCTATTAAATGAAATTGTTGAAACATTTGTCAAACAAACCAGCAAAAGACCTTATAAGTGGCTTCCTGAATAAAATGTTCTTAATTAAAAATGAAACTATATCAATTCTAGAAAACTCTTCCAGAAAAACTGAAGGAGAAATACTTCATAATTTATATTTTTGAGGCCAGCATTAACCTGATACCAAACTGATAATATTACAAATACAGAAAACCACAGACCACTGTTCCCCATGAAATTTGACACAAAAACTTCTAACAAAATGTTGGCAACTTATTTGTATAAAGTGATTGCACATTAATACCAAGTTGGATTTACTCCAGTAGTGCAAGCTTAGTTTAACATTTGAAAATAATAGAAAAAGAAAACACTTAAAATTCATATGGAAATACAAAGGCCGCAGATTGCCAAAGCAGTTTAGAGCATAAAGAATAAAGGTGGAGGAATCATACTACTTGATGTCAAAATACGTGAAAAAGCTATAGCAATCAAAACTGCATGTCACTGGCATAAAATCAGGCATGCAGACTAATAGAACAAAACAGAGAAGCTGGAAATAAATCTGTGCATTTACAGCCAACTGAATTTTCACAAAGGTGCCATAAACATACATGGGGGAAAGGACAGCCTCTCTTATAAATAAGTCTGGGCAAACTGGATATTCACATGTAGGAGGATAAAACTAGATTCCTGTTTCTCATTTTATACAAAGATCAACGATTTAAGACTTAAATATAAGACCCAGAACTATGAAACTACTAGAAGACCACATAGGGGAAGTGTTTCATGAAATTAGACTGGGCAAGAAATTTTTTAATAAGACCTCAAAATCACAAAAAAAAAAAAAACAGAAGCAAAAATAGACAAATGGGATTACATCAAACTAAAAAGCTTCTGCACACAGCAAAAGAAACATTCAATAAAGAGACAATCTACAGTATGAGGGAAAGTATTTGCTAACTATGCATCTGAAAAGTGGTCAATATATCTGAAAAGTGGTCAATATCCAAAATGTATAAGGAACTCAAGCAACTCAACAGTAAATGAACAACCCAATTTTAAAAAAATAAAGAAAATATCTGAAGAGACATTTCTCAAAAGGTGACATACAAATGGCCAACAGATGTAGGAAAATATGTTCAACACCATCAATAATCAGGGAAATGCAAATTAAACCCAAAGTGAGATATCATCTAATATGTTAAAATTACTATTATCAAAAAGACAAAAAATAACAAGTGTCAGTAAGGATATATAGAAAGATATGCACTCTTGATGAAAATGTACATTAGAACAGGCATTATAGAAAGGGTTGCAGATGTTCCTAAAATAATTAAAAATGAAACCATTGTAGGATCCAGAAATCCTATTGCCAGGTATATATCTAAAGGAAATAAATCAGTATGTTCAAGAGATATCTGCATTCTCATGTTTATTGCATCACTATTACTGATTAATAAAGAAAGAAAATTACACACACACACACGCACACACACACGTACACAGAGATAATGGAATACTACTCAGCCAGAAAACAGAATGAAATTCTGTTTTCATTTGCCACGACATGTATGAAACTGGAGAAAATTATGTTAAATGAAATGTCAGATACAGAAAGACAAACATTGCATGATCTCACTCATTTGCATAATTTTTAAAAGCTGATCTCATGGAAGGAGAGAATAGATTGATAGTTACCAGGAGTTCAGAAGGTTAGAGGAGAAGAGGGCAGGAGAGTAAACTGGTCAACAGGAACATAATTACAGATAGGTTAGAGGAATCAGTTCAGTGTTATATTTTACAATAGTATAACTATAGTTAACAATATAATTACATTTTAAAATAACTATATTAAAAAGAAAAGAGGGTTTTTTATGTTTTCATCATAAAAAGCCATAAATGTTTTAGGTGATACATCAGCTAATTACCCTGATTTAATCATAACACAATGTGTACATGTATTAAAACATTATCCTATAAATATGTACAATTATTATGTTTCAAAATAAAATGTAAAGAATTATAAAACTGCAGTAATGAAAACATTGTAATATTGGACTAAAGACAAACATAAAGAATTATAAAACTGCAGTAATAGAAACATAATATTGGACTAAAGACATAGACAATGGATCAATGCACATGAACATATGTGTGTGTGTGTATATAAATATATATATATATGATCAATTGGTTTTAAGAAAATTGCAAGGGCAATTCGATGAAGAAAATTAAAATTTCTTTAACATTAAAATTATAATATAAAACATTATAATATTGGACTAAAGACATAGACAATGGATCAGTGCACATGAACATATGTATGTGTGTGTGTGTGTGTGTGTGTGTGTGTGTGTGTGCATATATATACGTTCAATTGTTTTTGAGAAAATTGCAAGGACAATTCAATGACTAATGTTAAAGAAAATTAAAATTTCTTTAACATTAAAATTGTCTTTAACATGATGCTGGAACAAGTGGTTATCCATTAAGTAAGAAACCTCTCACATCACATGCAAAAATTAGTTTAAATAAAAATAGACCTAAAGATGAAACCTAAAACTATGAAACACCTAGAAAAAAAATTTATGAATTTGGTTTTCCAGAAGCATAAGGCATAAAAGAAAAAAGTAATATACTGGAGTTTATCAAAATTAAGAAGTTCTGCTCTCAAAAGACACTGATATCAAGATAAAAAGACATGACACAGAGCAGGAAAAAATATTTGCACAGTATGTATTATAAAAAGGATTTGTATCCAGAACATGTAAACTCTTGACAGTTAAGTAATAAATATACAAACCCAATAAAAATAGACAAAATAATTCAATATACATTTTACCATAAAAGAGATACTGATGATTAGTAAGTACATTTAAGTATTCTTAACACCACTAGTCAGTAGGGAATTGCAAAATAAAAACACAATTACTACTACACACATATCAAAATACCTAAAATTATAAAGTTACCTAATACCAAGTACTGTTGCACATGTGAAAGAAATAGAACACTCATATACTGCTGATGTTATTGTAAAAATGGTACAACCACTTTGTGAAAGAGTTTAGCAGGTTTTTTTATTTAAGTTAAATATACACCTGCCATACAACTCAGTTATTCTGTGCCTAGTTATTTACCCAAGATATAATGAAACTATCAACTATGCAAAGACTTGTGCTCAAATGTTCAGAGCATATTTATTACAACAGCCTGAAACTACACCTAAGGGGCCATTAACAGATGAATGGATAAAGAAACTGGTATTTTAATTCCACACTAATCCACAATAATACAGAATGAAATAGTGATACATGATATAATGTAAATAAATCTCAAGAGGTTATGTGGAAAAAATAAGCCATACAAAAAAGTACATACTATATGATTTTATTTATATAAAATTAAAAAAAAATCACATTAATCTCTAGTAACACAAAGCAGATCAGCGGTTGTATAGGCATAGTCAAAGGCATGGGAAGAAACATCAGGTAGGAATTATGAAATATCACAAGGAAACTCTTGGTTCAATGATGGTTTCACAGGTATATATACATATATATATATGTCAAAACTTACAAGTTTATACAACTGAACTCTATGCTGTTTATTGTATGTCACTTATACTGTCATACAACTGTTAAAAAATTGAGCAAGATAGGCCAATAGAGAAAATTAAGAGAGAAAAATGAAATGAGGAGAGTTCAGAGAGAGAAGATTTAAGAAATCAAGTCAATATATATTTGAGCACTATACAAACAAGAAGAGAATAAAGATAACTGTGAAGTTCATACTGAACTCCATCAAGTTTTAAAAGTTTAGAAACACTTACTTTTATTAAAAATGAACCAAATAAATGCATAATGGTTAAATCTCAAAGTTATTATAAGATAAAAGAGAACGAGGACAAAATGATATCCCCATAGACAACAAAATCACATCAGAAGAACACGCTTTTAAAACAGATTTTAGAACTTTTGCTCCGGAACGACTTCAGGAATACATTAGGAAAACCGAGGGAACCCACAGATCCTCTGAAGGAACTGGATTGCTCCTGCAGGACCTGGGAGACACACTGAATACTGTGCTGGTATCCATGGCTGAGAGACCGCAGATGGTTCACATCACAGGACTCTGTGCAGACTACCCCCAGTGCCAGCCTGGGGCCTGGTAGAGTTGCTGGGTGGCTACATTCAGAAGAGAGATAACAATCACTACAGCTTGACTCTCATGAATCCACATCCCTAGGAAAAGGGGGAGAGTAGTACATCAAGGGAACACCTCATGGGCCAAAAAATCTGAACAAAAGCCTTGAGCCCTTGACCTTCCCTCTGACAGAGCCTATCCAAATGAGAAGGAACCAGAAACCTAACTCTGGTAAAGTGATAAAACAAAGTTTTTTAACCTCCAGAACATCACATTAGCTCACCAGCAATGGGTAAAAACCAAAAAGAAATCCCTGATTAACCAGAGAAATAATTTAGAAGGTTAATTATTAAGCTAATCAAGGAGGCACCAGAGAAAAGTGAAGCCCAATTTAAGGAAATTTAAAAAACAAAATGATACAAGAAGTGAAGGGAGAAATCTTCAGTGAAATAGGTAGCATAAATAAAAAAACAATCAAAACTTCAGGAAACAATGGATGCACTTATATAAATGTAAAATGCTCTGGAAAATCTCACCAATAGAATTGAACAAGCAGAAGAATAAAATTCAGACCTCAAAGACAAGGTTTTTAAATTAACCCAATTAAACAAAGACAAAGAAAAAAGAATAAGAAAATATGAACAAAGCCTCCAAGAAGCCTAGTAGTATGTTAAAAGACCAAACCAAAGAATAATCAATGTTCCCGAGGAAGAAGAGAAATCTAAAAGTTTGAAAAACATATTTGGGAAATAATCAAGGAAAACTTCCCTAGCCTTGCTAGAGACCTAGATATCCAAATACAAGAAGCTCAAAAAATACCTGGGAAATTCATTGCAAAAAGATCATCACCTAGACACATTGTCATCAGGTTATCTAAAGTTAAGATGAAGGAAAGAATCCTAAGAGCTGTGAGGCAAAAGCAGCAGGTAACCTATTTAAAAAAAAACAAAACTGTCAGATTAACAGCAGATTTCTCAGAAGAAACCCTACAAGCTGAAAGGGATTGGGGCCCTATCTTCAACCTTCTCAAACAAAACAATTATCAGCCAAAAATTTTGTATCCAGAAAAATGAAGCTTTATAAATGAAGGAAAGATAGTCTTTTTCAGACAAACAAATGCTAAGAGAATTCCTCACTACCAAGCCAGCACTACAAGAACTGCTAAATGGAGCTCTAAATCTTGAAACAAATCCTAGAAACACATCTAAACAGAACCTCTTTAAAACATAAATCTCACAGGACCTATAAAACAAAAATCCAAAAAAAGAAAAGAAAAGGCCAAAGTATACAGGCAACAAATAGCAGCAGTAGCTATTCTTATATCAGAAAAAACAAACTTTAAAGTTACAATAGTTAAAAAGACAAAGCGGGACATTATATAATGATAAAAGGCTTTGTCCAACAGGAAAATATCACAATTCTAAATACATATGCACCTAACACTGGAGCTCCCAAATTTATAAAACAATTACTAATAGTCCTAAGAAATGAGATAAACACCACCACAATAATAGTGAGGGCCTCCAATACTCCACTGACAGCACTACGCAGGTCATCAAGACAGGAAGTCAACAAAGAACAATGGATTTAAACTATACCCTGGAACAAATGGACTTAACAGATATTTACAGAACATTCTACCCAACAACCACAGAATAAGCTTTCTATTTGACAGTGCATGGAAATTTCTCCAAGATAGATCCTATGACAGGCCACAAAACGAGCCTCAATAAATTTAACAAAATTGAAATTACATTGAGCACTCTCTTGGACCACAGTGGAATAAAACTGGAAACCAACTCAAAAAAATTTTTAAAAAAACTTCAAAATCATGCAAATACATGGAAATTAAATAACCTGCTCCTGAATGATCATTGGGTCAAAAATGAAATGAAGATTAAAATTTAAAAAATTTTTGAACTAAACAACAATAGTGACACAACCTATCAAAACCTCTGGGGTACAGCAAAGGTGGTGCTAAGAGGAAAGTTCGTAGCCCTAAATGCCTACATTAAAAAGACTGAAAGAGCACAAACAGACAATCTAAGGTCACACCTGAAGGAACAAGAGAAACAAGAACAAACAAAACCCAAACCCAGCAGAAGAAAGGAAATAACCAAAACCAGAGCAGAACTAATTGAAACTGAAATAAACAAACAAAACAATACAAAAGACAAATGAAACACAAAAAGCTGGTTCTTTGAAAAGATAAATAAAATTGATAGACCATTAGTAAGATTAACCAAGAAAAGAAGAGAGAAAATTTAAATAAGCTCAATTAGAAATGAAACGAGATATTACAATTGACACCACAGAAATACAAAAGATTACTCAAGGCTACTATGAACACCTTTATGTGCATAAGTTAAAAAACCAAGAGGAGATGGATAAATTCCTGGAAAGATACAACCCTCCTAGCTTAAGATAGGAAGAATTAGATACCCTGAGCAGACCAACCAATAACAAGCAGCTATATTGAAAAGGAAATTTAAAAATTACCAACAAACAAAGTCCAGGAGCAGAAGGATTCTCAGCAGAATTCTACCAGACATTTGAAAAAGAATTGGTACCAATGCTATTGACAGTATTCCACAAGATAGAGAAAGAGAGAACCCTCCCTAAATTATTCTATGAAGCTATTGCCCTAATACCCAAACCAGGAAAGGACACAACCAAATAAATAAATAAATAAATAACTACAGACCAATATCCCTGATGAACATAGATGCTAAAATCCTTAAGAAAATACTAGCTAACCGAATCCAACAACATATCAAAAAGGATAATTCACTATGATCAAGTGGGTTTCATACCAATGATGCAAGGATGGTTTGACATACATGAGTCAATAAATGTGATAGAACACATAAACAGAATTAATAACAAAAATCACACAACCATCTCAATAGATGATGAAGAAGCATTCGACAAAATCTAACATCTCTTTATGATTAAAACTCTCAGCAAAATTGGGATACAAGGGCCATACCTCAAAATAATAAAAGTCATCTATGACAAACCCATAACCAACATAATACTGAATGGGGAAAAGTTGAAAGCATTCCCTCTGAGAACTGGAACAAGGCAAGGATGCCCACTCTCACCACTCCTCTTCAACATGGTCCTGGAAGTCCTAGTCAGAGCAATCAGAAAAGAGAAACAAATAAAGGGCATCCAAATTGGTAAAGAGGAAGTTAAACTGTTGCTGTTTGCTGATGATATGATCATTTACCTAGAAAACCCTAAAGACTCCTCCAGAAAGCTCTTAGAACTGATAAAAAAAATTCAGCAAAGTTTCCAGATACAAATTTAGTGTACACAGATCAGTAGCTCTTTTATAAACCAACAGTAACCAAGCTGAGAATCAAAACAAGAACTCAACCCCTTTTACAATAGCTAAAAAAAAAAAAAAAACAAAACTTAGGAATATATCTAACCAATGAGCTGAAGGATCTCTACAAGGAAACTTACAACACACTGCTAAAAGAAATCATAGATGACACAAACAAATGGAAACACATCCCATGCTCATGGATGGGTAGAATCAATATTGTGAAAATCACCATACTGCCAAAAGCAATCTACAAATTCAATGCAAATTCCATCAAAACACCACCATAATTCTTCACAGTTAGAAAAAAAAATCCTAAAATTGATATGGAACCAAAAAACAGCCTACATAGCCAAAGCTAGACTAAGCAAAAAGAACAAATCTGGAGGCATCACATTACCCAACTTCAAACTATAATATAAAGCCATAGTCACCAAAACAGCATCGTACTGGTATAAAAATAGGCCCAGAAATCAATAGAAAACCCAGAAATAAACCCAAATACTTACTGATCTTCAATAAACCAACTGATCTTCAATAAAGCAAACAACTTTATTGCTCTTGATCTTCAATAAAGCAACTGATCTTCAATAAAGCAAACAAAAACATAAAGTGGGGAAAGAATACCCTATTCAACAACTGATGCCAGGGTAATTGGCAAGCCACATGTAGGAGATTAAAACTAGATCCTCATCTCTCATCTATACAAAAATCAACTCAAGATGGATCAAGGACTCAAATCTAAGACCTGAAATTACAAAAATTATAGAAGATAACATAGGAAAACCCTTCTAGACATTGGCTTAGGCAAGGATTTCATGACCAAGAATCCCAAAGCAAATGTTATAGAAACAAAGAGTAGGCCGGACGCAGTGGCTCATGCCTGTAATCCCAGCACTTTGGGAAGCTGAGGTGGGTGGATCACGAGGTCAGGAGATTGAGACCCTCCTGGCTAACACAGTGAAACTCCATCTCTACTAAAAATACAAAAAATTAGCTGGGCATGGTGGTGGGTGCCTGTAGTCCCAGCTACTCGGGAGGCTGAGACAGGAGAATGGCATGAACCTGGTGGGTGGAGCTTGCAGTGAGTTGAGATCGCGCCACTGCACTCCAGCCCGGGCACAGAGAAAGACTCGGTCTCAAAAATAAATAAATAAATAAAACAAAACAAACAAACAAAAAATAAAGAGTAATAGCTGGGACTTAATTAAACTAAAGAGCTTTTGCATGACTAAAGGAACAGTCCACAGAGTAAACAGACAACTCACAGAGTGGGAGAAAATCTTCACAATCTATACATCTGACAAAGGACTAATATCCAGAATCTACAATTAACTCACACAAATTACAAAGAAAGAAACAAACAATCCCATTATAAATGGGCTAAGGACATGAATAGACAATTCTCAAAAGAAGATATATAAATGGCCAAAAAACATTTTAAAAATGCTCTACATCACTAATGATCAGGGAAATGAGATTATGTCAAACGAAAAACCTTTTGCATAGAAAAGTAAACAATCAGCAGAGTGAAAAGACAGCCTATCATATGGGAGAAAATATTTACAAATCACACATCCAATAAGGGTTTAATAATCAGCAGAGTGAAAAGACAACCTATCACATGGGAGAAAATATTTACAATTCACATATCCAATAAGGGTTTAATATCCAAAATACATGAGAAACTCAAACAACTCATTATCAAGAATACACATAACACAATTTTAAAATGGGCAATGGGTCTGAATAGGCATTTCTCTAAGGAATGCATACAATGACCAACTGGTATATGACAAAGGAGCTTAATATCACTAGTCATCAGAAATATGCAAATTAAAACCACAACCTGATTTCACTATATCATCTTAATTATAATGGCTATTATAAAAATATGGAAAATAACAAATGTTGGTAAGGATGTGAAGAAAGGGAAACACTCATGCAATGCTGATGGGAATATATCTTGGTTCAGCTATTACGAAAAACAGTATAGAGATTCCTTGTAAATTAAAAGCAGAACTACCATAGGATCCAGCCATCACACTACTGGGTATATGTCCAAAGGAAATGAAATCAGCATCTTGAGGAAACATCTGCACTTCCATGTTTATTGCAGCACTATTCACAAGAGCCAAGATATGAAATCAACCTAAGTGTCCATGAATGAATGAATGAATGGATATTATACACAATAAAATATTATTCCACCTTAAAAAAGGCATTCTTGTCATTTGCAACAGCATGGATGAACCTGGAGGACATTACAGTAAGTGCAGTAATCCAGGCAGAAAAAGACAAATACCTCACGATCCCACTTATATGTGGAATCTAAAAAAGCTGTACACAGAAGTGAAGAGTAGAATGCTAGGTACTAGAGGCTGTCAGGGATTTGGGGATCCCCATATCAGGGATTTGGCAGGGGCACTGGTCAAAGGATACAAAATCTTAGTTAAATAGGAGGAATAATTTGAGATAACACTATGTTAATTAGTTCAAATGAGCAACTTCACAATGTATGTATGTCAAATCATGTTGTACATGATAAATATAACAATTTTTATATGAGAAAAAGACCACATTTATTGTACTATTGCCTCCATACTCATAAAATAATTGATTAAGTTATAATTATTCATGTCCAAAGTTAATTGGTAAAGTTAGTAAATAAATAAAAAATAAGAACAGTCATGGCCACTTAACAATGTTTCTATCAACTATGGGCCACATATACAACATGGTCCCATAAAATTATAATACTATATTTTTACTATACCTTTTCTATGTTTAAGTATGTTTAGATACACTTATAGTTAACATTGTGTTACAATTGTCGACTGTATTCAGTACAATAACATGCTGCACAAGTTTTTAGCCTAGGAGCAATAGGCTGTACCTGTAACATAGGTGTATAGGAGGCTATATCCCCTAGGTTTTTGTATGGCAATCTGTGATATCCACACAATGACAAAATCACATAACAATGCATTTCTCTCAGAATGTATAATGATTGTTAAGGGCCACGTGACTGTATCCATTAAATAAATAAATAAAACATCCTAAGAAGATACAATATTATAAATAATAAATAATTTGGTCTAAGAAATCTAATATTTAGGTGAAGGAAACAAAATTATAGCTGGACAAGAGGAATAAATTATTATGGAAAGAATTTATTTCCTCTTACAGAAGTATTTCTTAAAAAAACAAATTGATAAAAACAGAAGGGGAGGAACTACAGAGTCCTATGTGTCTAAAATTAATTCATAATAAAAATATCTTCCAAGAAAAATTCTACCCACAGGTGGAATTTATCCATATTCCACCAAATATTAAAAAACAAAACATAAAAATTATTTTAGAGAATAGGAACAAATAAAAATCTTCCCATTTACTTTTATGAAGACTTCAGATTTTGATAGCAATGCGTGGTAGGACAATTCAAGAAAATCAAATATAAATCAATATCTATTAGGCAAAACTCCTGAACAAAATATCAGTAAATTGAACCTAGTGATATATGAAAAGTTTGGCTTAACATTGATGTTATTAACTATATTATTTATTATTATTTTGAGACGGAATCTCACTCTGTCACCCAGGCTGGAATGCAGTGGTATGATCTCAGCTCACTGCAACCTCCACCTCCCAGGTTCAAGTGATTCTCCTGTCTCAGCATCCTGAGCTGGAATTACAGGCACACCGCACCCTGCCCGGCTAATTTTTGTATTTTTACTAGAGACAGGGTTTCACCATGTTGGCCATGCTGGTCTCGAACTCCTGACCTCATGTGATCCGCCTACCTTACCTCACAAAGTGATGGGATTACAGGCGTAAGCCACCACACCTGGCAGTTATTACTATATTAAAAAGAATAAAGACAGGCAACACAATCTTATCAGTAGACTATAAACAACCATTTAATAAAACTCAAAATGCATTTATGATACATTTATCAATTAAAAAGAAATAAAAAGCCATTAATATGATAAGTAGTAAAGACAGCCAGGGAAAAATTATAATCAATCAAATGCTTTGTATGTCAGTTTGAGATGAAATAGCAATGATTACAATTGCCTTAGGAGTTCTATCCAGTGCAATAAGGCAAGAAAAAGTAATAGAAATTATGAACATTGGGATGGAAAAGTAAAACTGCCATTATTTTTAAAAAGCATATGATTGTATAAAAATATCTGAATGAATTATCAGATAAATTACTGCAATTAATAAGAAAATTTCACTAGATAGCTCTATGTATACCAATGTAGAAAAATCAATTATATTCCTATGTAACTAGGAAAAAAAATGAGAATATTAAGGCAAAAACAATGCCATTTACATTCACATCAATAATCTATAATTAACAAGGAATAATTTTAACAAAAGATGCATAAAATTTCCACAGAGAAAACTAATAAATTAAGTGACTTAAGTAAACGTATAGCAATGTCTTTAGATTGGAAGTCTAAATTATTAAGATGTCAATTGTCATCAAATTCTATTTTAACTTAAATGATATTCCAATATAACTCCAGCGGATTTTAAAAACATATTGGCAAACTAGTTTCAATATGTATGTTAAAATTCAAAAGACCTAGAATCTATAACAGGAAGGCAATCTCAAAAGGTACAAACTGGACTATTTACACCTCCAGTTATGAAACTTATTTTTAAAATACAGCAGTTTATACATTGTGATATGGTACAAAGATAAAGAAATATTTCAACGGCAGGGAATACAGATTTCAGAACAGACACAAATATATACAGTAACCTGATTTATGACAAGGCCACTTCCACAATTCAGTGGGGAAAATGATTGTTTTTTCAATAAATGATGGTGGGTGAATTAAATAACCATATGGAAAAAATGGTCCTTGACCCTACATCACACCATATACAGAAATTAATTCCAGATGCATCATATCATAGAAATAAATGCAAAATCTAAAACAATTAAACTTAAAAAAGGAAAAAAAAATTTTTTGAACTTAATGTATTAAGCAGTATAACACCACTAATAACAAAAACATCTAATGACTGTTTTTGTACTTCATGAAAATTTAAAACTAAATAAGTTTATAAAATATACATTAAGAGGAGAAAATAAGCCACAGATTTAGTGAATATATTAGCAAAATATATATTCAGTGAATGATTCATTCTGGACTATATAAAAAGCCTTATAATTAAAAAGACCTAATAAAATTATGGGTAAAATACTGAAAAGCCACTTTTGAAAGAAGGATATTCAAATGCTAATAATCATATATGAAAAGATACTTTAAAATGTTAGTTATCAGTGAAATGGAAAGTGCGACCATAATGTGATATCACCATAGACTTAGCAGAATGGCAACCAGAATATCAAGTATTTCTGAGGCTGTGAAACAACTGAAACTGTCATAAATTTCTGCTAAGTATATAGATGAGTAGCTCACTTTGAAAAAGCTGGTATAGAGAGTATCTATTAAACATGTACTTATTTTATGATATAGCAATTTCACCCTTAGGTAAAATCTGAAAAGAAAGTAGTGTAAATGTTCATTTCATAAAGTTTTTATTCTTAATAGCATGAAACTGGAAGTAATAAAAATGTACCTCAAGAGTATAATGGATAAATATGTTTTGAAAATGACATAAATTATATTTCATTCTCCCTTTACTGCTCTTGAGTATCTCATTTATATAATGGGGTGGGGGAACTTATGTGCAGAACATAGATGAGTCTTATGGACACAATATTTAGGAAAAGAGGCTAGATCCAAAAGAGTGAATTGATATCTGTGCAGTTCAAGAACATAAATATATAGCGATAGAAATCAGAATTGTTATCTCAGGGGATGGGTTAATAGTGGCCTTCTGCAATATTGGAACTATTCTATACCTTGTTCTGGGTGGTGATTACAAAGTTTTATATACATATATATATATATATATAATATACACATACATACATAAAACTTTCATGTCTATAAAACTTTGTGTATCTATATAATTATACATATATATATGAAAAAATGTACTAGAATGGTCAAAGCACACAAATATTTACCAACAGAAAAAGAGAAATACCTTGTTGCATATTTTTGAAATGTGCTATGAACATAACTATTAATAAATGAGAGTTTTGTGTACATAAGAAGGTATGTACCCCAAAGATGCAAGGTTAAAAGTTGCAGAAGGATACTTGTACCACTTGTGATACACTTATATTAACTTACATACATACTTACAAAGAAAAAATATAAAGTACTAAAAGTGAACAACAGGATCAGACCTATGTTTTAGAAAGCTATTTTGTAGAAATTTAGAGAATGGATTGGATAAGAGAGATTACTAAAAGAGAACTAGGGAAGAGATACTGATCTGTTCTGGAAAAAAATTATGAGAAAATAATTGATAATTATTATTCCAAGAGACTGGAAAGAAAGAAAAGACTCATAGAATATTTCAGTCACAGATCAAAAGGATCTGTTAATCTATCTGAAATGAGAGAAAAAAAAAAACGAGTTGGTGTTTATTTATGAAGCATATATGTTTTATATGCCCAGCACTCTGCCAGGTGTTTTTCATATGCTATGGCATTTAATCCTGGTAATAGCATTGTGTGATACACATATTTATTTCTATTTTACAAATAGAAAAGAATAGAACTCTTGCAGGTTATTTAATTTGCCAAAGCTCAAATGGCAAGGAAATGGAGATGCCCTATTTGAAGCCAGGTGTGTTTGATTCCAAGGTCATACTCTTTTCATTTGAGAATGAATCCTAATACAATTCATAGTATTTGAACAGTTTGTTTTGGTGCATGGTGATACCATTAACTGAAAAGGGAAATTCAGATCAGTAGTATGTTCTATATAGTAGTATAGACTTGGTTGTTGAACATGCTTTAACTTTGCTAACATAACATCTGGTAAGAAGTTAAAAATAAGTTCTGTTCTTGTAAATTTGTTTAAGATTCTTATAGATGCTGCATAGTAGACCTGTGTCAGATGCATAGTTTCAAATATTTTCTCCCATTCTGTAGTTTGTCTTTTTACTCTGTTAATAGTTTCTTTTGCTTTGCAGAAACTCTTTAATATAATCCAATCCCAACTGTCAATTTTTGGTTTTGTTGCAATTGCTTTTGGTGTTTTTGTCAAAATCTTTGCCACTTCCTATGTCCAGAACGGTATTGCCTATGTTGTCTTGCAGGGGTTTTATAGTTTTGGGTTTTACATTTAAGTCTTTAATCTATATTGAGTTTATTTTTGTATATGGTTAAAGGAAGGGGTCCAATTTTAATCTTCTGTTACTAAAAGGTAAAAAAGTAACCAGTGCTAAAGAGGTTGCAGAGAAAAGGGAATGCTTATACACTGTTGTTGGGAGTGTAAATTAGTTCAACAGTTGTGGAAAACAGTGTGATGATTACTCAAATTGCTAAAGACAGAACTACTATTCGAGGCAGCAATCCCTTTACTGGGTATATACCCAGAGGAATGTTAATCATTATATCATAAAGACTCATGCACATGTATGTTCATCGCAACACTGCTCACAATAGCAAAACATGGAATCAATCTAAATGTCCATCAGTGGTAGACTGATGTATTAATTTGTTGTCACACTGCTATAAAGAACTATTTGAGACTAGTTAATTTATAAAGAAAAGAGGTTTAATTGATTCACAGTTCCACAGGCTTAACAGGAATTATGACTGGGAGGAGTCAAAAAACTTACAATCATGACGGAAGGCGAAGGGGAAGTAAGCATGTGTTACAGTGGTGGAACAGGAGAAAGAGAGAGAAAGAGCAAAGGCGGCTGTGCTGCACACATTTAAACAACCAGATCTTATGAGAACTAACTCACTATCACAAGAACAGATAGAGGGAAATCCACCACCATGAGCCAATCACCTCCCAACAGCTCCCTTCCCTGACAATTGGGGATTACAGTTCAACACGAGATTTGGGTGGGAACACAGAGCCAAACCATGTAATTCTGCCTTGGCCCCTCCCAAATCTCATGTCCTTCTCAAATTCCAAAAAAAAAAATCATACCTTCTCAACAGTCCCGCAAAGGCTTAACTCATTCCAGCATTAACTCAAAAGTTCAAGTCCAAAGTCTCATCTAAGACAAGGCAAATCCCTTCTGCCTATAAGCCTGTAAAATCCAAGGCAAGTGAATTACTTCCACGTTACAATGGAGGTACAGGCATTGGGTAAGTAATCCCATTCCAAAAGGGAGAAATCAGCCAAAACAAAGGGGCTACAGGCCCCATGCAAGTCCAAAACCCAGCAGAGCAGTTATTAAGTCTTCAAGCTCCAAAAATAATCTTCTTTGACTCGATGTCTCACATCACATCCAGGTCACGCTGATGCAAGGGGTGGGTTCCCAAGGCCTTGGGCAGTTCTTTTCCATGCCTCTGCATGATACGTTCCCCACAGCTGCTTTCATGGGCTGGCATTGAGTGCCTACTGCTTTTCCAGGCGCATGGGAAGCTGTTGGTCGATCTACCATTCTGGGGTCTGGAGGATGGTGGCTGTCTTTTCACAGCTCCACTAGGCAGTACATCAGTGTGGCTGCCCCACATTTCTCCTTTGTATTCCCCTAATAGAGGTTCTCCATGAGGGCTCTGCCCCTGCAGCACATTTCTGCCTGGACATTCTGGGGTTTCCATACATCCTCTGAAATGTATACGGATGATCACAAAGCTCAACTCTTCTCTTCTGTGCATTCACAGGACCAACACTGTGTGGAAGCCACCAAGGCTTAGGGCTTGCAACCTCTGAAGCAAGAGGCCCGAGATTTATCTCGGCCCCTTTTAGTACGGCTGGAGCTAGAGCGGCTGGGATGCAAGGCACCGTGTCTCAAAGCTGCACAGAGCAGCAGGGCCCTAGGCCTGGCCCATGAAACCGTATTTCCCAGCTGGTCCTCTGGGCCTGTGATGGGAGGGACTGCTGTGAAGTCTCTGAAATGCCCTGCAGGCATTTTTTCCATTGTTTTGACTGTTAACATTTGGCTCCTCTTTACACATGTACACATATGTAACTAACCTGCACATTGTGCACATGTACCCTAAAACTTAAAGTATAATTAAAAAAAAAAAAGAACAACAACAAAAAAAAACCGAAAAAAGAAAATTTCTGTAGCTGGCTTGAATTTCTCCACAGAAAATGGGTTTTTCTTCTCTACGACAAAATCAGGCTGCAAATTTCCCAAACTTTTATGCTCTGCTTAATTTGTAAATATAGGTTGCCTTTGCTAATGGTAATGAGCACAGAATTTTACGAACAGCCAGGCCACCTCTTCAACACTTTGCTACTTAGAAATTTCTTCCACCAGATATCCTAAATTATGTCTCTCAAGTTCAAAGTTCTACAGATCTTTAGGGCAGGGGCACAATGCCACCAGTCTCCCTGCTAAAGTGTAGCAAGAGTGACCTTTACTCCAGTTCCTAGTAAGTTCTTCCTCTGCATCTGAGACCACCTTAGCCTGAACTTCATTTTCCATATTACTATCAGCATTTTGGTCAAAACCATTCAAGAAGTCTCTAGAAAGTTTCAAACTTTCCTGCATCTTTCTGTCTTCTCCTGAGCCCTACCAAATTGTTCCAATCTCTACCTGTTACCCAGTTCCAAAGTTGCCTCCACATTTTCAGTTATCTTCATAGCAGAGCCCCACTTCCAGTACCAATTTTCTGTATTAGTCTGTTTTCACACCACATTTTGAATTCATAGAACTTAATGTCAGTGCATGAAATGAGAATTTAAGAAGAACTACCTGAGACCAGGTAATTTATGACATTAATTTAGTAATTAATTTCTTGGGGATCAAATGTTTACACATGATCTAATTGCAATCCTCCATTTTATAAATGAGATATAAGATTTAAATAACTGTGTGCCCTATTGAAAAATTACACAGATAGTTGTTGCTCTGTAAGTCTGAGTCCCTGTGTAACACTTGTAAGCAAAGTCCTATGCCAACATATGGAAAACTAGTGAATGACAATTATGTGCTAGGAAAAGGCATGCTCTGAACTATGTGTAAGAGGCGATTGTTGCTAACAAATACTATTTTTTTGTTGTTGTTTTCCTAATATAATCAAGAAAGTTGGAATATAAGACTAAGGCAGATGGGGATTATATTTTAAAAACTCATACTTAAAAATAATGAATTTCAGTGAAATTAAGAAAAATTTTGGAAAAAAGTGGATAATGGCTATTGTGAGCAATGTTGCAATGAACATGAGAGCACAAAGGTGCTCAACATCACTGATCATCAGGAAAATCCAAATCAAAACCACAGTGAGATATTACCGCACACCTGCTACCAAAAAATATAAAAGAACAAGTGTTGGCAAGAATGTAAAGGAATGGGGATCCTTGTGTGCTGTTGTTGAAAATGTAAAATGTTTCAGTTGCTAAGAAAAGCAGTATGAGTGGTCCTCAAACAATTAAGGGGAGAACAACCTTAAGATCCAGCAATTCCACTTCTGGGTATTTACCAAAATAATTGAAAACTGGATCTCAAAGAGATACTTGCACTCCCATGGTTCATTAAAATGAGTTTGATTGTATCTTAAAAATTAGTTTAAAAAGCAGAAGTCATACTTCCTAAAATTGATAACAAAGAATCTTGAAGACAGTGAAGAAGTTAATTGGATGAGAGTTTTAATGAATATTATTTTATGTCATGTCAATGAAATCACACGGAATAATAAGTTAATTCTAAAATTAAAAAATAAGTAATACACTTTATAAAAACCTCCATGGATTAAAGAAGGAATCACATCAGAATTTACAAAATATTTTGAACTGAATAGTAAAGATAAAACATGCAATAACTTGTACGATGTAGCAATAGTAATGATGAGAGATTGGTCTACCTGCATCTATCTGCTCTTGATCCTATGTATCAGAAAGTGGCAAACCACAGCTTATGCCGTTTCAGTCTCTGTTTTTG
This sequence comes from Homo sapiens, assembly GCF_000001405.40. Classification (NCBI taxonomy): domain Eukaryota; kingdom Metazoa; phylum Chordata; class Mammalia; order Primates; family Hominidae; genus Homo; species Homo sapiens. The sequence goes on along the minus strand of NC_000008.11, from coordinate 77,424,107 downwards.
CATGATCCACAAGCTAAGAAGTTTTTTACAAACAAACATTTGTAATCATTTGGTAATAGAGAACACTAACTTTGAACCCCAGCTAATGAAAAGATCATCTCAAAAAACCTTCATTCTCATTAGTTGACCTGTCTTACAAAAAAAAATTGTACTCATGCATTATTGTTGTTGTTATATTTTGAGTGTCATCAATAAGAATATTGTCAAAATCTATTTCTCTTTTGTTATACAAGAACCTGCATAATATTCTTGACTTTGCTTCTTGGCCTATGAAGCCTAAAATATTTATAATTTGGCTTTTATTAAGTGTGCTGCTAACCCAAGAAAATGCAGTCTCCACCCCTCCAGAGTGTACAGTGTGATATTAATTACTAAATTTAACTTTGAAAGGTGTTCTTCTCAATATGACCCTCAAAGAAGTTCTCTAAGGTAAAGATAAGAAACTCTATACACTTTTCAATATTCTGAAAAGAATGCAAATGTATCTGACATTTTAAACTGATGTAAAATAACCATAATATCAAGGTTGTTTTTAATTGGAATTCTATAAATCAGTATACTTATGTTGGTTTATCATATCTTGACCAAAAGCTCTGGTGAATAATAGTGTTTTAACATAGGAAAAATATTTTGATTTAAACTAAATTCGTTTCAAGAAAAAGTATTGAACAAAATCTAATGAAAATGGATGAGAAACAAAGAAAAATATCATAGTGGGAAAGTGTTAAACTAAGAAATAATCTCATTGAGCTATGTTTTGGGAATTACAGATTAAAAAATAAATGTCGTAGCCAAATTGTACTGTAAATTTCCCCAAAGAAGGGTGTATTATGTGGCAAAATCTAAATTATCAAGTTTATACAGAATAGTTATACCAATTTCTCTGAGGATGAACTTTCTTATATGGACACTATCTCTCCAAGATAGGCTTAAAGCCTAGCATACAAGATTGATGTAATAAATGTAATCTGATTTTGAGATATGTTGATTAAAGAAAAATACCATTATCCCATTAGGCCACACTTTCATTTTATTCATTTTTTTCATTCATTTACCAATTATTAATTGAATACTATTATCTTTCAAGTAGGTACTATATACTAAGTGAACAAATCTGCATTTTGAAATCATAGAACTTAATGTCAGTGCACAAAATGAAAAATTTAAAAGCACATAAATTCTTACAGAATAATCTTGCAATATAAAATTTATAGATGAATTCTGCAAGTTAAAACAATAGCAAGAATCTACTAACCTTAATATATCTGAGTCTCACCACATGTCCTGGTGCTTTGCAGTTTGTTAATAATATTTGTTGTGAAATTTGAAAGTTATTAGTACATTTTGGCAAACAATTTTTCCCTGTTTATATATTGGCCATAAATATACCATAAAATTTCCCATGAAACTCCATGTACGTAAGATATAGGCAATGTGGAACTCTTCTCCAGTAGAAGTTCCACAGAGTATGTTTTCATTTAATGAAGACAGAGACAATAATCAAAAATTCATAACTCTAACTTTGTTCTAATTTGAGTTGTGGTAGAATGGATAAGTTTATGTGTTTATATGCTAATTTTATTTTGCTTTGTATAAATTTGATCAATGTATCAGAAAATAAATGTTAATCAAATACATCATTGACAAAAGACTTTAGGTTTCACGTAATCAGTACATCAAAAAGTTTTGCACTCCCTTAACACAGTCTCCAATAAGCAAGTAAAGTAATATTTCAAAGAGAATTATCAAATTATATTATTTCCGTGCTTAAGTCCAATGGCTTCTCATTGGAATTGGAATACAAAACGAACTCTTTTTCTCAAACGGTCCACAAGACTCAACCTGATTTGGCCTTTGTTTACTTCCCAAGCTACATCTCCAGCACCAGCCTCTCATTAAAGGCTGCAACCATTCAATCAAACTTTCCTAGAACATCAACTTCATCCCCATATAAAGAATTTGTACTTGCTTGTTCTGTCTAGAATATTCTTCCCCTAGAACTCTGAATGGTCAGCAAATTCTCATCACTTGGGTCCAATTGAACTATTTACTTTTCAGAGGGAAAATAAAGCACTTCCTCAACCTACTCTATTTTGTCATTTTTTGTCCTTCAAAGCAGGGGTCCCCAAACTTTTTGGCATCAGGAACCAGTTTCATGGAAGATAATTTTGGCGAGGGGGGTGGTTTGGGGATGAAACTGTTCTACCTCAGATCATCAGGCATTAGATTCTCATAAGAGGCGCACAACCTACATCCCTCGCATGCCCAGTTCACAATAGGGTTCCTGCTCTTATGAGAATCTAATGCTGCTGCTGATCTGACAGCAGGTGGAGCTCAGATGGTAATGCTCTCTTGCCCACTGCTCACCTCCTACTGTGTGGCCCGGTTCCTAACAGGATACGGGCCAGTAATGGACAGAAGGGTTTGGGGACTCCTGTTTCAAAGCCCTTTCTACCATCTCAAATAATCACATGAGCTAGCTTCTCCATTTCTATTTTTATCACTAGGATATAAATTCTATAAGAGAAATTGGTACTCCTTTTTTTAATCGCTGTTTTTCCAATGCCTATAACAGCCAGTGTTACCTAGTAGATACTTATAGTAGTTGTTAGCATTTTGAAGTCTATGATAATAATCAACTTACTGCTAACTGGACATAACTGTCTTTAAGAATTTGGGACTGAAAAATTTATTGATTTTGAAAAAAATCAAACTTACCTTAATGTGAAATTTTAATATTATCTAGTTGATATTTAAGACATTTTAAAAAATATTGATAGACTTAGATTTTATGGTTTTCACATTTAAGCTGAATATGCATTCATTAAAAATGTGTTCACATTCAACAGGTTGAAACACACTACCTAGAAACTTAGAGATTTGGCTCCTGATACAACTGGCCCTGCCTCTGCCTCAATACTATGTATCAAAGGAATTATTACTTCCCATGGTTATCTGATATCAAAATAGATGGTTTAATTCAAGTTCCTGTCACTTACCTTGGTTAAGTTGCCTTATCTTCTTGTGCTTCAATGTCTTCATTATCAAAATGGAAATTACTATATAAATTCTGTATTTTGTTTGAGTACCAAATGAAATAATATTTTATTAAGTGAAAGCACTTTATGAAATTGTCTGCTCCTTTACATTTTTGTTATTATGCTATCTGTTTTGTCCATTTAGCATCTGTTTTATTTCTTAATTATTAATTTCCTAAGTTGTTTTATTACTAATAGGTGAGAGTGTTTAATAGTTAACATTTTTAGACAAATCTTTTTATGGTAGAAATCTAAGTAAATGAGACATGCACTTTGAAGATTAAAAAAAGTTGATATGTGCAATGAATTTGCATTTGAAGTGACAGAATTTCCTCTAAATTAGATTATATATTTCATAATGGTGTATGATTATAGAGAACAATGTAGTGCTCCACCAAATCCCCTCTGTAGGGATCAGCATCCATCCTCCAGCTGCTAGGAATGTTCATAAATGGCTGACGTCTCCCATTTGAGACCCCTCACTGGGAATCATGCAAGATTATGACCCCTTTCAGGAGCCAAAGCCTGGCTGACATGGAGATATAATGGCTGTGTCTCTTTTCCTCAATTTGAGACATCTCCAGAGCTCCTCTAGGGATCAGTTGATGCTTTTGTGGCATCAAGATTGGAGTTAGCTGGACCCACCCCTCCCCAGTCCCACCTTCCTGTATTTCCCAAGAACACTCCCTACAGACCTACACACAACTCTCTATCTCAGAATCCAATTTAAGACAACTGTTTTTGCAAAGATACCATCATGGGTAATATACTTTAATCTGGTTTCAAAATACAATGTAATTATGTCATTTGGAAAAGAAAAACCGATAAAATGTTTACATACTAGTCACATGCAAATTTTGGTAGTATTTGTTTTGTGTAATCAGTACATGCGAAGGCTATATACAGTTTTTCTGGTTAGAGTGTTGTTGACTCGTGTGGCTGACATATCAGTTTTTCATATGCTTTATTTATTCAAAAGATGAGAAGACCTATGTGACCATGTTTCTTAATGAACATTCATGAGATTTTCTTAGATATTTCTTGTCATTTGTGCTAATAGTCCTTGGTCTACACTTGCAAATCTGTACAGAATCGACATGCTGAGGCTCGTATTTATTTTCCTATGGAAAGAAGAGAGGGATTTGAAAGTCATTTTTATAATTTCCAACATGTGATATTATGCATTTTATTTTTAAAAACAGGTATCTAAATATTTGTCAGGGATGTGAGACAATATCCCTCAAATAACTTCCAAACAAAAAAGAAATATTCATTCTAGCAGTACTCAGGATGACCCTTGAAGAAACATGTACTTTAAATCTTGAGAAGAAACTTCTTGTACTTTAAATCTGAATTATCATTAACATTTCCTTTAAATTAAATGAGACTCTCCAGTCAAGTTTAAGCTCTTTTTATATACACTTTTACTACACAACATGCTTTTCCCTTGCAAAATTCATCACATGTGGAAATACATAATTTTATATTGTATATATCTCTTTAGTTTGATGTAAGCTCCATAAGGAACAGAAATATTTTTGCCTGTTTAGTTTTCTGCTACATCCCTCTATGATCTTCAAAGGTATCTGCTATATAGAAAGGGTCAATAAATATTTGCAGATAGTCTTTTAGGAAGCCTAGCTGTTGCCAACATATATATCTGGTCTTTATTTGATTAGGATGCTATGATTTATCTGATAATGTCAACAACTCAGTAGCATATGTATTTCCTATATGTATTTAGATAAACAGATGCAATTATGTTTTTATGGTTATCAACTGTGGGACAAAAGTGTTGTGAATAAGCTACTTTTAAGAATGTATCTAATTCATCTGAATTTATAGAAAAATCTAATCTCCTCAAATACCATCAGAAAGAATCTTCCTGTTTTCTCAAACAAAGTAGAAGGCACTTACATTTAGCAGTTTATGCATGAAATGAATTATTTTATAATTATCAGGATCTATGGTATCTTCAGATGAATGTTAGACTCATCTGTCCTAAAAGCTTCTTAGTGTTTTAAGAGTATAATGAAAAGTAATGCTATGGGGAATTTATATAATGAATATATTTTGTAAAATTAAAGATTATCTTGTCAGTTGATTCCCTTAGATTTTTTTTCTGTAAAGTTATTTTGAGATTTAGTTTTCTAATTTTCCATCTCATAGACTCTACTACATACAACACTATAGTACATAGAATATAGGACAAAGAATAAACATTCTTCATTACTTATCAGACTGTCACAAGTCTTACTATAGCTTTATTAATATTTTTTAATTTGACCTCTATCTGTAAAGAAAGAAATATGAAATTATAACTCACAAGAAAAATTTCATGACGTGTTACTATTTCTTAGAGTAAGCCCAATATATTTGGCTGAAGCATATCCTGGGTGAGATGATTTAAAAAGAGAAAAAAAACGGATATATTAAAATGAAACAGAAACAGGAAATTGAAATAGAATGAATAAGGACTTCTATTTCTGGAAAAATTAGACTTATTAGATATGCCTGTTGGGACAACAATTAGAAGTTTGTCATACACTTGGTTTGAAGAATTGTCTCTGTCCATTTGAGTCAACAGTTACCCATGCCTAATCATGCAGGACACTGTATTAGATTCTGAGAATATACAGAGAGAAAAAAAACAATGGTCTCTTCCCTTGGGGAGCTAAATAACAATACGGATAATTGGTTTTAGTCATTGAGAGAGACTACCAAGACTAATGAAGAATATACCAGTTTTATTTTTTTTTCAAAATTCAATTAAATCTTATACATGCATACCCCAGAGATATTGTGGGTTTGGTCCAGACTATCACAAGAAAGCAAATGTTTCATAAAAGCAAGTCACATAAATGTTTTGATTTCCCAATGCTTATAAAAGTTGTTTACACTATACTTCAGTATATTAAGTGTACATACATTTATGTCTAATAAAACAGGAATGTATCACAATTTTAAAAATACTTGATTGCTAAAAATTGCTTATTTTCATCTCAGCCTTCAGTGAGTCTTAGTTGTTGTTTTTTTTTTTTTGTTTGTTTTTTGTTTTTTGTTTTTTTTTTTTTTTTGCTGGTAGCAGGCTTTGCCTCCAGGTTAATGGTTGCAGACTGATCAGAGAGGTGATTGTTGAAGGTTGGGGTGGCAGTGGCAATGACTTAAAATATGACGACAATGAAGTTTGCCACATCATTGAACTCTTCCTTTCATGAAAAGTCTATCTGTAGCTTATGATGCTGTCTGAGATCATTTTGCCCACAGTAGAACTTTTCTCAAAATTGAAGTCAATACTCTCAGATCTGCCTGATTTAGCAGCTAAATTTATGGAATATCCTAAATCCTTTGTTGTCATTTCAGCAATATTCACAGTGTCTTCACCAGGAGCGGATTTCATCTCAGAAACCACTTGCTTTTCTCAATCATGAGAAGCAAGTCCTCATTTGTTCAAATTTTATCATGAGATTACAGCAATTCAGTCATATCTTGCGGCTCCACTCCTAATTCTAGTTCTCTTGCTATTTCCAACACATTTGCAGTTGCTTTCTGTATTGAAGTTTTAAACCCATTAAAGTCATCCATGAGGGTTAGAATCAACTTCTTCCAAACTCTTGTTCATGTTGATATTTTGACTTCTTTTCATGAATCATAAATATCATTAATGGCATTTAGAGTGGTGAATACTTTCCTGAAGGTTTTCAATTGATTTTGCCCAGATCCATCAGATAAATTCCTATCTCTGGCAGCTATAGTCTCATGAAATGCAGTTCTTAAATAAGAAGAATTGAAAGTTTAAATTATTCCTTAATCCATAGACTGCAGAATGGATGTTGTATTAGCAGGCATGAAAACAACAGTATTCTCCTTGCACATTTCTATCACAGCTCTTGGGTGACCAGGTTTATTGTCAAGGAGCAGTAATATTTTGAAAAGAATGCTTGCTTGTTTTGAGATGGAGTCTCACTCTGTCACTCAGGCTGGAGTACAGTGGCACAATCTTGGCTCACTGCAACTTTCACCTCCCAGGTTCAAGCAATTCTCCTGCCTCAGCCTCCTGTGTAGCTGGGATTACAGGCGCATGCCACCATGCCCAGGTAATTTTTGTATTTTTAGTAGAGATGGAGTTTCACCATGTTGGCCAGGCTGGTCTCAAACTCTTGACCTCAAGTGGTCCACCAACTTTGGCTTCCCATGCTGGAATTACAGGCGTGAGCCACTGCACTTGGCCAGAATCTTTTTATTTTTATAAGCAGTAGTTCTCAAACATGGGCTTAAAATACATGCTGTAAATGCCCGTACTATCTAGTCAGGCTTTGTTGTTCCATTTCTAGAGCACAGACAGAGTAGAGTGAGCAAAATTCTTAAGAGCCTTAGGATTTTCAGATTGGTAAATTAGCATTGGCTTCCACTTAGAGTCCCCAGCTCATTAGCACCTTACAAGAGAATCAGTTTTGAAGCTAGCTATTAATTTCTCCTCTCTAGCTTTGAAAGTCCTAGATTGCATCTTCTTACAATATAAGACTGTTTTATCTACATTAAAAATCTGCTATGTAGTGTAGCCACCTTCGTCAATGATCTTAACTGGATTTCTGGATAGCTTCTGCCGCTTCTACATCAGCACTTGCTTCTGCCGCTTCTACATCAGCACTTGCTTCTTCACCTTTTACTTTTTTTTTTTTTTTGAGGCGGAGTCTCGCTCTTTCGCCCAGGCTGGAGTGCAGTGGCGCTGTCTTGGCTCACTGCAAACTCCGCCTCCCGGGTTCACGCCATTCTCCTGCCTCAGCCTCCCGAGTAGTTGGGACTACAGGCGCCCGCTACCACGCCCGGCTAATTTTTTTTTTTTTTGTATTTTTAGTAGAGCCGGGGTTTCACCGTGTTAGCCAGGATGGTCTCGATCTCCTGACCTCGTGATCCGCCCGCCTCGGCCTCCCAAAGTGCTGGGATTACAGGCGTGAGCCACCGCGCCCGGCCCACCTTTTACTTTTATGTTATGGAGACACCTTTCTGCCTTAAACTCATGAACCAATCTCTGCCAGTTTCACACTTTTCCTTCTGCAGCTTCCACATCTCTCAGCCTTCATAGAACTGAAGAGAGTAAGGACCTTGCTCTGGATTAGGCTTTAGCATAAGGGAATGTCGTGGCTGCTTGGATCTATCCAGACCACTCAAACTTTCTTTATATCAGTAATGAAGCTGTTTCACTCTTTTATTACTCATATGCTCACTGAAATATCACTTTTAATTTCATTGAAGAGCTTTTCTTTTGCATTCACAACTCAGCTACTTGACACAAGAGGCCTGGCTTTTGGGCAATCTCAGCTTTTGACATGTCTTCCTCACTAAGTGTAATTATTTCTAAATTTTGATTTAAAGTGAGAGATATTTGACTCTGTCTTTCAGTTGAACACTTGGGGTCTATTGTAGCATTATTAGTAGGCCTAATTTTAATAATATTGTGTCTCAGAAAATAGCCTGGAAAGGATAAGAGAGGGACAGGAAAAGCACTGATTGGTAGTGGTCACAACACCAACCACTAAACATTTGTTGACTAAGTCTTCCAACATACATGTATGTGGTTCCTGGTGCCCCCAAACAATTACAATAGTAACATCTAAGACTACTAATCAAAGATCACCATAACAGATTTAATAATAATAAAAAAATTGAAATACAGTGAAGATTACTCAAATGTGCCAGACACATGATTTGAGCACATGCTGTTGGAAAAATGGCACTGATAGGTTTGCTCAACCCAGCGTTGCCATAAAACTTCAATTTATTAAAAAATGCAATATCTTCAAAGCATAATAAAAATAAAGTATAATATAAAGAGATATGTCATAATATTGTAAAATTCAAACATAACAGAATTGGGTGAATGCTGGTCTTGAAGTTAGAAATCCTGGATTTAAAATTCTAACCTGAGGTTTATCAGCTATGTGACATTAGCAGAGTTGAATCATCTCTCTGAAACTTCAGTTCCGTTGTTAGATGCTGACATTAAGATTGTGTTATATGATGTATGAAAGTTTCCAATAGCATTTTGTTAAGACATATTACATACTTATGTTAATGTAGGTTCAATGTTGTATATTTAAAATGTTACCAATGATTCTAGAAATATAATAGATAAATGTTCAGAATAAATACAATAGATGAAAATAACATTCAGAAACCATCAGTTAAAAATGAGTCTAAATTGATTTTGCTCTTTGTAATTCTTAGGTTTATGATTCTGTTCTGAGGTATGATGATTCATCTTTTGTACTAATCTTTTCATTAAGGTTTTCTATGCTAAACAGTAAAAAAAAAATAGGTTGCTAAGTTCCTTATTAAAGATTTGATTTATAAAGAGAAGAAAGAGAAACTAGAGTCTTCAACCAAATGCACTAACCTCAAAAATAGAGCTGCTTCCGAGAGTTAAACCTCCCCAAGCCTTCTAACTCCAATTTATGATAGAATATACATATTATTGAATATGATATGAATAGCATCCTTAGTGGTTTTCTAGGGAATAGGATAACATTGCAAGATAACTTAAACTCACTAAGTTAACATGAAGATGGAATCTTAACTTGAATTTAGTTTTAACATAGGTTATATTTCTTTAAATGGCATATCGTTTATTATAGATCTTCATTTAATAACTATTCACATTGACATTTGGGTAGTTAAACATAACACAGCTTGAAAGTTTTTTTTTTTCTTCAAAGTCTTCATTCATGCATCTGAGTAAAATACAATCCAAGACCAAGTGAAAGGGGCAAAGTTTGAACAATAGTGCTTAAATAATTCAACCATTTGTCATTAGATGACAAATATCACACTTCATATGGAGACAGTAATTCATAGCTATCTCAGGAAATTATTAGGAAAAGCCTAAACCATAGAATTGCATGCTTAAAAAACATGAAGCACCTATCCTGATATACATATGTATATATGTATACACACACACTCACACACACATGCACACACACATATATATAATGAGACTAGTATGTATATCTGTAGCCTTCAATTTCTAAGTCTTCTCTTCCTGTACTATTGATGATTGGCCTAAAATGCAGACTCAGACTTAGAAAAGAATAGAGCAGTGTAGGGTAGGGAAATTAGATTGTAAGTAGAACCATGTTCAGAATAGAAAGCAGATGCATCCTCTGAGAAAAAACAAAAAGAATGTGAACTCTTGTCAGTAGCAAATTAATCACTTTCTTTTTTCTTACGGGGATTATGTTAAAACTAACTATACATAAAGTAGTTTGAAAAATACTAAATTTGTAGAGACTGCAAATTTGAAGGGAATAGTTCTAGGCAATCCCCCAAAAACAAATGTTTCTTTTCTCCACAGATATTAATAATATTTCACATATGATGCTGTTGAGCTTTGGAGGAAATCCTCTGTATTCTTGAGGGCCGGAGCCAGGCAATAATCCATGTGCTGTTGAAACTTACCACAAAAATCTTCCTTTGGTAGTTGCCGGGTACTACTTTATATCCATTTATCAAGGCACAAATAAGGGCAATATTCTCCAAATATATTAACCTGTTTAATCTTGTATCCATCATGTCCCAATACAGAGGATAATGGTGGAGTTGCTGTTATTAGAAAATTTGTAGCATCCTTTATCTGACAATAAAAATTGTCTAGGTTGAGAGTGTCTACCGATTATTGAGAACCACAACATGTCAGGCAGAGTGCATGCCCTCTACAGAATTGTCTGCCCTCTCCTAACAGCCCTAGAAGGAAGACATTATTATCTCCAAATTACAGATGAAAATGCTGAGTCTTAGAAGTAAAATAATTTGTTCAAGGTGGCAATAGTTTATAAGGATTCAAACTCAGGTCTGTTTGCCTCAGCAGTCCATCAAGAGGTGTTACTCAATTAGATGAGTGGTTACTCCATGGTTTTTAAAGAAAACAAATTGGTTTTTCCATATTTAAATTTTAAATATTTTTAATAAACCAAACTGAATTTTATGTGGAGATTACCATACATAGTGTTTACAAGTATGTACAGTAAAATATACTTTTTTTATCACCACATTTACAAATTGTAACTGTAGCATTATGATCTGCTTACTGGTATAATCTATAGCTGTTGAAATAATTTACATGGTCTGATATTAAGAATAGGTCCTGTATTACTATTGAAAAGAACACTTTGTTCATCTTTAGTCTACTTCCTATATAAGTAAGGTGTTCTGTTCATTTATCTGATGCGGTCAAATCCAACTAAGAACATTTGAGCCTACTTATCTAAAAGCTTCTTTTGTGCAGAGCAGCATTTCTCCTGAGCCCTGCCAAGCTCAATTTTGAGTGTTACAGTGTAATTTACATGGTCTGATATTTAAAAGGGGAAAAATAAATTAACTATGTGCTACCATTTGGCTAAAGAGGTTTTTATTTCAGAAAAAAATAAATATGTTTTGGATAAACAAATCTACATTAACAAGTGCTTTATCATACTACTCAGCAATTTTGTTCCCTCAAGGCCACTTATTAATTATAGGAAGAAAAATAATACACTACATTTTACCTAAGCAAAATTTATTTCTTGCATGAGCAAAAATTTACTTTAACCTAAAGCACAGAAAACATACATGAAATATTCACCAGAGGGTAAGAATTGCTTTGCATGTTACATTCTTGCTGCTTATCTGCTGAACTTCAATTCTCACATTCATACTAAGTTATGCGAAATGGAAATATAGAATCGTTTTCTAAAGACACTTTTATAATACTCAGATTTCATTCAATAGAACTCCTAATTAGAAGAATCCCCAGGTTAGTCAGAAAATCAGTATTCCAGTCCCAGATCCACCACTAGACTTGTAGTTCACAGACTTTCTCTATTTTCAATGTGACCTCCTGCAAGCCTAGGATATTGATATATATTCCTATTCTGTTTGGATAATCCAAACTAAAATTCCAATGGATATAGGAGGCTAACATGCAATAGAAATACAAGTTGGCATTTTTGTTTGATTTTTTTCCAGCCCTACTTCCTCCTTCTCTTCCTTTTGTGGCCATTTGTTACATACTACTATAAGTTCCCTTTAACAATGGGCTTAGTACCATGGCACATTTACTTCTCTAGAGTTATACAGTTGAGTTTAAAAGTAGCCTTAGGCTTCCAGACTCATCAGGGAAAAAACTAAAAGTTGTTCCATGCCAAATATTGTGTTCCCAAAGTGTCTCCTTTTTGCCACACCAGGCTAATGTGATTGTCTCACTAGCAAAAAGCATCTTGAAGGTCGGAGGGCAGTAGAGACTTCATGAATAGGAGAAATCCATTTATTCCAACAGAGGATATTTTATTTCAAAATTTTCTTTTTGTTTCTTGACACAATGCTTCCAAAGTGGGAAATTAGACCAGAAATCCTGACGAATTCGTGTTTGAGTGCATAGTTTGAGACTAAAAGTAAGTTTACCTAAAAACACCTTTAGAGAACAAACTAACCCAGCTGTGTAAGGTCATAAAGGAAGCACAACTCTATTTGAACTTCAAGGATATAAAGACCTACCTACTTGTTTTCTCCAAAATAATTAAGGCTGATGATTTGACACAATTATTCTGGGCTCTTAAATTTGTCTCTATGGCTCTTTCAGTTGAGTTCCTATTTTTTCCAAAATAGGTCATGCATCCACTGTTCCCTCAGAAGTATCTGGTCAGCATGGTGGAACAGGATGAGTCTCCCCTCTTAAAGTTTTTCCCATTTTAATATTCCAAATAAACAATCAGTATAAAGCCTGGCACACATTGAGTCCTCACTAAATGAGAAGCCATATATTTAATTATTATGCTATTTTGAATTCTCATTAGAGTCTCTCTTTTTCTAATAATTTCACCTTAGTTCAGGCTTCAGTAAGATATAGCCTCTCTTACAATATTTGATTATTTGATTACTCAAGTGTCATCAACATATTTATTGTCTCCACACTTGGATTTGCTATTGGGTATCACAAGACTTTCAAGTTTACATGGCAGTAAGCTGTGGAGAGTTCATTCATTCATATTTGTAGCTTCCAACATATATTTTGTAGAAATGAGACATCTGTGATGCTCTGGATAAAGGTGTTCAGTTATGTATGAGTTTGACCTTCACTTACATTTGAAGCATATGAATATTTACAGTGTTTGGAGGTCTCCTGCCCAGGTGGGGAGGTAATCAGATAATGTTCAATTAAGTGAATGATTGGATGAAATTGGGAACATTTCCAAGGTCATAAAAAAGGACACATCAGGCTCTAGAGTGAGGAGGAGAAAGCAAACTCAAACAAACAGAAACAAATTTCTCCATCAGCAGTTGGTATATTAGCAAATAAAAACATGACTTCAATTAGGTAGATGGGTAAGGCAACATGTCATAGCAACAATCTTTACTGTGAACTGTGATATTTAAGTCTAAAGCCTCTCTTGGGTCTGTATTTGTACTTGCTTTATTCTTTTAAACATGTTTTTCTTTAGAAAATTAAATTAATTGGTCTCTGAGTGTATACTTCCAAGTTCTTTTGAGATGTTGTCCAGTTAATTATGCTACATCAGCCTGGGCTCCCCTTTTACCTTAATTAAAATCAAGAATAGCCCAGATGTCTGGAAGTCACCACTAGTTTGAATCCACCTCTGCTAAGTGTTATTGGAATAAAGTGAAAGGAAGATGCCCAGATGGCATGACAGTGCAAGAGACACTAACTCAGCTTCATGATTCCAGGAAAGTAGAGAGATTTAGCGGCAACCATGATAAAGGATAGAATAATTTTAACATATAAATTGGATTAATTTAACTTTTCCAGGAGCAGAACAAACATGGGAGGGAGAGGATCTTTGGTGCCTATATTAGATAGCTCAATGACTCTCCCACTTCAGTCATTCCTGTAAGTGAAGCTGTCAATGTGATCAAGAGTCAAGAGGAAGGCCAAAAGAAAAGATCCAGGACAAATCTCAAAATTAAAAGAAGAGAAAGAATGTAAGGTGTCTGAAAGGAAAAGTGCAACTGTAGTTTGGACATGTATTCTACTAGCCTTGTATTCATTGTTATAAAGTTCCCAGAGTTTTTATCACAGCCCTTAAAATGTCCCCTTCTCCAGTCTTCAGAAAGCAGGCAAATCATAAAAAGATAATAGATTCCTGAACAAAAAATGTTCTCAGAACTGGAGAAAGCTGCGCCATCCAAGTGCTTTCACATTTTTGATAGCCAAGTCTCTTTTAATATAAAGAAAAAATGATAAAATCCATGAAAGATATAGCCTATACTGTCTAATATATATGTGTGTATATATAATTTAAGTATAATACATATAATTTATATAACACAATATATGATTTATATATTTAAATTTAACATATTTTTCATATATTTTTTATCTGACTGCCCACTAGGATATAACCTCCTTGAGGGCAGGAACTTTGTTGTTTTATTTGATGTTCCTGCATAGGGGTTAGATCAGCATTAGGCACATAGTAGGACCTAAATAAATAGTTGTTAAATGAATTTAACATTTTCAAATTCATTTTAACCTGGTTATCTTTGTCCAATAAATGCTCAACATATTGAGAATGTAAATTTCCTTAAGCACAACTTAGTAATGCTGCCTTCTCATCTTCCCTCAATAGTTTTACCAGTTTTTCACAATCCTGCTCAAAGTACTCCAAATCCCTATCTTACTAGTTTTATTAGAAGATTTTATTTCAAATGACATTCTCATTTTCCTGAGATGCCCTCAAGTTTTTCCTACATCCCTATCACCCACGCTTGCCTGTTCTCAAATGTAAAGGAGATCCCTCTAAGTATGTCTTTACATGTCATACATATCTGCTACATCTTTTAATATCTTGCTCTATCAATTACCTAGTTTATTTCTTGTATCATCCATGCCCACTGGCTCTTTATTTTCTGTATATCCTCAAGTTCAAGTCTACGTTGCATAAGGACCTAGTCTTCTCTCACCCCTTTTTGTATTGTATGCATTATGGAGTACAAAGTGTTGTTATAATATATGTATACAATGTGGAATGACTAAATCAATCTAATTAGCATATCTATTACCTCAAATATTTATCATTTTTGTGGTAAGAACATTTGAAATTTACTCTCTTAGCAATTTAGAAAGTGTAATACATTATAACTAACTATAGTCACCATGCCATGCAATAAATCTCAAAAGATTTTTGAGATCTCACACCTTTTAATTTACTACTATACTCTATCTGTCTTCCTTTTTTTCTCCCACCAAATACTCAAAACAAAATTGTCAGCACACTTATTTCAGAATTTTTTGCCATCTAGCATGTCTGGTTACCTCAATAAAGCTTCCATTTACCCAATCCATTTCTCCCACTCATAGATGCATTGTCTGAAATTATTCTCAAAAGATGCTAGGGGTCAGGCCAGCATTTCAGCATGTTTTACAGTGAAGAGAAACAGATTGGACCAGACACAGAGCTAAATTCATTCTCTTCATACGCTACTAATCTAACCTCTAAGAAAAGATGTCAGTGCCTACAATGGTTCAGGAAGATAACAATGAACGTGAACCCATGCAGTGGGGGAAATGGGCTTTATTATTACACCACTAGGCATAGTAAGGTGGGATGCACACTATATAATAGAGCATTCATTTGGTGCCATGCAAGCACAGAGTATGTGAGATAATAGTTCATTCTGGAATGGGTGAGGAGGCAGGCATAGGTGGGAGCTAAACTAAAAGTCAATTTCTAAGAATGATTGGGAAAAAGCCAGGTGAAGTGTTCAGGGAAAAGAGAAAGTAAGACTATTCCTTCTCTGCCATTACTATGATCATATATGCTTCCCTGCTAATGACTCTTCATAATCTCTCTATTACATCTAAGCAAATTGTAAATTCCTAAATCTAGTATAGAAGACTCCCCCAATTGTGGTTTCAACTTGCCTGTCTAGTCATTTAAATATTCTCTAGGAAATGATTTACCATTTTCTAGAGCAAAAAAACATGTACTTTCTCATCATTGTGATTTTGCTCTTTAGCCTTCTGTCCATGAAAAATACTCTGTCAAATATTTACCCATTTTGAAAACATAATTCCCAATTATTTCTTCTTTAATAACCATTCTGAAAGGAAGATGTCACTCGTTGTTTTATACATGATTTTCTTTTATGCTTAAGTAACATATTACATATTATCCAGTTTTGTGAACACCTTTTTCCATGAAATTTTCCCTACTAGTTTATGAGCACTTCATGGTGAAGAACCATATCTGAGTTATCTTTTGTGTTTCTCACAACCTATGAAAACAATATCTTTAAAATACTACCTTTTCAATAAATTGTGAACCAATATACAGCTTGATTAATAAATTTTCCTAAGAAATATAGATCTGGTCATTTTGTTTTAGTGAAGAAAGTAATTCAAAATTTTAGCCTTGTACTTCCATGATTTTATATAATTCTTAGTTATCTAATTAATTTAGCACATAGCATTACCCCAAAAACAAGCTGAAAAAGCTAGATTCACTACAAAGGCTAAGGGCTTGCAATGAATCTCCTATAATTATCTCATATGATTTTTGCAAACGAATACAAAATGTGCCAACATGGAAAATATCATGAATCACTCTAGAAAGCAAAGTCCCAAATTACTCAAGGTAAACACTCCTTTCTCTTGAAAGAGCTCCAAGTATTTGAAAAAGAGATGAAAAGGAAAAAATGTTCACTAAATTTATATTCCATTAGGTATATTGAGAAATAGGCTTTTTTTTTTTCTTTTTGAGACAAAGTCTCACTCTGTCACTGAAGCTGGAGTGCAGTGGCATGATCTCGACTCACTGCAACTTCCGCCTCCAAGGTTCAAGCAATTCTCCTGCCTCATCCTCCCAAGTAGCTGGGATTACAGGTTCATGCCACCACACCCAGCTAATTTTTGTATTTTTTAGTAGAGACAGGGTTTCACCATATTGGTCAGGCTGGTCTTGAACTCCTAATCTCAGGTGATCCACCCACCTCAGCATCCCAAATTGCTGAGATTACAGGCATGAGCCACTGTGCCCAGCCAAGAAATAGATTTTTATGGTCATAGTTGAGAAAAACTATTTAAAAGTTCGGAGAGGGGCGTATTGTATTTTTCAATCCTAGCCATTATTTCCTAGATAATGTTTAATCTATAAAATATACTAGCAACCCGGATTTATACTGTTTTCTTGATGACCTTTCATAAGCTCTTTTCATAAAGCCTATGAACTTCTAATAGTAGTAATGAGTTTATACACTTTACTTTTAGATTATTATAGTGGCATCAAAAGACCTCTGTTGGATATTGTATTTCCCCTAAATGCTGATTCGACAGTTTATTGCTCACCACTGGCCAGGCAGTAGGTTTCTCTTAAATGCTACACATCTAAAAGACAATAGGAGAGGTTATAGAATTTTCATGTTAGAAATATCACAATAGGCAGGTGTTTCCATTCATAAAGTATGTCTTGAACGAAAACTACCTTTTATCATCTGACTGCCCCATTTTGAAATTATTCTCTGTTGTTAATTAAAAGTGGCTACCATTTGATTAAACTCAAACATGTGTCACATATAGAAAGTATAGATGATGTTCATAGAAAGAAGTCAAATATATATGAAGCCAAATATATATTTAGATCTAAAACTCTCATTTCTGGGATCTGTTTCTTCACCCTGATAATTCGCCTGATTCTGGTCTCTGTTTTGTTTTTTTTATTTAACTCTTTTGGCAAAAAGCCTCCTAAGCCTGCAAACTCACAGTAGACAAATACACATGACTTAGTTTAGAGAAGGGAAAGTTTCAATTAACAAGGGGAAAATGTCTTTTTTGCGTAATTTAAATTATCATTATTATTATAGGATATGTACTAAAATACTTATTTTTCAAGGTGCTAATTAAATTGCCACAAATGCTAAGCCTTTAACTAGGTTATAAAAAAATATATGATGAAGTAGTTGTGATTTAAGAAACAATGATTCCATATAGGTATTTTCTGTTCAACTTTTTAACAAAAAGTGTTTTTCTTTCTTATTACACAGCCTGCAGTAATAAGTGAAATATAATCCTAATTAATTTTTCCTCCAGCTGTATATAAATCAATAGCTGCACCATCCCAAAGGAAACACACACTGCACGGTCCTCCAGGTTTCTAATGAATGCAAATGGAATGACCTTTTTCTGACAACTATGAATATTGTTTCACAATTTTACCATTAAAATCGCTGCTATCAGCATTTCATGCAGTAAACATGGAGACTACAATAGTTGTAAATAACTATTCATTACGGTAAGAAGGGGATGGAGAAAACTAAGCCTAAGTTATACAACTTTTTTTCTTTCTTTCTTTTTTTTTTTTTTTTTTTTGAGACAGAGGAGTCTCACTCTGTCGCCCAGGCTGGAAGCTAGAGTGCAGTGGCATGATCTCGGCTCACTGCAACCTCTGCTTCCCAGGTTCAAGTGATTCTCCTGCTTCAGCCTCCCAAGTAGCTGGGACTACAGGTGCGCACCACCACGCCCTGCCAATTTTTTGTATTTTTAGTAGAGACAGGGTTTCACTGTGTCAGCCAGGATGGTCTCGATCTCCTGACCTCGTGATCCGCCCGCCTCGGCCTCCCAAAGTGCTGGGATTACAGGAGTGAGCCACTGCACCAGGCCAGATTATACAGCTTTTAAGCCCCAATCCTGATTTTTGTATTTTCTTTTGCTAAAGAAATTCTATCTTAAATGTAACCAATCTCCATTTTGCTTCTTTCTTCCCTGGTCTAGAAGGAAACACATTACAATAATTCAACGTTTTAAATTAGGTCATTTAATTAAGAAGTTAAACTTGGAGACATTTTTGTAAATAAAGTAAAATCTCCCAATCAGTAATATTGTAAAGACTTAAATTACCAGGAGACTATGGTTATATTCCATCGGAAATGTATGTTTGGAAAATCCTCTTGTCAAGACACAATGCTGTTTGTTTAATTAGTATGTAGATGAATTTAGAAACTATGAAAACAGATAATGACATAAAGATGACACCCTATGGCACCTTGAAAAAAGGTAAGGAGTAATTAAATCACAATATTGTCTATCTTGTCTGAAGAATCAATTTGTTCTAAAATATAATATAATAAAACTACATGTATTTATGTGAAATTATGTTGTTTCCCACAAAACTTCATTATAGTCATGAAGATGTCTCATTAAGTAGAAGAAGTTAAATTCAAAATTTATAAGAAAAGAAGTTAAAAATGTTAAAACTAATTCTGCTGGTCATAGATCTATATACTGAAAACTCCCACTGGAGTTCACTAAAGCCAAGAATATAAAGTGAGCCAGTAGAATTCAAATGCTTTCATTAAGAATAGAACTCCCCAAATTCCAACAAGTTTTAAAAAGGAGTCACAACAAAAGTGTATTCCCTTCCTATAACATTCCAAAAAGTGGTCTTTCCATCCCCTGTTTTATAATTAATTTTTATGCTTTTGCAGAGACTACCATCACATAATTATTTGATATCCTAAACAGCTATTAGTGATATAAGTTTGTGTAAAATATATTGATGGAGAGATACTAATTTATTTTGGTAAGTATTTGTATTACTATTTTAATATAAAGTAAACTTTCTTATGCTAGGCCTGTCTTAAACCCAATTCAACAATTTACTGAAATCATTAAGAAAGCATTTCTACTACTGTTGTTTGGCAGTATCATGCATAGACAGCACTTTTTAGCTGCATTAAACAATCTCCACCTGATGACATCTCCTGAAGATGTCTATACTCTCACACCTGTAATGCTTGCATGTTCAAAATGAATCCCTGCTACATCTCACTCAATATTGATCTTGAAGGCATTTCTCCCAATCCTTTTCCCAGTGTGGTCACTGAACAGTATCAGAGTTCAATAGGAAGATCAGCTGCTCATCCACTTTTTGCTAAAGCAATTTGTATTATGGATTTATTTTAGCAGTCTACAGTGGCAGTTGCTGTTTTTACTATTTAAATGCTTTGATTATCTGACCTTGCTTACTTTATCTTTCTAAGTGCTATGCATGGGCTTTAAAATTGATCAATAAGTGGGGATTCCTCTACAGTGTTACGCTGAAATCAATCTCAATTCAGGCTTTTGTATTTTATGCTTATTATTTGATCTGTCTTAATTGTGTTTCTTATTCTCATAAGTTCAAAACATACTTCATTACGCAGGTAAGAATCTTCTATTAAAAAGCCACACAAGTTATGAAAATAACCTATATTATTTGATTCATTTTTTAATGTGAATAAGGAAATAATCAATTCCTAAATATTTTTTCAACCATTTTTGTTTTATTTAAAAATATGTATTCCATTAGGGCAAAAAACATATTTACGTATATGCAAGTAACTAATTTTGCAACACATCAATGTGCTCCATTAATTATAGTGCTGTGGAACTTCAACAACCACTGTCTTTACATATTGATTGTACATAAAGGTGCTGATAATACTTATTATACAATAAATTAAAGCTCTATGGATGGAAAATCACAGTACATTCTCAATAGTTGTATCTTGAAAATATGTACACAACCAACTACAAATGTATTAAGTATTCTAAAAATTATTCAATGAAATGAGAAGATATATCAGTTTCACACTTTTACTAATAAGAAAGAATATTTTACTCAATCTATCGTTTTCAATTAAATGAGCAGTAAATTACCAGCTGAAAATGCTTTGAATACTTTTTAAATTACATACAAATTTTAGAATCAAAATTCTACTTTAATTATCAATCTTAAATAAAAATAAACTCTTAAAATTACCTAAATCAAGTAAAAACATTATACAATATAAATTATCTTACTTAACTGTTAAAAATTATTGCTAAATTTGGTGTAATTTAATTGTATTTTATATCTTCTGGACTTGTGTAGTAATATGAAGCTGCTAGACTTTTCAAAGTCAGAAATATAAGATATTCAGAGAGATGAGCTTTTAAAAAGGAATTGATGTAATATTTTAAAACATTCCATTTTCAAACCTAATTTAACGTCTAACTATTTGTCACCAGCTCTTATATGAAATCTTTTCCACATACATAGGTATAAAAATCTGCCATTTGTTCTAGTGACCAAAAATGCAAAGTAGTAAAGAACTTGAGATAAATAAACATGATTATACACAAAATATTTGCAATATGTTTATCTGTGCAAATGCCACATACTTTGCTTAGGTAAATAAAATTTTCACTGAACTATAGAAATACCACATATGTTCAATATGTATATATTCACATTTTTATACTTTGAAATGTTGGCCAAAATGATTTAGTACTTAACAGTTTTCATTCCATACTAAATTATAGACTATTATAATCATAATTTTTCTCCTACTGCTCATATTAAATAAGATATAACATATAAATGCTTAAAAACAAAGCCAGCACAAAATAATTCATTTTGATGGTTACATGCATGAATTCGAAGTATAAAAATTAAGATTCTTAAGCAAGAAAAGAATGAGAAAAATATGAAGAAGTTTAATTACCAAATAGCTGCCATAATGATATTTCCAAAACTGTTATAACCAGATAGTTTCTTTTTACTATTTGTGGTAGAGTATCACTTGAGAAAAATCATTTCCCGGAAAGTTACACACCTCTGCAGAATACAGCCCTGGCGAGACATGTCCATACTTTTTTCCTCAAGTGGGTAAATGTTAAAGGAGAAGAATCCAAGTTTCATGATGCAGCAACACAAAGCTTGGAAGTGAAAATTATGTTGCAGCGGAGTCTTGAAAATATGACTGTAAAAGTTAATCAATAAAATGTCTATTCCTGTCTATTCACTGGAGGCCCCAGCTGCATAGCTTCACTCAATCGATACTACAAATTATTACGATTTCCAGGTTCCCACTGGACATTCAGAACAAATCTTTCAAGTGTAACAGGCTTATACTGAGTGTATGGTGTGTGTTCTCTACATTTAGTTCAAAAAGCGGAGGGAAAAATAAAACCTAAATCCGATGTGTTCTTCAAAATTCAACTTTATGGATTAAAAAACTTGAGGGTCACATTTTAATAACTAAAAAGTCTTCCTTTTGATTACCAATTATTTTTTACATGTTTCTTTTTAAACTTTTATATTTAGTTAAGAAATTACAGCCTAGTAATAGATGTTGGTGGTATAGAAACCTGGGTGTTTCTGAATGACTACTGCAAAGTCAATGAATGAAGGAAATTATTTTGAGGTAATTATTTGTCCAAAAAAATTCCTAAGATGCATTACCATTATTAGGAAGAAATGTGTAGAAACCTGCATATATTTTAAATTATAGTAGATCCCTTAAAATACAAATTCTACTTCTTATTTTTATGACTAATTCCAACACATTTTAAAAAATCATTTCAGTTTTTCTATTATTTTTTGCTTAAATAAAAAAACAAAATTTCATAAAAGTGTTTCTTGTATTTGAAAAAAAATGCCCCAGAGTGTTGTTTTCTATTGAGATCCTCTTATCTCTGCAGCAAAATTCTACTGTCATTGCAAACCCTAGAAACTACTCAAGTCTTTGACCATACCTTTGTGCTTTATACATAACACCCTGCATCACTTCGTCAAACTCCAGCCTTTGCCAAATAAGGGAGGATTGGTTGAGGGAAATAACTATAATGCTTTAACGTCTTATGATACCTGGCTTGTCTTTTTACTGACTGGTGAACACCACAGTGTCCGGCACTGCCCAATACCAAATCATTTGGTTAATTTGATCAATTTAATGCCACTTGCTTATTCAGAGGAGAAAAATAAACAAAAGGAAGTCATTTTTAGGCCAGAAAGGATTTGATTTTGTTTCACATTTACACTGTAACATATTTTTTCATGTCTAGATACACACGTCTCACATGTAGGCATATCCTACAACAATATGATATTAAGGCTATTTTTTAAAGGAAAAGTGATCTTGTTTCTCCAAAGAAATCATCATTTTGATTATGATCATTTTTCAGTCTATTTAACAATCAGTAACATTTTCTGATAACAGGGCATATTAATATTCATAATTTATGACTTTTGAGATATTCGTTAAACTGTTGCAAATAGAATTTAAAATACTGTTGTAATTCTACCCTTCTTAAATTGTAGCTGATATTTGTATACCTCACCAGTGCTTTCACATTGAAAAAGAATATCCTACTTAATTTCATACTCAAGCAGTACTGGAAAATAAAATAGATAAGTACAGATAAAGCACATACAGCTGAAGTTTGATCACTCAGTGTATTTTAACTGGATGAATCACAGCATGATTTTCTTATAAAATCAAATCCTAGAAGCAGGTCATTACATGCCAGTTTCCAGATCAAAAATAAAAATTTTTGTGAGTGTACTAAAAATGTGCCTTTATATTGACACCTAATTTTAAAAAGTGTCATTATTTTATAACATTAACTTAACATCAAACACTGTCATTAGCTTCAGATGTTTGTAATCATTTTTATATATTTCTTGTTCTCTATATCATAAGCATATAATTCCCCAGTATAATTTAGCTATTTTTAAAAATCATAATATTTATAACAGTAGTACATTACCTTAGTAATTCACTAAGAAACTTCGCCCGATATGCTTTTAATTCTTAATGTGAATTTCTACTTTTAATATTTGCTAAAGGTAGCTTTTTGTTATCTGAAGTAAGGCATCTGGCTAAAGGTACATGAAGAGCAAACAGTTTATCTGAGTGTTTATCTTTATTTAGAAGCATGTAAAGTGTCAATCTAGATTGTAGAATTATTTTAAATGCCTGTAATATTAAAAGTTTGTATTAAAAAACAGAAATAAATTGGTCAGATTTAAAAATATATTTCAACAGAGTTTCATAAATTATAAATCACAAGGTTACTTAAACATTCATAATATATTGAAATGATATTGATAGACAATATCAAGATATTCTGTAAGCCATGTAAGTTTAAAATTTGATTTCCAAAGATCAGTTAATAGCAAATGCGCATTTTAGTTCTGGCCTCCGGACTGTGTTCAAAGGTATGAGTGACAGGAGAAAAAAAAAGTTTAGTTATGTGTGCTTTTCCTGACTGTGATTACTCAATTTAACCAAAGTTCAATGAGCAAAGTGTAATTCTTGACAAATAGAGTAAAAGAGAAAGACAGAGTGGGGCCGATGTAGGTATTCATGTTGACTATGTTACTTTCATTATTATTTATAATAGCAGACTAAGAAAACCAAGAAAAGGACAGAAAGGATAGAAGATTTAATGACAACACTCAAAATGGAAATTCTCTAACATTTATTTGAAAAATAATAAAATTTAAAAGCATTGTATTAGGTATGATCATTACATAAATACCTAGATGATCAAAGCAGATATTCAATACTAGAAGATGTTTCACTAAGAATAGTTTCCATGAATGTTTCAAAATTAGCATAGATTTTTATTGCTTTCTTCACAGTTTCTTACATGCCTTAATGGTCTGACCAAAAAGTCTACTCTAAACGTCTCTCAGTTTAATAGTGTCTTGCTTAGAGCAGCTACTTTTACAAAAAAGAAAGCCAACAAGAGCCATATGTAACCTTTGGACTCCAAAAGGAGAAAGATGAGAATGCCATTGGCAGATAGGTGCTACAGAAACACAGTGTATTCTTTCTCTTGTACATCTACCTTGAACATTTCTTGACAGTTAATAACAAAGTTGACAACGACATCATTATTTAGAATCTGTAATAGAACTGTTACAATTTTTAACATGTGCCATTTTAGATAAGTCTGTATCATATTTTGGAGCCAATAATATATTATGCAAGCTAGCATATATACTCACAACTTTTGTAAGACAGAGAGAGTTAAACATTTAGCAACTAAAGTCAAAAGGACTGACTTGATCTCAGTATGTAAAGTAAAACTTTCTGAAATACTAAAAAACAACTCACTTGTAATCATTTTTTTTCTTCTTCAGAAGCAATAATCCCTTCTGTCACTGTCTTCAGCTCTGCCTGGGGTTTTCTACTGTTCTGTTCTTGGCGAACTGTTTCTGCTATTTGCTCAGTTAGCTGCTCTTGAGTAGCTTTCAAGCTGGATTCCATTAGAAGAAGTTTTTCATCTTGACTGGCAAGTTCTGGGGCTGAAAGATAAAACAAGAACATTGCTTTTTTAAAAAACCAAGCTAATGTGTCTTGTTTTCCTTTTGTTTTTAGTTTAAATGTAATGCAATGTAACTTTGAGAAAGATTTAAACAGATCCTTGTTGTCAAAATACAAGCTCAAGAGTTCAATTCTCAGATTCCTTTACTTAAAGCACAAGTAAATAAAAGTATGTATGAGTAACATAGGATGCATGTCAGTGATCTCAACTTTATAAAACATTTGAATTAAAAAACTATATGTCTTAATCAGACAATTTTCTGAGTTTTGAGACTTCTATTGCTGCATAAATGTACCACAAAATAACAACATTGATGTGCAGATTCTTCTTCTTTTCTTAGCATAAGATTCAGGTAACTATACACTCACATAGACTAAGACTGATACAATTATAAATTTTTCCAAAATAACTGTTCTCCACTGGTGTATTTTCCATATAACCTTTATGAAATTTAAGTACTTTTTCAAGGTCATCCAATAGATGGCACTCTTTCATTAGACCAACGCAGACCTGGGATGCTTCAAGCTCTCAAAAATAAGTGATTTAAGACAAAGACATTTTTCCTTTGTTCTCTGTTGACCATATTCCTAGAGAGATATATCTGTATATTTTGTTCAAATATTTCTCCTTTATAAAAGTGTTTATCACTTTATTTCTATGGCCTCAAATATATACCGTCAAATGTAAATGCTATCAGGCATTTTTTTTAATCATATGCTTTAATATATATTTATTCACATTGTCTTATACAGTCAATTGTTGGAGAGGTTTTGAAGTTAAATTGTGTATCTAGTCTATTGCATTAAATAAAATGATATTTTATGAAAATCATTAATTTCAACTCTACAATACAAAATGAAGAAAAAAATAAATACTTGTATGATTCTCAAATCAACAGAAATAGCAATATTGAAGGACATATTTTCAGAAAAAGCTCATCTTCCCTTTTAATGATTCTCATTTTATATCCCAAAAATAGTGTTTATGTTCAGCTTCAATAAAGTTGTTAACCAAGATATTATAGTCTTACATCAGAGGTTACTTTTATGGGCAGCCTCATAAAGAAGTAACTTTATATAAATATTCTGCATCTATCACTCATCTTTAAAGTTTACTGATGTCTCCCTTAAAAATTAGATCTAGATTTATCTGATTATCAGTTTCTCATGTATAGATGTTAAGCACAGAGCTTATTTTTCAATAAATATATGCTGCATATATATTTGCATTGTTTTCTTGCAAGTATTCAAAGTGACCAGTTTTGCCCCAGAAGAAATTAAAGCATCTACCATTTTTATAGTTTAAATCTGCTATATATTAACAGTTTAAATTTTTGCCTCAGGAAACCACAGAACTAACACAAACAGCTAAATATTTAACAAGGAAGAATGCATCATCCAGGGCTCATCTTTATTAAATTCTAAATACATCGGAATCTTACATGAATAAATGAATCAGACATCTTACAATTTCAACACATGCTGAAATGTAGAAATAATTCCAAGTCTGATCTTACAGATTTGCCTTCAAAGTTAAAAAAATATATTGTGGCCAGGCACGGTGACTCACGCCTGTAATCCCAGCACTTTGGGAAGCAGAGGTGGGTGGATCACAAAGTCAGGAGTTCAAGACCAGCCTGGCCAACATGGTGAAAGCCCATCTCTACTAAAAATACAAAAATTAGCCAGGTGTGGTGGCGGATGCCTGTAATCCCAGCTACTCAGGAGGCTGAGGCAGGAGAATTGCTTGAACCTGCGAGATGGAGGTTGTAGTGAGCCGAGATTGTGCCACTGTACTCCAGCATGGCGACAGAGTGAGACTCTGTCTACAAAAAAAAAAAAGAAAAAACTTTCAAATTTAAAAAATGTATAAAGGCACTAATGCCTTCTCTGCTCTTAACCAATAAGAAAATATAAGTAAATAAAGTAAATTCATATTTTATGGTCATATTGTTTTAGCATTTTTAATAGGGTTGCATAAACAAGTGCAATTTAAACACTTTTTCACCTTTCACAGTCTATATTTCTTATAAAAGAAGAAAACTACACTAAAACTTTTTGAATGAGTTTTGAAGGGAATTTTTAGACACTGAAACTGAGAGGTTAATGATCTTTAAGTTTAAAGAACCTTGAGCAATAATGCACCATACAAACCATTATGGACAGAAGAATGTTCCAGGAAGTTTAGTTTTTGAAGACTCTACTTGATACCAATAGACTGACTTCAAGATTACTTGAGATAACCTGTGGCACATACACAAAAAGATTTTTTATCAGCTACATATGATGTGAATTTTCTATGAAGTTTGCCATTTTGAAATGACTAAGAGATTTATGCACCACAGTTCCCCTAAGAGTCTACTCTAATTCATTACGTGTTGCTTAAAAAGGGGTAAATTATTTTAAGTTTACCTATACCTTGGACTTGAGCCTGAGTTGATCCCAAGCCAGAGGCGCTCACAGCTGCATGCTTTATTTACAATCCCTTTGTCAGACTTACAACTGCCCCAGGCTATAACATAGTGTACCTAATGTTCAAACTGGCAGGTAATCTTATGTCAAACATACTTCTTTGATTTAAAGTGATCAATAGATTCTTGTAAAGAGGTAATTTCTCTGATGTTTCCACCTTGCCTTTCTTACAGGTGATTCACACAAAAGCCTGCTTATATGATGTACGAACAATAAACAGAAAGCTATAATCATGTTTTTTCAGATGTTTCCGGTGCACAACGATTTTGGATCGATACACTGTGTAATACAATTATCTGCAATGATCTGGTTGTATTGAAAAAGAATTTGCAGGAGACCTCTAGGGGGTTTTATCCAGAAACACGTATCTGGCAACGTTGTGAATAGAGGAAGAAAAAATTAACGGGTTGACAAAGCTGTCTATTTTGCATCCAATGTTTTCATTAATATTTTATTTCACAAAAGTATTACACTACAAAGTTTAGTCAAACAATAGCTCGACAATAATAATAATATCCATGGCTTTATGCCATTTGTTTGTTATTAAAAAACCTTGAGAATCATATGCATATAAACTATAGAAATTCAATGTTGGGTGAATATTATGTACCACAAATTATAGGCAATATTGATTATTTATTTATGCTATGAAAAAATCCTCTTTTATCTAAGCTATATAAATACTGTTGTCTCTGAAATACTTTGACATCTCTTCAACTACTTTTATTTACTTTTTTACTAGAATGGTAAAATTCTAGACTGGATATGAGTTTGAACTGTTCAACCCGCTATACGATAAGCCTTTTCTTTCAAGCATTTTTTTTAATAAAATGAAGATTTGCAACATCAGGGAAAGAGCTAACATATGCAGTTCTGTATCCAAAAGACATTAAACACATTTTCTGCTAAGATCTTTGTGTGTGGAAACAACTCACAGTTTTGTTTTTATGGTTCTCCCAAAGATGCTGACTCTTTGCAGCATCTTCCTCAAAGCTTGAAAAGACCCGAATTTCCTATTTTGAGCCTTTAATCATATATCCCTAATGTGAAATTCTCTTTTGTAAGGCAAGCACAGATTCACATCCTAATTCACAATTTGAGCTACACTATCACCTCTCCCAGAGCCCTGCTCCATGCAGATTCTGCAAGTCTCCTTCTGGCTGCTCTAACGATGCCGATTGCTTGTCAGATGGTTTTTTCCCTGTGTATACTGGATACTTGCTTCAGTCTCTTGACCACACCATCAAGGTGCTTCACCTTACCCACTTTGATTTTGATGGCTTCGTGTGCCTGCAGAAGACCAGCTTCAGACTTTCTCAGAAAGTTGTGTTTTTTTGCATTTTGCCTATGAAGACAAAAAACATTCCAATAGCATCCTTCATGATGTACTTTTTGTATTGCATCCTTCTATTTTGAACTAACAGATACTACAGATTATACAGCCCTTCATTAGCACTGGGAGTATCCACATGTCTTCCAGGGTCAAAACCTTAAGGAGAATTTCTAAAGAAAAAAAAAAAAGTCAGTTGAAGAGAAGATTCACCATTAACCTAAACACAGTGTTAATCAACAAATAAAGGTTCAAAAGCAAAATAAAATATTTTCTATAATTCTTAGGGAATCAAAAAAAGGGACTGGTTGGATCAAAATGAATTCTTTTTATTGAAAATATAAAAGAGAATTGAATGAATACATAAACTGTGTTTAATCTCTTTGAATTAACACCTTTATACTCCTTTCATTCAATTCTAAAGCAAACTACGTAAATATGACACACAGGGAAATCCCTCCACCATAAAGAAAATTATGATATTCTCCTAATGACTTCTCCACACCACTTAAACTAATTAGCTTTATAAGAATACTATGTTTGTCACTTTCTTTTTCAATTTTATTATCTTTCTAAAACACCATCTCTCAATGTTAAATTTGAGTAAGGTGAGACATTAAATATAATCAAAGACCAAAATGATAAATGAAAGTGCTTCTCTAAAAGAAAACTCGCTCAACTTTGTTGGTGATGTTTTCATATCCATCAATATGGTATTCCTGACCTTTTTAAAAATTGGCTCCCTGCCACACCTTGACTCTCTATCATGCTTTATCAAGCTTCTTTTAATCTGAACATTTAGTGTTCTTTCATGTCTTAATTACAGCAAATTGCGGCACAGTTGGCACCATTTCTTGAAATTAATCCCAGAGTACTTTGTTTCTGTCAAGCAGTCAAAGCCTTGGAGAATAATAGTAAATGTTATTGCAGATCTAAATTTAAATGACTGTCTATGTATTTAACTTAAGCCTTTAATTATTCGTGCTGAACTGTTTTTGGTTAAAATGTTAAACACTATTAATTGAGAATGTAAAATTGCTTTAGACAACTTAAAAACTGCAGATATGTTTGACTATAATTTTATCACAACAATTTATATCAACATATTCTTCTCAGGTATGCAAAACTTAGTAAATGGCATGTATCTTCTTATGGATATGTATTTCGATGAGTTCTACTACCCTTGTCATTATTAACATAAGGTATGAACAGGCCTATTCAATTCCAAATGGCTTTTTGCTAACAAATTGTTAAAATGTAATCCAGACTCAAGAATGCCTTGGTATTACTATCATAAATTGCCTTTAAATAAGTCAGAGATAATGAAGTATTTCCACAGTTCTTATAAAAATAAGAATTAGAGGTTTTTGTTTGTGTGTTTTTCCACAGAAAACTTAAAGGTCCTAAACTCTCAATGGCCAGTTCTTTCATTCTCCTATTCTGAGCAGACTCTAGTAATATTCAGATTCAAAAAGAAAGAAAGCACTACTACTCTTTCTTTTTTTCTTCTTTTTTAAGAGATGGGGTCTCGCTCTGTTGCCCAGGCTGGAGTGCAGTGGCAGGATTATCTCGCACTGCTTACTATAACCTCAAACTACCAGCCTAAAGCGATCCTGTTACCTTTGACTGCCAAAGAGCTGGGATTGCAGGCATGAACCACCATGCTGGGCCAAGAAAGTACTGCTTTACAAAATAATATGAGTTTGAAAAGTCCAAATTAGTAGAATTCACCATTCACATCTTATGTATATATATTTAAAGGAATAGAAATTGGAAAACTTGGGGACAAAGATTGTAAACTTGAACAGATTTCAACTATTGGATCATGTTATTTTTTAAGAAGGCAAATCACTTTTTTGTTTGCATGAACAATAAAAATTATATACTTTTAAAAGTAGATATATATATATATACACACATGCATACATATATATATATACTTTGCAGTAAACCACATAGTTGGAACATATGTATCATCATCGTCCTCTCTGTGAACTCCTACCAAGATATGAGCTTTATGTAGACAAGGACATTGCCCTATTTATCCATCTGTGTGTTACTAGCATCTTGTTCAGAGTCCTATAGGTAGCACTTTCTATACAGTAAAGCTTTAGTGAACTGCATTGAGTAGATGTTGCTAATTTCACCTGTCAGATATGTGTCATTTTCCTTACTAGGAAAAATGTGCCATTTGCTTTGCCTCTGAAATACAAAGTAAATAAGGAAGGATTTACACTTACAGTTTTGGCAGATTTATCTTCGAGCCATCTACAGGCATAATTGGATAAATACTACAATTTTATTTAGTTTTAATTTATATCTAAACGAAACTTGATAGCATTTCTATAACCAACACTTACAGTATATATTGAATTTAGAGACAAACAACAAGAGAGATGAAGTCAAAAAATTTATGGTAAAATAGATATTCCTCAATAATTCAGAAAAAGATGTGCAAAGTAATGTTTCCAGCTCCCTTTCCTTTTCAACAGCTATGTGATTTTTGAATAGATATGTTTCCCCATTTTCTCACAATCTCAAGGGTGTAGCTGATCTTTCTGACTACAAAGTTTCTTAGCAGCTGTAAAGACCCTTTCAGGCTGTGTTATGTGATGTTCTAGATGAACAAGTTCCACTTTGTGGTTATGTTTGGTAGCTATTACATCCAAATGCAATGACTGCAAGGTGTCTTCTAGCTTTTTCAATTGCAAGAACAGCTTTCTCCCTCATGTATGCATCAGATATTAGCTGTTTTGGCTTTTTTCTTCTTCTGTGCTCTCTTCACATTCTTATAATTTTATCAGTTTGTACTGCATTTAAGGTCATGGCTAAAATAAGAAATTAATGTGCATGATACCAGATATATTCCATTCATTACATTATCTAAACATTATAGACCCACTTAGAATAAATAAACAAGCATGTCTTTCTCGTAGTACGCTTAATGTAAATGTGGAAACTGAGGGATATCAAAGTGAAACCAATTATCTCAGCCTGGGGTAATTTTACATATGCTGTTTTTACATCTTAGAAAATCAAGGAACTATCATATTCTTGCAACAAACCTAAAAGGAGGAGGACTTCCACACACTTGTTTCATATAACCAAGGCATTTCTTTCTTTCTTTCTTTCTTTTTTCTTTTGAGACAGGATCTCTCTCTGTTACCGAGGCTGGAAGTACAGCAGCGTGATCACAGCTCGCTACAACCTTGCCCTCCTGGGATCAAGTAATCCTACCAGCTTAGCCTCCTGAGTGGCTGGGACTACAGATGCATGCCACTTCCCTCGCTAAGTTTTTAATTTTTTGTAGAAATGGAGTCTCACTACATTGCCCAGGTTGACCTCAAACTCCTGGGCTCCAGTGATCCTCCTGCCTCAGCCTCCCAGACTGCTGGGATTATAGGTATGAGCCACCATGCCCAGCCTAAGCAAGAAATTTCTTCAGGTAAGAATTACTCCAGTGTGCTTAAGTAATTTAATTTCTTATTTTTATAATAAACTACCTGCTAGTTAATTAAATTAAAAAATCCTATTGCATTATACAAAATCACTTAATATGAATGATTTTATTTTTACCCCTAATGTAAGCTAACATTACTATCTCATTTTATGAACAAACTAAACTTTCAATCCTTCACTGTTTCTACTATCTCATGCTATTGCTTTTTAGCATTGTTATGGAAAGATTTGAGTTTTATGGTACACATTACTAGGTTAATAAACTAACATTTAAATTAAAAGTTTGAATTTATATTACAATAATCATAATATATATGATGACAGTGGTAATATTATACTCAATGTGAATCACACATTAGAACAAACTATGTCACTTAGTCCATTTTCTGTTGCTAAGAAAATGGACTAAGGTTCAACATCACAAATCAAAAAATCTAAAATTCAAAAGTTTTTGTGTGCAAATATGAAGCTCAAAGGAATAATTCCCGGAGCATTTTGGATTGCAGATTTTCAGATTTGGGCTGCTCAACTAGTAAGTATAATACAAAATTCTTAAATCAAAAAAAAATTCAATCATTTCAGACAAGGAATATTCAACCTGTATCATATACTGGATAATTTATAAATAAAAGAAATTTACGTAGCTCACAGTTCTGGAGGCTCGGAAGCCCAAGAGAATGGCACCAGCATCTGATGAGGGGCTTCTGTCAGCATCATAACATGGCAAAGGACATCACATGTCAAGAGGGCAAGAGCATGCGTGTCATTTCAGGTCTTTCTTCCTTATCTTACAAAGTCACTAATCCCCTCCCAAAGGCCCCACCTCCAAGCAACATATGAATTCGTGGACTGTTTCCAACACAAGAAATTTGGGGAACACTTTCAAACATATATCTAAATGAAACTATCTCTTAAGCTTTAGCATCGTGATTTGAACTCTTTATTGTTCTCAAGTCCACTTATTTTGAGTGAAAATCACAATATTTAGCAATGTGAAATGAGTCTCTCTCTCTCTCTCTCTCTCTTTTCTCTTTCCCTTTCTCTTTCTCTTTCTTGGTGTCGTATTTTTTCTGTTCCATCCAGAGAAGCCAATTACGCACAGTGAAGGATTTCCTCAGTACCAGAAATGCAATTATTATCAAATACTAGATAACATCATTAGTTACTAATGATTAATTAGACCATATTCTGTTGGAGTTGTTATAGAGTCGAGATAAGTAGAAGTGGAAATGTCCTCAATAGCAGAGAAAAATTCAAAGAGACCTGAAGAATTGGCACTACTACATTGTGAGCCATCAGCCTTGTGTATCAAAAAGTAGAATCAGGTAATCTACAGACAGGACAAAGATTATAAGGCAGAATCCTAGGATGGAGAAACACCAAAGATACAAGTTAAAATTAAAAGATAGGCCGGGCATGGTGGTTCATGCCTGTAATCCTAACACTTTGGGAGGCTGAGGTGGGCCACTTGCTTGAGCTCAGGAGTTCAAGACCAGCCTGGACAACATGGTGAGACTCCCGTCTCTACTAAAAGTGCAAAAATTAGCCAGGCATGGTGGCACATGCCTGTGGTCCCAGCTACGTGGGAGGGCTTAAGTGGGAAGATTGCTTGAGCCTGGGAGGTGGAGACTGCAGTGAGTCAAGATCCCGCCACAGCACAGCAGCCTGGGTGACAGAGTAAGACCCCATCTCAAAAAACAACAACAACAAAAAATTAAGAGATGCTGGATCATAGGCAGTGAACACCAAATATCATAAGGTACAGAGAAAATGAATTTTTTAAAAAATTCATTTTATAGAGAGCCCTATTTGAAACCTGTTGCTATTCAATGAATAATAAAATTAGAAAATTAGAATTTTGGCCAGTAATATCAATAGCTTAGCACATCATTATTAATTATTGAGATTCAGAAAATTCCCATTTGCAACTGTTACTTTGTACAATGTATTAGAATTAGGCCATTATTTTGTTGACACCAGGGACTGTCTTGTATGTTTTCTGTTCAATGGCCCTAGCCCTGCTCCTGGCATACAGTAGGTGCTCACAAATGCATACTGAATTGAACTAAGAACTTAAGCATCAATAATAATAATTATAGCGATACATTAAATACACATCAAATTCATAACTTTGGAGAAAAATATCCATACATAGAGTGTATTAAAAAAACTAATAAGTTCACTAAATTGGAATTTTTTGTAATAAATATTAAACAATAAATTACTCATAAATGTATGTTGGATTGAACTAAGAACTTAAGAAGCAATGATAATGATTATAGTGACACTTTAAATACACATCAAATTTATAAATTTGGAAAAAATATCCATAAGTAAAGTGTATTAAGAAAACTGATGAATTCACTAAGTTGGAATTTTATGTAATAAACATTTAGCAATAAATTACTTATAGTTTCCAAAACTGAAAAATGAGTACATAAAGTGAGTCACTATTTTACAGTTATAGTTTGTAGTGTTCTTTCTTACATATACAGTAAATTTTGTGAGAATAAATGGCTACCTTAATTCTGAGAAACAAATTAATTATGTATATATCACAAAGAATATAAAAGTCCTTTAAAAGCAAGCAAATGGAAAACCACATACCCAGCTTAGTTTAGATGTTCAAAACTTTCATTCTCCGTGTGCTTTCAAAAAAAAATTATGTTATTTATAATTCAGGCATAGGACTATCATCTTCAGCAATATTAATTCTCACTGGAATTTCTGAGTCATTTTAGTGGCTTTTGAAAAATCATATCATAAAGTACTCAAAATTCTATCTATGCCAAAAGTTAAAATATCCAGAGTTAAAAGAATCCAGAGCAGGATATGCAAACAGATTAAAGTTTCTATCAAAGTTTCACCACTTATTAACTGTGTAAACTTAGTTGAACCATTAATCCTTCCTGAGTCTCAGTTTGCTCCTATGTAAAATGGGAATATAATAGCTATCTCATAGAGATGTTGTAAGATACAAAACAAAAACACATTGGTTATATACCTGACACAGTAGGCACCTAATTAAAAAGATTAATATGATTAGAATGGGTTATGCTTTTTATCTTAAAAGTTTATTTAAATTTAAGCAATTCTGAAAATTACGAACAGCCACCATGTGTAAATACCACTATATATATATTCTTGATACATTATATCTGTACATATTTATAGGGTATGTGTGAAATTTTGTTACATGTATAGAAAGTGTGATTATCAAGTCATGTTGTTTAGACTATTCATCACCTGAAAATTTATCATTTCTATGTGTTAGGGACATTTCTTCTCTTCTAGCAATTTATTTATTTTTATTAATTTATTATTTTTTTTTTTTTGAGACAGACTCTCGCCCTGTCACCCAGGCTGGAGTGCAATGGTGTGATCTCAGCTCACTGCAAACTCCGCCTCCTAGGTTCTAGTAATTCTCCTGCCTCAGCCTCAACTCTAATAGAAACCAATTAATAAAGCCCATAATCTATTAAACATGTCTCAGAGTGTTTGAAGGGCACATGTTTATCTCTAAGCCCTGCATAGAGTGGGTAAGTTAGGCAGATATCTCAAGGGTAATCCACTAGCAACAGTTAAGAAGCAGCAGCTAGTTATTGGCATTTCCTTCCTTTGTGGGTATTCTCCTTTTTTTTTTTTTTTTTTTTTTTGTATTTTTAGTAGAGGTGGGTTTTCACTATGTTGGCCAGGCTGGTCTTGAACTCCTGACTTCAAGGGGATCCACTCGCCTTGGCCTCCCAAAGTTCTGGGATTACAGGCATGAGCCACCACACCCAGCCTTTTCTAGCTATTTAGAAAATACAATACACTGTTATTAACTATAGTCATGCTATTTGGCTATCAAACATTAGGACTTATTCCCTCCATCTCACTATATTTTTGTACCCATTAACCAACCTGTCTCTATCCCCCTCCCTAACCACATACACCTCCCACTCTCTCTTATGTATCATTCCACTGTCTACCTCCATGAAAGATCACTATATTTTTAAATCTCACTGTTTTTCAAAGATGACTTTTTCCTTATGTTTTGCAATCATGTGTTTAACTGTCTCTCTGCCTTAGTCCATTCAGGTTGCTATAACAAAATACCATAAACTGAGTAGTTTATAAAAGGCTTTTTTTCACAGTCCTAGAGGCTGGAAAGTCCAAGATCAAGGTGCTTGAAGATTTGGAGTTGGTGAGGGCTTACTTCTTAGTTCATAGAAGACCATCTTTTTGCTGTGTCCGCATCTGGCAGAAGAGGAAAGGAATCTCTCGGGAGCCTTTTTCACAACAGCACTCATTTCATTCATGAAGGCTTCGCCTTCATGTTCCAATCACCTCCCAAAGGTGTCACCTCCTAATACTATGACCTTAAGGGTTCGGATTTCAACATAAGAATTTTGGAGAGACACGAACATTCAGATCATTGCACTCCTTAACATGTTTTCTTATAATGATAAATCAAGTCCAGTCAAATCAATCTGTGGAATTTTTTTAAAAGTCTACTTTGTTAGATTAACAAGAAATAAATCAAAATTCAATTGTAATAATTATCTTTGATGGAATGGAGTTGTCATTATTATTTTGTAACTATTTTGAAATAGAAGATTCTGGTGCTTTCTCTCTGGTACTTGACAGATTTATCCTGGTAAGTACATGTTAACTCCACACTGATCTAATCTAGAGTTCCGAGGCTAAGGAGTAGATGTAAGCCAATAAAACTGTCAGGTCAGAATTTGGTTTTCAAGTCAGATGTAACAACGTAGAGGCTAGTGTACTCTCTAGAGAGAGAGAGAGGAAAGAATGAGAGAGATAAATATTATATGTGATATACATTTGAAGGGGTGTTGGAAGCTTTGAAGAGAATTTGGGATCAATGAGAAGGAAATACAGAAAAAAAAAAAAAAAGAAGAAGAAGGCAGAATACCCACAAAGGAAGGAAATGCCAGCAACTAGCTGTTCCTTCTTAACTGTGTCTTGTGGATTACCCTTGAGATATCTGCCTAACTTACCCTCTCTATGCAGGGCTTAGAGATAAACATGTGCCCTTCAAACACTCTGAGACATGTTTAATAGATTAGTTTATGGGCTTTGTTAATTGGTTTCTATTAAAGTTGAATCTGCTTATCTGACATGTGGAACTACGTGATGTATTCAGAGTGCTTAATAAGACTTGGTTTATGTAAGTGTCCATGAGTGTATTAGTGACAGACAGAAGGAGATGGGGCCAGAAGATAAACAGAAAAATAAATGTTAGTAATAGTAAATAAATTCAACTACTACTAGAGGACATTTCATTAAAAGCCCTTGACAAGACAAGCATACAGAACAATCAGCTTAAACTGGGAGGGTGAATAAATTTATTTTCTCTCTCTTTCCCCCAGGATGTAACAGTGGACATCTGTGGAAACACAGCTTGTGGGAACACTGGAGTCTAACCTATAAGTAGTGTTACTTCTGCTTGCTCCTCTAGGACACCTTAAGTGGACTTTGAGGAAATTTTGTGTAAGTAGTAGATACTACTCTAAATTAGTGTATTTTCTCACTTGCCAGGCACTATTTTAAGTGTAATTTTATTTATTTCACTTAGTTTAAGAAAATTAGCGTTCTGCGGGAGGAAGTTCTGTATATATGGTGGTAAGATAGTAATGATCAATTTAATCGTTCTTCAGAAAATTAGCCAATAAAATGTTGAAGATGTTACAAGTCACTGAAACGTCACTGGGAACATTTGTTGCTTGTAGCTGCCTCTTTCACAAAGAGAAGAAACTGGTGGTACCTGCTTTCAGTGAGAACCACTGATATGGTTTTGCTGTGTCCCCACCAAAATCTCATCTTGAATTGTAGCTCCCATAATTCCCATGTTTCATGGGAGGGACCCAATGGGAGGTAATTGAATCATAGGGGCGGGTCTTTCCCATGCTGTTCTCATGATAGTGAATAAGTCTCACAAGATCTAATGGATTGATAAAGGACAGTTCCCCTGCAGACATTATCTTGCCTGCTGTCATGTAAGACATGCCCTTTCTCCTTCATCTTCCACCATGCTTGTGAGGCATCCCCAGCCATGTGGAACTGTGAGTTCACTAAACCTTTTTTCCTTTATAAATTATCCAGTCTTGGATATGTCTTTATTAGTAGAGTGAGAACTGACTAATACAACCGTGAATGAGAATCTCGATGTCACCCAATTGTTTTAAACACTGCAAAAAAGAAGGTGCTTTGGGAAGGACAAACAGTAGCCCATATTTTCACCATAATGCCTTCCAATTTTAAACATGGCTGCAGCTTAATGCTGTCATTATTAAAAGCTTAAAATTTTAAATGGCTTTCAGGCCCTGTCTATTCCAAAAGTTCAACTTTTCCTATTACACACTAAATTCCCATTGTGCTTGTTTTCTTTTAGTTATTAGAGTGCCCTAAACTGCTTTTCTCCCATGTCAGGGCCTGGGTCAACATTATCCCTTTACCTTTGAATTCACTTCCTCCAACCTTACTTGCTACCACCACCTCAAACCTTGCTACTTCCTTCATTTTTCATCATCAACTTAAATTACACTTTCTCAAAAATCACCCCTTACTCCATCCACTAGACAAGGTAAGTTTCTTTTGACATACACCATCAGGGGTCCCATTCATTTTTATAAGATTTAGAGTAATTATAAATAAACACACATTTGTATCATTATTTGCCTACTGTCAGTTTCTCTAACCACAGTTTGGGTTCTCTGCACGAATTGGCAATTCTGTCATGGTCAGTATTGTATTCCCTGTGCCTAGCTTACTACCTGGCAAGAGCTTCCCGTCATGTGCCTAGTATATAGTAGACAAACAAAAGAATGAATAAATAAACTCCCACTGATAAAAACTACCATTTGAATAGTGTTAAGCTGATAAGCCTGTATATGATTCAACCATGATGTAAAAATGAAAGATTAAAGTTATTATTTTCCTTTCTCTTTAGAGAACTTCCTTTAGCCATTTTTTAAGGGTGACTTGGCTGGTGACAAATTCTTTTAGTTTTCCTTGGTCTCAGCATGTTCATTTATGAAGGATTTTTTTTGATTAAAAAAATTCAAGGTAAATAGTTTTATTTTCTTTTAAGCTCTTGAAAAATGATGTGTGCTTCTTTCTGAATCCATAGGTTCAGATGAGAAATCTGCTGTCACTCAAACTGTCATTCTCCTATGGGTGATGTCATTTATCTTCAGCTGCCCTGATGATTTATCTTTGAAAAGTTTGATTGTAATATGCGTTAGTGTTCATGTATTTGGGTTTATTCTGTTTGTGTTTTTCTCAGCATCTTTAATCCATAAGTCTATGTATTTAATGAAACTTGAAAAAATTTGTCATTATTTTTTGAATAATTTTCCATGCTATGCTTTTTTTAAAAATTGTATTTTGTATTTCAATAGTTTGGGGAAAACAGGTAGTGTTTGGTTGCATGAAAAAGTTCTTTAGCGGTGATTTCTGAGATTTTGGTTCACTTGTCACTTGAGCAGTGTACACTGTACCCAATGTGTAGTCTTTTATCCCTCATCCCCCTCCCACACTTGCCCGCCGAGTCCCCAAAGTTCATTAAATGATTCTTACGGTATGAATGATAATATGAGGAGCTTTGCATCCTTATCGCTTAGCTCCCACATGTAAGTAAGCACACACAATGTTTCGTTTTTCCATTCCTGAGTTACTTCACTTAGAATAATGGTCTCCAATTCCATCCAGGTTGCTGGAATAGAATGCCATTATTTTATTCCTTTTTATGGCTGAGTAGTATTCCATGGTGTGTGTGTATATATATATCTCACATTTTCTTTATCCACTTCTTAGTTGATGGGCATTTAGGCTGGTTCCATATGTTTGCAGTTGTGAATCATGCTGCTATAAACATGCATGTGCAAGTGTCTTTTTCATATAATGACTTTTCTTCCTCTGAGTAGATACCCAGTAGAGGGATTACTGAATCAAACAGTAGTTCTACTTTTAGTTCATTAAGGTATCTCAATACTGTTTTCCATAGTGGTTGTACTACCTTACATTCCCACCAGCAGTGTAAAAGTGTTCCCTTTTCACCACATCCATTCCAATATTTATTATTTTTTGATTTTTTTTGATTATGGCTATTCTTGCAGGAGTAAGGTGGTATCTCTTTGTGGTTTTGATTTGTATTTCCCTTATAATAAGTGATTTTGAGCATTTTTCATATGTTTGTTGGCCAATTACATACCTTCTTTTTTTTTTTGGAGAGAAAAGGGATTTTATTTATCTATTTTTAAATTCAATTACAACCTTTATTGCTTTCGGTATTTAACCTTATGTGAATCCTATTAAGACAATGATACATTTGCATTTGAGGTGTTTATGATTAAACTAAGTTTCCCTCTCCTTTTTCTTTATATATATATATTTTTTTTTTCTTTTTCCTCAGGGATCTAGAACTAGAAATACCATTTGACCCAGCCATCCCATTACTGAGTATATACCCAAAGGAATATAAATCATGCTGCTATAAAGACACATGCACACGTATGTTTATTGCAGCACTACTCACAATAGCAAAGACTTGGAACCAACACAAATGTCCAACAATGATAGACTAGATTAAGAAAATGTGGCACATATACACCATGGAATAGTATGCAGCCATAAAAAATGATGAGTTCATGTCCTTTGTAGGGACATGGAAGAAGCTAGAAACCATCATTCTCAGCAAACTATCGCAAGGACAAAAAACCAAACACCGTATGTTCTCACTCACAGGTAGGAATTGAACAATGAGAACACATGGACATAGGAAGGGGAACATCACACACCGGGACCTGTCGTGGGTGGGGGGAGGGGGGAGGGATAGCATTAGGTGATATACCTAATGTAAATGACGAGTTAATGAGTGCAGCACACCAACATGGCACATGTATACATATGTAACAAACCTGCACGTTGTGCACATGTACCCTAGAACTTAAAGTATAATAAAAAAATGTATACCTTCTTTTGAGAATTGTCTATCCATGTCCTTTGCCTACTATTTGATGGGATCGTATGTTTTTCTGGGTTTTTTTTTTTTTTTATTTGTTGTTGTTGTTTGTGGTTTGTTTGTTTGTTTTGGCTGATTTAAGTTCCTTGTAGATTCTGGATATTAGTCCTTTGCCAGATGCATTGTTTGTGAATATTTTCTCCCACTCTGTGGGTTTTCTGTTTACTCTGCTGATTGTTTCTTTTGCTGTGCAGAAGCTTTTTAGTTTAATTAGGTCCTATTTATCTTTGTTTTTGTTGCATTGGCTTTTGGATTCTTGGTCATGAACTCTTTGCCTAAACCAATGTCTAGAAGGGCTTTTCTGATGTTATCTTTCAGAATTGTTGTGGTTTCAGGTCTTAGATTTAAGCCTTTGCTGCATGTTCAGTTGATTTTTGTATAAGGTGAGAGGTGAGGATCAAGCTTCATTCTCCTACATGTGGCTTGCCAATTACCCAGTACCATTTGTTGAATAGGATGTCCTTCCCCCACTTTATGTTTTTGTTTGCTTTGTGAAACATCATTTGGATGTACGTATTTGGGTTTATTTCTGGGTTCTCTATTCTGTTTCATTGGTCTACGTGTCTATTTTTATACTAGTATCATGCTCTTTCGGTAACTATAGCCTTGTAGTACACACTATGCTTTTTAATCTTATCCTTCTTATAGTCTAATGAGATGGATATTAGATCTTTTGATTTGGGCCCACAGGTCTCTAATGCTCTGTTAGCCCTTTTTTTTTCCAGATTAGGTAATTTATATTGCCCCTATCATCAAGTTCATGATTCTTTCCTCTGTTATCTCCAATCTACTATTGAGATATACACACACACACACACACACACATATACACACACACATATATACACACACGTATATATGTGCGTGTATTTACCTATAAAATATAGGTGTATATATATTTTATATATATAAAATATATATATAATATATATATTTACATATATATTATTTATATTATACCTAATAATATATATATATATATATATATATATATATATTTACCTATACCAATTATCCAGGTCTGGGTGGAGATGAAAGTTCAGCTTTCCACTGGGCCTGCTGACACTACTTCTAATAAAGCAGAGCACAGAATTGCACCACCTCCTTACTGTTGGGCGAAGATGGAAGCTCAGCTCCCTGCTGATCCCCACAGGGAAAGTGGAGCCCCATGCCACCTCATTCTGCCTCATTGCTGACAGTGGGGCTGGAGATTCATCACTCTACTGGGCCTCACTTACACTGAGGAAGATGTGGCAGCAGCGTGTTTAATAGCACCACCTTGTAGTGCCTTATTCAGCCATATTTCTGTCTTATAGGTTGAAGTTCTGGTCCTTGCTTGGCCCCACTGAGAACAATTTGGTGGGGCAATCAGAACGCTGTCTGTTGCTGCCAAGTAGAGGATGGAAATGTCCATCTCCACTGATATCAGTGTTAGGGAGCAGCAGTGTTTCTACTGATATTGGCTGGATTAGGGTGTCAAAAAGTTTACTCTTGTACAAGGTCATCATTTTTCTGGTCTTTTGGTTGGAGGAAGCAAGTTTTTCTTGGGTCTTTTTTATCTGTTTCTTTAGGTGGTTCTAGGTTGTAGTCCTCTCCCATTCCGGATATATGAGAGGCAAAAAGAAAATTTGGGGAACTCGCCATTTTTTCATTCCTCAAGTGCCATGGTTTTTTGCCATCATTGTTTTCTTTTCATCATTCAGGGTCTTTCTACGTTTGCTTGTTGCATTATGTTCAGGTTTTTGAGTTATAAGGAAGAAGACTATGGAATAAATAGACTGTTTCATTTCAGTGTAAACCAAAA
Source organism: Homo sapiens (assembly GCF_000001405.40). Lineage (NCBI taxonomy): Eukaryota > Metazoa > Chordata > Mammalia > Primates > Hominidae > Homo > Homo sapiens. The sequence goes on along the minus strand of NC_000008.11, from coordinate 77,380,851 downwards.
GTGTCCAAAAGTTATTTTAAACATATGTGTCTAAGTTCTTATATTATTATATTTTCTCATTAGAAAATTTGGTAACGTTATGTGATTAAGATCCAAGGAAAGTGGTTTTATTATGACTCAGTCCTAGATTCCTGGTCATAAATAAGGCCTAGGGAAAGAGATTTATTTCTAAGGAGAAAAAAGGAGTTTGAAAACTTACTTAATTTCTGACTTGCTTACATTTAAATTCATTATGTAATATACTTTAGTAATAATATATATTTTATGCAACACATATGCAGCCATACTTTACATATCATGTCCTAAGCGTTATTTTGTTCCAAAGACTAAGAGAAATAATAAAACAAACAAAAAATGGAAATTTAAATAAAATGATATAATTAGCAAATTATACATCATGTTAATAACTAGGAAAAACAGGTTACTAAGTACTTGAGGGAAACTCCAAATTGCTCAACTGTTGGGTGACATAAACAAAAAAACAATTTAATTAACCAGGATTGTATTTTTAAGTTGCTTCTATTTTAATAATATAGTATTCTGTGTCAGATAAGTCAATGTTGAAACCACAGTTACCATCTTCTGAACTGTCATGCTGGGTGGTAGGATATCACCATGCTTTATTAGCTTGTCAGCCTTACACAATTGCAATTTCCACACCCTCTGTAATAGTTTTTTGCTCCTATCAATTTTTAAGAGGCATCCCCTATTACTAAAAAAATTTCTATGTTCTTAGGAAAGAATTTTATTCTTTGTCTCTGCCTCTGTTTCTCTCTTTCTTTCTTTCTCTCTTTCTCTCTCTCTCCATCTATCTACCTATCTACCAACATATGCATATATTTCTGAGAAAAAGTAGATTATAAGTTTACCGATGAGGCAAGCTGGACCTAAGATTTTAATCATGGATATTAAAGAAAGACTGGTACTCTTAAATCCAAAATGTTTGTACCAAGCAGCTCAACAGCTCCATGACCCTTCCAGTGTTTGTCTGCTTTTTACAGAAACCTCTTTCTGAATGGAATTGGAACTGCTGAAGCAGTAAGTGAAGATGACTGTGATTGAGCAGGCCCAAGGAAATACTAGTTAATATCATATTATATCTACAATGAATAGCTATAATGTTATATAGTAACATTGCATATATGTGCATGCATATATTGTGTACATATCCTTACATATATTAATTACATATAAATCTATATCTCTCATATCTATATGTTATCTATGTCTATATCCATCTATTCCATATTCCTATATATACGACATATAGTGTGGCATTCTATATATTTTATATATATATATATTAGTTTAGAATGTGCCAGTAACCATCACTATAAATGACTTATATTCATAAGCAGCTTTTCTCTTTAATTTAGTGAATGGTAAAGGATCTGTGTATGTGTAAGCTTAAATTGGCAAACCAGTAGTTGTTGATGTTTTAAAAAATGAAAATCAATTTCAGAGATTTTATGTAGCAAATTAACTCTTTTTTAGCAAAAGTATTCTACATTGCACAATAAAAATAAGTTTGTGCTAGGAATCTACTTCATAAGTATTAATTCGTCCATTACCACTCATTAGCTGACTAACTCTAAGCAAGTTAGAAAATCTCCCTGAGTGTCACATTTCTTATTTGGAAATGTTTTCATGGGTATGTGATGGAATAAATTATCTCTACAGTCCTTTCTAGCTCTGAAGATTTTGAAAACATAACTTTAAACTTTGCATATTAATTATTTCTGAATACCAGAAATGAAGTATTAAGTCCATTAAAAGCAATCAGATATATATTTAGAAATGAAAAGAATGCATGTTTAACACTCACCTAGTAAATTTTACTTTTCTTGATGACACTATTATTTATAATAAACTTTCTTCCTTGGTCCTAGCCTTCTATGTCAGCCACAGCTGTGTCTTCTCTGAGCTCCCTCTGCTGGGATAGATGTCCTGCTGTTTTGCTTTGGGAGGTCTCAGATAGGCTCTTGCTAATACTTAAGACCTATCTCTCAAACTTCAGCCTTATCTATCTAATGAATGCCTGTTTGCCATCAGCTCAAAGTGCCCAGGGAGAATCAAATCTCTTGATCCTTGCTTTATGAACATCTACTTACTGGATCTCAGGGTCAGAGGCTCTGTGATGTAGCCACTCTGGTATTGTACTCTCCCCAGGAATCCAGGGTTCAAACGCTCCTGCGGCCACTAACTGCTATGGTGATAGATGGCTTCAAGCTGGTCTGACTGTTCCAGACCCCAGGTATATGAATTCCTGTAAGTCTGGACTTGCTACTTCACTGCTCTACAGCCGCAGCATCTCTTCTGCTCCTTCTGGGCAGCCTACCTTTAATTAGATGCTTCCCCAACACCTTATTTCACACCTTATTTAGGCCTCTTTATGCTCCTCCAGGCAAGGCCCAAGGAAAATTAGCTTATATCTAGTTCCATCTACAGCCCTTATTCCAATCTTATTCCTTCTTTCAAGGAGAACAGAAAATGTACAATACTGTGGCATTTTTCTCTCAATCAGGACAGGCATTTACGTCTATTGGTAAGATAATCAGGTGCTGCCTATTGTTCTTAGAAAGGAATCTGAAAGTACAGCTAATCCTAAAAGCATTTTAAAGTCTGAGAGCAGAATTTTAAATAAATTCTAGGAAATTATTGGATAATAGCCCTATAGAAAGAGTTGAATGTAATAAATTAAGATAGGAAAGAGGAAAGAAAAAGACAAATGAAAGACAGTTGTCTGCCTTAGACATGTCAGTTTTAGTTACCATACTCTGGATTTGACCACTAATTGAATCAGCTTTTTAAAAAAAATTCATTCTTCAAGTGTTAAAAATGTTACCTTTAAATATTATATTGGCATTTTGTTTGAGTTTGTCGTTTTAATCCAAGACTACCTATGTATATATTGCATCACCATAAACTATCACTATATCCCTAATTGAACAAATAAGTTTTATATATATATACATATATATATATATATATACACATATAACTAAATACTTAGTGTCAAACTATGGGACCTAACAGTTATTTCTGGTCTAGAAGAACTTCTGCCTTTTCTCATAAACATAAAACAAAGCAGAGGCGAACTGTTAAGACAGAATGCAAAGGAAAATAAAGCATAGGGGAGTCCTGAGGCTCCCCGAAATAAGACCTGGAGAATCAGTCATTTATTTGAAGTCATTTATTGAAGACAGACAGTAATGCAAGGCAGCTAAGAGTCATCAGCACACATTAGACACTCCATGACCATCAGTGAATAAATGTTAAATATCATCAAATAATATCTAAATGCTAAAATGTAGATGCTGGTACTAGAGTAATCAGATTCAGACAGGTAGCAGAACAAGTGCATCCATGCGATAAGACTCAGTCTTGATTCATATGCTTCTAGGTAATGTGCGTTAATATTTTATTTAATGTTTTTATAAATTGGCATTCATGGGTAAAATTGGGCTTGAATTCTCTTTATATTTTGGAAGAGAGCATAACAGATGAAGTATATCTTTTATGATTGTTTTGGTTTAATATTTTGCCGCCTTCATAAAAAAATTGAAAGATATCTTCATTCTATGTTTTAGATACTTTCACATAATTTTGGAATTAACCAATTCTTAATGAATTGCTGTTAGAAACAGTTCTTTTTTTAGCGTAGTTCTTTTTAAAAAATCTGTTTCCTTGATGATGTAAACCTGTTCGGATTACCTGTCTGTCTGTCGTTGCTTGTGGCGGGTTATATTTTCTTATATATTTCATCCAGGCTTCAAATATATTGGAATACAGTGGGAAAAAATAGTCTTATATGATTTAGTTAATAATCTCTATATCTATGATTTTTTTCTATTATCAGTGTGTATGTCATATGTCTGTATGTCATCAATTTTTCTTTTATTAGTTTAGAAAATGATTTACCTATTTCATTGTCTTGATATTTCCACAGAACAGATCATCAGGTAATTCATTAGGTCTATGAATTAATTTTTTTCTTGTTTATTGACATATGTCTACATTTTTCCAGTTTTTCTTATTTTAATTTTGTGATTTCTAATTTGTTGGGTTGGATTATTAATTTACTTATTTTCATTTTGTTCACTCATATGTGTTTCTTAGGCCATGAGGTTTCCTCCTCAAAAGCTTTAGCTTTATTCCCTAAATTCTGATAGAAAAAGTTCAATTATTTTGCACTTATTACTTATACACACACAATATACATATTATATGTGTATATGATATGTCATGTATTTTTATTAAATATATATATAAAATCTCAAAATGGACAAAATATATTAACAGACATTTCACCAAAGAGGACATACAAATGGCTAGCAAGTACAGGACAGGAAGTCATTTGGAAAACGCAAATTAAAACTATAATGAAATATCATTTTCCACCCACTAGATTAACTGTATGAAATAAAACCAATGGTAACAAATGTTAGCCCCAAATGGGACCTCCATGCTTTGCTGGGAGAATGTAAGTGGTATAGACACTTTGAAAATCAGTTTGGCAGTTTCTCAAAAAATTAAACATAAAATAACTGTAGGACCCCACTCTCCTATGTATATACTTAGGATGAGGGAAAGCATATGTCTACACAATGACTTGCACACAAATGTTCACAGAAGCATTACTTCAAATAGCCAAAACGTGGAAACAAATTAAATGTCCATCAGCTGGTGAATGGATATACAAAATGCAGCATATCCATACAATAGAATTTTACTCAGCAATATAAAAGAAGGAATGGCTGGTCATTATGTCATGGCTTAATCTCAAGAACATTATTCTAAGGGTAAGAAGCTAGACAAAAATAATATATGTTGCATGAGCCCATCTATCTAAAATGTCTTACAAAGGCAATTTACAAATAAATAAAGTAGATTAGTGAATGCCTGGGGCTGGAAGTGGGAAATAGGGATAAACTGAAAATGGGAATGAGGAATCATATTGGGAGATATAAAGTTTTTAAACTGATTTATGGTCATTGTGGCACCAGTCAATAAAGTTACCAAAAACCATTAAGTTGTGTACTTGAAATAGGTTAATTTTATGATATTTAAAATCCATCTCAAGAAATACATGTGTATGCATGCATACAGATACAGGTTTATATATTCAGGCATTCTGCATTTTTATTGTGCCTCATTTTATTATGCTTCACAGATATCACGTTTTAGAAACTGAAAATTTGTGGCAACCATATACTTAGCAAGTCTGTCAGTGCCATTATTCCAACAGCACGTGTTCACTTTGTGTCTGTGTGTCACGTTTTGATAATTCTCACAATATTTCAAACACTTTTTTTTTGAGACAGAGTCTCACTCTGTTGCCAGGCAGGAGTGCAGTGGCACAATCTCAGCTCACTGCAACATCTGCCTCCCGGCTTCAAGTGATTCTCCTGCCTCAGCCTCCTGAGTAGCTGGGATTACAGGTGTGCACCACCACACCCAGCTAATTTTTGTATTTTTAGTAGAGACAGGGTTTCACCATGTTGGCCTCAATCTCCTGACCTCGTGATCCACCCACCTCAGCCTCCCAAAGTGCTGGGATTACAGGTGTGAGACACCACACCTGGCCTCAAACACTTTCATTATTATTTTATCTGTTATGGTGATCTGTGATCAGTTGATATTTCATATTACTATTGTAATTTTGTGGAGGGCTAGAAACCATGCCTATATAAGATGGTGAACTTAGTTGATAAATATGTTTGTTCTGACTGCTCCACTGACAAGCCATTTGTCTACATTTCTCCCTCTTCTCAGACAGATATTTCCTGAGCCACAATACTGAAATTAGGCCAATTAATAACCCTACATTGGCCTTTAAGTGTTCACCTGAAAGGAAGACTCATGCTTTTCTCACTTTGTGTCTCTCAAAGGCTAGCAATGATTAAGCATAGTGAGGAAAGAATGTTGAAAGTCAAGACAGGCCAAAAGCTAGACCTTTTGTGCCAGTTAACCAAGTTGTGAATGCAAAGGAAAAGTTATTAAAGAAAGTCAGATTTGCTACTCTAGTGAACACATGAATGATAATAAAGCAAAACATCCTTACTATTGCCATAGATAAAGTTTGATTGGTCTAGATAAAGAACAAATGAGCCACAACGTTTCCTTATGTCAAAGCCTAATCTAGAGCAAGGCCCTAACTCACTTCAGTTCTATGAAGGCTGAGAGCTGTGAGGAAGCTGCAGAAGAAAAGTTTGAATCTAGAAGAGGTTGGCTCATGTGGCTTAAAAAAGGAAGCCATCTTTACAACATAAAAGTTCAAGGTGAGGCAACAAGTGCTGATGTCAAAGCTGCAGCAGGTTGTCCAGGATTTCTAGCTAAGATCATTCATGCAAAGGAAAATAAAGCATAGGGAAGTCCTGAGCCTCCCTGAAAGAAGACCTGGAGAATCAGTCATTTATCTTGAAGTTATTTACTGAAGACAAACAGTAATGCAAGACACCTAAGAGTCACCTGTGCACATTAGACACTAATGAAGGTGGCTACACTGCCGAGACCAGCTCAGTTAGGGATACCCTAACCCAGTGGCACTAGAGGAATTAAAGACAGACACACAGAAATATAGAGGCATAAAGTGGGAAATCAGGGGTCTCACAGCCTTCAGAGCTGAGAGATTTACCCACGTATTTATTAACAGCAAACCAGTCATTAGCATTGTTTCTATAGGTATTAAATTAACTAAAAGTATCCCTTATGGGAAACGAAGGGATGGGCCAAATTAAAGAAATAGGTTGGACTAGTTAACTGCAGCAGGAGCATGTCTTTAAGGCACAGATCACTCATGCTATTGTTTGTGGCTTAAGAATGCCTTTAAGCAGTTTTCTGCCCTGGGTGGGCCAGGTGTTCCTTGCCCTCATTCTGGTAAACCCACAACCTTACAGCGTGAGCGTTAGGGCCATTATGAACATGTTACAGTGCTGCAGAGATTTTGTTTATGGCCAGTTTGGGGGCCAGTATATGGGGTGGCCTGCTCCCAACACTACACTAAGCAATGGATTTTTAATGTAGATGGAACAGACTTATATTGGAAAAAGAAGACATATATGGATTCCCTCTCTAGGAAGGAGAAGTCAATGCCTAGTTTCAAAGATTCGAAGAATAAGCTAACTCTCTTAGTAGGAGCTAATGTAGCTGGTGATTTCAAGTTGAAGCCAATGCTCACTTACCAATCTGCATATCCTAGGACCTTAAGAATTATGCTCAATCTACTCTGCCTGCACTCTAGAAATGGAAAAAAAAAAGCCTGGATGACAGCACATCTGTTTACAGCATGGCTTACAGAATATTTTAAACCCACAGTTGAGACCTACTGCTCAGAAAAAAAAAAAAAATGCTTTCATTAACATGTGACTGCTCATTCACAATGGACCCGGTCAACTAAAAGCTTTGATTGAAATGTGCAAGAAATTACTGTAGTTTTCATGCCTGCTAACACAACATCCATTCCATAGCCCATAGGTCAAGGAATAAATTCAACTTTTAAGTCTTCTTATTTAAGAAATATATTTCATAAGGATATAGTTGCTAGAGATGGTATTCAACACATGGGGATTACAATTTGACATGAGATCTGGGTAGGGACACAAATCCAAACAATATCATTCATCCCTGGCCACTCCTAAATCTCATGTCCTTCTCACATTTCAAGATGCAATCATGTCTTCCCAACAGTTCCCCAAAGTCTTAACTCATTCCAGCATTAACTGAAAAGTCCAAGTCCAAAGTCTCATCTGAGACAAGGCAAGCTTCTTCTGCCTATGAGCCTGTAAAATCAAAAACAGTTTAGTTACTTCCAAAATACAATGAAGATATAGGTATAGGGTAAATGCTCCCATTCCAAAAGGGAGAAATTTGCCAAAAGAAACAGTCTATATGCCCCGTGCTAGTCTGAAACCCAACAGGGCAGACATTAAGTCTTAAAGCTTCAAAATAATCTCCTTTGACTTCATGTCTCACATCCAGGCCACACTGTTGCAATGAATGGGCTCTGAAGGACTTGGTTAGCTCTTCCCCTATGATGCTGCAAGGTACAGCCACTGCAGCTGCTTTCGTGGAATGGCATTGAGTGACTGTGGGCTTTCCAGGTGCATGATGCAAGCTGTCAATGAATCTACCATTCTAAGGTCTGGAGGATGGTGGCCTTCTTCTCACAGCTCCATTAGGCAGTGCCCCAGTGGGAACTCTATGTGGAGGCTCCAACCCTACATTTCCCCTCCACACTGCCCTAGTGGAGGTTCTCCATGAGGACTCTGCCCCTGCGGCAGAATTCTGCCTGGACATCCGGGGGTTTCCATATATTTTCCGAAATCTAGGTGGAGGCTTCCAAGCCTCAACTCTTGCTGTCTGCATACTCACAGGTTTAACACCATGTTGAAGCTGCCAAGGTTTGGGGCTTGCACCCTCTGAAGCAAAGGCCAAAACTCTCCTTTGGCCCCTATTAGCCATAGCTGGAGTTGGAGTGGCTGGGTTGCTGGGCATCATGTCCTGTGGCTTCACAGAGCAGTGGGGTCCTGGGCCTGGCCCAAGAGACCATTCTTCACTACTAGGCCTACAGGTGTATGATGGGAGGGGCTGCCACAAAGGGCTCTGAAGTGCCTTTGATGACTCCTCCTCATTGTCTTGGAACATTAGGCTCTTCTTTACTTAAGCAAATTTCTGTAGCCAGCTTGAATTTCTCCCCAGAAAATGGGTTTTTCTTTTCTACCACATGACCAGGCTGCATATTTTCCAAACTTTTAGACTCTGATTTTATTGTAAATATAAGTTCCAGTTTCAAATAATATATGTGTTCACGCATATGAGCATACATTTTTACAAACAGCGAGATTACCTCTTGATCGTTTTGTTGCTTAGAAATTTCTTCTGACAGATACCCTAAATCATCTCTCTCAAGTTCAAAGTTCCACAGATCTCTAGGGCAGGCATGTTGCCACCAGTCTCTTTGCTAAAGCATAGCAAGAGTGACCTTTATTCCAGTTCTCCATAAGTTTCTCATCTTTATCTGAGACCACCTTAGCCTGGATTTCATTGTTTATATCACTATCAGCATTTTGGTCGCAACCATTCAACAAGTGTCTATGAAGTTTCAAACTTTTCCAACATTTTCCTGTCTTCTTCTGAGCCCCTAAACTGTTCCAACCTCTGCCTGTTACCCAATTCCAAAGTGGCGTCCACATTTTCAGGTATCTTCATAGCAATATCCCACTCCTGGTAGGTACCAATTTTCTGTATTAGTCTGTTCTCATACTGCTATAAAGAACTACCTGAGACTGTAATTTATGAAGAAAAGAGGTTTAATTGACTCACAGTTCTTCAGGCTGTACAGAAAGTATGGCTGAGGAGGGCTCAAGAAACTTACAATCATGGCAGAAGAGTGAAGGGGAAGCAAGCACATCTTTACATGGTGGCAGGAGAGAGAGAGAAAAGGGAGAAATGCTATACAATTTCAAACAACCAGATTTCGTGACAACTCTATCATGAAAACAGCAAAGGGAACATCTAATCCCATGATTCAATCACCTCTCACCAGACTGTTCCTTCAACTCATGGGGATTATAATTCAACATGAGATTTGGGTGGGGACACGGAACCAAATCTTATCAGTGACTATACTACATTATTTGGTACATGTAATTTTCTTTGATCTTCAGTGCAATTTGTATTATTATTTTAATTATTTTTGTCCTGAATTTAAATTTTTCTGATTATAAAATGGGCAGTCTCACCTTTCGTCTTTTGTTTCTTTGCATATGTCTGGAATGACTATACCCCCTTTTTTAAATATTTGGCTTTTCTGAGCTAATTTGTAATAAGTGTGTTTTTGCATATAGTTTGTTATTAGATTTTTATTTGGTTTTAATAGAGAGTATTTCACTTTAAATTCTGAAGCCCTTTTACATTTATTCTAATGACACACATGCTTGTTTAATTATCTCATTTATATTTTCCCTTTGCTTCTTTTTGTTCTTTCACTAGATAAACAATGTTTGTGTTCTTTTATGTATGCTTGTGAGTAGTTTTTTCTTGATAATTTGGAACATTCATAAGTTGTCTAGTGTTTTTAACATACTATTACATTTAGTAGTGTACTTAATTATCTAAACCTTTAGACAGACTCTGTTGACTTCCTCTTCTACTTGTTTCCTAGCCACTGCTTATTTTGCTTTAGTCAGAAAAGACAAGTTTATATTAAAGTTAAAAAAAGAACACCATATTTCAGTGACTTATTACAACAAAGTCTTTATATTTATTTCTCATTCAAAGTCCCCTGTGGTCTGAGCTTCTCTTCAAAACAGCTGTTCTCCATGTGGCAGCTCAAGATCCAAGGCTGCTTCAATCTTGTGGCACCTACTTCTCAACACAAGTGCTCTACAGTTTACCAAGCAGGAGAGGGTAGTATAGAGGACACTGCATCAGAAATTAAATGCATCAGCCTGGAAGTGACATCAGTCCCTTCTGCTCACATCCTTTGACCGCAAACTAAGTCATAGAGTAAGAAAGGATATTCCTTGTAGGTGGCAAGAAGTAGAAGAGCATGAGATATGAGTAAATGCTGATAATATCTGCTATATAATTTCAACTCTATTATTTTGTATCTTCAAATATACAGTATAGTTGATTTAATGCCCACCTTTGTATCTTCAAATATATAGCCCTTCTTGTATTAATTCATTTATCACTTCAATAGCTCACTTGATTATGAAATGATTACTGATTATAAAAAATTACCTCAGTGTCTTTTGAAATGCCAAGTCTGTATTTTAATCCCATAACCTCTTCACAGACATACTGGTAATATAAAATGATATTAATATTTTAATATTTTGCTCTTCCAATATAGAAAAAAGTACAATTAAAACACAATGGAACTGATTAGATTCTATATCTATTTGAATTTGCTATTTGAATTTGCCATTTGAATTTGCTATTCAATTTGCTATTTGACTTATAATCACATCATCTTATTTTCATATTCATATTGTAAGCTCTTTATGTTAGAAAGAGAAGTGACTTACTTTTCTATAGCATCTAGCATACAGTTGAGACACAAAAACTATTTTTCCAATTTAAAAAAAATAAATGGTATGTTCAATTCTGAATCTTCCTCCAGAGGAAATTCCCATAAGACCAGTGGGTGAAGCTACTGCTAAAATGTGGTATCTGAAGGAGGGTATAATTATTTTTTACATACTTTAAGTTCTAGGGTACATGTGCACAATGTGCAGGTTTGTTACATATGTATACATGTGCCATGTTGGTGTGCTGCACCCATTAACTTGTCATTTACAATAGGTATAACTCCTAATGCTATCCCTCCCCCCTCCCCCACCCCACAACAGGCCCCAGTGTGTGATGTTCCCCTTCCTGTGTCCAAGTGTTCTCATTGTTCAATTCCCACCTATGAGTGAGAACATGCGGTGTTTGGTTTTTCATCCTTGCGACAGTTTGCTCAGAATGATGGTTTCCAGCTTCATCCATGTCCCTACAAAGGACACAAACTCATCCTTTTTTATGGTTGCAGAGTATTCCATGGTGTATATGTGCCACATTTTCTTAATCCAGTCTATCATTGTTGGACATGTGGCTTGGTTCCAAGTCTTTGCTATTGTGAATAGTGCCACAATAAACATATGTGTGCATGTGTGTTTATAGCAGCATGTTTTATAATCCTTTGGGTATATACCCAGTAATGGGATGGCTGGGTCAAATGGTATTTCTAGTTCTAGATCCTTGAGGAATCGCCACACTGACTTCCACAATGGTTGAACTAGTTTACAGTCCCAACAACGGTGTAAAAATGTTCCTATTTCTCCACATCCTCTCCAACACCTGTTGTTTCCTGACATTTTAATGTTCACCATTCTAACTGGTGTGAGATGGTATCTCATTGTGGTTTTGATTTGCATTTCTCTGTTGGCCAGTGATGACGAGCATTTTTTCATGTATCTGTTGGCTGCATAAATGTCTTCTTTTGAGAAGTGTCTGTTCATGTCCTTCGCCCACTTTTTGATGGGGTCGTTTGTTTTTTCTTGTAAATTTGTTTGAGTTCTTTGTAGGTTCTGGATATTAGCCCTTTGTCAGGTAAGTAAATTGCAAAAATTTTTTCTCATTCTGTAGGTTGCCTGTTCACTCTGATGGTAGTTTCTTTTGCTGTGCAGAAGCTCTTTAGTTTAATTAGATCCCATTTCTCAGTTTTGGCTTTTGTTGCCATTGCTTTTGGTGTTTTAGACATGAAGTCTTTGCCCATGCCTATGTATTGAATGGTATTGCCTAGGTTTTCTTCTATGGTTTTTATGGTTTTATGTCTAACATTTAAGTCTTTAATCCATCTTGAATTAATTTTTGTATAAGGTGTAAGGAAGGGATCCAGTTTCAGCTTTCTACATATGGCTAGCCAGTTTTCCCAGCACCATTTATTAAATAGGGAATCCTTTCCACGTTTCTTTTTTTTGTCAGGTTTGTAAAAGATCAGGTGGTTGTAGATAAGTGGTATTATTTCTGAGGGCTCTGTTCTGTTCCATTGGTCTATATCTCTGTTTTGGTACCCATATCATGCTGTTTTGGTTACTGTAGCCTTGTAGTATAGTTTGAAGTCAGGTAACTTGATGCCTCCAGCTTTGTTCTTTTGGCTTACGATTGTTTTGGCAATGCAGGCTCTTTTTTGGCTCCATATGAACTTTAAAGTAGTTTTTTCCAATTCTGTGAAGAAAGTCATTGGTAGCTTGATGGGGATGGCATTGAATCTATAAATTACCTTGGATAGTATGGCCATTTTCACGATATTGATTCTTCCTACCCATGAGCATGGAATGTTCTTCCATTTGTTTGTGTCCTCTTTTATTTCGTTGAGCAGTGGTTTGTAATTCTCCTTGAAGAGTTCCTTCACGTCCCTTGTAAGATGGATTCCTAGGTATTTTATTCTCTTTGAAGCAATTGTGAATGGGAGTTCACTCATGATTTGGCTTTCTGTTTGTCTGTTATTGCTATATAAGAATGCTGTGATTTTTGCTCATTGATTTTGTATCCTGAGACTTTGCTGAAGTTGCTTATCAGTTTAAGGAGATTTTGGGCTGAGATGATGGGGTTTTCTAAGTATACAATCATGTCATCTGCAAACAGGGAGAATTTGACTCCCTCTTTTCCTAATTGAATACCCTTTATTTCTTTCTCCTGCCTGATTGCCCTGGCCAGAACTACCAACACTATGTTGAATAGGAGTGGTGAGAGAGGGCATCCCTGTCTTGTGCCAGTTTTCAAAGGGAATGCTTCCAGTTTTTGCTCATTCAGTATGATATTGGCTGTGGGTTTGTCATAAATAGCTCTTATTATTTTGAGATATGCCCCATCAATACCTAATTTATTGAGAGTTTTTAGCACGAAGGGCTGTTGAATTTTGTTGAAGGACTTTTCTGCATCTATTGAGATAATCATGTGGTTTTTGTCTTTGGTTCTGTTTATATGCTGGATTACATTTATTGATTTGCATACGTTGAACCAGCCTTGCATCCCAGGGATGAAGCCCACTTGATCATGGTGGATAAGCTTTTTGATATGCTGCTGGATTCGGTTTGCAAGTATTTTATTGAGGATTTTTGCTTCGATGTTCATCAGGGATATTGGTCTAAAATTCTCTTTTTTTGTTGTGTCTCTGCCAGGCGTTCGTATCAGGATGATGCGGGCCTCATAAAATGAGTTAGGGAGGATTCTCTCTTTTTCTATTGATTGGAATAATTTCAGAAGGAATGCTACCAGCTCCTCCTTTTACCTCTGGTGGAATTCGGCTGTGAATCTGTCTGGCCCTGGACTTTTTTTGATTGGTAAGCTATTAGTTATTGCCTCAATTTCGGAGCCTGTTATTAGTCTATTCATGGATTCAAGTTCTTCCTGGTTTAGTCTTGGGAAGGTGTATGTGTCCAGGAATTTATCCATTTCTTTTTGATTTTCTAGTTTCTTTGCGTAGAGGTGTTTATAGTATTCTCTGATGGTAGTTCGTATTTCTGTGGGATTGGTGGTGATATCCCCTTTATCTTTTTTTATTGCATCTATTTGATTCTTCTCTCTTTTCTTCTTTATTAGTCTTGCTACAAGTCTCTCAATTTTGTTGATCTTTTCAAAAAATCAGCTCTGGGATTCATTGATATTTTGAAGGTTTTTTGTGTCTCTATCTCCTTCAGTTCTGCTCTGATCTTAGTTATTTCTTGCCTTCTGCTAGCTTTTGAATGTGTTTGCTCTTGCTTCTCTAGTTCTTTTAATTGCGATGTTAGGGTGTCAATTTTAGATCTCTCCTGTTTTCTCTTGTGGGCATTTAGTGCTATAAATTTCCTTCTACACACTGCTTTAAATGTGTCCCAGAGATTCTGGTATGTTGTGTCTTTGTTCCCACTGGTTTCAAAGAACATCTTTATTTCTGCCTTCATTTTGTTATGTACCCAGTAGTCATTCAGGAGCAGGTTATTCAGTTTCCATGTAGTTAAGCGGTTTTGAGTGAGTTTCTTAATCCTGAGTTCGTTCTTTTACATTTGCTGAGGAGTGCTTTACTTCCAACTATGTGGTCAATTTTGGAATAAGTGCAATGTGGTGCTGAGAAGAATGTATATTCTGTTGATTTGGGGTGGAGAGTTCTGTAGATGTCTATTAGGTCTGCTTGGTGCAGAGCTGAGTTCAATTCCTGGATATCCTTGTTAACTTTCTGTCTCATTGATCTGTTCAATGTTGACAGTGGGGTGTTAAAGTCTCCCATTATTATTTTGTGGGAGTCTCAATCTCTTTGTAGATCTCTAAGGACTTGCTTTATGAATCTGGGTGCTCCTGTATTGGGTGCATATATATTTAGGATAGTTAGCTCTTCTTGTTGAATTGATCCCTTTACCATTATGTAATAGCCTTCTTTGTCTCTTTTCATCTTTGTTGGTTTAAAGTCTGTTTTATCAGAGACTGGGATTGCAACCCCTGCTTTTTTTTGTTTTCCATTTGGTTGGTAGATCTTCCTCCATCCCTTTATTTTGAGCCTGTGTGTGTCTCTGCACGTGAGATGGGTCTTCCAAATATAGCACACTGATGCATCTTGACTCTTTATCCAATTTGCTGGTCTGTGTCTTTTAATTGGAGCATTTAGCACATTTACATTTAAGATTAATATTGGTATGTGTGTATTTGATCCTGTCGTTATGATGTTAGCTGGTTATTTTGCTCGATAGTTGATGCAGTTTCTTGCTAGCATCGATGGTCTTTACAATTTATCATGTTTTTGCAGTGGCTGGTACTGGTTGTTCTTTTCCATGTTTAGTGCTTCCTTCAGGAGCTCTTGTAGGGCAAGCTGGTGGTGACAAAATCTCTCAGCTTTTGTTTGTCTGTAAAGTATTTTATTTCTCCTTCACTTATGAAGCTTAGTTTGGCTGGATATGAGATTCTGGGTTGAAAATTCTTTTCTTTAAGAATGTTGAATATTGGCCCCCACTCTCTTCTGGCTTGTAGAGTTTCTGCCGAGAGATCAGCTGTTAGTCTGATGGGCTTCCCTTTGTGGGTAACCCGACCTTTCTGCCTGGCTGCCCTTAACATTTTTTCCTTC
Organism: Homo sapiens; assembly: GCF_000001405.40. Lineage (NCBI taxonomy): Eukaryota > Metazoa > Chordata > Mammalia > Primates > Hominidae > Homo > Homo sapiens. The sequence goes on along the minus strand of NC_000008.11, from coordinate 77,365,265 downwards.
ATTTCAACTTTGGTGAATCTGACAATTATGTGTCTTGGAGTTGCTCTTCTTGAGGAGTATCTTTGTGGCGTTCTCTGTATTTCCTGAATTTGAATGTTTGCCTGCCTTGCTAGACTGGGGAAGTTCTCCTGGATAATATCCTGCAGAGTGTTTTCCAACTTGGTTCCATTCTCCCCATCACTTTCAGGTACACCAATCAGTCATAGATTTGCTCTTTTCACATAGTCCCATATTTCTTGGAGGCTTTGTTCATTTCTTTTTACTGTTTTATCTCTAAACTCTTCTGGCTTCATTTCATTCATTTAATCTTCAATCACTGACACCCTTTCTTCCAGTTGATCGGATCGGTTACTGAAGCTTGTGCATTCATCACGTAGTTCTCGTGCCATGGTTTTCAGCTCCATCAGGTCCTTTAAGGACTTCTCTACACTGGTTATTCTAGTTAGCCATTTGTCTAATCTTTTTTCAAGGTTTTTAGCTTCTTTGCGTTGGGTTCAAACTTCCTCCTTTAGCTCAGAGAAGGTTGGTCGTCTGAAGCCTTCTTCTCTCAAATCGTCAAAGTCATTCTCCGTCCAGCTTTGTTCCGTTGCTGGTAAGGAGCTGTGTTCCTTTGGAGTGGGAAATGCATTCTCATTTTTAGAATTTTCAGCTTTTCTGCTCTGTTTTTTCCCCATCTTTGTGGTTTTATCTACATTTGGTCATTTATTTATTTATTTATTATTTTTTTTTTTTTATTTTACTTTAAGTTTTATAGTACATGTGCACAACATGCAGGTTTGTTACATATGTATACATGTTCCATGTTGGTGTGCTGCACCCATTAACTCATCATTTAACATTAGGTATATCTCCTAATGCTATCCCTCCCCCCTCCCCCCACCCCACAACAGGCCCTGGCGTGTGGTGTTCCCCTTCCTATGTCCATGTGTTCTCATTGCTCAATTCCTACCTATGAGTGAGAACATGTGGTGTTTGGTTTTTTGTCCTTGCGATAGTTTGTAGGGACATGGATGAAGCTGAAAACCATCATTCTCAGGAAACTACCTTTGGTCTCTCTGATGGTGAGAGTAAAGATGGGGTTTTGGTGTGGATGTCCTTTCTGTTTGTTAGTTTTCCTTCTAACAGTCAGGACCCTCAGCTGCAGGTCTGTTGGAGTTTACTGGAGGTCCACTCCAGACCCTGTTTGTCTGGGTATCAGCAGCAGAGGCTGCATAACAGCGAATATTGCTGAACAGCAAATGTTGCTGCTTGATTGTTCCTCTGGAAGTTTTGTCTCAGAGGGGTACCTGGCCGTGTGAGGTGTCAGTCTGCCCCTACTGGGGGGTGCCTCCCAGTTAGGCTACTCGGGGGTCAGGGACCCACTTGAGGAGGCAGTATGTCCGTTCTTAGATCTCAAACTTGGTGCTGGGAGAAACACTACTGTCTTCAACGCTGTCAGACAGGGACATTTTCAGGAGGGTATAATTTTAAATTTAATTTAGATGACTTTAGTATCACTATATAGAATTGGAATGGGAATTAGACTACAAAATGATACATTTTGTTTTAAATCAATTTTACTCTATTTTTGTCAAATGTGCTGTTCAAATTGGAGATGTATTAAAATAAATTAATAGAATAAAATTGTGGAAAAGTTTGTTAGATCAGAGCAATAGTAAATCAGCCATATGATAGCAAATTACCCTCACTGAGTTAGCAGAAGAAAATGTTTTTCCAGAGGTTTCATTATCCAGTAACAGAGTTATATATTTGTTTTACACACACACACACATGCACACACACACACACGCACAGAGTCATGCTCCATCTAATTGTGTTTTGGTTAACAATAGGCCACATAAACAAAGATAAGATTATAATACCATATTTTTGCTGTATTTTTTTTTCTATGTTTAGATATGTTTGCCTGCATATATACTTACCATTGTATTACAACTGTTTACAATACTCAGTACAGTAATTTGCCATATAGATTTGTACCCTAAAGAGCCATAGGCTATACGATGTAACTTAGGTATGTAGAAGGCTATGCCATCTAGATTTGCATAAGTATATTCTATGATGTTCACACAATGACAAAATTGCCTAAAGACACATTTCTCAGAACATGTCCCTATCATTAAGCAACACATTACTGTATGTACTTGCACACTAACCATGAAGAAAGTGATTCCAAAGCTAAATGGGACACATTCACTTGTTATTATTTTTGAGATATTGAATATTGCTTGTCCACATTATAAGACCTCCAAATTTAATACACAAAGTAGTACTTTCCAGTTACACTATCAGATGACACTAAAACTTAATATATTTTCCATGTCAGATATTAACAATATAAAACAGTACACAGCAGATTTTAAAATTTATACAGCTATGTCCAATATAACATTTGAAGTTAAAAATAAAACTTCTGGGCTGGGCATGGTGGCTCACGCCTGTAATCCCAGCACTTTGGGAGGCTGAGGCAGGCAGATCATGAGGTCAGGAGATTGAGACCATCCTGGCTAACATGGTGAAACCCCGTTTCTATGAAAAATACAAAAAACTAGCCGGGCGTGGTGGAGGGCGCCTGTAGTCCTGGCTACTCAGGATGCTGAGGGAGGAGAATGGTGTGAACCTGGGAGGTGGAGCTTGCAGAGAGCAGAGATCATGCCACTGCACTTCAGCCTGGGTGACAAAGCGAGACTCCATCTCAAAAATACATAAATAAATAAATAAATAAATAAAACTTCTGAATTGAATAAATGGCATTGAATGAATGACAGTGGAAAGTTTCCAAATGCTAACAAATGGAGGGATGTTGTCTATATTATTTCAAAACAATCCACTAGACCATTTATAAAAATACAATCATAAAGGCATAGAGACTGCTTTTTTATTTTAGTGATGAGCAAATATATTTTTCATTAAAAAATGAGAGATCATAGAGCTTATATTTTTAAAAATTTCATATTGAATTTTATTAAATATCTGTTTTAACAGACCAAAAAAGTGAAAAATTCATAAATGCAAAATTCAATGAATTTTTAACAATTGAACACGTCATATAAACCAGTCCCAAGATCAAGAAAGATAAAAATCCCCAAAATCCCAGAAGCTGCCTGGTGACCCCTCCAAGACACTATTACCTGTACTCAAAGGTAACTGCAATCCTAACCAGTACCTCCATTAAGTCACAGAATATATTCATTTTGGGTCTGGCTTCTTTAGTTGAATATGATTGTGAGATTTTTCACATTGTTGCATGTACAGTTTCACTACTGTATGGTATTCCATTTCATGCATATACTTTAATTTTTTTAGTCATTATATGGACTGACTTTTTTTGTTGTTTTCTATTAAAAATAAAAAAATAGATGTATAAATAAATAATAATAATAAATATATAATAAAATTTGTATATTCTCCTTTATTTAAAAAAAGTTGATAAACTTATTTACTTATGAATTACATTGATCTCTTTTGTTTTATATATAGGTAACATTTTATGAGGGATTGCTGTGTCTTAATTTTTTTCAGCACTTTAATATGTTGCTTCTTTTTATTTTCATGATAATTTTAACAGGTAAAATATCATTTCTCTTTTTTACGTAGAGTGTGGGAAGTAAGGGACAAGGTCACACCATTGTAAAACTGTGATCACACTGCCTCAGATGTTTCCACCAAGAAGCATTTATAGTTACTGTAAGCCAGCAATATTTTCTATCCTTTAGTATAGTGGCAGAGGGATAACACTATTCTATGTTTCTTAAAACAGGTGACCAGTAGCATAAAACTGCCACTTGAGTTTTTAGCAGGAGAGTTCCTATAAGTACTCTGCTTACATGGTTGTTTGCATATGGCCCTGAGCTTTCTAGTGGATCGACACACACACAGAAAAACCACTGAAAAAAATTAAGTGGCAATGGGGATCCTTTAATAGATGCTGGTGATAAGAGAGCCATTGCTAGAAGAGGCAATTACTCTTGACAGCAGCCATATTGGGAGCCGCAGAAGGCCTCTAAGAGTCAATAATAGCAAGACTTAAGCCCAAAAATAAAACTGCCATATACATAAGTGGGAGTTACTAATACTACTGATGATGTAGGGAACAAACTGTACCTCCTCTTTGTCCTCTGTTTCCAAACTTTTTAGGAAGGGATCTGATATTAGATGGCAAAAACCTAGTTTGCTTGTTTTGTCTTTCAGTGTGTTTGCATTTAAATAAATTTTCTTTGATGATGTTGTGTGTGGGGAAATTGGGCATTCTGGAACAGTGAAAAAATGGGAATAATGAATCAGCAAATTGGGAAGTCTGTTTTTTAAAATCACTTTGCTCAGAAGTGATCCCTAATACTAATTTCTCCTCACTCAAAGTCACTGTATGAAGACTAATGAGTCTTCCCAATATTGCAATATATCCTAAGCAATTACTGAAAAAATGATAGAATGTTCCTTTCTTCAGAAGGCTCACTCATGGCAATTTGGTTATTCATTTCATATGGCATTGTACTACCTTATTAGATTAACTTTAACCTACTAGGTAATGAAACACATAACCTTCCATAGAAACTTGATTGGATATTTGAGAGAGCAATTGTCTCTCTCACTTTATATGCATTGAGTGATTGGTCACAGTCATTAGAATCTTAGAGTGTAAAATAATCTAAGGACTGGGTTAACATTTCTTTATTTATTTATTCATAAACCATAAGTTTATTGAGTACTTTCTCTGTATTAGGCATTATGATAGATGAAGAACAGAGCAAACACTTATATTTTTAAAGAGCTCATAGTTTATTAGGAAAAGCATGATTAAACAGTTCCAGAAAATGAACATTCAAATAGAAGTATTTTGATGTACCAGACAGGCATCCAAATTTGGGAATCCTTAATTCTTCCCTGGAAAAGAAGAGCTCAGGAAACTACTGTAGAGGTGGCACAAAACAACATATAACTTAAGATGCCAGGTTAATAGATTAGCTTAATTATGTGAGTTTGTTCTTTTTTTGTTTGTTTATTTTTGCTTCTTTGTTTTAGATGGAGTCTTGCTCTGTCACCCAGGGTGGAGTCCAATGGCACGACCTCTGCTCACCACAATCTCTGCCTCCTGGGTTTAAGAGATTCTCCTGCCTCAGCCTCCCAATTAGCTAGGATTACAGATGCCCAGCACCACGATCAGCCAATTTTTGTATTTTTAGTAGAGACAGGGCTTCACCATATTGGCCAGGCTGGTCTTGAGCTACTGACTTCATGATCTGCCCACCTTGGTCTCCCGAAGTGCTGGCATTACAGGTGTGAGCAACCATGCCAGGCCGAGTTTGTTCTTTAAAGCATTGAGATTTGTAAATAAAATATGTTTATAAACCAAAGATAAAATATAAAAATATCCAAAATCACAGAGAATAAAATAGTTACAAAAAATTCTCCTATGAGAATATCTAAATCTTGACACTTAATTTAACTAAGTGACAGAGCATATTGTATTTGAATGACTAATCTGTGTAGGTTCATAAAGTTTATATTCTCAACAGTATAAAAGCCTGGGTCATAATGAAAAACTTAAAAAAGTTTTTTCTCTATTTTTAATGTTTATTTAAATAGAAAAAAATTAAAACATAGCAGTAGAGAATGGGATCAATTTTATCAGTGGGCAAGATATTTTACAAATTTTTGTCAGCAGAAAAGAACACTATAGTAAGCTCCATAGATATGTGTGAAAACACATTAGACACAGTTGAAGAAAGGATTATTGAAATAGAAAATAGTGCACTGGAAAATACTCATTAGCAAATTATTGATAGGAGACATAGAAACAAAATTATTTAAAATGGGCAAAAATAAAAGCGACCCAGTGAATATTTCAAATAAACATGTAATTCAAATTCTAAAAAGAAAAGAGAGAGAAGAATAGAAACTTTATGTGAAGAAATAATGGCTAAGAATTTGCAAAACACTAATTGAAGATATCAATCTATATAATTAATAATCTCTATAAATTAAAACAGGATACTCAAAGTGCTGTAAAAAAATACTAACTAGAAAATGTTAAGAACAAATAAAAGAAGATAAAACATACATTAACTGGAAAGGAGCAAAATAAGGCCTGAGTATTGATATGGTAACAAAAGTAATGAAAAACCAAAAACCAATGGACTGACTTCAATAGATTGCTTAAGGAAATGACTGGCAACCAAGAGACATAGATGAAGCCCTCTCCTCGGGTGTCAACAGTGACCAAGTGAAGTACCTGAACTTTGGCCTTCATCTGGCAATAATAAGGTAGAAATGCCCTTCTCCTGACAGAGCAGTGTTGGAGAAAGCCAGCTAAAATCAGAAGGTTTAAATAAAATCCAGAATCTCATAAAATAATAAAAATGTCCAGATTTCAATAAAAAGTCAGTCATCGTACCAAAAACCAGACTGACTAAATGAAAGGAAAAAAAAGATAACCAATAGATGCCAACTCTGAGATGACAGAGAAATAAGAAGTATCTGAAAAAGATTTTTTACAATCCAGCATAAAACTGCTACAAAAAGCACCTATGAACTTACTTCACACAAACACACACATATATGTGTGTATATGTATATACATGTATGTATATACATACACATATATGTATATACATACACACGTGTGTATGTATGTGTATGTATATACATACACACGTGTGTGTATGTGTATGTATATACATACACACGTGTGTGTATGTGTATGTGTGTGTATACATACACATATGTGTATATACATATACACATATGTGTATATACATATACACATATGTGTATATACATATACACATATGTGTATATACATATACATGTATGTATACACATACACATATGTATATGTATATACATATACACGTATGTATGTATATACATGCATATGTGTATGTATATATATATATGGCCCCAGAAAAGAAATAGAAAATATAAGCAAAGAACTATATGAAAGCTTTAGAAATGAAAAATGTTGTAATTGAAGTGACAAGCTGAGTGGATGTACTCAACAGCAGAATGGAGGGAACAGAGGGAAGAACTGGTGAGCTGCAATAGAGAACAACTGGAAATTACTCAATGTGAATAACAGGAAGAAAATAGTCTGAAAAAACAAACGAGGTCTCAGCTGCATGAAATAGAATAACAAAAGAAAGAACATATCTATTATCTGAGTCATAGAAAAATAATAGAAAGAGGATAGGGTTAAAAAAAGGTATTTTTAAAAATGGCTAAAAATTTCTAAAGTTGAGAAGAGACATAAGCCTATCAGTTAAAAAAGATGAGCAAACTCCAATTCAGATAAACTCTAAACCCAAAGAAATTTATTACAAGACACATCATAATTAAACTTCCGGAAAGTAAAGACAGAAATAAATTATAAAAGTTACAAAAAAAAAAAAAAGCCAGAGGGTCTACAGGGAAAAATAAGTTGAAAAACAAGAGATTTCTCATCAAAATCTATGAAGGCCCAGAGGAAATGACACAGTAGATTTCAAGAGCTTAAAGAAAGGAAATTTTATCCCTGATTCCTATATCCAGAGAAAATAATATCCTATAGAAATGAAGAAATCAAGTTATTCTCAAATGACAGAAAAACTGAGAGCATTGGTCACCACATAGCAAATATAAAGCATGGTTAAAGGAAGTTATCTTTAAAGGATACACAGTTTTAAAAAGAAACATTTGAACATCAAGAAAAATAAATAACATGGTAAGTAAAAACGGAAATACAATAGGCTTTACTTCTCTTTTTGAGTTTTCTAAATTGTGTTTGACAGTTTAAACAAAATTACTGCACTGAATGATTTGGTTCTAAATGTATATAGAGGAAATATTTAAAGCAATTATAGTGGGGGATGGTAAAGAGGTGTAAGAGGAATTAAGGCTTTTTACTTCATCAGACTGCTTAAATAATAAGAGCAGTAGACGGCTGCTGGGAGGGCAAGGTTTCATGGTGCTTGGAAAAGTAGGAGTTTGCTTCTAGCCAGAGCTGTTAAGCCTTAAAGAGCCATCCAGAAAGGTCACAACCTAGAAACAGGGGAAAAAATGATAAAATAGTATAATATGAGATTTTAACATATTTGTCAGTAATTCAGAAATTACAGAATGTTTTGAAAGTAATCATCATTCAAATATGAGAAATCAAAATTGTATGATGATGGATACTAAAGCCATTCTTAGAGTATAATTTAAGAACTTAAATGCATATATTAAAAAGAAGGCTAGAAAATAAATTATAATGTATAATAACCATGTAAATAAGTTATAAAAAGAATGTCATTATGTACATAATGAACACATTAAAACAAAAATCTAAGAACATGAATACAAATGAAAATAGCAATTAGAATATATATTTGTATATATAAATATATAGATATACTTATATCTAGATATATATTATATATATAAATTGATAAAGATATAAGTTGATAATATAAACAATGTAGAATAGAGAAACAGTTACAAAAGGTAAAGGTTATTCTTTGGCAAGAACAATCCAATTGTTACATACCTACTAAAACTGATGAATAAAAGAAGAGCAGTGTCAGAAATTTCCAATTTCAACAATTAAAAAAACACTATTTCGACCCACAAACACTAAACCTATAGTAAGAGGGTACTTGAACAACTTTACAGCAAAAATTAAAAATTTCGATAAAGTTTTAAAAAATTCTCAGAAAGTATCATGATTGACTGAACAAAAGAAGACATAGAAAATCTGTATAGTCCTTTATCTACTAAATAAATTGGATCTTATTTAAAATGTTCCCCCCAAATAAAAATTCATCTCTATCTAGCTTCAAAATTCTTCACAATATTTAAGAATAAAATAATACTACATTTACCAATTGCTCTAAAACAAAGAAAGGAAGGAAATTTTCTCAACTTAATCATGACAGTAACACAACATTCATGCCAAGAGCTGATAAGAAATAATGGTATACATTTCAATTTTTCTTACAAACTTAGAAAAAAAAACTATAAGCAAAGTATTAACTCAAAAGAGCAATATAGAAATTTAAATATTTTTCAGAAATAAAAGGTTGAATTAAGTAAGAAAATGAGTAAATGTATTTCTACACAATAATAAATTAATAAAAATCTAAGTTGATGCAGAAAAACGATTTTATAAAATTCAATATTTATTCATTATTTTAAAAATAAAACTTTAATCAAATTAGTAATGCGTGAACTTCCATAATCTGATAAAGAACATCTCTGTAAAAATAAGCAGGAAATATTATAATGAATAGGAAAATATTCAAAGCTTTTTCCCTGAGATTAAAAATAAGATGAGAATGTCTGCTATCACCAATTCTACTTGTCACTGGACTAGTAGGCATAGCCTTGCATTAAGAACAAAACAAACAAATAAAAATTATAATAATTTTTTATTATTTGTCAATATCATGATTATAGGTCTATGACTATCAACTTGCCGATTATTATATTTAATAATAAATTTAGCAATTTTGCTTTATATGAAGTAAATGTATAAAATGTATTAAAATGTATTTTCCCTTTTGTGAATAAAAACTAGAAAATAAAATATTTAGAAAATTATTTGCAGTAACATGAAGATCTAATGCTTAAGAAAAAAATATTAAAAATATACGCTAAATGTTTATAAGGAAAAACTATTAAATACCTCTGAGAGAAATTGAAAAATCTGTAAATAATACAGGAATATATAATTTTTTGAATTGGAAGTCCCAATTCTGCAAAAATATCATTTATCTCTTAGGAGATATTTTAATACAATGCTAATCATAATCCATGTGTATGTTTAAAAATAAAAATTGATTAAATGATTGTGAAGTTTATATGGAAATAGAAAGGACTGAATATATAAAAGGAAATCTTAAAGATGAAAAAATGTGTATAATGTCTACTAGCAAATATTAAGGCTTATGATATGACAGTGTGGTATTGTTGCAAGGATAGACATACAGAGCAAGGAACAAAATAGCTCTTTCAGAAATAGGCTATCATATATCAGTTTATTCAATCTTTGACAAAATTATATTTCTCAGCAGTAGGCCCATGAGAGTCTCTTCAATAAGTGATACTAGATCATTTTATCCACTGGGGAAAATAATAAATCTTTATTCCTACCTGATACCACACATAAAAATAAATTCCACATAGACTGTAGATATAGAAGTGAAAGTTGAAAAAAAAACATATAGTAGTTATGATAGAAGAATAAACGCATTTAATTTATGATGATGTTAAACATTGATTCAAAAGCAACAGGCACAAAGAAAATATTGATAAATTAGATTACATTAACGTTCGGATTTATTTCCGTCACAAGACACTTCTAACAGAGTGAGAAACCAAGCCACAGAGTAAGGGAAGATAATGGCAATCACATATCTGGCAAATAATTCATATATAATATCAAAGTGCTATAAACTGAATGTATTCTTCCAAAATTTGTATGTTAAAACATAACCTCCAATGTGATGATATGTGGAGGTAAAGACTTTGGGACGTCATTAGGACTTGAGGCTAGAGCCATGATGAATGGGATTAGTGCTCTTATAAAAAAGGCTCCAGAATCTGTCACCCTTCTACTGTAGCAGGATACAGGGAGAATATGGCCCTTTATGGACCAAAAAGTGAGCACTCACCAGATACAAATCTGCTGACACTTTGATCTTAAAATTTTCAGGTTCCAGAACTGTGAGAAATAAATTCTTGTTTGTAAGACACCCTGTCTATGATACTTCTAAAAAACCGACAGCAACATTGGTAGAATAGGCATTTCCAAAAAAAAGGGAGGTTTTATACAGACACACATCCTCCACCCACACACACACATAAAGTTGATATCTTTGTTTTCTGTTGGTACCTGACAAGTCACCATGAATTGAGAAGTTTATCTTCTCACAGTTTTTCTGGGTCAAGCATCTGGAAACAGCTTAGCTGGGCCCTCTGCCCAGTGTCTCACCAGCTGCAATGAAGGTATCGGCTAGAGCTGTGGTGTCCTCTGAAGCTTGAGGCCCTGTTCCAACCACACATGGTTGTGGGCAGAATTCATTTACTTTCAGCTGTATAAATTATAACAGCTTACTTTTTCAGGGCCAGCAGACTAGAGAGAGATTCTCTGCTCATTCAAGTCTCTGATCACTCTGCCATCTTTAAAGGGTTCATCTGATAAGGTCTGGTTCACCTAGGGAAATCTTCCGTTTGATTAACTCAAAGTCAACTGATTAAGGATCTTAATTACATGTGTGTAATTCCTTCAGCTTTACAATATTACTATAACCTAATCATAGGAGCAAGATCCATTATATTCATAAGTCTCACCACACTCAAGGAGAGAGGATTATATGGGGTGTGTACCTTAGAAGGCAGGGGTGTTGTGTGTGTGTGTGTGTGTGTGTGTGTGTGTGTGTTGGAAAGGGGCACCTCAGAATCATTCTTACCATATTTACTCAACTTTATTAGTCATTAGATGAATGCAGATTAAATCTATATCAAAATTCTACTATCTACTCACAGGAAAAGTATAATTTTGAACTACTTTTATATAATATTTTGCCAATATTATAGAGAAAATTAATTTGTATATATTTATGATAGGTATTTAAATTGCTTGAAACATGTAGAATACTGCTTAGCTGTATCTAGTGAAGCAACACATATGCATATGCTATATGTTGTGACCTTGGGTAGAAGTTTGAATCCTGGGTATTATTTTTATACAGCAAAATGTCACCTGAAACTCAAAGATTAGAATTTGAACAGATATCTGCATATGTTTAAAAGTTGTCTTCGTCCATTTGTGGTGTTATTTAGAAAATGCCTGAAACTGGGAATGTTGTAAACAACATAAATTTATTTCTCACAGTTCTGGAGGCTGGTAAGTTCAAGATCAAGATACTAGTAGATTCATTGCCTGATGAGGGCCTGGTTTCTGCTTCCAAGATGGAGCCTTCAACTCTGTGTCCTCCAGAACAGAGAAATGCTGTGTCCTCACATGGTGGAAGATGCAAGGGCATAAGGCATGGAAGGGCAAAAAAAAAAAAAAAAGAAAAAAAAGGCCTAGCTAGTTCCCTCCAGCTCATTTATAAGGTGCTAATCCCATCCAAGACAGTGGAACAATCATGGCCTACTCACCTCCTGAAAGCTCTGCTTTTTAATACTATTGCATTAGGAATTTGAGACGGCACATAAGCATTCAACCCACAGCAATATTTAAGTACATGAAGTGACACTTCTTATGTAAGTGTCTACAATCCAAAGGAAAACAACTATAGGTTTTCAAAGTATAGGTGATATTTTGTGAATTTCAAGTAATTTCTTCTTTTTAGTCTGAGGAACTTATGTAGTCCAAACTGTCTTCGATTTCTCAAATCAGGGTCCCCCAAACTCCATCTCTGGCCTGTGATTATTGTTTGAAGTTTTTTGTTTTTTTTTTTAAGTTTATCCCTCCTTTCATACACACACAAAATACAAACATCTCTTACCCCCAATTCATATTACTCTGATAGTTCAGTATCAACATTCTGGGGTGAAAATAGTTTAGAATGAATTGCTTATTCTTACTTGGAGGATCACCCCATCATGAGCCATAGAAAGGCTAAATAACATGTCTAAGTTTTCAAAGACAGGAAGTAGTAGAGCCTATATGTGAACGAGGCGGTGTGGCTAGAGAGCCAGCGTTCTTAGGTTCTGTACTGCTCGGTGCCTTTCAGTAGATGGAGCCTAAGCAAGCTGCCATAAATATTAAAAGGATGGTTGGAGAAAAAATAATATAAACAAAAATATCGGTGTCAAGGCCTACATCCTTAGGAAAAAAGTATCTATAAGTAAAAATTTATAAAAAGTTTAATTCTAAAATAGTACATATCTTTTAGATTTACCCTTTAGAGGTAAATTATTCACAGGATTCAACATAAATTCTACTCCATTTATAATCGGCTTCTATTTATTATACTTATTTAAAATAAATTATTATTTATATTATCAAGTAACTATCTGACAAATATTTGTGATTATGACTTGTTTATCGCTTCACTTTTATAAAATATACTTTTATAAAGTATATTATCCATATTTTGCCACTTTATTTGGGATCCTGATTCAGTTCATCAGATGACCATTGCCAACTACGTGTGGCTAAACTGACAAATGTGGTCATAATTGAGACTGGCTCAGTATGCCACTTGTTTTATGTTAGCATTTCAAGGAAAAATTTGAATTTAACTATATTGAACTACTATCATGTATCTGGATTTGCACTTTCACATAGTTTCTCTCTCAAATCTATGAAGTCTCTTACATAAATAATCACTTGACACACAAAAAGACTGTTATGTGTTCCCTTTCTTTAATAATAAGAATGGGAAGTTATTTTCTTGCTATGTCCTTCTATTATCACATATTACATATGTGTGGTGGGGATTATGAGAGCAAGAAAAGACAGATAGTATGCCATTTATTTGAAAAGTACTGGGCCATTATGAGTCAAAAATCATATCTAACAAATTAGACTACACATTTTCCGGAGACATTGAGTAGGTTACAGTGACTGCATGGAATGTTGAGGTCGCTGCCTTTGGAGAGGGGCAAGAATATTAAATGCATGAGAAGAAGGTGATAAACGGATATTTGATAAAAGCAAAGTGTGGACTCTAGCAGAGCCTACTAGTTGTCACTAATATCTATCTATTAATATTTCCTCTGTGTTCATACAGTTTTTTGTTGAGCCCAAGTGAAAGACTATGTTTCTCAAGAATGCCTGTTGCTAAGTGTGGTCACATATCTACCTTCCATTCTGTGGGGTAGGAGCGGAAGTGATATGTACAATTTCTGGTCAATGTCCTAATTACAAATAATCAGGTCTTTGAATTTATTCTTCCTATAGTTGGAATGGAGATAAGATGGCAGCAACTGGAATAAATATTTTTGTACCAGGAGATGGAAGCTAAATATCGAGGGTGAATAGTAGCAAGGTATGTTGAGCCGGGGCACTTGACGATCTCATGGAAGAAGACCTTGATAACAAAGGAACATTTACACAGGAGAGAAATGAACTTCCGAACCGTGTAAGCTCTTGTGAACTATGGAGATCTGTTTCAATAGCAAATCATTGTCTTAACTAATATCACCAGGTTTTCTATATTAAATTGACTATGTGGCAGGTAAAATTATTTAAAAATAATATCTATAATAAAAATGTTTTTCAAATATATGGACAGGTAAAAAATATATCAGCCACGAAGAAGATACAATCAGTCTGGCTTTGGAACTAGATGCTTATGGAGAGTACCTGCTTCAACTTTTTTTTTAATCAAAAGGGTAATTCAAAAATATTATAATTATATAATATATAATCCCAGCACTTTGGGAGGCTGAGGCGGGAGGATCACTTGAGACCAGGAATTCGAGACCAGCTTGGCCAACATGGTGAAACCCTGTCTTTACCAAAAAATACAAAGATTAGTGGGGAGTGGTGGTGGGTGCCTGTGATCCCAGCTCCTCCAGAGGCTGAGGCAAGAGAATCGCTTCAACCCAGGAGGCAGAGGTTGCAGGGAGCTGAGATTGTACCACTGCACTCTGGCCTCAGTGACACAGTGAGACTCCATTTCAAAAAAAAAAAGAAACAAACAAACAAAAAATATTTTATAATGAACAAAATTGCTATTTGTTTATGAAGGGAATTAAAACACATTCTAGCTGGGAAAGGGACTAGTAAACATGTTGCTGACATTACCCCACCAATAATTGCTTTGTAAATTAAAGATATCCTCACTATTATGTGTTGAATTGTTCCACCCTCAAAATTAACATATTGAAGTTCTAAGCCCCGGTACTACAGAATGTGAGCTTATTCGTAAATGAGGTCATTGCAGATGTAATTATTTAAGATGAAGTCATACTAGACTAAATTGGGCCCGTTATTCAAAGTGACTGGTGTTCTTATAAAAAGGAGAAATTTGGACACACACATACAGGCAGAATGGCGTGTGAAGATAAAGTGATACAGAGGAAGAGAAGGAATGCCAGAGAGATTTCCCACAAATGAGAAACTAGGAGAGAGGCATGAGACAGATCTTTCACAGCACTCAGAAGAAACCAACCATGCCAACACCTTGATCTTAGACTTTTAGCCTTCAGAACTGCAGGACAATGTAGCTATTGTTTAAGACACCCAGTTTCAGTACTTCGTTACAACATCCCTAGCAAACTAATACATTTGGTCAATTGAGATAGTAATAAAATAATCAACAAATCAAAAAAAATCCATTACGTGAAAGGACTGATCATGAATATTGAAACCAGCTAAACATAGAAATACTATCTAAATGATTACTGTAAATATGGTTAGACAACAGAATGCAAATGTCAAAATGTTGTCTTGAAAGAGAAGTAATAATGTAAGACAAAATATGCATGCATGCATGCGAATGATAACTCAAATACCTTTATCAACTCCAATTTCCTTTGAAATGTTTGCCCTTAACTCAGAAAAGGAATTTTCTTGCATAATTATATAAACATAGAAATGTAAATATTTCTTTTATAAAACCTGAGTGTATCCATACACAAAACTGAAATAGCATTTACTTGGTAATAAAGTTCATGGTCACTGGAAATGCATTTTGATTAAAAAAAAGCCCCAAGAAATTAATAGGTTGGACATGTGACCTTTATGATCTTTGGTACTACTTCAGAACTTTAAAGGTAAAGCCTTAAAATTTAAATACTGGGCTTTGAAAATATTTGTAAAGGGTAATGTATAACCAAATGCACAAGCATTTTATTCATCCTCGCTTTGTACAGCAGATTTAACATTTAATCAACAAAGCTTTGCATATAATAATGAGTACACTTTGTATCTTTAAAAGCTTACCAAATTCCACCCAAAGAAAAAAAATGGTGTTGAAATTTAACTCCAATATTTAGCTCATTTTATACTGTGTATTACTCTGACTAAAATAATCTTTATTCAAATTGAAAAAAATACATTCTGTGAACGTCATACAAATATTTTGGTTTATGTATGTATTTAAGATAAAAAATAAAGAAAAACATGAAAGCCAAATTATTTTTTCTTACCTATTTATCTATTTTTTTCATGAAGCAGTTTATTTTTTGTTCAGGTTTTGGTTCAACTTTGAGTTTCATTTATTTGATATTTCTTCAAATGTAAGTAGATTCTCCTAGTGTTCCCCAATGACAGAGTAACTTATTTCTGCAGTAGCAATATTTTGTTATTCTACCAAGCTCAGGCAGTAACCTGAAACTATTCAACTAAGTCTGTTCTAAATATAAGTGCTGCATAACTTTCAAGTTTTTATAAGCCTAAAAGGTTCAGAATATTTTTTCTTCTTGTAACCCCTGAGGAAGTCAAAAAATCTAAAACTTACAATTACTTTAAGAACTTGGCAGGTATTTCATAATGTTGGTAAAACAAAATTTTAAAATGTAGTCTCCACAAGTTTTGCTCAAGACTAGCTGAGAACACAAAACAAACTTAAAAACATTTCTTTATTTGCTAATTAATCATTATTTTCACTTCCAAAAGGTTTGTACAACTTCAGTAGATAAAAGATTTACTTGTGCCCATATGAACACTATTTTCTAAAGATCAGTTTCCTTGCAATGTAACATTTATTTGGGGGCTTCTACTAAAAAAAAAAAAAAAAAAAAAAAAAAAAAAAAAAAAAAAAAAACCCAATCATGCATTTGTCCCCAGGTTTATCATTCTTACATAATGAAATAATAATGAGATATATTTCAGGGATTATCAAATTTTAAGTGTGAATGTAACAAAGTTACCTTCTGTATGGAGGAGAAAGAATTTGTTTTTAAATGGACTCCTCTTTTTTAAAGGTGATCTTTTTTTTTATAAGAAACATCCCTATTTGGTATTCATACGCAACAAGAAAATTGAATTTTTCAGGAACACTGTTACTCCATAATGTATTTATTTCTCCATTCTGTAGTTCCAGGAGTATTTGTCTTCTGAGTTGCAAGGCTGTTACTCTAGCTTATAATTTTTTAGTAACGTGTATAATACTGACTGAATCAATAATCAGCATTACTATTTCCGTTTTACGGAAGTAAAATCCAGAAACAGGATACTCATATTCTGCCTGTTAAAATTAAATAATTTTTATATATATTTATCACATTATCCTTTTATTTTTACTATTTTGTTTTATTTTAGTCCTACTGAGTCCTTTAAGAGTATTATTTTCATTTATTCATAATGGCTAGACTTACCTTGTCAAAACCAACTGTTTAGATCCATTTGGGACTTTCAGAATCATTAACAATTTAACGTGATGTGAAAGGTAAAAAGAGTTATCTAATTTAAAACTCATTTTTCTACTATTTTATGCCTCAATGTTGTCAAAACAAAGTTCTCACAAAATAATCACAGTTTTTTGAAAATATTTATTTCTTTTAAATACATAAGAAAATGTGTATCATACAGAAATAAAATAGAAACCATTAATGGAAAAAAGGAGAAGAAATCAATGTGAGGAGACGTACATATTTTTCCTTATCTTCTAATAGAAAATAACCACAGGCAATATTTTGATGTGTAAGTTTCTAGATTTCTATTTTTTTTTCTTTTTCCTGTAACAACTAAAGCAAAAGACCTAAAACTTTCAAAGATTTGGTTGTGTAATTCATTCCACTTATACAAACTGAAGATAGTTTTACAAGTCATGACTAATAATTCCATTAAAATTTTAAGAATTCAGTTATTTTTGAATGTCCAATTGTAACTTTATTTCTAATAATAAAATATATCTATGTTCATCTATTCATGAACATGTATCTGCTTCTTACATATTGCCATACATTTTTAAAATTCTTTGCATGCCCATTCAAATGCATGAGCCCTGATGAATTTAAATTAATGTAACTTTAGAAAAATCACTAAAGATTTTTAACATGAGATTTTTCTTATGTATTTCACATCCTCAGTAACTATTTACTTATATTGTTTTATAAACATGAACATTTTCTGAGAGAAGGCTGTGAAAATTTCATCTGTTTTTAATTTAATCCTTACCTAAAGCAACAGCACAATACTCTATTTGTAATATCAAGGCAGTTGGTTGATGTAAAAAAGGACTGATATTAATTATAGAAAATTGTCATCAAATGGAAAGAAAAATGAAGAGTCTTATGGAGTCTTAAACCTGATTACAGCTTAAAATTGCTCTCTCCATTAGCACAATTAACACCCCCAAGTAGCAAATTTTATAGCACAACCAATAACCAGAGAGTTTCTATGGAAGATCTTTTTTAACATTTTAATTTTTTTATGTCTGTTTTTCTGCTAGTGTAACAATTGTTAACTTTTAAGTTCTGGTGTAAAATTTCATTTTAATAGTATCAAGAGTAAAACCTACCTACTTATTAGCATTTTTCATTTTTTACTGTGCATATATCCAGTGGTTATAAAACAGCAGCGACACAAATGCATTAACATGAATATTTTAAATATAAATTTTACAAGAAAAGATGGTATTAGCCAATGTAAATAGTCACTAGACCTACACATTTTAACCATGTGAATTGGATTAACTTCAAAAGATAGGAATTACATTTGGTAAATAATCACTTCCAGTACATTAGTGCGCTAGAACCTTCATATTTTGGGAAGAGATAACTCACTCCATTTTAGTAAGCAATTTTCTCACTATAGAGTTGAATTACTGTACAATCAAATCCAGTACTCCATATTGTGGGAAACCTGGTTGGAGAAATTTAAGGTTCTTCAAAAACATTATTTCAGCTACCCTCACAACTCTATATACTGCATCAGTCACTAGTCCATTCTGTCATCTATTCATTAATTCACTAAGTTTATACTAAATTACCACCATGGGCAAACCATGATCTGAATTTTCACAAACCAAATGTAAAATTCAGTCCTTGCAAGGTATCACACAGTATCGACACATCTATTTACCTTTATATCCTAAGCTTTCTACAGAGAGCAGATTTATAAAACACAACTCTAATATTGCTGGAGAAGGCAATGCAAGTTTTGGAAGCTTTTTTAACCAATAAGAAGAGAATAAATTATGATCTTTTAAAAATAGTTTTGTATTCTCTAAGATCATCAGGGAGTTAATGTTTTGTATTGAATATTAAGTTTTCAACTTATAATCATTGAGATTCAATCTCTTTACTCAATAGGTTCAAGGTTTTTACTTGAACTTTGAACCATTTCAATGTCACCAGTTTCAGCTGAGAATATGATCAAGCATGAATCAAGGAGAAAGATGATTATTAGAGAAAATGATACTCAAGTACTAGTCTTTTTGACATTCTTCTTCCACATCAAGAGTTACTTCCACAGTTACTGGAACTCTAATGCCTTTGCTCATATGTGGTGTTTTTCTTTCTTTTTTTTTTTTTTGGTAGAGGGAGGGTTTGGGATAATTTTTATTGAGATATAATTTACGTGCCATGAAATTGATCTGTTTCAAATGTACAATTGTATGAATTTTATTATATTCAGAGAGTTGTAAACTATTACTACAGTCTAATCTTAGAACATTTTTATAACCCCAAAAAGAAAC
The DNA here is from genome assembly GCF_000001405.40 of Homo sapiens. Lineage (NCBI taxonomy): Eukaryota > Metazoa > Chordata > Mammalia > Primates > Hominidae > Homo > Homo sapiens. The sequence goes on along the minus strand of NC_000008.11, from coordinate 77,345,706 downwards.
TTTGGGCCCATTTAGAGTCATTCCCATCTCTACTGTCAGCATGAGGCAATCACATATCCATTTTATCTCTGTAGATTTGCCTTGTCTAGACATTTCATATAAATGAAACCATACAATATGTGTTCTTTCACAGCTAGCTTCTTTCACTCAGCATATTTTTTTTTTTGAGATGGAGTCTAACTCTGTTGCTTAGGCTGGAGTGCAGTGGTATGATCTCTGCTCACTGCAACCTCCTCCTCCCGGGTTCAAGCGATGCACCTGCCTCAGCCTCCCGAGTAGCTGGGATTACAGGCACCCGCCACCACGCCCAACTAATTTTTGTATTTTTAGTAGAGATGGGGTTTCACTGTATTGGCCAGGCTGTTCTTGAACTCCTGACCTCGTGATCTGCCTCCCTGGCCTCCCAATCAGCATTATGTTTATCAGGTCCATGCATGTTATAGCAGGTATCAGCACTTCACTCCTTTTTATTTGTTCATATGGCTTTTAACACAACTTGAATACTTTTGTTTCAAATGAAAATAGTTACATAGAGACATCTAAATTTGCTTTCTTGGTCCAATTTTTTAACGGAACTATTGACCTAAGAAAAATACAACTTAAATTTTTAGTAACTTTTGAAACACAAAATTAAAATATTATGATAAGGATGTAAAAAGAGGTCAATAAAAATAGAAATCCACTTATATTTTTTCACATAAAAGAAAAAAATGTATTGCAACTATTACTATTTAATTTAGACCAATTTATTTCACTTGAAGTTTCCAGCAACTGATCAATTAGGTGGCAGTAATTACTATATTCTTAATCACAAAATTTATCTTTTTGGTAATTCCTTTAATGGTTTAACTTGGATTAGTTTAAAGCTTTTGATATCTGATATTAGGCATTAAAAATAATTATGTTATAGAGCAGGTAATGGAGAAGTAGTAGGTACTTGCTTTAAATTTAATTTAAATAAGTATTTTTATGAATATCTTCTAAGATTAAGCATACTGTAGTTATTATTAATTGTAAGTAAAATTGTCTGTATGTACTGGTTTTTAAAAATTATTCATTTATTTTTATTTTTACTTTATTTTATTATTATTTTTATTTCTATAGGTTTTGGGGAAACAAGACTGGTTTTGATTTATACCTTCAATGGCAAAGTCTAATCCCTTCCCCTTTATTTAAAAGCTGCATGTCTTTATACCCTCAAATTAAAGAGGAACTGTGCAATCTGAAAAGATATATAATGTCATGAGGGAAAAATGTTTGAAATGTTTACAGATCTGGAGCAAATTTGCAGATGTCATAAACAATATATTCATATTATAAATATATAAATGTTTGTACATTAAAAATAAAGTTTATAAATCATATAGTTTATCAGGACTGCAGAATATTGGTATTTCAGCTCATGGGAGGGATTATGGGAAGAAGAGAGGGTTGTTTGTGCTAGTTTACATATAGGCAGATTTTAAATAGGACATAAAAATATCAAGAATGAAATGTATTCATTTGTAATAACTGAATTTAAAGTAGATTTGGAAAGTGGGTGAAACAGAGAGTGTAAGGCTATTACATATTTGTGGGAAAAAATTACTACTGAACTTTTAGGTAATAAATATAACTTATTTGTTTGTAAAAAAATTTATTTATTTATTTGTAAAAAAAATTTATTTGTAAATAAATTTATTTATTTGTAAATTATTTATTTATTTGTAAATTTATTTATTTATTTGTAAATAAATTTATTTACTTATTTGTAAAAAAATTTATTTATTTATTTGTAAAAAATTTATTTATTTGTAAATGAAATTATTTATTTATAAATAAATTTATTTATTTGTAAATAAATTTATTTATTTGTCAATACATTTATTTATTTATTTGTCAATACATTTATTTATTTATTTGTCAATAAATTTATTTATTTGTTTGTCAATAAATTTATTTATTTATAAATAAATTTATTTATTTGTTTGTAAATAAATTTATTTATAAATTTATAATTTTATTTATACCTCCAATGGCAAATATAAAAAAATTATAACTTTATTTATTTATAAATAAATGTATTGATAAACAAATTTACTTATTTATAAATAAATTTATAAATCATGATTTATAAATAAAATAATTTTTATTTTATTTTATTTACAAAATATTTATTGTTTTATAAATAATTTTATATTTATAAATTTAAATTTATATAATATATATTATATATATTTATATATATAATGTATATTATATATATTTATATATATAATATATATTATATATATTTATATATATAAATATATATAAATATATATAAAAATATATATATATATGAATATATATATAAATATATATATGAATATATATATTTATATATGTACACATATGTGTATATGTATTTTTATATATACACATGTATATATGTATTTTTATGTATACATATATGAAAATATATACACATACATATATAAAAAGATATATTTTATGTATTTTATATATTTATAAAACTATAAATATAAATTTATAAAATATTTATAAAATATTTATTTTATTTATAAAATAATTTGTACATAATAATTCATGAATAATTTTATAAATAAATTTATTTATAAATAAAAATTACTACTGGTAATTAATAGGAAATAAACAAAGACTTCCATGAGAAGCAGAAATCATTTTTTCACAGAAAAAATGCATAATTTAATATTTTTATGGAATAAATGTGGATATCGTATTTGTTAAAGTAAATAGAAATTATCACAAAAAGGTTTTGATTGCCTCTAAGACCTGTTTTAGTTGTCTCTAAATGATGTCAACAATTGGTACAAATTTTGTAGAGGGTATGTAGAATTTGAATCTTGCAAATTTTGGCTAGATTATGTAAAGTATGCAATGGTAAATAGTTTAATATTAAAATAAATAGGAAAACCATTTTCAGGTAAAAATCTCTGTATTACTTTTTCCATGGAAAATATGTACATACACACATACGATATATACCAGACATATATTATATGTATATATGATTGTATATATATAATTATATATAATTTAATTTTATTGTGGTAACATTTAACAGGAGATTTATAACTACACTTAACAAATTTTAAGTGTACAATACATTATTTTATATATTTTTAAACACATTTAAAAATATTTAACTTGAATATCTTATGTTACCCATCCGGGGGCATTGGACTCAAAATGCTTCATAATATCTAATACCTTTTTCTGTCAATTATATATATCTTATATATCTATGAGGAGCTAAAAAGAATATCTGAAGTCATTTTGTTGCAGAAATTCTAAATTATGTTATTCTAAAAATCTTATCTTTCTGGTATTTGTTATGACAACAGACTTGACCTTAGATTAACCATCCTGTTATAACAAATTATTTCAGCACCTACTTTGTGCCACACACTATTTAAGGTGTGTGATTACTTTGGGAAGTAATATAAAGTATCTGCCCTGTGTGAGGAAATGTAATGTCGTAGTTACAGACACAGGTTCTGGAGAAAGATTTTTTGGCTCCAAAATCTAAGTTTGCTACTCATAAACCTTATGTTACTTATTTAGCAATTTTAATTTTCAGTTTTCATAGCCACAAAGTGATACTTTCTTCTTCTTGCTATAAAATGGATTAAAAGAAATAATATAGGCAAAATAGCACATTGTTTGACATATACAAGATACTCAATAGTATGTAGAAAAAAATTCTCACTTACTCACCAATGGTGTATTTTAGTCTAACCAGGTCTAACATTTATATTCATTCAAGAATAGACCTAAAACAGGGAAAATGACATCCATAGTTCCATAAAGAATGAATTGCAAATTTCTAAAATAAGTTCCCTCTGTAATTAATAGGCCAAATTTATTTGTATGCAATAATCAGAATATAAGAACTATAGTCATCGGGAACTAAATCAGTGAAGACTTATAATCAAAAATAGTTCACTGAAAATCACTAAAAACTGTTTTCAAGGATGTGAAGAAGAAAAGCCCCAAAAGGCCATATAATCTTCACATATGTTTATCAAACTTTGAACTATATGTTATTTATTTATTTATTCTATGTATATCTATTTATTGCCTACTAGGCAGTAGACACTCTCTCAGACAGTGGACATGCAAAGGTAAACATGTACAAAATAAAGGGGTGTAAAATTTTTGCAATATTAAATCTTGCTATGGGTAATTTTCCACAATAATTTTATTTCCCCAATAATTAACTATATATTTATTCATAAAACATATTTTTAAATGATGGAAAAATTAAATACATTATTCAGAAAGGGTGTTCTAAAATAAATAATTCTGTGTTTATAATTACATATCAGAAACTATATAAATTCATTGTCTTATATGTATTGCGAATATTCTGTGTATACACTTAATCTCTGCAAATGAGTGAAAAAAACTGACTTATACCTTATTATTATTGAGTCTAGCTTTACGTTTATCAGTTGACTCTATATGCTTCATAAGAAATAAAGTAATCAAATTTTAGGTCAGACCTTCATGGATAGTAAACATTGCCATGAATATAAACTAAGGCCATTCAGGGACTACGTCATTGATGATTGGGTTGTCTTGAAAAGGTAATACACTTTGAACTCTGCACTCTGAATACAGTTAACTTATTTAAGAGGTTCCATCCCAAAAGCTTTGTAATATAACAACTTTTAAAGAAATTCAGAAAAATTTGTACAAAGGCACAAAGGAGAAAAAAAGAGGGGTAGATTACACATCCATAGCAATGTATTTGATTGCTTAGACAGGGAAGAAGTAAATAAAACCTAAAACTATAAAATCCCTGGAAGATAACCTAGGAAATACCATTCTGAACACAGGCCTCTGCAAAGCTTTCATGATACAGATGCCAAAAGCAATTGCAGAAATAATAAAAAATTGGCAAATGGGACCTAATAAAACTAAAGACCTTCTGCACAGCAAGAGAAACTACCAACAGAGTAAACAGACAACTTACAGAACAGGAGAAAATATTTACAAACTATGCATCCGACAAAGTTCTAATATCCAGACTCTGTAAAAAGTGCCTGTGGCTTATCCAAGTGCACAGTGCAAGTTGTCAATGGGGTCTGGAGGAAATTTCTGGGGTCTAGAGGATAGTGGTCCTCTTCTCACAACTCTAAGAGGCGGTGCCCCAGTGGGGACTCTGTGTGGGGTCTCCAACCACATATTTCCCCTCCAAACTGCCCTAGTAGAGGTTCTCCATGAGGGCTCTGCCCCTGCAGCAGACTTCCACCTGGACACTCAGGTGTTTCCATATATCCTCTGAAATCTAGTCAGAGGCTCCCAAGCCTCAACTCTTGCCATCTGTGCACCCACAGGCTTAACACCACATGAAATTGCCAAGGCTTATGTTTCGCACCCTCTGGAGCAGCAGCCTGAGACGTATCTGGGGCCCTTTTAGCTACAGCTGCAGCTAGAGCACCTGGTACACAGTGAGCAGTATTCTGAGATTTCATAGGGCAGTGGGTCCTGGGGCCCACTCCATGAAACCATTCTTTCCTCCTATGCCTCTGGGCTTGTGATGGGAGGGGCTGATGTAAATGTCTCTAAAACACCTTCAAGGCATTTTTCCAATTGTCTTGGCTATTAACATCGGCTCCTCTTTACTTATGCAGATTTCTATAGCCAGTTTGAATTCCTCCCCAGAAAATGGGTTTTTCTTTTCTACCACATGGTCAGGCTGCAAATTTTTCTGTCTTTAATGCTCTGCTTCCCTTTTAAATGTAAGTTTCAGTTTCAGATCATCTCTTCTCATTCATATGAACATATGCTGTTAGAAGCAGCCAGGTCATATCTTGAAGGCTTTGCTGCTTGGAAATTTCTTCCATTAGATACCCTAAATTATCTCTCTCAAATTCAAAGTTCCTCAGATCTATAGGACAGAGGCACAATACCTCCAACCTCTTTGCTAACTCACAACAAAGTTGACCTTTGTTCCAGTTCCAGTAAGTTCCTCATTTCCATCTGAGACCACCTCAGCCTGTACTTCAACGTCCATCACTATCAGCATTTAGTTAAATGTTTAGTCGAATGGTCACAACCATTCAACAAGTCTCTAAGAAGTTCCAAATATTCCCTCATCTTCCTGTCTTCTTTTGAGCCCTGCAAACTGTTCCAACCTCTGCCTGTTACCCAGTTCCAAAATTGCTTCCACATTTTGTGGTATTTTTATAGCAATGCTCCACTCCTTGGTACCAATTTTCTGTATTAGCCTGTTCTTGCATTGCTATGAAGAACTACCAGAGACTTGGTAATTTATGAAGTAAAGAGATTTAATTGGCTCACATTTCCACAGGCTGTACAGGAAGCATGGCTGGGGAGGACTCAGGAGTCTTACAGTCATGGCTGGAGGTAAAGGGTAAGGAGGTACATCTTACATGCCTGGAGGAGGAGAAAGAGAGTTTGGGGTGGGGGTGCTACAAACTTTTAAAGAACCAGAGCTGTGAGAACTCATTCATTATCATTAGGACAATGGGGGAATATGTCCTCATGATCCAGTCACTTCTGCCCAGGCCTCTCCTCCAACACTGCAGATTACAATTCAGCATGAGATTTGGGTGGAGACACAAATCCAAACCATGTCACATACTCATAATTTTACCTATATTTTTGGAGGAGTGTGGAATGTAGATGCTAAAATCTGTATAAGTAGATTTTATATAAGCATATGGATTCTAAATCTATAAAAGTTAGCCATGGTACATTCAAAGAAAGAAGAAAAGTGTGTCAATACATTATAAATCATGAAAATTACAACAGTGAATTTTTGAAGCAAGGATAGACAAATCAAGAATCTCAGAGAGCCTAGCACCAAACCTACATACATAAGTAAATATGATATATGTAAAGAATGGAATGGCAAATAGCATAGGAAATTATGGGTTTCTTAATGAAGAGTGTAGCATGATTGGTTGTATATATGTCAAAAAATAAAAAATTGAATTTCCATCTCACTTTCATATCATATGTAAAACACAAATTTGGCATGAACTAAAGATGTAGAAAGTAAAACTATAAAACTTTTAAGGTAAGAAGTATGAATGCACAAGCATAGGAAAATGTTTATTGTTTTAAAACATGCCAAAAGCACAAACAATAAAGGAAAAATTAGATATATCTAACTATATTAAAATCTATAACTTTTACTTATTAAAAAAAAAACCATAAAGAAAAAGAAAACTAAGCCCCAACTCAGAAGAGTAATTCTAATAAAAATAACTTATATTTAGATCAGATATTAGTCCATTTTCACACCACTTATAAAGATACTACACGAGACTGGATAATTTATAAATAAAAAAAGTTTAATTGACTCACAGTTCTGCATGACTGTAAAGGTCTCAAAATACTTATAATCAGGGCAGAAGACAAAGAGGAAGCAAGGCACGTCTTCCATGGCAGCAGGAGAGAAAGAGCGCTAAGGTGGAAACTGCCAAACACTTTTAAACCTTCAGGTCTTGTGTCAATATCCTGAGAACAGCATGAGGGAAAACATGATCCAGTCACCTCCCACCAGGTCCCTTGGAAGAATTGTCATTGGTCACTCCATTTGCTTATCTCCTTAATAAATGCTGACACATAACTGTCAACATTTAAAATATAATGTATTGACTCTCAAATAATAGATTCAGGCATTTGAAGCTAATGCATTTCTTACTGAGTTACATCTCTTGGATGTAATATCATAGAAATGGAATTTCTTGGCAATATCAATGTCATAAAGCAATGTTCATATTTTATCCATTTTCCTATCTAGCTTGAGAATTTTTCACCAGACACATACTTCAGAATGAAAAATAAAAATCTTGAACTCAATAGAAGCTGAAAAAATATATTATTTGTGACTGGAACTTAGTCCATTTTTATGTGTTATGTTTATTATTTATTTTAACACTAAAAAACTAAAAAGCTCTATTGGTGTTTCCAAATGTTCTATTAGGAGGGCAATTTGGGGACTTTACTTAGAAGCAGACACTTTGTTAGTGGTTGCTGCTCCATTAGAACTGATTCTGAGTAACTTTCTTAGTCAACATTATGATTCCAGAAAAGAAATAGTATTAATATTTCTATTTTTTATTTATTTAGAGATGGCATCTCGCTCTGTCACTAATACTGGAGTGCAGTGTCACAATTGCAATCTTAGCTCATTGAAGCTTTGAACTCCTAGGCTCAAGTGATTCTCTTGTCTCAACCTTCAAGTAGGTGGGGTTACAGGAGGGAACCACTATGTCTGGCAGTAAAATATAATTATTAATAATTAAGTATGCCTTTACCAAAATAAAAAACAATAAAACCCCTCTTGCATCATGATGTTTCAGTTATAACAGAACAAAATTTCATTCTCCCATACTTTTTCCATATATTTTTGCAAATTGCTAAGAGAGGCTCATACTCTGCACATTAGTGGAGTCATTGGACTGCAATGATAGTTATCTACCAACCCATCGATTCAGTAGTCAATTTTCTTCTGCCATATATGCCACTTGTACTATGCACTGTGCAACTCTGTTACTTAATAAAGAGATTTTGCCAATATCAATACACCTTGTTCTTTGAGCATATTTGTCATATACTTTACACCAGCTTTATGAGCTTCTCAGAAATAGTACATCTGTCTTTGCTACAAAAAGTGCAACTTAGAATGATATTGCTATAAATTTGGTCTTTTATTTTGTCTTCCTGGCCAATATTTATTTAATATAGGAAAGCATTATTTGCCATTATTCCAATGTGTTTCAATCAGATTACCAGAAAGAGTACTCTGAAAATAAAGGTGTCGCTAACAAAACAACAAAAATTGACCAAAACACACTGAGCACTAAAATTAAATAATTAGCTAATTGAATATAGTATTTTGATACTAAGTTCAAGTTTTCTATTTGCAGTTTGTTTCTCTTTCCGCTGCTTGTGAAAATAATTACAATCTTATGTTCATTTTACCAGCATCATGAAGGTTCACAATCTCTAGTTCTACTTGTCTGTTTGAATTTAAACACATAATATTATTCTAAGTTTTTATGGCTGTATTTTTATTTTCACTATTCATCTTATATTTCATGTAATGACATTAGAATCAACCCGTTACTATGAATGTAACCTCTACAACACAATAGCAACATAAAAATCAAATGTAAATATGAACAATAGGATACAAATGATGTCAGAATAAGTTCACTGAGTATAATTGTGTTTTGGTACTAGTGTATTAAAATAGAAAAACTGAATAAGTGTTACAGCACAATCACAACTCATAAGATTGAAATGATTATTAGGGTGATGCTATTTTTGAAGTGAGTTGCTTCTAAGAATGTTACATATGTTATTTAATTCTTACAACAATATTATGAAGAGAGTATAATTACATTCCCCAACTTATAGTAGAAAAAAATGAAAGTGAATAGAGGTTGGTTAAGTTTTCCAACATCACATAGGTGAAAAGAGTGAAGCCAGGTTTTGATCCAGGTGGTGTGACTGCAGATGTGAATCCTTAACCAACACATGCACTTTCTTTCTTGGGTTCTTAGTCAACTACACGTAAATGTAGCTGAAGGAAATTATATTTTCCCTTTTACTTTTCATTGATTTTAAGCTGAATATATGGGGGAAGTAATGAAACTAAAGTTTCTAGGAATTATTTTAATGATTTAGTTGCAATGATCCATTAGAAATGATCCTTATTTGGAGATGGAGCTAGGATTTTCTGCTTAGGACAAGAGGAGGAGTAGAACAAAGTTTCTGCTACCCTCTCACAGATGTCTCCTGGTGGACATGCTCCTCACTAGCTCAGGTTAGGGCGGCTCCTCTACCAAGGTATGTGAACCTGAAACGATTAATTTCAAATGAGCATAGCATATTTGCTTATGGGAAATAAACGGTTAAACATTTATTTTTCATTTTATTTTTTATTTTTTTGCCTAGCTGGAGAGGGCATAAGGATAATGCCTCAGGGATGGAGAAAATTTGACACAGTCAAATCTTCTAAAAAGGCTAATAATAGACCTCATGGTAAAAAAGATTTGTTATTTGCTAACAGAAAAATCCCTATCAGTGGATATGCCAGGATATACATGCTAGGTATTGCTGGTGGTAAGCAAATCTGGAATCTGCCAATTCACGTAGCATGAATCCACGTGGATTCCTGGAAAAATGTTGTATTAGCTATGTAACTGAGTGTAAAATGGAGACGTTTCATAACCAAAATGTCTCCTTCCATGTAAGTAATGTGGCCACAGGCATCATTACAAATCTCCCTAGTTCAGCTGAGTCAGAATGAATCTGATACAGCTAGATAGAAGCAGGTAAGAGTCTGGCAATCTCAGACCTCTTTCTGCTTTGCTTGTGCCTCATGACTTCTATCTTTGAATTTAATAGAAAAGCATGACACTAAGGTCTCTGATTCTCATGCATCTGATTTGACAATAGGATATTTTACATCTCATCTTACAACACGCAAAAATCAAAGCCATTATTTGTAAAAATTAAATGAATTCCATCCTACAAAGAGTAAACTACTTTTTCCTGTTAAAAATAGAAAATCTCCCTGCAATTAAGTTCTAGTCCTAAAGTGTATTATTTTACTTAACTAGATTTAATTTTCCATTGAAAGTTTAAGTGTTTGCTCTTAGGTAAGGCAAATAACAGTACTGCATTTATACTTCTGCAAAACCTTGAGATCAACTAACATGAACACAGCCACACTCTGAGTAGAATTAATCATGACTTATCATAAACTTATTATATCTGAATTAAGTTTCAAAGCTCTATTAAGTGTTTTAATAACATTATCATCAATACATTTATTCTTTTTGTTTTCTGCTTTGTCAATTCTCTTTAGGTTGTCTTTAGCTGTCTATATCTGTGTATGGCCAACAAAAACTATTCTCTGCCTCCTGTAAGTAAACCTGTAATATTACATAGAAATTCAGGAGTGGTGAACATAGTTACCATGTAATATTAAACAGAAGACCATTAAAATGCAATGTATCCTCTTTTGTATAATATATGATGGAACTTTGGATAATTTTATAATAAATTCCCTAAAAATTCTTTAATTTACATAAAACAAAGACAAGCTTTAGAAAATGAAAAAGTTCATCTGTAATATTAACTTCTTCCAAAATTAAACATGAAACGTTTTTTAAAATACTGATTTATTTATAGTTATATTGCAGGCAATATAAGAAATTTAAGCAAATTAGTACATTCTGTAATTTTTCTATATGATTAGCCAATGATCAACAACTACCTTTCTCTTTAAGAAGAATAAATAATGAGTATAGGTAAAAATCACTCTGAATGGTTCAACTGGAGAAATGACTTAGGGAAGAATGCAATCAGTGACCATAGCTTTAATCAGTTACTGGTTAAGTGCCATATATTTGTTTCTCAATTCCAATACCTTCAGGCAAAAGTACATACTTTAGTCAAAGATTCCCTGACCACACTGTGTAAAATACACTTCTCTGCTCTAACTTAACCTAATGTAACCCATTAGTCTGTCTTATTTCTCCAGTGGATTTAACAATATTGGGATTATATAATTTATTTATTTGTTTTTATCTTTATACATCTTTCCACAGTGGAAACTCCACAAGGGCAAGAGTATTGTCTGTCTTGCTCCTTTGCTGTATTACTCGTGCTAGAGCTGTCCCTTAGACATAGCAGAGACTCATTATTTTTATGTTAAACAAATAATTACATAAATAAATACATAACACAATGCCTTACTCTTTGAATGGTGTCAGATGCATTTTAACACTTATAATTTTATAACTCCCTGTCACAATGCACTTATTCACAAATATGGTATAAATCTTGTGTTATCTTAAAGTAACTATAAATGTAATTTTAGCCAGTAGCTGTTCCACTATATATATCATAAGTTGATGACAACTTGATTACTGTGACCTTTTATATGAAAATTTTAAAAAAAGTAAGTGTTGTAAAAATCTTAATTCATTAGAGCAAGGAGTCTTAGTTCTGAAGTGAACATTTTTCTCATGTGTTCTAATTGTTATCCAAGATAACTTAAAAAGATACTTTTTAAGAATATCAGGTAGGAAAAAATCAGAAATTAAAATCTTGCTTCTATCCTACTTATTATTTTTCTCACGTAAATGTGAAACTTTTGGATTATTTCTCAGAAGTTAAAAATCACTCAAGTATTTTAGAGGAGGTATTATCATTCTCTAATTGACCAATGTTAGGTTTTAAAAGGCTTGAGTGAAAGTTATTCAGCAAGTAGAACAATTTCTGATAAATAACATAAATTTGACATTTTTTTTCTAGCTCAGGTAGCTAATGCAAATAAGATCACAGCCTCTGTAAGCTTTGGGAATGAACAGGCTGTCCAAAAGAGTCAACAGAAGTGAACCTCCTGCGATAGGAAAGGTTTCAATTTTGCCATTTTCTAAACACAGAAAAATGTATCCCTCCAGTTCAGAATATTGAATGTCTTATGGAAAGCGAAAGGTCATTTGTAACTGTCCAAAGGATTGATGGAGTTGAGATACCTCCTTGACCTTCACCCTGCACTCATAAAGAATAGTTTCAGATGACAGAGCATCAGGCAAGTTTTCAGAAAATGTCTTTTCTTCTTTTTATATTTCATAGCAAGATTGTAACCTGATATTTTCTTTCATAATTGTATGTCAAGATTTAATTGCCTTGTGTCTTCCCTCATTAAAAGTGAACTATCATCTAATGCTGCTGAGCAATGTCTATGATTTGGACTAATTCAAGCAGTTCTCTCTGCTTTTTACCATTGCTTTTCATGTCAGTTTTTTCAGTAATTTCTTTGGAGGCCTCACAAACCATGTCAAGGTCATCCTTTAAAAATACTAACAACTACCCCTCAACACATACATACTCCAATTAATTATTGTCTATTAAGGATACATGTTATAAAAAGCACTAACTTTACTATAACTAAGGAAATTTTTATCCGTATAACTTAAAAAAAAGCCCATAAAAATCTTTGTGTAGCTCTTAAAAGTATGATACAATTGTGACATAACACTAAACGAATAGCTATTGAATTAGTGTGTGTGTGTGTTTACATTTGTTAGTTGTGAAATTTCTATGACCTACAGTATTTATGGTCACTAATCTTAGAATTTGCACAATAAAAAATGTAATGATACTGTGCAACACTTTCTGTGCAAAATGATGATACTGACACACTGTATGGAGCATGTGTGCTTCCAGCTGTTTTACCCATAATAATGATGAATTTGAGCTGATTTTACTGCCATTGTTGTCATTTAAGCTCCTTTTATATTTCAGCTTATACAATGCAGCAGCTTTCTAACTGTTCTTGTGTCTCCAGTGTTATTTAACTCGAATTTGTAATCCATATTTCCTATATAATAAAAAGTATGGTAAGAAAAGACTCCACTATTCTAGAGAAAATTAAGGAATGCAAAAATAGAAGACAACTGGAAACCCAGAAAAAATGTACAATAAAATAAGTAAATATGAGTACTTGGCTTTGAAATATAAAATAGTCATAATAATACAAACACATTTGTAGATTTTCAGCTTTTTGAATGAATTCATAGAAAAAAAAATAAAGGTTTCCAGCTTCATCCATGTCCCTACAAAGGACATGAGCTCATCATTTTTTATGGCTGCGTCATTCTCAGCAAACTATCGCACAGACAAAAAACCAAACACCACTTGTTCTCACTTATAGGTAGGAATTGAACAATGAGAACACATGGACACAGGAAGGGGAACATCACACACCGGGGCTTGTTGTGTGGTGGGGGGAGGGGGGAGGGATAGCATTAGGGGATATACCTAACGTTAAATGATGAGTTGATGGGTGCAGCACACCAACATGGCACATGTATACATATGTAACAAACCTGCACATTGAGCACATGTACCCTAAAACTTAAAAGTATAATAAAAAAAGCATAAAGTTAATTTTAATCAATACAAATATCTAAGATGTAAAAGTAAACATAAATATGGTTGAATTTAGTTTCTTTAGCAATGAAGGAGATAAAGGTAGATATTACTGTCTTCAAACAACAAAGTTGAGAATGAAAGAGTAATAACTATAGGTGAAGAAATAAGAAAAACTGTTTAGATATACAGTGTTTAAGTTAAAATGTTTTCCAATTGAGAAATCAAAAAACTTGATTACTGTGACCTTTAATATGAAAACTTAAGAAAATTAAGTGTTGTAAAAAATCTTAATTCATTAGAGCAAGAACAGTCTTAGTTTTGAAGTGAACATTTTTCTCATGTGCTTTAATTGTTATCCAAAATAACTACTTTTTAAGAATATCAGGTAGGAAAAAAATCAGAAATTAAAATGTTTCTTCTATCCTTATTAGCTTTCTCATGTAAATGTGAAACTCATGGGTTCTCAAAAGTTAAAAATTACTCAACTATTTTATAGGAGGTATTGTCATTCTTTAATTGGCCAATGTTAGGTTTTAAAAGGCTTTAGTGAAAGTTTGGGGTAGAATGGGACAAGGAAGGGGAGTTGGTGAAGTAAGCTAAATCTTCATTTATCTTATCCAAGTATCAACTGACCAACATTTAAAGTTGTTAAATTTAAAAATAGTGGGGATGAGATTAAAGATGGCTGACAAGAAGCATTACATGGCCTCCTCTCTACTTAAAAGAATAAAAATAATGTAGAAACAAGGACACAAAATACATTATCAAAGAAAGAACATTGAATTTCAACAGAAAAGTGACAGGAAACACCAAAAGCAAGGACAGAGAAGGAAAGTTGCAGTCTGTTTGGCTGGGATTGGGTGGGATTTGGAAATAAGTTTTCAACACAGAGAGTGATAAGTGAGAGACTTCCAGTGGCCCACATCCCCACAGTAGAACTGTGCAATCTTGCCAAGGGGAGAGCCCCTTGAACCTCCTAGTCCCTGAAACTAACACAGGAAGTTTCCAGGATACTGTGAGATGAAACTGCTCTAGCGAGTGTGCTTGCACTGCTTCCCACACCCTTTCTGCGATCTAAGCAGCTACAACAAGTTGTCATTTTCAAACCTAGCCTTTGGCAGACTGCACACTCTTCTGGGGCCCAACAGTATTGGGTCTGAGGTGTCTGGGAAAATTAGGCTGTTGCTTCTGAGACTGGTGTGCAAGCTGGGAGCCAGGGTTAAGGAGTGAGACAAACACGGTCTGCATCTGTTAATGCTAAGAAGCAAGCACTGACAGGGCTGAAACTGGGATACAAGTGGGACAAAGTTGCTGCTGGAACTTAGTTGTGTTCTGGGTGAGGTCTGCTGGAGCCAGGGCTTAGGGGCAAGCCCTACCAGCATCGCAGCATAAGGGGGACATGCATTCCCTACATGCCAGCTTAGCTTGTGGCCGCCAAGGCCAGCCCTACTCACTTCAGTGGCAGAGCCTCAGTGTGGCCACTACTCCCACTCATCCAAGCACTCTGCCTGGGGCCTGAGGATCATCCTTCCCCTGTTCACTATGGCTGAGGCCCACTCTCACCATTTAGAAGCTGGAGAATAAGCATGTTCAGCCCAGCTTTGTGCCCCTCCTCTGAGACAGAGTACACTGCCCAGGATCCTGGGGATTGCCCAACCCAGTCCACTAACTTGGGCATCTGAGCACGCATAGCAAGAGCCTGAAGTTGGGCCTAAATTTCTTGATTCTACCACCTCATCTAGCACCTACCTGCAAGTGCTACTTGAGGGCCTGGAGATTAGCCTGCCCAGCCTATCACAGCCATCACTAATAACAACACACACTGCTCTGGACTTACAGAATTTTCCCACCACTGCTTACTGCCATTGCCCACACCACACCAGTTGCCCAGGGGCCTGAAAATCCACCCACCTATCCAGTTCACCACTGCCTCTATTGGAATTTGAGAAAGCCACCTGGAAGCCCAGGAAAACAGCTTGCTGGTAACTGCCAACATTATTGCCAACAAAAACCATCCTGGGGTTCAGGATAGACATAGCCCACCACAGCCACCAACGGGGCCTAAAAACTGGCCTACCTGGCACACCATTCCCCAGCACAGCTTCACCACAGCCTCCCTTAATAACTTCACCTTAACCAACTGAAAAAAATCACAGATACCACTAATTCTGTTTACAGTCAAAAACATCACACAGAGACTACATTAGAGCATGCATCCAGAATCAAAGCCAGTTTGCCCTACCTAACCAACACTATAAATACATATTCAGGAAAATATTCTCCCCTACGAAAGTAAATTCAAAATAAGTAGCGATGGTTACAACAGATGTAAAGATATAAATGTAAGAACATAGGAAATATTAAAAAGTAAGAAAAAATATGACACTTGCAAAGGAACATAATAATTCTGTAACAATAGATCTTAATCAAAAAGAAATCTTCAAAATCCTAGATAAAGAATTCAACATATTGATTTTAAAGAGACTCAGCAAAGTACAAAAAATTCTGAAAAGTAATGCAAAGAATCAGAAAAACAATTCGGGATATGAATGAAAATTTTACCAAGGAGATAGATATTTTAAATAAGAATGAAATGAAAATTTTGAAATTTAATAATTCATTGAAGGAAATACAAAATACATTTGAAAGCTTCAAAAATAGACTATATAAAGCAAAAGAAAGAATCTCAGAACTTAACAAAAGATCTTTTGAAATAATCCAGTCAGAGAAAAAGAAAGAAAGAAATAATAAAAAAGAATGAGCAAAGCTTTTATGACATTTGGGATGACTTAAAGTGACCAAATATTTGAATTGTCGGTATCTAAGAGAGTAAAGAGAAAATGAAAAAATTAGAAAACTTATTTAACAAAATAATAAATGAAAAACTCCCAAGTCTAGGAAGATATTTAGACCTTCATATACATGAGGATCAGTGATCCCCAGGAAGATACAATGTAAAAAAACATTCTTTCCACAGCATATTATAGACAGACTATCTAAAGTCAAAAATAAAGAGTGAATTCTAAAAACAACAAAAGAAAAGTGCTAGTGAATTATAAAGGAAATCCCATAAGACTAAAATTAGATTTATCAGCAGAAACTTTACAAGGGCAAAAGAGAATGGCATAATGAATTTGAAGTTCTGAAAGAAAAAAATTGTTATATTCACCAAAATTATCATTTATAAATGAAAAAAGAGTAAAGCCTTTCTCAGACAAGAAAATGCTCAGGAAATTTGTGACCACTAGACTAGCCATGCGAACAATGCTCAAGGGAGTCCTAAACCTGGAAGTAAAAGAATGACATTTACCTCCATGAAAACACATGGAAGCATAAAACTCACTAGTAAAACAATCATACAAAAAATGAAGAATAAGCCATTGCCCACACCACACCAGTTGCCCAGAGGCCTGAAATCCAAATGTGTCACTACAGAAATTCACCAAACCATAATGACAAAGAAAAAAAGAAGTGGACAAAGAAGATATAAAACAACCACAAAAAAGTTAACAATATGACAGAAACAAAGCCTCACATATTGACCTTGAATGAAATGGACCAAATGAAAAGATACAGAATGGCTGAATAGATTTAAAATGTATAATCCAGCTAAGTTGCTTCCAAGAAACTTGGCTTATCAGTAAAGACGTAGAAACTGAAATAAAGAGATGGAGAAAGACATTTCACACAAACAGAAACTAAAAGCAGACAGATGTAGCTATACTTGTATCTGATAAAACAGATTTTAAGTTAAGAAAAAAATAGCCAAAGAAAGTCATTATATAATTGTAAAAATATCAATACAGCAAGAGGATATTAAAATCCTAAATATATATGTACCCAACACTGAAGCACTCATATTCATAAAACAAATATTACCAGACCTAGAGAGAAAGAGAAATTGCAAAGCATGGAGGGAGGTCTTTTACATTAGACAGGTCATCTAAACAGAAAACTAACAAAGAAATTTTTGGTGTAAACTGGACTTTAGACCAAATGGACCTAAAAGGCATCTGTGAAACATCTGAAGAATATAAATTATTCTCATTAGGACATGAAACATTCTTCAGGATAGACCACATGTTAGGAAACAAGCAAGTTCAATAAAATTTTTTAAAATCAAAATAATATCAAATATCTTCTCAGACCACTTTGGGATAAAACTAGAAATAAACACCAGGAAATTATGCACATATATGGAAATTAAATAGCATGCTCCTAAATAATGATTGGGTAAAAACAAGGCATTAGAATATAAATTTTAAAAATCTTAAAAAATAAAAATGGAAACAAAACATATGAAAACCTGTGTGATACAGAAAAAAATGTACTAAAAGGGAAGTTTCTAGCAATAAATGTCTGCATCAAAAATGTAGAAAGACTACAGACAACTATCTACCAATGCACGTTAAAGAAGCAGAAAAGCGAAAAGCAAAAACCAGCCAAACCCAAAATTATCAGAAGAAAATAAATAATAAAAAGAAGAGAATAACTAAATGAAATAGAGATGACAAAAAATACAAAGGATTAACAAATTAAAAAGTTGGTTCTTCAAAAAGAAAAACAAAGTTGATAAACTCCTAGTAGACTAACCAAGAAAAGTAGAAAAAAACCTGTATTAGTCTGTTTTCACGCTACTCTAAAGACACTACCTGAGACTGGGTAATTTATGAAAAAAAGAGGTTTAATTGACTCACAGTTTTACATGACGAGGGAGGCCTCAGGAAACTTACAATCATGGTGGAGAGGGAAGCAAGGCACATCCTACATGACAGCAAGAGACAGAAAGCACAGAGTATACTGCCACTTTTAAACCAACAGATCTCATGAGAACTTTCTCACTATCATGAGAACAGCATGGGGGAAACTGCTGTCATTATCCAATCACCTGTCACCATGTCCCTTCCTTGACATGTGGGGATTACAATTAGAGGTGAGATTTCAGTGGGGACACAGAGCCAAACTGTATCAAGACCCAAATAATCAAAATCAGAAATGAAAAAGGAGACATTACAACTGATACCACAGAAATACAACAGATCATCAGAGACTGTTATGAAGAGCTATAAACTTACAAATGGTAAAACCTAGATAAATTGATACATTTCTGGAAATCTATAACCTACCAAGACTGAATCAAGAAGAAATATAAAACCAGAATAGACCAGTAATGAGCAGCAAGAGTGAATCAGTAATAAAACTAATCTCAATGAAGAAAATTCCCAGATCAGATAGATTCACAGCTGCATTCTACTAAACTTACCAAGATCTAATACCAATCCTTTTGAAACTATTTCAAAAAATCAAAGAGGACAGAATTCTCCTTAACTCATTCTACAAAGCCAGTATTACCACGATACCAAAATAAAACAAGAACACACACATACAAGAAAATTACAGGCCATTATCCCTGATGAACATAGACACAAAATTCTAAACAATGCACTAGAAAACTGAATCCAATGGCACATCGAAAAGATAATAAACTACAGTTAAGTGTACTTTATATTAGGGATGCAAGGACGGTTCAACATACACAAATCAATAAGCATGATATATTACATCAACAGAGTAAAGGATACAAACCATTTTATCATCTCAATAGATACAGAAAAAGCACTTGATAAAGTTTTAAATCTTTGATAATGAAAATCTTCAGCAAACTAGGCATAGAATAAACATACCTCAAAAAAAATAAAGACCATATATGACAAACCCACAGCTAATACCATACTTAATGGGAAAAAGTCGAAAGCTTTTCCTCTAAGAACTGGAATAAGACACTTTCACCACTTCTATTTAGCATAGTACTGGAAGTCCTGGCCAGAAAATTCAGGCAATAGAAGAATATAAAATGTATCCAAATTGGAAAAGAGGTAGTCAAATTGTTCCCCTTTTCTGATAATATGAACTTATGTCTCAAAAAACCTAACAATTATACAAAACTTCTTAAATTTAATAAATGAATTAGGTAAACTAGCAGAGTACAAAATCCAAGTACAAAAATCAGTAGTGTTTCTATATGCCAACTATGGGCTAGCTGAGAAAGAAATCAAAAGTCAATTCTGTTTACAATGGATACAAAAAAACACACATAGGAATACATTTATCTAAGGAGGTGAGAGATCTCTACAAAGAAAACTACAAAACTGATGAAAGCAATTAAAGATGACACAAATAAATGGCTTATAACATTGAAAGTCTTTAAAATTCTGTTCAACTATGTGTCTCCTCACACCTACTATGATGGCTAATTTTATACCAACTTGAATGAACTTTGAGATGCTCAGATACCTGGTTAGATATTATTTCTGGATGTGTCTGTAATGGTATTTACAAGAGATTAGCATTTGAGTTGATGAACTGAGTAAAGTCTATGGTCTTTCTGATTGTGAATGGGCATCATCCAATCTCTTCAGAGCCCAATAAAATAAAAAGGCAGAAGGGGGTTTGAATTTACTCTTTGCCTGACTGCTCCAATTAGCACAATAATTTTCTCTTGCCCTCAGCACTCTTGGTTCTCAGGCCTTCAGACTCAGACTGACTCTAAAAATTTGGACTTCTAATTTCCAGAATTGTGAAGCAAATAAGGATCAGAAGCTGTCCTACGTAGGTGGGCTAGAATGTGACGGCTATTCGGCATAGCTCTCACAATTGACTTTGAACTGTTTGGACAGGTTGTAGACAACTGGTTAAATAGAAATACACCTGTATTTCTAGCATCTACATGGGACAGCTACTGATGCTTATTTGGTATTTTTTTTAAACTTGAATGAACTAATTATTTCACATTTATTGCCTCTCAGTCTTGTTGGCAAGAACTACGTGCTCAGCAGCTATCAATGGCAGGCATATGATGCTTCTCAAATAATATTTATAAAATTATTTATTCCTTCAATATATTTGTTTAGTGCCTATAATATGCTGGACACTATGCTTAGTTCTGGGGGCATTTCTATGAGTAAAACCAACAAAATCTTTGCATCTTGAAAAATTAAACCTTCTAAAGTGACAGAATAAATACGTAAATTAATATATAAATAAGACAAGTAGCAATTATTCTAAGTACAGTGGAACTAGTAGCTTAGTGATATTATACAGAGTAACTGGCCAAGACTAGGTTTATAGGCACTCCATAAATATTTGTTAAATTGGTAAAGAATGACCCATAGGCAGTGTGGTAAAGAAAGTGTCCTCTGAAGAGATAAAATTTAAGCCCATAGCTGAAAAATTAAGCCCAGATACAAAGTCATTCATGCAGAGAGTTAGCGAAACAGCATTCAGGCAAAGGGAACCACAAGTTCATAAGTTCTAAAGTAGAAAAAAAAATTGGGTTCGTGCAAGCAATAGAAAGGGAGCCAGTGAAGCTGAATCCAGGTAGTATAGTGTGTATTTGGAAAATTAAGTAGCAGTCAGACCATCTATGGTCCCATAAGTCATTGGTAGAGAGCCCAGAATTCACTGTCAATGCACTGGTAATCATGGGAGGGTTTTAAAACTTCAATGTAACGTGATCTTTATGTTGTTTTTCAAAAGATTACTCTACGTTTGTGCTGAGTAGAGCATAAGGGGCCAGAAATTGAAAAAGAGACTACTATAGTTAGGAGGTCGTTGTCTAGTATCTTGATGAAATATGATGGTACTTTAACTTAGGTGGTAGAAATTGAAATAGAAATAAGACTGATTTATTGGGAATTTAAAGCCAATAGAATTTGGCAAAGAATTACCTGTTGTGCTTAAGCAAATGGCAATAATCAAGGTTGAGTTCAGTCCCAAAGTTCTCCTCTTTCTATGTAACCTTTTTGATCTAATTGAAAAACATCAGCTGTGCTAGGAGTACAACCTGTGACTATGAAAGTCGATTAAATAAAACATTTGAGCTTTGAGCACAGGCTAACCAAGTAAAATTAATTCTGAATACAAAGTAATCTCTTTTTCAACTTCACATCTCCTGTATTGAATTTGGCATATAGATTGTGTTTGATAAATGTTTGTCAATGAATATCTGCATGTTAGATATGAGAAATGTTCTAATAGAAAATCATGATTAAACAGTTGAATTTGGCTTGGGAATTCACTTTTATACTATGTAAATTTAAAATCTAATTCATTTATGAAACAAACATTTTCTAGAGTTCTGTTCCCTTTCACAGAGAGCATATTATTTGATGAATGTATCTGCTAACATTTCAGGATAGATATGTAATTTTAACGTATGCATGTGGAAGGTGAAGCTTTGAAGAACTAAGTTACTTGCCAGTAAGTGACCAGGGTGGTCTGTAGTCACAGGTCTTGTGAATCCTGAGTCATTGTGTATTTTACTCTACTATGGTCCTTCCATATATACTTGGGCTGACAGAAGCGTGTTGCAGGGGAAAGACCACTGACCTAGTTTTCAGGAAATCTTCCTTGGCATAGCCCTCACAATTGGCTTTGTAACTGTTTGGACAGATTGTAGACAACTGGTTAAATAGAAACATCACTCAACCTTTCTGAAGTTTACTTGTCTGGTCTGTAATATTGGGAAGTTAGAATTGATGAGTTTTAAGGCCATTTCCAATGCAAAAAATGAAGTGTTTAATGGAATAACCAATTGGGAGAAACTATGAAATTGCTCTCTCGTCCCATTATGTCTTCTGCACACATATTATATGGTATCCCTTGTTTCTCATTTATTTACTTCATTATTTTATTACTATAAATTTATTGGGAATTTATTGATTCCAGGAAAGTACCAAATGTTCTGACAAAACAAATACAATTATTTTATATCAGAGATGTATGTCACAAAAGCTTTGTGCAATGAACATGACTTGGAGCTGGTAATATATTGGTGAAATAAATATAGATCTAATTACTGTCTTTATTTTTCCAGTGTTATGAGGTAAACATATCTTCAAGCTCTTTAAAGAACAGCAAGATATGACAGAAGTTAAGAATTTTTATCATGCTTACTCCTACATTTCAAACAACATAGTCCAATGCCTGAACCAAATTTAATAACACAATTACCTGAGTTACTTTTGTCTTTGTTTTTACCTGTATTGTATATACAAAAGGTGTAGGTTTGTAGCTGTGTGCATTTTCCCATGTATAAAACACTAAGATTTAAAAAGAGTTTCTGGCAGGTAAATTCAGGCTAGGCAATAGATATTTATGGTTTTAGCTCAGAAGATGATCATAGAGGAAATAACTGCAGGAGGACTAACTCTACAGAAAACAAGCAAATCAACAAGTACGTACAATTTTTTAGTCTGAAAAGTAAATAATCTGAAATCAATCTATTGTCTTTTATTTCATCAAAGATATGTATTATGTATATTTAATGTAGAATTTGAATAATGAAATAAGTGTACATATATAATTCTTTAGTTACAAAAACACATGCAAAGTTTTAAATGCTTTAGGTTCAGAGCGCAATGGCAGAGTAAAATGAATCATATGTGCTATGTTTGAAATTTTAATAAAGAAGAGATTAAAACAGTAAGGAAACAAAAAGAGGAGAACACAAAGACAAAAAGGAGCAGGGAGAACAGAAAGGACAAGTTTGCAGGTTGTAAAGGGAAAGGGAATACTGGCTTCAACATAGTTTGAAAATGACTGCAAAAATGCCTCTAGCCCTATGCACAAAAAAAGTGTTTGCCACAGTTTGCAGATGTTTCAGCCAAGTGTAAATTTATACATACTGTATTGAATCAAATTTTATCAGTTTTTAACAGCTGCTGATGAGAGCTGTGATTATTTGGTAATTATTTGGCAAGTTTAACTAATTAGTTATCAGTTGTTCCTTTGAAAATGCCTTCGTTATTTATGCATTGATAATAATTTATCTGCAATCACTTATTCCTGATCTTTTCTTTCCTATGTAAAACTGTAAGGTTCATCGATATTAGATATACAAGCCTAATATCACAGAAATGTGTTCCTATGTAGAATTTTATATTAATATAATAAAAATAAGAATGAAATTGACTATCTATTTCATTATACATGAAAATGTATTTACCTCAGAAAATTATATTGTCTTGCCCTGAATGGGCCAGTGGTGGAAAATATATTTGTTGTTTTCAATAAAGTAATTTATTTGAATATGAGATGAAAAATACAGAGTTACTAAATGTTGATAATGACAGAAAGTAACAGGCAAATAGTATTTTAAAAAACCTGGAAAAAGAAGGATTTGGCAAAATGGAAGCAACATGAAAAACGGCCAAGTAATTGTCCAATTTAATTGATAGTCCAATGTCCAGATTACCAGCATCTGGTGTAAGTAAGGTGTACTGCTCTATATACTCTTTTGTAAACATTGTGATTTAACTGGTAAATTTATCTACCCTAGTTCTAAAATTACTGCAATTCCCAAATTGTTTAGAATGTGCAATCCCTGAGATAAACAAACGCCAAGCACAAATTCATCACACGCGGAATTTTTTTCTTTTTTGGATTAAAACTGTTAGATTTGTTTCCTACCCCCACGTCCAATCTCTGCTCACCATAAAAAATTTCCCATGGCCACAGCCAAATGTTTTAATTTATAGAACATACTACCTTTTGCCGCTGGCAATGAAATCACAACTAATAAGTTCCACAGATTGCAATAAAGCCCTAGAGAGAAGTACACATAATCTGTCAAGCATATAATTTTAAAGTTTAATAATGCATAATATGTTTATGCAATTTATCAAAGCACATCTTTCTTAAAAGAAAGAAAAAAACATACTTAAAAATGGTTTTTCCTTACAGCATTGCTTTTTAAATGAACTATTATTCTTAATTGCTAAATAATTGAAATTTACTTTTAAAGTAATGATTAATCTGTTTGTTCATTTAATTTAGACCTATCATCATCAAAAAACATTAACAATGTCGAGGTTTTAATAATCATAAAGAAAAGTAAGTACCAGTCTTAAGAAAAGTAAGAGAAATTTGCCAAATAGATTTAATTTGGTATATGTCCTTGTTTACAACCTACTGAAAATTTTGTTATTTTGCATAATTATTCAGGCTTAAATCCTGAGAATGTCTGAGCTTTTAGAATATTCTAATGTTTTTCATAAAATATGACCATACTCTACCTTGCGGTATTATTGACATTGAGAGACAAGAGGGTATTTTTAATGGTATACCTCTATGATCTGAGTGAAGATCAAGAATTTTTTTTTTCATTTTCTTAATACAGATATTAGTCACTGCCAGGATGCCTGCATAGGTGATATGACCTGGGCAGGACAAGGAAAAATTCCTATTCTATACAAAATTCATTGGGAAATAGGTAGGTAGTAAGTACAGGTAACTACAAATCTATTTCCCAGATATCTGTATTAATTGGAATTCTTACCATCAAATTCCTGTTTAATAATTTGTAAACCACATAAGCTGCTATATTTAAATATTTTCCCACTATCTCACATTTTAGGCTTCTTCTTGAGCCTTTTGGCTTGAAAACTTCTAGAGACTTAAGTTGGAAAGTAATGCGATATTTTAGATTGATATGGGACTTTAGAAAAAGGAGCATGTTGAAATTTTTTAAAAAATTAAAAAACTAAGGAAAAGTATTTGTTGGGATATTCCCAACGAAGCAATTCATAAGCAATAAGAGACGGGAAAGAACAACCGTACATAACTAATGAGGAATGGCAGAGTACCTGTGTCTCCTCAAAACTTTCACTCTCTTCATTCTCCTTATAGTTGTAAAATATCATAAGGAATGTATGAACAGAGTATGGAATCTGCTAAGGATAAAATTAGAAAATCAATAATCTCAACTTTGCAATAAAAGACTAAAGTATATACTGAGAGTGTTGATCTATTAAGCATATCTCTCACATGGATGATGAAATCATTTTGATATTTTCATTTTGTTTATTTAAAATATCTCTGTTCTTCATCAAAGAAAACTAAAGGCTATCCAACACACACACACACACACACATACACGCACACATACGCAGACACACACATACTATTCTATTGTTGGACTGTTTTGTGTGTCTGGACTCCTAGATATATATTATTTGCTGTATACAAAAAGAATCACACAAAGCATGGTCTCTGGAATCAGGCATAACAGAGAGCCAATTGTAACATTATAATCTATTAACAGAGTGATCTTGCATATGTGATGTATTTCTATGTATTTCCTCAAAGCTTCAGTTTCCTTGTATGTTGATTGGGATTACACTTACCTTTCATGTATTTATTAGGAGTGTCAAGTGAGAAGATGCATACAAAGCAATCAGCAAATACCAAGTTCTCAATAACGTAGGCTCCATACTTATTCTTCCATTAACTTTCTAAGAAAAGTATAGGACATTCTAAAAGACTTCAAAATTTGGCCCTGAGTTTGAAAAATGTTTAAGGTAGATTTAGTTAAATAGGGCTTTCCTTTCTAACTTTATTCCAGTTCTACAACCATGCCTCAAAATCATCTAAAAGAAACATGATTATTGCTCATTTGCAGGCTTTTGCTACCCATCCTCAATGCTAATCCAAATATCATTTCATTTCAATTTATGCATTCTATATCTAAAGAAAGGTTTTGCACATTGGGTAGAATCTGCTGTTTGTGCAAATTATGCTTTCACTTTTACCAAAGTAAACATACGGATATTGTGGCTGTGTTGTTAATATTTCATTAAAATATGTTTTATAAAAGAAATCTCAATATCAAAATAACATCTCAGCTAATGGCCTGCTAATTTGATATTCAAAGATAGAAAATATCTAGTGAGCACAAGCATGTGTATTTTTCTGTTAGTTTTACTGCAATGATGTGTGCTTTATAGGAGTCTCAGTAGAAGAGATATGAAGCTGGATTTGTTTACATCCAAATGATTAAAGGAATGAAAAGATTTTTATGCTAAGTAGTGAAAATGCAAGCCTTGCACTCAATTTCTGAATTTTGCTAATTGCTTCAAAAATACATATGAGTCCGATGTGACATGAGCGATATTTGAGCAGGATCTCAGTGAGGCTTATTTCAATATCACAGTCAATGAAAATAAAACTTATTTATTATTTTATGAAAGTTGCTACTATTAGTTTACTATTACTGATAGTAATGATCTTCTGGTAAAAAGGGACAACTGTATTTTATTAGTAAATTTTAAATTTGTATTCAAATTTCATAGGTATCCATATTATGACAATTTAAGATTTTATAAAAATGTGACATAATGGTGGCTTTGTTATTGTTGTGCATTGCTTGGACATTTTATGTAATTGTGGTCTCCATAATGTTTATATCGTGTAGCTACAGGAGGAAGATGCAATCAGTCATGTAGAGAGTCAAGTGTATTCCATTACTTTGAGAATGCATTTGCTGGATTCTGGCATGGAAATAAATTTAAAGTTTCTTAATCATTTTGGTCGTTTCTAACCTTCACTATTTTCTGAGATGCCTGCTATTTTAAAATAAAACTTCACAAAGATAAACATTTAAATATCAGAGCTTATTTTTAGAACTACATTTTAGTTACATATGTATAAATGATGGCACTTTTGAATTTATTTAAGCAATGAGTATTTATTTTTCAAGAAAAGATGCAAGAATACTTATGCACACATACGTACACATACACACACTTTATACATACATAAAATTTATTGAAAAAACATTTGGATAATACGAAGTAAAACAGAGAACAATCAAAGCATCTATAATCTAACAACATAACCTTATTTTCTTTTTCTACAATTTTCTCCAATTTTTATTGATGCACATGCATTACCTTGTTTGGTTTTAATTTTTCATCACTAAAAATAATGTTGCAATAAACTTTTTGAGTAAAATATTTTTTAAATGTTTAGGTTTTGTTGAAATGAAAATATCAAAATGAGATTTTATATCTACTTCTCCTAGAAGTAAAGACTAGAAAGTTGATTACCAGAGGCTGGAGTAACTGGGGAGAGAAGGAATTGAGGAGATGTTGGTCAAACGTTAGATAGGAGGCGTAAATTCGGGGGACCTGTTGTACAGCCTAGTGACTACAGTTAATGACTAATACATTGTGTTCTAAAAAATTGCTAAGGGAGGCCAGGCACGGTGGCTCACGCCTGTAATCCCAGCACTTTGGGAGGCTGAGGTGGGCAGATCACGAGGTCAAGAGATTGAGACCATCTTGACTAACACGGTGAAACCCCATCTCTACTAGAAATAGAAAAAATTAGCCAGGCGTGGTGGAGGGCACCTGTAGTCCCAGCTACTCAGGAGGCTGAGGCAGGAGAATGGCGTGAACCCGGGAGGGAGGCTGAGCTTGCAGTGAGCCAAGATCGCACCACTGCACTCCAGCCTGGGAGACACAGCGAGAGTCTGTCTCAAAAAAAAAAAAAAAAAAAAAAAAAAACTGAGAGAATGGACGTTAAGTGTTCTCACCACAAAAATGATAACTATGTGAGGTAATACATTCATTAATTAGCTACATTAACCATTCCACAATATATGTATTATAAGACAGCATGTTATAATAATACATACAATTTTGTTTGTAATTTTAATAATGAATACATTTTAATGAAAAAAACTTAAAATGAGTTGTGAAATTATGCATTGTATTTCTGCAGAAGTTCAACTACATTATTCATTTCTATAATTTAAAAACGTTTATTTTGCCTCTCTTTTCTATAATTTTAGACAGTTTACTTTGTCCTAAACAGTTTATAATTGTATACATTGAGATTATTGTAATCCCCAGCATAATGTTCAAAAAGAATATATTTTATTTATGTATAAAATTTTGTATATGTATAATAAAAACTTTGACTATTTGACTTTTTTTTAAGTAAAAGAGTATATCCTGTCAACCAGTTATGCAACTAAGCAGAAAATCCTTGACTGAAACACCGTTGGACAAAGAAATCAAGAGGACAAGCACAATATGGTGATTATAGCCTAGAATAATTTAATTTACATTTTAAAATAACTAAAGGAGCATAACTGGATTGTTTATAAAACAAAGGGTGAATGCTCGGGGTGATGGATACCCCATTTTCCATTATGTAATTATTAAGCATTGCATACTTGTATCAAAACATGTCATGTACCCCATAAGTGTATACACCACCTATGTACCAACAAAAATAAAAAATATCTATACTTTGCTTAAAAAGTAGACAAGCAAGTTCCTTGGAGGCAAGAAAATGTGATGAGAGGTGAATTAGTCGGCTTGGTTTGCCATAAAAAATAATACCAAAAATTGGTTGACTTAAACAACAGAATTTTATTTTCTAGTGGCTGGAAAGTCCACAATTAAGATACCAGAGGGTTTAGTTTTTGATGAGGGTGCTCTTCCTAATTTGCAGATGACAGCCTTCACAGTGTGTCTTCACATGGCAAAGAGTGGTAGTAAAAATCTTACTCTCTTTCTCTTCTTACAAGTCCACAAATCCTATCAGATTTGGATCTCACCTGTATGAGTTCATTTAATCTTAACTGTTTCTTATAAGTCCTTTCTCCAAATATAGTCACATTCAGGGTTAGGGCTTCAATATATGAACTTGAGGATGGAGACAAAAGGTCAGTGATTTCTCTTTTCTCTATTGCAAACTAATAATTTTTAAAGATAGCACCAATGAATTCTCAATGCTAAATGTTGAATTTACCAGGAATATCACTCAGATTTTTAAAGAATTTCAACATAAAGTCCAATGAACCAATATCTTTAGGATCTAAAGATGTATTTCACCATCAGTGGCTAGTCTCTGTAGATATCCAAATCCAGAATGAAGCTAACCCTTTCAGGAAAAAAATCCTGCCAAATAGAAAATAATACTCTAGAGGCATTTGTTAATATCAACCGACAAGATTAATGAATCCTGTAATACAATCAGTCCAGTAGTGTTTAAACATTACTTGATATAAAATAGATCCACTGAGCTAGACTTATGAAGAAATTGATGATAGAAGAATATCTAATAAGATTCTGGATAGCAAGCTAAAGTCACAAGAAGCAGGGCAGTCAGAAGAAATGTTATAAAAACTTGCTGAAATATAACTTTGAGCAATACATCATTCCTGGAGGGCACCGGATAGCACTGGCACTGGGGACATGAACATGGCTACAGGAATAAGAGGCATATTAGATTTTTAGAACCCTTTGGGTACAAGCACAAGGGAAAAGAAAGAAAAATCTCTATTTTCACAAACAACAGAACTTTGCAGATGGACAGTGATAATTAGTACTGCCTATGATTCTTTACCTGGCCCTTCATATTTGGGTAACACTGAGAAATGAATCACGGGCAATGTAGAGAAAATGTGGAAATATAATTATTACTATTGTTGTTTACCAGGTACTATGCAAACATGCTAAGCAAATTAGTTAATTTAATGCCACTTTCATTATTGCAATGCAATTTTTTTTGTAATTTTGTGTACATTTTATAATTGAAGAAGTTTAGGTTTAGAGAAGTGAAATAATTTACCCAAGGGCATGTAACTGTTCTCAGAGAACAAAGTCTTGTTAGCCAAAAAGCCCAAGATTTTAGCCCTAAAACCTTACCCTATCCTAACTATAGCCACACAAGTTTAATACTAGGAAGAGTACTGCTACATGATTTGATATCATATAATATTATTTAATATAGTTCAATATAATGTTTTATCTGCTTTCATTTGGTGCTTGAATATGACTTACAGAAATGTTTGATCAAGCATCTTGCTTTAGCCCTTAGTCTTGCATTTTCTATTGTTTGAAAGACATTTTATAAAAAAAAGAAAAATAGATGAAACCATCTAACTAAACTGTTGCCTGATTTGAAAAACATGAATGTGACACAAATGCTACATTTAGCTATATTTAAATTTATGCAAGGTGTTCTATAGAAAGCAATATATTAAATGTGATTATCTGGCAAATTTTAGTTTTTACAAACTATCTGTGTCTTTAGGACTAAATGTACTTTTCATCGTAAGATTTTATTCTGAGGATGTTACCATTGAAAATCAGAATTACTGGAGATTTACACATGACACTCACTGAAAAGTAATCTAACAACCTAACATCATAAGAAGGTTGGAAGATTCCATGTAACTATAATGCAGGTCTCATTTTCAGACAAGTGGATGAGACTGCATAAATGTACATCATTTAGGTACTATTGATTCAATATTTTGTGGAGTATTTTTTCTTTAAAAGTAGGTTGAAATACACTTTAAAATACAATGAAAGGTCTAGCATCTAACAATGATTTGACATTTAAAAATGGTACCTTAGAAATGAAATGAAATAATTTAATCAACTCCTTACTCAACCTGACACTAAAGCTCAAAATCCAAATGAAAGTCAGAGCCTCCTGCCAATACTGTTCAGGATAACCATCACTGACTGGAAGCCTGACTGAAACTTAAGGAGAATCTATTTTAATAAGAAATAATCAGTCCAAAGAAAAGAACAAGAGTAGCAAATCTGTTTTGTTCCGTGAATCTACATGGCTCTACCTGCCTCAGGAAAAGTAAAGGCAAGATGTCTGTCTGGAATGAGAAAATTCATGTATCAAATAAATCAAATTTGCTGACAATTTGGTCACTGCTATTACGTTTTGTGAAAATACATTTCAGGAAATCCTCAAACTCAAATGAGCTACATTCCAAATCTGTATATGAAAATCAAGTGACAGGAATTGAGACAGGTGCTATTTTTTCTTTCTTCTTTCCTTTCTTCCTTTCTACTTTTCTGTCTTTTTCTCTCCAAAAATACAATGTAATATGCTATTTGTGTGTGTATAGTGGCACCACATTATTTTTCTCTGGAGAGACACTTGTGGTGACTTTCCTAGATTTATCTGCTGAAGATTGTTTCATTCACAATATTTAGTAGGGGAAGAAAAGAAAGAGGAGGAGAAAGTAGTAGGAAAAGGATGTTAAGAAGCAAAAGAATCTCTCTCAAACATGTCATAAAATGTTGCAATTTTACATTTTTTGCGTGATTATATATTGTCAATCACTAGATTTTAATCTTAGTAATGACACAGCCCATGCCTGCATTAATTTACTCATCAAATTCCAGTGCCTACCATAACACCCTGCATGTACTAGGTGCCCAATGAATACTTATTGAGTGAATAAATAAAGTACAGATAGGAGAGCAAAATAAAGAAGCTAAATTTATCTTTTTTCACCATAGGCTCCTATTATGCCTTAGAGTATCTTATACCCAGAGATGAGAGATTTCACACAAGGAGAACAGTTCCAATCTCATGATTCTGGAACCATGTTGAGCTGGTATGCAGAAACAAGAATACACAGCAGCAAACATGCAATATTGGCCAGTAGATTACCAGGTGGGCATCACTGTTTCCAGTACAGGAGTATAAATTTGTGTGTGTGTGTGTGTGTGTGTGTGTGTGTGTGTCCAAATCCCAGATTCTCAGAGGCTTTCAAACTATGAGAAGTTATACATTAGTGATTTGTGAAATATCTTTAATGTACAGACTACAATAAAACAGAAATAAATAACCTGAAAAGGAAAAATATCAGAATGCATTGGAAAAGTTTAAAATCAAATTGTCTTACATATGAAATAATCCAACATCCCTGGTAGATGACTATAGTGTCTTTATTATGTTTTATTTTGTTGTGTTTTATCCACCCAGTTTTGTTCTTTTTGCTCATGATTGTTTTGGCTAGTTGCAATCTTTTGTGGTTTTCTATGAATTTTAACATTGTTTTTCTATTTCTTAAAAAATGTGCATGAAATTTTGATCAGGATTTCATTGACTCTGTAAATCACTTTGGCTAGTACGGACATGTTAACCATATTAATTTTTCCAATCTATGAACAGATTGTCTTTTCATTTATTTGAGTCTTCTTCAATTTCTTTCACCTCTGTTTTATAGTTTTCACTGCACAGATGTTTCATCTCCTTATTTAAACTTATTCATAAAGATTCTATTTTTTGAGGGTACTATATATGGGATTGTTTTCTTAATTTCTTTTTTGGGTAGTTTGTTGGCAGATAGAAATAAAATGAGTTTTTATATGTTGATTTTGTATCATGAAACTGTACTGAATATGTTTATTAGTTCTAATAATTTTTGGATGGAGTTTCTAGGGTTTTCTATATATAATATTTTGTATATCTGTGGATACAATTTGACTTTTTCCTTTTTGATTTGGAGGGCTTTCATTTCTTCTCTTGTCTAATTGCTCTGGCTAGCATTTCCAGTAGTATGTTGAATAGACGAAGTGAAAGTGGACATTCTCATCCTGTTCTGGAACTTAGAAGAAAATATTTCAGCTTGTCACTATTAAGTATAATGTTAGTTTGGGGCTTGTCATTTATGGCCTTTATTAAGTTGAGGTCCATTCCTTCTATGCCTAGTTTGTTGAGAATACTTACCAAAAACTGATGTTGAATTGCAATCCCCCTTCTGGGTATATATATCCAAAAAAATTAAAATCAGTATTTCAAAGCGATACCTGAAATCCCATCTCATTGCAGCATTATTCACAATAGCCAAGATCTGTGTCCATTGATAGATGAAAAAGAAAAAGAAAATGTGGCATATATACACAATAGAATACTATTCAGCCATAAGAATAAGATCCTGTCATTTGCAGCAACATAGATGTGACTGGAGGACATTATGTTAGGTGAGATAAGTCAGGCACAAAAAGACAAATGTTGCATGTTCTCACTTAACATGTGGAATCTTACAAAGTCAAACTCAGGGAAGTATATAATAGAATGGTATTGCCAGGGACTGAGGGGTAAGGGAAATGAATAAACGCTGGTCAAAAAGATTCAGTTATGCAAGATGAATAAGTTCTGAAGACTGATATACACTATGGCGACTCTAGTTAATAATATTACACCATACTCTTGAAATTTGTTAACTGAGTAGATATTAAATATTTTCACCTCAAAAAAGGCAACTTTTTGAGGTGGCAAATATGTTAATTATCTTGGTTGTGGTCATTATCATTATCATTATTTTACAATGTATAAGCTTATAAAAATTGTATAAGCTTATAAAACATCATTATTTTACAATGTATAATCTTATAAAAACATCTTTGTACGTTGTAAATATATACAATGTTTATTTGTATATATACAATGTTTATTTGTAAAGTTATTTGTCAACTGCACCTCAATAAAGCTGGTAACATTTTTATTTTTTTCAAATATTTGTTCTTAAAAAGAAACATGAAAGAAGTCATTGTTTAACAGGAAGCTGCATCTAAATGAAGTCAATAATTAGTAATAACTAAACACAGCAAGTATTTTTAAATTAATGGAATATAATCTATGAATTAATCCTCCTTTGTGTGAAAGATTATTTTTCAATGAATTAGTAATGAACATGTAAAATCAAATTTTTATTGTAGAAAAAAGAGTGGGAAGAAAGCATGCAATATTATGAAACTGTGTAGAATATTTGCAATCCTTTCTTATTTGGCCTTCTGACAAGTCATACATAAAATAAGAAATTAACCACAAATTACCAGAGAAGCCATCAGAAATTGCATGTGTGTAGCTACAAGAGCTTTTGATGTGACGCTGATATCAGCTCGACTCAAGCAGAGATTCATGGTGAGCTGCAAGAAGCAGTCATCCACTTCCCTGAAATGTGGGGAGAATGAGATCTAGTGAGAGTCCCAAAGCTAAGTAAATTTGGATTTGGGAAGTAGTTACTAAGTTATCATATTCTCTAAGACATAATTGTGAATAATATGTTTATAAATGACTGACTAAACTATTTAAGTATTACCAATTATTATATATATATATAATTTTAAAAACGTAAAAATTGTTGAGAATGCTTCAGTTGCAAAGCATACGTATGCCATACCTATGACAAATACCATTGTTGTGGGCTAAATTCTGTCCCCAGAAAAAGAAACACTGAAGCCCTAATCCCTAGTACCTCAGAATTTTATCTTATTTGGCGATAAGGCCTTTACAAAGGCAATGGAGTTAAAATAAAGTCATTAGAATGAACCCTAATCCAATGTAAATTGTGTACTTATAAAAAAGAGAAATTTTCAAAATAGAGACACGTACACAGGGAGAATGCCATGCGAAGATGGAAGTTTTGCTGTCAGAAGCCAAGGAACTACCAGAAGCCAGGAGAGATCCTGCCATAGTTACCTCCAGGGGGAGTGTGAACTGGCTGACACTGGCCTCTAAAACTGTACATAATACATTTCTATTGTCCTAAGCCACCTAGTGTGTGGTACTTGGTTATGGCAACTCTAGCAAACTAATACAGTCATAATTTCTTTATTTCCTGAACTAGAACACAGTGCAAACAAGAAAGTAGTTATTCCTTTAAGGCAGTGGAATTCTGATGAAATGTTAACCTCTCAAATGCTGGTATTTCAAACTCAAACCTTAAAACCTTAAACCTTAAAACTCAAACCTTAAAACTTAAACTCATTTTATTCATAGATTATAATATGTGAATGTAAATTGAAAACATTAGGTATCCCGAGCCTTCTAGGTAGTCTGTTATTAAACACTGAATCAACTGTATAGCTGAATGACCCACTGCAAATTTTTGGCTTTCAGTGGATGTTGTGGTAAATGGATTCTAAATTATCATTCCAAATTTTTAGAAACAAAAAAAAAGTATATTAAAAAATTCCAAACTGATGGCACTGCAAATGATTTAAAATTGACTTTTAAATAACTTATTTTTCTAACTTT
Organism: Homo sapiens; assembly: GCF_000001405.40. Classification (NCBI taxonomy): domain Eukaryota; kingdom Metazoa; phylum Chordata; class Mammalia; order Primates; family Hominidae; genus Homo; species Homo sapiens. Next base: position 77,310,114 of record NC_000008.11, on the reverse strand, counting down.
TAATGAGTATTTTTTTATCTGTCTTATTTAATCAGTGCAAAACTTCTTCCATGTCTGGGCTAGTAAAGTTTGTGTACTAAGATTTTTGTGGAATGGAAGTGAGGCTTGCTCTGTGTTGCTGCCCCATCATTAAGTCATCTGGAGTGTGTTAAGACAAATGTATTATAATTTGTATCATTAGTACTGTTTAGTTATTATTTCTTTAGGCAACAAAAGAGCAGAAATAGTTACTTTTTATGGCTCAAATGCCAAATTATTTAATCTTTTAATGTTATTCGCAAAATGTGTAGCCTCGAATGGAAATTTTCACTAACTTTGTTAATGCAGGGAATTTTAACCACTTTTACTCATATACCAAACCCTACACAAAATAAGATGATGAATTAGGAAGGAAATCCTGTTAAGAGAATTACTATAAACATGAGGAAACTATTAGACCAGAGTTTTCAGTAGTCTAAAATTCTGAGATTTGATTTTTAAATGATGAAACGTCCAATAAGCCAAATGACTCTGCATAAACATGTACATGGAATAAATTATTCCAAATGAAAGCATGGATGTTATTTGTTCAGCTGTTTTAGTGGTTGGAACGTTAGGAACAAAAGCTATTATTGTTCGATGTATTTTTTCACAGGAAATAGACAGTGGCAAACATACAGTAGTTCAACACATGAGATCAGAGACATGGTTTTTATAGTAAACCAAGAACAGATGTTGGAACGATTCAAGACCTTTACAGAAATTATTAGTTATGTTTGCCTTTGAAAGCAAAGAAAGTTTACAGAGAGTCACATATCTGATTATATTAAGAAACAGATAGGTTTTCAAATCCAAAAGCTTTAATTCATTCAAGCTAAAAGTTTCTGCTGCATAAATTCTGAATGTGCTACTCAACACTATTGCAAATAATTACCATAGGTTCCATGTTACCCTACTGCTTTCAAAAGCATGCTTATTTTTGAAAGATATAAAAACTACTGATTCCTCATATGCAATCCAAGTAGCCCTATTCAGCAAAAAATCACATAGAAATAGGACTTACGCCTCAGACAAAAATCACGATTTAGTTAGAATCACTGAAATCAATTGATTCACAGACATTAAGAAAATGAAATTCTGCAGGTAACTGGAAGACGTATTTTTTAAGGTTGAACTAAAAGCCAACAAGTCACCTTTTTCCTATTTATGAAAGGCCTGTATGAAATATTTTGATGGCATCAGGATCTCTAAGTTATTGACTCTAAGCTTTTCATTGGTCCTCCCCTGCTTCAGGATCTCAGTGTCGTTTTACTCAGTTTATATTCCATGGAGCATCATTATAATCCCTCCTTAGGAGGCATTATCAGTTTTTTTATTTTCAAATTTATTTATTTATTTTTATTTTAAATAGATAATATTGTTTGTGTTTATTGTGATGTTTTGAGGTATATACACATTGCAGAATAGTTAAACTGAGCTAATTAAAATATGCATGACCTCACATAGTTATCACTTTTGCAGTGAGAACAGTTAACATCCACTTAGAATTTTTCAATAATACAATATATCCTCGTTAACTATAGTCACCATGCTGTACAATACATATTGTGAATTTAATCCTCCTGTCTGATTGTAATTTTGTATCTTTTGACCAACATCTCCCCAACATCCCCAGCCTCTGGTAACCACCATTCCACTCTGCTTTTATGAGACTGACTTCTTAAATTTCCACATCAACCAGATCATGCAGTATTTGTCTTTCTGTGGCTGACTTTTTTCACTTACTGTAATGTTCTCAGTTTCTGTCCTCCTCCCTGCCCACTTCTTGGGCAAAGTCACACCTAGATTAACACCTGGTCAAATCTAATTCAGTTCCTACTTGAACATACTCCTATATCTCTAATTGTGATAGGAGAAAAAGTCCAACTGTGCTGATTAACGTTATTTTAAGTGCATGACCTCCAATTTCAGATGGAAACTTGGTACTATGTAGCCGTCATTTTCTTAACTGGTTCATTCTCTCAAGGGCTATTTCATATTGTCTTCTCTCTAGTCAGACTTCCAGAGACCCTACCCCATCAACACACAGACACTTACACTTTTAGTTGATGACCTTGCTTTAAGCTTCACTGAGAAAATGAAACCAATCAGTAGAGGCTTTACAAAAACCTCCACCACCAACTATACCCACCAACCTGCATCTCTACCTACATATGCTACCTTCCTTCCTATCATAAGAAGGTACATTGTCTTTCCTCTTAGATAAAGCTAACCTCTCAACTTCTGCCCTGTATACTATCTCCTCTACTTCACACACTTTTGAGTTTTGCTCTTTGCATGTTTCTCCCTTCTGTATAAATGTCTTGGGTGGTTCCCATCATCATATTCGTACTGAAATCTCTCCCATCTTAAAAACAAATTAATTAACTAATTAAAATTTAGAAACCCACCTCCCTTCACCTTATATTATAGTCCAGCTGCTTCTCCAATTTACAGCAATATTCCCATTTACATCAACACTCACAAGTACTGTCTACTTTATGATGAAGAAAATATACCTTGGTAAAGTTTTTAAACAATAAAACAATTGCCTAAACTTGCTGTCTACACATTGATTTCATCCCACTGAATTCTACCTCTCTGCTGAACTCCTCTTGTTAGTCACCAAGATCTCCATATAGCTAAATCCAATGGGCACTTTTCAGCAATTTTAAAATTGTGTCAGCATACCGTTTCCTCTTCTTTAAAACACTTTTGTAATTTTTGTCAAAAGTACACCATTCTCTTTTTGATTCTCCTTCTACCTTGCTGGAAACTCCTTCATAGTCTGTTGTGGATTCCTTCCTGCTCATCTTCTCTTTCTCTAAAGGGTAAGATGGTGACCCAGCTCTCATTTCTTGAGCCTCTTTTTTTTTTTCGTTTCATATCTACACTCAATTACAATGGATCTCACCATATTTTCTGGTTTTAAATACAGTACAACCTATTGATGACACGAAAGTCTACCTGCAGTTCAAATTCTGATTCATATATCTGACTGCCTATTTGAAATATGTACATAGATATTTAATAGGTACTTATAACTGAACATGACCTAAACTAAATAATTTTCTCTTCTAAACTTGATTCTACTACAATCTTTCTCATCTGAATAAATGGCTTCTCCATTCACTCTTCTGCTCAGGCCTATGACTGTAGAGTCATACCTAAATTCTGTCTAACTTTTACATCCACATATCAGCAAATCTTCTTGGGTCTATCATCAAAGCATAGCCAAATCTGTATAACTTAACTACTCCCACTAACATTACTCTGGTCCAAGCCCACCATTATTGCTTGCCTGGACTATTATGATAGACTAACTTAATATTCCCTGTTTACCCCCTGACTACTCTAGACTCCATTTGACACAAAACAGTAAGAGTATTTCACTTAAAATAAAAGGCAATTTTAAACATTCATATCATCAAAATGTTCCTGTGCCTTACATATCACTCTGGGTAAAAATGAAAGTCTTTTAATAGCCTGTTGATTTGATGGTTTACATAGAAACATAATCTGGCCACTGCCTGCATCCTGACTTAGTCTTCTACCAGATCCTGCTTTACAGGCCCCCTTGCTATTCTTCAAACATGTCAAACATGAGCATACATCAGGATTACATGAGTTTTCTCCTGTTTGGATTGTTTATGCTCTAGATGGATTCATGGCCCCCTCTCACCTCCTTCAGTTATCTCCTCCCATGTCACCTTGTTAGAGAATACCTCGTTACCTTTCCAGACCTCCTTTTTAAAAGACAGCCTCCAAATGTATTTTTCTATATTTTTACTCAACATTGGTTTCTTCATGGCATTTATCACTGTCTGACATAGATATATTCTATTTGTGTATATATATATATATTATATATATATAATATATATATATATATACACAGATAGTTTAGTGTCTATTTCTAACTTTAGGATATTAAGTTTATGTGAGAAAATGTTTTGTACTATTTTGATTAATGTTGTGTCTTTAACAGTGAGTGTCCTAGTGTCTGGCACATAATATTTAAATATTAAATAGATAAGTGAAATAAATGAAATTGAAATATTATCATGAAAATAGATTTCTTTTTGAACTATTAGTAACGGATTGATTTTGGTTTAGTCTATACATGTGAATAGACAATTACTCTCATTTTCTGGCTGTGAGACTCATTTTCTTTACTAATTTCTATGTAAAATAGAAAATAATATCACTGTACTTACTAATAAGACTGAGCTAATTATTTTTATTTACATTAGTTTGTTTAAGGAAAAACTCTGAGAATAGTGCCTGCAAAACAGAAAGCATTTCATAAATGCTAGTTTCTAGCCTTGCTAATATTATTAAGTATATGAAGAACAAATCATTCCACAGTTAAACTGAATGATTGTTTCAGTCAATATTCTCCATGCTGACAATACAATTGATTGAATTTTTCAGAACTCTTCTCATATAACTTCTAGACATAAATACTCTTGATAAAAGTATATCTTGCAATAGAAAACATGCATTTACAAAATCCTAATGATGAAAAATGATTTAATTGATAAATCGCTGCTTGGTTACAAATTAGTAAATAATGTGAAATAAGACAAGTGCATGGCAATATACTACATTTTCTTGTAAGCATTAGGAAATGCAACAGACTTTCCTTCAGCAACTCTATCATTATTCAAATAATTCAAGCTGAATGAATTATAATTTAATACTTTACAAAAATCACTGCTAACAGCAAGCTGAAGTCTGCACATTAAATAAAATTACCTGAGTTTTTTCCTTTTGTTACTCAACACTTCAGAATAACTTATTTATGTGTCTATGTAGATATACATATATATTTATATAAATGTGTATATTTGTTTGTGTATGCATATAAATGCAAATATACACACCTATTAATAAAATATCAAAAAGAAAATACTAAAATTAATTAAATATTTTAAAATTATGTTCTATTTTCACACATTGTTGTCAAAATACAAAACTGGAGTTGGGAAAATACGCTTAGAGTTAGACTTAGTCTCATATACCAGCTCTATCCTTACTAGCTGTCACTTACTCAGATAAGATACAGTAGCTACATAATCCTTAGTTTCCTAATCTGTAAAAGTACTGTATTAAATTATCCCACACATAGTAGGATTATTTAATGATGTAATGCTTGTAAGTATTTAAAATAGTACCTGGCACGGAACAATAAGTCAGTGCATAGAAAGAAAAGAAATTCAATGAACACAAAGAGATAAGCCCTTTTCAAGAAACATACTTGAATAGAAGAAACAATTAGTTTAATACTGAGTTACAGTTATATTAATTAGTCAACTTTTTAAAAATCTACCTCTAACTTTTTAAAAAGTAAGTTAGCCAGCATCTCTCAATAACTGTATTGAGTAATGTTTTTTATTAGGCTTCTATTCAATACATTTGTCGAAAGATCTGGCTAACTTATTAATGACATTTTTGCAATGTTCTGATGATCTGCAAAATTATCTCAGCATTAGACATCCTGATAAAAGTTATCTTGAAGGAATTTACAATTACTGTTGTAATTGAAGAGTTAAAAGTGCAATATTTTAGAATCTAGAAAAAGCGCATTACTTGCAACAGAATAAAGCAGTTTATAAATAATTTTTTCCAATTAAAAGAGTTAATTGTTTAAGAATATTTAATGTTAGTGTAATAATAATTTAATCTTGGCAAACTACATATTCATTATATTTTACTTTTAATTTTGAAAAGATTGATGAAATTAACTGTCATGTAAATGATCTAGAATACTATCAATAATTACAATTATAAAAGAATTTGAAATATTTTGGAAAAATTATGTACTATTCCTGAAAAAGTGCAGTAAAGCATGGAAGCAAGAGAGGGAAAAGAAGGCAATGGGAGGGAAGAACCAATAGGGAATGAAATGAGAAAATAAAGAAATAGGAAAGAAAGAAGAACTGACAGATGAAGAAAAGGCCAACTTCCTTGGGCAAAATAATATTATAAGTTAGTGGAATCATAATTAATGATATTTATCATATCTAAAAAATTTTCCAAGTCAATAAATAAGCAACATGGAGGAACATGGAGAAGGATGCATTAAATAGCAAATTCTCAAGTGTGACACAGTTTTCAAGCATACCTGCTTATGTAAGTGTAACCCCTTAGACATGTCCATTTATCAAAACGAAAGATATTTTCCTAGACTGTGCTAGTGTACTTTATGTGACAGAACACGGAGTGCAGAATGCCCTAGAAATGTGTTTGTTCTTAACAAGTATGAAAAACACAGTTCATGTGACCTTTAGAATGACTAATATAAACAAATGACATAACAAGTAATTTCAACTTTTTAAGGCTTTAACTTTCTGCATTTTTCTTATAAATGCCTAAATACAATGCATAAAGGAAAAGGATTTCATTTCTTTTTTTTTTATTATTATACTTTAAGTTTTAGGGTACATGTGCACATTGTGCAGGTTAGTTACATATGTATACATGTGCCGTGCTGGTGCGCTGCACCCACTAACTCGTCATCTAGCATTAGGTATATCTCCCAATGCTATCCCTCCCCCCTCCCCCCACCCCACCACAGTCCCCAGAGTGTGATATTCCCCTTCCTGTGTCCATGTGATCTCATTGTTCAATTCCCACCTATGAGTGAGAATATGCGGTGTTTGGTTTTTTGTTCTTGCGATAGTTTACTGAGAATGATGGTTTCCAATTTCATCCATGTCCCTACAAAGGACATGAACTCATCATTTTTTATGGCTGCATAGTATTCCATGGTGTATATGTGCCACATTTTCTTAATCCAGTCTATCATTGTTGGACATTTGGGTTGGTTCCAAGTCTTTGCTATTGTGAATAATGCCGCAATAAACATACGTGTGCATGTGTCTTTATAGCAGCATGATTTATAGTCATTTGGGTATATACCCAGTAATGGGATGGCTGGGTCAAATGGTATTTCTAGCTCTAGATCCCTGAGGAATTGCCACACTGACTTCCACAATGGTTGAACTAGTTTACAGTCCCACCAACAGTGTAAAAGTGTTCCTATTTCTCCACATCCTCTCCAGCACCTGTTGTTTCCTGACTTTTTAATGATTGCCATTCCAACTGGTGTGAGATGATATCTCATAGTGGTTTTGATTTGCATTTCTCTGATGGCCATTTCTAAAACTGTTATAGTAAGCTTACAAACTTCTGCTCCTCACAGCTTTCATGCCTCCCAAATTAACACCATGGGTGTCTGGTTTTGGTTTTTCTTCCAGTTTCAGAAAATTTTATGCATTGGTATCATCTTAGTTTAAGTTTCAGAATATGGATTCTGGGGAACAAAAACATGGAGACCATAACACTCTCTACCTAATTTCTGCAATTCACACAAGGAAGCAATGTTGCTAAAGATGTACTATGCAACATAATGGCACTCAGTGCATGAGTCAGGGAGCCAGTGTGAAAATTCTGCCTATTGCTGAGAATGTCCATTTTACTTATTACTCAAGAACAGAGGAAATAACTACTGGGTAATTCTGCTTCCTGGGATTTGAACATGGACTAAAACTCCATTTATTGCCTAGTTGCCACAAACATCCATTGTGATAATTCTAACATAACACAGCCTTCCGTAGAAGAAATAAATAATAGTATCATAATGAATAATAGTATTCAAGCTTTCAGAAAGTGCATCAATATATCCACCTAAACCAACATGAATAATTATGTTTATTTGAAATTTATGTATTCCTATTTTAATTATGAAATAAGCACAATAATATTATTGTTTGTTTACTATACATGTCATTTGATTTTTCTTTTCTATGAAAGGAAAAATTTGTCTTATAATGAGTCTCAAATTCTAAAGTAAAATTAGATTATCAAATACAATTTTCAGTGGATATGTCAATTAATCTTCTTTAAACTATATTGGAGTTGATGCTGGGGAAAGTGATGCTATTCAGGAAAAAAATTGCATTTTAATGACATATTATTGAAGACAGAAAGAAAATAAAGTTATCTCTTCCAAAATTAATTGTGAGAAGCATGTAATATAAAAACCTGGGGTGTCACTTTAAAAATTCTTTGAGTTTCTTAATACAGTAACATCAAGAAAATTTAAATTATGACTGGAAAAAATAGAATTTACATTTGCCTATCGTGTAAATAATGTCTTAATCATTCTAACACTATTTTAAGTAATATCTGATTCAATGAAGTCTCACTCTAAGAATATACTTCATATCAAATTTTGTATAGTAAAAGTACAGATAAGTTAGAAAATCTAGAAATAATCTAATTCAAAATCTGAATGTAAGATATATTCTGAGGCTAGAAGTATTTTAAGTATTCATTATATATATAAATTTGGATTACAATTTTAATATATATTAATTTACAATCAATATTAACAAGAAATTATCAAAAATAATACTAATCACTATAGACAACTATCAATTATTCAGCTTGACCTTTCCATACATATTATTTACATCTGTAAAATGTTATATGTAGAATCAATAATATTTTGCCATGTATCATCATTTCAATTATGGAACTACATGTTATGGAAAAACAAAATTTAATTGAATGGTAATGAATGCAATACTTAAAAATTATTAATACTATTTATGGAAATCTTCTGCATTCGTACATGCTATGAATACAGTTTAAATAAATATAGAACGGTTAAAATAAAATATCATAATGTAGTATTCAGTATCCAGTAGGAACATGTGAACAAAATCTATTGTTTTTAATGTATTGAGTAACATATTTTCTATATTTATCATATAATAATTATAGTTGCATTCATCAGCCTTTAATATAATTTATATTAACCTTGGATATCTTAAGATATAAATAAAATGGAACATTATTGTACTTATATTTCTTTCTACTTTTTACTAATAGTAATTATAAGACAAATGCTTACATACAGATGTATACATTAAGGAGGCAGTGTTTAAGTTATAAAGCCAGACAGTTTCTGAGAAAAATATAGCAATTATGCCAACCACATAAAAGAAAAGTTAGCTCCTGAGTATTTTGTAACCAGTTGGAGCAAAGTTCGCAGAATTTTTCTGAAAAGAGCCAGATAATAAATATTTTAGCCTTTGTAGGCCACATAGTTTCTTTTGCAACTACTCAATTCTGCTATTACAGGGAGGTAAGAGCCACAGACAAATGGGCAAGACTCTGTTCCAATAAGACTCTATTTCCAAAACAGGATATGAGCCAGATTTGCCCTGTAGGACATAATTTGCCAACCTCTGGCTTAGAATAACAAGAAGCATGTTTACAGCTTTTGGAAGATTTAAAAAGCTGTTATGAAGTTCAACAAAAAGAGTGGTCAGTAAAAAAAGAACTAAGTAAACAATATAACAATACAATATTTCTTTCTTTTTTTTTTTTTTTTTTTTTTTTTTTGAGACACGGTCTCTCTCTGTCACCCAGGCTATAGTGCAGTGGCGTGATCACAGCTCACCACATCCTCGATCTTCTGGGCTCAAGCGATCCTCCTCGCTCAGCCTTCTGAGTAGCTGGGACTACAGATGTGTGCCACCATCCTGGCTAATTTTTTAAAATTTTTAGATAGAGACAGGATCTTGCTATGTTGACCAGGCTGGTCTGGAACTCCTGGCCTCCAGCAATCCTCCCACCTGTACTTATTTCTATTATAAAGTATGGAACCTAAACTTCCGGTAACCATAGTGTTCATGCTTTTTATTATAATGTATAATATCTCAATCTTCACTGAAATAATCAAACCACTTCAAAGTTATAGAACCAGGCTTGTTTGGGTTTTTACTGAGCGTATATGTGAACGAATATCAATCAATGAGGCACAGACAAAGGTAAGCCTTTCTGAAACCCTTTGGCTCTTAATTATACTTTTCCAGTCTATGTTTCATGAATGAAAGTGAGCTTAAGGAAGTCTCGTGTTTGATGGAAAACTATTTTTACAGGATATCTTTGTCCAGGAACCAAAAGTATACCAGAAATGTTTACCTTCAGGTGAGTGAAGCTTTTAAAATTTGTTCTCCTCTATAAAGCAGAACTGGTGAGTCAGCACCATGGATACCACACAAAGGTACATACCAAACAGTCGTGAATAGACAGTAATTGAATGGTGGCATCTTAAAATGTATAGAAGTTCAATTTCATCCTTACCTTGTGAAGAGCATTTCTAAGAAGGGGATTTTGAAAACCTTTCCAGTGAAATCAGAACAGGCAATTATAATGTCCCAGAACACCTGATCATCTGATTCACAGAACCTTTAAATAATAACTGGAAACATACCAGCAATTATATATATGTATAAATTCCCCAGAATTTATACATATATATACACACACATATATATGTGTATATATATGGCCTCCAGCAATATGTATATATATGTGTGTGTATATATATATATGTACATATATATAAATTCTGGGGGAAAATCTATAAAATAAAAGTTTTATGAAACCAATGAAACATTAAAATCCATACTTTTAAACTAAACATTCAGAAAAAAATTAAAATATCTTCTGATATCCCAATGAGCTATCAAAAGATATAAGTGCAATGAACACAAGGAGCCAAATTCCTCCCTAAATATTTTCATAGGAATAAGAAGATAAGAAGATAAGAGAAATCTTAAGTTAGTTTTAGAAAACATATTATTTATTAAAGGTCAACCCAATAATTGCAAATCTGGGTCTATATATGATAAAAATAATAATAAACTATATAAAATATAAAAATATTTTACCACTGCTCCAACAAATAGAATTATAATGATTCAATGTTATATGGCAAAAAATAACAACTCACTAGAAGTGGCATAACTATAACAAAAATTAGTTTAAGCCAAAAAAAAAAGGAAGGCGGCTGAATTTGTGGCTCTGAAATACAATGCTTGACCAAAGACTTGGGTTTGGTTCATCAAGCATCTCTCTTACTCTCTCTAATCTTCAGTTCTGCTTTCCTGTGCAATAGTTCCATTCTCCAGAAAATGTCCCATGCATGGTAAATAAATAGTCTTTTTTAGCTTCAGGCTCATTGAATCCTTGTAGTTTGTGATCTTAAAAAAGAGAGACTCTTTTCTACTAGCACCTATTGCAATACATGCAAAAGGAATATGTTTCATCCTACTTGACTAAATGCCCATTTATAGAAAAGTGTTCTGTCCAGAGAAATTGGGATATTTAGGTCAGCTGACTAAGGTCATTTTTTTCTACATACAATCTATTAAATTCATTTGGGTGGAGATACAAACTCATATAATATCTTTTCTTTCTTTCCTGCTTCTCTATCCAGCTTTCACCTTCAGTTTCTCCTACTTCTACTATTCCTGTTTTGGTCTTTTTTTTTTTTTTGAGGCATTTCAGATTTGATTTTACTACTTTTCCTGGAGTGGTCTTCTTTAGGTAAGTCTCTTCAGACATATTTGTGTGTTTTCCTAAACCTGTCTGGCAAGAACACTCATCGCCTCAGCTTTAAGTCAGCTCCACCTCACATGTGAAATCACACCCAGGCCATGAGCCATGTCCCTGCCTACCTAAGAAGGAATCTGGGGCATTTGTTCAGTTTTCTCTTCTGATTTTGCTTCCCCCACCTCCACTACTCCCTTGTGTAAGACACTATTAACACCAAGCTGTATCAGGTTTAGTAAGGAAATAAGTTAATTTTGTTACCCAGAATAAGTCTACTGTCTCTCCACCACATGGTTGATGACAACTATACTCCTTCTTGTCCAAAATCCTGTTGTCAAGGTGAAAGATTCTCACAAAAATGAATGGCAAAGGTATTTTTGTCAATGAATTAATCAGACTTTTAAACAATACACTTAATAAAAGTAAATAACATTAACTATATTATATATATTATCAGCTTTATTACTGAAAATTTGAAGAATTGATTTTCTCTAACCTTCTTCTACATGACACTATGCAACCAGGTACTATTGTATAGTAAAATTTTTTTTTCCCTTAACACTGAATTTAGAAAATTTTTGGAAATCATTTTATGCCCATGTGTTAATGTAGTTACATATTTGTATATGTACTAGGAAAATTCTTCACTATTCAGCAGTATCTATTTGCGATCAAGATTCAAATACTCTAAAGGTTACAACTACTCATATTCGTGGTTATTATGCCCTCTTGGTTGGTTGATGTGTAATGAAAGAACTTTCTCTGATAGGAAAGTGAGGTGGGTGAGGGTTTAAATGGTCTTTGAGAATTAAGACCTGCCTTGGAGATTGTAATACTGAAAATCAAATTACACTGGGTACTTCATTTTTCTCTCCTTTTGCTTCCCCAAATATGCATGTATACCTGAATGAATGGATGGATGAATATATGGAACATAAATGAGAGAAACATTTTACAAAGGAAAAAGGCTTGAGATAGATATGCAGTTTTCTAAATCATTCTGGAATAGTCATTTTATTATTTATTCTTCAATAAATTGATATTTGAGTAACCACCAGGTCCTGGTGATATTCTAGTCCATCAGTTGAGTTGCAAATACCATAGACACGGTCTATAATCTCATGTTTCTTCCATTCTCATGAGAAAGACAGTAAATAAAGTAGTAACTACACAAAACAAGCAAAATAATTTTAAAAAGTGACAAGTACTCAGACAAATAAAACAACTGAGATAGAGATCTTTTGGAGCAAAAGGGTATTTTTAGATTAAGTGTTCAGAGAAAGCTTCTCAAAGGAGGTAATATTTCTACTGAGATTGGAATGACAAGAACAAAGTATTTGTGTTAAGATCTAGAGTTGAAAATCCACTGTTTCAAGTGTACTGTCTTTCATTATTTTGTCCTTCATATATATCAACCTCAATCAAAGCTCAGAGTCACTTTGCCAGTGATTTTCTCTGCCTGGCATTGCAGCTCATTCAGGAGATCAGATGTCTTAGGATAGAATGAAATTAGTAGAGGTGGAAAGAAGCAGGTAGAGAAAAATTGCTATTAAATATAGAAAAATATATTAAGCAGCATTGCTGGAAAATGCTACAATAGTGTTGGAGCTACAGAGAAATCAAGGATTGCTCTTAGTTTTCTGGAAAAAGAAATGGATGTTGCTATGTAGTGATATGAGAAATGATTGAAGTCAGTTGTGGGGTTTCTTATGGAATAGTAGAATTGAAGTAGAAATTTAGTTCTTTATGAGAATTTATAATATATCTATTAGATATCTTACCTTCCTACTGTCTCTCTTATCTACCCACTGTTCTTAAATTAATAATGATGAATTCTCATCTTATTTTGTCCTACCACAATTCATCCAGACATGGGCATGGGCAAGTGACATAAATTGGACTGATCAGGCCAAGAGAATAGACATATATTTCATGACTGGAGGGAAATTAATCTTAGAATGCTCTAATATTGTGGATGACAGACCACAGAGCAAGGGGAGAAAGTAGTCCTTGATAAGCTGAGTCAGCTAACTCTGATTCATACTACCACCGGATCTGTGTGTAAAATATAAATCTTCTCTAATGTTTAATCCAGTTTGGATGAGGAATTCTGTTACTTGCAGCCGAAAGCTCCAAACTGATATACAGACCCCAAGATATGAAAGGAGTCTGCAGCTGTGGCCATCATTCAGCTGTGTCTCCAAAGGTCAAATGTGTAGGGTTCTTATCAACAAATGATAAATATATACCTATATATTTATATATATATATATATTATATATCTCAAATATATATATATGAGACTGAGCCTCGCTCTTTCACCCAGAGTGGAGTGCAGTGGCACGATCTCTGCTCACTGCAACCTCTGCTCGCAACTAAGCGATTATCCTGCCTCAGCCTCCCGAGTAGCTGTGATTACAGACACCTGCCACCACTCCCGGCTATTTTATTTTTTATTTTTAATAGAGACGGGGTTTCACCAGAGACTGGCCAGGCCAGTCTCGAACTGCTGACCTCAAGTGATCTGCCACCTCGTCTTCCCAAAGTACTGGGATTACAGGAGTAAGCCTCCACTCCTGCTAAGAGTATATTTTTAATTGCACTAAAAATGCAAACATGGATATAAAAATTGTCATTTATTCCTAGGACCTAGAATATTTCCCTTGGTTTGCAAGATACTCCTTATTTCTCTAGATTAGGGTTTCTCAGCCTTAACCTACTGACATTTCAGGCTGAATAATTCTTTGTTGTGGCAGACTATCCTGTACCTAGTGAGATATTTAGCAGAATTATCTGCTTCCACCCAGTAAAAGCCAGTGGGAAGTCTCCCCTTTCCTCACTTAGTTGTGACAACCAAAGTTTCTCCAGATATTGTCCATAAACCCTGGGTGGCATAATTGCCTACTACTCTAGATTGATCCAGAAGCATCCCAAGAGTGAGTGACTGGTAATAAATTCTGATTTTTGTTTTCCTTGGTGCTTCCTAACATTTTAACATATGCCCCTTTTTGGAATATTTCTTTTAAAAACACCTTATAGAATTGTGTGAAGAGGGATAGAAAATACCAGCTCTACTTGTTTTATCCTACTACTGTTAAAGTGGTTTATGGTCTGACTAAGCGTATACGAGGAGACAGTCTGATGAAGGTAACAAGGTAGCAGTGAAAATCTCACCCTCCACTTCACGTGTTTGCCACAGAATTTGACATTTTTCAAATCCAAGTCTCAGGGCAGTCATACCTGTTCAAAAAACTAAAGGGACAATTAAATGCCAGGTCCAATTACACTACAGGTGCAGTCCCTAGGGGGAGAACTGTTTTAAGAGTTGCTTTTGTATAATGCATTTGTAGTTATACAGTTTGAGGTCAGCAACATCAACAACATAAAAAATTATATCTATAAAAACACAGACTTTTGCAGGTTATTTTAAAAATATAATGCTTAGCTACTTGCATACAAAACATATAAATAATTGGTATTAGTTTTCTAAAAATGAATTCTTATATATATATATAGAAGGATGAAAATTCCAAGTAGTGATCTAGTTAATTCTAACTTTTATCATATTAGGTTATGGCCATGAAGACGTAATTAATACAAATAATTGGACTATTTAAATTGAAAGTAAAGTGACACAAAGAAAAATTACTTAAATCTAGGGACTTGCATGTGTAGAAACAGACATCCCCATTTTCACTATCAATTTGTTATATTTTTACCTTATGAATTACGTCCTTTTTATAAGAGATCTGCAAGGTCACAAAATGAAAATAAAAGTCTACTTCTGTGAAATCAGCTCAGAAATTTTACAAAAGGCCCTAAAGTAATAAAACATGACTCACAGAATGTCAGGAAATAGAAGCAGTATACACCTCATTTGAAAGAACATCTTGTTCATTCTGAGAAGTTATAACAAAGCTTTCAGTTCTGGCTTAAAATTGACTATTTTTCGCCTTCATTTCTTGGTATAGTTGTCATAGAGCTGTTTAATTCTGTTCCTCTTCTTTCTATTATAACAGCAAACTCTTTTAGTAATAGCTTGCTAAATATTAAAAGCAGTCAATAGCTATATTGTGGTGTTGAAAATAACATGGTCCTATTTTTAAAAATTCATTCAACAGAAAGAAATCTGATAAGAATAGCTTCGAGATCTGCAAAACAACTTTATGGAAAACAGTTCATTACATTTTTGTAATTATTATATTTTGGATATCCAATCTGAATTTTTAAAATTCTTAACAACTTTTAAAATTATACTTCAGTTCAAATATATTGAACTCCTGTCTTTTTCTTACTTATCATTTTATATAAAGCCTATATTTTCCCCAATTAACTATACAGTAAAGAATGGTGGATACAAGGAAAGAAGGAAAGGAATCAGTAAAATTAAGAAAATATTTTGAGGCTGGAGTGTCCTTTGAAAAAAGCATGTCATAATTTCTATTATTTACTCAGTGTCTATAATGACAAATTTAAATCAGCAAAACATTGAAGGGAGACATCAAGAAAAAAGTAAAATTTGAACTTATTCTTGAAGGATTTTAAGATTTTAATAGTTCAGGAGTCCCTTTTTATCTACAAATGATACATTCCAAGACCAACCCCCACTGGATACCTGAAACCATGAATAGTACCAAACCTTATCTATCTATGTATTTATGTATCTATGTATCTATGTATCTATCTATCTATCCATGTATCTATTTATCTATCTATCTATATATATTTATAGATACATTATATTTTATCCTATGCATACATACCCATAATAAAGTTTAATTGGCAGATGAAAGCTCTTCAATGATTTCATATTTTCCTGGGCAAACATTTCTGAATCTGTGTAACCATTTCCTTACTTGCAGTAAATGGCTAAAGTCTTCATACAGGCTCAATGCTTTCTGGCACAACCATTGCCATCAACTGGAACACATTTCTGTTCATGTCTTCCACCCACATATTTAATGGTTTCTCCATCTTAACTAAGTACTTATCACATGCTGTGTCCATAACTTTTGCAGTTTTAGGTGAAACAGCAAAACTAGAACAAATTTATTTCTCTTTCCCAATTTCATAGATAGATTTGTTCTTACTGTAAATAGTAGCAACCTTAGCATATCATTTTTTCTTCCTTTTTCATTAAGTCAAAAACTTTCACCTATTCACTTAAAGGATGGGCTTTATTGCTTCTCTTTAGTATATAGAATTGCCAGCTTCACTACACTTGCACTTTGGGGCCATTAAGTAAAATAACGGTGGTTTGAATACAGCACTGCCTTACCACGACAGTCTACCTGATAACCAAGCTGGCTACTAAGTGTTGAAGAGCGGATAGTATAGACAGTAAGCAGAACTGGTCAAAGGGAGGATTCACCTCCCTGGCAGGACACAGCCAAATAGCGAGAGACTTCATCACTGCACTCAGAATGGCATGCAATTGAAAACTTACGAATTGTTCATTTTTTGTATTTTTCATTTAATATTTTCAGACTGCAAGTGACTGTGGGTAACTAAAACCAAAGAAAGCAAAATCACCCGTAATGAGGGACTGCTGTAAAAGTAAGATTTCAATAGTAAGAGATGTGTGTGTGTGCGTGTATGTGTGTGTGTGTGTGTACAATGGGTATGGGTATGTGAGGGGGGTACTGTAGAGGTGGAGAGTAAAAATAAAATTCTGCTTGTGAAATCAGATTGAAGAAAATATTTCCAAATTACCCAACAATATCAGTGATTGGGATAAGCTAGTGGTATTTGATGACTGAATGCATATATCCATGAGTTGAAGGGGAATATACAAAGTTTCAGAATCTGTTCACTTTTGTTTTGATTCTGAAAACAAGAGTAGAAGAAACACATTTGCAGGGGTCCTGTGTGGTTTGTTTGTTTTAGATTTCTTGGATTTGGGGGATTTAGGCAACAGTGAAACAATTAGTGATCACAGGTAAGGGATGGTTGTGGATAAAGAATAAAAACAAATAAAACTGTAAAAGATTTATTACATTTATACAGATGTTCAAAGGTATAAATGAAGCTGCCATAAGAAAGAATGTCTCTAAAAAGTTCTACTTCTTCATCAACCCCATATCAGAAGATAAAACAAGTTGTGATATATCTGCTTCTTTAAGAGAGGAAATAATATAAATCATAGATACGTGACTAGTAGCATCAAACAAGTATATTGTTGCTTAATACGTATTTAGAAGTGGAAGCTTTTTATTACTGATTAATACTGATTATGCCATAGAAGAGAGTGTTCAATATTATATGCTTTAACAGCTAAGGAAGGTATACATTAATGAAGGTACAACCTACATATAAAAATAAATTTGCTGTCATTCCAAGAAAAATATATAGAATTAATTTTTGTCCTTTCAAATTTATTCTCTCAGATGGAGAGACTAACTGGAGTTTATGGAACACATATCAAGATTGGCTGGAAATTCCAGTGTTAGTCCTGTGGAAGTAAAAGGCCTCATGCACGTTTTCTTGAATTCTTTAGTAGGAAAAATAGACTCAGATTCTCAGGTCACTTGTAAAAATAACCTCAGGGATCCTGGTTCTGTATATGCTTGTCGCTGTGAAATCTACTCTCTAATCTTATTTCCCCAATAAAATAAGAATCAATGAGGGTATACATGAATGTAGTAGATTTTACTTAGTATTTTGAGTGTACACAGAAGAGAAGTTTATATTATAATTGTAAACAGCTTCAGAAGCAACTTCAGTAACAAATTATGTTCTTAAAATGCCTTTTGGCTGTACCATACCAAAAAGAGAGTTTAATATGGGCCTTTACATTACGTAGAAACCACCTTTTATACCATCTTGCTGATTCATTTATTTTTCATCTGCTCCCTTTCAGTAATAATAGAATTAATAGTTTTTTAAAAGCCTCCTATAAGTATTTCTATTTGAACCATTTAATTATATCTATGTTAGTCTCATTTTCCTGGCCCAACGGAGTTTTTTTTCTTTTCTTTTTTTTTTTTTTTGAGACAGAGTCTCGCTCTGTTGCCAGGCTGGAGTGCAGTGGTGCAATCTCAGCTCACTGCAACCTCTGCCTCCCAGGTTCAAGCGATTCTCCTGCCTCAGCCTCCCGAGTAGCTGGGACTATAGGCGCAAACCACCATGCCCAGCTAGTTATTTCATTTTTTCTATACAAAAATTCTATTGCCTACAAGATATATATGGACTGCCAATAAAGTGAAAATATATCCAAATCAAATCTTACTAATAAAATGTAAAGGCATCTTTGAATGTTGTGTCAACACTTATTTAGAAATGTTTAGTTCAATGTCTATTAAATGAACTCAAAGGGTTTCATGAGTCTGCAGTAGAATCCTGGGCCCCTCCCACCAAATTCTAGTAGCACCTTCAATGATGTGATAATCAAAAAAGCCCAAAAAAGTTTAAAAGGCATTATGCAATGAGTAGTACCTTGCCTTTGAGAACCACTTATTTAAGACAAACGTAAGACAGCTTGTACGAAATCTCCATTCCCACAGAATGCTTGGGAGGTTGCCTTGGAGGAAAGGAAAAAAGGGGACCTTCCCAGAGGGCAAATCCAGAAAAGGCAGAATGTCAAACACAAAATTTTTCTCCACTGGTGGGAAGCAAGATATTAATTATGTTTGTTACAAACTAGGTATCTGGCTCTTCTTATTTTAAAATGGGAGCGTTTTTCTTGCTATACGGCCTCATCTCTACTCTTGTATATATAGAATATGTATATGTTCTTCTAATATGTAGAAGGCATAGAATAAAAGGTAATTTAACTTAAATTTATCAATTGGGTGTTAGACAATAAAAGATTACAACCGTACATGACTGAAAGGAATACACAGTTACAGAGAGACTCTGGACTTGCAGGTTAATCAGAAAATAGGTATTTTAGGTTGTATTATTTTGGGTAAGGTGTCAGTGCATTTTGGACAGGAAAATGAAATTTTGCATGCATTTCTACAAGAAAAACAATTTGTATAGAGGTTGGGTACTCAAAGGGGTGGACCAGTAGAAACCCATATATGTGTTTCCTGGCAAGCACTTTCCATTTATTTCAATAACGATAGCTGGGTTTTGCTCCGAGGTAGCTCTGCTGTGTTCATTTTCCATTATATCATTTGAAGTGGATTAAACTCCAGGAGGCACAGAGTTGTGCAAATAAGCCTGGATATAAGACTATGCAATAAATCAGTCAGACCCAGTAGTAGAAGAGGAGATGAATGTTACGGCACCTGAATTAGAGAAAACAGCCCTATATTTTTCAGATATCCTAGAAGTTATGGTGAAAATCTACTTCAGTTGAATTGGGTTGTGTAGATGTGAAGATTGGAAAGGCTTTAGCCACTTTCAAGCCAGATAGAAAGAGTTAGCAACTTCAGTGGGGGAGCTATCACGTGCATTCATGAGGTAAACCAAGGAAAGTCTGAATATAGAGCTGGAGAGAAAGTAGGCTCCTGGTACCCTGCAAGGGCAGGAAAATTAAGCCACCTTTGAAACCCAGTTTATTTCTCAGATTTCAGTTACATTAGCTAATAAGTCCCTCTTTATAATCTGTGCCATTTTGAATGTGATTTTTGTTACTTGCAACTAAAAGAATTTCAACTGATTCAAGTTGCTCTTAGATCTTCCAGGGGTAGGAAGAGTAGAAATGTTTGGGAAAGCAAAACTGTCATGGCTGGGACTCAATGCCATTTTCTTTTTTTTTCTTTTTTTTAATTTTATTATTATTATACTTTAAGTTTTCAATGAGAGTAATGTATAGGTTACTTGACTTATCTTCTCTTCACTCAACAAGGCTTAATAAAAAGTTGCTGATAAGCTCAGACCTTACCCCTCTTCACCACTCCCCTGCTCCTAACCTTCAAAATCTAACCTGAGTGGAGATGGGTTGGTGCTGATGAGTATGGGGACTAGCGGGGTTGGGGAAGGGTGTTAGACATGGGCCTAAAATCCATAATCTCTAGTGGACAAAGTCTTTTGATTTTTATATCTCTATACATTAAATATTTCATTAAAATTTATTTGAAGAAAAATAATATTGAGTTACTTAAAAAATGAAAGAGAAGCAACCTTTTAAAAACTACCGTATCCTATTCTGTAACTCAGAGATGTTCATTTTTCTGCCAAAGACACCCATCTATATGTTTGAAAGCAACAAAACCAGGACACCCAAAGATGAACTAAGATGATGATCTCTTTGGACATGTTGGGATATGGGTGCAGCTGTAGAATTACACAAGTGTGAGCTCAGGCTTTAGTGACAGAGTATGCACTTACTGCTCTCATTGGCTCACACTTTGGAATTATCAACTGCCATGTAAGGAAATTTTCCTCTTACACATAATTAATCAATTGAGAACCAACCTGAGGATACTTGCTGGGGAGACACTTGAATCAATGCAATAGCTTTAACACATCATGATTGGCCTCTCCGTAATTCTCCTCTCAATACTGAATTAGAATGGATTTTGGAAAATTCAATTTAGCACTTACTATGTGGCATTGCACTAAAACTGTAAAGATAAAACCTCAGTGGAGCTATGGAATCTACATAAACCTTTACTGAAATTTAAATACACCAAATAAATAAAAAAACTGAAGTTAAAAAAAAAATGTCCCTATACACGCATCCTTGGATTAACTACCCTTGCTTCCTAAGGGCTCTGTGGCTTTCCGGGGTCTGCTAAGATCCTCACACTGCCCACACATGGCTACCAAGGGCTCAGTCTGTGTAGTTCAGTGCTAAGCACTGCAGCTGCCACAAATAGCCTATGAGCCATTAGTTCAAACTCACTGGTTGATCTCTGCTTTTGCTGACTTCCTTGACTGTCGACATTTCTTGATAACCTAAGGCTGTACCTCTCCTTTGACCCAAGGAACTAGCAACAAGGTTGAAACCCTCTCAAGCCTTTGCTTAATATCAGCCTCTGGTTGAGTCTCTGGTGTCCTATCTTAAGAACAGGACTTTTTTAAAGTCCTAAAAACTTTAATTAATGTTTGTTAAGTGTAACCCTTCTTCTAAAGAAACAGGAAAGCATCTATCCTGAAATAGATCCTCATCTGTGCCAAAGCCCTCTCTGTAGCCTAAATAATATAATGCCTAATGCTTAAACCAGCTCAAATACTGGCCTGAATCTCACATTTATCAAGGGCAAGCCAGGTGTGGAGCAGTGAGGGGGTGGGTGAGC
Source organism: Homo sapiens (assembly GCF_000001405.40). Lineage (NCBI taxonomy): Eukaryota > Metazoa > Chordata > Mammalia > Primates > Hominidae > Homo > Homo sapiens. The sequence continues at coordinate 77,288,494 of NC_000008.11, read as the reverse complement.
AAATAAGTGTGGGGTCTAGCCACAGTGCACAGCCAGGCATGCTGGCCATGGTGGGGCGGGTAGCTCCAAACACCAGCATGGGCACTGGCTCCCTGTGAGGCTGCAGTTGGACCAGGTGTACTGTAAGCAGCTTCCATGGCTGGCACCACGGAACTCAGCAGAACCTGGAAGCTTAGAGATGCCAGGAACTGCAGAGCCGCAGAGAGGGTTCACAGCCCTGGCTCAGGCAGCTCCTAGGTCTGAGATCCCCAAAGGGCCACAACTCTTCTCTCATTCTCTCTTCTCTCCTTCTTGTTGCCTGCAATGTGGTGAGTAAGGGGCCTCTTTCAGCTCTGTTTGTGTTACAGCTCTTTTAGCCCTGCCATTTGGCAGGTCCTGAGTTCTTGTCCAGTGTCCAGGAGGAATGAGGTATGTGGAGAAGTGGAGGATAAGAGCAAGGCAAAGAGGAGCTTTATTGAGTGAGAGAACAGCTCAGACGAGACCTGCAGTGAGTAGCTCCTCTCCAAAGGAAGGGTGTCACAATGAGTACTCAGCTCTCAGCAGAGATGAGGTCCACAGTGGGTAGCTCCTCTCCACAGGCAGGTTGTCCTGACAAATGTTCAGCTCTCACCAGAGAGGAGACCCTGGGGTGGGTAGTTCCTCTCCAAAGCTGGTAGTCCCAACATCTGCCTGGGTCTCAGCAGAGAGGAGACCCTGGAGTGGGGAGTTTCTCACCACAGCTAGTAGTTCTGACATCTGTCCAGCCCTCAGCAGAAAGGAGACCCTGGACTGGGTAACTACTCTCTGCAGCTGGTAGTCACGATTTCTGCCCAGCTCTCAGCAGAGAGGAGATCCTGCATTTGGTAGCTCCTCTCCACAGACAGGTCATCTGGTCATCTACTCAAGTCTGGCTGAGTCTGGGGTTCTTATGGGCTTCAGAGGGGAGGAAGTGTGTGCTGATTGGTTCATGGGTAGCCATGGACAGGCTTGGATAAAGCACCATAAGTTCCCACTCCAGTCAGTGGGGCTGGAAGCCTAGTCCCCAGGCTTCAGGCTTTCCCCAGCTTGAAGATGAGGCTTAACTGGGGACCCATCCTTTTCTGCCCAGGAGCCTGCCTGCCTCCTTCTGGTGTTTATGGCCAAGGCTATTTGTGCCAACAGGTGCCTACAGACCAGTGCTGAACCAGCCTCAGACCCCCTCGGCCTTCCTTTCATCCTCATCAACAAACAAAATCCAGAAAGGGCTGAAGCACCAGTGGGCTGGTGTGTCGGTGCCACTCCAAGTGTGAACACACCTGGCTGTGTTGCAACAGCACCTGGACTTGGCCTCAACTTTGCTCCAAGATTGGAGCAGGTATGGGAGTGGGGAAAGACCAAGCAGTGGAAGTTGGTACTTCCTAATCTGTGGGTGCAGGAGGGGCCTTCCTGGGCCCCCAAGAGTGCAGAGATGCTTGGGTCTGCCTCAGTTTGGGTGGCTGCAGCTGTGCCCAGGAGGGTGGAGCTCCTGCCTGCTCCTGGCCCCCAAAAGCACAGGGATTCCTAAGTCCACAGCCATGGCTTTAGTGACTGAAGTTGCACCCAGGAGGATGGTGCTCCTGAATGCTCCCAGTTCCCCCTGAATGCTCCCAGTTCCCCCTGGCTCTATGGAGCAAGCAACCCAGGCCATGCCTCCCCCACTGCAGCTGGCATCATGGCAGCAGCCACTCCAAATGGGCTGCCACTGCCATCACTAACACTTCTCCTCCTCCAATGCTCAGGATTTTCCCTGCAAACCGAGTTATTTTCAGATATGTAAGAGTCACACATGGATAAATTGGGAATAAATTCTCCCATAAGGTAGCATGTTTGCAAGAGATGAAAAGGAAGGAGACTGTGTGTGTATACTCAGGTTTTCCTTCCAAATCCATCAATCCTCCTTCCCTGGAAAGAGGTGTGGGAGACATGGGAAGAGTTCAGAAATGTTAGCTCTTGGGAACAAAAGCTTGTAGAAAACTACTTTTCTACAAGTAGGGCATTGTACAATTAGTTTTGCATTCTTTGATCCTCATGTCTTGATGGTTTAGTATGCAGCTATTTTAATGTTATAAGGAAGTTTGTCAAAAATGAATAATTCATATATTTTTAAATCGACAGCTTACATATAATAGGAAAATACACAATGACCAAGAAATCATTCAAAATTCAACTGTTCTGTATAAGGATGTATGCCAATGTCTGGACGGTGGGATTGCAAGGTTTTTTAATTTTCTACTATCCATGTTTATCAATTCAAAGGCATTATATAGATCAAATTTTCTCATTAGAAACCAAAAGTTATTTTGAAATTATTTTCCCAGACTTCTTAGAACTGCCAATATACTAGAGTATTTTAAACAAAACTTACTAAATGAGTGTTAATAGGGTAAATAACTCCATAGCCTTTCCTGTAACTCTGTGTGTTCACGTATTTCTTTTGCTTACTGTGATTTACTTTAATTGTCACTTATGACGTTGAACCTCAGGGTGTGCCAACACAATTTAAAATGTATAATTAAAAACAATTCTATTTGAAAGTTTTACCTATATTGATGACTCTCCTCTTTACTCTCAAAACCATATTAACAAACATGCAATATAAGAAATACTTGGTTCACTGCCTGAGAAAAATTCCAATGTGTTTACATTTATCACTACATGAATGTATAATATACAGTCAAATATGGCTTAATAATAAGGATATATTCTGAGAAATGCATCATTAGGAGTTTGTATTGTTGTGTGAACATCATAGAGTGTTCTTACACTAACCTAGATGGTAAAGCCTATGACACACCTAGGCTATATGGTATAGCCTATTGCTTCTAGGCTACAAACCTGTACATCATGTTACTATAATGAATAGTGTAGGAAATTGTAACATAATTGGAAGTATTTGTGGATCTAAACATGTCTAAACATAGAAATGGTACAGTAAAAATATATTATGATATCTTGGGACCACCATCATATATGCAGTCTGTCATTGACCAAAACATCATTATGCCACACATCACACATTTCACTGAACAATATACAATGGAAGCACAAACACAATGCTATTTAATTTCTTTGAACTATATCTCTCAAATACTGTGGAGTCAAAGTATTTTCTGGTATATATTGGGTGGTACACTTTTTAATAGTCTCATTCTTGACCTCTTATTTCATAATTGCGCCACTTTCAAAGGTAAGACAATGAAATTATATACGTTAACATACATACAAAGCCAATAATGAGTAGCAGATATAGTAAAGATAGCTACAAGTTATTACTCCTACCATTGAAAAATGCTTCAAATCCCCTTTGTCTTGAAACCAGGCTGACTTTAATGACATCCTGGACCAATAGAATGTGATGAAAGTAACATTATAAGACCGAGAACACTATTTCTAGGCCTCCTGAACTGTCATAAAAGAGATATGATTACCCTGAGCCTGCCATGTTGGAGAGGCCATATTTGTAGGTGAACTCAATAGCCCACTGGAGTCTAGTCTTCCAGTCATTTCTGCTAAGGCATAAGACTTATGGGAAAAGCCATCTTGGACCCTCCAGATCAGCCTGTCTATCACCAAGATTTCACTGAGTAGCCTTTATTGATGTTAAAGGAAATAGAAGAATTGCCCAGTTGAGTTCTGCCTGAATTCCAATATAATGAAATATAATAAAATGACTGTTGTGTTAAACCAGTGTATTTTGTGTAGTTTGTTATTTAGCTATGAATAACTGACACAGATGCATAGATATGATCCTTTACAAAAAGCATGTAAGGTGTGTTTATTATAAATAAAATTATCTAAAATAGCTTTTGCCTTTCTTAATCCTTGACTCTAAATTGTGGTTCCTAAGCTTTTTTTCTTACTCTGACATGATATAATTAATGGATAATTTTCACCTGCTCAGAAGACTGCCAGGAGCATCATTCTTGTTTGGATTGTCTCACATTTAATTTAGACCGTGGCTTGTTTATAAGTCCCAATGCACTTTTTATGGTTAAGTTCCTTTCCCTACTCTTGAGTCATGAAAACTATTGTATCCCAACCAGTGTTGATAAACCTCTTTTCTAAGCTATAAAAAAAATTTCAAAGACATGCATAGAAATTAAAAGAAGGTCACTTCTGCAACCTGCTTCAAATGTGTCACAGCTTCTAGCCTTGGGAAAATTCGAAGTAAGATACATAAACATGAATAATTAACATGATCCATTAATATATTTAATGTAACGATTTACATTTTACTTATGTTAATAAAGATGTCTGCCTTATATATTAAAAAATCTTCCAATTGTCATCAGAAATCTTTCTTGGTTGGGCTGTTCACCACTATAAACACCATTGGCTCTCAAAATTGATCCATTTAATTTTCCTTCTTATTTTGGTTTTTCAGTATCTGGTGCAATATAAGAGATTAATGGATTCTAACTTTTCAGATGATATCTCAAATTTTGAGAAGTCCCAATCTCTCAAAATTCTGATCATACATACCACTAAAAAAACATAATTCCACCCATGCCAAAATAATTGCAGTTTGCCAATGGCATATGGTTCTTCCCACCCTCTGGTCTTTATTTATGCTAGGCCTTCTGTTTGAATTAACTTTTATGTCATTTTCCATGAAAGTTCACTACCTAAAGTAGACTCAGCTTAGAAATAACCTCTTCCTCTGATCACCGTAACTCAAGGTAGTTAGATATATCTTCACATCCCATAGATTTTATTCTATTTCTCTATAAAATGAGTATAGCAGTATATCCTAATTTATAAATTGATGTTAATATTAGATGAGATGAAATATGTTGAGTTTTTATAACAGTTTTATTCTTAGAACAAGACATATTGGCTATAAATTCTCTCAAAATATATATTCCCTGATACATTCTCAAACACACCAACATGCACAGTGGCTAATTAAATATAAGTACTATTGAGATGCTATAAATACTGCAGTTTTTGCTACCATAGGAAAACAGAAGAAGGCTGAGAGTCATTAAAGCATTTTAAAGCAAAAAAAGCAAAAACATCAAAAGTATAACACTTGAGTTAAGGGCAATTGTTTTAAAAAAGCAATAAAAAGTCACAAATTTATTATGCATTGTCTTACACAACTGTAAAGTTAAGACACTTTTACAAGGTAAATATAAAGAAAACTGTAAAATCAGTACCATCAACATTAAAACAAATGTAATGTTGCACATGGCTTTGTTTAACTGAAGCTAAATGTCTATATAGATGACACCGATGGTGTAAATCTGATTAGTCAGGGTTTTCTAGAGAAACAGAACCAATAGTGTGTGTGTCTGTGTTTGTGTGTGTGTGTTTCTGTGTGTGTGTGTCTGTGTGTGTGTGTGTGTAGAGAGACAGAAAGAAACGGAGAAAGACAGATTTGCTGTAAGGAAATGGCTCATACAGGTATGAAAGACTTACAAGATCTGCAGCTGGCAAGCTGGAGACTCAGGAGAGCCTGTGGAATAGCTTCAATTTGAAAGTCATCAGGTTTGAGATACAAGAACAACTAAATTGTCATTTTGAGTTTCAAAGCAGGAAAAGGACAAATGACACAGCTCAAACTGTCAGCCAGAAGTATCTTTATTTTTATTTCATCTTTGACTTTAGATACAGGGTGCGTATGTGCAGATTCGTTACATGGGAATAATGTCTGATGCTGAAGTTTGGAGTGTAGAATACTATGAAATGAAGTCATAATAGAGAATGAAATTGTGTCCTTTGCAGTAACATGGATGGAACTAGAGGCCATAATCTCTAGCAAATTAACACCAAAAGAAGTACCACTTTACTCAACTTTTTTGTTCTGTTCAGATCTTTAGTTGCTTGGATTAGTCCCATTCATATTAGGAAAGGCAATCTTCTTTACTCAGTTTAGCTATTTAAATGTTAATGTTATCCAGACACACCCTTATGAACATAATTAGGATGTTTGACCAAATGTCTGGGCATCCCATGTCCCAGTCAAGTCAACATATAAAATTAACCATAGCATACCCTTACCACTATTCCATATTCAAACTATTTTAGAAACCTTTGTATATCATTATAGCATTTTCTTTCACTTACTGTCATTTATACATTAACTTTCCTACAAGTTTTTTCAGACTATTGGAGTAAAACTAATTATTGCCAAAAAGATCAATTTCACTGCCCCCATTTTTATTTGGGTGTTCAATATGAGAACATTCTACTATCAAAACAGCATCCAATTGATCTAGAATATGCTTACTTTTTTTATCTGTACAATATAATATAAATGAGAGAACAAAATAAAAAAATCACAAAACAGTTACAGATTTTTAGAATGTATACTCTGAATACAAGAGATACGTAGACTACAACTCAACAAACATGTTTTTAAGGTTCCTCTGAAGTAAAGAAATTACTGACATAATAAAACAAATAAGCAGCAAAGAGTTTCTTTATAGAAGGAAATTTGCAAAAATAAATAAATAAATGTTTTCCTTACAAAATTGTTGTAGTAATAGAGAAAAATATTTTTCCTCAGTTTCTCCTTATCTTCACATTACTTTGTCCTTTGCCAAACATTCAACACAATAAAAACTTTGTGTCTTATAAATCAATGCTCAATATTAATTCATCTCACAATATTTTTACTTTCTATATATTTTCATAGTATATATCTGTATTTATATATGTATGTATTTCACTAAAGAAGATGAATAGATAGGTGATAGATAGATGATAGATAGATAGATAGATAGATAGATAGATAGATAGATAGATAGATAGATAGACAGATAGATGATAAATTTCTGATAAACAGATTTTCCTTCAATAATTGTTTAGGAGTATTTTACGGAAGAAATGGTAAGATAAGGAATTTACTATTTTATTTCAGAGGTCGTGAGAACAAGTAAATTTCTAGTTCCTAATCAAATTCCTATCTTCTAGGTCAAAGACTTTCTCCTTTCCTCTTTAATCTGTTTCCCAATAAGATATACCAGTTCAATTATCACTGCCCTCATCACTATTTTCCAAGCTGATTTGATCTATGTCTGTGCCTGTTATGGAGCCTCTCGGTACTAAATGTGTCCCTTTTGACTGCTCTGTGAAAATGAATGTGAGCCCCTTAAACATTTATCTTTTGCTAGTTGGCACTAAAGTTTTGTCGTTAGACGGTCTGGAGAGGAAAGTGTTTTGCTTCCTGGTTTCAATATGCTCACCTGTCTGGTTCCTGCAGCGCAGAGCTGCCAGAAGCAACCAGCCACCAGATGCTTTCCCCAGCAAACACCTTCAGTTGGTTTTATAGCAGACTTCTGCTAGTGAAACAGCTTTCTTCTGCAACCCAGAAGGCAGATTTCCAGCAATTTCAAAGGTCAACTTCTCATCAATTCTACCAGTAGGGCACTGCAGCAACATCTTTACCATCCAGTGAATGGCAGGCAGATCTTCTACACCAGGGTCTGGACTTCAGCCTTAGGAAGGGAGTGACACTTACGAGAGTTTTCTAACCCAGGTCTCGAGTTAGTGGCTAGTTTATTATATCATGTTAAACTATATCATATTGTATTATATTTATCATGTATAGTATAGTATAGTATAGTATAGTATAGTATAGTATAGTATAGTATAGTATAGTTATGGGCTGAATCTTGTTCCTCCATAATTCTTATGTTGAAGCCATAACTCCAGCTACCTCAGGGTATGACTATATTTTGGAGACAGGGCCTTTCAAGAGGTGATTAAGTTAAAGAAGGCCATTAGGGCCGGCCCTGATCCAATCTGATTGGTACCCTTTGTAAGAAGAAGCAGTTTGGACATACAAAGAGACACAGGGATTTGTATACATGAAGGAAAGGCCATGTGAGAACATGGCCAGAAGGTAGCTATCTGCAAGCCAAGGAGAGAAGTCTCAGAAGAGATGAAGCCTGACAGCACCTTGATATTGGATATCTAGCCTCCAGAACTGTGAGGAAAAAAAAATCTGTTGTTTAAGCCACTTAGTCTGCGGTATTTTGTTATGGTAGCTTTAGCAAGCTAGTGCATATAGTATGTGCTATTATATCATATATCTGCTATTGCTGTGCTCATTAGTGTTCTTACAAGCTAATTGCTCCATAGTCCAATATCTTGTTATAATTTAATAATTTTCTATATTGTTTGTTCAGATTACTATGTGACTTCTCTCTCTCTTTGTAACTTTCATTTTAAGTTTGGGGTTATATTTGCAGGTTTGTTATATAGGTAAACTTGTGTCATGGGGTTAGATATACAGATTATTTTGTCACCTAGGTATTAAGCCTACTACCCTTTAGTTATTTTTCCTGATTCTCTCCCTCCTCCTACCCTCCACCTTCTGATAGGCCCCAGTATGTGTTTTTCCCCTCTAGGTGTCCGTTTGTTGTCATCATTAGCTCCCACTTATAAGGGAGAACAATGTGGTATGGGTTTTCTGTTCCTGCATTACTTTGCTAAGGATAATTGCTTCCAGCTTCATCCATGTTCCTGCAAAGGACATGATCTCATTCTTTTTATGGTTACATAGTGTTCCATGGTGTATATGAACCACATTTTATTTATCCAGTCTACCATTGCTGGGCATTTAGGTTGATTCCATGTCTTTGCTATTGTGAATAGTGCTGCAATTAATGTATGCCTGCATGTTTCTTTATGATAAAAATGATTTAACTCCATTGGGTATATACCCAGTAATGAGATTACTGGATTGAATGGCAATTCTATTTTTAGGTATCACTAGGACCACAGCACAAGAAAGTTAGAAATCAAAAGTAGGAAAATCACTCAAAACCATACAATTACATAGACATTGAATAACCTGCTCCTGAATGACTTTTGGGTAAATAATGAAATTAAGGCAGAAATCAAGTTCTTTGAAACTAATGAGAACAAAGATATAACATACCAGAATCTCTGGGACACAGCTAAGGCAGTGTTAAGAGGCAAATTCACAGCACTAAATGTCCACATCAAAAGTTAGAAAGATCTCAGATCAACAGCCTTACATCACAACTAAAAGTACTAGAGAAGCAAGAGTAACCCAACCCCAAAGATAGCAGAAGACAAGAAATAACCAAAAGCAGAGATGAACTAAGTGAGACAGAGACATGAAAAACCATTCAAAAAATCGATGAATGCAGAGATGGTATTTGGAAAAAAAATTAATAAAATAGAAAGACTGCTAACTAGACTAATAAAGAAGAAAAGAGAGAAGAACCCAGTAAACACAATTAGAAATGACAAAGGGGATATTATCACTGACCCCACAGAAATACAAATAACCATCAGAGAATATTATGAAATCCTCTATACACACAAACTAGGAATTCTAGAAGAAATTGATAAATTCCTGGACACATACACCCTGCCAAAACTGAACCAGGAAAAAAACGAATCCCCGAACAGATAGATAACATTCTCTCTCTCTTAATTGGACTCAGTTTGATACAATGTCTTGTCCTAAAATTTGTCATTCCCTCTCAATCTCTAATGCTCAAACTAATGTTTTCACTCTAGAAAGTAAAACATTTTCAATATTCCTGAAATTTTGAGTAAAAACATTTTCAATATTCCTGAATTTTTTTTTCTTTTTCTCTTTTATTTTAGATGGAGTCTCATTCTTTCACCCAGGCTGGAGTGCAGTGGCATGATCTTGGCTCACTGCAACCTCCACCTCCCAGGTGCAAGCAATTCTCCTGCCTCAGTCTCCCAAGTAGCTGGGATTACAGGCATTCGACACCATGCCCAGCTAATTTTTGTAGTTTTAGTAGAGATGAGCTTTCACCATATTGGCCAGTATGGTCTTAAACCCCTGACCTCAGGTGATCCACCCACCTTGGCCTCCCAAAGTGCTGGGATTACAGGCGTGAGTCACTGTGTCCAGCCTCTAAATTCCTGAAATTTTTTTCACAACCATAATGAGACTCTTCGACATTTGTGAAAACTTTTCTTAGTATCACTAGGTATCATATTTTTACTGTCAACATAGCCCAAGGATTTTTCATTTTCACATATGTATCCTTACCATGATTTTTATTTTATTCCAAAAATCTCCACTTTTTCATTTGAAAAATATCGTTTACATTTTTCAATCTTGTCTCTCCATATCATTAAAGATAATATCAAATACCTTGATGAAACTAAGGTCAATCATATCTATAACATATATATTAGACTCCCACATGATAATAAAGGGAGACTTTAACACACCACTGTCAACATTAGACAGATCAACGAGACAGAAAGTTAACAAGGATAACTAGGAATTGAACTCAGCTCTGCACCAAGCGTACCTAATAGACATCTATAGAACTCTCCACCCCAAATCAACAGAATATACATTCTTTTCAGCACCACACCACACCTATTCCAAAACTGACCACATACTTGGAAGTAAAGCTCTCCTCAGCAAATGGAAAAGAACAGAAATTATAACAAACTGTCTCTCAGACCACAGTGCAATCAAACTAGATCTCAGGATTAAGAAACTCACTCAAAACCGCTCAACTACATGGAAACTGAACAAGCTACTCCTGAATGACTACTGGATGCATAATGAAATAAGGCAGAAATAAAAATATTCTTTGAAACCAACGAGAACAAAGACACATAATACCGGAGTCTGTGAGACACATTCAAAGCAGTGTGTAGAGGGAAATTTATAGCACTAAATGCCCACGAGAAAAAGCAGGAAAGATCCAAATTTGACACCCTAACATCACAATTAAAAGAACTAGAAATGCAAGAGCAAACACATTCAAAAGCTAGCAGAAGGCAAGAAATAACTAAAATCAGAGCAGAACTGAAGGAAATAGAGACAGAAAAAACCCTTCAAAAAATCAATGAATCCAGGAGCTGGTTTTTTGAAAGGATCAACAAAATCGATAGACTGCTAGCAAGACTAATAAAGAAGAAAAGAGAGAAGAATCAAATAGATGCAATAAAAAATGATAAAGGGGATATCACCACCGATCTGACAGAAATACAAACTACCATCAGAGAATACTACAAACACCTCTATGCAAATAAACTAGAAAATCTAGAAGAAATGGATAAATTCCTCTACACATACACCCTCCCAAGACTAAACCAGGAAGAAGTTGAATCTCTGAATAGACCAATAACAGGCTCTGAAAATGTGGCAATAATCAATAGCTTACCAACCAAAAAGAGTCCAGGGCCAGATGGATTCACAGCCGAATTCTACCAGAGGTACAAGGAGGAACTGGTACCATTCCTTCTGAAACTATTCCAATCAATAGAAAAAGAGGGAATCCTCCCTAACTCATTTTATGAGACCAGCATCATCCTGATACCAAAGCCAGGCAGAGACACAACCAAAAAAGAGAATTTTAGACCAATAACCTTGATGAACATTGATGCAAAAATCCTCAATAAAATACTTGCAAACTGAATCCAGCAGCACATCAAAAAGCTTATCCACCATGATCAAGTGGGCTTCATCCCTGGGATGCAAGGCTGGTTCAATATATGCAAATGAATACATGTAATCCAGCATATAAACAGAACCAAAGACAAAAATCACATGATTATCTCAATAGATGCAGAAAAGTCCTTCAACAAAATTCAACAGCCCTTCATGCTAAAAACTCTCAATAAATTAGGTATTGATGGGACGTATCTCAAAATCATAAGAGCTATCTATGACAAACCCACAGCCAATATCATACTGAATGGGCAAAAACTGGAAGCATTCCTTTTGAAAACTGGCACAAGACAGGGATGCGCTCTCTCACCACTCCTATTCAACATAGTGTTGGAAGTTCTGACCAGGGCAATTAGGCAGAAGAAGGAAATAAAGCGTATTCAATTAGGAAAAGAGGAAGTCAAATTGTCCCTGTTTGCAGACGACATGATCGTATATCTAGAAAACTCCATCGTCTCAGCCCAAAATCTGCTTAAGCTGATAAGCAATTTCAGCAAAACCTCAGGATACAAAATCAATGTGCAAAAATCACAAGCATTCTTATACACCAATAACAGACAAACAGAGAGCCAAATCATGAGTGAACTCCCATTCACAATTGCTTCAAAGAGAATAAAATATGTAGGAATCCAACTTACAAGGGACGTGAAGGACCTCTTCAAGGAGAACTACAAACCACTGCTCAATGAAATAAAAGAGGATACAAACAAATGGAAGAACATTCCATGCTCATGGGTAGGAAGAATCAATATCGTGAAAATGGCCATACTGCCCAAGGTAATTTATAGATTCAGTGCCATCCCCATCAAGCTACCAATGACTTTCTTCACAGAATTGGAAAAAACTACTTTAAAGTTCATATGGAACCAAAAAAGAGCCTGCATTGCCAAGTCAATCCCAAGCCAAAAGAACAAAGCTGGAGGCATCACGCTACCTGACTTCAAACTATACTACAAGGCTACAGTAACCAAAACAGCATGGTACTGGTACCAAAACAGAGATATAGATCAATGGAACATAAAAGTGCCCTCAGAAATAACGCTGCATATCTACAACTATCTGATCTTTGACAAACCTGAGAAAAACAAGCAATGGGGAAAGGATTCCCTATTTAATAAATGGTGCTGGGAAAACTGGCTAGCCATATGTAGAACACTGAAACTTGATCCCTTCCTTATACCTTATACAAAAATTAATTCAAGATGGATTAAAGACTTAAATGTTAGACCTAAAACCATAGAAACCCTAGAAGAAAACCTAGGCATTACCATTCAGGACATAGGCATGGGCAAGGACTTCATGTCTAAAACACCAAAAGCAATGGCAACAAAAGCCAAAATTGACAAATGGGATCTAATTCAACTAAAGAGCTTCTGTACAGCAAAAGAAACTACCATCAGAGTGAACAGGCAACATACAAAATGGGAGAAAATTTTTGCAACCTACTCATCTGACAAAGGGCTAATATCCAGAATCTACAATGAACCCAAACAAATTTACAAGAAAAAAACAAACAACCCCATCAAAAAGTGGGCGAAGGACATGAACAGACACTTCTCAAAGGAAGACATTTATGCAGCCAAAAAACACATGAAAAAATGCTCACCATCACTGGCCATCAGAGAAATGCAAATCAAAACCACAATGAGATACCATCTCACACCAGTTAGAATGGCAATCATTAAAAAGTCAGGAAACAACAGGTGCTGGAGAGGATGTGGAGAAACAGGAACACTTTTACACTGTTGGTGGGACTGTAAACTAGTTCAACCATTGTGGAAGTCAGTGTGGCGATTCCTCAGGGATCTAGAACTAGAAATACCATTTGACCCAGCCATCCTATTACTAGGTATATACCAAAAGGACTATAAATCATGCTGCTGTAAAGGCACATGCACACGTATGTTTATTGTGGCACTATTCACAATAGCAAAGACTTGGAACCAACCCAAATGTCCAACAACGATAGACTGGATTAAGAAAATGTGGCACATATACACCATGGAATACTATGCAGCCTTAAAAAATGATGAGTTCATGTCCTTTGTAGGGACATGGATGAAATTGGAAATCATCATTCTCAGTAAACCATCGCGAGGACAAAAAACCAAACACTGTATGTTCTCACTCATAGGTGGGAATTGAACAATGAGAACACATGGACACAGGAAGGGGAACATCACACTCTGGGGACTGCTGTGGGGTGGGGGGAGGGGGGAGGGATAGCATTAGGAGATATACCTAATGCTAAATGACGAGTTAATGGGTGCAGCACACCAGCATGGCACATGTATACGTATGTAACTAACCTGCACATTGTGCACATGTACCCTAAAACTTAAAGTATAATAATAATAAAATTTTTTAAAAAAAGAAGTTAGGTTTTAGACTCTTACTGTTGCCCTTTCAGTAATGACCAGCCATTCGTTATTCCAAGTATCGCCCTGAGTAGTCTGGACAAAAATGTGTATAAGATATAGATAATGCATAAAGTTCTCATTATAGCTAATATGTCAATAAATTATTATGATGCAAGTGAGAACAGTGTTATAATTAAGGTATGAATTTTCCTGAGAGCAAAGATTATTTCATATTGATGTCATCTGATAAGAGGAGCCTCACAGCAGAGGTAGCATATGAATTAACTCAAACTTTAAGTAATATTTCACCTTATTGGAAAATTTTAAGCAAAGGAACATTAGCAATTAAACAATATAAAAGAATATGGATAATTCACGTATTAGCGAAGAAACAAGTATAAATGGAGCAATCCCCTCACTGGCAATGTAGAAGAAAATTTACCTCTAAATAAAACATATAACATATGTGAATATAGGTACTTTGTTCTATCAATATTACAGTACAAAACTTTCAAGCTTTATGCATGTTAAATTATATGTAAGAGTGTGATGTCAGCTAAGTAACCACATTGTTAACTCTGTAAGGGAATATAGAATAGGTATGAAAAAGAAATTTTTGGTGCTGACAAAAAAACTTCAACTTGTTTAGGAAATCAGTTTCCTAGGCCCCAGGAATCTAATACATAGCATTTCTCTCTATGCCACAATTCCTTCAAACCTTCTTTGTTTTGCTTACTTATTTTGTTTTTTGTTTGTTCGTTTGTTTTAGCTGACAAAATTTAATAAAGCATCTCAATGCTACATGAACTGTAGCTAGTGTTATAACTGTTAACCAGATAACATGACCCTCATGAAGTTTATAATCCAGAAAAAAATAAAGACATTTAAAAAGCAATAAAAATATATTTGTGCTATTAGTAAATACAGATTATTAAGAAGTATACTAAATCTTACTTTCTTAGTTCCTTTTCTTCCTTAGAAAAATTTTGTTCCAAAATCCAAAAGTCATTAAATAATTGTTGAAATCTACTTCTGGCCAATATGGAATATGGGAAACTGATCCATTGTAGTGCAGAATTTACCATCTTCTATATTTTGATGATTTCATTTCTGTGTTGTTAATACATTTCTCTAAATAGAATAAATTTCTTGGAATAGAAGTTGTATCTAGAGGCTATTCATTTATTTACTTATTTATTTGCAGAATATTTCATAGATGGTATTGAGTACTTCCTATTGCATCATATTCTTCTGTGAAATAACATTTAGAGACCACAATCTAGACCTGTGGGTTTATGCCATTGGGTTGGTAATGTTTTTAGGTCTTTACATTGATTTGAAATAGGAAATACTATTTTAAAAATGCATTAAAAATACTGATTTTCAATTCAAATTAGGAGTACAGGGTTTTACATAAGGTCTTGATTTTATTTTTGCTATTTTCTTCTGGAATTCTTAGTTCTTAATGACTAACATAAACTCTAATTTTCTCTATCACTGTATAATAGTTTCAGAATCACAGTGCCTATGATGTTATTACTGACAATGTGATTACTAAAAACAGGTTAAGGTTTCCTTGTAGTCCTTTTGTATTCCTCTGTATAAATCATTTGAATCATTTCTTGCTGTGTAGTTAAGTTGCCACTCACAGAGGAAAAACATGTTTTTCAGACTCTTAGAATTACCTCTAGATATCCTTCCCTGAACCGCTTCTTATACTTTCATGATGTTTTGTGTATAGACCATTGTATACGATTCACCACACTTCAATGTATGAACTATTCTGATCTGTTTCTGCCAATATACTATGAGGATTTAGTGGTTAAAATCCTTGTCTTCATACCCTCACTAGCAAGATGGGTGCCTGGTGATAATTGTTGAATAAATGAATTAAAAGCAAGGTAACAAGCCCATTTGAAAATACTTTTAAAATAATTTCAATCCTCTGAAAAAATTGAACTCATAGAAGCAGAGAACAAAATGGTGGTTACCAGAGGCTAGGGATTTGGCGAATTTGGGAGATGCCGGTGAAAGGATACAAAATTAAATTTAGGAACAATAAATTTAAGAGGTCTATCAGACACCAAGATGGGTATGGTTAATAACTAATATCACATAGAGGCATATCTCATTTTACTCCATTTTACTTTATTTCACTTATGAGATATTACCTTTTTTTTATCAAATTGAACATCACTGGCAACTTTGCTTCTAGCGAGTCTATTGATGACAATTTTCCAAAAGCATGTGCTCTCTTTGTTAGCATATGTCAGCAATAAGTATTTTTAATTCAGGTGTATACAGTTTTAAGACATAATGGTATTGTACACTTAATATATTACAGTATAGTATAAACATAACTTTTATACATATTGGGAAACCAAAACATTCGTGACTCAATTTATTGTAATATTAGCTTCATTTTTGTGGTCTGGAATTGAACCTGTGATATCTCTGATGTGTGCCCATACTTGAAAATTGGTAAGAAATTAGATTTTTAAGAGTTCTTACTACAAAAAAATAAGTATGTGAGGTAATGCATGTGTTAATTAGCTTATTTTGCCATTCCACAATATAAATACATCAAAGCATCATGTTGAACAACATTTATATGTTTATAAATACGTATAACTTTATTTGCTAATGTAAAAATTAGATAAATAAAAATGCTTCTTAACCCACAATAAACTGATGTTGAAACTAACATCTTGAAATTTCATGACAGAGGAAATAATTATTACATTTGCAATAGACTCTTTATGAAGACACTAAGCCATATTTGTGCATTCTCACAATACTTAATATTTTATCTGGCATTCTCAGCATCTAACTCTACCCGTGTGAAACGTAAAGCTCCTTTGAGTAATTAAGATGAAACTCCAATAACATGTGCTTGGTCAGCCCAAGGCTTTATCCTCTTGCTGTTATCAGAGAATGAGTGTCAAATCCCTTCCAGTAATAAATTTTTAAAAAAGAAGAGGTTTCCAAGTATTACCTCTAAGCCATGTCATGGTCTGGAGTTGAATCTCTTAGCTTTTAGGTCAACACAACACTTATCTCAACCTGTCTCACTCGCCTGCAAACCTTTCTCTATTACTTACATGGCCCATAGCACAAACCTACAAAATTTCCCAATTAAAAGATTTTTTTTTTCCCACACTGAGAATTTTCTGAATCTTCTTAAACTCATTTTAAATGGTTTTCATAGTCCTCTGTGCCTCGTAGGGACATTTTAAATTAGCTTTTCAGCACTCTGAAGCTGAAAAAAATGCAACATATAGGATCCTATAATTTCCTCACCTCATGCTCACCAAAACCTACATAATAAATAAGATCTCATATATTGCTCTTTAAAAAAATAGTTTTATTGAGGTATAATTGACACATTTAAAAACTGTGCATATTTAATGCGTATACTCTGATGAGTTTGGAAATATGCATTTATCTGTAATGCCATCATGACAAAGTAATAAATACACATATCACCTTCAAAAGTTTCCTCATGCACCTTTGGGTGTTGGTTTGTTTGTTCTATTTTGTTTGTTTATTTGTGTGCTTGGGCTGATTTCTGTGGTAAGAACACTTAACAGGAGATCTACACTCAAAATTTTTGAATGCACAATGCAGTATTGTTAACTATAGGCACAATGTTGAAGAGCATATGTATAGAACTTGTTTATCTTGTGTAACTGAAACACTATACCTATTGAACATCAATTCTCCATTTCCCCCTTACCCGAGCCCTGGCAACCACCATTCTACTCTACTCATTTGTACTGTGCCTGGCTTATTCACTTAGTATACTATCCTTCAGGTTCATTCATGTCATTGCATATGGCAGGATTACGTACTTTTAAAAATCTGAATAGTATTCCATGGTAGGTATATACTACATTGAATGTATATACTCCATGTTCTCAATTTAGCATAAGCCATTCATTTCCTGTAGGAAAATCAATTATCAGATAAGATTATTTTTATTCTGTCTAAATGAATATCTCAATCTCTAATAGTCATATTTCCTGCTTATTAAGAAATATTACTCTGATTGCAAATATGCAAATATTTGTAAATATACTATACATCTTTACAGCACACACTAAATGTGCTCAAAGTGCCAAGGATTAACATGCACTTTTCTCATTGTTAAATATAGTGTTGTGTGTGCCTTGAACTACCCACCAGCACAACATTACCCATCTACTGCCCACCCTCCTGCCAAAATGTGTTTTTTAAATAAAATTAAATATACAGCTAAATAAATACACATTATAGTGTTTAATGACAAAGATATAATGAAGTCAGTGTCATTAACAGAGAAATATAAATCATATACATCAAATATATGTTGTGCGAGTTTCACTAGAATTGCTTTTAAAATTATCACCAAATAATGTTTAATAAAGTAATTAAAAATTAACTGTTAGGAGAAGCACTGATTATAATTCCTGTTATTAGAAATAGTAGTATTACTAAATTGTTTAAAAATCATTCAAAAATATAAAACATTTTTCTCCAAAAGAGATGTGAAATTTCAATATAAGCCCCACCACGTAGATAAATATATTGAATAATTCTTCTAAGCTAGCAGTTTAAGTTTTATAAAAGGCAGTAGCTGTACAGATTATAAGATATTTAAGACATTAATGTATACACTTTCCATTTAGTTCAGCAGATAACTTATGCTAAGGATTTAACTGAATAAAAATTTAGACCTCTTTAAAATAACTTTTTTAAAACCCTATACTTCTAAAAATCACTTTTGCTTTACCTTGTAGTTATTTTTATCTCTATCATACATAGTCTGATTGGTACTCCAATAACATTACATACAAGTTTATCTCCTTATGATTCTCTTCACCATATTTCTCTTCATCAAAATTTTAGTGGGATGTTGCATAATAATTTATTGAGAAAATAAAATATCTTTGATAAAAAACATGTTCACAAATCACATTACATGGGCAAAATTATTGATATATAAAAGCCTTTTTAATCCTACCACGTATTTACATCTATGCATTTCATGAACTTGATTTCAATGAATGTTTATAATGCATATGGAGAAGGACTTGATAGCTCTTCTAAGTTTTATAGAAAAATTATAGTTATGTTTTTATCGACACATGGTATAAATTTAACCATTGAAACCACAATCACCACTATTAGATACAAAAGTGTTCTGTAGAATGTATCTACAGAAACGTATTTCCTCCAAGTGAAAATGAGAAGGTTAAAAAAAAAAAAGAAAAAGAGGTCATATTGATGATACTGACCTCTGAGATGTCAAGAAACAAAAATTAAGTTCTCTTCTTGCATTTAAATTGAGAGTGGAGGGCTAGGAACATAAATCAAAACAAAATTTGGCTTTTCACCCTATTATCCATCCTTTTCACTTTACACTCTCTCTATATATAAGTCCAGAAATCTGAGGGTACCTAACCTCTAGGCACACAGGTATATATCACCCCAAGTGTATAAAACTAGTGTGCAGCTCCTAACAACATGAAGTTATTACTTGGTTTCACTCAAAGAGGAAAGGCTTGCCCCCTTCCCATTTCTATCTTTTCTTGACCCTTCTTTTGTTTTTCCACTAGGATTCCACTTGATTTTATTAGGTAAATAACCAATTACTGTACTAGATGTTTGAGTCAGCCAGAGTCCATACTATAAGTGGGTAATTCAAGAAAAGACTATTTACAGAGATGTGGGCCAGGATCCAAGAAACCAACACAATAACTAGTATCTAGCAAAAAAAAGGGAACTCTACCTATCACTCCTGAGCCTGAGTATGAAAGAGTAGGGGTGCTTGCTAGAACCCCATGAGGGTGACTGTATGAAGGGGGACACTTGACAGAAACTGTGACCTTCAACAGAGAGGCACTGTTCACCCACAGCACACTGTCAGGGAGGAAACACGAAGAACAAACACCCCACCCTTATTCCCTTCCCAAATTCCAATCCATAAATGCTTCACTTTGGCAAAGCCGACTTTATGCAATCCAATCAGATCCCTACCTATCTGATATGAAGGAGAGGGTACAAAGTGTTCCGTAGGGACA
Organism: Homo sapiens; assembly: GCF_000001405.40. Lineage (NCBI taxonomy): Eukaryota > Metazoa > Chordata > Mammalia > Primates > Hominidae > Homo > Homo sapiens. The sequence goes on along the minus strand of NC_000008.11, from coordinate 77,268,644 downwards.
CATGAAAGGCATGTAGCATGATACTCTCATTTACAATTTAAATACAGAACTAAAAATTAGATAGCAATAAAGAAAGGTTACTTGGCTATATGCATGTTTGCTATTATTTGTAACAGAAATACGAGATTCTTTGTCTCTCCTGATTGATTATTCTCCAAATACTTATTACCATTTACCATATAATATATTTTACTTATTTATTTTGTTAATGTCTTTTTGCCCTCAATGCAATGTGAGTTCTATCAGGGCATAGATTTTTCTGTTTTGTTCACTACTATGTTCCCAGCATCCAGGATTCTGCTTGACTCCTAGTAGATACTGAAATACTTTTGAATGAATGAATTGGAGAATATAAAAACAATATAATGCAAAAATTATAATTTAATAAAAACCAAAACGTACAAAAGTAAATTTATGTCATATAAATAATACACATATAGAAGGCCATTTGGGGCTCTCATTCATGTTAATAAACAATATTTCAGAAGGCATGAAAACTAAGAGGTTTTTCTACATTTGGATTTCCCCTGAAAAATTAATTTTGCACACAGAAGAAAATTGGCAGGAATATGAAATATAAAGTAGCAATAAACTCAGCTCCTGTAAGTGTCAACTATTACCCCATTCATTTTGTAATATTTAATCATATCTTGGCTTTAAATGTGAGAAATAATAACATATTTTCTAGCTTGGGTAAAGCTAGAACTTCAACAAGTGTTTAATTTATAAGCACTTGTTTATAAATTAAAGAGATATGCAGGTAAATCTACAGATAGGCCTAGAAGCCTCAAAATAAAAAAAGTGTTACAATAAGTGCATTAAAATAAAATGTTTGGCATGGTATCTTCTCAATTTAGTTATATCTTTTGTTATCTAACAAATGGCTGGAAAGACAAAGGAGGCAAAGACTGGGAGACTTCATCTAAGATCTTAGGAATCAGAACAATTCTGTCATTTGCCAGCTATTTGGCCTTAAGAGTTGTTTGACTGTCTCTATACCTCTGCTGCACTATACAGTGAGATTAATAGCATCTATCTCTCTGGGTGTGCAGAATATAAGGGATAACATATGTAAACCATGTTGGCTCCCCTTGTAATTACTCTGTTTTACAAAGGCATTTTCTGGGCCCATAAGCTTCTGAGACCCTTTCCTTGTCTAGTAATCACGAACAAATAGTACAAATCTCTGAATTCTTAAATAGCTAGCACCAAGTTAAAATCAAACAGTACTAATTCATAATCTCACATGCAGTCTGCCATATTCCCAAGGAACAAATTAGAGTTAATGTAGTAAGAACTATTCTTATCTCCAACTACAACCTCTAGGCTCTACGTATTGAAAGGCTGAGTTACATAAAGTATAGCAATTAAGACAGTCTTATCTTTATGCTCTTTCTTCCCTGAAAGTCCATCTTCATGCTCTTTCTTCCCTGAAAATCCAAGATGTCATAGTCAAAGGACAGCATGAATTGCTTTACTGTTTCTTATTTCTTAGTAACATTTTATTATAATTAGTAGGTCTTCTGTTGTTTTCCTCTTTCAAGAAATGTGGGGTTAAGTCCATGCAATTAGAGTTCCTCAGAACTCTTGGTTAATCCATCATGATGCAATATATAGATATTTATATCTGGCTATGGTTTTAGACTATATGTGTAGGTCTTTTGATTTTTACACTCTTGCCTTTTTTGGGGGGAACTATCTGGTTTATTCACAATTCCGCGTATGCACTCTTCAGTATTTACATAGAGATAAAATATATACAGAAAATTATGAACAGATGTGTGCTTAATATAACATGGAATCATTTGATAAATATTTATTGAGTATCTGGTATATAAGCCAGAAACTATGTTAGATGTTTGGGATAAATCAATAAACAAAATTCACAAAAATCTCTGCCTGCATAAAAATTATAATCTAGTAAAAGTAGGACAACTGTACATCTCTACAGAGGAATACATATGTATCTTATACAGAGAGCTAACACACCAATATGTGTCAGGGGAATGATTTATTTAAGAAAAGCTTTCTTTCCATATTTATTTTAATACATAATATTATTCAAATATTGGCCATGGCTGGGTAGAATTAGGTCCTAAAACTCTAGGTAGGGCAGAGATTCCTCATCAGAGTGAATAAAATCTGTGGCACTGTTTTATTGAATTGTAGCCAAAATCTTTGAAAAGGAACAAGGAGAGAAGAAAAAGTAGGAACAAAAGAACAAAGTGTAGAAGAGGAATTTCAGATTAAAAATAGATGCAAGCATCAAAAACATTTAGGAACTAGATCAGAGCAGAAGCATCTCTGCAAAAATAGCTAAGTATTTGGGGTAATTGCCAAACATACCTTTATATGTTGTGCACTTTAAAATCTGGTGGGACAAGGGTGGGTGAAATTTAAAAAGGCTTTTGTATAGATGCACAGAATTTACTAGGACTGTCTCTTCCATTATATGATATTAGTCATATCTGGATACAGCATATCAGAACCAGAGCTGAAAGGCTCTTTAGCCTAGTATATTCATCAGTTATTTCATCTTTATTAACAAGATGCTACATATATCCATTGCTTAAGTGGTTGTATACATAGCTGATTAATCACAGCTATGTATAAACTTAAACTTCTACCAGATATCATGATAATAGAATTTCTGAAAATATACCCCTTATAAATTACATGCTATTTTTCATCTTTGCTTATTTACAAATGTTTTTACACCATCAGCACATTACCGTTTTGAAAAATACATAGTTTTTCTAAATAAATAACTAAAGGAGAGTGCCTATTCACAAAACAAAGGAAACCAAAACTGTAATGAAATGAGTCACTTTTATTTCACCAACCCTACCAAGAACCAAGAAGAATAGTATCACCATGACAGAACTGATATCATTTTAAGCTTAAGAAAGTTGAATGTAAATATTACACTATAAAAGTTATTTATTTCTTGAGAAACAATAGGAGAACTTTGCATATTATGAATCTGAAGATAAAAATGAACAAACATTGCTAACCTTTCAAAAACAATTGTCTCTCCTAAGGGTTTGGTTCTGCCTCTGTGATCATATAATTTTCATGTCGTTTTATGCATTCCCTATGGCTGAATCAACTACAATATCATTGCATATTAAAATTTCAACACAGAAATGCACATTTAAATTCTGTGCTTGATATAAAAGTCATGAAGAGACTGGAGGCAAGTTGGAGAAACAACATAGTTTAATAAAGAGATCAATATAGCTGAGCAGACACATTGCAACCCTAATCTCCAAGGCTTCCCACACACATGCATGCACACGTACACAAACCTGGAAAATAAAACAAAACAACACAACACATATTTTTCAGAATCCTTTTAGAGCAAGAGTAGACCTCCTAATAAAACAATAAAGACATCATTATTTTATTATCCATCCTAATTTTGAAATAATTTTAACCTTGGTCACATATTTTTAGCAAAACAACCTCTAGCCCTTGAAAGAAGGAAATGTACCATACATAAATTGATACCAAAAAATTCTTATCATTAATTTGCTGATTTATGTAAATTTATAATAAAATAAAACATTTTGGTAGGGTGCGGTGGCTCACGCCTGTAATCCCAGCACTTTGGGAGGCCGAGGCGGGCAGATCACCTGAGGTCGGGAGTTCCAGACCAGCCTGGACAACAAGGTGAAACCTCATCTCCACTAAAAACACAAAAATTAGCCAGGGGTGGTGGTGGATGCCTGTAATTCCAGACATTCAGGAGGCTGAAGCAGGAGAATCGCTTGAAACCAGGAAGTAGAGGTTGCAGTGCCAAGATCACGCCACTGTAATTCCAGCCTGGGCGACAGAGGGAGACTTTAGAAAAAAGAAGAAAGAAAAAGAAAGAGAGAGAGAGAGAAAGAAAAGGAAGGAAGGAAGGAAGGAAGGAAGGAAGGAAGGAAGGAAGGAAGGAAGGAAGGAAGGAAGGAAGGAAAAAGAAAGACAAAAACATTTAATCATGGCTATCATATAAAAATTATATTTGGGAAAATTAGCATATAAGAAAGACAGTCTTTCTAGAGTATTTATTATAACTACATCTACATATTCACGCATATAAAAATTTACTCTTTTCTCAGAAATTATGTAAGAAATTATTTTTTAAACAGCTCCTCTACTCAAAAATAAATATGGGTCCAAATTATGACTGCCTCACTTCTTCAGCAATCAAATCATTTTAGAAAACATTTCTATTTAACACAAACATTTTAACTTAATCTCTAAACATACATTTTGTGTATTAATAGAGGAAATATTTCCTTTTGAATCTTCTATAAGTGCAAAAGATTTAAATATAACAAAGAGTAGAATGGATTTCATTTGTTTAGTCTTTTGAAAAGCTACTGCTACTTACATGTTTGCATTAATCCAAAGTTATTTTTTGCTCATATTCACTTCTCCAAAAAAAGCATTCTGTAGCTGGGAAAGTAGTGTCCTAATGCCATCTGGAACATCTTGACATCTTGAGTATTAAGTTAACATGTAATGAGGCTAAGGACGGGAGGAGGACAAAGATATTAAAATAATGTCTCTGGCATATTTAGATGACACCAAAAATGGCTAAAGACAGTTAAGAATTTTATGTTCAAGCACTGTAAAATCAGTTCTTTTGCAGAGATTTTAAATAATTTGACAGTGTTTTCTCAAATCTTGCAAAAATCAATTTTTTTGTAGTCAGCAATGTTACTTTATTTAAAAAGCACTCAAAACAGGTATCACCATATATTTATATATATTTGAGTAAGTCTTTATAGTATGGTTATAGATGCCATAGTATGTATTTTCCTAAGTAGATAAATGGAAAAACAATAAAATAAAATAAAAAGCTACCTATAAAGATGCTCATTGGAAGCTTTATAATATCAAAAAAGTGAAACAAGATGTATGTATAATCATACAAATTGGTTAAATTCTCCGTAGATAGTTTACATATAAGATGCAAAAGTCTTGAAAACTATGTGACATAATGTGAAGAAAAAAGTACCGTATAATCTTCATCAAGAAAAGTATCTCACTGCTTTCACCATCACCTCCCAAACACAACACGCTGTGATGTTCTAAGATGTTTAAAATTATATTTTATTTATATACTCTGAAAATTTTCAACTGTTCAATAATTAATTTATATTATTTTAAAATGTTATTTAAAAACAAAAAGGGAACATCTGATATCATGGCCCCCAAGTACCAAGAGCTTATTTTCCATATTCACAATAAGTAGTTCTTTCAAATTGCAACAGCTAAGGGAAATTTGGGTATTTGAAAAATTCACCTATTAAGAATATAGTGACTATTTTAAATGTCTTACTTCTAGGTTTACTTCTACATTATATTGGGCATATTTTAAAGCAACTCTTAAAAAAGAATAAACACTTACTTACCTCACAGTTTTTCACATCAAAGGATATAAGTTCCTCTTTTGAGGGGGAAAAATGTTTCATACCTGATAAAAATTATCCAGAGCCAAAGTTTGAAAAATAGTAGCTAAGAAGCTAAAGTATTCAAATGAATAACTATGTTGCAGTCTCTGAAAAATAATAATTCTATTTTTACAACTGCTCTTATGTTAGATCACTATAAAAATAAAAATGCAAAATTAAAATATTGTCACAGAACGATTGGACCTCAAAGAATATATCCAAAAAACCACACCGTGGAAAACATTGAATAAAAAATCTAAAGTTCATGCTAGCTAGTTTCTTGAAATTACAATTCATCTCTTAAAAAAATCTCTGTATTATTGATAAAATTTTTCTGGAGATATAATCAAAAAGAGAATTCAAAACTTTAGAAATATCCTTAAAATCTCTGTTTCTCAGAATATATCTTCAGCCTGATTTAGACAATTTGGTTAAAATAACTGCATTAAAAAAGAGGTAGCAAGCCAATCCTACAGCACTAACCAAACAAACCAATATTTAAATATTTATATTTATGTATATACTTCTTTATAGGTTATAAATTTGGGAATTTATAACCTATTTATATTTTCCAGTAACACAGAATTTTTCTTCTACATGTAAAATATTTCTTCTACATAGCCAGGTGCTTTTTACAATTTAGAATGATATCTAGTAGTTTCATTCCTACACGTAATTTTCACTTCCCTGAATTATCTAGTTGAAGTCAAAGATCATTTTTTGTTTCAATATCCAATTTATGCATAGATTTAAGCACTGTTAATTTATAGTAGAGAAATCAAATGTGTTCTTCAAAATTTATAAAGACATATGAGATTCAATCTGTAGCTATACATGGATCTTAGTGTACTCCCAATACTGTGATGTGAACTATGATAATCATTGGTTGGTAGCCTCATATACCTGCCACATATGCACCACTTTTCCGTTATATGATGGTGGCCTCATATACCTGCCACATATGCACCACTTTTCTGTTATATGATGGAAAAAACACTTGTTCAACACAGAAAGAGTACTATATATACGTGAACATTATGTACTCACAAAAATACACTTGTTTAAGCTTACATCTAAGCCTTCCTTAATTGTCTTGTGCTATTCTTCTGTGTTTAAACTACATGCAGATTATTTGTTATATAAAAACCTTCATATTGTATTTTTTATTAAAAATATGGTGAAAAGATATTCAACATAGCTTTAAGAACTAGAATACTAATTGTTTCTTACAATGCCTTGCTGTCAGCAGCAATATCAGTGCAGAGCTACACAGAAAATGATTCACCCTCCACAAGCTGCCAGTGTGAATACTATACACCACGTTCATAAATATGAAAACTGAAAGTATCATTATTCAATGTCCCAAAGAAAATGAAAAGACGAGATTTTTCCAGGATTCATCTTTTATGTGTAATAATTTAATTTAATATTATCATATACATTATTTTCTCTTAGCAAAGACCTGTTTAAACTCTTCTGAATCCATAAAACAATCAAATATTGAATCAGCATGCAAGAAAATATTCAGATATATTCTTTTTTTTCTTTTTTGCATTTCGATAAAAGCATTTTATATGGTGTGCAAAACATAGCTGTAACTTCAACTCCAATTATAATTTGATAAGTATGTGTTTTTAAAAGTATTAAATAATAATTGAGGATATTCTACAAAATAGGTAATTTTTCTGTATGACAAATTCCATAGTAAAATTTTCTATGAAGAAATACTATATGTATATGTATATAATAGAAACAACAGGGCACATAGAAGTCAAAAGGTCAGTATGTTTCTGAAAATTACATATTCTTATGCAAAATCTGATAGTCTTTATTGATGGACAATGTCATAAAGCCATCACTGTGTTTATAGACATTTAATTGAAGACAGCATAAAACGATAAACTAAGAAACATGCATGGTTGACTCCTCCAATTCAAACCATAAATCATACTGATGTTCAGACAAGTCTCCCAGACACAAATTCTGATGATAGATGAACCATTTAACTTTGATTTTTGAAAGCAATGAGCTTGCTAGCAATACCTCACACTGACTAATACCACATATGGTCTTATAAGAACTCATCAAAAATCCATTTTTCCCTTGTGTGGATGCTAAAATTATCTTCTAAATGATCATTATTAAAAGTATGCAGTGTGTAACATCTTTCTAATGTGCATAGCTGGATTCAATGTCTACTTGCTTCAGTAAGCAATGATTTTATCACTATTTCTGTCTTAAAAATTCTTAAAATAAAATAAAGAGATAAGGTAGTGTGCAAAATTAGTAAGTGAAAAATAGTATAAGCAAGTTAATTAAAATGTAGACAGAAAAAATTTCTAAGTTTATTAGCATGCCTATATATACATGTATTCATATATATATCAGAGTAAATACAGGACTTGTAGCAAATAATTTCATCAAATATCACCCTAGAAATCAATATACCATGAGTATAAAAACAAAAACAAAAACTTCTCACCTCATAGTTGTGTTCCAATTTTCAAATCCCACCTAAAGGAAATACAAATATATGAGATGTCCCTATTTCAGTAATCTGGATTTCTAAAAAAGTTTTATTACTTTTAATACAATTTAAACATATTGTTGCTTCAATATATGGAAAACGCTTTATCTCATTTTTTAAAAATAGAAAATATGCAATCTTCGATCCATGTTTTAGAACTGTATAATGTATTCTAAACTATGGCTCTATAAAAAGTGTCAGCCTATAGTTTAGGATAAATAAAAGTTGAGATTATTTTAGTATACAAGTGTGCTTTCTTAAAAACTGGTTAGAGATGTGTTTAAATAAGCATTTTGGAATAAAATTATCTTATGCTTCTATATTATAAGAAAGCAAAATGAAGTAGCAAACGAGGAAAAAATATTCCAACACTCCCAATAAACAGTCAGAATTGACCTCATTTTACCCAAGTTGTACATGTCAATCCACATACTACCTGAATAAAAATCCGTACAACACTCTGAATGCAACCTATAAATCCCTCTTTAGAACTACACATTTATTTTTAATCAATATAAAATGTTAATTTTATTGTCAATGGTCTAAACATGTAAAGCTTTTAAAAATATGATAAATTTTATTTGGAGATGGGATATTTAATTACATCTCAGTTTAAGCTTATGAATTATAAAGAAAAGTTAGCATTTCACCATGTATACTGCAGACTCCATCTGGTGGCTCTCTCCAACTAACTTAAGCCGAGTATCTGCTAAGGAGTCAATATTTTCATACCGGGTCAGAGGATCAAGAATTTCCTCTGGGACTTATTCAGCTGTATAGTACAATGTCAGGATTGGGATCTTGTTAGTAAGCAGTATGGGAGAATATAATTTTGGCATACTTGGTATTCTTTAAAATTCATTAATATAACCTGTTTATTTTTCTCCTCACTTACCTAAATGCCACCTGCCATATTTTAAGGTGTTTTCTTAACAACCTAACAAAAGATTTTAAATTAAGTAGATTTGAGAGCTTTGAAAGTAAGAGCTTTGCAAGATCGAGTCCAAGAAAGTAAACTGATATAATCGTTTGTTTTCAAAGGCAATTGAACTTGTCTCAAATCCCCATGGAAGCATTTGCAAGTGAAGTGCTCTCGCACAAAGGTTCTTATTCAAATGATGTTCTGGCACGTTCTCTTACTTCAGTCCTCGCCAAATTACATTTTTGCACGACCAGGACAAGATCAGAATACGCCCCTTCTACTGTTTTCGTGATACCATACAGCAGTAATAAATGAAAGAGCAGTGATATTTAGATGGATGAGTCCTATGCCAGGAAGAGAAAACTACCAAACAAGGACCTAAAGCGATCCCCTGTCTTCACATGCTTGATTTCATTCCTTAATTAGAGCCATTAATCAATAGGTATGAGATATGAGGCTTTAGAAAGGCTTGGTGACACGACACCTTGCCACCTGTCAAAATTACAGCTTTCTGTTCATGCACCATCCCTCAAATAGTTATTTTCTGCAAGCCTGGCTGCATCCCACAATTCATTATTTACTGTATAGTTCTATCCCAATGCGATGTCAGAAGATAACCCATTGATGATAAGTAATGTTTTACATTGAGTAGTTAATACTCATGTGCATATGTGTGTGTAAAACACACACACACACACATACACACACAAACACGCACATGCATACATTTCTGTGTTTCGTAGTTAAAATTTTCAAATACATAATCATCGCCTCTGGTTATACATTAAAACAATACTTTGCTACTAATTAAACATATGAGTATTTTTTCAGACAACATACATCATTTTCTAAGATAAAAGAGGGAAAAACTTTCTATTTAAAAAGAAAGAATATAATATACACCATAGAAAATTTAACCTATTACAACATAACCTACTGAAAGTTGTAAAAGATCAAAAAAGAAAACAGGTGTACTTAAAAAATGGAAGAGCATTGAAATTCAAGGTATTTCTAAAGGAGATAATAACATAGTGAACACATTATGAGCATGAGTATTTTTTCTCTTAGAAACATATTTTCAAAAAAACAGGTCAATGCTTAAAAGTCATGCCAGTTTGTTCTAAAAGGTAATCTCTGCTAATAAAACCACAAAATAGATTGTTTCAGACAAGCTTTCCCAGAATCTTGCTGAGTGATTTAGAAGGTCCAGCTCTGCTTTCTACTCAGAATAGAAAAGTGACCCTCAATTAATTTTTCCTAGAGAATACCGACAACCATCAGATAGCTCTCAATCACAAATGACCTTGGCATAATTTCAACCATTGAATGAAAAAACAGAAAAAGACTACATTTCAGTAGTCATTCCTTGGGTCACCCAATCCCCATAATGCTATTTAATATAATTGCATTCTATTCAGTACTATTACAATTATACCTAGCCTCTGAATGTCACGATAGCGGCCCCTCTAATTGATGCTGTGCCTGAAATAAATACCTTTCTCATATTAACTGTCTTAAAATATCCATGAATTTAGCTCATAGTTGGAAATTTGGGCAACAGTTAATGTAAAACTGATCTTATTTAAAGACTTTGCACAGTAAATGGTGATTGTTTAAAATGAGAAACTTCATATTATCTACAAAGAAAATTATCCCCCAAATTATTGACTTGCTGCGTATTGTACTCAGCAGCGTTGCTAATCTTGTCAATGCTTCAGGACTATTGCCCAGGTTTGCTGAAGTGACATTTGAATTATAACAGAAGCAACATATGAAATAAATAAGAAGTAAACCACAGAGGTAGGGGATGGAAACACGGATTAGGAAGGTATATGCCCTTACTATTGAAGAGAAGTGATAATTTAAATGTGTCTTTATTTTGTTATGCCAGTTGAACTATGCTCAGTCATTGTTGATTTAAGAAATTAATTTACCTATTCTGCTCATTCAGATTTTTCTTTAACTATACAAATATACCTGACATGTAAAAATATTCTTATGTGTAACATGGAAAAGAGTGTGGAAAAAACATGGAAATATTCTTGTGCAATTTGAGAAGTTTTGCCAGTGGAATAGTTAGGTGGTTTACTACTAAATTTGAAGACAAAATTTATTTCATACTCCCCATGTTGCTATTAATTATTTTTAAGAATTTGTTTTTAAATATGTGATCAAATTTCAAAAAGAGCTTTTAAAGGTGAAATACGAAATATATTTCATACATTAATATTAGCATATTTATTATGCATTTAATATGAATTAATAGTATACAACACAATATTTTACATGTATAATAACAACCTTGAGATCACTATCCATCAGTAGTCAGCAATGTAGTGGTATGTCTATGAGTTTTGCTTTGAATTTTAAGTTTTTGTTTATTTAACAGCATTAGAGTCTGTCATCACAACTAACTTGGGCTTACTGATGTTATATGAAGTTACAATTGTATTTATGTTTTTGTTGTTGTTTCTCTGAAATTTTGACAAGTTTGGAAGCATAATTAGGCAATTAATAGGTAAATAGCTGAATGGAAATAAATATGACCACCTGGGTTCAGTTTTCTAAATTGCTTATCATGAGCTAACAATTTCTAGGCAAATCTGGTTTAAAGCACCATGCTGAAAAATACATTCTTTAGTGCACTAATCCAAGCATGTTACACACATACAAAAAAAAAAAAATCACAGTTATGAAAATTGGGGACTCCTTAGAAATAACACTCTGCACCTTTTTTTCCTGTTAATTCCTTATGTGTGTGTATACACCAAACATTCAGAACACTATTACTGTTAGAAAAAAAAATTGAATTTCAAGCCATTGTTAATCAAATATTTTACTTCAAATGCCTGTTTTAGAGAAATATCCTTCACTTCTTCTGAACTAGTATTTTAGTAGAAGACCCTTCAAGAAACACCGTTTCAAGAACTAATGTAAAACAGGAAATAGAGATGAAGGACATTAAAATAGTCCAGTTTTCTGGTAAAAAGATTATGGATGAATCAAACAGGCTTCTGTTCTAACAACTCTGCACCTCACTCATGAGTGATTACATTCTTTAACCTCTTTGAAGCTTAGCATCCTCATCTGAAGTAATAACCACCCTCAACCATTGGCTTATTGTAATAGGTAAGCACTAAACCCTTATTAAGAGCTTCTCTTAGAATTAAAAAAGCAGTTATAATTAAGCAGTTATAGATATAAAGTTATATATATAAGCAGTTATATATATATATATATATATATATATATATATACATATATATAAAGCAGTTACAATTAGTCATGTGACTTTTTCCCAGCAGTGTAGTGCAAAGGACTACTGTGATATTAGGTTGTATACTATCTATTGGAAGACGCTGGGACTATGTCACATATGTAACCACACCACCATACCATGATAACTTTCTTGTCTCAATATTCTAACTTTCTATACTACAGTAGGCGAAAAGCCCTTTACTAGTAGCTAATATAGACATGACATTATGGGCTTAGGCAATTTGAGATTATTTCAGTTCCAAAACATGTCCCAAGGCACTCAGACTAGACCTGCATAGCAACAGGGAATGACACCATATGATGCCAGCACCATGATCACTCATTCCTTATTACAGTAATCCAGTCACTTGTGCCTTCCGGAATTCTTGGGGTATTGTGTTACTGAAGTGATCTTAAAGTACCTTTCATATTGCATCCTATTGTAGTTTAAATATCACACAGCAATAAGTGATAGCCAGTCCCTGTTTTTGGACACAGCACTTCTCAACAAAATCACATGGAATTTTAATTGTTTATATTCAATCTTTTTAAGAGAATAAGATATTTCCCCGAAAAGGAAGAAAAGTATTGTGTATATAAGCTCCTGAGCTGTGGGACAAATAAAAGTGTATGACAGCCTAGCAGGAGGTGGAGGATGTCCCAGAAGTAAAAACCTTATTCCTTTTACTTAGTACTTTTATGTAATTACTCAGAGAGAGCAATATTTTTTTTTATTCACTGCTGTACCTCCAAGACTTAAAGCAATATCCAGTACATCACAGGGGCTAAATAAATGCTTGTTGAATTAATGAATTCAGGGGGTTGTAAGATGTCAGATTTGTAAAGAATGACACAAATCAGGCCAGGCGTTTTGGCTCATGCCTGTAATCCCAGCACTTTGGGAGGCTGAGGCGGGCAGAGCATGAGGTCAAGAAATTGAGACCATCCTGGCCAACATGGTGAAAGCCGTCTCTACTAAAAATACAAAAATCATCTGGGCTTGGTGGTGCGCACCTGTAGTTCCAGCTACTCAGGAGGCTGAGGCAAGAGAATCACTTGAACCATGGAGGCAGAGGTTGCAGTGAGCTGAGGTCACACCACTGCACTCCAGCCTGGCAACAGAGAAAGACTCTGTCTCAAAAAAAAAAAAAAGAAAAAGAAAAAATGACAAATCAAATCAAATCAAATTCTATTTATTACCTATAAATAACTTCTGTGGTTGAAGGCTGTAATAAAATTACTGAAAACTATATTTTAAGAAATTAAAATAAATATCTTTAAGTTGTATTTATTTCATGAAATTAAAGCTACTCTTAAAATTATTTCATAGATAAACACTTATAAAATTTTGCTGTCATCTTCAAAAAATTCCATGTGCCATCACAACAACCCTAGGCTTAAATGAAAAAAAAATAAAACTGATTTCAAGCTTTGGGGGAACTTTTCACAAAGTACAGAAAGGCTAGTAACAGAAGGATATCACTGGGCACTTGAAAAACTGTGATGAGCAATAGAAGTATTAGTATATTACACAGTAAGAAATAAATATAAAGATATAATTTCCCTTCCCAAGAGTGAAGGAATGAAGTTATTTAAATATAGACACAGTTACCAAAAATATTAATAAATGTCTATTAAAATAAGCCATGATATACTTAAGTTAGAACTGAGAAAAGACACAAGCAAAGGGCCCAACCTCACACATCTATTTGAATTATATAAGCAACAACATATGGAAAGTTCACATGGTTCAAGGACCTGACCCTGTATCAATTCCCAGCCTTCCATATTACTATGCTAGACCTAATACTAAAGCATTCTCACAGATATAAAAAATCTCCGTTTGTGTGCATGACTAAACCCAGGTAATTCGGCAAGGAATTGCATTCTTTAAAATCTAAATGTAAAAATTTTTCCAAAGAAATGCAGGTAAAATTATACCTTAATGTATAGTAATAAATATTATGCCAACTATGTATTTTTTATTCGTTCACTCATCCCGTTAAAAATGTTGTGGGCATCCATGTATTATACTCATTACTAGGGATAGAGAGATAAATAAACTATATGTATTTGCCTCAATAGACTCACAATTCAGAAACATAAATATATAACCAAAAACTAAGATTACAATCAGATAAGGCTATGGCTTTAACAAATTGTTTTCTGTTGCACATGGGCTGAAACTCAAAGCACAATAATCAAAATATTGTTTCTGTTTCAAGTGTTTAAATTATTATTGTAAAATTCTCTTTTGCAAAATCTGATTAACTTCAGCATTCAAGTAAGATGTATATAATAAATACGCTTTTTAAAAAATAATAACTCATTTTATTATCATAGTTATTATTATTAGGACACGGAAAATATTCTAACTCCAAATGCACATTTAATTTAGTCTTTTAATACAATCAGTTACAGTTGGAAATCTTCAAAGTCTTTTATATTGCTCCAAATAAAACATAAAGTTGCTCTCCCCAATTCAACAGGAAAAGGCCTGTTTCTGAGAAAGCATTTGAGTATATATTTTATTTGCACAACATACTTATTCAGGCCTTTATGATTAGGTAAATCTACAGACTTTTTTGCTATAAAAAGTTATGCAAGAAATCTATACCCCTGATATTCCCTAGGGGAAAGACTTCAAAAGCATTACTTTCAAATAAGGATAGAATTTCCTAAGAAGTTCTTCATATCCCTGATTTTAAGCTAGACATCTGCAGGAAGAGAGAAATTTGAATTTGTTGGGAAATAAGTGAAAACAAATTCTGTACTTGATGAATATTGCTGAGTACTGAAACATAGATGCCTGTCAGGAACAAGCCATCTGTAACACTAAAAATACTTTAAATTTACATAGCACCTTCTTCTGAAGAATTTCACTTAGCACTAAGTTGGAATATGCTAAGAGAAGCAATACTATACTTTTAAAAGGTATAGAAAGAAGAAAATAAAACTGGCTGTATCTACCTAGCAACACAATAGACCATTTTGTCAGGAGTTAAACCAATCAAACAACAAATTTTACTGATTTCATTTAGGGAATCGACCCATTGCTTGAGATAAATGAATCAATAAGCTTTTAGTATCATCCACATAGACCGCCAGATTATTTTTTAAAAAGATTAAGTAAAGACTGAAGATATTTATTGAAAAGTTAAGTACTTTAAGATAATATTTTGAAAGTTGAAGTTATAAAAAGACTTTTTCAGAGGTGAAAATAAAGTTATTTAAAAGCAAAGTGTACCTTAAAGCATAAAGGACAATCATCATATCAGAAACAATAATAGGAATCATTGAGAAATGCTCAATTGTTAGTGCTGAGACCTTATTCCTTAATCCATTCATTACATTTTTATTGTCTTCTTTCCAAGAAAGGTGCTGACCTCTGAGGGATTCCTTAATGAACAACAATCCCCCCAAAAGATTTCTTCTTTTAAAAGAGGCTTGTACAGTGAGGATTTTTCTCTTTGTAAAATTTGTAACATTTTACTATATTTGTTATTTGTAAAATAAATTCAAGAAATTTTTCCTCTTCACATGAAATTTAAAGAGGAATAACACTGATAACAGCTTGTATTATTTAGTAACTTCCCCATAATTTTAGCTGTCTGAAACTCTTTAATTATATATATATATATAATGCATTTTGTATATAAAGATGCTCTTCAATTTATAATAGAGCTGCAAACTTATAAACCCATCATAAGTTGAAAAAATAGTATTTCCAAAATGCATTTAATACATCTAGCCTAACAAACATCATAATTTAATTTAGCCTATCTTTAACATGCTCAAACACTTACATTATCCTTCAGTTGAGCAAAATCATCTAACACAAAGCTTATTTTATAGTAAAGTGTTGAATATCTCATGTAATTTATTGAATACTGTACTGAAGTATGATTTCTACTGAATACCTACTACATTCACACCGTCATAAAATCAAAAAAATCATAAGGAGAACTATTGTAAGTTTGGGACCGTCTGTATATATAATCCCATTGCAATACCCAAAAGAACTGTAATACTGTCACAGGAAAAGCCACTGAGAAAAATGCTACTTTGTGAACTTAGGTGTGGTAAGCTTCACACCAATAGGGCATTGTCTTAGGACAGATTCTCCTGAAAGTAGAGTGTGAAACAAGGATTACAATTTTAATCCTTTATTTAAAAACTACAAGGCACTGACAAAGACAGTGAAAGAAAAAGAAACCGGAAGTGAGGCAAAGATGCAAAGCACTGCAGTACCGTGACGCTTAATTTCAGGTGTCCACTTGACTGAATTAAGGGATGCCCAGATAATTGGTAAAGCATTATTTCCAGGTACGTCTGTGAGGGCATTTCTGGAAGAGGAGGGTGTTTGAATCACTGGAGTAAATTCAAAAGATTTGCCCTCATCCAATGTGACTGGGCACCATTCAATCTACTGAGGGCACAGGTAAAACAAAAAGGAAGCAAAAACTTGATTTTTCTTTCTCTCTTCTGGAGCTGGGACACCCTTCTTTCCCTGTCCTTGAATATCAGAACTCTGGGTTGTCGAGTCTTTGGACACTGGGACTTGCATGAATGGCCCTCCAGTTTCTCAGGCCTTCAGCCTCAGACTGAGAGTTACACCACTGTCTTCCTTGGTTCTGAAACCTTCAGACTTGGACTTAGGACTTTTCGGCCTGCATAATTGCATAAGCCAAATTCCCTAGTTAATTATCTCTCCTCTCTCTCTCTCTCTCTCTCTCTCTCTTTCTCTCTTTCTCTTTCTGTCTTCCTCAGTCTCTCTCTCTCTTTTCCTCTCTCTCATATATGTATATAAAAACACATATATAATCCTATTGTTTCTGTCTCTCTGGAGAATTCTGAATAATATAACTACTCTATGGCATGTTACTTCACTGCCTATCACTTCATAAAATGCCACAAAGAGACAGGGAAAGTTGTTCAGAGTTGTAGTAGCTTGAGACCTCGAAATTCCCAAGTTATCTTAGAGCTTATAGAATATGAATGCTAATGTATAATACAAGTTTAAGGAGACTCTCAACAAGAGTGGGCTTCTTCAAGACCTGTTTTGCAGGACCCAGGTGTTTCTGCAGAGACACAAAGGAACTGAGTCACCTGTTTGGTACCTAGACCCTCCTTACAACTGTGTTTGCTACCAAGCATAAAAACTATGTATAAATCTTGAAAAACACAGAATATATTTTTGTTAGTTTGAAATCAAATCCATTTTTTTTCTATAATAAGAAATATTTCTATGCTGTATGGGTTTTTTTAGTTATTGTTTTTGTTGGTGTTGCTATCACCCATGCTATTCTAGAATGTTTATTTTCTCAAAACAGGAATTTTTTCTCATTCAGTAACTATTCTCTAATTTCTCTAAACACTGAACAGCCTTATAGATTTCTACTAGGGAGACTAATCTTATTTATCACACCTCCTAAAATACTTCAGCCTTCAGCCAGTCAAATCTTAGATATAGGTTCTCACTTTACATTCATTAAAAGGTTAAGCTTTTCCCACTTTTGTCTGACAATTTTTAAAACAGAATAGGTGAGTGCAATGCTGACAACCAAATAAAGTGAGAAAATAGAGTTATTATCTTATGTTTATTAGAGTTTTTAAGGGCAATTGTAATAACTAATGTAACCCATGTATATTATACTGTTTATGTAAACCTACTAAGTACAATTAAATTCCAACTTCCATTTTAAATAAACATAACAATAAGCCATGCTCCAAGGAGAAACTTTGCAAGGAAAGAGATAGTAGGGCAAGAATTTTGTAATTGTTCTTAAGATAATCTTCAATATTTAGAGTTATAAAATACAGTTAAATTTGCTAGCAACACAATCAAAATAGTCTTGGGTCTAAAAATGGTTAAAGCCAGCTTAGTCAGAGTACTCCAGAAAGATAGAATGTATAAATTATGTATCTATCTATCTCTCTATTTATCGGGGAGAGAGGGGAGTTATTATGGAAGTTGGCTTACTCCAATATAGAGGCTGAGGAGACACCATAGGCTGTCTATAAGCTGGAGAACCAGGGAAACCAGTAGCATAGCTCAATCTAAGTCCAAAGGTCTTAGAACCAGGGAAGCTGATAGTGTCTCTCAGTCTGAGGCCAAGGGCCCAAGAGACCAGGGGGGCTGCTGATGTGA
Organism: Homo sapiens; assembly: GCF_000001405.40. Classification (NCBI taxonomy): domain Eukaryota; kingdom Metazoa; phylum Chordata; class Mammalia; order Primates; family Hominidae; genus Homo; species Homo sapiens. Next base: position 77,250,339 of record NC_000008.11, on the reverse strand, counting down.
GTCCCAGAGTTCAAAGGCCCCAGAACCTAGAGTTTTGATGTCTAAGAAGAGGGAAAGAAGTCCCAGCTCCAGAAGAGAAAGCCCAACTTCATCCTTCCTCTACCTTTTGGTTCCATCTGGGTCCTCAGCTGATTGGATGGTGCCCATCCACATTAAGGGCAAAACTTACCCACTCAGTCCACTGACAAAAATGTCAATCTCTTCCAGAAACACCCTCAAAGCCACAACTGGGTAGCCCAGTTATTCTAATCATATGCCAAACTACTTGGATTTCCCTTCTTGTAGAAGAGAAAGGGGCTCAACACCTACTAAAGCACTGAGAATTAAATAATACTTTACCAGCTATCTGGGTACCCCTTGATCCAGTCAAGTTGACACCCACAAAAACTATCACACCATATACCCAGTCGACACCCACAAAAACTATCACACTAACTCAATGATTTTTTTAAAAAATTGCTTTGTATAATATTTAGACGTCTGAATAAATGAAAATCAAATGTACTATCTTAAAGAAGCTTATTTAATTTTGTTGCATTGAAGTTTATCCCATTCTTGTTCTATAAGAACAAAAGATTGCATGTCCATTAAATGTCTAGAAAAAAATTTAGATAAACATAGAAAAGGTTAAAATAAATAGAACATTTTAGGAACAGCAGTGAAATTATGGAATAGATTTGAAAGTTAGGAATCTAAATTCTAGTCCTAACTCTGTCATAAACTAGTACTGGGACCTATACTGCAGCAAATATTTTGCCTAATTTTCATATTCTTTATCTATGTATCAAATCAGAATTGAAATAGACATCAAAAAGCCCCAGTGTCCCATCCTGCAACTACTGCAAATACTGCAAATAGACCTCAGCATGCTCTGCCATTGTGCCCAAGCTGGACTCACATTCATTCTCACCCTAGCCCTTCACAGAGTCATTAAGAACTAATAGATTTTGACACTAAAGAGGAAATCAATTTGGCATCTTTTGATTAGATAATCTCTAGCATCTTAGGCATTTCTTGATTCTAGGTGTCAGTTCTTTTTCTATACCTTGTGGTAATTAATTGTTCTTTAACAAAATGTAACCAAATCCTGGTTTTCAGGTAGCCCAATTACAAAGCACTGCTGACATTGAGAAACAGTGAACTATTCTATCTAGCAGCAAAGGCCTGAGGGAGAAATCAAGCAGTTATTTAAATTAATGACCGTTGAAAATTAATTCAATGTGAGTTTGAGTGACTTAAGTATCACAGAGGCAGAATAAATTACAGAGTTAGAAGGTCAAGATATCTGGATTAAAACCCTATCATCTCTTTTTTATCTTTATTAAAATGTTCATTCAACAAATATGTTTGAAGTGCAAGCACTCTGCTTGGTGTTGGTACAATGTTGAACAAAATTGACATAATCTCACAAGCTCCATAAACCAGAGATTATGTTAGTTTTGTTTAACATTGTACCAACACCTCATAGAGTCCCTATGCTTCAAAACTGTTGATTAAATGAATATGAAGGAAACCAACATATTTCACCTCAAAATATACTTATTTCACATATTTCAAGATGGCTGTTTGAAAGGGCTGGAAATACAAGAATAGCTGAAAAGTCCTCTTTTGTGGGAAAGATTTGCAATTTGTAGAGAAAATCTGCATTGATGCAACCAGGCCTTCTCTCAGGCTCTCTCTTGTCCAGTCTAGGAAAGATTAATTGAGAGTTGGACACCTTTAAAGATCTGAAAGAAATATTCGCCATCTATTCTTTCTGAAGTCTGTCACCTGTGATGTTTCATCTACATAACAAGACACCTTTGCTAGCCAGGCCTCCTCTTCTCTGCCTTCTATAACTGTCTTGCCACTATACTACCATAACCTATTTGGAGACATGCTCTGAGTCCCCATTCTCTCCGTCAGGTCAAGATGGTATAAAAGCTAAGTTTCTGTACCACATTGAGATTGGAATCATCACTCTGTGATGCTCCATTATGCATGTTAATACATTTGTATGCCTTCTCTCCTATAAATCTGCCTTTTGACAGTTGAATTTTTTCAGTGAACCTTCAAAGGGTGAATGGGATGTTTCCCTTGGCCATACAAATATATAAATACATGGAGTTTAAATGTGTGTGTGTGTGTGTGTGTGTGTGTGGTGTGTGTGCATGGTTTTGAAAAGAGCCATGTTAAAGTATGCCCTGACCCAGAGAAAAACTTGACTCCTTGTGGCTAAGAAACCAAAAATTAAAAGCAGATCCAGGCAGCCATGGCAGGGTTGGAGAACAGTCATGTACCCTGTGTGTTCAGAAAATGACTGTGTTCTCAGAAAGAAGTTGTAATAGTGTCAAAAGGCTGCCCTTTCTATAATCAAGCCAAACCAGTTCCTATTGTCAGTGCTGAGATAAACTGTAACTGGAAATTTCCCAACTGACCACCAACAGAACACGTGGTATAAATAGACTGACCACTCGGAACCAGCCAATTAAGACAGACTGGTGATTTGGGGCTTAAAGGTCATCCAATCAAGACTGTTCATCTCTCCGCTGACTCCCCTGCCCTGTGATTTTTGCCTTTATAATTGCTCACCCTACAACCCCTCCTTGGAGCACACTTTCATTTTGCATGAAAGGCTTCATCTACGCAATATGCAAATTGCTTTTAGAAGATAACCTTCTCCTTTTGCCTCCACAAATTTCATTGGTCCTTTATTAACCCACATAAATATTATGAAAGTTCTTAACAAGATAACTTAAATGATTTCATTCATAGGAACAGTTACAAAAGATAAACTAAGAAATTGATATTTAAGCTACAACCTGAGGAATAAGTAGAAGCTAGACTAGAAGTAGGGAAAAAAGAATAAGTGTACAGTCTTCATATATTTAAAAGAAAGGTGAAATATAACTTGGTAAGGAATTACACTTGACAGATGAGTAAGATAAAATCTGGTATCAAATGTCTGCTTTTGCTGTTGGGTAGATAGAGGCACCATTGACTGAAGTGGGTAATTAAGAGGAAAAAAAAAACAAAAAAACTGGAGGAAAGCTTAAGAGTCCTGCTTTTGAAATTAAAAGTTTGTAAATGCAGGTAAAACTTTCAAGAGATGATGCCATGTAGAGATTTGATATATAGATCTGGAAATTAAGAAAGTGGGCCAGAATGGATATTTAAACTTGGGAGTCATTAGCATGTGTATGGCATTTAAAGCCAAGAGAATGCATGAGGTCAACTAGGGAGAGATTTCTGAATGAGAAGTAATAAGAGCTGTCTGTGACTTAAGGATTTTCAGTTATACTGTAGAAACATTTTTCTCAAAGTGTGGTCTACAGAATAACAACGTCTGCATTACTTGGAAGTTGTAGAGATGCACTGTCTCATGGCCCACTCCAATTTGAGATGCTCTTTAATAAAAGAAAAAAGTTTGGCAAACAAAAAACTAAGAAGATAAAGTAAAGAAAAAATACCGTGTCATAGAAGCCACAAGAGAAGGGTGCATAAAAATTTAAGGAGTGGAGTAATCAACAGTGTGCAATGCAGTGTCAGAACATATAAAATGACAGAAATAGTATGCATGAAATTTAACAGCATGGAACTTGGTAAGTGATATTAGCCAGAGTCGTTTTGATGGAGAAGTGCAACTGGAAGCCAAGCTTTTAATTGAATAAAGAACGAATGAAAACTGATAAAATAGCAGCAATCACATATGAACAACTCTTTCAAGAAGTTTGGTCTTAAAGGAGAGTGAGGATAGGTCAATAATTAAGAAAAATAGAGTAATGAAGAAGTAAATGCCGATGATATTAACACAAATGATGATAGATGTCAGAATCCTAATGAGAATAATCAATTATAAAGCAAAAATTTTGAGCCTAACAAGATTTAAAGGATCCTAATTTAAAGGATCTCAGTGATGATAAAGGGGAAAATCAAGGGTTTCCAAGCAAACAGAAAGAGTTGTCTTGGGTAGGTGAGAAAGTTTCCTCCATTATTAATGGATTAAAGGAAAAGATGAGCACAGATGACCATAGGCTTGCAGATTTGATGGAGAAACCATGAGGAAGTTCCCATCTAATGGCTTCTAATATGAAAGGTCATATGCCAAAAAGGAAGGTGGGAAGAAGTGTCAAATATTTGAGAAAAAACTAATATTTTTATTCTTGTTAAATAAAAATATACTTTTTATTTAAAATATTTTTAAATTTTAAGTTATCATTGTTTGTGATTTATAATAACTCTCTAAGATAAGTCATTTTATTACCCCAATTTTAGATAATAAATTTCAGGTCAGGTAAGTGAAAGAGCTTAGATACAAACCCAGCAAATAGTTCATTCAGATTCATTCTTTGTCAACTACAAAAATACCTCTTTTTGTGAAGAGAAAGAGTTTACTAGAGAAATATGATAATGTTTGGTGATGATAAATTTTAATGATAAGCATCAGCCAGATTGTCCTAATCACCAGTAAAACACTGTCCTTACATAAATAAAAAATGAGGCTGGGTGCAGTGGCTCACGCCTGTAATCCCAGCACTTTGGGAAGCCAAGGCGGGTGAATCACCTGAGGTCAGGAGTTCGAGACCAGTCTGGCCAACATTGTGAAACCCTGTCTCTACTAAAAATACAAAAATTGGCTGGTGTGGTGGCACATGCCTGTAATCCCAGCTACTCAGGAGGCTGAGGCAGGAGAATCACTTGAACCAGGGAGATGAAGTTTGCAGTGAGCCAAGGTGGTGCCACTGCACTCCAGCCTGGGCAAGAGTGAGACTCTGTCTCAAAAAAGAAAATAAATAAATTAATTTCAGTCTGTTTCATTTTTTCCTCTTCACATTGAAAATACTATCATGGACCATTAAGAAGGTATAATTAATAATACTGAAAATAATTAACCTTTGTATAACAGTTCATAAAACATTTTAGCATGCTTTATTTTACTATATATTTTCTCACAGTATTTAATGGTTGAGTGCATTATCTTAGATTGAAGATTTCTTTAAAATATTTTTGATGTTGCTTCTGAAGTTACTAGGATAGGTTATCTCTCATAGCATTGTTGCATGGTCAAATTAAATACTATATGAAAGTATGTTACTCAAAAGAAAACTTTAAGAAAACATTAAGAAGAATAATAAAACCCACGAAGATGTCCAAGAAGTAATTGACATTGCAATTTTAAAACTATAAGTAGTCTTGACTTATTATTTTTGCCGTCAATGGATTTTTATGAAAACTGTCTTTTCTGCTTTATAGAAACTATTAGGTATGACCATAAATAAGCAGTAAAATATAAGTGCATTGGTTATAAGCATGCTTTTGAAATAACTGAGATAGTTTGACTCTCATAAAATCCTATGAAATAAGAAACTTCCGTAAGAAACTATTCATTGTACTAGAAAAACAATATGTACTGAGAAACCTTAAAAAAATTCAGAGGATCACTATACACAGCACTTTGAAAATACTGCCAGGACAGTAGAAGATTTGAGGGATACCACCAAAGGGTTTAGTAACAACCAAAGTATAACTGAGAAAAGATCTGCATGCCAAGATGTAAGAGGAGATCACAACAGCCAGGAGCGATGACACAGAGGATAAAAGGGTCAGGCACCTAGCAAACAAGCAGTGATTGCCAATCCTGTAAGAAAACTCCTGAGGACCTAGGGCAATAAAAACAAATGAGCAAACAAACAATTCATCCTTGTCAAAGGGCCAAGCCATATATTCAGTAAAACAGACTCTGGCCAAAGCAAGAGGCAAGAGTACCTCTTGGGAGATAGGATGATACTGGCCTACAAAATATGCCTACAAAAGAACAGGGAAAGTAGAAACCCGCTAAAAATACAAAGAACTAAAATCCATCAGAATAAAATATACTCAATTTATTCCTTTTATGCTGTATCTCAGGATATTTATTTATTTATTGGGTAAGTGTGTGATGAATCCTGAAAGGAATAGCCCTGTACAGGCACCATTCTCAATGGCATGGCATTTGCCAAGGACATCAGAATCTGGATGTAATTGTCAATTGGTTCAAGAAGTTCAAGAAGGTATTTGTAGCTTTAAGGTGTCTTTTTAACTTTAAGGGTTCAGGTTTTAATAAGAAAAATAACACAAAATATTTGTTAAAAGGAATTGAACACATACTAAGGAAAAAAGTATATACAGTTTTAGTAAATCGCATCAAAAGACAAAATTACAATAAATTTACTTATAGATTAAATAAGCTTGATTTGTGTTTCGTGAATCAGGGAGCCTTCAGTCTATAAAACACAATGAGAGCTCCCACTGGGCAGTGGTGGATAACTGGATTTTTGAAAGTGGGACAAGGAAACAAAAAAATAGAAAAAAAAAAAGAGCAGATTGTTAATGTCAGTTTACTTCACTTACCTTTTTTTTTTTTTTTTTTGGAAAAGGTTAAAGCAGAGGGGACTATCTTATTATGCTGACTTGGGTAGACTGGAATCTGCTGTTTTCAGGAAAATCTGGCCTGTTTCGAGAATCTACCAATTTTCTTACAGTTTCTGCTTGATTGTGTGACATTTAGCATGAATGAATCCATTTTAGTTTGGTCTGGTATGTTGGGGCCTTAGTGCAGGAGCTCAGTCCAAAACGGTGGTCTCCCGTAATTTTTGTTTAACAAGAAAATTAAATTTACGTCAGACACAAAATAGAGAACACACCTCTGTAGTGTTAGTTTCCATTTTTTTCTGCAAAAATTATTGTACAAAAGAATTTATTAAATGACACCAAAGGAAATGTCTGTTTAGATTTTTTTTTGTCTAGGTCTTATTACACATTTGATTCTCTGTCATTTGATATTTATGAAACTTTTTGTTTTACTTAATATAATAATCTCTGTCAAAATGATCCCTTTCTGATATAGTTAATATAAGTTAAAAAAATCCATCAGTAATTTTATAATTTATCATTACTAAAAGTTTAAAGCTCAAAAGGAAGTTTAAAGATCAACTGGGTTTTTGATGAAAAAAGAATTCCTTTGAATCTGAAACCCATTTGCTAACGTGTCTTCATTACTGAAAAGCATGTAACTTAATGAAACGTCTCATGGTTCACTATTCATGTCCACTTAAATGAGGGCTAAAAGTAAATTTGCCTTTAGAAAAAAAAAGTCAATGAAATCTTTCCTATAAAATCTAAATATTCTGATGGAATATTCCAAAAACATAGTGTCTGAATATTAGCTCAAGAAAACTACCTGAATGGCCTGGCAAATAATTGCTAATTTAAAAAATACCAGTAACATGGCAAATACCTGCATTTATTTCCATTTTTGTGTCATTCCATAGTTTAATTTAAAAAGTACAAATTATAATTGTTTTATCTTTTCATTTCCAATTTTAAGTAATATGATACTGAGTAGAAGAGCAAGCACAACTAAGATAAAACAAAAATATTTTGAAATTAGGCATATTAATTATTAATGAAATCTTGCTAAGAGTAGGTACTTATTATTTAGAAGACAAATAGGTATGCAAAACTTTTATATAATGTTTTAGCCTTCGAAAAAGTATACTTTAATGGTACAGAATACGTTTGCAAATGTGCTCTCAATTATTTTACAACTTGTTCAAAATAACTTGGAAAACTTCAATAAAGTATTCAAATAAGTAGAGTGCCAAAATTTTGACTTTAAATACTTTTAGAAAATTGGCATTACTGAAAACAAAGCTTACAAATAGGAAGTAAAACAAAGTAAATGATAAAAGTTTATACATCTAAAACTTATTCTTGGTATATCTTGACCTGGATTAAAAACCCTGTCATCTCTTTTTCGTCAAGTGCTCAGCAGCCCACTTGAATTCCTCTTCCAAAAAAAGCTTTTTCTTTCTTTGCCACATGGTTAAGATTCACATTTTTTTAAACTTTTATGCTCTGCTTCTTTTTTTAAATGTAAGTTCCAACTTATTTCTTTGCTCCCACATCTGACCATAAGCTGTTACTAATACAAGCTGCCACACCACTTTTTGAACACTTTGCTGCTTAGAAATTTCTTCCACCAGGTACCCTAAATCATCACTCTTAAGTTCAAATTTCTACAGCTCTCTAGGGAATGGACACAAGACAGTCAATTTCTTTGCTAAGGCATATCAAGTGGAACCTTTGCTCTAGTTCCTAATAAGTTTCTCATTTCCATCTGAGACCTCATTATACTGGATTTAACTGTTATATCACTATCAGCATTTGGTCATACTCATTTAAAAAGTCTCTAAGAAATTCTAAACTTCTCCTCATCTTCCTGTCTTTCTTGGAGCCCTCCAAACTCTTCCAGCCTCTGCCCATTACCCAGTTCTAACATTTTCAGGTATCTCTATAGCAATATCCCACTCTTGGTACCAATTTTCTGTATTCGTTCAGTCTGACATTGCTGTAAAGAAATACCTGACACTGGGTAATTTGTAAAGACAAAAGTTTAATTGACTCACATTCTGCTGCCTGAACAGGAAGCATAGCACTGGCATCTGCTTCTGGGGAGACCTCTGGAAGCTCACAATGATGGTGGAAGGTGGTGCAGGAGCTTGTGTGCCACATGGGAAAGCAGGAGTAAGAAAGAGAGAAAGCAAGGTGCTACATACTTTTAAACTGCCAGATCTTGCAAGATGTCACTCGTTGTCATGAGGACAGTACCAAGCGGATGGTGCTAAACCAGTCATGAAAAATCCACCCCTATGATACAATCACTTCCTACCATTCCCTACCTCCAATACTGAGGATTACAATTCAACATAATATTTGGGTGATGTTATGAAGATTAAATGTATTGATGAAAGATGAGGACTGGAAATCATCTTAATTATGGAAGGCTAGGGCTACAGAGATCTCCTAGCTCATAAAGGAGTCTGAAGATAAACTACTCCCTCATGATGCCTGGAGCTGCAATCCCAGGGACACTAGAAGGCACAGTCATAGTCCAAGAATCTGGAACCTGAACAAGCAACTAACTGGCTCTTTGAAAACTCTGACTCTCTAATTTACCATATCAACATGGGGTAAGACCACTAAAATCCTATAATAAGACCTTGTTTTAGACTGGAAGCCAAAAAGGAATGCTGCAAAAATTCAAAACTACTGGACACACAAGGAAATACAGAGAAAAGAACAGAATGGAAAGGAAAGGAAAGCTCAGTCTAAATGAATGTGCAAATTAAAAGTTCAAAATAAATGAGTACCTAAAGCTAAGTGAGAAAACCAATAAAGTCAGCACATGGGGCATGAATTTATTCCACACTAAATTAGTGTCATGAAAGAATGTAAAATTTATTAAGGTACAGTTGTCCCCCCTTATCTGGGGGGATATGTTCTAAGACCCCCCCATGGATGCCTGAAATGACGGTACCAAACTGATCGCCATCAATCAGAACACATTTCTCTTCATGTCTTCCACTCAAAAATGTAATGACCTTTCCGTCTTAACTTAGCACTGTCACACACTGTGACCATCACTTTTGTGGTTGGAAGTTTGACAGCAAAACTAGCACAAATTTCTTATTTTCTTTACAATTTCATGGATAGAAGATTCATTCAAGTTACCATAAATCATAGCAACATCAGCCTACAATTTATTTTTCCCTTATCAAATACAGAACTTTTACATTTTTATTTAAAAGAAACACATGATGACTTCTCTTTGGCATGCCCAAATTGCTGGCGTCACTCCTCTTGTGTTTTAGGGTATTATGAAGTAAACTAACGGTTGCTTGAACACAGCACTGTGATACCTGAACAGTCAATCTGACGACCAAGATGGCTCCTAAGAGACTAATGGGCACATAGCACCTACACCATGGAGACTCTGAACAAAAGGAGGTTTCACATTCCAGATGGAATAAAGCAGGACAGTGTGAGATTTTATCATGCCATGTGCAACACTGTGCAATTTAAAATGCATGAATTGTTTATTTTTGGAACATTCCATTTAATATTTTTGGGCCATATTTGACCATAGGTCATTGAAACAGCAGAAAGCAAAATTATACATAAAGGGGTAACCTCTGCAAATGTGTTTAAAGTTTTTTAGAGGAAATAATTAGGTCATAGCTTATATTAAAAACCAGGAAATTATTAAATAAAGGCTATTAGGTAGTTAAGAAAAATAAGAATTAATTATTAAAAAAATAATCATAGATGTATAAATATGTAATAGTATCAAAAGACAAATTGGTAAATTGGAAAATGAAAGATACTGCTGAGAATTCAGCCAGTTCCAATATACAAATAAACCACATGAATCAAAAATTAAGATTACATATTCCAGCATAAAAATGAATAGAAAGAATCAAAATATGGACAAAAGGAACATGTGAAAAAATAATTGCTGAAGATTTCCCAGTATCAAAAAGAAACTTATACATAGTTGTAATCCACATATTAGGATGGTTAAACTAAAATATATACAAAATTAAACATACTATAGAAAACCCGCAGACTTTATGTATAAAGACACAATCTCAAAAGCTACCAGAGGAAAAGAAGACAGATTACCTTCAAAGGAATATTTGGTTCAGAGTAGACATCTTCTGAGTAGCAAAAAATACCAGGGGACAATTGAATAATACATTCAGGTCTCAAGGAAAATAACTTTTTATATTTTATGAAATACATTTAGTAATTAAAATATTACTCAAAAGCAAAGATAAATTAAAGACATTAACAAGTATCCATAGATAACATTCCTTAGACTCTCCCCAAAGGAATCATTGAGAGGATGTATTGCAAAAAAGCAAAGTAAACCTGAATGAAGGCATAGGTTACAAGAAACAAATCCCTTTGGATAGGTTGTAGAAAGTTCTTAAAATAACATGGCTTTTACTAATACCAATACTAGTTTAAAATGCTAGAAAATCACCATTTTTTTCCAAACTCATCAGAGAGCTGAGCATGCAAAGAAACCCCAATGAACTAAACATTAGAAAGCTCTTAGACCTTTATAGGAAAAAAGAGACTCATAGCTGCTTTTACCTCCTGATAAAATGAGAGGAGGAAAAGCTAAACAACATAGACTATGGAGCCAGCAGACAAATTTTAACAAGCTTTAATGGCTGGGTGTGATTTTACGTAAGAGGTGAGCCTTGGCACAGAGCAATTCTACACCATCTGCCAACTCCTTCTCATGAATCTTTACCAAGTTTTCAGGAATATTACCAAGGTTTGGGAAATGGTCAGGTAAGCTGAAAAGGAGTAATTCCTGTGGTATTTGAAAACTCCCTTAAAGTATAAAGCAGCAGTAGTCTTAAGAATGGGGAAAGGGTTTCCACCCAAGACATCATAACAGGAGCAAGAGTTATCACTGCCTGAAACAATCACAAATTTGACAAAATATATGAAACAGCTTTCAAGATAGTTGATATCAAGTAATGGAAAACAGTGATCTTTGAGAAATGGCAAGTGAAGAGGGTGAGCTCTACTTTTCCCAGTTTACAACCTTGAGAAAATCTCAAGGAGGACACCAAATTCTTGAAGCAATGAATCTAAGAGTCTAGAGAAACTGTAGCAGCTAGAGTAAACAAGACAGATTACCAGGAAAAAGAAAGCTGCCCAGAGAAAGAACTGCGGAGACATAGAGTCTGCTTCAGTATTCATCTGAGTACTGGTCAGTGCGTGCATCTAGGCCAACCACCCAAGGCTGAGGAAGAATCACCCAAAGGGATGAGTGTTAAGAGTGTCTCACGCAGGACCAGGAACAATGTCTTTTTACACCAGCCAGCTTTAAAAAATCTGCTGTTGAAGCATTAGGTAGACTATCTGAAGGGTTTTGTATCAGTTTGGGGAAGTAATTAACCATGGACTGGGCATGTTTCCAGTTCTGCATTTAAAAAAATCATGAAAGCAAGACCTAAAAAGATCAAACATTCTCTTAGCAACTTAACTGCATTTCAGAGCCAATCTCAAGAATTCTTACGGGAATTAAAAAATATCCAGTACCTAATAAATATCATTCTCAGTATCTGTTATCTAATCAAAGCTTAAAGGCATACAATCAAGCAGGCAAAAAATGACCCATAATCAAGCAATAAAAATCAACCCAGAACTAACACAGATATTACAATTGTGAATAACAATTCTGTGAATAGCAGACAAAGATATTAACATTGTTATTATAACTGTATTTCATATGTTGGAAAATTTAGAGACATGAAAGATATAAAAACAAAACACAATCAAACATCTAGAAACATAAACTACAATGTCATAAACTGCAGAGCGAAAATAAAGATGACAAAAGATTTTTCATCGGAAATAATGCAAACAAGAAGAGAGTGGAGTAACATCTGTAAAATATCAAAAATAGAAAATGAAGGAAGTTTTCTGGGTTTTCATCTCTCAGACTCTGGAGAGGGGCAAGAGAGCTGATACAAGTCTTCTGGGGCATTCTGGGCCTTCACAGAGTGTAATTCAGCTACATTCCTAAACTCGAAACCCAAAAATGATGCTGAAAGAGAGGGGAAGAGACAGGGTCAGAGTCACACAGAAAGACAGACCCATTACCTGTGTTACACGATGCCGAAAGCAGTCTTCTGCAAGCCAAAAGGCTTCAAGTCAAGCTGCAAAGTAGTGAGGGAGGATGGGAAGGAGAGGGAAGGAAGAGAAGAAGAAAGAAAGAAAAGAAAGAAAGAAGAAAAGAAAAGAAAAGACAGAGAGGGAGGGAGGGAAGAAGGAAGGAAAGAAAGAGGAGGAGAGGAAGAAGAAGAAGAAGAAGGAGGAGGAGGAGGAAGAGGAGGAGGAGGAAGAGGAGGAGGAGGAAGGAAAGAAGAAAGGAAGAAAGGAAGGAAAGAAGGAAGAAAGAAAGGGAAGGATGATGGAAGGAAGGAAGGAGAGAGAGAAAGAAAGAAAAAAAGAAAAGGAAAGAAGAAAAAGGAAGAAAGGAAGAAAGAAGGAAAGGAAGAAAAGAAAGAAAGAAGAAAAAGAAAGAAAGAAAGAAAGAAAGAAAGAAAGAAAGAAAGAAAGAAAGATGAAAGAAAGAAAGAAAGAAAGAAAGAAAAAGAAAGAAAGAAAGAAAAAGAAAGAAAGAAAGAAAGAAAAAGAAATGGAAAAGAAAAGAAAAGAGAGAGAAAGAGGTCTTTCTTCCGTGGTTCAGAGAACTGGTGATTCAATTTTAAGCTTAAGGAGATATCAACAGTCTTTCCAGAGCTCAGGTCTCTAGACTTGAAGGAAAAAAATGCCCTAATTACTGCTAATAATAAACTGAATAAACTAAAGTTGCAAGTGAGTACAAGTTCAGATGAACTAAAAATAAGTCCCACATTTTAGCAGTGTGGCACACTTTAATTTTTACCATTTTAACACAAATGTGCAGTGTGTCATCAATAAAAAGACATAACAGGAAAGCAATAAAGTGTGACCCATGATGAAGGGAAGAAATTGCGAATAGAAGCTGATACAAAAATAGCCCTAATGTTGAATTATTCTACAAGGCCTTTGAAATAGCTATGTTATAGACGCTAAAGTATGCAGTAGAATGTAAAGAAAAGAATTTCACAAGTGGGACAAGATTGAGTGTGGAAAGGAAGGAAAGGAAAAAGATTATGCTATTATGATTGCAGAAGAATTGAATTAAAAACATACCTTCACGTGCTACCATAGTAATTACTCTCACTATAGAACTTATTACATCCATTTATTTATGTTTTTCCAAGTAGTTAGTAAATTTCTTGAAGATAAATTTCATCTTGTTCTCTGCTGTATCTTCAAGATCAACATAGTACCTAGTACAGTGTAGGTGCTCAATAAAAATTTGCTGAATAAATAAGGAAAAAGAAATAAAAGGGTCGATAGTGATGAAAATATAGACAGAAAAAAGAACATTCATTGAAAAAAATTTGTGAAATGATGAAAGAATATCTTGACCAATTCCTAATTTATTACTAGACAATGGCTTAAAAACTTAAAAGACAACTTACCTTATTTACATAAAATATATAATTTGTGAATCAAAATAATTATTGTGCATAATTTTATTTTTGAACCATTTTAGCTCAACATTGAACATTAGTATAAATTAATTTTTAATTAAAAATTTCAAATCCCAAATTTTAATCATTCATCTATCATTGGCTGCAGCAAGATTCAGACTAAACAATCTCATGTGTAAACTTGACGGCAATCACCTTAGTAACTGCACAATCTGAAGAAAGCAAAACACACAAATCTTGATAGAATATTTACACTGGTCTTCAAGGAAGAATTCTAGGCTGCACAGTGAAGGAAGTTAAGAAATTACTAGACTTACCAGCGTTGAAGCCACGTGGAAGGCAGAAGAAAATGCAGGAGACAGCACTGCAATTTGTGAATGATGTCATCTACCAACTTTCCCTCATGCATAAGATTTCTTTATGTCAGAATCTTTTTAAATCTATTTGCATTACAAGTATAAAGGAATTTACAAGTCTCCAAATAATGATGGATTTCAATGAGGTTATATAGATGGCAAGGGAGAGAATAAATTCAGGTGAAAAAAAGTTTTTTCTTCATGTGAGATCTTTATTTCAGTAAATAAATCTTCCTCCGAACTCTGCTTTGTGGAAAGCATTACAGCTGATTATTTTTCCCTCTTAGTAATGCCTGATCTAATAGAAACTTAATTTTTAAAAAAGAACTAAAGAAAAAAGCAAAATTAGTACTGAAAGAATTAAAAAGGTGGAACATCTAAACAAAATCCCAGAGAAGCATATAAGTAGGAAAAAATACAGACACTAAGACAAGGTCATGTTGTGCTGGCCATCAAGATCAGACTTCAGTTCTAGTCTCCGATTTCTTTCTTGTATCATATCTCATAATTTCAATCTAAGAAAATGTTTAACTGCTTGTTGTTGAATTGAATTTCACAGCTAAAGAGTATCACCTATTTAATGGAGTTTTATGATATGGTCATATTTACTTCAGGAGGATTTTCCCATTCCCTCCACACCCCCTTTAAAAACAGAATACTATTTATTACTTCAGACTTGTTTGGTCCTGGGACTGAGAAGTGAATGATTGCATCTGATTCTCAGAATTATGAAATATCTTTTCATCATGTGGCCCAAGAATGTCTACATAACATTAGTAAACTATGTCAATTTTACTAAAAGTACTATAAATGCTATTAAAGGCTGAGTATCCCTTATCTGAAATGGTTGGAAAGAGAAGTGTTTTTAAATTTTGGATGTTTTCAAATTTTGGAATATTTGCATATCCACAATGATATATCATGGGGATGCAACTCAAAGTCTAAACACAACATTTATTTATGCTTTACATATACTTTATATACGTAGACTGAAGATAATTTAATACAATTTTTATATATTTTTTCATGAAACAAAGTTTTTGCTATGTTTGGACTGCAACCCATCACATGTGGTGAGGTGTGAAATTGTCCACTTGTAGTGTCACATCAGTGCTCAACGAGTTTTAGATTTTAGAGCATTTCAGATTTTGGATTTTCAGATGGGAGATGGTCAACCTGTTTTTAAAAAAAAAAATAGAACAAAAATTGTTAGAAAACAGATTGATTGTAGTAGTTTTATCTGATAAAAAAAACTCAAATGTTTCCCAATATTTTTAAAAAGCAAAGAAAGCTTAATATGACTCTTTGAATATTTTATCTTTCATGTAAAAAGGAAACCACATGGATTCAAAAAATATGGCTTAAAATCACATAAAATTCAAGAAAATATTACTTTAGAAGTTTTAATACAAACTTCTAGTGCAGTCTTTATTTTTATTATAGAAAATAGATTTTATAAATATAAATTTTATTCTACCACGTTGAGAAAAGTTAGTTTATTTTTAGACAGACTCATTATTAGCACTGTTTTCTGATGGTTATGAGTTTTATTATTTTTAAAACCAATAGACCTAATCTCACAGGTAGGAAATAAATGCAACTATCTTAAAATAATTTTATATTGCTTTTGGTTAGCTTGATGCAACTTTTTAAATTTACATACTTTGAATAAGCAATGTTAAAATCTCAACATTTTTTGCCCAGTTTTTATGAATTCAAATTAAAGAATCATTAAGGCCTCATGTCAATAAATTTGTGATGCAGCAGACACAGTTGTAATTGTCCACAAAAGAAAACTCATGCCGATGAGCAATCAACTGAAGTATGAAAGAAATACAGAACGATGGGGATGAAGAAAGACAGAGAGAAAGGAGAGAGGAGAAAAGTAAAGGGAAGAATGCACAGACAATAAAATGAAGTGTGCACCAAAGTCAATTCACAATGAAGTCAACCTCCTGTCAGGTTACAAGGTGCCCTGATTTTGACACATGATATTTATTCTTATGTGAGTCTTTATTGCTCTATTAATTTGTACTTTTCTGAGGATCAAACAGATCTTTATTTACGAATATTTTGCAGGTACTTTGTCAAGCTACCGTGACTAAATAGAAATATTTATGATTCGAGTTAAACATCTCTCTAATATGGATTGTTGTATAATAAATGAATTAGAAATGTTAAAAACATCTATTCATTTTAGAAAGTGCATTTTCTATATATCTATTTCATTTGAGAATTTTTTCCTTTATGTTTTTCGGTTTTCATCTTTCATCTTTGAATGTCTTTAAATACGTTTTTCAAATCCCCCTCTATTGTGCAACTATTCTCTGTGGCAGTCGTCTGTCTGCAAAAGTCATTTACTATCAAGTTTACTGTATATGCCTAATTTTATATTGTGCAATAAATCTTCAACAGCCCCTAAGTTTGACAAGTCTGAAGGTTCAATCAGAGGTTGGATGTATCAATGTTTAATGCATTTCTCAATAAAAAATTAGCACATGTCTTCAACTAAAATAAATGTTCTTGTTTTATGTGCCCTGTTTTACAAGACTATTAAACTGCTTTTTTTTAATTGTAGTTTTAGTATTCAGATAGGGATAGTATCAAATTGACCTGTATGTTAACAAAGTAAAATAAACTGTGAAACATGACTACATTAAATCTGAAAAATCTAAAAAATACAGGTAATCAAGTAAGTGGAGGCTAACAATGGAAAGTAAAATATATTTTATCTATACAAAATAATATATTTTCATAGTTGAGAAAAAAACTCATGTTTTAGGAATTGAAAGTTAAATTTAGTTTTACTTCAGAGGTGAAAATGATTCAAAATATTTTACTTAGAATAGCAAGGATTATATGAACTATTATGACAATATTATTGAATTATTCAAATTATCAATACCTGAAAACTTACTCCAGAACATAAGCTCTGCTTAATAACTTAATGTTATTTTTTCATTTCAGTTGTGAGTTAGTGTGAAAGCTAATGTAAAAAAAGTAAATGATTTAAAGTATTCTAACATATACACTAAAAAGTAGTTTATTTACGTTAATGTACACATACACACAATTAAAATGAAAAAATGAATATTTTAGATATGTTCATTGGTTTCTAAGGAAAATACTTTACAGTATAAAATCCCATTAATTCTTCCCATAAATTATTTCAATATGGAGACTTTAGAGGCCAAAACCATGTTACAGATCTGAAATGGAAATCAACACAGCAACATATGCACATTAAAATTGATGTAATTTTAAGATTCTCCATGGTCATTTGGAGGGAAAATATAAACCAGTCTGCTGATAAAATCAGGGGACTCTTATATTCAGTCATTTAAACCAATGAAATTTCTAATGGCTTTACTTGTGCTGTGGTGAATTTACTATAAATCCCACCAGTGTGACAGATTCAATCAGTCCATTTGTTGGAATAGCAGGTCATATTTGCAGCAGAATGATCCAGCACCAAATATTTCGAAATCACTAAAGATATTAAAAATGACAAAGAATGCAAAGAGCAAGAAAATAGCAGTCAGTACAACACAATTTCAGAAATAAAAGCCACTTAGATAACTGCAAAATTACCTGTAACTTGCTGTTGAAACAAATCGCTATCAAATTCTGCATTAAGAATATTTTGCACTTTAATTAGCTTCTGCTAAGTTTGACAATATTCCCTTTGGTGCAACTTTTCTGAATCATAATTTCTATTAAGAATCAGTGAAGCATGCTGAAAAAAACACTAGGTAATTAGGAGCTCTGTTCCCTAGACCAGCTCTGTGACCTTGAGAAAACGTTTGAGCTTCTCCAAGCCTGATTTCCTTAGTTGGAACATGAAAAAACAAACAAACAAACAAACAAACAAATCTGCAGCTCCTTCATTTCACAGTTAGCAGATTAGAAAACACATTTTAAGAAATCATTATCATATGAATGAAGACTGAAAACTAAAGCAGCAGGTGCTTGTGCGAGGCTCTATTTTCATAATTTTTGTGTTAAGGAATTTGCTTAAATAAAAATTTTTCTGATTAGTCTTAACATTATCTTATTACTACTTTGCAAATTATATGGGGATTTTTCATCATAGATTATTAGCTTATTTTCTTTTCCGTAGTCATCCTTTTTATATGTATTTTCTGTATCCCATTTTTATATTAACATTTCTGATAAATAAGATTAAAGAAAGGCAAAAATGCATAATAAGCTGATTTGCTGAAGTTTATGTCTAACTTCTTTGTCAAATAGCAGTATAACTATTAATTAAACTTCACTTCATAAGAAGAAAGTAAAATATAGTCTTATCTGAAATACTCTCTCTGAACTATTTGGAAGTCCCACAACATTAAAATATAAATAGAGACACCATCTTCTTTTGGAGGTCAAAAGTCTTGCCAGTCCACTTACTGTGGTCAAGGAAATTTAATACAAGTATCCTACAGAGGGTTAATTCCTAAACTATTGAACCTAATTTTATATATATATATATATATATATATATATATATATATATATATACACACACACACACACACACACACACACATAAATAGTCAACCTTTGTTATCTGTGGGTTCCACATCCAGGGATTCAACCAAATGTAGATGGAAAATATTCAGAAAAAATTATTAAAAATAGCAATGCAACAATAAGAATAATACCAATAAAAAATACAGTACAACTACTTATATAGTATTTAATGTGTATAGGAGAATATGCATAGGTTATATGCCAACTTTCATTTTGTATCAGCAACTTGGGCATCTGTGAATTTTGGTATCCACCAGATAACAAACTTGAGCATCTGTAGATTTTGGGGGTCCTGGAACCAATACCCCAGGGATAGCAAAGGGCAACTGTGTGTATATATCAGCTACTCATCCTGAAGTGTCTCCAAGTGTTTATTCCATACTTGATTCCTACTCAAATTGTATGCTGCCAATTAAAATAGGATATAGATAGATAAATAGATCATTATAGACACAAGATTATAGACACAGTAAATGATTATTGATCATTTACTCTCTGTGTCCTCAGGCAAATTATTAAACTCCATTTATTGGAACTTCAATTTCCTACTTTGTACAAAGAAAATAATACTAGTATCCAATTAACAATTGTGAATATTGGCTGGGTGTGGTGGCTCACGACTGTAATCTCAGCACTTTGGGAGGCCTAGGCGAGTGGATCCCTTTGAGGTCAGGAGTTCGAGACTAGCCTGGGCGATATGGCGAAACCCCATCTCTACTAAAAATGCAAAACTTAGCTGGATATGGTGGCACACACCTGTAATCCCAGCTACTCGGGAGGATGAGACACAAGAATTGCTTTAACCTGGGATGCAGAGGCTGCAGTGAGCCGAGATCGTGCCACTACACTCCAGCCTGGGCAACAGAGGGAGACAATCTCTCAAAAGAAAAAAAAAAATTTTTTTTGAAGATGAAATGTGGCAGTATGTGTCAGTGTCTAAAACAATGGAAACAAGGGCCTGCTTCATAGTAAACATTTAGTAAGTGTTGTATGTATTTTTATTATTAAAATTTTTTTATCATTGCTATTCCAGAACAAATTTTCTTAGCTATATATTGTTGATGCCTCCTATATCAAAACTTATAGGTGTACATGATATTAAATGGCTACACATGGCTTGTATAAGAATGCACAATCCATTTTTTTTTCAAATAGTACCATATTTTGGGATACATTATTTCTGCAAATTTTTGTTATTAAAAAAAGTCACTGTAATGGACATTCCTAAACATAGATTTTATCATATTTATGGAATTGGGGGCTGTTTGTTAAAAATTTATTTCAAATTGGCTTTTATCTAGGTCTTTAGTCTAGGATATGTTGTTAGTTTAATCATTTTAAGATACTGGTATCAATCATTAATACATGGACTATTGATATAATTCCATACCTAATTGCATTCAAATTAAAAAGTATAGTACTATATCTAATTACTATCAAAACTGACAATTTTAGGGTTTATTACCTTCTTAAATAGTTTTACTTTTAACGATGTATTATGGAAGTTATATGTAGATATCTGACTGATTTATATTAGTAGTAAACTAATTTTAGAACTTACGACTCTAAGATATTTTGACTTAGGGATTTGGTCATGTTTCTTCCGCCTTAATCCAAATGTGGGTTTGAAATTTCGTAAAAATCATTTAAAACACATTTAATGCTTTCTTATTTTATTTGTTTTGCTTAATAATAAAAAACTTTGAATAAGCTAGAAACATATTCACAGATTTTGGAAAGTCATATGCAACTAGATAATTGGTCATCACGTACTTTATACTAAAAATTGAAGAGTTGCCTTGTAAAATGGTTTTTGAGAAGATATTTGATAGCTGATCTTAGTCATTAAAAGAAGTTATAGACATAAATGAAAATACGGAATAATAGTGATGTCAGTGAAGAAAAGAAGGTAGAGATGATGATCAACAAGATAATGGCCAGAGTTAACATAGGGATGAGGCTCTGGTGACATTTTATGAAGGGAAGTTTAGGTTGAATAAGGAATTTAAGTAAACAATGATCTATTTAAGCTCAGGAAAATAAAGGAACAACCAAAGCTCACATCAGGTTGCCACTACTGTTTAAGAAATCATATCAAATCTTGCTCACCTGCTTCCCTAGGGTGTCTAGCCCAATAGGGTAGGATACTGGCTAGGCTTTGCTCTTATGGAAGAGCAAAAGTGTGTAGTTTCCAGAATGGTGCAGCTCTGAGAACTTAGAGATTGTGTTTTCCTTTCTTCTCATTTCACTGATGAAGGAACTTGTGCCTGAAAATTCCAGTACACCACTGGCTAGATGCAAGATTGGGATTGAATCGCAGATTTCTCTTTCTTTTATGTGGCAGAGATTTTACCATAATTTCTACAACCTGCACATTTTGTGCTCATACCATATGTACTCTACTTCGGCTTTCTGACCCAGGTTTCTTAATCCACATCTCCCAAGATTAAGCACGACTCCTTTTATGTGCTCTTCAAATATCATTCATCTCAAGTGTTGAACAAAAACACCTTCAGAAGTCATAATCCAGCTTTATCTTTACACTCATGAAGTAACAGATCCAGGTGAAATCAAGTGACTTCTGTAATCCAGACCCAAATCTAGAGAGAAAGTAAAATTATTTGTAATACTGCATTATTTCCAGTATAAGGCTCTTGCTGTAATTCTACAGCACCAGTTTAGGAGGATGTACTCAATGTTCTCTTGTTGTTATCTGGAAAGAGTTTTCACATCACCTTTTGCATGGTACTGGCTGACATCTCTCAGTCCAGTGGGACAATTATAAATTCTAGTCAAAATGTGTTTGGACAGTGATTCACATTGTACCTATAATTAACTGATTTGCATATACAAGTTAAAGTTTTATAGATTTATGTACCAATAAATCTATGTATCACAGAAAAACAATAAACAATACATTGTCCCATAACTAAAAATTCTAAAGTTTCAATTCTGACTGGATAAGCATTCAGCTAATGTGAATACTTTTCATTTATTTATTTTTAATATACTTTTAAATTTCAATAGCTTTTGGGGTACAAGTGGTTTTGGTTACATGCACAATTTGTATAGTGGTGAAGCCTGAGATTGTAGTGCACTCATTACCTGCATAGTGCACACTGTACCCAATATGTACCCTTTTATCCCAAAACTCCCTTCCATCCTCACTGCTGCAGAGTCTCCAATGTGCATTATACCACTCCGTATGCTTTTGCATATCCATAGCTTAGCTCCCACTTATAAATGAAAACGTAATGGTTATTGGTTTTCCATTTCCATGAGGACTTTTCTCACTACTTGGCTAAGTTCTGCTTTCCTTTGTGCTAGCTTCAGTTGCAGAAAAGCTCTATTGGCCGGGTGCAGTGGCTCATGCCTGTAATCCCAGCACTTTGAGAGGCCAAGGCAGGCGGATCACGAGGTCAGGAGATCGAGACCATCGTGGCTAACACACGGTGAAACCCCCTGTCCACCAAAAATACAAAAAAAAAAAAATTAGTCAGGCATGGTGGCAGGCGCCTGTAGTCCCAGCTACTCAGGAGGCTGAGGCAGAAGAATGGCGTGAACCTGAGAGGCGCAGCTTGCAGTGAAACGAGATTGCACCACTGCACTCCAGCCTTGGTGACAGAGTGAGACTTTGGACTTTGTCTCAAAAAGAAAAAAAAAAAAGGAAAGAAAAGCTCTCTATTTACATACCTTCACAACTCCAAATTCAGTGAAAAAATAAAACAAACTTCTCTTTCTCAGTAGTTTCAACAAAGTTCAGTGTTGGAGCCTTTGGTTCTCATGGCTTGGTTTAATCATGAGCATTACTTTTATTGTCTGAATAAATCAGAAGAATCAGAGCTCTAAAAGGCCAACCTTGGGTCACAAATCCACCCTTTGGAGAAAATGGAGTCAATTTCACCACATAGAATAATAACTAAGGGGACAGGTCTCCAGGGAAAATTGGGAGAGTATTATCAGAATCAGACAGAACACATCAAATATGGACTGCAAAATCTATTACCTGTTTTATTACCTGTAGAGTCATTCACTTTTTAAAGAAACATCTGAGAAAAACAGTGTGATGAATTCATCTGTGTCCAAGCTAAGTCTAATCTGAAGTTCATGTACCATTAATTAGCACATATGCTAAATAGGATGCGGCCCTCCAGAAAATGGTTGCTTATACCTTTAACCATTGTTATAAAATATGACACCAGAGAATTTTTAATTAGCATAAAAGGTATTAGAAATGACTCCTTCCTGATGAAATCTATGTACAAGATAGATGACTAGTGATAAAAGTTGCATCAATTCCATTGCCTGTGTATACAAGACAGAAGAAACCTTCTAGTGTCAGAGCCTAACAATTTCAGAATAACCCAAGACCTAGAGCTCCAGCGCCCCTGTTCCTACATTTAACGAAAGGGGAAATTGTCAGAATAATTAAAATATTGTTGCTTCTGTACCAGTGAGTCTTTCATACAAGGTGCTAACATCAAAAGCAGGCTCTAATTGGAAGGGCATTGAATATAATTTAGGTACAAACAGCAGTTTTTGATAATAAGCAAACATTTAGCAAAACAGTACCTTTTTAAATGGTTAGCACAATTGCTCAGAAAACAAATTGTGTCTACCGCAACTGAAACTTACAAAAAAAGAAGCTTATAACCAAATACATGAACTAAGCCACAAACTTGCAATACCAAGAGCAATATTAGAGTATATTATCATAATTTTATGCTACAAATTCTGACAAGCAGTAATTTTTTTTTCTTGTTTTTCATTATATCTGTTTGACTTTCAACTGATGTTGTTTAATGTTTATATCCAGGATTCTATCGCAATCAAAAAGTCATGTGCTAGCCAGGCATAGTGGCTCACGCCTGTAATCCCAGCACTTTGGGAGGCCAAGGTGGGTAGATCACCTGAGGTTAGGAGTTCGAGACCAGCCTGGCCAACACGGTGAAACCCTGTCTCTACTAAAAATACAAAAATTAGCTGGACATGGTGGCAGGTGCCTGTAATCCCAGCTACTTGGGAGACTGAGGCAGGAGAATCACTTGAACCTGGGAGGCGGAGGGTGCAGTTAGCTGCAAAAAAAAAAAAAAAGAAAAGAAAAGAAAAAAAAAGTCATGTGCTTTTAACCCATTTGAAATATTGATATACGAAACTGTTAGAAAATGGTAGTTTTATCTAAACTCAAATATGTAAGTGGAACTAGTTTTATTAATGTGAATGGGTATATATTATTACTGCTAATTACTTAATAGTATCAAATACACCATCTGTAAGCAGTAAATGCTTGTGTTTTATATTTTATTAGAAACTTTGCAATTAATATTCCAAAACAAAATAAAGATAAGAGCTCTTCCATTGCTGACCTCCACCTATGGTCCTTCTTCTACTGTGCTAGTGACACTATTTCCTTCCTTTGTTCTTTCAGACCCACATTAGCACATGAGATTCTGAGAACAAATTGCCTTCCTGTTAATTCTGATATACTATTTTCACGTCTTAACAGTCCATTTTACAGCACAAGAGCAAAGACTTCCTCATTCCAGGTTCTTGCATTGGGACTAATCAAGGAAACAACTTGATCCATGAAGATCGAAAAGCAAGGCAGAATGATGGCCCACCAGGAGAAACACAGAGCCAAGGGAACCTCCACTGCCCAGGAAAGTGGTGAGTGATTGTGCAACCCTGGGAAAACACACTTCTCCCCTGGATCTTCACAACCCTAGGGTCAGAAGTTCCCCTTATGAACCCACTCCACCAGAACCCTCAGTCTGTCACACAGAACCACATGGAGTCTCAGCACAGCAGCCACTCGTGCATGCATGGAGACAAAAGACCTTTAGATGCTCTGGCCCTGGGCTTCCCTGCATAAGCAATTGCAATTCCAGCAAAGTGAGAGGTTACACCCTCATAGCACACCCCTAGGAAAGAGACTAAATCCAGGGGTCCAAGGAGTGAAAGTCTGTGGGCCCCACTTCCATGGCACCTCACAGAATAAGACCCACTAGTTTGGAATTCCAGCCAGCCACGAGTAGCAGTGTTGCACCTACCTGGGACAAAGCTCTTAGTGGGAGGGGCAGGCCACCATCTTTGTTGTTTGACCAACTTAGCCATTTCAGCCTTCGAGCTCTGGAGAGTCCAAACCAACTGGGGGTGAAAGGGATCACCCAGCACAGCACAGCTGCTCTACCAAAATGCAGTCAGACTGCTTTTTTTAAACAGGTCCCCAACCGTTTCTCATCACAAGGTGGAGCTTTCCAATCAGGGTCTCCAGCCACCTCCACTGATGTTCTCCATCTGACAGAGGTTTCAGACCTCTGGGGGATGGAGCTCCAAGGAAGAGAGGCAGGCCACCATCTTTGCTGTTTGGGTGACTAAGTCATTCCAGCCTTTTGCCTTTGGAGTGTCCGAGGTGACCAGGGGCTGAAGTGGACCCTCAGCACAACATAGCTGCTCTACAAAAATGCGGCCAGAGTACATTTTTAAGCAGATCACTGATCCTGTTCCTCCTGACTGGGTGAGACTTCCCATCTGAGGTCTCTAGCCACCTCCTACAAGTGTGTTTTGGCAGGCAACAGGTTCACACCTCCCTAAAATGGAGCTCTCAGGGGAAGGAAAAGGCTGCCATTTTTGCTGTTTTGCAGGCTTCACTGGTGATACCTCTGGGTACTGGAAAATCCAAAGCAACTAGGGACTGGAGCAGACCCCCAGCATGCTGCAGCAGCCCTACAGAAAAGTGATCAGACTGTTAAAAGAAAAAAAAAATCCAAAGGTCAGCAACTTCAAAGATTGTAGGTAGATAATCCCACAAAAACGAGAAAGAATCAGCACAAGAATGATGAAAACTCAAAAAGCCAGAATGCCCAGTTTTCACCAAATGACTGCATCACTTCTCCAGCAAAAGTTCAGAATCATGCTAAGGCTGAGATGGCTGAATGTCAGAAGTAGAATTTAGAATATGCATAGGAATTAAGTTAACTGAGCTAAAAGAATACATTGTAACCCAATGAAAGGAAGCTAGAAATCATGATAAAACATTGCAGAAGCTGACAGTACAGAGAAGAATGTAACCAATCTGGGAGAGATGAGAAACACACTTCAAAAACTTCATAATGCAATCACAAGTATTAATAGCAGAATAGAATAAACAGAGGAAAGAATCTCAGAGCCCAAGGATCTGCCTTTTTGAAAAAAGACAGGATGACAAGAATAGAGGAAAAAATGAAAATTAGTGAACAAAACCTCCAAGAAATATGGTATAATATAAAGAGACCAAATCTACAACTGACTGGCGTACCTGAATGAGATAAGGATAAGAACCAACACGGAAAGCATATTTCAGTATATCATCCATGAGAACTTCCCAACCTTGCTAGAGAGGCCAACTTTCAAAATCAGGAAATGCAGAGAACCCCAGTAAGATACTCCATGAGAAGATCATCCCCAAGACACATAATCATCAGATTCTTCAAGGTTGAAATGAAAGGCAGCTAGGGAGAAAGCCAGGTCACCTATAAAGGGAAGTCCATCAGACTAACAGCAGATCTCTCAGTGAAAACCCTATAAGTCAGAAGAGATTGGGGGCCAATATTTGAGATTCTTAAAGAAAAAAACAATTTCAACCCAGAATTTTATATCTTGCCAAACTAAGCTTCATAAGTGAAGGAGAAATAAGGTCCAGACAAGCAAATGCTGATGGAATTCATGACCACCAGACCTACCTCATAAGAGATTATGAAGGAAGCACTGGATATGGAAAGGAAAGACCATTACCAGCCAGTACAAAAACACAATTAAGTACACAGACCACTGACACTATAAAACAACCACATAAACAAGTCTGCAAAATAACCAGCTAATGTTATGTGACAGACAAAATAAAATCCACAGATATCAATAGTAACCTTAAATATAATGGGCTAAATGCCCCCAATTAAAAGACGCAGGATGGCAAGATAGATAAAGAACCAACACCCATCGGTATGCTGTCTTCAAGAGACCCATCTCACATGCAATGACACACATGGGCTCAAAATAAAGGGATGGAGAAAAATCTACCAAGCAAATGGAAAACAGAAAAAAGCAGGGGTTATAATCCTAATTTCTGAGAAAACAGACTTTAAAAGAACAAAGATCAAAAAAGACAAAGAAAGGCATCACATATTGGTAAAGGGTGCAATTCAACAAAATCTAACTATCCTAAATATATATGCACCAAACACAGGAGCACCCAGATTCATAAAGCAAGTTCTTAGAGACTTTCAAAGAGACTTAGGCTCCTACACAGTAACCGTGGGAGATTTTACACCTCACTAACAATATTAGACAGATAATTGAGACAGAAAATTAACAAAGATATTCAGGACTTGAATTCAGCACTGCATCAAATGAACCTGACAGATATCTACAGAATTCTCTACCCCTAAACAACAGAATATACATTCTTGTCATTGCCATGTGGCACTTGTTTTGAAATCAATCACATAATCGAAGTAAAGCACTCTTTGGCAAATGCAAAAGAACTGAAATCATAACAAACAGCTTCTCGGACCACAACACAATCAAATTGGAAATTGAGACTGAGAAATTCACTCAAAACCATAAATTACATGGAAACTGAACAACCTGCTCCTAAATGACTTTTGGGCAAATAATGAAATCAAGGCAGAAATCAAATAGTTTCTTGAAACTAATGAGAACAAAGATACAACATAACAGAATCTCTGGGACACAGCCAAGGAGTGTTAGGAGGCAAATTTATACCACTAAATGCCCACATCAAAAAGTTAGAAAGATGTCAAGTTAACAACCTGATATCACAACTAAAAGAAATCGAGAACCAACAGCACACAAATTCTAAAGCTAGCAGAAGACAAAAAATAACCAAAATCAGAGCTGAACTAAATGAGATAGAGACACAAAAAACCATTAAAAAGATCAACAAATCCAAAAACTGATGTTTTGAAAAAAAATAATAAAATAAATAGACTGCTAGCTAGACTAATAAAGAAGAAAAGAGAGAAGATTCAAATGAACATATTCAGAAATGACAAGGGGGATATTACCACTGACCCCAAGAAATACAAACAACCATCAGAGAATATTAGGAACACTTCTATGCACATAAACTAAAACATCTAGAAGAAATGGATAAATCCTTGGACACATACACCCTCCCAAGACTGAACCAGGAAGAAATTGAATCCCTAAATAGACCAATAATGAGTTCTAAAATTGAGGCAGCAATAAATAGCCTACCAACCAAAGAAAATCCAAGACCAGACAGATTCATAGCTGAATTCTGCCATATGTAAAAAGAAGAGCTGGGGCTGAGTCAGTGGCTCACGCCTGTAATCCCAGAACTATGGGAGGTCAAGGCAGGCAGATCACAAGGTCAGGAGATCAAGACCAGCCTGGCTTACATGGTAAAACCCAATCTCTACTAAAAATACAAAAACAAAATTAGCCGGGCCTGGTGGCGGGCGCCTGTAGTCCCAGCTGCTCGGGTGGCTGAGGTGGGAGAATGGCGTGAACCCAGGAGGCAGAGCTTGCTGTGAGCCGAGATTGTGCCACTGCACTCCAGTCTGGGCGACAGAGTGAGACTCCATCAAAAAAAAAAGAGCATTATGTTTTAATACATGTAATTGAGTTAATTTGGATTCATTTTTATCTGCTAGCTTAGGTTCTTACTGCAACTAATAGATGAAATCACTTTTGGTGTTTATGTCAGTCTTCGTAATGTGTAGTACTGCAGTTCCTGATAATGAAATGGTTAAGGAAATGAAAAGTTCTTCCTTAGAGGCTTGATTCTGCTGCACAAACTATGAAAGAGGTATTTGGAGATATTTTTCTTAATATGATTTAAAGAGTCATAGAGTTTGAAATAAACTTCAAAAAGATTGTATGTTAACTTTTGACATATTTCATTTTCCCATTTTAAAATTTTTGCTCTGATAATATGCCTTTAAAGTAAAAACATTTGTTTCCTATAGGTAGTATATCATAAAAGAGATACTATCAGAATTAAATTAGAGAAATAAAACCATTAGGGATCACGCAGAATAAGCGATTTACTCTAGGGCTTTGACTTCATGTGATTTTAGTAGCTGCTAAAATAGTCCTGGTCTGCTGTTTCTACTCCATCTGCTACTGAGCTTGATGACACAGGAGTGGTGGTGATGTTTGAAAAATGGGCAAGTGGAGAAAAGTAATAACTGAAACTTGTGTCTGTTTCCCATGGAAACCCACAGTGGCCTCTTCTTTCTAAGCCTCCAACCTCAGTGCCACGGATGACTTGTGGAAGACACTGTCACTGTAGCCAAAGAGCCAAACTTAAACCTCGCTCAGAACTGAGATGTTGACAGAAGATCTTGAGCAGAAGCTGAAAACCTGGACTGGTCCACTGTCTGTGCCGATGTGAACGAAGCAATCTGCAGAAACTTTCATGAGTCTCAAAACATCCAGTCTTCATCAACCTTCCTAGAGTAAACACACCTACTGTTTTATTTTACTTTCTCAATCTTACAGATACCTTTTGTGGCTAAATCTAAGCAAAAACTAACAAGAAAAAAATTGGGGAAAATGTAGTTCAGCTTAGCCAAGTTAACACATTCTAAAGCCACCATAAACTACTTTTTGTCAGCTAGTCATCCAAACATGCCTCTTCTTACCATAGTTAACTTCCCAAGAAAGACATTAGCAAAGTCATGCTTCAACCTAGTATTATGCCCCTATCCTGCATACAAACACAAAGCAAGCTAACCTTCTTCCCATAAAGGGTGTAATATCCTTTCATCCATTGTTAATTAATGTTCATTTTTCTGGCTGAGTCACAAATCCTCTTTGATAGTCTAAAACTAAGACATTGACCCATTAAATTAACTAGTATTAACAAATCTGATGTTAGCTGAAGAATAAGAAATGGAAAGAGAAAATAATTGGTTAATAAATGTATTATGGTAGTAATGAAAACTAAAAGAAATACACATGACTTGTACAGTTTTCATTTCTCCCTCTGGTAACGTGGTTGTAGCTGGTAAATAGCTAACTTCTGCCACTATCCATTCTATATCTCCATATCTCCTGTGCTCTTAGCTTGTTGAAGTTCCTTGCCTACTGGTGTGATTCAAGCTTTTACTACTGTCTGAACTGAGTTGCTGAATTGGTTCAGCCCTGCCTGAATTAGGTTGTTTTAGTTTTTCATTGACTTGAACCACGGGATATGGAAGTACAAAGAGGCATCTCAGGGAATCTTCTGCATTCCTGACATAATCTGTTTTTTATTCACGTTGTGTAGTAGCAACCCAAATTCCTCTCGAAATTCACAATCACTTCAAGTAGTAAAAACTCAGTACCTTGCCATATAATTTACCAGCATCAGTACCCAAAATAGTCATGTTAACCTCAACTTCCAGTTTAAGGTAACCTACTGTGTGTCCCATGGTGGAAATATTTTATCTTTGGAAACTAAAAACATTAGAACAGCAAAGTCTAATGTTGTGGAGATAGGAAGCTATTGGATTAATAAGGGTGCTATTGAAAAAGTTGTTCCCATTAACATCCCTTCTTTGATTTCTGAACCCAGGTAGAAAACATAAAACAAAACATAACACCAAATACAATAAATTGGGAGAAATTACCCAGGCTCTGTAAGGTACGACTTTGGGAGATTTGATTTCTTTATAAAAATTGTGAGAGAGGGAGAGGAAGCTAGCAGATATTATTCTTGCTATGATTAAACAGTGGTACAGTTTGAAAAGTACACTCTGTAGCTTCATTTACCTACTTGAGCTATTGTGTTTTATTTTCAATTTTGTAATTTGTGCTATTTGAGTTTTATCTTAAATTTTGCAATCTTTATCCTGACAATATTCCACTGAAGCATGAATATTTATTTCCCAAGTAATGCTGCTGTTGAGAAATGAGATATAGAGTATTGGAATGAAAACAGCAAGGGTTTTACAGGTAGACAGCCTGGGTTCACATCTTGGCCTTCTTGTGAACTAGAAATAATCTTCAGAGAGTTAGCTAATGCCTACGACTCTAAGCTTTCTCATTATTAAATAAGTATAATAGTAATTTCACAGTGTTTTGTCAGAGTTAAAAAATATATAAATCACTTAATAATAGGACATAATAAAATTATTCTAATTGTCTTTTAAATAGTAAAATACATAATTTCTATAAATTAATCAAGTTAAAATATTAGAAGTAATGTGAAATCATAAATCAATAATTTTATTCAAAAAAGCATCCTAGAAGTTGCATTCTGCTATTTATCTTGCATAACAAATACTAAAACAATGTATTTACTTTTGTTTTTACACATCTTTGTTGACCATTGAAAGAATCCAATTGCATTTACTTAAATATACATTTTAAAAGATGAGTCTTTTATTAAATACATAACACACATATGCATGTTATTATATAGGTTCGTTTGATTTCTTCATAATGTTTATATTTGCAAATCTTACAGAAATGTGAGTACTTCATTTTGTGTTTTGTAGTTTATTTCCCATCACAGTTTATTCTGAATTTACACTGTTTACTCAAGTCCCTAAGCTAACTTTTTTTTTTTTTTTTTAAGATGAAGTCTCACTCTGTCACCCAGGCTGGACTGCAGTGCGCGATCTCAGCTCACTGCAACCTCCGCCTCCCGGGTTCAAGCAATTCTCCTGCCTCAGCCTCCAGAGTAGCTGGGACTACAGGCACCTGCCACCACACCTGCCTAATTTTTGTATTTTTAGTAGACACGGGGTTTCACCATATTGGCCAGGCTGGTCTCGAACTCCTGACCTTGTGATCCGCCTGCCTCGGCCTCCCAAAGTGCTAAGACCCTAAGCTATCTTAAAAGTTATTAAATGAATTTACACAGAAGTTTTATTATAGTAGTTCCAGCTTACCTGCAGTTTCTCCAGCGTAGGTTTCAGTTACCTACAGTCAACTAACTGCAGCCTGAAAATATCAAAAGGAAAATTCCAGAAATAAACAATTCATAAGTTTTAATTGTGCACCTTTCTGTGCAGCATAATTATATCCCTTGTCCTCCCACTCTGTGTATCCTGGACATGAATCCTCCTTTTGTCCAGCATCTTCACCTTCTCTGTGCTAGCCTCTCACCCATTAGTCACTTAGCAGCCAGCCATCTCAGTTATCAGATCTTTTGCCTGGATATAAGCAGTGCTTGTGTTCAAGTAACCCTTATTTTACTTAATAATGCCCAAAGCATAAGATTAGTGATGTTGACATATTGATATAATTGTTCTATTTTTGTATTGTTGTTAATCTCTTCTGGTGCCTGGTTTAGAAACTAAACTTTATCATAGGAATGTATGTATATGAAAAAACATAGTATGTACAGCTATCAGCATCCACTGGAGTTCTTAGAACTTATCTCCAGCAGATATGGGGAGACCACTGTGGTGAGTTAGGGAAAATATGTTACCTATCAAATCTTTGATTAAACTGGCCATCTGATTGTAGCCAAAGCATGAATTTTTTTAAAGGATGGGGAAGTCAGTATACCAGTATTTTGGTCAAGGTTAACAATGAGTGTTTTGAATCTTTCATCCACTCTTTATTCTAATTTTAAAGCATCTTAAATCACACATAAAGACATAGCCGAAACTATCTCCTTTCATTTAGTTGCATGTTCCCTAATCTTATTTATATTCTAAAATAGTTAGAACATGTCATTATGAGTTCCTAAAATAAATTTTCATCTTTATACTAAGTGTTCAAATTATTTCCCTATTTATTCTAAATGTTCATGAGAAGACACCTGTTTGTTTTTTCTAGGTTAATATTTATAAAAATGAGGCTTGGAATCATAAACACTTTCAATAGTTCTTTAGAAACAATATAGAAAACAAAACTTGCATAGAAATACTCTGAGTGAGCTTTTAGTTATAAATTGACAGAAAAGAGAAAATAAGTTATGATGGCAATTATGTAAATGAATGTACAAAATTAGCTTGCCACTGTACTTGTTTCAGGAATAATCTTACAAGTAAGAGGCAAACAAAGGAATTAGAGATAAACTAGTTCAAAATACAACTGTCGTTGGCATAAATGGCCTCCCTTCATTTGATCATTGCATAGATAATATTAATCTTTATTTTTGAAAATTGTTATTGATTTATGTATTTTTATTCTGTATCATATGCTTATTGAGTTAAAATTTAAGCTGCTCAAGAATTTCTGAGTTGAGATACAAACATCTGAAGAGATGAACCATTTAATATATAATGAGAAATTAACACACCCACCATAGAATAACCAAATACTTAAAAAATACAAATATTTCAGCAAATGAAACAAAAACCTGATACAGAGTCTACATTTACTATTAAATTATTTTATAATTTTGTCCAATGTATCACTGTCCATTTTGAATAATTTAATATTAATTTATTTGAATGTCATTCATTCAGATCTCACAAATTCTAAAAATAAACTACACATGACATGCACTAGAAAATAAGAACTTACGTATTTGAATGTCATGTGCAAGAGAAAGTATGAGTACAAATGCAAACTCTTTTTGAACATAGTAAGTCTATGAAAAGTAAGTTGAACTGTTCCCCCATTCCTCTATCAATAACCTCACCGTCAACAATAAATGTTTATTTAGGTCCACTTGAATATGACAATACATTATGGAGTTTGGATTCTATGAGGAATAAAAAAGACCCTACAATCTAGAGCAAGTAAATAAAGAGGAAATTAACAAGGGGAGTTAAAATAAATATTTCAGGTATTTAAAAATGTGAGTGATTATCAATAGACCTAAGAATGAAACTATCAAGAAGGTGGTTTGTGAAAATAATGCTAATTATCTGCTAGGCACTCCCTAAATACTTTATAAGCATGCCCTTGTTTAATCTCACAACAGCACTATAGAATAAGTAGTGTTGTTTTCCCAAGTAAACAGATGGGAGAAAATGGGGTGTAAGTCAAATTGCTCAAGGTAACAAACTAATAAGGTGCCACAATCTGGATTTTTCCTCCTCTGAAATTTAACCGGAACAAAAGGTAAGAGAAGAAAGACCCTGAAGCTAGAGAGGACATTTTCAAAAGACAATTGTAAGACAATATAAATGCACATATAAACAGCACTAAAACAGAAAAAAACTGTGGAACATATTTCTAATCATATTCTGATAATAAATCGATAAGAATGATTGTGTTTGCTCCTCAAGTTTGTATATAAAAAGGATAAAGTTTTGTCACTGGTTTCTGGAAACAGATTCTGCTGGCAACAATATTGATTTATTTTTCCTTTGTTTTCTTATTCCCACCACCTCAATTTATATTTCTAATGATTTATAAATAATAATAAAATCCTGGACCACTAAATAATTTGCTGGGCACTGTGGTAAATATTTTAAATCCTCAGGCCCAGGCTAAAGTTTTATGTACACAGCACCACAATTCCAACAAGAAAATCACAAAAGCTGACAACATTATAAATTTTGTGTTTTTTATTTTTCAGTTTTACATGTAGCTGCAGAGTTACTTTTCTACAACGTTTATTTTATATTTTACATATATTTTATAATCT
The DNA here is from genome assembly GCF_000001405.40 of Homo sapiens. Classification (NCBI taxonomy): domain Eukaryota; kingdom Metazoa; phylum Chordata; class Mammalia; order Primates; family Hominidae; genus Homo; species Homo sapiens. Next base: position 77,215,975 of record NC_000008.11, on the reverse strand, counting down.
AATTGAATATTTTCTATAGCAAAAAAAATAGTTTGCCTGCTTTTTTGGAGATATGGATTTTCCTGACAAAGAGGGGAGGGGATCTTTTTAAACTCACTACTTTCTAGCTTTATATATACAGTAAATTAAAAAATTCCTTAGATTCATTTATAATCCCTTGCCAAAAAATAAAATAAAATTCCTTGTAAGCTAACAGTTGGAATAAAGTCTTTGAATGCTTACACATAACGTTTTAGCATAATGTAACATTTATAATAATAAGCAAGATATTCATTTAATTTGAAATATATAGCATGTTAGAATCTTCATAAATATATTTTCAGAATAGTAAGGGAACAAAAAGAACATGAGAATGAAAAGAAAGGAAAAAAGTAATGGTAAATACAATTACCTTAGGTGAAAAGAAAATAGAATGTGTCATAATATAAAACATGAGAAGTAAGATAAAATAATGTTTAAACAGAACTTACAAATTTGACAATCATAAGAAAGATAAAGAAACTTACACAAAAGTCCAAGTCCTGGCTCTGGTATACTAGTAAACCAGCCCCCTGGAAAATAAATTCTGATTTGAGTGGTTGCCTATATCCATGGTGTAAATACTCCTACCATGGTCAGTTGCAAGCTATCAACTTAGTATTACTGAACAAGGAATTGGGAAGACATGTTAACAGTCTAGTCTCACAATCCAGTGGGAACCAGCTTCAGCATACCTTCGCTCTTGCTCTTCCTCCATCTACTTTGAGATGTTCTTTGCAAGCACAAATTGAATTTCCTGTTTTTGGAATGTATATGTAATCTACAATACAATGAACATAACATGGTTAAACTAGATAAGCCTGAGCTGCCAAGGCAATATTTACTTCACTAGTATTTTTGTACTCACATTTCAGTTCCATGAAGAACTATATTCAGCTTTTGCCCCAAAATACTGCCCTTTCCAAAGGCAGTAAAATAAAATGTCCTTTCTTGACTGCATGAATAAAATGGTCGAAAGACATGATTACAGTACACACCCTAAGGAGTAGATCCAACTAGACAATTAATATCAAGATTTCTTATACAAGAAAGTAATAGAGTTACATTCCAAAGTAGCAGAGCATGGCTGAAAGAACTGTAAAGGATGCATGTTAAAGTGCTAGAAGAACATGGAAAAGACAAAAAGAGTGCAATGTGAACCCCAGAACAACTTAGTCTTTTAATTATTCCCTAATGATAAAAAGTAATATAAAAGTTTTACTGAATGTCACTTATTTTCTGTTCTACGTAAATTATGGTAGCAGAGTCAACATGAATGCCATTGTATGATACACTTCTTTTTAAAAATATTATACGTTAAAGCCTCGGATAAACAAATCTAGCCTATTTTAATCAACATTCTTGAACAGGGGTGGGCAAAACCAGTCTCAGCAGCATTCCCTTACAGACTTTGCTTTAATGGGATTTGTTTTTGCTTGGATGAACTAAATGGATCTAAGCCTATATGTGAGTCATTTGATTTCAAGATTGAGAGTATTTGTTCATGTCAGCAATAAAATGTTTATTTGGGAATAGCACAATTAACCATCAGCTAGGTAACCAAGGATGAGAATTAGTTTCCCAGGCAGAGGAGGTAGAGCATTCAAAACAGGAGAAAAGATATATGCAGAGGAAGCTGTTAGGATTCTTTTGCTGCAAGATACTAAGATATAGCAGTGAGTGTCCTGAAATAAACTGAAAGGTAAATAAGAAGTCATGAAGGTTTTTACTCTTCCCTTGAGGTTTTCTATTTACTTGGCAGATCAACTGTTTTAAAATTTTGTTTAGAACAGCAGACGCTTTATGGAGCAGATAGTATTATTTATTCATGATCTCCCATGACCTCTGTGCCCTTGCCATGGTTTCACTATGGGTTTAGTATGCTTCTTGACTGATTGTCATAGGCCAATGTCATTTGGACAGATAGGATATGAGCAAACTTTGAAATGTACTTGTATTATTTGATCTGTCTCTAGGACATCTGCATGCTTCATAGGGACAGCAAGTCACAAAAGGCCACTCATACCAAAAAACATGTGAAGAAAATCTGAACTACCTGTCACAAAACCACCTCAGCAAATCCTAAAACCTATGAACAAAGAAAATGTTTGTCATTGTAAGACTTTGAAAGATGCTTATTACATAGCATTATTAAGGTGATTGTTGACTAATGCTTTCTCTTTAAATGTAATTTTAGCTGGGCCTAATATATAAAATATGCAAAGCAGAATTGTTAGAGTTGAGTGGCAGTGAGAGGCTCAAAAGACCGCTTTGGTTAGCTCCCTTTTACCTCTTCCTGGTGCCCTTGGTTTAAAGGAAATTCGATTGTTAGTTGGGAATATAAAAGAATTTTAAGTGGAGGAGTACCACAATCAAATGTCTGTCTGTGCATACTGTACATGTTTAGAGCCAATTTAGTAACAGGAGTATGAATGGAAAATGATACCAATGGGCAGAGAGAATGCCGAAGTACAAGAGACAGATGCTGAAGACCTGAAATAAGTGACAAGAGAAAGATAAAAAGGGGGAATTTAAGACATTTTAGCAGGGTAGCTGACCTGACTAGAATATCAATGGGAAAAGCATCTAGGAAATGGTCCCCTTCTGCCCCCTGGTATTAATTCATACCCTTAAACAACGAAGATATAATATTTCCACCTTATCACATGACTGTCTAATCACTTGTGGCAGAATAAGAAAGTGACTTAGTGAGCATTTACTATGTATCAGACAGTCGTAAATGAGAACCATAGTGGAGGAAAGATTTTTTTCTCATTCATTGCAAGATGCATGGCTGATGCCCCTATAATAAAATACAGATTAACAAGACAAAAGCATAAAAATTTATTTAATATAAGCTTTATGTGACACAGAAGCCTTTGTAAGGAAATGAGAACCTAAAGAAGTAAGTAAACCTGTATATTTTTTATGTTATTTTTGATTTTAAAAAGTGAATGGTCATGAAGAAATATGATTAGACAATAACTAACAGGTTGGGGGTGGGGGTTAGCTAGTCTTGCTTTTGTAGATTCTTCTCCGTGTACCTATGTCTTCAAAGATAAAGATATTCCTTTCCTCTGGGTATAGGAATGGCACCTCTCAAATGTAGGTCTTATGAATTGCTTCAGGGAAGAAAGGCAAGGAGAAAGTGAAAGCAGTCTTCCTGATTCTGCTGTTTCCTCAAATGCCAAGGTGCCATATTTTGGAGTAGCATGGTTTGAACCCCGTCAGTACAGGAAAAAACACATCATACCTGTGGAAATTTGGACAAAATAATGAAAACTTGATAACCAGGTAATATTAATGTTATATATCATTTAATTTTCTTCTTGTTTAAATATCAATTAGATAAGATAAAGAATGATGATGACGAAAATGATGACGATTATTTTAAAATCATGATTTCTCCAAGTAAGGAGAAGAAATTAGAAAAACAGCCTGATGGACTGAAATTAGAAACTATCATAATTTTTTTAAAAAACAAGGAAATTATTTTAATGGACAGTATAGTTGAAAAAAACACATGGGCGCTGGCATTAAATAAAATAGTAGCTAAAAAGAAGATAATATGCAGTTGGATAGACTTTTTGGTTTACATGGACTCTCAACAACTGACCTCTCAAGCAGTCAGGCTCTACACACGTCAATCTCTCAGGAACGGTGTTAGTCAAGCGAGAATCCTGAGCAGTGGCCGCCATATGGAAACAATAAAGGGTCAAAGAGGAATTGGAGACAAGTGCTCCTGCTCAGGAAATCTCAGTGGAGGCCAAAGGGTGTAATCGTCTGGTTCCCTAATTTATCTTCTTGTAACAGCACCCTTAGATCTCAATGCTGAATCAGAGCACTAAGCATCACTTCAAGAAAGTAAGTGCTTAGCCGTGGATCACAGGGCAGGGCTGCTTTGATGCTCAGGGTTTGCAGACTGGTGAATTGGAAGCTTGAAGTTTTCACATTGAAGGAAACAACTTTGATATAAGCCTTGGGGCTGACATATCAAGAAAGGACTTCTGAGAATCAATTGATGATAAAAGCTCTATCCTGTTTTAACTTACTTTTGTGTGTGTGAAAAGAATGGTACCAATTATTCTGTTTGCTAAGCTGGTTGGTTGTTCCTGTGGGAGGATGCCCATACTCTATAGTAAAGGGATGCTAACCCAAAGAGACATGTCTAATGAAACCTTTAACGTAAGGAAATATCACCAACAACCTTAGAACCTTCAGAATTGTTTCCACTTAAATGGTATTAGATAGAATAGAAAGTATAAATATTCAGCTGCTTTAGGTAATGCGTAAATAATGGGGTAAGAGATTCTCTCATATTGAATAGTATGAGCTAATGCAATTGATTGCAAGCAATGAGAATCTCCAGAAAAAAAAAATCTCACTGGTCTTAAAACTCAGAAGAAATGTATTTGAGAGTATTAGAATAAATTTTCTAAGACTAGAAAAAAAGATGCAAGTTTATTCAAATTTCAGTGGTTACACCAAAATATTTGCTCAAGTACATATTACTCAGTGTCCTCCCAAAAGCCTACAAACTTTAAAATTACATATTATTATATTTGTATACTACATACATTCAATATTGTTGGAGAAGTTATGTGCCCAAGCCATATGCACTTTAATACAGTGATGTTATATTAATTAACACATTTAAAGATGTCCTATAAGGGCAGGAGGGCTTTTTTACATCTGACCTAATTTTGCTAGTTTATAAAATGTAAAGATTAGATTACATGAATTTTAAGGTCCCTTCCCACGTTAGAACTATAGGATATTGAATACCAAATGGCTAAATTGTATCATTAAGATATGTAAAACTTTCAAAAATTTTGCCATTTGGATATATCATATATATGATATATATATATATCATATTTACATGTTTACAGCAGAATTCTCATAAATATCTATAGAGTATGTTAGAACTCTATGAAAATAAGTGTCTAGACATACACTCATTTTTAAAATGAAGAAAACAGGAATTTTACAAATGGCTGTAGTAAATGTTTTCTGATTAGATGAAATATGAAAATTGATAATAAATATGATATTTATCACCTGATCAAAAATACACAAAGGATTGTAAATTCTGAATTTACTCCACTTTTTAAATTATAGTTGAAGGTTTGCCTAAGATTATTACAGTAATATACTGTACTCTGACTTGAAAATAACAATAGCTATCACATCAATTTAATTACAAATTCTAAACAATTATGTCATTACTTTAATTATAAATTCTTAGTAATTATTTTAGGCAATAAGATAGTAAAAAATGTTAACGTTAAAATAAGCAAGCATGAAAAATGGAAAAAACTATACATTCCCACAGACTATAGTCTCAGGCAAGTGTAAATAAATTCAAGACTCTTGTCAGACATTTCAGATACATATTTAAAAAGTCAAATATTCTAAATTCATGAAGTTGTGTAAGATCATTTATTCTTCTATATTGATCATTACAGTCATTATAAACATGAACCCATTAATACACTGAAACTGTTTTTGTCAAGACTGCCAATGTCTTATGTAGCTAAGTTTAATGGTGAATTTTAGTTCTTATCTTACTATCCGCAGCATTTTTAACAGGTGATTACTCCTCTCTCCTTGCAACACTTTTGACACTTGGTTTCCAAGACTTTCTACTCTCCTGGATTTCTTTTGACCTCACTGTTCCATTCTTTCCTTGTTTTTCACATCCTTGATCTCTTAAAATTGGAGTGCCAACAAGGATTTTTCCTTGTTTCTCTTTGTTCTCAACATTCACTTCTTGGTCTCTCATCCCTTCTTTTGCCTTTAATACAATCTATATGCTGACAATTTTCAAATTCATATCTTTAATTCAAAACTTTCCCCCGAACCCTTCAATTGAATGTGTAAACACACACACACAAACACACACACATACAAAGGCTCATCTATAGCACCTCCACTTTGGTGTCCAATAGATAGATAATATAAAAGAAAACTGAAATTGGGCTTTGGATAGTCTTCCTAAAACATATATATCTTACCACTTAATGCTTTACCATGTAAACTTACATTTGTTTTTCAAGGAACAGTAGTCATTAGATATTTTCAAAGGACATTCCAAGTCGTCTGTGTATCCCTTAATTCACAAATTATGTGATAGCATATAACTTCTCTCTTAAAATTCAGAAGAATATGGCTGAAAGTTTAACTAGGCCAGTCAAATTCTCAATCACAATTATTGCAAATATTAAAATGTGTGGAAAACAACAATGCCTCTTTGAGAATGGCTGCTAAATTGCTCTCCCAACACTAGGATATGTGTTCAGGGTATGTGACTCACATTTGTGGATTACTACAACTATTAGTGGGCTTTCAGAGTCATTCACAAATAATGAGAATACTAAATCCTTATATGCCCACAAGCCCCTACAGTATTAATTAAATTATGCATGAAATTTTAACATGGATTAGCAACTATAATGTTACTCATGTATGTCTTATAGGAGCAATTAAATCTCTAATCCATCCCTGACGGCTCCAGTTCACAGAAATATTTATCTCTTCTGAAGTTCCAAAACATGTAATATTTATGCAACATATATAAGAGAGTTGGCAGATACCTCAATAGAGTATTGAATCCAAGTCCCATTATTAACTCCATTCTCATATGAAAACCTGAGATTGAGAAAGATGAAACAATTTGCCAAAGCAAAGTGATGTACTTTCCTTATATTTTACTTTCATACTTAAACTGACCCTATTTTAATAACTATCAATAGTAAACAGTTCAAAATAATTATAATACCTGAAATCAGACTACCAATGTCTGATGAAGTATCATAATGTGAAGACACTGAAAACATAAGAAAGGTCTGATAAACATCTTTGGATTTGTGGTTTACAAAAGCCGCGTAGCGTAGTAGAGGACAACATAGTAAGTCTAATAGCCCTCACAAAATCAGTATTAAAAGGTTCAAAATTTAAAGGATAAATCTTCTCCGAAGGTATTCTCACATACATTAATCTTACCACAAAACATTGAGTGATAATTAATACTATAATCTTTCTATGTAAAAAAAATAAGAGTAAGTTGCTAGAGAAAAATTTCAAAAACCTAAACATTTACCTAAGAACTTTCTTCGCAGAGACTGCTTCACAAAAAAAAACTCTAACAATAATTTAAGTAAAAATTATCTTCCAAATTTTAGTTAAAGCAAGATATTTCTTGAAATGAATTTATGAGATCATTTGCAATGATCATTTAATAGTATCACAACACTAACAAGAAGAATTAATCTGAATATTTATTTCACCCAGAAGCCAAATTACATGTAACAATAAGAAAAAGTTGCTCACAAAATATGAAGCATTTTTGGCAAAGAAAACAACTGCTTGGAATAAAGTTTTAAATATAAACCCCCTATGCATAAAAACACACTATAAGACATAGATGTAAATGGACTTTTTTTTTTCCCACAACAATCACAGGCAAGAGAAGAACTAATTGAAAACCAATAAATTAAGTACAGTGCAGCAAGCAGTCTCTAGCTAACTCAGCCTATACATCAATAGGTCATTGTCAGTTAATTAAGTGAAGGCATAATCAGCTTAATTTATGTAGTTCACAGAAGTTAATGATATAATAGTACAGTACCTGACGTCTGAGTTGTCCATAAAACTTGTTTTATCCATTCAGTTCATTCTATTGTTCCTCAGAACAGACACTTTTTTCTGTAGCCCACTGTCTATGCTTGTCTTCCTACAGATGATAGGAAATTTGACACTTAAAAAATGAAGGCAAAAGAACACTTAAACAATTTATTTGAAAAACAACCTGATATTTCAGCAAATTATTGTGCATTACATAAAGTAAACATAAAGTGTAAAAATAAATAGAAGTTTTCTTAAAATAAAAGTGAATATTGAATTAATATTTGTGTAAATGTACATCATATGCATATATATGATATAGAGTTATTAAAAAGATAAGCCAGTTAAGGAATTATAAAATATTGTGCAGTCATAAAATTTATATAAGCATGAACTTGAGAGATGTAAGAATTTATTGGTATATTTGTTAGCTGTGTTGCATTTCAACATTAGATTTTATACCTGCTGGTGGACGATCTTCTTTCTCAAGCAGAGTTCTTTTCCAATGTCTCTGAAGCTCATCTCTTTTCTGAAGCTGCAAGTTTACACACAAAGACAAACCACAATGTCAACCAATTGGACCTAACTTAAGGAACCTAGGAGATCGATTTGTAAAGCAAAGAATGAACAGGACCCTATTTCTGAAGTACATTGCTCAAACTGCTCTTTCATTAAAAGATGCTCTTTCTTATTGATTTTGGCTTAAGTAATGAGAAAGCTTATCCAAAAATCTTTAGCATTTGGGCTCAAGTTAAGGAAATCAATACAGTCATTTCCCATTTGAACTGCATATGTGAGTTTTATGTACGAGAGACAAGACAAAGCCAAATTCAGATAAATCAATAGCATTGTCAATAGAACATGAAGCTGACAAACAGCGTTTTTCAGCAATTAAAGTAAGCTGTAAACATACAAAGACTAATCAATTACAATGTTTTGCCATTAACAGTTTTTAATTGGTATAAAAGTTATATGTGAATGTGATGCTCCAGAAATGAAAAGAAGAGAACCTATTTCAGCATTCTATAGGACCATTTCGCTAATATTTCTTTGTGTGTGTGAACACACAGATAATTTTATATCTTTCAAAGTAAGTTAAGACCTTACTTAGGGAGAATGTATTTTAATATTAAGTAGTCTATATAAGTAAGCTACTGAAATATAAGGGTGTACATACTGCATCTTTTCTTTTGGAATATGCTACTCCAATCACTTTTAACTTTTCAAAGCATTTCAACATGTTTTTGCATCTATTAATTTAAAAAATTAAAACAACTTGTAATTAAGTCAAAACAATAGCACTATTACTAAACTTCAGGAATTAAAGCATAGGTTAACACATTTTTTAAAACAGTTACGTTCTTCAAAATCTTTGAAAAGTTGTTGGTTTTACATAAATAATTCAAGCATTTATTCAAATATATTTTTTAAATCCTTTGTATCAATGATAACTTGTAATAAAAATACTAAGCCATTATGGATGCCATTACCCTGAAGTATTCATGAAAACTGCTGTACAGATAGCCAAATATAATTCATAATGCACTAAGATAGGCATATCATTAAAATGTAGATAAAACCTTTGTTTTTAATAAAAAATGATATAACAAAAGTAAAAGGTTAATTGAAAAGCAAAATAAACTACCGCGTTTAGTAAGACACATTACCCAGATTAACAGAAATCAATGAAATCATTAAAACAATTAATAACTTAGAGCTACATTCAGACTAAGATAAACTCTGTGGCTATTAGAATGCGGATACAAGGCTACAGAGACATATCTATTCTGACTGGGTAATTTCCTCTTCTCTGTAACAGTTCAGTAATATATGCAACTGGCATTATATAGCCACCCATTTCTCCTGTGAGACAAGAGATCTTCCATGCTTTTTGCTCTCTATGCTATGTGCAGTATAAGAATCACAGGCTTTACAGAAAGGCACATATTTCCCCTCAGTGTTCAAGATCTAAAATGGGCCATTAAAGCATCAAGAGTATTAAACAAAGCCTCATACTTGTTCAGCCTGGATAGAAGATAATCAGAGTTCTACTCATCTTCCAATCATAAACAGGGATGTATATACAATGAAAGTAGGCACAGAAGTCTTCTAAATGACTTTCAGGTATTTAGAAGATACCCAAAGCCATAATGTACTTCTCTGAATATCATAATTGGAGAAGAAGTGAAAAATAAGCAAACTCTTGTATCTTCATGAGTTATACGAAAAGAACAACAATTATAATTATAGATGTTCTCCATTTGATTGATATATAAATAAAAAGTGACACTCTATAAACAGAACAGAAACCTAAGCCAGTGTTGTTAAATAGAAAGTAATGCTTGAGTTTTAACCCTTATTCCAAAGCTTTTGCCTTGACATAAAGGAAGTTTATGTCTTAGTCCTGCTAAACAAAAAACACAGATGACATTTTCAACCTATTTAAGAATCATTGCCACCCTCAAATGCTAAGACACATGCTTATATACTGTTTGACTTTTTTCATTCAGACTAACACCAAAAATAAAATGATGTTCATTGATAGCAATATAACCATGGAATAAGTCATTATTTTGGGTTAAAAATTTTGTATTTAATAGGGGAAAAGATGACCTTATTAAAGAAAAGCAAATCTTATTCATTATTTTAATCTCTAACTAAAGAAATGCAAATGATTAGTATTTATAAATGTAAGCAATCAAAAACTGAAATATTAAGTTTTTTGAAATGGATTCTGATGAATGATACTACAGAAGAACATTTTATACAGACATCTAAGAAAACACATGAACAGTTATAAAATAGCAAAAAACTGAAGAGAACAGAATATACTAAAACAAAAAGAAGTTCATGCTGAATGCCATATTTTAGGAAATGGACTATTTCAGTCTAGTTAGCATATTTCACACGGAAAATGAGTATAACTTAGGCAAAACCTTACAAAATCAACAGATGCAAATTTAATGAATTGTTATGATATACAAAAACTGAATTGCACCTGGGGTCCGGAGGCAGACAGATCTTGGCTTAACATCCCAGTTCTCCCATTTGTTAGCTCTGGTGACCTTTTTATTTTTCTCTGAGAGTTTCCTTTTCTGAAAAAAAAGAGCAGAAAATAGTAGAATATTCCTATGGGGTTTTTGCGATAATTAGTTCAGATGACATATGTTGTAACTGGCAAAATGCCCAGTACATAGTAGGTCTATGGTAAATATTCCTTGGCCAAGTGAAAAAATTTAATTAATAAAAATGTCTCGTGATGATGCAAAATTAATAAAATACTGAAATTTCAAAATATGTTGTCAGTCAAGTCATTTTTATGTGAATGTAATTAAGAAAACATTTATATTGTATCTGCAAAAACTTATCTGGAATAACCCTACTAACAAGTATTCAAATAGCTATGAAGTCATTCAATCACTCTTTCACTCAACAAACTCATATTGAATAGTATGTACCAGACACAATATGTTTAACCCTATATCAGACAGAATTTTTAAAGTGGCACTCATTAACAGAACCATTTTAAATATAGCTGAAAATGATAAAGCAAGTCTTGTAGTTAATGCCAAAATAATACATACAAAATAATAATTTGCTAAGCACCATTACCCGGAGAAGCAAAATCAGGTGAAAGTCACCTAACTTTCTGTTTCTGCCCTGGGTCAGACTTTACCAGATGCTAAACACAAGAAGAACCAAAACTCAATTTTCTCTTCCAACAATGGGTATATGACCACAAGACTGTCTTTAAAATCAGATATTGTGTGCTGCTGGATTCGGTTTGCCAGTATTTTATTGAGGATTTTTGCATCAATGTTCATCAAGGATATTGGTCTAAAATTCTCTTTTTTGGTTGTGTCTCTGCCTGGCTTTGGTATCAGGATGATGCTGGTCTCATAAAATGAGTTAGGGAGGATTCCCTCTTTTTCTATTGATTGGAATAGTTTCAGAAGGAATGGTACCAGTTCCTCCTTGTACCTCTGGTAGAATTCGGCTGTGAATCCATCTGGTCCTGGACCCTTTTTGGTTGGTCAGCTATTGATTATTGCCACAATTTCAGATCCTGTTATTGGTCTGTTCAGAGATTCAACTTCTTCCTGGTCTAGTCTTGGGAGAGTGTATGTGTCGAGGAATTTATCCATTTCTTCTAGATTTTCTAGTTTATCTGCATAAAGGTGTTTGTAGTACTCTCTGATGGTAGTTTGTATTTCTGTGGGATCGGTGGTGATATCTCCTTTATCATTTTTTTATTGCATCTATTTGATTCTTCTCTCTTTTTTGCTTCATCCCTGGGATGCAAGGCTGGTTCAATATATGCAAATCAATACATGTAATCCAGCATATAAACAGAACCAAAGACAGAAACCACATGATTATCTCAATAGATGCAGAAAAGCCCTTTGACAAAATTCAACAACGCATCATGTTAAAAACTCTCAATAAATTAGGTATTGATGGGACGTATCTCAAAATAATAAGAGCTATCTATGACAAACCCACAGCCAATATCATACTGAATGGGCAAAAACTGGAAGCATTCCCTTTGAAAACTGGCACAAGACAGGGATGCCCTCTCTCACCACTCCTATTCAACATAGTGTTGGAAGTTCTGGCCAGGGCAATTAGGCAGGAGAAGGAAATGAAGGGTATTCAATTAGGAAAAGAGGAAGTCAAATTGTCCCTGTTTGCAGATGACATGATTGTATATCTAGAAAACCCCATTGTCTCAGCCCAAAATCTCCTTAACCTGATAAGCAATTTCAGCAAAGTCTCAGGATAAAAAATCAATGTACAAAAATCACAAGCATTCTTATACACCAATAACAGACAAACGGAGAGCCAAATCATGTGTGAACTCCCATTCACAATTGCTTCAAAGAGAATAAAATATGTAGGAATCCAACTTACAAGGGACGTGAAGGACCTCTTCAAGGAGAACTACAAACAACTGCTCAATGAAATAAAAGAGGATACAAACAAATGGAAGAACATTCCATGCTCATGGGTAGGAAGAATCAATATCGTGAAAATGGCCATACTGCCCAAGGTAATTTATAGATTCAGTGCCATCCCCATCAAGCTACCAATGACTTTCTTCACAGAATTGGAAAAAACTACTTTAAAGTTCATATGGAACCAAAAAAGAGCCCGCATCGACAAGTCAATCCTAAGCCAAAAGAACAAAGCTGGAGGCATTATGCTACCTGACTTCAAACTATACTACAAGGCTACAGTAACCAAAACAGCATGGTACTGGTACCAAAACAGAGATATAGATCAATGGAACAGAACAGAGCCCTTAGAAATAACGCCGTATATCTACAACTCTCTGATCTTTGACAAACCTGAGAAAAACAAGCAATGGGGAAAGGATTCCCTTTTTAATAAATGGTGCTGGGAAAACTGGCTAGCCATATGTAGAAAGCTGAAACTGGATCCCTTCCTTACACCTTATACAAAAATTAATTCAAGATGGATTAAAGACTTAAATGTTAGACCTAAAACCATAGAAACCCTAGAAGAAAACCTAGGTATTACCATTCAGGACATAGGCATGGGCAAGGACTTCATGTCTAAAACACTAAAAGCAATGGCAACAAAAGCCAAAATTGACAAATGGGATCTAATTCAACTAAAGAGCTTCTGCACAGCAAAAGAAACTACCATCAGAGTGAACAGGCAACCTACAAAATGGGAGAAAATTTTTGCAACCTACTCATCTGACAAAGGGCTAATATCCAGAATCTACAAAGAACTCAAACAAATTTACAAGAAAAAAACTAACAACCCCATCAAAAAGTGGGCAAAGGATATGAACAGACACTTCTCAAAAGAAGACATTTATTCAGCCATAAGACACATGAAAAAATGCTCATCATCACTGGCCATCAGGGAAATGCAAATCAAAACCACAATGAGATATCATCTCACACCAGTTAGAATGGCAATCATTAAAAAGCCAGGAAACAACAGGTGCTGGAGAGGATGTGGAGAAATAGGAACACTTTTACACTGTTGGTGGGACTGTAAACTAGTTCAACCACTGTGGAAGTCAGTGTGGCGATTCCTCAGGGATCTAGAATTAGAAATACCATTTGACCCAGCCATCCCATTACTGGGTATATACCCAAAGGACTATAAATCATGCTGCTATAAAGACACATGCACACATATGTTTATTGCAGCACTATTCACAATAGCAAAGACTTGGAACCAACCCAAATGTCCAACAATGATAGACTGGATTAAGAAAATGTGGCACATATACACCATGGAATACTATGCAGCCATAAAAAATGATGAGTTCATGTCCTTTGTAGGGACATGGATGAAATTGGAAATCATCATTCTCAGTAAACTATCGCGAGGACAAAAAACCAAACACCACATATTCTCACTCATAGGTGGGAATTGAACAATGAGAACACATGGACACAGGAAGGGGAACATCACACTCTGGGGACTGTTGTGGCATGGGGGGAGGGGGGAGGGATAGCATTAGGAGATATACCTAATGCTAAATGACGAGTTAATGGGTGCAGCACACCAGCATGGCACATGTATACATATGTAACTAACCTGCACATTGTGAACATGTATCCTAAAACTTAAAGTATAATAATAATAAAAAAATAAAATTAAAATTAAAAAAAAAAGTGGTCTGGTGCAAACTCATCCTTACCACCAGGAAAACAATTCTAAGCACATGCCAAAAAATTATTAACAGATCTTCAGTCCTTTACTCGAGAAACTAAAAGGAATAAAAAATTAATAGCAAAGCAAAAAAAATCAGATATTGTGTCCTCAAATACAAAATACAGAAAATAATACCAGCTTTTATTTTATAGTTTGGGGTGAGAATTAAAAAAAATATATAAAGATAACCCTATAACCTCTAAAGAGCTATGCCATTATTATTGTTTTCATTATTCTTTTTTTTTTTTTTTTTTTGAGACAGACCCTCACTCTGTTGCTCAGGCTGGAGTGCAATGGTGCAATCTTGGCTCACTGCAACCTCCTCCTCCTGGGTTGGAGCGATTCTCGTGCCTTAGCCTCCCGAGTAGCTGGGATTACAGGATTCTGCCACCATGCCTGGCTAATTTTTTGTATTTTTAGTAGAGACAAGATTTCACCATATTGGCCAGGCTGGTCTTGAACTCCTGACCTCAGGTGATCCACCCGCCTCGGCCTCCCAAAGTGCTGAGCTTACAAGCGTGAGTAACTGAGCCCAGCCCATTATTCTTAATAGAAAATGTAAGCAGCATACGTTTATTCTCCCTGCTATACTGAGTACTGTTCAAATTGCTAAAGGACTATTCATGCATTCTCTCTTCTCCATGCTGTGAGCTGCTATAGCTTTCTCCATCTGCATCTAAACCTACTCTTACTTCAAAACTCAGCTCAGACAGGTCTTGTTTTAGGAATCCTTTCTTGACCTTCTCTGCCTATTCAGCATTGATTCAAGTTCCATATCTGTGTGCTCCTAAAATTCCCTGTTATCTCTCTATAAGACTACTTTCACTATTTTGTAATTGCCTTTTTACTTGTTTTCCTACATTACTACAGTGGAAGTTCCTGAAAATAGGAACCCAATCTTACTTGTTTTTGTATATCTGATATGAAAAGTATTTCAACAAAAATTTGTTGGCTGCATTAATAAATGAATTAATACTATGTTTGTAAACCAATTTTTTAGGGATTACTATGTACTACACACCCTTCCAAGCACTAGACATAAATTATCTCATTTTATTTTCAAAAAGAACCCTCCAAGATAATAAGTATGACTACTATTGAGAGATTAGGTATGAGAGATAACATATGAGAGAGTAACTAATGGCCAAAATCACACAGATGGGTAAATGGTGAATCTGAGATTCCGAGTTCCCTTAGTCATTATACTAACTGCCTCCAACCAGCCAACTCTTAATTTATACAGGTTCAGAAATTCCGTTTTATCAATTTTGCAAGAAACAATAAGTCCTGATTTACTAACAGGTATGACAGAATTTCATACAAAATTAATAAATGTTATTAATTTCTAATAATGTATAGAAATGTTACCAGCCAGAATAGTATTTTCTGCATTTCATGATCTCATTTTTAAAGGCTAAGACATTAAACTTGTTCATTCAGTCAACAGATATTATTAAGCACCTATTATGTAGTAGGTGTTTGAGACAAAGCAGTAAACTAGATGAGAGAAAAAAACATTTTATGAAGTTTATAGTCTAGCTAACTCTTATTTGGCACTTACTATGTGTCAGGCACTGTTCTGAGTACTTTATATGTATTCATTTATGTAATATTCATAACAGCTCTATGACATTTTTATAATTATTATCCTAATTTTACAGATATGGACACTGAGGCAAAAGGGCGTTGAGTAACTTGCCCAAGATTACAGCTTTGAGAGCCGGACTCAATGTTTGAACCAAAATTTCTGTACAATGAATTTGAAATTAGGCAAGAGAACTGTATGTTAGTGGATCACATTATGCAGTCCAAAGGCAGGATGCTATGGACTCCGCTACAGAAAAATGACTGCCAGGAGTACCAAATCACTGGCTCCTTCACTCACAGCATTTTGTTCCCTGTGTTGTGCTGCAGATGCACTGATACAGACCAACTTGCCAGTCAACTGTCATATTCATCCATCAAAATTACCTCATACCTTGAAAGGTGTAATACAATCAAGTCAGCTACATTTTCTTCATGTGAATTACTGGCTGAAATTAAGAGGGAGTCCACTTTTACACATTTCCAAGTGTAGAAGATCTAGTTTATGCTTCATTATTTAAAATTTAGAACAGTCTCAATTTTATATTTTAAGAGTGTAGAGGTACCTAGTCTTTAACTACAGCTATTGCATAAACTGGAACTAGAAATAAGCTTTTATATTACCAAATCCTTTACAGCACTGAATTTTGTCTTTTGAGATCAACGGTACATTGTTGGCACATGGTATCAGCAAAGGCACAGAAAAGGTTTTATTACAGGCTTTTCATTGAGTAATATTTAAATATAATTTATATTATATAAATATTATATAAATTATTAATATATTGTCTTATATGTATTTAAATACTATTTCATCAGTTATATGCATGCTGCATTCTACAGTGAAATAGCACCATTACCTGGAGCTATTTTGTTTTTCAGCCCTCCTCAAAATTATACCTCCTCAATGGTTGCAGTAACATTGTATCTGAATTGAAAATTTGAAACCTAAAATTTCAGTAGCACTTAAAATGAAATAGAAACAAAAATTAGCTAAAGATGTCTTCTTGGAAAATTTATTAAATATGTACTTATGTTTCTTTTCTGTTCCGGTTGCTCTCTGTGACTCTCCTTTCTTTTTTTCTTAACATATGTTAGTCCCATTCAATTTCTCTCTCAGTCCTCCACTAACACTTCCTCTCAATTCCAACTTAATCTTCTATCTGCTTTCCCATTAACCTTTAATATACACACTTGCTACCTCCTCTTTATTTCCTATCTGGCCCATTCATCTCTCATTTATTTCCTAATATAATAGATGTGAGCGAGGAAACTCAATTCTCTATAAAACAAATACAAAAATTAAGGTCTCAGAGATTAGAAAACAGTATAACTCAGTTGCACTACTTGAAAACAAACATACTTACCTATCATTTTTTTCTCAGATCTTTTTTCACCTTTTCCTAAACCAATATTTTAAGAAAAAAAAAGTCATGTACTAATTTTTAATTCTTCTTTGCTCCATCAACTGCAATTTCTCTAAACTGCCCTTGAAATCACCTGTTTGAAAGATTTAAGTATATCTGGAATTTATCATTGTACCTCTAGCACCTACTAGAGTGATTGCCACAAAGTAGGCCCTCGATGAGTGATGAACAGAACTGAAATAAGTAAGTTTAATACTTGATAGGAAAGTAAATGGTTAAATTAAAGGAGAAACTGCTGTTCATACTAGCTGGCATGAGAAGGACAGAGTTGGATGAGGGCAGGCAGTCAGTACTCACAACTTTATCCTGCTATCCAACCCCTCACTCTTCTCTCTGATTATCTTTTCCCCTAACACCTAGGCTATCTATAGTTACAGGCTCAAAGACTCCAGCAGCTGAGGCTACAATGAGTTGCTTGGTTTTGATCCCTAAGTAAATGGTGACTCAAATCTAACATTCACCTAAAATAAAAATCTAAATTTAAAACTCTCTTTAATCATTTTGTTTTTCTATTATTCCTATCTCCTTGTAACAGATTTTGATGCACATTGTCTGAATTAAATCCTCACATACTCTCCATACAACTTGGACTCATGTGAAGTTAGAAGTTCAAGTAATGCTCCAGATCATGCAGAACAGTGATTTTCAAAATGGACTTTTTTAGGGGCTCCTTTCAGGGGTTTTGAGTTTCTCATCCCCTTCTCAACACTTTAGTCAGAGAAGATCTGATTTACTTTATACGTTTGACTTCAGTGTGCATTTTTTATTTGCAGAAAGAAAACTGTTATCATAAATTGTGAAATCAACCAAGCTAATTCAACCCTACCATCTAAAAATGAATAAAATCAGAACTGGGAACATCAATAATTGACACTTCAAAAACAAGCTGGTAGCAGAACCAAAATTTGAACCACGAAAATAGTAATGAAGGTCCTTAATTCACCAGGAATAATTTTTTTCTGGTTTACTATATTTGAGAATATAGAATGGTTGATAGAAAATGTATATTTGACAATGTAGTAAAGAAATTATTCTACCATAAATTTTTGCATTACTCCGAGTAAATCTCATTCCAAAAGTTAATTAATTCAATTTTTGAATTAACATATACTAAAAAAAGAAAGACATGTGAGACAATATGTTTTACTTAGTTAATAAATAAACTACTTTCATATCTGAGAATAGAAATCCATATATGATGGAACGGAGGCATGTGGTCAGAGCAGACAACACAGTCATGTGTCACTTCAGACACATTCTCAGAAATGCATTGTTAGGTGATTTTGTCATTGCACACACAGAATACACTTACACAAACCTAGATGTCATAGCCTATTACTCATAGGTTACAAATCTATATAGCATGTTATGGTACTGAATGCTGCAGACAATTGCAACATAGCAGTAAGCATTTTTGTATCTAAACATATCTACACAGAGAAAAGGTACAGTAAAAATATGGTACCGGAGATAAAATATGGTGCATCTGTAAAGGGCATTTACCATGAATGAAGTTTGCAGGACTGAAAGTTGCTTTGGGTGAGTCAGTGAGTGAGTGGTGAGCGAATGTAGAGGCCTAGGACATTACTATACCTTACTGTAGACTTTATAAACCCTGTACACTTAGGGTACATTAAATTTATTTTTTAACTAATTGCCCTATGATGTTACAATGGCTATGATGTCACCAAATGATATGAATTTTTCAACTGTCTTATAATCTTATGGGAGCACCATCATATATACTGTCCATTGTTGATCAAAATATTGTTGTGTGGTGCAAGACTGTATTCTAAAGATACCCAAATCATATTAATGTTGGTGACTGATAAATACTCTCTGATAACAATCAGGAATAAGTACGGGTTGAGATAGGCAGCTTAACTCTTAGAGTTCACTGTGGTCAAGTCTAAAATAGAACGGAGCATTCCAATAGGAAAAGCTTAAAGCAAAGAGACAGTCTTTGCATTTGCTCATCAACAAAAATAAGGCCCTGAGTCAAAGAAAATTGGTAGCATGGATAGGTCTTTGAATATTATGGATTTGTGGACATTCTAAAGGACACATACCTTCAAGACCTACCCAACTGTCCTTACCCCTAAGCCATTACACCTGACAACTTCTTTATTAGTTGCTGCAACACGAATCATCTTCATTCCTTTTGAATCCACCATACAATAAAAAGACTTTATCCCGTAAGTGTAGCAATTTACTTGCCAACATAGTCCCAATATTTACTATAATTTGATGAGAAATGTGAGAACTTAATCAATCATATATAACAACATTCGGTATATGCTTATATGTGTTGTTCCTGTATTTCTTTGTTTGTTTTTGTTTTATCTATTAAGTTCCTTTTACCTGATAAATTTCCATTCTCTTCAGGATTAAGGTCTTCACATATTCATTATATTAAAGAAAAAAGCTCAAAATTAAGATTAAGAGGCATTATTTTACTCACAGTAAAATTCACACTACATAACATTTTCCGAAACGTGTGTGGAATAAAGCAATCTGGGCTGTAGCACAGTTTAGCCACATTGTTAAGGGTTATCATCAGTACCTTAGTAAGGAATTTATACAGTATCATCCATCATATATAAATATTATAGCAAATTCTAAGCAATTCTCAGTACAGAATTCAGATTCAATTAATCTTAATATGTATATTTACATATATAAAGCTTAAAGATAAAATGTACTTTAAATATTGTTAAAGATAGCTACCTGAACTAACTCAATTTTTTTCCTCAGAAGGAGAATCAAGAGGAAAAATATAAAATAGCATGTCATAAAGAAAATGCTGAATAGTCTAGTTATAGCACAGCATTAAATAAATGGTGAGGAAGCAGAAAAAAGTAATCTTTTGATTTTAAATTTTAATGGACTCAATTACTAAAATTTATTTTCACTTCCAATTTTACCAATACTCTGTTCTTTAAAAAAAAAAATCTGAAAATTTTGACATTTCCTGCAAATAGACTTAGAATGAGAGATCCTCCGGGTCACATGACTTGTTTTGTTTGTTTTCTTTTGTTTCGTTTTTTTCAACCTTTATTTTAAGCACATGTATTTAAGGTACATGTGCAAGTTTGTTACCCATGTAAATTGCATGTTACAGGAGTTTGGTGTACAGATTATATCACCAACCAGGTAATGAACATAGTACCATATAGATAGTTTTTCAATACCCACCCTCCTCCTACCCTTCACCCTCATGTAGGCCCAGTTGTCTGTTGTTACCTTCTTAGGGTCCATATGTGTTCCATGTTTAGCTCCCACTTATAAGTGAGAACATGCAGTATTTGGTTTTCTGTTCCTGTGTTAACTTGCTTAGGATAATGGCCTCTAGCTGCAAAAGATATGATTTTATTCTTTTTTAATGGTGGTGTAGTGTTTCATGGTATATATGCACCACATTTTCTTTATCCAGTCCACCATTGATGGGCACCTAGATTGATTCCATGTTTTTGCTATTGTGAATAGTGCTACAAAACATATGGGTCTATGTGGCTTTATGGTAGAATGATTTATTTTCCTTTGGTTATATATTCAGTAATGGGATTCTTGTGTCTAATGGTAGTTCTGTTTAAGTTCTTTGAGAAATTTCCAAACTGATTTCCACAGCAGCTGAACTAATTTACATTCCCACCAGCATTATGTAAGCATTCCCTTTTTTCCACAACCTCACCAGCATCTGTTACTTTTTGACTCTTTAAAAACAGCCATTCTGACTGGTGTGAGATGGTATCATACTGTGGTTTTGATTTGCATTTCTCTAATGATTAGTGATATTGAGAATTTTTTATATGCTTTTGGCCACGTGTATGTCTTCTTTTGAAAAGTATCTGTTCACATCTTTTGCCCATTTTTTAATGGGGTTGTTTGGGTTTTGTCTGTTAATTTGTATAAATTCCATATAAATTTTGATATTAGACTTTTGTCTGATGTCTAGTTTGTAAATATTTTCTCCCATTCTCTAGGTGTTTACTCTGTTGATAGATACTTTTGCTGTGCAGAAGGTCTTTAGTTTAAGTCCCACTTGTCAATCTTTGCTTCTGTTTTGTTTACAATTGCTTTTGTGGTCTTTGTCACGAAATGTTTGCCAGGGGCTATGTCCATAATGGCATTTCCTAGATTTTCTTCCAGAGTTTTTAAAGTTTCACATTCTACATTTAAGTCTTTAATCACCATCTTTTTGTATATGGTGAAAGGTAGGGGTCCAATTTCTGTCTTCTGCCTATGGCTAGCCAGTTATACCAGCAACAATTTATTGACCAGGGAGTTATTTGCGCATTGCTTGTTATTGTTGACTTTGTTGGAGATCAGATAGTTGCAGGTACACAGATTTATTTCTTGGTTCTCTAACCTGTTCCATTGGCCTTGGTGTCTATTTTTGTAACAGTGCCATGCTGTTTTGGTTACTGTAGTCTTAGAATATACTTTGAAGTTGGGTAGTGTGATACTTCCAGTTTTGTTCTTTTTGTTTAGGATTGCTCTGGTTATTCTAGCTCTTTTTTGGTTTCATATGAATTTTAGAGTAGCTTTTTCTAGTTCCCTGAGAAATTGTGTTGGTAGCTTGATAGGAATAGCATTAAATATGTAGATTGCTTTGGGCAGTATGGCCATTTTAACAATAGTTATTCTTTGTATCCATGAGCATGGAAGGTTTTTCCATTTGTTTGTGTCATCTCTGATTTCTTTCTACAGTGTTTTGTAATTCTCTTTGTAGAGATCCATCACCTTCCTGATTAGTTATACTCCTAGGTATTTCATTCTTTTCATGGCTATTGTTCATGAAACTGTACTCTTGATTTGGCTCTCAGCTTCAACATTATTGGTGTATAAGAATGCTGCTGATTTTTTTACACTGATTTTGTATCCTAAAATTTTGCTGAAGTTGTTTATCAGATCCAGGAGACATTGGTCAGAGACTATGGGGTTTTCCAGGTACAGAATCATATTATCTGTGAAGTGAGATCGTTTGACATTCTCTTTCAATTTGGGTGCCTGAGATTTCTTTTTCTTGCCTGGTTGCTCTGGCTGGGGCTTCCAGTACTACTTTGAAAAGGGATGGTAAGGGCAGACATCCTTGTCATGGTCCATTTCTGAAGGGAAATGTTTCCAGCTTTTGCCCATTCAATACAGTGTTGGCTGTGGGTTTGTCATAGATGTGGGTTTGTCATAGATGTGGCTATTACCATTTTGAGATATGTTCCTATGATATTTAATTTGTTGAGGGTTTTTAACATTAAGGAATGTTGAATTTTATTGAAAGCCTTTTCTGCATGTATTGAGATGATCATATGGTTTTTGTCTTTATTTCTGTTTGTGTGATGAATCACATTTATTGATTTGTGCAGATTAAACTAAACTACCATCCCAAGAATAAACCCTACTTGATCATTGTGGATAGCTTTTTGATGTGCTGCTAGATTAAGTTTGCTAGCACTTTGTTAAGGATTTTTGCATTTAAGTTCATCGGGGATATTGGCCTAAAGTCCTCTTTTTTCTTTTTTTTTTTTTTTTGTGTGTGTATCTTTGCCAGGTTTTGGTATCAGAATGATGCTGGCCTCATAGAATGAGTTAGGGAGGAGTTCCTCCTCCTTAATTTTCTAAAATAGTTCCGGAAGGATTGCTACCAGCAGTTCTTTGTACACTTGGTAAAACCGGGCTGTGAATCCATCTGGTCCTGGCCTTTTGTGGTTGGGAGGTTTTTTAATAACTAATTTAATTACTACTTGTCATTTGGTATATTCAAGGTTTCAATTTCTTCCTTGTTCGATCTTTAGAGGTTGTCTATTTCCAGAAATTTGTCCATTTCTTCTGGGTTTTTTAGTTTATGTGCATAGGGATGTTCATAATAGTCTCTGAGGGTTGTTTGTATTTCTGCAGGGTCAATGGCAATGTCCACTTTGTCATTTCTCATTGTGTTTACTTCAATCTTCTCTCTTTTTTTTCTGTATTAATTTAGATAGTGCTCTGTCAATCATCTTCATTCTTTCATAGAACAAACTTTCGATTCTGTTGATCTTTTGTATGGCTACTCACATCTCAATTTTGTTCAGTTCAGCTCTGATTTTGGTTATGTCTTTTTCTGCTAGCTTTGAGGTTGACATACTCTTGTTTTTCTAGTTCCCCTAAGAATGATGTTAGGTTGTTAATTTGAGATCTTTCTAACTTTTTGATGTGGGTGTTTAGCACTACAAACTTTCCTCTTAACATTCCTTTACCTGTGTCCCAGAGAGTCTTGTATTTTGTATCTTTGTTTTCATTAGTTTCAAAGAATTTCTTGATATTTGTCTTAATTTGTTAAACCAAAAGTCATTCAGTAGCAGATTGTTTAATTCCCATGTAACTATACTTTTTTTGAGATCTTGATTTCTATTTTTATTGTGCTGTGCTTCGAAAGTGTGATTGGTATGATTTCTGTTTTTCTGAATTTGGTCAAGATCTCTATTCATCCCAAGAAAATATTTTTACTTCATCAAATTATTTGTTTTGTGCACTTTGCCCAATGAAAGCTACAGCATACATTTAAAATTATCTGTCCTGGACCATCTCAACTCTTTTCTCATAACATCAACATAAACCTAAAAACAGATTAATAAAGTCTACCTTCTAGGAAGAAATCTCAATTAAAACTGAAGATAAGTTACTATCAAAACCATTCTGATTAAACATGAAATTCACATAACTTCCTTTTCTGACTTCTTCTAGCTCATTGAAAGAGAAGAAGGTATTCCAAAAATATTAAGGAGGACATAAACTGATTAGATGTGGAGTCTGAAGAATGAATTATTTCAGATGATTCTCAAATATCTGCCCTCAATAATTGGGGGAATGTAATTTCTGTCATGAATAAAGACCAATGACATTCTGATTCGATTTCCATTCTAGAAAAGTCAAAGCTATAGGGACATAGAACAGATCTGCGGTTGCCAGGGGCTAGAGGTGGGGGAAGAGGTTTGATATAAAGGGAAGCATGAGGTAATCTTTAGACATAATGAAACTATTCTATATATTGATTGTGGTGGTGTTTGCAAGTTTCTATGTAATGGTCAAAACACATACAATTGTACCTTAAAAAGAATAAATTGTACTATATGTAAAAGAAAACTGAAATAAAATAAAGTAAAAATAAGCAGTACTTGGTATTGAATTATTTTAAGTGGAGGTATATATCTTTAGAATTAGATGAATGTCAGAATTATTACAGAGGAAAATAAATAATTAGTAGAGCACTGGAATAGAAATTAAACTAGAGCAGAGAAAATAAGATTGTTGCAGACTAGAAGAAAGAAGAAAGTAAAAATATTAATTTAAAAGTGAAAGACATATAGTAAAGGTGATATCACCTAGTACCTCCCCAGGTGTCTTGTGTTTGAAAATTACTTCTGCTTTTCTACTTTTATACCTCATCAAAAAGTCATTTCCAGAGAGCGGCTGGTCTCATTTGGTCTTGCTCTGATTATCTGGTTAGCAGAATTTTCACTGTTGAGTATAGAAAGATGTACATGAGAAATGTAATCTAAGGAAGACAGCTCAGACAAATTTGATAGGTTATACAGTTTAGAAAAAGAAATAACATTTACTGCATCCTGGTCTTCCACTCTACTGAGTGAATCAGCCTTGCTGAATTTGTTTGTTAAAGTACCTAGACCTGTAACAACCAAATCAAGAGGGAGACTCTGGTCTTGGAGCACATCCCCTGTACAAACCACCATCAGTGAGAGTTAGAAAACTGACGCTGTGCTTCCTCCTCTGCAGGACTCAAACACTCTACTTCCCACTCCCACTCTCCTCTCCCCTCGGCAGCCACAGCCCTGCTATTACTGCCTTTGGAACATCAGGACTAATGGGATTATATCCCTTTTTCCCCTCTAGTTGAGAACTAATCCTAATTTAGCTCTAGTCTCTGTCTCTTCTGAGCAAGCACCTTTCTCCATTTCTTACTTCTGGTTTTATGACAAAACTCTTTGAAGGAATCTATGCATAGCAGTACTGTTTTGTTTTGTTTTGTTTCTTCCTATTCTCTCTTAAATCCACTAAGTTAATTTCTACCACCACCACTGCAAAGAAGCCATTATCAACTTCAGCAATGTATTAGTCAAGGTTCTCTGGAGGAGCAGAACTAATGGAATATGTTTAGGGGAGTTTATTAAGTATTAACCACACTATCACAAGGTCCCACAATAGGCCGTCTGCAGGCTGAGGAGCTAGGAGTGCCAGTCCTAGTTCCAAAACTGAAGAAATTGGAGTCCTATGTTCGAGGGCAGGAAGCATCCAGCACGGGAGGAAGATGTAGGCTGGGAGGCTAAGCCAGTCTCTCTTTTTACATTTTTCTGCCTGCTTATATTCTAGCCACACTGACAGGTGATTAGATTGTGCCCACCCAGATTAAGGAAGGGTGGGTCTGCCTTTCCCAGCCCACTAACTCAAATGTCAATGTCTTTGGCAACACCCTCACAGACACACCCAGGATCAATACTTTATCCTTTAATCCAGTCATGTTGACACTATTAACCATCACAAGCAATGACCTTCATTTTACTAAATCCTATAGTCACTCCTAAGACTTCACCCTGTTTTATCAGCCAACAATAATTGACATAGTTAATTAGTCTCTCCTCAAATTTGGTTTTTAAATATAGCTTCCAAAACATCACACCCAAGTGGATTTCCTCCTACCTTTTTGTCCACTCCCCGTCAAAGTCTTCATCTCTGATTTCTAAATTTTGGAATGTTCTGGGACTCAGTCCTTGAACTCATCCTCTCTTCAGTCATTGTACTGATAGTGTCATCTGCTTTACGGCTTCTGATAACATATATTTATACTGACAACTTGTAAATTTATACCTTTTACCTGGACTCCCCATGAATGATAAGCTCATAATTTCAAGAACTTTGACATCTTTACTTAGTTGTTTAATTATACTTCAAGCTTAACACATTTAAAACTCATCTATGATAGTCTCCTAGAACTGTTCCTCCTACTGTTTTCCCATCTTAGTTAATGGCAACTACACTCTTCCAGTTAAAAATCTTGTTGTCATTCTTGACAAATCTTTCTCTCAACTCCATATATAGTCTGACAACAAATCCGATGGTCCTGAATTCCAAAAATGTTCAGAATTTTATCACATCTCAACTTCATCACTGTTAACTTACTTCAAACCACCAGTATCACTCGACAGTGTTATGTCAGTTAGACTTCTACAAGTCTTCCTGTTTCAGTGATATCATCCTTCAGTAGATTCTCATTTAGCACCACAGTAGTCTTTTTAAAACCTAATCCATATCATGTCACTCCCCTGCCAAAACTCTCCAATGAACTTTCATCTCAGAATAAAAGCTAGTCCTTAAAATGGTCTTCAGGCCCTAAATAATCTGGGAGCCATTACCTGACTGAATGTGTCAGCTCCTACACTTTCCCGCATTCACACAGCTATGGTCACCAAATTCCTTGCTGTTTCTTTTATAGTCTAGACCTGCTTTACATATGCTGCTGAGTTTGCACATTCTGTTTCCTCACTGGAGTTTTTCCCACAGTCTGATGGTTAGTTTCCTCACTTCATTTGGATCTTCATTCAAAAGTCACTTTTTCAATGCGGTCTTCTTTGGCTACTCAAGCTAAAATTTAAGCAAACAATCTTGTTTCATCGGTTCTCTCAGCTCTATGTTTTCCCCTTAGCATATATATTTGGCATCATTACATGGTTTATTGTCTATCTCTCACAGCAGAATTTAAAATTCATAGGAATAGATTTATCTTTAGTCTTTTTTTAATCATTGCTGTGCTACCAGGACCCAAGACAGACCGTTCTTGGCACATAATAACACTCAACAAACATTCATTGAATGAATGAATAAATGTGTGAATAAACTTGGTATTCAGTTTACAAATAAAACAAATAAGTATGACATTTTATTCTAATAATGATTTTATACAAAAGCTTTAAAAAATGGTTCATTATTATTGAAATCTTGTAAGCAGTTACTAGGTGTGGCAGATAGAAAATTAGGACTTTAGAAAGTCAGAAACTAGGGCTGTACACATGTATATATGGGCTTTCATGAAGAGGAAAAACTCAAATCTCAATGCTTTAACCTCAGAAGTTTATTTCTCACTCATGAAAATCCAATGCGGGTCAGTGGAGGTTCTTGAATACTCATTGGCTCAGGAATCCAGGCTCCCTTCACTCTAGGATGTAATCGTCTCACATGAGGCTTTCATGATTTTCATGGCTCTTAGAACCTGAGAAGAGACAACATGGAGTTTCCTAACCAGATCTTAAATTCCTCAACCTGTAAGTGACAGATATCACATTTCATTGGCTAGAACAAGTCTTAGAGCTTTGCCTTGCTGCCAGGATAAGGAGAGTTCATTAGTTAAAATATACTCATGAATAAAATAATACATAAACTTCAAATGGCATATGTTCAGGAAAGAATCTATAAGAAAAAAAATTCAAACTATAGCAGTGAGTAAAAGGAAGTAAACATTGAATTTAAAAGAACATAATTACTGCAGTAAATCAGTGAGGAGTAAAACTTTCAATTGGACCTTCAAGATGAAGTAAAAATGAGCCATGTGAAAAAACAATTTAAAAATTATTCCAAACAGAATTACTTTAATATTCTACTTTATTTGGCTTTTATGCTAGCCAAGTTACATTTTAATGTTTCTGACAAATGGTTAGAGACACTGAGCATGATTGAAAATGTAATAATCTTATTTGTCTGTTCCCCCTAGATTAACAAAAATTATTAATAGATTATGAGTATTTGTTTTAAATATACGGGTATAGCTCCAAATGTAGATATATACAAGTTTCACTAAATTTTAAGAACGCTTCTTAACATATTCTCTAAAACTATGCATAAGCCTGGGCAACATAGCAAGACCTCATCACTACAAAAAAATTTAAAAAGGTAGCCAGACACGATGGTGTGCACTTGTAGTCCTAGCTACTCAGGAGGCTAAGGTGAGAAAATTGCTTGAGCCCAGAAGGTCGAGGTTGCAGTGAGCTGTGATTGCACCAGCGCACTCCAGCCTGGACGAGAGGACAAGACCTTGTCTAAAATTAAATTAAATTAAATTAAATTAAATATATGCATAAAATCTGCAATTATTGGCAATAATATCTTAAAAAAATAGTTGGAGATTCTTATGATGAAAATAATTTAACTGTTATAATAACAATAACAACTAGTATTATGTGAAATTTAGCTAGGACATAATTTTATTCCCTATAAAACATTTATTGCCAAATTGGCATATAAAGTTGTTAAAGTTATTCAAATAGGATACAACTGGTAAATCTGAATCTAAATTTCCCTTTGTATCATGTGAGGCTAAATTATCAATATGCCATGCTATAATGAATAAGGATCCATCCCAGAGCACATCCAGAAATTTCATTATAAGTCAATCTGACTTATAATGTATTTTTATGGCATATCAAAATAATAGACTTACAGAAAGTGTTCTATATAGTTGAAAAATGCAGAGAAAAATATGTAACCATTCATTTCATTTCATTTTTAACTGTTTATCTTAATATTTAAAAATTTCTCAAGTATTAAAATATTATTGTCCTCTTAATTGCAAATTATCAAGAAAGGATTTTAATATAATTATTTTAGTGTAGGATAGGCACTCATTATCCTGCTCTACACATTTCCACAGACGTGAAAGAAATTTTGCTTTGCTTCCCAGAATAAAAAAAAAATTATTACAGAAACATTTCCAGTTCTTCTGTCTTGCCCATCAATGTATATTTTTTTATCTATAATTAGGATTAGAGCAGAAATTAAAGTTAAGAGATGGCTCTCTGCCAGTCTTCCATTTCTAAACACTGATTTTAGATTGGCTTTAAATCTTAATCATTTACAGAAACTTAGGCCAGAAGTTTATATACAAATCATCAATATAAAGGTATATTGTTATTATTAATTACTAATAGGTTAATAAAGTAAGGTCTTACTTCTAATGAAGATGGAGAAAGATTATATGTTTTAGCACTTTAAATTTTGTTTTTAGGCCAAGTGCAGTGGCTCATGCCTGTAATCCCAGCACTTTTGGAGGCCGAGGCAGGGGGATCACCTGAGGTCAGGAGTTCAAGACCAGCCTGGCCAACATGGTGAATTCTTGTCTCTACTAAAAATACAAAAATTATCTGGGTGAGGTGACCCATGCCTGCAATCCCAGCTACTTGGGAGGCTGAGGCAGGAGAATTGCTTGAACCCAGAGGCAGAGGTTGCAGTGAGTCAATATCACTCCACTATAGTCCAGTCTGGGACACAAGAGCAAAAAAAAAAAAAATTGATTTTGGCATTCTTACATACTACCATAAAACATATTATATATGTCTTAAAGTGATTTTTGTTGCAAAGAACATGCATATTTGCTGTAAAGTTATTTTCCTGCCTAAGATCATGCTCAAATTGTCCCCATGAAAATAAAGTGTTAATTATAACATGTGAAAAGTAGGTTAGATTTGCACTTCACTGATCATTACTGATGCTGAGCATTTTTTCATATGTCTTTTGATCATTTGTATATCTTCTTTTGAGAATTGTCTATTCATGTCCTTAATCCACTTTTTGATGGTATTTTTTTTTCTTCATAATTTGTTTGAGTTTGTTGTAGATCTAATCCTTGGTCAGATGTATAGATTGTGAAGATTTTCTCCCACTCTGAGGGTTGCCTTTTTACTATGTTGACTGCTCCTTTTGCCGTGCAAAAGCTCTTTAGTTTAATTAAGTCCCAGCTATTTATCTTTGTTTTTATTGCATTTGCTTTTGGGCTCTTGGTCATGAAATCCTTGCCAAAGCCAATGTCTAGAAGGGTCTAGAAGGGTTTTTCTGATGTTGTCTTCTAAAATTTTTATAGTTTCAGGTCTTAGATTTAAGTCCTTGATCCATCTTGGTTGATTTTTGTATAAGGTGGGAGATGAGGATCTAGTTTTATTCTCCTACATGTGACGTTCTAATTATCCCAGCACCATTTGTTGAATAGGATGTCTTTTCCCCACTTTATGTAAGTATTTGGGTGCAGTATCACCTTACTCCTGCAAGAATGGCCATAATAACAAAAACTAAAAATAATAGGTATTGGCGTGGATGCGGTGAACAGGAAACACTTCTACACTGCTGGTGGGAATGTAAACTAGTACAACCACTATAGAAAACAGTGTAGAGAGTACTTAAAGAACTAAAAGTAGAACTACCATTTGTTCCAGCAATCCCACTACTGGGTATCTACCTAGAGGAAAATAAGTCATTATACAAAAAAGATACTTGCACAAGCATGTTTATGGCAGCACAATTCACAATTGCAAAAATGTGCAACCAACCCAAATTCCCATCAATAAATGAGTGGATAAAGAAACTGTGATATATATAGATATATATAGATATGTGTGTGTTATATATAGTATATATAGATATATATGTTTATATATGTTAGATATGGTATATATAGGTGTGTATATATATGTTATATATAGTATGTATATAATGGAATACTACTCAGCCATAAAAAGGAGTGAACTAACGGCATTCACAACAACCGGAATGAGATTGGAGACTATTATTCTAAGTGAAGATAGAAAACCAAACATCATATATTCTCTCATAAGTGGGAGCTAAGTTATGAGGATGAAAAGGCATAAAAATGACACAACAGACTTTGAGGACTCAGGGGGAAAGAGTGGGAAGGGGGTGAGGGATAAAACACTACAAATAGTGTGCAGTGTATGCTGCTTGGGTGACGGGTGCACCGAAATCTCACAAATCACCACTAAAGAACTTACTCATGTAACCAAACACTACCTGCTCCTCAATAACCTATGGAAATAAAAATATTTAAAAAAATAAGATAGACAGTCTTTTAACCTGTTTAGTCACAAGGTCACAATAAATCCTTCTGAATATTATATTTAAATGTCTAGATTTCAGAGAAAAAGTTGAGTAGACATTCTAACTTACCTTTCTGCTAACTAATCCATACTACATTTCTCCAGTTGATTATCAGGTATTTGTATTATTTTGAAGAAAATGTGTGTTCAGTATAATAGACACTCTTTCAGTAAATTTAGAATGAAAAATAAATAATATTCTTTGTGTTGGTTACTCAAGATTAGATTTAAAATGTCTGAGCATTGGAATCATGCATTCATATAATTTATCTTCTAGTGCTACTTTTTCCTCCAAATGAATTTAGTAACAAAGTTCTCTTGCTTCTTTTTTAATAATATATCTTTGAGGTTGAGTGCTATGTTCATGCCTGTAATTCCGGCATTTGGGGAGGCTGAGGCAGGCAGATCCTTTGAGCCCAGTGGTTTAAGACCATCTTGGGCAACATAGTGAGACCCTATCTCTACAAAGCTTTTTAAAAAATTAGCTGAGTGTGGTGGTACACACCTGTAACCCAGCTACTCGGGAGGCTGAGGCAGGAGAATCACTTGAGATTGGGAAGTCAAGGCTGCTGTGAGCCATGATCATGCCACTGCACCCCAACCTGGGTGATAGAGCGAGGCCTTGTCTCAAATAATAATAATAATAATAATAATAATAATAATAATAGCAACAATGTCTGTTTGTTTTGATGCACTCTTTCGTTTATTTTTGAGTTTCAGCACCAATCTTTTCTTACTGGAGCACTATAATCTGCAAAATGGACCTCAGATACTCTAAGTATGATAATCATGCTAAAACACACTGTTACTCTTCTTTTTAATATCCTTTACTGGCTCCTCATGGCCTTCATTCCTGAAAGTAGGAAGACCTTTCAGTTTTTGAGGTTGGTTTTGAAACTCTCATAACCTTCTGGAGAGCTAAGAGGACTCATAGTGAGTCCTTACACAAAGGAATATGTGTGATTAGTTAGTATTTATTCTAAACTCCAGACTCTAGAATCAAGGCATTAAGAAAAACAAAACTTTTATTTTCTGAGTTATATAGCTTAACTCACCTGGGTAGAAAATAGATGAATTAAGGAAAATAATCTGGAAATAAAAATGCCTATATTTTGCTTTTATTATTTACCTGTGGTTCCTCCAAGAATATTCTGTATAGTTTTAGAGAAAGAGATCCCAACATCTCTAACTTCTCTTCCAAATCTTGTATTCTATAATGTAGTAATTATATGAATGTTACATCTTTATATTTTAGTTAGTTAGACCTCAAAATTGTGCATTTTAAATGATACCTAAGATATGGAAAAAGTAATATAAAAGGACCTTAAATTGATTATCCTCAAGAAGTTTGCAATCTTTCTAAGGTATATGCCTCAATAAAGAAACAATTCAAGGTAGAAGAGAATCAAGTCCTTGACTGTGAGGAAGACTACTCTTGGAGCTAAGATAGAATTGCATGGAAGGCCTCCAGGAAGAAATGCAACCTCAGTCCTTGAAGGATGCCTGGGCTATAGATAGTTGAGGAAAATGGAACCAGGGTTGTGGCAAGTGGAAAGAAGCAAAGGCACAATGTTGTAATGTTGTAATGATCATTAGAAGACCTGACTAATCAGAGAGGAGTCAGGCTTCTGTGTAGTAGGTAATAAATTTGAGTGGTGTGATGCTTAATTTTATATCAATTTAACTGGGGCATAGGCTGCCTAGCTATTTTGTTAAACATTTCTCGGTGTGTCATTTTTTTTTTTTTTTTTTTGAGATGGAGTCTCGCACTGTCTTCTACGCTGGAGTGCAGTGGCACAATCTTGGCTAACTACAACCTCCGCCTCCCGGATTCAAGTGATTCTCCTGCCTCAGTCTCCTGAGTAGCTGGGATTACAGGCACCTGGCACCACACTCAGCTAATTTTTTTGTATTTTTAGTAGAGATAGGGTTTCACTATGTTGGCCAGGCTGGTCTCGAACTCCTGACCTTGTGATCCGCCTGCCTCAGTCTCCCAAAGTGCTGGGATGGGTGTGTCTTTGAAGGAGTTTCTGGATGAGGCTAGTATTTGAATCAGTAGTAATCAGCTGAGTAAAGAAGACCTGCTCTCATTAATGTGAGTGATAGGATCCCATTCATTGAGGCCCAAATTAACACAAAGACATAAAGGAAGAGAAAATTCACACTCTCTTTGTGCCTGACTGTTGAACTGGGACATTAGTTTTCTCCTACACTCTAAGACTGCCACCATCTCTCCTGGTTCTCAGGACTTTGAACTCAGACTGGAATTTACATCTCTGGCTCTCACAGGTCTCCAGTTTACTGTCTGCAGATCCTAGGAACTTCTCAACCTCCATAATTGTGTGAGTTAATATCTTGTAATAAATAAATAAAAATGGGATATGTGTGGGATGTGTGTGTGTGTGTGTGTGTGTGTGTGTGTGTGTGTTCATTGGTTTTCTTTCTCTGAAAAACCCCAATACAAGAGTAGAGGTGGAGCTAAGATTGATACAAATGATACTATTGATATGAATGAGATGAAGACATGTGTAATCAAACTAAAGTGAGGAAGATGATGCTGAGAAGACTTTCAGAGAAAAATCAAGAGCTAAAAGCACATTAGTGGTGGCAAGAATTTTATTAAAAATGAGAAATAAATGAAACCCTCAAAACAGTAGAGCCATCCAAATGAAAATGATTTTCTATCAGTAGCAGATCAACTTTGTGATGTTTCAATGTATTCTCCAGATCCACAGTTCTTTCAATGTACACATGTAATTAATTTAACTGTTTTGTACAACTTATTCTTGCCAATGTTTATTTTAGACTGTAAACCTAAAATAGAATAGGGTTTATAGTATTTAACCTGTTGTACATATGAAATGAGTACACAGAACATTTTTAGGTGAGTATGTAAAATTCTGAAACATGAAATTTTGAAACAGTTCAGGAATTTTTCTCATATTCAGAGTATATATCTGTTTATTTGCTCAGTAATATTTACCAGACCCAACTTCCCTGTTACCATTTTTTGCTCCCACAGTCAAAATAACAAGTAGGGAAGCAGCAAAGCAGTGAGGCTCTATAAATAAAATTAATTGTGAGTCAGGATCTGGGTGCTGGGTGAACAATTAGGCACTTAACTGGCATATGCTGAATGAAAACAAGAGACCTCATATGTTTCAGATTTTCATGGGTCAAACAATTTCACCTGTGAAGTCATCAGAAAGGCAGTTATGGTATTTATAAATAGTTTCAATTCAGCTTACATATTATAATAATTTGACAAAAAATTAATAAGATCTTTGTAAAATAATAAAGTAAATAAATAGCAACCAGAATTGTAGGAGTTTGACTAGACTATCTGGAAGTTGCTTCTCCTAAAGTTTCTCTGCCTGCACTTCCAATTTTATTTCAAAGTTATCCAACAGGTATAAGGATCAAAAAATAGTATCCATCTGTCTGGATCATAGGAGATCCTGTATTTGAACTCCAGAGAAGCACACATGTATTTACACTTTCTGTATTTTATGGAGATATCTTATCCAGACACTCTGTAATAAGCTATTAATATGTCTCTCATTAGGACATAAGCATAACTGTATATATAATTACCATATTGATCATTTTAAGTTGGATATGTTTGAATTTAGGGAGCATTAATCTATACAATACAAACTAATATTAGATATAAAGTATAATTGAAAAATTAAATAATTTTTAAAACAGCATAATTTATATTAAAAAGGATAAAAGTACGCATATACTTATGAAACAAATCATGTATTAAAATAGGCTTTCCCCATTTAATCTGCAAATATTCTATTGTAACTCTTAATCAATAAACAAAACTCTTTGCAACTGGGTGTTTTACCTCCATCTTCAGTAGTTTCATTTATTAAATATGCATGCAGTAACAACTACATGCCAGTACTATTAAAATTCTTTTTTGTTTTATTACTATGCCTCTCTAACATCCATCCTCACCTTTTCTGGTAACGGTAAACCAATTATCTTTAGGACTCATCTCTCTCCTATTTTTGACCTATTGTTAATAACTGTTTCCTCAAACTCTCGTTTTAAATTGTAACTATTAATCTGTGTGAGTAATTTCTTTATTTGCATTATTTTGCCTCCATATTTTCCTCATAGCATTATTATTAAAAAGTGTTGTTGTTCATCTTTCTGCATTTAAAAATAATGGGGGCTAGGCACGGTGGCCCACGCCTGTAATCCCAGCACTTTGGGAGGCCAAGGAGGGCAAAGAACCTGAGGTCAGGAGTTGGAGACCAGCCTGGTCAACATGGAGAGACCCCATCTCCACTAAAAATACCAAATTAGCTGGGCGTGGTGGTTCATGTCTGTAATCTCAGCTACTCAGGAGGCTGAGGCAGGAAGATTGCTTGTACCTAGGAGGCGGAGGTTGCAGTGAGTTGAGTTCACACCACTGCATTCCAGCCTGAGTGACAGAACAAGACTCCGTCTCAAAAATAAATAAATAAACAAAAATAATGGGGAACAATTATGTCAGTAGTTTTTAGAAATCAAAGAGATTCAAAGATTCTGATAATCTAAATTTTAATAATGAAAGCACACACGGAGCACAGCAGAGACTAGATATATTCATGAGAGAAAAATAAAAGGAAAATATAACCTAGACGTTGCCTGTTTAGTGAGTGAAACCAAGTTTAATCCATTAATTCTCATTCAACTCAGGGGAGTTTAAATGTTTTCAATAATGGTTGGAATGAAAGAAAATGGGAGATTTGGTGAAGTGGGAAAAAAAATTGCCAACTACCACTCAAACTACAAATAGTTGTCTTCATGCCTTTTACTCTTTTTAAGAAACATTTTGAAAAGTCCAAATTACTCAAAATCATTCTATCCACCTTGGAAATGATCAAATAGAGGTCAATTTGCCCAGACCATGTAACAATCTAAAGAAAGTTTGGAAGCTGTCTTTGAGCACAGTAAAAGGAAATCAGAGAGAAATCTGGAATAGAATAGCTTTAATACAGGCCACGTGTAATGGAAGGAGAGCTGTTTCAGAAAAAATTGAGAAGTTATTACAATTTCTTTGCGTTTAGTGTTTTTTTGTGTGATCTCTGACCTCTACGTTACCCAACATACCTTTCTGGAGGGCTTAATAAATTTAAAAAAAAATCCACCAAATGCTGGAAGAAGCAAAGACAAAATATATAGATAACCTATCTAAAAGAGACTAAAATTGAAAAATGGGGCTTCCATCCTATTTATTCATTGAGTCATTCATTAAATACCTAGTTGCTAAAGATTCAGAAATAAAGGAAGATGTATTTTAAGGTTCTTACCATGAGACTTCAATTAGTAAGAGCCCTCCAGGGGTAAAAAGGTATATAAAAGAAAGTTTTAGAGATAAGAAAATATACTAGAGAGTGATCGTAGATGGAACCAGAATTTCTATCCAGTGGGAGGAGAATGATCAATTAAGGTGCCAAATTTAGTAAGGCAGTTATGAAATAACATGGATGCTTAAGCAACAGCAGCTTAGGGCTTTGTAAAAATAAAGCAATTGTCAGCTGTCTTCAAACTGGAATCCATGTGACAATATAACTGATCCTTATTAGCACCTATTTTGAAGAAAAGGGAAAAAAATCCATTTTAAATTTCAAATCTATAATTGCCACAAAATTTTCATTTTTTAACGAGGAATTTTTTTAAAAAATAGTCTTCTTCAATTTCCTGTTAACCATGTGTTTATTTACACATCCTACAAGAACTTGATAAAAGATAGAAATAAATACACATGAATGATGGAAAATAGAAACAAAACCTTGATGTAATATAAACGGTTTAATTAAAGATAATTTATTGAAGAGACTACTTACATATGTGAGAGCACACTTAAGGGGACAATAATGAATGGTGAACACCCAGAGACCAGAACAGTGAGACGTTATTACCAACTGTAACCTAAAGGTCAAGAAGAAGGAATGTGTCCTCAAGAGTTTGGAAAGGACTGGGGACATGAAAAGGAGGCTTTGGACAGCACTTGTGACCATTGTGAAATGCAGTCCTTGCAGAAATCCCAGCCAGTCAGAGAGACAGTGTGAAATAACTACCCCCATGTTGCTCATTGTCTGCTCATTCCTCATTTCAGCACTTCCCATTAGCCAAACCCAACCAGAAGCCAGAATGCAAGGGAGTTTGCTTGCTGCAATGAATAGAAGGCAGCCTCTTGTGTTGTAGAGAAAAGTAAAGAAAGACGGAAAACTGATCTGGGAATACAAAGAGTGACAGAGATTAGCCAACACACAAGGAATAATAGACTTCAGCTTCAGCTTTCTTTCATCTGTGAATCTGTACACTTTCATATTGGCTAGACTGAACTACATTTCCCAGAATTTCATTTTGCATATGTTTCCAGTTAGAATGGGCGGCCATGAGAGAATTCTTTGGGAAGATATAGAGAACAGATATCACATTATATGCCTACTATGTGGCCATTATACTGGGTAAAATATAAATAAGTTTACAGAAATTAAACCTCCCGTTTAGAAAATAGGGTACCCCAAAGCAATTCAAACCCTGCTGGATAGGAACCCAGGAGGTGGAGGTTGCAGTGAGCTGCGATCATGCCACTGCACTCCAGACTGGGTGACAGAGCAAGACTCCGTCTCAAAAAAACATAAATAATGGGGAACAATTATGTCAATGGTTTTTAGAAATCAAAGAGACTCAAAGATTCTCATAATCTAATTTTAATAATGAAAGAGAGCACACATGGAGCACAGCAGAGAGTAAGTATATTCATTAGAGAATAAACAAAGGAAAACATAACCTAGATGTTTGTGTAGTGAGTGAAGCCAAGTTTAATCTACTATTTCTCATCCAACTCAAGGGAGTTTAAGTGTTTTAAATAATGGCTGGAATGAAAGAAACTCCATTCCTCACCAGTGGAGAAAATTCCTTGACTCTCCTATCAGCTACTTGACTGTAGTTGGTGTTACAGCTTGGGTACCTCTTAGAGACTGTACTGCTTTTATAGCACTCTTTCTGCTTATGCAGACTGGGGATCCTTTAGAGGTGACCTGATCACAGCTTCTGTTAAGCTTGTGGTTTCTGTAGTAATCCAATTGCCTCAAAAACTTAGTAGAAA
The DNA here is from genome assembly GCF_000001405.40 of Homo sapiens. Taxonomy (NCBI): domain Eukaryota; kingdom Metazoa; phylum Chordata; class Mammalia; order Primates; family Hominidae; genus Homo; species Homo sapiens. The sequence goes on along the minus strand of NC_000008.11, from coordinate 77,177,579 downwards.
TTCAGTCCCCTTGCTTCTGATCACTTGTACATTTAAGTAAACACAAACCATATTCTCTCAAGATATAGTTTATAAATCTGGTAAGTCGGATATTTAGTTTTTGATCTCTGATCTGTGCCATCTGCCTCTCTTGTGAAACAACAGGCTTGGGTGAGAAGTCAACCCCACTCATATGATCTTTGGACTACGTTGGCACCTATCACAGGCTGAGAAATCTGCTTCCTTCAGTTGGTAAAAAAAAAAAATCAGTAGACTTTGTTTCTTTTTTAAATTTGAGATCCCAAACTATCCAACTGTCAGTCAACTTACATTACAAGCTGTAAGCAGAGAGAACTTGGCAAGTAGGCTAATCTATCTTCACTTTCTCTGTATAAAAATATTAAGAAAACACATTCTTAATATCTTCTAGATCTCACGTAGCTCATTGTCTGTCTTCCAATGTATGGCAGGCAACAGTTTATTTCATATTGTTCCCTGGTATAATCTTATGCCAACATTTCAGCTTCTAACATTTGAGCCCTCACTACAGTATTATTTCCAATAAACCAAAGCCATATATTTGTAGCTCTATCTCATATAGCACCCACTTCTGAAATACAAAGGGAAATTTACCAAAAAGCACATCTAAAAGAATGTAAAGTTGCTTTTCAGAAGCAAGACTCAGAAATAGAAAAATCTAGTTGTCGTTTTTTTACCTCAAATAAAACATTCAATAAAATAGTATACCTCTATATATAAATTCAGCCTAACAGGAGCCAACATAGCCCCAAAGATCAGACTTCAATGTATATAATAATATAAATTTTGTCCAAACTTGTAAGACTGATTGTAGTGATGATAGACAATGGTAGTATTGTCTAGGGGAGTGGTTTTCACTTGGGATCTCCTCCTGAAGTGGTCATTTGGCAACGTCTGTAGACATTTTTGTTGTTAATGACTGGGAGTGAGGATGTGCTATTGGTATCTACTGAACGAAAGTCAGAAACTCTGCTAAATGTTACATAATACACAGGAGAGTTGCCTCCCCACCGTGCCCACAGCAAAGTATTATCCAGTCAAAATGTCAATTAGTGCTGAGGGTGACAAATTCTAGTCTAGACCCCTCCATAGAAAAGACTAAACCTGTGGGGAGGAGCTATAAAACCATAAATATGGCACCCCTAACCTCCACATTGAGCAAACAGAGGGTGGATATCTTGGAACAGCAGAACACACAAATAGAAGGTCTGATTCGGGCAATGGAACCTTTAGCATGGAAGCAGAAGAAGTAAAGACGCTTCTATATCATTTGGAGGGATTCATATGGCTGCCTATATGGCTGGCCTTGTAAGCCTTGTGGACATCACAAATAATACTGGTCCCAGAATCTGCCAAAGTTTCCTTCAACATTAATATATTAATTGGTTTGATTAGATGAGGGGCATTGAATTAACATAAAATTCCATCAGTTCAACATAGGAAAAAAAAAACACTCCAAGCATATGCTCCACCAATAGTAGATCAGTTACTTACTAGAGACTGATTAATAAAGTAATAAAGGGGAAGAAAAACAATTATTTTGATGGATAGATGAACTCCAGAGTATATATACTAATTTAGTTATTTAATTTTCATTACACTTATGAAAAACTAGAATTTAATACTATGCATATTTCTTTAGGGAGTTTCATTTTTAATTAGATATGACTTGAGCTCACTCTTTTCCCACTGCTGAAATAATGTACAAACTCGGTGTGTGTGTGTGTGTGTGTGTGTGTGTGTGTGTGTGTGTGTGTGTGCATGCTCACAGAGAAGTAGGCTTCTGTATAAACAATTTCTATTTCTTCACACATACACCCAGATGTATCTTCAGCGTAACACAATTACATAAGACAAAACAAAGGGACATAAGAAATTATTCCAAGGGAATTTACCTACTACACTAAACATTTTTCTCATCTCTCCTAGAGTATGGTTTTAATTTTGTTTACATGATTTTAAATCTTCTTTTACTTGAAAAATAAACTTCAAGTTATGATTTAAGAAACAATATACAGGTGATAATTCTAGATATAAACTATTGTTCCTAGAGTACTTTTTCAGAGACAAAGGGAAGTTCTTTTTTTTTTTTTCTTTCAAGACAGAGTAGAGACAGGAAAGTCTTTTTAAAAGAGCAATTTGTTTTTTAATAGAATCCTGGTGGGATGGCAAAATGGCCAACTAAAGTTACTTACTAAAATAATGTTAAGCATTGTGAACCTAAATACACTCTCCCAGATTTTAAAATGAAGGTTTTTTTAAAGAAAAAGTAAATGAAAATTAAAAATATATAGAATGTCATCAGTAAATCTCAAAAACATAATTTAATAAAGCAAGTTTTAGGTTTTATATAATTAAGTGTCATTTATATACTTTTTTTTTCAAAAAAAGCAATACTACGTATGCTATTGGCTACACACACACGTTTAAAGGACTGAAGGGATGGACATCAAATTAATGATCAATGACTGATACAAATGGGGAAGGAAGAAGTAGGGAAGAAGCTGGGACAGGGATGTCACTGGGGAAAATGGAGCGTCATCTTTATTTGTAATGTTTTACTTTATTTATTAAAAAATATTCAAATAGATTATGACGAAATGTTAATTCTCTGTGAAGTGTGCAAAGATGTTTGCCATATTGTTTTTTGAGTTTACTGTACTTTTAGATTTCACAAAATAAAAATTATAATTAAAAATTAAGCAGGAGAGAGTGTCTGAGATATAAATGTAAATATTGAAAGATCAACAAAAAATTATCATAATCATAGCATAGTTGAGGGTCCACACAACCACACATAGTCATGAGTGAACTATGGAATGTTAAAGACAGAGGACCAAGAATTGAAGCAAGAGATATAAGCAAGATGGTTTATAAGAAATAGGCCTTGTGAACTATGGCAACAAATCTGTAGATTTTCTTGAATTTAATCAGAAGGCACAAAAGAAAGTTGGTAGGAGGAAAGCTCTCAGAATTATGTATTATGAAGTTTGCACAGGGAACAATATGGAAGAAAGCTTGAGGAAAAATAAGAGCTGAGTCTGGTAAACTTAAATGGCTATTGCGTTAGTCTAAGCAAGGAATAACAAAGTGCTTGAGTAAGAGAGTGTCAGTCGAATAGGAAGGAAGAAATTGATGTTTCTTAACTAAGGGCACAGCAGTGGAATAGAGGGAAAGAAATTTATAAAATTTAATTGACAGAAATTGGTAAATATATTGTGACAAAGACAAAAGCATCCAGGATACCTTTGTTTCAGGTTAGGGCAACTTGGTGAACATTAGAAAAAGAGATAAAAACTAACAAATATAAATACTGAGTTGGTTTTGTGGAGAAGAGCACACTGACTTTTTAAAATGTGGGGGCACTAATATCTTTTTCCTCATTGGCTATTAGTCCACTCTTTTTTTATTCTCATGGTTCCCTTTTATGAGGCTGTTAATTACATTGTCCACATATCTCTAACACTCTTCTAACAGATTTCCTCACCTCTAATTTCCACAATCCCCATGCCAATGGACACAGTAGAGTCAGATTACTTTTCCTAAACTACTCCCTTTTACTCATTCAAGGTTGAATTCATAGTACATGGAAAGTTCCTAAGGAGAAAGAGCACTAGAGCATATTATATTTGCAGAACTAAAACAAGCCCAGTGGAGCTTGCATGGACATTTTGGGGAGAAGATTCCCAGATGATACCGGAAAAAAATATGTTGAGTTTTGTTCGAAATTTCAGACGTATCCTAAGGATGGTGGTAAGAAATTGGAAACTAAGGAGTAAGCAACATGACCTATGTAGTTGGAAATATTGGCCTAATATAAGCAGAGAAACATTTTCCAATATAACTTCTTCCACGCAGCCTTTATAAAAACAATGTAATTATAAAAGACAGAAAAAGGAAATAATGGAAGACAGGAAAAGGAAACCTAACATATGCATATTTGATATTTCTGAATAAGAAAACAGATACAATTTAGAATATATATTTAAAAATATACCAGAATACATTTTCCTGAAATGAAGACAAAATTGAATCTGCAAGTAGAGGGAGTGCATCTAATCAGAAAAGAAATGATAAAGGATAATTTTGCCAAAGCATGTCTTCTTGAAGTCATTGCATTTCAAGAATAAAGACTTATATAGGCATCCAGACAGTAAGGGAAATTCAGTCATAAGAGGGCGATATGGTTTGGATTTGTGTCCCTGCCCAAATCCCATGTCACATTGGAAGAGGGGCCTGGGCCTGGTGGCAGGTGACTGGATTATGGGGGTAGATTTCCCCATTGCGGTTCTTGTGATAGTGAGTGAGCTTTCATGAGATCTGATGGTTTAAAATTGTGTGGCACCTCCCCATAAGCTCTCTGTCCCTCTCTCTCTCCTGCCTCCTTGCAAAGACATGCTTGCTTCCCCTTCGCCTTCTGCCATGATTCTAAGTTTCCTGACGCCTCCCAGTCATGCTTCCTATTAAGCCTGTGGAACTGTGAGTCAATTAAACCTCTTTTCTCCATAAATTACCCCTTCTAGGGTAGTTTTTTTTTATTTTTGTGGTGTTTGGGGCTTTTTGGGAGATGGAGTCCCACTCTGTCATCCAGGCTGGAAAGCAGTGAATGGAGTACTCATGAAATTTTTAAAAAGAAAAGGTTAGTGGATCATAAAAATCTCTTTAACAAAAAGGTAAATCAAAAATTTCAAAGCTCTAAAATTGATAAATCATTAAAAAAATTATGTAGTAGTGAGCATGGGATCCAATTAAATAAGGCTAAGTAACGGGGGATTACGGTTACACAACAAAATGTAAATCTTATAGACCCTGACCTTACAAAAATTACTTAAACTTTTTTCAAGGAATTATTCTTTTTTGCATGTATTGACTTTCTGCTATTTAAAAAATGGGGAAATTAACAAGGATATACTTTCTTTCTCCATTCTGGCTTTATTCTAACTTCTAATTACCTCGCATTTATCAGTCACACAAACACACACATACACACACACTTCAAAAAACACACCATGATTTTTAGAGGTGATACAGACTATATCCACATTAAGGAAGAGGGATATAGTCCTATCTTATCATCCCTCAGATTCCCTGGCCTAAATCACGGGTAGTGCTTTACATTATTTTGAGGACTGGTTTCAGTCCTGTGCTTGTAGGAAAGCTAGATGCCGGTACACAAACAATGAAGCCTATTAACACCTTTGCCAAATAATAGAGCCATCTGCCTGGATGTCTTCCTTACACAGAAGAGAAATCAGGCAGACCTTGAAGGTTAAAACCATTTCTTTACTTTTTGCTAAGTCACCTTCTGCTCACTGATCTTTAAAATCTGAAACTAGACATTTGTTTTCCTTCTTTCTACAAACAAAATCAAAGTGGGGCTGCTTTGTTCTTCCAGGTACACTTACAATGATTTTTAATTCTTTTGTTGTAACATTTTAAAGTATCAATTGTCTACATGGACTGCCCCACAAAAAGTTATTTCCCTAGACTCTGTTCTATAAGCAATCCAGAATTTTGATCAAGTGCATTAACCATTTGTGTTTCTTCCACTTCAGGTGCAATAAATTACAGTTGGAGTTTCAAATTAACATGTAAGATATCGAGTTTAATTAATTTCGTTGATTTTGAGATAAAGGTCAAAGCTTAAAGAAAATTAGAAAGAAGCCTATTGAAGAAAAATTACGAAACATAAATGTATGGACCTTCATAAGGTCAAAGTAAACCTAAGAGATTTTCTGGAACAGATCATAATTTTAACACAGAGGGGATAAACTATTTAATTTGCTTTTTATAAAGTTATTCAGTTACCCATGTTGTATCTCTGTGACAAATACAAGCTGCTTAATATCTATTTCCTTGTTTCTAAACATAGTAAATTGTTATCACATTGATAGAAATTAATGACATTGTTTATCATTTATTTAAAAATGACTGTATAATTTTAATATCATTATGCTGGTTTCCTCTCTCCAGTCTGACATTATGTTCATTTGTACTCTCAAGTAAACATTTTATGAAGGGAATTGCCTGAATATCACCAAAAGTATTTTTAATTTAAGATTTAATATAGACTTAAGTTCATCAATTAAGGAAGCCAAATATTCTCAGGCAATATGTAGCATATTCATGGATCATCTTGTGTTTGCTATCTCAACTGAAAAATCAACTGAAGCTTTTAAAGAGGAATGAGTGTGTTGTACCTATGCTTCATGGCATAAAAAAGTATTTTTGCAAGACAAGTTTTTCTTAAAAAATTAAATATTATCTTAATTTTTTAACATATATCCAACTCAATAAAATGACAGCAAATTATTTATATATTGACTAATCTATGAAAATGTAATCCCAATTATCTTGAGAATACAGACTCAATTATTGCTATTTCAGATCTTTTTTATTTATTTTGCATGAAGAGTAGCATCTTTAATCCAAACCCTTAATTGCCAATTCTCTCCTCATACACACCCAGTTCTACTTTCAAAACAGACATACAAGCAGGAAAAGTACATCCCTTGACTGCATCATATGGGAAAATAATCTATTCTCAGTATTGAATATGTAAAAAAGGGATGGCAGAATATAAAAACTAGGAAACTTCCTGATTCTTCTTGCACAGGATGGATTATTTCATTTAAACTAAATTTCCTAAACTCAGCTCCTATAGTTTTTGGTCTGCACCAGTTGTTCCAAGACTTTCACATTTCATGGAGCAAGAAGTTACTAAAATAGAATAAATGCAGAGCCTGGCATAGTCAGTATTTAATTTTGTTACGTAGGAATATTAAAATGTCATTATTTCACTAAACATAGGACATTTTGACTCCAAAAAGATAGGATGAACATAACTTTAGATTAAATTTAGAAACAGTTTATAATTTTATACTAACATGTATACAACGCTATATTCAATTTTCTTCATTTCATTCCAGACTCCTGAAAATTATCACAAGTGAAATCTACCTGTAGTATAGTATTAGAAATCACTGTTGTACTCAGCACAGCATTCACCCCACTCCGTCTTGTATGGATAATTTTTTTAATCAATTTTGTTTTACTTATCAAACTTTTTCTGCTTTGTATCACTCACAACAGGGGTTCCCAACCCCTAAGCCACAGACCTGTACCAGTCTGTGTCCTGTTAGGAAATGGGCCGCACAGGAGGAGGTGAGTGGCAGGTGAGCGAGCATTACAGCCTGAGCTCCGCCTTGCCAGATCGGTGGCGGCATTAGAGTCTCGTAGGAGCGCGAACCCTATGAGAACTGAAGATGCAAAGGATCTAGGTTGCACATATCTTGTGAGAATCTACTAATGCCTGATGATCTGAGATGGAAGAATTTCATCTCAAAACCATCCCCTCCCCGCCGCCCCACCGTCCATGGGAAAATTGTCTTCCACGAAACCAGTCTCAATGACAAAAGGTTGGGAACTGCTGTCCCGCAACACTTTTGTCAAATAATTCGCCCATTTGTATATACCAACACAAAATACCAGAATAAAATGACTAGTGGGTTATGCCAATTAGACTTTTGTATACTTTTCTTTCTTACTAAGATGAGTAAATCAAATTTATTCTTAAGTAAGAATTTTCTAAATAAAGCTAAAAGATTTTAGTACATTATTACCAAAAAGGAAGTTTGGTATAAAGAAATTATATTGTATGAAGCAAGAGTGTTCATTTTTAAAAAAGTTCTTATCAATTTAATTGCTTACTGAAGTCCCCCATCATGTCTAATAAAGGAATTTGCCTACTTAAAGTTACTTAATTATATTCTGTGTGACTGTAGAGCTTCTCTTTTGATTGTTTGTTGTGTTAAAAAGCAATTAATGACTAACGCTAACCTGTTAAGTAACTCACCTCATTTGTCTACCATCTGTATATTAGATATTAATACCTGAAAGAGTGCCAGTTTCTTATGAAATAGGCTTTTAAATGTAAAGTCATTCAGTTTTATAAAGTAAATTTATATTAAACTAATTTTAATCTTAATATATAATCTTGTATATAATTATATATACATATAATTTATAATCTTAATATATATTAAGATTATATACTGATACTTTTTTAGTATTTTGGGTCCTTGTACTTTTCATTCGCACTGCTACAACCTAAAATATTAAGTATGCCCTTACTAAGTGTCAAATATTTTATGTAACTCAGAAGAACATTTCCCCAGAGTTGATGACAAGCTCTTATCTCTGACATGCTTTGGAAATTAATATTGAAAGTCCAGTTATCTTATTATATTGTCTTCAGGATAGTTGCGATTTTTCTAACTTTATCTTTGAACTTACATAGAGGTTAGATTCTCAAGTCAAAAATCCCTTGAGTAAACCCAATGAGTTTTAAGTTTTACTATTAAGCATTTAGTCAACTCAAGTTTTATCCAAAATTTTTAAAAATTTTTCTTAAAATTATGGAAAATTCAGTAACTTAGCCAAATATTCTTGAAAGCTCACTATTCTAATAAATATATTACCAATTAATTTAACATTTTCCCCACATTCCAATGTCATCACATGCAACTTGTACAACTGTTTACCATGACTGATAATCATGTTATGGCTTGTATTGCACATGCTTACACATGAATTATTTTTGTATCATTTTACCTTTAAGTATCCAGTTTTGTCAGCACTCTGTCACAAATTGTAAAAAAAAAAATTCAACTTCTTTATTTCCCAATTTTTCATATACATTTTATATTTTTATTATTACGTGATTAGATGAATTAGTATAAAACAAACTTGGTAGTACTCATATAAGCAATCTCCTCATACCCACATCGTTACCAGAGCCTAATCTTGTTGGAATGCTGACCCTCTTTGCATGCATGAACTCACGGAAGTGTGAATACTTTTCCTTATGGACTGGTTGCTTTCACAAACTATTGATTAACAAATAGTGTGCTATATAAAGGTAGAGTATACAGTAAGTACTTTAGACAATAAGAAGTACATATGCATGATATTTTAAGTTAAACAAAATGAAACTGCCATTCTCCTCAGTCAAAAATGTTCAAGTATTACCAACATTATATGGTTCAGCCTAACAATTTTCTAAACATCCCATTGGTACCATAGAGTAGAGATATGTAATTAGTGTATATTAAGTGTTCTTTATTTGATCCTTCAGTTTGCTACCTAAAGTTTAAAATGGAATTTCCTTCATTAGTCTGTAAGTTACCTTCATTGGCCTTCCTTAAAGAGGAAATCCTAGTTTCTTTAAACTAAGTCAAAAACTTTATAAGCATCTCCATCCATGATAGTAAAGTTGTAAAACTTCAGGCATCTATAAAACATGCTCACTTCTTTCATGAATACCTACAGGGCTCAAGTAGAAACCGTAGAATGATTCAGATGGTAAGTTCCATGCATATAATAATATGACCTGAGTAAACCATTAAATATGAAAATATAATGAAAGTGAAAAAAAAAACTTCCATTACAGAGTGCTTCATCACGTTTTGCAAAATAAATATGAACAATGTATTCTGAAATATTATAATTTGTTGTCATTTAAAGTGACATTTTATAACTTTTTTGCATGGTTTTAAGTCAGCCATTTGGGAGTTTATTCAATCCATTCTCCTAAACATGACCCCTACCAATTTTAAGAAAGAAGCATATAGAACTTAAGAGTCGATTGGATTTGCTTTCAATATTATTTTAATTGAAAATATAATACAGTAATTGAGGAGGAATTTAACTTTTTTCCAAGTTCTTCACAGTATGTTCTATTTAATTCCAAAAGTATATTTTCTACAAATTGTACATTGCCGTGTCCTACAAAACCAAAGATTGTTTACTTTCAGAAACTTTAAACACTGCTTTAAATGCATAGAGTTCTCCACAAAAATGAGATTAGCAGCTTCAGTACTGCAGTGTAGCAATATTATCAAAATTATTACAGAAATCAATAATACTTTCATTTCCAGAACTAATCTGATGGTAAGATCTTGTTTATATAGATATTAAACAAATGCATTATTCACATTTTGTAATGATTTTTAGAGAAGAAAAGACTTTTTTTAATTATCATATGGAATTGGTATAATAAATGAGTATAAATTTTATTAACAGAAAGTTAATTTACATAAAACAAATGCTCATTGAATTATTGAATATGATAATATCTACATGCCTATTCCTGTTTGTCATATTTTGTGCCTTTTGGCGACATCAGAATTATAACAATTTGATTTATGCATTAAATTTAATGCATAATATGACAACATACAGATATGTATGCCTTATAATGTATAATTTAAATATGATTGCTATATATTTCACCTATTCTTTCATGGCTTTACCGATTTTCTCTTGCAGCCAGAAATCACGATTAAAATGCAGGTTGCCAGATACGAATGTCTGTTTGAATTAATGAATATTTTCGTAAAAATACTCCAACTATAAATGTTTTAAAAACCTTGTCATACGCTCACCAAACTTACACATGACAGCTAGCATGTGTTACTGCATTTTCATCTTAAATATTTGATGATTGCCTCTTTAAATCCAAGATTCATAACCCAAAGGCTTTCATTTTCTTACACCATGTGTAATTCAAAAGACATTTATTAGTACAGTCCTCTTTTTATGCATCAACAAAATGTATCTGAAGAAAGCAATATATGAACTTCCCAGAATTTTGGACATTTTTAAGGTATTAATTATACATAACAATATTTTATAATATGTATACACTATTTATACTCTTTCTCCCTCTCCCTCCCAATGGAATAAAGATAGTATTTACAATAAAGAAGATTCTGGTTAAACATTAAAAACTACAACACAACTGGAATCTCTTTTATGTTACATTAAAAATGTGTAAACATTTCCTAACCTACCCACACTTTCAGGAAATGATTATAGTGCACAGCTGCAATTTATGAGGTTCTGAGAAACACCAATGCTCTTCTAATAACTCTTTAACAATGATGTCAGTTTTTAAGTCATAAATTTAAATTTAAAATGGATATTTTTAAAGGTAAATACGAGTAACAGGTACAGAATCATCGTTAGTATTTAGGAAGGAATCCAACTAATGATCATCAGAACAATCCCTTAGTAGGTTGTGATTGAGGATTGCCCATTGATGGGTCACTCTCACTTGACCTTGGGTGTGCAGGAAGGTAGTTCACCATGGTAACCTTGGTCTTGATGCTTGCCATACAGTAAATCATTTCAGTCTCTTCATGTAATTCTTTTATTGGCTGTGCAATTGAAATGTCATGCTTCACGAACAGAGAAGCTAGTAATTTCTTATGGGTGATTAAACCACCTTTCTAATGTATGAACATGGATGAAGTGGTATGCAACTATTTTGACACACCCTGAGTTCATCATAATTTTCCTCTGTGTATGTTTTATTTTCACATATCTTCTTTTAACACACACTGAGTTCATCATCACAATTTTCCTCTGTGTGTGTGTGTGTGTGTTTTTGCATATCCTTGTAAACACATTTCACCCTAACATATTTTTTAATATCTAAGTATTTGTAATATTTCAGTATACAATCAAATATCTGGTATTGTTTGATGAGTTATATGATGGTATTTCTACCTACAGAAAATATATGTGTTTATGTGCTTAAATATAAGGCAAAGCTCTTTAAATAATACTGAAATTTTTAAAGGCAGGCAAGTTTTAAAAGGACAGTTTGGGCCTTAAGCCAAAACTGACATTTCACCTTTAATTATGTGAAAATCAAAAGAATGTATTTTAATGACAAATTATGAGAAAATCATGAAAACCATACTTTCTTTAGAAAGCAAGAGTTATAAAATTGTTTTTTTCTTTATGAACTGTTCATGTCAATATCTGTAGACAATCATTCACTTATGCTTTTATAATAAAATTCAGTTTTTTTGAAGCACAATCCATTCAATTATATGACTTTCACAATCACATCTGTCAAGATCCCAGCCCCTCAGCCCTCACATTTGTTGAAAATCTTGGTACTTTGCTCACAGTATATCTATTCATAGCAATTTCTGCCATAATCCTGGGAGATTTTAAAAGCCACATGGACAAGTCGTCCCAAATTCTGGCCTCCCATTTCTTCAACTCCTCATCTCCAGTGACTGTCTCTTCGGCCATCCACTCTCCCAAACAAACACTGGACTTTGGCATGCCTGAAACTCTTCAAATCTTAATTTTGTTACTTTAAGTCTTCTGAATTCTGATTACTATCAGCTTTTTTTTTTTTTTGAGACGGAATCTCGTTCTGTCTCCCAGGCTGGAGTACAGTGGGGCGATCTCAGCTCACTGCAACCTCTGCCTCCCAGGTTCAAACAATTCTCTGCTTCAGCCTCCTGAGTAGCTGGGATTACAACACCCACCACCACACCTGGCTAATTTTTGTATTTTTAGTAGAGATGGGGGTTTCACCATCTTGGCCAGGCTGGTCTTGAACTCCTGACCTTGTGATCCACCCGCCCTGGCTTCCCAAAGTTCTGGGATTACAGATGTGAGCCACCACACCTGGCCACTATCAGCTTCTTAAATTATTTTATTATTATTATTTAACTAAACTAACTACAACCTTAAAACTTATTAAACTGAAAACTCCAATTTGTTGATTCCTCTACCATCTTTCTATAATTAGTCTCCAGAACTTCACCTCTATCCTTACCCGATTACATTATGAGACCTTGTTCGAATCACTGCATTTATATTATCTAATTCCTGTTCCTCTCTGCATTTACATATATCTCACCCACTTTAAAGACACCAAATTTGGATGGCCCCAGTAGTCTTCTTTCTCCAGCCCTGACTTCAGGCAGCTGAGACTTGCTAGAAAAAAACACACTACAGGTAATATTGACACCTTTACATTAATTAATAATCACCAATCTTAAAGGAATACTTAAGACTTCCTGGCAATTTTACCATATTTATTGGTAACTTTTCTGTTCTGCACGACAATTTCTGCCCTCCTACATTGTCTACAAACCACCAGACTTTCACAGAAACCTCATTCCCAGTATATTGCTTCACCTTCTACTACACAGAGTAAATAGATGCAATGAGAGGAAAATTTCCTGCCATCAAACCTATGAACATACTTTCATTTGTCACAGTCTCATATTATTTCTTTTTTAAAATAGGTGTTTTCCTACAGCCAACTCGAGTTCCATTTCCCTCCCACTTCCCCATGTTTCTCAGTATCAGTGACCCCTCCTCTAACTCTATTTTTCAATCTTGTTTTCCATCAACTCTATTTTTCTTCTTTCCCTGTATTTTTCACCAACATGTATATCACAATTCAGTATTGTATTTATTTAAATGATTTTGAATTAATATCTGCCTCCACCAACACTGTTAACACTAAAAGGTCACCATTATGATACATATAGGAGCTCAATAAATCTTTGATAATAAATAACAATAGCAGAAAGCCTTTGTACAGCATATACAATATGTCAAGCACTACATATATTAACTTATTTAATACAAACTTATCTTCATTTTATAGATGAGAAATCTCAGGCACAAAGACACAACAGAGAAGTTGACAGACACACTGTTATAAGAATTTTGTTCCAGAATTTATGATCTAATAACTACATTGTTTATGAATTAGCAAAATAAAATTATTACAACATAGCACCCCAAAAGACAAAAATAATATAGCTGTAAGATTTAGTCTATATTTTTATAATGCACAGTATAACTATGAAGAAGCAAAAGCGAAGATTAATAAACGTTCAGGGCTTTTTCCATTTCTTGGCAGTTTGAATTTCAAGTGTGGAAAAGGGTATTCGTGATTTTTTTAATATTATTATTAGTATACTTTAAGTTTTAGGGTCTTTGGTTCCTTAATTTCATTCTGCTGCTTCTCAGCAGATGAGCAACATTCTAAGGCCGGGTTAATATTAATGATGAATAAAGAAGGAAGAGAAAATCAAATTCTGGAATATAGGACATTGGTTTGTTTGGGAATTATAGCAAATTACCTTCAGTCTATGTGATTCCTCTGGGCAGGAACAAAGGGAAATGAGGAGATGAGGGCTGACTCTGGCTATTGAGACATAAAGAAAATGCTGGAAAGGAAGAGTGTCATAACGATAGAGGCAGTGGGGGAACATTTATAGAGAAAGAGAAAACTCAAATAATATCCCTCTTCCAATTCTGGCTTAGCTCCACTAAATTCTTTAGAGCTGAATCTACATAGCCTTCAAAATATAAGGAAGAATCACACTCATTATATTTCATTTTTCACCAACACTCTATAAAGTATTGAATAACTGAATATAATATCTGATTCAATAATCAAGAGAAGAGGAAGCAATTTTCAACAAAGACATCCTCCATGGGAAAAGAAACACACTTGAGAGAATATAAGAAGGCTTTCAACTCAGTGGGAAGGGAATGTGAAAGCACTTCATTGAAGCTCATTGTAGCCTGTGCACAGTTTGCCTGCCAAGAAATGCTCATTCAAAATAGAGAAATAAATTCCCATTCACTAATAAACACAGTCAAATTCAAAGTTCCTTTACAAAGTTAAAGTCTATAAATATCTCATAAGTGGGTTATGTCTTAATGTAGTTCCTCCAAATTATATTTTATCACAAGGCTTTTTAAGTTATTCTATTCTTTGGCTTCAGTTTTTCATGGCATAATCATGTGGTCTTTAAATTATTCAGATTTCCATAGAAGAAGATCATCATTCTCCATCCACTGAGATTTGTAATGTGGGGATGTTTAATTTTGCAGGTTTTGTACATATGGATAAATAGGGCACAAGAAGATTGATTACGCAGTGTGTTAGCCATCAGGATCCAATCCTCTTGTCAGCCAAGGCTTAAGTGTTGTCTCTTTACTTGAACGTTGACCCAGGAGTCAGGAAAATAGCCCAGGGCTTGTATTTTCCAATAATGTACTGGAGACCTATGACAAGTTCACAGCCAAGTAGTAAAGCACTTCTTAACTCACAGGACCATCAAACAGGATTAAGTGCTTTGAAATCCATGGATAACAGGTGCTCCAAGGACTGAAGAGCTCACCAGGTTGCCTCTTTCCCTCCCGGTCACTCATCTCCTCACCCCTACACTAGAAGAATATTGATGAAAGGAATCACACAAGATGCCCATAGCAACAAAGAGTAATGCAGAGGAAGCTATCAATTTCTCATATACAGATTTTGTGCTGTGATGCTGAAAATTCTACAGTGATCTTTAAAAACATTCACCTTTTATTATTTGTTATAATTTCCAAACTCCTTAGAAGACTTTTATTAAATAATAAAATTTTATTTTACAATTGTAGACTTGCTTTCAAATTAAAATCATTTCTCATAATATGTTGTTAATGTTATTAGCCAATTTCAGAAAGTTTTAAAAAAATGTTTGATAAAGAAGTAAAATTACCCAGTAAGTTAGTAGTACATCTAAAGAAGGACTGGAGATGACCTAAAATAACATTGAGATGAGAAAAAAAAATTTTGAACTTAACCAATGGTACATTAGTTAATAGAAGTTCTCTGATTTATAAAATTCAATTACTTAAAAATCCATAAAACATTATTACAAAATAATTTAATTTTTTAATTTAGAAAAGAATATCAAAGATTTCCTTGAAATAAAGCAAGGTGGTAAAATATTATTCAATATGAAAAAATTACTTCACTGATTTTAGAAATTCACACTTACTTGGCATTGCGAAACAGGGTATACCTGCACTGTACTGTATCTCCAGTTGTACAATTTTCTAAATCAATGGCCTTCAAAATATGTTTTTCAATCCTTAAAATTATTTTAAAATAAATTCACATCTCTCTTTTCCTCATGACAGGGCTAAGTGGTCTCTGTAGAGGTCCCAGGAGTCTGTAAACCTCAGTTTCAAAACGTCTGTATTAAATGAAGTCTCCAGTCTCTTCCACTCCAACTGACTTGTGTTTTGGTGAGATAATAGCTCACTGAATACTTGTGTTTCTCATGGATACCATAAGAGACAGGGGAACAATAAAATTGTCATCTTTGTGATATAGTAAAATATTTTATGACTAGCTTATTTTTTAAAGAAACGTAAAAATACTCTAGTATAGTAGACTACATTGTACATAGCTGAATTTTTTAAGACATGTCAAAAAGGCAGAGCAAGCCCTTGAAAAAAAAAATTCTTACTGACCTTTCCATCTCACTGTAAAATTAATTTGTATTGTTTGTAAGAGGAAAAATACAAGAGCAGAAATCACCTAAGAAAAGTATCTAAACGTAGGAACAAATGCCTTTAAATGTTAGTCAAATTGATTTGCATATTTTCCCCTACATTTACCTGAAAGGAAACTTAAATAATTCCAACTTGGCCTTAATGCACAGATATAATGTTCAATGGTCAGCCAGAGCAGCTGAGAAACTCTGACATACAAGAAATAGAAAGGCTATGCCATCTAGACAGCATGGTGGAGAGTGCTAGGTGCAACTCCCAGTACTGACTGCACAGATCCATATATTGTTGACATTCTTTCTTTTTGGATACTGCCTGGATTCCAGCCCAGCCCCCAGGGTGAGTGATCATTCTTCACTCTTAAAGTTATAGAAAAATAAGAAGAGAGCTCACGTTTATTTTTTATTTTCACCAAACCCATTAACAGTAATGACAACTGAAAACTTCAGAGACAGAGTTTATAAAACAAACTTTTTATTATACCAAATAAGTACTTGAAAAAATTTAAGATGCTTTGGTGAACTAACATATAACTAGGAAAATTAACTGTTTTTAATGTTACTCAAACTTATTTACGTGTTTTTTCTCAAAATGTACCTAGAAAAAATGTATATTCGTTCAACTTGACTATAAAATTCAGATGTAATGTAAGATGGGCAGTAAAATTAAATTGAGAATTCAGCACAAGTAAACAAAAGGAAAGAAATTCTATGAAATGCCCAGATACGTGCCCATATGTAAAAAATAAATAAAAATACCCTTTCCTTACTTTGAACAGAGTAATTAATTTTATACTCTTATTTTGTTTTCTTGATAAAGAAATCTCTTGGATCTTTTTGTAACTATTTTCTGTTCATTTTCATGTTTACTATATACCTAAGTAAGTTCCATTGCTTTCTTATAAGTTAATAGACCTTGTATATAACTTGAAAAACTAACTTATGTAGTAACTCATAGTAAGTGTCTATTAAGAGCTCCCATGACAATGCCCATAACAGTACAACCCACAGAATTATCTTGTTTTGTGCAATGAAGCCTTTCTAGAAAGCCCTGCATCAGTTCATCAAATCCTTCCTCCAATCCTTCCCCAACTCCTGACAGCCAAAAACATTGCTGTTAAATTGATCTGTCCAAGGTGCAACTCTGGTCCTCTTCTTCCCTTTCTCAAAGCCATTTACTGGCTCCCCACTGCCTGTTTGCCAAATGCAAGGCACTGCACGTATGACTTTGAGTGTATGAGTTTCTTTAATCTTTGTAACAACTCCAGCAGGTTATACTAATATTATCTCCATTTTACAGAAGAATATAATTTTTCCAAAGTTGTATAGCCAGTAAGTGGTAGGTTCCTACCCTAGACTAGCAGACTCCACTCCAAAGTTGATATTTTTATCTATCACTCGAAACCTTTTCAACATGCCAGAACCTACTTCCCTAAATTTATCTCCCAAGATGCCTTTTCATAAGCCCTTTACTCAGGCAGGATTGGTTTGTCTGCTGCATAACTCATAACTCAGGCCTACAAATGTCCCAACCATGCATAAATGAGAAGAGAACATTTTTTCCTGTCTGATATTTTCATCTTCCTTATAACATTGCTGAAAGATTATTTTAGAATCATTGACCTCCTTGAGAACCGAATAGCGATTTTTGTGCTAGATATTAGGAAGCTCCCCCAAGAAATGGTTATTGTCCAGGAATATGTATTTAGCATTTTCCTGCTCCCTGCAATGTAATATTATGCATCAGATATAATTAGATGATATTAGTCATAAAATTAAATATTTTACACATGTTATTTAAAAGTTAGTCCAGCACAGGTTGATCAGATTTCCAGATATAGAAATACAGTATGGTTTATGCCAAAAATGGTTCAAATTAAGAGTAAATGTAAACAAATTGTGACGTAATGTCATATTTGAAAACGTGTCATCATCATCTTTTGTTGAATAATTCAAAAGTTTAGGTACAAAAACTTAAATACTGAATGACATTCCTTTACACCTTATTAACAAAATGAATGCAAATGAAAGAACACAGTTGAGTGGGTGCAATCTGAGAAAAGAATGCTCATTATCCATACTTTGGGACTAAGGTATGGATAACCTTAGGGTCAGGGTAAGGTAATACCTTGGGATGTTAGCTAACATTTTCTGAGTATTGTTTATGTGCTCAGATTATATGAACTATCTCTACTTTAATCTTTGTAACACCTCCTATGAGAGGCGTTGTTGCAACTGTTGTATTGCAAAGTTATAACTGTTGTTATCCTTATTTTGTAGATGAAGATGCTTAGAAGAGGTTAAGTAACTTGCCCAAAGTGATAAAACTCATAAGGGGTAGGATTTAAATCCAGGTATCCTAAATCCAGAGCTTTTACCCTTCATATCATGATAGAGCACCTACCTTAACCTGTATGTGCTTTGAATTGTAAGACCACATCTAAAGACATTTAGAGCAGGCATAAGATGATTAGGGTTAGTTCTCTGCTCCAATATCTAATTTTGAAGATAAGCAGGCCTGTTAAATATCTGCATTAGTCTCTTAAATTTACTGTATCTTATTGCCACATATTTGGTGACATAAAACAAATGTACTCTCTCACAGTTCTGGAGGCCAGAAACCCAAAGCCAGCATCACTGAGGAGAAACCAAGGTGTTGCCAGGGCTATGCTCCCTCCAGAAGTTCTAGAGGAGATTCCATTTCCTGCCTCTTCCAGCTTCTGGTGGCTGCAAGCATTCCTTGATTTGTGGCTGTGTCACTCTAATCTCCAAGGTCAGCATCTTCCAATCTTTCTATGCTCCATCTTCACATCACCTCCTCCTCTGTGTGTGTGTGTGTGTCTTCTCTTCTGCCTGTGTCAATCTTTCTATGCTCCATCTTCACATAACTCCTCCTCTGTGTGTGTGTGTCTTCTCTTCTGCCTGTGTCAGCTCTCCCTCTGTCTCTCTCTTACAAGGTCACTTGTGATTGCATTTAGGGCACATCTGATAATTCAGGATAATCTTCCCATCTCAACATTCTTAATTTAATCACAGCTACAAAGACCTTTTTTCCAAATAAGAATATTTAAAGGTTTCAGGGATTAGAATTTTACATCTTTGGGAACAATTATTCAGCACTACATTACCAATGTATAAATGTAATGCCAAGGGACATGTGGCTAAAAGATAAATTCCATCTTGGAATTTTTTCAAGTAAGGAATTTTTTGGATCTGTTTCACAGTCAGTGTTTCTTCAGCAGTTTGTACCATGACTTCTGTGCCTGCATTTGCTCATCCTATACTAGGCCTGATCCTGTACTAGGCCTAATCCTATACCAAGCCTGAGCCTCTACTCTACTAGGCCTGATTCCATCCTAGGCCTACAATAACTTATGCTCATTTCAATCAACAATCATTCAGAGAATAACAAACAGCAACCATTTTTTTCCATGATACTATGGAAGTAAAGAGTGAGACTTCTAGGTAAAATTGTGAAATAAAAACCAGACCATTTACTGTACAGCTTCCTACTATCCCTGTCTTGGGTTACATGAGCATGAAAGTTGTTAGTATCATTTTGGCATTTGGATATAGTGACCACATAGTGAAAGGAAAGAAAATGTAGAAATTGGTAGATATAAAGAGTTGGACTAAATTAAATGTATACCCTGAGCATAACATATTCTCATTGAAGGAGTAATGTGGGAAAAAAACATCTGCTTAGAAGCACAGGAATATAACAAGAACCTTGATTCTAATAATAGTCATCATGGGCTTGCTCCTTAGATTATTTTGGGGTTCAAATTCACATAAATGGCATGGCATGAGAGCTGTCACACAAGCTATTGATATTTCTGAGACATGTGACAGAAACAAAATAAACTCTCGGGATAACCACACAACAAGCCTTGAAGACAAGCAAGGTAAAATAGCAAAACACCATAAGAAACACTCAATATGACCAATAGTTATCAAATGCAAAAGACAGCAAGTTGGGCTCTAGAAATTACAGAAAAGTTAATAATTATCATAGGGGTTGTATAAAGTGAAAAAGATTTAAAGTGATTAAAGCATAAAGAGGAAGTGCTACATGATTCCATGTTTTAAAAGCAAACATTAAAAAAAGTGAAATACAATGGTTCTAATTTTTAAGAACTGAAATATGGAGTAATTTTAATAAAAAATATTGGTCAGTAGGTAAAACAGCCTACATAGATGGAGCTAAAAAGAAAGTTAACTGAAAAATAAATCAGAAAATTACTTGGAATGCAACAAGACAGGAAAAGAAATAAGTTTTTTTAAAAAATGGTAGTGAAGCTAAGAGGCATGGAAAATCAAACTATGGTTCCAATACACATTTAATAGGATTTTTACTATAAAAGAATAGAGAAAATGGAAAGATGCATATTAAATAAAACCTTAAAATTTTATGAATAGTTGAAAAAAAGCACAACTTTCCTTTAAGCTAAATAAATAAACCCACATTGAGACCTATTGCAGTAAAACTGTAAAACAAAGAATAAAAAGAAAAAAAAATCTCAAAAGAAATCATAGAGAAAACACGTTACCTATGAAGGAGCATGTGAATGTATTTTGTTCTCACTTTTGCATGATTTACAAATAAGACTGCCAGTAAGCAGCAATAAAAATCAAAAATCAACAGAATTATATCTTTGATGTGCTGAGATAAACCTCAAGGCAAACGTCAATATCCAATCTATCATCCAAAAGTGAGAACAAAATACATGTAATTTTAGAAATGCAAACATGAAAATTATATTGTTAGCAGACTTTTAATACAGGTATTTATGTTAAAATTTCATGCATAGTCAATAAAAAATGTCAATAATATTTCACTTTTAAGTCAGTAGACAGGTAGCAAGGAGAAAATGATATTTTCAGTCTACTTGGTGGCAATTAACGATAATAAAAAGTAGCAAATTCATAACCTTAAAATTAGAATAAATTAAAAATTATAGGAAAGGAAAATTTCACACTCAAGATAGAAAATTTTTAAGAAAATTTTCTCAATAATCAAAAAACAAGAAGGCAATAAATTAGTAAAAATTTAAAAATTTTGAATAAGATAATTAAGCTCACTCCAATGGACCTGAGTAGTACTCAATACCCAACAATTAATCAATACTTTTTCTTGCATTTACATATGATACATTTCTAAATATTGATCACATACTACACCAAACAGCCTCACCATAAAATTCCATAGAGTCATGGGAAAGCGTCATGTTTCACAGAAATATGATACACATCATGTCTCTGTATATAATAAAATTACATTGAAATCAAAAGGGAAAAAAAGCAAACCAAAACAAACATTTGTAAATTCACAAAGATATTTCTAAATAGCACATCATTCAAGAAAGAAATAATAATAAATATTTAAAACTACAAACCTTTGAAATGACAAAAATACTATTTGTTGAAACTTTTGGGAAAGCTCAAGTGTTATTTAGAGGAAAATATACACCTTTAAACAATAATATTAGAAAAGAAATTCAGAAAGGAAAAAAGACCAAAAATCAATCAACTAAGTATCCAAATTTCAACAGTTTAAAAAAAAGTCTTAGAAAGTAAAAGAAATCAAATCAGGCCAAGTGCAGTGGCTCATGCCTGTAATTCCAGCACTTTGGGAAGCTAAGGCAGGTGGATGACCTAAGGTCAGAAGTAAGAGACCAGCCTGACCAACATGGTGAAACCCCATCTCTACTAAAAATACAAAAATTAGCTGGGCATGATGGCGGGCACCTGTAATCCCAGCTACTCGGGAGGCTGAGACAGAAGAATCACTTGAACCCAGGAGGCAGAGGTTGCAGTGAGCCGAGACTGCACCGAGATTGTGCCACTGCACTCTCAAAAAAAAAAAAAAAAAAAGAAAAGAAAAAAGAAATAAAATCAACGAAATGGACAAAAATTAATAAAATGAGAAAAAAAAAAAAGAAATAGCATAGTTCAACAAAATCTGTGCCAATTCTTTAGGAGAAAGCTCCATACGTACATACCTGAAAGAAGGCATTTGCAATTCATACCAGTAAGAACAGTTTTAAATCTGAAATATATTCTACATATAAAGCAAATCAATAAGAAAATGGACAAAACATGTATACAGACAATTCACAAAAGAGAAATTCAGAACAACCCAACAAAATACACCATTGCCTGAAGACGAGAAGGAGGACAGCAGTAGTAGCAATTTGTTTGAGCCTTACTTATAATTTAAAATTATGTCTAATTAAAAAGTGAATCAAAATGCCAAGTGGCAGACAGGTCCAGAAAGACAGGGCTCAAAAAATATTCACTGGATTTAGTCATCTAGAGGTCAAGGGAGATCTTTTCCAGAGCACCAGGGAAGCTAACATCAGACTGCAGAACATTGAGAAATGAATGAGAAAAAGGAAAACAGAGACAGAGTAGTAAGTAATGACTTTCCTCAGTGGCTTAGATGATCCAGGATGAGAAGAGATAGTTGAGGTTGGATGCGTGCTCAAAGTAAAGTTTGTTGTTTTTTTTTTTCACTTGATTCTGTCATTGTGACTGAACCATGAGCTCCTTACTAAGCTAAGAAGTAGCCACAAGAGAGGAAAATGTCCTGAAAATAAGAAAGAAAAGAAATGATGGAGCAATCAATTGCACCAATGCAAAGTGTAGCCTTGAGCAAAAGAGTAACAAGAATACCTTAATTTTTAAATTAATGTGTATAGGAGGACACGTGGCATGCATAAATTTAAGAATATTGAGTAATATAAGAAAGCAGAGTAAGAGGCAGGAAGTCTAACATTGGGCGAAGGACATGTTAGGTATAGCACTGTGAAGATCTAAGGAAATGTCAGCCCACAACTCTATTTTATTCACATAAAAAATATATAAAGTAAAATTAAATGTGGGCCATCATGCCCTTAAGGAGCATCCAGTCTACTAGGAAAAGCAAGATACAAACAAGGTAACTAAAATGCCATTCATCCCTCCTTTCTCAACATACCCATGCTATTTTGTTCTTTTCTTCTTTCATTTTCTAAGATTATATAGCATTTTCTGATCCTCTTTCTTCCCAGTTCTTTAAAGAAAGGACACATGAAAATAGCAATATTTACCAAAGTGCCAACATTAAGCTTAGGCTCCCTTCGATGGCTTAGCATTGAGAGCTCTAAAGCAGCTCATCAGAGATGGGGAACGGTTCAGACTAAATGGATGAAAAAGATGGGGAGGAGGATAAATCATTAAAATCATCCTGTTTCTCTCATACCAAAACACACTTCACCTTTAGGAAATATATTACCTACCTATTCCCTGCTGTGAAACTTTTTTCACAGAGCCAAAATATTTTAAAATGCACAAAATCAGTCTCATGGATCATTTCTCAAAATCTGTTCTTTGACTATATAACATTAAAACTTATGTTTCAGAAAGGTAAAGGTTTCAAGTTTCTATTGTTCAAATTTTAAAATTCTTCATTGCAAATTGTTTTGATGATAGCTAATTAAAACTATGATTTTTAAATTTATTTAAAACTATTCTACCAAACAAGAGTAGACAGTCAACATTTATTTTAAATAGTTTATATCAGCTTTTGGTTTCAGCAATAAATGTAAAGAACAATAAAATTATTACCAATTATGATAAGAACAATATGTCTTTTTCTAAGACAGTAATGTTTTCCCATGCAGGTTGCTAAAAGAAGCAAATTTATCACTGTCTTTAATTTTAATAAAATTGTCTTTTATTTTAATGTCTCAGAATTAAAAATCATTTGCCAAAACTCTAAAGAGATTATCATGTATATAAGGTTAATTACAACTTTTTTTCATATTTAATTATGTTTCCTTCTAAAGAGTATTGTTCATTCAATTAACTTCATTTTATGGTTGGCACATTACATGGAATCACTGAGGCAGAAGAAAATGCAGAAAGGGGGCTGGAGGTGGGGAGGCAACCCAGAGTAAACAGTCCTCAGCCATTCCAAATCAGTTACTCCATTTTTACTTATAAAAATGTCTTCAACATCTCATTAATATTCTTCTTTTTAAGCACTGTAGGAAACACAGAGTATATGTCTGATATACTCTCACTACTTCTGGACTATGCAGTAACAAAGTGTATAAATTCAATTGGCTGCTATGAGTGACAACTTGAATTTCTTTAATATATAGCTACTTTCTCTGAAATTAAACAATTAATAACCCAGCAGCTATGTGAATCATAAATTATTCATACTTACTATACCAATGAACATTAATCAATTATAAAGAGATACAGAAATTAAGATCAAGAGAAAGAGTCAACCATAGCCTTTTAATATTGAGACTCTGCTAACCTAGTCTCTTTTAACATATTTGATTTGTATAACATCAATATGCACAACTATGCTTGTGCCTGAGTTTCCAAGAAAATAACCAATTCCTGAGTATACACATGCTGTCAACCAGTAACAAGCAATACTCATCACAATTCTGTAGTCTTTGAGTAAAAGGGCTTATTAAAGTTCTTTCAAATTATTGTACCTTATCAAATATTTAGTATTAACTCTCCTGGCTTCCCAGAGAATTTGAAGCATACTGAAAAGCATCATTTGAATTCTTTTGTAGTTTGAATACCAATAACTCTATACCAATACATATAAAATTATAATGATCACAAAAGCAAAAACATCTACCTGGACAATAGCCCAAGTCAGTCAATTGTAATTCACTGCATCATTAATGGACACAGGTTCAGCAACAAATTCACAACTTACAATCATCTAATGAGGTGTTTAACTTGCTTATCCCTAACACATAAGGTTTCTAGATTATGCAAGTACCCATTCTAATTAATTTATTTAAAATCAGTCAGGAAAAGAGCTACATCTTCTAGTCTACATTTTTACCAAGAGTAAAGCAACAGAATAATAAAAGTATATGGATGGCAAATAGGGACCTAAATGGGGAGGTGGAATTAACCAGAGTAAGAAAATTGGAATAAACATTTTGTTATAGCTATCAATCAAATGTTGGTGTCAAGTATTACCTGGAAATAGAATATAAACTGTTGATGTTCTTCAGCAATAATGAGCCAGTTTCTCAGCCCCCAAAAAGAGAAAAGGGTCATTGACAGGTATCATTAGATTTCCTATGTCACTGTTTCTTGAAAACTGGAGAAAATGTAGAAGTGAGGTTTTTATTGTGGGAAATTAAGGGAAAAAATGTATTCTACTTTTCTTATGTCTTTAGTTAAAATTATTTTTATTTTCTGTGCCCTTGAACATTAGTAGAGATATGACACCTGTTCCTTGGACTAATGTGATGTGTATTTAGTTCAAGAAGATAGCCAAAGAAGTATTTTTAAAAAATCTTCAGTGGGGATGTAGCACATTTTGCTATTTGAGATGGGTGGGGAGCAGAACCAGGACAGTTCCACTGGCACTCAGAAAACTTCATGACTAAAAGCAGTTCTCATTCAGCAGGCATAACAATGCGAAACCTGAAAACTCACATGATCAATTTGAAAAATCAAACTACATGGTAGCACTTTCTTATAAAATCAATCAACAGATATCTACAGAGTTCTTAATCCATATTATCACTATGTTAAGTGCTATGAGAAATGTAGAAAAATATCAAACACAATTACTATAATGTAAAAAAGCCTGAAATTTCATTAGAGGATTAATTTCTAGTAACACAAAATAATAATACTCTACAAACAAACAAGTTACATGCAGTAAATGATGCTATAGATAAAACCGCTACTACTAAAATACAAGCAAGGTAGTTCTTCAGTGACCTGCACCAATATGGTCATACCTTGTTAGAAGTGCAGAATCTCAGGCCCCACCCTAGACCTGCTGAATCAGAATATGCATTTTAGCAGATGTCCAGGTCTTGTGATTTACATGCACATTCAAATCGGAGAATCCCCATCTTGGACATTTTCGTTGGAAAGTTAGTACCTAAATCAGTTGTTAACCTAACTAGCAGGCCAAGAAAGTTAGAGAAAAAGGAGCCAGAGAATTTCAGGCCAGTAGTCAGAAGAAAACGAAAGCATAGCATGAGAAAATCTGAGACATGTTCGAGGAAGAGCTTAGCTTGCCAATTTTAAAATTATTTTTATTTGTATAATTTTCTGCAACAGGGTCTCGCTCTATTGTCCAGGCTGGAGTGCAGCGGCATGATCTTGGTTCACTGGAGCCTCACCCTCCCAGGTTCAAGCAATCCTCCTACCTTAACCTCCCAAGTAGCTGAGACTGCAAGTGCACACCACCATGCCCAGCTAATTTTTTTTTTTTCTGTAGACTTGAGGTTTCACTATGTTGCCCAGGCTTGTCTTGAACTTCTGATCTCAAGCAGTCCTTCCACCTGGGCTTCCCCAAATTCTGGGATTACAGGCATCAGCCACTCTGCCTGGCCTATAATAGCTGGCCAGTTTAGCTAAGGCAAAGACTTTTTTCGGAGTGGCAAAAGTAAAGCATTGAAATATAGAATGGATCTGGGTAAGAAAATGAGGCTGAGGGGATCCAATAAGTGTATATAAACAGATGGGTGCTTTTGTAATAAAGGTAATTCACTCTTCAGGTTCTACCCTTCAGAACTCATCCACTTAGTGGCTGTGAGCATTGCTCCTGGTGCCTTAGTTGAGTCCGTCTCTGAAAATTGCCCACAGCCAAAGAGAGCTGCTTCACCCAAGTTTACACCTCCGCCTGGAAGAAATTCACATCCAATGGCTTGTTGATACAGGGTTACAAATGCCTGTCCTCCTGGACATCTTTGAATAATCATTCCAGTTTCAGAGTTCCCTGGATGAAATGTTATCTGGTACAAATACTTCTCTTTTAGATCTCTCTTTTTACCCAGTCTTGTTCTTCTCATTCTCTTGCAGGTGTCATTCCAAGACAGCTTCCTAATACATTTCCTGCACACAATTCTCCATATCAGATTCTGTTTTCCGAAACCTGATCCAATACAATTTTCTTCAAACATGTATAACATCACTAAAAAGTTTATAATTCGTTCATCTTGACAATTTTATTCTGGTATTGTTCATTAATTACTTTATTTATATGCTTTACTCATCTAATATATACATTTCTTCTGTTTTTTATTTTAGATTCAAGGGTACATGTGTAGGTTTATTGTACAGGCAAATTGCATGTCAGAGGGTTTGGTGTAAAAATTACTTTGTCACCAAGATAATAAGTATAGTACAAAATTGGTAGTTTTTTTTATTCCCACTCTCTTTCCACCCTCCACACTCAAGTAGGCTCTGGTGTCTTTTGTTCCCAGCTTTGTGTCTATATGTACTCAATGTTTAGCTCACACTTATAAGTGAGAACATGCGGTATTTGGTTTTCTGTTTCTGTGTTAGTATGCTTAGGATAATGGCCTCCAGTTCCATCCATTTTGCTGTAAAGGACCTGATCTCATTCTTTTTTACAGCCACATGATATTCTATGGAGTATATGTACCATATTTTCTTTATCAAATGCACTGTTGATGAGCATTTAGGTTGATTCCATGTCTTTGCTAATTTGAATAATACTGCAGTGAGTATTCAGAATTACCCATTGTTGTTGGGATTTCTGGGTTAAATGGTAATTCTGTTTCAAGCTCTTTGAGAAATCTCCAAACTGCTTTCCACAGTGGCTGAACGAATTTACATTCTTATCAGTGGTGTATAAGTGTTGCCTTTTCTCCACAACCTTGCCAGCAGCTGTTACTTTTTTAATTTTTAATAATAGCCATTCTGATTGGTGTGAGATGGTGTATCACTGTGGTTTTGATTTGCATTTCTCTGATTAGTGATGATGAGCATATTTTTACATGCTTGTTGGCTGCACAACATGTCTTCTTTTGAAAAGTGTCTGTTCATGTCTTTGCCCATTTTTTAATGGGGTTGTTTTTGCTTGTAAATTTGTTTAAGTTCCTAGTAGATGCTGCATATTAGACCTTTGTCTAATGCATAGTTTGCAAATATTTTCTCCAATTCTGTAAGTTGTCTGTTGATAGTTCTATAAGTTACTCTGTTGGTAGTTTCTTTTGATGTGCAGAAGCTCTTTAGTTTAATTAGGTCCCATTTGCCAATTTTTGGTTGTGATGCAATTTTCATCCTGCCATCTTTGCCAGGTCCTATGTCCAGAATTGTATTTCCTGGGTTATCTTCCAGGGTTTTTTACAGTTTTAGGGTTTACATTTAAGTCTTTAATCCATCTTAAGTTTTGTATATGCTGTAAGGAAGGGGTCCAGTTACAATCTTCTACATTAATATATACATTTCTAAAGGTAAAGAATATGTTGTATCTTTTAAGAAAAATTTCCACTAAGATAAATACCGATTTGGACACATGATATGCATTCATCTCATACTTTAGGAATTAACAATATCAAAGAAATGATATTGTTAATTTATGATGAAATCATATTGTTCATTTATGTTAAAATTTATCTGATATGTATAAGATAAGAATGTAAAAAATGTTAGAAAAAAACACTTATAAACTAAGAAGTACCTATTTCCAAGACTGATTTTAGCCCTGGGTGTCATCCAAATTTCCTCTTTTATGTTTCCCTGTTATAGCACTTGAGATACAGTAGGTACTCAATAAATATTGGTTGACTTAGTGAATAAATGAGTAACAATATTTATATAGAACATGGAACTCACAGAGTACTTTACCTGTGTCCTCATTTAATCCTCCCAGGTAACTTTTAGGTAACAGTGTCAGCTATAACAGGAAACTAAGCACACACAGAAACACCTAAGTTTTCAAAAAACATAAATTCCTAGGTTCACCCAGACATTCTGAATTGGAAACTATGGGTTTTCATTGCTTCACAAACTTAAATGTGTATTAATTTATAACAAGCTGCCAAGTGATGCTGGTGATCAGTGGTCCACACTGTGAGGAGTAAGGTGTAGTTAGAAAAGTGACTAGTTAAAAAGCACATCAAGAAATTCCAATGTGTGGTTGCTCAGATTTTTTTTTCAAGTTATGGTCAGACTCCACTTCCAATGATTCTGACTCAATTAGTCCGGAGAAGAGTCAGGGTACTGATTTTTTAGCCAGGATTGAGAACAACTGCTGTAGATTTTGCTCCAGCATAAATACCTATGAAATGGTGGAAGCAAGACTATACCTGGGTATCATTCTAGTGTTTGTCTTTTCAAACATCCCATACTACCTCCCTGAGGGTAAAACAGGGGCTCTGAATTGCCCTGTTTCAATCAAGTTCAGTTAGACTCCAGTTAGTATATGAAATATATAATAGCCACTCTTCCACTCATTAATTTCTAAAAGTTGCATAGTAAAGGGCAGATACGTGAATCAGAAAGTGAAAATGGGTAAATACGATTTAATTACTGTCAGAATTCACTGGTGAAATTGTTGAATCTTTAACACATCCTTCCCCTAGACATTCCAGAAAATAGTTCTATATAGTTGTAAATAGTTCTCTGAGCAAACATTTAATCATCTCTGGAAACTGCAACTTTCCAAAGTCCTTCTATATTCAGAAAATACACAATGCCTCTTACCACTCCCCAGTTCCCCTGAAAAATTCTTTCTAATAGGACTACTAATAAAATTACTTTTTGTACTTACATTTTTACCCTTTTATTGGACTGAAACCCACAAATATTTCTTTGAAAAATTATAGTCGCCCATCATGATGAGTGAGAAATATAGGCATAGTTAGCCACATGTGCATGACATCAATTTTTCAACATAATGTAGCAGGCGGTAAAGCGCAAAAAATTCAGCTGAAATCTCAGCCACTAGATGCCGCTGAAGTGTCTGGAGGCCTAGGAAGTGAATTCTCCAGAACTATAAAGGCTTACATCTTGGAAAATAAAATGCTGTTACTATGGTGACCAGCTGAGATTATGGATAATGAGAGTACCATGTTTTCCACTCTCTAAGGAGCTATTGTTCTCCACATATTGCTCTACGCTGAACATTGCTGACCTTCAAAATGTATCAAAATCATTGGTACTTTCCTTTCTAAAATAAAGGATATTTCATTCAATACTTTTGTGTGAGTGAGAAGCTGTACACATCAATTATTCACACGTACATACACACACAAACACAATATGGAAAGAAACCATTATCCAATGCATTTTTCTTATTTAGTACAGAAGTGCGATCGATGACCTTAACAGTACCTGATGTCATAGTTTCTACAACTTTGTGTGATTCTGTATTTTTTAAAGTTCTCCATCTATAAAGATATATGAATTGAAAAAAAACTAGCTGAATACATGTCATCTAGATATATAATAATATTACGTATCTGCCTAGCATATTACATATGTATTAGGAATAATTATAGCAAAAATAACTTTTCAGTGGAACAGGGTACAAGAAATTTTCTGTTCTTGTACCAGACAAGGACAGCAGTAGACAGGAAAACAGAGTCACAGGGAAATAGAAATATTTTACATAAAACAGTTTAAAACAGACGTTGAAAAATGATAAAAGGATGAATTATGCTCATTGTTTGCTAACAAGTTATTGATTTTCTGTGAATCTTTAATTTACTATATTCAATAGGAAATCTGTGAAGTTAAAATTCATACATTTTTAGGAAATTAAATGTAAATAAAATCATAAATGGATATTGTGAAGTTCTATAAGATTCTCTCACCAAAAATATTCTCCCAAAATAATTACTTAAACTTGCATAGCCCAAGGAAATAAAAATTAATTATATATCTCAAAATTCAAGCAAGGAAAAATTAATGACTAGATTTTTCATGTCAGAAGACTTTACATAATAATTAATGAGTATGAAAGAGTAATAAATATGTCAGTTTTCATAAAATATGATGAGTTCTCATTATCCTGGAAAACTACACAAGTCATTCCTTTTAAAAACTATCCTTGAGCTGCATAAACCTAAAGTGAATTTGATATCCTTGAGTCCAGCTTCCAATGGCTTTAAATGATTCATAGAAATCATAGCTTGGTAAGTGGTTTCTTAACAGTAGTTGCATCTTTTAAAAACAAACAGAAGATGGAGCTGACAGGAATATCTGGAAATAAATGTCAAGGGACGTTGTTAGAATACTAACCTATTATTGGAGTCATGGTTTTTCAAAATACAGGAAATTCTGAAGCACAAGTTTGTGGCCACACCTATCCAACTGTCACTTCCATGAAAATGTAATGGAGACTATAAACATTAGCATTTTATGCCCCAGAGTGTATTTTGCTCTCTAATTTCCTAGTACTGCCATAACACAGTACCACCAAACTCAACTGCTTAAAGCAATAGACATTTATTATTTCATATTTCTGGAGGCTAAAAGTCAGAGATCAAATATCATCAGGACCATGATCTCTCTGAAATGTATGGGATAATCTTTCCTTGCATTCTCTCAGCTTCTGGTGGTTTGCTGGCAATCTTTGACATTCTTTGGCTTGCAGCTGCATAATTCTAATCTCTACCTTCATCATCACATGGTGAAATCGTTGTGTGTATCTGTCTTCACGTGGCCATCTTCTTGCAAAGACACCAGTCATGTTGGATTAGGGTCCCTATCCTATTCCAGTATGATCTCATCTTAACTAATTACATCTGCAAACAACCTAACTCCAAATAAAGTCACATTCTGAGGTAATGGGGGTTAGAACTTCAATATATTCTTTCAGAGGGGACACAATCAATCCAAAACACTCTTGCAATACCAGAAAGCACTTGGTAGCACATCAGAATTGATAAAACACCACCATTTCCTCCTCTTGGCTGGCAAAGCTTTGTAGGAGATCATGAGATTTAAAATCGTTATCATCAGCTTTATGATGCTATAGTGTAAACAAGAAATGGAATCCAAAGAATGAACAGCAAGGTGGACTAAAGACCCAAAAAGTACAAAGAATTTTCCTATGGTCTATTCTGACATCCACCTGCAATCAAGTAGAAATGTACCTAAATCAATGAATCTTCACATAGTGATTTTTTTTTCCAGTTGTCATTGGCAGCTAAACAATTACCCTATGTGGATAGACATGGGTGGAATAGATAATTATTTTTAAGAAATGTCTAATGTTAATAATAATTTTGGCTTTATATTTCACTTGGGGATATATATCAATCACATGCCACTCTCCTGTGTTTCATACAGTTATGTAAATGAGGAAATGAAAACAAATTTGTAGCTTCATAAATCTTCAGATTAACCATAAGAGACTCTGGGGCTTTAATCTGATCAACTATGGGAAGTCTAGTTATATTTAAGCAATGTAACTTTTTCCAACTTTCATCATGTATTCCTATCACATTCTCTTTCAACACTATAACAAAAAAGAGAACACCAATGACCTCCATAGCTTCAAAAGACCAAAAACGTGTTCACTCATCTATTGATTCATTTATCCTTTCATCCTCATCCATGAGGACCTACTAAATTCCAGGCATTGTGGTGGGTCCTGAGTTTAAATGTTCCCCAAGTCTGGCAATAAAACTAAACTGTGGTAGCATGTGTGCTGTATTTTAGCTAGACTATCAAGATTTCCCAAATACATACTGAATATATAGTAAATTCCTTGTATTTGAATTTAAACAAGAATGCAAAGGACATTGCAAAATACGTATTTTGTACATATTTTGTACATAATTGTACAAATCATACAATTGTAATGTACAAAATACATATTTTGTACATTACAATTTCCTGACAGTGATGCTAACATAATTTTCTTTTGGTTTTCAATAGAAGCTTTGGATTTCTTTTGCAAGTGTTTGTATGAAGAAGCAAATATATAGCCACAATTCTAGCAGCCTAATGGCAATTACCTATACGTCCTATCAATGCCACAAATTAAACATTTTCAACACTAAATGTTATCTTCATCCTCTAACTATACTTATTTGTATGCTACTGATTTATCTTATTGATACCATCACCTTTCCATCATCCAGGCTCAAAAACAATCTTTTCTCCTTTTTTTTTTAACATTCCCTTTGTAAGTCTTCTCATTCAGTTTCTCATTTTAATTGCACATTTTTTTTATTCTATTCCCTTTTCTTTATGTCCACAGACACTATTCTCATTACCTTTCTTAAACACTGGCATTCTAAATGTTCTTCCAACTTGGGTTTACAGCATATTTATCTCATTGAAGCACAAATCTGATCATGATATAACCTCAAATAAAAATTGTCTGTTTCTCCCTTTGGCACAGAGGATAAAGCTCTTTGTCTAACATTCAAAGCCCTCCATAATTGGTCTCCTATCTCCATTTCCTATCTTCCAAATGCTCATCATATCCAGAACACTATTTTCAAACTAAAATAGGTGCTGTTAACCTGAGCATTCCTAACCCATGACATTACTAACACTGGTTCCTCAGTGAGAATTCTTTTATCTCATGTCCAAATTCTATTATTCAATCATAATAATTACTCTTTTTATTAATTATATGAAATGGGTGACTGAGTTGATTCATTGCAGCTAAATGATACACTTCCAAGTCTTTCAAAACCCGTACTTAGCTTTAATATATCAAACATATCTTAAGGAAATACAGCGTTTTCAAAATTCCATAAATTGTTACCTAATACATTCCTTTCTGTATAACAAAAATCATATGAATTTATAATCACTCTACCCTCAAATATTCCATAACAGAATTATCCAAAAAGTACAGCAAAGAAAGAGTAAAACAACCTGTTAACAATTATATTTCTAATTGTCATTTTGTTCACATAACTCTATATTCATTAGCCCAGATAATATTTGCATATTTAATGTGTTAAATATGATCATAGAAGGTTGGTATGAAGCAAGAGGAAAAAATAAATATCCAGTTACATGTTGATAAGAAATTTGACAGTTTAGTTTTGCTAAATAGTCCAGAATTATTGCTATTCAAAACAATTATTTTTACAATGAAGACTAAATATACAAATAGAAATGGTCAAATGTATTCTCATTTAAATATGACTCTTTCAAATCAAAAATGTCTTTAAATTTTGTTTTATTTCTTATGATGTTAGAACTTATAAAGAAGTCTTTATTAATTAAGAATGATTTGGTAGCCAATTTTGTTTGATAACATTACATTAACATGAAAAGAGGTGTTTTATAATTTAACATTTTTGACATTACAGTGTGGGAAAAAGATAAATGTTTTCTCTGGAAACAATCTTTGAGACTTCTAGTCCCCGTGGCAAATAAATGTACTTTGACATGCATGATATGCACCAAATACATAGTAGTGTTTGATAAATTATAGAATGAATAAACTAAAAATTTACCTGGACTCATAATTAAGATAGGCATACCTGTAATGCGGATACTTAACAGGCGTTAGGACAAGTTCAGGGCAGCTGGTCTCTTGGATAGATCAGGCGGCGGTAACTTCTGTATCAGCTATTGAGGAAGGGGAGATCCAAGAGTCCAAAAGAGAATAGGAACCCCAGAAACAGCCATGTATATTTAACGGGCCCTTTGTATCTGTTGGCTGCATCTTGAGTTTCACTTCCACATATTCAACTAACCATGGATCCAAAATATTCAGGGTGGGGTGGGGAGGGGCGATGGCTGGCGCCTGTAGTCCCAGTTAGTAGGGAGACTGAAGTTGGAGGATCACTTGAGCCTAGAAGTTCAGGAAGTAGTGCACTATAATCCTGACTGCTAATAGCCACTGCACTCCAGCCTGGCAACATAGTGAGACTCCATCTCTTAAAAAATTTTTTTTTAATTAATAAATAAAAATATTCAGTCAAAAAATTAAAATAACTATACAAAAATTTTAAAATAATGCAAATGGAATAAATCAGGGCAGTATTACAACTATTTGCATAGCATTTACATTGTATTAGGTAATATAAGTAATCTGGAGATGATTTAAAGAATATGTATAAGTTACATGTAAATACCATGCCATTTTATGTAAGGGACTTGAGTCTTCACAAATTTTGGTTTCCTAGGTTGGGGGCCTGAGGCCTAAAAATCAATCACTGTTGGGTACTAAAGGAAGACTATTTTGGAACTAGATATGTGATTAGGATGACCACACATGCCAGTTTGTTCAGTAATAAATGTTCCAGCTTATACCTGCCATCTTTGTATTTTGTCTGGTTGAGGAAGTATCTTGTTTGTTTTCTTGCTTTCATTTTTTCAGAAAATTATTTTCAATAGTTTCATTAAATTAAGACGTAACATCTCTTACACTTCAAGTTCACCACACTCTGTCTAGGAGTGCATGAGTCGTATGTATAGTGAATTGAGTTCCACTAGCTTTGCCTGACCCTTTCCAGATACAATCTAGCTAACAACACATTCCAGGACAACATGCAAGTTACTTATTGATAAGTGTGCTCTAAGAGGAGTAGCTAAAGGCTCCCTCTCAGCTTCTAGAGCTGGTGAGAGAAGCATTTGATGATGGGTGGTTTTGTAAGCTATCTGCATACCAGACAATTGTTCCATGTCCCACATTTTGGCCTACAAGGTACACCTAACTACCTTGCCACCA
This sequence comes from Homo sapiens, assembly GCF_000001405.40. Taxonomy (NCBI): domain Eukaryota; kingdom Metazoa; phylum Chordata; class Mammalia; order Primates; family Hominidae; genus Homo; species Homo sapiens. Next base: position 77,141,933 of record NC_000008.11, on the reverse strand, counting down.
ATAGCCTTGGCCTAAAAGATGTGCAAAACTGCCAGTTAATGTGGTGAGTAAATATTGCGGGAAATCATGAGATATGTTTTTAGAATATGGAGGCAGAGCAGTTACACTGTAGACTGCATAAACATTAGTTGGAGTGCACTTATTTAAATAATTCTACCATTTATTGTAGGGTGAAAATATATAATGATTTCATTGCATGCAAATAAATCTTTTTGAGAATGAGCTCAAAAATATGAAAGTTTATGATTAATAAAAAATACAGAATTTCTGTATCTCAAAAGGTTGATGATGGACACGAAACATCAACTAAATGTTTAAGCATATATGTCATTCACTATGGGGCTCTAAGGATATTACTGACTACACAAAAACCAGAATACACAAATTTACTAAAGAAATAATAACATCTTATTGTGATTAGAAGTTGTTTTAAGGAGACCATGCATAAGACTACAGATTTACAAAGAAGCTAAAGGAGGTGACTTTTCATTTAGATCAAATGACTGTTCTTCTAAGTTCATTTATTTTCAAACCAAGTTTTATTATGTATAATTGGAAAAGCAATATCTGTTTGTATATTGGTTATTCTAATATCTATATCCTGTTTGTAGATATAAATATATCCTGTCTGTGGATATAAATAATATCCTGTTTGTGGATATTAATATATCCTGCTTGTGGATATTTATAACCTGTTTGTGGATCCAGGATATATCCACTTATATCCTGTTTGTATATAAGTGTTACCAAATGCTTCCAATAAAATATAGGTTACTTTCAAAATTAGAGTTTTTTCCAACCAATTCACAGAATAAAACTACAGATATTGGAAATGCACTATGTTGTAGTGTAAACACAAAATTATTATGAATGCTGTTCTAAATTTACTTTAAAATTTCAAATAATCAGGTAATTTTTGATTATATTTACATTTTGGTGGAACATATTTATGTAGGAATTAGGAGATCTTACACATTCTTCAAAATCATTTACAGACCAATAAGAACAACAAAATCTCATTTTATGCGTGTTTACAATGTAAGTAGAAAATAGCAAATACAGGCTCAGCACGGTGGCTCACGCTTGTAATCCTAGCACTTTGGGAGGCCGAGGCGGGTGGATCACGAGATTAGGAGTTCAAGATCAGCCTGGCCAACACAGTGAAACCCCGTCTCTACTAAAAATACAAAAATAAGCTGGATGTGGTGGTGCGCGCCTATAATCCCAGTTACTCGGGAGGCTGAGGCAGGAGAACGGCTTGAACCTGGGAGGCAGAGATTGCAGTGAGCCGAGATTGCACCACTGCACTCCAGTCTGAGTGACAGAGCTAGACTCCATCTCAAAACAAAAAACAAACAAACAAAAAAAGAAAATAGCAAATACTACAAAATTTAATGTATAAATAAGGAAATACAGCAGAGGAAGGTCTATTAAGCAGATACTCAGCCTCACTATTTTTTTTTTTTTTGAGACAAAGTTTTGTTCTTGTCACCCAAGCTGGAGCGCAATGGAGCAATCTCAGCTCACTGAAAGCTCTGCTTCCTGGGTTCAAGCAAGTCTCCTGACTCAGCCTTTCGAGTAGCTGGGATTACAGGTGCTCACCACCACGCCCAGCTAATTTTTGTATTTTTGGTAGAAGACAGGGTTTTACCATGTTGGCCAGGCTGCTCTCGAATTCCTGACTTCAGGTGATTTGCCCTCCTCAGCCTCCCAAAGTGCTGGGATTACAGGCATGAGCCACTGAGCCCTGCCTCAGCCTCACTATTAAGCAAAATGCAACAACGACAAACTCGAAGAAAATGAAATGCCATATGTTTTCATTGCTTTGTGGGCGGGGGGTGGGGGGGGGGGAAAGGAGCTCTAGAGCCCCTGAAGATGGAAAAGAAATCATGACCCCAATATCCTTTCCAAAAAGTACATGAAAATTCATCTTATGCAAAAAATGAACAAGATAAAAATATATAGAATTCTAATTTCCATTTTTAAATAATTATAATGCCCCTATAGAAAATAAAAGCTAGCCACTAAGTCCTGCCTTCAAAACAATTTTAAACTGCCTTTTAATATATCAAAATGAATATAAACAAAATAATATATGTAGAAACTGGAAAAGAACAGAAATTTATAATTTAGAAAAAAACTCAAAACTAAGATGTTTGGGGAAGAGGAAAATATAAAAAGAGGGGTGACAGCATTAAGGCAAGAATTAGAAATAAATATTATTTTTTTAATAAACCAATTATTTTTTTAAAAAACCAACATAGCACAAAAGCATAACAGATGAAGCTTTTAGAAAAATGAAAGATGGAAAGGAGAAAAAATTTAAAAGCAAAATGCATGAAGAAAGAATAAGAAGAATTTGGATATAATGATAAAGGTAGAAAACACGGAAATTCAAGAAACATATAACAAATGTCCTCCAAACCCATAGCAATGGAACACAACAATGTTGAAAATCATAGATCAAAAAAAAGTCCCAGGCCGGGCACGGTGGCTCACACCTGTAATCCCAGCACTTTAGGAGGCTGAGGCAAGTGGATCACGAGGTCAGGGGTTCAAGACCAGCCTGACCAACAAGGTGAAACCCTGTCTGTACTAAAAATACAAAAAAATTAGCTGGGCATGGTGGCGGGTGCCTGTAATCCCAGCTACTCAGGAGGCTGAGGCAGGAGAATTGCTTGAACCTGGGAGGCAGAGGTTGTAGTGAGCCGAGATCATGCCACTGCATTCCAGCCTGGGCAACAGAGCAAGACTCTGTTTCAAAAAAAAAAAAAAAAAAAAAACCAACAACAACAAAAGTCCCAGTAATAAAAAACTTGAAACTACTTAAGTGGGAAAATTGACCTAAAATGGCCAACACCAAACATATTTTTGTAAAACTATTGAACTTTAAAAATCTTTTCTTACTGGCAAAAAACAAATCAAGTCTCCTAAAGCGATAAAATCGGATTGCTTTTAGTCTTTTTAAAAAGCAACACTTTATGCTAGATGTCAATGGTGTAACATATTTTAAATACTGAAAAAAATAAAATAGAATTCACAAATTTTATACCTATGCCAAACTTATCTTTAAACATAAAATCCGCAGATAACCTGTTTGAAATAGAAGAAACATAAAATATTGTTCCTGTGAGTCTTTTCTAAGAATACAAAGAGAATGTGCCTCAAACAACTGGAAAATCTAAAGATTATTAACATAAAGACTAATGGAACCTTGGGTCCTGATCCTACCTTTAACATGGTGACAACTTGAGGAAGGTTCAAATGCAACATCTTGCTCATCATCACTTCAAACAAGACCAAACAGAACACTGACTTGTTCCTTTGTGTTTTAAGATTTTGAGCTGCTGGGAACCAACTCTTGAGGAAGTTCTGATATAAGTTACTTGTTCTGTGCATATTATCTTTCTTATCCAGCTGCTCCCATTGGAAAGTTCTGGAAGCTGTGTGAGTTATCTCAATTTTGTCCACTAAGCTTCTACAGGAAGGAACTGTGTTATAAACACTTATGCCACTGTACTTACACTTCAAAAATATGAAATTATTTTATTTCTCAGCAGATTTATTTTCACAGTTGCCATGACTTCCTAATTATACCCTTTCTCCTCTCATTAAAGATCCATTTTCAAAAAGAAGAATGAAAAAGAGGAGGAGAATTAAGAGGAGGAGGAGGAAGGGAAGGTGGAGAAGGAGGTGGAGGGGGAGCAAGAAAAGTAAAGAAGGAGACAGTGAAAGAAGAAGACAGAGGAAGGGCAGAAGGAAGACAGAGGGGCAGGAGAGGAAGATGGGAGGGAAAGGAGGAGTGTGACAGGGTGACAAAAAAGAAGGAGGAAGAAGGAGAGGAGGAAATAGAGAAGGATTGGGAAACAGGATGAGGGAGAGGGAGAAAAAATGAAAAAGAGGAAAAAAATAAGGGGGAAGAGAAAGAGAAAGGAAAATAAATCGAAAGAAGAAGAGGAGGGGAAGAATAACAAATTGCAGAAGGAACTATGAATTCAGTAACTAAACAGTGACAATGAGATTAAACCCCAGGGCAACATTAAAACACTCCTGGGTAAGTGATAGGGACAACGGGAATTGCGTATTAGAGTGACCAGTTTACAAGGCAAAGAGCAGCATGAAGGTAATTTTAATATCCAACAAGGAGACTTTGTGAAAGTGAAAAGGAGACTTAAAAGGCCAGGAGTCTCAGTGATATAGCCAGCTGGGGTTCAGAAAAATAAATTTTTCTATTATATCTATCTTTTTATTGTTGCTTCAGGTTGATTAGGCCTAGAGACCAGGAATTATGTTAGATTGAAAATCACAAAAACAAAAACATTGTTGTTTATACTATTCCACGAAAAAGTTAACCAACGACATGAATAACAAGCCAAATAAATGGCTCCACACATAATTTCACTAGATTTACTCCTACTTTTGGCATTGTGAGAAATATACTGGTGAAATAACATTTAATTGGTACTGACAGAACTTATTTTGACATCCTCTTTGCATGTTTGCAGCATACAGAATACTTAAAATTAACAAATTGCATTTTAGCGTGTTGTGTCTCAGAAATGCATCCCTCCACTTCCTCACATTCTGCAGGCAGAACCCACATGGCTTAGTTCATTTTGCGCAGCTCTAACAGAATCCTTGAGACTGGATGGTTTATAATGAACAGAAATTTATTTTCTTATGAGTCTGGAGGCTGGGAAGCCTAAGATAAAGGTGCTTGCATCTGGCAAGGGTCTACTTGCTGCGTCATCACACAGTGGAAGGCAGAAGGGCAAAGAGACAAATGGGGTCCAAACCCGCCCTTTGTAACAGCATTAATCGCACGCATACTGGCAAAGCCCTCATGGCCCAGTCACCTCCCAAAGATCCCACATCCCAACATACACACACGGGCAACCAGGTTCAACATGAGTTTTGGAGGCAATAAGCATTCAAACCACAGCACTGCCTGTGCTTAAGTTTGTCATTTTGTGTATCGAATATGAATTAATGGACTGTTCAAAAGTGAGCATTTTCTGTTCTTTTAGGAAGACATTAGGTAGTCAAAATCTTTTGTAAGCTCATGTTAAACTATAAAAAATGTATGCTTTTCAAAATTTTTCTTTTTGTTTTTATTTTTATTGATAGATAATATTTATACATATTTATGGAGTATGTATGATTTTTTTTACATGAATAAAATGTGTTATGATCAAATAGTGTATTTAAGGCATACATCACCTTGAATATTCATCATTTCTATATGTGGGGAACATTTTAAGTTTTTTCTTCTAGCTATTTTGAAATATGCAAAACGTTGTTAACTATAGGTATCTTACTCTGCTATCAAACATTGGAACTTGTTCCTTTCTTCTAAATTAGTATAGCAACTATGGAAAACAGTACAGAGATCTCTCAAAAAACTAAAAATAGATCTAACACAGCATATAGCAATCCCACTGCTGGGTATTTATCAAAAAAAAAAAAAAAAAATCAGTACATCAAAGGGTGTACCTACACCCTCATGTTTATTGTGACACTATTCACAATAGCCTATATATGTAATTAACCTAAGTGTCCATCAGTGGATGAGTGGATAAAGAAAATGTGGTATATATACACAACGGAATACTATTCAGTCAGGTAATCATTTTTAAAATGAAAATAACTAAATGAAATATGCACCTACATAATATTAGCCTATATGTATACCTATGTATTACCTACTAAAAGTATCATTGTAAATATAACTAATATTTTGCAGAAAAGTGATCATAAATTTTCAGTAGAATTTCTCTTTCCTGGAACTAAAATATTTGCAATAGGAAATATATTATATAAGTATTAGATACTATCAGTTAAATTAGCTTTGAAGAAAAAAATTGCTAAAACTTGGGAAATATTTGGGAACTAAGAGGCACATAATATAATTTGTAATTTTAAATAAATACAAATGTCTCTTTTTAGAATTATGTAGGCTTGTATTTCCATATACGGAAACCAGAAATTGGGTTAAGCGTAGTTTCCCAAATAAAACAAAAATGTTTAACTAATATGACAAAAGTATAATTATGTATCTCTTTGTCCAAAGACGTTTTTGCCAAACTTTTGAAATTTTACAAAAAAAGGAAACAATTATACAATGATGCCTTCTCTGAAGGCCAGATGTTACTTCAAACTTCTGTTTATTAAATGGCTTCTATATATTTGTCATAATTATATGTTCTTTATTACCCAGTTCATCTCAAATCCAAATAAGATTTTTCATATCAACTTTTCAAGTGGGGTGATTAAGGTTGAAATTTTTAAATGACTTGTCCATGTTCACACAGATCATAGGTGTCAAAACTGAAATTCCAGTGCAGATCTGTCAGCGACCAGCTCTCTCTCTTTTTACTATGCTACAGGAATATGATTTACTTTATAATAAAGTTCATATTTTTAAAAAATTTCAGATAACTTTTGCCTAAAAGAGGCTCCTCCTTCAGATTTTTAGATAGAATTTACAAGAGTTAATTCTAGACAACTTTAGCTGAAAACTCTCGAGACAAAGAAGAGTACACTCTATGCAAATGAAGGAATAGTGAAGACAATAATGATAGAAGGGAGTTTGAACTCTGGAATATCCAGGTTACTTTCCAGTGTTGTCCTTTAAAAGAGCAGTATCATCATTATCAGTGGCTATTTTTAATAAACACATCAGACATCTTGTTACTTACCTACCTTTCACTGTAAAAGAGCATCTTTACCCTGGGCTAGTCATCATATACTAATCATTGATTTCAGCTTTTTGTTTTCTTTTATGTGGTGTCCTGAGCCTAGAGAATATACAGGAATTTCTCTGTGGAGTAAGACAGATGTAGATTCAAATCCTCTCTTCTCCCACTTACTACTTAGAGCACAGGACACTGGAGTTATTATTTAGTCATTCTCAGTCTTTGTCCCATCATTTGTAAGTGATGAAATTAATAGGTACCACATAGAGTTATGGTAAAAATTAACATAGCTCTGGTATGAAAGGATTTAGCCAAATCCTGGACTCATAGCAGGCACACAATAAAATTTAGTCACCTTGCTTTTGACCTTTTTTCTTTTGTTTTAACCTTATAATGCTTAGCAAAGTATAATTTTCAAAAAGTTATAAGCATAACCCCCAAGCAAATAATAAATGATCATGTGCCAAAGATTTCATTCTACCTTTTAATTAATGAGGAATCCAATAAGATGTTAAGACTGGTTCAAAAAAGAACTTTAAAGACGCATATATATTGGCAGTCAATAATACTAAAAATGAGTTTGCCAATGGATGCAAAACTTAATATGAAATTTTTTAAAATGTGGTGTTTTCATGTTTGGCAATAAAAATGTGATATTTGGGGTTATATTTTTATGGGATGAAAATCAATTGTTTCTCTACTCAACAAAATTTGTTTGCCTTGCTATGGACAAAAATCATTTGCATTGCTATTTGTTTTCTACAGGCTGACGTCTACCCCTACTGAGTTGTAAAATAGCTTAGTCAATAAAAAGTTAATCAAATGTGAACACTCCTTTACAATCAAATAATCCCAGACATTCCATTAGACAATGCCTAGGCCTTTTCTAAAAGAACACCCAGAGTAATCTCTTTGTGCATTCTCAAACCTTGGACATGCTGTATCAAGTATAAAACTTTGGTTTTGAAAATTCTTAGTTTCTGAACAAATGATTCCTAAGACTCCATTATCTCTACAAATATGCTTTTAACATTATAGGTAAACTATATACGTTTATTTCTCATGTATTCATGTCTTTCTAAGTATTGTATTTTGATAGTGTGTCTATTACTTTGATTAAAGAACTAGCTCCAGATGCACTTCTGGCTCCTCATTAACTAACTGAATGATAACAGGCAAGTCACTGTTGCTCTCTAAGTCTCAGTTTCCACCTGTGAGAAATGCAGATAGTAAAGACAAATACTTTATTTAATTGTTGTAAGGGTTAAATGAAGTAACACATGCAAATTTTAGAAGCATTTCTGAAACGTGATAATCATTCAGCAAATATTTTTATGTCATTGTAATGTCCTTGAAAGTTGAGATATGGGAACAATATCCGTTGAGTGTTTGCTTGCACAGTAGCCGGCAGGTAAAATCGGGAAGGGAAGCAAGTAATAGAAGTTCTGGAAATTGACAATAATGATAAATATGATGATGAAGTACACTTGAGGACTAGATCAAAAATTTGGTTCAAACATCAAGAAGAGGTGCATTTATTGTTTTTAGATGAGTAATTTTCTTTCTTTAATTAAATGGTTCCATGCATTTTCACTTGGAAGACTCAGTTATAAAATGGAGATAAAGATAATTCACTAGGCCAGGCATGGTGGCTCAGTCTGTAATCCCAGCACTTTGAGAGGCCAAGGCAGGTGGATCACTAGAGATCATGAGTTCAAGACCAGCCTGGCCAACGTGGCGAAACCCCATCTTTACTAAAAATACAAAACATTAGCCAGGCATGGTGGTGCACACCTGTAATTCCAGCTACTCAGGAGGCTGAGACAGGATGATTGCTTGAATCTAGGAGGTGGAGGCTGCAGTGAGCCGAGATTGCACCACTGCACTCCGGCTTTGGGTGATGGTGTGAGACACTGTCTCAAAAAAAAAAAAAAAAAAAAAAAAAAGATAATGCGCTCAAAGCAAAGAACTTTGCTTCACAAAAATGATATTCACCAAAATAATGTTACTTTTACACTGTTGATTTACTTTAAAAATCTAACTATATAGGTTACATTTGGAGTTTATTAATTTATGGAAAGAAAATTCATTCTAACTCAAGTTTCTTTCTTTTGTTTCTTTTTTAACATATAAAATATCTCACTCCCTTATAGTCAAGAATTCCCAGCAGTTAAATGTTTCGATTTAGAAGGTAATAAGTAACCAGCCCCTCAAGTGAGACTGGTGCAGAAGGGATATGCCAAAAAATACTGCAAGGTTACCTCTATCTCTCTGTCATGTGGCCCAGAAACACATTCTGCTACAGCACAGAACCATGTATAACAAGTTAAACTCAGGCGCTAGGTTTTTATTTTGGTATTTTGTTTTGTTGTGTAATGTTTTGCTTTTTACCCTTCAAAAATAAGGATTAGAAAAAAAAAACAGTGTAATGTAACCTGATATCTTTGGGAAGAACAGTTAGGTGTTTATTTTAGGAAAATTATTATGCTAGGATTTCAACTTAAAAGTTCTATAATTGCTTAAAGTTTCATGATCTATCGGAATAAGGTTACAAAATGATGTTTTAACCCGCACCCTTTTAAAATATATATAAAACTTGACAAAACACACTAAATGTAATAAAGTATATCATTGGCAGAGATGACTCATATACATAAGAGAAGTCTCTATTTGCCCTGTAACTCAGAAATATACAAATATAGAACATATCTTATGTGGGAAACAAAATTTCTATGTCCAAAGCCATGAAATTACTAACGAATAGCCAACATTTTAGTCTCATAAATTAACCAAGCCATATCATATGATGTTTGAATTACAGTTCTTTAATATTTTACTGCATAATTAAGCTGTAAATATGTAGTCTTTATATAATTCCATGGTTTGAAATTTAATTCCAAGTTAGAAAAGATTTTATAGTATATATTATTTAACCAACCACATTTTATTTTTGAAAGTAGTTGTGTTTTAAGCAAAAAAACAAAAAAAGGAGAACAAGAAGAAAAATCACAAAGCAAACTAAAATGGGGCAAAGTTTTAACTTACTTTGAATATTATACATAATAAATATTTAGAATAAGTTGTTAGATAAATATGTTAGACACTGAAAAAAATAGAAAATATAGGAAATAAATGTAAAACTTTTATTATGATTTAACCAGAAAAGCTACTGAAACTCTTTTTCCAATTCATTCATTTAATCTACTACTTTTTTGGACACTCAGAGCAAGCAAGCTAAAATGCAAGTTAGCTCATAATTTGAAATAAATTCATATTCAAATGCCAAATTGGAACAAATCAAAGATATAACTATGGCCTTATAAATCAGAAAAGAAAGAAAATTAGATGGAAGATATATGTTACCAGTTTTAAAATGTAGTCTTCTAAAGTTAAATTTTCTAATTCCTTGTCTTCTCTGAGCTTCCATAAAAAGATTTTAAAAGGCATTGTGGGCTAACATAAAAAATGTACTACTGGGCTTAAAATTTCTTAAGAATATTATCTGCTTAGGAGATGGAATCGGATACTCAGTTCAATGAATCTGTAGTCACTTTTCTAAAACAGCAGATTTTGGCTTTGCACCCCATGACAATTTCTTTGTCCAAGCCACACTAAAAATAGGTCTTCATATAATGGAAATGTTGAGACATTAACTATAGCAATGTGAGTGAGCACCACTATAATAAGGATTTCTCATCAACTCTTGGTTTATGTTATATTAACATATGAAAAAGCTATTTAAACATTAAAATTAATACATCATAAAACAATGGTAATATTTCATACCAAATATAGTTTTATTTAAATCACAGCTACTCACAATAGCTATGAATATCCCCATTCAAATTGCTATCATGAATATTGTATAAAATGAGAAGAATAAACTAAAAGTAAAATTAGAATACTCCTTTATAAATTATAATATGTCAAGCTAACAAATGGTGGACTTGTCATATTGAGCAACTAAATGTCTAAATGATCATTCAGCACTCATAGTGTAGGAAGAAAAAAATATTGGCTTTGTTGCCTCTAAAGCAGTTGCTCGATTTTTCATACTGTCATTCTGCTCTATTAGCAAAGCCTAACACAATTAGGTATGAATATGCAGTAATAACATGCAAATTGTTCCCTCACAATTGCCCTAAGGCAGCAGTCTCAGCCTTTCTAAGCTTGATTCCTTCTATATCATTACAGGCTTGGCATAATTCATCAGAATAAAAAATACCTTAGCCTTATTGCAAGTGGCCAGCTAGTAAAATCACCGCTAGTTGTTAACCACTCTCCCTCGATGGTTTTGTTAGCGATGCTTGTCCCCAGCTCCCTGCCACTCCTGCACTTGTACATGTTTCCCTTGGGTAATGTTAGACACTACATTTGAGCCTGCCAGAACAATTAACCCTACTGTTAATTAGAATGAAATGTCAGGCGCACAGATGGTACAAGCTGGCACCCTGCCATCCCGCCAACTGCTGCTGAAAGCAGCTACCCTACTGCTGACAGCTGCTCAGCCATGTCCCAAACCAGCAGATGTCAAAACTTTCCAGCTGAGGAAGGTTAAAAAAAGCAAAGAGGAGGGGTTTCTCATCCCAGCAGCGATGATGACTGTTTTAGTGCTATTGTATCTATTACCTGTTGTCATACTGTACCAATCAAGAGGAAGTCTGCAAGCAGAGAGACACAAATTTAAAATAATGATACTAATCATCATAACATAAATAAACACAATATGGCTATAATTCAATACAAGTAGAAAAACAGCATTGGCAACAAACAAAATCACTGAACGTTTTCACTAAGTTCACATAAGTTGAGAGGCATATTTTCACATATGTTTTTCAACAGAAAAGAATATTTTAACATTCCCAAATCAGGTAATTTAAAAAGCCACAAAATATTGCCCATTTAACCTTTAGACAAAATATCCACTTTGTTTCTAGAAATCATACCTAGGGGTGAAATTATTATTTTTCCTGGTGTCTTCTGTTGTTCATAATTTATGAACATAATTTTTGAAATGACAATTTATGTTTCCCTCTATCCTCATACACATACATGTGGTCACCAAAAAGAGGTAACAAAGGATTATCCATGAAAAGTATCAAAACTAAAGTCTGATTGGACAATAAATTTGCAACTGAATATCATTTTGGTTAGAAACCAGCTTCAGAATTTTGGCCTGAATGTTGTGTTAATCTTGTGACTAAACAATTAGTGATCTTATTATGAATTACTTAGAAACGCAAGCTCCTTCTAAACTCAAGAGGACTGGACCATAAATCCCTAACACTTAGTTTTGAGATAAGAAAACAATTTTGTGTTGCTGATTGCTATTAAACATGGAAAGGGTAGAAGTGTGAAAGTAATCCCTTTTCAATTTTGAGTCATTCTCTTTAACAGCATGAATGCAGGTGGATATTATAACTTAAATGCCACAGGAAATATGCCATAAAATTTAAAGTGTATGTTTCTGCTATTTCTACTTCAATCGGACATTATTTAGTGATAAATTATTTATTCAGCATTTCATAAGTATGTACACATACTGAAAAGTACAGTGTAAAATATTTTGAACATTCAAAAGGAATTAAAAATTACTCAAGTACTAACTACTCATTCTAATTAGGAAAAAAGAAACATAATATACATATATGGACCATGTATCATTAGGGTTCTTCTGTCATCCCTAACCAAAGTTAACTATACTATGAAGATATCCATTAGTGCTTTTCTGTCCTGCATAGCCAAAATTAACTTACACTAAGAGGAGATTTATCAGAAAAGTATGAAATGGTTTATAGTAAATATTTTTCAAAAGCAGAAGGACTGGATTGGAAAAGACAGGGACAGCTTAAGGAATGGGGTGGCAAGAACAATGGGCAAACTAAGACACTAAGATGAATCAGCTCAAATAATTTCTTCTAGGAATGCAGAAGTTCACCTGCCCTACTTTGCTTCATGTGCCTAAGCATGATATGTGCACCGTAGCTTAATTAATGATTCCAACAATACTGAAACAAAAGTTCAGTATGTTACTATCTGAAAATGGGTAAGTAAGTACTATGTGTCAAAAACATTAGTGTCAGATGACCAATATCTTGTGAAGTCACCGCTAAAGGATGCCATGAAGAGACTTGATGCAACTTTGGTTAAAACTACAGAGAAGATTATACAGGAGGGGATAAGTAAGCATTCCAGATATAAAAGCGAGAGTAAATAAGAGGTTGCATGGTGAGATAACAAGCCTGGAATGTTTGAGCATTGAACATCTCACTAAAACAAGCCAGTACCATTAATGGAACAGTGACAACTATGACTACTACTACTTCTACTAATTTATTCTACTTATTACTACATTTCTACAGCAATTTACTATTTACAAAGTACTTTCTGAGAGATTCTTCTTTGATTTTTACAATAGCCCTGAGAAATATGTTAACACATATTCAGTGACTTTTTATATATAAAGAATCAAGAAGTGTGTTACAGATACACTAGAGTCAACATATGAACATACTATAACTAACACACATGAAGAATTTGATACTTATTAGATATAGGTTTAAGCTCAGAAAGCTGGAATTCTTTTTTCAGCTCATGTTTTTCTGGAAGCAATCTAAATAAAATGTGTTATATGTTATTTCACATTTTATTATTTTCCAAAAATATCATTTGATTAACTATCAAATGTCAGGCACAAGTCTAGATACCAAGAATAGTGAAATGAGATATAGCCCTGCTTTCAAGAAACTTGGAATCTAATATGAAGAGACAGGTAAAGAAGTACGAATGTTGTTTATATTTGTTAGAAAAGAGACAGGATGAAGTCTCATGGACACAGGACACAGGTAGGTCAGGTCCTACAAGGGCGCCATCAAGAAAGAGTTTTGAAAGCTATATGACTCAATATACTTGAAAATCAATTTGTTTCAGAGATTCACAAAATATCACTTAGCATACAAAAAGAGGACAAAAAAGATAACTGAATTAAAATAAGTACAATAACCCATCAAAAATAAATCTGCCCCTAAAATGCACAGACAATATATTAAACAAGTAAAATGCTTGTGGTTTGAATGCTCCTTTTTGTAAAATGTCTCTTTGAAAGTAACAATACTAGCATGCTATTAAATCCAAAATATGTGTTCAACTGGAAAATATTTTAATTTAAACTACCTCGAGATTAAAATGACATATTAAAGATGCACATGGTATAATATTGAAGTGTCCCTTGACTTCCACAGAAGTTCCAATACTGAAAAATAAGATAATTTTAAATGAAACGGACAGGGACAAAAAATATTTGAATATTTTTGTTGGAATAAAAGTAAAAATAACTCTTGCCCATTCAAAATTAAAGTATATGCATGTGTATATATATTTGTATGGTTTTGTTTTCACTGTGAGAGTGTAGTAATTTTCTGTCTTTTAATCTTGACTTATAATAATTCATAAGGGTCATTTTGGGCATAAGTGCCATTAGATATTAAAATATTAAACATTTTTAAATGTACAAACATATAGCAAACTCAAGTCATACCATTTAATAACAATCAGAAATAAGAAAAAATATACTTTTCTTGGAAACTCCTGTTGTGGTTGCTTTTTTGTTACTCAACTCTCTCTTACAGACCAGGGCTTATTCTTTATACCCATTCCACAGATCGCAGTTTTCAGCTTTTATTTTTCCTGTCCTACATACATAACATCTGTATTTTGTTCAACATATTTAAATATGCAGGTGAAATTTTCTAGTTGTATGCATAGTAAGAATTCATGATTGATATGGTTTGGCTGTATGTTCCCACCCAAATCTCATGTCAAATTGTAATCCCCATGTGTCAAGGAGGGACCTTGAGGGAGGTGACTGGATCAGGGGGACAGATTTCCCCCTTGCTATTCTCATGATAGTGAGTGTGTTCTCATGAGATCTGGTTGTTTAAAGATGTGTAGCACTTCCCCCTTTGCTTGCTCTCTCTCTCTCCTGCCACTATGTGAAGGTGCTTGCTTCCTGTTGCCTTTTGCCATGATTGTAAGTTTCCTGAGGCCTCCCAGTCATGCTTCCTGTTAAGCCTGTGGAACTGTGAGTCAAACATCTTTTCTTCATAAATTACCCAGCCTCGGGTAGTTCTTCATAGCAGTGTGAAAATCGACTAATACAATGATCAAATCCTTATGAGTTTATGAACCATTATAAGTTTCTGAATTGCATTCACATGCAGTATTTCATGCAATCTTTAAAATGCTTCAAATGAATGACAGAAGATACTATCATCCTCACTTTTTAGCGAGTTGTTCTCCATCATACAATTAACAAGTAGAAGAGCCGAGGCCATCCCAAAGTTGCAACCAAGCCCAATCCTCTTTCTAATTTAACACCATCTGCCTGCAGAATGCACATGAAAGTCCACCAGCGAAGTGTAACAGTGTTACTGTCTTTTTAAAAATCAATTATGCCTGTTTTCATTTATTACAATCAAATGATAGAGATTAGCCTCAAAGAAGCAAAACACTCAATCATCTATTTTTTCTCGGCAACCATCATGCAAGTCAAAGACATCTAGATGAACCAGAGAAATGAACCAGGGATTTTTAGTGAACAATTGTGAAATGATTCACAGTGCAGGCATTAAATATTTAAGCAGAAATAATGTAGCCTCTGTTTCCTGCAGATTTAATAGTGCATATACTTGATAGATTTGCTATCAGAAAAATACATTAGATTAGAAAACATGCCTATTTAGAAAAATAAGCTAAATATTGTCAGATTAAGTGTAACTTCTTGCTTATACCTGTCTTTCCTCTGTAGCCTAGGACCTCACCGGTGAAGAGACAAATGAGGAGGGCAAGAGAAAGGCAGATACAAACAGAGAGAGGAGAATAGATACAGATAAATAGGAACAGGAAGAGAGGCAATTTAGGGAACTTGTGACGGTTATTAAATAGGGCAAAGAAACATTGTCTAATTCTAAGAAGGATGATTTTAGACAGAGCTAGTCTGCCTATGCAGGGGCCCCTGAACCAAAATACTCTTCCCCTAAATACCTGAATACTTTTACTTCATTTGTCACGCTGTCTCAATTCCACCATGGGATTATTCTTTCTTAAAAAATAATAATGCTTTAAAAATTCAAATTATCTCTGGGAGGGTTAAAACACTATTATTACTAGAAGAATAATATGACATCACTGGGAAAAACTTTATTACTTAGCTCAAAACCCACTAATTTAAACATGAGGATGCTGAGACCTTGTCAGGTCAAGCTATTGTCATAAAATCACAAAGCCCAACTATGTCAGAACTGAGACTTCCAGTCTCCTGAGTCTCCAAGTGAGGAGAATCACAACAGTAATAATAGACAACATTTCTGAGTGGTCACTCTGGAGCAGCAGTGCTTTGAGACAAACCCATATGTCATAATGTTAAATGGTACTACTTATACATGTTTTTTCCACCTGTGTTAAGCAGACGAATAAGCAGCTTGTGGGTTGTTTCAGGGAATGGGAAGAAGGGCAAAAGAATGGATCGATCCTAGTTTCAATGAGAGGATGTCCATGCTTACCCATGTTATGCACTGGAGTTTTGCCTAAGATTTGAGAGCATCTTTAGAACACTCCTTTTAATGTTTCCATTGATATCATTCATCTTCGCTCTCTACTGCCAGGGAAATCTAGTCAACTGCACTTTTCTATTTTTTTTTTTTTTTTTAGACAGACTTTCACTCTTTCGCCCAGGCTGGAGTGCAGTGGTGCGATCTTGGCTTGCTGCAACCTCCGCCTCCCAAATTCAAGCAATTCTCCTGCCTCAGCCTCCCAAGTAGCTGGGATTACAGGCACCTGCCACCACGCCTGGCTAATTTTTGTATTTTTAGTAGAGACAGAGTTTCACCATGTTGGCCAGGCTGGTCTCGAACTCCTGACCTTGTGATCTGTCCACCTCGGCCTCCCAAAGTGCTGGGATTACAGGCGTGAGCCACCGCACCAGGCCTACAGGTTTCCTATGTGATAAAAAATTAGAATTTATAGCTTAAAAAGGTATTTCATAAGATTCTCATTATATGTTAGAAGTTCTTAACAACCTGTCATAATACTTATATCTTACCTGTAAAAATTACTTAGGATCTCTGTTAGATACCACTTTATTTATAAAATTGACAGTTATTTCAAGTACTTGAAAACAGTAGGAAGGGCTAATCTATAATTCATCTTTGCGCTCATTTAGACTGCTGCCCTTACCCATCTAGTTAGTCTGGATTACGATAGTTCACCTTATTTAAGAATAGGAAGATTATGTGTTTCATTCTCTCCAGAGTGGTCACTTTCCATCCCAGACTGAGAAAATTCATTTCAGCCATCAAAGTTCAGTTTGAATGCTACCTTTATTACAAAGCTTTCCCAAATCACACTGCCAGAAATCATCAGCTGATCTTTAAATTTCTATTAGCAAATTATTTGAAGCTCTTTCCAAGATTTACCACATATCACTTTAGATTAGAACTATGTATGTACATGTCTTACCTTTCTTCCTAGATGAGAAATGGCTTAGGACCAGGAAACTTGTGCTCTGTCTGAGAACCTATAATGCTTCCATAAATTCTCAACTAATATGTGTATATGTTTAAATGAGTGATGAGCTGAAGCTATGGGGCATGTGAAGGAAAAAAAAATGGGAGAAACAAAGCTCTGAGTGGACTGGAGAAAATGCCTTGAGAATCTCTTTTACGTTGCCTCACAGTCAAATCACTAGAGATTACTCTCCCAAAGATAAATCAACTGCTCACAGTAAATGCTTACCTATATTTGAATCATTAGAAGACACAGGTAAAACAAACCTGCCAGGAAATTATCCAAAGACATTATTTACTGTCTCCATTTGCTAGCATAGATATAAACCCTTATATCAGTAAGAAAGAAAAACTGAGTAACCTTTGATCTGGCCTAGAATCATTCAATCCAAAGTTCCACGTTCCAGTTCGACTCCCTTTTGTGACTACAACTTCCACCGGCTCTCGAGGGAATTAAATACAAAAGACATGTGCCAGGCTCTGTAGAAAAATATGGCTATCTGATTTTAAACTTTTATGTAGCTACTTATTGACTTATGAGGTATGGTATTTAGTTTCCGTTAAAATAAGATTTGCTTAAACTTTTGAAACAGCAAATTAAATTACATATATTTAAAAGAAAATTAAATAAAACCTATTTTGCCTTCTGTGTACAAGGCACTATGTTAAACCTACATAGGGAAGAATCAGAGGTGGGTTCTCTGCCCTTGTGGAGTTTATACTCTAGAAATTCAATAACCATTAATCAATCTATCATACAATTAAAATTTTGGGAAATAGAAAAGGGAAACATAAGTTGGAGATCTGTTATTGACTTAGGCAAGGCTTCTTCTAAGAAATAATTTAACTTAGTTTTGAAGAATTTATTGATTCTCCAAAATTATCATTTATAATTTCTACAGATTTCTGAATGAACAATGAATGATTTAAAGTTCTAGAATTACACATTGATCTTATGTAATCTTTTCTTTGGAATGTGTTTTCGTTACTCTTACAGAATATAAATCAATTATTTAAAAACATTTATCAAACTTCATATGTGTATTTTCATTAGAGTTGTAGACTGATTACACAACTGGAATACTTGCATTTTTGCAACGTTATTTATAAAAAAGAGTAGACTAAAAAAGCTGGCATTTAAACCAAATAATTTTGCTAGGATGTTATGATATATTAAGAGGAGGTTTAAGGTGCCATATAACTACATGTGTAAGTACACCCTTATTGCTGACCTTACAATGCACTTAGTATCTTATACTTCACTAATGCTGTCTCTACTACCACAAGCAATTTATTCTGCCTCATGTTCCTCAAGTGCTCATAAATCAGCATTAGATCCTTTTTACTGAGTTGCTGATTTTAAGCCAGCACAGTTAGAGGGAGCATTTGGATTCAAAGTATAATATTGGCACACATATTGATTTTAATTAGTCTAATTAGTTCATTACACTAAAAATCACACAGATCATTTATTACATCAAACCTAATGGCATATGATCAAGGATTTAATATGATAATGAAGTAGATCAATTATCACTCATAAAGGAAGTCATTAACAAGTGTAAACATTGTCAAGCTGAATACCATTACAAATTATGAAGTCATAGCAAAGAAAATTTGCATATACGCATTAATTTTATTTTATAATCTCTTTAAAAAATAGGTACATTTTCATTTTTAAATTCACTTTTATGTGTCTGTTATTACTATTTTAAGTTATGCACAAGCTGGTTAACATAGGTTGTAGGTTTAAATCCTTGTAATTGTATCTGGGAAATCTATATGTTGCAAAAAAAAAAATTAACATCGTTAGCTGGAACTAAAGTCCATTTCCATTTCTTTTTTTCCTTCACCTTGAAAACTTAGAGTTTGTTCACTCTGGCAGTTTAGTAGTCCTGGTTTGCATAACAATAAATAACCAATGAAGGTTCTTGAAATATCTGTGATACTTGATATATCCTGCAGGCTAATTGATGTTATTTTTAAATCTTTAATTAAATAACAATAGCAACATATAATTACATTCAGCAAGGACCAAGATTTCTGCAACAAGATTTCAGATTATAACCCTACATACTCATTTATTAATGCTTTTTGCGGCTTTAACATTACCAAGACATCTTAAATAAAAGCAGCCAAGTGTGCACCCTGGTCCTAACTCAGTGCATTGCCATTTATCATTATTATTGCTATCATTACCCTTTGCTTAGGGTCCCTTCACTGTGTTTTAAATCCATTTGACAGTAGTGCACATTCAAGCCATTGAGAATTTATTTTTCTGGCGAGAACTTGGGAGGTAGTATATAAAATATTTCCTTGATATCGAGATATAATATGATCTAATTGTCATTACCTAAATGTTAAACTTCAACAAAAAAACGCTGTCCCAGGAATTCTTCAAAACCTCTTCAGAGAGTTCTCAAGCAAAACACCTTGTTATTGACAATTTTATATATATACATATAATTGATGTAAAGAGCATCATAAATGTTCCTGAGTGATAAACTACAATAGCTAATTATCATAATAATAAAACTAATAAAATAATATAAAATAAAATATCTTCCTAAAATACCACCTCATTCTGTTGTCAAGATAGCAAACCTGAAAAGCAACCTCTGTGGATTCATCACCTGGTCCCTCCATTTTACTATGTGTACCTCACAGGCTTGTTGGGAGGACCAAATGAGTTAATATCCCTAATGTACTTAAAACAGGGCCTGGCATGCATTAGTCACTCAGACGTTAGCTGTTTTATGAAGAGGCAAGTAGTGGTGTGTTCAGTTGTCTGACATTTTTCTAGTCTAACAGCTTCCTAGAGCAGACTGCAGTGCAATGAATATGCAAAGCTCACCTTTCTGCTTTACTTTCTGTCACTGGTGTAGAGTATACATCAATGGTATAATTTCTTAACGGCATTCTCTTACCAGACGCTCTCACCTCAATGCATTCTCATTGTCATTATTGTTCAAAAAGCGAAATTGATCATACCTTTTCACCCGTTCTTCTCTGTGAAGAGAATAAAGTCCAGTTCAAACACCTTACCATGACATTTTCTCTGTCCTCCCCAATCCTATCTCTCTATTCTAGGTTTGTGTGCTGCAGCAATGCCAGGTTCTTATTGTTTCCTAATAGGCATTGTGCTTATCAGCCTCCAGGCTATTCACCTCCTAGGTTTGCTTCCTGACAGGTACCCTGTTTTTCTCCCTGATGAATCCCTAATGATTCTTCAATATCTATTCCCTCCAAATGTATTCCATTCTTCATTATGAGTTACACAACTCTGGGAAAATTATTTAATTTCTCCAAACTTTAACTTCTTCTCTGAAATGCATGAATAAATATGATCATTTATGCTAATGTGCTTGTAAGATTAGGTACATATTCCACACAGAGTTCAGCACATAATAGGTGCTTAATGAATTGTAGCTATTATTATTACTATTGCTAACATCGTTATTATTCCATCTACAAAAAGAAAGCCTGCATTTCTCAACCAAAATATAATGAAATCTACACCAGGATCAAAGCATTTGAGCCCATAGGTACTAGGACCCCAAGCCCTAAGAAATGTGTTAACAGATAGGACACCACCAGTGGTGAGTGAGACAGAGGTAGTAACTTAAAACGCCAATGCTCATTACCTGGGTGATGAAATAATCTGTACACCAAAACTCCGCAACATGCAATTTACCCATGTAACAAACCTGCACATGTACCCCCTGAACCTAAATAAAAGTTGAAAATAAAAAATAAAAACTCTGTAGTCAAAAGTCAAAGATTGTATTGGTAACAAAAAAGACAACTAATATGGGGGGAAGAGCAACTGCAAAGGCCAATAATATTGTTATTATTGCCATCCTGCACAAATATAAAAAATATGTATTTTTAGAAAACATTTAAATGTAGCAAAATCCTATTATCTGATGAGCTCTGAATAACACAACATGTCATTTGTTTATGAAGCATAAGCAATATACCTACAGATTGGTCTACTCTGCAAAAGTAAGGAGAAAAGAACACCTCCCCCTCTTTTTATGGATCTGTCAAATAAGTGCTGTGCTTTCTCTGTCAAGATCACAAGCTTTGGTGAATTAGTCATGGAGTTCTTTGTTTTTAGTTCAGATAAGCTGATTGTTTGCTTTTGAATGCAGTGTACAGACCTGTTGGCAAGTTGAGAGAAGGCCCCCAAGGAATACACTGAGGACTACAGTAGAACTCCAGCCAAAAGCAGTACACAAACTGCTCTCCAGATTCCACTGCATGAATACACACACCGCCTTAATTAATCCATCATTAACATCAGAGCGCAGCACAGCGCCTACCACACCTGGCTTGACAGCTGGATTGAAAGCGCCCTTGACAGCTGGTGCTTATGCACTTGCTTGAAGTAAGGGGGCTGATGATGGGCTTGCCTAGGGAGCTAGAGCCCTGCCGAGAAGTTATGTGTTTGATGAACGTAATAGCAGTTAATGAGAATATTTTATGCTAGAGTTTGGGGACTGATGTAACAGCACTACAATAAAATGTACATACTTGGCAATTCAATATCTAACTCTGCTAAATATTGTAAAGCCATGTAAACATTTGAGCAAATGTCTCATGTGCTAAGAAGTAAGCTCCCACGGAGCAGTATTTTTAACCTTAAATAGCTAAATAGAATCACTGCAGGTCCTTGTGGCCTGGGGGGTAAAACATTCCCATAAACATCAAGGCAATTCCCTTCTAAACTCTTGATCACACTTTATGCTTACTACCACGGAGTGTAATTTTAACCCCAAATGCTCGTCTTTTCCCTAAATCAATGTTTAGCCTTTATATTTTAGGGCCTTATTCAGGTAGTGTTATCTATCATAGCAATTAGGGATGATTAGGTGACTTCCGGTGGTGATTGATGGTTCCTTCCCATGTTTATTAAGTTGGGAGCACTTCTCACTTGTTAATATAACAAAAAAGGCTGGGTCAGTTGCATCTCCAGTTTCAACAGGCTGAGAATCTGATTTTTCTCTAAGTGTCCTGCTTTTGGCTCAGCTTAGCTTAGCAGCTGCGGCAGCACCATTAATAGTTTCACAGGGCCTGTGGAATTAAGGTTAAACCCTGAAAACCCTGAAATTGGCACTTAGATCCTTCCCTGCCCTGCTTCCATTGATCAAACCAACCTGCCCCTTCAGACTCTAAGGTGGCTAAACTGAATTTGTTACTGTTCTCTGAAAACAGACTGCTTTTTTTTTCTTTTTCTTTTTTTTTTTTTGTGGTCTCTCTGTGCCTTTGTTCACATTGTCCCAACTCCCAACTAATCTTTCATGACCCAGGTCAGAAACCACCTCCTGATCACATTTGCTTCCTCGGAGCTATGTAGAAGAATGAAAGTGGCTTGACCCACTACTGTGAGATTTTTAAAGGCAAGGGACTCTGTCCTATTTATCTTTTGCCAATTCATTTTTGGAATAAATGAATTAGTGACAAAATCAAGAATAGAAGCAGGTCTCACTGTATAGTACGGGTTGCCCCCACCACCTTACATTATTACCCAGCTGTGACTAAGTGAAAGACATTTAAAAAGGTAGAAAGAAAAATCCAGATCTATCCCTTGAATTACGTGTAGTATATGCTCCTCTATTAATAATAGCAGCTAACAGTTTTTAAGTCTTTATTAACCACATTCAATACATTTTTAACTTATGACTCACAGTCAACCAATGAGATATTATCACTCTCATTTTATAAGTGAGGAAAATGTGACTCAGAGCGAAAGTTAAGTAACTTAAGTTTACAATGAGAAAGTAAAAGAAGTTAGGTTTTATAAAGCTAACCTTTATTGAACAGATAGTATGCTTTGGAGACTGTTCTAGGTTCTTTCCTATAGTAAGTCACTTAATCCTCCCAACTACTCTATGAGGTAGGTACTAATATAAATTCCAACAATGAGGAAACTGAACAACAAAAGAGGGTAAACACCGTGTGTCAAATGATAATCAGTGGGGCTGAGATTTAAACTCAAGGAGTTTAGCCCCAACTCTCAACTACTATGCTATAGCTATTCCAGCATCTTTGACATCAAGCTCAGACTATTAACTGCTATGTGACCTTGCCTCAAAAGGAACATTTATGCCACTGTGTTTATAGTATATGTGTGTGTACATGCCTGAACTCCTAGGCTGTGGCTTTCTCATCACAGTGCATCCTACAGTGTCTAATTATCTAATACTGTTTTATAGACCTAGGTTTTCAATAAATATTAGAGGCCTTTCACTTATGTACTTTGCCTTAAATCAACAGAAAACTATTAAGAGACAATTTTCTATGACTCTGTCACATTTCTGCACATCTTAGAGAGGCAGTGACACCATTTGTTTCAGATTATCCTCTCATCAATGCTTGTACAGCAAATAGCCTTGAAAGACAGAAATAGTATCTTCCCCTGGAGTACAGTGCAAGTGTGCTTATAGCTTTAGGGAGTAGAGATAATACATTCTCCAGAGTAAAAAAAAGGATATGTGTACTGCACGTTACAAAAATCTAGATTCCCTAAACTCAAGATTCCTTTCCTGTAACATAATTCATTGCTTATGTAAACATCTCTCTGGGTCCCAGGGGAGACCTGAAACGAATAGGCAAGAAGTGATACAAATAAGCCCATGCTAGTTGCTGGCCATGAGTAATAAAAGTCCTTTTTCTCTAACCTAGGAATCTCGGGTCTTCTGCCATCATGCTAAGAACTGCAGCAGGCTACCTTGTAAGTTTGCAAGTACAATCAAATCTTAGACCCTTCAGAGTTCTTGCCTAAAAAAACTAAGGTTATGAAAACAAGTTTCCGTGGTTCTCTGTGGGTAACTAAAAAGTTATTTCTAAAGTAGAAGTTGGAAATTTTAAAAAGTTTTTAAATTATTGATTTACAAGTAATTTATTCCCTAGTGAATTAATTCATTGTCCAATAAAGTCTAAATAATATTTCTTTCAGAAGACCATAGGCAACTTTTAAACTATCAATTGATAAATCTTTTTTTTTTTTTTTTTTTTTTTTTTTTTTTTGAGACGGAGTCTCTCTCTGTCGCCCAGGCCGGACTGCGGACTGCAGTGGCGCAATCTCGGCTCACTGCAAGCTCCGCTTCCCGGGTTCACGCCATTCTCCTGCCTCAGCCTCCCGAGTAGCTGGGACTACAGGCGCCCGCCACCGCGCCCGGCTAATTTTTTGTATTTTTTTTTTTAGTAGAGACGGGGATAAATCTTAATGAATTCAATAAAAGTGGGAAAACACAATTACAATTATTGTTG
Source organism: Homo sapiens (assembly GCF_000001405.40). Lineage (NCBI taxonomy): Eukaryota > Metazoa > Chordata > Mammalia > Primates > Hominidae > Homo > Homo sapiens. The sequence goes on along the minus strand of NC_000008.11, from coordinate 77,117,401 downwards.
ACTAGTAATCATAGCTAGTTAAGTAACGTTTTTAACCATGTGGTAATAAATCTTGAAGGCTTATTTGAGAAATATCTATCTGAATTTTCTGTTCTTTCTCACATGTGCAGAGAAGATTCTGGCTGTCTTCATTCTTGCCTGCAAAAAAAAAAAAAAAAAGAGAGGGACATAATAAAAAAAAGACCTAAGTTACGAAGAAAATCAGTATTAAAACTATGCCTCCTCATTTATGCATTCATCCACTCATTCGTTCATTCGACAAACATAGTTGAGTGCCGGACACTGTGCTAGGCACTGGGACTCTAACGATTAATAAGACTCAGTTTAGTAGAGAAATGGTTATGTATGTCTTCAACCAAGTGGCTTAGATTCTGTGGACCTTAAATTCCTCATCTATAAAAGTGTTTAATTATATTTTATAAGTTTTTGCACATTTGAAATAATGCAATTTTTTAAATAAAAACTTTAAAGGCTACTTTGGATTTTAAAGCCTACTAAACCCATCATCATAGACCATGTGGCACAAATCTAAATCGTAAAAGATTCAGAATGTTCAAATACATTTTTGTTTTTTAAACGAAATCCCTTATGAATCACCCTTGAGGGCAGGGCATGAACGACTATAAGGTAATGTTAGGAGGAATCATTTAACCCCTCCCCCTCAAGTTAGAAGACAGACAGATTTCTCTTCATTTCTAAAGGGGAAGGGGTGAATTCATTAACTAGTGAATTTAGAAGGAACAGGGACAGCATGATTCTGTTCCTTCCATGTTTCTCCCCTCTGAGAATCTGTCCTCAGGATGCTCCAGTATCTGCTTCTCAATTGTAGCAGGTCTACAATGGCAGGATTTACCCTTAGAGGACTTACAATGAAGGAAGAGAAGCATCCAGTTTGGGGTGGATACATGCAAAAGTGAAAGTGTTAGAAAACCTAATTGCCTGCAGATTTAAGCCATGTTTTCCCAAATTTGGAAAAATAAAACTGACATACTGATCTCATCTATATGATTTTTATGTCTCATGTTTCAATTGTTTGACAACTTTCACAAAGATAAAGGGTGGGTTTTATTAGCCTCAAATCTCAACAGAAACATGTTTCTAAACAGTGTACATAGTTTTTCCTTACACTGTGATGTCACAGAAATATAAAATAGTTGTTGCCAAATTTTGAAACCCTTCAAAGAACGTCTGTATTACAAATTTACCAGAGAGGCATCTATTATATTTTATCTTAATGCTTGTAGCTCTATTATTATTGTTTTACAATTATTCCACTTTAGTAAAAAGCATATTTTAGATATAGTAAAAGTATTGGTCATTTGACTGAACTTGAGTACTCAATCAAGTGCAAGGCAGATAAATTGATGGTTGAGAAAAGGTAAATGTTGAATTAATGATTCTAACAATAAATAGATGATGAACAATTTATCAAACTGCACACTTCCAGAAGGTAAGGACTCACCTGTTTCTGAAAGCCTTGTATTCTACAGACCACCCCATTCAAAATATTTTAACACAAAGGTATTTCTTCAATAAATGTTTGTTGAATATGTGTAGAAGTATGTGAAATGATGCATAAGTTCATTCTTTATTGTTTTTCCCATAGGATCACTTCTCAGTGGAACTAGTTATAAGATTTGGACATGTCTTTCAGTCCATATATCCCATATTCCTTTTAAAAAGTTATATATTAGGAAAACAGTAAACATGTATATTTCTCTTCATTAGGGATGACAATCTACAACTTGTTAATATTATTGTAATGGGCAAAATAAAAACAAAGTTAGATTACATAGTGCTTCACCATCAAAGACACCATTGTATTTAATTAGACTCTGTGAAACATCTATTTGACAGATAAAGAAACTGAGATTTAGAAAGATTAAATTAACACTAGGATGTGCCAGTGTTGATTCTTAAACCCAGTTCATTTGGTATGAAATTCTCATTATTCAACACTATGACTGCTTAAAAATAAGTATGAAATTAAGAAACTTCTATGACTGCTAATAATTATCTATCAGCTGCCTGTCTAATCTTAGAGTTTGCATTTGTTGAACTCTTATGCTAGAGTAAGAGAGCAAAGGTCATGAAGCTGGTATATGCTGTATAGTGCAAATAGAAATGACAAGAAAAAATCCTGCTGACAAAACGTCAGTAAGAAAAAAAGTGGGGCTAATTCAGAAAAATAAAGGAATCATTTTAAACAATGCTGTAAGAAATAACAAACCACCTTTAAGGGTGTTGTTTGATCTTTAGAACCAAAGTTTTTAATTCTGGAAGCTATTTTTAGAATGCCATTAGTATGTCATCGAGACTTTTAGATTATGCTCATGATTCATTGTAGACTATACAGAGAACAGACAAGATTTTTTTTTTTCTTTCAACAAAAAGCATGGATCATCTATTTGATTAAAAGTGTGAAGGAAATGAAAAATCTTTAGCAAATACATAGCACACATCCTGAATCATTTAAAACAATGTTTCACCTAGTTTGCATTTGAATGGTTTCAATCAGTACAATGAAACCTCTTTCACTGGGTATTTAAGTGTATAATAAATTAATTAAGAATGTTGGTAAAAAACTATACTCAAAATATAGAATAATTTCAACATATTAGTAAATTTATTTTTTAATTTTAACATTATAATTTTGATGAAAATTTCCACAGTGGAAAAAATAAATATAATTCTGTCAAATAAGGAACAAAAAAGAAATTAGATAAAGTGCACTGATATTTTCTTTGTGAGGAAGAATTGTATCTTATATTACAAATATATTTACCCACAATTGGGTAGTCTTTTTACCATTTACAATACTTTTCCTTCCTCTTTCCTTCAGTTATTCATATTAAACAAGCATTTACTGCACACATACTAGTGAGCAATAGTAAAATGAAAGAGGCAAAGTGGAAAAAGAAGATAGGGTTTTGATAGCCTCAAAAATCTAATGTGCTAGTTAACCAGGAGAATGACATGTAAACAAATGATAGAGAATCAACAGGATAACAGCTCTACTAATATTATGTTAAAACTGTTACAGTAGCAGAATTGAGAAAATATCTGGCTATTGAGAAAAATCACCAAGAAAATGGCATTTGAACCAGGTCTGAGTTGACCAGACAGAGAATATAGATAGATTGGTCATAGGCAGAGGAAGACTGTGTAGAAAGGCACCAGGCAAGTGTAGGGAAGAAGTAGAACAGTGGTGCTGTACATATAGCACATGTGAAGGTGGAGATGGGGAGAACGCATACAAGTAAAGGTAAAAAGGGAAACCTGCATTAAGAGCTTTATATAGGATCAAATACTCGATCCAGTTGAAAACCAATGGAAATTTTTAGAGTAAAAAAATTACAAAATTAACACTGGTTTTTAGAAAAAACATTCTAATGAATGTGAATGGAGATTGTAGCAAAGACAAATATCTCAAGCCTCAAAGATCACTTGGGAAATTCTTCGTTTCTATGAGATGAGAGGGGACTGGGACCCAAATCATTATAGTGACCTAGAGCTAGGGATGGGCTTTGAAGCACATTTAAAAAGGAGAATAGCCTTAGGGCCTGGTGAGATTTGGTGTGAGAAGTTCAGAAGAATCTGAGATAATGCCAAGCTTTTGAATTTAGATGACTCTGTGGTACTATTATCAACTAGAGGAAGTAGAGAAAGTTGATAAAGGGGGATAAATTGATAATGGGTTCTTTATGAGGCATGTTGAGTTTAAGATTCCTTCAGAATCCACAGAGATATAAATAAAGTGGACAGGGAGAAACATGGCACTGGAGGACTATGGGAGAACTGAGCTAGAGCATGTACTTCTGGGGCATCCAACGTGAAAAGAATCAGTGACCGTGTATGAGATCACCTGGAGCAAGTGTGCAGAAGGTTGACTGCATAACCAAGTGGCACCTTGATTTTCAAGGCATACGTGGAAAATAGCTAGCTATAAAAACAAAAGGAATCTCAGAGGGGAAGCAGAAGGAGAAAAGTTCCAGCAGATATTGATCACGAGTGTTCCATATTTGAGACAGTGAAGGAGATGAGGACTGAGGAACATCCAATTGATTTATCATTAAAGAAACGCAATTGATGGAAATTTGGGGGTAGGAGTAAAAAGATGGTTTAAAATTAAAAGATGTCACAGATAACAGAATAGGTAGTTAACAAATACTTCTGCTTTATTAAAATATTCAAAACTACCAAAATAAATATTTTTCTCTTCATTTATTCTTAAGCAAAGTAAGGTTTTGCAAGTCATTAGAGATTCTACTCGAAGTGAAATCTTCTGTCATAATTTACGCCTATAGAACCCAAAGTGGCTGAAAATATAGGTAGGACACAGAACATCTTCTGGTATACAAAAAGAAATTATCCCAACATCTATGTTTCTTTATACATTTGTTGACTTTTCATCACAGTGTATGATGAGCCAAGTGAATAAGACCCATATTTTTATTTTTACTTTCATGTTAACCCTCTGAACTCTTTTCTGTTTAGTCCTGGCATGATACGTTTGTATTTTTCTGTCATTTCAGGATAAAAGTGATTTTTACTATCCTAAAATATATTGTTTAAATGTTGCCCTAAATAAATAACGTTATGTGATTTACTCCCCAAAGCCACACCAACATTAATAATAATACCAATGTAAATTTTGACAAGATATCATAAGTTACAAAACCATTCCATGAACTATCTCCTCTGACATCTTCTACAACTTAAGAAAGTGAATAAGGCAGATATAGTTATCTTGCAGGTAAGAAGTATGACTTTAAGTGACTTGTCACAAGTCACATGATGAGAACCTTGACTGTTCCTCTACAGTCCTGCCTCTTAGTTATATTCAGCCTAGAAAATAAAACTCCTTAGCAAATTAAAAACATCTAATTTTTTTTCTGTAAAATATTCTTTATTTCAAATTCTCAAAGAGAAAACATATTGTTTGATTTTCTTTTTTTAATGGTCAATACACTAAATTATGTTGAATAGGACGGTAATTATATAAGAAGTATAAAACTTCTTTACACAAGCCAATTTATTTTATTATGAGAAACCATATGGCATAGGAGTTAAAAGTTTATAGACTGGAGCCACCTAACTGGGTTCTAATCCTAGCTGTGCTACTCATTTACTGTGCAACTTCAGTCACGCCACTTAAACGCTCTGTGACTCAGTTTCCTCATTTGTAAAATAGATGTGATAACAATAATTGTTCCTACTTCCTAAATTTTGTTGAGTTATTACATTTAAAGCACTATGCAGGTGTCCCTGTTACCATCATTATTCTATAACGTACTTGCATTTTTAAAATGAAATGCAAGGAATTAACAAAGAAAATACTGTTTTTCCACCGGGTAATTTTTGAATCTAACAGGACTACTGAGAAGACCAAGAAAAGAAAAGACTAGAAAAACTTTCTACTATCTTAATCACCAAATTTGAGAGAATGTGAAGGTCCATGGCTGCTGATGACTTGAAGATATAAAACTAAATACCAAATTATTTCTTCCTGTTCTCACAAATTAGATACATTTGTTTTGAAAGCAGACCTACTTTTTTAAATGAGCAAAGAACATGATGAGTAAACAGTGCACAAAAAAATTGAAAAGAATATAGAGAATTCATGAAATAGTGTTGAACCTCAACTCAGGTTTAGGGACTATGGGAACCCAGCCAGCCCTTGGGATCTTGGTAGGAGGAACCCATGGCTTCTCCACTTAAGAATGTTGCCTTTAATATGATTGTGCTGCCAAAAATGCCGGTCACCATGTCTCTCATTTTAATACTGCAAATCCTTTGGAAATCTCTGATACAGTTTCCATCAGGTATCCACATTGGGCAATTAAGCTACAAAAGAGAGGCAAAGCGATGCAGACATTTTCAGGATGGGAGAACTTCCCTATAAGCATGGTGGGCAATTCTAATTGGATGGAGACAGAAAGTGGAGGGCTAGAAAGATAACTCTCCTAAAAAAGATGCTATAAATTGTCATACAGAAATATTTGAATCCATCTACTTTTTTCAATTAAAGAGATTCCTTTCAAAAAGTATTTAGTTAAAAACTATTTTTTGAAGCTTCTTAAAGGATTGCCATTTCTTTTCAGAAAAGTTGTTCTGTTGTCTCCTTTCCCCACCCCAAGACTGACTGAGGTTGTATCTTTCAGCACACCTTTGCTGAACATTGATTATTATAATTTTTGGAAATACCAATTTCAATTTGACAAGTTAAAAAATAGTAGCCATTGTCTTCATTAACTTCAATTTTGTGAAAGATAACCCACAAAATTTCAAAAAAGTTTTATACCACTCTTCTCTTTTTTGTCTTAGATTAGCACAAGTTGCTTTCTCTTACTTACAAACAAAATTTGAAAAAGAAAGTCAAAAATGCAACATCATCAGTCTCAGACAACTAGTGAAAATTTGTAAACGATACATATATATCAACAGGAAAAATGGCTAAATATGTTTTGCTAAATGTTTATCAAAAAATAATATACTTAGAAATTCATTTTCAAACAATACTTGAATGTATAAAATGTGCTCATGGTGCCATATTAGGCCGAAAAAAATTGTTGTGAAAGACTTTGTATACATTACCATATAAAGTGTATGAAACAAATAGAAAAAAAATTGAAAATTTAATTAAAATGCTACCAATAGTTATTTCTACATAGTGGGATAACTGATTTTGTTTATTTCCTTCTTCATATTTGTCTATTTCAAATTTTCTAACCATATGTTATCTATATAATCCATCAAGATTCCAAGGGCTGCTTGGGTTTCCATAGTCCCTAAACCTGAGTTGAGGTTCAACACTATTTCATGAATTGTTTACATTCTTTTTATTCTTCTACGCACTGTTTGTTTATTCATGTCCTTTGCTCACTTAAAAACAGCAGGTCTTCTTTCTAAACAAAGCATCTAATTTGCAAGAACAGGAAGAAATATTTTGGGATTTAGGTTTATATCTCCAAGTCATCAGCAGCCATGGACCTTCAAATTCTCTCAGATTTGGTGAGTAAGGTAGTAGAAAGTTGCTTTACTCCCTTACTCACCAAATAGACAGCAGACAGATAGTAGAAAGTTCTTTGTCTAGTCCTTTCTTTTCTTAGGTCTTCTCAGTAGATGTTTAGAGTCCTGTTAGAGTCAAAAACTGCCAGGTGGCAATTTTTTTTTTTTTAGTTCCTTGTTTTTCGTTTGGAAATTGTAGCTATATTATGGAATAATAGTGGCAATAGCAACATCTACATAGTGCTTTAAATATAATAACTCACACAATAAACTTAGGAAGTAGGAACAATTATTATCATCACGTTTATTGTACAAATGAGGAAACTGGCCAGCGTGGTGGCTCATGTCGGGAATGCCAACACGTTAGGAGGCCAAGGCAGGCTGACGGCTTGAGCTCAGGAGTTTGAGACCAGCCTGGGCAACATGGCGAAACCCTGTCTCTACAAAAATAAAAAATCAGCCAGACATGGTGGTGCATGCCTGTAGTCCCAGCTACTCAGGAGGCTAAGGGTGGGGAATTGCTTGAGCCCAGAAGATCAAGGCTGCAGTGAGCTGAGATCACACTCCTGCACCCCAGCCTGGGCAATACAGCAAGTCTCTGTCTCAAACGAATGGGGACACTGAGGCACAGGGCGTTCAAGTCTCATGACTAAAGTTGCACAGTCAGTGAGTAGCACAGCTAGGATTTAAACCTAGTCAGGTAGCTCCAGAGTCCAAGTATGACACTCTGGGTTGATTAGGGTAATGTTTCGCTTCCTTTTCACTCCACTCTAAACTGTTTGCCTCACTCAGCCAATGTCAAGGGGCTACCAGAATCCTTGGGAGATATGGTGTAGCACACGGAGAGTTACAGATGCAATTCTCTGAGCAGTGGCCTGGACAAACACAGAACAAACTGCTAAAATCATGGAGGCAATTCTGAGAGTAGCAGAGCCTGGAGGGAGCTTGACACTTGGTGGGTGCCAGATACCTAGAGACAAGGTAACAGTGGCCCTGTGAAAGCGTTCTATGTACACCAGACCAGAAAAGTCAATTGAGAACGTAATGGATGTGCTGATAATTGGTCTCCTCTGAGACTGGGCCAGAAACTGGTGCCTTGGCAGGAGATCAACACACTAATGTCATCAGCAACGCAGACATATAAGACTGTCAGCATGTGTGGTAGATTACAATAGCTAGACCTATATTTAGTTGTATAGTTGACCCTTGAAAAACACAGCTTTGAACTGCATGGGTTCACTTGTATGTGGATTTTTTTTCAATAAATATACTGGAAAACTTTTTGGAGATTTCTGACAATTTGAAAAAACTTGCAGATGAATCACATAGCCTAGAAATATCAGAAAAAAAGTTAAGAAAAGGCTAGGTATGTCATGAATGCATAAATTATCTGTAGATACTAGTCTATGTGTTAATCAACTCTTTCTGTTATCAGCAAACCTTCTAGTCAACAGTAGGCTACTAATAGTTAACTTTTGGGGGAATTAAAAAGTATACACAGATTTTGTTTTTTTTTCTTTCTTTCTTTTTTTTTTTTTTACTTAAAGTTCTAGCATACATGTGCACAAAGTGCAGGTTTTTTACGTACGTCATACGTATACATGTGCCATGTTGGTGTGTGCACCCATTAACTCTTCATTTACATTAGGTATATCTCCTAATGCTATCCATCTCCCCTCCCCCCATCCCCTGGCAGGCCCCCCTGCCCCTGTGTGATGTTCCCCACCCTGTGTCCATGTGTTCTCATTGTTCAATTCCCACCTATGAGTGAGAACATGCTGTGTTTGCTTTTATGTCCTTGCGATAGTTTGCTCAGAATCATGGTTTCCAGCTTCATCCATGTCCCCATAAAGGACATGAACTCATCCTTTTTATGTCTGCAGAGTATTCCATGGTGTCTATATGCCACATTTTCTTAATCCAATCTATCATTGATGGAAATTTGGGTTGGTTCCAAGTCTTTGCTATTGTGAATGGTGCCGCAATAAACATACGTGTGCATGTGTCTTTATAGCAGCATGATTTATAGTCCTTTGGGTATATACCCAGTAATGGGATGGCTGGGTCAAATGGTATTTCTAGTTCTAGATCCCTGAGGAATTGCCAAACTGTCTTCCACAATGGTTGAACTAGTTTACAGTTCCACCAACAGTGTAAAACTGTTCCTATTTCTCCACATCCTCTCCAGCACCTGTTGTTTCCTGACTTTATAATGATCACCATTCTAACTGGTGTGAGATGGTATCTCATTGTGGTTTTGATTTGCATTTCTCTGATGGCCAGTGATGATGAGCATTTTCTCATGTGTCTGTTGGCTGCATAAATGTCTTCTTTTGAGAAGTGTCTGTTCATGTCCTTTGCCCACTTCTTGATGCAGTTGTTTGTTTTTTTTCTTGTAAATTTGTTTAAGTTCTTTGTAGATTCTGGATATTAGCCCTTTGTCAGATGGGTAGATTGTAAAATTTTTCTCCCATTTTGTAGGTTGCCTGTTCACTCTGATGGTAGTTTCTTTTGCTGTGCAGAAGCTCTTTAGTTGAATTAGATCCCACTTGTCAATTTTGGCTTTTGTTGCCATTGCTTTTGGTGATTTAGACATGAAGTCCTTGCCCATGCCTGTGTCTTGAATGGTATTGCCTAGGTTTTCTTCTAGGGTTTTTATGGTTTTAGGTCTAACATTTAAGTCTTTAATCCATCTTGAATTGATTTTTGTATAAGGTATAAGGAAGGGATCCAGTTTCAGCTTTCTACATATGGCTAGCCAATTTTCCCAGCACCACTAATTAAATAAGGAGTCTTTTTCCCATTTCTTGTTTTTGTCAGGTTTGTCAAAGATCAATCGTTGTAGATGTGTGGTATTATTTCTGAGGCCTCTATTCTGTTCCATTGGTCTGTATCTCTGTTTTGGTACCAGTACCATGCTGTTTTGGTTACTGTAGCCTTGTAGTACAGTTTGAACTCAGGTAGCGTGATGCCTCCAGCTTTGATTTTTTTGCTTAGGATTGTCTCAGCAATGTGGGCTCTTTTTTGGTTCCAGATGAACTTTAAAGTAGTTTTTTCCAATTCTGTGAATAAAGTCATTGGTAGCTTGATGGGGATGGCATTGAATCTATAAATTACCTTGGGCAGTATGGCCATTTTCACAATATTTATTCTTCCCATCCATGAGCATGGAATGTTCTTCCATTTGTTGGTGTCCTCTTTTATTTCATTAAGCAGTGGTTTGTAGTTCTCCTTGAAGAGGTCCTTCACATTCCTTGTAAGTTGGATTCCTAGGTATTTTATACTCTTTGAAGCAATTGTGAATGGGAGTTCACTCATGATTTGCCTCTCTGTTTGTCTGTTATTGGTGTAAAGGAATGCTTGTGATACAGTCCCATATTTCTTGGAGGCTTTTTTTGAAATAGTCCCATATTTCTTGGAGGCTTTGTTCATTTCTTTTTACTCTTTTTTCTCTAAACTTCTCTTCTCCCTTGATTTCATTCATTTGATCTTCAATCACTGAAACACTTTCTTCCATTTGATCAAATCTGCTACTGAAGCTTGTGCATGTGTCACGTGTTTCTCGTGCCATGGTTTTCAGCTCCATCAGGTCATTTAAGGACTTCTCTACACTGTTTATTCTAGTTAGCCATTCGTCTACTCTTTTTTCAAGGTTTTTGGCTTCTTTGTGATGGGTTTGAACATCCTCCTTTAGCTCGGAGAAGTTTGTTATTAGTGATCGTCTGAAGCTTTCTTGCCTCGACTTGTCAAAGTCATTCTGCATCCACCTTTGTTCCGTTGCTAGCAAGGAGCTGCATTCCTTTGGAAGAGAAGAGGAGCTCTGATTTTTAGAATTATCAGCTTTTCTGCTCTGGTTTCTCCCCATCTTTGTGGTTTTATCTACCTTTGGTCTTTGATGATGGTGACGTACAGATGGGGTTTTGGTGTGGATATCCTTTCTGTTTGTTAGTTTTCCTTCTAACAGTCACGACCCTCAGCTGCAGGTCTGTTGGAGTTTGCTGCAGGTCCACTCCAGATGCTGTTTGCCTGGGTATCACCAGTGGAGGCTGCAGAATAGCAAAGGTTGCTGCCTAATCCTTCCTCTGGAAGCTTCGTCGCAGAGGCGAACCTGGCCTTATGAGGTGTCAGTCGCCCCCCTACAGGGAGGTGCCTCCCAGTTAGGCTACCCGGGGGTCAGGGACCCACTGGAGGAGGCAGTCTGTCCGTTCTCAGATCTCTAACTCCATGCTGGCAGAACCACTACTCTCTTCAAAGCTGTCAGACAGGGACGTTTAAGTCTGCAGAAGTTTCTGCTGCCTTTTGTTCAGTTATGCCCTGCCCCTAGAGGTGGAGCCTACAGAGGCAGGCAGGCCTCCTTGAGCTGAGGTGGGCTCCACCGAGTTTGAGATTCCCAGCCACTTTGTTTACCTACTCAAGCCTCAACAATGGTGGATGCCCCTCCCCCAGCCTCACTGTTGCCTTGCAATTTGATCTCAGACTGCTGTGCTAGCAGTGAGCAAGGATCCTTGGGTGTGGGACCCTCCGAGCCAGGCACGGGATATAATCGCCTAGTGTGCGGTTTGCTAAGGCCATTGGAAAAGCACAGTATTAGGGTGGGAGTATCCAGATTTTCCAGGTGCCTCCTGTCACAACTTCTCTTTGCTAGGAAAGGGAATTCCTCAACCCCTTAAGCTTCCAGGGTGAGGCAATGCCCCGCCCTGCTCCGTGGGCTGCCCCCACTTGTCTGGCAAGCCCCAGTGAGATGAACCCAGTACCTCAGTTGGAAATGCAGAAATCACTCGTCTTCTGTGTCGTTCATGCTGGGAGTTGCAAACTGGAGCTGTTCCTATTCAGCCATCTTGGTGCCCCCCGTACACAGATTTTCAACTGTGTGAGTAACCCTGCATTGCTCAAGGGTCAACTGTATAGTCTATTAATAGCTAATTTGAGATATAGTAAGGCCAACAGATCAGGAGATAATTGCCTTTGAAAACAGTTTATTTCTCCCATTCTGTAGGTTGCCTGTTCATTCTGATGGTAGTTTCTTTTGCTGTGCAGAAGCTCTTTAGTTGAATTAGATCCCATTTGTCAATTTTGGTTTTTGTTGCCGTTGCTTTTGGTGTTTTAGACATGAAGTCCTTGCCCACGCCTATGTCCTGAATGGTATTGCCTAGGTTTTCTTCTAGGGTTTTTATGGTTTTAGGTCTAACATGTAAGTCTTTAATCCATCTTGAATTAATTTTTGTAGAAGGTATAAGGAAGGGATCCAGTTTCAGCTTTCTACATATGGCTAGCCAGTTTTCCATGTTCTCACTCATAGGTAGGAATTGAACAATGAGAACACTTGGACACAGGAATGGGAACATCACACACCGGGGCCTGTTGTGGGGTGGGGGGAGGGGAAAGGGATAGCATTAGGAGATATAACTAATGTAAATGATGAGTTAATGGGTGCAGTACACCAACATGGCACATGTATACATATATATACATATGTAACAAACCTACACTTTGTGCACATGTACTCTAGAACTTAACAACTGAAGAGAAGGAAAACAAACAGAACTCACTCTGCATTATATAGAAATGATGGAATATTGGATGTAAATATGAATACAAATAATAAAATCAGTTAAATTCAATAGATTGCTTGAAGGAAACAATAATCATTTATGAATTATCATATGTGAGAAACTTTCTAGTGTTCAAAAGATTTATAAAGGGGTAAAAATCATGACAAAAAAGACACAAGACTCAGAAGGTAGATTTGAAAGCCCATACATTAAAACAACAGTAATTCAGAAGACGAAAAAAGTGGAGATAAAGGAAAGGCAATAGTCTAAAATAATCTTTGAAGAAAATTTCCCTGAGTTGAGGAATGTCCTGACTCTTCAGACTGCCTGTAGCTCACTAGCTTCTAGACTACATTAAGGAGAACAGAGAACCTCCCAGGCATATAGTAGCAACATTCCCAAACTCTAAAGATACAGAGAAATCTCACAGGTGGCCAGGAAGAAAAACAAATGTATGCATTTGAAAAATATATCTGTGTCTCCAGGCTCTTTATCTGGCATTTTGGAGGCTATGAAACAGGGGAATAGCAACTACAGAAACTCTCAACAGGACAAGACTACAGCTTATACTTATCAAGATATCACTCATCTTATGGGACAAAAGTAAAATGTTTGAGGATCTGTAAGAATTCAGAGTATACACCTACTAACTCCATCTAAATAAAATGCAGGCAAGAAAACTTCTTACCAATTTACAAATTACCAATTTACAAATGAACCCAATTAGAGACACAATAAAGCATGCAAGATATAGCAGTGAATAAAAAACTTTGACATTTATAATTACACTATGTTATATACATGATTATCTCCATGTATATTTTATATCAAACATTATTAAATCTACATGGATAAAGGCAGACTTAATGTGTACAGTATAAATGGCAAACAAGCATTCTTAAAGATAAGAGATTTACTATTAAAAGCACGAATCTATATCAGGCAAAGAAGTGGTGGGCGGGGGGGAAAGTAAATTTTCTAAAGAGCTTACCTTATTGGGGTGGTTGGGGAAAAACAGTGGAATCAAATCTGTGGAAACAGTGTTATGAGTTTAATTGTACTCCCCCAAAATTCACATGCTGAGGTCTTAACCCTGACAATGTAATCTTTTTTGAAAATAGGGTTGCTGAAGAGGTAATTAGTTAAGATGAGGTCATACTGGGATAGAGTGGGCCCCTAATCCAATATAACTGATGTCCTTATAAAAAGGAGAAACGTGGACACAGACATACACACAGGGAGAACACCATGTGAAAAGAAAATTAGAGATCAGCATGATGTATCTACAAGCCAAAGAATAACAAAGATTGCCAGCAAACCACCAGAAGCCAGGTGAGAGGCATGAGACATATTCTCCCACACAGTCTCAGAATAAACAAACCCTGAAGACAGCTTGATTTTGGACTTCTAGCCTCCAGAGATATGAGATAATAAATTTCTGTTGTTTAAGCCACCAAGTTTGTAGTATTTTGTAATGGCAGCCCTAGCAAACCAATACACTAAGTAATATGAAAGAGCAAGTTGGTATCTTGCTTCCAGATATTAGCAGAAATACATGCATCTGATTACATATAAAATCAGGAAAAGGGAAATGTAAAGACTAATAGAATGGAAAATAAAAATAGAAGCTCTGGAAGGAAAAATCACAACTTGATTATCAAGTAATATAAAGTAAATGAGTGAACCCCAGTCTCTACTAAAAATACTAAAAAATTAGCCGGTTGTGGTGGCAGGTGCCTGTAATCCAAGCTATTTGGGAGGCTGAGGCAGGAGAATCGGTTGAACCCGGGAGGCAAAGGTTGCAGTGAGCTGAGATTGCGCCACTGCACTCTAGCCTGGGCAACAATAGCGAAACTCCATCTCGGAAAAATAATCATAATAACAATAATAATAATAAAGTAAAGCAAAAAAGAAACAAAAATGCTTAGTAAAATCAAGTATATCATTCACTCTACTAAATGTAAACGGAATGAACACTTCATAAAACATAGAGATCGTAAGATTCAACTTTTAAAACACTGTACCTTATTTGCAAGAAATACGTTATTGTAAACATTAAAATCATTCACTATTATTAGATTCTCCCCTTCTTGGGTGTGCAGAAGACTCTAGTTGGTAAATATGTCACATGACTGGTTTTAGAAAATGGTCTGTGAAACAAATAATTTAAGAGGGAAGCACATGTCCCAGCTTCCTCTTCCCCTGCCACAGTGAACCCTAACACCACAGGTTGAGATGGCAGAACTTCAAGATTGAAGCTGCCTGGATTATTGAGGGTACAAATGGAGGGCAGCTGAGTTTTCAAGTTAAAACAAAACAAAACAACAACAAAAAAACCTAATTGGCCTTTAGTGAGAACCAAAAATAAACTTTGTTTCTCTAAGCCTTTTAAATGTCAGGGCTAATTTGTTAGTGGAACATAGCTTTTCCTTTCTAACTGATAAACACAATGAAAACAGAGCAATTTTTTTTAAGGTTGGAAATAACAGGATAAACAGAGGTACCAGGCAAATGCAAGTAAAAGGAAAGCAAGAATGGATATATGGTGAGATGGATAATTGCATTAAAAGCACCAACAAGGATAGACAATATAATGATTTAATGATAAAAATCACAATTCATAAAAAATATAAACAGCCTTAAACACACACACACACACACACACACACACACTCATTAATAATATGTTATAAATCAACAATATGGTAGTTTAGGGATATAAAACAAAAACTACTGAAACTGCAATAAAGTTTTGACTAAATTAGAGTATGAAACTTAAGTATATCTCAGAATTTAACAGCTCTAATAGATAAAATATAAGGTCTTAAAATAACTCAATAGTAGTATATTTAATAGATATATTCCCTGTATAGAGAATATACGTTTTTATATGCTTAATTTAGCCACATCATAAAGCTTGACAGATTTTTAAAAGGTGGCTTTCTTTTAAAATAATTCAGTAAAATTAGAAGTTAACAAAAGATTAACTAAAATAATATTGAGAATTTGTTAAAATGAACTCTGGGGAGGAAAAGACTTTTATACCATAGCTCTTCTAAACTCTTGTCTCATCATCAATATCAAAAAAATAACTATCAATACTATCCAACATCCCATCTTCAAATTATTCTCTACATAAACGTCCAGGTTAGATGAAAGCTTGTATTTTTTTCAAAATGAGGAGATAAGTAGTTTATTTCCATATAAACTCTTATGATAGCCTAGCTAAAAGGAAGCAGAACTTATACATAGACAATGTGAGGGAATTCAGCTCAGAAAAATATCTCAAACCAAGTTACATTCTAGGCTTGAAAGATCCTGTCCATACATCATTGTACTGTCACCATGTAATAGGATGACCATACGTCCTGGTTTGCCAGGACAGTTGTGGTTTATGTCTGTTGTCCAGGTGTAATTATTAATAGTACTCTCTTTTACTTTCAAAAGTGTCTCAGTTTGGACAATAAATTTTATAGTCACCCTACCATGTAGTGATACAGCCCCTTTGCTTAACAAGGTAGGAATCTCAGGGCCTTTTCTGTACAAAGATTTGTGAGCACACTCAGACCATCCATGGACCCTTTTTCATTGTCCTGCTTTTCCTTATCTATGAAAGGAACATCAACAGAATTAAGTATTAATTAATAATGAGAATGAAATGACTGGAAGCAGTATTTATGACGCTGGCCAAATTTAAAAATATGTTTATTGAAATAGATGCCAAGGGAATCACTGCATAGGATTATACCAGAGAAAATGATAATAACGTATCAGGAAAAATATTATAGGACCTTATTAAATATATAAATCACATTTTTCTAAACAAACTAAAACTCACCAATTCAATCACTTAACCAGTACAAACTGGAATACAGTTCATGCTAGTGTGATGGAAAGGATCAATATAAATTTGATCACCTTGTATACATTAAAAAAATGGACAAGATAACTTAGGAAAGCTATTGGTGTAACTTGGAAAATATAGTACTTTATGATTTCATTTCACCTAGCACTGGTAGTTTTTGGTATACATGTTGACTTCTACAATATACTTCTATGAATAAACACCAATCAATAGATTTATATCATAATCATCCCTATGCTATCAAAGCTTATCTAATAATGTAAAACAAAGTCATTCTTTAGTATCTTCTCAACACTCAGTCAATGCACTACAAGTTTGGAATACAACCTATATTCTTCTGCCTACTATTCTTCATTACATAAGAAACTATGTACCACTTTATCTGTCCCCGGACAAACCTTGAGTATCTAATGCCCCTATTGCTTAAGACCCACTACTTTCTGCTTTTCATTTCAACTTCACAATGCCTACTACTGGCAAAGCCTTAACTTATCTATTCCTTCCAAACCCCCAATGCAAATATCTCTTTTTATAATAAAATTAAAGCAATTTTCTTTTCCTTTTTTTGCTCATTAGGTAGCCAGTATTATTGGCATTATAGTTAATAGCCACCTGGTAGTTAAATATTCTTCTTTATCAATATATTGATCAGATTGCTGTAGATACTTGGCAATTTGTATAGATAGATGAATTTTTCTTGAATCTGTGAAATCAACACTTAGAATCCCACTTTATTTGTCACAGAAATCTATAACATTTTTCCTCAGAGATTTAGTTAATTAGCTAGTTTAGGGATAATTACTAAACATTGACCTTGAACTTTATTATTGCTCCTTGTCGTCTACTGGTGGACACATTAACCATCAGAGTTATGATAGTAATAGAAATGACAAATACAGATTCTTCTCAGAGGAGTAGTAGAGTTGTCAAGAAATATAAGAAATTTGTATATTTCCTAAATGCTCAGGTCCTAGAATTCAAAAGTAGCATTTGGAATATGTCCGTGGAAATTTGATAAAATGAAATAAATTTAATTTTACAAAAATCAAGTAATATTCTTTTTAATGATTCAGAGGTTTTCTATAAGATTAAAGATAATTTCAAGAATCATTGAACTTCAGATTTTTTTAAAAGGTCAGTATGCTAGGAATTTTGTAAAGGACCAAAGTAAAGGTATCCAGTGCCAACATGAAAAGAACATATGCATAAACGAATAGATGCCGCTTAAGATAAACTTAGGTATACCTCAGAATTTCACAGCTCCGATAGGCAAAATATAAGTAAGGTCATAGAACAGCTAGTGAATAATACTTGATTTAATAGATATATCCCTTGTGTACAGAATATACATTTCCTTTATATGCCTAATTTAGAGACATCATAAAGCTTGACAGATTTTTAAAAGGTAGCTTTCTTTAAAAATAATTCAATAAAATTAGAAGTTAATAAGAGATTAACTAAAATAATATAATTTGTTAAAATGAATTTTGAGGTGGAAAAGACTATTTTACTATAGTTATTCAGAAGCTCCTGTCTCATCATCAATATCAAGAAAAATAACTATCAATACCACTAACTATCATCTGGTATTTGAGCTGGTTCTGTAACACCACATGAAAACTTTTTAATTGCAAGTGAGAGACTAATTCTAGTAATGTGTATGTGTGGAAAGAGTTTATATTTCTTTTCTTTTTTTTTTTTCTTTTTAAGAGAGGGTCTTGCTCTGTCATGAAGGCTGGAGTACAGTGGTATGATCACAGCTCACTCAGCTCACTGCAGGCCCAAACTTTCCACCTCAGCCTCCTGAGTAGCTGGGACCACAGGTGGTGCATCACCATGCCCAGCTAATTTTTATATACATATTTTTTGTAGAGATGCGGTCTCCCCATATTTATATTTCTTAATTAACAAAAGTAGAAGGGAAAATATTTTTTTAAAAAATTTATATATAGTTTTATTGAGGAAAATATTTTCAATTCTCTTTGTTTTCAAAATCAAAGTGAGTAAAATTTTATACATTTTAAAGCTAACACCCATGTTAACATATATGACAAAATTATTTGTCATAAAAATTACAATGGCAAAATTTTACCATTGGTAATGCTAAAAATTCTCTAGTAGGCACAATAGAAAACTGCAGCTATTCATGAATGGAAAAAAACAGACAAGTTTGGCTTTAGCCTATTATTCAGCCTAAATTGACTTGATAGTTTCCTCATACGACAAATGCATACTTCAGTATCACCTCTAGTAACTCAGAAATTGTGCATGACAAATGACAATGTGATTACAGTATGTTACCATCTTACAAAAGAGTAACTGAGCCATTATGAGCATAAAGTATGTTTTTCAGATTTGTATTAATATCTGAATATTAAAATTTCATACATAAAAAAAGTTCAATATGTACTTTGTGATGAAATTCTGCCTTTGTATGTTGAGATTCCATCAATTTTTTGAAACATAATTGTGTAAATATTTTTGCCAGAGTAAAATAATTAATGAGCACTTTGATTCCCGTTACTTTTAAGTGAAACTATTTTTTTCTTTATTTTCAGAAGTGAAATTAGTAGTTAAAGAGACAGTAAAAATATTGAAAAGAATGAGTTAGGTAACCCTGGGAGGCATATTATATAATTTTTGAGTCAATAGTTTTTCTAAAAATTTAAATAATGATATAAAGCAAAACAACCAATAGTTGATAAAATTATAATTCTAATATTTGTAAAATTATTTATGTGCTAGCATTCCTGACATTAAAGCATATAACCTTAAAAAATGGCCGATAATTTGAGATATTTAATTATATTTAGGCCATAAGTATTTCGAGATTCATATCTTGCTTCTCCAATGGTATCAGTAAAAAGGGAGCATCTATTTACTGTACAAATATGTAGTAAAGTACCTACAGGAGCCATCTAGAAGCCAGCAGTGCTGAAAAATTATTGTTTCTAAGTCACAAGGTAAAATTATACAAATTTGAATCTTCAAACGTAAATAATTAATAAATGTATATATTCTAAGTTTTGGTAAAATTGAAACCACCTTTGCAAAATTATAACTGAGGAAATTATGACAGTGAAAGAAATCAGGCCAAATTAACTCTGTCTTCCTTCTAACCCTTAAGCTGTCCTTGTTCATTCCTGGGGGTAGGTCGAACTAACTTTGGGAAGGAATTCAGTTCATGGTTTGACTCTGAAACAAAATTGGTAACAGCCCTTTACCAAAAAGACCCCCTTCTTGCCTGGGGTCCAGTCTGCCTTTGCAGGACTAACAAATCAGCTAAAAGATCAGAAATTACAATTAAGGGGTCATGCAGCCTCTGGCTCCAAGAGTCTAAACCTCCCCAGATTGCTCTTGGGGATAATATCACTATTGTAAAACCTAAAATCAGTGCTTGAGATACTTTGCAGACCCTGTACTCGATGGATCAGCTGACACCACCCAGACTGGTAATCTGGCCCAACCAGTTCTGCTGTCACACCCAGGAACAGAACATATTAAGAAAACCTAACTTCTATCTGCTATGATTCCATCCCCAACCTGACCAATCAGCACTCCCCACTTCCCAAGCTCCTACCCGCCAAATTATCTTTAAAAACTATGATCTCCAAATGCTCAGAAGACTGATTTGAGTAATAATAAAACTCCCGTCTCCCACACAGATGGCTCTGCATGAATTACTCTTTCTCCATTGCAATTCCCCTGTCTTGATAAATCGGTTCTGTCTAGGCAGCGGGCAAGGTGAACCCACTGGGCAGTTACAAAATCTCAGATGTATTTTTGTGTCACAGACTTTCTACACTGATGATATTTGGCTTCAATTTTGGCTTCAGCCAAATGTTTATTTCAATATCCAGCCATTGAACATTTGGCCCATGTTCAGCCCCCAAGTTAAGGGTAGAATTATTTCAATTCCCCAGGGAGCTCTCCTAAAAGTGAACCACAGGAAAACCTTAGAGAAGGGCTTCTCAAACTGGAATGTAAGTTAGGGTCATCTGGGGAACCCTTCAAATGCAAATCCTGATCCAGGGTCTGAGGTGGAAGCAGAGATTCTGCATTTCAAATCAGTTTCTGGCTGATGCCAGAGATGCTGGTCCAGGGCCCACATTTGAAGGAGCAAGCTCCTTCAAACACCTAACATTCCTATGTGTGAGTGGACACGTGGACATTCTGAGCCGGAATTTCTGGGAAATAATTCTGTTCACTTCCCAAAAGTTTGTCCTGGGTTCGGAGCCTAGTAAGGGAGAAATGAAGAGAATCAAATTACTTCTTTTATAGCTTAAAGGTGTTCTACTATGTAAATTAAAGAAAAAGCACGAACAAATTGAGCAATTCACAAACAGGTTATATTAAAGACAAGAGTTTGGGAAATGACTAAATCATCCTGAATTATATCGTTAAGTGTAAAAATTTAAAAGGACTACACACAATTTCTATTAATAGTACAAAGCAAAAAGAAACCATTAATAGGAAGTCAAGAAAAGTAAACCAAAGACTGTGATTTAAAGGTCCTGGAAATAAATTAAAAAAAGAGAAAAACAAGAATACATAGCATTAATGGAAACTTAAAGGGAAAAGATAAAGCAAGATAAAATGCTAGCCATCAGGATAAAGCAACAAGATGGAATTTTATAAATGATCTTAAGGAAAAGATAATTGAGGAAAAAATAAACCTAATAAACCAATAGGGGTATACAACTTACTGAAAATGGCTAAAATATTAAAGTATTTCATATTAGTCTTTAGGTAGAAAAAAATGAAGAAATTAAATGTGTAGAGTAAGAAAGAACTGAAAAACTAACCTATCTCCACCAAAAAAAAAAAAAGCAGCTATAGAGTCACAGAAATATTTTAAAATTTTGAGAACACGTAAATCATCCAGCTACCATGTATTACCAGGAGGTTGACATGTAATCTAAGGGAGAGGAAAATTTAATAATGTTTCTATGGGACTAAACTTTTATTGTTATAATCATTATTTAATATATCTGAGCATCAACAATACATTAGAGCTGTATTTAAGGTAGAGATAGCCACTTCTATATGAATTTATGATTCAAGCTGAAAGACAAAACACAGGAGAGAGCAACAAAATACAGTCAGGGGAAGATGCAGAAATCATTTTCCCAGAAAATATTAGAATATACTACATAAGGGTAAAATTGTTATATTTGTCCTTAGAAAAGAGTAAGAAAAATGAATGCTATGTTTGCAGAAAACTAGAATTGAGAATATGCTGATGAAATGTAAGAATTTCTGTCCCATTTAGTCTAGGCCTAAAGTATTTTCTTACAACTGGGTAACCCATGATAGCATAATATGGGAAAACCATCCATTATTAACACAGAGGAGTAAATGAAGCACTTTGGAAGAGAACTACCTTTCAGACCACCAAGGCTCTATTGACTTAATTGCGCCCTATTGTACTAAGTGGTCCTTTAATGGGAGGGAGGATGTAATGCAACTATGAGGCACTTGACACAACAGGGAATATTTTACTCATCTGAGAGGATACTTACAGATACTGCAATGATAACAATTGTCTAGTACCACTTCACACAAACACCTCTCCACATTTCTGTGTATAAATTCACTTTGAAATTTGTCACTGGAAGAAAGGGTGATTTTTACACACTTCAAAATTTTAAAGAAAGCAAAAGGAATTTTAAACAAAAATTAAACTTTAAAAGAGCTCTCCAAATGGCTTGAAAGCAACAGCTCCATCTTCTGTATGCACTATGGTGTCCAATGTGAAACATTGTGTGGGTGTATGAGTGTGTGCCTTTTGAAAATGGGGTGGAAGTAGCAATATATGTGTCCATGAGAATTTATATACATTGTGAGTAGCAGACATGCATGAAAAAAAATGCTTTGTCCCTGTCCCTAGGTCACCAAAAAACAGGATTCACTTTGAAATTCTAACCTCTTTTTGACCACAATAAATAACTCTTGGCTGAGATTCACTATGCCGGGGACCCACTGGAGTCCCTTTCTGCTTAGAGGACCTGGCCCTATTAAACATAAGGTGGGTTATCTCTGGCTGTAATGCCTGAAAAGGCCTTAGCAGCACAGTTTAAAGGCAGCAACACATACTTTGCTATAGCTATCTCACTTCTGGGAGTTTATCTTTAAAAATGACTGTGGATATATGTGGAGCAAAGGTATACACTTGAGAATGTGTTTCAAAATGTTGTTTCTTTTAGCAAAAATTTAGAAGCAAACATGCATGGTCAATAGTAGAGAACCAATAAAGTACACTGTATTCTGATAGTTAAATACTAAGTAGACATTATAAATGAAGTAGAAAACTATTTTTATAGCATTAAAAAATTCTGTTAAATTTAAATTACTAAAACAAATTGTCAGTTAATTCTTAACTAGTGTTCCATTTTCTTGTAATATCTACATATATAAATGTGCTAAATAAATTATAGAGGGAAAAGAATAAAACATGCAGGCAGGCTAAATGTTAGCCTCTTTAGGAATGGTAAGATCAGAGACGATCTTCATTTTTCTTTGTGCTCTATTTTTTTTTTTATTATACTTTAAATTTTAGGGTACATGTGCACATTGTGCAGGTTAGTTACATATGTATACATGTGCCATGCTGGTGCGCTGCACCCACTAACTCGTCATCTAGCATTAGGTATATCTCCCGATGGTATCCCTCCCCCTCCCCGCACACCACAACAGTCCCCAGAGTGTGATATTCCCCTTCCTGTGTCCATGTGATCTCATTGTTCAATTCCCACCTATGAGTGAGAATATGCGGTGTTTGGTTTTTTGTTCTTGCGATAGTTTACTGAGAATGATGATTTCCAATTTCGTCCATGTCCCTATAAAGGGCATGAACTCATCATTTTTTATGACTGCATAGTATTCCATGGTGTATATGTGCCACATTTTCTTAATCCAGTCTATCATTGTTGGACATTTGGGTTGGTTCCAAGTCTTTGCTATTGTGAATAATGCTGCAATAAACATACGTGTGCATGTGTCTTTATAGCAGCATGATTTATAGTCCTTTGGGTATATACCCACTAATGGGATGGCTGGGTCAAATGGTATTTCCGGTTCTAGATCCCTGAGGAATCGCCACACTGACTTCCACAATGGTTGAACTAGTTTACAGTCCCACCAACAGTGTAGAAGTGTCCCTATTTCTCCACATCCTCTCCAGCATCTGTTGTTTCCTGACTTTTTAATGATTGCCATTCTAACTGGTGTGAGATGGTATCTCATTGTGGTTTTGATTTGCATTCCTCTGATGGCCAGTGGTGATGAGCATTTTTTCATGTGTTTTTTGGCTGCATAAATGTCTTCTTTTGAGAAGTATCTGTTCATGTCCTTCGCCCACTTTTTGATGGGGTTGTTTGTTTTTTTCTTGTAAATTTGTTTGGGTTCATTGTAGATTCTGGATATTAGCCCTTTGTCAGATGAGTAGGTTGCAAAAATTTTCACCCATTTTGTAGGTTGCCTGTTCACTCTGATGGTAGTTTCTTTTGCTGTGCAGAAGCTCTTTAGTTTAATTAGATCCCATTTGTCAATTTTGGCTTTTGTTGCCATTGCTTTTGGTGTTTTAGACATGAAGTCCTTGCCGATGCCTATGTCCTGAATGGTAATACCTAGGTTTTCTTCTAGGGTTTTTATGGTTTTAGGTCTAACGTTTAAGTCTTTAATCCATCTTGAATTGATTTTTGTATAAGGTGTAAGGAAGGGATCCAGTGTCAGCTTTCTACATATGGCTAGCCAGTTTTCCCAGCACCATTTATTAAATAGGGAATCCTTTCCCCATTGCTTGTTTTTCTCAGGTTTGTCAAAGATCAGATAGTTGTAGATATGCGGCGTTATTTCTGAGGGCTCTGTTCTGTTCCATTGATCTATGTCTCTGTTTTGGTACCAGTACCATGCTGTTTTGGTTACTGTAGCCTTGTAGTATAGTTTGAAGTCAGGTAGTGTGATGCCTCCAGCTTTGTTCTTTTGGCTTAGGATTGACTTGGGGATGCAGGCTCTTTTTTGGTTCCATATGAACTTTAAAGTAGTTTTTTCCAATTCTGTGAAGAAAGTCATTGGTAACTTGATGTGGATGGCATTGAATCTGTAAATTACCTTGGGCAGTATGGCCATTTTCACGATATTGATTCTTCCTACCCATGAGCATGGAATGTTCTTCCATTTGTTTGTATCCTCTTTTATTTCTTTGAGCAGTGGTTTGTAGTTCTCCTTGAAGAGGTCCTTCACATCCCTTGTATGTTGGATTCCTAGGTATTTTATTCTCTTTGAAGCAATTGTGAATGGGAGTTCACTCATGATTTGGCTCTCCATTTGTCTGTTGTTGGTGCATAAGAATGCTTGTGATTTTTGTACATTGATTTTGTATCCTGAGACTTTGCTGAAGTTGCTTATCAGCTTAAGGAGATTTTGGGCTGAGACAATGGGGTTTTCTAGATATACAATCATGTCATCTGCAAACAGGGACAATTTGACTTCCTCTTTTCCTAATTGAATACCCTTTATTTCCTTCTCCTGCCTGATTGCCCTGGCCAGAACTTCCAACACTATGTTGAATAGGAGTGGTGAGAGAGGGCATCCCTGTCTTGTGCCAGTTTTCAAAGGGAATGCTTCCAGTTTTTGCCCATTCAGTATGATATTGGCTGTGGGTTTGTCATAGATAGCTCTTATTATTTTGAGATACGTCCCATCAATACCTAATTTATTGAGGGTTTTTTGCATGAAGGTTGTTGAATTTTGTCAAAGGCTTTTTCTGCATCTATTGAGATAATCATGTGGTTTTTGTCTTTGGCTCTGTTTATATGCTGATTACATTTATTGATTTGCGTATATTGAACCAGCCTTGCATCCCAGGGATGAAGCCCACTTGATCATGGTGGATAAGCTTTTTGATGTGCTGCTGGATTCGTTTTGCCAGTATTTTATTGAGGATTTTTGCATCAATGTTCATCAAGGATATTGGTCTAAAATTCTCTATTTTTGTTGTGTCTCTGCCTGGCTTTGGTATCAGAATGATGCTGGCCTCATAAAATGAGTTAGGGAGGATTCCCTCCTTTTCTATTGATTGGAATAGTTTCAGAAGGAATGGTACCAGTTCCTCCTTGTACCTCTGGTAGAATTCGGCTGTGAATCCGTCTGGTCCTGGACTCTTTTTGGTTGGTAAGCTATTGATTATTGCCACAATTTCAGATCCTGTTATTGGTCTATTCAGAGATTCAACTTCTTCCTGGTTTAGTCTTGGGAGAGTGTATGTGTCCAGGAATTTATCCATTTCGTCTAGATTTTCTAGTTTATTTGCGTAGAGGTGTTTGTAGTATTCCCTGATGGTAGTTTGTATTTCTGTGGGATCGGTGGTCATATCCCCTTTATCATTTTTTATTGCGTCTATTTGATTCTCCTCTATTTTTTTCTTTATTAGTCTTGCTAGCGGTCTATCAATTTTGTTGGTCTTTTCAAAAAACCAGCTCCTGGATTCATTAATTTTTTGAAGGGTTTTTTGTGTCTCTATTTCCTTCAGTTCTGCTCTGATTTTAGTTATTTCTTGCCTTCTGCTAGCTTTTGAATGTGTTTGCTCTTGCTTTTCTAGTTCTTTTAATTGTGATGTTAGGGTGTCAATTTTGGATCTTTCCTGCTTTCTCTTGTGGGCATTTAGTGCTATAAATTTCCCTCTACACACTGCTTTGAATGCGTCCCAGAGATTCTGGTATGTTGTGTCTTTGTTCTCCATAGTTTCAAAGAACATCTTTATTTCTGCCTTCATTTCGTTATGTACCCAGTAATCATTCAGGAGCAGGTTGTTCAGTTTCCATGTAGTTGAGCAGTTTTGAGTGAGATTCTTAATCCTGAGTTCTAGTTTGATTGCACTGTGGTCTGAGAGATAGTTTGTTATAATTTCTGTTCTTTTACATTTGCTGAGGAGAGCTTTACTTCCAAGTATGTGGTCAATTTTGGAATAGGTGTGGTGTGGTGCTGAAAAAAATGTATATTCTGTTGATTTGGGGTGGAGAGTTCTGTAGATGTCTATTAGGTCCGCTTGGTGCAGAGCTGAGTTCAATTCCTGGGTATCCTTGTTGACTTTCTGTCTCGTTGATCTGTCTAATATTGACAGTGGGGTGTTAAAGTCTCCCATTATTAATGTGTGGGAGTCTAAGTCTCTTTGTAGGTCACTCAGGACTTGCTTTATGAATGTTGGTGCTCCTGTATTGGGTGCATATATATTTAGGATAGTTAGCTCTTGTTGTTGAATTGATCCCTTTACCATTATGTAATGGCCTTCTTTGTCTCTTTTGATCTTTGTTGGTTTAAAGTCTGTTTTATCAGAGACTAGGATTGCAACCCCTGCCTTTTTTTGTTTTCCATTGGCTTGGTAGATCTTCCTCCATCCTTTTATTTTGAGCCTATGTGTGTCTCTGCATGTGAGATGGGTTTCCTGAATACAGCACAGTGATGGGTCTTGACTCTTTATCCAGTTTGCCAGTCTGTGTCTTTTAATTGGAGCATTTAGTCCATTTACATTTAAAGTTAATATTGTTATGTGTGAATTTGATCCTGTCATTATGATGCTAGCTGGTTATTTTGCTCATTAGTTGATGCAGTTTCTTCCTAGTCTCGATGGTCTTTACATTTTGGCATGATTTTGCAGTGGCTGGTACCGGTTGTTCCTTCCCATGTTTAGTGCTTCCCTCAGGAGCTCTTGTAAGGCAGGCCTGGTGGTGACAAAATCTCTCAGCATTTGCTTGTCTATAAAGGATTTTATTTCTCCTTCACTTATGAAGCTTAGTTTGGCTGGATATGAAATTCTGGGTTGAAAATTCTTTTCTTTAAGAATGTTGAATATTGGCCCTCACTCTCTTCTGGCTTGTAGGGTTTCTGCCGAGAGATCCACTGTTAGTCTGATGGGCTTCCCTTTGAGGCTAACCCGACCTTTCTCTCTGGCTGCCCTTAACATTTTTTCCTTCATTTCAACTTTGGTGAATCTGACAATTATGTGTATTGGAGTTGCTCTTCTCGAGGAGTATCTTTGTGGCGTTCTCTGTATTTGCTGAATCTGAACGTTGGCCTGCCTTGCTAGATTGGGGAAGTTCTAGTGGATAATATCCTGCAGAGTGTTTTCCAACTTGGTTCCATTCTCCCCATCACTTTCAGGTACACCAATCAGACGTAGATTTGGTCTTTTCACATAGTCCCATATTTCTTGGAGGCTTTGCTCATTTCTTTTTATTCTTTTTTCTCTAGACTTCCCTTCTCGCTTCATTTCATTCATTTCATCCATTTGCTTCCATCACTGATACCCTTTCTTCCAGTTGATCACATTGGCTCCTGAGGCTTCTGCATTCTTCACGTAGTTCTCGAGCCTTGGTTTTCAGCTCCATCAGCTCCTTTAAGCACTTCTCTTTATTGGTTATTCTAGTTATACATTCTTCTAAATTTTTTTCAAAGTTTTCAACTTCTTTGCCTTTGGTTTGAATGTCCTCCCGTAGCTCAGAGTAATTTGATCATCTGAAGCCTTCTTCTCTCAGCTCGTCAAAGTCATTCTCCATCCAGCTTTGTTCCGTTTCTGGTGAGGAACTGCGTTCCTTTGGAGGAGGGGAGGTGCTCTGCTTTTTAGAGTTTCCAGTTTTTCTGTTCTGTTTTTTCCCCATCTTTGTGGTTTTATCTACTTTTGGTCTTTGATGATGGTGATGTACAGATGGGTTTTTGGTGTGGATGTCCTTTCTGTTTGTTAGTTTTCCTTCTAACAGAGAGGACCCTCAGCTGTAGGTCTGTTGGAGTACCCTACCGTGTGAGGTGTCAGTGTGCCCCTGCTGGGGGTGCCTCCCAGTTAGGCTGCTCGGGGGTCAGGGGTCAGGGACCCACTTGAGGAGGCAGTCTGCCCGTTCTCAGATCTCCAGCTGCATGCTGGGAGAACCACTGCTCTCTTCAAAGCTGTCAGACAGGGACATTTAAGTCTGCAGAGGTTACTGCTGTCTTTTTGTTTGTCTGTGCCCTGCCCCCAGAGGTGGAGCCTACAGAGGCAGGCAGGCCTCCTTGAGCTGTGGTGGGCTCCACCCAATTCGAGCTTCCTGGCTGCTTTGTTTACCTAATCAAGCCTGGGCAATGGCGGGCGCCCCTCCCCCAGCCTCGCTGCCGCCTTGCAGTTTGATCTCAGACTGCTGTGCTAGCAATCAGCGAGACTCCGTGGGCGTAGGACCCTCCGAGCCAGGTGCAGGATATAATCTCGTGGTGCACCGTTTTTTAAGCCCGTCGGAAAAGCGCAGTATTCGGGTGGGAGTGACCCGATTTTCCAGGTGCCGTCCGTCACCCCTTTCTTTGACTCAGAAAGGGAACTCCCTGACCCCTTGCGCTTCCCAAGTAAGGCAATGCCTCGCCCTGCTTCGGCTCGCGCACGGTGCGCGCACCCACTGACCTGCACCCACTGTCTGGCACTCCCTAGTGAGATGAACCCGGTACCTCAGATGGAAATGCAGAAGTCACCAGTCTTCTGCATCGCTCACGCTGGGAGCTGTAGACCGGAGCTGTTCCTATTCGGCCATCTTGGCTCCTCCCCTGTGCTCTATTTTTTATATTTTATAAAAGTGATATATTATCTTTCAAAATGTTATGTATATTCACATTTGGCAAAATTATTCTAGATAGGGAGCTGTTTTTTAGAAAATACTTTAGTGAGCCAATTGAGGCTGAGAGTAACTGCTGGAAGCGTGAGGAGCAATGTCAGTTTGCAGAAATGCAAATGTAGGCTACCTGGAGAGGGAGAGGACTTTAGTTTGTTCTTGAGAGGAAGAGAGAGAACCAAGGAGAAGAAAAAGAGCAAACAAGAGCATGAAGAATGAGGTTTGAAAGTGGGGACCTTGCAGGAAATCAGCCAGTAGAAATGTCTATGAAGTGTAATGGCTAAAGGACCTTTAAAGAATAAAATGACTAGTATTCAAATCAATGTTTTTTTATTTGTTGTATGTGATCCTTAAACCTCTTCCAAAATTCTTCAGTAAAATTTAACATGCTCATGAATGTTATGTGTGAGAGTGGGTTTGTTAGGGCAACTTCAGAAAGAGTTGAGATTTTTCTCTCAGTGCAAAACAGAGGTGGCACACACAGAGGGAGGAGTTTAGGAGTAGAGGAAGCTGAGAACCTAAGCCTGGTGAAATTCACAAAGATCTTGGAAGGGGCTCTACATTTCCACAGGACTTGGAAGTCAAGTGGGATGAGGGAGTGAATTAACCTTACTGGTTGCTATGGGGGTAGAAGGAAACTTCCCCTCTGCCCTCTGAAGGTCCCACTGAAATAAGCTGACAATAGATTAATAGGAGAACAGGCATACAAATGTTTCACAAGCGCATGGACATGGGAGTCTCAAAAATATGAGACTCAAAAGAAGGGCTACATGGGTGAGGCTTCAATATAGTTGATATGGTTTGGATCTGTGTCCCCATCCAAATCTTATGTTCAATTGTAATCCCCAATGTTGGAAGTAGGGCCTGATGGGAAGTGATTGGATCATAGGGGAGGTTTCTCTTGGTTTAACACCATCCCCCAGTGCTGTTCTCTTGATAGAGTTCTCACAAGATCTGGTTGTGTGTAGCAACTCCTCGCTCTCTCTCTTTCCTCGCGTTCCAGCAATGAGACATGCTTGCTTCCCCTTCACCTTCCACTATGCTTGTAAGTTCCTGGAGGCCTCCCCACAAGCTAAGCACATGCTTCCTATACAGCCTGCAGAACTGTAGAACCAATTGAACCTTTTGTCTTTATAAATTACCCAGTCTCAGGTATTTCTTTATAGAAATTCAAAAACTAATACAACCTTCTTTATAAGAAAGAAAAAAGTGAATTAGCTGTAGGCAATTACAGAGGTAGTAAATAAATTTTTGGGTATTGAAAGGTCCTGAGAGGCAGACTTTATCTAGCAAATGATTCTCTTAAAAAACTGAATGGTATTGGCAAGTTACACGAAGGTGGAACTGCATTGTATACTGCCATCTAAGGACATGGGAAGCAGCCATCTGGACGTTAGGAAGAGAGCCCTCATCAAAGAGTCAAATCAGATGGCACCTTGATCTCAAACATCCTAGTCTCCAGAACTGTTGGAAAATAAATTTTTGTTGTGTAAGCACATGATCTATGGTATTTTGGTATAGCAACTGAAGCAGACTAACACATTGGTATTAAAAAGCTCAAGTACAACTGCAGCTGACATCTGGGTTACAATTTTAAATCTAATAAAAACTTTAGAAAGTCAGACCCAATGGTTAGCCTGATTTGTGTCACTTGCCTTTTGGAGAAAATTTCCAACCATTGTTACTGACCTCAGCCTAACATTTTATCGTTCATTTTAAAAAGCTTCTTTAGTTTCTGCATATCCTATGAAGTTGTTATTTCAAGTTGGTGTCCCACCTTGGTCTGAGTGCCTTTCTGCTGGTTTATTGCCAGCTTAATATTCAAATGGGATGTAACTTTGGCTCAGATTTTTTTTTTGTTTCCTCCTTAGTTCACTTTAAAAACTATGCAAAGACCCACACTCTAGTTTTTAGGCTTTATGACTATTTTGCTTTTAAAGGTTAGTCCTCGAGACCTGTAGACACACAGAGAGAACGCTTGGCTCCCTGCTCTGACTTTTTTGCCAACATCTTCTCATCTACAAAACTAGATTCTGCCTACTGGCTCCTGTGAACATCAAAGTGTGAGTTTTTATTTCTTTCATCAGGAAATCCTGTCCTTGTAGCACCTGGACCAGTAGATGGTATGATGATCTTCACACTTAAAATCTACAGGATTTAGGAAAAAAAGTATTTATATTCCTGTAAGTTCAAACTAAAGCAGTTTCCCAGGATTAAAGGCAAAGACTGAGGAGAGTCCCACTGAAAGAGTGCTAGTGGGTGGCGGTTTCAAATAGTGCTGAGAAAACAAGAAATCAACTCCAGCATCAAAGTAGGAGCTACATGAGGGCAGTGATCATAATGTTTTGTTACTACTGAATTTCCTAGGCCTGTGACAGCACTTGGCATCAAATAAGAACCCATTAAATATTTATAGAATGAATTAATAATACAGTGATGGCTGCATCTGCACCCTTTTTTATGGGGACAACTTTCCTAGAAACAGAGAATATTACTTCTTTATTAGTAGTGGATGTTTTAATCCCATTTCATATAACTTGCTTCAAACGAGTTATATTTAATTTAAAAAATGCTTACATAGTCTCTAAGTGAACTATATACCATCATTAAGGAGAGAATTAGTCAGAGGTACAACTGTAAAGTAGAAGGCATTATTCCTTGGCTTCGTGTTTTCTAAGACTTTTCCCTTGTAGGACCCACTTCAGATTTCCTAAGCCCAGAGACTTCCCTCTCAGGCCTCATCTGCTCACATGGTCTTTATTCTAACAAGCATTGTCTATGATTCTTTCCTTTTTAATTACCTCTTATCTGGGCAAGGGTCTCAGAATCTTCTAAAGTGACACATTTTCTCACTTGTAAAATTTATATAACCAACCATGCTCACTTGAGAAGGAATTGTTGCCCCCAATGTCTCACTCCTTCCTTCCACTTTAATATATGTGCTTTCTAAAGACAACAGGCCTTCTTTCTCCTCTCCCTGTCATAAGTTGCCACTAAGCACCTGTATTAGTCAGGGTTCTCTAGAGGGTCAGAACTAATAGGATAGATGTATTTATAAAGGGGGGTTTATTAAGGAGTATTGACTCATACGATAATAAGGTGAAGTCCCACAATAGGCCATCTGCAAACTGAGCAAGGAAGTCAGTCCGAGTCCCAAAACCTCACAAGTAGGGAAGATGACAGTGTAGTCTTAAGTCTGTGGCTGAAGGCTGGAGAGCCCCTGGCAAACCGCTGGTGTAAGTCCAAGAGTCCAAAAGCTGAAGATCTTGAAGTCCAATGTTGAAGGGCAGGAAACATCCAGCACGGGAGAAAGATGAAGGCTGGAAGACTCAGCAAGTCTGGTCCTTCCAACTTCTTCTGCTTGCTTTATTCTAGCCATGTTGGCAAGATGGTGCCCACCAGATTGAGGGTGGGTCTTCCTCTCCCAGTCCACTGACTCAAATGTTAATCTCCCTTAGCAACACTGTCATAGGCACACCAGAAACAAAACTTTGCATCCTTCAATCGAATCCAATTAACACTCAATATTAACTATCACAGTACCTCAAATGATGGAAATTTCAAAGCTGAAAGGAGGAAGAGGAGACAGTAACATCAAGATTGTCTTTAAAAAAGTTTTATATCTCCTCAAATTTTATAGTAAATCATTGAGACATGCCCTCAAACGTATCACTTTCAAAATGTGCATTATTATTTTGTCAGTCAGATTTATGTGCATTTGCATTCATGTGTAAGGGCAAAGATAAGGTTCTCAATTGAAAGAGAACTCAGCTTTAAGTTTCTCTTCTACTCAGTAAATGTTACTTACTGCTTCTAAATTTCAATTTTTTAACTGTAAAATGGAGATATTACAAATAGATGCCAAATGGAGTAAGTGATAAGTGGATAGATAGATAGATGATAGATAGATAGATAGATAGATAGATAGATAGATAGATAGATAGATAGAATATGATGTATACACATTTGGCCCAGGCCATATTCCTAAACTAACTCAATGTATTAGCTATAATGATAGAGATTTAGCCGTAATCTATCCTTATTGAATTAAAAAATGTGAAGCTTAATGAAAACTTTGTTAGTCTTAAAATCTTGATTGCTGGCAAAAAATGAAGAGCTTTTTTCTGAATAACTAAATGATGTCCTGCTGTTCCACACCACTGTTGCTTATTTATTGGATTAAGACTTCAGCCACTTTTAATCTTCAAAATAAGACTCTGTACTAAAATATACTTCTTTTTTTTTTTTAAAATTACACCCCCTAACACAAATATATAACAGCAGAAATACAACTAAATAAGACTTGGAGCAACCAAGAAGTTGAGCAAAACTGCCATTTACTCACTAGTTTGCTTATCTTGGGAAGGCTGAACATGGCCCACAACCCGTCTTGGAATCTTGACCCTTCTCAGGAGCATGCTGTGTTCTGGGGCCCTGCTGCCCACCCTTCTCAGTCCTTTCCAGTCACAGGAAACATAGAACACTGAGTGCCACTGAGCTTCACAGGTTTCCACATAAATGGTTTACCAGTAAGTAAATTCCTGTAAGACAGTTGTGATGGCATCGGCGGCCCTTCTGGAGTGGCTGCTGCAAAAACGCCGCTGAGGTGAGGAAGGCACGGCTGCAGTTGCATGCTCAGCAGGACCAGCAGGAAGTGGGAAGAGGTGGAAGCCCCACCCCCTATGGAGTTGGCAGGGTGGGAGCCCATGCTTCTGGATGCAGCTGCAGCCCCTCAGCTGTGGTTCCAGATCCAGGCATCCCTGTGTTCTCAGGGTTTCAGGAAGCCTCTGCCCCTGCAAGCTTCGAAGTGCCTGCTCCTGCTACCTGACCTCTCCCTGATCCCAGTGCCCCCAGAGCAAAGCTGTGGCCGAGCTCAAGCAGTGTCGCAAACAGCCAGGTGTGTGCGCACTCAAGACAGTGCTGACACACCAGTCCCCTGCCGCCTCAGCTTCCTCCAGACTTTGAGCACTGAAGAGGAGTGGAGGGTGGGGGGTTGGGGGTAGACAGGTTCCTGGGTGGAAAGGGGCAGGTTCCTGGTGAAACCCCCCTTTCAAGCCAGGGATGTCCTAAAGCCTGGGGGAACGGCTGCCAGTTATGGGTGGAGTCCATGTCCCAGAATAAGAACTTATGGTGCTTTTTCTGGGCCTGCCCATGGCTGCCCGTGGACCAATCAGCACACACTTCCTCTCTTCTGGGCCCATAAAAGCCTGGACTCGGCCGGGCGCAGTGGCTCACGCCTGTAATCCCAGCACTTTGGGAGGCCGAGGCGGGCGGATAACGAGGTCAGGAGATCAAGACCATCCTGGCTAACACGATGAAACCCTGTCTCTACTAAAAATACAAAAAATTAGCCAGGCGTGGTGGCGGGTGCCTGTAGTCCCAGCTACTCGGGAGGCTGAGGCAGGAGAATGGCGTGAACCCATGGGGTGGAGCTTGCAGTGAGCCGAGATCATGCCACTGCACTCCAGTCTGGGAGACAGAGCAAGACTCTGTCTCAATAAATAAATAAATAAATAAATAAATAAAGCCTGGACTCAGCCAGACAGAAGACTGGGGACTACCAGCTGCCACAAGGGGAAGGAGCGCCCCCTCTTCCCTCCCTGAGGGTCTCCTCAACTTGTTGGGACAACCTGCCTGTGGAAAGGAGCTACCTACCACGGGTCTCCTCTCTGCTGAGAGCTGGACACTCATCTGGATGACCTGCTTGCAGAAAGGAGCTACCCACTTCGGGTCTCCTGAGAGCTGTTCTGTTGCTCAATGAAGCTCCTCTCCCCCTTGTTCACTCTCTAGTTGTCCATGTACCTCATTCCTCTTGGATGTGGGACTAGAACTCTGGATACAGCAAATGGCAGGATTGAAAGAGCTGTAACACAAACAGGGCTGAAACACGTCTCCTGCTTGCCACATTGCGGGTGATGAGAAGGGGAGAAGAGTTGCAGCCCTTTGGGAAGCCCAGACCTAGGGGATACTTAAACCAGAGCTTTGACACCCTGTTTGCCCTGTTTGGGACTCTGGTTCCTGGTGTCTCCAAGCTTTTGGGTGCCACTGCATTCCCCAATGCCCGAAGTGGAAGCTGCTTGTGGGTATGCCTGAGCTAGCCACAGTCTCGCACAGAACTGGAGCCTGTGCTGGTACTTTAAGCTGCCTGCCCCACTGCACCTGGCACACCTGGCACACCTGGCTGTGCACAGTGCCCTGACCCCCACGCTTGCTCACACACCCCTCACCACTCTGTGCCTGGCTTGCCCTTGGCAGGCATGGGATCCAGGCTGGTAGTGCAAGTCAAGCACAGCCTGCCAGGCTGAGTGGACAGAAAAAGCCTAGTGGGTCCAAGCAAAACTTGGGCAAAGGCACCACCAGCCACACAGCTTTCCAGCTGGCAAAGTGACACCCCAAGGATCCTGTTACAGTTGTCCTGATCAAGATTTATAATGGGAGATAAATTACATTCGGCAAATGCAGCTTGAAGGAAACAAGTGATTTAATAAAATTTCAGCAAAAATACCAGATGTGGTTTTAAGGTAATACTTTGCTAAATTCCTCTGGGTGGAAACGGGACACAACAACAACCCCAACCCCAACCAACCACCACCACCAACTAAGGAGCATACCTAAGTAACATGTGGTGGCCATGCATTTCCTTACAGGTCTGATTTGTTGGCTGAGTGAGGGGCACAATTCAACCAGAGCTGATTTGCTGGGGTAAAGAAGAGAAAGTGGTGAAGATGATATAAATGATCTCTCTTCATTTCTCCCCACAAGATGCATTTCTTCAGTGCCTTTAGTATTTCCTATGAATTAATATTGAATAATTATTTAAATAAGATTGGTTTGGCTGAGGCCCATGGTCTTATCCAGTCCAGCTTTCTTCATCATTATGTGGAAACCCATGCAGCCCAAACAAGACCACTGCATATTTATATCTAGATAAAAATATGTTCATGTTAAGAAATCTCTAGCTAGAGATGATAATTTGTTGGCTGGATAAAAGCCAGGATAATTAGAAGTTACCTAGTCAAAAGGTCCTCAGAAATTCAAATTTCCCATTTGAGGTAAAAGAGATGACTAGCTTACTTTTATTATAGCTCTGGCCAGGGACAAAGGTCAAAAATAAAGGTTGGTTTTGATGAATACCACCCTCAGCATTATAAAAATGGAGAGCAGAAACCATGAGCTTCCTATTACAGAATCAGCTGTATGCTATATGTAAAGAGTACCATGTATTAAATAATCAATTTATTCATATGACAAACCAGCAAGTGGCAGGCATTATGCTAGGTTCTGGGGTGGCAAAATTATTTACAAAACTGCCTCATCCTTGAAGGGTTATAATTGTCAGTGAAAGAGAGACATATGAAAAAAAAAACATGCTAAAAATAGTGTTTTAAGTGTGACAATAAAAGTGTCTACACGACATTCATTGGGAGCATCCTTTCATTCTATCAGTGATAAAGGTAGCAGTTTGCAAGGAAGAGCATAATGGAGGAAGTGGGCTTGAGTTACAGATTGCCATTCTGACAAGAGAAGATCATGAATGAAAGCACAGGAAGGAGTGCAGGGATGACAAATGAATGCTTGGATTGGACGATATAAAGTGTGAGACTGGCACCAGTAAAAGTCACCCTGGAAAGAGGTATTCACTCATTCATTCACCAAACATTGAATACCAACTATGTGACAGTCTCTGTGCTAAATATGCTGCAGAAATATTTGTCACAACTGACTTGCAGTGTAACAGTGGTCTATACATATAATTAAATTATAATATTCTTAAATGATATAAGTACAATATGAAGGTATACATGGTATATTATGGGAACACGTCTTATAGTCAGAGAAAACTTCCTGGAGATCAATTCAAAAAACATTTGAATGCACTCTTAAAGAAAGAGAAAAAACAAGTAAAGCAGACATGAGAGGAAAAGGCATCCTATAAAGATAGAGAAGCATAAACACAGGAGAGACTTTAACCAAAAACTGCACAGTGAATGTAGCAGAACCGAAATTGATAAGTGATATGAAGTTAGAAAGGGAAGTAGGGAGAAGATGATAGGCTAACTTTTATGAATAAAATGTTTGGACTTTATTCTATAGGAAATAAGAAACTTTGAATAATTCTTACATACTAAGAACTTAGATGTCTGCAATTTTGTAATTTGCTCACATTAATGATTTAATTAATCTCAATAGCTTTCCCTAATGTGGTGATCATTAAAATCCTTCAATAGAAAAGCATATCTGTTTGTTTTCCAAAGTAGCTAGAAAGAGGAGAATGGTAGAGGTTGCTTTACATCCTACAATCAGGCTTGAATTAAAAAAGAAAAAGAAGGAAAGAAAAACAAAATTCCAAGGAGTAAAGTGGATAAGATCACAGAAACTGAGAGCAGGGTGGAAAGCATGCTAAGTCATTGGAGCTTCCTTCAGGGAAGAAAGAAACTCTCAGGAAAAACACCTGAGCCCAAGAAGAGGGCTTGGAGCAGAGTGACAGATGGAACTTTAGGCCTCCCACAACTTTCCCAACAAATTGCAAGCTTTAGCACAGCTTAGTTACTCAGTTTGAGTAATAGCAATCTGAACTTATTTATAAAAAACTAGATGATCCAACACTCTTGATTTTGGTAATACTGGGGTAAGAAGTGTCTGGGCTTTTTTTAAAGGATAATTTATAGAATATTTTGAATTTTTTATGTCACTAGTGATATGTAATTATGTGACACATCAATGTAAAATTAGTCTTTCAATACAGTTTTCCAAGGATAATTATATGTAATTGAAGAGAAATAAGAGTTTTTCCTACTTTAAGGTGATGATTGTATCATACTGTCATTTATGAGTCATATGATAATCATACCCACAGCATAAGATCAAAATGTGTGTTTCTAAGTGAGGATGCTAAGTGGCATAGTATACCAAGCAATTAAAATGGAAAAAGCTCCCAGAAAAAATGTCCAATATTGCAAAGAAAGATGAATTTTTACAGTCCATTGGGAGACAATTCTCCAAGGATTTCTCACATTGCTGCATATCTTGTGAAGTAAGGCATTGTCTGTCCTTTGTTTCAAGCACGGCCCTCTTTTTCGGACTATCTTTCCAAGTATGTTTGTACAGAAAACAGCCTTGGAAAATAATAAGGTTTCCCTGCAGAGCAGGACAGGTTTCCTTGAGACAGGGATGTCTCCCTCTAGATCCAAGGACCCTTTTACACAGCCCGTTATAATGATTCACGGTTTCTAAACTCAGAGTCCCTGTAACACACACTGCATGCACAGGCTTCTCTCTGAGCCCATTCATAGGAATTTCTCACTGCCCAACTTTCTGTGCAGGCTTCAGTTTTTTATTGTATCCCTCAGAGCACACTTCTACCCTCAAGATTGTCTCCTTCTCTCTCTGCTTCTCTGTGTTCCAGGCTTTCTCACTTTATTAGGCAGAACAATTTAACTTTCTACTCCATAGTCAGTTCTGAGCTTAATTTTACATATTCACAGGCTCATTAAAAATCCTTTAAAAGACAAAACTAGATTCTCTTGAAAAAATAAAAATAACTGGGTGCAGTGGCTCATGCCTACTGTAATCCCAGAACTTTGGGAGGCTGAGGCAGGCAGATTACTTGAGGTCAGGAGTTTGAGACCAGCATGTCCAACACAGTGAAACCCTGTCTCTATTAAAAATACAAAAATTAGCTGAGCGTGGTGGTGCATGCTTGTAATTCCAGCTACTTGGGAGGATGAGGCAGGAGAATCACTTGAACCTCGGAGGCGGAGGTTGCAGTGAGCTGACATTGTGCCATTGCACTCCAGCCTGGGCGACAGAGTGAGACTCCATCTCAAATAAATAAATAAACAAATAAAATAAATAAATAAAAATTAAATATATATATACACAAATTAAAATTAGGAACTCAATAAATAAGTTTAAGAGAAGGTTAGACTTTTCTATGTTTAGAGAAGATGAGTAAACTAGAAGATAGATCAATTGAAAATATCCAGATTGAAGCATGAAGAGAAAATGAGAAAAAATAGACAGAATTGCATAAGAAGCATATTGAAATAAGCTATACACCAAGTGCCAAGATTCCACATAAAAAAATCCTATTCAGAAAGCTCCAAAAAAATTCATTGTCAAACAGAATTAGATTGAGAAATCTCCACCAGAATCATTCAGTAGTTCTTAAAGGTGATGTTTTTTAAGCTGTTATATCATACAGGATAGTGCTAAAATATTTAGTCAGTAAATACGCTGACTACAGGAAATAATCAGAGGCTTATTGGTGAAAATTATTGTAATTGTTTGCAATTGAGGATGTAATTTTAATCTATATTAAACACCTTGTAACCTAATACAATTGCTTTTCTCATTCAATGTAGTCATATTCTATAACGTCATCGTGAAAGAAGACACACATGCGGCCAAAAAATGTGAAAAAAGGCTCAACCTCACTGATCATTAGAGAAATGCAAATCAAAACCTCAACGAGATACCATCTTGCACCAGTCAGAATGGCTATTACTAAAAGTCAAAAAACAACAGATGCTGGTGAGGTTGCAGAGAAAAAGAACACTTTTACACTGTTGGTGGGACTGTAAATTAGTTCAAACATTGTGGAAGACAGTGTGGGGCTTCCTCGAAGACCTAGAGGCAGAAATATAATTTGACCCAGCAATCCCATTACTAGCTATACACCCAAAGGAATATAAACCATTCTATTATAAAGACATATGCACATGTATGTTCATTGCGGCACTATTCACAATAGCAAAGGCACGGAATCAACTCAAATGCCCCACAATGATAAACTGGATAAAGAAAATGTGGTATATATACACCATGGAACATTTTGCAGCCACAAAAAGGAATGAGCTCATGTCCTTTGCAGGGACATAAATGGAGCTGGAGGCCATTATCCTCAGCAAACTAATGCAGGAACAGAAAACCAAACATCGCATGTTCTCACTTACAAGTGGGAGCTGAATGATGAGAACACATGGACACATGGAGGAGAAAAACTCACACTGGGGCCGGTTGGGGTTGGGGGGCAGGAAGAGAAGGAGCATCAGGACTAATAGCTAATGGATGCTGGGCTTAATACCTAGGCGATGGGATGATCTGTGCAGCAAACCACCATAGTGCATTTTTACTGATGTGACAAACCTGCACATCCTGCACATGTACCCCTGAACTTAAAATAGGAGTTGAAGAAAAAAAAAGTCCTTGTGAAATTTGAGTTAGTGAATACTGAATAATTGCCACTCAGGGAAAAACAGGGTTAAGTTCCTGTGACCCTCCAGTCACAACTGTTTTATTAACTTATTAAGACATAACCTTGTTTTATGTGCATTTTGGTTTAAGGAATTTTTTTCTCCCTTAGTCACAGCTTCTTGTTTATTTTTTCTGTATCATATATCACAAATTGAAATGATATTGCTAATATACTTGTCACCCTGCATCCTTCTTTCTCTCCCCAAAGTAAAGCTCCAGCAGAGTAGGGCTTTGTCAACCTGTTCACTGCTGAGTCCTCAGCACTGAGTGCAGTGTGTGGTAGATGCCCAGATGGTGATTGTCTAAATACATTATT
This sequence comes from Homo sapiens, assembly GCF_000001405.40. NCBI lineage: Eukaryota > Metazoa > Chordata > Mammalia > Primates > Hominidae > Homo > Homo sapiens. The sequence goes on along the minus strand of NC_000008.11, from coordinate 77,076,775 downwards.
TTTTGAGAGACTATGCTATATGATTATTACTTGAAACAGGCCACCTCAAAAGGTAATTTTTCCTTTTTCCTTCTTCTACTTTTCTTTTTTTTTTTGGGGGGACACCTTAGTTCAGGTTGTTCTCTGTGGCTGTGAATGCTTTCCCATCTTGTTCACAGTTGATACTGGAAGGCTCTCCAGCCTTGTTTCTTTTTCTTTTTCTTTTTCTTTTTTTTAATTTTACTTCAAGTTCTGGGATACATGTGCAGAACGTGTGGGTTTGTTACATAGGTATACATATTCCATGGTGGTTTGCTCCACCTATCAACCCGTCATCTAGGTTTTAAGCCCCGCGTGCATTAGGTATTTGTCCTTATGCTCTCCCTCCCCTTGCCCCCGACCCTCTGACAGGCCCCGGTGTATGATGTTCCCCTCCCTATGGCCATGTATTCTCTTTGTTCAGCTCCCACTTATGAGTGAGAACATATGGTGTTTGGTTTTCTGTTCCTGTGTTAGTTTGCAGAGACTGATGGCTTCCAGCTTCATCTATGTCCCTGCAAAGGACATAAACTCATTCTTTCTTATGGTTGCATAGTGTTCCATGGTATATATGTGCCACTTTTTCTTTATTCAGTCTATCATTGATGGGCATTTGGGTGGGTTCCAAGTCTTTGCTATTGTAAATAGTTCTGCAATGGGAGTGTAAATTAGTTCAATCATTGTGGAAGGCAGTGTGGTGATTCCTCAAGGATCTACAACCAGAAATACCATTTGATCCAGCGATCCCATTACTGGCTATATACCCAAAGGATTATAAATCATTCTACTATAGGACACATGCACACGTATATTTATTAAAGACATATTATTTAATACACTTTGTTGATCAATTAACGCTGAACTCATGACCAACAGCACTATAATTCATGCCTGAATGAAGCCAATCTAACATATGTATTTCCTCCACAGGGCACATCTCAGCCTTGTTGTGTTTAGGAACACTAGACAGCACTTCAGGACTATGCTTGAGGGCCATTCTCAACAGTGAAATCACAGACAAAATGCACAAATTGTGAAAAACATAGCACTAAACACATTGCAAAAAGGGCACTTGTTTACAGTAGAAGGACTGAAACAAAAAGTCATAGATTCTCCCTGTTTGATCTCAGGGAGGTTGAACAATTCCCGGGGAGCATACAACCTCCCTGGGAATATGCACGCTAGGAGAGTCCAATTTTTTGCTGTTCTACTTATGTGTGTGTCTTTGAATGACGAATCAAGTGTCACAAGCATTCATTTTTGAGTTACAAACAAATTTGAGTAAATTCATAATTACAAAACATATGCATTTATAAAATATAAATTATATAAATAAAAATTGTGTTAAATATGCAGGTATTTGTATGTACATGCATGTATTCATATATGTGCATATATATGCATATGTACACACATTTATAATTTATATTTATATAATTTATCTTAAATTATAACAATTCATATTTATTGTATATATTATAATGAAGCATACAGAGAATGACAATTTCCTAAACAAAAGAAGACAGAAAACTGAGCAAGAGCAATCTGTTCTCACACCTTCACTTTAGCACTCCAAACCTCCATGCCTTGGTTTTCCTTGTTTCCACAGAACTTATTACCTTCCAACAAACTCCATTCTTTATTTATTTATTCATTTCCAGTCTTCCTCTGCTATGATATAAATTTCATAAGGACAGATACCTTTGTTTTGTTCACTGATGCATCCCAAGTAAACACCAGAAAATAAGGGAATTGACTTTATTATGTTTCCTATACTCACCTCCTATTAAAGTTTGAAGTCCAAAGTGGTTTGCACAGAACATAGTAAGACAGGAGATGTAAAGCAGTGGGAAGAGCACCGGAAATGTAAAGATCCAGCTTCCAGGTCTTACTTCTCCACTTTAATACATTATTATGTTTGGCAGTCTCATTGCTCTGAGCTTTGGTTAACTCTTATAAAGAATAGAAATAATATTTATCCTTGTGGATATCAAGGTTTACCAATAACCAAATTTTAACAAAGAAGATGATATAGGCTTGAAACCCTTTAAGTAAACATAAAGTTGTGTTATGTTCATAAGTACTTAAAAACAACTGTATGATAAATAATATTAAATTACAGTTTCTTGGATATTTACATGTAGACTCAACAAAAATACCTTTTATGTCCTTGCCAACTTTTATCTTTCTTTTGGTTTCCAAGTATCATGTGCTTTAGTTATCTGTTGTGATTCCACACGAGATTCTAATAATTTCAAATATTATGCTAAAAAAGTCAAAATTAAACTTAAAAAGACAAATACAGATATGTTTTGAAAAAAAGGACTTAGGTAAATACAAAATATACTGAAATGTATTGATTAACTATTACATTAGATACACTAGTTGCTCAAAATAAATGTACCAGAAGAATTTAAAGTATATATCTTATATATAATCTTCTATAACACAAATGTGGGTGCATAGGGGGAAAACGTGAAATCCTTTTACAGAATCAGGGACAGTGCCTTTAATTTATCTCTTTTTATGATGGGATTGTTTTTCTCATGAGGTTTTGGCAGGCCTTTAAGATTGATGTCATTTTTGATTAATTCTTTTTGTACTCTGATGACAGCTAATGGAATGATTTGAAAGCTATTTGCTTTACAAAAAAGATCCAATGTAGCTGCCTTTTGTGCCCCTTCTTAAAGCTTTTACTTCTTTCTCTTGAAATAATTAGTAAAAGAGAAGAAAGATGGCTGTAATTACTAAGCATTATAAACTATATCTAGGTGCATGACATTAACAGTAGCTGTCATTAAGATTAGATCACTTGTCTCATTTTAAGAAAATGTTACCTTTTCCTATTTTAATGATATAATCTGAAAAATATCTTGACAGGATGCTAATTCTATAAATGAAATACAGGCCCTTAAACATATACATATTTTTATTCTTATTCAGAGATGTATAAAGTGATTAAAATTGTGCCTTCAAGTATATCAAATAGTTATAATTGGCATTATAAAAATGGATGAAAGTCATCAATTATTTTATTAGAACCATCAGAGTTCATGCATTATAGTTAAAACTTCATTTAAAGAACAGATCCAAAACTGAATTTTAAGACTATCCTTGCAGTCCTACTCAAGTAATCAACTGATATGCTTTAGAGGAAAGACTTTGGATACAAAGGTTTTAATTTACACAATGATTCCAAATGGTTGCTTCTCTTCGTTAAAGTTAATACTTGTGTACTTCATCGTTTTCTTCATCGGTCTTTTGTTCATTGGTATTATAATAAATGCTATAATACATACATTTTTTTTTCCTGAAGACATAACAATTTTCTTACTCTACCAATACACTTTACCAATAAAAGCATAAATCTTTAACAAATATAATTGGAACATTCTCATATACAAATAGCAGAAATACTTAAGTAAATTTAAGAAAAATAAGTAATGTGAGTAAAAAAGATATAAGACAAAATATTATCAAAGAATATCCAGACTATTTCTCTAGACATCAAAATATGTAACTATCTAAGTTATATCCTAAAAGGACCAAAACTTTTACATTATCTTAATTAAACATTCTTACAGTAGCAACAAAATCCACAATCTATACAAACATAAATATTTTTTATTTGTTGAATAATTAAATGGTCTTTAAGAGTAAAAGTTTATGTTATGCATCTTATATTTCCATGCTACATAGGGTACACAATTATGGTAATTATGAAAACCAACAAGGAAAGCATTAGCAATTAATGGTACCCAAAGTTATCTTTGGAAATTAATGCTTTTTCCCACCCTGAAACAACAAAGTTGATTCTATTAAATGTGATAAATGAAATGTAAATTAAAATTTTAATAAGGTGCTTGTTAATCCATTTGTTCACAGCTAACTTGAACTCAGTTAAATTAGTTCCTTATTATGAGCACTAGAGATATGATTTCTTCTAAGTCTCAAGGGAAAATAAGTGCTAGAGGACTGCTTGTCCCAAGATAGCTCCATAAAGTGTTATTAAAATTATTCACTAGACACTTTTTCTGTGATGCATTTCATTTAGAAAATCAATTCTGTGTTGTTAAAGATAGTAAAAGTTCTCTAACAGAAATCACAACACCAGATACAAAGGCAAAATAATTCCACATATGAGCTATTATGGGATATTTATCTTTGCCCTGAAAATTTTATACCAAGAATTGCAGAAAGTAGTTCTCAAGCAACGGTGAAACATCACATGATTTCTGGGAAACAGAATTTCTCCTGGAAAATGTAAAAAGTGTTTAGTATTTGTTAAATGTTCTCTTTAATTTCAGGACAGTGTTTCTCAACTTCTTGCACCTGCAGATCATCTCGTTAATGCAATGTGTCCAGTCTAATATGTCTAGCACAAATATAAAAATCAATTTTTGGTAAAATTATAAAAATAATTCAACTTAAAAAATTGAATTAACTATTGAAATTAATAATAGTAATTATACTAGAGAGGGAGATGGTTTTACAGTGTTTTCTCAAGAAGTCTGTCAGACTATCACCAAAACCTTGAGCCATAATTAGAGAACAGCCAGTTGGATTCAGTTCTTACCTTTTATTTGTACTACATTGGAAAAACGTAAGTCACCATTGTAGGTGATCTAAAATTGCAACGTATATTGGCAACTCCCTTAGTCAATTCCCAATACTCAAATAAAGCATGGGAGTCTTTGATGATATAAAGCCAACATTGTTATTCTTAACAAGATGCCAAGTCAACAATCATTCTGCCCACATATGTGAAATAGTTTGTTTCTAGTACTCTTGGAGCTAAGGCGCTAGTAACTTTATAAAATGCAAATTTAAAAAAATGTGAGCCACAATTTACAATGATGGTTACTATATGCTACTTAAGAACTAACCGTTCTTAAGCATATTTGCCACATTTAAAACAATTATTGGACATACAGTAGCTAAAATCATCTTGAAAAAAAACAAGTTGAAGGATTTGCAATTCTCTATTTCAAAACTTGTAACAATGTTATAATAACTAAAACAGTGTGGTACTGACATAAGGACAGACATATAGATCAATAGATTAGGATTAAGAGTTCAAAAATAAATCCATACATCTATGATCATTTGATTTTCAACAAGGGTGGTATCCAGACAAAACAATGTGTCTAAAGTAGTCTTTTCAACAAATAGTGTAGGGTCACTCGACATCCACAAGCAAAAGAATAACTTGGACCCTTATCTCACACCATGTATAAAATACTCACAAAATAGATCATATATGTAAATGTAAGAGCTAAACCTATTAAATTCCTAGGAGAAATCATAGGTGTAAATATTTGTGATGGGTTCTTAGAAAAAATGCCTAAAGCACAATGGACAAAAATATATATAGATAACTTATATTCCATCAAAATTAAAACCTTCATGTTTTAAAGAGCACCAATTTTAAAAAATGTAAAGACAACCCACAAAATGGAAGAGAATATTTGCAAACCACATATCGTGTAAGTGACCTGTATCCAGACTATACAAAGAAATTTCACAATTTAACAACTAAAAATTGAGCACAAGATTTGAATAGACAGTTCCCCAAAGAAGACATACAAATGTTCAATATGTGCATGAAAAGATTCTCAACATCATTAATCATTAGGGTCATTCAAAACAAAATCACAATGAGATAAAACTTCTAAAAAAACAGGAGTACAATGGTACTATCTCAGTTCACTGCAGCCTCCACCTCCCAGGTTCAAGCAATCCTCCCTCCTCAGCCCCCTGAGTAGCTAGGATTACAGGCATGCACCACCACGCCTGGCTAATTTTTATATTCTTAGAAGAGACAGGGGTTTCACCATGTTGGCCAGGCTGGTCTTGAACTCCTGACCGGGTCTCAAACTCCAAAGTGTTGGGATTACAGGCATGAGCTACCACACCCAGCCGAGAACTTTATTCGTTGCTGTTTCAACTATAAAATGATGTAGCCACTTTATAAAACAGTTCAGTTTCTCTAAATATTAAATAGAGTTATCATATAACCCAGCAATTCTACTTCTGGCTATATACCCAAGAGAAATAAGAACATATGTTCACATAAAAATATACACACAAATGTTCAGAACAACATTATTCATAATAGACAAAAAATGAAAGCAACCTAAATGTCCAATTACTGATAAATGGGTAAACAAAATGTCATCTATTCACACAATGGAATGTGATTCAACCATAAAAAGGAAGTACTGTCATATGCTACAACACAGATGAACTTTGAAAACAAATCCTAAAGGAGAGAAGCCATGCATAATAGGCCACATTTTGCATGAGGTGTTTATATGAAATGTCCAGAATAAGCAAATTAATAAAAACAGAACTATATTAGTGGTTTACCAGAGACTGAGAGGAGGGACAGATAGGGAAAAATTGCTAATGCGAATGGAGTTTCTTTTTGGTGTGATGAAATGTTCTAAAATTAATTAGTGGTGATGGTTGATCAACTTTGTGCATATACTAAAAACCACTGAGTTTTATCAAGGGATATTTTTATATATTTTATTAGGATTGTAGAAGAGGTGAAAAGAGCTTTCAGGTAATATGAAAAAAAGCTTTTAGGTTATACTGAATTTAGGAAGAAGAATTCAAAGAAGATTTAGTGACAGTCTGAATCAAATATCTGATTAGTAACTATAAATAGTGACACATGGAGTTGAACAGGGAGACAGCAGCTTCAAAATCTATATGAAATGAAATGAAAAAGTCAAATAATTTTGTCTAGATTCTAGATCCATGAGATTACAATTGCCAAGTATGTATAAGAACTATGACATGAAAACAATGGGGTCTTGCTCAAGGTGGAGTCATCTTAAAAGCACTTTTCTTCAAAACATTGGGAAAATGCTACAGGACTAAGCAAAGATTTTTTTTGAGTAAGACCTCAAAAGTCCGTTATTAAAAGCAAGAATTGACCAATTAGATTACATGAGCTAAAAAAACTTCTGTGCAGCAATTTAAACAATCAACAAAGTGCAGAGACAACCTACAGAATGGGAGAAAATATCTGCAAACTATCCATATGACAAGAAATTCATAACCAGGATATATAGAGTTCAAACAACACAATAACACATAAAACCCAAATAATTTCATTAAATTTTTTGGTAAAAAAATATGAGTAGACATTTCTCAAATGCAAACATACAAATGGCCAACAGATATATGAAAAAATGTTCAAGATTACTCATCATCAGGGAAATACAAATCAAAACCACAATGTTATATCATCTCACCCAGATAAAACGACTCTTATCAAAAAGACAGAAAATAACAGATGCTGGGAGGATGTGAAGAAAGGGAGATGCTTGCACACTCTCAGTGGGAATTTAAATTAGTCCAACAACTACGAAAGATGGTACAGAGCTTCCTCAAGAAATATAGAGCTACCATGTGATCCAGCAATCTCAGTCTTGGATATATATCCAGAAGAAAGGAAATCAGTATATCAAAGAGATAGCTACACTCCCATGTTTATTGCAGCACCCATCATGATAGCCAAGATCAAACTGTTTGGACACTTCAACCTAAGTGACCATTAATGATGAATGGATAAAGAAAATGTGGTATATATACAAAATGGAATAGTATTTAGCCACAATGAAAGAATGAAATATTGCCATTTTCAGTAACACAGATGAGCCTGGAGGACATTGTGCTAAGTGAAATAAGCCAGGCACAAAAAAATAAGTATCACATTTTCTCACTCAAATGTGGAAGCTGAAAAAACTAGCGATCTCATGGAGGTAGTGAGTAGAATGGTGATTACCAGAGTCTGGGAAGGGTCTGAGGGAGGAGGGCATGAAAAGAGGTCTGCTAATGGGTTCAAAAATACAGGTAGATAGAGTAAGTTCTGCTATTCGATAGCATAATAGCGCAGCTACAATTAATGAGCATTTATGCTATATTTCAAAACAGCTGGAAGAAAATATTTGAAATGTTCCCAACACAAAGAAATGATAAATGTTTGAGGTGATGGATATCCCAATTACTTTGATTTGCATTACACATTGTATGCATGTTTCATGTCACATGTATCCCATACATATATATAACTATTATGTATCAATTAAACATAATTTATGAAAACCACACTTCTTCAGAAATTAGTTGGTATGATGAAAACAGCTTCCAAATAATTAAGGAGAAAGAGGCTAAGATGGAAGACTAATGAAAATGAAAACAAAATTGAGTAGGTTAGAAAGTATTTAGTGATTCATACCAAAGGAAAGATTAAGGAATTTAGAAACAATATTCGTAATCTGTGATGATAACTGCATATACTATAAATTTAAATTATCTGGCTTTTTTTATTTTTTATTTTTTAAAAAGGTGACTGGGTGCAGTGGCTTGCGCCTGTAATCCCAGCACTTTGGGAAGCCAAGGCGGGTGGATCATCTGAGATCAAGAGTTCAGGACAAGCCTGGCCAACATGCTGAAACCACATCTCTGCAAAAAATACAAAAATTATCCTGGCATAGTGGCGGGCGCCTGTGATCCCAGCTACTCGAGAGGCTGAGGCAGGAGAATCTGTTGAACCTGGAAGACGGAGGTTGCAGTGAGCTGAGATTGCACCACTGCACTCCAGCCTGGACAACAGAGCCAGACTCTATCTAAAAAAAAAAAAAAAAAGTAATAGGTATTTCTCACAGATTTCCCTTAAATATAAAATTTTAAACTAAAAGTTACTAATGGAATGATATATTTTGAAAAAATAAAACTAAACAAAATAAACAAGATAAATCAAAACAAGCACTTGAAATGAGAAAGCTGAGTAGCATAATATTTTTGGAGGATGGCATTATTTGAGTGTTTATTCACAATCTTGGTGGTGGAAGTATATTGGAGAAATTACAGATTAAGAGAGAGAAGAACAAGAAAAACATCACTCTGAAAGTGTAACATTGTTTTCCGGAGCCAAAAAAGTATAATGAAATGGTGCATCCCTCATAACTTTACAAAAATAATAGAGACTAGATGATGAAATACAGCAAAAATATAGTAATATGTACAACTTCAAATTCTCAGTCATCAGTTGGAATTTCCATTGGCCATCAGTAAAACAACTTAAAGCATTTTGACTTGCCTTGCTAACAATTTTATCTGACAAAAGATTTTAAAATGTAGGTAATATAGGTGGGATAGGAAGTACATTTAGGAAATATTTTTAGCAAAAGGGGGGATGGGACGGCAAAGTGGAAGTGACAGAGACCTTGGCAGAAGACTATTGTGTTATCTCAGAGAACAGTGAGCAGAGTCAGAGGTGAAGCTGCTATGAGTGTCAATGATAATCTTTTCCTTTTTTATTTTAAAAAATGTCTATATGCCATTTTGTTGTTTTGGTATCTTTGAAGAATGACAGTTGGAAAAGAACATTTTTAACAGAAGTCTTATACATGGGTAGGTGAGAGGAAAAAGGAACATGGGGAAAAGGAAGCTAAAATAATGTTTTTCTAAGAAAATAATTTAAACAACAAGAAATTAGTTTTCTGAGAAAATGACCAAAAATTTTTATTTGAAGATGACAGATGCTCAAATAATAGCTGATTAATTTGTTTTTAGACAACTGACATACAACTTTTTAGCAGTCAAAATTCTTAGCCTATGTAGACTTGGGAAAAGATTGAGAAGTTGATTACTAAAAATAGACTAAGACACTTTTGTACCTAATTAAGCATCATATGAATGAGAAGTTCATGTAATCCTGAAAGAGCATGTCTTACCTGATTCCTCTATACTCAGACTATCCGAGAAATTGATTATGTTTTCTACATAAGTAAATATGTGTACCAGAAGCTCCATGTTCTCAAATTCTCACTCTCATCCTCTTCACTTTTGCCACAAATCTATTTCATTCCTTGCCTTTGTCATGCCATGACATGAAAGCACCAATAATAAGAAATTGTGCCAAAATACTTCATGATCTTTAAAAAATATTCAAGTTTTTGCCATCTGGACCCTGGTCTGATATGTTTAATGAATAATGAAACATTAAGATTGTATACCTGTTATTAAACTGAAAATTTATCACAAATAAATCACATTTAAATGCTTGCAATAAAGACTTTTTTTACTGTTTTGTTAGGGTTTGGTAGAGGGAACGAATGAAATAAAAAATATTTATGAATACTTATTTCTTATGAGTAGAGTTCCTATTTGAGAAATAGATAACACAGAATCTGGGTCTAGATTAGAACTTGAATTCTTTCTGTTCAAACCACTGGGATGTGCTACTGTAATATATTCACTGCCAAGAGACACATTACTGAGAAAATGATGAAATCTATCATAGACAGAAAAATTGACTTCCCATCAACTGCATAATATGAAAAGAAAAATTGTAATGAGAAGCACTGTCAAAATATGAAATAGTACAAAATATATTCATCATTCACATATGAGAAGAAAGAGAAGCACCTGCCCATAGCAGACACTTAAAGGTAAATGAACAATAGGTATAAGGATGGTAGTGCCTCATGTTTGGATGATGACGTTCACATTTGCCTCGTTCTATATTTACTGACAATTTTTTAACTTTAATAAGACCAGAGAAACAGATTCAACGAGGATGGAAGGTGTAGAGAAGTCTTAGCCAAAGACAATAATTACAGTACACCATAGGTCAAAAAGCCACAGGCTATTAGAGTTCAAATTACTATCATCCAATCCTGTTTAAATCCAATAGTACAACTTTAAAGAAGAATCTAAGCATTTATAAATATTTATGTATTCTGTATTGAGAGGTCAGTCCATTACTTGTTTTTCTTGCTTGCTTGCTTTTTTGAAGACCAAAAAAATAAAAATATTTAAGAAGCTTTCACAGAATTGGAGACATATATTTATTCTTTATTCACCTTTTCACATTGGAATATAAACATATTATTAATTGACCAACCAACTACATGCCAAAGCCAATAAAATCATGATGAGTAAAACCAATAAATACTTCAAGTGAGCTCATCCATCTCCCTAAAGTTATATATGAAATGTTTTCAAGAAAAGAATAAAAATTTTGAGAATTAATTTTTTATCTAATTTTCTGCATATCCATTTTAAAATACAAACAGATGACAAATTTAATATTTTGACATATGATTTGTAAGGCAGCATACAAATCTGAAATATTTCCACTAGACTGAGACAACTTATGCATTGTATTCTTTTTACTCACACTCCTAAACAGATGTTGGAAACAGCCATTTTCCTAACATATTTGTAGGCAGATTGCCCTAGTTTTAATTGCCAATCTTAACATTTTGCTTCTTAAAAAATTTACCTTATTTTATTTAAATGTATCAAGATTAAGTGTTGTAAAACTCACCCAACTTCTAAAATTTACCAGCAACACATAGCAAAAGGAATAAAATCGAGTTTGTGATGATTTGCCAAACTGCGGTACACAGAAACTCAATCTCATAATCTCCAAATTATTCTAGAAAATTATGAGAAACAGGTAACTAAAGAGAGAAATAACAAATGCCTTCCTGTATTTAAAGACCTCTAATGTGAAAGAAGCAGTGGAAAGAAAGCTGCATGGCCTTAGAAAGAAGTCTAATCCACTTAACAGATACTTCAAAAGAGTAGATTTTCACTCAAGACAATAAAAAAATTTTAATAGTTTAAAATATCTAATTATTTGTATGCCTGATGGTGATGATTGCTGTGTTGATAGAGATAGCCACTAAAATATACTACAGCTATCTGTCAGGGTTGTTTTAGAAAGTATTTTCATGTTAATGTTCCTAATACAAAAGAAAGGATAAATTCCTGAGGTTATAAATATTCTAATTACTTTGATGTGATTATTACTCATTGTATGCCTGTACCAAAACATCACATATACCCCCTAAATATATATTCCTATTATGGACCCATAAAAATTGAAAATAAAAAAAAATTTAAAAAGAGATGAGATGAAAAAAGCAGCAGTAATATCCCTTAAAATGTTAAATTCTGTGGTTCAAAAATAACACTTGTATTAAAATTGTTGCTTATCTGATATTTCATTTTCTTTCTCCTTTGAATTAAGGAAAATTGCATAGTGTCTTTTTGTAACTCAGAAGAAACAGCAAATGATTAAAATATGTTTAAAATGATTTAAAAATTGTTTAAAAAATCAACATTAGTTAGAGTATATGGAAATTGAATTTTTCATGTAGTATTGATGGAAAATAAATTATTATAAATGTTCCATAGGATCTAGGGATTGTGTGTGAGCATTTCTTGGGTTCAATAATAACATTCTCAGGAATTATCTCCCAGAGAAACACCATACAAGGTTATCTCAAAGTTACCCACAGGAAAACTCATCTTATTTTTAATAGTTTCAAATTTTAAGCAACTCAATAATGACTGACAATTAAACAAATTTTATTATATTAAATAATTTGTAGTACATAGAATATCAGGCAGTCATTAAAATTGATGATATAGAACTATTTTATTTATTTACACAAAGATGTAAGAAGGTGTATCCGTATAAACAAAACCTCTCTTTCTGTGAGTAAACACACATCAATACACATACATCCACAGACACACACTTAGACTCAGAGCTAAATATGGGCACTGATTTTTATACTTTTTCTTCTACTTATCCATATCATTTAACTTTGTTAAAAGGCATGTATTATTTTAATGAGTAAATATTGAATTATTTTCATAAGTAAAAAAATTATGACAGTTTATCTTCAGCATGGAGGATCTAAGAAAATAAAGAATAAAAGAAAAATTCTTTATTGATACAACGAAGAATGTGTCAAAATCAGCACACAAGATTAATGTACAGAAGTCAATTATGTTTCCATATGAACAAAATAACCCGCAAATGAAATGAAGAGAACAATTCTATTCATAATAGTGTCAAAATGCTTAGGAATGTATTGACTATATTAAATAAATATTTAGTGAGATCCTCCTGTATGACAGGCCCTGTTTTAGGCCCTGAAACAGGCTGACCAACAGATAGCACTCCCACCCTCATAGTTTCTATGCAGGGGGTTTGCATTTTTTAAATTTTCCAGATGAAGTTGCAATGAATTTTCACTCATAAGTAATTTTTATACTTAAATATGTGTTCTGTTAGATGGTTTTCTAGAATTGTTGTATTATAGGGCATGCAAATTTTAAAATTGTGATCAATATGGCCAATTGTCTTGTGAAAAGATGGTATTCACAGTCTATGAGAGTGCACTTACATTTAAACAATAGAAACCTGAGCATATAAATTTGCTTAAACTTAATGATTTTCAAATAGTTCCAGTTTTACAGTAAAATTAATTTCAAATGGAATTATTTAAATTCTTTACTTATCATCTAATTAAATTTAAATTATTGAATTAGCATCTAATTTACAGAAAGAAATCAAAACTGAACTACAACTATTGTACAGATAAGCTCATCCAAGAAGTAAAGATCTTCTTTGCTGAAAGCTAGAAACAACTGAATTTTTCAGTAATCATTCCTCATGTATAGAATAAGAAGGGTCATGTCATACTTCTTTTCAAAACTGAATCAAGTTAAAAAACTAAATCAAATATTTAAAAGAAAACCGCCCACCAAAAAAGGAAATTCCCTTCCCTCATTTGAAAATAGCAGTATGTTACCTCATTAAAATGCCAATATGTAAGGTATGTGAGGTTGGTAAAGAAGGAAAAAAAAAAAAAAAAAACTCTTGTCAACTCTGAGGTTAGCAGGCTTTGTAAAAGTGACGTATTCTAGAAGCAGAGGATTATTTAGTGTACTAAAAGGTAAAAGGAAGGCCATCAAAAATAAAACCTCCTTGTTAAGCATGAATCAATTCCGAACTTAACATACACATTCACAAGCTTCAAAATGTGCAAGAATAAAAATCCAAGTCTACTACAGAAAAATCTGTAAACACTTATTCAAACATCGAGTATACGACACATAGTATTACTCAAGTCCCCAAGGATTTGGTTTAATATATTTTCCTATATTAGTGCTTGTAAATACGGGGGAAAGTAATGTGTTTTTATATTGCTTTTGGAATTATTACCAATTACTACACAGTGTTTTTTTTGTGTGTGCTAGAAACTATCCTTAATACATACATAGTCTAGAATTATTATTCCAGCAGTTATTCTTACAAGAGTTCTTGAAAATATGAAATATATTAAAGCATTTTGTGCATAGTCCACAAAAATTAGCAAGCACTTGTGTAACAACTACGTAAAAAGGTATACAAGCTGACTTCACTATCACCCACTTCAAATAATATCTATATAAGCATTTAAAAAGTATCTAACACAAAGCCCAAAAAAACCCTACCATTTCTACTGTTTTCTTATCAAAAGTTAATGTGACTTGTACAGGAAGTTACATGTTGCCATTGTCTATGTATACTTTATATTTTGGTTACCAATAGGAGTTAAGTCCTCTATGCTTCCAATTATTGACTTCATTGCTATAAATTTCCTATTATGTTACTCCAAAAAGTAAAACAGTGCAAATGTCCATTCAGTGGAATACAACTCAGTCATTAAAAGAAATGAACTACTGATAAAAGAAGCAACATGAGTGAATCACAAAAGTACTATGCTGAACAAAATAGCTAGATACAAAAGAGTATATACCTTTCTACTCCATTTATTTGAAGTTCTAGGACAGGAAAATCTCATCTTTAGTAATAGAAATCAGTGGTTGCCTGGCATGGTAACGGGGACTGGGAATGAATGGTGAAGTGTTATGAGGGAAGGTTTGGGGAAGAGAGAAATGTTCAGTATCTTGACTGATGTTTATTACACTAGTGTATATATGCTATGCATGCATTTGATAAAACATATCAAACTATATGCTTAAATTGAGTGAATTTTTGGTATATAAGTTATGCCTTAAGTTGATTTTAAAATTCAACAAAGGAAAGTGACTAAGAAGAATAGGAATAGTTGGTCAGAATTGACAGAATTACCTTCTATTGCATATTAGACACTTGATAAATATGTACTGAATGGATTTATTGCACACAGCAGTAAGCAAGGCAACCACTATTTCTCATATTTTATAGATTAAGATTAAGACACTGAGATTTAGAGAGCCACAAAATTAGTCAACAATGAACTCTCTTGGTAGGTCACAGGCTAATAAATTGTAACTGTACCAGAATTCAAGTATTTCTGTAATATAATGATGTTTCCATACATATTACCTGCACAATTCAAATTCAGTTGCACATAACTAACTGCATGGAGTTACAGAAATACTTACATGATACTCTGTTAAAAAGAGTATTCTTTGAAATAATTTAGTTCTGGATCTTAGAAATCTTTCATTATAAAAAGCTTATTCAAGAAAATGGCATTTGTTAAATTGATATTTTTAACTATAGACTCAAATGTGAATATTGAAACATTGAATTTTTAAATATTTAGTTGAATTTCCTATTATATAAAGGTTGGAATGACTCTACTTCAACGCATGATTTAGTTTGTTCTATAATAGAAATTAAGAAGAATATAAAAATGAAGACATGCCTGTTGCAATCAAGGAGCATATAGACTAAAAGAGAATAAGAAGCATGTACAAAAAGAAATATTATGAATGGCTTATTAAACATTCTGGATTCATAAGGACACAAGTAGAAAACAAGTTTATTCTTCCCCCGTCATATGTCTTCAAATCAGCTTTCCTAACCTGCTTTCTTAGAATTGTATGAAATTCTGGGCAGTTTCATAGTTTATTCACTCATGTTCAGATAAATAAAAGTCAGTTTAGTCTTATTATGTAAGTTCTGAAATAACACATAGAAGCTTATTGTGAAATCAGATGTACATAAATTGGAGATCTTACCTTTTCATAATCTATAAATAATTTCAAGGAGATAAACAGCTGAAAGGCACAGCAAGCCCTGAAGAGTGAAGACATCTCCCCAGGTTCTTTTTTCCTATGTCATACATTCCCCTTTGGCCTAGAATAACAAAAGAGGTTGAAAACATGCAACAGGGAAAAATTAAATTATGAAATATTGTTATTTTATACTCCAGAGGGTTGTATAGTTTATATCACGTTCTTCACAGAGGCATGCCTCATAAATCCATAGATTCCAGGCTTATTTATTGTAAGTAAATAATTCTGTGGGGTAATTCTTTATATGCCTCTGATGACACATCAAACAATTCCTATAGCTTTTGTTCTTAGGTAATTAATAGTCCTCTCATCAGTTTATTCATAAAAACAGTCTTGTTTTGGTAATTAAAATGTCCAGGTCAGTGTAATAATCACAATTCAGAACTGTTGACAATATAATTCTTCCCTCATCTAGCACAGCACTATCTCAGCTTGGAAAGTTTGCAGTACTGAGAGGTTATTATTGAGCCAGCTACGCCCTCATTCCCAAGTCACGGTATCCCACCCTTCTAAGATGAGGCCCAGCGAAAAAAGGACAAGGGAAATGATCCCCTATCTACAGGCTTATGTGACTGCCTGGAGCTCTCATCATCAAAGTACATCATTATAGCATTGATGTACTTTGGGTTTTGTATGCTCAAAGACGACTCCTTCCGGAGTGTTTAGCGGATTTCTCTGAAGTTATCCCGTAGGTACCTCCAGTTGCAATTTCCATGACACAGACATCATGACTGTGCTCCTTCAAGCAGCTTAAACTTCAGCCTCTGGGCCTCCACTGATATGTTACTCTTCCCAGTGACTTCATCTCTCTTGGTAACCTTTGTGAATGAAATCCATTTCATGGATTGCCCTGATTGTCTCTTTCCCAGGGGTCTACTCGACTCACAAGAAGACTTACACATACTTTCTCCAACTGTGAAGGTGCAGTTTGCTTGCAAGATAGCCTTCTTTCCCTTTGTTTTTGCTGTCAAGCAAGTATTCTGCCTGTGGTCTCTTGGCTGTAGAATTATTTGGTTGAGAAACAGACAAAAGTTCCCTAAACTTCAGGGATGCAAATAAACTTTGAAACTCTTCTCACTGGCTACATGTAAAGAAGGCAAAACATCTTACTCTCTTTTCCTACTGAAGGATAACTCTCTCTACAGGTATCCTCTCTGTCAATACTTCAATTCCTATTTAGTAGACTAGAAGTCACTTATTATTAACATTAGCAAAACCATTTTTCCAAATTACTAGCTTGTCCAAGATAGCTGAGGATAGTTGGCAAGAATTACATAACCTAAGGTTCTTAACCTGAGGAGCCTCAGCTTATACTGAGAAAGAATGACTTCCAAGACAACACACACACACACACACACACACACACACTTACTTTCCATGTTTGGTTACATTATTAAGCAAGGCAGATAGTGTTAAGTTCCATAAGATAAGAACAAATTATGTGCAAGAGAAACATGAATAAAGATAAAGAAGTAATCATTTTCTAAACACTTCCAACAACCTGGGAACATCTATACAGTATGTTTCAGCCCATTGCATGATTCAGACACTTCAATAGAATACGATTTTTGATACTGAGCTAAAATATGCT
The DNA here is from genome assembly GCF_000001405.40 of Homo sapiens. NCBI lineage: Eukaryota > Metazoa > Chordata > Mammalia > Primates > Hominidae > Homo > Homo sapiens. The sequence continues at coordinate 77,059,272 of NC_000008.11, read as the reverse complement.
TCCTTGACTTTCACTGTTTTTGGTTCTGCCTTTGAAAACCATACAAACCAAGTTGACATTTCAACCACAGCATAGCCCTTCAAAATATGTACCATATTTCTACAGAACTAACTACCACACTCAAATTATTTAGTCATTTCTCAAAGATATGGCTTTGACTCCTGTCAGCATACTGGGTACTCCCCTCTAACTCTATTATGTTCTTCCTTCTGTCACTCTTCCTAAAAGTCATGTGCCTGAGACTACAAAAGTATTGAAGCTGACGGAATTACCCTAAATACCATATTTCTAAAAATGCGACAAAAATACAATATCACTTCTTGTAGATAGATCATATAGTTGACTTTTCTGAGCTCTCAGTTAAAAAAATTCTAATACAGGCGCTTTTTTAAAAATTTAAAAAATGGAGTCTCATAATATTGCCCAAGCTGGCTTCAAACTCCTAGGCTCAAACAATCCTCTTTCCTCAGCCTCTTGATTTGCTGGGTCTACAGGTGTATGACACTATACAAGGCTAATATAGGTTTTAAAAATAAAAAATTGAGGAAGGCCAGATGTTTTGAAACCTGACCTGTCATGACCTGGACAGGATGCACCAACACCAATTCCAAAATCATTCTGGAGTACTTCAGAAAAAAGTGATTAAAATTTTTTAAATAAATTTTTCAGATAAAACCTGGATCTGAAATAAGACGTGAAATTGATATGAGACTAAAAAACAATAGAGTTATCTATTACATCAAGCCAAAAAATGAATTCTATATAATATGTGCAAATTAATACAATGAGAGTACAAAATGCCTAAACACTTTCTTCAAGGAGCTTACATTATTTCTAAGAAGAAACAATATATACCCATAAATATATATTAAAGTTACATTGAAATTTTCCATTGGCAGTTTTGCTAAAGGAATGAAAAGAGATGTGTAGGGGTTCAATAAAGAAGACTCACTATCAAAAAATTTTATGAAAAAGAACATCAGCTGAACTAAAAAAATGACTCAAATTCAGATCAATGGAGAGGATTAAGATTAGCATTCTAGGTGACACAAATCCTGTGTACAAAGGTCAAGAGAATAATATATAAGGCATATTTGGTCATTACAAGTAAATTATTATATTTGGAGAAAAGGAAGTCTTACAAAATAAGTGGGGAAAGGTGGTCATATGGTTTGCGTGTCCTGCCCAAATCTCATGTTGAATTGTAATCCTCAGTATTGAAGGTGGGGCCTGGTGGAAGGTGCTTGAGTCGTGGGGGTGGATCCCTCATGGCTTGGTGCTGTCTTTGCAATAGTGAGTGAGTTCTTGTGAGCTTTGGTCATTTAAAAATGTGTGGCACCTTCCCCCTTACTCTCTCTCTAGCTCCTGCTCCCACCATGGCTTCTCCATTCACCTTCCACCATGATTGAAAACTCCCTGAGGCTTCACCAGAAGCTGAGCAGATGCCAGCACAGTGCTTCCTGGCAGCCTGTAGAACCAGGGGCCAATTAAGCCTCTTTTATTTATAAATTGCCCAGTCTCAGCTATTTCTTTATATATAAAATGCAAGAATGGACTAACACATGTAGGATGAGGCCAGAATATATGAGGTTTTAAATGATGAATGAGAAGTTTAAACTCCAATCAATTGGACAGAGATAGTCATTGGTAGCTTTGATCCAAACAATGATACGCATAAATCAGTGTTTTAAGAGGGGTAATCTAGTTGAAGTATATGGAACAGATTGGAAACAAGAGGATTCAGCTGGTGAATCAGCTGGCGAATTAGAATTAACCATGAATGAATAAGGTGAAATAACCAAGGACTGTTAAAAAATGTCTATCTGAGAAAAAAATACAAAAATAGCAATCTGGTAACAGCCTTAATGTGGAGCAAGAAAGAGAATGTCTACAGAGATTACAAAGGTAATACTGTTGTTACTGGCAATGACAGAGAAGAAGGAGAAGTGGATAAAACCTGCTAATTTGAGGTAAGAGTAAAACATCCAAAAGTATCTGGCAAGAGCTTTGTAATGTGGGCCAAAACTCAGGAGGGGGACCAAAGCTGATATGGATTCAGCCATAAAGAAGCAACTGAACTATGAACCATAAAGGAGGAAAACAAATAACATGAAGTGCATTAGGCCAACCTTGGGAAACAGGAAGTAAAGTCAATGGAGGCGGCAAAACACCCCAAAGAAGAAATACAACCAGACGAAATGTATCATATCAATCCATTACAAGCCAGAGCACGAGCAGAGAAAGGACTGAGATTGCTAGGCAGCAGATGTAGGGCACTTTATATTAAAGCTTCTGAGACCAACCTAGAAATCAATTAGCATGCAAAATCAGTCATTGAAGAGATAACCTGATGAAGGAAAGATTCGATAAGATAGTCTTTAGGCTTGGTTATATTTATTACCCATGAGCAGTGATAGTGAATTTTTAACATTGCCAGACAGCAAGATGGTACCATAGAAACTAGAAGAGGTGGACATTCAAGAAACAGAGGATATTTAACAGTGCTAAATACATAAAGTAAAAAAAGAAGATACTTTGATGATCTTCTGATAATTTTTCTAAGCAAAATTATGTATAGAAGAGTTCTTCCAAATTGTTTCAAATTTGTTCTATTAAATTGGCTTAATGTTCCTATTATGATGCTATTTTATGCTGCTCACAAACCTTTTATAAACCTCATCCAAGTCTTGGTCAAATAATAAAAAATGCAGAATTAATGAAGTAGAAATTAACGATAATTCGTTCAAATAGAAAAAGAGCATAACTTCAGTAGAGTTTTAATTGAGTAACAATTTCAATATTTAGACACTTACTAAAACTGGTATTTTAACGGAAAAAAAATGCATCTGTTAACATGCTACCCTTCCATTTTTTTGACAATTTAGTATATATCTTAATAAATAGATGTCAGAATATATCAACTATGAGATGGATATATGCTATCAAATTTCATTAATGTAAAATTGAAATGACATGTTTCCTAACTGTCTTTATAATTACATAAAGCATCAAATATTGAAGAATAGAAAAAAGAAAGTATTGCTTTTTCCTCATTCCTCTGCCCAGGGACAGTATAATAATTTTAAGACATTAGATATTGTAGACAGATGATATGATTAATTCACATTTTTCTGTTTGCTATGTATGAATGGCCACAAAAAATTCTTCCCATCATTTTATTTCTTTCAACTGTCATGATATTATTTTTCTCCTCTTCAAAGTAAGTCCATTTGAGTTACTTGATCTATTTACTTCAGAATATTTATGTATATCAAGAAGGTTCTTTTGCATTGTTCTTGTGCATTGAACAATGCATTGTTCAATGCATTGAACAAGCATTGCATTGTTCTTATCTAAGGATATGTTCTTTATAAATCTAGAAGAATGTGACCTTAAGTAGTAATGATATCCAAGACTTTAAGGAAAATATATTTAAAATTAAGAGGTAAACTTTGCTCAAATATTATATCAAATACTACAATAACAGAAATTCTAAATGTAATAAGATCACGGCCACTCCCTGAGCAAGCTGATAGACAAGTTATTGAATGAATTAATTGTCATAAAACAGAAAAATGCAAATAATGCAATACAAGTATTGTATGTGGGGGAAAAACCACATAGAGTAAGAAAAATTATTTATTTTAGACAAAAAATTGAACATTTCTGTATGCAAGAAAATGAATATGTATTGAGAGTGAGTGAATATTGTTATGGAGAATATACACACATATTAAAATGTATACTTGGAATTAGTGATAAAAATGTGTTTTTTCTCTTTTTTTAGTAATTCTTTTAAAATATTTTCAGAAACATTTCTCTTTAGTGTGTAATTCAAAAAAATTTTGCAGATGTCTCAATTTCTGAAGTCATTTAATTAAAATGAAAACTAAAGTGCCACTGAGAATGAAATAGTGGAAATATCATATAACTTGGAGTCAGAATTCTGCTGACCTGAATTCCAGTCCTGACTGCTTCATTATTAAGTTTCCTTAGCTTCAATTAAGCATTTGTAATGAGTTTGGACCAAGTGGATGTTTTTCAAACTTCTCTTAGCAATATAACTCTTTCTTCAAAGGAAAATTCATGTGGAAAAATAATATATTTTACATGCCCCAAAACAAATAAATCAGAGAGAGAGTGTGTGTTCATCCAAGATCAGGCACCATGGGGGGCAAATTGAAAACCACTAAACCAGCTGGTGCTACCCAATGCTAACATTTGGGAGCCCTCAAACTGGTAATGTTATATTACTCATAATAGCAACATTTATTGACATTTGGGTTAAACACTTTATATATTTTACCTTATTTACTATCTAACAACACTAAATAGAAAATGAAACCCAATTCATTAATTTACCAAATAGTCACACAGCTAGTAAGTGATAGAAATCAAACCCAGACAATGCAACTCCAAAGCTCATACTGATTTTCACAAGAGCTACCATTTGTTAAATATTTACTACATACTAGGCACTGTGCTTGCTTAATGCAACAAAAATGTTGGCTGGGTATTATTATCCTCATTTTGCAGATGAGGAAACTGAGGCTTAGATAATTTAGGTAACCTGTTTGTGGTCACACTTCCAAATGATATGTATGTCTCCCTTTTCTTTGACATTAGTAAGCTATTCATCAGCAGTTTTGAATTTTTCAAGCCCACTTACATGTTACCGTTGTACTTATGAACATTTGCCACCCTTAGAAGTTGGATATGCACTGTGAAAATCTGGTGGGTGTGTGTGCACATGTGTGCATGTGGGTGTATTTCAAAGCTAGGCACCATGGTTCCCTGTAGGGTTAAAATATGGAGAAAGCACAGGAAATCATAGTATCATTCCTTTATAATAGTATGTATAGACAGCTCAATGGTTTACACACATAATCATTATTATTCTCCTTTAAGTCTGTAAATAAACTAATTCTACTATAAACAGAAGACAGATACCTAATGAATGCAAACATTTAATATAAATGATCATTTTTTAATTAGCAGATATTTAACACTTTTTCCACATTTTCTATAAATTTTGCAAGAATAATCCTCATCAATATTCTAAATATTGAATATTAACATCCTAAATACACATGCACACAATAGCACGAATAAAGAATATTTGAATCTCCAACATTAAAAAAAATTAGACAATCCAATCAGAGACATTTTCATTTTTAGAATTCATAAATTAAAGGACACTTTGTTTTAGATTTTTCCTAACTTACAACTTCTTCAGTTTCTCATAAATAGAACATAAGGAGAAAGTGATTTTAAAGAGATATTGAGCCTCATATATTAGAAATAAAGTGCTGGATTTCATCCAGAAGCAAACTGGTAATTGTGTTAAAATGTGGATGCTGAAATCTCTCCCTGAGCTGCCTCTTCAAGTTGACCAGGTCATGCTAGTGACTGCCAAAAATCCAAAATTGGCACTTGTTCTCAAGTCAGTATATAGGGTCTGGCCAGCTGGAAAATTGCCTGAGGAGTTGCAATAATTTGAAAATCATCAACATAAATTTTCTCCCTAAAAAGAATGCTTCTTCTGGGGAAACTGAACCACTATTCCAGGGGTCTGTTGACACATTTTAGGTACGTTACCGACAGCACATCCAGGAATTGGCCTGAATTTATGCTTACAGGTCCAAAATTGACACCCACTTGGAAAGAATGGAAATGAACACAGCCCCATTTCCTAGGAAATAAGAACCTCAGTTTTTGAAAAAATCCATATTAATGTCTTGACACAACGCTTCATATTGGGTAAGAGTTTTCTATCTGTACTAAAATCTTCCTTCCACCAATGGTCCTTAAATAGCTTTTGATGGAAAATCACAGCAATTTCTGGTATAATTGAGAGTGGAACTGAGGAATTCATTAACTTTGCCTAATACAGTTGCCATTAACTCTGCCAAAAGGAAAGACTTTACAAAAGTAACTTCACGTTACCTGACCACGTTGCACTGCCCCGTATATTAAACACTAAACTGATAACATCTTTAAAAGGCCTATTGAAGGTAGCCAAGATTCTTATCATTCAACCTGTGGAATGCTTTATCTCTGAAATCAAGTTACATAAGCCAATTATGTAAAAATATTTCAGGGCACTCTTTGATCAGTTTACTCTCTCCTCTTGGAATACTCATAACACAAGGATAGGTGGTGTGTGTTTTTTTCTTTTTTTATTTGTCCTGTGATCTTTCTGAACCTAAGAACTTACATTCACAAAATGAATGATGATCACCAAAGTCTTCAGAAACATTCATTGAAGACACAGCCAGTCAAAGTGATGACAGTTAGCTGAGGAGACACAAATCTTCTGAGAATTATCATCCACACCCTCTTACAAGCTACATTTTAAAGGAATGCTAGAAAATTGTTTTTATGTAATGTTTAGATATGCATTTAATTAACCAGAAGAGCAATTTTTTTCTTGTGAAGAATGTCAACAACATACCCATCTAAAAATTATGACACTATTACATGAAAAGGCTCTACAAACCTAGAATAATAATAAAAAATAAGTAGTGCTTTATGATAACAGTATTTTCACATAAATCATGGCAACTTATTCTTACATCAGTCTTCTGGGTAGGAATCAACTATTAGTCCAAATTTATAGATAAGGAAACAGGTACAGTGGTTTCATCATTAGTACGAATGGGTGAGCAATGAGGATGAAGTCACCAACAATGATGACACAAATAGTGTTGGAGAGGACAAGAGTCAGGGAAGATGCTAAAGAAATCAGAGATGGTGTGAGTGGTCAGAGGGCAGAAGCCACAACGTTTACATCTGTAACTACTTTTAAGTGACACCTTTACAATAAAGTCCTAGTTCTTTTAAAATGTCTGTTAAAAAAAATTAAAAAGCTGACAGACTGAGCTACTATTCTGCCTGATGTAAAAACATATAATTTGATTTAGATCATTTATACAGTAAAAGCTTTATATATGAATTTAAAGTTATTTGAGCTGAGCTGCTGAAAACATTTTATTTTTTACTTCATGGTGTAAAATGAATTTGAAGAAAAAACAAAAAATAAATAAGTAAATGGATTCATTCAGCAAACATGTGCTGAGTGTCCTTTGTATCATTTACCCATCTCATCTTTGTGGGCTCAGCTCCAGTGTTGCCTTCCCAGAGAGATCATGCCAGTCTAGCTAATCCACTCAGCCCTTGCCCCCTTCCAGTCTCTTTTTAGCTCAATACCCTGTTTTATGTCATTCATAGCACTTATCACTATTTGAAATTATCTTATCTACTTGTCTGTATGTTTATTTTCTATCCACTGCCCACCATTCACCCTCAAGTAGAATGCGAGCCCTTTGAAACAGGAAGTGTGGCCATTCTCATCAATACCACACCCCCAGTGCCTTGAACAGCATCTAGGTGCTGTAGGTACGCAATCTCTGTTGATGGAAAGGATAAAGGTTTACCTCATTTTGCACAATATGTCATATTAAACAGTAATTCTGAATATATCATTGTAATTGATTCTCAGAAAAATACTATAAACTACTTACAGTTAGAAAATATGTCTAGAAGGCAGGCGCGGTGGCTCACGCCTGTAATCCCAGCACTTTGGGAGGCCAAGGTGGGCGGACCACGAGGTCAGGAGTTCGAGACCAGCCTGACCAACATGGTGAAACCCTGTCTCTACTAAAAATACAAAAATTTGCTGGGCGTGGTGGTGCACGCCTGTAATCCCAGCAACTTGGGAGGCTGAAGCAGGAGAATTGCTTGAACCCGGAAGGCAGAGGTTGCAGTGAGCCAAGATGGCACCATTGCACTCCAGCCTGGGCAACAGGGCGAAACTTCATCTCAAAAAAAAAAAAAAGAAAGAAAATATGTCTAGAAAACGTCTTCCTATACTTTCCCAAGGTCATAATTCATACAACATAAAATCCGTTTTCACAGATTGTAATAGTCTTTGAAAGACACTTGTGTTCTCAAGATGTCTTCAGTACTGCACACTTGCCAGATTGAGTTCCATCTGCCATGTCCATTCTATGTTCCAGATGTAGATGCAAGCACCATGCCCACACAAACTTTTAGGAAAGCTTTGTTTAATAAACAGTATGAAGAACTGAGAACTACTTGAAAATCCACCCACTTAGTTCCTCCAACTAGCCCAGCTGTTCATGAATGCTAAGGCATGTTTCCACACACCATTACATGAAAAACAATTTGTTTCTTTTTGCAAGATAGTTTTATTCAATCCAGTAGAGAAAATCTATTTATGTTTTAAAACGCATTGATATTTCTTGGTTAATTGTATTGTTAATTTTTCTTTTAGACAGATATAGTGATGTACATCATATATTTTGAAATCTGCTTTTTTGTTTCTAATTATAAAAGTGTTGCTAGACAGTTCTGTTTGTGAAAATATATTTCATTTTCTTCTAGTGTATACAGCTAGATTTTATTTTCTAGTTCCAAGAGCAGTTAACCGACACTGTGCCTGGGATCTGGCCTGGGGATGATGTATAATGCATATAGGCCAAACCGGTTAAGAAACAATTCTAATAGGTAGGTCTCAGAGGATTTAGAGGAAGATAGAGCCACATGATGTCAGAAGCATGGATTCCTAAAAGATCACTAGAGGCACATACAATTGGATAAACCCACATTGGACTGTGACTTTAATGAGTTATACATTTCTATTATGTCAAGCCAGTGAGGTTTTAAGAATAATCTGTTACTCAGCTAATGTTATTTTCTATCATGTTATTCATGGTAGAAATGTGAAAATACAAAAATGTATCACCTATTTTTACATATTCGTTATTCTAGATGAACCTCAGAATTATTATGTTTGGATTCTAACTGGGATTGCAATTAATAGAAATGTTAATCAAGATTATCTTTTCATATTTGTAAGGTACATACCTTATTTTGGATAGCAATATATAATATTATAAATATGACAAAAGAATAATATAGTATTATGTTTAGTATTATTATCTTTTATGACAACATATGGTATTATAACAATACTATATATTATTATCCATATATTATTAGTATATATCTTATTATGGATAATAATATTAAGTACTATAAATATGACAAAATAATTTGAATCTCAGTCTTTACTTAGGAACTGTATATTTCTTAATTAGGTTTATTCGGAGTTATTTGGGGTTTCAATTTATTTATTTGTTGTGATTATGCTGGGTATACCTTTCCTTATATGATTTTCTTGCTTACAGTTTTGTTAGTCATGTTACGTATTTTGTGACCAGTCACATTATTAAATTATTTTGTTCTTTCTACCAGTATTTTTACCTATTCTCTTGGATTTTAAAAATACATAATCATATCATTTATCAATAATGATAATATTGTCCCTTCTTTCCCAATATCTATAATCATTGTTACACTCCTTTGGCTAATTTTATTGTCTATAACTTTTCCAGGAAAATATTAAAGAATAGTGGGGAAACTAGGCATACCTGCCTTGTTTCTGACTTCAACAGGATTTCTTGGATTGTTTTATCCAAGAATGATGTTTGTAAATGGTCTGAGATATGCATATAATTTTACCTAAAGTTATTATTCTCTTCCTTTTTTACAAAGGACTTTTCTTCTTTCACCTGTAGTCAGTGGTACTAGAAGATTTAATATTGTTAAGCATTCGTGCAACTAAAATAAACCCTGCATGGTCTTGGCATATTATTCTTTTAATGTAATGCTGTATTTTATTTTCTAGATTTTATTTACTATTTTGCATTAATATTCATGAGTAAGATGGCTTATCATTTTCTTTTTTGTGGTTTCTTTGTCAGATTTTGGAGTCAATGTCATATTAGTTTTTTTTTTTTAAGAATTGGAATACTTCCTTTATTTTATATTCCTGGAACAAGTTAAATTGCACAGGAATTACCTGCTCTTTGAAGGTTTGAAAACATTCATCCATGAAATTCTTTGGTATATTTACAGGCAATGCCCTAATTTAACATCAGAATGAATTCCTTCCATGATCATTCTTCTATTTAGCTATCTATATCTCTTGAATTAATGTCAGTTATTTTCAATTTCTTTAAAAAAATGTAGAAACTTGTTCCTGAATTTTTAAGTTGGTTATGCTTTGGAAAATATTAGTCTAAAAAGTGGAAATTCAATATTTTTCAAAAAGATATGTAAAGAAGATAGTCCAAGAAGTATGTTTCATGGATGTTATTAGGATAACATAAAAATAGGATCCATAGTCAATACCACTGGGAAATGCTTTAAAACAAATATTGAAGATTTACTTTCTGTAGGATTTGTCAGAGTCCTTAACATTCTTATGTGCATCTTATCTCTTTAAAGGTTATACTTTACTGCATATACCCCATTTCTAGTAAGCATCTCATGGGATTTTTATACTCTGGTACACTTTAGGAAACAGTTCTAAAGAAATTTGAAGATCAAGCTTAGTTTTGCAGAAATATTTTCAGGACTAATGAGACAGGATTTCTTGAAGACAAATCCTTCTAGAAAACCTGTCACAACACAGTAAAAATACATAAACTTCAAAAGCTCAGAAACTGGTTTTATTTGATTCAAACATTTTTTCATGTTGTTTGTATATAATTCTGATAAATTCCAAAGACTTTAAATGGTATGTAAAACATGAAGCTAGAACCATCTGGAAATTTAAAAATAAACATTCAGACATTCAAACTTTAGCTTTAGAACTAAGGACCTTGTATAATTTTTACTTATATTACCTAAAATATTGTTTATTTAAGCAGAGGGCATGTTATATATTATAGCTATCTACTATATAATCAAGGTTTTTGTCTTCCGCAGTATAATGCTTTCTACAACTTACACAGACAAAGAAATTTCATATTCCATCTAAGCAAAACCTTTGTAGAACTCTTTAGAGACTTGAGTCTCCAGAACTAACCTATAATGGCATCTGGAAAAAAATTTCCTTTTAACACCGAATTTTATAAGTTTATTGAGGTGTCATTGATAATCAAATTTTTTTTATTATACTTTAAGTTTTAGGGTACATGTGCACAACGTGCAGGTTTGTTACATATGTATACATGTGCCATGTTTGTTTGCTGCACCCATTAACTCGTCATTTACATTAGATATATTCCTAATGGTATCCCTCCCCCCTCCCCTTTCTCCCCACCCCACAACAGGCCCTGGTGTGTGATGTTCCCCTTCCTGTGTCAAAGTTTTCTCATTGTTCAATTCCCACCTATGAGTGAGAACATGTGGTGTTTGGATTTTTGTCCTTGCGATAGTTTGCTCAGAATGATGGTTTCCAGCTTCATCCATGTCCCCACAAAGGACATGAACTCATCCTTTTTTATGGCTGCATAGTATTCCATGGTGTCTATGTGCCACATTTTCTTAATCCAGTCTATCATTGTTGGACATTTGGGTTGGTTCCAAGTCTTTGCTATTGTGAATAGTGCCACAATAAACATACGTGTGCTTGTGTCTTTATAGCAGCATGCTCTATAATACTTTGGGTATATACCCAGAAATGGGATGGCTGTGTCAAATGGTATTTCTAGTTCTAGATCCTTGAGGAATTGCCACACTGACTTCCACAAGGGTTGAACTAGTTTGCAGTCCCACCAACAGTGTAAAAGTGTTCCTATTTCTCCACACCCTCTCCAGCACCTGTTGTTTCCTGACTTTTTAATGATCACCATTCTAACTGGTGTGAGATGGTATCTCACTGGGGTTTTGATATGCATTTCTCTGATGGCCAGTGATGATGAGCATTTTTTCATGTGTCTGTTGGCTGCATAAATGTCTTCTTTTGAGAAGTGTCTGTTCATATCCTTTGCCCACTTTTTGATGAGTTTGTTTGTTTTTTTCTTGTAAATTTGCTTGAGTTCTTTGTAGATTCTGGATATTAGCCCTTTGTCAGATGAGTAGATTGAAAAAATTTTCTCCCATTCTGTAGGTTGCCTGTTCATTCTGATGGTAGTTTCTTTTGCTGTGCAGAAGCTCTTTAGTTGAATTAGATCCCATTTGTCAATTTTGGCTTTTGTTGCCAATTTTGGCTTTTGGTGTTTTAGGAATGAAGTCCTTGCCCATGCCTATGTCCTGAATGGTATTGCCTAGGTTTTCTTCTAGGGTTTTTATGGTTTCAGGTCTAACATTTAAGTCTTTAATCCATCTTGAATTAATTTTTGTATAAGGTGTAAGAAAGGGATCCAGTGTCAGCTTTCTACATATGGCTAGCCAGTTTTCCCAGCACCATTTATTATATTCCCTATTATAAATAGGGAATCCTTTCCCCATTTCTTGTTTTTCTCAGGTTTGTCAAAGATCAGATGGTTGTAGATATGTGGCATTATTTCTGAGGACTCTGTTCTGTTCCATTGATCTATATCTCTGTTTTGGTACCAGTACCATGCTGTTTTGGTTACTGTAGCCTTGTAGTATAGTTTGAAGTCAGGTAGCATGATGCCTCCAGCTTTGTTCTTTTTGCTTAGGATTGACTTGGCAATGCGGGCTGTATTTTGGTTCCATATGAACTTCAAAGTAGTTTTTTCCAATTCTGTGAAGAAAGTCATTGGTAGCTTGATGGGGATGGCATTGAATCTATAAATTACCTTGGACAGTATGGCCATTTTCATGATATTGATTCTTCCTATCCAGCAGCATGGAATGTTCTTCCATTTGTTTGTACCCTCTTTTATTTTGTTGAGCAGTGGTTTGTAGTTCTCCTTGAAGAGGTCCTTCACATTCCTTGTAAGTTGGATTCCTAGGTATTTTATTCTCCTTGAAGCACTTGAGAATAGGAGTTCACTCATGATTTGGCTCTCTGTTTGTCTGTTATTGCTGTATAAGAATGCTTGTGATTTTTGCACATTGATTTTGTATCCTGAGACTTTGCTGAAGTTGCTTATCAGCTTAAGGATATTTTGGGCTGAGATGATGGGGTTTTCTAGATATATGATCATGTCACCTGCAAACAGGGACAATTTGACTTCCTCTTTTCCTAATTGAATACCCTTTCTTTCCTTCTCCTGCTTGATTGCCCTGGCCAGAACTTCCAACACTATGTTGAATAGGAGTGGTGAGAGAGGGCATCCCTGTCTTGTGCCAGTTGTCAAAGGGAATGCTTCCAGTTTTTGCCCATTCAGTTTGATATTGGCTGTGGGTTTGTCATAAATAGCTCTTATTATTTCGAGATATGCCCCATCAATATCTAATTTATTGAGAGTTTTTAGCATGAAGTGCTGTTGAATTTTGTCAAAGGCCTTTTCTGCATCTATTGAGATAATCATGTGGTTTTTGTCATTGGTTCTGTTTATATGCTGGATTACGTTTATTGATTTGCGTATGTTGAACCAGCCTTGCATCCCAGGGATGAAGCCAACTTCTTCATGGTGGATAAGCTTTTTGATGTGTTGCTGGATTTGGTTTGCCAGTATTTTATTGAGGATTTTTGCATCAGGGTTCATCAAGGATATTGGTCTAAAATTCTCTTTTTTTGTTGTGTCTCTGCCAGGCTTTGGTATCAGGATGATGCTGGCTTCATAAAATGAGTTAGAGAGGATTCTCTCTTTTTCTATTGATTGGAATAGTTTCAGAAGGAATGGTACCAGCTCCTCCTTGTACCTCTGTTAGAATTCGGCTGTGAATCCATCTGGTCCTGGATTTTTTTGGTTGGTAAGCTATTAATTATTGCCTCAATTTCAGAGCCTGTTGTTGGTCTATTCAGAGATTCAATTTCCTCCTGGTTTAGACTTGGGAGGGTGTATGTGTCAACGAATTTATCCATTTCTTCTAAATTTTCTAGTTTATTTGCATAACGATGTTTATAGTATTCTCTGATGGTAGTTTGTATTTCTGTGGGATTGGTGGTGATATCCCCTTTATCATTTTTTATTGTGTCTATTTGATTATTCTCTCTTTTCTTCTTTATTAGTCTTGCTAGCGGTCTATCAAGTTTGTTGATCTTTTCAAAAAACCAGCTCCTGGATTCATTGATTTTTTTTTAATTATACTTTAAGTTTTAGGGTACATGGGCAAAACGTGCAGTTTTGTTACATATGTATACATGTGCCATGTTGGTGTGCTGCACCCATTAATTCGTCATTTAGCATTAGGTGTTTCTCCTAATGCTATCCCTTCCCCCTCCCCCCACCCCACAACAGACCCCAGAGTGTGATGTTCCCCTTCCTGTGTCCATGTGTTCTCATTGTTCAATTCCCACCTATGAGTGAGAACATGCGGTGTTTGGTTTTTTGTCCTTGTGATAGTTTGCTGTGTTTTTTGTGTCTCTATCTCCTTCAGTTCTGCTCTGATCTTAGTTATTTCTTGCCTTCTGCTAGCTTTTGAATGTGTTTGCTCTTGCTTCTCTAGTTCTTTTAATTATGATGTTAGGGTGTTAATTTTAGATCTTTCCTGCTTTCTCTTGTGGGCATTTAGTGCTATAAATTTCCCTCTACAGACTGCTTTAAATGTGTCCCAGAGATTCTGGTATGTTGTGTCTTTGTTCTCGTTGGTTTCAAAGAACATCTTTATTTCTGCCTTAATTTTGTTATGTACCCAGTAATCATTCAGGAGCAGGTTGTTCAGTTTCCTTGTAGTTGAGCGGGTTTGAGTGAGTTTCTTAATCCTGAGTTCCAGTTTGATTGCACTGTGGTCTGAGAGACAGTTTGTTATAATTTCTGTTCTTTTACATTTCCTGAGGAGTGCTTTACTTCCAACTATGTGGTCAATTTTGGAATAAGTGCAGTGTGGTGCTGAGAAGAATGTATATTCTGTTGATTTGGGGTGGAGAGTTCTGTAGATGTCTATTAGGTCCGCTTGGTGCAGAGCTGAGTTTAATTCCTGGATATCCTTGTTAACTTTCTGTCTCGTTGATCTGTCTAATGTTGACAGTGGGGTGTTAAAGTCTCCCATTAGTATTGTGTGGGAGTCTAAGTCTCTTTGTAGGTCACTCAGGACTTGCTTTATGAATCTTGGTGCTCCTGTATTGGGTGTATATATATTTAGGATAGTTAGTTCTTCTTGTTTAGTTGATCCCTTTACTATTATGTAATGGCCTTCTTTGTCTCTTTTGATCTTTGTTGGTTTAAAGTCTGTTTTATCAGATACTAGGATTGCAACCCCTGCCTTTTTTTTTGTTTTCCATTTGCTTGATAGATCTTCCTCCATCCCTTTATTTTGAGCCTATGTGTGTCTCTGCATGTGAGATGGGTCTCCTGAATACAGCATACTGGTGGGTCTTGATTCTTTATCCAATTTGCCAGTCTGTATCTTTTAATGGGAGCATTTAGCCCATTTATGTTTAAGGTTAATATTGTTACGTGTGAATTTGATCCTGTCATTATGATGTTAGCAGGTTATTTTGCTCATTAGTTGATGCAGTTTCTTCCTAGCCTTGATGGTGTTTACAATTTGGCATGTTTTTGCAGTGGCTGGTACTGGTTGTTCCTTTCCATGTTTAGTGCTTCCTTCAGGAGCTCTTCTAGGGCAGGCCTGGTGGTGACAAAATCTCTCAGCATTTGTTTGTCTGTAAAGTATTTTATTTCTCCTTCACTTATGAAGTTTAATTTGGCTGGATATGAGATTCTGGGTTGAAAATTCTTTTCTTTAAGAATGTTGAATATTGGCCCCCACTCTCTTCTTGCTTGTAGAGTTTCTACTAAGAGATCAGCTGTTAGTCTGATGGGCTTCCCTTTGTGGATAACCTGACCTTTCTCTCTGGTTGCCCTTAACATTTTTTCCTTCATTTCAACTTTGGTGAATCTGACAATTATGTGTCTTGGAGTTGCTCTTCTCAAGGAGTATCTTTGTGGCGTTCTCTGTATTTCCTGAATTTGAATGCTGGCCTGCCTTGCTAGGTTGGGGAAGTTCTCCTGGATGATATCCTGCAGAGTGTTTTCCAACTTGGTTCCATTCTCCCCGTCACTTTCAGGTACACCAATCAGACATAGATTTGGTCTTTTCACATATTCCCATATTTCTTGGAGGCTTTGTTCATTTCTTTTTATTCTTTTTTCTCTAAACTTCTCTTCTTGCTTGATTTCATTCATTTGATCTTCCATCACTGATACTCTTTCTTCCAGTTGATCAAATCAGCTACTGAAGCTTGCAGATTCATCATGTAGTTCTTGTGCCATGGTTTTCAGCTCCATCAGGTCCTTTAAGGACTTCTCTGCATTGGTTATTCTAGTTAGCCATTCATCTACTCTTTTTTCAAGGTTTTTAAATTCTTTGCCATGGGTTCGAACTTCCTCCTTTAGCTCGGAGAAGTTTGATCATCTGAAGCCTTATTCTCTCAACTTGTCAAAGTCATTCTCCATCCAGCTTTGTTCCATTACTGGTGAGGAGCTGCATTCCTTTGGTGGAGGACAGGCACTCTGATTTTTAGAATTTTCAGTTTTTCTCCTCTGTTTTTTCCCCACCTTTGTGGTTTTATCTACCTTTGGTCTTTGATGATGGTGATGTACAGATGGGGTTTTGGTGTGGATGTCCTTTCTGTTTGTTAGTTTTCCTTCTAACAGTCAGGACCCTCAGCTGCAGGTCTGTTGGAGTTTGCCGGAGGTCCACTCCAGACCCTGTTTGCCTGGGTATCAGCAGCAGAGGCTGCAGAACAGTGAATATTGGTGAACAGCAAATGTTGCTGCCTGATCATTCCTCTGGAAGTTTTGTCTCAGAGGGGTACCTGGCCATGTGAGGTGTCAGTCTGCCCCTACTGGGGGGTGCCTCCCAGTTAAGCTACTTGGGGGTCAGGGACCCACTTGAGGAGTCAGTCTGCCCATTCTTAGATCTCAAGCTGTGTGCTGGGAGAACCACTACTGTCTTCCAATCTGTCAGACAGGGACATTTAAGTCTGCAGAGGTTTCTGCTGCCTTTTGTTTGGCTATGTCCTGCCCCCAGAGGTGGAGTCTACAGAGGCAGGCAGGCCTCCTTGAGCTGTGGTGGGCTCCACCCAGTTCAAGCTTCCTGGCCGCTTTGTTTACCTGCTCAAGCCTCAGCAATGATGGGCGCCCCTCCCCCAGCCTCACTGCCACCTTGCAGTTTGATCTCAGACTGCTGTGCTAGGAATGAGGGAAGCTCCCATGGGCATAGGACCCTCCGAGCCATGCACGGGATATAATCTCCTGGTGTGCCATTTGCTAAGACCATTGGAAAAGTGCAGTATTAGGGTGGG
The DNA here is from genome assembly GCF_000001405.40 of Homo sapiens. Taxonomy (NCBI): domain Eukaryota; kingdom Metazoa; phylum Chordata; class Mammalia; order Primates; family Hominidae; genus Homo; species Homo sapiens. The sequence goes on along the minus strand of NC_000008.11, from coordinate 77,042,135 downwards.
AGTGACCCAATTTTCCAGGTGCCGTCTGTCACCCCTTTCCTTGGCTATGAAAAGGAATTCCCTGACCCCTTGTGCTTCCCGGGTGAGGCGATGCCTCACCCTGCTTCGGCTCACACTCGGTGCACTGCACCTACTGTCCTGCACCCACTGTCTAACAATCCCCTGTGAGATGAACTGGTCACCTCAGTTTGAAATGCAGAAATCATCCGTCTTCTGCGTTGTTCACGCTGGGAGCTGTAGACTGCAGCTGTTCCTATTTGGCCATCTTGGAACCACCCCATATATAAAAAAAATTAACAGCATTGAGGCCAAGTACAGCAGCTGACATCTGCAATCCCAGCCCTCTGGGAGGCCGAGGTGTGTGAATCACTTGAGATCAAGAGTTCAAGACCAGCCTGGGAAACATGGTGAAACCCATCTCTACCAAAAATACAAAAAATTAGCTGCGTATGATGGCACATGCCTGAAAGTCCCAGCTACTCAGGAGGGTTAGGTGGGAGGATCCTGGAAAAATTTTTAAAATCTGAATAAAGAAAAGTAAGTACTAATGTGTCACTATGTCTTATCAATGATAGTGTGCATTCAAACAGAACATGCTTAGAAATTAATATTTTCTCATTCTCTGAGACCTATCAAAGCAAACAAATGATAGGCCCCAATTAAAAAGCTATGCTCAAGCAGCCCAGACAACACAAAGGATGTATATAAAGCCTTCTCACATTCAAAAATTTCTATGTATTTCTTAGAAAATTACTACTGCCTCATACCTAATTAGCAAAATGATAGATAGATAGATAGATAGATAACTTAAATTTCATTGACTATAATCGCTAAAGGAAATTCAGAGAAAGAAAATGTATCCTTGAGTACAGCTTTTCAGGGTAATCTGTCCCACATATACAATGGCTTCTTTCATCACTTTATTACAAGTATCTAAATCAAAACAGTGAGCTGCTACTAGATATCTCCAGAAGCATAAGAATTTGGCAGTATTCTGGAGCTGGCTTATGGAGCTCGCAAGAGATGACTCCTGTGCTGAAGCATTCAGCGGAATGCACATTCCTAATTATGAATGCAGAATCCTAATTCTGCATTCAGCGGCCTCACATTAGTACTTGAAATTGGCTGGGGTAGATGCATTTACACCACAGAAACTGGCAAGTATTACAGATTAGGAATTTTTCCCTCAGAGAGCAAATTACTAAACATTTACCAGCACACCACTGCTAACTGTCCAAAATATATCAATAGTACTAATATCAATTCTACTCTGTTTATAGTAAATGTGAATTATATAATAAACCATGAATTCACTCATTCTAAGAGTTTCCAAAATTTATACATACATACAATATATTTTATTAGATTAACATACTGCAAATTATACAGTTGATATGCCTAACTATGATGGATTAGATCATAGACCTGTTTCATTACTATTCATAAAACTTTAAAATATATACCAACATTTGACATAATTAGCTAGCTATCTCTGATGTGAAAACCAAATGTACTAAACTTTCAGACTTAAGTGATTGGCTTGGTATGTTTTTCTACTTATTTTTTCTATGTGAAAATGAATTCACATATTTCAATGTTTTTCCCTAAATTTCCCCAAAATCTACATCATAGACCTTGAGCTTCTTTGTCTATTACAATACTATTTGTGCATTTCATTCTAAATATTTGACTGGACATTTTCAGGAGCCATAGGTAATGTTGACAGCAAGAAAATTAAAGTTTACGGAATTAAGTATTATATTTATTTGAGATATTTATATTTCAGTGCATTTATTTTAATCATACATTTTAAAATAGTAAAATTACCTTATTGGTGCTGCAATACTCTTTTTTAATATGAAAATCTTCTTCCATATAAAATAGTAATCTTAGAAATGTATTTTATAGCATATTGAAAAAATTTAATAATCTAGTACATTTATAAGCATCAGAAAGTATCAAGAAAAATATTATTTTCTGAAATAGTACCTATTGAAATACTTTATCCACCTCTTTCTGCACACACATGCACACACACACACACACACACTTGTGTATAACTTGTTTTTAAAAATCACATAATCTAAAATTAATAATGCAAATCTCTTGATAGGAGAAAATAGAGAATTCAAATTACCAACAATGAGGGTCAACATAGCTAATAACTTTTGTTCTCACACGTGCCCCTTCCTTCCCAGTTGCCAGAGAAAAGAGGGCAGGGACGGTGAAAGTTGCATATGCCTTACTATTGGAAAAATAAAAACTGTATTTTTTCCAGGGAAATAGCATTTCTCCTTGCTTAATTCATTTAAAAAATGTATCCAATAAATACTTATTAACTGACTGCTATATGTTAGGCACTACACTGATGCTGAGCCCACAGAAATTAAACAGCCATGGAAGGCAGACATAAACATCAAAAAAATGGAAACAAGTGTAATGTGTGCTGTGCCGTAATGGATACAGATCACTGTGGGGCACCAAATAAATGAGTAATATATTTAATCTAGGGGGAAAGTTTTCACAGAAATTTTTCACCAAAAGACTTTAAAATTAAATGTACCTTTGTATGACAGGCATTTCAAGTACAGAGTGGCACAAGCAAAGGAACAAAAACTCATACCAGCAGGGCACATTCATGGAACTTCCAGTACTTTTAGTTCTAGTGGAATATAGAGTTTGGGTAGATGGAGAAAGATTGAAGGTCACAGCACACAGACAGTAGCAGATAACAGGTGAAGAGAACTGGAGACATTAACAGAGTCTACTCTGAGAAAAAATAAGCCTCATCCAGAGGCTAGAAAGAAAAGAGAGTAATAGGAAGAAAGAACAGATTTCTAGACACAGAGCTCTCAAAGAATGAGTTAGGAAACTAAGACATTGTGCTAAGAATAAGATATTATAACTTAATCTCTCAGTGGCAAAGGAATTCAAAATTCCTTCAGATCCAGAATATTTCTATGGAGTGAGATGACCATGGTAATAAGAACGAAGATAACTGAAAATGATGAACTCACAGAATTGAGCTTCTAAGGTCTGGCTAGAATATTCAAATGAATCATAGGAACTAGGGAAATAGGGAGCTATAATATATCTATGCTTCTTTTGATCTTTAAAACACTGTACATTATTTGGTAGTTAAATTATTTAACTTTCTTCAGAAACTTTTGTATGTAAATGTGCTGGAGTATGATTTGCTTTATTTATCTTTTGACTTGTCACTTATGACAAACTGCCACATTCCCTTGTGCATAAATGTGTGTGTGAGTGGGGAGAAATACAGTGGTTTGCATGCTCCAGCTTGAGGTATACAAAATAAGAATGAAAGAAAGCAGGTTGGGATTTGCAATCAAATGTGGGTGTTTTCTTTCTGTCTGGCACATATTTAGATCCTATTACTATCACTAGTTTTCCAATGAGGATGGAGACTTAGAAGTTTAAGTAAGTCTACACTATCAGACTGAGCTTCCCCCCTTAATATTATAGTAGGCTAATTACTTAATAATTTACCTCGGAATAACATCTACATTATAAAGGTAGAATTATTAATTAGCAATAAAGACTAGAAGTGGTTGAGAACTGTTAGTTTTCTTTGCCTCCAGGTCAGATGTTTGTTTGTTTATAAATGTGCGAGTCAACATATATCTGTATGTTCTCATTTATTTGACAACTCATTCTAAAAAGAACTTTATAAGTGTTCAATGAGTATGTAACGCCTTGAACTATAATGACTGAATTTGATCATGCACAGGCACAAAATAATCACATTAAAGAAGACGAACTTTCAAAACGTTTTTACTTCTTTATTTAAAAAAAAACTAATAGTGCTTTTAATGTATGTAGGAAAGTTCTAAGCAAATTACCCATTACTTTATTAACTCAATAATATTTATTACAATATAATTAGCATGAACATAAACCAGAATCAAATAAATATAAAGGCACCTAAACAATTTTTTTTTGACGTGGTTTCTTTCTCTGTCACCCAGGCTGGGGTGTGGTGATGCTATCACAGGTCACTGCAGCTGCTTCTTCCCAGGTTCATGTGATCCTCCCACCTCAGTTTCGAGACTAGCTGAGACTACAGGCATGTGCCACCACGCCTGGCTTTTTTTTTTTTTTTAAGAGACAAGGTCTCACTATGTTGCCCAGGCTGTGAACCTTTTTTTAATAAGATATTTTTCTTTGCATTTCATTTATCATTAGTGCTGTTCAGCATTTTTTCTTATGTTTGTTGGTCATTAGCATATCTTCTTTTGAGAATTGTCTATTAATGTCCTTAGCCCACTTTTTGAAGGGATTGTTTATTATTTTCTCATTAATTTGTTTGATTCCCTTGTATATTCTGGATATTAGTCTTTTTGTCAGATGTATAGATTGTGAAGATTTCTCCCACTCTGTGGGTTGTCTGTTTACTCTGCTTACTGTTTAGTTTAATTAAGTCCTACTTATTTATCTTTGTTTTTGTTGCATTTGCTTTTGGGCTCTTGGTCATGAGATCTTTACCTAAGCCAATGTCTAGAAGGGTTTTTCCGATGTTATCTTCTAGAATTTTTATAGTTTCAGGTCTTAGATTTAAGTCCTTGATCCTTCTTGAGTTGATTTTAGTATAAAGTAAGAGATGAGGATTCAGTTTCATTCTCCTACATGTGGCTTGCCAATTATCCCAGCACCATTTGTTGAATACGGTGTCTTTCCCAACTTTATATTTTTGTTTACTTTGTCAAAGATCAGTTGGCTGTAAGTATTTGGCTGTATTTCTGGGTTCTCTATGCTGTTCCATTGGTCTATGTGCCTATTTTTATATTGGTACCATACTGTTTTGGTGCCTATGGCCTTATAGTATAGTTTGAAATCACATAATGTGATGCCTCCAGATTTATTCTCTTTGCTTAGCTTTCTTTTGCTGTGGGAGCTCTTTTTTGGTTCCAAATGAATTTTAGGATTATTTTTCTAGTTCTGTGAAGAATAACTGTGGTATTTTGATGGGAATTGCATTGAATTTGGAGATTGCTTTTGGCAGTATAGTCATTTTCACAATATTGATTCTATCCATCCATGACCATGGAAGATGTTTCCATTTGTTTGTGTAGTCTATAATTTCTTTTGGAAGTGCTTTGTAGTTTTACTTGTAGAGGTCTTTCACCTCCTTGGTTAGGTATATTCCTAAGTATTTTTTTATGTTTTTTTTTTTGCAGCTATTGTAAAAGGGGTTGTGTTCTTAATTTCATTCTCAGCTTGGTCGCTGTTGGTGTATAACAGAGCTACTGATTTGTGTAAATTAAGTTTGTATCCTGAAACTTTGCTGACTTTATTTATCAGTTCTAGGAGCTTTTCAGAGGAGTCTTGAGGGTTTTCTGGGTATACAATCATATCATTAGCAAACGGTGACAGTTTCACTCCCTCTTTACCAATTTGGATGCCTTTATTTCTTTCTCTTGTCTGACTGCTCTGGCTAGGACTTCCAGTACTATGTTGAATAGAAGTGGTGAGAGTGGGCATTATTGTCTTGTTTCACTTCTCAGAAGGAATCCTTTCAACTTTTCTCCATTCAGTACTAGGTTGGTGTGGGTTTCTCATAGATGATTTTTATTACATTGATGTATGTCCCCTGTATTCAAATTTTGCTGAGGGTTTTAATCAAAAAGGGATGCTGGATTTTGTCAAATGCTTTTTCTGCATCTATTGAGATGATCGCATACCACCTTACTCCTGAAAGAATGGCCATAATCAAAAAATCAAAAAATAATAGATGTTGGTGTGGATGCGGTGAAAAGGGAACACTTCTACACTGATGGTGGGAATGTAAATTAGTACGACCAGTATGGAAAACAGTGTGGAGATTACTTAAAGAACGAAAAGTAGAAATACCATTTGATCCAGCAATCCCAGTACCTACCCAGAAGAAAATAGGTCATTATCAGAAAAAGATACTTGTGCATGCATGTTTATAGCAGCACAATTTGCAATTGCAAAACTATGGAAGCAGCCCAAATGCCTATCAATCAAGCAGATAAACTGCAATATATATACATATATATGTATATATATATATGATGGAATACTAGTCAGCCATAAAAAGTAATGAGTTAACAGCATTTACAGCAACCTGGATGGGATTGGAGACTATTATTCTAAGTGAAGTAACTCAGGAATGAAAAACCAAACATCATATGCTCTCACTCATAAGTGGGAGCTAAGCTATGAGGATGCAAAGGCATAAGAATGATACAATGGACTTTAGGGACTCACGGGAAAGGGTTGGGAAAGGAGTGAGTGATAAAAGGTTACAAATTGTGTTCAGCATATACTGCTCAGGTGATGAGTGCATCAAAATCTCACAAATAACCACTAAAAATCTTATGTAACCAAATACCTCCCATTTCCCAAACACCTATGGATATATATATATATAATATATGATTTTTATGCTGTTTATCTGGATTTTTACAGTTGACAATAAGAGGGGTGAAGACAGAGTACGAAAGGTGGGTTTGCTAATTATTAGTGGATATGTTTGAAGCATTGGGGGAAGGTTATGGAAAGAGGAGAGTATAGTATGCTGACAAAAATTACTCAATGTTTGCAATAACATCCAATATAGTAAACAATTTCCTCATCAATACCTCCCACTTTTTTGCAACATTCCAAAAGTATTAAGTCGTTAGTATTAAGTCAAGTTTCAACTATATTATTTTTAATTATATGAAACTTAAAAAAATTAACCTTTTTTCTAATTTACTAGGCTTTGAAACCATTGTTTTTGTTGTTTTGAGTGAAGCCTGTCCCCAGTAGGAGTAAATAAGGCCACTAGAGAAAGAAGTCAATTCTGAAGATGGAGAGAGAGAGAAGTGAATGAAACTACAAACATTGATACCCCTAGATCAAGCCATGACTGCAATTCACTGACTTCTTAATGGTGTGACCCCAAATTTTCCAAAAGTTAGCTTGAACTGTTTTCCATTTCTTACCATCCAAAGAGTCATGTTTAACAACTTCAGATATAAACCACAAGCTGGTTTCTAATTCCAGCTAGTTGTGCAACTGTAGGCAAATCACGTCTTCTCCCTGGATCTGAGCCTCCTTACCTGTAAAATGATTGAAATTGGATTGATCCCCAGGTTGTCATCTTTCCTAACGTTTCATGATTCTGTGATTTAACATATATTTAAATAAAATAACCACTTCACACTGTATCTTAGTTTTGCTCAAATATCATTTCATCTCTGTGTTTCTGATTATAGCCCTGTATTATTCCTACATACTGGAAACTACAAAGAAGAAACAGAGCACACAAGGAAAGCACAGCCAGTGGTTTTTTGCAGGTTTTAATATTGACTAGACACTGTTTTTAGTGGAATATGAACTATAGATTAGTTACTTCCCAAAATAGTTATTTATTCTCTATGGAAACATTCTGAATATGTTTCTTTTAAGTGTATTACTAAGCAGTTTATCTTAGAACTTATTATCTAAACTGAAAGCCCTAATAAAGTCTCTGCCAATTAGATTCGATTCAGAAAAGTTTATTAAACACTTATCCTGATGAAACATAATTTACATATCACCCAAACTGGGTCTCTTTGGTCTCATGCTTTGCGCTTTGCTTTGCACATTAAACACTCAATAAATGTTCGTTAAATTACATTAAAGGAGTTGCTTTTACTGAAGCTTACATGCCCTTCTATGATTAATGAATCATCACTAAGTGAGAAATTAATGACTGTGCTTTGCATATCAGGGAAAAATGTGTTCTGTTTCAGAGAGGGACAAAATTTTACAGCAGGGGAAGAAGACAGGCAACTCCAGGAATTAACAAGAAAGAAGCTTACAATTACAGCTACTGACATGTGAATAAACTCAAAATAGCTGCCAAAATCACTACCTGTGAGATGACATACCCACTAGCTTCGAATTAATCAAGGCTTAACAAATCCCTTCTCCATACAATTAGAAAGGAAAAATAGAAATGGAAGAATCTCTCCAGGACAGTTCCAAAGCAGAGAAAACTCCAAAGTTCAGATTTTTCACCACTGTCGTGTTTCCAGTCCCTCGGCACATACTGTCCTTCCTTGTTCTTATAATCAAAGAACCATAGCACACAGCAAAGGTCAGACAGTAAAGTTAGGCTGACAAGAATAAAAAGAGGAGGCTACTAGGGATGGATCCCAAAGTAGGCAGAGTAATTCTGAATCCACATGTGGCATGTTAGGGAATTACAGCAAACAAAGAAATGCAAGCAGCCAGACAACCCAGCCTGGAGCAGCAGCTCCTGAAGATGGAACCCAACTACCAGTAGAAAGCAGCTGCAAGCAACAAGAAGTCTGTACATGCAAACAGAAAAAGTTGCAAAGGCCTTCAGGAGTTTGGTATTAGGTAAAGCTGGATAAGATTCAAGGACAAGGATAAGTTATGGAGAAATTAAGTAGGATCCAGGGAAAGGCCACATTTTTAGTCAAAGGCTTGACAACACCAGTTATTACAAGTGGAGCACAAGCAATTGGCAAGGCCATTCAGGTGGATGGCCTGATGCTGAGTCAGCAAGTTATTGTGCCAAGTCTTTTAATTATTTTTCAACGTTGAACAGAATTGGTCTTGGGCTTGGATCACTGGGAAAATGATTGTGATGATGTGTGCCAAGTACCTACCACAGAGCAAACACTTCACTGGTGCCATTTTCTTTCTTCTTTTCTTTCAAATACATTATTTAGGAAACTGAGGGGAAGAAAAATCACACAAGTAATACCTTCTACAACATATGACCAGTCCCACCAACATCTGACCATTTGGAGCTTTCGCATAACATTTCCATTAGTTGTTTTGCTGTTACTGACAGCACCATGCTCTCATAAGCTACTAATGTTAGCTATATGCTGTGAACAGACATAAACACAGAATTAGTGGCCTTGGGGAATAATGAGTAAGGCTAATGATAAGAAGAAATAAGCAGAAAAACATGGCTTTCAGAATCCTGGCAAAGTATTGGTAGGGCCCTCGCAGAACACTTAAGTATCTACACAGGTAGGAAAGAGTTCACTCTTACTTCTCATGTGCTCCATGGATGCTGCTGAATGTGGTCTTGAGTATTCATTCATAATAACTTGCATATTTACACATGTAGAGAGAGTAAAAAAGCTGGATATAAAATTATACCAATGTCTCCCTTATCACTTTTCTATTCCAAAATTACCCTTTCACTGATGTCCTCCAACTCTCCTTCTTTTTTGGGTCTTATAAAATACAGGGCTCAACAATTTACTGTACAAGACTGTTCCACTTGTTATCAATGACCAAAAAACATGAGTGGTTGCATTTTTGGGTCAAGGTGTGTATGGGGGTATAATACAGTTTTCAGATTTGACATTGACTCCCATTAACCTTATAATATAATGGCAATTAAAGATAATCCTGAAAAAAACAGAGAGCATAATGATTCACTGAAAATTATTTCTCCTACTATTGTCAATTAATTATAGTAGTTTCTCCTTTGGTTACAAAGTTACATCCACCCACAGCCACCTTCACATAGTCACAAACTTTTTAGTATTTCAAAGTGTAACCTTCACATGGTCACAAACTTCTTAGTATCTCAAAGTGTAAAACTCCATGTGAACTACTTTTCTTCAATTATACTAGGATTTATTTATCCTTTATAGCAAGATACTACCATCATAATATTTTTAAGGGTTATAATCTTCATTCTTTCCTGATTAAGGCATGATTCCATCATGAGGATTTGATTTGGTTAAAACTATGATGAAAATGTTAATTTTATGACTCAATTCTACAAATGATGCAGAAATTTAAATCCACAACTTTTTAAAATACAGTCTTGATATGGCATAAAAGAAAACTTGTTAAATTTTACATCAAAATAACTACTAAAAAGAAACTATGAACAGGTTTAATATAGGACGTTGTAACAATTAGTGTTCACTCCTGCCAACAGGTTATTTTCTTCATTTATGATTTTAGGTTTTACAATGTAATTGCCAGGCCAGCAATAGCTAATCAGGGCATAAAATAAAGTTAAAATATTTTACCAGCCTTATAAACATTTGTGCTGCCATATTTTTCACTAGTTGAAAGCAACAAGACAGCTTGTTAGGTAGCTGAATATAGAGTATATTGGAATTGCACCATATGCTGTTTCAAAGAAACATCTGACTTAGCTAAGAACATGCTTTTGATTTATTAGTTAACTTCTGTGCAGACATATGTGATTTCTTGATTCTTTTATTCGTGTCACACTTTTGATGCAATCATCCCTTATATTCTCTTCTCCTTTTCTTCAATTCCTGGGAGAAAATGCAATCAATCACTGGGGGAAATGTAGTAGGGTAACAGCCCTTTTTCTAATGCAATTTTCCTTTTTTCAAATATATATTTTTGAAAGAGAAAATAAATGAAGTGATTTAGTGGTGATCTTCCTCTCTACACATTTTCAAATTTGAGCTGCCTCAATTTGTTAGTTTTGGTATTGGAAATTGATAGAAAATGATAAAATTCCTCTTACTTTTATACTAATTTGTTCCTTAAAAACTGTTTTAGTTTGTCAGATAATCCAACAAGTAGAGTTCCAAAATAAAAATGGGGTTTAAAAGACCAGATAGTCAATTGGTATATACTTCAGATGCAAGTGGCAGATCCGATACTAAAGAGAAAAGGAAATACATTTCATTCTGAGTTAATACTTATTGAAGACATACTGCATGCTGAGGAATATTGAAGCATTTTACCTGGATTATCACAGTTAATGTCCCCAACAATCCATAGGCAAATGCTGGCCTTAGCCCCGTTCCACTGTTAAATTAACTGAGTCTCAGGATTTAGGTCACTGTCCAAGGTCACACAGCTAGTAAGTTACAGAGCCATGATTGCAGACATAGGCCATTTGGCTTCATGGCTTACAATCATAAATTGTTCTCCTTCTTATCAACTTTAAAACATGGTAAATCACCTACACTCTCTTAGCTTCCATTTCCAAATCTCTAAAACATGAATAATATTATCTAACGCCTCAGACATTTGGGAAGAATATGTTGATTTTTTAAAAATTGTGTGAAGAGCTGAGGGCAATAAGGCATTGACTTTTATGGATATGGGAAACCAGAAAGACTCTCTCACTTCAGAGCTAACATTTTCTTAGTAATTTGCCCAGATACCCTTACAACTAAGAACTTGACTGAATCACGTAATTATTTTAGAATCAGGGATAGAACCCAAGACTCCCATCAACTCTATTTTTTTTCCAACTGCCTTGAAACAAAACCTGATAATTTCAGCCCCTTAAATCCTAGTCCCAGCTGGAATTTGATTTGATAGGAAGAAAAACACTCTGAATTAGAAGGGTAAGAAAACTGTCTCCAAAATTAAACTACTTAGTGCTAACCTTGAAGCTAAGTGGTGAGGTAAAATACAATCATGGTTTCAGGGGTTCTACAAGCAGATCAGACCAATGAATGAGATGAAGACAACATATTAAAATAGATATAATAACCCCATCTCTCCCACTTTCTAAGGAAACATCCTTTGCAGCTCTAGCTACTTGGATGGTTCAATTTTGACTGAGATGATTGGCAGAGATGCAGAACTGAAGAAACAGGGAGAGGGGGAGAAATTTATTTACCTAATGAAGAAACAAGACACAGATTCCATCTCCTCTTCAACCCATTGCAGTTAGGCACCAATCTTATCACTCCACCCAAACCACTCTACCCCAAGTCACCAGTGACCTGTGTGGCTAAACCAAATGGTCAATATCCAGTCTTCATCTCATGATAAATGAGATATCCTTAACTGCATTGAGGACAATTGCTATTTCTCCACTTGGCATCTAGGATACCCCACTTTCTTGGTTTTCCCCTCCTTTGTTGGTTGGTCCTTCTCAGTTTCACTTGGTTCTTCTTTTTCTCCTTGATACTTACATATTAAAGTGTCTACAGATATGGTCCTTGTTCTTCTTTTCTATTTGTTGTAGTAGAAGTGAAAAAACAAATGAGTGAGTTTCAAGCACAGGGAACTGAAGAAAATGGGGGAAAGTGTGGAACTGGCACAGATCTCTGGCTTGTTTGTGGAAATTTTGAAAAAGCATGAGAGGGAAAATGAAGATTTGGAATCCAGGAAGTGTGTGAAGGTTCAATTAACAGCATTGTCTGAAACATGGTGTTTCTAATATAGAAAACATGGCCAAGTAACAACACTTCAAGAGGGAAGATGAAGCCTAAAAGAAGCATGAGGATTCTAGAAAACAAAAACTGAGCAAACAGGCAAACTGGAAAAGGGTCAGTGTAGTATTATGTGAGTAAATATTCTACAGCAGAATGAAGTAAAATTTTTCCATTGGTCAAAATAGCTCAATGAAAGACATCTGAAGAAGTGGCTCTTTCACAGATGATTGGACTTTAAAGTTACCAACAATTAAGTGTAGAGAGAGGGATATCTTTCAAAAAGAATCATGAGTGTACAATTGGCAAATTGTGCTAACCAGAGTTAGATACAAAACTGTTTTGAGAGAACTGTACTATCACCTACCTGAAGAAAAAGAGATTGTGGTCATTTGTTACTTAATATGTCCTTTGGACTCCTAACATTCAGAAGCAGAAAGCAGGCGCTAAGAAAGCTACTGAGGACCAGGTGTGGTGGCTCACGCCTGTAATCCCAGCACTTTGGGAGGCCGAGGCAGGTGGATCAGCTGAGGTCAGGAGTTCGAGACCAGCCTGGCCAACAGGATGAAACCCTGTCTCTACTTAAAATACAAAAAATTAGCTGGGCGTGGTGGTACGCACCTGTAATCCCAGCTACTCAGGAGGCTGAGGCAGGAGAATCACTTGAACCCGGGAGGCGGAGGTTGCAGTGAGCTGAGATCGCACCGTTGCACTCCAGACTGTGGGACAAGAACGAGACTGTGTCTCAAAAAAAAAAAAAAAGAAAGAAAAGAAAGCTACTCAGTACTCAGTCTCCCATGCCCTCTTCAAGTGTGGTCATGGAGCCTGATGCAGAAGAAAATCAGAGCTAAAGGTCACAGAAAACAGAAGAGAAGGGAACTACTTTCAGGGAATAGAACTGGAGCCTAATCAAAGGACATTTCTGCATTCCTAGGGTAGGCAACTATGTAAGACAAGGTCTGCAAGAAGCAGATTCCAGGACAGAAACAAACATGAAATGATTTTATTAGGGAAAATTCCTATGTGGAAGGGAATTGGAAGGGAGCCGGATAAGGCTCTGAGAGTCTGTCAGACAATGATACAAGTCTGTCCCTGACTGAAGAAGAGAAAAGAAGGTTAGGTGGAAGCATTCTAGACTGCCATTCACTAGCAAACCCACTGAGGAGTGGTTTTGTCCTTGGGCCAAAGTGGGAGTCCACACTGTTGGTCCCATAAATAGCCTCTGTCTCTCCCTCTGTGGCTGCTTCATTCATGTGCCCACCATGTCAGTTCTAGGGTGGCCGGCATTGGCTCATATCACTTGGTCAAGTTATTTATTTATTTTTTTTTTTTGAGGCAGAGTCTCGCTCTGTAGCCCAGGCTGGAGTGCAGTGGCACGATCTCGGCTCACTGCAACCACCACCTTCTAGGTTCAAGCGATTCTCCCGCCTCAGCCTCCCAAATAGCTGGGATTATAGGTGCTTGCCACCACTCCCGGCTAATTTTTGTATTTTTAGTAAAGACAGGGTTTCGCCATGTTGGCCAGGCTGATCTCAAACTCCTGACCTCGGGTGATCCACCCGCCTCAGCCTCCCAAAGTGCTGGGATTACAGGCGTGAGCCACGGCGCCCGGCCCTGGTCAAGTTATTTTCTGTGCTTGGTTTCCTAGTGCCTCTTCCGTGATCGGTACCTTCTGGTGGTCATTAAGGATAAATAACAATTTGCACTTTGTTCACACTCCCATACATTTATCCACATGCCTCTCCTCCAGGTCTCCTTATCTCCAACCTTTCAGTCATTTTCCTTCCAGACCCCTGAAGATCACCTGGCCGCTGGCCACTCTGCTGGCTGGGAATCTATGAATATTCTCACCTCAGGCTATTTCTCCTTCCACACAAAGTAGACTACCAAGTACATTAGTTTGTTTTTGTTTGTTGTTTGTTTGTTTTTCCATTGAGAAGCTTTGCTGCCTCTACTGTCTGTAGAGAGACAGTAATATAGTTATATTCTACTTCTGGCTGGCACTCACTACCTACCCAATACACTGATAATTCAAACTTGAACTTCTTCCTCCTTCTACAAATGAATATTGTCATCTGACGCATACAAATGCGAACTGTTTCTGATTTCCTTTTATCATTAGAATGAAAAATAAAACATTTGCCAAATCATTGGCTACATCCATGTACCTGAGGTCTTGTTGATCTGTTTTAGCAACAGTGCCAAATCTGGTGCAGCAGCTGCAATCATGGCTACTACTTGTTTAGCCTGCATTAGTCTACAGCCGTTTTCCTGGCTCAATCTGGCTGCTGCAGGGGCCAGAGTGGCATTAAATTGGTATGTGACAGAGATCATTACCCCTGTATCATCTAGCTCTTTAATAGTGCCACTTAACTCTACCATGTCCACTGGGATAAAATATTGTTTTGATTTACTATCTTGGCTGGGGGTTAGGGAGAGGGAATTTCAAAGTTTTCTCTTTAGCCTCCCCTATTGTAATAGGTTTTTCTCCACAGAGCCAATGTGAGAATTCAATTTCCTGGTATGTCAATTCTGATTACACACTTGGGGACTGGAAAAATGACCACTGAGTGGGTCATTGGGACAAGCGGACTCACTGTGACATGGATTTTAGTTAGATCTTCATTTATTACCTGTCCTCCATAACCCCACCTCAACAGGAGGCCATGATGATACTTCGGGTCTCTGGCTATCAATGTCAACTCAGACCTTGAGTCCAATAGTCCTCAAATATTCTGCTATTCCCCTTTATCCAGTGTACTATTTCCCAAGTACATGTAATTCCTTTTGGGGAAAGATGAGGGGATTGTCATGGCATATAAATGTCATAGAATTCAAGAGGGTCTCCTCTTAGGCACCCAGTCACCTCTTCAGCCAGTGGGTTCCAGACTTGAAAATTGACTGATGGGCTGGGCATAGTGGCTCACGCCTGTAATCCCAGCTGTCTGGGAGGCCGAGGTGGGCAGATCACCTGAGGTCAGGAGTTCAAGACCAGCTGGTCAACATGGTAAAACCCCGTCTCTGCTAAAAATACAAAAATTAGCCAGGTGTGGTGGTGCACGCCTGTAATCCCAGCTACTTGGGAGGCTGAGGCAGGAGAATAGCTTGAACCCGAGAGGCGGAGATTGCAGCAAGCCGAGATCACACCATTGCACTCCAGCCTGGGTGACAGAGTGAGACTCCATCTCAAAACAAAAAAAAAAAAAGAAAATTGATTTATGTCTGGGGACAGAGAAAGGGATTTTTTTTTTTATTGGGCGGGACAACTTTTCAGCCTCTTTCTCCTCCATCATTTGTCCTCTCTCTCTCTCTCTCTCTCTCTCTCTCTCTCTCTCTCTCTCTCTCTCTCTCTCGCTCTCACTCTCGCTTTCTCTCTGCCCCCACCATCAATGTTAAGCAGCAGGCTTATTTGCCCCTGGGACACCATATGTTATTCATCATCTCCACAATTCCCTTTGAGCTCACCAGTTTTACAGTAATTGTGGCCTCCTGGCTTCTGATGGTTTTCCACCACCACCAGCCTCTACTATTGATGGGCCCCATAAGTCATCAGTTCACGAAATAAGCCCAGCTCTGTCTGTGCCTGCCTATCCTACTTCATCCCTGAAGTACCTCTCTCTCACCAGCACATTCCTAATGGCTTTAGTGAATGTATTTCCTCTGAGCCTCTCCTGGGACATAATCCTTTCATGGCTCGTCTGGCTTTACATTATATATATCCAATCCAACATGCCCACTTTACTCAAGCTTTTTTTCCTTCTTTTAATATCTGCCAAGTTAACCAAGCATTTCTAATTTACTGACAATTGGCCGTTATTTTTTCTGGGTTTCTTTTTTTTTTTTCTTTATTTTATTTTAAGTTCCAGGATACATGTGCAGAACGTGCAGGTTTTACATAGGTATAAGTGTGCCATGGTGGTTTGCTGCACCTATTGACCCATCCTCTAAGTTCCCTCCCCTCGCTCCCCACCCCTCAACAGGCCCTGGTGTGTGTTGTTCCCCTCCCTGTGTCAATGTGTAGTCATTTTTCAACTTCCACTTATAAGTGAGAACACGTGGTGTTTGGCTTTCTGTTCCTGTTTTAGTTTGCTGAGGATGATGACTTCCAGCTTCATCCATGTCCCTGTAAAGGACGTGATCTCATTCTTTTTTGTGGCTGCATAGTATTCCATGATGCATATGTGCCACATTTCCTTTATCTAGTCTATTATTGATGGGCATTTGGGTTGGTTCCATTACTTTGCTATTGTAAATAGTGTTGCAATAAACATACAATGTGCATGTGTCTTCATAGCAGAATGATTTCTATTCCTTTGGGTATATACCCAGTAGTGGGATTGCTGGGTCAAATGGTATTTCTGGTTCTAGACCCTTGAGGCATTACCACACTGTCTTCCACAGTGGTAGAACTAAATTACACTCCCACCAACAGTGTAAAAGCATTTCCATTTCTCCACAGCCTTGACAGTATCTACTATTTTTTGACTTTTTAATAAACACCATTCTGCCTAGCATGAGATGGTAGCTCATTGTGGTTTCGATTTGCGTCTTTTTTCTTTTCTTTTTTTTTTTTCTTTTTGGTCTTTTTTGTTTTGTTTATTTTTTTATTTTATTTTATTATTATTATACTTTAAGTTTTAGGGTACATGTGCACAATGTGCAGGTTAGTTACATACATATACATGTGCCATGCTGGTGTGCTGCACCCATTAACTCGTCATTTAGCATTAGGTATATCTCCTAATGCTATCCCTCCACCCCCACCCACCCCACAACAGTCCCCATAGTGTGATGTTCCCCTTCCTGTGTCCATGTGTTCTCATTGTTCAATTCCCACCTATGAGTGAGAATATGCGGTGTTTGGTTTTTTGTCCTCGCGATAGTTTACTGAGAATGATGATTTTCAATTTCATCCATGTCCCTACAAAGGACATGAACTCATCATTTTTTATGGCTGCATAGTATTCCATGGTGTATATGTGCCACATTTTCTTAATCCAGTCTATCATTGTTGGACATTTGGGTTGGTTCCAAGTCTTTGCTATTGTGAATAGTGCCGAATAAACATACGTGTGCATGTGTCTTTATAGCAGCATGATTTATAGTCCTTTGGGTATATACGCAGTAATGGGATGGCTGGGTCAAATGGTATTTCTAGTTCTAGATCCCTGAGGAATCGCCACACTGACTTCCACAATGGTTGAACTAGTTTACGGTCCCACAAACAGTGTAAAAGTGTTCCTATTTCTCCGCATCCTCTCCAGCACCTGTTGTTTCCTGATTTTTAGTGATTGCCATTCTAACTGGTGTGAGATGGTATCTCATTGTGGTTTTGATTTGCATTGCTCTGATGGCCAGTGATGGTGAGCATTTTTTCATGTGTTTTTTGGCTGCATAAATGTCTTCTTTTGAGAAGTGTCTGTTCATGTCCTTCGCCCACTTTTTGATGGGGTTGTTTTTTTCTTGTAAATTTGTTTGAGTTCATTGTAGATTCTGGATATTAGCCCTTTGTCAGATGAGTAGGTTGCGAAAATTTTCTCCCATTTTGTAGGTTGCCTGTTCACTCTGATGGTAGTTTCTTTTGCTGTGCAGAAGCTCTTTAGTTGAATTAGATCCCATTTGTCAATTTTGGCTTTTGTTGCCATTGCTTTTGGTGTTTTAGACATGAAGTCCTTGCCCATGCCTATATCCTGAATGGTAATACCTAGGTTTTCTTCTAGGGTTTTTATGGTTTTAGGTCTAACATTTAAGTCTTTAATCCATCTTGAATTAATGTTTGTATAAGGTGTAAGGAAGGGATCCAGTTTCAGCTTTCTACATATGGCTAGCCAGTTTTCCCAGCACCATTTATTAAATAGGGAATCCTTTCCCCATTTCTTGTTTTTCTCAGGTTTGTCAAAGATCAGATAGCTGTAGATATGCGGCATTATTTCTGAGGGCTCTGTTGTGTTCCATTGATCTATATCTCTGTTTTGGTACCAGTACCATGCTGTTTTGGTTACTGTAGCCTTGTAGTATAGTTTGAAGTCAGGTAGTGTGATGCCTCCAGCTTTGTTCTTTTGGCTTAGGATTGACTTGGCAATGTGGGCTCTTTTTTGGTTCCATATGAACTTTAAAGTAGTTTTTTCCAGTTCTGTGAAGAAAGTCATTGGTAGCTTGATGGGATGGCATTGAATCTATAAATTACCTTGGACAGTATGGCCATTTTCACAATATTGATTCTTCCTACCCATGAGCATGGAATGTTCTTCCATTTGTTTGTATCCTCTTTTATTTCATTGAGCAGTGGTTTGTAGTTCTCCTTGAAGAGGTCCTTCACATCCCTTGTATGTTGGATTCCTAGGTATTTTATTGTCTTTGAAGCAATTGTGAATGGGAGTTCACTCATGATTTGGCTCTCTGTTTGTCTGTTATTGGTGTATAAGAATGCTTGTGATTTTTGTACATTGATTTTGTATCCTGAGACTTTGTTGAAGTTGCTTATCAGCTTAAGGAGATTTTGGGCTGAGACAATGGGATTTTCTAGATATACAATCATGTCATCTGCAAACAGGGACAATTTGACTTCCTCTTTTCCTAATTGAATACCCTTTATTTCCTTCTCCTGCCTGATTGCCCTGGCCAGAACTTCCAACACTATGTTGAATAGGAGTGGTGAGAGAGGGCATCCCTGTCTTGTGCCAGTTTTCAAAGGGAATGCTTCCAGTTTTTGCCCATTCAGTATGATATTGGCTGTGGGTTTGTCATAGATAGCTCTTATTATTTTGAGATATGTCCCATGAATACCTAATTTAGTGAGAGGTTTTAGCATGAAGCGTTGTTGAATTTTGTCAAAGGCCTTTTCTGCATCTATTGAGATAATCATGTGGTTTTTGTCTTTGGTTCTGTTTATATGCTGGATTCCATTTATTGATTTGAGTATATTGAACCAGCCTTGCATTCCAGGGATGAAGCCCACTTGATCATGGTGGATAAGTTTTTGATGTGCTGCTGGATTCCATTTGCCAGTATTTTATTGAGGATTTTTGCATCAATGTTCATCAAGGATATTGGTCTAAAATTCTCTTTTTTTGTTGTGTCTCTGCCAGGCTTTTGTATCAGGATGATGCTGGCCTCATAAAATGAGTTAGGGAGGATTCCCTCTTTTTCTATTGATTGGAATAGTTTCAGAAGGAGTGGTACCATTTCCTCCTTGTACCTCTGATAGAATTTGGCTGTGAATCCATCTGGTCCTGGACTCTTTTTGGTTGGTAAGCTATTGATTATTGCCACAATTTCAGAGCCTGTTATTGGCCTATTCAGAGATTCAACTTCTTCCTGGTTTAGTCTTGGGAGGGTGTATGTGTCGAGCAATTTATCTATTTCTTCTAGATTTTCTAGTTTATTTGTGTAGAGGTGTTTGTAGTATTCTCTGATGGTAGTTTGTATTTCTGTGGGATTGGTGGTGACATCCCCTTTATCATTTTTTATTGCGTCTATTTGATTCTTCTCTCTACGTCTTTTTTCTTTCCTTTTTTTTTTTTTTTTTTTTTTTTGAGATGGAGTCTAGCTCTGTCACCTGGGCTTGGGCTGGAGAGTGAAGTGGCACGATAACCGCTCACTGCAAGCTCCGCCTCCTGGGTTCACGCCATTCTCCTGCCTCAGCCTCCCGAGTAGCTGGGACTACAGGTGCGTGCCACCATGCCTGCCTAATTTTTTGCGTGTATTTTTAGCAGAGACAGGGTTTCACCGTGTTAGCCAGGATGGTCTCGATCTCCTGACCTTGTGATCCACCTGCCTCGGCCTCCCAAAGTGCTGGGATTACAGGTGTGAGCCACCGCGCCTGACTCGATTTGCCTTTTTCTAATGATCAGTGATGTTGAGCTTTTTTTCATATATTTGTTGGCATATAAATGTCTTCTTTTGAGAAGTGTCTGTTCATATCCTTTGCCCACCTTTTGATGGGATTTTTTTTTCTTGTAAAATTTGTCTAAGTTCCTTGTAAATTCTGGGTATTAGACCTTTGTCAGATGGGTAGATTGCAAAAGTTTTCTCCCATTCTCTAGGTTGCCTGTTCACTCTGATGATAGTTTCTTTTTGCTGTGCAGAAGCTCTTTAGTTTAATTAGATCCCATCTGTCAATTTTGGCTTTCATTGCAATTGCTTTTGGTATTTTTGTCATGAAGCCTTTGCCCATGCCTATGTCTTGAATAATACTGCCTTTTCTTCTAGGATTTTTATGGTTTTGGGTTTTACATTTAAGTCTTTAATCCATCTTGAGCTAATTTTTCTAAAAGGTGTAAGGAAGGGGTCCAGTTTCAGTTTTCTGCATATGACTAACCAGTTTTCCCAGCACTATTTATTGAATAGGAGAATAAAATACCTAGGAGTGTAGCTAAGAAGGGATGTATAGGACCTCTTCAAGGGGAACTACAAACCACTGCTCAAGGAAATAAGAGGGGGCACAAACAAATGGAAAAAAAATTCCATCCTCATGGATAGGAAGAATCAATGTCGTGACAATGGCCATACTGCCCAAAGTAATTTGTACATTCAATGCTATTTCCATCAAACCACCATTGACATTCTTCACAGAATTGGAGAAAACTACTTTAAATTTCATACAGAATCAAAGAAGACCCTGTATAGCCAAGACAGTCCTAAGCAAAAAGAACAAAGCAGGAAGCATCATGCTACCTGACTTCAAGTTATACTACACAGCTACAGTAACCAAAGCAGCATGGTACTGGCACCAAAACAGACAAATAGACCAATGGAACAGAACAGAGACCTCAGAAATAACACCGCACATCTACAACCATCTCATCTTCAACAAACCTGACAAAAACAAACAATGGGAAAATGATCTCCTATTCAATAAATGGTGCTGTTTTTTCCAGTTTCTGAGAGCCACTCCAATAATACATGTGCCCCATCACTTGGGTCTTTGTTAGGGTATTAAAACTTATTTTCCAAAAACTCTCCCCAAGTCAATAAACTCTTGCTTATTCAGATTTAAACGTTGGCCCTTTGACCAAGAACTCTTAAATATCCAGTCCCTAGTTATAGGTCTGGCGGCCAGTAGAAGTGGTGAGGGCAGAACAGGGTATGGGTTACCTGTGTGGAGAGGTTCTGAAGCATCTTCTAGCATAGTTGAAGTGGTAGATCTTTCTACAGAAGGGAAAGGTGGCAACTTCTGCACACCAAGAGAATCCAGAGAGGGTTGCAGAGTCAACATCCTTGGGAAAATCCAGATAGCACTGTCACAGTTATCAGAATCTGTAGTTTTCCTTCCTAGGGCTCTGACCTTCACATAGTAGAACTGATTTGACTGAGTTTTCAATCATCTTTGGAACTCTGCAACACTCACAATTAGTTCTCCTAGCCATTTGATTGTCCCTCTCTTTCTCTCTCTCATTTATTATTATTATTTTTTTTTGAGATGGGCTTCTGCTCTTGTTGCTCAGGCTGGAGTGCAATGGCATGATCTTAGCTCACTGTAACCTCTGCCTCCTGGGTTCAAGTGATTCTTCTGCCTCAGCCTCCCGAGTAGCTGAGATTACAGGCATGTGCCACCACACTCAGCTAATTTTGTATTTTTAGTAGAGACAGAGTTTCTCCATGTGGGTCAGGCTGGTCTCAAACTCCTGACCTCAGGTGATCCATCCACCTCAGCCTCCCAAAGTGCTGGGATTACAGACGTGAGCAACCGCACCTGGCCGATTATCCCTCTCTTTCAATATGCTACTGCCATCCAAGCTTTGTGGTTCTCACACTTAGCCATTAATCACATATTAATGTCAGGCAATCTTACGCTATCCTTCTGAAGCACCTAATTTCAACAAGGCGGTAACCAGCCAATTTCACTGTGTTGGCAGGCATGGTTCATCCTATATATCTCAAATGCCAGCACCATGGCACCTTCCTCAGCATTCCCTTTCACCAGGACATTTTTCCAGGTCATTATCAGCAAAATGATTAGCCACTAAACTTCACCTTGTGCCAGGGGCTATTCATCTCCTACCTGCCTATCAGGGCGGTGTCTAATTTTCCACTGAGTGGTCAGTAGGCCAGTGCCAAATCTTCATCTTACTCCTATTTTCCTAAACCAAACTTACTCCCACTTCTTTTAGTTTAGATCCTCCAAAAAGCAAATGCCTAGGCAAAATTAAGCATGTAAGGATTTTAGTAGAGCAAACACCTGCAGGCAAAGAAATAGGGAGAGAGTTAGACAAGGGTGGGAAACCCATTAGACTGTGAATGAAGGAAAGCAAGAGAGAGAGTGTGTTGAGGAAAGGTGCCTAAACTGCTTTACAGAGGAAGGCAGGCTCAGCAAAGCTGCTAAGGTTGGTCTAAAAAGGGGTACCAGGTCTCCCAGGAACAATTCTGTTTTAGGATTCCAACTCTTGCTCACGAAGTCTTTGGTGAAGAGCAGACCATGGCAGACATGGCCTCTACTCCAAGGCAATGAAGGATGTATCACTGGATCCCCTCTAGGTCAAGTGTGCTCCCTGTATTAAAACCTGCAGACACATTCTCATGGCCTTCACAGCCCCTCACATTGTTTATCTAGTAGGACTTTACAATTGTTAATAATTATTGACTGCTCTGGGTCTTCCAAATGGAAAGTTTAATGTGACAATCTTGTTTTTGTTCCATCATTGTAGATGTACATCATTGGAGACAGATAAACTTTTTGTTCATAAGTCCCCTGGGAAAAAGGAACCACATTCAGACCAATTGCAGAAATCTATCCAAGCTTTAAGGTCTGTGTCAGTTAGCATTTGCTGCATCACAAACAACCACAAAACATTGCCAGTGTGTAATAGATATTTATTTAGCTCAAATGTCTGCAGGTCAGTGAGGTTCAGCTGATTTGGGTTGGGCTCAGCTGCACAGCTCCGCTCCAAGCCTTAGTCCAGCTGGACATAGCTCTTCACTGAAGTTTGGGCTCAGGTCTGTCCATATGTGTTCATTTGGGGCCCAGCCAACAGGGAGCTCTTCTCACGGTGAAGAGAGAAATATAAGACAATGTGCCCAGCTACTAACCACATGTCAATTCCCTGCTTGTGGTCGCTCTTCTAGCGGTCTATTGGCCAAGGCAAATTAACAAAGCTAAGGCCAAAGTCAAGGAGAGAGGCATGGCAGGAGGGGTGGGAGAGGGGACCTTTAAACAGTAATCTATCACAATGCTCTTTCCAGCAAAGACAGACTATCCATATGCGTTGGTAGGAAAGCCAACTTGGATACCTCCCCTGACACACAGTGTCCATCAGCATGGGCCTTACACAATTCTTTGGCATACAGGAGAGGATGATGGTCCAAAGTATGGAAGGCATATCGGAACCAACCAGGGGGATATTCTGAAGTGTTTCCTTTCTTTTTTTTTTTATTGTTATTATACTTTAAGTTCTAGGGTACATGTGCACAACCTGCAGGTTTGTTACATATGTATACATGTTTCCTTTCTTATCTCTTGCTATGCGAGAAACACTTTGTAGTGAGCCACTATCATCAATTCACTCAGCAGATACAGACTAAACAACTACATATGACAGACTCAAGGTGGGGCCCTGAGGTGACAGGGAAGATCCAGCCCCTGCCCTTTTGTGGTACAGTAAAAGAGACAGACATTAGGAAAAAATAATAATAATTAAGCAAATATTTAATTATAATTCAGGTAAGTGAAATAAGGAAAAAGTAACAGGGAAAACTGAGTTTGCCTGGGGATTGAGGAAAGATTACTTAAGAAAGAGACAGCTGAACTGTGTTCTGAAGAATGAGCAGAAGATGCCTCAGTGGAATGGGGTAGAAGTTGTGGTAGAAGATTCTGGAAGGGGATTCCAAGAAGAAGGAATAGCAGGAGTGATGGTCCTAGGACAGAAAGTAGTGGGGCATGTAAGAGAAGCCCTCATAGCACCTTCTCTGCAGCAGGGCTTTTTCCAAGCTACTTTGAAGGACCTCACTGTATTTCCTTCAACAACCTAAAATTATCTTTTCTTTTTACTTATCTATTTTCTATAATTAAAATAAAAGTTCCACAAAAGTGAAGAAGTTTTCCGTCTTATTCACCCAGGTTCTGTATACGTGTCTATTGAATTAATTGATTAATAAACATAAAAAGGCTTACTGCCTGAAGTACAAAGAGCTAAGGTAAAATGGCTGAAATAGGAAGAGGAAGAGGCCACAGCTGATCTAACAATACCTGTGAGTCATATTCAGGATTTGGGTGTTTAATCTAAGAACAATATTGTGCCATTAAAGGTATTAGAATAGAGAAATGGCGTGCTTCAAATTATCTCTCTAAAGTATCATTCTAGCTGAATTGTGTACAATGGATAGTAGGGATGAGTTAAGAGGTCATTGTGGTATTCCAGGGGAGGAAAATTGGCTTAAACTAGGAAGAGGTATAAGAGATGGAGAAAATTCTTGTATTGTAGTCCTCAAGGATTCTGGGAAATAATAAACTTGAAAGCCATACGCTTGAGTGCTCATAAGTCTCATAATAGTAGCTGACTGCTGTGTGTCAGCAGTGGTAGGAAGTTTGGATAATCAGGGGATACTGAAACTTCTAGTTGTAAAACGAACTTTTCTGGATGGATGACAGTGAGATCATGAGCAGATTCTCCAGTGACTGTATATACCATTTTCATAGGAATATAAGTACATACTCTTCTAGCATCTGGTCGATATCTGAGTGATAGTAAATAAACAGACGGATACTGACAAGTATGGCTAGTTTGAATCTTGCCTTCCCAACCTGGTTTGAGACTGGGAAGCTTGGAGATGGAGACGAGGGACTGTAACTGTATGTTTTTTTAGCATCTCTTCAGCACCTAGCAGTATTTGAATAAATGGCCAACAGATCAACTGAAAGAAATTGGGAGTTGTTAGTAGTGTGGGGGAGAGGAGGAGTGTTTCAGGTAAATACACTTCCCACCTGATGAAGTATACTAACACTAAAATGGCTTGTACCAGGATTGGGAGAAACAATGATGGCAAGGTTAGGCCTGAAGTGAAATTCATTCTGATGGTATGGGAATGAACGGGTCAGTAACGTTGAATAGGAGTTCCCAGAGTTGGCATAGGGGCTGCTGTAACCTCGTCTTAGAGATGAACAGGGTTAATTACGCCTCTTCCCAGGGTAAAAACAGTCAGGTCAATCAAGTAGGCTTTAGATTCCTGTAACATGGGACCCCAGAAGGAAAGCATCTTGACCACTTTTAGCTTCCTTGAATGCAAATGAAATCTGAGAAAATGAAGGATGGTATTTTTCCACAGAGTTGAAAAGATAATGGGATTAGCATTTTGGGATTGTCTGATGTCCTTGCCTTGTTAATCTTCTAAGAGACAGACAGGCATATCTAGATCCAAAAGACCTCTTGCTGGCTTCCTAAAACATGACTGCCAACCTAGCACCACCTGGAGATGTGTGGTGTAACGTCTGTTCCCCTGGCTGTTGACTTGAACAAGGCGGGAGGAAGTGTCCTGAGGGCCAGGCAGATTAGCTGATCTTGAGTGACGGGCCCCAGATGCCAAAAGTGCCTGGTTAAGAGCCTGCTCTTGAGAAGTTCCTAGACTCTCAGGCTCTGATCCTGGTAATTTAGTGAGTGAATGTGTAGAGAGAGTGCATCACTATGTATGTTCTCCAGTTGCATGTCCAATATAAAAGCCACTAGATACATGTGGCTACTTGAATTTAATTCAAATTAAATCAGTTTAAACTTCAGCTTTTCAGTGGTACTAGCCATGTGTGGCTAGTGATGATTATATTAGACGCACAGGTAAAGGACATCTCCATCTTTGCATAAAGTTCTGTTAGACAGTCCTATTCTAGACTTCCTAAGCTTTCTCAGCTGTAAAATGGAAAAAAATTCCTGCCTTTCTCATAGAGATATGAGCATGAATAAGCTAATGAGGATGAAAATACTTCAAAAAATGTTGCATGCATTATGAGGCAGGGTTGCAGTGTGATTATTGCTTGCTTTCTGGCTGCTGGATTTATCATCTACTGTCAAATCAGCACAGCAATTTACTGCAGGAGTGAACCATCTCACAAGAACCCAGGCCATTCTGAGAAAGTCCCTCAGCCTGTGGAAGGTGTTTACTGAGCATGGTGTCGAGCAACTAACTGGCTTCTCCAGACTATTTTCCAAGCTGCCTGGCAAGAATCCTTTGGAAGTCCATCTCACCTTGGCTTGATCGCCTCTGATCACACCTAACCCTCCCAGGCCAATTATTTCTATCTTTAGTAGCATGTTTGGGGTTGACTGGAAAAATGGTGTGAGGCCAATCCAGCTTTCAATTCATCTAATGGCCCTGAGCAAGGCCCACTTCAGAGATGTAGGACCTGAGTAGTCATACAGTGCCTTGCACTCAAAAGGGCTCTGCTATTGCCATGTTGAAATTGCCAACAATTTCATATTTAAACATATTCGTAAGTGAGGTCCAGTGTGTCAGGGGAATATACACTGGAACAGAGGAGATACAAAGCAAAATGCAGGCATCTTGGCCTGTTGTATTCCTTAGCTCCCAATTCACACAGTGTTCGTGATGTCCAGGAGCACAGGATTCTGGTGGACCCACGCTAAGTGGAAGTTCATAGAGACTCAAGTCAAGTATTCACGGTCGGTGTCTTATGTCCACTACTGAGGAAGCAAAGGCACTGATAGCCCCAAAAGGCCATGATTTTTATTCAAACCAGAGCTTGCTTCAAACACAGAAAGAAAACAATAGTGTTCTAAGAAACATGAACAACCAAGGAAACTTACCATACTTTCTTATGCATATTAGTTTCCTGTGTTAATGACCTACTTACATTGAAAATGATGACAAAGGAGGAAAGAAAAAAACAGGACAACCCATATTTCATTTTCTTTCTGTCTTTCATTACTCATCAGGAAGCTGAAGGTAGAGAATGCTGGTAGAATGTATGCATGTAAAGAAGTAAAATAAAAGCATTTGAATTAGTTTATGCAGTTTCCACTGTTCTGGTAAGGAAAAAAAAGATATTCATGTGCAAACTAAAAAAAAAAAAAAAAAAAAAAAAAAAAAAAAAAAAAAAAAAACAATAAAACCATGGTGGAATTTCCACATGCGAATTAAATACTCCCATATTTGCATTTAAAAATAGGTATTGCACAATAGAAAGATGAATGATAAAATGTATGCTAATCATTTTAAATTTTAATTTTCCTTTTCTTAAGATGACACTAAATGGCAAACAAAACTATCATGACAGGAGAAAGATTGTAAACTAAAGGAAAAGCTTTATATTTTAGTATATTTAATTACACTTTTTTTTCCTATTTTTTGAACAAGCAGTTTCATTATGGACTTGGCCCTGCAAATAACGTAGCCAGCTCTGACTATAAGCTAGTTATTTGACTTCTTTCCATTTCATTCATTCAATATCGAGTGATTAACTGAAAAACAGATTTTGGCTGCAGGTACTCAAGTTTAGAATGCGGCTCCAGGTCTAAATGAAGGGAGCTGAAGTGCAGACTGTATTGAGAGGAAGAATAGTATAGTGATTAAAGCACTGATGCCAGGAGCAGGGTGCCTGGCATTACATTCTGGCCCTGTCAACCTTTCGATCTGGGGTAATTTATTTAATTTCTCTGTGTCTCAGTTTCTTCATCTGTAAAATGGAAATCTGGTAATAACAATGCCTACTACATGGGGTTGTTGCAAATGTAAAGTGCATTAATATTAATAAACGTAAAATACTTACAATAGTGTGTTGCATATATTTGGTACTATTAACCATTACTATTATTTTATAAAATAGAGGGAAATAGCCTAACTTTAATCATAAATCTGAGTCACCTATAGTACATTATTATAAATTAGCATTATTTTAAAAATTATATATGACAATACTTAGAAATATTTAGCTTCGAGCCAGCTGGCGTGTGAGGGGTTTGCTAGTTCTAGGGAGATTCTTCAAGCAATCACTACGTCAACAGACACAGATGCTTCCCTATCTTCATATGATGAAGATCAGGGACCCAAACTTATTAGAAAAGCTAAAGACGCACCATTCATCCCCATTGGAATGGCAGGTTTTGCAGCAATTGTTGTATAGGGATTATACAAATTGAAGAGCAGGGGAAATACTAAAATGCCCCTTCATCTGATCCACGTGTGTGTGGCAGCCCAAGACTTTGTTGTAGGAGTAATGACTCTTGGCATGGGCTATTCCATGTATTAGGAATTCTGGGCAATCCTAAGCCTTAGAAGAAATGAAGCTGTCTTGGTCTTCTTGGAGGAGCTTGCTTTAGTTAGAGATCTCATTACTGAAGTTACATATTAATGTTAAAAATAAACTATTTGAGTGGGTTCAGATGGTAACATGGCATTTCGAATATTGGCTTCCTTTCCTACAGGCTTGATTTGCCTGGTGATCGAATTATTCGTGACTAGTTTACCAACTAGGTCATTCAGGGGAGTCAAGTTAACACAAAAGAAACATGTCACCTAAATGCACTGGATAGTGTTAAAATGTCCACCTTCTTAAACTATTGAGGTGAAATTAGTTCTAAAGAAGACAGCACGCCAACCCTGAAGTACTCCCAGTTTGCTGCAGAATCTCTCATGTTTTGGATGTTATATAAGAGTCCTATTTGCCCCAGTTAATTTAACTTTTTTTCTACCTGTCTTGTGGACTGGCTGGCTTTTTTAGAGCTCTGTCTAGAAAATGCATGGAATAGAAGTTGTAAAGCCTCCCACAGCTGAAAGTATATATGTGTGTGTGTGTTTAAACCAAATCTAGAAAGCTTACAATAGGGCTGCAGAGTAGTAGTATTTATTAAAGAATCGCGGCAGGGTGCGGTGGCTCACGTCTGTAATCCCAGCACTTTGGGAGGCCGAGGCGGGTGGATCACGAGGTCAGGAGATCGAAACCATCCTGGCTGACACGGTGAAACCCTGTCTCTACTAAAAATACAAAAAAATTAGCCAGGTGTGGTGGCGGGCGCCTGTAGTCCCAGCTACTCGGGAGGCTGAGGCAGGAGAACGGCGTGGACCCGGGAGGTGGAGCTTGCAGTGAGCCAAGATCGCGCCACTGCACTCCAGCCCGGGCGACAGAGTGAGATTCCGTCTCAAAAAAAACAAACAACAACAACAACAACAAAAAACGTAATTATAAACATGAGAATAACTTATGGATTCTAGTTTAGTTCTCTTGTAATTGTAGAGTTATATTTTTGCGGCTGTTACATTAGAATAATTTTTAAATATCATCTTGAAATAGAAATGTGTATTTTAAGCACTCATAGAAAGGTAAATAAACACTTTCTAAATGTGTGCGTTGCTGGCTGTGCACGGTGGCTTATGCCTGTAATCCCAGCACTTTGGGACGCCGAGGTTGGTGGATTGCTTGAGTTTAGGAGGTCGAGACCAGCCTGGGCAACATAATTAAACCCTGCCTCTACTAAGAATACAAAAATTAGCCAGGTGTGGCAGCGCACACTGGTAGTCCCAGCTGCTCAGGTGGCTGAGGCAGGAGAATTGCTTGAGCCTGGGAGGCAGAGGCTGCAGTGAGCTGAGATCACACCACCGCACTCCAGCCTGGGCAACAGAGTGAGACCCTGTCTCTAAATAAATAAATAAATAAATAAATAAATAAATAAATAAATGTGTGCTTTTCTTATTTTCTCCCTAAGAATTATAAACATTAAACTAAACAAATTACCTATAATGGAATTGATTAATGCTTTATGAGCAAGCTGGTTTGGTCAGACAGTGTATACACACTTTTATATACTACAGAATGCTATTACACTTGTGAAATTCTCTTGTCTAACCTGAATTTACATTCCATAGTGATAACATGGTATATGTATTGTTATTAAATCAAGTGACCATGTCTAAAAAAAAAAAAGAAATATTTACCTTCACTAAACACTACTTAAGCACACATGTAGTTTGAGGTTCTGATAGGTGAGCAGAAATCATCATCTTCCCAAAATGAACATTTTCTGGTTGTCTTAGGCTTATGACTAAACACGCTCAGACACTGCTTCAGGTAACTTGCCCATAGACAGCCAGACTACATTAGTATTGCTTTGTGTTTGAGCTACAATTACTTGTGAAAGAGAAAAAATTATCAAATTTTATTTTCCAAATTATATATTTAATTGGTAAGTTACTAACCACTTAGAAAAAATAAATCATAACAAAGCTAGCTGAAACAAATTTGCCTTCATCTATCCTAGAAACTTACAAATGTTTGGATGTTCAGGCACAGATCATACATTATATTGATGTATCACAACTTGGAAGATTCAATACCATGGAGAATAGAGCCTGAACTTAGAACTGGAAAGTAACATTTGCAATTATAAAGACCTAAGTTCTCATTTCTCTAAATAGCTATGAAATTCTTCCATGTTCCAAATCCCCTTGGAAGTGTGTGAGTGTAAGAAGGAAATAAGTGCCCAGCCTTAATAATTAAAAATACCACTGCAACGTTTATCTTTAAAGAGAGCTCTGCAGGCTGGAAAAAGAAAGATTTCAATCTGCTTCTAAGTAAAATAATCTTTAATTTTAAAAAGTACTCCCAAAGTTATTTCATTAAAAAACCAAAGGATACATTCTTTCTTTTAGATTAATTCCATTCTCCTGCAAAATGTCCTGAGCATTTTGATTCTTTCATTCTTGTTCATATTTTTATTTCTTAGTGACTTTTCTCTTCTCCTAACATACAAACTAAGGGCAAGCACGCTCCCACAAATGTTTATATCCTCCCAAAGTGACTAATATAGTGTCATACATTCAGTACAAATCTTATTTCATTGATTGCCATTTGATTAATAAACCTTAGTAAGATTTTCTAACAAGGATAATTTTTAAATAATAGGATTTAAAATGAATAAGTAAAGAAATCATAGATTTTATACTGTCTTTCTGTAATAATGGCTAAAAGTCACCTTAAATTTACTAAATCTCTGTAAACTGAATATTATAAAACAAAACACTTCAAGATGGTGTAGCAAAGACTAGCCTAGTCTTATATTCTCAGGGCTACTCATCCCTCAGTAGTTTTTGGAAACCAAATGAATTAAGCTTCCACCTCTACTACTCTGGATAATGTCAAAGCCTAGCTAAGCAGCACTACCCGTTGACATTCGCCTTGGTGCCTGGGTGTAATCCAAAGTATCTATAGACACTTGGCAACTTACTCTTAGAATCATATAAATTTAGAATTGGAAAAGTTCACTAAATTTATCTAGCCCATATTCTTCATTTTCGCATGAAGTACTAAAGCCCTCAGATGTTCTATCATTTGCTCAAGGGCACTCAACTCAATGAGTATGTGGATATAAGCTATCAGGTCTCCTTAACTTCAAGCCCAGTTCTTGTAACTCTACAGCATCTTCTTTATCCAACTCTCAGAGAATTTCTATGACCCAGAAGTACTTGGGAGCAATGTTTAATCATTAGATCCTTCTAAAATGAGGAGGAAAAATTCATTAATTCAGGAACTCAAGAAAAACCAGGACTTCTGGATACTTTCTGACTGTTTGGAAATCATGTGAAATGCTAGTGTATGTATATAATCCTTTATTCTACTCATATTTTTTGTGGGATACAAGAATATTGACCTCAGACTCGTCCTGAAACTCTGAAGTAATGAGTGTTCAAAATACCCTTTCCAGACAGAGTTCCAAAGGCTTCTTTTCAAAGAAATGTCCTGCCTCTAAGGGTCACTGCAGTCTTCCAGGTGGGAGCGTAGGGGCTGGGGATGAAGGTAGGTATTGGATGCTGAGGCTGTTAAGGTTAATGATGTCAGGTCAAATAATTGCCATATATTTTTTCTCATTACCTCACTGGCTTCCTCTGTTATGGCAGTAAGATATATAGTACAAACACTTAAATACATACAGAAAAGGGAGATATTTTAAAATGAAAGGGCTTCAAGATTATTCCTCTAGGGATAGTACAGAATCTGTCTGGCTATGAGGTAGAGGGAGTAGCCTCTCCTAAATTTTAAGATCAAAATTAGCAAGAAGTGAAGCCAAACTTGGGCTAGGCTAGGAATTTAGGACTTAGCCTCTCTTATGGATGTAATTATGTTATTCCTGTAAAGCTACAGACATAGAAAAGATGACTTCAAATAAAACATATAGACAGCACAAAGGCCCACATGTTTAACTGCACGATCAGGTTGAAACTGCAGCCATAAAAAATTGGCCTGTAGAATCCTAATCCATTAAAACAAAGGAAAAATTTTAGAGGACATGTCAAACAGATGAGAGATTAAGAAACTGAGGGCCTTGACAGTTAAGAGACCTTCCAAAGGTCACACAACTGTCAGAGGCAAATCAGTCAGGCCTCTGCATATATTTTATATTATCAACTGCCTGCTTTGTACTGTTTTGAAGCAGAAGTCCAACCCCCAAATTTAGGAATCGAAATGTAAACTGCTTTAATCTATGAATAGGAGAATTTTGAGATAAGTCAAGGTCAAAGAGAGACTATAGGAAAAGATATTACATATTTTCCTTTTGCCATTATTCAATGAGCTGTCCATTGGCTAGGTATAAGCTGTGGAAAGATTTCTCCTGGATTCATCTATTCCCTGGAAAGAAAACTCAATCTGGCTTAAGAGAAAAAATTCCTCTCCATGTAATGATAAATTGTCTAAATTGAAAGCTCACACCATAATCAAAGTTGAACTGTACAGACATCCTACAAAATTAAATTTTCATCTAGTGAATCTGAATGTTTTGAAGAAAAAAATACTTCTGTTTTTAAGGCCTACTCCCAGGTAACTAAAACACAATCATAATGAAATTTTTTCTTCATTTCTATAAGCTCTGTTTTTAGTGGAATGCTTAATGTTCTTTGCATGTAACCACCAATAATACTATTTTTATAAGAAAAAAATACCTGTATATGTTGATATATAATGATTCATGCAGTTTTGCTGAAACTAAATATAAACTTAACACATTTTTTAATGTGTCAAGAAGTTTAACCACACAAAATGTTCAGTGTACATTCATAAGTTTTCTTTTGTACTGTACTGAAACTAAATTTCATATTTTCATACAATCTATACAATCTGATTCTCTGTGTGTTTCAAATTTACCCGAATATCATCTCTATAATAGTGCCACTAAATAGTTTAAGATGTAGTTGATTTAAACTACTAGTCACAAACCTCAAGAATCAATAATTTTATAAACAATACATTCTTTTTTTTTTTTTACATAACTATCTCCAGGCCCCAAACTATCTTTCTAAATTTATCTCCCACTTTTCCTCATCCTGATGCAGCTCTAGATGCTGTGAGCTGGTGTCTTCCAGCTCATGCTTCTCCAGCTGTCTTGCTCAGCTGATTATGCTCTTTCCTCTAACAGCCAGAAGCTTAAATTCTACCCAGCCTTTCAGAGCCATGTCGGATACCTTCCTAGTGCCACAGCATTTCCTAATAACTTGGTCAGGGATAATCTCATTCGCCTGACAGACTGTAACCTTTCATTTCTTCCTGCTGCACCATCACCTTTTGCCTCATAGCATGGATCTTTAGGGAACAATTTATTATAGTGGTAAGAGTGAGAACTCAAGAGCCATACAACCTGAGTTCAAATCCTGCCAATCTACTGGCTCACTGCGGATCTTGGGAATATAGTTTGACCTCTCTTAAATCCAATTTCATCATTTATCAAATGAGATAATTATAGTACCTACTTTATAAAGTTGTAATAATCTAAGATTATAACATATAAAATGCACTGAAAGTTGTCTAATACCTAGTAATTGCTCAATAAACATAAGCAACTACT
Source organism: Homo sapiens (assembly GCF_000001405.40). NCBI lineage: Eukaryota > Metazoa > Chordata > Mammalia > Primates > Hominidae > Homo > Homo sapiens. The sequence goes on along the minus strand of NC_000008.11, from coordinate 77,008,195 downwards.
AATACTTCAATTTTATTACTATTATCATCACTATTTGCAGTGGAAAGAGCTTCTACTAATAATTAAGTGACCCAGGAAGTTGCCTAATCTTTCCAAGTATTTGTTTTATTATCTGTACTAAAGCAAAGCTTCTGCACAGCAAAGGAAACAATCAATAAAGAGACAACCTGCAGAATGGGATAAAATATTTGCAAACTATCCATCCAACAAGGGATTAATAACCAGAACATATAAGAAACTCAAACAACTCAATAGCAAAAAAACAAATAATCTGATTTACAAATGGACAAATGATCTAAATAGATGCTTCATAAAAGAATACATACAAATGGCCAACAGGTATTAAAAAAAATACCCAACATCACTAATCATTAGGGAAATGCAAATCAAAACCACAATTATATCACTTCACTCCAGTTAAAATTATCAAAGGACAAAAAATAATAAATACTGGCAAGGATGTGAACACTCACACACTGTTGGTGGGAATGTAAATAAGCACAGCCACTGTAAAAAACAGTATGAAAGTTCCTCAAAAAACTAAAAATATATCTACCATATGATCCTGCATTCTCACTGCTAGGTATACATCCAAAAGAAAGAAAACTAGTGCATCAAAGAGATTATCTACACTCCCATGTTTATTGCAGCACTATTCACAATAGCCAAGGTAAGGAAGGAACCTAAGTGTTTATCAGTGGATAAATGTATAAAAGAAAACATGCCATACATGTAATTAATATATATGGCATTTATACATACATATATATATATGGCATATATTATTAATATATTAATAATATATGACATATATTTATATATAAAATTAACTTTTTGTATATTTCAAAATACCTACAAGATTTGGAATGTTCCCAATACCACTAAATAACATTTGAGGTGATGGATATTCAAATTACCCCAGTTTGATCATTACACATTGTATGCATGTATCAAAATATCACATGTACCCCATAAATATGTACAATTATATAACAGTAAAATCTTTAAACATTTTTGAAGTCAACAGCAAAAAACTGTATTTACTTTATTATTCATTATCTATTGCTGCATAAGAAATTATCCCCAAACTTACTTTTTTGAAAAACACGTATTATCTTGTAAGACCTATGGGTAAGGCATACGAGGTCCTCTAGTTCAGAATTTCTCACAAGGCTGCAATCAAGGTGTCCATAGAGCTGCAAGCATTTCAAGGATCAACTAGGGAAGGATCTGCGTCTCAATTCATGCTCTTGTTGTAGGCAGAATTTAGTTTTGCACAAGCTGTTCGTCTTGGGGCTTCAGTTACTTTCTGGCTGTTGGTCACAGGTGATGCTCAGTTTCTTGACATGTGGGTCTCTTTCAAAGGCAGTTTACCACACTGCAGCTTGCTTCATCAAAGCAAGCAAATAAGAGGGCAAGAGACAGACAGTGTAAGTGAGAGACAAGTCATAGTTTTCTGGAATCCAATCTCAGAAATGATATACTATCACTATTGTCCTACTCTGTTCATTGGTAGAGTCACTGGGTTAAGCTTACATTCAAAGGAGGGAGATTATACAAGGGGGTGAGTGCTATGTGATGGAGATCATTGGGTCATCTTAGAAGGCCTCCTACCACACCTCATAAAGTTATTGTGGAAATTAAATGGGATTAATGTATCTGTAGTTCATTGTAGAGTACCTAGGACACGGCAGATATGCAACAAATATGAATGTATTCTTCCCTCTCTAGTAGAATAAAAATCCTAGGAGACAAAGACATAATCAGTGAGCCCTGCAGTACCTAAGCATTCTACTAAGCCAACTTCGCTCTCAACAACCAGTAGAGTCATAAATGATACTGACACTACTGTTAACAATCTAGCTAACATTTATCTTTATTTTCAGAAGCTACAACCTATTACCTTTCCACAGTGACTCATTTACAGTACAAGAGTGTGGTAGGCAGAATAACAGTCCTCCAAAGAAGTCCATACTCCAATCCATAGAACTTATGAATAAATTACTTTACATAGGGAAAGGAATTTTGCACATGTAATCAAGTTAAGGTTCTTGAAATGGGAAGACTGACATGGTTTATCCAGGTGGGTCCAATTTTATCACAAGAATCCTTTAAAAGCAGAGAACCATTCCTGGCTGTGGTCAGAGAAACACTTGTGATTATGCCAGAATGATTAGAGAGATGCAACATTGCAGGCTTTGAAGGTAGAAGAAGGGGGCCAAGAGCCAATGAATGTGGACAGCCTCCAAAATGGGAAAAGGCAAGAAAACAGATTCTAGCCTGCAGTCTCCAGTAAAGAGTGCTACCCTGCTGTCAACTTGATCTTAGGTTGGTGAGATTATTGTCAGACATCTGATCTATAGAATAATAATATAATAAATTTACGTTGTTTTAAGCAACTAAGTTTGTGGTAATTTGTTATAATGGCAACAGAAAAATAATACAAAGAGAAAATATGTAAGTGTTTCCTGAGAGAGATCACACACAGGTACTCTCTAAATGTTGAAGGAATATATATGATCATTCTAGAATGTACAATATTAAAAATCATTGAGTAAAAAAACTAGTTCAAAACACCACTAGAAAGTACGGGACGATTTTTTCTAAATCATTGTATTTCAAGACCATTACCTATCATCAAAAGCAATGAGAATAAAAACTATTATGTTTTTATTTAACAAGCACTTGTAGAACATTTACTAGGTGGTAGACACTATTATAGAGTCTAAAGTCATAGATACGTTATAAATATTATTCATTTAGTTCTATTAACTTAAAAGACAGTTACTATTATCATTCTTCTTCTACAGACAAACAACAAACACAATTTTGATTAGCTTTCCCAAGAAAACTTCCCCAAGCTTGTAAGTGGCAGAGCCAGAATTCAAACTCAGGCACTCTGGCTCCAGAGTACAGGAATTATGCTTCTTCTAAAATCATAATTGAATTGTATATAATAATCATAATGAAATCATATATATTCCAAATACATAGTTTCATATATTTATTTAGACTGAAGCAGACTAAAAAATTGTATATATTCTGGATTATTTTTCCCAAATCATTCATTGACCAATTACTAAGTACCTCCTATGCCACGGGCATAGAGGAAAAAGAGAAATGAATAAAACAATTAGTCTCCCCTTAAAGAGTTCACAGATTAGTGACAAGAGACAGATGATACAATAATACAATAATTTATGTTATCATGAAATAATATAAATTCATTAAAGCAAAACCATCTCTTATGGCTCTATTATCCATGAGCTCCTGATTTAGAAGGGAAGATATGTATTTAAATAAACAACTGTGTGACACCTTTTAAGTTACGGTAGAAGCATGTAACTGGTACCAAGAGGCACAGAAAAAAGAGTAATATTTGTAGGACCTGGCAGAGGGGACACTGAATGGTTTGAAGAAGGAGAGTAACATATAGAGTTTTGTAGTTTAGAGATCATTCCAGCAAGCAAGGATAGTAAGCCTGAAGGGCAGTGAGGCTGGAGGCCACCAATTTGTTAAGAGATGGCTTAAAGTGCAAGGATAATGAGGGTTTGAATTAAGGCAAGTGCAGGAAAGATTATTAAAAGAGAGAGTGAATTTGGAGTGGTATTAGCAGGCATTATGGAAGGGGACCCAGGATATGACATTGTCCATACTCCCCAGAGTCCCCTCCACACACATAAGTCTCCCTCAAAGAATAATAATAGCAAACGAGAGCAGTGAAAAGTTAGAATTGATGGCTGTGTAAATACCCAGCAGAGGAATGGCAAGAGAGAGTCTCTGGAATGTGTGAAAAGTCCTGGTGCCCTTCTAGAGAGTTTGAATATTAGCCTGCAGATACTAGGATCTGGACAAAGTATTTAGAATGCATGATCAGATAACACTGAAGGTACCATGGTTAGAACGATAGATGCTAGCCTAGAGTGAGGAGAAATCAGAGTCTGAGAAAGGAGATAGCACTGTAGTGTATTAAAGTAAAAATTTTAATTTTCAGTTTTTATTTTACAAGGAAAGACTGATCTCTAAAGGAAACATTTCTTTTTATAATAAATACTGTTTTTAAAAGTTGAATTGTCATCAATAATTACAGCTAGCAATTGCTTGCACTGCATAATGATGTTTCAGTCAATGATGGCCCACATACACAACAGTGGTCCCTAAGATTATAATACTGTATTTTTACTGCAATTTTTCTATGTTTAGACATGGTTAGATGCACAAATACTTACCACTGTGTTACAACTACCTATAGTACTCAGTACAGTAACACGCTGTGCGGGTTTGTAGCCTAGGAGCAAAAGGTTATCCCATGTAGCCTAGGTATGTAGTAGACTACATCATCTAGGTTTGTGTAAGTACACTCTACGATGTTCACACAACAAAATAGCCTAATGACGCACTTCTCAAAACGTATCTCTATTGTTATGAATGACTGTATGTAGAGGCAGTGCTCTAAGTACCTTACATATAGTATTTGTTTAATTCTCAACTATTATTATTGGTTCAGTTTATTGTTAAGTCTCAGAGAGGTCAAGTAACTTGCCCAGGGTCATTCAGTAATGGGTAGGTAGAATTTGAATCCACAAGGTGATGTCAGAACCTGAATTCATAGCCACTGTATCATCAACACATGTTTAGTTAAATCCAGGTATGTAGAAATTATTTTTATTATGTTGAGCTTCAGAGCATGCACAGGCTCTGGAACCAGACTACCTAGGTTCAGATCTCCATTTCACCATTTAATGGCTGTGAGAAATTCGACAAGTTACTTCAGCTTTCAGTACCTGTTTCCTCATCTGTGAGTGGGAACAATAACAGTGTTTGCCTCCTAGGGTAGTTCTGAGGATTAAATGAGTGAATTTAGTAAAAGGGCTCAGAAAAGTACCTTGAGCATATTATATAACCAACAAAATTTACCTATTATCAATATTATTATTCTAACATAAAGTATTGAGAATAGTGGTATGAAACACTGGATATACTGCATGGCCCCAATTGAGATCTGAGATAGGTAGAATAATGGCTCCTAAATATATCCATTCCCCAATCCCTGTAAGCTGTGAATATGTTACATTATTACCGCAAAAGCAACTTTGCAGATGTAAATAAAAGTTATGAACCTTGAGCGGGGGAGATTCTGTCTAACCAATGGATTCTTAAAAGGCTGTAATTGGAGAGATACAGCAATGGAAGAAGAAGAAAGAAAGATTTACAAGGATGAAAGGGTCTCAATCCACCATTGCTGGCTTTGGAGACGAAGAGGGCCATAACCAAGGAAATGTGAGTGGCCTCTAGAAGCTGAAAACAGCTCTTAGCTGACAGCCAGCAAAGAAACAGGGAGAACAGCTACAAGAGCAAGGGACTCAATTTGTCCAACAACCTGAATAAGCAAAAAAAAAAAAAAAATCAGATTCTTCCCTTACCTCTCTAGAAAGGAACACAATCCTGTGGACACCTTGATTTTAGGCCATTGAGAACCATGTTGGACTTCTGACTACAGAACTGTAAGGTAATAAATTGGTGGTGGTTTGAGCTTCTAACTTTGTTACAGAAATAGTATTAATGGTAAACTAATATAAGATCCATACTTAACTTTTTCCTAAAAGACTCAAATATATTGATTTAGGAACTACATAATATTCTAGAATAAATTTAACTTCTTAAAGTCAGCATTTTAAAACTATATTAGGGACATAAATCAATGTCTTATTTACATTTCTATTGTTAAATTCTTAGAATCTAAAAGTTGCTAAAAGGCTAAAGAGGATATAAAATGCTATTATAAAATGTTTCCATCTTTTCTATGTAAAGGTTAAAAAAACAATTTTAATTTTTCTTCTTTAACTTCTCATAGTTAATGAACAAATTAACTTTGATTTTTTTCCTAATATTTTTAAGTCCACAGCCAAGTTCTAATAAAGACTCTTAACATGTCACTAGAAATATATAAATTCTAGGTTTAAAATAACTCATGTTTTGCATTTACAGAGGTAAACATTTACTAAGAAGAAAATATTCTGTCTTGGTTATTATTTACTTATTCACTGCCTCTGAACTGATATGAATTAGCTCTGAGAGAGTAAGAGCCGTGTCTGTTTTCTGTCTTCACATTTTTATCAACACTGCCTAGCAAAACTCCCGGGCCTCAGAAAGCTTTTGTTAAATAAATGAATGAAAAATAAATATATCTTTAAAAAACTGGAAACAAAGCTTCCCTGGAACCTCAGCTCACCAGCTCATGGGAAAATTAAGAAGGTATACTGTATCTACAGGTTAAACATTAAAATCTAGAACTTATTTTAAACAATTTCAACAGAATTTTAACTGTTGCATGTTTCCCCGCATTCTTAATGAGATTCATTAAATATGATTCAAGTTTCTTGATATCTTTATTATTTTCATTCGCTACTGTGTGATGTTCACATGACATACATAAGGCTCTATGAACCAGAATTTGCTTTCTGAAAATGTCCTCTATGTCAATCAAGTCTTTGTGTGTATTTTCCCCCGTCCCTCTCAAAAATTAAGTGAAGCACAGCACATCTGTAGGCTACCTGAGAGGTGCAGCGTGGTTGGTTTTCTTCACAGTTGCTAAACGAAAGGCCTACTCTTCTTCAGTGAGATTTTTTTACTCTCTAGAACAGCAGTATCCATAGAAATATAATGGAAGCCACGTAATTTAAAATTTTCCAAAACATTCTCATTTTGACATGTAAGCAATATAAAATTAATGAAATACTTTACATTCTTTTTCTTTTCAGACCACGCTTTAGAAATCTGGTGCATGTTCTACACTTAGAGCAGACCTCAGTTCAGACTAGCCACTTTTCAGGTGGCCAGTGACTACTACACTGGACAGTTGCAGCTCTAGAAAATCCACTCCCAAACCCCTAAGTGAACTACATACTCTATCAATTTGTAGCTTCTACTCTATCTCATTTGTACCATTGTTTCACAATTTGGATAGCATTAGAGTTAATAAATTTTATTTTAGCAACTCTGCTCCATGGGTAGTTTCTGAAATAAAAATACAAGCAAAAAAAAAAAAACTTTCCTAATAACACTGGTTCTACAGTATAAGCTCTCCCTCGAATGTCTAATAGAGCTTTCGTAGAAGTGAGTGTTCCTTGTAGGAACGGTGAGTCGAGACTGGAGGTAAGAACTAAGACGTTCTTAAACCCTACTACGTGCTGGAATCCTGAAGTGCCTGCCATCATTCAAACTTAAGCACTAACTCTCTAGAGAGACACTGCCATTCATACCACAGAACGAGAAGGCAGTGGCGATCCTCAACGGCTACATGTCACTGCCTGGTGAGCACTCTTCCCTCAGACCCCATTCCCAGAAGCTCTGCCTCGATTCCCCAGGGGTAGGCGAGCTGGCTGCCCGAATTCCTAAGCGTTACCGGGGAGATGTGAGGGCCTCCGGGGGCGGGAAACCTCAGGCCAGGCGCGCGCTGGCCCGCTCTACGGGGTCTCTCGGGAGCGCTTTGCAGGGCGGATGACTGACGGGCCAGCTACCTGCCTTCCTGAGCCTGCAGAGATAAACAGCCTATCCTCCCTGTGCACACAGGCCCCGAGGGCGGGCAGGTCTCCAAGCGCAGCACAACTGCCCCAGGCCCGACGCAGCCACCTGCCCGAGGGCTCCCTCCCCACCAGGCCATCCCTCAGCCGGTCCTCCTCCGACAGCGAACAAGGAACCCCGGAGGCGCGGAGGCGTCTCGCCGCCACCCGGCGGCGCCTGCCAGAGGCCCTTCGCGATGTCCGCAAGCAGAGAAAGCCCTGCCCTCCCAAGCCCCGGCTTCCCCTAGGCCCCTCGACACTTGTAGTGTCCTCACTTGCGGCCCCTGACCCGGGGCTGACCGGTTCGTGACTCTCCTGCCAATCAGAGACAGAGTTCTTCCGGCCAACCGGCCAATCACCGCGCGCGGGTGTCCGCTTCGGCTTTTCGGCCCTTCGGCTCTTCGGCTTGTCGGCGTTCGCGGTTGTTTGGCCATCCAGTGCCTTCAGCAGCGCCGCTAAAGCGCAGTTCTCGTTGGTGTAACTTTTTCTTTTTTTTTTCAGCCACTTCCGGCTCCTGCGTCGCTCCGGAAGCCTGCGAGTTCCGGAAGCCTTGGTAATCCAGATTCGGCTAGGAAAAGACAAGCTTTCCAGAGAATGTTTCAGAGAAAGTTACGTGGAGCGTGGGCGTTTCGCAGACTCCTAAGGTCAGTGTCTGCCCTAGAGAGCCGGAGTGCAAACCCGAGGTCTTGTTTTCAGCTGGGAGGTCGTGGAGTTTCACGACCTTGTAATTGTCGCCGTTTGCTTTTTTTTCCCTGTTTATTGGCTTCCTGTCTCCCTGGAAAAGGCAAATCAAAGCTGCTGAATTTTGGGAAAGGCAGTGAAGCAAACCTAAACTCCTAAAGATGTTTTTAGGATCGCGGCATTAAAAATAAACACACACACAGCTGCAGTTGAGCCCCTCTGCATTCCACGTAGTAACTTAAGAGACGAACTTCGAAATCTTTTTCTCTCATTTGGCGGTCGTGAAGATATTTACCTCTTATAAACGGCTTTATAAAGAATTGAGGATCCAAACTTTACTTAATATCTGAAAGTTCATGTAAAGTGTTATATGTAGTACAAAAAATTTGAGTGCTTAGTTTTCTAACACTGTTGAAAGCGCACGTAAATGCAGTTTGGTTTTCTTATGGAGGAAGAGATAATGAAAAGTTTCTGATAAAATTGCTTGCGATAAATTAGTTATATTTCACGTTGACTTTTGATAAGAAATCTGAATGTGAGAATTGTTAACATTTTTTCCTGGGTTCTTAAATTAAAAATCGTTGTTTGTTTATTTATTGAGGTACCATTTTCCAAATTTCCCACATTTAGTGAAAGGGCTTTTGGCAAAATGAGCAAGCTGTTGAACGTTCAAGTCTAACACATTCTGTTAAACTTCCGTGATGCCCCTCGGAAATATTTTATCTTGACGTTTCGGACAATTAAATGATACTTGGGCGCTCACAACACCGCAGCTTGTAGTCTAAACACCTTCCCCTAAAGTGTTACCTTTACTTAATCCTGAACAGAATGAACTTGGGGTGGCTCTTTTAACTTATCTGATCTCACCTATATTATCAATTACTTGTTTCCAGAAAGATTACAGTTGAGTGATCTTGAGCCAGAAAGAGATTTGAAAGAATTATTTACAGAGTCAAAAAAAAAAACCCTTCATATTTTTTTCTTAAAAAAAAAAATAGAAGTAACAGGACATAGAGCGAATACTAGACTAGTAGACTGAAGAGTATTAGACTAAATCAAGACAGTTGGATTCTAGTCCTGACTCTAGTTGCCTTTGTACAATTTTACCTCTTGGCCGTATTCTCCTTATTTTTAGAAACTAGTGTTAGTACTCAAGCTGGGGTTTTAAAACTGTTCCATAGGAGAACTTGTGTAGAAATTTTCTGGAGCCGTGCAGGGAGAGACAAAGCAAGCCCACCCTCAGGTTTATTTTAACAAGAGCAGCCATTTAGGTGTTCCGCTTGAATAACAAGGTTCTTGTTAAGAAGATTAAATTTATGTCTTAAACGAGATGATCTGCCTTTTCTTCTAGCATTAAAATTCTGGTTTTTGGGATAATTATTCATTTGTACTCAATGTACATTTATTACAGTTTTTAAAAATAATATATTCACAGCTAATTTATTTCTAAAAGCTACAAATATGTCCCTATTCTGTTTCAATTTATTTTATCAATACAAATTTGAAATGTTTTTCTTTATGAACAGAATTAGAATTTATTATTCCTTCTTCTCCATATCCTTTTATTTTAGCCATAAAAGTTTTGCTTATATTTGATGCACATAATGATTCTTGCCGTAGGGAGGACAAGTATTTTTCATTTTACATATTTGGTACCTGAACGTTAAAGGTATTAGCAGGCTTGCTCATCATCACACCCATTAAAAGAGCTCAGTCCTAGCCCCATGTTTTTCTCACAACATCAAATAATTGTAAGTTTCTTTCCCTCTTGCACACCATCCACATTCTCAGGTTCCAATAGCACAAGGAAAATGTGTGAATGTACACAATCTTTATTTCTGGCCAGAAGTTCTCTCTTGAATTATTTCATTTTTTCCTCTTTTGATGATCTGAGTTGGACAACCTAGAAGCAAATTGGATGTTCTCTGTACCTCTTTTCTGTGAAGTGATAACAGTTTGTAAATGTTTCATGTTCCTTTTCTATTCCTTTGGAATGTACAAGAAACCTCAGGAGAAAAGCCCTAAATTGCTCCATTTGCCCTGTCTGTAATCCTGCTCTTTTAAACCCAGCCCTGTAGTTTCTTTACATGGAAGTGGAGGCAAAGAAGGGATGTCTAGTGTCCTCTGCCTTTCTCCGTGTGGGATATTAGACTTCTTCCTAACATATTCCCATCTATACAATAAAAATACCTTCTTCTATGTTGCTTCTTACTCAATTTAATATATTTTCTTTTTATCAGACATCTCCCTTATTACTGCCTGTCAATAAGATGAGATAAAATTCCATCCAAGTTATCTTTTCTTTCTTCTTACTAGTAAAACAACCAAGAACTTAAGTGTAATGGTGTTTTGATTATGCCTAACCACTGTCTTTTCATTTTTTTGAGACAGAGTCTTGCTGTGTTGCCCAGGCTGGAGTGCAGTGGCACAGTCTCAGCTCACTGTAACCTCTGCCTCCCGAGTTCAAGCAGTTCTCCTACCTCAGCCTCCCGAGTAGCTGGGATTACAGGTGTGCACCACCACACTTGGCTAATTTTTGTATTTTTAGTAGAGACAGGGTTTCACCATGTTGGCCAGACTGGTCTTGAACTCCTCACCTTAGGCGATCTGCCCACCTCGGCCCACTTGTCTTTTAGTGTTAGATGAATGAGTTGGCATTACCTCTACCTTGCATGTATGTGTTCGTAATAGTTAATGTTCACACCTTGAGTTTTTCACTCATCTATTCCTTTTGTTCAGATTTGACATGGTTCTTTGAATGGTCCTTTGACCACATGTATAGTGAAGCAGGGAGAAGGAATATAGACAAAATACATCCCAAGCAACAAGGAAAACTTTACCTCATTCCTTTAATTTCTTTCCCCATCTACAGTCCTGACAGCTTGACTGGCAGTCTGGTCTTTTGAATGATCTTGAAGGGGAAAAAGATTTCTTTTGAGTTCTGTGGGATTAAATTTGATCCAAGCTTAGCAAATGTCCATTCTACTAAGTGTATTTTGTATGTTCTACAGTTTTTCTGATGTTTACCATAAATTTACTTATTACCAGCTTGACTTTAGATGGGTTGTTAATCTTCTCAAGCCTTAATTTTTATCTTCTTAAAATGGAGATGATAATACTGTACTTACTGTGTTGTGAGGATTAAATGAAATAAAGAATGTAAAGAAAAGTTGTAGTGCCTTGTACATGATATGTATCACATGGTAGTTCCTCCTATTCCATTGCTAATGGCTCTTTGTTCCTTTGGGGATATTTCCGTGTTCTCTTGTACCATAAAATGTGCAATTAAATGTTTGTTCCAGTTATTTTCAAGTCATTTAGAATTCTTAAGCAATTAGATTCTAAAGCCCATTTTTAAATTATTTATAGAGTATTTAAACATCTAGCTGCTCATACATTTCATGTGTGTCCTGTTCATACTCGCACTAGTGTTTTTCCCATAGTTTGTGCCTATACTCTTAGTACTTGGCCTCTTTAAGGTAGCCCCATCTGTGTGACCTGTGGTACCATCCTAAAGTGTTTATGTTTAACTTTTGGGTCCATTACCGCGTTGTCAGTATAGGACGCTGGTTTAGAGCTGGTTCTGCCCCCTCTGGTCATGGGATTTCACACAAGTCATCTAATCTCTTTGCACCTCAATTTCCTTGTTTTAGAACAGAAGTAATAACAGAAGCTCTTTATTAGTATTATAAGGATTAAATGATTTAATATTTAAATTTGTACTTGGTAATTAGCTATAGTAGTCACTTGTTAGCACTCAGTAACTGGTAGGTGTTAAGTGTTTTCTCTGGTTGTAAACTAACAAGTTCATTGGGATTGTCTTCCTTAGTGGTTTACTGTTACTCTCCATGAATACTGTCTCTGTCTCCTGTGTCCTGCTCTGATTTCTCTATTTTCCTCATGTCCTGTATTGCTCTTTTGCAATTGGAAATAGCTGTTCATTTTTTTCCCTTTCCCTTGCAAGATTTCCTAAAGCAGTTTCTATAAGGATTCTAGATAGGTAGGTAAACTTACAGTTGCTTTTTTTTGTTTCTTTTTTTAGCCAATGAAGAGTATAGTGTAATAAAATGACTTGTCTAGAGTCACACAATCTGTTAGTGAACCTGGGCTAGAATACAGAGCTAATCAGAGGCAGTTTAACTCTGCTTTCCCCAATACTCGCTCCAACATCTGTTCTTTATTTTCACAATAAGCATTCTCAGACTCAGAAGTATCAGGTTTCTGAAAGAAAAAAATATGAGTGCCATGCTGTTATCTTAAAAATATACTTATAAAGCTAGGCCCAAGTATTGGAAATTCTTTTCTAAGGTTTAAAAAAAGTATTTTGTGCTAGTTTTAGATACTTGAATAACTATATTGTGTATGAGATAAGTAAGGCACTCAGTTGATTGTGTAAGACTCAATATAATCTTGAGTTGTGTTGAGTTTCCTCTTCTCCCTAAATGCAAAAAAAAAAAGATATTTTCCCCTCTTCTAGGGCAGGTTACTTACCATTGTCCATATTTTTGAGAAATATGTGCAACTTTGAAGTTTATCTTTCAGATACATTTTAGAAATGTTTTGTCATGTATCCACTACCACTTCAAAAAGAAAAATCCTATTTGGATTTTGATGAGGCAATGTTCATTGAAGTTAAAAGTAATTTAGAGGTCTGTTGGACATAACACAGTTTTAAAATTTCACATATCTTGGCTATACCCAAATGAGCACAACTGGGATTTACAACATCAGGTGTCTATAAACTATTAAAACTTAGTTTATGTATGGTGAAAGAGAGGAACGAGAAAGTAGTGACAAGGCACTTAGCAAGTCTGTGACAGAAGCGGGATTTGAACTTAAGAGTTGTTAGGCCTGTTCACAGTGCCAGAGGTCACAGTGTTCTAATGGGCTTCAGCCATAGCCTTTTTTCTTTTGCCCATATTTGAAACGTGTTCTGGGAATCAGTGTCCAGTTAAATCCCTCTTTGATGCACGTCCCATTTATTAGTATTGATTTCAATACATTGGACAGTAAATCTATCTGACTACACAAAGGAAATAAAATAGTAGGTTATAGGTTCAAAACTTAAGATGTCTAGTCATAGAATTTTATTCATATAACCTCATAATATGAAATGCTAGTTTAACATTTTCAGAAAGAGAAAACAATGAACGTGGTCTCATCCACTTTGATTGCCAGAACATTTAAGATGGTGTGGCAGTGACATTTTCATTCTAAAACTTAGTTTATTATTGTGGAGATGGAAAAGAATAGCCTGGCAGGGGGTGCATGAGTGGGTATGACACAGTAGAGATTACTTGAGAATCACGTTTCTGCTGACAAAGTTTACAGGACTGTAAATTTAAATGCAGAATTTTGTAGACAGTATGCATTGACAAATATGCCTAATGGTAATACCTCTAATACTGAGAGTCTTGGAACAGGTCAATAATAATGTGTATATTGATAGCAGCGATGTAGGAGATGTTACATGGTATTATAGCTAAAATCCATGTTATCCCCTTAATCATAATTACGTTAATATTGACAGGCCCTTGACAATACCCACATTATTATTGATAGATTTCTGTCAATAACATGTTTTTAAAGAAAATATATTCATTCATAATTTGTACTATACTCAATAAAACTATAAAATACATCCTGAAACATTCCTTCTTCCTCAGTGAGATACAGTCATTTGTTTAGTTTTTGGAATGTGATATAGATGGCAAAGTTTTTATTTTGGGATATGAAAAACATAAAAGGAAAGCATGAGTTATTTAAGGGATAAGGTTATATATTGCTGCTCTTAGTAAATAATTTTTAGTTGTCTTTTTCTGTGAAAGAAAAGCAGTGTGACATGTTTAGTGATAAAATGTCAGCAGGAGACCCTTTTAATAGTTTTTAGTACTAGATCATTTTGTCTTAAACATATTTATGTGACAAGTTAATCACACGAACCCTAGTAGATGCTATACTTTTTATCTGGTCTTGATTTTGCCTTAAGCATCTTTTTCACATATCCTTAACATGGTAGAATCCTTCACTAAATGCTAAGATTATTTACTGCCAATTATAATTTTAGTTACATATTTTTATATATCTCTTTGCATAGCCAATAAATATCTCTCTCCCCTCCCCTGGGTTAGCATTTTGGAATCTTAAAGTTAGTATAGGTCGAGAATTGCAGGAGTGGGTGGCTGGTAGGATTGTGTATGAAAAGGTAGAATAGGAAAAATCTATTAGAATTAAATTTAATGGTGGTTCAATTCAAAGCAATTCTTTTTACAAAAAGCAGCTTGTAATTTTTAAAAATATTCAAGTTTGAGCTTACATTTATAAAACTAAATACTAATTTACAATGACCAATAATATAGAAATTGTTAAAGCTTACTTAAATGATTGAAGGTAAAGTCAAAATAGACTTACCAGTGGTTGGGCATGGGTGTTGGCAATCCTTGTAACAGAAGTAAGGAGAGTACTAGTTTACCAAAAGCACTGGGAATTTTTGACCCAAAAATGTGAAAGGATAGTATAGTCTTCCTCTTGATTTCCATGGTTCTTAAGTAAGTTAAATTACTTTGACTTTTCAGGGAAGTTGTTAGCATCATAGGTAGGCCCCTGAATTGTTGCAGGAATCCTATAAATCTGGTCTCCCAGAACGGCAGTTTTTCTTTTCTTCAGTTTTATTGAACTCTGCCGTCAGATTAATCTTTTGAAATTTATATCCCATTATGTCTCTTCTCTTCAATGATTATTCATGCCTACAGAATCAATACAATTTCCTTAACACAGGTTCTTTTTACAATGTGGCTAGGTTGACACTTCAGCCAGTCTCTCCTGCCAGCCTGCTTTGGTCATGACAGATGACTTGTCTCCTTCCAGATAACAGATGCAGCCACATTGACGGGGGTTAAATAACCAAGGATGTAGCTCATGGTGCAACTCATGTCCGTATGTCCCAGCTAGGCTATGGTCAGGAGCTTGCTATTTCTGGGCTTTCACACAGCCTGTTCCCTTGCCTTACATACCATTTTCCTCTTTTCTCCCTGGAAAGTTTTGTGATCTTTTATAATGTTTTCACGTTTTGGGATCCATTCTTCACTTCAGAGATCAATGGCCAGTCCTGATTTCCTATGTCTTTTAAAATGCTTGAATAAAAGGAAGCTAGCTGACAGTTAAATATTTAGATTGAATCTCTAGTACCTAGGAGAATGCCTTGTATTTGATAGGTGTCCAGTATATATTTGTTACATTGAGTAACCATTTGTCAGAGAATTAGAATTCACTAAAACACAAACTGCTTACACTATATTGGGAATAATTTTATGTGATATAAAGTCGTTTATGGCATTTATGCTTCATACCTATTATAACAAATCTTGTTGTACTGCTGTAGAGGGAAGAAGATTCCATAATTGGGTTAATTGAATTTCTAGTTATTTTGATTTCATCATTTTCTTCTACTCCTTTGCTGCCCTTTTCTAAAGAGAGTATTCTAGAATAGCTGTACCTGCCAGAAAGAGAGGAGTGGGGTGGGAGTATGTGTGATGAGGAAGAACTGAATGTAATATGCTGGTGATGAATACAAGTTTGTTGCTTGTCTTGGACTGCCTGTACCATGTTGTGTGCAGCAAAGCACCCTAGAGTCAAATATTGTAAGTGTGCATTCATGAGGTTTCTTTACTTCAAGATAACAGGCACAACTATGTTGATAGGGGCTAAATAATGACAGGAGCAGGTCATGCGGGAACCCATCTCTTTTCTCTATCCACACTGTGTCATATCCTTTCAGACAAGGTGCAAGTTAAGTGGGCAGTGAGTTCCACTGAACCATCATATCTCTGCCCACTCCTGCCTGGCCCCTCCCACGTGCACACATAAGGGTGACATTATGTTTGTGGTTTAACTGCCACAATTTATGTCTTAATGATGTCAATATTTCCTGGAAAAACATTTTGATACAGGTTGATTGAGGCATTACTATAACTAACAGTGAAGGTTTCAGTCTTTCGAAATGAGATTTGCCAAAATTAGTTTGGGGCCTGTTACTTTTCATGCTCATCCCTAGCCAAAGCAACAATAATGTAATAAATAATACTGCTTTATGGCTTCTAAACCACTTTCGTAACATTATCTGGTTTAATCTCAACAACTTTGTGAGGTAGCTGTTATTTCCAACTTTTAGGAGAAGAATCCGAGGCTAATGAAGTTTTTTAAGATCTCATAGCAAGTAAGTGACAGAGCTAGAACTTGAGCCCAGGCCTGTTTGATTTTAAATCTGCTTTTTCCACTCTGTGACAGATGCCTAAAGAAGAATGTAGAGCATGGGAGAAGTATTCCACTTTAATGAACTATGGTGTGTAATAGACAGTGTCTGTTCTATGTTTACAACTAAAAGAAGTCACAAAAATGACTAAAATGTTGGAAAATAAAACCTAAAACAAAAAATAGAGAGAAATTATTCATCTGGAGGAGCAAAGGCTGAAGAACAGTTTAATAATAGTCTTTTGGTCTATTAAAGAGTCTTACGTAGGGAGGAGAGCAAACCCAGCTGTTCCTAATCTACACTGAGGCCAGGCCTGGGGAGGAAAAGAAGAAAGAAAAAAATGTTAAACTGTAACAGAAGGGATAAGAAAGAATTTTTTGATAATAAATATTGTTAAATATTGTATTGGTTAAAGACCGTTTTAGGTCTCCTTTTCTGGCAGTCATTAAAAATTCCTGTTTTTACTGAATGTTTTTAAGTGTAATTCCTCCAAAAACAAGAAACTTGAAATAGATGATTCTTCTGACAAACCACTCACTCTGACCAGTTTCTCACTAAATATCACTAAGGAACCTGAGGAAGAGATGCAGTTATGAGTTGCTTATCAAGGGGGTACATTCTGAGAAACGCATAGTTTGATGATTTCATCATTGTGCGAACATCATAGGGTGTACTCACACAAACCTACTTGGTATAGCCTAGTTCACACCTCGTTATATTTTACTGTGCTTTCTTCTGGTTTGCAGATACTGCTTTTACAAATTAAAGGTTTGTAGCAAACCGAGTCAATCAAGTTTATCTGCACAATTTTTTTTCCAACAGCATTTACTCAACTTGGTGTCTCTGTGTAACGTTTAGGTAATTCTTGGCAATATTTCAGACTTTTTTTTATTATGATATTCTTAGTGGTGACCTGTGATCAGTGATCTTTGTTATTACTATTGTAACTGTTCTGGGGCACCACGAACTGTATCCATATAAGATGGTGAACTTATAAATATTCTGGGGCACCAAGAACTGTATCCATATAAGATGGTGAACTTAACAAATATTGGGTGTTCTGACTGTTCTGCTGACTTGCCTATTCCCTAAGACACAACAATGTTGAAATTAGGCCAATTAAGATAAGCCTACAATGGCCTCTTAAGTGTTCAAGTGAAAGGAAGGGTTGTACATCTCTCACTTTAAATCAAAATCTAGCAATGATTTTGCTAGATTTTGCTAAGCTTAGTGAGGAAGCCATGTCAGAAGCCAACACAGGCCAAAAGGTAGACCTTTTATACCAAACAGCCAAGTTGTGAATGCAGAGGAAAAGTTCTTGAAGGAAATTAAAAGTGATCCTCCAGGGAACACATGAATTAAAGAAAGTGAACAGCCTTATTGCTGATGATGTGGGACAAGTTTTAGTGGTCTAGATAGAAGATCAAACCAGCCACAAAATTCCTTTAAGCCAAAGCCTAATCCAGAGCAAGTTCCTAACTCTCTTCAATTCTTTAAGACAAAGAGGTGAGGAATCTGCAGAAGAAAAGGTGGAAGCTAGCAGAGGTTGGTTCGTGAGATTTAAGGAAATAACCATTTATGATATAAACATGAAAGCTGAAGCAGCAAATGCTGACATCAGAGCTGCAGCAAGTTATCCAGAAGCTTTAGCTAAATAATTGATGAAGGTGACTACGCTAGACAATATATTTTCAAGATAGACAAAAGGCTTATATTGGAAGAAAATGCCATGTAACACTGATAGCTAGAGAGGAGAAGCCAATATGTGGCTTCAGAGCTTCAAAGGACAGGCTGACTCTCCTGTTGTGGGTTAATGTAGCTGGTGGCTCTTAAGTTGAAGCCAGTGCTTATTTACCATTCTAAAAATTCAAAGACCCTTAAGAATTATGCTAGAACTACTCTGCCTGTACTTTATAAATGAAAAAAACAAAGCCTGGATGACAGCACATCTGTTTACAGCATGGTTTACTGAATATTTTAAGCACACAGGTGAGACTTGTTCAAAAAAAATTATTTCAAAATATTACTGCTCATTGATATGCACCTTAGTCACCCAAGAGCTCTGACGAAGATGTACAAGGAGATTAATGTTTTCATGCCTGCTATCACAGCATTCATTCTGCACCCCATGGATCAAGGAGTAATTTTGACTTTTATATTTTTTTTTTAAGAACTACATTTCTTAAGCCTGTAGTTGCCAATAGCAATTTCTCTGATGGATCTGGGCAAAGTAAATTGAAAACCTTCTGGAAAAGATTCGCCATTCTGTGTACCATTAAGAACATGATTCGTGAGAGAAGGTCAACATATCAACATGAACAGGAGTTTGTAAGAAGTTGATTCTAACCATTGTGGATGACTTTGAGGAGTTCAAGACTTCAGTGGAGGAAGTAACTACAGATGTGATAGAAATAGTAAGAGAGCTATAATTAGAGTGGAGCCTAAAGATGTGACTGATTTGCTACAATCTCATAATAGAACTTGAATTGATAAGGACTTGCTTCCCCTCTTTTTTTTTTTTTGAAACGAAGGTCATGCTCTGGCACTCAGGCTGGTGAACAACAGCACAGTCAGCTCACTGCAGCCTCTCAATCTCCTGGACTCAAGCAACTCTCCTGCGTCAGCCTCCCCTTAGTAGCTAGGACTACAGGTGCATGCCAGCACGCCTGGCTAATTTTTTTTTTTTTTTTTTTTAGTTTTTGTAGAGACAGTGTCTCCCTGTGTTGCCCAGAAATCCTCCCTTGGCCTCCCAAAGGGCTGGAATTATAGGCATGAGCCACTGCACCCAGTGAGTTGCTTCTTATGGATAAGCAAAGAAAGTGGTTTCTTGAGATGGAGTTTATACCTGGGGAAATGCTGTAAACATTGTTGAAAAGATAGCAAAGGATTTAGAATATCCCATAAACTTAATTGATAAAGCAATGGCAGGGTTTGAGACTGTTGACTCCAGTTTTGAAAGAAGGTTTACTCTTGGTAAAATGCTATCAGAAAGCTTCGCATGCTACAGAGAAATCTTTCATGAGATGAAGAGTCAATCCATGCAGCAAACTTTGTTGTTGTTATAAGATATTGCCACAACCACCCCAGCCTTCAGCAGTCATCACCCTGATCAGTCAGCAGGCATCAACATCAAGGCAGGACCCTCCACTATCAAAAAGATTATAACTCACTGAAGGCTCAGATGGTTGTTAGCATTTTTTAGCAATCAAGTAATTTTTAATTAAGGTATGTACATTGTTTTTAAGGCACAGTGCTATTGCACACTTAATAGACTGCAGTATAGTGAAAATATAAGTTTTATATGCACTGGAAAACCAAAAAAGTTGTGTAACTTAC
Source organism: Homo sapiens (assembly GCF_000001405.40). Taxonomy (NCBI): domain Eukaryota; kingdom Metazoa; phylum Chordata; class Mammalia; order Primates; family Hominidae; genus Homo; species Homo sapiens. Next base: position 76,988,365 of record NC_000008.11, on the reverse strand, counting down.
TTTATTGTGATATTTGCTTTATTGCAGTGGTCTGGAACCTAACCTGCAGTGTCTCTGAGGTATGCCTGTTTTCTTATGTGATTCTGATGAAGTCACAAGTTTGAAAACCACTAGACTAGAGGAGCAGAGACCACAGGACTGTGATGGTGAAGACCACAGTTTAGAAGGATTAAAAGCCCAGAGATATATGTATCTTTATCATAGACACATATATCTGTTAGCAGTTAAAAACTACCAGAATAAGATTACGTTGTTACAAAGAAAGTTGAATGTGTTACAAATAGACAAGATCTATCTTGTTTTAAATCACTGCCTTCTTGATTTTAGCACTTATGTAGATCAAGTAGATTTAAAATAGATTAGTTTTACCAGAGGGGCATCAGACTTCTAAAATTCTACCCAGATTTTTTCTGTCATATTTACATAACTGCCTACTGAACTTTTCCACTTAGATGTCTCATAGGATCCTCAGATGTTTAAAATTGCATGTATATATTTTCTTTCTGTTCAAACCTGTATTGCCTCGTGTATTTCTTGTTTCAGGGACTTGGATCACTATCACTCAATTACTTAAGTCAGTTTTTCTTGGCTTATTTCTCTCCAGATAGTGTCACTTCTACCACCTCACCGCTGTCAAAGATAACCCTTTTCTCTCTGTCCCCATTGATACTTTTCTAATTTAGGCCATCATTAGTTTCTCACTAGATCATTTTAACAACCTGTTAACTCGTCTCTATGCTTCCAGTCTTTCTCTCAGCCTCTATTCCATTCTTGCTCAGGGTGGCCAGAACAAGTAGTCTAAAATGTAAATCTTACTAGTTATTTGCGTACCACTATTGGGGGCTTCCCGTTACCTTCCTCATAAAATACAGCCTCCTCAGCTTGGCTTCTAGGGCCTTTAGGACCTGTCTCCTGCTTCTTTCCAGCCTTATCTCATCTGTGCACCTCTAGTCCTTAGTACCTACTCTTCTCACCATTGGCAATAGTATTCTTACCCTCCTTTACCAGGCTGACATGCTAATATCAGGTGGCTGCTTAGGTATTGCCTCTCCCAGGAAGCCTTCTCTGACCTTCTGAAGTATAGTTGTAACCATAGTGCCCTGAATTTTCCCTTGCATATCACTGATCGCACCTTATTGTAATCACCTGTTTATTTTATATAGCACACCTTTACTTTTCTCTCTCGTTCCACAACCCTCCACAAGGGTTGAAAACAGTGTCTGTTGTACCATTATATCACTAGCTCTCATATTAACAGGTAAATAACAGATGCACAATAAACATGGTGAAATTAGTAATAATCATCTTTCTGGATATGGTAATTTGAAATAGTTTTAAAGGGTAATGGATGGGAATTGATATTTTCTATCCTTCACACATCCCAGACTTTCATCCTATTCATTTATTCATTTATCTAGTGTTTGTAGAGTGCCTTCTGTGTACCAGGAACTGAGATAGTTGTTCTGATTCAACTGTGATAAGGCTCAAATAATCTTCACAACAGGCTCATCCTCTAGTGGAGGAAATAAACCATTTAAAAGTAGTTTATGTACAGTACATAGAGGCCAAGAAAGGGAAAGAATAGAGTGCCAAGGGAACAACTAGATGGGCAGCAACCCAAATTTGGAGTCAGCAGGAAGTGATGTCTGAGCCAGTACTTAAAATCTTAGTATGAGTTTTCAGTTAAAAGATTGGAAACGGACTGTTCCACACAAAGGGAACAGACAGTGAAGTCTACTGGTGAACAGGAGAAGGGGGTACTTTTTGACTGGATGTGATGCGTAAGGAAGGAAAGCAAGCTGGGAGTGGATTTGGGGAGGTTTGTGTTTTAGAACACTGGCAGTGTGGAGAATGCACTGAAGGAGGCAGAAGGTAAGGTAGACCAGTTTGATGGAATCCATGAGAGAGGAGAGCAGCCAGAATTCAGGAAAAGGCTTGCGGGGGATAGGGAGTGACAGATGGGTTAGGAAAAATTTTGGACCACGTACCAACAGTCCTTGGCAATGGATTTGATTTGTAGAGTGAGGAAAGGGAACTCCCTTTTAAACTTTATTCTTTTTTGTATGTAGCTTCTGGCAAGTATGAGGCAAGGATTTCACAGAAGAACTTGGAGCAAAAATTCCCACTGTCATAGCTATAGGCTGTCCAGTCTTGAGGGAGCTGCAGGAACAGGAAAAAGGTGAGATCTCCCCAGAAGATCATTGGCATTTATGGTGAGAAGCATTCCTGTTGTATATCTGGTTTGAGAGAAAAATAGCTCCAAACAACCTGTTATTCATTGATCATTTTTGTTTCCTGGACTTGAACTTGTTAAACATGTAGTCTTCTGCCACTAAGTCTTCTAGGATGCATGGGTAAATTTAGAACTTCCCTCTTGAAAACAACTTTGGTTGTCAAAGATACTCCCAATTTCAAGAAGTACAAGTTTACTTTACCTTCTAATAAATTGTGTTTATCATCTTTTTACTAAAAATCATAACAGAGTAGAATTTGAAAGGACTTTGAAGGTCATTTTATCTCCAGCCCTTTGTTTTATATGTGAAGAAACCAAGGCATAGGTCAGGGTCAGGGGAAATGACTTGTCGAAGAATATGTGACCAGACCGTGGCAGTGAGCTCCAGCAGGATCCATGCCTCCCTCAGTAACTATTCTTTCTGTTAGGGTATTGGCTTTTTAAAGGCCTAGACATGATAATCAAGCCCGGTGTGGTGATAGCCCATTTTAATTTTTTTGTGTTTTTTTCCCCTAGCTTTATTGGAGTATAATTGGCAAGTAAAAATGGTATATATTCAAAGTGTGCAATGTAATGATTTCATATATGTATCCATTGTGAAATGACTGCCACAATCAAGTTAATTACATCAATCACCACCCGTAGTTACTTACCACCTGTGTGTATGTGTGTGATGAGGACACTTCAGATTTGCTCTTGGCAAATTTCAAAGAAACAATAGAGCATATTAACTATGCTATTCTGGACATGAGTTCCTCAGAACTTACTCATCTTATAACTGAAAATTTGCACCCTTTGACTAATATCTCCCATTTCTCTCACCCTCCCAGCCCCTACCAACCACCATTTTACTCTCTGTTTCAATAAGTTTGACTTTTTTAGAATCCACATATAAATGAGATCATACTGAGGTCCATTTTAGCAACTAAATTTAAGCCTCATTTTTTTTTTTTTTTTGTCATGGGTGGATTTGCCAGTTAATAATATTTAAAATATCTGAACTGGTCTATATACTGGATTATGGCAGTGACTTGGTGTTTTAATTATATCAGCTTGCACATAATACATATTTATAATAATATATGTGTATTGAATCAGTAAGCTGTACCTAGCTAACCATTCAGCTTCTTATATTTCATTTAAATTTTTTTCCCTTTAGCACCAATTTGTTTCCTTAGTCTATTTATGGCATTATTGTGGTATATATTTTTATATCATAGTTTTCTTAGAGTACTGTGTGATATATACATTTTTAGTACCTTAATAATGATATTTCTGCATTCTTGTTCCTTCATACTAAGATTTAGTACTATTTATTTTCGGCAATAGCGTGATAGAATAGTAACCATGTATTGTTCATTTAGTTTTCTTTTTAACTTCCTTTACACATATAAAATGTATTTGAGAAAGATTAAATGACTTGCTGAAAAAATAACACCTTTGGAGTCAGTAGTAGTGCTGGAAAATAAACTGAGGTCTTGACTTAACCATCTATTGCAATGTTCTATATAGTTGTTGTATTTATTACCTTCCTGTATCTCTTCATTAGTCATGTTATTCAGCCTCCTTTCTGTTAGCTTCAGGATTTTAATGTCTCCCTGCTAGAATATCTGACCAAAGAGTATTGCTTAGAAGTATATTTGTGGAAAGAGGGTACAGTTTTGTTTTGTTTTGTTGTTATTTCTTTGATGAAGAGGGTCAAGAAAAAAGAAAAAGAAATTAAGAAAAAAAGGCAGGGGGAGAAAGAAAGGCTCTGAGAGACGAGACAGAAGTTTCAAGTAAGAAGTGATTATTCGCTGTACTATTTGAGACTACTGAAACGCTCATCGCCTATGTGTCCTGTGTAATTTGTGTATGACAGTTTCCAGGCATAAGTTGAGGAGGTTGTACAAGATTGCAACTCTTTGCTAATGTTCTTCAATTGTATTTTTTCCTAGAGACCTTCAGAGAAGACATGGCTTCCAGAAAAGAGAATGCGAAGAGTGCAAACAGAGTGCTAAGAATAAGCCAGTTGGATGCACTTGAACTAAACAAGGCCCTGGAGCAGCTAGTTTGGTCCCAGTTTACTCAGTGCTTTCATGGATTTAAACCTGGGCTGTTAGCTCGCTTTGAGCCAGAGGTGAAAGCGTGCTTATGGGTTTTCTTGTGGAGATTCACCATCTACTCCAAAAATGCCACAGTGGGACAGTCAGTTTTGAATATTAAGTACAAAAATGATTTTTCCCCTAACCTGAGATATCAGCCACCCAGTAAAAATCAAAAAATCTGGTATGCTGTTTGTACAATTGGTGGCAGGTGGTTAGAAGAACGATGCTATGATTTGTTTCGAAACCATCATTTAGCATCATTTGGGAAAGTCAAGCAGTGTGTGAATTTTGTGATTGGACTTTTGAAATTAGGTGGGCTGATTAATTTTTTGATTTTCCTTCAGAGGGGAAAGTTTGCAACTTTGACAGAACGTCTCCTAGGTATTCATTCTGTATTTTGCAAGCCTCAAAACATATGTGAAGTTGGCTTTGAATACATGAATAGGGAACTTCTCTGGCATGGTTTTGCTGAATTTCTGATTTTTCTCTTACCACTTATCAATGTCCAGAAGTTGAAAGCCAAGCTGTCTTCATGGTGTATTCCTCTTACTGGTGCACCTAATAGTGACAATACATTAGCCACCAGTGGCAAAGAATGCGCTCTATGTGGAGAGTGGCCCACCATGCCTCACACCATAGGATGTGAGCATATTTTCTGTTATTTCTGTGCTAAGAGTAGTTTCTTATTTGACGTGTACTTTACTTGTCCTAAGTGTGGCACAGAAGTACACAGTCTGCAGCCACTGAAATCAGGAATCGAGATGTCAGAAGTAAATGCTCTTTAGAAACTAAAATTGCTTCCTTTGAGGAAAAAAATGCACCGTGTTTAAATTCTTAATATTAGTCATCCTAAGTATACCATTTATGTATCCTTTATAAGGAATGTGCTCCTAGCCACTGTCTTCTCCTTTCCAGGCATGACTGAAATCTAATCACTGGAAACCATGTGATTCTAAATATATTATGTAAATGTTAATGTATTATGTTTTTTAAATCATTGCATTCAATTTTTAATGTCAAGAATAATGGACAGCTTTTGTCAGGTGACTACTAACAATGCTCCTTCATTTTACTACTTCTTAAAACAAGGTTGGATTCTAAAGATAAAGATTTTGGAGACTCTGGGATGAGTGTGCATTTATTTTCAGAGTTGACATAATATGATAATGTGACAATTATGAGACTGTTTTAAACCTTAAGACCTGATGCCTCAGTTGTAACTTTTTTTTTTTTTTCTGAGACGGTGTCCTGCTCTGTCACCCAGGCTGGAGTGCAGTGGCGCGATCTCTGCTCACTGCAACGTCCGCCTCCCGGGTTCAAGCAATTCTCCTGCCTCAGCCTCCCGAGTAGCTGGCACTGCAGGTGCATGCCACCATGCCCGGGTAATTTTTGTATTTTTAGTAGAGATGGGGTTCACTGTGTTAGCCAGGATGGTCTCTATCTCCTGATCTGGTGATCCACCTGCGTCAGCCTCCCAAAGTGCTGAGATTACAGACGTGAGCCACTGTGCTTGGCCGCCTCAGTTGTAATGTTATGCTTTTCTCTGAAGCCAATTTTTAAGAAGTTCAGTCCTCAGCTGTCTGACCCCTCCACAGTTGGCTTTATATTCAGAAAGTAAAAATTACTTAAGGCAGCTTGGAAGTGAGGCCTGGGAACTACTGGGGGCAACTAGTATGAACAGCACTATTTACAGGTCTCTTTCTCTTGCCTTTGATTCAGAGCTGTCATTCTCAGTAAATATTGATAGTTTTATTGAAACAAAAGGGGTCTTTAGCATGGGAATAGTAACAGCAGTGCATAATCAAGATAATTCTGTATCCTTCACTCTTTTTCTCTGCCTTTTTTTACTTAAAAGTAAATTCAGACTCTTAAAATGGTATAGAATTATTAGCTTGAACATTGAATTATCTCGTCTTAACTAGAATGTTTTTTAAAAAACAGTTTTTAAATGTTTTTAAATAAACATCTTGCTAGTATGATGGAAATACACTGCCAGTTCATTTTTCTCTTCACCTTTCATTGAACAAGTACTCAGGTGCCAGGTACTGATGTAGCCATTAGAGGCACAACAGTATATTAAGCAGGAAAAATCAAGTTACCTTCATGGAGTTTACATTCTGTGATTGAATGAACTGTAAGTTTAATTTAGGTTCAATTTAGTGTAAGATACTGAAGAAGTTTTGTAGTTTGAGTTAAGAGTATTTTACATCTTAAGAATTTGCCTTCTTTTGCCTTCTGTAATTTTAAAACATTATTGTAGAAAACACCAACAATTCAGGAAAAAATATAAAATCAACTTTCCCACAATTTTTTGAGAGAGATCATCACTATATTTTACTATATTTGTAGATTTGTTGCACGTACATTTCTTATTTACAAAATTATTATAATGCATAAAAAATAGCATTTTTTCCTATGTATAAATATTCTTCAAAACTATTTTAGGGCTGAGCACAATGGCTCATGCCTGTAATCCCAGGCTCCCTACTTAGGGAGGCTGAGCCCAGGAGTTTGAGTTCGTTTCTAAAAAAATAAAAATATATACAAACGTCTTTGTTTTTTGTTTGTTTGTTTGTTTTTGGTGAGAAAGGGCCTCACCCAGTCACCCAGGTTGGAGTGCAGTGGTGTGATCATGGCTAACCGCAGCCTTTCCCTCCCAGGGCTCAAGCGATCCTCCCATCTGAGCCTCCCAAGTTGCTGGGACCACAGGCCCATACCACCATGCCTGGCTAATTTTTGTAGAGATGAGGTCTCACTTTGTTGCCCAGGCTGGTCTTGAACTTCTGGGCTCAAGCAGTCCTCCTACCCTGGCCTCCCAAAGTTGTGGGATTACAGGCATGAGCCACTGCACCCAGCCATAATATATTTTTAAAATGCTATGTATATGCCATCATATTCCTATTCCTATTATTATTTAACCACCATCATAGAGCATTTAGGTTCTTTTCACTTTCTGTTGTGAATAATGCAATGTTGAATCTGAGTTCATTAAGTGAAGAGTCCAGCTGCACACTGCAGGCCCAGTCTGGATGTAGGTGCTCAGATGGTTCTCTTTGAGACAGGCTTTATCCTTTGGCTCTCATTTTTTTGATGAGTGTACATGGCATGAGGGACACAGATTCCGCTAGAATTCAAATCCCACTTGTGTATAACCTAGGGCAATGTGCCACATCTCTGCACATCTGTTCATTGTAAGGATTACATGTTTAGTGTATATAAAGCTCTTAAAACAATGCCTGACACATAGTAAATAGAATATAATAGTAGTGCTTTCCTTTGCTGTTGTCAGTATTACTCTGAGTCGGTTTCATTCTCACACAGAATGATGGCCGCTAGAAGCTCAAGGCTTATAATCTGCTAGCTTTCTGATCCCACTGGCATGAGATACTCTTGCCTAATAGTTACAGCTAAAGTCCAGGAGCTCACTGTTACTGGTCTGCCTTGGATTATGTGCACATTCCTGAACCAGCCACTATAGCTAGGGGATGGAAAATACTGTTCCTGGTTACTTAAATGTAGGTGATGCTCCTCCCATATACCACATGAACCTAAAGGAGTCCTGGAGGAGGCCGTTCACCACAGGAAACTGAGGTGTTCTTAGAAGGGTGGATGCTGGCAGATCTCTACTAGTTAGAGTCTACATTTGCCTTACTCATTTCAAAAGTCCACATTGCAGTCTCATTTTACCAGTGATCTAGCTTGATAAGGACATTCATAAGTAACTGGATGATTCTTTAACATTGCAGATTTGAAAGGATTAAATAAAGTCAACAAAATTGTTATATCAACAATTGTATTATTTTGATAGAGTAACTTCTAAGTAGTTATCCATATTCTCAAAATCTTAAGAAAACAGTACTTTACATATATGCCAGCTGATAGACTTGTCAGTATTGGGGTAGGGGGTGGTTTTTTTCCACAGACCCTAATGGCACTTAGTAAAAATAGGTTTTTATTATTTTTCATTTTTATTTAACATCTGCCACCCCTACTAGGTGATAACCCCCATGAGTTCAGAGACCATGACTATTTTGTTCATCACTAGATAGCCAGAGCCTTTTAGTTCTAGTGTAGCAATAGAAACATTTTATTAGCTGAATAAACCTAAGGTCGCAGATAGGGTTCTGCAGAAGCTGGCGTTGAAAGGGGTTTGAAGTACAAGAGATTTTTATGTATAACTCTCAGGGATCCATGCCTGTGAAGGGAAAGAGCAAAGCAGGAATAGGCAGAAGAAATGAGAGTACTCTAAAGCAGGCCTGAAAAAAGTTGGCCAGCCCAGAGGGGAGCTCTGAGCTAGTGTCATCTGTCAGAATGTCCTAAATTAGGCCAAAGTAAATAGGCCTTTTTACCTACACTTCTGTCAGTCACTGGGTGTGGGCAGCTCTGGGAAGGTTGTGATCTCAAGCATGGCAGCTCTGTAGCGGAAGCAGATCCTGTGGGAGCCAACAGCTGGAGGCAGTCCACTGACCACATTCCACAGCTGGGCACCATGTACATCCTTGCAGGAGGAGCCAGGTGGCATATCTTGGTGTGTACCACATCTAATACTGTCCATTTTTTCCTTTCTGGTTTCCTTTTTTTTTGTTTTTCTTGCATATAGTACACTGGACAAACAACACACTAATGCCAGGTAGTGTTCGTTTATAAACAATAGATTTATGACTGACACACCCAAGTGTCTCTTGAGTATCTCTGCCCCACTACAAATACCAGACTTCTTGGCCAAGTTGCTATGACAGCCCCCAGGAACTCCATTCAGTCTCTGCCTCTCTGGGCACTGCCAGAAGAGTTGCTATACCTCTGGTGCGACTGTTTCTACTCCCCAGCAGGCTCCAGGCTCAAGCTTTAGGAAAACTGGATGGGATTTAGCTACATGATATGTTTCCATGTTAGCCTCAAGTATGTAACCATCAGTTACAAGTGTTCTTCCTTAGGAAAATAAAAACATTTACACTTAACATTTTTCTTTTCTCTCCCTTGCACTTGCTCTCAAATCAAGTTTGCTACTTTTGTATTTAAAGTACCCAAGTGACTTCAGTGATCATATCTAAATTACTCAGATATCAATCAGAGCTCACACAAGGCATGTCCTACTACTTTGCTCTCAGCTCCCCTGCTTTCAGTATTTAGTGACTGGATTTGGGACAAGTTCATTTAACTTAAGATTCAATTTGTTCACCTATGAAATGGACATTCAATAATGTCTACCTGTTAGAATTCTAATGGGAATTAAATAAAGCATTCTCTCAAAAATTATCTATTGAGCCCCTGCAGACATTCCTTTTCCGTACTCAGGGAATGCATTCATGAATACCACAAAACACCTGCTCTCATGGAGTTTACATTCTTAGAGGGGTGATAAATAATAAAGATAATTTCAAATGTTAGTAGTACTCTGAAGAAAATAAAACAGGCTTTGAAATGGGGAGTGATAGGGGTTGCTGTATTGAATTGTGTGCTTGTGGAAGGCCTCTCTGAGGTGATACTTAAAAAGAGATATGAAGGAAACGGAGAAAGCCAAGCAGAAAAGGGGTGCTAGGGTAAGGAAATGGCTGCGCCCAGTCTCTGAGATGAGTCTTACCTTTTTGAGGAACAGCAAGAAATCCCAGTGAACCAGAGAAAGAGGTGGGAAATGAGGTAGGCGAGGTGAGGTCATGCAAGCCAGGGGGAAAATACCTGGATTTATTCCAGCTCTGAGGAGGCCAGAGGAGGATTTTAAGCAGAGATGTGACATGATCAGATTTACATTTTTAAGGGATCACTCTGGATAATTTGTGCAGAGGTATGAGTCAAAGCAAGAAAACCAGGTCAAAGGCTATTGCTAACAGTCAACATGAGCCATGATTGTTATTTCCATTAACAGTATCACTGAAATGGTCTGCAATCTGAAATAAAGCCTGAAGAAACCTAAATAGATTTTAATAGATTCTATCACCAAAGCTATACTCATGGGACAGTTTCTCAAGTCTCCAGTAAGAGGCTGCTTTATTTTGAATAGAATTCTAATCAACTTTCACCAACAGATTAAAAATAACAGACGAAAGAGAAGAGGAAAACTGGTAAAAGCAAGCATGGTTTACCATAACAAGCAATAATGAACAACTTGGTATCAAAGAAGAAAAACTTAAAAACAGAGTTTAATCTGGTATCATTTAGAGTGGGACACACAGGCTCTGAGGACTAACTGTGAATAGTAATTGTGGTTTTAAAAAATGACCTTGTATCATCAATGAAATCTACCCTATATTCTGTTTGATTTGGTTAAGAAGGCAGAAATTAGTATTGCTCTGTTCGAGAAGCCTTCAAAATGGGATGGCACTTAGAGGCAAAAATTTGGTTTATTTGAAACATTCAGTTTTAGCAAAAAACATTCAGTAAGCGTTGTTACTGTTTAAGACAAGATCTTTTTCAGCAAGAAAACAGTTCTAAACAAGCTTTTTAGCCAAACCAATTGGCCATATTGTATATACAACTGATGATCCATGGTCCTCTGCAGCTAGAACTACTATGTAGTCTACATTTATACTCATCACCACAAATAAGTTAGCAAACATTTTTCTTTGGTAAAAAAAAAAATTTCTGTCTGGGCACGGTGGCTCACACCTGTAATCCCAGCACTTTGGGAGGCCAAGGCAGGTGGATCACTTCAGGCCAGGAGTTGAAGACCAACGTGGCCAACATAGCAAAACCCCATCTCTACAAAAAAAAAAAAAAAAAAAAAAAAAAGCCAGGTTTGGTGATGCATGCCTGTACTCCCAGCTACTTGGGAGGCTGAGGCAGGAGAATCACGTAAACACAGGAGGCAGAAGCTGCAGTGAGCTGAGATCAAGCCACTACACTCTGTTGCCAGCCTGGGCAACAGAGCGAGACTCTGTCTTAAAAAAAAAAAAAAAAATTCAACTTTTATGTTTAGGGGGTACCGTGTGCAGATTTGTTACCTGCATATATTACATGATGCTGAGGTTGAGCATAGTGGATCCTGTCACCCAGGTAACAGGTGACAGGGTATTGAGTATAGTACCCAATAGTTTTTTTTCCAACTCATACCCTCTTTGTCTCTCCCTACCTAGTAGTCCCCAGTGTCTATTATTGCCATCTTTATGAATACTGGTTGTTTAGCTCCCACTTATAAGTGAGAACATGTGGTATTTGGTTTTTTGTTCCTGCACTAACTCACTTAGGATAACAGCCTACAGCTGCATCCATGTTGCAAATAACATGATTTTGTTCCTTTTTATGGCTGCATTGTGTTCCATGGTGTATATGTGCCACATTTTCTTTAGCCAGTCCACTGTTGCTGGGTACCTAAGTTGATTCCATGTCTCTGCTATTGTGAATAGTGCTGCGATGAACATGGGAGTGCATGTGTCTTTTTGGTAGAACGACTTATTTTCGTTTGCATATATACCCACTAATGAGTTTGCATAGTCAAATGGGAGTTCAGTTTTAAGTTCTTTGAGAAATCTCCAAACTGCTTTCCACAGGGTCTGAAATAATGTACATTTCCATCAACAATGTATGATAAGCATTCCCATTTCTCCACAGCCTTGCCAGCACCTGTTGTTTTTTGACTTTTTAGTAATAGCCATTCAGACTGGTGTGAGATGGTATCTCGTTGTGGTTTTAATTTGCGTTTCTCTGATTAGTGATTTGGAAAATTTTTTCATATGTTTGTTGGCTGCTTGTGTAGTTTCTTTTGAGAAGTATCTGTTTATATATTTTGCCCATTTTTAATAGTTTTTTTTTACATATTGATTTATTTAAGTTCCTTATAGATTCTGGATATTAGACCTTTGTTGGATGCATAGTTTACAAATATCTTCTCCCATTCTGTAGGTTTTCTGTGTACTCTGTTAATAGTTTCTTTTGCTGTACAGAAGCTCTTCGGTTTAATTAGGTCCCACTTGTCAATTTTTGTTTTTGTTGCAATTGCTTTTGAGGACTTAGTCATAAATTCTTGCCCAAAGCTGATGTCCAGAATGGTGTTTCCTAGGTTTTCTTATAGGATTCTTAAAATGAGATCTTACATTTAAATCTTTAATCCATATTGACTTAATTTTTGTGTATGGTGAAATGTAGGGGTTCAGTTTCATTTTTCTACACATGGCTAGACAGCTTTCTCAGCACCATTTATTGAATAGGAAGTCCTTTCCCCATTGTTTATTGTTGCCAACTTTGTCAAAGAATGGGTGTAGGTGTGTGACTTTATTTCTCTGCTGTCTGTTCCATAACATTGGTCTTTGTGTCTGTTTTTGTAGCAGTACCATGCTCTTTTGGTTACCATCACCTTATAATATAGTTCGACGTCAAGTAATATGATGCCTCCAACTTTGTTCATTTTGCTCAGAATTGCTTTGGCTATTTGGGCTCTTTTTTTGTTGTTGTTCCCTATGAATTTTAGAATACCTTTTTGTAGTTATATTTAAAAAATGACATTGGTAGCTCAATAGGAATAGTACTGAATCTGTAGATTACTTTGGGCTAGGAGTATGGCCTTTTTAGCAATATTGATTCTTCTCATCCAGGAGCATGGAATGTTTTTTCATTTATTTGTATCACCTGTGATTTCTTTCAGCAGTGTTTTGTAGTTCTTATAGAGCTCTTTCACCTCCTTGGTTAGATGTATTCCTAGGTTTTTTATTTTTATTTTTATTTTTGCATCTATTACGAATGGGATTGTAGTCTTGATTTGGTGCTCAGCTTGAATGTTATGGTGTATAGAAATGCTACTGATTTTTGTACATTGATTTTGTATCCTGAAACTTTGCTGAAGTCTGTTATCAGTTCGAGGAACCTTTTGGCAGAGACTTTTGGGTTTTCTGGATTTAGAATTGTATCATCAGCAAAGAGATAATAGTTTCACTCTTCTTTTCCTATTTAGATGCCTTTTCTTTCTCTTGCCTGATTGCTCTGGCAAGGACTTCCAATACTATATTGAATAGGAGTGGTGACATTTGGGTTGGTTCCAAGTCTTTGCTATTGTGAATAGTGCTGCAGTAAACATACGTATGCATGTGTCTTTATAGAAGCATGATTTATAATCCTTTGGGTATATACCCAGTAATGGGATGGCTGGGTCAAATGGTATTTCTAGTTCTAGATCCTTGAGGAATCACCACGCTGTCTTCCACAATGGTTGAACTAGTTTACAGTCCCAGCAACAGTGTAAAAGTGTTCCTATTTCTCCACATCCTCTCCAGCACCTCTTGTTTCCTGACTTTTTAATGATCGCCATTCTAACTGGTGTGAGATGGTATCTCATTGTGGTTTTGATTTGCATTTATCTGATGGTCAGTGATGAGGAGCATTTTTTCTTGTGTCTTTTGGCTGCATAAATGTCTTCTTTTGAGAAGTATCTGTTCATATCCTTTGCCCACTTTTTGATGGGGTTGTTTTTTTTTTACTTGTAAATTTGTTTGAGGTCTTTGTAGATTCTGGATATTAGCCCTTTGTCAGATGAGTAGATTGCAAAAATTTTCTCCCATTCTGTAGGTTGCCTGTTCGCTTTGATGGTAGTTTCTTTTGCTGTGCAGAAGCTCTTTAGTTTAATTAGATCACATTTGTCTATTTTGGCTTTTGTTGCCATTGCTTTTGGTGTTTTAGTAATGAAGTCCTTGCCCATGCCTATGTCCTGAATGTTATTGCCTAGGTTTTCCTCTAGGGCTTTTATGTTTTTAGGTCTAACATTTAAGTCTTTAATCCATCGTGAATTGATTTTTGTGTAAGGTGTTAGGAAGGGATCCAGTTTCAGCTTTCTACATATGGCTAGCCAGTTTTCCCAGCACCATTTATTAAATAGGGAATCCTTTCCCCATTTCTTGTTTTTCTCAGGTTTGTCAAAGATCAGATGGTTGTAGATGTGTGGTATTATTTCTGAGGGCTCTGTTCTGTTCCATAGGTCTATATCTCTGTTTTGGTACCAGTACCATGCTGTTTTGGTTACTGAAGCCTTGTAGTATAGTTTGAAGTCAGGTAGCATGATGCCTCCAACTTAGTTCTTTTGGCTTAGGATTATCTTGGCAATGCAGGCTCTTTTTTGGTTCCATATGAACCTTAAAGTCATTTTTTCCAATTCTGTGAGGAAAGTCATTGGTAGCTTGATGGGGTTGGCATTGAATCTACAAATTACCTTGGGCAGTATGGCCATTTTCACAATATTCATTCTTCCTATCCATGAGCATGGAATGTTCTTCCGTTTGTTGGTGTCCTCTTTTATTTTGTTGAGCAGTGGTTTGTAGTTCTCCTTGAAGAGGTCTTTCACATCCCTTGTAAGGTGGATTCCTAGGTATTTTATTGTCTTTGAAGCAATTGTGAATGGGAGTTCACTCATGATTTGGCTCTCTGTTATTGCTGTATAAGAGTGCTTGTGATTTTTGCACATTGATTTTGTATCCTGAGTTGCTTATCAGCTTAAGGAGATTTTGGGCTGAGACAATGGGGTTTTCTAAATATACAATCATGTCATCTGCAAACAAGGACAATTTGACTTCCTCTTTTCCTAGTTGAATACCCTTCTTTCTCCTGCCTGCTGAACCAAATCCAGCAGCACATCAAAAAGCTTATCCACCATGATCAAGTGGGCTTCATCCCTGGGATGCAAGGCTGGTTCAACATACACAAATCAATAAATGTAATCCAGCATATAAACAGAACCAAAGACAAAAACCACATGATTATCTCAATAGATGCAGAAAAGGCCTTTGACAAAATTCAACAGCCCTTCATGCTAAAAACTCTCAATAAATTAGGTATTGATGAGATATGTCTCAAAATAATAAGATCTATTTATGACAAACCCACAGCCAATATCATACTGAATGGGCAAAAACTGGAAGCATTCCCTTTGAAAACTGGCACAAGACAGGGATGCCCTCTCTCACCACTCCTATTCAACATAATTTTTTTTTCCCCGCTTTCCCTTTCCCCTGCTCCCTAAGTGGTATCACTGTAGAGAATGCTATGTAGGATCTTCTGGCTTTGCTTCTATTGCCCTAATAGGCACTTCTGTTGTCAGGTTTTATATTGGGCTGTGCAGTTCAACCTAAGAGCCCGTGGATGGTGCTTATGGGTAAGAGCCAGTTTGGGCCAACACAGCTGGATATATACTTGATCATTGTATGCTGGGAGAAGCTCTGTTGCCTCAGGCAATGGGCTTATTCACAGAGTACACAGGGATCTGAGCTCCCTCCTTAGCCCCAGTGGGGTGGGGGCCAAGATGGTCAGGGCTGGACTAGACAGGTCTGCCTGCAGGCCCCTTGATGGCATGCACATGCAACAGTACCAAGGGAGAATCCATTGCAAAGTCACCAGGTACCCAGAGGCATGCGTAGGCATGGAGCTGGGAAACTTCCTCAGCCCCAGGTTCTCTGCACAGGGGATAGGGGCAGCCTAAACTCCCTGTCCATGAGAGTGGGTGCTCCAGATGCCTGGAGATCTGCCTGGGTAGGGAGCAGAGAGGGCCTCACTGTACCAGAATCTCTGCCCAGGAGGAGTGGGCTAGCTCAGGCCGCTGGTTCAGGTGAGCAGGTACTCCAAATGCCTGGGGATCTGTCTACATGTGGAGCAGAGAGGGCCCCACTGTACCATGATCTATGCCTAGAAAGCATGAGGCAATTTAAGCTGCTGAACCAGGGGAGCATGTGCTCCTAATCTCTGGAGATCTGCCTGTGTATAAACAGCC
Source organism: Homo sapiens (assembly GCF_000001405.40). Classification (NCBI taxonomy): domain Eukaryota; kingdom Metazoa; phylum Chordata; class Mammalia; order Primates; family Hominidae; genus Homo; species Homo sapiens. The sequence goes on along the minus strand of NC_000008.11, from coordinate 76,972,365 downwards.
CTGCTGCCCCCCACCCACACCGTGATCTATGCATTGGAAGGGTGGGACAGCTCAGGCTGTTGATTCAGGCTTGGGAGTGCTCTGAATAGCTGGAGATCTGCCTGGGCATGGAGCAGAAAGGGCCCTATTCTACCACAATCTACGTCCATGAACGATGGGGTAGCCAAGCTACTGGTCCAGGCACGTAGGTGCTCCAGATGCCTAGATTTTTGCCTTGGGGTGGAGTGGAACAGGCCCCACTGCACCACAATCTCAGGAGAGCAGGGAGGGCACCCAGCAGTAACACATGCAGACCAGTTCCAGGTTGCCAAGCTGGCACTGGCTGCAAGTCTTGTCATCCAGGAGAAACTGCAGCTGTACCAGATCTCCTCCTACCTCAGGCCTGCAACAGGGGAGACCACAATTCCAGTACCTACTGCTGAGGCACTTTCCACAATTCTGGCTGTGGAGTCCCTACTCTGCTCCAGAGCAGGTGCTCCAGTCTCTGGCCTGATGCAATGCCTGCATGGCTATGCTGCTAGGTCACCAAATAATGCCTGTGACTTTGTATGCACCCTGATCAAAAATGGCATTCTGCTCTCAGTCCTGGGTGTGGGAAAATGCCTGCAGCTTTCCCAATGTCTTTTCCTTACAAAGTCTCCAAGCCTCTCCCCAAGTTAGCTCTTGGCTTTGGGAGAAGCAAAGTGCTCTCCCTTGGCCTGGGTTTCTTGAATCTGCAGTGGAAAGGTCAGTTACAGAGGGAGGCCCTCTGCTTCTTTCACATACTGGGGGTCACTCATTTTTATCAGCCGGACACTGATAAAATCAGAATCTGAGGTGTCCTTCACAATTTGTATGGATTCCTACTTTCCTTCTTGAATTAAAGCTGACAGAGTTGGTCTTTATGCACTGTCTTGCTATTTCCAAGTGGCTGAGGTGCACTAAAAATCTCTAATCCCCCGTCTTGGGGGGAACAAAATCAACTTTTTTTAATGTCTATTTCTTTTATCTTTCAAAGAGTATGTAAATCATGAAACAAGACAGAATATGAGAATATGCCTTCATGTTTCCAGGTAGTCTTTTATTTCCCCTCTTTTCCAAAAAAGAAAAAAAAAAGCTTATAGTTTTAAAATGTTGGGAAAAAATAAAGTAAGCATCATTTTGTATAATTTCTTTTACCTAATCCTGAATTGAGTTGTTATTCTGGAAACTATAAAAAGTCAAATAAAGTTGAGAGAAGTCACTTTTGAGGCCAGGAGATCCATAAGTGTAGTATTCTGTAGGTAGTTCACTTCCCTTCTCATTAGCAGCAGAATAATATATTCTCATTAACAGGTTCAACTTATGTCTACGCTGAAACCTCAGAACCAATAAATTGTATATCTACTTAGTTAAGTAAAACTGATTTTCAAAATCGAGTGGATGTGGACATGTTTATATTTATTAACTTCAAGAGATCTATCTGAAGGAAATGATAATGTTTAGTGCCAGACTATTCATAATAAAGAAAGATGTGAAACAACATAAACGCTCAACAATAGGGAAATAAATAAAATAGTGTAGCAATTTAGTTGACTAAAATAATGTAATACAAATACAACAGGAAATAATTTCTTGCAGAAATATTTATGAATATTTTTAATTACATGAGAAAGTGCTCATAATGTAATACTAAATTAAAGAAATAGGATACTAAATTAAGTACACTATGACCTCACCAATGAGATAAATAGGTACATAATATGTTTTACTAACAACAAATACCTCTCAGTAATCAAATTTTGATTTTCTTTTTTATGTTTTTCTGTATTTCCCAAATTTTCTACAATGAGCATATAATTATTTTTAATAAGACCCAAACAGGTTATTTCTTTAAAATTTCATGACCAGTTTTGTTTCAGTTAATCCAAAGATAAAACATCTTCACAACTTGTAAACAAGTTTTTTGATGTGAGATAATTTAGGAGGTAAAAGATTCTAAATTACTATAGTACCTATTTTTGCATTAAATAAAACCTGCCTTTATAGCCAATCACAACTGTAGAAAGTCTGAATTATTTCATATGTCTTAAATTACATATTAAATATCTAACTCCATACTATATATGCATTTTAATCACTTAGAAGTATGTAGGAAAGTCTAGAGCTAATACACCAGATCTGAAAAATTGACGTGAATATTTAATATTGTCAACTGCCTAAGCTTGTAAAGTCACTATATTTCCACAACTAAGAATCTAAGATACAGGGTCTGACCTAGGATTTTGTATTTCTTCCAGATATCAACACAAAATGTCGACGTTTCTGAGTATTGTTATGGTTTGGCTGCCAATAAGAGACAATGCAAACTTGAATCTCAACTGAGACCTAATCTAAATAGTCACAGTTGGTCAGGCGCCATGGCTCAAGCCTGTAATCCCAGCACTCTGGGAGGCCGAGGTGGGTGGATCACCTGAGGTCAGGAGCTTGAGACCAGCCTGACCAACATGGCAAAACCCCGTCTCTACTAAAAAATGTAAAAATTAGCTGGGTGTGGTGGTGTACACCTTTCCCAGCTACTTGGGAGGCGGAGGCAGGAAAAGTGCTTGAACTTGGGAGGCGGAGGTTGCAGTGACCTGAGATCACGTCAATGCACTCCATCCTGGGCAACAGAGCAAGACTCTTTGTCAAGAAAATATATAAAATAAATAGTCGCAATTCTGAATTATTGGAGCTGAAGTCTTTACTGTTCTTGAGGTTTTCAGAATGGTTCCTTGGTAAATATATCTCACCATACACTCAGAAAATATCATCCTCTCCTGACAGCCTCTATTTTAAATCCATGCCAATTTGTAAGAGTGCCTTTCTAGTCACCAAAAATAATAAAATACTACAATTTTTTTCACTAATTGAAATTATAATTACTTGCTTTAAAAATACTTAGTTCTAGACTAAATATAGAGGTCAAAAAAAAAAATTTAAGAGCAAGGATCCTCATCCAATATCGTGAGCATTATTTCTTAGTTTTCCTTCTCAGACCTAGTGGAATATTTCTCAGTTCAACTTGATGATTCTCTCAAACAGCAAAATAGCCTTTCAGCTCAGTAAGGACAGAAACTGTATCTTTCTCATTTTTGTGGCACTACAGCCAAAAACCGACTGACACAATACAGATGCTCTGTAAATGTCTGTAGAAACCAAGAGAGTTTGAAGTTTGATCATCAAGCCGTTCACAAAGATTGAGCAGAGCAGCTGATGGTATTAGCGTAGGGAGAATTCTATATGCATGTATATAATGTTGTGGAAAGGCCACACCTCAGGTTTGTAGTGTATCTTAGGATTGCCATTATTAATTTAAAATATCCTGTGGCATTCTTGCTTTGAGAAAAACAGTTGGAATTCAAGAGCACAATAAGAGAATTAATAACTTTGCTTTGAAAATACATGCAATTTCAGAGCTGTCAATTTTAGCTATGTCTCTTTAAATACTTTTTTCTTCTAGAATCCAACTGGGTAGATGAAGTTTGTTTTTTTTTAATTCCATTATAAAAGTAATAGCCCTGTTTTGGTGTTTTGTAAGCAGATAATATTCTGCTGGTGACTGTCTTTGCAATAATGCATTGCTCTGAATTCTGAATTCTATTATTTTACATCTACAGCAGCGTAAAGTATTTTTTATAAACAGCAAACTTCACCTCATAAAAATTCATTACATAAGGGCATAAGCAAGTGCTTTTCCTTCTAGTCATTGGCAGTAAGTGATTCATCAGTTTTCCACAGAAAACCAATTTCATTGCAGATGTTCTGTAATTTCCAGTCCTCCTGAATTGTGGAGCCATATCACACAATCCCAATGCCAGGAACATAAGGACTTTTTAAAAGGTCTGTGCTTAGTCTCTTTAATAGGATTGAATATCACTTGCTGTCTCATTGGTTTTATTTTTTTAAAATTAAGAAGTCAGACTCCTTTTCTTTCCTATATATGTTGATTCCACACATGGGTGGATAACTGGTAGCAAATTCAAAACCAACAGATTTCTTCGTATTTGAAACAATGACATTCATTCTTTTCCCTGGAATCAAAGCAGAAATATTAAGAGAAACAAAAGTTTTCCCAAACCTAAATCCTTTTTCTTCAATCGTGCTTAAATTCACTGTTTTTTTACCCCAGAGTAAGGAAGTCAGGCAGAGGGCTGGGGGAAATTCAGGAAGTGTCCATCTGTCAATTAATGGAGCTCCCGAGAATTTTCCTCAGGTAGATTTCTTCCACTGATAACTTGAGTGTGGTTTTGTCTAATGTTTCAAGGTTGAGAAGTGGAAGATAGGTATTCAGTATAAAATATGGAGATAAGAGTGGGGGAAAGCCTGCAGACTCAGTGATGGTCTAAGGACATATATGATAAATGAAAATTTCTCAGAAGTACAAAAGACTTCTCTCAGAAGATTAAACATCTCCTAGAAGGCTTATGAAATTAAAGTCCAATTTTTTTAAGAACATCGTCCTTGGATTGAAAGGTTGAATCAAAAGCATGATAATTGAATTTACTTACAATACAGAGTTATGAGCTATTGCAAGGGTGAAGTGATAGATTTTCAAGATAACCAGTTTGGTTCTGAAGCTGGTCCTTATTTACTCCTCTGCCTTCCATTGCAGCTCTGGTTACCCACGTATTTCCTTTAATGAGTTAAGTAAGTAATGCCCATGGACTTGGTCTCTGCAGGGCCACTCCTATGCAGAGGTCTCCGCTTGTGTTTTAGAGGTATAAATATCTGCCCTTAGCTCTGCCATGGTTCCTGGCATTTAATCATCAATTGAAAGTAGTATGTCTATAAGGGCAGAGCATTATCTATAACGTAAATTCCATGCAATGTGCTGCCTTCTGTTGTGGATTTCCTGCCAGCACCAGTCAGAGATTAGAGGCAGCTGGAGTGGGAGAAAGGTGGCTCGGACACATACATCCGTAAACTATAGAACCACCAATCAAAATCTATTCTATTTCCTCATCTCCCTAACCACTAATTATTTTTTACACATTACCTCTTTTTACTTACTATCCTCTAAATTCATGTTCATTTTATTTTTATTATTTTTTTTAGAGGCGGGGGTCTTGCCATGTTACAGAGGCTGGTCTTGAACTCCTGGCCTTAAGCAATCCGCCTCGGCCTCCCAAAGTGCTGGGACTATAAGTGTGAGCCACTGCATCTGGCCCTCTAAGTTCATTGTAAACTGGCTTCTCCTTTATACAAGCTAAAACTTAAGACCACATGAATGATTAAGCCTAGCCTCCCTCCTCATTCAGCCAAATGATTAGTGAACACTTTTTTCAATATTTTTTTTTCAGTATGTTGGGCATTAAGAATCCAAAGATTAGAGTCTACCAAAGGAAAAGGCAATGGGAGTAAATAGACAAAGTGCTTGGAGAGCATTGAGAAATGAGTGATTTATTTCATCAGAGACCTGTAGAGGCCTTCCAGGGACAAAGATATTTCGGTTTAGTCTTGAGGTATGTAGGATATCTTCAGGTAAAGAAATTTAAAAAGGACATCAAAATGGGATATACATACATGTACACACACATGTCATCCACACACATACATATATATATGTTTGTATGGATATGTGTGTGTATGTGTGTGTATACACAGAACCGACAGATTTCCTCATGTCTGAAAACAATAACATTTAAGAATATCTTAAGAGTATATAAGTTCTTGAGATTTAACACCTGAGCCCCTAACATCCAAGTTTAGATGAGTAGTCATTCATTCAACAGATAATCATCAAGGACTCACAGTCTGCCAGACACTGCTAGGTAAGCATCAAGGATGCAAAGACAGTAAATACAGGACATGTTTTCTGCCCTTAAGAAACTCACAGTTTCCCTGAAAACTAGTTAATCACTATGGAAAACAGGGTCCCGTGAGAAAAGAATTTTATGCAAGAACAAGGTGAAGATGGAGTCATAACATAAGACATCCTTTAGGAAAGAAAGCCCAGGCTGGTAATCCCAAATTGAGATTTTTCCAGGGCCACTAGGAAAGGCTAAGGATGCCTTGGAAGAAAAAGGGAAACAAAACTAGAGAAAAGGCTGTTGAAAGAGGACAGACCAAGTAGCAAACAAATTTTGGCCGAAATGAACCAAAAATTCATCATTCTACCAGGTGGCTGGTACCCTTTTAGAACTTTTTATTCTGAGATGTGTTATAAGCCACTCTTTACAAAAGAGGCAACTAAGTAATTTTCCCAAGGTTACATACACAGCAAGGGTGAGAACTAAGGTCTTTCTGATGCAAAATCTACCCTCTTTCTACAACACCCAATCGCCCTTCAATTTTATCTCACAATTGCTACCAGAGGCTCATTGTTTAACTGGCTTGTCCATACCCTCTGCAATACACTGCTTTCAACAAAAATCAGAATTGTGTCAAAAAAATTTCAAAAAAAGGTCATGCATATGGAACTACCACTTAAAGTAGGGGCGATATGAGAATAGAAACCAACTAGAATGTCCTGAGTAGATATAATTGAGAAATAGGAGAGATATAGTATATTCTTGAGATACTTGGATACTTGAGAGGAAAAGCCCTTGTCCAGACTTTCTTTGACTCAAGAAAGGGAGAATAGTGATTCAGAAAGGGAAGAGTTATTATTGTTTTCTCAGGACTCAACATTGTGCCTCATCCATGGTCATACTCAATAATTACTTGTTGAATGACTAGAAGAATGAATATCAAGGGAAAGGGAAAACACTGGAGATGCTAATTTTAACTTACATATTGGCAAAGCTACTTTCTGGTGGTGATTTTTTAATAAAAATACCAAGTATTGTTGAGAGTATAGAGAAGCTAGCATCTTCTTAAACTACTGTATCAGTGTAAATTTTTTTGGAGAGCAGATTGGTTATATGCATCAGCAGCTTTAGAAAATGCCTCCTTTTTCACAAGAAATTATAGTTCTATAATTTAATACTACTAATAGAGGGATTTATTTACCAGGATGTGCATCTCTATTTACTATGGTGAAAATTGCCAACAACCAAAAATCTCTCAAAGGAGATACACTAAATAAACCATGCTGTAAAAACATGTAGTTTTTCTTATCTATTATTTAGTAAAAAGTAAAAGTTGGTTATAAACAGAATGTACAATATCATCCTGTTTTCCTAAATACAGAATATGTATATTTTTATAGTTATATAAGTCTATTACAAAAGACTAGATAAATTTGTAGTAAAAATGTTGGCAATAGCCATCTATGGGAGATATAGGTAATTTTTATTCCGTTCTATGTGATTGTATGTATTCTCCAAATCTTCTACAATAGATATATAATTATTTTATAAAAGGAAAAAGGATCAGGCTGGTGGCTCAGGACTATAATCACAGCATTTGGGGAGACCAAGGTGATAGGAATGCTTGAGGCCAGGAGTTCCAGGCCTGCCTGGATAACATAGTCAGACCATGTCTCTACAAAAAAATAAAAATAATTAGCTGGGTATGGTGGTGAATGCTTATAGTCCAAGCTACTTGGGAGGCTGAGGCAGGAAGATTGCTTGAACCTGAGAATTTGAGCAAGACCCTGCCTCAAAAACAAAACAAAACAGAAACAAAAATTCAAAAACAAAAATTAAAAAAAAACATAAAAATGTAAAAGCAAGCAACAAAATGAGAAAAATATTTTCAAATTATATAAAAGGTAAAGAGTTAATGTACTTAATTCCCACCTATCTACTAAAAAATAATGAGCCCAAATACAAGAAAAAACAATCCTCAGAAAAAAAGAAATGAAAATGGCTAATGGACTTATAAAAATATGTTCTACTTGGCCAGCAATGAAAGAGAAATGGTGATTAGAACAAATTAGAATAAAAATGTACTATATGAATATGAATATTTATTGTTGTTGAAAGCCCAGTAATGATATACTTGGGGAAAGCAGTTTTCCATTATGAATGAAGAGCCTTAAACAACTCACAGCTTTTGACCCAAGATTTCTACTTCTCAGAATCTATCATAGTAAAGCATTCAGAAATGGGGACAATGAATTAAACATATATGTATATTAAAAAGTGATATGCACTCCTAGGGTTTACATATGTATATGTTAAAGGTATTTATGGAATAAATCCTAGGAAAGCTTAAGTTGAGTCACTTGAGGTGTTTTGACTGAGACTGAAAATTAAGGAAGATAACTTCTGCATGTTGACATACAATACTTTCAACTGAGTAACAATAATAATATCCTAAATTCAAGTACGGTTGGTGTACCATAAAGATGTACATTTCTAGTCATTTAAAAAATGTTACTTGAATTGAAATGTCGTTTTTTTTAGTTAGCTTGTTAGATAAAGCCAACAAGGAAATAAAAAAAAAAAAACAATGAAGAAAAGGGTATTGTGTTTGTTGTTATTGCTGTTGCTGCTACGGTTTTTATCTTAAGTGCCTGTCACATGGTAACATTCTATAAATGAATATTGATGAATGGACTTCCTACAAATTAAACGTGAGTCCTTCTTTTCAAATAGTAAGGTGTTTGAGTTTCACTGAGTTCATTGTACCACCGATTTTTCCAGTGTTTATTTTCCTCTATTTCTTACAATTCTGATTAAACTGCTATCACCAGAAATAGGTATTTGTATACATATTTGCTAGACTCAATGTTCTACTTGGCTAAAAACACCAACTCTTAGATATTCTGATCTGTCAGAAACTGTTTCTAATCTTCAGTGAGGGCTATGGTTTGGAAGGTAGAGTATGTTCCAAGATGCTCAGCAACCTCTTGAACCAGGAAACAGGATCTTTATCTTCCTGACCTTCTATTTATCTTTTGAAAAGACAGAAGCAATAACATTAGCTATGTAACTAACCTGCTAGCTCAGGTTCCTCTTTGTCCTTCTTAGTGGGCTCTTTCCATTTTTCTGTTTTCTTTCAGCATTCTCTATTGCTGAAGTATTTGGGGGAAAAAAACTGTTCTATTAACTTACATTGTTTACAGAAAAAAGTTTATTTTCTTTAAATTAGTTGGCCAAGTTAACATTCAGTGAAAACAAGGTATTTGATGTTTATTATTCTTACTTTCTTGTTTCAGTGAAATATAGATACTTTATACTTGTACACTTATTAACAAAGTCAGGTCCTGACTGAAGACCTCCGTTTTGAAATAGAAATGATGTCCTAGCTCTAAAGTACATCCAATCAAAGCAATTGAGTTCGAAGCACAAAACAACACTAGCGATTTCATTATCTACGTTAGAAAATATGGGAATGCAGGCACATAATCTAGCCAAAGACTAATCAGGATTTCATCCACAACTCTTCATACTAAAATAATCTATCAAGTAGGATTTTTAGGCTAAAGCTATCTGATACCTATGTAAAATCACAGTCAACTGTAGTAAACATTATACTGATATGCAAATATAAAAAATTAAGTGTTTCCTGAGGTTCTTCTACTCTTTTCCTGAATCTTTGTAGTTCAAGGATTATTCCTTTTACAAAAACCAAATGAAGCTCTTCTTCTTCCGTTCCATAGTCAGCTCTTATCTGTGATCATATATTTACTGGCCACAGTGCTTATTTGGTAAGTAATCATAAAATCACAGGCTTGAAAGTACTTTTTTAAAGAATACCTCTATAAAACCTTTATTAATTGGGTATTCAGACTCCATTTTATTACTTTCAGTAACTGAATTCACAGTCTCCCAAGAAAAAATCAGTCATGCTTTTGAGATGTTTTATTTACTTAAAGTGTTTACCTGTCATTTCAAAATAGTTGTCTACTGGTTATAATTCTGTCCTGTAAAGCCATTAGAAAAAGTAGAATATTCCTTCCTCAAGAGAGTTTTTTATATATTTGAAGTAAAACACAGCAGGATTGTCTTCCTTTACTCATGTCCAGTCAGTCACCTCTAGCACCAACCATACACCCATGCTGCAATGGAAGCTGGGTCAAGGAGCGGCATTGGAGCTGAAATTCAGGCTGCACTCTATGTGCCAAGTGTTGGACCCCAACACTGGGACTGTATCCACCCATAGAAGAAGGTGTCTTTTTATAATTTTCATGAAGGTACTTCCATTTGGTCCACTCGTCATGCTTTTTATCTATGCGATTTAGTTTATCTCAAGAAGGAACCTTCCGCTTATTGAGACAAAGTTGTCACCTGAGTTTAGGGGACCTGTGTTCTTTACATGACATGATTTCTAATCTCCCCTCTCTGGTTGCTTCCTAAATTTTTCCATTGTTATCCATATGCCAACATCACTATCTTCTCAACGATCGATTTTTTCTTAATCTAGTTGTTCCTAAATGATATATATTGTTATGCAATAAATTATACTGTAGCACCATTTTTATTATCCTATGATTCTAGTCTTCAATAGCTCTTGTCTAATTACTTTATCAAAGCTGAACTTTTGGACCTGGCTTTCAATGACTTATAGATTGGATCTATCTTACTTGAAAATGTAACCCGAAGGGTTCAAAACTTAACTGATTATCGTTATCCCCCAAACCGCCTCTTTACTATGTTCTTTTAATTGTCCCACCATCTATTTAGTTACAATGAAAGAAAAGCTGTAATTATTTCTTGACTTCCCCTCCTCCCTCACTCTTGTGTTCAGTTGGTCCCCCATTTCTGCAATTCTACATTTGCATTGCCTTATATACCCTTTCTACTCACTACTCTTCATTTTTACCTCCCTGCCCTAGTTTCGACTATAATACTCCCTAACTTCTTTGCCTCCTATCGAGACACACAATGTATCTCTAACAATGCTGCTTGCTATTGAAATTTTAAATTAATCAGGCCTTGCCAATAAAGACATGCCTGAGACTGGGTAATTTATAAAGAAAGAGGTTTCATTCACTCACAGTTCCACATGGCTAGGGAGGCCTCACAATCATGGTGGAAGGCAAAGGCGGAACAAAGTCAGGTCTTACATGGTGGCAGGGAAGAGAGCATGTGTAGGGGAGGGAACTCCCCTTTATAAAACCATCAGGTATCATTAGACTTATTCACTATCACAAGAACAGCGTAGGAAAGATCCACCCCTATGATTCAATTACCTCCCACTGGGTATCTCCCGTGACATGTGAGAATTATGGGAGCTACAATTCAAGATGAGATTTGGGTGGGGACACAGCAAAAACCATATCAGGCCTCTACACTGTTTTAAAGGTTCTTTGATGGTTTCCTATTTAAGTAAAAGGAAAAATGCCTTATTCGTTTGGCATGGCTTCAAGAACCTTTTATTCTTTCTCCCATTTGCTCTCCACAAAGGAAACACTATAGACTTCCAGGGTTTGTGTGTGTGTGTGTGCTTCAGATGATTCCCACTTCTTTATAACTCTGATGCTTCCCACTTCTTTGCAAATGTCAGGAGCTAACATGGCTCCAACAACCTATTATCTTTGTTTCTAGTTCATGTCAATTTTCTGTGGTCTTAAATACTAATCATTCTTCATAATCGAGGTAGAAACTAGTAGTTTGGATTTATTTATTGTGAATCAAATACATTCCCTAAAGATGGCACTTTAAATTTCACCATGATTTCTGATAGTTTTTCTATTCTTAAAAGTGTGATATAAATTTATCATTTCCACTCTTAGTAGACTCTGCCTTGTTGTAAAGTACAGCAGCACATTTGATTACAATATTATTTATACCTTTTGCTCATTGTCTGGCACTTAGTGAATTTAATATACTTTCAAACTGTAAGAACTTTAATATTCCTGCTCTGCAAGTCCACAGATTGTGGAATCTTCATATAAGAGCATGACCACATTTACTGAAACATTTACTCATCATTTTCCCCCATACTAAGTAACATGAGAGGATTTGAACCTATGAAGAAGCTACTTCTAAATGTGTCTTATATTTTCTTTTGCTATGTTATGTTGAAACATCAAGATGTTTTAATGCAAAAAAAAAGTTTAATGTAACTTCTTATCAGCAGAAAGCTTGCTTGGCTCCTTATCATCAAGCCTTTCTGATTTTTCAAGTAGAGACAGGGTAGATAAAAAGCCTCCTAAAGGTTTAAAATAATTTGAAACCCAAAGATGGAAGGTTGGGCTGAGACAGATCTAAATCTAAAATACACTAAGGTATCCAGACTTCCTACATTTTCAAAAGTGGTAGAGATCTGCTGTCTCTCTTTAAGCTTAATACCCTCTTGCTTGAGTAACATATTACTTAAAAATAAATAATAAAGAACAACCTCTCTTACAAGGAGCTTAAGTATATGAGTTAATTGAAAGGTCAATATATAACTGGCTTCGAGTTTATCCCAAAAGATTCAAACCTCAAGGAGGAAGAGCAACTGGACAGATCATAGTTCCTGGGGATGCACCACAGCCATGCTGCTCCAGGAGGCCACAGATATGAATTGAAAGGTAGGGAACCTAGAGTGAAGAAGACAGTGCATGAAAATAAAACAGGACAAGGCAGTCTGTGACATCACAGATCCAGAAGAAAAGAAACACAGTCACTTTAAAATTAGTATCTCATTTCTTTGTTCTTTCTATGAAGTGAATTATTAATATTAACATTGTTTGAATAGTATTTGCTGCATTTTGAAAAAGACAAGTCTCTAGAGTTGGTGCCCATTATTACCAATCAATGAGGAGAAGGGTGAGATATTAGTTGTCTAAGGAGAGAGTGGAACCATCTCATTGTGATTAGTCTGAACCACAGCCCCAAAGTCTTTAGGAATTTAATTCAGTCCATCTGTTTTCATGGCAAGCATTTCTTACCTTATCTGAACTCTAGCAGTCTCCAAAGTGTGTTTTTCAAACTACAGATCATAGCCCCCTAGGATTGATTAATCAATTTAGTAGGTTGAGACAAGCTATTTTGAAAACAAATAAAATAAAAGTAAGTAAAAGGTAAAATAAATGTCCTCACTCATGTAAAGGGTAATGTATTAGTCAGAATAGGCTAACCTATACTTGATATCTAAATGTCTTTAACACAATAAAAATTTCCTTCTCATATGTGCAAAGCCAATGCAGGTTAGATGAGCCCCCTCAGTCTTGCAACTTCACAACATGGAATGAGTGGTCTCCAAGACAGCATGCTACCTGCAGCAGTGAAGAGAGAGGTTCAGAGCCACACAAGCTGTATTTAAGAGGCAGGCCTGGAAGTGGCTTGTATCACTGCTGCCCATATCCCATGGGCCAGTACTTGGTTGTGTGGATCCAATCTAACCGTAAGGAAGGCTGCACAATGCAGTCCTCTTGTGCATACGGAAGAGGAAGTGGAATTGGAATTTAGACCAAGGCACTGTCATTACACCCATTCTTCATTGAGTTGAACATATATAAACTTCTGTAGAAGAGATAAGTCAGCTATTTTAACAAATACCTAACCTTTCCTGAAACAGCAGAAATTTTATTTTATTTTTCTTCTGAAAAGAAGATACTATCTGTCACCAATGGGGCAAAAACTAAAGTTTATTTTTTAGGTATTTGGATTTTCCTATCAAGTTGATTAAACTGACATGTATTGAACACCTGCTGAGTGTACCAAGCCCCATGGAAAAATCAAAGATGGATGAGATAGCAGTTCTACCTGTTTCCCTATCATCCCTTTCTATACCATCATTATTTATCCAACTGTGTGCTCCCTCTGAGCTATCCCACAAGGCCCCAGATAGCCACACTTGGAGACTTTTTCCCCAAAAATTGGAAATATGCAAAATTTCCCCAGTCTGAGAAAAATTGTTACCTTATTGTGAAGAATTCCAGTTCTAGTAAAGAATAACCAGTGGACAAGACTACTTGTCCAGGCTTCTGACTTCTTTTGCTCAGACTCCCTCCATGGATTCTGTATCCATTGTCCCTTAATCCTAAAGTCTTGGTGCCTGCTTCTGACTAGATGATGCTATGAACTGAACTGTGCCCCCTCCCATTCATATATTGAAGCCCAAGTTCCCAATGGGACTTTATTTGGAGATAGGGATTGTAGGTGGTAATTACAGTTAAATGAGGTCATAAGGGTGAAGTCCTAACCTGATGGGATTGGTGGCTTTCTAAGAGGAAGAGATCTTTCTTTCTCTCCACTCTCTACGAACTGAGGGAATACCGTGTGAGGACACAGTGAGAAGGTGTCCATCTGCAAGCCAGAAAGAGCCCTCTCACTAGGACCTGAGGGTGCAGGCACTCTGATATCAGATTTCCAGCCTCTAGAAATATGAGAAAAATGTCTAGTACAGTACTTAACACCACCTAGTCTGTGGTATTTTGTTTAATGGCAGCCTGAGCAGACTAAGACAGATGCTTACCTTAGGCAGTCAATAATAGGATATACAAGGATTAAGTGTCTCCTTCACTGTGCAGTTTCTTTTGCCTATCCAAGCTGAGTTCATTATTCCTATTTTTCATGCTATAGTCATTGTTTGTGTACACATTCTCTTGTGTATTAAAATGTAAGTTCCTGAAGAGTGGGAACTAATTCAAAGATAATCCTTCATGGTGAGAACACATGAGATAAATATGGAATGCTGTATCAAGGTCACAAAAAAGTGTCATTTAGTAAGTATTGTGTTGGTGTTTTATGCAAGTTATCTATCTTAATACCTAAACTAACCCTAAGAGGCAAACATTATTATCCACATTTCACAAATGAGAAAACAGGCTCACTAGGTCTCTGATGTCATATTGTAAGTAATCAGTGGAACTGAGATTTGAACCAATCCGTATTGGACTCCAAAGCACATTTTCTTTTTATATTGTATTATAAGCCTCCCCTCTTTTCTTTCCCTCTATCTTACCTACCTTTTGGACTTGCTTTCAGAACCCTAGCTCAGCCTTAACCACTGAATCATCTCTACCCTTTACCTACTTCTATGCTTTCCACCATCTCTGTCCCCTAAACCTATTTGACTTTCCTTGTCCCAGGTCCTTAACACATTGGTATCTACATTATTGGAGCTGATACTTTGATTAAAACAATGCAATATTGTACTACTGAGTGCCTCTATATTTAATTATTTAACAATTACTTTCCTTACTGTGCTAGTCATGATAATATACTAATGAATCAACTTAATTAAATAAAAATATGTTTGTTCTGTTTCTTTTGAAAAATATAATCTGATTCTCTTCTTCATTATAGTTACTGCTACACAAATTACAAGCTAAATTATTTGTTAAATTGCTTAAATCCATTGGGTTTATTCTATCAGGAGTGGAAATATTTGTCATCACAAGTCTTTAATTACTTTTCCCACTCATAGTAGGCATTTACAAGTGACATATGATATGAATTTCTTAAATTAAATTATTGCAAACAAAAGAACAGCAAAACATTAGGTTCCTTAAAAGTCAAAAATATTTTGATTATTCAGACAATAAGCAGCAATATAAATAGATTAATAAAATTAAGCATGATTCATATTCATTCTCTGGTGCAATTGATCCACTAAAACATGATGCCATTCTAAAGTTTAAAGAGCCCTTGTAGCTGAAGGCTTAAATATGTCATTTTAAAACAAGTGTATCGTTTAGATTTAATTGACTGTCCTCAAAGTATATGGCTTTAAAATATTTATGAGTGATTTTTGGTTATGTGCAACCCACAGCAATCCAGATTAAAAATAATACTGGTAATAACCCATAATATTGTTTTCAAAACAATTACTTTCCTAATCACTGGTAATGTTTATCTTATTCTTTGGGTTACTATCTTCATTAAATAAAAGATCTCCAAGTTTTACCTCAAAGATAGTCCCACTACAGGGTTTTAAATAAGTGAAAGCCCGTTATAAAAACCATGGGCGCTAGACATTATAAATGGAAGCTGCCATTGCAATTAATTTTTGCTCAATTCTGGATTTTAGGGTTCTTTTCATACTCTGAGATTAAAGATTTTGTGGAGAAAAGAATCAAAATCCCAAAGTGGGCCAAAATGCCCTATAAGATACAAATACTTTATTTGAATATGCCAAAAGAAAAGCTCTAACTACAGTATAATATTACATAGGTGTTAGCCTGGATCCATTGATTCTGGTGTTAAAAATTAAGAAAAAGAGAATGTGTATAAAAGGATTGGCATAATTATTGACTTCTATGTAGTTTTTATAAGGGTTGTTAGTCCTGCGCCAGTTGCCCCTTAATTGTTCAGCAAGGTCTCGAGTGGCCTTCTGCTCCACCTCTGTATTCCCAAGCAGTGCAATCTAATTGCAAATAATGGCTAACCATGAATCATGTAAATTTCATTCCATGGAAAGCCACATGGAAACTTCCACCACTAGGAATACCATTCACTCCAGTTATCAGATATTCTAGGTTATTTGCACCACTGCTCTTGTTCAGTCATTCATTGTGTATCTTTTGCATGTCTGCCAGTAGCTGCTATGTTTAGCATGAGAAAAACAAAGTGAGAAGACAGAGTTCCCCCACTTAATGCACATAAAGGATAGTAAACAGTTGTTCAATGTGTCAGGAATTATTGTGTTTTAATTCTCACAACAACTGCCTTATAATGTAGATATCACCATTTTAGAGATGGGGACAATCGCAACAATAAACCTGAGACTCCGAGAGGTTAAGTGTTAAGCCAAAGGTCACAGAGCTAATAGGTTATGGAACTTATGTTCACGTGAAAGGTAGTTCGATCTCATTTCAAACCTATGGTCCTTTTATTATTGACTTCTGTGTTCTCCATCAATTTAAATATACAAAAGCTTAATGCATTTATTTTGTTTGTAAGTCTTCCCTAAATCATCCTCATTCTTTATTCTTAAAGTTGACATTCTCCTGTCTAGAATGCTGTTTTTAATACATTTGATTTCTTTAACAAAAATAATATTTAAAATATATTAGGTACTAAAATATCATACAGGGACTTGTGCAATAAGTAAGTTTTACTTCCCCAACATGCAGAGAGAATAGGTCCACAGAGAACGCCTCTGCAGGAGCCCATTCTCTAGGCCAGTCATGACAACGAAGCAGCCTTTGATGAGAAAGAGTGTGGTCAGGAAGAAGCATGGCTTGAAAAAGAGCCAGAGAGGACTCTCAGTCATTCTAGAATTTGAGGAGTGATTTTTAACACGCCAGGAAGAAGTGAGTCAATAAGGAAGAATGTAAATCAAAAGGGTACGTGTAAAAGGAAAAACACAGTCACTTTTATGTAAATTGAAAGATCTGCTTTTGCCAGGAGGAAATTCTGGGAAAGATCTCTTCTGCACCTCAGCAAAACGCAGGCAAGTTCCCGTCTGTTTCCTTCCCTCTGTCAGGAACAATTTTCCCAAACAAGTGGGGCATACAGGACTAGAATGGAAATGGAATGGATTGGAACTCATTCGTGCTATGAAATCACAGAAGGTTCAGAGAGGCAGGGTTTTTTTTCTTGTCTGGTTCCTGTTTCTGTCTTTTTTCCTTTCTTTTGAGCAGTTTTCAAGAGGTCATATGAGCCGGGCTCTACCCTGAGGCTAAGACTAAGTCATTTCTAGAATATTTCTAGATTGAAAAAGTAGACTGGAAGCCAAAAGTTAATCATTTTTATTTTGTCAATCTCCTATGGCAATAAAAATAAACTTCATTTTGTTATTTTTAAAATTTTTTTAATTACAAAAAGCAATGGGTTTGTGGAATTTTATTAATATAAAAATACAGTGTTAATTTTAGTTTATAAAATTTTAAGGACTAATTGTCAAACTGATGTTTCATATTTTTCATATTACATCATTTCTATTTTAACACATTTCTGAAATGTATGGATGATTTATTTTTTAAGTGTCATACCTTCTCTCATAAACTTACATGGCAATATAAGACTCCAAATTTATATTGCCATGTAAGTTTATGAGAGAAGGTATGACACTTAAAAAATAAATCATCCATACATTTTCAGAAATTCAAGAAGCCTTTGTCAGTATCCCCCTAGACATTTTCAATCTTTTCCCTAAAATCCCCATTCTTTGGTCAGTAAATTACTTTAATGCCTTAATTTATTCCCACAGTGGTCCCAATGTTAGTTTTATCTTGCTGGTCTAACAAATTACCACAAACGTAGTGGCTTAAAACCACATAAATCTATTATCTTACAGTTCTTAAGTCAGAAGTCCTGTATGAGTCTCACCAGGCTAAAATCAAAGTATTGGCAGGTTGTGTTCCTGTCTGGAGGTTCTAGGGAGATCTGTGTCCTCCTCATTTGTCTATGAGCAGAATTCGGTTTTTCACAGTTGCAGGATTAGAGCTGTGTTTTCTTGCTGACTGGCAATGGGGACCTTTAGCTCCTAGAAGCTTCTTTCTGGTCGTTGCTCATGGTCGTATGTCTCAGAATCAGGGTGTTAGACCCTTCTCACGTTGCCATCTCTCACTGACCACAGCTATAAGAAGCTCTCATGTTTTAAGGCCTCAATATGATTAGATTGGGTCCACCAAGATAATCCAGGATAATTTCCCTGCTTTAAAATCCTTAAACATAATCACATCTGCTAAGTCCCTTTTGCCTTGTAAAATAACATATTCACAGATCCTGGGGATTAGGGATTGGGAGTATTAGGATATTTGAGGGAGCCATTTTTCTGCCTACTACAGCTCCTCCTCCACCATAATGGAAGTCTGGGCTTCTTCAGATGATCTACCTTTCCCAGTAACTCTCTCAAATTGAGGTGGATCACTACCCCAAATTTATAATTTAAAAGCTACACATTAGGTTCCATATTCACTACTGGGGTGATGGGTACACTAAAATCTCAGAATTCACTGCTATATAATTCATCCATCTAACAAAAAAACCATTTGTACCCTAAAAGCTATTAAAATAATTTTAAAAAGAGTACAAATGGAAACTGACAAACCATCTTTTCAAATATCTTAAAATTACAAATCCAGTTAACAAACTGTTAAATAAAATGTCAGTTCTGTTCTGAAAAATATGTCCTCCATAACAACCTGAAGGCAGGTTCAAATGTAAATTTCTCAGACCTCTAGGAATTCCTCTTCAGAAAGTAACAGAAGGAGAAAGCCACCCGGGCTTATCCCCTTTTCTTTCTCCTTCACATCCTTCCTCTGTCCAACACTATGCAGGGCGCCATGTGCAGGCATCTTGATAACAATGTGATTATTCCAAGCTCTCTAGTCTAGAATAAACTAGTCCTGCTTTTCCAGAAAATCTCTGACTATATTGGTTAGTCCAGCCCCTCAGTAGATAAATTACAGAAATTGAAGGAAAATTTGAATAAAGCAAAATGGAAAAAAAATTGAACAACAACAAAAAACATTACATAATATAAGATAATCATAAATACTAATGAAACAGTACTTGTACAGTACATGTGTACAAGTCATGGACTCTCTAAGATGGCAGAGCAAATCTTAGGACTTGGAGATATTTCAGTTCAAATTATTTCTCTGCTTTATATTGGACAAATCACTTTACCTCTTTTAGCCTCAATTCTCTTATCTATAAAATGGTGATAAGAGTATACCTGATAACTTATGATAAAAATCTATGACAGTTTGAAGATAAAACAGAAAAATAAACATGTAAAAGTGGTTGGCACAGTACACACAGTAAGTATTCAATAAAAACTCTCATTATTAAATACTGAATTTAAACAAAGTTAAATTTTATACTAATCAATTTATGTCACACCTAAAACCGAATGACAGAAAAAGGTGAAAAATTAAAGCATTATGAAAGATATTAAGACAAAAGCATCAAACCAAAAAAGCCAATATCAATAATCACCAAATTAGAAGTGAAGACAAATAATGATTAGGACAAAGGAGAACCGTAATCTGATTTTCACTTTAAAAGTGTAAATGTGGCTACTAGGTTGACAATAGGTTGTGGTGAAACAGAATGAGATGACAAATTTATTTCTCTCCCATATGAAAAAATAAATCCAGAGGTGAGCATCCCAAGTCTGGTCTGGAGGTCTCATAAGACATTAGAGACCCAAGTTCCTTCTGCTAACCCTCTGCAATACAATCCTTTGAACATTGATGACATTCTCAAAATCACAAGATGGCTACTGAATCTCTGGCCATTACATCCATACTCCAGCAGAAGGAAGTAGGAAAGGCAAAGTTAAACTCCCTTAAAAGCCCATCTGGAAGTCTCACCCTCCACCTTCTATTTACAATTCATTGGTCAGGACATTGTGACATGGTCACACTTACCTTGAAAGGAGACTGGGAAATGCAGTTTTCAAAAAAGACATATTGCTGTCCAAATTAATATCAGGATTCTGTTATTTAGTTTAAAAGTTGAGCCTGAGTATTGGGTAAGCAACTAACAGCTACTGCTACAAATCCTAGGCCCAATAGAAACATATTTGGAGGGGAATATGCTTTTATAGATTTAAGAAATGACACAGAAAACAAAAAAGAATAAAATTAATAAATCTAAAAGCTTGCTTTTTTATTTACTTTTTTTGTAAAAACATTGGTGATCTTTTATTTTAATTTTTATTTTAGGTTTGTGGGTACATGTGAACATTTGTTACATAGATAAACAGGTGTCATGAGGGTTTGTTGTACATATTATTACATCACCTGGGCATTAAGGCCAGTACTCAATAGTTATCTTTTCTGCTCCTCTCCCTCTTCCCACCCTCCACCTTCAATTAGTCTCCAGTGTCTAAAGTTGTTTCCTTCTTTGTGTTCATAAGTTCTTATTATTTAGCTCCCACTTGTAAATGAGAATATACAGTATTTGATTTTATATTTCTACATTAGTTTCCTAAGGATGATAGCCTCCAGCTTCATCCATGTTTCCACAAAAGACATTATCTCATTATTTGTTATGGCTGCATAATATTCCATGGTGTATATGTACCACATTGTCTTTATCCAGTTTGTCAATGATTCATATTTAGGTTGATTCCATGTCTTTGCCATTGTGAATAGTTCTGCAATGAACATACATGTGCACGTGTCTTTATAATATAATGATTTATATTCCTCTGGGTATATACTCAGTAATGGGATTGCTGGGTTGAATGATAGTTCTGCTTTTAGCTCTTTGAAGAATCACCATACTGCTTTCCACAATGGTTGAAGTAATTTTACTCCCAGTAACAATGTATAAGTGTTCACTTTTCTCTGCAACCTCACCAGCATCTGTTATTTTTTGATAGCCATTGTGACTGGTGTCAGATGGTATCTCATTGTGGTTTTGATTTGCATTTCTCTAATGATCAGTGATATTGAGCTTTTTTTAAATATGCTTCTTGGCCGCATGTATGTCTTCTTTTGAAAGTGTCTGTTCATGTTCTTTCCCCATGAGGGCATTTGTTTTTCTCTTGTAAATTTGTTGAAGTTCCTTATAGAGGCTGAATATTAGAGCTTTGTCAGAAGCATAGTTTGCAAGTATTTTCTCCCATTCTGTAGGTTGTCTGTTTACTCTATTGATAGTTTCTTGTGCTGTGCAGAGGCTCTTAAGTTTATTTAGATCCCATCTGTCAATTTTTGCTTTTGTTGCAATTGTTTTTAGTGCCTTTGTCATGAAATCTTTGCCCGCTGCTAGGTCCAGGATGGTATTGCCTAGCTTCTCTTCCAGGGTTTTTATAGTTTTGGGTTTTATATTTAAGTCTTTGATCTATCTTAAGTCAGTTTTTGTTTATGGTGAGAGGTAGGAGTCCAGTTTCATTCCCTGCATATGGTTCATCAATTTTTCCAGCACCATTTATTGAGTAGAGAGTTCTTTTTTTATTCCTTGTTTTTGTTGACTTTGTTGAAGATCAGATGGCTGTAGGTGTGCAGCTCTATTTCTGGGTTCTCTATTCTGTTCCATTGTTCTATGTGTCTGTTTTTGTACCAGTACCATGCTGTTTCGGTTACTGTAACCCCGCATTATAATTTGAATAAAGTAATGTGATGCCTCCAGCTTATTCTTTTTGTTTAGGATTGCCTTGGCTATTGGGGCCCTTTTTTGGTTCATATGAATTTTAAAATAGTTTTTTCTAGTTCTGTGAAGAATGCCATTGGTAATTTGATAGGAATAGTGTTGAATCTATAAATTCCTTTGGTCAATATGTCCATTTTAATGATATTGATTCTTCCTATCCATGAGCATGGGATGTTTTTCTTTTTTTGTGTTTTCTCTGGTTTCTTTGAGCAGTGTTTTGTAATTCTCATTGTAGAGATCTTTCACCTTTCTGTTTAGCTGTATTCCCAGGTATTTTATTCTTTTTGTGGTAATTGCGAATGGAATTTTCTTCCTGACTTGACTCTCGGCTTGGCTGCTGTTGGTATAGAAATGCTAGTGATTTTTGTACATTGATTTTGTATCCTGAAACTTTGCTAAAGTCATAGCTGAAAGAGCTTTAAGGCCAAGACTAAGGGGTTTTCTAGATATGGAATCACGTCGTCTGCAAACAAGGATAGTTTGACTTGCTGTCTTCCTACTTGGGTGTGCTTTATTTCTTTTTCTTCATAGAAACAGATTTTTTAAAAGTATAAGTGAATGTTATATATAAAATTATATAATAATAATTTTGAAAATCTTGAAATTCTTGATACCCATAGAAAATTAAAGTTTCCAAAACTGACTCAAGAAGAGAAAATCTGAATAAATCAATAAATATGAAATTTAAAATCCTGTTAAAGAAATTTTTTTCAAAAGTTACCCATCCACTCTATTTTACAGTTGAATTATTCAAAGCTTTCAAGAAAAAGATAAATTCTATTTTTAAAAGTTGTTCTGAGCCAGGAGGGGTCGCTCACACCTGTAATCCCCGCACTTTGGGAAGCCAAAGTGGGCAGATCACTTGAGCCCAGGAGTTCAAGACCAGCCTAGGCAACATGGCAAAATCTCATCTCTATAAAAAATACAAAAAAATTTAGCCAGGCATGGTGGGGCATGCCTGTAGTCCCAGCTACCCGGGAGGCTGATGTAGGAGCATCACCTGAGTCCCGGGAGGTTGAGGCTGCAGTGAACCATGATTGTGCCACTGCACTCAAGCCTGGGCATCCGAGTGAGATCCTATCAGGAAAAAAAAAATTCCATAAAATTAAAAAGGGAAAAACCTACAGTTAATATAAATAATAAACAAAACAATTAAATTACCCTGTTAACAAACCCTGGCAAAAGATACTGACAAAAAATAGAACGATTTCTTTTATGAAAATAGATGTAAATTCTAAAATGAAATAATGGCAAATAAACCCAGCACTACATAAAAAAGGGGGTGTAACTATGATTTACTGTTAGGAATCAATATACTGTTGACACTTGAACATCGAAGGTCAGATGCCAACCCCTGCAATAGTCAGAAATCTGTATATAACTTTTGACTTCTTAAAAACTTAACTATAATAGCTTACTGTTAACCAGAAGCCCCACCAATAGCACAGTTTATTTATTTATTTATTTATTGAGACAGAGTCTCGCTCTGTCGCCAGGCTGGAGTGCAATGGCGCAATCTCGGCTCACTGCAACCTCTGCCTCCTGGGTTCAAGTGATTCTCCTGCCTCAGCCTCCTGAATAGCTGGGACTACAGGCACGCGGCACTATGCCCAGCTAATTTTTGTATTTTTAGTAGAGATGGGGTTTCACCATGTTGGCCAAGATGGTCTTGACCTCTTGACCTTGTGATCTGTCAGCCTCGGCCTCCCAAAGTGCTGGGATTACAAGCGTGAGCCACTGCGCCTGGCTAATAGCACAGTTCATTAACATGTATTTTGTATGTTATATGTATTATATACTGTATTCTTAAACTAGAGAAAAATTTCATTAAGAAAATCATAAGAAAGAGAAAATATATTTACTATTCATCAAGTGGAAGTGAATCATCATAAATGTTTTCATCCTCATGGTCTTCAGGTTGAGTGGGCTGAGGACTGGGAGGAAAACAAGGGGTTGGTGTTGCTGTCTCAAAGGTGGCAGAGGAGAAAGAAGTAGAGGAAGCAGAAGGGGAGACAGGAGAGGCAAGTACACTTTGTGTAACATTACAGAAATACATTGTATTTTCTGTCTGACTATTTGCTTTTTAATTTCTCTCAAAATGTTTCTATATGTTACCAATCCTTCTTTTACTAGTTGCTTTAGTTTAAGTGCTTGTATCATAAAAGGGCCCCTGTCATAAAAGAAATCAAAAGGAGTCCTTAATAATCAAAACTCTTCTACCAGATTGTCTAATGTCAATCTATTTTCTGGCACGGCTTCTTCAACAATTTTTCCTCATTGTCTGGCACTGGTTTGGAAGCACTCATCTCCAGATCAAATCGTCTTCTGTTAATTCCTCTGGTGTGGCATCTGTTGGCTCTTGAATTTCTCAAGATCCATATCTTGAAATCCTTTAAACCCCACTTTTTTTTTTTCCATATCCACAGTCTCTTTCATGATTTCCTTGATTGGCTGTGTTTTAAATCCTGTGAATTCATGCATAACATGACAAAGCATTGATGAAACCCCTCCAGAAAAGCATTCTCATTGTTCATGCCTTCCTGTTGCACAACCAAAAGACTGGCAGCTAGTATTTATAATTTTTCTTCAAGGCTTGAGAGTTAGCAGGTTCATAGATAAGGGCAGTCCTGATTCTAAGCCTGACTGCATTTGCACAAAACAGTAGGGTTAGCCTATTCCTTCCTGCCTTAAATCCTAATGCTCACTTTTATTTCTTATTATTAAGTGCTTTGTTTTTTGGCTTTTTCACCCCAGAATAGAGCACTTTCGTCTGCATTAAAAACCTGTTCAGTCTTCCTAATTTATCTCCTGCCTCTTGGTCGCAGAAGCTACTTCTCCTGTTATCTTGAAATTTTTAAAGTCCTACCTCTTTCTAAAATTATCAAACCATACTTTGCTGGAATTAAATTCTCCAAATTTTAATCCTCTACCTTCCTTTTGCTTTAAGTTGCCATATAATAACTTTTTCTCAAATTATATTAAAGTCTACGGTTATAACTTTCTTATAGAAATCCTGCATCCACGGAAAAGCTGCACTTTCTTTTTGTTTATTATTATAATTTAAGTTTTAGGGTACATGTGCACAATGTGCAGTTTTGTCACATATGTATACATGTGCCATGTTGGTGTGCTGCACCCATTAACTCGTCATTTAACATTAGGAGGGATAGCATTAGGATAGCATTAGGAAAAGCTGCACTTTCAATACAAGATAAAAAGGTATTTCACCAAAATTGCAAGGTTTTTATGCCTATTGGTGTAGCTGCAGTGACTGCTTAATAAATTTTCTTTTCTTTTTTCTTTCTTTTTTTTTTAACAACAGTTCTTAGACCGGATTCATTTATCTTGAAATTCTGGATAACCACAGTGGGAGACTCCATCTATGGCACATATCAAGCAATTCACCTTTTTCTTGTAATGTCATGACTTTTCTCTGCTTCTTAGGAGCATTTCCAGCATTACTAGTCACACTTCATATGGGTCACATGGTGATATTCAGGATATATATTATTGCACTAAACACAATGAAAAATATGCAAGAACAACAAAATATCT
This sequence comes from Homo sapiens, assembly GCF_000001405.40. Lineage (NCBI taxonomy): Eukaryota > Metazoa > Chordata > Mammalia > Primates > Hominidae > Homo > Homo sapiens. The sequence continues at coordinate 76,946,992 of NC_000008.11, read as the reverse complement.
CTTTTTATTGTGATACACAATTTACTGGAGAGATACACTGGTCAGGTGGAGATGATTAGTGTCCCATGGTGTTTTAGGCAGAAACTTATAACACTTGAGCTCATTGCAAAAGCAACAGGAGGTGGCTACAAAATTATTACGGTTAATGTACTACAGTTAATTTTATGCAATTATGATTTAGTACTGCATCTTTATATTTGCTTTCATATCTCTCAACTATGAATGATGCCACATACAGTCTATGTTTGTGTGCATAAATTTTGGTAAGTTTAATTTTTGTAATATTTTGTATATTTTAATGTAATATTTTGTATATTTTATGGTAGCAAACGATAACACAGACAAATATCTATGTACATTTTCTGCATTCATAACATACCTAACTTTTTCATTAATTATTTCTAGGCTACATAATTCATCTGTAAATTTTTTCAAATTATCACAAATCTGCAAAAATATTTTAATATATTTATTGGAAAATATCTGCATATTAGTGGATGTGTGCAGTTCAAACCCAGGTTGTTCAAGGGTCAACTGTAATTAATTCTTTTAATAGGTCACAAGAATAAAATCAAAGATCATTTTAATAGATGACCTAAAAGTAACTGATAAATTTAGTATCCACTTATATTAAAGATAACACTTTTAGCAAAAAGGAATAATTTATTAACAATATAAATATTTATGGCATCTTAATAACTGTCATGCTTAGTGCTGCAATAGACAGTAATTCCATTTGCAGTTGAAAATAAGGCAAGGACTGAGCACCCAAATTGGCCATCGACCCTACCTCCTCTGTGGCAGAGCCACCATAGGCTCAAGTTCCCCCCAAGGTGATGAAGATCAGCCCACAAAGTGCCCATTATTGCTGGCTATGCTGCCGCATACAACTGTGTCCCTCAGAAACTGAAGACAAACCTGCTTAGCATATATTCCAGCCATCAACACAGTTTCTGTAACAGTAGAGCTACTGTGCCAGTTGCATGCCCACTGATGGCTCAAAAACTGGCCTGCCCTTAGCAAAGTCATGCTGTTGTCTCCAAAACCATTTTAGACCATAGAGTTACTCTAATGTTGATAGCAGCCAAAGAAATCACACAGAGACTGTGCTACTGCACCCATCCAGAACCAAAGCCAGAGCATCCTATGCAACTCATAATATAGGACACATTTACAGGAAAAATCTTTCTCTACAAAAACTACTCTGTAAAATTGGAGGGAGTGACTGTTCCACCAGATATGCAGATATGAATATAAAAACACAAGAAACATGAAAAAATGAGACAACATGACACCTCCAAAAAAACACAATAATTCTTCAGAAACAGACCCCAAAGAAAAGGAAATCTAATGCCAAAGAAGGAATTCAAAATAGTGATTCTAAGGAAACTCAGTAAGATGCAAGAGAAGAGATGGACAATTTAACAAAATTAAGAATACAATTCATGATCAGAGTGAGAAATTAACAGAGATATATTATCAAAAAGCACGAAACAAATTTTTGAGCTGAGTAATTTTATGAATGAAAAAAATACAATAAAGAGCTTCAGCAACAGACTAGATGAAGCAGAAGAAATAATTTATGAACTTGAAGGCAAGTCTTTTGAAACAAACTAGTAACAAAATAAATTTCCTTTTTCTGTAATAACAAAAAAGAAAAAATAAGAATAAAAAAAGAAATGAAAACAGTTTCTTGGAATTATATGACACCCTTAGCCAAACAAATGTTTACATTATGGGAGTTTCAAAAGGAGAAAAGATGAAAAAAGTCAGAGAAAACCTATTTAATTTAATCAAAATAATAGCTGAAACCTTCCCAATCTTGAAAACAATAGGAACATCCAGATCCAGGAAGCTCAAAGGTCTTGAAATAGACTCAACCCAAAAAGGGTCTCCTTAAGACACATTAAAAGCAAAATTTGAAAGTCAAAAACAGAAAAACATGTCAAGTCAAATGTAAGAGAATCTTCAATAGATTAACAGCAGATTTCTCAGCAGAAAGCTTACAGACCAGGAGATAGTGAGATGATATATTTAAGGTCCTATAAGACAAATAAAAACAAAACTGTCCATCAAGAATACTATGCCCAGTAGATCTATCCTTCAGAAATGAAGAAGAAATAAAATCTTTTCCAGACAAGCAAAAACAACGATTTAATCACCAGTAAACTGTTCTTATGAGAAGTACTAAAGGAAATACATGTGGAAGCAAAAGGTAATAGCTACTGTCTTAGTCGATTTTTGCATTACTATGAAGGAACAACCGAGGCTGGATGATTTATTTTTTTTAAAAAATGGTTTACTTTGCTCAGGTTCTGCATACTGTGCAAGAACTGGTACTGGCATCTGCTTCTGATAAGGACCTCAGAAGGCTTCCAATCATGGCAGAAGGTGAAGGAGGAGCAGTTGTGTCACATAGTAAGAGAGGGTGCAAGACAAAGAAAGGAGGATGATGTTGGACTTTTTGTAATGATTATATCTCATGAGAACTAATAAAGCAAGAACTCACCCATTTTCATGAGGCTGGTACTAAGCCATTCACAGGAGATGTGATTCCATGACTCAAACACCTCCCACCAGGCTCCACCTCTAACAATGAAGATACTGAGATGTGGAAGGGAAAAATAACCAAACTATATTAGCTATCATCATGAAAATACACAAAAGTATAAAACTCACTGGTAGAACAGAGACACAAATAAGAAAGAGAAAGGAATCAAAACTTACTAATGCAGAAAACCACCAAACCATAAAGAAAGATCAGTACTAAGAGAGAAGGAAGATAACAAATGATGTGCAAAACAACCAGGAAATAATTAACAAAATTACTGAAGTAAGTCTGTACCTATCAATAGTAGCCTTGAATGTAAATGAATTAATTTCCCCCAAATATAAGATAGAGTTGATGGATGGAAAAAAAAATAAGGTCCAACGGTATGCTGCCTACAAAAACTCACTTCACCTGTAAAGATACACAAAGACTGAAAGTGAGGGGGTGGAAAAAGTATTCCATACAAATGAAAATGAAAAACAAGCAGAAGTACCTATATTTACATCAGATAAAATAGACTTTACATCAAACTCTGTAAAGAGAAACAAAGAAGGTTATTACAAAATGATAAGGGAATAAATACACCAAGAGCATATAACAATTGTAAATATATATGTACCCAATACCAGAACACCCAAATATATATGTGTATATAATATATATTATTACATCTAAAAGAGGAGATAGACTCCAATATAATAATAGTTGGAGACTTCAGTATTCCACTCTCAATATTGAATAGATCATCTGGACAGAATAAACAAGGAAATATCAGATTTAAACTTCACTTTGATGAAATGGACCTGACAGACATTTGCAGTATATTTTATCTCACAGCCGGAGATTACAAATTCATCTCATTAACACATGGAACATTCTCCAGGATAGAAAGCAGTACTAAAAGAGAAGTTTACAGCAATAAACATGTACATCAAAAAAGTAGAAAGAGTTCAAATAAACAACCTAATTATGCAACTCAAGGAACTAGGAAAGCAAATATAAACCAAACCCCTAAAAAAAAAAAAAAAGAAATAATAAATACCAGGGCAGAAATAAACAAAATAGAGACCACAAAATTATAAGGGTCAACAAAACAAAAAAAACGGCTTTTTGAAAACATAAATACAATTGGCAAACCATTATCTAGACTAAGAAAAAAGAAAGAAGACTCTAATAAATAAAATAAAAAATGAAAAAGGAGACATTACACTGATACTGTAGAAGTGGCAATCAGTAGAAATTACTATGAACAAATATATGCTAACAAGTAAAAAAACTAAGAGGAAATGATTATTTCTTGGATGCTTACAACCTACTAGGATTAAACCAGAAAGAAACAGAAAACCTGAAAAGACCAGTTATGGCTAACAAGATTGAAGCAATAATAAAAATTCTCCCAACGAAGCAAAAAACAGGACTGATGGCTTTACTGCTGAATTCTACCAAACACTTAAAGAAAAACTAACAACAATTCCTCAAACTATTCCAGAAAATTCCAGGAGAGAAGATTCTTCCAAACTCATTCATAAGTCTAGCAGTACCCTGATACCAAAACCAGACAAAGGTACAACAAAAAAAGAAAACTACAGGCTAATATCCCTGAAAAACCTAGAGGAAAAATCCTCAACAAAATACTGGCAAACCAAATTCAACATCACATCAAAAAAATTATACACCACATCAAGTAAAATTTATCTCAGGGATGCAAGGATGATTAAACATATGCAAATTCATCAATGTGATACATCACATCAAGAAAATATGATCAACACAATATATGCAGAAAAAGCATTTAATAAATTCAACATCCTTCATGATTAAAAACTCTTGACAAATTGGATATAGAAGGAACATACCTCAATGCAATAAAAGCCATATATAGTAAGCCCACAGATAACATCATACTGAACAGGGAAAAGTTGTAAGCCTTTCCTCTAAGAACTGGAACAAGGCAAAAACACCTACTTTCACCACTTTTATTTAACATAGTACTGGAAGCCCTAGTCAAAGTAATTAGGCAAGAGCAAGAAATAGAAGACATACAAATTGTAAAGGTGGAAGTCAAATCGTCCCTGTTCATAGATGACATGATTTTATATAAAGAAAAACGTAAAGATCCATCAAAAACTCTTAGAACTGAAAAATGAATTAACTAAAGTCTCAGGATAGAAAATCAATGTACAAAAATTAGTAGTGTTTCTATACATCATTTATGAACTAGATGACAAAGAAAGCAAGGAAGAGATCTTATTTACAATAGCCCCCCCTCCACACACAAAAATACCTAAGAATAGATTTAGCCAAGGACTTGAAAGATCTCTGCAATGAAAATTACAAAACTTTGATGAAACAAGTTAGATACAAAAAAGGAAAGACATCTCATATTCATTGACTGTAAAAATTAATATTGTTAAAATTACCATAGTACCTAAAGTGATCTACAGATTCATTGCAATTTCTATCAAATTACCAATGGCATTCTTCACAGAAATAGGAAAACAATCCTAAAATTTGTATGACACCACAAAAGACCCTGAATAGCCAAAGAAATCCTAAGTAAACAAACAAACAAACAAAATCTGGAGGCATTACATTACCTGACCTCAAAATACACTACAGAGCTTATGTTAACTTAAACAGCATGGTACTGGCATAGAAACACACAAACAGACCAATGTGACAGAAGAGAGAGCCCAGACATAAGTTCACACATCTACAGGAAACTGATCTTCAACAAGCCTCCAAGAACATACATGGGGGAAAGAACACCCTTTTCAATAAATGGTGCTGGAAAAAATGGATAACAATATGCAGAAGAATGAAACTGGATCCCTGTTCTCTCACCTTACAGAAGAATCAACTCAAAATGGGTTAAATACCTAATTGAAAGACCTGAAACTATGAAACCACTGGAAGAAAGCATAGGAAAATGTCATGATTTGAATGTTTGCTTCTTCTGAAATCTCATGTCTAAACTTAATCCCTAATGTGGCAGTATGGAGAAGTGGGGCTTTTATGAGGTGATTGGGTCATGAGAGCTCTGCTCTCATAAATGCATTAATCCATGAATGGGTTAATGGATTAATAGGTTATCATGGGAGTAGGACTGATGTCTTTATACAAAGAGGAAGAGAGTCCTGAGCTAGCATGATCAGCCCCCTCACCATGTAATGCCCTGTACTGTCTCAGGACTCTACAGAGACCCCATCAGCAAGAAGGCTCTCACCATATGTGGCCCCTGGGCCTTGGACTTCTCAGCCTCCATAACTGTGAGAAATACATTCCTCCATTGTGTAAAGAATATGCAGAAAACATTTTCAAAATGCGTTAAAGTAGTATAGCTCAAAAAATAAATACAACCACTTTAAAAAACATAATAATGCTGATTTGTTATAAATTGATATTTATTTAATAGACACCTGTATAGTACTTACATTTTATTGTGCTAGGCTCTTGTCTTAGTGTTTTGAACATCATAATTCATTTAATTTTTATATCATAATCCCCATTTCACAGATGAGCAATCTGCAGCACAGAGTGTAAGTAACTTGCTCATCACACAAGTAATTTTCAAGCACCAGCTACTTTTTTTAAAAAGCTGAATGTTGCATTTATTAATAGGTTTTGTCTTAGAGATGTGAAATTTATTGAATATCTTACTGAGTATTAAGTAGCTGCTGTGGTCCAGGCACCTTGTTAGGTCCCAGGTATACAAAAATGAGCCAATTGTGGTCACTGCCTTTATGGAACTTGCTTAGAGGTGGGAGAGAGAGAGGAGTGAGCCAGCACTTTTAATACATCTAGCTAGGATGAAATGGGAGCACAGAAGAGCAACATATAAATCAGACTGGAGGGTCTCTGAGGGCTTCTTCAGGAAGATAATACTTTATGTATAATTTGAAATATAGTAGAAATGTAGCAATGGGAAAAAGGAAAAGGAAGAGAAATACTTTTCAGGGGAAAGAATTAACATATTTGTAGAGGTGATTATTAGCAAATTGGCCACATCCTAATTCGTAAGTATATATGGATTTTTCAAACCTTTTATTTTACATGGAAGAGCTAAATGCATTAGTTTCATCTTCAAAACTCAGGAATTGAAATTTAACTTATACATAAATGGAAATTTTTTCTGCAGTCTTATTTTTGTTTTTACATTTTTAAAAACACTTTTTGCACTGAGCTGAGATCGTGCCATTGCACTCCAGCCTGGGCGACAGAGTGAAACTCCATCTCAAACAAAACAAAACAAAGCAAAAAACTTCTATTTTAAGTTTAGGGCTATATGTGTAGGTTTGTTATATAAATAAGCTAGTGTCCTGGAGGTTTATTGTACATATTATTTCGTAAGCCAGGTATTAAGTCTGGTGCCTTTTAGTTATTTTTCCTGATCCTCTCCCTCCTCCCACCCTCCACTCTCCAATAGGCCCCAGTATGTGTTGTTCCCCTCTATGTGTCCATGTGTTCTCATCATTTAGTTCCCTCTTATAAGTGAGAACATGCAGTACTTGGTTTTCTGCTACTGCATTAGTTTGCTAAGCATAATGGGTCTAGCTCCATCCATGTTTCTGTGAAGGACATGATTTCGTTCTTTTTTATGGCTGCATAGTATTTCATGGTGTGTATCTACCACATTTTCTTTATCCAGTCTATCACTGATGGACATTTAGGTTGATTCCATGTCTTTGCTGACCGCTTTTAGAAAATGCATGTTGAATGTCTGTCAAGGTGAAAGATCGTTTAATTGCTCCTTCCATTTGTGTTGATTCCACCTGCTGAGTTAATGAAAATTTCATCTCCTTATCCTTTACTCGTTCTAGACCAGTGGGCCTCACATCAGAATCATATGGGGAACTTGAAAACCAACTGGGTCCTACCTCCAGAGACTCTTATTTAACTAGTAAATTTTGGGTATCAAACTTTTAGAAGCTCTTAGATAATACCCACAAGTAGCCCAAGGTTAAAAAGTATTGTCCTGATAAACAATGGAAGAATTCTGGCTCATAAACTTTCTTGTTCTTCCAAGGAATTCCATGGTTACTAGTGTTTTTGTATACGTGGCAGCAGAGCACATAGTTTAAAGTCTGGTACATACTATGCAATCAAACTTTATTGAATAAGGCTTTCTAAATGCACATCCATATGCACATACAAATATCTACTTTCAAAAATTAAAAATTGGTCAAAGTGTGGTACTTGTGTCAAATTTAAAATTTGACTTTAATGTATAATTCATGTACAGCTTTTGTTTTAAGGAAAATATAGAATTTATAACAATTTATTGTTTGTTTGTTTTGAGGCAGAGTCTCTGTTGCCCAGATGCCATCTCAGCTCACTGCATCCTCCACTGCCCAGGTTCAAGCAGTTCTCCTGCCTCAGCCTCCCATATAGCTGGGTCTACAGGTGTGCACCACCACACCCTGCTAATTTTTGTATTTTTTAGTAAAGACAAGGTTTCCCCCATGTTGGCCAGGCTGATCTCGAACTCCTGATCTCAAGTGATCCGCCCGCCTTGGCCTCCCAAAGTGCTGGGATTACAGGCGTGCGCCACGGGCCAGGCTTAATTTTTTCTTTATTGATGAGGCTCTTCTTTTATTATGAAAATATCCCCAAAATTAAGATTGTGAATTAGACATATTTTCTATCTTTTAACAGATGGAAATTAAGTTCATATACATATCATATGTTTCTTAGCTTACCATGTTAGAGTATATGAGTTCTTGATGTTGTTATGTAAATTTCTAATTCCCATTGTGCATTAGTATTGATAGTGTCTAAAACAAATGGATGTAATTGCACAAAATGAAGACCTGAGGAAATTATTAGGCAACCCAATGACAAAACCTTTTGCCCAATAATTTGGACATTACAGGTAGAAATTCTATGAGAATTTGGATCATTTACATAATTACTTCAGTTTTATCCTTAGCTTTTATTAAATTAGTATATAAATATTTGAACATTTTATCTTAAGATAAATTACCTGGGTGGGAGAAATGTAAATTAATCATTGAATGTTTTACCCCTTGTATTCAGACAATTATTAAACTCTCTATGCTTTATTTTTTATACCTGGGACATTCTATAGAGTTCTATATGCTAATATTGTTGTTACAAATATATTCATGATATTTTCCCAATATTGAGAAGACCGCATAAATCCAGAGCCTAAATTTTTTCAGATACTATGGTTTTACTTTTTATATCTACTCGACGTGTCTGAAATCTGTTCTTTCTTCAAATACTAATTACAAATACATTTTTTTAAATAAAGTAATCTAACCTACCTACGATACATTCCAATTTTAAGGTAATATTTATGAATGCATATTGCTAGAGATTTCTTTCTTGAATTGGAGCCCTGTATAGGTAAGAAATAGGGAACAAAAATAAAAATATTCAGCAATAGAAGATGCTTATTAGCCAACTTGTCTTCTCTTTTCAAGGACATTCTAAATTTTAAGCATTTTAGGGTTGAGTTCTAGATCTATTCTATTTTTATTAGTAGACAGAAAGCAGTCTTGAATCAGGGATTAGGAAAGCTTACAGGTTATTAGGAAAGCTCTTTTTAGAAAAATCATAGCTATTAGGCTGCTGCTGAGAAAGTTGAGCTTCGTTCAAAGAATCTCTTAATCATCTTTCCTATTGCTGAAGCTGCAGTTAACATATAGAAAAGAGTGTTCTTCCATTTAATGAATTCCCAAATGCTGTGGCATTTATTAAGGAAATATTTAAGTAGAACCATTATTCAGAGGATATTTTATTCTTTCCTTACTACCACTGCCCTGTCTTCATCTTATTAGTTTCCTAGTGGGAGGTTAAAAGAAATATACAAGAATGTATTGTATTCCCTGTCTGGCCTTATTCCTTACTTAACTTTGTACTTCACTGGCACAAAAATAAAAATAGGTTCAGACTCTAGTGATGCTGATTAAGAAAACTCTCAAGCAGGTTACATGTTATTTAGCCCTACTACAATTCTAGCTGTTTTAATTTAGCCTTTTAACTTCATAATTAATATGAAGAAAATTAAAGTCATGAGTATTCACTTCTTTTCAGTGTATATTTATAGAGTATATAGTATAAATGAGGCATGGCATTCAGTTATGGGATACAAAGATGAATAACAGAAAGTTAGATCCTGGCACAGAACCATACAGTCTAGTTAGAGGGGGGAGATAAATATAGACTTATACAAGGTGATAAGCCCCTAATAGGAAGAGCACACCTGATGAGCACTCAGCCAGACTTGGGAGAACAGCAGACGTCCAGGAGGAAGTGTACAGATCTGCCTATATGGATAAATATGAGTGAACAACTGTAAACATTTTGATGTAGCTGAACCTTAAGAATCTGTGGAAGGGTGGACAAAAGTGAAAGGATAAATACCATCTCTTTGGGGATACTGCCACAATACAAGCAAATAGTTAAATTAGTCTAGATCTGAATTACATCTGCAAAAGAAGATATGGGGCAAGAAAGGTAAAAATATCTGGATTAGAGGCCAGGCATGGTGGCTCACGCCTGTAATCCCAGCACTTTGGGAAGCCAAGGTGGGTGGATCGCTTGAGGTCAGGAGTTTGAGACCAGCCTGGCCAATATGATGAAACACTGTCTGTACTAAAAGATACAAAAATTAGCTGAGTGTGGTGCCACACGCCTGTAGTCCCAGCTACTTGGAAGGCTGAGGTGGGAGAATCGCTTGCACTCGGGAGGCGGAGGTTGCAGTGAGCCAAGATCATGCCACTGCACTCCAGCCTGGGTGACAGAGTGAGACTCCTTCTCAAAGGAAAAAAAACAAAAAGAAAGAAGAAAGAAAGAAAGAAAGAAAGAAAGAAAGAAAGAAAGAAGAAAGAAAGAAAGGAAGGAAGGAAGGAAGGAAGGAAGGAAGGAAGGAAGGAAGGAAGGAAGGAAGAGAAAGGAAGGAAGAAAGAAAGAAAGAACGAACCTGGATCCTTGAATGCCAATTAGAACCTTTGGTTTTAAGAGGCATATCTCCTCCCAGTCTGTAACAAATCTAATTACAACAACAACTCAAAAAAGGCATTATTTGCCCATTTTTCTCATTCTTGTGAAATCTTCCTGATTCAATGTCAGGCAGAATGATTATAGACCCTATATCTTGCTATATTGATACCTGAACTTGGGGTTCTTATGATTTGGATTTTATAGGAAGAAAAAAAGAGTTAGTTCAATTTAATGTAAGATCAAGGAGGCATAAATATACACATATAAACTATAATGACATATAATATAGTTCTAATATTAATTTCATATTCTTCCCCGATAAATAAAATACCTTACCCAGATAAGTTTGAAAAAACAAGGAGTCTCCTCTGGGGCAGTCTAGATTTCTCTCCTTTTTTCATCTTCAAATTTGGCTGAGACTCTTCTGTGTGTCTCACACTGTTCTTGTTCCACATGAGTCTGAGGGATTAATTGTACAGAGATTTTATCTCCAGATTGTCTCAGTTTTCATTTGCACTCCTCAGGTTGCTCTTTATTACCAGGATTACTAAGGACATGATTTTTGTTTTTGTTTGCAATTCTGCCTGCAAAATTTCTGCCACCACTTATTGTCAATAACCCGGTTTGCTTGAAATTTCCATCCTTTTTCCAATCCAAAGACTTTGTAGTTGTTGATCATTGTCTCTGTGATCTGGCCCTGATGTGAAAATAGGCTAAGTGTATTAAACTATACTCTTATTTTTGAGAAAAGTAACTTTCCTATTGGAGTCTGGAAGCTCAAAAGCAATATCCCACTAGCAGCTCAGTCTGTCAATCAAGAAGGGTTTGTGGTGCGCTTATGAATTTCCAAACATTGTGCTAAGCACAGGGAATAACAAAATGAATGAGACCAAATCTCTGCTTTCAGGGAGCGTACAGTCAAGTGGACAGAAACATTGTGTATTGATACTTTCATATAGTGTGGTCCAACATCCTCTTCAGCCTCAGCAGCTTAGGTATTTTGTTTGACCACTCAAAGCTCAATGCCTTGTGGATGATAAATACAGACCCTGCATTTATATCAGAGCATTTCAACACCCTATTGCAGGTTATATTTCCCTTGTCAATGTTCTCTTCACCTATTCTACTTATCTCTATTACCACATATGGCATGATTCATTTTTTCAGTCAAATTTATTGAGTTTCTTGAGAAAAATTCACCCTTTTAAGAGGACAGTATGCGCTTTGACAACCATATACACTCAGGTAACTACTCCCACAGTCAAGACATGGACATAGTCTATTACCCCAAAAAGTTCACTTTTGCCTCTTCCTAGTCAAATATCTCCCTCTGCAACTGATACGATTATTCTCCCTGCTGTTTTGCCTTTCACCAAATGTCATATATATATGGAATCATAGAGTATACAGCCTTTGTGTCTGGCTCCTTTCATTTGGCACAATGCTTTTAAAGTCATTTATGTTGTTACATAAACTAGTAAATTTTTGTTGTTGTTGTTTAGTATTCCAATGCATAAAAGTGACAAATTTCATGTATAAAAGTGCCATATTAACAAGGGTTGTTTGCTGATTTTTGCAATTAAAGGTGCCCCTTTTTAGTTTTCCTTGCCTCATCATACTGAGTGGGGCGTCCAGTACAAAGTTGAATAGAAGTGGTAACAGTGCACATCTTTACCTTGTCCTCTATCTTGGGGAAAATATTCAGTCTCTACCATACAGTGTAATGCTAACTGAAGGCATTTAAAGCTAAATCTTTTTTCTATGAGTTCCTAAGAATCATATCCATGGAGAATGTCTCACAGCAATTCCTTTGACACTGGGTGATACCTCTTCTCCAGTTAGATGTCTACAACACCCTGTAGCTTCTGCAATCCGTAACATTCCACAGGCTGCTAGCAGCTATAGATGGCTGCCTGTGGCATGTTACAGATTGCAGAAGCTGTGGAGTCTTTCAAGAATCTCTTCTGGGTTTCTTTAATTAACTTACTTATTTATTTAAAGACAGGGTCTTGCTCCATCACCCAGGCTAGAGTGCAGTGGTGCTATCATGGATCACTGCAGCCTCAACCTCCTGGGCTCAAGTTATCTTCCTGCCTCAGCTTCCTGAGTAGCTGGGACTGCAGGTGCATGCCACCAGACCCGGCTAATTTTTCTATTTTTTGTAGAGACAGGGTATCACTATGTTTCTAAGGCTGGTCTTCGACCCCTGGGCTTAAGTGACCTTCCCATCTCCCAAACTGCTAGGATTACAGGTGTAAGCCACCATTTCTGGCCACCTGGGCTTCTTTTAAAATAATCCTTGGGCCTGTTCTCTTCCAATGGGCCCTTCCTCAGTTCATTTGATACATATACAACTCTGACCTACCCTCAGCTTGCTCACAGTGTTGCCACCACTCTGACACCAGGAGCATTTTATAGACACCAGCCATGTTACTCAAGTTGAAGGGCTCATGAAGCAGGTTTTGTAGGTGGGCTACTTGAGGCACCTCCCCCATGGCTTCAGTGAAGGGAAGCAACACTCAATCCTCTCCCAGAAGGAGCTCAGGGAAAACACCACAAACCGCAATAGCTTTCTCCAAAGACACCCTCTCTTCCAGTACCTTCATACTCAGTTGTTTTACTTGCTTGAGTGATTGTGGGCTGAAAACCATAAAACTGGTGTGGGGCCAGACCTTTGCAAATCCTTCATAAGCGTTCAAATGCCTTCTTTTGAAAGGTGTGAGTGCTTTCTTCTGCAGTTGTATTTCTTTAGGGACTTTAGTTAGCATGGAGGCAAAACAGTCCTACTTTATAACTGTATTACAAATTAATGAACTGATACTAGAAGATTAACCTTTCAACCTCAACTTGGTATTTTTCCAACTATACAACACTATTTCAATTTGTATCTAATACATAATGAGCCAGGAGAATGATATCCACGAATAGGCACATCAAGTAAGGAATAGCTATGTGCATATACTTCTTTAATTACTGTAATATAGTTCCATGATTTAGGAATTGTGGAGGAAGTTACTAAGGGAAAAAATGAAGGTGAGATTAGATAAGACTGACAGAATTGCAAAGAGTAAATATTTAACCGCATGTCAGAGTAGGAGCCATAGTGTTAAGTTTTTTTTTAAAGTAGAACCTTGCTTTGAAGTGAAATCTCTTATTTCATTCAATATATGTTTATTAAAACCCACCTAGGTAGGATGTTGGGCACTAGATGTATTTTAGTGTAAGAATGTAAGTGCTCTGATGGAGCTTGCATTCCCAAGGGAGGAAGAAACAATAAGCAATTAACAAATTAATGAACATAGCCATTTTTGCTAGTGATAAGTCCATAAAATTAGGAAAATATGATATAGATTGAGTAGGCATGAGAATATGGTATAGTAGATAGACTCGAAGGCCTCTCTCTAAGGAGGTGACATTTGAGTTGAAACAAACAACAAGGATCCAGCTCTATGAAGATATGATGGCAGCTTGTTCCAGGCAGAGGAGACAGAAAGTAAGAATGCCCTAAGGCAGGAATATGATAAATTCATAGATTAGTCAAAAGGCCATTGTGGCTGTAGCATAATAAGAGAGGTGGAGCATCATAGATGATGAGGTCAGACGGGCAGGCAGCAACTAGTTCATGTAGGGTCTCGAAGGTTATAGTAGGTCATTAGATTTATTCTAAGTGCAGCAGAAAGCTTTTTGGAGGGTTTTAAGCCAGGAAATGACATGTCTGATTAATGAATTTAAGACGTCATTCTCTCTACTGTGCAGAGTATAAATTCTAGGGAGCAAGAATAGAAGCTGGAACACCAATTAGGAAACTATTATCATGGTTTAAGTGAAAGATGATAATGGCCTAGAATAGGTAGTAAAGATGATGGGAAGGATGGCAGTAAAGATGAACAGAAGTGATGGATGTGTGATATATACTTTTAAGGTAGAGCTGATGGGACTTGCTTATGGGTTGTACTTGGAATATAAATGAAAGAACCTAACTCAGTCTTGAGCAATATGGCTGACTCAGAGGATTGGTTCAGAAAGTTTTAGAAATTAGTTTTCCATGAGATAATTTTGAGAAGCCCACTATACATTCAAGCAGAGGAGTCAAGCACATGCAGCTGCAAATGAATTGGAGTCCAGAGGTCAGTGGGAAGATCATGGTTGGAGATACAAATATGGGCTTTGTTGGCATTTTGATGACAGCCAAGGGACTAGATAAGATATTTTAGATAAAAAGTGTTCAAGGACCGAACTCTGAAACATTCCAACACTTACAGGTGGAATATAAAATGTTACACTAATGCAGTACACTCAGATGGACAAACCACTAAGGTAGTAGAAAAGTCCCATGTGAATGTACATCACAGAAACCAAGAGAGTGAAATGTGTCACAAGAGAGAATGGTCAACTCTTGTCTAATGTTTCTGAGAGATGGAATAAAATGAGGAGAGAGAAATTACCATCGTACATGTCATGGGTGAATTTTTCATTTGTGTTACTCACCCTGACCCTCTACCCAAAGATAGCACAGTCTAAAACGAAGGCGACAATAAAGGTAGTTTATTTTGGTTTATGATGCCAGGGACTAGGAATGTAAGATTGATAAGAATGAAACAGAAAAAGAGGGAAAGTCAATACAAGCATGCACTAAGCTCATCAACACTTAGCCTATAGATAAATATTCTTCTCTTCCATCCCACAGGCAGTCAATCCTAAGGCACATTCTACATGGGAGGCCTGGAACCTTCTGAGAAGCTGTGTAGAATGTGCCTCAGGATTGACTGCCTGTGGGATAGAAGAGAAGAACATCTATCTATAGGCTTTCCTTCCCCAGTGGTCAAAGGTTGTTCATGGAGTGTTACAGTTCCAGGTTTTCACAAGCTCCACTATTGAGAGATGCTGTCTTTAATGGAATCAAAGAAACATCAGAGCAGGAAGATAGAGATATGAGGTACAGATAGAGACAAGGTATTGTTTGGTTGTATTTGCAGAAAGCTGGTTGCCATAGCAATACGTGAAATAAAAGGTGACCATAAAGAATGTAAGATGGGGCATAATAAGGCCTGAAACTATCCATTCCTTGCACCACTCATATGTGCTTAGTTTATTGCAGGATCCTCAAGGTAATGAATGGCCTTAATTTCTACAACACATTTAATATTGAGGGATTAATTGAGTAAGCTATAGTCCCCACTGCTGCAACTGGGACTAAGGTTATAATTTATGTTCATCAACAGCCTTCTCTATCTAAAGATAGTAAAAAGATAATAAGGGAATATTGTGGACAACTTTATGCTTATACATTTGATGACTTAGATGAAATGAAAAAAAAAATCCTGGAAAGACACAAACTACCAAAGCTTACACAAGAAAGCATAAATAACCACAATAGCCTTATATCCATGAAATAAATTGAATTTGTAGTTAAATATATTCCCATGAAGAAAACTCTAGGCCTCAATGACTTCCCTGGAATAGTCTAACTGATATTTAAAGAAGATATAATATTAATTCAACCAACTTTTCCAGAAAAATGAAGAGATGGGAATATTTCTGAACCGATGCTATGAGACAGTAGTTTCCTTGATACCAAATTCAGACAACTATTACAAGAAATGAAAACTACAGACCAGTATTCCTTATGCACATAGATGTAAACATTCTTAAAATTCAGCAAGGTAAATCTATGAACACTTAAAATATATAATACATCATAATCTAGTGGTATTTATGTCAGGAATGCAAGGTTAGTTTAGCATTACAAAAATTAGTACATTTTACTCGGTGTGGTGTCTCACTCCTGTAATCCCAGTGCTTTGGGGGGAGAGGGGAAAATCACTTGAGGCCAGGAGTTCAAGACGAGCCTGGGCAACATAGCAAGTCCCCATCTCTGCAAAAATAAATAAATAAATAAATAAATAATAAATAATAAAAATTAGCCAGACATTATGGTGTGCACCTGAAGACTCAGATACTTGGGAGGCTGATGTGGGAGAATTGCTTGAGCTCAGGAGCTTGAGAACTGCCAGGTGCAACATAGCAAGACCTTATCTTTAATAAAAACATAAATTAGTCAGGCACCATAGTACACACCTGTAGTCCTAGCTACTCAAGAGCCTGAGGCAGGAGAATCACTTGAGCCCAGGAATTCAAAGTTATGGTGAGCTATGGTCATGCCATAGTCTGGGCTCCAGCCTGGGTGATAGAGCAAGACTTTGTCTCTAAAAGAAAAGAAAAAATATATAAAAGACTTCAGATTGAAAAGGAAGAAGTAGTAAAATTATTCACAGGCAGCATCTTTGCAGAAAATCCTGTGGAGTCTACACAAAGCTACTAGAACTTATAGGAATTTAGCAGGGCTCCAAGATATAAGATTAATATCCCCAGATCAATTATTTTTTGGTACACTAGCACTCAGAAATTAAAATAAAAACAACATAATTTGCAATGGTATCAAAACATGAAATATGTAAGGATAAGTTAGACACAATATATGCAAAACTTGTGCTGTGAAAAACTACAAATATTTATGTAATATAGTTTTAAAAACCTACATAAATGGAAAGGTATATTGTGTTTGTGCATTAGAAGACTTAATATTGTTAGGATGTCAATTTTCTCCAAATTGGTCTATAGATTCAACTCAACCCCAAACAAAATCTGGGCAAGTTTTTTTTCTTTTTCACAGTAATTGACAAGCTTACTCTTAAATTTACATAGAGATACAAAGGACTCTAGGAGAGCCAAAATAAAATTGAAAAAGAAGAGCAAAGTTGAAGACAAACTCTATCTGAATTAAAGACATAAAGCTACAGTAATCAAGAGAGTATGGTATTGATGTCAAGATAGATAAGTATACCAACAGCAAAGAATAGAGATTCCAGAATTATATCTACACATATGAACAACAAATATTGACAAAAATGATTCTTAGTGAAAGAAGTCTTTTATTTAACAAATGGTACTTGAAACAATGAATATCCTATTGAAAAGAAGGAAATGAAAAGAAAAAAAGAAGTTCAATCCATAATTCATAACATATATATAAAAAATTAACTCAAAGTGAATCATTACCCGAAATGTAAATCGAAAAGCTGTAAAATTTCTAAAAGAAAACATAGGAGAAACTTAAGTGATTTGGGGTTAGGCAATAATTTTCTAGGCATGACACTAGACCTGGAGGACATTATGCTAAGTCAAATAAGCCAAACACAGAAAAAAAAATTACATGATCTCACTTATATGAGGAATCTTTTTTCAAAATGGTCAAATATACAGAGAAAAAGGATAAAACAGTGGTTAGGGGGAGTGGAGGTAGGAAATGGGGAGATGGAGGTCAAACAATACAAGTAGCAGATATAAGGATAAATAAGCGTAGGAGACTCTGTCTCAATAAATAAATAAATAAATAAATAAATAAATAAATAAATAAACCTAGGGGTCTAATGTGCAACATGAGGACTAGAGCTAACAACATTCTATTGTATTAGGAATTCCTCTCAAATAAGTAGATTTTAGCTGCTCTTGTCACACAAAAAAGGCAACTGTTAGATGACAGGTTAGTATGCTTCAATACAGTAACCATTTTACTATCTATACATAGCCTAAAAGTCATGCTGTAAACCTCATATATACAAAATAAGATTTATTATTTTTAAAAAAAGAGAGAATGAAAAGACAAGCCATTGACTGGGAGATAATATTTGCAAATCATTTACGTAATAAAGGGCTAATATCTGTAATATATAAGAAACTGTTAAAACTCAGTAATAACAGAAAGACACAATTAGAAAATAGGCAAAAATTTGAATATACTCATACACCAAAGAAGTTATATGAATGGCAAGTAAGCACATGAAAAGATGGTCACCATTATTAGTAATGAGGGAAATGTAAATCAAAATCTCAATTAACTACAACTATTAGCATGCCTAAATTTAAAATGACTCACCACACATACCAGGTGTTGGCAGGGATGTAGAGCCACTGGAACTCTCATTCATTCCCGGTCAAGAGCAGTTCAGTGGATTCTTTAAAAAGGTAGTCTTACACCTACTGCACGGAACAGCCATTGTACTCCAAGGTTACTCAAGAAAAATAAAAGCGCGTTTCCATAAAAGATTTGTACCTAAATATGCATAGCTGGTTTTAACAGCCAAAAGCTGTAAATAATACAAATGGGCATCAATATGATTGGGTATATTATCATTTAAGAAAACACTATTCAGTATAAAGGGAAGTACTACTAGTATCTACAACAACACAGATAATCCTCTCAAGCAGTATGTACAGGGACAGAAGATAGTTAAAGAAACTGCATATTTTATTGTTTCATTTACATAAAATCCTAGAGGTGCCAATGAATTTGTAGTGGCAGAAAGCAGATCAGTGGTTGACTGCGGGGGTAGTAGCAGAGGGTACAGAAGGAAGGGACTGAAAAGGGGCATAGGAAAACTTTGAGGGGTGAGGGCTTTGTTTGTTATTTTGGTTGTGATGTTGGCTTTACAGATATATTCATGTGTCAAAATTTATCAAATTGTGCACCTTAAGCATGTTCAATTTACTGTATGTCAATTATACCTCAATAAAGCTAATACAAAGAGGGACAGAGATACTTGGTACAGGTAAGGCCAGATACTGCTGTGATACTCATGTGCCAAACTGGTTGCTCAACAATAACTGAGAAAAGAAAGGTGATTCAAAAAGATGTGAGGTACAGCACCAGAAGTATCTGATATAGTAGTAGCAGACTGTGGACAACGAAGCCCAAATAGTAATGTAGGCAGAAAATCATCATCATCATCATAAACTAAAATTGTATAATATTGGCCAGACACGGTGGCTCACACCTGTAATCCCAGCACTTTGGGAGGCCAAGGTGGGCAGATCACTTGAAGCCAGGAGTTCAAGACCATCCTGGCCAACAGGGTAAGATCCCATCTCTACTAAAAATACAAAAATCAGCTGGGCGTGGTAGCATGGGCCTGTAGTCACTGCTACTCAGGAGGCTGAGGCATGAAAATCTCTTGAACCCAGGAGGCAGAGGTTGCAGTGAGCTGAGATCATGCCACTGCACTCCAGCCTGGGTGACAAAGCGAGTCTCTGTCTCAAAAAAAAATTGTATTAATATAATATTTATTACCACCAGACTCTTAATACTGTAAACACACATATTTTACATATATATATTAGTAACTTATAATGTATATTTCTTTATAACTATAGATTTTTATATATTGTATAATTGTAAAATAGCTATAATCTATATATTTCATATATAAATATGTATTTTCTTATAATAAACCCAGTAATGCCATATAAATAGTAGTACTATATGTAGTAGTTGGCACTATATTTAAACCCAGGAATGGGTTATCTCCAGTAGTATCACATAAATAGTAGTACTATATGTAGTAGTTGGCACTATATTTAAACCCAGGAATGGGTTATCTCCATTTTAAAGATGAAAAAACTGAGACTCAGAGAGTCTTAGCTACTGTCTTAGTGAGTTTGGGTTGTTATAACAAATTATCATTGACTAGGTGATTTAAACAACAGAAATTTATTCCTCAGATTTTGAGGCTGTGAAGTCCAAGATAAGGGAGCCAGAGTGGTTGGGTTCTTACCCTTTTCCTGGTTTGTAAATAGCTGTCTTCCTGCTGTGTCCTCATAGTGGAAAGAGAGAAGAGAGAGGAAGCAAGCTCTCTCTTGTCTCTTCTTACAAGGGCACTAATCCCATCATGAGGGCTCTACTGTTATAATCTAATTGCCTCCCAAAAAGCCCACCTCCAAATACTGTCACATTGGTATTATGAATTTGGGGGAAGCATAAACATGCAGTCCCTAACAGCTGGTAAGGGGCTGAGTCCACTCGTACTAAGTAGATAATATTGAAAAGTGTCTGTGAAGGTAAATATAGGTATAGACAGATATAGACAGTAGCTCAGAGGGATGAGTGGGAAAGAACCAAGCATTAAGGAAGAATTTTTAAATTAAAGATGGTAAATGCTAATATAGCTATGTATAGATAGATAGATAGATAGATAGATAGATAGAATGATCCATAAGAAAGGTTAAAAAACCAAACACCGCATGTTCTCACTCATAGGTGGGAACTGAACAATGAGAACAAATGGACAGAGAAAGGGGAACATCACACACTGGGGACTGTTGTGGGGTGGGGGGAGGGGGAGGGATAGCATTAGGAGATATACCTAATGCTAAATGACGAGTTAATGAGTGCAGCACACCAACATGGCACATGTATACATATGTAACAAACCTGCACGTTGTGCACATGTACCCTAAAACTTAAAGTATAATAATTATAAAATTTAAAAAAAATTTATGATTCCAAGGAAACAATATAAATACAGGAGTGACATCTTGGGAAAGCAAGGCATGTAACGATTCTGTGATGAACTAATCTGTTGAGACCCTGCATTAGAACTGCATCCAAAGCCCTTTTAACCTCCCAACCTACCTTTCTAACTTCATCTTTTGTTGGTCCCCATCTCATACATTAAACATCTCTAATTATTCTGAAGACAACATGTTTTCCATTTCTCTGAGCCTTCGCCCTACTTTTAAACTCCTATAAGAACATCTCTCACATAACTACCATATAGTGACCCCTAACCTCATTCTTCAAAACCTGGTTCAAATATCGGTATCTTTGTGTAACTTTCTCCAGCTTCCTAACTTCAGGTCCACTACTCCCTTCCTTGCTACTCACAGAACATGTGACCTCTTATAGTTCTTATCACACTACATGGAAATATTTGTTTATACATCTTCTTCCTCCATTAGATGGTTACATTCTTGAAGACTGGGCTATATATTTTATTTTAAAAAATTTTATCACCTTATCAAGCACAGTGCCCATCATTGTGTTTGTTCTCAAAATGTGTTTCAGTGAGTGAAAATATGAATAAAATGTAACTGGCACAACTGAAACTGAGGACATATTTACACGTAGGAAGAACTTTCAGTAGTTGATAGTAACTCAGTAGAGAGCTGCTCTACCATTTTAAACATTGCCTCTGTTAGCACACAAGAATATAGAGTGTAAAATGCCCAGGGCCACTAAGATAATGCCCCTAGGCTCAAGACTCCCACCTAAAACATTGCCTGATCTCTTCCCCATGTAAAGCTGTTTGCTTTGTCTCCTGGTATCAGATGACCAGGGGACATGAAGATGGCATGAGTGTCCCTAGGCTACTAGCAATTCTGTTGAGGGAGATAGTATAGTTTTCCACTGAGCTATGTAGAAAGATTAAATTGAGCCACAAAGGATAAAGTACCTGCCTGGGGCTAAAGAAAGTTGACATTTGAGTCCTGCAAGCTCTGGCCCTACTCATACATTTGGCGCACAACCCTCTTTACTTCAGCAAACCTGCTAATAGTTTCAGCACTTACAGTGATAAAGCAGAAAATATAAACAATGTTTTGCCTCAGTAGCAGGCCTTTTCTGTGGGTGCCAATTCTCTGCTGCAGTTTTTCTTCAACAAGTTGAGAGAACTAATGAAAGATGTTCTCTTTTTTATATGTGTAAAATACATCTTAGCTCTAAAGCTGATCCTGGTATACCATGCCCAATGTGAGCCTTCTACTTCCTATTTGAGATTTACAGTCAATTTTGAATTTGCTGCTGCTGCTGTTTGTTTCCCATCCTATTTCTCAGGGCTAGCAAATCTATAAATAGTTTACATGCGGTTCAACTTTTAGTCTATTTTCTCATCAGATTCTCCGGCTTTGAGCCTTCTAAAATGGCAAGAGTAATCAGAATTGGACTTAGGGGATGCGAAATGGTACTTGGCAAAGGTGTGACTGACACCTTCTCTCTCACCCCCTTATTCTTTTCCTTCATCATCAAATTTTCTACATCAAAAAATCCTTGCTCTCTCAGAAACAGACTGCCCCCCACCCCATTAGAGCTGTGTCTTTGTGTGATGGCCTGATCAGATCCTGAGTTCATTTCATTTCTGTTACAGTCAAAACTGTCTCTGTATATGCCTATCTATATTTAAAGGTTTTCTCTTGGGACTCAAGTAATTCATATTTTATGTGAAGTAACTTAATTTTATGATGTGTCTGGTCTAAATAGATTTTTTCCCTCTCTACTCCTCTAAGACAATGACAATTTGATTTCCCATTTATGGTAACATTAATGTAATCTCCTAGTACTTAAGCACATCACTTCTGTCCAGTTTCTAAGAGCAATCTCATTTGCCAAGCATCCTATTGAGTGCAATGCTTAATACAGACCTAGCACCATCAACATTAAGGAGAACTTTGGCTGAGTAACCAATCATAGATGAAGGGGGAACAAAAAATCCTCATGATGGCTTTTCCTCTTTGTCATGCTTTCCAGTTGATAAGCTATCACCCGCCTAGTTTCAGAAAAGTTGTAAAACCGCTTCTGCACACAGGCATAAATTGTTCATGTTAGATTTCCGTTTTAAGTATTATGAATCTCATCCTAGTAAAGATCCTCATATCATATTAGTTTGAATGGCATCAAAAAATATCTAAAATCTTCCATTGCTTGTCATTAGTGATACCCATATACTCCTTTCCACTGCCAATATTGCTGTCAATCAGGTAAATTAGTGCTAAGAAAAGTGCTCTACTCAAATAAAGCAGACTGGGCCTGGAAGTGTTCATTCTAGTTCCATTGTTCTTAGATACCATGCTGCTCTGACATAATAGCAATGGGGATGAATCTCTGACATCGTGCATTTTAACTAGAATATTTTGGCATTCTGTTTTACTTGTTATACTCATTTCTAAGGGAGAAAAAAGAGGATACTTTCTATTTTGCACAAAAAAGTATATTTTTTGGAAGTCATTTTAAAAAGATTTAGTCAAATTCAATTTTACGGAATCATATACATCTATTTTTAAATACTCTAGAAATGCATGACTTATGTTACCACATAGCTTTTATTTCAACTCTTCTTTTCAATCAAGATCAATCCACCTTCTCCCACTTACTCTGCAATATATCTCTACCAGATTTCTTTAGGTAGCTCCTGTGCAAATTAGGCTGGGCCCAGGGAATTTCTAAATTTCAATTAAAAATATTTATAATTTCTTAATGCAAATATTAGAATATCATCAGGACACTAATGATACTCTGGGCCACATCTTCTGTTCCTCTATTCTAACAGTGTAGCTTTAGAGCTCACCTAGTGCCTAGCTGAGCCAGGGTTTCACATGAAAGTTGACTGGCTGAGTTTCAAGCTGGATAAAACAGAGGTGATGATGTTAGGGACAGAGGGCTAAGACAGGCCCAGGGACATTATTCTCTGGAGCCAGCTGAGAGCATTCTGACTTCTCACAAATGTGCTTTGCCCATACGTCCATTATCTGTTGAATTGCAATTTTTCAAAAGATGCCACCAGCAGATTGTACACTGCTTGAAGGCAGGGTCCCTCATGTTCCCTTTTGCATCGCTGGAACATAGTGTAAAGCCTGGCATGTAAGAAGAAACCAGTACATACGCATCAAATGAATGGATGGGCGGATGGATGGATGAATGAATGAATGAATGAATGAATGAATGAATGAATGAATGAACACTCTGGATAAACCAATAAGTGGTTTATATTAATCCTAATCCTCAATACTGTGCTGACAAATCTTTTGATTTTAACTGCAAAAAAAGCTTAATAAGGTGTATTACAGCTTCAAACTTAACACCCAGGACAGCAGAGATATCAAACAGAGCCTTTGTGTTAACTAAGCATAGTTCACTTCCTTCAAGAGCCTAGACAGATGCAGCCTCACACAAGGGTGAACAGCTTGACCAGGTGAATGAAGTCTGGATTTCAGCTCTGACTCAGCCTCTTAGTCAGAAGCCCTGGTGCTGGATGCAATCTGGAAGCCCCATAGAATACCAACTCTTACTGATAGTTATAAGTAAACAGAGAATTGTTCTTTGTAGATAAGATAATGCTTTAATGTTAATAGATTCCTAATGGCTATTTAAGCCATTGCACCTATTGCTACCCCAGGCTTATGACTTTTAAATTTCCAATGCTTTAAGTTTTATATATATATATATATATATATATACATACATATATATATATATATATATATATATATATGTATTCTATAGTAGTTTTTCCAAGGAAGTGATTGAAAACATTAATGATTCTCTGCTAATTTAACAAATGAGAATTCTTGACAAGCCATTTTGCTAACAGACAATCAAAATCAAATGTAAGGACATTTCAACAGTGAACCAACAAACATTATACTGAGAATTTATAGTCAAGTGTGGGGGCTCATGCCTGTAATCCCAACACTTTGGGAAGCCAAGGCGAGAGCACCACTTGAACCCAGGAGTTTGAGACAAGCCTGTGCAACATAGTGAGACCCTATCTTGATTTTTTTTTTTGATACAGAGTCTCGCTCTGTTGCCCAGGCTGGAGGGCAGTGGCACAATCTCCACTCACTGCAACCTCCACCTCCCAGGTTCAAGCAATTCTCCTGCCTCAGCCTCCCCAGTAGCTGGGATTACAGGTGTCTGCCACCATGCCCAGCTAATTTTTGTATTTTTAGTAGAGACGGGGTTTCTCCCTGTTGGCCAGGTTGGTCTGGAACTCCTGACCTCAAGTGATATAACCACCTCGGCCTCCCAAAGTTCAGGAATTCCAGGCGTGAGCCACCATGCCCAGCCAAAAATTTTTTTTTAACCAGGCATGATGATACATACCTGTAGTTCCAGCTACTTAAGAGGCTGAAGTGGGAGAATTTGCTTGAGTTCAGGAGGGTGAGGCTTCTGTGAGCCGGGATCATGCCACTGCACTCCTACCTAGGTGAAAAAGCGAGACGCTGTCTCAAAATGTAAAAAATAATAAATAAAGAAATAAATAAAGAATTTACTATAAAATTAGTTATGTTTACTATTTAAGGAAGCCTACAAATAGCTAAGAGCAAGCTGAAGGTCACAGGGAGATGTCTTATTCTTTCAGGATAAATCACATTCCCAGTTTGTCTTCATTTCTTGATATACTATATTGTACAATATTACACTAAAAAGCATAGGATTGGTTTAAAAAATATTCTAAGAGATTTCTAAATAGTTCAGCTACTTACAGCAGGCATACTCTACTTTTGATAAGATGAACAAATTAGTTCAAGTCAAAAGAATGGTTTTTAAGTGCTTTACTTCACTGTACAAATAGAAAATTGTGAAGATGTAGTCCCTATCATCTGAAAAGTGTTACTTGCATAGAGTTCCAGGTACTCTCACACACAGAGTGACTTGGAACAGGTACCCAGCTATCTATACAATTCTCAGAATAAGTCAACTGTGTAACCTATGCAAAAGAATCAAACTAATGATGAAAACAATGTATAGAAAGACATAACTTTTTGTTGTATTTAATTTTAAAATTTTTATTTATATGTAATGACTGTGCACATGAAGTATACGTGATATTTTGACATTTTAATACAATATATAATGATCAAATGAGGGTATTTAGGATATCCACCTCATTTGTCATTTATGTTGGGAACATTTCCAATCTTCTCTTCCAGTTATTTTGAAATATACAATAAATTGTTGATAACTGTAGTTGCCTAACTGTGCTATTGAACACTAGAACTTATTCCTTCTATCTATGTTTATACACATTAACCAACCTCCCTTTATCCCGCATCATACACTTCCAGCCTCTCTTAACTATCATTCTACTTTCTAACTCCATGAGATCAACTTACTAAGCTCCCACATATGAGTGATAACATGTGACATTTGTCTTTCTGGGCCTGGCTTATTTCACTGTGTGTAATGATCTCCAGTTCCATCCATGTTGCTGCAAAGGACAGGATTTTATTATTTTTTATGGGTGAATAGTATTCCATTAAGTATATATCCCACATTTTATTTATCCATTCATCCACCGATGGATGTTTAAGTTGATTCCATATCTTGGTTATTACAAATTACATAACAACAGTAGAGTAATTCCACTGTAGCTAAAGATAATCTTGTAGATGGGAAAGTCTATTTGTAGTCCCAATAATTTCCCATGTCAGGGGAGGCGTGAGGGACTAAGAGCCGGGAGCAATAGCTGAGGACATCTTGCAGTTAGAAATAAAAGACAACATAGCAGTGACCTGTGAGGGCAAGAACAACTGAAGATCACAGGAATCAGAACATCTTACCGGATGCTGTGCTTTGGCACTATAGCGTGTGCCCTTTTCACGTGCTTTTGCACTATAGAATCTTCCCAGAATTTAGACACAGCACTAGGGAAGAAGGAAACTCTACATTGGCTAATTAATGTTATTCCACAGTGATGGAGAGTACAGTAAAATCCTTTCATAAAACAAAATAAAAAAATTATTATTAGAATTATTATTAGTGAGGTACATAAAATAATAATTAGTGAGATACACTAATAACTAGTAGGCTACACTAAATAACAATAATAGTTGCATTTATTAGTAGTAATAATAATTATTAGTAGTAGTAGTGGAGTACACTAAATGTAATCATGTAAAAGGAGAGGCTTCATTTGGCCAGGCACAGTAGTTCACATTTGTAATCCCAGCACTTCGGGAGGCCAAGGCAGAAGGACCACCTGAGGTCAGTTCACAACCATCCTGGACAACATAGTGAGGCCCCATCTCTTCAAAAATTTTTTTAAAAAATTAGTTGGGCATGGTGGCACATGCCTGTAGTCCCAGCTACTCAAGAGGCTGAGGCAGGAAGATCACTTAAGCCCAGGAGTTTGAGGCTACAGCGAGCTACATTCACATCACTTACTCTAGCCTGGGTAACAGAACAGGACCTTGTCACTAAAAATAAAAAATAAAAACCAGAAGAGGTGCATTAAACCAAGGTTAAAGAAGACAGTTTGAGTTCATTTGTTATTTAAAAAGACAAAGCAGAAGAATAAAGGTGGTGAAAATTATAGTGTAAACTATTACACTGAACAGAAAATTCCTCTATAAACTGTCATCATGAGAAAGTTTATTTCCTATCTCTCATACCCATCCACAAAAGAGAATATAAAACTTTAACCCACTTTAGCTTTTCTTCTTGAGAAAAAGAGCAGAGCAGAGGACAGTGGTGAATCATCAATTGCATTAATTCTGAATTCATGCTATAGCAGAAAGCATTATAGCATTGTTTTAATGTTAGATATCAGATCCAGTTATCAAGTCAAAGAATTTATACTCATTGAATGCTTAAATATGTGACTGAGATTTTTTAAACCCAGCTTATTAAGATAAAATTTATGTCAAAATGCATGTAAAACATTTTAAGTGTGCAATCTGATGAATTCTGACAAATGTACACACCCTTGAAACCATCTCTCCCAATGAAGATGCAGAAGGTTTCCACCCCTCCAATGAAGATGCAAAACAATTTATAATGTTTCTTCATGGCCCTCTGCAGTAAATCTTACCCCCCATTCTAGACAACTGATGATCTAATTTCTATCATAAATTAGTTTTGCCTTTCCTAGAACTTCACGTAACTGGAATAATACACTCTGCAGTCATTTTTTGTCTAGCTTCTTTCATTCAGTGTAATGCTTAAACAATTTACTCATATTGTTGGATGACTGTGTTCCTCTTCATTGCTGAGTACTATTCCATTGCATGAAAAAAAGTTTTACATTCATCTGTTGATGGAGTTTGTTTCCAGGTTTTGGCTATTATGAATAAACCTGCTATAAACATATTTGGATATAAGATTTTGTGAATGTTTTCTCTGCTCATTTTAACATTTTAGGAGTTAAATTGCCATGTCTTATAGTAAACATATGATTCACTTTATTAAAAATTGCTACACTCTTCTGACAGCAAAGTTTGAGTGTTTCACTTGCTTCACATCCTCACCAACCCTTCTTGGTATTGTCAGTCATTTAATTGCAGTTATCCTAGTAGGTCTGAAGTCATATCTTGTTTGAATTCACATTCCTTGCTACCTAATAATGTCGGGCATTTTTCTATGTGCTTATTGTCCATTCGAATGCATTGCTTTGTGAGGTACCTGTATAAATCTCTTTGCCTGTTAGTGTAGGGTTATTTTCTTCTTTTTATTGAGTTGTAAACACTCTTTATATAGTCCTATTTCAAGTCCCTTATCAGATCTATGTGGCAAGTATTTTCTTCCAGTCTGCATATTGTCTTCTCATTTTCTCAATGAAGTCTTATGAAGAACAGTTTTTACTTTTGATGATGTCCAACTTAACACTTTTCCCTTTTATTTTATAGTTATTTTATAAGAAATCTTTGCCAGCTCCAAAGTTCCAAAGATTTTCTCCTGTTTGTTTTTAGAAGTTTAATAATTTTAGCTTTTATGTGTAGGTATGAACCATTATTAATTAATTTTGGCATAAGATATGAGGCAAAGATCAAAGTTCATTTTTTCATCTGAATAACCAATTGTTCCAACACCATTTTTTGAAAAGTCTATACTCTTCTTTTGGAAGTGAACATCTTTATCAGAATTAATTGACCATAAGTGTGCAAGGGCTGGTTCAATACTTTTTTTCATTGTTATATATGCTTATCTGTATAAACATCACACTGTTTTGATTATTCTATTTTTAAAGCAAATTTTGAACTCAAGAAACATGTTATGCAACTTTAATCTTTTTTGTAAAAATTGTTTAACTACTCTAGATCCTTTGTATTTCCATACTACTTTTAGGCACAGTTTCTTAATTTCTATGAAAAGGTTTGCTGTGGTTTTGAGAGATGTTGTTTTGAATTTATTTATCTATTTGGGGAGAAAGTGCATCTTAGTGCTATTGAGTCTTCTACTCCGTGAATATATCTTTCCAATTATTTATATCCCCTTTCATTTTGCTCAGCAATGTCTTACAGTTTTTATTGTAGAAGTCTTAATTTTATTCCTGTTAAATGGTTTTGTTTCTCTTGTAAGTGGTATATTTTTAAATTTTATTTTCTAATTGTTTGTTTCTAATGTATAGAAATGATTGATTTTTGTAAATTGTCCTTGTATCTGATGCATACTAGTATCCCACTGTGTATGTGTGTGTGTGTGTGTGTGTGTGTGTGTGGACTCCTTGGGATTTTCTACATAGATAGTTATGTCATCTGGAAACAGAAACAGTTATATTTCTTCTTTTCAGTCTTTATGCATTCTTTTTTCTTGTTTCATTGCATTGGCCAGGATTCCACTCTAATATCTAATCAAAATGATGAGAAGGGGCATCCTTATTCCCTTCTCAATTTTAGAGGGAGAGCACTCAGTATGATAGCTGTACGTTTTTTGTAGAGGTCCCTTTTCATATTAAGGATATTATCTGCTATTTCTAATTGCTATGAATCTTTATCATAAATGGATGTTTTGTTGCAACTAAGATTTGAACCCACTATGAATTGGAATCTATGTTGCTTTTTTGTTTAGACACAAGTTGTTTGTGGTCTGGTTTTTAAAGCAAAACATTTTAAGGAAAAATATTAAGTTTATAATGTGCTGCTGCCCCTATCTGCTCAGATATGGGAAAAGGGGAAGAAGTATCTCATTAGTATTAGACATATCAGGCAAGAAATATCTTCCCCAAAGGAACTGTTTGTATTTCAAGAATTGTATTCCTCCAAATAAGATAATAGTTACTTACCTTTGCATAATACTTTACAGTTTACCTGAGAGTTTTTACCCGTAAGATCTCATTTGATCCTTAAAACCTCTGAGATAAATTAAACTAATTTTTTTACTATAGTCATTCTACCGTGGAAGAAATAGGGCTCAGAGAGATTAAATGAAACATTTTTATAGATATGTAATGTTAACATAGGAGTTTCACTTCTGTAAACAACTTTGTACTAGTCAAACCTTCCAGTTGGTTGTAGTAACAAAATAGTTGCTAAGGATGGTGACAAGGAATCTCTTCGTTCTTAGAGCAATTCTATTTCTTCGGAGATAATTTAGGATTTATGTGACAAAATCTGAAACATAGAATCCCTTTAAATAAATGTTTACCTAGGCTGTAAACTCATTGTGTAATAAATTTAAGTGCCTAAGAGACAGGGTGTGATTCTTAGTCACTTGGGCTTGCCTCTGCCCATAGCTCAGTGCCTGGCACGTAGATCACAGTAAAAATGTGTGGGTTGGCGGCCAGGTGCGGTGGCTCACGCCTGTAATCCCAGCACTTTGGGAAGCCGAGGTGGGCAGATCACAAGGTCAGGAGTTCGAGACCAACCTGACCAACATGGTGAAACCCCGTCTCTACTAAAAATACAAAAAAAATAGCCGGCCAAGGTGGCAGGCGCCTGTAATCCCAGCTACTCGGGAGGCTGTGGTCTCTTGAAACTGGAAAGAGGAAGTTGCAGTGAGCCAAGATGGCGCCACAGCACACTCCTGCCTGGGCAACAAGAGTGAAACTCCGTCTCAAAAAAAAAAAAAAAAAAAAAAAAAAAGTGTGGGTTGGCAGCCTGGAATACTACCTGCTTCTGCTTCTTCTGAAATGACGTATTAAACTTAAATTCTAACAACAGGTATTTGAATCTCATAATTACTTTTCATACTGCAAAAGTAAATAAGAAGATAATTTTGCCCTTCAGGAGTCACATTCTACTTCTAACATTTATTAATATCTATCCTCAACCAAATTCTAAAAAAAAGATATAGAGCAATTAGCATCTATTTATACTTTACTTATTAAAATTAATAAGACAAACATATGCTTTTGATTTCAGTGACTCAAATTTTGATTCATTAAAATTTATAATGTACACCTAAAGGGGGAGAATCTAGGATTTCAATTGTGGACCATGACACAGTCATAAACACTCAGTATTGCAATGGTCTCTGTTTAATCTTTCTTCCCTGCTAGACTGAAAACTCCCTGCAGGCCGTAGCTGTCTTGCTCCCAACAACTGAACTGGGTTCCTGCTATCATACCTAACACGTGCTAGCACTAAATACATATTTGGTGAAGAATGAATGAGTGCCAAAACTGAAAGTTACCAGCTCAAGTTCTGAATGAAACTACTTGTGCTTTTTCAACTTAATGCCAGAAGAGTTTGAATACAAGAACACATGCTGGGGAGCAGGACATTTTTTCTATTAGATGCTTTATTTATCCCTACATCTTTCAGACAGACGGAGGGAATGTGCTCCAGGAAGGAGAGTGGGATGCTGGGTGTCAAGTCTCCAGGGTTTAATTCCCAACTCTGAATTTCACCAGCTTCAAGGCCTTGGGCAAGTCACTTAACCTCTGTTCCAAACAGAAATAATACCACCTCCTCCCAAGAGCGCACCAAGGCAAGTTTGATTGATGGCTAAGCTCTTGGAGCCTTTGATGAAATGTGCTGAATGTCTGCCAACTATTACTACTGCTAATAATAATAACGTTTTTCTAACACAGTCCCACGGAGCAAAATAAATCGGTAACAAGGGACACATTGCTCCATTGAAGCAAATTGTGACCAATTCTTTTTGAAAGAAGGATGATAGGCTTTGTTCCACAATGGTATCATTTTCTGCAATCTATTCTCTCCTTATTTATAAGTAGAACTAGTTGTCAAATGTCTATGTGAGATGTTTATACATCTTTAAAAAGGAGAAATGAAGGGGAAAGATTTTAACTAAATACAGATACAGTCATATTATGGAAATGTCATGTTTTGGGGGTAGGTTAATCAATTTATAAAAATAAACAGATGATTAGTAAGGTAGAAATGTTGTCATTTGTTATTTCATCAGCTATACGGTTTCACTGTATCCAAAAAGAAAATCTAAGGAAACTCTAATCCATCAATTTAGTTTTCAAACGTCTATTTCTTGAAATAGAAATATTATTCTGTATTATTTAGAAACTTTATTATTTTTCATTACAATATCAAATATAATTTTAAAATAAGATTAATAAGTTTTTTGGTTAAAAAAATACATATTTACTCTAGACCATTGGGACAGAGATATAAACATAAATGAATAAAAATCAAAATCTTACTACAGCATACTAATTAAAAGTGTATTCTCTGTGTAGACTGCCAGGGTTCAACCCCATGTCTGTCATTTTCAGTTTGACCAGGCTTCTTCATTTGTACATAGCTCAGCTTCCTTATCTTTTCAGTGGGACAGTACTGCCGGTCTTCCAAGGTGTTGTGGAAAATTTATTAAACAGTGCATGTGAGGCACTTAGAAGACTGCCTGGCAGAGATACCATTGTTAAATAAGCTATTATTGCTATTATTTAACCACTCATAATCTCTAAATTTACAGATTATTTTAAGTCATCTTTATTAATAAAAATTAAATATTAAAAGATAGCTTTTTAAAAAAATTTGAGATCATACCACACAAGCCATTTTTAACCTGCTTTTCCTCACTTAGTATATTACAAGGATTGTCTTATGTCATTAGACACTTTTCTACATTATGATACAGCCATTTAGAACTGCATAATATTCTACTGATTGATTTCTCTTAACCTAAAAAAAATACCTTATTGTCAGCCATTTACATTGTGTTCATTTTCTGTTTTTATAAAGAATATGGTGAAGACCATAATTTTGTGCATCTCAGCATCTTTTAAATTACGGCTTTGGGATAGATTTGTCAAATAGAATTTTCAAGGAGCAAAGGATATACATATTTTAAAGCTTTTGCTATTAAATTATCCTCCAAAAAAGTTGAGACAATAGTGTATATGTCATAATAATTTAATGTTGCCCTTTTAAATTTACATAAACATATTGTTTATCCCTGTGTGAGCCATGCCTGAGATACTCTCTTATTGGAAGTTTAGAGACAGAGAAATAAATGAAGAGAGAGTCCAATAGATTAAAAGAGTATAGATTACTTCTGCATGTTTCAACGATTGATCTCTACCTAGAAAAAACATACAGATGGGCATCTCAGAAGATTTATAAATGTTGGTAAAAAAATATAGCAATCATATGCTCTGCTCATTTTCTCTATTTAGAATAATTTGTTTTCAAGTTTCTGTTATTTTCTTCTATTTTGTGATACATAATATTAAGGCCATTTGGAAATAACTATATTCTGGCATGTTTTTATTACATTCTTATAATTTACTTATTTTAAGAAATCAGTTAACAGAAAGTCAAGTTCTTTGACATTTTTAATGTTTTATTTGATCTTTAATTGATGAATAATAATTGTACAAATTAATAGGGCACAGTGTAATGTTTGGGTACATGTATACATTTTTATCTCAGCAAGATGGACATCTTTAAAGAGATCCTGATGCAGATAAAAGAGGCTTCTGGCACACTTTAGGAAATGGATGTCTGTTTGTATGATTCTCCTCACTAAGTCACACTTGCCCAAGACTTGTCCTCCTCACCTTCTTAGCCTTGCTTTTTCTCTCTGAACTACCCTCCAGAAGGAAGACAATCCCTTTTAAACTAAGAGAATATTCACTGTATCCAGAAAAAAAAAAGGCCATCTTTGAGTTCAGTTTAGTGGCAGGAGAAAAGAGAATGGAGACTTCGTTACTGGAATGAAGATCTTCCCCTTGATGTTAATGTATCTAGTACCTATTGATAACCAGAACATGTTTCATGTATTGTGATGAATAGTGTACATCTAAATTCTACATATAAAGCTGTAATTTCATTGAGAGACTCTAGTGACATTGAAAAATGATGTCACTGGTAAGCTGAGCTTGAATTACAACTTTAATTATTTACACTTCGGCCTACATTATTCCTATATTATACCTGTCATAGTACTATCTTGTCCTGGGCCTGCTAACAGGACCATGATGATAATTTACTCTATCAATGGGTCAGGTAGAACAGCACAGCCACATCAGTCAACCACTTCATACAGAGATGAGAGTAATACAGGAACTGGATAGAGCATGAAGGGTAGAATTTACATAGAAGCTGTTTTGCAAATCCTCTCACCTAGCAGAAAGAGAGCTTTCTGGGGGTTTCCAGAGAGTAGCTTCTCTAACCTGTTAACCTCTTAAAAGTAGAAAACTGTTTTCGTTATTCTCCCTCTATATATTTAGCTGTCTGTCTTACTATTGTTTGACTTACCTCTGAGATTACTTTGATTACAATGGGGAATCCAGAAGATTTATTTTAGATATTTTTATTTTGAACTTATATGTTCCTGTGAGCAGACCCCAGTCTCTTTTAACAAAATCACCTTGTTTGTGACTTATCTTACATTAAAGGCCCCAGGAAA
This sequence comes from Homo sapiens, assembly GCF_000001405.40. Taxonomy (NCBI): domain Eukaryota; kingdom Metazoa; phylum Chordata; class Mammalia; order Primates; family Hominidae; genus Homo; species Homo sapiens. The sequence goes on along the minus strand of NC_000008.11, from coordinate 76,912,316 downwards.
ATGTAATGTAGTTTGAGCACATAAAGGTGTAAGAGATTTTGGATTCATTCCATTTATCTAGTATTCCATTTAAAGGAAATCTTCAGGTTAAGATTATTTTTAAATTATTCATTAAAGAATAATCGTATGGCAAAAAGGAAATTAAAAATAACATTTTAACATGAGTCTGTAAATCACAGACTTCCATGCCACATAATGGTATTATTAGGAACTACTCCAACTTGATAGGTATGTTTACATACCTTTTCAAACAGTCTTTCATGAAGAAGAAGAAAGATGGCGTGGGAAGGGCTTTAACTGGACATCAATCACAACTATTATCCAAGATCCCCATGGGGCCCAAGTTTTTCACGTGGCAGCCCAAATGAAGAGAAGTTTCTCTAGCAAAAAAGGGAGATACCAATCATATGTAAGTGATTCCATCAGTTACATGTCAGTGGGAAATATTTTGAAATCAGCTTATGTACAATTCCAATAATTGCAGATTATACACAATTATACACACACACACAAACACAGACGATTTCAGCTGATCAATAAGTAGTCTTAGAGAAAGAGCACATAAGACCAATCTATTTTCTTGAGAAAGAGTATAACAGAGGGAGAGCCTAGAGAGGAAAACACAAAAATAAAAATGGTAATTGAGTTGGGTATTACTGGTTATTATTGATTATTGATGCTTAATTATTTCCAAAAGAAAGAACAATCCTTATTTGTGTCCTAACAATGAAGAAAAAATATATCCCATCAATCTAACCTCCTATCAGGCCAGTAAATACTTTAAAAACAAAACAGATACTCCAAAGTTGTGTTTTATAAAATTTGTATCTACCCATACATTTTTCTTTAGATATAAGATATGGTTTATTTGATGAAGGCCCTGTACAAAACTCCAAACTTATAGAAAACATTATACTGTCTTAGAGTTTCTAAAGTACTTTCAAGAAAAAATTAAAAATATTGCACATGAATTACATTTTTACAAAAATATGCTGGAAAAGTTATTTTTACAATTGCCGTGGATTTATTTTCTAAATTGAATTTAAAAGTCTCCAGTCTATAAAGTAAGATAAGTCTTACAGACATGCAAGAAGAAAAATCAACATTAGCTCTACGTAGTCAATGTGATATATTGTCCATACTACAAACATTATAATGTTGAAAAAATTGTTAACTAGCCTTTACCCATATTATTTACATTTAATAACTGGGAAAAATATTGTAAAAGTCCTTGGGATTTACTAAACAATTCCCTATCCAGCCTCTCCGTCTTTTAATATTAAGGCAATTCTTTAAAAGCCAAGGTTAAAATGTTGGCCTGGCCTCATGTTCCCGTGAGGGAGCTCCCATAGACAGAGGTTTGTGGCCTTTCCCTACTTGCTTACTGACTTACTTCTTCTCGTGGGATTTTCTGGCTGGCAAGCTAGAAAAGCACACAGAGTAATCCCAGCTTCTCTTTGTGAAGCTGCCTGCCCATAGAAAGTCTACGTTCTGCTCTGTCGTGCTAGGCTTCTTGAGTCAGGAGGCTCCTACAGGGATGCCCTGTGGTGGCCCAGCTCACTGTGATAGTGTGGCGAAGTATAAATCTGAGTGAAGAGTTAGAAAAATGCAAACCTAAGCCATATTTCCATCTTAGCTTTTATCAGTAAGAAAGCTAATATTTTGATGCTCATCTGCTTCCTGTGGCTATGGAGCGTTATTTATTTATTGAGTGTTTCAAGAGAAGAAAGGCATGATGCACTGTTTATTAACCTTGAAAGATGGATGCAGAATAACATGTGGTGGTCTTTGCTCATGGGGATGCAGCTAAGGGACAGAAGCATTTAATAGTTTGCAGATCCAGGTCTTCTAGAATTGAGTCCTGGCATTTTGAGGCAGCATCTGTGTGGCTGTTATTCCAGTGGTGTGGCTGTTTATTAGCTGGGACAGATCCAAGCAAGCTGGCTGCCCAGGTCTGTGTGTGCACGTCATTATTGCTGCTCACGATTGCACAGAGGCAATTAGGCCAAGCATTGCAGGTGAGGCCCAGAAAAGGATAAGGATATCTTGAAAAAAGGGGGTTTTTTTAAATCAGATATCACTGTGAAAACTTTTTAGGCACTGGATGCATGAAATAATCTTAGCTTCCTTTATTTTTTTCATCCAGACCTTCAAGCTAGGACTTTAAATTTCAAAAGCCGTTAAGTTCCAGTCAAGCAACAGAGCTTCATAGCAGGCATTGATAGGAATCTGAATTAATTTTTTTCCTGACCTGCTTTTAATGCAAAGGAGGTGAACTATGCAGGGGCCCATCCGCTGTATTCATGTGGTTTGTTTCAAAAGAACTCTGTCCCTACATATTTTCTTCAGATGACTCTGGTTCATCAACAAATAGCCCCCAGTAGTGGAGTCCTTATTAAATAAGGAATAGACAACTTTGCCTGAAGTAGAATAGAAGCATCCCAATGAAATATATTCAAACCCAAAAGCTCAGAAGGCAAATAAAAAGGTGTGTGCCAGGAATACTCAGTTCTCAGGAACCAAGTTTGCTCAGGTAACAAGGAGGAATTGGATTTTTTAAATTTTATTTACTTATTATTTATTTTTGAAACTGAGTCTCACTCTGTCACCCAGGCTAGAATGCTGTGGGGCAGTCTTGGCTTACCCCAACCTTTGCCTCCCAGGTTCAAGCCATTCTCCTGCCTCAGCCTCCCCAGTAGTTCTGATTACAGGCGCCCACCACCACATCCAACTAATTTTTGTATTTTTAGAACAGACAGGGTTTCACCATGTTGGCCAGGCTGGTTTCAAACACTTGACCTCAAATGATCAGCCTGCCCTGGCCTCCCAAAGTGCTGGGATTACAGGCGTGAGCCATCCCACCCGGCCTGGATTGGTTTTTAAAACTATCAGAACATGATCATTGGAGAGTGAAAAAAAAAAATAAATAAAGGAAGTTTGGTTAAGTGGAGGAAGAGAGAGATTTTCTTAGGAGCAAGGTTAAGCTTTTAGAGAAGAGAGTAAGGCAATATGAGCAAGAAAAAAAAACCTTGGCAGCCAGGCTGGGCAAATAAGAAAGGAGAAAGGTCATGCACCCAGGTTTAGCTGTCCTTGCAGATAGGATTAGAGAAGAGTATTTTGGTTGTTACTTGATCAGGAAGGGTGATTGAGGTTCAAAGAAAACTACCAGAGGAATGGCAGCGAGATCTCCAGAAGCTCACTGGAATGATTCTCCCAGAGGGAGCCCTCAGTCCAGAAAACCAAGGGGAGGCATACCATTAAAGCTGCAAATAATCATCCTCCTAAGGCTTAAGTCAACTGTCAATGAGTGGTTTTATAATAGTTGGATATGTATCAGAGGAGAAGACTAGCGTACCATGTTTAAGGCATTAGTAGGTGCATTTGAAGATCCTATAGTGATTGTAGGTAGTAAAATCTTTCCTGAGATAAAATGCCTCAGAAATGTATGGCTAAGGGAAGACACAGGGAAGACAGGGCCTAATACCTATTAATATGTATTATATACTAATTTTAGAATTTTATGTAAGAGCTCATTTAATATTTATAGTAATTTCAGAAGGGAGAGACTATTAATATTTCCATTGTACAGATAAGAAAATTAAGGCATAGTAATGTAAGTGATGGCCCAGCTCCAGCATCTGGGCTCTTGAGCACTATAATTTACTGTCTGTCTTATATTGAAGGTTAGTGCTGGATTAGAAGGTCATCTGATGAGAGGATGCTTTCTAGGTGTGATTATGCAACACAGAATGGGGTGGGGAGAGTAGACACATTTGTTTGAAAGTGGGGTTTTTTTGGCAGACTCACAGTTCATTAAATTCACATTTCTTCTAGGACAGACAGATTGGTGGCAGTTGAGCAAGGCTAAATCTAGAGGAATATGTTAGAAAAATAAATGCCTGGAAAGAAAAGTGGAGGTTCCAGAAAACAGGATGAGTTTTTTGGGTGGTACAAAAAAGAAAGTGCCTTTAATTATAAAAACATAGCTGGGCCGCCCTGAAACGAATCAGAGGAAAAAGGGAACAACAGAGACATGTTGTAGTACTCCAGAAAAAGTGACGGTAGAAGAAAACATTTTTGCTGACATTAAAGTTTCTCAGTTATTCACGACCTGAAGAGACAAGGGGCTGGGGAAGAACAGGCTCTGGGAAATAGTGTGTGGCAAAATGTTGGCTCTGACCAGGCCTTGAGAGACACAGATTCTCAAACTCCAACAGCAGTTTTGGTCAGCAATCTGCTAGGGTGAAGCAAAACAAATGTTTCAGGCAAAACAAAGTAAATGAAACCTCAGAAGCAGAATTCAGGGGCCTTATTTATGATCAGTAGCAGCAAGAAATGCTAGCTCGGAAAAATAGGCCATATGATTAGACAGAAGCCATGGTGGGTTCATTGCTGGGGTGCCAAAAGCAAAGAGGTCAAAGGGTAACACAAGATGAGATTTTAAATATAATAGATGAGAAAGAAAGGCAGCCCAAAGAAGGCTTGGGAAATTTCTAAATTTTGCACTAAAGCAGTGATATCTCAAATCCTACTCTCTGACAGAGGAAGCTGTACATAGGTGCATTCCTGTCCTCCCTGCATGATCAATATCTGTATCTGGCTCTCAATGAGAGAGTTCTCCCATTTGACTTCATGTTCACAAGCCATAATTTCATGTAATTGCACTAGACTTATGGGCGATGCGACCACTGAATACTACTGAGTTTCTTCTGAAGCCTGTCACAAAGATCTAGATTTTTACTAAGTACTGCTTTCTAGGAAAAATGTTTTATTTAGATAACTGCCTCAAAGACCTAGAAATTAGCTTGAGTTTCAGATGAGATCAGGTGTGTTCAGGGTGGTATGGCTGTAGACAAATTTGCTTGAGTTTCAAACTTTCATGGGTGTAGAACTAGTGCCAGGGTAATTTTTATACCCTTAGCTTTGGTCACTGAGGGGCATTTTCATAGAGTAGGAAGTAGAAAAGAAGTCATTGGAGGTAAGCAGCTCAAAACAACAGTGGTGGCTTCCCATGGCTTCTGTGATTTGTTTTGAGAATTACCCGCCTGGCTGAGGCTGGGATCATTTGTTGTGACTTCCTGGTGAGTGCTACACTTTGAGATTTTCTGAAAGAGGTATTCTGATCTTAATCCATCAGCTCTTCAAATGATTATATAAACTTCTAATTCCATGTAATAAATATCTCTTTAATCAAGCTAACCTGGAGTAGTTTCCGTTTTCTGACCAAACCCTTATTGATATTGCTAGTGTCAAAATAACTCAAATTCTGATCCTAGGGAAAATGTATTCCCATAGAATATAGCCAAGACTGCAAGTAGCTAAAAAAAAAAAAAAAAAAAAAAAAAAAAAAAAAAAAAAAAACCTCAAATCTACTCAGGTATCACGGTGACCTGCCGTTGGCTAAGAATGAACAAAATAAGAAAATTTGATGATAGGGATAGCTTTTGGAATTTAACAGATTTCTTTTGAACTTAAGAAGTCTGGATTTATCTTTTTTTTTACTTGTTGAAAATTTTTGATCTTTGATTTATTTAGAAAGGGCCACAAATTTAATGTTTCATCATTTCTTCCTAGGAATTGATAAAAGTATTATGGTTAAGTTTGAGATATTTTTATGTAGAGATTGAGTATCCCTTATTTAAAATGCTTGGTACCAGAAGTATTTTGGATTTCCAATGTTTTCAGATTCTGCAATATTTGAATATACACAATGAATTACCTTGGGGATGAGACCCAATTTTAAACACAAAATTAATTTATTTTTTTATCTATCATATGCACATAGCCTGGAGGCAGTTTCATACAATACCTTTTTAATAATTTTGTTCAAGAAACAATGTTTGTGAACACTGAACCTTCAGAGAGCAAAGGTGCCACTATCTCAGCCACCCCTGTGGACAACCTGTGGTTGTTTGGCATCACCACGATTCCTGATTCTGAATTTATATGTTAGAGATAAGCAATCACTTTTTTTTACAATATTCACTCATAAACACTTAACAGGAAAAAAAAATGACTTACCATTAGTACAGTGAAGAAATAATGTGCTTAGTTTAGCCAAGAAGTACAGTGGCATCACCAGAATACCTAGATCAGCTGTTAAACAACAGCAACAACAAACAATGGCAGGCTTTCATTCTCTACCTATGATGCTGTGTTTTAGTTGAAGGTTACTGTACACAAGATTTTATTTTTTAAGTGAGAAGAAACATCAGGAGCAGGTGATGGACAAGGAAGTGGGCCCTCTAGCTATGAGGAGGCATTCTGTTGGAGGGCTTCTTAAAATGTTTCCTCCAGAGCCATCTGCCTCATTAACAATGGTTTTTGTCTTAGAAGTTTCTCTTTGATTTCATGAACTGATATGATTTGTTGTTTTGTTATAACATATGCTGCTGTAGTCTTTCAATGATCCTGTCACACATTTTTACCATGTCATCTATAGGCACCTTTTCTGCAGTGTTAACAACGCTATCTTCATTGTCACTATTATCACAATCACCTTAATTCACAGCAATTTCAGGTATCTCATCATTGGTCAATGAATGAATAATTGGAGCCTCATTATTGATGTTAAAAAGTTCTTTGATAGTCACTTCTTTCAGCTTACTGATGGACTCTGAAGGTATATTTTTTACATGCTTAAAAAGATCAGACATCATTTTTTTTCTCACTTGACATACAGAGTCCTTCAAAGCCACCACTTTATTCATCATTATCACCGAACCTATTCTCAGGCCAGAGACTGCGCCAGGCACGTACAACTGTGTCTTTAGTCACTGTGTTCCAGGCATTGGCTGCAGCATGTATGGCATGCCTCATACTAAACTCTTGAAAACCTTCCACACTCATGTCTCTGTGTGAACACGTTTCTAGCCTACTGTTCAAGAAAGTGTTCTTATATTTATTCTTCATTGATCTAAGGATACCCTGGTTATGTGGCTAAATTAATAAAATCACATTTGGGGGAAATTACACTCATGGATCCACTCATTCAATACATGATCGAAATCTTCATTTTTAGCTTGTTGCAGTGTTTTCCATTTTTCATTAACTTCTTGAACTCTTGGCCTCCCAAAGTGCTAGGATTATAGACATGAGCCAACATGCCCGGACTATTTTTCGTTAACTTCTGTTTAGCACTTTTAGCATAGAACTTGAACAGTTTTTCCTTCTCTTTCTTTCGGCCATATATGGTAGTTATTCTAACACCATACTCTTTTGTAAGATGTTTTATACGTACATCACTATACAGTTTCTCCAAAAGCTTGACTTTCTGTGCTATAGAAATGTAAATACTCTCTCTTTTTCTTCATACTGTTAGCTATAGGCATATCTTCAGGCCTTTTGACATTTTCGACATTATCTTTATACCACAGAACAGAGAATAAGCCCAAAAACACCATGACTAATGCACATAGGCCTTTGCCCAAAATGGGGCATGGAGAAGAACCTGCTGTTAACACATCTAGCCTACACATGGGCCATTTTGTTACACTTTTTGGGTGTGCTTGCATGGGGGAGTCTGGGTGTGCATTGAAAAGATGTATCTTCTGGGTATTAAAGTTTAATTGTCCACAGAGATCCCAGGAAAGTACACAAAGAAAGAGTAGTGCCAGTGTGGTAGGGTAGGTAACTTACCCCCAATAAGTTATTGGATTTACTTCCCATAGTGGATTTTCTACACCTCAGCTGACTGTATAACTCAAACCAGGAAAGATAAGTTGCGGAAGATGGTGATATCTCAAATGCCACTCTCTGAAAGAAGAGACCATGCATAGGTGAATTCATAGGCCTCATGCTTCCATGGCTTTGTGTTTCCCTGAAGGAATTTCCACTAGAATAACACTCTGGACCTCTATTCCACATCTGCTCTCACTCATCCAGACCACTCATCTAGACTTTTCTCACTCATTCTGCCCCCTTTGTAGAGGAAATATGAAGTAACTTACTGGTGAGTCTGGGTGAAGAAATGCTTCTGAGCTCTTTCTCTTTTCTCGCCGGGTCCAAAGAATCCTTCACGTGATAAGCTTGTTGGAGCAGTGCAGACCCCAGTGAGATCTGCAGTCACTTAGTTCTGCATGCAACTGAGTAGCATGTACCCTGACACACATTAGGAAGCCCACTGTGGCCATCCGTCTAAACCAGGTCTTTAATACAGTTTTGTCAGGAACATGAGTAATGTATTTTTCTGCATGATTAGTTTTGAACTTAGCAAGGAAAGCATTACCACAAGATAAGATTATTTTCTTCAAAAAGAAAACATCTTGCAAGCATCAACCTTTCCTATACTCTTAATAAAACTATCGTTTCATTTTTTAGATATTGACTAGATGCATTGTTCCTCAAATTCTTTTTGACTATAAGTCGCAGTAAGAAACATATTTTACATTGTGACCTAGTATACATACAGAACACAGCAATTTTCATAAACTCATTTTTATTATGTGTGTTATCTCTGTAGTGTCTATTCTATTTCATGTTATAAAAATAATGGTCATGGTCCCTAAATAAATTTCCTGACCTAGTAATAAATCACAAGTCACAGTAGCAAAATGCTAGACTAAGCCATATGCAGAAAACTGAAACTGGACCACTTCCTTACACCTTATACAAAAATTAACTCAAGATGGATTAAAGACTTAAATGTAAAACCCAAAACCATAAAAACCCTAGAAGAAAACCTAGGCAATACCATCCAGACCATAGACATGGGCAGAGACTTCATGATGAAAACCCCAAAAGCAATTGCAACAAAAGCCAAAATTGACAAATGAGATCTAACTGAAGAGCTTCTGCACAGTGAAAGAAACTATTATCAGACTGAACAGGCAACCTACAGAATGGGAGAAAATTTTTGCAATCTGCCCATCTGTCAAAGATCTAATATCCAGAATCTACAAAGAACTTAAACAAATGTACAAGAAAAAAAGAAACAGTCCCATCAAAAAGTGGGCACAGAATATCAACAGACACTTCTCTAATGTAGACATTTTTGCGGCCAACAAACATATGAAAAAAAGCTCATCATCACTGGTCATTAGAGAAATGCAAATCAAAACCATAATGAGATAACATCCCACACCAGTCAGAATAACGATTATTAAAAAGTCAAGAAACAATAGATGCTGTCGAGACTGTGGAGAAATAGAAATGCTTTTACACTGTTGGTGGGAATGTAAATTAGTTCAACCATTGTGGAGGACAGTGTGGTGATTCCTCAAGGATCTAGAACCAGAAATACCATTTGACTGAGCAATCCCATTACTGGGTATATACCCAAAGGTACATAAATTATTCTACCATAAAGACACATGCACATGTACTTTTATTGCAGCACTATTTACAATAGCAAAGACTTGGAACCAACCCAAATGCCCATTAATGATAGACTGGATAAAGAAAATGTGGTACATATACACCATGGAATACTATGCAGCCATTAAAAGGAATGAGATCATGTCTTTTGCAGGGACATAGATGAAGCTAGAAGCCATCATCCGCAGCAAACTAACACAGGAACAAAACCAAACACTGCATGTTCTCACTCATAAGTGGGAGTTGAACACTGAGAACACATGGACACAGGGAGGGGAACATCACACACTGGGGCCAGTTGGGGTGGGGGCCAAGAGGAGGGAAAACATTAGGACAAATAGCTAATGCATGCAGGGCTTAAAAACCTACATGACAGTTTGATAGGTGCAGCAAACTTAACAAACCTGCGTGTTCCGTACTTGCTCCCAGAATTTACAATAAAATAAAAAATAAAAATAAAGAAAAATGCTAGACTAAAGCATAATATGTCCAGGTACTAGGAAAAAACAGACTTTGAGAACAACTTCTAGACAGAGGTGTTACATAAGAGAAAATGTCATTTTGATTTTCTTCGAACATCTGTAATGAGTTGCTTTGCTTCCCAAGAGACCAAACACTGTATGAACCTCAGATGTGAGGCTCCTTAGGAAGCTGATGGCAATTCCGAATTTAGTATTTTATTGGCCTGCTGGGTTCATGGAATATCCAGAACACTGTCATTTGCTCCTGGTCACATGGCAAATATTGCTTCAGAGTTGCAGATCAAGGGGTGTTCCAAGATGGCTGAATAGGAGCAGCTCCGGTCTGCGGCTCCCAGCATGATTGACGCAGAAGATGGGTGATTTCTGCATTTCCAACTGAGGTACCTGGTTCATCTCATTGGGACTGGTTGGACAATGGTTGCAGCCCATGGAGGGCAAGCGGAAGCAGGGTGGGGCATCGCCTTACCTGGGAAGTGCAAGGGGTCGGGGTATTTCCCTTTCCTAGCCAAGGGAAGCGCTGACAGACTACATGGAAAAACGGGACACTCCCTGCCCAAATACTTCACTTTTCCCAAGGTTTTAGCAACTGGCAAACAAGGTGATTCTTTCCTGTGCCTGGCTCAGCCGATCCCACAACCATGGAGCCTTGCTCCCTGCTAGAGCAGCAGTCTGAGATGGATCTGTGAGGTAGCAGCCTGGCTGGGGGAGGGGGCGTCCGCCATTGCTGAGGCTTGAGTAGGTAAACAAAGCGACCAGGAAGCTTGAACTGGGCGGAGCCCACTGCAGCTCAGCATAGGCTTCTATAGACTCCATCTCTGTGGGTAGGGCATAGCAGAACAAAAGGCAGCAGACAGCTTCTGCAGACTTAAACGTCCTTGTCTGACAGCTCTGAAGAGAGCAGTGGTTATCCCAGCACAACATTTGAGCTCTGAGAATGGACAGACTGCCTCCTCAAGTGAGTCCCTGACCCCCATGTAGCCTAACTGGGAGACACCTCCCAGTAGGGGCTGACAGACACCTCATATAGGTGGCTGCCTCTCTGGGACGAAGCTTCCAGAGGAAGGATCAGGCAGCAATATTTGCTGTTCTGCAATATTTGCTGTTCTGCAGCCTCTGCTGGTGATACCCAGGCAAATAGGGTCTGGAGTGGAACTCCAGCAAATTCCAACACACTTGCAGCTGAGGGACCTGACTGTTAGAAGGAAAACTAACAAAGAGAAAGGAATAGCATCAACATCAACAAAAAGGTCATCTACACCAAAACCCCATCTGTAGGTCACCAACATGAAAGACCAAAGGTAGATAAAACCACACAGATGGGGAGAAACCAGAGCAGAAAAGCTGAAAATTCTAAAAATCAGAGTGCCTCTTCTCCTCCAAGAGACAGCATCTCCTCACTGCAACAGAACAAAGCTGGACAGAAAATGACTTTGACAATTTGACAAAAATAGGCTTCAGAAGGTCAGTAATAACAAACTTCTTGGAGCTAAAGGAGGATGTTTGAACCCATTGAAAGGAAGCTAAAAACCTTGAAAAAAGATTAGATGAATGGCTAACTAGAATAAACAGTGTAGAGAAGACCTTAAATGACCTAATGGAGCTGAAAAGCATGGCACAAGAACTTCATGATGCATACACAAGCTTCAATAGCTGATTGGATTAAGTGGAAGAAAGGGTATCAGTGATTGAAGATCAAATTAATGAAATAAAGCGAGAAGACAAGGTTAGAGAAAAAAGAGTAAAAAGAAACAAACAAAGCCTCCAAGAAATATGGGATTATGTGAAAAGACCAAATCTACATTTGATTGGTGTACCTGAAAGTGATGGGGAGAATGGAACCAAGTTGGAAAACACTCTTCAGGATATTATCCCGGAGAACTTCCTCAACCTAGCAAGACAGGCCAACATTCAAATTCAGGAAATACAGAGAACATCACAAAGACACTCCTCGAGAAGAGCAACCCCAAGACACATAATTCTCAGATTCATCAAGGTTGAAATGAAGGAAAAAGTGTTAAGGGCAGGCAGAGAGAAAGGTTGAGTTACCCACAAAGGGAAGCTCATCAGACTAACAGCAGATCTCTTGGCAGAAACCCTACAAGCCAGAAGAGAGTGGGCGCCAATATTCAACATTCTTAAAGAAAAGAATTTTCAACCCAGAATTTCATATCCAGCCAAACTAAGCTTCATAAGTGAAGGAGAAATAAAATCCTTTACAGACAAGCAAATGCTGAGAGATTCTGTCACCACCAGGCCTTCCTTACAAGAGCTCCTGAAGGAAGCATTAAACATGGAAAGAAACAAATAGTACCAGCCACTGCAAAAACATGCCAAATTTTAAAGACCATTGATGCTATGAAGAAACTGCATCAATTAATGGGCAAAATAACCAGCGAACATCATAATGACAGGATCAAATTCACACATAACAATATTAACCTTAAATGTAAAAGGGCTAACTGCCCCAATTAAGAGACACAGACTGGCAAATTGGATAAAGAGTCAAGACCCATCAATGTGCTGTATTCAGGAGACCAATCTCACGTGCAAAGACACACAAAGGCTCAAAATAAAGGGGTGGAGGAAGATCTACCAAGCAAATGGAAAGCAAAAAGAAGCAACGGTTGCAATCGTAGTCTCTAATAAAACAGACTTTAAACCAACAAACATCAAAAGAAATATAGAAGGCCATTACAAAATGGTAAAGGGATCAATTCAACAAGAAGAGCTAACTATCCTAAATATATATGTACCCAAACAGGAGCACCCAGATTCATAAAGCAAGTCCTTAGAGACCTACAAAGAGACTTAACTCCCACACAATAGTAATGGGATACTTTAACACCCCACTGTCAATATTAGACAGATGAACGAGACAGAAGGTTAACAAGGATATCCAGGATGTGAACTCAGCTCTGCAACAAGCAGACTTAATAGACATCTACAGAACTCTCCACCACAAATCAATAGAATATACATTCTTCTCAACACCACATCACACTTATTCTAAAATTGACCACATCATTTGAAGTAAAGCACTCCTCAGCAAATGTAAAAGAACAGAAATCACAAAAAAATTTCTCTCAGACCACAGTGCAATCAAGTTAGAACTCAGGATTAAGAAACTCACTCAAAACTGCACAAGTACATGGAAACTGAACAACTTGCTCCTGAATGACTACTGGGTAAATAACAAAATGAAGGCAGAAATAAAGATGTTCTTTGAAACTAATGAGAACAAAGACACAACATACCAGAATCTCTGGGACACATTTAAAGCAGTGTGTAGAGGGAAATTTATAGCACTAAATGCCCACAAGAGAAAGCAGGGAACATCTAAAATTGACACCCTAACATCACAATTAAAAGAACTAGAGCAGCAAGAGCAAACAAATTCAAAAGCTAGCAGAAGGCAAGAAATAACCAAGATCAGAGCAGAACTGAAAGAGATAGAGACACAAAAAACCCTTCAAAAAATAAATGAATCCAGGGACTGCTTTTTGAAAAGATCAACAAAATTGATAGACCACTAGGAAGACAATAACAAAAGAGAGAAGAATCAAATAGATGCAATAAAAATTGATAAAGGGAATATCACCACTGATCCCACAGAATTACAAACTACCATCAGAGAATACTATAAACACCTTTATGCAAATAAACTAGAAAATCTAGAAGAAATGGATAAATTTCTGGACACATACCCTCTCCAAATACTAAACCAGGAAGAAGTTGAATCTCTGAATAGACCAATAACAGGCTCTGAAATTGAGACAATAATTAATAGTCTACCAACCAAAAAAAGTACAGGACCAGACGGATTCACAGCCGAATTCTACCAGAGGTACAAGGAGGAGCTGGTACTATTCCTTCTGAAACAATTCCAATCAATAGAAAAAGAGGGAGTCTTCCCTAATTCATTTTATGAGGCCAGCATCATCCTGATACCAAAGCCTGGCAGGGACACAACAAAAAAAGAGAATTTTAGACCAATATCCCTGATGAACATCAATGCGAAAATGCTCAATAACATACTGGCAAACCAAATCCAGCAGCACATCAAAAAGCTTATCCACCACGATCAAGTCAGCTTCATCCCTGGCATGCAAGGCTGGTTCAACATAGGCAAATCAATAAATGTAATTCATTATAGAAACAGAACCAACGACAAAAACCATATCATTATCTCAATAGATGCAGAAAAGGCCTTCGACAAAATTGAACAACCTTCATGCTAAAAACTCTCAATAAACTAGGTATAGATGCAACGTATTTCAAAATAATAAGAGCTATTTATGATAAACTCACAGCCAATATCATACTGAATGAGCAAAAACTGGAAGCATTCCCTTTGAAAACTGGCACAAGAAAAGGATGCCCTCTCTCACCACTCCTATTCAACATAGCATTGGAAGTTCTGGCCAGGGCAATCAGGCAAGAGAAAGAAAGAAAGGGTATTCAATTAGGAAATGAGGAAGTCAAATTGTCCCTGTTTGCAGACGACATGATTGTATATTTAGAAAACCCCATCGTCTCAGCCCAAAATCTCATTAAGCTGATAAGCAAATTCAGTAAAGTCTCAGGATACAAAATCAATGTGCAAAAATCACCAGCGTTCATATACAGACAAACAAGCAAATCATGAGTGAACTCCCATTCACAATTGCTACAAAGAGAATAAAATACCTGGAATCCAACTTACAAGGGATGTGAAGGACCGCTTCAGGGAGAACTACAAACCACTGCTCAATGAAATAGAAGAGGATACAAACAAATGGAAGAATATTCCATGCTCATGGATGGGAAGAATCAATATTGTGAAAATGGCCATACTACCCAAAGTAATTTATAGATTCAATGCCATCCCCATCAAGCTACCAATGACCTTCTTCACAGAATTGGAAAAAAATACTTTAAAGTTCATGTGGAACCGAAAAAGAGCCCACATTGCCAAGACAATCCTAAGCCAAAAGAACAAAGCTGGAGGCATCATACTACCTGACTTCAAACTATACTACAAGGCTTCAGTAACCAAGATAGCATGGTACTGGTACCAAAACAGGTATATAGACCAATGGAACAGAACAGAGCCCTCAGAAATAATGCACACATCTACAACCATCTGATCTTTGACAAACATGACAAAAACAAGAAATGGGGAAAAGATTCCCTATTTAATAAATGGTGCTGGGAAAACTGGCTAGCCATATGGAGAAAGCTGAAACTGGATCCCTTCCTTACACCTTATACAAACATTAATTCAAGATGGATTAAAGACTTAAATGTTAGATCTAAAGCCATAAAAACCCTAGAAGAAAACCTAGGCGATACCATTCAGGACATAGGCATGGGCAAGGATCCATGACTATAACACCAAAAGCAATGGCAACAAAAGCCAAAATAGACAAATGGGATCTAATTAAACTAAAGAGCTACTGCACAGGAAAAAAAAATACCATCAGAGTGAACAGGCAACCTAGAGAATGGGAGAAAATTTTTGCAATCCACCTATCTGACAAAGGGCTAATATCCAGAATCTACAAAGAACTCAAACAAATTTACAAGAAAAAAACAACCCCGTTAAAAAGTGGTCAAAGAATATGAACAGACACTTCTCAAAAGAAGACATCTATGCAGCCAAGAGACACATGAAAAATGCTCATCATCACTGGCCATCAGAGAAATTCAAATCAATACCACAATGAGGTACCATCTCACGCCAGTTAGAATGGCAATCATTAAAAAATCAGGAAACAACAGATGCTGGAGAGGATGTGGAGAAATAGGAACACTTTTACACTGTTGGTGGTAGTGTAAATTGGCTCAACCATTGTGGAAGACAGTGTGGTGATTCCTCAAGGACCTGGAACTAGAATTACCATTTGACCCAGCAATTCCATTATGGGGTATATAACCAAAGGATTATAAATCATGCTACTATAAAGGCACATGCACATGTATGTTTATTGTGGCACCACTATTCACAATAGCAAAGACTTGGAACCAATGCAAATGTCCATCAATGATAAACTGGATTAAGAAAATGTGGCACACATACACCATGGAATTCTATGCAGCCATAAACAATGATGTGTTCATTTCCTTTGCAGGGACACGGATGAAGCTGGAAACCATCATTCTCAGCAAACTATCACAAGGATAGAAAACCAAACACCTCATGTTCTCATTCAAGGTGGGAATTGAACAATGAGATCACTTGGACACGGAGGGGGGAACATCACACACTAGGGCCTGTCAGGGTGTGAGGGGCTGGGGGAGGGATAGCATTAGAAGAAATACCTAATGTAGATGATGGGTTGATGGGTGCAGCAAACCAACATGGCATATGTATACCTATGTATCAAACCCGCATGTTGTGCACATGTACCCTAGAACTTAAAGTATAAAAAAAAAAAAAAAAGAGTTCCAGATCAGTATTCTTTGTCAATTGGATTGTCTGCTCCTTGAGGGCAAAGACCGTATCTTCTCTTTCTTTTGTACTGTCATACACTTTAATATGTAGCAGGCATGATTCTTATCTTCAAGTACCATATAGTCTAGCTGAAGAAAGATATTAAACCACAACTATTAAGAACATTTGTCATGTAACCAAGGCTAATTATTTCCCTAGATTCACAACTGAAATTCTGAGAGTCATGTGGAAGTGGCTGAAGTCAAGTACTATTAGTCAGTGGCAAATTCTGAAATGGGTGAATTCTGAATTGACTTTTAAAAGACTGTCAGATGATTGGGGTGCTCTGTAGAGGATTTACTTTCTGGGTCTCAGCACATCACCTGTTTAAGAAAAGCAATTTATTTGCGAAGGATTCAGACAATCTTTCCTCTGGATGTGTGCTTTGAACAAATTATAATTCAGTGTCGAATAGAACCAGAGCTGAAGCTTATCTGACATACTGTTATAGCATCACTAATCTTTATAGATCGAGGAGAAAATAAAGAGTAGTTTGTAATTTGCAGGGATGATCTAGGGAGCAATGGCATGGTATGACCTTTAACAAATTACTTATGTGATTGGTTAGTATGAAGTTGAGAAGGGGGACCAAAAGACCGAAGGCATTATGTCCCAAACTAGCCTCATCCCAAGAATCACAAGGGATGAGAGATGACAGCTCATATTTTAAGGTCTTTTCCCAGGAATGATGACTTACTGTTCTGGAGTAGAGACTTAGTTTGGAAATCTCTGGTCAAACAGTAAGTAAAACAAATAAGCATTTCCAAAATTAGTTCTTTAATAAAAACAATTACTTTTTACCAAGGATTTAAGTTTCGTGAATGTTTAAGCCCATCAAAAACTCTATGAAATAACTATTATCTCCATTTCATTAACTATTCATTAACTATTATCTCCATTTCAAATAACTATTATCTCCATTTCTCTCAGAGCCTACTCAATTCACATAGCTGATAAGTGAAAGAACCCTGTCTCACCTCACAAGACTTCTGTGCTCCTGATCAACAACTCTACTACCTCCAAAGAGGTGTAGCCCTCTGTAGTTCAGCCTCACGTTCACAGTCTTGGGCTCTGCAATCTCACAGGCCCTATATGGAATTCCAGGTGTACAGTTCTCCAGCTGTATGGACTTGCTGACCATATTAAATTGTTAGGTTATAGTAAATGGTAGCTTTCTCATCTGTAAAACAGGAATATTACTAGTATTTACTGCTACTAGAGCTGTGAGGAGTAATTGCTTCAAATATATTAGAAAAAGCCAAGTGCCCTCTTGGAAGTGTGATATCTTTGTCCACCTTCAGTAAATGTGAATTTGGCGTATGTGAAAGTTATATCCCATGTTTTTGGTTTTTATCATTTGTTTTAGGGTTTCTAAAAAAAACCTGAAAGGCTTTACAGAGTCTCTTTTGTGTCTTTTATGTCTTCCCTTAAATATATCTCCCCCATGTTTCCCTGATGTGAAGTTGCCATTTTCTTTTGAGACTACAGGACATCCATTAAAAAAAAAAAAATGTTGCCTCAGTATAGCTTTTCAAAGCATTAAGAAAGTATACTAAATTACCCTTCATTGAACCATATGCCAGGAGATTTTCTCTTACTCTCCCAACTGAAAGCAATGTATCTTAAGTCCTAACAGATTCACAGGCTTAAATCCTATGACTAATATTGGGCAGGCTCATCCAGGATTTATTAGGGATCAATGTGACCAATGGGTTTGGCAGCTGGTAGTTGTCCTCCTTTCTTCTAATGCTGTAAAAATAACATTGTTGCCATTATTACATCATTTTAGTGTCTCCAAATATGTTCATCAGTCTGACCACTGCTAAATGTTTTTATGAAAAAGAAACTTTCTGCTTCTCAAAAGGTTAGCCAACATCTGAGTGCTGGCAAGTTACCAAACACAAAACTTTGTCTCCCTCCCTACCTCTCACTGGCCAGCTGACTGAACAAGTAATACTTAAAATATTTGGGGAGCTTGATGTAGCCGGCAGGAACGTCAAGTTTCTCCTACTGATTAATTCTTACTGTTCCAAATTAGCAATGCAGTTCTTGTCCCGAGAGCTAAAACTGCCAGTAATGGTCTTACTTTTTGTCTTGAAGACACCACATCTGAAGCCTAATGGCAGCACTAATCCTGATTTATTCCTCCAAATGCCAAACCTGGAAGGAAAGGTCAAAACGGTCAGTGGGTTCTTCTTAAAATAAAACAAGAGGAAACACAGCCAGAAGAGGCCAATGTAAGATGGCTTTAGTCTTGCCCTCATTTACTCAGACAGTCCACTTACAGCTCATCTGTCACCCAGGATCATGGTGCGTCTTCCTGGGTGGCTGCTGCCTTAGTCCCTGAAATATTTTGTTCATTCTTTCCCATTGGAGCCAAGTGTCTCTTAAAAAAAATATTGCGCTGCTTATGTTCCTAAGACCTCAAGATTACCTCCCCCTTAAAACCATGCCAACTAGGAGGGGCCTCTCCTGTCTCAATTCCCTCCTTTCACAAAAGTTTGCTCTCTCGTTAATCTTTTACATTCAAAACATTTTTGGCATACTAGACCTGCATTTAATTAGTACAGACACTTGGAAGACTAAGTGTCCTGGCCTTACAAGGAAAGGAAGGAAGGAAGAAATGTTTCAGGCCCAAAGATCTGTCTCTCTAAAACCTAACAGCTTATCCCCATCATCTCTCAGCTATTGAGGTTAGAGGGTGGAAGCAGTACTAAGTTTATAAACTATTTGGAAGCAACCCCTATTAGGATTAGCACTCTACCTTATGTGAACAGGAGAGTTATCAGACTCTGACACCATGAACCGAAGCTGATCCAGCTTTCAGTGTTTGAGCAGTGAAAGAGGTACCTTTAAATCCCAGCACTATTTATCATCTGGTTTGCTCTTGCTATCTTGTCTCCATCAGCCTGCTGACCTCGATGCCCACCAGTAGCTTCAATGTTGAATGTTCTCTTTTGTGATTTCATGCTTTCCCAATACTGCCAACCCACTCATGTCCTCACAGAGATCACCAGGGTAAGAAATGGACCCTGTGCATTGTCCCAGGAGTGCAAAGGGAGCTATCGATAGCAATTGCTTTCACTGCTCATTATGCTCGCAGATACCAAAGGGGCATAGGTATGTGCAGTTTCCCTGTAATCACCATTACACCATTGTGATTAATGGTCACATTTGAAGTGCGCAATGTTCAAGAATATTTTAGTGATTCAATAACATATAAAATGCCCTGCTTCCTTTCCACCTCATTATTTTGATTAGATCATCTGCACTCTGTCTTATAACATGAGGAAAACAAAAAACCCCACAGATATTATTTTGTTTTCCTGAGGATAATAAAAGAACGTTCCACAGATGATACTTTCAACATTAAAGGCTACATAGGTATTAAAGTTTTCTTTAGTATAATCTCTTTTAGCAATATGCTTAGGCTACATTATTACCCACCTCCCAAGACTTACAACTATTAACAAAGATTGTCAGTAATTTAGGTGTCCTCCTGTGGTTATTCACCTAGAGACACCTGCACCATATGAACCAGATATATAGATCATTTCTATCACTTCTTCCCTTAAATTTGCTTACTTTTGAATCATCATTTGCAAATATTTTATTGCATTTAACATTTACTATTTTCTTTTTCTGGGAGAAGGGAGTACTTCCATTTGCCTTAGTCATATCTTCTGTGGCTAATTTGTGCAGTTAGCACACAAGATTCTTCACTTGAGCCTTCTTGTACAAGTTCCACTATGTGTACATACGTTTGAAAATTCCCTCTCTTTTCTAATTCCTTTTATTACCGTTCATTCTTCTACATACCTTTCTATGTAATACTGTATAGAGAAATATACAGTAAAGATATAGAAAATAGAAACATTGTATATTAAATTCATGTAGGCAGCTTGTTAATTTGTATACATTTTTATACATGGTCATAGCCCCATCTCTGAGCAAACCTCTTGAACCTTCCATGTCTTCTCAATAGCCTGGGGGGTCTTTCATTCATATAACGTGTATTTTGCTCCTTGACATGACTTCTGAGTGACTTGGATATGACAGGAAGACTTGATCCTTCCTAGAAAGGATCAGAATGAAAACCATGGTGTGTGTGTGTGTGTGTGTGTGTGTGCAAGAGCACATGAGCACATATGGATAGTACTTTATGGAATGGAAGCCCAGACCAGCGAAAGTAGCCCCTGGGAAGAAAGCTTGTGGCGTCTGGGACTCCTGAGGCAGAGCGAAAGAGAAAGGATGAGTGGGACTTACTAAATCGTCTCTCTGCCTCCAGTCTTTGTCCTCCTTTAGTTCTTCTCCACACTGCAGCTGCCAGAAAATGGAAATCTGATCATGATAATCACTTACTTAAAAGTTTTTAATAGCTCACTGCTAACCCTCAAGATAAAGTCCAGACTCCTTAGCATGATATATAAAGCCCTTCATTATCTGGTTCCGGCCTTCATGGCCAGCTTTATCTCCCTCCACTCCCCACGAAGATGTACAGCTTTTCTGTGTTCCCAGAACATGCTATGAGAACAGGGTTTTTCTTCTATTTAATACCAGTATGATGGAAGAATTGTGTGACCCCCAAGAAGCATCGAAAACTTTGTACCTCTAACTGTTTCGTTTCTTTAATGTAAGGCATAAATATGAGCTAAGCAACTTGATTATTGAAAAAGGTCACAGGCAGAATTATGTTGCTGTAGGGTGCTGTTTAAAAACATGTCCGTTCAATTTTACTTCCTAATACTACTTGGTGCCAGTAAGCACTCCCTAAAAGTTGAACACATTCTTGGATTTAGTAGGGTATCATTTATTTTTAGTTTGTTGTGTTCTGTTCAGCTACCACTAAAGTAAGTCACCTAAATGCTCTCTCTTTAACCTGATTGTATATATGTTTTAATATACGCTTGGAAAATTTCCCTGAGCAACTCATCTAGACTGTCAAGAAATTTGGAAAATGTGGTAAAAGATTGCAGTTAGTTTTGAGGTACTTTGGTGAATGTAACTATCTAAAAGACTTAGATCTGAACTTAGGACAGGGAGGTCTAGTTTCTACCCTGCCATTGAGGAGCTGCACCACCTTGCCTGGAGTTTAAGTTCTGCCCCATCTAGAATTCTTGCTGTGTGAATGGGACTGACGGAGTCCCTAGACTTCTCAAGGAAGAAGCTGCTACTCTATGTAGCAATTCCCAGTCCATTGTGATTTCTCTATCTTACCAGTTTCTTTACTAACAGTGTTATCACTGGGCACTTCTCCTCACCAAATTCAGTGATCGTTTGTGGGTTCTCATCCTGCTGAATTTTTAAATATCACTCAGGATGTTTGACCACTCTCTCTTTGAAACTATGCCTGTCCATAGCTTCTTATTCTCATTATAAAATTGGCAGTAGCATCTTTTTCTTCTTCATGGGATCCCTTCTTCTTTCCGCCCTTTAAATATGGGTGTTATGATAGTCGAGTTCTGAGCCCACTGTTCATCTCATTTTCACAGTTTGTGAGCCACCTATTCTTGTGGTTTCATCTTTCACCCAAAGGTTTATAAGTCCCAAACTTTTATCTCAAGTTTGGACCTGGATTTAGACCCTTTTCTAAATTCCTGCTGGTTGGGCCCACCTGGAATTCCTACTGGCAACTCTACCTTGACAAGTCCATAATAAACTTCGTCATCTTCTCCTTTACATGGACTCTTACTCGAATAATCTGTGTCTACTTTGATACTACAGTCACCCAAAGTAGACTTCTGGAAAGATTTTTGATCCATTCTTAATGTCCCACATTTAGTCAGTTTTTATATCTTGCCAGTTTTGCCTCTAACGTATTTCAAATTTGTCTTTTTTCTTCACCCCTACTTTGCTGCCTAGGTTTTAATGGGTCTCCTCACAGACTCCTGGGCATCCTAACTGATGCATTTGTTAAATGAAAGAATGAATGGATGGGTGGATGAGATCTCTTAAATCCTTGCATACAATTCTGTACTTTACTTTCCCTATCTGTAAATAAGGAAGTTGAGAATGTTCTGTCATATAACCCTGCCATTTTTCATTGTTTCTAAATCTTATCAATCAATGTACCCTTAGTCAACAAGTATAGAACATTAGCCCTCCAGCCATGAAATTATAATCAAAAGCTTGATTTAGAAAAGCGATATTTGAGAAGCTTTAATAAGCCATGTGTTTTTCATCTACTCCAAATGTCATCATTGGATCAAGTTAGAAAGTTAGAAAACCAGAAAATTATATATGGCACCCAATCAGTTTAGCCACCAAAATCTTGCTTTAAGATTTGTTGTAATATGCCGTTTTCTCTCAATGAAGGTTAAATTTTGCTAAATCCAATCACAAATTGCACATATTGGTGATAACATTAAATTATACAGTTAACATTGAACTAAATGTTAGATTTCTACCTGAGAGATATATATATAGTGCTGGGAAAACTATGTTTCCCCTGAAGGTCTGCTCCTTCTTCTAAATAAAGAGAAGAAAACATTAAAGACAAATTTGAGGCAGAACATACCAATTAGTTTGGCTTTTACAGTTGGCAGACTTGTGTCCTCTTTTCTAATTCCATTTTTATTTTACTATTTTATTATGTTTTATTGTTAAATGCCTTAAGTAAACACCTGGTCAAAAAAGCAATGGGTAGCAGATGCTTAAATGAAAATTTTAATACTGAAGATAATATTATAGGGTTCTTTCTTTTTACATATTTTTATTTTTATTTTTTTAGAGACAAGTTTGCATTATGTTGCCCAGGCTGGAGTGCAGTGATTATTCACAGGTGCCATGATAGTGCAGTGCAGCTTTGAACTCCAGCAGCCAAACGATCCTACTGACTCTACCTCCAGAGTAGCTGGGACTACAGGTGCACACCTCCACACTCGGGTTCTTGTTATTTTATGTGGTTAAAGGAGTATACAAGACAAAATCTATATAGTTTTTAGGAGCTAGGACAGAAAGCTGCCTTTTTGGTTCCCCGAAAAACTTTTCTTTAGTTCAGGTATTCGAAAATGCCATTTTTTGATGACAAAAGCAATATTTACTCTATAAATGTTAAATAACAAAAATTGAATATTAAAGTATTTGTAAATCACATATATGCTATTACCTGGCAATGATTTTTTTGTTGGTGGTGGTTTTTTGAGATGGAGTTTCTCTCTGTTGCCCAGGCTGGAGTGCAGTGGTGCGATCTTGGCTCACTACAACCTCCATCTCTGAGGTTCAAGTGATTCACCTGCCTCAGCCTCCCAAGTAGCTGGGATTACAGGTGCCCACCACCATGCCCAGCTAATTTTGTATTATTTAGTAGAGATGGGGTTTCACCATGTTGGTAGGCTGGTCTCTAACTCCTGACCTCAGGTAATCCACCTGCCTCGGCCTCCAAAATTGCAGGCAATTATTTTTATTCTCATTTTATGTCCACCTTTGAATTTAGTGTATATACACACACACACACACACACACACACACACACGTATATACTAAATATGTATAATGCATATAATATTTTAGTGAATAAAACCACATGAACTTGCACAAATTGTTTACGTTCTATGCCAGCATTTTTTATATTTTAAGTATATTTGGATCATATAATTTTAAAGATTAAATAATTTTCTGTTTTGTGATTTTTTAACCAGTTCTTTATCATTTTACTGGATAAAAAGCAGATGGATTTAGAAGATTAAATTTTTTAAAGATACGACTTATCACCAACCCTTTAGAAGCAGAGAAATTAATAGTATACAGAAGTAGAGAGAAATGAGTCTTAACTGGGTCATCTAGAAATAAAACTGAAAGAATTAGTGTCTAGTATGGTGGTGATATTGCAACAAGTAACTTATTTCTTTAAACTGATTAAATCTTATTGTAAAATATTCTTTTTTTCAGAGAGAAAGACTATAGAGCTGTAAATAAATACCTTTCTAACATTACAAGGCCACCATAGGCATTTTCTCTCATTAAAATGAATGAGCCCTCTATTCAAAATACATTACCATACTTTCTAACCATACTTAAGTAAAGAGATGAGACTCAAATAAATCTGATTCAAAAAGCTCTTCAGTTTAAGGAATCTCCCACTGGGAACTAATCTTTAAACCAGGCATATGTGATAAATCTGTAAGGTACATTCACCATTAGAGGCAGGTAGAGAGGAGTTCTTTCCTACGCTATAGTTAGAGCTGGTGCTCAGTGGGCAGAATAAATATTTGGTTTTATGCCCCATTACTCCTACATAGTGATGTCCCCACATCCTTTACTGCCTCTGATAACCTTTCCAGAAGAATTTTCAAAAATGGGTTTTGGGTGATACAGAAACTTGAAAGTAATCTCCAGAAATCCTAGCCTTTGGTAAATGTGTGTGTGTGTGTGTGCATGTGCATGTGTGTGTCTGTGCATGTGTGTGTGTTTTACCAGAAGGAGCCACAGATGAAATGCATGAAGAATTTTATGAGGCCCCATCTTTTCAAAGTCTGACAATTTATTTCCCTTGGGAAAACAGAGGAAGAAAAAATGTTCTACTGTGAAGATATCACAAATCATTACTCTACTCTGCCACATGTAAACTCTTTCTGCAATCATCCCTCACATTGCCAGATTAGAGAAAAACAAAATCAGATGTAAAATTCTTTATTCCCAGAATTGAAGTGTAAGTAGCGCAAATTCTATGTTCAGACTAAGTAGTCTCTTACTTTGGATCTGGAATGCTAATACTAATGTCATCTAGAAGTTAGCTATGTAACACCTAAAAACCCAAGGGCTCCCATATGAGTGCTCTGTTTACTCTCACGTTTTTAAGATAAGGTAGTAGAAGATATGATTTCATTACTAAATTTCAATACAAAGGTATAGAAGAAAGAGTTTATAATTTGACAGACCTAATGTCTTTGAATTTTAGAAATAAGATCTAATGTTAGAGCTAGTCACATTATGTTTTAGAACTTTTTCTTAGACTAAATTTTGAGGAACATCTTTGCTTTACAAAGCATGGTCTTTTAGTTGTTCCAAACCAATGCTGAGTTTTGGATGTGTCCAGAATTTGACACCCCTTTCCCCAACTTCTGAACCCAGAGTCGCTGTGTCTCGTTGGGCAGATTGTGAACTTCAAACTCTATAAGAAGCTATTCACATTTACAGACCAAAGTGCTTGCTATCTTCAGACAAGCACATCCTAAAGAGAAGGAAAAAAGGAAGGACAGAGCTAGGCATGCCTAGTTGTTCCAGATCCACCAGCCAGAGAAGTTCCTTCATCCTTCAGAAGGAGTAAATGAGGGGGTGGAGAGAGAGGCCTGGAGTGTTACGTTAATGATGCCTCACCACAGAGAAACACAAAGTCGAGGGCAAAAGAGGTTGCCCCTCAGCATCCCCGCCCTGTGAAAATTATTTTTCATAAAAAATGTTAAAGACTACCGTATTCAATAAATAATGTAGGAAAGTTAAAGGCAAAGATGAAAATATCAACTGATGTAAATGAATTCAGTATTCTGTTAACAATGAACTCTTTCAAGGAAGTGAACAGAACATTCCCTGGCCATTTCTATAAGAAAAACTTTAAAACTTATTTCTTAACATGATTATCAATATTTAAGATGTTGATATTATTGTAAGTATTTATGTCCAGAGAAGAATAGTGACTCCAAGAGGAATGATACAGAGCAAAAGGCTCTCTTTTTATGGTGAAAATTATGAAACTTATCAGGAAACACGGCCCCAACTTTGATGCTCAGTCATAACAATTCTATCACCCCACACACTCAATATATTTCCTCTTCTCTATTATTTACATTTAAAAATCTTATCTATGTAAATAAACAGTTTCTAGAAGTCCATAACAGCATTAGAGGAAAAGGGCTAAAAAGATTTTTACCAGCTTTAGAAGGTGTACTTGTTATGATCTGATGTAAAAATTATGCTCTGTGTAATGAAACTTACCTTGGGGGGATGGGGCATTGCGGGTGAATTTTAAAGGCCAAGACAGTCACTCTCAGAATATTATGAGGTGGCCAAGGGATGATTTTAGGTGTAGATTCTCAAGCAAAAGCCACACGGGTAGGCACTCGGCATTGCAGGAACTAATGGGACATGGAGCGGCTTCTCACATGGGCAACTCTAGAGAGTATGTTCCAGCGTGAGAAAAGCAGGGATTTATTATCAAATTTGGTTATATTTGATTCCATTTAAGGCAGTCTGAAATAATTTTTATAGAGAGGCAAAACATGAGTGAACGAATTAACCATTTTTAACCTGTCCTAACAGATCTGGTATTAGTGATAAAAGTAAGAAATAGATTTTTCAGCGTAAGTTTCAAACCTTCGAGTACATGAAGCCCCTTGCCTCTTCTTCCATACTAAGAGTGGAGACTTTTGCTCCAAGTATTTTTCTTCCTTAGGCCAACAACAACATGCCCACCTGACTTGGAGCCCTGGTCAAAGGACTGACCTCTTTTTGTAATATTGCATTCATTCATCCATTTTTTTTCACTCACTTTACTCTGGGAGTCAGACAGACTGGAGTTCAATTTCTGACTCTACTACTTAATAACTGTGTGACCTTAGGCAAGTTTCTTGCCTTCTCTGAGAGCATTGAGTATCTCCCTCACAGGGCTCATGGGAGGATTTCATGAGAAGATTCACATAAAGCATAAAAGCTTTACTTGCAACACAGTGAGCATCAATTTGGATATGTTATTAGGTTCATGAATATTAACCACACTACCAACCTTGTAGATTCAAAGATTATTAAGTTGTTCTTTCTCCCAGGGATAGTGGAGAGGCAAGTGGCTAATCATAATGTCATGTGAAGAAGTTTAAGGTAATGGCTAGCTTGTTAGCTCTGAGATCATCAGTCTGTCTGGTTCACTGTTTAATTCCCAGAATTTAGAGCAGTGACTGGTCATCATTACGCAAAAAAATACTCAATAAGCACTTTTTAAACAAATTCATGAATGAAGTAATGCCTGAATTATGGAATAAATGAATTATAGAGAGATGTACATATTGCTATGAATACACTAATAAAGGATCAGTTAATTCTTCAGGACAAGTAGGAATGAGGCATGGATTTGTTTGTTAATTGGGGGTAGCAGAAAGGGTAAAGCTTTTTGTTTGTTTGTTAAGGTTGTGGGCTTGGGTTGAGGGAAAAATTTCTGATGCTGACCTTTACACTCACATGGAAAATTTCCAGGCTGTGCAATTAGGGTAAGACATTTGAAGATATAATAGTATCAAAAGTTCAAGCCTAAGAACACAAAGGGCATTTTTAAGGGCTAGATGGAGCGTGGGCACACAGGGCAAAGACAGGAAAAGGGAAGAAGAGGCACAGAGGCTGATCTGAAACGTACATAAAGAGCTGCTGTGAATTCTAAGGCATTTGGGCTTCATCCTGTAAGCAATAGGGAACCATTGACAGTTTCTAAGGAAGGGAGACACAGCTTAGGTTCTGACAGTGCTTTTGTGTATAAAAGTTTCTGACTTCTACCACGGAGCTCTGCCCCCCACAAATTCCGTATCATAAATGAAAAGGCTGTCATTTATGCTGTCTGTATAAGTCCTGCCCCAGGCATTTGTACATGAGGTGTTTTTCCGTTTTATCTTGTAACATCTAATGCCATCAGCTTTGAAGCAAGCATCCCTCCTTTCAAGTTGCTTCATATGCTTAATTCTGTGGTTACCCGATAAAGTGCCTAATGTTGTAAAGTTTAGAGCTTTTTCTTAACACTATAGATAAATCAAAAAGAAGAGTGATCATAGCTTTGGATTGGAGTTCATCAAGGAAAGGTTTCTCCGAGAGTCAAGGTTTAGGTGCTGAATATAATGCAGTGAATTCATTTTACACATGATATTAAGTGGAAAAAATAAGTATTTGAGAAGAAAATCCAATTTAAAGACTTCAGAGATCTGATATCTCAAAATAGTGCTAGCTATGATGCACTCTCTCACTGAAGAAATATTTATTTGCCTCATGAATCTTGGACCTGTGAGGGAAAATGGCAGTTGCTGAAATATAATTTAGGACTATAGGAAAAAAAGTGAATTGATGAAAAAAGTTGAAAGTCAAGAGGTTTTTACATAGATATTTTAGGCAAAAAAAAAAAAAAATACAAAAAACAAAGTCAAATGTACAAGATTTTAGACTAATTGCTCATGTTGGCAAACAGGAGTACAAACATATGCTTCAGAATTTTAGAAGTAAAACCCGATCTTGTGTTTAATACGCAAAGCCCCCTTGACCTTAACACATCCTTCCTACATCCCCGCTTGGAGGACAAGAGAGTTCAAGCTGTTTATGGTAGGAATGTCTACCTTTGGGCTTTTTAAACCAGGTTCAAACCAATCACAATCTCTTTCTTAGGTCTTAAAATAAGATCAAACAGTGCAAAATTCCCTTACCAGTGTTTAAGCCTGGTTGCCTCTGTCCAGATGACTCCTATAATCCAGCCAGGCAGAACACCTCACCCTGCTGTTCCTGCTGATTTTCTGCATGTCCTTTGATTGTAAGTAATTATCTCCAGCTGTCCCTGCGCCCTGGCCTCCTTTAACTCCTCAAAGTCTGGCCTTAGAAACTGCCACACTGGAGGAAACTTAGGGTCCTGAGTATATCCCTGCACAAAGTGGTTGAGCACTGACCATAAAAAATACATATATTTTGGTATCTAGATGAGGCTATGCCCAGATATTCTTCCCCAACCTCTTGCAGTACTTCGAATGTACAAAGTCAAGAGCAAGAAAGAAAACTCCCAAGGAAGCCTTCCCAAATTTTAATCCAATATTCTTTCCCTGCTTATAATGACCACTGAATCTATCTTCCATTGTGTTAATAGTTAAAACAAAACAAAAACACCTAAAGGAATCTGTTTTTTCCTTGATATTTTCCCTTTATTCTTTTTTAAATGATCATCCATACTTTGTGAAGTGTTATTTGAGGTTGAAATATAGTTTCTCATCTTTGCATTAGATTTGCATTGAAAGGCAAAAAGCAATATAAAACACTTATTGGAACAAATGGGTAGGTCTTCATGCATGTATATTTATGTAGAAGTGAAGCGTAAAATCTAATCTCTTAGGATTTTAACACTTGGCATTATTTGCTCTAGTTAACAGATCCTGTATTTTGCAACTTAAAATTTAAGAAATTTGAGGGAATTCTTGATTTCAATAGGCATTAGTGGTGAAAACAATATTTTTCACAAAATAAAATTATCAAACATATCTATCATATTGCAATATTTGATTAAAGTTCTTCACTACAAATCTCTAAAAATTAAGAGACAGAGAGCTCTGGGAGAAGCCTTGAGTCAAGTTGCATGACAAACATATTGGCTGTGCCTTTGCTGTTTCTCCTGGATAGAAACTTATGGCAGGAAGAGGAAAAGACATTCTTGAGATTAATAATAAATCCAGATTACTTAATATGTGGTAGAGTGTATTAATCAGGTCTTTCTAGAGAAACAGAGCCAATAGAATATATAGAGATATATAGGAAAAGATTTAGTATGAGGATTGGCTCACCTGATGATGGAGGCTGAGGAGTCCTGTGGTCTTCTGTCTGCATGGTGGAGGCCCAGGAAAGCTGGTGGTGTAGTTTCTGGCTAAGCTAAAAGACCTGAAAACCAGGGGGGGCAATGATGGAAGTCCCAATACAACTCTGAAGGCCCAAAAACCAGGAGTGCCAATATCCAAGAGCAGAAGATGGGTGTCCCACCTCAAGAAGATAGAGCAAATTTGCCTTCCTCTGACTTTTTGTTCTAATCAGTCCCTCAACAGATTAAATGATGCCCACTCACATTTGTGAGGACAATATTCTTGACTCAGTCTATTGACTCAAGGAGACACCCTCACAAACACACCCAGAAACAATGCTTTACCAGATATCTGGGTATCTTTTAGCCTTATCAAATTGACACATAAAATTAACCATCACAACAATCAACAACAGCAACTTAAGCATCTAACAGTATAAAATTAATTAAATAATGGTTCCCTTTTTAACTTTTCATATGACGTTGTCAATAAACATCAACATGTAGAAGTATATTCAATGACATAGAAGGATAATTGCAGCATTATGGAAAAGTCTCATTATAAAAAGTATGCAGTATGATTCCAATGTAACCAATTGTCTGTATTAAGGTTACTAGCCTAGATATTAAAGATATTGGTTCTATTGTCACCCAGCCTGAGTGTGAGTGGCCTCCACCGTTGAGGCTGGTTACCTTTGGAAAACTGGCTAATCACTCCAGGCCTACAGTTCCTCATTGGTAAATGGAGATAAGAATAATACTTACCCTCTATTGTATTTGTCAGGGCCAAGTGTTTTAATCTATGTGAAACACTTAGAAAAAACACTGATTCATTAAAGGACTCAATAAAGGCTAGCTATTATTTCTATTAATAGTAGTATCTGTAATTATATATAGTTTAGATATAAAAACGTAACGGCTAAAAGTAGTAATTAATTTTTCTTCTTGGTGTGTTTCTGTGTTTTTAAAATTGTCTACAATAAGCCTGTATTTATCTTGAAATCACAGACACACACAAACACACACACAAACACACACACACACACAGTCAACCCACAATAAATATCATTTGTAAGGAAGAAAACCTGAATATGAATCATGGTTCATCTCTTTGAGCTCAGTTTCTCTCACTTTCAGCAAAGCATTCTCCCTTTCAGTTTCTGTCTCCTCATCCATAAAACAGGACTAGTTAAAAATGACTTCACAGTATTATTGTGAACTAAGATGAGTATCTATGTCTTTTTAGTTACAATTTCTTAAGCGGTTTCTATGTTCTGTGCACTGAGTTAAGTGCTTTAAATAAATTTCCCATTTAATCCTCACTAAAATAGGGGAAAACACACAGAATAGCTATTATCCTTATTTTCAAATGAGGATTGAAATGTTCCATAAACATTTCAATAAAAGTAATTTGTCTGAGTGTACACTGAAATGAAAGATAGGCCTGGGCATAAACCTTTATTTTCATTAAGGCATTTTTCTAAGTTTGGTCTTTCTTGCACACTGGAAAATTTCTATTTCACTCTGCAGTTAATTTTAAAGTAATGGAATACAGTTTCCAGATACAAAACAATAATTCTTCTGTAATGTACTTTTTCTCAGCAGTATAAGTTACAGAAATATGTTCCTACTACATATCAAAGGGAATCTGTTCATTCAAAGTTCCCACAGCCAACACTACCCATCATACCGTAATAGCTCTTCATCTGCCCTCCATGGACAATATGATTTCATTGTGCAGGTCAACTTGTTATCCCTAGCATGGAGGATGAATGTGTGTATAAGGTGAATGTATTAATATTCTGGACACTTTCTCTGGAAACGAATTTGCCTTTCCTACACACAAATCTTCTGCCAAAACTACCATCCATGGACTTACAGAATGCTTTATTCTCCATCATGGTGTTTCACACAGCATTACTCTTGATCAAGGAGCTCATTTCATAGCAGATGAAGTGGGACAATGGGCCCGTGGTCATGAAATTCACCGGTCTTGTCACGTACCCCATCATTTTGAAGCAACTGACTTGATAGAATGGTGGAAAGGCCTTTAAAGACCCAGTTATAGCACAAGCTAGGTGGTAACACTTTGTAGCACAGAAAGCTGTATATGCTCTAAATCAATGTCCAATATAAGCTACTGTTTGTCCCCTAGCCAGCATCCACCAGTGAGAAATCAAAGGGTAGAAACGGGAATGGCTCCAATCACTATTACCCTCAGTAATTCACTAGCAAAATACTTGCTTCCTGTCCTCACAACCTTATGCTAGGCTGGTATCTTAGTCCATTCAAGTTACTATAACAAAATACCATAAACTGTCTTATAAACAACATAAATTTATTTCTCTCGGTTTAGGAGGCTGGGAAGTCCAAAATCAAGGTGTGGGCATATTTGGTGTCTGGTAAGGACCTGATTTCTGCTTCATAGATGCCATCTTCTCACTGGGCTCTTACATGCTGGAAGGGGTGAGAAAGGTCTCTGAGGTCTCTTTAATAATAACACTAATCAAAGCCCTCATGACCTGATCATCTCTCAAAGGCCCTACCTCCAAATACCCTCACATTGGGAATTCAATTTCAACATATGAATATGCAGAATACAAACATTCAGTCCATAGGAGCTGGTCTAGAGAACCTAGAATGTTTCCATTGGAAGACACAACAATGACTATATAAACTGGAAGTTAAGACTACCACCTGGCCACTTTGGGCTCCTCATGCTTCCAAATCAACAGGCCAAGAAGGGAGATGCTGGCTGGCGTGACTGATCCTGATTACTAGAGGAATTGAGCTGCTACTATACAATGGGAGTAAAGAATACAGGAGATCCCTCAGGGCATGTCTTTATACTGCCATGCCATGTGATTAAAGTCAGTAGACAACCATACCAACCCAACTTAGGTAAGACTAGTAAGATCCTTGAGAAAGGAATGTTT
The DNA here is from genome assembly GCF_000001405.40 of Homo sapiens. Taxonomy (NCBI): domain Eukaryota; kingdom Metazoa; phylum Chordata; class Mammalia; order Primates; family Hominidae; genus Homo; species Homo sapiens. The sequence continues at coordinate 76,879,592 of NC_000008.11, read as the reverse complement.
GGGTCACCCTACCAGGCAAAGGACCACCTCCAGCTGAGGTGTTTGCGAAGTGCAAAGGAAATATGGAATAAGTCGCAGATGAAGGCAGTTATAAATAAAAGTATGACCACATAATGAGTTGCAGAATTGATGACTCTGATTGTTCTGAGTATTTATTCCTTATTTTGTTATGAACTTTTATGTGTGCTTGTGTGTGTATATATACCTACACATATGTATATGTCAAATATCTTTGTTTTCTTTTCTATTATCTCATTATCATATAACATAAAATCTGTGTATAATAGTTAATTTTATGCCACATTTTAAAGGTTATAAGATATCAAGGAAAAGAGAAAATATCACCCAAGGATTTTGCATCCTATCCTGGAAAAAGGGCTAGTGTTCTTGGCTACATGCAGGATAGTTATTTTATATTAGGTAGAAGTATGACCTTGTTATTGTCTTTATTTGAATATTAGGTATGCTTTGAGGAGATGTCACCCCAAGTTGACAAGGGGTAGACTGTGATGGTTAATATTATATGTCAACTTGGCTAAGCTATAGTACCCAGTTATTTATTCAGACACTAATCTAAGTGTTCTGACAAGTCACTTCATAGTGTGATTAATATCTATAATTTGTTGACATTAAGTAAAGGAGATTACACTCAACAATCTGGATGGGGCCTCAGTCAATCAGTTGAAAGCCTTACTAGCAAAAACTGAGTTTTCCCAGGGAAAAAGACAACCTGCATCAAGACTGCAGCATTAACTCCTGCGTGAGTTTCAGTCTGCCTGCCGTACAGACTTCAGATTTTCCAGTGCTGTCAAATGCATAAACCAATTCCTTAAAATAGTAATAATACTGTATAGGATAATATATATTTTACAAATATATATATATGCACATACATACACACATGCACACATAAACATATATATACATATATATACACACACACATGTCTATATAGTCTCCTATTGTTTCTGTGGTTGATATGGTGGGATAATTTATTCCATATATTTTCTATATATAAGTATAACAGGGCATCCTGAGAATTAATCCTTTTGTTTCTTATTTGTTGATACCTCTGAAGTTAGAATTCATACTCAGGACAGAAGATTTTTATATTTTCAGAAGCGGCCACTTTTGTAAACTATTTTCATCATATGTAGGGCAAGTCCTCACCTATGTTTATTGAACAAAGCCGTTAGGATTTCCTAGAAAAGTTTTCTAAAATACTTGTCTCATATCGAGGTATTAATTATTCTATTTTAATGATACAAAGAGTTTTCTTTACTGTCAAGAGTATCTTAGCCGACAGCATTATAATAGGAACTACATTGTGGCTACTTTTCTGGGTTCAGGGTCTAAGAAGGAGATTCCAATGTAAAAGAAAGAACAGTCCTCTGTAGTGTAGGTGCTAAGATGGAAGACAGTAAATCTAACTTTCTTGCAAGGGCATGGTCAATGTATGTAAGGAACAATTATATAAATATATATAACATATATATATATATATTTGTTATACATAACATAGATGGAAAATTCAACACAGGAAGGATAATAAAAATACAATGGATCAGGCTTATGAGATGCAGCTATTCTTCCGAGATACAGAGGAGCACAATGAGGCCAATAAAAAAACACCTAGTAGAGTTGATAGTATCTGTGGCTCAGATATCTTGAAAAGTGAAGCATCTTGTGAAATATAATTGCCCCTTTGTCTGAACCTAGTTTATAGATGTCCAACTCACTATATAGAGCATGACAAATATAATTTTTGGAAAAGGTGTCTTTAACATAAAGAAGATTCATCTTTCCTGACTTGCACTTCACTAAGAAATCTTTGGAGTTCATATTATATTCCACATATTGCTCCCATTATTGAAAAACTATAGCCAGTAGTCCCAACATATTTATGTATCAGTCCCCAATAATAAGGGTAATAGGCAAGGCCATGTGATAACCTCATATCAGTTACTAAGGACAGATGGAAGTCATTACTACAAGTTACTGGGTTTCCTGTATCTTGTGGATAGAGTAAATTTTCCCTGGTCTTTATTAGGATGGATTTCTTTAATTTACCTTGCCTGAGAAATTGTATTTTACAAGGTTATATTTATGTATCTGGAGGAGGTCTTATAAAACATGAAGATTAACTGCAGGGTTAATGAGGAGACTTACAGTGGCTCAGAAAGGCCACATGGTATCACAGAGAAAAGTCTTAAAGTGAAGTCAAGGTTTATTTCCAAGGCCTACGTCTGATTTATTGTGTCTCCTTGGACAAGTCACTTAACTTACCATCATCTCTATTTCCAGCTGTAATAATATTCCTACCTCATATCTCAGAGGGGTATTGCAAAAATTTTTACCAAACACAGACTAGAATTTTATTACTGTTGGGGAATAGCTTTTGGCACCTCTGAAGATAGGGTCAGAAAAAAAACCCGTTAAATATAGATACGATTGTGATGATGGCATTACATATCACATCTCATTTCCCTTCTTAGATTTCAGAAAACTTTAAGTAAAATTAGATCATGCTTTTTTTTAGAGAATACTCATAATTAACTTCAAAATTTTCTTTCAGAAAACAAGAAGCAAACCCTTCTGAGAGATTTTCCCAATCACTATTCACAGAAGCATTTTTACAGAAACACTAGAGGTTTTATTAACTTATATTTAGGATGTGTGATAATAACAACTAAAAAAAAGTAGTTCTATTTATACTATTCCTCCAGTCTCCTAGAATTAAAGCACAGCATATAATTCCTTCAGTAGGTGTTACCTTTGGCATTCTATATAAAAATGTGTTGAAATTCTGAAGTGTTATGTAAGTGTTGATTATTAGTAGCAGTATACTATGAGAGAAAATTTAAAAGGCAGGATTGAAGGTATTTTTCACTTTCTCTTTTGCTCATATTCAGGATTTCATGGACACATAAGGTTTTTACTTTTCCTTTCATAATTATTTTCTTTCAAGTAAAAACTAAATGGGTGTCTTAGTATTATTAACACAGGTTTTATAGGTAACAGAGAAGAATATATGTGTATGTGTGTATTCAATGATTATACATATCAAATATTAAAAATTACATGTAACATCCTACTTCATGGGTGAACTTTGAAGGTATTAGGCTAATGAAAGAAGCCAGGCACAAAAAGCCGTATATGGTATGATTCCATTTATATGAAATGCCCAGAATAAGTAAATCTGCACATACAGAAAATAGATAGTGGGTGCCAGGAATTGGGGGGAGGGAAAGAAGGAGTGACTGCTAATGAATACAGAGTTTCCTTTTAGGGTGATAAAAAATATTCGGGAATTAGACAGTGATGATATTCACATACTTTGTGAATATACTAAAAACCAATGAATTGTACACTTTAAAATAATCAATTTTATGGTATCTGAATTATATCTCAAATAACATTACATACAGAGAGAAATGGATAGAAAAAAACATTTAGTTTTGAGTCTGCTAAATCTGGCAGTGTCAAGGTAATGTATTTTCAGTGTTTTAAACATGATAATGATTTATTTTATGTTTAATGTTGCATAAATTGTTTTATCATTTCTAAATACACGTGGTGAGGAACGAATATCTTTTAGAATTCATATTGTCATACTTGAATTTTCCTACTGAAAGGCACTCTTGCCTTGTCCTACATGATTTTTTATCTCTTATAATGATTTAAAATCAGAAGAGCCAGGTTTCAGTTCTCTTCTCCAGGAAAAATGTCTTGTGCTATAGAATTGAACAGCCACAGTATAAACCTCAGGTGTGTGATTCAGGATAAGACAGAAAGAGCTACACATTCACCAAACCCAGTGTTACAGCCTGGGTCCAGCCAGAAGGAAAAACCACATGGTAATCTGAACAGGGGAAGTTTGTTATAAAGAATTATTAAAGTATGATAGAGGAGTAACTATGAAGACGTAAAGATAACTCTGTCTAAAGGGCATCCTAGGGCTGAGACAATGTACAAAAAAGGACAACTTGAATCCCCAAGCCCGGGTTGCAGAACTCATCAGATAAATGAGGTTGGAGCCAACTGAATGATGGAGAAGTTATCTGGCTTGCCCAGGTTGGAGCTGGTTCACAGTCACAGGCATATAGGAAACGACACTCCAGGGTGCAGGTGAGCTGAGGCTGGTGGGTGTGTGTTCAGAAAGTGCCAGGTGTTCTAGCCAGTGTGAGGCCTGGAGTATGTGGTGTCCACACCAGAGGGGATGTTGGGGGTGGTTACCAGTCTGGTGCTCAGGCTGCAAGGTTGTTAAGGGACTGTACACTGTTAGTCATGCAGCTGGGACACTTCACTGCTGGATGTCACCACGCACAAGCACCACAAGACTATACAGCAGGAGCAAGAGAAAACAAAACTCATCACACCAGACCAGGAAGAGAAGCCCCCTTTCGACTGCGGTGTTCTTCCAGCAACTCCTATTGACAAAACTTCCCATCGAGCTCACTGTGCAGAAGAAATGTTTAGAGTCTAGTGCAATGTTGCAGAGCAGGCACTGAAGTATCAAGGTGGCAGTGAGAGGCAGTAAACTGGTAACTAGTGAACCTAGTTTCCTTTTCTTCCTAAACCTGTAGCTTGACCATATTTATCAGCTCCCTTTGCAGTTAAGTGGGGGTGACTGAGATAAATTCTAGCCCAGGAGGTAGATGCAGAGGTAATCTGATATACTTTCAGAACTTGCCCCTACAAACTGTGGCTGTCCCTAACACACCCACCTGCAAAACTGGAAATGAAGAATTCTAAATCCCCAGGGGATGGCAGATCCACAAGGTGGAAATATGCTGGAAATATTCTAGATCTCTGACTTGTCTTTTGAGAAGAGACCCCAGAAGAGTCACCTGATCAGGCCTGTTGATGCTGAGGATGTTGCATGAGTTAAAAATAGATCTTTACAGTGGTCAGCCATTGGAATATTGCAGTTGTTTGTAACCATAGTTAGTCTTTTTTGACTAATCTGAGTAATAAGGAAACGGACGTCTTTTGGACTAATGGGCATCTTGAAATTGGTTGCTACCGTAACAGTAACGTAAAATATGTGGCATTGACTTAGTTGTCAAACAGTGGGCAACAGAGCATGAGATATCAGAAGCTGATAATCTGATACCCCTTATTATGCAATGGCAAAATATTTGATGAACTGTGTCTACAATAATTTGGAAGTCAGACCTCCCTAATGAGCTTATGTTTCTGGTAGAAGTGGTTGAGAAAAAAGTGTTAGAATGTGTTAGTTTATTGATTGCCTTTAGCAAAATATTTCAAGAAAGATTTCAGCTCAGAAAGAAAGCAATCGATTTACAAGCAACAACACAAAAAAGGGGAAAGAGTTCAGAAATTTGGGGCTTCACAAGATTGGAAAACCTGATAGTTTCTAGACCTCAGACAGTAATATATAGGGCAATGGTTTTGAGAAACAAAGGCCTATTAATACTCAAATAACAGATTGATTATTTTCTATGTAAGTTTGTTCTTTCAAATTGCTTCAAGGTAGCCACCATTAAGTTTGGAAAGAGAGACAAAAAGAGAGAGCAAGGAAGAGAGAGAGAGAGAGAGAGAGAGAGAGAAGGGGTGAAGGAGAGGGAGAAACAAGCACAGGGCTAGAACGCAGATAAATAAGGCTTGCTTGAAAATTATACGTAGGAAAAAACTTTGGGTATGACTGGATACTATGAACTGATTGGAAGCAAACAGACCAGAAAACTGTCAAAGAAACAGGCTGACAAAGCGGTGCATCCCCCAAGGAGAACATATATCCCAATCTCCTTTTCTGATGTGACCATCGAAATGGCCGCAAGGCTGAGCTTCATTGAGGATAGAGTCAGAGGTCACAAAGAACAATGGACAAGGGAATTTTTCCCAGAGGACAGAATGGGAGTTCATTGCCCCTCTACCAGGGTAGAAGCTCTTCACAATGTCTAATCAAGCAGGATTTCAGAACTGCTACAGACTAGCCACTGTGGTATTATCCATACTTCCATTTTCCAAGTGGGTCACTGTGGCCATCCCATCCATGCTTCTCCTTTGCATGCTGGTATTGCAATGTGGGAATAGATAATTTATCTCTGTACTTTATGTGTCACTGTATCACAGGGATCCACACCTGAACCTGACAGAAAGGACTCATCTCTCAAAAACCCTAGACTTTGAGTGGACTTCAGGAACTGGATGTGGCTTCACGTTATCTCCAAGCAGGAGGGAGGATAAGTCTTTTCCAAGTGTGAGAGAAAGGATGAATTGGGTATCGGATGACCAGAAGGCAGATGTTAGCAGACTTTAGAACCAAATTCTGTTTCTTGTTTTACTTGTGCAGAAAATGGAAGTGGTGAAATGTTACCTTTCTGAGTTTGGGTTAGTAGGATGTGGGTGGAAGGATAGCTTTATAGCCCTGTGCTTGTTTCTCCCCCTCCTCCACCTCTTCTCTCTCTCTTATATTCACTTCCACTTCTAGGTCTGTCCTTTGCTCTCCTTTAACCTCTCCCAGCAGCTCAAAGCAGAGGACTCTCTGATCCTAAGAGACAATGGAGCCATAAGATGAAAAAAGTTTTCAGTTCCGCACTGGGAAAATAATTGCCCAGAAAAACCACTGGACTCAGAGCCCTCATGTAGAACTATTGCATGAGTGAGTACACTTTATTTTGATATAACCCAAAGAAGGGGAATTAGGAATCAGAGAAAGAAGGAACAACAACAACAACAACAACAAAACAGGCAAGGGATGAAGACGTATTTCTATATCAAGTTGCTGCTACCTGGGCAGACTCTTGAGCATTAAAGCACAGTTTAGTTTAGAGTGGCAAGGCCAGGCCAGACCTATTATCCAAACTAGAATTCTATTCAAGGTGTCAGAGATGCTACTCATAATTATCCCAGAACAACATATATATATCTCACAGTAATTGTGGGGAAACTGGATGTGTGATCATACTTACAGTTCTGTGCAGTGTTTTATTTTTGTTTTTGTTTTGAGACAGGGTCTCGCTCCGTTGCCTAGCCTGGAGTGCAACAATGCAATCCATAAGGCTCATTGCAACCTCTGCCTCCCGGGCTCAAGGAAAACTCTCACTTCAGCCTCTTAAGTATCTGGAACTACCAGCATGCACCACCATGCCCAAATTAGTTTTTTAAATTATTATTATTATTTGTAGAGATGGGGTTTTGCCATGTTGCCCAGGCTGGTGTGCACTTTTAAGATCAAATAGGTAAAGTCAAATAGGTAGAAACTCCTTCTAAATGGAAAAGAGCCCAAATACTTGTTATAGTTATGATCCCAGCGAATAATTTTAAATAAGTGAGTGAATAAAAATCCCTTTAGTTATATCCTTAAGATATTTCCAAGTATCCATTTCTTAAGGAGGAACTTTGGTGTGCCTATAGCCACTTCTAAAATCCGGGCATTCCTTCCAAATCCTGTTCACGGTGTGTTGTTAGGACACAAATCCAGATTTCCTCTGCCACCCCTACAAGAGAGACCTTTCACTCTCCCCCTCTGCAATATACATCTCCAAACAACAAGCATCAGCGTCCTCGTGGTGGGGAGCAATTCATTTTCGTGTTGACTTCATGAAGAGACGCCTGCAGTGAGCCTGCAGCTGAGTGCAAAGTGCAGATTAGGAAGGAAAAGTCCCTGTTCCCTTGATGCATTAACGCATTCTCCATTAAGTTGCTCTACTGGGGGGTGATCCTGGGCCTGGAGGAGCTTTTCTGCTCTAGGGCTCTTATCTCCTGGGGCCATTTTTGGAGGGTGGCCAGCCCAGCACAACTCCATTTTCAGTTTCTTCCTACATGTGTCTCTCTGGCATTGGCTGCCCCGATCCCTTTCCCACTCCCCACCCCAGCCTCAATTTAGAAACTGAATGCTAAAAAAAAAATTGAATAGACATTTTTTGCATAATTAGTTTCTTAGCTGTGCATTGTATAAATTGTCATTTAAAAGACTAAACATAAATTCAAATTTCCATTATGAATATTAATGTTGGAAAGAAAGAACATCAGGAGATTGTGTGACCCAGTTCTTCTCTTTTGGTAAGAAGGAAAGTTATGACCATCAAGGAGGCCTAAATCGCCTGAGGACAGAGGCGTGACCGGCCTTCATGTCAAACCACAGTACAGATCTCCCACCAGATCTCAGAAAGCCCTGATAATCAGTACCGTGAATTGTTCATGAAAATGAATTAATATACATAAAGTCTTTAGAGTGATGGGTATATATAGGAAGCAGTATGTGTTAGCTTTGATTTTGACTATTCTTAATAGTGATGGACTATTACAATAATAACCAATATTAGCTGGTTTTATAATAATTAGTATATATCAGTCATCTCTACACACTATAGTTAATATTTTAGAGACATACACTAAATCATTATTAATATATAAATTATTATATATTATAAACTTGGAAAGTTTTATGTTAAAAAAGAGAGAAAGGGAGAGAGAGAGAAAGAAAGAGAAAGAATCTTACATCTGTGTGTTAGTGTTTGGGGTAGGAGAATGGTTCAGAGGGGAAACAGGAGTTGAAGGTGGCCATGAAAGCTGGATAAGTGACTCAAGTTTGGAAGGCTTTCCACTATTTCATAGCAATGATTAGATTTGTTCCATTTTATCTCACATTACCCTAGTACCTGCAGATAGGAGTTACACCAATGCAAAATTTGTTCTCTTCTTGGGGAAGTGAGAGGGAATAGTGGTTAAGATAAGGTCTCTAGAATTTCTCTGCCTGAGTTCAAATTCAGGTTCAGTGACTCCTTCACTATGGGACCTTGAGCACATCACTTAATATCTCTGTAGCTCACTCTCCTTATCTTTATAACAGCATAATAATACTGCCTGCTTGGTAGGCTTCTTGGGAAGATTAAATTAGTTCATACGAGTTAATGTATTAATGTAAAACACTTATGACATAGCGATTACTTGTGTAAGTTTTATAAACACTAAAGGGAATATTTAAGGTAATGAAAGTTGTTTCTAAAAATGGCATAGGGTATCTAAGGAGGTGGTGAGTTCAATACCCACTGTGGGGCTCACACATATATTCCTTACAACCCTGGGAATATCATATGCAGCCAGATAATATATTTAAATATCAATCAATTTTTTTCCTCCCAATATTTCACTCTTACCTCCCAACCCCAGCACTCCCAAACAACTTCATAATTTCTGCTCCCCTGGGACGACTTTACTTTGGGATATTCTCTATTTCAGGGTATGTCAAAAGCAGAAGGAAGAGAGAGAAGGGAACCCCTTCCTGGGTTTTGTGGTTCCATAGCTTAGGGCTTGAAGGGAATAAAAAGGATTCAGGGTACAGAAGAAACTCAAAAAAGATGCAAACCTCCAGGCCTGGGACAAGGTCAGGATGCTCTAGGTTAAGTGGAGTGAAAGGATCCTCAAATAGGATCCTGTGTTTCCCCTCTAGCAAAGTTCCAAGAGGGGGCGGGACCACTAGATAGATGAGAGTTTGAGGGCAGGGATGAGTTTTGGTATAAGGCAGACTTAAAGGTCTTCTTGACCTTTAAGTTGTTCCCTGGAGCAACAGTGGCAGGAGGTAGAAGAGCATCGGATGAGAATGAGGCAACTTTCTTGGACCAAAAAGGAAAGGCCAAAGAGAGGGGCTCCCTCAGCAGATATCACGGAAAGTGGACACCAAGCATTCAATGTCTCCTTTCCACAATGTGTACCATGTAAGTCCCCCAGAATTTAGACATAATCACAGGGACAGGAGGAATCCAAAATTGACGGTAAGGCCAGCTTCATGAGTGTGTGACCTATGCGGTCACATAGGACTCTGTCCTTCAGAAGAGTCCAGTGCTTGGTTCAGTGCTTGGTTCAATGCTTTGCTTTTGCCATCTCATGATTTTGAATAATTTTTTAACAAGGGGTTTGCATTTCCATTTTGCACTGGGCCCTGAAATTTATGTATTAATTCCTGCTTGACTTCTATTAACTTTTCTTAATCACAGTAGAAAGAGGAATTCAAATAGAAATTAAGTTGATTAGAGAAAAATAAAGTTATATTTCTGTATATCTGAGTTTGCAGTTTGATTTCTGTACTAATACATGCAAGCCAAGACCAGATGAGTAAAGTCAAACAAGTTCTGACCATGAAAATGAGTAGTGAGATTTGACTTGGATGCAGAGGGTATGTTGTGCAGGGTAAAGATAAAATTGGAAAATGTGGTTGGAGGTGTGAGGGTGGTCCATCTTGAAGACCTCTACAATGGAGAATATCAAGACAGTCTGGCATATTTGGAATTACTTGAGGCCCTGAAATACACAGCCATGTTTGAAGCCTCCATATATAATACTAAAACTAGCCTTGTAACAAGAGAACACTTTAAAATGGAGAAGACAGCTAAGGGGCAGTACTTTGATCCCAGATAAACCTGACACTCAATCCTACCTCTGCTGCATCAGCTGGAGAGCATCAAATTTTCAATTCTCATTTATAGAAGAGGAAAGGCTCATATCACTTACTTTTGTGGGTTACTGTGAGGATAAAATGGAAAGATGTCCATATAGTGTTGCGTAGAGTAGAGACTCCCAAACTCACTGTATAAAACTCATAGAGAACTATTTACAAGTGAGGTTATCCTTTTCCTGAGTTTGAATATCTACTATATGACAGGCTACATCTTTAGGGACCATACCTAGAATATTTTGTTGTTCAATAAATGGATATACAGTAAACACACATTGCAGGAAAATGAGCCAGTGTGGGCACAAAACTCTGGGAATCTAGTCTAGTCCAGTGGGAGTGGGGTTTGGGGCTCTAACAGTACTGGTTCAACCAGTAACCAACTTATTGGTTCACTCTTGAAAAGAGCAAAATAAAAATCCCATGGAACTATACCATCATTTTTGTGATAGGTAGGTAGGCTAACCTTACCAAGTTCATTGCTACTTTTGATCTGCTAAAACATGTGAATTTGGTTCACTAGAGAAATAATACTTCCTCTGATACCACCATGGGGCTTTGCTTTCTCCCTTTAATGGCATTTGAACAAGGCCCTTCTGGTCCTACAATAAATATTATACAGGAATACTTTTATACATGAGGAAATATATCTTTTACCATGACAATCCAGGCTTTTCTATGTTAGGAAAAAAAAAGTCAGGTTAACATTCAGTTTTTCAATGCAGACAAGTGATCACTAGGGAGGGAACCAAGATCAGAAAGTTCATTTTAACAGGGACCTGAACTTGGCCTCAAACTTAAAACATGGTCTCAGAGGTACAAGCGTAGTGTGTTAAATGTTTTGCCTTTTGAATATTTGATTTCAGCACAGAAGCTACAATCTAGCCTTATCCTAATGGTTTTCTGTCACTGCTGCCAACAGGAAAAGAGTTGTGACCTGCCTAATACAATGAAAGCAGCTTTTATTCACTTCCAGTGATGCACTAGAAAATAGCTCGATAATGCCAAGAAAGCATGTAAAACAAGGGAACCTCTACTACATTTCCAAATCAACCTATTTATATTTTCTATTTGAGGTTTATCTGTACCTTATAACACAGAATTCGTTTCTTTGGGGGCTTTCCAACTTGAGTGAAATTGGTGGGTCTGAGCAAAGAGCAGAATAAGGAAGAAAAACCACGTGCAAAATGCTTTGCCTTCTGCCATTATCAATGATAAGAGTGGGTTGAAAAGCGATGCTCTGAATTAAAAGTTTTCTGTGTTCAGTTGAGAGGGCTAGGGGTGAGAACCCACTGAGAACACTAAGCAGAATGGACCTTTCATTTCTTCTTTAGCTGACTCGCAGATGAAGTGAGCTTTGTGAGAGGGAATGTTTGCATTCAGTATAAATGAAAAAGTGTCTGGTCTATATCCAAAAGCAACATACAGGTGTTGAAATTCTAGCAGTAATACTAAAAGTAATAAGTTAATGAACTCTGAAATGAAATTATTCCATTTGTCAAAATCTGTTTGCCAGATTTTAAAATCTAACAGGGCATGCAGCATATGGAACATTAAAGTGTGGATACCCATTGTAGGCATAAAGAGTGCTACTGAGAAGCATGAGTTTGCCTGTTAAAGGATATAGAATTGGCCTAAAAAAAATCACAATTATTTATGTGACATGCTAACATTTTTGTGCCATTAAAATGTGTTGACAATAATGCCGTTATTTAACTTTTAATAATCCATGTGTCTATTTTTCTGGATTGCTTAGTGGCTGCTTAACACAGACTCCTGTTAGAGCAATCTGGTAATTCAAGTGGCCTCCCTTAAGTCACCTTCAGGTGGGGGAAATTAATACCTTGTGCAAATATTGCAAAGTCAACTCAGAAAGAAAACACATAGTAAATATGTAGATACAGTTTTTAATGTATCACAATGAGCAACAAACATACTTGATGAACTATTTCCAGAAGAATAAGTTCAAATACCATCTACAATAAACATCATTTCAACTATGACAACAGGTCTGTGACAAAATAAAAAAAAGTTTTCAAAACCATGTTATTTACCGTAATACGGTGCATTTGAGACTTCAAACATTACAGTAACAAAAACTAATGAGACTACTCTCTATATATAAAACATCAATAACATTTTTGGTTTAGTTTATTTAAAGTTATAGCCATAGGGGCTTTTATTAAAACCTCAGGGTGCATTTCCTATGTAACCCAGGCGTTGAGAGTACATGTTGTGTAGACAATGATTGCGCTGTGATAATCCCTTTGATATCCAGGAAAAAACAATTCTCATTCTCAACCTTTGGAGGCTGTCCTTTTATTTCTCACCCTAACAACGTCCATCCAGTTAAAGTTTTTTTTCTTTTTTTTTTCTTTTTTTGGCTGCTGTGCAGTTGTAAAAGTTTATGTCGACACACTGTCGGAATAATCATTTGTAAAACAGTCCTTTGTTTTGTGAAAAGCGTTCTGTTCCATGCTAACACACTGTTGCACATCGTGTTAACTGCCAGGACAGATCGATCTCACAATGCTGCTGCTTAACATTCATGAAAAAGGCAAAAGCAATTTTCTGAAGCCTTTGGATTCAGGACATTAGCTCACTATAGCGGCAGGATTGCACCTTAGGAGGCCATGTTGTCTCTTACGAAACACAATCAAAAAAGTGTCTTCAGGATTAAAATAAATGTTAAAATACTAAAAAAAAAAAAAATCCAAATTAAAGACATTAAAAAAGTTCACATAAAATGTATAGAATAAAGATTGCTGTGATCATCATCCGAAACAAAAACTGTACAATAATAAAATGTAAAATGAAATGTGTCTTGATTTGATCATTAAAACAGTTTGAAGCATGACTTGAGTTAAACTGTCAAACAGTTGCATTACATGCTACTTGTTCATCTCGGAAGAGAAATATCAAAAGCAATACATTTTGCATTTCTTCATATTAATAAATTTGTACCATGCACAGCCAACTACAAATATGTACAACAGCTTAGCTTTCTTTGTTCACAAGCCTTTAACTTTCTTACAAATAACCTTCTGTTACTTTGGAATGAATCACATTGTTTTACTATATCAAACACAAAAGTGATTCGTAAAATACCCTTTGACAGCTTTCACATTCTTTAAGTTCCACAGCAACAGAAAAACAGCAAAGCATAGCAATTTATAAATCAATTCACTGGGTGGTGGAAGTTGAAATTCATGGCAAGCAAAACAAAAATGTTAACACAGTAGCAGCAAATGTTGATAAAGATAATACTTTTAATGCATATATGATAAAACAAAACAGGTTAAAAAAAGTATGTAACAGAACAATACAACACAAGTGCCCAGAGTATGAATGGAAGTACAATAACCTATCCACTAAATGGCAGTGTATAGGGATATCACTGAATTCAGTCCTACGTGCGCAGGGCTAACCTCTTTATACAAAACAAATTTTTAGTCCCCTTTTTATTTTTTAAAGCAGCTTCTTTGCTTTCCCGAGAAGCAAATATACCTTTTCATAATTTTTGTTCAACTTGTACTTAAACAGTTTCAAGTATACAGTACTACTTTCATTTATGCACCAATTGTTAAATAGGTCTTTGGGTTGTTAGGAGTTAAACTTCTAACAAATGCAGACCAAACTGTTGCTGCACTACACACAAAGAAAGGAAAAAAAAGGTATCTTATTAAATTTCACATGGTCTACAAAATCATAAGTGCACTAGAGTTCAGACACAAGCAAGTACCTTGACAGTATAGCATTAAATTCACAAATGAAAAATGTCCTGTTCACATAATCCTCAGAGTCTATCAAAACTAGAATTATTACCTCTTTCAGAAAAAAAGAATGACGTCAGAGGTAAAAGTGAGAAGGTAGAGTTGGCACAGATTATTAGTATATTCTACAAGAAAAGGGTGACACTGGTATAAATATAGCTTGTGGCAATACAAACTGCAATACACAGGGCAGACACATGATTCCACTGTTCCAGATTCCCTCTGCGGTAAAACTGTACTATCCTGCAGCGTGAGCTCAAGGATCTGTGTGTTGTCCAGTAAGGGTTATAAAGTCTCTTTGTACACTAAACACACCTAGAAAATGCTTTCTAATAAAGATTGACGTTTGGGGAAAAGTCACAGTTTTACCAGGCTTCTTGCTGCTTTTAACAAATGAGAAATGTTATGTTCTGACCTGAGAATTTAAAGCTACTGAATTACACCTAACTAAACTAAGAGAAATTCTCTTTGAAACATCTGGATCATCCTCCCATACAGTACATGCTAGCATTTGGAAATCAATCCAGCTGAGGTGCAATTTGCTTTCTTGAGAGTTTTTGGCTTGAAACAAGTTCCAAAAGAACTTGTGAGATTTTTTTTTCCTTTTCCATATTTTAGCATATAGTACAAGCGCATTCAACCATCTGCATCAGTTCTGTCCATTACATACCATCCTATATTGCCAGCATATCAATATGGGAAAAACAATCCTGAGTCAATCATTTGGTACTGTAATTTTTGGGTTAGAGAAGCTTTGGAACTGCAGTTAAAGTCTTATTTTTTTTTTATTTTTTTATTTTTTATTTTTTTAAGCACGGGATCCTGTCTTCACTCCTACACACTGAACATATCCATTCGGATGCTATTGAAATTACCATCTAGGCCAGAAGCAGGCTTAGCCTTCACTTCCAAAGAATTATCTAAGTCTTCTAGCTTCTGGCTCAGCTCACTGTCAGACTCATCTGAACAACTTTCTGTGGGTAGTGAGGTTTGAACCCCTGAGGTGCTGCACAAACTTGAGGTAACCGTTGAAGGCAAGGAAAGGGAAGGAGGAGAAGAAGGGGGAGAAGCAGCTCTCCTGGCAGACGCTTGGAAAAGGATATTAGGCCAGGACTTCATGGAGAAGCAAGAAAGATGAGGATAGGTGTTATTAGAAGAAGCTGCAGACTGCGAGGTAGATGTGGTGTTAGGATTAGGGGAGCAGACTGAGTGAGGTAATAATCTAACATGCTCTTTGGCATTTCTCATTGCTTGTTTGATTGTTTTCTCTTTGTGCAAGCTTGACTGGAGGTGTTGGCTAAGTGCTTCATTCCCACTGATAGCCACATCACAGGCAAGACACTGATATTTGCTGACTGGGACACGAAGCACTGTCTCTTGTGGGTCAATCAAAGGCTGACCGAAATAACAGAAGGACTTTTGATGATTTACTGCGGCGTCTTCATCAGTAAACATCATCTGGCACTTTCTGCATATAAACTCATACTTGACGAATGGAACAACGTAAGTGTCTGAAAAGTCTGCACTTTTGGATTCTAACTGGGGTTCTTCTTTTGTGCTTTCTGTAGCAGTACTTTTGTCTTCCTTTGTTTCTGAAGCATCGTTGGAGTTTTGCGGCTGGTCACTTTCTACTTTGGATGTCTTTGCCTGAACTGGTTTCTGCTGCTGTTCTTGCTGTTGCTTTTGCTGCTTTTGCAGGGACTCCTGCAGGTTCTGCTGATACTGTTGGTACTGCTGCAACAGTGCACCTGGGGACAGACCTGCCAGTGTCTGGGGCATTGTAGGGCCATAAGGAAAGAGGCTCTCCATGCCACAGACAGGTGGGAAGTATCCCCCCTGCACTGTTCCAGGGAGCTGAGGTGTAAAATAAGAAGCAAACCCAGGGATAAAGTATGGCAAGAACTGTCCGCCTATAAAGGAAGCTGGGTCACCAGCAATTGCATTCTGTAATGCCTGCAACTGAATAGGATCGACATGTGTTTCACCTACAACTTTGCCCAACACTGAAAGAGCAGATGAGATTTTTTCCTCTTTTTTGGGGTGTTTTTCGGGTTTGGTGGCCTCTAATTCCTCCTCTTTGATTTTTTTCACCTTGTTTGGCTTAGTTTGCTTTTTCTCAGATTCTTTGTTCTGTTGCTCGGTCTGCTGTCCTGACAGAGAGGATGAAGGAGGAGGAGGAGGAGGAGGTGGTGGAGGTGGTGGAGTCTGCAGCAAAGGTTTGGTGGGGGCACTGCTGAGAGACAGGGCAGGAGACGAAGTAGCTGAAGTAGGAAACCCAAGCATGCCTGCACCGGGAGGTGTTAAAGCTGAAAACAACAACAGAGAGATGGCCACTGTCAATGTACAGACCAACATCGGAAGGCTGTATGCTTAACACCTAAATAGAACTCACTAAGGACATTGCTATATCAGAAAAGATGTATTACACACAATAGGAAATTCATGATCACCACCTAGAACTTCAACATGGGGCTTTCCTGTGTTTATAATATTTCTTATATTAGTTTTAACCCCCACCAATAACTCTAAGAATGTAAGCTGCATATTTTAGCAACATTTTACTCAGAAAACAGGCTCTCATGCTATGAAAGATGAATAACAAAAAACATCATCGTGAACTATAGTGGTTCCTTCCAATTGATACACCTTGCAAGATCCCTATTCTGTTATTTATTTTAAGCAATTTTTACTATACCTCTGGGAAGGCAGACTCTCTCCGTCCTTCACTTGAGCAGTTTGATAATTACCACGTTCACTAAAAGTAATTAGCTATCAAATACAATGAAATCCATCTGCCTATGTTCCAGCAGAAAAATACACTTACATTGAACAAAGAAGGTGATAAGCTAATTAAATAGCAATAGTAAATGACCACTGAAGACACCAAAAAACAAACAGCAGCGAAGTCAGAGCCATTCATTACTAGGACTGAACAAGGTTAGCCAGGATTTCATTTTTAGGAGTGTAGGTTAAGTTGTTTGTTACCATCCTGACAACTTGCCTAACAGGGTACTTGACAGGAACTGCATATATTAACAGTCAACTTTACCACCCCCAAAACATGCTTCTTCCAGGTTTGCTTGTAGTACGCAAACATGATTCTCACCTCATTAGAGATGGGAAACTAAATGATCAGTAGGCAGAAACCTGTGGGTACAGCATAACTCCTAGAGGAATGTAAAAGATCTTTGCTTTGTTTCAAGTACCCAGTATAATGTAGTGGCTGATAATAACCTATTACACAGCCATTTTTATGAGCTAGATAGTTGGCTGGGAAACTGAAGGACAGCTCAGGATAGAAAAGGGACTTGTAAAAGCCTGTGCCTTTTTTGAAGATGTTTTTAGAGGCAAGTAAAGTTGACTGCAAAAGGAACAGACCAGAAGTCTAATGGCTGGCTGACAGTAATTCATTCTTGAACAAGGGAAGGCTCACTACCAAATGATCATGACAAGGACTGTGATGGAGGTCTGGTGGGCGGAAGGAAGAATTAACCAGGAGAAGGTGAATAAAGTTTAATTATCAATGCATAGCTCTAGAGGGAATGATCATGAGACTTCATAGAGCCATCTTGTTAATATTGGTCATAGTCTTACCTCCATGCTAAATGCAACATGTGAGTGTTAAAAAAAAAAGGAGAGACAGAAAAACTGTATGCTTCTTTTTCTTTAGCTAAGAAATAATAAAAAAATAAAAAATAAAAATAAAAAACCTCCATAGTTTCTTAATTGATCTTTACCCAACCGAGAAAGCTTAGCATTCAAGATACTGTGAAGTCAACATCACTCCTTCCTTGACCCTTATCCTTATCACATTACCCTCAATTAACTTAGGGTATTATTGGCTGCTCCTCTTTTTAACTTTGCTACACTCAACTCTTCTCTGACCTACTTTGATATAACTTCTACAGTTTTAATAGTGATAGACTCTAAGGAGTTTACATGATGTTAGAAAACAATCTCCCAACATCCTTAATGGCAATGGGGAACTGCTGCTAAACATTCCATTTTTAAATAAGGAAACCGAGTCCTAGGAGTGTTATGACTCAATGGCAGATGAGCTAGAGGAGACTAAATTTTACAGCTGTCACTCCAATTTATCTTCTGGTTTAACTGAATCAATTTCAGGGGTTAAATAATTCAAATATTTAAGATGCAAAAAGAAAAGAAAATCCTGGAAAATAATGTTATATTTCCAGAAAAAAACTGACAGCAAGTACACACATTTTACTGAAGAATGGCTCACACATTAAAAATAAATTTAAATAAAGATGGCCCAAGCATTACTGGTATATGATAGGAATGAATGAATAAACTCTCTGATCTTTAATCCAATTTTAGTAATAGATGTCTAGATTCCTGGGACTTAGACCTAGCCCTAGGGAAAACTGTGAAGTAATAGATATGCCTTTGGGGGCCCACAAGCATAACTCCCTTGCCTTTATTCCTACAGTTCTATGTCTGGGATTGCGTTTCCACTTGCCTGTTTATAAAAATTTATTGGCAAGAAAGAACTGAAGAAATGAATAAAGTAGTACGAAAAAGGTTCAATATATACCAGATTCAATAATTTTTTAGGTTTCTTCCTGCTATGATATTCTGATTTCACCACAGTATACACTATTTTCCATTCGACAGTTAAAGGAATTAGTATCTAATTATAAAATTTCAGGCCTGAGTGATTCAGGTGGAGGAGGCTTTACTTGCATTGCTAAAATATTACATTGGTAGCCAGCTTCCTTTGCCTACTCACAAAACCAACCTTAGTTCTAGATCTCATAACAGTACAACTTCCTCATAAATAATTTTACCCTCTTTCACCTAATTTCCCCCCTAAATCTGAGGAAATTACTGGCTTACCTGTCTCCGACATGAAAATTTAAGACAAGATAAATTTTAAGGAATGGAGACATGAAAAAATAGCAATTGTGGTTAGAAAGCAAGATGGAGCAATAGTTGTTGACTTAGGTTTTCCCATCATGAAGGGTCTACATGTTTTTATCTAGGGTTACATAATGAAGTAATAAAGATTTTTAGAAGACTGCAATAGGAATCCCAAATAATCCTAGATCAAAGATTATCAGGAATTTTGAAAAAAATTCAACATCTTGAGGCAAAAAGCTGAGTTAAATAATGAGCTACTCTAAAAATTTTGGGAAAAGAGATGTAGATTAAGAATAATAAGCTATGTGCATTTGGCTTACTAGTAAGATAAATAAGCCTATAAAAATTTGCAGTAAAAATATCAGTAGCCAGAAAACCAGAAATAGAGGAGAAAAGCTGAACAGCAATAGAGATGTAGAGTAAGTGGTGGTAATTTACAATTAAATGCGTGTCAAATTTTATCTTTTATCTAGTTATACTGTTAAATATACATTCTTTCCCATTTCCCAACTCCTACTGCAGTTCTCAGAAATTTCACATAGAATTAAAAATGTTTCTGTAAATAATCTCATACTACCATCATTTTGTTGGGTTTTCTTTCTCTGAAATAGCTACCTTGTCCTGATAGTAATACTTTCAGAAGAAAATGCCTGCTTCTTAACGCACTCATATGTAGTTCATTTTCTCCAAGTTTCTTTGACTGAGGTCCCTCAAGTTTATATTTGAGGTTGGAAATGAAAATAATTATGTACATGGGGCCAAAGACAATTGTGCTAAAATTATTAAGGACTTACTCTTATCTACATTTACCCCAAATGTGCTAGTAAATTACATTAAAGTATGAGAAAAATGCAAAAGGCATGTTCTAAAGTTCCATTTAAGGAAATCAGCTTAGGCAGTATTTCCAAACACTAATGGAACATTTAAAATCAGACACTGCTTAAAATGATAAAGTAAATAAGTTAAAAATAGAAAAGCAAATAATTTTTTTATTCACTTTGAGTGTAATCCCAAAGCCAGCTAACACTCTAAAGGATAAAATATAAATTTAAAGTTTTCTAATTTTTCCAGGTATATAAACATACGTTGATATTCTATGGCCATTTTCCCTTTTTTATGTATGATCATGATACAAAAACTAGGATGTGAACAAAAATTAAAGAAAAAAATAATTCATCCTATTAAAAAGTGAGCAAAGCAATAGTAGGTAGTGATACTGAACACAGGGCTGGCCACTGTTTAGGAAGCAGGCATACATGATGAATATTACCCTTGAAAGGGCCTTCTTAGTAATTTTGAAGGAATAAAAAATTTGCAGATTTCTTGGAAGATAAGAAAGTTTTGTGAGCATTAAAACCGATATCCAACCAGAAAAACAATTCTACCTCCCAAAATAAAATAAAGTGTATGTTTAAATCAGGAAATTCAGAAGTTGATAAATACTAAAACCGAACATTTTTACACTGCAATTAAGCTAATTTTGGGGCGTAGCCTTTGAGTAAACTCTTATGTTCATCTTACATTCACTGAAGCGATTTTTAGTGATTTCCTTCTAATCAAAATCTTGGAACCTACTTTCAAAGGGATGGGACATCCTTAAAATGAAGGCTTTTCCATAACTAAATCTTATTAAAAAGGAGCCAAGGGGAACTTGTCATATTCTCAAAGATGTTCATATTGATAACAAATTGTAGCAACGGCCCAGGGCTTGTAAGAAACGCAGAAATATTTTACTTATAATGTTCTTTTGATTTTGCCTTAACTGGTATGTTTATCTCTCCCATTAAGCAAAGAAGATAATTGTTTGGTGACAGATAATACAGTAGAAAATGATCATGGGAAAATAGAGAACCACAGCTCTACTGAGCTGGTTGAAATAGTCAGCACTACCCACCATAAGTAAATTAACCTAATAAAGACATGAACTGAAAGTGCAGGAACTCAGGCGCTCAGGTGGGGCCCCACTGGTAATTCTGCTGTGTTAATGTTTAAAATCTCTCACAAAGGACTAAGTTGAGAGAAATTGAAAATTTCAGTAGGTAGCAATGTTCATGGAGCTTTTCTCTTTATAACACTCCCCAGTCTGTTTCAGTCCACGATTTAATAAAGCAGCAGATATAACAGATTTGAGTTCCTGGGTACCTTGTGTGTTTAAAGATACTCCTATCCGTGGTGTGACTGCCTCCAACATCTTCTCACTAATGCTATTACAAATAGGGCCTGTATTTTTGGGAGAGGATATAATTTATGGTGAATAGAATGAGGAAAATATTAGTCTATTTAAATATTTCATAAACATCTCTTTTCCTCCTTTCTCACTTTCTTTCACCTAGGCCCTCTGGGCGCCCATATCAGAATGACTGACCAAAGAGCAGTTGGCAGAAGGACCACTGTCCGAACAAAGGCCTTCAGACTCAGTGGAGAAAAAACAAGATGCTTTGACCACCACTTATTGGGATGACAACACAGTCATCATCAATCAAAGTAGACTTGTAGATTAAAGGTACAGATATTTCAACTGTTTTCAGCCCATGTAAAGATATCAAAACTCTTCTATTTTACTTAACTGATCACAGAAATCTTTCCATATAAGATATTTTTCTGAGTCAATAATCAGTGGTATATAAAATGGGACCAGAAAATAACAAGACTCATACCATATGCAAAAAAAAAAAAAAATCTGTCATTGCATTATTCTTCAAACACTTGTATTTTACTTAAATAAAATGTACAACCAAAACACTTAATTATAGCTCTAATATTTAAGACTCCAAAATTGTCTAGATAATGAAGCCCAAAGTACCTTTGGGGTGAGGGAAGTTGGTATGACAGTTCAAGGAAGGGACATGGCAGACATTTTCTTGGTGACATTCTTTATATGTATAGTTCCATTCTGCTTCTCTCAAAAACCAGCTGACTCAGAACAGAAAACCAGGTAAGCTAGCGGTGGCTGAGGGGCCATAGGATGTCATTGTTTTCACACCTCCCAAACTAAAAGTTAAAATAGGAATAACTTAAGATCACAGTGGCAATTTTGTTTTTTTGTAAGAAAATCATGGAATTGAAAAGTTTGAAATTCATGTAAAAATTCAACTTGTAAAAATGAAAAAAGCTTTCCTTATTTTTTGTAAATGTAGATATATATATATATATATATATATATAAAATTAGTGAATTCTAGATGTCCCTTTAACATGTTAAATTTTCCTTTTAAAAAGAAAAAAATCATTGATAATTTAGAAAACAAAACTTACTTAAATTATAAAAGAACCATGTTTTCCTATTTTGGGTGATATATAACTTTCGTTATATTTTTGGCTACATGATTGGCTAGCACGTTATATTCCATTTCTTTAACATAATATAATTGAATACCTATACTTATTCACAAAATCTAAACTGTGCAAACTGCATATCTTTTGATGAACACACAATTAGATTCAGCATCTGAGGTTGCCTCAAACAGCTTTACAAATTTGTTATGCCTTAAGTAGAAACTTTAGCTGGGGCTAGGGGTGAGGGAATAAAGGCATGAAGTAATATTAATGTATTTCTAAGGTTGCTGAATTTATTTAAATAACAAGTAGCAATGCATGTTACAAAACTCAAAATTGTATAGCAATGCTAAATTCTGTGCTATCACAGAAGTCATATTTTTAGTTGTTGAACTTCAAACATAAGTCCTATTAATCTGCTAGGAACCATGTGGGTGAATACCTGTGGCTGAAGGACTCAACTTTTGAACTCTGGGTGTCACAGGGTGGCGGCGGGGGGGACAAACAAAAACACCACCACCCCATCCCTTGGAAAGAACATAAATTAAGATACCAATAAATATATTATTTAATGTTTCATTTTTCTTAATATGTGTACCAAATACTAAGCCACATGTGAGTGCTGGAATGCCATCTGAAATCAAGATTGAAATTAGTATAAAAATAAAATATTTCTATGACATGGAGCTGTAATGATACAAATAATTAATATATATCTGAGAATCTGCTGTGATCTACCTAGTCTTTATTTTTCTGTGTGTGTTTCAGGTTGACCTACTTCCTGGTAATTAGCTATAGCCAATATAATATATACTTTAAATAATGTATTGATTTCACTAGCTGAAATTAAAAGAAATCCAAAGGCACCCCGTTCTTGGTTACATGTGACTGTCTACCTGATGCTACTTAATTAACTAGACTGAGTCTCCTTTAAATGACTTACTGTTTGAATTTTGTGGAAATCCCGGCAAGGAGGATGGACCGTTCATTCCGGGGAGAAGGACTGGAGGAAGGCCGGGGAGTCCGGGGTAGGCTGTTGGCAGGCTGATGCCGTGGAGAGAACTGCTGTCCATCATGCCTGGCTGCTGTACCGTCAAGCCCAGCACGTCTGAAGCTTTCTTTATACGATCAAGTTCTTGCTGTGCCATCAGCTGCCGAACCGTGGTCGGAGCCAAGTAATCTTTCTCCCGATCGAGCTGACTGCCAACGGTCTCCCTCACTTTTGAAATGTGCTGTTTGGAGAAAATGTGATCTCTGATGGACAAGCGGGCAGAGTACTTCACCCCGCAGAGGGTACACTCTGGTTTGGTGCCTTCCGTTCCGCCTTGATTGATCATGAAAGGCTTCCCTATGTTAATTTTAAATTTCTTTTCCTTTGCCCTTGCATTTTGGAACCACACCTGGACTACGCGTTTGGGCAGACCAATCTCATTCCCTAACATTTCACATTCTTGCATGGTTGGAGTTCGGTAGTCACTAAAGCAAGCCTTGAGAACCTTGAGTTGAAGATTGCTCATTTGCGTTCGAAAACGCTTGTGACCCGGCCGATCATTACTTTTGGATTTAAAGGGATTGCTGGATCCGAATGGATTTGGGGAGCTCGGGTCCGCTATGCTGGACGTTTCGCTGCGGTCGGCGTTGTCATCCGGGTCATCTGTGATGTAAAAGCTTTGGTCGTGGTCGCCATCTTTGTCATTGAAATGGATGGATGGGCTTGTGAGAGAAAAGAGAAATTTGTCATCGCAGACCTCCGTGGTAGGTGTGGTTGCAGGTTTTGGCAGAGTATCCAGAGTTTTTGGCTCTTTGGGAGACAAAGCCGGTTTCACATCTCCGGAACTTCCTGTGGTGCTTTCCATTTCAGTGTTTCCCTCGTCTCCGGTGGTGGCGTCACTGATTGCCGTATTAATCGATGAAGTCTCATCAAAATCGGTTTTATTTTGATCATACCCAGCCTCAGCAGGAGGGGCATTTAAATTCTCTACATCCTCAGAACACTCTGCTTTAAAAGAAGAAGGGCTTAAAAGATTCTTCGGTGACAGCTCTGCTGTTTTACTAACAGGTGTTGACACTGTAGAAGCCAATTCATTCTCACTTGATAGATCAATTTTAGTTAATGGCAAAGATGGGTAATCAAAATAGATGTATTTCTGTGGGCTTTCTCCCCCATCTTCGGTGGATATTAAAGGGCTTGGTGGCAAGCTGTAACCTGCCTGCTTTCCTTCATTCCAGTGCCGAGAGCGAATGTGGCTTTCTAAGGCCGACTTTGCTTTAAACAGGGCTCGGCAAAACGGACACCGTTTATGAGACTGTGCTGGACCCACCGCCCGGAACTGGCCTTTCCTCTCCCGCGCTCGTGTATTCTGGAACCAGACTTGCACGACCCTTTTTTTCAGCCCGACTTCGCGGGCAATATGATCAAGCATTTTTCTGGTAGGATTGGAATCCAGCAAGTATTTTTCATAGAGTATTTCCAGCTGTTCCGGGGTGATCGTGGTTCTCAAGCGTTTATCTCGGTGTTGGTCTTCACCGCTATTCCCTCCTTCTTTTTCACTGCAATTATTATCTTCTTTATCGTCTAGTTTCCTTTTTAGGGAAGCAGCAACCGTTGTGGGGGCTGTGGTGTGGGAGGAACTGGCCTGAGGGGGCATTTGAGTGAGGGAACTGCCCAGCAGTTGTCCAGTCATCAGCGGATTGTTGGGGTCAAATATCATGTAGGGCATGTCCATGGGCCTTTCCAAGAACGGAGAGTGAAGGAATTGGTTTTGAGCAGCAAGGAAGTGCATGTGCTGGTGTTCCTGCCAGAGTTCCAGAGTTGGGAAGGCAACTGTACACTGATCACATTGGTATTGTAGTAACTGTGGAGGTAGACTGTTCTGGAGAGACGTCATGGAAATTTGCAGTGGACTGGAAGGGACCGGTGTTTGAGAGGCCGAGGGAGGTCTTCCGATAAGTTGGGGTTGTTTTGGTGGCTGTGGCTGTGGCTGTGGCTGGGCTGTGGATGCCTGTGGTGGGTCCGAGGAAGTCGATGCTAATGGCAGGGCTGGTTTGGTGCCTTGAGAAGGGGGAGAGGGGTCACTCTGCTTTGGCTTTTCTGCGGGATATTCAGGTTTTGGAGAAGTCTTCTCAGGTTCTGGTTTGGGTGATGGAATCAGGGGGGTGCTGGTCCCAGAGCCAGAACTTGCTGCAGGGGCAGCAGCGTTTTTAGCTGCATCCGTTTGGCCAGACACTGTGCAATGCTTGTATACCACTTGATCAGTGGCATCCATGGAGTCTTCTGTTTGGCTTTCATCTTGGGCATCATCATCTTCATCCTTGTAACACTGCTTTTTCTGATGCGTAATCAAGTCAAAGATCCTGGGGAAAACCACATTGCACTTTTTACACTGGTACTGCATGTTGCTTGTTCGAATGTACCGTTCATTAGTGAGTTCTCTTTTTTCATTATCTTTTGTTTCTGCTTGATTCTCATAACTCTTTCGTGCTTTCTGACGAGCATTCTGGAACCATACAACAATAACCCGGGTAGGCAGATTGAGAACAGTGGAGAGTTGTTCTATTTCATCATCTTTTGGGTAAGCGTTTGTGTCAAAAAAGTCTTGCAGAACCCTAAGCTGGTAGTCAGTAAATCTCGTTCTAGAAGACCTTTTACTGAATGATGCATCAGATTTGTAATGTTCTAAAGAGGTGGGCTGTGGATCAATTCTGATATCTTCTAAAACCGTTATAGGAGGGTTACTGAAGTTGTATGGTGAATCTTTATTTCTCTGTCGTTCCTTAAAAAGCGTATTTCTAAACCAGTGTTTGATAACTTTTTGGGAGAGGCCAGATTTCTCTGCCATTTCCTGGATCTGTTCTTCACTTGGAGAATTATTAATGTCAAAATAAGCCCTCAGGATTTTTAGCTGATCATCTGTAATTCTTGTCCGTGGGCGTTTGAACTGAGAATGTCTTAAGAAGTTGGGATCTAATCCGAGCTGCTGCTGGCAAAGTTGGGTGAGGTCTGCAGAGAGTGCGTCCATCTGTGGCAGCTGCAGGGCAAGCTGGGGAGGAAGCGCAGGGTGTTGCACAGGTTGCATCATAATGGAAGGAAAGAGCGGCAGGTCCAGAGAAACCGGCAGTTGGACCTGTGGAGGAGCAGAAGGTGGAGGAGGTGGGGGGGGAGGAGGAGGAGGAGGAGGAGGTGGTGGTGGTGGGGGAGGAGTGGGTGGTGGAGCTTGCAGAGGAGTAGAAACCGTGTTGGGGATCTTTACAGGACCCATAGAAGAAGGCTGTGGAGGAGCCGGAGGCAAGGGAGGAGGAGGAGGTGGCGGGGGCGGCGTTTCTGGAGAAGATGGAGAAATTGGATAAAGCTTGTCATAGGCCTCCCTGTATTGACGAGCAAATTTTTCTAGCGCTGCATATGGAAAAAATTGCCCATGTACATGTTCTTGGTGACTCTTTAAAATAAGAACATTGGAAAACAATTTACCACATGTTCCACATTCTAGTTTGTCAGTGTTTTCGCCTTCACCACTTTTGCCCTTCTTCTGTACCTTCTGCCTGTTTTCGTTATACTGAATGACCAGTTCAAAACCAAAGTTTTCCAATAACGCTTTGGCAGCATTTCCTCTGGCCCCTGAAGCTATTCGGGGTGGTGGGATGGATGGTTCCAAGGATTTTTGCTTCTTTGTGTCTTTGCCTTCTTTGAGTCCTTCACCTTCACTTATAAATTCCTGCTTTGGTTTTTCTGGCTTTTCAGAAATATCTTCTGCCTCCTTATAAGATGGCACATCCTTCATGATTTGGCAGTCTGCACTCACTATGTTACTTTGCTCTTGTTTCAATAATTTGCTTGCCTGCTGTTGCTGCTGCTGCTGTGGAGGTGGTGGCTGCTGCTGTTGTTTTTGAGGCTGCAGCTGGGGCTGTGTGGCTTGGTATTGTTGTGCTTGTTGCTGTAGTATCTGGAGTTGAGTTTGACCAACGTGATGTTGGGTTTGAATCTGCTGCTTTAGGTCTTCAAGCAAGGAGCCAGCCATTCCTGTCATGCCAGGCATCCCAAATGTGGCAGAGCCTGGCAAGCCCAAATCTGGCCCCAAGCTGAACTCCGTCCCAGGTATATAAAATGGAAAGAGAAACTGAGGCTGCTGAAACTGCAGCAGTGCTTCTGGGGTCATAGGAAAATGAGGCAAAAAGGCTGGGTTTAGAAACTGAGGCTGAAAGAATGCGGCTTGCTGTTGTAATTCGTGCTGTAGTTGCATCTGAATTTGTGCTGGTGACTGTGGTGGGTGATGTGCAGGTTGAGCAGAGATTAAATCAGGAGTTTGCTTTTTATTTAATTCTTTGGCATCTAAATGGGTATCTTTGCTGTTTACAGCTGCTAAACTCATGGAATCTAACATCCCCTGGCCAGGGCTGTTGACATTTGCTGCAATGCTGTGCCCACCAGCCACATGACCACTGGGCTCCAGCTTTGCAGCCCTAGCCTTTGTCTGGTGGAGCACAGACCTCATGTGGATTTCCAATGTTGAGCTTTGGCTGTATGCAACATTGCAGATGCTGCACTTGTAGGGTTTGTTATCTGTGTTGCTGTTGGTTTCTTGTGGGACAGGACTGGAGGCTTCCTGCAAAACTTTTTTCAGCTTATGCAAGTGAGAAACTGAATTATAGTGGACCAAGAGAATGTTCTTTTGGGTGAATGACTCTTTACACACTGTACATTTATATGGACGAGATGGATCAAGGAATTTTTCCATCGTAAAATTGGGCCCTTTTCTAAAAGGTAAGGTCCGCTTTGGTTCAGAGCCCATGTCATCTGGAATAGAGCTACTATCACTTCCTACAGGACTTGCTTTCCCTTCGTGGTCCACCTCATACTCTCTCTCCATTTCCTGCTCTAGGCCATGGTCATCCTGGGACATAGTTTCGCTCTCTGCCCACAGTTCTCCATTCACGGGCAAGGAGGCATATAGCTGTTGAAGTTCAGCTTCACTCAGTTCAGGGTGGCCTGCTTCCAAGTGTTTTTTTAAAGCCTGGAATGTACGGAAACTGCGCTGGCAGAGGTTACACATTGTCGCAGCCCGAATTGCATGATACTGGGAATGTATCTGAAGCTTCTGCATAGTTTTGAAAGCCAAGCTACAATGGTTACAGCGATACTTGTAGACATGACGGTCAGAAACAGAGAGCGGTTGCCTTTTTTGCTGTTCATTTAATTGATCTTGCAGTGTGTCGGGGATTTTCACATCCTTACTGCTATTTTTATTCCATTCTGAGACTTCCAAGGGTTCTTTAGTCGGTTTCTGCTCCTCATTCTTTACTTCCACATTAGCCTTTGAATCCTCGAGACCTGCCATGCTTTTGTCATCCATTGGACTTTCACCTATTAGGAAAAAGCACAAACATCTCTCTTACAATAAGAAAACCTACTCCTTAAATATTAATTAATATTATAAATAGTAGCCTCTAAAGGCTTCTGCTTAATTAATTGTTTGAATAAATGTTTACTGAGCAACTACTATGTGGCAAGCACTGGACTGGGTACTGGGGATATAAAGGCAAACAAGAAATCACCGCTGGCCTCAAGAAATTACAGAAAAGGGAAGAAAGCAAGTCAAAGGTCATTAGAGCTTGCTGCAATTAGTGTGATACTAAGGGCCATCCCTTGGTGTTCATGAATTAGATCACACAGAATTTTCCTGGGTGTCTGACACTTGGGTCCCCTGAGGTCACTTACAGATAACCAGACACAAAATATGCCTTGGAAAATATGGCTCTTTGAAATGGCATACATTTTTCCCCTATGCTTTACGAAAATCTTTTGATAGTAATAATCTTTGGGCACCACCACAAATGCAAAGCCCCTAAGCGTATTGTTCACAAGTCTTGATGATAAGATGGCATACCTGAATATTTCCCAGACCCCTCAGCTGTCACGGCTGCAGGTGTGTCCCGCTCTGATTTCTCAGAGGCAGCTGCTGGCAGTAGCATACTGTTTGGCATCATCACATCAGGGACAGGCACCTTTGGAAACCAAAGGGGTTTATGTTAAATGTACCCCAGAAATCACAAATTCCATCACATCTCTCTTTTGCTGGTAGCATATCCCACTTACATTTGTTTATTTTAGCCAAAGCAGGGATGTTTTGCAGATGTTACAGATCAATGCCACACCTTGCCACTTTAGATCAATGCTGTGGCAATGTTGTATTATTATTATTATGGCTTAAAGGTTCCTGTAGGTTTATTTTTTTATAATGATAATGAAGCAAGTTTGAAATGCAAGGTGCCCACTGGGGTTATTTGATGAACATTATAGATATAAAAAGAAGACTGCAAAATAATGTTCTTTACTAAGCTATGCCTTGTACCATATTTTTTTCCAAGCAAAAGAGGTCACAAATGGGCCTTGAGTGTGACTACTATAACACGAGCAATAACAGAGCTTTAATTAGCTCTGAAGAAATACATTTCCATAAACCAATAATTACAGATTTTATATTGATATTCCTGACACAGATTATGTCACACATGCATCAATATTTGGTATCCTTACTGTCATAAGCAGCTTCTCCACACAGTCTGGAGACACACTGTGCAAATGCGTCAGATGCAGTTGGAGATGCATTTTGTTGCTGAGGACGTCCTGACAGAGAGGACAGCAGATGACCGGCTGCACCGAGTGCTGTGATAGGACGTGCATCTGGATACGACTTTGGTCCCTACTATTGTAGTTACAATAAGGACATTGATAGAACTGGAAAATATTGAATAAACATGGCCACTATTAGTTAATGCATTTCTTATTTGATACATAGTAGTTGTATTTTGGGGGTACGTGTGATATTTTGGTACATGCTTACAATGTGTAATAATCAAATCAGGGTAAATGGGATATCCATCACCTCAGACATTCACTATTTCTTGTACTAAGACCATTCCAAATCTTCTCTTCTAGCTATTTCAACATAGTTAATGTATTCTGATGACTTTAGAACATTAGAGGTAATACCAAGAGTTACATTGCCAATTGCAATGTCTACATACATTTCAACAGCATGGAATCATTTGGGGCTTTAAAACTATCAGGAGCAATAAAAAATAAAGATTTACACAGTAAAGGGGAAAAAAAGTATTTACCTGTTCATGACAGAATTTATTGTCCTCTGTAGGTTTTGACCTTTTTGTTGCAACATCCTCTTCTTTTGCCAGCAGGAGTGGCTGGGTACCCCCTGCCACACTAACTTTTAGTTCCTTCTCTGGTGTGATTATCCCTGATTCCCAAAAAGAATAGAACAATTCAATTTAAAAACACAATTCCGAAATGAGAAAAATTATGTTTTTCAAACATTTGCGACTCTAAACACACTGAATCACAAAAAGAACCGACAAGCATTTTAAATAATGCTAATCTCAAAAGGCAATAAGAACACTTCTTTTTGTCCACTGACTAAGTGGACTTTATAAATATATTTTAAAATGTACTCCTGTTTCATGTTTAGATAACCCTAGGTGGCCTGGAAAGATTCATCAATAACACATGCTCTCTGGTGTCTCAGAATGCCTTTACCACATTAAAGCAAATCTACTCCCTTTCACAAATACTAACTTAAAAAATCATTATTTCTACTAACATTTAATTACCTATCTCTTTTCTAAAATTCTTTGACACTTAAAATATTTCAACGTTCTGAGAAGGGCTGACTGGTTATAATTCAGAAACTCAAATAATAATAATTTTATGTCATGAATGGATTTAAAAACGGAAAGGATTGTAAAATTAATCATATGTATCTGCTGCTGCTATTAGTGATTTACTCTTTGCTGTAGATATTTCAGCAGTTGGCTGTACATATAACATTTAGTACAAATCTCAAGAAGACAATGGTTTTATGAGGTTAATCCAAATATTTGGTGTTAAAAATGATTTCAGATTTTGCCTAGACCAGCAGTGTAATGTGTAGGAGCCTCATATACATCAAAGAAAAGAGTGCAATTCTAATTTCCCAATCTAACAGAAAATTCTTTCCAGCATCAATTTGCCCGATAATCTCCTCTGCAAGGCTAGATATTACAGCGACATTGGGTAGGCATGTCACATACATCTCATGACAAACACAAAACCTCATTTACCAGCCATTCCAATCTCATCATAGCATGGCATCATCTGACCTTTTTTCTGCTGTTTATTATGAGTATTTCTAATTTTAACTTTCAATTTTCACCATCTTCCAGTCAATTTGCAACTAAATTATTTCCAGGGTGAGGACACTATCACTGGACAACTGGGTGCAAATACATCTTGAAATGCAATGAAGCTAAACCATTGATTGCTATCAGACCCCACGTAAATATATAGTCCAGGCGTAATCTGATTGTATGCTGTGCATGAAGATTTATCTTGATTTTTTTTCAATCCACATACGGTTCATATGAATGAACAAATTGCACCTTATTGCAAAATAACCCAGTTTTAATTTAGAAATAAGGTCAAGGATGTTATGGAAACAAAGTAAAAATAAACAAAAAAAATACATTCTATTTCAACTGTGGATAGAGATGCATGTTTTATACCTTATAAGTAATTTCAGAAATTTCAAATTCAGAAAGAAATATGAAAGCAAGAGTGATTCCATGCAGATCAAAATTAAAATATAATTTAAATTACATCATGACAATAATTTTATTCTCTTGGGGTTCATGGTAGATACAGAATTAATGCAAAGTTTTCATCAGATTATACTGATACTACTGATTTCTAGATTTACAAGCACTAGAATTTATTTGAGTTGGTACATTTGTCTTCATGTATATATATATGTGTCGGAGAAATTTAGGTTATTTCTAGATATTTGAAAAAATAATTTATGATATTTGAATTTGAATGAACTTAAATCCAAGAAAGACTGGAAAGTTTCATTACACTGATTTAAAAATGCCCAAGTATTTGATATCGAAAGATATGTCAAAATAGGAAAGTCATAATTCCTATTACCTTGTCATAATTAAGTCTGGAATCAAAAAATATATGTTTCTTTCTCAAAGCTGAATATACTTTGGAATATTGTTTTAGAAGTGTTAAAAAACAAACATTTAAGAAAACTATGATATTTTATATTTTCAAATAAAACTTACTGCTTAAAGTGTCAAACCAAGTTGTATAAAATCATTGCCATTTAAATCAACCAATGTCTATCAATTGCCTTCTCCTGTGAGATGTTTCTTTAAATGTTCCCCCACTAATAAGTAAGAATATGTTTCCTTAGGAGAATAATACTCTGTCATATCCCCTTATCGTTCTTTTGCGTACATGATGGAATTGGACAGGACCAATAAGTCGATCCAGGTCCCTGTGCCATCAAGGACTGTCACACACAAGTTAAAAGAGAATTTCCATGACTTAGTTGCTTGCAGGCCCTTTGGATCATCAGTAATAGAATAAATCTTTCAGAAACTTATAAATCTATTAAATGTATAGCTATGGACTCATTTCCATAAGCATATATAATGTGTATTTTATTCTTATATTGAGACTGTCAGGGATCAAAAAATGTATTGATTTCAAGATCTGGAACATTTTACTAAACCTACACACTGGTGTGCATAATGTATAATTAATACCATGTATATTAAGAATATATTTATTTTATTTTTATGCTTATTAATATTCATCAAAAATATAATTGCTTTTGAATTTAGTGATGTTCTATGCTGTATCAAAAAAGTAAGAGTTAAGTTTTAGGGTCACTATCACATGGCCGTTGCAACAACTGTTGGCTATAGTATTCAATACAGTTATGCGTCACCCTCAAAATTTTTCTGGCTAATTAACTTAAACCATAATCTTAATATAAGCCAGGAGCCTCCTAAAGACCATTTTGTTTGAAATTACCAAGAAGTTATAAATAAAAGCTAGAACATCTAACATTAGCTAGGTACGTCAAAAATGCATGGCACTGATAGTAAGAGGAAGTAGAGAATATTGAGATGTGGTAACATGACAAAACAGACTCTGGAGGATGAGGCAAGTCATCAGGATTATTTGTAAAGATGAAGGATGTTACATTCTATGCGTGTATGCCTTTCTTACTCAAAGGGATACTATCTTAGGTTTCATATTATGGCATCCCTGGTAAATTATAGAAAATTAACTCTGGGGTCTCTTTTCTAAGTTGTATTATCCTGGAAATGCCTATTAAATAAGGGTCAATTAATTTGAGGAAGGTTTTAAGTTTTATGATTGCTTATAGTTTATGCCTGCCACTTTATTTGAAGTAAACCCTGTTGATTACCCTAGATCAGAAAATTTTAAAATAGGATCATAATTTATTTTGTGTTATTGAGGACAACACAATATCCTCAAAAAAAATGTCATTTTCATTCATTTTAACTAAAAAATGAAGTCTAATTACAAATAAGCACTGCCAAATAGATGAAAAAAATGATTATCTGTCAGTTATGGGATTATTTAACTTGCATGAGATTGCTAATATAAAAAATGACATAATTCATTTCAATGCAGATGCCGCCTTCTTAATAATTTTCAATCCCTAAAATACAGAAGGCTGTAAACGGTTTATACTCATAACAAGTAAGAAAAATCCAATAACGCACATGTACTCAAAGCAAATCTTAATAAAAAAATAAAAGTACTGAGTTATTATTAATGAGTCAATGTATTTAATAAAGTTTGAATACTATAAAACTTGGATATAACAGATGTTATTCAACTCCAAATAATTATAAATTATAATTACCAGTACAGTATTCTTTCTAATGAGACTAGAATGAAAGGATAATTTTAATTGCAATAATGAAGGTTAATTTCCATCTTTCCTCATGTTTACTCCCTTATTAAAAAGTGGTCCCCTTAGCCAAGGCAGAGACATATTACATTTTCAATGCAAATGTATTAATCTGGATAAACTCTGTATTAATTCTTGTACTGCACAGGGCTATAATTTGGATTATAATTAATCTAAAGTGGCACTAGATTTAAATGACAATATAAATGAAGCATTAGAAGGCTTTTCTATTATGAATGAATATTCAACAAATATAACTTGCATATTGCCACGTCTCATTTTGAAAGCTCTACTCCTGCAGATTAATGTCAGCAACATAGCACAACAGCTTACACAAACATAGCCTTCCTAACATATGTTAATTCCTTCTTGTCTAAAAAATTCTATGTTAAAGTTGGGTCAAACTACTTCCCATCTAACGTATGAAGATAGTGATGAATTTGTAAGCTTGCTAGTATTTTTTTTACATTTATGACACATATAGAGAAAAACAATAAATGTAAGTGGTTATTCAATCATTAGAAATACATACAAGAGAAAATCCATGTAATAATATTTTAAACCTAAAAACATTCAATTCAGAAGGCAGAAAACTTTGTTAAATGTTCATGTTAGTTGTCAATCACAAGAGCTGTCTTGAAGGCTAGAAGGTTTTAAAGATAAATATTTGCATTTCAGCAACTGCTTTTAGTTGGTCCTTGCCTAGAGCTTATTTTTTATCCCTACAGAAAAACCCAGGAAGGCATTTATATGGGGATACAATTTGTTTTAAATAACTACCATTATACTATTGTCTATATCCTCTCAAATGCCCAAGTCTTGTCTGGATGGTACAATTAGGTGCCCAAGGAAGAATAGTAATTCATCAGCCCATTAGGGAGTGATTGAGTCCACTACTTTTGCGGAGCAGTAAGTGGCACTGGTAAAGATAGAGCCTTGGCATCTGTGCTATGTTCCAAGCCAGATTCTTTCCTCAATGGTAAAATTAGATCCATTTTTCTAGAGATTCCCAGAATCCATCCTTTACAAGGTACTAGATATTAGACATTTGAGACCTGGCATAATGTCATATACCTCGGGATTACATGGGCATTGAATTAACACAAATCAGATATCTCTGTTATACATTCTTCTGAAGAATGGGAAGGATATATTCCACAATCTGTTTTGGTACTACTATGTGAAAGATGCCACTGAATACAGACAGAACCTTGCCCTCTCTGAACCAGGCAAGCAGCTAATTTGATAAGGTCCATCATAGAAAGTGAACAAACCACCTTGCTATTTCCAATCTTTTCCAAATAAAGTTTAGATGGTACTGTCTTTCATATTAACTTATCACTAGGTACTTCTAATTCCTCCTCAGTAACTTCAGGAGCCAGCTTACTAATATACAGCTATGGCTTCTTTTTACATTGCTTGCGGCTTAATACCAACCTTAGATCTTCTTTGTTTAAGTCAAATTAGAATCACATGTTAGACAGTATATCCTAGGAGCAAATCTCAGTGACGCTTTTCTCACTGGCCTCCTGAAAGAAATTTAGTACTGAACAGTGTGGGGAGGGGTGCAGAGAGGCCCTTCAGATAATTTTTAAAGGGAATGAAAAACTTAGATATGCAAAGACTGAAGTACAAACGTGGGATGATTCAGGTTTAAATAAACTTGCATGTAAAAATGATATTTTTTGCACAACCCAATGTCTTCATAGTGAATACAAACTCCTTTATATGTGGCTGTCACTAGAATTCAAGGAAAAGATAGATGACTACCTGAAACTAATAGGCTTGAACCCGTTTCAGCACTTCTTCTGCTTCAATGAGTCCAACATAATAAAACGAGGTATAGCGTGCAGCAAAAGTAGCCAATGTAATATTCATTGCAACCATAGATTTCCATCTCATACATACAAAGCATGGATGAAGTCATATATTTGCCAAATCAAACACAGAAAAAGCCTTAGGTATCCACACCAGATGCTGGCCTAGGGTTTGTTTGTGCACAAGTAAATGTCATGACACGAAGGTTTGTTTTCAAAGACAGTAGCTTTCATTACTGGGATTTGTCTATTCTAGAAGATCAAAATTACCCAGCACCTAATCCCTTTTCAATGATATTTCCTCTTTCTTAGGCTGAATCATCTGTAAACTTTTTCACTGGATTTTGTTTGAAATACCTCAAATAGATGCCCTAAAAAAGGGCAAATTCCTGAGTGTAAGTTGTAAAAAAGCAAGGAAAACTGCATTTATTTTTAGGGTTACGTGGTTTGGCGGGCGAATACATGTGACTGAATGACAAAATTCAAGTGATATCTAATCCTATGCTTATGAAAAATTAATATGCCATCAGAGGAATCACAAGTATAGCTAAGATTAATGAAAGGCGCTTAAAAAATTACAAGCACACAAACTGATTTGATTAAAAAATAATCTCACTGGTCGTCCTGTAATATTCTTCAACTTATCCACATCTATTCTGTCAGATGGTTATGATTAAAAATAGGTCAATGGGAGGCTACTGATAGAAATCACATGCAAAATGCACATGCAATGAATAGTAGTGGGAATGTTCAGACAGTTTAAAATGAATAAAAGCTTTTAATAAGTTTTGTGGGGTGGGGGGATGGTGAAGGAAGAGTTGATGGCAGGGAATGGGTATAGGGAAATGCCGAGGTGAAAGATTCTTGCATCTTACCAGAGTCTTTATTAGAGTTTTTGCCTTCACTATTGTCTCTCTCACTTGTGTCTTTTTCATCGTCCTCGGCCACTGCTGTAGGCTTAATAGCTCCTTCTGCCTCCTCACTTTGTTCTTCTGTTAAGAAAGGCAGACCAATCAGTAGAACTGAAAACCGCCCAAAAGTTCACACTGAAATAAACTAGGTGGCCACTTGAAAACTTTGTTATTTATGAATCATCTGCAGATATTCATACTCAAATGAGAACACAAATTTATGCAAAAGTCTATGCTGATCATGCTGACTGTACCAATGCAAATTTTGTATCTAAAGGATCTTCTTTTGTATCCATTGAGAGGATGGGTCTATACTAAATTAAAATAAATTCTTTTTAGTACAGTTTAAGCTGAAACATATTTAAAAATTGGGTATAAGGCAATTCTGTGATTCGAATAGTAGAACCTTGTAACAACATAAACCTACTGTTCCATAGACTGGGATAGATGTCAGGAAAAAGAAAACAGATTCTTAGAAAAAAAATCTTAAATAATATAACAACGGTTATATAAGACAGGTGTTACTCCAGCTTTCAGACCCCAGACCCCAAAGGAATTCTTTGGCATTTTCTTAGAGTAAGATCTCAAAACTTCAGTTACATTGGGGATTTTTTTTTTCTTCTGTAGAGGGAGCTATACTGGGTGCAGGATATAACAAGGTATACTTCTATGACAACCACATCACCCCACACCTCATTCACGGGTTCACACCAGCTAGATTACATGGAAATCCTCATAGTAACTCAACCCTATTTAATTATTCTGTAAATCTTAGCTATGCCACTGCTGGTGGATTAATCTGTTTATGCAGTTAGCCTCTATGCTGGGGCTGTGTAGCACTAATCCGTGAAAGGCCCACTGTTCTCTTTCATCCTGCGATCATTTGTCTCTCACTGTGCTGATGTCACATTTTAATGAATTTTTGGCAATCTGAGTAATGCCAGATAACCAGGCTCGCAACTCCCCACAGCATGGCATGCTGTTTTCATTGCAGCACAAAAAATAAAAATCATATTCCCCTGTTCAGGTAGGAATTACATAAATTAGGATAAGAAGGTAAAATGGGATTTGAAGCACCAGGCTCAATTTCATAAAATCTTTAATGACCATATAAATTAACCCTGGAAAGGCAAAAGGTCACCGACACACATTTGCATACACTCTTCTATTTGCTTTTGATAAGCAGAGCTTTTATGCAGAGAACATGATACAATTAACCCTTCAATAACCATACAAAACGCTGCTATGGACATTTTAAGTGTCAAGCATTAACTGAAAATTACACACTGAATAAAATTTTCATTGCAAATGCTATAGTGATTGAAAGGGGAAATCGTGGCCCTCTCCACCCCCCATGTTTTATTAATAACGTTCTGACAGCAGAATGAAATATCCACTGTCATATGTAGCAGCTGAGCACCAAAAAAAAATCTATTTAGTGCCTCACTTGCCAGCCATGCTCTACAACTGTGTGAGCAGGATAACAACAGAAGGGGACAGTTCTGGGC
The DNA here is from genome assembly GCF_000001405.40 of Homo sapiens. Classification (NCBI taxonomy): domain Eukaryota; kingdom Metazoa; phylum Chordata; class Mammalia; order Primates; family Hominidae; genus Homo; species Homo sapiens. The sequence continues at coordinate 76,841,227 of NC_000008.11, read as the reverse complement.
TCAATAGGAAACTCTAAAAAGCTAAAGGGAAAACAAGGACATTTAATACATTCAAAATAAGAGTTTGTTTCAACTGTGAGTCCTCAAAGGCACCATACAAATCCATTTATTCCATTTTTGCCCTTTGCCTCTGCACAAAAGCAGAGGGATGGCCCTTGTTTAGGGGGTCAATCATCTGAGGGTTTGAGGGAAGCTTCCCTTTCAGGCAAATACACTCAGAAATTTAACTTCAAGAAGAGAAAGAAACAACACCTCTTCTGGCGCTAGCCTGCTTTCACCCGTCAGTGATAATTACTGATCAAACACAGGCTCCCTCCTCCCAGCACCAGGCCACGCTGGTAGGTAAAGTGGCTGGTGGCCAAGCTGGATTTGGGAGGCTGGAGGGCTGAGATCAACTGGATTGGGCTGTGTCCCTCCCAAGTCCACACATGTGACATGATCTCTAGTTCGCGACCTATGACAGCTGTGGCAATTACTTTTCAACTCATCCCGGGGAAGGGATGCAGGAATTCTTGGAGTAGATTTACTGGGCCTTTCCCCCAGGGCTGGAAAATAAAGTGTCAGAGTGCTACTGAGTGTCCTTATCTTGGGGGTACATAAAATTGTAAGGGCTATGGCAACTCACACTAATAAAACATTGTGTGTCAGGAGAAGAAAAAGAAAATTATGAAGGCACTAAAAGAAAAGCTACAGTATATAATCTGGGTCTCATCAGAGAGATTTTGCAGGGTCCTCTTCTTCATTTTCTGGTATGTGTTTTAAGTGTGAGAGAAATTCCCAGACATGTTCTTCTATACATCACTGTGGTGTCTGACCTCAGCCTGACCCTGGCAACAGTTTGAGAAATCTGAATGTGAACAAAGACTCTGTGTCAGCAGCAGGGAAAGATTGTGGGATAGACGCTCCCCATCAACTTAATCGCAAACAGCAGTTCTGAGGCCATAACTGCCTGGCTCCTCCAAGCCACAACTCATAACCTTTAGAGGTGGATTTGCCTGCAATGCCTCTGCTTCTGTGACTTTTTTCCCCTCTCTCTTTTCAGGTTCTTCCTTTGAAGTAGGCAGGCAATTAGCTCTAATGCTCAAGCAATTCAGATCTGTTTTGTGGTTTAGAAGGGGAAAGCTGTTTATTACAGGTAGGCTCTTTGGAGCCATAAGAATTTGCAAATTTTTAATCATGCAAAAAATAATCAAAAGGTAACTTATACACACCATAAAGTTTCATATAAGTCAGAATAAAAGGGCACTTTTATTCTCAAAGAGGGTTTTAGAAATAAATTTGACATTCATTGTATAAATAGACTTTAGAGTCAAGAGTATGAATGTGGAGAAACCACTTTCTCTGGAAACCCTGTAGGTTAGAACTCGGGTTAAGGGAAGGAGTGGCTACGTTCTAACTTTCAAGCACCACGTATCCTCAGTTGTAAAATACTATGAAATGTAAGGGAAATATATATATAAAACTAAATGTACTAAATAGATACTGTAGAACTGAGGAAAATATACTACATAAAATTCCAAAATAAAGATGCCAAAGCGGTTTTCATTTTCATCAATAAGCCTCTTCACTAATATATTACATGCAATAATAGTGAAAGTATTAAATCATTTCATGATACTGTTGTATTCAGTAGAAGTATACATGTATACAGCATATGGATATGCCACATGCATTTTATTCTTTTGCCTCATGAAATACAGAAAATACAATATTTCTATATTAATCTTTATGATATGTTTATACTTAAGCTTACCATGTATATCAAGGTCCATTTGAACATCCCAATTTTCAGACAAATGATAATACATATTCATTTTTACATGTTTCAAAATAATAGAAAGAAGGCAAAATACTGTAGTCTTATAGAAATGTTACAACAAACTTCCCCTAGCATTTTTGACATGTCTAAAATGATCTTATAAGTTACTCTACATATACACATTGGCTATATTTAAAATAAGTGTTTTTGAATGACTAGCTTAGAGTATTTTCATTTGAACAATAAGAAACAATTGGAAAACTGATATGAGTTTATCCTACAACATTATACAATTTCTAAGCAAATGTACATCAGTGGTATCCCTTTGATCTAAGTACCACCCAATTGTACTTATTTCCCATTGTCCTTCTCTCTCTCTCTCTCTCTCTCTCTCTCTCTCTCTCTCTCTCTCTCTTTCAGACAGAGTCCCACTCTGTTGCTCAGCCTGGAATGCAGTGGCACTCTCGGCTCATGCAACTTCTGTCTCCTGGGTTCAAGCAATCCTCCCACCTCAGCCTCCCAAGTGGCTGGGACCACAGGCATGCACCACCATATCCAGCTAATTTTTATATTTTTAGTAGAGACGAGGTCTCCTCATGTTGGCCAGGCTGGTTTCAAACTCCTGGCCTCAAGTGATCCGCCAACTCAGCCTTTCAAAGTGCTGGGATTATAGGCATGAGCCACCGTGCCTGGCCCTTATTTCCCATTGTCTTAACATACAATTGGGTTTGGGATCCCTCTCCTCTAAGTCTGCTACGAAAGCATTTCATACTTTTTCAACCCATGAAGTGATCATATAAAGAGGAAACACAGTAACTTAGACATCTTTAGTTTTATATTAACATATTGAGTATCTCTGTACAAGACACCTGGCTCGTGAGCATTCTTTCCTAGACTCCTCCATGATCTCCTTGCCCAATCATGCCCCACTCAAATCTATCCTCCTAATGATCTACTTAAATCTGACTTCCCCACTTAAAATCTTCCAGTGACTCCTATCACTTACAAAGAAATAACTCAACCTTCTGTACATAGCGAGATTATGTCCAAGATACCTGGTCCTTGTCTGTCACTCCAGTTTCATCTTTGTTCACTTCCTACATAACACTTAGTGCTTGGGAACAGTCTTCTTACACTTTAGAGTGTCACATTCACCCAATAGACCTGTTACTGGACCCCATCTTGAAAGGTTATAATGTCGTAGGTCTAGAGCTGAACCTGAGAATTTGCCTCTCTGTTGAGTTTCCAGGTAATGCCCGATGTTCCTGGTCCAGCTCACATTTTGTAACCACCGTTCAAGAAACCCAACTGTTTGTAGTGCTTTCTCCCTTCCTATATGTACCATTACATTTCCTTATCTTATTTAGAACAACTTTTCTTCACTGTGTAAATTCCACTTTTCCTTCAAATCATCTTGGGAAATATCAGTTTCAACATCTATGAAAACGGAGTTAATAATAATTATCTCATAGGTTTGTTATGGAATAACATACACAAATTGGTGAGCACAAGCTTAGTAAAAATAAATATTAAAAATCATAGCTGCATTATTACTAGTACTATTGAGTACTATTGTTTTTTTCTCTAAAAAGTCTTCTCTGAACCCTGAACTAGGATTAGTGTTTCTGGATAAATGCTATTTTCCCCCCACCTGTATATTGATGTTAAACCATTCACCACAATTTAATTTGTGGAAATTATCTGTATATTGCCTACTTGCTGTAATAGGTAAACATTTTTTGAAAATAGTGAATATCTTATCCATCTTTGTGCCAAAAGCAGCTGGAACAGTGCCTGGAATACAGTAGGTAGGCAATACATGTTAGTTGGAACAGTGAATTGGGTTTAGAAAGCAAAATTTGGGAAAGAAAAGGAAGAGTCCACATGCTACCCCAGCCCCTATTTCCCTTTAATAAAATGTAAAAGGGGTGTTTGATTTTGTCTTGGTAGTCTGGCTTTGGTTTTTTTTTTTTTTCTTTTTGCATTTCCCTCTTTACCAAATCATATTTATTATTCAACCCTCTCCAGTCTGGTTTCTGTTCATATTAATTCCTCCTCTCAAAGTCACCAGTGACTCCCATGCTAAGTTCAGTGGTTACTTCTCTGCATCTTACTTCACTTCCTTTGCTCGACCGATGTTACTCTTCCCTTCTTCTGGAAAATCGTGCCTCTCTTTGGATTTTATTGCACCAGGTAATTGTGATTTTCATCCTGCCTTTCTGAGAATTTCCTCTTATTCTCCTCTGCTGGGGCCTCCTCTATTAAACAACTAAATACTTGAGTGTCTCCAGTATTAGTACTAAGCCCTTTCTCTATCTACATTACCTCCCTAGACGATCTCATCCAGAATCATGGCTTTATATTTTGTAACTGTACTGGATGTCCAAAAAGTCTATCTAGTTTAGTATGCCAAAATCAGAGCTCTTGATGCTCCTCAACACATCTTACTCCATTTCCCCAACTTTACCATTGCCATTAACAATACCACCACCCAGCACAAGCAAGAGTCATCCCTTAGTCTTCTCTTTCCCATTCATATGCATCCTATCCATCAGTAAATCATACTATTTCTACTTCCAAGATACTTAATGTATACTGAATCCATCTACTTTACATTTTCCCTGCCAGTACCTTTAATCTCTTACCTATATTCCTGCAATGGTCTTATAACTAGATAAGACTTATTCTTGTGTTCCTTTAATTTATTCTGCACAACTAAATAAAATCAATCCATTCTTCTGCTTGAACCTTGTCATAGCTTACTATTTCACTTACAATAACATAACAACTCCTTACTAGGCTGAAACAATTAAGCCCTTGCCTACTTTTCTGGCTGCATGTTATGCTACACTCCTCCTCACTCCCTCATCTTTCTCCATGTTAGCTTTCTTTCTCTTCCTGGAATGGGACCAATTTTTTCCAAACTCTGACGTACATTTTCGCAGACTCTGCATAATTGGCTCCTTTTCATTAACCAGGACTCGGCTCACTTGTCATTTCCTCAGAGAACTTCTCTGACTACCGCTCCTAAAGTAGCTGATGAGCTGTCACACAAGTAAGGTCCTCAGATTTTAGCAGAATCACTACCACCTGAGGGGCTTGCTGGATTTCAACTCCAGTGTCTCTGATTCAGTAGGTCTGGGTTGGGGCTCAGTAATTTGCATTCTTACAAGTTCCTTGGTTGCACTGATGCTGTTTGAAAGGGGACCACACTTTGAGAACCTCTGCTCTAACATATCACCTCTTTAACACTTCCTTTATCACATTTATTGCAATCTGAAAATACTTTTTTGTTTATTTGTTTAGAGATATTATCTAAAGTGAGGGACTTCATCTGTCTTATTCACAATATATGCTCCCCAGTCTCTGGCACATAGAAGATACTCACTAATATTTTAAATAAAACTGATGATTTCTAATTTGACTATTTGTGCAACTAAGTCTACGGTGTGATGTCATCAATTGAGATGGAGAAAAGAGGAGAACAAGTAGTTTTGCAGAAAAGAAAGTTCAATTTGGAATTTGTTGTATTTAGCCTCACTACAGAACATCTAGATGAAAACATCCAGAAGGTATGGGAATATCTAAGTCCAAAGATTCTCAGACAGATTGAAGCAATAATGTAGATTTTGATGTCTTTGTTTACAAAGCAATAAAGAAATATATTGACAGGAAGTAATCTGTTTTTAGCTTGAAATGTTTGCCATAACTCTTGATTTTTGCCATATCACTGCTGGGTCATTAATGAAATCTTTTCATTGGTTTGAGGTGGGGGAGGGAGAGTAGGTTTATTCTATTTCATATTAAATATGTTCTCTAGATTTTTAGGAGAAAATAAGATTTTAAAAAGTATTGATGAGACATGCATAGGTAAACGTAAACTTAACTTTGAAGCTGGAATTTTTTATGAGGAATGTCCTGACTTTATATGGAAGGGATGTTTTCACTTGCAAAATTGTTTTTATTTTAAGTATTCCAATATACCATTGTGAATGCAAAGGACTTTGGTAATCATTTATTGTTCTATATAGCAGGTTATTATTCCAGCTGGATAAATCTGGAAACTGGGGTCATATTTATATAGCAGAAATATATAGCAGAAATAAATGAGCTGTGTTGTAGTAGTAGGAGTGAATTTCCTTTTAAATTATCTGAATATAATGCAGCTAAGAAGGTGTAACTGCCATTTTTAACAAATATATGTATGAATATATATATATATATATACATATATATATATATATATATACATATATATACACCAAAGCAAAAGGATTAGAGGATATGTTGACATAACTATACAAAATCCAATGAATTCAATAATTACCAAAAATAACTCCATCAACTAGGCTCTTTGACTTGTGAAAAATAATATCCAGCTTATTAATATATACTTTGTATAAAACCTATAATTTAGGTGAAGTTTCATAGTGCATAAATATCGATGTGAAAAATTATTAGCAGAAGTTTTAACTTATTCTTTAAGAAGCTACAAACATCCACAAAAAAGAAAAAAAAAAGAGTCCAGACACAAACCTTATATCCTTCAGAAACATTCACTCAAAATGGGTTACAGACCTAACTGCAAAACACAAAACTATAAAACTCCTAGAAGATAACATAAGGGAAAATCTGGATGACTTTGGGTTTGGCAACAATTTTTTAGATACCACACTAAAGGCATAATCTATGAAAGAAAGAATTGATAAGTTGGATTTCATTAAAATTAAAATTTTTGCTCTTTGAAAGATACTGTTGGAAAATAATGAGACAAGCCACAGACAGGAAGGAAAGATTTGGAAAATACATATCTGATAAAGACTGTCATCTGAAATATACAAAGAACTCTTACAACTCTTACAAGCAAATAAACAATTCAATTAAAAAATTGGCCAAAGACCTTAACAGACACCACACCAAAGAAGATACACAGATGGCAAATAGGCATATGAAAGATTACATGTATGAAAAAATCCACATCACATGTCATCAGGGAAATGCAAATAAAAACAACAATGAGATACAACTACACACCTATGAAAATGGCCAAAATCCAGAACACTGACAACATCAAATGCTGGTGATGATGTGGGGCAACAGGAACTCTCATTCATCGCTGGTGGGAATGCAAAATGGTACAACCACTTTGGAAGACAGTTTGGTGGTTTTTACAAAACTAAACATGCTCTTATCATACAATCTAGTAATTGTACTCCTTGGCATTTATCAAAGGGAGTTGAAAATTTATGTCCACACAAAAGCCTGGACACCGATGCTCATAGTAGTTTTATTCGTAATTGCCAAAACTTGGAATCAACCAAGATGTTCTCAGTAGGTGGATAAATAAGCTGTGACATATGAAGACAATGATATATATATATTATTCAGCACTAAAAGGAAATAAACTATCAAGCCATGTAAAGACATAGAGAAAACTTAAATGCATATTACTAAGTGAATGAAACCAATCTAAAAAAAACTACATACTGTTTGATTCCAACTATATGACATTCTGGAAAAAGTCAAACTATAGAGACCATAAAGGATCACTGGTTTACAGGGGTCAAGGAGGTGGAAACAATGAATAGACTGGCACAGAAGATTTATAGAGAAGTGAAACTGTTCTATATGATATTATAACGATGGATCCATGTCACTATGCTTTTGTCCACACCCATAAAATGTACAACACCAAGAGTAATCCCTAATGAAAACTACAGTCTTCAAGTGATAATGTTGTGTCAATATAGATTCATCACTGAACAAGTGTACCACTCTGGTGGGGAGGGCAGTGATAATGAAGGAGGCTATACATGTGTCAGGGGAGAGGGTATTGGGGAAATTTGCTGTGAACCTAAAACTGCTCTAAAATGTAAAGTCAATTTACATATACTTCCAATTATTGAATTTATTTCATTTTGCTTTTTACTTATTTGAATAAGGCATATGATCAGATCTAATTAGAGAAGTTCCAGAGAATGTTTATTCCATCAATTATGAGAGTAACAAAAGCAACTCATTTAGGACAAGGAAATATTTTGAGAAGGAGTAGGAACCATTACCTGAGGTCGATCTCAACTGCTGCTCTGTAAGATCATCATCACAAGTCCTGGCTCCCAATGAGGCAGTTTCTGCAGAAGACATCAGAGTGAAAGGTAATCAGCATGCCATATCCAGCTCTCTCATCATGGCTAATATTACAAGAACCCAAAATTTGGCAGTCAGGAGAGATAAGTATCAGGTGAAGCTCAGGTGAGTCTCCAGCACACATTATATCCTAGTGAGCAGCAGCTGGCAAAATGAGCCCAGGGAGTGATAGGATTAGATTTAATTCTTAAGTATTAGCAGCACAGAACAAACACACTGATAGAGAAAATATGGGAGCAGGAAAGGCTCATCATGATTTTTGTCATTGGACTATTTGGCCAAGCCTATATGTTATAGGATTATGTGTTATAGTGACAATAGCACATTACATAAATTATGAGCATACTTTTACTTCTCTGATAAGTTACCAAAAAGAAAAGAAAAAATATCATTACTGTATATGATAGCTGATGTGCCAAAGCAAACATCAGGCACTGGAGGGGGCACCTGAAGAATAAGTCCAAGTCATCAGCAAATCCACATCTTTATTCTCATCTTTCATTTGAGCTTTAGAGCAAAAGTGCCAACAATGTCTTGGTTTACAAAACTCAACACCAAACACAAGTCATTATTGTCAACTAACTGCGTGATTCCTTTTTGCACTCTATTGTAGGGGAACCTATGGAATAAACAAAACAACTAGACCTCAGAAATTTCCTTCGACATCTCATTCCTTCTCCACAGCAAGTCACCACCTGCTGTTGATTCCATTTTACCAAGTCTCTTATCATGGGTGCTCTCTATTCCCTCTGTCTTCTTCTCTTTCCTGACCGTTTCAGCAGCCTCTGTAATAGTCTATATGCCTCAAATTCCCTGTCTTTCCAATCCAATCCCTCATAAAATCTCAGGAGTCATCTTTTTAGAAAATAGAATCTTGAGTACAAATCATTTCGCCATCACTTCTAGGTATGGGTGAATTACTTAGCCTCGCTAAACCTCAAGCCCCTCATGCATAAAATGAAGATAGAATTATGTAAATAGTAACAGTAATAGAAAATAATACAACTAAAGGTGTAACATGATATAGTCTTTAAAGTCTGAAAAGACCAGATTGTTATCAAGAAGTTAAAAAAAATGGTCACATAATTCTTAACTGCCAAAGGAAATCATGTTTATTTACTATTTCTAGCAATAGCATCTCTGGTTGATTCTGAAGGCTTTAATTAAACAAACAATTAACCTGGAAAATAGAAGTGCATACCAAGGCACTATTATTGCATTTACTAATTGTCTTTCCTGCTGCGTATAAAACCTTTGGCCTTTAGTAGTAATCTATTTAAAAACAATACAATCATAATAAACACTCAGTGCCCCCCCCCACTAAAAAAACCATTATGTTAAATTCATCATGAAAGAAAAAATTTATTCTCAGTCTTTACTTATAAATCCACAAGTAGCTTCCAAATAAATCACAGCCTTAATTGACATCCTACATGTCACTCAAGAAGTCCACCTTTTTTCTCTTGACAACTTCTTATAAAGTTATGCCTTGATTAACGTGGTTCTTTTGACTTTGAATACCTTTTTGGTCTTCCTCTGTGAGCCTCCTATTCTTCCCTCAGAACCAAAAGCACGTGAAACCTCCTCTGTGCACCCATGATGATTAGCTTACATGTATGTTTCAGCACTTATCATGATGTGTTAATTTTTACATGGTCCAAGTAATGTTTCCCCGATAAATTTTGAGTTGTTCAAATGCAGCTTTTCATTTCACAGATTCTCAAGTAAGGACAGAGTAAGACATCAGTCACTTAAGACACTTTGATACAAAATACTAACCTACATCCTATATCCTAAAACAGATGAATCTGAAGATGAGAATTTTCTTGTAGCTTCCCAGAGCTTCAGGACTCTAAATTCAGAGCTCTGTCAACTATACCACAGATAACACAAATGCAGATAATACTCCCTGCTCTCTCTCTCTCTATGTGTGTGCATGTAAAAACCATTTCTCTTTTTTCTAGTGAAGAATCAACATAATTTTTCAGAAAATCTCTACCACTACCCCCACATACACATTTCAACGTATCATATAGACTTGTTCAAAATGAATGTCAGTAGTACCTAGGTGACTTTGACCAAATAACTGCTATTCCTTAAAGATTAATGAAAATAAAAATAAAATGACAAATTATTGAGTTCATATCTCTGCCAGGTACTGTGATAAGCTATTTGTATAGAAACCATCGTGTAATCCTCACAATAACATAATGAGGCAATTATTAATCCTTCTTTTACAAATCAAGAAGCTAGAGCTTAAAGAGGTTAAAGTAATTTGCCTCAGGTCACAAAGTTAGAAACCAATGGCCTGGAATGAAACCCTTGTCTGTCTCGTATAAAAGTCTGTCAAATTTTCAATGTATCTAGTTGTAATACCACAATATTTGGGAGCCTGTAAAGGTTTTCCTAGTCTTAGCAAAGGCCGGAAACCAAGTTGCGGGGAAAGCAATTTTTCTCTAGACCTGTGAAAATCCTGCTGTTTCATAACATATGTATGTTCCTTGAATATAAAATATAACCAAATAATAATTTGGTGCCATATTAAAGTTACTTCATTTGATAGTGATTTAATGAAATGTACAAAATGTCAAAATCAGCAACTGTTGTTTAATCTTACAAATTAGGTCATGTGGCACTTAGAGACTGCTCCAATGAGAGCTACTTGTACAAATAATTTCATAAAAGAATGTTTAGATCCTCAATAATGTTTATCTCTTCATACAAATAATATAAATATTTTAATAAAGGAGCTTTTGACTTACAAAATGAAATGATGAATCTATATTTTTCTGCCTGTGTAAAATGAAAATGTTTAAAACCTAGTAATGATACATAGCATCTTACAATATGTCACTTTAATAACTGGTCTGTAATAACAAATCTGACTGCTGTTAACACGATTTGTCTCTTTTGCTGGTAATTTAATTAGATTACTAATTTGTGTTCTCCAGCCCCTGACCTTCGTTGTTTTAATAGTATTTTTAAAAAATGCCATTGACTTAGTTTATCCAGTATTCTACTCTATCCTGTCAATTTGGTGATAATCACACATTTGAAAATTATGCCAAATTACGCTATTTTTATTAACACAATGTGGGAGTGATCAACATCATTTTCTGTGGAATAGTGTATTGATCATCCCAATCGCCATCAACAACAACATTTTACAGAATATCTGCTCTGTGCCAAGTACTGAATGATATCTTTATTTGCATTATGACACCCATAGCAAGTGATGGAGCTGGGATTTGAACCCACACAGTTTTATTTCAGGGATAGTTCTCTTAACCACAATGATACATTGAACTATAGTTTTGAAATCCTATGGATTTCAAAGGAAAGTAGCTTTCCTTTTTTTGATTCTGCATTTATTTCTAGCGTTCATTTTTGTCATTCTCGTTCAGGCCTGAATTCTGCTAATCACCTATTTCTTTAGCGTAACCCAAATGGTTACATCTACAAAAACCAAGATTAATGCCAAAATGTTTAAGGTTCCCATTCCTTAAATGGAGTCTCGCTCTGTAACCCAGGCCGGAGTGCAGTGGCGCGATCTTGACTCACTGCAACCTCCACCTCCTTGGGTCCCGGTTCATGAAGCAATTCTCCTGCCCCAGCCTCACAAGTAGCTGGGATTATAGCCACGCACTACCATGCCCAGCTAATTTTTGTATTTTTAGTAGAGATGGGGTTTCTTCATGTTGACCAAACTGGTCTTGAACTCCTGACCTTGTGATCTGCCCACCTCGGCCTCCCAAAGTGCTGGAATTACAGGCTTGAACCACCGCGCCTGGCTGGTCAATTCCTTTTAATCGTTAAGAATGAAAGTTCTCACAGCCCTCTCTCTCACTACCTTTTATTGCCACACCTACCCCTAAGCCTCTCCATAATGAGTCTCCAACTCATTACTCCTTTCTACCTTTTCCTTCCCTGTACAAGCAATATTTATTCTGGTAAGTAAACTGACAACTTTCAGGTATTTAATCTCAGTTCAAAAATCATCAAGTTCCCATCTGGCAAATCTTCCGCTCCTACCCGCCCCCCGCCCCGGCTAATTGGGATAACAATTTTGCAAAACTATAATCCATACAAATCTCATGGCCAGGGATATATTTGGAATTTTAATTTTTTAACAATCTAGATATTTATGCAGAGAATTATAAGATTCAGATATCGGAATAAATTTAACCTGTACTAGATGATTGCAACAGCCATGGGCAAAATTTGGGATGCATTCAGCACAAGTTTAGAGGCAACTGGAATTTTTAAAATAATGGATATATGTTCAAGTTGCCAAGCATAGTACTAATACTATTTGCCTGCAAAACCTCCACATCTCACCTCCTCCCAATAATTTGCTAATGCATTAAACAATAAAGTATAGTACTATTCTTACAAAATGTTTAGCACATAAAATAAAATATATACCACCAGAGTAAATATTAAGCCAACTGGTGTAAAATAGTAAAGGCGAAGAAAAACATTTTCTGTATTCCTATGCAGCATTATGAATCCCATGTTATTTTCATTTACAATAAGCCCAACTCTTACTTTTTTTTAAATTGCATAAAAAGACTAAATTCTATGATAGAGTTCACAAGTGTCAACCTTCACACCACAACCCCTCTAGCCATGCCTTTTGTGTTTTACTTTTGAAGCTTCTCCCACTTCTACTGGAGCTATGTGACTAACTGTAAAAGGATATTTTAGAGCCTATGAATACAATAAAAGATATTAGCAGTGCTCTAATTATAAACTAATGATCATTTTTGGAAACTTGTTAGGTGCTAGGCATGTATCCTGCATTTCCTTACTTAATCCTCAAAGTAATCTGCAACAGCAAAAAATCACTGTGTTTATGGAAGAGATGAGATATCAAAGCTCAGACAGTTTAACTTTTTCTAAAGGCACAGGGCAGCAGAAGTGAGATTTGAATGAGTGTCTGACTCCAAAGCTCTGTACCTCCCCGCTGGACAGCACTGCCTCTAGGCATCCCTCAGGACTCCTGGGCCAGGCAGCCTGAAAACTAAATTATTTTCCTCCTAAAAAAAAAAAAATAGCTCACATCGCTTCAAAGCAAATTCATCATAACAAGCTTAATATTTAGAAGAATACATAAAATTCAACATTTATTATTATCTTAGTAGTTGATATTTTAACAATGCCCTCTGAACTTGTCTTGGCATTGCAAAAGTCAAGTCAGTGTGTTCAGATAAAGCAAGTTCACAATTCAAAATGATTTCAAGTGGTCTTCTCCATCCTTTTCCTATGCGGATACAAAGACTGCTCTTCTAAAAAGCTGAGCAACTCAGCATGCTACCATATGGTTTTGAGTAACCAAGCAACATCATCTTTGTTGACCTGTAGTGCTTTCTCTTAAATTATTTCTTCCAGGCAGTAATAGATTGAAGTGCATTGGATGCTCCAGTGTCAATTATCTGAATGGGGCTGGATTTGTAATTTTTTATTTTCTGGAAAAGTAAAGCTCCTTTGCCCTGCCCTGTCTGTTTTTACCCAGAAGTTATTTTTATATAGTAAGGGAGTACTATCTCCTGGGGCCTCCTCAGCCAGGAATTTGTGATCACTTCTTTCTGCTTCTTGAGTCATCTATGACCTCGGTGTAATGGGGCCTCAAAAGAATTTAATACGTTCCTGATATAAATTAGTTTCAATAAATTACTTATACATCTTCTTAATGTCTTATATTTTAAAGTGCTTTTATTAAAATGTTTTTTCTTAAATTTACTAATTCCTATTGTATTTCTCCATTTAAGAATCTATTTCATTTCTGATTGTTTTGAAATTAAAAGATCAACCTTTTGTGAGGATAATTTCAGTATAAACTTGTGTTTCCATCTATCAACCAGTTGCCCAATTATCTAGATTTAAGTCCTTATAGCAGGGGTCCCTAACCCTGCGGCTGTGGCTCGCTCCTGGTCCGTGGCTTGTTAGGAACGGGCCATGCTGCAGGAGGTGAGCTCCTGCAAGCAAGCCTTGTCGCCTGAGCTCCACCTCGCATCAGATTAGAGGCAGCATTAGATTCTCACAGTAGCATGAACCCTATTATGAACTGCACATGCAAGGGATCTAGGTCGTGTGCTCCTTGTGAGAATCTAATGCCTGATGATCTGAGGTGGAACAGTTTCATCCCCAAACCATCTACACCTGACCACTCCGTCTGTGGAAAAACTGTCTTCCATTAAACCAGTTCCTGGTGCCAAAAAGGTTGGAGACCACTGCCTTATGGGATTCATCAAAATTTCTCTTTATTGTCTAGAAGAAATTTCATTCCTCAGCCTACTGTGCTGGCTTTGCTAGGTTGCTCATCAGCATAGGAACTGATCCCTATCCATAAACTGATCCCTCTTCCACCCAATAATAGCCTTTGTTTGTGCTGAGCACTGGCTAGTTATTTCAACTCTTTGCTTCCTATCTCAAAACCAGCTTTTATTTTATTGTGGTAAGAACACTAAACATGAGGTTTACTATCTTAACAAATGTTTATGTGCACAATACAGTATTGTTGCCTATAGGTATAATGTTGTGCAGCAGATCTCTAGAACTTACTCCTATTACTTAACTGAAACTTTATGTCCCTTGTTTATAACTCCCCATTTCTCATACCCCTCAGTCCCTGGCAACCACCATTCTACTCTTTGATTTATAAATTTGACTATTTTAAGTACTTTAGACTGCTTTAGTGGAATCATACAATATTTCTCTTTTCATGATAGGGTTCATCCAATGTTGTCTCATAGCTAGTTTTTAATTCATGAAAGCCTCTATTTTCTATTCCACAGTTACTACGTTTTTCAAATAGCTGTATACTAGGTCAAAAGCCTTTTGAAACTATTTTTTAACGATAAGAAAAAAATAGTTATCCAGCAGTACTTCTTTATCTTTACTTCCTTTAACTCTTTCAGAGACTCCTTACAGGGTGATATGGTTTGGATGTTTGTCCCCTCTGGAACTCATGTTGAAATGTGTTTCCCAGTGTTGGAGGTAGGGTCTGGTGGGAGGTGATTGGATCACAAGGGCAAATTCCTCATGAATGGCTTAGCACCATTCCCTTGGTGACAAGTGAGTTCTCACTCAGTTCATGCAAGATGTGGTTGTTTAAAAGAGTCTGGGACCTTCCCCTTCCCTCTCCCTTTTGATCCCACTCTTGCCATGTGATGTGCCTGCTTTCCCTTTGCCTTCTGCCATGATTGGAAGCTTACTGAGGCCATCACCAAGAGCAGATACTGGTGCAATGCTTATACAGCCTACAGAACCATAAGCCAATTAAGCTTCTTTTCCTCATAAATTACTCTGCCTCAGATATTTCTTCAGAGTGATGCAAAAACGGCCTAACATACAAAGGTACCTTTACTCTCAAGCAAGCTGCATTTCTTTGGCTCAGTGATATTATTTGGTTCTTGGAAGCTTCTATAACTTCTCTTACACTTTCATCTCAAAGACCTGTGATGATAGGTGCCTCCCTCTAAGGCTGCACTGTTTTTAAAGGACTACAACCATAGAGTTGAATCAATGTCACAAGTTTTTAAAAATGCTTTCTTGACTCTCTAATTTCATAATTCCCAATATTTTATTTTCATCGCAATGAGTTACTTGGGCATATTTCTTTGGAGACATTATCCATGAAACCATCATTCACTCTTGCTGTGAAGAATCAGAGAACATAACCCCTGTGTTGAAATAATGGTCAATTCTTTCTTAACTATCTGAGATTTATTCTTTTTGCTTGAGCAGTTTGAGCAAGCAAAGATAAAAGGTGAAACATCAGTGACATAAAATTGCCAACTTCTGCTACAGCAACCCTGCCCTCAGAAACCTACGTTGTTCAAAGAAGTATTTCATTAGGAGAACGTTGGCTGCTCTTCGAGCAAGGAAGAAACGCCATGGAGTTAAGAACCAAATCCATATACACTTGGGCTTGAATCCCAGCTCCACCAGTTTCTAGCTATTTGATACTCTCCAAGTTACTTAACTTCCCTGACATTCAGGATTCTATATGTGAAAGTGGAAACAATAATAAGTTTGCAGGATGGTATTAAGGAGCAAAGTTAATAAATACAAAGTGTGTAGTATTGAATAAGTAGTAGTTGTACTTATGCATAATTCTTCTCTGGCTTTGATCAATCCTGCTGAACACAAGTTACTCAAAGAAAAGACTATATCAATTTGGTACTATGGCTTTTTAGATTGTATTTATAAGTAATGTACTCTTTGTCCATCAGTTAAGTTAGTGTTTTAGGCCTTTAAAATATCACTATTATTTGTGCAGATATTTTGGAGGTAGCAAATGTTAACAAGACTAAACATCGATTTCTTAAGCATTGTAGTTTAAAAGTTATTTTTTTAAGTAAATCCCTAAGCAAATTTTACACATGCTGCAATAAAAGCAGTATGTGTATCAATTTGTAAAGGCTTGGCGTTTTACAAAAATCATAGTGAGGCCCGCAGTGACTCACTCCTGTAATCCCAGCACTTTGGGAGGCCGAAGCAGGAGGATCACCTGAGCCGGAGTTCGAGAGCAGCCTGGCAACAAAGGGAGACCCTGTCTCTACAAAACATGAAAATAATTAGCCAGGTAGAGTGGCACATGCCTGTAGTCCCAGCTAATCCAGAGGCTGAGGCAGGAGGATTGGTTGAGCCCAGGAGTTTGAGGTTGCAGTGAGCTATACTCATGCTACTGCACTCTAGTCTCAGGATCAAAGTGAGACCCTGTCTCAAAAAATGAAAATAAAAATAAACTAAAATTACTGTGACAGAATATGAACTTTGAAGGACTGGTAGTAATAGACAAGTCAGCCCTAGGTAGGTTTTTTTCCTTGCAAAAGAAGGGATCCTCTGCTCCCCATACCAAACTTCCACCATCCACCTTCTGGTAAGAGAAAAACTTGATGAGAAGATACGAACAATCTCAGAATATATAGGCCTACAAATGTGGCAGTCTGCAAAACTAAAAATTTTCATCTGTACACAAATATTGGATTTGAGTAATTTTCTAGATTATTCCCTGTGTTGCAGTCACCTAAATCATATGCCTTACTGAACACACCATTAAGACACAAAACATTTATTTTTCTTGAAAACAATTCATAATGAAACCAAAGATAGATAATACTTTAGAGCTTTCACAAAGGCAGTGTTCAATAGGAAATGCATAAAATAAGAAGCTCAATAAGGAACACTTTTCTTCAAACTGTAAAAATTTAAACTGATCTATTAATATGTTGGCACCAGTGTCCTCATCTGTAAAATCGGGATACAATTACCTTCTTTCTTGCTATCACACCTAGTCACTGTAAGGATGAAATGTAAGTTGCTATCACCATCTCTAGGTATGCATGCAAAACAAATAAATAAAATCTTGCTACTATACTTCCTAAATATTTAATGTTTATATATCCTGCCATGGAATGCATCGCTACTACTTATAATAAACTACCCTTTACAATTGTATACATGGGAGAAATTATTGCTTCTCATAGGTTGGGTTATTTATTTTGTGAATTATATATGACCATAAAAGAAAATCCTCAGATAACTAGATAATGTTTTTTACCAACATGATAATTGTTGAAATAAATTTACCATTAACCTAAGATGCAGTAAAGTTTCCTAAATTCTATGTAAATAATGCTTGGCTTGGAAATTTCTGCATCTCATCACATTCAAAAAGGTCAGATTTATGTAGTTATATACACCAAATTATACTTATGAGATCTGACCTAGGCAGTGATTGATACAAACATAAGTGAAAGAAATCTGGAAAGGAAAAGTTAGTGAAAGTATTCATAGCCCCAGAAAAGGAAGATTAGAGAAGCTAGCTTGGAGCCAAGATGAAAAATGTGCTATTGGAACCTGCTATGAATTTTCAAGACAATACTTATGCATATCCATGAAATGTTTATTTAATAAATCATTCATTAATGAGCAAACAGATTGATGAGATTTGGCACACTGCTCTCTTTGGACTGTGTGAGCAGCAGAAAAAATGGCTTCTGAGACATAGCCAATTTATTTTTTCCTGTGCCTGTATGCATGTATTGGCAAAGAGTTCCTTGGATTTTGGCAGCATGGGGGGTTTTAAGCAGAGGTGCCATGATCATATTTTCTTCTGTGGGATGCTGTGCAGAGGATTAAATAGAGGAAGAGGTGTCTCACTGTTAAAAAAAAAAAAAAAAAGGAGACACTATAGCATCCATCACACTTCAAATTATAACTGTCTGGAAGAAATTGTAGAGAAAGGTAGTAGAGTCATTTCACTGGAGAGAAAAGAAATGTTAAAAAGTCCAAGATTAGGTCAAGAGAAAAGATGATAAGCTCAATTTTGAACATGAATTTGAGTAGAGAGGTTTAGTAAACATATAAGTTTATGGGACTAGATCTTGGAAGAGAAAACTGAGTTGAATATATTTGAAAATGTTACTAACCAATGACTTGTGAGTAAATGACACTTCTTAGAATATATAGAGTACGGACGATGAAGGGTAAGGGCAAAACTCTAGGGAACAAAAATCAAGAAATTAAGTGACACTGAAGGATGACAAAAGATACTGAGAAAGAACAAAGAGGAGCTGGGAGTGGTGCCTCATGCCTGTAATCCTAGCACTTTAAGAGGCCAAGATGGGGGATCACTTGAGGCCAGAAGTTCAAGACAAGAAGTTCAAGACAGTAAGACCCCATCTCTACAACAAACAAAAACAAAATTAGCCAGGCATGGTGGAGCACACCTGTAGTCCGAGTTACTCAGGATACTGAGGTGGGGAGGATCACTTGAGCCCAGGAGTTTGAGGCTGCAGTGAGCTATGATCTTGCCACTGCAATAATGAGACCATCTCAAAAAAAAAAAAAAAAAAAAAAGAGGTAGACACAGGATCAGATAGTGATTGGTAAAATAGTGGCCAAAGGAAAAAAACCTTGGAATCACAAGTATAAAATTATAGAGAGAAGTCAAGTAAAATAAGGTCACTGTTGATATTGTCAGAGATGATGGTGTCTTGGACCAAGGAGTCAGTAGAGAAACTGGTATATATTTTGAAAGAGCAGTAGATAGGACTTGCCAATGGGTCTAATGAGGAATGGGAGAAACTGAAAAGAATCAATGATTATTCCAATGTTTTTGGCCCAAGAAATAAGAATTAAGATGCCATTTACTAAGATGAGGGAAAATGCAGGTGGAGCAAGTGAGAGTAAAAAGAAGGTTTGGATATGTTTAGTTTGAGATTTTTTGTTTATATAGGCAAGTAAAGGTGTCAAGTAGGCAAGGGTATGAAGGGGTGTGTGCATGTGTGTGTATGTGGAGAGACAGGGGCAGAAACAGAGAGAGAGATAGAGAAACAGAGAGCAAGTGGAGGGGAAGAGAGGACAATGCATTAATGGTAGTTTAAGTTTTTGAGATGAGATTGAATGAGATAACCTAGAGAATGAGGGTCCATGATTGAGCCTGGGATTCACTCCTACAAAAGGCATACCAAAGCTGGGGGCACTGTAGCAGTCTACAACCAGATGCAAGAGGTGATTTATCATCGACAATATTTAGAAGTGCCAGTACCTGGTAAAAACAAAAATACAGCAGGCCAACTTTTAGTCAGTTTTATTGCTGTTTTTTCTTTATTTCAGTTCCCTACAGGGAATGTATTGTTTTTACTGCCTGTGCTGAGGTGAAAGAGTCCCACGATTTCCTCCCAAAACAAGGAAGCACCAATGAAGAAAACTGATCAGGAATGAGGTAGGAGAAAACCAAGAGAGGATGTGGTATAGACAGCCTAGTGAAAAAAAAAAAAAATCTCAGAAAGAAGGAAGAGGTCAGCTTGTTAAAAGCTGCTAGCTATCGTAGTTAGGCCGACTAGGAATTGGTCATTAGGTTTGCCAAAGAACAGGTCAACAGAGTCCCTGATTGGAGCTTCTTTAGTAGAATGGTGTGAGTGCAAACACCTCCTGAACGTGGGTAGAAAGGAAAAAGAAGATGAAAAAACTGGAGATGTCAAGTGTGGAAAATTCTCAGAAGTGTCTGCTGTAAAAATGACCAGAGAAATAGGGTGGTATCTGAAGGTAGATGTAACATTAGGGAGGGTTTTATAAGTAGGGAAGGTTGAGATGATGATGGGAATGAGCTAGTGGAAAGGGAAAAATTAATAATGCAGAAGAGAGTGAAGCAGTGACAGGTGTCATAGGATGGACCTAGGTGTAGATGTCTGAAAAACATTGAGGGTGAAAGCCAAATTATCACAAAAGTCAATGAAATTGAGACTAGGGCTTATCATCCTGAAGCAGGATTATGACAATAATTGGGGAGGAGAGTTGGCAGAGTAGGAAGGACAGAGAAAAGAGGCACCAAAATGGATGCGAACAATACAAGACAGGGACTAAAAAAGAGGTTCAGAAAGCAAAAGTCATCTGGTTTTAGCATATAATACACACCCATTGCCTGTTTGTGATACACAGTGACTGTAATCATTTTTGTTGCATAAAGATCTGGCTAGCAATCCTATCTAGCTATGAGCCAACACCATTACTTTTTCATTGTAGGTATCATGGAGGCTATAAGCAATAAAACTTATCAACAAAGATGAAAATCCCTATGGAACATAAACACTTTCCTATTAAACTCTTAAGTTTTATGGCAATACCATCACACTGTAATTTTTGTAATAGTCCCAAGTTTGATCAGAAAAACTAAACAATATATAATGCATATGGCACATGTATTTTAGGATTTTGGCACAAGATCATTAAAAGGCCTCAAAAGTGTGTGGCAAATTGGTACTCTTTTCCACACACCCATTAAATTTGCTGCATGACTAATCAGATGAAGCATGTCATAATCATCACTAGTGTAAAAGGTGACATATAGGCTGAAGTCACACTGCCATAAACATCTTATGATTCAAACAAAAAATAATTGTGCAAAAGAGCAAATACATCATTACAATACATGATAACAGCAAGTAGTAGGGGAAAATGAACTTAAGTATGAACAATTAATTCATAAATGATTACCAGAATTCAAAAGTAAAAAAATGTGCAAAATATACGGTAATCTGAAAAAAATAAAAAGTGTGTTTGGAAGGATGACGATATTGGTGGTAAAGAAATTGAATTTTTAAAATCATTTATTTTTGTTTACTTCACATATACAAACTAGAATTAAAAACATCTCTACTAAGGTAAATAATTTCAGCCAAAGGCAGAATTCCCTTTGGAGGATTTTTAACAATGCTGTTACTAGGACATAGAAAGAATAGCAAAAGTACATTCACTGAAAAATGTAAGTAACGTGGGAATAAACTGCATCTTTTATATGGCCAATATTTTTGTAATGTTCTCATATACATCTCTTTACTCTGATCCTCACTTTTGTCCTCAGAGGAAGCAGATGTTGTATCACCCTAAATACTCTAGAAGTCTATTTCCAGAGTGAAGAAAACCACCCTCTAATTTGCCCAAGTTGCTTGCAAGGGTTGAAAATACACTGCTTTTTGCATACACTATTAATTGTTGGGAAGAATCTCTTATATATATCCACAAAATTAGAATGTAATAGGGTGAGGCCAAATGGAATATTGGAGAATCAGTTTTCATTTGTTCCACGGCACCCCATCTTTCCTGTGATACCCGTGAAACGGTTGCACAATACTTATAAGCTGGTGCTGGGGCACTCTGTCTTCCTTCTTCCTGCCAAATGCATGGAGGTGATCCTGTCTCACCAAAAGTCCTATAGACAGGGACAAATGAACTTCTGCCCATTGTTCTCCCAGAAGAGCGGCACCCACCACGAATGCTCCATTTCACCTCATGTCTAGTTCACCTAATGGCCTAGTTCTGGGTTTATTTATATTTACATATTCAAGGAGTACATATTGAACACTTACTAGGTGCAAGACACCCTGATAGTCCCATTACGGAAGTTCCAAAAGAATAGTTTATAGGTATTTCTGTTTAATCAATCCTTTTTATTTAGAAAGATATAAAAATGACTTACATTATTCCACATTCCATGAAATATTTCCACTTTATTCAGCATAAATGACATTAATAGGCTAACATAAGCTCTAAATGTTATAAATAAAACAGAGCCCCAACACTGTTTTATTAAAACTACCAAAAGCCCATTAAAATCATGAGGAAAAATGAATACTTTTTGTGAGTTAAAAAAAAAAAAAAAAAAAAACCTTTATGAGCACATTACTTCCCCTCCCCTTCCCACACTAGTTTAAAGCATTTTGTCTGAAAGGGGAAAATGTACTGCCTTACTATCAGGGCCCCTTCACCATGCCTAATCAGGCTGTGAAGTTTTCTATAGTCACCAAGCTTCAACCTTTAGTGGGACCCTTGGCTCCTCCTTCATTGCTTCTATTTAGTTGGTAAGTTTACTCTGGATTTCTTTTCTTTTTTTTTAGGCAAGGTCTCGCTGTGTCACCTAGGCTGGAGTGCAGTGTCATGAACATGGCTCACTGTAGCCTCAACATCTTATGCTCAGTGGATCCTCCTGCCTCCTGAATAGCTGGGACTACAGAAATGTGTCACCTTGCCTGGTTAATTTTTTAATTTTTATTTTTAGTAGAGACAAGGTCTCCCTGTGTTGCCCAGGCTTGCTTAGTCTCAAACTCCTGGGCTCAAGTGATCTCCCTGCCTCGGCCTCCCAAAGTGCTGGCATTATAGGCGTGAGCCACCGTGACTGTTCTAGATTCATTTTTAATGCTCTTTTCTATGTGTTGGGCCCTACCTCAGTGCCAGCCTCCCAGTATGTTGACTGGCTTTGAATGAGCTCTCTGCCTCCAGGTCCTCTTGCTTCTAAAACAGCTCTTCAACAACGCCATTCATACAATCAAAAGCTTTGGTACTTTCTTATTTTCTCCTTTATCGAATCCAAACTTTGCTTGGTCTTCAAGGCATTCCATAATCTTAACTATCTAGTTAATTTTTATTGCTTTCTCCTAAATGGTCATTAATAGTCTTTTAGTATAGTTTCTTGCTTCTCCCGCAGTCTTATCAATTGTCTTTCATCTCTGAGTCTGCATCATGCCATTCCTCCTCTTAACCCTAAGGACAATGCCAAAATAAATAAGCAAATAAAGAAACACACAAAGAGAGAAATAAATAAAACCTTATTTCATTTTCCTTCCCTACTCAATTTTCATGTCCTCATACCTCCATCAGCCATATCAAATCCCAGTTTCAATGTTCCTCTAAACATTACTGAACTTGAATTCCCTCAAAATGTCCTAATTTACCTGGTTTATGGTGACAAGTTCATTGATTCTGTCCTCTAGGCAGCCTCTAAACTCCTTGAGGGCAGGGAACTTTCACTTTTCTATCTCTCACAGCCCCAGGCCAAATGCTAAACCCAGAGCTGTTGCTCAGTGGATTCCTTTCAAGTGATTTCTACAACCAATAATGGTAGTAGTAGAAGAATCTTCCAGATACTAAAGAAGGGTCCTTTTCTCCACTTCATTCTGATTCTGATTCCAATTAATTCATCAAGTATTTGCCACATTTGCTATTAGATGCAAGTATCTGGTATTCTTGCTCAATGGGACAGGAGTTTAAAATCCAATTGAAATAGGCTAAAGAGGGAGACAAGTTCTTCACGGTTATATGCCAGCTTTGTTAGCAATTCTTTCTCCTTTTCTCTCCCAATACACATTGTAGAAATAAGTTACCCTGCACTGTTTTCCTTTTCCTAGTCCCTTCTTGTTACTGGTTTGTGAATGTGCAAGTTGTATGCATTTAATTCTTTGAAGTCCAAACACATTCTTGCTTGAAAGAAAAGCTCTGGAGGATGAAATAAGAGTATACAATTATTGCAAAATGGTAATAAAATCACCTCCCCACGCTTCCCTTGAGAACCATGGTCAAGGAAGATCTGGCTGAGAGGGCTGAAACAGACTGTCAACTTGACTTTTAATTTTATGAACTATGAGAATTTGGACAAAAAAAAATCTTCAAAGGATCAATATCATTTCTACAAATGAGAAGAAGACTGAGTGTGAAAACGCTGCTTTGAAGCAGGCTCAGAAGAAAAAAATCTTATGAGCAAGTACCAATAGTACTTTCTCAATTTCTCATTTTTTTTTCTTTAAAAGGGATTTTATTTCTTTTAAGCACAGGAATTGCAGTTAAAAATTATTTTATAACCCTTAAAATGAGAACATTTGCCTATTAAGCTCCAACAATCCACAATATTCTATCTGTAAAGCATATCATGTGGCCTCCTGCTGTTTCATTTAACTTTAGCTGAACCTTTTTTTTAAAGTGTTTCCTAATCTACCCTAATTTGCTTAAACTCCTGATCTGCCATTTCTCAAACTGTTTGTTTACATCTCACTGGAAATGTGTAACAGTTAACAAAGTGTTTTAAGAACTAGAAATAATGACAGAGTTAGACATTTTAACTTATAGCATAAAAGACATTTAAGGCTGGGCACGGTGGCTCACACCTGTAATCCCAGCATTTTGAGAGGCCAAGGCGGGCAGATCACCTGAGGTCAGGAGTTCCAGACTAGCCTGACCAACATGGAGAAACCACGTCTCTACTAAAAATACAAAAATTAGCCGGGCATGGTTGCAGGCGCCTGTAATCCCAACTACTCAGGAGGCTGAGGCAGGAGAATTGCTTGAACCCAGGAGGCGGAGGTTGCAGTGAGCCGAGTTCGTGCCACTGCACTCCAGCCTGGGTGACAAGAGCAAGACTCTGTCTCAAAAAAAAAAAAAAAAAAAAAAGACATTTAAATTAACACACAGGCACTCACAGCTCAGTCACAGCTCCCTAGGTGGCAAGAGCCATATCTGGCTAGGAGCTCCTAAGATGAAAACAACCTTCTTGTGCCCTCAAGGAGCTTGAATCTGGAGAAGGAGACAAAACATCCACCCACTATTATGAGAAGTGATATGCAGGTAATAGGAGCCAAATATTCTTGAGGCAAAAGAACCCAGAACAAGCAACTTGGTGGGAGAGGGGAGAATCAGTGCAATATGTATCTTATCCTCTATTATGACGTTTAAAAAAATGTTCTATCAAGGAGAAACAGTTTATAGACAAATGATAAAATAAGGACAATGGTCATCTTTTAAAACTTTCCACTCAACCTATATAAATAGCAAAATATGATACAAATAAATAAAGCAATGCTGAATTGGGAATCAGAAGCTTGGGTTGCACCATGAATTAGCTTTGTGACTTTGAGTAATGAAACTACAGGGAGCCTCTGCTTCCTCAGCTGTAAAATGAGGGAGTGGACCTAGGTGAGTTTTAAGGATTCTTTTGGCTTTCCCATTATCTGATCATCTGCAATTATTTTCATCAAATTACAGGTACTAGCAACAAGGTTAACGACAAGACCTCATAAGACTGGACAGTAATTCACCTTTACCTCATACATGTTACTTGTGAGTGCTATGGTTTGAATGTTTATGTCTGCCCCTAAATTCATATGTTGAAATCCTAGCCCCCAAGGTAATGGTATTAACAGGTGGGGCGTTTGGGTTTAGTGTCTTTATGAAAGAAATTGCAGGCCAGATGCAGTGGTTCAAGCCTACGATCTCAGCACTTTGGGAGACCAAGGCGGGAGAATTTCTGGAGCCCAGTAGTTCAAGAACAGCCTAGGCAATATAGTAAGACCCTATCTCTACAAAAAATAAAAAATTAGCCAGTCATGGTGGCACGTGCCTGTAGTCCCAGTTATCCCAGAGGCTGAGGCAGGAGGATCACTTGAGCCCAGGATTTCGAGGCTACAGTGAGTCACGATCATGCCACTGCACTCCAGCCTGGGCAATAAAGCAAGACCTTGTCTCAAAAATAAATAAATAAATTTAAAAAAATAAAATGCAGAGTGATAGCTAATCCCTTCCACCATGTGAGGATACTGCAATAAGGTACCATTTATGGGAAAGTGGGTCCTCACCAGACATCTAATTGGCTGGCACCTTGATCTTGGACTTCCCAGCCTGCAGAACTATAAGAAACAAACACCTGTTGTTTATAAGCTACGCATTGTATGGTGTTTTGTTATAGCAGCCCAAACAGACTAAGACAGTGAGCTTAGTTTTACAACCTTCCTTTCTCACATTCCCTTTCACATTATTAACCTTCTTGTCCTTTATATTTGCATAACCCTTAATACTTTTCAAAGTATGTTCATATTCATTATCTCAAGTCTTCTGAGTAACTCCTCCACATTCTAACCATACTGCAAATAATTTCCCTCACTCTCTTGCTAGACCTACCTCTTATAACCTTATTCATTCTTATTTCATATTACTCTGCTTTATGCTTAACTCTTTTCCCCTTTCCTTTCTTCTAAAGGAACTAGATACATCATTTTCTACCACCTTTCCACCCTCTTTCTCCATTACAGGCTATTCTAAATCACTGAAGTGAATTTGTTTTTGACTGAGTGCTTAAAGCTGAAACCTCAAAGAACAGAAGCACAAAGGTGACTCTGGATACTACTACAGTCAGTTTAATTTAGAGACCATCTTTCTAAGATGGTTTCTTCAAAAAGACAATGGACCTAGGAAGTTCTGAAGTTAGGAGCTTGAACGAGGGGAAAGGAGGTTTGTCCACGCAGGCAGGATGCTAGAGAGGCACCAGTCCCTCACCTGAATACATGGTAAGATTAGTGGAGTGGGGTTTCAGGGATGGCATTAAACACAGTAATGCCAAAGAGAGTGGCTCCATCTTTCAAAATGTAGTTTAGGTATATATCAAACTATATTTTTCTAATTTCAGCATTCTTAAGGAACAGCATTTGTTTTTCAAAAGTATTAGTAATCTAGTGGGAGTTATAGACCTTCTTCGTATAAAACTGTACATACGAATAATTTTGTAGACAATTACAAGAAGCCATGGAATTCCTGGGTCCATGGGTCTCAGGTTAATGAACTTTGCACAAATAGCCTAGATAAGCTATTTTGTGGATGTTACATAACTCTAAGAAAAGTAATCTCCATTCTCTTTTATCATATTGATGTAAAACTTTTTCATTTACCAGAAAACCAAGGATTAAGTCATCTAATTGGAACAGTCACAATGTTTTAGCTTCTTTTTCGTTTTTAATAATTATTAATGAGAATGTTGGCAGAGCAGGGTGGTATACACCTGTAATCCCAGCTGTTCAGGAGGCTGAGGTGACAGATCACTTGTGCCCAGAAGTTCAAGGCTGCAGTGAGCCATTATTGCACCACTGCACTCCAGCTTGGGTGACAGTGTGAGACTCTGTCTCTAAAATCTTTTTTTTAAATAAAAAAAGACAATGTTACGGAAGAATAGCATGATGACGGTTATTGTCAAACTACATGGACATGTCTACATGAAGACAAATCAGCTGATCATTAATATAAAAGCAAAAAGTACTCCTCTTTTAAAGAAAAAAAAAGATTGCATTTTTTTCTGTAATATAAAGTCCAAAAGGAATCTAATTTTTTAAACTGAAATAATCAAATGCTTTGGAATCATATGCTTACATATTCCCAAGAATTGTTATTCTAGGAGCCTAGAAGTGCTAATGGGCCTCTCCAAACACTTAACTCTTACATAGAACACAGATTATTAAATATACAATGAAGAACAACAGACAAATGTAACCTAGAGAGTGTAGATTACCAGGAGAACATCCATTGTTTCTGTATTCTGGCTAGTTTTGGGCATAATCTTGAGAATTTCAGTTCCAGACAAAAAATACTTTCAAAAAGGCATAAAAGTTCCAGTATGCAAAGCAACTTCATAAAATGTAATATGTATTCTACAAAAAGTAGGAAAAATTTTGATTTGAAAGCCAAACTCAAGAGGAAGAAGAGATTTTAATCTTTCAGCTTGGTTTTTAAATAAAGTTGATTTCCAGACATCCTTTTTAATTCTCCAAAAATCTCAACCACAAATTTTATCACCTAAATACCTAAGAGAAATATGAAAACAATGAAAGATGATGATATTTTTGGCTCACTAACTTTTGTAAAGTTCTTTTTCTTCTTATAATAAACTTGTGAATATTCTCAATAAAAGAAAATTCTTACGAGACTGTACCGGGGAAAAAGGTGCCTTTAGAAAAGTTTAGTAAAATCCACAAGTAGAACAGATTGAAAACTAACAGTGTTTATTTCAAATCGTTTGCTAAGTAACAGAGAGTTCTTCCCCTCCCCCAATAAATCCCAAAGTCAAGATTTTCTTACAAAATACAAAAGCATGTTAAAAAGATTATAAAGAAACAAATTTTTAGAATTTTTACTTTTATGCATATGTATATGATATTAGTAGCATTAAAGATCCTGAGAAAGGCCATGAAGCAATTTAAAAATTGAGGCTTTTAAATATCACAATAGTATGTAATTCTTGCCTCACAGCTGCCATCACTATCTTAAACATTCATAATAATAGTTACCATTTGCAAATATGTTAATGAAGCTTAACTGGCTCTTGAGAAAATTAATCTAGTTGAATGCCATCAAATACATTTTTTTAAAAAACTATAAAACAACAAATTTTACCTGCAATTGTAAATTACATAATATGTTAGACAGAAAAACTCATTCACTGTGTACCGCAAATCCATTTTTTTCGTTACAATCTTTATGGAACCTAAAAATATAACTCTTTCCTTTCTTTAACTCATTGACGTTAAAAGATGGAGATAAATGCTTAAAAATTACAGATTTTTGAGGGTACATATGAAATAAGTATTATGACTTTTAGTTAACATGGATAAAAAGTAAAAATATCAATATTCATTTTCTGAAAAGCATATTTTCTGTTTCTTAAATTTGGCTTAATAATACCTAATGCTACTTACTGTATAAGAAATTTAAAACCTAAGTTTGTCAAATATACTTGTACTGAAATCCAACTAAAAGAAATAATGCCTGTTCTTTATTAGACAATATGCACAGAACTCAGAGTTCCACTGCTAAGGTTGAGAGTGCACAACTCAACTCATTACAAGTCTAAAAGTTTCATGAGTTTCACCCCAGGTATCACAAGCTAAAATTCCAGGCCTCTGTGTCATTCCCTGAAACATCTGCAACAGAATTTAAAATTCTTGATAAATGAGATAAGCAAAAGCATTTACTTAATTAGATTTTTAAAGCATTATTTATTAACTCATGAAGTAAATCAACGAAAAGTTTTATACCAAAAAGCAACGTACAAACATACAACTTAATCTTTCATTTAGAAGTTGATGCCCTAGATGTTTTTTACTTAATGCAATTGTAAACATGATTTTCTTAATATTGGCTCAATTAAATACAAGCTCATGCTAAAAATAATTAACTCATAAAATTAAACTATTTTAAAGCAATTTAGATAGGTGCGTTCTTGACCTTGATAGGGTTTTCTGTTTCTTATAATCTACAAGGAATCCAAAATACAATCTATAACTTTTTTATTTTTTTTGAGACGGAATTTCGCTCTTGTTGCCCAGGCTGGAGTGCAATGGCGTGATTTCAGCTCACAGCAACCTCCGCCTCCCGGGTTCAAGCCATTCTCCTGCCTCAGGCTCCGGAGTAGCTAGGATTACAGGCATGTGCCACCACGCCTGGCCACAATCTATAACTTTGTATACATATGTATAACCTAATAACCTAATGCATAGAAGCATCTGATTGTATGTTTATCTGGAGTAATCTGTTTTGGTGTCTTTCCTGCCAAACCACTTCTGGTGTTTCAAGCAGGGCAATGACAGCATACACCTTCTTGTTATTATTTATGTACAGAAGGCCAAACCAAATGTCTGGGTGGGTCTCCAAACACATAACATCAGTAGTTTTTTTTCCATCCACAGGACCCAATTACATTGAAATAAACTAACTCCTAGTGAAAGATTGGCTCTAACAGAGAATACCACACAACCACAGACACTGAAATGAAATCACAGTCATAAGTATAGAAGCCACCAACATATTGTTAAAAATAGTCTGTAGTACAACCTCATACATACATGGACAGTCAAATAGTGCACATTAGTTATGAAAAGAAACTGCTCCTTTTCTTTCTATGAGGTGCATCCTTCGTGAAGATTTCCTAATTTTAAAAGTTTTCTGTCTCAGGCTAAATGTGTAAAAATACCAGCAGGGGCCCTAAGGACTACTCTCCTCACAGAGGCAGAAAAACTGTCATGTGGGGCTCTGGCTTTAAATGGGTGGATCTTTTAGCTGATCCTGGAGTGGCAGAGACTGACAAATGTGGGGAAGTCCTTAGCCGTGAGATGAGGGTTTAGCTTGTGGGCTCTTGGTCAACTGAAAGGTTGCATTCAATGTAAATTATAGGACTGCTCTTTAGATATATACTGCTTCCCACCAGGTGAAAGTTAAGCAGAGCGTCGGGCTCATTCAGAGATGGCCTAGTAGCTTCTTAGCAAGGAGGGGAAGCGAAGCAGCCATGAGCAATTATTATCGCCATCTCTGAAGGACAGAAAGGAAGGAAGGAAACATTTTTATAGAGACCTATATTAAATTTCCTTTTTAAAGTGCCTCTATGTATTTCTCGTTCCAATTTATATGAAAAAAAATATTAGTTTTAAAACTACAACAGAACTGGCAGTAAATATACCTGCAACAATTGTTCTTTTATTAAATATTTATTGAAATAAATTCCTGTGCCTTCTCATTTTTCTTCTTCTGGTTCCAATATTTATTTACAGCTGATTATTAACATCTGCCAGTATAACGGTTTCATCCATACAGAAGCCGAAGGGTAAAAAAGTCACACACACCCTTCTAACGTGACCTGTAGTTAGACAGAAAACAGTTTTCCCAGTCACTGCTTGGCTTCCTGTCTGTGACCTCTGAAAAGCATTGGAGGCCAGGGTTAATGGCCTTTCCAATCTCTGTGATAAGAATTCATTTTGTTCTATTACCAGCAGTTATCTGAGGAGCCTGCTGCATCACTTCAGCAGGGTTCAATCAATGAGAGGACCTAATGAAGTAACCAGCTGTAGCTCTATTTCTCTGGCCAGCTCTATCAGACAAATAAGATCTATCAGTCACATCTTAAGGCTGATCCTAGACACAGCATCTTCACATGCTGAACTCCTATGCATATGAACTAATGATACCCCGCCATTTCTTTTAAAGCTTCCCTTTTGATATAGGTTTTGTAGTGCTGAAAATGAAATAAGTTCTGAGATGTTATTTTAAGAGGAAAACAATGCAAGATGAAATAAGAATGAATTTGCAGAACAGTGAAAGAGTTTATAAGAATAACAAATGTTAAAACTATGTGGCATCCAAGCTTAGGCTCTTAACTTGGCAATTCTCAAATATTTACACTTTAGGTTGATATTTTTTAACCTTCAAAAAAATGGGGAAGGATGAAAAGTTACTATATTCAATTTTATCATATTTATTGATAGAAGTTTAATGATAGGACTTGCATTTTTGACTGGGTCTTCGGAATAAAAATATAATTATGCTGTATTTTTTACTTTTTGGTCAAATATCAATCAACGTAAGACCGTAAGTTAACTCTGGGTTATTTTATATTATCAAATGTCACTAATCACACAAATTCTATTATTTATACATTTTAATTTTTTAATTACTAATTTGATTCACCTTCCCAATCCAAAAGAGCATTTATTAATGGTATTTTTACACATGGAAATTTCAGAAGGGAAAACAAAGCCTAGCACCTTCAATTAGTGGCCTCATAAAAGTATTAGACAGTCATTAGAAGTACTATTCAAAATTAACCCTTCTGTGGAAAGGGGTACTGATAATGGTTCTACAGTTTTTAGACTATTTCTCAGGGAAATTTTGAAGCCAAGAATAAAATATTCATATTTGCTGATATGAGGAAAGCTACAAGTACCTTCGTTTACTTTATTAGGTTAATCACAATGAATTTCATGTAATACAATTTGTATTCTTTTAAATTTGCTGCTTTCTTTGTCAAACTGGAAAAAAAGAAAACATGGCTATGTGCTGTTATGCTTAAGAGATGATATCTAAGGGAAGCTACACAGATCAAAATTATTTGCTAGCCTTGTGCTAGATAACCACATTCACACTTGCAAAAATGCCCTGTTTCATTAGAAGACAATGGTTATTCAAGCAGTATTGCCAATATATTAGGACATAAAAGTACCAAGACAAGCGTTATTCAAGCAGTATTGCCAATATATTATGACATAAAAGTACTAAAGACTATATTCCAAATGTCTAGATTTTTAGGGGTATATAACACTGCTTTCTTTTTCAAATTGCAATCACAGAGATGTTTGAGTGATACGGGTATGATATCCAGATGGTCTTTTCATTCAAATCTTTGGAGATGTAAATGAAAGATTAAGGTGCACTAGATAAGAGGCTGGATGTAACAGAAAAAAACAACCCTGGTATTAAAGGAAAATAAGGTGTGGTGTGTTTGTGTGTGTGTGTGTGTGTGAGAGAGAGAGAGAGAGAGAGAGACAGAGAGATAGAGAGAGACAGAGACAGAGAAAGATTCCTGGACCTCTAACCATCTAGGTAAGTGCGAAAAGGACTGAAATATCTTTGCTGAATATGTAAACAGATAAGAATATGCCTAGCAGGCATTTTGGGAACATCTGTCAATTTTTTATAGAACACAATGATTGTGGGCTATTGATTGCATTTAAACAAAGTTGTTGCAAAAAAATCAGCTAACAATTCGTGTAGAAAGGGCCAATCAATATTTAAATGACTCACTTTATTGATTTAAAATTAACTTTCAATTAAGAGATCCATAGGACTCTTAACTGCGACACTTATCCATTCAAGAGAAAATAAAGGTACATTTATCGATACACTTAAACAGCAGTGGCTGGTTTCCTATCGATTCAGTCATTTGCGCTGGGATTCGTTAGCGTCATCAGCCTTTAACTCGCTTACTAGGTCTTCGCAGTGTACCATACTGCAAGATGTAGGAATGCGCAAAACAACACAAAGAAAGGATAGAAATTTAAACAGAATTAAAAGATATAGGAAAAGGTAAGTCAACCTTACACTTTTATTTTCCTTTTAGTATTACAGAAGGAAGAATGTTTAGATAGATTATTTGGGTGACTATTAGAAAAAGAGGGGCTATTTTTCAAAGCAAGTGGTTTAGATATGGCACATTTTAAAACTGTGTAAACAAATGAAATCTTTGAACAATTGACTAGTAAAAGTTTTTTTGGCTTCTATTGACTAACAAGAACACTAACTTGAATATACTGGTTATATTATAATCAATGGTAGCTAAAAATAACAGTTTATGGAATTTTTTAAAGACAATAATTATATTTCCTATTGGAAATACTGTATATATGTGTTTAAGGCCATATTTATTCAACAACATTGCAAGGGAACCACACAAGGCTATGTTGTATTATTTTGATAATCTACCAGTTATTATATTTTATAATTTATTTTTATCAGGGTTTTCATGAAGAATAAAACTAATACAGAAAATTAAACTATTATATAGTATGGATGAATAAAAACATGCATAGATAAGATTTATACATGTATTTCAAAATCATTACTATCCACTTATTTGTTGTGTCTTTATTGCCACTAAAAGGGAACTCTGGATACAGAAGGAGGCATTGATTGTAAATCTTTAACTGCAATTTCTAACATTATATCAGAAGAACAAAACTGAATGATCTCCATGGGGAATGGCATCTTAACAGGGCTGAGTCTCCAACAGCCTGATTGTAATATGTGTGGCCAGTGTTACTCTTTTTCAGGAATTCAAAACTATAGGTGTGGCTTTTTGGTTTAAGATGGTAATGTCCCCAGCCTATACTACCTCTCTTATAGCCCAATTGTCTTGTCCTCATATTCTTCACTATACAGAGCTGTCTGTATGAGAAAGAAGCTATCCCAAACAGAAACCCCCTACTCATTTACTGACATGCAATTCCTGGTAGGAGAGAGAAAGCTGCCAATCTAATTCTGCTTGTTCAGAATCTATTTTTAATCATCTTTACATTTACTGTGAATCTTCATTCATTCATTATATCCACTATGGATACAAAAGATGTTTTCAGTAATTTAAAGGTTAGCCTTTAGTTTTTCTCTGTGCACCGTCTTTGGTGGTTCTGCTATACCACTATACCACTTGTGTTTTCGATTTGCTCTAAACTTGTCAGAAAAATTTGGAGTGGATGGGAGTAAAAAAAATCACAGATTCAAATGTTCAGATAAAAGAAACCCCTCCTACAAAATTAGTTTAATCACATAATATTGGTGTAACAGAATTTGGAATATATTGTGATGATTACATTTACTAAAAAGTGCATGATGCCATTATTTCCAAGGAGAAATCAGATGATCATGCTAATTAAGTGATAGCAAGTGGCAAAGGATGCCTGTCACAGGCCTCTCTGATCTGCAGAGAGAGATGTGTGGTTCCCAGCCTAAACACTCAGGAGTAGTAACAATTGGCTTAAGCACTATTCAGTCCCAAGGTGAATCCCAAATCTCAAATAGGGGATTCACTTTAATTTAACACTTCCTTATCACATCAAAGAGGTGAAAAAGGCATCTTTATGAATTGGCTTGCAAGGACCGAAATAACAAAAACAAAAAAAATCAAAAACATTTTGGATTTTATCCCAGTACCTAAATTCTCTTTAAGAACTCTTGGGGACACTTGGAAATGACTATAGAAAAATTTATATATTTTAAGATTCAAGCTATAAATCCATGTAACAAAAATAATTAAAAGCTTAGTTCTTTTAATCTCTTGAAAGTTATAAACTTCCAATTATATTATTAAAAAGAAAGTACAGAACTACCTAAAAATACCTGTTCATTGGACCTAACTAATGTATTGGCTCTGTCCGATAAAATAAATTATCATTACCTCAGCCAGATTTACACCTCTTAAAAAATTATTTGCTAATATTTTTTCTGTGTCATTAATCCCATTTTACCTATAACCAAAAATAATAGAGCCTACCTTTCTCACAGCAGGCTTTGGAGAATGTTGACTACTTTAGTAAGAATGACACTGAGTCTACACCCATAGTCCACTGGTCAGATCTCAAGAATTTCATACGGCCATCTCATCATTTCCCTGTGTTCACTCGTTATCATCTTAATAACATAAGACATCAAATGGTTTGGAGCTAGGCATCTTGTCTTTTGGATGATCATGCTACGTGTTATTTGAGTGGGATGTTGTAATTTAACAGTGATAGAAAAGGAGATCTGCTTGAAGATGATGAACCATGCTGAGTGAGTCATGAGAAAGTGCAGGCAACACATGCCTAAAAGGCAAACCCAGTGATTCCTATAAAGGATGGGAAATGAAGGTTATCTAATTTCTGAAATTCTCTTATCTTGCTTGATCTGCTTTTGTAGTGTTTATTTCAGGATCATTATTGTATTTTTTACAATAGATCAAAGACATGGTTGATAAGACTTGATTCTAGATAAATTTGTTGCATTTCAGATATCTTACAATATATGAAATCTCACAGCATGGCTAGTTTATTTAAACCTTTTTTTTTCCCCTAAAGGCGTACTTACACCGTAATTTCAGAAAGGTTTCATATCACTTTACCCAAATCATGGCTAAGATGGACACAAATAATTACAGGAATTAGTGCTACAGGGTGTAAAATTGTTCTTCTTGTAGAAGAAGTGCATTCATTTCATTCTGGAATTCCCTGCTGAGACATGATGTGTGCAAACTATCTAAGGGACAACATAATCCTCTGATGCTTATAAAAAATAGTAAAGTTGCATGTAATCTCTGACTACAAAAAAAAAAAAAAGCCTAAGTGTCATTCACACCAAGGACAAATGCCAAGTATTCTCTGCTGAGCTCACTGATGATTCTTGTTCTGTAGAGAAAAAGCCAGAAATTATGAAAATCATTAGTTTCAGCCTCAGTGGAAGTAAATGTAATAGATTGAAACTTCATATCAAAAATTCAAAATAGCTATATATCTTTAGTGCATACTAAATTAGGTAGTCCTTTATGATCTGATTTCTTTTAGATGCATTTTTCCCTTTATCCTTTACAACAACCTCATTTTTAATATTACAGCTAAAGTGAGTATCCCTTACTAAAGTCAGTGGCTATCTTCTGGAAAATGTGGAAACAAATTTGGTTATGCGCCATATGCCATTTGATTAACTGTACAAAATGGAATAACAGTAAGCTACAGCACATAGAAGGTCACATGAGGGATTTTTAACTTCTTGTTCAACCACAGAAAATCAGGCAGCGTTAGGCATGAGGACTACTTTCTTACCCTTGTATGCCACTGATTAGTTCAGCCTTAGTAGAACAGAAATCCTTAATCTTCTCTTTTTAATATTGAAGAGGTAAACCCCTTTCACCTGCATGTGGAGGCTGCCTTTTCATCAAAGCTCAGGAGATTCCAGTAACAAAATCAATGTATGCATGTTCAGAGCAGTTTTCAGGGTTTTGTAAGACAAATCTCTCAAACGGGGGCTAGTTTAATGCTATTGAGCTGTGCTTCGATCTAACCCAGTGAGTGAACAACACAGCAACAGTTCACTTTGGGATCCTTCTCCACAAATGCAGCTGTGGAATTTCGCCATGACCTCTCACCTCACTTAATCCGACTTTAAACCTCCCAGTGGATGGTTAAATAAATAAATATTTAAAGGTAACCCCAAATCAACAAACATAATTAATTAATTTCTCTCTTCCATGTTAATAAACTAAACTTGGGGAAGTTTCCACCTGATGGAGTGCTTTTCCAGGGGCAGGGCAAATTCTGCAAACTCACATTTCCTTTTTAAAGGTAATGTTTGAAAAGCCAGTGAAAAATGATAATATATATGTATTTTTCTCTTTTCTTCAGTATATAGATTTGTCGACTGAGTCAAGAATAATAATTTGTTTTAAGTGGAAGTATTTATTTTCAGGTATTTATGGTACTCACTAAAAATGCTTTGATTCCTTAACAGTTTATGCTTTCTATCTTTAAAAATATTAAATGACTACTTCGCTATTCAAATTCCTCTGTTACTAGAAATCATAAAGTCACTAAATATACATTGTCTTATATAGTTTTTAAATTAAAAATTAAAAGTATGATTGATTTTTGAAAAATTAAATTTTGGACATTGTGTTACACTCAACTCTACGGTGGAAAAGCCTTGATTGTTTTCCTCACGTTGCTTCCATTAGTGTCATAACTTCACAAATTACCTGATGTTAAATCAATCATGACTTTACACAGCTACAGGCTTCCTTTCATAAAATAATATTTTATTATGGCAGGAATAAGGCATTTGAATATTTTCTAATGTTTTGGAAACATCAAAAGGAAACCATCTCAGATTCCTTGTTGCATTTTGAGGTGAGTATTTTCTCAGACATTAAAAAGACTGCTGGACTTAATGCAAAAATTCTAAGTCTGAATTATAATCAAATGTTAATGCAGGAGTATTTCAAAATCTAGGGCAAATCACTTTTGTATAATTACAATGTGAATATAAAATATTTAGCATCATTTATTTCTTCAGGCAAATGATATATACTTACTATCTTTTTATTGGTGTATTGTCAAAATGGGTTTTAATTTAAAACTAAATGTAACATAATAAGGCAAAAATATCCCTACTGATGTTGAATGAGTATTTGTGGCTTTCTTGTTTATTTGCCCTATTTATATTGACTTCAGGTGTAAAATTGGTGGCTTATATTAAATCAAATATTTCTCAAACTAAAAAGAACAAAAATGAGTGTGCAATCATTAGAGCTACTTTATACTTTTTAGAAGTAATTCAGCTGAGGATAGACACAAACACCAAACATTTTGATAACATTGACTACACTGTCCTCCACTACTCTTAGGAGGTTACATTTGAGTCATGATTCACACTCTACCAAGAAAGACCTATTTAGAGTTTAATTAAGAATAATTAGTGTAAATAAACATTGTCAAAGAAATTTAGTTACTTTTCTTAATTATATAAATGCAGTTTACAAGGATAAATATTAAATTCGTGGCTATTTTACCTTTTAAAAATGTTAACACTAATTTTCAAACATCAAAAGACCTGCTACATATGCCACCTTACCCTCTTCTTTCGGTCATACCACACACACACACACACACACGCACACACGCGCATGCACACACACACAATATTGATTTATATTCTTCCAAAAGAAAAGGCTGGATTTTTATTTCTGTACTAGACAGAGGAATTTCCCTTGCTCAAAAATATTTTAGAGTAAATTTGCGTCTTTCCTGTTAAATGGATATTGCTTACTGTTGGTTGACAGCTCAAGTGTGCTGACAGGAATTAGTGAAAAATGGGCTATCATAGAAAATATCACACTTTTCGGTCTCAGAGCCACTAAAGGATACAAAAGACTTCTTTGGCCTTGCTCTGTGGTCTAGGACTTCAAGTCTAAATAAGTACCATTAGATATAAAGGATTTCTTATTATTTTCTCTTACGTAATAAGGGCATTTACATTCCAATGTGAATGTAGAAATAGGTTTGTAGGGAATGTTTTCTCCTTCTAATATTTCTTTTGAAAAACATTATTGACTCTCAAAACAACAACTATTTGAAAGTGGCTGTCCCTATGGTGTAAAAATAATTCTGAGGCCTAAAGCTGATAATCTTGAATCCAAAGTACTGCAAAAGCCTTCTGTGTATACACAATGATGCACTCGGTAACCATTCGGTTTAATGCCAAACTTTGTAAAGTCATATTTTCTAAGTCAGAGGCACATTTTGTACCATATCATATAGGGAATGCCCCAGTTAAACCATATTCCTTTAATGGCAGAACTTCAAATGGCATCTTGGGTTTCACAAAACCCTCTTTCTTTTCAGAAGTAATTAGCTAAGGCAGAGTTTGTATGGCAATTAAAAACCACTTGCTTGCAGAAGCTTGTAGGCATTATGTAATTTTTTTATGCTACAAGTACATATGCGTTTTCTTGCCTCTAGCTTAAATACAGTGAATGTTGTAGTTGGTTGCACAGGAATTGTCTCAAGAACATTAAAGCAAGCCAAACACGATTGTATTCCAACTAAAATTGCTCTCTTTATACGGTGTATTGAAACTTGATAACTGTTGGTTATAAAATTCCTTTGATTTTCTGTAGGTAATAAAATACTTTGGCAATTACTATTGACAGTTCTGGATAATCTTGAAGGCTGCCTTGCCTGAAGAAGATGAGTGTTACAAATCACTCCACTGAAAGAGGGAAGAACAGCAGCAGGCAGCAGACAGGTTTCAATTTCACAATGCTGATTATCTCATTCGCGATTCTATGCATGCCTAAATCTGAGAATCCCTCAAGCAGCTATATGGACTTCTACTTTTAAAATGCCTATTACGCTTTCATACTTTTTCCTGCTTCCTGAAGAGTACCATTTCGCCAAGCTTAAATAGCAGAAAATTGCACTGCTTTTCCTCTGCCCATCTCCTCAATCTCTATTAACCTGCACAAGAACAAAGGAGTATGATGGTCCAGCTATAGGTTGAGAAATAGGTTTGGAGTTGTTTTTCATTTACTGCCACGCATATTTTTGACTCATAAATTCATTTCCAACAATAACCTTCTTTTAATACCTCAGCAAATTACTAAAAATGCACAATTTTGTCCCAACATATATACACGTGAGTCCTTGTTCAATCAATGTGAGCACACTCCTAACCGCACATACTTTTTATTATTTACAGCAACGCCAAATGAAAGTACGTGGTTATTAGCATGTGTCTTGATTTAAATAAAAGTGATGAAAATGAAGCTGGCCCATATGGAATTCTTTCTATTTTGGTTAGAAGAGAACAATAGGCTAGGAGCAGAAAAGAAAATGGTTGAAGCACCTGGTTCTAATGCTTGCAATAGGCCTTTATTAGATGTCATAAACTGAATGATGCATTACTCTGTGGACGACTTATAGCCCACAAATGCGGAGGTAAAATGGAGGACAAAGAGTTCTTTTAAAACAATAAGGTTAAACGGTCCTTTTAAATCAAACAATATTTATTAAATGCAGAAATCTTAATAAACTTACAGAGATTTGCTCATTCTTCTAATTGTATACATTCCTGCCTTTCTTTTTTAAGGCTAAACCTTTTGGTTGGATTTTAACAATAAACTGCATCTTGCATAAGCATTATTTAAAGTCACTTCTAAATGACAAATGCACTGTGAGAGAAAGGAGACATCTTTCAATTTTTTTTTTTTAATTAAAGAAAAGTTAGAAGGCTCAATGTCCATTCTCTCCAGTCAATTAAGTCAAAAATTCACGTGTGCTACAGAACAACAACAACAAAAAGGTAATTTTGGCCATCGGAAACTGCTTTCAAATGAGGTCTGTTTTGCATTTAAAAAGATAAAAGAATGTTTTCTAAAATGACAATTGCTGGTTGGCCATCGATTCTGAGCTTTAATCTCATAGCCTGCTCAAATTTCCCATTATGTCTCACCAAGGCTTAGAAGGCTCGAGAGGCCGAACTGTGGCCTTCAACAAAAGTGGAGGGGGTTACAGCATTAAGAAACACAGCTGTTGCTCGCAAACTGCAAATTTTAGAATAACTCACTGCTTGTTTTTTCCTTGCTGCTAATAAAAACTTAAAGTGTTTTGCATGCTTTCTATAAACAGTGCACTTAAGTTTTATAATCTGGTACATCTTATTAAGCGTGAAGTCTGCTGATCCCTAAATTATTCATAACGTGGTCCAGACTGATTAAGATTGGCTTGTTAAGGAGCACAAGAAGCAATTAAACTGACAAGGCAGTGCGGCCTTGATGTATACATTTATTATCACAAGAATACCCAAAGTGAATGCCCTTATTAAGCAATGAATTTCACCTCACTGGCCTTCTACCATGGCTGCCACGGGCAGAGAGAGTGAGGAACAACATGTCAAAAGCTAACTCTGAGGAAATGCCTATCTTCAAGTGAAACCGATTTTGTAATGAACCTTTCAGTTCGCTCCTGAGGTAATAAATCCTGACTGGTGCATTAATTACTTGATAACATCCCATCAAAATGCAAATGCAGCACTTGACCCATAGGAATGGCTCACTAGCTGGTAACTCTTCAGGGTGGACATAAATTGTCTGTTTTCTCTTATCAAACAGGGCGTTTATTTCCATCTTGCTAGGGTGAATGTCACTTCTGCCACGCTCAGTCCCTCTGTGGCCTGACACCATCATTTGCAGAGGACTGTCAGGATGTGCCAACATCCTAATTGTGCGACTCCTTCACTTTGTACCTTTTGGGAGGAGCCTCCCCTTCCTCCCCTCCTGCTAGGACCCTCCCCACAACACACACACACACTCACACACACGCTCTTTCTGACACACGCGCTTTCTGAAGGAATCCAATCCAACATGTCAAGGACGAACTGCAACAGTGTTACAAAGAATAAGCCCCACCTTTACAGAACACACTAATCTTTCTTTTCAAAAGCAACACACCAAACTCGGAATTTCGTTTTTTGCAGTGATCAAGTGAAAGCTGAATGAACACGGGAGGTATACAGCCAGTATGTATAATCAGACATTACATAGAATAAGGCAAGACGATGTTTCCTGAACCTGGATTCACATCGTGACGAGGAAGCATTTCTAGGTGGTGTTTTAATATTTTCACAAATAATCAATGCTTCATTAAAGAAATAGAAATGGTACACTCTAGGCCTGGAAAGAGAGAGTGAGATAAAAGGGAGCATCAAAATACCACTTAGTAAACACTCGAGTATGTGTGAGAGAGAATCCTGTTCTTGAATGTTCTCTTAGACTAGTGAAACAGATTTATTTAGTTATGGAAACTGTTTCCACAAGGAATGTTAATAAGGATTTTTGTTTTCTATTGGCTCGTTCAAAATTCTGATCTCCATCAATAGGTCTGATTCTCCCACCTGGGTCAACCTGCCTTCCAGTTGTGTTTATTCGTCTTGAAGGCTTGGTGAAAATCCTTAATTCAGGTTACTAGGCAACCCTGCAGGTGAGAAAATATAATGTTTGGCTGACTCCATTTTTGAATGCACACAGTGGCCTAATGCCTTCAAAATAGACGCAAAGCATGTGCTGATAATTCTCTGCTACATTCTCTAAAGGCGAGGTCAGAAGAAAATTAATTGATGCTGAAAATAATGACAGAAGGAGAGGCACCACTGAGACTTGGTGTGACTGGCATGTGATAATGTTAGCAAGAATCTCAGCATGTGACTGGACAGCGTGATGAAAAATATACCCTGTGCGAGGGAAAAACAAGTTACAAAACTTAATTAGTTTTTGACACTTCTTCGTAAGTTATTATCTTTTCATTTGGAACATTGCCTTGGGACATCAATACATAAGAAGAAATGAAACATTCTTATTGTAAATATGAAAGAAAGATGACTTTATATTGTGCCTCTCCTCTTTACATGTCCTTTTGAATAAACAAAATATCCTCTGCAGGCAAAAGGATAGAAAGGAGTGGATGATGCAAATGCATTTGCTCTATCTGCTGTAAGTATGACACCGTCTTAGTCAATGTATGGTTCCATTATGATGGATTATGCAATTTTGATTTAAAAAAAAGAGGTGGCATCCAAATCAAATGTGGTCAAAATAAGGCTCTTAGATGGGAAGTAGTCAAATTATACCTCCGCTAGCAATAATGCTTCCTGTACAGCAAATGTATTTTTAATTCCTTTCCACTAAGGTTTATACCTAGAAGTAATTCACACTGATTACTAAATAACCCTTGTGAGTTGCTTTGTCTTTTGAATTTTAAAAAATACACTTGCCATGAGCAATGAATTTCATAAACCAGCAGCTCTCATGCTTGATGAATCATTCTTATTTTATGCAGTGCTGTGTGATAGAGAACTGAGATAAAATATTCTATCCACAAGCTATTCAGTACAATTTATCATCAGCAGCTCACTAGTCCAGTGATAATACCTGGCTTGCAGATTGTAATGATCAGTTTCTGTTTTTATTTCAAACAGGAGCAATTCCGAATACCAGAGTTTTTAATTTACATACATTAGTGAGGTTCAAATGTGGCAATAGCTACAAGCAAATTCACTTGCAAACTGAATGCTCGCCTTGCATAATGGGTTCCCTTTAGCAATTACTCACCAGTGAAGTACCCAGATAAAAATGAAAACAAAGAGAAAAAAGGAAAATCATGATACATACACCATAGTATGGACTAGGATAATTACTGAACCACAGTGAAGGTCACGTTTATATCTGTTTTAGTAATGATTTTGTGTACCCTTCCTCTGTATTGAATTCCTAATGTAATCTTCTTTCTATGCTATGATGCCTTATTCTTTATCTGCAAATTTTTTAAAGTTTCAATACTAGCTTCCTAGTATACAAAAATGGCAACACATTAGTATTAATAAGACTGGTTACTGACAACATCTTAGAAGACTAAAATATGGAAACATCTGCTAAATACACACACATACACACAGACACACAGACACACACACACACACACACACACACACACACATACAGACACACACCCCAAAACTCCACAAATTATACCAGGTCAAACGTTTAGTAAAACTGACAGGCTTATAATAAAATACCTCTTATAGTTACATCACTTTTACACTGACCACAGTATTGAGCTTGAATTCCCAGCAGCATCATTACTAGACATTTTCTGCCACCTTTCTAAATCTGAAAAGCTTCCTACATTTAGTGAAGATTAGGTAATGCTACATCCAATCAATAGCAGCTATCAATTCTATACCTTGTTCAGCAGAACAAGTTGATTAACGCAAGTAAAAGGGCTGACTAAATATTGTTTAAAAGTAGATGTTTCTTAAAACTAATCTGTAGTTTTGAGAAAATATACTACTCAAACACAATAACAAACACAGATTATGACATATGCAATAAGAGTTGCTCATTGGCCATTTTAATCCCATAATATTATTGAAAAACCAGTACAGAGGCTCCAGTGTAGAACAGGAGCTTTGGATTCATTCTGCATTTCCAGACTCTGGGTTGTTTATGATGTGATCTTATGGTTATACATATGAAATCTCTTTTTAGGTTTATCAGCGCTTTTCTAAAAACACTTGTTTATCAGCAAGGTCAATAATATTCTGAAGAAATCATAACACTGTCTCTGGAAAAAAGTCATATCCAAATTCATGTATTAGTGCCAACAGAGTGAGTTTTTTCATTTCTAAACCTGAGCAAAGTGTGCAAAACCACCTATACTACTCCTAGAACAAGCCATACTCACAAGACACAGATGGATTGAATATACGACAAAATAGCTGGCCTGGCTGATCTCATGGTGCCTGCCTCCATGATGGAGATGCTGCGGACATGAGTGGTTTCTGGTTGCCACCTCATCAAACAGTTCTAGATATGGTCGCTTTACGTTAGAGGAGACTCACTCTTTTCTTCCAGTGTTGTAACAGTCACATATTGCCAATACTTGGACATTTTAGCCTTAGTTAGAAATCATTCAAGGAACCTGTGCAGGGAGTTGTATGAAAAAGATGGGTAGGTTGTGAATTCAGAAAACTAAAAACAAAAACACCTCTTCACGGTGTGGTAAAACAGCCTGTATTTTCCCTGGTTATGAAAAGATTATCAGGAGAAGTGACAATAACTCTTTTTCAAAAAAACATTACAAATAAGAAATTGGACACTTTAAGTTTTCAGACCCAGCCTGGGTTCTGGTTTTCAAACTCTCCAGGGTGGTGTGGTTAGACCATTACAGTTGGTTCCAGTTCTTCCAGGCAGCACTCAGCCACTGAAGTATTACGGTATATTTGTTTAACCACGCTGTTGCTCATCTTCCCCACCCCAAAGCCCAGCGGCAAGTGTGGCAGTCATGGGAATTAAAAATACAAGATGAATCTTGGCATACATTTAAAGACCCCAAAGATAAGTCTTGATTCTTAACAGACAATTTGTATCTGTAATAAAGCATCAAAATATAGATTTTATTGTTATACTAGTAAGTTTTCTAGAAAATTAACTTCCTTGAAGTTATAGTGAAAAAACTGCAATTCATATTAAGTGTTAGCATCTATCTCTACATATTCTATAGAAATCAGCTATATCTTCTCTATTCTAAAATAATACAATTTCTATAAATATACTATGTGTGCAATAGTCAGCTATCTTAC
Organism: Homo sapiens; assembly: GCF_000001405.40. Lineage (NCBI taxonomy): Eukaryota > Metazoa > Chordata > Mammalia > Primates > Hominidae > Homo > Homo sapiens. The sequence continues at coordinate 76,796,241 of NC_000008.11, read as the reverse complement.
CTAAGCTGTGTAAAGTCATGTAATTTTTATAAATTTCTATTTTCAAAATCATTTTCATTATTTCCCAATATAAACTGTCCATTCAAGTCAGATAATGTACTTGCCTACCCTACCTTAACCTTAAAATTTAGGCTTGTGGACTTTGGCAATTCCACAACCATCCCCAAATATACTTTCTATAAATTAATATTTCTCTCCTGATTTAAACTACCATGCAAAACTCTCTAAGATTTTTGGCCTTCCACAATCTAATCCTTTGAATTCCTCCTTTTCTAAAGGTTTCAATATTTGTAATGAAACTTGGTTTAATAGGTTTTACAATGGTACTTAGAATAGCCCTTACTGTATATTCCATGAAAATTGAACAATAAGCCTTCAACTAAAAAACATGCAAATATTCAATAAGCTGTGGCAACTTGGAAGACAGTGACTAGTACTTCATGTAAAGACTTGGAGGCGGGCGGATCACCTGAGGTCAGGAGATCGAGACCAGTCTCAACATGGAGAAACCCCGTCTCTACTAAAAACAAGATTAGCCGGGTGTGGTGGTGCATGCCTATAATCCTACTTGGGAGGCTGAGGCAGGAGAATTGCTTGAACCTGGGAGGCAGAGGTTGCGGTGAGCTGAGATCGTGCCATTGCACTCCAGCCTGGGCAATAAGAGCGAAACTCCGTCTCAAAAAAAAAAAAAAAAAAAAGACTTGGATCATTTTTGTTCTGAAGATCAAAATGGCTTAAAATTTACATGGCTTCAGCCTGGACAACACAGCGAGACCCCATCTCTACAAAAAATAAAAATAATTAGCCAGGCATGGTGGTGTGTGCCTACGGTGCAAGCTACTCAGGTGGCTTAGGCAATAGGATCACTTGAGCCCTGAAGGTTGAGGCTGCAGTGAGCCATGTTTATGCCACTGCACTCTAGCCTAGGCTACAGAGTGAGATCCTGTCTCAAAACAAACAACCAAAAACAAAAAAATTAATATGGCTATTATTTTCTGTGGTTACTATTTTACTTTTTCCTATATTGTCAAATGTCAAATGAAAGGAAATCTTTACTCTCCAAACTCAGACTTTCACTGATTTTTATTTAATCATTTGTTCTTCTGTTACCAGATGTAATTACAATGAAGAAGGAATGAAACAGTGGGGATTGCATCTTGTCTTCCATTTTCCCTGGGACTTGAAAAGGCTGCTTATATGAATTCTCCTGGAGGAAGCCACTACTTTGTACTTGACTCTCTACTTGCAGGCTGACAGCTGGCCCAGAGACAACTTGATTGTGAAAGTGTCTACTGAGATGGACTTCAACTGAGAAGAGGCTTGATTTGTCCACACACACACACACACACACACACACACACACACACAATGACAGGCCAGCCGCCTTCTCCATCTCTATCCATTTTAACTAGATTTAAAAATGTTTGATAGGATACTTTGCTAGTTACATAATCACATAAGATATATTAAAACGGCTACCTTTAAATAAAACTACTACAAATCTACACTTAATTCTTTTTTTGAGTAGATAGTTTTGTACTTAGGTTAAACTAGAAATTTGGTTCTAAAAAGTGAAAGGAGAATGTTGAGGCTAAAGAGAGAAAACTATTACAGTCTCCTGTATAGAACACATTTTCAGCTTGGTTTTATCATGTAGAGTATATAGAGAAGTGGCAGCGCATTGTTCTGATTCTAGTACTGTTCATATTCTCTAAAAGCCAAAATTTGTAACTTAACAACAGGGGGATATGTTGCCACAGAGCAAAAGAAATCTGTGGTCAAACATGAAAGAGAACTTTCCAAAGCACATTTTCCTGGATTCTGTATATGTGAACCTCTTCTTATACATGAAATGCATAAGAACCTCTTCTGAGAACAAAATCTGACACAAAATCTACTTCAAGAGCAAAAACAAAAACCTCGTTGTCCATTTTCAGCTGAAAATTGGGAAATACCTGCATTCATCTTAGTATCACTGCATAAAATTTTAACCTTCCAGCTATAGCGGTGCAAAAGTATTTCCACCCCAAAAGTTATCAAAATTAATAAAAGAAGATGCCTAAAATTGAGTCTTTTCATGTCAACTTCATTGCCATGTACATATTTATAGCTGAGCCATAAAGCTTTGTAAAGTTCTGCTTTTAATAGAAGTAACAGAAACATCACCAAAAAAATAAAAAAGTTCTGTTAAGATAAAATACTTAAAATGCTTGTTGGGCTTATGAGTCAGAAGAGAAAGGGCCAGCGGGCATCAAGGTCAGGTTTTCCTATAGAAGAAGATCAATTTTAAGTGGAGTGCATTAATTACTTCAACACTGACTTTTAAAGAGCTTTCCTACTCAAACCAGTCTTACGTACTCGTAAGAATCACCTATATTTGTCTACTTAATTATTGTTTTGATTTGTGTGTGTAGTTGATTCTTCAATAATGATAATCTTACCACCAGTATTAGTGTTTAAAAAAATGAGAAAGGAAAAAGAAAAAGAATGAAAAAGAAAAAGCAACAGAATGAAACTACAGACCAACCTCTTTTTAATAGTCTTTTTACATGATTCCTGTTTTAAATGAGTAAATGATGGCAATTATACTAACTAAACTGTTTTATGGCTTCTGATCTTAGAAATGGTGGATAAAGTGAAATCATTTTTATAGTAGCCAATATACATCCCCAAATTCATCTGCTGGAATTATGGAAGGGCAAAAGCAAATCCATGTGTGTTTCCTAAAATGAATCTACTTTGTAGAGATATGAATTTGCATTGAAGATTTCATTCCATTTACCGTTTGAAATCAAGTAGGGATTTTTAACTTCAAAACAGTTTATCTCATTTTAAAAACTGTCCTTGCATTTGAAAAATCTGCTTAAAAATTATTTTATAAATCAACAAATGCACAGACCCACATGGAATGATTTAAATAATTTTAAGTACATATATTTGAGAACGCCTGTATGTATGCCACCTCTAATAGTACTCTTTTTTTTTCCTTAAAGACAATCACAACTTCACCCCTAATCAAAGATAGAGGAAACTCTAAAATGTTCCTTGGAAGGTAACTGTAATTCCTTCTCATTCTATGCCTCATTCCATGCTTCACATGAGGCAGAAGCAGCAGAATAATGCCCATTGTTATTGTATGGTTACAGTGTCCTGCGAGTCTGGACAAGTTATTAGGTCAGACACTAACTTCCTTAGTAGAAAAATGATGTGTTCTCCTTTGTGCTCTCTTCAGTAATGGCTGGAGTCAGTGCTAATTAAGGCCCCACGGCAATGTGGTTCCAGAGAGGTCAGGGACTTCTTTCTGACACCTAAACAGTGCTCAACTCAAAGGAACTGCCCCTAATCTGAAATGATGTGATGTAGAGCTGGCCTTTCAGATTCATCGTATATTTAAAGGAAAATGACAGTTAATGGCAGGGGTGTCAAAAAAAGAGCAGATGGAGAAGCTGGAAAAATGTCACTCTGTGGCTATGTTTACCTGCAATTAGTTTCTCTACTTAAGAACCAGTAGACAATACAGCCATGGGCACCTTGTTACAACTTTGGTGCTCCTAAAATGTTGTGAAGAAGAAATCTGCATCAGGCACTCCCTGGAAGAAATAACTTCTGAAAAACCAAAGAACTATTTGCTTAAGGATCTATTATTGGACCTTCCTTTCTCCAAGAAACATATGATCTTGTCCAGTGGTCTTCCAGAATGATTAAACCATAATCTTTATTAGTGGTTGTAATAATAACACAAATAATAAATTCACAAATATTTCTTATTGGGAATAAACCATTGTGGTATTTAATTCTGGAGTCATTTTCTTTTGCTCCTTGAGGCACAAATCTTGCGAAACTGAAGCAATAGTCAAAAGAGAAGCCAAGATTTATTGTCAGTTTGTTTTAATAGACACCTGCACAGCTCACTAATTACTTCAAAATTGTAAAGTTTGTTTGCACAAATCTGTTCCTTGCTTTTTTTAACCTCCTTCCCCCAACTAAACACCAGTGACACACCTGCATGTCATGAACTTGAACTGATGTTGTATTTATCTCAGAATTTTTTGTTGCTGTTACGTTACAGAATCACTTTTCACAATAGAATGGCTGAGGTTGGCCCAGGGCTCTGGCCATATAGCATTAGGTTTTGGAAGTATTTGTAACTTCCAGATTATAAGAATTTCTTCCAGAGTAAACGAATATATAAGGTCATCACCTTTGTAACCAAGTCCTCAAATTACTTGAAAAAAATACAATTCAAATTTTAAAATTATATCTGTGGACTTAAAGGTTTCATGGTTGTATAGTTAAGATGTACACATTAAAATCATGATGCATATTCATGAGTAATATCTATACATTGAGTGGTGTAAGGTTTTGTGTAGAATATATTTTTCATAATATAATGTGCAACTTTAATACATACTGAATCTTACACATTTTCAATATTCATGTGAAAAATTACTAACCATAGAATTTTAAAAGTTACAGATAATTTATGCTACAACCTTCACTTTACAGATGAAGACATAGAATCTCTGAGATGTTAGGTGATTACCCCCACTTAATAGTAAGACTGAGATTAAAATCCTGTTTTCTCCATACTCATATAGTAGAGCGATTTTTCTTCCTTACTCTGCCACCTTTTCTTCCTAAAATAAGTTCAGTACTTTGTACAGGAATGAAATTTCTCAACATTTTAAATACAGTAAAAATAGCTCCAGGCATAAAAATATGTTCTCAAATTTGGTATGCCAATATGATATTAATATCATTTATAAAGACAGTACATAAATGGGAATTTATCAAAAGTTTTCTACGTTAAAATCCAAACCTTCTACCTTAAAACATAAGAATTCTGGAGTTTTTTCCCCAAACTGAACTTCAATACATCAGATTAATGGTTTTCTTTGAAACAGCTAACGTTCCAGGACACCATATAAGCTGTGATGGTATGCAACAGACACCCAAAGTGGCCAGAATCAGCAGTGCTGTGTGATCTGTATAAAAAGTGAAGAGAGAATTTATGAAGTAGGATTCTCCAAACTCTTGAAATTCAGAAAAATATGATTGAAAAGTACCTCAATGAATGGCAAGGAAAAGACATTTCTGCTCAAAGTGAAGGTGGAGAATCTTTTGTGCTATGTTTAATCAGTTTTTCAGTCTGTTTCTGACTTGTCTTTTTTGTAGCAAATTGAAGTCAAATATTAAGCAAAAGAACTTATTGAAAGTTTTTTGCTTTAATTTTAGTAAGAAACAATCTACCAAGAAGAAAACTGCAAGGCATAGGCCTCCAGGCCCCTTTAAAAATTCTTCTCTGGTTGAGTGGCTGTTACTCAACCAAGGCAGATCTCAGTAATCCATCCTTCAGTGCTCATGCAAGGCTGGATGGAAACTCAAACTTTACCCCTGGGAACCTAAAAGGTAGCAAGTTTCTGTAACTGAATTGTTCCAACTTGGGAATTATGCTACTGGATTAAAAATGGGGCTGTCCTTTACATTACACACACACACACAAATACCAAATAGGCAAAAAAAGATAACTGATGATAGTAGTTCAATAAGTCCTCAAAACTTGGAGCCAGAGATTTATTCCTTTCACAGAAGACCAAACTTGATTCATTAGAAGATAATTAAATATTATCAGTGCTTTAGTTTTAAACCTTTTAATCAAAGTTTTATCTCAAGCCAATAATTCTTTATGTAGAGAATTTTGGAAAAATTTAATGTTTCCAGTGGAGACCTTGATTTTTTATTTTTACTTTTTATATTTGAGTACTTTGGTCTGTTATCCTTTCAATAATAGCACTTTTAGTAATAATTCATTATTGTGATGCTTTATAACAAGCATACAAGAGTCATGTTGAATAAAAACCACAGCTCCACCATTTCTCAATTTTGTGACTTAAGATTATCTAATATCTGTGCCTAAGTTTCCTAAGATGAAAATCAGAGATAGTAATAATTTCCCCCTCAATTTGGCTGTGATAAAGTTTAAGGAATTAATACGTTTAAAGTATATTCCAGTGCCTAACACAAAGCAAGCAATCAATTATTATTATTACTAGAAAATGCCTTGGACCATGTATATAGGAAAGTGTACTTTCTCAACCACTTAATTATACATAAACAATTTCTAAAACCACATTCAGATGTACAGAACAAATTGTCCAGGCTTTTCAATATGCAAATATAGATAAGCATCAATAGGACAACTCATATTTTGACATAAATAATCAGTAATGAGAATGAATCTTTTAGAAGTTACCGGCATGTTACATGAAATCAAATCTGAAACAAAATCAAGCAAGTATTGTACATTTTAAGTGAAATCCAAATAGTTATTTACAGAGCAAACCGTAAAATCTCAGAAGATTCTGTCGTGCATTCATATCTGAAAAATTGTTTTTCTAAATGCATATGCACATTTATTTACATATTTATATGACAGGCTACAAAGACACTAATGAAACAGCCTATTATTTCTAAAATAATTCAACACTATTTTCAATTCCATTAATAGCGTAGAAATTAAACTTTTAAAACCCTACACAAACAAATCAAGATACTTCAGATCTCAAATCCACAAATTGAAATGGAGATTTGGTAATTATCTGACTAATTTGATTAATGGAGATGAATAAACTAGATAATTCTGACCCACAGATCTGTGTTGATCCTGAAATGCTTACTTTGACTGTATAAATCAATTTAAACTGGTTAAATGCTAAATGTACTGTCTTCACAGCACAAAGTGAAAATGAGATTCTGCAGTCATTTACTTATCTTTATTAATGCAGAAAGCTAAAAACAATTGCCTACCGTGATATGCACATATTTATTTCCTGACAAAATATTGTTTTTGCACAACACAGATATAGTCTAAGGCTCACTCATTATCCTTGGTAATTTTGCTCTATGATTCCCCATTAGAGCACTTCATACAAATGTTTCTTACAAATTGCTCTATTATGCCATAATCAAAAGACAGAATTTAGCCAAAATGTTTGTTTACCATTTTGTAGACAGTCAAAACAGTCTGTTGGTGCACTCTTTGATATTAATTCCTACTCATCCAGGAGTGGATTTTGGCCAAAACGCTTAATTGCTCTTTTGAGGACTTTCACAATCATATGTCAGTTTAGTCTTACATGAGCCAACAGCCATGCAATAATGGAAGTCACTTAATATCAAGCCAGCTGATTTCTTTGTCTACCATATAATGACAAATAAATACTTTAGTTGCAAACTTTCCAGAATACAAAATAACACACTTGTGTGAAATAAATGTTTTCATGAACTATTTTATTAATCTAATTTAATCATCAAGGCAATGTTGACAGTATGCTAAAATAATCTGATCAGTTCCCTTAAAAACATAAGCAGCACAGTAACCATAATCAAGTTAAACAATTTACTTAGTATGGCCCAGACCCCAGACCTGCACTTTAAAATATTTCACTTTTTCCTTTGTATACAAAGAACTAAAAACCTGGCTCTTTATAACAAAATGCAATTATTTGGTTTGATATTGTATAGATCTCATAATGTAAGTGGCTGTGAACAGCATTGATTTGGGAGAAATTCAGTTTTCAACTAGTCAGCTTTCATATGTCTTCAAACACCCCAAAATGGCATTTCAATGTCCAAAGTCTATTTGACCAGAACTAACTCAGAAACGATTCATGTTAATCCACCAGAATCTCTACTGTAAGTTGAACAGCACGGATGATGTTATTAGAAGCAGGAGACATATTTTTAAAAAATTGAAATCTGGACTGAGAGCCAAGAGGCAAAATTAGAACAAATAAATTAATAATCAAGAATAAAATTCAATATGTAACTGAATGCTAAGTTCTACAATACAGTAAGTACTAGAGAAGATCACTGATGAGGGATGTATAGCAGTACAGGCCAAAGTTCTGAGGCTTTCCTCAGAATAAATGCTAGCCTATAAAAGATAACTGAGGATTGTTAAGCAAAGAAGCAATGGTGCTTCTGGAAATACGGATAACACATAAAGAATGTGAGAAGACTATGAGCATGTGGTTCCTGTTGGGCAGGAAGTAAGGAAGAAGTAAGGTTTCCTAACTGGAGACAACTATGTTACTATCCAACCTGATATCTTCCCTTCATAAGATTCCAAACTCCTCAGGCCTTCCTGACCTCTGCCAGTTACTACTTGTGTAAATCATTTAGCCTAAAAGCATTCTCAATTTTCTTATTTATAAAATAAGGAACATGTTGGTACCACTTGTTTACCATTACTCTGAGGAATAATTGGGCTTGGATGTGTAAAGTACTTAAATAGTAGTGGGCATACAGAGATTGGTCAGTAAAGGTCGGCTATCATCAACATCATCATCATCATCATTATTAATCATTAACTATCTTTTCCTAAGCCTGGCTCATGCTTTCAGTCATATTTTCTTTTTTCTTTTTTTGAGGCAGAGTCTTGCTCAGTTGCCCAGGCTGGAGTGCAGTGGCATGATCTCGGCTCACCGCAACCTCTGCCTCCCGGGTTCACGCCATTCTCCTGCCTCAGCCTCCAGATTAGCTGGGACTACATGCTCCCGCCACCATGCCCGGCTAATTTTTTTTTTTTTTTTTTTTTTTTTAGTGGAGATGGGGTTTCACCGTGTTAGCCAGGATGGTCTCAATCTCCTGACCTCGTGATCCGCCCACCTCGGCCTTCCAAAGGGCTGGGATTACAGGCATGAGCCACCGCACCTGGCCACTTTCAGTAATATTTTCTAATCTTGTTTTCTAACAAGTACCATGCATCTCAGCCAAACTGTGCTACTGACCTCCAACACACCCTGTGGTTTTGAAACTCAGAGCCTTTGCTTCCCAGGTTTTACTTCATCTGGAGTATCACTACCTAATCACTTCCCTCTCCCCTTGTTGAAAACCTGCCCGTATTTCAAGACTCTCTTTTTCTATAGTCATGCATTTTGTTTCAGATTTATGTATTAGCTACCTTATCTGGGTTCTCATGACCTGTTCTTACCTGTCTTACAACACTTGATCACATACATTCTATTTTCCCCTTAAACTATAAACTGAAATGCAAAGACATGTTTTTGTTGGGGACTCATGTGACAGTATGCCAATAAGATTTGAAACAATATAAAATTGTTTGTTGTTTTGTTGATTTGAAAACAATATAAAATAGTTAAAATGTGGGATGTAAAATATGCATTTATACACAGTGATTATGCTATTTACAGGAAAAGAGATTGTGTAACCCTGAGTTAACAAATTTGACTACCCCCCTATGGCAAAATAAATATGTTGGTCATTTGATCTTCCTAGAAAATGACAGCAATCATGCTATGGATGGTTTCTGCCAATAAATCTCATGCTTTGAGCTTTTCTTCGTTATGGTGAACAAATAGCCCTGAACCTCCGAACCTCAAAAGTGCTGTGAACAGTGGCACACTCTTGCCAAGGGGCTTCTGGTTTTCAAACTGCAATCAGTGATCCCTGCCCGAAGTTCTACTTATGGGAACACAATTATTCAGGGCTTTTTTCTTGTTTGCTTTTGTAACAAAGGTATAATTATTACATGTTACATAAAAACTTAGCTAGGGAGTACAGAATATTATTTTATACATTTCTTATTTTTTGGGTTGGTTATCAGGAGATATTAAACCAAAACTTGGTACACACTATAGATACTAAAAGATATAACTATTAAAATATCAACACTTCTGAAATTTGACACATTTGATGTGTCTACTGTTTACTATATCGCATTGACTTGTGTCTTATCAAACCTAATTTCCATTGAACTATGTGTTATAAACTCAGATAATCTCCTTATCTAAAATGCCCAAAAAAGTGAAATTTATGATCATCGATGTCTAACTTCATACTAGATACTTTACATGAAACTATTCCATACGTTGTTAGTAGTTTTCCCAGATGAGAACTGATAGCTAGTGAAGGAAAAGAAAGAACAAAATGACGAGCAATTTTTGTCATTGATTTTGAATAGCAGGGGATTATCATGGAAATGCTTTTTTTTAAAAGTTCTGTCTCAAAACGTCTGCTCATTCTCTATAGCGTGTTAATTTCTAGAATAGTTAAAACAATAGATTCTGAAGTTAGACTGCTTTTCAAATGTCAGTTCTGTTACTGAAATAATGGAGCTGTGTAAATTTAAAAATAGACTTGACCTCTCTAAAGCTCAGTTTCCTCACCTGTAAAATAGGAATAAAATAATATCCACGTTACGGGTTTGTTTCAAGAATTACGTGAGTTGAGGAAATCAAGGGGAAACAAATATTTCCTTTTGTTATTATATTTAGTGAACCCGTTCAGATTCAGAGTCAAAATCTGGACTGTTTTACTGGTAACAGATAACCAGTTTATTGGCAAAAGATCCATACAAAGAAAGTAGAGAACATTCAAGCCAAATGACCATTTGCATCCGAACTATCTACGTAATTGAGAAAAATGTGCCACCTTAATCTAAATTCTTTGAAAAATTGCCTCAATTCTCCACCTCACTTGGCATCTATAGACAAGGTTTTAATGTCCACTACCCACTGAAGGTCTTTGTATTTCAAATAAAAATAATAGCTGCCGTCAAGTATGTTAATGTCTATAATCATTGTAATTTTTGTAAATTATAACTGTCAGTGGTCACAAACCTACCCAATGAAAACATAAGGTAACAATTTAGCCTTTGTATTACGCTTCTCAGAAAAGAAGAGCCACTTGTAGGAAACTTAAGTAGAAAGGCAAATTTATAACATTTATTCTAAAAATAGGTTTTTTTTCCCTCCTCTCCCAATGGGATTATTTCTGAGGGAATATTTGCCTGCAAAAATCTGCAGCTAAAATTTTACCACTGTTTTCACCGATTTCCATTATAGGGTGAAGATCCACAATGCTACTTTAGCTTCTGTAGACAACATTTAAAGAATAAATATCTTTCAAAATATGTTCAAAATATCTAGAATACCATGAAACCATTTTAACTAATATACAGATTTCAACTATGTTGCTGCCACATATGAATAAAACTCATTTGACTCAGTATGGTACAGTCTATAAACATTACAATTTTCTTCATTATAGAAAATGATTCTAGGGGGATACAGCTTTACATTATAAATTTATGTAAATTTAATTATATTTTTGCCCTGATGATTAAAAACTCTTTTAGTCTAGACTAACATAGCATATTAAAATTTCATCAGATATTTCCTCAATTAAAAGGTAGTACCAAATTTAAATATTTGCAACTATTAGAAATGAAGAGATCTAATTAATATTAGCTGTGGATTGTGTATTTCATATTTTTATTTTGTAGAACTTTGTCATTTTAATGACACCAACTGATCAAGTAATGCATAGCCTAATTAGAATATATATTGGCACATTCTGTTAAGATGCCAATAGTCTGGGGAAAAAAGTAGCAGCTAAAGCTGATTCAGTATTTTATTATATTTAAACATAATAAAAATTCACTTGAGTTTTAAAAAAATTTTGGAAGAATAATAATTCTCAGTATGCCTGCGAATGGACCTTTGAAGGATGGTTGTTTTTGGTAATTACAGGCTGCTTGGATGTTTAAATATGTCATAGACTTTAAGTCTAAAGGTAACCCTGCAGTGTTCCTGCTATATATTCTGGCTGTCCTCAAAATAATTACAGAGTGGAGCTTGACTGTCATTCATGGGTATCTATTCCATTGTGTGAGGAGAAAAAGAAAATGGCGGCCCACACATTAGCACATCACCCATGGCTAGAGCAATGACAAGACAGATTAGGATGTATATTAAATCTCACACATGACTGCCTTTCTGTATCAAGGTAAAAAAATACTTGCTCTTACATACATTAGGGACCAGTGTTGGTCTGACATCTACATTAATATTGACAGCATATCAACTTTTTTTTTACATTTACTGAGTCAATAACTAGTCTAAACCTGGTAAAACTTAGATAAGAAATGAAAAATATATTTAGCAGGCAGCCTTATTTTCTCACATCTAAAAACATAAAATAAAATAAAATAAAATAAAATAAAACTTTAACCCCCAAATAGCACTGAGCTTTTATGAATTATCAATTCTACAATTATATATCAACTGGCATACACAGCTGTGACTTGGCAATCTAATCTTATTTGTCCAACAAGAAATTTGGTAAAGAACGGTTCTAGAAAAAGATACTCCTGCACAGACAATAACATAAATATTATATGCATAAAAGACTAATTATTTTAAAAAGCTGGATTACCATCATTGTATTATTTCATCTTCTGTATATTATTTTCACAGACAAGAAGAAATTGCTAGGTAGTAATTCGGCTTCAAAATAACCACAGATGAGAAACATACATAAAGCTTACAAAATGGGAAATACTCAATTTTTAATTTGTTTGCGATTCTTAATATATTTATTGATATTTACAATGTTGACAACTGGAAGCCCCATTTGAACCGGGTTAGAGAAGAAAAGTCATTATTTACTTTGTTTTAAAATATCACAAAGCTAAATAAAAACCCATCTTTATTTCAAGGTAATACCTGGGTTTCATTAACAATTAAATGTTGCTTTCCAATGATGGCTATCTTACATTTTGAAATATGTCAGTTTTACCATTATTCTCAAAGACACCATAATGCTCTTGAGGTGCACACATATTTTATATACATTATGCAAGAATGCTGCAAAATGAAACATTCATTTTTCCTAGCTTCACAGTATCACCAAATAGGGAGAGATATAAACAAATCAATATGTACTTTTTTAAAAAAAGAAAACAACACTGGAGTTTGTTATTCTTCAAAAGTGTATGTTCAAATGGTTAGCATTTCAGTTTTAATAATTAAAATATGGTTGGAAGCATCATGAAGGACCAATATTCAGGAGAAACAAAATCAGAAAGCAACCGAGCAAAATTATTTTTATTTTAAACGCATCATGCAACAACACGTCAAGTGCTGTTCATCTCCAAAGTCAGACGAGCTTTCATTAAAACATGCCTTTGATAAAAGACTGCCTTTCTCCCTTTTCCAGCACTCTGTGGAAGATGATCCAGGTTAAAGTGATGTTCTTAGTAATAATTATCTTTATAAGATTCACACTATCATTTATGTACATCCTTGAAAATGATGCCATTTCGTGAGGCCATGACAAAATTGCAACCATGATTATAAGCCCTTCCATCAGGCAACCCTACTGGTAAACAATGGTAGGAATAAGAGACCTTTCTATGCTCTTCTGCTAATGCTGTGCTAGCCTCTTCTAGCAAGATATATGTAAAAGAAAAGATGTAGAGAAATGCCTGGCAGAGAAGAATAACTTGCACTTTAGTGCTTGAAATGTTTATAGCACGAGAGCTGATTAATTAATATCAATAGAGTCCCTTAAAAAGTTAAAGAATCGTTTTAACAAGCAATGAAAAACGATTATGATTATGAGAGAGGCATATTCTGTCCTTCGCCGGGGGTTGTTTTTACGCTCAAGAAAGTGATGTGAAATTAACTATTTTCATAAACAGATGGTCTTTCGGATAATGGCTTGTACTTTTTAATTTCCTTTTTGGCAGGACATCATGCCAAATGTCAGGAATGTCGATAGTCTTCATTAGAAGTTGTCTGATATTATTGGGATATTTTGTACAGATATCCAGTTGTTTCCCAATATTATAAATGGAAGGCAGAAAGGTTTAAGAAGGTACAGAAAGATAAAAATGTAATATACTGAATTAAGAAAAAATGAATCCATATTAAATTCCAAGATTAAAAATTTAAGGCTCAAAGTATTCACTATTTCTTTCCATCTCTACTGCATTGCTATCTTTAAATAGCAATGTAATCTTTAAATACGCTCACAGAAAACAACTTTTGTTCTTAAACTTTATTCTTAACAAGGGGTAAGTGATGCCCCATTTATAACATTTTCAATTTGTAGAGTCCACATGTGGCTGTGTACTAGCATAGCCAGACAGAGTGTACATTTCAAGAAAACTAAACCTCATAAATCTCCAGAAATTCCTCACATCTATTATGTTTACCTTCTGCTGCTGATGAGCCTGTTGGGCTCTGTACAGAGGAAATTACAAGCGCTCCAGAAGATTTGGCAAGAAGATGCTAGAAGAAACAATAGGCAAAAAAAAAAAAAAAAAAAAAAAATTCTTAACTGAAGCATCATATCCAGCTTTGGCTACCATTTACATATTTGAGATTATAGCTAGTAAAATGGAAATTCCATGGAAATGGAATAAAATGTTTTCTGAAATCCCTATCTGATTACTGCTGGTGATGTCTGAAATTAAACATGTTAAGCTACACTCAATATACTTTATGGAATTCAATTGAAGGCTAACATTCTTATTGAAAATCTGTGTTTATACAATTTTCCAGCTAGGAACCAAGGTGCTTGTATCCACCTGAAACTTTCGCTCCCAGCCTTGTGATTGCTTTCCTAATAATGTATATTACCAAACAAATCTCTCTTTACTTAACAGATGTTTGGAGACAGTTGTAACAGCTGCTAAGTAGTAAGGAAATGCCAGTAGAAATATTTTATAGTCCTACATTTAAATATCACTAGAAATTTGCTTACACTTGATGCCAAGGGAAATGCTTATGTTTAAGATATATTCTGCATCGTGATAAAAAGTTAATAGGTCAAAAAATCTTCCACCCAAATTATGCATCCACAATGCCAACAAAATCAAATGAAAAGTTAAGAAACCCAGTTTAAGAACCAGGCTTGTATTGTTTTTCTTGACTCATTCTAAATATCAATTTTTTCACCAAGTTGATGATTGGTTGTTTTGTCGTTTTGAAGACCCAGTCCTATAGTACATATTTTAAAAACTGTCTTTAAAAAAACTTAATTACTCATGTATTGGAAGGGAACTTTCTATTCTTAAAGCTTGTTAAGTAGACAATAGTTATTTGCTATTACAATGTACTCATTACAAAGATAAAAATGAATAATTAATAATGTGCAAATTCATTATCAGGAATCACTTTTAAAATAAAGTTGGAGGTAAAAGCTACTAGTAAGGAACAAACAGAAGAAAATAAAACAACAAAAACCACTGGATGAATATCAGTAGTTTACAACTCTCCTTAAAAAGCAAAAATCACAATTCAATATCTTAGCAACAACAGATGTCATGAAGTAATCAGATAAACTCAACCACACAACTTACAAATTAGCAAATACTCACATTATTGATAAATTATTGGCCCATGCACGTATCTGATGTGCTAACCATTTATCTTCTCCCGAACAATTTCCTAGCTGTTAAAATCATCCAGAAATAGGTAAACCCAGGTCCTATACAAAGTCAATCCAACTAAAGAAATATATTTTATTATTGTAAAACAAAATCTGGTACTTAAGAAAGTTAATATGAATGTGTCTCACTTCAAATTGGAAAGAAAGACAACAGGATTGATCCAATGCTTCCCTCAGAATGCCACAGCTGATTTTTGCCAGTAAATTACTTCTTGGGTTTTTCTATTTGGTCCAAAATACTGTCTACCTTTAAGTATAACTACAAAAATGTATTTGTTAAACTCATAATATCTATCCTTATCTCTGAAAATCATTACAGTGCCTTTACAATGTTTAGTTCTACATGTCTTTAGAATTGTTTGGCATTTAGCCAAAAGAGAGCTTGAGAAGGCTAGATAAGAGCCAACTGCTAAAAAGAAATTAGAATAAAAATTTCCATTCTAATGAATAAAAACTGCTAAACCAAAAAGCATTAGCAAGGGACTTATAAAAGATATGGCATAGGTTATTAAAACATCATCCTTATTACAAGAATTTTTCCCTACTGATATCATTTGGTTTATCAAATGAGTTCACATCTTTCTTACATTCCTTCCTTAGTTTTCTACAACCACTGGGTAGTAACCAGAAGCTGACTCCTGACTTGAGTATAAGCTTACAGAGAAAATTAATTTGACAGGTTATACAGATGCTTTGTACTTTGATAGACAGCTTCATTTAAAAGCAACTCATTTAAAACACATTGTAAGACATAGAAAACAAAAAATAGAAGATTTGACATTCAGCATGGACACGTTAAAGAGGTGCTATAAGTAAAGGTTGGCTGGTAAGATTTTCTGGAGTTCACACTCCAATTTTATAGTCACTGGTAAAACCTACCAAAGACTGATGATGGGTTACCATGCTTTTGTGTTTTTTTTTTTAATTTTACTTTTTATCCTTGGTGGATAATCATTTGAACATATCTTTTTGCTTATGGTTCTAACTCTTATTTAAATTATGTTCACATCATATGCCTTAGCAAAAATATTCTTATCCAAGCACAGTTGGAGGCTACTTAAGACCAAGGTTTTTATGCTAACACCCTTAGACTATTGGTGATTAATTAACATCAAGGAACTGCTAAACTGCAGTAAAATAAAAACTAAAACGCACATATGAAATATCTTTATAGGTTCGTGATTGCTGGTCTCTGCAGAGAAAAATCGTGGCACGCAGCCCAGTCATGCCAGACCCCCTTACGCCACTACATAAAATTTGAAATAATAAGAGGGGGAAAAAAAGAAATGTCTCAATAAAAATTATAGTTTCAAGTGAAGAACACAATGATTAGTTCAGTATTAGCAGCTAATTAGAGTGCCATTTTCATTTTTATGGATGACTTTTCGCTGCTGCAGTGCCCTCATTGGTCCGGGTTTGCCATGGGATTCAATAGAGTTGCTATGTAATGGAGTACGCTCTCAAGCTCTGTGCTCTATTCTGATTCACTGATGCTGATTTGATTTTCCAACTGGCCTACAGTAGATAAGAATGCTCAGTTGAGAAAGGCGACCTTGACGCTTCTCACCTGACCTGTCTAAACTTTACTTTGAAGTTCACAACCACTAATTCAAGTATATTTTTAACACTGGTATATTTATAAAGGTGTACTGAGTAAATATGTCTCCTGACAGATTTAAAACACCACCTAGGTTTGCCAAAAGGAAGAAAAAAAAGGGAAAACGGACTTTTTAAATACATAATAATGATTTATCTAAATAGGCTTTTTTATGCACCCAAACCCTGAACCACCTTTGATCCATTTATAATTAAAGCCAAAAGTACAGCCGTCTCATTTAATTCCAATATGGGTAGTTTTAATGCATAAAGTTTCGCATGTGGTTTTTAGCTCACGACCATCTGTTTCTGGATTTCATATATAAACAGGACACTTTAGGGAACAGAGATTAATTCAGTTTTGGAATGCCATTCAAAACGTGTTAGCTGTTTCCCTGCACCAGGTCAACCAAAGCAAAAACAAGTTAAGCGCTCATTTTGCAAAGTAGCATTAACATTGGAATTATTGTATAATGGACCCTGACTAGGTCTTATGTTTTAAATTACTGGTCTCTCTCAAATAAAACTATTAATCTTTTTTTGTCTCAGAATGTTTTACAGTCCTGTTACACTTATTAGCTGCTGGCAGCAAAGAAACTTTTAAATGAAAGCCAAATTGCTTTGGTCATGAGAAAGGAAATTAAAGCTCACTCTGGGGGGAAAAATTTCACTGTGAGATCCTCCCAAGGTAGAGTTTCATAACCTCCTGCATGCCTGCTAAAGATGTCACCGCATGCAGGACCGCGTATGGTACTGATATAAAAAGAAAGCTTTAATGGGAACAACATGTTCATTTCTGAGAGATTAAGAGCTGCCGTGTTTTACACTGGGGGACAGGCTCGAGTTGGAGAGTTTGAGGCGTGTGTGTGTGTGTTTGTGTGTGTGTGTGTGTGATGAAGTGGTGTGGAGGGAGGCTCAGAGACAGCCCTCTTCAGGGTTACTCACCAAGCTCATTTGGTGGGCAATCTTTAACAAAAAAGATCTCACTGAGGTTGTCCTCCTCTGGTGCCAGGCCTTGCTGGTGGAGCTGGAGCTTCCGTAGGCCCTCAGTCTGCTGATGCTTCACCGAACGGACATGTTGTACCAGATTCAACTTGACCTTGGTGGTGTAATCACACACGGCACAGTAGTAATAGCAGGATTCGGGATTCACTGCACCCTCTTGCTTCTGCAAGTGCTGAAAGGAAGGGAAGGCTCATTAGAACAATGGTCTAGCTCCATGGTGGATAACAAAACAGGTGACACCCACCCATGGCATGATAAACATTGGTTACACAGATGCTCAAATGCATTTTTCTTATAAGACGCAGCCCAGCCTACCACCTGAAAAGTGAATTAATTCCGTGCAGATACATTTAAAATAATGTGTAAATCTAGATGGAAAGCAGCACGCCAGCTTTATAAGCCCACTCCTAAGAGGAACTGTTTTCCAACAGATATATGCAAAGAAAATTGAGTCTTCTTATACAGTTAACTAGTTATCTCAGAAAAAAAAAAAACAAAAAACAAAAACAAACAAAAAAAAAAACAAGTTCATCAAGGTATGAGAATACCTGGGTAATTAGGTTGACATGAATGAGGTACTTCTTGATGTTTAAATGCTAAACATAGTTAAGATGAAAACTTTAACCATAAGCTGAAATCCACAAATTGCATGGCATTTGGTATTTTCTAGATGAGAATGGTCTCAGGTTTAATTAATATTTTAGTGTAGCACAAACTCAAAGCAAAAACAATCTGGGACTATTTCAGCTGAGCCCTCCGTGATAGAGGTTACTTTGTTACAAATACTGACTCAAACATAAATGTTTATTTAAATTTTCCATAAATCTGCATGCATGGAATAAACTTACATTTTCTATAAACAAAAATGTTTCTCTTAATTATATGTTAGATACACTAAAAAGTTAAGTAACTTAATTTGAAGTTTAATCTAATTCAAAACAGACACTATGATGTGAAGCTTTTTCTTTTTTACCATTCACAGTGACCCACAACAAATTTTTGCTAAAAAAAAATCTGTTTCGCAAGCTCTGCTGACTCTGATTTCTGCCCACAGCATGTAACAGGATCCTCTTAAATTCTGATTTTTTCAATGGAAAAACTTTTACAACTCCCAAACATATTCTGTTACAGTAGTTTATTTTTAAAAAAACTTTTCCCCCATTTTAATTGGGGTAGTTCAATTCCATACAAACAAGAAAATTCCCAAAATAAGAATAGCAACAAAGAGGAAGAATATTAATAACTGTGATTCAATATAAACTATGTGAGTTTTAGTAATTCATTAAAATATTTTTATGTGCTTCTTTTAAAAAATACACAAATGGGCACAGGTGGTATTTATTTGTTCTTAGATTAGTTGAATAAGGGTTAGCATTCTGAAATTCAAACAAACAAAAAGAAAACCTTTATATACAGGATCAAACATGTTGATTTCTACCTTCCCTCCCCCACCTCCCTGGCTTTTAGCATCTGAAAATGGTTAGTAAGAAAAGAATAACTAGCTGGTGAGCCTTTCCAAACACCAAAAGACAGGACCCATATATTATATTTGGTTAACGCTCATGGACACTTTTAGTATTTTTTAAAAAATCAAATGAAGTGATGTTTTGTTCTAAAGCGTCATTCTCAAAATTTTTGTAAAAGGTTACGTTTCTGATCATTCCCATTCCCAGAAATAGAAGTGCAGCGTAGCTCATGTAAGTTATGGCTCTTCACCTGCAAAAACAAATTCTGAATAAATTCTGCATACTTAACCTCAGCAAACAAAGACCTGAAAGATTCAAAAGATGAGAATCTTGAGTACCTGAAGGTAAGCTTTTCTTTCCTTAGTATGGACACTTAAAAAGATACCCAAGCCTGGATCTAAACAGGAACATTTCTGTGCCTTTCAAACACACCAGTCTCAAGTCGGGTCCAAAAGGGAAGAGACAAGCCAGGAATTGACCTTCTCTAGTCCCAGCGACCAGATTTGCCTGAGGCCACAGGACGCCTGAGTGTGTGTGAGAGAGAGTGCCTTGTGGGATGGTGGGGGTGGTATTTGCTATTATAACACACCAAAACACTTTCCAGAGGGGAGGGAGGAGAAATTAAACTCCCTTTTTTTTTCTCATGTAAATCGTGTAACCATTCACCCCAATTGGTATTCAACCAATGTCATTTCTAAGATTTCAGTCTTCGATATATTTATTAATAAATAGATCACCACCCGATTTTCTTTATAGCACGCACAGTATGCCTCCTTTCCACACCTACTGGGAATCCTTATGCTTGTTGATTCAAGTGAATTAAAAATGGTACCAATAAAAGGAGCAAGGGCTATTTAACAACACATTTCCTTCTGTCTCAAATCTGCACTGTCTAGAACAGAACCTCGTTTCTTGTCACTCCGCTGTGTTAAGAACAGCAGGCCACAGCCATTCAGACTGCCCCATCAACTGTGAGTTTTAATTTGAGCCACTTTCACATTAAAAAAAAAAAAAAAAAGAAAACTTACTTTTTCCACCAACCCATCTTCACCCTGTGTTGCACCACCTAAAGCTTTCAGGCCATGCTCTACTCTGGAGCAAGCCAAGCATATCAAGTGTGCCTGCAACACTCACAGGCTAATGAACAATGCACAAAAACAAAAGGAACAGCAAGGCTCCTATTATCTGATCTTCCGTAAAACACAAAAACTGCCTTCTCTGGTGCAGAGGAAGTGCCAGGAAGCCTGCAGGTGTGAGCCGGTTAAAAGAAAAGGCTTGGGCTAAATAGATTCTTTGACTGTCAGGGATTAGAGCCATGGCACTAGTGGTAACACACATCTTTTCCTTTAATTTACAAAATTTTCTCACGAGTCTGCAAGAGTTCACCCCATCAGGGGCTTTCGGAGGCCATTGAAATGTCTTAAGTTTTAATTAAGTTGGAGTTGTCAGAAGAAAGCTTTTTTGGCACAGAGTCAGGGTCATTAATTACTGCTATCTTTGTTTCTTTCTGTAAAGAGAACTCCACTGACTTGTTGGGTTTCTTACCCAGCGTACATTTTCTATCCTCTCATTCCCTTTCACTTCCAAGTGGGACTTGATTAAGTAGTTTACCAATTACTTCCATCAGTTCTAGGTACAAAGCATTTATACAATCTTAAATCTTAAAAAACATTTCTCATTAGTGGTTTGGAGTACAGTGGCAATAATACATTCTTCTAGTAAGTTATCAAGCAGCTGATTTCTTCCATGGATCTTTGCATTTAAATATAACTGTCTTCACATTTTTCTCATCATTATCTATTCAACATACTTTTTCATATTTTCACAGCCTGTGACCTTGCCTTTTATGAAATACTAATCAATTTTTAAATTATTTACTTTACCCAATGACATATAATTTTAGCTGGAAACATTCAATTTATGCCTAATATCTCCCAAGTCAGGCAAATATTCTTATTGTTTCCAGATAAAATTAGCTGCCACTATTACTGATATTTTGTAGAAGTAAAAATGAAAGGTGTAAAAACGCAAAAGTTTTAGGTAATTTGTTAATGTTTCATCTATCCCTAAAATAAAGTCATTGCTATTTGGACCAAGTATATTAAGCACTAAAAATCTTTAAAAATCAATATCTTATTAAATTTTTCAAATTTCTAAAATACTGTACAGACCTGAATATGTGTTATACATATTTAATTATGTATGTAAAGTCAGGAAAATTATATTCTTTTTTAAAAATCATAAATTTCAATTCTAATTTTTATGAGAAAATATACTATGTTTAGATAATTTGCTTTGAAGTATCTCCTTTTTGGTAGATATTTTGTATATCTCCTTTAGGTTTTTACATCATTTCTCATTTTTCCATTTCATGGAAAAATAACAAAAGCAAAACAACTTAGTTAAGATTTATAAGCAAGAATGAAGTTGAATAATTGTCTCAAAAATCAGAAAACATCTAAATTAGAGTAAACCTGAATCAATACAGATGTATTTCTATCTACCAGTATGGCCAGAATGAGTCTTTGAATTTAAGAACGTCTATTTTTAAATCTGAATGAAATGGATGGAAAAAGATTCACAAACCTGGGCAAAGCCAATTACCACACTCATTTCTTCCTGATGAGCATATGATATCACTTCAATTTTTTTTCTAGTAATCTCATAGACAACTGCCATGAGTAACAATCACAAACGTCTTACCACCAAATAAATGCCACTTCAGACAAAGCCCTGAATGCCACAAGGGGCACTCAACATTATAATGATAATGCCTCATCATTATCTGATGATTCTCTGATGAGCAACTTACAGGATTTGGAGTCCAGAACTTGGATGGGGGTCCAGAATTTGGACTAGAGTCTGCTCCAGGGAAAGCTAAAACAACCAGTGCTTTTATTCAGTCTGGTCCAAAAGTGGGCCACTTTGGAAAGGAGGACAGAATTCTTAGTTTCACAGAATAGCTGATTCTGTCGTGTCTTCTCACAGGTAAAAACATCATTTTTTGTCATTATACTATTCTGCTTATTAAACTTAAAATGATGCATTCTGAGAAAGAGGGCATACAATTTTACTCTGGTCCTCAATAAAAGTTCTCAATGCCATTTCTAATCCACAGTAAAAGATATAAATATAAAAGCATAGATGAAATAAATTAGATAATCAAATGTAACTACTCAATTGATTTAAGAAAGTCCAAGTTTTCTAGAGTAGTGAAGTCATATCTTTACATAGATCATTTAAAAAGCAAATATTAAAGTGAAATCCATCTTCCAGGATTTAACAATTAGGGAATTTGAAGGGCCCATTCTACTATCTTTGTGGTTTATCTTGTTTACACGTCTTTTGTATCACCCAAACAGATATCAGGAGGATGGGGACTCTGTTTTTCACTTCCAAACCACCTGTCAAAGCGCTAGAATAAAATAAGCACTTAAAAATTAAATCAACTTGAACAAATATATACATGATATCTGAATCTTAAACTTAACACTGAACAAACTTGGTAATGAAGATTATATTAAAAAGATATTATTTAAAGATGTATACAATGATTCTGCAACATTTTAAATCCTCCAATAACTCTATGGATCAATTCTGCTCATCTCCATTTATCTGAATGTATTATGAATATATCTGACTATAGTCTGAATATAGTATGTTCTGAACCTGGGTCCTTCTATATTAAATTTTTTCTAGATCATCTGAATGAATAAGAAATAGTCATATGGAGTTTGAGAAGGTAGCAGGATCCACTGCTTTTTCTTAAATCCTTCCTCGATTTCACAAACAATTAGTGTGCACACTATGGCAAGTATTGGGCAAGACATTGAAGATCCAGATGACGCAAAGCCTTCTCTCAGGGTGCTCGTGGCCTAAAGAAATAAGTTAGGAAACAAAATAAACAAATATAACCTCATACAACGAGGTTTTTCCTGTAGTGAAATAGATTTCATGGGATAGAGAAAAGGCACCTCTGGGTACCACTTTCCCAAAGAAGTAAACTAGAACTTGGTTTGGCAGGTTTTTGTCATGGACAACAGGTAGAGCGGCAGTCAAGGCAGATGGAATAGCAAGTATATCATCTACAGGCAAGAGCAAGTGTGGCAAGAGCAGTGCACAGTGTCTAATGCACTAAAGGAAAAGGCTGGAGAGGATGAAGTACATTGAATAGCAGGCTAATATTGAACTCGAAACAGAATGATGTGGGAAGTCACCAAAATATGTTAGGTGGGGCTGAGATAAGATTAACCTTCCTAGTTCAGAAACACCACTCTGGCCATGTCGTGCTGCCTAGATTGAAGAGTAGTCTGGTAGTATGGCCCTTGCCTTCCTGGGAGTCAAAATACAGTCAAAATATGACTCCTGGGAGTCATAAATACAGCTCACCTATGTCCCTCCTCTTAGTCCCTGGCTTTAGCCATAACTCTCTTAACCCTCTTACTCAGTCTTCCTTACCCACTATTAATTATGTTTGTGTCCACCAGAATTTAGTTCTAACTACCATTAACGAGGTCAAGTATTCATAAATAGACAACTCTCAAATTTCTATTACTTACCCAGGTTTCCTTTCTGAGATCTGAGTTCATCTACTATAAAAGCTATCTTAGCATATCCACTCAGAAATCTCTCAAGGCAACCAAAATTCAACAAATAAAAAACACAACTGATTTCCCTCCCTTTTTACTCATCCTCCACGCTTTCCCACAGTAATTAACTTTTACTGAGTGCTTTTTACGTACTAGGCACTGTTCTAAATGCCTTCCATAACGTTCTTTTATTAAATCTCCACAATATGGCCGACAAAGGAGATACTAATCTTACCTTCCATTTTAGGGATAAGGAAACAGAGACACACAGAAATTAGCAGCTTGCCCAAGGTCACAGTGTCAGTGAAAGATGAAGTCAGGCAAACCCCTATGCTTCTAACCATTATACCATATTCCTTCCTCAGGTCTTTCAGGTAGTGGCACCTCAGATTCACCCAGAGGCTCATTCCAGAAATTTGGAAGTCATCTTTGATGCTTTCTCTTCCCTACTATCTACATCTAAATTATCGCAAAGTCCTAAATATGCCTTCTGATTATTTCCCAATCTATCAACATCTCTACATTTTGCCACCATCTCTTGCCACAAGCTCTCATTCATTCTAATCAATTCGGACAATAACCACAGTGTCTTGAAAAGCAATCTGTTTGGGTACAGTGGCTCACGCCTGAATCCCAGTATTTTGGGACCTTGAAATCAGGAGTTTGAGTCCAGCCTGGACAAGAAAGTGAGAACCCATCTCTTCAAAAAATTAAATAAATTAGCCAGGCATGGTGGCAGGCGCCTGTAGTCCCAACTACTCGGGAGTCTGAGACAGGAGAATGGCTTGAGTCCAAGAGTTGGAGGCTGCAGTAAGCTATGACTATGCCACTGCACTCTAGCCTGGGCAACAGAGTAAGATCTTATCTCTTCAAAACAAAACAAAACAAAAAAGCAAAAACAGAAAAAAAAGAGAAGAAAACTGATTCATGAATTTAACAATTCAGAGAGCATCTGCTATATGTTGTGCACTGTTCTAGGTGCTGGAATTGCAGCAGTGAATATAACAAAGTCTCTGCCTTCACAGCCTAAATCCATGAAGGGAAGAAATATAACACTCAAATAAATAAGTACATAATTTCAGGTAGTATAAGGGCTGTGAAGAGAAATGAAGCAGGTAAAATTAGAAAGGGAAAGCAGATGTGGTGGAGAAAGATGCTATTTGAGTATGCCAACCTGATAAAGGCACATCTCTACTTAACACTCTTCAATAGCATTCCTTTTCTCTTAGAACAAACCCTAAAATTCTTAACATGACTCTAAATAGAATGACCATATGGCTAGGCTTTTCCAGCACACTTCCAGTTTAACAACCATCACCCCTTCACTTTCAAAATATTTCCATTTTGAAGTTTAAGAATGGAATCCTTATACCTAAGGGCCCTGCATGATGATGGCTTCAACCCAATTCTAACTTTAGTTCATTCATCTTCCTCACTTGCTGTCTTTACTCCAACTATCCTGATTTTAGATCTTCCAAGTGTAAGGTTCATTCTGAGTATACAGCTTCCAGAATTCCCTCAGCCTTGACAATTTACCTTCCCCCCTTCACCTGTCTTACTCCTATTTCTCCTCAAAATCAAAGTTTTTCCACTTAGGAGTCTTTCCTTTTTCTTTAGAAATATGACATTTTTTTCCTTGTTGTACTTTGTGTGTTTTCTTTGGAATGCTTATCCCATCACTAATCAAATATTAGCACAATTAATTGATAGGTGATTGCATTCTCTCCCAGACTGGAGGCTTCCTGAGTGCATGGACTGATTCTTTATTGTTCATTATTTTATCTCCAATTCCTAAATAATGTCCAGCATATAGCTATATGCTCAATAAATGTGGTTAGGAAGAATAATAGTGAAGAGGTACAACTACTGGCAGGCAATAGATCAGAAGTACTCAACAGCATGAAGAGTTAATCAGGACATCATATTTGATAGAATTTCTTGCCTAATTGATTGAATATAGTGGAGAGCAATAGGAAGAAGATTAAAAATAACTCTGATTTCTAGCTTTAGCAAGCAAATGAAGGATGCTACCATTGACAGAGATGGGAGATGCAATATAAAGGACACGTTGGGGGAAAAGGATGTGCTATATGCTTTAGACATACTGAATTTGAGATGCCTGTGGGATGTCTAGATAGAATTTGTTATCACTTATAGCAAGATTTATTTGTGTTATAACAATGATATTTTTAACAGAACCTGTGTCACCTCAGGTCCAGAAAAACTTTGAAAAGAGTTACAAAAAGCTAGAAATTCCCATTTGCCTGGTGGAATCCTGGTCTTTATTTTGCCTCTCCAGACTCAGTTTTGCGGAAGCCAGGCACCAACTCACAGAGCTGAGACAGTAGCAGGAGACAGTAGCAGGAGGCAGCAGCTCCCACAGTTTCTGACCCTAGTTTTCATTCCACAAATGAGTATCCTGCTAAGAAGTACTTTGAACAAACAGTAGTAGTCATAGAATACCAAATAATATGGCAGGAAAAAATGTAATTTATGTAAAATATTCAGTTTTTTTATTTAAATATTAATTTTTGAGATCTTTGCTCTATGCACTTATCGTCAGTAGACACTGATACACATCATAATTTGCAAAGTGAATGAAATCAAGTGACCCTTTGACTCCACAAATAGAGCCAAGTGAAATTGTCCCAATAGAAAACTTATCAAATTCTAGGCTGTGTGACATGGCTCACGCCTATGATCCTAGCACTTTGGGAGGCTGAGGCAGGCAGATGGCTTGAGCCCAGGAATTCAAGACCAGCCTGGGCTAATATGGCAAACTCCTGTATCTACAAAAAATACAAAAATTAGCCAGGCATAGTGACTCATTGCCTGTAGTCCTAGCTACTGGTGAGGCTGAAGTAGGAGGATCGCTTAAGCCTGGGAGGTCAAGGCCATAGTGAATGGTGATCAGGGCACTGCACTCCAGCCTGGGCAACAGAGCAAGACCCTGTCTTAAAAAAAAAGAAGAAAGAAAGAAAGAAAAGAAAGAAAGAGAAAACAATTTAAAACTTATCAAATTCTAAAGTAATAGAAAAAAATATGCAAAGCACACTGAGATGATGTCACGAACCTGAAAATAGATTTGTTTCTCACATATGGAAAGATCATTCATGTCATCCATTTGTCAGAGTCCCCCTGCAATATTTGACATTGCTGACTCCTACTTTCTTGAAATCCCTTCTTTTAGCTTCAGTAAAAAGCCCTCTACTTTATTTTATTTTATTGAGACAGGGTCTTACTCTGTTTCCCAGGCTGGAGTGCAGTGGCACAATCATAGCTCACTGCAGTCTTGAACTCCTGGGCTCAAGCAATCCTCCTGCCTCAGCCTCCCAAGTAGCTGGGACTACAAGCATGCACCACCACACCTAGCTCAACTTTCTTATCTTTGTAGTTGCTTCTGTTTTGTTTGCCATCTCTTTTTCTTATCTTGATACATAAAATAGGGGTTTCACTTGTGCTCGCCTCATCTTTTGATATCAAGCCCCCTTCTATTATTTCATTTTCTCTCTTTGTTTAGTTAATATCCTGGATGCAGATCACTCATAAATTAAGATTCCTAACAATGACCTTTCTCTCCAAACCTATACTGCATGTCTAACAACCCCAAATTATCTCCTTCTGGGGCCTCCTTCTTTTCTTCAAACCTCCAAGTCTATAATGAGTTCATCATCCGTCCTTTTAGTCCTGCATCTGCTCCTCTGTGCCTTCACATTACTGTTGATGATACAAGACAGACACATGGGTGCCCCCTCAGATTTATTTCTCTTCCCTGCTCCAGGCATCTAATTAGTTGTTAAGTGTTTGCTTATTCTAATGTTGCCCTCATCTTTCTCTTTCCCCCTACTTTCACTATCTCCTATTTACTTCTTCCTGGAACTACTACCTCCATCTCCTCAATGGCCAGCTTGAGTATAATCACAAAGTGAGCACTTGGCATCATGACCTGCATTATTACATTTATTACCATTAATGGCATTCCTAATCATATTATGCCACTCCTGCAATTAAAATCCATCAGTGGTACCCCAATGCCTACCAAGAATTTCCCAAACCCTTTACAGGTTATTTAAAATCTCACATTCCTTTCTTGATCATTTCATTGTTTGCTCTCTATGTGCCAGAAAAACTGAATCACTCACCATTTTTTAAATGTCTATAACTTACTCCATTATTTACATGCCTTCGTTCACAATCTTCCCTCTTTCTACCCTTGTCAATGTTTTATGTGTACATACCCCAATTTTACCCATTTTAAAGCCCAATCCAAATGTCACCTCAACAAAAAGACTCCTCAATTGTTACAACCAGAGGTATCCTTGTCCTCCTTTAAAACAAACAAAAAATACCTTATCTGAATCCCTTTATGCTGATTAACATATTCTATTTTTGTGTTACAGTTATTTATACACATGCATTATTTATTCCAATAATGGGTCCAATACAGGACCAATGTCAAACCCATCTTCATAAAAATCCCATATCCAGAGAACATGTTCAATAACCACCCATGTGCTTACATTTAGAAAAGCAGTTCTCCTTTAATGACAGGAAACATACTATATTTAGGAGGAACAAAGTTTTGTTGAGAGCCCAAAGTTTAACTTTTCCTCTACCCTTCACCAGATACTTGACTTTTGGAAGTTACTTAATTCTTTGAAGGCTTAATTTCTTTTTTAAAATGTGGTTAATACAACCTGTCATATATTTTTTATCAGATTAAGTGAAGCAGTATAATATAAACTGCTACGTGCAGGTATCTAATAACTTTTGGTTCCCTTCCTATCTTCAATATATGTGTGGTAGGTCTCTAAGATGACTTCAATACCCACATACAGCAATTTTAACATGTGCTGGGATAACAAGAACACAGAAGAGGTGGGAGAAAAAGACCTACCAGGAGTTCCCAAGCTGTGTCTCCGATTTATTAGGGCAAAACTGAGCAAAACAAAAGAGCTCACCTAAATAATCTGTCCCAACCCAGCAATGTTTACACATCATTAACACAAGAAGCAAGAAAATGGAAGGAGTGAAACCAAATCTCATTGAATAAATGCAAGGTGGTTTAAAGCGCTTTTATACCACCTATCTCAATCTCTATTTTACTGTTAAGAAAACTGAGTCTCTGTAAAATTAACACATTTCTGCCACTTATTTAGTAATAAAGCTGGAATGCAAGCTTAGGCCATTCTAATTTGTATGTTCATGTCACGCAGTGTCACGTTGTCTCACATACACACATGCACACATACACACACACACACACACACACACACACACCCCTTTATGAGACAGACAAAGGAAGAAACAAATTCTGATTCTCTTAAGAGGCTGTGTTTCCTCAGGTTTTGATTGAGTAACTGAGTGTTAGGGAAAAAAACTACATTAATTAAACAACTGACATTGGCCAAAAACTGTGCTGGCTAATAGAATGTTGCAGACTGTCTCTTGAAAAAGCACAGGTTCCATTTTCTTGAGATAATAAATTATTTAAATAGTAATTGAAAAGTAATAACAATACCATTTGTACATTCAAAAAGTACTTTTAAAAATTATAATATTATATAAATCAATATTTAAATTAATTGCTCTCAAAATATTCTCCTGTGTATTATTTTACCTGCTAGCCTCCACTCTATGTAAAAAGGAAAAATAAATTAAATTTTCTATTATTATTTTAAACCTATAGATGCTTGTAAGGTCTGCAAATCTCATGAGATATTTGTTATTAACCAATAATATAGGCATTCAATACTACCCACAGCCCATGCAGCCCAAGGCCACAAAAATAATAGTGTTTTTGCTTTTCAGGCAATAACTGAAATTGGATATTTTTTAAAGAAATAATATTCATATATTTAAGTTACATGTGAGATAAAAATTAAAACCATGCTTTTGTGTCATGGAACAGATCGTTTTAAATATCAAAATTGCAGTTACTTTTGAATAGTTCTTAATGGCCACACAAATGTGTTGGTTTGATTAGGCTCTCAGCAACCACCTACCAGCAAATCATATTAAAATGGAAGAAAACCCTATTTGCTAGAGAGAGACATTAAGACATTAGAGCATATTTTGCAACAGAAAGCCCAATTACCTATATAAAATTTTTGACATCAGTTGGCCTAAATGATCAATTTTTTATCTTTTTTTTCAAGCACTTGTTCAACAAGATTTCTTAAAAATGTGGTGGTACTATTATTATGTATAATCATTTTTCAAAGTTCCCCTATTTATGTATAATACTTAACACTCCTTATGTTGTAGCCATTCCTTCTATCACCGAAGGATATTAGATACATTAGAAAGGTTTTCCTGGTTTCTCTTAGCTCTGTCTTTAAGTATGGTCATATCATACATCTCCTGTGATGAAGATGAAAGCATGGATTTTTGAAGTGGGATAGACTAAGTTTTGGATGCTTCTTCCTTAATTAATGGCAGTATGGTCTTGAATGAAACATCTAACTGCTGGGCCTCAATTTCATCATCTTTTCTTTTTTATTAAGACTTGTAGTAACTGCCTCATGGGGTTGTTTTGAAGGTTAAATAAAATAATATTAACAAGTGTGCCATACCTAACGGTACTGTGCCTGGCAATGCAATAGACAGGAAATAATCTGTTCTGTTCCCCTTTTTGTGACAGTTTATTTTCTGACGTTTTAATTCCTTTAACCTAATGAAAATGGAGTCATAATATAGGAACAGTGACATCATTGTTATATTTCAAACTGCCACCCAATTTTGGTTCCATACCACTTAGAAGTGATTTCTGCTGGGATTATATCCTAAGGCCATTTATTGGGGAAATAAATTTATTTCATTCAATATATATTAACCTACATGTATAACATTAATATTTGAGTAAAGCTACATTTAATATTTACCAGAAAAAAAGAGGCATAAACCAAGCTATAGCCTCTGTAATTAATTCATTCTAAGAATTTCAGCATATCTAAAATTTTATATAATCAATAGTCTTCATACTTTTCATAAAGAAAAATAGGTATAGTTAACATTTACGATGATTTTTTAAAATCGTGCTTTCTGGTAGAACTTTGCACAAGGATTTATTATTGCATTTAAGTAGTGTCTCAAGGTATAATTTTTATGGTCTATTAAGCATAATTCTCAAGCACCTTTAACACAACTAAATGAGGTGGAATTACTATTAACTTGTATTTTAGGTTACCAAGTGCCCAGGCAGTTCCAAACAACTATATCCGGAATGGTATTTTATGACAGCTCATGACTTTCTATGTTGAGCTTCCTTGACTTAAAATTTTTACGAGATTGAAAACTGGCCTCTGAGATGGTGCCTGAAAGTTGGGTCATTAGTCCTCACCTTTTAAGAAATAATGTCTCAGCAGGTTGTATTTGAACCACTTGAGCTCAAGGAGGTGTTAACAGAGTTGTTAATTAACCTAGGTCTGGAACCTACTGTGAAGAATCCCAGAAAGTTGGAACAATAGGGAGGCACTGCTTAACCTACAGCATGGAAGAAATGACTTTTGCTTTAATAATATAACCGCAAAAGTTACACAATAGTAATATGAAGTTAAACAAAGAATGGCAACGTGAAACTAACAGTCAGAGGTCGGAGCAAATTTACAGAAAACCAGCTGGAGTGAAAATGTACGGAATTGGACACTTTTGAAATGTACTGGTCCTTTTGAAGTGATCCTTGTCTCCATATTTGAATAGAAATGAGTAATAAAATAAATCTGAAAATAACATCTCTTTTATACTCAAGATTCTAATTAGATCAATGCTTTGCTTAAATCTATCAAGACCATTGTTTTCAATAACCCACAAGGATGGAGATTTCATGGCTTTCCTTGGTAAGCATGTACCAATGTTTAATCATCCAGTTACAGTTGAGATCTCAAGGTGAAAATGATCTCTCTATAATTTCTCTGTAAACTCAGCTGGTCCGTGAAACTAGAGAACTGACTAGCATAAATAAACACAAACAAACAAATCTCTCAGATTCTTGAAAAAAGTTACTAAGTAACTTAAGTAGTATCTTAAGGTATAATTTTTATGGTTTATTATTTACCTCTCCAGACAAAGTAATCTCAATTAGTCATCTCTCCAGACAAATTAATCTCAATTGTATTGGCAATTTCCTTTGAGAAACTGCTTACAGTATTTAAATCAAGTTTGTATTATTTTCATAGTTCTTTGTATAGTCTTTTGAAGATATGTAATCCCAAATTCTTTTTATATAGGAGATGACCAATGCTAAGAGAGGACCCCTGTTGCAGTCTAAATGCTCCAATATTCCCTCCATTTTGTTGATGTTGTTGAGACCAAACCATGTGATGAGAAAAATAAATGATAAAGATTATGAACATATGAATATAAAGTTTAGCTGCTGTAATAAAAACATCAGAATTAATGTGATCCATATCCAATGATGTATATCTTTAAATGGTGGATTGCACTTATGGTAACTTTTAAACTAGAGAATCTACAACATGCATTATTATTACTAGTATCAGCTGTAATTGGATATACATTTTAAGCAGCTTATATGTTTTTCTAGTTAATATTTCCTACGCCTATAGCACATTTTTTCTTTTTACTTTTTTCCTCAACAATCAACTGTAATATTTATGATTTTCCCTAGAAAAAGGCTTATTTACAACCATTATCATATATAATAATACATCACTTGTTTTTCTGTTTGTTTGTTTGTTTTGGAGACAGGGTCTCACTCTGTCACCCAGGCTGGAGTGCAGTGGGGCCATCACGGCTCACTGCAGCCTCAACTTCCTTGTCTCAAGTGATCCTCCCACCTCAGCCACCTGAGTAGCTGGGACCACAGGTCCATGCCATCATGCCCAGCTAATTTTTGTATTTTTTGTAGAGACAGGGTTTTACCACATTGCCCAGCCTGATCTCCAACTCCTAGGCTCAAGTGATCTACTCACCTCAGCCTCCCAAAGTGCTGGGATTACAGGCATGAGCCACTGTAATCACTTTCTTAATCTTATCCTTCCACTGCTAATGATTCTAAACACATCCTGCTTTTTCATCTAAGGTCCTTATCGCTGAAGAGTCTCAGGCTTTGGAAACCTGGAGCTATCAGACGGGAACAGCCCAAGTACGGCAGGATGAGAATAGAGTGGAGTGACAACTGGATGGCTATATTAAAAGTAGCAAAGCTGAGGCCCTGTTATGGGACGGTGGCATAGAAGAAAGAGAAAACAATGACAATGGTGTCTCTTCCTCAACATCTGGATGCCGTGAGGGGATAAAAATGAGAAGAATGAGATTTAATAAAGATGACAAAGATATTGAAAGGGGAATCCTGAGAAACTCTTCGATCCAGCACCTCAAAGCAGTAAAGTGTCAAGGACAGATCTTAGTGTGTTGGTATTTCTAGAGAAAGAATAATATCTCTTTGCTTCTCAAGTATCTTCCTCTTTATGTTCATTATTATCAAGACCTTATTTGGCAAGTGGCAATTGCTTTAATTCTATTGGAGAACTGGAAGACCTAAAACTGTTACCTATTGAGAGAGTCAATACGATGATTACAATATGTTTTAGGCATAGTATAAAAGATGACTACAGATTGGCATCTATAAGATTGACTGTATCTTTTCTCTAGGAAAAGATAACACAAAGATGAACTCAGGAGTTGTAAACATAAATTAGCTCTGTGTATATTTATTTGAACTGTGACGAGTAGTGTAATAATTGGTAATTTTAAAAAATTTGGGGTAGCACACTTTAGGAAAACATATTCATTTGCTTTTATGGCATATTTCAGATTTCCTGGCTTTCACATGATGAATTCCTACTAGCATATCCTAATTCTAGTATTATACATTTTTAAATATTGCAGAAAACAATCACTTTAAACTTAGAACTTACAAAATATTGTTCACATACTATCTCATTTGATTTTCACTAAAAGTCAATATGAATGTCAGGGAGATATTAACTTCTTTTTATAAATCTGACTTCCTGTACTATTACATGTATTCTTCACTATTTATGTTGTTGCTAGAAGTTCTTATGCCTAATAGAGAAATAATTACTGTACTCTATACCTTTTTCTTTTCTCCTGACTTCATACTTCCTATAATCTCCAAGAGGCTATATCTATAAATCCCTAGAATATAATTGGGTGTCCTGGACCAGAAACTAGTCATACTTTCTTTGTAGCACTAGTGGGGATGGTGTCTTACTCATTCATGATGGTATCTATTAGAACAAAACACTCTCTTGTAAAGCAACTCAATCTGTTTTCATTGAACTACTGGCTGTCCTCCAGAGGAGTAGACCCACTCCAAGAAAGCATTCTAAAAATCTTGATTTTATTTGTTAGTAATTTTTCTCCAAATGACCTTTCAATTTTTAGAGTATTCAACCCAGTGATAGTAGTACTAAGCAGCCCAAACAAGACAACCCAATGCAAGTATTCTCAAGTGATCCTATTGTAACATGCTTCCTTCTGCATTTCTCTATGTACAGAGGCAAAGAGATTGCCCTAAACATCAGGCCAGAAAGCAGTCAAAGTGGAGACATTTGCTTCTAAACCTCATTTATTTTGAAAATCAAGAGGTCTTCTCTGTAAAACATCCCAAGATTAGAAAATCAAATAATTTTTCAGCTTGACTATTAAATACTTTTCCTTCTATTTTAAAACACATGTATTGTTTAACAAATGGTTTTCATCTCTATGAGGTCCAAGGATCTCTTTTTACATTCCTCCCTTACTATACTGAAGTAAAATAATATATAACATTATCTATTTACACATAGAATGTATATAAATCAATATAATAACCTAACTGTAATAAAGGAGAAGTAAAAGAAAAGAAATGTAAAATATAATATATAAGTTTATTTCACTTTGGAAAAGCTGAGGCATGGCCACTACATGTAATGAAGCAGCCATAAGCTTGCACCCACATGTAGCATTGCCATGAATTTACAAGGATAAATAAACACAGTTTCAAGTGTATTGCATGGGCAACTCACATTTCATGAGGAGGCTACCTATTGGTGATATAATTTTTCAAAGTGGTAATTAACTCTTACTAAACTACCAAACAAAAACAGCATCTTCTCTTGATGTACCTGATAGTTGCATTCCTGAAAATTTTAGCATATATCAAAACTGTGTTAAAAAATACTTTATGTATAAAACAGTGTTTGGTTATAGGTCTAATGAATATAAACAAGTTTAATCACTTAATTTGAATGCAGAATGGGTTAACTGAAATTGGGATACAGGACACTTTTCCCTTGTGATGGACTCTCACACATTATAGCTGTCTGGTGGACGTGAACCCCACCTAAGAAATGTGTTTAGTAACTAACTGGCTCTCAATAGAGAGCCAGGCTAACTTTTTTTTCTCTTTTTTTTTTTTTTTTTTTTTTGAGGCAGGGTCTTGCCCTGTTGCCCAGGCTGGAGTGCAGCCGCCTGATCACTGCTCACTGCAGCCTCAATCGCTTTGGCTCGAGCAGACTCTCCCACTTCAGCTTCCCAAGTAGCTGGGATGAAGGCATGTGCCACTATGCCCAGCTAATTTTTTAATTTTTTTGTAGAGAAGAGATCTCCTTATGTTGCCCAGGCTGGTCTGGAACTCCTGGACTCATGTGATCCTCTGGCCCTGGCCTCCCATAGTACTGGGATTACAGGTGTGAGCCACCCCACCTGGCCTCAGACTAACTTTTCACTCCCCACACTTCTTGTGAGTCAGAAAAGCTTTCCCTATCTCCTCAGAGTAGGAGATTAAACTCTTCCATTACACACCTTCACAGCTCCATAATGCATGCCTCTTTCACAGGACGTATCATAATTTTAATCAGATACTGTATGTGATTTTGTGATTTTAAGTATTTGTCTCTACTCTCAAACTGTACCTCCATGAAAGCAAGTAAGTCTGTCTGTTCGACCCTGTATCTTCAGTGCCAAACTTGTCCTTAGCACATTGTAGATGCTCAATAGTAAAGACATATTAATAAAGGAATGAATAAAACAATTTGTGTCTGCTCAAAGGCCGCAATCCACATGCCATATTGTTTCATGGAGTGAGATGGTGGGATGCCAAGATACTGACCTCCAAGTATATGTACCTATTTATTGTGTGGAATGGTAGGTACATCCTTAGAAATCAAAGGAAAACAAGAAAAGGTCTTAGGAGAAATAATAAAAAATAATCACCATGAGAATGTAATTTTTTCTTATCTAATGAACTTCATGTGTATTCTTGAACACAGCCTAAAAAAATTATGGGATCTTTAGATTCTTATTAGTGGACTGGGTGATTGCTTAAATTGCCAAAATAATATTTTAAAGGCACTGAATGACCATATCTATGGTTTCTGTAACTAAAAATAACAACATAAGCTTAAAGCAACATGTCTTAAAAAATAAAGAGTTGATCACTTAGATCATTTACCTGTCTTAATACTGTATGATATTTTCAAACCCTCTCATGGAGAGTATTTATTTTATTTATTTACATCCCACTTCATTCCACCAAGGATATGATGTATAAATCACAAATTAAACATTTCTACTCTTGGTAAATATTAAACAAGTTATTTTTTATTTCCATCTTGAAATTGAATAAAATTCAAAAAATTAAAACTCAAATGACTAAAGGTTAAAATATCTAATGTTATAATAATAAATCTAATCATTTAAATGTATTTCCAAACCTAAACTTAGCCAGATGATCAATCACCATTTCTGCTCTTCCAGATGGCTGCAGTTCCATCTCCTAGAATAATGGAGTGCTCAAATCTTTGATAGTTAATTGTACTGGATTACTGTTTGGCAATCAACCAACTCCCTGGCCTGGGGGCAGATCATTTTATTTAATGGTTCATCACCAAGACCTCACTAGCATGACAACATAGATCACTATGCTATTGATGCCAAGAGAGTGAAAAGCTGAGAGTCAGCCTATCCCACCCGGGAGGAATTACACTTAATAAACTACCCAGGTAAGTGGTAACCAAAATGAGTAATGATTAAGACCAAGAGCAAATTAAGTAAAATAGCAAACGGGGGAATAGATTTTTTTTATCACCTTTACTTTATAAAATCATGTGTTACCTAGTTTAACATTTCTTTCTAATATATAATTTGGCTGAAATATATAGGAATAACATCTATGGAAGCATAAAATCAAATGAACAAAAAGGATAATGATTTTTAAGGTTTAAGGTTTGAGCAGTGAGTTTTACATTTTTCACCAAAATTGGACATTTTATTTTCAAAATGTAAATATGTATGTAAAGAAAATCTTTCTTGAAGTCATTTTGGAAATGATTTTATTTTGTGGAAAATATTTAATCCACATACCAGTATTGTATCACTGAAAACTGATTTTTCTATTTATTTTCAAAATACATTCCCAGATGTATTTCACATATAAGCCTGAATGCCTCAAGACTGGGGAAAACAGTTGTTTAACAGGGAACAACCAATGAAGGTGCCACAGACCTCTCACTAGACTCTGTTTTCAAGCTCAGGAGTCATAAAAATAATAAAACTCTCTTATGACTGGGCACAGTGGCTCACACTTCTAATCCCAGCACTTTGGGGGGCCAAGGCAAGTGAATCGCTTGAACCCTGGATTCGAGACCAGCCTAGGCAACATAGCAAAACCCCATCTCTACAAAAAATACAAAAATTAGCCAGCCATTGTGGCACAGACCTGTAGTCCCAGCTACTTGGGAGGCTGAGGCTGGAGGATTGCTAAAGCCTGGGAGGTCGAGGCTGCAGTGAGCTGAGATCGTGCTACTGCACTCCAGCCTGGGTGACAAAGTAAGACATTGTCTCAAAAAAAACAAACAAACAAACAAACAAAAAAACTCTTTTATGATAACATTTGCCCAAAAACCCAATCATGGCTGAGAGGAAAATACCTGTTCTTATGCTTGATATTAAGACCCAGTAAAAATCTCATTGTCTTTTTTTATTGTTTATAAATCACTTATGCATTTACGCATGTTTCTTTATTTTGAGGTATCTTCCCTATCCTCCTTGGTAATTTTTCATGTACCTTTCAGAGCTACAATTGAAAGTTGTCTTACTTGAGTCCCTTCCAGTGCTCAGTAACATTCTCTGTCCTCTATGCTCCCAGAAAGCATTTTTCATACCTGTTTCTCCACTTACCATATTGTGCCATCATTTACTTGTTTTCATGCCCATTTCTTCTATCAGAGCCCCATGAATGAAGAGACTGTGTTCCTTCCTTGGTATCCTCAGGACTTAAGACAGTTCCTGGCACATATTAAGAGCTCAATATATTTGCTGGAAATGAACGAACAGTGTTCTATAGACAAACTATGTGCCTTAACAATGATAATAAACCTCATGAATGAAGGTATCTGCGCTCAGAATCTAAAAGGACCTGACCTCTGAGGACCACTAGGGACATCCCTGGTCCACCATCACCTGCTGGCTCAGGGCTGCCGTATGTGGAGGAGCCTCTTGCTACGCACTAAGACTCCCTTCATTGTGCACTTCAGCATTCTACTCCCACGCTCATCTTTAATCTTCCTTCTCTCCTGGGCTCCTCCTACCCTGCCTATTCTGAGCAAGAGACATAGGCATGGTGCCTATTTTGTAAATCAGGAGGACTGTGTTCTAACTCAAGCTCTTCTCAGTTATTTACAGGAACTTAAAACACTTTTCTCTCTGCACTTTCCTCCTCATTTGCAACCAAGGGAGAGCGGTTGGGGTGTGGGAGACCATGAGAGTAGAATGGAACAGACCTGGGCATAAACCTTCCATGCCCATGGGCAAGTCAAAGAGCCCTGGAGTTTAACAATAGCACTCCCAACTTCATCTTAAAAGTCTCCAGTGGTTGACCATCACACTCAGAATAAAGCCCCTCACTGGGCATGGAAGATCTTTTGTGGTGGAGCTACAAAATTTTTAGAGACTGGTCCTCTCAAACAATGTGTTACTAGCCTCAATCAACTAGGCACAAGTCCCTTTTTACCTCCATGTTCTCACTTCTGCACATTTACTAACTCTGTTCTCGGGCGCCACTGCCATTTCCATCCCATATTAATTTTGTATACCTCTATCATAGCTCTTGTCACACTATATTGCAATTCTTTTTGTCTGGCTTCCACTTTAGACTGCGAGCCCAGTTAGAACAGACATGTTGTGTATGTCATATCATTTGTGCCCAACCTCGTGCCTCTTGTGTCTAGTGTCACTTAATAAAGTTTTCAGGAGAGAGAAATTACTGCCTGGAAACCCCTGCTTGACAACTATTCAAATTCCTGAGATAAGAGTCGGCTGCGTGTGTATTGATTAAATATGGCTATATCATGGTAAATTCTTTCACTGCTATTGGAAAAATAAGCCAAGCTGTGATCAATTAAGTAAATGCAGAGGAAAATATGATATTAATTTGGGGATATATAATAGACACAATAACCTTTTTTAAAAATTTGGCAATTTATACCCTGCTTCTTTTAATAAAGGATGCAAGGAAACACATCATGGGATGAAAAAGAGAAAAAATCAGAAATATGCATGCAATAAGGACCTTTATAGTTGCTATAGTTTAGCGTAAATTTGGACCTTTGCTGCCTAGAAAAAGGTAAGACACTGGGAAAAGGGAAAAGACAGACATTTATAGTAACATAGATTCTAATCTTGTAGTTGACAAGAGGGCAATTGTGATAGCTTTGACGAAATGATTGAGAAAAGTTGGCAATTAGACCATTTGAAAAAAAATGGTAATAGATGGTATATGCATGTATTAAACTAAAATGAACTAAAATTAGACAAAATATATTATAAGGCATCTAACATCAGAAATTTCATTAACAGCCAACAAAAATCACATTGTTCCTTTTACAATGTATGAGCCTCTACCCACCCATCCCAACCTCAATCTGGTCTCTCTGTTTCTTGCTCTAGAAATCAGATATTTAACCTAGTTAAAAAAAAATGTGTCTTGAACAAAGGCTAAAAGAAAGTGGTTTACCTTTTTAAAAGTGAAATTATTCAATAGTTGGGAGGAAATGGAGAGATACTAAATAAATTACACTAGCATGTGAAATAAACATTTGATTTAACTGAAGGACAAAACAATTAATTTCTCTTGGATGACTATACTGTTCATCAAGCCAATAAAAACATGAAAGATAAAAATGACATGACGACGTCCCTACATGATGGCCTTGAAAAGACAATGCCATCAACAAGCACTAAGACAACTGTACTTAAATGAATCTGCACGAAAGAAGTAAGATTCTTCTTTGATGATTTCTTCAAAAGGACTTGACTTTGACACATCTTCTGGTGTTCTAACTTAATCCAAAGAATAACATGGAACTCCTACGAAGCAAGTTGATGGAAATAACATTAGAGAATGGCTGGGTTGTGAGGGCTGTGAGGATATTTTGAGGTCACAGTGACAGAGAGAAGAGAATGACCTCTCTCATATTATCAGTATACAAAAAATGAGATCATTATAGCAATGCTGAGCTTAACCACATACACTGTAAGATCTAGACTATCTAGAAGGCAACAAATGATACTTGCTCAAAGAAGTCGCAAAGGCTCTGTTGTGATACTAAAAAGGCAAATACAACTAACTAATAATGAAAAAGATCAGACAATTTCAACACAAAGTAATATTTTGACAAGCTTTCATCGAGCAATTTCTGTAATTGTTGGTGTTACTAATAGAATGTTCAGCCTTTCAAACAGTATCCATACAATGTCACAAGCACTAGATTTAATTTTTAATAAGCATGCATGTAGCCCATCTTGTAACATATACTGAGAATAATAATGTTTAGCCGCGCTTTTATATTACCTATGGCATCTTGTCCTGGTTGATGCCATAGAAGACTTAATGAAGACTTGTTAATGAAGACTTAACTAATAGTCAAAAAGAGGAAAGTAATATGCATTTCTCAAGAAAAGAAAAAATATTTCCTAACATTTAGATCTAAAAAGGCAAAAATCACGAGACTAATAATTTGTATACATAATAATTAAAACATTCCTGCACTGAAAAGATCCCCTAAATTAAGTTACCAACAAAGAAACTGGGTAAAATATTTACACCATATATAACAACGGGCTAGTATTCTCAGTATATAAAGATTCTAATACATCAATAAGAAAAAGACAAATAACTCAATGAAAAATTGTGCAAAGTATGTGAACATACAATTCATTAAAGAATATAAAGTTTGACCTATTAGTTAAATAAATACAAATTAAAAATAATAAATACATTCATTTCTTATTAGAAAAGATTTAATAGAATGGCAACCCACAGGGTGGCCCAGATGTGGACATTCTCCAATGTTGATGGTATTATGTAAATAGGCCTTATCTATCCAGAAGGCAATTTGGCAATGAGTGTTAAAAAATGCATGCCTGTTCTCACTCATATGTGGGAGCTAAAGAAACATGATCTCATTGAAGTAGAGAGTGAATTATGGTTATTAAACACTGGGAAGGGTAAGAGGAAGGGAGAGGTTGGTTAATGAATATAAAATTACAGTAGATGGGAGGAATCAATTCTACCTTTCTATAGCAATGCAGGGTAAATATAGTTAACAATAAGTGACCATATGTTCAGAAAGCTAGAAGAGAGGATTTTGAACGTTCTCAACACAAATAAATGACAAATGT
Source organism: Homo sapiens (assembly GCF_000001405.40). Lineage (NCBI taxonomy): Eukaryota > Metazoa > Chordata > Mammalia > Primates > Hominidae > Homo > Homo sapiens. The sequence continues at coordinate 76,754,675 of NC_000008.11, read as the reverse complement.
TTGAGGTAATAAATATCCTAATTACTCAGATTTGATCACCACACATCATATACGTGTATCAAAATATTGCTCTATATCCTATAAATAGGTATAATTATTATCTATAAACTAAAGTAAAAGGAAAAACAAAACAAAACAAAAAATGTATGCTGTGTAACTAAGCAATTGTTTTTTGTTTTGTTTTTTTGAGACAGAGTCTTGCTCTGTTGCCCAGCCTGGAGTGCAGTGGCGCAATCTGGGCTCACTACAACCACCACCTCTTGGTCTCAAGTGATTCTCCTGTCTCAGCCTCCCGCGTATCTGGGATTACAGGTGCGCACCACCATGCCCGGCTAATTTTTGTATTTTTTGGTAGAGACAGGGTTTTGTCACGTTGGCCAGGCTGGTCTCAAACTCCTAACCTCAGGCAATCCACCATTCTTGGCCTCCCAAAGTGCTGAGATTACAGGCATGAGCCACTGCACCTGGCCTAAGCAATTCTTTTCCCAGAAATTTATCACAAGTAAATAATCAGGAATGTAAAGATACGTAAACAAATATGTTCCTAAGAATAACTGTTCACATTTCTCAAATGCCAAGTACTGTATATAACACCTATAAGAATCACGTTCTACCAGTGCAAAAATAGATTCTTGGGGAGGTTAAATACTTTTTCCAAGACACAATCAAGAATCAAAACCCTGTCAGTATGATTCCAAAGCGTTAACTATCAACTTATAAAATAATTTTTTTGCATATAAAAAATGTTGGCTGGATGCAGTGGCTCATGCCGGTGATCCCAAAACTTTGGGAAGCCAAGGCAGGAGGATCACTTGAGCCCAGAAGTTCAAGACCAGCCTGGGCAACATAGTAAGACTCCATCTCTACAGTAATAATAATCATAATTAGCTGAGCATGGTGTTGCATGCCTCTAGTCCTAGCTACTCAGGAGGCTGAGATGAGAGAATAGCTTGAGCTTGGAGATGGAGCTTGAGCAGTGAGCCACTGCACTCCAGCCTTGGTGACAGTGTGAGACCCTGTCTCCAAAAAAAAAAAAAAAAAAAAAAGGCCTAAGACGAATGAAGTGACTGTGACAGACAAACAATTGAAAAGAATCAGAGACCTACAGAGAAACAAAAGAGATGGAAAGAGAGGCAAGAAGACAGGGGCAGAGAGATGTAGCAAAAGACAAAGAGAATTTTGAATTGATTAGTGCTGTTTAGCTTATTTTTCTTTTGGCTAATTTGTTTCCTTTTATTGTTTGAAATAAGTATTATTTATGCAATATAAATATATTTTAAAATAAATTAATTGCTAATGGAGACAGGGGACACAGAATTTGCTAATTGGATATATGCCCTGTAGCACTACTGAAGCAAATGGGCTAAGAGATTTCACAGGCAACATCTTGTGTCATTTATCCATATAGGTAGGGGATATAATTCCAAAATGTAAATCAGTAAAGGCTGATTTCTGGGAGTCCAAGATAAACAATAAAGGAAACTGATGGTTCAATTTAATTCTAGAGAAGCCTGGAGTATGGTTATTCTATGTTGTTGACTTATGGATACACAAGCAGTTTATTAATCAATACAGAAGGAAATACTAATATCATTTTTATTGAAAACGATGGACCCTATTTGCAACCCTATCTCTACAAAGAATGCACATATATGAACATATGCATTGGCATGCACTGGTACAAATACACACCATAAAACAACACAAAAACAAAAATAAACCCAGAACCTTTTCAAGTGGCACACTATGGTGGTAGATCAGCTATGTCAATTTAGGAATTGTACAATTCACGAAAAAGTAATTACATAAGTTATTATAGTGAATTCACTTTCTTGGATTACACTGACTAAGATTTGCAGCTATAATTAAGTAAAATTCCAGTGAATGTAAAAATTATTTGGAACCACATATACTCAAATAGTAAAAGACAAAATATATATGTACTGCTAAATGTGGGGGGCATGGGGTGTTTTTTTGTTTTTTGTATTGTTTTGTTTTGTTTTTTGAGACAGAGTCTCACTTTATCATCCAGGCTGGAGTGCAGTGGCATGATCTCAGCTCACTGCAGCCTCTGCCTTCAAGGTTCAAGCAATTCTCCTGCCACAGCTTTCCTAGTAGCTGAGATTACAGGCATGTGCCACCATGCCCAGCTAAAGTTCTTTTTTCTTTTTTTTTTTTTTTTTTTTTTGGATTTTTGGTAGAGACAGGGTTTCACCATGTTGGCCAGGCTGGTCTTGAACTCCTGACCTCAAATGATCTGCCTGCCTCGGTCTCCCAAAGTGCTGGGATTACAGGTGTGAGCCACTGCACCTGGCCCATATGTGTGTTGTTTTTTTTTTAATACTCTTTTAAGTCACTGTTAATTTTTTTTAAAAAACATACTTTAGAGCCATACTAAATATAGTTAGACATTTATGAATGAACCAATATTTTTCATTCTCTTGCCTTCATGCAGGTAATTGAACATTACACCATTGAAATACCATTATCAAAACTCTAGACTTCATAGAACTTTCATAAACTGAATTCTGATGTCCCGTAAAGGATTGCAGGGAAGCTGCAATCAGTTTGCACATCCTTTCCTTAAACCTAATAAATTTTCATTCACTGTTAGGTTCATCCTCAAACCTCATCTTATTTTCATGGGAATATATACAACTAGATAATTAAGTTTTCTGGTAAATATTAACATAGACGTTAGTTAGGCTGAGATATACTCTCAGCATTATCCTTTCTAGCAATAATAATCTACTCTCAGCATAAGAGTGATCCTTGCATGCGGTTGATGACCACCTTAGGATACTCACTGTTGGAACCACCACTCTTGGTGAAATTAGTACTTATGATGCTCATCATCGTAGCTAGAAGAGTTTCCCAGAGATGCAAAGCAAATTGTGTACTTTCTTTTCCAAGTCAATATTCTAACCAGAATGATGTATGTAGAGAGTGAGATCATATTACAAATAAAAACATGAATTTCTGGCTAAGGTGTTTACCTAACAAAAGAAGGAAAATTACTATTTTATCTCATCTTCTTTCCCACTTGTATCCCTCACAATTCATTCTAAAAATTCTGGTAAAAGTGAAGTAAAGAAAGCAAATAGCTTTGCTACAGTTTACCTTAACTTACATCAGACACTGACATAAAGATGGCAAATAGGTTCTAACTGGCCTGCCCTCTCTGATCATTCAACAATTGTTGCCAAGACCACTGTGTCAAGAAGGATTCTGAGTGGCATTATTAATTACTGATGTCTATTGTGGAAACCTGAGGGAGAGACTGGAGGTTACAATTTGTCTCTATTCTTTCCTGGCTTTTAAGCCTAATAAATTTCCATTCACTGCTAGGCTAACCCACAAACCTCATCTTATTTTCATGAGAATATAAACAACTAGACAATTCAGTTCTTTGGTAAATATTAATGTAGACATTAGTTAGGCTGAGATACACTCTCAGCAAGAGGCAATGAACAGAAAGATTTAACCTGGTAGTGAACAGAGATGAGAGGGACATGTGGCCATAACCCATGTGAGTCAGAAGAATTGATCTTCTGTGAATTCCAAGGGCTTCCAAGAGACATTTCATAGAGGATGCAAGAAATTCCAAATTTAAGCTTCCTATAAAACACTGGGTGATATGGGGAGACAGGAAAATATTCCTATTAATCAATATAGATTGTCTTCATCTTTCTTATTAATTTTGTCCTTATCAGCTCCTGCGTTTTTTAAGGTATGAGAAAATGTGTTTACAAATACAGTAATCAATTCGTTCTCTTGAAAGTTTATGCATTATTTTGTGGTGCTTATCTTTTAATTTCAAAATGAAGTTTAGAATTGTTTAGATGAGTCGTTATAGTAAAAGAGAACAAAGGAGTATATTTAGATTCATTCCTGGGTTTGAGCCCCAGTACTGCCACTGATTTTTTTCACTTGTTAACTGCTATATTTAATAAAAACTTGTTGAAGAACTATGGGTAATGGAAAAATGAGATAAATAGAAATATTTCACAGAATTTACAGTATAGCTGGGAAACAGACTAGTAAATAGCAAAGTGGAAAATATCACAAAGACGCAGTTTGGAAGCAGAAAGAAAAGAATAAATCTGGCTAGCAGTTGGATTTCTTTCATTTTTCACACCTTTACATTTTACCTTGTAAGAATACACATTCTACTTCCTTGTATGGTTATTCTGAGGACACAGTAAGATCATATATGACTTATTTTACTGTAAATATACTAAGCTACATTTACTTCTTACTCCATTTAGGGTGAAATGAGCACAGTTTAGCATCTCAAAACTAAGTCCAGGCCATGCACACTCAGTGTTAAATTTTTTACAAATTTTTTACTTCAGTCATTATACAACAGCATCATCAAGCATTCACAAAGCAAATGTAAATCTTTATATACAGTCAATACAATTTTAGGGCATCCCTCCTAGATATAAATGTGAAATTCTCCTTGAACTGGAGACATCCTCAGGGAAAGCTTTCTGATAACCACAAGCATCCAAGACCCTAATCTTGGTTAATCACTAACAGGTCAGCATCTCTGAAAACAACACAGCCTAAGAACAAAAGAATGTGTGGTCTGGTTCTCATAGAATTTTAAACCTAGGACAAAACATAGGGATTTAGAAGGTTATTTTTTAAAAATCTCACATTATCAGTTTGGTAAGAAAATATGAACTGCAATTATCAAGCTTCCAGATATACAACATAGCTTTGAAATAGCATGCATTTGCTACTGACTCTGTAGAGGAAGAATATATAATTTTATAATGCAATCAACCTTTTGCAATATAATTAGTCTATCAAAAGATCTTAAAATACTGCAAAAATCTTACATTATTTTATTTGTGTTGAATTAGCAATTAGCTCCGCTCAATAAATCCTACTCTATCCTCAAAACACCTAGAATAAGATAAACAACATGTATTGGGTAAAAATTAGAAAGAATTTTGTAGCATGATGTGTTTTATTCATTTCATTTTTCTATATTACAGACATTGTAAAAATTAGAAACCAGCATCTCTTTGTTCTTAGTTCTAGAATTCTAGGCTAAAGAAATGTCTGGCCCAGGAAGTTTTACCCCATTCAAAAAGAATCATGAACTTTCCACTCTCTTTCTTATAAATGAATAGGCAGCTAGTCAAGCAACAACCAAAGTTCTGGATACCAAATACTACCTAAAGTTCTGAACATCTCATCAAGAAAAATGAACCTAAGTTATGAGGATTGATAGATACTATTCTTCTGAAGAAACTTAAGAATTCTTGATCTGGGACAAGTTACTTGGTCCTGCATGAAACAGTGTTACTTGTCTAGAAATTGACAAAGAGTCGATGAGGGAAGATAAGTCATATAAAAGATCAATTTATTGTCAGACAGCTGGGACAGGAAACCTCAAACTAGTACTTTGTGAAAAATTTACATTAAATTGAAGAAAATAGTAACAGAAAATGGCATATCACATACAGATGGTGGAAGGACTCAACTGAATAGTCATGGAACACCATGCACCAGAAGTGAAGTGAATACATGTAGTATCAACTTTAAAGAAAGCTTGGATTGCTGGAATTTAGCAGTTCATCCCAGACAAAGTCCTCCTTTAATACTGATTTTAGTTCATTTTACTGTTTTTTCCCCACCTGGATTGTAACAGAAGATAGCAATTTGCCAACTTTAAATTATGATACAGATGTACAGTAATATTGTTTTATAAATAAATAAGTTATAATTCTAACCCACATAAATTGACTTGGCTTTTATATAAGTTGAAATGGGGAACGACTGGGATTTCTAAGCAAAAATGTTTTCAGGAATAAAAACAGTGGATAAAAATGTTCAACATGGTAGCCTTGTACATAGCAGGCAGGAAAGAAAAGGTGCAGTAAGTGGAAAGGCTAGTTTGGAGGCTGTTATAGTGGTGTAAGTGTGAGGTAACAATTTTTTTGTTTTTAAAGAAAAGACACGCTTTGAGAGGCCGAGGCAGGAGGATCACTTGAGGCCAGGAGTTTGAGGCCAACCTGGGCAACATAGTGAGACCTCATCTCTACAGAAAATTTAAAAACTAGCCAGGTTATGGTGATGTGTGCCTGTACCCCCAGCTACTCAGGAGGCTGAGGTGGGAGGATCGCTTGAGTCCAGGACTTGGAGGCTACAGTCAGTTGTGATCGTGCCACTGCACTCTGGCCTGAGGACAGCGAGATCTTGTCAACAAAAAAACTACAAATACAAATAAAACAATAATATAAAAACTTTTTAAAAGGCATAATTAAGAAAAGATATTAAATACAAAATTATAAAGTTTGGCAATTGATTGGTTAAGAACAAAAATGCCAGGTGGAAGGCTCAGCAAATCGGAGAGAAGATGTTCTGCTAGAAGTCAGTAGGAGTAGCTGGATGATCCATGAAGAAGCTAAAGAGCAGAACATCAGTGAGACTTACAGATATGAGACACACAGACAGAGAGGGATAAAGATCTTATGAGTCATCCATATGAAAATGGGGGATGTAGAATTCAAGAGAGAAGTTAGGTAAAACAAGGATTTTGCAAACATATAAAATGACTATTAACATCATACGAGTAGTTAAGATTATAAAAGCATTTTAAAATTACAATAAAATCAAAGACAGAATGTTGAGTAAAAATGACATTTTAAGGGGACAGAAGGAAGATACAGAAACAGGGATTTTTATTCATTTTTGTTTGTTTGTTTGTTTGTTTGTTTGTTTGTTTTGAGATAGAGCCTCGCTCTGTTGCCCAGGCTGGAAGTGCAGTGACGCAATCTCGGCTCACTGCAACCTCCGCCTCCCAGGTTCAAGTGATTTTCCTGCTTCAGCCTCCTGAGTAGCTGGGTTTACAGGTGCTTGCCACCACGCCCAGCTAATTTTTGTATTTTTAGTAGAGATGGGGTTTCACCACCTTAATCAGGCTGGTCTCAAACTCCTGACCTCAGGTGATCCGCCTGCCTCGGCCTCCCAAAGTGCTGGGATTACAGGCGTGAGCCACTGTGCCTGGCCTTTATTCTTTCATTTTGTCAACACCTACTGCTCTATTAAGTGCCACGCTAAATACTAAACTCATAAGAACCAAGACAGAGATGCGTGATGTATATTTGGAATCCAAACACTATAGTCACATTATTTTAATAGTGGCCTTAATCAAGAAATTTAGGTTAACTTGAGAACACGTGGACACAAAGAGGGGAACAATAGACACTGGGAATTAACTGAGGGTGGAGGGTGGGAGAAGAGTGAGGATCGAAATCTACTTATTGGTTACCATGCTCACTACCTGGATGGTGACATCATTTGTACTCCGAACCCCAGTGACATGCAATTTACCCACATAACAAACCTGTACATGTACCCCCTGAACCTAAAATAAAAGCTGGAAGGAACAAAAATCGAGCTTAATAGAGCATGCTTTATTTTCTTTTGTTATGTTTACAGTGATATATTCTTTGTGCAAATATCTCTTGAGAACCAAATACCTAAAAGGAATTTGACAAATTCTAAAAAAATTATTAATATAGTTTCAGAAGTTACCATAAATATAGTCATTTTTTTCCTTGAAAAATACAGTGAATCACTAGAGAAATGGAAACCCTGCAAATGCAGAATTTAGCACGTGAGAAGTTTTCAAAAGATTTTGTTAAAAAGAAAATATAAGAAATGAAGTTTTTGTTCCTTAACATGTCAGAATTCGGTGAAAACAACATGGGTTTATAAACACAACACAGTCTTTGTTAACTGAAAGAATCCATTAGTCGAGTTTGCGGCCATGTAGTAAAATGGCTCCCAAGTAGAGGGACCATCAGCAGGGTGAAATGACTGTACCAAGGAGAGGTGGAACAATTGCCTATTTCTTTTACAATGGATTCTACTTCTATTTCTTACATGGTTGTTTAGTCTTAGTTTTGCTTTTAAACTTTATGGTTTCACATGTAAAGACTCTTTCATGTTCTGGTATTTGACTGCAAAATGTTATTTCTGGACACCTAAAAAAATAACTTTGAAAACTGGTATTTATTTTACACAATCTGAACAGAGAAAAAAATACCAAGAGTGTCTTATTCAAAATAGAATAGCCCAGAGTTTACATTTTTAAAAAATTTAGTAAAAAGTGAATAAAAACTTGCATTTCAAAAGAATGAAGTTCTGAAAATGATCACCGGGGTGAATCCTGCTTTAATTCTCTGCTTAGAATTTCTGTCATAAAACCAAAAGAAAAAAATATTTCTTGTTTGTTTTTTGTTTTCAGAAACAGGATCTCACTCTGTCACCCAGGCTGGAGTACAGTCATAATTCAATCTTAGCTCACTGCAGCCTCAAACTCCTGGGCTCAGGCCATCCTCCCACCACAGCCTCCCAAGTAGCTGGGACTAGGCGTGCACAACCATACCCAGCTAATTTTTTTAATTTATGTTAGAGATGGAGTCTTGCTATGTTGCCCAAGCTGGTTTCACACTGCTGGCCTCAAGTCATTCTCCTACCTTGGCCTCCTGAAGTGCTGAGATTATAGGCATGAGCCATCGCTCCTGACCAAAATTTACTTTTTAAAGCAATTTATACACCAAATAACGTTAATTGGATTACAGCCAGGTGAAAAGTTCCCTGAGAACCGACACCCTACAGATATGTTACCAGAAACCACTGTTAAAACTAAAGAAATAAAAGTAATCCTGTACACTAGCAATGCTGTACTTGGCTCATTGTCAAAGATTCCTACTGACAAGGAATCTGCTTATTTTAACTCTTGGAGCAGGCCAGTATATTAAAAGAACATTGCATTAATTAAAAAATAAATTTGCCCTACATATTATAATGTTTAGTTGAATATCATTTCATAATAATTATGCTATCCCAAAGCTTCAAACAATGCTATTTTAATCATTAAGAAAATTTTCTGTTGTTCATATACTGTCTTTCATCAAAATTATAAGCTTTTCTGTACATAATATTATGAAAGGCATATTTATCAAATGTTCTAATTGTCTCTAACATTGACTCTGCTACAGACTCTCAAATGCACACTGAAATCACCATCTTTAGGGAAAAAATTAAGATGAAAATGTATATATATATATCTTTTAGAAAATTATATGTAGTAAAACTGAAAAAATAATTGACTTTTCAACTATTATCATTTTTACTTTAGGTTCTTGAAAAAGAAAAAAACAAGTAAGTACAGACTTACCCTACAAAATGCCATTATTCAGTACCTTGGTCTGATTTAAAAGTCTATCTTTTTAAATCAATCCTCCAAGAAAGGATAACAAAAACTATACCTACACAAAAAGGAATTTTATTTTACCAATATTTTCAAATGCATTTACAAATTATGGGCTTTACTGTGAGCACAGGCAAAAAAATATAGCTTTCCAACTAATGTCCATTTTCCCCTCTAATTGAAAGTCAAGTGTTTTCAAGGAGGGAGGGTCATAGAGCATTCTGATCAATCTTCAAGTATCATGGGTGTGATGCTTGATCCATGCATCATACCCATGGTGCTCCAGCAGAGCTGATTTTTAAACCGGGTTTTATAGGATGAAAGTATGTTTTTTAGTGGAAGAGGAAAGAACATTTCAGGCTGAAAGGACAGCCTCTGTAGAAATACCAAGGCTGAATGCTATGTCATCATGGCCCAGCATTGTGGAGTGGAGAAAGCAGCAATTCCTACACTGACTTGGGCATCACAAGAAGAGTACTTTTTTCAAAAACCAGATTTCCAGGCTCTTGTCTAGAAATAGAAACTCCCAGATTGGAGCCTGAACATCTGTAAGTGTTTAGGAAAGCACAGGACGTATACTGAATCTTATTCAGTTCTAGATTAAGCCTGAAGTGGTACATACCTCATCAGGATGACTACATACTTGTAAGTAAATAATTTCATTTTCATTTTATCTAAAAAAATTTTTTTAATGCAAGAAATTCTTACAGAAAGTATAGCATATTGGCTGGGTGCGATGGCTCACCCCTGTAATCCCACCTCTTTGGGAGGTCGAGATGGACGGATTACTTGAGGTCAGGAGTGCAAGACCTGCCTGGCCAACACGGTGAAACCCTGTCTCTACGAAAAATACAAAAATTAGCTGGGCATAATGGCACATGCCTGTAGTCTCAGCTACTTGGAAGGCTGAGGTGGGAGAATCGCTTGAACCTGGGAGGTGTAGGTTGCCGTGAGCTGAGATTGCACCACTGCACTCCACCCTGGGTGACAGAGCGAGACTGTCTCAAAAATAAAAAAATAAGAAAAAAGAAAGTATGGCATAAATTGATTTTGTTGTTACCATCATTGTATTTTATTTATTTATTTATTTTTTAGGTGGAGTCTCGCTCTGTCGCCCAGGCTAAAGTGCAGTGGCATGATCTCGACTCCCCGCAACCTCCGCCTCCTGGGTTCAAGCGATTCTCCTGTCTCAACCTCCTGAGTAGCTGGGACTACAAGCACGCACCACCACACCCGACTAATTTTTGTATTTTTAGTAGAGACAGGGTTTCGCCATATTGGTCAGGCTGGTCTCGAACTCCTAACCTCAGGTGATCCACCCACCTCAGCCTCTCAAAGTGCTGGGATTACAGGCGTGAGCCACTGTGCCCAGCATATCATTGTATTTTTAATAGCTAAGACATGGCTAGAAAAGCCACAGGAAGGGCATAGGTACTCACATTTATGCTCCTTAAACAATGAAGTGGTTAAGCTATATTCAATCAATACTGCAATATTTAAAATAGGCCAAACTCTTTCTTCCAAAAAATAGTAATAGAGTTTGACTAGGATGAACTACAGGTCTGAATTTCTCATCTGACATTCCAGAATAACATTGATGCATCATAATAGGCTTGGCCTTTGGAAGTTACTGAAATATTAAGAGTCTCTAGACTTGCCAGTTTCTTAATACATCTGCTCCTGATCAAAAGTGTTTGCATACAGCTATGTTGACAATGTGACTATTACTAGCCAATAACATCTTTCTAATGACTGCTGAAATTTCGTTTTTAAAAAAATATCACTCATTCAACTCTACTTAGTAAAATGTTCTAGCTAAACAGTTAAAATAGGCTGTGACTTAAGCTCCTTTACCAGATTTCATTTGGCCTTCATGGACTCATTCCCCAGGACCCAGAGTTGGGAGTTTTAAGGTTTCCTCATAAAACTATGAGTTAATTCAGTTGACCATCATTGAATTTCATGTGTCCCCAAATACACTCAATTTAAAATGGCTATCATGGGTGGCACGCATGTTCATGCAAAGCAGAATTGTCTCAGCAGAAACCTGTAACAGAGCAGAGCTCAGATTAATTGGAAATCTATCTGGCACATGTTTGGCATGCAGTCTATAAGACAATATTCAGATGTGCAACATGGATTCATGTGATGGTAGCTTATCAGTTTCTCCAATCAGAAGTTCGAGGAAGATTAGAACCTCATAAGAGATACAAATCACAGCTCAGTCTCTGAGATTCAATCTGAAGGCCTGAAATCTGTGGCTGTGTTAGTGGCAAACTCTCTACTCTTAATTCTTTCAACTTCCTTTACATTCTACTCTTCTCCTTTTCCCCATACTTCTGCACTGGAAAGATAAATGGTAAATGTAAAAGGCGTAAATGGTTTAAAATGGAATATGTAAATGTTTGAAAAGAATAATTCTTACTCAAGTCCTTGAAGAAATCATCTTCTTTATAAAAGGGATGTGTGTGTTTTCTCACAAGCTGAGCTTCAAATTATCTAACAAGAATTATAGGACACAGAGAATGGAAATAAAAAGTGGCTTGTAAGATGTCAGGCGATAATACACCTCGGGAGGTCAGGCTGGGTTGCTTGATGAGGGCCTTTTGGTCACTGCCAGTTCCGATTTAGGAATATACTATTGATGGCCACACCAAAGAGGCCTGAAGGAAGTGCAGACTATTAAATCACTTGTTTACCTCAAGTGAGCACCAGTGGTACTCAGTCAATGATTTTATTGATCCAAATACTGTTCAATTAAGTGTGTTTATTTTGATTCTGTGATTAACATGCATTGCAGAAGACATACTCACAGTGAAACAAAGTCTAAAATTATCCCTTTCACTCCCCTTATCTTGTCCTTGTATCCCAGTGTCACTTTGATTTAATGAGTTATGCATTAAATGAACAGATATTATAACGTTGAAGAGTAGTATTAAGTGCAATATCTAAACTCTCAGGCCTTCTAAAAATTCATTTTCTTAGACCAGTCAGTGAACATGGCAGGAGTTAGTAATTAAACGTAAGGTTCCTGGATGCTAGGTAAAGGTCCAGTTGTATGGCTGCTGATAAAAGAAGCAAGATCGATATTGCCGCCAAAATTGCCAGATTCAAATTACTAAAACAATAGTCAAAGAAAGAAAAAATAGAAGTGCAGTATATTTGGTCCAACCAGAGAAGGTGGTCAAAGCATAATTCTAAGGGTGTCAAGAGTGGAATTTGGTGTGGGTCTTTGCTTTCACCCAACAAGCATATCTACACCATCCAAACGTCCTTTTTCTAACCACTACTTAACACACAATGCCTTCATTTTCTGCTTATTCCTCTTGTACATCCTCATTTATCCCTCTAGCAACACATTAGCTGGATCTATTTATGTGGAAGCACTCTGTGCCCAAACCAATCAGCAACAATTCCCACATAACAATACAACTGGAGAGAACACTATTTCTGAGATTCTACTGAAAACTTCAACATGCCATTGAATGAAAGCTGGAAAATATGACCAAAAATGCTGGCTGGAATTCTTCAGAAACTTTTCTGCTCCTGTCTTTATTATAGCTAAGGCTAAGAGCATGGTCATCTCTGAAACAGGAGGAGTACACAAAAGCTTTGACCACTCTTTTCCCCAAAATATACACATTCTGAAAAAAAGTGGTTTTAGATGGTGATATAAGGAATGGGAAACTCTGGAAATAGAGACTTTCTGATTATTTTTAAGGTGTCTCGATTTCTATCTATACCACAAAGCCCTTCCAGATTGCTCAGGCTGTTCAGGGTAGGGTTGCAGGGCACCTTTCTTTGTTCTTCCCGCCAAATACAAACTTGCCTTGTTTCTGCCCAAAAGATACATTGATGACTTCTGAGTCTTGGCCCACACAAATGCAAATTTAATAACTCATTCTAGTTGTCTTAGTTCATGAGATTTTATACTTGGAGATAAGGATGGAGAGTAACCACTGGACTTGACCTTGCTCCTGGCCATTGGAATGTGGTCTTCACACCTCTTGCCCGAGTTGATATTGAAAAGGATAAGTTTCCAGCTGAAATTTCTTTATTTATTTTTATTTTCTCCCCTAACAGAGCTGTAGTTTTTCAACTGATGAAATTCACAGAATTTAAACACATAGATCTCATTCATGGGAACACAGCCACCTCTCTATTGCATTGCTTCATGGCTAAACTTCTCTGGAGAATGAATTATATTCCACTTTTGGAATTCACTGTCATCTGTTCCTAGTCTCCAGATATTCTGAACCCTCTGTATAGCATTTGCTGCACTTCATCATCTTCTCCTAGCAGGTTTTCCTTAGTTTGTTTCCCTGATCCTCTACTCTTGTAATTTTCTTTTTAATCTTTCAGACAATTTCCTTCATTGTCTTCTCCTTTCTTATCACCACTCCTATGTAGAGGTACTTCCATGCATGCCTGGTTTTACTTGGAAATCTCATCCTCCTTTAATTAATATATCTATAAATTCAATTGATGTGATTTTTCAAAACTATATCAGAGCCCCTGATCTCTGCAGTTTGACTTCTTCCCTTAGATGTCCTGTAAAAACTTCACACACAAATGTGCTACAAACTGTACTCATTGCTCCTTTTCCCTCAAATAATGTTCCTTTTTGTTATCTATTTCTGGCACAACTGCCTCCCTCAAATAATTTTCCCTTTTGTCACCTATTTCTAGCACAATTGCCCTCTCAGTTGTCATGTGTTTAAAAAACAGCTTAATAACTTGTAACTCTTCTGACTTTCTTTACCTCCCATATAGCCAGTTTTCAAGGTTTGCAAATTTTATTTCAGAAAAATCTTTTAAATACTTCCCCTCTCCCCATTTCAATTCTTACTTCAAGTCTCTGTTTACCTTATGTCTCTACAGCATTAAAGGTGTTTTCTCCTTGACTCTTTCTCAAACCAATCCATCCCACACTTTTTTTTTTCCCCAGTAGGTTTTGGGGAAACTGATTGTATTTGGTTACATGAGTTAGCTCTTTAATGGTGATTTGTGAGATTCTGGTGCACCCATCTCCCAAGCAGTGTATGCGGAACCCATTTTATACTCTTCTTTCCCTCCCTCCTTCCTGACTTGCTTTCCCTCCCTTTCTCTCTTCTCCTTTCTTCCCTTCTCTCTCCTATCTCCTACTCCTTTCTTCCTTCCTTCCTTTTTGTTCTTCCTTTAATATTATAAACATGTTTTAAGCACCAGGGAATACAAATAAAAAACAAGCAGAATCTCTCCCATCAGAATTTTTCTAGATGAACCTTACACAAGACTCTCCTGACCAAAACTAAAAAAGATTTCAAAACACATACAAAATAAAGTTCATATTATTTTACCTAGCATTCAACAATTCTCTTCCACTGCCATATACACCATATATAAATGGTCTAATATCAACTTATATTTGAGGTCTACCTTATTTTCTGTTGCAACCCAAATAGTTTTCATTCTTCAAAACAGTTGCCCCATGACTTTCCTTCAATGATCCACAATACTAACTAGCAATCTGAGACTGAAAGTTACAAGTACATTTTTTCAGGAGGTAAGAAGAAGACAATCATGTTTAATAATTTTAGAGCCTGAATTTCTTCTCAAAGGCTGGGACCTATAAATATAACAAACATTATATATTCATATCACTTGTGAATGATATTAAAATTGTAACATTAAATTTTGAATTGTACATTGTTTTTCTCCTGACCATTCCATTTACTCGTGATAGGCAAGAATGCCTATAACAACATGGAATTATTCATGCTTTCATTATACCTTTTATTATCCCTCCCTGCTTACCCCCATCTTTGCATGCATCAATCCTATAAAATATTCTTAGGCCCAATTAAACAACTATCTCTTATGAAGCCTTTCCTGATCACTCTAATGGAAAGAATTGCTTGTCCTCTTGCCTGCCCCACTAGATATCCACATTTAAATACACTATCATTGAATTTTCTTAAGAGTGAACTCAGGCACACTTAAGGAGTGGGTATATCAAAATCTTTTGTTTCTTGATTCTTAGATAATATTCCAAAGGAACCATGAGGTAGTTATATCATGATCTCTTAGAACCAAGGTTATCACAGTTGATAGCTCCTTTCTTGCTATTTTCAAGGAGCAAGATGAATAGAAAGGGACAAAAAATAAAGGCTTAAGAATAACAGTTTTTAAAGTTTTGAAATTGAACATGGACTTTTAAAAAAAGGAACCACAATCAAATGTAACATAACAGTTTGTTCTTGGAGAAGGTTCTAAGTATCCTAACCCTGTTGTCTATGACAGAATGATATGGTTTTGCCAGCCTTGCACCTTAGTCACTGCTGATCTAATGATTCAAAAAGGGGAGGAAAAGCTTCCTAAATCATGGTTCCTGCATAAGCTGCCTTACATGGGTCTAGAAGAATTTAGTTATGAAAAAAAGCAGACCGGGCATGGTGGCTCACAGCTGTAGTACCAGAAGTTTGGGAGGCTGAGGCAGGTGAATCGCTTGAGCCCAGGAGTTTGAGACCAGCCTGGGCAACATGGTAAAAC
Source organism: Homo sapiens (assembly GCF_000001405.40). Classification (NCBI taxonomy): domain Eukaryota; kingdom Metazoa; phylum Chordata; class Mammalia; order Primates; family Hominidae; genus Homo; species Homo sapiens. Next base: position 76,738,906 of record NC_000008.11, on the reverse strand, counting down.
CCCATCTCTACCAAAAATACAAAAATTAGCTGGGCTTGGTGGCGCATGCCAGTGGTCCCAGCTACTGGGGAGGCTGAGGTGGGAGGATCACTTGAATCCAGGATGTCAAAGCTACATTGCACTCCAGCCTGGGTGACAGAGCAAGACTCTATCAGAAAGAAAGAGAGAAGGAGAGAGAGAGAGAGAGAGAGAGAAAGAGAGAGAGAAAGGGAGGGAGGAGGGAGGGAGGAAGGGAGGGAGGGAGGGAGGAAGGAAAGAAGGAAGGAAGGAAGGAAGGAAAGAAGGAAGGAAGGAAGGAAGGAAGGAAAAAGAAAGAAAGTAGAAACAAATCTTGTTCCACTGATTCCTTTGGCTTTATACAAGAAATATGGATAGACAATGAATATTCTAAATTAAGCAAATCGGTGGCTTTGGTTCAGTGATGAAAGTTTTGGAGAAATGTTACGGTAGTTACAAAGACTATGGAGATGCCATCACTTTTGTTCCACTTAGGCAACCTGAACTTGCTACATGATCAGCCATCTTTCAGAATCAGCTTACCAAATATTTACCTGATCCTCACACTTACTGAATAATGATGTGAGTACTTATCCCTTAACCGACCTGGTTACATCAGCATAACTGTGTGAGCACCATCAGACGACACATTCATAAGCCTCAGGATCTTAATGGGGGCACCTAGGGTTCAGGGGCAAGGCTGGGTGTCCTGAGAATGTGGCTTTTACCTACCCACAAGCAAAACAAAATTTTGGATACATGTGCCACTAAAAATAACCTCAAGTGCCACTTTCACAAAGCCTTCCTCCTACATGTGATGCCTTAGCTCATTAATTTGTGAGGTGCTTAGCTCTACATATAACTGAATCACTAGTTAAATTCTAAAAAATAAAAATATTTGTTCTCTTTATTTAAGAATTAATGCCACACTGTTCCCTTCCAGAGGGATCTCTGTCCTGATTCTTAAATGTATAAGTAAGAATTTAACCTCACAGGGCATGAAATAATTCAAATTGAAGAGACACAGTACCATTTCTGATTGGCTAACACTACTGCTAACAAGTTATGATGGATTCTGACAAATTCATGGTGAATATAACCACTTTTCACAAACAGCCTATCCTACATGCAATTGCAATTAGCTTGTCTCCATATAATAGCTTAATAGGTAAATTCATAAAAATAATTACCATTTTTATCACTTATTATGTTCCAGGCACTATGCAAAGCAGATAACATTATCATATGTAATCCTCACAAAACCTTATTATATAGGTAGTAAAAGAATCCCATATTATAAATGAAGAAACGGAAGGTTAGAGAGGTTAAGTAACTTGCTCCATGTCACACAACAAATATGTGACCAGGCTGAGACTTAGATGCAAGTTTCTCTGACTCCAAAGCCCTTAATTACTATAATGCTCTGCCTAATAAGCAACTGAGCAAAGTACAGAACATCTAGAAAAATCTTAAACATCATGGTCTTAGTCTATACAGGTAATTGTTTATTTAGTCATTAGTGAAATAATCCATCAGAATAAAATGTCTTATGGCCATTTTATGGCAAGGTAATGAGAAGACAAATGCACAAGCTTTTTAAATGCCCTCTGATATTTTCTTAAAGTCGAAATATTTTTTAAAAATCTGTATCAGTTATAACTAAGGAAAGGTCAAACTGGGTAAGTATGTGAGAGAGGGTAAATTTACTCATAGTACTCAGAGATGTAGCTCAGCAGATACAGGTTTATTACCTAGAGCGTAAAACACTGTGATTGTAGATAGGGAAAACATCAGAGCAGGTTCCACCAGTAAATCCATTTTTAGGATTTGGTAAACAAGTGTTTAAATTCTAAGAATGATTTTGATCATGAAAGCAACTGTGTATTTACTGGAAGTAATCAGCTTCAGGAGGGAGGCAGAAAAGTCTAGGTTAAATGCTCATGTTTGTAGTGTCCCATTATTCACATGTGTCATCTGATGCTCAATGTTCCTTTTATCTGTGATGACATAATGCTGGGTCTGGATGCCTGAGAACAGCTTCAGGACTACTCCTACAATTAATCAAGGTATTTTTACCTTCCTTTTTTGAAAAACTTGAAAGACAACTTACGATTTGAAATTACCTGCATTTTTGCAATATAAGCAACCATTAATTCATGACAAGCTGCTCAAAAATCAATTCTATATGGGAATATTCCAGTTACATGTCCTGAAATCTGGCAAACCTTTGTCTCAATGGCTAGAAATTATCTGGCTGAGGAAGTCAGTGAGCCAAACTACATGGACTGTTCTAACCTCATTCTTCCAAGTAAAATCAGAGGCATAAAAAGATTCTTTGTTTCTGTTTTTCACACTATATTTCTCTTTTTGATCTGCTTACTTAGTATAGCTCTTATGTTTGTCTAAGAGAATATGGCCCAGATTTTTATATCAGTTTAATATTTCACCATAATAAATGTTTTCTTTAGAAGACATTCTTGTCCATAAACTGAAATTCAAACCACAAAAGGAAAAGTTTATTAAGAACAAAGTAAACTTGGTCAGAAATACACTAACTAATTTTATTAATAAAAATTCAATTTACTGATTTCTCAAACTAAATTCAAAACACAAGTTTATCTCGTTTTTTTTCAAGGCTTGACTTAACAGCTTATCCATTCATTTTACACAAGTCAGTCCGACTACACTTTTATATTAACCATACATGCCACTTCCCTTGATTGAAAAATGTTGTTAGGTTAAAGTCAGTTTTTTTTTTTAAATTATGTTCTAAGCCCTAAAGGATAAACATTTATCCACTAAGACAGAAGGATAAAGATTTTAATGGCATCTTGCTTTAGGATTCAAAATAAATAAGGCAAAGATGAGTTTCCATCTTCTTAAGACTAAATTACAGAGATTAAAATATATAAACACAAAATGAATGTGTTCCATTTGCATATTATATTCCGCTCTTAAAGTTGATATTGAAGATTAAGGGTCACCATTTAATCCTCACTATCCTAATCCCTAAAATTACAAAGACAGGCATAAGTGCATGTCTGCTGCACTAAATTACCTTGAAAGAAAGCAAATTCCGGATGAAAAGGGAAGCATATTTATATTATGGTGATTTAAAATCTGTCGCCTAAACACATCTTCTCCCCTCGATCCATTGACCTAAATTGCACACTAAAAGCTTGTTTGTCTGCAAATGGGCAGCTAACACTTTGAGACAATCCAGAGATTCTTCACTTATGCAGAATCATGCCAACAATTTTTCTGACTACAATAAACACTGTCTTGTTCATATTCCACAGAAACAGAAATTGTGTTATAAAACAGAAGACTTTCTTTACAGTTTTAAAACCATTTCCTGGATAGTTAATTATGAAAATTCAGAACTCTGGATATAAGAAGTTGTGGATGCAAAAATATTTATAAAAACATTTCACTAAAATACTACCTAATCAAAAAAATATTGCTAATTTTGTTGAATTCTAATTCTTTTTTGTGTGTGAAAATAGAAAAGATGAGCTTTTTTCCATGGTTGAAAAATGCTTTATAGGCAAGGGTTTACTTCCCGGATATTCTTGTAACACTTTCTGAAATCTGAAGACCATTGTGATGAATTTTCTAAGCAAAATAAACTCAACTCACAGATTCACCTAGTGGCTCAAAAACCTACAAAATTCTTATTTTCTTTTGGAAAGCTCACATTAATATCAATGTGCTTATGTACAATAAGAACAGCATAATGGAATGGCAGAATAGCATACACTTGTAAAAGATCAAATTTCTTCCTAGGTCCTGCTGATTTCGTCAGATATACATTTACTTCATAAGATCATTTTCTGAAATCACATTATATCTATCAATCAGATCATAACCCTAGGATAGACTTGGTTCCTCTAGAAATCTATTCTATCATCAATAGAGTATCATGTTTCTTCCTTTAAAATATGCTTCAAACAATTTTGTGTATGTCTGAAGAATGGGATCCCCACTGTTAAAATCTATGCTATTTGTGTGCACATGTAGCAATTTGTATAAATTCAGGAAATATTCTTATTACATGTTACAGTGCACTGAAGACTAAAATATGTCTGTGTTCTTGAATATATTTCAAAGACTACACAGTGTGATGCTGAATTAGTACGATGCCATCTTTACTACTGTAAACATATATTTGAGAATATTTGAAAGCACACTGAAAATGCTTTATTGCAAATCTTTATTTTATGTAGATGTAAAAACTACAATGAAGAGGTCTAATCATCTTAAAAGGGAGAGTACACTGCAAATGATCCAGTGATACTCAGCATTTCAGGCCAAACCCCTGCTGTTTAGCCACAGTAGTTACAAAAGCAGACTAATGAAAGCTGCAAAAATTATAATTAATTTTCATTCTAAAGAAATTATTCTGCTCTAATCAACTGCCTATCAAATGTCAGTGCAAATTACGCTAAAGAAAAAAATATTAGGCCAGGTTTACAGAGTAAAATTTTCCGTGTACTGTATTAGAATAAAGAATGCCTGTGTGGGAATTACTTTTAATGAACAACAAATTACAATTACTAAACTAAATGAACCATCTGCCTTTTTTTGTTTGTTTTCACGGCCTCACTGGTGCAGAATGCATTGTCAGCTTAATTCCCATTCAAAATGGCAGACTGCCTCATCACCAGGCTCTCATGTCCATAACATTTTAACAGAAAATCTGTAACAGATGTTTTCAATTTTAGGAAGAGGACAAGTATGTTTTATAAATATGTTCTAAACATTAAAGGCTGGCGTTTATAATAATAAGGTACATGCCTTTTTCAGACTGGAGCACTGGGATAACTAAGTACTCCTAAGCCCTAAATTAGCACATAAAGTATTCATAGAGCAATACCAATAAAAACAAGTCCCGATGTACTTTATTAAACATTTCATTCAAGTAAATGTGTTTTGTCTCTATCCTCTAATAGGTGATCATTTGTTTCAAAGGGGCATGCATGAGGACATTCAATGATGACATCTATTATCAAACCTTTACTGAAAGGTTTAAAGTGGTTAGCTGGATACATCATCTGGCATCGGCATAAAACATTAAAAATGGAAAATCAGTCTCTTATTAGCATGTGTCTCATATTAGCTGGGCTTTCCCTGCTGAGGTTTGGGGACCATGATACTAAAACACTTGGAAGACTGACTTTTATCAGGGCCATTTATGGAAGAGAAAATCCGATCTGGGCATGATCTTAAAAAGAAGGAACAGCATATGAATATTATCTTAATATAAGGCAAAAGGAATATTTACTAAAGTAAATGAATATGTTTTCTTCATACTGCTATTTATGGCATTTACAAGTAGCACTGACTCAAAACTGCAAGGAGGACATACTTTAAAATAGTTCTTTAACATCCGTTATTAAATTTTTTTTCTTCCTTTAAATGAAAGGTATTATCCTGACAGCCCCTGGGGCTCTGGGTCTCCATTGATCCACTGTGCATGCACAGCACAGACAGGAGCAGTGTGAGCCTCTCACTACCACTAGTATGCCTCAGCACAGACGTGGGGGATCAGGTCTAAGGGAGACAGGAGAACAGCTCAGCTTTCATATTTACCCAGTCCTTAGTTTATCCACTGAGATGACCGAAACAGAAAAACCAAAAAAACGATTGGCAAAACTGATAGTTTATTTTCAAAGAGCAAAATGGACTGGTCCTCTATCTTTTCATGCTTTTCCTGGCATTGTTTCACTTTCATTTTAATTTAAAGCTTTGTACAATCCCATCCCCCAAACCGCCACCCCTGAACAATCATTGGAAATCCAGATTCCTTTCTGCAATTAAAAAACAAAAGAAAATTGTATTAGATTATTTCATGAGCTAGACACAGAGAGGGATATATGATTCCAGGCCTCTCCACAGGCTGGATGAGTCTCTGTCTAAATAGTCTCTGCTCTGAGTGGATATTTAACTCTCATCTGCAGTGGGAACTAAAATGTGCTTCTTTAGAAAAGCAGCTTGCATGCCAGGGTCCACTCAGTGTAATGGTGTCTGCTTTGAAGATTATTTTAATCTCCCCCCACCCTTATTCTGAAAGGAAAGACTGAAAAAAATGACAGCTCCATTATTAGAAATGCAGCTTCAGAAACAAACTAATGGAGAATCCTTCGAAGGTATGCTATTGAGGGAAAACCAGTTTTTAAAAGCCCTTGCCCATTTTTGCAATTGTATTTTATGATAGGAAGTCATGCTTTCAAAACATTGTTTTCCATATTTGCCTTTTATTTTGCATTTGGATCAATGGAAATCAACTAAGGCATTTTCTCTGTGCTTTATTTTCTTAGTTTTACCCTACAGTTATGGCCAAGTTAGAGGCCAAGTGTAGCCACTGCTTTTGAAGAACTCCAAGGGAATGTTTAATTTTAAGTGAAAATTACTTTCTGTAAATAATATATATATTATAATAATGTAGCTGTTATTAATTTTTAGCTACATTTTAAATTTATAGAATACTGCGAATATTAATAATTTAACAACTATACTCCTTTAACATATATATACACTTAGATATCCCATAAAACAGACTGCCCTTCTAAAAAGTCAAGCAATTTTGAAAAATAGTTACTTTTACCTGAATATGCCTTTATTAACCTGCTAATATTAATGACATACATAATTATACACTGATGAAGATATTCAACTCATGATAAAATATTCCTTTATGAAAAATATTGCATCTGAGAATTTATTAGAAATTACCATATATTTTACTCCTTACAAAAATGTGATCATGGTCAGGTGTGGTGGCTCATGCCTGTAATCCCAGCACTTTGAGAGGCTGAGACAGGCAGATCACTTGAGGTCAGGAGTTCAAGACCAGCCTGGCCAACATGGTGAAATCCTGTCTCTACTAAAAATACAAACATTAGCGGAGTGTGGAGGCACACACCTGTAGTCCCAGTTACTTGGGAAGCTGAGGCAGGAGAATAGCTTGAACCCAGGAGGTTCAGCTTGGGTGATAGAGCGAGCTTCTGTCTCAAAAATAATAATAATAATAATAATAATAATAATAATAATGTGTGGCACCAACAACTGTCACATAAAGTAAAAATTAATTATCATATCGCATTATAAAGATGCTAGCTAAAATTAGTAAGTCCAGTGTGGTCAGCATTCATTCCTTTGATTCCAAAATATATATTGACACTAATTTTGTTATATATTGATAGAATATTGTTCTACTTTACTAATACTGAAAGTGTGAAACAATGGACTTATTTAATTTCAAAATTTGAGATTATTTTATTTATATTTGTAATAAAATTTTTGCTAATATTCACAGACTGAGGAGGAAAGAAGTGGAGCAGCTCTTTTATTCACTCAAACCCATGTACTCACTGGCCATGTACTGCTAATAGCTGCATCGCATCACAGTCTCCCATTGCTAAGAAGATAAATGCCTTCAATTATACTGACTCTCAACTATAACCTGAAGAGGAAACAACCAATTCTTTCTTGACTCAGACAATGGGCTTCTCTCCCTTCTCCCCATCTCCAAACTTGACATCCACCTATCCAAATCCTGCTAGTATCGAGCCAAACACTTCCTGTTTTGCCCTACTAACTGTACTCTCTTTTAGTTGTAAAAGGGCTTACCACTTTGTAACTCTTTGTGAGCACTGTCTAGATAGCTGGTTTTACATATACAGGGTCTGAGAGTCTTATGAAAGGTATGGACACACTCTTCAGAGAGAAAAATGTGTGTTTTTGTATATACTCAGGACAGTCTCCTTCCACACCTTTCTGGATGTCTTCCATGTGTATGGGCCCCAGATGGGTAGCGTCAGCCTTTGGAGAAGCTTATCAGTAAAGAATGATTATTAGAGCACAGCCTCCAGGAGAGAAGCCAGGGTTCATATCCCAGCTCCTCAAATATCTGTATGATCCTGGGAAAGACACCTGACCTTGCTATGCTCCATTTCCTAATCTGTACAACTGCATGTACTTCAGTGGGCTGTTGTGAGGATCGAATGAGACAATGGACGTAAAACATTCCTCGCTACATAGAACTTAGCTATGATGTAGTGATACAAAACGGAGGAGCTTTATAGATGTCTTATTAGTTCTTTGTGTGTATCCCTTAACCATCCCCAAGTCAAGGACCAGGTGCTAATTAAGTTTGCATACCCCAGGGCACCTTTAAAATAGTTTTATTTATTTATTTATTTATTTTTTCAGATGGAGTCTCGCTCTGTCACCCAGGCTGGAGTGCAATGGTGCAATCTCGACTCACTGCAACCTCTGCCTCCCGGATTCAATCGATTCTCATGCCTCAGCCTCCCGAGTATCTGGGACTACAGGTGCCCATCACCATGCCCGGCTAATTTATGTATTTTTAGTAGAGATGTTGAGACCATGTTGGCCAGGCTGGTCTTGAACTCCTGACCTCAAGTGATCCACCTGCCTCAGCTTCCCAAAGTGCTAGGATTACAGGCATGAGCCACTGTGCTCGGCCTAAAAATAGTTTTAAAAGTACACTGTTGAAGAAAAACTCTTAATAAAGACATGAATTTTTGTAACAGCATATGATATGAACACAGTTTGCAGAATGAATACATTTTCTTCAGAGTTTAAAACTCTTCAGTCATTATCTCTTTGTTCACGTGGTCACAAAGCATTCTATTGGCCACAACTAAACCAGTTCCTTCTTTTTAAAAATAATACAGATGGACCTCTTTGGGGGATGGTTTTAATATTGCCTGTCTGCCAGGAAGGAGACTCCTCAAGGTCTCCTTTGTCCTTCTGATTCAAGATGAATTATTTTTTTCTAGAATCTTTTAATTCAATTATTCCAGAAGTAAATTACTTTATATTAACAAATAGAAACACAACAAACAAACACCAAGTTCTCCTTCGTTGCTTTGAAAATTTTTTTCTCCCAGTTACACGGAAGGATCTCTAGTTCTTTCTGATACACAGTACAAAGATTCACATGGCCTAGCTTCACGTCCCTTTATTATTTCATAGACTTCAGTAAATTCTGCTCCTATTCTTCTTCTTTTGAGATTTATTAATACCAGCTTTTAGTCATCTGTAAACCCATACAGGCTGGCTGCAAGCATTCCTGTTACCCTGGTCTGGAGCTTTTCAATCTGTTATATGTCTTTTGGGGTGAAAGGTTCACATCTATAATATTTCTGTTTTGTTCATGCTGATGCAATAGAATTTTATAACATACAACAAAGAGCTAGAATCTGAACACCAGCATATGTAAAATTATGTTAAGAGAAAAGGGCAAATCCCAGGACCACTGTAAGAGGCAGAGTCTAAGAGGCCCCATTCTCGAGCCATCTATCTCATGGGAGTACTTTTCCAATTAATTGGAATAATATGTCACTGAAATTGAACAACAGAAATCATCTTTGCTCTCTAAAACCATGAAAATTAGATATTTTGTACAAAAAGTAAGTAAAAAGGAGGCTTGTTAATTAACAATTTAGCAGAATCATTTCAAGTCACAACTCCCCACTTCATAAGCTCCTCTTCATTCCTAACCAAATAAAAACAAAATATTATTCGAGCAGGACCATCGTTTCAGCCTTAATCCCATCAATTTACTCACAGATTTATTTAAGTTCTTACAAACAACTAACCTTCAAAGCAGAAGGCACACACGATATTTCTCCTCTTGTCAACTTGATGCTGGCTATCATTACAATGGTAGTAGATCTATAGGGTGGGGAATATGGAAATGAACAGAAACTGCTTCCAAAAATTCCATAAAAATTATCTTTTTATGATTGTATGTGTCCTATTAAAGGATTTTTAGTTAAACAAATTTTTGCTCAATCAAACCCTTTAAGAACCACTAACGAGCAATTTCAGAAAGAAAGTTGATGTACCAATGCTTTAGCATTAAATTATCTTTGACCTTGAAATATTACCATAGGCAATGAGGTAGTATTCATCATCATGAGATTATTTGGAGGTCAAGTCTCTCAAATAAAACTTACATTTTCCTAAAACCTATGAAAATGGTGGGAAATCTTCTGATCATCAGAACCAAAATCACTTATTTCAATAATTAATAGAACTAGTTGTGAATATGAATATTTAAAGAGTCAACACAAAGAAACCTTGATAATTCAGGGTAATCACTTCCATAAAGATTGGGGGGGTGCTCTCCCAGACTGTGTTAGTTGTCACTAATAACCTATTTCAAACCTGTGACTTTGCAAGGACCTCATTTTGATGGCCTAATAGTGTCAGGCACAGATTTCAATGTTTAAATTATTAAAAACCATGATAAAGGCCGGTTCTTCCACTTGCATTGAAAGGGTGTATGCTCTTCCTTTCATCTCTTGATTAACATGGGGCAGACTTTCCAATTTGTGGATTAACTATACCTTTTACTAGTTCTTTTTCACTCACTGATTTCCTGCCTCTTGGCCATTTCTTAGCTCATTTTCATATCCCCCAGAGGGGAAAGAGAAAATTAAACTCAAACCTATGGAATTTGCTCTAATGAAAGGAAAAGGAAGATATTGGAAACCAGTGGCTAAAATGAGGTTTGGAGATTTTCATACTTGCCTTGGTTCCAGTTAACCTAGAATATCGAGGGCCTACTTTATATGAAGTCATTTATCCTCCACCTCCACAACATGATTTAACCGTGACCAGGATGGGAAAGCTATTACACAAACCAGAACTTTCGTGAAGTTTCTTAAACAAAATTATATTAAGAAGATAATATAATTCTTGAGACAGATATATATTTAAGATGCAAAATTTCACAAAAACAACTTGGACTACACATCTTTCTGACTTCAAAATTATTTTTAGGTATTGGCCAAAAAAATAAAAATAAGGTATAATGGCTCAGAATGTAATAGGTTTCTGCTTATTTGTTGCTTTTACTGATAGAGTATTCCAGCTCAAGTCCCCCAAAGGGTTAATGCTGCTGAGTGAGATGAAATTCATGAGCATAATCCTAAACAAGTGAGGTGAAGTTCTATCAGGTCTATTTCAGCTATCAGGGATTACCGCTAGCTGTCTAATCCTGCTGAGCCTCGGGGAGGAACGTTCTATTGTATTTGAAATCCTGGCCAGGAAAGAACAGAAGGTTAAATGGGTGCCTTGCTCTGTAATCAAATATCACAGGCACTACTTATCTATTCAATGAACAACTGACGTAGAAAATCAATTAGGAACCAAATAGCTTCTTAGGAATTTCTACCCAGAAAGAAGCAAGATTTTTAAAAAACTGAATTTATTTGATATGTTTTATGGTAGACTACTATGAATTGTCAAGTTCCAAAAGTTGTTTTAGCTGGTTTCTGAAATATGTATTCCTGCAGGCTCTAAAGTTTCTGTGCTACTTGCTTGCAAAACCAGGAAGATTTTAGGAATAATGATACCACACTCCAGGACAGTGACTGAGTCACTTACCTAAGGAAAGGAGCAGCCATGCAAAATCAATCCACATGAAATACTGTTAAATCTGGATAAAGGTTCTCAGCAATAATGCAAATCTATATTATTATGTTTTTGTTGAGATGACAAATAATTTACCTCTTCTTAAATGCATTCCTTCAACAGTACATCATCTTCTGTGAAAATATTATGAGTGTTGAAAACGATGGAAGAAAAAAAAAATGTGGCTGCGGCCCCAAGAGCTCTTTGTTTCCAGCAGAAAGAGGCTCCTTTTGGTGGCCTGAAGGTTAACACCCTTGTCTCACTACCCTCTTGCCCTGCCTGTCACTCTCAGTAGATGTCACAGTTGATGCACGCAGACGAACAGGCTGACCTGGCCAGTCAGCTTGACCTTGGATAGGCCTAAGATCAAATATGGTTATTAATACTGGGGACAGTAAAAATGTAATCTTCCAGACACTGGAGAAGTGAGCTAGAAATTATGCAGTAGGCACTCCCTGTCAATCAGAAGCATCATGACGCTAAGCATTAAAATGTTCATCTGGACCTGAGCGGGAATTAAGATAAACTTCTTCTTTTCTGTTCTGTGAATGCTGTTGAGTGAAATTTGCTCAGGGCCTTTATATGCCCAACTTATCTGTCCTTACACTTTCAATTATTTTTGGACTCTCTGCTTTATGAGAGTTTTTATAAGGTAATCTATTTGCAGGCTAAAGCAGATATAATTGGAAAAATATTGCCCTTTCATAGTCAAGGAAGATATTTTACAAACGGGATGAAATACTTTTAATACTCTCATTGTAGTTCAACGTGCATATAATTTTAACCATGGGTTCTCATTCTCTATAATTGTTATTCCTTTTAACTTTTTCTCAGAATATATCCATAATATGAGTTAAAAAAGGGAAATATAAAAAGTCATTTAAATGCTCAGGCAAATACAAAATGTGTAACAGTAATAACTGCATTACTATCTCAAACCACTACTAAAATGAAAACAGATATTTAATCTAATATTCCTTTCATAATTTACACTTTCATTTCCATATTCCCAAGTTATGGGCCTCTTGATGAGATGGTCATGTGTCCATTATGATTTGGCCAAAATGTCTGACAAAAGGGTATCAATATTTCCAATAAAAAATGTAGTTTTAAAATCATCAACTTTTCATTTAAGGACAGATCCAAAACAACACAAATAAAGAAAACAAACTTCTTCAGTTCCTGGGAAGAACTTGCAGTCTGCATTACAAATGTCCATTTTAACAAAGCAGTAAAATCATTTTATTTGAAAAAAAAGATAGGCTCTTTTGATTTTTGTTGTCTGCAAATTTCCAAAAAAAAAACTTATTTAAAAATGTATTAGGACTAATGTATCTTAATGAGATTTTTTGCATAATGAACTATTCATTTGAGCTCTTCGTGAAGGTACACTCAAAGGCTTCACACCAGTGTCCCGAAGACTTTACAGGGTATGTAGCATTATGTTACAACAAACTGCCCCACTCCTTCAGCCTCCTGGTATTTCATATCAGTTGCTTCCTCAAGCAACACAAATCTATTAATGCTTTAATTTGTGACACTGCTAACTGGTATTAACAGATTATGACTTCGAAATGTCCTTGCTAACTGGTATTAACAGATTATGACTTCGAAATGTCCTTGCAATTGTACTGGCACAGGAGGATGATATATTTGTCATAGCAGTGCAAAATGTTTTAGGTCACAGAAACATATAATATTGTACTTTGTGTTTTACTTAAACAAAACCTCAAAAGGTTTACAGTACACTGATGTTTGCGCATTGATCAGTACCCTAAAATAAGGGAGGGCAAGAAACTTATGCCCTTCACTGATCTATATATATCAACTGGTAACGATCAATAAGCGATCAAACCTATCAAATTATTAGCCAAGTCTTGAAATAATTGGTTTGATTTTTTTTAAACCAAATCACTCAGCTGTTTCATTAATCTAACTTTTTCACTCTGTGGGGAGGGTTCTTGATTCGTTTATGTCTCTTGTGAAACATAAGCTGTATTGCCAATGGAACTCAGATACAGTTTGGCACAAGCATTTTATATTAGATTCATATTTTAAAACGTAGCTCTTGTGGCCAGTACAGAACCGCTAGACTATTTCAAGTTGATCTGCAGAAGTGGTAGTTCTTTATGAAATACACAAAGATTCAGTTTTTAACTTACAGGTAGTTAAATACGATAACTTTTCCAGATTAAAGTATTATGACAATGTACATTGTGTTGATCATAAGATTGTGTACCATATTTATTTGCTTGTTTTTAGCACTGATTGTCAAGGTAGCTGCCAATGCATCTGTATTCAATATTGTATTTGGGAGAAAAGTATGGGTTATAATTAAAGAAAATTGTCCAATTATAGAACATACAATACAGAGTTCCCTTTCATACACAGGATGAAGAGCTATACATACATATATACACACATCAATATCTACACATACACATCCCCCCATATACCTGTACACACACACTTATATCCAAATCTACACAGACAGAGAGAAAATATATGCTGCTATGAAGTGAAACTCCCAAAACAAACCTCAGAATCTGCCTTCCTAGAATAGCAAGGAAATGAAAAACTGAAGAATCATTACAGTGAGTTACAAATGAGCATGTAACCCAGTGGGCCTGTGGAAGTTGGCTCTCCTGAGACCTGTAAGATTCCTGTTCAGAAAATAGACTATATATCTGCTGCCTGGGGATATCTTCATGTACAAAGGAAGTGGATTTCTGCAACCATGATAAGGCAAAGCATGATTCCAAAAATTTACCAAAAGATATTCTTACAAAATTTGATCCAGAAGCTTTGAGTATTTTAAACCAACTTCTGGACTCAGAATATGATTTCTTGGCCCAACAGTTCACTAAAGTGCCAGACCTTCAACAAAAGAATGGCTCTTTTGTACAGAAAGGGTTTCTTTGAAAACGCTTGCCATTTTTCCTACTGCCATGAGATTTTTGTATATCAAAACATGTCAGACTCTTGTCCTAAGAGGCAAAACAATGTGAAAGATAGGGTAATACCATCAATGACTTACTTGGAAAGAGTATGCAGCATTGGCAGACCCTAGAAAAATCCTAGCCTGTCGTAGGAGAAGACTCACAGAGAAGAGCAGGCGACACAGTTTCTCTCTTCTGAAGAAGAGAGGAACAGATGCTAATGGAGCTAAGATTAGCATAATCATCATGTTCACCATCTTCTCTTGGAGCCTTAAGATCTACAAGCAACCTTCAAAGTTTTCTAGTCCAGTGGTCCCCCAATTTGACTGATTATCACTATCATGACCTTGGAATCAGGATGTTTTAAAACTTACAACAGGTTCATCTCCTTCAACCTTCACTATTATATTCATTTCAGATTTGTCAACTGGATATACAGCCATTTCTAGAATGCCTTTTCACATAATCCTTTCACGACTGCAAAAAGTTTGAAAAGGTCTTTCTTTCTGATAAAAATCTCAGTGGTAAATGTTTTTTGGGGTTTTTGTTTTGTTTTGTTTTCTATACCTGATAGCCAATATCAAGTAGAGTCCATTCATTCCAGCCCTGGCTACCTTTCTAACTGCTTCAATGCATGTTCCCATTCAAACTCGTCACTTTCCCCAAGATTAGAGGAAGAGTTTCATGTACACAAATCCGAAGGTACTGACGACACAAATGTTCCACGTCAAAAATACTAATTATATTACCTATTTACAATAAGTAATCATTTCTTTGTTTAATAGGTGAGTATATGTTTAATGCTTTACTGTCTCCTCCACTAAACCACAAACTCCCCCAGAGCAAAGCCTATGTCCATCCTGCTTGACACCATATCCTTATTTCCTAGCATAGAGTCTGGGAGAGTGGGCTCTCAATGAATGAATACATGAAATGAGTAATCAAATAAGTTAAAAAAAAAAAGCAAGGGAATTAAGAGATATTTAGTTATTTTTCCCTACATAATTTTTACTCTGCTTCCTGTTTATAAGAAAAACAAATAAACATATATTCATGGATTAAGCAAAACAATGGGAAACAAGCAACCTGACATATGTAATTAAATCAGTAATTTAAGATGAGATACCTGTTAAAGCTCAGCATAATCTCAGCTCTTAGAACTGCAGAAGTGATTAAGTTTGGACTAGATCTCAAAGAGCATTAAGTGAATGCTAATCTTCTAATTCTAATGGTAACTCAGAGCCCATTTTATAGATGAAAAAATTGTTGTATCATACCAAAGGCAAAAGGAAAGTAATGCCAGATACAGAAACTTTACACATTCATTTTTCAGCTGTGAGCATCACTTACTACTGCTCATTTGCAAATTCACACTTGGCTGACTTGAAAACTGGTATTTAAAAGTGTAATACACAGTTCCTTTTCTGTGGGAAAACTTCTAAGAAAGAATGTATATTGAAGTTAAAACATAAAAGAATACACAAATAGTTATTTTCTACGAGCTACATTCACTGCTTTTCAAGTTGATGAGTATGGCTACATTCCTCTTCAAAGCAAATTTCAATTGAAGGCCAATTGGGGAGATAAAGTTAAGAATGGCTTTTCAGGAATGACAAGTCCTAGATATAATAGTGTAACCAAGTACACTTACAGAAATTTAAAAATAAAGTGCCTTACCAATAATAAAAAAGCAGAAGTTATCTCCAAGTACAAAACGCAACACCAATAGAGTGGATGTACTGACAAGACATGAGTAATATTTTCCACACATAAGGAAAGCTTTCATCTCAGAATCCCTTTTTTTTCAAAGCTATTTTTGCACCTCAATTAAGATCTACAGAACTCAGTGGAGTGTTTTTTCTCCATTTACTAATATATTAACTAAGGTACAGAAATTCTTGCAAAAAAAAAACACATAAAAAGTGAGAAAGTCAGTTGGACACCTTAAGATAGAAAATACCCAACCTTGTTTTAAACTTTTCTTGAGTTACAGAAAGATATAGGCAGGTATTTGTGTATATTTTTCACTCTCTTTCTCTGAGACATTCCCCTATACCCTCCCACCATGTTCCATCCTCAGTATATTAATAATGGGAGGATATCAAAAATTGATACCCACCTCATTAAAGCTTATTAGGCTCATCAAGTGTTCATAGACATAAATACTGAAGTAGGCAGTCAATCTTTCAGTTTTACTGTGTTACAGACTCAAGAAAGCTGATGCAGAGAATCTTTTAGCATGTGATATGGTATAGGAGCTTATCATGTTTTCTTGCATAATTTCCCCTTAACTCATTTTAACAGTAAAACAGAAAGAAAAAATTACACAATGATAATGTTCTGACAGTAGGAACATTGGTAGCCCTTGATTGATCTCATCATACCCATGTCAATCAGCCACATGAAGATCTCCAGAAATTGAAAACTTCAAGAAACATTAGTAACTGTTTGAAACAAATAGGATTAGGCCTGAAATAGCAATAGATAAAATAGTAAGACTTTCAACATCGAATATTACATCAGATATGAGAAAGAGGCATATTCATACTTTTATACTCATAAAAAGAAAAAAAAATCCTGTCAGTTAGCAAGAAAAGTACCAGGAAATATTTAGGTTCATCCATACACTTACTATTATGAAAACATAAAAATCATACATACGGTCACAAACATCACATGGGTGGAGAGGTGGTGGTGAAAGAGAGAGAAGACTCCAATTATACTGTTACTGTACATTATTTTTCAACAATGTGACAACATCTTTATTGGTATGGAAACACAGAGACACTCTTTATCAAAGTTCTGCAAATCAGAAATCTAATTTTTCCCCAAATACCACAAGAAATCTAAATATTAATTCTCTAAATGATACAAAGGACTAAACACTACAAAAATGTGTTATATAAAGCACTAAAAATGTCCTTACAAACTTCTGGAATTCAGGAAAGCTGTGAACAGGGACAACTTACAAGAAAAAATAAAGCACAGAGAAAAAGTATAAGGTATTTGCTTCTTAAAACTGATGAGCTTCTTGAGGACGGGGAGAAGCTCTCCAGTTTTTCCCTTTGTGTCTGTCTCATTTGCCTTGGGGCCCAGAACAGGGCATTTTTAATCAATTAGGATAAATAAGCCTCTCTGTATTACTAGAACATCAAACAACATATACTTAAGTAGATTTAAGCTGTCATAAATGTACCAATTTTTTCATTCCTACAAATATAGCAAATTCAGTTTGTAGATGTTTTTCAAAGAACATAGTATGAACCAAATAAATGATTCACATTCAGACTTTATAAAGAACTAAAGCCTACATACTGGTATGAGTGATTTTTCTAATTTGTCAGCCCTCACTTCTCCTCCTTCAAAAGACTCTAAATCTTTACCTTTCTCATCATTCATTCTTTTCTTCCTACCTCAGGAGATACATGTCCCCCTCAAAGACCAACTATTACAGTTGCACCTGTATTCCCATCCCCTTCTGCCACAAACAGGGCCTTCCCTTCCAGGTATCCCCTCTCCAGGCAGCATCTCACTGTAATAAAGTGTTCTATTTAACAACGTGGGTGCTGAACCAGACAGTCTGAGTTCAAGTCCTGACTGAGTTATCACTGTTACTACTAGCTATGTGACCTTATATAAATTAAGATTTCATTGCCTTAGTTTCCTCATCTTCAAAATGGGTATAATAATAGTAGCTAATCTAATAGAATTGCTGTGAGAATTAAATAAGTATATATATTTGAAGAACTTAGGATATTATCATGACACCAAATAAGTGCTCAACATATGCTACCATCAATTTTCTTAACTGAGCTAGTCAGTCAGAGAAGAACAGAAGATGGATAAGAGACATTGAGAGAATGATAAAAATGTGAAGTATTCTTTAAAGGACAGGGGAGAAGGAACAAATCAGGCAAAAATTAAGAACAGACGGCAGTAATGTGAATCCAGTTAATATTATTGACTGTCAATCCAGCTGTTTCACTGCTATGTATATACCCTAAGAGAAAAGAGAGCATATGTCCACACAAAACCTTGTATATAAATGTTCATAGCATCATTTTCCATAATAGACAACAAGTGGAAACGACCCAAATGTCCAGCAATTAATGGGGTATAAATAAAGTGTACTATACCTATGCAATGAAAATTTGGTAATAAAAAGGAATGAACTGCTGATACATGCTACTGCACAGATGAACCTTAAAAACATTATGCTAAGTGAAAGAAGCTAGTCACAAAGGACCCCATATACTATGATTCCATCTATATGAAATGTCCAGAACAGGCAAATCTATAGAGACAAAAAGCAATTAGTGATTGCCTAGGGCCGGAGAAGGGAGGATTGGGGATAAGGGTGGGAAGCTGAAACAGTACAGGATTTCTTCTTGGGATGATGAAAATATTCTAAAATCAATTGTGGTAATGGCTGCATAATTCTGTAGAAATTATAAAAATTATTGAATTGTATCCTTTAAATGGATTAGTTGAATGGCATATGAATTATATTTCAATAGAATTGTTGCAAATAAAAAAATGAAGTGGAGGCAAAGCAGAAGACAATGGTCTCAAGATTCACTGTACTCTCAACATGGTAGATTTTGTAGCATATCACTTTAGTCCTTTCCCTTTCTAATGCAGAACTGCTTTCTTAAAACTTTCAGTCACATTTTCCTATAGAACTGCATACTTCAATATTGGGATTGCCATCTTATTTCATCATTTTCCCACTATGAATATCTGACAGTCGGTCAGTTTAAGAAGATACTTGTTTGGGTTACCTAATACTCTGAATTTCAAGGATGTCTCTAAATCTAAGAATCTTGTGGTATCTATTATATCTTTAAGACCAAATAAAAGAGCAGAGTGTTAATTAGGTAGACAGTAATTTCAGAAGCACTTTACTTTTAAAATATTTTTTAAAAATACTTAGTACTAAAGCCTTTGCAAAAGCATATCTACTCCAAGGTTGGGAGCAGGACTTGCCTTTTGTAGAAAAAGAAAAGGCTTACTGTCCTCCCACAATTAGCAAGGCCATTTGCTTTTTGGAGAAACTATCACTTTTAGCAAATCATATCCTGTTCTCTGATCCTTTGATTAGTCATGTGTACATACAGAACTGATTTCAGTGCTTCTTGACGAGTCTTGCACAACATCATCAAAGGTTTATTATCTCTAGGAACTGAGAACCCTTACATTGTGCAGGAAGAGATTTCTGTGATCTACTTTAAAACAAAATACAGGGCATTAATGATTAACCCATAATCTTCATCAATTTTAATACATTTTTATATATTCTATTCTCATTCTTCTCTCTCTCTCCCTCTCTCTTACACACACACACACACACACACACACACACACACACATGCAATTCATCCCAAGGAAGTTTGGACAAAAAAAAATAATAGGTCTTCTTGGATATATATGGAAAATATAATTGAGGTACTGGCATTTGGCCTTTTTTTTATCATCTAACACAGGAGATCGGAATAGATCCATGTTCTACATTCATTGAAAGAATTAAATTGTTCACTTTTTGGAAAAGCATGTGTGTGTGTGTGTGTGTGTGTGTGTGTGTGTGATCAATTTCAGTGTACTTTCTTCTTTATCAATGATTTGCCAACACATTATCAAGCTGCTGTAATTAAGGGGGTAGTCATAATTCAGAGTGACCTGGTACATGGAACAGCAACTTACAACTAAACATTATACCAGACATTTAAAACATACATCTAAGGAAATGTGGAAAAAAACTGAGCAATAGGATAATCAGGAAGAGATTTTCTCATTTTGTGACTTAAAGAGAGTAGCTCTACCTTCATGTTAAGAATTGATGCTCTAAAAATTAAACAGCTCTTCAAAAATCTCATTTTAGTTTTTCTAATATTTACAGAATTAAGAGAGCCAAGACTATTTTTCTCTGAAAAAAAGTTATTTGTAAATTCCCCTTGCACCTATTTTTAAGGAATTCAGTTATGAAACTGGGGAGTATTTTCTCAGGAAATACTCATCATGGAAAAATTTGGTACTTCTATTCCATCCAAATGTGCGGGTTTTTTAAATTACCTAATTTTCTAATAAAAATCATAAACTAAAAAATAATAAACCAGAAATTGCCTTTAGACACATTTCTTCTCAAAAGATATCACAGGATTTCTGTTTAAAGAATAGTGATATTTGACTTCACATAGTAAACAAGAGAGAATTTTCTCCCTTTATCATGTGTTGTAAATTCATTAAATAAAATAAATTCTAAAAGGCAAATTCTGGTTTTATATAATTCCCATTTTAGCATGTCAATCTTTTTCAAAAAAACACTATTTGGTTTAAAAATTGGGAATTATTTTCCTCCTTCTCCATCTCTGATACCACCTACGCTGTTACTCAGTAGTAAGTGCTGAATGTATGTTGAGTTGAAAGGAGATGTCTTGTAAATTGACTCTCTTTCAGAGGTGTCGGCAATTAGACTTGCTACCTGATTTTTCACAATTGAACAATGAATGATTTTAGACCCTAAGGACATATGCTAGTGTTATTCTCAGGCCTGCCAAACGAATAGTTAGAAATATTTTAAGTCTATAAAAAATACTGCACATTACAGTTATCAAAATATCCTTACAGGCTGGATGCAGTGGCTCATGCCTGTAATCCCAGCACTGTGGGAGGCTGAGGGGGGCGGGTCACCTGAGCCCAGGAGTTCGAGACCTGCCTGGGCAACATAGCGAAACCTCGTTTCTCAAAAAAATACAAAAATTAGCCCAGGGTGGTGGCACCTGCCTGTGATCTTAGCTACTTGGGAGTCTGAGGTAGGGGAATTGCCTGAGCCCAGGAGGTCAAGGCTGCAGTGAGCAGTGATCACGCCACTGAACTCTAGCCTGGGTGACAGAGCAAGACCCTATCTCAAAAAAAGAAAAAGAAAGAATAAAAATCTTTACATGCTTTACACACATCAACCATAGTTATTGCGAGTTTCCATGCTGTTAACAATTCTGTTATGCCAAGCTACAACTATTCTTACTTTCCAGTAAATGAACATTCTTTAATAGATGTGGTCAACTGCAGCAATGTCAGTGACTGACAATTTTCTGCCGGATCAGGTACCCAGATTCAGGGAGGCAAGATTTCTCCAAACATCTCTAAGTCCAGTTAATACAAGTAGTTCTATCAAGACTTTGGGCTTTACATTGAAATCATTAGCAGAATTTTGAGGAGGAGAGAGGAAAGGAGTGTATTATCAACATATGATGGAGAGAAAATCCCTCGAGTCTTGTAACTAAAATGGATCAAAGTAAGATGTAGAAGATAAAATTAAGATAATAATAATAATAATTCAAAACAAGATGATTTTTTTAAATCCTAAGAAGTAGCAAGTGAATACAACTTCCTCCAGTAGTTGTAAGGAAACCAGGAGAAGGAGAAAGAGACTCAGGTTCTAGGCAGTGAGTAGATTGTGCTTCAGTTGTTCTTGTGTAGTAAGTTAAATGCTTAGGGAGGCACATTCCCTCTTTCAGGTCAGCAGGGTACCATTTAGTGCATTACTGCTGAGGTACCCTGGTGACCTGAATGAATTAATGCAGCTTCCAAAGGTGCTTAACTTGCAAACACTGAGAGCTCAGGCACTAGAAGTGATAAATATTCTATTAGTCCTTTCTATTTAATATACCAAATACCCAAACATGCCAGTAAAAGGAAGACTTTTAAAAATCTCTGTCATCCCAGGACATACAGCAGCTAACAATTTTAACAACAGTTTCTCCTTCCTGTTCATAGGTGACCCAGTGGGTTTAAGTTCATCATCTCAGTAGACTACATTCATGTGCACAAACCTACCAGCCAGCTCTTACTACATCTGCAATACCTTTAAGAAAATCTGCTTGCTTGAAGAAGTGAAAATGGGCTACTTTCCCATAACCTGCTCTTCCTATCCTCAAATATAGAAGTCTTCTTAATTAAAAAACCTTATTAATGTGGGCTAGGGGCATAAGCTGAAAAGAGGCCAAGGTTAGAATTCCAGCCCAGCCTCTTACTATCTATAAGGACTCAAGCAAGGTGTTTTTCTCTGAATCTGTTTCCTCATATGTCAGAGTATAATAATAGCATATGGCTGTTAGGAAAAGTATGTGAAGTAATGTACACAAAGAATTTAACTTACATGATTATTGTAAGTATGTTCTCTCCAAAAAGTAATGCCATTGTAAAAGGCAATAAATAAGTAAGTCAATTGTCAATATGGGTTCACTGTTGACAGATTATCTGGCATCAGGAGGGTTTTTTTTTGTAAAATTCTTCTGAATATCCCATAAATTTTATATAGATAGTAAATTGCCAACTCTATCGATAAATGAGGCCTTCTTGCAAAAGGACATGTAATCATAGACTACAAATCATTATTTTAAAGCTTTAAAAGCTTTCCTCCCAAACTGGAGTTAACTGTTACAGTTGGATTTATCAATAGATCATTTCTTCCCACATTCAGCCCTGCATTCCAATAATTTTATTAGCAGATATCGAGGAACAAATAGTTCTTCAATCATAACCTTTCTCTGCACTACTCCTTAAAAATTGCTTGATGGAAAAATATAGTCCTAACACTAACCCCTTAAGCAACAGAAGAGAGAAATGTATATTTTATGCTAGTACTTACAATGAAATAAAGTCTATAGGAAATTCTAAATCAAAAGAATATGATCTCCATACACTTTAATATTTATGTATGCACATTTAATTTATGTAAGTTCAAGATTACAAAATTTCCTTAAAGATAAGGAAAATAAAATGTTAATAAAATGGTGTAAAACCAAGTGAAATAAAATATGGTCACAACAACTGTTTTTATCTGTGATAATAACACTGTAACTGGTCATTACAATAATGTATCTTTAAGCAGTACTTTCATTGACCTTATTGTAAATTGAATTTACAGAGGTTTCCCAAGAGTTATACCACATTTTTATCCTGGTTATTTAAAGGGGTGGATGGTAGTTGTAATTAGACACATTTTGCATTTCTTTTTTTTTTTTTTTTTTTTTTTTTTTAAGATGGAGTCTTGTTCTGTTGCCCAGGCTGGAGTGCAGTGGCGCAATCTCGGCTCACTGCAACCTCCACCTCCTGGGTTCAAGAAATTCTCCTGCCTCAGCCTCCCGAGTAGCTGGGACTACAGGTGCGCACCACCATTGCTGGCTAATTTTTGTGTTTTTAGTAGAGTCAGGGTTTCACCAGGCTGGTCTCGAACTCCTGACCTCAGGATCCACCCACCTCAGCCTCTCAAAGTGCTGGGATCACAGGCGTGAGCCACCACGCCTGGCCTGCATTCTTTATTATGTGGTTTTCTTCTTCATATTCTAGGAGATGCATTAGTAGCAACATCCTCATGTTTGAAAACTACATATATGTCCTAACTAGTAGAAAAGCTCTATCCTGCCCTCAAGTTCCCACCATAATCGTTGTCTAAAACTGATAAATAAAGTCTTGCTATGCAATAGGGCAATAAAAGTAAGCGAAGACACAGAAGTGACATTATACTACATCTACTGATGACTCAAAAGACCACTCACATGCAGCCCTTTGACTAAACATTGCTGAAAAAATGCATGGAAACTCTTGATGACTACGTCCATAGATTTAACTCTGAACAACTTTAATGTCCCCGACATCTAAGCACCAAATGTAACCCATAATATTGGTGAGCAGAATGAGTTAGGAAGTATCACCTTAGAAAACTCTTTGTCTCTGAGCAGCACTTAGAAAGATGGCTTATATTCCATCACATCAATGGGACACAGCCACCATACCAGACACTTCAAAACCTTTCACATAGTAAGTGTTCAATAAGTGCTTCTATATTTACCAGAAGTAAAAATTGAGATATCGTCTGTGTATTCTGCTAACAGAATGGTGGCCTTTGTGACTGTTATACTAATCGCCATCCTCTTGAGTTATAGAATCTGTGAAGGTGTTTCCTCACGGTTATTGGTGGCTGTGCCTCCATGCCTGTCCTTCACCTTTCAAACAAATCAAATCCTCCCATACGCTCTCCTGGAATAGGCTGATAATTTGGGGGGCAGGCAGAAAGCACCTTTTAAGGCTTGAATTTCCAGCAACATTTCCAGCAAAGTTCAGGAAGTCCAGATGTTCTGGAAGCAGAACCACGGTCATTATACACATGCCAGCTCCTCCTCACTCCACCCAGGGCCAAGACCCTTTCAGCAGTGTGAGGCCTGGTTAACATATGACTTTCACTGCATTATGGCATGGCGTCCCAACACCCACTTGAACATCTCAGCAATTTTAAACAAGCTCCAATGACGGGGACTATTACATTTAAGCCACAGAAACACACAGGGAGAGCACATTAATTATGAGAGAACACCTTTGTCTGCATTACCTAAATGACCTCAGGGTGGGTGATAAATGAGCAATTTAGCTCTTTTGATTAAATCATACCTGCACTTCACATGAAATAGAATGAACACAAGTTACACAAAAAAATGTAATGTAAATCATAAAGTAGGAGTTGACATGAATGGGGGTGCCAAATTGACTCTGTTTCTGAGGTGTGGTGTGTTGTTGTTGTGGTGGTGGTGGTGGTACGTGGCGGTGGTGGTGGTGGTCGTGTGTGTGTGTGTGTGTTCAGGAGTAAATGAAGAAAGCTCTTAAGAAGGGGCACTGCCCTACCTAACCCCAATCCCTGACATAATCACTCCACTCCACACAAACATTAGAAATTCCTCCAGATCAGGCAGTTCCTTTTTAAAAAATGCACGCTGAAAAAGACTTCTAAGTCAATTACACCTTTGGAGGCACGACTCTGCTTTTATAAAAAGGCTTCATTCCCCTTAATTAAAAGAACGCTAGTTTTCTGTGGGGAATTAGATAGGTAATCTTGCAACATGGGATATTTCCATGAAGAGAAGACCTAGGTGGGGTAAAACAGTAAGGATTTCAGGAAAACAGAAAAGAGCATAAGAGTATTTTCCTGATGTGTAGGCAGACGGTGGCGTTGGTTAAGAAAAGACATACAGAAAATAGAGTAGGTGGGTTCTAATAACACACTTTGCTTTCTTTAAATTTTGTCTGGGTTTGATAACAATTTCACACAATAAAAATCATTCTATCTATCCTGACATGGATGTAGTAAGTTGCTAATGCCTGGTCTTAGTCAATCTTCCTAGGGATTGATATCTATCTATCTGTCTATCATCTATCTATCTATCTATCTATCTATCTATCTATCTTTCTATCTATCTCTCTATCCTTTGATTGACAGATTTTTCGTCACTTTTCTTTTCTGGTATGGTACAAAGAGGGTTCTCAGCTCACAATGTAATATATTACTTGACATGTGAATGCAGTGAGAAAGTCCATATTTGTGCTGAAGTAGCCATGTTATAACACATAGCCGTGCTTCAGCAAAAGTCAAGCTTAAAAACAGAAGTAGACATAGTTGATAGGGCTGGCCAATTGCATTTGTTCTGAAAACACCAGGGATTTATTAGTTGCTATTAGCAAACCAACTCCTCTTTATTTAATCCATGTATTTATAAGTTATAAGTATTATGCAAGTATGTACTATTCTACTAGAGAAACTGTTTTTTTTCAATCTCTGCCCTGTCTATTTATATAAGAATACAATAGAATAATTTGAACTGTGATTAGTTTTTTTTTAAAACAAATCCTGCAACTGGAATTAAATTTCACACTGCATTTCAACCTTGAAATGAACATAAATCTGAAACTAATACAAAAGTGCAAAGATTTTCATATTCAGGTTAATGTTTAGTAACAGAAAAGAATAACTTTTGTTTATCTCTGAAAACAGCTTTCTTCATCTAAACAAATGACTAGAATAAGATTAAGAAAAACTTGTTTTGGTTTCTTAGATACACACACATATTCCAATTTTTTTTCACACAATGACTTTTATGTAAATGTGTACCACACAATCTCCTGACTTCCTTTACCATCACACCGGGACAATGACAGTTCAATAATTGAAATGGTACATATCTCGTATATTTGATTTTAAATTGCAAAGTTGGATTCAGGCCTATTGAAATGAAAATACCTGTGACTGTTAATTCCAAACTGATCGGGTTATTATTTCCTACTAAGAAAAAAAAAGGCACAAAAAGGTAGATGAACCTAATTATTCCATTTTTTAAATTTCCTTTACACATACTGTTCCCAATATGCCTCCTTGCATTCTCCTCTGTGGGCCTCCCCAACACCTTGATTTTAGTTCTTAACCAGGATTCTTTAATCCATAACATGGATAATGAGAAAAACCCAAAAAATGCTCCACGGGGGAATGTTACACTAAAAGTTACCTAGGACTAAATCCCAAGTGTGTTCCTTTGCTCACCATGGAGACAGGCAATTTGTTCACTGCTTTCAGTCAATTTGATATCCAAATATGAAAAAGGCATTATGGAATTCAGACAGACTACTCTGCTTCACTACTAGCAGATGCAGGAAGGAAAAAAAGAGGTAGTATAATTAAGGCTTTGACTTTGAACAAGCAAAGCTGTGAACACCTCACTTATAAATACATATAATATTAAAAGAGCAGCCGAAGTACAGATGCAGCAAGAGTATTTCTATGTCCTGCACTGAATGGTGGTTAGACCAATCAGCTGGCCAGAAAAGTCTTGGCCATACTGAGCCAAGAACAAACTAAACTGTAAATCTGAAATATTGCCAGTTTCATTTGTTCTTCCTCAATTTGAACGTGTAGTGCTCTGTGGTTTTCATTATATCTTTTTACTAGACTCTTTAGAAGAAGTTGGAGATCATTTAAGGGGTAGACAAAATTACAGTGCATTTTTGAAAAATAAAGGCTGGAAGTAAAGGAGTTTCTTTAATTTGTTCCTTAGTTGATTCGTTAATCCATCACTCATTCTACAAATATTTATTGAGAACCAATTATTTTATCAACTGACTAAAATTTGTAAAGAATAGGAACACATGAAATTAGAAGAATATAATTAAATCTAATAAATGGGTTAGCTGAAAAACTGCTGTTTTATACACACACAGACACACACATTCACTTTGCAAGATTGATTGTAGCTAGCTATATATTTTGTATTTATTAATCTCACTTTGAATACATATTCAAACATTAAAAGTAAAGATTATGGGCAATCTTCAGTTTCATCTTATTGTTTTATTTTCCTAGAGCAATTTTGTTTCATCAATCAAATTTCTGGAGGAAAAGTCCAAATTTAGTAGTGCTTAGCACTTCAGAGACTCTCACTTGAAGAAATGGGTAAGATTTTCTTAACAGTAACAAAATTGCTTTTAAAAAAATTCTATGGAAAATAATGCTGCCAAAAATGAATATAGCTTTGTTTGTTTTTGCAGTCATCATTAGCAATAGGCATAAAGGTATTCTTTTTTTTGAGTCCATATGGAAAGATCATCAACACATTCTGCCTCTGGGTTCTTTGCCAAAATACCATAACCCACAAGCCTTCTACCTTAAATATAAAAGGAAAGGTGTTGTTCTGGTTAAATAAATAAATATTTTTTACTAGCATACATCTAATGTTAAAGCTGCCTAAATCCTGCCAAATATATTAAAAACAACATCTGTAAAACAGATTTTCATTACATTGATCAGTTTCAAGTCAAGCAGCCAGGCAGATGATGCTTCTAAGCTAACCTTAACCTTTAACTTTTAACCTCCTTAACCTAGAATAAGGACACACTTTTAGGTAATGCTGCTTCAGTTTGACAATGCAAGAGGTAAAGTGGCCTATTCAAATTGAAATGACACATCACCACATTTAGTGTTATGAATCAATATGTTGTCAATAACAAGACAAGCTGTTTTCTCGCAGCTCTGTATTTGTCTTATAACTGCTACTTGTCACTTCCCCTTAATGTTTAAATAATTCATGATGCAAAATGATGTAAATTAAACTCCTAATGAAAATGAATTTTATAGAGGAGATTACTGTCTAGCCACTAACTCTGAAACTATTTTAAGTCTAATTTTAATATTTTCACCATCATTTTTTTCTAGGCTCAGGCCAAGTTGTTACGTTCTCATTTAAAAGCAATTAATATTACTTATGAACCACTTTTATTTTGCCAACACAAGCCAACCAAGCTTGCTAATATCCTCATTACTGCACTTGAAAATCCTCTATGATTCACAGTTTCTGAAATCAGTTTAGAGGTGGAATCCTCAACACAATGCTACTTGGAATATTTTTTTCAGTTACTAGTAGAAATAATGAATGTTTCTTGAAAGAAAATGCAAAAGAATAAAGTTCAATTTTCTAATACCAAGTCTCAATAGCTCAAATATTTATCTCTTCAATCTTCTATTAATTCAAGATAAGTTTGTTCAAAGTTTATTTGCTGACCATATTTAAACATTGTACTGAACAAGGATACTTAGGTATTTAAGAGATAAACAACTAAAGAAGAATAAATTTTTATATGATTTATAACATTTTTAAGGAAAGAGTACACCTTTCAGTTGTGGGATCTGAAGCTCTCTCTGCTTTAAGGCCCTCTTTATAATCATGCTTTTGTCTTAATTGGTTGTTATAAATTCAAAGACAACATCCAACTCTCCATGAAAAGGAACTTCAAGGGTAACTGTGGCACCAAGCAAATTGCCCTGAAGAGAATGAGGTGGTCAATCCCTGCTTATGGAATGAATGGATAAACTTACACACACACACACACACACACACACACACGCACACACACGCACACACACGCACACATACATTTAAATAATCATCAAGCAGTTAGATTAAATGTTTTCTGAAAAAATAAACAATAACACCCCACCTTCCTTTAGGTTCCCACAAAAGATTAAAAAATAGAAAATTTATACATTTATATCTTCCATTCACAACATGTTAATTTAAAGTGTTAGAGGAGCTGCATGAATATAAACACAGTTCATGAATATTCTATATAGCTCCCAGGGTCTAAATCTATTATTTATACAAACTTAATGTTTGTTTTTCTCTCCTAGGTATTTTAAAAGTTTTAATAGGCCAGGTATCAACAGAAAAAAGTAGACAATTGAACAGTTGTCAACTGTTGCTGCAAAACCTATGAATTATAATACAATTAATCCTTTATATTATATTTTCAATACTGTCAACTTAGAAGCTTTCCATCTCACATTAGGGCCTGCACTCCCTTCAAACTCTGTAACGTAACCCAAATCTAATGCTTTCATTATTGATCCACAGAGTGCCAATATCACAGGAAGAGTGCTACAAATTCTCACACTGAGTCGTTAGGATTTTATGCACAGTACATTTATCTAGAATTTCAACTTCAAGAAACAACCCAAACACATAGTATTAGACAAATCCAAATAAATAATTCCTTCACCTAATCTAAACGGCCTCAACCTGCTCTTTTCATGTGTGGTTATAATTTTAAATAGTGTTAGAAAAGTCGTAGGTTTGATAATCACTGGTTGACTCCTGATAGTATAGTTAACACTGATTTCTAGTACAAATCAATAGACAACACTTGCAAAATGGATTTTGTAATCATATTTAGAGCTTGTTACAATGACTAATGGTTTGCAATATTTTCTGAATTTTAATATCCTCTAGACAAAAAGAAGTTTTTAATAAGTTACCAAGTTATTCATCATAGTAATGAATGTGTTATATTTGTACATGAACCAAGACAATCAAGACAATCCAGTGAACAAACTGCAGAAAATATATTAATCAGTAATTAGGGTTTAGAAAAAGTCAAGACAAGTTCTGTAATAAATGGTGTTCATCACTTGCACGTATTCAGTACATGTGCACAGTCTTCCAAGTAAAGATAAAAGTATATTTGCCATTGTATAAAGCATTGTATAAATAAGCATATTTATCTATACCACACCCATTTAGGAGGAAAATATTGATAGGAAGACAGTCATACAAAATAACAACAGAATTTACTTTTAGAGACTTCCAAGGATGCTAAGGGAGAGTGTGTTTACTCAGTGCTACTGAGCACACACAAGAAAACAAAGAAACAAACATTATGTTTGGAGCGTCATTGTTTGTCACCAAACAAAATATTATGCATTCACAAGGTTAGGCACTGATTTTGTCTTCTGCTCCCTGTAACCATTTACATTTAGCCAAGAGTGGTGCTAGGTTCAAAAAAAAAAAAAATCAATAGGTTTAAAAAGTATTATTTTATATATAACACTATCCCCCAAATTCTTTTATTTTGGGGAAGCCAGTGAAGAAATAAATGCCACTGAGACAGGTGTAAGTGAGACATAGGGTAAAACTTTATAAATAAAGCCTTCAATTCCATATATTTCAATATGTTTTTATAATGTTAATCAGAAACTGTGCCCCCTGCCCTTTGATGTTTTTTCTCTTTTTTTTTCCTTAAGTTGGAGACTTGTGCTCCAAGCTCTGAAAGAGTTAATTCCCTTTTCTACTCTGTGCCAACGGAAATGGATGTCACTGCTTACCTTGTAGAGCTTCAGGGCCGCCTCGTGCCTGTGATTGGTGGTATGCAAGCGTAATTTATCCACACTGTTGGTGTAATAGTCACAGGCGTTACATTTTAGGTGAACAGGGTTGCCAATGGCAATACACTTCAACCTCCACTCATTGCTTTTGCCCCCTTCTTTAATGTGAGCCACCAGTTGATATTTCTGCATATGTTTATCAGTCTTGCAGTGTAGCTGGAAGTTGGCTTTGAGCTGAGTGTTGTAGTTGCAGAGCTTGCACTGGTAGATATCTCCAATTACTGCCCTCCATTCCTCTTCAGGGAGAGAGCGCTCACTGCTCACATGCACACTTAGGGCCTCCAGGCTGTCAGAGGTGAATTTGTTGCAAACAGCACACTGGAATAGCTTCAGCGCTGGGTCACTGATATAAGGTGACAGCTCTCCTGCAGTAAGGAGGGACAGGTCATCACCCATTAGCTGACCACTGGCAAGCCGGATTTCAGGCGGCAGCTCATTATTTACTACAGGAAAAAAAAATTAAAAGGAAAAATAGAGACTAGAAAACACAGCACACACAAAGGAATCTGTAAAATAAAGTCTTGACAAGGAATGTGCTTTCTCTAGAGCTTAAACTATAAAAAGCTGTAATAGGATTCAATCAGGATCAATTACAATCATCCCTTTCAACTTCTAAATTCCCTCATCAGATAGCTTTAATTACTCCTACTGGGCATGATGTCATTCTGAAATTTGTATTTTCGAGGGCAAGAAAGTTGATCAATACCATAACAAAACAGTCACGTGCTTTCAATTTAAGAGCCTAGATAAACTTACATAAGCACTAATTGTTATTTCCCAATTTGTCTTAAAGCTTGATGAGATTTGGCTAATATTGTATGCGTGCCTGTAATCTACTGCCAAATACCTGGGATAAGGTAATGGTATTATTGTTAGATTAATTATCTTGGATCACAGCCATTAAAATATTTCTTAAATATATTTAATTCAAAATAATGCTATACCCTTTTAAAGCTCGTTTGATATGTTAGCGAATAATCACCAAAATTGAAACTATAAACCTTGTAAGGTATGGCTAATGATGGCAGGCAATTAATGCAAATTAGCTTTTGTTAATCAACTTACTGAATGAAGACAAAGTTTGCTAACTTCGCTGATGCCGCCATTGATCCCTTAACTCTTTCTTCTCTGAAGTTAATTTCGCTTTGAAGCAGAAGAGCAAATGGTTTGATTATCCAGCTTAAAGAGAAAGTCCTTTCTAGTAAGCTGTCCTCAATTTGTTGGCACTCACCATTTTATCTGGGTGCATCACGCCAAATCAAAATGTGATTAGAAACTAACAACAGTGCAGAAAAGCAGGAAATACTAACCGAGCCCTGGTGCCAAAGCCGCTGCTGTCGCTGGATCCAGCTGGAATGGATTGATCATCAGCTGAGGGTCGGCAGGGTTTTCCAGCTTCATTCCGGTCAGGCCTATGTTCTGGGCTAGGTAGTACTGATAAAGCTCTGCTTCCGCCGGGGCGAGGCCCAAGTGCAGATTATGCTGGATCTGCTTCATGTTCTGCTGCAAAAGCATCATATTATGCATGTGCTTTTCGCTGGTCATATGAATTCGGAGGTTCCTGGCGACATTGGTTTCATAATCACAAACTTCACACCGCCAGGTGGGTTTCTGTTTGGGTTTGGACGGAGAGGGTGTTCCGCAGCCACTGAGGCTGGTGTTGGGGGCTGGGGCAGAGTGGCCAAACACCTGCTCACCATTGCCATTTTGGAGATTCTGAACATTGTTCAGGTGCTTGTCCGACTGCATATGAATACTGAGGTTGCCTTTGGTAGTGGTAGAGTAGTTACAAACCTCACAACGGAAGGGTTTATAGCCACACGTGTAACTCTCACCCCGGGCAAGCCTGGGGTGAGGCTGTCCAGTCTTACAATAAACACAAGAGCCACCCGGCTCAGGGTGTTTCTCCTTCATATGGGCCTCCAGGGTCTGCTGATATTTGTAGTGCCAGTTACATTTAGGACATTTGAGGGTTTTGCATGAGTTCCTCGAGTGCATCATAGTCATATGACCACCAAGAGACCTCGAAGACCCCAACACAGTGTCGCACTTTGGACACTCGATGCCACTGCCCGGTGAGCCGTCTCCTCCAGGCCCTGGTGTGCCAGGAGTACTCGGGGTAAAGCCATGCTGGTGAGGAGTGGCTGAACTGTCTTCGTCTCCCCGGGCTATTTCACTTGGATGAGCAGCTGTGGCACTGTCTTTACTGGCACTTGCGTCTGCAAAGTCCTTGCCACTGATGCCATAGTTACTAGCAACACTGCCACTGGCCCTAACAGCAGCAGTCTGTTTTTTCTTTTCTGTGTCATCAGAAACAGTCGCCGAGGAGGACGAGGTACCCTTTTCAATAAATTTTAGCACACTGGATGATAAAGGAGAAATGCTTTGGTTTAAGAGAGGGAAATCTTTGTTACCAATAC
Source organism: Homo sapiens (assembly GCF_000001405.40). NCBI lineage: Eukaryota > Metazoa > Chordata > Mammalia > Primates > Hominidae > Homo > Homo sapiens. Next base: position 76,705,568 of record NC_000008.11, on the reverse strand, counting down.
TATCGGTGAGTTCACCTAATACTTCCTCGTCATCAAGTTCATTGGAGTACGCATCTTCTTCATCCTCATCTCCCGGTTCAGTGGGTTCACTTTTGACAGGGCACTCCCCGTTTGGGTGTAAAACGTTGCTTTCTTTTGGCCTTTCACAGTTGTTCTCTTGGTCTTTGCTCTCTGACATCTTGCTAGACTCAGACGATGAGTGGCTGAGGGAGACAGAGGTAATTGGGGTGTTCACTACTAAACTAGACAGCCCCCCCAGATTCACTTCAGCCTTTGGCATTTGGGTAATCCCCAGCGGCTGCTCTGCTGAGCTCGAGGTGCTCGCGCTTCCTTTTAAGAAGGCAAAGCCAGCCGGCAAAGAGTCACCATTTTCAACATGAAAAGCGCTCCATAAACCGCGGAAGGTTGGATCGGGTCCTATGAGGTTTGTAGTAGAAAAATGGGGATAAACAGAAGTGGATTTTTTTGGTTCCAGAAAGCTTATAAGAGGTTCTTTGTCTTTGCCAATCCCCTGTATTATGGCGGAGACGCATTTATTACTGAGGAGCTTCTGCTCCTCGTCATTGAGGGTCATCCGATGATCATGCACAGCATGGGTTACAAATGACCTGATATAACCAAAAGACAACTTGCACAAGAAACACATTAAAACAGGTTTCCTTTTCCCATCGCTAACACAACCATCGAATTTGGACAAGTCCACATTGTTAGGGACATCTTTGGACACACAGGAGTTTTTGGCTGAGCCATCACTGGTTAGATAGTCTTTCTCTCTCTTGTGTCGGAGATCATAGACACGGAAACTGTGCAACACAGGACCAACTCCTGCTAATGCTGAGGTATTTGGGAAAGCCTGATCGGCTGTAAATGGTTTCCCGAGGGATGAAGCGATATGAAAAGTGTTGATGATCTGTGGGTAGAACGACATAGGTGCAGAAGCAGACTGATCACTCTTCTCTCCAGCAGATGCCAGGGAGTCCAGGAACATCGCTGTAGAAAAGAGTTTGCTATTTGCCCCAGTCTGTGCATTCTGCCCACTTTCTTTGGAGTCCTCAATTATATATGCTGACCCATCAGGCTGGTAAACGATCTCCCCTGTTAGATTTTCCACGTCACTGTCCTCTAACTCGCTGATCTCGCTCTCGTTGTCATCCTTCAGGACAGGAAGGCGGGCATTAGGGCAGTGGTGTTCCATGTATTTCTGTAAACTGGGAAAAGAAGTGGCACATTCGTTGCAGGGTATCTCCTTTGCTGAGGTAACCTGAGTGGCAGCTGCATTCTCAACGCTGAAACCCAGCAAGGCTTCACTTTTGCGCTCATCCGTTTTCAGGTTGTCATCTGTGGAGCTGTTTTCCCTGTCAGGCTCCATCCCTGCAACTTTCTCTGGCACCTCATTATCAAGTTGTGTCGTTCCACATAGCTTTGATGTGCTCTGCCCATTTTCCTGCCTTGAGATAGGAGGGGAGTCACAGGTTTCCATGGCAATTGCTACATGGGGATCTCATTTCATCCAGCCTGTCAGGGACCTGGATAAAAAATAAGGTGAGAGAAGCCATTTTTATTAAATAATGACACAGCTCACTAATAGCCCATCACTAATTTACAGCTGCTGTAAACGTGACTATCTAAAAAGGTAAGGGGAAAAACTTAAAACCGGCGTGCCTATCTATCACAGACGGACTTTGTATAAATGTAGCAAAATAATGTAGATAGCTATCACAGGCATGCCTAGACATCCAAGGTGTTTTCATAGTCGCTATGAGCATTCATAAGAAGTCTAAAATTTATATCAATAATCCTGAGTTTTTTCATTCCTGTTTTCCAAAAAAATACACAATATACGTGACCACTCTAAAACCCCCTTTGCAGTAATAGGAATGTAAATAGCTTTTGTATACAGCAGCTGGAATGAAAGAACAACAGAAATAACTTATAATTCTAAAAATTTACCTTTTCTTTATCAGGCAGTGACTAGAAGGGGAGATGAGTGTGGGAGGGAGACCAACAAATAAAGAAACCTTAAAATTAGAAATATTACAGCCACAGGCAGCACCGACCAAACTTCTCTGGTTTTCATTTTGCCAGTAAATCAGCTTACTACAAATCTTCCTTGTGCAAAAGCTCTCAGCAGGTATCTGGCTGGCCCTGATTAAGCACCAATCACAATTCCTCCCCACACTTCAGTCACCTCAATGGGCAACAGAACAGAAATTAATATTTACTGCAACCAGTCCTATCATCCTAGGGGACAATCACATTCACTTAGTTTTTTTCACTGCAATGCGTAATGAACACCATTTCAAATACCATTTTGATGTTACCAATCCTGGTGAGTTGCCCATCTCTCAACCACTGCCTCAATCGACATCTCCCCTGGCTTAACAAATCACACACAAGCACTCCCAATGAAAATCCTTCATTTTTTTTAAAGTTTTTTTGCAAGCAGGCGTCTTAGACCAGAAACCCTATTTGTTGAGGACAAGATGCACTCCATAAAAGCCATATCAGTTTCTGACAGCAGGGTAAAGTACTAGTGAAAGTTGGGCATACACTGGTAAAAAGTCTCATTCTCTTCGTTTGTGTGTGTGTGTGTGTGTGTGTGTGTCTTGCCTGAGAACCTCAGCTACTGTAATAGCAGTTTGATTACAGCTTAAGCTTCTCTGAGTCCCTGCAGATCTCTCAGTTTGCAGAATGATGGCACTGTACACAACAATGGAGTGGTCTGAAACTTGTGTTTATTTTCGGCCTGTAACATAGGCACTGTCTTGATTTCATGAAACAGGTAAGCAACCTTATTTCAAATCTTAAATTTGAAGAGTCTCATAACTTCAAGGCCAGCACCTTAATTTAAAAGTATCAACACTTTCACATATCCTGACAATTTCTAAAACAAGAAAGATTAATGTTGCTATATTACATTGCATATCATATTGGTTATGATAAATATGTACTATCTCAGCCTGGATGCTCCTCCCATCCCTATACCTTATTACACAGTCTTCAGAGTGGCAGAGAACTAGAAGAAAACAAAACAGAATATTGGGTTCACTAATATTACTAAGCATTTTAGAAATCCCTTTTAAAATGTTCTTATACAAGAAAGACATCAGTGAAGGTCACTGGCATATGAAGTATAAAGAATAGCTTATTAATACTCTCTTTACTGTAATCAAATCCAATCTTGTCAGGCCAATCAGAGAGAAAGTGATCAGTTTAGAAAACATTAAAAGATCTGCATAGATTGAAAATGAATTCAAAATTCGTTTTGGTATCTGAGATGGGACCCTGAAAATGAATTCAAAATTCGTTTTGGTATCTGACATTCTAATTGCTCACAAATCAAACATCACAAACCCTAGTGTGTAATTTTAATTTTAATCATTGATGAGCTTCAGGTTAATTATCCTTATGGCATGCATACAGCTTTCAAAACCACCTGAAATAATCTGATAATCATAAGTAAGAAAACCTAATAATTTTCTAATTAGTCCATAAACATTAATGTTTATCTTTGCATTTGCCAATTCTGCACAAATAACGTATTCATACTGAAGGCAGCCAAAATGCCTAAAATATAATCTCTTGCTGGCCTGAAGGAAATGAGGGAGTCAGAAAGAGACTAGAAATTTGGAATGAATGCAAGGTGGTGAATAATACTAAATTAATGATGCTAGATTAAAATGTAAAGTTCCAGAACCGAGGGTGATTTTCCCCAATGATAGGGTAACCTGCTAGGCATGATGCACATATCTGATATGTAAAAAAAATTCACTTTAATTAGAAAGAGTGAGGAAAGCTCCTCAACATTTTACAGCTTTGTAAAAAAGTTTCTAAGCTATGTATGCTATTTGAATTTAGTTCTATCTTCACTCCTAAAACAGTTCTCATCCCACAAATACAGTCACTAGCTAGAATTATTACACACATTCTAAATGCAACTCAAATGAATTGCATAAAATGTGCAGTTAACAATTTTGGCCAGATGTGGAATAAACCCTGCAATGTATCATCTCAATGTTTCTCTACATAAAGTAGATCCGATCTTTTTCTTTTACTTAAAAGAGCCAGAAGTCACCTTCAAAATGTAACATTATTGCTATATAAAAAATTATGAAAACCACCTTAAAGAATCCATCATAGGTCAAAGCAATATGGTAGGATATATTTTGGTACAATACTCCCATACAATTTTACAGAAAATTGCCAATCAATTTCTTCGCAATAAACTACACATAAATCAGAAACTAAGTCAAATACCTGTCTTCTATACAATCAAATTTACATTTCATCCTAAAACCAACAATAACAAAACTCTCTAAATTGATATAGCTAATAATATATTATTTGATTTTAAAATTTTTATTTTGTTGCTATTGGCTACAACCATGACAATGTTTTTCAGTATATTCTGATGGAATCACTTTAGTTTGTATAGATAAAAAGTTATTTAGATCCTTATATACAGTGACACTGAATATGATGCTAAGTGATTTCACTGTCGTCAATGTCAGACGAGGTCTTTCTTTTATCAAAGTGACCCATTTAAGAAATTTACGATAAAGTTTTATAAGTCCCAGTAAAAAAGACCACAAAAACAACCATTTAACTTAAACCATAGAATTAATTCCAAAATGACTGCATAACAAGTTAACTCACTATAAAAGTTCCTTCACCATTTAAGGTGATTTTTATTCAGTGTTCACCAACTTCTGTTCCCTACTGCCAGACATTCTGTTTGTAAAATCACCAAAGTCCTCAAGAAATCCCGAAGAGAAAACCTAACATAGTTTTAATGCTAAATTCAGAGCAATACATACCTGCTGGTCTGCTTAGAATATGTGCACATACACATTTTTTGGTATTCTCAGTAATTCACAAGATCAGTGACTTTGATCATGTCAAATCTCTTTTTCAGAACTAATGGACAATATGCAGAAAAGAACTTTTATTACTCATTCTGCTTTGCTTTCGTCTGAAGTCACTGCTGCCTAAACTCTGCTCTGCTAAATGACCAAACCCACCTACAAGGAGCCTGACTAATGAAAGGGGGTGCTTTCTGAACAATAGAAGAATTCCTTTGCATTCAGAAAGCAGAGTTCCCATTAGAACCCAAAATCAGAGAGGCCAGTTTTACCTCTGTTTTTTAATTGAGATTGTCCCAGCCCTCTTCTACGGTCCAGTGAGACAGTGTTTGTGAAATGATTAAAAAGAACGTGATCTGATCAAGAGGAAAGAATAATGGGAAAGGAATGCTAGGTTAGCCACTCTGCTAAGTGCTGGGAAAGAAGACCAGTGGGCTCCTTAGCCTATTGTTTTTATTCTCATCTGCCCTTTAGCCATCTCATAACACTTTGAGTCTTTATTTACTCCATTTTACATGGGTTAAAAGTTGTCCACTTACATGATAATTTGGTAACTAGTTACGAATTTAAAAAAAATAGAAAATAAATAAAAATCCTTGAATTATATCAAGTTTCCAAAAGGTCATCACTGTCTCTGCTGTGGCCTTTTCCCCATTCCAAATCCTCTATCAATATGTCATAGTGAGTTAGGCAAAGACAAAAGAGAGGCGCAGTGTGAAAACGGCACATATATCTAATCCTGACAAAGCAATGAATAGACCTTCACAAGTATAATTATACTTGTTTATTTGTTGCCACGTACAGAGAACTGATGAAAAAAATCCATCAAAGTGGTATTATGCAGACACCAAGAGCTTCTTTTCTTTGGTTGCTAAAGCCACATTGAGGCTTAAATTCCTTATTGTTAAATTCAGAAGAAAGAAAAAAAAAAGAATTTTGGCTGGACTTTTTTTTTTTTTTTTGCATCAGTTGCTGACAAATCTTTTGTGTACAAGGCTGTATTAGTTCACACCACTATCGCTACCTCACTTTTACCCAAGTTGGAATTCATAATTATAAACTACTGTACAGAAGCTTTTAAAAGGGTGTGGTGTGCTAACCAAGAGAAGAGGGTAGGGGAATTGCCTGTTTCTCAGTCTCTCTTTTGATATATCATAACGCAGGTAAATACCTGTGTGGAAGTACCAGTTACGTCAGATACATCTTTGATCTCAGTCTTAAGTTGGTGCTAGTGTTTCTCTTTAATTCACCTTACTCTGCTATTTGCTTATTTTGGTGTATGTGGAGTATTTCATGAAAGATTGTGTAACTTTTTCTCCACTGCAGTATTAAAAACATTAGCAAGAAGGACAGCAAATGCAAGGATGTAAAGGGATAGAAAATATTAAGTGAAAAGGTTTCAAATCCAACTATTAAGGAGTCATTATGTTCCAATAGACACTAAATCAAATAACTTAACAAAAGCACATTTTTAGAGGTGGGGGTTGGGTAGCCAAACAAGCTTTTTTACTTGTAAGATAGAAATATATCAAAGTAAATGCAATCTGCGTAGTTAATGTTTGTGAGCTTTACAATTTAAAACAGAAAAGCTGTAATTTTTCTTTGCTGGCAATCTGGAAACACTCTGGAGTTAATTACAGCTGATTCGGAGTGAACCACACAAACAAAGACCAGTCTATGTCCAGACAATTATACTGCATTAACCAGCTTAGAGCTTCCTGCTGATGTTTCAGGGCTCTTCTGTTACACCCTCCTACCTTCCCAGCACGAGAGAAAATGCTTCTGCAAGAAGGAATTAATGAAGAGAACTGCAAAAGAATGTGTGACGACCTCTCCTGACACGGCAAAAACTTTCCACCCATGTCACGACAAAGGGGAGAAGGTAATTAAGTTTGAATAGAAGGATGTAACCAAATATATTCAGCATTTTAAACAGGCACATTTTTTAAGTAGAGAAAATTTACAAAGACAAGTATGAGTATGTGAGCCAACTAAGTCGTTTTTCTCTGTTTTCCTCTCATTTTTCTCATTAAAATCTGTTAGCTAGTCAAAGAAGATTTGTTTTCTTCTCTGTAAATGGGACCCTGTGATTGATAGTCTTCTTCTCCCTCTCATTCTTTTCTTTCTCTTCCTCTCTTCCCACCCTCATTTCCCTCATTCTCTCTCACATCACTAAATCTGCATAGACTGTATATAACTATTACATAGCATTAAACATATGTGATGAAGAGCTAAGGAGAAAAGGTGCACTTTACCAATGAGTCCAATAGTTCTAAATTTGAATAGTTGTGGGAAATAGGAATTTTACTCAGTTTTCTTCAAAACTTTAATCAAACTCCAGCTACTTTCCTTAGAGAGGAATCAATAATCTCTCCTTAACAAAATTACACTATTATATGACTCATTTTATTTGTTTGCTTCAGGAAAATTTTATAATCAGTGTGCAAGATGGACCCAATAATTTAGCTACCCTCTATAAACAAACTTTGGTACTTGCAACCAATCTAGTTGATTTCTAATTTTCTTATTCATTCTAATTGAAAATGAATAGTTTGCATTGGTGTGAGACAAGGACATGAACTGTAATTATGTTCAGTGCCTCTTTCTGAGTCTTTCTTTGATACTGTTTTGCTAGTATTCCAGCTGACATTAAGGCTTTGTAGTGATTGCTTCATTAAAGGTTAAGGATTTCCTAATCAGCTAAAGTATTACTAGAAAGCTGTTGTTTGCCAATACTGAGAATATACTGACTTTTTTTTCCTGTCTTTATTGAGGAAAAAGGTACTTCCAAATGCCAGTGACCCAGCCATACTTCAGCATTAATCATCTCCTCTTTGGCTCATCTATGCAAAGTAGGATTAGAGTTAAATGACTATATGATCCTTTTAATTTTTCTTCCTTAAAAAAATATTAATCCATAAATCAATCAGGTACTATGATAAAATGCATATAAATATACCCTGAAGTTATGGAAAGGTTGTGTAAATTACACTTACATTTACAGGCATCTCAATAATGGACAGAATTATTTTTCTTTCACAGACCCCCTCCCTCAATTTCTACCATATCTGAAAGTTCAAGTAAATTACACTGCTAAACATGAAGCTTTAACACAGAACACTGTAGTTTTCCTTGGAAAAACATGAACCGCATCGATCATTTTTGGAATTTATAAATCATAGTTACCATGTTTTTCATATGTTATATTGCTAGTCTTTAAGATGTAACTGACTAATCTCTCTGGCATATGCATATCTAAGAGTGCGTAGTTGATAACCTTTTAAGTTATCACATAAGAACATTTAAAAAATTAATCTTAATTGGTTTTATTAAGTTATATATAACTGTAGAATATTTGGCTTCAAAAATAGATATACCGAACTAGTAAAAACCAGTGCACATACAATTTATTTCATATGTAAAGACATATGAAAGACAATGTAAAGACGGTATATTTTAACATGCGTCTATATTTTTTCTCCTTTGTCTATTCATATATGAAATTGATTATTGAACTACTGACAACCAAATATTTCAAAGAAAAAACAATTGTATAATTATTTCTATTTCACAATTGCTACCAATATGATCTCATAACCACTATAACTAAGTATAATAGCGTAGGTACATATTTTTAAAAAATCATTTCTTGCAGGCTAAACCTACCATAATTATCTACATAAAATCAATCACAAGTCAAGTACACCAGCAAACATTCCTATTTCTTGAGCAATGATTTCAATAATTTTATATGATTTCAAATAGTTTCACTCAAGAAAGTTATATGCATAAATTCTTTAAATCACTACCAAGTGCATCTTACTATATAATACTCTTAGACTCTACCAAATACAAGTGTCTTTTTACATTCCATGTAAATATTTTAAATAACTTTATATTAAAAACCACATTAGGACTAGCATAATAGAGAACATAAGTAGAATGACAAGTTTTCTTCTAGATGAAATATTGGCAAACTTATGTTTGATTTCTGAGATTAGTTGTTATTTTATTGCTATTATGAAGAGCCTTTTGTTTGGGGATTTTTATTTGAGTTTTTTTTTTTTTTTTTGGCCTGAAAGTAAATTTGACTGCTGCCCATCAGTGAAGTGAGCAATTCAGTAATTAGCTTTTGTGTTTTAAATATATGAACTTTAATTAGATTTCATTATAAACAACCGTCAACCATAATTATAAGCTCCTTGGTTTACCCACATATTATCCCTTTTCAAACAAACTTGATGTCAGACTAATTAAAATCAAGCAGCCAGCAATTCTGAGTTGAATTTTACATGATCTGCTGGTAACCTGATTACTTTAACTTCAATATCATTACAGGAAAAGTATCTCAGGAAAAATAATTACAAGAATTCCAACAGGAGACAAGCTTAATTGTATTGATTCAAAAGATGCATGTTCAGAGGAACCATGTTGAAGAAATAATGTTATCTCAAATCTACAGTTTCTATTAAAATGAAATTGTCCAGCATGAAATAAGCAATTTAAGATTAGTGTCTACAGAACTAGAGATACTAAACTAACTAAATAATTATCTGGGCCCAATTATCTTATACTTTAAGTAGCAAAATATCAGTGTGGAGAAACTACAAGTCATGAGGTTTGCAGGTTTATTTACTGACTGGTGTATCTATTAGGACCAAGAACAAGTGGAGCTGTCAGGACATAATGAAGGTAAATGATTAGTTAGCACCAAGCTTGAACTCTTCTTCAATGCAATAAGAGTTAATTAAAGTTTACCACCAAACATCAACCAAAGCAGGATGTTGATCAGGTTTCAGCATTAAGTGCAAACAGACAATAGTTGGCAGCAATTAGTGCAGCTATCAAATGACATGCAATGATAATTATACATTTAAAACAGTTAAAGAGCTGGGGGAAAAAACTAATCAGCCTCTTTGACGACAAATACTCAAAGGGCAGGAAACAGGTATCAGATTATTTCACTTTAACACTGTAAATCAATAGAATTAAACAAGAAAAGATTGTATGGGTACATTATCTGAAAGAGAACAGTTAACTGGACCTAAAATGAAATAAATCTGCTAGTATTGGTCTATCAAAGATAAGAACTTCTGCAGCTAAAGAAAATAACTTGCTTTTCAATTAAAGTTTCAGAATGAAGTCTCTGTAAAGAAAGTTTAGCTTCTTGGTTTTGTGTAAATTCAACAATGCAACAAGTATTTCGTCATAATTACTGTTATTTAAATTAAGTGTTAACTTCCATTCTACCATAATGTCAAAAGTACTTTATGCCTGGATGTTATCTTTGTGTACTCCAATATTATCTTTCTGAAAACTTTTCAAATGGATGTTAAGATTGAAATTCTTTTCATGCAGCTAAATTTAAAACAGAGGCCATATATGCGTATTTAGTGGTACATCATGCAGGTCTTCCTTGACACCATTCAAACCTATGACTTCAGTTTTGAAATTGATGAACCTGCATACAACATATCCCTTAAAATAATTTTATAAATGACCTCATTCTTTTCCATAGTTTCTGGCCTGTAGCCTGGAGAATGTCTCCAGAAATGTGCCTATCCTCATGACCCCCACCTCCCCATTTTCCCAACTAATTCTGTTGTGCTAAGGATTTGTACACAGTGTTGGCTAATCCCAATATTTCCCTGGAGCTAAATCTAAGCCATGACCGACTCCCAGCACAAAAATGTCTCTCTCCAAAAGCCCTTTCGCCCCCTTCAGCACTCATACACTCATTGGTCCTGACATTTTCACTTCAGCCATGACAAATGAGCTGATGACTCTGATGTGATTGCACGGGAGGATGGCTTTATCTAAAAATATATCATTAACTCTCATCGCCATCTCCTAATATGGCTCTTCTGGGTTCATGTAATGTGTTGCGAAAATCTGAGGAAAAATTTTTGTGAATATATGCACTGTAAGTAATAAGAGATCAACTTCATCAAAAGAAGAAAAGGGAAGCCTGAGTGGACAGGATGGTGGGGCGGGGGCGGGGGCAGAGGCGGGGGCGGGAGCAGGGGGCGGAGGGTGGGGGGCGGGTGCAGGAGGAGGGAAAAAAAAAAGACTAACATTAACTAAATGATGCTCTGGGGATTTAAGTAACTCTACTCAACCTCTGCCCCAGTGCAAACCAGCCGGCTGACTGTCTCTTAAAGGTCCCTTCCGTTCAACATGGGCATCTGCAGCAGAGCATAATTTGTGAAGTGGCACAAATGAAGCTTCTCAGAAAATATGGCTTACCAATTGGCAGGCCAACCGATTTGCTTGTCTTTATCACAGGGTAGCACCTATTTTATTCTCAAACCCTTCATTTCCTATGTTACTAAATCTCTTTACATTCACTTTAGTCGGGGAAGGGATTATCAAAAACAATTCCACTTTGAGATCATTGTATTCTTCAATTAGAAAGAGGCAATAGTTTCCTTCCAAACTATGATTAAATGTGAAACTTTTAAGCTCTCTCAAAAGGAGAGCCTTAACATTTAGCATAAACATGGCAACCTTTAGGTTATGTTAGAACCCAAGTTCCAGTCACATCGTTCTTGTTATGTACACGATAGAGTTTACAGAGTAGATACTTGTTATAACCTCTTCTCTCAATTCATCTGAGGAGCCACAGCCAATCAGAGTCAACTCTAGCATAACAGACTTCTAGAAAAGAGGTCAGGCTTTGAGGTAAAGTGCTATTCAGTCTTGGACCATGCAAGGAGCTCTTTATTCCTGTTCTTATTGGCATCAGACCGCCTTACTAGAGTAAGAACAAAGCCAAGTGCTCGTGTAAGGTTTATGAATAAATCAGAGGTGAGCCACTTCAAGTGCTGCCCATGATTTCCTTGTTGACAGTGAGCACTTAAACAGACTTCTATGACCAGCAACTTCTGGCAAGCCATAATGATTCCTAATCTGCACCCTCCTTCATTTCAAGAACTAAATGACCCACCCTATTTTTCCTGCAAGCTTTCACCTTTCAGGCAATTGTGGTCCTATCTCTAACAGTTTACCTTTACAATCCCAGAGCAGTCAGCACAGGAATTGTAACAACTAAAACCTTTCTTTGCTCACAAATAAAAATAATCTCCAGCGTAAGCATAACAAATTATTCTCATATTAATATTATAGAATTTTTGGATAGGGAGAAGCTAAGCCAACTAAACTGAAGAGGGCACACACACATACACACACACGCACACATACACACTCAATTTCTTCAGCTGCACTCTGTAGTTATGTGATGTTTCCCAGGAATTTCCATGAGCTTTGGTTTCCGTATTGGTTAAACAAGGGGATTGTGCTATATCCCTTCTGACTGCAACAATCTATGGTTCTAATATAAAAAGCCATTTAGATTTCTCTGTAAGATAGTGTTCCCTGTGGAATTTCCCAAGACAAGTCCAGCTGTTTTTAAGGTGATTTTTTTTTCAGTACCTAGATTTCAAGAGGAAAGGCAGATTCCAGTAGTACAGTAAACTGAAGTTTTCTATTTATGTTTTTAATTATCATTCATTTATCCATTCACTCATTCAACAGGTATTTATTAAGCACCAAAGATTTGCCAATAGTATGTCCATCACTGTGGATATAGTGTTTAAACAGAAGTGGGTGCTACCCTCATGGAGGCTGCAGTTTTATTTGAGGAGACACTTAAACAAGCATCATGAAAAATGTTAAGATGCTAATTGCTTTCTCTACATGAATTATATCCTTATATTGATTAATATTAAAAAATGCTTTGTCTTAAATAAATGTGCTTCAAATGAAATGTCAAGTCCAGGGCCTTTTATAAATGACCAGAACATAGGCCATGCACACACTTTTATTTTTAAGAAGTACTTTAACAAGTGTTATGAACCAAACATATATAAATATTAAACAATAATCAAACACAAAATTGGAAAATTATAATCCAAATGCACTTAGATTTCCCATAAAATTATAAACAATAATTTTAAATGTGTATCTTACATGTATCGCAATGAAAAATGTATTAAAAATAAACAGATTAAAAAAACAGAACTTTCATTTCCAGGTGGTTCAAAAAATTGTATTTATATACATTAACTCATCATGAATTTACCATCTTTGAACTTGGGTAGTCCTCCAGAATAATGCATTATTATAGAACAATAAAGGACTGTGATTCCCTAAGAGATAAACCAGGTGGAGACCCATAAGTTGGCTGTAAAATAACCTAAGAAAATTTAAGGTTTCATAATGTTATTGAATTATTAATAACTGGATCTCTTCTCTAGGTTGGTATAAATTTTGGTCAACAGGATACCACGTAACAGTATCCATTCTCCTTTCTTGGCATATGAAAATGTCACTAATATCAAGTATATAATATCATTAATAGCAAGTACATAATCCAGTTTTGGAAAATCCTCTAATTCAGCGACTTTCAAACAGAGGCTTTCAACTTCAAGACTGAAATAAGCATTATGGTCATTTCTATTATTGTATTTAATGGAGTGTCTGGAATCTTGAGTTCATGTGGATAGACTAAGGTCTGAATTATTGAAAAACTGTTTCTGTCCTAATTTGCTTCTTAAAAAAAAATGAAGATTCAGAAATGCATTAAATACCCAGAAGCCCCTTAGGACCAAACCAGCTTGTAGTGATGGAGTGGCAGATAAAGATGTGGAGGAGCATCCACCTGTCAACCTAGATGCCATTTAGGTACCTGTCAGTAAGAAAATATCAAAAGAAGGATACTACTCCTTTCCCCCACCTCTTAGACATATCCATTGCCAAATTCATATCTTTTTCTTGTAGGAGAGAGGGGAAACTCTACTCAAAATATCTGTGTAGACTTGCTTTACCAAATGCTCTTTAGTTGATCATGACTTTGAAACAACCATTGGGAAAAAACAAAAAAGGAACATACGGATCAGTTATCAGGTCCTGCCCACAATCACTTATTTTAATGTTCACAACACTTTATCTTATGTAATCTCTGCAGCAACCCTGATATACAGATGAGAAAACTGAGGCTCAGGAAGATTAAGTAACTTGGACAAGGGCACCCATAACAGAAATGTAATCCAGGTATCTTATAGGTTGAATAAGATTCCTATTAAGCATTGGGTTGCCAACAAATGTAGTAGGTGTTAAAATACCTAAAATGTAAGTTTAAATAATGTCGTTTAAATAATATCATTTAAAAAGAAAAAAGAAACCAAAGTACGCAGAATCAAAAAATGTCTGGTCTTAACTAGGTGTTATTCTTTCTGTACATTATGCTGCCTCCAAAACATCACAGCCTTGACTTCATATCCTTTCCTTACACGGAATTGAAGTGTTGTTCTTGTTCACACCATGTTTATGATTATGATAAATACACTTTAAGTCACTGAAATCATCAGTATTTTTATGAATCATAGGCTCTTCTTGTCCATTTGGAGCACCTAATCTACCTCCTACTTAACACAAAAATATGTTTAACAGTCACAATAACAAGAGGCCATCCAGATTCTACTTGTCTCCTGTCGATAACAGAGAGCTCACTCTCTCAGAGAAGACAGGTTATCATGCACATTTTTCCTTCCAACTCTTCACCATCTCCACAACCTTCATATTCATTCATTCAACAAGCCTTTTTCAAATAGCCAATACAGTTGAGTGACCACTGGTCCTAGAGTTAGAATATGTGAATTCTTGTCTCAACATTTTCCTGCCTTGCTGGGTAATCAAAGATAACTCTCTTTAATTCAATAGCCCATATTTTAAAATGAGTTAATTGAACTGAATGATCGTAAGGCCACTTCCCAGGCTCTGGCATTTTGGTAATTTCTAGTTGCCTTACCATCCTAGTTGCTCTTTTCTGTTGAGATTATATTGGCCAATTCTTAGAAGATGAAAGAAGTTTAGCCTATGAAGGGAAAACTTCACAAGCTACCACTAGGAATGCATCTAAAGAGGAAAGAGAGGCCTAACATGGAAAGAGGGTAGACGTGTGTGTATGTGTGTGTGTGTGTCTGTCTGTATATACTCTACTGAATAGGAATGTAGGAGTGTTAGGGATGATGAAACACAGTTGTATCCACTAAACCAAAAGAGATGATTAATTCTAATTTTCAATTAATGGGCTCAGGAAATCTTAAGTATTAATTGCATTATTCCAAAATTTATGGTATTTTAAAAACTACTAAGCACTATATTTTTGAAAATCCACATTAGCAAAGTATTTCAGGTTTAATGAAAATACCATGGGAAATGTAAAAATGATTGGTCTTTTTCAACCTATTCTTCCAAGCAGACAAACTTTAAGATTCCTCAAAAACTTCCCTCTTAAGAAGTTATGTTTCATTTTGTTTTTAACAATATAACCAGGTGGCATACACCAGCTCATATGTTTTTGTATTTTAACATTGTTAGAACTATGGATTTCCTTTCTTCTTTACAGTGAAGGAAAAGAATTTTATGGGCAGTTATAAAATGCATATTTTAACCTGAAAGTCAATTTTCCCTGGTTAAAATGATTTAGACCTGAGTAAATATTTGCAGAGTGATTTCTTTTTTATAGCTAGAACACAATGAAACCTATAAATGTTGTCTTTAGAGGTATGTCCTACAGTGCATACCATTCAGTAATTATCATCTGAGCACTGTTGTGTCCTCAAGTCAGACAAACATTAGAAATGATCTATTATCTGAATGATGATGCTGGTGTGTGAACCGCTAACCTGAGTGACCAAAACACGTCCTCACAACTTTTCTTGGACCATCAGGACATTATGATGTATTAACTAAGTCAGTCTGCCCAAATTCTTAAATCGTATTTGTTTATTTTATCCAGTCTCTAGAATGTTAAAGTGGTTAATTATATTAGAGATAAGCTGCTTACTAAATATGACTTTAGTGCCAAAGCCATTTTTAAGTCCAGTGCATAAACTCAAATATGCCTTAAAGTGGCAAATATTTGATTCTATTCACAAACCTTTAAAAGAAAGGGAGACTAGAGAGCAGCCATTCTTGGACTGAGGATTGTATGTCAAATATGAAACCATATCAAACTTTCAAGGCAACTTGTGAACCTCTGAAACTAGGGAATTAACAGAACATCAAGTCCAGCAAGATCACAAGGGGCACAATCCTTATGCAAGAATATAATGCCATCGAGCCCTCATTAAAAGCCCATTTCGTCTTTAGCCATCAAAGACTGTGAGTGCACTAAGATCTTGGTTATATCATCAGGGATAACTAAAACAAGTGCCAAGAGAAATTGTGCACTTTTAGTTCTCACATGTGTCCATCTGTTCACATATAAACACATATTCTGCTTTCTGTCTGATTTCTAAAATCTTGATATCAGAATACCCTGGGCTTTTGCCCATTTCCTAAGAATGCAGACATCACATAAGCTACTATTAACCCATGTGTGATCCACTTCCATGGTGGCTGGAAAACTGCCAGTTACAACACATGGTGCCTGGTTAACAATGTCTTAAAATATAAATGAATTTATTTTTTAAATTAACACATTTTCTTATGGAAATACCTTAATAAGCCCTTCTGCATGTAAAAGAATAGCCTCCATGTGGATTTTTTTGTTCTTTTAAGACTTTTTTCAAGCATATCATAAAGTTAACCATAAAAGTTTCTGAAACAATCCAGAATTTCTTGACAAATTTTAAAAAGGACTCCAGTAAAAAATTTGGGGGACTATATAACATAGATCAAACAGTTTTCCTTTACAATATGCTGTACTCAAGAGTCAACCCTTACACATTAATTTATGTAAAAATACTTGTGATTTCCCAAGTTTCCATCTAACCATCTTAATAGTACCTCAACAACAAAACTGCTAAAGTGATGAGGCAAATGGAAGTTCTAAAATCTAGCAACAAACAAGTTGGGTTAATATCTGATGAGATCTTCTAACCTTGTTCTGAGACAGCCATCGGTGGATCATTTGTGGTGACCTCAAACCAGAAAGAGCTTGTTTAAAATGTATACATATAAATAATTATCTGCACTGCATTTGATTTACATAGGTACAAAAGAACCAATTCCGATCTTTGAAAGAGTCTTCACACTTATGGTATTTTAACTGTCCTAATGCTGGCTGAAGAAACATCATTAAGAGTGTTGATCACATTGTCAACTGATAACCAGTTACATCCCTAACTAGTGACAGGGGACCCTACTACAAATGTCTCCAAGAGTGAACTTATAATACCTAGACACTTTTAAAAAGACTTATCTCTAAATAAAATACACAATACACCTACAAAGCAACATGAAGACTGCATTCAGAACTTTATGAATTAAATCTTAAGAAAATACATCAGTACCCTCTTCTCTCCCTTCCCAGCCACAAAAGCTGATAGACCACTTAAAACACTTAACATTGCCAAAAGTCAGATTACACAACTCTTTCCCAAGTGAAGTGTTTCACCAATCGAGATAGTTATTTATAGCCTATGGGGAAAAAAACAGGCACCTTATATTCCATCATTAACTGAATTAAATATCCACACCATACTATTGGCTCTTCTAAAATAATTGTTTTTGCCAGCAAAGTGCTGGGAATTCCTGATACCCAATAGTCAATATTTGGCTAGCCTGGCATGTTTCTGAAACTCTTCTATATACAAACCTCTGTTGATCATCTTCTAGCTGCACTATTGTCATACACATTACGTCCCAATGATGATGAAAACACAGCATCTTATAAAGTTGCTGAAATCTGAGCCCCTGCTTGTTTTCTCAAGTCTTGGACAAACATAACTTTAGAGAGAGCGGAGCATAGACATAAAGAAAGAGAAGCCTGCATTTTCATCTTCCTTTCATCTTAGTCATTCAGTCAGCCATTCAGGACCCTATTCAACAGAGCTTTTCATTATGCAAAAAAATGCTAATCCTTTTCCGATGCTTTCACACTTGTATAAACCCCCATTCCTTCAACTGAAAAGCAATTATATCAGTTTACCTTTCTGTCAAAAACAGGATTAATATTCCAATAACAGAATCTCTTTTCTTTTCCTATCTTTTTGCTTTAGGAAACCAGAGATTATTAGTAGAGGCATTCTTAGAACAAGAATCCATTATTTTAAATATGATTATGTTAACCAATGGGTGGAAAAGGGAGAATAAGAAGAAGAAAAAGTCCTTCAGTTACTGCAGAAACTCTTTTCTGTGACAGAAGTGACCTTCCTTTTACAGATGCCCAAAAAGAATGAGACTCACTCTGGTCTATTAATCAGAAACAAATTATGAAAGAATGTAGCTGGACTGGTTGACACTATCCCGTCTTGGGAGACTCAGTAACAGCCTAGTAACAATGTCCTCTTCATGGGTAATGAACAGCCATGACAAATGGGGCAGAGAAACTATTTATTTGCATATGCAAATTCTCACACAAGGGAAACATGTACAAACAAGTGTCATTGTAAGGTGGATTAGGCAAACAACGCTTTCTTTTTAGGACATTCTGCAGCCCAGAACATTAGTCAGCACAATTAAACCAGTCTCCATGGAGACTAATGAAATTTCACCACGGTATGAGTTAAATTAGATAGCTAGTTATGTGTTTCCACAATCCAACTTGAAATCCATTATTGTTTCAGAACAATACTGCAATTGTGCCTAGCTGATCTTTGCCAGCTCAACAAGCTCCTAAGTTGACAATTTGCATATGTTAATATAATTAAGCACTAATTACATGAAACTTGTACATATTCACATGCACTTTCCCTGGGCGCTTCTCAGTTTGAACCTTGGCCAAGTCTTTAACCCTTAGAGTGGTCTTAGAAGGGGGGGAAACCCTCTCCCTGTGGGTACAGCCCTTAGGCAGTCACAGAAAGGCTCCTCATTTATAAACACAAAGCTTAACCTGGCTTCTCATATTTCTAGCAACAATGACAGAACATATTTTGTGAGAGTGCTAGAGACCAGGGATAAGGAAAATGAAGAGAGGGAGATGGATTAGTCTTTAAAGACTCATAACGAGTATCTTCTCAAAGGAAGGCAGGAACATTCATTTCAAGAAAATGTTAAGAAAGAATTTGTTCTCATTGACATTGTCGAACCTTGGGAGATGAACATGGTTTGACAACAGCAAAAATAGCAAGTAGGAAAGGGAAAAGGAGTCAGCAGCACCTAATGAGCTTTACATAAATATATGCAGAGTCAATTAAGCAATATTAATTACTATGACAGCAGTTAATTGAATATAATTAGATATTTTAAGCCACTGAATAAAGCATAGTTAAGATTAATTTTATTGAGATTAATTGTAAATAAGGATAGATTAACGCTGTGTTTTGACAGGCATAAAAAGTAGTTCTGCAAATTAAGCAGAAGCGTGGCCACCAGTCCAAAAATCATATATTATTTTAATGTCACACCTCAGAATCATCTCCTCAATAAACATGACTTTTCAAACCCAAATAGACAGGAATCTTGAAGAAAAACAAACAGCTTGCAGAGATTAAAGAGCCTTTTGTCCTTTTTCATGTGCATTTCTTTTAACAGACTAAATTAAGCGAGTCTGGTGTACGTTTTTTAGGAAGGAACATTTCACACTGAATGGAAAAAATGTTCTATCACATATGAAATTCGTGCAGCTGTGCGGAACTTGGTCCAGAGGGTTTAAGACCATAAAACACCACCAAATGATAGACAGTAGGCCTTCCCAAGATTATGTGATAAAGTCACAATCTTTTATTTTGACCTCTCTCCAAATTTCTGCTCTGTATTCTTTCCAGTCAAGTCACATATTTTGTTTCATAATTTTCTTTCTCTAAGAGGATAAAAAGAAACGTTGCACCTACTAAGTGCTAGAAACAAAATGTAAAAGGAATTGAAGAAGGCCTCATTTAACATAGATCAGCTAAGTCATTCAGCCACAAAATGCAATGATAGCTATAACAACAATGTATGCAAATGACACCTCTTGATTATTACTCTCCTAAACAATGGTTGCTGAAAATATTTCTTAGGAAAATATTGCTAATTGAAAACTCCTCTGCCCCAATACTTTCACACCAAGCTAATTCATGCATACTCTTTAAGAAAATTAACACAGTCCTCAAGAAAGCTGAACAAATCACTAATAAGAAAGAAGCTTCAATTGATTTTGAAATAAATCAATAGGTGATTAACATAATATTTTTAAAGCAGCAGAATGTACATATATATTACATAAACGTATATATTATATTTTCAATATCTTTTAGTTCTTAATCGAACACGGGCTTTACACTATTGAGCCTGGGTCTACACTGCCTCACAACTTCTTTAGGATGTCTTTAGTCTTTATAACGAAAATCCTAAAACGGTCTATGAAACAAGACTACGACAAGCCATTCTGCAGTGAAAGATTTTAAATCATCCAGCCTCTTCTAATAGACTTGAGACTTATTGAGGTAGAAACCATAAAAAATGAAGGAGGGAAATTTAATCCCTGAAATATTGATTTGCACATTAATATCATATAGGCAGAGGGCAATTTGGCTTCGTGGAAATGACACATTGTCGACCCTTGGTGAAGTCAGAGCCAATCTAACTGCTGAACATGTCTGAATCTCAAGAGTTATTAAGGGCTTCCCTTCTTGCCTTTATGACTTTTCTTCAGCCTACCAATGCAATCTTAAATGTATTATCTTTAAGAAATAATTGTAAAACCTCAGGGGTTTTCCAGTTAATGGAGGGGAGGCCAAACCACATCAGATTCTGAAATGCAACATTAAACCCTTGCAATCAACAAAACCACCTCAATTCTCATCCATCCAGTGCAGGATCTAATATTGTTATTAGAGATAATCAAATTTCATTGTGTAAATTTAGGCTCATGGTCAGAATGGAAGCAGTAAATTCTGCAATATTAAACAGTGATTTTCTCAGCCTCCTTTATGTTTTCCTTTGCTCATGAAGAATCTTTTAAAATAATCCAACTAGCTCAAAATTAATGAACAGATTTGGGCTCATCTGCTAAAAACTGCAAAAGATTACAAAAGCACTGAACATGTTTGCCTCATTTTTAACTTTAAGTGGCAACTTTCACTTCATAGAACCAGAGTCCACTATCCCTGTCTAACCCCACAGTTGGTGCTATTGCTTTGACTTACACAGCTGGTTTACCTGACCTTTCTTTGTTCCTTGGGTACATTTCACTTTTCAGATTTATGATATTTCCCCCATATTTCATTGACCCTATCTTCATTGCCATAAACATGAAAACACCTAAATATGAGTTTACTTTTTTAAAAATCCAAAATCAACCAGCAACTGAATAAAAACACAGTGGTGCTCTCCCCAGTTTATGCCATAAATATTAAAACCATTCAAAAAAAGAACTGTATAAACCTTATGATCCCCACACTGAAGCCAGGTGCAAGAGGTTAAAACAGCTGGCTAGCCATCTTTTATTTTTGTGTGCCTTCCTGCTGACTGAAACCACAAACCTTGAAAACTATCAAATATTCCCTTAAGGATTTTTTTTTTTAAGATGAGGAAGGAAAAAAGAAAACCTTCATTCTCTTTAATATGCTCTTCAGTGGAAAAGGAAAACTCCAAAACACAGTCAGTCACAGAGGTAGTGAAATAATTCCGAATATCTCCTTTCTGTTTTATTTAAACCACCCTTTTCAGCAATTTCTATACACAATTGTTTTTAGTCTTCAGTTAGTAAAGAAACAGAAAAAAAAAAACCAAAACAGAAAGAAAGTCTGAGCTTGCTCTGTCAGTTTTGCCAGTAAATACAAAGTAAAACAAGTGTTGATGGCACCGAGAGTGTTACATACCCGGGCTGTGTTTTTGCATTGCTCTCAATGGAAGCGATCGATGCCCGTGTCACTGTCGCGTCCCAATCGCAGCCAAGTCTCAGCCTTAATCTAAGCAACACCCGAAAAGGCAGCGGCAGCCGCAGCCTCTCTCTCACTCTTCCATCCATCCACCCAACTAAAAATATAATACTACATATGAGCTTTAACCACTCCACGTTTATAGGGATCAAGCCACTGAAAATCCAGGAGAACACAATAAAAAAAAAAAAACCCTCCTCTGTCTCTTGTCTCTTCTCTCCCTCTCTCTCTCTCTCTCTCCCTCTCTCCCCCCCTCTCTCTCTTCCTCTCTCCTCTCTGTCTCTCTTTTTGCCATCTACATGATCCTTGATTAAACATGGAACAGAGTTAATAAAAAGGGTGGGGGGGAGACTCAAGGAGAGGAAATGCAACTGTCAGAAATCAGGACGGCCAGATTTCCTGGTGAACCTGCCTCTGTCTGAGTCAGTGTCAATCCACCATCTTCTGCCAGTGAACTTGTCTTTGGGTTTTTGTTTGGTGTGTGTGTGGGGGGGGATGTTGTTGTGTGTGTGTGTATGTGTGTGTGTGCTTTTTTTGGAAGGGGGGAGGGGAAAGACAAAGTGGGGGCCGGAGGTGGGGGGAAGAGTAGGGAGAATGTGTGTCTGTGAGTGTGTGTTGAGTGTGAGTGTGTCTCTGTGTGTGTAGGGGTCGAGGTGGGGGGGGTCCGTGTTTGCGATCTGAACCTTTGGTACCTACAAGGAGGGTGTCTCACCGAACGGTAGCTAAAACCTCACCAGAACCGCGCGGAAGTGAGAAGTCGCGGCCAAAGGCGCCCGCAGAAGCCTCCTCTCTGGGCCGGACCCCAGCCCGAGCGGCCGAAAGGAGCCCCCCGCCCGGATCACAGGTAACAAAAGAAATAGAAACCAGTGCACCGTCTTCTAGGGGAAGGGGATTAGAATAGGGAACCTTCTGTAACTTGGACATCGGCAGAGAAACTTTATACAATTCCATGAGAGATTTTATTATTTTTTTCTGATAGAAAAGAGGAGCGAGAAGGGGGTTGGGGGTGGATAGAAGTAGAAGGAAGGAGAGACCCGGCGCATTCCAGTCCCTTTTCCCTTAGCTGCTCCCAGCCAGAAGGCGCACTTGATGCTTGGAGAAACGAAGGAGGTGAAGTTCATTTGTAGGCATGGAACCCTTTTAGGGGGGCCGAAGAATGAATCGGTTCTCACAGCC
This sequence comes from Homo sapiens, assembly GCF_000001405.40. NCBI lineage: Eukaryota > Metazoa > Chordata > Mammalia > Primates > Hominidae > Homo > Homo sapiens. Next base: position 76,682,719 of record NC_000008.11, on the reverse strand, counting down.
GAACACAGCCACTCAATACACACACACACACGCACACGCACACGCACACACCCCTTGCCCTTTGCTAAAAAGGAAAAGATTCTTGACCCCAAGCCGCGGGCGTCTATCCGCTGGTCTAACGCACACCCGGCGGCGTTCCGTTCGGAGCAAGCAGCCGCCGCCTCGCGGGTCCCTGGCCCAGAGGCCGGGCGATCCCGCCTCCTAACGGACCTGCCTTTCCTCCGCGGCGCCCGCGCCCGCGCCGCCGAGAGCAGCCCTCGGTAGTGCCTGCCGCGCCCGCTCCGGTGGGCGGGTGTCTACCTGCAGCCCCAGCCCCAGCGTTCACCCCAGCCTCTTGGAATCCCCTCCCCAGAGCTCACGAACCCCCGGGCCTCCGCCAGCCCCGCACACTAAGCGACCTTCGGGGAACTTGAGAAGGGGAAGAGGGGCGGGTGGTAAAAGGAGGAAGAAAAACGAGGCTGAATAAGGTGGGGTGGGGGGTGGAGGGTAAAGCAGGGAAAGAGCAGGGAGAGAGGGGCTCCCAGCCCCACCGACCAACGTCCAAACTTTCAGAGGATGAGTGCGGAGGACCAGTCATCCCGATCGGGGTGCAGGGGCGCGGGGCGAGCGGAGACCCCTGGCAGTGCCCGCGCCGTTGCGGAGCTGACAGCTTCCCCCAGCCACTAGAATGCCCGGGGCTCGCGGGGAAGGCAAAACCCGAAAAGACAGGGAAAAGGAGAGAAAACTGCCCAAGCAAACGTAGATGATCCTCCGCCACTTAATCCAAAAGTTAAATCCGGAAAAACGCAGCCCCCCTAAAGAAAGTGGAAAATCAGGTCCCTCAGTGCCCCCTCCCTCCCTCAGCGGAGCAAAACCTTGAGCCAAAAAAAAGGGGAAAGAGATAGAAAAGGGGGGCAGAGCGGAAGAGATGGTCGGGATGAGGGGATGTGTGCGACAGCGAGCAGGAGCGAGCGAGGTAGGGGTAGAGAGGAAGAGAGGCGGAGAGGGAGAGAGAGGGAGCGAAATATCAAAGATTGTGCAAGATCAGGCTGGAAAGATAATCGATACTCGACCTAAATTTAACAGAAACTACTCAATAAAAGTTAAAGAAAAAACTTACTTTCCATTTCCCCTGCAGTTCCTACTCGATCTTCGCCTCTTTTTTGTTTTGCTTTTATTTTACTTACAGCTGATCACATCCAAGTAAAACGAGAGGGTTCATTAAAAAAACAAAAAAAATAAAAAATAATCCTCGAACTTTATTGGGTGAAAATAAAAACGCTGGAGCAGAAAGTGGGGGGCATGGAGCGGTCCTCGGGGGTCCGGGAGGAGTTAAAGCATGTGCCGACCGCGGTCTCGCTGTTTGGTTGTGAAGGGGTTGGGAAAAGGAGGAAAGGAAATGAAAATCCGATATGTCTTTATTCTGCTAATTATTATCGTTTTAGCCCTGTTTAAAAAAATGGCTGATTAAGTTGAGTGCGCATGTCTTTGTGTGTCTATTCCCGATATGCACTCTGGGAATGAGAGAGGAGAGCGAGGGAGAGGGAGAGGGAGAGGGGGGAGAGAGAGGTGTAATTAGTGAGGTGATCAACATTCCCCAGACTGCAAATGACGCGCAGCCCGGACTCAGAGCAGCTCCGGAGCCTCACGGCTTCCAAAGCTCCCAGCGCTGCGGCTGGAGCCCCGGATGCGGCGACCGCGGAGAGGACAGGGGATGGGGACCTCCGGGTCTCGCACCCTACGCGCCCCTGCGCGCGACTCCCAAACTTCATTAGACACACACGCGCTCTTACACACAAACACAGACACACACAGAGCAAGAAGGGGAAAGAAATAAAACATAGATACCGCCAAAGCATGGCCCTTTAACCATTCGAGATTTTTTTTTTATTTTAATGAGGCAAAGTAATTATTATCGGACCAGAGATTTGTTTACTAGGGAGCTTTAAGCAGAAATATGAGTTAGGGTAATGAAGAGCTTTTCTCTGCCTAGTTTATTCTGCTGTGCACATGAATGCACTTTAATGGCGAAATGCGGGGGCCTGAGCAAATATGCAGATATATGTAAATAAAGGGTGCCTGGCTGTGTGCAAACACCGCTCAGCCCAGCCTATTTCAAAGGAGGAATTGCACTCTGGATCCTTAGGCACTCTATTTAAACACGTATCCTTCACTTGTATACGCAGGAGAGAAAACCCAGGGTATGGGAGATGGAAGCGGTTAGTCAAAGAAAACTTCCAAATGAGAATAAGTGACGGTTGCAAGAATGATGGGGGGGTGGGGTACAGTTCTAGCCTTTATGTAATATTCTTGAATATTTTATCAGAATTGCATAAGTTCAATGTAATAACTTTAAGAAGACTTAGAAAAGAAAAACCTTTCATCTTTTGAGTCTGTTGAGTTATCTTTCTTGAAGCACATTATGATGAATTTTAAAACCCCACTACAGATCTCATTAGAATGAAATATACTTGGTATTTTCTGGTGCAAAATTTAAGGTGGCTGATTCTCATTTGAAAATCTAATTATCTCTTTCCAATATTACAGATGTGAATATGAGTGACACTTTCATTAAAAGATAATTAACTAAAACTAGGAATAGACATACTTTTAAATACCCCCTACTGAATTTGGAATATATATATGGAAAAAAAAAAAAAATATATATATATATATATATATATATATATATATATATATATATGCATTGCTACTCAGCATCTTGATGCACTTCGCACTACTATACTACAGGTCACAGGTAGACACCATCTATGTAATATTTCAAAAATAGGAATTCTAAAGAGAAAGTAAGAATAACAAATCAAATGAACTAAAAACAGGAAATACTTGCAATGTCCAGTTTCCTGGACAGGTGATGTGTCAGCTGCCTTTGAGTTGACAGGCCTTTGAAGTTCTGGATCGCCAGGATCTGCTTCAAAACCTTGTCTTAGGCCTTAAGCACCAAATCTACCAAATACCAACAGAAAGATTTATCGCACAAGTATTTGGAACAACAGAGACTGCAAAAATGCATCTTTCCAGGCCAAAAACCTTGCATTATCAGGGAACGTTTGGAAAATCCTAGGACTGATGCAAATGGATTAAAAACCAAACAAAACACCTGGGAGGATAAAAGCACAGTCCTCAAAAAAGCAGACCTAGGCCCAGATCAGGAAAGCTGGTTGCCTTCAGCAGCTGGCTAAAGTTACAATGAAAGTCCAGAGGCATGGAGTGGAGAAAAAAACCCCTAGATATGGTCTTTATTAAGAGAAAAAAGCAAATCACCACCTTAGGGATCCAGAGTCAGGGCAGGTACTAGTGTTTTAGAAACCAAGGCTACTAAATGTTAACAGAAAGAAAATCATCTGTCTCTCCAAAGACTTTATTCGATTTTAAACTTCTTTGGGAAGAAATTTGTTGAAAGTGGAAAGCTTTCTAACATTTTAAAGTTACTTTGTTTACAGCCCCACCTTTACACAGCAATTGTATCACCAATTTGCTAGCAGTATCTGATTGCACCTCAGTGGGGCTTATCCATATGCCTTAAGAAACATACGTGCACACAGGGGTAACATTTAAATTCTCTGCAACTTGTAAGTGAAAAAGGTGTTTATGTAGCGTTACTGTTTACTGAAAAACACCCCAGAGAGCAAAATTTCTGGCTTTAAAAAAAGTACTTGAGGTGTGTGCATGGGGAAGGGGAGTGGGAGATTTTAAAAAGACTGAGGGGAAATGAAGGCAGGGAAACTTTCAGGTTCAAATCAGAAAAGATCAAGCCCTTTGCGGGAGAGGGCTCCATGTACAAGCTCACTGATGGAAAAACCATTTCCTGCGACTTCAGACGGGTAAATGCATATGATGAAGGAAACACCTGAGAACAATAAGTCTGTTTCAGGCTCAGGTGAAGAAAGAGGTCTATTTCTGGCATGGAAGAATAGGGAAATGATGATCATTTCGTTTTCAAGTTCTTTATTTCTTTTGCCTTTTCCTCCCTGAAACATCAATAACATTAATGTCATTAATGTCAAAACAGCAAACGTCAAATCAAGAAAACCATTAAAAAAAATTGGTGGCTATTTCTCCTCTACACCTCCCCCCGTCTTTTCTTGGAAAATACAACTGTGTGTATCCGTGTGTGTGTGTGTGTGTGTGTGTGTGTGTGTGTGTGTATGTGTGTCTGGTTGTGGGGGGCGGTTATTGATTTCTAAGTAAGGAAACAAAAGAGGATTTGTAAGGGGTGCCCACTTTATCAACCCCCTCTTTTGCTGGCGAGAATTCTCCTAACGTGTGTGTGTTGTTGTTGTTGTTGTTGTTGTTGTTTACCATCTCTTTCTCGTTTTCTTTCACCTTTTCCCTAAGAAGAGAGGCTGGAGGTGAGGGTCGGGGGTTAATGGGCTGAGGGAAGGGGCAGAGAGGTTCTAGCGCAGAGTCAAGAGTTTCCTCCAGGGCTTGGCCTCGGAGCGCGCCAGCGTGAGGAGGGCTGTTGGGCTGAAGCGGCGGCGGGACTGCGTGGGGTGGGCCCCGGGGCGCGGAGCGCGGCGCCGCTGGCAGGGGAGCGGGGAGGCGGGCGAGCCCGAGCCCAGCCCGCGGGCCGCTATGGGGCGCGAGCGCGATCCGAGCGGCTGGACCTGGCTGCTCCGCTGTGCCGCGGCCGCTTGCGCCCTACTTCTGGGCTCCCAGCGCCAGGAAACCCAGCTGCTCCTCTCGGGTCTCCGCGGACGCCTTTGACCCTGACTCCCACTCCCTGCCCCACCCCCATTCCACTGTCCCTAAACTCTGCGCGAACCCGCCGCCGCCCTCACGGAACGTTGGGCCACTTTTTATTTCAAAGTGAAAGGAGTAGAGGTTTCCCTGCCGCTCCGAGAACTTTCCCTAGATCCTCTTCAACACTTTACAGGGCAACCCCAGCCCAGCCACATCCACTGCAGAGCACTCGGACCCTGACATTGAGCACCGAGTTAGGGGAGAACCAAAAAGGACTACCAGGTGGTTAGGTGTTGAGTGTTGGAGGCAAGGAGTAATTAACATTGAGACAAAAGGTAATTTCCACTTCTAGACTTTTTCTTCGGCGTATTTTATTTCCCAAATCCACTCCGAGGACACTCTTCACAATCGGTCTAATGAGTTTTCAGCTGTTTGTTCTTTCTCCCACCCTGTCCTCACCAATTCACTAATAAATACCCCACCTCCCTCTCCCCAATGTCCCTCCAGCTCAAGAACAACTCCAGCCCAAGGGGAAAAAGGTTTCCAGTCTTTTGACCGCGCTTCCGGGGTCTATAGATGAGCTCAGTTTGAAACGAGGTATTACAAGATGTCAGCGTTAGGAACTCTTTATATCACCACAGACACTTAAAGATCCTCAGCCCCCCTCCTCCTTTTCTCTTTTTGTTGGGTCTTCTCCACCCGGGGGCTATTTAACAAAGGCAGTGTGTTAACTAACATTTTTGTTTAAGTTAGCAACCCCTTTCCAAAACACACTTAAGCCTGATACCAATATTTGTCACTGTGTGTGTAGGGGGGCGAGGTAAGTGACAGGGTTGGGGGGGTATTTATGTAGGGGAGAGATGTGAAGTTGACAATGAATGGAAAGGTGCAGGGCTTGTTTGGGAAGGTGTCATAAACACATTATATTTACAGTGAAATAATTCAAGAAATAGTGGGGTGTGTGTGGCTGTGTGTGTGATGAGGGAGCCAAAGATTTCTATACAGAACAAGGTATATATTTTTAAAGAACTAACAAAAAAGGGGGATTTAAAATATGACCTAACATTGAGAATGGACACTCTCTTTGATGGAGGGAGTGAGCTAGAGGAAATAAAATTCAAAAGGGAAAGGCATTTTGAGTGTGTATATACGTGTGTAGTATTTGTGGGCAGTTAAATTCCTCCCTGAATCCCTCCCCTCCTCCAGCTACACTCGCATCTCCTTTATGGTCTTCTTCTTTTTCTTAAAAAGCATAGAAATGTCCCCCTTTTGTTCCTGGGTCTCTGTCTCTGCACCTCTATATCCATGTGTATTTCTCTATTCCTGGACTAAAGTCCATTTTTGGCTTCTACTTTGGAGTAAATGTTTTAGCTTTTTTCTTTTTTTCCTTGGGGATTCTGACCTTTTAGGGGGCAGGGGAGTCATTATGTAGAGTTAGACACAGGTAAAGAAAGGAAGGGGGAAAGAAGGAGGGGCTAGAGGGTTTGAGGAAGGAAGAATTAAGGGAGGAGAGGAGGGAAAGGGAGAAGAAAGAGAAAAGTCAGATGCCCTCTGGTCTTTCAGAGGTCAGAGCTCAGACAGTGCTGTGACCTCTTTTCCCTCTAGGCAACCAGCCCAGTGTTTATAAACAAATCAGACAGGACTCTCCCCAAACAATAGCAGTACACTAACTTCATAAGCACTTCCACAGCACTTGTACAAATTAATGAGGACCCCTTATCACATTCCTCCCCCCAACACACATACATGTTCACACCACCAAAAACCAAGATCACAATCACACCCTCCTCAAATATATATGGAGATATTTCCAGCAAGAGTATCCAAAGAAAATGTTACATTCTGTCTGGGGAAGAGCTCCAAGATATGATCCAAATGGGAAAGGATAGACAAATAGAGAGAGAGAAGATACAGACAGACACACACACACAGACAGAATAACTAATTTCATTGAGCAGAAGATAAAGTGATATTTTAGACCTAAAAGCATCTATATCTAGTCAATGAAATGCTGTATAGACAATATACTAAACTCCGGCCACCAAATAAAATTATTTTAAAACGACATTGCATTCATCCAAACACCCACATCTCTAAGACAAATGTGCAGATATTTACAGCTGAAGAAAAGCCACCACCACTATATGCAATGTCCCTAAATATTAGACACAAGAGCACTCTTAAATCCTACAGCAAACAAAACAGCCCATCCAATCTAAGTTACAAAATGTATAATTGTTTCTATCTTTAATTACAAAAGACAACTAGCAGAAACTAAATGAATCAAAGATTTTGAAAGAAAATGTGGTTTGCCAAGATACAGGAATGGTAGCTTTACATTAAATTATAACCAAAACACCAATTCAGAAATAAATGACAAGATAGAAAAAGAAGGTGAAAGAAAAAAAATGCATTAAATGATTTTCAAACTTTTGCTTTAAAATGATTATCAGTTAAAGTCTAAGAGAAAAAGGTTAAAGAAAATATACCTCAGAGCAAAAAGATCATCTCCTTTTCTTCTTTGTCTATCAGTCCCCTGTTAAAGCATATGGAAAATGTTTTCAAAATGCCCAGATTTGGCACATTGTCATTGCAAAGAGGAGCGCAGTGATGCTGTTAGAGAAAATGGGAAATAAATTCAGGATTGGGTGCTGCCTCCTTCAATGCGGATTTATCTAAGTTTAATTTAATATTCCGCAATCACTGAATGATGGCATATAATTCACCAAGATTTTAAAGGGCTTTATTTAAATACCTTGAGCAATAAGAGAATGAAATTTAAACCATTTCAGCCATTGCTTATATTTTTTGTTTATTTTCCTATTAGGAGAAATGTAAGTGGCAATTTCTAATAATAAAAGGAAAAACGATGAAGATTTAGGTTTTCTTTGGGGGGGGAGAATGTTAAAGGAAAGCATTAGCTTTATTAAAATCATTCTGAACGTAAAATCAAAAAGCACAAAATGGTTGTTTGTAAAACACTAAACCTTTAATCGATTTTATTGGCATTCCGATCGATTAGATAAACGGAAATCTATAGCAAACATCAAAGCATTTAAAACATTTTCTCTATCTCATTTATAAACAAAACTTTTCTTTTCAGCAGAAAAAAATGATTATCAAACGACTAACAGGAAATTCTTCAGATATCAAATTACGATAATAAAATTATTTCCACATGGAAAGGGATAATGACAATGATGATAGTAATTACAATAATGAATAATTCAACAACCCTTTGACATGTATGGAAGAACCTCAGCAGAAACGGGTGTTTGAAGGGGGGCTATTTTAAAATAAATACTTTATTTTTAAAGGAATATTTTAAGAGACAACTCGAGGGCAGTTGCTTAGGTGTGCCTGCCGAACTAGTGTTGATTTCCCTGCAGATGTAAAGGAGTCGATTTCTTTGCCGGCGGTTCCCTTCCAAATTGAGTTACTTCTTATAAGCAAAATTAATATGCAAACAAGAGTGAGCCCTACCAGATTTACAAACTAGTGTCTGGACTTGTCTTCTACCTATTCTTAAAGGTGATTCCCAAATTATAGAGAGGGGCGAGGACTAGACTCTCCAAACCTGAAGTGAAGGAAAACGATTTATTTGGAGATGTGAAAACTGCTGTCCGGAGAAATGCAGCCATTAGAGCTTATGGCATTCTAGCTGTGGCGGCAAGAGGAAGTGTTGCTGTAACGGGTATTATGTTTATTTGTTAAAGAAAATCAATGGAAGTGGCTGTAAAGTAGTTAGTGAAGCGTGTGTTTGGGACTCGCGGGGAATCGTGACTCCGGCAGGCTGGTCGAGCAGCCTTCTCATTGCCAGCAAAGTCCCTGCGTCGCCCGGAGCCGGGGCGCGGACCGCGCGGCACCTGGCTTCGCGCTCGTGGGTCCTGCCCCGCGCTGCTCTGGTTGACCGCCTGTCTACACAATCTTCTGCCCTCTCTGTCCGAAGTCCTAGCAATTGCTCCCTGACTCGGGCTCCTTCCAATTGACTGTGGTTGTCTTCCCACGCCCCGCCTCAGCAGCACACAGCTTTTTCCTCTTTTTCTCTTAGGGATTCTTGTCGTTTCCTCCTTTCCTTACGCTGGGAGCCTGAACTTATGTTCCTTTCCTTCTCCTGGAATCTCTCTGAATCTCCCAGTCCCTTGGGTGAATCGCGGACTATTTCTTTCCTACCTTGCCCCTCCCCCATTTCTCTCTCCTGCCATTTATTTAGCACCCGGGTCTTCTTACCCTCGCACTTCTATCCTCTCCTCCAGACATTCCAGAGAGTTCTCATCACACCAGAATGCACTTTTTTTTCTCCTCCTCCTACTCCCTTTGGATTGGGGAGTAAAGGGGGATTTCGAGTTGAACTCCCAGGGGTTTTATTCTATTCTTTTAACAGCTTTACTTTCCCTTTTCTTCTTTGCATAACCTTCACCTACCTACTAATTTATAACAGAAGCGGTTTCTTTCCCTTTCATTTCCTAGTTTACAATTTCCGTCTGGGGTTGTGCATTGCACATGCACTCTCTGACTTCCCCGCCCCCGCTCCCCCCGCCCCGCCAGCCTCCGTCCAAGGCAACTATTTTCTTATACTCGGTTGCCGTCTAATTGCACTTTCTCTTCTCGGAGTTAAGTTAGTTTCCACGATATAAAGTTCACCGTACAGCGCCTTTGCATCTGTGAAATTATTTCGTTGCCCAAATGAACAGTAGGGTGTGGGGGGAAATGTATCAACCATTTAGGTCCCTTTTAACACCTTTTTACTCTCAGTCCCACCACCCACTCCAGTAATGTCTAATGTGAATAATAACGAATTCTGGAAGACGTTTCCTCTCAGCGCGTGCTGATTGCTCATGAGTTATTCCTGAGCGGGTCTCAAAGCCCTCACTTGTATCTTCTGACTTCGAGTGATCACCATTTCAACCGTCCACCCTTTCTTCTCTTTCCCTCACTGGCAGCCCTGACTGCGGGAGGGGGACGCAGCCTAAAGACCTCGTACTCTTGCTTCTTGTTTCTAGCTGCTGCAGCTGCCGCTGAAATTCGCTGTGGCCGCTGCCTCTTCCCGCTTTAATCCCAGACCTCCAGTCATTGGGCAGCTCCTCAGAGGCAAGAAGTCAACACCATGGCAACCCGACAAGCCTATCAAATCACCGGCTGGCGTGACAGCAGCAACACTGCAGGCAGGAGTGGGCTGGGCGGAAGAGCAGAGTGGCCACTGCGCTCAGGTACACAGTCTGGGAGTGGACAGCAGCTGCTGGTCTCCACGTTCTGGCTACACATATGTGCACCACCCAGTCCATACCCCTACCTTATGTGCCCTAGTAGGTTCTGGAGGAGAAAGGGGAGGAGGAGAAGGAGAGAAGCATATAGGCTTGGAGGAACAGGAACCGCAGAAAAGAGTTTTAAACTAAAAGGAATCCAAGTCTTAGAATTGTAAACTAAAGATGTCTTGTGCCCCAGCAGTCTATGAAAACAAGTCACAATAGGCTCAAAACTAAATGGAATGAGTTTACACAAACAAGGTGTGTGTGTGTGTGTGTGTGTGTGTGTGTGTGTGTGTGTGTGTGTTTGCCAGTTCTGTTATTTGTTTGAACATTAATGCAACATTCTGTTCTGGAGCTCCAAAAGGATAAAGGAAGATGTTGCTCTGGAGTTCCAAAAGGATAAAGGAAGATGTTGCATTTTAAAATTTTCTTGTCTGCCACTGTTGGAGTCTGCTCAACTTTAATTTCAGCTATGGTAATGGTAATTGGCTTCCTTGAAGATGACCTAAACTTTACCTGAAACCGTCTTTGCCTTGTTCTTTCATAAAAGGTGTGTTGCGTGTAATGTGTGTTCTAGATCTTGATTCCATAAAGGGAAGAAAGAGAGGACACCAGGAAATGTGTGTATTCCTCTAAGGCCTACCTGGCCTTTGTATTTCCTCATTTTCCTTAAGAAATGTTGAATTAGGCAGATGAAGGAAGATGGGCATTTCACTAACATTTCAGAGCATTGTGTAAATTACCATGAGATAGATTGGAATTGCATTGTTCTTTTTTATTTTAAAAGCAAACAATATTTTTGAGAAACACCCAACATATTTCTTAACTTACAATTTCATTGTGAAACCTTTGACAAATATTTGTACAAGAATATAGAATGCTATCATTGACCAAACGTCCCCCCTAGGTCACTTATCTCATCATGATTTCTAAATTTTGGAATGCAAGTTTGCCTGTTGAAGTTGTATAGGACAGAAAGGAAAATTTATTTAATAACAAAGGTAATGTGTCTTATTGAGGAAATCTTGTATGAATTACAAAATCTACACTTAAATCCACTCCACATAAACACGATTCACTAAATAAACAATTTTTATATTGATCTAACATTTTTATGAAGAGGCTTTCAATGTGTAAGTATTTAAATTATACTTGGCATCCATAAAATGTTAGAGAACTAGAAAGGCTTTTAAAAGCAGCAATTGCAATATTAAGCAGAGTAGGATGGAGAGCCAATGTTTGAGGCTATAAAGAAAAATTCGATGAAATCTTGAACTTCATTTCCTTACTTTCTCTGTGTTTCATTGTTGATAGATCCCAATATTAAAACAGTATATTTTCAAAATATAATTTATTATAGAACCAAAATGGGCATAATTACTGGCACTAGAGAAACAGGTCATGATATCCTAGAAAAAACTTTTGGACATAATATGATTTTTCCTGCATTGAAACTCTAATGTCATACTGGTAATATTTTCTTATTCTGCGCTACTGTGCAGAGTTGCTTAATGAAGAACCGCCAAGCACACAGAGCTGATATTTGGTTATTGCTTAAATGGCTACCTCAATGCCAAGGTATTGATATCCTTAAATATTTTTGGCTAATTCACATTACATTTAACATGTGCTGAGCGTTTACAGTGGAAAACATATGAAGAAACATAATACTGTAATTTAAAACTAAAATGCGTATATTTAATTTGTTATCTCCTGAAACTACATTTGTAAATTTAAAATATTTTTAAAGATAAGTTTAATAAAATGTTCAAAAATATTTCAGTATACTTTGGCTTTTGTAATAATAAATGAGCACAGGAAATATGGTGACATTTAATATTTTACTATTTCTTTTAATGGCATGTCCTCAGTTAATGGAAAACTTTCAGTACTTCGGGATCTATAATACTATTCGTGTGCGTGTGTGTATATAGTATGTTATTTAAGGATACTGTCACTCAAGTGTTCATTTCTATGTTAATATTTCTAATTTTAAAAAATTAAAATGAGATGAAGTTAATATATTAAAGAATTTAAACCAAAACAAATGCCTAGGTATTTTAAGAAATCCTTTGAATTTTTCTTAAGTTTTTCTTTATCATGAACTTGCCATTTATGGGTGATTGAAAATTGAAACAATTTTTTTGCATTTATAACACAAATATTTATTTTTTAATTATAAATCAATTTTAGTGTCTACCATTAAAAATACCTTCATAGGTTGTATAATATATGACCATCTGTTTAAATATAGATTCATGTATATGCCACACACATGTTGCTAGTTAGCTTTACATTCAAATCTTTACATTTAAAGCTATTTTTTACACTTTTAGTACTTTCCATATGGATGCTGTTAGAAGGAGGAAATTTCTCTCCTTTAGCTGATGAATAAGATAGTAGAATTAAACATAGTTTAAATACTACATTAAAAAAAATCAATGCAAGGATGCCTCACTCATTTTCAACAGGATGGATACCATCTCCATAGAGTTCATTCTTGACCTTACCTGAGTAAGTACTTTAACTTAAAGTATGAGATGCACCTAGAGGGGTAATACATTGAGCTTAATAGGAAGACAGTTAATAACCTTTTTTCATCCTCGTGCACTATCAATCATGGCTGTCACCAGTCTGCTGAATCAAAGCAAAAGTGTTCTTCACAGATGACTGATTAGAAACGCAAAATCACAAGATCCATCTTCATGGTCACTTTTATTATAGTCATTTTTAAACTGACAGCAACCTGCTCAGCTTCAGCACACTGGGCATCACAAATAGTGTCACTCAGTGCAGCTAGGCATGAGAAGAGGTTGGTTGGATTATACTGAGAAATAATTAGGCCCTCAACCCTTTGTGGTTCCTAGAAAAAGGTATTTGGCTCTCAATCTCCCCTCCCCCACTCCTAATATATTTTGATTCCGTTGTATCATTAGTTTAGCATTAGAAGGGAGGAGTCTTAGGGTATAGTTTTATCCCTGTTAATTGTCTGGGAATTAGGAAATGAATATGTCTACTTGAAAATTACATACAACTTTTTGTGTACCGTCTTTTGTCAACTTCATGACAACCAGAAATATTGCTACCCTCACAGGGGTAAATAGTTTAAATAAGGTGGTTTTTATACAAATATGTGCGTGTGTGTTCACGCTTCAGAAATCTAAGTAGTCAGGTCATAGTAAATGATGCCCACTTACTAATAAGGTGTCCTTTTTCTGTGGAAAGCATTTAATACCATCACTTGAGTGCTGTAACACTGGAATTACTGAGGCTCTAACTAAATGCATAGTCTTAAAGAAGGCCAAAATATTAACTCTTAGGTAGCTGTGTAAATTCTTGACATGTAGTGTCATATTTTTTTCAGCCCTAGAATATTGAAAAAAGGACAAATTTGGAAGACCAACAAATAGATATACGTAAAAAGCATTACAGTAGGAGGTTTGAAACAGTTATAGCAGAATCAAATGATAAGGAACTTTGTCTTTACTAAGACTCTTCATCTTTGTGATACAAGATGAAACTTTTGGGTTTATTTCATGATATTGTCATACATGCCTTAAGAATATTTTATAGTACTATATGACAGTATTGATAAGAACATTTACATGGGGAAAGTTTTCAATAGAAAATCTTCAAAATATATTGTAATTCTAATGCCCATTTTATAGGTTCATTATTTCATATTTTGGGAAAGTAAACCCCAATAGATTTAAGTTTTAGTTTAGTAATTTTAACCAAAGTGCCTTATTTTAGGTCTCCATACAGTTATCTTTTCCCCTCATCTCAAATATCCACTTTCTTGTTAGTGTGCGCACACACACACACCCCCCCAAACACTAAGAGAAAGAGAGATAAGTCATTAATAATGTTTATATAACATAATAACCTTAGATTAACTTTCAGACATGTGAATATCCTACCTTTAACTTTTCTGTAAGGTACCAATTTTTTTCTCCATCTCTCTATAAACCGCCCCCCCACACACAAACACACACATATGCACACACAGACATACACACACATCTTTATTATTTATTCTAGGTTATGACAATGTTTTTCTCTTCTGTGCAAAATACATAAACAGCATACATATACACATAGTCATATATATGCATGTACGATATATCTGTGTTTTCTACAGATGGTAATAGATGTCTAAAAGTACTCTATAAAAAGGCTAAAATTAATTTCTTTAATATTGTACTTTGTTATACATATTTTTGTATATAGAAGAATCAAATTATATTGTGAAATAAACCCAATTAGCTATCTAGTTTCATTGTATATTTTTAGTTAAATAACACTTAGAATTTGAATAGAAATGTTAGCTGATATTTTAAAATATTTTCACCTTATAAAAATTAATAATAACAATACTTATATTATTAAATATGTAAAATTAGGGCTAACTGAAATGTTTATGTATTTTTAAGCTACATAATTACATAAATAACAATGCAATAATCATCTTAATGTGTTCATTTTCAGTTCACTTTAACAATAAAAACAGAATGTCTCCTGACAAAATGTCTCTCTGTGTTTGTGTGTGTGTGTGTGTGTGTGTGTGTGTGTGTATTTACTTTGCATACATTAAGTTTACACTTCTAGAAAGGACAATCTCATAGAATTCAATATTGCTTTTAAATTTTTGGCGGTAAAATATTCTTTATGACTAGATCATACACATCAAAATATTTATGAAAAAGATATTTATTTGAAATTTCTGGAATCTGTCCAGGATATTTTGCTAGTAAAACTAATGCAGTGAAATGATACACATTTTTTTTTTTTGGCATCATCTTGGTAGTCTATGCAGGTGGTCACTATAGATCTTTAATATTAATCTTTAATATGCATCATAAATATGAAAATTTATAAAATTTATAACAATTTTAGGTTTAGCATCATGTTTTCTTCTACAGATAGGTCTTAATGGACCGAGAAAATAAAAATAATTTTCTCTTTTAGAAATTTAATTAAAACAAAATATTTAAAGAAAATTAGCTTCTTTTAAAAGTTATCATGGAATGTTATTATTTGAGATTTTCATGTTTTGACAAAAATTGAAACCAACATTGACTTACACTTAAAGCATTATTGTTAATTTGGAAACTGTTTTGGAGAAAATATTAACATTTTTATTTCTCTGAAATCTTTAACTATTTTGCTGTTAGTCGTTTTAAATACCTATCTTATGTCCATTGTTTGTGCTTACATTTTCGTTACTGAGAACATTCTTATGTTTGTCAATATATAAAGCAAGCAACTTTATTTAATATAAGAATATTACATGATAAATGGACTAGCATAGTTGGTAGAAATACACTTAATATATAAATACATGTTAATCAAAATATATTTGAAATTGAAAAAGCCTAATAATGTTTGTGCATTGTAGCTTGGGCTAGAATTTATATTTGTGCATTACATGTAATATTTCTATACATGAATGCATATACATAACTATACCTAAACCCTTTCATATTTAGGTCATTGACTTATTTTGAATGCTATCACACAAATATTACAATTATCTTTGCCATACCTGCATTTATGCAGTTTGAATATGCAGTTACAACATTTCTCTTTTTCCTGGAGTGTGATTTCTCCCTTGGTAACTGAATTGTTCTTTGTTGAATCTTTGTGATTAAAAAAAGTAAAAGCACTGTTGTATGAGTGTCAGTTTGCAATAAATGTGTGAGAAGATGTGTGGTCAGGACAGTCTGCCTATCTTTTAGCATGTCTTTTCTACCTGGGCTTAACTAAAGCTATTTAAAGAGAAAAGAAAATAAAGCAAAGGTCAAACAAAAATCACTGTTAGCATCTTGTAGTAAAAGAAAGAAAATCTTGAGATATTTACAATTATTTATTACATAATTTTTACTGAATGTTAACTTTCAAAATGCTGCTATTACTATCACTTTTTATTAAAATCGTCATTTTGTTCAATTGTTGCTTTTTAGTTAAAATGTGACATATACAGACCTTAAAAATCTCTAAAACTAGAATTATTATTTTTTCTGCTGCTCATGTTCCCCAAATCTTTCTGCCTTTCAGCCACTAAAGCTAGAGGATGAATTTTATAACAAATAGACTATTTTGATTGGTGTGCTTTATTCTTACCTATTTCGGTTTACAAAAATATGCAAATAGGTGTAATGACAACCTTCAGAATGTATTCTAAGATGTTAATGATATTTTCAAGTAAACGTTTAGGATAATATTTTATAATGATCCTTTTCTTGATAGCTAAAGCTTTTATATGTAAACCTCCACTTATATATTACACTACCACTGAAGAATTTTAATGTATTGCAGTTCATTTTGCAATAGATGCACAAACATTCAGAGTAGCATGATGTTGCTTAGTTATTCCTCATAGTTCACATTTAGATTTTCATTTGAATTTTTCCTTTTTCAACATTTGGATATCATTTCATTAACTATCATAAACCAGTAGTTTAAGGAGGAGCAATTCTGAAATATAAACACTCTTTCTAGGATTTTACAGCATTGCCATAGGAGAGAAAGAAGGGACTAGCATTACTTTACTCTAAACATTTCCCTGTTATGATTATAAGAAAAGATCTGATACTGTGGCAATTTTTTTCATATGTGATCTTTCTTTAGAATTATTTTCAAAGTCAACTGTTCTTAGACCTTATTTTCATCTCCAAAAAGCATAAGTTTTGTTTCTTTGTAAGATATTTCTTTAGAGCATATCTTAGTTTAATTCACTTTTAGCAAAAGAAACACCCAGGCTCAATCTGGAGACCTCCTTCCAACATAATTTAGCTGGACCTTTTCTTAGTAAAGGTTTTCTGGTTTTCATTTTCACTTCATATTCTCAAATAAAAGATCCTTTGTTGTCTACCATTTGATTGGACTTAATGAAAAACACTCCATTTTAACTTAACAGTATTTCCTTTTGAATTTATTATATTTAAGAACACTGTCAAAAATCAAACATTTAATCTCAGGTTTTTATATTTCAAAATATATTACTATCACATGGCTCAGTGAGGTGATGTAAAAAGTATACTGAAAAGATTTCAAAAAGAAAAGCAAAAGTGAAAAAACCTGGCTTCATTTTAATATGAAACTAAATACTATGGCTAATGTGCAGATTGGGTACGGCAGCTGACTATGAAGACGAACATGTGACAGGGTGCCAACAGCGGAATTGTGCAGTATTGACTAAATGAGGTTCACTGATTTGTATTGAGGCTAATATCTTCTTTAAACAATTCCGTGTAAATTGTGCGTATAAAGTCATTGGAAGCTATTTCTCAGGACAGCCTCGCTGGCTAGCTACCTGCTGGAGTGAGGAAGATAATCAATAGGAAGAAATAGAGCTGAGCATGAGCCTGGGAAGCTGCAGAGCAGTTAATGCTGATAAAAGTAGATGATGTCAATATTTGGGAATAGCACAACTCTAGGATAATAGACAAAAGAGAAGTGCATATGTTGTAGGGTGTTCAAACAGGGGCAAAATTAAAGCCTAAGTGGCAGATGATGTCCTAGGCTGCAAAAGACATTACTTATTACAGGTATTGTTAAATTTCTACTGAAAGCCATACACAGAGCAAGATATTGTATATAAAAGATACCTAACTTTTATCAGAAGCTTTACCCATTTCTATTTCAATGGTCAGTAGCTTTCTGCTCATGATTAATAAGGAAAGACTGTCTTTAAAACATTTGGTAGATATATTTTTACATGCATAGAACTACATGTCTCATTAAGAAATTAGTTTTTAAAAATTATCTGAGTTGCTTCCAAAATAGAGTTAAAAATCATATAAAAGTGCAAATGAAAATAGGCTGTCAGTCAAAGGGTGACACCAAAGACATAAACCTAATTGCCTTTGCATATATTTGTGATTATAGCAGATGCCCTATTTTTTAAAGCTACTAGACTTATTGGAAGTGAGTTAATGGTATATTTTTACAAACTTAATACTGAAAATCAGTTTTCCTCTTGCTGTCAGGTGATGAAATTTTGTTCTTCTGTGCTGATCTTTCTGTTGATGTATTATGACATAGTCTGTCAACATGAACAGATATGTGAAAGGAGATTGGGTGACTGAGAAATACAACCTGCATAGAGCTCTTCTTGAATTTTAAGCGTGTTATCATGTTTGGGTACAACAAGTAAGATTGTGCTTGCTTTAAAATGCTGTTATTTTTATATAATTTAAGCCCAAGTAAAACAGGTGGACCATGAGAAGGTTCTAAAGTGGAATGAGTGAGCCAATTCCAAAACATGTATTTCAGAATATCTTTTATAAAGCTTTTCACATCATAAGTTGATTCCTTTAAAAAAATCATTTGCAAAATGTAAAAGTTTCTTGACAAAGAGGAGAAATCAATTCATGTACATGTGATTATTAAACATAGCCATTTTCTCCCAAATTAAACAATTCCACAACTGTTACATGCTTTTATTGTCGCAGATGTTTTTATTGTTTGGTGTTAGATATCTGGATTATATCAAGTACACGATTCTGAGGTTAGGTAAAACAGCCAAGCCTGATAGTGTTTACTTGGAACCAAGCTAACAAATGTTATTAGAAAAGCAAGTACATTTATCTAGGACCTTTCCTTTTAAACATATTTTAACCATAAATATACAGATTTAAATAAATGGTACCTCTGCTTTTCATTTTCTGCTTTTATTTTGAGAATAACTATCTATTTTGAAAATAATTTACAGATTTAGCAAACTATACGTTGCAGTTATTAACCTCAGATACTAATTATACTAATTTCATATTCCAGATATATAATTTTATAAGCTCTCCTACAAATAAAACATTTGCTTTAAAAAATTGCTATGATGTTGTCATATATTTCATTTTTCATCTTAAATACAAAGAAATAAAATATCCTTATTCATTATTGAATTATAAAGAAGGCTTCATTTCAAATAAAGTATGAATTTTGATTTAGAGACACAGAAAAAAAATCTTTTAAGATCTATACTTCAACTAATTTGTTAATCTTGTGCCACTTTCAGCATTTGTCACACATATAGACCAGGAAATTGGCTCCATCTCATTCTAGCTCTGTATTGAATTAAAAACCTCTACTGCAAAGAAGAGCATGATGTGGGGAAAGAATAAATTTAGTTCTTTCTTTAGTAATGCACATATATTTCCATACATTTCACATCCTAAGGGAGCCTATGAATGCGTTCAATAAATACAAAACTATAAAGTATAATTCCAAGAAAGGAACAGGTTAATTTTTTTTCTGGTTTCAATATAGCATTTTAAGGTTGAAGACTGAAAATTAAGTATTTTTATTCATTTATTTTACTTTCCTTTTAACAGACACCTTCAGTATTAAAAGTAAATCCGTAATAATGAATCTTAGTTGTTCCATCCACTTGGATAATGTTAGCAGGTTTAGATCAAAGCAAATTAAATATCAGCAGTGGCAAATCGAGAAAAATGTTTTATGCCATTTGAATCAAGGTTTACATTTAGTTCACTAAAGTCCATCCTGGCTAATTTAGTAGGTATTGTATGCAAGCGACATATATGTATACATTGAAAAGAGTGTCCATTCCTATTTCATTTGTCTAGGGTAACAGAAAAGGTCTTTTTCAATAAAGTATAACAATAAAGGGTTAGCTTTTACACATGATGAGGGCATTTCTATTAAGATTTTGTTAAAATGAAATATGCCCCACAGGTGATTGAGATTACTGACTTGGAAGATAGACTTTCTGTATGTATAGTTCTCTATACTTTCAAATATTTGAATCTTCGACTGCATTCTGAGAAGACAGTACAGTGTGGTAGATTTATGACGGCCTCACCGAAACAGAACTAGCAAAGATTATGGCTTGCTTGTTTAGAATAACAGTGAACTGAAAGTTCCTGATTTACACCAACATATATCTAGATGAAACCACAGTTTGCAAATTGTCTTGAGGAGTCATCTTTTATTAAGCATTTGATAGGTATAGAAATGTACATGTCTATTTCTAAACATATTATAATAACTATGCTGATATTATATTTGCAAATATTCTATTTAATATTTTTAGGTTAAAATTAATTTACCTTATATATTTGTATTTCTGGAATGCCTTAAAATTTAATTTCCAGCAATAAATATCATGTTAAAAGATATGTTTTATAATATATCAAAAAAAGGTCCAATAGTATTAAAAATTTTGAGACGTCACAGTAAATCTGCATACTAAGACATTCAAAATTTTTGTCTTTTTTAACATTTGTATTCGTATTCAAGGATAAAAAATAAATCATCAAAGACTGCCTAAATTGGTCAACCTAAAGCTACCCAACTTCTTCGCTTTTTAAGTGTTTAATCACCATGATCTTTATTTGAAGGGTAGAGCTGTTTCCCTCTTACTTTATAAGGCCAGCGAAGACACTCCCTTACTAAATTTAGGACTAAAATTGTGAGCAAATGTTCTTATAGACTTTTTCCTATGGGAAGTCTTATCCGTGTATTATCAGAAATGACAGAATGCATGACATAAACTTGTAATTATTCTGCTATTCATTTCTAATTCTTGTGACTATATTCTTTGCTCCCCCCTTTAAATTTTTTTAATAATAGCTTATAGTGTTACCATTTATATTTGGGTGAACCACAAATTATTTTTCCAAATCCCACATACCAATTTATATACTTCCATTTAATCTGAGAAATAAATGTTTGGGAAAAGGTGAAGATGTTATACAATTAGATGACATAACTTTGAAATTGCTGGAGTCACAGCTCCCTTGAAATCCTCATTCTATTGGTTTGATTAATCTTGTATTTTAAAGCTTAAGAGTTTAGATGCTTAATATTGGTATTGTGTAAATTAGGTGTTCCTGGAAGTCATATTTATGAATTATTTTGTGCCCCAACTGTTTCAGGGCATAAAATTTCTCTAACAGACAGCAGCTGACAGATTGGGAGAACCTGGCTCAAAGTGTCAGATAACTTTTAACTCTAATGTAAGTTTTGAAAGTATCTTTTGGCTCTCTCATTTTTTAAAGGGATTTAGTAATGGAAAGCATTTGAAGTGCATACTTCTACTATTGGCCCAGGAATTGGAAGGATACCAGCTCAGGCTCCTTCTTCCTTCATTTCCTTTTTCCTTCTTCCTTCCTTTTTTTCGTTATTTCAATTTTTGTCTTTTGCTGTGGTTAGAGAACACCTAACATGAGATTTAACCTCTGATATGGTTTGGCAGTGTCCCCACCCAAATCTCATCTTGAAATGTAGCTCCCATAATTTTCGGGTGTTGTGGGAGGGACCCAGTGGGAGATAATTGAATCATGAGGGCAGTTTCTCCCGTACTGTTCTGGTGGTAGTGAACAGTCTCATGAGATCTGATGATTTTATAAGGGGAAACCCCTTTTGCTTGGCTCCCTGATTCTGTCTCGCCCAGTCAGGTAAGAAGTGCCTTTGGCCTTCCACCACCATTTTGAGGCCTCCCCATCCACATGGAGCTGTGAGTTCATTAAACCTCTTTTACTTTATAAATTACTCAGTCTTTATCGGCACTGTGAAAATGGATTAATACAACCTCTTAACAAGTGTTTAATTGTTGAGTACAGTATTAGCTATAAACATAATGAGATACAGTAGTTCTGTAGAGCTTTTTCTTCTTTCATAACTGAGTACACCTGTTAAAAACCAACTCCCTATTTCTCTCTCTCTCTAGTCCTTGGTAACCATCATTCTACCCTCTGCTTCTAGGAGTTTGACTCCTTTAGATATCTTATATAAATGGGAAAATGCAGTACTTGTCCCTTTGTGCCTAGCTTATTTCACTTAGCATAATATCCTCTAGTTTCACCAGGATACCTTTCTGTGTCTAACATTATCCTCTCCTTCCTTGGAGGATCACAGGGAAGGGGCCTAGTTGGAATGTTCAGTATGAAATGAAGCAGTTCATTTACTAAGAGTTTGGAAGATGAAAGTCAAAAGAGCAAGACTGCTGAATTCTATGGGAAATAAGCCCACCAATGCTTTTAGCCACCATTTGAGACATTGCTGACTGTTGGGAAGCAAAGTTAATGTTCACTGCGTGCTCACGATGTACCAGGCATGGTGATAAGTGCTTTACTAAAATGGCCACATTTATCCACATAGCTCCCCACTGAGGTAGGTACTATTATTATCCCCGCTTTACAGAAAAGGAAATTGAGTCACAGGTTTTAAGACGCTTGCACAAGTTTATAGAACAGATAAGTACTAGAGATGGGATTCAGCCTTCTATATGAGCACTGTCATGCTGCTTCCCTAAAAGTCACATAGCAAAAAATGTTCTTTTCTTTGAATCCAAGGGGGTAAAAATATAATCTGTCTCAATGGGGGAGAAACAGTCCTCCATTCACCTCTCCTAGCTAAGAAATAAGGAGAAAGTGTCCTTGGCCAAAGTCAGCTGACTTTGACTATTTGGTTCTGAAGAAGAGTAGATGTATCTAGAGTTAGACAACCCAGGCTAGATGTCAGAATGATGGATGTGACAGATCTAATTTTCAGGCTCTGTCTCAGTGGTATGATGTCCAGACTTTCACCATTCTCAGTGGCATGATTTTTACCAATGGGTTTGTAAAAGATGCTCAAGTTTAGTGGAATCCAAGTATTCCATGTGAAAGTATGATATTTTGACTTATGTGTTTCTGTACCATTAATAGGAATTATTGATGATGTCCTTCTTTCCAAGAGCATATTCCTTAGTTGTGGTTGTTGCATTTACACACCATTGTTAAAGACCAATTATAAACTTATGATACTTTGAGAGAAATTATTGCTTTTTACCCTCAAGATAGGATTCAGTGCCTAACTTTCTGTTCTTTTTATCAATAATCGCTTCTATTATTTCTGTTGCATTCACTTTTATTCAAAAAGGCTTTTATTAAAAATTGCCTTTTTTTGTTACTCATCAGAGTTGCAGATTATGTGAAAATCAGTTACAACCACTGAACCAGACCCTATTACACTATATGTCTATACTCTGTTGAGGTAATATGAACATTTTGCTTCATTTTTTAAAACTACGGAATTTACTTCTGTTAGCGAGTGATTCACATATAGTAGGTGCTCAATAAATGCTAACCAAATACATAAATATCTGCTTTGATAATAATCTGATTTAAAGGGTCCATAGAACTTTGATCCTAATATTGATCATTCAGATTTATTATGTTAAAAAAACTTTGTTTTTCCCCCTAGGTTACCATAAAAACAGGAAGATAGTAAATGCAGTTTGCTAGTATGTATTAGGGAGGAAACAGAGATGTCAGAAAGGCAAACAAGTATTATTAAGCAAACTATAGAGCAAAGTACATAAGAGTGGAAGCATTGGGGTCAGTGAAAAGAGAGAGAGAATTCTAGCTCCAGTTCATATGGTGGTGCGATCCTAGACCATTAATTAACTTTCTCGAGCCTAGTGTACTTTTTCTATAAAATGGGTATTATAATAACAGAGATAGATGCCTCAATAGAGGATTGTTAAATATCCTGTGAAATGGCACAGGGCCTGGCACTGTATAAGCACTCAATAAATATTACCTATCATTATCATCAATTTATAGGAGATTTTAATGCCTCTAAGTATGTATCAGTTTGCTATTTGAAAAGTTATATTTTTGGCATATTACACTAATAAATGATATTTTCAATAAAATCCTTATAATTTTGAAAATTCCCCCAAGAATCAAACAGTCTCAAATCTGAGGGAAATTTTTTTTAAAGAAAAGATATAATTTAGAACATTATGATTACATAAACTTGTTGAGTTTATAAAAATTAAATTTTAAAAAGCTTGGTTTTATATGTAGAAGAAATACTCTATACACAAAATTTAAAATTAAATATAATTTTCTTTTTATAAATGCCATGGGATTAACATTTTTTCTTGCATTGTGGGCTACAATGTTGAATGAGATCCCATCTCTATCCTCATGAAATTTATAACCCACTGGCATATTTAGTGATGAAAATTATAACAAAGAGCAGTATGGGAAAAATTAATTCCATGAAACTAATTTGGGAGTATAAAGCTGGGCATATAATTTATGTTGTAGACTACTGAGAATACCATGCCATTATCAAACCAATTTAAGCCTGCATCTGTCCCTGTTGTGTATGTATGCACGTATGGCTATATGCATTTGTTCATGAATTGTGAAAACAAAGCAAAAAAGTATACTTTCATGCAAGATATCATTGCCTATTTGTAGAAAGAAAAATTGTGTTTTTTCTTCTCACCCTTAAGAGAAGATACTATTTCCCTAAAGGAACAATTACATGCTGCATAAACTGACATGCACGCTTGTATAACACAGTCATGATAACAGTGAAATGGTTTGTAAATAGCAAAATCTATCCAGCAAAAGTAATGTTTATGATGCTTTCTGCATTCTTTCATTTTTAAGTTTTCCACTTTCTTTCAAAGTCTGCCGAGCAATGACATACATAATTTTAGGAAAAGGAAAGGCAAAAATCTTTCCCTTTATGACTGACAAAAATAACAAATATTCCATCTTTTCCTTGTCCGTTGACTTGGGACACTTGTGCCCTCGTGTGTGACCACAAGGCATCCTTTCTGTTGACAGTTACAAGCAAAGTGTAGCTGCCTTGATTGACTGTGGCACAGTCAAAATAAGCCAAAATGTCTCGAATGATTTGGGCAGCCAAATTGTCGCTGTGTAGGGCATAGTACAGCCGTCTGCAGGATGCTTCGATGAAACAGGCAAAAGGAGGGAGAGAGAGCAGACCTAAATCTTCTACCCTACTAATTCATGAGTGAAATGAACTTGATGAAAAATGGCTTCAGACTTCTTGTCTAACTTCACCTTGTATATTATTACTTAGGACTTTCTAACTGCTAGATACAAAAAAAATTCTCCTACTAGATTATTATTGCTGAAGTTAAACCCAAATTTCACTGTCTAAGCTGTATGTAGTAAATGTTGCTTTCAAGAGAGATATTAGGCATTATTTCCTCTTCTAATTTGGTATTAATGATAAAAGCAGGCCTGTCTATGATCTGTTATCATAGGTGTCTTCTGATGGAAACGCTGATTTTTGAGATTGACTTTGATGTTCTGTCTGCCAAGGCAAATAGGAAGTCAATAATCTACAGTGCTGACTCTTCACACTGAACTGTTGCTCTCTGCATGGAACCTCATGATAGAATTAAGGCAGTATATTTTCCAAATCTTTTGAAAATCATTTGTTCCTAACTCAGAAAACCATGACTAATGTATGCCTACATGGTACCAACAAGAGAAAGGAAAACCACTACTTGGAAAAAAAAAAAAAAAAAGAGAGATGAAGAACATGAGCAAACCTTTGCTACTCTTATTTAGTCTTTTCATTAGCAGGTTTTACTCAGTCAGTCATATCATTAACATGTCCTGGGGTGCCCACAGGGCAACTAAAAAAGAGGCACTGTAAAACTGGAACTACAGAGCATGGACAAGCCAGGAAGTTCTACATATTAAATGAAAGTGAGGTGAGCATCTCCTTAATGTAATGTACCAGGAAAAGTTTCTTAGAAAAATTAAGCCCTGAGCTGCAATTTGGTGGATGGACATTGTATCATAAGCTTATTTCCACTGTACTGCAGTTTTCATTAATTTGGTCATGGATGGATTTATTTTATTTTATTTTATTTTATTATTTTATTTTTGAGATAGAGTCTTGCTCTATTGCCAGTGCAGTGGCGCGATCTCAGGCTCACTGCAACCTCTGCCTCCTGGGTTCAAGAGAGTCTCCTGAGCCTCCCGAGTAGCTGGGATTACAGGCACCCGCCACCATGCCTGCCTAATTTTTGTATTTTTAGTAAAAATGGGGTTTCACCATGTTGGCCAGGCTGGTCGAACTCCTGACCTCATGATCCGCCCACCTTGGCTTCCCAAAGTGCTGGGATTACAGGCGTGAGGCCCCGCACCTGGCCGATTTATTCTGTTTTAACCACTTACATTATTATACTTTTAGGTTTTTTTTGAAACTTTTTTTACTATAGAATGCATTTGTTTAAATGTTGAAAATTTGTAATTTAATGTCCAATTACAAAGAAATGGTAAAATAAACCATGGAAATATACAAGGATGAATTATATATCATTAAAATAATTATTGCCAACTTTCTAATGACTTAAAAATAAAAAGTAAAGCAAAAACTGCATTACACAAACTTATATATTATGAGCTCAATGATATAGCATTTTGTATACCTAGGAAAATATTAAGGAAATTTAATTTACCAACTTTTGTCTGTGGTCAATTTCGAATGGTGGGATTTTGAGTGATTATTAATTTATTTTTCTTCTTGGCTTTTAATATTTTTCTCTAAAGAGCTTGTCTTATTTTTGAATTAGAAAAACAGAATTACTTAAAAAAAATGAGTCTGCAATAAAAACTTATACGTGTAAAGTTTCAAGAAATTTGCTTTTGGATCAAAAGAAATAAATATTTTTATAGTCTTGAAAGATAATTCTAGTTTTTAATCTAGATTATTATTTATCAATTCAAATGGGCACTGAGACTGCCAGTAATACTAGCATTGAGTCTGAATTTTAAAAATTTCCCTGATTTAATAATACTGCCTCCTTGTTATTTTAATTTGCATTTCTTTGACTAGAAGATATAATAATTATTTTTCCTCTGTTTGAGTTCTAATTACTAAAATATACTTTCTTTTGTCTGAATTATATATAATGTCTTTCGTCTATATTTCTGATTTTATTCTCTTTGTAAGAATTCTTTATATAGCCTTAATATTTGCTGCAAATATCCTTCTTTGGCTGCATTCTTTTTATTTTACATTGATTTTCCTTCACCAGGAGAATGGCCAAATTTGTCAATATATTTCTTTGTGGCTACACCTATAATTTCAAATGTATAAAGTGTTTAATCCTTCAGGGTTCTATAACTATAAAATCATTTTTGGTAGTTTTTCAATTGTTTTGGCTAGTTTTTTGTAGTTTTAATCAAACACTTTAAATCAGCACTTATAGAGTGTTGACTTACAGTTTTTCAAGTGCTAATAAATGGTCCCAACATCATTTATTTACATATTGTTTGATGCTTCCTTTAATCATATATACATGTATACATATATATATGTATTCACATACACATATTAACATATATAGTATATGTATGTTTATGTTATTCTTGAATTTATTATCTTATTCTCTTGGTTTGTACATCTGTCTAGAAGTTTGTACATCTGGCTAAAATACTACACTATTTTAGTTATCATTGCTTTAAGTTTAATGAATTGCAATATTTTATGTTAGTACACACACTCATGACATACTTTAATATCCTTGCCTGCTTGCTTTTCTAGATTAATTATTATTTATTGCCAATTTCTGTCAGGCTATGAAAAAAAATTCAGTTGTGTTTATTTAAAATTGAGAATTATATTAAATGTGCAAATTAATTTAGAAAAATTGAACATAAATGATAAAGAGTACTGAATTTTCTCTTTCAATAAAAGAGGCTGATCAAATCCACAGAAACATGAAGGGAAACATAACCCCTAAAACTTTTTTGGATCTTCCCTTTTCTCCCATAGGGCTCTAGGAAGCAACAACCCTTTCAAACTGTATTATTCAGGGCTGTATTAGGGGAATTGGCTTCCAGAAGTATAGAGGCTGAGAAGTCCAGCAATAGGCCATCTGCAAGCTAGAGAACCAGGGAAGCTGGAAGTGTGGCTCAATCTATATCCAAAAGCCTCAGAACCAGGGAAGTCTATGGTGTAATTTTCAGCTCAAGGCCTGAGAACCCAGGGGCCACTGGTTCAAGTCTGAGTCCAAAGGCCAGAGATCTTGAAGTTCTGATGTCTAAGGGCAGCAGAAGAAAAGCATGCCAGCTCTAGGAGAGAGAGAATGTAAGGAAATTACCTTTTCTCTAACTTTCTGTTCTATCTGGGTCCCCAGCTGATTGGATGGTCTCCACCCACATTTGGGCGAGATCTGCCTTCACTCACTCCACCAGCATACACACCAATCTTCTCTGGAAACACCCTCATAGACATACTGAGAAGTAATGCTTCACCAGCTCTATAGGAATTACTTAATCCAGTCAAGTTGACACCTAAAATTAACCATCACACAAACATAACTAAACTTACTTTCTGTGTGTTGCTGATGGTTACAAACAAATGTTCCACAATTCATGGAAGCAGTTCTTCAAAACATAAAATCTTTAACCAATTAAAGATTACCTTTGAGATTAACAAACATGTTGAGAAGAAGACATTAAACCTAAAACTCATGCTCACCTGATGACAAATTGTGACATCAGATTTTCTAATACCTGAAATTTCAATTTTGAAAAAAAAGGTGTTGATTAGAAAGGAGCAGTTAATTCTAGGTTACAGGTCTGTCGTAGGAAAAATAGATCTAGTCAGAGCCATACATTTGGGGCTTTGAATCATCTCAGAATGAATCAGAGTGTCTGGGGAGAGAGGTCTGTGGAAGGGCTCTTGGCAGACATCTTTTACCTGTTGCAATTTTGTATGGTGCCCCAGTATTTGTAGCACAAGCATTTATTTTTGAGCCATGGTATCAGTTCCTGCTTTGATTCTTAACATTCTTTTTTATCTCAGTTAAGATCTCTATTATCCACTGCTTTATATTTTTTATCATTTCATCAGTGGCATGATTATCAGTAGCTTTCTCTATATCATTCATTATACTACACATATAATTTGTGCTGGCTCCTGGATTGTATATTTTACATGTATGATTTTATTTACTCCCCAGAATAAGTCTGAAGTGCACATATTATTTTGAATGACCACCTAATTTTTTTTTACTAGCACTCTTGCTCCTTATATCTTTTAGCACCTTTAGTTTTTCTGTATATGGCAACTCTCCAGATCATCCCCATAGCTTCAATTAACTCCATAACCTACAGTCCCCTCATTAGATTCCACCTGCTGGCTCTGCCAACTGACTGACTCAGTGAGCTTTGGGTGAGATGGTGTTCTCTTCATGGTCAGCATCTGGTTCTAGGTCGGGTGTCTCTAGCCCTTATTCTTTAGCTCTGCATTAATAGTCTGTTATCTTGTTTCATCTTATCTCATGTTAATTTTACTCAGTCAGTCATATCATTAACATGTTTTCTTGTCTCTAGCCCTTATTCTTCAGCTCTGCATTAATAGTCTGTTATCTTATCTCATCTGATCTTTTCTATCTACCCATTTGTTTATTCATCCATTTCGAATTGTTTTTTAACATGTTTCTCCAGGATAAGCAAAAGAATTCTAGTACTTCCAACGTTGCATAAAAATGACTCCGAAGGGTAACTAGAGGCAGTCCTTAAATTCAGTGTTGATACTAACACAGAAAAATGTGACCCCTTACTAATGTGTCACAGTCAGAGAGTTCTGGCCAAAATAATTCCTATTCAGATTCACTTCTGTTGTTCCTATGTACCTGTGAGTTTATCTGGATACAGTTTCAATATATAACAATGTTCTCTATATTCTCAATAAATAATCATACCAAGGTAAAGTCACAGGAAAAGGAGTACTAGACTTTGAATAGAAGACCATGATTTAATTTTTGGCTGTATTATATATTATCTGAGTGTCTGAGCAACTCTATTAAATCTTCTGTGTCTCTGTTCCTTTATAAAATATGGGTTATATTATCAATTTATTCATAAGGTTTAATAAAACAATATATAGAAAAGACTATACGAATTCAGGTACACAGTGAAGTATTGGATTTATAGGAAATAGATGGCACATTCAATGAGGCAATTACGGAAATTTATTAAAGAATTTATTTACAAGATATGGACAGGGTTAAGTGAAACTAACAAGAAGGAGCTGTTACCATGTTTAGGCCAGAAGGAGCAAGAGAAGCGAAGAGTTATTGGAATATAGAGAAAGAGTTCTGCCTGTTTGAAAGGACTGCCATACAGTAGTTCTGGCTTAAGTGGAGTTAGCTACAACTGCAAACTCTTACTTCATCTAGCACTACCAGACAAATCCATTAAGAAAAAAGAAATAAAGCCCAGTTGGTCTAGAGTTCTAGACCGTAAAAGCCAGCCTTCTAGAGCAATGAGAGAGTAGATAAAGGATAGAAATTGGATCAGGAGGGGCAAAGAGACTGTTCATCAGAATGCTCAAGAAATGTTTGTTGAATACGAAAAGGTTGAATCTAAATCCTAAATCATTCTAAAGATACAATAGTAGGCCATGGACTAAGGACTGAAGGTTTGATGGTAAAATGAAAAAAAAATAAGATGGGAGGAGGTAATTCGGAAATGATACTAATTTGTTAAGGATTTAAAAGAATGAATAAATTAAAAAGCAATGGGAAAAAATTGGAAATAAAAACACAGAAAAATAACGTGAGATTTGAGCAAGAGCAAGTGTATTACTACAATAAAAATAAAGTGTAGACTTCAAAATGAATATATCATATTATACTATACTAGTCACTCTGTCATTTACACTAGTAAAGGCTTATTCAGTTTTGAAGTTTTAAACTAACTAAAAATAGAATGTTGTTTATTGTGCTCTTGACAGAAAAACATAGTCTCTGTTCCACATATGTATAGTCTTCCAAGATAGAGACAAATTTGGAGTTAGAATTTGGAACCTAAATTCA
The DNA here is from genome assembly GCF_000001405.40 of Homo sapiens. Taxonomy (NCBI): domain Eukaryota; kingdom Metazoa; phylum Chordata; class Mammalia; order Primates; family Hominidae; genus Homo; species Homo sapiens. The sequence continues at coordinate 76,652,164 of NC_000008.11, read as the reverse complement.
GCTTGACATGGTCTTGATGCAGTATTCAAATGAGTTAGATATCCATGTTGTTACAAAATATAAGTTTGAGGGAGTTCAGCTTCCTAGGATGGTTCAAAAATGAAGATTTTTCTCTTAACCAAAAAAGTGAGTATTTTGCAAATTAAGTTGTTTTGTATCTGTTTAAAAGGGGAGCTTAAAATCCATATAATTTACCTGTTTTCTGCCTGTGTATTTCATCACGTAAGTACTGGAGTCTAACTGGGTAATTTCACAAGTATACACAAAAGCCTAGTGGGATGCAAGATCTAGTGCTCATCGCTACCGAGGATGTATAGAAAAATATGTAGGAGAACCTGCTTTGCTTAGCGTTTAGCTGAGACTAGTAGGAGGAAGAAAATACAAGGAAGAACTAGAAACAAGCCAATGAGAAATTTAAGGAAAGTTCTCTCAAATATTATAATCACTTTGACCCAAAGGGAGTTTCGCTGATATTCGTGGTATTTAAGTTGGTTTGTAAGACAAGAAAAGGACAATATTTTGACAGAAATGGGGGAGTAGAAAAGGTTTTCTACATAACTAAGAAAAATAATAATACTAAGCATTTACTGAGTGCTTACTGTGCATCAGGTATTGACTTAAATGCTTTCCATGCAGTTAACTAATTACAACTCAATTTTACACAGAAATGAATCATCAACTCTGCAAGACCATGTGGGTACCCTTGTTTCCAAAGACTTAGGTTACCTACCATTCCATGGGCTGAAAAAAATTCTTTTTTCCCCTAACAGCCAAAGTACCTAATAAAGAACAGTTTCATAATTTTTTGTGTGTATAATTTCATAATCTTAATCATTATCAAGCATGGGGAAAATGTTTATAATGTCTTCATGACAGATATAATCATTTTCCTAAAACCAAGTAAACAACATTCTCAATAGATAAGAATGATTAGCTTCAAGCTCTTAATAAAATTGATGAAATTAAGTTGTTTAAGAATACATTTAGATAATCTTTAAGTATGAAGACTAAATAAAAGTGCAGATTACAAAATAAAGTATTATGAAAAATTCTCTGATTATATTCTTCCTAAAGGGATGGTATTTACAAAAAAATGTAAATTTTTATGACTTGATGCATCCTAAAAAGGTGGAGGTTCTTTGTAGAAATGACATATAACTACATGTAATAAAAGTACAATTCCCCAATATAAAGAAAGTGTGAGGCAAACTATATCTATCATTATATGTTTCATTTATTTTCACCTTTAACAAATGTAGCTCTCCAGATGCAAACTACCTCATGTCAAATTTAGATGTCAGGTGAGTAAGTATTTCCGGAGAGGTATAGGGAAAATGATTATGAAAATGGTTGGAAAGTGGAGGTGTAGACCAGAAAAATGCTTTGAACCAACCAAAGGACCAGTGATCTATGAATCTAAGAAAAGACATGGAGAAGGCCGGATGCAGTGGCTCATGCCTATAATCCCAGCACTTGGGCGGCCGAGGAGGGCAGATAACCAGATGTCAGGAGTTCGAGTCCTGCCTGACCAACATGGTGAAACCTGGTCTCCACTAAAAATACAAAAATTAGCCAGATGCAGTGTCACGCACCTGTAGTTGGGAAACTGAGCTTGGAGAATCACTTGAACCCGAGAGGCGGAGGTTGCAGTGAGCCAAGATTGCGCCACTGCACTCCAGCCTGAGCAGCAGAGTGAGACTCCATCTCAAAAAGAAAAAAAGAAAAAAAAAAAACAGACATGGAGAAAACTTAAATTTTAAAAGTACAGTTGGGCATGACATAACAATGTCAATGATTGACTACTTATACGGCAGTAGTTCCATAAGACTATAATACCATATTTTTACTGTGCTTTAAAAATGTTTAGATATGTTTAGACACACAAATATTTTCTGTTGTATCAAAACTGCCTACAGTATTCAGTACAGTAACATGTTATACAGATCTGTAGCCTAGGAGCAATAGGCTATATCATCTAGTCTAGGTGTGTAGTAGGCTGTACCACCTCTGTTTGTGTAAGCACACTCTATGATGTTTGCACAATGATAAAATCGCCTAATGGCACACTTCTCAGAAGATATCTGTATTGTTAAAAGATGCATGATGTAGCGGGAATCATACAGTATGTAACATTTCAGATGGGCTTTTTCACCTAGTAATGTGCATTTAAGTTTTCTCCTTGACTTTTCATGGCTTTGTAGTTCATTTCTATTTGCTGCTGAATAATATTCTGTTGTTTGGATGTACGTCAGTTTATTCATCCATTGAAATATGGAAGGGGATGGAGGTTGCTCCCAAGCTTGGGAAATTTTGAATCAAGCTGCTGTAAACAGTGTGTATGTTTTTGTGTGAACATAAGTTTTAAACTCTTTTAGTTAAACACCAGGAAGTACAATTACTGGATCTTATAATAAGAGTATGTTTAGTTTTGTAAGAAACTGCCACACAAACTGTCTTCCAAAGTGGCTGTACCATTTTGGATGCCTGCCAACAGTGAATGATAGTTTCTTTTAGTCTACATCCATGCTGCTTGTATTCTGGATTTTGGCCATTCAAATAGGTATGTAGGGCTATCTTCTTTTTTAAAAATTTTAATTTTTGTAGGTACATAATAAATGTATATATTTAGAGTGTACATGAGATATTTTGGTATAGGCATGCAATGCATAATAATCACATCATGGAAAATTGGATATCCATCCCCTCAAGCATTTGTTCTTTGTGTTACAAACAATCCAATTATGCTCTTTTAGTTATTTTAAAATATACTATTAAATTATGATAAACTATAGTCCCCCTGTTGTGTTATCAAATACTAGGTCTTATTCATTCTTTCTAGCTATTTTTTTGTACCCATTAACCATCCCCACCTCGCCTACACTCCTCCACTACCTTTCCCAGACTCTGGTAACCATTCTTCTATTCTCTATCTCCATGAGTTCAATTGTTTTAATTTTTAGATCCCACAAGTAAGTGAGAACATATGTTTGTCTTTCTGTGCCTGACTTATTTTACTAAACAGAAGGACCTCCAGTTCCATCCATGCTGCTGCAAATGACAGAATCTCATTTTTTATGACTGAATAGTACTCCATTGTATTAATCCTTTCTCATGTTGCTATAAAGAACTACCTGAGACTGGGTAATTTATAAAGAAAAGAGGTTTAATTTGCTCACAGTTCTGCAGTCTGTACAGGAAGCATGAATGGAAAGGCCTCAGGAAATGTACAATCATGGTGAAAGGTAAGGAAGAGGAAGGAAGCACATCTTACACAGCCAGAGCAGGAGGAAGAGTGTGCAGGGGGAAATGCTACACACTTTTAAACAACCAGATCTCATGAGAACTCACTCATTATCAGGAGAACAGCAAGAAGGAAGCCAATCCCCATGATTCAATCACCTCCCACCTAGCTCCTCCTCCAAAATAGAGGATTACAACTCAATATGAGATTTGGGTGGGGACACAGAGCTATACCATATTATTCTGCCCTGTCTACTCCCAAATCTCATATCCTTCTCACATTTCAAAACACAATCATGCCTTCCCAACAGTCTCTCAGAGTTTTAATTCATTCCAGCACTAACTCAAAAGTCCAAGTTCAAAGTCTGATCTGAGACAAGGCAAATCTCTTCCATCTATGAACCTGTAAAATCGAAAGTTAGTTACATCCAAGATACAAGAGGATACAGGCATTGGGCAAATGCTTCCATTCCAAAATGGAGAAATTGGCCAAAACAAAGGGGCTACAGGCCCCATGCAAGTCTGAAATCCAGCAGGGCAGTCATTAAATCTTAAAGCTCCAAAATAATCTCCTTTGATTCCACATCTCACACCCAGACCACACTAATAATGCAAGGGTTGGTTTCCCAAGGCCTTGGGTAACTCCACCCTTGTGGCTCTGCAGGGTATAGCCCTTGCAGCCACTCTCATGGGCTGGCGTTGAGTGCCTGTGGCTTATCCAAGTGCACAGTGCAAGCTTTTGGTGGATCTACCATTCTGGGTTTTGGAGCAGAGTGGCTCTCTTCTCACAGCTCCACTAGGCCGTGCCCTAGTGGAGACTCTGTGTAGGGGCTCCAACTCCACATTTCACTTCCACACTGCCCTAGGAGAGGTTCTCTATGACAGTTCGGCCCCTGAAACAAACTTCTGCCTGTACTGCCAGGCATTTCCATATATGCTTTGAAATCTAGGCGAGGATCCCAAGCCTCATCTCTTGCCTTGTGCATACCCGCAGGCTTAACACCATGTGGAAGCTGCCAAGACCTGCGGCCTGCACCCTCTGGAGCAGCAATGTGAGATGTATCTGGGGCCCTTTTAGGCACAGCTGGAATTGGAGTGGCTGGGACACAGGGAGCAGTGTCCGGAGGTTGCACAGGGCAATGGGACCCTGGGTCCAGGCCACAAAACCAAAGATAAACCATATCATCCATTGTGTATATGTATCACATTTCTTTATCCATTCATTTGTTTATGAACGCTTAGGTTGCTTCCAAATCTTGGCTATTGTGAACAGTGTCACAACAACATGAGGGTATACATATCTCTTTAACATACTGATTTCCTTTTTTTTTTTTTTTTTGGTATATACTCAGAAGTGGGACTGGATCATATGGTAGATCTATTTATACTTTTTTGAGGAACCTCCAAACTGTTCTCCATAGCGGTTTTACTAATTTACATTTTCATAAATAGTGTACAAGGGTTTTTCCTTTTCTCCACATCCCCACCAGCATTTGTTACTGCCTGACTCTTGGATAAAAGCCACTTTAACTGATATTCATTGTAGTTTTAGTTTGCCTTTCTCTGATGATCCATGATGTTAAGCACCTTTTCATATGCCTGTTTGCCATTTGTATGTCTTCTTTTGAGAAATGTCTATTCAAATCTTTTGCCCATTTTTTGATCAGATTATTAGTTGGTTTTTTTTCCATATAGAATTGTTTGAGTTTCCTGTGTATTCTGGTTATTAATCCCTTGTCAGATGGGCAGGTTGAAAATATTTTCTCCCATTCTGTGGGTTGCCTCCTCATTTTGTTAATTGTTTCCTTTGCTGTGCAGATGCTTGTTAATTTGATGTGATCCTATTTGTCCATTTTTGCTTTGGATGCCTGTGCTTGTGGTGTATTACTCAAGAAATTTTTGCTCAGAGTCATGTTCTGGAGAGTTTGTCCAATTTTTTCTTGTAGCATTTTCATGGTTTGAGGTCTTATATTTAAGCCTTTAACCTACTTTGATTTGATTTTTTATATGGCAAGAGATAGAGGTCTAGTTTCATTTTTCTGCATTTGGATATCCAGTTTTCCCAGCACCATTTATTGAAGATACTATCTTTTCCCCAGTGGCTGTTCTTGGTACAATTATCAAAAATGACTTTACTGTAGGTAAGTGGATTTGTTTCTGGGTCCTCTATTATCTTCCATTGGTCTATATGTCTGCTTTTATGCCGGTACAATGCTGCTTTGGTTACCATTGCTCTGTGGTATAATTTAAAATCAGGTATTGTGATTCCTCCAGTTTTATTCTTTTTACCCAGGCTTTAGCTATTCTGGGTCTTTTGTTGTTCCATATAAATTTTAGGAATTTTTTAAAAATTTCTTTCAAGAATGTCATTGGAATTTTGATAGGGATTGCTTTGAATCTGTAGATTGCTTTGAGTAGTATGGACATTTTAACAACATTGATTCTTCCAATCCATGAACATGAAATGTCACTCTATTTTTTGTGACCACTTCAATTTCTTTCATCAGTGTTACATAGTTTTTATTATAGAGATCTATCACTTCTTTGGTTAATTTCTAGGTATTTAATTTTATTTGTGGCTGGTGTAAATGGGATTCTTTTTGAGATTTCTTTTTCAGATGGTTCACTGTTGGCATATAGAAATGCCACTTATTTTCGTATGTAGATTTTGTGTCTTGCAACTTTACTGAATTTATCAGTTCTAATAGTTTTTTTTTTTTTGTTGGAATGTTTTGGTGTTTCCAAAAATAAGATCCTATCATCTGCATATAAACATAATGTGACTTCTTTCTTTCCAATGTGGATGTTTTTTGTTTCTTTCTTTTGTCTGATTGCTCTAGCTGGGAGTTCCAGTGCTATGTTGAATAACAGTGGGAGTCTTTGTCATGTTCAGTATTTAAGAAGAAAGGCTTTTCATTTTCCCCTGTTCAGTATATTACTAGTTATGGGACTGTCAAATATGGCCTTTATGTTCCTTCTATGCCTAGATATTTCAGGGTTTTTTTTATCATGAAGAGATGTTGAACATTATCAAATGTTTTTACAGTTTCAATTGATTAATCATATGGTTTTTGTCCTTCATTCTATTGATATGATGTGTTGCATTGATTGATTAGCATGTGATAAATCATTCTTGAATCTTAGGGATATATACCACTTGGTTATAATGAATGATCTTTTTAATGTGTTGTTGAATTTGATTTGCTGGTATTTTGTCAATGATTTTTGCATCAATAGTCATCAGGGATGTTTGCCTAACTAAAACCCCTATGCATTTATATAGAGGAGATAAGTCGTAACATGGTAAGCGTACTGGAAAGTGCACTTGGACGAACCAAGGTGTAGCTTAACATAAAGCACCCAGTTTACACCTGGGAAATTTCAACTCAATTTGACCACCTGATCTAACCCTAGTTCCAAACCCAACCAACCCTACTACCAAACAACTTTAACTAAATCATTTACTCATGATTTAGAAAACTAAATCATTTACTCATGATTTAGAAAACTAAATCATTTACTCATGATTTAGAAAACTAAATCATTTACTCATGATTTAGAAAACTAAATCATTTACTCATGATTTAGAAAACTAAATCATTTACTCATGATTTAGAAAACTAAATCATTTACTCATGATTTAGAAAACTAAATCATTTACTCATGATTTAGAAAACTAAATCATTTACTCATGATTTAGAAAACTAAATCATTTACTCATGATTTAGAAAACTAAATCATTTACTCATGATTTAGAAAACTAAATCATTTACTCATGATTTAGAAAACTAAATCATTTACTCATGATTTAGAAAACTAAATCATTTACTCATGATTTAGAAAACTAAATCATTTACTCATGATTTAGAAAACTAAATCATTTACTCATGATTTAGAAAACTAAATCATTTACTCATGATTTAGAAAACTAAATCATTTACTCATGATTTAGAAAACTAAATCATTTTCTCTTTTATAAACGTGTCTTTGTCTGGTTTTGGTATCAGGATAATAATGGCTTCATACAATGAGTTTGAGAGCATTCACTCATCCTTCATTTTTCAGAACACTTTGAGTAGGATTAGTATTTGTTCTTCTATAAATGTTTGGTAGAATTCAGCAGTGAATCCATCAGTTCCCAGCTTTCTTCTTTTTTTTTTTTTTTTTTTGTTTAAACTGGGCAACTTTTCACTATGGGCCTCGGTCTTGTTATTTGTTATTGGATTGTTCAGGTTTTGGATTTCTTCATGCTTCAATCTTGGTAGGTTGTATGTGCCTAGAAATGTATCAATTTCTTCTAAATTTCCCAATTTATTGGTATATAGTTGTTCATGGTAGCCACTAATGTTCCTTTGAATTCTGTGTTGTCAATTGTAATGTCTTTTTTTTCTTCATTTCTGATTTTACTTATTTGGGTCTTCTCTCTTTTTTTCCTAGTCCGACTAAAAGTTTTTCCATTTTGTTTATTTTTTCAAAAAACCAACTTTTTGTTTCATTGATCTTTTGTATTGTTTTTGTCATTTCAAATTCATTTATTTCTGCTCTGATTTGTATCTCTTCTCTTACTTTTGAGTTTAGTTTCCTCTTGCTTTTCTAGTTCTTTAAGATGCTGTTTCATTCATTTATTTATTTGATGTTTCCATCTTTTTTGATATAGGCACTTACAGCTGTAAACTTTACTCAGTACTGCTTTTGCTGTATCCCACAGGTTTAGGGATGCTGTGTTAAAATTATATGTTTGAAAAATTATTTAAATATTCTTCTTAATTTCTTCATTGACTCACTAGTCATTCAGGAGCATACCATTTAATATTCATGTTTTTGTATATATTCTAACATTCTTTTAGGTATTGACTTCTAGTTTTACTCCATTGTGGTCAGATAAGATGCTTGATATTATTTCAATTTTTTGAATAATTTAAGACTTTTTAAGGACCTAATATATGGACTATCTTTGAGAATGATCCACATGCTGAGAAGAGTGTGTATTTGACAGATGTTGGATAAAATGTTCTGTAAATATCTATTAGATCAATTTGTTCTATAGTGCAGATTACATTTAATATTTCTTTGTTGATTTTCTGTCTCAGAGATCTGTCCAATGCTGAAAGTGGGGTATTGAAGTCTCCAGCTATAACTTAAACAGATTTACAAGTAAAAGCAAACAACTGCATTAAAAAGTGGGCAAAGAACATGAACAGACACCTTTCAAAACAAGTCATACATGCAGCCAATAAATAAGCATATGAAGAAAAGCTCAATATCACTGATTAATAGAGAAATGCAAATCAAAACCTCACTGAGATACCATCTCACACCAGTCAGAATGGCCATTATTAAAATGTTAAAAAATAATAGGTGCTGGCAAGATTGCAGAGAAAAGGGAATGCTTATACACTGTTGGCAGGAGTGTAAATTAGTTCAACCATTGTGGAAGATAGTGTGCCAATTCCTCAAAGACCTAAAGAAAGTGGTATCATTTGACTCAGCAATTCCATTACTGGGTATATGCCCAAAGGAATATAAAATTTTATGTTAAAAAGACATGTGAATGTGTATGTTCATCACAGCACTATTCATGATAGCAAAGACATGGAATCAATCTAAATGCCCATCAGTGGTCGACTGGATAAAGAAAATGTGATATATATATATATATATAGATATGCAGCCATAAAACAGAACAAGATCATGTCTTTTGCAGGAACATGGATGCAGTTGGAAGTCATCATTCTTAGCAAACTAACATAGGAGCAGAAAACCAAATACCACATGTTCTCACTTATAAGTGGGACCTAAATGATGAGATCACATGGACACATGGGTGATAGCAGGAGGAATAACAGACACTGGAATCTATCAGAGGATGGAGGGTGGGAGAAGGAGGGAATCAAGAACAATAATAAATGGGTACTAGGCTTAATATCTTGGGGATGAACTAGTCTCTACAACAAATTCCTGTGACACAGTTGGCCTGTGTAACAAACCTGCACATGTACCCCTGAAGTTAAACTTGGGGTCTGTCTCTCTCTTTAGCTCTAATAATATTTTCTTTATATATCTGAGTGTTTTAGTGTTGGGTGCATATATATTTAAAATTATAATATCCTCTTGCTGAACAGACCCCTTTATATAATTACCTTCTTTGTCTCTTCTAACAGTTTTCATCTTGAAATCAATTTTGTCTGATATAAGAATAGCTACTCCCATGCTTTTTTGGTTTTCATTGGCATAAAATATCTTTTTCCATCCCTTTATTTTCAGTTTATGTGTATCTTTTTAGGTGACTTATGTTTCCTATAGGCAACAAATCATTGGGTCTTGTTTCTTCATCCATTCAGCCACTCTGTATTTTTTGATTGGAGAGTTTAGTCCATTTACATTTAATATTATTATTGATAAGTGGGAAATTACCCCTGCCATTATGTTATTTCTTTTTTCTGGTTGTTTTGCAATCTTTTCTTTCTTCTTTCCTTTATCCCTGTCTTCTCTTTGGTAAAGGTGATTTGGTCTGGTGATATGCTATAATTTCTTGCTTTTTATTTTTTGTGTATCCATTGTATGTTTTTTGATTTGAGATTACCATGTGGCTTGTTGTTGCAGGAAGTCAGGGACCCCAAATGGAGGGACCAGCTGGAGCTGAGGCAGAAGAACATAAATTGTGAAGATTTCATGGACATTTATCAGTTTCCAAAATTAATACTTTTATAATTTTGTATGCCTGTCTTTACTGCAGTCTCTGAACATGAATTGTGAAGATTTCATGGACATTTATCACTTCCCCAATCAATACTCTTATAATTTCTTATATCCTGTCTTTACTTTAATCTCTTAATCCAGTCATCTTCATAAGCTGAGGATGTATGTCACCTCAGGACCCTGTGATGATTGCATTAGCTGTACAAATTGTTTGTAAAACATGTGTGTTTGAACAATATGAAATCAGTGCACCCTGAAAAAGAACAGAATAACAGAGATTTTCAGGGAACAAGGAAAGATAACCATAAGGTCTGACTGCCTGTGGGGTTGGGCAGAATAGAGCCATATTTTTCTTCTTGCAGAGAGCCTGTGGGGTTGGGCAGAATAGAGCCATATTTTTCTTCTTGCAGAGAGCCTATAGATGGACGTGTGAGTAGGAGAAATATCACTGAATTCTTTTCCCAGCAAGGAATATTAATAACTGATAGCCCTGGGGAAGGAATGCATTCCTGGGGGTAGGTCTATAGACAGCCACTCTAGGAGTGTCTGTCTTATGCAGTTGAGATAAGGACTGAAATACGCCCTGGTCTCCTGCAGTACCCTCAGGCTTACAAGGATTGGGAAATTCCAGCCTGGTAAATTCTAGTCAGAACGGTTGTCTGCTCTGGAACCCTGTTTCCTGTTAAGATGTTTATCAAGACAATGCATGCACAGCAGGACATAGGCCCTCATCAGTAATTCTAATTTTGCCTTGCCTTGTGATCTTTTATTGCCCTTTGATGCATGTGATCTTTGTGACTTACTCCCTGTTCGTACACTCCTTCCCCTTTTAGAATAGCTAATAAAAACTTGCTGGTTTTGCGACTCAGGTGGGCATCATGGAACCTGCCAATATGTGATGTCACCTCCAGTGGCCCAGCTGTAAAATTTCTCTTTGTACTCTTTCTCTTATTTCTCAGACTGGCCAACACTTAGGGAAAATAGAAAGAACCTATGCTGAAATATTGGGGGCTAGTTCCCCTGATAGCTTGTAAATACTGCATTATAACCTATTATTTTAAACTGATGACAACTTAACACTGATTGCATGTACAACCATACAAATACATGAAGAGAAAACTAACAAAAACTCTTATGTTTTGTTGTTTCTCTATGTCTTATTGTACTTTCTGTGTCTTGAAAACTTGTTGTGGTTGTTATTTTTGATTGGTTCATCATTTAGTCTTTCTACTTAAGCAGTTTGCACACCACCATTATAGTGTTATACTATTCTATGTTTCTCTGTGTGCTTACTATTACCAATGAATTTGTACCTTCATACAATTTCTTTTTGCTCACTAACATCCTCTTTTTTTTCAGATTGAAGAACTCCCATCAGCATTTCTTGTAGGACAGGTCTGGTGTTGATGAAATCTATCAGCTTTTGTTTGTCTGGGAAAGGTTTTTTCTTTCACATTTGAAGGATATTTTCATGAATATATTCTTCTAGGGGAAAAGTTTTTTTTTTTTTCCTTTAGCACTTGAAATATACTACGCCACTCTTTCCTTGCCTATATGGTTTCTACTGAAAAGTCTGCTGCCAGATGTATTGGAGCTTCTTAGTATGTTATTTATTGCTTTTCTTTTGTTGCTTTTAGGATTCTTTCTTTATCCTTGATCTTTAGGGGTTTGATTATTAAGTGACTTGAGTTAGTCTTGTTTGGATTAAATCTGGTTGGTGTTCTATAACCTTCTTGTAGTTGAGTGTTGATGTTTTTCTCTGGTTTGAGAAGTTCTCTATGTTATCCCATCGAATAAACTTTCTTCCCTTATGTCCTTCTCTACCTCCTCTTTAAGGTCAAAAATGCTTAGATTTGACATTTTGAGGCTTATTCTCTATATTCTGTAGGTGTGCTTCATTGTTTTTCTATTCTTTTTCTTTTGTTTTCTCTGACTGTGTATTTTCAATTGGTCTGTTTTCAAGCTCACTAATTCTTTCTTCTGCTTGATCAATTCTACTTCAACACTATTAAGAATTCTTCAACATGTCAATTGAATTTTTCAACTATATAATTTCTACAATTTTTACTTGATTTGTTCAAATTATTTCAATCTTTCCTAAATTTATCGGATAGAATTCTGAATTCCTTCTCTGTATTATCTAGAATTTCTTTGAGTTTCCTCAAAACAGCATTTTCAATTTTCTGAAAGGTCATATATCTCTGTTTTTCCAGGATTGGTCCCTGGTGCCTTATTTAGTTAATTTATTGAAGTATGTTTTCCTGGATGGTCTTAATACTTGTAGATGGTTGTCTGTGTCTGGGCATTGAAGAGTTAGGTAGTATTGTAGTCTTCATAGTCTGAGCTTGTTTGTATCTTTTTTCCTTGGGAGGGTGTATTAGTTTGTTCTCACACTGCTATAAAGAACTACCTGAGACTGGATAATTTATGAAGAAAAGAGGTTTAATTTACTCACAATTCCACAGGCTTAACAGGAAGCATGGCTGGGAGGCCTCAGGAAACTTACAATCATAGTGGAAGGTGAAGGGGAGACAATCATGTCTATGACTTATCATGGTGGAGTGGGAGAGAGAGAGTGAAGGGGGGAGTGCTACACACTTTCAAACGCCCAGATCTTGTGAACACTCACTCACTATCATGAGAACAGCAAGGAGAAGTTTGCCCCCATGATTCAATTACCTCCCAGGAGGGCCCTCTCCCAACACGTGGGGATTTAATTTGAAATGAAGTTTAAGTGGGAACACATGGCCAAACCATATCAGAGGACTGTCCAAGAATTTGAAGGGACTTGGGCCTCAAGCCCAATAACACTGTGGTTTTTGCAGACTTGTTGTTAGCAATACAAGACTGTCTCTCCGGCCTTCCTCAATGCCTCTTCTAGTGATATGAAATTAAAACCTGGTAGTGTGATTGCTCACTTGATTTTTGGTTCTTGTCATGATGCTTTTCTGTGTGCAGTCAGTTGTTAAAATTTGGTGTTCCAACAGTGGGGGCAAACAGTGTAGGCTTTTATTCTGCCATCTTGCTCAGCTTTATCTTTTTTTTGTCTTAATTTGCAATTATCTAATAGCATTTGATGTTAAACATACTTTTGTGTATTTATGTGTCACGTATATATTCACTGTGTTGAGGTGTCCATTCAGACCTTTGGCCTATTTTTTAATTGTATTTTTCTTATTGTTGAGTTTTGAAAGTTCTTTGTGTATTTTTGGATAACAATTCTTTATCAGATACAGGATTTTAAGTATCTTCTCCCACTCTGTGGGTTATCTGTTTATTCCTTTGTCAGTGTATTTTACAGAGCAGAATTTTTATTATTTTCATAAAGTCCAGTTTATCAATTACATCTTTCATGGATCATGCATTTGATGCTGTACCTAAAAAGTTATTGACAAACCCAAAGTGACCTAGATTTTTTCCTATGCTATCTTCTAGAAGCTTTATACTTTTGTGTTTTACATTTAAGTAAAACACAAATTCATTCTGAGTTAATTTTTGTGAAAGGTGTAAGTTATGTGCCCAGGTTCATTTTTTTGGTATGTAGATATGTAGTTGATCCAGCACCATTTGTAGAAAAGACTATCTTTTTCCCTCTATATTGTCTCTGCTCCTTTGTCAAAGATTAGGTGACTATATGTATGTGAGTCTCCATCTGCTCTTTATTCTGTTCCATTGATCTATTTGCGTATTCTTTTGCCAATACTATATCTTTTTTTTAAGAGATGGGGTCTCACTCTGTCACCCAGGATAAAGGGCAGTGGCATGACCACAGCTCTTTGGAGTCCCAAACTCTTGTGTTCAGGCAATCCTCCTGCCTCAGCCTTCCAAGTAGCTGGAACTTACAGGCACGTGCCATCATGCCATTGTGTCTGGCTTTCATTTTTTGTAGAGATGGGGTCTTGCTATATTGCCCAGGCTGGTCTCAGACTCCTGGTCTCAAGTAATTCTCCCACCTAAGCCTCTGTAAGTTCTGGAATTACAGGCATGAGCCTCCACACCTGGCCCAATACCACACTATCTTGATTACTGTAGCTTGATAGTAAGCCTTGAAATCAGTCCTCCAACTTTATTCCTCTTCAGTATTGTGTTGGCTTATCAGGGTCTTTTATCTCTCCATATAAGCTTTACAATTAGTTTGTTAATATCCTTAAAATAACTTGCTAAGTCTTTAATTAAAATTGCATTGACTCTATAGATTCAGTTTGAAAGAATTGGCATTGTGACAATATTGTGTCTTCTTATACTTTTTTTAGTACTTTAAGTTCTAGGGTACATGTGCACAACGTGCAGGTTTGTTACATAGGTGTACATGTGCCATGTTGTTTTGCTGCACCCATCAACTCATCATTTACATTAGGCATTTCTCCAAATGCTATCCCTCCCCCATCTCCCCACCCCCGCGACAGGCCCTGGTGTGTGATGTTCCCCACCTTGTGTCCAATTGTTCTCATTTTTGAATTCCCACCTCTGAGTGAGAACATGTGGTGTTCGGTTTTCAGTCCTTCAATAGTTTGCTGAGAATGATGGTTTCCAGCTTCATCCATGTCCCTGCAAAGCACATGAAATCATCCTTTTTTATGGCTGCATAGTATTCTATGGTGTGTATGTGCTACATTTTCTTAATCCAATCTATCATTGATGAACATTTGGGTTGGTTTCAAGTCTTTGCTATTGTGAATAGTGCTGCAATAAACATATGTGTGCATGCGTCTTTATAGGAGCATGATTTATAATCCTTTGGGTATATATCCAGTAACAGGATCGCTGGGTCAAATGGTATTTCTAGTTCTAGATCCTTGAGGAATTGCCACAGTCTTCCACAATGGTTGAACTAATTTACACTCCCACCAACAGTGTAAAAGCATTCCTATTTCTCCACATCCTCTCCAGCATCTGTTGTTTCCTGACTTTTTAATGATCACCATTCTAACTGGTGTGAAATGATATCTCATTGTGCTTTTGATTTGCATTTCTCTGAGGACCAGTGATGATGAGCATTTTTTCATCTGTCTGTTGGCTGCATAAATGTCTTCTTTAGAGAAGTGTCTGTTCATATCCTTTGCCCACTTTTTGATGGGCTTGTTTGTTTTTTTCTTGTAAATTTGTTTAAGTTCTTTGTAGCTTCTGGATATTAGCCCTTTGTCAGATGGGTAGATTGCAAACATTTTCTCCCATTCTGTAGGTTGCTTGTTCACTCTGATGGTAGTTTCTTTTGCCATGCAGAAGCTCTTTAGTTTAATTAGATCCCATTTGTCTATTTTGGTGTCTTCTTAAACTTGAACACAAAAATCTCTTTCCGTTCATGTATTATAGTACTTCCTTGATTTTATTACAGTTCTGTAGTTTTCCTCAAATAAATATTGCACATATTTTGTTAGATTTATGCTCAAATTTTTAATTTTTTTGGGGGGTGCTATTGTAAATAGCATTTTGATTTTATTTGGAAATTCCACTTATTCACTGCTGGTGTATAGGGAAGTGGTTGACTTTGTATATGTGCCTTGTATCCTGCTACCTTCCTATAATTGCTTATTAGTTCCAGAATGGTTTCTTTTTCTGGTTAATTATTCTGGATTTTCTACATAGACAATCGCTTGCATCATCTGCAAATTGGGACAGTTTTATTTGTGTGCCATCATGTATGGCTTTTTTTTTTTTTTAATAGAGACAGCCTTTCTCCATGTTTTTCAGGCTGGTGTTGAACTCCCAGACTGAAGTAATCCACCTGACTCAGACTCCTGAAGTGCTGGGATTACAGAGGTGGGCCACCATGCCTGGCCATCTCTGTCTTTTAACTGTGCACTTAGACTATAGATATTTAAGGTGATTATTAATATACTTGGATTGATATTTATCATATTTTTTACTCTTTTCTACTTTTTAACCTTGTCCTTTGTTCCCATTTTTGTCTTCCACTATTTTTCTTTTTTTTTTGGTTTTAATTAAGCATTTAATATGATTTCAGTTTTATCTCCTTTCTTAGCATATCAGTTACATTTCTTTATTTTTTTACTTTTTAAAGAGATTGCCCTTATTCTAATATATGTTTAGAACTAATCAAAATGCACATTAAAAGAACACTATGCAGCTTCATGGGTAATGCAAATATCTTATAATTCTAACTTCTTCCTCTTGTCTTTTGTATTACTGCAGCCATTCATTTCACTTGTATATAAACACACACACACACACACACATATACATATATATATATCTACACATATATGCATACATAATTAAATGTATTTTTGCCTTCTTTATTTTGAGCAAAATGTTATCTATCAGATTAATTAGAAATAAGAAATATCCAACTTTTTACTTTACTTTCACTTATTCTTTCTCCTATGCTCTTTTTATATTGATTCAAGTTTCTGACATATATTATTTCTTTCTTTTTTTAAACAGAATTTTTATCTGATACTCATTGGTATTTAGACATATTCAGACACAGAATGTAAAATCACTCTTTTAAATACTTTCTATAAAGTACATATACATAAGGGAAATAAATGGTATCTAGTACTCCTTCAAATGAAGTATCAAATTCTTCTGACTCAATTTTTGACTTGGTTATCAATGGCCAAGTGTTTCCACACAGTATTGTTCTATGTATTGGTGATACAGTATTTCTTTTTCTTTTAATTGACAAATAATAATTGTATATATTTATGGAGTACAACGTGATGCCATGATACATATATACATTGTAAAGTGAGCAAATCAGCCTAATTAACCACACACACACACACACACACACACACACACACACATCTCATATACTTATCATTTCTTTGTGGTGAGACTATTTAAAATCTACTCTGAATATTTCTTAAAAGTATGCTCCACTATTTTATTTTATGTATTTCAATAGTTTTTGGGGAACACGTGGTTTTTGGTCACATGGAAAAGTTTTTCAATAGTGATTTCTGAGATTTTGGTGCACTCGTCACCCAAGCAGTGTACAAGGTGCCCATTGTGTATCATTTTATCCCTCACTCCCCTCCCACCCTTTCCCTGGAGTCCCCAACGTCCATTATATCATTCTTATGTCTTTGTGCCCTCATAGCTTAGCTCCCACTTCTAAGTGAGAGCGTATGATATTTGGTTTTCTATTCTTGAGTTACTTCAGTTAGAATAATGGTCTTCAACCCCATCCGGGTTACTGCAAATGCCATTATTTCATTCCTTTTTATGGCTGAGTAGTATTCCATCATGTGTGCATACACATACTCATACACACACACAAACACACACACGTACACACACACCACATTTTCTTTATTCACTGTTGACTGATGGGCATTTAGGCTGGTTTTATATTTTTTGCAATTGCAAATTGTGCTGCTATAAACATGCATGTGTGGTGTCTTTTTCATATAATGACACCTTTTCTTCTGGGTAGATACCCAGAAGTGATATTGCTGAATCAATGGTAGTTCTACTTTTAGTTCTTTAAGAACTCTCCATACTGTTTTCCATGGTGATTTTAGTAGTTTATATTACCACCAGCAATGTAAATGTTCCCTTTTCACCACATCCATGCCAATATCTATTACTTTTTTGATTTTTAAATTATGGTGATTCTTGCAGCAGTAAAGTGTTATCTCATGTGGTTTTACTTTGCACTTCCCTGATAATAAGTGATATTGAACATTGTTTTCATATGTCTGTTGGCCATTTGAATATCTTCTTTTGAGAATTGTCTATTCATGTCCTTTGCCTGCTTTTTGATGGAATTAGTTGTTTTTTTTGTTGCTGATTTTTTTGAGTTTTTTGTAGATTCTGGATATTAGTTCTTGTCAGATACATAGTGTATTAGTCTACTCTCACACTGCTGTAAAGAGATACCAGAGACTGGGTAATTTATTTTTTAAAAAAGGTTTAATTGACTTACAGTTCCACATCGCTGGGGAGGCCTCAAGAAACTTATAATCACGGCAGAAGGCACCTCTTCACAGGGCAGCAGGAGAGAGAATGAGAGCAGAGTGAAGGTGGGAGCCCCTTGTAAAACCATCAGATCTTGTGAGAAGTCACTCACTATCATGAGAACAGTATGGGAGAAACCACCCCCATGATTTAATTATCTCCACTTCATCCTGCCCTTGACATGTAGGGATTATTACAATTCAAGGTGAGATTTGGGTGGGGACACAAAGCCAAACCATATCACATAGTTTGAGAAGATTTTCTTCCACTTTGTGGGTTGTCTGTTTATTCTGCTGATTGTTTATTTTGCTGCGCAGGAGCTTTTTAGTTTAATTATGCCACTCTATTTATTTTTGTTTTTGTTGCATATGCTTTTGGGTTCTTGGTCATAAACTCTTTGCCTAAGCCAATGTCTACAAGAGTTTTTATGGATGTTATTCTCTAGAATATTTATGGCTGGAGCTCCCAAATTTATAAAACAATTACTACTAGACCTCAGAAATGAGATATACTGCACAATATTAATAGTGGGCGACTTTAATGCACCACTGACAGCATTAGACAGGTCATCAAGACAGAAAGTCCACAAAGAAACAATGGGCTTACACTGTATCCTAGAACAAATGGATTTAACATATATTTACAGAACTTTCCACCCAACAACTGCAGAATATACATTATTTTCATCAGCACATGGAACATTCTTCAAGATAGATCATATAATAGGTCACGAAAACAAGTCTCAATAAATTTCAGAAAATCAAAATTATATCATGTGTTCTTTCACACAACAGTGGAATAAAACTAGAAGTTAACTCCAAAAGGAACTATAAAAACTATGCAAATACATAGAAATTAAATAATCTGCTCTTGAGTGATCTTTGGGCCAACAATGAAATCAAGATGGAAATTAAAATTTCTTTGAATTGAATGATAATAGTGACAAAATTTACCAAAACCTCTGGGATACAGCAAAAGCAGTTTTAAGAGGAAAGGTCATAACATTAAATGCCTACATCAAAAAGCCTGAAGTACAAATAGACCATCTAAGATCATACCTCAAGGAACTAGAGAAACAAGAACAAACCAAACCTAAACCCAGCAGAGGAAGATAAATAACAAAGATCAGAGTAGAAATAAATGGAATTGAAGCAAAACCAAACAACAACAACAACAAAAAAAACCAAAAAATAAATGTAACAAAAAGCTGATTCTTTGAAAAGATAAACAAAATTAATAGACCATTAGTGAGATTAACCAAGAAAAGAAGAAAGAATATCTGAATAATTCAATTGGATCAATTAGATTCAAATATTTAGATGGGATCAATTAGAAATCAAACACGAGATATTACAACTGATACCACACACATAAAAAGTCATTCAAGGCTACTATGAACAACTTTATGTGCACAAACTGGAAAATACAGAGATGTGTAATATAAATTCCTGGAAATACAAAATCCTCTTAGATTAAATCAGGAAGAAATAGAAACTCTTAACGGATCAATAACAAGTTGCAAGATTGAAACAGTAATAAAAAAATTGTCAACAAAATAAGTCTAAGACCAGATGGATTCACAGTTGAATTCTATCAGACATTCAAAGAAGAATTTGTATCAATCTTAGTGAAACTATTCCAAAAGATAGAGAAAATGGGAATTCTCTCTAAATCATTCTATGAAGTCAGTATCACCCTAATTCCAAAATCAGGAAATGACATAACAGAAAAAGAAAACCACAGACCAGTGTCCATGATGAACATAGATTCAAAAATCTCCAAAAAATTCTTGTGAACTCAATCCAACAGCATGTAAAAAAGATAATGCACAATGATCAAATGGGTTTCATACCAGGAATGCAGGGATGGCTTACCATACACAAGTCAATAAATGTGATACCTCAGATAAACAGAATTAAAAACAAAAATCATATGATCTTCTCAAGAGACACAGAAAAAGCATTTGACAAAATACAGCATCACTTTATGACAAAAACCCTCAGCAAAATTGGCATAGAATCGACATACATCTAGGTATGGTTTTTCTAAGAACCAGCTTTTAAAAGCCATCTATCATAAAACCACAGCCAACATTATAGTGAATGGGAAAAAGCTGAACGCATTCCCCCTGAGAAGTGGAACAAGACAAGGATGCTCACTTTCACTGCTTCTATTCAACATAGTGCTGGACATCCTAGCCAGAGCAATCGGACAAGAGAAAGAAATCTTTCCAAATCAGTAAAGAAGAAGTCAAACTGTCACTCTTCACTGGTGCTATAATCACATACCTAAAAATCCCTAAAGATTCATCCAAAAAGCTCCTAGGTCTGATAAATGAATTCCGTAAAGTTTCAAGACACAAAATTAATGTTCACAAATAACTGCTATACACCAAAAATGACCAAGCTGAGAACCAAATCAAGAACTCAATCCCTTTTACAACAGTCACAAACAAAATAAAATACTTAGGCATATATCTAACCAAAGAGATGAAAGATCTCTTCAAGGAAAACTACAAAACACTTCTGAAAGAAAGCACAGACCACACAAACAAATAGAAAAACATCCCATGCTCATAGATGGGTAGAATCAATATTGTAAAAATGACCATACTGCCAAAAGCAATCTACAGATACAGTGCAATTCCCATCAAAATAACATCATCATTTTTCACACAACTGGGAAAAAACAATCCGAAAATTCATATGGAACCAAAAAACAGACCACAGAGCCAAAGTAAGACTAAGCAAAAAGAACAAATCTAGAGGCATCACATTACCTAACTTCAAACTATACTACAAGGCTCTAGTTACCAAAACAGCATGGTACTGGTATAAACATAGGCACATATACCAATGGAACAGAATAGAGAACCCAGAAATAAAGCCAAATACTTATAGCCAACTAATCTTTGACAAAGCGAACAAAAGCATAAACATAAAGTGGGCAAAGGACACCCTTCAACAAATGATGCTGGGATAATTGGCAAGTCACATGTGGAAGAATGAAACTGCATACTCATCTCTCACCTTATACTAAAATTAACTCAGGATGGATCAAAGACTTAAGTATACGACCTGAAATCAAAATAATTTCTATCTTTCTAAAGGACTTTTTTTTTTTTTTTTTTTTTTTTTTTGGGGACAGAGTCTCACTCTGTAGCCCAGGCTAGAGTGCAGTGGTGTGATCTTGGCTCCCTGCAATCTCTGCCTCCCGGGTTTAAGCGATTCTCCTGCCTCAGCCTCCCAAGTAGCTGGGAGTACAGGCACGTGCCACCATGCCCAGGTAATTTTTTTGTATTTTAGTAGAGATGGGGTTTCACCAGGTTGGCCAGGATGGTCTCGACCTCCTGACCTAGTGAACTGCCCGCCTTAGCCTCCCAAAGTGCTGGTTTAAACGGCTTTTAAAATTTCTTGCAAGGCAGGCCTACTGGCAACAAATGTCTTCAATGTTGTTTGTCTGAAAAAGTTTTTATTTTTCCTTCACTTTTGAAAGATAACTTCACTGAGTATAGTGTTCTAGATTTGTGTTTTTAAATTTTACTTCATTTTAAATATAAAATATACTTACATCATTTAGCATCTTTACCATCTGTAAGTGTGAGGTTCAGTGGTAATAAGTACATTTAATTATTTTTCCCCTCACCCTATTCCCCTTTCTGGCCTCTGGTAATCACTGTTCTACTCTTTATCTTTATGAGCCATGTTTTATATCTTAATTTCCACATATGACTGAGAACTTGCAATATTTTTCTTTCTGTTCTTGGCTTATTTCACTTAACATAATCAACTTCAGTTCTATCAATGTCGGTGCAAATGACAGAATGTTATTATTTTTAATGGCTGAGTAAAATGGTGTACATAATACCATACTTTGTTCATTCATTTGTTGATGGGCACTTAGGTTAATTTCATATTTTGACGATTGTGAATAGTGCTACAATAGATATGGAAGTGCAAATATCTCTTTGATATATTATTTTCCTTTCCCTTAGATATATACCCAGTAGTGGAATTGCTGGCTCACATTCTAGTTCTAGTTTTAGCTTTTTGAGGAATCTCCATCCTGTTCTCCATAGTGGTTCTACTAATTTGCATTCCCACCACAGTGTTTGAGGGTCCTCCTTTCTCCACATCATTGCCAGCATCTCTTATAACCTCTTTTTTTGATACAAGTCATTTTAACTGGAGCGAGATATCTCATTGTGGTTTTGATTGCATTTCTATAATTAGTGATGCTGAACATTTTTCATATACCTGTTGGCCATTTTTATGTCTTCTTTTGAGAAATATCTGTTCAGATGTTTTGCCAATTTTTAAATCTATTTGTTGTTTTATTTTTTCTTTTGCTATTCAGTTATTTGAGCTCCTTCTATATTCTGGCCATTAATTCCTTGTCCTGTAGGAAGTTTGCAAATATTTTTTCCCATTCTGTGGGTTAACTCTTCATTTTGTTGATTGTTTTCTTTGCCTTCCAGAAGCTTTTTAGCTTGATATAATCCCAATTGTCCATTTTCACTTGCTTGACTGTGCTTTTGAGGTCTTACACAATAAATCTTTCCCCAGACCAATGTCCTGAAGCATTTCCTCAATGTGTTCTTCTAGTAGTTTTATAGTTTGATGTCTTACATTAAGTCTTCAATTCACTTTGATTTGATTTATGTGTATAGTGAGAGATAGGGGTCTCATTCTTCTGCATTTAGTTATCCGGTTTTCCCAGCACCATTTATTATAGCGCTGCTATAATAAATGCTATAAAGCATTTATTATATTACTTATGTTATTATATACACATTATATATAATAAATGCTATATGCATTTATTATATTACTTATATGTATATTATATCTAATATATACATTATAGTAATATATTATTATATTACCTATAGTATTACCTATAGTAAATACATTACTATAATGTATTTACTGCACTGCTATAATAAATAAATCTCTCTCACCCCTTGACTGGATCTCCCTGGAGTTTTTATCTCTCAAACTTGTTTTCACTGAATCTCCAGCAATTCATCAACTACAGTTTGGATTTTCCTATCCCAGCACTGGTTCCTGTGGAGGTTTCAGCATGTGGGTTTCTTCTTCCCTAAGTTTTAATTCTCTGTATTTGCCTGTTGGTCTCTCCAATTTTGGAGGCAGAGGTTTGCCCTGTGGTCTCATGTCTTCTGTGGCTCTCAGAAGTGTTGTTGATTTTTCAGTTCGTTCAGCTTCTGGCTAGTTGTTAGGATAGAGCGGTGGCTTCCAAACTTCTTACAAGCCAATCCAGAATCTGGAAGACCATTTGTATTGTCATTTAATTTTTGCTCTCAAGTTTGGATTTTCCTGGTACTGGGGACTTTTGTGACAAGATGGCATTGAATATGCAAAAGTTTAATTACCTCAATTGTTTGATTAAGCAACTGATTTGAGAATTGGTCAGTGAGAGTGAGAAGTCAGCCACAATAATTTTAGATTAATAATAGTTTAGAAGAACAATGTTGATTCTGTTGCTTGTGCCAGTTAACAGTGGGTGAAATCTGAAGTCTTTCAGACATCAAGATACAAAATGAAAATATCACTTCTACTCTCATATGTTTTAAAATAGTTGTATGTTAATCATTACAGATAAAGCTTCTATTATGTCCTGACAAAAAGGTGTACCTTGGATGGCAAATCTGGAAAATTGCAATACTGAATATAAGTATAAAGGCACATATGTATTGTGTTATTTAGAATTTTTTGCATTTAAGATTTTTGAATGGGTAATCAAAATCATTAACATAGAAGATTTTCATATTTACCTTGAGCACAAAGGTTTTTGTAAACTGGTTTTTTTAAAAAGAGTAGGATTTAAAAAGGGAGCAATGAAATATATTGTTTAGCATGCATGTTTGACACTTTGGGTTTATTGATATGTTCTGCCTTTTATAAGATGAATACTATGACAAATGACAGAGAAGCGATTGCATGCCACTATCTCTGTTCTATCCATGTACTGCCAGTGGGCAAAGATTTCTCATTTCATACATCATTTACAACTTCCTACAGTAATTTTACATAGTTCATATCCTTGGTGCAAGGCATAGCAATTATCTATACACATATATGCATGCAGGCATAACGAATATGAAAACCATGGAGTTCTATAAAGAGTTCCAAAGTTCACACACTCCAACCAATAAAAGTTGGTGAAAACCAGTAAGTTATCTAATTTAAAAACTTTTCTATTTTAACTATTACTCTGTTGTGCACCTGTGAACCAGGTTATCTCTTGAGGTCTTCCTTTAGACTACTGAATATAATAGTAAAATGCTATCTTCAATTTTTCCAAGGTACTTTTGTATACCAAAAGTTACATTAAAAAAGAATAATATTAATTTTTTCTATCTACTTTTACTCTTTTGTTTCTAAATAGATAAGAAAAATAAAATATTGCATTCTGGAGTGAGAAAAAATTAAAATTCAATGATTTTTAGTTTTAAATATAAACAAACAGTTGAAGTTTGATGACATTTGGCTATTTTGAATTTTCTGAAATTAATTAAAGTTGCCATGATTTTATTAAATTTTTCAACCAATATTGTACAAATAACATTTACAGAGATTGTAAAATCCTAAACTGGTACATAATTAATAATACCCAGAAATAAACTTTGAACTCTTTCGTGTGTTATGTATGATCTAGGATTAAATTTTACTTTTCATATTTTAAATTTTTCAAATTTCGGTCTAAAAAAATGTAGTGGCTTCCATTATATGTGGGTAGAATAATGAATGGTAACTAGATCCTTTCAAAAGTACAGAAATTAATGCTTTAGATTCAGCAAACACTTTTGACTTATGCTAGCTATTTATTAATGAATAAATACCCTATCTCCTTTCAAAAATTACTTAATATATTGACACTGTATATTCCTACTCCTTCACAATAATAATTTCTTGACATTCTTTTCTTTCTTTTGAAAAATCACTGCTTCAAATTTTCTTTTATTAGTCTTTACTGGCTATCCATGCTGCATCAGAAAGTATAACATTATATGGAGAAGGGAATGTTTCTCAAAGCTAGGTTCTTATGGTCTAAGACAAAACAGAACAAATAACTGATATATCCTACCTTTGTGACTCAGTTACTAAGTTCTGATAAATGCACAAAAAAATTAGAGACCTATGTTCATTAGTTAAACTCAGAAGAGATTTCTAGTGCTATTCTGCCATTACCCACTTTTTTGTCCTTGGGTTAGCCTCTCTTTGTACTTCAATATCTTCATCTATAATGTAAAGCAAACTGGATGATTTTATATTTTCTTCATATAAGCAAGATCTGCTTTATTGGCCATGACCCCAGAAATCTTTAATGTCTAGAAAGGAAACAATATGGCAATTTTTTGAAGGGTACAAAATGAAGACATGGCTTTTTAAAATCAAGATTGTTTTAAAGACTATTGTATTTCACTTCATCTGCCTATAATCTTAGTAATGTTACAGTCAATGACAAATACTAACCATAGAAATAATTCCATTGTATCTTAATTTTATGAGTAGTCACATTTAAAAAATAGGCCAGCATTTTCATTGAACACTCAAATCCATATACCTGCTTTCTGTAGTTAGTTTCCTTTTGAAGGCCATTCAGTAGGCCTCTTAGAATGCCTGAATAACATCGGAATAAAGTAAATGTCCATTCAAGTGTGATTTAGAGTTCTTGAAATGGAGAATGAAGTCAAAAGCAGTTCTTTTAATGATCTTAAAAATGGAAATGACTGTACAAAAGCTACACTGATCAATTCTCATAGCATTGACCCTAAAGTTATAGAAAGACCTATAATAGCAACATACACAACACAGATGTGGAAAGTCACATTAGTAAATTTCTAGAGGCTAAGTAATTTTTTCTTCTTTTCTAATGTTGAAATTCTAACCAAAGCTATTTTTGCTTATAATGCTCACTCTTTATTACACACAAATAAAAGAAAAAGTGCAATTATCAGCAAAAAAAATTAAAAAAATAAATGATAATACAATTAAACCATAATCAGGTTTTACCTCTTCCTTGTTGATTTTATACTAATGATATATTATCATCCCTTCATTCAGGATATATTCATTCAGGTCCTCTGAGTACACAAAAAGTAACTAAATCTTAACTAGCTAAACCTTACTTAGTTTGACAATAATTAAATTCAGTGTTAGATTCTTGCTGTAATAAGGCTAAGTACATGTATTATTTTTCTATTGTATAGGAAGTTAGCATAAGTGTAGTGGCTTAAAACAATAGACATTTGTTATCTAACAGTTTCCGTAGGTTAAGAGTCTGAATACAGAGTAGCTGAATTCTCTGAAAGGCTGCCGTCAAAGTCTTGTTGAGGACTGGGTTTTTATCTAAAGGGCTGACTGTGGAAGGACTCACGTCCAAATTCACTCAGGTTATACCATGATTCATTTCCTTGTGACTGCAGGATGGAGGGCCTCATTTCTTGCTGGTTGTCAGCTGGAGATCCTTGCAGGCTGTTGGCTGGAAGCCTTTCTCAGCTCCTAGAGGCTGCCCTTAATTCCCTGCTACATATGCCTTCTAACATTGCTGCTTGCTTCGTAAAAGCCAGAAAGTAAAGTAAGTGTGTGTGTGTGTGTGTGTCTGTTTGTGCGTGTGTGTGTGTCTGGGTTGAGAGAGAGAGACTACAGTTAAATGGAAGCTATAATCTTATGTAACATATACATATAATTACATGTAAGTAATAATGTGCATCCCACCACACCACCTCTGCTACATTCTTTTAGTTAAAAGCATAAGTTACAGGTCTTATCCACATTCAAAGGAAATAAATCACACAAAGGCATAGATACTAGGAGGTAGGGGTAATGGAGAGACCTTAAATGTCTCTCTGCCATACTACATGATATGGTTTGGTTGTGTCCCCACCCAAAATCTCATCTTGAATTGTAATTCTTAAAATCCCCATAATTCCCACATGTCAAGGGAGAGACAGGGTGGAGGTAATTGGATCGTGGGGGTGGTTTCCCCCATGTTGTTCTCATGATAGTGAGTGAGTTCTCATGAGATCTGATGGTTTTATAAGTGTTTGGTAGTTCCTCCTGTGTTCCTTCTCCTTCCTACCACCTTGTGAAGAAGGTGCCTTGCTTCCCCCTTGCTTTCCCCCATGATTGTAAGTTTCCTGAGGCCTCTCCAGTTATGCTGAACCATGAGTCAATTAAACCTCTTTCCTTTATAAATTACCCAGTCTTGGGTATGTGTTTATAGCAGTGTGAAAATGGACTAATACACTATATAAAGCTAATATAGGTAATAATGCAGGTATAAGCAAATCACTCCCAAATAAATACATAAATGAAAACTGTTGGGTATAATTAACTTTTTTTGCATGAAAATTAGCAAGTTGAACTTTGCTATTAGCAAGCTACATGGCACTCAATAACTAAATCACCTCTCTAGACCCAGAAGAGTTTGGATCCACTTCTGAAAATTGAAAGGATTGACTTTAAATGACTGCTGAAATCCTTTGTAGCTCAAGACTTCTACAAGGCTTAGAACATTTGGAATAGATAGAATTATTTAATATATTAATATTTTACTTTTTACCCCAGACACGTATCCAGAAGTTTACATCTTTTTTTTTTTTTTTTTTTTTTTTGAGATGGAGTCTCACTCTGTCGCCCAGGCTGGAGTGCAGTGGCACCAGCTTGGCTCACTGCAAGCTCCGCCTCCCGAGTTCATGCCATTCTCCTGCCTCAGCCTCCCCAGTAGCTGGGACTACAGCTCATGCCGCCACATCCGGCTAATTTTGTTTTTGTATTTTTAGTGGAGACAGGGTTTCACTGTGTTAACAAGGATGGTCTCGATCTCCTGACCTGGTGATCCGCCTGCCTCGGCCTCCCAAAGTGCTGAGATTACAGGTGTGAGCCACTGCAGCCGGCCAAAGTTTACATCTTCTAAGGGCTTATCTCAAGACTGCTAAATCTAGCAAGATTTTAATTTAACGTAAATGTGTTTTTGAGTATCTTCTCTAAACAAGGCAGTAGAAAGTAGTAGGGTTCTAGAGTCAGATACTTGACCTTAAATACTAGCTCTTTCTGTTACCAAGAGACCTTTAGCAAAATATTTAATCTCTTTTTATTGGTAACATGACACGATAATAGTACCAAAACTGTTGGATTTTTGAAAAGATTAAATGACATAATATGTACAAAATGTAAGTTTCTCTGCATTGAAAGAAATAACAAAAATGGTGCTTTACTGAAATATTTCCTCTTCTAGAATATGCCATTATGTTTAATTTCCCTTGAGATTTATCAGAAACCAGGGAAGAGTTAAAATTCTTGTTTAATATGATAAATATGGTTATTTTAATAATTGAATAATTTCTGCTGGATTTTATCCAACACTTTCAGGAAGAATTAACTAGGGCAAGTTTTATTTTTTTAATGTAAAAATCATATCTGTCTTATGAAAATGTTCTGTTTGATTCTGTATATTCTGTTCTTTTGAGAGCAGATTTCCAGGTACAACACTTCATTGTTATTAATAAATGGGCCATACATAAATTATGCATTAAGAAAAAATAACAGACAAAAGCACTGGCATCTCTTTTGCTAGGTAGAGGAAACAGTTTTAGTGTCTGACATAGAAGAAAAGAGAGTCAGTGTAATTTCATAGAATTACAAGCAGCCAAATTCACACCCCAACTTATCTTTCAAACTCTTTTTTTGTTCTCCACATAGAAAAATCACACAGAATGAGAAATAACCATGCAGTGACAATCATTTTGCTTTGGAGAAAAATCCTCATTCACTAACCTCTTCTGAAGACTTTTTTTTTTTTTCACAGTCTTGGGTTTTCAGTCACTGAACTTCTCTGGTGACCTGGGGACAAACCCAAAATACTGAAAAGTGCAAAAGTTGATGTCTCAGTCCATTTGGGCTGCTATAACAAGATACCACAGAATGAGTAATTTATAAAACACAAAATTTTATTTCTCAGAGTTCTAGAGGCTGGGAAGTTCAAGATCAATGCATTGGCAGGTTCATTGTCTGGTGAGGGTCCAGACTCTACTTCCTAGATGAAGTCTTGAATGCTGTGTGTGTCCTTTGAAGGGGGAAAACACTTGTCTTCACATGACAGAAGGCAAAAGGACAAACGGGAAGAACTGCTGACAAGACCATTTAAAAGGTCCCTGACTTAATGACTTAATCATGACTTAATCACCTTCTGAAGGTCCCACCCCTTAATACTGTTACATTGGCAGTTAAGTTACAACACCTGAATTTTGGATGGAACACATTCAACCACAACAGCAAGAACTAAAAAACTTCAATGAAAGTGAGCATCTTTGAATGCTGACAAACACATAACATGGATGTTATAAAGCATGGCATATATTGATGTGTTTCATGAATATGTGGATGCCTTTTAAGGGAAATGGCACAATGAGATGGATGAAATATAGATCTACTGATACATTTATATTTACTTTTAACTTCAAGGAGTAAAAGGGGTTTATCAAAGAAGTTGAGGAGAGAAAATCAAATAGCTGCATTCTCGGGTGGTGAAAATTGCAACAACTCCTTTTTAGTATGTATCACAATCTTAAATTGTCTTTCCTCCTCTCGTTTCCTTCTTTGTTTTTTTTTTTTTTTTGCCCCATTAGAATGTCAGATCCAAGGTTACAGGGAATTTGTATGTTTTGTCTATCACCTAACCCATTTCCTAAAGTTGTATAAGGACATTGTCGGTGCTTAAAAAAAATTGCTCAACAAATGAATGAGGAGTAGATTTGGATGTTTTCTGAAACATCTGTCCAAAACGAAATTAATTATGACGTTAATTTTGGTGTCGTCATTCATGTCTTCTTTTTTTTCCCAATTAAACCATGTTTTTTTGTCTTATAAGTTCTGTTTTGATTGTTTAGATGCCCAAATAAGATACAATAAAAAAATTCTTATAAGTTTAGATTCCGTGTTCTTTTTTTAAAAAAAATAATGTTAATTTTTTAAAATGGTGAATTTACGGACAACTTAAAGTACAGATAGGTCTATTTGATGGGAGGAAGAGAGACTAGAGAGATTCTCAGTTGTTTCCAAATTAATAGTGGAATGAACATCATGAATGAGTTGACATTAGAAGTATCTTCATTTATTTCTCTTTTTTTTCCCTGTGTGGTAAATATAAATTCTAAACACTTTTGACTAGATTTGTTAACTGATAATAATTTCATTACATTGTCAGATGATTGAATTCATAGTTATAGAAAGGTATCGTTGATAGTGGTGAAGAACGTTTAGCTTCCTTTATCTCTTGTGAAGATGTTTTAATTTTTAATTGCCTATCCTTGTCTTTCTCAATAGTGCCTAAATGTGATATATATCATTTTAATAAGATCAATATATACAATTCCAAACACATTTTATTTCAAATATAAACACCTAATATGGTAATACAATGATTTTATTTCAACATACATTATTTTGAAAATATTTTTAAAGTTTCTAATTTTGCTATTGTAATTGCAAATGCAAATATGAAATATGAATACACACTGGAGAATAAAAAAAGCTATAATATTTACTATATTTACAGGATAATTATAATTTTCATATTTAAAAACCATGCCATTTAGTTGAATTTGCTTGCTAATGGAATCACAAATGCTATAAGCTTTGTTTGCAGATTTCTAACTTTGTGGCAGATGTATAGAAAATGGGGGCTTATAAAGCTTGGCAAACATCTATGTTGATCACTCGTATTGACTTGTCTTCCTTCTGGATCATGAGAAAGTAAAGGTAACCCAAACTGAAAGTACAAAGAGAAAAAATGGAACTAGTAAACTCTACAGACGTTAACTTCCTCTGAATTTCAGCATACAATTTGCCCATACAGGTTCCATTAAAGTTAATGGGAGTCGTGTGACTAATTCTCTCTGTAGGGTACTAAAAATGTACCCTGCAGTATTAAAAAGTCTGAACCTAATTTTTACTTTCTCTTAACCTTGATTATGTTACACTAAAGATAGGTACTTTCATTATCACATATATATATAGAGTAAATTTTATATAAAGATCTGAAAATAATCTATTTGGGGAAGAGACTGCATTTATATGGATCAGAGTAGAATTTTAATTAGTGTTGCAAATATCAGTACTGCTTTCATTATAATGATAAAACAAGCATGAGTATCTGTAATTTACCCTCCAGCTATACAAATGAGAACTTAAACCTCAATGAATTCAATAAATGAAACATTTTCAGGACACTTACTTAAAATCACGTCTACTTTTTAATCAGTCATGTTTTAAGTGAATGCTTATTAATAGATCATTAATAAAACATGCTTATGAAATGAGATTTCAAGAAAGAGGTGACATGAATGAAATACAAAGAAAGTAAAAAACCTGATGGAATATTTAATTTTGTTTTAAACAGTTCACTTTATAGTGAGTTACATTAGAAGTATTATTTCAAGCTAAAAAATGAATTCAAAATCTTTTTTTTAGTTCTACATGAAGATAAAACACTACAGATGATATTGCCTGTGAATTCATGACCCTTTTTTACTGCCCAAGTTCCCTCTGCTTTTGACATTCAAACTGAAATATTAATCTCATTTTTTCCTTTAAATAATTTCTGCCTGGCTTCTATCACTACCTGGGGGGATGAAGTTATAAGATTTTATTCTTAAAGAATGCAAAAAGAAAAGAACAACTATATACATGAATAAATACTCTACCATTCATTTTTTCACTGAAATCAGCAGCTATGCTGCAAAAAAGGGACATGCACAAAATATTTCCTAAGCACAAAGAACACTGGGAAAAGGCAGGCGATATTGCAGAACAATAAATAAAGCAGAACACTCTCCAGGGGTCTGGGGTTTGGTTTGAATAGCATTCCAGAAGGCGGAATTCCTGCCCAACACCAACATAAACGGCAATTAAAACTGAACTTCATATGTTACACATACATCTTCTTCTCTGGGTTTCTAAGAGTCTCTATGTCTAAATTACAGTAGAATCCTTTGAATGTGGGTGGGGCTGGAAAGAAAAGTTACTATTACTAACAAGTCACAGTTTTCAATGTATTGAACCTGATGTCAGACTCCTAGCTATTGAACTTCAGATTCTTAGAGTACTTCCAGCTCATGATCCCATTACTTAGAATTTACTTTGAAGCTTGTAACATTTGGGGTTTGTGCTGCCACTTGCCTTCCTGATCTGTAGGCTCACTGCTGAATGCTGTAAGCATGCAACTACAACGGGCTTTAGGGACCCATTGGACCCAGCTTTCTGGCTGATTTGTGGCATCGACCTCAAAGCAGCAGAGGAAGAAGATGGTTTAATTCTTGTTACTTATAAGTTACACTTACATGAAAACGAAATCTTAAGTGGGACTTCTAAGAAATACATCTGGTAGTCTGGGCTATGCCAATAACTAGCCAAGCCACATAGCTCTCACAGGTTTAGCACAATTCCATTCTGAATTGTTCTGATTCTTGAGCTGACTCTATAGGGCACTCTCCATCCTTTTTAAAGCCATAAGGTAAACCTTGGATTAAAAATAATTTTCCTATACAAATATCTTTCCTTTTTTTTTTTCTTGGATCTTGAAATTAATGAAAATTGTATTTAGGATTTTGCAATGTCTTTTGAGATAACTAGAAGCACTGCGGGATGCTAGAATTATTTGTCACTACTTAAAAAAAACAACAGTTATTGATGAATTTTGTGGCTTTCTAAGAAGAACAATGTGATGAGTTGAAAAGAATGCAGCTCAGACTGAATTAAGTACAATGTACCAAGAATATGCAGTGACCCAAGATGACATACCTGCATAGTGTGTGTTGGTGTTTAACAAAAGGATCAAGCCCTTCGCACTAAGAGAGTGTCTCTACTGCGGATTTAGGTCTGATACTCTTCTGCCATCACTTGGATTCTGTGACTCCACTGCTAGTCCTCATTTTGATGTGCTTCCATGGGGGCCTCCTTTGCTTTGTAATTGTTTGGTCCTACTTTTGTATCAGGTTGCAGAAGTGATCTTCTCTATCTCCCACTGCACCCAAATTCTACTAAAATTATCTTTTTACTTGTGTCTCTTTTCTTAAAATGTAAGTACACTAAGGGTAGGGACCATGTTTCACTGTTTGGCACAACTGGTGCTCAAACTTTGCTTATTGAGTGGGATAGAAAGAATGGAACACACACTTTCAGAAAGTTCTCAGTCTTCCGATTTATAATTGCTGCACATTGAATTTTTAAATAGAGATCTAATTTGCATTACAAAGCCTCTGTCAAGGATATTTCTTTCATTTTAGCTATTTCTACCCAAATTTGCTATGTTACAATTTTGTACTGTGCTTAAAGGTGAGGTTCTTTTTATGCCCCCATTACACGAAAATGTGCTTTGCTAGAGCCTTCCGGAAAATATGTCCTATAAGATGCCTCATGCTGGTGGTCATTTCTGGATTCCTTCTACCTTTAGTGAATGTTCCAAGTACATTACAGGAATGGAAGCCAGGACTCTGGCATAAAGAGCTGCCTTGACTTCCCTATGGCAGGGACTGCTAGGTCTGTATTACCCTGTTATGTGATGATTCAGTTCACCCCAATTTGCCCTTTGGGAACTGCTGTGAAAATTTCTTTTGTACAGTAAATCATGACAGCATTTGGCCTTCATTTGGGGGTGAATGCATGGTTTATATATTGAACCCATTTCTTTTTTTCCCTTCAGAAATACCATGTGGCATCAATTTGTAAGCACAAATCAAATGGCAGTTTGGGATCCTCCAGATGATCCAGAATATTCTGTATTAAGTTTTTAAAGGTTATCACAGCAATGAAAACCTAACATTGAAAAAATTGAGACTCGTTGAATCCGCAAGAATATATCCTTATACCCACAGAGATATTCAACACTAGTTAAAGAAAATCTACTTTGAAACATTTAAAAATGCTGGAGCAGTATTTGCTCCATTCTAGAATTAATATACTATTTAGAAATATGTACATTATATATATTTGTATATATATGCATTATATATTTTTTATCCCTAATTTTTTTTTAGAAACAAGATCTCACTCTGTCACCCAGACTAACGTTCAGTGGTGCAATCATGGCTCACTGCAGCCTCAAACTCCTGGGCTCAAGTGATCCTCCCACCTTGGCCTCTCAAGTAGCTGGGACTATAGGTGCTTGCCACCACAGCAAGCTAATTTGTTTATTTTTTAGTTTCTTTTAGAGATGGGGGATTACACTATGTTGCCCAGTCTTGTCTTGAACTTCTGGGCTCAAGTGATCCTCCTTCCTCAGCCTCCTGAGTTGTTGGGAATACGGGTGTGAGCCACTACATCCAGCTATATCTTTATCTTTCTATATCTGCATCTATATCATCTATCTATATCTATAAATATCTATATCTATAGAGCTAAAATCTGTTTTTTCCACCTAGTCAGCAGAATTTTATATTAGTTATCTTTAGCCACAGGTGAGATTAGAATATAGAAAAAAAAAATCCGAGACAATTTTGTAGCTTCAACTTTCAGATATGCCATATATGGACAAATACAGTAATTCCCTGAGAAACTGCTTGCTTCTCTGCCTTCAGCCACCCAAGGAACATCCCAGGCTCAGCACTATGGGTTTCCAAATTTATCCATTCAGCCATACTTGTGGCTCTTGTGGTTGGTCTGTGGCCTGAAGCTTAACTTGCCCAGTAGTTCTATTTCCCAAAATAGGCTCAGGAAGTTTGTGACCATGTTTGGTTTGTTTCAAAGGGTTTCTACATATTTAATGAGGTTGTGAACATATACTAAGATTTGTATATTGTTCATCAAATAAAACATATCTTCAACCCTCTTTTCACTTCAGTGCGTGGTTTGGAGCTGTTTTACAAGCACATGTGTTTATCATATGACTTTATTTGGGGACAAACACCACCCCTTACATTTGGGATACAGTTTCTGAGTAGCTGAACACTCAATTTCATCCCTCCCTATTCAAGAACAAATGTTAAGCCGGGTAGCTCTTTTCTCTTATTTTTGGCAGGTTTCTCTGAATGCTAAGGTGTCTTACTTCATCCAAATGTTCCCTTTATCATAGGAGGGTAAGAAAATAGCCTGTACCCTGGAGATCTTTTTCACCCAGAAAGGCATTTAACTAGTGTCTTTCTGTGTGCTGGGGGGAGTAGGGAGCCTCTTATCAGTTACATGCATTTATGAGAACAATGTGTTCCACTGGTTTGTGCACCAGAAGAGGATCCTGGAAATTTTCATCTTCTGTTCCTCAGCCTTGCTGAGACATTAGGCAAATTATTTAGCTCTTAGGTCACTGACTTCTTTTGTTTTTCTATAAAATATCTTCTCCTAGCACAACAAAGGGGCATTATGACTAATACTGATAATAGCTATAAAATTTATTTTTCTTTTTTAAGTCCCTATCATACCATATAGAGCAACAGAGGTGGTCTTTTACTAAATGAACCTTGGTGAGTAGCTAAATGACTCACACAATACCTTCCAGTTACTGTATAATGTAATAAACCACATTCTATAAATAAGCCAGATATAATAGATAAAATGTATTTCATTTGATGATTCAGATCCAATTCAATAAAGCAGAATATTCCACAGAGTTTAGTTTCTCTAATTGCAGGAGATAAAATTGATTTTCCTATATTTTCCGTCATGTTTCCCTCCTCCACTCAGTGTTTGCTATAGTTGCTGATTGTGAGAGAAAACTAGAAATAGAATTTGCTATGAAATTTAAAACTTCACAAACTTCATGGTGCTTCATTTGAAAAGCAATGTGGAGCTGATAGTTTGTATGAAATTCTGATGTGGACTTTTTTTCTTAGAAGTTTACAAGGAAAGGGGAAATGTCTGAAATGGAGATTGCACAATCCTGTCTTGAAGCAGAAGACTCAGCTAGAGCACATCTGGAAACACCTGGCACTCCTCAATAGAATTCAAATGCTATTTTAAAAGGTAGTATGGTCCTTTCTACTTCCCGTTGATCTGGGTCAAGGATTTGGGCAGTGCAGCCAATGCATTGATGGGGAGGAGCCCAGGATGTGGCTAGTGCTGCGGCTGTGTTGGTAACCTTAATGGGACGGAGCAAATCAGGGAGTACACTGAAGATAATGACAGGCACCATTCTTGCAACATTTATGTAAAGTTTTACACTATTTCAAAATGAAAAGTAAAATAAAATTTTTAAAAAGCTGACATGGTTTAGGATAACAATTTTACCAGAAGAATATCTTATGTTGCATTTAGCCCATGTAGAACATTATACATATATATAATGTTATATATTTCTTTATGTTTTCTGGTGTGTACATACATTTATCGATATATTCTTATTGATCTAGTTTCTCTAAGATTCTGACATATTTCAGAACAAAGGAAGAAATCTTACCAGTCAGTTCAGTAAGATATTTGGAAAGGGAGACTTGAATATGTGAAAAATTTATTTTGATCTATAGAAGATGTTAATATTATTTTCCTTAGTTTTTGTCTTTCTGATTACAGGCTTAACGCAACCTTGTATTTCTCTTTTAAGTGATCAGGAGCAGAATTTGCAAACTTTTTAGAATATGTATTTTAGTTCAAATTCCCCCCACCCAAAATTAATTTCATCTACGTATGCAGAAAGTATAATTTATAGTAAAGTGCTAAATCTAACCTGATTTCTCTCCTTAAAATTAGGTTTAAAATAAATTAAGCAGTACCTAATGTGTTTCCTAACAAGGCTCAGGGTACACAATGTTCTTTGGTTGGCCACAAAACACAAGGTCCTTGAGCTGAGATGACAGATTCTTCAAACAGACATATCCTGTACAAGGTGCCTTAAAAGTGAAGGCATTGCTGCCATTGGCTTGCAGGCTTTATATTGAAAAGGAGAATTCTGAAGGAAGGATGTTTGTTTTCTTCTTTTTTAAAAAATAAAATGATTTATAAAAACCGCACGTTTTTCTTTTTTGCTAGATGTAAAATCTGAGCTGCAACACTGAACAAAAGCTGTACTTGCCAGCCAGCAAAGATGCTACCACTCTGCACAACAGATAAAACCCATACATATAGGGAAGTCAAAAGAGTCTTTAAGCTACAGTGTTTGAGAGGCTGTTTGTCTCTGATGGAAAATTAAGAAAATGGTAAGAGCAGCGTTAGCATGAGGTGTTCATTCCAAATTTGTCACTGCAGTGTGTGTGGCATTGTGTGCAAAAACAACTCTTCAAGCAAAAACACCTCCAGCAAACTTCCTCCTTCACTTCAAACCTCATCTTCAATTACAATGTGGTTCCTACAAAGTAAAGGGCTGTTGTCCTCTCTTCAGACCTGTGCTGCTTCTGCGCACTAGCCCTGTAGACCATCAAGGCCTAAAAATAGCTGCTAGATTCAATGAGACATGAAGCTGACAGAAATGGCATCAAGCTAATTGGCAACAAACTCTATGAAACCTACTCAGGAAATCATATTTTTAAGCTGAACACCAAGTGGATTCTTGTTTGAATGTGAGGCTAACTTATTTTTATATTTATATTTCAAATAAAACAAAGGGGAATTGTTAAAGAAGAACCTTTTTATTTCCCTTATTATATATTTATTTAATCCTTTTAAAAGTTTTGTTAACAAAATCTTTGGATTCAGTGATATTTATTTGAAAAGATTGTTATCCACACATTATGATTAAGAAAGTGGGGCTTAAAGAGGTGCAATGACATGTCCTTAGTCAAAACATAGACAACTTGATTCTAATCTATCAGGAAAGACGACGATATTTATAAGTAACCAGAACACAAAGTGCTAAGTTCAATACTCATATTTTGAATAACACAAGAAGTAAAATCCTTTATTTAAAGAATCAAAGGGTTATCAGAAGAGAAGTTATTGGTGGATGATCACAGAGCTAATAGCCATAATTATACATGACCTGCTGGAAGATGGAAAAAACATAACACAAATCTTACCATTTCCTCTGGTAGTTGATTCATAAGAAAACTCTTAGGTCTTGATTGTTTACTTGAGAGTGTTGCTATTGTTACTCAACTTATTTAAAAAAAAAATGGAAAAGTTAGTTTTGGTGGCTGTTGTTGTCTGGAAGAAATAGACTATATTCAAAATAAAAATTGCCTGAATAAGTCAACATGATTGCATAATTTTTCAAATGTTGATTCCTAATACACAGATTGTAAGGATTCAGTTCACTGGATGAGATGTTGTTTTTAGAAATGATCTGCCTTCTCTGTTCATTCACATTCAATTCAAGAAGTAGGAAATTATTCTGGAATCTTTTTTCTCATTATGGTCTTGATGTGAAATTCATTTCGTGGTTGCTGAGCATCTTGAAAATACAGTGGATGGTTGCAACTACATATTCCTCTC
Source organism: Homo sapiens (assembly GCF_000001405.40). Taxonomy (NCBI): domain Eukaryota; kingdom Metazoa; phylum Chordata; class Mammalia; order Primates; family Hominidae; genus Homo; species Homo sapiens. The sequence continues at coordinate 76,613,921 of NC_000008.11, read as the reverse complement.
TGGTGATTTTACTACAACTGCTCAAATAACAAATGATAAAATGTTTTAGATGGTATATTATTTATTTTACTTGTCTTAATGGTGAATTTACTTAGTGTTTTCAAAAGGAATTCCATTTCAGAATATAAAATAGCATTCTAAAATTCTATAAAATGTAGATAATTTAGAAACCTGAGTTATAAAATACATAAATATGATTCAAACATATAATCAAAATAATATATGACTTTTATAATATCTTTCTGCTCTAGTTAATCTTTCTGCCTCCATTAATTACTGTAACATACCTTGAGGTAGGTAGAAATAAATTAACTATGTTTAAGCTGTAATGAATTTTTGGGCAGTGCCCAGCAGAAAATAATATTGAACAGAAGACAGAATTGTGACTTCCAGATTTCCATTTGAAGGTCTTATATGCTGGGAGAAAACTATAATTTATTATCACAATAACATTTCTAAATCAAGTCAGTTTCAAAGAGAAGTTGATTTACTCTGATTTAGGCAGCATTTCCTCTAAATGTGGAAAAGGTTTTTAAGTTACTTTACCTGGAAAGACATTTTTATCAGATGGCAACGATTTTACTCACACTTTCTATAGTTTCCTATATCCAAGTTGTGATTCTTCTTAAACAATCTAGAAGATATGCAGTACTAATGCTTTAGGATATCATCTCCATTTTTATTGATATAAGTACAACTTCAGAATAATTTATTTTAGGCCTTTCTAAGATGACTTTAGCTATAGAGTTTGGGGACAGGATGAATTAGATACCTTAGATATGTCTGATCCTAAAAATGTAGGTTCTGAAATATATTGCACTAGTTTTCAAACAATTAAAATAATTAAGTACACCGTCTTAGATAGATAAATATATTTTCCAACTCATGGCAAACGAATTGCTCTGTATAAAGAAAATGTAACTAAATATTAGCAGTTACTTGATAATGCATTTACTTATAGTCCTGCAGAAAAGAAGATGCTGGCTGGCTGGCTGACAATATTAACTTGGAACACCCTGGTGTATCCAGATCCTCCTGGGAGTGTCTCTAGGGGCAGGTTGCAGAGCTTCAACCTTCTCCCTGGCCCGTGCAACAGAAGCAGATTTAAGGATGGCCCCAGACTGAGAGAGATGGAGACAGAGATAGAGATAAAGGGCAAGAGCCAGAGTGGGAGACAGTGTGTGAGAACATCCTTAGAAGACCAAATTAGCATTAAAAAATTACAACGATTTTCTGGGTTAGATGTAAAGGCAAGAATATAAATTTGAAAAATGGACCTTGAAAGATTGTAGAAAATTAGTACACAAGAACATCATGTAAAAAGGAATTAGAGGATTTTTGTTAGCAGCAAACTCAGTAAATTAACAATAAAATGAGGGAGTCCAATTGCTCACTTTATTTTTGTTGTTGTTAATGTAATACTAATAGGAACAGAGTGCCTAGAGAAAATAAGATGATATCCTGGGGAAAAACAGTTGGTGCATCATTTTCAGTCCTTGTCAGCATACATTTAGAGCACAGAGTATGTAAGGAGAGACCACTAGCGTAAGTGGGAGTTCTAGAATCAATATTCTGTTAGTTAAAAAAGGTGAGACTGTTTTGTCTAAAAAAGTGAAGGCTGAGAATGTAGTGACTCTCTTCAAATATATGAAAAATTGTTTCTAGAAAAGAGACTAAGCACATTCCCTGTAGTGCTTTAAGAATGCAATCAGAACAACAGGCGAGGGTTGTAGAGAGGTATATTTCGCTACCATACAGGACAGTTTTCCCCCCCTCAATCACTATTGCTATTCATCAAGGCGCTAGTTGTCTTAAGGGAGAATATGAGTTTTGCATTACTAGAAATATTCAATATAACCTTTATAATTTTTCTTTTCTTTTTATTTTCAAATAGAGTCCATTTCTAAGAAGATGTGGTTCGAACATACAGAGCTACATAATATGAGTAAAATAGGACCTAACAGTAGTGTTCTCCAGCATTGCTCTGCCTTTCCTTTTCTGGATGTAACAACATTACTAAGAAAGGAAGAAAAAGCAAAAATCTGCTCTCGGGGAGATTCCAGAATGTTGGAAAGCCCCAAATGGAAGTCTCTGCTTTGGTTACAGGACATAAGGTTTAATAAATAAAAAGATGCTCATCTGGGATGCTGCACCAATTATCATGTACTAAATAAGGTTACCTACTTCACTCTCCAGGTAGAAATGTCTATCATAAGCATGTGCCACAGAAGGTCTCTCAAGTATCATTATTGGCTGTGTTGAATTTTGTTTTTAGTTCTCTTTTATAAGGTCTGTAGTCTTACTTTCAGTGAGGAAGTGTTTTCTCAGGTTCTCAAGAAAGTAACAAAATGCCAGCATTGTCAAGGTCACCATTGCCACTGAATTATCTTACTGTCTGATTATTCCATCTTCCTCTGCATCATATTAGCCTGATGACTACATTCTAATTATTTAAAGCGTTATGTAAATCAAAGCAGTAAATGTAATTTCTAGTCTTACTAGATATCATGTACATTAGGTCGAATAACTCTAGAAATGTCGTCATAATCATGTCATGCCTAATGATGACCTACTCAGCCCCTGCCAACATCATTCAATTACTCATTTCAGTATTGATTTTTCTCATGCCTCTCTTCGTGGCATTTAAACAGCCCTCACATCTCCCCTTTTACTGAGGTGTAATGTTGTATAATGACAGAGATGCTTTGCTTCCCAGATTCATAATGTTACACTCTGTTTCAAATCCTTTTGGAGACAAATTGGGGAATCAATATATAAATAATGACACACTTATTTTTAATTAAAATCACTGCTTTCACAGAAATGGTATATTAAAATTATTTTTGCTAAAAAAATTTTAAATACCTATGTACGATAAAAAGACTGCCAATCCTTGGGATCAAGAATATAATTTGCCCCAAATAACTTTTCTGTAAAAGTAGAATTCTTAATGGAAAATAGATTAATACATATAATTTCAAGATCTAACCTTAAAAATGGAAATAATGTGTCCATTTTTAAAAATAAATCATATTTACATACACTGTGTTTATGAGAGTTGTTTTGGAATGAAACTTCTTTGCATTTGAGATCAAATTCTTTTATTCACAAGAATTACATTATCTTTTTCAGCTGAATGTTATGTTATACTCTTCCAAAATCTATTTTCCCTGCACTCAAGTAGCGGTAAATATTCTTTTTTTTTTCTGGAAATTGATAGTCTAATTTTCTCCTGCCTCTCTTTGGCACACCCTCATTTTGCATGAGATATGCTCCTTAATAAAATTTCTACTCAATATTACAGAAACTTCCAGAAATGGCATCTAAAATATTACACTGGCCCGTTTAACTTCACCTTCACTAATTGCAATACATTATACAAAGAGCACTGTGGACAAAGGTGGAATATTTAACTAACTGGATTTGGTTTCACAAACAGTAATAAGACTTTTAAAAACATTATTAGAGCATTTATTTCATCTCCTTTGCAATATATTTTTCTTCCTTTTAAACTAGGCTTTCTAAATTCTCATTTTTAATGTTTCAGTTGAAAGAACTTTCACAAGCCTTTAAAAGACATTATGATTTGAATTATTCTTGCCTAGAAAATTACTTCTGATGTTTAACTTACATTCTCCTTTATTCAATTGTAGCTTCAAACTATCTTAGAAAATTAATTTGTCTTATAATTTTCCCCTTAAATCATTGTAGGTAATCTCAATATTTTATCTTTCCAAGCACACATAGTACTATTTAAATTTCCAGAAAATCTGAAGATAACTAAGATTTCCTTTAACTTTTCATGTTTGATGAAATGATGCAGATATTCTCATTTAAGTAGTGAACCCTAATCTCATAAAAAAAGTAAGAATATCCCATAGGAACTTTAAATTGTTGTACATTTTTCCTGTTCATGTAATATATTTTCATTTGGTTTCTAAAACTCATTTCAAACACTCCCATCAACACACTCCAATCAAAAACTTGTTTCAAACACACTCAATCAACAAAATGGAGGTGTTGCTTTTCTTCTCTAAGCTTGATGCCAAGATTCTAACCTGGACATTTTCCTTCAAGTTTCCTTTTTCCTCAGCCACATCACACATTTAATCTAACACTAGTCCAAAATGTAATCTGAATTCATCCACATATTTTTATCTCTACTGCCACCACCCTTGTGCAGGCCACCATTATTTCTTGCCTGAGCTTTCATCATTGTCTTTTATCAGGTCTCTCTGCTTCCATTCTCAAACCCTTTCTAATTTATTTTTCACAAAGCAGCCAGAATGATCTTTTAAACACATAAGTCACATCATGTCACTACCCACATTAAATCTTCCTAAGATTTTCCCATTCTACCCAGAATACAGTGTAAATTGCTAAGTTTAGTAGCTCATGCCTGTCTTTCCAACCTGATGTGATATCACACCCACATTCTCCCTGGCCATCCCCACCAACATTACCCAGTACTAGGCTCCAACCACAATGCTTTCCTCTCATCTGTGAGCAAGCTAAACCCTTTTGACATCAGGGTCTTTTAACTTTCTGTTCCTTATACCTAATTCTCTTCTCCACATTCTTTGCATGGCTTCCCCTTTCCCTTCTCTGAGTCTCAGCTTAAACGAAACTTATTCAGAGAGTCTTGCCCTAACCACCATAACAAAAGTTGGACTCTCCCTTAATATATCATCTATATTTTATTATAGCACCTCTCACAATATATAATTGCTTGCATAATTTAATAATTTTTTATTTTTTTCTTGCTTCTGGCAGAATATAAGCTCCAGTGCCATAAACAGCCATTTCTCCAGAGAACCCAGATTCCTTTTAGTGGGAAATGGTATTTAGAAATCAAGTTCTGGATGTCAGGTGTGCACATGGCTAGGGAGGTGCCATTACTTGTAAACCTCTCAGTGAATAAAGGCAGAGTATACCCATATACAGCCATTTACATTTCATATACATCTCTCTATCGTTTTTAAACACCATGGCCTGTACTCTTTCCAAAATGTCAAAGTTGTATATGACAAATAAAGTCTGGGGAAATGTTCCAGATCAGATGAGATCCAAAAGAGGAAAAGGAGATTAAAAGGTAATGTGTCATCCTGGAATGAATTCTGGATTGTTAAAAACTTAATCATAGGCCGGGCGCGGTGGCTCATGCCTGTAATCCCAGCACTTTGGAAGGCTGAGGCGGGTGGATCACGAGGTCAGGAGATGGAGACCATCCTGGCTAACACGGTGAAACCCCGTCTCAACTAAAAAAATACAAAAAATTAGCCAGGCATGGTGGTGGGCACCTGTGGTCCCAGCTACTTGGGAGGCTGAGGAAGGAGAATGGCGTGAACCTGGGAGGTGGAGCTTGCAGTGAGCCAAGATCGTGCCGCTGCACTCCAGCTTGGGAGACAGAGCAAGACTCCATCTCAAAAAAAAAAAATCATATATTGTATATCTTTGGCACAATTGACACACTTTGAATATGGACTATGAATTCAGTAATAATATTGTATATATGTTAAAGGTCTTGATTGTTATAACTGTGCTGTGATCATGCATGAGAATGCTCTTGTTCTCAGGAAATATACATTGAAGTATTAGAGATAAAATGTCACCAGCCAGGCACGGTGGCTCACGCCTGTAATCCCAGCACTTTGGGAGGCCGAGGTGGGTGGATCACGAGGTCAGGAGATCAAGACCATCCTGGCCAACATGGTGAAACCCCCTCTCTACTAAAAATACAAAAAAATTAGCCGGGTGTGGCAGCACGCGCCTGTAGTCCCAGCTACTCAGGAGGCTGAGGCAGGAGAATTGCTTGAATCCGGAAGGTGGAGGCTACAGTGAGCCAAGATTGTGCCACTGTACTATAGCCTGGCAACAGAGAGAGACTCCATCTAAAAAAAAGAAAAAAAAAATCACTACCTCTGCAACTTGCTCTCAATGGTTTACAAAGAAACATACACCCACCCTCTCATCTATTGAGGGAAAGAGAATAACTTACTAGCAAATATGGGCAGTTATAAATAATTGAATCAAAAAAATGGCATACAAGAACTCTTTCTTGTATAACTTTATATAGGTTTATAGGTTTATATAGACACATAATAGGTGTGTCTATATAGGTTTATATAGACACACAAACAGGTTTATATAGGCACATAAATTTACAAATTTATTTTCAAAATCTGCAATATGGTGTCTATTAGCATTGCTTTGAATGATTAAGGACTGAAATAACATCTTTTTTCTTTACCAAGGAAAAAGTAAATTAAATGGCTTGAAGTAAATAGCAGTATGTAAAACGTGCAAAAACATAATTTTTCACAAAGGTTAAATAAAAACAAGATTTATTAATTTTTTCCTTAAATAAATGGATTTTATGATCGCAACCATATTAGTCATCAGTAGCAAATCCACACAGAAGAATATTATTGCTTAGTTTTTTATTCCTTTACAAAAAGAAAATCTTCTAAACAGCTTAAACTTGCCTAAAGCAATTTCAAGATGACCCAACTCTCCCCAAGTGACTTCTCAAATTCTTAAGCTATTATCTTTCTTGTTCAAACCCTTTTTCTAAACTTTTCCCCAATTACTCCAACCATATAATTGCAAAGCTAAGATTCCTATAGACTATCTCTATCAAAGGATCAGGATAGGGAATGATAAACCTCTTAACAAAAACTTAATTCTGATTCTTTTCCCAGATTAAGGTATCTTAGCAACCTGTGAAGCATTTTATCTGCTGATTCTATCATTTTGAGCACTTTGTTGAACCCTTGAACTGACCTTATATCTGTGTGTGTCCCCGCTTGTTGGCTTTGTTGGTCCAGGATATATAAAATGAGACTGACAAACATAAAGCAATGTGACCACACATGTCTAAATGTATTTAGCCTTTAACATCACAATTGGTTGTTTATTAACTTATGAACCAGAATCTTTATTTCTGTTCTTTGTCTCCTGTGAATTACAGGTTTCGCTCTGCTACATGGGTGGCAGAGATGGGGAGTAAGAGCTTGCTTTTAGCTAATACAAGGATTTGAAATGAAAGAAGGGTCAAAGCCAAATTCAGACAGAGTTGCTGTAGCTGAGGAAGACTAAACACTGAAGCACACGCTGCAGTCCAACTCTCATGAGAATGTTCCCAGTCACACTACTCCAAGATGGATGCCTACTTATAAGAGAGCATTCAACTTTAAACAAATTCAACTATTTTGTGTTTCAGTCCTGTGAATACAGCTAGTATTATATGATATAATCAAAGAATCACTGTCAATGGTATTGAGAAATTGTTGTTTGCCATTTAGAACACTTTCTTCATCTTGCCTTCTACCTCACGGGCCACTGCATCTCAATGTCAATCTCTGAATGTCACTCATTTTCCTGACTGTGTGTAAATGTTGCAGATTCAACTTTTTATCTTTTTTTTCCCCATCACTTCTCATTCACTAGGTGACCCATGTACTCTCAAGGCTTTAAATCACATTTATTCTCTAGAAACTCTACATTTTTTTTCTGTAGTGCAGACCTCTCCAGAATTGGACTCCAGAATCCTAGGCAGAGACTTTCTCATAATCTCCAGGTGGATATATGTACTAGGCATCTAAATCTTAATATGTCCAAAACAAACTCCTGATTTTTAACTTCTAAAATCTGTGATTCTTTTCACAGACTCCAAACTTTAGTAAAAGGCTACTCCATTCTTCCTGCTTTTCAGTACAAAATAATTCTTCACTATTCTTTTCCTTGTATACCCCACATACAATATCATTAGCAAGTCCTGAGGCTCTACTTTCAAAATACCCAAAAAACAGATCACTTGTCACCACCTTCATCATTAGGACTCTAGTCTAAATCATATTATATCTCATCTGGGTTATTGCAATAGCTATTCATTGATCTCTCTTATTTCACCCTGTACGTTCCAGTCCACATTGCCCACAGCAACCATGGCGATCCTTTTAAAATACAGGTCAGATCATGTTATTCCTCTGCTGAGGCCCCTTTAACATAGTAAATCCATACTTATATCTTCAAAGACCCCGCATGGCGTGGTCCCCCATCTCTCTGATCTATTTTCCAGCACAACTACAGCTCTGCCATCATTCTACCCTAGTCTCACGGACCTTTTTGCTGTTACTTAAACAAGCCAAACATACTTCCTTTAGCATCTTTGAACTTGCTAAGCCCACTGCCTGGGCTGCAGTTTTCTCAGATTACTTAGATTCCTAAGGTCTCTGCACAGATGGAAGTTTGTGTAAGAGTGGATTCTTCCAACCATTCTTATCTAAGAGAGCACCAGCACCATCACTGATGTCCCCACATTTTCCATTTCCAATTTGATTTTCTCATTACTTGTATAATCACTTGACACATTTTTTATTCATTTGTTTGTTTATTGTCCTTTTCCAGCAAAATATCCATGAAAGCACAGGCAGACCTTTGCTGCTTTCCTCTCTGCCAAGGACAGTGTCAGGTGTATGTAGATGCTAAATAAATATTTGTTGAAAGAATCAAGTGCATTTTTTTCTATGTGAAAGAAGTTTTTTATTATACCATGGGTATTTAAAATAAAGACTCATGATTATTGAGGCAAGGATATAAAATACTTATTATTTTTGTGAATTTCTTTAAGGTCCGCTGTAAAAGAGAGGTGATGATATCTTTATAGTCTGCTACAAAGAGTTGACATAAACTAAATCAGGTTACATCTAGGAAGCATTTGAATTCTACCTAATGTTACAACTATGCAGTCTTTAGATGACCACCTTGCGCATGGGAATGCCTTTGTGATTTGCTAAATTCTAGAAGCTTTATTTTTCCTACTTTTTTTTGGTCAGTAAAAATACGGGTTAGCATCAATTTGAAAAATTCCTTACTAGAAAACATCCCTATTTGCATTGTCCCGTTAGGATGAAAATCTTGAAAGCATGTTAGAATTCATGAATGCTGAAACCCTGGGAAGAATACCTAATTTACTGGATCATGAAATCCACACGATGGCTCACACCTGTAATCCCAGCACTTTGGGAGGCTGAGAAGAGTGGATCACCTGAGGTCAGGAGTTTGAGACCAGCCTGGCCAACACGGTGAAACCCCGTCTCTACTAAAAATACAAAAATTATCTAGGCATGATGGCACATGCCTCTAATCCCAGTTACTTGGGAGGCTGAAGCAGGAGAACTGCTGGAACCCAGGAGGTGGGGGATGCAGGGAGGCAAGATTGTGCTACTGCACTTCAATCTGGGCAACAGAGTGAGACTCTCTCTCAAAAAAAAAAGAAAAAGAAAAAAGAAAAAAGAAAAAAAATATTAATGGGCTAGGGGCTAGGACATGGGCCAAGATAACTGCTGCACAACAGAAAAATCTACACTTTGACATCATTGCGAATTATTTTACATATATTATTTCATTTAAGCCTTAAAAAACTAAACAAGTAGACATTATCCAACTCTTACACAAGTATTGAAACTGAGTCTCAGAGAAGTTAAGTAACTTTCTTAAAAACACAGAGTTAAAATGATGTAGACTATATGCATATGGAAATATCTAACTTTGAAGTTCATGTCATTTCCATTATACATTTAAGACCATCTTCTAGAACGTAAAGAAAAAAAGACAGATTCAAAATAGGAGTTAAGTAGCAACATAGATTAAAATGCACATTATCCTTAAGCCATTTAATAACTGTTGTCAAAGAATGACTAAAATATAGTTCATGTTACTGGAATGATGCGTCCGTTCAGACGGAGGTGATAATCTGGATCTATACTGTGTTGGTCAGAAAGTTCCTGGAATAATGTTTGGGTGTGGCTGTCATACTTTAAAGGTTACAGACAAATGGGAAATTCTTCCAGGGAAAGCAGCCAGGATGACAAAAGTTCCCACAGAATGTCCTAAGAGAAATGGTTGCTGACTTTGGGGATGTGTAACCTGGGATGGGAGAAGGGAAGAGTCAGAAAAGGCTGACAGTCATCTAGGCCGGAAATCTCAGTCATTCAATATGGCTCCAAAGGAATAAACTATGACTATGGGACTGTCGTGCCCTCGGCATTGTGGAGCACTGGGTGGATGGAAGGTACCACTGGCCAGGGAGGGCCAGAAGCTGCGTCTGCACCAGCGACACTACATCGACAAGCTGGTGGAGGACACGGAGCACTGGCCCAAAGAAAATCTGGAGATCATCTTCACACAGTCTGTGGAGACACTTGGAGTCTGGGGTGACCTGATCTCAGTAAAGAAATCTGTGGATCGGAATCAACTCCTTTCTCAGAGACTGGCTGCATATGCATCACCTGAAAACAAGAAGCTGTTTGAAGAGGAGAAATTGCTGAGACCAGGAGGAAAGTTACAGAAGATCCAGACCAAGGCAGGTGAGGCAACAGTGACATTTCTGAAAAGCTGTCACCTGGAGGTAGGGATGAAGAACAGTGTCAAACGGGAGCTGAACCCTGAAACAGTTGCCTGCCACTTCTTCAAGAATCTTGGTGGTGTGGTCACCCCCATATAATAAAATTACCGGAAGAGCCCCTCACTCGGTGGGGCAAGTACTGTTGTGAGGTGACGGTAAATGGGCTTGGTACTGTGAGGGTGCCTATGTCTCTGGTAAACTTTGAGAGGCCCAAAATCAAAAGATAGAAGTACTGGTTAGCCCAGCAAGCTGCCAAGGGCATGGCCCCACCAGCCTCTAGAGGATCTAAACCTGTTCTCCTCCAAGGCAGCAAAGCAGAATCAGAGGAGCAGTGGGACCCAAACAGGCAAGCACCCTGCTCTCACTCCCAGCTCTGACAAAATATGGAATTTTAGAGAACATATGGAGACATCAGACTGCCCTGCACAGACATGTTGAATTCCTTATATTTGCCATCTTCATCTTTAACTGTCATCCCTGGGGCAGCCTTGTTCCAGAAGTACCAGGCTGTGGATTTGATAAGCTGGATACAATAGACTGAAACTATCCAGATCCTGTTTAGTTTCTTTTTCCACTGGAGTTTACTGGGACAGGCACAGGAGCTAGACATTGTCTCCAGTATTTTCCTCATTCTTATCATCTAAACTGAACATTTGTATCTCAAGCTGACATAAAGAGATTGTGTTCCTAAAAAATAATAAATAAATAAACTACGACTATGGGTAAAAGCTAAGTTTCTTGGGTGAAATAACCTGCTTCAGGAGTTACTAAGTTCTCTGTCACTGGAAGAATTCAAGAGGGAAAAAACAAACAAACGATGGATCGCGTGGTAGGGAAGTTTTAGAGGAATTTCAGGATCAAAGGGGAGACAGAACTAGGTAAGCTTTGGGTCTCTTCTGACACTTGAATTTCATGCTTTGTTAGAAAAGACTGCCAGTCTGCATCTACCAGTTAGAGGGTTTAGGGTCAGCAATTAGGTAGCTATCTCATCTTGTTTGTAATGATAAACATATATTTAATTACAATGTTATCTGGATCTCAGTTGAGGCCTTCCTACACCCCAAGAGCAGAATAAGATAGACCTGAACCCAAAATTCTATGCTCTGAGAAAATTTAAGAAGCAACATAATATGAATGATTGGAGTGGAAGTCAGGCAGGGGGAGGATTTTGCATTCTTAGTATTTCCAGGTTTCTCTTTCTGCTCAGTAAAGCTAAATTTTCTCACTTCTTTCAAAACTAACTAACCAACCAACCAACAACACTCCCACCAACATTAGTGGATTTAGTGAAATTTAATAAAGTTTAAAGTGGGGAGGATTTCTATTGCAGTAAAGTAACTAAATTAGGCACAAGCTATGTCTGATTTAAAAATACGCCTGGGTTAAGCCACCAGGGAATACCACTGGCCTTTTAGTCCATGTTGACCCTATCCTCATACAACTCAATGGCCTTTCCCCCCTCCTCTGCCTCCCCCACTCCATCTCTCCTCCTTAGTCACTATCTCAGGATTGCTCTCAGGAACTCCAGCTTCTTTTCCAAGCTCTCAAACTCTCAAACCTACCTCAGATTCATTATCACGAACCCAAACTTACCCAGGTGCTCGGTAGACATTTTGGAATTAATGAACAATTATTTTTTTCAAGTTTATTATTTTAATTATCATACAGTAGAACTGACTTTTAAAAATACTAAATGTTGGAGGGAAGTTTTTGTCAGACTCAAGACCCTCAAGATTTAAATGGAAAGAGGAAGCACACCGTGGTGCTCTGGGGGAAAATAGACCTTGCTTCCATCATGGTTTCCATTTGACTGGCTGTGCTGCTTTGGGCAGTTTACTGAACTTCCCAGATCTTCAATTCTTCCATCTCCAAATGTGATTGATAGCAATGTGTTCCTCATGGTTTTGTCTAAGTTAAATTAAATAATTCACGTAGAGCATTAGTCTACTCCTTGGCATGTGGTCAGTGTTTTGAAAGTGTTAGCCACCACTATTAATAAAGTTTCCTCAGTCAAACATCTTTTTCAATTTTCTCAACTCACGAAAGATTTTTCAATGTGCACTGAAAATTTAGCTTGAAAGACTTTGAAGCATGTACTAAGGATATTTACTACCAATTTTTTTTGTCTGTCTATCATTTGCCAAACCGTCATCAAGATTTCCTGACAATACATCTCAATAACTTCTGTACTGAAGGCAATTTATGTGACTGGCAGAATAATAGAGGAACTATTAGTAAAATACATTTTATCAATTTTACAACTCTCCCTGCTAGCATGATATCAAGATCTGATACTATGATTCTTAATAACAAAGAAATATTTTGACCTTTGGCAAAATTGTAAATTAGAAATTGTTTAATTTAGCACGAAGTTTCTTTTCACTATCTCTATCCCAGCCTTAGGCTAAGCTCCAGACCTATGCTGTCCAATATGATAACCACTGGTCACATGGGGTTATATACATTTTAATTAAAATGACTAAGTAAAATTTAAAATTCAGTTACTCAGTTGAATTAGCCACATTTCATGTATTCAGTAGCTACATGTGACTAGGGTACTCTCTTGGAGACTGTGCATATGAAGTTTTTTATCTTTGCAGAAAGTTCTATTGGACAGTGCTGCCTGAGACTCAACTGGTACTCTTCTTTAGCCTGGCACCCTCAAAACTACTTCCTGCCTGGTGCCATCACCCCAATACCTTCTCCCTCTGAGATATTCCTGTTCCTTGCTTATATTATCAACTAACAGAAAGTAAGGTGCTGTGGTGCTAATAGGGAGCAAGCTCTGAGATCACTTCCAGGTAAATGAATGTCTCTTCTTTCCTCTTCTACAGCAGTATTTCTCAGAGAGAGGTTCTAGAATGGCTATTTTAATAAACTAGAATGCTTATTTAAATTTGAGATTCTTAGACCCCCACATCGGACCTTCTAAATTTGCATATTGAAACAGCTTCCTCAGTCATTGTTATGGAATGCTTAACGTTGAGAGCTGTTGCTGAAAGATCCAGCCACTATTGGTATTTGATTACCAGGGCCAATACAGTTAGATGTTAGTCTGTATAGAAATGAGCAATGCCAAGTTTTGGTACCTGGGGAACACATTTTTGGAGAAAGATTGGTTTTGTTGCTCTTTAAGATCATATGGTCACCTCCATATAGACTGATCACAGACCAATTGGCTAACATGATTCAATGTGACAAAGTCGACTTACTAATTTTGAAAAAATTTACACTTGAGATTTTTAAAAAGTTAATATTATGGGATACTGTTCACTTTTATAATTTGGTTTTCCATCATTTATAATTTGATTTCATGTGATTTTAAAATTTCCCTTTGAGAAGGAAAGACTTTGAAAGAGGAAACAAAACAGGTAAAAAGTAGACATTACATAAAACTGGAAACTTTTACTAAATAGACAAAAAAAAGTCAAAACTAGAAGCAAAACTAAGCAGTTGGAAAATCCTCTGGCAAGTCTCATCAAAGAAAAATATGTATAATTAAATAATGTTAGAAATAAGAATGGAAAAACATAGAGGCACTACTTAGATGATTAAAAATAATGACTAAGACAATGCGGTAGAAGAATCATAAGCTATGTTTTGTTTGATCAGTTGTCAAGACTTACTATAAAGCTATACTAATTACTGTAGTGCAATTTGCCACAAATAGATGAGAAAAGCAGAACAGAGAACACGGAAATAAGCCTTGAAAGATGAGAGAGCTTCCTGGAGGATAAAGGTGGCATTGCTAAGCACCAGAGAATGATGCTGAAACAAGTGACCATCCACCTGGAAAAATATAACATTAGACCCCTAACTTGCACCATAATACAACTCCAGATGAATTAAAACCCTCGATGTGAAAAATTAACAGTAAAACAATTAGATAAAATATAAGCCATTAAAAATACCACTTTATCCAAATTTATCCACTTGACCTTTTTTATCCTGTTTTCTGATTACATGGGTGAAATACTCCTTCTTCAAAGGCTAATGGTTTTTTTAAAAATTTAATTGTGCACCGGCTCCTCCCTGTTTCTGGTACTCATGCCTGACTCTCCTCTCTCCCCTGTCTCATCAGTTTCTCACCGATTTTATAAAATTGCAACAATGCAGCATGTTCTAACAGCACTCAGCTAAGAAAAAGAAACCTGCTCCAAATCTCCTCTTATCATCTAGTTTCACTTCTCTGTTTGTCTTAAAACAAAATCTATCAGGACTTGTCTTCACTTACCTTCTCTTCTCCCCACAAAACTGTCTGGTCAGGCTTGCATTTCCTCTACTTTGGATGCTACTCTTGACAAGATCACCGCAGACTCCCACCTTGCCAGGTTCAATGGTATATTTCAGTCCTTGTTTTTCTGATCTCTCAGCTGCATTTGGAACAAACTGATCCCATTTTAACATTGCATAATACCTTTCTTTACCTGGCTCCAGAAGTGGATTTTCCATGGAGAAATAAAGCTTAGGTTTGAAAAGAATTACGGATTTTTAATTTAGACATTTTTATTTTCAAAATGGCTCCCCAACTTGTGTTAGCAGCTAGCTTTCCCAAATATCTATGTATTCCTGCTAATGTTATGAATACCACTCCCTTGATTTTTATTGAAGGACAGTAGTTAAAGGCATGGGCTCTGGAATCAGAATGAATTTAAATTATTGTCTATAATTTCTATCTTTTTGAATTGTTTCATATTTTATAATAACGACTATAAATTTGTATAATCTCTTATAATTTTTTATTTTTTAATAAAATAGATTCCTAGAAAAAGGCAAATGATCTGTTTCTTGAAAAGCATAAATTACCAGAATTGACTCAATATTAGAAATAAAGCTTTATTGAAAAGTAAAAAATGACTGTGAAAAAATGTTGAAAAAGTGACTAAAACAGTCAAAGACTTATATACCTTACTAGCAGTCCCTTTCCACAAAATGGACACACTCACATATACACAGGCTCAGATGGTCTTATATGTGCATTTGATCAAATCTATAAAGGGCTTATAATTCCTATGTACTTTAAACTCTTCCTGAACATCAAAAAGTAGTTAGTCAAGAAAACTAAGTAGACTCACTAAAATAGTGTGCCCACTCAGATGATAGAGATACAGAGGTGAAAACTTGGATATTTCTTTAAAACAAGTTCTTTATTATTATCTGAACTATTTGAAAAATAAAATTCCATTATGGAAAAATTGTGACTATAACACACGTTTCTAAAGCAAAGTATAAAGGACAAGATACCTTTTCTGGAATTTTTAAGGACTTTTGGGCAAAACAAGATCTCGTCGGATTTTCTTGCAATGATTGACACAAAGTTTTGCTTATTCTCAATATAAAAGAATTATCTGTCAACGAACACAAGTTCACACATGTACACACACACACACACACACACACGAGTACAATTCATAAAGGTCGGACATAAATCTATTTATTCCATGAAAATAATACAATTTAATACGGTTGAGGACACTGAGAAATGGGTCAAGCCATCTACATATTGCTTACTTGTCTGGAGACCATTAGAAAAACAAGCAGAATTCTGACAAGCTAGGTTAGATACATTTACCTGACAACATTTGCCTATGAATCCCAGAGTTCTTTAATCTAGGAAATAGGAGGAGCAAAGAGCCAAGTAGCCAGAGACATTTAGAAAAGTGTTTTAGCTGAGGAATAGGAATTTTTTTTTTTTTTGACGGAGTCTCGCACTGTCGCCCAGGCTGGAGGGCAGTGGCGCCATCTCGGCTCACTGCAAGCTCCGCCTCCCGGGTTCACTCCATTTTCCCGCCTCAGCCCTCCGCCACCACGCCCAGCTAATTGTTTGTATTTTTAGTATAGACGGAGATTTCACCATGTTAGCCAGGATGGTCTCGATTTCCTTACCTCATGATCCCCTGCCTCGGCCTCCCAAAGTGCTGGGATTACAGGCGTGAACCAAGGCGCCCGGCCGGAGTAGGAATTTTATGGGTTATAAACTAAGGATATGGAGGTCGACTTGAGGAAGAAACCTGGAGTATAAAAATTCAGTTTGGAAAAAGACGTTTTGTCTCTTAAACTGAAGCACATTCCTGCCATTCATTCGGACCATACGAAGATAAAACTAAAAACTTTTCTCTAAAGCTCCTGGTGATGGTAGTTGAGTCAATGAGCCACCAGCAACAACAAAGGACAAAAAGGTATGTATGATTCACCACGTGTTAATGCGAATGGTAAATTATTGCATCATTACAAGTTAATCAGAAATTTTAAGTTCTATCATTTCAAAATTGACTGAATAATAGGATAGTGTAGTGGTATTAGCCAAATACTGTAAGAGTCATGTTTTTCTAAAGACCTAGTTTTGCTGCCTAGGTTGAGAACAAAACAAAATTTTTGGCTCTGGTCTTTGCCTCCCCCTCTCACCACATCTTGCACCCTAACTGTATGTCCCTCCTTGAACTGTTCCAAATATTCTATGCTCCTTGCTCTGCACTGAACAAGCTATAATATGCCTAAAAATGTCACTCCTTTAAAACAACAACTAAGTTCAGATGTGAGTTGCATGATATTTTGATTAGGACCAATGACCCAAAGTCAGTGATGTAGAGAGTCATTTCACAATTACAGAAAAAATTTCTGGTTCTTAGTATGAGTTCTAACATTAATTGAGTATGTCACTTTGATACGTCTTTTCTTGTTAAATATTTCATGAAGAAGGTGCGATTTTCATTTCTGTAATACAGATGAGAAAATTGAGGCAAACTAAGAAAATGTCAGAGCAGAGTAAAAATTTCAGCCTTCTTAATCAGTATTCTATACTAATTCCTCTGAGTTATATGTGAGTTGAGTTGATACACACACACACACACACACACACACACACACACACACAGAGTGCAGAGCTATAGATTTAAAAGAAAACAAAACAAGATCTTCTAGGATTTTCTTGGAATGATCAACACAAAGTTTTGCTTATTCTCAATATAAAATAATTATCTGTCAATGCACACAAGCTCACACATGTGCACGCACACGCACGCGCGCACACACACACACACACACACACATGAGTACTATCCATGTTTTCCCCCAAAGCTATGAAAAGGTTACCTAATCTAAAAAAAGATATTCAGCTTCACATCTTATGAGATGCTATATAGTTTTAATATCTGTCCTGCCCTGCAGCTATCTCCCAACAATAAACTATACATAGAAATCAGAGTGTAAGGAGAAAATAAAGATATATAGTGACACCAATATGGGAAAGCAGAACATCTGGAAATTCAGTGAAAATATTAATAAACTCTGAAAAATTTAGTCAAACTTTTTAATATCATGTAGCCAGAATAAATGGTTAACTGAGTCAATTTGATATTTTGGTATTGCTTGAAAATAAAATGACTTAAAATGGTCTAATTTTTTCTAAATTATTCTTTTGTGAACTGGCCATTTGATTTTAGTCACAGGTCTGTTTACAGTTAGATGAGGTATAAATAAATGTAGACATTTTCACTCAATGGATTGTATTCTACTCAGAGGAGCAATAAATTAGCTGCATATTACCAAGGTTTACATTCCTAGAAGTATATTTTAGAATATTGGTCTGGGAATGATGTAATGTTTTTAAGATGTTCATGTACGATGGTCAATAACTCAAATCTCCTGATCAAATTAAGCACATAGATTCTTTTAAAGATACTCTTCTACTCCTAAATGTGAAATAAAGCCAGCCAGAAAAATTTTGACATGTAACGTGGAGGTAAAAAAGATAACCAAAAGCAGAAGAAAATCCTAGCAATGGGTGCTACAGTGGTCTTGAATAGAAGATGGGAGAAGTATGTGGAAGTTTGTCTGGAAGATCCTGGGGTCAGATGTGCAGGATTCCCCCAATGAGAGAGAAGAAAAATACATGTGCTTCTATTCTTATTTTGTTTTTTAAATTTTTTTTATTATGGTAGAATGTACAATATAAAATTTGCCATTTTAACAATTTTTAGGTGTACAATTCAGTGGTATTAGGCATATTCACATTGTTGTGCAAACATCACTATTATCCATCTTCAGAACTTTTTCGTTTTCCCAAACTGAAACTCCATAATTACTAAGTCATAACTCCTTATTTTCCTCTTCCCCCAGCCCCTGGTAACTGCTCCTTTACTTTCCGTCTCTATGAATTTGACTACTCTAGGTACCTCATATAAGTGGAATCACACAATATTTGTCTTTTTGTGTCTGGCTTATTTCACTTAGCATGATATCTTCAAAGTTCATCCATAACGTAGCATGTATCAGAATTTGGTTCCTTAGTACGGCTCAGTAATATTCTAGTGTATGTGTATACTACATTTTAAATATCCATTCAGTGGTCCATAGACCTTTTAGTTGTTTCCATTTTTTGGCTCTTGTAAGTAATGCCGCAATAACATGAGTATACAAATATCTGCTGGAATCTCTCCTTGAAACCTCTTTAGGTATAAACCCAGAAGTGATGTTTTTTAAATTTTTAAAACTTTTTGTGGAAATATACAGAATGGTACACAGATCATAAGGGTACAGCTTAATGAATTGTCTTTCAGATAACACACCCACCTAAGCAGAAGGCAGATCAAAAGGCAAAACATTGACCAGCACTTCAAGCCCCACCCCCATCCAGACCTCAGGCCGCTGCATGGGTGTCCACTTTCTTGACTTTCAACCTAGATCAGTCATGTCTGGTTTTTGAACTTATATAAATGGAATCATACAATACATACTCATTTTTTTCACTCAACATTATGTTTGTGAGACTATAAAAATTCTGTTTCTGAGGTTATTAACATTACCTAACCTTCTAACATTTCTGAGATCTTTAAAAACCCATATTGCCACTTATAGTTTTAATGTGTCCATTCTCATTGATATATAATATTCCATCATATAAATATTATGTAATTTATATGCTGATTCCATGATTGATGGGAATTGTGCCTCTTTTCTTTACTCTTTTATCCTTACAAAAATCTTGGGTGGTTGAGAGTCCTTGTAGAGAGATTCAGGGTGTTGGACTTTTCCTTCTTGCATTGTAAGAAAAGAAACAAATGAAGTAACTACAAACCTTGTCTTAAAAAAAGCATTTACCATTTTACTTTCAACCTATATTTTGGACTTATCCTGATCTGCCAGTACCTCCATTCAGCTATGGCTTCCTGACAACCAGATAAATTCTCTTCTTTTCTTTTACACTTCCCTCAGAAGTACTTAGGCAATTTGACATTTTTTTTTCCTCTTCAATATCAAAGGGTGATCATCTAATTTTATAAATTGTGTATTTTAATGTGAGTGCAGTTTAGAGGTCTCCCTGCTGAGGTTGCCAGAGTTGGATTCAAGGGAACTTAGGTGGCAGTGGGTGTTGGGGAGGAAGAGCAAGTATCTAGCGTGAGGAATAAGCTCTTGCTTTTTCTGTCATAGCCACGGGATTTATACCTACTGGTACATTCGGTGGGTTCTCTTTGACTTAACCATCCCTTCAAATCTTTCTTTCTACCAGCACCATCTCACCAGGATGATTCATCACTTTTTCCTACATAATCACTCTGGGCGATATTGGAGCCCATTACTCTAGTTCCTGGAGCCTTTCTCCACAGGTCCCACTCTTACCTCCCATCTCAAGGAGCTGGGTACTTTCAAACTCATGACCCAGAAGTTCTTCTACTTTAAATTACATGTCCCTTAGGAATGTTCCTTTTGAATGGCTAGTAGATGGCTTAGCTATCTGTATTACTTTGTTTTCATTCTTTTGTGTATAATGACATACCCGAAACTGAGAACAAAAAGAGGTTTAATTGGATTTACAGTTCCACATGGCTGGGGAGGCCTCAGAATCATGGTGGGAGGCAAAAGGCACTTCTTAAATGGCAGGGGGAAGAGAAAAAATGAGGAGGAAGCAAAAGCGGAAACCCCTGATAAATCCATCAGATCTAGTGAGACTTACTCACTATTATGAGAAGAGCATGGGAAAGACCGGCCCCCATGATTCATTTACCTCCCCCGGGTCCCTCCCACAACATATGGGAATTCTGGGAGATACAATTCAGGTTGATATTTGGGTAGCGACACAGCCAAACCATATCACCATCTTTGTTTTACCAATAGTTATTTTATGTTTTGAATGACCAAGAAACTCTAATAATAGGGTATGGAATAAAGGGAGAATGGCTAAAAAGCCTCAAGCTTTTGAGTAAATTGAATCCAAAGTTACTGATTTCATGGATTACAGCAGTGAAGTCTTCATATTGGTTCATCCCTTGGCTATAGCAGTGAGATTCAGGGCAAAGAACAGGCATCTTATGGACTGGATTGGGGCTCCTCAAATTCATATGTTGAGACCCTCTCCCCCAATATGACTGTATTTGGAGACATGATTTTAGGAGGTAATTAAGTTTAGATGAGGTTATAAGAGTGGGGCTCTACTTCTATAGCACCAGTGGCTTTACGAGAAGAGGAAGAGAGAGCTCTTTTTGTCGCTCTCCGCCATGTGAGGTCACAGTGAGAAGGTGGCCATCTGCAAGCCAGGAAGAAAAGAGCCCTCACCAGGAAGAAAATCAATTTGCACTTTTATCTTGAACTTCCCATCCTCCAGAACTGTGAGAAATAAATTTCTGTTGTTTAAGCCACCTAGTTGATGGTATTTTGTTATGCTTACGCTGGCAAACTGCAGCTTTGTACCCCTGAATGAGTCGTTTATGCTCTTTAAGTTTCAGTTTCCTAATTTATAAATTGGCGATAATAATTCTTACTCCACCCAAGTTGTTGGGGAGATAAATGAGATAACATATCAAGGAGTGCAACAGATACCGAGTGCATTTCTTAAAAAATGATGCTTCCTTTTTTCTCCCATCCTGTGTTCCCTACCACCTGATCACAACTGTAAAAGGTAAAGGGAACAATAATGCCACCATCACTTTTCAAACAATGAAATAATAATAATGGCTAAAAATTATTGAGTACTTACTATGGGCCAGACACTCTACTAAACACTTTATTTGCTTTATCTTGAGTCCTCACAGAACACTTTAAAGTAAATATTGTGATTCCTTTTAACAGAGAATTAAAACTGAGGAAACCAAGACACACAAAAGGCAAGTAACTTCTCAAAGTTACATAGTTATTATTTGGTGGAGCCTGGATTCCTATCTGTCTGTCTGACCACCTGGGCTGAGTTCTTATTCATTTTCTTATTCCCAAGTATGCGATTGTTGGTCATTCAACCCTAAGGGCACAGGAGATTCAATCACTGCTCTCATGCACCTCACTCTCTAGTAGGAAAGATGAAAATAAGATTGGTAATTAATAAATAGAGTGATAAATGTTAAATTTGCACAGGCTGTTGTTGAGTACAGAGGACAAATACCAACTGTCTGAAGTAGCCAGAATCAGTCTGCTGAGTTGACAAGGTTGAGAAGGACATATCATGCAGAGGGAATTAAAACACAGAGGCATAAGGGCAAGGCTCATTGGACATCCACATGTAGTTCTGGGTGCCTGGAGTGAAGGACCTACAGTCGGGAAATGGAGTAAATGAGGCAGGAGAGGTTTGTAGAGGCCAGATTACAAAGAACATTTATATGACATAGAAAGGTATTTGAATTCTCTTCTATGCAATATATGTGTTAGAAAGCCATTCTTGGGCTGGGCACCATGGCTCATGCCCGTAATCCCAGCACTTTGGGAGGCCGAGACAGGTGGATCACCTGAAGTCAGCAGTTCGAGACCAGCCTGGCCAACATGGCGAAACCTTGTCTTTACCAAAAATACAAAAATTAGCCCAGCGTGGTAGCGTGCGCCTCTAATCCCAGCTACTTGGGAGGCTGAGGCATGAGAATTGCTTGAACCCAGGAAGTGGAGGTTGAAGTGAGCTGAGATCACGCCATTGCACTCCAGCCTGGGTGACAGAGCGAGACCCTGTCTCAAAAAAATAAAATAATAAAATAAAATAAAATAAAATAAAATAAAATAAAAGCAAGCAAGCCACTCTTGTATGCCTTCCCCTTCAAGATAGTGTTTCTTCAGAGAAGAGTCTGTCCTGTTCATCTCTGAATATCTAAGGCCTAACATGAGGTAGTCACTCAATGAATATTTGTTGAATGAATGAATGAAGGAATGAGTGAATGAATAAGTGAATGGTATTAAGCCCATCATAATGTATACTTTTTGATCACTCTAACTGCAGGGGAACAAGGTTCAAGGATGTCAAAAATGAGGT
Source organism: Homo sapiens (assembly GCF_000001405.40). Taxonomy (NCBI): domain Eukaryota; kingdom Metazoa; phylum Chordata; class Mammalia; order Primates; family Hominidae; genus Homo; species Homo sapiens. Next base: position 76,591,290 of record NC_000008.11, on the reverse strand, counting down.
AAGGGCTGAGTGCAGTGGCTCATGCCTGTAATCCCAGCACTTTGGGAGAATAAGGTGGGTGGATTGTTTCAGCCCAGGAGTTTCAGACCAGCCTGGACAATACAGGGAGATCCCCTATCTACAACAAAAATACAGAAACTTAGCCAGGTATGGTGGCACGTGCCTACGGTTCCAGCTACTCGGGAGGCTGAAGTGGGAAGATCACCTGACCCTGGGAGTTTTGGGCTGCAGTGAGCCTTGATTGTGCCACTGCAATCAAGCCTGGGTGACAGAGTGAGACCCTGTCAAAAAAAAAAAAAAAAATGAGACAAGAGATAGGAGAGAGGGAATTATGCAACAAAGGCATAGTGAGGAGGGTATTGGAAAGTTATTCAGGAGAGTGACAATTATTAACCAATACAAGATAATCCAGAGTATTGGCTGGGGGCAGAGTGAGGTGAGGTAAAGATGGGGAGAAACAGATTTGGGGAGAATACAGTTGAGTTTTGGACGTATTGAGTTTGAAGTGGTTGGAACCTGCAGATGGAGGTTCCTGGTTGTCACTTAGACATAGAAAGTAGGGCAAAGGGTCATTGTATTAAAACTAAGGCCATGCCTATTTATTGTGAGAGAGAATGTGTAGAGGCAGACTGCAGAGAGTTCTAGGGTCAAATCCTAGAAAAAAAAAAACAAGCACTTTCAAGAATTTGGTACATGTTATTGAATCTTATTTGCTGTCAATGGTAGAGAAAGAGGAGCCAAGAACGTGGGTTTAGGAGGAGTATGAGATGATATGAACCTTGTGTCATGAAGTCTAAGGAAAACTCAAGGAGGTATGCATCCAACAGGTAAATGCTGCAGAAAGGAGTAAATTTAGAACTATTTCCTTTATATTGTTTGGTAGAATATTTATTGGGGAAATTATATAATATCTATGGAATTAATTTTAAAACAATTTCAAGTGTCTGCTTTGCCTGGTGCTATATTTTTTTCCATGAGTTGAGTACATTTTATATTCAGCATCTGAAACTGAGGATTTAAGAAAAGTAAATCACACCTACAAATAGCAGTTCTTTTTTCATGAAAAAAAGAAGAATGTTAACACAGTATAATACCAGGAGGATACAGTGAATGTAATTGCTTGCTTGCTTAAGACATCATTAAGTTGGTGGTCAGTGCAAAAAATAATAGGACCAAATGGAAATTTCTGAGCAATTTGTGTGCTGACTTTTCTGGTGGTAAAGGCTCTCTAGGATGACCATGAGAATATACTATCTCAATAGACTAAAATATTACAAATAGAAGCATAATGGAAAATTCAGCACGGTAATTCATTTATAAAAATAATGATGCTTCTCATGTTTTTAAAAAGTGTTAAGACTTTTTAGTTTTTTGCTTTTTAGAAACTTAAATTATAATTCAATTTTTAAAGTATTTGTTGAGACTAAGGAAAACGTGTGCCTATTCTTTGTAAAGGATAAACAAATCTATACCTTTAAAAATTTTAATCAAAGTATAATAACTATGAGAAAAGTACACATAAATGTGTAACTCAATGATTTCTTCACAAACTGAACACAATTGGGAAACCTATACCCAGGCTAAGAAACAGAACACTAGGAGCACCCAAGATATTTTCTCTGAGTTTGTTTTGAATTACTAAAAGAAAACACCATCTGCCTTCTACAGCATAAAATCTAAATTTTTAAACACTATATTTTTTTCTGATTCTCTACCATGCAAAGGGATAATAGTTCATTGAAGACAGTGCATTCAGTCATTTATCTCATTTTTCTCCTTTATTTAGGCTCTAAGCTTGTCCACACCAGGAATTATGGCTTATGCTTTCATGTTTGCCTGAGGGCCTAGTGCAGACTTTGGAACATACTAGGTATTCAATAATCACATTGACTAACAAAATTGGAAAGCAATGGAGACAAAAAAAAAAAAAAAAACCTGAGAAAAATTGGAGCCCAGAATTCTTGTGATAGAGATGTTTTGGTCTTGGTGACACTGAAGTACAATGTATGCCTGGACCAGTTCTCACCCTGAACATGACTCAGAGCAGGGCAAGAGAAAAGAGTAATTCTCTAGAGCTGATTTTCTGGTCTCCTTTGATGGGGTAGAAAGAGGAGGCTTTATTACTGCATCACATGTAAAGGTGTCAGGACACCCAGAGTGATTCTCTAAATAATTTGGCACAAATCTTATATAGTTGAGAATGTTAGCACGTTTTTTTTTTTCCTTTCATTCCTAAGGGAGATTAAAATACTTACTTTCTAGAGAACCCAACGAGGTTGCAGTTGAAAGAAATGACTTACATTGCTAATATTTTATCATTGCTATTTGTTCTATATATATTTTAGAGTTTCCTCTCAATCTGATAATTTACTGATAATTATTAGAAATAAAATGAATACAAAAAGGAGAATAGTTGGCTATATATTTTGCAGCATTTAATTACCTAAAAGTGTCAATAACCTTGATTTTTAATTTTTTTTTGTTGTACAAATGACATTAAATTCAATGATACTAACAATAATGCAGGTTAAGTGAATGCTTGCTCTAAACCAGCCTTATAATTTACATAAATGAACCCATTAGAGCCTCACAATTATTACACCTCCCATCACATTGCATCCTCATTTTAAGAGAATGAGGCTTAGGGATGTTCAGCTACTGGTCAAATCAAGTAGGTTTTTGAACATGCATTCAAACTAGGTCTTCCTAGCTCCTGAACCTGGACTTCTACCTATGTATTAAAATCTTATAAATTTTAATAATTTGGGTTTTTACCTACTATTATTAGGTTGGTGCAAAAATAATTGTGGTTTTTGCCATTACTTTTAATAGATACTCAACACTGTTTACTGAAGTTTTTTTTTTTTTTACCTTAATGTGATTAAGCAGATAAGCTTTCAACTGGAAAATAAAAGCTCAAAGAGACAAAATACAGCCCAATAGTGATAAAAACAGCCCAAGAGTTTTTATCTCTAAAGTTTTGACCATGATTCACAGAGAGGTTTCTGTATCACACCAGGAAGGTTGGTTGTGAATACAGAATTACAAGAAAAAAATCCCAATTATTATATACAGCTTAAAATGAAGTGTGGAAAGGCATCCTTGACCATTATATGCATAGATACAGTAGCTAAAATTCTGACCAATTTAGTCATTTTTTTTTCTAGGTGAAGACATTGTCTCTAAGAGTTCCCATTAAAAAGCAAATGATACCTGTTAGTTTCCATTATGACATTAGCATCAATTAAACTAAGGGGTTATAAGAAACGGACAAACGGTATCATATCAGTGAAATGTCTTAGTGAAAGGCCACCTCTCGGCTAGGGGGCCTCAGAGAGACAAGTCAGCCTCTTGAGAGAAGGCAGTTTGTTAGGCTCTTCCAACCTGGGGAGTTGCAAAGAGGAGGTGGTTCTAAGTAACGTCCAGTTATACCCTCAGACTAGAGTCAGGAACTAAGATTTGGTTGCTCTTCTTCATAAAAGCCTTCCCAGTCTCCCTTTGTTTTTAGGTTGAGTCATCATCTTGCATTTTCCACTAGAAACTCTTCATGGCCTCTTCTCCAGCCTTGTTTCACATTTTGCTAACACACGTGGTCTTTCTAACCTACTTGAGCTTTTCTCAATATACCTTGGGCATTGTCTTTAAACTGCTTGAGAAGTATTCTGAGAATAGTAAACAAATGCATATGCATGTGTATTTGCTAAATTTCCTAAACTACTAAAAATCCATGCAACAGAATTTGAATGCTGTAAGATACAACTCTCTCACATGTCATTTGAAACACAGCAAGACACCAAATAGGTGACAAAGAGGCAAGTAGTAATAAAAATAACATACTATTATTTTGTCTTTTGCAAATAAATCACATATGAAGAAATAAAAGTATTCCTATAAAATCTGGTAAATTATTTTAGGCCATATCCAGAGAGAAATAGAATGTGTTCAATTAAAAATGATTGAGAAATGTTGTTCTTTACTTTAAAATAGCTGTCGATTTAATTATTTATAACTTTTATTCTCTACTCAAGATAAAAAGACAACTTTTATATAACTGGATAGCTATTATAAAGCTAACGAGATACCTTTGTCTTTCGTCTTGCTTTCATATTAAGCTCTACAGACTAAGCGTCTGGCTATAAATAAAACTATTGATGTTAAAAGGTCATGGCTATGACCTTTCACATGTTTCTTCTCCACTATATCTATATACACTGGATACTTTACCCAGAGAAGAGATTCTTTATTTAAGAGAGCTTAAACTGTTCAAATTTGTAACATACTAAGGATTTTGGAATGTCTAGGGGACTTAGTGGATAAAAAACTGACCTTTCATCTCTGAACCCAGACACAGTCCAACCTCAGATAAATGAAAAAGTTTTGTGTCAGTTGCCTCTATGATAAACTGGTACTCTCCACTATCTTCCAACCCAATTAAGCATTACTGGCAGGTCTGGCCTCAAGAGGCACATGGAATATAGAAATGGAATTACTTCTGCTCCTGGAGAGGGTGTCTGAACCTTCAAAATAGGATTTTAAAGTTATAAATGGGCAGTGTTGGCCAAAGTTATGTCTACAGACAGAAATCCATAAACTTGTATGAAAACCTCCCCCAGATCCCATAATTATATGCAAATTTGAGATACTGTGATACTTTTCATGATTCATACTTTTGGCTTTTATTTGACATGTTTACAAATTTATAAAATAATTTTATTCTATTACTTTACACAAAAAGGATAACTTGAATGTAGTAGACAGTAGCAATTATGTATAGAAATAATAGCATACAATGCAGTTTGAAGCTGTTACAGCTAATTTAGTTTTCACAGAAAAGTATGGACAAGATTTTCTAAAATATTAAATAATACCAAGTCTTGGCATTTTATTTTGAGTATGTAATACGAAGTTGTAAAAAGTTTTTCATTTTCTTGTTTAAATTTTACTTATATAACTTTAAATAAACAGATTTTTGGCTGGGCGCAGTGGGTCACGCCTATAATCCCAGCACTTTGGAAGGCCAAGGTGGGCAGATCAGGAGGTCAGGAGATGGAGATCATCCTGGCTAACACGGTGAAACCCCGTCTCTACCAAAAATACAAAAAATTAGGCGGGCGTGGTGGCATGTGCCTGTAATTCCAGCTACTAGGGAGGCTGAGGCAGGAGAATCGCTTGAGCATGGGAGGCAGAGGTTGCAGTGAGCCGAGATCACGCCACTGCACTCCAGCCTGGGCAACAGAGCGAGACTCTGTCTCAAAATAAATAAATAAATAAATAAAAATAAATAAAATAAAATAATAAAATAATTTACATTTCAAATAAACATTGCAATTAATTAAAATAATATGTAAGCTTCTAGTGGGCATAATTGCTGTTTCTTATAGCTTTGATTTTCAAATATACAACCCAACAATACGCAGTGGATGCTCACTACCTACTTTATGATGAATTAATAAGTAATGATTGAATGCAGTATTAATGTGTATCAAGGAAGGCCATTGTAAGCGGAAAAAATCCATCAAATATTTCAGTTATGTAAATATAATGGAGGGGGAGAGGTTGAATCATTCTTATAGATATATTCAAATGATTTAAAATTTCAACAATGAAAGATATAAGGTTTAACTTGAGACGAGCCTTCACTTTCAGGGAGAGCGATAGTGATTGAGGGTCTCTATTTTTCTCCCTCAGAGAGAAGACAATGGCTATTATTGAATTGAATTGAAATGAGTTTAATTGCAACTTTAATTTACATATTACTAAGAACTTTGTAATGTGCATTTATACATTAATTTATTTTAAAATTAACAGAAGAAAAATACATGATTTTTTTCCCTGTAGATGTACCACATGACACTAAAGGATATAATGATGAAAACCACTGATCTAATCTCTTAGGTTGGATTACAAGTTACTTTCATTTACTTCTTTGCATTCTTCTGTATTTTGTAAGTCTCATACCAAATACAGAAAAATGTTATGATAAACTGGTACTCTCCACTATCTTCCAACCCAGTTAAGCATTACTGGCAGGTCTGGCCTCAATCTTTTATTCATACAGTTGTACAATCTTTTATTTTTTTATTTTTATTTTTTTACCAGGAAAAGTAATCTCTGAAACAAACAGTGCTCCCTAAATTCCACCTTATTATAATTTTTTTATGTAGTCATCCACCCATTCATATTTGGAAAATGAAATGTAATATTCACTCTGTAAATCTGAAAATCATTAAGTCCACTAGACATTAGAGGAAGAATATTTGAAAATTTTTATGTGGTGAGTAATTAGATTTGTAAGTTGAGTGAAAGTGAACTCAATAAAGGTGAAAAATTAAAATTCAATAGCAGAGGCAAAAGTGGCTCAGAAGGGGCTGGGAACTTGACAATACTTGAGAGGAATGTGTTGAGTGGTTTCAAAGAAAAGAAAACAAGACTAGCTTGATCTATGTACATAGATGATCTGGATACTTTATATTATTGGGTTTGGCCAAATTGATCAATTTAACCAAATGGTTACTCAATCATACTCTAATAAAAACATGAAATATGAACTGCAAAATATTGGGTAATTAGGAATAACACCCTGAAGAAAAAAGTAAAACACAGGAAGTAAAAGACTGATATTTCAAGGTATGAAATATCCAAATCATTACCAAATTGGAAGTGAGAAAATGATGCTATACTCTGAAGATTAAATTAGAAATATAAGCTAAAATCTGAGAAGGATTAGAGTAGAACACTGATGTGAGAAAAAATCAAAAGCTAAAATCCAAGTTTTTTGACTAAAAATTTTTGTTTTTATATTTTAATATGTTCCATTTTCACTATATGGTTTTCAAAGGGATATCAGATATAATTATTAAGGACCGGTTAGAAATGGCTTATATACATACATATTTTATATATATATATATATATATATATATGTGTCTTCTTATACTGATTATTTTTCCTACTTAATATGTGAAACTAAATATGAAACTCAGAATTCTGAAATCATAAATACAAATTTTATCATTTCTGAAATCTGTCATTTGCAGTCTTATCATTCCCATCTTGTTTATAGGTAGATGTTTTATTTCTTTTTGGAAACTATAGATATGAAATTTTCAGTTATTTTACTTAGAATAAATCATAGCATCCTTATGTCAGAGCTATACAAACACAAATGTTGGCAAAATTCACATTATGGGAATTTCTTATTTTCATGACCCTTTACAGCTGGCTAATTGTAGTTTACATAGCTATTTACTTAATTATTAATTTAATGTATATGTCTCTCACTAGACGTGAAGGCAAAGCTATGTCTATATTTGCACCCTTGAATGTGAAGTGCCTAACTGAATGACACGAAGTGCTTGAAAACTAACTCGAATGAAAGATTGACCCAACGACTGAATAAAGATCTCTTTGAGTTTTCATTTGGACTTAAACCACATGTAATAAAATAGATGACTGCAATTAAGGGCTTTTTCTTGCTCAGAGATTATTTTCGTTACTTGAAGGAAAATTAACAGTTTTAAATTTCATTGACTTGGATAATTCATTGAGTTGGAAATAAGCATTTTCCTACAAAAAAAGTAAATATACAACCTCAAACTCCAGGAAAATATTTAATAAAATAAACTACCAATTTAACAAAGAAAATGCAAGTCACTGAAGATCATTATGCATTTTACTTTAAAATGGCCTTATATTTCTCTTATATAGAAAATTGTTTAGAGATTCATAAATTGTAATTTAAAACGATGTCCACTTATTTAGTGTCTGTGAGCACTCAATGCATGTTAAAACCAAGAGAAGACCACTTGCTTTAAAGATGATAACACCTTTGGAATGTTAATAGTATAAAACTTTCTAAAGGAAAATTATTTCTTTACTGAACAAGGAAAGAGTCAGATTGGCTTAGTCCATTTTGCACCTTTGTGCTGGGGAATCTCTGGGTTTAAATTACAGCAGCCTCAGTCTTTGCTTTTCAATCCCTTAATCCTTAAGGAGCATAGGTTTCAGTTCAAGACAACTTCACACAGAACACAAGAAAAGATTCTGTGAGCCTACCTCAAGTATGATGATGTTTTTTTCAGCTGTGATCTTTCACTTGCATCCCATAGTAAAAATGACTTTGAGGCAAACCAGTGTCAAATAATTAATGCATTTTCAACGAAGGGCTTTTTTTTCCCACTATACTATAATGCAATGCATGAAAAGCAATAAATGCTTTCATGTAAGCCACTTGTACCTGTGGTTTTCATCACTGTTTCACTGGGATCCCTCACATTAGAGAATCTATGTGAGGTGCCTACGCTGAAATGGAAAGAAAAGCTGGCCTGGGAGGTTTCACATCTGGTAGCCTACCCCATTACTTAAACAGGCTACATCTTAAAAAAAAAAAAAAAAAAAAAAAAAGAAAAGAAAGAAAAAGAAAAAGAAAAAAGTTACACAGGTTGAATTGAGGCAATTATGTTCTGATCTAAGACATATATATTTGTCGATTATTTCCAGGTGTTTCTTGAAAAACATGTTTTCTTGATCTATAATTAATATTCTGCTAATGGAACTCTAGCAAAATGCCACAAAACCACTCAGCATTTCTCCATGCCATAAATGATAAGAACTAATAGTAACCATATTAAGATTCTTAGGTTTTTAAGCATTATCCTAGTTTATGTCACGACTATTATTTAAAATTATAATATCCAGGTGCTGTATATGGTATTTGATCAAAGGGAATCAAAATGTAATGAGTTATAAGTTTTCTCCCTGAGGGCTCAAAGTGTACATAATGGGAGAGGGTGTGATTTATTTTCTGAGTCATTCTGGAAACAGTTATGAAAACCTTTAGTTAAATATTGGTAACTGGGGTTATTGAATCTGCTGATATTTACCACTTATAGGAGGTTATAGGAGTATATTATTTTGAAGGGAAAACTGAACCAAATTTTCTTTTAAAAAACTCAAAATATCATAAAGCATTACTACCAACCACTGATTTTTTAAATGAATATTTTCAGACTCTATGTAACATGTTCATAGAATCACACACACACAAAATCAAGACTTCAAAACTGACCTTTAGAGATAACAAAAAGTGACACTTGATTCTTTTTATGGTGATGAATGTATGCTCTAAATTACAATGAACAGTAGAGCTATAATTTTATGGGAACATTTCTAATTTTTCTCACATTAACCTTGTATTAAGAAATGCTGACAACTTTGAATTGCAGAAGTACATCCACTTCCCATTCTCTGCCATCAGTGAAAATGATCAGTCCTTCCCCTTTAAGCAAATACAATAAGGAAGCATCAGAAGAGGGTTGAACACTTTTCTTTTCTTTTTTTAAATTTTGATCTTCCTCAAATATTGTTTGACCTTAATCACTGTCTTCCAACAAGCTTAATGGGACATCACCTTGAAACAAAAACACACAGCTCTCAAGTCTGGCTCTGGAATGAAAAAGCCCTGATTATTAGTCCTCTGTGTGATCTTTTCAGATTGCACTGATGAGATGAAGTTTAATCTCGTTTCTCTCCTCTCCAGTACCACAAACCACAGGCAGTTTAAGGCAGCCTGAAAATCTCTTACATCTGGAAGAGCAATAATTCATGGGATTTCGCCTGACAGCCATGACAGGCAGCAGGGCAGCCAGAAACAACCATCTCTTATGTTGTGCTATTTGCAAAAAATCAGAAAAGGAGGAGTCGGCACATGACCACATCCTTCTTTAGCATATGTTAGTGGAGAAAACTCTTTTATTTTCTGCCAGATGCTTCATAAATAGGTCCTAAATATTACATAGACAGTAGCTATTACTTCCAAACAAAATTCCTGGGTGTCTGCTAAGCTGCAAAGCATATGAAGGCCTATTGTCTGGCAAAGGGTCATGGTTAGATTTTTTTAAATAGATATTTCAGATTCTACATGTGATTTATAGGCATTTGCACACCCTGCTGTGCATGAATATGATACCATCTTCTGAGAAGGATTATTTCATGAAATGTATATGGGATTTAGCTACAGTAACTTTTACTGGGCAGTTTAGAATGGCCAACAAAGTACTAGAATTTACTGCAGCACAGCTTGGGCTGTCAGGCTCCAGGTTGGTGTTTATGATTTCTGCAGAAGCAGAAATAAACAACTTCTCCTTAATGGCCTTCTTTATGTGTAGGCAGCAGTGGCCCTATCTGGTCTCAACAACAGTAGCTGGTGCAGCAGTCTGTCCCATTTCATGTGGAACCAATGTCTGAAGATTTGCATTTCTGCTTTTCTGAGTTTTCTGTAGTAGCAGCCAGAAATAGGGAAATAGACTGCAAATGTTTGAATGGGTAGCATTCCACTCTACTGTTTTCAGTGCTATAAATACATTGTGGATAGAATGACTCAATTTTAAGACTCTGACTGAGAGAAGGGAATGGCTGCATTCATTTTCAGATTGTACATTGTCAATAAACCCTATAAAAATACTCATCAAAGAAATTTTAAATGACTTCTCTGAGAGGCCTGTTTTCCCCAAAGTATGTGATATAGTTAAGTCTCCATTCAATATGCATTTCAAGGTATATTTAAGCAATATTCAGAATGATACCAGGCGTAAGAACAAGCATATGAATATGTTAAATATGCACTTTTCTATTTAGACAAAAATTGTAAAAAGGAATTATCTACAAATTTCCTGATATAGCAACAGTTTTTAAAGTTCAAAAGAATGTCGACACACATTGTGTATAGAAGCAGGCAGAATATACATTTTTAAAAAACGAGACAACCGTTTCATGCCAAAGAAAAACAATTCCTTTGCCAAACTACACATTGTTAACTTAAAATGTGTTCCATGTGGAAATACGGAGACTGATTTTAAGGAAAGACTAGTGATCTTAAGTCAGCTGGCTCCCTGCCTGTCAACTATACGTTTTGGCTTCTAGTTTTACAGCTAGAATTGGAAATATTTATTTCCCCTATTTAAGACTAGTTCTTTTCCTTTGCCTAGTAAACCAATGAATTTGCCTGTAAACATGCATATAGCAAAAACTTTCAGGCAATACGCAAGGGAAGAATAATTTAAAATCTCTTGTAGGCAGCATATAACAGGTTGGAAAGATTGCATTTTATTCTGTTCTCATTTTGTCCAGGCCTTTTGCCAGCATTTTTGTATACTCATCACATTTTCTGGAAAGAAATTAAATTACCGAAGCCTTCAGCTCTTGAGTTTGAAAGCTTATGACCACAAAACAGTTACATATTTGGAAGGCTTATATTGTGATGACAATATTTACCCATCACCACTGCTTAGAATTATCAACATCAACAAGCCTTCACATACCCTGTTACGGGTTTCTTTAAAGTAGTCATTATATTGTGGTCTTATGCTGGTTACAGATGAATTCTGAAAGGCAGCTTGAATACACAGTGATGAGCAGTCATTGGAAAGACCTTGCAAAGGGAGACATTTTTGATAGTGTTTAGAAAAGATTATCTAATATTCATTTGCTAGTCATAGCAAATTTACATTGGATAACTTTATACATATTTTCAGCATTTGATCTTTGCAATAAAGAACACAAATGATCGACCAAAACGTATTATTGTATTATTTTACATAACATAAAATAGCAGGAATTCGAATTTCATGTGTATGTGGAAAATATACCATATTTATTTCAGTTTCATTCTCTGAAAGGCTAATCCAGAGGCTTTCAGTAGCCAGATTTTAGTAAGTCTGAGTGGGCAAGAGCTATTTATTGCAATTCTGAGAGCATAAAGCTCCTCCTTTTCACACATACCCCTTTGCTGGAATACCCAAGTTTTATTTATGATTTTGGATTTTATTTCACAGCATTCCAGTTTAGTTTAGCATGATGTATTTAATAACCATGTCGACTGTCTTAATTACCCTATAAAGCAGGGTTCCATTGGCATTTGACCCTCCACGGCATTCCAGAGAAACTGCAGAACCATGATAATTACCAACCGCCTGTGAGAAAATTAAACAAAAGGCCCAACTTTTAAACCACCATTTTAAACGACCTATTACATCTCAGAAATAAATCATTGAGGAAATAGCCTGCTTAACAGGAAAATAGCTATTCCATAGCAAAGAATTTCCCCTTGTGTGATCATGAAGAGAATATTAAGTATTCTTCAGCTCAAAAGGTTAGATTTTATGTCTGTCCAATGTCTTTTAATGACACATTTTTGTGTAATTTTACTGTAATCAAAGCCTTTTCCAATAGAGGTTACAGACTGTGGATATTTTGTCAGTCTCACACATTTTTCTATCCGTAGTATATTAAATGCACTTAGATATGGCTGGGGGTAGGGAGAATCTGTTTATAATTGGAGAAAATTCAAATTAAAAAGAGATCTATGAATAGTTTTATTTCCCTTGATTAGCGTAGCCATTTGCTATACATTCTTCAAAATGTGCTAATCAATCACTCTGTGATAAGATTGATTTATTAATTGCTGCCATAGTCCAAAAAATAGTGACCTGCTTTGAAGGTCTAAATGTCTGGATTAATTTGAGAGTGGTGCCAATATGTCATAACTAATCATGATATATCTTTATGTTCATTTCTACATAGCAGTTCTATCAGTCTGATGCTCGACAAATACAAAGCTCAAATTATTCTCCCCTCTCACTCCCCATCGACAAATATTTGTTTTGTGAAAGTTAATACTTTTACATATGCTTTCTATTATGATTCTCAGTGTGACATTAGAGATATTCTAGATAATTCTGTTCTGATCTCACTATAATCTAATAATTAGGATCATCACTTTAAAAAATAGGAATACAGCTCAAGTAAGGACATATAAAACTTCTAAGCTTTTGTTCTTTTTTGGAATCATTTTGACTCTCTTCTTTGCAAAAGCCAGGGTAAGGAAATCTGCCTTAAGGTCACATAAGGTCCATTTCCAGGTTTTTCACACTGATGATTCTGTTTTTTCTATTGGCAAATTGCCCAGAGTCCAGGGAAGCTGGCCAATGGGTACAAGAAATAACTGGGTGAGCAAGTGCGTTTCTTTGGCAAGGAGATATGACAGCAAAGAGGAGCACTAGATTTGTAGTCAGGCATCCTGGCATCACATACGTATTCTGCTGTTTACCAGCTGTGTGATCTTCAATAAATTACTCACCTTCTCTGCGTTTCAGTTCTCTCACTTGTAAAATGAAAATAATGGTAGCTATTCCACACATTTTGAGAGGCTTAAATAAATTAGTATCTGTAAAATGCATTCCATAATGCCTGACTCATAGTAGTTATTCAGTTTTTGTTGGATTTGATATTTTGGCTCTTCCCTCACCTGAGTTCACAATAATCTGGTTAATGCTTTGCGAAATGCTTTCTCATTAAAATCCACTCAGAAGCTCCAAGAGATTGCCAAGAAGCATGGAGTAGCTGATCAAGGATCCTAAATCTATTTCCTCAACCATTCACATCACATAAATTACTTTGACTATCAATGCCAGTTCCCAGGGGTGCATTCCTCATTGTTCTTCAAAAATTCTATCCCAAACATAAACTATTTGTTTTTTCCTTCTTGGCACAGCCAAAGAAGGTTAAAGTCTTAAAATAATTTAAAAATACTATGAAAGAAAAAGAGGGAAATAAGAATTTTTTTTTAAAAAAAATTAGGTTTTTGAAGTAGATATTTCTGACTCTGTTATCATTAGTTCTTGCAGGGTTATCCAGTTCTAGACTGTAACCTCAAATGGCTAGTGTCCATGTATCTATGGCCTGTACTGCTCTTCTCCTTGTCACCCATCGAAAGCAGAACACCTCCACTTCCACCAGAGTTGAACCGCTCTTCTTGATACTTTAAGCTCTACTATTCACGGCTTAGTGCTAAATATAAACCTTGCTACCCGTTTAGGACTCAAACGCAAAACAAGGTGTAGGTCTGAGAAACAACCTTTTCTGAACAAAGTGACATCACAAATTATTTCACTCTTCAGATGAGACATAATGGGAATAGCTAGGTCAAGAAAGGCCTACATCACAATCATGTAAAATAAAATCTTAGTTTTGGCCTTGGCGTAAAATTATCCAGGTGAAGATGGGCAGCTGGATCCAGTAGCTCCTGAAATGCATCTTTTCTTAGGGATTTTTCAATTCTTACCTCATTGACTCTCTAGTTCAGCAGCTTCTAGCCTGGAGTCCATGGACTCTGCAGTGATCTATGAGCAGAATTCAGAGGGACTAAGGACTTGGGTGGGCAAAATTGTAACATTATTTTTACTGGCTTCAAACTAAAGTGTATAACTTTATTCAAATTTTTAAGCAGGAAACAAATCACAATAATACTAGCAGTATCTGTATTGTTACCAAAATAAATCACAGATATTTTTATGTAACCTTACACATGTGGTAAATACTTATGGTCACTACTACCTGAAAATTACGTGAGGAGTGATTAGGCATGTTTCCACGTCTTATCACTTAGTGTATCAGTAATAAAGCATGCATGTGATTGTATCATAAATTATTTTTAATATATTTTGATAGCTATACTTAAATATCATAGTTTTTCTTTGCAATCTTATATGTTGTGTCTTAGGAGTTTAAATACATTATTCTTAGATTGGGTTTTTCGGTTTCCTCCAGACTGCCAAAAAGTTCTATGGCACAAGAAGTTTGAGAACTAGTGCTGTGGATACCATCTATACAGCAAAGCACTATGCTTCTGACGATAGACCCTGCTTTCCTAATTGATCAAGAGATAAATAAGTGATTCCAGCTGGCTAAATGTGAGTTTCTTCCCTTGATTTTTCAGGCTAGAAATGATAATAAAATGTCCTTTCCTTTCTGATGAAATGATAGGGATATGAGTCCAGAGAGCCATGTGTACCACTAGGTGAAGAAAGTTCAGTGGTAGAAGAAAATAAAGCTAACAAGTAAAATAAGAGAAAGAGCTGGAGAGCAGAAGGTCCTGATAATTTTTTTTTCACCATGAATTCAATTCCTGAGGCCAGCCCCCCTCTTCCAATGATTGGATTATATAAAGCCAATTGATTTTCTTTTCAAGTTAGTTCATGATGGGTTTCTGAATCTCCTAACAACTACGACAACAACAGCAAGCATCCTAACTTATAAAAGGAAGCATCACGGCTTCTTTCATCTCTCACCCAGGCAGTATACCAAACTCCTTTCCTTGGAATATATTTATTGTGGGCATCATTTTTTTTTCTTTCTTTCTTTTCCTGTTTGGAATCCTTCTCTTCTTCACTTGTAAAAGTAAACCATTTTTCCTTGGGAAACTTCCCCCACACCCCACATTCTCAGTCTACTCCATATGAATGAGGCTGACCCACTTTAAGCTGGAAATGTTGGGATGTGGTCCACGATTAGCCACTCAGCACATTTCATGACCCTGATTGGGTTCCACATAAGATCTAATCTAGGCCATTGGGAAGCAAGTCCAGTGTTTTTATAAAATTTGAGAAGAAATATAGCTCTTTCCATTGGGGCTACTGACAGTAAGGAAGAAGTGATGCTGGAGGTACAAGGACCCTCTCAGTGGAATGCTAAGTGGAGACTTTAAGATGGACCAGAGCCTGGTGACATCATTTGATCCCCTACTCCTGGCCATGCCAGTGGTTGATTACTGTGCACTTAGCAATGTTCACCTAGATTTGCAATTCTATGAAACAATAAATAGCCCCCACATTGCTTTTTGGCTTAAGTTAGTTCGCATTTGGTTTCTACCTGTTGAAACCCCAGTAGTCCTGAATAATATACCACAGTACACCCTAGGCAGACCAAAATATTCTAAAATCTTTTTGCTAAATACTGCCAGCTAGGGTTGAGTTGTGTGCCTGGAGGTTCATCCATCTCTAGAAACACAGGTGATGTCAGTAGTTACTAGATCAGTAAACTTTCCCTGTGAACAAGGAAGGTTTGAGAATACTTCTTGCACATTGCTTAAATTCTGACCCTGTATGTTTCAGGAATACTACTGAGCATTGATCAGATTTCTTGGTGGTCAGATCTAGGTGTTTACCATGGTGGTGTTACTGACCCTCTACCATCTTAGGGAAAGATGAGATGTCCCCTAATGGTCATGTTTTCTGGACTTTTCCTGTCTTATCATGGGATGAACTCAATTCAATAGTAAGAAAACAATCAAATTGAAAAATAGACAAAGCGACAGGTATAAGAAAAAATGTTAAACATCACAAATCATCAGGGAAATGCTTTCCTGCCTTGTTATAGGATGAAATTCTTTAAATGACATAGTCTGTTATTCCTATTGTCTCTTCTCAGCACTTTCATAGCTATATCTCCTCCCTGTTCTTCCCCTTATGATTGAATAAACGAGTGAATGAATAAATCAGGTCTCTTTGAAGTTGGCCTGAACCTATAGCTGACCTGCTATGCCTGTGACAATTGCTTCCTCACCTGTTTACTTTTGTTCATTTTGTTTCTTACTTGCCTTCCTCTTCCCCAAGCTCAGCAACTTTTGGCTCTCAGTAAACTGTGTTCCTGAGTTTGTCACACAGGATTGAACCTCAATCTCCAGATAAATAGAGATGTCAAAGAGGAAAACATGCCAAGAGAAATAAACTTAGAGAATGCAACAAGAGTAAAAATGTCCTAGCTTCCACAGTCTTCAATAGCTTAGTCTTTCAGTTCGTTGGTAGAGCATATGCCATTTGAATTATCAACACCGTTACCCCAAGGGCTGGCACATATTTTCAGCATTTGGATATCCTAGTTCTTGCCCTTTCTTTGAATAAAGGACACCATCTTACATATTATTCTATAGAACGTCTCAGTTTCTTCAGGGCTGAAACCATGAGGGCCATATTTTCATGGACCATATCTGCTATACCTTCTTGGGTCCTATACCTACTCTGAGAAGCTCTTCTTCCCCCACTTACTGTCAGTGTGAAAAATCTCAGGCTTACTGTTCCTTTTATGTCTTTACAGACTCTATGCATACATGAGGTATCTCAAATCTCTCCAGCCTGTAAATACAAATGAATACATATGATTATTAATGCCAAAGGTATGATTCCAGTTAAATATACAAATAAGCATGGAGCACCTCCCCGGGGTCAGGCATTGTGCCACATGCTGGGGAGATATTAGTTGAATGAGACAATATTGTCATGTTCTACATGTACTTAACCACTTAAAGAGAAAGGCTGGCTTCAGACAAACCTTTAAAAACAAGCAGAATATTAAAACTGTTACAAATCTAAGCTAGTGCAGAAAGTCAGGGAAAGCTCATCAGATTATGTAACATTGAAAGATGAATAGTGAGTTAAACACAAAAGCAAGAGAAAGGCTTCTCAAGCATAGTGAACAGAATATCTGAAGGGGACAAGAGAGAGAATAAAAAGTATCAGTGTGGCTAGAGCCCAGAGAAGCAAGAGAGAACACAGCCCTTCGGGAGATTGGTGAGGTGGGAAGGAGCCAAATTTTGGAGAGCCTGGTAAGCCATGTTAAGAATGTTTTTAATTAAAGTAGACTTGAGGAAAACTACACAGATTTGGAACAGATGCTGTGGGAAATGGGAAATAGCTGTCGAGAGAGGAGCGAAGGGATTGCCAGTGTTTGTGAAGGCCTAGCTGAGGGTGGACATCATGACAACGTAATGAAAGCAAACAGCCCAGCTATTTAATTTTCTCCAACAACACTTAGCAGCGTGGAAGTAGGCATGATGAGTACAGGCAACTAAGCTGCTCCAGAATTTGGGATTGGCTTAGTATGTGCAAACAAACTGAAGGAAAAAAAATTTAAGAATGTTGGTGTAAGCAGTGGTGCCAAGATTGACCAGGAGATTCGGGTTATGCAAGGAAGGAGTATTTAGAAAAGATATTCAACATAAGGACCACAAATACAACCTTGTAAGTCCTGACTGCCTTGTTCACTTCCAGATCCTACCATTTATAAGCTCTTAGGGAAGTTACTTCAAGTGTTTGAGCTAAAAAAGGAGCATGATAGTTCTTGTGTCATAATTTGTGGGGGAGGGAAAAACTGATAAAGTTTATGCAATGAGTTTAGCCCAAACCCGGCACATAGTAGACACTCAGAAATTATTGTTTTAAAAGAGAGAAGGAAAAAAATATGTCTGTGAAGAGACTAAGAGATTTGGAGAATTGATAAAGGACAGGAGGTCCTGGGGTAGTTGAAGCTCCAACTTAGTAGGATTGAGGAAGTAATAGAGGCAGAAGTTTCTCAACAGTAAGATAGATACCGACTTGCTAAAGAGTAGAAAAGAAAACTATTACAGTAACCATGAGAACAGCCTGTTCTATAGGCCATCACCTGTGAGCCATAATGAGGACAAAAAAAAAAAAAAAAAGAAAGAAAGAAAGAAAAACTATGAGCCAGGGACCAACATCCTCAGCCAAGTGTCTGGTGGAGGCATGTTGTAAAGCCAGGTATACACAGTTCACAGGGAGAACAATTGCATTTTAGGATTTCGCTTCCTTCATGATTGCCTTTTCCTTCTTCAATCTTCTAGTTCTTCTACTCTTCTCAGTCTTCCCCTGAACTGACTGTCGTGTTTCTGCCCTCAAGGCAAAGCTTCGGCTCTTTTTATCTTTTCTGGTTATGATCCTCACCTGCCCTCTGCACATGTTCTCTAGGAGCACTTTTCATTTTCTATGGTCTGATCATGCTTCAAACCGGGGCAGCAATCAGGATTGTCTGATTGAAGCCTGGGGTCTCCAAATGCCCTCCTGTTCACTAAATTCCACCCTGTTAACCACGCCTACTCTCGTTTACCATAAACATTTATTGCATGAGCCTATCTGCTGCAGCTGGGTGTTGTGCCAGGTGCTGGGTTGGAATCATTCCAGTACTGGGCGATATGGTTTGTCTGTGTTCACAACCAAATCTCATCGTGAATTGTCGCTCCCATAATTCCCATGTGTTGTGATTGGGACCCAGTGGGTGATAATTGAATCATTGGGGCAGTTTCCCTCATACTGTTCTTGTGGTAGGGAATAAGTCTAATAAGATCTGATGATTTTATAAGGGGCTTCCCCTTTGGCTTGCCTCTTATTCTGTCTCTTGCCTGCTGCCATGTAAGACATGCCTTACACCTTCCACCATGATTGTGAGGCCTCCCCAGCCACATGGAACCGTGACTCCATTAAACCTCCTTTTCATTATAAATTGCTTAGCGTCCAGTATGTCTTTATCAGCAGCATGAAAACAGACTAACACACTGGGTTTCCTCCCTTTCAATGACACTCTGCCTGATACTAAATTGTCTAATTTTTCCAACTTCTAATGAGCACTGGATTTTTGTGTCATTGTCCTTGACCAGTTTCTACAGAGAGAATAAGCTCAGTGTTTATTCCTCTATACTCTTACTCAGGAGTTTTCTTTCAATTCTAATTTGTTTACCTATCACTTCTCTACAGGTAATTCTCAAAGAGACTTTCCATTGCTGACCCTGCCCCATGCTTCAGTCTGCATTCCTGATAACTCATCTACATGAAAATTTAAAAAAATACTAAGGTGGCTAACATTTGTTTCAGTGCTTGAGGGTTTACAAATTACTTTCACATAATTTCTCTTAAGGCTAATATAAAGTTTATTTGCATAATGAGTGATTTACATTTTCTTCCTTTTTTTCTATCTAGATTCTAGAGGAAGAGGTACTGTTCTGCTATGCTCTGTGACATGCTATTTGCTTTAATTTTATTCTTGGTGCAGTCCCCGCCTCTCTCACCTGGAACCTTTTCCCATCAATTATCTCCTCTCTCTCCCGTGTCTTCAATCTCAACTTTTCCCCTGGCTTCCTTTCTTCAGCCAACAAGCATGCTCACCATACCCACCATACCCATTCCTAAAATGACCTCCCTGCAACCTTGACTCCCTGGACAATATTGCCTCATTTCTCTGCACCTGCTTTCTTCACTTCATTACCCTCAATTCTCTCCTCATTACCATCAGGTTTCCACACTTACCACACCATTGAAGCCTACCTCTTAAAAATCAGTGACTTACAATGAAATTCCTGCAAAGGTGAATTTACCACTTTTTGGAATTTATTCCTTCTAGGTCAAAAGAAGGGAGAGAAATAATTCTTCATTTCTATACCCTCAACCTCCTTTGAATCAGGCTTTGGCCTCTTCTAACCAGGAGGAAAATGCACTGTAGCTTCAATACACAGAGAAAATATATAATTTAATTCTCGGCTTTTGAGTTTCCAGAACCCAAATACTGAAGACATAAAGGCAATTTGAGAGATGTCTTAGGATGGTTTTGATCATGTGAGGTTATCATCTCAGGTACAGATTTTAGAATGTCTTCCTTGTAATGTGCTACTCCAACATATGTCTTCCTTGTAAACACCAATAATCTCTCAAAAGTTTTTGTTTCATTTACTTGTCTGCAGCGGTGTACACATTTGACTATACTTCTTAAAATATCTTTTTTTGGCACACAAACATCACTTTTCCATGTTTTATTCCTATTTCTCTAACTACTTCTATTAAGTTTATTTTACTCTCTATTCTTTTGTTGTTCTCTTAAAAATTAGTTTCCTCCACAAAGTTCATCCTCAATCCTTTTTGTACTGGACACATTCTCCCTGGGTGGTCTCACTCTGCTCAGCCCCCATTCAGAACCCCAGGCCCATGTATTCCACTGCCAAGCAGGTATCTCCACCTGATATACCAGAGGCATCTTAAACAAAATATATCCAAATGTCAACATCTAAATTCTCCCCTTTTTTTCCTCCACTTCCAAAGTGCATTTGAATGCCATTTCTGAAATAAAAGCAGTAATGGGGTTTTCTGCCCTACAATAATGTCTGTCACCTTTTCACAGCCACTCAGGCTAAAAATCTCAAAGTCATTGTGGACTTATTTATAATTCCACACATCAAATAGTTTAAAGTTCTACTGATTCTATATCCCATATATCTCAAAATTTAATTTCTATATCATCACTGCCATTTGGTTTACTATACTTCTTTTCATTTTTCATTTTACCCATACTATATTATTTGGCTTTGACAAAATTATTTTATTGTGACAACCTCCAGAATCTCAGTTTATTTTCAGCTGAAGTTATATGTTCATCATGAGCTGCCTTTGGCTCTTCACTCTGGGCTCCTTGCTGGTGTTGAGGCACTAAAAAGAAAGAAGGCAGAGCCATGTTGTGGGTTTTAAAGTTTTGCACAGAAGTGGTTAATGTTCTTTTCACTCACATTTCACTGGCCAAAGAAAATCACAGGACAAAGCTTTACTTTAATGAGGCAAGAATTCTAATTTTCCCTCAGGGACAGAGCTGGTAAGGGCACATTTGGTAGAGATGCATTCAGTAGGAAAGGGCAGTGGATATTTTGAATAAATACTGTAATGTATTTTACACTCTGAAAAGATTCTAATGACTGCATTCTTGATTCACTTGTAATTTTACTTACTCATTAGATGACCTCATTCACAGCCATATGCTCAACAATCAGTCATACATAGGAGGCAGTCTAATATATATCTCTAAGTCAGCTACCTCACCTGAGCTTTAAACTTGTATTCCAAATACTACTAGCAAGGTCTATGCAGATATCCCACAGGCAATTAAATTTCAGTAAGCCTCAACCTGAATACACATTCTTTCCAAATCTGTTCTACATTTGCTCTTATATTTCTTATTTTGCTTTTACATTTCTTATTTGATCCACATTGTATTAAAGCACATGTCACATGACGTTTTAATAGTGTTGTTTATTTAGCTATCCTTATCTCCCCTTACCCCACGTCTACAAGATAGTGAGCTTCTTGAAGTTAGGACCATGTTTTAAATTTCTGTATCCCCATTATTATTTTTGTTTCTCCAGCTTCATGCTTATTCATAACAAGTACTCTGTAAATGCTTCCTTGTTGAATAAGTGAGTGCTGTGAGCACCCTTCTGAATGGCCTGTTTCTATTTCCTCTCCTTTCAGTCCATTCTCTACAATGTCACTCTATTTCTTTTCTGAAACTCAGAACACATTTAATGCTTCCTTTGCCCATATTGTGAAGAACAGGCTCCTCAGCATAGTATACAATTTTCATCCTAATATGGACTGAATTCCTCTTCTGGGTTCATTTCCCCCCACTTTCTCATGTACCCCAGCCCCCACCCAACTAGTTGTATTTCCTGAGAGTACTGTTTCTCTGTATCTACCTACTTCCCTTGCATGAAATGACTTAAAGCTACCATTCCTCATCACTTCTATATTTTTTTCCGTCTTATTTCTACATACCTTTCAAAGTCAAATGTCAAATCTAAAAATATTCTTACTGAATCGTTCCTCCATAACCCAATAAAACTAATTTTAGTTTCTTCTTGCATTTCCCCATTTTATTACATAATTATAACTTTTAATAAACTTGTTACATTGTATCACAATTATTTCCCTTCAGGTTTCCCTCAACAGAGAGTGGAATTCTTGAGTTTGGGGGACTAGGTCTTATAATCTTTATTGCTAACTCCACTTGAGGGATTGGCTCATAGTTCAGTTGGAAGCAAACAGATGAGCGCCTGCATGAATAAAAAGGCTGGGTGTGATGAAAGCGTGGCCTCTCTCTCTGAACCCATATGAAAGAGGAGATGGAGAAAGAGGGGGAAGGACTAATTTGAGGTGTTTAGGAAGCTCATGCTCTCATTTTTGAGAATGAAAAGTTTCGAAAGAGTTAGGAAGCTCAGGAAAATGACGAAGGCCTGAAACAAACATAGTATAAAATGTTCTCTGCAATAGGAATCTGCTAAAATACATCAACTGGTTGGCTAACATTAGGTGTTATGAACTTATTAGGAAAGTTCTAATCATCATAGTTCTGGACTTTTTCAGTAATGCACTCCTGCCTGAATGCAGAGTGAGAAAATGAGATAATGGAAGTGCAAAGATTTGGAGACTGGTAAATACACATATTTATGGATTGGTAAATTACACCTGAAGCTCAAGAGAGCATTAAAGATGAGCAGGAACAGAACTAGGTGTGTCCTTCTGACAGTCAATCATGAAACTTTGTTTAAAAATCTCCTTTTTTCAAGTAGACAGAAAAATGTGTATTATATTAATATGAAGTAAATAAAATCTTCTGAGCATCATTACTATGTCTTTTCGTAAAAGTATCACTCATGCCAATAGGTGCTAGGTGTTCATTCAAACTTGTTATGTTAGTTATTCTAACTCATTTATGTGTGTGTGTGTATTATATCTAACTCATTTATATTTATGCTAAATATATACATATATGTTATATATAAAACTGAATGAGTTAGCTCTATAATATAGAATTACATATATATCTATATATAAAATTAGATAATATGTATAATTAGATAGTTTTGATTCCCTAAGGCAAGGAAACCTCCTTTGAAGTTTTCTTCAAGTAATTTTTGTTATTTCTGTAATTGTCCATATAATACTCATTCAGTGACTTATTTACATATAAAAAAATTGCAGGTGTTTGACAACAATCCTGAATAGTTAGAGAATATAATAATGACCAATTTTAGATTTGAAACAATCTAAATTTCATGAAGAGATTTGGGTAGCAGTTATAATTTGAAATAGCGTCAATTAAAATACTTAGCATTGGTTAATAATCAATATGTATTATAATATTAAAGTGCTGTAATTTCCCAGAGCAACACGGACATTCAGATATAAAGCTAAAATATTAAAGGCAATTATAATAAACATTGTACTTTAAACAATTCTGTTATTGTAGGCAATTTTTATACTGAGTATAGCATTTAAAATTACACTTAGTTTGCAGTAATAGGAGACAAAGCAATGTTGGATCTGAGACTTCCTCACATGACATAGGAAGCTAAAAAAATTTCAAGATACACCAGAATTTAATAAGGGAAAGGGTAAATTCCTATTTTAATTCCCAATACTTTTCTTTCTTCCAATATTTTATTAAGGATGAATTTTGGGGATAATATTTTTGGTGGAATGATTGGAAATGAATTGAGGGTGATTATTTTGAGGTATGAAGTTGTTATAGGGAAGGGGATTAGAGGTAGAGTGCTCATTTGAGTCAAAGCCCATTATGTCCTGTGGAAAACTGGGTTTAGCCCATCTTGAAACTCTTTTCTCTAAACTTCCTTTGTCCCACACATCCTAAACCAAGGAAATAACTAAAAATTGAAGCATCAATTATTTTTATAGTAGACAGTTAATATTACATGTCAGAGATAATATTTGTGGATTTGTATTGCTTATTGCAGGGATTTTGATATAACTAGATCAAAGAAGCATTAAAATTATGCACAAACATTATCTGGAAATACCAGATTTGGTTTACTTTAAATTTTAAAAAGAGATTTTAGCAGATTTATTTAATTTTTCTTTTTTATACACATTTACTCTGGAAAATTTATTAAATTAAGAGGCCTCAGGAGATGAGACTAAATTTGGTAATTCAGGTAAAACCTAAGGCTTATGAAAAACAAAGACGTGAAATCATAAATGTTTTTATTAAATTAGTCTTGTATTAAAAGCATAACATAACTTTGGAAATGAAAACTCAAACAATTTATGAATTAATTCTTCTTATTGTTTGCCATAGATATTTAATGTGGTCATTCATTAGGCAGAGAAGACATTCTTTACCTACAAATGAATACATACAAAAAGTCTAACTTTATGTTTTTTTCCTTCTTGATTTTGGCTAATGGTCTTCTACCACTATTTATAATAGCTTTTTTCCCTTCATCTGATGTGAGCCTTCTTTAGATTAAGGAAATATTTATTAAAGCTTATGAATTGGGTTTCTGTAATGAACATAGATAGAGAAGAAGAATAAACACGCATTGCGTAAGCCTAGCTAAAATTTGAATATTTAGAATTCTTCAAGAAATATTGGTAAACCTGATGAAACTTAGCATACTGAATATGGTATTATTTAGGGTAAGTGGGACAAAGTGCGGAATAAATGGGTGTAAAATGGAAAATGGCTCAAATACAATGAGCTAATGCACCATCCCTCAAATGGCAGTGGCCACTGAGGCGCTCTCCTCTGCGTGGTGAATTGGGGGTCAGCTTCCTTCCTCTGTGCCTCTGGTTGCCTAGGTTCTTATTATCATCATCTGCTTCCCGCTAGAGGCTGGAGAGAGAATAGGAAGACACACTGACTTTTTATAGGCTGTAGCCCAGAGCTAGGATCTGGCCCTCTGCTTACTTTCCATTGGCTGGAAATAAGTGATAGGATGATGCCTCACTGCAAGAGGGGTTGTGAAATATATAGCTACAATTGTTTATATACTAGGAAGGAAAGAGCGGATTTGAGGGAACACCTAGCATTTTTTCTCACATATCTACATCTTTGAATTTAGTCTTTGATCTTAAAATTCAATTATCTTGATATGGCAAATTGTTTGATCTCATTGCCTAAATTTTTATATACAGCTCAAGTTTTCATCATTTGCAATTCTTCAATAGTTACAGTAGAAGTGTTGTATCAATAAATAGTAAATAGATTTGACATCCTTAGGAATAACAATTGATTTCAATAAGAAATTATTGAACAATGAGAACACTTGGAAACAGGAAGGGGAACATCACACACCGGGGCCTGTTGTGGGGTGGGGGGAGGGAGGAGGGATAGCATTAGGAGATATACCTAATGTAAATGACAAGTTAATGGGTGCAGCACACCAACATGCACATGTATACATATGTAACAAACCTGCACGTTGTGCACAAGTACCCTGGAACTTAAAGTATAATAAAAACATATATATATGTTTATATATATATTTATATTATTAATATAATATTATTATATTATATAATTATATTATATTTATATATTTATATATAAATATAATATATTTATATATTTATATATAAATATAATATATTTATATATTTATATATAAATATAATATATTTATATATTTATATATTTATATATAAATATAAATATAAATATATATTTATAAATATAATATATAATATATAATATATATTTATATATAAATATATAAATATAATATAATTTATATAATATAATAAATTTATATATAAATATATAAATATATATTATATATAATATAGATAAATATATAATATAAATATAATATATATTTATATATTTATATTAGATATATTATATATATATTATATATATAAAATATATAAAAGAGAAACAGAGTGAGTGGCAATGGCAAGCAACACTGGAAGGCTAGTCAGAGAGGCTTTCTGAAAGAGTGACTTTTGAAAGAGAGGCTTTCTGAAAGAGTGATGTGAAGGATGAAAAGAAGTCAACCATGCAAATATTCAAGTGGAAATTGCTAAGCAAGTGATGACGGCAAATGTAAAGCCTGCTGTAGAATTGAGCTAGGAGCATTTATCAGATGTGCTTCTGGATAGCGGGTTGAAGCACAGTGATCCTGGGTATGTGAGAGGGTCAGAGAACTACACAGGGGCCAGTCCATACGGAGCATTAGAGGCCGTGTAAGGATTCTGGCATGTTTTTATTTGGAATAGAAAATCACTGGAGGATTTGAAGTGGGACATTAGTATATTCTAATATAACTTTATTTTTATTTTTTTGAGACAGGGTCTTACTCTTGTCCAGTCTGGAGTTCAGTGGTGTGATCACAGCTCACTACAGCCTTGACCTCCTGAACTCAAGGGATCCGCCCACCTCAGCCTCCAGAGTAGCTGGGACCACAGGCATGCACCACCAGGCTTGGCTAATTTTTAAATTATGTTTTGTAGAGATGGGGTCTCACCATGTTACCCAGGCTGGTCTTGAGCTCCTGGGCTTAAGCAATCCTCCTGCCTTGGCCTCTCAAAATGCTGGGATCACAGGCATGAGCCACCATGCCCAGCAAGATATAACTTTAAATTGCTGCCACATATAAAAGTATAAAAGGACACAAGAGTAGATGCAAGGGGAGGAAGAAATGGAGGGATACAGGATATGCACCTAACACAGATATGGGAAACTGAGAATGCTTTGCTGGAGGAGGCAATATATGAGCTTGGATTTTAAAGAGTTACTTGTAGTTGAACAACTGAAGCAGGTAACCTGGCTGATAGAGTAGAGCAAGAAACAGCAATGAGGGTGTAAAAAGCCATAAATCATTCTGTGGCAGAACATGAGGTCCAGAGGCATAACCAGAACCTGTAATGAAGGGTCTTTTGTATTATGCAATGGTATTTGGGTTTTATCTTCAAAACAATAGAGCAACGAGAGGACTTAAGCAGGGCTGTGTCATGATCCACTTTCCCTTTCAGAATTAGCTCTCCCGAAATCCTGGGAAGGATGGACTGGGTGGGTTTGGCATGGAGAATGGTTGTCTACATGAACAGTGACAAAGGCCTAAAGCCCTAAACTAAGACCATGGATGTACATGTGAAATTATTAAATAGGGGTGGGAAGAAAAAGGAAACATCTAGGGATAGTTTCTAGTTCTCTGGCTCTTGTTGATATTCTCAAAGACAGAGCAGCAAACATGAGTTGGACAGGGGGAAGGAAGGGACTAGAATGAGGTGGTGGGCTTATATAAAAGAAGTATTATTTGCAATAAGAAATATGTCTCCAGGAGCCAATAACAGTGTAATAGTTGGAAAGTCACGTACATTGAAAGCTATTGAATTGTTTCTGTCAACTTAAAATCCAAATATATAATATAGGGTCAGATAGGTGTAGTTAAATAATGTATTTAGTTAAAAAAAACACTCAAGTACTTATCATAGTAACATTTACAAAGCTGCACATGAGGCTGCATACAATTTTTTATCAATCAACTAGTTAATGAAGATACGCATTTGTTCAGCATTATATCAACTAATATTAAAAATCATAATCATATTTTTTATTAAACACACTTGTTAGTATGCTAAGAACTTTACATATATTAATTTTCTTATTTAATCTTCTTAGCTGTCACTATCAAGTTAGAACAAGTATTATCTCAATTTGTTGTACAATGAAGCTGAAACTCAGAGAGATTATGTAAGTTGTCCACAGTCACTGGCTAGTAAATGTGGGATACAAGAATCCTACCCCTATTCTGAATGACAACCAGCAGCCTCTAACACATATTTTATTCAACACAGCATGGTGATTTGTTTAGATGCCTCCTTGGGGCCTCTAATCTAACCACATAAAATAATATATTTTTAAGCAAGCTATTAGCTTTGGAATACAGAAAATATAAACCTGCTTTTTAAATTTTAAATGAATTTGGCATCATTTTAATTGGATAAAGGCCCTAATAAAAGTAAGAGTCATCAGGACTGGTTTCTGTGGTGGAAAAAATGAGGGTTTTGGAATCAAGTCTGGATTCAAATCCAATTCAGCACATATTGACTGGTTTATCTTAAGCACGTTTCTTTTCCTCTTAAATTTCACATCTGTAAAATGAGGGCTGTAACTCAGTGCTGGGTGCAGAATAGGCATTCAATAAATGTAGTCATTCGCTTTCCTATATTAAGTACATTAACCATTGAGTTAGAAGCTCAATTGTTAAACTAGCTTTTTCTTCAGCAAAAATGAAACTAGCAAGCTGGTTGCAGAATTTTCTTTCTTCGTCTCTGTTTAAATCAAGATAAAGCATTCTTTTTTTCTGGTCTGGATAACTTTGCCAGTCTCCAAATTGTCCCTCCCCTCCTAATGTGGAAAAAAACACACAAAATTAATGGAGAGCTGGCTGGCCTGTGCTTTTAGAATCTTGGGGTGTGGGTACTGGGGACTGGAACCTGCCCTGCTGAGTGTGTTCGTCACCAGCTCCTTCTCGCTTTCCGCTTGGCTTTTTGCCCTTCGTTCCCATGTGTTGGCTGTTCTCATTTCCAGATCAGAGTTGACCTTTTTTGTAAGGTTAAAAAAAGCGTTAAAAGCCTCTGCCTTTTTACTGTCATACATTATTAGCTTTCTCATCCCATCAAATAAAAGAGCTGCATTCTCCTTTACCCGGCTCTTGTGACTGATGTATTTAAAGAAAGGCCTTTTTTTCCTGTCCATTTTCTTACAGTTTACAAAGAAAAAACACACACACACACAAAAAAAAACTAACATCATGAATTAATTTAACAAATGTAGTAAAATAGCCTTCTATCTTCACATAGAACTCCTTCCGCCCACTATAATTAAAAATTAATACGAAGTTGCTTTGAATCAATTACCCTAAAAATGTCAACATAATCACAAAATTAGGGCTGTTTCTCTTTTATTGTTAAGTGTATGCATTTTAAATATTTCAGTATATATCAATGCATTGAGGGACAAACAGATAGCAAAAAAAGATATTGCCATTGCATGACACAATTTTTAAAACTTTTTTGTTTTGAGATAACTGCAGATTCCCAGGCAGTTGTAAAAATAATATGGAGAGATTCCATATACCCATTATCTCGTTTTTCACAAATATTTTTAAACACAGTCATTTCTATTTGTGTGTGCCTGCATAGTACTTTAATAGGCCCAATGTACTTAATTTTTCTGAGAACTGAAAAGAATCTCTTTATTGTCAATACAGTTTTTGCCTTCTCAGCAGTCAAACGCACACAAATATATACATATATATACATAAATATATATATATATTTACTTCTGGAAAATTCTTGGAAAAGAGAATATTCAAGAGTCCTAAAATAAAAATACCAGAATTATTTACTATAAATGTATTGTTTAAAGTATGTAAAATAATCAGAATATTTATTGTAACACAAAACATTTTTGTTACTTATTATTCAAAGCATATAGAAAAGTTCCCAAATTTCATTGTGTTACAACTCATATAATGGAATATGATGTATGCATGTGTGTGCACACACACTCACGTTTGTGGTTATTTTAATTTGGAGATCATAAATTGTGTATGCCTTTAATGTGGTAATCTCTGCTATTTTCCTTGTGACATTTATTTTATCAACTTTTCTATAGGATTAGGAATCTCTCCAAAGATGCATATCTTTTGAGAGAGACAAACTGAACAAAATCTCTTTCAAAATAAAAGGGTTAAAACTCTCTTCAGGATTCTACAATGTTTTCCATGATCTAATCATAAAACTAAATTATAATGGTGACAGCCTTCCATATCTGGTTCCTCTGAGTCCCTTTAAATTAATTCAACACCATTACAATTCTGGGAAGCCAGAGGCTGTGACTTGCAGTCCAATTAAAAACATAACATAATTTAACTATTGATAAAAAGATAATCTTAGAAAGTTCCTTTTCATGGGAATTATTAAAAACTTGATATATTCCACATGGGAATAACAATTTTATTTCACCTCAGGTAAGAAAAGTAAATGGAAATAAATTCAATTGTAAGTACAACTCAAAGAACTGCCTCCAAAAATATAGTTTTGCAGACTTAACTGGTGTTCTTGATGATTAACAAAAAAATAATGCTTTTCTTTCTAAGTTAAAAGTGAAAAAGCCAACAGTAAATCCTAATATAGCTTTAGCCTCTGACTCCAGCAAAACAAAACCACTGAATAGAAATTTCTCAGTCCAGATTGGAAAAAGCTACTAGGTCAGTGAACAATTTTAGAAATGAATTTAAAGACCACTTGAGTTCTTAATAGCTGAATAATACGTGCAAGGATTTGGCACAAGTGTTAAAAATGACTAAACCTAACTAATGAGGTAGACAGTAGTAACTCACTTTTGGTTATAGCCTTTGTTGAAGCTCTAGTTTGTAACAACTTTTATTAACTATTCAATAAATCCTTAACTAGTAGAGTTACAAATTCTAGGGGATCTTATCAGGAAGTAGCAGCTCTTTTTTATTTTCTCGACTTGGTCTGGAAATGGCTGACCTCTGGGCTCTGGCACAAAGAGAAATGTCTTCCTTGAGAAGGCAGCCATGGGAATATCCACTAGGTAAAGGGAAAAACAGTGCCTACATTTTTTTTTCTTTTTTAAAGAATACAACTTTTTTGTTACTTTTAAATATATTATGAACAAGACGCTTGACTGTCCAAAAAACAATACCTACATAAAAATAATGACTTTTGTTCTACACTCCAAGTTTTTATTATCTTAGAAACTGGCAATGACCAGATTTCCTTTTATGACTCATTAAAAAGAAATTCAACAAACAAATTATATCAATGATATAAGCAATTTTAAGATGTTTACTTTAAGCCTCTCCTCCCTTCTACTTCATCTCCACACCACTTCATCAAAGCATCCTGATTCACCTTCTCATCTTCCCTATCAATTTTTAGCTCCAAGGCAGCCCAAGTATTGAAGAAATGGATCCGGATACTAGAGGCCACTGGAGGTCCAGGCTGGTGGGCAAAACTGTGATGCCTCCAGGTTAACACAGTTACTGAACTTGGTCTATCAAATAAACAGTAATGGTGTTGTCATGTAGGTTTCAATAGAAATACAACAAAGAGGCTGGAAAGGTAGGCAGTTAACAGCTGAAACAGCCACAGATGATGAAGGAAGATTCTAAACATTGGATTATGGCAGAGGCGGGTTCCCATAACTGAAATGGGGGCTCACAAGAGCAAAGTGGTGTCATTCAGGGCCTAGACATAATGTTGCAATAAATCTTTCTGACCTTGAGATCCATGAAGAAGCCTCTTGGGGTATACAGTCTAGTGTATTTGCAGTGGACTTGCACACAAGACTATCTTATTCTAATGATGCACCTTAGGATAGGTGCCTAGGAAATACTATAGAAGTCTCGAATGTTCCCCAGACATTTTGTCGTTGACTTAATGGCAAGGCAACTGGATAAATAAGCTAAAGCAATAAAATAAATTTCTGTTTCAAATTAGGATTGATCTGAAAACTGGTGCAGAATACCTATACTTGAAGGAAAGTAAGTTTATTAGTGGAACACAGGATTTGGAAGATAATGATGTTTACTGGAGTCAAAGAACAATAAGATGGGGGCTGATGTTCAGGGTTTGCTGTGAGAATCCAATGAGGTAATATTTTTAAGAGTACTTTCTTAAGTATGAATCACTTTAATATGTTTATTAATACCTTATTGCCCTGATGTTTCTACTGACCCTAGTTACTAAGGTCAATAAATTTAATGAATAAGAATGCATATGCATGATTGTGGGGTGCACACAAACCATAGAAATGCCAGTTTTACTTTGATGGTGCATCTTTATTTTCCTCCAATCTTAATTGGAAAATGCCAAATTGGTATCGCAGGTCTATACCCATTAACATCGTACTACTTATAAAATTGTGAATGAGTTGAAATCCCCTAGCATTTCTATTAGGGTTTTGCTAGCCTTACTGGAAATTCTCACAAACAGTACTCATGATTTTCCAGTACCCTTTTTTTTTTCTTTTTTTTTAATTACAGATGCTCCTTGACTTACAATGGAGTTACCTCCAGAAAACCCATTGTAAATTGAAAATATCAGAAATAAAAAATGCATTTAATGCCTTGATAACCCCATCCTAAAGTTGAAAACCTTTGAGTTGAACCATCATAAGTCTGGGACCATCTGTATATGCTTTGCTTTTGTGCTTTTTGCAACACTATGCTACTGCATGTTTTTGCTTCTGTTCTAAGGTTTTTCTTTTCTGATTCTTTCATTGTCTTTGTCTGCTTTGGCTGCCATAACAAAATACCTGAGACTGGGTAGTTTATAAGAACAAACATTTAATTCTTTCAGTTACAGAGGCTTGGAAGTCCAAAATCAAGGCATTAGCATGTTTGGTATCCAGTGAAGGCTACCCATGGCTTCCAAGGTGGCACTTTGTTGATGTGTCTTCACATGGCAGAGGGGTGAATACCCTGTCCTCATGTGGCAGAAAGTGGAAGGGCAAAAAAACATGACTTGTTTCTTTCAGCATTTTATAAAGGCATGAATCTCATTTTAGAGAGTGGAATCCCCATGACCTAATTGCCTCCCAAAGGCCCCACCTTTCAATACCATCACCTGGGGTTTAAATTTTAACATATAAATATTGGAGGGATTCATACATTCTAACCGTAGCATTCCACCCAGGGCCTAAGCCTCTCTGAGGCATCCTTTGAAATTGTAGTGGAGGTAGCCATGCCTGCACAGCTCTTGTGCTCTGCAGAGTCAGCACCTCAAGGATGTCACCAAGGTTTATTACTTGTGCCTTCTGGAGGGGTGGCCCAAGTTGCACAGGGCCCGCTTAAACCAAAGCTGGTGGGTGGCCAAGGGGCTCTGCACCAGAATGCAGGGAGCAGAGGCTTGAGGTAAAACTGGGCATCTGTCCTTGAGATCCCACAGATGCCCTGGGCCCCTCCCTTGAAACAGTTTTGCCCTCAAGTCCCTGGCAGTCTGGGCCTATGATGGAAGAAGTGGCAGCCTCAAATATCTCCAAAATGCCTTAGAGTCATTCTTCTGTTGTCTTGGTAAATATTATCTGGCTTCCTTCTATCCAGAATAATCTCCTTATCAAATATACTCTTGGCTACTCCCTCACTGTTCTCTCCTAAACATGCCTTTTCTTTCTTTTTTAAAAACATGGCCAAGCTGATAATTTTTCAAATTTCTAACTTCTGCTTGTCTTTTGATTATACATTCTATCCTTATTTTGCTTTTCTCTTTTTGTATTTTACTACTGGCAGTCAGGAGAAGTCATGTCGTCACACCTTCAACACTTTGCTTAGAGATTTTTTTTCTGCTAAATATCCTAGTTTATCATCATTAATTTCTGATTTACATGAAACAATAAAACATGGACATGATTGAGTCAAGTTCTTTGCCACTTTATAACAAGGATGGTCTTTCCTCCCATTTCCAGTACCTTATTCCTCATTTTCGTCTAGGATCTCATCAGAATTGCCTTGACCATCTATATTTCTATCAACATTCTTATCAAGAGCATCTCAGTAGTCTCTAAGAAAATTGAAGCTTTCTCTATAGCTCTCCTCTTTTTCTGAGCTCACACCAGATTAGCCTCTATAGTCCAGCCTCTACCCATTACCCAGTTTTAAAGCTGCTTCCACAGTTTTAGGTATTTGTTATAGCAACAACCAGGTTCAGTGTTGACTGATTTCTGTCATAGTTTGCTCCTGCTGCTATAACAAAATACCTGAGACTGGGTAAATTATAAGAAGAGAAATTTATTCCTTACAGTTCTGGAAGCTGGAAAGTCCACCATCGAGGTGCTAGTAGAGTTGGTGTCTGGTGAGGGCTGCTCTTTTCTTCCAAGGTGGTGCTTTTTTTCCTGGTGGTAAAGCCTTCTGCCAGACAGCAAAAAAGGTGAATGCTGTGTTCTCACATGCAGGAACCAGAAGGGCAAGAGGCCTAGCTAGTTCCCTTCTGCTGTTTTATAAGAGCATTCGGCTCATTCGCTAGGGTGGAACCCTTATGATTAATCACCTCTCCAAGGCCCCACCAACATAGGAATTTTGGAGTGACACATACATTTAAAACATAGCACTCACTGCCCCTGCTGCTATAAAGATTTCTAATCTTTGCCTGCATATACTTCTTGGCATTAGTTCCCTCTGGTCTCTTCTGCTCTCACCATTAAAAACTCATTCCATCCTCTCACTTTTCGTGGTGCAGCTTTCACCTTTTGTAGTATGACTTCCTGGATCCTAGCTACAATTACAGCCTGAGGTATGTGACGACTCTCAAATTGTTTTCCGCTGTTTGCCACGGTAGAGAAAGTTGCTTATCTGTCCCACAGCAAGGATGTAGTGAGGTGAAAATCAAGGGTTCTTAAAATATTTTGAGTCCCAGAACCCTTTGGGATCTAGTTAAAATTATTATGAACCCTCAAGAAAGAAAGTATCCATACATAAGTATTATTCTGCATACAATTTTAAGAGATTTACCCCTGAAGTCATACATGTATCTGCTACTATTCTTTTGCCCAATACAGATCTACAATCTTTGCCCAAGGACCTTGCACCTCAGGTTAAGAGTTTTCTTATGCAAAGAAAAAAGATCATAGACTTTGTAATAATCCGGAGTGCAAATCCTGATTTTGACTATGTGATTCTAAAAGAAAACAACATTTCACTGAGCTAAAGCTCCCGCTTTTGTAAAATAAGGTTAACAATATTTATATTTCTGTGTTGTTAAGGATTAGAGATAATTTGATAATATCCTGGCATAGGGAAGCTCCTCAATAAACATAATATCATAATTAAAAACAATGTATCTCATTACTTCTAGTATAACATTAGGTCCTGCATTAAGATAACAATATTTGGTGTGTAGTGAACTAAATTAAAATTGTATTTAAGAAATTGCTGTGCCATATATTTTTCCCCCTTCAAATTTGAGCTATGGGCTTGTGCTAATTTTCACTGCTATGTTACTATGTTTATGTGCTGGTTATGTGAATAATAACCAGTGTTGAGTCAAGCCTGTGATAAAAGTTCTTAAATTCCTTCTAGTTACAGGAAGGAGGATTTTTTGATAGAGTTTAAAGCCGATAATTTATTCAACTAAAACTTTGCTCCTGTAGGCTTTTAACTCTTAATTGCAGCTTTATACATTGATTGGGATTTGTACAAATTTGGATTCTAAGTTTACAAACTGTCTTATGACCATTAAAAATTTTCAGATATCATTCCTGTTATAATTTATTAAATTGGAATCAGAAGGTTCTCAATAATTAAATAGTTGTTTACACACTTTGTACAATTTCATCACAAATATGGAAGGAAATAGGTGAAACTTGCCCAGGTTAATGCTGCTGAGATCTCAATAATCATGTTGATAGATGCTAACATGTAAAGATGGTAATCACACACCTCCTGACCTCTGGAGAGAATACAGGAACATGAACAGAGAGGCTCACCTTTTGTCTACACTGAAACAAAGGCATAATCATATCCTTTTGAGCTAAGAGGGAGAATAAAATCTCAGTTTTAGTTGTTTATGCTCTTGGTGTACTCGTTTTATCATTTGCTCACAAACACCCGTTATGGGCCAGTCTCTTTGCTTGACCTTAGAGATAAAAAGATATATAACACATAGGTCTTTCTTTCACAGGCAAAGTAGAGAGTGAGTGTTTGATTCTCATTTAGAACAAGACTGCAAAGTGCTGTGGTTAAGAACACAGGCTTTACTATCCAACAGACCTGGTCAGCATCCTGCCTCTGATATTTACTGTCATGCCAATTTAGCCACATTTTCAAAGCCCTCTGTGAATGGTATGTAACTTGCAGGATTGGCGCAGAAATTAAATAGCATAACGTATGTGACATTCTTAGCAAAATGGCTAACATATACTAGTTGCTCAATAAACAATGGTTATCTTTATTGCATCTACATCACGTTAATGCCAATAACAGCGACAGCTTCTCAGTGACACCATGGAGTTTTATTTTTTTGCTGAGTGAGCACAGATAGGAGTTGCTCTGGAGCAACTTTTAATTGCTAAATACTATTAAAAACAATAACCTACTTATTTCAAACAAATAATCATTTTGTATTAAAGAATCTCATAGGGTATGCTTTACTAGCTATTTTCTGACAGTAATCTAAGTCTGAGACATTCCAATTAAAATGATCTATTGGTTTTTTTGAAACCCTCCATTAAGAACAGATACTATGAAGAAAAAATAGAAAATTAAGATTAAATTAAATCTGTATCTATGTTTTGTTATCCTAAGCTCTGAAACAAATCTACAATTTATATTTTATTTCCAAAATGCATCCAATTATTTGTTTCACAAAACTACTGATGTATTCATATGTACATACACACATTTACACTTACACATACACATATGTGTATTTATCAACCAAGTGCCCAAATCTCAAGAAGATACCTTATTAGGCAACATCACGTTTTCTTTTTTTTTTTTTTTTTTTCAGAGACGGAGTCTTGCTCTTTCACTCAGGTTGGAGTGCAGTGGTGTGATCTTGGCTCACTGCAACCTCCCCCTCCCGGGTTCAAGCAATTCTCCTGCCTCAGCCTCCCAAGTAGAGCCTCCGAGATGCTGCTGAGATCTCAATAACCATGTTGATAGATACTAACATGTAAAGATGTTTTATTTTTTGACTACAGGCACACGCTGCCACACCTGGCTAATTTTTTTTTTTTTTTGTATTTTAGTAGAGATGGGGTTTCGCTGTGTTGCCCAGGCTGGTCTTGAACTCCTGAGATCAGGCATTCCACCCGCCTCAGCCTCCCAAAGTGTTAGGATTACAGGCATGAGCCACCGCGCCCGGCCACATCGCATTTTCTTGGTTAGGCATTAGCACATCTCTTTGAGAGTAACTGCCCAATGTCTGTACTTTTTTCTCACTATAGACTTTCTAACAATAGCAAATAAAAACAAAATAATCTCAAAACTAAATTTTAAAATACTTCATACCTCAATTACCCATCAGGAGCCATAGAACTTAAATGAAAATAACCAAATCTCCTGGTTTCAAAAACTAGTTATTAAAAATAAGATTGTCTTATTTCCTCCTATATTTTCTTAATAAAATATTCTTCCATGACCCACAATGCATTATATAAGAACATGTCAAATGTAAGTGACCAATTCCTTATATAAACCTTAATAAATATATACTTTTGCATGATACCTTGTACAATAAACCCTTAAGTTCTGGAATGCATTTGTAGACACAATTCAATTTTTCATAGACGTAATGTGATCTTTAAAAACATTATTTTTAAAAGCCACAGTGCTTTTTCTTCTTCTGCCACTGACTCTAAAGTTATTGGTAATTTCTTGAATGTTTCCACGACACCTGACAAATATGGCTAAGTATTTCCATAATGTCTATCATAGTGATATCTAGGTGCTCTGAAAGCAGTATTAGACTATAAATGTAATGAATGAGGGAGAGTGCAGAGCTCATGTGTTTCCACAACTCTGTTGGAGCTGTTCAAGTAGTTATGGGTTAGAGGAAACTGTATAGGGTCAGTGCTTTTGGTTTATAGAGTTATAATTGCCATTTGGCTGGAAAAGGGAGAGAGTTGCTACTTCACTCTTGTGGCCCCAGGACTTAGGGTATTAACATTTGTAAATTTTATAATCAGTAGTTTTAGAATTTGATTTTTCAATTTTTAAAAGTAGTAGCATGAACATATTTCTAATTCAGCTTTCCTATGATCAGGGATTCCTAATGGACTGACAATAATGAATGTATAATTCAAAGTTGAAATTAAGTAAGGATAAAAAAGACATGTTAATAAACTGAGATTGTTTAGTCTAAACACGTAGGATAGTAAACAATAATAATAGTAACCACAGTGATAAAGTACAGTGGACTGAATGCTTGTGTCCACCCAAAATCCATGTGTTGAACCTAATCCTAATGTGATGGCATTTGGAAGCGGGGCCTGTAGGAGGTAATTAGGTCATGAGAGTGGAGCCTTCATGAATGAGATTAATGCCTTTATAAGAAGAGGCCGGAAAACTGTCTAGCTGTCCTTTCTCCATGTGAAGATATGGCAATAAGATGGCTTTTGCAAACCAGGAACAGGACTTCAACTATGCTGGCACCCTGATTTTGGACTTTCAACCTCCAAAATTGTGAAGTATAAATGTCTATTTTTTTAAGGTTTCTAGTTTGAGATACTTTGTCATAGCAGCCCAAGCTGGCTAATATACTAAGCATAAAAATACTTAGTCTTTTGGAATTGCTCTGGTGCTTTAAATTTAAGCAAGACTTTGGTTTGTCTAAATAAGCCTTGCAGTATGCTTGCCATGTTATGACTGAGGAAAAAAAAAAAAGTAAAATTACACTCACAGTTTATGTCAGCATGAGGAGTTAAGCTTGATATAACTGCGAAGTTTATTAAGAATTAAAATGAATTCCTAAGGGGAAATATGGAATTTTCCAAAAATATGTCTAAACATTTCTTAATCTACCTGACACTTTTGAGGCTGTGTGTTAGGAAAGCAAGAAGTTGGCCGGGTGCAGTGGCTCATGCCTGTAATCCCAGCACTTTGGGAGGATGAGGTGGGTAGATCACAAGGTCAGGAGATCGAGACCATCCTGGCCAACATGGTGAAACCCCGTCTCTACTAAAAATACAAAAATTAGCCAAGTGTGGTGGCACGCTCTTGTAATCCCAACTACTCAGGAGGCTGAGGCAGAAGAGTTTGAATCCAGGAGGTGGAGGTTGCAGTGAGCCAAGAACACGTCATTGTCCTCTAGCCTGGCTACAGAGTGAGACTCCATCAAAAAAAAAAAAAAAAAGCAAGAAGTTGTATACAAGATCTCTGGTCTCTTTATTTTCTATAAATTTGGCACATTTTAATGTATATATTTAAGTTGCACAACATGAGGTTTTGATATACACATATATAGTGAAATGGTCACCACACTCAAGCAAATTAATATAGGTCACTTCACAGTTACCTTTTTTTATGTGTGATAAGAGCACTTAAACACTACTCTCTTAGTAGATTTTCAGTATGAAATACAATAGTCCTTAACTATAGCCCTTATGCCATACAGTAGATCTTTAGACCTATTCATTCTATATAACTACAACTTTGTACCTTTTGACCTATATCTCCTCATTTTTCTCCCCCCTTAACTCCTGCCAGCCACCATTCTGCTCTCTGTTTCTATGTATTCAACTTACAGAATATTAACATGTAAGTGAAATCATGCAATATTTTTCTTTCAATGTCTGTCTTATTTCACTTAGCATAATGTCCCTAGTTTTGTCCATGTTTTTGCAAATGACAGGATCTACTTTTTAAAAGACTGAATAACATTCCATTGTGTGTTTCTGCACGTGTGTGTGTATTTCTTTATTCATCTATCAACAAATACTTAGGTTGATTTCACATCTTGACTATTGTGAATAATGCTGCAGTAAACATGAGAGCACAGATATCTCTATGTAGTGCTGATTTCATTTCATTTGGGCATATACCCAGAAGAGGTATGGTTGGGTCATATGGTAGTCCACTCCCTATTGTTTTGAAGAACTTTGATACTGTTTTTCATAATGACTATATCAAATTACATTCCAACCAATGGAATGTTGTTGTAGATGTACAAGCATTCCCTTTTCTCCACACTTTGGCCAATACTTGTAGCTTATCTTTTTGATAACAGCCATTCTAACAAATGTGAGGTGATATTGACATTTCATTGTGGTTTAGATTTGTGTTTCCCTGATGATGAGTGATGCTAGGCACCTTTTCATGTATCTCTTCACCACTTTTACGTCTTCTTTGGGAAATGTCCATTTAGATATTCTGTCTATTTTCTAATCAGGTTACTTATTTTCATTTTGTTTGCTATTGAATTGTATGAGTTTCTTGTATATTTTGGATCTTAACATTTTATCAGATATTTGGCATGCAAATATTTTCTCCCAGTCTGTAGGATTCTTTTCATTTTATAGATTGTTTCCTTTGTCATGTGGAAGCTTTTTATTTTACTGTAGTCCCACTTATTTATTTTTGCTTTTATTACCTGAACTTTTGGTGTGATCACCAAAAAATAATTGCCAAGGCCAAATTTATTATTTAATTATAATGTGAATCTATTTCTGCTTGATATAGTTTGGATTTTTGCCACCTCCAAATTGCATGTTGAAATGTAATTCCCAATGTTAAAGGTGGGGACTGGTGGGAGATATTTGAGTTGTAGGGGAAGATCCTTCATGGCTTGGTGCTCTCCTCTCAATAGTAAGCGAGTTCATGTGAGATCTGGTTGTTTAAAAATCTGTGGCACCTCTTCCCTGTCTCTCTCTTGCTCCCACTCTGATGATGTAATATGCCTGCTGCTGCTTTGCTTTCTGCTGTAAGTAAATTCTCCCTGAGGTCTCCCCAGAAGCTAAGCAGATGCTTGCATTATGTTTGTACAGCCTACAGAACCATGAGCCAATTAAAACTCTTTTATTCATGAATTACCCTGCTTCTGGTATTTCTTTATAGCAACATAAGAACAGACTAACCCAGCAAATTGGTACCAGGAATAGGGTGTTTCTATAAAGATACCTGAAATCATGGAAGTAGCTTTGAAACTGTGTAACTGTCAGAGGTTGGAAAGTTGAGAGGGCTCAGAATAAGATAGGAAGATAAAGGAAGGTTTGAGATTTCTTAGATACTGGTTAAATGGTTTGACCAAAATGCTGACACTGATATCGACAATGATGGCCAGGCTGACAAGGTCTCAGAAATGAGAAACTTACTGGGAACTGGAGCAAAGGTCATGCTTATTATGCCTTAGCAACGAATTTGGCTGCATTGTGTTCATAACCAAGGGATCTGTGGAAGTGTGAACTTAAGAGTGATGACTTAGCATATATGAAAGATAAAATTTCTAGGGAACAAAGATTTCAAGATGTGGCCTGGCTGCTTCTAACAGCCTATGTGCAGATGCAGGAACAAAAAATTACTTTAAGTTGGGAGTTATATTTAAAAGGAAAGTAGAATGTAAAAGTTTGGAAAATTTGCATCCTAGCAATGTATCAGAAAAGAAAAGCCTGTTTTCAGGGGAAGAACCCAAGCAGGCTGCAGATCAATCACTTGCTAGAGAGATCTGC
This sequence comes from Homo sapiens, assembly GCF_000001405.40. NCBI lineage: Eukaryota > Metazoa > Chordata > Mammalia > Primates > Hominidae > Homo > Homo sapiens. The sequence goes on along the minus strand of NC_000008.11, from coordinate 76,549,914 downwards.
ATGACTAAAAGGGAGCCAGGTTCTGATAGCCAAGGCAATGGACAAAAGAACTTGAAGGTATTTTGAGAGATCCATGAGGCAGCTCCTTCTATCACAGGCCCAGAGACCTAAAAGGGACGAATGGTTTCATGGGCCAGACCAGGCGTGCTAAAGCCCTGTGCCATCCCAAGATGCTAATCCCCATCTCCCTGCTGCTCCAACTCCCGCTATGGCTAAAAGGTCCCCAGATACGGCCCAGGCTGCCCCTTTGGACAGCATAAGCCATAAGTCTTGGTAGCTTCCAAATGGGCTTATACCTACAGGTGCACAGAATGCAAGAGAAGGCTGCTTGTTGGCTTCCATCCAGATTTTAGTGGATGTATCAGAAAGCCTGGGTACCCAAGCAGAAGCCTGTCACAGAGGCAGAGACCTTACAGAAAACCTCCACTAGGCCAGTGCAGAGGGGAAATGTGGGATTGGAGTCCCAACACAGAGTCAGCACCAACACACTGCCTAGTGGAGCGTGGGAATGGGGCCACCACCCTCCAGACCACAGAATGGTAGATCCACTGGTAGCTTGCATCCTATGCCTGGAAAAGCCACGGGCACTCAACTTCAACCCATGGGCACAGCCAAGTGGGCTGCAGCCTGCAAAGCCATAGAGGTGGAACATCCCAGGGCCTAGGGAGCCCATCCTTTGCACCAGTGTGCTCTAGATGTGGGACATGCAGTCAAAGGAGATTATTTTTGAGCTTTAGGATTTAATGATTGCCCTGCTGGATTTCAGACTTGTATTGGAGCTGTACCCCTTCTTTCAGTCAATTTTTCTCCTTTGGAATGGGAATGCATACCCAATGCCTATACTACTATTATATCTTGGATGTAAATAACTTTTTTAAATCTCACAGGCTCATAGATGGAAGAAACTCATCTCTAGATAAAACTTTAGACTTGGGACTTTTGAGTTAATGCTGGAATGAGTTAAGACTTTGGTGAACTGTTAGGAAGGTATGATTGTATTTTGCAATGCAAGGAGGACATGAAATTTGTGGGGGGGCGCAGAGGAAGAATGATATATAATTTGGATGTATGTTCCCTCAAAGTCTTATGTTGAAGTATAATCCCCAGTCTTCGGGGTGGGGACTGGTAGGAGATATTTGGGTCACGGGGACGGATGTCACATGGCTTGGTGCTGTCCTCACAATAGTGTGTGGCACCTCCCTCCTTTCTCTCTTGCCCCTGCACTCATCATGTGACATCCCTGGTTCACCTTCCACCATGAGTAAATAAATCTCTAAGGCCTCCTCAGAAACCAGTATCATGCTTGTCCAGACAGCCTGTAGAACCGTGAGCCAATTAAATGAGCCAATCAAACTGCCTTTCTTTATAAATTACTCAGCCTCGGGTATTTTTTATAGCAACACAAAGACAGACTACCACACTGTTCTTTCTTCAATTTTCTCATTGAATATCTGAATGTTGATAAGTGGAAAGGTACATTCTAGTCATTCTAGTGAATAACTAGATGTTACTTTCTGGCACTATTCTGGAAAGATTACTAAAAATCTATTGACTCACCTCAAAATGAAAAGGAAGTTATGACCAGTAGTACCTAGTACATGTTCATTAAGAACAAGTGAAACCCACTGGGCAGCCAAAAGATGATGTACCAGGGCAGCATGAAACATCTGACAAAATAGCTCAGGGATCCCAGTGTGAAAGCTAGAGAGACGCAAACCCTATGGTGGCAGTTTTGAGGTGAATGTTTTAATTGGCAGCCTTCTTCTACAAAGATTCTCTCTTGGGCCTTCCCAACTCAAAAATTATACTAATGACTTCAAAGAAAAGAATTATGGCATTCTGATCACAGTTTGGAAAATGTGAACAGCCAATGAGTGGCTTTTATGATATTGTCAGGATTTTTACAAACCAAATAAATAAAATAAAATTTAATAACCTTAGAAATTGCCCCATAAAGATTAAATAAACCAGTTGTACTAATGTATGTAATGGGAAAATAGGTAATTTAACAGTGATTAAAAAGCGTTAAGTGAAAATTACCTTCATTCAACAAATATTTGTTGGGCATCTAATATCTGCCAGTCACTGTGCTAGAGTTATGAATGAAAAGGTAAAGAAGACAAATACACTTTTCTTTTTAACCTCATGGAGTTACATCCTAGTTAGTGAGATAAAAAAATTAAACAGCAAATGAATATGTAAACAAAATAATGATTTTGAAAGTGCTAGAGGCAGAGGAGAAGGAAGGGCTATCAAGAGAAAGTCCAATAGGGAAGGGATATTTTAGATAAAATACCCGGGGAGGTCCTCTTTGACCATGTAATATTTAAGTAGAGGTGTGAAGAAAGAGAAGAGGCTAATCACATCAAGAGGCATGGGAAGAATTTTTCACATAAAGAGAATAACAAATACACAGTTTCAGGGGCAGAAAAGACCCTGATGTGATCTAGAAAGAGCTAATAGGTCAGTAGTGGTGGACTGTGGAGATCCAGGAAGAGAAAAGTATATGATGACATTTTAAAGGTAGAAGGATGCTGAAACACATTATTATGGTAATCATATAAAACATTATTGTGGCCTTAATTAAGGTAGTCACAGAGATAGAGAAAAGAGGACAATTTGAAATATACATTAGAGGTAGAACAGATAAGATCCACTGATGGATTAGAGGTGAAGGTAAGAATTAGGGAGCAGAATTAAAACTGTCTCTCAATTTTCTGGTTTGAGATAGCATGAGGTGATTGTGCTACTTCATAGAGATAAGTTAGGGTGAAAAAGATTTAGGGGAGATTCAAGATTTCCATGTTGCCATGTTATATTAAAAGTGAATGTGAGATCTTTCAGTGGAGTGCAAAATAGTCAATTAAATATATGAGAAAAGGTCTGAATTAGAGACATCACTATGAGACTCATAAGCACAGAGATGGCATTTCAAGCTTTGTCAATATATGAGACTATCTTGGGAGAGAGTTAGAAAAAGGATTAAAAGAGGGTTCGGGACTGAGCAGGTAGAAACTCAGCATTTAGGGGTTGCAAGAGAAAGAGGTGGTGAAGGAGACCAAAGACTGGCCAATGAGGATTGTAAAATCATGTAGTTTGAGGAGACATGGGAGGCAAGAGGGAAAAGTATTTTTAAAGTGAGGGAAAACATCAGCTTAATCAGATGGAATAGGATGAGAACCAAAAGGCTATTGGATTTGGCAACTGGGATGTGATGAAGATCTTGACAAGTGCAGTTTCGGTGAAGTTAGAGAGAAATACGATAGATAATAGGAGGTGAGAATAGATAGAAGAGATAGAGAAAAGAGAAAATGGAAGGCAAGGAAATAGAAACATTACATTTAATCAAATAATTTTAGAAGTTTCTGTAAAAGGAGCAGGAACAGGGTGGAGTGTTGCCTGGAAAGAAATGTAGTGTCAAGGGAGGTGTTGATGTTTAATGAAAAATCTTAACACATGATAGTATGCTTATGTAAATCTAATAGTAACAAAGAAAGTTTGATAACTGCATGATCAAAATTCTTAATAAGCTAGAAGGCAAAATCAAAGAGAGACACAAAGTACAGATAAACATTGGTTTGTAGCTTTGGATATAGGAACTTGAGGAAGTTGTACTTTCTTCTGTTTTCTCAAAGAAGTATGAGTTGATGTCAATAGCAAAGTCTTACAGGGTAGAAGAATTTGTGGGAACTTTGAGAAGAAAATATAAGGCATAAAGTAGTCATTGTGTGGGAAATATAATAATTAGACTCCTGGGGAAACACAGTATTATTACATGGAAGGACTGAGCATCCAGTTGAGGTTTGCGATAATGAATTTAAAGGGAACTAGTTAGCTTGAGTGGTTTACTCCAAATATTTTCAGCTACATTTTTTTTTTGGTGGAAGATTTATGGACAGAAAAAGGGAAGTGACATGCAGAAAACAGAAGTGTTGAACATAAACAACTAGACTAGTTACAGCTTGGCATTTGCCTTATTTGGACCTGGTTTGAAAAGTTGGCTGCTTTTGATTGGCTGAAACTCCGAGATTGTAACAAGAGTAGGCTACAATTTGTTTACACATCAAGTTACATTCACTGTAACCAGTTAGGTTATAGTTAGGTTAGTCTACAGTTCACTGTGCACTGAGAAACCTTAGGCTGAGCTTAGAGTATGTAAGGAGGCAGCTTTAAGCTAAACTGCGAAACTGAATTTAACAGTTTCCTCATTTTGGTCATCTTTTCAATTTTGAGAGATTGACTTTAGGCATTGCTGTCACACTGTCATCATTCTAAATGTACTTATTTGGTCTCAAATCTTACTGGGGAATAGCAGGTCAGTGAATTTTGTAAGGTGGGAATAAGGACTTCAGGTTACTTTTTTGTAATGGTTAGAGTACAGGGGACCTCCTTGTGCTGTTTTCTCGTTTTCAGAAGTAAAACAAAACCAGGTCTGCTTTAGGACTCATCTGCTTTCTTAAAGTTTTAGTTTGATTATGTCACATTTAGCATGAGTGACTGATCTTGGTTTGGTGTGGTCTGGTGTGTTGGGGCATAGTGTACAAACTCAGTCTAAAACAATGGACTGCCATAATTTTGTTTAACAATTCCCCTTTTTTGGTCAGGTTCTCATTTAGGCGAGAGTGTGACCAAAACTTGGGGCCTTAGCTCCACTCTCAGTTGCCATCATTTTGGGTTTCTGGTCTCAGCATGTCATTCATAGGTTACTGTGTCCTTACAGTGCACATTTTAGTTTTTGCCATTTTAGTTGAAGAAGGATCATTTGACATTCTACAGATAGCTACAGGCTACCATTTAAAACTTCTGAGAGAATACAGTGCACCAGGGAGATGACTATTATGTCTATCTGGAGGATAATTCCAAGAGCTCAGAATATGCTCCTTAGCCAGGGTCTTCATCAACCAAACCAACTAAAATCAAATAGATCAAAGAATGAGTTAGATAGGGAGTCTACTCATTTCAACCAAGCAGCCTATTCATTAATCCCCTACATCTGAGCCTCTGTAATACCCGATGTATTCCTCTATGTCCAGCTAGAACTATCAGCAACTGTGTAGAAATTTCTCTGCTCAGCCAGTAAGCAATCTACAGCAATTCTACTATTTAGCACAACTTTCACAAGAGAATTTAAAGCTTTGTTGTGTAACCATAGCCTTTGCAGTAGAATCTGCTATAGAGCCGATTGTGGGGGATAAATTTCTAATCATTGCCTCATTTACTCCAAGCCATGGATAAAGAGACCTAACAAATAATGCCCATCCAGAAGAGTAAAGGCCTCTGGAAATGTTTTCTTTAACTTATGCTGGCAATGTTCTCTTTAATCTATGATGTAGTTTAAGTGGACCACTGTTCTTCTTTTTCTGACTGATTATGAAGCAACAAAGGTACTATTAACATTTCTTTCCAGCTTCTTCGTTTCCAGTACTCAAGAAAATGGTAAAGCTCCTCTACTGTTGTGATTTGCCAGAGGAACATTATGAAAGAAAAGAGTAGGAAGGGAATTGAAGATGTTTTAGGGAATTATTACAGGACAGAAAATGAGCTCCATATTGGAGAATAAGGGGCATAAGGATAGGTGTAAACTTTTGAATGGTGAAAAAGAGGTAGGATAAAGGGGCTCACATTTTGTTTTAAGAAAGTAACACCAGGGTCATTAGGGCAAGTTAACTTGTAAGATTATATGTGGGAGCTGAGCACGGTGGCTCACACCAGTAATCACAGCACTTTGGGAGGCTGAGGCAGGCAGATCATGAGGTCAGGGGTTCTAGACCAGCTTGACCAACATGGTGAAACCCCATCTCTATTAAAAATACAAAAATTAGCTGAGTGTGGTGGCATATGCCTGTAATCCTAGATACTGAGGAGGCTGAGGCAGGAGAATTGCTTGAATCTGGGAGGCAGAGGTTGCAGTGAGCCGAGATAATGCCATTGCACTCCAGCTTGGGCAACAGAGCAAGACTCCATCTCAAAATAAATAAATAAATGAATATATATATATATATATATATATATGTATAAATAAAGATATTATGTAGTGACTAGAGTGAGATGTTTTATACTAAAGTTTCAACAGCTTCACAATTTCCAGTAACGATAAAGTGTAGAATGTGATCATGGCAGATGGTGAATTAAGGGGAAGAAAGAAAATTATCACTGGAGTTGAGGTCAAGAACTAAGAGTCCAGGGTCCATCACATGGATGTTAGAATGTTAGGTCAACACCGTGTTGTGATTGTGCTTCCTGAATTATTGTGTGGTCTTAGGCAGTACTAATGAAGGTATAGTAATTAGAAGAAGGGAGATGGTAGTTATGTTCTATGGGACATTGGAAAGCCTTTATTTTAGTAATGTCTTTAACTCTGTGTGCCACACTTTGAAAGGGATTATGCCAAACAGAAAAATAATCAAAGCAACAGAAAAGGATAGTGAGAAAAATTTTAGATATATCATAAGAGAAACAATTGAAGAGATTAGGAGTGTTTAGGTTAGAAACGAGAAAAACATTAGGGGAAATTGAGAATTGTTTTCAAATAGTATGTAGGGAAAAAAACTGGATTTGTTCTGTGTTGTTTCTGAGGAAGAACTGATCGATCAAAGCCTGTATCTTACAGGAAGAGATATTTCAGACAATGAAGTTTTCTTACAGTCAAGTATGTCTAAAGACAAAATAAGTTTCCTTGCAAAATATTGAAGTCTTATCATTGGAGGTGTCCAATCTGGTAGGCATATGGACAAGGATTTTCAAGAATCAGAGGCTAATGTCCTTTCAAATGTTCACAGTCCATAAGGTCATCAAATCCAGAATAACCCAGCATTCAAGACCATGAGTTTTAATGTGGTGACGATTTTTTCCTGGTCTATGTGTTTGGGTGTGTGATACTATTTTATTTTTTATTTTATACTTTCAAATATTTGTAACAAAATGAATGTTGTAAAGTGTAAAACTTATCAGACATAGAATTAAAATTTCTGTATTTGTACACCAACTATGCTGTTTATTACTACTTCACTTCACTTCACTTTTACACATATGTAACATGAGAATAACCACTTGGTTAATGAGTTGATGGTTAATAAATTATTTTTTGTAGAAAGCAGGCCAAAGAAAGGTGCTAAGCTTTATAGAAACAGGTGAATTTTCAAAAGGAAAAGAAAACATACTGATGATTAGAATGGCATGGAGAGGTTCTAATAGCTTTCCTGATATTCCCATTGTATGGAGAATCACTAATAAGTATGAGGTGAAAAAACAGAAAGGACTATAACCAAAATAATAAAGCTATTATCCAACTTATAAATAATTGGTTCTTTATATATTCTCAGTACCTAGAATAGTTTTTTTAAACTTAAAATATCTAGCCTAAGAATATATTGGTTTTATGACAATTTACAAGATGAGAAGTACTAAGGCTTGATAATAGTATGGTTACATCTTCAAGTTCATGGCCACAAAGGAGCCTTTAAATATACAGAATACAGTAGAAAACTAACAGCCAGATTATGCCACCCTGGGGACTTTATATAGTAGTATGTTACTTTCTATACCAATCTTTCACATTTTTACATTGACTGCCTCTGTTAAGCCCCTACAGGGCTTGAGAAAACAGAGGAAAAACACTTAGACTCACACCCCCAAGTAATCCAAACTAACTAAGAGAATGGAATTTTGCATAATTTAGTCTCAGGGGTTTAAATTTGGCACCAGTAGTATATTGATGACTTGGCTGGATGGAGCCTCAGCATGTCATGGGGTTAAGAGCTCTTGACTTAGAATTAGAAATGTTGCAGTTGAGCTGTTTTCCACGAGGCCTCTTTGGATAAATCTTTTAGTGTTCTTCAGCCTCAGTTTTTTCCTAACCTGTGCTAATAATTCCATCTCACCCACCTCATGGTTTTTATGTGAGGAACAAAGTGGAGGGCACATACATTTCAAGGAGGAAGTTACAGGTGGATGTTTACACATGTTATTTTTAAAAAAGCTTCCTATATATATAGTCTTCAAAGAAGTTACTGATTTGCACATTTGTTGCTCAGAAATAATTGCCAAGGCTCAGCAGTCTAAGGAACCTACCAAAGGTCACAAGCAACAACACAGCCAACATGGAATGCGAGTTTACTAATTTCAAAGCCCAAGATTTTTCCACAGCACAGAAATGCATTGATGTGTGCCAATGTTTGCAAACAGCAAAACATTCATTTATTCCAGGAATAGCAAAAAGTTATACTAAAAAACAGATTTAATGATAGTACATTACTTGGCTCTGTAGTGAATAATATTTGCATAAGTATAATAACTTAAACCATGTCTACTTATTTAACTAAACATAGTTTTATCAGGAAGACACAGTTTTAGAGGATAAAGACTAAATTAATAAACCAAAGAAAACAGTACCACTAGCATATCACTTAAAAATTTGTATGTAATTACTGAAAGAATCAGATAAAACAAAGAAGATGAAAATAATGGATTGTACTAGGAGCAGAGAACACAAGAACAAAGAGCTACTGTTTTCTATGATGAGCTTTTTATTGCTACTTGATTTTTAACTGTGTCCATGTATTACATTGAGAAACATACAAGATGGAAAATACAGAAAACTTTGAAAAGCTTACTGAGGCCACCTTGTAAATATGCTGCATTTTATGTTGAGCTTTTGAGAGCATTGTAGCATTGATCTTGTTCTTTACATTTTCATATTCTGGCAAGTTAGAACATTTAGTGTCTATTAAGATATTTAAAAAGTGAGAGGTTATTAGATCCCTATGAAAAGTATGTTTACTAAGTTTGAAAGCTGAATTTTTAGTCTGTGGCCAGTCTTTGTTTTTTAATTATTGCTCATAGTTAAAAAAGCATGTTGCTTTTTTCTGTTGAAGAATTTTGGTTAAGGTGAAAACTCGCAGCAGGATGAATGTGGAAATCTATAGTAAAGATGTAAGAAATCTTGCTTAAGATATGTCTAGAAATAATCTCATAATCTTGCATCCTTCAATTAGGCTTCCAAACTCACTCAGTATTCCTGGAGTTTAGGTACCACTAATGATGAAATGATGAGTGAATTCCTTAAGGGCTAAAACTACATGACCAGGAAAAGGCAAGTCTTTCCTGAATCACAATATGACAGGTAAAGTACTGGGTTTTATGCCTGGCCATACTCAAAAAGCATAGGGGAAATAGGTATCTTTAGCTAAAGGCACCTCTCTATTTTTAGTTGACAGATCGATAAAATGAAAATATATGACAATCAAATTTATATTTCCTAACTTTTACAGAAAATATTTCCCTCCATGTACATGTGTATTTATATATATGGATGCCCATACATATGTATTACACATTTATAGTCAAAATATGAACATGTAAAAAGTTATGAGTGATTTTACATCCTAACTATCAACATTTATATATCTAACTACATGCTGTCCTTTGGAGAATAGTTCTCTTGGATAGCATTATACTTATCCTAATATTCTTTCTAAATGTAGAAGTCTCCTTTCTAAAAATTGGCTTCTTTGGCTGGGTGCGGTGGCTCACACCTGTAATCCCAGCACTTTGGGAGGCTGAGGTGGGTGGATCACAAGGTCAGGAGATCGAGACCATCTTGGCTAACATGGTGAAACCCCATCTCTACTAAAAATACAAAAAATTAGCCGGGTGTGGTGGCGGGTGCCTGTGGTCCCAGCTACTCAGGAGGCTGAGGCAGAAGAATGGCGTGAACCCCGGGAGGCAGAGCTTGCAGTGAGCCAAGATCGCTCCACTGCAGTCTGGCCTGGGCGACAGAGCGAGACTCCGTCTCAAAAAAAAAAAAAAAAAAAAATTGGCTTCTTTGATAGTACATCCTACCAAAGACTCTTGGAGATAGATTGTAGAAAATCAATGTCTGGGATCAGCTGAAAGTATTTGGAATGAAATCTTGTGAAGGTGAGTGAGAGACCTGAGTCATAGGGTTATGAGTCAACTATAAGGTTTGATGATAAAAGCTAACTTTATGTTTCTTGTTGGTTAAACTAAAAATCTCCAATGGAAATCCAATAAAGCAAGTTCCATGTGTGCTTCTAAAAATGTGTCCTCATTGGTATATGTCTTGAATCTTGAAAACTATTCTCTTTCGGTAGAAATTTTGACATTGCCCAACACAGAATAAAGAAATAGGCATCTTATAAACACTTCATGCATGAGTCCAGATATATGAACGAGAAATAAATCTTATAAGGACAAAAGATGAATTAAAGAAAAAAACATGGCTGAAGTTAAAGAAATCAGCCAGGAGGCAATATAAAGGGGAACTTAGGCTGGTAGAATACAGGTTGTTGTGATTTGGCTGTGTCCCCATCTAAATTTTATCTTAAATTATAGCTCCCATAATTCTCACATGTTGTGGGAGGAACCTGGTAATTGAATTATGGGGGTAGGTCTTTTCCTTGCTGTTCTTGTGATAGTTAATAAGTCTTATGAAATCTGATGGTTTTATAAAGGGGAGTTTCCCTGCACATGCCCTCTTGCCTGCTGCCATGTAAGATGTGCCTTTGCTCCTCCTTTGCCTTCCGCCATGATTGCGAGGCCTCCCCAGCCATATGGAACTGTGAGTCCATTAAATCTCTTTTTCTTTATAAATTACCGAATCTTGGATAGGTCTTTATTAGCAGCATAAGAACAGACTAACAGAGTAATACACAGTTCTACCAACCTAAGTTGTTAGTCATTTTGCCAACAACTATGGAAACCTTCCTAAGAAATGAAGATAACCCAGAAAAAAGCTGGTCCAAGACAGAGAGAAAGTACTTGCTTGATGACAATCTTTGCTTTCCTTGATCCAGCCATTCATAAAGACAAATATCTCTAGAATTCACAATTAAGCGGGCCAATAAGTATACTTTATATTTACATTTATATTTATTTATTTATTGGTGGTAGTAGTCAAGGAGGAGACAGAGAAGAGAGGAAGTGAAGATGGAGAACTAGGGATAAGAATGAAAGGAAAGGCTGAATCAACCCAGGGGAAATTATTGCTACCCTTGAGAAACATGAGAGAGTTGGGAACAGTAACCAGTTTGAGGAATTGAAGAAAAGATTAATTTACTATCTTAAAAACTTAATTTTGAGAGAATGATGTGAGTTATTTCTTCCAATGAGCTCCTACTGCTTACTTATGATTATGCTTCTTATGTAACCTCAGTTCACAAAGTTACAAACTGAAAGGCCCCTGCCATAAAGAAGCTTGCTGTCTAATAGCTGAACATACATTTCCACAACCCTTCTGAAATAAGTACTATTATTCTGCTCATTTTCTAGAGAGAAAATATGGGGATTAGTGAATTTAAATTTGCTCAAACAATGTTTCAGAGCTAGAATTTGACCCCATTCTTGATTTCAGATTATAAGCTCCTGAGCATCTCCATTATATGTATACACTCTTTCCAGATTTCTTGCATGTTCTGCAAGCTAAATTTAATTATATATTTCCTGTGTCTTTGGTAATAAAAATATACTAGGAGATAAATGTAAGTTTCCAAGAGTATAGATTTCAACTTAATACACTCAACAAAACTAATAATGAGCCATACACAGCTTAATTATAATATTGTCCTGAAATGAATATAAACTTAATGTTTCATTCCATATTTATCTACAATACTCAAACTAACAATACTGATAATTGTCATCCATAAAATACTTCTTTAAACAAGAAAACATGCAAACAATACCAGCTATAAGGAATACAAATTTCTGACTGGAAATTATATCAGAAAAGTCTGTGTACTTTCAATACACTCTAAATGCTACATATTGTCTCTGATCTGTGTACCAAACAAAAGTCTTAATGTTATTGCTTTTGCTTATCACCTTTACCCATAGCATCTCTTTGAACTAAGCTAATAGTACTATCTGCATGGTGCTTTCTACTTATTAAACACTTGAATTATTAAAGTCTTTCTTTATCTTTCTTAGTACTACTTGTGGCAATGTCGGCACTGATCTGCCCTTTTTTCCAGGTAAAAGTTACTACTTCTTTCATTTTCCTAAAACAAATGCTGTTTTGCACAGAATAAATTAGAGGAAAGGCATAATAATGTCAGGAAGAAGGTTAAAGATTCTATGTTTCCTCTTGTGGGCATGTCTCACTTTCATGCATAACCTGTAGGGATGATCTCATATGCATAGCCAGAAGAAAACGGACAGACCTTTCAGTCAACGTTAGAGTAATCTAGGAAGCTCTTCTCCAGCAATCCTGAAGTAAGCTTCAATGAGAACAATTGGATTTGGAAACTTATGGCAACCATTATTTTTGAAAATTAATACTTCCTTAAACATGTTTTGTATGTTATTGGAAATCAGAGATGAGTTTTATTGATGCCTTTTTTTTTAAAAAAAAAAAGAAATAACTAAACTGAAAAAAGTGGAAACAATAATTGCTTTCTTTTGATTCCCCCTTCCCCCCACCCAATACTGGGAAGATGTTTAAGAGATTTTAATTATAGCTTGAGAAAAAAAAAAATCTCCACAACTGTAAAAAGCAACTATTGGCAATCCATCATCTGTTCATCTTTATCATAATTATCTTAAAGTCAAAAAGTTTATATTTCTAAATCCAATGGTGTGATATTTCAGGACTATATCCCCAAATTTGATTCTAAGCTGTTTACCAGTATTTCATTTGCATTTGTATGAAATGAAAACTAAAGATGGGTTTAAAAAAGTATTAGAAGTGTACCCAATCTGATCTTCCATGGTAATGCTGTCAGAATTGCAAAGCTTTCTTAAATGTTTAATGAACCACCTCACATGGTGTTTAAACGTTTTTCACCTTTTTAACAAAGCTTCACAGATATTATGAAGTTGACATGATCTCTTAAGAATTAATGTATTAATGTGACAGACTCTTGAAATTTCAAGCATGGTCTAATTATTACTCAAATAAAAAAGCAAAGATTGTGCAAAACCATTTCTCAAGCTGTAAAAAAAGATTTGTAATATTAATTCTTAAGTATTATTTCCAATATGCTGGATTTTGTTGCCATACATATGAAGAAAAGCATTGTCATTGTCTTCTAATCTGTGATTGTTTTTGTTGGCCTGGACAATGGGCTGCAGAATGAATTAGCCCTTAAGAGGCCTTTCCATGGTTGGTTTTAAGGTCAAGGTGGATCATTTAAACCATTAGGAAAAACAAAAAATACTTACAGTTCACAGATATCATTTTAATTATTATATGCTTCATTTGTGTGTGTGTGTGTGTAAATGTGTGTAAATAAAAGGTAATGGTTTCAAGATACAATGGAAAGAGTTGGGAATAATAAAGCTAATTTGATCAATGCTACAACCAACCTGGATGATTTAGTCTCCTATGAGTGTTTCTTGTCCTAAGTCATCTGGCTTGTCTGTCTACTGACCCATCACTCTCCCTTACGACACACTTTTTCTCCTAGACGCAGTCAGATTCACCACACAAGTTGGTGTAGTTTACCTCTGAAATGCTGGTTCAGCCATGGGAGTACAGTGACCACTGAGAGGTTTTGCAGGGCATGGGGATTTTCAGTGCTTAAACAGGATAGTCTGTGAAAAACCAACAGGCTCATCATCCTAGGTGTATATGCTGTCAAGAGCCAAGCACATAAGCTAACTTTTATGGCACCTCTGTCAGTTCTGCTGTTCTGAATCATACAATTTCAACTTCAATCAATTCTATATTTTACTGAAAAATATATTACCTTACACCAAAAATGAATTAATAGATTCTCTGGTTAAAAGGAAACAGAGAAAGGGAGAAGTTTTGGAGTTAAGGTATATTTCACCTAGGAATCTTTCTCTCTGGGAAACCTTGTGGATCATAAGGAATCGTTCATTACTCTGTTCATCTCAATGCAATATTTGATTAAACAAATAATGCTTAGCATAGGTTGTGAACCCACTAAAATCACAGCACAGAAACAACTCATCTAATGGCATTTTGCAATGCATGTCTGTTTTTAATTCTCTACCCCTCAACTCAATACTCTAGTTTCTATCCTGGGCAGGGTGTACGTAAATAAGCAAAAGGATGTAGCTGCCATATAAGAGAAACAAATAAAAATAAAATCCTTAAAGAGAGTTTTTGTTTTCTTCTTTTCTTCCTTTCTTTAAATGGAGAGTTCATTTTATTTTAATGGTTATGTCTTGGATCCAGCAGGCAAACCTTTCTTACTGATGGGGTCTCTACTTAACTGGTGTCTCTGTCATCAGCCTGACCTTGTAGCTTTTTCTAGTGCCATTATACCCTGGTCGCTGGCTTATTTTCATACAGCAGCCCCCTCTGCTTGATCCCACTTCATCTACTTCACGGACACAGACATTTGTTGGGCTTATTAGCTCAGCAGGAGCCTTATCATATTTTGTATCTGAGGCTGCTGGAGATGTCAGGAGATGGAAATGCCGTGTAGCTTTTTATCCTCCTTTCTTTCACTTTCTCCTAGAGCCCAACACTACATTTGGATTCAGTGCTCTCTTGCTACTAGCTTCTGAGATCTCTTTAAATATGTCTAGCTTTGCCATCTGTACCAATAACACTGCAAAGGCTTAGCCATGATTAGGCTGTCAAGATTTATTAAGTTAAAAAGTATCAAAGTTACTTGCTGCAACCCCAGACCTTTTAAGAATCTACCTTCTTTGGAATCCCTTCCCCCTTCCTCTCTAGCATTACAGTCAATGTGCTTCGCTTGACCTTGACCAACATCTGCACCCAGGGAACACTAATGAATTTGGGCCAATTCATCTCCGAACTCCAAATTTAATCAAGCTGACATGCCAGGGATAGAAGCCTATAATTAACTCCTAGCATTTTAGGTAATCTGTAAATTTTCATAGATTTCACCTGATATGTTTTGCCATGCTTAATATTTCAGTTTTCTTTAAGATACAATGTTAAACAAATATATGCATATGTAGTAGCTATTTTTTTAATATTAGAGAATTGTGTTTGTGTGTGTGTGTATCTATGTATGTGTACTTTTAATTTTGGTAGTATACTGAAAGTAAATATGACAAACAAATACCCTTTGCTATGTAACAACAACCTACACAAACCACAAAGCTGTTGAAAATTTATTTCATGATTTCGTTTGTCTTTAAGATAACTGACTACTCTGGTTACTTTAATACATTGACACATATATGGTTGTATGTGATTATAAATAAGTTCTAAATGCTTGTACTTCACCATTATCACTTGGCTGTCACTTTATTAGAGGATGGATTATTTCATTCATATAGGATGTTATTGCCTTTTTTGTGTTCACTAAACAAAAAAAGCTCTACGTTGATAGAAATTCTCATGTCTCCAAATGAATTGATCAGTTCTTATATACTCACTTATAAATGTTAATACTTAATATCAGGTCAAATCACGATCCAATTTGTCCTTGATAAACTTATGAATGATGTCCAGGCAAGTTTGTTAGAAAAAGTAAGTCTGCAGTGTTCGTCACAAAATCAGAATAATGTAATCTTTGAAAAGTTGTCATTACTTCACTTCTAATATGTCTACACTGGTGGTGGTGTGTTTGAAAGTGAGAACAGTAGCATACAATAGAAAATCTTTCATTTCCAAAGTAGTCTGCATAGTAAAAAAGGTATAATAGTCCAGGCGTGTTGTCTCACGCCTGCAATCCCAGCACTTTGGGAGGCCGAGGTGGATGGAGAATCACCTGAGGTCAGGAGTTTGAGACCAGCCTGGCTAACATGGCAAAATCCTGTCTCTACTAAAAATACAAAATTAGCTGAGCTTGGTGGCGCATAACTGTAATCCCAGCTACTTGGGAGGCTGAGGCATGAGAATTGCTTGAAACTCGGAGGCAGAGGTTGCAGTGAGCCAAGATCGCACCATTTCGCTCCAGCCTGGAAATTCTGTCTCAAAAAAAAAAAAAAAAAAAAAAAAAAGGTATGGTAGCATTATTTTATTCTTATTTTATGTCATATTTTCTATAAGAAAATCCAAAATTTGTGTTCTTTATTACAAATGGTAGGTGTTTATATACATACGTGTTTACAAATATCTAGTGCTTTAATATAGAGAAAAATCTAGGCTCATTTTCTCATAACTGCTTCTAGAAAATAGAAGATATTAAAGGTGAACAAGATTCAAGGAAGATATTTATAGGTATCTTTCAGTGAAGAAATTTTCAGTTTGTACCATAGAATAAACTCTAATGAACATATATCATCAACCAAATATTACATACCTAAAGACCAATAGCACATATTTACGCTGGCTGAGTTAAAATTTTAGTTAAAATTTCAATTAATATTTCCATACAATTTGTTATAATATCAGTTGAAACAGATTTTATCGTTACTGACATGCTTTTTTACATGATGAAAAATTCATTTAGAACTTACTTGAAAATCATACCAGTCGTAACTATTAACCTTGTATGGCAAGATTTTGGTTATTTGGAAATATTTGGAAGGCATAGAAGTTTCAGTATTAATTAGAATAATGCATCCTAATATTTAAAAAAAAAACATACTTTTTTGAAGGCAAAGATAATTATAACTTTTTTAATGCCTGGAATATCTCTGTATGCTTTTAGCAACTGTTAGATTCCTCAATTTTCAACAGGTAATATTTATTTTCTTTAAATAAAGTGATATTATTTTCATTTAACTTTGAAAAGGGATATGATAAGAAAGAAATTTCTTACCTATCATTCATCCTTAAATCTATAGGCACTAGCTTAACTAAAACCCAAATAAATCAAATTATTTTTTGTGGCTTCAGATGTAAAATAACAAGGACAAAACCATCATGTGCTTTTTTTTTTTTGTTCCTTTTAACTAGTTGTCTTGTTAATATCTAAATAAAGCATTCCTTCATTTCGTGTTGTTTCTCATATAAAGAACTTGAGGTAAATACTTTTACTCATTGGACATCAGAAATTGAAAAATAGGGCACCAAAATTTGACAAAACTTAATTAAAAATGAACTATAAACGTGTGGTTGTATTAACAAAGAAGGTCATTCATTTTTAAAATCCAGCTCTACTGGTTTGTTCGTAAAATCACCTTGTTTTATAAAGATACACAAATATTCAGTAGTAGGGATAGTGTAAACTATGCAAAGATAAGACATGGAAGGTTTCTTTGTTTTTAGTTGGTTTCATTAATCTTATATGTTTTGGCTATATAGCCCTGGTCTGTGATAAAAAAAATAAAAATTATTTAAAAGAGGAAAATTTTGTGTTAAATGGCATCAACATTAAATATTCTGGTTGAATGTAAAACACTTTACATTTATAAGATCTGCAGGTGCTACATTAATGTCACCATTCTCACTTAATTGATAGATAACCCTAAAGTGCCTAAGGAATTACTAAAGATGTTCCAGGGCTAATGTAAACACTAGACTTGTGCTTTTCAGAGATTTTCATATGTAGAAAAATGTCTTACTTGGGTTTCTATTTGTTTAATATTCACTAAGGGGCCATGCATATAACTAGCTTAGAAATGCTGATAGGGAATCCCTGATAGTATTTTGTTTATATAGATAATATTTTTTTGTCTGTGGTTATCATTTGTGTGGGATGGTCCAAGATCTTCAAGTGGGGATAATTAAGGCTGGAAGTGATGTGAGGAAAATTCTCTGTTATGTTCATGTTAAGAGTAATGACAACAGACATTTGTATGGTACATTACGGTTTATAACGTTCTGTCATGTACCTTTCTCATTTGATTCTCACTAAAATTTTGTAAAATGGTAAAGTTCTTTGACATGCCCTACAAAATTATGAGCACTGTTTTTAATATCAGATGGACCTGTGTTCAGATCTTGCCTCTCCCACTAGCTTATTGAACCTCTTGAATATTTGATATCATCCCATATAAACTCAGGATAATTTTTTTCCAGGGTTGGGATCATGGATGGATTAAACATGAAAAGATGTATAAAGCACTCACAAAGTTCCTGGCACACACACCAGCTGCTTTAATTATTTAAAGACCAAGACCAAGTATTTTTAACTTAGTTCACTATTTTGTACCTGGTACAATGCCTAGGAGTCTAGTTGATGTTTGTTGAGGAAATGAGTGAAAAGTAAAATGTTAGAACTGACAGTAATACAGTAAAATGATTTGTTTGAAGTTATGTGCCCAGAAAGTAGTGGAGATGAGAATCAAACCCATGTTTCTTGACTCTGAAATCCAAGGTTTTTCCTGCGTGCTGCTCATGGTGGGGAATGTGCCATTGTTCTGCCTTCCTCTCTCAGGGGATTGGATTCTTCTCTGTCTACCATTCCGATGACGACTGCACCAAAATTTTGCTGCTTTAGCATCTTCACCACGAATCTCTAGTAGTTATTTGTTGTTTCAAAGCTTTAACAAAGCGTAACACCTGGCAGGATATTATAACAACACACAAAAAAAGTGGTGCCAGAAGTTGTTCAAACTGATGCCATAGTGATCCACATACACAAACTGTATTTCCAGCCTTCCTGCTTTGAACAATGTCAATTGATCATACGTTATAGTACTTTTACAAGCATAACTAGTTTCATATAACACACTGTGCCCTTAAATAACAACACAGCAGAATTTCTATTTTGGTTATATAAAGGCAAGAGTCAGAAAAATGCATGTTATTTCCCATTTCTTGGGAAGTGACAGATTCACGATGCGCTTGCACCTGGAAGCTCACATAAAGAACCCAAATCCTTAAGGAGGATTTGGGAAGCTAAAATTCTGTGAGCAAAAACATAGCATCTAAATATTAGCTACTTTAAAGCTAGCCTGGAAGACAGCATACAAAAAAAATGTTAACAACAAAAAGCCTTACTATTATCAACAGCAACAAAACCAAAAAATAAAACAAAACCACACAAGAAAGGAAAAGAGAAGCAAGCGCCTTAAGATTTCAGTCATTGCAATCACTTGAAGGTGAATTTCTCTTCTTTTGTCGTATGATTTGTTTGAGAAATCTTATTTATTATTGTTTTCACTATTTTTTAAGGCTAACCTTTATATGATCAAGAAAGCCATATAAAAATAATCACTTGAGTGGGGATGAATAGCTCTTATGGCATTCTCAATACATGACACAAAATATTTTTTACTGTAGTCATACAATCCTAGAAGACAAGTACTTATAGGGCTGATTAAATCAACTGGGGATTAAATCATATAGACTAAATATCTACTTTTTATATATGGGATGGATATAAGCTTCTAGATTTGAAAATCTTATTGAAAGTAAGGGAAAGGCATATCTTTATGGTTACTACATTTTTTATTCAAAGATGGGAGCCTGCAAGATATTGAGAGAGAAAGAAAGAAAAAATTGACTCTGTGCTCTGTGTTCAGGAAAAAGTGCTTTGGACAAAATAATAATAATAATAATAATAATAATAATAAAAGGTCACAGTTCAAATTAAACTGCCAGGCAGTCTATACATGACCTGCTCATTATATGTTTATTGTTTCTTGACTATGGAAAAATGATCATTATCATCATGGTTTTCACCTGACTTTCAAAAATGAATGCACATTATCTTTTGCATTATCTAAATATAATAGGCTATGTTCCGTGCAGTTGCTAAACTTAAAATGATAGAATGTTCATTTAGCCCGTCTGTCTCACCCATCCCTTTCCCCCTCCTTTCTGTTGGGAGGGAAAGAAATGGGAGACAGTTTTTTTTTTTTCCTTTCCTTTGGCAAGAGGGTAAGCAAGCAGTTGTTTCAGCAATCAATGCCAGTGTCATTTTATGAGTCAGCAAGACACATTGAACGCTCTCTTGGTTAGGGGCTGACTCTATTACTCCCCAGAGCTTTAACCTTCTCTGGCCTAATGCCAGAGGAGCTTGATCAGGTCCCCAAACCTCAGGCGGAGAAGTCCCCATCTCACAGCTCTGCAGAGCTGCCTGTGGTATCTACTTTGTCATACGGGAAATTTGTCTATATGAATAGAAAGTGGTCTCTCATTTCTCACTTATAGCTGGTGTTGAAAAACAGTGGCTTAAAAAAATTCTAATTTCCCAAGCATGTACTGAAATGAAAGTGACAAATTAAATATAATTTTAAAGTACTTCAGTTTACATTTCTATTTATTGTCTTCAACCAAAATGGAAAAAAACAGGTGTTTTGCAGTATGCATCTTAGGTCTGACAATCTAGTTTTTGATGCTCAGGGTTAAATTTAAATCCACATGGCCTGGTTACCAATCTCCACAGTTGCACCCAGGCAGGACTAGGAAAGATTGATGATTGTGATTGTGAGATTAATCCTGTAATGTTTACAAGACTCCTGAGCTGAAGCCTGGTTGGTCGTATCATGCTACCCAGAGAAGGCCGCTTGGCTTGCCAGGGTAATTTCTTCTGATGCAGTAAATAACTAGGCGTAATGAAAATACTCTGATGTATTCCACTGCTTGATTGATGCTCTGCATGTGATACGGTAAAAGCAGTGCACTTCCTATCACAAATTTACATATACAAACCAGCAGAAGACTCATGATAATGTCAGCATCCTGCAGAAGCCCTGGGATGCTACACAATTTTATAGCAGTTATGAATTACTGTTGACCTTTCTGGCCTCTTATACCAGTAGGCTAGACTTGAGCATATTGAAAGTCATCAGTCTGAAGCAGTCATTCTTTACATAATTATGGCTATTTGTGTGGGGGGAGGGCAGTGTTTCTTTTATTGTTAAGAATTAGCATTAAGGCATAGCAGTGCTGTGACCTGCCACATTCTCTGCTGCTTTATACACGTTTTAATAAAAGCAGGCAAAAAGACACTAAAAATACTTCAACATATTTTCAAAGCACAATCATACTGAATTAAAAATGCTAACTACTTTTCAATATTTTTTTTCCTAATTGGAGAAAAATGATGCTGGCAGCTTGCATTCATTTTTTTAATGTAGTTACATTTAAATTTTTTAAAAAAATGTTTTGTAATACTTAAGCCAAATGTTCGTATTAAATTTATGTGCCTTTGAGCTGGGAAAATAGTTGGTAAGACCAAAGACAACTTTTGAGTCCATATATAGATTAAATTTTTGAATTCATGTAGATGTATTACTGAACGCAGCTCCATACTTCATACTAAATATTTGAATAATCAGGCTTTCAGAACATCACTAAACACAGCTCCTTATTATCATTTGCATTTTAATATTCTTAAAATTATTAGACTAAGGGAAATGTTGTTGATACATTACAGCATTTCCTCTAAATGTGTGATTATGTTAATAAGTTTTCAATCAGTATCCTAGCCTGACACCATAAGAAAATTTATGCAAAGTTCATACCCTGTCAGGGCCTTTAATCAGGACCATTTATTAGAGCCCTGCCTTCTTTGATGGTTGCTGCTGCCTTTATTAAATATACTGACTTGGCCATCTGAAGAAAAGGACAATAAAAGGTTACTGGGGATGAAAGCATAAATGCTATTTGCTCATGTTTCCTTTACAGACACTTCTTCAATAATTAAGGAAGGGCTTTCTCTGGCATTTTAGGCTTTTGAAGTGCATATCAAACATAACAGTTCTTGTTTTTATGGAATGCTTAATACTTACACTTAAACACAAGACTTAAACTAACTTAGAGATTGTAAGCACAGGAATATCTATCTACCCATCTATATGTACATGTGCATACACACACACACACATATATATATTTCTACCAAAAAATCACAAGCTCGTCAAGTATGTGTTTTTACATTACCAGATTTTTCTCTAAGGAAAACAGATATGCTTTAAGTAACACAGAAAATAATTAAATTAAAATGATGCTCCTAGTTTTTGGTATCAACGATGGATATCTTTTTTTTCCTTCTTTTATTTTTTCCATATAGGAACTTAAGTGGAACTGTGACTCTAGTATGTAAAATTGTGAATTTGACAAAAACAGTTTTCAATAGAAAAAGTGTGATTTTTAGCTCCTGACATTAGCACTAGTGATTTTAAACAATTAGTTAATACACTCCCTATACATTTATAGAAGGGTTGAAATTGGCATGAACAGCACCATTTTTTTTCTGGATTACATGCAGAGAAAAACAAAACAAACAGAAGCCCTAGCTAAGCAGTATTGACAACCTGGGGTTTGGATACAGATTCAATATGAGAAAACAGACTCACTTCAATGAAATACAAATAAACAACCAATTCTGTTTTAACATGTCTAAATAGGTAGTAGGTGACTGACAGGCTTGCGTCTCCTAGGAAAGCCATTAGTTGAGAACTTGATAGGAAAACGTTTGATTTGAATGCACGTGGCATTTCCCCTCAGGGGGTGAGCTGAGTGGTAGAGGGGGAGTCACTGAATATGCCTGCTGGGCTATACCCAAGAAAATGAAATCTGTAGGGTACCATAATACTAACAACTGTATAACTCTATCATCAATTTCGAAGGCTTAGTAATTATAGTAGTCTGCTGATTGCTCATTTTGCTTTTTTCTCACCTTCCTTAAATCTCACTCGTTTTGCCTTCCATTCAAATTCTAAGGGCTTTTCTTATAACTAGAATGTTGTCCATCCTCAAGTAAAAATTAGTTTTCAGATTTACGTTTATATTTGCTGATTACAAAAATTATTCATGACCCGCCTAAGGTAACTGTTAAAATGTTTATTTAAAAAAAATGATTTGTTACATAAAATTTGGTAAGTGAATTGATTATTATACACTTTTCAAAAATTTTCTCCCCAATTAGCATGGTAATCCATATATATTTATTCGAGTTTATAAACCACAATTCCTCAGCCTATAAGAAAGTTGCTCTGAATTTTTGTTTTTTGGATTAGTGATGCTTGTTATATTTTTTCTCTGAAAAAAATACACAGACTGCTAATTTGGATTTAACAATGTATAAAAATAAATACATTGTTGGCAATATTGACAATTTTTTGGGACCCAGAAATTTATAACAAGTTATAGTGTTAATTATGCCATAAATTTAAGCATTGGTGCACAAGAATTTGTATTCAAGGAAACTCTGAGTTAATCATATTTGTGTAGGAAAAAAAGTTAAAGAAAATCTTAGTAAATGAACCCTTTGACACCACATATGTTTAATTTTATGCATATCTTTCTAATATACTGGATCATGTAACAATTATTTTCTCCTAGTGCTGGTCTATCTTTCACCCCTCCCTTCTTACCTTCATCTTGCTAATATGGACACACACACACACACACACACACACACACACACACACCCCGCAGGCCAACCAAATGAATCAGGTACTGTCTATTGGCTTGAAGAAAGAAATATGGAGAATGCATCTTTAAGCACATCAAAACAACCTATAATGCTTCTGTGTTATTATTTTCAATATATTATTATAGAGTATTGAATTACTATTTTACTTACATTGGCGTTGAAAATATATATGTCTTTGGCTTTATCAAATAAAAAGGAATATGACACTTCAATTCACAGGGAAAAATGCAGAGAAAATACATGAATATTAAAACTAATAAACCTTGCTGGCAAGATATACATTTCTGGCATTAGGTTTTTTTCCTAGCACTCTGTATATCTGGACAAATATTCACAATATTTCTAAATATGTATATGTATAGGGAATGCATGTGCACGTAGCTGTTCCTCTCCCTTCCCCCTTCCATATGTTGGAGTCTTATGAGGTGAACAATAAGAATGAAAATCAGCTTCTGCAAAAGGCAGCAGCAATCCCATGATTCCATCTGAGCCCATCACTTAACATATCATTCATAATGCTAGCCTGCTCCCATCATCCTTGCCCTGTCAGTAGTATCTTTCTTCATTTTCTTCTGCTACTCATTTCCAAGAAAGTGGAACCACTGTATCATTTACTGTCCACAACCTAAGCTGCTGATTTAAGGGTTGATTTGTTATTTTCCATAATGTCATGTACAATTCTTTTTTTATTTCAATGCAAAGTTTAAGTTGAAGAAAAGTCTTAGATAAATTTGACAGTGGAAGGTTTGGATAAGATTAAATTTATCTATAGCTTTGAATGGCTCTATATGGTTTTAAGCATTTTAAAAGATTTAAATAAGTGTTTTATGGTAAGCAGTCCTTTTTCCCTTTCAAGACTGTTACACATTAAGTGGACAAAACAAATGGCCTAAGATATCTTTAGCATGAGTTAAAGGAAATCTTTCTTATCACTGAAAATTGGTGACTCAAAAATGTCTATAATGAGAAGGAAAAACATTTATTCACTATATCCTGAAATAGGTATTGTCCCATTATGTCTAACAAGGCCTCCTGAAGGCAAATTCGTTATAATTTGTATTTTTTCTTATTATTTTTCACAGTGGACAGTGATGACTCTCTGACTTAAAACCTAATCACCAGTGCCTATTAAATTTGGGTTTATATGTTGCTGAAGATAGAACTGATTATCATAGCGAATGAAATACTTGTTTGGCCTATTCCCAGAGGGCAAAAAGTCATTCTTCAAGGTGATGCATCTCATTTGAGGAATACATTAACAATTGAAGGCAGTTAAAAATACATGTGAACTCCCAGTGAGGCAAATCTGAGGTTGACCACATATATTTACTGACTGACTCTTGCCTCATTCAGGGAGGAAAACTATGGTATGGAAGGCTGATTTCTGCAACATACTAGACTTTAATTTACAACTGTAACGTGGCATGTAGATCATGTGCGCTTAGAAAATATTTAAGTATTATCATTCTGTACAGGTTTGTATGCTTTTATATATCATGAATGTCATAGAAAAATATATTGAAAAAATGAGTGCTAACAGCATTAAAAGTCAATATGTTTGGTTAAAATAAGCCTCTCATTTCAAATATGAGACTTTGAACAACTCACTCTGACTCAAATAATATCAATGCAATTGTGTAAGCATGGATTCAAAAGCTTAGGAGAAAATACTCAAAACCTAAATTATTAAAAAAGACAATTTGGTAAAATGAAACAGGTTAGATAATGATTTTCTAAATTAGATGGACATCTATAGTCAAATAAATAGGATATGGGGATGTGGTATAAATAAAAAAACGACCAATGTCAATTAATAACATTTTGCATTTTTGCTTTGCTAATTTGGTACAAACATACCAGTATTTAGATGTGAAATTATAATGCACTAAAGAAAAATAAGACATAATTCAAGTTTAAGCATATACTTTTTTTATTGCCCCTAAAATATAACAAGTGTAAAGAAACTCTAGGAATCTTCATAATTTTCAGATAAACATATTACTTCCCATAGCAATAGACTACAAAGAAGTGCCAGCAGTGAACTAATTTACTGGTAAGCAAATTCAAGAAAAGTAAACATTTGTAAATTTGTAAAGTAAAAACATAGTAAAAAAATCACAATGAGAAAAAAAAAATCCCCTTTTACATGTAGCATTTTCTCAGAATGCTTTCTTATACATTACCTTATTTAGTTACCACAAGAACTCTAGCAGGTGGACAGAGATGTACCATTGGTCTGCAAACTGATTTTTAAAGAGGATGCACAACTCACCCAACATCTGGGAGCCCGAAAGTGCTGGGGATGGGACTCAAGTTCTATCTAGTCTTCATACTTCTAGCTCAGTGGTCATTCTCCTAAACCACACTGCTCCTTTTTTTTTTTTTTTTTTTTTTTTTTGTCAAGTAAAGGGACTGTGAACATACTTCACTCAGTATGATGTATAGGTTTATTGGTAGAGTGACACAACAGAGCAGTGAAGTGCAATGAAGTCATGCATAAAGCTGTATAAGAAATATGTATATTGAAGTCCCATTTCATGAAGGTACTGAGGCCATGTGTTTTCCTATATTATTTATGTGCACATTGCTATTCCTATATTATTATTATTGTTATTATTGTTTACCTTCTTTGATGCACCATATTGTTTTAAATAAATTGTGCCACAGGCCATATGAAACAAGAATGGTGCACTTTGATTAAAAAAATAGCGTTATCTAGGTTCAAGTGCTAAACTTCTCCCTTGCCACAACCTGAGGGCATTGCAGGTTCATGATGGAGGGAATGCATTTCTGTCTCTGGGGAGGGCATCCTTTTCAGCTGATTTTAGAGCTGAAATAACAGGAGTTTCAGAGGAAGCTTCTGCCCTTTCATTCAGCTGCCTGTAAAGTGTTGTGAAAGCTGAGAAGAGAAATGGCAGTGATTGAGGATTTTTAAAAGTGAGGGGGAAAGAGGAAACAACCGAACAGGCTCCCACTGCCCTGAATGAAATCTACTGGTTGGACGTTCTGTTTGATTTTTAGAAGCCTGACATTTCCTAATTCATTTGAAGTCATTAAAAAGAATATAACAATTTTGAAATGAAAGGAAAAATACCAGAGAATACTAAAAGATCTTCAAATATGGCATTATTTGCCAGTTCTATTTTTCCATGTGCATTCAAATCTGATCTTATATTTCAACTTACTTTTAAGAACCAGATGTTAGATTTTTCACCATTTTGCCTGTTAATTTATAATATTAAAATATTTAATAGTTATTTCCAGTTTAAAAGGCCATTAAGGAAGTTGATCATACTACATTACCTCTCAAGTTAATTTAAAAAACTATATTATAGTGATAGCATGACATTATTTTTAAAAATAAATTTAGGAATACCTGAGAAGTAATTTCTATGAAACACATTAAATAAAGATAATGTTTAAAGACAATAAAGGTCAGTGTAGCATATTATTTAAGAATGTGGGCTCTGGAATCAAATGACTAGATTTAAATCTTGGCATCTGACATCCCACTCTGTGCTTCAAGTTTTTGACCTGTGAAATGAGAGAAAGTATAAAATTATATTTCATGAAATTGTTGTGAGAATTTCATGCAAATATTTTGAACAGTGTTTGGAATGTATAAAATACTTGATATGCATTAGTTATTGTTTTAAGTAAGTTTTTTAATGGTGTTATGGTACAATACAGTCTAATATATACATGTTCTAAGAAAAGGCAGGAGTTTTAGAGATTCTAGAAAGAAGTGTGGTTCAGGCAGTTTACAATTAAAGAAGGAGGGGAGTGATTCAAGCTTTGGAGTCAGAGCCCTGACTCTTTTAGATTTTTAACTTTGGTTTAGCTACTCTTAAGCCTGCTTCTTCTCTGTAAAATGGAATGATAATATTAATTATACAGTTTTTTTTTCTTTTTTAGCAGGAGAGATGTTAGTATATATAATAAGCCAGTGCCTGGAGATAGGAGGCCTTTGAGATATGGTTGTTGTAGTATTGCTGGTGGTGGTGGTGCTCAAAGAGGCGGTGCTCAAATACAAGAAAGGAAGAAGTGTGGTGGAGATACACAGCACATAACATATGAAAATCACTTGCAAAACTGAAGTTAAATTTTTAGTAAGATTCATTAGCTCAAACAGTTGATGCTTAATTTAGCTCAGCTTAGTAGTCATGTTCTACTGAGGTCAAACAGCCGAAAATTGGTGTTAGAGAGGTTGATTTTGTGGCAGCACCAGGGATAGCTCCCAGTAGCCCTCAGAAAAAACAGACCACTTCCACTTCCTCTCTCAAGTCTCTGCTTAGGCTTTCAAAAGTTAGGTTCCTATTCAACATAGTACTTGATGTCCTAGCCAGAGAAATCAGGCAAGAGAAAGAAATAAAAGGCATCCAATAGGAAAAGAAGAAGTCAAACTATCTTTGTTTTCTGATTATATAATCCTCTACTACAAAATCCTAAATACTCCACCAAAAGGCTTCTAGACTAATAAATGACTTCAATAAAGTTTCAGAATACAAAATCAATGTATGAAAATTAGTAGCAGCTCTATACACCAATAACATTAAAGCTGAGAGTCAAATCAAGACCACAATCCCATTTACAATGGCCACACAAAATATAAAATATCTAGGTATAGAGCTAACCAAGGAGGTAAAAGATCTCTGCAAGGAGAACTACAAAACACTGAGGAAAGAAATCAGAGATGAAACAAATAAATGGAAAAACATTCCACCCTCATGGATTGGAATAATCAATATTGTTAAATGGCTGTACTGCCCAAAGCAATTTACAGATTCCATGCTATTCCTATCAAACTCCCAACGTCATTTTTCACAGAATAAAAACTATTCTAAAATGTATATGGAACTAAAAAGGAGCCTGAATAGCCTAAGCAATCCCAAGCAAAAACAACAAAGCCAGAGGCATCACATTATCATACTTCAAACTATACCATAGGGCAACAGTAACCAAAACAGCATGATACTGATACAGAAACATAGACCAGTGGAATGGAATAAAGAACCTAGAAACAAAGCCACATAACGTAAAACCAACTGATCTTCAACAAAGTTGAAACAAAACAAACACTAGGGAAAAGATTCCCTATTCAGTAAATGGTGCTGGGATAACTAGCTAGCCATATGCAGGAGAATAAAAGTGGGCTTCTACCTTTCACTGCATACAAAAATTAACTCAAGTTGATCAAAGACTTAAATGTAAGACCTCAAATTATAAAAATCCTAGAAGAAAAACTAGGAAGTAGTCTTCTAAACATTGGCCTTGGCAAATAATTTATGACTAAGTCCTCAAAAGCAAACACAATAAAAATAAAAATTAACAATTAGAACCTAATTAAACTAAAGAGCTTCTTTTGCACAGCAAAAGAAACTATCAACAGAGTAAACAGACAACCTACAGAATGAGAGAAAATAATCGCAAACTATACATCTGACAAAGGTCTAATATCTAGAATATTTAAGGAACCTAAACAAATCAACATGCAGAAAACACATAAACCCTAAAAAATAGACAAAGGATATGAATAGGCGTTTCTCAGTAAAAGACATACATGTGGCCAAAAAACATGTAAAAAGATGCTCGTCATCACTGATCTTCAGAGAAATGCAAATCAAAACCACAATGAGATACCACCTCACATCAGTCAGAATGGCTATCATTAAAAAGGCAAAAATAACAGGTGCTGGTGAGGATGCAGAGAAATGGGAACTCCTATACACTGTTTGTGGGAATGTAAATTAGTTCAGTCCCTGTGGAAAGCTGCCTGGAGATTTCTGAAGGAACTAAAAATAGAACTCCCATTTGATCTAGCAATCAATCTCATTACTGGGTGTATATCCAAAAGAAAACAAATACTTCTACCAAAATGACCATGCACTCATACGTTCATCACAGCGTTATTCACTGAGACAATGATATAGAGTCAACCTATGTGCCAATCAGTGGTGGACTGGATAAATAAAATATGGTACATGGGATATTATGCAGCCATAAAAAATGAAATCATGTCTTTTGCCACAGCATGGATGGAGCTGGAGGCCATTATCCTAAGTGAATTAATGCAGAAACAGAAAAGCAAATACCACATGTTCTCACTTATAAGTGGAGCTAAACACTGGGTACACACAGATATAAACATGGAAACAATAGGCACAGGGGACTACTAGAGAGGGTAGTGCAGAAGAGGGGCATGGATTGAAAAACTGCATGTTGAGTGCTATGCTCACTACCTGGGTGATGGGATCCATATACCTCAAACCATGGCATCATGCAATATACCCATGTAAGTAACAAACTTGCACATATACCCCCAAATCTAACATAAAAGTTGAAATTATTTAAAAAGAAAACAAATTATAGAAGGTTAGATTCCCTTTAAGACAATTCCCAACACTGATAAAGACCAAATTTAATCCTTTATCTACCCAGGAGTTTCAGTGTTGAAGGGATGACCATGCTATGGCCTATGGCTAGATGGAAGACAAGGAATACATTTATGTCTGGCTGGGTGAGAGCTGTTTCTTTTTTTCTTTTCTTTTTTTTTTCCTTGACATGGAGTCTTGCTCTGTCACTCAGACTAGAGTGCAGTGGCAAGATCTTGGCTCACTGCAATCTCTGCCTCTCCGGTTCAAGCAATTCTCCCTGTCTCAGCCTCCTGAGTAGCTGGAATTACAGGCACCCAACACCATGCCCGGCTAATTTTTGTATTTTTTTTTTTAGTAGAGATGGGTTTTCACCATGTTGGCCAGGCTGGTCTTGAACTCCCGACCTCAGGTGATCTGTCCATCTCGGCCTCCCAAAGTGTTGGGATTACAGGCATGAGCCACCACTTCTAGCCGAGAGCTGTTTCTTAAGCATCATCATAATTCTTTTTGGTCGTCTTATTCCTTTAGGTTGGTGGATTTTCAGGGCTAATTTCACAGCACACAATTGTGTTAGGATCTGTTTTGGGGTATTTTGCAAGAAACTGAATTTAATAAGCAAATCAGAGAAGATTGTATATTATGATAGAATTAAAAATAAAAAAACTCAGAAAAAACATATTGCTTAGAAATACATACAAATGCAGTAAAAGTGTAAAAAACGAGAATATTCAACACAAAATTCAAAATAGTGATACCTCTATAAGGTGGCAATTGGATCAAATCAGGAAACATACTAGTAGTTTCAAATGCATTAATTGTATTTTATTTTTTAGACTGGATCATAAGTTTATTGGGTAATATTTTCAGAATTACTAAAATTATCTCAGGCAACTGCTTCCTTCTTTGCTTTATCACAAAAATTACTTTTATCTCTATCACTCCATGTAAGACAATGTGGGGAAGCATTGTGACCATATGTCCAGGTATACCCAAAGGTACTTTTTCACCTCAATTTCATCAAGCTGGCTTCTGGTGCATCAATTTGCCCTTATGTCAATTCACTATTTCAAAAATATTTGTCAACAATTGTGCTAATAGTAAAAAGGCTTATCATATTTACCACTTATTACTGTGTAAGAAACTCACTGGCCCATATGCCTGAAACTTTTGAATAACTGAAATCTGAACTCACTGCTAAGAGAGGAGTTCACTTCTATTGTTATCTTTCTACAATTTTTGGTGACATAACCTTTAAGTATAATTTAACTGTATACAATTATGACTCCTTCCAGAGCTGACTGTGGGACAGAGGATTCTCTATTTCTTTTTTCTTCTTTGGTTTGTTTTGTTTTCCCCATATTTTTGAATGCTTGTGGCTTATGACCTTGTCTTTCTTTGCTTTGAAGCTCTTAACAAATCAATTGGGCTCATTGCCCAGAGAGATTGGAATTGAAAGATGAGTAGAAAAATTAGTACCCACCTTTGATCCAAGGGCCTTTTCAGGGACTAGCTTCTCATAAAAGATCAGATTGGTGGGTTTTCAGTAAACAGTATCCTGAAATTGCAGAAAGAATTCCTAAGTTCAAGTATAAACTCCAAATATTAACAAGTGCCTAAGACCCTCGCTAGGTTGCTTAACTTCTCGTGGTCTCTGTTTACTCCTTTGTAAAACTGAGCGACAATAACAATCGTCATTTTTTCCTTAATGTTAAAATTAGTGAAATAATTTAAAAAGTTTTGTGAATAGCCAATTGTCATACTAATGCACAATATTAATATTATCCTCAACTTCTCTCTATTCCTCACTTAATTTATCTAGTGACTCACAAAGTCTTGTCTATATGACTTTTTAAATACCTTTAGAACAAGTCCACTTCTCTCTGCTATTACCACAACCTAGTGGAAGCTACCATTTTCTCCCTACCAGAGAGCTTATGGTTGTAGCTTCCTGTCTGCCCTTCCTGTTCCTTATCGCCATGCAGTTCATTCTCCAAAGTGGAGTCAGAGAGATCTTTTAAGAAATGCAAATCTGATTATAACACTCTTCTGCTTAAAACCCTTCACTGGCATCCCATTGTTATCAATAAAGACGAAAACATTAAGTGGGTTTAAAAACTCCGCATGGTCTACTCCAACCTACTTTTCCTGCTTCATCTCTCTCCATAGTGCCCCTCAATTTTTGCATTACAATATCATGAACACATAGCCAAGATTTTTAAAAAAAGACCACTGCATTAACCACATTCTATGTATCACACACACTAATTCAGAAGTAAGATTTTAAAATGAAACAAAATGCGAGAAAAAGATTAGATTATAAATACTGGGGACACTGATGAGTCTCTGCATATTGTTATTTTACTGTTGCCCTATTTTCTTTAACTCAAAAACATTTCAAAGAAAATTCACAGGACAATATGTTTTAGGAAAGTATTTGAGAGTGAAGTAGAAGGCACCTTGATGGATGGGCTTGAGAAAAATTTCATAAGCTCAAGAATATTGACAGAATGACATTTTACTCTTTCAAGTAGTACTTATTTCTAGGTAATGGGTAGGGAAATTTAGTATGTTGCCTGTCTTTTCTAAAACATTTTTTTATGCTTTGACATGTTGAGTTGGATTGATTCACCTGTGTAATTGAATAGTATAATTTGGCCTTAGTGTAATTGGTCTTCTCTTTGAATTCTCATCTGACAGAACAGATAAATTATTAGTTTGATTCCGTCTTCTACTCCCACACAGATAATAACATATGTAAATTTTTCCTGGAAATTCACTTATTAACGATATGCATATATAAACATGCACATGAAATCTAATTATATCTACATATCTTTCTCCCTCTGTCTCTACATATATATATATACATGTATGCATAAACATATATGTATATGTACATTCATTCATGTGTGTAAAACATACATAAATTAAGTTTTAATTCATATTGATTACTTTTGTTAATAACAATTTTATTACATTTTATAGGTATCCACTAGTATTTTTAAGATGTAAACATAATATAAGCAAGAAAGATGGTTAAGATTGCTTTTTTTGCATATTCTTAATAATTATATCAGTCAATCTGAAAAATGTATGTCTTCTTATTCAAGTTATATGCAATCCACAAAGTTAAAATTAGCCTTGTTTCCACATGTCTTCCTTTTCTAATCTCTGTGTCTTTCTGATTACTTTCTGAGAAACAAACCTGATGGTGTCACTTTCTTGTTTTATGAGTCTTCCTGGCTCCACATTACCTAAGGGAAAAAGACCAAACTGATTTGTCTTTGGAATCTCACCCAGCTTTAACATCTCTTGCCGTTCTCCTCTTATACACTTCAAATGTCAGTCACAATAAGCTTCTCACTAGTTTCCATGCAAGATTTGTCTTGTCATGACTTGGAGTTTTTATATTCTATTTTCTCTTCCAGGAATATCCTTATCTTCTTTTATATCTAGAAAACTATTATTTATCCTTTAAGGCCCAGTTAAACGTCACTTTATTTCTGTAAACGTTCTCTTCATTATGTTTACTGGAGTGAGTTGATCCTTCTTTTCTGGAACACTCAGTTTATACCATTATTAAATCACTTGCCGATTTATGTTGCAATCATTTATTAACTTGTTTCTCTAACTCTTGATTGTGACTTAAAAGAAATAAAAGGGATGTAGAGATCCCATATTAGGATACAATTAAGTTCATAAAACAAAACAAATAAGTGGACAAAAGTAACCATATAGCTTAAACAAGATAGGTTTTCTTTCATCCATTTGATATAAGCAGTTCACGGTTGACAGGTCAACTCCGCAATGTCAGGACATAGCTCCTTTGACTTTTTCCTCTTCTATCTTTTAACTGTTGCCCCCATCTTGTCATCTAGGACAGTTTCTTTCCCTTCTGTCATTCTGAAATTGGCCAATCTGAAAAATGTGTATTTGTTCATGTTCAAATTATGTTATGTTTCATGAAGTTAAAATTATTTTTCATTACATCAATATTTCAGCCAGTGAGAGAACAGGGGAAAGGTGAGGGATGGGTGCAAGATCTCAAATTTGACTAGAGTTCACTTCCATATTTTTCCACTCAAAACACATATACTTCACTTCCATCACATTGGTTTGGAAGCTGGGAGATAAAGTCTTATATTAGCTGTCAATCTTTGGCCACTGAAAATACTACAACTATAAAAGCAGAGAACAAATACTGGGAGACTCTACCAGTTTCTATCATAAAATACATCTTTGATTTCTTAATGCCTAGCACAGTGTTGTTTCACATTATGAATCAGGAAATACGTGGTAAATGAATAGATGAATTGCAAAAATCAGCAAATTAGAACTGCAATGAATCTATAAGTCATCTACTACTACCTTCTCATTTCATAATGATGCAGCTGAAGAACTTGTGATTTTTCTGAATTTATTATAATAGTTGGTATTGTATGATTAGGAGCTTATTAGCAATTTTTTTCTTTTAAATTTGTTTTAGACCCAGGGGTACTTATTATGCAGGTTATGTGGACATATGGCATGATACTGGGGTTTGGGTTTTTATTGAACCCATTGCCAAGATAGCGAACATAGTACCCAATAAGTAGTTTTTCAACTCTTAACCCCCTCTCTCTTTCCTTCCTTTTAGAGTTTCCAGTGTCTATTTTTCTCATCTTTATGTCCATGTATTAATGATGTTTAGCTCCCACTTATAAGTGAGAACATGTGATATTTTGTTTTCTGTTTCTGTCTTAATTCACTTAGTAAAATGGCCTCCAGCTCCATCCATGTTTCTGCAAAGGACATTATTTTATTCTTTTCTATGGCTACATAGTATTCCATGGTATATATACCACATTTTCTTTATCCAGTTCACCATTATTGGACACCTAGGTTGATTCTATGTTGTTGTCTCAGTGAATAATGCTGTGATAAACATATGAGTGCATGTGTCCTTTTGGTAGGATTATTTGTTTTCCTTGGGTATATACTCAGTAATGGGATTGCTAAGTCAAATGGGAGTTCTTTTTTAGTTCCTTGAGAAATCTCCAGCAGCTTCCCACAAGGAGTGAACTAATGTACGTTCCCACCAACAGGGTATATGTGCTCCCTTTTCTCTGCAACCTTGCCATCATCTGTTCTACTTGCGTTTTTCATAACAGGCATTCTGACTGGTGTGAGAAGGTATTTGACTGTGGTTTTGATTTGCATTTCTCTGAAATTATTGTTAATGAGTATTTTTTCATGTTTGTTGGCGACATGTATGTCTTCTTTGGAGAAGTGTCGATTCATGTCCTTTGCCTATTTTTTAATGGGATCATTTGGCTTTTGTATGTTGATTTGTTTGAGTTCCTTAAAGGTTTTGGGTATTAGTCCTGTGTTGGATGCATAGTTTGCGAATATTTTCTCCCATTCTGTAGGTTGTCTGTTTACTCAGTTGATAGTTTCTTTTTGCTGTGCAGGAGCTCTTTAATTTAATTAGGTCCTAATTGTTAATTTTTATTTTTGTTGCGTTTGCTTTTGAGGACTTAGTCATAATTTTTTTTGCCTAGGCCAATGTCTAGAAGAGTATTTCTTAAATTTTATTCTAGGATTTTTATAATTTTTCATTTTACATTTAAGTCTTTGATCTATCTTAAGTTAATTTTTGTTTACAATGAGAGGTAGGAATCCAGTTTAATTCTTCTGAATATGGTTAGCCAATTTTTCCAGCATCCTTTATTGAGTAGGAAGTCTTTTCTCCATTGCTTGTTTTTGTCAACTCTCCTGAAGATCACATGGCTGTAGGTGCGCAGCTTTATTTCTGGGTTCCCTATTCTGTTCCATTTGTCTATGTGTCTGTTTGAAGTTGGGTAATGCAATGCCTCTAGCTTTGTGTTTTTTTTTGTTGTTGTTGTTCAAGATTGCTTTGCCTATCATTAACACATACAAAAAAAGTAAATCACATTACTTTGATAATTCTGAAGGATACCTAATAGAATAGTATACTTTTTAAAGGGGAGATTACATCTCTGTTGTTTCACACTGAAGCCTTTTTGGTATATGCTCCTTTATCTTCAAAGAAACCAAGGGATATCAGAAAGACATTAAGGAAGTTTTGACTGAGTCTCCATAATGAAACATTTTTTTTTTCTTTCTCAAATGTAATCCAAGTATATGATAAAAAATTTACTATGGTACAAAATGCTGGTCTGAACAATAAGCATCCTTCTGTCTCTTTCCCGAGTCACCTGGTTGCCCTCCTTGGGAGAAGTATTCCTTTCAGTTTCTTGTACAGCTTTGCATCTAAAACTGGAAGATGCAGCTTTGCATCTTGCCTTTTTTTTTTTTACTTCATTTGGATATCTGATAAGGCATATTTTAAATTTTAAAAAAGTAGAAATGTGAAAATATGGACCTACTTAATGAAACCTTTCTTAAATTCAAAAAACAATCTTCAAAATTTATCATATCTTCTTGAAAGGGCCGTGAGTTTTGTCTTTCCATCAGTAGGTATCAAGTCATTTTTGGTCTTATACTGCTGATTAGCCTTCTATCAATTCCAAGAACAGGTCAGGTTCTTCACAACTTTGATCTTTGCTCTTCCTGTTCTCTCTGCCTTGAACCTTGTTCCCCTGATAATTTGCATGGATAACTTATTATTTTTCAGGCTTTAGTTTAACTTTAAATTCTTCAAAAGGGCTTCTGTAACATTCTTTCTATAGTTAACAACCCCTGCTGTTAGTTTTATGAGAGCACACTATGTAGATACTTCAGAGTACTCACCCAATCTGCAACTATGCTGTTTCTTTGTTTATTTGTTTAATGTCTGTGTATGTGTGCCATTGAAATATGATGTCGGCCAAGGCAAAAATAATGTCTGTCTTGTTTTTCTTGTATATCTAGCACCTTGCTTGGCACACAGTCAACATCAATGAGTATTTCATAAGTGAAAAAGAAAACAAATGAATAATAAACAAAGTCCTCTTTGAAGCCTCTGATTAACAAATCTGTGTCCGATCTCAATTTCATAAACTTTTCAATCTTTTTACATACAAAGGTATATAAAATATATTAAAACATATGAGATAAGATATAAAGGCTTTTTCCTTTTGTTCTTATAAATAAGACTACAGATACATTTCATCTACTAAATGCTTTCACTTCCTTGTGATTTCCCATAGCATCATGAATTTTTAAAAAGGCAATATTTTCTCAGTGATCTCTTCTCATTCCGTATTTACATTTGCTATTTTTTACAACTTCTCTGACGCTAAATAGGTTGACCACTACCTAAGAAACATGACAAATATGGATAGCAAAGCATTTACCAAGAATCTTTTAAAAACAAAACTAGATAATCATTTCAATGACTAAAAAATTAATGCTACTGCTAGGGGTGAAATAAACATCAGCAAGGCAGTGATGGAATGATGTTAGAATTTGATGTGTTTATATTAATTCTTCTTATATCAGCATTCTTTACAATGCCATAAAGGCAGAGCCTAGATGCTTATTATAAAAATGTAAAAGTAAATGTTCTATCATATTTGACTGTATAGGAGTTTGTACTACTTAGATGTTAAAATAAGAGTGTCTGTAGTTACCGTTTATCTTCTTAAAACAGTGCCTTTGTTTGGTATGTAAGAATACTATTTATTCACAATTACAAATACATTTCTTATATTGTTGCTTTTGAAAAATTTCTGTTTTTTTTTTTTTTTTTTTTTTTTGAGACGGAGTCTCGCTCTGTCGCCCAGGCTGGAGTGCAGTGGCGCGATCTCGGCTCACTGCAAGCTCCGCCTCCCGGGTTCACGCCATTCTCCTGCCTCAGCCTCCCGAGTAGCTGGGACTACAGGCGCCCGCTACCACGCCCGGCTAATTTTTTGTATTTTTAGTAGAGACGGGGTTTCACCTTGTTAGCCAGGATGGTCTCGATCTCCTGACCTCGTGATCCGCCCGCCTCGGCCTCCCAAAGTGCTGGGATTACTGGCGTGAGCCACCGCGCCCGGCCTTCTGTTTGTTTTGTCAAAATTTTAATTTTCCAAGTTATCAACTATTTTATTCATGATTACTGTTGTTTCATTTTGTCCTCCAACAAATATTAATTGGTCACTTGTATCAGGCACTGTAAGAAAACAGGAATGTGTTCATTTTCTACTGCTAAGATCTGTGAATGGATTTTCAAATTTATTTTCCTGCCAAATTCAGCCAAAGATATTTCTTACCACACAAGTAACTTGTAAAAAGTAGTTACTTGAATTATGATTATTGTTAAATATAGTAATGAAGGCTCATGGAAGAAAATTTTAAATGTGCAAAGAAAAAATGATTGCATAAATTGTGACAAATTGGAAATCTCTCTTTCAATATTTTTTCTCTCTCTGTATATATATATATATATATATATATATATAACATATTATATATACACAGTTACTTCAAGTATTTTTCTAAGTATAGTTACATGAGTATATACGTACACTATTTATTTACAGTTATTTAATTTTATAGATGTAGTTTGTAACTTTTTAATATAACCATCTACTTTGAACATATTTCCATAAAAACATAAACATATTTATTAGAAATATATATGATTACATTTACTGTCATCATTTATTTAACCAATCACTGTCATATATTATGATTGTTTCTTTTAAAAAATCTATTATACAAATCACTGTGTTGAATATACTTGTGCATACATCTTTTTCTAATTACTTCTTAAGCTAAGTTTTCTGGAAGTATGATTGCAGAATGACAATAACAATACTTTAGTACTTTAAATGCATTCACTCAATACTTGCATTACATGCATTTATTCATTTAATTCTCAGAACAACTCTATAAAGTACATGCTGCTTCATGATTGCTTTTGTTCTGTTTTTTCCTCCAACAAATATTAATTGGTTACTTGTATAAGGTGTTAAGATACTGGCACATAAGGAAGCTAAGACTGCACCTAATTGAATTGAAATGGCCATCTGGTGTATGAAACACCATTATTATGTGCAAATAAAAATAAAAACAAGTACTGCCAATTCATTTATGAGAAATATTTAAATATGCATGTTAGAATTAATAAAGTATGATAACTTGCTGAAGATTCTGTATTCTTTAAGTGCAGAGGTGACATTGAATTCCAAGTGTAGACTTCCAAGTCTACACTCTTAAGTATAAAACTCTGTTTTTAAAAAATGTATTCACATTTTTAAGCCTTTTAGTACTAGATTGATGGCCAGAAAGGTTGTAGCTATTTGCACTTCCCCAGCACTGTTTTTAAAAACAGAACTTTTTTCTAGGTTTCCTTGCCAATATTAGTAGATATCTTTATGCATTTTATCACTATGAAAGGTTACAAATATAATTTCATTTGCATCTATTCAATTACTCATGGGGTAAAGACTTTTGTCAAGTATTTACTGATTATTTGTATTTCTTCACTTAAAATTTTTAGTTATGTGTTCATTTATCTTTTCACATATCCAGGATACTAACAATTTGTTCATCATTGCAAATCTTTTCAGTTAGTTACTTTCTTTTTAGCTTTTTTCATGTGTTTTTAATTATAATTTTTAATTATAAACTCAAATCTATAAATTTTTTCTTACATAGCTATTGCTTTTAGTATAACTCATTCCCATGTGGCACATATACACCATGGA
The DNA here is from genome assembly GCF_000001405.40 of Homo sapiens. Taxonomy (NCBI): domain Eukaryota; kingdom Metazoa; phylum Chordata; class Mammalia; order Primates; family Hominidae; genus Homo; species Homo sapiens. The sequence continues at coordinate 76,510,719 of NC_000008.11, read as the reverse complement.
ATACTATGCAGCCATGAAAAAGGATGAGTTCATGTCCTTTGCAGGCACATGGATGAAGCTGGAAACCATCATTCTCAGCAAACTAACGCAGGAACAGAAAACGAAACACTACATGTTCTCTCTCATAAGTGGGAGTTGAACAATGAGAACACATGGACACAGGGAGGGGAACATCACACACCAGGGCCTGTCAGTGGGTGGGGGGCTAAGGGAGGGATAGCATTAGGAGAAATACCTAATGTAGATGACGAGTTGATGGGTGCAGCAAACCACCATGGTAGTGTGTACCTATGTACACATTCTGCACATTCTGCACATGTATCCCAGGACTTAAAGTATAATAAAAAAAAGAAAAATAAATTAATATTGTTAATTTTTGACAATATATATTTCTTGAATCTGCATGTATTGATCAAGAACCAATGCTAACTGATAAAGGAAGAAATAACCTGAAAGACTATGCATAATTCATAAAAATTCAATAAAACAGAAGAATCAGTTTTGAAAATTGGGCAAGAACCAAGAGGCATGTTGGACAAAGATAGGCAAAATTATTCTGAAGGAACTTTCTAGTAAGGATCCCAAAGCTGGCAGTGGTATTGTATATTAGATGTTGTGGATTGTCACCAATAACCATAATAAGTTGATTTTGTTCTTAACACTACTGCTGTCAGAATTGATTTTATACTAGAATGTATTCTTCAGATTTAAAGTTCTGTCCAAGACAGGTTGATTGTTTGAAGGAGATCTGCCTGTACTTAGTAAAATCAGGCATTTGAACTTCAGTGGTTTTATATTTTGGGGTTATAATATGTCAACGAAGCAAATTGTAATAGCTAGCATAAGTGAAATAATAGTAAAAGAATGTAAAACTACCATTTAAGAAGGCAAAAAGGCAGATAATAACATATTGATAAAATAAGGCAAGAAAGAGGAAGAACGAAGCATTTAAACATGTAAATCTAAGGCAAAGTAATAGTAAGATACTAGATATAGACAAATCATATCAATAATCACATTAAGTATAAATGGACTAAATACTCTAATTAAATGATTACAATATCAGACAATGATAATTTTAGAACACCTTACCCTATGCTATTTAAATATGAGACTTAGACACTCTTAAAATATAAGGACACAGAGCCATGCAACATGAACCTCCCTAAAAATATGACTTATGTAGTTATACTAATATTAAAGTAGATATTAATGAAGGAAGGATTACTAGAGGTAAACAAGAATGCTTCATAATGAAAATAGGTCAATTTACTGGAACGATATAATAATTCATAGTCTGTATAAATGCAACAATAACTTCAATGTAATGCAAAAATTAATGATATTAAGAGCAAAATATATAAATTCCCAATTATGTTGGAAGATTTTAATACATCTCTCTAACTGATAGAAAAAGGAGATAAGTTGTCAGTGAGAATACAGAAGATATGAGACCTGAACAACATGATAAAAAAAACCTCAACCTAATTGAAATGTACAGAAACCACACTCAACAGTGACAGAATATACATATTCTTTTCAAGTGCACATGAAACATATCAAAAAAAACTTCAAAGGACTGAAATAATTCAAAGTATCTTTTCTGACCACTGTTAAAATAACAAGAAATGAATCAAAAATGTATAACAAAAATATGCAAACATTTGGAAATTATCAGTATACTTCAAATAGCTCATAGGTCAAATAAGAAATCATAATAAAATTTTAAAAGATTTTGAACTGATTGTTAACACAGATATAATGTACTAAGACTTGTGAGATTTCATTAAGGCAGTGCTTAGAAGTGCATTACAATATATATTTAAAAGTGTAAGACTGAAAATCAATTATTTGAAGTTTCATATCAAGGAACTAGAAAAATAAATCAAACTTAAATAAGATAGAAGTACAATGATAGTAAGGAGCAGGGATCAACAAAATAGAAGATAAATATACAAAATAAAAATCATCAAAAGCATAACAATTTTATAATTTGAAATGCTTATAAAAAGATCCCTAGCAAGATGAAGAAAAAAGATAACATAAATGATCAATATCAGAAATAAAAAGGGGACTTCAACCCAGATTCCACAAACATTAAAATGATAATTAAATGTGATTATGAATAATTTTATGGCAATAAATCTGAAAATTTAGAAGAAACTGACGAATTTCTTGGAAAATACAACTTACCAAATTTTATACATAATAATCAAAATAACAATATTTGTATTAGAATTGTGCTATGGTTTGAACATCTGTGTCCCCTAAAATTCACATTTTAAAAGCCCAATCACCGATGTGATGATAATAGAAGTCAGGACCTTTGAGAGTCAATTAGATCATGAGAGTGCCAGCCTCTTGGATGAGATTAATGCCTTTTTTTTTTTTTTTTTTTTTTGAGACGGAGTCTCGCTCTATTGCCCAGGCTGGAGTGCAGTGGCACGATCTCGGCTCACTGCAAGCCCCGCCTCCCAGGTTCACACCATTCTCCTGCCTCAGCCTCCTGAGTAGCTGGGACTACAAGTGCCCACCACCATGCCCGGCTAATTTTTTGTATTTTTAGTAGAGACGGGTTTAGCCAGGATGGTCTCGATCTCCCGACTTAGTGATCCACTCGCCTCAGCCTCCCAAAGTGCTGGGATTAAAGGCATGAGCCACTGTGCCTGGACGCCTGATGCCCTTTTAAGAGTGGCTCCAGAGAGCCCCTTTGCCCCTTCTACCATGTGAAGACACAGTTAGAAGGCATCATCTGTGAACCAGACACTGAGTCTGTTGCTACCATGATGCTAGACTACCCAGCCTTAAGAACTGTAAAAAACAAATGCCTCTTCTTTATAAGCTACTCAGTCTAAAGTATTTTATTACAGTATCCTAAACAGACTAAGACAAATGGATTGATTATTCAAATTTCTATCAAAGGAAATAAGATTTAGGCCCAGTTGGCTTTGCCAGTGAATTCTAGTAAACTTTTAGTATAAAAAATAATTCAAATCTTTAAAAAACCTAAGATAAAAAAGTGAAACTATGTCCCAATTCATTTTATGAGGCTATCTTGTCTCAGGGTAGTACCAACAAATTGGTGTCATTCATGTTCCAAAGCTTCCTGTGGGATTAGCTAAAGCTAGAATCCAGCTGAAAGTACGACTGTGTTTAGTTCCTTCCCACGTCTTATCCTGCTTCCTCCACTCCCTTTGTTCTGAGAGCATGCTCTTAATAAATCACATGCACCTGAATTCTTGTATCAGGCTCTCTCCTTATGAAGAATCTGCCCCAAGACACTTGGTACCAGAGGCAAATTCTGAGGACAGGATTTTGAAGTTGGATCACTCACTGGTTAGCTGGCAATGAAGACTATTAGTGGTGTATGTGGAATGTTGATAGTCCCTGACATGCTGTATAAAACATCTGCTAGAACTTCATCTGTGGTGAATTGGGATGGGATGAAAGTGGGAGAAAATGCACTGGTATGTGAAATATCTGTGGTGTTTGACAGGTCTTGGGTGAAAAGCAATGTAAGAACTGTGGAGTTTAAAGTGAAAGCTGGAGGGCCTCCTTGGTAATATTTAAAGAAACTCAATCTCCCAAAGCTGGAGGTCAGGCCAAACTGAAAATCAGTCTCAGGACCTAATTGTTTAATAGGCTGAACGTCAGTCTCGACAACTCTTATGCTAAATCCAGAGTCTTGACAGGAATAGTTTGGATATAAACACTTGGGATAGGCATATCATGATATCTGATATCCTCTGAAGCACTCTGAGTCTGCAGAATTGGCCCATTCTCCTGTTTTTGAGGACAGTGGTTGTCCCTTGCTTGAAAATTATGTAAAGTCACACGTAAGGTATGTTTCCTACAAGGCAATATTTAGGTTTTACAAAATTTGCCTACACCTCTCCTGCTGGCCACCAGATCAAAAATTCCACCTTCCAAGGGAGTAAAGGGATTGTATGTCCAAGAGTTATGCTAGAATGGATCTGCTACAGAAGAAGAGAAAACACACTAGTTGTCCCTCAAGAGGGCATGGAGAACACTCTGTTCAACAAAACAATAGGAAATGCACTGGTGAAGGGGTCAGGATCATCTAGTACTCAGTAGTGGCTTTTCTCTGTAGTCCTGGGATATCAGAGGGAGGTTTTTTTGGAGAGGGGTGCTTTTTTTCCCCAGTGGCCATCTAGTGGCAATTAGGGTGATAGGATGATGCAATAGCAAAGGCAGCACTTGACTATCAGAAATAAGATGGGATAATTACTGTAATTGACAGAAGAGTCAGACTATCAGTCATAGGGTATAACTGATATACAAAGGGCTAATATAACATGGTGTCTTAACAGCATGTAGATGAGCATCCAAAAGGGTATTGTTTACTAGCTACAATCCGAAGAGTTAAGAAATAAATAAAGAGAAGACTGAGATTAACTACTCCAATGGATATCCATTCATTCTTTTTCAGTTTCCAACCTGAGTCAATTTTCAGACCCAGAGATTGCTTGCTGCCATTTATTCAAATATTCATATACTAAAAAAGAGGAAATACTCATATCTTTCAAGGGTTATTAGGTTTAGGTTCAAGTTGTCTCAGGTATCTAGGGACCTACAGTGCCATTGCAGAGCCCTGTTAGAGTAGGGCCATGTGTAGATCAGGTGATATGAAGTTTTCAATCAGGTACAGCTCACAGTGGGAAATTTGGTGGTCGTTCCTCATTTCCCAAATGTGTCATTGAAGCACTTAGTAGTTGGCGAAATTCTTTTATTAATTCCTTGATTTAGGATTAAAACAATTACAATAGAGTAAAAGCTATTATGGTTGGAAAGGCCACATAAAACTCAACACATAAAATTGATAAATGTCCAAGGAGACAGATAGCCTATATACCCTGATTTGATTGTTACACATTGTATACATGTATTAAAATACCACATATACCCCATAAATTTGCACAAATTTTACACATCAATTAAAAAAAGACTTAAAGGATGCAAGCCTCAGTTTCCATTATATCGTCATTTAATTCACCAGTTTGGTCCCAGCAAAAAATAAGATAGATCACTGTATACAATAGTGGACTACTATAAACTTAAAGAGTAATCACCCCATTTTTAGCTACTGTGCTGGATGCTGTAGCTTTACTAAATTAATATAGTCTCTGGCATGCAACATGTTTCTAGCACTTTGATGAAAGCATTCTTTTTAATACCCACTGCTATGGTTTGAATGCTTATCCCCTCCGAAACTCATGCTGAATTTAATCCTTAATGTGGCAGTATCGAGAGGTGGAGCCTTTCTATTCATGAATTAATGGATTTATGAATTAATGGGTTAATGGATTGCTGAGTTATGGGAATAGGACTGGCGGCTTTTTAAGAAGAGCGAGACCTCCGATAGCACACTCAGCCACCTCACCATTTGATTCTCTGTGCCACCTCATGATTCTCCAGACTTCCCACCAGCAAGAAGGCCCTCGGTAGATAAGGCCGCTTGACTTTGAACTTCTCAGCCTCCATAATCGTAAGAAATAAATTATTTTATTTATAAATTACCTAGTTTTAGGTATTCTCTTAAAAGCAACAGAAAATGGACTAAGACACCCATCACAAATTTATCAGAAAGAGTTCACATTTACATCATTTATTTATGGTCTTACCCAGTGGGATGTAGACTATATTTTAACATTTTGCAGGGCACCACATTGGTGCCATTGATGGTATTATATATATTATCTGGAACAGATGAGCAAGGAGTGGCAAGTACTTGAGATGCTACCTGACAGTCCTTCTTCGGTGGCCAAGAGAGAAGTGGTGAGACAAAATCTTGTCAACACAACAAACTGCAGATATCTGATGGTCATCTACTTTGTGTGAAGACAGAAGTGACCCAAAGATAGGTATTTATAGCCTCATGGGAAATAGTGAATAGTTTGGCTAGTTAGGGCCTCAAATGGGAAAAAAAATGGAATATATAGCAAGGAACTCTGAGAAAGTGGCAGGAAAGTAGACCTATAAGAATTAGTGAAATGTTTAACATCTTTTATACCACACCAGTGAGAATCCACTGTATAAGAGACAGTAAACAATCAAGTGGTCAGGACAGTTCATGTCAATCCACAAGACAGCCAAATATACCACATAAATTTTAGCTGACAGAAAGGAAATCTCTAATGGTTGGTGGAGGAGAGATATAATGACTATAAGTTTCGCCTCAAAATCAACTACAGCAGTAGGGGCTGAGCTTCACCCAACTAACCCTCGTATTATGAGTTTTCACTCAAATTTTGACCAATTAGAAATTATCCTTGTGTGTTTCATGTCCTATAAGTGTGTCCAAAAATACTACAGCATATTATAAAGAAATATTACATGTTTATTCAGCTGATATACTAACTACAATAAATAGTACATGGTTTTGTTTGTAATTTTGTTTGCCTTCTTGAATTTTATAAGCATTTGGAGGGATCATTTACATAACTTTTTTTTAAATTATACTTCCTTGACTTTAAAATACAATATGTGGCTTTAAAAATTAAGAAACATATGTAGAACAATACATGTGAAATAAAGATAAAAGAGGACATGTAAATAATAAAAAATAATGGAAATAGTTGTGTTAGAAACTTGAAATAATTTTTGCAATTGGCTCCTATGTTTCTTAATGAAAGTGTGAATTTCCTAACAATCAGGCCTTAGAAGGAAATAAAACGATAAGAGAGTTTTATATGACACCAGATATCACACTTTTTTTTTCTTCAAATTTTTGGAATGTATTTCTTAGACCTATTCTTCAGGAAAAGTTTATATGATAAGTATATATAAGCATTGAGAAAATCAATGGAGATTGTATTCAGCTGTAGATTTAGACAGAAGGCAATCCAACTAATTAATTTTTATTGAATGCTTAGTATTTGTTAGGCACATTTTGTAGATGATCTTATAGAGACTTAGAGTGATTACACAATTTATTCAAGGTTGCATCAGTAATAAGTAGTAGTCAGAACTTGAATTCAGGCCTGTCTTCCAAAGCCCACGTGAATTCTTTCTACTACCTTAGCCTGCAGAATATGCATCCTGTTCTTCATAAGATCTTATGTATATTGATTCTTTATGAAAAATGGCATCCATAATTTACATTTTCTAATACAAAGAAGACATACTTTGTGTGCTTTAAGCTAATGTAGACTAAGCATAACATCTTCTTGATCTTAATGTAAGATGAACTATCTGAAATTGTCAATATTGATCAAGTTTGATGCACATAAATGATAATACCATGTTTCAAGCTAATGGAAGGATAGACCCCTGAGAAGGAAAAAAGGAATCCGTAACAGCTGGGCCTAATATCTATGCCTGATATTGTTAAGAGCTGGACTGGCACTTATAGGTTGGCTATTGAATTTTACTGTGGGATATAAACTGTTTTAAAGATCACCAACATCTGATAACATTGCTCTGTGAATGTGGGAAGTGAAACACAAACAAGACTACTTGGTAATTATGTTTAAGTACAAACAAATTCAATGTTACTATGCAAACTTCAAAAATTACCAAATATCCCCCTTGACTCCTTGGCTAACAGGACAGAATTCTGCTTCTTTACCGTTCAGATCTGTTTTATTTTTTATTATCTCATCCTGGTAAAAATTATTAAGGTATCTAATCATAGTATTGCCCCCTCTCGAAAAGCTCCCAATCTAGAACAAGCCCCTCCTTCCTGGAACACTCCCCAACAATTATCTAATGTGAGCATAAATCCTGTAAGTCTCGTCCAAGTCCTTACTGAACCCAAATCCTATAAGTCCCTCCCAATTCCTAACTGCTCCCTATGGTGTGTGGTTTCGCTTGCTACAATCAGCGAATAAACGTAATTTTGTTTCACTTGTAGGTGTGTTGCTGGCAATATGTGGCCCCAGGGGAGAGGCAAAAGTGGAGGTTCCCGAGTCATCTGAGATTTGTTGCCTCGGAACAGGATCCACAGCTCAATAATAGTAAATATATCTGAGATTCCTTGTGTCTCTAGCTGTCTGAGGCATTACCCTACCAATGGCTGAGAGTTAAGTTCCTCTGGATTTAGACTTTGTTTGCAGGTCACTGTTAACAGAGAATATGAAACACTATGCTGTCTCACACAAGCCATTTCCATCATGCTTCTGCTGGGTGGTCGTTAGGTCAAAGCTGACCTCCTTGATAAATGCTTCAAATCATGATATGTTTTAGGATATGTTAAGGAAAGATACTATATATTAAAATCAATGCAAACAGGTGTAAAGATGACATTAGGTATGAACATTACAGAGCCTAGCACATTCAGCTTGAGACAGAGGCCATTGTAGAGTAATATAGACTGTAGGTATATGTGCAGACAGAGCCCAAACTGAGGTATTATAATTTTATTATCTACTGGGATACATATGTAAATGAAATGCTAATGTACTAGTATACAAAAATGCATGGAAGAGTTTATCTTGGCTTTTAAAAAGGTGGTTATTATTAATTGACAATCTTGACCATGAGATGATTTAATTATGAAATATATAAAACATTGGATTTGCAATATATATCCTCAATGGTCAAGGAAACAATAATTTACTATGCCTGCTTTGGCATTTGACAATAATTCTAAGTATTCTAAAATGAGACCTTTTTAAAATTATAAGACATTTCAAACAAAACACAGAAGTAGAGAATGATATATTGAACTCAAAGACAGTGGTATATATCATTCAACTTCAGAATTTTGCCATCTCATTTTATGTATCTTTTCATTTATTCCATTTCCCTGATGGATCACTTTAAAGCAAATCTGCTTAAGAAGCTTTTGGGCTGAGACTATGGGGTTTTCTAGATATAGGATCATGTCATCTGCAAACAGGGATAGTTTAACTTCCTCTCTTCCTATTTGGCTGCCCTTTATTTCTTTCTCTTGCCTGATTGCCCTGGCTAGAACTTTTACTTATAAGTGAGAACATGTGGTATTTGGTTTTCTGTTCCTGTGTTAGTTTGCTAAGGATGATGGCTTCCAGCTTCATTCATGTCCCTGCAAAGGACATGATCTTGTTCTTTTTTATGACTGCATAGTATTCCATGGTATACATGTACTACATCTTTTTTAATCCAGTCTATCACTGATGGGCATTTAGGTTGATTCCATGTCCTTGTTAATGTGAATAGTGTTTCAATGAACATGCACATTCATGTGTCTTTATAATAAAACGATTTATATTCCTTTGGGTATATGTATACCCAGTAATAGAATTGCTGGGCCAAATGGTATTTCTGTCTTTAGGTCTTTGGGGAATCACCACATGGTCTTCCACCTATGTAACACACCTGCCCATATACCCCTCCCCTGAACTTAAAGTAAATGTTTAAAAAAAGTAAATCTCAAGTATGTATAATTTTACTGGTTTACATCTAAGCCTGATTATATCAAGATATTTTTGAAAATAACTAGCCAAATGTCTGCATGTATTTTAAGATGTCTGTTACCATATGTTAGTAAAACAATTTCAATAGAGGAAAAGGCTTATTCTCTTCTTCTATATGCTTATTTGCTAGGGCAGATGGGAAAACAAATTATTTAGATATTAACTTTAGAAGAAAGGCATTTGCATTGTTTTGATTTACTCGATTTATAACTTAATTTACAAAAAAATTATCTGAGTCAGTAGCAATAGGTACAGAATTTGAAAAAAAAATTAAAACTTAAATACTGAGGAGGAAAAGCAAGATAGCCAAATAGAACCCTCTAGTGATCATCCTCCGCTCCTCTACAGGAACACTAAATTGATCAACGATCCACACAAGAAAGCACCTTCATGAGAACAAAAAATCAGATGAGCAGTCACAGTACCTGGTTTTAAAATCCTATTAAAGAAAAAGGCACTGAAGATGGTAGAAAAGCCACTCCTGAATTGCTGTCACCAGTCCTCTCCCATCCTGCATCAAGTGGGCTCCTGGGGTCCTTGATGCAAGGCCTTGGTCCCCAAAAAGCACTTTTTGACCCACCTTGGGACAGAGGGGAGCCCACTGACCTGAACAGAAAGACCCAGGTCTGGCAGCATTCACCACAAGCTGACTGAAGAGCCCTTGGGCCTTGAGTGAGCATCGGCAGTAGCCAGGCAATACTTGCTGCAGGCCTGGGGTGGTGATGGCCATGGGGAGAGGCTCCTTCTGCTTGAGGAAAGAAGAAAGGAGAGTGAGAAGGACTTTGTCTTGTGACTTGGGTGCCAGCTTAACCACAGAAAAATAGGGCACTGGGTAGATTCCCAAGGTTCTCATCTCTAGGCTGTGGTTCCCAAACAACATTTCTGGACCTGCCCTGGGCTGTGGGGAGCTCACTACCCCAAAGGGAAGGCCAGAAGCCTGGCTGGCTTTGCCACCTGTTAATTGTAGAGCCCTTGGGCCTGGAGGGAACATGGGCAGTAACCAGGCACCGGTTGCCAAGAGCCTTGGGTGAGAAGCAGTGCTCTGCTGGCTTTGGGTCTGACCAAGGGCAGTCCGAGTGGTGGTGGCCACAGCGGTGCTTGTGTCACCCCTCCCTCAGCTCCAGACAGCTCAACGAAGAAAGAGAGGCTCAATTTGTTTGGTGGAAAAGTAAGGGAAGAGAACAAGAGTGTTTTCCTGGTGATTCAGAAAATTCTCCTAGATCTTACTCAAGACCACAAATGTGATACCTCTACGAGTCTTCAAGAGTCACAGTGTCACTGGGCTTGAGTTGCTTCCTAATGCAGATATGGCTGCAGTGACCAAAGACTTAGAATACAACACATAATTCCCTTTGACTACTTGGAAAGCCATCCCAAGAAGAATGAATACAAATATGCCTAGACTATGAAGATTGCAATAAATGCCTAACTCTCCAATGCTAGACACCAATGAACATCCACAAGCATCAAGACCATCCAGGAAAATATGATCTTACCAAAAAAACTAAATTCGGCACCAGTGACCAATCCTGGAGAGACAGAGATATGTGACCTTTCAGACAGATAATTCAAAATAGATATTTTGAGGAAGCTCAACAAAATTTAACACAATACAGAGAAGGAATTCAGAATTCTATGGATAAATTTAACAAAGAGTTAGAGATAATTTAAAAAGAATCAAGCAGAAGTTCCAGAGCTGAAAAGTTCAAATGATATACTGAAGAATGTATCATAGTATCTCAGTGGCAGAGTTGATTAAACAGAAGAAAGAATTAGTGAGCTTGAAGATAGGGTATTGAAAATACATAGAGGAGACAAAAGACAAAAGACTAAAGCATGCCTAAAAGATCTGGAAAATAGCCTCAAAGGGCAATTCCCAGAGTTATTGGCCTTAAAGAGGCGGTAGAAAGAGAGATCAGGGTAGAAAATTTCTTCAAAGAATAATAACAGAGAACTTTTCAATCCTAGGGAAAGATATTAATATTCAAGTACAAGAAGGTCAGAGAACATGAAGCAGATGTAACCCAAAGAAGACTACCTGAAGACATTGAAAAATCAAACTCCCAAAGGGCAAGGATAAAGAAAGAATCCAAAAAGTAGAAAGATAAAAAAACAACAACAATGGAGCTCCAATACATCTGGCAGCAAACTTTTCAGTGGAAACTTTACAGGCCAGGAGACAGTGGCATGACATATTCAAAGTATGAAGGTGAAAAAAACCTTTTACCCTAGAATAGTACATCTGGTGAAAATATTCTACAAACATGAAGGAGAAATAAGTACTTCCAAACAAAGTGAAAGCTTTGGCTATTCATCAACACCTGACCTGTCCTACAAAATACACTAAAAGGAGTTCTTTAATCTGAAAAAAAGGTTGTTAAGCAGTAAGAAATTATCTGAAGGTACAAAACTCACTGGTAATAGTAAACACACAAACATGGATTTTTAAAATGTTAATGTATTTTATTTAACTTGAAATATCTAAAATGTTATTTCAACATGTAATCAATATCAATTATTATCAAAATTCTTTTGGTATTTTTTTCTAAGTTTTTAAAAATTGTATTTTAGGTTCAGATGTATATTTGCAGGTTTGTTATAGAGACAAACTCATGTCACAGAGGTCTGTGGTACAGATTATTTCATCACCCAGGTACTAAACCTAGTACCCAATAGTTATTTTTTTCTGCTCCTCTCCCTTCTCCAATCCTCCACCCTCAAGTAGTCTAAAGTGTCTGTTGTTCTCTTCTTTGTGTTCATGAGTTCTCATTATTTAGCTCCCATTTATAAATGATAACATGTGGTATTTGGTTTCTTGTGTTAGTTTGCTAAGGATAATTATAGCCTCCAGCTCCACCTATGTTCATGCAAAAGACATGATCTTGTTCTTTTTTATGGCTGCATAGTATTTCACGGTGTATTTGTACCACATTATCTTTATCCAGCCTGCCATTTATGGGCATTTAGGTTGATTCCATGTCTTTGCTATTGTGAATACTGCTGTGATGAACATAGGAGTGCATGAGTCTTTATGGTAGAATGATTTATATTCTTCCAGGTATATTGCTGGGTCAAATGGTAATTATAATTTTAGGTCTTTGAGTTATTGTCATACTGCTTTCCAGAATGGTTGAAATAATTTACACTCCCACCAATGGTCTATAAGCGTTCCTTTTTCTCCACAACCTTGCCAGCATCTGTTCTTTTTTGACTTTTTAGTAATAGCCATTCCACTGGTGTGAGACGGTATCTCACTGTGATTTTGATTTGCATTTCTCTAATTATCAGTGATATTGAGCTTTTTTATATATTCTCGTTGGCTGTATGTATGTCTTCTTTCAAAACATGTCTGTTCATGTCCTTTACCTGCTTTTTAATGAGGTTGTTTGTTTTTCTCTTATAAATTTGCTTAAATTTCTAATAGATGCTACATATAGGAGCTTTTTTCAGATGAATAGTTTGCAAGTATTTCCTCCCATTCTGTATGTTGTCTGTTTACTCTGTTGATATTTTCTTTTGCTGCACAGAAATTTAATTAGATTCAATTTGCCAATTTTTGCTTTTGTTGCAATTACTTTTGACATCTTTGTTATAAAATCTTTGCCTGTTTCTTCGTCCAGGATGCTATTGCTTAGATTGTTTTACAGAGTTTTTATAGTTTTGGAGTTTACATTTAAGTCTTTAATCCATCTTGAGTTGATTTTTGTTTACGGTGTAAGGAAGGCATCCAGTTTCAATCTTCTGCATATGGCTATCCAGTTATCCCAGCACCATATATTGAATAGGGAATCTTTTCCCCATTGCTTGTTTCTGTAAGCTTTGTCAAAGATGAGATGGTTCTAGCAGTGTGGCATTATTTCTGGACTCTCTATTCTGTTCCATTGATCTATGTGCCTGCTTTTATACCACTATCATTCTGTTTTGGTTATTGTAGCCCTGTAGTATAGTTCATAGTCAGGTAACATGATGTCTCCTGGTTTGTTCTTTTTGTTTAGTATTGCCTTGGCTATTTTGTCTTTTTTCACTCCCTGTGAATTTTTAAATACTTTTTTTCTAGTTCTGTGGAGAATTTCATTGGTAGTTTGTTGGAAATAGCATTGCATCTGTAAATTGCTTTGGATAGCATGGCCATTTTATTGATACTGATTCTTCCTATTCATGAGCAGGTAAAGAGTTTATGTTTGTTTGTGTTTTCCCTGATTCTTTGAGCGATATTTTGTAATTCTCACTGTAGAGATCTTTCATCTCCCTGGTTGGCCAAATTCCTTGGTATTTTATTTTTTTTGTGGCAATTGTGAATGGAGTTGCCTTCCTGATTTGGCTCTTGGCTTAGCTGTTTTTGATGTATAGGAATGCTAGTGATTTTGTACATTGATTTTGTGTCCTGAAACCTTGCTGAAGTTGTTTATCAGCTAAAGGAGCTTTTGAGCTGAGACTGTGGGGTTTTTTAGATGTAGAATAACGTCGTCAGAAAACTGGGTAGTTTAACTTTCTGTCTTCCCATTTGGATGCTCTTTATTCCTTTCTCTTGCTTGATTGCTCTGACCAGGACTTCCACTAATGTGTTGAATAGGAGTGGTGAGAGAAGGCATCCTTGTCTTGTGCTGGTTTTCAAGGAAAATGCTTCCAGCTTTTTTGTTCATTCAGTATGATGTTGGATGTGGGTTTGTCATAGATGGCTCTTTTTATTTTGCCATATGTTCCTTTAATACTTATTTCATTGAGAGTTTTTAACATGAAAGGATGTTGAATTTCATTGATAGTCTTTTCTGCAATTATTGAGATAATCATGTGATTTTTGTTTTTAGATCTGTTTATGAAACAGTATATTATAACGCCAGTAATGGTGTGGAAACTACTCATATCTTGAGTATAAAGGCTAAAAGATAAAATTATAAAATCTACAACTTTTCAGGAAATAATAAAATAAGATATAATATAAACAACATAAAGTTAAAAAGTTGGGGGATGAGATTAAAGTGTAAAGTTTTCATTAGATTTCTCTTTGCTCGTTTGTTTATTAGTTTGTTTTTGCAGTGAGTGTTAAGTTGCCATTGGTTTAAAATAATTGGTTATAAGATGTTATTTGCAAGTCTCCGGGTAACCTCAAATCAAAAAGCTTCCCAAAGATACATAAAAAATAAAAAGCAATAAATTAAAACATACCACTGGAGAAAATCACCTTCAAAACAAAGAAGGAAGGAAGAGAAGTCTACAAAACAAACAGAAAAAAAATAACAAAATGGCAGTAGTAAGTCCTTAGTTATCAAGAATAAAATTGAATATAAATGGACTAACTTCTCTAATCAATAGATAGAGAGAAGCTGAATGAATTAAAAAAAATATATAAGACCCAACAGTCCATTCCTTGCAAGAAACACACTTCACCTATAAAGAAACACATAACTGAAAAGAAAGGAATGGAAAAAGATATTCCTTGCAGTTGAAAAAAAAAAAAAGCAGGAGTAGCTATACTTATAGAAAACAAAATAGATTTCAGACAATTCTACAAAAAGAAACAAGGTCATTACATAATGATGAAGATATCATTATATAATGATCAAAAGGGTATAACAACTTTAAATATATATGCACCCAACACTGTAGCACTCAGATATATAAAGCAAATATTATTAGAGCTAAAGAGAGAGATGGATCCCAATGTAATAATAACTGGAGACGTCAACACCCAACTTGCATTATTGGACAGACATTCCAGACAGAAAATCAACAAAGAAACATTGGAATTAATCTGCACTATAGACCAAATGGACCAAATAGATATTTACAGAACATTTCGTCCAACAGCTGCAGAATGCATACTCTTTTCCTAGCACATGGATCATTCTCAAGGACAGAAAATACATTAGGCCAAAAATAAGTTTTAAATTTTTTTTAAAAAATTAAAATATTATACAAATGTCTGCTCTGACCACAATGGAATAAAACTAGAAATCAATAAGAAGAGGAACTTTGGAAACCATACAAACACATGGAAATTAAGCAATATGCTCCCAAATGACC
The DNA here is from genome assembly GCF_000001405.40 of Homo sapiens. Taxonomy (NCBI): domain Eukaryota; kingdom Metazoa; phylum Chordata; class Mammalia; order Primates; family Hominidae; genus Homo; species Homo sapiens. The sequence goes on along the minus strand of NC_000008.11, from coordinate 76,495,279 downwards.
AGTGGGTCAATTAAAAATTAAGAAGAAAATTTAAAAATTTCTTGAAACAAATGAAAATGGAACCACAACATACCAAAACCTGTAGGATACAGCAAAAACAGTACTAAGAAGAAAGTTTATAGCAATAAGGAACTACATCAAAAAGTAGAAAAACTTCAACTAAACAACCTAACGATGCATCTTAAAGAACTAGAAAAACAAGAACAAACCAAAGCCCAAATTATCAGAAGAAAAGAAATGATAATGATCAGAGCAGGAAAAAAATGAAATTGAAAGAAAAAGTACAAAAGATCGACAAAACTAAAAGTTTTTTTTTAAAAAGATAAACAAAATCAACAAACATTTAGCCAGACTAAGAAAAAAAGAAAAGGCCCAATTAAAGAAAATCAGAGATGAAAAAGGATACAGTATAACTGATACCACAGAAATTCAAAGAATTATTAGAGCCTACTATGAGCAATATATGTCAACAAATTGGAAAACCTAGAAGAAATGGATAAATTTCTAGACTCATACAACCTGCTAAGATTTAACCATGAAGACATCCAAAATATGAACAGATCAATAACATGTAATGAAACCAAAGCTGTAATAAAATGTCTTCCAGCAAGGAAAAGCCTGAGATACAACGACTTTACTGCTGAATTTTACCAGACATTTAAAGAAGAACTAAAATGAATTCTGCTCAAGCTATTCTGAAAAATAGAAGAGGAGAGAATACTTCCAAACTCATTCTATAAGGCCAGTATTATTCTGAAATGAAAACCATACAAAGACACATCAAAAAAAGAAAACTACAGGCCATTATCCCTGTTGGACATTGATCCAAAAACCTCAACAAAATTCTAGCAGACCAAATTCAACAATACATATACAAGATCATTCAGCATGCATAACCAAGTGGGATTTATCCCCGGGATGCAAGGATAATTCAACATATGTAAATCAATCAGTGTGATAGGTCATATCAACAGGATGAAGGATACAAATCATATATTAATTCAATTAATGCTGAAAAAGTATTTTATAAAATTCAACATCCTTTCATGACAAAAACCCTCAAAAAACTGGGTGCAGAAAGAACATACCTCAACACAATAAAACCATATACAATATCCCCACAGGTAGTGTCGTACTGAGTGGGTTAAAACTTAAAGCCTTTCTTCTAAGATTTGTAACAAGACAAGGATGCTGACTTTCACCACTGTTATTCAACCTAGTACTGGAGATCCTGGCTAGAACAATCAGACAAGAGAAAGAAACAACATGCATCCAAATTGGAAAGGAGGAAATCAAATTATTCTTGTTTGCAGATGATATGATCTTATATTTGGAAAAGCCTTAAAACTCCATGAAAAAACTGCTAGAACTGATAAGCAAATTCAGTGAAATTGCAGGATATAAAATCAGCATACAAACGTTTACAGCATTTCTGTATGCCAACAGCAAATAATCTGAAAAGGAAATCGAGAAAGTAATCCAATTTACAATAGCTGCAGATAAAATAAAATACCCGAGAATTAACCAAAGAAGTGAAAGCTCTCTACAGTGAAAACTATAAGACATCGATGGAAGAGATTGAAGAGGACACATGAAAAATGGAAAGATATTCCATACTCATCAGTTGGAAGAATCAGTATTGCTAAAATCTCCATACTACCCAAAGCAGTCTACAGATCAGTGCAATCTCTATCCAAATATTAAGGACATTCTTCACAGAAATAGAAAAAAAATCCTAAAATTTATGTGGAACCACAAAAGACATAGACTAGCCAAAGCCATTCTGAGCAAAAAGAACAAAACTGGAGGAATCATGTTACCTGACTTCAAATTATACTACAGATAAATAGTAGCCAAAACAGCATGATACTAGCATAAAAACAGGCACATATACCAATGGAACAGAATAGAGAGCCCAGAAATAAGTCCATACATCTACAATGAACTCATTTTAAATGATGGTGCCGAGAACATACACTGGGGAAAGGACAGTTTCTTCAATAAATGGTGCTAGAAAAACTGGATATCCATACAAAGGAATGAAACGAGACTCCTCTCTCTCACCATATACAAAAATTAAGTCAAATGAATTAAAGACTTACATCTGAGATCTTAAACTATGAAACTATTAAAATAAAACATTGGGGAAATTCCAGGATGTTGGACTGGACAAAGATTTTTTGAGTAATACCCCATAAGCACAGGCAACCAAGGCAAAAATTGATAAATGGGATCACATCAAGTTGAAAAGCTTCTGCAAGGCAAAGAAAACAATCAACAAAGTGAAGACACAACCCACAGAATGAGAGAAAATATTTGCAAACTATCTATGTGACGAAGGATTAATAACCAGAATATATAAGGAGCTCAAACCACTCTATTTATAAAAGGTAATAAATCTGATTTAAAAATTAGGAAAAGATCTGAACAGACGTTTCTCAAAAGAAGACATACAATGGCAAACAGATATATGAAAAGGTGCTCAACATCATTGATAATCATAGAAATGCAAATCAAAATTGCAGTAAGATACCATCTCATCCCAGACAAAATGGCTTTTTTTTTTTTTTTTTTTTTGAGATAAGAGTCTCAAACTGTTGCTTGGGTTGGAGTGCAGTGGCGAGATCTCGGCTCACTGCAACCTTTGCCTCCTGGGTTCAAGAAATTCTCCTGCCTCAGCCTCCTAAGTAGCTGGGATTACAGTCACCCACCACCACACCCGGCTAATTTTTAGTAGATACGGGGTTTCACTATGTTGGCCAGGCTGGTCTTGAACTCCTGACCTCTTGATCCGCCTGCCTTGGCCTCCCAAAGTGCTGGGATTAAGGCGTAAGCCACAGTGCCCAGCCTCAAAATGGCTTTTATCCAAAGGACAAACACTAACAAATGCTGGCGAAGAGGTGGAGAAAAAGGAACCCTGTACACTGTAGGTGGGAATGTAAATTAGTATAGCCATTATGGAGAACAGTATGAAGGTTCCTCAGAAAACTCAAAATAGAAGTACCCTATGATCCAAAAATCCCTCAGCTGGCTATATCCAGAAGAAAGGAAATCAGAATATCGAAGAGATGTCTGCACTCTGTGTTTATCGCAACACTATTCCCAATAGCCAAGATTCGAAAGCAACCTAAGTGTCCATCAACAGAAGAATGGATAAAGAAAATGTGGTACATATACACAATGAAATACTATTCAGCCCTAAAAAGAATGAGATTCTGTCATTTGCAACAACGTGGATAGAATTGTGTTAAGTGAAATAAACCAGGCACAGAAAGACATTGGTGGGAGCTAAAAATTAAGACAATGGAACTCATGGATATAGAGAGTGCAATAATTGTTACACAGGCTGGGAAAGGTAGTGGGTGAGGGGGCATGTGAGGATGGTTAATGGGTACAAAAATGTAATTAGATAGAATAAATAAAATCTAGTATTTGATAGCACAACAGGGTGATTGCAGTCAACAAAAAATGTTTTGTATATTTAAAAATAACTAAGAGTATAATGGAACGTTTGGAACACAAAGAAATGATAAATTCTTGAGACAATGGGCACTCTCTTTACCCTGTTGTGATTATTGTACATTGTATGTCTTTATCAGTATATCTCATGCACCCCATAAATATATACACCTACTATATACCCATAAAAATTAAAAACCTTTAAAAATTAAAACTTTTGAATTGATTCCCCAATTGCTTCCTCTTTTACCCCACAACTAGAATTCCATTCTTTTTCTCATCTGTTTCTTTTACAACTGTTGGGAGCACTTAGAATACTCTCAGCTTAGTACCTTTGATACTGGGGCAGATACTTTGTAATCCTTTTCTCTCTTATTTCACACCCAGAGCACATTATTTTTATTTCCTTTTCTATTATTTTCAATAATAATAAAATTAAATCAAAAATAATAATCAGAAAAAATGAACAAGAAAAAAGTAACAGATATTTCCAAAGGAGTAAATTCTCTATGGTTTAGAGAATAGTTTGTATGTATTATTAAAATGACAAAACTGAAATAACTCAAGTTCCATTTTTTTTATTTTACAGGTCACTGTACTGTCATTGTTTATTTGAAATCTAAAGGTGTAATGCAAGAATATGCAAGACCACAGGGACTGGAGACACAAAGAGCATCTGAAGAGAGCTTGAATGACTCCCAACAGTTCCAGTCTCAAAGTTACCATGTGCAGCACAGTCAGGGCAGGTCTGTCTAACTGGGCTTCCTTGAATTAACTTCCACATAGAATACATTGTTTATTAAAGAATAAGTATTTTTTTCTAGCTTAAATCTTGCGTGTATATAATATTATTAAATCTCAATGGGAACCTCAGGAATTGTTTTGAAATTAGATCTACCAAAGATGTTTCTCAAGGAGGAGTATTTTATTTTTGAATTGTTTAGAATTGCTGGAACACAGTGATAATAGTAGGGCAAATCATAGCCAATTTGTTATTGTTATTAAATTCTCTGTAGACAATGCACACTCTTGTCTGTACTGGGGAAGACTGCACCGTCTGCTCCACTCTTTGTACACTATGTGTCAGCTTTGACTTAACCATTTTTACTACATTTCTGTATTAGATTCCAAGTTTCAAAGAGAAGGTATATTGTATACTGTCTTCTTCCCTAACCTTATATCCTTTTGCTCCACATTTTATTACAGCCATGATGACCCATTTTACGTCAAATTGATCAGATCATGAAATATCCAAATATTTGGTGAAAAATTATCCTAGGTGTTTCTGTGAGAGTATTTTTGGATGAAATTAACCTTTTAATCAGTAGAGAAAATTGCCCTCCATAATGTGTGCGGGCCTCATCCAATCAGTTGAAGACCCCAAAAGAATAAAAATATTGACTGTCACTTCCCTGAGCAAAATAATTTTCCAACAGACTCCCTTTGGACTTCATCTACACCATTGGCTTTCCTGGGTCTTGAGTGTGCTGGTCCACACTGCAGATTTAGATTGCCAGTCTCCATAATGCATGAGCCAATTATAATAAATCACTTCACACACAAATTCTATTAGTTCTATTTCTCTGGAGTAACAAACAGCTTCTTAAAGGTGCCACTTGACAGAACTTCAGTATAATTGTTCTACGTAGATCTCACTTTCTTGGAACTATGCTAACTCTGTTGTTATTCGTTAAAATATAGACCAGAGGCACACTGATTGACTTGACATATCACAGTACACTAGGCTAGTTCACCATATTGGTGGCATACTAATAGCACCTATTGAAAAGAAGCTAGTAAATATTTTGAATACCTTAACAAGGCATGTAAATGAAAGTGAAGGAGAGATAACCCCATGAAGATCCAAGACCTTGCCAGACTGATAAAATTTTTCTGGACCTTGCTGATATACCCTATAAAATTAAATGGTCATTATAGAAAACGGTATGGAGTTTTCTCAAAAAAATAAAAATAGAACTTCCAAATTATTCAGTAATACAACTACTAGGGATATATCCAAAGAAAATGAAATTAGTATGTCAAAGAGATATCTGTACTACCATGTTCATTGTTGCACTATTCACAATAGCCAAGTTATGGACTCAAACTGACAGTCCATCAATAGATTACACACACACACACATATATATAAATATATATAATATTATATATGTAAAATATTATATAAAAATATATAATATATATATATAATGGAATACTATTCAGCCTTAAAAATGAAGGAGATCCTGTCATTTGCAACAATGTGGATGAACCTGGGGAACATTATATTGAGTTAAACAAGCCAGGCACAGTAGAATGGTGATTACCAGGGGCTGGGAGGTGGGAAGTTGGGAAGATGTTGGGCATGGGATACAAAATTTCAGTTAGACAAAAGGAATAAACTCAAGAAATCTATTGTAACACGTGGTGACTATAGTAAACAAAAATGTATATATAATATCTTGAAAATCACTAAGAGTAGATTTTAAGTGTTCTCACCACAAAAAATGATTAGTATGGAAGGTAAAGTGCATGTTACTTAGCTTGATTGAGCCATTCCACAACATATATATATTTAAGAGCTAACGGTGTATTACAATAAATATGTACAATTTTAATTTGTCAATTTAAGAAATTCATGGAAATGTATGAACTTTGCATCCCCTAAAACTAAGAAAGTAATGGATTATTGATGAGCCTCATTGGATTTTGTAGGCCATATACTGCATATGGTAATTCTGCTCCAGTCTACATACCTGGTGACTACTAGTTTTGAGTGGGACCCATAGGAAGAAAGAACTGTGAAGTAGGTTCAGGCTGAGGTTTAAGCTGCCCTGTCATTTGGATTGTATTACTCAGCAAATTGGATGGTGCTGGAGGTATCCATTGGATGAGGATATTGTGTGGTGTCCCTATCATACCCTAATAGAGTCACAGTGCAAACCATTATAGTTGTGGAGCAAGAGGAGGAAAACGTAGCATTTGGCATATCTTCTGGAATGACACTGGGCCCCACTAAAGACTGAACACCTGACTGTGGACAACAATGGTTTGTCCATAACAAATTGAGTATTATTACATTCTATGAGGCATACATTTGGGTTAGTACAAAAACAATCCATTTCATGATTGAAATGATATATTCAAGAGTGAATCCAAGCAGATCCCAGAGGGTAAAAATAACTTACATGAACAGGTTGCACAGGTTACTATGTCATCTACCTACGTTGCACTGATGCCTCTCTCCTTGAAATTACACATATGAATTCAGGGGCTGGGCAGTGTATTGGATTGGCAGTATCATAGTTCAACATAATGTACTGATGATTACCAATGGTTTCAGTATGTTTTGCTACTATAACAGAATACCCAAGACTGGGTAGAAAGGTTTATTTAGTTCACTGTTCTGCAGGCTGGGATGTTCAAGGACATGGACCTGGCTACTGAGGAGGGCTTTTGTGCTGCATCATAACATGGTAAAGAAGGTCAAAAGAGAGGCAGACATGTGCGAAAAGACAAAACCCAAGGGGCATCCTTACTTTATACAACCCATTTTGGAGGGAACTAATCCATTCTGGCAAGAACTAATTCAGTCTTGAAGAATGAGAACTCACTTACTAATGAGAAAGTGGCACCAAGTCAGTTATGTGGAATCTGCCCCCCTGACCAAAACACCTACTACTGGGCCACACCTCCCAACATCACTATGTTGCAGATCAAATTACAAAAGTTTGAATTTTGGTGGGTATAAACCAAACCATAGTACCAATGAAAAATGGTGTTGCTTCTCTGTAATGAGTGAAGGGACTCAGGAAATTAACTGACACCATTTTTGGTGTTTTCAGGCTTGCAGGGCCAGTGGGAGCAAACATGCCTGACTAGGTAAAGCAACAAAGGCCTCTAACAGTGTTGGAGATGAAAAGCTGAGTCATAATACCAGGCAAGTCATACCACTTGACCTGTTTAAATGCTGGCCAAGAGTGAGATCAATCTAGAACATGTGGTAAAGAAAGGAGATTATGAGTATCAATTACGGCCTCAAGATCAGTTGCAACAGCAAAGACCTCATTCCACTCGTCCTCCTATATTTTCTTTTGGAGAGATTGGGGCTAGCCACCACCTTGATGTTTTGGGGCTTAAGGTCATGAATTATCTAAAAGCTACACATGACTGTATTGGGTGACTCTTGAGGTCCACCTCTCAACTTCTATATTGCTCTAGCCCAGAGATTCTCGAAATGTAATCCCTGAACCAGCAGCCTCAGCATCACCCTGCCTCTATCCCCCGGTGATTCTGATGCACTCTGAAGTTTGAAAACTACTGCTGTAGCCATTTCTGTGCCAATTGACATCAAGCAGGTGTAATTTGCCAGGACATTATTTGAGCATCTATTACATTTTTGGTTCCCTAATGGCAGTGTTTATATACTGGTTTGGCAGAAAGATCCATGGCACCATGCATCTTATCTGGGGTTCCCTAGTTATAGGGACTTCCTAATGATGTGGTAACAGAATAATAGGAGTAGGATTAAGATGATGGATTTCAAGGTTTAAATAATATGCAGATATCTATAATAATGTCAGGCATTTTGAAATAACATGAGGAATTTTTTTTAAGTTTTATTTTTTTCTGGTGGAAGCTAGAGTTCAAGCATAGTTCTGGGGTAGAAAGGTGAGAATCAAACGCTCCCACTAACAACTTTACACCATTTGAACATTCTTCTCCCATTTTAATTCTCCTGATAATGAAAACAGTTCAATCTCTGATCATCTATATCATTTAAAAGATGACAATTTATCTAGATAAGCAGGCCATTTGTTTCATGGATGACTATTTTCTTTTAATAATTAGCACCAAACAATTATGCCATAACTCTTAAGATGGAGACAGTGACTTTGCTACAAAATGGTTGTCTTAACCAAAAATCACAGTAAAATAGAGAAGTAATGAAAAATAGCATTTGACATATATTTTAATAAAATTTGTGGCCAAATACAGCAACAAAATTATTCTTTTTCTCAATTTTCAAGTTGCGCCGTAAGTACTTTACATTCAAGGCAAATCACTCTCCCCATAGCAAGCAATGATGACCTGAAAGATGTGTTGTCCCACTTGAGAAGATCCCTTAAGAGCAGCACAACTGTCATTACAGGCAACCTGAAGACTCTCAGTATGTTCTACATTAGAGAATATCAGTTATGTATTAATTAAAGCTATATATAGAGAACAAGATTACCTAATTAGGTTAACTGTATTCCAAGATCAACTTTCACTGAAGGAGAGGTATCACCTGGAATTTTTACAAAGTTATTTAATTCTCCATTTGTTTGTTTAGGTATGAAGTAAAGGAAAGAATCAGATCTGTGATGACATTTCCATCTCTTTTTGCAAAACAAAAGAAATCATTGAACATATATTTTATAGTAAACTTCCATTGGACAGCATAGGTATTTGTACTAATTAATTTTTATTATTCTCTACCACATAAGTAAATCACTTATTTTCATAAGTGAGGTAATCTGTGATAATATTACTTACAAGTTTCTTATAATCATTATATTATTTGTGGTTTCTAATGAAAACATATGGTAGGTTAAAAAAGAGTTTTGGATGTGCTGGGTTAAGTTTTGGGTCTTGATTTAAAAGAAAATTATAAAGTTGAAAATTTTAAGAAGCTAAAATCATAAGATTGTTTCTTTTTAGGGGAAACTAATGGAATTACAATTACAATGTCATAGGAAAATTTATGTCTTTTTGACTCTATAAATAAAAGAAGCTAAAAGTTAGTAATCTCAATTAAAGTTGAAGAAATGAGCATATGATACAGCACAATAAATGTGAGATATAAACCCTGATATTATATTCATTTGCAATAAAAATATAAACCTTTCAAATATATATTCATTGATTGCCTACTAAGTAAAGCTACACACAGTGAATATACGATGGGGTTTTGCCTACAGGTAACATATTTTCAAATGGAAATATACTTATAAGTATACTTATAAGTATATTATGAGTAAAAAAGGAACGCATAATACATTAGAGGTGTCAAGAAAAAATATTTTCTAGACTAGAACTTATGTCTCTTTTAATGCTGTTAAGCTCAGTGCTTCTCAAAACACTTGGGTCACAGTAGATCTTCAAGTGATATTTGTTTTGATAACGAGTGAAAAAATGTGATATGGTTTGTCTTTATGCCCCCACCCAAATCTTATCTTGAATTGTAATCTCATAATTCCAAAGTGTTTAGGGAGGGACCCTGTGGGAGGTAACTGAATCATGGAGTTGGTTCCCCCAATGCTGCTCTTGTGATAGTAAGTGAGTTCTCATGAGATCTCATGGTTTTATAAGAGGCTTCTCCCTTCGCTAGGTTCTCATTTTCTCTCCTGTCACCCTGTGAAGAGGTGCCTTCCACCATGACTGTAAGTTTTCTGAGGCCTCCCCAGCTATGCAGAACTGAGCCAATTAAACCTCTTTTCTTTATAAATTACCCAGTCTTGGATATTTCTTCATGGTAGCATGAGAATGAACTAATATAGAATGAATTAAAGACTTATTTTGGAAAAAGTGGTTTATAATGATCTAGCAGTTGTTAACACCTCTTCAAGATATGAGATAGTTAATATAGGAAATATTTTATGTGCTCAATAAAGTTCATGTTACTACAAGTACTAGCTTTAAAACTATCAAAATGAGGGTAATGACAATCCATTGGAAACCTTTCTTTTTTTTTTTTTTTTCCCAGCATTTTTTCCTCTATTTCCTCTCCATTTCCTCGGGCCCACACCTTTTCTAACTGCCAGTATACCAAAACTTCCCTTTAATAAATTATTTAAGAAGGAATGTTACTATTTTGCTCTTAAAATTTTTCATTCTGGATTACAAAGGATGTAGAGTTTTTTTTCCTAAAGAGCCAAGTGGTCATAACTATTTAAATTAGGTGAGGGGTTCCCGTGTTTTCCTGTTTTCTCTACTTGTGATAAATTTGAAAATTTAAATTATATAATTTTATGAGAAATATTAGACAAAGGAGATAGGACTAGCTGCCTAAATAGTGTGCATATAATGTATCAATTACAAATGTGTAAAGTGATGGTTGAATTTATTTTTTTCTTTTAGTTCACAAGTATTAATCAATTAGAATTTATTTTTTTCTTTTAGTTCACAAGTATTAATCAATTAGGACCATTGTGGGCATACAAACATATTCTATGTTGACTTTGTCTAATATTTTTTAACTATCATTGGAATAGTTTCTTATAAAACATATCTATCATTGGAATAGTTTCTTATAAAACATATCTAAGTAAAAGTTATAACCATGCTTTTGTTGTTATTGAAAAATAATAAATACATGTAAGTGTAAAACAAAATATTATTCATATTTTTTAAATAAAAATTATAGAATAAAGAAGAGAAAAAACTTTTTATAACTTAGTGTTATCAACATTTTAGATTTATCTGCAAATATAGATTAGGTTTACAAGAAGAGATATTAATACTTTCATTGTAGGAGCATAATATTACTAATATAAACAGTATATTGCTTGCTATGGACTGAATTGTGCCTCCCCACAATTCATATGTTGAAACCCTATCCCTCAATGTGGTTCTATTTTGAGATGGGGCCTTTGGCAGGTAATTACCTTTAGGTGAGATCATGATGGTAAAAGGTCCTCATAATGGGATTAGTGCCCTTATCAGAAAAGATCAAAGAGCTTGCACTCCTTCTCTCTTTCTAGCATGTGAGAAGAACAACAAGAAAGCTGGGGTCTGCCAGAGAAGACGGAAGCCCTCACATTAAACTGAGTCAGCTGGCATCTTGATCTTGGACTTTCAAATCTCCAGAACTGTGAGAAATAAATGTTAGTTGTTTAAACCACCCAGTCTATGGTATTTTGTTATAGCAGCCCAAGCAGACCAAGACACTACTTTTCTACTTTTAAAAAATTTACACTTTCTGCAGGTTAGCAGTCAGCTGAATATTGATAAAGAAAGAGTATATCATTTCAAAAATAAAAAATTGGTTTGGCAACATACATTTAACTTTTTATAAAATGGGAATATGACCCAAGTAACATGTGTTATCAGCCTAAGATGTATTTATTTTGTCATCAATGTAGTGCTAAGTAATAGTTTTAGTAATATACGTTCAAAAATCTAGAATTAAACTTTCTACACACTGGAGCAGTCCTGTACATTTTGGAAGACATTTAGGGTCAGTGTCTTTGAAATATTAAGGCAGTTTCATTTATAACTTGAAATGTCAGTTCCCATTGATTTATAGCCTTTCCCACAGATTAAAGATTAATGATTTCCAGGCATGAGAACATAGGAAAATTCTCTCTTCTTTTGTCTTCAATGTTGCCTCTTTTGGAGGAAAGCCCTTAATGTTTGGTTGGTTTCCAATAAAAATCAAAAGGAGACAGAATCTGGCATGACAGTTGGTGGCCTGGTCATTGTTAAGAACCATGAAGGGTCTGAGATTTTATCCTACTTATCCACTAACAAGTTAATCTGCTGTGGATTCATAGAAGCTGGCAGAAGACTTGAGACTCCAGGATCAGAGACAAAGGATTTTATTCCTGACAGCAATAACAGCATCCACAGTCTCAGCCTTTGTTCCAGTTCCTTCAACTCCAGTTCCCAAAAGTCAAAGCAAGCAGGGTCAGGTGATACCTGTGAACACAGTGGGTTGTGTTCCAGGAGAGCAGTCTGAGTTTGGGGAAGCCAAATCTTTTATAAGAGGCAGTAAGCCTGCCTAATCTTGGCCCCAGAAAGAGACATCGTTATCATTATATCAGACAGTGAACAGAGTGATCCTTTGTTTCTGAGAGAAACACTAGCTCTACTTTGCACCTATTTGTTATCCAACTATCCCTGCAAAGGTATTCCAGAGCAGACAGTCCGTGCTTCTACTCACAAGAAGTACACAAATGCTAGAGACCCATTGCAAATTTTCTCCTCACAGAGATAAAATAAAAACATTAAGATAAAAAAAGAGTTTATAAAAATAACCAAACACACACACTATATATCAGGCAATGGACTAGGCTCTAGGGAAGACCACAAACATCCTTCCTCCTCAGAAAGTTCACATTTTTCTCAGAGAGGCAGAAATAAGCTTAACACAAGGCAAACGTTCACAGGCCATCACAAGAGAGAAAAGAACGTACTACGTGTGGAAAAAAATTTTGCCTAGGAAAATGAGGAAGGTGTCAAAAAATTTAGCAATTGCTATGTACTTAATGATGAGTAGGGTTTTTTATACTTAGAGAAAAAATGAATGAAACCATTCTGGGGAAATAAAAGATGAAATTTAATAGTGCTTTTTTTGGAAAAAGCGAGTAGGATGGCATGGTGAAGAGAAGCAGAAGATGACACTATTTTAATGTAACTTAGAGCTAGATTGTGGAAGTTTCTCAGTTTTATACATCAACAATTCACAATTGGGGTGTGTGGGGTTTTCAGATTTGAAATGGAGATTATAGGGAAAGGAAATAAAAGAAATTTAGTTGCTTAGAGGAAAACATTTCTATGCAGAGATTCTCATGTCTTTTTATATTTTCCGTTTGCAAGTTGAAAATAAGCTTTCATTTATTTATTTATTTATTTTAATTTTTTTGAGATGGAGTCTCACTCTGTCGCCAGGCTGGAGTGCAGTGGTGTGATCTTGGCTCACTGCAGTCTCTGCCTCCTAGGTTCAAGCAATTCTTCTGCATCAGCCTCCCAAGTAGCTGGGACTACAGATGTGCTCCACCATGCCCAGCTATTTTTCTTATTTTTAGTGGAGACGGGGTTTCACCATGTTGGCCAGGATGGTCTCAATCTCTTGACCTTGTGATCCGCCCACTTCGGCCTCCCAAAGTGCTGGGATTACAGGCGTGAGCCACCACGCCCGGCCTGAAAATAAGCTTTTAAAATTATTTAAGGCATTCTTTAAGCAATGGAGAATCATCTATGATTTTTATGCAGGACCAGATCTGTGGATTTTAAATAGTCATTAGTTTTAATGGGAAGGGACTAAAGAAGGGAGACGGTGGAATCTTGTAGACAATTTGGAATCTTCTTCAATAGATTAAAGTGGATGAACCAAACAATGAAAATTTACATAAAATAAAAATGTCTTCATGTGGGGAGATGATAAGGAGAACTATTTTGCTTTGTAGCATACTATAATGAGTCACAATTAATATAATGTTTTTGTTTTAAACATTTTTTCCTTCTTGCTAGAAATAGGTTCATCCATAATATTTATTCACTAGTGATTTCTGTAGAATTTTAAATATATAAGCTAAATCTCACATACAAACATTCACTTTCTTCTTCATTGTCCACAGCCTAAGCAAGGCCACCATTTGCTCAGGCTTGACAATGGCTTATCCACAACTGAACTTCTCTCCATTTGCCCTGGTTCAAGCAAAACTCAACCTAACATTTAAAACACTAATAAGTGTATGTCATTCCTGTGCTGAAAACTGCTCTATGGTTTCTCATTGCTCTTAGAATAAAGGTAAACATCTTTAAAATGGGTGCATGATTTCTCTCTATCCAGATTTATAACCTCATCTCAGGCCATTCAGCTTCTTAGTAAAATGAATTAAAGGCACCAGTGGTTTTCTTGCCAATCTCTGAAGTGCGCTATGTTTCTTGGGGCTCTCAGCCTCCCTCATTCGCTTTTCCTTCAGCTAGAAGGCTGTCCTGTCTTTACCTCCTGCTAATTCCTACTCTTTTGCCCCCCAGCTCACTTCCTCAGGGAGATCTTCCCCAATCTTCTTCTCAATCTTTATTTGTTACTCCTGTTTTAAAACCTTTACCTTTCTGTAATAACTCATACTAAAATTGAAATTTTCAATTACTTATGTGAGTATTTATTTGTTGCCTGGTAAATCCAGCCTCACTTTCTACCCTACCTTACCCCAAAGCCACTAAAGCTAAACGTGTGATAGAGAAAACAGCTACATCTGCTATATCCCTAGACCTTGCATTATACTTGGCACATGCTGAGTGTTCAGTAGTGTTTGGAATGAACATGGTCAAAGTGTATCTTAAGAAGATCAGTCTGGCTATCATTTGACTGATCAATGGGGGCAGATAGTATTGGAGGTAACGGAGGTGAGCTGGAAGGCTAAAGTGAAGAGTGATGAGAGAGGCTCTAGGATATTGATACAAGATGGTGTTAAGTAAAAAAAAAATGATGCAACGATCACCTCCAAGCACACCAACAAGTAAGCTGTCCCAGAGGTTATGGAATAGAAAGACTCACAGTGGAAACTGAATCACCACTTCATTAAGTCCATTTTAAACCACACAAGAAGACAATTACAGAGCCTGTTATTGGTCTGTTCAGAGATTCAACTTCTTCCTGGTTTAGTCTTGGGAGGGTGTATGTGTCGAGGAATTTATCCATTTCTTCCAGATTTTCTAGTTTATTTGCGTAGAGGTGTTTGTAGTATTCTCTGATGGTAGTTTGTATTTCTGTGGGATCAGTGGTGATATCCCCTTTATCATTTTTTATTGCGTCTATTTGATTCTTCTCTCTTTTATTCTTTATTAGTCTTGCTAGCGGTCTATCAATTTTGTTGATCCTTTCAAAAAACCGCTCCTGGATTCATTAATTTTTTGCGGCACTATTCACAATAGCAAAGACTTGGAACCAACCCAAATGTCCAACAATGATAGACTGGATTAAGAAAATGTGGCACATATACACCACGGAATACTATGCAGCCATAAAAAATGATGAGTTCATGTCCTTTGTAGGGACATGGATGAAATTGGAAATTATCATACTCAGTAAACTATCGCAAGAACAAAAAACCAAACACCGCATATTCTCACTCATAGGTGGGAATTGAACAATGAGAACACATGGACACAGGAAGGGGAACATCACACTCTGGGGACTGTTGTGGGATGGGAGGAGTGGGGAGGGATAGCATTAGGAGATATACCTAGTGCTAAATGACGAGTTAATGGGTGCAGCACACCAGCATGGCACATGTATACATATGTAACTAACCTGCACATTGTGCACATGTACCCTAAAACTTAAAGTATAATAGTAATAAAATAAAAAATAAAAAATAAAGAAACCATGCAGGCCAGATGGAAATGGCACAATATATTTCAAGTGATGAGTGAAATATATTTTCACCATCTTCCAAATCCTATTGCCCAGCAATATATACCCTATATCTGGCAAAACCATTTTTCGGGCTTGAAAAGGAAATAAAGGTATTTTAAGAAAAGATAAAAAAAAAAAGAAGAACTATGGGGAAAGTGATACAATAAAATAACACATTTAGAATAGGGAGAAAGTTGAGTAAAGAAGCACACAATTGAATTTTTGGGGTATTCAATATTTTTATATCTTCTCTCTCTCTCTCTCTCTCTCTCTTCCTCTTTCTCTCTCATTCTTCCACATCAGTCTCCCTTGCTGATGGTGAACCATGGACAGAAGGTGCCCTGAATCAATAGCAGACACTACCTCTATCAAAGATACTGAAAGATAAGTATGTGCAGTTAGTTGCAGTTTGCCAATTAGTTTGATGAACATTCAGGAATTTCATATGTGTTCCTTGGTTGATGGTCACATGCATCAGAATGGTTTTAATCAATAGGTGACTAAATTAAGATCTCATGACTATTAGGTATTATGTATATTTAGCACATTTTGAATATTTTAGTGCCTCTTTCAGGCTTAGTCTCAAGTGCCTGAGGAATATTCAGTATCTTGTGGTCCTGCCATTCCTCTCTATGTTTAATACATATGTACTTGACTTGCTAATTACTTCTCTTATGCTTTATATGTTGTATACTTAACTTACCCTTAACATATTGAATGAATTCTGCCCATGCCTTACCAGCTTTAGCTTACTGGCTTCATATTTGTACTTGAAACATATTAAACATTTTGCCTATGATTTATATTTGATGCTTATGTAATAGAGTTGAATGTTCTCGATGGAAATGTACATTATGAAAGTGAGATAGAGTCATTTGCATACTGATTGAGCTGGAAAGTTAGCAAGATATTCTGATAAATAGGTTTGGGAGTGAGGGTGAAGAAGACAAAGATGTCAAAAATATTTCTTGTGTTTCCAACTTGAGCATTTGCATAAAACTTACTGAGTTAGATAATATAGGGATTGAGATAACGGTAGTTGAAACCATAATTGTGGGTGAGTGCTCCCAGGGAAAGCTGTGAAGGGAACCTTGAGAAAACCAAAAGTCAAGGAGTCAGTGGGAAGTATTTAATATAAATGAGACAGAGAAGAAAATGTCAGAATAGCTAGGGGATACCAGGAGAATGCCCTTCTATTGAAGCCAAAAGGCCGAAGTCCTTTAAAAAAAAAAAAAAAGAGTGCTCTATCGTATTCAACATCAAAATTAGGTCCAGGGCCAAAGACTTTAACAGACAACTCTGAATATATATATATGAAAGTTATGTAAACATGTAAGAAGATGCTCCACATCATATGTCATCAGGAAATGCAAACTAAAACAATAATGAGATATCACTACATACCTATTAGAATAGTTAAAACTCAAAACACCGGCAATAATGTATGTTGGTGAAGATATGGAGCAACAGGAAATCTCATTCATTTCTAGTGGGAATGTGAAATGTTATAGCCACTTTGGAAGACAGTTTGACAATTTCTGACAAAACTAAATATGTTATTTTCATACAATCCAGCAATGGCACTCCCTGGTATTTACCCAAATAAGTTGAAAACTTATGTCCACACAAAATCCTGCACATAGTTGTATATAGCAGCTTTAGTCAAAATTTTCAAAACTTGAAAGCAACCAAAATGTTTTTTAGTAGGCAAATGGATAGATCAACTGTAAACAGTTGATTTCAGACAACAGAATATTATTAAGCACTAAAAAGAAATGAGCTATGAAGCCATGAAAAGACATGCAGGAAATTTAAATGCATGTTTCTAGGTAAAAGGCGCCACTTTTTAAGAGCTATCTACTGTATAATTTCAGCTACTTGACATTCTGTAAAAGGCAAAACTAGGAAGATCATAAAAAGTACCAGTGGTTTCTAGGGATTAGAAGGAAAAGAGGAAGAAATAGGTGGGGAATAGAGGATTTTTAGACAGTGAAACTACTCTGTATTATACTACAATGATGAATGTATGTCTTTAAGAATTTATCCAAACTCATAGAATGTACAACACCTAGAGTGACTCTAATGTAAACTGTGGACTTTGGGTGACCAGAAAAATTAGGTCAAGTTTACCTGGACCAAAAAGAAAGTGCTCAATAGGTTGTGTGGTAGGATGACTTATGGTGGGATTAGCCAATGTTTTATTCTTATAGAATTCTTTCTTCCTTTTTCTACATGCCAATGCTATGTATCGTTCCTAGTCTTAGCAAGTTTTTTTTTTTTTTTTTTTTTTTGAAAGCCTAGATCACGGTAGATACCATAGATAAGAGCAAAAGTGAGGAAGTCTTTTGAGGACAAGGAGACAATGAGAACATGTCCACCATATTCATAAAAGGGGAAAGTGGGTGAGTCCCTCAGTAGACACACCCTGCTCCCTGCCTTGTTTGGTGTCCTGTGGAAATCCTACACTTTAGAATGAATGAACTCAGAGATGCTGAACCCTAGGTACAGGATTCTTATTCTCAAAAATGATGTCTTGGTCCCAGGAGTAAATGATTTCAAAGCATCAGCAAATCTGCGCTAAAAATCTCCATGTCAGCTTGAACATGAAATTGCTTGTCTCTAACTAGTGTCACAGAAGACTTTAAAGGTCTCTTCAACGCAAGGTCCTGGAGGATCTTGCAAGATGGGGATTGATTATCTTAAGAGCTGAGTAAGATATGGCTTATAACTAGAATTAGGTTGATTTAAAGAATCAATGTATTAAATTAAATTTTGATATATTTCTTGTACATCTGAGTTTGTGGATCAAGATTCTTATTTCTACAATTAGAGAATTAAGCAATTAAGGAGTCAATAGTGTAAGTTCAGCAGAGCAATGAGAAAGTATACATTGAGCAGAGAACAAGAAGTAAGAAAGTTTGAGAAAGGAGGAGAATAAAATTGAATGGGAGCTTGATAGTAAAAGAAAACTTGATTAAGTTTACTGGCTGAGAAAAATAACCAACAGACAGGGAAACAGAGTGAAAAGGAAAAGGGCACAGACAATTCTCTGTATATGCAAACACTATATATGTACAGACAATACTGTTTTTTCTTTCTGTTGAAGCCTCCTCACATTGAAGATGCATACATCTCTAACTGGTCTTTAATAGGCTATCATCTAAAATTTCTTAACTCCTGGATTTCCTTTGCTATTACAAGCCCATGCAACCCTAGCCTGTTTTTTCTCTCTCTCTCTTTTTTCTTTTTCTTTTTGAGACGGAGTCTCACTCTGCTGCCCAGGCTGCTCACTGCAGCCTCCACCTCCTGAGTTCAAGCAATTCTCCTGCCTCAGCCTCCCAAGTAGCTGGGATTGCAGACACCCACCACTATGCCTGGCTAATTTTTGTGTATTTAGTATAGACAGGGTTTCACCATGTTGGCCAGGCTGTTCTCAAACTCTTGACCGCAGATGATCCACCCACCTCGGCCTCCCAAAGTGCTGGCATTACAGACATGAGCCACTGTGCCTGGCCAGCCTGCTCTCTTTCTGTCTGTCTTTAGGATTTTCTCCAAAGACATAAGGTCAATTTAATTCAATTCAACTAATTTGACCTGTTGTGTTTATTGATTGCCTGGCCACTGATTAAGCACTTCACCATCCTACTTGCTCTTCATCTGCAGCTTCTTCTCTCGGAGTTGAAAGGAATCATTCTCAGGCTGTTCAGGTCTTCTGGTCAGTAGGAAGATCCCTCCTTTGATGGAACTGTGGATGAACCAATAGTTGTTAGTTTGCCTTTAGGAAAGGAGTCCCACTTCACTACTTTTTATGTAGAAATTTTGTAGACAAAGATACCATGTCTATGATGTGAAGTCATGTCTAAGGGGTTCAGTTTATTATTTATTTGCTAATGAAAGATAAGTATTTTGTCAACGGCAATAAATGACAGCCCTCATTTTATTGCAAGGAGGGAGAGGGAACAGATCTAAATATCTTGCTAAAACATGACATTAGTTCCATGTTTTTAATTTAAATGAGGGCATTTTGCAATATTTGGTCTGAGATAGTATACATTTATCAAAACTCAATGGCATTGGCTCTGGTTTTCTTGTGTACTTGTGGAGGGAAAGTGCACATTTCATTGTTGGCAGCTGCTACAGCTAGGAATATGGAGATTCCTCTCCACGTGCACAAGAAACAGAAGTTAGGCCCAATCAATCCTTGCTCAGGGACTTACTGTGACCTAGACAAGTCCCTGAATTAAAATGTCCTTAACTACATCTAAAAATGGGGTGACTAGTACCTATTCTGAAGAATTATTAATATATGCAGAACACTGAGTCAGGTGTCTGTGTTAAGAAAAAGTAGCCACTCTGGTTAATATTAATTATCAGTCTGCTGCTAAATGGTAGCAGAACAGTGAATCAGGTGTCCGTGTTAAGAAAAAGTAACTACTCTGGTTAATATTAATTATCAGGTTGCTGCTAAACAGCATCTGCTACAGACATTTTAGAGGGAGAGGGTGAAGGGTAAAATGTTTTCCATTATCTCCATGATCTACCCCAAATACTCATTCCTGCTGCACTTACTTCATTTTTGTAAAAAGCTGCAACTGTCCCCACAAAAATAAACATAAACCCAATTCATTCATTTCTTAGTTTTGCTTTTTAAGCAAACACTCACATTTTAGTATGCTATAGGCTAGCCGAACATTGCGGAGTTTGGGAGGTTTATAGGGGTCAGGCAGCACTGCAGAGATTGGGTTAACATTAGGTTTATCTTGAACACTCAACTCAAAGGTTTCTAACACCTCAGTAAAAATTTCCCCAGACTCTCCACCCCAACACTTCCCAGTTCATTGTTTTTTTCCTTACTGTTGCTTCTTGTTACATATCTTGTTCTTGTACTGTCCCACTATATTATGTGGTTTACGTGACTGTCCATCTACCTACATAATGAGCCCACAGACTTTGCCTTTGACCCTTACTACTAAGAAGATGCTCAATAAATGCATGCATCAATTCATAAATAGAATTCTGAATAAATTAATTAGTACCAATGGAGAGGTATAGACAGATTATGAAACTGTAGCCTAGTTCAATTAGAGCAGTGAACCAGCCATCTTCACCTTCACAAGGACAACTTGAAGGCAAGCTCCAGGGCATGTATGCTTTAGGTGTTAACTACAACAGAGGTTGCACTGAGGACTAAGAACAAAAGGGTGGGCATTTAGGGGGCACTGGGCTGCTTTAGAACCTTTTTTTTCCTCCTGGGATTCACTTTCCTATACCATCCCCCACCCTTATTCACCGAGCACTGATCCTGATAGCTTCCATTACCTGAGAGACTTTTATATGCATAACAAGACATTTATTCACCAGGACTCCTCCCCTCAGCCTCCCATGACTTGTGCCACCACCTCCCAGAAGCCCCAAGTCCCTATTCCTTTCTGCAGCCCAGGACGCTATAGAAACTTTAGTCACCTGATCCTTCTTCAAGTCTCATTTTGTGGAACTCCCATGCATGTGTGCATCACTAAATATATTTTCCTCCTGTTAATCTTATGTCTTATATCAATTTAATTCATATTCCAGACAAGGAACCTAGAAGAGTTGAAGGAAGCCATTTTTTACTCCCCTACATTAACTTCTTTAAACTTTAGTTCACTCACTTGTATAATGGAGATATTTGTACAGTATTACGTTCCTCATAAGGTTCTTAAGAAGATGAAATCTGGAATATCTTAAAAACTGAACAAATTGCTTTTGTTATTATTGTGGTTACAATTAACCCTTGAACTTGACTTCTAACAGGCTATTGTTGACTGAAATTCTTACCGATAACATAAACAGTTAACATATATTTTGTATGTTATATGAATTATATGCTGTATTCTTACAATGAAGTAAGCTAGATAAAATGATATTAAGAAAATTGAAAGAAAGTGAAAATATATTTACTTATATTTCATTAAGTGAAAGTGGATCATCCTAAAGGTCTTCATCCTCACAATCTTCATGTTAATTAAGCTTTGGAGAAGGAGGAAAAGGAGGGGTTCTTGCTGTCTCAGAGGTGGCATAGATGGAGGAAAATTATATATACGTAAACCCATGTAGTCCAAACCTGTGTTCTTTAAGGGCCAATTGCATTTTGATTTATGAGTTTTTGGTTAAAAGTCAACAATATCTTTTACCACTGGTAGTATATATATTCTTTCATATTCAACTTAGAATAGACTTTTTATATTTGATTGGGAAGAATTTTCTTATGTCTTTAAAGAAAATATGGGAACAGAGGCAAGATGGTGGACTAGACCCAGCCACTGAGGGACAGGGTCATCAGGAAGACTGGTGCACTCCAAGTAGGTCTTCAAATGGAAGGTATTGAGAGTGGACAGAGGGAGGATATAGGCACTGGACTGAAGGGGGAGAAAACTGGGAACCCTGCACGGGGCTACTGCACACTCATTCCTGGCCCCCAAGGACTCTTGGGGAAGGGGTGACTTGAGCAGGCAAGGAGAAACCTGTTCTCACCATGAACCCCTGGAATCCTGGCAGCAGGAGACCCCACAATCCCTCTGGACACTTGAGCTGGCAGGGAGAGCTGCTTAGAGAGGTGGTAGGGGCCAGACTCCAACCTGTGCAGAGTCCAGAGGGTTTGATGTGAGAACATCTGCAGTGGAGCATGGCCAGGGATACCCATCCCTCAAGGCTTACCATGCTCCCCTAGGAGATTTTTAACCTTAGGGTGATCATTGGACCTGAAGATAGCAAGGCCTTCTTGCCAGTGAGATGGGACCAGTCCAACCTGAGCACCTCCTTGTCTGTTGGTCTCTCCCAGGGTCCTAGCTTGCCTGTGCCTGCTTGCAGTGCAGCCTTGGATGCCCAACTGGGGTGACTCCTGGGGACCTGCATGAGAGCTGCTGCACTGGCAGAATGCACCTGACCATTGGAGAGCTCCACCAGTATGCACCAGCCCACTCACACCCTCCTCCCACAGCAGCCTCTCTCATGCCTCTTCGCTGGCACACACTCATCCATGGCCCCCATTGCTTTGCTGGTGTATGTGTGCACAAGTGGACCTCGCCTCTCCTCCCCAACAGATTCCTGTGTGTGTGTGCACCCACTGTGTCACTGCTGATGGTATAAGCACACCCTGCTCTCTCCTTCACCATGCCAACATTGCTGGTGCAAACATGCACATGGAGACTAGTGGGTCCACTCCCCTGTCCTGCACCACCATTGTTGCTGGTGCAAATGCATGCACAAAGGCCAGTGGCCGTGCATTGTCATTGCTGCCAGAACAAACCCGTGCACAGAGGCTGTCAGCCCCGCACTTACCAGTGCCCTGTCCCCACACCAAGACTGTTGCCAGTGCAAATGTGCACACAGATGCTAGTGGTTCCACCCCACACCATGCTACCACTGCTCCCATAGCCAAAGCCTGCACAGAGGCTGGTAGCCCTGTGCCCATGCCCTGCCCGATCTCATGAGCATGTACCCTGCATGCTACTGCTGCTGCTGCTGGCATTTGTGAATGAGCTTGGATCCTGCTGCTACCACTCAAAGAAGTGCTTTGGCTGGTACCACCCATTGAAGTGTTGTGGCCAGCAGTCTGGGAACACCTCGACCTCTCCAGTGCAGCAGGATCCTAACCTCACAGGAACAGAGAACAAGGCAAAGGGCCCACCAGCCCCACAGAGTGAGAACATGTAGCCCAGAGTGCTGAGCTGAGCCTTGGCCCTCTAAAATATTACTGAAATGAAGCCAGTTAACTAAACTTACCTTATACCACAATCAACTCACAAAGGATATGAAAATAAAAGCAAAAAAATCCCATCCAAAGGACAGCAACTTCAAAAATTGAAGAAAATCAGCCCACAAAGATGAGAAGGAACCAGCACAACAACTCAGGAAGCTCAAAAAGCAGAGTGTCATCTTACCTCCAAATTACCACACTAGTTCCCTAGCAATGATTCTTAACCAGGCTGAAATGGCTGAAATGACAGAAGTAAAATTCAGAATGTAGACTGAAACCATTATCAAGATTCAGGAGAAAGTTGGCTGGGCGTGGTGGCTCACGCCTGTAATCCCAGCACTTTGGGAGGCCAAGGCGGGCGGATCACAAGGTCAGGAGATCGAGACCATCCTGGCTGACACAGTGAAACCCTGTCTCTACTAAAAAAAATACAAAAAATTAGCCGAGTGTGGTGGTGGGTGCCTGTAGTCCCAGCTACTCGGGAAGCTGAGGCAGGAGAATGGCATGAACCCGGGAGGCATAGCATGCAGTGAGCTGATATTGCACCACTGCACTCCAGCCTGGGCGACAAAGCGAGACTCCATCATAAAAAAAAAAAAAAAAAAAAAAAAAAAAAAAAAAATTCAGGAGAAAGTTGAAACCCAATTCAACAATTCTAAGAAATACGTAAAATAATACAAGAGATGAAAGACAAAATGGCCATTTTAAGAAAAAAAAACTTATCTGATAGAGCTGAAAAAATCACTTCAAGAATTTCAGAATACAATTGCAAGTATTAACAGGAGACTCGTCCAAATTGAGGAAACAATCTCAGAATTTGAAAACAAGTTCACTAAAATAACTCAGTCAGATAAAAATACATAAAAAGTAATAAAGAAGTATGAACAAAACCTGAGAAATGTGGAATTATGTAGAGAGACCAAATCTATGACTCACTGGGGCCCCTATAAGAGAAAGAGAGAAAGCAAGCAACTTGGAAAACATTTCACGACATCATTCATGAAAACTTCCCAAACCTCACTAGAGAGGCCAACATTTAAATTCAAGAAATTTAGACAACCCCAGCAAAATACTACACAAGAAGATAACCTCCAAGACAGATAGCTATCAGGTTTCCAAGGTCAAAATGAAAGAAAATGTTGAAAGCAGCAAGAGAGAAGGGGCAGGTAACCTACAAAGGGAACCCTCATCAGGCTAACAGTGAACCTCTAAGCAGAAACACTACAAGCCATAATAGACTGGAGGTCTATAAATAATCAGCATTACCACAGAAAGGAAATTCCAACCAAGAATTTTATATTCAGCCAAACTAAGCTTCATAAGTGAAAGAGAAATAAGAACCTTTGTAGATAAGCAAATGCTAAGGGAATTCTTTACCACCAGACCTGCCTTACAAGAGGTCCTGAAGGGAGTGCTAAATATGGAAAGGAGAGACTATTACCAGCCACTACAAAAACATATTTACATATATAAACCAGTGACACTACATGCCAATCACACAAAAACATCTGTATAATAACCAACTAAAAACATGATTCACAGGATCAAATCCAAACATAATAATACTATCCTTGAATGTAAATGAGCTAAGTGCTTCAATTAAATAAATGGCAAATTGGATAAAGAAGCAAGACCTAACAGTATGTGTGGTCTTCAAGAGACCTGTCTCACATGCAGTGACCTCATAGGCTCAAATTAAAGGAGTGGAGAAAAATCTGTCAAATGAATGGAAAACAGAAAAAAAGCAGGAGTTGGTATTCTAATTTCAGACAAAACAGACTTTTAAGTGACAAAGATCAAAAAAGACAAAGAAGGGAATTACATAATGGTCAAGAGATCAATTCAATAAGAAGACCTAACTATCCTAAATATATATGCACCCAACAGAGAAGCACTCAAATTCATAAAGAAAGCTCTTAGAGACTTACAAAGAGACTTAGATAACCACACAATAATGGTAGGATACTTCAACACCCCACTGACCATGTTAGACAGATCACGGAGGCAGAAAACTAACAAAGATACTCAGGACCTAAACTTGACACTGGACCAAATGGACCTAACAGACATCTATAGAATGCTCCACCCCAAAACAAAATATATATTCTTCTTATCCGCACATAACACATGCTCTAAAATCGACCACACAATCAGCCACAAAAAGATCCTCAGCAAATTGAAAAAACAAAACAAAACAAAACTGAAAACATAAGAAACACATTCTAGGACCACAGTACAATAAAAATAGAAATCAATATTAAGAAAATTCCGCAATTCATACAATTCCACATTAATTAAACAACCTACTCCTGAATAACTGCTGAGTAAATAATGAAATTAAGGGGAAATCAAAACCTGGCAGAGACACAACAAAAAGAGAAAGCATCAGAGGAATAACTTTGATGAACATCGATGCAAAAATCCCCAATAAAATACTGGCAAACCGAATCCAGCAGCATATCAAAAAACTTATCCACCATAATCAAGTAGAATTTATCCCTAGGATGCAAGGTTGGTTCAACATACACAAATTAATGAATATGATTCATCACATAAACGAGCTAAAAATAAAAAGCACGTGATCATCTCAATAGAAGCAGAAAAGGCTTTTGAAAAAGTTCAACATCCCTTCATGTTAAAAACTCTCAATAAACTAGGCACTGAAGGAACGTACTTCAAAATAATAAGAGCTATCTATGAAAAACCTACAGCCAACATAATACTGAAAGGGCAAAAGCTGAAAGCATTCCCCTTGGCAACTGGAACAAGACAAGGATGCCCTCTCCCACTCCTATTGAACATGGTACTGGCATTCCTGACCAGAGCAATCAGGAAAGAGAAAGGAATAAAAAGCATCCAAATTGGAAGAGAGTGTTTCAAACTCTTCTTGTTTGCAGATGATATGATTTTATTTATAAATATTTTAGAAATATTTATTTTAAAATATTTTATTTATAAATCATATCATCTGCCAACAGGAACAGCTTGCATGGTTTTTTACATAAAATCTGTGGGCTTTTTCAGATAGAATCAGAGAGTCAAACTATCCCTGAATCATATTATTTGTAAACAGGGATAGTTTGACTCCCTGATTCTATCTAAAAAACCCAATAGTCTCAGCCCAAAAGATGCTTGATTTAATAACCACCTTTAGTAAGTTTCAGGAAGCAAAATCAATGTATGAAAATGAGTAGCATTTCTATGCACCAACAACATGCAAGCTGAGCACCAAATCAAGAACATCATCCCATGCACAATAGACATGAAAAGATTAAGTACCTAGAAATACAACTTACCAGGGAAGTGAAAGATCTCTACAAGAAGAATTGCAAAACACTGCTGAAAGAAATGAAAGATGACACAAACACATGGAAAAACATTCCATGCTCACGGATAAGAAGAATCAATATTTTAAAATGGCCATGTTACCCAAAGCAATTTGCAGATGCAATGCTATTCTTATCAAACTACCAATGATATTCTTCACAGAATTAGCAAAAAAAAAAAACAAAAACAAAAACTATTTTAAGACTCTTAGGGAATGAAAAAAGAGACCAAATAGCTAAGGCAATCCTAAGAAATAAAGACAAAGCTGAAGGCATGACATTATTCAACTTCAAACTATACTACAAGGCTACCAAAACAGCATGGTACTCATATAAAAACACACACATAGACCAATTCAACA
Source organism: Homo sapiens (assembly GCF_000001405.40). NCBI lineage: Eukaryota > Metazoa > Chordata > Mammalia > Primates > Hominidae > Homo > Homo sapiens. Next base: position 76,468,264 of record NC_000008.11, on the reverse strand, counting down.
GGGTAAAGAGCCCACAAATAATACCGCATATTTACAACCATCTGATCTTCAACAAAGTTGAATTTGTTGACAGCAATAGGGAAAGGACTCTCATCATATATAAAAATTAACTTAAGGTGGATTAAAGACTTAAATGTAAGACTTCAAATTATAAAAATCCTGGAGGAAAACCTAAGAAATACTCTTCTAGACATTGTCCTGGGCAAAGAATTTATGACTAAGTTTTCAAAAAAAAAAAAAACACAACAAAAACAAAAATTGACAATTCGGACCTAATTGAACTAAAGAGCTTCTGCACAGCAAAATAAACTGCCAACATAATAAACAGACAACCTACAGAATGGGAGAAAATACTTGCAAACTATGAATCCAACAAAGGTCTAACATCTAGAATCTATAAAAAACATAAACAAATGTCCAAGCAAAAACCAACCCCACTAAAAAGTGGGCAAATACATGAAGAGACACTTCAAAATAAGACATATGTGTGGCCAACAAGCATATGAAAAAATCCTCAGCATCACTATTCCTTGGAGAAATGCAAATCAAACAACAATGAGACACCATCTCACACTAGTCAAATTGCTATTATTAAAAAGTCAAAAAGTAACAGATTTTAGTAAGTTTGTGGAGAAAGAGGGATGCTTATACACTGCTGGTGGAAATGTAAATTAGTTTAGTTATTATGGAAAGTAGTTTGGCAATATCTCAAAAAACTCAAAGCAAAAATTATTCAACCCAGTAATCCTATTATTGGATATATACTTAAAGGAATAGTCTACTGTAAAGACACACGCACATGTATGTTAATCACAGTATTATTCACAATAGGAATGACATGGAGTCAACCTAAATGCCTATCAATGGTAGGCTGGATTTAAAAAATTTACTACATATACACCATGGAATACTACACAGCCATAAAAAAGAATGAGATCATGTCCTTTGCAGCAACTTTGATGGAGCTGGAGGCCATTAACCTAAGCAAACTAATACAGGAATGGAAAACCAAATACCACATGTTCTCACTTGTAAGTGAGAGCTAAACATTGAGTACATATGGACACAAAGGTATGAGCAACAGACATGAGCACCTACTAGAGGGTAAAGGAAGGGAGGAGGAAGAGGATTGAAAAACTATCTATTGGGTACTATGCTTATTAACCTGTATACCAAACCCCTGTGCCATGCAATTTACCTATATAACAAACCTGCACATGTTCCCTTGAACCTGAAATAAAAGTTAAAAAAATTAATGAAAAAACTGCATAACTTTTTCCTTAAACTACCAAATATTGCAAAAGAAAATTAAGGAAAATCTAAATCAATGGAGAGTGATTGTATGTACACTGATCAGAAAATTCAATATTTTAAAAATAACAGTTTTACCCAAACTGCTGTATAGATTTAATGCAATGTCAGTAAAATCTTAAAGAGAATCCTTTTCTACTCCCTCCAAAAAGAAAGTAAAATAATGTATTCATGATAATATAAATTATTCTTAACTGAACCCTACCTGTCAAAGTTTGTGTAAACATCTTATGATGATTAATTCATTGACTTAATTCCATAAATACATGTAAATCATGTAATACTGGAGGCAGATTTCAAAAATAATTTTTGTCACTTATATGTAGTTAATGAATGAGGTTCAGAAAATGGCAAACTTTTTGAAATTCTAGATAGTATCTCTAGGTGAAAGCGCATGTCATCCGTTTCTCAGTGGACTCTATAAACCCACTCCTGTCCCCCAAATGATTAAAAATTGCTTCTCTGTAAGTACTGATTCAAATTATTTTTGGAAAAGAGCAAGGTTCATTACGTGTACTAAAATAAATTAATTCTATAAGTAAAGAGTGCTTCAACCTCAGCAAATTTGTAACTTGTTTGAATGGTTTTCAGGACAATAGCAACAAGCTCCTTTTTCCATACTTAACCTGGATCTAAATAATTAACAAATTCTCCATGGGACGTTAAACATGCTTAAAAATGATACAATTCTAAAGTCAATGCAGGGGCTGAAAAGGCTCTGTTCCTTTTCCAAGTTTCAAACCAAAATGGTTGATGTTTTAAAACAAGGAGCATGTTCTTTGAGGCTGTGTTTTCAATATTAAGCTGTAGTTTATGGCCCTTTATTGTCATTTTGTCTATATTTTAAGCCAATCCTGTAATAGTTTTTTTTTTTAAGAATAGGGTTAAATTTAAGAGTTAGAACTTGCCAAAGATGACCAAAGGGAAGGAGAATGAAATATTTGCTGCTAATTGTAGCTTCTAGGCTGAATCTGTAAGACTTGGATAAAGGACTTCTTTATCTAACACACTTCCCATAAATAGTAGTTAACAGATGTGTCCAAATTTTCTATATTTCTTTCTCCATTAAAAAGTCAATTGTGATTTTTATTCTGATCAATATTTTCAGAGCAAACAAAACAATGTATCTAACTTTTAAAAATAATGTTTTATCATGAGGCTGATTGTCTGACTCATTTAATCTGGTGGTGAAAAAGATTGAGTTTGCCGTTATCTGAACTTTGTGGTGATAGCAATGGTCCTATTAGGTCTTCTGGGTCTCTCTTCTGTATTTTAGTGATGTGTTAAAGGTGTTAAAAGTATCGTTGAAGGTTCCTTTGAACTCTGAGATTCTGTGATTCTTTAAGCATTGGTTGTTGAGCAGGATCAGAGTTTTAGAGCTTGAAGTTATTTTTAAAATAATTTGTTTTCTAAGTACCAGGAGTTAACTTCTTGTCCAAAATTACAGTATTGGGAAGACAGCAGTCTCTGCCTGAAGTCCCAACATCTAATCAGATGCTTCTCTCCAACATGGGAGAACATGGGTTTTGTCACTGTGACTACTATGTGGAATTCATCCTAAAGATTATGCAAGGAAACCTCAGAGCAGGTTCCTTGCAGATTAATGCCCTGGTTATAAGCAAAACTCAGGTCAGCTACGACAGAAATAAGGGCTGGCTTACGGTTGTGAAAGGCGTAAGACAGAAGCAAAAAAGATAAAGCAAATCCTTGAAATAGAAAGAGTTGGGTTTTTATATTATTTTTGTCTACCTACAGGGCTTCCCTATAGTCACTTTATATTTCATTGAAAATTCCTTTATACTTACATTTTTCAGGTGTATCTGATATCTCAGATATGCTCTACATGGACTCATTCATGCCTTTTAATGCAGTTCATACATAACTTTGTAATAATCACCTTGTTAATGTAGCAGTATATTGGAGCATTTATTTGAGAGTAGGGTAAGATAAGAAGAGGAGGGAATCATATTGGAGAGATAGATGATAGGGAAGTGAAATGAAAATGTGAAGTCTATGATTACAAAAGTAAACAACTTCCTAAAGAAGTCTTCATAAATTTAAAAGAAAAGTAAAAATACTATTATTGAAATCCTCTTTTGTCTTATATCTTTACATTAAACATATATCTATCAATCTATACATGCACACACATGCACACACACATATGCATATTATTTAAAGAGGATAAACTGTGATTTAGAGATATAAATGCCTATTTTAAACTTTGAAATATCTTTAAATCTTCAAAATAATTTGTGATATGAGCTTTTATTCAGTAATCTCATATTTTTCATTTAATATTGTTTCAAATAATATTTTTCGATCTAATCTTTGGCCATCTTTGAAGTGTGTGACTTAAGTATAACGTTTTAAAAAAGCTACTATAAGATGGAGACAGATATAAAGACCTCACACACACACACACACACACACACACACACCACAAAAATGTAGGAACACTTTAGGGAGAGAGGAAGCGTTCCCTGAATATGGTCACTGTGGGACAATGATCTCAATCATTCATTTTTATATAAATGGGCAGTTTTTGTTATTTTTTTGATAGTACATTAAAAAATCAAATCCAAACCTAGTATCCTTAATGGCTAGATGTGAAATGTAGATTCATAGCATTTATCTTTCACACACAAGCTATAAATTACTTCCATTCATAAAGTTTTTATAGAACCTTTTTTCCAAAAAAGAATTTTTGTGTCCAAACAACAAATTTAGTAAGCATTTACCAAACTTTGAAAGTGGTGTGACTATTAGAAAATAAAGGAAGGTGTTCAAGACCCTGGTTAAAAGCAAATGTCCCTTCAGCAAGTGGGAAATGTTGAAGTGTAAGAATCAATGTGTAGAGTCTTGAATAGTTAAGAAACGGGGCCTATAGGGTGGGCACATCTAGTTGTGCTGTTCTCCCATTAACAACCCTACCATATGTCTAACATTTAGCTAATTTTATTTTCAGAAGATAAAAGATGCCAAGTCATCCACCACACTGGTACGTTTAATGAGCTGGGGTTATTTTACCTCTTTGCTTACATGTGAAAATCAACACATAAGCTCACCCGTTAGGTTTCAATCAAATCTGAACAACTTGGGAGTAGGGATGCAAAGTTTATTTGTGCTCCCATCATACACAATAAAGATCCTGTAGTGATTATTTTTCCATCACCTGTGCTTGACCCGAAAAATTTTAATAGGATCTAAAATATCTCGTGATTGGCCTTCTACTGTCAAATAGCAATCAAGATGCTGTGTTTAAAACTGACTTTAAAGCAGAACACACATTTGCTAAGCGATATTGAATGAAATGCAAATTTCTCAGTAGTTGCTAGTAAAATAGTTGTTAGATTGTTCAAATATAAGCTTACAATATGGAGAACAAGTATGGCATTAAGGAAGGATGCTTAAGTCTTTTTACTTTTCAGGGGAAATAATTCAAATCTTCAAAGTTTGGTTACATTTAGACAGGAGTTTTAAAATAAATATATGTGCATCTATACTATTAACTTAAAATTATGTAGTCCCATATTTTATATATTACATTCTAAGTAAATTCTGAACCTTTTTATGCTACCAAATGGTTATTTATACATTGTATACAATTCTATCAAGTTGTACATTTATAAAGTACCTATCTGAGGGAAGTATTTATTAAAAATATAAATGATCTGCTCAAAATCCAATGTCAATGTATTTTAAAATAAATTTGGAGGATTTATATTATGCCATATTTGGGAGGAAGATAGGAACCTAGAGATTTTATGTGCTTAACTCTTTAATATTTTATTGTTCAAATATTAACTAAATGATATATAATGTATAGATTCTGGATTTTCAGATACTCATCAGCCTTTTCTCTCTAATTTTATAAAGATAACATAATGTTTGAGATTTGGATTGCTCATTTTACTGAAGACTATGGTCAGCGTTAAGTTAATAGAAATAGTGTAGCCTGACTGCATACAGTAAGTTTTGAATCTGCTTATAAAGACATGTAAAAGTGCACCCTGCTAGGAACTCTACTATTCATGCTGAGGTTTAAACACCGGAATTGGGTTCCCAGTGGATTTTCACTTTCACAAGTACTTAATGCAGCTTTAGGTGTCTCAGGGGCAATCTGAACTAGCCACTGAATATCCTTTTTAAGGGGAGTTAACAATGGCTTAGTTCCACCTCTCTTGAAATACAGGATTCATGTTTTTCTCTCTTAAAATTTAGTGTTCCTAGAGACAGTTGGGAACATTAGAGAATAAGACTGTATTTATCCATCCCAAGCTAGGTACAATGTAGGTGAGGGCAATCCAATGTTCCCTGCAGTGCTTTGTCAAAGCTTTTTAACCCTACGCTGAAAGGATAACCACTTCAGAGTGCGGTTACAATTGAAACTCCAAACCTATTAAAAACTTGGGCCTTTACATTGGTGTAGGCTTTTGATTATAAAAAAATTCTATGGACTTTTGATGATGTACACCTCTGTACTCAAGGTTATATTGTGAGCCCTGGACTTATTACAGGTGCAGCCAATTCTAGGATTAGAACCCAGACCTTAGATCCTTTCTTTTTTGAAAAGTATTGTGATTGTATTTTGGGCTAGAAGAGTTACGGGGTGAACCAACTCAAGTTAAACTCATAAAGTACACACATAAATGATGCTAGGAACATAGTTGTCAGGAATGTAGAAAAGTTACACACAGGATCTAATATCTCATGTTAAAATAATCACACGCACATATGTACATATGCAAATAGATCATATAGGAGAAGTCATGATATCATTGCATTTTGGTAACTTAGAAATTTTAAAAAAACACTTAGAATATATTAGTCAGGATGAGCAAGATTATTTATGCTGTAGTAACAAGCAACTGCCAAATCTCAATGTATTTGAACATACTTTGTTTATTTCTCCTTCACAGAAGCCCTGGGGACCCTGCAGGCATCTATCTTCCATTCTTAGTGATCCAAGTTACCCAAAATCTCAACATAGGTTTTCTCGTTTATCTCCATAGTAAGGGAAGAGACAGCTTGGAGTCTCCCACGGATACATGAATGCATCTACCTGGAAATAATACATCACTTCCACTCACGTTTCATTGGCCGAAGAATATCAAGGGGATGGGGAAGTTCAGTGACCACTCCCTTCCACCCCCACCATAAACTGAAGGAAGAGAAGAACTGGAAACACAGGTGAGTAACCTAAATGTATACTACAGAAGAGCTGATAGAATCGTAGGTGGGAAATCCATGAACTCTTTAACTACTTCAAACATATACACTGTATTGCTGAATTAACAAATATAACTAATTTTGAATAAGAGGGATTTTCTGAAATTATTCTCAATGATTTGTCTATAAAAGTCAATGAAATTATTATTATAAAACTTGCACAATGTGCATATTTATAAAGTACTGTATTTCATCAAATATTTAAATGACATTTCAATATACAAAAAAATCCATAGACTAATTTCATTATTGTCACAGGCAGAATATTATATTACTTGAAAAGTGCTCAATAAGATTGATTTGTGTTCTCGGTGACATGTAGTCTCCACTGACCACTTGCCAGGTTGGGTTACAAGAGCCTTTCAAACCACAAACTGTGCTGTGGTCTTTACAATGCAATGCCTGGAATGCTTACACTAAGCTCTGAAACACTACAAAATATCAATGGCCAGTTCACAGCCACTACCAATCCAGGCAGAAGCACTTTGCTTCAAATTGTTTGAAGTAGCTATTAGTGTAAATCAAAGATTTCATGTATTCTCATTTTTTTCTATACCCTTCTAGAATATTCATAAACAAATTGCACATCTCTTGCATCCACTGGAAAAAATCACCACTTGATAAATCTTTAGCTACCATAATTTAATCCCCCACCCCCTTTTAAATAAACCCCATCAATACCATTTATAATTAATGAAAGGTAGAATGATTCCTGGATGAAGTTTTAGTCCAGACGTCAAATCGATAATTCTGACCATGTCTGTTTCATTATTGACAACGTCTACCCACATTTACTTTTATAATTAAGTTTTAGTTCTACTTCTAACTTTTCTCAAGTGTTTGAAATGGCTATATGGTGTTCTTAATTTCAGCTGCTGTTTCATCTTTCTCAGTAGGTGCCTATTTTATTGTTAAAGGTCATACTCATTTGTCTGCTCCAACAAAGGCAGCCCTCAAAGTTGGCTGTGGTTTTGACAGACAGTGGTCCCTATAAGTGATGGCCTTAAGGACAGAGCTGGCACTGGGAGACAGTCACCACAGCAAGGGGAATAACAGATAACAAATCATGCCACTATTTTTCCTCCTGGCGTGATTGACGACAGCACAGCGGGTGTAACTTTTCAATGTCCTCAGATTAAAAACCCCTCAAACAAATGAGTTCTGAAAATACTATCCAGAGGCATTAAAGGGAGCTGTTGGACTCAAAATACTCTTAAAAAAAACAGGTTTTTCAAAAATGCACAATTTATGGCCACTCAATGCAATTATCTAATTTGCAGTGATACTTTGAATTTGACATGCACAAAGCTCAGCTATAGATTTGAGGGGCTGTTGCCGAACCAATGTAAAGCTTTCAGAGGGAAGTATGCAGGTCTCTGCAAGGCCTATCAAGCAGCATTCTAAAGAGGAAATTTGGTATTTGTTAAGGCATGATATGTATTTCAGTGTTTACAGATTATTTTTCAAAGTACTGTTCGCATAATATTTTAACTGATTGGTGGAAATAAAGATACTCAAATGACCACGCTGTGGCTACATGGTAAATCACCTCTGCATTTTCCTGGTCCATCATAGGAATATACAAAGCAGTGCAGAATAAAATACAAACATTTCCACTTAAAATGTTATTTTTACTTTTTCTTAATATATTGTATTGTCTAATAAGTTTTTGATATGCTGCAAAATGAACCTATCTACCTGATATAATACACAAATTCTATAATTCTTGTTTAAAAAGTACAATTAGACATAATTTTTCTATACTTGTAATTATAATTATGGAATATAGTTAAGTAAGTATAACATATATACTTGTAATTTTATGTGTGCATATAAAACGTTATGTATATGTACCATTAATAAATATAAACTATGAGAAAATAATAATATTTTTCTGGAAGTTGTAGTCATTTTAGTAGTTTATGCCTGTGGAGCGCAGCTTGGTGTAAATAAGGATTATGGGCCTCAGTCCCAGGAAGATTGATTCAGCAATTTTGAGATGAGGCTTGGAATCTGCATTAATACATGTCCTAGATGATCTAGATATAACCCACTCTAGCTGTAATCTGGGAACCACGTGAGGCACCTTAGGAGTTGGATTAGCATTCCTGGGTCACGTGATTCTGCACAGATGCACTGGCTTTGTAGCCAGGTAGATGAAGGTTCGAATCTTTGTGCTGAGTCTTACTAGCTATGTGGCCTTGGGGAACTTAGTTAATCTCTCAGTGTTTTAGGTTTATGGGCATCTACACTGGAATAACAAATTGTATCTCGAAGAATTATTGGAAGACTAATGAAGCTGCCAAATGAATGCAAGTGGTCTTTACTTGCTAATGATGCAACCAAAATGCTTAAAACAACACAATCAGGAGCTTGGATTGAAACAAACTTTTTTAGAAGATAAATGGATTCTCCCACCTCTACCAGTTCCACAGCCCCAGGACTTTGGCCCATATACATCAATGAGGTCATCTATCCTCAGTTAATAAAACAGGTGCTGAGATACTTCCTGAAACAACCATAGACCTAAATCAAGTCTAGTTGTTCAGATATTAGCCACTCTCTTAAATCTTGTCCTTTCCTTCAGGTTCTGGGTAAAACTGGGCCCTTGGCAGGCACTTATTCAACACACTTACTCAATCCCTACCACACACCGAGGCTCAGATCTTCCTTCATAGAGGATAAGATAAGCCAGAGTCTCCATGGACTAGGAACCATTCCAGATGGAAATAGCACTTGCTTTCTTCACCTCACATCTCCAGGTTTTCTTACACTATGGTGTGGGATACTTTGATTTCTGGTAGTGCCTCTGTTTCCTCATCTTTAAAATCACGATAATAACAAGACTGACCATTGTAATAAGGACTAAGAAAAGTTAGTATATGTGAAATGTTTAAAGCAGTATCTGGCACATAGAAAATGACTTGCCCTAGGTCACACGGATGAAAAATGTTAATGGATTGCAACCCAGGTGCTAGAGTCTAGACATTGCAACATTTGCTCTCGCTAAATTTGTTTATAACTTCTGTGTTCTTCTCCAACCGTATAAACTCCAGACGGAAGAGCAAGCATTAAAATATCTGAAGTTATATAACTAGACATATAAATGACAGGTGATAAGTAAACACATTTTAAAATAAAATGAAAAATATTTAAAATTTTTATTTGTTTTGTTTTTAAGTAGGTAATGGATGTAAACAGTAAAAATGTTAAAAAGTATATTAAAATATGTACAAAACAATCTCATTTTTACTGCTGTTTTCTAATCGTCCTATTTTTCCAGCACAATGGCCAGCATTATTACTACATTCTGAGTTCCTTCAAGAGATGCTCCACAATTACACAGCATATATGTGTATAGATGATCACCTACTTAGATAAATGGTAGCATACTATACTCACTCTTCTGCCCCTCCTCTTGCACTTGACTTTCTTTATACTTATTGTCATAAAATTAACATATTTTTTAAAATAGAGAAGCATATGAGTAAAAAGTAAATGTCTTTCCTTCAATCTTCTAAAAGTAACAACTGTAAAATTAGATGGTTTTAAAAATTGTCTTTACAAAAAAATTGGAATTTTGTGATATCCCTTTTCTATTCCTTGCTTATGTTTAACATTGATAACGTTTTCCCAAAGTTATATGTTTGCATCCACCTTATTTTTATTTATTTATTTATTTTTAGACAGTCTCACTCTGTCGCTCAAACTGAAGTGCAATGGCATAATCTTGGCTCACTGCAACCTCCACCTCCCAGGTTCCAGTGATTTTCATGCCTCAATTTCCTGAGTAGCTGGGATTATAGGCATGCACTATCACACCCAGTTAATGTTTTGTATTTTTAGTAGAGATGGGGTTTTGCTATGTTGGCCAGGATGGTCTCAAACTCCTGGCCTCAAGTGATCCGCCTGCCTCTGCCTCCCAAAGTGTTGGGATTATAGCCGTGAGCCACCATGCCCAGCCTATCCACCTTGTTTTTTAATGACTGCTTAAAATTAGAATTTAGTGTATGTTAAAATGTTTTTATCTTCTTACCTATTGGTGGACATTGAAGTTGTTTCTGACTTTTAAAAAACCATTTTATGGGCTGGGCACGGTGGCTCATGCCTGTAATCCCAGCACTTTGGGAGGCCAGGGCAGGTGGATCACTTGAAGTCAGGAGTTCAAGAGCAGCCTGGCCAATATGGTGAAATGCCGCCGTCTCTACCAAAAATACAAAAATTAGCCAGGCGTGGTGGCGTGCACCTGTAGTCCCAGCTACTTGGGAGGCTGAGGCAGAAGGATTGCTGGAACCCAAGAGGCGGAGGTTGCAGTGAGCCAAGATCGCGCCACTGCACTCCAACCTGGGTGACAGAGCAAGACTCAGTCAAAAAAAAAAAAAAAAAGAAAGAAAAAGAAAACCTGCCATTTTATGTAATGCTTCATTTTCTTTATCTCTTATATCTTTTTTAAAAAAATTATACTTTAAGTTCTGAGTTACATATGCAGAACGTGCAGTTTTGTTACATATGTTTATATTCATTTTTGTAGGATAGATTCCTGGATATGTGAATGCTAGGTAATAAGGTAAACCATATTTCGTTTCAAAAACCTGTACCAATTTACAATGCCACAAAAATTGTAGGAGAAAGTCTATTTCCCACACTCTTGACAACATTGGACTGTTTCAATTTTACAAGTGTAGATTTCACTGATTCTCAGATGCACTTCTTTTTTTCCCCCATTTTTAGCAGCTCCAAAATTTGAATATGTCTTATAACCAATGACATGTAATAGTTTAATTGGCAGCATGTTTACTTTCTCCATGACATAAAATCATGATTATGTCTTTTAATTGAAAGTACCTTAGATTCAATAAAATATGGTATTTTCTAATCTAACAGCTGGTGAAAATCAGATCTTAATGGTGTTTATGTTTTATTTTGTTAATTTCTAGTTAAATTGTGCATTGTTTCATATTTATATTTTCTACAAGTAATTTTTAATGAATTATTAATACTTTATTTTTTATAGTAAATATAAGGAAATTATGCAAAGGAGCACAATGTGGCTGACAATCTTTGCAGATCTAGGTCCATTAAAAACTTACGGTGACCCAGTACCTTGTGATGACAAGTCTGTTTTCAATAAGGGGATCCGTTTCCACACAAAGACGATATATATCTTCATAAAGCCTATTTTGCTGGGAAAAAAGACTTCGCAAATTTTAACTTTTTAATTGACAAACAGCATGTTCTTCAGGGAAATGTTGGCACTCCTCTCCTTCCCAAGAGGGAAAATTTTGTGTCCTACAAATAGCGCCTTTTTCTCAAAGTTACTGTAGACCATAACACAGCTATGTTTACTTGCTTTTTTCCAATACTGACAAAATACACTGCTGCTGTTTTTTTTAAACCTTTTATTCCTGAATATGACACCCCAATTATTATCTTGTTCACAATTGTGATGAATATATATCTTATTAAGATGTCTCCTGCTTGATTTAAATCAACACTTCTCTCCCTGTTTATACCACACATACTTTCAGCTCAGTGATTCCCAACAGAGGGCAATCCCTTCCTCACCCCACACCCCCAAGCAGAACATTGGCAATGTCTGGAGACATTTTTTATTGTCTTGACTGTGTGCGGAGGGCAGGGGGCTACTGGCGTCTAGAGGGTGGAAGGCTGGGATGTTGCTAAATAGCTTACAACACACAGGACAGCTCCCTACAACAACAAATTATTCCATCTAAAATGTCAGTAGTGCAAGGTTAGGAAGCCCTGCCCTAGAGTTTAAGTTTCAAGATGGCCTTTACCTGCAAATCACAGTCTTTGGAATTGCAGTGTGATTTGCTGGGGTTTCTCAATAGCTACTACCCTGTTCCCTACACCCCCAGCCCCCAGCAAACACCTGGGTGATGTGTGACATACTTTTTATTAACAATATTTTCCTGGGGGAATGATGTGGGAGGATGTGGACAATGGCAGCATGCCTATAATTTGAGAAGAGTTCCCAGGTAATTTCTTTATTGCCCACTCCTCTCAACAATTGAGTTACCACTATAATTTAGAAAGTCTGAAGACAGTGATTGTCAAAGTGCTTTGATTTACATCCTTCTCCATCTTCTCCCCTCCCAAAGATTTACCACGTGTTTGTCCATGGCTGCTTTTGAAAGATATAAAATGTCTCAAGCTAGAATTTTCTACTTATAAAATAAAGCTTATTTTGTTATGTAGTGATGTTGGAAAAAATAAGTCGTAAAATTTCTGAGAAGGTACTTATATATTAATTCCATGGTATTACTCCAGGAATTTAGACAAATAATCTGTTCCTTGGTAAATATGGATGACTTACAGAAAGTCAGTTTTATTTGATATTAAGCACTTTTACTTAAGCACTTATTTTGACATCCCCAATCCATCTAGTCTATGGAATAAACCATACGTTTTAATTTCCAAAATTTGGATCTTTGGTCACTTAGCATTAATATATTTATTTCTATTATGTGTAATATATATTATTCACTCATAAAAATATATATTCTCTATATGTGTAATATATGTCTGTGATAGTATATACAATATAAGGTATAGATAATATAATAATGCCTGTGATATCATATAGAATATGTATGTTCATTCTTATGGTTATTTCCTGCAAGCCCCAAACCCCTGCACTCCTGTTCAAAGCAGTAAATTGCTGCAGCCAACCCTATGGACTCAGAATTCAGTGATGCCTCAGATAGAGGCAGTGTTGACCACAGATACCACTTCCCTCCCTCCTCACTGAGCACAGATGCCACCTCTGTTCACTGTAGTCTGCCAACATTTTCTCTTTCAGTTTCTAATGTGGCAAGAAGGGAAGGGCTGATTGTGGTTCTGGAAAGAAAGAACAGGTTGAAAGGGTGAGAGATCTTGGCAGTAGTTACTCCTTATTTCTGCCCTGTTTGATAGCCTTTCTGCCTGCTTTCACAAGCATATAGGCTGTATTTGGTTTTCCAGTTGCTACTTTCGGAGTTCATCTTCGTCTGTTTATGTGTAACGGGTACCAACACTTTCAACATAGTTATTAGAAATAATCATTTTAAAACATTTTCAAGTCATTTGAAAAATGTCCTACCTCTCAAGTAGGGCTCACATAATACACAAATATCAATTGCTTTGCTAGTCATTATATTTATGTATATTTTATCTTAGTATGTGATCATTGGGACAATAAAATAATATTAAATAAAAATTTGGTAAGAGAAATAAAAAATCTCTGGTAATAAATAGCATAGAAGGCAAAAGTATTTTACAAAGTTGTTTTCAGAGAAGTGGAAGTGGCATCTCAATGAAGCTTTTCAAACATGACTTACCAGAGTGGCTAGTCTGAGTCCAACACAAAACTATTGACATATTTTCCATTGAAGGGGAAGGTAAATGTGAATCTTAAAGTGCTGCAATCTTCACTTTGCTTGTTTCCCCCACTTTTCATAATCAGTGACAATCCGTTGTATTTTCCTTGCATCTCAATTTAAATCTAAATAAATTAATATTTTACATTTATATTGTTAGCTGCAATTAAGATATAAGAACTCTTCTGATTTTAGGCATTTGTTTTTATTTATTCTCAAGTATGCCATCTGTCAGAATTGAGAAAAAAATAGCAACATATGGATGAATTCTTTGTGTTTCTCTAGATATTTTAGAATCAATATGTTCCAAGATATGTTGCCAACTACATGTTTTTGATTGCTGGTGCTTACATTTGGGTTTATGAATTAACTTGCAGACAATAAAAGGTAAAACTTCAGCTCTTGCAGGGAGTAGTCTATGCATTAATACTAAAAAACATGCAGCTTGTATATTTCAAAATAACTAGAGGAGTGGATTTGGGATGTTCCCAATACAAAGAAATGATAAATATTTGAGGTAATAGATGTCGCAGTTACCCTGATTTGATCACTACGCATTATATGCTTATATCAAAATATCACATGTACCCCATACATATGTACAGCTATTATGTACCCACAACAATTTTTGAAGGTAAAAAACATGTGGCATAAATTTCTATTTTCTAAAATCAGGTCAATAGTAGAATAATTGGAAATGTTGAATTGTATGCTTACAATAGTTTTTAAAAAGTACATTTTTGGTAATGGTATCTCTAAAACTACTATAAAATCTTCATGTCCCTTTTGATCACTAAGCAGAGATTAAATTGCACCTTGCATAGTCTAACATAACATGAATACTGTGTTGTAATCTGAAACTGGTAATCCAAGTATGGTGTAAAAGTTGGCACTCAGTTACCGATTAGGTTGAACCACATAAAATTGCCATTTTTTGTAGGTTAAAAATGATTTAATGTTAGTAATTTCATATGGATCATACTAATTTAATTTTTAATTGATGTTTCACCTTACTGACCATTTTAAGAAAATGGTTTTATATTTTATTACTTTAAGATGTTTATTTTAAGCTAGTGTTATGCATAGCATTCTAAGGACCAAATGTGACTTCTTGTCTCACTTAATATAATTGTTAGCACCAGGTCCACATATGCTCTATCCTAATGTGTTTAAGGTATTCAGCATAGAACCTCAAATGCTCACAAAGCAATGACTGCACAAACACATACGTATAAATAAATTAGAAAATGAGTATAGCCAAACTGCAAGTGGTATAAATTATATTTTCTTTTTTACCCAAAATTTAATTTGGGGATAGCAAGGGTGGACCCATACATGATTAATTTCAGCACACAACTGTTAGTATTGGCTTACTTTTTCTCATTTTGGAGTTAAAATGTTGAGAAAATCAATTCTGAAAATATATGTAAACAATAGATACTGGTGAGTCCAACAAATATTTATTGAGTGTCTACTCTTTCCCAAACAATGTTATATGTATAGGGGTAACACATAAGACACATTTATAATTGTCTCCCCTGAACTTGTAATTTCAGGGGAGAGATAAACACATGAACATGCTTCAGTATAACATGATAGGCTTTATTATTAAGAACACAGACTTTGGCACAATGTCTGAGTTTGAATGCTAATTCTGCTACTTAAAAGCTCTGTGACTTTAGGCAAGTTTCCTAAATGATTTGTGCCTCATTTTTGTTATCTGTATAGTGAGTGTAATGATAATATCTATCTCTTAGCATTATTGTGAGGAGTCAGTAAATTGATATAGGCAAAGCACTTAGTGTCGGCCACAGTGTAATTGCTAAGTTTTAGCTGTTACTATTATTAATAATAAGACACTGTAAGAATAGTGAATATTTGCTTTTCCCATATCTAATTGTTCTGTAGGAGATAAAATATTTTTGGACCCTGTTGATTTAGCTGGAATGCCATACACATTGCAGCCAATCTATGCTGGGTTCAAATCTTTATTACTTCCTAGCAATGTGAGTCTTAATTTTCTTATATGTAGAAATAGAAATAATACAACCACAATATTATGGTTATCCTGAGTATTTAGTGAGATAATGTTTAAAAGGCAGTCAATAAATAGTAGCTATTAATATTTATTAGGAGAAAAATCCATTCACTCAACTATATCCCCAAAGAAAATAAGGAATACTATAGAAAATGTTGTGTGGTTACTCACTAAAATAATTTTATTCTTCTTTTAAAAATATAATTCAGAGATTGGATAATTCTCAACACTAAATTTCATTCAAATGTGGTTATTACCAAGTTCCCTTTTTATCCTTATAAAAATAGTTTTTCTCCTTTATTTTCATAGTGTTATGTAAAAATTTTTACAGGCATAAGAGATCATCTTATTTTTGCACTATAGAATGCAAGCTGTCCACACAAATTTGTAATGTGATAGAGTTTATGCTAATTTTGCTATAAGTTTCATGGATATATTGGAGGCTTGTTAATAATTAAAAAATTTTACTTCTTCAAGTTACAAATAAGTATTACAGTAAATACTTTCCAATCTTTATCTGACATGACATCTTACCAATACAGGCATCACAAAATAAATAATTTATGAAAAATATTTATTTAAAGAGCTGTAATTTACCTTGCATTTACCATATGCCATTCATCCAAGTAGCAATATAAAATATTCATTAGAGAAACTCATTAAAACAAACTTCTATACAATGAGGTGATGGTCCAACAAAAAACATCAATCATAGCAAGGCTTTAAGTTTTTATTAGTGCATATGGGCACACTAATATTTCAAAGTAGAAAATTATGAATATTTTGCTCTGCCTCTGAAATGACCAGGCTGATACAAAGACAAATTTTATAAGAGTGTAACAAAGACAGGAACTGGTTTTTCTTCATTTGTTTTCATTTTAGTCAAGAAATCAGTGACAGTTCACTGAGATTTATTTTATTAATGATGAATCAACCTGATGTTATAATTAATGGGAAATCTATAGCTAATCTTGGAGGAAAAATAACTATGCATATAATGATGTTTAAACCTGGCATAACAGAACTCTGAGCTGCTGTCTCTTGACTATGTGAGTGGTAGGCAGAGCATTTGCTGTGAATTCCAGCGACACCCTAATGCACTTTGAGGCCCATGAGAGAATTCCAGCCTCACTCATGCCTAAGAAGTAGTGTTGACAAAACAGCACAACCTTGGACTTTAAAAAAAAAAAGATTCTACTCACACTAAGTAACTATGTAATTATTGCATTGTCAATTTCAAACATACACAAACACACACACACATTGCTTCACAATTCTAGTGAAGCTCTTAAATATGAATAGTATCAGAGTTCCAGAAAAATAACAGACTCAAATCAATACACGATGGGATTCACATAAGCAGCACTGTATTCTTCTGGATCTCCCTCCATAAACTAATTCACAATTCATTAGGAAGTCCTGTTAAATCTCTGCTTCACATTCCCTGCCCTTCTAGTACACTGTTGATCTGTGATTAAATGTTCTAATAAAATTAACTGGCTTTGCTACAAACAGGACATCTGGAGCTATGTTTAATTTCACGTCAAACATACACAGGAAACACCTGTCTAGGTGAAGTAATTTTTTTTAAATGACATTAATCCATCTGTTTTGGAAAATGGTGTCATGGTTGTCACATTAAAAGGTAATATCAACAAACACAGAAATCCTGAATTGCTTTGGAGCATACGTTTTCTAAAATTAACAAAAAATTGCTTATCTAAATGTTATCGTGAGAGCCTTATTTTGTGCTGAAAAATAGGAGGCCTTCTTCTTTAACTCAGCGACTTTCAATCCCTGCGCTGTAAAACTTCCAGATGTTCAGTTAGTCCCCGTACTTAAAAGATTAAAACCACGGGTGTGACTCTTTGTCTACATATCTGTGCCAAAAGCAAACTGACACCATCCACTAATATCCTCATACGACAGGTAGATGTTAGTTACATGCATTTTTAAGTATGCAAATGTATACATAAATTATTTTTATGTGATACCGGTGAGCAAGCATATACTTTTTAGAATTTAAATGTTCACAAATGTATATAGTTTGCAGTGGCTTCTGATAGAAGGTAGGAGCACACAATGGAAACCTGATGGAGGAATTGGCTGGATGTTATTTACAACCTGTTTTTCCTTTAATTTGGTCTGTTTCAAAATTCTCAGGTTATTGGGCTCCAAAAATGCTTTCTTTAAATCTTTCCAATTGTTATTTCCTTGTGAGGGACAGGTGGGCTGCCCAGACAGTAGTTTTCCATGACAGCTTAGTGTCTTAATTATTTTGTGAAAATCATACTATTATATTTTCTTCTTTAAAAAGCAAGGTTGCCGAAGAGGTGAAAAAGCTAAGTGACTTGACCAGGATCACCCCACATAGCCAGAAATGCAGAATATATTATGCCAGTATGTACAAATTTTTTTTTTTTTTTTGAGACAGAGTCTCACTCTATTGCCAGGCTGGAGTGCAATGGCGCGATCTCAGCTCACAGCAACCTCTGCCTCCCGGGTTCAAGCGATTCTCCCTGTCTCACCCTCCCGAGTAGCTGGGATTACAGGCGCCTGCCACCATGCCCAGCTAATATTTGTATTTTTATTAGAGACAGGGTTTCACCATGTTGGCCAGGCTGGTCTTGAACTACTGACCTTAGGTGATCCGCCCACCTCGGCCTCCCAAAGTGTTGGTATTACAGGTGTGAGCCCACCGCGCCAGGCCAAAATGTTTTTAATATAGGTGTTCTTTGCAAACTTTTCCATTAAAGTGCATACAAAGGCAAACTATGAATTCTTAGTGGGGTTGGAGAAGAATTGGTGGGCAAGTGAGAAGTCTGAAGGCACAGTCAATAAGGCTTATCCATCTTGTGTTTTCCTATAAATTAATGTGAATTTCTAATTCTACTCCCTAACATTGTTCTACATGCAAATGGGTGCTTTTTGTTGTTTTTCTTTTAAAAAGTCTATAAATAAAATTAATATTCCAGAGAGATATGCCTTACAACTCTGCCTACTCCTCCACCATGGCTTTATCTATTCACAACATCCAGTTTGGTGTCCTCAGGGTGTAGTCACTGAAGGAAATTATGAGAAACAATTTTAAAACCATTACGCCAGCACATAGTTTTCTGGAAAATTATCAATAAGCTTTTTATTTTAAAAATACAACTATATGATAAAAGAATGCAGATTTGTTAACTATGTCTAAGAATTTGTCACAGATAACAATCTGCAAAAAATTTAAAATTTTTTGAAACTTTAGTGTTTAATGCTTTGGTCAATAAATTATTGGTTACTAATTTTCATAGTTGTAAGTAACAGATTTTTATGCTGTTTATTTCTGTAGTAGCAAAGAGGCATAGCAGAAACATGAAGGTTTGGGCACATGGTTTTGGGTGAATTCTGGTGGAAGTAGTTAGAAGTTATTGAAAAAGGGAGATTGAAAACATGTTATTACTAAATGATTATTTTGGCAGACTGGAGGTATATAGGTAGGGACAGAGTGACAGTAAAGGAAGTTAAGGTAGAGGCATTGTACAGAATGACAATCAGTTTAAATAAACTGTGTCTGGTTGAAGCATGCCAAGTATTGCTAAGACTAAATTGATGGTAAACTCTTGTATGGAAACTCTGTAATAGTGAGTGACATGTTATAGTCTCAAGAGCCCTGAGTTTCACTGCTGTACATCAAAACTTGTCCCAGGGGATGGGGGGGGGAAGGTGGGGAGGTAGAGTCATGGACCTTCTGCCCCATATTTTCATAAGAGCTCTCCCTGTCTCTTTATCTCTCTCTGTCTTAGCCTCTCTCTAAACAGGTATGTTTTATATTATATATGTATATACGTGTTTATACATACACACACACACACATATATATATATATATATAACATTAGGTTTTTAGATGAGCTGGGTTTTTCGTAAGTGGTGTTCTGCTATAGAAATGTTTTAACTATTGGTTTGCCCAAACATTTCTTTTTAATTGAGTACATAGGGTACTTTCAATTCCTGATTGCAATGACTCTGACTCTATAAGAGGTAATAGTTTTCATGATTACTTAGTGATATGGTTTGGATCTGTATTCTCACCAAATCTTACATCAAATTTTAATCCCCAATGTTGGAGGTGGGGCCTGGTGGTGAAAGGTGACAGCGTGCTGGCAGTCCTCACAGCCCTCGCTGGATCTCTGCGCCGCCTCTGCCTGGGCTCCCACTTTGGTGGCACTTGAGGAGCCCTTCAGCCCACCGCTGCACTGTGGGAGCCCCTTTCTGGGCTGGCCAAGGCCACAGCCGGCTCCCTCAGCTTGCAGGGAGGTGTGGAGGGAGAGGCGCGAGCGGGTACCGGGGCTGCGTGCGGCGCTTGCGGGTCAGCCGGAGTTCTGGGTGGGCGTGGGCTTGGCGGGCCCCGCACTCGGAGCGGCCCGCCGGCCCTGCCGGCCCCGGGCAATGAGGGACTTAGCACCCGGGCCAGCGGCTGCGGAGGGTGTACTGGGTCCCCCAGCAGTGCCAGCCCACTGGCGCTGCGCTCGATTTCTCACCGGGCCTTAGCTGCCTTCCCGCGGGGCAGGGTTCGGGACCTGCAGCCCGCCATGCCTGAGCCTCCCACCCGCTCCATGGGCTCCTGTGAGGCCCCAGCCTCCCCGACGAGCACTGCCCCCTGCTCCACGGTGCCCAGTCCCATCGACCACCAAGGGCTGAGGAGTGCGGTGCACGGCGCTGGACTGGCAGGCAGCTCCACCTGCAGTCCCCGTGCGGGATCCACTGGGTGAAGCCAGCTGGGCTCCTGAATCTGGTGGGGACGTGGAGAACCTTTATGTCTAGCTCAGGGATTGTAAGTACACCAATCCGCACTCTGTATCTAGCTCAAGGTTTGTAAACACACCAATCAGCACCCTGTGTCTAGCTCAGGGTTTGTGAATGCACCAATCAACACTCTGTATCTAGCTACTCTGGTGGGGCCTTGGAGAACCTTTGTGTCCATACTCTGTATCTAACTAATCTGGTGGGGATGTGGAGAACCTTTGTGTCTAGCTCAGGGATTGTAAACGCACCAATCAGCACTCTGTCAAAACAGACCACTGGGCTCTACCAATCAGCAGGACGTGGGTAGGGCCAGATAAGAGAATAAAAGCAGGCTGCCCGAGCCAGCAGTGGCAACCCGCTTGGGTCCCCTTCCATACTGTGGCAGCTTTGTTCTTTCGCTCTTTGCAATAAATCTTGCTACTGCTTACTCTTTGTGTCCACGCTGCCTTTATGAGCTGTAACACTCACCGCCAAGGTCTGCAGCTTCACTCCTGTAGCCAGCGAGACCAAGAGCCCACCGGGAGGAACGAACAACTCCAGACGCGCTGCCTTAAGAGCTGTAACACTCACCGCGAAGGTCTGCAGCTTCACTCCTGAGCCAGCGAGACCACGAACCCACCAGAAGGAAGAAACTCCGAACACATCTGAACATCAGAAGGAACACACTCCGGACACAAAGCTTCAAGAACTGTGTAACACTCACCGCGAGGGTCCGCGGCTTCATTCTTGAAGTCAGTGAGAGCAAGAACCACCAATTACAGACACAGTGGGAGGTGAGTGGATCATGGGGATGGATTTCTCATGAATGGTTTAGCACCGTCCTCTTTGGTACTGTCCTCATGAGAATGAATGAGTTCTTATGAGATCTGTTTGATTAAAAGTGTGTAGCATCTCCCTTCTTGCTCTCTCTTGCTCCTGCTTAGGCCATGTGAAGCATCTACTCCCTCTTTGCTCTCTGCCATAGTTGTAAGTTTCCTGAGGCCTCCGCAGAAGACAAGCAGATGCCAGCATCATGCTTCCTGTACAGCCTGCAGAAACTTGAGTGAATTCAACCTCTTTTCTTTATAAATTACCCAGACTCAGGTATTTATAGCAATGCGAGAACAGGCAAATACATTTAGTATTTTGATAATGAAATATATTACTGAAGTTGAAATTAATGCCTCCAAAAATAACTTTCATACCAATTAACTTGTAGTAAAACAGTATTGACTACTTAGGCTATAAGTTGACACATTTTTTCTGAAAGGGGAAAACCATAAATATTTTTGGCTTTGTGGGCCACTTTGTTTCTGTTGCAACTACTCAACTCTGAGATGGTAACAAGAAAGCAGGCATAGATAAAGCAAAAAAAAAAAAAAAATGGTATGACTATGTCCCAATAAAACTTTATTTACAAAAGGATGCAGTGGGTTGATTTGGCAAGCTATAATTTACAGACCCTTGACTTAAACTACAGAGGTCTACCATAGAAACAGCAGTCATCATATGACTAAAATATATGGATCTCAATGTGTGTAAATATTTCAATGTTGTTTTAACTGTATGCATGGTATATTATTCTTATACCATAAAAATATTATTTTTAAATTTTACTGCTAAATCAAGTGAGCCCTGCTTAATAGGGACCTCAATTTCCAAATCTAAGTAATAGATATAAAATAAATGCAGCCATAAAAAAGGATGAGTTCAGGTCCTTTGTAGGGACAGAGATGAAGCTGAAACCATCATTCTGAGCAAACTATTGCAAGGACAGAAAACCAAACACCGCATGTTCTTACTCATAGGTGGGAACTGAACAGTGAGAACACTTGGACACAGGATGGGGAACATCACACACCAGGGCCTGTCGTGGGGTGGGGGGAAGGGGGAGGGATAGCATTAGGAGATATACCTTATGTAAATGACAATTTAGTGGGTGCAGCACACCAACATGACACATGTATACATATGTTAAAAACCTGCGCGTTGTGCACATGTACCCTAGAACTTAAAGTATAATAAATAAATAAATAAATATATTTAAAAAGAATACTAAAAAAAATAAATGAAGCTTTTAGGATGAATTTTTGGAATAATGCAAATAAAGTATAAATAAATATAAAAGATTATAAGTAACCATAACAAATTGAGCAAAATCTCATGCAAAACATAAGTCTATACACAAGTAAATAACTAGGAAAGGAGATCAGCAAGCTCTCATGAATTCCAGAATGATTTTCTGATGGCAGAAGCAAAAACTGATGAAAAACAATAAATGCCAAATTTTCTAAAATGGAATATTACTTAGGTTATTAGTTTAAATTCTGAGGAGAGATGTATTAGTTGGGTAGTTATAGGAGCAAACAAACAATCCTTCATGTTGCATATGGTTATGGAGACATCAAACATTGTGGCAAATTCTAAATATGAGTCTCCTTTCTCTTGCGCATTGAAGGTGATGGTAGTCTTGGTGATAATGTGGTGTCTCTTGTCTCTCAACTTCCATAATTCAATTATGTTTTATTAATTCCATGAGAGGGAAAACTAAACAGTTTTCCAGAATAAGACAAGTAAATTAATTTAGGAACTAAAATAATTGAAAATTGATGTCTAAAGGCAGTGATCCCTAAACTTGGGGAAAATCCACAAATTTAAGGACATCTCTAAATTAGAATATCTCATTAATATTATAACATCAAGACTTACATTCAGCCAAGTGAGTACCTCTTTTACAGCTACTGCTCTGCAATACTAAGAGGCTAGGAGCAAGTTCCAGACTACATCATTCTGTCTCTTTCCCCTTATCCCTTTTCATTCTGTACCTTCTGCTTGGAGATATATATACGTATATATGTATATATACATAAATACATATATGTATATGTATATATACATAAATACATATATGTATATGTACATAGCCAATTGTATATATATATACAGTATATACATACACACACACATATATATATATATATATATATATATATATATATATATATATACACAGCCAACTCATCCTGCAAAAGTCAGATATATACAGCCATTTCTTCCTCCAGGACTCATTAAACATTATGTTCTTGTTGAATTCCTTCCTAGGACCTTCTTCCTCTTTAAAGTTAATGTTGATCAGTCTCTAATCTTTGAATCTTTTATATGGGATTATTGATGAATTTATTTTATATATGAGGAAACTGAATCCCAGAGAGTTTATATAACCTGTTCAGGGCCAGATAGCTAGAAAGCAGTGGAGCTGGCATTGCAAGTCAGGCTTATTTGACCTTGTAGTTCATGCTTTTTCCCTCACTTCTAAGGTACCTTGTATGCCAAGGTAAGCAAGTATGGATAAAATCAAAGTAATAGGGCTCGTGACTTTTTCCAATTATGGAAGTATTCAATTATGAAAGTAATGCATGCTGATCGAAAAATATTTGGGAATATAGAAAAGTAAAAGAAGAGTAAAACTATGTTTCCACCAACTGTTTCCCTAGAATATTTTGCTATGCTAACTTTGCATACTTTGCTATTAATATAAGTAATGAGTACAATTTTGTTTCTTGTTTTTTCTAACCTAACATACTATAAACAATTTGCATGTTATAAAATATTTTACATAAAATAATTTTCATTGACTGAATAATCATGTGATCAAAAGAATATATCATAATTAAATAATTATTGAAAACGATAGTTATCCTCAATTTTTCCTGTTTGTAGTGTTGCAATCAATATACATATATATCTCTCTCATGTTACATTAATTTTCTTAAGATCTGTTTTAAAGATTGGAATTTTCCAGGTGCCCTTTCTTTGACTAGGAAAGGGAATTCCATGTTCTCACTCAGAGGTGGGAATTGAACAATGAGAACACATGGACACAGGAAGGGGAACATCACACACCAGGGACTGTTGTGGGGTGGGGGGAGGGGGGAGGGATAGCATTAGGAGACATACCTAACGTTAAATGACGAGTTGATGGGTGCAGCACACCAACATGGCACATGTGTACGTATGTAACTAACCTGCACATTGTGCACATGTACCCTAAAACTTAAAATATAATAATAAAAAAATTGGAATTAATGAGTCAGAGGTTATGAATATTTTTATGGCTTTTGATATAAAGTTTTTATGGCTCTTGATATAAAGTTTTTATGGCTCTTGATATAAAGTTTATACTTGAGCAAATACATGGACAGCACAATTCCTGAAACATTGCAAGTACTCAAGTAATTATGTTTACGTTTTCAAATTGCTTTCCAGAAAGGTCATAATAGCCTGCACTTCCACCCATGTTAAATGAGCATTCATTTCACAATAAACTGGTGATGGTGCCTTTTTAAATGTTAATAAATATTTAAAATGTTTTTTAATTGATAAGTGAAAAAATGTTTCCATGGTTATTTTGGATAAATTGTATAGTCCAGAAATGATATTGAATCCCCAAATTTTTTGGTAGTTTCCTTTCTAATAACCATTGCTCATTCTTGAATAGAGAAGAAATTGTCATACAAAATTTCCAATACTGTAATTTTTATTTTAAAATATATCACTTGTCTGATTAAAGATATATTACTATCTGGAATATTAAATTTTAAGTAACTATAAAACCTCTCTATAAATTCAATTTTTTATAGCAATTTAAAGACAAATAATTGGATACACTTTCTTATATTGTTATTTAAATTGTATACAAAATTCACAAAGTTGTTTTGACTGTCTCTTAGTAGTAGAAGTGAATTAAAACTATCTTGTTCAAAATTATGCTCAGAAATTAACCAAGGAATGTTAATTTCAATTTACCATGGTTAAATATGAACAATCATCAATATTCAGCAGTTAATTTTACATAGCCTCATGTTCTTTGCTTACCAATTTGTTATTTGAATTTGCATGTAGTTAAGTGTTTAGTGATGTTTATTGCCCTTTTATTATTTTTCAAATACGTTTTTTAGGAGGTGCTTCTAAGATGGCTGAATAGGAAGAGCTCCAGTCTACAGCTCCCAGCTATATCGATGCAGAAGATGGGTGATTTCTGCATTTCCAATTGAGATACATGGTTCATCTCCTTGGGACTGGTTGGACAGTGGGTGCAGCCCACGGAGGGCAAGCCAAAGCAGGGCAGGGTGTCATCTCACCTGGGAAGTGCAAGGAGTTGGAGAATTTCCCTTTCCTAGCCAAGGGGAGCCATGAGTGACTGTACCTGGAGGAACGGTACACTCCTGCCCAAATACTGCACTTTTCCCGTGGTTTTCACAACTGGCAGACCAGGAGATCCCCTCCTGTACCTGGCCCGGTGGGTCCCACGCCCATGGAGCCTTGCTCGCTGCTAGTGCAGCAGTCTGAGATTGACCTGGGATGTTGGAGCTTGACAGGGGCAGGGGCGTCCAACATTGCTGAGGCTTGAGTAGGCAGTTCTGTGCTCACAGTGTAAACAAAGCGGCAGGGAAGCTTGAACTGGGCAGAGCCCACAGCAGCTCAGCAAGGCCTACTGCCTCTCTAGATTCCACCTCTGGGGGCAGGGCATATCTGAATAAAAGGCAGCAGACAGCTTCTCCAGACTTAAACATCCTTGCCTGATAGCTGTGAAGAGAGTAGTGGTTCTCCCAGCATGATATTCGAGCTTTGATAATGGACAGACTGCGTCCTCAAGTGGGTCCCTGATCCCCATTGTAGCCTGACTGGGAGACACCTCCCAGTAGGGGCTGACAGTCACCTCATACAGGCGGGTGCCCCTCTGGGACAAAGCTCCCAGAGGAAGGATCAGGCA
Source organism: Homo sapiens (assembly GCF_000001405.40). NCBI lineage: Eukaryota > Metazoa > Chordata > Mammalia > Primates > Hominidae > Homo > Homo sapiens. Next base: position 76,441,762 of record NC_000008.11, on the reverse strand, counting down.
GCAACATTTGCTGTTCTGTAGCCTCCGATGGTGATACTCAGGCAAACAGGGTCTGGAGAGGACCGCCAGCAAATGCCAACAGACTTGCAGCTGAGAGGCCTGTCTGTTAGAAGGAAAACTAATAAACAGAAAGGAATAGCATCAACATCAACGAAATGGACATCCACAACAAAACCCCATCTGTAGGTCACCAACAGCAAAGACCAAAGGTAGATAAAACCACAAAGATAGGGAGAAACCAGAGCAGAAAGGCTGAAAATTCCAAGAACCAGAACACGTCTTCTTCTCCAAAGGAACACAACTCCTCACCAGCATGGGAACAAAACTGGATGGAGAATGAGTTTGATGAGTTGACAGAAGTAGGCTTCAGCAGGTTGGTAATAACAAACTTCTCTGAGCTGAAGCAGCATGTTCTAACCCATCGCATGGAAGCTAAAAACCTTGAAAAAAGATTAGACAAATGGATAACTTGAATAACCAGTGTAGAGAAGAGTTTAAATGACCTGATGGAGTTGAAAACCACAGTGCAAGAACTTCATGAAGCATAGACAAGCTTCAGTGGCTGATTCTATCAAGTGGAAGACAGGATACCAATGACTGAAGATAAAATTAATGAAATAAAGCGAGAAGACAAGGTTAGAGAAAAAAAGAGTGAAAAGAAACGAACAAAGCCTCCAAGAAATATGGGACTGTGTGAAAAGACCAAATCTACATTTGATTATTGTACCTGAAAGTGATGGGGAAAATGGAACCAAGTTAGAAAACACTCTTCAGGATATTATCCAGGAGAATTTTCCCAACTTAGCAAGGCATTAATACAGAGAACACCACAAAGACACTACTCAAGAAGAGCAACCCCAAGACACATAAGTGTCAGATTCACCAAGGTTGAAATGAAGGAAAAAATGTTAAGGGCAGCCAGAGAGAAAGGTCGGGTTATCCACAAAGGGAAGCCCCTCAGACTAACAGTGAATTTCTCTGCAGAAACCCTACATGTCAGAAGAGAGTGTGGGCCAATATTCAACATTCTTAAAGAAAAGAATTTTCAACCCAGAATTTCATATGCAGCTAAACAAATCTTTATAAGTGAAGGAGAAATAAAATCCTTTAGAGACAGAGAAATGCTGAGATATTTCATCACCATCAGGCCTGCCTTACAAGAGCTCCTGAAGTAAGCACTAAACATAGAAAGGAACAACTGGTACCAGCCACTGGAAAAACATGCCAAATGGTAAAGACCATCAATGCTATGAAGAAACTGCATCAATTAACAGGCAAAATAACCAGCTAACATCATAATGACAGGATCAAATTTACACATAACAATATTAACCTTAAATGTAAATGGGCTAAATGCCCCAATTAAAAGATACAGACTGGCAAATTGGATAAAGAGTCAAGACCCATCAGTGTGCTGTATTCAGGAGACCCATCTCATGTGCAAAGACACACATAGGCTCAAAATAAAGGGATGGAGAAAGATCTACCAAGCAAATGAAAAGCCAAAAAAAAAAAAAAAGAAAAACGAGGGTTGCAGTCCTAGTCTCTAATAAAACAGAATTTAAACCAACAAAGATCAAAAGAGACAAAGAAGGCCATTACATAATGGTAAAGGGATCAATTCAAGAAGAACTAACTATCCTAAATATATATGCACCCAATACAGGAGCACCCAGATTCATAAAGCAAGTCCTTAGAGACCTACAAAGAGACTTAGACTCCCACACAATAATAATGGGAGAATTTAACACCTCACTGTCAATATTAGACAGATCAACAAGACAGAAGGTTAACAAGGATATCCAGGACCTGAACTCAGTTCTGCAACAAGCAGACTTAATAGACATCTACAGAACTCTCCACCCCAAATCAACAGAATATACATTCTTCTCAGCACCACATCACACTTATTCTAAAATTGACCACATAATTGGAAGTAAAACACTACTCAGCAAATGTAAAAGAACAGAAATCATAACAAACTGTCTCTCAGACCACTGTGCAATCAAGTTAGAACTCAAGATTAAGAATCTCACTCGAAACCACACAACTACATGGAAACTGAACAACCTGCTCCTGAATGACTACTGGGTAAATAACGAAATGAAGGCAGAAATAAAGAAGTTCTTTGAAACCAATGAACAAAGACACAACGTACCGGAATCTTTGGGACACATTTAAAGCAGTGTGTAGAGGAAAATTTATAGCACTAAATGCCCACAAGAGAAAGCAGGGGAGATCTAAAATTGACACCTTAACATCACAATTAAAAGAACTAGAGAAGCAAGAGCAAACAAATTCAAAAGCTAGCAGAAAATAAGAAATAACTAAGATCAGAGCAGAACTGAAGGAGATAGAGACACAAAAGCCCTTCAAAAAATCAATGAAGGCAGCAGCTGGTTTTTGAAAAGATCAACAAAATAAACCCCTAGCGAGACTAATAAAGAAGAAAAGAGAGAAGAAACAAATAGACACAATAAAAAAAGATAAAGCAGCTATCACCACTGATCCCACAGAAATACAAACTACCATCAGAGAATACTATAAACATCTCTATGCAAATAAACTAGAAAATCTAGAGGAAATGGATAAATTCCTGGACACATACATCCTCCTAAGACTAAACCAGGAAGAAGTTGAATTTCTGAATAGGCCAATAACAGGTTTTGAAACTGAGGCAATAATTAATAGCCTAACAACCAAAAAAAGTGCAGGACCAGAAAGATTCACAGCCTAATTCTACCAGAGGTACAAAGAGAAGCTGGTATTATTCCCTCTGAAACTATTCCGATCAATAAAAAAAGAAGGAATCCTCCCTAACTCATTTTATGAGGCCAGCATCATCCTGATACCAAAGCCTGGCAGAGACACAACAAAAAAAGATGATTTTAGGCCAATATCCCTGATGAACATCAGTGCAAAAATCCTCAGTAAAATACTGGCAAACCGAATCCAGCAGCACATCAAAAAGGTTATCCACCACAATCAAGTTGGCTTCATCCCTGGGATGCAAGGCTGGTTCAACATACACAAATCAATAAACGTAATACATCACATAAAGAGAACCAACGACAAAAACCACATGATTATCTCAACAGATGCAGAAAAGGCCTTCAACAAAATTCAACAGCCTTTCATTGTAAAAACTCTAAATAAACTAGATATCAAAGGAACATATCTCAACATAATAAGAGCTATTTATGACAAACTCACAGCCAATATCATACTGAATGGGCAAAAACTGGAAGCATTCCCTTTGAAAACAGGCACAAGACAAGGATGCCCTTTCTCACTACTCCTATTCAACATAGTATTGGAAGTTCTGGCAAGGACAATCAGGCAAAAGAAAGCAATAAAGGGTATTCAAACAGGAAGAGAGAAAGTCAAATTGTCTCTGTTTGCAGATTACATTATTGTATATTTAGAAAACCCTATCATTGCAGCCCCAAATCTCCTTAGGCTGATAAGCAACTTCAGCAAAGTCTCAGGATACAAAATCAACGTGCAAAAATGACAAGCATTCCTATATACCAATAACAGACAAACAGAGAGCCAAATCATGAATGAGCTCCCATTCACAATTGCTACTAAGAGAATAAAATACCTAGAAATAAAACTTACAAGCGATGTGAAGGGCCTCTTCAAGGAAAACTACAAACCACTGCTCAAGGAAATAAGAGAGGACACAAACAAATGGAGAAACATTCCATGCTCATGGATAGGAAGAATCAATATCGTGAAAATGGCCATAATTCCCAAAGTAATTTATAGATTCAATGCTATCACCATCAGGCTACCACTGACTTTCTTCACAGAATTGGAAAAAACGACTTTAAACTTCATATGGAACCAAAAAGCCCATATAGCCAAGACAATCCTGGGTAAGAAGAACAAAGCTGGAGGCATCATGCTACCTGACTTCAAACTATTCTACAAGGCTACAGTGATCAAAACAGCATGGTACTGGTACCAAAACAGATATATAGACCAATGGAAGAGAACGGAGGCCTGAGAAATAAGACTACACATCTACTACCATCTGATCTTTGACAAACATGACACACACAAGCAATGGGGAAAAAATTCCCTATTTAATAAATAGTGTTGGGAAAACTGGCTAGCCATATGCAGAAAACTTAAACTGGACCCTTTTCTTATACCTTATACAAAAATCAACTCAAGATGGATCAAAGACTTAAACGTAAGGTCTAGGACTATAAAAATCCTAGAAGAAAGCCTGGGCAATACCATTCAGGACATAGGCATGAGCAAAGACTTCATGTCTAAAACACCAAAAGCAATGGCAACAAAAGCCAAAAATGACAAATGGGGTCTAATTAAGCTAAAGGGCTTCTGCACAGCAAAAGAAACTATTATCCGAGTGAACAGCAACCTACAGAATGAGAGAAAAATTTTGTAATCTGTCCATCTGACAAAGGGCTACTATCCAGAATCTACAAAGAACTTAAACAAATTTACAAGAAAAAAGCAAACACCCCATCAAAAAGTGGGCAAAGGATATGAACAGACACTTCTCAAAAGAAGACATTTATGCAGCCAACAGACATTTGAAAAAATGCTCATCATCACTTGTCATTAGAGAAATGCAAATCAAAACCGCAATGAGATACTGTCTCATGCCAGTTAGAATGTTGATCATTAAAAAGTCAGGCAACAACAGATGCTGGAGGGGTTGTGGAAAATTAGGAATGCTTTTACACTGTTGGTGGGAGTATAGATTAGTTCAACCATTGTGGAAGACAGTGTGGCGATTCTTCAAGGATCTAGAACTAGAAATACCATTTGACCTAGTAATCCCATTACTGGGCATATACTCAAAAGATTATAAGTCATTCTACTATAAAGACACATGCACAGGTACGTTTATTGCGGCACTTCACAATAACAAAGACTTGGAACCAACCCAAATGTCCATCAATGATAGACTGGATTAAGAAAATGTGGCACATATATACCATGAAATACTATGCAACCATAAAAAAGGATGAGTTCATGTCCTTTGCAAGGACATGGATGAAGCTGGAAACCATCATTCTCAGCAAACTATCACAAGATCAGAAAACCAAACACCACATGTTCTCACTCATAAGTGGGAGATGAACAATAAGAACACATGGAGACAGAGAGTGGAACATCACACAGCAGGGTCTGTGGGGGGTGGGGGACTAGGAGAAAGATAACATCAGGAGAAATACCTAATGTAGATGACGGGTTGATGTGTGCAGCAAACCACCATGGCATGTGTATACCTATGTAACAAAACTGCACATTCTGTACATGTAAACCAGAACTTAAATTATAATACAAAAAATACATTTTTTACTCTAGAACTTAGGAGTCTTAATATAATTGATGTATATAAGATTTCTCTTGATTAAGGCAGCAATTTATTTAAAAAAAAGTTGAATAGCTATAATCTGATTGCTTTTCTAGATGCAGATGTCACCTTTCCCCAGACTTAATAATTCTACCATCAGTACATGGCTAATTTTTCTCCAACCAGTAACTGTATTCTGAGGCTTTATTTATATCATTTAGTCTTCTACATTTGAACTTACAAACTTATACTCCAACAAATTTGATTCCATGTTAATCTATGGCATAATATTTTGATCACTTGTGTGCAATAAAGTCCTTCTTTTTTATGTGGCAGAAGAAATCTCCTGTATAATACAAACAACATTATCTCTAAAAGTGTGATACATCATCATACATGCAAAACCAAGCCGAGGTAGGCTAGACTGGCAGATTAGATGGACCACTTCAATTTTCCGTCAATCAAATTATAGTTTATTGTTCAGCTGAACTACCTCAGGCAACACAAATCTAAGAAACTGTCATTTTGGAAACATTACATTTTTTTCCTTGTCACATTATAACCCGAGCTATAGTCATAAAAAAGAATGTCATACCATTACTGGATCATAATATTCCTTATTTCAAGACCAGCTAATTCATACCTTTAAAGATTATAGTAGTATAGGAAATAATACCAGCCAACCATGTTGTTATTTTAATTATTTCCAAAATAATAATGATTCAAAAAATATTCAATTAAACACCGGATGATTGCCCAAAATGCTGGTTTAATAATAAGATTAGAGACAAGATTGTAATTCTTGATTCATCTAACATTTCAATTGTTTCATGCATAAAATAAATTTTTAAAAATTTAGCTAAAGATTCCATCTTTGAAAATAGAATAACTTTCCATTTTTAACCATTTTTACAACAGAAAAAGTGATTCATTGGTCAGATGAAAATTTTAACAAAAACAAGCAACAACAAAAATCTAACAGCCAAACATTAAAAACCTGATTACATTCTACCACCCACAAAAGTGTGTCAATACATTTTTCTGATATTTATTCTGCAAAGTTCCTCTTAGGTTGAAGAATTATCATAGATGCTGTTGCATTTTAAAAGCTTTCTTTCAGTTCATCTTAGATGTCTGAAATAAGCTGATGGCATTTCTACAGCTAGAAATATTTAGTTGAATGCATGCAACAGTGATGATTGCTTTTCTTTGTAGTAGAGGTATTACAATTTGGAAAGTGAGGAGGGAAAATGACAAAATAAATTTTATTCTCAAAATACAATTTCTTCAAAATTGAATGAGATATTTGTGCAAGAATGAACCTGGTTAAAACCATGGTGGTTTCCAGTTGCTATGGACTCATATTTATACTTAAAATGTGTTCATGATTACTTGATGAAGGCATAAACCTGCTCAAGAAATAACACTCATAAATAATACATGCTAAAGCATGAAGATAATCAGACAAGTTATAAGAATATACCTCCCTCCACAAATGTATGTCATTGCTACATTTCATGAAAGGCCATTTAATTGACTACCAGATAAAGGAATAAACCTGCTAAAAGAATAGATTTACTGTGCACTGAGGCAATGCATTGAAGAGGTCTCCACTGAATAAAAAACTAGTTCCATTGGCTGAGCTATCATATGTTCTTGAACGCATTGGGACTTATTAACTGAACTTTTATGTGCCTTTTATGCATCATTTATTTTTGAAAAATCAGGAATTTTCATGATAGCAATTACTTAGGCACTAAAGTCATGCGAAATTCCTGTGGTTGGTACCACAAAATCCACCCCAAGGAAAGAACTTACCCTCTTTTTAACACCTCTGGAGTTTAGGATGGAAAAAAAGGAAGTGGAATAACACCAAAGAAGGTGTATATGGCTCAGCTGAACGCTGTGGGTTTTCCTTAAAAAGGTAGCTTGAAGGCCTTACACTAACTCTTCTGTAGATTTTATTTTATTGGCATGGAAGTTAAAAAAAAACCAACAAATTCTTGAATCATTTTTTGCAAATATGATGATGATAACACCTAACACTTACTGAGAGTTTTCTATTTGCCTAAGCAAATTTGTAACATTTGTTTATTTGTACCATATTTGTGCAAATATGTCTATGCTTGGCATGACCATAAACATCTTCATTCTGTTCTATTTAGCCAAAATTTGTATTTGCCTGTTCTGCAATTCCTTCCCCGCATTGGAACTACAAAACCAATTGGCAATAAAGCTTTTTGGTTCAGCTTTGCTATAAAATTCAGAGTGTTTCTCAACACTATATAATTAAATGCAAATGCTAAGCTGTAATTATATTATGGATGTGACTAAAAGAGACTGAGGGAAGGAAATTCTTAGTTAAATCTGCTTCCACCTTGTTGTTTCTAGGTTTCGTGTGGTTTCATCTCTGCACTTTCACTCTGTATTTGATCCAAAATAACTTTTAAATACCTCATTAAGATTTAACTGAATGTGCAGGTTTTCAGTCTTCCCTCTGCAGGTCCCTGGACAAGAAGGATGAAATAGGATTCCTCTGTTGATGCATTGCAAAGTTCTATTCCATCCCCCTACTTATATTTTTTAGTTATGGACACACAAGGGGTTGAATGTACCAGCAGAGACTCTGAAATTGAAGACTCTTTGTAAAGAGCAGTGTCTGACATGGCTTACTTGCAAAGAGGATTCACATCATTAGACTTAGCCTTCATTTTCCTCCTTTCACTACACCTTAGTGTCTGCTCCCCATTCTCTCCTCTTTCCTTCTTCTGTTGCCATTTTTTCCTACAAAGATAGGAGCAATATGATGTCAGAAATCATAGTTACCATAGGAAAAAAAGGCACAGGGCAATTGAGAATTTAAATATCAACAGTTCTGATCAGCCTGACTTTTTATCTCCTGTACTGTGATTTTAAAGCTACTACTGGACTTATGTGAAGTGTGTCATGCCAGGTTGAGCAGCTATTATTTCCCACTTGCCCAAATTTTCCCCTGAGGCTTGAAAGGACAAGACCTGGGAAACAGGCTTTCTGAAATCCCTGGGTTCTCAGGCGGCATCTGTAGTGTTGGTCTGATTTAGATATTTAACTCTTCCTAGAATGCTAGAATTCTAGAGCTGGTTGGAAGTCTAAGTTAGCTAGTGTGAGATTCAGAGTTGGGCCCATGTCGCACAGTCTTTGAGTGATAGTGAGTGACTAAAGCCTGGTCCTCTAATACTTAGTTTAGGGCTTATTCCCATATTACAGTAGTTTCTAAATCTTGGCCATCAGCCCAGTGCTGGTGCAGGATAAAGCATGCATTAATCCTCAGCTAAATAGTAAAAAAGGCTGCAATAAGATGAATTTTTCATAGAGCAGACTTCATTCCATAGTAAGAGTGTCCTAACCTTTGATATGGCAGTGTCTGTTTTTGGGTGAAATTGTGGTGAAAGTTATTTATATTTCTTTTGCCTTTGTTTTAAAATGTCTTTTCTTGGTGAAATTAAAATATTGGCAGCCCAATGATGGAACTTATATATTTATTTGAAATGTTGTTGCTCCATGAAATCTAAAAATCTGGGAAACATTGCAGTAGGCCGGCTTCCTCCCCCTTTCGAGTCCCACATGGGCATTGCTGGGAGTCTCTCCTTCTTTTGGTTTTCTTCTTGGCAGAATATGTCCTATGATTCTTGGCTGGAGGCTGTGGAAACCTCTATGGATGGAAGGTTAGTGAGCCTGGGGTTCAGACTCAGCTCTCTCACCAATTAAGGTGCCACATTTGTCAAGCCATTAGGTTCCCTGGACTTCATTTTTTAAATTATATCAAAGAAATGGTGGTCAAGTTAACCTATAAGACTCTTAGCTGTCTTTCTCATGTGTGTATGTGTGTTTGTGTGTGTGTGTGTTTGTGTGTGTTTAGCATGTCCTGTTTTTGAGGCAGTGCTTGTGGATGAAAATTTTATCAGTTTGGACTAAAGAAGCATGGTGTAGAGAAGTGGGGATTAGGGAGAAGTAAAAAGATAGAAGAATCAATTTTATTCCCACAAAGAAGGTGAATCCTAACAAACAACATGCAGACCTCTGAATTGTTTGCTCTGTTTACTGAAGTACTCATGTCTGGTTTTGCTCCTTCCTTTACTTAAGTTTTGGTGCTCAGGTCCCTTGATATTTGAAGTATAAACTAAATCTGAACTTATGCACATGTCAAATGTGCTGGAATACATTCACTCTGTATATAAATTGTTGCTTTAATTGCAAGGACACTGGCATTGGGGGCTAAGAGCTAGGATTAGAATCCAGTGTTTTTAGTTTTTAGGTTGCTCCACATGAGTTGTCTAACTTTTAGACCTACATGGAGATACTGCCTTTCTTTGTGATGACTCTAATAATTAAATAAGGTTATAAACATAAACATGTATTGTAAACCGTAAAGAGCTATATATCCCAGTGGAGTGGGGGCAAAAAAAGAAACGAAAAAACAACCAAAAAAAGAACTATGTACATGTCAGACATTTATTAATGTATGTGATCTATATTTTATTTTACACATGATACACCTGATGGATTTATATTATATACAGAAGTATCTTTCTCTATTTCACAATTTTATATAATGACTGTATAGTCCTAGGATCGTCCCTGTTTCCTTCTTTCTCTTCTTTCTTTCTTCCTTCCTCTTTAAAATTTCTTTGTTTCTCCTTACTGTGCAGACCCTATAAAATTTTGTCTAGGTTTCATCTTTTGACTTTCTCACCTAGACTCAGGAGTCACTAAATACCCCTAGCTCATTTAAGCTTTTATGAGTCACCTTGTTGTCTGCAACATAAACTCTAAGTCTTTTAGTAAGGCACATCAAACCTTTTATAAGTTTACTCCAAAATATCTATCCATGCTTCTTCCTTGCCCTGTATTTCTCTGACACACTTTCAAAAGTCTGCCTTTTTGAACACTTCGTTATAGGCTGAAATTCCTACCGTCTCGCTTCATCTGACAAAGTCTTACTCATCCTACTGAAACCTGCTTTTCAACTCTCCTAAGCTGTGTTAGTCTCTCATCTGTGAACCCCGTGCACTCACCCCCACCAACATTGCTATGTGGTGACACATGTTATACTGTAAATTTCTATGGTATCCTTTATCAGAAGCTAGAAATTGTCTATTAGATTTTTTGTCTGTCATTACCTATTAAAATATCTGGCAGATAGCAGATACTTAGTCAATGTTTATGGGCAAATACATACAACATCAGTAATGTTGTATGTTTTGATATTGTTGATATTTTGTCACTTAGTGCTGGTCTAGTAAAATTCAATTAAGATCAGGGTTTCGCTTATTATTATTATTACTGTTGTTATTATTTTCCTCGTTTTTGTTTTTTACTTCCAAGCAACAAAATTGCTAAATTTTGAGCAATCATTTACAGTCTAGTATATTTGATCTTATTTTTACTATTAAATCACTGAAGTATGAGACATTGTTTAAAGTTCTCTAAATTATTCAACTGGACCAACTTGGCAACAATCCAACTGATTGCATGGTGAGCAATTTTCAACAGTAGATTTAGATTTCCATAGTAAAAGTGATCTCAGCATCTCTTAAAGCTTCCCCTTTATTATTAGCTGGAGTGTAACTAAATACATTATCTTACTTTTTATATGAATATTTCCTATGAAATTTCATGAAAAAGTAAAAAGAGGAGGCTAGAAAAAATTTTGCTTAATTCTCCTTGAAGAATGTCACAAGACAAGGATGCCCTCTTTCACCACTCCTATTCAACATACTATTGGAAGTTCTGGCCAGGACAATCAGGGAAGAGAAAGAAATAAAGTGTATTCGAATAGGAACTGAGGAAGTCAAACTGTCTCTGTTTGCAGATGACATGATCCTATATCTAGAAAACCCCATTATCTTAGTCCAAAAACTTCTTAAGCCGATAACCTCAGCAAAGTCTCAGAATACAAAATCCACGTGCAAAAATCACAAGCATTCCTATATACTGACAATAGACAAGCAGAGAGCCAAATCATGAATGAATTTCCATTCACAATTGCTACAAAGAGAATAAAATACCTAGGAATACAGGTAACTGGAAGTGAAGGACCTCTTCATGGAGAACTATGAACCACTGCTTATGGAAATAAGAGAGATAACAAACAAATGGAAAAGCATTTCATGCTCATGGATAGGAAGAATCAATATTGTGAAAATGGCCATACTGCCCAAAATAATTTATAGATTCAAAGCTATTCCCATTAAACTATCATTGACATTCTTCACAGAGTTAGAAAAAAAAACTATGTTAAAATTCATAGGGAACCAAAAACAAGCTTGTAAAGCCAAGATGATTCTAAACAAAAAGAACAAAGCTGGAGGCATCATGCTACCTGACTTCAAACTTTACCACAAGGCTAGAGTAACCAAAATAGCATGGTACTGGTACAAAAACAGACACATAAACCAATGGAACATAATAGAGATCTCAGAAATAAGACCACACATCTACAAGCACATGATCTTTGATAAACCTGGCAAAAGCAAGCAATGGGGAAAGGATTCCCTATTTAATAAATGGTGCAGGGAAAACTGGCTAGCCATATCCAGAAAATTGAAACTGGACCCCTTCCTTACACCTTATAAAAAAATTAACTCAAGATGGATTAAACACTTAAATGTAAAACCTCAAACCTAAAATACTTAAATGTAAAATCTAGGCAATACCATTCAGGACATAGGCATGGGCAAAGACTTCATGACTAAAACACCAAAAGCAATTGCAACAAAAGCCAAAATTGACAAATGAGATCTAATTAAACTAAAGATCTTCTGCACAGCAAAAGAAACTATCATCAGAGTGAACAGGCAACCTATAGAATGGGAGAAAATTTTTGCAATCTATCCATCTGACGAAGGTCTAATATCCAGAATCTACAAGGAACTTAAACAAATGTACAAGAAAAAACAAGCAGCCCCATTAAAAAGTGGGCGAATTATATGAACAGACCCTTCTCAAAGAAGACATACATGTGACCAACAAACATGAAAAAGAGCTCAACATCACTGATCATTGGAGAAATGCAAATCAAAACCACAATGAGATATCATCTCATACTAGTCAGAATGATGATTATTAAAAAGTCAAGAAACAATGGATGCTGAGGAGGCTGTGGAGAAATAGGAATGCTTTTACACTCTTGGTGGGAATGTAAATTAGTTCAACCATTGTGGAAGACAATGTGGCAATTCCTCAAAGACCTAGAACCAGATATACCATTTGATCCAGCAATCCCATTACTGGGTATTTACCCAAAGGAATAGAAATCATTCTGTTATAAAGGTACATTCACAAGTATGTTCATTGCAAGATTATTCACAATAGGAAAGACACGGAATCAACCTAAATGCGCATCTATGATAGACTGCATAAAGAAAATGTGGTACGTGTACACACCATGGAATAATATGCAGCCATAAAAAATGAGATCATATCCTTTGCAGGGACATGGATGGAACTGGAAACTGTTATCCTCAGCAAACTAACACAGGAACAGAAAACCAAACACTGCATGTTCTCACTTATAAGTGGGAGCTGAATAATGAGAACACATGGACATGGAGAGGGGAACAGCACATGCTGGGGCCAGTTGGGAGAGGGGTTCTTGTGGAAGGGAGAGCATCAGGGTAAACAGCTAATGCATGTGGAGCTTAATATGTAGGGGATGGGTTAAGTGCAGCAACACCATGGCACATGTTTATCTATGTAACAAACCTGTACATCCTGCAAATCTATCCCGGAACTTAAAATAAAATAAAAAAAAATTTTTTTTAAGTTGCTTAAAAATCCAGGGATTTGGACCTACAGATTTTTAAAGAATAATCATACTTTTTGAAATTGATAGTCACAATTAATTTTAGAAAAAGAATCTTGCCCACCTACCCACAAGCTTTAGCCACATAAATGAACTCGGTTGTAAAGTAATTAAGAAGTGAAACAGAGAACGACAATATTAAAGTTAGTAACAACAATATAATCGTATCACATAATAATTCATAGCGTTCTCACACACTGAGTTAAGTCTGGGTTCATGTACAGCTATAATTTTAAGCTTGTCATTTTATGAAATGGATTTGGAATGTATTTGGATAATGATTTCCACACATTCAAATATTTGTTGCAGCTCAACTTCCTCTTAAATCATCAACTGTTCAATGCTAATAGTTGCAATGAAAGTTGAAGGCCAAGTCAGAAAGAAAATTATATCTTTGACCTAATTTTGTCTTTCAGATTTTTTAACTGGGTTGACTTCTGGCTGTGTGTACATACAGAGGGTTGTGTGTATGTGTGTGCATGCACAGATTGGGGTAGGGAGGGGACAGTGACTAAAGAATTCTGATCTGAGTCTAACAGTTTCCAAATCTTAAAATAAATGTCGTTGACATAGTTGTTTATCCAACATTTCCTAACTGCTTCAAATACTTCATGGAATGTATGTGAAGAAACAAACAGAAAAACTAAATATTTTATTTCATTATTTGTTTATTATTTTATATGGGAATACCTTTGTCATAGTTCAGATTCCTTGGGAAACAGACTGAGAAATGCATGCAGGATGTTTTTTGGAAAGTGATCTGGGGAACAATTCCTGTGAGGAATTAGGAAGCAGGGTGTGGAGGGAGAAGGTGAATTGTAATGCATTTGCCACAGGGGCCATATTAAATCCCAGGAAGAGCTCTAAGGTGGGGATTGTTCCTCCCAGATGCCTGAAATAAGCAACCTGAGCCAGAATTTTTCCTTCCCCATCATCTGGTCATTAGTTATGAGCTTTTGCACTTTCTCCACAGCAAACCTAATAGGTGAATTACGGCTGATTTCTACTATTGTTTGAACTTCAAAATATTCACTTTATCCTATTTCTCTATTATATGGTAAAGATCTTAAAGGCTGAGTTAGGTCTATTTTGTTTGTTTTGAGACAGCATCTCACTCTGTCACCCAGGATGGAGTGCAGTGGCATGAACATGGCTCACTGTGCAGCCTCTATCTCCTGGGTTCCAGCAATCCTCCCATCTCAGCCACCCATGTAGGTGGAAGCACAAGGTGCACTCACCATGCCCAGCTAATTTAAAAATCTTTTTTTTTTTTTTTTGTAGAAACAGTGCCTCACGATGTCTCATGTTTGTCATGACATGTCAATATGGTATTGCTTCAGATAATATATAGGAAGAGATAGTTTGACTTTATTTGTGATACACAAAAATGTACAACATAGAACTAGGCAAAATGGCTTTCCAAATAAAAACCAAAACTAATTGATTAATAACTGAAAACACTACTTTTAACCTATTACACATAATAAACATGTAAATTTCAAAATATTATAATTGTCCTAAAATATTTTTAAATAAAATAGCTAAGTAAATCATAGGAGTAGAGAACTTTGCTCAATATAAATTTCATGTATTTCCCCCAAGGTTTGTATTGTTTTCCTCTAGAACTTTAAAAGGAAAAGCTAATGATAATTTGCAAAGTTTTAAGTCTTTAAATACAGTGATAACAAGCTAGTTGTGCATTTGAGTACTGGCCTCTATTCCAGTCCCATTTTACCTTTTAAAATTGAATTGGATTATAGAAAAATAAATAGGAGAGAAAACCTGGAATTGAATTCCATAATCACAGGAAACATGTGGATTCACTTAGGGCTACAGGTGTTTCTTGGGTAAAGGAGGGTACGGCCTGTTTCTGAATTGGTCCCTATTTGGGTCCAGAGGCATCCCGAATGTCAAGAAGACTGAGGTGGTGCCTAGGTATTGGAGATTGGATGGTGAGGGGTGTCAAAAATTTAATTTGCGATAATATTTTTGAGCTGTAAATCCACCAAGAACTTTCTCTGACAGCTTTTATGCTGAAAACCTCCACGGATGTTTCATTTTGAGAGACAGTGTAGTGTAGTTAAGAGCATGGATTCTAGAGTTGATCTGCTTGTGTTTAATTTCAAGATCCACTATTTATTTGCTGCACGTCCTTGCTCAACTTACTTACTTACTCTCTCTGTTCTTCTATTTCCTCATCTTCAGATGGCGGTAATATTATCTACCTCATAGTTGAGGTATTAAATTAGTTGATACAGGCAGGACACTTATGACAGTACATGGCATATAGCAAATATTTACATAGCACCTACTAGTATTATTTACCAGCCTTTAGCTTAAATTAATACCAGTCATATTTATGAAATACCAGTCCCCTTCCTTGATTAAAAAGACAAAATTGACAAATGGGATCTAATTAAACTAAAGAGCTTCTGCACAGCAAAAGAAACTACCATCAGAGTGAACAGGCAACCTACAACATGGGAGAAAATTTTTGCAACCTACTCATCTGACAAAGGGCTAATATCCAGAATCTACAATGAACTCAAACAAATTTACAAGAAAAAAACAAACAACCCCATCAAAAAGTGGGCGAAGGACATGAACAGACACTTCTCAAAAGAAGACATTTATGCAGCCAAAAAACACATGAAGAAATGCTCATCATCACTGGCCATCAGAGAAATGCAAATCAAAACCACTATGAGATATCATCTCACACCATTTAGAATGGCAATCATTAAAAAGTCAGGAAACAACAGGTGCTGGAGAGGATGCGGAGAAATAGGAACACTTTTACACTGTTGGTGGGACTGTAAACTAGTTCAACCATTGTGGAAGTCAGTGTGGCGATTCCTCAGGGATCTAGAACTAGAAATACCATTTGACCCAGCCATCCCATTACTGGGTATATACCCAAATGAGTATAAATCATGCTGCTATAAAGACACATGCACACGTATGTTTATTGCGGCACTATTCACAATAGCAAAGACTTGGAACCAACCCAAATGTCCAACAATGATAGACTGGATTAAGAAAATGTGGCACATATACACCATGGAATACTATGCAGCCATAAAAAATGATGAGTTCATATCCTTTGTAGGGACATGGATGAAATTGGAAACCATCATTCTCAGTAAACTATCGCAAGAACAAAAAACCAAACACCGCATATTCTCACTCATAGGTGGGAATTGAACAATGAGATCACATGGACACAGGAAGGGGAATATCACACTCTGGGGACTGTGGTGGGGTCGGGGGAGGGGGAAGGGATAGCATTGGGAGATATACCTAATGCTAGATGACACATTAGTGGGTGCAGCGCACCAGCATGGCACATGTATACATATGTAACTAACCTGCACAATGTGCACATGTACCCTAAAACTTAGAGTATAATAAAAAAAAAAAAAAAAAAAAAAAAAACCAGCTCCCCATACATCTAGTTAACAACCCAAAGTCTGTATCTACCACTAAACATGGCAACTTAGTCATTTACCAACTTAGGTTCACATTCAGTGGAAAGAAAATAAGTGATAAGGTAAAGTTTAGGAAGAACTGACCCACTTATGCCTAGTGTTCCATTATTGGAGTGCTAAGAATGTGAGAGTTTTTTATATCCTGCTGCTCAAGGTTATTACCAAGGTCTGATTTTTTCACTCATGTAAAAGTTCAAAAAATGGCAACCTCTGGCATAAATGGGTTAATAATAGCCAGGGACAAAGGTGATGGACGCAGATGCAGGAGATCAAGTGCTATTTTTGGCACAAAGTTACTCACTGTCTCCGGGTGATACTCTGTTGAGATTACCTGGTCACTGAAATCTCAGACTGACTTTCCAGCTGGATTTTACACAGTATGAGACAATAATTTTTATGAAACAGGGAAAGGGTAATTCATAGCAAGTGTGATGTGGCTATTTATACATATGTGTATGTATATGCTCCCACACATATTTATAAACTAATTTGTACTAGATAAAATTAATGCATAATTGACTTATTTTTTAGGTGACAAAATAGTGAAGCAAAAGTTTAAATATACCATGCTAAACTTACAAAATAGAAAGTACAAGAATTTTCCCACGTATTTTTCTCTATAAAATTTTTGAAAATTTACTAAACATATTGTTAACCTGGCTCATGTAAGTTTAGATTTTCATATAAATAGAAGACATAATTACTCTAGAAATGCATGTGCCCATAATTGCATTTTAAAACTTTTGCTTTTATAATTGCTGCTTCTGAGGATTTCTCACATGCACACACACACACACACACACACACACACACACACAAATTGTTACTTAGATTAGCCAAACATCATATGATCTACCACTTTTCTTAAATCTAGTGACCATTTTTTAGGCTCTTCGGACATGACTCTGTCAGGCTTTTGCAATAGAGAGACTTTTAGTTTATTTATTTTGCGATTAAAATAACATGTCCAGAGTCAGGAGTAGGTCTATGTGGTAAGTACATCTGGGTTTTGTGTACTCTGGACTGGTGATTTTCTGAGCAGGGATTCACTCTGTGCATTTGAAATATAAAAATGCAGTAGAAGTGGAAAAAGAATGTTTGTGTGTTCTTTTGGCCTCAAAACATTCACAGCCCATCATGCCACTCAGGCAGTTATTTGGGATAACAGAATTTATTTATTTTTCTTTTATTTTTTTGTGTATGTAATAACTATATTTCAGTGACAGGTTTTACTTAATATCTATTTTTAATACATTATTTTAGTTATCTATCAAATAGTGAAGAAAATGCAACAGAATGCATACTTTTTCCTCTTTAAAAATGGGTGATTTTAGGCATGAGAGTCAAAGGATAATATGAATTAATTTATAAATTAGAGTCTGGGTTCCACATGTTTCTTGGCTAAACAAATTGGAACAAGACTTGATTTTTTAAGTGTTTCTTTTGTATGTGTATGTAACCTTCTTTATGTAAGGTGTTTTGCCTTTGACTATGAGCCCCAGCTTTATTTTATTTAATAAGGATATAATTCCTCTACTAAAGGAAGATTTGCAAAAAAAAAATCACTAAGTTACCAAAATAAATATTAAAGTTGTTATTTTCTTCTTATTTCTAAAACTATTACTGGTTTTTTCCACCATGTATGGATTCTTTATGAAGAAAATAGAAAAGTTTTCATGTATCTATTAGTGTTACCGATAACCTTTATAGAAGTTATTGGACTAACTTTATAATTTAACTTTATAATTTGTAGACCAAAAAAAAAAAAAGAGTTTTCTGACATTGATAGAAAATAAAAAGTCTTCTAATTCCCAGGCTAGCTATTTAAGACTGAGCAGGGGACATAAGGAGCCAGAGCAATAGATACTCTATTTATTGTGAATTAGTCAGAAAAGGCAGAGCACAAAGGTCTGGTTTCCATAGTTCATGAATTCTGGATAATTTATGTACCTAAAATCATTCCATTGTTACGTTATCTTGACTTTACGAAACTGATTTTTATTAATAACTCCAGCAATGATGTGTGTCAATATGTGATAAAATAACCTTAAAGAAGTTAAGATGAGTAGCTTTAGTAACCACACATTTTCTATGGTTTTCTCGTTTTCTGAACTAGTTTAGAAATGTATATAAATTAAAATTGAATTATCTTGGATAATGTTTTAATCTTTGTCATATAAGAAATAGTACAAGAGAGATCTTTACTCACAGTTTTTCAATCCTTGTGGCTCCAATAATGCACCAGAGAGAAATAAAACTATAAAAATGTCAAAACAACTTTTGGGACTTTAACAAAGTGTGTGAAAGAAAGAATGATTAAAAAAAAAGGTAAGCTTTTCAGTGATTTATTTTAAGTAATTCAATCTATACTAAAGATTGAGTTAAAATTTAAAACTAAAGCTGGCATATTATAACATGGTAGATAGAAAATCAAGAATTGAAAGAACTGCTAAAAATATTTAAGCAAATTACAACTTAGAAACAACTTGAAGACTTTTTTCCACATGACTTTTCACTAGACTCTAAAATATAATAGCCTTTCAATAAAGATAAGTGTCAGTGCAACATATAAATATACATGCAACAAAGTAATATTGCTTTGGGTAGTGAACAATGACAAATAATCATTTATTTTTATAAAGGACGAGACCTATGCCGGTGACTATTACGACCCACTGAATGCTTATGATGCTGGGCCTCATTGTAATAAGAAAAAAAATCCGCCCCCCCGCGCAAATCCCATATTTTTAGCTCTATCTACTGACATTGTGTTACTTCATTACTTGGTTGTTTACAGTACGTTTCAAGGAAATAAAGAATTAAAAATATAAAAATGATCCATCATAGCATATAGGCTGGCTATAGTGGGAAGTGAGGATAGTAGGGAATGGATACATAGAATGCATATAGAAGAGTGCATGGCAAGAAGTAATAAAAAGACAAAAACAGTTTCAGTGACATAATGACGTTATGATGCAAGCTGGAGGTATCAGAGGTTGTGTTCAGAAATGGGAAATTTCAATTGAAAGTATCAGAGGTAGTGTGTGGTCCAAATGTAACCACAGCACTGAATGAATGTATCACTGTGTAAGGCTCATAAATTTAGATGTTACTGTGATTTATGGATAACTCACAAATATGATGATTTCACCAAAAGGATGGTGAGGTTTAGAAAACGCCAGAAAACTTGACCTGTCTCCAACAATCTTAAAAAGTGAGAAGTATGTCAGTCTATGAGAGTTTTCAGGTAATATAGCTTACTGCCATAAAGTAGAATGATAATTGACTTTAAAGTTCTTAGGCCTGAACCGCCTTCCCAAGTTAGAACACAGACTGAGTACGTAAGAAAATCATAGCCCTGAAACTTGGTTGTTTATCAGGATGTCTCAGCTCTGCTAAAGTCGAGGTACAAAGCATGTATAAGAGGTATGCTGCAGGTTTCCCACTCCAGGAAGTCTACACCCTGAGTATACCCAGTTAATTCATGACTGCTGTTCCTTCAGATGAAGGGACCATCCTATTCATCCTGGTCCCCTCTGTCTCCAGAGAAGAAACTCTTCTGCCTTATATGTCAGTGTGAGTCCTCTAAGATGCACACAGATATCAAGACAAACTTGGTTATAAAAGAGATTTATCGGTAGAAGTCACTGTGAAGACTAAAAGGGAGTGGGAAGAGGAAAGAGAAGGCAGAGAGAGCTCTTAGACCTCAATGCATGTCTAATACCTTTGATAGGAGAGGGAAAGAAGAAGGATCAGGTAGAAAGAGCCTGGGTCTATAGTTAGGTTCAGAAAAGCTTGGCCAGGCTGCGGGGATGCCCCACAGCAAAGTTTCCCCTGTGAGGAGTTCCGCCTTGGGCAGACCTGCCATGCTGTGGTACCTCTGCTTGCTGTGTTCAGTTATGACTGGGAGCAGGCTATGGAGCACAGCCTCAGCGTTAAAGCTACAGGTGATCGGAAGGGGCAGCAGCTGGAGGTCGTCAGTTGACTCTGCAGGTGCAGCATGTTCCCTTCAAGGCAGATCAGAAGGGTGAACCTCAAAGGCCATCACACTTTTAGGAATTCAGCTGCCTACAAAGACCACATGCATGGGCACACTCTAGATGATCCCTGAGCAAACCACATGCTGTGCTCAGAGTATGAGGAATGCAATTGAAGATCATGTCTATAGTCACCTTTAACTATGGAATTTTGGTTCAGTGATCTATTCAAAAGATACTTATTGAGCATCTACTGTGTCCTTGGTACTGAGGATACAGCAGTGAAAAACAAATCAGAGAACACAACAAAAGGACCGTAAATTTAATACCTCTACTCTTATTCCATCTTTCATCTAATTGTTGTATAGTTTCAACTCTTTAAATTTTAAAAATACATGATTTTTACTTTTACTGTTTTTACTTTTTAATCTGTGTTTATTTAGATTTAGCTTTGGTTTTTGCTCAGTATAGCATTATACATCCCACCCCTTCTGTTTTTTTCCCTTTAAATTAATGATGTACATATGTTAGTAATTTTAATGATGGTATGAGTATAAAATTGTTCCTTTTGTATGAAAATGTTTTTAACTTTGAATGGTAGTCTATCTGGGTATAAAGTTATTATTTGATAGTCATTTGCTCTTGGGAGTTTAGAATTATTATGTCTTTTTATTTTTTACTGTCTTTCCTTTTTTTGAGACAGGGTCTTGCTGTGTTTCCCAAGCTGGTCTCAAAACTCTGGGCTGAAAGTATCCTCCCATCCCAGCTTTCTGAGTATCTGGCATTACACGCTAAAATTGTTTTTCTGTTATTGCTTCTGCTACTGATGATGAGTATCTTTGTTTTGTTCAGTTTCACTAGATATATCTGAGTGTAGATTTGTTTTTACTTATATAACACTTGGATTGGTATGATTCTATCTGTGTGGAAATCTAAAGTTTTTTGTGTCTTTGAATATTTCCTCTCCTTTTATTTTATTTTATTTTTATTTTTTTGAGACAGTGTCACTCTGTCACTCAGCTGGAGTGCTGTGGCATAATATCAGCTCACTGAAACCTCTGCCTCCCAAGTTCAAGTGATTCTTGTGCCTCAGCCTCTCAAGTAGCTGGGATTACAGGGGTGTGCCACCACACCTGGCTAATTTTTTGTATTTTTAGTAGATATGGGTTTTTGCCATGTTACCCAGGCTGGTCTTGAACACCTGGCCTCAAGTGATCCACCCGCCTTGACCTCCTGAAGTGCTGAGATAACAGGCGTGAGCCACTGCACTTGGCCTCCTCTCACATCTTTTATAATTACTTCTTTTCAGCCGTCTGTTAAATATATATTGGATTTGCTTATTCTGTCCTTCACAACCTCAAATTTTCTCAAATTTTTCTTATCTCATTCTAGGTAAATTTCACAGACAAACCTTCCAGCACAAATTAACTTTTTAGCTGTATTTAATATGGTGTTTAAATCATTCATTGAATTTTAAATTTCAGTATTTTTTTTCTAGACATTCTATTCTTCACAGTGAGCTGTCATTTTATTAAGGTTTCTATTTCATTTTTATTTCTTTCATTAATATTTGTATAGTATCATCTTTCAAATTATTTGTCTCAAGTTATTATAAGTCTGTCTTATCGTATAGCTTATGATTCTTTTTATTGTGGATTCATTTTCTAGTAGAGTTGATTCATTCACCCTTCCCACCCTAAGTCCCTTGGAATAAGATGTGGATGGTTAACGTTGAAGTCCCGAATGAATAAAAGCTTTCATATTTTGATGGCAGTTTTATCTTAATTTCTCAGTCTCAGATAACCATATTTTGAGCAATAGAAATTCAAACTCCACATACTTGCATGGTATAGGCTTTGCATTTTAATTTATTTTCAACTGACTTTATCTTTTTCTTCCATACAGAGTCCCAGGCAGAGATAGGTCCCCATCTACTTCCCTGAGCTATTAGTTTTCTAGAGTGATAATGGATCTGGACTACAAGGGTTCCAGCTTTATGCTCCCTGCCTCACCTCAGACTCAAGATGTGTGTTTTCTCTTTTATCCCTACATGACCTTTAAAATAACAATCACTATGTGTTAGGGCCTAAATCTAATAGGATCCTCCTTGACCCCAAGGATAGGAGCTTGGTTACTTACTACTCTGGCTGTTTCTTATTTTTATTTCCTAGCACTGATTTTTTCTTTTTAGCTTGCTTAATTTTTTTTTCTTAATTATATCTTTATATTTTGTGCTTACATTGGGGGTGGAGTTGCTCAGTCATCTTTGATGTGGCACTAATGCTCCTATTTTAATTCATGACCTCTGCTAATGACATGGCAACCTTAAAAAATTGTTATTTTCAAAGCTTATGTGCTCTAAATTTTAGGGCCCTAGGATAAACTTCTGATTTTCCACAGACTAGTTGCAATTCTGTTTCTTGCACGTTGAGAGAACTCCCAAAGGAATTATCTTAAAAATCAACATGCCGTGCCAGAAGTGAGAGAATGCTACACGATGTGAGGGAAATGTGTTCATTAGGGACACTGGTTGAAATCTATTGTGACTTTAGATTCTATCCTACCTCAACGATTTCAAAATATGAAAAAAATGTAGGAAAACATTATCAAATGCCTATGTGGTAGAATTAAAGCAGTTTAGCAGCTCGATTTTAGTATCAGGGCATAAAAATGGCTTAATATCTAACATGAGTTGCCGGTTAGCACTGAAGTTAGGAGCATGAGCTCTGAAGGACCTTTCCTGTGTTAATTCCAGCTCCTTCATTTGGCAGCTGTGTGACTTTGGAAGTGTTTTTTAACTTCTCTATATTTCAGTTTTCTCATCATGAACATTTGAATAATAATGGTGTATTAGTCTGTTCTCACACTGCTATAAAGACATACCTGAGATTGGGTAATTTACAAAGAAAAGAGTTTTAATGGGCTCATCGTTCTGTGGGCTCTATAGGATTCTGCCTCCGGGGATAGCTCAGGAAACTTACAATCATGACAGAAGGTGGAGGGGAAGCAGGTGCATCTTCACATGGCTGGCTGGAGAAAGAGAGAGTGAAGGGGAAAAATGCTCCACCCTTTCAGACAACCAGATCTGGTGAGAACTGACTCATTATGATGAAAACAGCAAGGGGGGAAGTCCGCCCCCCAGGATGCAGTCACCTCCCACCGGGTCCCTCCCCTGAAACTGGGGATTACAATCAACATGAGACTTGGGTGGGGACACAGAGCTAAACCATATTAAATGGCAAGTTTCTCAGAGAGTTGTTACATTGAATTAATATAGCTAAAGTTCTTTGAGCAGTCCTTTGCACATAGTAATTAACTTTTGGGTGTTAGCCATTCTTATTACAACTTCTATGGATACTGTTAACTTAGTGGTTTCCCAAATTGGTATTCCATGGAAGAATATTTTTAAAAATCAAAGAAGGGTCTGGCATAAAGTGTCCAATGTTTTAGTGTTAGTTAAAAAATAATTACTACCATCTGTTACCCAGTATATGAGAGAAATACTTTAAGATATAAAAGTGAGAAAAAACTTTATCAAGCTTCATTTAAAAAACTAATTACAATGCATCTATTATTTACCTGTCTATGGAAGAGTGAAAACTTCATCATGAAGCAGCACCAGCCTAGGATTTGAGCATCGTTGTTTTAAACATAATTGACTGAAAGGTAGGACGAATTGCGGACCATGACTGTTTTACAATAGCTTCAATGTAATAGGGAAATAGCCCCTTGTAGTTAGAAATAGCAATCAAAATGTCCTTGCTAAAAGAAGGGACTAAATTAATTTGCAAGAATCACTTAATAAGGACTACTTAAAAGAGAAACAAGTTGTTCAAATATAGGAAATGACTATGTATAGGTCTAAAAGTTAATTAATATGCTATTTTGTAAAACATTATACTGGGAAGACTCAAAAGTCGTTGAACATGAAGAAGTAAATCATTCATCACTGACCTAATTCACTAGAATATAATGCCCCCTCTGCACTCCACAGCCTAAAGAACAATTGAATAACTTGGAGGCTGGTAAAAGCAGTGCAAGAATTATTAAGGAATTAGAAAATAAAATAGAAATATTAAGTAAAGCACATGGAATTTAACTTTTACTTTAGCCTGGAAAGAATATGGTTGAAGATCAATATAATGACTATTTTAAACTATAAATAGGTATTACTATATGTTGAGTTGAGGTAGCGATTTCTTTAAAGGTTCAAAGTTGACTGGAATTTAACCTTCAGAGGAACTAAACTATCCATTACCATTCACGTACACATCTATTGGACTCTGTTGGTTATAACCTCTGTGAAGATACTAGGCCAGGCTGCTGGAACACATGTAGCAATTAAAGATTTGGATGAAATGATTGCTTCCTACTTTCATGGTGCTTCTATTTATCCATGTGCACACATTGCAGTAATAGAATACATTGTAAAACAAGCACTCTGCAAATGAGATCACAGAAGGAAGAGAACCTTTCAACTGAAGCAGTTAGAGTAAAATGACTCTTGACATTTCAGATCCATGAGCCCCTTTAACATGGGTAGAAAGGTATAAAAGTCAGCGCTGAATGAGTATTCAGCAGGTAAGGCATGTTTGCTAAACCATAGGAAGAATTAATTTGTTGGTAACATAGTGGGATAATAAGAAAATATGGGAATATAAATTTGAAAAGATAGATTGTAGCCAGATTACATGTTGGATAAACTTTTAATGCCTTAAACCTGGGAGAACCTTTTATTATTATTTTTGTCTAACTTCAAAAACATCATTTCAAAACTCCAAATAAAATAGCATAGTGTATTTTATCTAAACAATAATAGAAAATGGACTACCTGAAAACATCTTAATGTTTGACATTGACTATATGTAGTCATTATAATGATATACAATGGCTATATAAATATTCAATGTATATGTTCAATGTATATTAAATATATACTGCCTTTATATATAAATATATATTCTATATCTGTATTCAATACATATTCAATTATATATTCAATGTATTCTATGTATGTTTGAAATTGAATATATATATTGCCATTTTATAGATTTATGTATAGCCATTTTATATAAAATGGCAAATAACGGTCAAATAAATGGCATATATATGTATAAAATGGCAAATAATGGCCAAATAAATGGCCAGTTTATATATATACATAATGGCAAATGACATATATATATGCCATTCATATATATATATAATGGCAAATATATATTACATTATATATAATTATGTAAATAATGGCTATATATATTCAATGCAAACATTAAGATTTATATATATAGTTTTATGTGTGTGTATATATATGTATGTATGTATAAAATGGCCTCTATAATCTTAAGAATTGAGAAGATTTTTCACCTTCCAGCAATTAGCACTGACCGAGTTAGAAAATAAAAATACTATATTTTATCTGGCAATCCTTTTAGCAATACACTTTGACTCTGTCTGTTCTGCATTTATAGCTCTGTTTTAAATTAATGCATTCATGGGTTGAAATTTTTAAAAATAGATTTTCTTTGGTTTTACAAGATATAAGCAATTCATGACAAATTGATCTTTTGTCAACTTTTGTTTTGTTTTTGGGTGGAGAGTATATCAAGGATTTGCCTTACAAATACATAAATCCTCTCTATTTTACATCAAAACATTTGCTCTTCTCTATCTTAAAATTAGTGTACTCATGTTTAAAAAGCAACAAACTATGCAAAAGCATATGTGGTGAAAATTAAACTCTTTCCCACAGAGACAACTGTTTTTATTAGTTTGTGATCCTTGCATCATTATTTGCATATTCCATTAAATGCATGTACAGTAATTCCCCTTTATTCATGGTTTTGCTTTCTGTGGTTTCAATTCAAGGTCCAAAAATATTACAACATTTTGAGAGAAACTGAGAAAGAACATATTCACATGACTATTTTTTACAGTATATTTTTATAATTTTTCTATTTTATGATTGTTTTTAATCTTTTACTGTACCTAATTTATAAATTAAACTTTATCATAGGTATGTAGGGATAGGAAAAAATACATAGGATATACAGGGGTCAGTGTTATCCAAGGTTTCAGGCATCCACTGGGGTATCTTGGAAAGTACCCCTGGAAGATAGGGATACTGCTGTATGTATATACATATATATAATACACACACACAGACACACACACACACATATATATATATACATATATGTACACATATATGTATTTTTTTTTTGAGATGGAGTCTCACTCAGTCCCCTAGGCTGGAGTACAGTGGCATGATCTCGGCTCACTGCAACCTCCGCCTCCCGGGTTCAAGTGATTCTCCTGCCTCAGCCTCCCAAAAAGCTGAGATTATAGGCATGAGCCACTGCACCTGGCTAATTTTTGTATTTTTAGTAGAGAAGTTTTGCCATGTTGACCAGGCTGGTCTTGAACTCCTGATCTGAGATGATTCGCACGCCTCAACCTCCCGAAGTGTTGGGATTACAGGCGTGAGCCACCGCACCCAGCCTTACTGTACATATCTTTACATACATTGGAGCACATTATATACATTCTTCTGCACCTTGCTTTTTTGTTTAACGTATCTTGGAAATTATTCCATATAAACGCATTAAAGCACTACATTATTATTTTAATTGCTACATCGTATTTTATTGTTTTGATGTACCTTAACTTATCTGAACAGTCACCTAATGAGAATCATACAATGGCCTCTCCCCAGTGTTTGTTTTGTGCGTACAATTGAAATAATGGCTATAAAACTTTTGTTTGCTATCTTCAGTTAATATTTTTATAACCATGTCCCCACATTACTCCACAAATCAAGATGCCATTTCCATTTTTACAAGTTCACAGTTTAGCTTCAGGGATAGCATGAAAGCACGGGGAAACCGCTGTGCATTGATTGCCTACGATGTGCCATCCCATCTTCTCACCATCCAGAG
This sequence comes from Homo sapiens, assembly GCF_000001405.40. NCBI lineage: Eukaryota > Metazoa > Chordata > Mammalia > Primates > Hominidae > Homo > Homo sapiens. The sequence continues at coordinate 76,414,178 of NC_000008.11, read as the reverse complement.
GTAGAGTAAGCTGTGTGGAAGGCACAGCAGTGACCTGACCGTGAAGATACTGCCTGCATGTCTCTCAGTAGCTTAGAGAGAACTGGTTTATTGTCTTCCATCAAGATTTAGAAAGGGCAAAACACCAGATCACACTCCTGTAGTTTGCAAGCATCAAAGCCCAGGTTTCAGAGCATAGTCTGATTTTTAAAACACTTTCTCATTGGTAATAGGATGCCTCTGATTCCAATATTAGATAGAAGGGGGAAATGTTGTAAATAACAAATACTATAGATATACAAAAGAAGATTCTCTGTAAAAAGGGCTCTCAATACCTATAATTTGCTGTCCTTTGGCTACATAAATAAAAACAATTCCTTTACAGGCCAGATAATTGTGATTATATTTCTGTCTCTGGAAGGATTCTACCTCTATAATTTCAATAATTGCAAACAAACAAAAAACTTGCTTATCTGCCCCTCCCCACCCTAACATTGTTCTGAAGGTTTCTTATTAATATTTCAGGATGGATTATACTTCATCTTTAAAAGAGGAAATCAATCTCCATTTATCAAATTTATAATGACATAAATATTATAAAACAATTATAAAAACAATTTCATTTTTATTTAGTGAAAGAAAGCAGTGTTTGAGTATATTTTGTTAAACATCATACTTTAAGGAGGTTTAAGAGGCCGATAAAGTGCTTCTATAAAACTTTCACTTGTAAATTTGGGTAATTAATTGGATTTTAAAGATTTCACTATAGAGTGTGAGGTCAGACTGGCATGAAAAGAATACTTACTTTAAATTAAGAAAATTATGAATGTGCAAGGGGAGGTGTACATTTTTTCTATGCACAATTGTACAATATTAAAATAGAAGAGAAACAAATCATGTAGTAATTCTCTCTCATCATATGGACAAGGAAACCAAGGCATAGTAATGGTAAATACTTTTTTTTTTTTTTTGAGACTACAGGCGCCCGCCACCATGCCCGGCTAATTTTTTTGTATTTTTGGTAGAGACGGGGTTTCACTGTGTTAGCTAGGATGGTCTCGATCTCCTGACCTCGTGATCTGCCCGCCTTGGCCTCCCAAGGTGCTGGGATTACAGGCATGAGCCACCGCGCCCGGGCCATGGTAAACACTTTTTTAACATAGCTAAATAGTTAGCATCAAGGCTAGTATTCAGGGCTTCTGTTGCCTTTACTTGAAAAGTTTTATGCAAAAGCACTTCATAAATTTCAGAAATTATTTTTAAACTTCTGTCCCTGTATTACTGTACCCCCTAAGATTTAGGTAAGTTTTTCTTAGTCAACACAGTTAAAGCTGACCTGTATGCAGTTGAATAGATCACAACACTGATTTGAAATGGTCGTTTTCAAGGTTGAAATAACTGGACCATGAACTGGTTGGTGATATTTTAGCCAATATAATGACCAAATCAGCTATCAATCATTATGGCAGTTAAGAAAACTAGTCATGATGAGGAATATCACATGATTATAGTGCAATTTTGAACAGTGATGAAATAATGTGGGACTTCCATGCCATAAAGGACTTGAAATAAGATTTATACATATACATATAATTTTCTCATAGTGCTTAAATAGAGACTTGCTAACAAGCTGATGGTACAGGACTTGTTCACTATTCCTTAAATTAGAGGAGGCTGTGAAAGAGTTATTTTAACAGCTATGGTAAAATGAGAACATTAAACTTCGGAAAATCCGGATATAAATCTGGATTCTGCCATTTATAGGTCTTGTGACCTTGAAAAAGTCATTAAATGCAGCTGTAATTTTCTCTTTTTAAAAAATGGTGATAGTGCATTGGGTTTTTGAAAGGATTAAACAAAATATATATGTATACATATAAACAAGTATGTACACTATGAGAACATCATATGTATATATATATAATTACATATGTAATGCATTGCAAAACAATTTAGAAATGACAGGTGTTGTTACAGGTGGTAGTGAGTTCTAGTTAATTTTATGTGATACTGAATATCAGATTATTAGTAAATGATTAGAAAATATTTATAGATGTTTTAGTTTTTTCTAGGCTAGTGATTCTCAAAGCATAGGCCCAGACCTCTGAGGAGCCCTGACATATTTTTAAGGAGTCCTTGAGGTCCAAAACCACTTTTATATCAATACTTTTGTTATTTACTTTTTTTCTTGGGTTGAAGTTTGCTGGCAATGCTGGAGCCTTAGTAGTCTTGGCTTCTTAGCATGAATCAACAGCACCAAACTTTGCTAGAAATCATTGTGTTCTTCATTTTGGGCAAAGATGATACATTTCCACTAACAAAAATAATGTTGTTGCTCTTTGAAGAAGCAATTACTTTAATTAAATGTTTTCTCTTAGTTATGTATATTTTTAATACTTTATATCACAAACTAGGAAATGCCCATAAAGAACTTGTGCTACATACCGAAGTACTAACTGTGATGGCTACTTTGCGGTAAAGGAGTTGTGTGATTCAGTTTGAGCTGAAATAGCCCCTTTTATACAAATATCTACTTGAATATCTACAACAAGTGAAACAACTCACAGTGTTTGTGGTCAATAATAACATTTTAATGTTCAAGGAGAATTAGAATTTTGGAGAATTTATATCTGCCACCATGAGCATGACAGATTGCCAATACTTAATGACATTTCTGATAAGATCATAGAAGTTATATTAATACATGTGATTATTTTTTGATACTAGATAATGAAATGTGTCAAAATTTGCATAACTCAGTGAACCAATATTTAATAAAAGACCAATTCATGGTGCTACAAAATTATACATGGGTCAAAGATCCATTAAAAATGCAAGATAGTTGATAGATTTTAACCTGAGTGAAATATTCATTGATATGGTTTCTCATTCCCTGTTGCAACTAACTTTAAAGAAATGACTACTTGTTGATGTTTGGTTTATCAAAGAAGAATATCTACAATTAACTGAAAAGTCTACTAAAATGTCCTTCATTTTTTTCAATTATATATTTTTGGAAACGTGGATTTTCCTCATAACCTCACCCAAATAAAATATTGCAAGACTAAATGTAACAACAGGTATTAAAATTCAGCATCTTGTGTTAAGCCATGTTAAAAACATTCGCTAAAGTGTAATACAATGACATTTTCCTTGCTTTTTCATTTTGAAAAATATAATTGTTTTAGTATAATATACTATTTATGTTAACATTTAATGTGTTTATAGTTATTTTAAATTAATTGAGGAATAATTTTAAAATATAATTTCTATTTTATTTTATAATATGGTAGATGTGATTAACTATAATCTGCATAAACAAAAGCTGTTATAATCTCAGTGATTTTTAATAGCGTAAAGTAGTCTGTTCTAAGCTGTCATTTGCTAAGGATAGTTGAACCACCACAGGGTTACCAAATGAAATTAGAATAGAAAGGTTATGATTTATTTAGGTAGCATTTTGAATTGTAATTTGAATTCCCAAAGACCTTCAATATGTGCATAAGAATGAACAAAATGTCTAGCTGTAAGATTGTGTATATCTTCCTGAGCAGATTTTCGTATTGTTTACTACTTTAAAAGTTTGCCTACCTTCTCTGTCTAGCTCACCTTTATAGTCATAAAGCTTCTATAAAAGTGCATAACACAAAACACAGGCTCCATGCATCTGTGTTGCATTGTTTTATATATATATATAGCTATAAAGTAAAACTATTTCTCTCATTTTCAAACAGCAAAATGTACAGCAATCATGAGTTACATGTACATGATACATTTCCTTTCATTGGCATCTTCCCATATCATCATACAGGCTATGAGATTTATATATTTATATAATTTATATATTTTATAGCTACTTGATCAGTATAGCTTCATGAAAGAGGTCGGATTTCTAAAGTAAAGGGTACTTTTCAGCATTAATAACAACGAAAAGAGCAGACTAGGGGACAGTATAAAATATTCAAAATGATAAATAGTTTAATGAAAGAGGAAGAAGGTAAATTCATTTAGAAAGAGGACTAAGGAATGAAGAACACGGCCGTTGACTGAAGATGTGAAACTGACTCAGCTGAGATGTGATTACCTACACGAACAAAGGAGGAGTGAGTAGCACCTTCAGAGGAAACTGTGAAGTTGTTTGGGTGGTATTTTAAAATTTAGGGCAGGAAGCCCTTCCCACACCTGAAATTATATCTGACCAACCTGGCGCAATATCTTGGAAGATTAATCAAAATAAGAAAATTAGAAAAAAAAATGTTTTTCTGAGAGGCTGTCCATTTCAAGTTAGGTCCTGAAATTGAGGCTTGCCTACTAATGTCAGAATGTCCAACAGGTGAGAGAGTAGTCAATCTGTGAATATTTTATTGAAAAAAAAGAATTGAACTGGTTGTAGGTGAGTCCTTGCAGAGAGAAAAGGGAGAGAGATGTTTGATTTATGCCTCAGGTGTCTGGGAAAGAATGTAGTCTAGTTTGATGAAGATAATAGTTGAAATAAAAATAAGAATTTTTATTGTTTTCTTACAGCTACCTAGATGAGTATCATTATACTTAACAATTTTCAGTATATTTAGAAATGAGAGTATTTAAAAAAGATTTTGAATGATTATTTAAAATTATTTACAGTAACAATGGGTAACACAAAGTATATATTACTTGTATAAAATCTTGCTCCAATTTACTTTTAAGTAACTAGTATTTAAAAGGAACTCTTAAGGCAGAGATTTAAATACACATTAATTTAATTCTCTTATGTCATTGTAATTGTCATAGAATATGTGTTTTTTTCATGATTAAAGTAAAATCTTCCAAGTGATCTCAAAATTACTGAAATATTAGTAAGTCTTTCTATTTATTCCTGGAATGGTCTCTTCTACAAACTATGAAAAGGATCAGACTAAGTATTTAAATATAAAAATTAAACCTATGTTTTTATTTAAGTATAGAGACTGTCAGGTGATACCAAAAGTAAGAATAATTTTTATTTGATCCTATGCTTTGGGGATGTTTTCTATCTTCTACTTTGATTTCGTCATTTCTTGATGTCTATATATGTCAATCATGCATTTTTACTATCAAACACTTTTGGTCATGCATATGTACGCAAATACATATACCATATAAGTACACACACATTTTCTATTCTTAATTGAAAGAATTTGTAGTTATGAACTGTTAATAGTTCTCTAAGTAGCAATGATGTATATACAATTTAAAATCTGAGAGGAAAGCAATTATACCTATATCTATCTATCCACCTATAGATGTAAATATCTATATATGTCCTCTAGAATTAATGCTTCAGTCACATGTCATTTTGTGTCTTCAACTAGAGCACCTACTACTGGCTTTCCTTTCTTCTGCTTGAGACTGACGTCATATAAATATCTATATGTATATAGATATATATCTATCTGTATCTATCTACATATCTTCCTATAGTTGAGAATAAATTATTATACTATTTTGTATATCTATACTGTTTATATATATTTATATAGTTTATATATAACTACTTAAATAAATATGTTTATATTTATAATTTTATCTATTCAAAGATATGTACATGTGTATTCTTATAGGTCTAGAAATTTCCCGTTCGTTATTTGGGTAGAAGAAAATGAAGAAAATGTAATCAAAACAGTGCTGTTGATGATTTCCTTCTTAATAAAAGTGAAAATATTAAACTGACTTTAAAAGTCAAGTCATGAATGTGTGTGTGTTCTAAATGTTGTGGCCTAAGTCTTACAATTCTGAGTGCTTTATAAACACAGCAAAGCCCTCAGCTACCCTACTAAAAAGACCAACAAAACATGTTAATGTTAAATTCAGCAAGGCTCAAGTTCTCAGTTTAACACACATGGGGCTCCACTGCTCTAATCTATACAGGACAAGGACTTACTGGCCCTGGAATGCTCGGCCCTGTTTTCTGGGCCTTGTTCCTCTGGCTAACAACCTTACTAGTTAGTATAACAGTGGCTACATAAGTTATGGTGGGAAAAATGTAACAATAATGTGCATTTTGACCAGTTAGTAAAAAATCCTCTAATATAAACAGAAAGATAACACAGAGAAATTGCCCTGAACTCATGTCATCTTACTATTTTCCTATGCAAGGGGCACAAATAGGCTTGCTCCCTTCTCAAACTTGGATGAGACACTTCAGTTTTAAGTTGGCATTTTAGTTTGTTTTTGGTTTTGGTTTTGATTTTCTGGTTTAAAATATGTACCCAGTTGTATTCCTACACAGAAGGAAGAGATAATAGCCAATAAATATGAACCATATCTACAAAACACTGATAAGAAATCGTACATGCTTTTCTGTGTGGATGTTAAAACAGTATCATTAATATTATTTTGGATAGAATTTTCACTCCTGCTGCTTAGAAAGCAAATGAGCTAATGATATAATTTCTCTTCTTGATAGAGATTCATCAGTGTGTTGATTCCCAAAACTGCATGGTAAGTACATGCACAAACGTAATCAACCAAATCATTAGCATTTATTAAAGAAGACAGTTTCAAATTGATGGGCAGTTCTGAAGAAACGTATAAATATAAATCTTTTCCTTTCTAAATCTTATTTGAATTACAACCAAAATATATTCTTTGAATATAACCAAATGTATTCTTACTTTTTTAAATAAAATGGTCAACACCATCTATTAGAAAAAATATCATTTTGAAGCCTAATAAATTGAATTTCAGACTCATGTGAAATAGCAAATATGTGTTAAAAATGATGCAGTCATGTCTTTGTTTAACATGGATAAATAACATTGTTTCAAACTAATATATCAGTCTCCAATCTTTGCTTGCATTGTGTTATGAAGTTGATGGTTATACTCTGTCATCAGATGTTATCATTAGGACCCCAGAAAAAGAGTTCCATTTAAATATTGTTTCTAACTCTGATAGTAATCAGATTACTGTTATTACTAGATCAAGGCAACTTTATGTTAGTTATCATTCTTCCATCTTTTCACATAAAAGAGTAAATATACAAGTACAGTATTGCCAGTTAGTGGTAATACTCTTGTTTTTCATTAGTAGAGATACTTAGCACCAAACTATCAAATAGTTTATTTTCCTTAAAAGTTAGATTGTGGAATACAAGCATATAGTTTCCCAAAAAGTTATAATTTACATTTTTCTTCTCAGATTTAAAACTCAGTTACTAAGAAAAATAGCTAAAACCCCACTTTAAAATGTGCTACATTGTGATTTGTTAATATCATACCAGTATACACTATGGAAAGATTATTATACATATTTTTACAAGTTTATGGAAACTTATAAAATATTTCTCCTTATTCTACATACTTGCTGGTATGCTTTTCAAAAAAAGGTATAGCATCTTTCATGAAACATTCTCCCATTTTTTCCATATGCAATTAAACTTTACCTCAATCTAGAGTAAGACTTACCTGTCAGTTGCTTATAGTAGTTACTAAAAGTTCATAGTTCCTTGCAGTATACCAAAAGAAAATGTCTTTATGATAAATTCAGTCTACATTTTATCATTTACTCCATTTACATTTTAAAAAATAGAATAGAAAGGAAAACCACTATTAAATGTCCATTGTAAGTTTGTTAGTTCTAATATGTTTTGTTGCTCCCCACTAGTGAAAAGTTCTAGAGAGAAAAAGGGATGGCAAGAAGTGAGAGTTTGTTAATAGGTCATAGATTTAGGCTCTGTTTACAGAAATCTGAAACACTGGGGTAATGCATGAAAAATTAAGTTATGCACAAATGTTTCCAATTACTCACTTGTTTGGCATCACATAGGGTGGACCAAGCATGGAAATTAAAGTCTACATTTTTCACCCCATTGTTGGCTGTGTTGTAGAAATGACCTTATAGGTCATACTGCTGAATTTATAAGTTTGCTAGCAGTAAGTATAACTGTTCCTATTTTACCATTTCAGAATCAAGCAAAACTAAGGATTAAGTCAGTCAATCCATGGAGGCTTAATAGAATGAGGCATTTAAAATATTTCAAGAATGGGCATGAGTAGATCAGTGACGATGACTCAGAATGGTGTAACTGAATTATTTTGTGAGTAAAGAGCTACCTTGGTCCTCCTCCAACCTTTAGAAGCTTTAAAAAATGAGTGTGAACTTTCATGAGGTTAATGCGTTTTGAACATACCAGAAAGATCAAACCTTAGCCCACACATGAGAATTAATTTTCTTACAGCTTCAACTACTTAAAGACACCTCTTGTGATATATGGACTCTAGAATTAATGCTACAGTCACATGTCATTTTGTACCTTCAACTAGCACACCTACTACCGGCTTTGCCCCTCTTCTGCTTGAAACTGGCATCATATAATGAAAGATGAAGGAGCCAATACGCTTCTTAAGAAGCAAGTAGTCATGAGACTTCACCTGCCACCACAGATAGAGAGAAAAAAAAGGGGAGGGGGTAGTTAGCAATTTCAAGAGCCACAATTTACCATGGAAGCCTCTACTTAATATTCCGCTTGATCTGCCAAGTTTATAGCCTGGCAAATCTGAATACAAATGTCGATGCAAATGAGGATTCATTATTCTTACAAGGTCTTTGTGTTGAAGCTTAATGTAACTTGGTTCCTATGGTTGCTCAGGGAACGTAGATTGCAAGACAGAAAAAAATGATGAAAAGAACAAAAATAGAAAGGAAAATAATAGAAATAGAAGGAAATGCTTAAAATGCACTTTAGCTTGAAATAGGAGGATGCATAGGAACAAAGCATTGTCCTTACAATCTCTGCTTATTGCCAGTCCTGGTATTTACTTCTCATCAGCAACAGAGGAGTTAACCACTCAAGAACATTCTACACAGAGAGAAAACATAACAAGTCTCCTTTTGCTGATTATAACACATTGTTCCCATTATAAAACCAGTACTTCAAATTGTCAAATTTTTTACCATTCTTTTATAATTATAGAGCTCATGGGCTGGTGGGACCTACACATTCCGATCTCTAAGAAGACTGAAAATGCATTAAAAAAAAAACCCCACCCAACAATTCCCTTTCTTTCATATGGATTTATTGCAAATACTTCAGAATCAATATGTTAAGAAAGCTAAAATTAACAAACTACACATTGAAAAATCACAACACTTTAGCATCATTCATTTATTGTTTACCATAACCCATTGCACACAAAGGTTGCAAAACCTCCAAGTTAGAGGAAATCCTGAGAGGCTGCAAAATTATGATTATATCTCATATACCACAGTATATTGTTCCGATGAATCTTTTGCATGGTTAGTTGTTGTTTACATACAAATACCTTCTCCGGAAATAAAAAATGTACTGAAGGTAACAGGAGCTGCAAAGCTTAGCAGATCCGATGATCCCAAGATCATGCAGTAAGGCTTGCTTCTTCATCCATAAATAAAGCACATTTGCATCCATTCAGTCAAATTAGCTCCATTAAAAAGGTGGTTATAATTAGCTCCTTTTTCTGGTTCACGGGTAAAATTCTTGCATGCCTGCTGTTTTGATTAAATCCACCATTGTCTTCCAATAGCTAGTGCTAATTCTTCCAAGGAAATCTTCAGTTGAGGTGTTATTTTATTCTGCGCTTCCGTTAGTTGTCTAATTTACGCCAAGTCCCTGCAGTGTTTCCTTAAGCCATCCTCTTTGTCTTGCCTTTGAAATTTACCAAATCTTACAAGAAATCAATACTTAATTGATTATTCACTTTTCTGCAGCTTCAAACAGCAAGCACGCATAAGATCCTGGAGTAGTCCCCCGATTTCCAATGCAGGAGGTTGCTTGGTGGCAGAGCTCTGCAAGTGTCCAACAGCAGGCATTCCATGGAGCCGTGCACTGGCGTGGAGTGCCAGCCAGCGTCTGATAAAGAAAACGAAGATACTCTAACGAAGCAGGAAAACTTCCTGGATGAGGCAGATCCATCTCAAGGCTTTGGATAAAAGGCTGAAGCAGGAGCAATTGGATACCACAACATTATAATTTTTTTTTTTTTTTTGCATTATTCCTTTTGCTTTTTGCTTACCATTTTCTTCCCATGGCACTGAAGTGGAATATCCCAAGTGCCACCGAACTCAGAGAACTCCACGCCGGAATGGGGGTGAGACTGGTGTTGTACCTCTGGCATAGGATAAGGATGGCAGGCACGTAACATTACGAAATGTAGGACAAATTCAAGCGAAAGAGAGGGAGAGGGAGAGAGAGGGGGAGAGGGAGAGCTAGAGACAGATGGCGGATCTGGCTAGGAGCCAAAGCCAGTGAAATGAATTACATTGCTGAATAACTGTACACCATTGATTCTGCCACTTGTTGCTGCATGGTTAAAAAAATGAATTTTTAAAAAGCCCCAGTGTATGCTGGAATCCCCTTATTTGTCATGTGTGCAGCAGACAACTTTCACACGTAACTCCATCCTGACAATGATATGCTGTGGGTGTCTTGCATAGGTGTGTAGATGCGCGTGAATGTGGTTGCGTGCATGTAGGTGTGCCCAAGAAAGCAAATGTGAGTGTGTGTGCATATGTATGTGGGAGGAAGGAAAAACAATCCCTGCAATCTAGCCATTTTTGTTTAATGAAGAATGGAGGACTGGCATTCAGAGATGTGGTTATGTGCTGCATATTAATGTGTGCTTACCAGACATTCTCCCCCACTTTAAAAATGAGTGGCACAGGAGTGAAGCCCTCTATAGATCAACCACGTGGGAGAAGCAACTCATGAGGTAGCATGTCATCTCTAAACCTACAAATGTGGCACAAGGAATTCCGCAGAAGAACAAGTTGCTCTCTGACAAGAAGAAAAGCTGGTCCCAGGAATACGATGTTTGGGTGTTTTCGAAAAGACAGCCAGTCTCAGCAGATTGTTCAATAAATGCTTCATACCCAGGATGAAGGGAGACATTATGGGATGCCCAGGGGGCTTTGGAAATCAAATACAATGTTTGAGTAGCACAATTTGAGGTACATTATATAAAAGCAATTTGAATTGCCAATGAGGCGACATATCTGCATGCTAATTAGACCTGTGTCAAGCTTAGTCTGCAGGCTTCTGTTGATGGGGAGGAATGTGCATGTAGCTCTGCTGAGAGATTGTTTCTGCATAAATTATCAGCTTTGTCCTACTGATCATTTTCCCAAACAAACATGAAATGCAAGATCAAAAAGCGATTCTAAAATTAAAATTATTGATTGACAAAGCCTAGATTTCAGAATCTAATTAGAGGAGGCCCAAACAAAAGCTGATATTATTACTGACTATGCCTGAGCTAGCAGCCAGATTGTGCAGGGTTTGTAATTTATCTTTGTTTATGCAGCCAGGATATTAAAAATGTAATTAAAATGGTAAAATGATCTGATCAGAAATAGCCACCTAGTGGCAAGTATATTATTTTAAATGGATTATAAACGCATTGGTCTGTGCAAATAAAAAGCTTTTTTTTTTTTTCATGACAAACCTAGCATCTCATTGAGATTGTGCTGGGCAATTTATCTTTGGCTAATAAGTTGTCTTTTGTGTTTTGTTCCATAGATAAGCAACATCATTTATAACGCTCATTTGTGCACTAATAAACATTCTGTTATTACAGGTGGCATCCTGTTATTACAGAAATATCTTTCATAAATTATGACGTTTTTCACAAATGGAAGTAATGCAACACCTATTTGGTGTATTCATCATATTGGTTAAATATAATAATTGCATATAATTGATAACATCAGCAGGTAAGGTCACTCTCCCTTCTTTTGAACTTTCTGATTTGAAATGGATCTGGATATCTCTGGAATTTGGCATTGATGGTAATCTAGAGCTATGAACCTGAGATTGTAGAGCAAACATGCTTGCCTACTGAGAAGCTTCAACTCACTACTACAGAACAGATTTAGTTACTTAAAAGCAAGAAATAAGGTGATTCAAGTGATTTATAGGCTGTATCATCTCTCATTTAGCAACATTTTGGAAGTGCCAATTAATTATTTTAGGAACAAATTGTCTAATATAAAATTTATTAACCAAAATGCATCGGCTGTCATCAAATTGTACATTTTGCAGCCAGCCGCTAGATCCAGTCTTGTGATTCTCTAATAAAGCACCTAAAAATGCATGATAAATACTTTTTAGAAAAATGACAGCCCAGGCTTGTGACGTCTACATAAGAAATGTAGAAACATTTATTTTCCTTTTTCTTTTTATTTTTTTAATGAAATCACTACGGACCTGCTCAATTCCCTTTTAAGAAATTCACAATTTAGGGTCCTGTCAGCAGCTCTAGGGTCTTTTGTTAGGTGCACTTAAAATGCCAGATTAAATATTAATATGTGGTTAGAATTGTGCTATTTTGCAAGATCTGAAACCCTATTAGTAAATCATGATCTGGTGACTGATGCAAGAAATTTCGAGGTGCCAACAGTGCAGATTGCTTTATGCCCATTAATCTGATGGATCACTAATTTTTAGTAAATTGGGCCTTTGGAATCAGAGCTGTGAGCAGGTACATGTTTTTCATCAACAGAGAACACAGTCCACATAATATAGCATCTCTTTTTGCAATATGTGCACCATAACAGGCAGATTTGTTTTGCATAATCAATAACAATGCTTGCATGAGCAATGCTGTATTTCAAAATATACTTTTAGTTGTATTGTAAAGTGCCCAAAGAGGAATAATTGTAGATTTCATAAGCTTCCAGAAATGTTTTAAAGGGAAATAAAGAAGGGCAGAGCCTGATGTGGGGACAGAATACATCAATCCCATTTGCACTCTTTATAAATCAGAAACTATGAATAACAATGACATTCTAGAGAGATTCAATGGTACCTCTGAAACTATGGTGAACTAACAGATAGAACCACACACATAAGATCAGTTAAAAGACTGTGAAAAGGAAAATAGGAAATAATGAACAATTGCTTGAAAGCAACTTCCCTATTATTTCTGAAAATACGACTACATAACACGCTACTGCCCTTGAGATGTGAGAGACCTTTTAACATATGGCTTATCTTTGAACTGTGGTTGAAATTACTATTTGATCCTCTGATAACACAAGTGGGAAAACATATTTATTGGCGATATTTGTTTCACACAGATGGGCCTTGACTTCTAAATCCTTGTAATGTGAATTAACATATTTGATTATAGTATTTACCAATTATAAAGCATTTTCCTCCTGGTGGATACCATCCAAACTTATGCTGGGTTCTGCCTTGACATCTGTCTTCTCTTTCATTTTTACAGACCATCCTACAGTACACACATCGTGAATTTAAAGGGACAACCATGAAGGACTAATGACTTGTTTCTTCCTCTCTGCTTTATTATTATTATTATTGCTATTGCCTTAGCAATAAGTAGAGTTGCAATGTTCAAACCAACATGTAGGCAATATATGCCTTTAGTCACATTCTAATTCAGTGCCTTCACTGAATTCTCACATCTAGTACTATGAAACTCATTATTATAAGTTATTTCAAATTATTGAAATCAATTTTTAATCTATAAAATTAGTTTTCTGTATCACAATGGATATATCCTATGTAAGATTCATTCACACACAATGCATACACACACAATGCGTCACACACACACACAATGCATACACACACAATGCATCACACGCAATGCATACACACAATATTTTATTGTTTCTATAATCCTAAAACTCAAAGTTATGACAATCACACACTCAAAGCATTATATAGTTATATAGTTATGCTTATTTAACTTAGATAGGGTCAGGTGGAAAGAGGCATTATTCTCTGGATAGACAGCTAAAAACTTCTTTTGTTTGTTCTTCTCTTTCACTTTTGGTTGTGGTTCGATGATTCCTCCCTGTTCTGTCCTACACATAAAGAGGGTGCATGAAATTCTTCTGTTATTTTTCTCCATCACTAGGATTATTTTCACAACAACACGAAAAATGATGTCTCGCTTTACACTCCTCCTCATGCCCTCAAAATTTTATTGATCAGCCAAAATTAACAGAATTTTACCATTATAACAGATTATATATAAAAATAAGTTCAAAACAAAAAGTTTAGCATTCTCAACGCCAAATTATGTTAGGTCCTCCTGTTTAACACCCCAATACAAGTATGTCCTTTGCCTTAGTAATGTTGACTAGACTTGCTAATTTAATTATTTTTAATAACTTTGGTTTTTTTAAATCAAACATGAGGACAAGAATATTTTCCAAGCACAGTTCCTGTTACGTAGCAATTAGTTACTCATTAGCTATTTGAGATCCCATGTTTGAATAAATAAATAGTTATAAGAACATAAGTAATAAGTTAATTTTGGAGAAAAAAAGTTATATATGCTTCAGAGGAACAGTATGTATTGCTACAGCATAAATTTCTCTCTAAGTGACATACTCTTTAGTTTGCTGCTCTCATAGGCATATATTTTTAACATGATGCTTTAGTGAAGGAAAGCTTGGTAAGTTAATGATAAGATAAACAGTTGCCAAGATATTTCTCTTGAATTGTAGGTTGCAACTGCTCAATGAAATTGCCTAATTGTGTATCTATCAGCAAGCAGGTAAGTGGTTGGATCAGGAATTCTTTAAGGTCTCATTTACCACAAAAATTCTATGTTCTATGTATCCAGATAGCTGGTCTGAGGGCATATTAGGGCACAGACTATGCTGCAATAAAAAGACATCCAAAAATACAATGTTTCAAACATTCAGAATATTATTCCTCATGCAATAATCCAGGTATAGGAAGGCAATTCAGGGCAAGTAGGCAGCTATCCTCCGTAAGCTCATAGAGGCTCCCTGTTTCCTTCTATCTTGTTGTTTTAACCCAGTTGTGCCCAACCCTTTTGGCACCAGGGACTGGTTTCATGGAAGACAATTTTTCCACGGACAGGGTGGTGGAGGTGGGATGGGAATGGTTTTGGGATGAAACTGTTCCACCCTGGATCATCAGGCATTAATTAGATTCTCATAAGGAGTGTGCAACCTAGATCCTTCACATGTGCATTGACAGTAGGTTTGGTGCTCCTGTGAGAATCTAATGAGAGGAGGTGAAGCTCCCTTGCCCTCTGATCACCTCCTGCTGTGTGGTCTAGTTCCTAACAGGCCATGGACAGGCACCGATTCACAGCCCAGGGATTGGGAAACTCTGCTTAACCTTTTCAGTTTAAACCATATCTGGATCCCAACTGGTGGGAAGGTATGAAAACAGGAAGAGAAGAAGCCCAAGCAATTTAATCTCATTGCCATACCTATTTTAGGGGACCCTTCACAATGTAGTCTTTAGATTAGTGATCATGTGCAGCTAGTAGAAAAAACAGAAGAATGGTGATCAGGGAGAAATTAACAACATGTATTTCAAGGCCTTCTCTCAAAGTACTTTCCCTCCTGACTAGGAATCCCACTCAGTTCTCCTTATAGCTGTTGAAATTCTGGCTCTTTTTGGTCTTGGGAGTCCAGGTTTCTCTGTGTTAGTTTTCTCTTTGGCAAAATGAAAAGTTTGAGCTATCATTGCAAAATATTATTCCATTTCTAAAATTTCATGATTCTTGTTTTTCAAGAAAAGTAGAGAATTTGTTGATTGTGTTTGCCCATGTGTAAAAATCTCCCCAATTTAAAATATATTATTGGGCAATGTCCGATAAAAGACAAATTTATTCTTAAAACTGACCAAAATGTTAAAGTTTATCAATAATTCTCAATCTTCTCTGTGACCTTCAAGAACTCTGAATCTTCATTTTTTAATATCAGGTTATTTTAGGACATATTTTCAGTTATGAACCAATCATGACCAGAATAGCTGTCCCTAATTTCTCTTTAAGTCAAGAGCCAAAAAGACAGTTTCAACCCTACTGTGGTGTCATGAGGTGAAAAGGGATAATGAATGGAGTATAAAACTCATTTGATAAATATTTGAGTGCCCTCCTTATATAAGATAATGTACAAATTATAGTGAATGATTCAATAAAATATAAAACATACTCCTTTTCCTTAATAAGGTGATAGTCCCATGGGTTTATAAGAAATAGATAACAACACGTAGAAGCTTGCCATATTTGTTATAAGAATAAAATAAAACATATTCTAGAATCTAGAATATTTTTACAGAAAAAATATTTGCAGACATAGTCAATCAATAACAGTAAGCAGAGTAGAGGTTAGATCTGGTATCAGATTCACCTTCTTGGGGGAAACCCATTCCTTTTATTGAAAGCAAAGTTCAATTTGGTGGACAAATACACTTTGATGTTCAAAATTCATGGTAATTTCTGGTCATGATGCATATGAAAAGAAAGAAATTTACAAAGGGAGATAACAGGAATGCCCATTGTTTTTTAGGGAGTTCATTCTAGCCGTGCATTTTTTTCTTAGGAATTGTACAAACTCTAACTCACTGCCTTAGAGAAAGAATCAAAGTCCTAATCTCTGGAAAGCAGATTGGCAAGACTTAGGTAAGAGTTCTAGTCTTAGTGAGGACTGAAATATTGAATAAGCTAACAGCAGAATTCCAGAATGAGGAGCAAAACAAATGGGATTAGGGTTCAGAAAAGAAGGTTAGTGTTGGAAAAAATTGTGGCATATTAGACAAAAGAGTTTGGGATTTTGTTGATTAAGTAATGCAGAAGTATTGCAATGTTCTGTTTTCATTTTAGCTGGAGTAGGACATTGTCAAAGCTTCTTTTCAGTAAGAAAAATTCATTAGAGGTGGTTTGGAAAGGGGTGAGATTATGCAGGAAAATTCACTAGTTTTATACACTTTCTATGGAACAATTACAGTATGCTATACATCGTGTTTTGCATCAGGGGGAAAACTAAGCCTGTAATTCCGTGCTTAGAAGGCTCAGAGAAAATGTACTGTTGATGTGAACCATAGTGTTGTCAGTGAAATAAACACAAGACAAAATACAGAGGCAGAAACTTCAAGACTCTATGTCCAATTGAAAAGTAAGAAGTTCTGACAAAAACTGAGATGTTGAGCTTCAATAACTGAGATATAAATGATACAAACCAAAATAGAAAATGTGATGACCAGGAGACATACTGAATTTAATCTATTGGTGATTAAATTGTATAGGGAATTTTTAACAGGCATTTGAACATCAAGATCTAGAATTTGGTAAAGAGTACTGTAGAGAAAACAGTAAGATAATTAAGAATCATCTAGTAAGGCAGAAAATAAAACTGTGTGTATGCATCAGATGGCAGAGAAGAAGCACTTAAAAACAGAGAAGGTAAACCAGGAGAGTATAAATATTCATTTGTTTATTCATTAAATAACTACTTAATTTTAAGAAAGTGAGAGGTTTAAGTGCAAGTAGCTGCCAAGTAGACTAATGTATCCTACTAATGAATCCTCCCAAGACAGTGTATACTACTAAGAAATAATTGGTGACTTTTAAAGTAAGCATTCTTGGCAAATGAAGGCATTCAAGCTAATTTGCAGTGAGATAAAAAGAAGGAACAACGAAGAAAGTGAAGGCAACAAGGTAGTATTTTTTTCTACATATTGTGTGAAAAATCTTAAGAAACTTTCATTTCACAGGTCGAAATGAAAGTTGTCATGGCTAAAGAAAAATGGGAGGATAACTTAGGTGGGTCAACAAAGATAGTTTAGTATTTCGGTTCCAGGGAGAATTCTTTCTTATATGTGAGACACGTACCTTGGTTTTTAAACATTATTTTTGTAAAGACTGTCTTCATAATTTTGTAGGTTACCTTCCTTTTCAGAGCAGAGCAACACTATAAGATCCTTGACATTTTTAAGGATGCTAACGAGCCAAGTAGATGCTTGTATCTTGAGGATAGGCATCTGGCCAATGGTCATGAAATTGCAGGGCTTATCAAATTCTGTCCTTGGATCCCAGTGAAAAGTGAAATATCCCTAACTGATCTTTGGGATACTAAAATTCATGCTTTAGCAGTATGGAAAAGTATTAAAGAGCTTTATTAGGTTACAACTAGTTTTACCCAATCTAAAAAGTTACCTTGCACCTAAGTAAAGAAGATTATTTATGTAATTATCTGCACATATGTCCCCATCAACCACTATATATAATCATTTCATGGCATTCAAATTCAGCACAAAAATATCAAGACCTAAGTACAAATATTACTGTAATGGGTTTTCATTTCTAGAGGTCGTCAGGGGAAGGGATTATTTTTGCTTTCTTTATTGTACACACAGCACAGCACAAAGAGTCATGTTACAATGTCTCTATCTTGAAAATTGCATTTTGATGTAACGAGAAAGGCACTTTTAAAAGCAATTTTATAATTTTAGATACATTAACTGCATTTCACTCCACCCTTCTTTGTTAACACATTTTGAGGCCTTTCATTTGGATAAAATGGGTTTTTGTCAATTTTAGAAAGAAAATGTTGCAAATGTTTTCTTAAAATTCGTTTTTCATCCTTTCTTTGATGATTTTGATTGCTCATCCAGGTCAATATGCAAATATTCTGGATCATGGCATTTCTGAGGAGCAATTTTTAATTTAACAACATGGAGAATCTGGTGCAACAGAGACCTGACTTACTGATCTGAGATGCAGTTTTTCATTGTTATGGAATTCTTAAATTTCAGGTAATAGATAACGTTTAGCAGAGTCTTCAACCAGGTTTTTCCCATGGAGACGTTATAGGCATTATGTTTTAGGCATTATGTAATTAGAAGGCCATATTAATCTTGTGACTCCGGGAAATGTCTATTTGACATATGTGAACAACAGTACTTATTCCGTGAAGCATTAAGTTTTGAAGAGGTCTGTCTTAAAGAGATTGCCTATTTTTGCAAAGGAAAGGTAGCCTTGGTAAAGCTGCTGGTCTTTATGAAATGACACGATATAGCACTTAAAGCAGCCTATAAGTTAAGTATGTAGTTAAAAATATTTGTTATAGTTAGTGTGGGGCCTGCTGAATATTGAATTCCTGATCCAAAGTTCTTCCCATCCAGGATATTGATATAATTATGGACACTGTGCACATTGTCATTGATTTTGAAATTGTCATTACTGATATATTTGTGCATACACAAAAATAACATGTTCCTTTGACAAAAAATAAATTCAGAATTTTCAACATTTACCAAAATGCAGTTAATTTTAAACTACTAATGAATATTTAGATGCTTTTTCTTATGCATTAAGAAGGTAAAACAATCCCATTACTAAAACTGTAAAGACTTTTGAACAGTCTGAAACTTTGCACATCTATATAAAAGGTTCTTAACCTTTTTATTTTTTTTGTATCACGATAGTCTCGTGAAGCCATGAGCATCTTCTTAGAATGTAAATGTTAAATTAGTAAAATGAAATATTGCAAAGTTACAATGAAAACCCATCATAAAAGTTATTATGATTAATCACCTTTGATAATATTTATGCTTATTTGTAAATTAATATGAAGTCATGAGTTTAATTGTCATCATTTTAAGTAGTCATGAATATAAAAGATATTTCAAAATAGACGCAACAACTATAATGTGATACAAAAATATCTGATTTCTTCTGCTAATAAAGACACCAGTACAGTTAATACTAATACTTTTATGGTTTTTGCCTACATTTATTTTGAATAAAATGCTCAGTTTCAGTTAGAAATTTATAAAAGTAAATATTTTTTCCAAATTCTAAGACTCCATATTAAGGACTCTTGATCTACCCCAATTTCCATGGTTTTGGTGCTTCAAACTGAGGGCAAAACCCACCCACCAGGAGGATTAAGAACTAGCGTCAAGGGCTGTTTTAGAAAACATCTCTGGTCTCCCTTCACAGAGGCAGTGACTGCCCTAGCTCCAAACCGTCTACCTGAAAACAGTGGGAGCTGAAGCTTGCCTGGTTACCCTGATGTCAATCTTCCCTCTGGCCCTTCGTCCTCACTTAATGCATGTCTGTATGGAATTTCAGTCTCTGCATTTTCTAATAAACTTTGACTTGACTTGTCCCTTTAACTCTGAGATTCACTCTGTTGTCTGCCCCTCTCCTAATTGTGGGCCCTCTTAACTCAATCCCTGATTTAGATGGCTTGGCTACCACTGGAGCCTGGAGCACTAATACACTAATAAGTAAATTTTCTCTTTTTGACTTAAGAGTTTAAAATGTATTCTCTTAATCTCTCTCCTCTCTCTCTCTCACACACGCACACACACACACACACACGCACATCAAAATTCTAAATTGAAGGTCAGTAAGTAAAAGCATTTATCAACCACATATATTTATCTTATGGGTGCTATTATTTGACTTCTTAATTTGATTGAAATACTTCCAGATTTAAAGAGGAATCCAGATGAGTTAATGGCTGCAGCACACCAACATGGCACATGTATACATATGTAAAAAACCTGCACATTGTGCACATGTACCCTAGAACTTAAAGTATAATAATAAAAAAAAGAGAAATCCTTCTACTCAGTGCCATTTCAGTGAGAAATCTGACTGTAATTAAAGAAAATTTAAAAGAAAATTGGTTGTCTTGTATGACTATATAGAATGCCTGGCTTATATTTCTCTGTTTCAGTCATTTTATTTTATAAGCAGTGTGCGTGATCTCAAATATTTTACCAAGAGAAAAATACAGTCCAAGCAAATATTATGTAAGAAGTTGAAGAAACATTCATATTCCAAACATAACATCTAAACTTTTGGGGGGGTTCTTGGATATAAGAAAATATTCTTATATCATATCAAATATTATAATCAGAAAATAATAATTTTATTAATAGGAAAAATACCAATTTTCCATCTGGACTTTCCGTCTTCCTGGCACATATATGTATATTTCCTTTTGTGTTTAAAAAAATACTTTCTTTCTGCTTAGACATTAATGGAAAGTCAAAATATCTATACATTGGAGCTGTAAAATACATTTTTTGGCCTATTTTAGAATTGTTTGGGTTATAGACTCTTTAAAATCTCATAAATGTGTCACAAGCTTTCTAGCCAAAGAAGAATGTGTTTGTATGTACTTTTTATATATGTGCAATTTTTCCCTATAGTTCTGGAAGTTTAAGGAATTTCTGAATTTCATATCTAGATTCCTATAAAATCAACAGATGTGGATATACTATTTAGAATAGTCTAGATTATATTATGGTAATAAATAAGCCCCAAATCTCAGAGGTATACAATAATGAGAATTTAATTCTCACTCATGCTACGTATCTATTGTTGTTTGACTGTGTTAGGTAACTATTGCTCAAGGGTCTTTTGCATTTCTGCATGTCTTGCAACAAGCACTAATTGTGTCTTTTCAAGGAAAGAACAGTATAACGACACTGTTTTTCTCCAGGGCAAATGTTGGCCAGCGTTGCTACCCATTAAAAAGTTTTGGGTTCCCTACGCTAGTTGGTTCCTTACCTGTAAAGCACCCCACTCCATATGCAGGTACCCCTGGCCGCCTTTTTGCTGCCCTGTAAGAATTGAAGCTCGGGGAACAGGGGCAAATAATGATACTCTAGCTATTGTTATTACTGTAATAAATTAAGCCCATGGAGCTTAGTTTTTTTTTTAGGCATTATTTAATTAGAATGTCATATTGATTTTGCAACTCTAGGAAATGTCTGTTTGACATATGTGAACCACAGTACTTATTCCATGAAGCATTAAGTTCAGAAGAGGTCTATCTTTAAAAGATTGTCTATTTCTGCAGAGTAATACATTCCTTTGTCTGTAATACAACATCTTTGCTTTATTTATTTATGTATTTTTTGCCAACACCCATAAAACTGTGACAGGCTTCCTTGTTAGCTTGTAAGTAGAAGAAAATTTTAGACCCTTCACAAGTTATAGCACTCTTCCCTTTTAACTTCATTTTGGAACTTAAGCTCACAGATCAACCTCCGTCTGGAACATTGCTGGTTTCTGTAACAAAGGGTAAAAAGAGAGCCTGCTAGCCATGTTCTGGCCTTGACAGCTTCTTCTAAACCCATAACCTATGCTCACATTCATTTTTCAAAGTAAGTCAAATGGCCAAGCATGACAGATATGGAGTGGGAAATGTAATTCTCCTCCTGGGATGGACAGTGAGGATTTGTGCATAATAATACAATCTACCAGAGCAGGTTAATAACTGTGCACTAGCCTTTTAATTTTCCACTTTTTCCTCAGGTAAGCAGATTTACTACAACATCAAGTTTTCAGCTTATCTTACACCAGTGTTCTCATATTTCAAAAATGTATAAGCTACTCTCAAAGCTTGCATATGGCTATTTCTCACCTATATTATAACATATCCAATATTTTCCCTCAAATTGGGTGATAATATTTAGTGATGTCCCATGCATATTATCTGAAAAGTTGTAGGTTTCAGAACTGGTCTATATTTTCTAAGCATGTGAAAATAAATACTTATTATAATTTACCCATGTAATATATAATTTATTACGTAATACAAATATTTATAGAAAATGTAATTTATAATATAATAAAGTTTTATATTTATTTATTTATTTTTGTAATATGGTCTTGCTCTGTCACCCAGGCTGGAATATAATGGTATGACCATGGCTCACTGTAGCCTCAACCTCACAGGCTCAAGTGATCCTCCCACCTCAGCCAACCAAAATGGTGGCTGGGACTACAGGCACCAGTTATCTCTTTTTTTCTTTTAAATTTTAGAAATGGAATCTTACTATGTTGCCCAGGGTGGTCTCAAACTGCTGGGTTCAAGCAGTCCTCCCTTCTTGGCCTCCCAAAGTGTTGGGATTACAGGTGTAAGCCAGCAAGCCTCACCTATTTATGTTTTTAAGATAAAAAAGCTTCGTGGTTTTTCATGTGCCATCTGAGATCATATTGTATACCAACAGTGAAAACATTCCACCTTATGGAACACTCTAATTTTATACATATATATGTGTGTGTGTGTATGTACACAAACATATAATGATAATAACCATTTATTTAATGAATATTAAGTGTCCACCATACATAAGATATGAAATAAGTGGGCTGGATTACTGTGTTGAAAAAAGGTGATGTAATAGTGGCACTGAGTTTTTGTAGGCTACTGAAATGATAAAAAAGAATAAAACAAAAGGAAGTAAATATTAAATAAATAATAGATTTGATAAGTTTTTGAAGGAAACAAGTTTTTCAGATAGATAATAAATGAAGAAAATATATTTTAGAAAGCACGTGTAGGAGAAAGGGTATGTAGGGATATGTAAAGTGAGATGTGATATATAAGATGAAACAAACTGCAGAGACTGGGCTCAGGGAAGTGGAAATGTCCTCAGTGCAGCTTGAAAATTCCCTGTTAACTGGGAAACAGGATTGAGGACATGAATGAAAGTCAGTGTGGCTGGAGCAGAGTGAGCCCTGGGAGACGGTGAAAAAAAAGATGGAGTTGGAGCATGAAGACTGTGGAATGTGGTGAGACTGAAATTCCCTCCAAGTGGCATGTATTTTTATGGAAAGCCAGGGAAAATTCCATATTTTATTATAAATACAATGTAAATTATTATGCTGGGGAGTATTATAATCCAATTTTTATGTCAAATGATCACTCTTGAGAGGAGGAGTAAGTCATGATGTTAACTAGACTAGAATGGAGGCACAAAGTAAACAGATTTAAGAGACATTTAGAAGGTAAAATTAATGATATAGAGAAGTGTGATGGTTGGGTTCCTGACTTTAACAACTGGACAGATGATTGTATCCATCCTTTTCTAAGATGGAAAATGATGTCTCTGTGGATTGACTGAAGGACAGTGTTCTGAATCAAGTGTTTCATTCTGAACAAGCTAGGTTTGAGATATCTGTGAAATATCTAATTAGAAATGTTAGACAAGTTGAATATATTAATATGTTAACCTGTAGCTCAGAAGAAAGATCCTGGGTAGAAATATAAATATATGAACTGTTACCAGGCAATAGCATTGAAAACTATGAAATTAGATGAGCTAATCAGGAAGAGAGTACAGGAGTAGAAAAGAAGAGGACCCAGGTCCATATCCATAGGAATATAATCATTTACAGGCAGACAGAGAAATAGAAACCAGGGGAAGATGCACAGGAGTAACAGAGAAAAAGACAGGAAAATGTGGTGTCACAGAATCAAAGAGTGGGGACTCTGAAGAAAAAGGGAATGGTTGACAGGTCACTTTAAACAAAAGATTTAGTACATTAAAGTTAAGAAACTTCCAGCTGGATGCGGTGGTTCACGCCTGTAATCCCAGCACTTTGGGAGGCTGAGGCACGAGTATCACCTGAGGTAAGGAGTTCAAGACCTACCTGGCCAACATGGTGAAACCCTGTCTCTACTAAAAATACAAAAATTAGCCGGGAGTGGTGGCAGGTGCCTGTAATCCAAGTTACTTGGGAGACTGAGGCACGAGACTCGCTTGAACCCGGGAGGCGGAGGTTGTAGTGAGCCAAGATCGAACCACTGCAGCACTCCAGGCTAGGAAACAGAGCAAGACTCTGTCTCGAAAAAAAATAAATAAATAAAAAATATTTCCTTTTCTATTTAGCAAGAAGGAGGTGATTGATGTTTTGGAAGAATAGTTTAATAACATGTAAGGGGTGGAAACCAGATTGGAGTATGTCAAAGTTAATATCACGTGAGGAAATTGATTCAGTGAATCAAAACAACATGTTTAAGAAATTTTGCTTAGACAGAGGTCCGAAGAATAAAGTGGAATTTACAGGATATTAGGGATAAAAGGGAGCATTCCTTGCTGTTTTGCTCATGAACACGGCTCATTATGACTTGGTTGTATGCATATAGGAACACTGAAAATAAACCAGAAGAAGGTGGTGAGGTGAGGCTTGCAGCAAAGAAGAGGCTGGTGTTTGGTGCAATAAACATGGATGCCGTCTCTTTTGTAGCAAAGAGAAGGAGAAAAATTCTTGGAGATATAAGTAGATTTCTATGGTGGTGAGAAAAGATGAGGAAATTCACATTTGATGACTTCTGCTTTTTCAGTGGAGTGTAAGGTTAGAATTAATCATCAATTGAAAGTGAGGGCAGGGAAAGGGCAGGTGGTTTAAAAAAAGAGAAGGGGGTTAGGAATGCTAGGCTTTTGGGAAGTTAAGAAATAGGGCAAATTGTACTGAATGCTCATTGGTGGTATTTGATCTTGAAATGAGAATGCAGCACCTAATGAGCTGGTTGTGTTATTTTTCACCAAGTCTGGTGATATTAAAAAGAAGACAGCTAGTAAGAATTATCCCAGTTTTAACTTTTCTCCCTTGAAAATAATGAGAGTAAAAGGCAAGAATTTGAGAATATTTGAAAAAACAGTGAAGATGATGATAAATTGTGAAATCTGTGTTAGATAAGAAGGATAGTTATAGCTGGAGGGAATTGAGAGATCATACGAAATTGATGTGGTCGGTGGATCAGAGATCCCTATAAAGTCAAAGATTGCATCAAAGTTAGGATAACTTCATCAGTTATTAGCCACTCCCCTTTTAGATAGTTTACTCAAACAAATAGTCATTTCCTTAGCTGATGCTTTTCAAAGGATCATTTAAGATATGTAAATATCATAATCACTGGCTATAGGTGTAATAATGATGATGAAGGGCTTGGTCCAGGCTTGGAAGTGTAGATAGTGCAAATATATGAGAGATGCATATGCCTAAACACAATATCTGCAGAGTAGGCTGTGTTTTTACTATTTTTTTTCTGGCATCATATGCTATCACCGTGAGAGAATTTGAGCCCTGAATTAGACAATCCCCAAAGAAAAGCATCATATGTGTGCTTAATAAATGTTTTGGATGATGAGGGTGACATGATGATGTCCTGTTTTTTGAATAAGTAGCATTAAAGTAAATATTGTTTTTTTCTGAATGGAAGAAAACAGAGAGACTCTTCATTAATATTTATATGTACAGTTCAAAGTCATGAATGTAATATGATATTTTTCTCCTGTTATAAAAATTAGTGTTCATAATATGACATGACTTTAGAAAGAGTGCTGATATTTAAAACAATGCATTATGTACTAATGACCTCATACTTTAGAAGTCCTTTTAATAAATGTTTGAAGACGTGTGTGAAATAATTATTTCAATGTAAGAGAATACTAATATGAGTTAGTATTTATTTTTAGCTACTCCTTGATACTCTTTTGTTTTCTTTTTGCAGCATTACTGAGTTTTATCTTACTTTTTTTTTTTTTTTTGAGACAGAGTTTCACTCTTGTTGCCCAGGCTGGAGTGCAATGGCGCAATCTGGGTTCACCACAACCTCCGCCTCCTGGGTTCAAGTGATTCTCCTGCCTCAGCCTCATCAGTAGCTGGAGTTACAGGCATGAACCAGCTAATTTTGTATTTTTAGTAGAGACGGGGTTTCTCCATGTTGGTCAGGCTGGTCTCGAACTCCTGACCTGAGGTGATCCACCCGCCTCTGCCTCCTAAAGTGCTGGGATTACAGGTGTGAGCCCCCATGCAACTGCATGGTAGTTCACCTTTCCCCCTGCCCAATGCTGTCTCCCTTATTCCCTCAGAGATGTTCAAAGTGAGACAGATTTGTTCTTCCTATAAGCTTACCTGTTTATTCTATCCCTGTATTGATGCATTTATGTCACTCCATTCATTCTGAGAATCTATCTTAAATAAAAGAAAAATGTTAAGTGTACATAGAGTTTTAGCTAAAATAATGTTTATTATAGCATTATTTATAAAAGCAAACAAGTCAGGATAAAATTTTAAAAAATTAAAATAGGGGATAGATATGAGCCAAAAGTCAACAGATGATGAGAAAGTGGAAACAGTAAATGTGGAAAACACCTAAGAAAGTATGAATAGTGTTTTGAATTAAGCATCATTGTTCTAATGCTGTATTTGCTTCCTTCCCCAAATTCTCTATATTCTATATGAATTTATTATTCATATTCACAACAGTATTCTACAGAATACTGTTCTATGTTACCCAGAGAAAACCCTGGATAACACATACTTAAATATCTACAGTAACAGCTGCAGTTCCATAGAGTTAAATAAATAAATAAACTTTCACCACTTGCTCTGGTGCCATATTTTCCTCTAACATCAGAATGACTTAATAAACTTCTTTGGATTTTGAAAATTTCCCTTGAATCTCTCTCCCAATCTCCCAAAATACAGGTGGCATTTAGTTATTTGTGTGTGTGTGTGTGTGTGTGTGTGTGTGTGTGTGTGTGTGTGTGTGTTTGGCTTTGAGAGTCTTTTGAATTTTCTAAATTATGCTACATTACTGCTTCTGCATGAACTCTGTGGCATGGACTGAATAAATAAATCAGAAAATCAAGTCTTTCTTGTCAACTACATTCCAAGTTTCTTCCCAAAGGTGGCAGTAATCCATGTGGCATTCAAACACTTCTAAATATGTCTAAAGTGTGTGTTTATTGCTCTAATTATTTTCCATGAAAGCAGTTCTACTTTATTACCCAAATGAGAGTTATTATTGTCTTTCCTTCTGATAATTGCATTTGTGGTATTTATTTCAGGGTTTTTAAGATCCTTTAAAACCTATTTAGTTTTTTTACGAATTTAATGCTAATTAAAATAATGGATTAGTAGGCTTGGAAAATCAAATCACTATTCAGCCAGAACAACAGAAGAGCTTATTTAATTGACCACCCTGAATCATATTAAACCAATCCTGAAAGAATCATCACACAGATTCAGATATTGCAGATACTGTCATTCTTTCTATATGACATACTAAAATATTTTTCCAGATATTTTTAAAGAGTAAATTAAAGGCTGATTAAATTAGTAAGTGGTTAATCTCTGATCTCATAAAGAAGGCAGATGGACATTTTTTCAATAAACTTCTATCATTTTTAAAGTTAATTTCTGCAGACATAGTTATTTCAACTGATGCTATGGAAGTCAAGCAACTTTCAATGTGGGGATTATTAACACCATCGAATGCTTTGTTTTTGATCACAGGTGGCTATGGACAGTGAATCACAGCTACTATACAGTTTTCAACCAGGGTGGCAATTTGCCTATCAGGATTAAGATTAGAGTAGAAGGGTAGCCTTTCTTTATGAGAAAATAGTGATATTTTTAAATAAAATGGCAAATTATTTGCCACGGTTTATAAGTTTATCCAAGTTTTAAACTTGTAGTTTTGCAAATATTCTTTATTATCAAATATTTATTATTAACATTAATTATCTTTGTTATTAAATATATCTTTATTATCACATCAGTTGAATTTATTTCTATAAAGTAAATCAATAATAAATTTGATTTGTTTACTGAATTTTTTAAGCTGACTAAATGTTTTGGTGTTTGAAAAACACAGGCAGATTCTGCAAGAGGAAACCGAGTCTAACTGGGTTCAACACATTCTTGATTCATCAGATTTGTTTTAAGATATGGCTTCTAGCTGTTTCAACAGACCAACACCACCTGCAAGTGTGCACTAACCCAGAGAAGGTTCAGACATAGACACTCATACGCCGTGCTGATGATGTACTCTAACACAATCTTTTTGGAGGACAATTTTTAAGTATGTTAAAGTCTCTAAAATGGGCTTAACTATTCGTCCCACAATTTCTTTCTAATTGTTTTTTGGAGACAGGGTCTCACCATGTCACCCAGGCTGGTCTCAAACTTCTGGGCTCAAGCGATCCACCCACCTTAGCCTCACAAATTCCTGGGATTACAGGCATGAACCACTGCACCTGTCCTGTCCTGTAATTTCAATTGCAGAAATCTAATTTATGGAATTCAGCAAGGATGTGTGATTTAATTAGGGGAAATATTCATCACAGTGTTGTTTATAATAGAGAAAAACATAGAAGTAAGCATTTAACTATTATACAGTTAATCCAATAAATTAAGGTACAACACCACGATGGAGAACAATACTGACAAGGAAAGATGTTAACCTATATTTAACCTATATTAAGATCTAATTACAAAATACATATTTGGTGTACTAAATATTATATATCTTTGCAATAAGTGACAGGGACAGTACACTGTGACAACTCTGAGTAGAGTCAGTGGCATTCAAATTTTCTTCTTTTTGGTTGGCTTTATTTTCTAAATATAATTTTACAAGGATGGATATTTTTGTGTAAGAAGGGAAAAGCTAAAATTCACAGCACATATCATGGACTGGTTTTTCAAGAGAGATAACTCTATTTGTCCTTAAACTTTCATCTTTAGCAGAGATGTAAAATGAGGATTTAAGTGAGATATTTTTTTCTTAAACCACTTTATTGAAGTATAATTGACATGCAAAAAGTGGTACATATTTAATGTATATAACTCGATGAGTTTGTGAATAATAATTAGACAACCAATACAGTGTTGTATACTTAAGATTTGCTGAGTATATGTAGATACTGTGTGAAGTGTTCTCACCAGAACAAATAGTAATAATGACAGTGGCATTTTTAATAACATATTGTCTTCTCCAATTTGGGGATTTATCATCTTGGAGTATAAGGCACACAGTCCTATTTCCTATTTTAATGCCTCATCAGTGCTATATGTCAAGGGAGCTCTTGTGTGCTATTTGTATAGGAAATATAAGTGTGTGTATATATACACACACAGACACATACATATACACACAAATATACACACAAACATATACATACACACATACGTGTGTATATATACATACAGCTACATATTACATAATTTATGTACAACATTATTTTATCTATTAACATATTAGCATGTTTCATTAAGAAAAAAATAAAACTCCATCAAACATGTAAAAGGAGAGAATGAAAGCACAAGAAATAATACAATGCTTTTTTCCCCACAAATGATCACAACCTAACTGTGGTTGCCTACTAATAAGTATGTTGATTAATATGCACCCCAGCAAAAGTAGCAAATCATTCTGAAAATGGAATTAATATGCAGTTTTTTAATTATTTAAACTGCATTTAATTTCAACTGCTTAAGCTATTCTCTCAACCAAGGCTGTCCATTCAATCTTCAGGGTCAAGCAGAGATAGCATCACTACCAGTAAGCCTTTCCTGACTTTCTCAAGCAACACAATTTTTCCATCTTTTGTGCTGTGATAACATTTAGTCTGTATTTCTACTATAGCAGCTAATTGAACTCATATAAAAGTTGAATCCATCCTTGTTTGCCTTTTCCACTAGACTGTAAGCTCCCACAGGCCAAGAACCATGCCAATTGCATCTTTACACTACTTACAGAAGCTTTGTATAATAGATGATTGATACAGTGATATATTGTTTGTTACAAAATTTATGTTTATAATTGTCTAGTCAGTTACTGACTTTTAGATGTAATGGACTGATCATTTGTATGCCCTCAAAATTCATATGTTGTTGGGCTCAATGGCTCATGCCTGTAATCCCAACATTTTGTGAGGTCAAGCTGGGAGGATCACTTGAAACAGGAGTTCTAGACCAGCCTAGGACACAAAGTGAGACCCCAGTCTTGAGAAAAAATTAAAAAAAATTAGCCTGGCTTGGTGGACTTTGTCTTTAGTCGCAGATACTAGGGAGGCTGAAGTGGGAGGATGGCTTGAGCCCAGAAGTTGCAGGCTGCAGTGCACTATGATTGTACTACTATACTCCAGCCTCAGTGAAAGAGTGAGGCCTTGTCGCAAGTAATAATAATAATAATACATAATAATACATAATAATAATAATAATATGTTGAAGTTCTAAGAGCCAATGTGGGTATTTGGAGATTGGGCTTCTGGGAGGTAATCAATATTAGATGACACTATGAGGGTGGGACTTCAGTCTGATGGGCTTAGTGTCTTTCTTAGAAAAGACAGCAGAGAGCTTGCTTTCTCTCTGCGCATATGCACAAAGAAAAGGTCATGTGAGTTCACAGTTGATGGTGACTCTCTTCAAGCCAAGAGGAGATACTTCAGAATGAAACTTACTTGGCTGCCAACTCGATATTGGACTTGTTAGCTTCCAGAAATGTGAGAAATAAATTCTTTTGTTTTATCCTCTGGTCTATTGTATTTTGCTATGCAGCCCAAGCAGACTAATATGTTTATCACAACTTACTATCCTAAACATCATTTTGTCTGTTGATTGTTTCACCAAAGCTTTAGGCCTGTATGGCATCAGTAGGAAGCAAGTTAATAATATTTTATCTTAAACATAGATTATTAAAATAAAACATATCAAGGGTCCTTGCCAAATATTATTTAATATAATAAATGTATGATTTAGCATAGTCCTCTCATAACTTAGAAGGAGCATATTATTTCAAAAAGCTTCTAAGAGTATGGTCTTATACTCTGTTTAGTTATGAATGGGAGCCTATCTATTACATAAAATTTAAGAATGTATTCTGTATTAGTATTAGACCTCTTTACAAGTACCTTTCTTTATTATTCTCTTTTGTTTGATGTGCTGGTTTAACACTTGAATCCCATAGGTTAATTTAAACCACCATGGGACTGCCAAGTTATGGGAATATCTATGGGTTTTAGTTCACATGTCACTATATCTGAATTCTAGCTGCATCAATTAAAACATAAATGTCTCAATGAAATAAAAATCGGATTAGAAAAAAAATTGTTTCTTAAATGCTCAGAACACTTGTCGTCCATTATATTGAATACAAAACTGCTAGACTATACTGTCTGAATAGAGATGCCAAATAGGTGTAATGCAAATCAGGAACAAGTCATTGACAGATAAATTAAATAGTCATGATCTGAATATTGAGTTTAGGCAAGTATTGCAGTCTATTCGCGCCAAGCTAGATTTCTTGTCCTGTACAAAAATGTTATGTTGTTCTCCATAAGCAGTCATCCATCTAAGTGACTTCAAGGCCCCTAAGACCCGAAGAGACAAAGCTCATCTATCAGCCTCTTGACTTCAGTCAGAGCCACAGCAGGTGCCATAATAAGCTGAGTTCACATATACTGATCATTTTGTTCCAGGAGCACATTTTAAAATCTCAATTTTATTGTAATTTTATAGTGAGATGCTATACTAGCAGGCCTTCATTAAGAACACTTTTTGATGTGTTAACTCCTAGCTATGGACTATGATATAAAGAAGAGAAGAATATAAGTTTTTGAAGGGAG
Source organism: Homo sapiens (assembly GCF_000001405.40). Lineage (NCBI taxonomy): Eukaryota > Metazoa > Chordata > Mammalia > Primates > Hominidae > Homo > Homo sapiens. The sequence goes on along the minus strand of NC_000008.11, from coordinate 76,382,239 downwards.
ATCTCTCATAATTTATGCTTAGTCTTTTGTTTGACTTCAGTGGGAATCTGGGAAAAAATGATTTTCTAATAACTAAATGCAGCAAGGCTTGTCATCTACCGACAGAATGTTTCCAAAGCAGACTAGAATGGCAGGATCTATAAGATGGAGAACAATTACAGAAGCAATTTCCAATTCAAAACAGGTGATTCTGTTACACATATTTAATCAGTGTATCAAATCCAAACTAGTATAGTAATTTTAAGTAACAGATTTAAATTTAAAAATTAAGTTAAACCACTCATTTGGCATCATATTGAGAAGTAATAGTTCTGTAATATAATTAAAGTTTTTTCTGATAAAGTTACAATGCTAATTACCTAAAATAAACTCATAATATAACATTTCTCCTTTGAAATAATTTAAAATTTAATGTAATTTCAATGAAAATAGCAAAGATATCTATCCTGTTAATGACTGTGGGTGGGGGGACCAAAACCCCTAGCAAGAATAGAAAATACATTTTGGAAATCAATAATAATAAAGAAGGAGGTTTAAGTGATGTATTTGCAATTTATGAAAATGTAATAGGCTTTGTAAAATTTTGAATAATGACATATACATGATAAATCAATGTAATAGAAACTCTAAAATATGCAAAATATAAAGGCAAATATTCAGTGAGCACTCACCAAGTTCTAGATGCTTCTCATGCACTGTCCAATTTTTCTCCAAATTTATTGAGATATAACTGACAAATAAAATTTGTATGTATTTAAGGTGTAAATGCGATGTTTTAATGTAAGTATACTTTGTAAAATGAATACCATAATCAAGCTAATTAAGATATTCATTACCTCACATAGTTACTGTTTGTGTGTGTCTTTTCCTGTGTGTGTGCTGAGAATACTTATGATCTACTCTCTTAGCAAATTTCAAGTATACAATACAATATCATTAAATATAGTCACCATGTTGTACATTAGTTTTCCAGAACGTATTCATCTTATAACTGAACATTTGTATCCTTTAACCAACACCTTCCCATTTCATTCAACCCCTCCCCTCTGGTAATTACTCCTTTACTCTCTGTTTCTATGAATTTGGCTTTTTTAGAATCCGCATATAAATGAGATCATGCAGTATTTATCTTTCTGTGCCTGGCTTATTTCACTTAGCATAATGTCTTCCAGGTTCATCCATATTTTCACAAGCGGTATAACTATCTTCTTTTTAAAGTTGATTAGTATTCCACTGTGTATATATAAATCACATCTTCTTTATCTATTCATTCATCAACAGACACTTAGGTTGTTTCCATATCGTGGCTATTGTGAATAGTGCTATGCATTGCTTCTTTTGACCATAGCTGCCGACTTATGGAGAAACTATAATTTTGCCTGTCTTAAATTGAGAAGAAACTGAAGCAAGTAAGTAAAAGAGGTGGATTCTCTTAATTGAGATTTAATTGATACACAATAAACAAAGTGTACTTAAAGTATAAGATTTGATAAATTTCATCTGTAGAAACACTACCACAGCACACCATCATCCCCCAAAAGTTTCCTTGTTATCCCTTGTAATCCTACCTTTCTATTTCTCCCCATGGCCCCTTAGGTGCCAGTTACAAGAAGCACACTTGAAATATAAAGATATGAATAGGTTTAAAATAAAGAGGTGGAAAAAAATATGTAGCGTGCGAAGAGTAAACACAAGAAATCTGGTTTGGCCATGTTGTAATAAAAGTAGACAACACCAAGAGTGTTCTAAGTGAAAAAGAGAAATTATTATAATAATAAAAGGGCCAAATCATCAAAACATTGTCATAATACTATTAATAATTACATATATACCCAATCATTGAGCTTCAAAATTCATTAAGCAAACAAACAATCAAACAAAACAACACAAAACTAGTGGCTACTCTACTGGATACTGCAGGTATAGATCAGAAAGTTTTACCGGACAGTGCTGATCTACAGTTTTCTGAAACGTAACCCAAGAATCTTATATTTAGCCACATTTTATCCATCTATAACAAGAACAGCCATCTAAAAATATAAAAAATTCAGATAATATAGCACCCATGAGTTCTTTTTGAAAAATCTTTCTCAATAAAGTACTCTATCTGACCAAGATTTGGTGCCCAATAAGGAACTCTGAAATGAAACTCTATCATGGCATAGACTGGAAGGGAGGGGAGGGAACTGAAATTATTACATAGGCAATAGAATCAAGGTGATTGGTAACTCTTATTATAAAATGAAAGGCCATGTAACATATAATTCATAGAAGAAATGCTATAAATATAAAATTCTCTCAACTATAAGCAACTAATTTAAAAATCCATTTCAAATAAAAGAATGAGGGAGGAAGCATGAAAAAATTGGGGGGAAATTTAAATCAGCAAATGTCTGTATATAAAATATTTCAAATAACAAGAAACCATAAAATATAATTCTAATAGTCTGACATTTATAGTCACACTTGTATGGTAAGATCATAAAATGGGATAAAATCAAGTATTAAATTAATCAAAAACTCAGTTTGGATAAAAAAACAAAATACAAGACTTATGCCTAAGAACTTTGAATGTAAAAATATGAGCATAAATATATGAGGCAAATATAACCAACCAAAAAGTGAGGGCCATCAGTATTGATAGCAGACAAAATTGACCTCAGAATCTAAAGCATTAAATGAAATCCAAGTCATGTAATTCACAAAAAGCATAGTTCCAAATAAAACAGCATAAAAATAAAAGACACAATAACTTCAGGAAATACAATAAGAAATACACATCAGATTGTTTAAACTTTCTTTGCACATCACAAATTGAGTAAGTGACAACAAAATTAGAATTATATAATTAACAATATATAGTACATAAGTACTGTAGTCTCTAAAGAGTAGATAATATATTTTCTTTTCAAGGATTTATATTGTATTATAACTGACCCTAATACCTTCTAAAAATTAGAAATTAGAAACCAGTCATGAAATAAGGAATAAAAGCATAAGTAAACACCTATGGAAACAAAGCCACAGCATTATCTTGGGCATTTAAAACAGTCCTCCAAAAAATTTAAATCCAGTAGTCATCAAAACTAAAATTCAAGCATATGAAAACATATGATATATAGTTAAGCTAAAATCACAGAAATTATCTGAGTCAAATGCTTTCATTTTTCAATAAGAAAAGAATGAAAAATGGAACTAAACATTTGATTTTAGATTAGAAATCAGGGAGAGTATATTATACAAGAAAGCCAAAAGATTTAAATGCTGTATTTCATTACCTCAAATTTAACATTTTAACTGTTTACTGAATTACAAGAATGTTTAAATAATATTCATATTGATAGTGGCAAAATATTTTGTATGATTTTGTAAACCATAAAGCCTGTTATTATAATTGTCAAATAATTTACTGTATCAGTGTTAATACAAAAATATAAAAACTCATGTTTCTATATAGATAAGTCAGTTTCTAGAATTTTGAAACATGTTCAATATTAAAAATAACTAACTGTCACTTAAAATGTCTGTGTATATTTAAGTTTTTTACAGTGGTTCCTTTTAAAGAATTATTTTAAATGTATAGTTTCTGATGAAGAGTATTTAATTATTCATATGTTTATAATTACTATTTTTCATTCCAATTTAGTGATCATTTTCTAATGGAAGTTTCTATTCCATATTTTTTAAAGTGCAGTGTATTAAATATACTTAGATGTTTTATTTAAGTATCTTATGTTATCTATATACAATGAAGCATTTAAAATGAGTTATCTAATGTTATCTTCTTTAGTAGAATAGAACTTTTCTAGACTAACCAATCATTGTTTATTTTTTTTTCTGTTCCATAAAATAAAGTGCTGCTGATCTAGGAACTGTACTTTTAAAGAGGTGTTAGTTACATTGTCTTCTCCATGCTTTTGTTTTTACTTTATGGGATTACACAAAATATTTTGGAGAAATATATACGTTTTCTGTAATTTAACTTAAGATACAGCCAGGGTGTTAACATTTTTGTGATAGGCCAGTTCATATCAATGAACACATTGTAGTTGTTTGTCAGAATAATTTTGATAACAATTAAGAATGTCATAAATAGAACAGTCACATAAAATTTAACTTTCATTTGTGCATACTTTTGACTTATTTAGAAGAATCAGAATGTATCATTTGTATACCTGTTTTTTTAATGATAGTGCACTATTTTTAGAGATATGCATCTTAGTACTCTACCTGATTGAATTTTCTTTCACGTGTTGTGAGAATAAACGTATAATGTGAACTCTGAATCACAGAATTCAAGTGGAAATTGCTTTGCCATATTCTTTAAGGTTAAGAATATATTCCGAACTTCCTAATGAAATGTATATAGATAGCTCTTCCCCTCAATAGATTGTCTTATGCATATGACATGATTGTTAGCACTTATAGTTGCTGTTGTTGCTTAACTGATAAAGATAAATAATCATCATATTTCATTTATAGATATAATTGATTGAAAATCTAAATTAAGACACGTTTGAGGATAGAATTTTCTCTCATCAGAATACATGTGAACATTTTATGATAAAATTACATGTGTATATATGAATTGTAGATTAAAATATGATGAGTTAAAAATAGAAAAAAAAAACCTCTGTAGATTAAACAAAGAAAATTATAGGTCTTTATACCTCATAGATGGAATGGTTGATTGTACATCTTTTAGTATAAGACATTCTGGATATGAATCCTTTACTTCACAGTTGTGTGTCTTGGACAAATATTTGCCCATATCATCCATGATATGGGGTAAAAACTAGCATCTACTTTATAGAGTTTTTGTAAGTATTAAATGCATCAGTCCACGTAAACCACTTATCATGATGCCTGGCGTATTTCAATTAATGTTAGAGACTGTTGTTATTCTTGAAAATAGGGTTAGTTGATGCCAACATATAGTGTTATCCCAGTTATCAATTCTGGGATCCATCTTATCTTAAGGCTTGAAAATTAATATGTTGAGGGGGCAACAGGGTGGTCTTTGTGGTACATACTGGAGTTTATAGATACAACTTAATATTGATATTGATAAAATATAGATTCAAATATGTTTTCTACTAAAAATAGAATGCAGAAATTTCAAATTATGGGAACAAAGTAAATATAGCAAGCAGGAAAAATTCTGCTTTTAATGTACTTTTGTCTGTATGTAATAATAATTAAGTACTTGCTCTACATCTCTACGTCTCTTGCTCTCTTTGCATAAAAGTATCCTGAAGGATAAATTTCACACTATTAAAAGTGGTAATCTCTCTCTCTCTCTCATTCTTTTATCAGATTTATTTTCTGAGAAGTTTTTTTAGAGAAAGAACAAAGGGGAACTCATAAAAGCACTGGGATACTGATCAGGGTAATTATAATTTTAAAAATTATATTATCTTACATTATCTTTTAAAACAATGAGCTTGAATTACTTCTTTGGTCTTTTTATGTGGACTTGATTTTATTTATTCTGATTCAGATTTGATTTTCTGGTGCTTCATAAATTTGAGGCTTTCTATCTTTCATTAAATTTGGAAATATTTGTCATTTGTATATTGCCTTTCTCATATTCTCCCTGTTTTCTCATTCTCTCCTTCAGGGACTCCAGTTACTTCTTTGTCATTGCTATTTTGCTCTCCATCTCTCCTAATCTTTCTTTCACATTTTTTGTCTTTGATGTGTCTATTGCTTGGGACAATTTTTTAAAGTTATCTTCCAGTTCACCATTCTTTTTCTAGGTATGTCTGATAGAGAGCTTGACCTGTCCACTGTGCTTTTGTTTTTTTAACTATCAGAAGTTCGACTTAGTCTTTTTCATATTCTGTATTTTTATTTTTATAAGCTTCCATAGCACAACTGTGATTTTATTTTACTTACATTATTATAAATATTTTAAAAATCCATATATGTAGTTCTTAGAAGTCTAATTTTGCTCTTTTTTCTTTTGCCAACTCTTGATCATAGTGAATTTGTTTCCTTGTTTTCTAATTATGTTTCTGAGCTCATATTTGCTTAATCTAAATCTGTGGACATTCTGTGAGGTCCAAGTTGAAGGGATGTTTTTTCAGAGAGAATTTGCCTCATTCTAGGTTAAAGAAAGCCAAAAATACACCAGCTTTTCTGTTTCAGGTTTCCCAGTCCATTCAGATAAAGCCATTGAAATCATAAGCCTGTGTAAAAAAATAACCTGGCTTTTGAAGGGAGGATGAGGCAGAGAGAAGCAAGGCATTTTTTTTTTTTTTTCCTTACAAGTTATCAGGCTGAGAGCTGTGTTTTCCTATTTTCTTCCTTGGCCAGCAGATAGACTCTTTTTTTTCTTTCTTTCTTTTCTTTTTTTTTTTTTTTTCTAGTTCACTCTTAAACTATAGTCCTCCAAGGATTCTGATTTATGAATGAAGTAATAGTTCTAACTCTCTACCATGCGTGAGCCACATTCTTCATGCTTTCCTGGAAAACTGAGACTATTAATCCGGAGTATGCCAAACACTCATAGCCCAGAAGTAGCTTTAGTGCTCACTCAACAATTTATTATTTTTTCTTTATGTATTTTAAAGACCCAAGAATTGCGCTTTATTTCTTGTACTTTCAGAAACGCATTTAAAAATGCTTTTTTTTCCCTGCGTTTTAGGCATAATTTCTAAGCATTCTTAGGTGTGAGAATTTTTAATATTTCTAATCTGACAGTTTTCCAGAAGTGGAAGTCAACCAGGTATACTTGTTTAATTGAAAGTATTAAAAAATAAGCTTAAAAAATATTTCTTACAGAACAAACTAACACTAGTCCCATTTTGCTCTTAGAAAATTACTTTTCTAGGCTTGGAGCAGTGGCTCATGCCTGTAATCCCAGCACTTTGGGAGGCCGAGGCAGGTGGATCACATGAGGTCAGGAGTTTGAGACCAACCTGGCCAACGTGGTGAAACCCTGTCTCTACTAAAAATACAAAATTAGCCAGGCATGGTGGCAGATGCCTGTATTCCCAGCTACTCGGGAGGCTGAGGCAGGAGAATCACTTGAGCCTGGGAGGCAGAGGTTGAAGTGAGCTGAGATCGCACCACTGCACACAGCCTGGGTGAAAGAGTGAGACACCTGCTCAAAAAAAAAAAAAAAATTAACTTTTAAAAAATATTTAAGATTTTAATTTATTATGGCTAATGGATACAAAAATACAATTAGAAACTTAATTTTCTTGTACATAAATTTGTTCTTAGTCTTCTTTTCTTCATTATTAGAGCTCATTTCCTCAGACCCCAGGTTTCCTGTCCCAGAATAACAAGTAAATTCTTGTCCCAGCTGCAGAAGAGATTGTCATTTCTCTGTTCCTCACTACCAGATGCCATTATTACCTTTATTGAGTGTTGGATTTTCATCCCATAGCCTCCCTAACCCAAAAGGGAGAAAAATCTGACTTATCTGGAACCTAGTTTGTACTTTGATGGCATTAAGACCCACCTGCCATTTCTCTTGATGACTGAGGCCCAGGTTTTTGAATTATCTTTATACTCATGTATCTTTGTGCTTAAGCCTTGAATCACCAAACCCTGGCCTTATTCGAATATTTTGAAACTGGCTTTCCCCTGCCCTAGGTTTTCCCTGGGTTCTTGGTCTTTGTTCTTCTACCTCACATTGCCTGTCACACTGCCACCTACTCTTTGCACAGACAATAGACATTTGCCTCAGAGGATTATTTTTCCTATTGTTCTATATTTTTTTCAAGAAGGAAACATATTATTTCATTTTTCTTTTTCCCAAAATGGGCTTATTTTTATTGTTTCAGAGTTATAAAATAATATATCTTCATTAAAAATTTTCTCCTAATTGTAATAAACTATAAAAGAAGAAAGTGAATCTTCCCTGTGATCTTACACAGCAGGGAATATCACAATTAACAGTTTGGTCCTTCATATGAATTTATGGATCCACAGCACAAACATAATGACAAACGTTATTATGCCTCAAATTTCACTTTGCAACCAGACTTTTTCACACAAAAGTTATTAGGGACATATTTCTATATTAATGAATAGAGAACTACCATATTGTTTTTAATTACTACAAAGTATTCAGTCATATGGAATATGCATAATTTATACATAGTCCTTGCCTGGAGAAAATATAAATTTTCTTTAAATTAGAAAAAATGCTGCAGTAAATCATCATATGTACAGTGCACTGTATGATTTATTTTTATGGTATAAAGTTCTATAAGTGAAATTGCTGAATAAAATGGTATGCCCTTTTTAAAATTTGATACATATTGGCAGGTTGACCTCTAAATAGGTTTATACTTCTCAGCGCTGAGCATTACGAATCCTATTAATCTTTGTCTATATAATTGGTAATTTATGATATTTAATTGTATTTGATTTAGTTAGAAATATTTAGCAGCTTTTAAAATCTGATATTTAAATGAAATGCCAGCTTTTTCAAAGGTTGAAATATAGATAATGTCAATTTACATGTAAATGACTTACTAACAGTAATACAGTGTTTTATTCTTTGCTAAAACAATTTACAGATGTATTTAGGAAAAATGGTGAAATTTTTCCTTGACTGCCACCTTTTCTCCATTTTTTAATCCTCAGGCTTAAATACTATTACTATTTTGCTATGTGTCCTAAGAAAGCTTTTATTTTAAGAAATAAAAATGAAATGCTCAGGAAGGATTGTGGGAAGGGTTGGAGGCAGAGAGAAGCAAGGAAACAAGGTTCCTTTTTTTTTTTTCTTTTTCTTTTTTCCCTTATCAGTGATCAGGCTGAGAGCTGTGTTTTCCTACTTTCTTCCTTGGCCAGCAGATACATTTTATTTTTTTCTATCTCACTTGAACTATACTTCTCCAAGGATCCTGATTTGTATAGAAACTCTCATACATCTTGGTGTGCTTTTTTTTTTCCCCAACATAAACATTTGTTTTTGAGAAGTGTAGATATAACTAGCTGCTTTAGATGGCTATAACATGTTTAATAGTGAGGATGTCAGATTGTCTATTTTAATATTCCCCTGATGGTGTACATGTTTTTCGTTTCAAGTTATTCACTCTTATAAAGTGCTGTGATAAACATTTCTGTACCTGTCGTGCTTGTAGTGCCTTTTCTTGGCAATGGCTCACTCTTTCCTCACCACAACCCTAGATATCAGAAACAAGATCAGAGAGGTTACTACCTTGTTGAACCAGATCCAGGTGGTAAAGGGGAGGGTGCACTTGAATGCAGGCCCAGATTCCAAAACTAGTTTTCTTCCTACACAAATTATGTCTCTGGCCACCATATGCAATATACAGTATCATTTTTAAGTGCTCTAACTCAGCAATAACAGATTGTTGGTAACCAATGTAAGAAAATCTCATGTTAACATTTTTCTCCTAGCTATTCTCCAACTCCAACATGTGATGCTTCCCTTGTTTTGTGTGTTTGAATGTTGTCCAGTTTTTACCAAACTCAGCACGCTTTCTCATTTTTTGCTCAGTCTTTTGCTATGCCATTTCCGTGGTATGTCTTGCTTGATCTCTCTGCACTTCGTTCTCCCTCAAACTTGTTTGCAGAATCTCCCTACCATAGATCAAAGCCGGAGACTTCATTCTGGTCTTAATTTAGCTTTCTAAAGCCAGCTTTTCATACAGAGGTAAGAAGGGAGGGTCACGCTTCCTTATAAAATGAAGCAATTTTGCATAATTATATGTTAAAATTTTCTCACATGTATAAAATGAACATAAGAAACTGACCGCCACGCGTGGTGGCTCACGCCCGTAATCCCAGCACTTTGGGAGGCCCAGGCGGGAGGATCACCTGAGGTGAGGAGTTCAAGACCCGCCTGGCCGACATGGTGAAACCCTGTCTCTACTAAAAATACAAAAATTAGCCGGACATGGTGGCGCATGCCTATAATCCCAGCTACTCGGGAGACTGAGGCAGGAGAATCGCTTGAACCCAGGAGGCTGAGGTTGCAGTGAGCCGAGATTACACCACTGCACTCTAGCCTGGGCAACAAAGAGCAAAACTCCGTCCAAAAAAAAAAAAAAAAAAAACCTGAAAAAAGCAACAAAATAATAATAGCTAATAAAAAATAATGAGTCTAACTCATTTGCCTGATAGTGGGCCAAATTCTTCACATGTATTTTTTTTTTAATACTTCTAATTTCTTTCTGAGGTTTTTAGTATTAGTGTGTTCGTTTTATAGGTAAGAAATTGAAGCTTAGAAAAGTTAAATAACTTGGCAAAAATAATTCATTTATTAGAGAAGAAACATAGATTTCAATCAGATCTGTCTGGTTTCAGAGACTTACACTGTGTTTCCTTCTTCAGGTGAATAATCAGATGCATAAGTATGATTTCTATTATACTGAGGGACAAATTATCTTCCTACAAATGTAATCTCTGAAATAATAATGGGAGTAAATGTTGAAATAGATTTATATATATGTATATATATGTGTATATATATGTATATATGTGTATATATGTATATATATGTATATATGTATATATATGTATATATATGTATATATGTATATATGTATATATATGTATATATGTATATATGTGTATATATGTATATATGTGTATATATGTATATATGTGTATATACATGTATATATATGTGTATATATATGTGTGTGTGTGTGTATATATATATATATATATATATATATATATATATAAATTTGACTTACAACTTTTCAGGATTTTATCCAAGGCTTAGGGAAAGGCAATATTGTGTATAAAACTGTGATTGTGTCTGTTGCCTTAATTTATTTTGTATGCTATGCTAATATATAGTTTCTGGGCTTCAATAGAAAGCTATTGCTAATTTATCATATTGACTTATTTAGGATATTTCTTATTTAAGACGAATACAGTAAACATTCAAGAGCCATAGATCTAGGGTAAAATACTTGGAACATATATTGAGATAGAATAATAAGATCCATTCAGAAGGCAGATTTAGCATGGGAAGTAAAGCTAAAGTAGGAAAACTAAAGATAGCATGAGGTCAAGACGAGGAGACTCCTCATAATAAACATTAATAATAACACCCCACCTGTAGGTCAAATAATTCTCATATGAATACAGTCTATGTGACAGCCTAGTAGAGACATCTCTCAGTGTCTGATGCTGCCTTTGATAAAAATATTGTTATTGTCTTAATAATATTTTATCAGTCTGTCATTGTATTTATATTCATTATATTTATTTTATTCAACAAATTATGAAATTCTTTTCAGAGTGTTAATAAACAAAATGTTGTGTGAAAAATAGAGAAAACATCATCACCATGGATAGAAAAACAGGCAGAATATGGTAGGATCTGAGAAGGTATAATTGCATGCTTTGATATTTATGATGAAACACCACAGCTGAAAGAAAAATAACAAAAATGCTATCTTAGCCCTTTATGAAACAAAGAAAACTTGAAGGTCGTGCAATAGTAATTTTCATCATTCCTTCCAAAGGTTTGGCAAGCTTTGAAAATTCATATGTAATAGCAGCTAGCATTTCTAAGTGAAAATACTTTAAAATCATCTTGGGATATATAGTCTATTAAGGGAAAAACTTCATTTTCTTTCCATAAAGAACATATAATTCTATTTCAGAACCTTATATTGAGTCTATTTAAATAAGTGTATTTTCAGTGCATATTTTTTATTGCATAGTTGATGGTTATATCTTCCTTTCTCTTTTTGCTTTATTTCAAAACAGGAAGTACATTTAGTTAAAAATCAAGGATCATATATTCAACAAATTTCTGAAAACTATTTTGTTAAAAAATGACTTTCTGGACAAAGAATAGGTTGAGAAATCTAAAATACTGCTGTACTTTCTCTTATTCTACAACGGATATTGTGAAAATCATATAAATACAAATTTCCTAGAGAATTGAAGGGAAAATATTTTAAATATTTTAAAGTTCTTAATAAAACCCAATTTCTTTTACATCAGTTGAACATGTTATAAGACAGCCAGAGCTTTTGCCTTATAGAATTACTTATTTATGTACATTCATATATTCTCTCATGAAAGTATGGCTTTTGTTGTTCTATTACTGGGAAACATGAAATATTTTTAAGTGATTCCAAAACTTGTTTTCTCCTGTCTAGGAACATAAAAATGAATAAATTCTAGAGGACAATTAACTGAGCTAGCCTTGTCCCAACATATGTCTAAAATAACTACCAAACAAGTAAAATATTTATTTCCATTCATGATATATCATTTTAAGTGATGCTTTTTAAAAATATTTATTACTTAAATATAAACATCTATTTGCTCTCTTGAATTCACGACACAGTTGTAGGACATCATGGGAGAGAATGAATTTTTTCATTGTAGTGTTGTTGATTGTTTTTTCTCTCCATTTCTGCCTTGCTTTTACCAACACTCCTTATTTTAAAAGAATTTTTAAATAGGGGAAACATAACGATTATTCAAAAAAGGAAAGTATGACTCTTACTTAAGCAGTTAATACTATGTGAATGTGCCAAACATCTGGGCTTTATATTACTTTGGTTAAAACATCTGTTACCTTTAGCTCTTTCATGTCTGTCATCCTTATAAAATTTCCCAGTAAGGTCTTAGTGATTCTTTTTCCATCCTTTAATTAAGATGTGCTTTAACTATGTAGTACTACAGTGAGTCACTTCCAGGAACTTCTTTATTAAAAAGTAAAAAAAAAATAATTAATTAGATACTTCACTTGGATGAAAATTCAAGGAATGATTATGGCTGAAATAAGGTAGAAAGGAAGGCATATTTATAATCACAACTTTAGGGGTAGACAGTTTTTTTTTGATGCAATAAATTTACAATTTATAGAGATACAACTGTCCTAATTGCAAAGAAAAATCCTGACCTACCATCCCAGGAATCAAAAACAAAGCCAAACTTCTCATTTCTTTTCAATTATAACACAATCATAATCTTATATAAAATATTGTTGAGGTAAATCCTACATATTAAAGCAGAAATTTTACTTCAATAATTTACTAAGTTACCTACTTGTCAATCTATTTTTTCTACTGAAATATTTACTTGGAATACCTTTTTTGGTCGCTATGCATTGACTTCTAAAAGTATTATTTTGACTCATATTTAGTTCTCTTTAGTATCCGAAAGCTGTCTAAACAGCTTCCTAGTGAAAATGGTAGCCCACTGCTAGCCCGCTGATGAGAGACGCTGTGTAGCAAATAGAATTTTGTGTCATTGGCTATGCCAGCAATGTGTTATTGCCTATGTTTTGATTTTGAGTAATAGGGTATACGTTCTTATTACTCAGTAGACTGTTTTTCCAACAACACAAAACACTGTATCTCAGCTTTACTAGATTTTCTGTTTGCTCTGAACATATTGCCTTAAATAAATTATTCTTTTCATATTTAAAAAGTGAGTCACAAGTATAATATCAAAGACTATACAAAGCACAATGTATTCACGTCAGAATCATCTTTGACCCATTAACCCTGAGAGGGAAGAGATGTCATGGGTTTTGGGAGGCAACATAAATGGCCATATTTGGACTTGCATATTTGAATTTGTAAACGATATTTAAGAAGAGCCAAGGAGATAAAATTCTTTTAACACTATGCTATACCTTATAAATTATAAATTGCTATTGTTTTGATTAAGTAAAAATACAGTTATCTTAAAGACAAGATCTTTTTTTTTCTACAGAGTCAAGAATCATGAAGATCGGAGGTAGAATGATACTCACAGAAATCAAATAAATAAAAAATAGGTTATTTACATTCAAAAATATTTCACGGTGAGAATTTTGCAAAGTATTGTAGGGAACAAGCTAAAAAATAACTGTTTCTCTTAGATTTGGGCATGCATATACTTCTGATTGTTCCCAGAAATTTACCATATATAATACTTTTGTTACTATAATTAATAAGAACTAACTATTGTGGAATAAGTTTGGTAGAAGCCATGGTCTGTTTGTGACAATTAATAGAGTGAGAACTAATTAGTATTTAAGAATGTAGCAAGAATTTACTCTCAATTAAAGCTGGGTTCCATGATGAGAATGTAGTTAATAAATACCATAGGAAAGCTTATAAAGTACTTTGAAGATAGGATGCAAGAGGACATGAAATCCTTAACTATTTTCATGGATATATTTTGCCATAAAAGACCATAATTTGTTTAGGGTGGCAATTGCCATTTCTGAAGTCGCCACGCCAGGAAAAACAGGTGGCTGATTTATGTCCCAAGGGTGCCAGAGTGCCATCAGTGCCATCTAGTGGCAGTCATGGTGAACTGAGGGTACCTGGCCCCTATGATGTAAAAAACTTGACAATAGGAACCAACATTTGAACGTCTTTGTCTTTTACTGTTGACAGAATTCACATCCAAACAACAGTAATGTTAAATATGAATAAAAGTTAAATGCATATGAAATATTTTATTACATGACTGATTCAATCATCATGGAATGGATTTTCTTGGACTCCTCAATATCCTTATTTTTAAATTATAATGTTGATTTGCCATGAATTTGACATGATTTGACAGTTATTGTGGCACAAATGTCAAATATAATAACACTTGGTTTATATATTTCCTATTTTTTGTTTCTCTCAAACTGATTTACACTAATTATATAAGCATTATATAAATAATCTGATCTCTCAATTTAACAGTCTCCTTTAAATCCATTCACTTTAGGTAAAACATTGTAACAAATAGCCTATGGAAGTATTTCCTCTCCCCAAAACACCAGCATACTATTTCTAAATGTATGAAAACCATTTGATATTTGGAGTTTTCTACATAGAAATGATGACCTGTTTTTAAAATATATTAACAGTGGATTCCTATAAAATAGATTACAATTGTTAGTTTTGACATTTCCAGATTGACCTCTTATTCTTCACAATAGTTTTTGAACAATCTTATCATAGGGCTAACAAATGACTACCACAGACTAAGAGGCCAGTAAGTTCCATTTGTTGTTAATGCAGAAAAGTGAGGCTGGGCACGGTGGTTCACCCCTGTGGTCCCAGCACTTTGGGAGGCCGAGGCGGGTGAATCATGAAGTCAGGAGTTCAAGACCAGCCTGGCCAAGATGGTGAAACCCCATCTCTACTAAAAATACAAAAGTTACCCAGACGTGGTGGCAGGCGCCTGTAATCCCAGTTACTTGGGAGGTTGAGGCAGAAAATTGCTTGAACCCGGGAAGCGGATGTTGCAGTGAGCTGAGATCACACCACTGCACTCCAGCCTGGGCAACAGAGCAAGACTCTGTCCAAAAAAAAAAGAGTCAGTTACCGGGAGTCAGGAGACTTATCCTAGTCTTGGTTAGCTTCTGACTTTATGGCTATGGTCACCCAATTCTTCTTTTTCCCACTTATTTCATCTATAAAATGAGGTAACTTGTTCTCAACAGAATCACTTAGGGAGCGATAAACAAGACCTACTATAACCAAAACAGCATGGTACTGGTATCAAAACAGAGATATAGATCGATGGAACAGAACAGAGCCCTCAGAAATAATGCCGCGTATCTACAACTATCTGATCTTTGACAAACATGAGAAAAACAAGCAATGGGGAAAGGATTCCCTATTTAATAAATGGTGCTGGGAAAACAGGCTAGCCATATGTAGAAAGCTGAAACTGGATCCCTTCCTTACACCTTATACAAAAATTAATTCAAGATGGATTAAAGACTTAAACATTAGACCTAAAACCATAAAAACCCTAGAAGAAAACCTCGGCATTACCATTCAGGACATAGGCATGGGCAAGGACTTCATGTCTAAAACACCAAAAGCAATGGCAACAAAAGCCAAAATTGACAAATGGGATCTAATTAAACTAAAGAGCTTCTGCACAGCAAAAGAAACTACCATCAGAGTGAACAGGCAACCTATAAAATGGGAGAAAATTTTCATAACCTACTCATCTGACAAAGGGCTAATATCCAGAATCTACAATGAACTCAAACAAATTTACAAGAAAAAAAACAAACAACCCCATCAAAAATTGGGCAAAGGATATGAACAGACACTTCTCAAAAGCAGACATTTATGCAGCCAAAAAACACATGAAAAAATGCTCACCATCACTGGCCATCAGAGAAATGCAAATCAAAACCACAATGAGATACCATCTCACACCAGTTAGAATGGCAATCATTAAAATGTCAGGAAACAACAGGTGCTGGAGAGGATGTGGAGAAATAGGAACACTTTTAC
Source organism: Homo sapiens (assembly GCF_000001405.40). Lineage (NCBI taxonomy): Eukaryota > Metazoa > Chordata > Mammalia > Primates > Hominidae > Homo > Homo sapiens. Next base: position 76,366,028 of record NC_000008.11, on the reverse strand, counting down.
ACTGTTGGTGGGACTGTAAACTAGTTCAACCATTGTGGAAGTCGGTGTGGCGATTCCTCAGGGATCTAGAAGAAGAAATACCCTTTGACCCAGCCATCCCATTACTGGGTATATACCCAAAGGACTATAAATCATGCTGCTATAAAGACACATACACACGTATGTTTATTGCATCACTATTCACAATAGCAAAGACTTGGAACCAACCCATCAATTTTTATGGCTGCATAGTATTCCGTGGTTTATATGTGCCACATTTTCTTACTCCAGTCAACCATTGTTGGACATTTGGGTTGGTTCCAAGTCTTTGCTATTGTGAATAGTGCCACAATAAACATACGTGTGCATGTGTCTTTATAGCAGCATGATTTATAGTCCTTTGGGTATATACCCAGTAATGGGATGGCTGGGTCAAATGGTATTTCTAGTTCTAGATCCCTGAGGAATCGCCACACCGACTTCCACAATGGTTGAACTAGTTTACAGTCCCACCAACAGTGTAAAAGTGTTCCTATTTCTCCACATCCTCTCCAGCACCTGTTGTTTCCTGACTTTTTAATGATTGCCATTCTAACTGGTGTGAGATCGTATCTCATTGGGATTTTGATTTGCATTTCTCTGATGGCCAGTGATGGTGAGCATTTTTTCATGTGTTTTTTTGGCTGCATAAATGTCTTCTTTTGAGAAGTGTCTGTTCATATCCTTTGCCCACTTTTTGATGGGGTTGTTTGTTTTTTTCTTGTAAATTTGTTTGAGTTCATTGTAGATTCTGGATATTAGCCCTTTGTCAGATGAGTAGGTTGCGAAAATTTTCTCCCATTCTGTAGGTTACCTGTTCACTCTGATGGTAGATTCTTTTGCTGTGCAGAAGCTCTTTAGTTTAATTAGATCCCATTTGTCAATTTTGGCTTTTGTTGCCTTTGCTTTTGGTGTTTTAGACATGAAGTCCTTGCCCATGCCTATGTCCTGAATGATATTGCCTAGGTTTTCTTCTAGGGTTTTTATGGTTTTAGGTCTAACATGTAAGTCTTTCATCCATCTTGAACTAATTTTTGTATAAGGTGCAAGGAAGGGATCCAGTTTCAGCTTTCTACATATGGCTAGCCAGTTTTCCCAGCACCATTTATTAAACAGGGAATCCTTTCCCCATTGCTTGTTTTTCTCACGTTTGTCAAAGATCAGATAGTTGTAGATACGTGGCATTATTTCTGAGGGCTCTGTTCTGTTCCATAAGTCTATGCCTCTGTTTTGGTACCAGTACCATGCTGTTTTGGTTACTGTAGCCTTGTAGTGTAGTTTGAAGTCAGGTAGTGTGATGCCCCCAGCTTTGTTCTTTTGGCTTAGGATAGACTTGGCAATGCAGGCTCTTTTTTGGTTCCATATGAACTTTAAGGTAGTTTTTTCCAATTCTGTGAAAAAAGTCATTGGTAGCTTGATGGGGATGGCATTGAATCTATAAATTACCTTGGGCAGTATGGCCATTTTCACGATATTGATTCTTCCCACCCATAAGCATGGAATATTCTTCCATTTGTTTGTATCCTCTTTTATTTCCATGAGCAGTGGTTTGTAGTTCTCCTTGAAGAGGTCCTTCACATCCCTTGTAAGTTGGATTCCTAGGTATTTTATTCTCTTTGAAGCAATTGTGAAAGGGAGTTCCCTCATGATTTGGCTCTCTGTTTGTCTCTTATTAGTGTATAAGAATGCTTGTGATTTTTGCACATTGATTTTGTATCCTGAGACTTTGCTGAAGTTGCTTATCAGCTTAAGGAGATTTTGGGCTGAGACAGGGGTTTTCTAGATATACAATCATGTCATCTGCAAACAGGGACAATTTGGCTTCCTCTTTTCCTAATTGAATACACTTTATTTCCTTCTCCTGCCTGATTGCCCTGGCCAGAACTTCCAACACTATGTTAAATAGGAGTGGTGAGAGAGGGCATCCCTGTCTTGTGCCAGTTTTCAAAGGGAATGCTTCCAGTTTTTGTCCATTCAGTATGATATTGGCTGTGGGTTTGTCATAGATAGCTCTTATTATTTTGAGATATGTCCCATCAATACCTAATTTATTGAGAGTTTTTAGCATGAAGCGTTGTTGAATTTTGTCAAAGATCTTTTCTGCATCTATTGAGATAATCATGTGGTTTTTGTCTTTGGTTCTGTTTATATGCTGGATTACGTTTATTGATTTGCGTATGTTGAACCAGCCTTGCATCCCAGGGATGAAGCCCACTTGATCATGGTGGAGAAGCTTTTTGATGTGTTACTGGATTCAGTTTGCCAGTATTTTATTGAGGATTGTTGCATCAATGTTCATCAAGGATATTGGTCTAAAATTCTCTTTTTTCGTTGTGTCTCTGCCCGGCTTTGGTATCAGGATGACGCTGGCCTCATAAAATGAGTTAGGGAGGATTCCCTCTTTTTCTATTGATTGGAATAGTTTCAGAAGGAATGGTACCAGCTCCTCCTTGTACCTCTGGTAGAATTCGGCTGTGAATCCATCTGGTCCTGGATTTTTTTAGTTGGTTGGTAAGCTATTAATTATTGCCTCGATTTCAGAGCCTGTTATTGTTCTATTCAGAGATTCAACTTCTTCCTGGTTCAGTCTTGGGAGAGTGTATGTGTCGAGGAATTTATCCGTTTCTTCTAGATTTTCTAGTTTATTTGCATAGAGGTGTTTATAGTATTCTCAGGTGGTAGTTTGTATTTCTGTGGGATCAGTGGTGATATCCCCTTTGTCATTTTTTATTGCATATATTTGATTCTTCTCTCTTTTCTTCTTTATTAGTCTTGGTAGTGGTCTATCAATTTTGTTGATATTTTCAAAAAACCAGCTCCTGGATTCATTGATTTTTTGAAGGGTTTTTTTTTTGTCTTTATTTCCTTCAGTTCTGCTATGACCTTAGTTATTTCTTGCCTTCTGCTAGCTTTTGAAAGTGTTTGCTCTTGCTTCTCTAGTTCTCTTAATTTTGATGTTAGGGTGTCAATTTTAGATCTCTCCTGCTTTCTCTTGTGGGCATTTACTGCTATAAATTTCCCTCTACACACTGCTTTGAATGTATCCCAGAGATTCTGGTATGTTGTGTCTTTGTTCTCGTTGGTTTCAAAAAACATCTTTATTTCTGCCTTCATTTCGTTATGTACCCAGTAGTCATTCAGGAGCAGGTTGTTCCGTTTCCATGTAGTTGAGTGGTTTTGAGTGAGTTTCTTAATCCTGAGTTCTAGTTTGATTGCACTGTGGTCTGAGAGACAGTTTGTTATAATTTATGTTCTTTTACATTTGCTGAGGAGTGCTTTACTTCCAACTATGTGGTCAGTTTTGGAGTAGGTGTGGTGTGGTGCTGAAAAGAATGTATATTCTGTTGATTTGGGGTAGAGAGTTCTGTAGATGTCTATTAGATCTGCTTGGTGAAGAGCTGAGATCAATTCCTGGATATGCTTATTAACTTTCTGTCTCATTGATCTGTCTAATGTTGACAGTGGGGTGTTCAAGTCTCCCATTATTATTGTGTGGGAGTCTAAGTCTCTTTGTAGGTCATTAAGGACTTGCTTTATGAATCTGGGTGCTCCTGTATTGGGTTCATGTATATTTAGGATAGTTAGTTCTTCTTGTTGAATTGATCCCTTTACCATTATGTAATGGCCTTCTTTGCCTCTTTTGATCTTTGTTGGTTTAAAGTCTGTTTTATCAGAGACTAGGATTGCAACCCCTGCCTTTTTTTGTTTTCCATTTGCTTGGTAGATCTTCCTCCATCCCTTTATTTTGAGCCTATGTGTGTCTCTGCACGTGAGATGGGTTTCCTGAATACAGCACACTGATGAGTCTTGACTCTTTATCCAATTTGCCAGTCTGTGCCTTTTAATTGGAGCATTTAGTCCATTTACATTTAAGGTTAGTATTGTTATGTGTGAATTTGATCCTGTCATTATGATGTTAGCTGGTTATTTTGCTCGTTAGCTGATGCAGTTTCCTCCTAACCTTGATGGTCTTTACAATTTGTCATGTTTTTGCAGTGGCTGGTACCGGTTGTTCCTTTCCATGTTTAGTGCTTCCCTCAGGAGCTCTTTTAGGGCAGGCCTGATGGTGACAAAATCTCTCAGCATTTGCTTGTCTGTAAAGGATTTTATTTCTCCTTCACATATGAAGCTTAGTTTGGCTGGATATGAGATTCTGGGTTGAAAATTCTTTTCTTTAAGAATGTTGAATATTGGCCCTCACTCTCTTCTAGCTTATAGAGTTTCTGCCAAGAGATCAGCTGTTAGTCTGATGGGCTTCCCTTTGTGGGTAACCTGACCTTTCTCTCTGGCTGCCCTTAACATTTTTTCCTTCATTTCAACTTTGGTGAATCTGACAATTATGTGTCTTGGAGTTGCTCTTCTCGAGGAGTATCTTTGTGGCATTCTCTGTATTTCCTGAATTTGAATGCTGGCCTGCCTTGCTAGATTGGGGAAGTTCTCCTGGATAATATCCTGCAGAGTGTTTCCAACTTGGTTCCATTCTCCTCGTCACTTTCAGGTACACCAATCAGACGTAGATTTGGTCTTTTCACATAATCCCGTATTTCTTGGAGGCTTTGTTCATTTCTTTTGATTCTTTTTTCTCTAAACTTCTCTTCACGCTTCATTTCATTCATTTCGTCTTCCATCACTGATACCCTTTCTTCCAGTTGATTGCATTGATTACTGAGGCTTGTGCATTCGTCACGTAGTTCTCGTGCCATGGTTTTCAGCTCCATCAGTTCCTTTAAGGATTTCTCTCCATTGGTTATTCTGGTTATCCATTCATCTAATTTTTTAACTTCTTTGCCATTTGTTCAAACTTCCTCCTTTAGCTCATAGTAGTTTGATCTTCTGAAGCCTTCCTCTCTCAACTCTTCAAAGTCATTCTCCATCCAGCTTTGTTCCGTTGCTGGTGAGGAGCTGCGTTCCTTTGGAGGAGAAGAGATGCTATGATTTTTAGAGTTTCCAGTTTTTCTGCTCTGTTTTTTCCCCATCTTTGTGGTTTTATCTACCTTTGGTCTTTGATGATGGTGACGTACAGATGGGTTTTTGGTTTGGATGTCCTTTCTGTTTGTTGGTTTTCCTTCTAACAGTCAGGAATCTCAGCTGCAGGTCTGTTGGAGTTTACCAGAGGTCCACTCCAGACCCTGTTTGCCTGGGTATCAGCAGCGGTGGCTGCAGAACAATGGATATTGGTGAACCGCAAATGCTGCTGCCTGATCGTTCCTCTGGAAGTTTTGTCACAGAGGAGTACCCGGCCGTGTGAGGTGTCAGTCCGCCCCTACTGGGGGATGCCTCCCAGTTAGGCTATTCGTGGATCAGGGACCTACTTGAGGAGGCAGTCTGCCCATTCTCAGGTCTCAAGCTGCGTGCTGGGAGAACCACCACTCTCTTCAAAGCTGTCAGACAGGGACATTTAAGTCTGCAGAGGTTATTGCTGTCTTTTGTTTGTCTCTGACCTGCCCCCAGAGGTGGAGTCTACAGAGGCAGGCAGGCCTCCTTGAGCTGTGCTGGGCTCCACCCAGTTCGAGCTTCCCCACCGCTGTGTTTACCTACTGAAGCCTGAGCAATGGCGGGCACCCCTCCCCCAGCCTCACTCCCACCTTGCAGTTTGATCTCAGACTGCTGTGCTAGCAATGAGTGAGGCTCCGTGGGTGTAGGATTCTCCTAGCCAGGTGCGGGATATAATCTCCTGGTATGCCGTTTGATAAGCCTGTTGGAAAAGTGCAGTATCAGGGTGGGAGTGACCTGATTTTCCAGGTGCTGCCTGTCACCCCTTTCTTTGACTAAGAAAAGGAATTCCCTGACCCCGTCTGCTTCCCGGGTGAGGTGATGCCTTGCCCTGCTTCAGCTCATGCATGGTGTGCCGCACCCACTGTCCTGCACCCACTGTCTGGCACTCCCCAGTGAGATGAGCCTGGTACCTCAGTTGGAAATGCAGAAATCACCCGTATTCTGCATCACTCACACTGGGAGCTGTAGACTGGAGCTGTTCCTATTCAGCCATCTTTGGTCCACCCCAATATTAGGTTTTAAAAAATCTCATTGCTTCCTGTTGGATGTTACTAGAATACCAGATAATTATTTTGAAAATTGAAAATGCTAACAAGCATTTAGTTTGCTCTTCCTGCATAAAATGTATTTTAGGTTAACAAAATAGCGAGTAAGTGTTTTAGTCTGCTTGGATGCCATGACCAAATATCATTGACTGTGTAGCTTAAGCAACAGTAATGTATTTTTCACAGTTCTAGAGGCTGGAAAATTCAAGATCAGGGTGCCAACTGATTCAGTGTCTGGTAAGGACTCTCCTCCTCACTTCCTGGTGCCACCCTCTCCATGTAGTCTCATAGAATCTTTCCTAAGTCAGTGTTATTGGAGAGAGAGAGAGCAAGTTTCTGTCCTTACAAGGGCACTAATCCCATCTTGAGGGCCCCACCTTCACGAACTTCAGTAACTCTAATATCTCCCCAAGACTCCCAGCTCCAAATATCACATTGGGGGGTTAGGGCTTCACTATATGAATTTGGGGAGAGGGCATAAAAATATTCAGTCTATAACAATAAGGGAAACGTCTTTAAAAAAGAATTCTGGTTGTTAAAAGCAGAAGGAAGAGTAAAATAAAAATTAACCATTCTGCATGCTTTTAAAAATGAAAAATAAAAAAACATGCACCTAGATTACAATCACCCATGGATATTAAAACATTGAGATAAATGCTTATGGGCATATTTTTACTAGAAGAATCATGCTAACACCACATGAACTCAACAATCCGTTTTAACATCACTGAAAGTATGTGGTGGATTGAATGATTGGTACCAATTCCTTTTCTTTATTTTAGTCTTTAATTCTCTTTTATTAATATATAATAATTTACATACTTATTGGGGGCATGTGAGTCTTCCTTATGTGCAGAGAATGTATAATGATCAAGTCAGGGTAACTGGGGTACCCATCATCCCGAGTGCTTATCATTTTTATGTGTTGGTATCATTTCAGATCCTCTCTTCCAGCTACTTCAAAATCTACCTAATATTGTTGCTATGTGTTGTCACCCTGGTCTGCTCTCAAACATGAGACCTTTTTACAAGAAGTCCACCAAATGCTTGTTCCCATAGCCAACCTCTCTTCATCCTCCTCTCTCCCCACCCACTCTTATCCATTTCTGATATCTATGGTTGTATTCCCTGTGTCCATGAGATCAATATTTTTAGCTCCAACATACAGGTGAGAAAATACAATCTTTGTCTTTCTGTGCCTGGCTTATTTCACTTACCATAGTGACCACCAGTTCAATGCACATTACTGCAAATAACATGATTTTATTCTTTTTATGGCTAAATAGTATTCCATGGGGTATCTTTACTATGTTTTCTTTATCCATTTGTCTGTTGATGATGATCTCAATTCTGTAACCCTTTTATATTGCCAGGTTTCACTTGGTCTGGACATGCGATTTGCTTTGGCTGAGGTATATTTGTGGAACTACTATGCCCATTTCAAGGCTGGGCTTTAGGAAGTTTTACGGGTTTCCACCTATTTTCCTGTGCCTTTTCCATTCTGTCAAGAACAAAGCTGATGCTCTAAGGTGGATGAGAGAACTTTCAAGCAGAGCTCCCCCAGCCGTCAGTGCCTATATCTAACCACCTTCCTAATGTACAGATTTGCTGAAACACAGCTGACACACAGATCCTTGAGAATAAATGCTCATTTTTATACACCACTGAGATGTTGTGGCTTTCTTTTGTTCTGTAACATTATTGTATTAATAACTCACTGACACAAATGAGATAAACTATGTGCCTCATGATGAATGTAATAGGAAGGACATAACACAACCTGTGAATCATTTGTCTCCAAACAATGGAAAGTTAATCTAATCTATTCAAATGTTAAGAATAAAAGGATGTTAAACTTTGTCTCAAAGAAACAGTTGGACATTCTGCAAGTTAAATGACAGTTTTTAACAAAAATTGGGAAAAAATAAAAGGAAGAAAAGAGAGAAAAATGGAGAAACAGTTACAAAATAAAAGAGACTTTAGAAATACAACTAATGCTGCAAGTAGACTTTCGACAGTCATTTGAACCAACCAATTATAAGAAAAAGATGTGTGAGACAGTCAAGAAAATGTGAATAAAAATAGACATCAATGAATTATTGTCAATTTAAATATGACAATGCTGTGATAATTGTGTTTAAAAAGTCCTAAAACAGCTAACAAAGTTAACTGTTAATAAAAGTCTGAAATATGAGTTTTTCTTCATACTAAGAAAGTGAATATTCAGAAATATATTTAGTTCTTAAAAGTTGTATTGTGGATAAAAGTTAAATTCGAAATGGGTATCAAGAGTTCATTATTCTACACAATTGAAATTTGAAGCTCAATTTTACATTGCACCATAAATGGATAACATTATATGAACAGCCAATATGTCCCCTTCAGTGTCAGTTCTATTAATAATATGTGTAGTATTCACATAAGCACTGAATTCTGGAGAATTTACACAGTGGGGAGGCTGAACATAGAAAATATTCCTGTTAACTGTGATGCTGCATAATGTGTACGTATCTGTATATGTGTATGTACATGTGAATTTAGTCATCCCCTAAAACGGCACAGCATTTTCAATAACCTACACACATCCTCCCACATACTTTAAATCCTCTCTAGATTACTTCCTCTCTAGATTGCTTATGATACCTAATGCAATGTAAATGCCATGTAAATAGTTGGTGTATTGTACTCTTTTTTATTTGTATTTTTATTATTGTAATGTTATTATTTATTGACTTCCAAATACAGTATCTGCAATTGGCTGAATCTGCAGATGGAGGATTCACAGATAGGAAAGGCCAGATGTATATGTATATTTATATTATTTGTGTGCTTTTTCATGTTGTTTATCACAGAAAGGAAAACTCAAAATTAGGTTGTATTAAGTTCATGTTGATAGAACCACTCCTAGACTGCTATCCCCACCCTCCGTGCTCCTTTTTATTCTCATTAGTTTTTCAATATAATTACTAAAAACAACTTTGAAACACCCTCCTGTTCGTTAAATTGCCTGTTAGAATTGGCATATCCTATAAGCACCAATGACTTATTTCAACTGGATGAAGTTATCTAATCACTCAAAATCATGAAGGATCAATCAGTCAGTGGAAAAATCAAAACAATGCTCTTATTTCTGACAAAACCAAGCAGGTCTTGGACTTTTCTTTTTATAGTGTCATAAACGAATTAGCTAAAATATTTACAACAGCTATATATTTTTATTGATTAGTTTAAAAAGCATCTCCAAAGCACTGAAACTATAATGATAGTCTACCTTTCACTTAGCTTCCCATACCCTTGCAAGTCATCAACATACTCTTGGCTGCATCTCGGCAAATGACTAGCCACCTGAATTCATTCTACGGAAGTGTCCTGCTAAGCCAGAAGCAGACCATGTGCCATTTTGAATAGATGATCGTTATCTTGACTATGAGCTCCATGGGAAAGTTATTTAATCCCTTCCTTCTTTGGGTTTGTAGTTGGGACGATGGAATTGCTGATTCTTATTGCTTACTCTAACAGTGACATATGAGACATAATGACAAAGTTTCTAAGGAGTTTTGAAACTTTCAGAAACATATTTTCTAACACTTTGGTGGTATGTTCTCACCATTCATTTGAAATTAACGGGGAATTCTTTTGTTAATTTCTTGAATTTCCCATCTTATTAAGTAGTAAAATCTCAAATAAGAATGACTCCAAACTTTCTAAAAGCATTTGTTTCACAAAATGAGAAGTCATGGAATAATTTTGGAGTTAATGGTAGCTCATTATTTATCTATGAAAGGATGCTACTTTCACAATATGTAAAGTAGGAAATAGATTCTAGAAATAACACTTTTCAGATTTATTGAATAACGTCTTCAGCAGAAAGAAATGGCTAAATGCAGAACAACAAAAAATGTTCAAGTTAAAATTAGTTTCTTATATATATAAAGCTACTTTATAAGTCTGGCTGATTTGGTAATCGTCTAGCTTTTTTTTAATTATACAGCTTTTTTATTGAATATTGGCAAATTATAATTATATGTATTTGTAGGAAGCAAAGTCGTGCTATGATATACGTATACATTATTTGGAATGGTGGATATGTTAATTAGCTGATCTAACCTAGCTTTAGAAATGATAGCCTTCATAATAATGTTCGACTCAGTGATTTTACACTAACCTATAGTATGTGGCAAGAAAAATGCTTTTGTATATTTTGCAGCAGCAATTTTACCAAAGGAAAACTTTCCTGTTATTTAGTCATTTTAATGAACTGTTTATTTAAAAAGGGTGCATAGATAAAATTCACCATGTAAGATCAAAGTTTCAGTAAGAATTACAGACATTAGTAGTCTGTGTTTAGCATATGAGACTGTTTTAGGTAATTTAGGTTAGAGATTATGTATATGGTCACACACATATATACTTTTTTCAGTTCTGCTTAATGTGGCTTTAAAGTCATTGTGTTGATGATTCACCCTGTCAAATAATATCATCTTGTGGCTATAAATGATATGTTGAAAATCTGTTTTTGCTTTCTCATGTACTTTAAAATGTTTTTTATTTTTTATTTTTATGCATACATAGTAGGTGCATATATTTGTGGGGTACGTAAGATATTCTGACACAGGCATATAATGCATAATAATCACATCAGGATAAATGGAATATCCATACCTCAAGCATTTATCCTTTCTTTTTGTTACAAACAATCCTATTACATTCTTTTAGTTTTTAAACATACAATAGATAATTGTTGACTGTAATCATCCTGTTGTGCTAACAAACACTAGATCTTATTCACTGCTTTCTTATGCAGTTTTCAAAATGTCCCTGCTTAAGTTTGGGAATTTTTCAAATGCATACATTATATATTTATCCACATTTTGGGTATTATTCTACATTTCTACATTATGAGCATTTTGAAATAGGATTATTCCGTGTTGATACAGCACTTAGGATTGAAGAATTGAAAAAATATTCTAATACATTTATCTAGGAATTTAGTCATAAATGCATTATGGCAAGAACTGAAAGATAACCAAAATTATTTTGCTTTAATGCATTATTATTTTGTTGTACTGAATATTTCTGAGACTATGTAACAAACTAGGTCTGGGAATTCTTTAACTTGAGATTATCATTGAACCCATGTACTTTCCTTAATATAAAATCATATGTTACCAGAAAATAGCAGTGTTGTATGTATGATTTTTAACCTAATAAATATCAATTTGAGAGAGGGACACACATCATTTCTCTATATGATGGTATTATATAATTACACCATTTGAAAGGTTTAAAACCATCTTTTTGATTAGAATAACAACCTTTAATAAGCAATGTTTTGAAAAGTATGCTTTCTAATACCAGACATTATTACATTAAGAGCAGTCATATAATGACATTGTTTACAGTGGAATTTTTCTGTATTATGGAAATGAGTACTAACCTTATTATTAGCTTTCCTCAAGTAGTTGTTTACTTAATTGTGTACCATATGATATTCTTACAAGTAATACTGATTAATAATGGAAAAATAACACATGTTCCTTGTTCAAAAATTGTTGAGAATTCTATAGTGTTTACTGTTCTCTTGTGGTGCTTAGGGAAAAAAAATTACCAGACCTTTTCAGTACTTTTCTTATTAAAGGAAAGGATGGGAGAAAAGGATGATATAATTATTCAAATTTTTTTGTCTACAACTTGATTTTTTACAAAAAGAAAGTATTGTAATTATGTATCTTGACACCTTAACAGACGTAAACTAATTTATGTCCATAAAACATTCAAAACAGAATCTTCTCAAAAATGAAAGGAAGTTAATAGATGGGGGTGAAAAGAGAAATAGCAAAATTCTATGAGAAGTTTGAAAAGGTAGAATGACCATTAAAGAGCACAGGCATGCTACAATTCAATATTCTAGCAAAGCCTCTGCTTACAAGACTCAACCTATTTGTGTTCACAAAGTCCTAAGTTTAAAAAGGACATAAACCAAAAAAAAAAAGGAAAATGAGCTTCTATTTGAAACCTCAAAAACAAAAAGGGGGGCAATACTTCTGAGAATTCTTGGTTGTTTACAAACTCAACATTCTAATGTTTTCATCAAAAGCTTATTCTGGGAAGTTAATGAAGTAATCTTTTTGGAAAGTAATAGGATTTTATTCTCATGAGATTCCCCCACAAAGAGGTGGCCACTTCCTTAAATCAACCAGTCAGGTATGATGATACCTCAAGTCCCAACTGCTGGAAGCAAATAAATAATAAATGAAGATGGTATTTGAGTCTGAAAAAATCATCTGCGAGGTCAAGAACCTCCTTTTTGTGAACTCCGTAAGATGTGTCATGCAGAAACAAGAGTTAAAGGTTGGGAGCTTGACCACACACTCCACTTTGGCTTGTAAACTGAGAGTGGCTACTAACCCAGCACCACGTGAGTCACTGGTGGAAGTGTTTTCTTTTCTATTTTTTTTCTCTCTTTCTTTCTTTTAAAGGCATAAGTTCTTCTTTCACGCCAGGATAGCTGAGAGTGAGAAATACTAGGAAGAAAAGTTAGCATTCTTACTGAGCACAAACCTGCTGCTAAGCTGGTATTTTGTATTGATTTTTCCTGAAGCCTGTAATCTTGAAAGCTTGTAACAGAGGATGAGGTAAATATCATTTTATTTGCTCAAATAGGTTTAGATTAGATTGAGATGAAAAAGTAGGGATGGGCCAAATTAGTACTGAAAGCAGCAATTACAGATTATTGTTTCCAGCAGTAACTAGAATAGGTTATTTCACTGATAAAAAGGCTTATTGAAAAAATTGGTGATTTTCTTTATTTTTTAAATAAATAAGTAAAAGGAAAACATGAAATTAAAACTATGTTTAAGTATTAAAGTCATTGATCTTCTTTCAAATCAAAGCAGAACTTGAATGTGTAAATTTACCTACAAATATAGCCCCTTAACAATGAGTTCTTACAATGCATAAAGTGGCAAATCAGTAAAATACATTTTTGATTATGCAAGCATATTATATGTGATATTATTATTTAGCTTAAAAAAGTCTCTGAACCCTAAAGTCTGAAAGCATAAAATAGGCTCTAAAATTAATTCCTTAAATGACATGATTTCAGAAAAAATAGTGTACCAAACCATTCAAATGATACTGACAATAGGGCATGGAATTTAAAAGGTTTAACCATGTCTTATCTCAGAGTCTGTTTTATTTCTTCATCTTCTGAGCACTTCAAACATATAAGCTTTTATTCCATCTTTAGATCAGTAACTTTGAATTGTTCTACCTGTCATTCTGCAGTGACTAGCCCAGCTAGATGTCATACAATGATTGTTTGCACTTTCATTCTTTCACATTAAATGGCAATCATTCGGTCCTTTTGATTTGTTTCTTTTATTTAGCCCTGAAGTTTTTACACTAGAATCTCATTAAAGCTGAACTAGTGTACTCCTGTCAAAAAACTAATGGAAAAAAGTTTAAAAGTGAAATGTGTCCTCTATATTGTCACTACTAGAGAAGTTGCATCTATCAAGATTTTGCAAGTTTAGCACTTTGATTTATGTTCTATTGGGTCTGCTTGTCTCTTACTTTCTCTCTTCCATCTCATCTACAAAATGAGGAAAACCCAAAGAAACCAAGTTCATTTATGTAAAAGGAAGGACAGAAATATTTAGAAATATTTATGTTACCTCAAGTTCTCTGCTATTTAAATTATGTGTGTGTATACAGCTGAAAAAAAAATAACATTAATGTGTTTTGACATTCAGATGCTTTATTAGCAAGGCAAGTTACAATTGAAATCTTTTCAAAAATAAGTGTATTAAAATAGATCACTTAATGGCTTATTATATAAATGCTTATAGAGAACTCCATTTTTTCTTTCAGAATTAAGAAAATATTCTTCATATAAGGCAAATAACTTATGATCAAGGTAAGGATATCAATCATGACTAAAAATGAGAACTAATAAGAATGATAGTTCTTATATTGCATAGGATTTATTTATGCACAAGTATGTCCCATTGTTTTCAGAAAAAAAAAGTCTGGGTCATATTCATATAATCTAGGCACCACGGACAATGACAAATATATTCATTCAACATGAATCTCCTTTCATCATGTGCTGCTGTTCTGAAAGATAAGTGAAATAGATTGTGTGGAGGCTGATCCCTTTCTGAATTCCAGAAAATAAGATAAATGTCTTCAGAATGCTGGCAAATTAATCCCAGTGAAATTATGAACCACTGACTAAAGATCCGTCCAGAAAGGGATATAAATGGAAAGGGTGATAGCTGTAATTTTACAGGCACCTTTTCTATTCCTGCTGTATTTGTTCACTGATACTATGGTGTATTTTGCTCCTAAATTCTGTATCCAGAAATAAGATGTCCAATATATCTCAATTGAAGTCATAGGTTATATATATAGAATATGTGTGATTCTATTATAGCTATCTTTGTACTCAATATATAGATAGGATTTGAGATTTAGAATACAATTTCATTGTCAATCTCAAATATCTTTCTATTTTAATTATGCATCTATAAATAATTTTAATGGCATACAAGTGAATATAAGCTTTCTAAAAATATTGCTTGATAAAAAAATTTTAGAAAATCTGTTTTCTCTTGTCTTAAATATTTTCTGGATTGCCTAATGCAAATGAACATTTTGCAATGATTTATATAAGGAAGCCTCTAGATTACATAACACTAAATTATTTACTAAGAATTATGACCCCAGAAAGAGACAAATTTAAAGTACATTTTTTTTTGAAATCCTCTCAACAAAACAGCTGTATTTCTACCTTATCACCCATACAATGGCTTTCATAAGTTAATCTCCCCCCAGTATGTGAAACTTTTAATCAGCCCTCTGGTTCTCATTTTTTTTTTTTTTTTTTTTGCTTGTCATTAGTGTTTTATTTTTTAGTGTCAAAGAATCTAAAAAGCCATTTTAAAACAGGTACAAATTTATGCCTATCTAGTATATATGTTGCTTTTCTTATTTTATTTTATTTTTTTAATTTTATTATTATTATACTTTAAGTTTTAGGGTACATGTGCACAACGTGCAAGTTTGTTACATATGTATACATGTGCCATGTTGGTGTACTGCAACCATTAACTCATCATTTAGTATTAGGTATATCTCCTAATGCTATCCCTCCCCCCTCCCCCCACCCCACTAAAGTACATTTCTTATATAATACCATAAAACATGAGAAGGTTTACATTTACGAAAATGTACCATGTGACTTGAAGTGGATCTTTGCTTTTATATAATAAATATACATTATATATAAACAAACACAGACACACACACATATATATCATGTTTTAAATAAACACTTTAAAATAAAATTCAAAGTCATCTATTTGACATGAGCTACTGAGACAAAAGCATTTATTTAAACCTATATGCACCTTTTATGCAGAGTTTGAAGTTTCATATGTAAATGTGAACAGTATTTTATCATTTATTTGAGACTAGAAGCAAGTACTTGGAATATGACTACATGTATACTTTCACTTGATTATGCAAAAAACACAAACGGCTTTATTAAGTGTTATGATCTTCTTGATGCCAAGTCCCCATTCTTTCCTTCTCTCTCAGGGAGTTGATTACATTGCTTCGTTGTTTCTCCCTGTACTAGCAACACAGCCTGAGTGAGTGATTAGTAGGCTCACGATTGGACTTAAGAACTTTCATCTTCGAGCCCTGGTGTGGGGTCTATCCACTAGGTTATGCTGCTGCTCCTCTGGAGAGCAGAGCGGAACCCACCTGGTGTGGTCTGGGAGAAGATGCTTGTTTTCAAGGCCTGTCCCAAAGAAATGAATGCTGCGGCTTTATTTTTTTTTTCCTCCTCAGAGCAATCTTGTTTGAAAAATCAACATTGCTACTGCAACACTACTTGGATGAAATTTTGTAAAAATTGGGCATGCTGTGCCATACACTTTGAAAAACTGAAAAACAGAAATTTTTATTTGAATTAAGAAAATTCAAACAAATTGCTTTTCTGTAGTTGGAGGCCTGCTTGATTTTGAATGTGTCTGCAGGTTCCTGAGCTTGTTGCTGTATATTAAACAATAAGAAATTCAGGAACAAAATCAGCAGGCAAATAATATAAACAGAACTGGTGAATGCTGTGCCAATTTACCCAAACAAATCTTCCATTATGTCATGGTGATTATTTGAAATATCCCTGTTGCTTTCAATAGTTTGCTTATTTTATTGTAGTATATGTGACTAACACATTGGAAGTATTGGCTCCAGTTGTGGACACCAAGCAGAAACACAAAGACTACAGATTTTATGATACTTGAGGTAAAATTACAATCCAGAGATAATATTGAAAAGATAAAATGAAAAAAAAATTTTGTCTAATGGCATATATGAAGTTGTGTTTAAATTCTATTTTGCATTAGTAAAATGTGGTTAAAATCAACTTTTTTAAATAAAATTTTCTTAGAGCTCTTTCAAATAAAAAAAAATAAAATGCATTTATTGGACCAAATGTTCAAATTTGATATAAATTAAAACACTCATTACAAGGAAGCTATCAAGGAGAAAAGTAAATCAATTGGAAATAGATCAGAACTAACTTACCAGGTTTTGTATGAAATTACAGATTAGTCCTAGAGATGTGAACAAGAATTAAAAAGCACAGTTCATTTTGACAGATTCAGTGCCAAGAGAAAGCTTGTAATAGGCTTAGGATAGATGTTTAACTTGTTCAGTGAGGAAACCAATCTTCTTGCATTTTAAATGCAATGAGTTAATAAATGTTCATTGGATATACTTCCTGTACACAAAATTATAATCAAACTTTCTCAAAACCTGAAAAATGGCAAAGTATAAACAAACTACAGAATAAATTGACAACTGTACTTTTCACGGTGACAACAGTTGGAAATTGATACAGCATTTCAAAATGTCTTCCACTACAACATAACACCTCTAGTCGAAGCCAAATTTCCATTTGACCCATTGCCAGTGTCTCCAATATTTTTAGAAATCAAAAAAGTTGATTATTTAATTTGATCAGTTCACATTTTTTTAAGTTATGGATGGATTTAGGAGCTCCTGCTGTGTACAAGGCATGTGCTGGGCAGTATGAATCTGGAGGAGCTGCACTCAATTCTAAATATTTTTGTAGGTTATAGAGGAAATTAAGTCTGCCAACTACTAATTTCAATAGCATCTTCTATCATGAAACTGACACGTGTAACAAAATACTGAATTTTTCCATGAAGGAAAGTTTTTTTTTTGTCTAAAATGAGAGTTCAAATAAAAGATGTTTCATGCAGGAGATAACATTTAAGTTTAGCCTTGATGATGGATAGATTTTGAAGATGCAGAGTTGAGGCCAAAAGACATTAGAAACATTCTTGGGAGATGGTGTTATGAAGAAATATGTATAAAGGAGAAGATTCCCTTAAAGAGTATCATAGCTCTTACAATTCTAGAGTAACAATTTAAAAATAAGGTAGACAGTCAGTGCTTCCACTCTGATTCCAATTTATATTTGAGAAAAATAAACTTGACAGCACTTTTCCACTCTCTGCCATCTGCATACTTTTGTGTTAACTCAATAGAAACCAACAGTGGATGAATACTACTATGATAACAGTAATTGCTATCAGATTTTAAATGCCAGATATGTTCCTCTTTTACTGATTCACAAAAACAATGATGATCAGGAAGCCTGCAAATTCACCTTTTAAAAATCTCAGTTAGACCCTCAACTGCCGAGGCTAATTTTTTGTAGTAATCCTTGATCAACTCCTCTCCTGCTTCCTTTCAATGACTACTTCAAGTCTTTATTACTTGTCTCAAGGAGTACTACTCAATATCTATCTCCATCATTTTCTGTGGTCCTTCTACAACGTAAAGAAAGAATGATTATCAGTCTCAGAGAAAGAAGGGACTCTCCCTCTAACTATTCATGACCAATCTCTTCACTAGAGTTTCTCTTTATACCCCAAGCTCCGGACTCCAATCACCTATCTTGAAATATTTTCTCCCATCTGGCTTTCAATCAAAACACATATTTGGGCCAGGCACGGTGGCTCACACCTGTAATCCCAGCACTTTGGGAGGCCGAGGTGGGTGGATCACCTGAGGTTGGAGTTCGAGACTAGCCTGACCAGCATGGAGAAACCCCATCTCTACTAAAACTACAAAATTAGCCAGACGTGGTGGCACATGCCTGTAAACGTAGCTACTGCACAGGCTGAGGCAGGAGAATCTCTTGAACCCAGGAGTCAGAGGTTGCAGCGAGCCGAGATTGCGCCATTGCACTACAGCCTGGGCAACAAGAGTGAAACTCCGTCTCAAAACAAACAAACAAACAAACAAACAAACAAAAATACATATTAGACTCTCTTCTTTCTACAAACTGACAATGGAAAGAAGGGGGAAAAAAAAAGAACTGCTAAGATTCAGATTTTATGTTGCATTCTGGGGAAAACCTTTCTTCTGTCCAGCTTACACGGCATTCTGTGATTTTGTAGCATCCATAGTATTCTGTTTTGAAATGCCAACTTACATGTTTGTCTCCTCTGCTAAACGTTGGAAGCCTTAAGGTCAGCTATGGTATCTGATTCACTGTTAAATTGCGAGTTCTAACTGAGTAGAGGGTTGGTAAATATTTGGAAAATAAATCAATAAATGATGTGTTATGATTTTTCTGTTCCTTTATACTCCTTTAATTTTCTGAACTTTCAAATATGATCATGTATATTTTGGGTACAAGACAAACTAAATTAAAAATATAAACAAGAATAAGGATCATTTGCCATTTAAGATGATAAACTGAATGAATCTGTCAGCTGCTAGCATCCATAGCAGTTGTTAAAACTCTGTTTTTCTACATGGAAAACAATACTGATGTTTCTGATTTAAAAGAAAAAATATGAGAAAAAGGTAATTTTTTATGACAAAATATAGCAAAAGTCACAGGTTTATTTTAAGAACAATTGCATGTAGATGTCACAAATGGTTCATAGTAAATCTATATTGTATATTTCATCCAGTCGTACTTAAATTGGTATCTCCTTTATTATATTATTTTCGTAGTTTTAAGTATTCAAATGGGTTTGTCAACAAATTGGCATTAATATTTATGTTATTTGTGAAATGACAAAATTAACTCTGGAAAGTTTACTTTTAAATGTAATCAATTAATTTTAGATATTTGATCTTGAATAACAAAATAGCACCATCAAGTGGAAATAAACTCAAAATCCAGTGAAAACTACCTCTTGATAGTTTCACAGTTCTTCTGACATGAGGCTAGAGTTTACGTTTATTTTCATTTACTCAACTGCGACTTATCAGCACGTGAGCTGCTCCTAAACCAGCTCTACTCTTCTCACTGGGAGAAATCTTGGCTCTTCTTTTATTTTCCCTCAGTTTCCTTGCATCTTTCATGCCCCCACGCAATTTACCCTCCACCTGTCTTTATCTTACTCTTATATTCTTAATTTCAAAGCTTACACCACTTTTCTCCAGTAATCTAATTCTCAGTAATAAATTATTTTAGTATATTCTCCATTTGCCTTATTATATTTTATTGCTATATCTCAAGCTGAAAAGTAGCTTGGCTGCTGAAAGTTTTGTATATGTTTCCTGCAGCATGGTTATTGGCACATACTAAGTGCTCAGTAAATCCTAATTGATTTATTGACTAATGTAGCACATTGACTTTTCCTTCACATTTTGTCTTAGAAATGAGTAAGAAAAAGCAAATCACTTTTTCCTAGCAAAGATTCCACCTTTTTTTAAGTTAAATTAGACTAAAAGAGAAAAGGTTTATCTGTAAAAAAGTTAAAACAAAGTTGAGCATGAGAGTACAACAAAGACTACTGTAGCTACCAGAGATATTGCATTTGACTTCCCAAAAATCAAAAACAAATTGTATATATATATATATACATATATATATATATACGTCAGATATAAAAAAGAAGAATAAAGAGAGATAAGATATTTTAGGGCAAATTTAAAGAAACTTTAAGCAAAGGTTCAATTGGTCTCCTATATATACACATTACTTTGTGTTTATTCTAATAACTTTTAAAGTCAGAGAGAAATTCAAAATGATTTTTGATTAGCATAATAGCTAGATTAAAATATCAAGATAGATTGCAGAACAGGTATCATCTACATCAAACACTAATGTATATTTCTGCTTGTATCACTCACATTACAGTAATTGTATGACATTTTCAAAACTCCAGAAAGTTGTTTGAGAAATACTATAAGGACCAGAGTGAAAGCAGAGAGCTTCATTTATTAAACTATGTTCAGTATTGATTTAGTATTATTTACATCCTTCACTACTGAGATTACTTTAACAGAGAACACTAAATAGGTAAAATCCATGTGTAAAAACTGAGAAACCCAGATGACATAACTAAAATGTCTTCAACTGCCAGAAATCAGATTGGTTCTTTTGCTTCACAATACTCCTTGAGTATCTGGATATTATGCTTAAATTTGCCTGCCAAATTCATTAGATAGCCATCTTCTAAAAACTGAGAAAATATTGAACTTTTATGTAATAACCTGATTAAAAGCTGACCTTATACTTTTTGCTTAAGGCAGGAGTTTGAATAATCCTGTTTACAATGCAAGGCAATTGCTTTTTTTTTTTTTCTACAGCCCTAGTAAAAATCATGATTTAACTTCCTTTTTTTCTGTGACACTGTAAAACACAATGGCCCTTATAAAAAGCCTTAGAGATGCCTCCAGAAATATTAGCTCATCTATATGCCTTAGCCCATCTAATTAAATAGAAATTGTATGTCTTCAGTATAAAACTCCCTTTGATTAAAGTTAGTCTGAGAATATGGCTGAGAAGATAATGAATTTCAGTTACCCTATCTCCAAGAGATGCAGTGAAATGGCCCTTTAAAAAATTCTTTATAACTTGGATACAAACAATTTAATGAAGAGAACTTGAATTTTTCAAAGTATTGCTGAATTCAGCTTTGAACTCCCTGTCTATTAATGAAGCTATGTTTCCTAAAACAATAAGGCCTTTTGTAGCCTTGCAGATGCATTTCTGAAAACATTCCTATTTAATACTACATGCCATTGCCCCGTCTTCCTCCCAGTAACTGTCACTGACTGTCAGTTCCTGTGTGGTGGTGTTGCCTATGCTGTCAGATCAATTTTTAGAGATAGGGCAAAGTCACAATAAAATTCAGTAGAGTAGAAAACCCATTAATGTTGAAGGGCCTATGTATGTTGTATTCTCCAATGAAGCAAAGCTAGCAAGGATTTTAATAATGATGAAATCAAACATACAAATAGTCAAAACAAACATCATCAACAAACTCTTCTATGTCTCAGTGAAAGATCAAACAACACAAAAGAGTAAATATTGTCTCTGAAACTTTGGAAAGCAGCACTATAGGACTGGAGAAGAAAAGTATAAGGCTGTTGCAAAAAGCCAACAGGTCAAGGTCGAGTTTAAACCTTTTAGGATTGATTTAGCTGGTGACTCCAAGCCTTCAAGTTTTTGCGAATACCCTTCATAGCTTTTGCTATAAGTATCACCTGGGTTAAATAAAAACTACACTTACACAATAATTTTCTTTAGATTTACTCACTTTTTAATCTTAAGTAAATCTGGCCTCAACCTAAATATCAGTATGTATAAAATTAGAAGCTTGATATGACAATTTATATATATATAGTACGTACACTTTAAAATAAAAAAAATTAAATTAAAAATTTAAAAGTTCATCTGCCTAATTGCCCTCATGTGCCACTATCTCTACTTATACCAAGGTTTGGGAAAGCAGGGTCCAATTAACCATGTTTCTATAAAGAGAGAATATAGTCTTCTATGCCAAGGCAGAAATAACAATACCCAAATGTCAAATCAACTTAGTCTGGAAGTATTCTGTCTTGTATAGAAGCCTCCCTACTGAAGGCACAGCAGACGTGGGATCATTGAGCATTGGAGCAGGAAGGCTTTCATGAACATTTAGCCTAAATCCCTGGTTTAAGTGAAATAAAGTAGAGAGCCACGAGATTTAAATGGCTCCTCCTCTGCCCTGCAGCTGGTGGGAGGAGCTCCTGAGAATCCAGCTCTCCTGGGTCTCATTACTGTGCCTTGCACACTCTAATGCTTATTTCAATGTCACAAAAAATCACGATGCATTGAAACAGAACTGTAAAAATGCCAATTTTCACACCAATAAATATCAAAAATATAAAGTATAGTTTTAAAATATATGTTATGGTTAAAACAATAAAATACATGCCATCAGTAATTTGAGTAGAAGAATACAAAGTAATCATATGGTAACATCTGAAGATGAGGGCTTAAAGGTATAAGTGAGTTTAGTATAATATAAACTCTGTAGTGTTTAGCACAGCTATAGTGAAATGGTTATACAACTACTGCCAATTTAAGAATATGCAAGACAGAATAAGAGTGAAACCAGCAACATGGGAATGAGATTTGGATACCAAGAAAACAGTACAAGATACAGTGTAAGAGGTGGTGTGGAGTATTGGGATAACATAAGGGGTATTAATTAATGTCATCCTCACTAGGTTTCATAGTGGAGGTAGTAGGGTCGTAGTTTGTGGAAAGATATTAAAAAATTAAAGAATGAGAAAATAAATGGAAGAAAAAAGAAGTAGAATTCTAGAGAGGAATATCAGGCCAAGTGACTATTACTGGTTGTAGATTGGTTTAAGGTTGCTTGTCGGAAGCCTGGCATAGTAATAAGCAGCCTTTATCACTGACAGCGTGCAACCTTGATTTAGAGACTGTTTCTTCTATTCTGCATCTGTATTTCTCTATTAACTATTTCCTAGGATTCTTCTTCAACTTACTTTTACCTGGAGCTATTTCATTAAAACAGCAATTTAAAAAAATACAAACAACGACAAAAAGCCCTACAGTTTAAAGTTTTAACAGTTACATTTTTTCCCCATGGTTTGCCAAAGTCGTAATGACAATGATTTACCTTGTTAGTTAGTCTTGGAACTTTATTGAATACTTGTTGATTTGCCCTGGAGTTAGCTTTATTTTTACCCAGCTAATAATAATTATGAAGATAATAAAAAAGTCTCACATTTATAAAAGGCTATTATGTAGTTTGCAAAAAATTATATTAACTTTCTCATTAAAATCAGCATCACTACCCATCCATTTATTCACTCATTTTTTGCATGCTTTCAACAATATGAAGTGCATACTTCCTATGTAGCAATCATTGTTCTACAAGTTTAAGATACACCAGTGAGCCAAACAGAGAAAGTTCTTGCTTTCATGAAGCTTATGACATTATAGTGGAGGCAGCAGTCGTTAAAATAATCCCACCAATAGCCATAAATTATATATTCATATTAACACAGTGATGGATATATTGTAGGAAAGTATCAGTGCTATCAAATAATAAAATATGGTATGAATTTTAACTTCATTAGGTGCAAATAATAGAACAGATTTTGAGAAACTATTTTAATCTGGTACCAAAGAATGAGAAGGAATAATGCAGAGAGAAAAGTGGAGAGTAGCGGGTGGGGAATCAGAGAATTGGGATGAGAAGATAATTTCAAGTAGAAGAAAAAGACTGCCCAAAAATCCTTCCCTGGATGAGAGCATAGAGATGTGGAAAATCTAGAAGATTTATGTGTTTAAAGAACAGTGAAAAATGAGTTATGAAGAAAATAATCATATGCAGACTAATAAACTATGTGAAAGAGAATTTTTAAAACTACTCGACATTTACTCTCAAGAACCTCAGTAAAATCTCTTAATTTTGTTTGAAGGTCCATCCTCCCCGTTCCTTTCTTGTTCAGATCGAGCTGCCTACTACTAGCTTCCAGGCGGAATGAAGTATTAGCCACCACTGACTCATCAGTATCTCCCTTTCCTAGCCTCAAGGATGGATTTAAAGTAGGCAAGTCTTTTGAAATTACTAATTGAACTTACTTACACTTGAAGGAAAAGAGAAATGGCGGTGAGGGGAAAGTACAAAGATACACGGCATCCCAGAGAGACAACAGAAAGAGGAGTCAGTGAAAAAGACCATAGAAGGAGATTCATGTAGCTCTCATTATACCATAATGTACTATTTGTTATAGTATTTGCAAATAAGCGTTACATCCTCAATATGATCATTGGTCCCTTGTTATGTGGTTTATGTCTTATGTATTACATGTAATTGGCAGCATGGCCCTAGATAAGCAGTGGATGATCAATAATTCATTAATCAGATGTTTCTAGTGTGGATGTGATGGCAGGTTGCAGGGTGCTACCCGTACTTAAGTTGCCAATGAGCAATAGTATTGCATTCACAAATATGCAAAGCAGGTCAAGACTGCAGTAGAGAGAGAGCTGGCTCTCTTTTCTTCTCTCTGCCTCAGTGTGTCTCTCTGCCTCGGTGTGTCTCTCTGTAGAAGTCCCTTTCTACCTGCCTCTTTGGTCTTTCTCTATCTCACATATATTTCCATTTATGTATATGAATGATTAAAAGTTGGTAGAGAAACACTATGGCTTAGTGAATTTCAGTTTTCTTAAAAGACCAAATGATTTTTCTGAGCATATTAAAAGTAAAGATATGAGAAAAATAGAATGTTCTTGGTTCAACGAAAGAAAGAATAAAGCATGTCTTTTTAATCTCTGAAGAACAGAAGCCTTGCTGAATCTCTCCACTCTTCCTATTTTTGCCCAGTGAAGCAGACAAATTCAGAAACAGCCAACATTTATGACTTGGATGTGAATGGTACTGTTTCATAGTGACCATTAAAGAAATATATGATCTTAGGATAATATTCCAGAATTGGTTCTTATTATTCACACTATAAAGAGGCTAGAGATCCCAGTGAAATCCACTTGAAGATAAAAGATACTCAGAGCCCATCAGATACAAATTCTCTGCTAATTTTGTGAAAAATGCTAGGTTAGTCACAAATTAGTAAGTGTGCTTCTAAGTTAAAGAGTCAACTAGTATTAATTATTTTAAATATAGGATGATAATTTAACCTTATTTTCATATTGTTAGGTAAGCTGACACATTTTCTAAGAACTACTACTTTAAACGTTTTTCAGATTCTTAAATAATCTATAAAGGAAATTAGCTTTCAATGGAGGAGTATTTTAAAATTGTATTCTTTCTTCCTATTCCCCTGCCACAACCAGTTGTATTTTTCATATGGAACTTTATCATAATCGAACTTGTATACATGCACAAATTAATTACATCATAAACAAAATGCATTTGTTTTCACAATAAATGATATTCTAAAACTTCTTGAATAATAAAGAAAAATTTAAATATTCTACAAGCATTCATAGATATCAGGTATTAGATATCAACTCCATTGAAGAAACTATATAGAATTGAGAATAAATCTCTGAGGAGCCAAATGATGTGATTTGATCCAAACTTTTCATGTGATTCCACTCAATATTTTCCCTAAGAAAGAGTAAATTATTAGGATTTTAATAGAGTGGACTCTTTCTGTCATGTTCGATGATGAAAGTAAACTATTCATCACTGGCATATCTGGGGTTCCTCATATAGAAAAAAATGGTTTTTACATTCATTTACTAGCTAAAATAAGTACTGTAATGGTTCCTATTTTGTTCTCCTATTTGAAACACACTCTGTGCTTCAGAGTCCTCTCTCTAACCCCCAATTCCCACACATAGATACTTCTCTACCCATTATGTAAAGGTGACATTATCTCTAGGTGACTATACAGTTTATTCTAGGACTTTCAAGCCCTGAGAATAACACCTTAATTTCTTTTTATGAAGAAAGCTTTCTTTGAATATAACTCAAAGGGTGAACTACTCAATAGCAACAACAATAACAACAAAACATTTCTTTGGGAGTTATTAATAGCAATTTGGAAAAAAAACTAATATTTACTAAGCAGCAAATCAAACAATACAGCTCTCTATTCCATTAATAATATAGTCTTCAGGTATGATAACGATACTTGAATTCGAGTTGGCAACAATTTGCTAACTTTGGAATCTATATTCATCCTCCTTTCAGGATATTCTGTTGTTCTTGTCTGATATTCAAACCACTAGATATCAAATTGGCGAGTACCTGCTATGTGTCAAATCATACCAGATAAACAATACATTCTTAGTCATGTATTTGCTTTACAGTCTATGTTAATAAGCTTTAAGATGGTTTTAGATTTACAAAAAAGTATCAGATGATACAAAGTTCCCATATCATCTCCATACACTTTTCCTTATTACTCACATTTTACTTAATAGAATACATTTGTTATACTTAACTCAAATTGATACATTACTATTAACTGAAGTCTCAGCTTTATTCAGTTTCTCTTTTCTTTTCTGCAGTCTCATTCAAGATACTATGTTATATTTAATAGCCATGTCTCCTTAGGATCCTCTTGGATGTCACATTCTCTGACTTTCTTTGTATTTGATGACCTTGAGGGTTTTGGGGTATACCTTTCAGGTATTTTGTAGGATGCCTTACTACTGGAATTCATCTGTTGTTTTTCTTATGATTAGACTAGAATTACGGATTTTTAGAAGACGGACCACAGAGGTGAAGTGCCATTTTCATTACATCATATCAAGAGTACATAGTATCAATATGATATGTGATGTTGTTGTTGACCTTGATAGCCTGGCTGATGCATGTTTGTAAGATTGCTCCACTGTAAAGCTACTCTCTCCCTCACCCCCTTCCCTTTCCATATTGTACCTTTTGGAAGGAAGTCACTATGCTCAGCCCACACTTCAGGGGTGAGAAGTTATGACATTCCCCTTATGCAGTAGAGTAATTGATTTCATAATTGATTTCAAATTCCTCTGCATAGAAGATTGCTCTTTTTTCTCTCATTTATTAATTCATTCAATCATTTATATCAGCATGGACTCATGGCTATTTATTTTACACTTTTGGTTATAATGTAATGCAATTTCACTTGTTTTATTGCTCCGGTTGTTCCAGCTTTGGCCATTGGGCACTTGCTCTGTTGGCTTCTGCACCTCTGATGTACCCCATAATGTCTCTGTGTGTGTGCGTGTGTGTGTGTTGAGCATTTTCTTAAATTCTGACACTATAAAGCTCATCTAGTATATTTTATGCCCCCGTTCTAAAATCAGCCATTTCTTCAAGGAACTGTGGTTTGTTTTAATGGACAATGGTATTAAAAAATCTAGATGGGGGCAATATGTGTGCTTGTTGCAAGTAGGAAGTCATTTTTTAGATCCTCTCAGCTGACAAAGCAAAGAAGTGTGCATATATAATAACTCATGTGAAATGGTTAGGCTTTGTGTCCTCACCGAAATCTCACCTTGAATTATAATCCCCATAATTCTCACCTGTCAAGGGAGAGACCAGGTGGAGGTACTTGAATCATGGGAGTGGTTTTCCCCATGCTGTTCTCATGACAGTGAGTGAGTACTCAGGAGACCTGAAGGCTTTATAAGGGACTCTTTCCCTTTTGCCTGGCACTTCTCCTTCCCGCTGCTTTGTGAAGAAGGTGCCTTGCTTCCCCTTCACCTTCCGCCATGATTGTAAGTTTCCTGAGGCTTCCGAAGCCATGCTGAACTGTGAGTCAATTAAACCACTTTCCTTTTTAAATTATCCAGTCTCAGACAGTTCTTTATAGCAGTATGAAAATGGACTAATATATCACGTGTACCCAAATATCTAGAAATATTTCTATAGGTAACTATCTGTATCTATATCAAGTTAAATATAAGTTCTTATTGATGTCTCCATCTCTTAACTCATTACCACATAGTTTATTCTAGCCTCCTGTTTTTGCTTATCTGTAAATTCCCACTCCAACGATGAGAATCCAGGCTTCCACCACCTACCTTCTATTTATGTCATTGTTCCATTCCAGTGTACATACAAATCAGTATGAAATTTGTACCCTCATGGCCGGGCGCGGTGGCTCACGCCTATAATCCCAGCACTTTGGGAGGCCAAGGCGGGCAGATCACCTGAAGTCAGGAGTTCGAGACCAGCCTGGTCAACACGGTGAAACCCCATCTCAACTAAAAGTATAGAAGTTAGCAGGGCGTGGTGGCGGGCTCCTGTAATTCCAGCTACTCAGGAGGCTGAGGCAGGAGAAGCTTGAACCCGAGTGGTGGAGGTTGCAGTGAGCCAAGATCGCACCATTGCACTCCAGCTTGGGTGACAAGAGCAAGACTCTTGTCTCAACAACAACAACACACAAAAAAGAAAGAGAGAAAATTGTACCCTCATAAGAAGCAACTTTATCCACTGGAGTACAGTGCTTATATGCAGTTATTTACAAAGTTACTTCAGCCAGCACCTTTTCTTCCATCCTCTTCAGTGAGGTTGTTTGAAACATTTGTAATATAGTTATACAATTAGAGTTCCCCTTTCTCTATATCTTCTCCAGAATTTGGCATTTTCAGCTTTTTAAATTTTAGTCATCGTGATAGGTGTGTAATGGTATCTCATGTTGTTTTAATCCCTTTGTGATAAATGATGTTGAACTTTTTTTCATGTGGCTATTTTCTATCTATATCATCTTTGGTCAGCTGCCAGTCATATCTTTTGCTTGCTTTAAAATGGGGTTGTTTATTGACTATTAAAAGTTTTTTTTTATATTATGGATACAAGTTGTTTTTCAGACATGTGTTTTGCAAATATTTTTCCCAGTCTGTGGCTTGTCTTTTCATTCTCTTAATAGTGTCTTCACAGAGCAGAAGTTTTTAAATTTAATGAAGTCCAACATACCTATATATTTTACAGAACATGTTAGTCATTTAATTTGAAAAACATCCTTATATGGCACATTTATTTTTGCATATTTTACTGGTGAATAAATGTACTCAGATATGTTAAACAACTGGTTTTATCTCACACAGCTGCTAAATGCTAGAACAAAAGTTAAAATTATACTTGTGTGACTACAAACTTTGTTTTACTTATTGTCTCCCTGTTTTTATGCTGCCAAAAAAATTTAAATATTCTATAAAATGGATCCAATGCCCAATTTTATTTGTTGTGTGTGTACTGTACATAACACAGAGTGGCCAAAAGTCTGGACATTTGAGTTTGAAAGTCCATTTTTTCATCTTTAAAATGGAGATTGTTTTTTAAATTTTTATAGAATTGTAATGAAAAGTAAATGAAGTTACCTATAATAAAGCACTTGGCAATATCTTATCCAAATTAATTTAATCAATTTACCAATATTATCCTATTTATTATTATTTTATGGTATTGTCACTATTACTACAAATACCTGATGTAGTATAGTTCCTCTCGTAGGATAGATGCTCAATATATTTTCTTAAATAAAAAAATGTATTTCTCTACACACTTTTTAATTTATGGTATGGATTTCTGCGATTTTTCATTTATTTTCTTTTCTTGCAGTATTTTTTTTTATCATCACTAGCTTTATTTTCTTTCTTGTTGATACTTTTATCACTATTTTTTATTTGCTATTGTTGGCTTCTGACCTATAGGCTAAACCATTTCAGAATTTTCTGGTTATGATTATGTCTCATGTATTAGGCTCTGGAGTTCTTACTTTTCCCTATCAGAAAATAGCCGTTTTGACAGGTTTGACAGGATTTGAGAGAGGACCATCTGGAAGACCTTTCTTTCTGGAAGAAAACAAAATATTACCACTGTCTCTGTAGTGTGTAATGTCTTTCTTACTTAGGCATCTTCACCAAGACATACAATATAAAATTTAATGTACATGCAAAGACAAGGCAACTGGAGCTGAGGCCTCCGTAGCAAAAATATCATTAATGTGGTTTAACTATTTAGCTCATTGCATCAAGTATTCTCATCTTTTCCCTTTAGACTCTTTCACTCAAAAGACTTTCTATCCAAAACTGAAAATCACATAAACTCCTTTGCTATGGATTTGCTTATATTTTTGTGTTCTGCATCTTTAGTCCAAGTAACCAAATGATATGTTAAACTCCTTGAGACAAGGAATAGCATCCATCTTGTTTCCCATTTTACCTCAGTGCCTACCCTACATAATAGGCTCTTGGAAAATATTTTATGAATGCATAAATGAAAGTGAATCTAGAAATGAAGAACTCATATTTTGTTCTGGTAAGACGTGCAGTGACTACTTATTAAATAGAAATAATTTCTGGTTGAAGACAATTTTTGTTGTTGTTGTTCATCTTGACTTGTGAGTATCCCCATTGTTGCCCTATATGATTCAAACTCTTTCTTTCTATCCCTCCCTCCTTCCTTCCCTCCCTTACTTCTTTCCTCTCTCTCTTTTATCTTTTCATCTTTTCTTCTCCCTCTCTCTCCATTTCCTTCTATCCTTTTCATATAAACCAAGCACAAAAATAAACCAAGCATTGTACTGGATTCCAAGGATACAAGTAAGGTGATACAACATTACCCAATTATAGTCTATGTTTTTATTGTCTATAAACATTTATGGTCTATAAAGTTATTGTCTACTGACAATAAATACTACCTCAGTGTGCCAATTACATTCATTTATGATTCTAGCATGGCCTGTGTTCAGGGGGTCAGGCTTCAGTATAGTTTTTTTTAAAAAAAGGATGCCTCCCATTCAAACTTAATCTTCAGAGTGACAGATATTTATAGATTTCTACATTTTTTGGTATAGATTCTCCTTAGGTGTCTTCCTAATATCATTTTATCCAGTTTTTAATAACAGTTTATTATAATTAATTATAAAACTCTTACTGTAGAAAAGTATGAAAACGATAAAGAAAAAATTTAAAATACTCATCATTATTTAAAGTTATAAGGATATGTAACCAAATGCTTTGATATATTTTCCTGCAATATTTTTAATGAAATGTCACTGATATTATTTAAAAACTTATAATGTATATGTAAATTTTATCTAATCTTACCTAAGATTCAATCATAAATATTTTCTGTATCAAAAAAATTGCACTTCATGAAAATAACTTTCAATGTCAATATAATTTGTGGTCATTTTAATGTTTTTATAGCCCTTTAATATCTATTTTCTGCTTGTTTGTTGGCTAACATAATAACAGTGTTACCCATAAAACATATGAATTTCTTGGATTATTTACCAAGGATATATTCTGAGAAGACAGGAATGAGTGTCAATTCTTTACATATCACAACTTTCTTACATATCTGTGTACTGATAATTTTTATTATCTTGTTTTGCTGGAATATATCTTCAAGTTGTATGTTAAAGATTACAGGTGATTTTTTTTGTGTGTATATATATATGAGAATGTCTTTTTGTCACTTTCACAACCAAGATGTCTTGACTGACAGTGAAGTGTGTTTATGGGGAATTAATGTTTCAGTCTGAAAATTCTGTTCTCTGTCATTTGGTGTCACAGTGACGTTTAAGCCAGTAATTCTCTTTGTAGTTATCATTTATCCATTTTTTTTCCTGAATAGAATCTTATAGTATTATTTAACTTAAAAATTCTAATATTTTTGGGTAACAAAGTGTTTAGCACATGTAAAAACCTCAATAATATTTTTGAATAAAAAAAATCTCTGTAAGCATGCTAAAATGACTCCTAATAATGTTGCCTCTTTATCCTCTTCATATTCATGCCCTTGTAGAAGTTCCTCCTTTTGAGTATTGTCTGCATTTATTGACTTGCTTATAACAAATAAATATGATAGATATGATGGGATGTTACATGTAATATATGACTTTAAAAACACTGTGACTTTCATCTAGAGTGCTCTCACTCGCTCATTTTCTCTTGCTTCATGCACCTGGCAGGAAATCAGCTGTCAAGTTGTGAGGGATCCCTGTGGAGAGGTCTACGTTGCCATCAACCACATGGGTGGGCTTAGAAGTAGATTGTACAGCTCTAGTCATACCTGGACATGACTGCAATTGACCCCAGACCACACAAGACATCTTGAGCCAGAGGCACCCAGTGAAAGTTATGCTAAGATTCCTGAACCACAGAAACTGAAATATAATAAATGTTTCTTGTTTTCAGCTCCTAATTTTTGAGCTATTTTCTAACACATCTGTATATAATAGACTACTTTTCCCGTTGTTTCCTGGAATATGACAACTCTTTTCCTTTATTTATTTAGGATTTTATTTTCCAATGAGAAGAATTTATTTCAATTATGTCTTTATTAATTTTTTCTAATAAAACTGTTAAAGTTTCTTCCCTGCACATACCTACTTTTTATCTTCAAAATCTATTATATTAAGTCCTTTATATGTTTTTCTTCAATCATGAAATTTCTCAACTTTTTCTCTCACTTCACTGATTTTATTTTACTTTTTGGAACTTAGATGCACAGATTTGAATTAATCGTATTCCAAGTTTGTAAAACACTGTAATTTTGTTAATCCAAAGCCAAACTTTTTATCTGGTTTATTATTTCTTCTTAATCCCTTATCTCTACTCCCATCCCCTTTACCCCATAGACACCTACCTAAGCATTTATTTAGGTTTGTATGTATCCTTGTAACTTATATTGTTTGGCTGAGTGTTTAAATGTACAGAAGAAGAGTTTTGAAATAATTTTAATCTAACTTCTCATTTAATACTATGTTTCTACAAGGCATCCACATCACTACATTTGAGGATAGTTCATTAACTCCGATTGCTGAAAATTATTCTATTATATGCACATACCATGCACATTTTACATTTTATTTAGCCAACCAAGTGATCTCCAAACTCTTGTTATTAAATCCAGTCACTGTAATACAAATCCTTGTATGTACTTATGTGAACATTTTTGTGGATATATACCTAGGATAGGTTTAGCTACATTTAGGATGTAAAATACTGACTTTTATGAAACACTGGCAGACTGTTCTTCAAAATTTCTGTGCCGATTTGTACTCCAACCACCAGATTTTGAGGGCTCTTACTAGCTCAGGTTTTCAATAGCCCTTCATAAGGTTTGTCTTTATTTCTTCAAACCTGATAGCTAAAATTTGTAATATCACTGATGTTCCCTAACCCCGTCCTCCTTCCTCTGGTTACTAGAAAAGTTGTTCACTTCCTCATTTATAAGAAAGCTGTCCATTTAGAATCTACCAGTTTGACCGTAGTTTTTGTTAATGGGCTTCATGTATTTTTCTTGATGATCTGGAGAAGTACCATGGATATTTTATATATTAATGCCTGTAACTTTACACATTGTATTAACTACTGCTTTGGGGTTTGTTCCTGATTTTTGAATTAATCTATAATACAAGTTATTCAATTAAAGTCATTAATTTTGAGAAGCTTTAATACATTTACCTCTGTTAATTTTTAATTTTTAAGTTTTGATTAAAAACCATTTCCTAGAATCAGAGTGATGCAATGTGAGAAAGACTTCACTGGCTTTTGCTGGTTTTGAAAATTCTACAAGCCAAGGAATGTGGTCAGCCTCTAGAATCTAGAATAGATCATCATGGCTGACAGGAGGCAGGACTAGATTGCAGCTCCAACCCAGGCTGACAGAACAGTGTGCAGAGGCTCAAATCATGAATTTTAGCTCTAGAATGACTGCAAGAACAAAACAGGAATCCCAAGAGGACCCACAGACCCTCTGAAGGAAACAGACTGATTCTGCAGGACCTGGGAGATGTGCTGGCATCTATGGCTAAGAGACTCATAGATGGTTCACATCACAGCACTCTGTGCAGACAAGCCCCAGTACCAGCCCAGAGCCTGGAAGACACGCTGGATGGCTAGACCCAGAAGAGGGATAACAATCACTGCAGCTCAGCTTTCAGGAAGCCACATCCATAGCAAAAGGGAGAGAGTACTACATCAAGGGAACACTGAATAGGACAAAATAATCTGAACCATAGCTTTCAGCCCTAGACCTTCCCTCTGACAGAACCTACCCAAATGAGAAGGAACCAAAAAACCCAACTCTGGTAATACGACAACACAAAGCTCTTCAACACCCCTAAAAATCACACTAGCTCACTAGGGAGCCAAACCAAGCAGAAATCCTCGATTTACCTGAAAAGGAATTCAGGAGGTTAGTTATTAAGCTAATCAGGGAGGCACCAGAGAAAGGTAAAGCCAAATGCAAGGAAATTTAAAAAATAATACAAGAAGTAAAGGGAGAAATATTCAAGGAAATAGATAGCATAAAGAAAAAACAAAATTTCAGGAAACATTGGACACACTTATAGAAATGCAAAATGCTCTGGAAAGTCTCAGCAATAGAACTGAACAAGCAGAAGAAAGAAATTCAGAGCTTGAAGACAAGGTCTTTGAATTAACCCAATCCAACAAAGACAAAGAAAGAAGAATAAGAAAATATGAACAAAGCCTCCAAGCAGTCTGGGATTATGTTAAACGACCAAACCTAAGAATAACTGGGGTTGCTGAGGAAGAAGAGAAATCTGAAAGTTTTTGAAACATATTTGCGGGAACAATTGAGGAAATCTTTCCCAGCCTTGCTAGAGACCTAGACATCCAAATACAAGAAGCACAAAGAACACCTGGGAAATTCATCGCCAAAAGATCATTGCCTAGGCACACTGTCATCAGGTTATCTAAAGTTCAGATGAAGGAAAGAACCTTAAGAGCTGTGAGACTAAAGTACCAGGTAACCTATAAAGGGAAATCTATCAGATTAACAGCAGATTTCTCAGCAGTAACCCTACAAGCTAGAAGGGATTGGGGCCCCATCTTCAGCCTCCTCAAACGAAACAATTATCAGCCAAGAATTTTGTAGCCCATCATATATGAAGGAAAGATAGTCTCTTTCAGACAAAAAATGCCGAGAGAATTCACCAGTGCCAAGCCACCACCACAAGAACTGCTAAAAGGAGCTCTAAATATTGAAACAAATCCTGGAAACACATTAAACAGAACCTCTTTAAAGCATAAATCACCCAGGATCTATAAAACAAAAATACAATTTAAAAAACAAAAACAAAAACAAAAAACAAGGTACACAGGCAACAAATAGCATGATTAATGCAATGGTACCTCACATCTCAATATTAACGTTGGTTGTAAATGGTCTAAATGCTCCACTTAAAAGATACAGAACTGCAGAATGGATAAGAATTCACCAACCAACTATCTGCTGCCTTCAGGAGACTCACCTAACACATAAGGACACACATAAACCTAAAGTAAAGGGATAGAAAAAGGCATTTCATGCAAATAAACACCAAAAGCCAGGAGGGGTAGCTATTCTTATATCAGACAAAACAAACCTTAAAGCAGCAGCAGTTAAAAGAGACAAAGAGGGACATTATATAATGGTAAAAGACCTTGTCCAACAGGAAAATATCACAATCCTAGACATATATGCACCTAACACTGGAGCTCTGAAATTTATAAAACAATTACTAATAGACCTAAGAAATGAGATAGACAGCAACACAATAACAGTGGGCAACTTCAATACTCCACTGACAGCACTAGTCAGGTCATCAAGACAGAAAGTCAACAAAGAAACAATGGATTTAAACTATAGCCTGGAACAAATGGACTTAACAGATATATACAGAACATTTCATGCAACAACCACAGAATACACATTCTATTCAACAGTGCATGGAATGTTCTCCAAGGTAGACCATATGATAGGCCATAAACAAGGCTCAATAAATTTAAGAAAATTGAAATTATATCAGGCATTCTCTCAGACCACAGTGGAATAAAACTGGAAATGAACTCCAAAAGGAACCTTCAAAACCATACAAATACATGGAAATTAAATAACCTGGTCCTGAATGAGCATTGGGTCAAAAATGAAAACAAGATGGAAATTAAAAAATTCTTTGAACTTAATGACAATAATTATACAACCTATCAAAACCTCTGGGATACAGCAAAGGTGGTGCTAAGAGGAAAGTTCATAGCCCTAAACACCTACATGGAAAAGACTGAAAGAACACAAACTGACATTCTAAGTTCACACCTCAAGGAAGTAGGAAATCATCATTCTCAGTAAACTATTGCAAGAACAAAAAACCAAACACCGCATATACTCACTCATAGGTGAGAAATAAGAATAAACCAAACCCAAACTAAGCAGAAGAAAGGAAATAACCAAGATCAGAGCAGAACTAAATGAAATTGAAACAAACAACAACAACACAAAAATACAAAGGATACATGAAACAAAAAGCTGGCTCTTTGAAAAGATAAATAAAATTGATAGACCATTAGCAAGATTAACCAAGAAAAGAAGAGAGGAAATCCAAATAGCCTTATTAAGAAACAAAACAGGAGATATTACAACTGACACCACTGAAACACAAGAGATCATTCAAGGCTACTATGAACACGTTTATGCACATAAACTAGAAAACCTAGAAGAGATGGATAAGTTCCTGGAAAACTACAACCCTCCTAGTTTAAGTCAGGAATAATCAGATACCCTGAACAGATCAATAACACACAGTGAGAATGAAATGGTAATTTTAAAATTTCCAACAAAGAAAGTCCAGGACCAGACAGATTCACAGCAGAATTCTACCAGACATTCAAAGAAGAATTGGTACCAATCCTTTTGACACTATTCCACAAGACACAGAGGAAACACTCCCTAATTCATTCTGTGAAGCCAGCATCACCCTAATAACCAAAACCAGGAAAGGACATAACCAAAAAAGAAAACTACAGACTGATATGCCTGATGAACATAGATACTAAAATCCTTAGCAAAATACTAGCTAACCAAATCTGACAACATATCAAAAAGATAATCCACCATGATCAAGTTGATTTCATACCAGAGATGCAGGGATGGTTTAACATAAGCAAGTCAATAAATGTGATACATCACATTAACAGAATTGAAAACAAAAATTACATAATCTCAATGGATGCAGAAAAAGCATTCAAAAAAATCCAGCATCCCTTTATTATTAAAACTCTCAGCAAAATCGGTATACGAAGGACATACTTCAATGTAATAAAAGCCATCTATGACAAACTCACAGCCAACATAATACTGAATGGGGAAAAGCTGAAAGCATTTCCTCTGAGAAATGGAACAAGAAAATGATGCCCACACTCTCACCACTCATCTTCAACTTAGTACTGGAAGTCCTAGCCAGAGCAATCAGACAAGAGAAAAAAATAAAGGGCATCCAAATCAGTAAAAAGAAAGTCAAACTGTTCCTGTTTGCTGACAATATGATTGTTTACCTTGAAAACCATAAAGACTCCTTCAGAAAGCTCTTAGAACTGCAAAGTTTCTGGATACAAGATTAATGTACAAAAATCAGTAGCTCTTCCAAACACCAACAGCAACCAAGTGGATAATAAAATCAAGAACTCAACCCCTTTTACAATAGCTACAAAAAAATTAAAATACTTAAGAATACACCTAACCAAGGAGACGAAAGACCTCTACAAGGAAAACTAGAAAACACTGCTGAAAGAAATCATAGATGACACAAACATACATAAATAC
Source organism: Homo sapiens (assembly GCF_000001405.40). NCBI lineage: Eukaryota > Metazoa > Chordata > Mammalia > Primates > Hominidae > Homo > Homo sapiens. Next base: position 76,328,587 of record NC_000008.11, on the reverse strand, counting down.
AGCCTATACTCCTGGATGGGTAGAATCAATATTGTGAAAATGACCATATTGCCAAAATCAATCTACAAATTTAATGCGATCCCCACCAAAATACCACCATCATTCTTCACAGAATTAGGAAAAGTAATTCAAAAATTTATATGGAAACAAACCAATTCAGTAAAGTTGCAGGGTAAAAGTAAACATGAAAATTAGTAGTGTTTATTTATATACACCATAAAGAACTAGCTGAGAAAGAAATAAGAAGACTAGACCATTTATAATAGACTAAAAAATATATACAGCTATGAATAAATTTAGCCAACCCGGTAAAAGAACTCTTTGATGTGTGTATATATATATATATGGTGCATATATATGTGGTATATATATGGTGTATATATATGTGGTATATATGTGGTATATATAGATGTGAGAGATATATATGTATATATATAGTGTATATCTATATATGATGGAATACTACTCAGCCATAAAAAGGAATGAATTAATGGCATTTACAGAGACCTGGGTGAGATTGGAGTCTATTATTCTACGTGAAGTAACTCCGGAATGGAAAACCAAACATTGTATGTTCTCACTGATATGTGAGAGCTAAGCTATGAGGACGCAAAGGCGTAAGAATGATACTTTGGTGACTTGGGGGGAAGGTTGGGAGAGAGGTGAGGGATATAAGACTACAAATAGGGTGCAGTGTACACTGCTCGGGTGATGGGTGCACCGAAATCTCACAAATTACCACTAAAGAACTTACTCATGTAACCAAACACCACCTGTACCACCATAACCTATAGAAAAAATTTTTTAAAATTCCTATCCCATAGTCAAAAAGATATGTATGTTTCTCCTTTAATATCTCATATAGAAGTATTTAATTCACTAGGAATCAATTTTTTTCCATTTTATAATGTGTAGATAACCTTGATTTTCTATAAGCAGTGAGGCAGTTTTTCCAATACCATCTAGGACTAAGAAATTCTTATGTTTCCTCTTAATTTGTTATGTGATGTCTATCCATTCTTCTTTCAGTGATATGTTTGTCTTTTTCAACACAAATAGCCCACTCTTAAATTTTATTATTTTAACTTTCTAATGTATCTTAATGTCTAGTAAGGCAAATTATCTTTCTCTAATTTTTAAAATTTTCTCCGCTATTGATCAAACTTTATTCTTCCATATGAATTTCAAAATCAGTTTGTCATACTGATTCAAGAATGCTAAGAATCCTGTTGGGGTTTTATTGTTATTTAATTGAATTTATAGATTTATTAGAGCAAACTGACATCATATTGTGTTATGTTTTGCCATCCATGAACATCATGTCTATTTCATTTATGTAGTTCTCTTTCAATGTTCTGTAATAGTCTGAAGATATTCATTATAAAGGACGTGTGTGTTCTTGGTTTTGTCCATTACTATAAAATCCTATTAAATGTTATAATTTATAGATGGTAAATTTTTGTAGATAAATCTTATATCTGAAAACCTTGCTGAACCCTCATATTTGTTTAATTAATTCATTGATTCTTTTGGATTTTCTAAATAGAGTCATATCTACAAATAAGAATAATTTAAATTCTCTGTCAACTGGCTAATAATTTACATCTACTTTTCATAGCTGCTGGTTTTACTTGGGGTTTTATGAATTATTTTGTTAATATTTTTTCATATTTATTTTTGTATATCATTAAACTTATTTTATACTCTTGATCCATCTGTAGTAATACTTCTGCTTCTGGTGATATATTTTGCTTGGTTTGTTGTGTCTCATTATTTTGGCTCGTGAGAATAGATTCTTTTTGGGCTCTAGGATTCTTTTCTAGAAAAAGTTTGGGGAAGTTAGAAGCCCACACCCTAGTCTCTGGTGAGGAGAGGGAAAGGGTTGATGCCTTGGATGGAGATGGTCAGACACAACAAAATTCCAGTTCATCACTCTGTCATTCAATAGCTCACCTACAGATCATCTAGGAGAAGCAGCCCTGGCAGGAGGCATCTACCTCGGCCAGGCTGAACTGTTTGGAGGTAAAAGGGTAAACGAATGAGTGTCAAAGAAATGCACTTACTTTCTTCAACTTCTCACCCTGCAACATTTTATACTTTCCTGATTTTACATCTCTAGACACCTGCATGAGAGGTTTGAGCCATTATTATAGATTGCCACAGGAATGGAACAGGGAATTATTGGCAGAAGGCAAGAGTGTGGGAAAGAGAAAAAAATCAAAAGGTTTCTCTTCAGTTCCTACTCCCAGAATGTCAGCCATGCTGTGCTCCAAGTGGCAGCCACCCGCTCAGGGTCTCTGGGTTATATAAAGTCAGAGGACAACTTTCACGTCATGGTTGATGTAAATAGCACTCTCTGGAGTTGGATCTAGCAACTCTAACCACTCTCTCCAGTCCCACATACAGTAGTTCAGAGGAATCATCCATTGATTCAGCTATTTCTAGTTTATTGTTGTTGCTGTTTCCTTGGCATTTCTCGTATCTATTTTTGTATACTATTAAACTTATTTTATATTCTTGGCCCATCTGTAGCAATACATTTTGTTTCTACGTTTACATGTTCCTCCATAGCTTAGCCAGGGTTTAGAGAAGGAACAAGCAGCCCATGGTATTACATAATCTTGGCCGAACCCAAAATAACTGGGTTTCAGTTTTAATCCTGCTTTTGAAGTCAGGTATTTCTCTCTCTCTCTCTCTCTGCTACAGTATTACAGTAGAAAGGACCTCCAGTGCTATAGTTAAAGAATATTGATAGTTCTCATTACTGTTTTCACCCTCACTTTAAATGGAATGTGCGTACGTTTTCTTCATTAAGTGTAATATTTGCTGCAAGTTTTGGCGGAATGACCTTGAGGAAATTCTCTCACATTCTTCATGTGCAGTTTTAAAATCCTAAGTAGGTTTCAAAGTTTGTATAATATTTGGTGTCCTGTAGAATTTTTGTTTTTAATTCCTTATAATGATGAATTCCAATGATAGGTTTTCTAAGTTTAATTGCCCTTCTATTTCTGGGATAAGTCCTACATTATTATGGCTTTCTTTTTCCTAACCCTGGAGAATTAGGTTAGCTAAGATTTTTTTTTTAGTTTTGTTCTGTTTTCTGCAACAACACATAAGATAGGAATTCTTTATTCCTTGACAATTTTTAACACTCAGGAAACCTTCTTAACCTGTCATCTTTATTTCCTTATTGCAATTTCCTCATTGTAATGTAGTTTATTCACATTTCCATTTATTCTTTTATCACTTTTGGAATTTTGTTTCCAGATATTTAGTTAGGTTTTACAAATTTATTTTAATTCGGTTGTGTATGATATTGTTTTTATGATCATAATTGATTTCTTCATATCAATTTCACTCTTCATTGCTTCGTTAAGATTTTAATTCTGCTTCTACATTTTTTGTTTCACTATAATTATTTTTTAATCTCACATTTTTTCTTATGTCACCAAATGATCTTTCATCTCAATCTATACTCTTTTTTTTTCTTTTTTTAAGACGGAGTCTCACTCTATTGACTAGGATAGAGTGCAGTGGCGTGATCTCAGCTCACTGCAACCTCTGCCTCCCGGGTTCAAGCGATTCTCCTGCGTCAGCCTCCTGAGTAGGTGGGATTACAGGCACCCGCCAACACATCTGGCTAGTTTTTGTATTTTTAGTAGAGATAGGGTTTTGCCATGTTGGCCAGGCTGGTCTCAAACTCCTGACCTCAGGTGATCCGCCCGCCTTGGCCTCGCAAAGTACTGGGATTACAGGCATGAGCCACCACTCCTGGCCTCAACTATACTTATATTATGCCTTTCCATCTCTGTTTCATTGAGTTTGCTTAAATCTCATACAGAGTTTAACATAGTTTCCTAAAATTATTATTATTTTTGTTTCCTGTGGCAAATGATTGTTAGAGATTGCCTTTTAATTGGAAGGATTTCATTTTCTTTCTGCTACAGTGCAATTTTTGTTGTTGTTCTTGCTATTATTTCCCCCAGTTTCTTCTTTTATTGCATTAGAAAAAATATCATTTTAGATTAAGTTCTGTTCTGCTTAGTTTTTTTGATGAACTTCAACAGCATGCTAGCTTTTTATTTTATGTCATTCACAATTTTTAAAATATAAAATTAATATTAGGCATTAAGTTATTAATCTTCAACAAATATTTTAATAAACATAAAGATTTACAAACATACTTTTAAAACTAGATATATTTATGTACAAGAGGTATGTATAGAGAAGTAAGTGACTCTCAATGGGCTAAGATAGAATGAAAAATGACTGTATAGTGTGAAAAATTATTAATAATATACTAATAATTTAAAAATATTTGCAACAAAATTCTCATCACTTAAACTTCAAAACATATATCATAATCAAGATGATTTGCAGAAGCTAGACAATTTGAGATGGGAGATTTGACTGGAATGAAGTGTTAATTGAAGAAACAGTGAGAAATACTATTCTAAGCACTGCGTCTCAGGTCACAGAATACTAACTACTGATTATTCTTTGTCTAAGTTAATTTTGTTTTCTGTACATATTTCCTCTATGATTCAATTTATATTAATAAGCATTTACTGACAATCCATGTACCAGGTAATATGTTAAATATTGGAGGTGATACAAAGGCGAGTCAGTACAAATTCTTGCCCTTCCTTTGCTTAAAATACTTTAAGTTAGATGAGCAGATTTTAAGAGCATAATCTCCTAATTCATACCACCTGCGTTTGCATCTTGACTCCAACCTTTACTAGCTGCATGAACTTGAGCAAGATGTTTGACATATTGGTGTCTCAGTGTCCACATCTGAATAATCATTTTAAGATTGTTGTGAAGATCAAATGAGTAATCCAAGTAAAGCACTTAGAAGAGGTCTTAACACATAATGTATTACCTGTAAATATTAGGCATTATTTTTATTAAAATGAAAACTTGATACAAGCAATTAAATTGAGTACCGTATAAAAAGTACAAAGAACACCTTTTAGTTAGGCAATTTTATCTAGAAATTATACATTTTGGAGCAGTATTCATTTGCGAGTGTGTCTGACTTTTTAATAAGTATATAATACTATTTTGTCTTCAGTTTTTATACTGAAATGGGTATACACCTGACTTTGTAATACACTCCCTTCTAAAGTGTTAGGATTAAATAAGTATTAGTTGATACTGTTACTTAAGAAACTACTTCAGGGAAAAACCTATGCCTTTATTTTCTCTCTTTGAGATGTTTACTTTAAAAAAATTTTCATTTCTTGGTCAGACAGTTAGCCAATGATTTAGAAAAAGTTAAAGTTTGCAGACCTAAGAAGGCTTCTGATATGGGTAATTCCTATTCATTTTTTTCAGAAACAGCTCTACAGTTAATAACGTATGACTTGTAATAGTTTAATTTATATCTGTGCCCTACAGTTATCTCCCTGTATCACTTGAAATCTATCCTAGTTAGTCTCATCAAATAAAAAGTATCCTTAGGTATAACAAAGGGAAAAAGCCTCGATCATTATTTAATAGATAGTCTACTAACTACTGGATAAAGTAGTTTTATTTAAACTCTGGGCACAAAACAATCGACCCCCCACCCGCAAAAAAAAACACCCAAACCACAAAAAAAATTGACAATATTCTCTGTTTCAAAGCCTGTGACCTGGCTTATATTGGATTATTTGTTTTTAAAAAGTTCACCAAGATTAAGGTTGTATAAAGATTTTTCTAAGACAAAAACTAAGTTCACTACTAAGAGAACCTTCCTAACTTGTATCAAAACTCAGTTTATATTCCCACAGATGTCTAACAAGCTCTGTATATGGTCTTGGATTATAGACAGGGAAAAATCAATAGCCTGCTGTCTCAAAGGCACCGATATAGATTATGAATCACAGCCAGGAAGTTGTCAGTGATTTCGGCTGCCAACAGCGCTTCAGTAAAGATATTTGCTACCTCATATTCTTTTAATGTGAAGCTTTCATATATGAAATAGAACAGGTCACTTTTGGACAAAAACATAAGAGAATTTTAAGTAGAGCAATGAGAGCACACACATAGCTGTGCTCTGGATTGATCAAATAAAAGCTACACCTTCTCCATTTGCCCACATGCTGTGTGAAAACAAAGATCCACATAAATGTCCTGTGTTGCTAGTTATTAGTTCCTTCTCCACCTGGCTGTATCTACATATACATACACATGCAATGGCTTGGATGGACTAGGCCAAGCCCATCTAAATCACCTTTTATGCCTCTAATAAAAAGAGCTCACTGGTCTAAGTGAAGAAAGTGCAAAACAACACTGAACTTTTGAGTTGAAATAGGCTTCAGATTCTCAAGTCAATCTTCTCTCATTGGTCGATGAGAAAACTGAGTCTCAGAGATAATGCAGGTGACTCAGCCAGATCAGTCAAGGAAAAGGTGTTGGAGACAAGATGAGAACCTTCTAGTGAATCACATTTACTCAAGATAGGTCTACAATATTCTGAAAACCCGTATGACAAACATTCCTCAAAGGTAAACACAATATTGTGTCTAAAACATTAGTAAATAGAGTCTAAAGAATATTTTAAGTGTTTTGAATTTAAGAATAAAAGTATTAAAGGTTTTTTCTCTATATATATTTATATATGTTTATATACGATATTATACCTATATTAATATATATGGTCAGCGTAAGATTTATGGCAAAAATTTTAAGCATTCCTCATGTATTTTTTGGAAAAGTGACTAAAAAAAGGTGTGAAAAAATTTAGTAACAGTCAAATGAACAGACTGGAACAGTGAATATATGAGACTGTCATTCTGTTACATGCCTGTTAACCTTTATGTGCATCAATTTCCTCATTTATAAAATGAGCATAATTAATATCTTGATACAATGCCAAGAGGATTAAATTTAATTTATGCAAATCATATAGTATACTTTTTAGCACTTAGCATTTAGGTAGTCAATACCTGGTTGTTCCTTTTATTACCTGATTTGTTTCAAAAAAAAAAAAAAGAGTCTGAATCAAATGTGCCAGAAAAGAACCAAATGCAGTGACGTGGCGAAAGTCAGAGATCTACACTAGGCTTTAATTGAAAAATTACTTAGAAGATGGGAGATAATAAAAATCTGTTCCTTTGATAACTTATGGGAGAATTAGAGAAGATAATGCTGTTCCCATTTTTAGAAAAAGGAAGAAAAGTTGATTCTGTAAATTAGAGCAGTTCAGTGTGAAAAATTGTGAAGATAATAGAATAATCAGCAATCAATCTAGTGATCTTCTAGAATACTCTCAGGTACAACACATATCTTTGCAAAGAACATATCTCACAGACAGTTTACATAGGCAAAAGTGGCATATAAGATATAATATATATGTGTATATGATTTTAAGAAGGTTCTCAATTCAATATCATATGATATTCTGATTAACAAGGACACCTCTGGAGCATGTTCCTTTCAGTTCTTAGATGATTCATAAACATAACTTGGAGGCCAAAGCCAAAAAAATGGCTTAGGAAAAACTTGGGCTACCATGAATGTTACTTTAAGAGTGTCCTCTGACATCAAATGCCGTTAAAAAATGATCTACTTAGTATTTCAATTATATTGTAGAAAACAAGAATTCTCCAATTAAGATATAAGCAGGAAGAAATAAAACAGGAGAAAAGAAGCACAAACTCCAGAACAAATGCAGATTTGGCAAGGACTGGTTGGACATGAAAGTTAACCTGCTTTAAACACATCAAAAGATGAATCTTACGAGAATCAGCCAGATAAAAATGTTAATGTTCTTTTAATTATGTGTTCTGTTATGTTCACTGCGCTAAAGTCATACAAAAAAATGTTGGAGATCATTCACAGAAGAAAAGCAGAGGTGTTTAAAGGGAGAAAATTGATTCCATGAAAAGTAAATAAATTGTGATGTCAAATTAGATAAGATCAAAGCTAAAGGATAATTTATTTATTTGTCTTTAATGTGGGATAGTGTTATTTCTGGAGTGTAATGTATTGTTCTTGACTGGGTGCAGTGGCTCATGCCTGTGATCCTACCACTTTGGGAAGCCCAGGCAAGAGGATCTTTTGAGGTCATGTGTTTGAGACCAGCCTTTGTAACACAGTGAGATCCTGTCTCAACTAAAAACAGCAAGGCATGGTGGTGCACACCTCCCAGCTACTTGGGAGGCGGGAGGTGAGAGGATCGCTTGAGTAGATTAAGGCTGCAGTGAGCTATGATCATGTCACAGCACTCCAGCCTGGGTGTCAGAGTGAAACCTTGTCTCCAAAATAAATAGATACACACATAAATAATAATATACTGTTACTTTTACAGAGGGCCAAATATTACATTTGACCCCGTGAGAGTAAGGACAGGCCACACACTCACTATTGCATCCTCTGACAATGTCTCACTGCCTGTACTCCATTAGTGTTTAGGGATAAGTGAAACAGAAAATCATAACCCGCGGTGCCTCAAGTTAGTCCCCTCTTGGATATTCTTCTGCCCTAAGGTACCTGTGATGGTTAATTTTATGTGTCAACCTGACCGGGCTAAGGGATACCCAGAAAAGTGGTAAAAAACAAAACAAAACAAAACAAAAAAATATTCCTACCAGGGATGTCTGGGACGGTGTTTCTAGAAGAGATTAGTATTTGAAGGAGTAGACTGTGTAAAGAAGATCTGCCCTCACCGGTGTGGGTGAGCACCACTCAATCCATTGAGGATCCACATAAGACAAAAATGTGAAGGAAAGGTGAATTCACTCTTTGCCTTGAGCTGGAGAGTACATCTTCTGCCCTCAGACATCAGCACACCTGGTTCTCAGGCCTTCAGACTTGGACTGGGACTTGCACCATTGACCCCCAGTCCTTGGACATTCAGAATTCAACTGGAATTGCACCACTGGCTTTCCTGGCTGTCCAGCTTGCAGAGGGCAGATTGTGGGACTTCCTAGCCTCCATAGGCTCCTGAGCCAATATCTTACAATAAATCTCTTACTACATATCTATGTATATCCTATCCTTTCTGTTTCTCTGGAGAACCCTGACTAACACAATACCCTTTAGAGTTCCCATTACATCTTTATAGTTACAGCTTTATCGTAAGTTTAGTTTTCTTTATATTAAACTTCCCCGATTCAAATTACTATGTACTTCGATCTCCTAATGGTACCCAGACTTTTAGTTTTCCTCTTTTCTGAGTCTTTATTTTTAAAATATGTTTCTCATACACACTACATTGCTCAGTTTGATTTACTTTTTAATTTTTCAGTTGAAGTTTTTTGTCCCTTTAAATGGATTGTGATTACTGTTATATATGTCTGGATTTATTTCCCTCATCTATCTTATCTTGTGCTTTCTGATTTTTCTACTTCCCCTCCTTCTTCCTCCATCTCTCTCTTCCTCCTTTCTTTTTTACTTCCTCTTTCTTTGTCTTTTCCTTACCTGTTAGAAATTTATATGCTTTAGTCTACTTTCTTCTTAGAATGTTTAGCATGTATATTTAAATTAATATAATCTCATCAATATCTTTACTCTCCTTCTGAAAAAATGTTTTGCTCATATTAAATCTCTTCTGAATTGTTTGCTATGGTTGTCAAGATTCTATCATAATTATTTAAGCTTACAAATTAGGCATAATCATTGTCACTTAATCAGCCATATAATTTGGGCTCATCAGAAAATTTATAATTTAATTTTTCTTACCCTTTCTTCTAACATTTTTACAGATTTCCTTTGGGGACCATTTTTCTTTCTTTTTCTGAAGTGTATCCATTAGATTTTTCTTTTAGTGAATGTCTGTTCTTAATGAATTTATTCTGCTTTTTCCCCTTTGATAATCGCTTCACTTTTTCCTTAAAATATAATTTTTGAAGTTATATAATACTGTGTTTACTGCTGTTTTTATGAGACTTTCAAGACATTTTATGTATTTATTAATTTTATTTATTTTCTTAAAGATTTTCCAGTTTTTATTTCCTCCATTTTTGCCTTGAGAATTCCACTCTCACTCTAATTAATGTTCATTTGTAGGTAATTTTTTTCTGACTACTTTTGAAATGTTATTTTTTGCCTTTGGAGGTTTGTAGATTCACTAAAATGTGAATATCATTTTATCTTGGAATTTTTAGCTCCTTTAATCTAAATGTTAATATCTATATTAGTCAGGGTTCTCTAGAGAAGACATTTAGTAAGATGTATAAGAGCGAGTGTGTGTATGTCTGTGTGTGTGTGTGCGTGTGTGCATGCGGAGAGAGGGATTTAGAGAGAGATTTATTTTAAGCAATTGGACCACACAATTTTGGGGACTGGAAAGTCCAAACTCTGTAGGGCAGGCTGGCAGGCTGGAGACCCAGGGAACTGTTGTCATTGAAGCTGGAGTCCAAAGGCAGTCAGAAAGCAGAATTCCACTTCCACAGTGGACCTCAGTTTTTTCTGTGATGCTTTTCTACTGATTGGATGCAGCTCATCCACATTACGGACGGTAACCTGCTTTGCTCCAAGTATACCGAGTTAAATATTAAGCACATCCAACAAATACCTTCATGGTAACATCTAGATTGGTGTTTCAGAGAACATCTGGGCATGATAGCCTAGCCAAGTTGACACATAAAATTAACCTTCATGGTATCTTTTATCAATTCTGGTAAAAATACAGGCAATATTTATTTCTATATTTCATTTGACTATTCTCTTTATTGTTCTCTTCTGAATATAACAAAAATGCATATTGGATTTTATTTTCTATCCTTTATATCTCTTATCTCTCAACGTTTTCATATTTGTGTTACATTCGGGAGGTTTCAAATCTTTTCTCAGTTTGTTAATCACCTCTCCATCAGTCACATGGTACAACCAAAGAAGCAGAACAAGTAGGAGATATGTGCTAAGAGACTTATTGCAGAGAGTTGGTTTATGAGATGCTGGGTCTAGCAAGGAAAGTTCAAGTACACAGGGCAGGCTTTTAGGAAGGTCAGGTTGAAACTCCAGTCATATGCTCCAGCTTCTGTCCCACAAGCAGAATTTCTTTTCTTTCAAGGAAACCTCAGATCTGCTCTTAAAATCTTTCATGTGACTTACTCAGGTGCATCCAGATTGTCCAGAAAAATCTCCATTACTTCATGGCAACTGATTACAGACTTCAGTCACATCTACAAAATACCTTCGTAACAACACGCCTAGATTGCTACTTGATTGAATAATTGGGGATGACTAGCCAAGCTGACACGTAAAACTAGCCAAGTTGACATAGAAAAATCCCTGTTACTTCATGGCAACTGATTATAGACTTTTGTCACATCTGCAAAATACCTTCACAACAACATACCTTGATTAAATAATTGGGGATGACTAGCCAAATTGACACATAAAACTGACCATCACAATCTCCTAAAGAGTGTCTAATTTGTTTTCTAATATAAAAATTTGGTTTTTAATTTCAATTATTATATTTTTCCAGATGCTCTACTTAGTTCTTTTTAAAAAATATCCAGGTTGCTCTTGGTGATATCTTGTACTTTACTTCTGAATTCCTTCTTTTATTTTTAAAGTATTTGACAAACATTCATTTTACATCGTGAATGTGATCATACCAAAATATGCAATTTTCATGGGCCTTGTTTCTTCTGGTTGTTGTTTCTGCTGGCTTTTGTTCTTGATGGCTTGATTTCTTGTGAGGAGTGTGGTGTGTGTGTGTGTGTGTGTGTGAGAGAGAGAGAGACAGTGGGAGAGAGAGAGAGAGAGCACTCATGCTGCTTTTTTTTATCTGTTCAAATTCTAAGATTATGCAGATTAAAATACACTCACCAAGTGATAATTTGACTTTACTTTTGCTAGGTGATTGGTGACACTCCAAGCCTGTGACCACGTTACACTAAATTTTGGCTTGAGCTCCAAAGGGGATGTACATTCTGGTCCTCAGGTCACATAAATGCTGGGTTTTGTTTAGGAATTCTCATAAGTTTCTTTCTCCATCAGCCCTCTTAGCTATGACAAAGACCAAAATAATCAACTCTTTGTCTTTGAAGTGAATGTTTTACTACTGTATCTACTAAGAGTATCTTAGCTTTATACTTGGTCTCTATCTTGACTTCCAACTTGAATAGGCCCCAAATTTGTCTTTTGTCTCCTAATGCCTGTTGGTCATTAAACCCAGATTTAGGCTTTGAGAGTAGAGCAGGATTTTTAGAGTGTACTCTTTTGCAATGACAAATCTTTATTGTTTCCCATTTTAATTGTTTCTCTTACTTTACTGATAGCTCAGCCATGCTTTTAAAGAGATGTTTCTTATATTTTAGGCAGTCTTTTAGGTGTTCTGCTCTAAAAAACATTTTTTTTCCTGCAAAATCTAGTCAACCATATGACTAGAAATGGAAGTATCTCATTCTCTTTTTCACATGTTTTCATCAGAATTTCATCCCCATTGCTCTACAGAAACTTCTTTTTTCTAGGTCAACAATGACATCCACTTGCCAGATCTTATATTCATCTTGCTGGGCTCACATAGTTTGACCTGAGCAGGACTTGACAGTTTGATCTCTTTCTTCTTCTTAGGAAAGTTTCTTTACTTTGCTTCTGCTCACTAAGTTTTTAAGTAAACTATACAGTTTACTTCCTGTGTCACATATTTGGTGTTACTTTCCTGAATCTGTCTCTTTTATCAGAACTCAGCCCTCAAACTCTATCTCTTCTTAATTTATACTCTTGATAATTGCATTTGCCTGAACTCTCATCCTGACCTTCCAGATTTGTAGATTTCTGCCTGAGGACTAATGAGATCTCAACAGAGCAGGTGTAAAATAGAAATTTTGATTTTTGTTCCTCAAATTTGGCCCTCTTAACTTGCCTCAAACTCACTAAATAGCACTATCATCCTTCTAGTTGTTAAGCCAAAACTCTAGACCTAGTTCTTAATCCTGCTCTTTCCTTTATACCTTACATTCCATTAGCTGCAGTCTTCTTACTTCACTTTTGTAATATATGCAGAGTCCAACCACTTCTCACCATCATTCTCTCTTAAATGAGTAACTGCAGTAGATTTCTTACTGTTCTCCCAGCTCTCATCCTTGCCCCTGAACTATCTGTTCGTAACACAACTACCAGAGTGATCGTTTAAAAATATAAATAAGGGCCAGTCGCGGTGGTTCACACCTGTAATCCCAGCACTTTGGGAGGCTGAGGTGGGCAGATCACAAGGTCAAGGGATCGAGATCATCTGGCCAACATGGTGAAACCCCGTCTCTATTAAAAATACAAAAACTAGATGGGTGTGGTGGTGTGTGCCTGTAGTCCCAGCTATTCGGGAGGCTGAGGCAGGAGAATAGCTTGAACCCAGGAGGTGGAAGTTGCAGTTTGCTGAGATCGCATCACTGCACTGTTGCTTGGTGACAGAGTGAGACTCCATCTCACGATTTTATCATTATGTTCAATGTACTCCAATGGCTTCTCATCTTATTCAGAGTAAAGGCAAATTGCTTGTAATGGCCTAAAATACTCTAAACACTCTTTCACTTCTTTCTGACTTCTACCACTCTTAATCTACTTTCTGGACTCTGTTCTGTTTTTTTATTCTATGTGTCTATACTTGTGCAAACACCCCACTGTCTTTTTTTTTTTTAACTGTAGATTACTAATTAATGAAAAATCCACAAAATTTGTTCTTTCATATTGACTTACTATCTTCTTGGCTTGTTCATATACATCTTAGAATAAGCTTGTTGATTTATACACACACACACACACACACACACACACACACACTTTCATACCTGCTGAGATTTAAACTGAGATTGAACTGAATCTGTAGCTCATTTTAAGGAGATGACATCATTGCAGTATTAAGAGTTTTATGCAATGTTTCTGCATTATTAAGAGACTCTGTTTTTCTGTTGGCAAATACTACTTTTATCCTGAATAAATATTAACTACTATTATCAAACGTCTTTTCAGCACCTATGATGATGGTGCCATTTTTATTCTTTGTTTCTCTGATATTAGTACATATTAATAGGGTTTCTTATGTTGTTTCCTCATTATCTAACTAGACTAGACCCTACTTGGTTATGTTTTTATTACTTGACTAACAACACTCCGGATTTGCTTTGCTAGTTTTTCATTACGAATATTCTTAAATGAGTTCTGTCTTTAGGTTTTTCTGCCTGTTTTTGCTAATGGGTTATGTTGTCTTCTAAAAACAAATTAACACAATTTTCTAATTTTTCTATGCTCTGGAACCATTTCTAGGAGACAATTTTTTGTTTCTCGTGGATTTAGAAGAAATTATAATACCAAATGAATCTGAAAACTTTCCTTGGGAAATCTGGAATATCAATTATGAAACATATTTTATTATTATTTATTCTGTTAAACCACTAAGCATTGGGAAATCATTTTTGTTAATTTATATATTCTTAGAATACTGTATTTCACAAAGCTTTTAAAAAGTATTAGCATAGGCATTTCTTTCTTTTTCTTTTGCTTTTGTTTGTTTGTTTTTGTTTTTTTTTTGTTTTTTTTAAATTATACTTTAAGTTTTAGGGTACATGGGCACAATGTGCAGGTTAGTTACATATGTATACATGTGCCATGCTGGTGCACTGCACCCACTAACTTGTCTTCTAGCATTAGGTATATCTCCCAGTGCTATCCCTCCCCGCTCCCCCCACCCCACAACAGTCCCCAGAGTGTGATATTCCCCTTCCTGTGTCCATGTGATCTCATTGTTCAATTCCCACCTATGAGTGAGAATATGCGATGTTTGGTTTTTTGTTCTTGCGATAGTTTACTGAGAATGATGTTTTCCAATTTCATCCATGTCCCTACAAAGGACATGAACTCATCATTTGTTTTGGCTGCATAGCATTCCATGGTGTATATGTGCCACATTTTCTTAATCCAGTCTATCATTGTTGGACATTTGGGTTGGTTCCAAGTCTTTGCTATTGTGAATAATGCCGCAATAAACATATGTGTGCATGTGTCTTTATAGCAGCATGATTTATAGTCCTTTGGGTATATACCCAGTAATGGGATGGCTGGGTCAAATGGTATTTCCAGTTCTAGATCCCTGAGGAATTGCCACACTGACTTCCACAATGATTGAACTAGTTTACAGTCCCACCAACAGTGTAAAAGTGTTCCTATTTCTCCACGTCCTCTCCAGCACCTGTTGTTTCCTGACTTTTTAATGATTGCCATTCTAACTAGTGTGAGATGGTATCTCATTGTGGTTTTGATTTGCATTTCTCTGATGGCCAGTGATGATGAGCATTTTTTCATGTGTTTTTTGGCTGCATAAATGTCTTCTTTTGAGAAGTGTCTGTTCATGTCCTTCGCCCACTTTTTGATGGGGTTGTTTGTTTTTTTCTTGTAAATTTGTTTGAGTTCATTGTAGATTCTGGATATTAGCCCTTTGTCAGATGAGTAGGTTGCAAAAATTTTCTCCCATTTTGTAGGTTGCCTGTTCACTCTGTTGGTAGTTTCTTTTGCTGTGCAGAAGCTCTTTAGTTTAATTAGATCCCATTTGTCAATTTTGGCTTTTGTTGCCATTGCTTTTGGTGTTTTAGACATGAAGTCCTTGCCCATGCCTATGTCCTGAATGGTAATGCCTAGGTTTTCTTCTAGGGTTTTTATGGTTTTAGGTCTAATGTTTAAGTCTTTAATCCATCT
This sequence comes from Homo sapiens, assembly GCF_000001405.40. Lineage (NCBI taxonomy): Eukaryota > Metazoa > Chordata > Mammalia > Primates > Hominidae > Homo > Homo sapiens. The sequence goes on along the minus strand of NC_000008.11, from coordinate 76,312,954 downwards.
TGAATTAATTTTTGTATAAGGTGTAAGGAAAGGATCCAGTTTCAGCTTTCTACATATGGCTAGCCAGTTTTTCCAGCACCATTTATTAAACAGGGAATCCTTTCCCCATTGCTTGTTTTTCTCAGGTTTGTCAAAGATCAGATAGTTGTAGATACGCGGCATTATTTCTGAGGGCTCTGTTCTGTTCCATTGATCTGTATCTCTGTTTTGGTACCAGTACCATGCTGTTTTGGTTACTGTAGCCTTGTAGTATAGTTTGAAGTCAGGTAGTGTGATGCCTCCAGCTTTGTTCTTTTGGCTTAGGACTGACTTGGCGATGTGGGCTCTTTTTTTGGTTCCATATGAAATTTAAAGTAGTTTTTTTTAATTCTGTGAAGAAAGTCATTGGTAGCTTGATGGGGATGGCATTGAATCTGTAAATTACCTTGGGCAGTATGGCCATTTTCACGATATTGATTCTTCCTACCCATGAGCATGGAATGTTCTTCCATTTGTTTGTATCCTCTTTTATTTCCTTGAGCAGTGGTTTGTAGTTCTCCTTGAAGAGGTCCTTCACATCCCTTGTAAGTTGGATTCCTAGGTATTTTATTCTCTTTGAAGCAATTGTGAATGGGAGTTCACTCATGATTTGGCTCTCTGTTTGTCTGTTGTTGGTGTATAAGAATGCTTGTGACTTTTGTACATTGATTTTGTATCCTGAGACTTTGCTGAAGTTGCTTATCAGCTTTTGGGCTGAGACAATGGGGTTTTCTAGATATACAATCATGTCATCTGCAAACAGGGACAATTTGACTTCCTCTTTTCCTAATTGAATACCCTTTATTTCCTTCTCCTGCCTAATTGCCCTGGCCAGAAATTCCAACACTATGTTGAATAGGAGTGGTGAGAGAGGGCATCCCTGTCTAGTGCCAGTTTTCAAAGTGAATGCTTCCAGTTTTTGCCCATTCAGTATGATATTGGCTGTGGGTTTGTCATAGATAGCTCTTATTATTTTGAAATACGTCCCATCAATACCTAATTTATTAAGAGTTTTTAGCATGAAGTGTTGTTGAATTTTGTCAAAGGCTTTTTATGCATTTATTGAGATAATCATGTGGTTTTTGTCTTTGCCTCTGTTTATATGCTGGATTACATTTATTGATTTGCATATATTGAACCAGCCTTGCATCCCAGGGATGAAGCCCACTTGATCATGGTGGATAAGCTTTTTGATGTGCTGCTGGATTCGTTTTGCCAGTGTTTTATTGAGGATTTTTGCATCAATGTTCATCAAGGATATTGGTCTAAAATTCTTTTTTTGTTGTGTCTCTGCCTGGCTTTGGTATCAGAATGATGCTGGCCTCATAAAATGAGTTAGGGAGTATTCCCTCTTTTTCTATTGATTGGAATAGTTTCAGAAGGAATGGTATCAGTTCCTCCTTTTACCTCTGGTAGAATTCGGCTGTGAATCCATCTGGTCCTGGACTCTTTTTGGTTGTTAAGCTATTGATTATTGCCACAATTTCAGATCCTGTTATTGGTCTATTCAGAGATTCAACTTCTTCCTGGTTTAGTCTTGGGAGAGTGTATGTGTCCAGGAATTTATCCATTTCTTCTAGATTTTCTAGTTTATTTGCATAGAGGTGTTTGTAGTATTCTCTGATGGTAGTTTGTATTTCTGTGGGATCGGTGGTGATATCCCCTTTATCATTTTTTATTGCGTCTATTAGATTCTTCTCCCTTTTTTTCTTTATTAGTCTTGCTAGCTGTCTATCAATTTTGTTGATCCTTTCAAAAAACCAGCTCCTGGATTCATTAATTTTTTGAACGGTTTTTTGTGTCTCTATTTCCTTCAGTTCTGCTCTGATTTTAGTTATTTCTTGCCTTCTGCTAGCTTTTGAATGTGTTTGCTCTTGCTTTTCTAGTTCTTTTAATTGTGATGTTAGGGTGTCAATTTTGGATCTTCCCTGCTTTCTCTTGTGGGCATTTAGTGCTACAAATTTCCCTCTACACACTGCTTTGAATGCGTCCCAGAGATTCTGGTATGTTGTGTCTTTGTTCTCATTGGTTTCAAAGAACATCTTTATTTCTGCCTTCATTTCGTTATGTACCCAGTAGTCATCCAGGAGCAGGTTGTTCAGTTTCCATGTAGTTGAGCGGTTTTGAGTGAGATTCTTAATCCTGAGTTCTAGTTTGATTGCACTGTCATCTGAGAGATAGTTTGTTATAATTTCTGTTCTTTTACATTCGCTGAGGAGAGCTTTACTTCCAAGTATGTGGTCAGTTTTGGAATAGGTGTGGTGTGGTGCTGAAAAAAATGTATATTCTGTTGATTTGGGGTGCAGAGTTCTGTAGATGTCTATTAGGTCTGCCTGGTGTGGAGCTGAGTTCAATTCCTGGGTATCCTTGTTGACTTTCTGTCTTGTTGATCTGTCTAATGTTGACAGTGGGGTGTTAAAGTCTCCCATTATTAATGTGTGGGAGTCTAAGTCTCTTTGTAAGTCACTCAGGACTTGCTTTATGAATCTGGGTGCTCCTGTATTGGGTGTATATATATTTAGGATAGTTAGCTCTTCTTGTTGAATTGATCCCTTTACCATTATGTAATGGCCTTCTTTGTCTCTTTTGATCTTTGTTGGTTTAAAGTCTGTTTTATCAAAGACTAGGATTGCAACCCCTGCCTTTTTTTGTTTTCCATTTGCTTGGTAGATCTTCCTCCATCCTTTTATTTTGAGCCTATGTGTGTCTCTGCACGTGAGATGCGTTTCCTGAATACAGCTGGGTCTTGACTCTTTATCCAATTTGCCAGTCTGTGTCTTTTAATTGGAGCATTTAGTCCATTTACATTTAAAGTTAATATTGTTATGTGTGAATTTGATCCTGTCATTATGATGTTAGCTGGTTATTTTGCTCGTTAGTTGATGCAGTTTCTTCCTAGTCTCGATGGTCTTTACATTTTGGCATGATTTTGCAGCAGCTGGTACTGGTTGTTCCTTTCCATGTTTAGTGCTTCCTTCAGGAGCTCTTTTAGGGCAGGCCTGGTGGTGACAAAATCTCTCAGCATTTGATTGTCTGTAAAGTATTTTATTTCTCCTTCGCTTATGAAGCTTAATTTGGCTGGATATGAAATTCTGGGTTGAAAATTCTTTTCTTTAAGAATGTTGAATATTGGCCCCCACTCTCTTCTGGCTTGTAGAGTTTCTGCCGAGAGATCCACTGTTAGTCTGATGGGCTTCCCTTTGAGGGTAACCCCACCTTTCTCTCTGGCTGCCCTTAACATTTTTTCCTTCATTTCAACTTTGGTGAATCTGACAATTATGTGTCTTGGAGTTGCTCTTCTCGAGGAGTATCTTTGTGGAGTTCTCTGTATTTCCTGAATCTGAACGTTGGCCTGCCTTGCTAGATTGGGGAAGTTCTCCTGGATAATATCTTGCAGAGTGTTTTCCAACTTGGTTCCATTCTCCCCATCACTTTCAGGTACACCAATCAGACGTAGATTTGGTCTTTTCACATAGTCCCATATTTCTTGGAGGCTTTGCTCATTTCTTTTTATTCTTTTTTCTCTAAACTTCCCTTCTCACTTCATTCCATTCATTTCATCTTCCATCGCTGATACCCTTTCTTCCAGTTGATCGCATCAGCTCCTGAGGCTTCTGCATTCTTCACGTAGTTCTCGAGCCTTGGTTTTCAGCTCCATCAGCTCCTTTAAGCACTTCTCTGTATTGGTTATTCTAGTTATACATTCTTCTAAATTTTTTCAAAGTTTTCAACTTCTTTGCCTTTGGTTTGAATGTCCTCCCGTAGCTCAGAGTAATTTGATCATCTGAAGCCTTCTTCTCTCAGCTCGTCAAAGTCATTCTCCATCCAGCTTTGTTCCATTGCTGGTGAGGAACTGCGTTCCTTTGGAAGAGGAGAGGCGCTCTGCTTTTTAGAGTTTCCAGTTTTTCTGTTCTGTTTTTTCCCCATCTTTGTGGTTTTATCTACTTTTGGTCTTTGATGATGGTGATGTACAGATGGGTTTTTGGTGTGGATGTCCTTTCTGTTTGTTAGTTTTCCTTCTAACAGACAGGACCCTCAGCTGCAGGTCTGTTGGAATACCCTGCCGTGTGAGGTGTCAGTGTGCCCCTGCTGGGGGGTTCCTCCCAGTTAGGCTGCTCAGGGGTCAGGGGTCAGGGACTCACTTGAGGAGGCAGTCTGCCAGTTCCCAGATCTCCAGCTGCGTGCTGGGAGAACCACTCCTCTCTTCAAAGCTGTCAGGGAAATTTAAGTCTGCAGAGGTTACTGCTGTCTTTTTGTTTGTCTGTGCCCTGCCCCCAGAGGTGGAGCCTACAGAGGCGGGCAGGCCTCCTTGAGCTGTGGTGGGCTCCGCCCAGTTCGAGCTTCCCGGCTGCTTTGTTTACCTAATCAAGCCTGGGCAATGGCGGGCGCCCCTGCCCCAGCCTCGCTGCCGCCTTGCAGTTTGATCTCAGACTGCTGTGCTAGCAATCAGCGAGACTCCATGGGCGTAGGACCCTCTGAGCCAGGTGCGGGTTATAATCTCGTGGTGCGCCGTTTTTTAAGCCCGTCGGAAAAGCGCAGTATTCGGGTGGGAGTGACCGGATTTTCCAGGTGCTGTCCGTCACCCCTTTCTTTGACTCGGAAAGGGAACTCCCTGACCCCTTGGGCTTCTCAAGTGAGGCAATGCCTCGCCCTGCTTCAGCTCGCGCACGGTGCGGGCACCCACTGACCTGCGCCCACTGTCTGGCACTCCCTAGTGAGATGAACCCAGTACCTCAGATGGAAATGCAGAAATCACCGTCTTCTGCATTGGTGTGAGCTGTAGACCGGAGCTGTTCCTATTCGGCCATCTTGGCTCCTCCTGGCATTTCTTTCTTATGTTTCCATATTTCTGTTTATTTTCCCTTACTTATTTTTAGCCTTTTTAAATTTATATGTCTTATGTATTTTTCTTTGTTTCTTTTTTTTGCTTAAATATACTACTTAGAGGCTTCTCAACTATGTTGTGCTTTCCTATTGTTTTAATAATGTGGTTATTTTAAAATTTATTTATTTATTTAAAAATATATCAATTTCTGCCATAATTCTCATTTGTTCATTTTTTCTATGGCTAATTTTATGTTTTTAATTTTTTAAAAATATAGTCTAACTCTGAGCAATTTATTGCTTAATAATAAAAAAAAGGCTCAAAAGTTCAGCTTTCACATCACTGATTCAGTTTTTACAGTATGGATTCCTCTCTTTACTGCTTTCAAAGCAGTTTTAAAATTAGTTATTGTATCTTGAGTTTCCTTTCATTTTTTCCTTATCTCGTTCAGCTCCTTTTGCCCTTCTGTCTGGCTCCCAGCTAGCTCCATTTTATATCTCAGTCTGTTGTCTTATCCTCTCATCTTTCATCTCTTGTTTCATGGTGTTCAATTCTTTTCTTTTTACTGCAAGACAAAGCAGGCACTTTTTAAAATCTACTTCTTTATTCTGTAGGTTTGGAAAAACTTTTTAAGTAGGTTTTTTCTCTGATTCTGATGGGCTGAGCTCACCTTATCTTATTGTGTGTACTCTTTTTATATGCTATGTGTTATGATTTTTTCCTCTTTACCCACACACAAATGGTGGCATGATTATCAATAACAAATATGTCCAAAATCAAGTGCGTATATTAACCTTTTCTCCTCAAAGTCTAGTTGGTATCAGTGCCCACTGTAGCCGGCAGCAGGCCTGCTGATCCAGAGAAAAGCCCAATTATGCTGAGGTAGGGAGAAAGCAGCTGTTGATGCCCACTGTGTTTTCTACTTGGAGATGCTTCTGGAATTCTCTATGAATTACTTTCTAATATTCTTATTCTTACTGGAGAAAGGGATTCCAAGGCAAGGGTTCTGTCATTACCCCTCTTTCTAGCTCTTGCCTCTAGCAATCAGGTCCATTTGTTGCATCCAAATATTCCTCTCTTGTCTTTCTGCTTTTACTTTGTTTGTTGTTGTTGTTATTTCAAAATTTTCATTTGAACTCTATCTAGAAAATATCCAACTGAAATTCCTCTGTGTTATTTTTAGGTAAATTGTACTTCCTATTAATCCTGGATCCTGAGGCATGATATCTCTAATTTTTCTATCATTTAAATAATTTTAGAAGGAATTTAGAATAGGATAAGTTAGCACGCTGTGTTCACTATGAATCTTCAGCTAGTATCTGAAAGTTATGTTTATATAAATGTTTATTTTTTGCTGAGAACACATGTCCATGAATGAATGTGATTGAAATTGTAACACCTCATAATGGTGAATTATTAAAAGAATAGACACTGTATATTATTAAATTACACATATGTCTTAGTCTGGGTTCCCCAGAGAGAGACAGAACCAAAGGGAAATATATTTTTATACACAATGTTAAATTATATAAATATGTATGCAATGTTATATATATGTATAAATATTAAATGTGTAAATATATACACATAATATATATGCTTGTAAATAAATTTATTATATGGCATTGTCTCATGAAATTATAGAGGCTGAGTAGTCTCAAGATCTGAAGACAGCAGAAACCTGGGAAAGTTAATGATATACGTTGTTATACTCCAAGTGTGAGTCTGAAGACAAGGGAAGACCAACGTCCAAGCTTGAAGACAGTCAGATAGAGTGAGTAAACTCTCCCTTACTTTGCTTTTTGTTCTACAGAGGCTTTCAGCTGAGTGGATGATGCCCATCCACATCGGGGAGGGCAATCTGCTTTACTCAGACCACCAATTCAAATGTTAATCTCCCCCAGAAACACCCCCATAGACACAACCAGAATAATGCTTCACTAAATATATAGGCGCCCTGTGGTGCAGTCAAGTTGGCACATTAAAATTAACCATTACACAATGTTTTACTTCTGGTTTCATGAATTTTCACTATTCACACTCTGGAACCATCAAAGGTAGGAGCTCCCGTGTAACTACCTGTCAGCTAAATCTTTGTTAAAACAGACATATATATTGTCAGGCCAGTGACTTGCGCTTTGCAGACCTTTTGTATCGATGCTCTTGAGTTCCTTAAGATGAGCTGGTGGGGGGAAGCTGAATCTCCCGTGTGACAGAAGTGTAAGGAGAATATGAAAAAGTCATCCTGCATGTCTAGGGAGAGCAAGACTCTGAGAATAGGTTCAAAAATTGACCATGAATATATGTGGAAATAATATATGAAAGTCCGTTTGTATGCCTGCTTTCTATTCTGCAGTCAGTTTTCTCACTAAGAATATCCCATCTTCAGCAGAAATTTGTAAAGGAATAAAAATAAGAAGGCAGACATAAACACATAGAAACTGAAAAACCCACTCAAGGGATTTTGGTATGTCAGCCTAGCTTCTTTCTCTTCTAATATCTGCATTTTATTCACAGTATTATGAGTAAAGATTCATGTCTGCACTTACATAGAATTCAGTCAATTTCCAGCCGAGCCCAGTAAGGAATTTATCTGCATTTCTGCTGAGATTTTAAAAACTGCAGTATACCTTGGAAATTGTCAAAATGGTGATGCAATGTTAAACTTGCAAATCAGAAATGCAAATAAAAGTGTAAGTTTTATGAGGTTTATATTGCATTGTTTATTCTGCTCGATAGATTCTTATTTTTTAACTGCCTAGCCTAATAATAATCTGAAATACTGTAAACAGCATACGTGTTGGCATATAAGTGAATAAACCTTTGCATTTTGTTATTTCCTCTTTTCAGTCCTTGAAATTCCAGGCTTAATATTGCAGGGCTGGAAGCTTTTTATTCTGCCATGTGAATTGTACAAGTGTCTATCTATGTACGGGCACAATCCATTTTAAATATCCACAAATTTCCCTAAAGTCCCAAGTGGTTTCCTTGGCAACAAGGCTGCTGAAATGTAAAGGGCTAAGGTAGTTAGGATATTGCCTATCATTCTCCCTCTCTAGGTTATTTTAAATAGCTGCAATTTTCTTTGCACATTTGAAAAAATCCACAGTGGTTGGTGATGCAAAGGCGAATATGAGAGACATTAGAGAATAGTAGTACATCAGAGTCTAATTTGTGTGGACAAATTATTACTTTCACTACTCCCTGATTTGTGGAGCACCATTTTCATGTACCAAATTGTAGTACAAAAGAAGAGCAAACCATAAATACATCGGAATAATTTTTAGATAGAATGAGATAAAATATCTGCAAATAGCTTTTGACAATAGAGGCAGTGATTAATAATGGCAAGGTATCTATGCAACTTCTTTTCAATTCACCTGGAATAGCATGCTTATAATGAGGCCAGACCTTGGTACAATGAGTAGAAGAAAATTAAACACACTGAGGGGGACAAGGAATATTCTCTACAACCCTTCCACCAGATGAAACTTCAAATGCCTGTACATGCATTTAGTGACTTATTTTGTAAGTTGTCTTGGTAAATTATTTCAGTTGTTATTGTTTGCTCTCGTTTGTCAATCCACTTCTCACTGTACTTCCTCACAATGGTTTAGCATGCTGTAGGATTTATTTATTTTTAGTTCAGCCCATGGAATACATTCTACAGAGATTATCAAAGCAAAGGGACATTTCCCACTGTTAGCAATTTTGTGGATCAAACTGCACAATTTCCTTCCAGTGTCTCCTACTATGCTGCTATTTCCCATATCTGCATAAAGTCCCTAGCAATGAAGGCACTTGTCTAGTAGCAACAACTCCCCTGAATAAAAATAGCCTATTAAAAATTATAAGCCAGGCTTTTTAGACCCTATCTCACACCCCTATAAACACAGTGATCAGAAGCCTTTGGGAGAACCAAATCAGAATTTGTATCAGTAAAACATGGCAATCCCACTCAAACATCAAGTCCCCATGTTTTCTTGACTAGTACCTGCCATCCTACTGGATAGCATCCTTCCAATTCAGAAATTTGGAAAGAGATTGTTAATTTTGTTTCTTAATAATTTTCTTGTGTATAGGATAAGGAAAAAATGGAATGTGGTGATGGCTTTTGATGGCATATTAATAGTTTCTTATACAGATTTCTGATATTATAAATCTTCACTTACAAAAATTATTTTAAATTATATATTTTAAAAGTGATAAATGCCACTCCAACAAATTTTATTATTCTTAACAAATACCACTCCAACAAATTGTATTATTCTTAACAGATAGCACAACTCTTCAGACTTTCCAATTGAGATTCAACACCTGCCACCCTGGTTCTTTTTTACAACTTCTTTCCTTTCTTCCTTCCTTCCTTCCTTCCTCCCTTTCTCCATTTCTCTTTTTCTTCTTCCTTTCCTCCATCCCTGCCTCTCTCTGTTGTTCTTCTTTCTTTCTTTTTCTTTCCTTCTTTTCCTTCCTTCCTTTCTTCCTTCCTTCTTTCTTTCATTCTTTTTCTTTCTCTTTCATTCTTTCTTTCCTTTTTCTTCTTTCTCTCTTTTCTTCTTTCTTTTTTTCCTTCTTTCTTTCTTTCCTTCCTTCTCACCTATTCAACCAACCTACATGTGGTTCCAGGGTAATTACCAGAGCAAAAATCCTTAACAATAAATACAGTAGTTTTTGACTACAAAGATTCACAAATAGAGACTGTGGCCTATTTTTATATGCTTAATACTTACCGCAAAACATTATATATGTATGAAGCATTTAGTAAATGCTAGCTGAAAGAATGAATGGAAGTATATAAAAGGTGATTTGTGAGAATAAAATATGACTAATTCTATCTGAAGTAGTAGCTATTAGAAATCTTGCATGATTCTAGACTTCATGGCAAATTCTGAGCATGGCTGGACTATCAGATACTTAAAGGACAATGGAGGAAAAGCAAAATGGAATGGTTATAAGGATTTTACATTCATCTTAAGGAATATGAACTTTATCTTGTAGGGTAACTGTTCTTAACATTTTTAGTACATAAATCCTTTTAACTTTTATGATAACTGTGCATTATCTCTCTTTATCTCATTCTCTTTTGCTCTCTCTGTATGCATGTATAAAATCAGAAAATGCACAACTACCTGAAACCCATTGATGGGTCTTCTAGGTCGGGGGTCCCCAAACCCCAGACCATGAACCAGTACCAATCATGGCCTGAACCAGGCCTCACAGCAGGAGGTGAGGAGTGGGCCAGTGAACAAAGCTTCATCTGTATTTAAAGCCATTCCTCATCATTCTCATTACTGTCTGAGCTCCGTCTCCTGTCAGATCAGCAGCAGCATTAGATTTTTGTAGGAGGACAAATCCTATTGTGAACTGTGCATGCGAGGGCTCTAGATTGCATGCTCCTTAGGATAATCTAATGCGTGATGATCTGTCACTGTCTTTCATCACCATGAGACGGGACCATCTAATTTCAGAAAAACAAGCTCAGGGCTCCCACTGATTCTATGTTATGGTGAATTGTATAATTATTTCATTATATAATACAATGTAACAATAACAGACTAAAGAGCACAGTAAATGTAATATGCTTGGCTTATCCTGAAGCGACTCCCCATGCCTTGTCCCCGGGTCCATGGAAAAATTGTCTTCTACAAAACCCATCCCTAGTGCCAAAAAGGTTGGGACCATTGCTCTAGGTCCTTGCCACTCAAGCTGAGGTTCGTGGATCATCAATGTTGATGTCACATGGAAGCTTGTTAGAAATGCTGACCCTCAAGTACCACCTCAGACTAAGATTTTTTTAAAAATCTCAAAATTATCCATACACCTTTATATTTGAGAATTACTGCTTTAGGCATTAAATTAAATTGGCATAGTAAAAAATGATTAAGATACAACATAAGGAGAATAATAAAATGCTCAGATTTTCCACATTCATCTGCCTTTGCTTGTAAAATTCGACATTTTGGAATATTTGATAACTATATCTAAAACAACTGGATGCATTTTGAGAGCAAAAATCCTGCCTCTCACCAAAAATGGGAAGACATTTCTGAATGATATAAGAGAAGCAGAAGAGTATGCTAAATGTATTTGTCTTATTATTCTGGAATCCCTGGCTCTAATTCTTTCTCCATAATTAACTGTGATACCTTGTATTTAAGACCTCAGTTACTTCTTCTCATCTTATAGATGATGACAAAAGTCCCTTGCAAGCTCAATAGTCAAAAATGAATACTTTTGAAAAAAAAAAAAAACTAAAATGTGGAAAGGTAGTGCATGTGACAGTATAGTTTTTGTACCTCTTTAAGAGCCCATAGAAACAAGTAAGATAGAAAAAAAAAATCAAAACCCACAAAACTTTAACAGCAAAGGTAGGAGGAAAAATACCACTGAGTAGAGACAAGTCACCACGATTTGGCAGATCACAAATTTACCATAGTGTCAATGAGACGTCCTGCAGACTGGTTAGAGCAATAGCTGAAGTAGGAGGTGGCCTTCACAAGCTCCAATGTGTGGAGAGAACAAGGAAACTGCAGGAAATTTGAATAATTATGGAATAGTCCAGAACCTATGAGATCTCAGAACTAGTCAACCAAAACATCATTGCTGCATCACAGGATATTAGTTTTCTATCACTGTGTAACAAATGACCACAAACTTGGCACTTTAACACCACACATATTACTGAAGGGTTTGGGAAAATGAGTGCTAACTTGAGTAACTTTGGAAAATGGCTTTGACTGGAAACCGTAAGACTAAAGACAAAAGGATCTGCACATATCTGCACATACATACTGTACTCTAGTTGGTAAAATTGTTTCTTAGGTGGGAATGGGTTATCAATTCTAAAACTGCTATACCTGTAAATGAGAGTTGAACAAACACATGCATGGAGGTGGAGGGTGGGAGCCAGACTTCTCATTTTTGGAGTGGGTGGTGTAGGTAAGCAAGAGGCTTTTTATTAAAAAGTCCCAATAAATCACATTGTACTGGGTGACAGTGAAGGGTATCAGTATTGATGCTTTTTTAGCTTAATATAAATACAGATGGACAGATACAGAAATAATTATAGATATGTATGTACACATGAGTAGATATGCATGCATATATTTCCTAGTTCTGCCCACTGAGAGGGCATAGAAGCAAGAATGCTCAGTCTAGCAATGAGCAAGCCCAGTGTTCAGATCTTAGTTTCTAATGCCATTTGCCAATAGAAAGAACTAGGGTTCTTTGGAGAACTGGTTATAACTAGGGCTGGGCCAGGGAGTACACCAATGAGCCTAGAGCATCTTGCACTACCAGAAAGTAAGGAAGCAAGCACTAAAAAACAAAATGATAGGGGTATGTCAAAGGGACAGAGAAGACAACCTGGAAAAGACCAGAACATTTTGACTAACAAAATAGGTAATGTGGTATTGGGTTATGGCTCAAAGTGTAAAATAAACACCCATGAGTCAGCACTGACATAGTTAAATTATTGAATAATTTTGTAAATGAAGGAGAAAGACAAATCTCCTGAAGAGAAAAATTCCAAATAGTTTATGTGGATATCCCTCTTTTAGGGAGGTGGGGCTTAACTTCCCACTACTTGAGTGTGGGTGTGATAAATGACTTGTTCTCAAATATTAGAGAATGAAAATGGGGGAAATAGTCATTTTACAGTGGAGAAACCTGGCAAGTGATACCTTGGCCAGGAGATAAAAGTTACCACAATCAGTAATATGTTGTGTTGATAATATGCATCCTTGATACAATGTGATGAGAATGTCACTTCACCTTTGTGATCTTCTTCTCAAAACCTAATGCTCCATTCTAATCATGATAAAAACATCAACATGTTCCAATAGAAGGAGATTCTACAAAATAACTGACCAAGAATCTTCAATACCCTCAAAGTTATTGAAACCGCAGAAAATCTGAAAAACTTTCACAAACCAGAGGAGGCTAATGATATGATAACTGAATGTAATGTGGAGTCTTGGAGAATATTCTGGTTCAGAAAAAAGACATCATGGAAAAAATAATAAAAAACAAATGATACTATGGTAATCTAACATGTTGGTAATGGTTGTAAACTGAGTGTGAGGTATATGAGGCAACGAGGGAAAGAAAAAACTCAGTAAAACAAGTGCTACAGCCTTAGGTAGCATAGTCATGTAGTATATGTAATTACATATGTTCAACCACCTTGGCTCTATTTCATTGGTTGTGAAAAAAATACAGGTTCTGCCTACACTCTAGGGGAGAAGGTCATGAAAGCCACATTAATAGTCCATCTGTCACAAGAGCTCTGTGCTGAGGAAAGGTTGTGAGGATTCTAATTCACCTCTAGGATAAGGACTGGAGAGGCAAAGGAAAGTTAAGTATTCAGACGAAACTGCAGGAAGGACACAGACCCAGCAGTCCTCATAAACTGCAAGGTCACTTTGTAAAAAACACTGAAAAAATAAAGAAAAAAAAAGCTGCAGCATTTGTCAAAACCTACCAAACTACTCATTTTATTTTATGCAAATTATACTTAATAAAAATAATATAAAAATTAAAACATAAAATCATGGATCTACTTTGAAGATGCTATGAGTACATTTTCTGAAAAAGTAAAATTGAACACAATTTACCTCAGAATAGACAGAAAGGCTTAATCACCACACCAGAAGCACAGAATTAAAGTGCAAAAATAACACCAGGCCTATATGGATTCACAGGTGAACTCTAACAAACACTTAAAGGTCAGTAATCGCAATTCTACTTTAACTCACTTATACTATAAAAGTAATAAAATTTCTACATTGATTTAAAATAAATTGTATACCACTGATTTCCTAAATCTATCAAAAATCAAAGGCCCCCAAAATAAAACCGTATTTATGATTATCAATATAAATATCTCAAATAAAATATAGCTAATCAGAAACACAGCCTTTATAAAAAATAATACAGCATGTTCATGTGGGTTTATTTCATAGATGCATAAGTGGTTTAATATTAAGAAATCCATTAATATTATTCATCACATTTACAGAATAAGTAAGAATGTTTTTTGATCATTTCTATAGATGCAGAAAATTAATACCCTTCTCTCAGTACAACAGGATTGCATAGAAACTTACTTAACATAATCAAATATGTATCATAGAACAAAAGACAGCATCATACTTAATGTGGAAGCACAAGAAGTTTTCCTGGTAAAGTCAGAAATAAGATTAAGATGCCAACTAACTACCCAGCATCTGTATTGTAGATATTAAACAAGGCAATTAGAAAAAAGAAAGTAATCAGCAGCATGAGAAAGAGTCGAAAAGGGAGAGGAAATGCTGTTTCTATGTTTGCATGATAGGATAATACATCTGGAAAGCCCAGTGGAAATTATGGAGAAAATTACTACAAAAAAAGATAATTTATTAAAGTAATACCTTATAAAGTCAATATACAAAATCAGTAATCTTCAAGTATACATTTAAAAATGAATAAAATCCAAAATGGATGATACTATCTATTTTATGTTGGAGATAGATATATGGAGTATAAATAAAGAACTGAAGAAGTATTCCTGAAGGGTTCAAAGACAGACTTGAATAAATGTAAAGACAATATGTTTTGAATAGAAAATCTGTATCTAATCTCTATCTGTCTATGATCAGGTTTTTGTTAATTTGTAAAATAGACACAATTCTAATAAATATACAATTAGGCTTTTTCTATTTCCCAAAAGGTAGACAAACTATTTTTTAAAATTAAGATCATCTGTAATAACAAATAAGCATAATCATAAAATCCTGATATAGAAATGACTTGGGAAGAAGCAGTGGAAGACAACTAAGCCTGTTTGACATTATAACATATTGTAAAGACACTCTAACTAAAACAGTGTAATACTAGTGTATGCATAGCCTGAAAAGTTAATGTAGAAAAAATAAAATTTAGAATTATTCTTAATTGTATATGGAAATATGGCTTCTTAAATCGGTGAAGATAATATGAAAGGATAGTTATATATTTTAAAAGATAAAGTTGGATTCATTATCATGAGACAAATTTTAAAAATTCCAATTCATCAGAAACTTTAATGTAAAATGTGAGGGCATGAAAGTTCTAGAAGAATACCTAAGTGCGTTTTTCTATGATTACAGGGAAATGTTTCATAATTATTATTAAAACCCATAAGCAATATGGATAATTATAATATTGATTAAAATAAAACATTCACAAAAATAAATGTACATTTCTAAAAATACATTAATAAATTCACTTAAGATAAATATAAGTTAAAAGTACATTGATTTACCACCTCCCAGATATTAAAAATTTTGATAATATAAAATGTGGGTGAGCTTTTGGTAATATTACCATTCTTAGTGGGTATAAAAAATTAAACAACTTCACTGGAGAAGTCGTTGGGTAATTCTAGTAATATTATATAGGCATTTATTCTTTGATATGGTAACATCACTTCTAAAACTCTCTTTTTAACTTGTGCAGACAAATAGAGAGTGATACAGATAACTATCATTGCAGTACTATTTGAAAGAAGAAAAGACTGCAAACCACTTAATGTCCATCTATAATGGACTAGAATATAGAACACTATTGTCACACAATACTAAGCAGTTCCAAAGGGGAAAAGAGGAGTAGTTCTATACGACTGTGGAGTCATTTCAGAGTATATTAAAGAGAAAGCAAGAGGAGAAAAATTCATAAAGTATGTCACTGTTCTCTAAGAAAGGTTGGATAAAAACACATAAGTCACTTTTTTATGTCAAATAAAAACAGGGAAAAGGGAAGTACAATAGTCAAGAAAGGGTCATTCATGTGAATGGGAAAAGGAAATTGTGTGTGTGTGTTTAAGTTTATATGCATGTGCATTTTGGTATGTGTATGCGTAAGCAATAGAATCTAGACATCTCTTTTTTCTTTTTGGAGATGGAGTCTCGCTATGTCACCCAGGCTGGAGTGCAGTGGTGCGATCTTGGCTCACCACAACCTCCGTCTCCCGGGTTCAAGTGATTCTCCGGCCTCAGCCTCCCAAGTAGCTGCGATTACAGGCACGCACCACCACGCCTGGATAATTTTTGTATTTTTAGTAGAGATGGGGTTTCACCATATTCACCAGGCTGATCTCAAAGTCCTGACCTCAGATGATCCACCGGCCTCAGCCACCCAGAGTGATGGGATTACAGACATGAGCCACCATGCCTGGCCAAGACATCTCTGAATATATCTATTTCATAGATTTGACTTTGGAATCACATAAATATTCTGTATAACTAAAACTACTTTTTAAAAAATCCCTAAAAATGTAAAGCAAAATGAATAAAATGAATCTAATATTAGATCAAATTGATGGTATAACTCATAACCACCAAAGAGGAATTATTTCTAGATACTTTAAAACCCAATGATAAGATTAAATGTTCCTAGTTCATATACTGTGAAAAAAAAAGAACTGCAAATGAAACTCAAAAGTAGACAAAATTTAAACTCTGGTCAGTAATCATATTGTTGGAAGTAGTATTAGTATTATTATTCTGAAATTACTGCATGCATCTAATGAGATAAAACAAATAACTATGTTAGTGTCATTGAGAAACTGGATTTTAACTTAGGGGAAACAAGATACAAAAGTAAGATTAAAGAGGCTAAGTAAAAACCCTATAGTTTTGAATTTGAATTTAATATGAAAGTAAGATTTTACAATTTATTTTATTTTATGTTTTAAAATACATTTTCTAGCTCTGTCCACCAAAAGGCTCAGAAACAATCAAACCAGTAGCAATAAACAACTTGGTTCCCAGAATTTGGTGTCTACGTACCAGTTCTAACAGGGAGGAAACGGGTTTTGCAGAAATGGCTGATTTCATATTTTGGGCATAAAATATATGAGATAATCTTGCAAAGTCTTGGCATACCAGAAATAAAAGATGATTTTAATGATTTGTAGGGTCATGACCAATGGGCTTTGCCACAACCTTTATCTGAGCATCAATGCATGTAATAATTGCAAGTGTTGAAATGTGTCAAATATGTCTGAATACATGAGTTTATGATGATTATTTATAAGCAAAATAAGTTTCACAACCTAAAACCTCATTGGTCACATTTGCATAGAGTGACTATCCTGGTTTACAAATAACAGGCAGTGTGGATTATTTTGTTGTCCCAGTATAATAATGAATAATGTCCACTTTCACTTTGAAGTATGTCCAGCTTTGAACAATAAATTATATGTTCAACTTAGCTTTGAAGAATGACAGAGGGAAGATATATTAAATAAAACTTGATAAGCAAAAGTAAATAATTAAGCATTTTAGCCTGACTTTTCTACAGAAAAAAGTCAGAATAGTTATCTTTTACATCAAGATAACTAAATAATAGTTGAAGGGTTTTCCTTATGAAGTATTTCAGCTAATTAATGAATCAAATTTGATAAACTCTTTAACTTAATAGTTTTAAACCTCCAATCAATAAATGAATTTAGGCCATGATTATAATAAAAAAGACAACAAGATATCATATCGTTTATACTGGAATTATACTATAACATCACTTATAAAACATATTTGCCAAAAAATTAAACCTTATCAAGATTTTTTTGTCTTTTTTTCTAATCACCAGTTTACATGATATACAGTGGAGAAGGAAATATGTTAAATAACACTTTAAGGAGGCAATCTGCAAACTCTAGACTGTGGGAAACTAAATTTCTAGTTTCTTAAGCATGAGTTGCAAGAGGAAATAATTAAAAAGGCAGGAAAACCTATAAATTAAATGAGATTTAATAAACATTAACTCATTGCAATATACAAAGTTAATTTGGATATGGTTTCATACAAGCTCTTTAAAATATTTATGTGACAATGAGGTAACTTTACAAACTAATGAGATATTTAATGATGTGAAGTTGTGATAATTGATTGAAATATTTTTTTTTTCAAAACAGCATATTGCACATGATAATTATATACAATCTTGTCAATTAAAAATACTTTTTAAAAAAAGTCCTATTTTAGAAATGTGCACTGACATAAATTAAATCATATGTAAATCCAAGTTTTATTCTAAATAACCTGGGGGATGGAGATGTGAGAGTTATAGATAAACTCATTTGGATCATATGTTCACAGCTGTAGAAGTTGAATGACAGGTAGGTGGGAGGGGAGTGAGTAATTATTATCTCTACCTTTATATATGTTTTAAATGTTTCTTAACAAAATGTTTACCCAAAAGTGCAGGAAAAATGACATATATGGCTGTCTGTATACATAGATTAATCTAAATATGTTTAGTAACTGACTATCTTCATTTAGCCAAGTCATGCTTCTCTTGATTCAAGGAACTCTTGAGTTGGAGATGGGCAGAGGGAGATATTTCTTCCATACATGAAGCATAGTGTGCACATCCACTCAGACCTGAAATGGAGAATGAAGTCCATTCATGTGATTCCCGGACACTGCCACTTTCATAAAGTCAAAATTCCTTCATAAATAGGCTTTTCTTTGTCATTTAGTATTAAGTGGTAATACTATTTTGCCGTTAAAATGAAAAGTAATTTAAAAATTCAATAACTGGTTAAATGTACCCATATAGAGTCTATTTTTGGAACACAAAACTGAAAAATTACGCTGGGCACAAATTCTTTTTAGTTCAACTTTAAAGTGCCATTAAACTTACTGCTTCTTACAGAATGAGGAGTATGCTGATTCTTTAAAACATCAAAAATCTTTGCCATCAAGTCTTATCCACCACCTTGTTTAGGGAATATCTTTTATTAGAACATGCATCTTATAAGCACATATTATATATACTATCATCTGAAATATTTCTTGATTTAAAACATTCATTAGGACAATCATTCTCCTTTTCCTGATTCAAAGATCCATAAATGGGCACATTTAAAGAAACATATCAAAAGAAAAAGTCTGAGAGCTTAACACATGGAATCAATGCTGTATTTTTAACAATAAGATAATATTATATAAACTGAGGGAAAGGAGAAACCATTAACAGAAATACTGAGCATGTTTTGGTTTTGAAATTTTTTTATTGACTATAAATTTTCATATGCTTTAAAAAATTGTATTAGCGGGAGGGATCAAATTTTAAAGAGTGAGAGAGCGTCAATAGCATTAAAAAACTTCCTTTGACCAGACTTCCTTTAAGATATTTCATATGATATTCCTGCAATTACTCCAATCACATTATATTGCTTATTTAAAAAACTGGAGATTGTGGTCTGATTGAGTCAAAAAGGAAGATGTAAAATCCTGGCTATGAAGCTGAGATCCTTTAAAAGTGTACTATTTTCTTACTTCATTTTTAATGTTTAGATCATTTCCTCTTTTAGGCTGTAAGTTTAAGGATGCCTAAAGACCGTATAACAAATCCACTCAAAACCAATGAATAATCTCATAAAATATATAAGCAGTTTGGGTAAGGTAATCTTGTTCATTTTATATTTCCTTCATGATTCTATAATATATATAAAATATGGTTTATTATTTAAAATTATATATAAAAGATTTGGATAGGAAAAAAATTGTAATTGGGTTCCAAAGCCTTTCATCCCTAGATCATTAGTAACTAATATCTCAAACTCAAGAGAATGATGTATTTACCATCTACTTATCATATCCTCCAGAAAAATAGTACTCATGT
Organism: Homo sapiens; assembly: GCF_000001405.40. NCBI lineage: Eukaryota > Metazoa > Chordata > Mammalia > Primates > Hominidae > Homo > Homo sapiens. Next base: position 76,293,462 of record NC_000008.11, on the reverse strand, counting down.
GTAACAGAGTCACTGGTGTATCTTAAATTCACTGGTTAACTGAAAAAATATGGACTATTATAAACTTTGGTATCTCCACAAATTAAAGCAGTATGTTACTCAGTTCAAACTACCAAACAGTAACAACAGGTATTGTTGGCTGGCAAAATCAGAGGGCTTTTCCTTTTTACCTTATTTTCAGATGCAATTTGTTCTGGGCTTTGTAGTAAACTATAGCTACCTTTTAGTTTTAAATTTATGTCTATACTGTAAATTCCTATCCTCTTTATTTTATAGAGTTAGATTAATTTTCATCATAAGTAATGTGATGACAAAATATAAACAGAAAAAAACATGCAAATATTTAAGGAAATTCTAAATTCTATGACTGTTTCAGGTATGAAGAAACTTGCTCCTTCAAAGGTAAATTTGCTCTCCTAAGAGAAGGCATAATACCTCAATGGATTTTAAATAATTCATTTCCAGTGGGAAAGGACCCAAAATGTTACTTTGGAATAGTTCACATTTAAGTTAATTTAATTATTAACTTTGATACAGTCCAATCTAACTTTGAATCAAAGTCTGAGAAAGACAACAATTAAATACCAAGTGCTAGAATGGGGTGCTCAATAAGAAAACATGAATTTTCCCTATTTTCAGAAGAAAATTGATATATTCCTAATTTACCACAGACTTTTATAGCAAACAAGAAAAAGACAAAAATAGAATACAAGGCAATCAATGTTAATGATTAATATATCTCCTCATTCATTATGACTGCATAGAGCCAAATATGTTATAGGAAAAATTAGAAAGAATATCTACTTAATAGGCCTATTTGTTAATTGAATCACTCTTGCAGATTTCTTAAATTTCATTGTCCCTTATATTTTGACTATATGCATATACATATGCAAGAAAACTTAATACAAATGCATGTATCTATACATATATGAATGTATATATCATGTATATCAAGTTAGTTCTAGCTTTTCTTGAAATTCTCTGAATGGTTTTGAAAATCAGTTCTGCTTTTTCTGAATTCTCTGAAAAGTCATCTTTATTTTGTGCTCTTTTTGCACAGAATATAGCAATATAGACTTGACCGTGGTTATTAAAAGTCCCAATTAATTAAAATACACACACACACACACACACACACACCACCCTTCTTGATCATTTGATAACAGATACTATTTTTATCTGTTTCCTTAGTCTGATGACTTGGAATGAAATATTTAAATTTATTGTATAAATTATTCTTAAACACAAATTACCCAAAAATTATGATGCATGAATTTAGAATTAAAGACTCAAATCTCTTATGATTGTGTACATTTCTTCTAAGCATCAATAAGATGAATGTGGCTTTCCTGAAGGACATTCATATTAAAAAAAATTCATGAATCATTCATTTTGAGTATTGTGATAAATCTATGCTTACCTTTATGTTGTAATTCTTACTAGGACTACGACTGATTCTTCATGCTATGTATCCTTGTTATTAGTCCCTTTCTGATTGCTTTTATCTGGAACAGGAATGAGTAAAAGAAATACTTTCCTTTTGTGGTTCTGGATATTTTAAATTAATACATTGGGCCAGGTGTGGTGGCTCATGCCCGTAATCCCAGCATTTCGGGTGGCCAAGGCAGGCAGATCATTTGAGGCCAGGAGTTTGAGAGCAGTCTGGCAAACATAGCAAAACTTGGTCTCTACTAAAAATACAAAAAAATTAGCCAGGCATGGTGGCATATGCCTGTAATCCCAGATAGCTGGGAGGCTGACGCACGAGAATCATTTGAACCCAGGAGGCAGAGGTTGCAGTGAGCAAAGATGGTACCACGGCACTCCAGCCTGGATGACAGAGCAAGAGTCTGCTTCAAAATAATAATAATAATAATACATGATAGGTGTGCACTGAGATTTAATCAAAGGTGTTTATTTATCTGCTTACAGCGCAATCACTTTTGGAAGCAAAGTGTTGTAATGGATGAAACATAGAAAATATGGAGTAAACTTTATTGTAGCTCTGCCATATACTGCTAGGTATTACCATGAACATTACTATAGTCTCTGAATATTGGTTTCCTGATGATCCAATTAAATGATACCAACCATGCAATCAGAGAAAATTAGACAGTAACTACACTTCGTATTATTTATTGAGTACTGTGTTATATTATTGGCATGAAGTACCCCATTAGTTTAAAAAAAAAATCTTTGTGGCAAAGATATAATCCCATTTTTCCAAATAAGAAAATTGAGATTTGGTGGCAAAGTGAATTGGGGAAGGTGGTTTAACCTGTAAAATTGTCAAGTTCCGAAACTTTTAAATTTGTATGTGTACTTCCAAGTGTTGCCAACAAACCCCAAAGGGGACTCAGCTTGGGAGGGCTCTTGGCTTTGCCAAGAAATACTTCACGAGTGAGCTAGCAAAGCAAAGTAAAAGCGGGTTTATTAGAGCAACAGAATACAGGAAAATGGCTGCTCCAGAAACAGAGTAGTAGCAGCAGCAGCAGTCTTCGTGGATTGCTGGCTAGCCACACACACACACACACACACACACACACACACACACACACACACACACACACACACACACATATGGCTATTCCTTGATTATATGCTAAATAAGGGGTGGGTTATACATGAATTTTCTGGAAGAGGGGCAGGGAGTTTCTGGAACCTAGGGTTCCTCCCCCTTAAAACCATATAGCGTAACTTCTGGGGGTTGTCATGGCATTTGTAAACTGTCATGGCCCTGTAGGGGTTTCTCCTAGCATACAAATACACTATAATTAGCATATAAGGAGTAGTGAGGGCAACCTGAGGTTGCTTTTGTCACCATCCTGGTTTTAGCTAGTTTTGGGCAGTTTCTTTGCTGCATCCTGTTTTGGTCAGCCCCTCTTTTGTTCAGCAGTGTCTTGTGACCAGCGCTTGGAAAACAAGTCCTCCTGATCTACCTCACAAGGTCTATGTTCTTGAATACTACGGTAGACTAACTACACAATGATCTTAACTAGAGTGCACATACTTTTACTATACACCCAAAAGCACTATTTTAACAGTGATATTAGATTCATATTTGACTTCTTAACATCTGGGTCCTCTCTTACACTTACCCATCTTAGCGAAAGTATACTCCATTCATTTGGAGTTTTTTTAGCCCCAAACCATAAAGCCAGTCTTTACTCTTCTTCTCTAGCATTCTAACTCCAACTCCAGAGTAAATTCTGCCAGTGTACCTATAAAATAACTGGTTAATGTTTTCTCTTATATGTTAATGTTTTCTCTTATATTAAAAATATATTAAGTACTTTCTACTATTGTTTTTAATTTGCGTTTAGACTCTGATATAATGCTTTATATTTTGTAATGTGAGTCAAATGAGTTAGGGCACTTATAAAAACTCCTTTATCGGCCGGGTGTGGTGGCTCACGCCTGTAATCCCAGCACTTTGGGAGGCCAAGGCAGGTGGGTTACCTGAGGTCAGGAATTTGAGACCAGCCTCACCAACATGGTGAAACTCCATCTCTACTAAAAATTCAAAAATTAGCTGGATGTGGTGGTGTGTACCTGTAGTCCCAGCTACTCAACAGGCTGAGACAGGAGAATCGCTTGAACCCAGGAGGTGGGTTGCAGTGAGCCAAGATCATACCACTGCACTCCAGCCTGGGCGACAGAGTGAGACTCTGTTTCAAAAAAAAAAAAATTCCTTCATCAAGAGTCATTTGTAAAATGATATATTAGACATGTATGGAAATCAAACTCCTAAATCATAAATAAAATGGTGCATGCAGATGGTTTTTATATTGTGATTGTTTCTATTGCAAAAATGGCCTTTCTCAAATAGTTTTTTTTTTGTACCACAAAAGTAATTACATTTCTTATAATGCATTCTACCAAGCTCCAAATGTAGTAGGAAAATAGTGTTGTTATAGAAAAGTAATTAAATAATTTTTGTAAGCTATTTCTCACCTTGTACTCTATGCATATCAATGCTTTTACTTAAAAGTGTGGAAATATATATTTTGAAATTCTATGAATGTGAAAGAGCTAGGAGAGTATACATTTAAAATTGTGTGTCAACTGTAACCAAGTAGTAATAGCTGCTTGAAGTATTGTGTTGAAAATTCCTGCCTATATTCAGGGTCAGAAAGAAGATTACTCTGACTGATTAGTGCATCTGCCATAGGTATAGGAGAGGAAACTGGCAGCAAGGCACAAATTCATTATCTGTGAACATGGAAGAACAAAGTTCTGACTTTTCTTTAAAACTCCTGAATAGCAACTTCTATGAAAGAAGGGGTATATCTTACTCACCTCTGCTGCTAAGGAATTTAGCACATAGCATTGTACATAATATACTCATAATACTACTGACTAATTAAATAAAAGTATATAATAGTAAAAATAATTTACCCGTTCAAAAATAAATATGAATTTTAAATAATGTCACAAATGTTTTAAAAATTCATTATAAGATAAAGTAAAATGTGTCAACTAACTTGATTAAGAAATGACAAGCTACTAGTGAGTTTCTCCCCAATTTGTCCCCATCCCCGAGGGTAACATGTTTATTATCCTTTTATATTTGTTTATATTTGTACCTCTTTTGCTTTTGTTTATAATTGTGTTGCATATATATGCATGTTTTGCGTGCTATAAGTATTTGAAATGTATGTGACTGTTATAATGTATATCTCTGTATGTTATACTGTTATTCTGGGCCAGATGTGGTGGCTCACGGCTGTAATCCCAACACTTTGGGAGGCCAAAGCGGAAGGACTGCTTGAGGCTAGGAGTTCAAGACCAGCCTGGCAAACATAAAGAGACCCCTCCTCTCTAAAAATAATAAAAGAAAAACAAGCAAACAAAAATAAACTAACTTTGATGTCTTAAATACATATTCTCTTCCAGAATGTTCCAAATTTTCTTTTTAACATTTAAATCTTTAATTTTCTCTGTCCAGCTTTTTACGTATGAAGTGAATTTAGAATCTGCAATAGCCCGAGTAAACTCACTGCTGCAATCAAAACACACACATATACACACAACTTCAGTAGCTTTGCAAAATAAATGTTTATTTATTCTTCATGGAACAATATAATGTAGGTCAGCAGGGGCTCTACTCCATACAGTGATTCAGATTTTCAGGGTCCTTTCATTTTGTGGCTATGTTATCCTCTAAAGTCCTCAGTATTTTCTCCATTCTACTGACAAACAGATGAAGAGAATGAAAAATCACACATGGGAGGGTTTTATGGACCAGGCCTGAAAATGATGTAGGTCACATCTACTCATATTACAGTGGCCAGAACTCAGGCACATGGCTATGCCTAGCTTCAAGAATACTAAGAAATGTAGTCTTCATGTGTGCCCAGTAGGAAACAAACAAACAAAAAAACTTGATAAAAAATTAGGCATTTTCTGTTACAGAATCAAATTAAAATTTTTTTCCCATTAGGTATAAGCACAAATTAGAACAAGAAAGATCTTACTCAGTTTAAGAATGCAATCATGTAATTCATTCTAAGGGATATGTTTCAATAAACAGTGGAATTTCCTCATTCTCTTAGAATGATATAGGGAAACCTTACACCTGAATTAAAACATTATGAAGCTATTACACATTGAGGATAGTACTAGAGTAAGAATTCATCCCTATATAATTATTATACAATTAATGTGGTGTTTTAAAACATTGAAAAAGCTAAATACAGCAGGCATTTTTAACATAAAATTTAAAGATAAAACATTACTGATATTGAATGAAACACTGGTGTTTCAATTTCATTCCTAATACTGCTACAACAGTAAAAATTATATTGTATAATTTATTCCGTGCATAGCATAATGGTTTAAATACAAAACCTTATTCTGTATAAGATATTTTCCAATATAGCTACATTAAATTACTATTTAATTATTACAAAATTTTTATTAAGTTATCAAGTATAACTGTGTTTTACAAATGTCCTTCAAAGTGAAATTATCTAGATAGACTTTATTCTGAAATAAAAAATAAATTCAGAACCAATATAACATAAATATTTTATACATATTTTGCTTTAATATTGTATTAGAAGCAAATTGGGATCCAAGCCCTGATTTCATGTTTTGAATATTAACTGTTGAAGCTTCATGGAAATTTTCAAGAGTCTGTGAAATCCCAAGTAATCATTATTATATTGTAAAAGATAAAAAATATCTATTAAAAACTAGTATTCTATTAGGTCAATATAAGAAGGTACAAATGCCTCAAAATTAAGATGAACAAAAAACTATTGATAAGCTTACAAGAAAAAAGGACATTTTGGTTTTAACATGAACCTTAGAATCATATTTTCTGTTGAAGAATATTTTTGCTTAAATATAAATACTTTTGTTAGTAGGCAAGGGAGCTACATATTTATATAATCAATGAACTCCACTGTTTTAAAAGAATGTTTAAGACATTCATTAGGGTGGCTGGCAAGATGGCCAAATAGGAAGAGCTCTGGTCTGCAGCACCCAGTGAGATCAACACAGAAGGTGGGTGATTTCTCCATTTCCAACTGAGGTACCTGGCCTATCTCATTGGGACTGGTTAGACAGTGGGTGCAGCCCAAGGACGATGAGCAGAAGCAGAGTGGGGCAACACCTCACCCTGGAAACCCAAGGGGTTGGGGAACTCCCTCCTCTAGCCAAGGGAAGCCCTGAGGGAATGTGCCATGAGGAATGGTGCACTGCGGCCCAGATAGGATGCTTTTCCCATGGTCTTCGCAACCCGCAGACCAAGAGATTCCCTCCAGTGCCTACGCCACCAGGGCCCTGGGTTTCAAGCACAAAACCGGGCAGCCATTTGGGCAGACACCAAGCTAGCTGCAGGAGTTTTTTTTCATATCTTAGTGGTGCCTGGAACACCAGCGAGACAGAACTGTTCACTCCCCTGGAAAGGGGGCTGAAGCCAGGGAGCCAAGTGGTCTAGCTCGGTGGATCCCACCCCCATGGAGCCCAGCAAGCTAAGATCCACTGGCTTGAAATTCTCGCTGCCAGCACAGCAGTCTGAAGTTGACCTGGGATGCTCGAGCTTGGTCGGGGGAAGGATATCCACCATTACTGTGGCTTGAGTAGGTGGTTTTCCCCTCACAGTATACAAAGAAGGGCATTACATAATTGTAAAGGAATCAATGCAACAAGAAGAGCTAACTAACCTAAATATACATGCACCCAATACAGGAGCACCCAGATTCATAAAGCAAGTTCTTAGAGACCTACAGAGGGACTTAGACTCCTACACAATAATAGTGGGAGACTTTAACACCTCAGTGTCAATATTGGACAGATCAATGAGATGGAAAATTAACAAGGATATTCAGGACTTGAACTCAGCTCTGGACCAAGCAAACCTAATAGACATCAATAGAACTCTCCACCCCAAATCAATAGAATATACATTCTTTTTAGCACCATATTGCACTTATTCTAAAATTGACCACATAATTGGAAGTAAAAAACTTTTCAGCAAATGTAGAACAACAGAAATCATAACAAACAGTCTCTCAGACCACAGTGCAATGAAATTAGAACTCAGGATTAAGAAACTCACTCAAAACTGCAAAACTACATGGAAACTGAACAGCCTACTCCTGAATGACTACTGGGTAAATAACAAAATTAAGGCAGAAATAAATAAGTTCTTTGAAACCAATATGAACAAAGACACAAAGTATCAGAATCTCTGGGGCACAGCTAAAGCAGTGTTTAGAGGGAAATGTATAGCACAAAATACCCACAAGAGAAAGCAGTAAAGAACTAAAACTGACACCGTAATATCATAATTAAAGAACTAGAGAAGCAAGGGCAAACAAATTTAAGAGCTAGCAGAGGAAAAGAAATAACTAAGATCTGAGCAGAACTGAAGGAGATAGAGACATGAAAAACCCTTCAAAAAATCAAGGAATCCAGGAGATGGTTTTTTGAAAATATCAACAAAATAGATAGACCACTAGCCTGAATAATAAAGAGGAAAAGAGAGAAGAACCAAATAGACACAATAAAAAATGATAAAGGGGATATCACCAATGATCCCACAGAAATAGAAACTACCATCAGAGAATACTATAAACATCTCTATGCAAATAATCTAGAAAATCTAGAAGAAATGGATACATTCCTGGACACATACACCCTCCCAAGACTAAACCAGGAAGAAGTCGAATCCCTGAATAGACCAATAACAATTTCTAAAATTGAGGCAGTGATGAATAGCCTACCAACCAAAAAAAGTCCAGGACCAGAAGGATTCACAGCCAAATTCTACCAGAGGTACAGAGAGGAGCTGGTACCATTCCTTCTAAAAATATTTCAAACAATAGAAAAAGAAGGATTCCTCCTTAACTCATTTTATGAGGGCAGCATCATCCTGATGCCAAAACCTGGCAGAGACACAACAAAAAAAAGAATATTTCAGGCCAATGTCCCTGATGAACATCGATGTGAAAATCTTCAATAAAATACTGGCAAACTGAATCCAGCAGCACATCAAAAAGCTTATCCACCACAATCAAGTTGGTTTCATTCCTGGGATGCAAGGCTAGCTCAACATACAAAAATCAATAAACTTAATCCATCACATAAACAGAACCAATGACAATAACGACATGATTATCTCAATAGATGCAGAATAGGCCTTTGACAAAATTCAACACCCCTTTATGCTAAAAACTCTCAATAAAATAGGTATTGATCGAATGTATCTCAAAATAATAGGAGCTATATATGACAAACCCGCAGCCAATATCACACTGAATGGACAAAAGCTAAAAGCATTCCCTTTGAAAACCAGCACAAGACAAGGATGCCCTCTCACCACTCCTGTTTAACATAATATTGGAAGTTCTGGCCAGGACAATCAGGCAAGAGAAAGGAATGAAGCATATTCAAATAGAATAGAGGAAGTCAAATTGTCTCTGTTTGCAGATGACATGATTGTATATTTAGAAAACCGCATCGTCTCAGCCCAAAATCTCCTTAAGCTGATAAGAAACTTCAGCAAAGTCACAGGATACAAAATCAATGTGCAAAAATCACAAACATTCCTATACACCAATCATAGACAAATAGAGAGCCAAATCATGAGTGAACTCCCATTCACAATTGCTACAAAGAGAATAAAATACCTAGGAATACAACTTACAGGGATGTGAAGGACTTCTTCAAGGAGAACTATAAACCACTGCTCAAGAAAATTAGGACACAAACAAATGGAAAAACATTCCATGCTCATGGATAGGAAGAATTAATTTTGTGAAAATGGCCATACTGCCCAAAAATGTATAGATTGAATGCTATCCCCATCAAGCTACCATTGACTTTCTTCACAGAATTAAAAAAAACTACTTTAAATTTCATATGGAACCAAAAAAGAGACCATATAGCCAAGGCAATCCTAAGCAAAAAGATCAAAGCTGGAGGCATCATGCTACCTGACTTCAAACTATACTGCAAAGCTACAGTAAACAAAACAGCATGGTACTGATACCAAAACAGATATATAGACCAATGGAACAGAACAGAGGCCACAGAAATAACACCACACATCTACAACCATCTGATCTTTGACAAACCTGACACAAACAAGCAATGGGGAAAGGATTCCCTATTTAATAAATGGTGTTGGGAAAACTGGCTAGCCATATGCAGAAAACTGAAACTGGACCCCTTCCTTAAACCTTATACAAAAATTAACTCAAGATGGATTAAAGACTTAAACGTAAGACCTAAAACCATAAAAACCCTAGAAGAAAACCTAGGCAATAACATTCAGGACATAGGCATGGGCAAAGTCTTCATGACTAAAACACCAAAAGCAATGTCAACAAAAGCCAAAATTGATAAATGGGATCTAATTAAACTAAAGAGCTTCTGCACAGCAAAAGAAACTATCATCAGAGTGAACAGGCAACCTACAGAATAGGAGAAAATTTTTGCAATCTATCCATCTGACAAAGGGCTAATATCCAGAATCTACAAGGAACTTAAACACATTTAATAGAAAAAAACAAACCCATCAAAAAGTGGGCTAAGGATATTAACAGACACTTCTCAAAAGAAGACTTTTATGTGGACAACAAGCATGTCAAAAAAGCTCATCATCACTGGTCATTAGAGAAATGCCAATCAAAACCACATCTCACGCCATTTGAGATGGTATCAAAATACCATCTCACGCCAGTTAGAATGGTGATCATTAAAAAGTCAGGAAACAACAGATGCTACAGAGGATGTGGAAAAATAGGAAGGCTTTTACATTGTTAATGGGAGTGTAAATTAGTTCAACCATTGTGGAAGACAGTATGGTGATTCCTCAAGGATCTAGAACCAGAAATACCATTTGACCCAGCAAACCCATTACTGAGTATATACCCAAAGGATTATAAGTCGTTCTACTAAAAAGACACATGCATACGTATGTTTATTGCAGCACTGTTCACAATAGCAAAGACTTGGAACCAACCCAAATGCCCATCAGTGATAGACTGGATAAAGAAAATGTGGCACATACACAGCCATCAAAAAGGATGAATTCATGTCTTTTGCAGGAACATGGATGAAGCTGGAAACCATCATTCTCAGCAAACTAGCACAGGAACAGAAAACCAACCACCTCATGTTCTCACTCATAAGTGGGAGTTGAACAATGAGAACACATAGACACAGGGAGGGGATTAATATCATTACTTTAGTGGATATAACAGCATGAATAATTATCTTGATTTAGTCTGTGAGATTGTCAGAAATATAATTCTAATAATCAAACAGAGAGACTTAAATCACTAGTCTCTAAAATGAAGGTCTCTGGTGTAAAGTTAGTACCAATTTTGATAAGGATATGCTTATCATAATTAGAGTATCATATAATGGTATAATACTGTGTTTTTCAATGAATAAAATATTACGATATGTGCAACTAATTACTGATACATAATTTTTATCTTCAAATATTGATATATTTTATAATAAAAATTAAAATTATAAAGCAATACTAACAATATGATGCTTTATTAGAACAGACACGGCTAAATTTATAGCAAATGTTCAATTCCTGATTTGATGACCTAGATACATTGCACGTGTGATACACTGTATAGTAAATACAATACAAGGGTAAAGATTTTGAATACAGATAGACCTGGATTAAATCTAGAGTTCATCTTGTATTTACTGTATGATTGTGGCCTAGTTGCAAATTTTTTTCAAAGCAAAAGTTCTTCACCTGTAAAATGAAGATAGATTATAACACCTATCCAGCATAGGATTACTCTAAAGAATCAGTAAATTATGTAATATGCTTGGTTCAGGCTTGGAAATCACAAGCACCAAGTCTGTGGACATTTACATAATACTTGAACATTATTTCAGCAAACATTGCTACATCTAGTGATAAGCATGTGGTATAGTGATATGAAGGTATATATAGATTATATATGCTGTATATATAGATTATATATGCTATATATATATCATGACTGTAGGCAATTCATTAAAATAATAAATTTGTTATAATTTATCTGTAGTAATAAAGATTTTCTTAACAGTGATTACCTGAAGAGTCCATCACTGCTAAAAAATATGGCTGTAGTAATTCTCTGATACTTCTGCACACATGGAGAACCTCAAAGCTAACAAATCTGCATTCTTTCAGAAGATATTCTACAACTGATAAAATTATTATTCCATATCATAAAAAAAATGGATTTTTTTTAAATGTATTTATAATAATGGCTTCTAGTTTTGAAGGTAAATCCAGGCAGGAAGAAGTGAGAAATCAGGAAAGTCGTCTCTGAATTGTGCTATTATTACCTGACATTGGTGCACTGTGGAATAGGCATATATTTATATGGACTTCTTTCTCTTGTGAATGGTGTTGTTTCTTAACACCAAAACTAACATGTCTATTTTACATATCCGTATTCATACTTAATCACACAAATACTTGAAAATTCTATAGGTTTGCTATTCACTTCCCTCAGGGCAAATTAAATGTCATTTAAAATTTTCTTCTACATTTTGACTTACAATTTGAACTAAAATTCTATTAGGAACAATACTCTTTCATATTCCACAGGTTCCATATGCTATTTTTTTCACATATTTGATGTTGATCACCACTTTCCAATCAATCTTATCTTCTCTATATTCAACATATGCACAGTCTTTAATTTTGGTTACTTTTGTGTCAAGCCATTTCACAATTACAGTATCTTTTCTGTTTTTTACTTTCCATGTGAGATATGAATATAGCATAATAGAGTGGATAAAAGCATTCTCAGGCTATTTTCCTTCTGACATTTACTGACTGGGTAACCCCAGACCAGCTAAACTTTTTCCCTCAGTTTTTCCATCTCTGCAATAAGTATACAAATCTCACAAGGTTATTGTGAAGTTCATGTGAGATATAAATAAAATTAATTTTTTTTTGTTGTGAGATGCTCAGCTCAGTATTTATTCAATATTAATTATGATATTATAAAAAATTAACTTAAAGGTGTAAAAAAGGTGGAAGGCATCAAGGTTAGGGTTATGAAATGAGTACATGAGAAAGCACACAGGAAAAAGTTGGAGAGAAGATAGAAACAAAAAAGAGACTATCTCCCGTAAACATTACATCTTAGCTTTATGGGGAAGAAAAGAAAGAAAAAAATTCTTGTTTTTTACATAAAGGGAATTCTTGGGAATTTTGTGACTGACCTCAGGATGAGAATTGCTGGAAGTTTGATCCCTTAGTACAGTTTAGATGTCCATTCTTTGGTGCTTAGGTAACTTGCCTTTTCTCACCATAGAACTTATTATTCTATGTAGTAACTTCTTGTTCATTTGTTGGAATTCCCAAAGATCATATGCACTATGTAGATAGGAGATAGAAAATGCTGAATAAAATTTTCTGAAAGAATTTTAAGTATAAACACACTCATATATAGGGTTGAAGTTATATTATTTCTCTGAGCTATGGGCTATCTATGCAATGATGAAAACTCCTCACTCAATCTCAACTTTGCCAAGTCTTACAAAATTTTACTTTTTATAAGAGTAAAAATAATACAGCTTGAAAGATTTAAGAAAACACTTCAAAAATAAGAAATTTGAGCAGAAAACAAAATTTAGGGGCAAAAACCAACACTTTGCAAAAGAAAGGTAAATATGTAAAGGAAATATCTACTAGTAAATGGGATTAATACATTTTCTTACATCTGTATAGCTCAAGACAAATTATTGTCTACTTAATGCTGGTCTATGCTTTATGTATATATCAATGGTTACACAAGGAGACTTATAAGGGAAGAAAAGAGAGCTATACTAATTAGTAATTTTTTAATCTTTGAGTTTTTTCCTGTTCACATTTGTGAATATCGATACTAGTTTTTTTTAACAAAATAGTTAGAAATTGTGATTGTTTGAGTATTTCACTCTCTTTCTGGCCCCTTTCATCTTCCAAATTAATGGACTGTGTTTATCCTTTCCCAACTGTCTAACTGCCTATCAAACAAAACAACAACAAAACAGATGGGAGAATAAGATAATTCTCAGGAGATTTGTTAATACAGTGAGTCCTCCATATCCGCAGGTTCCACAAATGAAGGTTCAGTGAATCATGAATCAAAAATATTCACGAAAAAACAAAGAACTATAAAAAAATTCAAATTTAAAAACCAATATAGTATAATAATTATTTACATAGCATTTGCATTGTATTAGGTATTATAAGTAATCTAGAGATTACAGTCTATGAAAGGATGTCTGTAGGTTACATGCAAATATTATGCCATTTTATATCACTGACTTGAGCATTCAAGGATTTTGATATTTGAGAAGTGTCCTGAAACCAATCCCCTATGGATACTGAGAGACAACTGATTGGAATGGGATGGTAATATCAGATCATATGAAATTCCAAAATTTAATAGTGACATCCTGGAAGAGAATATATGGATGCAAATAATTTAGGCAGAATAAAAGTTACATTTTTATATGAGTATGACTAAATGAATGTTTCCCAAACATGGTTTATTTTCACACTCATCTGGGTAGTTATTTAAAATGTCATTCATAGCCCTGTTCTCAATCTCCTGCATTTAAATGTTTGAAATTAGGTTCTAGAATTGATAGATTTAACCAGCTTTAGTTCTTAGACAATTATAAAACTGCCAGCAGATGGACATGTGGGAGCCTTTACTATAAATACTTGGCCAGATATAGATCATAAAACTGAGCTGCAAAGAGTCAATGATACCATGGGGACCTTCAAATATCAGTAAAGTACTGTAGTATGATAAGAAATATATTTGGTCTTTTTTCAGGCTTCCTGGCACAGAGTTCCAAAAATCCTTGGAATTTCCTGAGTGATAGCAGTAGCTTTTGTTATTTATAATGAGCCTGTTTTGATCATACCTGAGTTTATGCTAATGAGGTGACTTGTGGTGGAGCTCTAGGTAGCCTCAGGCTGGGTTCAGTCCCCCAGAAAGACCAAGTGATTAGAAGATTGGAACTTCAAGCCCCAACCAACAACCTCCAGGAAAGTAGGGTAGGGCTGAAGATTAAGCTCTATAAAATCTCTTGAGCAATGAGATTTGATGAGCTTCCAGGTTGATAAATACATCAGGGTGAGACAGCCTAGAAATTCTGTGTCCCACTTCCTTCATACCTTGCCCTATGCATCTCTTTTATTTGGCTGTTCCTGAGTTGTATACTTCATTATAAACCAGTAGACATAGGAAAAGTTTCTCTGAATTCTATGAACCATTCTAGCAAATTATGGAAAATAAGGAGAGGATCATGGGAACCCTGAATTCATAGCCAGTCAAAATTGTGATAAGTATCTTCAGCAGGGGAAGACTTATGAAACTAAGCCCTTAACTTCTGATATCTGACACTAACTCCAGGTAGGTAGTGTCAGGATCGAATTGAATTGTAGGACACCCATCTAGTGTCAGAGAATTGGTCAGTATCAAAAAAGCCCAAACTTCTGGTGCCTGAAGTGTTCTGTGTTAGAGTGCAGAGAGACAGTGGCTATATGTTCTAACCTTTTTGTAAATTTGGGACATTTTCAAGTACTGAGAGAAAATAGTGATTTTTTTTTCCCCGTTGCAAACCACTTTATATCTCAGAAGATTAACAAAAAAAGAAACAAAGAGAAATGCTAATATAGATTTAAATTAACCAATATAGAGAATCTGTTTTGTGAAATGACAAAGATGTCACTTATGGATAAATTAATTATATCATATGTGGTTATATGTGCTGTTTGAAGTGCTAGTCTCAACATCTATTTTAAGTGAATAAATGAAGTAGTAAAATGTTAACATTGATGTCGTGAATATCAGACTTTGGCAAGAATAATTCAATATATTCATAGAAACCATGCTTTAACTCTAGATGTGGAAATGTTTTATAGGAAACTTTCAAAATGTGTTTTGACCATGGAATTCTGAATGACCTTGGTAAAAAAGAACAGGGAGAGTTATCTAGGAAGATCAAAGTGCTTTCTATAAAGTTCTCTGGTAAGCACAGATTAAAAGTAAACTACACAAGAAAAAAGCAAAGAGAGAATTAAAGAATATGGCAAGACATTAGCAGGTGTATTTCAGAACAGCAACAGGAATGCTAAATCTCAAAGTGCACTAATATTTCCAAAATCTCTAAAAAAGCAAAGTTTTTACTTATGTTGTGAACCAGATTGTGAAAGTTCTCTCCCTAGGCCAAATACTATAATAATAAATAGCTAAAGAGGAAAAGATGATCTTTTTAACCTCAATTTTGTTTTCATCTTTTCTTTCAAACGTGATAATCCTCATGTTGGAAGGAAGAAACTAAAATGATGAAGAGAAGTTAAAATTCCAAATAGTTGAAGAAATATGAACAGAAAAAGTATAACAAATTCTCCAAATGACTTACTTTTCTGGCTTAGGAAGTATCTAATTTAGGGTGCTGAGTAATTTTGAAGATAAGATCGATGTCAGTAATCTTTGAGGAGCTATTGATAATTGGGGAGCTGCCAGGAGAGTAAAGAAAGGAAAATGTCCTAAGTTTACGAAAAGGTTAGGCAGAGTCTTAAAACTATAGACCAGGGATCTTGACATTTATGCTCAGTAAAATATTTGAAGGAAATGGACGGATGATTTTTGAGTACTGGGAAAGGTCATAATTAGCAGCAGTGAGCACATGTTCACTAAGAATAAGGTATGGTAGGCTGTCTTTATTCCCTATTTTTGACATAATGACTAAGTTGGTATTCCAGAGGACTGATATAGAAATAGCATATTTGGATTAACGAGGCATTTTTAATCTTTTGCACAAGATAGAAATGTGTGAACTGTATGATAATAGCAATAAGCAGGCTCACCACTAGTTTGGTATTTTACCTAATGAATATTAATTACTAAAGTAGCATCGTCTTAGAAAGAAATAGATCTGTCCTCTTTTTTTTTTAGCTTTTGTTTTAATAACATGAAGAAATGTCAGGTGTTGCAATGTTAGGTGTTTTAAATTGCATATCACTAGTCCAAGCAGTAAAGATTTTATATATTTACAACTATGGAAGTGAATTAGCAGTAGACCAGGAACATGTGACATTTATAAATTTGAAAGACAACTACTTATGAGGTAGACAGCTGCAGCTGAGAGAAACAAAGGATAGCTTTATGGTCTAGGAAAGAACTTTAAATCTGGAAACCTTCAGATGTCACAGCTGGTACATCAATGAAAAAGATGCAAAGTGGTCACTACAGTTCAAGTCCAGAGATTAAGCAGAGAATTAGAATCATAGGCGACAACACTTTAGCTTGAAACACTCTTGAGACAGTTGGAAATAAGAACCAGGGCAGCACTGTAACCAAAAACATCCAGATGGAATTAGAAGATCTTTGTACATCTCTGTAACTTTGTACAGAGCCAAAATATAATTGCAAAAATCCCAAAGCCCAAATTCATAATATGCTTAGAAAAAACTTTACCACAACTGAGTTTGTTTTGAAATATGGAATTTCAGGCTTTGGTGGGCTAGAAATATACATATATTCTATCTATCTACCTACCTATCTATCATCTATATCACTCTCTCTCTCTATCCATTTATCTATCTATCTATCTATCCTTTGTATTTATCGTGGTTAAAAAAAACACATAAAATTTGCCATCTGAACCATTTTATACATACAATTAAATGGTGTTAAGTATATTCACATTGTTGTAAAACAGACCTCTAGAACTTTTTCATCTTGCAAATTTGAAACTCTATATCCATTGAACAACAACTTCCCTTTTTCCTCTTTCCAGCCTCTGGTAACAACTATTCTACTTTCTGTTTCTATGAACTAGGCTATATTAAATATATCTCACATGTAGTATCATACAGTATTTGTCTTCTTGCAACTGGCCTATTTCATTTATCAAAATGTCCCCAAGGTTCGTCCATGTTGTAGCATATGACAGGATTTCCTATGTTTTAAAATTTAGTAATATTCCATTGTATGTGTATATGACATTTTGTTTGTACATTCCTCTATTGATGGGCATTTGGGTCACTTCTACCTCTTTGCTATTGTGAATAGTGTTACTATGAGCATGGGAGTGCAAATATCTCTTTGAGATCCTGCTATCAGTTCTCCTGGTTATAGCCCAGAAGTGAAATTGTTGGATAATATGGTACTTTCCTTTTTAATTTTTTGAAGAAGCTCCATACTGTTTGTCATAACAGTTGTGTTACCAGACAGGGATCCCGATCCAGAACCCAAGAAAGGGTTCTCAGACCTCACACATGAAATAATTTGGGGCAAGTCCATAGAGTAAAGTGAAAGCAAGTTTATTAGAGAAATAAAGCAAAGAAAGAATGACTGGCTACTCCATAGTGGGAGCAGTGGCATTGGCTGCTCTCCTGAGTATACTTACAGTTATTTCTTGATTATATGTTGAACAAGGGGTGGATTATTCATGAGTTTTCTGGGAAACGGGTGGGCAATTCCTGGAGTTGAGAGTTTGTCCCCTGTTTAGACCATATAGGGTAACTTCCTGATATTGCCTTGACATTTGTAAGCTGTCTTAGTGCTGGTGGGAGTGTCTATTATTAACATGCTAATGCATTATAATTAGCATGTAATGAGCAGTGAGGACAACCAGAGGTCACTTTTGTCACCATGTTGGTTTTGATGGGTTTTGGCCAGTTTCTTTGCTGCAACCTGTTTTATGATCTTTAATGTCCTATGATCAGCAAGGTCTCCTATCTATCTCATCCTCTGACTAAGAATGCCTGACCTCCTGGGAACACAGCTCAGTATGTCTAAGCCTTATTTTACCCAGCCTCTATTCAAGATAAAGTCACTCGGGTTCCAACGCCTTCGACAGTTGTGCCATTTTACAATCCCACAAGCAGGGCACAAGGATTCTAAGTTCTTCATATCCTTGTCAACTCTTGTTATTTTCTGTGTTTTTGATAGTAGGTATTCTAAAGGGTGTCAATATTTTACTGTGGTTTTGCTTTGCATTTCTCTGATGATTAGTGATGTTGACCATTATTTCAAATGCTTGATGACAATTTGTATATAATCTTTGGAGAATTGTCTGTTCAAGCCATTTGCTCATTTTTAAATTGGTTTATTTTAATTTTGTTAACTTGTAGGAGTTCTTTATCAGATATATGATTTGCAGATATCTCTATCATCCATAGGTTGCATTTTCCTTTCATTAACTGTATCATTTGACTGTTTTAAAGTTTGATATAATCTCATCTAATTTGGCTTTCATTCCCTATGCTTTTTGGGTGTCATATTTAAGAAATCATTGCCATGCTGAGTGTCACCAAGTTTTTCCCCTATGTTTTCTTCTAGAAGTTTTATAGTTTCAGATCTCTAATAAAGTTTGAATTAATTTCCATATACGTATGATATAAGGTTCCAACTTTATATTTTTGCATATGGGTATTCAGTTTTCACAACACAATTTTTGAAGAGACAGTTTTTTTCCCATGTAGTGGTTGTGGCACTCTTGTTGATGATCATTTGATTATACATGCTTGGGTTTATTTTGGGGCTCTTTATTCTATTCCGTCAGTTTATATGTCTGTCTTAACATAAATACAACACTATTTTGTTTACTAAATCCGTATTAGCCAGAGTTCTCCAGAGAAACAGAACCAATAAGCAATATAAGTGTATATAATTATTATAAGAAATTGGCTAAAGTGATTATGAAGGCTGGGAAGTCTTGCATAGTTCCAGCCTGTGGCTAAAAGTCTGAGAATCAGGAAGACCAATGGTATAAGCTCCATTCTTAAAAGTGGCAGGTTGGAGACTCGAGAAGAGCCAATATTTCAGTCTGAATTCCAAGATCACAAAAGACCAATGTCTCAGCTCCAAAGTCAAGCAAGAATTTCCTCTTAGCATTTTTGTTCTATTCAAGTCTGCAATTGATTGGAAGAGGCCCATCCACATTAGGGAGGGCAATCTGCTTTCATTAGTGTGCTGATTCAAATGTTAATCTTATCCAGAAACACCCTCACAGACATAAGATGAATAATGTTTGACCAAATAACCTGAGCACACAATGACCCAGTCAAATTGACATATAGAATGAACTATTATAGTATCTTTGTAATATGTCTGAACTCAGGAAATGTGAGCCTTCTTTACTATTTTTCAAAAATGTTTTAGGCTATTCAGTGTCTCTTGAGATTAGATATAAATTTTAGGATAATATTTTTTCTATTCCTGAAAGGAAAATGCCGTTGAGAAAATAATAGAAATTGTATTGAATCTGTAGATTACTTTGGGTACTATTGCCGTCTAAACAAAATTAAGTCTTCCACTCCATGAAAATGGGAGTTTCCATTTGTTTGTGTCTTCTTAAAGTTTTTATAGCAAGTTTTGTAGTTTTCATTGTATAAATCTTTCACTTAATTCCTAAGTGTTTTATTATTTTTAATGCTGTTATGAATAGAATTATTTTTAAAATTTTATTTCTGTATTTATTGTTTGATATGGAAATACAACCAATTTTTGACTGCTGATTTGTTTTCTGCAATATTGCTAAATTCATGTATTAGTTCTAGCAACTTTGCATGTATGAGTGTATGTGTGTAACCTTTACAATTTTCTATATATAAGATCATACCATCGGTAAACAGAGATAATTTTACTTCTTCCTTTGCAATTTGAATGACTATATCTTTTTCCTTTCTAACTGCTCTGGCTACGACTTCCAATACTATTGAATAGAAGTGCTGAGAGTAGGCATCTTTGCCTCATTTCTCATCTTAGAGAAAAACCTCTCAGTCTTTCACCATTGAGTATGATGGTAGCTGTGTGCTTTTTATAAATGCCCTTCATTTTGTTAAAGTAATTTTCTTCTATTTCTAGTGTAATCAGGGTTTTTATAATGAAAGGGTTTTAAATTCTGTTAAATGCTCTTTCTGCATTAATTGAAATGATCATGTAGGTTTTCACCTTCATTTTATTAATGTAGTATATTACCTTGATCTATTTTTTTGTATATTGGACAACATCCTTGAATTCAAGGTATAAATCCCCTTTGGTTGTGGTGTAGAATCTTTTTTTTTTTTTTTGAGACAGAGTCTTGCTCTGTTGCCAAGCTGTAGTTCAGTGTCATGATCTTGGCTCACCGCAACCTCTGCCTCCTGGGTTCGAGTGATTCCCCTGCCTCAGCCTCCTGAGTAGCTGAGACTACAGGCACACATCACAACACCAGGCTAATTTTTTGTGTTTTAGTAGAGACAGGGTTTCACCACGTTGGCCAGGATGGTCTCAATCTCCTGACCTCATGATCCACCTGCCTTGGCCTCCCAAAGTGCTGGGATTACAGGCATGACCCACCGTGCCTGGATAGTTTATAATCTTTTTAACGTGCTGTTGAATTTGATTTGCTAGTGTCTTGTTGATAATTTTTGAATCAACATTTATCCAATTGGTCTTTAGTTGTCTTTTTTTTTATTGTCTTTGTATGACTTTGGTATTAAGGTAATGCTGATCTCATAGAATGAGCTTGCAAGTATTCTTTATTCTTCAATTTATTGGAAGAGTTTTCAGAGGATTGGTGTTAATTCTTTAATAGTTCAGTAGAATTCTTCAGTTAAAAATATCTCATTCTGATTTTTTTTTTATTTGGAGGTTTCTGATTACTGTTCCAATCTCCTTATGTATTACTGGTCTATTCAAACTTCCTATTTCTTCATAATTTAGTTTTGATAGGTGTGTGTTTCTAGGAATTTGTCCATTTCTTCTAGGTTATCCAGTTTGTTGGCATATAATTTTTCACTGCATTCTGTTATAATTCTTTTTAATTTCTGCAATATCTGTAGTAATACACATTCTTTTATTTCTGATTTTGAGTATTTGAGTCTTCCCTCTTTTTTCTTAATCTAAGAATTTTTCAGTTTTGTCCATCTTTAAAAAAATTATTAGTTTTTAATTATTTTTATTGTCTATTCGGTTTATCTTTGCTGTAATCTGTTTTTTTTCCTTCTGCTAGATTTTAGGTTTAGTTTGTTGTTCTTTTCCTAGTTTCTTGATTCCTAAATCTAGTTCTTTGATTTGAGGTTTTTCTTATTTTTCATGTATGTAATTATGAGGCAGAAATTTAAAAATAAATAAGCATTCATTCACTTCAAGAAAACTAACAGGCAAGTCAAGGGTTCAAAAGAAAAGAACAAGTTTTCCTCTGCCTAGCAAGCTCACTTCAAGGACAGTTACAAGATAACGCTGTCTGCCACTGTCCGGGAAGCCAAGGCCAAAGGAATGAGCTCCAGACACTGCCCCCTTCCAGAGCAAGGTTGAAGGGAAAAAAGAAGAGAGAGACAAATTCTTTTACTGTTACTCCTTTCCCTGGCTTCTTAAACATAACTATGTTTTACAAATGTCTGTATTTAGGCAGCTCTTGTTTTTCTTTTGATGCAGCTACAAGGTCACTAGATACGCAAGGCCACAAGTTATGCTAAGTCAACAGTTATGCTATAGATTATGTGACCTGTCACTGTATGATTAACTGCTTTTTTGCTTCTGTAAGTTTTCTTATAAAAACCCTGCTTAGTCTTTGCTCAATGCTCAGGTTTTTGGATGTGAATCCACTGAGCTGGTGCGTACCTAAAATAAACAATCCTCCTGTTCTCCATATCGGTCTCTCCAGTCCTCAGTTTCCCACAACAATTACAGCTATAAGCTTCCTATATCCCATAAGTTTTAGTATGTTGTGCTTTGATTTTAATTTCCAATTTTCTCAAGGTATTTTCTAATTTCTGCTGTAATTTCTTTGACTCATTGGTGTTTAAGAGGGTGTTGATTAATTTTTACATACTTGTGAATTTTTCTGTTTTCTTCTTGCTGTTTTCCTTGTGTTCCTGTTTTCTTGTGCTTTGATGTTTAGTTTCATATCACTGTGATCAGATAAGATACTTTGCTTAATTTCAATCTTCTTGAATTGGTAAGAGTTGTTTTGTGTCCTACCATGTGGTTTATCCTATAGAATGCTTCATGTGCATTTGAGAAGAAAGTATATTCTGTTGTTGGGGAGTGTTCTTTATATGTCTGTTAGGTTCAATTGCCTATAGTATTGTTCAAGTCCTCTATTTCATTATTGATCTTTTGTCTAGTTTTTTATTTGATTATTTAATGTAAGATTTTGAAGTCTCCTACCATTATTGTGCTGCTGTCTATTTCTCTATTGAATTCTATCAAAGTATGCTTTATGTATTTAGGAGTTCTAAGGTTTTCTGCATAAATGTTTACAAGTGCTATATCTTTTTAGTGAATTGACCCCTTTAACATTATATAATATGCTTAATTGTCTCTTGTGACAGTTTTTACTTAAAGTCTATTTTTTAATATTAATATAGCATCCCCCACTCTCTTTTAATTGTCATCTGCATGGGATATCTTTTTTTATACTTTTATTTTCATCCTCCATTGTCCTTAGAATGCCTTGCAGACAATATATAGTTGGATCCTGTTTTTTAATCCTTTTGGCAAATCTCAGTCTTTTGATCAAGAAATTTAATCTAGTTACATTTAAAGTCATTATAAATGGGGAAGGACTTACTATTGCCTGTTTGTTAATTGTTTTATGTATGTCTTATAGTTTTTCTGTCTCTTCTTTCCTCTCCTGCTGCCGTTCTTTACTTTTCAATGATATTTTGTGGTGACATGCTTTTATTCCTTTCTCATTTCCTTTTGAGTATATTTTATAAATATATTATTTGTGGCTACCATGGCAATTATATAAAATATCTTAAAGTTATTTTATCCTATTTTAAACTGATAACAACTTAGCTTCAATTGCATACAAAAACTCTACTCCCTTATAGCCCATCCCCCACTTTGTTATGAATTTTACAAATTGCATCTTTATGTATTATATGCCCATTAACATAGATTTATAATTTTAAAAATATTTTTGATTATTTTGATTTCTATGTTTCAAAATTGTAATAATACATGTCATGATAAGTGTCTATGTATTTACCTTTATCAAAGAGTCTTATATTTTTGTAGGGCTTTGTGTTGCTGTCTACTGTACTTTCATTTTATTTTGAAAAAAATCCCTTTAGTATTCCTGCAGAACAGGTCTAGGGATAACAAACTGCCTTTGCTTTTGTTTACTTGGGAGTCTTAATTTCTCCATTTTTAAAGAATGGTTTTGCCAGACACAATATTCTTGGTTGATAGTATATTTTTTCTTTTAGCACTTTGAATATGTCATTCTATTTCATTCTAGCATTCAAAATTTCTGCTGCAAGAAAACACTGATAATATAATGAATGCTTCCTATGTGATGGACTACTTTCCTCCTGTTGCTTTCAAGATTCTCTGTACTTGACTTCAGACAGTTTTATTCTATAGTGTGTCTCAGTGTGATTCTCTTTGAATTTATCCTAGTTAATATTTTCTGAGCTTCTTGAACTGTATGTCCATTTCTTTTCTGAGATTTGGGAAGTTTGGGGTCATTATTTCTT
Organism: Homo sapiens; assembly: GCF_000001405.40. Lineage (NCBI taxonomy): Eukaryota > Metazoa > Chordata > Mammalia > Primates > Hominidae > Homo > Homo sapiens. The sequence goes on along the minus strand of NC_000008.11, from coordinate 76,269,488 downwards.
CATATAACCTCTTCTTTCCTCTTTCTCTTCTCCTTCTGGGATTCTCACAATGCATATGTTACTCCATGTGATAATGTCTCTTAAGTCTCTTCTCTTTTCTTCATTTTTTTTTCTTTTATTCCCCTGACATAATGATTTCAAATGAACGGTTTCCAGTTTTGCTAATTTTTTCTTCTGCCTGAAGAAGCCTGCTGTTAACCCTCTCTATGAATTTTTTAGTTCACTTACTGTATTTTTTTCAGCTCCAGAGTTTCTGTTTGGTTCTATGTTACAATTTCTGTCTCTTTGTTGATATTCTCATTTTGTTCATGTGTCATTTTTCTGATTTTATACAGTTGCCTATGTTCTCTTTTAGCTCATTGAACATCTTTTTGAACAATTATTTTAAATTATTTGTCAAGAAGCTCATAGATCTATCTTTCTACATGGGTCATTTATGGCATTTTATTTTTTTCCTCTGGTTGGGTCACATTTTTCTATGTCTTTTATGCCTTGCAGTCTTTTGCTAGGATTTTGGAATTCGGAAAAACAAACATCTTCCATTGTTTGTATATCAGCTGCCTGTATTACTCAGGGTTCTCTAGAGAGACAGAACTAATGGAATATATATATATATATATATATATATATATATATATATACAAAAAAATATATATATATATATTATATATACACACACACACACACACACACACACACACACACATACATGTAGGAATTTATTAAGTATTAACTCACATGATCACAAGGTCCTACAATAGGCCACCTACAGGCTGAGGAACAGATAGAGCCAGTCCGAGTTCCAAAACTGAAGAATTTGGAGTCCAATGTTCGAGGGCAAGAGGCATCCAGCACGAGAGAAAGATGTAGGCTGGGAGGCTAGGCCAATCTCTGTTTTCACAGTTTTTTGCATGCTTATATTCTAGTCACTCTAGCAGCTAATTAGATTGTGCCCACCCAGATTAAGGATGGGTCTGCCTTTCGCAGCCCACTAACTCAAATGTTAATCTCCTTTGGCAACATCCTCACTGACACATCCAGGATCAATACTTTGTATCTTTCAATCCAATCAAATTAACACTCAGTGTTAACCATTATATTTCCTAAAGAGGAAGAGTTTTACCAATCAGCAGAGCAAGAGTTTCTAGGACTTCTCAAACCCTTTTTATTCTCTTGCTTCCCCTAGCCTATGCCTTTGGAGCCATAGGTCTAATGTTCTTTGTTCTTACCTATGTTTTTAGTGGCTTTCAAAATCTGATACTGGACCCATGAACGCTCCAAGTTAGATAAGATAGAAATCAGTTGTTTTGGCAGTTCCCAGATGGTCTGGAATGTTGGAACTGGGCCACTCTTTTGTTTCCATTCCAAGAGAGAAGCCTAAATATGAGGGTTTTCTTGCAATTGCTCCACTCTATCTTCATAAAGGGAGGGCATAAATACATGCGCCAAAGGCTACTATATATATATATATATATGTATATATATATATATATATATATATATATGTGTATATATATATATATATATATTGCCCTTTCACTTGAATTGCTTCTTTATTTTACTATGACCTGGGTGATTCTCAACTGTTCTCCAGAGTTCTCACAAAGATATTTTGGTCTGTATATTATTGCTAACTCTGCGTCCCTGTGGCAGAAGGAGGTCCTGTAGCTTGCTAGTCTTCTATCTTGCGGACATCACTTCAGAACTAGAATTTTGAACATCATTCACCAAGAACAAAGCAGGCAGTTATCTGGTCCTGTTTAGGCTACTCTAGTGAAATTTTATCTAGAGCATTACATTTATTTTGAGACAGTATATATTAAGACCTACAGAAAATAACTAGACCATGTTTAAAGTAGAGAATGCAGAATTATAAAAGGGCTAAAAATTATACCATGTAAAAGCAGAGAAAAAGAGCTTGGAACATCAATAGAAATCAGAAAGTAATGGCTTATGTGATAAGATTTGATGATCTTCATCTTTGAACCTTAGTAACTAGTGCATACCAGGGGCTCGACAAGTATTATTCTAAAAAATCATAATATTATGGATTAGTAATGTATAATATTACCTCCAACCAGTTGAAATAATGTGTTTGTTCCATTGTCACAAATTAGCATTTGTGTATGTGTGTGTAGGTCAATATAGCTACCTGATTTTATATCTTAGGATACTAAGAAAGCAGAGAGGGTGAGCATGTTGCCTGTATTCACTTAGCAAATAAAAAGAATTTAGAATTTGTTTTGAAACTAATTTCATGCTGCTAAATAGACCTAAGCACATCTTCCTTATGTTTTTCATTTATTAAAAAAAAATATAAAATTTGTTCCACATGTGGTATTGAGAAGCTGAGAAACTAGGATGTAATAAAGGCTATTTATATCACAGAATAAGACAAAAACTACAAATCAGTGCTTTTTCATTTTAAAGATCCTGAACTAGCACACCAGTAAATATATGCCTTAGAAATGATAGAAACATGGAAAATGTTTTCTTACATTTAAAACTGCTGGTAGTCTAATCAGGTATTTGATGGGGAAAATCTCTATTAAATGTTTTCTATGGAGCTGTTCAATTTTTCTATTGAGAATCTAGATAAACCATATTGAAGACTGGTCCTAGTTGTTAATAATATCTAATTTTTATATTATAAATTGCAATGACAATTATGTTTACCACTAATTGAGGTCCCATTATACTTTAGGTACTCAGTCAGTCAATTTACATGTGCTATTATTTTCTCGTATATTTATTTTCATGTATTTATTTATTTTATTTGCTCAACAAATATTTTTCAAGGCCAAATAGCTGAGAAAGGTTTTATATGCACACAGTGCTTACCGTTGGTGAAGAAAATATTAAAAAGTTATAAGAAATCTTCTCAGTACTCCTAGTAACCAGGTGCTAGTGTACCCATCTTAACAAATGAGAAAAATAAAGCCAAGTAATTTGAACAAGAGTTTATTATTAATTAGTGGTATAATTTATATTCAAATTCAAATATATATATCTCTTTCAAGTTACACTCTTTCCAATTTATAAACTATTTTTGAAAATATTTATTATGACCTTCAAAAAGCTACCAATGTTTCTAATAAAGGGAAGATATTTACAGTAATTTGAAGTGCCAGATTAAAATATTTCAGAGTGATTCACTGATGTAAAGACAATGATGATTTTAAAATAAAAGTATGAATAAAATTTGGACTTAATAATTAAATACTGTAGCTCTTTCTATAGAGAATATTTGAACATTTTGAAACATACATCTGAATATCAAATATTAACCTCATGAATATCATTGATTTGTCCTTATTTTTGTCAACTTACATACTTTGATTTTATTCTGAAGAATATAGTCTTCTTCCATATAATGCAAAAAAGTCATCCACTTAAAGGTGGATGACTATTTGTGGTTTGGAAGAAGTAGGATTTGAACTATATCTTTCTCAAGTCAAGTATAGCAATATGGGAAATGCTTCTCTTTAATGAACACGAATATGCACCAGATTAGCATTACACTATTTGTAGTTACATACTTGGTCATAAGAAAATGAATAACATTGGGTTAGCTATTTGCACGTTAGGCTTTTCATACTTTATTTGCAGAAAGAGAGAATTGGATTAGATCATTTGTTTTCAATTGATTTCCTAGAAGTATTTATTATGATGCCTAAAATATGAACTCAATATTTTGAAAAATCCTTTATTTACTATATATGAAAAGATAATACGTTTATTAGGAGATGATTTATGATTGTTTCTCAGCCCTTTGGCTGAGATCAAGCGTACATCTGTTCTTTCCAGTTTAATACTTGGTATGTCCTCTATTTGAGGATGCAATATTAAATGAATTTTTGGAACTCAGAGATGGAATAGGAGCTTGCTCAATCCACTTCATATATTGACCTGGCCTATCAGTATTCTCAGAAATGGTACCTCCAAGAGGAATTTTAAAAAATACATTATTGACTTACTTTTCTTTTAAACATAACAAAGTACTGCATAATATTAAATTAGACCTTTTGATCTGAAATGTAACTATTAGTTACTACAGTCTAGCTAAATGGAAAGAATCAATATTTTACTTGGCTTACCATGGGTTAGTCTCCTTTCTTTGGTCATTTGTTATACTAAGGTATTTCAAAGATGAGTTGAGATATCTTGGAGACCATTAAATCCCAGGTAGGAATCCATCACAAATAATGACTGTTAAACTTCTTTTGAATTTTTGAAATCCTATGAGCCTTTCTCCTTTCTCATTTGAGCACTGAAATAAGAATTTTACATTGTTTTCCTGACTATGAAAGAAATACAGTCCTAGGACTCTTCTGGTAACAGTTAAATTAAGCCAACATTATTTATTTTGCATGGTTTTTTTTTGCATTACAGAAAGCCAAGTAAATAACAAATGCTTTTTTGAGGTCTTTTTCTTTCAGTTGCTACCCTAATCAGAAATTTTCATTTTCTCTTTCACTATTATAGTGGATAGTTGACATTTTAATATTGCTCGACTACTTTTCTATGAATATACAGTAATTATTGTCCCATTGATTGTGAGCTCTGGAGAAGGTAAAAAAATGTTTATTTTAGTGTCAAAAAGAAGATTAGAATGAAAATGGTTCCTTTTATAAGGCAAAATAATGAAAAGAATACCAATGGCCACTGGAAAGTTACTTTTTAAAATAAATTGTTTAATATTAATGAATTATTTTATAGCGATTTGCTATTTTTGCTCTTGTGGAAAAGTCATGACTTCTGAATTTATGATGAATTTTTATTATTAGTCTTCTACAAATTCCTCACATTTTATGAATTCCCGATAATACAATACTATTAATTCCAGATAATAGAATAGAAACACATACTATTTTATACACACACACACACACACACACACACACAGTTATATTTCACCTAATTTCAATAACAGTTTGCCTCAATAACTGCTTTACAATGTCCAGTGATCTAATTTAATGATCATGGCAATTTTACTCATGTTTGTAGTGGAAAGTCTGGAGGCTTAAGTGACTTCAACAAGGTAAACTTAATTAATAGAAGATTTGCTCTTATAACTTAAATATACTATTTGCAAATTCAATCCTGACTCATTAATTTACTGATTAATCTATTCCATGACTATTTAATGAGACATGTGTAGCAGTAAGGACCCACAGAGTTTCTCCTTCATGAGAATATACATTGGAGGATAGGAACAAGACAATAGCCAAGTGAACAAACAAACCAGGAGTTTTCAAAGTGGTATGAAGTAGTATAAAATAAAAAAGTCGAGTAACAAGATGGAGACTGAGGGGTTCAGGTGGGAAGGTTGACATGTTTATAGGCACACTTGTCAAGGATGATGACTTTATGGAAATAATATTTTAATTTAGAAATAAAGAATGAGAAGGAGAAAGCAATCTTTAGTGCTGAGTGAAGCTATTCTATGCAGAATAAATAGGAAGGTAAACATTTCTGAAGTAGGAAACAGTTGAACCAGTGTAATTTACAGGAAGAGTTTGGTTCTATAAGAAAGAGATAGAAAGAAAGCTGAATTCTAATAAATAATGGATAGGGCAGAGAGAGAAAAGGTTGGAAAGACATTTAGGAGGCAGATCATGCAGTCTTGTGAGTAGTTGGATATAGGGGAAGAGTTTAATGGAATCTACAATCGTGCTGGGATGGACCCTTCAATTTTAATCAGTGTATTGGAATGGAATCAGATCCCTTATGACTAGGAATGAAAACTATAATGATCTATCTTCCAACTATGTAAAATTGTAGGTGTTTCTCTCATTTTTATTACAATCAGATTCAACTAAATTATAAAAAAAAATGGTACAAGAGATAGGCTGAATTGATTTGAATGAACATGTGAGTGTGTGTGTGTGTTTGAATCCTTATTATCTTATCCCTCTAGGATAAGGCAAATTACTTTAATCACTTTTTAATAAAATTTATAGAAAAATATGTTATATCTCTACATAGCAGCAAGTGTCATGGCTTTTATTAAAAAAAACACTTCTTATATTTAAATATTTTTTCTTTCCTAAATTTAGGGATTAAAATCAGAAACAGTACACTAAGAAAACTCAAGCATTTTATGAACTAAATATATATTCCTCATATATTTTGCCTATAGAAGCAAGATCATGAAAGATGATACACAGTGGTCAGTCAAGCTGATGAATTTCACTATGAGAGTAGTCAGACTACTTGAATTCAGAACTCATTTATACTTTTAAAAAATAAATGCTCCAACTATTTTGTGTATGTCAGTCATATCTATAAATACTTATTATATCATATATTAAAACTGAATTTAAAAAATATCTCTTAATTTATTTGGGGAGCAACAATAATAAGCTCATAATATATTAACATAAATAACATTTTTGTTTTAAAAATGTATGTTTTCCAAGCCAAAACAACATTTCAGAGAAGAATGGCATTGTTTATATATTTTCAAATCTTTTTAATATCTTTTTAAATAGAATTTTCACATCTATTTCTATATTCGATCTATTGTCATATATTGTGTGGTTGCCATATGTGAAAGAAATCACAAATAAATAGTTGGATAAGAGAGTAATATTTAATAGTCTTTTAGATAACTGTGGATATTCGTTTTTGGCATGACACCAAAACCAAGTTGTAGTTTCTTAAAGGTTAGTTGCAGTGTGGAATCTGAAACTGTCCTAATAAACTTTTCTTATTCTGTCTCATTAAAATCCAGTGGTTTATCTTAAACTTTAAATGTGTCTTTACCCATGAATTAGGCTATACTATTATGCACTGGTTATTTGGAAAATAATGGTTGACTGAGTTTTGCAGATCCCTCATGTGTTGACACATTTCTTTATATGATATTTTAAAAACAATGTTAATGGTATCTCCTCTGTCTTATCAGAAAAGTCATTACAAATTAGGAAACTGTCAGGCGCTGAGTTTTACACACCATTACTTTTGCTCTGTCAGTGAAAATAAGAACAAGTAAAAAAGGCAAATAACATCTTCGTATTATTAATAAAACAGTTTTGACATTGCAGATCCCCTGAAAGTGTCTCGAAGATCCCCATGGGTCTGCAGAGCACATTTTGATAAGTGCTGCTCTGTGACACAGGCCGAGATAAGCTTAGATTTTATTTTTAGAGCATTTTGAAGCTTTTGAAAAATTTTAAGCAGAGGAGTAATATGATCTTGTTTAAGACTTAAAAATAACCATTTTGGCTACTAAGTGGAAAAGGATATTTTTGGGAGTAAGAAGGGAAATAGGAGAGAGATAAATTAGAAGGAATCATAAGTAATATAAGAAAAGAGTTAATGATGGCTTTGAGTAGAATGGTAACAGTGGAAATGGAGGAAAAATGACAGAAAGTTTTGAAGATAGAACCATGGTCTTGCCAAAAGATTAAATCTGAGATACATTAAGCTATGGTGACAGTTATAGAAGAGGCTTAGGAGAGGCATAAAATGTTTTGAAGAACAACAAAAGTTCTTTTTTATATAGTATTAATTTTAAAAATACTTCATTAACTGTGTTGAGGGGAAAATAGTATATATTAATTATAAAAATATTTAATTAACTGTGTTGAGGGGAACATAGTATCTTCTAAATATTACCCTTGTGTCCTGCAACCTTACTAAACACTCTGTATTAGTGTTAGTAGCTTTTTAATGGATTTGAAGGAATTTCTATATTCCAAATTATGCTTGAAGATACAGATAGTTATATTTCATCTTTTTTACTATGAATATCTTTTTATTTCTTGCCTTATCTCATTTGCAAGGGGAAGCCATCTCTTTGTATTTTTTTGCTTTTTTACTGATGCAGAATATTTGTACATACTTATCGGGTTCATGTGACATTATTTATAGACTGTGTAACAATGAAGTCAGGGTATTTGGGTTGTCCATCACCTTGACTATTTATATAATTTCTATATTTGTGGAACATTTCAAGTGCTCTCTCATAGCTATTTTGAAATACACAATTCATTGTTGTTGACTATACTCACTCTGCTATCAAACATTAGAATTTATTTTCTATCTAACGTATGTTTGTACTCATTAATCCATTACCACCCACTCTTTACAAACACTCTCCTCACTAATCCATATACCTTTCTTAGCCTCTGGTATGTATCAGTCTACTTTCTACCTCCATGAGAACAACTAATTAAGCTCCCACACATGAGTGAGACCATATAGTATTTGTCTTTCTGTGCCTTATTTCACTTAACACAATGACCACCAGCTCCATCCATGTCGCTGCAAATGACATAATGTCATTCCTTTTATGGTTGAATAGTATTCCACTATGTGTATATATACCACATTTTCTTTATCCATTTATCTATTGATGAACATGGGTTGATTCCATCTCTTGGCTATTGTGAATAGTCCTGCAATGAAGAGAGATATGTAGGCATTTCTTTGATATACTAATTCCTTTTCCTTTGGATAAATACCCAGTAGTAGGATTGCTAGACTATATGGTAATTCTATTTTTATTTTTTGAGAATTATTCATATGTTTTCCATAGTGGCAGAACTAATTTACATGCCCACCAATAGTGTATGAGAGCCCCCTTTTCTCTGTATCCTCACCAGCCATCTGATATTTTGCCTTTTTAATAATAGCTCTTTTAACTGGAGTCAGATGATATTTCATTGTGGTTTTGATTTGGATTTCTCTGATGATTAGTTATACTGAACATTTTTTATATACCTGTTGGCCTCTTATATGTCTTCTTTTGAGGAATGTATATTTATGTTCTTTCCCCACTTTTTAATGGGATTATTATTATTATTACTATTGAGATGTCTGAGTTACTTGTATATTCTGGATATTAGTTCCTTGTCAGACGAATAGTTTGCAATCATTTCCTTGCATTAAAGAGGTTGTCTCTTCACCTTGTTGATTGTCATTTTTGCTGTGCAGTTTTCTAGCTTAATATAATCCCATTTGCCTATTTCTGTTTCTGCTCCCTGTACTTTTGAGGTCTTAACCATAAAATCTTTGCCTAGACCATTGTCTTGGAGTGTTTATATTGTTTTCCTCTTTTATAGTTTCAGGTCTTACATTTAAGTCTTTGATCCATCTTCAGTTGATTGTTGCATATGGTAAGAAATAGGGGTCCGGTTTCATTCTTCTGCATATGGATATCCAGTTTTCCCAGCATTATTTATTGAAGAAGGTATTATTTCCCCAACACATGTTCTTGACACCTTTGTCAAAAATCAGTTGGCAGTAAATATGTGGATTTATTTCTGGATTGTCTATTCTGTTCCATTGGTCTATATGATTGTTTTTATACCAATATCCTGATGTTTTGTTTACTATAGCCTTGTACTATATTTTGAAGACAGGCAGTCTAATGCCTCCAGCTTTGTTCTTTTTGCTCTGGATTGCTTTGGCTATTTGGGGTCTTTTTTGATTCCATACAAATTTTAGGATTGTTTGTTCTATTTCTGTGAAAATATATGTTGGTATTTTGATAATATTTGCATTGACTCTGTAGATCACTTTGAGCAGTACAGTCAATTTAGTGATATTAATTCTTTCAGTCTGTGAGTATGGGATGTCTTTTTATTTGTTTGTCTCCTCTTTAATTTCTTTTATCAATGTTTTATAGTTTTTTTTGCAGAGTTCTTTAACCTGGCTGGCTAAATTTATTCCTAGCAATAAAATATTTTTTAATCTATTATAAATGAGCTAGCCTTCTTATTTCTTTCTCACCTAATTCATTATGGGTGTTTATAAATAAACACTACTAATTTTCATGTTTACTTTTATCCTGCAATTTACTGAATTTATTTATCAGATCTAAGAGCTTTTTGGTGGAGTCTTTATGTTCTCCTAGATATAAGAGAATATCATCTGCAAAGAGAGATAACTTGACTTCCTCTTTTTGAATTTAGATGGCTTTTATTTCCTTCTCTTGGCTGATTGCTCTAGGTAGGACCTCCAGAGGATTCTTACGTTGAATAGGATTGATGAAAGTAGAAATCCTTGTCCTATTTCAATTATTAGAGGGAAGGCTTTCAGCTTTTCCCCATTCAGCATTATGTTAACTGTGGGTTTGTCATATATGGCCTTTATTACACTGAGATATGTTCCTTCAATGCCTAGTTTGTTGAGAATTTTTATCTTAAAGAAATTTTGAATTTTGTAAGTGCTTTTTCTACATCTATTGAAATGATCATATGGTTTTTGTCCTTCATACCATTGATATGACTTGTCACATTTATTGATCTGTATATGTTGAACCACCCTTGCATTCCTAGGAGGAATCCAACTTGATCATGGTGTATCAACTTTTTGATATGCTGTGGAATTCAGCTTGCTAGTATATTGTTGAGAATTATTGCATCAAAGTTCATCAGGTGTTTTGGCCTGTTTTCTTTCTTTCTTGTGTTTTTAGCTAGTGTTGGTGTCAAAGTATGTTGGACTCATAGAATGAGCTAGTGAGAATGTTGCCCTGTTTAGTTTTTTGGAGTATTTTTGAGGAGAATTTTTTCTTAGTTATTTGAAAGATAGAATTTAACACAGAAGCCATCCAGTCCTGAACTTTTCTTTGTGGATAATTTTTTATTACTGATTCAATATAATTACTTGTTATTGGTCTGTTTAGGTTTCCTATTTCTTCCTGATTCAATCTTGGTAGGTGGTATGTGTCTAGGAATTTATTTCCAGTGGGTTTTCCAGTTCGTTACTGTATAGTCGTTTATAGAAATCTCTGGCTGCCTTTTTTTGTTTTGTTTTGTTTTTTGAGATGGAGTCTCGCTCTGTCGCCCAGGCTGAGTGCAGTGGCACAATCTCGGCTCACTGCAACCTCTGTCTCCTGGGTTCAAGCGGATTCTCCTGCCTCAGCCTCCCAAGTAGCTGCGACTACAGGTGCGTGCCACCACACCTGACTAATTTTTTGTATTGTTAGTAGAGATGGGTTTTCACCATGTTAGCCAGGATGGTCTTTATTTCCTCACCTCCTGATCTGCTCGATTCCACCTCACAAAGTCCTGGGATTACAAGCATGAGCCACCGCACCCGGCCAGCCTTTTGTGTTTCTCTGTTACCTTTGTAATGTCTCCTTTTTCATTTCTGATTATGATTATTTGTGTCTACTCTCTTTTTTTCTTTGTTATTCTAGTTAGCATTTTATTGACTTTATGTTTTCAAAAAAGCTACTTTTCATTTTATTGATATTTTGTATATTTTTTTCTATTTCGTTTAGTTCTCTGATCTTTGTTATTTCTTACTTTCTACTAATTTTTGGATTGACCTGTTCTCACTTTTCTTGTTTCTTGAGGTGAATTTTTATATTGCTATTTGGAATATTTCTACCTTTTTGATGTAAGCATTTGTTGCTTTTCTTTTAGAGACATCGGTTTGTTTTTTTTTTAATCCCATAGATTTTATGTTTTGTTTAGATTTTCAGTTGTTTCCAGAAATTTTTTGATTTCCTGCTTAATTTCTGTCTTGACCCAGTGATCATTTGGGACTATGCTATTTAATATCCATGATTGTGTACAGTCTCCCAAGTTTCTCTTGTTATCAGTTTTTAGTTTTATTCCATTGTGGTCTGAGAAGATACTTGATATGATTTTGATTTCTTTTCAATTTGTTGAGAATTGTTTTGTGTCCTAACCTATGGTCTATCCTGGAGAATTCTCAAGTGCTAATTAGAAAAATGTGTATTATGTAGCTGTTAAATTAAACATTCTGTAAATATCTCTTAGGTCCATTTGGTCTAATGTCCAATTTAAATCCAATATTTCTTTGTTAATTTTCTGACTAGATGATCTGTCTAATGCTGAGACTGAAGTGTTGACATCTGCAACTATTATCGTATTGAAGTCTATCTCCCCTTTAACATTTAATATTGTTAGCTTTATATATCTAGGTGTGCTCCAGTGTTGGAAGCACATATGTTTAGAATGGTTACATCCTCTTGCTGAATTGATCCATTTATCATTAAATAAAGGCCTTCTTTGCTTCTTTTTATAGTTTTTGACTTAAAGTTTGTTTTATCTAAGAAAAGTATAGCTACTCTGGCTCGCTTTTGGTTTTTGTTTGTATGGAATATCTTTTTACATCCCTTTACTTTCAGTCTGTATGTGTCTTTATAGGTGAGGTGAGTTTCTTGCAGGCATCATATAGTTAGGTCAAGTTTTCTTATCCATTCAGCCACTCTGTATCTTTCAAGTAGAAAGGCTAATCTGTTACTTTTCAGATTATCATTGATATGTGAGGGCTTATTCCTATTATTTTATTAGGAATTGATTTCTGACATTAAAATAATTAATATCATTATTTTAATTGACTTCTGGTTGTTTTGTATATTTTCTGTTCCTTTTTCTCTCTCTTATTATTTATCATTGTGGCTCAGTGGTTTCCTGTATTGGTAACATTTGATTCCTTTCTCTCCCTTATCTGTGTGTTTGCTTTACTAGTGGATTTTACACATTCATGTATTTTCATAATTGTAGCTATCATCATTTGCTTCCAGGTGTAGGACTCCCTTAAGGACTTTTAGTAGGGCTGGCCTACTGGTGATAATTTTTTTCCACTTTTGCTTGTCTGGTAAAAACTTCATTTTTTGTTCATTTATAAAAGATTACATTACTGGGTATATTATTATTTATGGCAGTTTGTTTCTTTCAGCACTTTGAATATATGATCCTATGTTTCTACTAAACTATAAGGCTTTTGCTGAGAAGTCCACTCTTAGTATCATGGGGGTTCTCTCATAAGTGATTAGTTACTTTTATTTTGCTATTTATAGAATGCTTTATTTGTCTTTGACTTTTGATCATTAGACTATAATGTGCCATGTAGAAGACCTTTTTGAACTGTATCTGTTTAGAAATCTCTAAGCTTCCTGTATGTGGATGTCTAAATCTTTTGTTAGACTTTGGAAGTTTCCAGCTTTATTTTATTAAGTAGGAATTTTTAAATCTTCTTTTATTTTGTCTTCACACTCTGGGACACCAAAAAATTTGAAAATTTGGTAATTTTATGATGTTTCATATGTTGTATAGGCTTTGTTTATTCTTTTAAATTATTTTTCTTTATTTTTGTTTGGCTGGATTATTTCAAAAGACCTGTCTTCAGTTACTGAATTTATTTTTCCTGCTTGATCTAGTCTATTGTTAGAGCTTTTAAATGTATTTTGTATTTCATTTAATAAATTCTTTAGTTACAGAATTTTTTGTGGGGGGGGGGGTTCTATCTCTTTGTTAAATTTCTCATTTATATCCCAAATTGTTCTGATTCATTTATATTCTTTTTTCTGTATTCTCTTGTACCTCACCAAGCTTCTTTAATATCATTATTTTAAGTTCCTTTCCTGGGACCTTATAAATCTCTTTTTCATTAGAATCTGTTGCTGGAGAATTATTGTATTCCTTTAGAGGTGTCATATTGTCTTGCTTTTTTATATTTCTTGTGTCATGTTGATAGTGTGCATCTGGTGTAACAGTTGCTTCTTCCATTTTTTTTTTTAATTTGTTATAGTGGGGGAAAACTTTTTTCCTGAATATGTATCTATGCTATTGGTATGAAAGAGTACTTTGGCTTTGATTCGGGGCACATGAAGTAATTTAATCTCTGCATTATTTCTTCAGCTCTAAACAGTGTCAATGGTGTCTTTGGTTTTCTTGGTGGTGTAGGGTGTTGTTGTAGTGGAGGCTGTGGTAAAGTTTTGATGGAGACAGGGACTAGATCTACATAGACTGTATCTTTGGGTCCCAGTGGTGGCAGTAGTAGGCTAAGCATGCCTGTCCCCAGGGAGGTGTGTGCTGGCACCAGTGTTATTGGTTCTAGGTGGTCTGATTCTTGGTCTTCCAGGCAGCTTGCTCAGGTGCCAGTACTAGCAGTGGCGTACCTGGTGGGTGGGCACATTTTCAGGCCAATGGGAAGCAAGCATAGTATGAGTGATGGCAGTAGCAATGGCAGGACAAGCCTCTGGCTCTCAAGTGGTCCATGCTGGTGTTTGTGGTAGCTGTAATAGGTTGAGTAGGCCAGTATCCAGGCCCACCAGTGACACATGAGGGTGTGTACCAGATGTGGTGGTAGTGGCAAGTTGGGTGGGCCCAAATTCAGTCCCCCAGGAAGAGTGCCAAGGTAAAACTGTGGCAGACTCAACTGGGTATTTCCCAGGCCCCCAGATGCCATGCTTGGGCCCTGACTGGGGGCAATGCTGGGCTGGGTTGACCTTTCCTCTGGCCCCCTGATGGTGGATACAGGTGCTGGCTGTGGCAGGCAGGAGCAGGATGATCTCCCAGGCCTCCAGGGGAATGTTCTGGTAGAGGCAGCAACAGCTGTATTGCAGCCCTGCTACTAAGGAGGGTGAGACTGCTTTTAACAGCAACAGTCATATTTAAGTGGCTGGGTAGCATGCACATTTTGGCCTGGTGGTGGCAGCCCACAGCAGCAGTGTCTGTAGGCAGGGGACTTTGTCCCTGGGGCATGTGAAAATGCATGACTGCCTCACTGTAGGCAGTGGAGTAATTGCCAGTGATTTGTACTTCAGCCCTGGCAGCAGCAGCTACCTTTGGTGGTGACTGGACATGGGGATTGTCAGTGGGGCTGCATGGATATGAAGATGCAGGAGCTGTGGGGCCCCCAGGCAGAATGCAGTATGGTGGGGACTGGGATCTCAATATGGCGCCTGCTGTGGCTGCTTAGGATTAGGGGTGTGTGGGACCCTTTCTGGAACAATACTGTCTTTTAGTCTCCAGGCAGCTTCCTTTGTTAGTCTTGGGCCTGTGATGTTCTAGGGGCTCTCCTGTGGCTAGGGTTGAAGAAATCTGCATTAGTCATGTGGGCTTCTGGGATTCTCCTACTTACCATTTTCCTTCATTGAGTCTCCAGACTCCCAGCTGATCCTGGCAAAGCAGGGTGCCTCACTTACCTCTCCTTCCCTGCCTTAGGTGTTCTCTGTCACTTCTCTGTTGGATTCCAATTTTCTCTCTTAGATGATCTATTTGAAATGTGATTATTTACTTGCTATTTTGGCTCTTCTCTGTGGAGAAAGTGAGTACCAGGTGCCTGTAATCAGCCACTTGAAGTTCCTCTTTAGGTAAAGCCGTCTTACCTGAAATTTTTTATGTTAAAACGTTTTTAACTCAATTCACCTTTTAAAATAGTTATAATGAAAAATGTAGTTACAATGCAGTTTGTATCTTTCAAGAATTTTATGCGTTTTTATCTAAGATGTTGAATTTATGGGCCTAGCACTGTTCGTACTACTCCTTGATTATCTATTAAATGCCCATAGGATCTATAGTGATGCCTGCTCCTTTATTTCTTACATCTGTAATATATTTTCATTCAGTTTTTCCTTTGTCAGGCTGGCTAAGAATGTATCGTGTTTTCTGATCTTTACAATGAACCAGGTTTTGGTTTCACTAATTTTTAAATTGTTTTTCTGTTCTTAATTATACCAATTTCTACTTTTTTCTTTATTTCCTTCCTTCTCCTTGCTTTGGGTTTAATTTGATCCTTTTTTTCTTTTTTCTGGCTTCTTAATACTGGAGTTTCTGTTATTCATGTGACATATTTCATCTTTTCTGTATAAACTTTATATTTCCCTTAGCTGCATCCTACTAATTTTTATATACTGTGCTTTCATTTTTATTTAATATAAATATTTTCTAATTTCCCTTAATATATTCCTTTAGACCGATGGACTATTTAGAAATACGTTGCTTACATGTATACATATGTAACAAACCTGAACATTGTGCACATGTACCCTAAAACTTAAAGTATAATAATAAAAAAAAGAAATATGTTGCCTAATTTATAAATATTATTTATTTGCTAGGGCTTCCATAACAGTTTGGGTGGCTTAAAAAATGGAAGTTTATTTCTTATAGTTCCGGAGGTTACAAGTCCAAGATAAAGGTGTCAGCAGGTTTGGTTTCTTCTGTGGCTTCTCCCGTTTGTTTGCAGATAACTGGCTTCTTTCTGTGTTCTTGCATGATCTTTTTTGTATGCATATGCATGCCTGGTGTCTCTGTCTGTCTTAATATTCTCTTCTCATAAGGACATCAATCAGATTGAATTGGACCCACCCTAATGACCTCATTTTAACTTCATTCCCTCCATAAAGACTCTATCTCCAAATATAGTCACATTTTGATATATTGGCGGTTGAGACTTCAACACATGAATTTTTAGAATACACAATTCAACTCATAACACAAATATTTGGTGATTTTAAATATATATTTCTGTTATTGATTTTTTAGGTAAATTCTGCAGTGTGAGTTGTATGTCTGTATGATTTTAATTCTTTTAATTTTGTTAAAGTATACTTTATCCCCAGAATATTCTCTTTCTTAGTGAATGTTCCATGTGCACTTGAAATAAATGTCTATCCTGCTATTGTTAGGTGGAGTGCTCTATAAATGTTTTTCTTTTGTTTTTTTTTTTTTGTTGTTGTTTTTTGTTTTTTCTTTGAGTCTTGCTCTGTTGCCTAGGCTGGAATGCAGTGGCATGATCTCGGCTCACTACCACCTCTGCCTCCTGGGTTTAAGTGATTCTTCTGAGTTAGACAGCTGAGTAGCTGGGATTGCAGGTGTGCGCCACCATGCCCAGCTAATTTTTGAATTTTTAGTAGAGACAGGGTTTCACCATGTTGGCCAGACTGGTCTCAAATTCCTGACTTCAGGTGATCTGCCTGCCTTGGCATCCCAAAGTGCTGGGATTACAGGCATGAGCCACTGGACCGGCCAAATGTTAATTAGGCCAAGTTGGTTGATAGTGGTATTCAGCTTTTCTGTAGCCTTGGTGATTTTCTGACCACTTGCGCTATCACTTACTGAGTGAAAAGTATAAAAGTGTCTGACTATAATTGTAGAGTTGTCTATTTCTTTTTACAGTTCTATCAGATTTTGTATCTTATATTTAGAAGCTCTCTTGATAGGTGCATATACATTTAAGATTGTTATATCTTCTTGGAAAGTTAACCTTTTGCTATTACATGTTTTCCTTTATCCCTGGTGATATCTCTTGTTTTAAAGTCTCTGATATTGACATAGCTACTCCTGTTGGGTATGGTTTTTTTTGCTGTTGTTGTTGCCATGGTTACATTCAGTGCATCAGAAGTGTTCAATTTCTCTGTGTTATTTTATGTTTAGAATGGGGGCTAGTTTGCCAGAGGATTATTTTTAATAACTACTCCACTTTCAGCTCTAGGTCTTCCTTTTGTGGACATGCCTCCGAGACTGTCTCTCCTTGCTCTCAGATAGCCTGCTGTTACATGTCATTCATTCAGTGCTTGCTTGCCTGGTGGTGAGAGTGGGAAGAGAATGTTCTCTGCTCTTCTATTTTCAGTTTGTGTCAGTCTGAGGCATCCATTGTTTCCCCGGGTGTAGGGTATAGGGTATTCTCATTTGTCCTATCCTGCTCACTATAGTGGTAGACTTCCAGTGGTCTGGTTTCAGGGTAAATGTATGCTCCACTGCAAGGGTAAAAATATATATTTTTTCCCTTTTTCCTTCCCTTAGCTTCAGTTGGTCTTCACAGTGTCCAAAGGGCAACAAGGTTTTCTGCTCTTTCCAGGTGGTTGAAGGCTTTTGCTTTTTTAGAGAGATAGAGAACATGGATTTGGGCAGAGCTTTTTGCCTTTGTTGTAGTGACTGATGCTCTCTTCCCCAAGCCTGTATTATGAGGAACATTTTCTCAGAACTCTTGTCCTGTCCTTGTTCTTTCTTGTGAGTATCTAGTGATGTATGTAGATAAGAGCTCTGAGCGAGTGTGAATATTTCTTGTGTCTGCAACTACTAGGGCTTCTATATTTTTATGCTAGCCACTTTAGCAATGTGTTAAAAAAAATTAGGTAAAATGTTACCCAATTTTATGGTGTCCAGCATCATCTGTCACTGGTGAACAAGTGCTCACATTATGTCTCTCCTTTGATACATCTGTATTTCTTTAGATTTGGGGTTAGTTAGTTAACTTTTAACCTCAACTCTCTGAGGAGCTTAAAAAAAGCTCTGAACTTACATTCTTTGCCACTATTTTATTTTATAGAAAGGAGTGATAAGTTTTCCAGTTTTCATCTTAAGCTGATGCCAAACATCTCAAGATCTACTCTTAAAAATTCAAAATGGGCCAGGCGCGGTAGCTCACGCCTGTAATCCCAGCACTTTGGGAGGCTGAGGTGGGCAGATCACCTGAGGTCAGGAGTTCGAGACCAGCCTGGCTAACATGGTGAAACCCCCAACTCTACTAAAAATGAAAAATTTAGCCGGGTGTGGTGGCAGGCACCTGTAATCTCAGCTACTCGGGAGACTGAGGCGGGAGAATCTCTTGAACCAGGGAGGCAGAGTTTGCAGTGAGCTGAGATCACGCCATTGCACTCCAGCCTGGGGGACAAGAGCGAGACTTCATCCCAAAAAAAAAAAAAATTCAAAATGGAAAGTTCTATTGAATCTATTTTAGATTTGAAACTATCCTATCCTACTTTGAGTCTACAAATATGCCTGAACTACTAAATATAGCTTTGGACTTTAATAGGTTCTTTATGACATCAAGATGCTTTAAGATGTTTCTTTGATATAAAACTTTTAGGAAAATAGTCAAACACACTTTTTATTAAACTCCAATCTTTAGTGTTGTTTCCAAAGATAGCCATCACAGAAATTTGTTACAAGTATTCTATTTTTAATTTTTAGAATGCCAAGATAAATTAGCCTCTTTTTATGTACATACTTTCTTCCTTTAAATAGTTCCAGAAAATATTGACTTCCTTTGACATAAACTTCATAACATACCAATAGGTTGAGTTGTTTATGCAGTGAAGAACCCTATTGTTGAATGTAATCCTAGGAAATTTGCCAACTATGAAATAGAGATGATTTGGCTTACAGGTCATCTTTTAAAGCCTCTACAGGGAGTTAAATAGTCAATCAGCCAATACGTCAAAATAAAGAACACTTATGATAACATATAATATACTTTAGTCATTTCCATTATTTCATCTTTGAGTTCTTTCAAGGATCTTATGTAGATTCAGTCCAATTTCAATTACTCCATTGATTATTTTTTCCATTTGACTTACAATGTTTATGTACATGGGCCTTGAACAATGTGGGGGTTAGGAATGCCAACACCCCATGCTGTCAAAAATCCATGTATAACCTCGACTCTCCAAAAGTTTTTGACTCTTCAAAAACTTAATTATTAGCAGTTTAATGTTGATCAGAAGCCTGATTTGTAACTGAAACAGTCAACACATTTTGTATGTTATATATATTTTACAGTGTATTCTTACAATAAAGGAAGCTAGAGAAAAGAAAATGTTATTGAGAAAATCAGAAGGAAGATAAAATATATTTACTGTTCATTAAGTGGAAGCAGATCACCATAAAGGTATTCATCTTTGCCATCTTAATGTTGAGTAGATTGAGAAGAAGGAGGAAGAGGAAGGGTTAGTCTTGTTCTTTTGGGGTGGCAGAAGCAGAAGAAAATCTACATGTAAATGGACCAACATCATTCAAATTTATATTGTTTAAGGGTCAAGTATACGTTACCATCAGTTAATTTAATACATTGGTTGCTTATCTCAAAAGAAAATTTGAGCTTGGCTCACTTCATAAAATCTTTATGGAATAATGGAAATTAAATTTCTTTCTTGTAGTGGTATTTTTTAAAAACGTAATTATTGACAGACCCTGCCTTTAATTATATTCTAAAAACCTTTTATTATCAGTGTTAACATCTCTTCTAGAAAAATCCTTATTAAATAGCAACAATGATTGATTGAATAGCTAAAAAATATTATGCACTTTAATGAGTAGTGGATTTGGAATGATTTTTACTTCTATTTTTAACTCTCATTTTTATCGCATCTGACCTGTTATTTATCATTTTATTTATTTGTTAATTAGCCTAGTTAAAAATGTCCTTTGGGAGGGGCCACTTGTAGTAATAGTGCAGTAGGAAATTCAGAACAATACTGACATTGAAAACACCTAGAAAAGCTAGAAAAATAAAGCTGTTTGAAGACACTGTAAAGTTAAGAAGCTAATAAGGAAATACGAGGTCAAGATATAAAAGAGTTGGAGAGGAAAGAAACCTAGAGAGGTGAGCCCATCATTTTAGAATGCTCTTACTTAGGAGATTTTTTACTTATGGGATTTTTCTGATTACTGCAGAGGTGGCTGAAGGGTTGAGAAGCTGAACAAAGCTTTGACAGCCTTATGGAGCCTGAGGACAGAAACTGGAATCCAAGGCCCTCAGGCTTTATGTTAGGTCATAAAGGTCTACAAGATAGGAGTAAGGGTTAATCAGAAATAGTTTAGTCATTTCAGGGACTAAAGCACAGTTTCTGCTCATCTCCTTGGAATTGGATTATGTGATCTGAAATTCCAAGTGCCTGTAGCCATCTGCAAGTACATAAGTATATTCTCTCTGAAGGAAAGTATAATCATTCCAGGCCTCAAATTATTTCTATGATATTATAAACCCTGGCACTCTGTCAAAGTAACAAGGTATGTAATAAGACTACATGATTTAGAACCAAGAAAAACAATAGAAATGGAAATGCAATCTAAGGTAATGCAGTAAATGAAATAATGAGACACAGAATTTGAAATGGCTGAGCTTGATATAATTAAGGATTTCAAGACAAGATTGAGAATTTTGACTGGCAACTAAAATGTACAAAAATAAGACTGATGAAAATTCAGGAATTAAAAAAATCAGTAAACAAATTTACAATTATGAATGTGTTTAACATTATATTAGACACAGATGCAGACAGAATCACTTACATAATGTATAGAGCAGAAAAAAAGTATCTAGAAGAGGCATGGAAAAATAAAAGGATGAAAAATGCATTTAAAAAGAAAAGGAAAGATATAAATAGTATGTTGAGAAGACCAAGCATAGATATAACAGGAGTTTCAGAAAGAAAGAGTAAAGCAAATAGGTGGAATCAATGTTTGAAACGATAATGCTGTTGAGAATTTTCTGACACTGATGAAATACATCAAGCTTCAGATTTAAGAATCACTGTGGATCCCATGCAAAATAAATACAAAGAAAATAAGAGCAAAATTGCAAAAAAGCAATTATAGAGGGAACATTTTAAAACCATTTACTGACACAAAATATATTACTTTAAAAAGAGCAAAAATAAGCTTGAGTTAGGTTTTCTCAATAACAAAAAATAAAAATCAGAATATAGAGAAATCATATTCTTAAAGTATTAAAATACATTGGAAAACTCTTTAATATGTTAAAGTTGTACATGGATGTATATACCTATAGGAAGAGTCATGAGACAAAAAGAGATCATGGCAAATCAATGTCATAGGGGGCAGGCATAGAGGGAAGCTGGGATGCCATAAGGGAGATTTCATGTGGCCTGTGAGATAGAAAAGGAATAGCAGGTTCCTAGATTCTATGAGGTTCTACTATAAACTCTATTTTTTCTTTAAGCATATTTATAGACTATTTGTTTGAAACAAAAGAGCTACACTGGAAGAAAGTTAAAACATGAGTTAAAACTGTCAAAAATTAAAATTGAAATTAGTTGCCTAAAGATTATGAGAAACACTTGGGATGCTGCTCTGTAATGATTATTTCTTCTCATAACGTTAAATGGTAATAATATACTGTGGTTATGGTTTTTAAGCAAATTTTAAGATGTCTGTGCTCCTTCCATAAGAAAGGCTAAGCATCTCAGAGAAGAAAGAAAAACAGTGTATCTGCAGATGTTTTACCTGAAAATGTTTCTCTTTTGGTTTTGAAACCATGCTTCCTTGCTATTTGTTCTCCTATAAGAGAATAGGAAACTATTGCCCCTCAAAGTCTTGAAAGTTTTGCTGAATCTCACCATTGTTGCAGTATCCACTAAAAAAAAAAAAATTCTGGAAGTGTTCAGTGCGACTCTGCCCCTTGAAATGGTGTCCCACTTTGGCCTTCAGAGGTGGAGTGGCAGGGAGTGGGTAATACTAGGATTCCTACTCCTTTCATTAGTAATGACAGCTGTATGGCTCAAAAACTTTTGGAAAATTAAATGATCACATTTTCATGTAGTTGGCTAGAAGCACTGCAGTTACTATTTGGGCTTTGTTTGACATCATTTGAATAAAAAAAGAAAGGCAGGATAAAACCTGCCTTTAGTTTTTCACCCTTCAATTAAAAAATATATTAATGTATGGTCTGGTTCAGAGAGGGAAGCAGTCCCTAATTTGGTAAATATGACTGGCTATTTTTAGCATTTGCTGAAAGAATTTATAATCAAATGGGAAAGAAGTTGCAGGCGGTGGTTCTCAAAGTGTGGTCTAGTAAATTTTATTTTGTCAGCATAATTATATTTTTATTAGAAATAAATTTTAATGTTAAAAGGTAGGACGTTGTCTAGGACCTTTACTTTTTATTATGAATTGACATAATAACTGTACATATTTATGAGGTACAGTGTGCTATTTTGATACATGTACACAATGCATAATGATCAAATCAGATTAATTACCATATCCCTCACCTCAAACATTTATAATTTCTTTCTGTTGGGAACAGTCAGAATTCTTTCTTCTAGCTATTTTAAAATATCCAATAAATTGTTGTTAACTATATTCACTGTATGGGACTATAGATCCCTAGAAATTATTTCTTCTGTCTCGCTCTAATTTTATATTCATTAAGCAGCTTTTCTTTATTTTTCTCTCCTTTCTATCCCTCTCACCTTCTAGTAACCACCATTTTACTCTCTACTTCTATGAGACCAACTTTTTTAGCTTTCATTCATATATATGTGAGAATATGTGGTATTCGTCTTTCTGGTCCTGGCTTATTTCACTTAATATACTCTCCTCCAGATTCATCTGTGTTTCCATTAATAAAATAATTTCATTCTTTGTTATGGATGAATAATATTTCATTGTTTATATATATATATATATATAGTTTTTTTTTAGTAGATTAGTAGTACTTTTTTTTTTTTTTAGTGGATACTGCAACAATGGTGAGATTCAGCAAAACTTTCAAGACTTTGAGGAGCAATAGTTTCCTATTCTCTTATAGGAGAACAAATAGCAAGGAAGCACGCTTTCAAAACCAAAAGAGAAACATTTTCAGGTAAAACATCTGCAGACACACTGTGTTTTTCTTTCTTCTCTGAGATGCTTAGCCTTTCTTATGGAAGTGTATATATATATACACACACACTGCATTTTAGTTTGTTTGTTTTTATTCCAGTACCACGCTGTTTTGGTTTCTACAGTTTTGTAGTATGTTTTGAAGTCAAGTAGTGTGATGCCCCAGCTCTGTTATTTTTGCTCAAAATTACTTTGGCTAATCAGGGTCTTATGTGGTTTCATACAAATTCTATAATTTTTTTTCTATTTCTGTAAAGAATGTTATATTTAATTGCAAGATTGCTTTGGGTCATTTTAACAATATTATTTTTTTCAATCTCTAAACATGGTGTGTCTTTCTGTATTGTGGTATCCTCTTCAGTTTCTCTTATCAGTGTTTTATAGCTTTTCTTTTAGAGCTCTATCATGCTGCTGATTAATTCCCAGGTATATTGTTTATTTACTTATTTATTGTGGCTATTGTAGATGAGATTGTTTTCTTGATTTTTTTTCCAGCTATAAAAAATTTTCATAATAACACTAGAGGTGATTTACCTTTTTTTCACTATTTTTCTAGCAAATATACAGTGAGTTTGTCAGATCCTATGTAATGTGTGATAATATCACAGCAGATTGAGTGCTGAAAAGATATAAGAATCCAGCTGTCATCTATTAAGCCAGATATTAAAGAAATTTAAAAATGTAAAAAATAAAAATGTAATCAAAATTGTAAAAATGAGACTACAGCTACTTTTAAAAACAAAGTATATCATTTATAATAACATAAAATGAGCTTATCATGGTTATTTTAAAACAAATTAAGAAATAAATAAATATTTTTAAATGCATGCTTTTATTTTTAATGGTGTCCATCAGTAAATATAACTCACAAAAACAAAAATTCATTGAAGCGCTCCATATTTTTTCACAGTGTGCAGAGGGTTTGAGACCAAAACATTTAAAAACTTCTATATTACATACTTCTCAATATAATAACCAGTCCCTTTATTTTTCATACATTTTTATTAAAAAATATGTATGTTTCATATTTACTTTAACAATCTTTTCAGGTTTCTTCAAGCAATTAAGGGTATTTAATTCTAGTTAATATTTTTAAATTAATCACATGATTTTGTTTGTTTCTAATCTTAAACCCATTTTGTTCATTATTATTGCAAAAAAAAATGCTCACTATAAGTCATAATTTCTGCCGGTACTTACAGCCACCAAACACAGGTCATGGTGCACCATTTTCTAATAATTAGGATGTAGTAATTTTTATTGACCAAGGTCTTGTTTAGGTTTACTCAAGGATAATGTAATGAATATTGGCTCTATATGTTTTGTAGGCACTGTAGATAATAAAATAAATAATATAATGTTGGAGGACATTATTTTTCATTTGGTAGGAATAATATGTAAAATTGCCAAAAAATAAGCAATATATAAAGAAAAATATTGGGTCTTGAGTTTAAGATTTTTAAAAAATATATAAAGTAAGATTGGTGTTTAGTATAATTATTAAAGTTCTCAAAGGAATGAGTGGGGCCTTTAAGGAAGTGTAAGATTTGAACAAGTAAATAAAGCTATGAATGCTTTATCATTTAGGAAAATAGTAAGATCGAAAGCACAAACAGCATAAAGAATGAAAATAGCAGGGCAAGGACAACCAACATCATCCAAACTTGGGGAAAAATCAAAGAAAAATTCCAATTTGTGAACTGGTAAAAGGGAAGTAGATATGCAAATGAGGAATAGAAGAAAGTAAAAAAAAAAGTCATATTTGAAAACACTGCAATGCATAGAAAACAAAATGTAATAATTTATTTATTTCACAAATATCTGTTGAGTGTCTAACATGGTTAGACCCAATGTTAGGTGCTTGGTATCCAGTGAAGAATAAGGTACAGTCTCTTTCCTGAACAAGGTCATTTGGTAATGGGTCCATATCATGGACAGGAGGTAGAGAATAAAACGTGGAATAATTGAAGCTATCAAGAGAAAATTCTTGGCTAAATATAGACATTCTGTATTATTAATTTTGTTATAATATTATAGCTTTCCCTATTTTTAAAATTATTAGACCATTATGGGTTTTATTATTTCATTAGATATGAAATTTTGCCAACAAAGATTACATAATATAGCTAATACTTGTTATAGGTTTTATGCCATATTTTATTATTTTCTCAATGCAGTGAACACCTCCATCATTCATAACTCACTTGCCTATAGTTTGTAGTCTGAGTCATTTTTTGTGTAGTTTTATTCTTTCATATAAACAATCAACAATTATTTGCTGACTGAGTGCTATGTTTAGGCAAAATTTTAAGCTGGGCTTTGAAGAGCAAAGAGGATATGGAAAGACACAAGTGGCAGGAGAACAGAGAGTAAAGGCTTTATAAGTGGAAGAAAAGTGAAAAGTTCCAAGAAATAAGCAAGATGATAAACCTGCTGAACGCAAAGGGAAAATAATATCATGAATTATGAGGAAATAATATGGATAGATAGAGTTGGGCATACTCTGGGAAGCCTTAAACATTATCAGAAAAGTTTAAACCTGAGCCAGTGTGTAATAGAAAACTATCAGAACTTTTTATACTGGTAGAAATGACATGATTATATTGGCATTTCAGGAAAACTTGTAAGATGTGTCACCCATTATATTTCTTAATTATCTATTTTCTAAGAAAAATAAAACAACAGAAATTAAAATGATAATAACACAATCATTATTTTATGTATTCTGCTGAAGACGTACTGTCCCACAATGTCATCAAAAGTATTAACTGGGAAGCTCCATTTGTTTTTGAATCTTCAGGTTGGTTACTATTATAAATTTCATAATATATATGGTAATAATATATATTGTAATATACACTTTATGTTTTATAACATAATATATAAACATATAATATAGATAGTAGACAAAAATTTCCTACCATATATATAATATATATCATGTATGGTAGACACACATTTTTGAAGACAATAGTAAACAACCTGGAGATTCAAAAATATAATCTACATATATGGTGGACAAATGTATATATTATAAATATATATATAATATATAATATATATATAATTTCACCATATATCGTAAAATTATAACTGGAAAATCTATGTATACACGCTCACACATACACATATATTCCCACTATACATATATATTTTCCATGTTCTTACAATACATATCTTTCTAATACTTATGATGTTTTTGTTAATCGAATGAGTTTCAATACCAAGAACTATGGTGAACTGGGATAGACATTTACCTCAAAGTATGTTTTAGTTTGTAGGCATTGTAGATACGTAAATAACCAACCAATTATGAGGCAATATACAAACACAAAATAATGTGTCTTGAATTTAAATTTTTTTTAATGCAAGGGCAATACTGATGTTTAGTGTAATTATTCTTTAAAGTTATTAGAGAAGTGAGTTGGGACTAAGGGTACATTAGCAATAGAAGGACCGATTCTAAGGTCTTAGAATTTATACAATACTTTTCTTCTTATCTTTTAATGTAGAGTTATTTTCTGCATAAGTGACAGTATTTGCTTATTTTGAAATGCTTCTATTTGGATAAGAATTCAACATATTTAGATTATTTAGGAAAAGTATAAAATGGTTTTAATGATTAATTACTTTAGAATAGATTTGCCCAGTTCTGTCAAATATCTTAAACAAGTACTATTACCTGACTTTACCCAAACTTCCAAACTATGTCTATACCAGACATCCTAATCATTCCCATCTGATGCTGGATTCAGCTTCAACATTTATACAATATGAGGATCTACCATTTCTCTTGCAATCCACGATAATTGGCATCCTCTTTCCAAATTAGATAATATATTGATAATACTTAAAGCCCTAATATTCTTTCACACAAGTTGAAAATTATGGTTGGAAAATCTATGTACTTAGATATACTGATGCTGTATGTGTTTATTCCAGTTTACTGGCCGATATTAATTTGAGAAATAGAAAAGAAACAGCTTGAATACTTTTAAACTTTTAGTACCTTTCATTGCTCTAAATTGTAAACCAATAAAGATGATCTGTTTTCAAAAGCATTGTCTAAGTAAACTCAACTCAATGTTTAATGATACTGTGAAAGAAATTGAAATCATTCCCCTAACTGATATGGTAAAATGTATAATTTATGAGCTTTTCATATTGATCTTTTAAAATAATTTTCTAGATAGTTTCAAAGTACATATTTGCATTTCTATTACTGACTTCAAAGATGTGGTATTAAAACATAAAGCAATAAATGACAAACATAGAGACAAAAACTCATAATATTCCCTGAAATTATAAAATTTCATATATATTCCATAAGTCTTAAATTTATATATTAGCATCATTCTTCAGGAAAGTGTGTGTGCGCACACACACACACACACATCACACCACAAACACACACAACGCTTCTTCAAAAGTTCATGGAAAATGTGTATTATCAAAAAGCTATCATGAATTTCAACATTTTTTGCACAAATATAAACTCATACTAATTTATTATAACATGTCTGTACAGAACAGAATCTAGCTGGAGGCATTAAGAAAGATAAGATTAGTTTGAAAAGGGCCCCCGTCAGAGTAACCTAAATTCTGTTAAAACTGACACAAGAATGTTTGTGGTAAACATTCAAATTTGTGCTGAAGTTGAGGTGGAAAAATGATGAAATCATTGATCCTTTACCAAAAGTTTATGGGGACAATGCACCAAAGAAATCAAGAGTTTACAAATAGGTAACTTGTTTTAAGAAGAAACAGAAGGAACAAGACAATATTGAAGATGAAGCCTGTCATGGCAGACCATCCACATCAATCTGTGAGAAAAAAATTCATCTTGTTCATGGCCTAATTAAAGAGGACAAACAATTAACAGCAGACACAGTAGTCAACACCAAACACATCACAGTTACCTTGGGTTACAAAACTTTGACTGAAAAATTAAAGTAAACTTTCCACTCAATAAATGCATGCCAAACAGTTGGGCCCCGATCAGTGCAGACAAGATCAGAGCTTTCACTGGAAATTTTAAACAATTGGGATCAAGATCCTTAAGTGTTTTATCAAATAAATTGTAACCACAGATGAAACATGGCTTTATCAGTATGATCCGGAAGACAAAACACAATCAAAGCAGTGGCTACCATGATGTGGAAGTGATCCAGTCAAAGCAAAAGTGGACCTGTGAAGAGCAGAGGTCATGGCAACATTTTGTGGGGATGCTCAAGACATTTTAGTGGTTGACTTTCTGGAGAGCCAAAGAATGATAACATCTACTTATTATGAGACTGTTTTAAGAAAGTTAGCCAAGTTTTAGCATGAAAGAGAAACCTTCTTCACCTCGACAGTACTCCTATTCATTTCTCTCATCAAGTAAGGGCAATTTTGTGAGAGTTTTTATGAGGAATCATTAGCATGCACCTTGCAGTCTTTATTTTTCTCTAACTTCTTTTTGTCTCCTAATCTTAAAAAAAATTAAGATATTAAAGAGAACCCATTTTTCTTTAGTTAATAATTTTAAAAAGACTACATTGACATGGTTAAATTCCCAGGTCCCTTAGTTCTTTATGGATAGACTAAATGGCTTATAAAAATGTCTTGAACTCCTGACCTCAGGTGATCCACCTGCCTCAGTCTCCCAAAGTGCTGAGAATACAGGCAGGAGCCACCGCACCTGGCCAGCCTGACCAACATTGTGAAACTCCATCTCTACTAAAAATAGAAAAATTAGCTGGGCATGGTGGTGTAATCCCAGCTACTTGGGAAGCTGAGGCAGGAGAACCGCTCGAACCTGGGAGGCGAAAGTTGCAGTGAGCCGAGATGGCACCATTGCACTATTGCACTCCAGCCTGGGTGACAGAGCAGGACTCTGTTTCAGAAAAATAAAATTAAAAAGTCTTGACCTTGATTCTGAGAAATAAATTTTGTATTTCAAATTTTGTCTTTTAATTATATTTTTTCTATGAACTTTTTGAAGTCTTCCTTGTATATTTATAGATTTATCTTAAAAAGTCAACTCATGAGATTGTGGAAACTGCCAAGGCTGAGATCCGTAGAAAATTCAGAGGGCAGGAGTTAATGCTGCAGTATTGAGGCAAAATTTCTTCTTCTCTGGAAAACCCAAATATTTGTTCTTAAGGTCTTCCATGGTTTGGATGAGGTCCCACTCAAATTATCAAGGACAATCTCCTTTACTTAAAGTCAACTGATTGTAAATCACAACCACATGTACAAAATATCTTCACAGCAAAACCTATATTAGTGTTTGATTAAATAACTGCATACCATAGCCTAGCCAAATTGGTGAAACTAACCGTCACAATAAATGCATGTCCCTCTGTATGAATAAGTGAGAAAATAGGAAAAGAACAAAACATGAATATAGCATAAGGAACGGAAAACCAAATACCACATGTTCTCACTTACAAGTGGGAGCTAAGCATTGAGTATACATGAACATAAAGATGAAAACAATAGATACTGGGCATGAGGCTACTAGAAGGGAGAGGGTAGGAATGGGGTAAGAGTTGAAAAACTACCTATGAGGTAGTATACCCACTACCTGGGTAATGGAATCATTTATACATCAAACCTCAGCAACACACAATTTACCCATGTAACAAAATTGTATATGATATATCTTCTGCACCTAAAATACAATTTGAGAACAAATCTTAAATATGAGATGCATAAAGCATACATAATTATTTGTAATGACATGCTTGATATTCATTATAATTAATAGAATAGGTATTTAGTATAATTAAAGCAAAATTGAAGTTCACATTAGATACAAGATCAAAATACAGATTGAAAATTTACATTTTACTGGTCACAGAGTCTCTGGGATTCGTCCATAATATTATCTCAAAGACTTTATAATCTATAAGAAGACAGGTGTTTAGATTACCTTCTGCATCTAGCGGCAAATTTGGGAGAGCATAGAAACAACAACATTTCAAATAATACATATGATATCTGTGTTTTTAAGGTTAATATGTAATACAGTCAAGATATGCTATGGATGAAAGAGATTTTCCAAGACTTATTTTTTAAAGAATACCTTAGCAATTCCCATTACATAATTTAGCTCTCTCACAATTTATTATAATTATTTCCTTATCAAAACAGAAAAACGATATTTTTTTAACCAAGGAAAAACATATTCCAAATATATCGTCAGCTTGTGAAAGGCTCATCAGGAAAGACAGTTTTGCTCAGAGAGGGTGGAGCAGAAAACACTGCCAACAGCCGAATTACATTTCTTTTCTCCTTTTTTTGGTCTTCATTCTATTGACAGAATCTGTGACAAGAGCCTGAACAGTTTTGTTGTTTCCAGATTTAAGGGCTTGTATTTGTAGCAGTCCCATCTTTTGTTAGAGGTAAGCACTAGCACAAAGTTGACGGAGGACACCATTATCCACTGATATTCTTAAGATCATATTACCTAGATAATCTTCTTGTCTTTCTTCTCCCAAACTTTTGCGTTGGATCCAGGAAAAGAAAGAGGTACTGAATTACTCTATTTGTTTTGTACGGAGCTGTAACTCAACCCTCATTCTCCTTCATTATTTTTTCAAACCATCAGGGCTAATTGACAGCAAGCCTTTATATCTAGATTTGTTCCCATTAGAAGTCCTTGTGTCCTTGACTACACAGGTAAGGTAAGAACTTTAATTACTGCCGTAATTAGATGTATTTTAGGCAGCTGTGCTTTGGCTTAACCAAAGGGAAAGCTCAGAAATGAGCTCTCTCCAACATTGATAGGGATGCTGTACTTCATGTTATTTTCTGAATAATCAAAAACTTGGCAAGTAGGGAAAGGAATAGTTACAGTTTGAGGGAATTGTAATCCTTTCCCAATTCTAACCGCTGTGCTCACTTCATCCCTAGTTGAATTTTTAAGTAAAATTTCATTTATTATCGTTACAGAACATAGATCTGTAAGGAAAATACTATAAAATATACAAGGAAGCTCTGAAAAATTCATAGCCTGTTGTACTAATAAAAAACCAAAAACAAAACAATAAATTTTTAATGTGGTAAAATGATATCTTAATTGATTATATATCATGTATTATAACCATTTAGTTTCTGTTAAGAGAACACATACATATATCTGTATGTGTATATGTATGTGTATATGTATGTGTGTGTGTATATATATATACACACATATATACACACATATACACACATACACACTCCTGTATATATACTTTAAAAAAATTATCTTCTCGAATCAAAATTATTCCTTCAGAACTCAAAAGGCATTACTCTAATGTGTTCTATCATCTACTGAAGAAAAGTCTAATGTCAATTTGATCTTATTTCTCTGTAAATTTCTTGACTTTTCACTTTCTTATTACATATAAATATATATAAACATGATATATTTTAATGTTTTATTCTGAAGTTTCACAAGTATATATTGTACCTATTATTATTGCATACCAAATTACAGTACCAAATTACTGCATAAAGAATTATAGTACCAAATATTTTGTTCTGGTTACTTACTGATGCATAAAACATCATGCTAAAATTTAGTGACTTAAAAAACAGCTATCATTTGTTTGTGTACAAATCTGCATTTTTGCAGGGTTTAGCATGGATGGTTAATTTCTGATGTACACAGCATCACCTGAAGTGGCTTAACTGGGGCTAAGGATCCACTTCTAAAGTGGCTTCCTTCATGGCTGGCAATTTGTATTAGTTGTCACCTGTGAACCTAGTGGGGGGCTGTTGGCCAGAGACTTCTGATTGTCTCCACATAGGCCTGTCCATGGGAATCCTTTGATTTCCCACAGAGTGTCAGCTGCCTCCTCCAAGAATGTGATCCAAGAAGCAGAAAGTAGAAACTGCCAGCCTTTCAAGGTCAAGGCCTGGAAACCGGCAAAGCTTCAGTTCTAACGTCTTCTATAGGTCAAGTAGTCACAGAGCTTTCCCAGATTAAAGGCAAGGAAACATAGACCTTTTTTTAATTAGAGATAATCCAAAAGAGCAAAAGACTTGCAATTAACTTTAATGTACTATAGGCCAAACTCTGACCACAAATTATTTACATTCTTTTCATGTACAAAATCCTGCCCACTCCCAAGATCCTAAATACATTAGCACAGTATGATATTGGCCTGAAGTTTAGTTTACCATCACCTAAACCAGGTCTAGGTACAGATGGTGCTCCTAGAGTGCGATTTTTCTCTCTGTTGACCTGTGAAGTAAATAGACAAGTTTCCTGCCCCCTACATTTGAACACATTATGGTGAAACAGGCATCAAATAATCACAACAGACACTTTTCTTTAAAAGGAGAAAGACCAGGAGACATGTAGAATTCAGTTGCCAATAGAAACTGAAATCCAGCCAGACACGTATCATCACAGTCTTGATTAAAACCCAAATCTGCTTCCTGAGAAGGAATCTACTTAGCTTCTGGCTGTGTTTTCCGAAGATTTGATTCAGCTCTCTGAGTCCTACCTTTCCCATAATAAATGGATTGTTTTAGCTGAGAAGTGTTTTCAGTCTTGTCCCTGCCCAAATAAGTTTGGAAATACAACACATTTTTAAAAAAATTTTTGACTGTCTCTTTCTCTTTCAGATGAAGCTGATACAGTATCTTTAAACTTTTTCATATTTTTTACTTATATTTTATGTTTTACTCTTTTTGAATTCTTATACATTAAATATTAGATACCCATTATTGAGAATTTATGTTTTTAATATTTTCTCTGTTTTTTTTAACCGTTCTGCTATTTTTACCCCCATTTGGCCATATATTATTAATTTTATAGTTAACTCATTGTTTTGAAATTTTAGATATTTATTTTTCATAAATTTCAAAAATACACTTAGTGTCTCTGAATTTTTCTATTTTGAGGCATCTTATTCTTGCTTTTGTAGGTGTGCTATTTCTTAAATCTCTTTGAGGCTATACCAAGTTTTTAATAAGTTCTCTTCTTTTCCTGAATTATCTCCATTTATCTGGGGTAAGCTGCTCTTTTTACATTTCCTTTTATCAAGGGAAATTATTATCCTTCACTGACCATTCATATTTACAGAATTCAAGTTTTAATTGATTTCTCTGGGCAACTGGTGTGGGTTTCCTTTATTACTGTGTATGTGGGATGGCTATTCCCTGTAAGTATCTCCTCTGAAATGGAAATGGAAGGCTTCCTGGAAAGTCTGCATATAATAGAAGCATATCGATGAGCAGGAATGAAAATGGTTTTACTCTGTGACACTAACTCACATACTAGCAGACTTAGTTCTTTCTAGACAATACATTCAGATGAGTGTTAGTGGGATTTTAATGAATTATCTTCCAGTAACTGCAGAGGGAACTCACAGGCAATTTCCAGCCCCCTGGTTCTCAAACTTTAGTTTGAATTAGAACTATCTGGAAGGTTATCTGGCGTGGCTAATACAAAGTAGCCATATGTACTCCAGAGTGTTTGACTCAGTATGTGTGGGCATGGTCTAGGAATTTGCCTTTTAATAAGTTTTCAGCTGGTTGCATGTTATGGATCCACACTTTGATAACCATTGCTCCAGACCGACTTTCAATTAATTTCTCCCTACTTCAATCTATTCTTCCATCCCATTGTCCTGTATTTGCTGTGCTGCCTTTCCTTATTCTTGTTCTATTATTAATGTGTGTAACAAACCACCCAAACCCAGTGGCTTAAAGCAACAATGATTATTAATATTCTGCTTGCTGAACTCCTATTTCGGTGGGGCTCAGTAGTGATAACTCATCCTTAATTCTTTTAGTATTAGCTGCAGCAGTTTGAAGGCTGGGGGCTGAAATAATCTGAAATTTCATTTTCTCACATTTCTGGTATTTAAGACCCTGTATGAGGCTATGGGCAAAAATACCACATCTTCTCCATATGGCCTGACACATTCCTCAGTACGTGGTGGCTGGATTTCAAGGGTAATTATCCAGGAGAGCCAGATGGAGGTCATATTACCTTTTATGATTCAGCCTTAGAGGTCATGCATAGTCACTTCTGCTGCATTCTATTTATGCAAGTAGCTACAAAGTCCTTTCCAAATTCAAAGGAAGGAGGAAAAACCTTCTTCTTTTCTTTTTTAAAAAAAAATTAGTGTAGTGGCAAGACTCTAGAAGAGTGCGTTGGAAAAGAAATGTTGCAGTAAGTGTTGCTGCTATAAAGTTCCATCTATTATTATCCTTACTCTAAGCATAATTCACTGCATCATCACATGCAAAATATTGATACAATCACACTTTTCCTCCAAGGAAATCCAAAATCTCATCCATTATAGCATCAGTTTTATGCTCAAGGACCAGGATTTTGTCAACTAAATCAGGTCTAGGTGTGAATAAATTTTTTCATGTGTGTTTCCCTTGGTAAAACTTGTTAAATAGAGTTCTCAGTCTATAGACCAGTGAATTAAAAGGGACATATTCTTTGTCTTTGATATAGTCTTTGATATAGTCAAACAGTGATGGGTGGGTCATAGGATAACTGCTGTACATACTCCTATTCAAAAAAGGAGAAAGTGGGAGGAACACAGTATTCAAAGTTTCATAATTATTCTGGGATCCATTCAGGCACATATTTGAGCTCACTGATTAGGGCTCAGCACTACTGCCTGGGAATGATTCTCCATAGCTTCACTGTGACTTTTAGGCTCTGGGCATTACCCTCTGAGTCACCCTTTCTTTTCCATAAACAATGGCTATTGTTTGCAGCTGAATAGTTTTATCAACTTGCTTTATGTTAATAGTGATTCAAGGATCTAAAAATTAATTTTCATTTTGTAATGTCACTGTCTCTTTTTGTCTAAGCTGGTGATGTTTCCAACCACACAATTCCTTTTAAAAATTCAGTGAGTTTTCCATGAATCTTGTTATTTAGCCAAGTTATACTCAACAATCTTTTTGAGGTAAATCCTCCTCCACATTTGGCTTCTTATAAGCCTTCTCATATACAACACCCTTAGAATTTTTAGCCCTACTGTTTAATAGAGAAGATCTGTTAGACTTTCAGAGGGCTTTATCTGATTAAGTGAATTGCTCAGGCAATCCTTAAGACTTCTGAAGTATTAAGAATAACGCCATTTCCCACCTTGGATTTGATATTTACTCAGAAGTTCTTTGTCATTTGAGAACCTCAGATAAACTAATAATATGAAGCATTTTTATTTTTGAACTCAGTAAGACCTAGCTGCTTTATAACTCCTTTCAATTTCACTTAAATGAAAACATTTTAGCTAACCTATTTTCCCCTCTCATTTTATCAAATTCAGTAGGAAGAAACCAGGTGACAATTTAAGTATTCTACCTAGAACTCTCCTTAGCTATGTCATCCAGTTCATTAGGTATATTTTCTATCTTCCAGATTACCACAGACAAGGTGTGGTTACATTTTTTGCCTTTTGTCTGCTTTTCTCCAGGTTTCAGTAATATTTTCCTCATTATCTTTAAGCCATTACCAATAGCCTTCTAGAGGGCCATCAACGATTTGCTAATAATCTTGTTCACGGTCCCATAGTCTTTGTCTAATACCTTCCTCAAAGCTCTTACAGCTTCCACCTGCTAGCTGACCCCAAAACCACATGTTTTACATTTGTTATAACAACACACTACCCAATTAACAAAATTAGCTACCTATTGCTACCTAAAAATGACCCCAAAACTTGGTGACTTAAAAGAAAAGTAACATTAATTTTGATTATGATGTCACAACTTGCTGAAGGCTTTACAGAGATAGCTCACTCTGCACCATTTGGTATCAGCTGGGGCAACAGTTAGGAACTAGAGTCATATGAAGACTTTTGCATTTATATATCCCCCAGTTGATACTGGCTGTCAGTTGAGACCTTAATGGGGTTGGTGACCAGAATATCTGCTCCACGGGATGTCTCCAGGTGGCTTGGGTTTCCTCACAACATTAGGTCTGGATTCTATGGGGGAGCATCCCAAGAAGAGAGCCAGGGAAAGGCCATATCACACTTCACAGCGTAGTCTCAGGAGTCGCATATCATCTTTTTGGCCATATTATACACATCCATACAGTGAGACAGGTCCACCCAATTTCAAGGGAAGAAAAAGAGATTCTACCGTTTCATGAGGGAATAGCAAGGTTCTTCAGTAGCAACAACCTCATGTGGAGTTGGAAATATAGCTGTGGTCACCTTTGGAAAATACAATTTTCCACACCTCTCTTTCATCTATTGACATGCTTTCACCTATTTTCCATGTTTCAGAATTTTGTGCAATTTCTTATTTTCTCATTTATGTCTAATTTTTATTTGCTTTTCTGGGTTTATGTATTTAACCATTTCTTTGCTGACATTACAGTTGTGTTTCATGAGAAAAGATAAGCAAATGCATGACTGAGACCATTTTTTAAAACTGGAATCATTGGCTAGGCGCGGTGGCTCATGCCTGTAATCCCAGCACTTTGGGAGGCTAAGGCAGGTAGATCATGAGGTCAAGAGATTGAGACCATCCTGGCCAGCATGGTGAAACCCTGTCTCTACTAAAAATACAAAAAATTAGCTGAGCATGGTGGTGTGCGCCTGTAGTCCCAGCTACTCGGGAGACTGAGGCAGGAGGATCGCTTGAACCTGGGAGTCGGAGGTTGCAGTGAACCGAGATCACACCACTGCACTCCAGCCTGGCAACAGAGTGAGACTCCATCTCAAAAAAAAAAAAAAAAAAAAAAGCAGAAAACAAAAAACAAAACAAAACAAAACAAAACAAACAAAAAACACGAATCATCACTTTCATTTTTTTGTAAATAGCTATATTAATATTTTTGAATAAGAATCCCTTGAATTGAATTGCCTTTAATAATTACAATTGTATATTGAGGTTGAAAATTACATTACAGTAATGGGTCAATTAAATACTGCTAGTTGTGCCCTAGGTAACATTAGCAGCAAACAAAACTTAAATAATATGAATTAACAAGTCATATATGGACAATAAATTGATATTATCTAAAATAAAAGAATTCTTACTAATTTTTTAACTAATAACAATAAATCATTTAAAGTCATATAGTAACAACAGGGACCATAATTATAAACAAATGTGAAAGATTCTAATGAGAGACATTTTAATCATGTCCTGAACCATCCTCACTTGAATTTCAATAGTATTTCTTAAATATTCTGATTCAAATTAACTTCTTTGACATCTTTAAATTTGTTCCTCAGTCCCTGGGAACACTTCGATGTATGCTAGGGTAAAGTAAATACATTAGAAACAGATAAAAATACTTCACTTTTAGAGTTATAGGATTACTTGGAACTTACCACAGAAAACTTGAACACCATACTTACAAGCATAATCTTGAACCCTACATACATCTAGCCAATAAAGACAGAAGGACCAATTTGATCTATCTCCTACACTAGAACTCTAACCCTTTGGAGGCTATCTGGCGATTACACTTTTTAAAAGATAATTTTTACACCATCATGAAAAACCACATATCAATTTTTAATTTCTAACCAAATTAACACTTTTCTTATTACACAACAAAAGTGACTTTATTTAAAAATATGCAGTAAAATAAACTAAATAAATTTAAATTACTTACAATTTTACTTTAAAAGACATGCTAATATTTTATTAATTTCCTTCTATTCCACTGCTTTTTTCTTCTTTGTCTACCTCCTCCTTTCCTCCTTTATGTATTTCTTTCAGCGTTCCTCTGTAATGATCATACACAGCATTTATTTTTCGTCTTCCTAACAGGCACTGAGCTAGAATGCCATTATTTAAAAGTTTATTATATAGAGTTAGATATGAAAGTATTCTACATCTATGTTTACACAATTTTATGTGTTTAAACATAAAATTCATGTGTTCATCTTGTATTTCAAATATTTATTATCACAGTTATACATCTCTTAGGGGAAGAGTATTTTTTGCACTCAATTAGCATAGCCTTTTAGCTGGAGATTTTGGAGTTGGAAACTATAGTCTAGGGTGCTGGTAATGTGAGCTCATGTGAGCTCTCTGAATATGACTAAGACTCCTCCAAGTCTAAGGGGAAAAGAGTAAATCATGATGTCTATTCGAAGACATTTCATAAATGAATATCTTTCTGATTAAGAAGTCCATTCAATTTAAACACATTTAACGTGTCATTTATGACTCATGAAAGAGCAGACACAATTCTACAGGGATATGGGTTCCACCAGT
This sequence comes from Homo sapiens, assembly GCF_000001405.40. Lineage (NCBI taxonomy): Eukaryota > Metazoa > Chordata > Mammalia > Primates > Hominidae > Homo > Homo sapiens. Next base: position 76,231,173 of record NC_000008.11, on the reverse strand, counting down.
GATTTTTATATTAAAGGAATTGTTTGCTTCAAAATATGATCTATATTATTTAAAAGTTCTCCTTCAACTGCATTTCAGCCCTGACTTCAAATAATCATAATCATACACACTGTTTCCTGACTTCTTAACAGCACCAAGACACGATCAAAAACAAGTGTACTTGAACAAGTTAGCTGCTTAGTAAAAACATTATCTCCGGAAAAAAAGAGCTGGGACAGGGACAACCATATACAAGATTTTTATTGTTGCAGAATGATTTTTTTCACACTTCAGCTATTAAAGGAGAAGCTCAGATCGCAAAAGGTGTATATTTCAAAGCTTCTTTCAAAGAGAGAGATTCCTTTCTGCTATAGTTACCTGAATGAGAAATAAATTGTAAAGGCTAACTGACCAATAAATGGATTTTAAAGGTGCAGTTTAGTTGGACTTTCCACCTTTTTCATTTGAATCCTGTTTTGATTACGATTTTTCAGAAGCTTTCAAATGTTTACAATTTATCATAAGGGTCTTCTTTTATACAGCACAGTATCTCCTTCCAGCGGGCACATCCCAGCATGACTCCAGCATTTATAAAGAGGGGATGACTCCTAATAGCCTAGTTTTTCAACTGCAAGTGGAATCAAGGCTAATTGCAACAAACCACCTCAGTTTAGTAAAACTAGAAGTCTCCTGGCCAGTCAGACAAATCCATTAGGATTTTATTGGGTCCTAAAAAGAGTTATGTGATTCCCTAGGATCCAATCCTTGTCAATCAGGCATGTTAAATTGGATTCTTGAATAGGGAAATCCCTTAGGGAGAGTAGATGTTATCTAGATCAGATGCAGTGATTTTTTCGACTCTGTGCTCACTAGGTTCTGTTCTCTCTTTAGTGAACCAATAAAACCATAATAAGTATTGATTAACCCATTACTGAGCATTATCCACTGGCTTCTGCCTGGCTGTATTTAAACACTACATTGTACTTTCACAGTGCCACTCTACAGACACTTGCCTTGCTGTGGCTGTCTTGCCAAAATGGTGCCAAGTGTATTTATTTTTAGTACAAACCAAATATTCCAATTACACTACCTCTGTCAGCTTCCAAGGTGTTCTGCTGGTTTTCTAAAGAAAGAAAATTATGCAATTGTTTTTGGTACAGTTGACTATATGGTAATTCAAGTGTTTGAATATTTTGAAATCTGAGATATTGTTTTCCACTAGGAAAAAACATAAAAATCTTATCACAAGACCTAAGTCAGTTTCCCTGTTGATTACAAAAAAAAAAAACAACAAAAACAAAAAACTGCCATTTAAATTAGTCTTGCATGTGTAATCTTTGAACAAATTATGTAATCTAATCATTTATGATGTCAGTAGAGGGAGTTTTCATTAGCACACAGCTGATTTCATTAACTATTGGAAATGTCATAACATTCAGGAGGCAGCAAAATCATAGTCTGTCTCAAGCTGTGAAGTTTTAGTGGACGTGTTTAAGATTCCCCTGTAAATTGACTGTTCACAAGTGAAGGTAAAATTTCTGGCAAGGCTGATCTATAATGTTTTCAGAATTTCCTTGTAAGCACTAGCTTATTCATGGCTGTCTGCTTTTCTTTCTGCAGGCTGCTTAATACTTAGAAATGCAAAGATCAACCAGACAAATTAAGTGTGATTAGAGGGGACAAGGTCATGTGCTGAATGGAGATAGGTCAATCTCAGGCATCAGAGCAAAAAAATAAAATAAAATAAAATTCACATTCACATTCACATTAATTATTATGCTTTTAGTATATATTTTGTTTCATATTTATTCTGACTACATATGCAGTTTTTAGGAAAGAATGTGCTTTGAGAAATCGATATATATTTGTTATTTTGGAGTTTATAGTTTGCAAGTCTATATTACCTTTTGTGTTCATTACAGAATAGTCATTTGATCAAGTGATTTTCAATACATTGTCAAAATAAATTACATTCACTTCATTAGATGTACAGGAAGTGTAGCCAAAGCAGGGACAAGTATTAATTTAGGACTCTGCAGAAACTGACACTCCATCTTATGACCCTGAGGCTGTATTATTCAAGATACCTAGTGATGGAAGGAAGTCTGTCTCCATAGCAATTACCTAAATCTTTTATCAGTCATTTCTGGAAAGAAAATTAGAGCAATTGTGTCAGGATGGTCATATGGGCAGAAATTGCACACTCATTCAAACCACTTATGTCTCTGATTTTGTCCTTGTTTGATAGCTGCTTTTGTTTACCACTCTGTGTTTGAAAGCTTGATTGGGCATGAGCAGATGTGCCAAACTGTAACCACAAAAGGTTGGTGTTTTGTTTTCTTCTCATTTCTTTTTTTCTTCCTTCATTACTTTATTTCTCTTTCTCTCCTCTTTTCTTGCCTTCTCTTTTTCTTTCTTAGCAAAACTACTAAATCTTACCACTTTTGTCTATTAAGCAAATTAGATGTCGTTAATAATGTGAAGAAACACAATTAGGAATAGTTGAAATAAGTTGCAGCAGTCCTTCCTCATTATTTATTTATTAAATTTAGTTATTATTAAACTAAACTTGGTAATATTTAACAGTTAGATGATTGCCAACTTGGGAAAAAGACTGCAAAGAATATATCCTTTTTCTTATATTTTATGACACAGGAATATTAATTGATTAGATAATTGATATCACACCAGTAAAGTCAATTGTTAGTGTGGAGGTCCATTGCCTAAATATGATTTAATTGATCTAGAATTTTGAAAAATATTCAAACAAATTAATAACCAAAGAGGAATTTTAGTCGCGCTGTGGAAACAGCTTCAAAAATCCCTCTGAACGTTTAGGTTTTTGCACCATTGGATTTTGAAATAAAAATAAAAAGCTTAACTCTTGATCAATGAGAGTTGCAGTTTTCTTTGAGTGGTATGAACAACGCAGTTTAAGCTTTCCCTTCAAGTTCCTTGTTCAGGAAAATTTACAATTAATGGCTTTCTTCAACAGCAAAGATATCCCCTTCTTCGTGGCTCAGCTAGGGACCTGCCAGACTAATCTATTCCCAGTGGGCTGGCCATGGTCCTTTACTCTATCTGTCTTAGCATATTGATTTCTGAGCTGTCTTATTGGTTCCTAACATAATTATAGCAGGAGTGGGTCTCTTAGTACAGCTAATACATTTACACTATGGCATCTAGGGGAGCTTATTATAACGGCATCCGGTAGTGCTGCTATAGTTAAGGGTCAGTTTCTATTTCCATTATAAACTCCATTTTTCAGTGAGTATATACCTTAGCAGTTTTAATTTATTTAAAGGTAAAAAAGAAAAAGAAACCCTGGCTTTGTGTCATCCAAGATCCACACATTTCTGCTCCTAAAAGTTAATAAAACTGAAGTCTCTATCCTTGCCATACTTTTGATATTTTCAGGAAAACAAATGATATTTTCTATTCTTATGGGATCTTTGACTTAGTAACTAATTTGACACATAGCTCAATTGTGGTATCAACAGAAGTGGTTTTAATACCCTAAACACGTTATGAATAGCATATATTATTATGTTTTTATCTATAAAAAGTGTGATGACTTTCAGCTTCCAAAGACTAAGGAAATATGTTTATCCACCTAACAGATAGATATTTGACGGAAACAATATTTCTTGAAATAGAAAAATTACCATCAAGATGATCTTTTACTGAAATGTTCATAATAGAAAACTCTAAATATGATAGCATAATATGTAAAGAAATAAATGTACCTCATGTAGGACAATTTTGTTCACTTAGCAAAATTTAAGATATAAAAAGGATTTTAAACAATTGACTAATAAAAATGTGGTTTGTATTTTTGTACGTTTAAACAGTATAAAGTTGTCTTGTCTCTAAACCAGCAACAGTTAATTTAGAGTTAGTTAAGCTTCCTAGCCATAGATGACTCACTCAATTCATAGATGAATATTTGAGACTTCAAACAGTAATAACCTATAACTAAATATTTCACTGTGTGGTTTTGTGTCCTAGCATCTTAGAATTCAGCATGAATTCTAGAACATATGAAAACTTATATGCTTGATTATATGTATTTTTTTTTACCATTCCTAGAAAGTGATAGAAGATGGTGCTAAAGGCTCCAAGTGAAATTTGTGGAAAGGTTAATTCATAGTATTTCAATTGTCCATGTCTAGATGTATGTTATACAAGCGCTAGTTAATCTATGGAAAAATGAAATTCATATAATAGCCACATTGGCATTAGAATTATTCCTATTTTTAATATTTAATAATAGTACAATAAATTGATTATATAGTATTAAATATGCATTTAAATTTATATATAATTACCATATATAATACATTTTATATAACATATGTAGGTAGATGAGCTTTTATGGTAAATCAAAATTTACTCCTCTAAGGAAAACAAACTTATAACCTGAAAATTCATTTCTAAATTGGATTTTTTTTCCATTATAAACAAAATGTAATAAGCAAGTTTTAACACTTTCAGTATGAAAATATCTTGAATATCAGCACTTGTATTTTTTCCTGCTGTAATACTGGATTTTATCTGATATTTTTGGAATGTTGTTTGATTCATCCATTTTACGTATTTTTATGGAAAGCATTGTGGTAAGCACAGAGATTGCAGAAAGATTAAAAAATAAAATTAAAAAAAATTGTCCCCAGTCTATAAAAACTCATATTTTTAAAAGGAAAAGATGTTGTAATTACCATAGTGGAGGTAAGTAAAAAATATTGAGGAATCTAAATTTCAGAAGACATAGTGATAATTCTGACAAAGAATCAAGGAATGCTTTACAAAGAACATTACACTGGAAATACGTTTTCAAAAATGGTAGAAGGTTTCACCATATGCTAAGTAGCTTTGAATTATTATGATTGATTGACTATGTCTTTATTTACCTGTCTTATAGCCTTACTTGCATGGAAGGCTGTTTTCTGTGTAAGACCATGGCAACATCTATTCTTTTTCTCATTCTCATTTATTTCTTTTAATTTATGGTAGACTCAGAAATCAAGTAACATATGTAAAGACTAAACAAGAAGCAAAAATTAATTAGTACCTCTCTAATTAATGTCTGTATAATCTATGATATTCAGGTACTTTAATTCCTGTACTTTACAATATCTATATTAGATGCTCTGAGCACCTCTTTGCTTAATGACCGCTGCATTCCAGTTATAGAAGGGTGCTAAATATTTAGTTCAAGTAGATAAAGTTGACATTTAAATGAGGATTGTTGTGCATTATATAAGTGCGGCCGATCAAATCTATGTTCACCTCTTTCTAGCAGAAAGAGGTGACTGTGGTTAGCTGTACCCATGTGACTGCCAGCTAGTCAATAAAATGTAAGAGAGGGGAATAGGTGCCACTTCCAGGTGACGGCTTTTAAGATATGAGTATACTTCCATGTTCTCTTTGATCTCTAGGCTAGATAACATGGCCCTGGTGGGTGGTGGAGCCACAGAATGGAAGGTACTTGAAGGTTCTGAATCATCAAGTAGGGAAGAGCCATGCTTCCCAAGCTTACAACTTCACCAACCAGGATACCAATTTGGACTGTTATATGAGGGGAAAACAAACTCTTAATCTACTTATCTGGAGGGAGATTACTGTAGTACGGACCACCTAAAAGAGTACAATATATTGTATGCATGTTTGACTATATATGGAGCCCTATATACATATTAATTACTGGCTCTAATTTTACAGATTGTGTATATGAGATTTCAGTTTCCAGAATTTTCAATACTTTAACTTTTAGTTTTGTAAAATATATTCGTAACAGCTGCTTTTTGTTTTATTTTACTTTTATTTTATTTTTTCAGAGAAATCCTGGGTAAGTTGACTAATGCAATGACTGTATGGGATGTGAAGCTACTAATGAGTTTTTCAATGATTTGACAAACTCAGTTCAAATAATCAATAGCAGCTTTCGACAGGACTTGTTCAAATTTCTGACCAAATGGACTGGTAGTTTTGTATCCGGCTGATGAAATATCACTATTTCCTGTTATCAGTTATACTCTTTAGATCAGTGTAAACATACAGATTCATACCATTTGAAAATCAAAGAAATTAACTAAAGATTAACCTCTCAACATGTGAATTTGAAGTTTATAAACTATATCAAATTAGAATAAACTTTAAAGACTTAGAATTTCAGCCACCCCTCTTGAGTCATTTAGATTTTGCCAGAATATTTCATGAAATATTATGGTTAGATACTTCATACTAAAAATAAACTTTAACTTGACATGTAAGTTTTTTTAAAACCGTTTTGTGGGTTCTATAGGAAGCATGGAATTGCAGTGGCACAGGAATTTTACAAATAATGAGGTGAAAACAGCTTAACCAAACTTTTTAAATCTTCAAAAGGATTCTACTCTGGTTCATAATAGATGTGCCTACAGATTCTCAGTCACAGCAAGATGGCTGGGCACTGCATTTCATATTCACAAAATAGGCTTTTTCTTGGTAAAGATGGTTTTACATCCCCTGTCATAACAAAGAAGGATTGCCAACTATTTATTTCAGTGTTCCTAATTGTTGTCAGAATGTGACCTAAAATCTGACACAGAATTTTTCAAAGTCAGGCTCCCACCCGGCATGTACATTTATCAACGTTTTTTCCACACTCACCTATGCAGCAGCACTTGTGAAGGTCTGTTTTTATTTAATTCTCAAGATTTTGTTGTTAATAGGAAAACTGTCTCATAAATTAGGGAAGTGCTCAATTACAAGCCTGACAGAGATTGATTTTGGTTCTGCTGTTGGTCACTACCAGCAAGTGAAGGCCGCAGAAACCACAACTCCAGCTAATGCTGGAATCGCTTCAGAGGTGCTCACTGAACAAGTGTTCATTAAGAAGTGAGAACTGTTGGCAGCATATCTGCATGTTGTTTGTGTTTATAGCAAGAATCTATATGAGTATCCTTTCACTATTTAGTTACATACACTCGTGACAGAATAACGTAACTTTCAATTTTTTGCATATATTAATAGATTTTAAAAAGCCAACAGAACAACTTAAAGGCTTTAGCTGCCACATATTTAAAAAGACAATATATTCCAAAGGTCTGAAATTGCAGTTGTCACATTGGAAATCCACAAAATAAAATGACTCACAAACTGAAAGACAATAGGCACAAATGGCAAACTTAAAAAAAATCCAACTTGGGCAGCTAAATGTCAGGAATTCTTTTCTGAAACTCATTAAAAAATAAGATTCAATCAAGTAGAATTATAAGAGAATTCTAATATGAAATATTCTAATAAAGGAATGCTTTGGTTCTAATCCTTTGAGATAAAAATTATGGTAGAGTTTTAGAAAATAATTTTTCCTTGGCTTTAGGATAGATAATCCATTTGAATAAAGTTTCTATTGCTTTTTTTGTTTAAATTTTCAAAATTACTACATGATAATAAAGGACTGATTTGATGTGTTTGGAAAAATAAAGATATATTTTCTGCCTCAAGTAATGGATAAGGAAAGTGGCATTTTAAAGTGAGTATAAAATATACCAAAACTATGATTTTAGAGAAATTATGTTTACTTCAATTCCTAGGAAGACCCATTCCTATTATTCCAGCATGGGGTAGCTAGCATAACAGCCTCTTTCCTTTACAGTCTTAATATTATACTTTGATTACTAAATAAGGTTTTTTTTTCTAGTTTTTGACCACAGATTACTTATTTTCATAATTAAATAAGGCAGAATAAGTGTAAAAGCTAAAAGTGTCTTAATTGTGAGGCTTATTCAAGATATTATTGGGAAGGTACACAAAACACTCCCTAAGTCTGATCTTTTGCTTTGCAGGATAAAAAAGGATACTTAAAAATGTATATGTATTATATCATTTTAGGATTCTGATATTCTGATACTACTTAGCTATCATCAGAAAGCTTCATATTTGGATGTACATAAGATTAAAGGAATGGTATATGCAAGATATTCTCTTTCTCTTCTCCTTACTTATTCACTACTAAGTAAGTTAAACATTTATTTATTCTCAACAATTTTATTGCAGAATCTGAAATAGGTAAATACTTCAAACTTTTTTTCCAAAATTATATTTTGGTTATTTTTCTGCTTTACCACATTGTTTTCAAAGTCACCTAATGGCTAGCCTGGAATATACATTGACTCCAACAGTGTTTTACAAACAGGCCTCATGAAATAGCACATTTGTTAGAAGTCGCGGATGAATATCACTATAGTTATTAAATTACTGTTCTTTAAAAAACATTAGACAAATAACAGGAAATCACGCTGTGCAGCAGGATAATATAATAAAGATTCAATTATAAGAGTTATGAACAATAAGTGAGCCTCTAAATGGCAAAGTTGAAAGTGGCCTTTGATTGTAAGTTAACATTTTCATGGTTTTGAACTTAAATCACTGTGTTTTCAGTGGAAAAAAATAGTGTGTTTATCTATATGGAATATATAATTTTCTATAAACCTATAGAGTAATAGCATTTGAAGAAAATTACTTTGCAGTTTAATTTAATGAACGCTATTTACACTTCCATTTCAGTTTCTAGTAACCAAACGAATGCTTTAACAGCTTTACTGGTTTCAAAGGACCCATGCCTCATGCCCGTCTCAGCTTTAGTTTACATGAAGGAAACTGAAAATGCAGATGTCACATAGGCTTCGGTGAGTGATAAGATGATAAATACTACATTTCATGAGCAGAAGTGTAGGGCATGGAGAAATTCCTAAAAATTTTAGAAATTCATAAGTCTCTTATTACTTTAAAAATTTTACCGTTCTTATTAATGTAATCTAATAATCAATTCTTAAATTGCCCTTTAATAATTTCACTGACCAGCAAAATCCTTCAAACATCATATCAAATATCATTACCTCTTTGAAGGCATTCTCACTCTCATCACGAGAGTAATTTATTACTTCTGTACACCAGTCCTCTATATTCTGGGACTGATTCTGTGGAAATAATTATAACTATCATTCTTGATCACTGACTCTATGCTAGCCATGTGCCTGTTATTTTATTTAATTCAAGATCCCCATAGAGGTAAAAAGAAGTAAGCACTATTGATATTCTTATTCAACAATGAGGAAGACAGACTTATGAAGGCCAAGCGGCACAGTTGACAGTTCAAACATCCTGGAGCTGGGACTGTAATCCAGGTCTTTCTAATTGTAAAGCTTATTCTCTTTCATCATTCTGTTATATTGTTTCTCACTTTAGTTCCAGGTATGACAATAAATAAGCTTAGCTCAAGGGTAGTCTGGAACATAAATACCACTCTGTGTTAGAGAAGACCTTTATGCTCCAGGTGATCCTTATGCTTGAAAAAAAAAAATGACGACAATAAAACAAGCCTCTGCATTTTGGTTCTCCCTACACAAAGAAAGAGTAACTTCTAGGAAGGATCCTGAGACCTGAATGAGAAATTGGGAGAGGAGGGCAAGTACATTGCATGATTGGCCCCAGTTTTCACCCCTCCATTCATCAACTCTTTTGCCATGGCCTCATGACAGGTGTGGTATTATGTCCCTTTCCCTGAGCTTTGAGCTTAGATATGTGATTTGCTTTAGGAAATGATAAATAAGCACAAGTGACAGTATCCCAGTTATGACCTGTGCCATAAGAGGTCTCACAAGTTTCTGCTTGCTGTCTTGCACCACTGCCACTGCCATAAGAAGAATTTGCACTTACTAGCCTGTTAGTCCAAGGAGGATGTAGAGCAAAGCTGCCCAGCTGGACACAATCCATAGCAGCTGAACCCCACAGCTGGCCCACAGACATGTGAATGATAGTAGATGATTGCTGCCTTAAGCCACTAGATTTGGAGATTGTTTGCTATGCAATGGGGTCTATGATTAATACACCATGTGTAAAGAAAAAAATCACATTGAATTAGTATTGTTCAGCATACACTATTTTCAGTAAATAAAATATAATGAAAATTGGATCTTGCCATCAGGATGTTTTAATTCTTAATATTTCTAAAGTTTATATTGATAAGCAAAATAAAACCATTGCATTCATAATCATTAAAAGCATACTTTTTAAAGATCACACTTAATCCTCTACTTCTGACAAAATCTTAAAGGAGTTGGGTAAGAACTGTCTGGGTCCCGGGTGGAGTAGAGTAGGTAGGAGAAAACAGGCATTAGAATAGATTAGTTGGTTAACATGTAACATTCTTCCTTTAAGGATGACATATTAAGACTAAATAAAGCACACATTATTTACAAGGAACCAATTTTGTGAAATTAAAATGTCAAGTGGGACCCTAGCATCACATTCACTGCTGTCTATATTATCTAGCTATAATCTGTAGCTAACTCAGAAATTCCAGTAGTGACTCTCAAGAATTAGAATTGGGGCTGGTGCAGTGGCTCACTGTAATCCTAGGGTTTTGGGAGGCTGAGTAGGGAGGACTGTTTGAGTCCAGGTGTTCAAGGCTGCAGTCAACTCTGACTGTGCCACTGTAGGGTGGCTGCAGTGACAGAGGAAGACCCTGTCTCAAAAAAAAAAAAAATTAAAACTAATATGATTCAGTCCCCAAAGTTCTCAGGGTAGATTCTTATATGACCATAGCCTAAGTACAAGATGAGATAACAAAGGGAAAAAGACAGTTATGGTCATGTTCTTGTGGCCAAAGAGCTACAAGAGCTTTCAGAGCTGAGCTATAATATTTTAACTTATGGCATGATGTTTGTCTTGCCCTTCAATAAAACTCAGCAATTCAATCAAATGTCTCTGGCCAGCTTCCACTTCATCATCGCAGCATGTAAAGCTTCATTAGTATTCCAAGACTTCTTTCTTCTACCACCCCTCTCTTCTTATTCAGAACAACAGCTTTTATTGTTATTTAGCACAGAAAATAGAGATTATAAGGCATGAACTACCTCGATGTTCTGCTCTTCCATTTGTTCATCTATTAGCACTGGCATCAATCTCAGAAATTGTTCTATGAGAAGCAACTTCTCTAACGCGATACTAATTTATTCATATGAGCTCTTCATTCCTGAGTACTCAGCCTTTCATTTTTCACTGACTCCTTTATTATATAAGTATGCTGACATATCTTCCACTTTTATTTACTTCCCAATTCAGTGTTCTCTCTAGACTTATCTCCATATAACTCTGCTTTAGAACCAAGCTCTTAGAAAGTGTAGATTAACTTCCAGTTCCAAGTTTATAAGTGCTATTTGTATCAGATTAATTTTCCCCCAGATACTACTACAAAAGAGAAACAAAATACAAAACAAAACTACTTGGAAACATTACAGAAGAAGCAATGCAAGGAGGATTTCAGGAGCTATAATTTTACAGGTAACAGGGCATGCAGACTTGAGCTCTGCATTAGCACCTGCTTTTGATCAGGGGTGATTCATCACTTCTTGCTATAGGAGAGTAGAGTTTTTTCAAAAAAGAGGCAGACTCTCTGGGAATAGTCAAAAGAGTTTAAAATTAGTGGCTGCTAAAGCAACTGATATTTGAGGTGGGAAATCTTATAGAGGAGAAAACCATAGAAAAGCAAAAATTTCCCTCAAAATGCTTGCTTACCCTTAAACTGCACAGGCAGAAGTTAAGAGCAGAGAAACAACTAACAGAAAGCAGTAGGTGGGATCCCAAAGTGACAAGCAAAGGTTTCAATAGTTGTGAGGTGCTACAGTAGCAGTGGTTAGAGTTCAAGCTCCACACTGAAAAACATTCCAGATCCTCAACAGGAACCTCAGAAATACCGTCAACACTAAACCAGAAATATTGACGACTGATTTCCCAACAGAAACAATGAAAAGAAGAAAATAGTGGAATGGCATATTAGAGTCCTTAACAAAAGAAACAAAACTATCAACCTCCAGTTTCCATACCCGGTGAAAATATTCTTCAAGGTGAAGGTAAAGAAAAAGTGCAAACAAGTCAAATGTCAACTGAGCAATGAATAGATAAAATTGAGTATATCCATGCAATGGAATATTATTTGGGAACAAAAAAAGAATGAAGTTTTGATACATGCTGCAACATACATGCTGTAAATCTTAAAGTAACTGCAAAAGAATATTAAACAACAAATCAACTGATAATGGAAAAAAATGAAATAAAAAGATTGATACAAGAAGAATTGAAAAGCTGAGGAATCCTACACCAATGAAAGAAAAATGAACCTGGTTTTAGAATGTTTCCCATACAGGAAAATCCAGGCCTTGATGATTTTAATAGTGAACTCTTCAAAAAATTTAAAGAAGAAGAAGCATCAATTTCACACAGTATTCAACGCTTCCTATGTGGCCAGTGATAGGAACTGAAACATCACATAAGGTGTCAGATACAAGCAGCACTTTGGGAGGCCGAGGCTGGTGGATCACGAGGTCAAGAGATGGAGACCATCCTGGCCAACATGGTGAAACCCCATCTCTACTAAATATACAAAAAAATTAGCTGGCGTGGTAGCGGGTGCCTGTAGTCCCAGCTACGAGGGAGGCTGAGGGAGGAGAATGGCATGAATTCGGGAGGCCGAGCTTGGGGTGAGCGGAGATTGTGCCACTGCACTCCAGCCTGGGCGACTGAGGGAGACTCCGTCTCAAAAAAAAAAAAAAGGGCCTACCCGTTTCATGTCTAGATGTCATGTATAGATGTAAATTCTTAAAGAAACTATGAAAAATAGAATCTGTCAATATATAGAAACAGGATAATATATCATGAAAAAGTAGATTTATACCACAAAATCAAAGTTGGCTTAACATTAGAAAATCAACTGATGTAATTTGCCTCACTAATGAGAAAAACAAAAAGATCATTCACAACCCAATAGATATACAGAAGGCATTTGACAAAATTCTACACTCATTTATTTGAAAAATCTCTTAGTTATATCTGGTTAGATATTGTAAGTGAATATGTATTAAATTGATAAGAAAAATTTAATAAAAATACATTATTAGTTTACAATAATTCGATAAAGGAGAAATGATGAAGTAAAAAATAAGAAATAAATAAATAGAAAACAATGCGATTACAAGATATTCTTTACATAAAATTATGTAGTAATTATATAGAAATAAATTGGATAAAGAACTCAGTTTGATGGATAGGAAAATTCACTACTGTTCTACCCAAGCTGTCTTAAAATTCTCTACGCATAAAAAGGATCTCAGCAGTTTATTCAAGTTCTATGTGCAGACTGTAATTCCAATATTTATGTAGAAATGCAAAGGGCCAACCATAGCTAATGTAATATTGAAAAAAACAATAACGGAGGAGGACATATATTACCTGACTTAAAGAGTTACTGTAACGTTTAAAGTTACAGTATAGTATTCATACAAGAATAGACAAATAGACAAGGAAATCAGCATAGGCAAGGTGGAAATAGACCCACCCACATAGTGCCACAAAAACAGCTGCAAAACAGTTGTCCAAGGATTTGTTTCTTATAAATGATGCTGTTTCTCTTGGATATCTATATGGAGGAGCGAGAGAACATGACCCATACATCATACCATATTACAAAATTTATCACAGAAAGATTGTAGGCTTTTCTATAAAAAGCAAAAGAATAAGTTTTTTTAAGAAAAACAGAAAAATACTTTCATAAATTTGAGCTGAAAAAAAAAGACACAGTAAACAGGACACAAGAATATTAATTAGTTGCACTTTGTTAAAGTTAAAATTAAAAATTTCTCTTTTTATGGAAACACCATTAAGACCTGGGAAAGGCAAGTCATGATATGACAAAATATATTTGCAATATATTTTTCATATTTTATATTTTAAATTTTGAAAAAGTACATATTCAGAATATATACTGGACACCAAGAAATTAAATAATAAGGCCGGGCGTGGTGGCTCACGCCTGTAATCCCAGCACTTTGGGAGGCCGAGGCGGGTGGATCATGAGGTCAGGAGATCGAGACCATCCTGGCTAACAAGGTGAAACCCCGTCTCTACTAAAAATACAAAAAATTAGCCGGGCGCAGTGGCGGGCGCCTGTAGTCCCAGCTACTCGGGAGGCTGAGGCAGGAGAATGGCGTGAACCCGGGAAGCGGAGCTTGCAGTGAGCCGAGATTGCGCCACTGCAGTCCGCAGTCCGGCCTGGGCGACAGAGCGAGACTCCGTCTCAAAAAAAAAAAAAAAAAAAAAAAATTAAATAATAAAAAGAGAGAAAGCCAAATAGAAAAATGGTCAAAAGATTTGAATGTGCATTTCACAAAAGAACACTAACATTATTAGCTTTCAGAAAGATATGAATGAAAAATGAATGAAACAACAATGAAATAGAGAAACAACTAGCCTGGCTAAAATGAAGAAGATGGAAAACACAAATGTTGGCAAAGATACATATCAACCCTCATAGGTTGCTGGCGGAAGTGTAAATGAACGCAATCATTTTGGAAAGCTTTGGCATTTCTCTATTAAAGATAAATATATGCCTACATTATGGTCTAACAATTTCATTCTTAGATGTATACCCCAAAGAAATGGGTGCATAGCTCCCAGAAGATAGGCTATAAGAATTAATGGTAGCACTGATTGTAATAACCAAGAATGGGTAATAAATGTAATAACTAAGAATTATTTATCAATAATGACTAAGAAACTAGTGGCTAAAAACTATTGAATATATTCATACGATGGAATGGAAAAGAACACATTTTGGATGGATGAATTTTGTGATCAACATTTGAGAAAAAGAGGCCATTTGCGTGTGTGAAGTTAAAGAAAGGGCAAATGCAATCTATAGTAACAGAAGTGAGTATAGTGGTTGTGTTCTTGGGATGGGAGGTTTTGACTGGGAGTAGACAAATTGGGGTCTTCTATGGAGCTGGAAATGTTCTATATCTTGAATTATTTGATACACATGTGTAACATAATATTCACCAAACCTGCCCCTTGCAGCTTTTGGTCTCTCTCTCTTTTTTTTTTTTAACCACATTTCCTGCCTCACTGCCACCACCACACTATCTACTGCAACTAGGTTCGCCCCTTACCACTCCAGTGAACATGTTCATGCTAATTAAGTTCATCAATAATTGCCCTGTTACAAAATTTAACGGATATTTTAAAATTCCAAAATTCCTTCACCTCTTTGATGTATTTCAAATCATGTATTCCTTTTCCTTCCTTCGCCACTTTTTTCTGACCCTGAATACCACAGTCTCTGCTGCCTCCCTGCCTGTACATTTTTTTTTTTTGCAAGGAGTTGTCCATGTCTTCTGATGCCATGTAGGTTGCCTTATATATATGATCCTTAAAATTCCTGCCCACCACCCACCTACCCACAGACAGATGGACTACAAGATATTTACTCTGAACAAATAAATTAGAAAAAGGGCCTCTCTATTTGGTTTAAATCAGCTGTACTCCAGGGAAGATGGCCTTGAAAATGGACACAGAGTCACATTTTAGCCTTATTTTTTTCCCTCAACCCTTGGCTAGGAGCCTTTATATGGAACTCCACCTGGAGAGTACTTCCTTGTGATACCCCATTTGGATTAATCTTGACAAAATCTCACTTATTACATGGTCTCAATTCAATTGTGAACGTCCCCATTAAACATTCCAGGCCTTGGGCAGCCTGGCAGAGGGCATCTGCTTCCTCTGTGTATCTTTCATCCTCCAGTGAAGCAGCTGACACAGCGTATTCCAATTGTTTGTTTGTCTGGCTCCAATCTAAACTGTAAGGGCAAGGAATGTGTATTTTCCATGTTATAAACTCAGTAACATATACATATATATATATATATATATATATATATACACACACACACACACACACACACACACACACGTATATGTGTGTATAAACACAATCAGTAAATATTTGTTGAATAAATGAATGAATAAATCCAGTAGCAAATGAAGACAAAATAAAAATATCTACAAGAAAAATACAGTAATTTAAATGATAATGTAAGATCCAAATTTGGGAAAATTGGAATCTCTAGAGTTTTGAAAAGTTGGCCGGGCAGGCGTAGTGGTTCACACTTGTAATCCCAGCACTTTAGGAGGCCAAGGCGAGTGGATCACTTGAGGCTAGCAGTTCGAGACCAGCCTGGCCAACATGGTGAAACCTTATCTCTACTAAAAATACAAAAATTAGCCAGGTGTGGTGGTGTGCGCCTATAATCCCAGCTACTCTGGAGACTAGGGCAGAGGAATTACTTGAACCCAGGAGATAGAGGCTGCAGTGAGCCGAGATCATGCCACTGCACTCCAGCCTGGGCAACAGAGAAGACCCTGTCTAAAAAAAAAAAAAAAAAAAAAAAGTTAATTTTAGTTCTGTAGACTGTCAGACTAAATTAAATACTTAAAGCTACTAGAACTTCACTTATATTTATTCAATGTATGCTTAGTAGATTATTTATACCTATCAATGACTAATATTTTATAAACAAAATAAGAATGATAGTCTGAAGTGGCTTGTTTTATGAATTCAATAATTTACACTTTTAAAATGATTTTTTGGTAATACCAAAGGAGAGCAATATCATCATCTGTGTTCTGATATTACAGCAAGAAAGTTACAAGTAAAATTCACTAACTCATCCATGAAAATAAACAATGGCATAGAAATTGACTTTGAAGATATTTTGCAACATTTAAAATTTTTGTATTTTGAATTTCATTTCTGCGGCAAAACTTATCTTTTTAATTATGAAAACATATTTAGATTTAATAATTGTGTATGAGCACATTTATTATACAAGATATTGTGCCAGACACAATAGGTTACATACAAGAATAAGTAAGTTATAATCTCTGCTTTCAAAGCATTCCGTCTCAAGGGAGAGAGATATGCAAACAGAGCTATGAGCTGAGACACAGAAATTACTTGGATTGACTTTCTGTAACATCCTCTTTCAACAGCGGAACCTGAGACATTACATCATCACCAGGTGTTAGAAACTATAGCAAATTTGTATTAAAATATGGCCATTCAACTATTATTTTGGAGCAATTCTTGGATTGGATGCTTTCTATGTTTGGTAAACAAGCTTTGAGGAAGAAATAGTAATGGAATCCCTTTATTTACAAACATTCTCATAGCTAGGTTTTTTTTTCAATATTGATCAAACAAAGAAACTTGGTCTGTGCATCTTTACTGCACTTCATACTTGTCTGTTCATCTGGCATGTGATCTCTCAGGAAAGATTCAATGCTCAGTGTCACAACTGAGGCTCTTCACTTACGTTGGCTCTTCCCTTTGTACTTACGTTGGGATATGTGTGTGACATTTCAGTGTGAGATGATTACTTTGCTCTGTCTCTGTCTCTTTGTTCTACTTCTACCCTCACTTCTACCTCTCAGTTTCAGAGTTGTTAGCCCTCTTGAGCAGATGAACTACAGCAACTTCTCTGCCTCTAAAAGTTCCACATTTTGAGGTACACTCAGACACAGAATTGTAGTGGGACACAGATGTGAAAGTTGAGGGTTTAGAGGTTTAAAGATTCTTCTTCTCTATCTTGTTGTCTCTGAAAAACATCCCATCTATCTGCTCTCCAAACTTCAATCTTTCCCCTCTTAATATAAGTGCAATTTACCAAAAATGATATGTTTTCTTCTAAATGAAAGGGAAGAGAGAGCAATGAGAAAGAGAGCAAGAGCTAGGGCACACTTTTTTTCTTTGTCAACTTATGTAGAGAAAATGGGGTTTTAGGAATGAGTTTGTTCAAGAGGTAAATGATGGAAGATTTTTAATCAGAATACTTTCTGTTGTCTGCCATTACAAAAATTTGTAATTATAATTGTACTTAGCTAACTGACTGGTGTTTTATATGGGGTAATATTTAGAGTCACTTTTTTCACAATTAGGTTGTTTTCAAGTTTTTCTGAAATGATGAGTGATAATATGAAGTTTATGGGCCGGGCGCGGTGGCTCACGCCTGTAATCCCAGCACTTTGGGAGGCCGAGGCGGGTGGATCATGAGGTCAGGAGATCGAGACCATCCTGGCTAACAAGGTGAAACCCCGTCTCTACTAAAAATACAAAAAATTAGCCGGGCGCGGTGGCGGGCGCCTGTAGTCCCAGCTACTCGGGAGGCTGAGGCAGGAGAATGGCGTGAACCCGGGAAGCGGAGCTTGCAGTGAGCCGAGATTGCACCACTGCAGTCCGCAGTCCGGCCTGGGCGACAGAGCGAGACTCCATCTCAAAAAAAAAAAAAAATATGAAGTTTATGAATAAAATAAAATATATCTGATCGAAACAAAGGAACAAAAAGGTCTTTCATTTAAACGATTTTTTCCTTCTATTTTGTTTTAGTCTTGTTTTATTCATTTTTAGCCTATCACTTAAGGTATTTAGGTGAGGAACATGTAAACTATTATGTACAAGTGACAATGGAGATCTAATCTATGCTATTGAAAAACTGAGGGTGAATGCAAAGACATTGAGAAGGAAGAACTGATGGTTTCAAGTAATTGTGTAAAGAAAGAGGATGGCAGTCTTCTTGCCTGAGACTGGGAAACCAGGAGAAGGAACAGTTTGAAAGGAAAACACTGAGTTTGAAAGTTCTTCCAATGACTCATGAGAAGCACTCCAGAATGCAGTGAAAACATAGATCAGAGTATTAGGAAAGAAGACAAATTTTTCATAGACTTTTGCATGGAAATGACAGTTGAAACGTTGACAAATGTCTGAAATTACAAACCAAAGTGAAGTGTTTTAAAAGAGACAATATTGGAGGCAAGAATGGGAGGTAGATTGAGGAAAAACATCATAAATTTGGGAAGACAAGAGAGTCCAGGTTGGTAGAAGGCAGGGCAGAGAAGTCAGAGAAAGAAGAGGTTCAACTATGTCACTCGATGCTAATAGGAATTGAGAAGACTGGAATATAGAATAGATCCAGGAGATATCATGGCCCAAGAAGTGCTAACATAAGGAAAAGTCAAACTATTTGAAGACTTATGGAAAAGAGTTGGGTAAAATAGTTATACATGAAAGCCAGAGGAAATAACTATTGAAGAAGTATTGAGAGACTAGTATGACATCAATAATCACAAATAGAAGGCCTTGCCTTAAAAAGGAATGGTTTGTCTTTCTCTGATGTACACAATGGTGATTATATACAAGGAGTATTTAATAATAAGGGAAAAGAGTTGAGGTTGACTCTCATCAAAATTTTCAGTATAGCAGGAGATTAAAGTATCTGCTTAGAGATATGGAATATAGTATATGTTTGAGGGCTTGAAGCAAGATGATTGGAACAGGTGATGTGTAAATTAGAATTGAGCCAAAGACTGTAGAATCATTTTTAGTATTCAACTAAGATTGGTTAGCACAAATTTAGAATGTTACCACCTTAAATGCTTTTTCCCCCAGAAATACTTCCAACTTAAGAATCAAGATAAATAGATAATATGCAGCTGAGTCTACCCAACGTTGAGTGAAGACATCAAAATATGACAGAAAAACAAGAGGAATGTGAAAACTTGTGAGACAAGGAGGAGGGACTTCCTTAACCTGTGTTAATGCAGAGAGTAAACAGATTCAATTTCACAATAAAACAAAAGCAAAAGAAATGGATAAGATGCTTAAGATTCAATTCAATAATAAGTTTTCAAATATTTGTGGGTAGTGGAAATTATAGAAGTTTATGTTCATATCAAAATTTTCTGTTCAGTAATACTTGAATTCTAAAAATCCAACTCAGAAATGTATCAGAAGTTCCTTATAAAACAAAACAAAATATGTATGTGCTGTATCAGTGCAATGCAGCATTTAGTATCATCCCATAAGAAGAAGCAAATGGAAAGAATGTCTTGAATGCAAATATTTACGTTAATCCTACCAAAAAGCAGAATAGCCTGAACTCTTATCAAAACTGCCCTTAGAAGTGCTTGAAGTGAAAAAAGAAAGGATAGTATATTCAATACGGGCAGATCCTAAAGCCAGACAGGAACAATAAACAATGACAAACAAGCCTGACTCATTGTGACTTGGAGAAGCAGAACTTGCAAGTTCAACAGGAGAGACACTAAGGTAAATGGATGGATGAAGAGAAACAGGAAGCAAATGCTGCAGCCATTCTCTAGTTTTTAAAATGATAACCTACCAAACTCCTGTTTCTATTTGGTTAAGTAGATAAGAAGGGCTTGTCTGTCTATGAGAGAGATTAAATAAAATATTTCCCAATTTTCATCTAAAGAAATAAATATTATGTATATTTCATCAAGGGAAATGGAATAAGAGAGCTGAAGATATTAGCAAAGGAGTAATTATAATGGAATTTATTACAACTTCAGCAGGGGAAAAATAATGAAGTACATTGAGAAATTGGGAGAAGAATGTGGTAGGGATGTACATGGATGCATCTCAATGCAATGGATTTTTGCATTGAGACAAAATATTCTTATGGAAGGGGCACTTGCAAAGCAGGAAGGAAAGATGTTTTAATTGGAGAGTGGGGTTTTAGCATCAGAGATTTTAGAAATTAGATGAATCTAAAACTGTTTCCTTGAGAAATGGAGATGGAATGGAGGAAACAGTCATTGGGATGAAGAAGTACAGATCAGTGTGTAAGCTGTGTCCTTCATATATGTTTTGAAGCCTTCATGTATGGAGACAGCAATTGAAGTGGAAAAAATATAAATCTAGGAGTCATCATCAACACGTTAAATGGCCGTAATAATTAGAACTAAAGAAACATCTGTGGGATCATTAACCCTTGCCAGGAGCTGTAAAGTGCTCGTCTTCATTAACCCCAACACGTATTTCTTGACAACTCATCTCCAAAAACTAGGTAGAAGAGAAGTATTTATAACTCTTGTTATATATAGGTTGTTTTTCCGAAAAGTTAGCTCTCCAGTGGCTGTGACTGGCACACTGGGCAGGTGAAAGGTCCTGAAAATAAGGTTCTTGTGCAGGCATGTTCCAATATCAACAAGGAAATGGCTCATTCACTGTGAAATTACATGATGATAAAAAATGCTGCTTCTGCTGTATAAAGAATACCTAAGCAAGGGTGGAGTTATACTCTCAGGAGGGTGAGTGAAAGATGGGGCAGTGTAAAGATGAAAGCAAGAGGACATGTGTTGCTCAGGAGTCATGAGGAGAGGTGGAACTACTTGTATATCTATGTAAATTGGGAGAGCATTGTAACACTCCAATCCAGCATGACACAATAAGCTAAGGTTTGATTATTTAAGTTGTTTTATGTCTTTACAGAGGCTCATATCTAGTACTTAAGACTCATGAATGCCATGTAATTATTCATACCAATTTTTTAGCTGTCATTCTATTTGCGTGTGTGTGTGTGTGTGTGTGTGTGTGTGTGTGTGTGTGTGTGTGAAAAGTAGCTGGAACCAAGTGAGTAGCCAGAACATTGGCAGGTTCTGCAATGTTCTGAGATAAAAAGCTGCAAGATCTGAGATACTATGAAGATTTTGAGTCAAGAGTTCGAGATTTAAATAAATGACAGTGAGATTTAAATTAACGACCAGCAATAAGAATGGAGAGGGAATGTTCCATCTTGAAGATAGGAGCCTCAAAAGAGGTTTTACAGGAAAAATCTATACCTTTAAAAGAGCTCTAGGGAGCAGATCAGACACATACTTCAACTTCCTGCTAGGAAATGTCAGGTTGCTGACAGGAAAAGTAGCTTCCATTTGAAAAGACTTAGAGGGAAGCAGCGATTTTAGGAAATACCTCATTTCAGTTAAAGAAAGGAGTTGGCAAATAAAAAACTAAAACTATGTTGCTATTATTTAAATGTTTGTTCCCCCACAAAACTCATGTTTAAATTTAATCGCCAGGCAGTATTAAAAGGTGGAACCTTGAAGAAGTGATTAGGCCATGAGGGCTCCAGCCTCATGGGCGGTGTTGGTGCTGTTATAAAAGGGCAAGTTTGGTTCCCTCTTGCTTTTACTTGCCCTTCTCCTGCCACCATGAAATGAAGGTCACCATGAGGTGCTAGCACCTTGATCTCAGATTTCCCAGTCTCCAGAACTGGAAGCCAGTAAATTTCATTATAAATTATCTAGTCTTAGGTACTATGTTATAGCAGCACAGAATGGACTAAGGCACATGAAAAAGTTAATTGATCACAAATTGGAACTTCCAGAGGATCCAGAAGTTCTGCAAAGGCTGAGAAGACTGAAGTTTAGAAAAACTATTAAGAGAGGGAAATATTAATAAAATATTAAGAGGAGGGAAAGGGGAGATATGGGCTTCCAGGAGTGACCTTGTAAAACAGGGATGGGAGTTACAGTGGAGGTCATAACAGTGTCTGACAGGAAGGTTGGTGAAGGATCACTTCTAATACAGGGGTCCAGATATTTTCTCAGTGCTTCAGCAGCAGTAGCAGCAGCTCTCCATAACACTCTGGGCACAATTTCTTCAGATAGTTTTTGGTCAGCTACCTTGAAAAAGCACCTCCAAGGTTTATATCTTAGTACTACAAGTAAAAATAGATTTAAGATATATCAGTATAAGACAGAGTATGGTAATAATCATAAAACAGTAACTTCTCTAGCAATTGTTAGCATGCACATTTATTACAAAATCCTTTAGGTTAGATCTTTTTTGTTTTGTCTTATTTCTCTTTATCTCCCAATCAGATAATTTGTCTTTTAACCAGAGTTAAAGGAAATGGTTTCTTTATCCAAGAAATTTGGAATGAAGACTGAGACTGAGTAAGTAGGTCATATCTGGTTAAATCCAAGATGGCTATGGAGTGCATATTTATCAGAGGCCCTAAGTGCATGTACTAGTTAGAAGATTAAAAGAGTCATTTTATGGGGGTTCAGAAGTTTTGTACTTTTTTTCAGGGCTGTAACTAATTTAGAGAGTGAAATAGAGATGCAGATTATAATCTAAGTAGGAGGAGGACAGGGCCACCAAATAATGATTCCAATAGAGGATCTTAAGGACCTCCTACAATTATCTTAATCCAGACATCGTAGAGTCAGGTTCAACCAACATTTGCTGAAAGTCTATCATGTGCCAGGCCACATTGCAACTTATCACCTCATTTCAACCGTATCATAATTTCTGTTGTTACTATTTATCTCCTCACAAAGGATAAATGATTCACAAAATGTCAAGGTAATACTTACATCTTTTGACTTTAAGTTTTGTATTTTTCCTACTTTATCTGGATCTCATTCCAAAATAATAAAACAGGAAAAACAAATAGGAAAGGAATTTGAGGCAAAGAGAGAATTAGGATAGGAAATTAAACCAAAATCATGACTAAGATTAATAAGTTCTCCCTGCTCGTTTTTTGCTAGTGGTAGCGTTTTGAGTTTACTAGCAATCCATGGGAGATAGAGAACGAGAGAGATTTAAAATTGATTGTCCAACAAAGGGGAAAAGTAAGAGCGAGGAGAGGAAAAGAGAGATAGAGAGAGAGAGAGAGAGAGAGAAAGAGAGAGAGAGAGAAAGAGAGAGACCTTTATCTCAGTACTAGGACATAAATGTTCTCACATAGGTCCCCATAGAGGACAGTGTAAGATAGTGGAGCAAAACCAATGCAGAATTTGGTTGAATGACAGAGTCAGCATAGGGATATCTCAGAACAAACACAACTTAAAGAACATCATTTTGAGGGTGAAGAATTGCAATCCATCCTTGGTTCATCATGAGATAAATATCACAGTTTCTTCAAGCAGATGCCTGGCTTTATATATTTTTGACTCTTTAAGCTCCCTTACCATCATCAACAAATTAGTAACCAAACCCATTTGATTAAACACTGAGCTTTATATCCATTCCTTTATATTTATTCCTACTGCTAATGAAAGGGCGTGGGCCATTATACTTGAGGGTTATCACAGCTGACTTTTAGCCAGTTTTCTGCTTTAGTTTTGCTTTCTTTCAGTCTGTTCACCACAGTGCAATCTCTTTGGATTAATTTGGTGTTTTTCTTTTTGCTCTTAAGATAAATACAAATGTTGTGAATGTGATTTCCAAAACTATGTAAATTATGCATATTATTGAATTTTTCTGGGACCATTTCTTATTGTTCTCTATTTCGAACATTGAAATTAGATATTGACCAGCACACTCTTGCTCTGTCTTTTTAAACATTCTAACCCTTCTCTCAGATATCTTTTTTTCTAAGAAACTTTTCAATGCTCCACTTTAGTTATATGCCCTTTCTTCGTACTCTTTTAGTATCTTACCCTGGCTTCATTATAGTATTTTTCACATTAATTCTAATCTTATATTTTTTTGAGTTATCACACAATATGAAAAAAATTAAGCACTTTGTTTCCAAGTATATCCCTAGCACCTTTCTTTTTTCCTAGTATATAGTAGAAGCTTGGTAAATATTTACTGAACAAATGAATAAATTAATAAAAGGTTAAGTGAATAACCATCAAAGCAATTAACCATACCGTAAAAGTAAAATAAATATAGGAATTAGCTCATGATATTGCTGCACTGTTTCACTCCAACTCCCATACTGAAGTGGATAAATAACTTCCACAAAACTTTGGTCCATAACTCAGTGCTGCTTTGTGCCTTGGTCTTTCTTAAGTACACTGTTGTAAACAGAGCTCTTCTTTTCTCTCAGACCTCTCACTCCTAAGTTTTAACACAAATTGAAACTTATTCAAAAGTATTCTCTCTCTGGACTTTCTTTTACCTAATGAAGATTTATTTTACATGAGATTTTTAGTCTCCAAGTGAAGACATTAGTATGAGCCAAAAAATGGTCAATATTCATCTATTTTTACAATGAAATGACTATTCCATATATTTAGTAATATATTTTATATATTTTAGATCTCCAATAGACTGCACTGCTAGCACTTCAAACACAATTGAATACGTCTGAGTGCATGACCAGGTTCTTTGCCTTGGACAGCTCCATTTTCCTATAACATTTAGGTAGATCCTCTAGCACTCACAAATATTATATAATGTATAACTTATGATAAAGTCCATAAACAATTTTATCAATTAGGATATGTTTTTCCTTTCTAAAGCTGATACTGTCAGGAACAAGAATCCTTTTATAGTATCTTTTATTTCTTCCAATTTAGGAAGAATATTCAAATCCACTATTAAGCCTGTCACTTATTTGGAAATTATATTGAATTTGACACAAATGCAATACATTTTTCTGATATGACAATATTTTCCAATGTATATAATCCTTGGAGGTCTTCACAAAAGTTTTAAATTGCCTTAATTCAATAAAGATCTTATTTGTTATTAAAGCATAATAGATATTTAATGTATTTTTAAAACTTAGGAAAATAGATACACTGTAAATTCACATTGAACTGATAAGTGATCATCAAAGATGAAGTGGCATTTACTCGGGAAGTCAAAAAGAAAATGAATCTAGAAACATATGTCTTAGAGAAAGCAAGAAAATGTGACGTTAAAATATTTCACCTTTTCTGGCTACTCTTCTAATTCTTTTTTCCATTTGTCTCCTAAATTAATACCTAAATACTAAAATGTAAATAGCAAAATAAAGGATAAACAGTTTCACAATTGTGTGCAACCAACCATCTCTTTAACGTTCACAAATTGGAAATATATATATATACATATATATATCTTTAATATTGTACAAGTTGTTCTGTGAAATATCTGTAGAAATCACAGTTTCATGCTACATGAGTTTGTGGTTGTGTGTTTTTTAAAGAAATACTTCAGCAGCTTACAATGTGATCGTTATCAAGAAAGTAGAATTTTTCTGAGGGCAGTGAAGGGGCATGTTTGTAAAATCTGTGCTGCAGAAATTGCTAGTGCATAAAAGAGGTGCTTTAAGGCGTTACTTCATTTTCTTTCTAAACACTTAATAGAGATTATGATTAACTCATATAACGTTTTAGATTAAGGTGTTTTAGTAAGAGTCCAGGATAAAACCAACAAAAATTTCACTATTGCCAATGATAATTCTCTAGTGGAGTTTAAACTAGTAATGATTTTCAATTAGTATAACAGAATAAGACAGATGTAGACATTACAACACAAATATTCGGTCTTACTTGTCAATAGTTTCTAGTTCCTTAGAAGTAGTTCATCAATTTAAACATATTTTTGAGACTACAATTAGTTTATCTGATTTCAAGAATATGGTACACATTGATGGTAAAAGAGCTTCTATTAGTATCCTTTGAAATGTTTATATTTAACCTGATAAAAGTTATTATTATTATGAAGATTTCTTACAACTTAACAGGAATTTTTCTTTTTGTGAAATTCAGTAATTTTCGCAGTATATGACTAGCCACACATTGTTTAAGAATTCCATGTTTTCGTTTGATCTCTCTAGTCTCTGAACTTTAATTTTGGGGAAAGAAAAATGAGCTAATACATGAGCCAAGGTGTGTGCTGGCTTGGGTTGCAAAATTCTGTGAGGAAGAATCCAAAAGCAAACCAGAAAACTTTCACTTCATTACAACTGCATTAGAGTAAGAAGTGTAGTCTCCTCTCATAGTTGTTTTATGAGGTGATAATGAAGGGAAAATTCTCTGGCCTAGACAATAACACATATTTTAAAGTACGTTAGAACAGATCACTTCAACCTACCCAACTCAGCTATAGAAAAGGGTTTTAATGACATCTTCTGGCTGCGAATAGACCTTTTTAAAATAAAAAGAATGACAAATCAAGCATATTAATGGATTGATAAAACGTAACGCTACCACACTACACTTTCATACTCTCCCACCGTCCTTTCTCTCCCTCTCTCTTAACAATTACCAGGCTTTTTTTTTTTTTTTTTTTTTTTTAATACACAGAAGCTTTCGTTGAGCATATCATGGTGATAGTTGTGATAATAGTAATCCAGATACCCTTTATTGGGTAAAACAATCTCATAATAATCTCATAATAGTCTTTACGTTTAGTTTTTAAATTTAAAATCACTTCCTCATGCATATTTCATACATCCTCCAAATTCTGTAAGAAAAGTGAGGGCTCACTAAATTGATTCACTTGTCCAAAGTCACACATTTACTAAGTAAAGGAGTGGAAAAAGAAGCCCCCAAAACAGAATAAAAGTGAAAAATATATAAAATTGTTGGTAAAGCTAATAGTTTAGTTGGATTTACATGCTTCAAGGAAGATTAGTTCTTACACTGAATAGTAAATAGAAGGTACCAAGCAATATTTAAAGAACAAATGAATTAAGGAATTAATGAATCAAATGATCTACTTATTATAGCTCTGCCTTAGATGAGTTTCTAGAGATTTGAGCTTCTTGTATATATAAAAGTATAGGGAGACCCGGAAAGGGAAATATTACGTATGATCTAAAGCAAAAAATATTCTAGTTAAAAAAAACTTTGTTTATTTAAATAGAAATAAATAGAAGAGTTTGGAAATAGAAACAAATTTAAGTACACAAACATTATAGATTCTAACTCACACCACTCAAATGGAAATTATTTTCTCCTTTCAGAAAATGCTAATATGCTTCAGACCACAAATGATACTTTCAATCTATAAAAATAAGACATTTAAATAACAGTGTAAATAATTATATGAGCTGTGATATTAAAAGTGCTGCTTTATATTCATAATATATTAAAATATTAGTTGAGGAAGAAAAGTGGAAAAATAGAAGACCAGGCCTTATTTTGTTGGTTGGAATTTTGAAGTATTAATATTTTATTCTATGAATTAAATATTACTACATTTAAATGTTATGTTTAAAATGAGGAAATATTTTTTAAACAGAACAGAAATGGTGCCTCTGTAAAGTGAATACATTGATAATGTTGACAAATGAATGTGGAAAGCTGTTGTTCAGCTGCCAATTTTTTCCAAGGATAGGTAATTCAGGCCCCACTTTTATTCCTAATAGTACATGCTTAGATTTAATGTTGAATGAAGCATGATAGAAGGACTCAGTGAAGGAGGAAGGATAAATGCTAATTAACTTGAACTGATCTGATGCTCTTCATTAGTGCTAAATATTCCTGAATTGCCACTGCCTACAGTTCCAAAACACAAAATCTCCCAATCTAGCTTTGCATATTTAGTAGCATATGGAGTCTTGTCAGGCAGCCAGGAACTTCCTCATCTACTTGATTCTGAAGCACGGGGTTGCCCCTAATTTAATACCTTGAACTGATTCTATTTAGGTTGTAATCTGCCTTAATTGCTATTAAGATATTGAATTGTATAAAACAGCTGTTAAATACCATTTGTGACTTAACTAGAATCATTATGTGGAATAGAAAAAGGCATTAAAAATTCAAAATCACAGTTTATTTTGAGAGCTAATTTCTTAATTAATGGTGTTTCAGAATTTTTCTGAAGTGTTTCAGAGTTTCTGAAGTGAAATATTCAAGAAGGTTTCTAATTAGAAGATGCATTTCAGAAGTTTACTACCAAAATTAAGAAACAATATTCTGAAAAGAAATGCACTTTGTTTATTACTCAAGAAATGTTAAAATATTTTATTCCTTTCATTTCATCCAAAGTGTGTACATTTGATGAAAGTATTTACTTGCATAAATTTTATTAACACAGATTAATGGGGATAAATTCATGCCAACTGTTGTAATAGGGGCTTTCTTGCAGGGTATATCACAGGAGTATTTTCAGGTGTTTTCATGGAACCAATTCTGACATCTTAAAATGCCCAGGAAAATGGCCCAAGAATGTGAAATCAGATTAATATGAAAATACTCTTCATGGTGTGCAAGTGATGACCTACTACAAAGTGCCTGAGACCTTCTCTAAACTAGAACTCCCATGGATCTAGTCAGACATTGCAATTTCTGCTAGGTTTACAGAGTTCTTTAACGTCCA
Source organism: Homo sapiens (assembly GCF_000001405.40). NCBI lineage: Eukaryota > Metazoa > Chordata > Mammalia > Primates > Hominidae > Homo > Homo sapiens. Next base: position 76,202,471 of record NC_000008.11, on the reverse strand, counting down.
AGGAATAAATTCAAGGGTGTGGGAATATTATATCACCACTGGACACCTTGAGAGAATAATATGTGAAAATCTCCAGAAATTGAAACTGTAACAGTGTTGTTACTAGAACTTAGGCAATCTAGACTATGCAATTGTGTCAGTGAAAGAAAAAGTTATATTAAATTAATGGAGTGATCAGGGTAAATCATCTCTTGATCCTAGACTATTTGGAAACAAACTATATCTTCCACCAAAATCTTTCAAAGGTCTTCTTTTTGAAATGTTAGAGATCAGCACATTTTCTTCTAGATTAATGTGATATCATATTTATTTTATGAATGACTACCTTTCACAAGAGACAGCTGAACCCTCGTGTGGCCATTCATAGAAGTCCCTAGTTAAGGAACAAGTGATTATGCTACCTTTGCACGGTCAGGATACCACGGCCATTGAACATAAGTCACTGGGTAGGCAGTGCCTCTAATACTGGTAATGCTAGAGGTGATGTTTTTGGTAAACAGGCAGGGCATGATTTGTCGAGTTCTTTTTACTTTTTGCAGTCCTTCCTTAGAGCATACCTGTGTTAGGTTAAAGGTGTAAATAATAGGGTGCTTATTATATCATTTATGAATATTAGGCTGTTAACTGTCAGTGGGTTATTCTGGTCTGATGTAAGCTTATGCAATGGAGAATGTCTTCATGTTACTTATACTAACATTATTGCTTCTATTAAGTAATGGATTAGTTTATGAAAGACTACCTTTCATAAAATAAATATGATATCACATTAATCTAGAAGAAAACGTGATAGTCTCTAAAATTTTGACAAGAAGACCTTTGAAAGAGTATTTTCATATTACTCTGGTTCCACATTCTTGGGCCATTTTCCTAGGGAATTTTAAGATGTCAGAATTGGTTCCATGGAAACACCTCAAAGTAGATATACCCTGCAAGAAAGCCCCTGTTACAACAGTTGGCAGGAATTTATCCTTGTTAATCTGTGTTAATAAAATTCTATTTATTATGATTACATTTTGATACATATAAATATTACAACATGTAAAGTTTACATGTAAATCCTACATTTTTCACAGCCCTGTTCATGCTAATTTTAAAGCTCTCTTAATCTTACAGTAAATGTGTGGTATTTTTGATTCTGATTTTAGATGTTCTATTTTGTTCTTGTATTAACCATTTTTGATGTTTTGACATCTGGGGACTTGCTGACTCTGAAGGGATTGTTTGTCCCAGGCCTAGCCAATTCCTGGAATAGTAAATGACTTTCCCGGAAGTGTGCCTTTCCTATACAAACCAAACAAATCAGAGCTCACCCATCCCCATCACTTCCTCTATTTTGCTTACACTCTGGGCCACTATTTCCCTTCCCTGATCACTCCAGGTGCCAGTACCAGAAAACTAGAGACAATTCCTACACCCCAGAGCCCACTGAAATTATTTAAACAGGCCAATCTCATGCCCGCTTATCCTGCCTTATCCATTCCTTCCTCTGGAAACCACAATAAAGGCTTCCACCCACATTATCCCTTACTCATGTCTCCTGACTGATCACAGTGCCTTCTCATGTGGCCCCGCCTGGCATGACATCTCCATTTCTCTTGGTAACTGTGAGTTACAAACTGTCATTCAATGCCAGTCATCTCCTGATCTGTTGGCCTCATCATACCTTACTAATAAAACCTGTTTTAAAACGGTTCCATTGATGTGTCTTTCTAATCCTACTCTTACAAACATTTTCATTTTTGTGATTTTTGTACTGTTCTCAAACATCTTATAACACAAAGGCCCTCTCCTTATTTTTTAAATCCCATCTTAATATGTTTGGTTGACTTAGGATCTGAGCAAGTTAATATGAGCATGCTCCAGGAAAGACTCTTCTATCATGTCCTACATAAAGCTAATGTTGGAAAATACCACATATAATTTTTAGAAATATCCATAATGATAGAATCTAGAATGGTGAAGAAAATGAGTACCAAACTGATGTCAAGAGATTGGAATTTTGGTTCAGATTCCACTAAGTAACTTTGTTACCTTAGAAACATCACTAAATTTTCTCTGTCTCTTGGTCTAGAATCTTAAAGAGAGAATGAGATTCTTTCCTTGTTAAAATTCCTGCATCTGACTGGGTGCAGTGGCTCACACTTGTAATACCAGCTCTCTGGGAGGCTGAGGAGGGCAGATCACCAAAGGTCAGGAGTTCAAAACCAGCCTGGCTAACATGGTGAAACCCTGTCTCTACAAAAATATAAAAATTAACCAGGCATGAGGGCAGATGCCTGTAATACCAGCTACTCAGGAGGCTGAGACAGGAGAATCGCTTGCACCCGGAAGGCAGAGGTTGCAGTGAGCCGAGATCATACCATTGCACTCCCACCTGGGCAACAGAGCCAGACTCCGTCTCAAAAAAAAAAAAAATCCTGCATCTATTTTTCTAATGCTATAATTTTACCATCTATCAAATGCACATGTAGTATGTGGGGCAGGGCCTGCCCCAAAGAAGATGCCCCACATGAGTTTGTGGGAACTAATTGCTGATTTCCATACACCTCGCCGTGCTTTCACCATCCTGGCTGTTTTTATGCAACTTTGTTTTCAATGTGTGTTTTCTCAGGATACTTTCATCCTTATTATAATCATCTATCTTTCCATCTGTTGTCTCAGACTGGTGATAAATCATGTCCACCTCCCACCCCCAAATATTCTGTGTTTAGAATTTTGACATTCAAGACAGGTCCATCTTCATTATGGTAGTTGCTTTGAACATTATGAGGTAGATGTAATTGAATAATAATCTAGATCAAAATAGTTTTATTCTGACTCAGTCATAAAATTGTTTGTTAGTCAAGATAAATTAATACAAGGCAACTTAAAATACTAAGAGTAAAGTAAATCTGAACATCTATGATTAAGCCAAAAGAATGATTAACTTTTGACACTTTAAAAATACTGAAAATATCTATTTTTATGTGAAGCTACAAGGCAGTAAGACAACTTATCATTGTCAACGATTTATTCTGCATGAAAAATTTTGTGATAAAGTTGACTACAAATATACTATCACATGTATCAGTGATAATTTTGCTTTTCTCTGAAAGTAACACACTGAAATGTATCATCGATTAAGAAAATAGAATATGCAAGAAGACTCTTTTCATTTATCAATCAATATTTTTTTTCAAACCTTTAGTCTTTTGCTCTGAATCTGCAAAGGAAAGAATTCGTGTGACATGGTTTTTTTTTCTGGTTTTATATTTCTAACTAGGTGATAATTGCTCAAAATAATATGTGAGACATAAAGATTTCAGACTCCCACAGACTTTAAAATACTGTGCTGCTGAAACATTGAAGAAGCACATTGGTAATGTATTCTCTATTGGCTTTATTGTCTTAATAAACTTAGTCTTAATATTTAAATGCAACAAAAAGAAAAAAGTATACAGTACATATAGTTTCTTTTTATAGCATCGTATCTAATACTCAAATAGTACAAACAGAGCCTATCTATGAAATGACAGTACCATTAAAAAATGAGTCAGCTCCTTACAGCTAAACAGCAAATATTCCTGCATTGCTAAACTATGAATAGAAAAAATAACCTATTAAGACTTGGTCTTGGGTACAAGAAGACACCATGAAGTATCAGAGGGCTTCAAAAAAGATCAGTGGTATTACATATTTGAGTTAATAAAAGTTAAGGGACAGCAGTTCTGCTAGGGCACAAGAGCCATTGTCTATGATGTCATATTCAACAGTATCAAAGCAGTTACTTTAAGTACATCAAACAATACTACTACAGATTATGCACCAGACTACATATTTGAGCCACTGAGAGCCGAGAATTAGCTGCACCCTTTAAATGTCCTGAGATGCTATTCACCTACTATTTAGAACTTTTGTAATATTTATAAATAATAAGGAGAATGGTAATAAACACTTAGTAGTTGCATATTCTTTTTTTGTAATTAAAATATTACTTTAATGTTATTTTATGTAATCAATTGTAGGATGATTTCCTAGTCGGTCTTCAAATAATGATGTCCATTTTGAAATGTATAATAATTGCAACCATTCATTAGGCACTGTCCAACAGGACAAACCTATGAGTTGTAGGTATTGTTATATTCATTTTATAGAAAGCTAACTGTGGCTGAGAACCATTACTCTGGTTGACATCAACATGTACCACTCACATCCCCCACTGTTAGGAGTGCTATCAGCAGACAGCCTTCAGGTATGAGCTCCTCAGGAACTTTCTCAATGATGAGAGCTCCTTTCCCAAGGTTAAACCTCTTCTCTCAGTGCTCCTCATCCAATGACTGATAGATGCTAGAATATAAAGTTGGCTATCCCTAAAGAGCCACTTGAGCTCCCGAGTTCTGTGATTTTCATCTGGGGCTTCAGCAAGACAGGCGTCGCAGCTTGACTTCTTCCTCCACCCACTCCTGTCTCTTTCCCCTCTTTTCTACAAATGTCCGTTACAAGGGCACACCTTCATAAATATCCTGAATGCTAGAATTTACCTCAAAATCTGCTTTCTGAGCAATCCATCCTGAAGCCCAGTTACTTATTGCTCAAGGTTATTTAACTATAGGCAATGAAGACAGGATTCAAACGCTCTTGTTCAACTCCAAGTTGACTCTCCCCTAAGATTTACTTACAGTCATTTCATTCTACAGACCTAATTCACAGGTTGCTTCATTGGATCTTCAAGATATGCTAACTTCTATTCATTCACAAAGCATTCCAGTGGATGACTAAATTTTCACTGGATTTAGCCACACTCAAATTATCACACAACTGTTTAATTATAGGCATGTGGCAATTTCAGTTCTAATTAAATTATTGTCTTCCCATGTCCCCATTTCTAATTAGCTTTCTCATTTCTTGAAGCTTTCTTTTAGTTTACAAGCTATTAAATTATATGGTTGTTCTAATTATGTATACACATTTGGTGTAATTTAAAAGGCTAACCGAGAAATGTTTTTTTAAATACATCATATTCATATTATATACATTATATTTTTTCATTTGTACCTGCTCAGATTTCCTTCAAAAATCTCTGGCACACTTTAACTGAATTTGTATTATCTGTAGCCTGACAGCTCTCAAAATAAGGTTTTAAATATAAAAGCAATTTCTAAGCTTTCAGCAAGATCATAACAATAGATCCATTTGCTTGTGGAATTAGCATCATACCTCAATGCTATCAATATGTCTGTGTAGGTTAGCAAAAACATACCTTGATTGCACTGAATGCTCCACATCTCAAAATGACTGTTACTCTGCATGCATCATGACTAATAAACACAAGCCTCTTTCCAAAGAGCATTGTTTCTAGAGGAAATAAACTGTTGTTAGTAATGTGTGTTGATTGTTCAGATCCTCTATTCAATGAAAAATATGGATGGCATTTATTTGTTATTTGTGCCTGGTAGAAAATAACTGAAGCATCTACTGTTTTTCAGATTTATTTCCGGGAAATAGTATTCTTTGGGAATACAGCAGAATCTACATGGCTAACTGCCCTGTGATCTGGGAACTATTTTACCAGAGCTGCTTGCTGCTGCCTTTACAGAAAATGGGTGGGGAAATTCTTTTAAATTAATTCTTTGGGCTGTTCTGAACCCAGACCTCATCCCCACCTTCAGACGTGCACTTCTGTCCTGGACACTAGAAGGGCTGTTTGAGTTTGGACTGAGCTGTCAGCCTCTCCCACTGGTGTCATCTCTTTCTCTTTTTCTCTTTCTTTCTTTCTTTTTCTTCTTCCTTTTTTTCCTCTTTCAAAGCCCCATTGTTGCAGAAGCTCAGCAATGGGCAGGGACTGAGGAAGTCTTTGAAAGGAGACCTAGCTCTACTTTGCCATCAGGCTGAGCAGCACTAAGCAAAACCCACCTCACATCTGTCTAAATCACACTGAAGCGAATGAACTTTTAAACAAATGAGCTGCATGTTTTTCTCTAATGCTTATTACTAGCTGTGCAGTGAGGCTGCACCGATTTCAAAGGCTTTTCAATTCCTGCTCAGAACTGCGAGGCTGTGGCAACGGTTCTTTGAAGAGAAAACACCACTATTGGGACAGGCAGACAGCTTGGGCTTGGCTCAAAGACCTCCAAAAGTGACAGGGAACAGCAGAGGGGATGGTTCTGGCTACAAGCAGCTCAAGAAATTAATATAAAAGAGGCTTTCCTCTGTCCCCTACTGCAAATATTTTCTCTTGCAGGAGGAATCTTTGGAACTTGTCATACATATGAATTCTCTTTCAACTCAGAGGGGCTAACTTTGATATCAGCCTTTTAGCATCAGTCTAGATTTTAGACATTTTAATAACTACCTTTGAATTTTTTTTCCTGAAGCTAAGCCTCTCTAATTCTGCTTTTACTAATTTAACATTTGTGGAGAATTCTGAAGTGACTTTTTAGAAATTTTATTCTTTTTATTGTCAAAAAAAAGATGTCTAAAAGAATGAGATATAAAATGAAAATATTTATGTTAGGGATACAAACTAAATTTTAAACAATTTAGTGTTTTTCACATGAAAGGAATCTGCAATACAAGCTTCAATCAATAGGATTTTAGAGTGCTTTGGTATGTTAATTGGAAATCATTCTAATCTGATCTACCACAGAATTTCTGTTAGGTGACCTGGATTAGGACAGTTCAAGTTACACCCTCTACCTAAAACTGATGAAGCTACGATTCTTCAAGAGTATCTTATAATTTGGACTTTTCACTCATCTACCCCAACTGTTATCTCCTTGATCCAAATTAGTGAGGTTTAATGTTGAAATTTAGGATAAGTCACAAATTCTGGGCAAACAGAGAAAAATCTGTGAAGAAAAGTAGAGGAAAACTTTATGTTAAATATTTCTAAAGCAGTGCCCACTGCCCAATGTCTCATGGAATTTCTGAGAACTCAAAATATCATCTCACAATATAGGGGATATTCATAAAGATTTTAAGTTTGCACAAAGGAATTCAACATGGAATTACATGAATAATCAACTTGTGAAGTCAGATAGACTTGGATTTATCACTAGATCTGCCATTGCGGAAGATGTATACGTTGGTTAGTTTTCTTACTATCTCTCAGTCTCTCATTTTGCATGCTCAAAGTCAGGAATAGATGAAATAATTCACTGAATAATATATAACTGGTAAATATTAGTTCCATTTCCCTCTTTTAAACACTTAAAGTTATAGTTCAAAAGTATTTTACTTAAATTCTCAAAAAGTATTTGTGACTGACACTTATTAAATCACCACAATTCAACTCTTTCAGAATTATTCCCGATTATCAGATTGTTGTAAATAGTGTGTTACCATTTTATACTGTACAGTTTCATTAACTTTGAAAATCAACACTACTGAGGTATAATTTACCTAAAGCATATTATGCTGACTTTTAATGTGCAGTTTGATGAGTTTTGACAAATACATATACTAAAAACTACCCCTCAATCAAGATATAAAACATATTCCAACACCTGCCCTCAAATTCCCTCATGCTTCTTCCCAGTGAATCCCACCACACCCTAACAACCCTACTTCCCTGAAGATGAGTTTACTTATTCTAGAATTTCACAGGAATGGAATACCACAGAAGGTACTTTTCTGTATCTGACCTCATTTTTTTTTAAATGCATCCTTGCCGTTTTGTGTATCAGAGGGCTTAATTGCTGACTTATCTTTCCTTTTAGGAACGTATGAAACTTTGCTTATCCATTCACCTGTTGATGAATATTTGAATTGATTCCAGTTTAGGATTGTGATGAATAAAACTGCTCTAAAAATTTTGTACAAGCTTTGTTGTTGACATATTTTTATTTGTCTTGGGTAGATATATAGAAATGGAACTGTTAGGTCATATGGTAAGTGGATGTTTGACTTTGTAAGAAACTGATGAACAGTTTTCCAAAATGGATTTACTATTCATGTTTTTACAAGCATTACACAAGAATTCCAGTTGCTCTATATCCTCACAAACACATGGTATTGCCAGTCTTGTAGGGGTCTGCTTGTATCTCCTTGTGATTTTAATTTGTATTTCTATGCAAAAATGCAGAACATCTTTTAATACACTTATTAGCTTTTAGCATATTTTGTAAGATGTGTATTCAAATCTTTTTTCCATATTTTAATTTTTCATCTTATTTTTAAAGTTTGTTTTATATTCTAATGTAAATCCTCTTGTCAGATATATATTGCAAGTATTTTATCTCAGTATTTGGCTTATCTTTTTACTTACATAGCAATCTCTGGTGTAAAGCAGACTTTACATTTTATACATTCCAAAATATCTTTTTCTTTTATTACTAATCATCTATGTGTCCTTTCCATGAAACTTTTCCTTAGATTAAGGTTATTCAGATTTTCCCCTATGTTTTCTTCTAGAAATTCTGTAGCTTTAGTTTCACTTTTGTGTCTATACTACATTTTGAGTGAATTTTTATGTGTGGTATGTGGTATGTTCGAAGTTGTTTTGTTTCCATGTGGATATTTAATTATTTAACTGTTTTTGGGGGGAAAATATTTTATTTTCTCCATTAAATTGCCTTAGCATCACTATGAAAAACTGATTTTCCAGGCATATGTCAGTGTGATTTTGGAGACACACTATTCTATTCCATTGATTCTTACTCAGTCCCTTGACTAATACAGCATTATAGTAAGTCTTAAAGCCATGTAGAAGAAGTTCTCTGTTTTTATGTTTGGTTTAAATCATGTTGGCTATTCTTCTATGCATTTTCATATAAATTTTAGAATTAACTTATCAATCAGTACAAACAAACATGATGGAATTTTAATTGGAATTGTTTTGACTCTGTAGATAGATTTGGGGAGAAATAAACATCTTAATAATATATCACTTAAACCAACAACATGGTATACTTCTCCATTTATTTAAGTCTGTTTTACTTTCCCCCAGTCATTTGTAGTTTATATGTTATATACATATTTTGGTTAATTTACTATTAATTATATTATAAATATTATGCCTTTGAAATTGGCATTTTAAAATTTTATTTCCCATGGTTGATTGCTAGTATATAGAAATGCAATTGACTTTTTATATTGATCTTGTGAACCATTACCTTGCTAAACTCACTTATCAGTTTGGTAGTTTTTTGCTGATTACTCAGGTTTTTCTGTCTAGATCACCATGTCATTGTTGAAAAAATGTTTTATTTCTTAATTCCAATCGGTAAGTCTTTATTACTTTTCTATTATTCGACTAGTGCAGAACAGTAGTGAATAAAAGTAGTGAGAGGGAACATCCTTGGCTAATCTGGAAATTTAGGGGAAAATCATGCAGATTTTCACAATTAACATGTCCTTTATTAAATTGAAATTTTCATTCCATTCATGTTTACTGACAGTTTTTCTAATCAAGAATGGGTTTTGAATTTTGTTGAGTTATTTTTCTGCATGATTTGAAATGATTATGTTTTTCTTTTTATATTAATATAGTGAAATTCATGATTGATTCCTGAATGTTAAACCAACTTTTCATCTCTGAAATTAATATATTTGGTTATGATGTATTATTCTTTATACAGTATTAAATATATTTGATAAGAGATAATTAAATATTTTTATAAACATAAAAACTGATCATTTAATTATTTTTTCAGTTAAATTCTTCCTTCTTTGCTTTGGTTTTAATTTGTTGTTTTTTTTCTAGTTTATTCAAGTGAATACTTGAAAACACTGATGTTATCTGTCTTTTCTTTTTAATATAAGCTCTGTCTCTCTCAACACTACTTCCTCAACATCCCACAGGTTTTGACCTCATGAGTTGCCATTAGAGTTCAGTTCAAAATGTTTTCTAATTTCTGTAATGATTTCTTCTTCAAATGCTAACTTATTTAGAAGTGTGTAGTCTAATTTTCAAATATTTAAGAATTTTTCTTGTATATTTCTATTATTGATTTCTAATTCTGTTGTGGTCAGAGAACATACTATGTATGATTTAATTTTTTTCAAATTGATCGAGACACATTTTATGACATAGCATATGGTTTATGTTTGTGAATTTTCCATGTGTACCCAAAAAAAAAGTTATAGGTTTTTTGTAGATAATTCTACAAATATCAAGTATGTATGTTGATTGATAGTGTTTTTGAAGTTGACTATATACTTACTCTTTTTTTGGTCTACTTTTTCTATCAGTTTCTGGGAAAGTAGTATTGGAATTTTTAGTTATAATTATAGAACCGTTAAGATCTTGTGGATTTTAGCTATATTCCACCTTCAATTTTACCTCCCCCAAAATGTTACATGTAATTGAAATCAAAATGCAAAATTTTATTTTATAGACTCTGCAGAAAGGAAACCATATCTTCAAAATGAAATTTTATGCTCATAATACACTCAAGTCTACATTAAGGTTAATGTAGTTAAATGAATTTTAGTACAATGCTGAACTCTTTGTGGGAAAAAAGTTCTATATAGATTACATGTTTCTACTTTAGTAATATGATAAAAGTATTATTAGATATTATTTGCCCAAAGTCCCCCAAGATGATATAATAGGTCATAGGTATTAACACACGGCTTTATGGAGAAGATGATACTTTAATGGTAAAAAAGTATAAAATAGGAAAAGAAAGATAGGAAGAATTTGCTGGGCAGAGCATGTTACAAAAAAGTGAACTAAACAGCCTGGTACAAGGAATTATTAGTTCAGTAGCCCAAGATAATAAAATGGGATGCACAAGAGCAGTGTAGGAACCATGTCACAGGATAATTTGTTGGTCTGTGAAGGAAATTAAGATAATCCTGTAGGGAATGCAAAAATGATTGAAGAGTTTGGAAGAGATGCTTCCCACTGGTAGTTTAGCTGGATTAGTATGACTTCAAGTTAATCAGGTTAAGGAGGACGAAATTAGAGAAAAGGAGATTAGGTAAGTAGCTACTATGATAATGTAGTCAAGAAATAATGCAAGTCTGAATCAAGGTTGGTTAATAGGTTTAAACAAGTGTATGAATTAGAAAAGTATTTAAAAGCTAAAATATGCAAGACTTGTCCAGTGATTGATCATAGAAGGTAGACAAAAAGAAAAACATATTGTCTGGTTTCAATAGTTTGGTGGATTTGGAATGGATTTAGAAGTCATCAATCTATGAACTATGATTGCCTGAGATTATCACATGGTGAACATGTGGAGAGAGTACCAGTCCCTAAAGATTCTGAGATTAAATTCTTGGGGAACATCAACATTTAACAAGTTGGACAAAGGAGTCAGGGTATTTTGAAGAAATGAAGAGAACTAGATGAGAGTAGTGGGACAAAAGTGAAGGGAGCCAAGAGCCTGATCATTATCCAATGCAGCAGGTTAGTGTTAGTGGATTTGGTAATGATGAGATCATGTGGAAAGTTACGGAGGGCACTTGTCTAGGGATAGTGGGGATGAAATTAATTTAAAAAATGGGGGAGGGGGCAGCACAGGGAATACAAATATTCCAAACCAAAGAAATTTTGGTTTGGGGTGTAGTATCACTGCTGATATAGTTTAGAACCAGTGTTGTACAATTTTTTTCACTTCTCTCTGATCAACAAGTTACCTACTCCTTAGTAACTGTCCCATAATAGATTCTAGCTGCCACCTGAAGTCTTTTCCAAGTCCTTGGACAAGTCTTACCCTCTTATAAGACATAGCAAATGTGGGCTACTTTTTTGAGAAGCTTGACTGTACATTTTATAGAGATTAAAGAGATGAGCTTCAGTGTTAACAAATCTGGGTTTGACTCTTGCTTCTAACACAAAAAAGCTGTAGGTCTTTGGGCAAAAATGAGCCTTTTAAGACTCAGTTACACCAAATGTAAATTGAGGATAAGAATGTCTATTTTATGGAATTGTGAAAATGAAAAGGGATGATGCATTAAAAATGGATAGCATATGCCTGATACATAGAGGCTATATATTAATCAGCATGCACTATACCCATAGAAATTTTTGTTTTGTTTTTAATTTAGGGCAGAATTTTGGCTATTAATTTATTTTATTTCGAATAAAATATTTGTTAAATTTTCTTTATTTTATTTCTTCTAGACCCCAGATGTCTAGAGGGTTGATTATTGTGTTCCTCAAATCATGGCACACTATCATTCTTGTTTCATTTATTATTATTATTGCTATTTATTCTCTTTTATAATCATAATCTCCTTTTCCTATTGCCACAAAATCATTCTACTGAGTTTTAATGTATATGTTTTGTGTTTGTAATCTAAGAAAATAGTTTTCTGTTCTTATTTTTGCAAATACTTTTGATCCGTCTAAAGAGTTTCATGTAATGTGATAGTCTATTTCTTTTTTCATGACAATGCGTATTTTTAGATATCTCCATGTTGTATGTAGTCTACATTGCTTTAGTCAACAGTATGTATTCTTGCCTTTTCACCTTTTTATATAGTGATGGTCACAGAAATTGCTTCCAATTTCTGCCACTATAAATAATATTTTAATGAACATGCTAGTGATCTGGGCTAGTGTCACATTTCTTTGGGAAATGATTACCCTGAGAGGGTATGATATGCTTATAGAATGGGATAATGCTTAATTTGTCTGATTGGTTCCAGTGTGTTCCCCATGCTGATTCTACCAGTCTATGCTTCCATCAGCAATATAAGAGGGTCTCTGATTCTTTATGTCTCCACTAACACTTGGCATTACCTATCTTCCCAATGTTTTTCAGTCAATTGATGTAAAATATTTCATTTTTATTTGCATAATCATAGAAATTGACAATGATTTTGAACATAATGTCATGCGATTATTTTTTAAATATTTATTTTTTAAACCTCTCACTAAATTATAGACCTAGAAGAAAATGGAAATTTAATAACATGTTAAGCAAATAAAAAACAAACACATTGCCCCAATTCACCTTAGGCCTTAAATTAGAACTACTGGTTCTTTGGTTCTTTCATTAAGCTTTACTGTTCTTGATATAAATCTTCAAATCATAAAATATTAAAGCTAAAAGTAGTCTTAGCCAGTTAGCCAAAGCTCATGGTTTTAAGAATGGGGACAGTTTCCAGATTTTGGAAAATTTTCTGAATCATAACAAAAATATAAAGAAATTTTGGTTTGGGGTGTAGGATCACTGCTGATATAATTATGTACCAGTGTTTTATAATTTTTTCCACTTATTTGTGATCAACATGTTACCTACTCTTTAGTAACTAGCCTTTAATAGACTCTGGCTGTGACCTTAAATCTTTCCCAAGTCCTTGGACAAGTTTCACCTTCTTATAACATTCTTTTAAACAGCAATTTTAAAACAGACATTATCAAGACTCCATCTCCATCACATTTTCATTTCATCGAAAGCTATATGCTTCTGAAAGGATTTTATTTGAAAGAGCTCTGACATCAGGTGGTCCTTCCGTCAGAGATCTAAATGTTCCATGGACAGAAATGCAAACGTAGATGTATTTTTTCTATTTATGGTAGTAGATTGAATTTCAATTTGGAGTGTAATTTACACCTTTCTAATTTATTGAAGCAAAACACCGCTAGCAACAAGGAAATCTGGTTTCTCTGATTTCTTGCTACTCTTCTGTCCAATTAGCTTTTTATTTATTTCTTCCCCATAGCCTAAACACAGCACAATTACTTAATTTTATTTTCTAACTCTATTTTGCTTTAGTAGACTCCAAGCAGGAAAATTTCTCACTCTCAATGTAGGATCCCTATAGGCCTCTGATGATTGTTTGCCGAATACAATATATGTTTGATTTCAGTTTATCTGTTAATGTAGATTTAATTTTTTACTAGTATTATTAACAAAATGCTATCTTTAAAAATCTTGATGATTCATTAGCTGTAACACTTACATTGTTCAGTTCATTTTAAACTCTTTCTCCAAACACTGGCATAACAATTAATAATATAAATTAGCCCAATAATTTATTCCTTTCAATTCCCCTCCCTGTCACCATTTTCAGAAGAGGTCTTGCTGAATTTCATATGGACATGAAAATTTATCCTGTATTTTTGACAATGCTTCTTCTGCTACTGATTTACATATTCTATAGGTTTCCTATAAATTATTACTGACATTCCAGGTAGAATTACAATAATAACCTTGTTATGAATGTGTCTCTCAAATCAGTAACTCTAAAAACAATGAAATATTTTATCATAATAGAACTAGAACACTAAATCTGTTTTTACCTTTTCATTACCATTTGAGGGGAATAGGGAAAAGATCAAGATCTCAGCAAACAACATGAATTTTTACTTTTCTGTGGTTTTATCCATAGTGTAAAACTATAATATTCAAAATGCATTTCAAATATGTATATTTATTCAATAGACCAGAACATAACTGAAAAAAAATAATCTAAAAATATATTTTAAAATGTCAAAGAATCTTCCAACAACTCATAGAGTATGGATACAAAGAATATGGGTCTTCCCAGAAAATGGAAAGCTAGGCAAGCGGGGATCTGCGCAAAATTAGTGCTGATCCTGTTTATGGTTTCAGTAAGCAGGTAGAGGTTGAAGTGCTTCTGATTCATACTTTTATTGCAACCAAAACCTTTACATTTTGCCACATTCAATGGAGTCATCAGGATCACTAATTGAGACCAAACACTAAACAGCCCAAAAGAGAAATAAGAAACATAGTTTGGGTTATAACCTATCTTATGCCCATTTATATTACAAGGGAATCCTCTATTGTTTTGCTATTCTCTATGATGTTCTAGTAGCTATAGAATCACCAGGTCTCTTCTCTGCGCTTGCTGTTGGGGACCTTGAAGAATTGTTTTTGTTTCATTTATTTATTTATTTATTTGAGATGGAGATGTCTTTGAGATCAAATTAAGATACGGAGCAAAACATTTAGTGTCAGCTGGTCTTTGATAACCCAGATTTTATACATAAACTTCTTTATATTTTTTTAGTGAAGAGGATTCTTATGTCCTATACTGATCTGGTTACAATGAAAACTATGGTCCTAGAATGACTTTTATGATTTCCTGTATACTTTGTCTTAGCTGGTTCTTGGTGCTTAAAAGAAAAAAAAATCATTTCTCAAATAAAATAAGGTGGCTCTTTGTCCTCTGACAGAAAGCAGGAAAAATTTTTAAGCATTTAAAATTAAACTTTTTTGGTGGTATGTCAAAATATTTTTATTATGATATGTTCATCTTTGTAGCCCTTAACTAGCCTGAGACTCTGATTGCACCACCGTTGATTTGTAGAAAATGTTGTTAGAATGTAATGTTGTTGTCAGTACTGAAACTCAGAGACTGAGTAGTCCCCAGAACTTGCTAATGGTACTAGTGAGTCCTCTGAGTAAATATCTGTGTTTCCTCATTCAGGCAATGTTGATAGGCTCATTGAAGTAGACATTGTCACTGCACTTAATATGTTTTGCTTCTTTGTGTCTCAATGTTCATCCATGTTTTTTGATGAAAAGAGGTATGGAAAAGCCATGGTTTCAGGCTGGGAAGGTCGATTCTGAATGGCTCATTTCACTGTGACACATAGCCCCTACTAGTTGACTTCATTGTATTATCTGCCATCTTGTGATAAAATGGAAGGAGGAGTGCATTTTCTGTCTTCTGAATCACAATAGTTATGGTACCAAATCTTGTACCACAGCACACTAGGAATACTCTCTTGCCTCCCAGTGGGGACAAACTTGAGTGGCATAGCCACAGTGCTCATGTAGAATAAAAAAAGATATAGAATAAGGATGAAAAGTTATATCCTTTTCATCTGTGAGCATACAGAAAATAAGGTACTCTATGAGTTTGATTATTAAGGTTTTCAGGCTTTGACCAATAATATTTTCATGAATTTTGCATAACATCCATGGTATAGTTTGGCTGTGTCCCCACCCAAATCTCATCTTGAAGTCCCATGTGTTGTGGGAGCGACCCAGTGGGAGGTAATTAAATCATGGGGGCAGGTCTTTCCTGTGCTGTTCTCATGTTGGTGAATGAGTCTCACGAGATCTGATGGTTTTATGAGGGAGATTTCCCCTGCACAAGCTCTCTCTCTTTGCCTGCTGTCATCCGTGTAAGGTGTGACTTCCTTCTCCTTTCTGTCTGCCATGATTGTGAGGCCTCTCCAGCCACGTGTAACTGTAAGTCCTTTAAATCTCTTTATTTTGTAAATTCTCCAGTCTTGAGTACATCTTTGTCAGCAGCATGAGAACAGACTAATGCAATCCACAAACTCAATATTATCTTTATTCTTTGTATTTAGATTTTAAGTAGATATTTGGCATAGTTAGAACTGTTTGTTGCTTCTTTGTAACTGGTAGAGCATAATTTGATTAAATGCTCAAAACTACTTGTGCTTCCTCCTTTAGAACAAAAACAAATTTCTTTTTTCAAGTTAATTGGTATAATTATTTTTTCTGAAATAGTGCTAATTCTTTTTTAAAGTCTTAGTTATTTGGAATATGCCATGTGCAAACTCTTGACAACATATGATGGTTGCAAGCTTTCTCACTTCACTACTACAACAGAATTAATTTCCAACATTCTAAGATATTTAGTGTATGTAATTAATAAACTAATCTATGCATCTACAGTATTGCTAGCCATGTACCATTCTGGGGAGAACTGAGAAAATAGTCACTAAGATAATATCTTACAGAACTTAATTCCCTTGTAGAATTTCATTTGAGAAAAATTGAAATTTAAGATATTTTCAAGCACTTTTTAATTGGCAGAATTTTTTCTTCAAATAAAATTCTATGTTGAGCCCCAGAACAGAAAAGAGGTAAAATCTGAGCCATTCTGGATGAACTAGGAGAGGCTGTCTGAGGAAATGGTGGCTTACTTCACTCCCCTTTCAGACACGAGAAACGCTATGGGTGCCTTTAAGCAATATCCACAGATGTATGGGACACAGTTACAAAGTATTGCTAAGCTTTGAGTTGCATAGCCTTGAACACAGATAATCAGGAAAATTCTAGTAAGAAACATGAACTTCCACACCAACTCTGCAGTAATACTAACCCATTCCCTTTAGTATCAAAAGAAGCCATGAAAGAATTTGTACTGCCATCTAACCTTGCAGTTATATGGTGGTACCCTCTTATTTGCCTGTTAGAGAAGTGTCAGAGGAATCCATCTAAAACAGAAGTTTAAATAAAATCAAGAATATCTTAACATAATGCTTGAAGGTTCAGGTTTAATAAGAAATAGTTTGTCATACCAAGAACTAGTAAGATCTCAAACTAAGTGAAAAAAGTTTATCAATGGATGCCAACACCAAAGTGATAGAGATGTTAAAATTATCTGACAAAGATTTAAAAGCAGCCATCATTAAAATTCTTCAATGAGCAATTACAAAGATACTTGAATCAAATTTTTAAAAATAGTAGGTTTCAGAAAAGAAAAAGAAGGTATAATCAGCCCTCCATCTTCATGGTTTTTACATAGTGCAGATTCAACAAACCACAGATAAAAAATATTTGAAAAAAACAATAAAATAATAATATAACAATTAAAAATAATGCAAATTTTTAAGAAAAGTTAATACGGTACAAAACTATTAGAATGACTTTTATGTTGAATTAGGTATTATAAGTAATCCAGATTTCTTAATGTGTATAAGAGGACGTGCATAGGTAATATGCAAATATTATGCCATTTTCAATAAGGGACTTGAGCATCTATAAATTTTGCTATTCATGGAGGATTCCAGAAACAATCCACTGTGGACTCAAAGGTACAACTGAATAAAGAAGAAACAAATGGAAAGTTTTATCTAACAAACACAATAATTAAAATGAAAAACTCAAAGGATTATGTCTTAAGTCTATTCAGGCTGCTATAACAAAATACCTTAAACTAATAATTCATAAACAACAGATAATTATTGTCCACAGTTTTGGATGCTGGGAAATCGAAAGGTCAAAGTCTCCAGCAAATTTAATGTCTGGTGAGGGCTTGCTCTCTGCCTCAAATGTGGTGCCCTCTAGCTATGCTTTCACAAGCTCTCTCAGGCCTTCTTTAATTTACAAGAAAAAAACAAACAACCCCATCAAAAAGTGGGCGAAGGATATGAACAGACACTTCTCAAAAGAAGACATTTATGCAGCCAAAAGACACATGAAAAAATGCTCATCATCACTGGCCATCAGAGAAATGCAAATCAAAACCACAATGAGATACCATCTCACACCAGTTAGAATGGCAATCATTAAAAAGTCAGGAAACAACAGGTGCTGGAGAGGATGTGGAGAAATAGGAACACTTTTACACTGTTGGTGGGACTGTAAACTAGTTCAACCATTGTGGAAGTCAGTGTGGCGATTCCTCAGGGATCTAGAACTAGAAATACCATTTGCCCCAGGCATCCCATTGCTGGGTATATACCCAAAGGATTATAAATCATGCTGCTATAAAGACACAAGCACATGTATGTTTATTGCGGCACTGTTCACAATAGCAAAGACTTGGAACCAACCCAAATGTTCAACAATGATAGACTGGATTAAGAAAATGTGGCATATGTACACCATGGAATACTATGCAGCCATAAAAAATGATGAGTTCATGTCCTTTGTAGGGACATGGATGAAGCTGTAAACCATCATTCTCAGCAAACTATTGCAAGGACAAAAAACCAAACACCATATGTTCTCACTCATAGGTGGGAATTGAACAATGAGAACACATGGACACAGGAAGGGGAACCTCACACACCAGGGCTTGTTGGGGGGTGGGGGGAGGGGGAGGGATAGCATTAGGAGATATACCTAATGTTAAATGACGAGTTACTGGGTGCAGCACACCAGCATGGCACATGTATACATATGTAACTAACTTGCACGTTGTGCACATGTACCCTAAAACTTAAAGTATAATAATTAAAAAAAGAACACTAATTTCATTCATGAGAGCAGAACCCTCAGGACCTATTCATCTCCCAAAGCCCTTGCCTCTTACCACCATCTCTGTAGGGGTTAGGATTCAACGTATGAATTTGGTATGGACCATATTAGAATGACTCAAAAGAAGAATGGATGGTACGGAAGAAAGAATCAGAGAAATGAAAGAACAATAGAAATTATCCAATCTAAGAAACAGAAAAAAAATATATTGAAAAAGGACGATCAAAGCCTCAGGAATCTGTGAGATTATGAAAAACACTTAACATTTGTCATTTGTTAAATTCTGAGTCACAAGAGTCTCAGAAGAAGAAGAGAAACAGGGTTAATATGAAAAAGTAGTTGAGAAAATAATGGCTGAAAAAAATCCCCAAACTTGGCAAAAGTCATGCATTTACAGATTTAATAAGCTAGACTAACCTTAACAGGATAAGCCCCTCAAAATACAAAACTGGATACATCACGGTCAAATTTCTGAAAACTAAACAAACATTTGAAAACCTCAAGACAGAAATGACACCTTGCCAACAGGAGCAAGCAAATTTTGATGAAAGCAGATTTCTCATTAAAAACTATGGAGGCTTGAAGAAAGTGACATTTTTCAAGTGCTGAAAGACAAGAACTGTTAGCTCAGAACGTTATATTCAGTGAAAATATCCTTGAGAATGCCTTGATGAAGAAAAACTATTTTTTTTTGCCAGCAGACCTACAATAAAAATTAGCTAAAGAAAGTTTTATAAGTAGAAAGGAATGACAAAGTAAACTGAGAATATCAGAAAGGAAGAAAGAACATGTTCAGTAAAAATATGTGTAAATAAGATAGACTTTGTTCTCTTGAGTTTTCTAAATTATGATGGATATTTGGATCAAAAATTGTAACAGTCCCTGATGTGGTTCTAAGTGTACTTAGAGAAAATATTTAAGACAATTACATTATAAATGGAGTACAGTAAAGTGACTTAAAGGGAGATAAGGATTCCACACTTCATTTGAAGTGATAAAATAATGACACTAGTAAATTGCCATATATATATGTATGTATATATATATATATATATATATATAAAATAAAATTTCTTGAGAAACGACTAAAGAAGCTATACAAAGAGATATACTTAAAAACATTCTAAATAAACAAACTTGAATGCTAAAAAGTTCAAATAACCCATGGGAAGGCAGATTAAAAAAAGAGAGAGAGAACAAAGAAAACACAAAATAAAATGGCAAACTTAAGCATTAACATACCTGTAATTAAATTAGACATAAATAATCTAAATGCAACAATGGAAATACAGAGATTTGCAGAATTGATTTAAAAAAAAAGATGTATCTGTGTTCTACCTACAAACAGTGATTAGATATAACTATATAGAAATGTTGAAAAATGAGATGGCAAAAGTTATATCACACAAACAATCAAAAGAAAGCAGGAGTGACTATATTAACTAGATAAGGGAGTCTTCAGAGCAAAGAAAATTACCAGAGACAGGAAAGAATCTGATTTAAAGATAAAAGGGTCAATCCACACTATGAAGGACAGTATTCCTAAATTTGTATGCACCAAATAACAGAGCCGCAAATATGTGAAGCATAAACTAATAAAATTAAAAGAAAAAAGTTAAGAAATTCAAAATTATAGTTAAAGACGTCAATACCCTTGTGTCAAAAAGTGATAAACAACGAGACAGAAAATCAGCAACAGTGTAGAACTCAACAACACCATCAAGCACAGTATCTAATCGTTGCCCCTAAAAATGGTCCAATACATACTATTTAAAAGGGCCTATGGGAAATATTTCAAGATAGTGTATATATTTGGGGATAAAACAATCTCAACACATTTAAAAGAACTGACAACATACAGAATGGATTCTTCAGCTGCAGCAGAAACAAACCAGAAATCGATAACAAAATGATAAGAAAATATCCAAACATACAAAAACTAACCAATACATTGAGTCAAAGAAAAAGAAAATATTTTAAAAGTACATTGAACTGAATGACAACGAAAATACAAGATATCATCATTTTTGAGACAAAGTTAATGTAATACTTAGAGGAAAAATTATGGCAATGAATGCATGTATTAAAAACTTGTAATCTAAAATCCTACCTCAAAAATCTAAAAAACCCAGAGCAAAGTAAACCCAAGGCCAGCAAATGGAAGGATATGGATAGATAAGAACAAAATCTATGAAATAGAAAAAGCACAACAAAAGAGAAAATTGTTGAAACTAGTTCGTTCTTTGATGAGATTGATAAAAATTGTCAAATGTCTAGCAAGACTGATAAAACAAGAGAGAAGTCACGACTTACCGATATCTGGCATATAAGAGGAGATATCACTATTGACCTTGCAGACATTAAAAGGATAATAAAGGAATATTATGATCAACTCTACACACATAAATATGACAACTTAGGTAAAATGAACAAATTCCTTTATAAACACAAACATCAAAACAGATTCAAGCAGAAATAGACAATCTTAATAGAGATAACTCTTAAGAAAATTGAATCCGTAATTTAAAATCTCTCCCCAGAGGAATCCCCAATCCCAGATTGGTTAATTAGAAAATGTCACCAGATATTTAAAGAATTAGCATCAATTCTATACAATCTCTTCCAGAAACTAGAAGAAGTGAAAACATTTTCCAATTTATTTTTTGAAGCTTATATTACTTTGATATCAAAACCAAAGATGTTACAAAAAACAACAGGTTGATATTAACTATGTATATAGATACAAAGCTCTTAATATAATATTACCAAATAGAATTTAGCAACATAAAGAACAAATTATACACCATGAACAGTGGAGTTTATTCCAAGGGATGCGTGGCTGGTTAAATATTCAAAATCAATCAATGTAATCCACTATATTAATTAACTAAAGAAGAAAAACTAGAAAATTGTATCAGCCTATATAGAGAAACTGGACAAAATGTAACACCCATTTATGCTAAAAATTATTAGAATAATAGAAATATAAGGGGAATTCCTCAACCTGAGAAAGAGCAACTAAGAAAAAAACCCCCCAAAACTATATGTAACACTATACCCAATGGTGAAAGATTTTACCCTAAGATTGGGAGCAAGGCAAGAACGTCTGCTCTGAAAACTCTTATTCACAAGTGTTGACAATTATATGAAAGGAAATAAAGGGCACACAGATTGGAAAAGAAGTAATGAGTGCCATATATATACATATATATATATATACACACATATATATACATATATACATATATATACACATATATACATATATACAAATATATACATATATACATATATACATATATATACATATATACATATATACATATATATACATATATACATATATATACATATATACATAGTGGAAAACACAAGATGTCTATGAGAAAATGTAAAAATAACTAACGGATAAGTGAACTCAGCAGTCACAGGATATAAGATAAACCTGTACAAATAAAATACATTTTTTATGTAATAACTATTAACATGTGGACACCAAAATAAAAAAATATAATATCATTTCCAACCATTTAAATCAAAATTGTTAGATGTAGATCCAATAAAACCTGTTTTAAGACTTATATGCCAAAACACTGATAAAAAAATCAAAGAAGGTCTAAAAAATGGTGAAACATATTATATATATGTATTGGAAGACTCAAACATAGTAAAGGAACTAGAATAGCTATAGCAATTTTTGAAAAGAAGAATAAAGCATAAAGAATGAGTCTACCCTATTTGACACTTAGTTCATGATAGGAGTAATACAGATTGTGCAGTGTTAGTGATAGACACATGGATCAATGGAGCAGAATAAACTACCCAGAAATAGATCTACGCAAAATCATTTTAGTGAAGAAGAGATAGTCATTCATCAAATGATGCCAATTCAGTTGAATATCCTTAGGCAACGACAACAACAATAAAACTTTCATTTAACTTTCATACCTTATACAAAAATTAACAAAAAAAATGGATCATGGATCTAAATGCAAAATGTAAAGATATAAAACTTTTAGAAAAAATAGAAGAAAATATTTGGGGTTTAGGGCTAAGAAAGGAGCTTTTAAAGTTGACATCAAAAGTATAATCAATTAAAGGACAAAAATGATAATTTTGATGGCTGCCATCAAAATTAAAATCTTTGCCTCTGTGAATGTTCCTGTTTAGAGAATAAAAACACAAATTTCATACTGGGAAAAACATTTGCAAGCCACATATCTGACAAAGTACTAATATCTAGACAATATAAAGAACTTTAAAAACAACAGTAAAACAAAAAAAATACAATACTAAAATGGAATAACGTTGTTTTTATGTATTGGAAGATGTGAGCTAAAAATAAAGGATATTTCAACAAAGACAATATAGAGATGAAAAATAAGCACATGAAAAGATATTCTACTTCATTAGCCATTGAGGTAATGAAAATGAAAATCATAATAATGTATCAGTACACACCTATTACAATGGCTAAAATTTTAAAAAGCATAACACTAACTGCTGGCAAGGATGCAGAGAAACTATATCACTCATGTTCCTGGTGAGAACGGAAAATGATACAGCCACTCTGAAAATGAGTTTGGCAGTTTATTAAAAACAAACAAACAGAAATGAAATATATTATTATCATACAAGTCAACAATTTCATTCCTGGGCTTTTATTTCAGAGGGGGAGAAAACACCATAGGTTTACACAAAAGCCTAAAATAATATGTGTATAGTGGCTTTATTGGTAATAGCAAAAAAAGGGAATAACAAAGATGTTTTTCATCAGGTAAATGTTTAAAAATTTGTGGTATTCGGCCAGGCATGGTGGGTCACACCTGTAATCCCAGCACTTTGGGAGGCTGAGGCGAGTGGATCACGGGGTCAGGAGATTGAGACCATCCTGGCTAACATGGTAAAACCCCGTCTCTACTAAAAATACAAAACATTAGTCAGGCAAGGTGGCGGTCGCCTGTAGTCCCAGCTTCTCGGGAGGCTGAGGCAGGAGAATGGTGTGAACCCAGGAGGCGGAGCTTGCAGTGAACCGAGATCGTGCCACTGCACTCCAGCCTGGGTGACAGAGTGAGACTCCATCTCAAAAAAAAAACAAAACAAAAAAACTGTGGTATTCATAACATGGAATATTAATCAGCAATAAAAAGGATTGAACTATAACCTGGCAACATTTCTAAAGGTTTATGAGTGAAAATTCCATTCCAAAAGATTAAATATTTTATGATTTTATTTATATCATACTATTGAAATGACAAAATTGTAAAATGGAGAACAGATGAGTGGTTGTCAGAGGTTAAGGAAGGGTGTCAGTGGGAGGAAAGTAGGTATAGGTATAAAAAAGCAATATGGGGGAATTCCAAGGTGATGAAAATACTCTATATCCTGACTGTCAATTTCAATATCCTGGTTGAAATACTGTACTGTAATTTTACAAGATGTTACTATTGGAGGAAACTGGGTAAAGGGTACATGAAAACTTTCTGTATTACTTCTTAAAACCACATGTAAATCTAAAATTATCTCAAAATAAAAAAGTTTAATTTAAACAAAAAACTAGTTGAAAAAGAAATCAAGAAGGCAATTCCATTTACAACAGCTACAAAAAAATAACATACCTGAGAATAAATTTCTTTAAGGAGGTAAAAGACTTTCACAAGAGAAACCACAAAACTCTGATGAAAGAAATTTAAGAGGATAGAAACAAGTGGAAAAATATTTTGTGCTCATGAATCAGAAGAGTTAGTATAATTAAAATGACCATACTATCCAAAGCAATGTACAGATTCAGTGCAATCCCTATCAAAATATCAATGACATCCTTCACAGAAATAAAATCTAAAATTTGCATGAAACAATAAGAGACCCTGAATAGCCAAAGCAGTTCTGAGCAAAAAGAACAAAGGTAGAGGCATTACACTACTAGACTTCAAAATATACTACAATACTATGGTAACCAAAACAGCATGGTAATGGCATAAAAACAGAAACATAGAACAATAGAACAGAATAGTTCCATGAAATTAATCATATATCTACAGAAATTAATCCATGTATCTACAGCCAATTGATGTTTTTCAGAGACTCCAAGAATATACACTGGAGAAAGGATAGTCTCTTTAATAAATGGTGCTGGGAAAACTGGATGTCCATTTGCAAAAGAATGAAACAAGACCCCTACTTCTTACCCTGTACAAAAATTAACACAAAATGGATAAAAGACCTAAATGTAAGACCTAAAACTATAAAACTACTAGAAGAAAACATGGGGGAAATGCTTCAAGACATTGGTCAAGGAAAAGATTTCATGAATAACATCTCAAAAACATAGGCAACTGAAGCAAAAATGAACAAATGGAATGTTATTAAACTAAAAATCTTCTTCATAGCAAAGAAAACAATCAACAAAGAGAAAAGACAGCCTACAGGATGGGAGAAGTATTTTCAAACACTTCACCTACCCAATGAACTGTATATTAATCTCCTAACTGGAGATTAATATAGAAGGAACACAAACAAATTAACGGTTTAAAAATCCAATTAAAAAATGGCAAATAATGTGAATGTTTCTCAATAGAAGACATAAAAATGACAAATATATTTTTAAAATGCTTAACACCACTTTTCATCAGAGAAGTGCAAATCAAGACTACAATGAGGTATCATCTCACCCCAGTTATGATGGCTATTATCAAAAAGACAAAAAAAAAAAAAATACTTGCTGGTGAGCATGCAGAGAAAAAAGAACTCTTATACACTATTGGAGAGAATGTAAACTAGTACAGTAGTACAGCCACTATGAGAATAGTCCGGACTTTCCAAAAAATAAAAACTATAGCTAGAACTACCATGTGATCCTTCAATCCCACTACTGGGAATTTATCCAAAGGAAAGAAAAACATTATATAGAAGAGACACCAGCACCCTCATCTTTGTCATAGCACTATGCACAATAGCTAAGATATTATGATATCTTAGCTATGTAGGTGTTCAACAACAGCTGAACAGATAAGGTGTGCTCTCTCTATATATATACAATGAAATATTATTCAGACAAAATTTAATGAAGTCCCATCATTCAAGGCAAAATGGATAATACTGGGGGACATTATGCTAAGTGAAATAAACCAGGAACAGAAAGGTTAAACATAGCATGTTCTCATTCACATGTGGAATCTAAAAAATAAAAAAACAGTGATCTCATAGAAGTAAAAAGTAGAACAGAAGATTCTAAAGACTCTAGTTTCTAGTGAGAGGGTAATGAGAGAATTGTTAAAGCATACAAAATTACAGCTAGGTAAGAGTTCTA
Organism: Homo sapiens; assembly: GCF_000001405.40. Classification (NCBI taxonomy): domain Eukaryota; kingdom Metazoa; phylum Chordata; class Mammalia; order Primates; family Hominidae; genus Homo; species Homo sapiens. The sequence goes on along the minus strand of NC_000008.11, from coordinate 76,176,293 downwards.
GTGTTCTGAAGCATTGTAGGATGCCTATAGTTGACAATGACATATCATATACTTTCAAATAGTTAGAAGGGGATATTGAATGTTCCTAACACAAGAAATGATAAACATTTGAGATGACAGGTATGCTAGTTACCCTGATCTGATCACTACATATTACATATATCACAACATTACTATGTACCCCATAAATTACTGTGTCAAAAAAGAAATAAAATTTAAAAATAAAAAATAATATGGTAATTATTACCATTTTTAGGAATGCACATCAGTCTTTTTAATATTTGAAAGTCTGGGAGTTATCTTTATCATATTTTAGAAAACACAAAATATAGAAAACTTAAAAAACTAAACTTGTGCATTTGTTTCCTCCTTATATCATCAGAAAACTGGCAGAATATTTTTAATCAGTGAGATTTTTAGACACCAGTTATGCCTAGTGTCATTTATCATGGACATATGCCAAAGTAAATATTGCCTAATTCTAATGTGTGTTCTTTGCTGAAGAATTTGATTCTCACCAAACATGTTCAGCTACCAGAGAAAAATATAACCATTCTGCATCATCAACGTACAATTAGCTCATACACATTTTTCCTGTGGCTTTTCAGGGAGAAAATGTTTTCAGAATAACAATGTACATATACTTTGTATATATGCAAATATGTACTTGCCTATTCAATTAGTAAGATAGGTTTGGAGCATATAGTACATATTCAGTGTAGACAGAGAAAAACAATCATTGTATTTAGAGTGCTTTAGTTTAGAAATAATAAAAATGTCAGTAATTCAGGAAAGGCACCATCTTAATCAAGTTGTGATCTAATACATGGAACTTTAAAGCTTTATTTTATATGTTGAATGAATTTTATTTTAGCAAATCCTGAAAATAGAAGTGCCATCACATCTGGACTAAAATTCCCTCTTTTGGCCAGGTGCAGTGGCTCATGCCTGTAATCCCAGCACTTTGGGAGGCTGAGGTGGGTCAATCACCTGAGGTCAGGAGTTCAAGACCAGCCTGGCCAACATGGTGAAACCCCATCTCTACTAAAATAAAAAATTAGCTGGGCGTGGTGGTACATGTCTGTAATCCCGGCTACTCAGGAGGCTGAGGCATGAGAATTGCTTGAACCTGAGAGGTAGAGGTTGAACTGAGCCGAGATCACGGCACTGCCCTCTAACCTGGGCAACAGAGCGAGACTCTTTCTGGAAAAAAAAAAAATTAATTAATTTAAAAAATAAAATAAAATGCTCTCTTTTAAAAAATAAAACAAAAACTAAAAACCATAATGATATTACTTCATATTTTAAAACATTATATCAAATTAAGCTACTCTAGAATTTCCATGATTTTATACTCACCTCCTTTGCATTTTCAAAGGCAATGTTATTGCTACCAAGGAAACTTTTCTATGAACACTTGAAAGACAATATGGTCTTCAATGCCTTCAAAATTATCCTTTTGTCTCTGGCCAGGGAACACAATGAAGAATATTAAAGCAAGAAAGTAAGTGAATCCTTCAATGGGCAAAACGATTTGGTAAGGATCACAATTTGGGTCAGATCAGTTATATGCTATTGAAGATCATAAGACAATAGTAATGCTATTTACATCTTAGCATTGTTGAAATATTCTTCTCTGCTTTTTTATTGGAGCCTAGGGAAAATTATGTAATTATTAAGCATAATGGTGCTTTTGAAAAAAGAGATTGTTTCATGGGATCAAAAGACAGGCTGCCAAATTTACCCCCATTCTTTCCTTTTTCTCTATGTAGAAAAAGTAATTGCTTTCTGTTTATTCTTTGCCTATTCTATGAAATTTATTTTGAAGGTAGTCATACAAAATGCTGGCATGGAAAATAAGAGGTACTTTTTAGACTAGCTGTTATTTAATTAAATATAAAAAGCTAATTTAAAATAATACCATGCTCACAATAATGAGGCAGTTCTGATTGAAGGCCACTAGAAAGCTTTTAGCATACCCCTCAGAATCTGGCAGTGGTGGAGAGCAGTTGTCTCTTCACAGGTCGTTCTTCATCAACACGGACTTATCCTGGGAGATATACTTAACATCATTATAACTTCCATTTTCTCATTTCTCTTTAATTGGTTAGAATAATGTGAAATGACTGAAAGTGTTCTTCTTTGAAAAAAATTATATTTAAAGATATGTAAGAGCCAGAAGGGAATATTACAATCCCAAGTTGTGTCTTTTGCTTTAATTAAGAGGGCAAAAGACAAATAGTGGTATTTTAGAGTCACTTTCATTAAAGCATTAGCTGAACATTATAGGGACAATGGAATAGAGCATGGGGGTTATTGAACAGTGTAGAGCTAAATGACCTATTTCATAGTAAAATCAAATGTTTCTTAAACTTTAAGGACTTTATCAATCTTTTCCTTTGCCAAATCCTACTGCTTCCTCTTCCATATTCTCTTTAGTTACATTTGTCAGTTTAATTATTGAAAATTACTATCAATTAACATTTGAATTATGCTATCTTAAACACGAATCTCTCTCAGCCAATTTGCAATTAGATACTACTGTTACCTCAAATGTTTGATCTATGGTAGGTCTTAATTCAATAATCAGCATAAATGCATTAAACAGAGCTATAATTACACAGCTAAAGGGATGCCTTCTTTTGAAAATATTTTTTAACTATGTTTCTAGTGTGACTGAGGATCAAGATCATACAATCTCTAGATAAGAATCTTGGGATATTAATACATATAAAGTTTTAAAGGAATTAACAGACAAATGGATTAGGCAAATACAAAATTATACAGTTTTGTTTATTTTGTTTCTCTTTAGCATGGGACTCCTCAGAGCATTTATTGTGTTGATGCTTATTTTAAGTGGGACAGGCTTTGAGAAATACTATTCTTCCCATGGGATTAGTGGAAAAAAGAGTTCTCTGTGTACAGAAATATGAATAATATTCTCTTTTCTATCAGGCATGTGCAAAATTGCTTGACGAAGTTGTCTGGCTCAGGTGCATAAGAATAATGCATTTAAAAGAGTCATCTGCTGCCCGTTTTCCATTTGTTGGGATATTTGATCCAAACTATTTCACGTCTCCCATTTAACTTCTTGAATAAAAAATTAAAGCTAAAAGCCGGTCTAGCACAGGAGAAGAGCTGCAGAGGGCCAGCGCTAGGCCAGTGGGCTCTATTTTTGAAGCAGCCTTTTATTTCTGCATCTCTGATATCCAAGGCATAGCTTTCAAAAACACTTCTCTTGTGACTAGGTTGCTTTTATCTTTCCCGTTTTATTAAAGGAGTTAAATGGAAGGTATTCTGAAACTCCAATTTAGCTTTTATTTTTCAATAAAAATGACAGTCGAAAAACAGTGTAGCCACAGGAGAGGCAGGGCAACCTGGCACAGAGGGGGTGAAAGCCCGCTGAGCTGGGACTACAAAGTGTTTGGATAACAGACTCACCAGGCTTTCTAAATACCTTGGTGAGACACTGTAAGAAGAGGGCAAATAATAGTCTTCATCTTTGCATTCACCAGAGCTCTTTCTACTGTCATGAAATTTTTATTTAAAGAAAACTAAAAAGGAAACCATTAGAATATGGTTCTTGAATACTCTAATGTACTTGTTTTGGTTTGATGTGCCTTTGTGCCATAACTTTGAAAGTATAAATTTCACATTTTTCTAAGTCAAATAGCTAATCCCCTAGACCTCTCCAACTAATGATAACAGTCATTTGACAGTGTGTCCTTAAGTAATATCTGCTGAATGTATACAGTAATATCCTAAGTTGTGCACATACACTGACTTCATGAATAATCTTTTCCTAAGATATTTAGAAAATACTTGGGTTTAACAAAAGTTCTATAATCCTTGAACAATTTCATAACAATACCTCAATATCATTTTTCCTAAGGTACATAATAAATATTTAGAACAACATGATGTATTGACTTGTTTGATTCGATTTCTTACCAGCAACTACATAGGCCTAATGGCAGTCTTATTCACTAACTTACTTTAAGGACGATGTTACATACATGTATGGCACTAGTAATTGGTAGAAGATTCTGGTGTAGAAGGGTACATATCGAATCTAATAATCTATAACAAATCTTGCAAATATTGTCAGCCGCATTTTGAAAAATCCTAAATGAGCAAGGTCTTAACATTGATATTGACAAATGGAGACATGGAGGTAAGTGTGAGAATTGAGATGAAGTGAGGGGCAGATCTTTCCATAGTGCATTTCCAGTAGAGGCACAGAGTCAGACATCCCAGACCCTGGACTCTGCTCTCCTAAGACATAGTTCGGTGATCTGAGAAGCAGGTCTGAATGTTCTACCTGGTTTCACTACCTCTTGCATGGAGATTTTCTGACTTGATTTAAAGTTGAATACCCTTGAGTTTTGTGTGCAGTCTCATTATACAGCCAAGGCTTCTTCACTTGGCTCACTTCACTGAGCCATGTTAAAATTAGTGTGAATAGTTTTCCTACAAGAGACATGCAAATTTCCAAGTTTCTTCATGGCTCTGAGTCACCCAGTGAGAAATCAGTGTTAACAATTATCAGATTATTTCCAATTTTCAGTGTAAGAAGTCAAATGGTAATGATTTTTTATCAATCAGCTAATATGTTTTCATGCCATACACTACAAGAATCACCATAGTAGATGTAATAATTCAAAAGCACTAAATTGCTAATGTTGAGAGCTTACCATTTAGGATTAAGATTGATAAAGTGATTTCTTCAAATGTTAGAAGGAAGAGAAAAGCACAATACACTAATTATTTTACTCTTTTTTGAAAGGAATATCATTTACAGTGTTACATAAGGATTAAGATCCTGGACTCAGGCTAGACTGAATACGGATATGAATATGGATCCTGTTCTGTGTAACTTGCAGCAAATTATCTACCTTTCTGTGCCTCAATTTTCTCATTTGGAAAAGGGAATGATAATGCCTACTTAAGACTTATTCTGCATAGCTTAGTTAAAAGAGTTGAAATTAATAAACTACTTAAAATGTGTCTGAAACACATGTAATAAGGGTGACTTTGTGTCCGAAATTGGTGGGTTCTTGGTCTCACTGACTTCAAGAATGAAGCTGCAGACCCTCGCGGTGAGTGTTACAGCTCTTAAGATGGTGCGTCTGGAGTCTGTCCTTTCTGATGTTCAGATGTGTTCAGAGTTTCTTCTTTCTGGTGGGTTCGTGGTCTCGCTGGCTCGGGAGTGAAGCTGCAGACCTTCGCAGTGAGTGTTACAGCTCTTAAGGCAGCACGTCTGGAGTTGTTCGTTCCTCCTGATGGGCTCGTGGTCTTGCTGGGCTCAGGAGTGAAGCTGCAGATCTTCGCAGTGAGTGTTACAGCTCATAAAAGCAGCGTGGACCCAGAGAGTGAGCAGTAGCAAGATTTATTGCAAAGAGCAAAAGAACAAAGCTTCCACAGTGTGGAAAGGGACCCGAGCGGGTTGCCACTGCTGGCGCGGGCAGCCTGCTTTTATTCTCTTATCTGGCCCCACCCGCATCCTGCTGATTGGTAGAGCCAAGTGGTCTGTTTTGACAGGGTGCTGACTGGTGCGTTTACAATACCTGAGCTAGATATAAAGGTTCTCCACGTCCCCATCAGATTAGTTAGATACAGAGTATGGACACAAAGGTTCTTCAAGGCCCCACCAGAGCAGGTAGATACAGAGTGTCGATTGGTGCATTCACAAACCTTGAGCTAAACCCAGGGTGCTGATTGGTGTGTTTACAAACCTTGAGCTAGATACAGAGTACTGATTGGTGTATTTACAATCCCTGAGCTAGACATAAAGGTTCTCCAAGGCCCCACCAGAGCAGCTAGATACAGAGTGTCAATTGGTGCACTCACAAACCTTGAGCTAAACCCAGGGTGCTGATTGGTGTATTTGCAATCCCTGAGCTAGACATTAAGGTTCTCCAAGGCTCCACCAGAGTAGCTAGATACAGAGGGTCGATTGGTGCACTCACAAACCCTGAGCTAGACACAAGGTGCTGATTGGTGTGTTTACAAACCTTGAGCTAGATACAGAGTGTCAATTGGTGTATTTACAATCCCTGAGCTAGACATAAAGGTTCTCCAAGGCCCCACCAGAGCAGCTAGATACAGAGTGTCGATTGGTGCACTCACAAACCCTGAGCTAGACACAGGGTGCTGATTGGTGTGTTTACAAACCTTGAGCTAGATACACAGTGCTGATTGGTGTATTTACAATCCCTGAGCTAGACATAAAGGTCCTCCAAGGCCCCACCAGACTCAGGAGCCCAGCTGGCTTCACCCAGTGGATCATGCACTGGGGCTGCAGGTGGAGCTGCCTTCCAGTCCCCGTGCCGTGCGCCCGCACTCCTCAGCCCTTGAGTGGTCGATGGGACTGGGCACCGTGGAGCAGGGGGCTGCGCTCGTCGGGGATGCTCGGGCTGCACAGGAACCCACGGAATGGGTGGGAGGCGCAGGCATGGCGGGCTGCAGGTCCCGAGCCCTGCCCTGCGGGAAGGCAGCTAAGGTTCGGTGAGAAATCGAGCACAGCGCCAGTGGGCTGGCACTGCTCGGGGACCCAGTACACCCTCCGCAGCTGCTGGCCCACTGCTCTCAGTGCGGTGACAGGCCCGCCAATCCCACGCCCACCTGGAACTCCAGCTGGCCCGCGAGCGCCGCACGCAGCCCCGGTTCCCGCTCGCCCCTCTCCCTCCACACCTCCCTGCAAGCTGAGGGAGTGGGCTCCAGCCTTGCCAGCCCAGAAAGGGGCTCCCACAGTGCAGTGGTGGGCTGAAGGGCTCCTCAAGTGCCGCCAAAGTGGGAGCTCAGGCAGAGGAGGTGCCAAGAGCAAGTGAGGGCTCTGAGGACTGCCAGCACGCTGTCACCTCTAACCTTCATTGTTAAATATTATTATAATGTGATATGAAGGGCAAGGCACACTTTCTCTTGTTCACCAGATTTTTGGCTTAATGCATTGGCACATTTCCCTCTTAATCTACTCCTAATACTACCTACTCTTGAGGCTGAAATGTTTACCCAGCCCTCTTTTTACTAGTAGTTTCAAGTTCATCAAAAAGTAAAATTAACTGGAAGGATACAGTTGATAGAATTGGGAGGAAAAAAAGCTCCATGGGCCGGGCGCGGTGGCTCATGCTTGTAATCCCAGCACTTTGGGAGGCCAAGGCTGGCAGATCATGAGGTCAGGCATTCCAGACCAACATGGCCACCACAATGAGACCCTGTCTCTACTAAAAATAGAAAAATTAGCCAGGCATGCTGGCGCGTGCCTGTAATCCCAGCTACTCAGGAGGTTGAGGCAGGAAAATCACTTGAGCCCGGAAGGTAGAGGTTACAGTGAGCTGAAATAGCCGCGCTGCACTCTGGTCGGGGCAACAGAGTGAGACTCCATCTCAAAAAAAAAAAAAAAAAAAAAAAAGCTCCATGATGCTAATAGTTGAATTTTCAGAGCCTCTTTTACATCACTTTTCATGGTGTGCTTTCCTGTTTGTCCCTTGGCATCCCTTTCAACATCTAGAAGATTGCCCAATGTATAGATGCTTGATACATATTTAATTTACTTTACACATTGTGCATAGATACTTGTTACATATTCATTTAATGTGTGAATACATAAATTATTTTAACTTATTACCAGGGGGAAGGTAGGGGGAAAATGTTGGCTTTATATTTCCAGCAAAACAAGCCATATCTATACTTTAAAATGCAGTTGTAAAGTTGAATATTTTCAATTTATAAATGATTGCAACAAATAATTGTGAAAATTTTAAAAATGCAATCACTAAAACAAAGACTTTAATGGTAGACAAATTTATGATCAGTGTAAAAAGTTAAAGAAAACAGACATACTAGGTGGATTACTTAACTTACATTAAAGCATCCAGATTAACTCTTATATTCCTCCTTTCATAATGAAGTTATCTGCTTTATTCAAAAAAAATCCTGAACCCGTGACCACTTATTTGGGTCTTATAGTTTCCATTTTGTAACATTGACTGATTAATAGATTGATTACCTTTTGTCTATTTTAATTAGATTTGATTTATTTTTGTTATTATTATTTGTTTTAGAAATGAGGGTATCACTTTTCTCACCCGGGGTAGAATGCAATGGTGCAATCACCGTTCACTGCATCCTCAAACTCCAGCACTCAAGCAATCTTCCCACCTTAGCCTCCTGAGTAGCTGAGGCTACAGGAACACACCACCATACCCGGCTAATTAAAAAAAAAAAAAATGTACAGATGCAGTTTCACCATATTGCCCAGGCTGGCCTTGAACTCCTGGAATCAAGTGATCCTCCTGCCTTCTCCCTTGACCTTCCAAAGCGCTGGGATTACAGGCCTGAGCCACTGTGCCAGGCCTATTTTGATTTTATAAAACAAAAGCTTCTTAAGAGATGTAATAGCACCAGTAATGGTATTCCAAAGAACAGATGATTCTATCACCCAGAGATAAGTAATTACTTAGGCAGAAAGAGTTCCTATTAAGCATGGAATGTAAGTTGCAGAACATTTATGACTGTATTAGAGACACTTAAATTTCAGCCTATCCTACTTCCCACGGTCTGAGGAAGTGGAAAAATAGGGTTATTGCCTAGATAATTCTGAGTAATCTTTCCTTTTGCAGAAATTGTCTGGAAAACTGTGATAATTTTCTTTCCTTGAGTCATAAGCCTTTTTTGCTGAAATTTGAGAGACACTGTTTTTTTTTTAACACTTTTAAAAAAATTTTTTACTTTAAGTTCCGAGATACACGTGCAGAATGTGGAGGTTCATTACATAGGTATACGTGTGCCATGGTGGTTTGCTGCACCCATTGACCTGTCCTCTAAGTTCCCTCCCCTCATCCCCCACCCCTCAACAGGCTCTGGTGTGTGTTGTTCCCCTCCCTGTGTTGATGTGGGAGAAACACTGTTGTGACTAGTTGAAGATATTCGGGAACTCCCAAACCCTCCCTAAATTTATCATCAATATTAAAAAGTCTTCTTTCTATTATATTTATGGCACTTAAACTGAAGCTTAGTTTCTAAACAGTCTCAATCTATTTTGTGTTATGAAAACAATCCACAATCCTTGAAAACATTCAGATATTGCAGGCATATGTTAACTTAAAGGAAAGGACTCTACATTCAAAAGTCCTACCCTACTACTCTTCCCCAAAGCAGCCACAGTTAACATTTTTATGTTCAATTTTCAAAATTTTTGACAGTGTACATTCATGCACACTTTATCTGCATGGGTTTTTATAATTTATACACATGATAACTATAGATAACTTTCTACTTTTGGATTTTTTAGTTAACAGTATATTGTGAAGATACCCTCATGTCAGGACACTGAATTTTGCATAATGTTACAAAATGTTGTTGTATCAAAATTTTTTCAACATTCTTATGTGGCTTCATTTTTGCCATTTCATATTGTGTTGTAGCAAACCTTCTTAAACGTAAATCAATGTGTGTGTATTTGGGTATTTTAACAGATGTTGCCAAATTTTCCTGCATGAAGACAAATTGATACTCTTACCAACAGTCATACCCAATTTGCCAACAGCCTAGGTCATTAGCACATCACATGTCCAAATAGTGGATGGAAAAGCAAGAACTTGTACCATAGATCTCAGGCAAGAAAATACTTACTACATGGTGTAGTAAGAGAGCAAGAAGCTGTAAAGACTGGAAGATTTCTTTGTACAGGAACAGAAGTAAAGATCTAAGGACCAGGAAATGATTTTTTAAAAGCATTAAATGCTTATTTTTTAAATCATGTATCCACACTTTCAATAAAATTAGAAGGAAGAATTCCTCCACATTCATCCATTCATCCATCACAATGGATGAATGTGTGGGGTGAATAAGTAAATTCAACCCACACATTCATCTATTTCATTAACAAATGTGTATTACTAATCGTCTTGATAAAGGACATTTTTATAAATTCACAGTGTTATAAAATTTTATAAAGACTTAATCTCTTTGTTTGCCAGCTTACTGTCTGCAGAGTGGGCATGTTACAAAAAAAGTATTATAAACAATGTTGTCAGTACTAAAATGGGAATAAAATAAAGTACAGGAGAAAAGAATAACAACAACAAAAAATTCTAAGTGAGTTATAGAAAATACAGAAAAAAAAAAAACTCAGGAAAATATTAGAGGTCCAATTGCCTTGAGTGCAGGGGCACAGTCTTGTGATATTTTTTTCTCTAAAAGTAGTTTGAAGTGTGTATATATGTTTTTGCGAATGTAAGTCTATTCTAGTATATGGCTCAGGAATCTGACTAGTTTTCAGAAAATAATGATGCTGAAAAGTAAACCATTCAGTATTTCTTTGCAAAAGATCTCCAGCTTCTGTGTAGATATATATTGAAATACATATTTGGAATGGAAGTTATATTTGTAACTAGTGTTGTCCTGTGAGACACTGTCATCTGATTTAAGTAGCTAAGCTTAGGGGTCATGTCTAGAAACTCATCTCTGAGTACTGAATGTATGTATAATTTTTATGTTGGTTTTTAGAAAAACTGTATGCATAAAATGCAGCTGTCTCCTCATTTCCTGGATTTCACAGCCTACCATTTATTGTGGTGATCCTGAGGAGTTGCTGCATTGCTTTTTCCACAATGACATTATGGATCTTAGAAGAAACAGAGTAGGAAATCTTGGGACAATGAGTTCAGGTTTTTAATAATCTGTTGCCAGGAGTTTCCACAATGCATGAGCAAAGTGATTTATTTCTGGAAATGGTAGACATAGTGATCTTCAACTAACCATCCAGCTGTACATTAAGTAAAGATGCACAATTGTAAAATGTGTCTGTGAATTCATAATTTGAGGGGTCACAATATAGGGGAAAAAATGGTCTAGCGAGTTAAACTCAGTGTGTGTCACTAATTTTACCTCTCAGATAAAAAGTAAAAGTTGTGGTAAAGAGATTGAGGAACTGAGGTTATATTCAGCAATCTTATGGTGGTAGAATAAACAAAAATTGGAGTCTGGGGTCTGTAAATGGTGAATGGACTTGTCCTAACAAGTAAAAAACACAACTTTGAGTCATCTCTATCCATAATTAGATTTAGGGAATATGGCCTTGAACCAACTGACAAAATAAAAAGTGTATTATTTCTAGGACAAGATAAGATGATCCTGAGCCTTATACTTTTTCAATAATATTTTATACACCAGAACCAAAAGTCAATAAAAAAATCTTAGGCATATAAATATATAAGACTTGAGCAAAACACACACACACACACACACACACACACACACACACACACGGAGAGAGAGACAGAGAGAAGGAAAGAAAATGTAGGTAATGGAAACAGATCCATAAAGGCTCTACATAATGGAGTTATCGGGCATGGCCTTTAAAATATATCTTTAAAATATGTTCAAAAGATTAAAAGACAAAAAGAATGTGTACAGAGAATATAAAATCATAAAAAATAGAAATTTTTAAAGAGAAAAATACATATCTAAATGTAGAAGTTAGTGGTTGGAGCTAACTGCATACTAGACATAGAAAAAAATAGAATTAGTGAACTACAAGATGGGTTAGAGAAAATACCCAAACTGAAATACTAATAGACTACTAATTCAACACAGTGAAAAGATCTAATACATCCCATTGGAGTACTAGATGAGGAGAGTGGGACAGAATCAGTGTTTGGTGGAGAATTTTCCAAAACTGATGAAAGAAACAGCCATGCAATGAGTAAACCTTCGGAAACCCAAACATGATAAATACAACAAAAACCATAAAAGCACATAATAATAAAACTTGTAAAGACCAACAAAAAACAGACATAGAAAACGTATAGCACTTTCAAATAAGCAAGAATAAAACTGTCTCCTGACTAACAACAAGAAAAGGAAGCTAGGAGACGATGGAAACCTTCAAAATACTGAAAGAAAATAACTGTTAGCTTACACTTAAATATCCAAAAATATTTTCAAAAATTATGGAAAATTAAAGACATTACACACATATTTAAATTAATAATTGATTTCCAGGGGACCTGCACTAGGGAAAAAAAGTAAAGGAAGTTATTTAATCAGAAGAAAAATAATACAATATGGAAACTTGAAAACAAGAAAAGAAATGAAAAGCATAAAGATGTGGGTCAATAAATAAATACTGAATAAAACACATAATGAAAATAATAGCTTGTGAAGTTTAAATTTTATACAAAATAAAAACACTCAACAACATAAAAATCAAATAGGGCTAAGTAGAATTAGAATGTTCTATGGTACACTATCTTGGAAGTTGTAAAAGTACCATACTAATATAAATTAGAGATTGATAAATCAAAGTTTTAAATTGTAATTCTTTTCATAATCACTGAAAAATAAAATATGTGTAACTAGCAAACTAATTAAGGAGAAAAATAAAATAACATAAAAGTTTAATTAATTCAGCCCCCAGGAGTCATGTGTGCAATGTTTTTCTGTTTAGCCAGAATACATGTTGAAAACCAAGATCTATTAGTTGTCTCTTCTCATTCTTGTCTCTCTCCCCATCTTAACACCAGTGTCTCTGAGATTCCTCCAGTTTTGCTTATTTTTTTCCAGTTATTCCCAAGTATTTATGCTAATTTCTCTCATAACAATTTGGGGGCATCTTGAATTTCTTCTTTGTCTCCTGTTTTTATGACATTAGTTTTTTTCTAGTTATGCTGAGGTTTGCCATTGTGTTCTGACTGACAGTGAATGAATACATTCAATCTCTTTTAATGATGTTAGGCTTGTCAAGGGGTCTGAAAACAGACAGGATGAAATCTAGCAGATAAACGGCCCTTTCATGGGCATTGCCAAGGAAGACAGAGGAGTTTATGTGTTCTGACTTAAGATAATTACTTCTAAAAATAAACATAAATATTAATATTCATATTTACATATTTTAAAATTCTTATTTAGGTTTAATAGTATCAAAGAATATGACATAAATTATAGTTAATTTTAAAGTCATAGAGTCTCAGGTTAGAGTTATATTTAAATGAATTGATTTACTCTCCTTTTGGATGGATACATGTAGTGTTATTTTTGTTTTATTCTTCACATACAAGCTTGCAATTTAAAATTGTATTCTTACAAAAAGTAAATATCTGCTCTTTTATATTTTTGCAAAACTGATTTTTACATTTTGGAGAGAAATGTGTCAATAAATGTCCAAAAAGTTTACATTTTAAGATATATTCATATTTTCCTCAAAGTATAATAAAAAATTATAAACATAATATAAAGCAATATATTTAATTCTTATAATTTTTGGTTCTTTCTTTAGATCATTCTGCAGCCTGGCTAAGGATGAAGATAACTGATAAACTATTATATACCAGTGAGTATTTCTGGCCCCTCTGTAGCTTGGGTTTTTTATTGAGAACAATTACTGTTTTATAGTGCTTGGTATGATTTGGAGCACAAAATTAAATGCAACAATTAGAGAGTATAATTTTTATAGAAGTGTCAAATAAAAGTTGTGCTATTTTGGGAAACCAAGAATGTTGGTTTAATTTAAACTGAGCACATTTTAGAGAGAACTCTGTCATCTTTTACTGATCTGTGAAGATAACACCTAGAGTTAAATTCAACATCCAAATGTTTAATGTGAACGAGTTTCTTGAATAATATACACTTCAACTTGCCTTGAACTATCAGAAGACAATTGCTCTAAACCAATTTTATTAATCAATCATAAAATAAAATTCAACTCACTTATTTTTCCAAAAATCTAAATCTCAATGCTTTTTTAAACATATGTTCCAGTCACATTTTAGGAATTCATTTCTAAAATGAATTTTAATAAGCAAAGAAATACAGCAAGAAATGTTGTGATTAGTACTGCAAAAATATGTATTTTTTAAATGGTGGCAGGAAAAAATTTTATTATTCTAGATATTTGTTTTTCATGTTTCATATTCTATTCATATGCTGTGGCTATTTTTCCAAAGAATATTGTTTTGCTTTTTTAAAACTAAAAATGCCAGGATGCATACAGTAGACGATCTTATATAACACTTTGCTCTTACATTAGTACTTTACTTTCTACTTCCTTAAATCAATTTCAATCCTTTCTCATTATAATAAAGCTTCCTTGTTCTTCGTTTAGATTTTTTCACTTTTTAAAAAATTTTGTTATTATTATACTTTAAGTTTTAGTGTACATGTAAAAAAAAAAAAGATTTGTTCACTTAATTCTTAGTTGTTTTTGTTTTATTTTCTACCGTTCACAGAATATTCTGAATCATCCCCTTTATTTCCACCTTCTACTACAAATATAATTCTGATCACTGGTTATAATTCATATTATACTAATTACCACCGCCATCTCTTTTAACGTATTTATTTTTCTATTCACTTGAGGTTTTATCACAGTTATGTATGATTAAGCAGCAATAATTTTTTCTGTACTCTTGGCTTTGTTCTTGTTCATTATATACCTTTCTTTCACAGGATTAGTACTCCTCATTCTTCTTTTTATTTGCTATATTGTAGAGTTTATTTTTATTAATTTGTTTATCAGATTGGCAGAATGCTGGTACTGTAGTCCCCCTTTATCCACAGGGAATACATTCCAAGATGTCCAGGGGATGCCTGGAACTGCAGATTGTACCAAACTCTACATATACTATATTTTTCCCCTCTGATACAGAGAGGGCTGCTAAGTGACTAACAGCCAGGTAATGTGTGGATACGCTGGACAAAGGGCTGATTCATGTCCTAGGTAGAACAGATTGGGACAGTACAAGATTTCATTAAGCTACTCAGAATGCTGTGCAATTTAAAACTTATGGATTACTTATTTCTGAAATTTTCCATTTAATATTTTGACCATAGTTAACTGCAAAAACTGAAACTGCAGATGAGGGAACACTACTGCATTATCAGTCTCACATCATAATTATGCTCCTTATTAATAATTTCTATTGACTTTTATTTTACTATTCCTGTTCTAAAAGTATTTTGAAATATTCTTTTTTTTTAAAATCCAAACTATGGTTCAAGACATCTGAGTGAAACTATTTTAATGTCTCGCCAAAAATTATACTCACATTCTTGGAATATTTTAAATTGTGCTCTGGTTATATGGGAGTACATTTGCCGAACCTACTGTTATTTATTCTTTTTTTTCTACCAATGTTCAGTTCTCTCCTTATAAAAGACCTATCAGTTTAATGATAATCAAATTATCTTTCATTAAGATGAGATTAACCAATTCTTACAATTCAGTATATTGTCTGCTCTTGGTTTTCTATTTTATGCCCACAGAAAGAAAAACAACAATAGTGTCCCCTGGGCATCCAAAGCCTTAGTCTAGAGGAAAACATAATCAAAGTGGGAGTGATTGACAAGGGAGAGAAAGGAAGACTCAGTTTCTTCAGAATTTCACGTAATCCATGACAGTTTTCAAAGGTTTACTACGTGAACTAAAACATGATTGGGGGAGCTATAACTTCGAAATCTACTGTAGTCCCTGGGTTCCTATTTGGAAGGTACTCCATTTCTTTGGGAGAAATTCACCACCCTGCCAACTGATTCCTTTCCTAGAGCCTGGATTCTAAACTGCTAATGTCAATAAACAAAACTTAGAACTTTACAAATCAAATCTCTCTGTAGCTTTTCAAATTTTTAAAATTTTAATTTTATTTGTAATATGTTTGAGAGTCTATTCACTCCTTCCTGTAGTCTTCTATCCTATGTGACTGGAATCCTGAATTAAGTGCAAAATCTGATTCCAATGATAACTACTCAAATCATTTTGGCAAAAAATAAAATATATCTGAGAGAAGTTTGCCAATAATATTGAATAACATTAGAAAATGTTCATAGACTTTTGAATTAAGTAAAATAACTGGCTACAAAGTTAATCGATAACATGGCCCCAAGTTTTGATTATAAAATATGTATATTTTATCATATGAATATAGAATATATATAAGCTGAACACATGTAAATACAACATAGAAACATCAAAATGCGAGGAATGCTCTGTCAAATTAGTGGAATTTGTTGACTTATTTTCTTGTTTATATTCCTCTCTACTTTTTATCAATAACCATCTATTTTATAATCAATACAAATCCATTTTAGTAGTTAATAAACTTTCACATTCTATTGTATACTCTTAGAATAGTGACTATGTCCTATGCATCCTTGAATCACTAAAATGAAAGATAAAACCATCTGCCACATGCAACTTATTATCTGTATTAACAGAACTCTACTCCACCATTAGGCTGTCTTCACCAATGTCATTTTACTATTCCACTGCCTTCATCAACCCAAGTTTGCTATTCCAGGAACCTCTTGCCCAGGTTGCAAGTAATTATATTGTTCATTTAGAAGCTTCCTGGAAAAACCATTTAAATGAACATCAGACGGTTAGGCTTTCCAATGGGTAATAGAATCATGTGAAAAGTCTTCAAAGCTCTGTAAACCCTCACTTCAAAGCCTTCTCACTAATATAAGCTATTATATCATAGTTCTTTTTCAATTCTAGTCATCCCTTCCCCTACCACCACTGCATTGAAAAACCCTCCATAAATCGGAGTCTGAAACCTCATAAATATCCTAACTTTGCTATTCCTCTTTCAGGAGGCCAGAAGACTCTGCAAGGTAGTGCTCTCATTTGTTAAAAACTTAGCTTTGTCATCTGAACAGGCTCACCTGGTGTTGGTTCTTTAGGGAAGCCTGCATTTGACCAAGTGCAAGTAGTAGAGGACCTTCCACAATAGTTATTCAATAAGTATGTGTTGAAATAATGTTCAAATATTTTAATTCACTGAACTATTGTTAATGTCTTAGCATCTCTAGGAATTCTCTAGAGTCTTTGACTCTACCCCCTTTGAATACAATCATAGAATAGCAATGTACTTAATTTTTAAGTACATTAGTGGGTGCATTTCCATTGAAGAAGCTAAATTTATACTTGGATATTTGGTCTCCCTTCAAAAAGCATACTCCAATGATTATTGTTCCATCTGAAAAAATGTTTTCCATACGGTTTCGTTTTATTTCCCATAGAAAATTTGATATTTAGCTTTATTACAACTAATGGTATTAATTAATTTTCATTGTCTGAGTTTTCTTATAGGGTTTGTTTTGAAATATTCAATTAATAATAGAATTTAGTGAAGCTACTAAGAAATGAAGTGAATACATGATTTCTGGATGTCTGTCTTTGTAATTATTTCTAGACCTTTGTAAGTAAAGCCTTCTCTTTTCTTCATCAGCTTAACATTGAAGAACTTAAGAATGTGCAATGAGAGTTAAACTTCGAATCACGCATGGCAATCAGTGCCTACTCATGCCATTTCACTTCAAAGGGACGGTGTCTAGAAACATTCTTTTTACAAGGCATTGATATATGTAAAGAATGTATCAATG
The DNA here is from genome assembly GCF_000001405.40 of Homo sapiens. Lineage (NCBI taxonomy): Eukaryota > Metazoa > Chordata > Mammalia > Primates > Hominidae > Homo > Homo sapiens. The sequence continues at coordinate 76,158,911 of NC_000008.11, read as the reverse complement.
AATAGATGATGGTGGTGTTTCAGTTACAAAAGCAGAGAAAGAAATTTGTTACTGAAGGCAAACTTGTACACCTGGGCAAAGCACTTGCATTCTTTTAAGTTCTGTCAAAGGTAGTACTTCTCAAACTTAAATATGCATGCAAATCACCTGAGGAATCACAGAAGAATTCAGATTCTCATGTGAAGGTCTAGAGTGGGGCTTGACCCTCTGCATAATAAGCTTCCAAGTGATGCTGATACAGCTTGTCCACTTTGAATAACAAGGATTTAGTTGAAAGAAACCCTGAATCATGGACATACTTTGATTTATCTCTGCTCTTTCTTGATTTGGACTCATTAAACCAACTTCAGATTACAATTTGCCTTCTCTGTTGGTTTATCTAAATAGCAGTATTGTTAATCCCAAGATTGTATCCCTTATGGTGAATAAACATGTGGACATTCCAGATTTATGCATTTAGGCATTTATTTCTGTGAGGTTGGTTAATGTGCATTTGTTTCAGATGAGGTTAATAAAATAATAATAGCTAAGACTTATTTTGTATTATTATTGCATCTTATTATTAAAATAATAATAGCTAAGACTTAATACTCTTTGTATTCATTCATTCTCATGCTGCTAATACAGACATAACTGAGACTGGGTAATTTATAAAGGAAAGAGGTTTAATTGATACACAGTTCTGCAGGGCTTGGGAGGCCTCAGGAAACTTAAAGTCATGGTAGAGGGGAAAGCAAACAAGTCCTTCTTCACATGGCAGCAGCAAGGAGAAGTGCTGAGCAAAGCAGAAGAAGCCCGTTATAAAACCATCAGATCTGGTGAAAACTTACTCACTGTCATGAGACCAGCTTGAGGATGAACACCCCAATGATTAAATTACCTCCCACTGTGTCCCTCCCATACGCATGGAGATTATGGGAACTACAATTCAAGATGAGATTTGGGTGGATACATAGCTAAACTATATCACAGTTTGACAGGCATAAATATTATATACACAGAACAATCTTATCTAGTCCTCACTGGAATCTTATTACATACTATTATGAGTCTTATTACATGGATAAGAAGATTTGCTTTTGGGAAGGTTAAATAATTTGCTTAAAAAAATAAGCAGTAAATGAATAGTAGAACCAGGCTTTAACTCAGGCTATCTGGCCTTCTGATAGACAGAATAATGGCCTCCATAGGTTTCTTCCTCCTAATCCTCAAATCAGTGAATATGTTATTTTACATGTCAAAAGAGACTTTCCAGCTGTGATTAAGTAAAAGATCTTGACATGGGGAGATCATCTTGGATTATTCAGGTGGGCTTATGGGAATCACAAGAGTTTTTCTAAGACAAAGAAGAATACAGGAGAATCAGAGTCAGAAAAAGAAAATCTGATAATGGAAGCAGAGGTTGGAATGATGCTCACTGAAGATAGAGGAAGGGGCCATAAGCCAAGGAATGCAGAAGGCCTTTCTAGAAACTGGAAAAGGCAAAGAAACACTGTCTTCTAGAATCTTCAGAAGGAATTCGGTCCTGCCTGTACCTTGATTTGGGGTCTAAACCTTGATTTTGAACACAAAATGAATGTGTGTTGTTATAAGCCACTAAATGTTTGGTAGTTTGTTACAGTAGCAATAGGAAACTCAGACAGGACCTGAAGCTTAAGTTGTTCAATCATCTTTCAGCCTCTCAGAATAAGATAGAGGCAGAGAAAATGGAAAGGATGACTGAAAGCAGCTTCTAAAAGAAAGAAGCAATAAAACTGATGACAACTGAGGAATAACTTTTTTTTTTTTTTAGTTTGTAATGGGCACGGTACTTGGCCCTTTACAGACAATATTGTGTACACCACCCTTGACAATTTTTTGAGAAATATCTCTCATGGCAAAAAGTTTTCAGTATTAGAGAATTAATTTGATTTGGGGTCATGTCGAAAAGTATTCAAGCCAATCATGCCTTGATTGCAATGATGGGAACCTCATTAGAAGATATTTTATGGCTTCAGAGGTAGAAAGGAAGAGATTTTAAATAGCAATATTAAATTTTAAAATGTATTATTTAACATAAATTTTTAAATTGACAGATAAGATGTATGTGCTTGTCAAATACAACATGATATTTTACTGATTTTATTGTTGGAATTTGAAACTTGTTCTAATGGTAAGAAATATGTTTCACAAATAATGTGGTAAATGCCAGCTTCATTGAAGTAAATGTACAGCATCTGAATTGAGTGCTTTTTGAAAGAACATTCATTCTGAGGTATAAGTTCCAATGGTGTTCATTAAAAATATAAACTTGTTGCTTTATAGACAGAGGTCATACATAAATCATTATTATTCTACTTGTGACTGAGCAACAGAGCATTGTAAGTGGGTGGCTTTTCTTTCTGAACTAACCTGCCTGCCCCGGGAGCCTGGAGCAACCACTTACCGTTTATGTGGCTGTGGCCAAGTTATTACCTTCTGTATGCATCGTGTTCACTCTTTGGTAAATGGAGATAATAATAATAATTGCATTTCCAGTATAAGGTTATTATAAGGATTAAATGAATGAATCTTTGGAAAACACTTAGAAAGCTTGGAGCGTAAGAAAACACTATATAAATAAATATTTGTAAATAAATCAGAATTTCTCAACTGAGAAATATAGAAAGTCTTACATTCTGAGTGAACAGCATATGCCTAGAATTTAGGTGAACAGAAAATAATTTGCAACAATGAGAAGTTGTTTTAACTGCAAAATTCACTGTAATGTTTTGTAGCTAATTTTTTAAAGATGTGCTTAGAAGTGTAAGTGGAAAAAATAGTTGGAACACCAAATTACAATATGTTTAAAATTCTTCTGTCATCTAAATGTCCTTAGATAGACTATATCCTATCTTCCTGTGATATATTATTATATTTACTTTTCATTTAGTATAATCTTCCAACCATTGCAGTGGGTAGCATTCTTTAATACAAGAATACAGACATATTGTCCTCCCCAAGTTTTTGGTCATCTTATTCTCCTTCCATAAAACTATATTTAATGATCTCTTTTAAACTGGCACTGTTCCCCAAATGTTTCAGGTTTAGACTGTTCACTCACCGTCCATTTCATCACTAACTATTTTCATTAGCCTCCAATTTGTGAGTAAAGTTCTCTAAAAATTTATATCCTTAACTTTCTCATTTCTTTGCTAAAAATAATCCATAATTATTTCCATCTTAATTTTTATTTCAGTGTCAGTTATAAATTACTCTCTTCTACTTAGTTGGAGATCACTTGAGACTTATTAGTTAATGATTGAAATCTCTTTGCATTCATTATTATTTCAGATTTTAGCCTTTTATTTGACAATATTTAATTTAATCCAATTCTAACAACATTTGCTGAAAACCCATTTGCAAGAAAACATAGTGCTAGGCTCTGTAGAAGTAAAACTATGAAGAAAATATCCTTTTTCTCAAGAAGCATACTGCCTGATAAGGAATGACATGTACATATATAGCTTTTTGAAAAAGTGAAAAAGATTAGTTCTGGATTTATGCGAAGGTTAAAAAAATGGTAGATAATTTCTTTGAATCTTGGGCCCAGTTTCACTGAAATCATAGCTTGGTCCCTTCTGCGTCTCTTGGTGACAATTAGGTCTAATGGTCTCATTTCCTTATGGGATATCAGGAGCTGAGCAAAGGATAAAATATTTTAAATCTTTTCATCAACTGTTGTTTGTCTTCATATATGTCACTAAATTTCCCGTAACTGTTCATTTCCCTTTACATTATAAGAAATCATAGAAATATTATCACATAAAGATCTTTATAATAATACACTTTTGAATTAGCTACCCACCCTCCTCAAATATTGGAAGTATTATAATTTCTCATAAGAAAGATCTAAGAGTTTGTGTTCATACAGAATGACTGCTAGTTAACTCGGGAATGAAGACTCTATTTCAGATTAATGTGCATTTCATATTTTCATATAGCTTATACTAATATTATTGCTTTTGCTTTTTCCATGTTATTCATAGATTTTAAAGCTTCAGAAATCTGGTTTTAAATAAGAAAGTCTTTACATGCATTTAAATATATCTAGGCCTAGTTGATTTGTTACCATTTATTTCCTTCATCAAGAATTCCAAGTAGTGGCATCTGCATGAGAGCTATTCATATGCTGCTTGAAAACTTCCTGTTTAATTGTTGGTAATAGAAAATCTCATTCTGCACTACAGAGCTTATTTATATTGAATTTTATTTCTACCATTGAAGAACAATTTGTGCTTAATACTCATGTCTGTTCTTAAGAGACTATATATATTTGTGTGTATAGGTATGTATAACATATATATGTATATGTATGTATACATACATATGTGTATGTGTATACCTATATGTTATACATATGTGTATATGTATACATATATATGTTTAAGTTAGACAAAATATTAAGGTAACAAAAACTTCATTTTCTTCAGGAAATTTGCATTAATACCCCCATAAATACAAAGGTTTCTTCTATTCTATTCTGACCAGTGAAAAATGCTTTTCTTGCTACCATCTCCTTTATCACCGGACTAAAAAAAAATTGTACCAGCAATAAACAACTGGAATATTCCCATTAATTTGGATGCTTTTGAAGAATAGCCAAAGGACATGGAAAAATGCAAAAAAATAAAAGTTATTAGATTTTTTGGTCACAGTTCCTCAATACATTAATTGGTTTTATTAGTGACTTTAATTTTTTTAACATCTTGTAGCTATACCAAAAAGGATTGAAATTATCCTGAAAAAGGATTGCTGCTATTGTTGCCTTCTCTGCATCGTGCTGTGTCCCCAAGAAGAAAACAGGTAGCTAGTTGCAGAAATCATCTTCAACTCTAGCTTTCATAATGGAATGACAATGCCAGCATATTATTCTTTCCTTTCTCTCCCTTCTAGTTCATGTGAAGGAAGAGATTAGTTCCACTCATGAAAATCTGAAGATTTATATTGTCTCTGGTTTCATGTGATTATGTCATGTGTGTCAAGAGCCAACAGTTAATAAATATGTACTGAACACACATTTCATGGTAGGCAAATTGCCACTTAATATCAATGTGGTTTAGGTTCTAACAGTTATAGTGCTTCCTGCTGTACAAGAGTTGGGTATCAAAGGAGGAAGAAATGAAACACTTCTCTGGAAATATCCACTTACATCTACTGTCCTAATAGGATTTAATGGTATTTGAGGATATCCTGAAGAAAAGAATGTGAACCATGTTCACCATTGGAGTGAAGATGAATGAAAACAGGTCTGATTGACTGTGGTAGGTAGCCCCAGTAGGAGTCAGGTGACATTAAAATATAGAAGATTTTGATCCTAAATTTAAGGGAGGAAGAGAGGTCCCAGCTCTATATGATACCGGTAAGAGCGTCCTCTTTTATCTCTTCCCCAGTAGAATTGCACTTTCAAGGATCCTGTTCTATGAGCACCATCCCCTGTATTTTCAAATAATTGTCTTCTAATATTGTACTCAAATTATTATTTGATCACATTAAATCCCACAATTAATTGATTTATCTTACCACTTGCTCCTTTTCTCACCTGGATCTATTGTTTGACTTTATAATCACTGACATGCATACAACTCCATAGCTTTCCATGTACCTAGGAAAATAAGCAAAGTTTCTAAAATCCAAGTTTCTACCCACTTAACACCTGTTCAAAGAGAACTGATCTTTGTTAAAGAAAGGTAAATGAGCATCCTGACAAGTTTCACAGTAAATCTGACTGCTAACTTCAAGTGGCTAGCAATTCTACATAGTACAATAGTCATTTACTCTCTTACTCTTCTAGAAAACTATTTTACACCTTGGCCTCTTTCTCTGAATATATTTTCCCAATTCTTTACTCTCTGCAGAAGACTTATTTCAAAAAAGAAATTTCACATGCTACCATATTCACATCTACTACTCTCTAGCTGCCAGATAGCTCTCATCATCATAAAACTTGCTTCAATATATTCCATCAACAAAAAGGAAAAAACATTGCCACAACCTCCCCCTTCCATTCCTCTTTTCCTCATCAGATAAAAAACATTTGAAGCAATTGTCAGTATACATATTTGTTCTTCCTCTCTTTGAACATCTTATATTTAGCATTTTCCCCGTCACTCACAAAAAAAACAGCTGTAGTCAAGATTATCAATTATCTTGGTTTGGGTTCCTCACAAAGTAAATCAGGAGACAGGACCTGGGTACAGATAGTTTATTTGTAGGTAAACAGAAGCACAGTTATGGAAGTGGAGAAAGTGAAATTGAAAAGTGGCAAAAGTCACCAGAAGTTGTATGAACCAGCAAGATTCTCCACATGGGACACTGGTACCCACTGGGAACCTTCTGAGAAATTGTGTGGCACATACCTTGGAAGTTGTTACCAGTTGAATACACCCTGAAGCTGAAGCTTCGGGTGAACTAAAGGATATGGGGCGGGGCATCTGCACCACTCAGTCTTATTTCTTCCATCTTACTAGCTCAGTTTCCTTTTCTACATTCTCCTCCTTTGAATAATGGGGTGTCCAGGTCCAGTTGTTTTAGGGTCCAGTTGTTTTGGGTAATCTCATCTAATTACAGATGAGAATTACATATAATGAAAATTTTAACTCCAAATTCACATATCTAATATCCACTTGACATGGCATCCCCACTTTGACTTTAGTAGCTCTTCTGCACAAACCATGTAAAATATATTTCACAGCATTCCCCTCCAACTTGATTCCTCTAACCTTCCCCAACTCAATAAATAGATGCTCCATTTTCCCAGTGTCCAGGCCTGTTATGTTCCTTCCTTTAGCATGTGTATGGCTCATTCCCTTACTTCATTCAGGACTCTCTTTAAATTACCAGAAACAAAAATCCTTCTGCAATGAAACTATGTAAAATACCATTCTAACCACCCTTAACTGTGCCATGTTTTTCTTTATACTCATCACCACCTGAGATATACATTTGACTTGCTTATTATTTGCCCAGTGCTAGAATGTACATTCCTTATGGGGACAATGTTTTATTCACTGCTGTGTCACCAGCAGCTAGTTCATGGTCTGGCACTTGTTAAAGACTCAACAAATATTTGTTGAATACATGAAAAAGGGTCTCTGAAAAAAAGCTAAAACAAACAAACATTTTTAAAAAATTGGAGTTTGATCTGCTGGAGGGGAATTACCAATAGGTTTGGAGAATGGAAAATTGTGATGATGCCAGGAACAGTATGGCAATTGACAAAAGACCCAATTCTAACACAGGTACTTATGCACCACATATGTGCCATGGGAGAAAGGACTTGGTGACTTTAAGAACTGGCAACACTTTGACACTTAAGTGACACTTTGGTGAATGTAGAGACTACATTCATTTTTATCTTTCTATCTCCTCACTGCTTATGTTCAATTTCAGAAACAGACCATTGTGAATATCTGCAATTGAAATGGTCGAAGCACGTTCTCCACCTTTTTAGTTCCTCACATTGTGAATCCTGTTTTTCCAAGGGGAATAAAAATTCGTCAAAATAACTGGGGAAAAATCTACGTTTCTCAACCTTCTTTGATACTAGGATACTGATATAAGAACTTAACATCTCTCAGTCAGACACACTCATGCAAACCTTTTATTTATAAGTTAGCTACATGAGGGGAAATTCTAAATGTAGGGCATCCATTTTGCTGGTGAAAGAGTTGGTGAGGAAGAGTTTCTAATGAAATCCTGGTCATACAGAAGTAGCGTAGTTTAGAGGTTGTCAATGGCAGCTGTCTCTTTGCTAGATCTGTGGTGCGATTTGGGGAGTTTATTTTGGCAGCTCAGCCTACTGTCTGTTCCTTTAACTCTTCCAGTAACTTTGTAAACACTTTATTATATTTTAATCAATACATTCGTGATCAAACCAGCTAGAATAGTCTGTTATCTACAAGTAAGAATGCTAAGTAATGCACAGTACACATACAACAGCCAAGAGTAACACAGAAGGAGCATTCTGACTTACTGTGGAAGAGCAGTAATAAGAGCTAGAGGCCATTATCCTTAGCAAACTAACACAGTAACAGAAAACCCAATACTGCGTGTTCTCACTTATAAATGGGAGCTAAACAATGAGAACACATGGACACATAGAGGACGGCAACACACAGTAGGGTCTATCACAGGGTGGAGGGTGGTAGGAAGGAGGGGATCAGTAAAAATAACTAATGGGTACTAGACTTAATACCAGGGTGACAATCCAAACAACAAAACCCTATGACACAAGTTTACCTACATAAGAAACCTGCACATGTACCCCTGAACTTAAAATAAAAGTTAAACTTTAAAAAAAGAACTTACAGAAACTTTCTAGTTAGAATTTTTTCTTTTAAAAAATATTGACTTTATTTATTATGAATTGAGCTTACAAGAGCCCCAGTGTTGAAGGGCAGATGACAAGTGTTTATATGGCATCAAAGGTGACACTAAGAATGGTCACTCTCTCGACTGGGCGTGGTGGCTCACACGTGAAATCCCAGCACTGTGGGAGGCTGAGGTGGATGGATCACCTGAGGTCAGGAGTTCGAGACCAGACTCGCCAACATGATAAAAACCCGGTCTCTGTTAAAAAATAATAAAAAAAAAATAGCTGGGCATGGTGGTGGGCCCCTATAATACCAGTATTAGAAGGCTGAGGCAGGAGAATCGCTTGAACCCGGGAGGTGGAGGTTGCAGTGTGCCGAGATCATGCCATTGCATTCCAGCCTGGGCAACAACAGCAAAACTCCATCTCAAAAACAAAAAAGAAAGAAAGAAAGAAAAAAAAATGTTCACTCTCTCTCTCTCTTTCTGTCTCATATCTGTAACCACTTCCTTCTTCATCTATATGTTGACAAACCTGATGAAAATCTCTGAAAATTGCTAAGTAGGAAATTGTAACCGTGAACACTGAGAGGACCTCACATGGTTTTATGAATAAAAAAGAAAAGATAGAGATTTAAAGAATAAATAAATCAAGCTTATGTGTAGGAAAAAATCAAAATAATACATCAGAATGTTAGCAGTGGTTATGTTGAGATGATGGAACTAGCAATATTTTTTGTGTATCTACTGTTGCACTTTATTTTCCAGATTTTCTTTAATGAACATAGATTTTTATGACAAGAAATAATAAGCATGTAGAAGGTCCTGAAAATAATAATCTTTGTCTTATTGATGCAATCCCAGTCAATCAGTTCCATACCTTAATATGGGCTGGCCTTCAGAAATATAGTGACTATAATAGTGACTGGAATGAAATCCTGGTATATGAACTGGCCGTCAGTTGAAATGTCAGGAAACAGGCTGCTTGACTACCAGTTTGCCTGGCTGTACTGATAGGCAATGGCTGGGACTACTGCAGGGCCATACTGTGTGGATATTAAGCAGGGGGAGATAGGAAGACATTTTTCAATGAGTAAATTCTATCCAACACTGAATTTTTTATGGTCAACAAAGCTATAGCTTGGAACCATGATGATTTAAACAATAGTGCAGTGGATATCTCTTCTCATTGTCTGGTAATATATGTAATTCTGGGGTTTAGAAGGATACTGGGTATCCTTAAAAATTCCATATCTCAAAAAATTCCAATTGCATGCCTACTGGAATGCAGATTTTGGTTTATAGGACCATATCTGTCTTTATTACTTTATCCATAGCACCCAATGTAGTACATGACACAAAATAGGAACTCCAGCACCATAATCATTTGTTAAATACACCACTGAATGAACACAGTTCAAAATTATTTGAGAAGCACAAATGTTTAAAAATCTAAATTGTGTAAGATGAAAGATTTCAAACTATAAGCACAATAGTTCTGATTTCATGAATGGCAAAGATAATTTTAAAATAGGTTAAAAATTTCATTCTTACATATTTTCATCAAAGTGACTACAAAATGACAAATGCCATACAATGTGTTTCATAAATGTCAGTTGCACCAAATATACCATAATATAAATCACTACTATTTCTTCTAATCTCAACAATTGATCATGTACAGGTAAATGTGATTGTGTAGTCACCCACATAAGTTAATACTGTAACAAACATCATTGCAGTTGATTGGGCTTAGCCTCAGCTCTCTGGGCTTTGCAAGGTAATATCAAAAACATAGTTTGTAATTAAACTGGAGAAAACACTTGTATGTTAAGTTATCAGAATGGAGACTGTCCACTCAACTTTCATCAACATTTTGAGTCAGGTCTACTCTTGTAGATGTCACAAACTCATAGTCTTACTGAGTACCAAGAATCTTTTCTAAAGCATCAACCAATGTATTAAGGTATTTAGGGTAAAAATGTAAAAATCCTACGATAACAGCTATGTGAGTTTCATTTTATTCAGCTCCTAAGCATTGGTGCTACCTAACACATGAAAAACACAATTACTTAGCATCACAGTGGACATAAAACCTCCAATTTTAGAAGGGCAGCTACAACAATGAATATTCTCCAAAGCACTAACAATCTTCAGTCTAATGAACAGTCTTTAGTCCCCTTCCTCATTGGATGTTCATCAGCATTTTTCTTTCTTTTTCAAAAACCTTCTATTACCACACTTTTACATGACAGCCATTTTTCAATGACACGAGAAAGGCTGAAGATGCTAAGTCCAAGTAAATAAATTTAAACAAAACTATATGAAAACAATATATTTCCAAATATTTCCCTCCTTAACTTCTACCCCCCACACCCCTAATATTCTAGCCAGATTAGACAAGGATGAAAGATTAATGGGGTTCGGTTTGGAGTCAGAAGACCTAGTATCTAACACTTGCTCTATTATTTAGTAGCTATATAGCCTTGGGCAAATTTTGAAATGTCTTCAAACTGTGTATCTTTATCCAGAAATTATTGATGATAAAAACTTAATGTTATGAGACATCATGGGGATAAAGTGAGATTCTATTACAAACAATATGTTATACTAATAGTTATTACTTTTAATTAATCAAGTTTATTTGGAACTATAACTTCAAAACAATATGTAAGAAATTTTTCACAATTATAGTCCACAATTACGCATCTTTATCTGCCAAAATACCAGTATTGTGTTATCCAGTAATCTTCATATACAATTTCTAAGTTTTTTTTTAGTGCCTGGCACCTAGTAAATTTTCAACAAATATTTAATACTTGACTAAATGAATATATTCACAGCCTTCATAAAATTACATGTGATACTGTATCTTACTATTGTTGTAAATGCTGATACCTCTGAAACAGATTTATTGAGAAGTCAACTAAGCCATGTGAAGAATATTTACATGGCGTTTCTTTCATCTCTAGTCCGTGATCCCATTTTCTGCTCCCTAAATTCTGAACTTAGGGTCATATGCCATGACTAAAATTTAGTCTGCCTTATATAAAACTCCAATTTTCCAACTGGTTCTGGGGTTCAACCCTTGCCTTCTCCACTAGCTGAATTCGTGGCTAGAATGGAGATTCTGCCACTTCTCGATTTTCATTTTCCTTGATTCTAAGCATTTAAAACAGGTGATCATTCCCTCCTTCTTTAAACCATGTCTTCACTTGACCTCCTTGGACACTGCATTCTCTTGGGCTTGCCCTTCTCCAGTGGCTACCTGTACTCAGCTTCTTTTGCCAGGTCTACTTCTCTTTCTGCTGTCTCAGCGTTGAAGTACTACAGGGTTTGCCCTTAATTTCCTTCTTTTTTCACACTCACGTTCAAAGCAATTTCACCCTGCCATGGTTTTAAATGCCATTCATATGCACATGCCACCCAAATACATTTCTTCCTTGTTACCCAGATTTACTCAACCATCTTATATCTCGTTACTGGCATTTCAAACTTAAAAGTGGCCAAGGCAGAACCTCTGATTTCCATCCTCATCCCATCATCCCCAGTTCAGGAAATGACTAACATTCATCCAGTTAATAAGACCAAAAAGGAGGAATAAACCCTGACTCTACTGTTTTCCTTACATTCCACATTCAGTAAGTTTTTCAAGAAGTATTTTTAGCTCTCTCTTCAAATTTATCAAGATTCTGACCATGTCTATGGTTCACTGTGTCCACTGCACCCAATTTAGTCCAAACCACCATCTTCTCCCTCCTAGATAGCATAACAGATGCATAGTATAATGGATGCAAGCTTGTTTCATCTTCATCCTGCCTTTATTCTAGAGTGCTTTTCTTTTCTGGAAGTTCTGGAAATTAGAAACCACATTTTCCAGACTCATTGCAGTAAGACTTCTTAAATGTGATTTTTCTTTTTCAGTTAGATATGTTGGCTCGAACTTGGAAAGACAGAATCTTTCTGAATCCAGATATCTTCCTGAATCTTTGGCTTTATTTTTCCTTGAGCACTAGCAAATTTATGGAAAATGAGTTTTATTCTGCAGCAGTATTCTAGGGCCCTGTCTCTAATTTCCTGAGTATGGAAAGGCAGTTGTGGCATCATGAATGATAACCAACAACATCTTGACTCTAGCTTTTTGATTCCTGTATGTCAGAAGTCAGGCTATAGCTCACTACTCTAATCATTCCATAGAATTTGTAAGCTAATTCCTTGCATCAAATTTCTTCAAGCTTAAAATAGCTAGTCTTATTTTTAATTTTCTACACTGACAGAACTTTTAATTGGTATTCCTGTTTCCACTCTTACCCCTTAAAGTCACTGCTTTACTCAGCAGAGAGAATAATCATATCATCTTACCCTACTTCACATCTTCCAATCTCCTCCCATCTCATTGAAAATTGACTTCATCTTCTTCACTACAAGATACAAACCCATTCATGATCTGTTCAGTACCTACGTTTTGAACACATCTCTTCCCACTCTCCTCCTTATTCATCTCACTCTGGACACTCTTAATTTATTCACCACTCCCCTAATAAACCAAGTATATTTTGTCTCAAGATATTTGCACTTATCTTCTCTTCCTGGAATGCTCTACCTTCAGATCTCTTGCTTTCTTATGCATTTCCTTCACATCTCTCTACAAATACCACCTTATGAAGGGAGATTTCACTCTAAATTTGTGTTACATATTTGCTATTTCTTGGCCAATCTCTTCTACAAGAATAAGGGTCCCATGAGGAAAGGGATTTTTCCTGTCTTATTCTTCACTCTCTTTATAGCATGTAGAATAGTTCCTGGCATGTGAAAGAAACTAATATATTATATATATATATATATTATATTATCATATATATTATCATATAATATATATCTATATATCTATATATCTGTATCTATATCTATATCTATATCTATATAAAATGGCAGGAGGATCAAGCCCAACATGACTACTTTACTTGGAAAATGAGAAACACTCTAAGATGTAAACACATAATGTATGCTTTATAATATACAGAGATTGTTATTGCTACTGTGTGAGAAGGAAAAAATATGTTGTTAAAAGTATTGTGATCTACACTAAAAGCAAGACCACCATATAGGTCCCTGGCCTTATTGAACCCTAGTTTATTTTTCATGATTGCTTCCGTAGCAGTTAAAAAAAGACTACCCATCAACTCATCATTCCAACATGGCACATGTATACCTATGTAACAAACCTGCACGTTGTGTACATGTACCCCAGAACTTAAAGTATAATAATAATAATAATAATAATAATAAAAAGAGAGAGACTAATGTCATTCAGGCAGCACTCCTTTTGTTGTTTTATTGTTGTTTTCATTGAATATTGAATATTGAAACCTCAAGTCATCGTTTTCTTATTCAATAGGTAAATGTTGCAGTCAACTCATGACAGGAAAAAAGGAAACACATAAGAATGATTAAAATGTGTCTTTAATTTAAGTATGTTGACAGAATAAATTTTTATTCCAACGGGTACAAAATAAAAATAAATTATATTTTCCAGGTGAAAAAGTTGATTGAGTTTTAAATACACTGTATTTAGTTTTATACACTGTATTTAGTTTTATACAGTGTATTTAAAACTAAATACATTGGATTTAGTTTTTAGCATATATATATACACATACACACATATTATATATATATATATGCTGTGTATATATGCAGCTATAACATACTATATATTAAATATATAATATATTTTCTATATATAGTTATATACATATACAACATATTTAAAACTAAATCAACTTTTTCATCTGGAAAATATAATTTATTTACATTTCTTTCATTTATTTTTATTTCACACCACTTGGAATACAAATTTATTATTTAAAAATATATATATTTTTTATATTTATTTATATATGTCATGGAACTCAGGAATATAGCATCTTCCTATAGCTCATATATGACATTACTGAAACCTTAAAGTGGTTTCAAAAAATAATGGAAATTGCTCTTCAATTACTGCTCAATATCATCTAGGTCAAAATTCAAATAATTGTTTTCAGCTGACATTGTCCAGTGTTCAAATGGGCAGAACTATATAACCATCTCCTGCACATCAGTTTTGCCGTTATTTGGGAGCATGGTGAGCCTGTCATAATGCTGAATTCTTTAAAATAAGCTGACTGACAGGTGTTGAAATGAAGATATTCTATGGTTAAAAACTCTGCTAGAAAATAAACACGAGAAAAATAGTTTTTAAGAGCTATGCCCTAAGTGCATCAATAACTTTATAAAAAATCTTTCTCCTTTTGTCAGCACACAATCACTGAAATTAGCCGAAGAATGAAGACTTTAAATTAAAAGCCAGCTGATACTGTTTGATTATTAGAATCTTTGGAATTCAAGTGGAAATGTGATGTGGCGATTCTGAGTGTGATTAGGTTTCTTTTGAAATTCGAGATTTGTTTGCATCTTATCAGTCCCTTCTTTTTCATTTTTGTAAAGTTCACAGTTAAGTGCCCCAACTTTAAGGATAAAATTCAATGAGCTTTTACAAATGTACACACCCAAAAAACAAAAATCTTAACCAAGATATAGAATCTTTTCACTAATATTGGAACTTTCCTCATGCCCTATTCCAGGCATTTCCATCTCCTATAGGCAACTATTATTTCACATTTTTTTAAGCTTTTCATAGTCTTAAGCTTCATGTAAACAAAATCAAAGAGTGTGAATTTGTGTCTGTTTTTTTGCCATAGCATAATAATAATTATTATTTTTAAGATGTCCCCTTATTGTTGTATATGTTATTGATTTTAAGTTGTTCTTCTTGGTAATATAGACATTTAAAGTTATCAATTTTCCTCTATGGCCTGTGTCCTCCAAATTTCAGTGTGTTTTTTTTTAACTCAAAATTCACTTGAAATATATATATTTTTTTCTTTATGGACCATATGTTACCTAGAAAAATGCTTTTGATTTTGAAATATTTCAGTCTTCCTATATCTTATTTTTACTGTTTTATAATTTAATTTCATTATAGTGAAAAAGATCTATAAAATTTAATTTTAAAAAGTGTTAAAAAACTTATTTTATGCCCAGAATATTAATTATCTTAAAAAATATTACATATGAACTTGAAAATAATATAAATACTGTAGTTTTAGGGCTAATATCTTATAAATCCTAAGTTACTTTGCTTGATCATGCTGTTCAAATATTCTATATTTTTACTGATTTTTGTCTAATTCAATCAATAATAAAAGTGGGTATTAAAACATTCAGCTATGATTATCAATGTATCTAATTTTACTTTTTAGATCTGCCCATTTTTTTCTTCATATGTTTTAACATTTACAATTTTTGTATCTTCTACTCAATTGCCCTTTCATTGCATAAATAGTCATTCTCTTTTTCCAGTAATGTTTCTCATCCAGAAGTCTAATTTGTCTAATACTGATATAGTCACACCAGCTTTCTTATATTGTCTGTATTTGCATGATATGCTTTTTACCTTCATTTTCCTTTTAACCTACCTGTATTTTTATAAGGGGATCAAATATGTGTCCAATATTTGATCAAATATGTTCTATTGTTTACTCCATTTTTAATATAATTATTGATATGACTTGATTTAGGTTTGCCATCTTGCTACGTATTTGTTGTTTGTCCCATCTTTTAATTGTTCTTTTCCATCTCTTTTCTTGTTTTTTTTTTTTATTAATTACATATTTTAGTATTTCTTTTTATCTCCATCTGTCTTATTGGCCATAACATGTCACACTCTAACTAGAATTAATATTTATCCTTTATATAAAGTATAAAAACCTTAGATAATAATTAGACCTAACTCTAGCCTTTTTGTACTTTTCTCACATAATTTATTAATACTTAAATTATAAACTCCACAATATATTAGTTTTAAATGTTCAAAAATTTTTTCAAATAATTAAAATAAGGAAAAGAAAGTAAGTTTTAAATATTTACACATAGCTACCATTCTTGATGCTTTTTATTGTTTTCTGTAGATCTGACTTTACATTTGTTGACATTTCTCTATACCTGAAGGCCTACTTTTAGTATATGTTGTAGTACAGGAAACTTAACTCAACTTTTATTTATCTAAAGATGTTTTTATTTCACTCTCACATGTGAAGAATATTTTTTTCTAAGTAAAGAATGTTGGATTGATACAATTTTGTAATGAGAAATTTTATTTACCAGACATACTAGTCATTGGTTTTTACAGATTTTCCATCTATATCCATATGAATTTGAGCACCAGAAATGTCTATAATTTTTAGGTCATTACCAGTTGTCTTCATTCAGTTAGGCATTAGCATAATATCATTGACTTCTACAGTCATAAATGCATTAAGAAAAATTTTTTGTCTTCTATAAAATCATTATTAAATGTATTTTTATCAGCGTCTCTCACATGAAGATTTATAATCCTATTTGAATTTAGAAATAGAAAAAATGTTTATCTAAATGAAAAAATTATGTTTTTTTCAATCTGCTAATTATATGAACCACGATATTTTCTTTCCTTTTTACCTTGGGAGTCAAAACTAATCTTAAGGATCAGTCTGAATAACTGCACTAGCATAAAGTGTAGCATAAAACTAAATTGCTTGTCTGTGTATTCTAACGTTCTCTTATTTTAATTGTACTTTTGAAAGTAGGCAGTGTATAAAGTAGAAATAAATATATAGATATTTTACATATTTGGTAACAATAACATAAATCAAACTTTTTATATGTATGTTTAATTCCTTTTCATTGGCAGAAAAGATGTTGACATGGAAATTTTACCAAGCCTCCACCCCCAGAGTTAGGGTTGTTCGAAAGAGTATCTCTTGTCTAGAGCTATGGCTATGTCACAAGCAAAAGAGCTGAAGGTTGAAAGGTAAATAAGCACAAAGGAATCATCAGTACAAAGAGAGACTGTGACAAGACTAGACAATTCTATTCAAAATTTTGAGAACTGGAGTATAACAAATGAGAATGAAGAAACCAATGATGGAAACATCAAGATGAGGCCCAATGGACCATTAGGAGGTGGGTCTATAAAAACTCTGAAGACAACACCATGCTACTTGTTGCTGGCTTCTGTATGTTATTTCTGACACAATGCTTAGGCAGTCTTGCTCCACTAAGAAAAAGCTGGTAGAACACATATAGACACTAATAATACGTTAATTATATTAAAAATAGGGGGCTTATTTTAAAATACAACTTAACTAATAGAGTGAAAACAATACACTGGTTGTCGTTAAACTTCCCCTTTTCTTCATTCATCAAAAGTGTATCTACTGAATACCTAACATAAAGAAATCATTTATACTGGGGTAAATTACACATCAATCTAAACTTCCAGAAAATTTTATTCATTATATAAAGTTAAATAAGGTTGTAAATATCTAGAGTCCAAGGTGAATGTGGTATATATCATAAGCGATGTACAAAAAACATACTGTCCGGGCACTGTGACTCAGGCCTGTAATCCCAGTACTTTGGGAGGTCAAGGTGGGAGGATTGCTTGAGCCCAGGAGTTTGAAACCAGCCTGGCCAACAGGGCGAAATCCCATCTCTACAAAAAATACAAACATTTGTCGGGTATGGTGGTGCAGGACTGTAGTCCTACCTATTCTGGAGGCTGAGGCGGGAAGATCACTTGATCCTAGGAGGCAGAGGTTGCAGTGAGCCGAGATCGTGCCATTGCACTCTAGCCTGGGAGACAGAGTTAAACTCTGTCACAACAAAACAAAACAAAAAATACATGCTGGGAAAGTTCAAAGAATGGGGTCATTTCCAGGGAAATTTCCACAGATGATGTCATAGACAACCTTGACTTTGAGGAAGAGCTAGGATATACAAAGTCCCAGATATTGGTGAGAAGAAATCACTAATGCTATGGTCATACATTTTTATGTTTTTTGTTTTGCAATGATAGCAATGCTGGTGGTGGTAAGTAATGATTGCATATCCCAATTTGGAGAGAACATGATACAATATGCCTTCTTGCATGTAATTCTGTGAAGAACGATCATTGCATGTATTGCCCATGAAATTGTAATTATAATTATAGCTTACATAATTAGAATATAATAAAATATAACTACTTTTTCTGTTGACTTGAGTGGCACAAATACCACCTTCTTTCCCACTAAATGTAACAAAGATTCCCTTTGTCTAACCGTATGCTGTGATCCTCCACCAGATTTGCCATGATAGTGGCTGAAGAAGGATTTAATCCCGTCTTGGGACAATTTGTACTATTTAGGGAAAGAACTCTGTAACTGAGGGTTAGGTAAAGGGCCTGCTGGCCAGCAACTCCCTTGCAACTCATCCTGTAATCATAGAATGAATGACATGCTCATTTATTTCTTTTGAAATACTTATTAGTCACAGCAGTAGGATTTTCCCAGGAGCAAATAGCTGACCAATTCTTGCTGCTGTGTAATAGAACTCCTTGGCCTCAGGGATCACTCTAACTGGGGATTCCGCTTGCACAGGTACGTGACACAGCCAAGGATGAAAGCAAAGGTGAACTCTGCCTTTGCCTGCCCGGGTCTCTGTGGGTGAGCTCTCAATAAAGGAGGAAAAGTGTTTGAAGCAGTGGCAGTTACTGGCTGACATAGTGACCAGCTGAAGTCCTTAGAGGGAAGAAGGTATTGGGAGAGGTGTTTAAACTCTGCCTGACTTGTTTAGTAACTCAGGCGGTCAGTTTCTCTGCTTGCAAAATGATGGGCATGTAAGATCCTTGGGGAATCCTGTCTTTCTGTTTTTTTGTTTTTATTAGTATAAAAATGATAGATGAAACTTTTTAATCTTTAGACATTCTAACATGTCACATTTATTATCAATTAGTGAATGTCATTTTATATATTTTAAAAAAAAACTTTTCCACATGCAATGAATGATGAGGCATTCTGAAGACAAATGCCTTACATTGTACCTTTTCCTCATTTATTTAATGGCACAACATCCGTTTTCCCCAGCTCGGCAGCTTTCTTTTACCTGACCTGTAACATGAAGACTGTAAGTTTCATGAAGGTAGAAATCTTGTCTGGCTCATCTTTGCCTCGCTAAAGTCTAATGTAATGCCTGGCTTGAAAATCAGTGTTTAATAAATATTAGGTAGGAATTACAATTATTCAACCACATGCTCATTTGTGCTCATTTATTTTGATATTTCAAAATGATTAATAATTTTCTCAAATTAAATGAAGTGCTAGCAGCACAAGCAATATAACTATAATCCTCTTTTCAACCTAATTTCTCTATATTATGAGTAGTGAATCAAGTGGAAAATTTCAGAATCATTTCTTAATCATTGGTATCTGAAAATTTCAGCTCACTTATTCAACATTTATTGAATTGCTACAGCAATACAACATGGATAACACCAAAATGTGTAAGTCACGGTCCTTCGACTGATGCAAAGTAGTTCCTGGTAGAGAATAAGGACTTAGTAATGAAAAGCTTCTTTTTATTGAGCAATTATTCCAGTCACTCATCTAAACAATTTATATGTATTATCGCATTTAATCATTAGAAAAAAACCAATTAGGTGGGTGCTATTAGGTTGGCGCAAAATAATTGCGGTTTTTACCATTGAAAGTAATGGCTATTAGGTAAGGATTATAATATTATTATCCCTATGAGCAAACCGAATGACAATGAAGTTATGTAAAGCAATTGCCCTGTGTTATTCAGCCAATTTGGAATTCAGATAGAATCCAAAACCTGAAGTCTGAGTAACTGCTGTAGTGATTGTTCTCGATATTGTATACTGATGGAGATTTTTTTTTAAATCTACTGGTTCTATATATAAAAACAACAACAGTAAGCTAAGGATATCTTCACTGGGTTTTCTTTTGGTGTCAAGGAATGTTCACAGAACTCTCAGAAACAAATTCGAAAGGATTCGTGACAAATGTGAGTCTGTTTTGGAAAAAACATTGCTAGGCATTTATTGTAATTATTCTACGAAACATAAATAGAAGTGGTAGAGAAGATTGCAGGCTTTCAGCTTTTTGAAACAAATCAATCTGTGTCTTCTTTCCCAGGTTTTTGCTTTCATATTAGCATACTGGCACCTATCGCTTTCCCCTGCACTTTATTCCATTTTCATTTTGTAATGTTTTCAGGCATGTTGGAAATATTTCTATTTCCACATCCTCTTCCTTCAATGAGTCGATAGGTTTTTAGTGGTAATTCGAGTAAATAAAAGCTTTGCCCTCTAAATTGTGAATTCAGATGAGATAGAGTAGCATTTTAGAGAATTTAATGAGTGAAATTAACTAAGTAAAAGCAATGAAAGGGCTTGGTTATGACACCTGATTAATAGGCTTGTAATCAGTAACTAAAAGGCCAGTGTTGGTGTACAGAAGCTGAGGATGGGGAACAGGTTTTCCCATGTGGAATTTACAAAATAAAATCATTGATAAGTTCAGTCAATATCTGGTAACTACCTTTGCTCAATGAACATAGGCATATTTAGGGAGTAAACATCGTTGTCACAAATTAGGCATGAAAAAGAACTGGCTAATGTACTGAAGAGTTCAGTTTTTGATAAAATGGGATGAGTCAGTGAATCATTCTAGGTAAAATATTTTAAAAGTTAAAGAAAATATACAGAAGAAATGAAGAGAGGTCATTGATGGATATAGTACAATGAGATTTATTTGGGTACAAATTATACTCAATGTCATGTAAGTGGCTAAGATCACTGTGAGAATGCAGAAAGGACGGGAAGAGAGAGAAGAAAAGACAGAGACAATGATGGTGATGCCTAGGCTTGGGTGTTTAGACAAAGTCCTCAGTTGGCGTCAGATGAAAGAAGACCAAAAGGTAAGAGTGATAATCTAAACAAATTATATGAATAATTAAAACTGTCCTGATTGTTACCAAATACCACAACTGGGGTTTCTTATTTGTTGGTTTTTTAAATAATGACTTTTACAGTTGACATTTCTCTCCATTCGTACAGTGAAATCTCTGTTAACTCTGGCCATATTACTGAGCAAGAAGGCTTTTTCTTATAGAGGACTGATAAGAAGTGAGTTATGATGGCCTTTGTTCTATTAAACTCTGATTGTGTGCTTTACCCAACCAACATTGCCTAAGTACCTGCTATGTATGAGGCACGGGGAGAGATTTTGATAGTATTTTTTTTTCTTCCAGGGAAATGTCACATAATTAGCAAAGGTTTGGAAGAGCTCTGAACCCATCCTTTTTTTTTTGCTTTTGTGCATAGATATTTTTACTTTCGTCCACACATATTTCTGTCCTAGCCCTTTTTCTCTAGAGAACAGAAAATTGAAGCAAGAGTTAGTGCTAATTGTTTATGTGGAAGGTGCAATCCCAAGGCAGTGAGATTAAAGGAAAAGGGGAGCAGGAGTAGACAGAGAAGGATGTGAAAAAATGCATAGTCATGTGTTATAGCACTGCCCTCTACTTTACACAAACCACAAAAATAAGCCCATCAATCGGCACGTGCATCTGTTTGGTTATGCATGACTCTTTAGATGGGCTCTATGGATTAAACATTCTACAGATAACTCTATGGAAGAATAGAAAGGGAGGAAACTTATTCTCTCACGGTTCTGGTTTTCCACTTAACAAACCTTGCCTATCAAGGAAGTAATTAACTGCCCTGAATCTCAGAGTTGTATTTTCTGGTCCTTTTGGTAGTTGTTCTGTAAACTAGATATTATGTGCCACATGTTTTATCTAACCAGGGAGTGATGGGATCGGGGAAGCCTGCCTCTTACAGTTTGTGACTGGTTTGGCCTTCAATCCAAAGGGAAAAGTGAGTTCAGCCCTCCTGGAGAGCACCAGACACTGAGTCAGTAGGCTATGGCAGCAGGGTTGTGGATGGCCCTTCTGGGAGAAAATACCATGAGATGGCTGAAGATTAACAAGCAGCTATGGTGCTGTAAGGTAATAGCATCAAGAAGATCCAATAGGATGCATTAACCTATGCCTAATATGATATTGAAACATTACTGGATTCTTCTTACAGTTTCTATGTTACCATCTCTTAGAATAACAAGTTACAAATATTGCTATTTATAACATTTTTATATTCCTTTTGTTATTTTCTCCTCATTTTCAATGTCCATATCTTTATTTCCTTACTAACTTTATTTACCTCGGGATTATTTTCACATGCACACTCTGCCTAAACAGATAGACACTTGCCTGCGTGGTGCAGGGGTATCATCCATCAGCTCTTCTAGTTATTCAGGCAATGCGTCTCTGCACACACCAACTTCATGGGACTCATTCTCAGCAAAGCTGCTTAAAAAAGTGGAGAATGGGATGCATTTCACCTCTACTTACTTCTCATATCTTTTCCCAGTTTTATAATGCTGCTTTTGAGAGCAGAAACATTGATGCCACAAACAAAACCTCTTTACCTTAAGGCTCTGTGGTGAATTCTTTCCAATATCAAGAAGAATTTATCACTCCTATTTCTGAATTCTGTAGGGCAATGACTCCTCCAGGGTGACCTTACAGCTTTGCACATGTCCACATAGGCCCTACAGACAAACACTTGGACTTGAACACAAGCTAATGTGAGTGTTGCCAGAATGCCTTTCAATCCTCCTGGAACACGAGAGGATGAGGGGCCTGTGAAGGGCTGCTATGAGGCCAGCTCCCACTCCCTTCTCCATCTCCCCTGGGGGGCTGCTGGGAGTGAGTTTCACAGCACCTTCAAGTTCTGATGGGGTGTGGGGCTTTCTTCCTGTCCCCTCACCATAGTATTGCAAATTGTAAAACAATTTAGAGCAGTCAAAACCTGGTTCCTCAGGAACAGGATATCCCACAACTCATGTTGCAGCCAATCTTGCCCCTTTTTGTTTTGATATTGTTCTTTTTGATGTGTGGAAAATGGACCATTGGAAACTGGCCACTTTTGCTATCCTTCCCTTCATTGTCGAGGGAAGTAATAAGCTGAATCTAAAAGTGACACATTATATTTTTAGCTGTTTAATCAGTCAGTCTTAATTTTTGGCCTTTTCTTGTGTGGGCTTGACAACTTCTCTCATTATTTTGCATATAAATTCTACTTTACATAATTCATTCTCTTCTGTTTAATATGTGTGGTTAGTAGTTAAAATGTTTATTTTCCCACTGGATTTAAACTATTTAAGCGTAGTGATTGTATATGTTTCGCATTTTTCTCCAGAAGACTGAGTACAATTCATGGAATATAGAAGAAACATGTCCTGAGTAAATATATGAATGAATGATCCATTTATGTATGGATCAAGAGAAATACAGAGTACAATATGGAATGTGTTAATTCTATAAGCAATACTTTCTTACCTACCAACAATAAATTAGAAAATTGTGGAGTTTTGAATCCCTTTTCATTATGATATGGAGGAATAGTGAGAGAGTAAAAGTGTTGATGAATTTGAAATATATAAGGAAATCCTCAAAGGCTTGGCATTTATTCTTTTTTTAATTATTGGTTAGGGGGAATGATTAAGGCTGCCTTTCATATTCAAAAGCTAAACTATCAACTCTGAAGGTACTTTTATTTGATTTTTTAAATAATAAAGGTGGAATTAAGATAGATTGTTTTTTCAACAAATATTTATTATGTACTCACCATGTGTCAGGCAATATTATAGATGCTATTCACAGAGCCACAAATAAAACAGGCAAAATTCCCATTCACATAGAACTTAAATTCATATTTTCTCACGCATTCCTCTGTGGATTAATTACAGCTTCCTTCTCAAACTTTAGTGTTTGTAAGACTCATGTAGGGTTCTTGTTAAAATTCACAGTCTGATTCAGTTGGCCTAGGGTGGGCCCTGAGGTTTGGCATTTCCAACAAGCTTCCTGGTGATGCTGACATGATGATGGCACTGGTCTGCCAATCACATTTTAGTCTATAGGTATTAGAGGACTTATGGATCTGTGATCTTGAATCTAATGGGTTTCAGTATCAGGATCTGTCTTCCTTGTAACTCCACTGGACATTTTCCTAATCCCCTCCTCACAAGCCCTTTCCTACCACCTTATAGTTCTTTTCTTGTTTATAGCCATTTACTTTAATCCTTCTTTGCATTTGGTCATGCTGTCTTTTAGCTGTGAATCTTCATTCCCTTTCTTCTGTTTCTAGATTTTTTTTTTTTTTTTGCCTGATTTGCACTGAGAGGAACTTTAGCTTTTGTTTAGTTTTACTGCTTTGAATTTCCAAGTGAGGACCCTGATTTTTCCTGGGAAATTTTCTCACTCCCAATCTTATACTCAGTTGCTAGCAATTGCCAGAAGAGGGGATTGTACATGTTTAATGTACAATTAAAGTAAATATAAGTTTTTTTTTTGAAAAACCATTTATTCTCTTTTTAAAATCTGATCCACCTGATGTCATCAAAGGTAATGTGATTATTTCTGGCCAAATTTAGTCACTTCCAGCATTTCCTAGTCATTTCCATTGTAAACTCAATTCATAATTTCTATTCTTTTTTCTTCCATTTAGGACTGTATCGGAAGGGGTATATATGTCAATGAGGAAGCAGTGTGAAGTTATTCATTATTGGTCTTCAGCCATGCTGGAATTGGCTGTTCCGTCTTCATATCCACTGATCTCCAAACATCAGCACCAAACTTCCTTGGCCTTTGCTGAAACACACTGCCCAGCTTAGTGCTAAAACAGTCATTTTCCTTTCTAAGGTCACCTGCAAAATTAAATTGGGTTATTTTCTGATTTCACACTAGGCAATCTATGTGCAGCACCTTCTTTTAAAGAATCCTTTGTCTCATTTTGAAAGAACTTTCACAACTTTCTTGGAGCATGCAGAGAGGATCTGACCCATTTTTCTAGAAAATGTACAGAGCCATTTTAAATCTACTGGCCCAGCAATGTACAGAAAATGACACTTCTCCCCAAGGCTTAGTCTCACTTCAGGACTATAATATTGAAATCAAAGCAGACGTTCCCTCCATCTTTTGATTTTCTGGGATTCTCTTCTTCTCATTCTAGGCTTCTTTTCCTCAGGAGGACAAGGTGCCAAACTTCTTTAGCATCCTGTAAAATCTGTACATTTCTGAGGGTGTTCTCCCACCTGCCCAACCATGTTTTCTTCTCCACATCAGTTGACATTTATCTAAGAGGGAGTAAAGAAGCCCATCTTTTTTATTTTTATTTATTTATTTATTTTTGTAGCCCATCCTTTTCTCTTGCAATCTTTAGGACAAGGAATTAGTTATTAACTTTTCAAAAAAAATTTTTATTTTAATATCGTCACTGTGTCTCTGACTTTGATGCCATTAAATGTTTATTTTAAAATAATAAGCTACATGATGACTCTTCTTTTTTATTATTATTTTTATTTATTTATTTATTTTGAGACAGTATCTCGCTCTGTTGCCCAGGTTGGAGTGCAGTGGTGCGATCTCGGCTCACTGCAAGCTCTGCCTCCCGGGTTCACGACATTCTTCTGCCTCAGCCTCCCGAGTAGCTGGGACTACAGGCGCCCGCCACCACGCCCGGCTAATCCATTTCTGAAGTGAGTGATTTGGATATATAAAGATGTGTCACATAAGAAGAAGTAAAGGGGAAGACTAATTAATTGGACTTCAAAATATGATTCTACCACGTACACAATGCTTTTAATTCCTTGGTGTTCTTGACCTCTGCTCTCAGTATATTTTATATTTCCAGCTCTTTTGTCACCACTCTATAATTCCTTACATGGCCTTCGGTGTATGTCATCCATTTTTTTTTCCATTCCATTTTTGTTGTATAATGAATACAACTGCAAAATGACTGAGAAGTTTTATTTGTTTTATCCAGGACCACAAATTCTTCCCAACTCACTGCCAGCCAAATACGTGAAAGTAAGAGTAGATATATGATTGTGTAATACTTAGTACACCTTGAAAGACAGAAACAGTTACAGACTCATTTTTATAAGCGATATATCTTACCTCTATTTTGCAGTCAAATATTGAACACCATGTTGTACAAATTAATAATAACTAGAGATTAGGACTTCATGAAGATGGAAAAATGTGTTGATGATGACTAAACTTTCACTCAGAGATTACAACTCTCTGTATAATACATTTTGTACTTTGCCCAACCACACACAACAGATTCCATATACCACTCCAAGTGCTTGCTTTTTAAAAAATTCATTTTTAATCCCTCCCTATTTTACATTGTTCAGATAGACTAATTTTGCCTTTTTCTTAACAAAGGTTGTATTTAGAAATATAATATGCATATAGCCACACAATGCTTCCTAGAGAGACTGTTTTCTTATGTCAAAGTCCACTTGTCAAATTTACAGATTCAATGCTATTCTTATCAAATTATCAACAACATTTTTCACAGAATTAGAAAAACTATTCTAAAATTCATATGGCACCCGAAAAGCAACTGAATAGCCAAAGCAATTCTAAGTAAAAAGATCAAAGCCAGAGGCATACACTACCTGACTTCAAACTATACTACAAGGCTACAGTAAACAAATCAGTGTGCTACCAGTACAAAAACAGACACATAGACAAATGGAACAGGATAGAGAACCCAGAAATGAAGCGACACACCTACAACCAGCTGATCTTTGACAAAGTCAGCAATAATAAGCAATGGGGAAAGAACCCTGTATTCAATAAAATGGTACTGTGATAACTGGCTAGCCATATGCAGAAGATTGAAACTGGACCTCTTCATTTCACCATAAAAATTAACTTACAATTGATTAAAGATTTAATGATAAGACCTAAAGCAATAACAACCCTAGAAGAAAACCTAGAAAATACCATTCTAGACATTAGCTTTGGCAAAGAATTTATGACTAAGTCCCCAAAAGCAATTGAGACAAAAACAAAAATTGACAAGTGGAACCTAATTAAACTAAAGAGCTCTGAACAGCAAAAGAAACCATCAACAGAATAAAGAGACGAACCTACAGAACAAGAAAAAAGTATTAACAAACTGTGCATCTGACAATGGTCTAATATACAGAATCTATAAGGAACTTAAACATATCAGCAAACAAAACAACTCCATTAAAATGGGCAATAGACATGAACAGACATTTCTCAAAAGAAGACATACATGTGGCCACCAAATATATTAAAAAATGCTCATCATTACTAATCATTAGAGAAATGAAAATCAAAACCACAATGAAATATCATCTCACCTCTGTCATAATAGCTATTATTAAAAAGTCAAAGAATAGTAGATTCTGATGAGGTTGCAGAGAAAAGGGAACACCTATACACTGCTGGTGGTGTAAATTAATTCAGTCACTATGGAAAGCAGTGTGGAGATTTCTCAAATAACTGAAAAAAGAAACTACTATTTGATCCAGCAATCCCATTATTGGGTATATACCCAAAGGAAAATGAATCATTTTACCAAAAAGACACATGCACTCATGTGTTCATTGCAGTGCTATTCACAATAGCAAAGACATGGAATCAACCAAAATGTCCATCAATGGTGGCCTATATAAAGAAAATATGGTACATATACATTGTGGAATAATACAGAGCCATAAATAAGAATAAAATTATGTCCTTTGCAGCAACATGGACATAGCTGGAGGCCATTGTCCTAAGTGAACTACTGCAGGAACAGAAAACCAAATACTGCACATTCTCACTTGTAAGTAGGGGCTAAGTATTGAATATGCATGGACACAAAGATGGGAACAATAGACACTGTGGACTGTTTGGTGGGGTGGGGGGGGCAGCAGGCACTAGGCATAGGCTAGAAAGCTATCTATTGGTTACTATGCTCACTACCTTGATGATGGGATCATTTGTACACTAAGCCTCAGTGACACACAATTTACCCATGTAACAAACCTGCACATATACCCCCAGAACCTAAAATAAAAGTAGAAGAAAAATAAATAAATAGAAATAACTTATCCATTTGTTCCCCAAAAAAGAACTTGGGCATATTTAAATACTCTATTAACAATAGCAATGTTTGAACTCAATATTCTTTTATTTCATTCAAAGCATTTAAGAAAAACTGGAAAATATATACATATATTTATGTAGACACTATATATGTGTATATATATTTGTGTGTGTATATAAATGTATACACATATAACAAGATATATACACATACAACAAGATAAAAAATAATCTGTGCTTAGTCTTATATCACATATTTTGCTGATGGAGTCCTTTGTGTCAGTGTAACAATCATTCATAATGAGTTTTTTTGTATTATATATACTTAAACTATGTGTTAGGAAGTGTTTAAACAATGCCTTGATACCTATTGAAAAGACAAAGTATGAAATAAATCTAAAGGCTTTTCTAGAAAATAATTTTTAAGTAGTGATATTGTCATAATGCTAATGCCTCTGTACTACTGTGTTCCAGTCTAACAGTTCCATTATGTTACTTTTTATAGATATTTTTACTATTAATTTTATACAGCTAGACTTTTCTCATGAGCAGATAAAGCACCTATGCTTCTGTAAAGTTGCAACTTTTGTTTATTTAATAATTAAATAAATATTCACCGTGCTTCTTCAGTGTTTCAGGCATTCTGCAAATTCCTGAGGATATAGTGGTGAAGAAGACATTTATGATTCTTACTCTCAAAGAGCTTTCATTTTAGTGGAGATGTGAGGACATTAAATAACATGTAAGGATGTAAGCTCTATGAAGCCTGGAATTTTCTCCTCTTTTGTTAACTGTTGTACCTAGCACGCAGTAAACACTCGACACACATTTGTTGAATGATCAAATATAAGAATGACTGAGTAAATATAAGGTTCTATGGAACTATAAAATGGAGAGATGATATTTAATGTAGTATAGGGGTCAAGGAGGCCAACTGCTCAAGTGAAAAAAAGGTAGGGCCATAGTAATTAACCTTATTGGAAAATTCTGAAGATGGTAACCAGAAGTAAACATAGACTAGCAAAGGAAGAAAGCAGTCAATACGCATGCCAGATGACCTCAGGAAACAGAGCAAGAGTTGATAAGACACTTGCTCTAGCGCATAAAAGAGATTTAGTGAGAATGGAATGAACCAAGCCTATGGAGAAGATTATAGAGATTCAAGTGTCTGTCATTTATAATAATGCTTGATTAGAGGGGCTTGTCTCCAGGTCCCAACTAAAGGAACACTGATAAATAATAATGGAGATTTTCACCCCAGTACATTGTGAAATACCTTTCTAATTGTTTCCTTAACTCTATTCTCTCCCCACTTTAATCCACCCTACTTATGCTCACAAAACCTTCCTCAATGGAACAAGTAGAAAATAAGCATTGTGGGAAAAATTGTTCAGACACAATAAGTGATAATAACCCCCAAGTCTCCACAATTCTTTTCTTTCACAGGGGAGTATGGTCATCTACATTAATCATGTCTAGATTCCTATAATTATTTCCAAACCCCAAAACTATAATGGATGAAGACTTACCATGGCTAGCACCCCAGAGTCATCTCTAGAAACAGAATAGAAAAAAAGGGGAGTTCTTTGGCCTATAATTTGGGGAATAAATTTGCCTTTTAGATTTTTGTTTGTAAGTCAGCATTCAGGACACAAATATTATCACTTTGTAGCACTGCTAGAGGAAAAATACCTGCTTTCTTATTGTCTGTTAATAACACTGACATGATCATTCAAGTTACTGCTGTTTTGGTGAACAGAGTAGCTCAAGAAGATTGTGTCTTAGATTAATTTCATAAATTCTCTTGAAGGAAAGAAAAGAGTAGTCAATTAGAATTTTATAAGAATGATATCCTTCCAGAAGTTGACTTGGTCAACTCAATGACTGTCAAAGAGCTAAAGGTCTATCTCCTGGAATTAAATAAGAGGCTGAAGGAGACAAAAATAGGCCAATCTTCTGTTTGAAAGAAGCAGAAACTTTCTAGGGCTTCAGGGTTTTAAGTCTCTCCAATTGCTTTTTAAAATTAGCAGTTTCACCCAGATTTTATTTAGAGTTCTCAAGTTTACTCAGTCTTCATTAAAATTCAGAGAAAAACTGGTAGAGTCAAATATCAGTAGGAAGTGGGCCCAATGAAAGGTCAGGTCTTACTGAGAGAATTTGGATCAGCTCAACTTTAATGACTAAATGCAGCCTTCTTAATTTTCTCTTGCATCAGCATTTAAACAGGGATCTCTACAATCCTAATTACTGACTAGAGTAACATTATCTGCCTTTATCCTTTGTTAACAGATATTACTTTTGCTTATTTCAGGAGCCCAGCCAGAAATCACCTACTGTATGCTCAATTATCCACCTCCCCACAGCAACACATTATTTTAATATAAACTTTTCACTGTAGTCAGCAACTATTGTGTATTTTCTTTAAATTGAGTTGTCATATCTTATTATAAGATATAAAAGGAAATGGCTGGAACACTTAGGGTTAGGCAGAGTCATTTTACTGTGGTTTGGCTTCTATTTTCGCATATTTTCTATCCAGCAAGACTTAACATGACCACAAGAAAATAAAAGAATCCATGAAATAAACAAAATAGTTAAAATGAGAAATATGTACTGTGTGTCAATTGGGCTTAGCCATTTTTAAAAATTAAAGGCAGATCCTACTTTGTGCTAACCTACTGTGCTGTGCAAGAAATGTAAATACATCCTTAATATGAAGATTAATCTCTAGGTTAAATCAGTTTCAGGTTTCCTTCCTGATAACAAATCTCATTTACATTCTGAACACCAAATGGGATTGAGCCAAAAATGGTTGCAAGCTATGTTTTTTGTTGTTGTTTTTTTTTTAAGTCCAGTCTGAACATAGAGTGACAATCTTTAAAGGTCCTCATTGATTGTGGTTTATTATTCAGTTATCTAAATGCTGAGCTCAAGAGTAAATGGGAATTCCTCATTACAATCTTACTATGAAATCAAGAAATGTAGACTAAGTATGTCGAAATATCTCTTCCACAGGATCTTCTGAACCTCCTGATGTTATAATATTGGTTAAAGAAATATCGGGCTAGATAATTAAAACAAGGATTTTAAATATAAGACCATTTCTAGTTCCTGAAAAAGTGATCAATTATAATCTATTATCTGCTTTCCCACAATGCAAGTAATAGCTTATTTTAAAGGAAGGTGAAAGAATGCTAATGAATTATTCATCAGCTTGGTTATTGCTCCCTTTTAATAATGTTAACTTTCTGCATACTTCACACTCAAAAGTATGACTTCCATTGACTAACACGTAAATGTTTGATTAATCAAGGCATCCGAGTCTTCTTTATTTCGATCATTTTATGTTGGAAAGGAGTATTCCATACAGTGTCCTTCAATAATTAGGATAAAAATGTTATATTCCACAAGAACATGCTGATGACAATAATAATCACCCAGATAAACCTCAACACTTGTATTTGCTATTAATTTTCATTTTGTAATAGCATTGTGGAAAGAGCTAAATTCATATAGCATTTACATGTTTGAGTTCAAATACATTATTTTAAAAGTAGCTGGGTAAAAGAAGAAAGGTCTGTTGGCAGGCTGTGGGGAAGCCAAACTATCATATCTTAGTTTACATTTTGAGGATCAAAATATTCAAGAATATTTTTATCCCTTTGTTGATAGGGTCCTAACTTGGAAACACTGATTTTTAAAAATAAATGATACAGAACTGTTTGTTAGTTTACATATTTGTTGAAATTTGGGTCAGTAGAGTATTCTTCATTGTTTGCCAAGTCTTAATTCTCTGGCAATGTACGTAGTATTATCTTGATTCACTTTTTTTTTTTTTTTTTTTTTTTCTGAGACAAAGTCTCACTCTTGTCGCCCAGACTGGAGTGCAATGGTGCAATCTCGGCTCACTGCAACCTCCGCCTCCCAGGTTCAAGCAAATCTCCTGCCTCAGCATCCTGAGTAGCTGGGATTACCGGCGCCTGCCATCACGCCCGGCTAATTTTTGTACTTTTAGTAGAGACAGGGTTTCACCATGTTGGCCAGGCTGGTCTTGAACTCCTGACCTCAGATGATCCGCCCTCCTCAGCCTCCTAACCTGCTGGGATTATAGGCATAAGCCACCCCACTCGGTCGATTCAATTTTTTAAAAATGGCATTATACTTTGTTTACATAGCTTTTGATTATCTAGGATGCTCTGCAGACCACTTCAAATGATCTCAAATCAACTGTGAGTCTAGAATGGATTTCAACAGTAAGCTAAGTGAGCTCCCTTCCCTCTAACTTCTTAAACAGTAAGAACACGTATGTTTTATTAAAGTATACAATATTAAATAAGATTACACTCAGAGAATGTCTGTATCACAGCTATCTATTGATGCATATAAAACTACCCAAAATGTAGTGGTTTAAACAGCAGTTATCTCTTTTAATGACAGTTCTGGACAGTTAAGTGTCTCAACAGGTCTCAACTGAATGTATCTCGTGCACCATCAGGAGTCAGCCAGGGGTCTCCCCTAGGATTTCAGCCAGAGCATAGGTTTAAAATCTGAAAAATGTGGTACAAATTCCAGCTTCTCTACCTCTGTACCCTTGAACAAGCCATTCAATTTATTTAAACATCCCTGTATCCATCCATAAAATAATAGGAATAATATCTACTCTATAGGGAAAAATTTTTCTGACTTATTTTGGCCAGAATGTCAATTAGATTGAGCCAAAGATACCTCTGATTAGAGACACTGTGTTAAATGAAAAAATCCCATGTCTCCTTTTATATATTTCTACCTTAGACCCCAGTATGAGTCTCTTCTATTCTAAATGCAGTAGTGGAATCAAGAAAGAGTTCTAAAGGCAATTTTCTCTCTACTGGTTCCTGGGTATATTTAAACACCAGTTGTAACGAACTAGGACTTTCCTGAGATCTGGTAATCTCCCCCTGATTGTAAGCTCACGATGGATCCAAAGGTTTCTATTCAAGTAGAAGTACGAAGCTCTATTTAGGACAGGGGCCTAGACCACATGCATTAGCTTGACTTTTATTTGAGCTCTGCTTACATTTTCAGAAATGTATGTGACTTTTAACATAAGACATTATTTCATTCCTGGTTTGCAATTTTTGAAAATTATTTTAAAATTTCCTATGACTCTATTAGGAACTCTATTGGAAGGGGGAGGTGAGTCAAGCATTCTTGGGCTTCTGGTCATAACCCCATAATGACACCACCAAAATAACTCCTGTAAATCCTAATACCTGCTTTGCAGCATTTTCAGGATTGAAGAATATTCAATCAACTTTAAACTAGGTGCAGTGGTGTGTGCCTGTAGACCCAGCTACTCAGGAGGCTGAGGACAGGAGCTGTAGTGCTCTATGATCACACCTGTGAATAGCCACTGTGTTCTAGCCTGGGCGACATTGCAAGACCACATGCAATGGATATTATTTTTGGTTCCAGGAGCCCTTGCAAATATCCATTTTTTGTTTTTTCATTAAAAAACAAAAACAAACAAACAAACAAAATAGAGTGCTCAATCAACTTTAGTTTCCTTCCTCTTTTATAACTCAACTTTTAGATATTTCTTATATGAAAAATAAAGTTTACACACTTTTATATATGACACTTAACGAGAAAAAATATAAAAATTCTATTACTCATTTAATTTTCACAAGTTCAGTAGGTACCTAAATGCAGCTGATTCCAGGTTGTAGCAATAGCCAGAAGAAATACAGGCATCGTGTTATACAGTGAGGTATTAATTATTTCCAATAAAATTCCTAATGATGTATTTAAACACTTGTCAAGCCCCACTATGCACCACATTGGAGTTTGTGAGTATGGAGAGAAAAAACACAAACTTTACATTCAATGAGTTTACTATCTAGTGAATGGATTGGGGCTGGGGAAGATGATGAGTTATAACATAGGCAGGTACAGCAATACCAAAATATGATGATTTCTGTTGTAATGGTAAGTAAGTGGTGGTATGAACACACAAAGGAGAAGCATCTGGCTTTCATCAGTGTGCACAGGAAAATTTCAAGGAGTAGTTTTCTGCTTTTCCTTACTAAAGCTTGACCCCATGGGTACCCTCTCCTCAACATTCCTAAACCCCTCACATATATTCCTTACCTAAAACTAGACCAGATATCCTTAACGTTTGCATCCATATCCCGTGCTAAACATTTTTCGTGACAATCCCCCATACTAGCTGCCTAAATAATAAAAATTAAAGATACTTACCATGACATAACATCCCTTTATGACCTGATATTTGCTCATTTTGAGTTGAACTTAATATATTCCTCCCGATTCTTTATGTTCTCCTAGTAAACCGCATACCCATCCTTCATGATGTTGCATATGCTGTTTGTTCTGCATGGGATTCCCTTAACACCATCATTTCCTTGGCAAACGTAAACTTCTTTTTCCAAATTCTGATGTCACATTTTCTCCTTTATATGGTCTTTTCTTACCATTTCCTTTCCATTCCAAGAAAACACCATCACTATAACCAAAATCATCCCTTCTCTACTTCACTCTGTGCCTTATTATTTTTTATCTATGAGGTGAATACAGTCATCCCTCAGAATTGGTTCCAGGAGCCCTTGCAAATATCCAAAGCCACATATGCTCAAATCCTTGAAATAAAATGCTGTTTTTACATATAACCTACACACATCTACCTGCATACTTTAAATCATCTCTAGATTACTTACAATACCTAATAAAATGTAAATGCTATGCAAATAGTTGCTATACTGTGTTTAGGGAATAATGGCAAAAAAAAGTCTGTACATGTGCAGTACAGACACTTTTATCTGAATATTTTTGATCCGCAGATGGTTGAACCCACAGATGCAGAACTCATGGATATGAAGGGCCAACTGTGTGTCGGTCTACAAGTCCATTCCTCCTTTTCTTTTTTCTTTTCTTTTTTTTTTTTTTTTTTTTTGAGACAGAGCCTCACACTATACACTAGGCTGGAGTGTGCAGTGGCACAATCATGGCTCACTGCAGCCTTGACATCCTGGTCTCAAGTGATCCTCCAACCTCAGCTTCCCCACTAGCTGGAACTACAGGTGTGCACCACCATACCCAAATAATTGGGGAGGTGCACCACCTCCCCAATATTTTGGGAGAGGTAAAAAAATTGCATGGAGCTAATACAGAGCTATTCCCTGTAATGGGAGATTTGATAAAATGCCTGGCCGGTTCCATTTGTATAAATGGTCTGGAATGGTTTATGGTCTTACATCAGTTCAGTCATTTAAATGCCTGAGTCTAGTTCTCATAGTTGAGCCTATATGAATCCAGAATCAGGCAACTAATCATTCGTATTGCCCTAAGCTGCAACAGTGGGAAAAGCAGCATATAAACCAGATGAAACAGCTTCATTTACAATTACAAAAGCAAGGGCTTTCACAGAACAAAAAGCAGTTTTGCTACAGCAATTCCATTTTCTAGATGTCATCTTATTTATTTGAGAAATATGCAAAAACACTGAAAATGAGTTTCTTTTTTGTGTACTATTTTTGAGTTGTTTTATTTAGAAGCTTGAAAGGAGAAGAGAATGTTTAATCGTTTTCAATATAATTCCATTTTATTTTTACTTTCATGGCTGTCTAATTTGAGAAACTTTTTACTTTGGGTCAGAAAATAATTATCCAAAACAATTCTTCACAACACTACTGGATGCCATCATTGTTGTATTCTTTGATATTGTGAGCTGAAATCACAACAGATTCTATTGTTGCAAGATATAACCATAAAATGTATGAAAGTGCTATGGATAAAATGATTTCTCCTTACATTGTCTTTTGTATATTTTAATTAATGTAGACTTCCTCTAGCAAAATATGAATTTTTACACAGAATAGAAAGTGTATATTATATTAGTAATGCAGTTAGAAAAAAATTATAACTAATAATGATACTGTGGTTTTTTCCTCAAGCACTGACATAATTTCAGTGGTACATGTGGGTCAAAGATCATTGGCAGATGACATTCATAATAAATTGGAAATAGAAGACAAAAGAGTCTACTATACCAGAGACCCTTTAGAGAGGGAACAAATAGTAACAATTTATTTTATTTTTTTAATTGGAAAAGAGTCTCTTAAATGTGGGTTTAAGGTAAGGGTTTAAGAAAGTTGATTCTGTCGTCAGATTTTGACATCTGTTAACTGGTTTTATAGAACAGAACAGTTTTTAAAGCTGGCTTCAGAGATCATTATGTAACTATATACAAGAACCAATAATGTCAGCATGCCATAACAACAAGTCACTGTGGTTCGATTTCAAATACTGCTGTGCATTTAATAGCTTCCTGAATGCATTGTGTTTTTGTCCCAACAATATGATTGCATTTTGGGGCACAAATTAGCAGATTAGTATTGATAGTTCTTATGTTCGATTAAAAAAATTCTGTATCTTGCTCTACATTTTCAAGTCAAACTTTTCTTTTCCCCGGAAAACTATCACATTCTTAAAACAAATAATCTGAAAATGATTTCATTGTAGGGTCCATTATATTATATTTGGTTTATCAATATTTTTTCTCTCTGTTTCCCTGTGTCTTGAATGTCAGACTGTGTTCTTGAATGAAAAGATTTCTGATTAGATATTTCCAAACTGAATATGAAAAACAATTATTTAAATTAAATATGAATAAATTTAGTATTTAAAATTTTGTTTTGATCTTATATTTATTTATTTTCCTTATGAACAAGTATCAAGGATTACTATTTTTCTTGCCAGTAAGGATGCATTCCATTGTGATAGGAAATGATATATTTCACCTCAAAATATAGTCAAACACATAAAACTAATTATGTTCTTTCTATGGATCTAGTATCCTAGCTTTACAAAAGATGTTCATCAAACTTTGCTTATGATTTATGCTCAACAAACCCCAGGCTCACACATACAGAAAGTAGCTGATAAGTCACATTATGCAAGAGGGATACAAAATTCAATTTTATCCGTGTAAAAAGCCCTCAAGCAATATTTGTTTGGTGAGAAAAATATAGACAGCAATTTTTTTATATTGCTCTGGTGTTGCATCTGAATATCATAATGCACTCTAATCTGCTACATACATTACAAATCCAGCCATAAGAACACACTTAAGATCCCCAAAGTTAACCTCTGAAGGGAACACTAAAGCCAAATACTCCTTAGATTTTCATTTCACTACATTAGCAAAGATGTCCTGGGGAAATGTAAAGGCCCCAGCTCATTTTGCATTTCCAATTGTCATACATAAACATGTAAAATAGGATATGGACGATTTGATCCATGGTGCATATGGATTACAAATAAATATGAAAGCCTTAATTCTTCCAGCTCCTGTTCACTTTTAAAATGTCTTCTCTATTATACCGGCAGGTGATTTTACCTCCTCTTAACCATGCAAAAACTATAGTGTTTCAAAGCTGCAGATTAGTGATGGTGGCAGCTTATTTCTTTTGGTTATCTGCAGCACCATCTTAGTGTCTTGAGGCATAAAAAAATATTATCTGTGTGACAGTTATGGCTGGAGCCATCTATACTGTTCTTGGTATCAGCACTCTAAGTGCGCTGAATAGAAATCATTCAGTTTAAGACATTTTCCGTAGTTTCATCAAAATCACAAAGTGCTTCAAGTTACTACTAAGGGTACACAAAATTTTTAGAGAATCTCTTATGCAGAAAAGCATGTAAGTAGTTTAGTTGGAGTTTGCTTTTAATGGGGCTTGTGCACGTTGATTTGCTAATCTTTTGTGAAGGCATTGACCATAGCAAGGCAACCTATATGTCTGCTTTGTTTCTTTACTTAATTTTCATCACAAATAATGTGCCACTCTGATTGCATAAAAGCATCAAGAGTATCTTCAATTACTGCATGCAGCCTCTGCTCACAATACCTTCCTTCATCCTGAATCTGGAGGATGATGCGGAGAAAAGAGGCAGGGTGGGTGAAGAAAGAGGAAATGCAGAGCTAGTTATGTATTACAAATGTCAGGCTACAGAGAAGGTGTATATATTCATATAAGATAATTTAGAAGCCAGAGTTGTGATTGCAATAATAGCTCATTCATATCTGCATTTCATTTAAATGCACTGTTTTGACTTACTGAACATTTGTCAAAGATGGTACAGCTAAACTTTTTCACATGACCACTGAGGTAATGACAGCATTACATTACCAGGAAACTGCATGACTTGCTGATACTTCCATTTCCACAGCAGCTTATGAAATAATCAAAATGTGTGCATGAAATGGCGGCCTGTTCTGAATTTATTTTAATACAGATGGGCTTATGCTGAGAGAGAAAAAAAAGTGTTGAACCCCTGACACAAGAGACAATGACTTTGCACAAAGCTGAATTTTACTAGCAGAGAAGATGGATATATGAGTATTAGACTTTTCATAGCTATAGGAAGGATAATCTTTCAATCAGATTAATGAGAAAATATATTGCATGGGCCCTACAGCACTTTTTGCTTTCCAGGCTAATGCATGATTTAAATCCCCAAAGTACATTTTCAGCATTACAATATCCTTTGATAATAATGTCGCTTGCACAAAGACAGATAAAAATAAAACAGTCCCCCTTGATTTTCCATTTTAGATTTGAAGTATATTTTCTGTTCTTTGCTGGCAATGAAGTGAATTCTATTGACAAGAGTCACATTTAATAAGACAAAGAGAATTTTCTAATTATGCTACCTGTCAAGATTGGAATCTATGGGATTGCAATTGCAATTGAAGAAACGGAGGAAGCAATTGCATATAGTCCCGTTTACTTTGGTGTATGATTACTATTTGCACTTAGATATTGCTAAATGTAAATCAAGCAAACACACAGAAGCACACATTGAGGTAAACACCAAAAGGCAGGTTTCAGAATAGATTCTACCATTCCCAATTCAATTTTCAGTAACCAATTTTCTGAAATTTTCTAATTCACCTATTGAAAACATAAACCAGTGGAAATAAAAAAGGGAGGGAGCTAACTCGCATGCTGTGTTCTATAACCAGCTACTGTGAAAACTTGTAGTGACAAACATACTTATTCAATAAATATATATTCATAATTATGCATAATAAATATCCACTAGAGGGAAGTAACTTTCAGGAAAAATACATACTAGGGAAAATAGATACAATGATTCTAGAATACTTCTATATAATTTTTTTATTTTTACCTAATTTGTATTACAACTGTGTAGAAATCAAAGAAAATCTCACCACTATTCAAATGATTCCCAGGAAGTTATCACATACTATTCTTCGTGAGCCTCTGGGGAACAGTTCCATGTGCCCCATCAAACATTACTCTTTTTTTTTTTCTCCCAATATCACAATTGTTGAAACACTATGGCATATTAAACAAGGAAAATAAATATTGTGCTTTCAATGATTTCTTATATGCTGTGTATAAATGAACTGGCACACAATCAATTATTATAAATATTATCAGTTAAAAGAATAATTGTACTACTAATACTCAGATGAAAATAATTACAGTAAGTAGGAATTTACCAAAATCACATTTTCAGAAATACAATGAAAAGAGAAAACATAATTAAGCAAAATATATAACAAGAGCTGGCTTATGATTAGGGGCTTAGTTTTTAAAGCGTTAACCTTTGATGTCCAAAAGTATAATTGATAAATCTATTAGGTTCTGTAAATACATCAAATGTTGATGCTTTGCATGAGTTTCAAATAGGTGTTTCTAACGCCTAAGCCATATTTTGGTTTGCTGACCATGCAGAGAGAATAGAATATTCTCAAAGCATTAAAGCATTAATTTAAAAATTAAACTCTGCAAATAATTTTTAAAATAAGCTATTAGATACTTTCAAAAGAAATCCATCAATTAGTATAGAGCCACTGCCTTAATGGTTTTACAGTAAGAAAGCCATTTGAATTAGTATATAATTTAAAAATTACTGTTGGAACATAGTTCTGAATGTGTAATGTTAAGGAATGCTTCATTCTATATCCACTCTTTCACAATATAATCTACCCACATTTTATGGGCTGTATTATGTCCTCTTAAAATTAATTTGTTGATGTCCTAATATCCAATAGCTCATAATGTGACAGTGTTTGGAGATGGGTCTTTAAAGAGGTAATTAAGTTAAAATGAGGTCATTAGAGTGGGCCCTAATCCAATATGACTGGTGTCCTTATAAGCAGAGGAGATTAGGACACAGACTGTGCAGAGCAAAGTCCAACTGGCACAAGCAAAAGACAGTCATCTACAAGTCCAGGAGAAAGACATAAGAAGAAATCAGCCCTGTTGACATCTCAATCTCAGACTTCTAGCCTCCAGAATTCTGATAAAATAAATTCCTGTTATTTAAGCACCTAGTTTGTGATACTATTATGGCAGCTCTAGCAAACTAATACATCACATCTCATAAAAGCTTTAGGTGTGCAAGGTTCAAGCCTCTTCTTAACATTAATGCATTTACCATTGAATTTTTGAATGATGGAGTCATCATAGGATTACCTAGCAAGCTACTCACATACCCTGGTTTTAAGTTCTCTGTTTCAGTTTATGAAACTCAATTCTTAGCAAGTTTATGGAATCGTGAACAAAGTACAAAGTCAGATTAGTAGAGGTTGTCTATATGGCCCAAATTCTACAGATATGTTGGTATCCAGTGATGTACATGTTATTTTGATCATATCATTTACAATGATGGGATTAATTGGATATTGGTCAAGCCATGTGCCACATAATGACATTTCAGTCAAAGATGGACCACATGTACAAAGGTGGTCTCATAAAATTATAATGAAGCCAAAAAATTCCTATTGCCTGATGATGTTGTTGCCATCTAACATCACAGTTCTAGGCATTACTTACATGTTTGTGGTGATGTTAGTGCAAACAAACCGGTGCTGATAGTCATATAAAATATAGCACATATGATCATGTATGTACATAATACTTGATAATGATAATAAACAACTGTGTCACTGGTTTATTAATTTACTATGTTCTACTTTTTATTATTATTTTAGAGTGTACTCCTTCTACTTATTAAAAAGATGTTAACTGCAAAACAGCCTCAGGCAGGTCCTCCAGGAGGTATTCCAGAGGAAGGCTGTTTGCTATTGTTGTAGGAAACAACAATACTATGTGTGTTACGGCCCCGGAAGACTTTCCAGTAGGACAACATATGGATATGAAAGACAGTGATATTGATAATCCTGACCCTGGGTAGGCCTAAGCTAATATGTGTGTTTGTGTCTTAATTTTTAATAAAATGGTATAAAAAGTAAAAATTAGAAATAAAAAAAGGAAAAGACTAATAGAATAAGGATATAGAGACAGAAACTATTTTTGTACAGCTTTGCAATATGTTTGTGTTTTAAGTTCGGTTATTGCCAAAGAGTAAAGAAGCTTAAAAAATGAAAAAAGTTTATAAAGTAAAAAAGTTACAGTAAGCTAAAGTTAATTTATAATTGAATGAATATTTTTTAAAATAAATGTAGTGTATACTAATGTACAGTGTTCATAAAGCCTATGATGGTGTACGGTAATGTCCTTCATCTTCACATTCACTCACCACTCATTCCCTGACTCATCCAGAGCAACTTCCAGTCCTGCAAGCTCCATTCATGGTAAGTGCTGTATACAGTTATACCATTTTTAAACTTTTACTTTGTATGTTTACTGTACCATTTCTATTTTTAGATATCTATTAAGTACACAAATACATAACACTGTGTTACAGTTGCCTACAGTATTCAGTACAGTAACATGCTGGATAGGTTTGTAGCCTAGGTGTATAGTAGGCTATACCAGTTAGGTTTGTGTAACTACACTCTGATGTTCCCACAAGACAAAATTAACTAACAATGCATTTCAGAACACATCTTTGTCTTTAAGTGCTGCATGATGGTATTCATTTCATATTGTGCTAAACAAACTCT
The DNA here is from genome assembly GCF_000001405.40 of Homo sapiens. Taxonomy (NCBI): domain Eukaryota; kingdom Metazoa; phylum Chordata; class Mammalia; order Primates; family Hominidae; genus Homo; species Homo sapiens. Next base: position 76,116,739 of record NC_000008.11, on the reverse strand, counting down.
ACATGTTTGTAATGACAAGCATTTCCTGGGATAATGTAATTTTGTCCAAACTGATTGTGATGGCTAATACAAATTAAGAAAGTAATTTGAACTAACAGAGTATGTTACAGTCTGAATTGCTGAATAATAATTGACACTAAAAGTAACAATAGCAATCACATATTAAGATCTAGTATATTTCAGACACTAACATAAACAAATATTGTTTCATTTACATCTCACAACCTTGTATTTTATCCATGGTTTGAAAGAAAATGGAGACTTTGTGAAATTTAGTCACTTGCCTAGCTCACATAGCTAGTAAATATCAACGTTGATTCAAATCTAAGATAGCATGATCAGAGAGCCAGGCTCCCAGAGTCTCTTAGTAATGAGTGATGACGGTGGCTTAACAATTCCTTTTACAGTTCTTCATATTGAAAAAAATTTAGGAAAAAAATCTTCCTAATTTTGTTAAATTATAAAAAGTTAGAAACGCAGATAAGTAAAAGAGCAATATGGTACCAAATCCATTTCAGATATTTAAAACTCTAAGAAGATAGGAAGCAAATATTCAACTAAAGGATAAAAAATATTTATGATAGGTATTATTTAATAATGGTTCAGAAATATATACTCTATTAGTAATACCCTAAAGAGTTCAATATTTGGGCTTGTTAAAGGCTTTGTGACAAATGAGGTTACCCATTCTTTTGTTCAGAATGCCTCCTAGGAAAGGGAATTAGTCATCTTATCCTTTCTTGGGAGCAGGGGTTTGGGAAATTTTATATTTTTAGAGTAAACATTCCAATAGAATTTTCTGTTATATATGTCGATCAGAAATTGTAAAATAGAGAATATATTTGAATCAGATACAAATTCACTTTACTGAAAGCAAAAGGAAATGTAAATAATGGTGACTGAAATAATTATTTATTTATCTTACTTTAACAGAAGCTCAAATGAGGGCAGCCCTTCAAAGTGCAGCTGCTCAATGACCCAGGTTTGAGGATCCCAATGCACTATCTGTCTGCACCATCATTGGTGGCATGTAGCCGTTGTGTTAATGCTTGTTACCTCGTGGTTGTAAAATAACTGTCACACTTCAGGTATTAAGCCCATATCCAAAAAAATAAACAAAGAAAACAAAACAAAAAAATCAGGAAGCAAAGGTTGAAAGGCCCAAGTGCATTTTATTACTTTTATAAATTTCCCCCTAAGAGCCACTTTATGACTTTTGCTTACATTTCATTGTCTATGTCTAGCTGTAAGTCAACACACAGCTGTAAGAGTGTCTGAGAAAATAAGCATTTTCGCTTTCTGGCTTTTATAACATTGAATCAATAAGAAAGGAAACTGGCTCAGCTTCTGGGTTTAGGCTAAAAAATTATTAAACAGTATAACTACTTCATTGAAAATAAATACCCTGTAAAGTTCCTTAACAGTAAAGCAAAAAGAGCGTTTGTGCTTTCCTTCAGGTAAATAATGGAGGAGAGAAGAATGGATACCGTGGCCCATTTAACAGTTTTCTTACTGGGAATAGTCACGCAGCACCAGAGTTTTGCAGAGTATGCAAAGCAACAGATCAAGCCCATTTTATGGGAGCCTTATACAAACAAAAAGTGGAAATGCATAGAAAATAAATTTGAGTCTAAGAAATAACACTAGACATTATTAATGAAAACAGTAGACCCACAGAAAAGACATTAATGCTTATTTTCTGACTGGAGGTGATTTCTCAACCATAGGCAAGGAAAGTGGAACAAAGCAGAGTTTAAAAGCTTAGTTGAGGAAGCAAAGCTTAGAGTTTTGAGAGGCAAAAGTTTCTAGAATTTATAGGGTAGAATACCAGAGAATAGGGAGCAAAACAGAGAAAAAGTATCATCGTATCTTTTTCTGAATACCAATCTGTCACGTATAGCGTAAAACTTCATGAGGCTGGCAAAGAACAACTATATGAAAAGAACAACTAATGGAGCTCTATAAGCATAACAATTCCAGAGTGCTCAGAAAGATCTGGAAATAACACAACTTCTTGTCAGCCAGGGTAAAGGGAACTTACACTATATACATATATACACACATATATACATACACATACACATATATACATACATACACGTATATACATATGTATACACACACACACACATATATATATACGTTTCAATAGAGACCAAGATGGGTCAGGCTTTAGTAGTCAAATAAAACTATCTCTAGACTAAAGACAACCTAGAGCCATCTTATAAAAGCTGAAAAAACTTCATTGTTATGCAAGGAGTTTAACTGTCTGCCAGAACAAAGAAAGATATTCTATAAAGAAATACAACATACAAGACAGAGTTGGAACAAACTTGAAAAACCCAGAGTCCCCAATCTCAAAACTTACTAAAATACTACTGTAATCAAAAGAATGATGAACATATACACCAATGAAATAGACTTGAGAGTCCAGAAATAAACGCATATGTCTTTGGCAACCTGATTTTCAACAAAGGTACCAAGACTATTCAATGAAAAAAAAATTTTTTAAATAATATTGGGAAAACTAGATATTACATGCAAAATAAAGTTGAACTGCTACCTCACAGCAGATATAAAAATTAATTCAAAATGAATTGGTGTACTAAATATAGAGCTAAAACCACAAAACTCTTAGAAGAAAACATAAGGGTAAGTCTTAATGACTTTGGATTTGGCAAAAGAACTTTGGATATGAAACTTAGATATGAAGGCACAAACAACCAAATATATATATAGATATACACATATATATGTATATATATATGAATATATATATTTGACTTTATCAAAATTAAAACTTTATGCATTAAAGAACATTATCAAGGAAGGGAGAAAGGCAATTCATAGAAGGCAGAAAATATTTGCAAATCACATATTTGACAGCATTCTAGTATCCAGAATATATAAAAACTTCTCATGTCAAAGCGAAAACAGAAAAAACTAACTCAATTTAAAAATGGACAGAGTTGATTTGACGTTTTGCTAGAGAAGACACACAAATGATCAATGAACCCAGGAGAAGATGTTCAACATCCTGAGTCATTAAAGAAATGCAAATTCAAACCCCAGTAAGATACTACTTAAAAATTACTAAGATGGTCATTATAATACTTTTTTTAATGGGAAAGAAAAAGTCTTTCCAAAGACGTGGAGAATTGGAATCCTTGTATACTGCAACATCTCAGGCAGAATTCTTTCACTTAGAAATAAGTATTTATTATAAGATCCATTATTATTTTTTCAAGGCTTACTAACTCATTTCCTTTTGGTGTTGAAAATGTTTTATTGTACAGATGAACCACAGTTTGGTTATTCATTCACCTATTAAATAGCATCTCAGATGCTTCCAATTTTTGAAGATTTTAAATAAAGCTGCTATAAACATTTGCATGAATGATTTTTTGTGGGCATAAATTTGCAGATCAGTGGGATAAATACCTAACCCTAACTGTGTGATTGCTGTATCCTGTGGTAAGATTATGTCTAGTTTTGTAAGAAACTGCTAAACTGTCTTCTAATGTGGTTGAAGGATTTTTTATTTCCACTAATAATGAATGAGAGTTCCTGTTATTCTGCATCCTCAGCAGTAACTGATATTGTCAATGTTTGGGGGAGTTTAGCCATTTTAATAGGCATGCAGTGGTAATTCATTGTTGTTTTAACTTTGTTCTCTAAAAAAATTTGTGTTGAGAATTTTGTATATACCTATCTTCCATTTGTATATATTTTTTGTCAAGGCATCTTTCCGGATTTTTTTGTCCATTTTAATTTTTGTATTGTTGAATTTTAAACTGTTTTTTGTATATTCAGATACAAGTGTTGTGATTTGAAAATATCTTCTTCCAGCCTATGATCCATCTTTTTATTTTCTTAGAGTCTTTCACAGAGCAGAAACTGTTAATTTTAATAGAGCCCAATTTATCAATTTTTTTCTTTCATGAATCATGCTATTGCTGTTATATGTAAACACTCATTTCAAGGCTAAGGTTACTTATATGTTTTCCTGTATTTTCTTCTAGAAGTTTTATAGTTTTTTTTTCTAGTTTGGTCTATGATTCATTTTAAGTTAATTTTTGTAAAAGGTGTATGGTCTTTATCTTGTCTAGCTTATTTTTTATGTGTACATCTGATTGTTCCAGCACCATTTATTTAAAAGGCTATCTATTTTTAAAATGAAGTAAGAGGCTATCTTTTCTCTATTGAATTTCTTTTGCTTCTTTGTCAAATATCAGTTGACTTTTTGTGTGGATCCATTTCTGGGCTCTCTATTTTGTTCAATTGATCTATCTGTTTATTCATTTGCCAGCACTACATTTTATTGATTTTTATAGCTTCTTGTAAGTCTCAAAATTGAGTAATGTCTTTTCTTCATCAGTTAGGTGTTAGCTATGTTACATGTTTTGCCTTTTCATATAAATTTTAGTCTGTTTGTTAATGTCTACAAAATTGTAGAGTTTTTGATTGGAATAGCATTGAAACTATAGATTAAATTGTGAAGAACTGACATCTTAACGTTATTGAGCCTTCTAATCTACAAACACAGAATATTACACCTTTTATTCAGATTTTCAAATATTCAAAGAATATTTGAAATTTCAAAGAATATTCAAATAAATATTCTTTATTTCTTCAGATTTTTATAATTTCCCACATTTAGAGCCTGCATACATTTTGTTAGGTTTATACCTAATTATTTCAATTTTGGTGCCATTGTAAATGTTTCTTAAAAATAAGCAAGTCCAATTGTTAATTAATGGTAGTAGGAGAGTAATTGGCCTTTGTATATTAACCTCGTGTCCTGCAACCTTGATGTACTTGCTTACGTGTTCCAGTTTTTTTTAATTGATGGATTGGGATTTTCTTCATAGACAATTATGTCATCTGCGACTAAAGATATTTTACTTCTTGCTTTACAGCGTGAATACCTTTATTTCCTTTTCTTGTCTTATTTCCCTAACCAGGACTTTGAGTCCAATTTAGTGGTGAGAGAGGACTTCCCTGCCTTGTTGTCAATTTAGTGGAAGGTGTTCAATTTTGCATCATTAATTATGATGTTAGCTGTAGGTTTTTTGCAGATGTTGTTTATCAAATTTTTTAAGTTTCCTTCATTCCTAGGTTGCTGAGACTTTTTCATTATGGATGTCTGTTGGATTGTGATGCTGTATAAGTATCAGCTAATATAATCATATGATTTCTCTTCTTGAGCCTTTGATGCGTAGGAATACACGGATTGACTGTTGGCTATTGAACTAGCCCTGCATACTTGGAACAAATCTCCCTTGTTCATGGTGTGTAATTATTTTTATACATTGTGAGATCTTTGCCTTGTTTTTTTTAATTGCATATTCAATACTGAGACATTGAATATTACTGAGCTCTCAAAGAATTTTTGTGTAATGGTGTCTTCCATCCTTAGTTTATAAAGTATGCCACGTGAGATACTGAGTTTCTACTCTTTTAAAAGTTTAAGAAGAAAATTGGACAGTGCTATGGTGAGGATATGGTTTATTTTACACCATCAAACTCATGTTGAAATTTGTTCCACATATGGTGGTGTTGGGAGGTGGGGTCCAGTGGGAAGTGTTTTGGTTATAGGGGCAAATCCCTTATGAATGTCCTGGAGCTATTCTTGAAATAGTGGCTTCTCACTATCATGAGACTGGATTAGTTCTTGCGGGAATGGGTTAGTTCCTGAGACGGTAGGTTGTAATAAAGCCGGGACTCCTCTCAGGAATCTCCTTCTTTGCATGTATCTGCTTCCCCTTTGACCTACTCCACCAAGTTGTCAAGTAGTATGAAGACCCTTGCCAGAAGCCAGGGGCATGGACTTAGACTTATTAGCCTGCAAAACCATGAGCTAAATAAACCTTTTTCCTTTATAAATTGCTCAGTCTCTGGTATTCTTTTAGGGCAACACAAAACAGGCTAAGACAGCCTTCAAATAAATACATGAACACCAAGTATAGCAGAAGAAATAAGGCATACATGAGAAAGGCTGATAAAAGGTGATTAGAGATGATAACAATGGGAAAATTATTACAGCCAAAAATTCAGATTATGAGAAGGAAAGATGAGAAGATCAAAAATATGTGTCAAGTTTTGAAGAAAAGTGGATCAAACTGGACTGGAATAACTTATTCCTCATAAATGATTAAAACAAACATGCCAAACCCACATTTCTCTCTTGAGATTCAGTAGTCCCTCTCACTTCTGTTTTTCTACAAAAGTATACGTTTAAGTTACAATTATATTTCATTATTCATAGAAAATATACATATGCTTTTTATTTTATAAAATTCCTTGAGCTGGGAAACTGTTTTTATGCAGGTTCTGATTGACATTTATTTTATCAGCCTTGTAGAAGGTGAAGGATTCTAATTTAAGAAAAGAGGATATGATACAAATAGAGCTATTCTAAGTTATTTTCCCCATCTCATCATTCCATGGCAATTTAGAAAAGAGTCATATTATGATTTCTTTCCTTTGCAAAGTTTTAATAATGATAATGACCATGATGATGATTATACTAATTTTCCCACTTCCTCTAGCCATCAGTATATCATATACTATCACAATTGGCAAACTGTGGCAAATGTTTTACTAATAATTGAAAAATAAGATGCTTTGCTTCTGTTTTAATTCTGACATGTAAAGAGCTTAGAAATTATCACTCTGTTCTTACAAAGACAAAAAACTGAACTTACTGAAAATCGATAAGTTTTCTAGCACCCATCAGAGAACTGAGATTGCAGGGTAAACTGCCACTTAATCTAGAGACAGGCAAATTCACAGTTACAGCCAAGATATACTTACCTATAAATTACCTTGGGCAGTAACGCCATTTTCACGATATTGATTCTTCCTATTCATGAGCATGGAACGTTCTTCCGTTTGTTTGTATCCTCTTTTACTTCATTGAGCAGTGGTTTGTGGTTCTCCTTGAAGAGATCCTTCACATCCCTTGTAGGTTGGATTCCTAGGTATTTTATTCTCTTTGAAGCAATTGTGAATGGGAGTTCACTCACAATTTGGCTCTCTGTATGTCTGTTATCGGTGTATAAGAATGCTTGTGATTTTTGCACATTGATTTTGTATCATGAGACTTTGCTGAAGTTGCTTATCAGCTTAAGGAGATTTTGAACTGAGACAATGGGGTTTTCTAGATATACAATCATGTCATCTGCAAACAGGGACAATTTGACATCCTCTTTTCCTAATTGAATACCCTTTATTTCTTTCTCCTGCCTGATTGCCCTGGACAGAAATTCCAACACTATGTGGAATAGGAGTGATGAGAGAGGGCATCCCTGTCTTGTGCCAGTTTTCAGAGGGAATGCTTCCCGTCTTTGCCTATTCAGTATGATATTTGCTGTGGGTTTGTCATAAATAGCTCTTATTATTTTGAGAAATGTCCCATCAATACCTAATTTATTGAGAGATTTTAGCATGAAGGGCTGTTGAATTTTGTCAAAGGCCTTTTCTGCATCTATTGAGATAATCATGTGGTTTTTGTCTTTGTTCTGTTTATATGCTGGATTACGTTTATTGATTTGTGTATGTCGAACCAGCCTTGCATCCTAGGGATGAAGCCCACTTGATCATGGTGGATAAGCTTTTTGATGTGCTGCTGGATTCGGTTTGCCAGTATTTTATTGAAGATTTTTGCATCGATGTTCATTAGGGATATTGGTCTAAAATTATCTTTTTTTGTTGTGTCTCTGCCAGGCTTTGGTATCAGGATGCTGATGGCCTCATAAAATGAGTTACGGAGGACTCCCTCTTTTTCTATTGATTGGAATAGTTTCAGAAGGAATGGTACCAGCTCCTCCTTGTACCTCTGGTAGAATTGGGCTGTGAATCCGTCTGATCCTGGACTTTTTTTGGTTGGTAAGCTATTAATTATTGCCTCAATTTCAGAGCCTGTTACTGGTCTATTCAGAGATTCAACTTCTTCCTGGTTTAGTCTTGGGAGGGTGGTATGTGTCGAGCAATTTATCCATTTCTTCTAGATTTTCTATTTTATTTGCATAGATGTGTTTATAGTATTCTCTGATGGTAGTTTCTATTTCTGTGGGATCAGTGGTGATATCCCCTTTATCATTTTTTATTGCATCTATTTGATTCTTCTCTCTTTTCTTATTAGTCTTGCTAGCGGTCTATCAATTTTGTTGATCTTTTCAAAAAACCAGCTCCTGGATTCATTGATATTTTTAAGGGTTTTTTGTGTCTCTAGCTCCTTCAGTTCTGCTCTGATCTTAGTTATTTCTTGTCTTCTGCTAGCTTTTGAATGTGTTTGCTCTTGCTTCTCTAGTTCTTTTAATTGTGATGTTAGGGTGTCAATTTTAGATTTTTCCTGCTTTCTCTCATGGGCATTTAGTGCTATAAAATTCCCTCTACACATTGCTTTAAATGGAAAAAACTGCTTTAAAGTTCATAAGGAACCAAAAAAGGGCCCACATTGCCAAGACAATCCTAAGACAAAAGAACAAAGCTGGAGGCATCACGCTACCTGACTTCAAACTATACTACAAGGCTACAGTAACCAAAACAGCATTTTACTGGTACCAAAACAGAGATATACACCAATAGAACAGAACAGAGCCCTCAGAAATAATACCACACATCTACAACCACCTGATCTTTGACAAACCTGACAAAAACAAGAAATGGGGAAAGGATTCTCTATTTAACAGATGGTGCTGGGAAAACTGGCTAGCCATATGTAGAAAGCTGAAACTGGATCCCTTCCTTACACGTTACACAAAAATTAATTCAAGATGGATTAAAGACTTAAACGTTAGACCTAAAACTATAAAAACCCTAGAAGAAAACCTAGGCAATACCATTCAGGACATAGGCATGGGCAAGGACTTCACGTCTAGAACACCAAAAGCAATGGCAACAAAAGCCAAAATTGACAAATGGGATCTAATTAAACTAAAGAGCTTCTGCACAGCAAAAGAAACTACCATCAGAGTGAACAGGAAACCTACAGAATGGGAGAAAATTTTTGCAATCTACTCAGCTGACAAAGGGCTAATAACCAGAATCTACAAAGAACTCAAACAAATTTACAAGAAAAAAACAAACAAGCCCATCAACAAGTGGGCAAAGGATATGAACAGACACTTCTCAAAAGAAGACATTTATGCAGCCAAAAGACACATGAAAAAATGCTCATCATCACTGGCCATCAGAGAAATGCAAATCAAAACCACAATGAGATACCATCTCACACCAGGTAGAATGGCAATCATTAAAAAGTCAGGAAACAACAGGTGCTGGAGAGGATGTGGAGAAATAGGAACACTTTTACATTGTTGGTGGGACTGTAAACTGGTTCAACCATTGTGGAAGTCAGTGTGGCAATTCCTCAGGGATCTAGAACTGGAAATATATTTGACCCAGCCATCCCATTACTGGGTATATACCCAAAGGATTATAAATCATGCTGCTCTAAAGACACATGCACATGTATGTTTATTGCAGCACTATTCACAATAGCAAAGACTTGGAACCAATCGAAATGTCCATCAATGATAGACTGGATTAAGATAATGTGGCACATATATACCATGGAATACTATGCAGCCATGAAAAAGGATGAGTTCATGTCCTTTGTAGGGACATGGATGAAGCTGGAAACCATCATTCTCAGCAAACTATCGCAAGGACAAAAAACCAAACACTGCATGTTCTCACTCATAGGTGGGAACTGAACAGTGAGAACACTTGGACACAGGAAGGGGAACATCACACACCAGGGCCTGTTGTGGGGTGGGGGGAGGGGGGAGGGATAGCATTAGGAGATATATTTAATGTAAATGACGAGTTAATGGGTGCAGCACACAAACGTGGCACATGTATACATATGTAAGAAACCTGCACCTTGTGCACATGTGCCGAAGAACTTAAAGTATAATAAAATATATATATATAATATAAATATAATATAATATAAATATAATATAAATATAAATATATATATATATATAAAATATACTTACCTAGTGCAGATGCCACCCACTGGAAATGTATACTGCTAGAAGCACTTAAGTGGTAATTTTGATGGATTGCTGGAGCTGAATGTAGACTAACATAAAAGTTGGAACTCCCTGGAGCTGCCATCGTGGTAGGGGGGCACATTTTTTTAAGGGTTTTATCACTCAGGAATCGTACCATTTGGGAACAAGAGGATCACTGTAACATCTAAGAGAGATCCACTTATGATTGTGGCAGAGAGAAGGGAAGAGTAATCATTGCAAAATATGCCAACAACATTCTCCATAATGAATGCCTACATCTAGAAAAAAGGCCTTTTCCAGAAACTTCTATTACCTGAAGGAATGACATTCCTTCAACTCCACCTCTTTCTTGCTTCCTGCCTAATATAAAAGGGATAAAAAGGCTACAGCAATGGAGAAATGCTTATATAGGTCACAGCTCAGAGGTATGAGATGACTAAATGACTGAAATTCAGAAGATTACAGGTCACTTCCGCTTCTCCGTGTATGACCACCACATAAAAAGGGATCTGGTATAACAGTGAATTGTAGCTAAAACAACTGCAAAATTCAAACTCTGAGGAGGAGAAGGTAAGAGGAGACACACAAAAAGATACTAGGGGAATTAAAAATCTTTGGCACCTATGGCTATAGTAAACAATTAACACAGTTAAACTCCTAATTGCAGTAAGATAAATTCTTACATTAAGTGCCTACTTAACTCGGTTCCTAATATCCAATATAAATGTCCAAGTTAGAACAAAAATTTCACAGCAGGTGAAAAGATAAGCAAACAAAAAATGTCTAAGGAGAAAAAACAACATCATAACAAGACTAACATATGACCCAGATGATAAAATTGTCAGACAGAGTTTTAAATAACTAAAATAAATATCATTAATATATTAAAGTCTCTAAAGGAAAATATAGACAACACATATGAATAGCTTGGTAATGAAAATAGAGAAAAGGAAATTTAAAGGCATAATCAGTAAGAAATGTTTAAAATGTAAACATTATAACAAAAATGAAAGATGCTTTTGATAAGTTCATCTGTAGTCTGACCACAAATGAAGAAAATCAGGGAGCTTAAATATAGGTCAGTAATTTCACAAACTGAAATGTAATAGGAAAAAAAGGAATAAATAAAACAGAGCAGAATATCCAAGAATTGCAGAACAATTTTTAAAAAGTGTAACGTACATGTAATCTGAAGAAGAAACAAGATTAGAACAGAAGAAATATTTGAAGTAATAATGCTAGAGAACTTAACAAAATTAATAGAAGATATACAAGGACAAAACCAGGAAGTTCAGAGAACACCTAGCAGGATAAGTGTAAAAAATATTACATCTAGACATACCATATTTAAATAGTAGAAAACCAAAGACAAAGAGAAAATATTGAAAGAAGCCAGAGGGGGAAAAAACATCAAAACTATAGAGGAAAAAAGATAAGAATTACAGTGACCCCCCTGGCCAGAAACCATGCAAGCATGAGAGTGGAATCAAATATTTACATTGTAAAAAAACAAACAAATAAACAAAAAACAACCTAGAATTCTATAACTAGCAAAATCATTCTACAAAAGTGAAGAAAAAATAGACATTTTCTGGCAATTAAAAAGTAAGGAAATTTATCCACACTATCCTTGCAAAATGTTAAAAGAAGTTCTCCAGGCAGAAGTAAAACAATACAGGTCAAAAACTCACATCAAATAAATAGTGGAAGAGGCATTTATATAATGCATCAGTGGAAGTGGCACCACTCACCATCACCACTAGTGTTCCACTAGCAAAATTTTTGCTTCCAATTCCCACAACATTACATTCTGCTGACCTAGAGGTCTTAGTTTCAGAGGGAAGAAACTGCCACAAGGAGACACAATAATGATTCAATTAAACTGGAGGTTAAGATTGCCACCTGGACACTTTGGGTTCCTCCTACCTGTAAGTCAACAGGCTCAGAAGGGAGTAACATTGTTGGCTGGGGTGGCTGACCTGGACTATCAAGATGAAATCAGTCTACTACACCACAAGGAGTAGGTAAGGAAGAGTATGCATCGAATAAAGGAGATCCATTAGGGCATCTCTTAGTATTACCATGCCTTGTGACTACGGTCAATGGGAAACTACAACAGCCCAACCCAAACAGGACTACAAATGGCCCACACCCTTCAGGAATGAAAGTTTGGGTCACTCCACCAGGAAAAGAACACCACCTGCTGAAGGGGATACAGAATGGATAGTAGAAGAAGGTAATCCTCAACACCAGCTATGACCATGTGATCAGCTGCAGAAATGAAGATTGTAATTGTCATGAGTATTTTCTCCTTGTTTTGTTAAAAACATGTTTGTGCATGTATACACTCGTATTACGAAATTATCCTCATTTTATTTCCTTTTTCCTTTATCATGTGACATAAGATTTATTGACTTCACATAAGCATTTAAGTAGTTAACTTTATGTAATAGTATTTGGGTTGAGGATTGGTGCATTTACAGTTGTACAAAGGATAGTTTTATTATGTTAGATGTAATTATGACTTTTATTATTGTCTTTATTTGAAGATTATGTATGATCTCAGGAGATGTGTATGGGTTCAAGTTGACATGGGGTTGCCTAATATTGAATGTCAACTTGATTGGATTGAAAGAGGCAAAGTATTGATCCTGGGTGTGTCTGTGAGGGTGCTGCCAAAGGAGATTAACATTTGAGTCAGTGGGCTGGGAAGGGCAGACCCACCCTTAATCCGCGTGGGCACCATCTAATCAGCTGCCAGCATGGCCAGAATATAAAAAGCACGTAGAAAAAAATGTGAAAAGACAAGACTGGCCTAGCCTTGCAGCCTACATCTTTCTCCCATGCTGGATGCTTCCTGCCCTCGAACATTGGAGTCCAAGTTCTACAGTTTTGAAACTCGGACTGGCTCTCCTTGCTCCTCAGCTTACAGACAGCCTACTGTGGGACCTTGTGATCATGTGAGTTAATACTTAATAAACTCCCCTTTATCTATCTATCTATCTATCTATCTATCTATCTATCTATCTATCTCCTGTTAGTCCTGTCCCTCTAAAGAACCCTAATACAGAATCATTCAACAGTGGAGGAATGCACAATCTTCTCAAGTTTATATGAAACATTCATCAAAATAGACCATATTCTGCCCCATAAAATACACTTAAGTTTAAAAGAAAATAAAGTATACAAATTATGTTCTCAGATTATAGATTATAATTAAACTAGAAATCAAGTAAAGAAACATAGCTAGAAAATCCACGAATATTTGGAGATTAAATAAAACACTTCTAAATAATATGGATCACAGAGTAAGTCTCAAGGCAAATTTTAAAATATTTCAGCCTAATTGAAAAAGAAAATGTGACATGTCAAAACATGTGATATGCAGCAATAGCAATACTTTGATGGGAATTTATACTATTAAGTGTATACATTAGAAGAGAAGAGAGATCTAAATATCAGTAACCTAAGTTTTCACCTTTACAACCTACAGAAAGAAGAGGAAGGTAAGCTTAAACAAGCAGAAAATAAATAATAAAAGTTACAGTACAAATCAATGATACTTAAATCACACACAAAAAATAGAGAAAATCAAGAGTCAAGACCTAATTTTTTTGAAAAGATCAGTAAAATTGGTAAACCTCAAGCCAGACTCAGCAAAAGAGAGAAGACACAAATTATTAATATCAGAAAAGAAAGAGGATTCATCACTAGTGATTCCATAAACATTAAGAGAATAAACAATTCCATGAAAACTCCTACAAGAATTAGAATTGCTAAAATTTGCAAAAACTGACAATACCAAAAACTCATTTAATGCTAGTGGGAATAAAAAATGGTACATCCACTTTGGAAGATGGTTTGGAAGTTTATCAGTGATAAAAAGGTAATGACCTATAGAGCCATGAAAACACATGAATATGTCTTAAGCACACATTGCAAAACTCAAAAAAGCCTAACTAAAAAGTCTTCATGTTATAGGATATCTGCAAATGGCAAAACATACATGCCTTAATCTGGGCCCATCAGTGCCACCTCATATGACGTCAGGACAAAAGGAATTCACAAACATGTTGATGCTCATGCTGCTTGCTGGATAATGAGAAATAATAACTTTCTTCTTTGACACAGGATCTCTTGTCCTCTTTCCAGCTCTCAAAAACCATAGCAGATTATCTTATTAGTTCTCAAGTGGGATAAAACCTCAAACCTTTATGGTTCTTGACTATCTTTAAATATTAACATTGATTTGTTTTTACATCTGAGTAAATTAAAGAAACTCTATAAGGTCTAAGTGATAAGATTTCAAAGATTTATTCTGGAATTATCTACTAAATATGAAGGTTCCTCATTTTTTCCTCTGCTGTTCATTGTATTTGACCTTGTATTCTTAATAATAATAACAAAATTTATTTATCTACCTCAATGAACTATTTTGTATACATATTATCATGTAATCATCACGACTGAAATGGCATTAAATTCTTATGCACCAGTTTAAATATTTTTTTAAACTCCTACTGGTTAGCAAATACCTATTGTTCAAAACATTTCTCCCCAGTCTATTTCCCCATAGCTTCTGACACCCAATACCATCCCAGGATACATACATCTCCTTTTGATACAACAACTGAAGGATTAACACTTGTCCCATCCCAGGGTCAAGGAGTGGCTTGAGAAGCTAAGGTCCTCAGTGTCCATCTGTTCAAATTGTTTTAAACTGATGGTTAAAATTTTGAATATTACATCTGATAATATCTACATTGTACTGACAATGAATCTGAGGATCAAAAGGAAAGGTAATATCCAAAGTAGCATAGCATACAAACTCTGAGGCTGGGGTTTAGATGAAGAACTGATTAAATCAAAATACTTTTTTGTTTGTTTGTTTTCTGTGTCATTTGCTCCTGTTATTCTAAGAAACTATGCCCTCTTTTTTTTTGTCTTTGAAATTAGGAATGCTTACTTGTTCTACTCTCTGTATATCTACATCTATATCTGTGTCTCTATGACATGATTCTTTTTCTTATGAGGAAGAAGTCCTAGGTAACAGCACAATTGTCTCTAAGCTTAATGTTTAATAAGTACAAAAAAATCCTCCGGTATAAAACAAATTTCGGGGCCTATAGTGCTTCACCTACAGGAAACGTGTATATCATCTACTGTGGGTCCTAGTACTTTGTCTTACCTCAAGTGGACCCAGGAAACAAATACCCACGCCCAAAATACAACACTACTGAGATATGATGCAGAATCAAGACCTAATAATAATTTCAGTCCATGTGGGCCACAACACAATTGCTACTAACTTGAAAAATTTAGAGTTTAAAATATTGGCAGGGAGTGGGGGAGAAGTATAAAGTATACCTGTACTAGCTTTCTTTTTCTTAAGCATGAGAATATTTTCTTAAACATTTCATTTGATATTATTTTTTCCACTATTCAAGGCTCTAATGAAATTTTACATAGGTTAAACACAAATAGCAATCTACAGGAGGCCTTTAATAATCTCTCTCATAATCCGGTATGCTCATGTAAGTCTATGAATGTTGAATGACAGAACTGAAGATGCATGCTTCCTTTTTATTTAGAGAACATTGGAAAATATATACCTGGAGATCCAAAAGAAGCCAAACTGAATTCTAGATTCAAAAGGCCAGGGGCATCTATTTTAGAGTGGAAATTAAAATATTAAAAATATTATATAATCTTGAGTTAGCAAACTAATGACAGTTAGTGATTTTAACAGGATTAGAAAAGGAGAGTAGGAAGCAAAAATCCGTTCTGGTTTCTTTAAAAGTTACATTCCAGTCATTATTCTTACCAAATAATCAGAAACATGTGAATGAATTAAAAAGTAGTAACACTTTTTATAATAATACCTTTCTTGTGGTGAAATTTATTCATTTCTATACTGAAATACCGACTCTTCAAATCGACGAAGAACTTTGTTTCATCAATTCATATTTAAAGGAGTGAGCTATAGCCAACTCTACAGGCTCAACTAATTGGTTACTGCTGTAACAAGATAGCAACAAGAAAAGCTGTTTGTAGCAGGGGCTTTCAGCATCGGTTACAAATGAAATAACTAATTTAAGCCTCCTCAGGCTCATCACCAGCTGGTCAATATGGAACCATACCTTCAGAGAGATAATGAGAAGAATGGTGTTCTAGTTTAGTGATCAACAGCTACACTCTGACCTAACCTTCACCATCAATGTCAATAGACCACAGGAGCTCTCTATTTTCTGTCAAAAATCCTTAAGTTGGTTTGTACTGTCTGCCCAAATACATGTATTTCTTCTTAGCAAAAGAAAAAAACAAAACAAAAGGCGAAGATGATGATATAAATAAAAACATTTATTTTTTAAAGAAGACTCATGATAGATTATTTTTAATATAATACATTTTAAAAACATTTTACCATAGTTTCCAAATCTGAGCTTATAATTTAGCTAGTTCATGTAGACAGGAGAAGAGAGGATTGTGATCCTCTGTATTTGTTGATTTTTAAGAAGCAAAGCAAGTTTTTTGTTTTGTTTCTTGGCAGTATTAATATTTTGGAAAATCACCATGGCTGCTATAAAGGTGCTGTTGACTTATTGAAATGTGATTGATTCAGACCACTTTTAAATGAGTACATATGACTAAATATATAAAATCCCTCCGCTGCCCACACACAACTTCCTCATCATTACTTCTGGTTAGTCAAAAGAAAGGTGATCAATATTCTTTAAGACTACAAAGAAGCATTTCTGTGGATTTTGATCTTCTTTGCTACTGGAACAATGTCTCGTAATCTTTAATGTGCACAAGAACTGCCTGCAGATCTTGTTAGAATGGAGATTGTGACTTAAGAGGTTTGGGATAGAGCCAATTATTATACCTAACTAACCTGCTCAGAATGAAAATGATGCTGCTAATCCATGTATCGCACATAGGGTGGCAAAATACTAGAGAACACATCTGAGAAACCCTGGCTTCATGTGATGCTTTGAATCCAGTAAGTATCGTCTTACTCAAGAGTAAGTAATTGCCCACCTTTTATGAAACTAGTTCATTTTCCTGCATGATGAGATTCTAGTAGAGCATTATCACAAATATTGTAAATGTGCATGTAAACCGTAAAATCCTCACTTGTGGTACTCACAATGGGTAAAGGTTTAAAGTATGCTTCAAGAATGTTTATTTCTCTATCTGTGTATATTGGTTAAAAATTATGAGTTCCTGCTGATATCTTCAACAAAACAGGGTTTATTTTCACCTTCTCTATTTCCTTATTACTAACTCCCTTTTTCCAATAGAGAAAAACCTGCTTCTTACTATTCATTTATCTAATTGCTCAGTCCTAGAATTCACACAAAATGAGAATTGCTAATCCATATTACTGTGACAAACAACTACTAACTAGAGTACATTGACTATTTATAAGCTTTTTTGCATTTAGTCTTCAGTTATATAGTCAAAGGACTCTGTCCTACAGCTAGTTAAGTTAGTTCTTCCAGAGCATCATTCCCATCTCATATTTATAGTGTGGTTATTGTTCACTTGAAATTCCCTTTGGGGTTTTTCTTCTTCATCTTCCATTTTTTATTTTGTTTATTTATGTTTTAACTATGTGAAACTGACATGGTTCTAAATTGTATTAAACTGTATGCTCCAAGAGGTGTTATATCTCTTATCATTTTACTTAATTCCCATTTCTCTATCTTTTCTACCATATTCCTACCACTTCTTGTAGGGAATCACTCTCTATCATTTCTGCATATCTTGCCTTGCGTTTTCTTTTTAGTTGTTTGTATAAGTGAGTAGAATATATATCCCAGATAGATATTTATTAAAAATTCTATGTTTGAGGTGATAATATTATTATTTATAAATTTTCAGGTGAAGTTGGTTTATTTCTGGACTTTTTATTTCATTCCACTGATACATTTGTCTACTCATGCACAAATACTGCGGTTTTAAATACAGAGACTTTATAATGTTTAATGTTGGGTAGAGCTCAGCCTCCTCATAACTTTTTACAGAATGCTAGTATATTACAGAGATAATTTTACATTTTTCTGTCGTCAATTAACAGTATATTTGGGAAATTACTCTGTCTGTCTTTGTAAATATGTTCTAATTTTTTCAGGTTAATAGAACTTTATTACATGGGTATACCACAGTTTAATCATAAGCATTTTTCTGTTTTTACTATTTTGAAACTACAAACAATGCTGCAGTGAATAATCTGGGTATATGTGTTTCATATTTTTAGAGGTATACCTTCAAGATAAACTATGTGAAGTCGAATTATTTTGCCAAAAGATAGGTGCTTAGCTTTTTAAAATATATACAGTTTCCCCCTAAAGTGTCTCTACCAGTTTGCATTCCTCTAGCAATAAATGAGTGCCTTTTTCTCTACAGCTTCACCAAGAGAAAGTGTTGCTATGTTTTAAAATCTTCAACAATATAAGTGAAAAATGAAATCTGGGTTTAGCTTTAGTCTGCATTTTCTTAATTATAAGTGAAGTTGAACATTTTCATAGTCTTAAAGATATATATATATATATATATACACACATATATATACATATATTCACAAATTATCTATTTATATCTTTGGCCCTTTTTTCTATAGAGGGTTTGGACCTTATTCTCTGCTTTTTTTTTTTTTTTTTTTTTTTTCATAAATCAGGGAATACATTCAAAGTTCAGGGAGTTTCCAAGTCATCCCAGGTTTTACTTTCTGTTTGCTGCTGATTCTTCACTGCCCATGTGTGCAGGCGCTCTCTCACAGGGTAGAGAAAATTTCTGAAGAGCAATTAGAAGGTCTCAAGGTTGTAGAGTCTTAGGCTGGGAACTGGCTCACACATTTGTCACAAATTATATTTGCTAAATAAACTAAAAAGTTCGAGAAAAAAAATCAAAGTTATGATAGTGGGAAATTATCCTCCACTCCATAGCCATTTCTGTTGCAAAGTAAGTAAGCATAGTCAAGGGCAGAATATTGCACCATTTTTGTAAGCAATCTACCATATACATGCTGAAAGGGATGTGATTACAGAAAGTAACAGGATGGGTGATTCTAATCTACATTGGGGAAACATTCAAAATATTGTCAAGAAAGAATATTTGAAGCTAAAATATAAAGTTTGAGTAAGAACCAAAATAATTAAATAAAGTACTTAGTCAATTAAAACTCATATAAATATCTTTTTTATGAGGAAATGTCTGTTTCAAGAAATATATGATCAGAAACCATGTCACGGTTTAAACGCATTTTTCAAAGTGTATAAGTAACTTGTTAAATCACAAATTATAAATAAATATTTTTACTAAATATTGTTACAGTTGTATGACAGTACTGAAAAATCTTCTTAACTAATTTTCTGTTGAAAAGCAGAATCTGTAAGATCATACCCAACAGCTAGACTTAGTCTACTATACATTTCCACCAGTGGCTTGCTATACTGACTAAACATTTTAATCACATAGAGAGTGACTTTAGATAATACTGATGAAAGGGACCTAAGTGAAAAAAAAATCAATATAGAAGTTCTAGGGTTGGATCCCAGGAACCAATATTGTTTTGTTCAATTATTTACACACACACTCACACACACACACACAAACACACAAATAGGGACTTTGGGAAGATGACAGAATAGGAAGCACCAAGAATCTGTCCCCCCACCTAGACAACAGTTGCTCTTGCAGAATCTGTCTGATATAATTATTTGGGAACTCTGAAGTTTACTGAAGGCTTGCAACTTCTAGCAGAATTGTTGGACAGTAAATTAAGATTATTTTTAGACAATTTCATCTCTTATACTCAGTAGCAGCTACCCATCCCCTGCCTCTAGTCTCATGGCAAGCAGCTGTGCACATGTTCCTGGAGCAACCTGCAGTTTGTGGAGCCAGGGTGGGCAAAAAGACCATGTCCTCCAATATGGAGGATGTATATTCTGATTACTGATTGTTGCTTCTGATCACAGAGACACAAATAAATAAGTAGGCAGTTGTTGTTGCTGCAACTATCGCCTTTCTTGTGAGTCCTGCTCTTTGGGCTGAAGTGAATTTGGGGAAACTTAAAGGGCCTTTATGTGACCTTTGTTATTCCATTTTTCCTCTGTTGGGAGCCAGCTTTTAAAGACTAGACATTCAAAAACCACTGCATATATAGAGAAAATTAGAAAGTAACTGTGCATGCCCAAGGAAAGGCACAGGCTCAGAAAAGACCAGAAAGACATTAAGTTCATACCTCAGGCTGAACCCTGACACAGATATAAAGTACAGTTTTAAAATTAAAGAAGAGTAAAAATTAAACACACACACACACACCCCAAAACCTAGGAAAGGACGAGAATCTGATTTCCAAAGTTACCACATTCTTAGATTCAAATGTCCAATTTTCAACAAAAAAATCACAAAGTATTCAAAAAATAAGAAAGTATGGCCCATCCAAATAAATATAAAATCAACAGAAACTGTTCATAAGACCAATGCCCAATTTACTAGAAAAAGTCTTTAAAAGAAATCTCTTAAAGATGCTCAGTAAACTAAAGGAAGATGTGGAAAACCCACAAAAATAATATATTAGTGAAATATCAGTAAAGAGATACAAAACATAAAAAGAAACAAACAAAAATATGGAACTGAAAAGTACAACAGTTGAAATAAAAAAGAATCTCTAGAGGAATTCAAAGGTAAATTTGAGAAGAAGACAGAAGAAAGAACTAGCAAACTTAAAGATAAGACAATGAAAATTATTAAGCCTGAGATCAGAAAGGAAAAACACTGAAAAAAAATGAACAAAGCCTAAATGACCTGTGGGACACCATTAAGCAGACCCACTTATGCACTGTGAGGATTCCAGAAGGAAAAGAGAAAAAGGGATAGATAGATATTTGATAGTTTCATGGCTGAAAACTTCCCAAATCTGACGAAAGACATGAATATACACATCCAAGAAACTTAACAAACACCAAGTAAGATGAACTCAAAGAGAAACACACTGAGACACGTTATAGTCAAATTGTCACCAGATAAAGACAAATAGATAATTCTGAAAGCAGCAAGAGAGAGGCACCTCACCACAAACAAGTTATCCACAATAAGATTAACAGTAGATTTCTCATCAGAAACTTCAGAGACCAGAAGGGAGTTGATGTATTCAGTGCCAGTGTAAAAAATTATTGACCAAGGATTCCATATATGAGAAAACCATCCTTCAAAAGTAAAGGATAAATTAAAATGTTTCCAGATAAGCAAAAGCTGAAAATGTTTCTTACCACTAGACCTACCCTGTAGGAAATATTTAAGGGAATCTGCAAGGTGAAATGAAAGAGCACTAGACAGTAACTAGGAGCTGCATGAAGAAATAAATATCTTAATAAGGGTAAGTAATGGGCAAATATAAAAGTTAGTATTATAATAACTATGGTTTATTACTTCACTTTTTGTTTTCTATATGATTTAAGAGACTAATGCATTAAAAAGAATTATTAGTTTATGTTTGGGGGGCATATTATGTATAAAGACGTAATTTTGTGACATTGAAAGAGAGAAGCAGAGCTGTAAAGGAGTAGAGTTTTTCTGTTACTGAAGGTAAGCTGGTGTAAATTTAAATTACAGTGTAATAACTTTAGGATGCTAAATGTAATTCATAGGGTAATCTACATAAGAAATACAGAATACACAAAAAAGAAATGATAGATAAACCTACCATTTCACTACAAAAAACTGAACACAAAAAAAGTGGGACAAAAAAAAAAAAGACATATAGAAAATAATTCACAAATTACCAGAAGTTAGTCCCTTCTTATCAGATTACTTTAAATATTAATCAATTAAACTCTCCAATCAAAAGAGAGATTGGCAGAATGGATCCAATTATATACTGTCTACAAAAAAATTGACTTTAAATGTAAAAGAACAAACAGGCTCAAAGTGACAGAATGGAATAAAATATTTCATACAAATAATAACCAAAGGAGAGCAGGAGTGGCTATACTAATGTATTATTTTATTTGCATTGCTATAAAGGAATACTTGAGGTTGGGTACTTTAAAAAGAAAACAGGTTTATCTGGCTCATCATTCTGTAGTCTGTACAGGAAGCATGGTGCCAGCATCTGCTTTTGGTGAGGGCCTCAGGCTGCTTCCACTCATGGGGGAAGGTGATGTCACAGCAGATGTGTCACATGATGAGAGAGGAGGAGGCAAGAGAGAGAGGAGGAGGAGGTGCTAGGCTCTTTTGAACAGCCAGATCTCTCAGGAACAAATAGAGTGAGGCCTCACTTATTACCATCAGGAGGACAACAAATCAGTCATGATGGATCCACCTCCATGATCCAAACACCTCTGACCAGGCCCCACCTCCAGTATTAGGAATCAATTTTTGACATGAAACTTGGAGGGGAAAAATATTTAAACTATATTAACTAATAGACGAAATAGACTTTTAAAATGTTTACAAGAGACAAAGAGGATATTATATATTAACAAGAAGTTCAATACAGTAAGAAGATGTAACAATAATCAACATTTACACCTACTGAGAGACCATCAAATGCACATGTGACATTTTATGGAATAGCCCATATGTTAGCCCACAAATTAAGTCTCAATAGGTTTAAAAAGATAAATATCTTTTATATATTCTGCATTCTTTATATATTTTGTGTATTCTGTATTTATTTACTAGGCTACCCTGAGGATAAATATCACATAAAGTATCTTCTCTGATCACAATAGAATGAAACTAGAAATCAATAACCTAAGTAAAACTGGAAACTTCACAAAATTTTGGAAATTAAACAACATGTTTTAAACAACCAATACATCAAGGAAGATATCACAAGGGAAATTTTTAAATATTTAGAGATGAACTAGAGATGAACTGAAAGGCATACAAAGTGGTATACAGGCATACAGAGCAGACATCAGAGACTCAGGAATGGGGGAGGATGTGAGGGGAATAAATAATCAAAAATTACATATTGGGTACAATGTACACTACACAAGTGACAGACACAAAAAAATCTCAGACTTCACCACTATAAAATACACTCATATAACCCAAAACCACTTGTCCTCTAAAAGCTATTGAAATAAAAAATACATATTAGAAATAATAATAAATTAAAAATTAAAGTAATGAGAAACTTAAAAAAATGTAGAGATTAATGAGAATAAAAATACAACATACTGAAACTTATGGGACACAGTGAAAGCAGTGCTAAGGGAAAAATTTACATATATAAACAATTACACATTAATAAATAAGAAAGATCTCAAATCAACAACCCAACATTGTGACTGAAGGACTAGAAAAATAGGAACAAACTAAACCCAAAGCTAGCAGAAGGAAAGAAATCATAAAGATTAAATTAGACAGGAATAAAAAGGAGAATAAAAACTAATAGAAAAAATTTAATGAAACCAGAAGGTAATTCTTTGAAAAGATCAATAAAATGAACAAATATTTAAATACAGTAGGAAAAAAGAAGATTCACTGAAATCACAGGTGAATGTGGCAACACTACTACCAATTCCACAGAAATAAAAAGAGTTATAAAAGGGAACTGTGATCAATTGTACGCAAACAAATTGGATAATCAAGATGAAATGGACAAATTCCTAGAAAGACAAAACCCACCAATACCAAATCACAAGGAAATGGAAAACCTGAATAGACCTGTAACTAGTAAGGATATTGAATTGGTAACCAAATATCTCAAGACAAATAAAGGCCCCAGGCCTTATGGCTTCATGGGTAAATTCTACCAAATATTTATAGAAGAACTAATATCAACAATTCACTAACTTTTCCCAAATTTTAAGAGGAAAGAACACTTCCTCATTGTATAAGGCCAGCATTACTCAGATACCAAAGCCGGAAAAAGATGAAAAAGACACCATGAGAAAAGAAAACTACAGACAAATATATCTTATCAACAAGATACTAGCAAACTGAATTCAGCAGCATATTAAAAGAATTATACACTATGACCAAGTGGGACTTATTTCTGAAATACAAAGATGGTTCATCATCTGAAAATCAATGTAATACACCACATTATAAGAGCAAAGAAAAAAACGATTATCTCAATTGATGAAGAAAAAGCACTTGACAAAATTTAGGACCTTTTAATGACAAAAACATTCAACAAAATGGGAATAGAAGGATACTACCTGAGCATAATAAAAGCCATGTATGAAAAATTCACAGCAAACATACAGATGGAGTATCCCTTATTTGAGATGCTTGGAAAAAGAAGTGTTTAGGATTTGAGAATATTTTCATTATACTTAGGTTGATTATCCCTAATCGTAAAACTTAAGATCTGAAATGCTCCAGTGAGCATTTTCTTTGAGTGTCATGCTGGCACTCAAAAATTTTCATATTTTAGAGCATTTTGGATTTTAAATTTTTGGATTAGAAATAATCTGTACTTAACAGTGAAAAATTCCTCTAAGATCAGGAAAATGATCTAAGATCTGGATGCCTTCTTTCACCACTTCCACTCAACATAGCACTAGAAGTTATAGCCAAACAATTAGATAAGTGAAAAAACACAAAGGGATCTAACTTGAAAATAAAGTGTTAGCACTATCTTTGTTCATAGGTGATATGATCTTATATATAGAAAACCCTAAAATACCACAAAAATACTATCAAAGCTAATAATTGAATTCAGCAAAGAATCAAGATACAAAACAAATGCACAAAAATTTGTTGCATTTCTACATACTAACAGTAAACAATTTGAAAATGAAATTAAGAAAACAGTTCCATTTGAAATGGCATTCAAAATAAGAAAACACTTAGGAATTAACCAAGAAAGGGAAAGACATCAATGAAAACTACAAAACATTACTGCAAATAAAATTAAGACCAAATAAGTGGGAACACATTTCATGTTCATAGATTGGAAGACTTAATATTGTTTAAATGACCATACTACTCAAAGCAATCTATGGAATCAATGCAATCCCAGTGATAATTTTTGCAGAGATAGAAAAACCCTTCTTAAAATTTATATGGAATCTCAAGGGACCCAAAATAGCCAAAACAATTTTGAATAAGGACAAAGATGAAGGATACACACTTTCTGATTTCCGAACTTATTACAAAACTACAATAATCAAAACAGTATGGTACTGACATCAGGACAGATATATAGGCCAATAGAATAGAACAAAGAGCTCTGTTATGGTTTGAATGTATGTCCCTTCCAAAATCTATGTTGAAACATAATCCTTATTGTGGTGGTGTAAAGTGGTAGTTTCTTTTGGGGCAGTCAATAAGTTGAGAACCTCACCCTTTGAATGAACTGAAGCCCTTATAAAAGAGGCTTCAGAGAGTTCACCTCTCTTCTTCTTTTTCTAGGAGGTGTTTTGTTACAGCATCACACATAGACAAAGAAATGAAGTAGGAGTGTTGCTATAATAAATACTGGGAAATGTGAAAGCTGCTTTGGAACTGGGTAATGGGTAGAATTTTGACATGAATGCTGGAAAAAGCTTGTATTGTCATGAATGAATAATTAAGGGTAATTATGGTGAGGGCTCAGAACAAGGGAGCCGTATTCATCCTTGGACATTATCTAAATGGTTGTGAACAGAATGTTTGTAGAAATATGCTTAGTAAAAGCCATTCTGGGAGACCTGGGAAGATAGTGGATAGCAGACAGGACTAATGTGCAGCTCCCACTCTGATCGACAGAACAGCATGTGGAGATTCACACCATGAACTTTTGCTCTAAGAACCACTGCAGGAATGTATCAGGAAAACCTAAAGGATTCACAGATCCTTTGAAAGAAGTGGTACACCACAGAAAAATTCCACAAAACAGGCCGGGTGCAGTGGCTCACACCTGTGATCCCAGCACTTTGGAAGCCTGAGGTGGGTGGATCATGAGGTTAGGAGATTGAGACCATCCTGGCTAACATGGTGAAACCCCATATCTACTAAAAATACAAAAAAAATTAGCCGGGTGTGGTGGGGGGCGCCTGTAGTCCCAGCTACAAGGGAGGCTGAGGCAGGAGAATGGCGTGAACCCAGGAGGCGGAGCTTGCAGTGAGCCGAGATCCCACCACTGCACTCCAGCCTGGGCAACAGAGCCAGACTCTGTCAAAAAAAAAAAAAAAAAAAAAATTCCACAAAACAGATGAAAAACTGTGAGTTCCCAAAATGTAAGGGGGAAAATCTTACCTCTGAACACACATGCCCACTGAAGAACCTGAACATCCAGATTATGGAAGAAGGATTTAACCTTACCTAGATTTGAAATACATTTAGTGAGGAATATAAAAGTAGAAGTAGCAGCGAGAAGAGCTTTGTAGGCACTCATTCTCCAGCTCAAGCCCAGAGAAGCCATCCCTGACTATATTTCACAGGGTCCCTTGGATAAGGCATCTGGTGGAATTTGGGATGGGTCACAGGGTGAAAGAACATTCCAACTGAACTTTGCAATAATTTCAACTCAGGTCAAACTCTCTTGAATCTAGGGGGTGAACAGGAACTGCTACAGAAAAGCGTGCAGGAGCTACAGCCAACAGTGTGGGCAGGCAGGGAGGGGCAACATCTGATGGCTGTGCTTGCTTTCTCGGTGGGGAAGCTTATTGCCTGGATCAAGGTCTGAGATCCATGTGCAGGCTGCCTGGAGATCAATTCAGCTTTGTTAACAGGGCACAGTGGGAGTGAAACCAACTTCACCAGCTGTGTGAGCGTTGGATGAGGCCTATCACTACCGGCTTTCTCCCACTTCCCTGGTGACAGGGACAGCCATAATCCCCTCTGGAACGTAAACTTTTTGGCCTGAAAACCACCCCCATTACCCATAGTGGCCACAGCAAGCCCCACCTAAGGAAAGTCTGAGCTCAGACCTACCTAATTCTCGCCCGACCTAATGGTTTTTTGCTACCCGCCCCGGTAGCCAATCACAAAAGAAATAAACTCTTGGGAACTTCATGGCCCTGCCCATCACCTGAGAAACCTGAATACCTACCCTCGTCAATTTAGGGTGGCTTTTATCCCCTTTACCATCATAGCTGGTGCTCTCTTGAAAACACCACCTCCTAGCTGGAGGTCAACCAACTCAGGACATTACAGCAATTCATGACAGAATAACCCTGGTCAAAGCAAGAAGAAAATAACAGCTATTCCTTGGCTAACCAGAAGTCCTGAGTCTGTCCACATAACAACTTCACTGCTAGCATAACCAGCATTCAAGAAAGCCAGCACACTAAACAAATCTACAACTAAGGACTCTCACAGAGTCTACTGCCACCTCCACCAGAAGAGGTGCTGGTATCCAGGGCTGGGAGACCTGAAGATGGATCATATTACAGGACTCTTCGCAGACTTTCCCAGCACCAACCCAGAGGCCAGTAGCCTTGCTGGGTGGCTAGACCCAGAAGAGCAATAAAAATCACTGGAGTTGGCTCTCAAGAAGCCCCATCCCTAGGGGAAGGGGGAGAGCACCACATCAAGGGATCACCCCAAGGGATAAAATAATTTGAACAGCAGCCCCTGAGTTCCAGATTTTTCCACTGAAATAGACTACCCAAATAAGAAGGAATCAGAAAAGTAATTCTGATAATATGACAAAACAAGATTCTATAACACCCCCAAAAGACCACACTAGCTTCCCGGCAATGGATCCAACCAAAAAGAAATCTCTGAATTGCCAGATAAAGAATTCAGAAGGTTGATTATTAAGCTACTCAATGAAATACCTGAGAGAAGTGAAAATTAACTTAAAGAAATTAAAAAATAATAGAGAATATGGATGAAAAATTCTCCAGAGAAATAGGTATCATAATGAAAAAACAATCACAAATTCTGAAAGTGAAAGACACACCTAGAGAAATACAAAATGCACTGGAAAGTGTCAACAATAGACTAGAAAAAGTGGAAAAAGAACTTCAGAGCTTGAAGACAAGGCTTTTGAATTAACCCAATTAGACAAAGGCAAAGAAAAGAGAATTTAAATAACTAGATAAAGCCTCCAAAAAAATTGGAATTATGATAAATGGCCACACTTAAGAATAATTGGTGTTCCTGAGGAAGAAGAGAAATCTAAACGTTTGGAAATATTATTTCAGGGAATAATTGAGGAAAATGTCCCTGTCCTTGCTAGAGATCTAGACATCCAAATACGAGAAGCTCAAAGAACACCTGGGAAATTCATCACAAAAAGATCATTGCCTAGGCACGCAGTCATCAGGATATCTAAAGTCAAGACGATGAAAAGAATATTGACATGTGAGGAAAAAGCATCAGGTAACCTATAAAGGAAAACCTATCAGATTAACAGCAGACTTCTTAGCAGAAATACTACAGGCCAGAAGGTATTGGGTTCTTATCTTTAGCCTCCTCAAATGAAATAATTATTAGCCAAGAATTTTGTATCCAGAAAAACTAAGCTTCGTTAGTGAATGAGAGATAGTCTTTTTTAGACAAATTCTGAGGGAATTCACCACTATGAAGCCAGCACTACAAGAAATGCTAAAAAGAGTTCTAAATCTTGAAACAAAACCTCAAAATATACTAAAACAAAATCTCCTTAAAGCATAAATCTCACATGACCTGTAAAACAATAACACAATAAAGAATCACAAAGTATTCAGGCAACAACTAACATAATGAATAAAACAGTGCCTTACATCTCAATACTAATGTCGAATGTAAATGGCCTAAATGCTCCACTTAAAAGATACAGAATGGCAGAATGGGGAAAAAGAAAATCCAACAATCAAGTATCTTCAAAGTATCTGTCTTCAAAAGACTCATCAAGCGCTTAAGACTCACATAAGTGTTAGGTAAAGGGGTGAATAACAACATTCCATGCAAATGGAAACCAAAAGCAAGAAGGAGTAGCTATTGTTATATAAGACAAAACAGACTTTAAAGCAACAACAGTTAAAAAAAGTCAAAGAGGGACATTACATAATAATAAAAAGAGCAGTCCAACAGGAAAATGCAATTATAAATATATATGCACCTAACACTGGATATCCCAGATTTATAAAATAATTATTATTAGGCCTATGAAATAAGATACAAGGCAACACGATAATAATGGAAGGCTTCAATACTTCACTGACAGCACTGGACAGACCATCAAGACAGAAAGTGAACAAAGAAACAATGGACTTTATGCCTTAGAACAAATGGACTTAGGTATTTACAGAGCGTGCTACCCAACAACAGCAGAATATACATTATTTTTGTAAGTACATGGAACATTCTCTAAGATAGACCATATGACAGGCCACAAAACAAATCTCAATAAATTTAAGAAAATTGAAATTATATCAAGTATCCTATCACACCACAGTAAAATTAAACTGGAAATTAACTCCAAAAAGAACCCTCAAATCTATATATATACATGGAAATTAAATAACCTGCTTCTGAGTTATCATTGGGTCAACAATGAAATCAAGATGGAAATTTAAAAATTCTTTGAACTGAACAATATTAGTGACACAACTTACAAAACCTCTGGGATACAGCAAAAGCAATGCTAAGAGAAAAGTGCATAGCATTAAATGCCTACATCAAAAAGTCTGAAAAAGCACAAATAGACAATTAAAGGTCACACCTCAAGAAACTAGAAAAACAAGAATAAACCAAACCCAAACCCAGCAATAGAAAAGAAATAACAAAGATCAAAGCAGAACTAAATGAAATTGACATAAATACAAAATATAAATAAAATTAAAAGTTGGTTCTTTGAAAATATAAGTAAAATTGATAGACCATTAGCCGTATTAACAAAGAAGAGAGAAGATCTGATTAAGCTCAGTTAGAAACAGAACAGGAGATATTACAACCAATACCACAGAAATACAATCATTCAAGGCTCCTATGAACTCCCTTACATGCACAAACTATAAAATCTAGAAGAGATGGATAAATTCGTGGATATATACAACCCTCCTAGATTAAATCAGAAATAAATAGAAACTAAACAGGCCAATTGCAAGTAGCAAGCTTGAAATAGTAATTAAATAAAAAATGCCAACAACAATAAAAAAGAGTCCAGGACCAGATGGTTTCAGATTCACAGCTTAATTCTATCAGGCATTCCAAGAAGATTTGGTACCAATCTTACTGAATCTATTCCAAAAGACAGAAAAAGAGAGAATGTCCCCTAAATTATTCTATGTAGCCAGTATCACCCTAATACCAAAACCAAGACAGGACATAACAGAAAAAGAATACTACAGACCAATATTTCTAACGAACATAGATGTAAAAATCCTCAAAAAATACTAGTGAACCAAATCCAACTGCATATAAAAAGATAATAACTATAACCAAGTGAGTTTCATGTCAGGAATGCAGGGATAGTTTAACATACATGAGTAAATAATTGTCATACATCACATAAACAGAATTAAAAACAAAAATCATGTGATCATCTCAATAGATGCATTAAAATCATTTGACAAAATCTGTCATCCCTTTATGATTAAAACCCTCAGAAAAATCAGCATAGAAGGGACATAACTCAAAGTAATAAAAGCCGTCTATCACAAACCCACAGCCAACATTACACTGAATGGAGAACAGTTGAAAGCATTTTCTCTGAGAATGGAACAAGACAAAGATGACAACTTTCACCACTGCCATTCAACATAGTACTGGAAGTCCTAGCCAGAGCAATCAGACAAGATAAATTGAAATTATATCAAGTACTCTCTCATACCATAGTAAAATTAAACTGTAAATTAACTCCATAAGGAACCCTCAAAGCTATATAAATACATGGAAGAAGGTGCCTGATTCTCTTTCACCTTCTGCCACAACTGTAAGTTTCCTGAGGCCTCCTAGCAATGCTTCCTGTTAAGCCTATGGAACTGTGAGTCAATTAAACTTCTTTCCTTTATAATTACACAGTCTCAGGTAGTATTCTTAATAGCAGTGTGAAAACTGACTAAATACAATACCTAACCAAGGAGGTAAAATATCTCTACAAGGAAAGCTACAAAACACTGCTGAAATAAATCATAAACAACACAAACAGATGAAAACACATCCCATGCTCATGGATGGGTAGAATCAATATTGTGAAAAGGATCATATTGCCAAAAGCAATCTAAAGATTCAGTGCAATTCCCACCAAAATACCATCATCATTCTTCACTGAACTAGAAAAACCAATTCTAAAATTCATATGGATCCAAAAAAGAACCTACAAAGCCAAAACAAGACTAAGCAGAAAAAAATAATCTGGAGGCATCACATTACCTGACTCCAAAGTGTACTACAAGGCAATAGTTACCAAAATAGAATGGCACTAGTATAAAAATAGGCAGGCAGACCAATGGAACAGAATACAGAACCCAGAAATAAAGCCAAATATTTACACCCAACTGATCTTTGACAAAGCAAACAAAAACGTAAAGTGAGGAAACTATTTAACAAATGGTGCTTGGATAACTGGCTAGCTACATGCAGAAGAATGAAGCTGGATTCTCATCTCTCACCTTATACAAAAAATCAACTCAAGATGGATGAAAGACTTAGTTCTAAGACCTGAAACCACAAAAATTCTAAAATATAACATTGGAAAAACTCTTGTAGACATTGGCTTAGGCAAAGCCTTCATGACCAATAACCCAAAAGCAACTGCAACCAAAACAAAGATTAATAGATGGGACGTAATTAAATTAAAAAGCTTCTGCAGAGCAAAAGAAATAATCAGCAAAGTAAACAGACAACCTACAGAGTGAGACAAAATATTCACAAACTATGCATCTGACAAAGGACCAATATCCAGAATCTACAAAGAACTCAAAAACATCAGCAGAAAAATAACAAATAATCCCATCAAAAAGTGGGCAAAGGACATGAATAGATAATTCTCAAAAGAAGATATACAAATAGTCAACAAATGTATTTTTAAAATGCTCAATATGACTAATTATCAAGAAAATGCAA
This sequence comes from Homo sapiens, assembly GCF_000001405.40. Classification (NCBI taxonomy): domain Eukaryota; kingdom Metazoa; phylum Chordata; class Mammalia; order Primates; family Hominidae; genus Homo; species Homo sapiens. The sequence continues at coordinate 76,084,763 of NC_000008.11, read as the reverse complement.
GTCAAAACCACAATGAAATACCACCTTACTCCTGCAAGAATGTCCATAATTAAAAAATCAAAAAATAACAGATGGTGGTAATAATGTGGTGAAAGGGAACACTTTTACACCGCTGCTGGGAATGTAAACTAGTACAACCACTATGAATAACAGTATGGAGATTCCTTAAAGAATTATTTAATAAAAGTAGAACTACTATTTGATCCAACAGTCCCACTACTGAGTATCTACCCAGAGGAATAGAAGTCATTATATGAAAAAGACACTTGCACACGCATGTTTATAACAGCACAATTTGCAATTGCAAATATATGGAATCCACCTAAATGTCCATAAACCAAGAAATGGATTAAGAAAACTTCGTAAATATATATACCATGGAATACCATTCAGCCATAAAAAGGAACAAAATAATGGCATTTGCAGCAACCTGGATGGAGTTGGAGACCATTATTCTAAGTGAAGTAACTCAGGAATGGAAAATCAAAACTCATATGTTCTCACTTATAAGTGGGAACTAAGCTATGAGGATGCAAAGGCTTAAGAACGATACAATGGACTTTGGGGACTTGTGGGGAGGTGTGTGGAGGGGTAAGGGATAAAAGACTACACATTGGGTACAGCATACACTGCTCAGGTGACAAGTGCACCAAAATCTCAAAAATCACCACTAAAGAACTTAGTCATGGAACCAAACACCACCTGTTCCCCAAAAACTATTGAAATTTAAATAAAATAAAATAAAAGCTGTTCTGATGAGGTATTAGATCAAAATGAGGAAAATCTCATTGAAAACTGGAAAGAAGTCCATTCTTGTTACAAAGTGGCAAAGAACTTGGCTGAATTTTGTCTGTGTTCTAATGCTTTCTGGAAGGCAGGATTTAAGAGTGATGAACTAGGGTATTTGGCAGGAGAAATCTCTAAGCAAAGTGTCCAGAGTGCTGCATGGCTTCTCTTAACTGCTTATAGTAGAATGTGAGAAAAGATAAATAAATTAAACATAGAATTTATAATAAGAAGAGAAACAGAACATGGAAATTTGGAAAATTCTCAGCCTAGCTACATAAGAATTTTTTAAAACATGTTTAGGAGAGAAAACCAAGGGTACAGCTAAGTGACTATGTGAAAAAAAGATTAGTCTGGATACAAGGAAGCCAGATGCTACTGATCAAGACAATGGGAGGATAATTCTGAAAGCATTTTGGAGATCTTTGAGGCTGCTATGCTCATCACAGTCCAGGAGTACTAAGGACAGAAGAGTTTCAAGGGAGTGGTACAGGGTGCCATTGGGACCTTAGGCCTTTCTGTCCAGTGCCACAAGTCTTTACTTCCCACATTCCAGTGAAGCACTCCTTGGCCATCCTAGCTCAAGAGTGCCCAGGTGCAGCTCAGCCTACTTCTCCAGAGAGCACAAGCAGTAACTCTTGGTGGCATTCACATAGTGCTAACTAAGCATGTGCACAGAGTGCAAGAGCTGTGGAAGCTGCCTTCTTCTACCTAGATTTTAAAGAATGCCTTGGTGATCCCTGTAGCCCAGGTAGAGAACTGCCACAGGGTGAGGCTGTCATAGCGTCCCCACTAGGACAATGCCTAGTGGAGAAATGGGGTATGGACTAACACCCACAGTCGTCACAGGAGCAATTCTCAGTAGAGTTGTAGTGTTTGGGCCACTGCAGAGAGCCCTATAAAGGTATTGCCTAATAGAGTTACGGGGTCATGGCCACCCCCAAGACCCCAGAAGGGTAATCCCACCAGTGTGCAACTTTAACCTGGGAAAACCAAAGCATGTAACTTCAATGCATGAGAGTTGCAGCCAGCAAAGCTGTGAAAGGGGGGTTTCTCAGAGATTTAGGGATCCAATCCCCATCTCAATGTATTCAGAGGGTGTAACAGGGAGACAGCATTATTCTCAGTCCTCATGATTTAACATTATTTGCCTCATTGAGTTTTAAACTTACTTGGGACCTGTTATTCCTTTCTACTTTCCTATTGCTCCAGTTTGGAATAAGAATGTCTATCCTCTGCCTGTCCCATAGTTGTATTTTTGAAGCACATAACTTGTTTGATTTCACAGGCTGACAGCTGGTGAGAAATTTACCTCTGGATGACTCATGCCTTGAGTCTCACCCATATCTGACTTGAATGATATTTAGATGAAACTTTGGACTTAGACTGTAAAGTTGATGCTAGGTAAGTTTAGACTTTTGGGGTTATTGGGATGGAATAAATGCATTTTTAATGTGAGAAGAACATGAATTTGTGGGGGCCGGGGGAGTAATAGTATGGTTTGAATATGTGTCCTCTCCAAAATTTATGTTCAAACTTAATCTTCCCCTGTGGTGGTATTAAGAGGAGGGGCCTTTTGGGAAGTGATTAAGCCAAGAGGACTCTGTTCTCATGAATAAATTAATTCTATTATAAAAGAGGCTTCAAAAAGAATTTGCCCCTCTTGCTCTTCTGCCTTCCACCCTGTAAGGATATGGCGATAAGGCACCACGTTGGAAGCAGACAGACTGGGCCTTCACCAGACACTGAACCTGCCTGTGCCTTGATACTGGACTTCCAGGCTCCAGCACTGTGAGATATAAATTTCCATTGTTTATAAATTACCCACTGTCAAATATTTTGTTATAGCATAATAAAAGGAGTAAGAAAAGCCCAGAAATAAATGTTGGCATATATGGTCAAATTATTTTGACAAGGGTGCCAGACCATTCCATGAGGAAGGAACAATATTTTCAACAATTTGTAAATGGCCACATGCAAAATTACAAGTTACCCAACATCATATGCAAAAAGGAACTCAAAGGAATCGAAGACCTATTGTTAGACCTGAGGCAATACAACTCTTAGAAGAAAACTTTATGACACTGGATTTGGCAATGATTTCTTGAATATGACACCTAAGACACAGGCAATAAAAGAAAAAATAAACCAGACTCTGAACAATTTTTAAATGTAGGTACTAAAAGACACTACGAGCAGTAAACAGGAAACCCACAGATTGGGAGAAAGTATTGCAAATCATAAATCTGATAAAAGATTAATGTCCAGAATTTGTAGGAAATGCCTAAAACTCAATAACAACAACAACAACAACAACAACAAAAAACAAACTAAAAACATAATTTAAAAATGGACAAAGGACATAAATAGGTTTTTCTTCACAGAATATATAAATATAGTCAGCAAGCACATTAAAACATACTGAACATTCTTAATCATTGGGAAAATGCAAATCAAAACTACGAATACAGTACGAATGTATTAAATACCACTAAAGTGTACATCTAAACATTATTAAGATGGTAAATTTATGTTATGTGTATTTTACCAAAATAAAAAAATTAAATTACATGAAGTCATTATCACAACCAAGGTAATAGACATTTTCATGAGTATATGTATATGTCGAAACTCATCAAATTGTATACATTAAACTTGTAATTTTTTAAACAGCTTTGTTGATGCATAATTGATATATAAAATTTTTCCATATTTAATGTAAATAATCTGATAAGTTTGGTCATATACATACACCCATAATGTTGTCACCATAATCAGGGTAGTAAAAATATCTATCAACTCCAAAAGTTTCCTTGTGGCCCTCTGTGGGTGGTGTGTGTGTGTGTGTGTGTGTGTGTGTGTGTGTTTTAAGAGCACTTACATGAAGGAGAATTATTGCTCTATGGGTATAAAGTTTCACTTATGCAAGATGAATAAGTTCTAGAGATTCCCTGAACAACATAGTGCCTATAATTAATAATACAGTATTGTGCACTTAAAAAGTTGTAAAAAAATTAGAACTAATTAACTTTTTTTTTTTTTTTTTTTTTTTTTTTTTGCGACAGAGTCTCGCTCTGTTGCCCAGGCTGGAGTGCAGTGGTGCGATCTCGGCTCACTGCAAGCTCTGCCTCCCAGGTTCATGCCATTCTCCTACCTCAGCCTCCGGAGTAGCTGGGACTACAGGCACCCGCTACCATGCCCGGCTAATTTTTTTTGTTTTGTTTTGTTTTTTTGTATTTTTAGTAGAGACGGGTTTCACCGTATTAGCCAGGATGGTCTCGATCTCCTGACCTCGTGATCCGCCCACCTCGGCCTCCCAAAGTGCTGGGATTACAGGCATGAGCCACCACGCCTGGCTAGAATTAGAACTAATATTGTTTATATGCTCCCAGTAATTCTAAATGGGCATTCACAGTTTTAAATGTCATCTAGAATAAAACAAAATCCACTGGAAAAAATCACGCTAATTTCCAAAATACAAAACACTAGCCTAAATTTGTCATTCCCCAAGAAATAAGTATATTTTTTGTTATTCCCTTATAAGCTATTATAATCATTGATTTATCCATTCTTTTATTCATCTTATTCATATTGATTTCATAGTCTTAATTCAAAAAGCATTTATTGTGCTTATTACACTAGTCTCTATTGTAAACTTGAAAATGATTGTTTAGTGCCTAGTACATGAAACACAGTTTTGTAGCCCTTGTGGGAGATACAATAATGGACTTTCCTCCAAAGAACTTATTGCATAGGGAATATAGAAAACATATATGAACAAAATGCAAAAAAAAAAAAATAAGAAACAGAACTATATCAAAAATTGGCATAAAATGCTGAGAATTGAGAAGTGAGAAATGCAATTTCTGATTGAGAATATCAGAGAGGGATTTTTGAAGATGGCTTTTAAGCAAGGCCATCAAGAATAGATAAACTTGATGACACTATGTAGATAAAAATAATCATGTTCTATATAGTTTCTTGTTTATAATAGCAAGGTACCTGCCATTTTGAATTGTACAGACAGCCAGAAATGTCCATGCTTCTCAACTTTCTGTAGTGGAAGAATCTAATAGTAACTGAAAAATCGATAGTTTTAGAAACCATAGCCAGAAATTCTAAAGTATTAAAAAAGATTAATTATTCCTTCTCACATGGAATATTATTTGTGCCTTATTTCAATAGAAACTTATCCTATTAGATCAATGAAGGAAAGATGGTGAGAATTAATACAAAATCTAGATTTTTGGAAAAATAGACTTTAATTCATTTTTAATTACCCAGTACATATAAACTATCGAAGTACTCTATTTTACATTCCTAAGGAGGACGGGTTTAATAAGAAGAAAACTTATAATTTTTATGTTAGTTATTTGTTGGTAAATTGAAAGTAATGAAAACAGTGTTTGGAAATTGGTTGCTCTCTAAATGATCACCCACATGGATCTTTATTGCACTTTTAATTTGTTTAAGTTTTTTTATTCTTTTGTCATATTTGCTAAAAGATAATCTGAGTGGCTTTAAATATGTTTGGCTTCTTGATTATTTGTAAGAATGTTAGAAACAGTTATTGCAGTTCTTGTTTTTTGTGTTTTTTTGGTTTTGTTTTGTTTTTCAGTGATCATGAGGTTTTAATGCCTCTCCTAACCCAGGATTAAAATAAACATGCAGCTATTCAGGATAATGTTATAGAGAGGAGCTATATATTTAGCATTCATTGAATGACCTCTTAAGTAACCTAACAATTAATGAAAGGCTTCTTGGCAAATAGTAGAGGACTATCCTCCACACTGGACATTCGAGGTTCTTATAACACAATTTTTGAGGACCTTCACTTTATGTACTTTTACAAATAAATCAAGAAATAATAGTATCTTAAGGAATGATAGGTGCACCTTTTTTTTTTTTTTCCTGAGACAGAGGCTCGCTCTGTCGCCCAGGCTGGAGTGCACTGGCCGGATCTCAGCTCACTGCAACCTCCGCCTCCCAGGTTCAGGCAATTCTCCTGTCTCAGCCTCCTAAGTAGCTGGAATTACAGGCGCATCCCACCACGCCCGGCTAATTTTTCTATTTTTAGTAGAGACGGTGTTTCACCATGTTGGCCAGGCTGGTCTCAAACGCCTGACCTCGTGATCCGCCCGCCTTGGCCTCCCAAAGTGCTGGGATTACAGGCATAAGCCACTGCGCCCAGACAGGTGCACTTTTTAATTAATTCATTAATTTAAAAAATACCTAACAATTATCTGTTATGTGCAGGAAGCTACATTAGATTATGTTTATTATTTGGAATAAGTTAATTTGAAGGAAAATTGGATCACATGTTCATCCATGACTAAATGATGCTAATATGAATAAATTTGTGCCAGTAGGCTATAAAATGGTTCTTAGTATAAGTTGATTATTGATTATACTGCTTTGAATGAAGCCAACACACTATTTCTCTAGTTTGTTTTAAAAATTACCACAGCATTATATTTTTATTCAATAAAATTGCACGAGAGCTTCCAAATCACAACTTCGAGTGTTAACAAACTGACTGAGTTTGGTAAACTAAATTAATAAAGGAAACATGGTTTGAGACTTACCTGTTTTTGGAATGGCTACAGATTTTTCAGGAAGCTCTAATAATAACTTTTTCAATAAGAATCCTATTGTCACAAGTTTCTATGTTTGTTTTTTCTTTTCCCAAAGAAAAGAGCCTATCCCTAAATAAACATTTCCTCAGAAACCAGAATGCCATCTACTGGTAGCCTCCAAAATTTTGTTAACTTTTAAACAAAACAATTTATGTTAAATCAGTTTAAAATAAAAAATATATTTTTAGTGAAGAAACATCTGACTTTTGAGGTAAATATGTATGTTATCATGTTCACATGTTTAAAAATTGAGGGATTTTTTTATATATACACTACCTTTTATTGCCATGATAGGAAACCATTTTCATGTGGTAATATAAATAATATAATTATCAAAAGGCTAATATCATCACAATATTCTTACTAATTAGAAGGGGAAAGATTCTTTAAATAAAAAATATATTCAAGGTCAAAAATATTTTTAATAGTTCTATATGTCATTAGGTCAACAATTTACATTATAGCTCATTTGATCCAAAGAATATTGATGGCAATTATCCATAGCATAGATATGATAACTTTATTGAAAAAGTATTTATAAGAAATACTTTTGACTGAACAAGACTCTTTGTGGAAACGTTTTCAAAATGTATTGCTAACAATATCTAATTAGTCTTTCTCAGCAGCTCAACATAATATTGAACTTATACCTATAATATAAATATGTATGTTTTAAATGTTTTGTTCAACTGATTCTGCAGTAAAGGAAAATAATGAACAACGAAAATCCCTTTAGATTTTAAAGCACCAAGAGCTTTTTAAAAAATAATCTATGAATTATTTTAATTATGTAATGGTTTACTACAAGCCTTGTATTAACTTTATCTTTTATTGTTCTTTTATGCATAATCTTACACATTTAAAAGATTTAATTCTTCAGTCTTAACAAGAGTAGAATTCACACAAAGATTATAAAAGCTTAGATTCATATCGTGATTGGTTTGGTAAAGCACCCAATTTCCCTTCATTTTCCAGAGGACTCATCTCGTTGGTCATCAGTAGAAAACTTTATGGGAAGCCTAAAGGTAGCCATGCTACCTTATAAATGTGCATAGTCCATGCATAAGAATGCATTTCAGGAAATCTTGAATTCTTATCTTGGTCTTTTTCAGTTAAAGTAGGAGAAGAATACTTAAAAAGTAAGTCCTATCAGTCGAGAAAAGCATTTTTAAAAGGCCATTATAAACGAAGTTCTCAGAACTCTGTCTCCAGCAAAGATATAAAGGTTACAAATTGCCTAGGCAGCCCTACTATATGATCATCTTATTTTAAATACAGATTGTCAGCAACTTTGAACCATGCAAGTTCATGATAAAATTGAGAGAAATACAAAATATATATGAAGAACAAGAGCATTTTCCTGCATCGGAATTTAAGAGAGCACAAAATATTCAATAAACTAGCTTTAAATTTGTGATTATTTTGGTAAAAAGCAGAGAAGAGAGTGTTAATTTATTTTCAATTTTTAATGCATATTGATATATGATGAAATGTTTTCTATTTAAATATTATAATTCACAGAAAATAGTATAATTACCTACTAAAATTTGGAATGATCAATGTAAAACTACTTCTTACAAAATTTTGTAAGCTGTCCTCAAAAATGCAAGAGATGCTGAACACTAATTCATAAAGAAAATTAAAATTAACTTAAACACATACATGGATATGTGTTTGATCTCTTATTGTTTAAATAAAAATTCACAAAGCAACTGGACTATATTGCCATTATAAAAGAAAGTGCAGTAGTTTAGATCACAGTAGTAGTTTAGAACATTTTTGTAAAATGAATTAAACCATTGTATATCATCTACTCTTGTTTCCATCCTGAAAAAAATTTCTGGTAGCCAACTGTTTTGAAATAAATTTTTCTGCAGTTGCTATAGTGATGACAATAAAGTTATTGCTTCTATTTGTGTGATAGAGGTTTCTAGCAGAACACTTGAAAAGGTAAGCTAATCAAAATGAAGACACTGTTAGTTCTCATCTTCAAGGCAGCTTTCTTGAATTTAGTTCACAATTACAGGACTCAACCATTGTTGACAATTTCATTATATACATATAATCATAATATATTTTAATATAGCTGTAAAACATTATATAACAAAGATGAGCTCTCTGTTTTTAATTATAGGCTAAAGTCATTGGACAAAGGATATTTAAGTTAATTCTGAACATTCTGTGAGAAAATCAAGGATTGAATCAAAGATCCTACTCCATTAGCTATTTTTGTCCATTACAAAGCTTTATTTTTTTAACAATACAATGATTGTATGTTATTTTGTTTCGATGGTACAGCTTGTTCAAGTCTCATTTCATCTCAATGTTGATGCAAACTAAAGAGCTTAAAAGCAGACAGTAACTTGTCAACTGGATGAATCATCAAAGACATGTCATGGATAAAGTAGGATTACATAGAAGCAAGTTCTGCCACAATGACATGAAAAAGTAATAGTATTTACCTTAAAACATTTGGAGAATTGAAATAGCTTTAAAAATTATTGGGTTAGAGAAAAAATATGCAAAACAGCATGTACAAATATAGAAGGTATTTCATGTCATTTTTATAAACAAGCAGAAATGTTTATTTTGACTATCAAAATCCAAGTGATTAGTTTAAAATAACCACAGTTCAACAAAGTATTTCACTAAACTACTTACCATACTTGTAATCATGATTGTACTATAAAGATACGTAGCACTTGTATGCTACAAGACCTATGGATATTTAATATCAGAAGCATACATATTATTTTTTTCATTAGCTCCTAAGAATAACTCTTGCTTTTAAATAAGCTATATTATAAATGATGTGTATTAGTTTTCTATTGTTATATGACAAATTGTCACAAATTTAGTAGCTTAAAACAATACCTTTTTATTAATGAGTCCAGACACAATGTGACAAGCTTAGGATTTCTGGTCCTGATCATAATTCACTCATTCTAAGGCTAAAATCAAAGTGTCAGCCAAACTGAGTTCTCATCTGGGGGCACTAAGAAAGGATGACCTTCAAGTGCATTGAGATTATTGGTAGAATTAAATTGCCTGTGGATGTAGTTCTGAAGTACTTGTTTTCTTGCTGGTTATTAGTTGGGGAGCCACTCCATTCCTAAAGGCTGCCTGCATTTCTTGTCTCATGTTCCCCTCCTCCTTCAAAGCTAGCAGTAGAGAATCTCTCTTGTATGGAATTCTCTCATGCCCTGAATCTCTGACATTAGGAAAAGTCCATTTCTTCTCCAGGGCTCTGCTGATTAGGCCAGACTCACCCCAGATAAGATGTCCATCATTTTCAAAGCCCCAAGGATTATGCAGGGTGCACAGACAACAGGGCAGATGTTTTGGGGGCCATCTTTGAATTCTGCTACCATGTGATGCAAATGTAATTGGTTATTCCATGAGATAGAGTTGTTGTTTCAATACAGACTCAAGATAAATCACAAGAATAAAGTGCTGTCTAAAAATATTGATTTAAAAAAATCTGTAAGATTTTCTTAAAATAAAAAATGAGTGAATTGAGATGGGAAATTATTAGTATTCATACAGCATGATGCAAAGGGCAGAAGCTAATTGGAGCCCTCTCTTACTGTCCAAAATTTTCACTCATAGGAGACCATAATCATAACCCAGAATCAAATGGCACTGAAAGGTGACTCAAGAAGTTTGTAGAAGAACTCTGATCAAGAATTTTAACTCAGATAAGTATTCCTATCATTATTTTTCTCTATTGGTGGTCATTGAGCTGGCTCTAAATACTTGGATACATAAGGAAAAGATACAATAGTTAATTTTTTGTTGTCAAGTTAGGAAAACTTGTCATGAATATTTATGTATCACCGTTGTAGTCACACAGCATGGATTTAGTGTTGTATTCTTTCACTTATTCCCCTTATGATCTAGAACAAACTCCTAGGATCTTCAGTTTCATTACTTGTAAAATGGGCATAATAATAGTATGTGATATCATTGTATTAAAGATAATTGGGACAATGCCTGTACGCCAATTCCTTTATAAAACCAAGTGCTCAAAAAATGGTAGTTATTATTATTTTTATTATTATTTTATTGATTGCTGAAGGCTTTATGTGAAATGACTGCTCTGAACTGTACTTGGAGCAAAAATATAGAATTTTAATGAATCATCACAACACTTTATGATATAGATATTATTATCTCAATTTTGTATTTAAGCAAACTAATTGGGAATGTTATAAAGCATGCTCAAACTGACTGGTGACAGAGTGAAGATTCCAAACCAGGTCTATGCTTTTAGTCATTCCTCTTTACTATACACCTCTCTTAAAAGCCACAAGAGACCATTCACTTCAATTACCTATTCTGACCTCATAAATAGATGGCTGCTTAGTTCTTGGTATTTAGGGGAACTAAAAAATGCCCTTCTCCAATATTACAAGTATCAGAGAACATTAACTAAAGTATTTACCACTTTCACCCTGAGGAACAGAGAAGCCATGTTGGACATAGGAAGGACAGTGGGAAACTGAGAACACCAAATATAATGTTTATTCACTGTATGATTTTGGTAAGGGCAGCCGTTGATAAATGTTCCTTAGTATTCTCTATTAAAAAACCAGAAAACTAAATATTAAGTATCTGCATGTATATTTATGAATGTTCAAATGAGGTGTCTATTAATTTCAGAGAACACATACACTGAGACAATTGCATTATATACACCACTGTTCTGGTACATTTATTAGTGGTTTCAAATCATGTAACAAACACTATCTAAGTCCTCTTGGTGACAAAGGCAATTGTGTGCAAATTCCTGATGATGGAATTAATAATTTATTTTACTATGGGCATTTTAAACCAGAAGTTTAAATTTAAAACAGGTATTCTTCAAAACAGTATAGTTAAAAGGCCAGAGATGTGAAGCCATAACCTGACCAATGACATTCAGGTCATGAGTAAACATATGGTCTGCCACAGTGACTCAATTAACCATCCATCAATGTAATTGCATAATACATCAGAGGAGGTAGTCTCCTACCAGTGAGGGTCAGCATCCCCTATTAAATTTAACAGGAAAAGCATCACTTTGCCATTAGCTTCTTTGGCTATATATTTTTAAATATTTTGAAAATACATTCGATACTGTATTTTATACTTACTGTTCTCTGGAAGAAATTTTTGACAAACTGATATTTGGGCTGCTGGTTAAGAAATAATTCTACTTATAATAAAGCTGGCATAAATGAAAAGCACAACTTACAAGACAAGTATTGCATTTTAATCAATTCTAATCACGTTATTGTTGAGATAAGAAAGAAGGAGGTATACCATTTATACATTATGTAAATTGTACATAAAGTTAACATGTTACAAACTTCTATGAAGAGATATGGCTGAACTGGTTTATGCAATCTTTGTGAACATTAAACCTTCTTGGCATAGTACACATGATAAAATAATGGCAATGCCTTATTAAGTAATTTTTTAAAAAAATGTATGGGGTATTAAACTAGATTGTCAGTATGATAGAGAGCTTGAAATCAAGAACAAATAAACATAATACTGGGTTTATGCTTCATAAGCAAGATGTACTTAGTAAATCAGGAAATGCTCTGTTCCTATCTGGTATGTTTCTCCTTCTTTTGAGGTTCACATCCTGAGGGAGAGTTGTACATTATTAATGTTATGTGCATTTAAACCTACACCTTAGCATCAAGAAAAAATAGTGGAGAGAACTTAAAAGAGATATTTTAGCTAATAGATACATAGTTCTCACTTGCATTGTATGCAACCTGCATTCCCTTTGTAGACAGAAAGTAACCATTGGCCAAGGCCCTATTCCTATAGGATTATTGATATAGAAAAAAATGATACCCCTAGATTTCTGCTTTCTTCAGGACTCCACCTTCCTCTGGTATAATACAATTTTTTTCTGACCTACAGTTGTTTGATATAAAATCTTACTATATTTTTTGTTTTATTTATTTTTGGGGGGACTTGGCACATCACTTTAGAATAAAGTACAATATTACTAAATAGTCAACTAGAATTATAAAATATTAGCAATATTTACCTTCTAACAAAACACAAGCTGAATGTATTAACTGATTACCAGTTATATTAGGTAACAGTTTGGAAAAAAATGGCACAGGGCAAGAAGAAAAAATGAACAAGTCTTCAAAAATTGTTCTAAGAAACTAAACTACTGTGGCTATCGGCTCTGATGAGAATGGTGAAATTGTTTGGAGAGGAAACCAGACATTGCAATGAAAAAATAATCTCTATTACTAAAACTAACTTAAAAAGCCAATATCTATATACTGTTTACTGTGAGCTCAAGTAAGAACTATTCCCTATTTCAAAACTGTCAGTCCTCCCAGTCCTTTATATTTGCATTATCAACAAGCCTGTATATATTACTGAAAATTCTTTAGTGTTAAGTATACTCTTTTTAACAATTTTTTTCTGGATATAGAGATATAATCATAGAATAAAGTTCTTCTGGAGTTTGAAAACAACTTTTGTCAGAAATACATTGTTTTCCTAGAAAGTCATGAGGGTTGCTGAGATTATTCTTGCCCATCAAAATCTCTGTCTCATTAGTTATGCCATACTACCTAGGGAAAATATCAACAGTGTTCTCCTCACGCATAGGCAGCAGGTTCTGTGTTACATCAGTACCAATGCCAAAGCCTTGGCATGCTGAATTAGCAAATTCCACTTGGAAACTGAACTGCAACTGGCTTGCTTTTACCATTACGGTTGGGCTTGCAGGCTACCCTGGTTCACCTGCTATGCCACTGTACTGAGGAAATATAATTTTTGTGAATTAGTTCTGTCTGATAATACTTTATACTTTCTCCTATTTTTTTTTAAAAAAGATGTAGAATTGATAGGGATTTACTTAAAATAAAATTAGTCTGTTGTAACTCCTTTATGCTTCACTTTGAATAGATGAGCCAACGTTTTACTTGAGTGAATACATAAAGGCCATGATAGTTTAACTTTTACAACTCTCATTATTCTACCTCCAAGCTTATTTATCCCTTGTTTGCTCCTTCCTTACTTCAGGGGTCAATAATTTTTAATGAGATAACTGAAAGGAACAGTTTTGGGGGTTTGGAGAAAGGTAAAATCATAATCACCAGGAATTCATTGCAGAACTCCACGTAATTACTGTGAAGAGACTGAAGTTTTCAGGCCCCACTTGAATTACCAGGTATGAATAATTACCATGGAGAACTTCTGCTCTGCATGAAATTATGTTACTTTACACACAATATTATTAGTTATTACAGAAATGCAAAATAAATCCAGAATAATTTACCTAATAGAATAGCAACTAAATAAAATTTAGAACTGACAATTGCAAGTGCTGACAAGGATGTGGAAGAACTTGAACTGTCATATATTGCTGGTGAAAATGCAAAATAGTATGATATGGAAAACTGTTTGACAGTTTTTTGGTTTTTTTTTTTTGTAAACTTAAGCGTCCGCTTAGTGTATGACCCGGTTATTCCACTTCTATTTATTTACCCAGGAAAAATAAAATCTATAGTAACAGGAAAACCTGTCTATTAAGGTGCATATAAACTTTATTTGTAATAGCCTAAAACTGGAAGCAATACAAATATCTCTCAAGTGAGGAATGAAAAACCAAAATGGAGAATGTTCATACAAGAAAATATTACTTGACAATAAAAGAAACTGACTATCGAAACACAGAACAACATCAATTAATAGTAAATTCATTAGGATGAGAGAAAGAAGCCAGACTTAAAGGCTGCATATTCTCAGTTCAACTTCTATGAAATTATAGAAATGGCAACATTGTAATAATGGAGAGCAGGTTATTGGTCACTATGGGTTAAGAGTGAAGGGAAGGTTTAAATATAAACAGTACGAAGAACTTTTGGATAGGATAATGAAACTGTACTGTATATTGATTGTGGTGGTGTTTACACAAGTACATGCATTAATCAAAACTCATAGAACTGTTCACCCAACAGTGTTAATTTTAATATATGTATATTTAAAAATCCGAATAACACATACTTTGCACATTTTAATTTGGAAAAACTAGGGTCCCTTTAGAGTGAAAAATGTATGAATCTCTTCCCTGGAGTTGTAGAGGACTTGGATATACATTCTAGAATATGAAGATTGATTGAAATTCTTAGAAGCAGAAAGTGGAAGAGAGAGACAAAGTGAGAAGAAAAATAGCTGCATGGTGAGTGTATATTAATGACTGGAAGGCACATTGGAATGTAGTTAATTTCCTGCAATCAGTAGCTACTTCCATAATAATTACACATGTGTAATTCCTTCTCTCTATATATAATTGCATGTGTGTGTGTATATATATATACACACACACATACATAAAATTGTGTATGTATGTATATATATGTCTCTGTATATAATTGTGTGTATGTGTGTATATAGATACATATATGTGTATATATACATGTTTATATGTAAACATACCTATACCCATATATAAGCATATATATACCCATAAACATATATAAAATAGATATTATATATTATAATATATATTATATATATAATATAATGTATAATATATAAATCTATATTGTAAATTTAAATAAATTATAAATCTGTAATATATAAATCATATATATAATATTATAAATCTATAATAATGCTGTCATACCAGGTTACTAAAGCTAAAGCTTTAGTTTTAGTAACCTGGTAGCAATTGCACAATACTACTCTACCATTTATATGGACTGAATTTTTTTTATATGTTTCTATTCTTAATCTTTCATGGGCTCTGATGAGTGTGTCTAAATGAGATAATGGATGCTCTTCCTGTATGCTCTTTCTGAAATTTATTTCCACTTTTGGGATGGAAGTGACAGGTACTGACAATTGGCCTAAATTGAGGGTTCTTAGGATAAGACATTGTTCCTCTGGAAGCCTATGATTACTAAAATTAGAGGAGACCAGGAGGCTTGCTCAACTAAAATTAGAGGAGACCAAGAAGGCATCCATGTGACAGGGGAGAGACAAAGGTGGCCAGGGAAGATTTGATACACACAAGATTTATATTATAAATAAATGTATTGATGATAATAGTGGCAAGTTTTCTCACTGTTATATGAGACTTCCATTCGTGCAAAGGGAGAAAACTAATGTAAACCTTGCCCTGTGTTGCTGAATTGGGATTGGAGATACCAGTGTGAACTCATGGTTTTCAACATAGACAGTTAGATATGTAGTTAGAGAGAGAAAGATAAGTATATATCAGGAAGGGTTAGAGGAGAGAGAAATAAGAGAAATAGAGACAGAGAAATCGATATAGGTTTGTGTGTGGGCGTGGGGAGGGTATCTTTCCACTGAGTGGGCTGGGCCTGGGAGCAGTGAGATACCAATAGCCATGAGCTCACCTAGACCCAGATCTTAATCCCTAAATATTATTCTTCATCAAAAGCAACCATTTATCCTGGGAGAAATGATAAATAGCCATTTTGTGGGGAGAAGTTCTTTGTTAGTGAAAGTACAACATGAGCCTGGAACATCTTCTTGTGCCAAAAACTTAAAAAGTGCTAAAAGAATTATGAGACATGCCAATAAAACACAGAAGTCAGCCTAAAGTGTTACTACTCACAAAATCTGGTATAAATTGAGCATTAAATTACATAATGCTATAATAAATTATAACCCATTGAATAAAACAATAGGTTATTATTTTATATTTGCAAACAGGATTCCATGAGGCCAAACTGATATATTTAAAAACACACATGTCAAGAACAGAAAGTTTTTTGCTTATAGTAGGATACTAATATATGCAGTAAAAATTATTTTTTCTCTTCATTCAGCAAAAATTCTGGATACAATACACTATTATTAACTGTAGGCCTCATGTATTAAAGGTAATGGCAAAACTGCAATTACTTTTGCAATAAACTATATATTAGATCTTCAGCCTTGTTCGTCCTACATATCTGCTACTTTGTATCTTTCAACTTTAATCTCTCTATTTTCCTCCTGGTAATTGTTGTTTTCTCTATCACTATATATTAGACATTTTAAAATTTTAGATTGCATATAAAAGTGAGATGATGCAATATTTTTCTTTTTCTATCTGGTTTATTTCATTTAGCATAATGTCTTCCAGATCCATCCATGTTGTGGCAAATGGCAGAATCTCCTGCTTTTTAAAGATTGGATGATATTCCATCACATATACAATAGTTTCTTTATACATTTGTCCGCTGACAGACACCTAGGTTGTTTCCATATCTTGCCTGATGTGAATAATCCTACCATAAATATGTAAGTGCAGATATCTTTACAAGGTGCTGATTTTAATGTCCTTTTGTTTAGTCATATGGTAGTTCTATTTTTAATTTCTTCAGGTATGTTCATATTGTCTTCCACAATGGCTGTACCAATCTACTATTTCTACCAAGAGTATATAGGGTTCCCTTTTTTTCCACACCCTTGCCAACATTTGTTATTGCTTGTTATTTATATAACAGCTGTTTTAAGGAGTGTGAGGTGATATATCAAGGTTGTTCTGATTTGCAGTTTTCTGGTGATTAGTGATCTTCAGCACCTTTTCATTTATGCATTGGCCATTTTTATGTCATCCTTGGAGACATGCCTATTTTTGTCCATGGACATTTTAAAATCAGGTTACATATTCTCTTGCTATTGAGTTGTATGAGTTCTATATAAATTTTTGATATGAACTGCTTATCAGATACATGGTTTGCAAATATTTTTTCCAAATACATAGTTTGCTTTTTTGTTGTGTTAATTGTTTCCTTTGCTGTGAGAAACTTTTTAGTTTGATGCGATCTCATTTATTTAATTTTGCTTTTGTAGCCTGAGATTTTGGGGCGATATCTACAAAATTCTTGCCAAGGCCAATGTTAAAAAGCTTTTCCCCTATGTTTTTTTTCTCTTTCTAGGAGATTTGTGAGTTCAGGTCTTCTGTTCAGATATTTTATCCATTTTGAGTTGATTTTTGTGTATGGTATACCATAAGGATCCATTTTATTTTTTTAGCATGTGGCAACATAGTTTTGTCAGAAACATTTATTGAAGAGACTATCCTTTCCCCATTGTGTCCTCTTGATGCTGTGTCAAAAATTGATTGACCATATAAGTTAGGATTCATTTCTGGGCTCTCTATTCTGTTTTGCTCGGCTATGTGGCTGTTTTCATATCAATACCTTACTATATTAATCACTCTACCTTTGTAATATAATTTTACGTCAGAAAGTATAATAATATAATGTTAAATCAGAAAGTGTGATGTGATGCCTTCAACTTTTATCTTTTTCTCAGAATTGCTTTGGCTATTTGGAGTCTTTTGTTACACCATACAAATTTTAGAATTGTTTTTTCTATTGCAGTGAATAATGCTACTGGTTATGTTGTTTATTTGTGTATAGAAATGCCATAAACATTTGTATGTTGATTTTGTATTCTGCAACTTTACTGACTTTATTTCTTTCTCTTTGAAGCAACTTTGAATGGGAGTTCACTCATGATTTGGCTCTCTGTTTGTCTGTTATTGCTGTATAAGAATGCTTGTGATTTTTGTACATTGATTTTGTATCCTGAGACTTTGCTGAAGTTGCTTATCAGCTTAAGGAGATTTTGGGCTGAGACAATGGGGTTTTCTAGATATACAATCATGTCATCTGCAAACAGGGACAATTTGACTTCCTCTTTTCCTAATTGAATGCCCTTTATTTCCTTCTCCTGCCTCATTGCCCTGGCCAGAACTTCCAACACTATGTTGAATAGGAGTGGTGAGAGAGGGCATCCCTGTCTTGTGCCAGTTTTCAAAGGGAATGCTTCCAGTTTTTGCCCATTCAGTATGATATTGGCTGTGGGTTTGTCATAAATAGCTCTTATTATTTTGAGATACATCCCATCAATACCTAATTTATTGAGAGTTTTTAGCATGAAGGGTTGTTGAATTTTGTCAAAGGCCTTTTCTGCATCTATTGAGATAATCATGTGGTTTTTGTCTTTGGTTCTGTTTATATGCTGGGTTACATTTATTGATTTGCGTATATTGAACCAGCCTTGCATCCCAGGGATGAAGCCCACTTGATCATGGTGGATAAGCTTTTTGATATGCTGCTGGATTCGGTTTGCCACTATTTTATTGAGGATTTTTGCATCAATGTTCATCAAGGATATTGGTCTAAAATTCCCTTTTTTGGTTGTGTGTCTGCCCGGCTTTGGTATCAGGATGATGCTGGCCTCATAAAATGAGTTAGGGAGGAATCCCTCTTTTTCTGTTGATTGGAATAGTTTCAGAAGGAATGGTACCAGTTCCTCCTTGTACCTCTGGTAGAATTCGGCTGTGAATCCATCTGGTCCTGGACTCTTTTTGGTTGGTAAGCTATTGATTATTGCCACAATTTCAGAGCCTGTTATTGGTCTATTCAGAGATTCAACTTCTTCCTGGTTTAGTCTTGGGAGGGTGTATGTGTCGAGGAATTTATCCATTTCTTCTAGATTTTCTAGTTTATTTGCGTAGAGGTGTTTGTAGTATTCTCTGATTGTAGTTTGTATTTCTGTGGGATCGGTGGTGATATCCCCTTTATCATTTTTTATTGTATCTATGTGATTCTTCTCTCTTTTCTTCTTTATTAGTCTTGGTAGTGGTCTATCAATTTTGTTGATAGTTTCAAAAAACCAGCTCCTGGATTCATTAATTTTTTGAAGGGTTTTTTGTGTCTCTATTTCCTTCATTTCTGCTCTGATTTTAGTTATTTCTTGCCTTCTGCTAGCTTTTGAATGTGTTTGCTCTTGCTTTTCTAGTTCTTTTAATTGTGATGTTAGGGTGTCAATTTTGGATCTTTCCTGCTTTCTCTTGTGGGCATTTAGTGCTACAAATTTCCCTCTACACACTGCTTTGAATGTGTCCCAGAGATTCTGGTATGTTGTGTCTTTGTTCTTGTTGGTTTCAAAAAACATCTTTATTTCTGCCTTCATTTCGTTGTGTACGCAGCAGTCATTCAGGAGCAGGTTGTTCAGTTTCCATGTAGTTGAGCCGCTTTGAGTGAGATTCTTAATCCTGAGTTCTAGTTTGATTGCACTGTGGTCTGAGAGACAGTTTGTTATAATGTCTGATCTTTTACATTTGCTGAGGAGAGCTTTACGTCCAACTATGTGGTCTATTTTGGAATAGGTGTGGTGTGGTGCTGAAAAAAATGTATATTCTGTTGATTTGGGGTGGAGAGTTCTGTAGATGTCTATTAGGTCCACTCGGTGCAGAGTTGAGTTCAATTCCTGGGTATCCTTGTGAACTTTCTGTCTCGTTGATCTGTCTAATGTTGACAGTGGGGTTTAAAGTCTCCCCTTATTATTGTGTGGGAGTCTAAGTCTCTTTGTAGGTCACTCAGGACTTGCTTTATGAATCTGGGTGCTCCTGTATTGGGTGCATATATATTTAGGATAGTTAGCTCTTCTTGTTGAATTGATCCCTTTACCATTATGTAATGGCCTTCTTTGTCTCTTTTGATCTTTGTTGGTTTAAAGTCTGTTTTATCAGAGGCTAGGATTGCAACCCCTCCCTTTTTTTGTTTTCCATTTGCTTGGTAGATCTTCCTCCATCCTTTTATTTTGAGCCTATGTGTGTCTCTGCACGTGAGATGGGTTTCCTGAATACAGCACACTGATGGGTCTTGACTCTTTATCCAATTTGCCAGTCTGTGTCTTTTAATTGGAGCATTTAGTCCATTTACATTTAAAGTTAATATTGTTATGTGTGAATTTGATCCTGTCATTATCATGTTAGCTGGTTATTTTGTTCGTTAGTTGATGCAGTTTCTTCCTAGCCTCGAAGGTCTTTACTATTTGGCATGGTTTTGCAGTGGCTGGTACCGGTTATTCCTTTCCATGTTTAGTGCTTCCTTCAGGAGCTCTTTTAGGGCAGGCCTGGTGGTGACAAAATCTCTCAGCATTGGCTTGTCTGTAAATTATTTTATTTCTCCTTCACTTATGAAGCTTAGTTTGGCTGGATATGAAATTCTGGGTTGAAAATTCTTTTCTTTAAGAATGTTGAATATTGGCCCCCACTCTCTTCTGGCTTGTAGAGTTTCTGCCGAGAGATCTGCTGTTAGTCTGATGGGCTTCCCTTTGTGGGTAATGTGACCTTTCTCTCTGGCTGCCCTTAACATTTTTTCTTTCATTTCAACTTTGGTGAATCTGACAATTATGTGTCTTGGAGTTGCTCTTCTCGAGGAGTATCTTTGTGGCGTTCTCTGTATTTCCTGAATCTGAATGTTGGCCTGCCTTGCTAGATTGGGGAAGTTCTCCTGGATAATATCCTGCAGAGTGTTTTCCAACTTGGTTCCATTCTCCCCATCACTTTCAGGTACACCAATCAGACTCAGATTTGGTCTTTTCACATAATCCCATATTTCTTGGAGGCTTTGTTCGTTTTTTTTTATTCTTTTTTCTCTAAACTTCCCTTCTCGCTTCATTTCATTCATTTCATCTTCCATCACTGATACCCTTTCTTCCAGTTGATTGCATCGGTTACTGAGGCTTCTGCATTCTTAACGTAGTTCTCCAGCCTTGGCTTTCAGCTCCATCAGCTCCTTTAAGCACTTCTCTATATTGGTTATCCTAGTTATACATTCTTCTAAATTTTTTTCAAAGTTTTCAACTTCTTTGTCTTTGGTTTGAATTTCCTCCTGTAGCTCAGAGTAGTTTGATCATCTGAAGCCTTATTCTCTCAAGCCTTTTTCTCAATACTTACTTTATTTCTAACAGTTCTAACAGTTTTTTGGTGAAGTCTTTGCACTTTTCTACTTATAAGATCAAGTCATCAATAAATAAGGATAATCGTATTTGTTCCTTTCTGATTTGAATACATTTTGTTTGTCTGATTGCTCTTAATAATACTTCCAGTACTATGTTGAATAGAAGTGGCAAGAGTGGGTGTCCTTGCCCTATACCAGACCTTAGAGAATCAGCCTTCAGCTTCTCTCCATTGGACGGTGATGCTAGTTCTGGGTTTTTCATAAGCAGCCACAACCACTATTGTGTTGAGCAACTTGCATTCTATACTGTTGAGAGTTTTTCTCAAGAAAGGATGTTGATCTTTGTTGAATGCTTTTTCTGCATTAAGTGCGATGATCATGTGGTTATTATCTTCCATCAGCTGAGATGATGTAATCACATTCATTCACTTCCATCTGTTAAGCCAGCCTTATATGCCATGGATAAATCCCATATGATCATGATCTTTTTGGTATGTTGTTGAATGCTGTTTGCCAATATTTTATTGAACAATTTTGCATCAGTGTTTATCAGAGGTATTGTCTTGTAGTTTACTTATGATGTCTTTGTCTGGCTTAGGTATCAAGGTGATGCTGGTCTCATAAAATGTGTTAAAAAGTATTTCCTACATCTCTACTTTTTTGAAAGAGTTTAAGAAGTATTGGTACTAATTATTCTTTGAAAGTTTGGTAGAATTCAGCAATAAATTCATCTGGTCTGTAGCTTTTCTTTGTTGAGAGGCTTTTAATTACAACTTCAATGTCTTTGTTGTTAGTCTGTTCAGACTTTCTACTTTTCCCTGATTCAAACTTGGTAGGCTCTATTTTTCTAGAAACTTATCAATTTCCTCTAGTTTATTGAATTTGTTTGCATATAATTGATCATAATATTCTTTATGATCTTTTTAATTACTGAGGTATTTGTTGTAATACCTTCACTTTCACTTCTCATTTTATATATTTGAGTCTTCTCTCTTTTCTTCTTAGTTATTTTAGCTGAGTTTGTCAATTTTGTTTCTTTTTTTTTTTTTCAAAAAACAAACTCTTCAATTTGCTAATTTTGTCTATGGCTTTTTATTTTCTATATGATTTATTTATTTTCTAATCTTTATCCTTTCTTCTGCTAACCTTGAGTTGAGTTTCTTCTTCTAGCTCATTGAGGATAATGTAGGCTATTTATTTGAAATCTTTCTTCCCTTATAATGTAGATTTTTATTGCTTCATGTCATAGGTTTTTGTATGTTGTGTTTCAACTGCTGTGATTTGTTTCAAAATATATTTAGATTTTCCTTTTGACTTCCTTTTTGACCCATGGTTATTCAGCAGCATGTTGTTTAATTTCCATATATTTGTGAATTTTCCAAAATTTATCCGTTTTTGATTTCTAATTTTATACCACTGCATTCAGAAACAATACCTGATATTATTTAAATCTTCCTAAATGTATTAAGACTTGTTTTGTGGCATAACGTGTGGTCTATTCTGGAGTGTGCTTCGTGTGCATAGAAAAGAATGTGCATTCTGCTGCTGTTGGATGGAAAGTTCTATGAAGGTATGTTAAGTCTATTTTGCCTGAAGTGCAGTTCAACTCCAGTATTTCCCTGTTAATTGTCTTTGTAGTTGTCCTGTCTATTGTTGAAAGTGATGTATAAATAGCCTACAATTATTGTGTTGCTACCTATTTCTCCCTTTATGACCATTAAAACATTCTTTCCCTATTTAGATGCTGATTGCTATAAAGAAGTATCTGAGACTGAGTAATTTATAAAGAGGTTTAATTGGCTCATGGTTCTGCAGGCTATATCGGAAGTGTAGTGCCAGCATCAGCTTCTGGGGGACCTCAGGGAGCTTTAACTCATGGCAGAAGGCGAAGCAAGACAGGCCCATCACATGGTGAAAGCAGAAGCATGAAAGAGGGAGAGTGGGGCTTAGGGTGCCACACACACAATTTTAAATGACTAGATCTTGCATGAACTCAGAGCGAGAGCTCACTTATCACCCAAGGGATGGTCCAAGGCATTAATGAGACATCCACTCTTATGATCCAAACATCTCTTACCAGGTCCACCTCCAAAATTGGGGATTACATTTCAACATGAGATTTGGGTAGATAAAAATATCCAGACTATATCATTCTGTCCCTGACCACTGCCTCAAATATCATGTCCTTCTCACATTGCAAAATACAATCATGCTTTGCAATAGCCCCACATTTTATTAGTCCGTTTTCACACAGCTACAAAGAACTACCTGAGACTGGGCAATTTATAAAGAAAGGAGGTTTAATTGACTCACAGTTCCATATGGCTGGAGAGGCCTCAGGAAACATAATCATGGTGGAAGGTGAAGGAAAAGCAAAAACCTTCTTACATGATGGTAGGAGAGACAGAAAGTGAGAGGGGAACTGCCAAACACATTTAAACCATTAGATCTCATGAGAACTCATTCACTATCATGAAAACAGCATGAGGGAAACTGCCCCCATGATCCAGTCACTTCACACTAGGTTCCTCCCTTGACATGTGGGGATTACCATTAGAGATGAGATTTGGGTGGGGGCACAGAGCCAAACCATATCAGCCAAAGTCTTAACTCTTTCCACATTAACTCAAAAGCCCAAAGTCTCATCTGAGACAAGGCGAGTCCTTTCCACCTATGAGCTTGTAAAATCAAAGGCAAGTAATTTACTTCCAAGATATAATGCGAGTATAGAGTTGGGTAAACATTCCTATACCAAAAGGGAGCTGGCCAAGGCTGCAGCCGGCTCCCTCAGCTTGTGGGGAGGTGTGGAGGGAGGGGCGCGGGTGGGAACCGTGGCTGCCGGGGTGCTTGCGGGCCAGTGCGAGTTCCGGGTGGGCATGGGCTTGGCATACCCCACACTTGGAGAAGCCGGCCGGCCCCACCAGCCCGGGCAGCGAGGAGCTTAGCACCTGGGCCAGCAACTGCCATGCTCAATTTCTCGCCGGGCCTTAGCTGCCTTCCTGCTGGGTAGGGCTCGGGACCTGCAGCCCACCATGTCTGAGCCTCCCCACCTCCGTGGGCTCCTTTGTGGCCGGAGCCTCCCGGACGAGCGCTGCCCTCTGCTCCACGGTGCCCAGTCCCATTGACCACCCAAGGGCTGAGGAGTGCAGGCACACAGCGCACCACTGGCAGGCAGCTCCACCTGCAGCCCTGGCACAGGATCCACTGGGTGAAGCCAGCTGGGCTCCTGAGTCTGGTGAGGACGTGGAGAAACTTTATGTCTAGCTCAGGGATTGTAAATACACCAATAGGCACTCTGTATCTAGCTCAAGGTTTGTAAACACACCAATCAGCACCCTGTGTCTAGCTTAGGGTTTGTGAATGCACCAATCGACACTCTGTATCTAGCTAATCTGGTGGGGACTTGGAGAACCTTTGTGTCTAGCTCAGGGATCCTAAATACACCAATCAGCACTCTGTATCTAGCTCAAGGTTTGTAAACACACCAATCAGCACCCTGTGTCTAGCTCAGGGTTTGTGAATGCACTAATTGACACTCTGTATCTAGCTACTCTGTTGGGGACTTGGAGAACCTTTGTGTCTAGCTCAGGGATTGTAAACGCACCAATCAGCGCCCTGTCAAAACAGACCACTGGGCTCTACCAATCAGCAGGATGTGGGTGGGGCCAGATAAGAGAATAAAAGCAGGCTGCCCCAGCCAGCAGTGGCAACCCGCTCAGGTCCCCTTCCACAGTATGGAAGCTTTGTTCTTTCTCTCTTTGCAATAAATCTTGCTGCTGCTCACTCTTTGGGTCCACACTGCCTTTAAGAGCTGTAACACTCACTGCGAAGGTCTGCAGCTTCACTCCTGAAGCTAGCGAGACCACGAACCCACCTGGAGGAATGAACAACTCCAGACGCACTGCCTTAAGAGCTGTAACACTCACTGGAAAGGTCTGCAGTTTCACTCCTGAGCCAGCGAGACCACGAACTCACCAGAAGGAAGAAACTCTGAACACATCCGAACATCAGAAGGAACAAACTCCAGACACGCTGCCTTTAAGAACTGTAACACTCACTGCGAGAGTCCGTGGCTTAATTCTTGAAGTCAGTGAGACCAAGAACCCACCAATTCTGGACACAGTATGAGGGGTGGGCTCCCAAAGTTGTGAGCAACTCCAACCCAGGGGCTTTGCAGGGTTCAGCCCCAGCACTGCTCTCATGGGTTGGAGTTGAATGCCTGTAGCTTTTCCTAGGTTGAAGTTGTAAGTTGCCATTGGATTTACCATTCTGTGATCTGAAGATGGTGGCCCCCTTCTCCAAGCTCCAGTAGGCAGTGCCCCAGTGCCTGTGCGTTTTGGAGCTTCCAACTACGTGTTTTCCCTTTACACTGTCCTAGTAGAGGTTCTCACTGAGGGCATCTCCCCTGCAGCACCACCACTCCACCAAGATTTCAGAGGATATATGAAAAAGACTATCATGTCCCCCAGAAGCTGATGCTGGCAATACACTTTCTGTGCAGGCTGCAAAACCATGAGTCTGCACTGACTATCAGGCCTTTCCATATATCCTCTGAAATCTTGGTGGAGGGTACCAAGCTTGATTCACTCTTACACACTGTGTGATGGCAGGCTTAACACTATGTTGAAGCTGACAAACCTTACAGCTCGCATTCTCCAAAATGGCAGCTCAAGCTGTACCTTGGCCCTTTTGAGCCCTGGCTGAAGCTGGGCCATCTGGGAAGAGGAGAGCAGTGTCCTGAGGCTGCACAGGTCAGTGATGCCTTAGGCCTGTCCCACAAACAATTCTTCCTTCCTTGGCCTCTGGGCCTGTGATGAGAGGGACTGCTGTGAAGGTCTCTGAGATGCCTTCAAATACTTTTCCCCATTTTCTTGGATATTAGCACTTGAATCCCTTTTAGTTACGAAAATATCTTTAGCAGATCATTGCTCCACAGACTACTTGAATTCCTCTCCTGGAAAAGCTTTTTCTTTCTCTGCCACTTGGCCAGGCTTCACATTTTCCAAACTTGTATGCTCTGCTTCTCTTTTAAATATAAGTTCCAACTTTAAGTCATGCCTTTGCTGCCATGTCTGAGCATAGGCTGTTAGAAGCAGCCAGATCACATCTTGAAAGCATTGCTACTTAGAAATTCTTTCCACCAAGTACCTTAAATCATCGTTTTTTAGCTCAAACTTCCACAGACCCCTAGGGAATAGATATAATGCAGCCAAGTTCTTTGCTAAGACATAACAAGGGTAACCTTTGCTCCAATTCCCAAATATGTTCCTCATTTGCATCTGAGACCTTAGCAGCCTGGACTTCACTGTTCATTTTTGGTCACAATCATTTAAGAAGTCTCTAAGAAGTTGCAAATTTTCTCTCATCTTCCTGTCTTCTTCTATGCTCTCCAGACTCTTCAACCTCTGCCCGTTACCCAGTTCCAAAATCACTTCCACATTTTCGGGGATCTTTATAGCAATGCCCCACTTCTGTTAACAATTTTCTGTAGTATGCTGTTCTTGAATGCTATAAATAAATACCTGAGGGTAGGTAATTTATAAAAAGGTTAAATGGCTCATGGCTCTGCAGACTGCACAGGAAACATAGTGCCAGCATTGGCTTCTAGAGAGACCACAGAGAGCTTTTACTCATGACAGAAGATGAAGCAAAAACAGGCACATCAACTGGTGAAAGCAAGTGCAAGAGAGAGACAGAGAGAATTGAGGGGGGGATGCCACATACTTTTAAATAACCAGATCTCATATGAACTCAGAGTGAGAGCTCACTTTTCACCAAGGGGACGGACCAAGCCATTCATGAGGGAACTGCTCCCATGATCCAAACACCTCCCACAGGTCTTGCGTCCAACATTGAGAATTACATTTCAACATGAGCTTTGGGCAAGGACAAATATCCAAACTATATCAGTTGCTCTGATATTGGGTACGTATATATTTATGATTGTTATGTCTCCTTGATGAATTGAGCTCTTTATTATTAAATAATAACCTTTTTTTGTTTCTTGGGGTAGTTTTTGACTTGAAATCTATTTAATCTATTATAGGTATAGCCACCTTTGCTCTCTTTCAGTTATTATTTTTATGGAATGTCTTCTTCTATCCTTTCACTTTCAACCTTTATGTGTCCTTAAAGCTAAAGTAGGTCACTTGTAGCAGCATATAGTTGGGTTTTTTTTTTTTTAACCGACTATATGCTGCATATACATATATGTACATATATAGCAGCATAAACATGGGTTTTTCTAAGTTATTCATTCAGCCAGTTTATGTCTTTTGATTGAAGAATTTAATCTGTTTACATTCAAAGTAATTATGGATAGATTAACACTTACTATTGTCATTTTGTTCATCGCTTTCTGTAATTTTGTAGATCCTTTGTTCCTTTATTTCTCTCTTCATGATTACATTTGTGGTTTGCTGATTTTCTGTAGTGCAAAGTTTTGATTCCTTTTCCTTTACTTATGTTTCTGCTATAAATTTAATTTGCTTTGTGGTTATCATGAGGCTTACATGAAATACTGCATAGTTACAACAAACTATATTGTGCTGATAACAACTTAACTTTCATCACGTACAAAAACTCTACACTTTTACTCTTTCCCATAATTTATATTTTTGAAGACACAATTTAATTTTTTTTATATTGCATATTTCTTAACAACTTAATGTGGCTATAATTATTGTCAGCTCTTTTGACTTTTAACCTTCACATTAAATATATAAATGCTTTATAGGTCACCATTATAACATTGGAATATTCTCAGTTTGACTATATATTTACCTTTACCAGTGTATTTTACACTTTCGTGTTAGTAATTAACATTCTTCTATTTTTGCTTTAAGAACTCTCTTAAGCATTTCTTGAAAGGCTGACCTAGTGGTGATAAATTGCCTCTTTGCTTCTTTTGGGAAAGACTTTTTTCATCGTTTCTGAAGGACATCCTTACTTGATATACTATTCTTTTTTTTTTTTTTTTTTTTTTCTTGAGACGGAGTCTCGCTCTGTCACCCAGGCTAGAGTGCAGTGGCGTGATCTTGGCTCACTGCCAGCTCTGCCTCCTGGGTTCACGCCATTCTCCTGCCTCAGCCTCCCGAGTAGCTGGGACTACAGGCACCCACCACCACGCTTGGCTAATTTTTTGTATTTTTAGTAGAGACAGGGTTTCACCATGTTAGCCAGGATGGTCTCAATCTCCTGACCTCGTGATCTGCCCGCCTTGGCCTCCCAAAGTGCTGGGATTACAGGCGTGAGCCACCGTGCCCGGCCCTATAGTATTCTTGAGAGGCTTTTTTTCCCCTTTTAGCACTTTGAATATGTCATCCCATTCCTTTGTGGTGTACAAGTTTTCTGATGAGAAATCTGCTGATAGTCTCATTCCCTAACGTGTGACTTCATACTTTTGCTGCTTTTAAAATTCTCTCTGCCTTTTATTTTTGACAGTTTGATTACAATGTGCCTTAGAGAGGACCTCTTTGGGTTGAATCAGTTTGGGAAATTTTGAGCTTCACGGATCTGGATATTAATATCTCTCTC
Source organism: Homo sapiens (assembly GCF_000001405.40). Lineage (NCBI taxonomy): Eukaryota > Metazoa > Chordata > Mammalia > Primates > Hominidae > Homo > Homo sapiens. Next base: position 76,056,061 of record NC_000008.11, on the reverse strand, counting down.
AAGACTTGGGAACTTTTCAGCAATTATTTCATGAAATAAGCTTTCTGTCTTTTCATTGCCTCTTCTCCTTCTTTAATATTTATATTGCAAATGTTTGTTCACTTAATGGTGTCCCATAGGTCTCACAGCTATCTTTGCTTTTCTTCATTTTTTTTTCTTCTTTTTCCTCTGATTGGGTAATTGCAAAACACCTGTCTTCAGATTTACAGATTCTATCATCTGCTTGATCTATTCTGGTGTTAAAGATCTTTATTACATTTTTTACTTCATTGATTAAATTATTTAGCAGCATGATTTATGTTTACTTTTTTATCATATCTATATCTTTGCTGAATTTCTCATTCAGATCATGAATGGTTTTCTCATTTTGTTGAATTCTATCTGAATTATCTTGTATCTCACTGAGCTTCCTTAAGATTATTATTTTGAATTACTTTTCAAGCAATTTATAAATTTCCTTTACTGTGGGGTCAGTTACTGGAGAATTAATATGTTCTTGTAAAGTCTAAAGAACTGTGAGCCAAATAAACCTCTTTTCTTTATAAATCACCCAGGAATACTCAGGTATTCCTTTATAGCGATGTAAAATTTACTAAGTTACCTAATAGACAATAATTGTCTCATAGTTCCAGGTTGCATATACATGGGAGCCGACTGGGTTTATTCTCATTCCACACCTTAAACAAGTAATTATTCGGAAAGAAAGTTAAATGTGTGTAGCATGGAATAGAGGTGAAGTGGTATAATCTAGAATGTTACATAAAGCTGTGCTGAACTAGTTTCCATAGAGTGTCTGGAATGAGACAGATGAGGTCTAGAGTATCAGAAGTGGTTAAAAGAAGTGGTCAATGAAATACACCCCTAGGACCATTCAGATTTCTCATGCCATTCATTATATCTGGCTACTATTCTATTCTATGGAATCTCAATTTTTATGAGTGAGGGGGAAGTACAAGGCCAAACTATTGCAGGGTCAGTTCAGATATTGGCCAAAAGCAATCTCTGCAAAGAGATAATGTGGAAGGATTAGTGAGAAAGATAAAGTGTCTAGAGTTATTGGAGATATTTTGTCTTTATTTTAGAAGGTCATATCCTTACTCTGTAACTCAGTTCATACTTTGGCTCTACTATGGGGCTTGCCACAGAACATCACTATACAACAGAGTTTGTAGAAACACTACTGGGTTGGCTTGATTGCATAGCCCATATGCAGGGAAGACTACATTTTATCTTGGGCCCTATTTGAAATAGTCAGCAAAGAAATAGGTTGGATCAGTAGCTCTAAGTGAGGTATGAATGGCCTTCTAAATGCAGATAATTCCACCAAATTCTTTGCCTGTGAGTTATACAAGAAATTGTTTAAAAAGAGAAAAGGGATGTCATATGATGCCTCATACCCTTAAATGCCTAAAATATTCACTTGTCTTTTTTTGAGGCTTAATCTTCTATTCTCTCATATGAATATGGTTTGATAAGGCATCAAGCATACTTCCCAATCCTTGCTTACCTGGTCCAATTGAAATAACAGTATCAATATTGTGAACCAGTATGACAGCATTACCTCTGCAGAATGTCAAGATAATTCTGTTTATCAGGGCCTTTGCAGAACTGGTCACTACATTAGTGGACGAAATGAAAGACAGATAAGGCCAACAAGTTCTGAAGTGATGTATAAATGGTGTGCAAAATAAGCCAGAAGCAAATAACAGAACCTGCAGAACAGAGCATATGGGGTTTCTATTGCTGCTATTAAAAATTCCCACAAAATGTAGCGGTTTAACACAAGCCCCATTATTAATTCACTATTTGAATGGATTAGAGGACTGGGCACATGGTGGTTCAGCTAGTTTCTCTATTCTGGGTCTCACAAGATGAAAAACAAGGTGTGCCTTTTATTTCTAGAGCTTGTAAAGAAGAATCTTCTTCCCAGCTTAGGCAGGTTGTTGTTAGACTTCAGTTTCTTGCATTTGTAGAACTGAGGTCTATGTTTTCTCAATGGCTTTCAGGAAAGGGTTTTCCTTACCTTCTCAGAAGCCTTTTTCCAGTCCTTACGTATTCTGTCTACATCTCAGAACCAGAAAAAGTGCATCTAATGTTTTTGATACTTGGAATCTCTCTTACTCCCACTTCCACTGCATGTATTTTTCTTTCTCTTCCTCCACATCTCTCTGACTTCAGCTGAAGAAAAGTCCTTGGCTTTTAAGGATTTATATGATTAGGTTGAGCCCATGCAAATCATCCAGGATAATCTCCCTATTTTAAGGTTCATAAACTTAATTATATCTGCAAAATCTTTTTGCCATATAATGTGACATTGTTATGGGTTCTAAAAATCAGGGCATGGACATCATTGTTAGGAGGCACTATCCTGCCTACCATGCAGCGCCTTGGACAAAACCCACTGGACACAAGCAGAAAATATATAAAATTTAAAGTAACTAAATAAATGTTTTTCATAGGTGGCTTTCACATGCCAAGTTGTGACATGGTTATGAGAGTCAAGACTTATTTTAAAGCACCTGAAATGATTAAAAAGCCATTTAATATTTATTTGTAAGACCAAATTATCCCCCACCTCAACTTTTAAAATCCATTTTTTTCCTTTGTGTTCCTTTCTCAGTTAAAACCATAGCAATTCCCTCATTCTAAATCAAGCAGCTTGTGGTCCTCATTGCTACCTTCTTCTTTGGCATTCCCACAAGTAGTAATCCAACATATCAGATTACTTTTTTCATAATGTAACTCTTTCACCATATCTAACTTAAAAATTGAAATGGTTTTGTTACTGTTATATGTTTTCTATATAATGTATCAACTCAAATTCTAATGTCTTAAAACAATGATTAGGTATTTGCCAAATGAAACGATTAAGGAAGGGTGTGGTGGAGAGGGCTTATCTCTGCTCCAGCTGGTATTGTTGGGGCAAGAATGTACATAATGCCCTTTCTACTTGCTTGACACTTCAGCTTGAATTGCTGAAACAGCTAGAACCCAGATGGGCGTATTTTTTTCTACATGTGGTCTCCCTACATCACTAGAATTAGCATAGACTTCCATGCAGCTTGGTGTTTGGGTACCAAGAAGGAGCATTTCAAGAAAACAAGGTTCAATGGGAAGCACTTATCAAGGTATCATTTACATCACACTTTCTATTGTCTCTTTGGTCATGTGGTCAAGCTCAGAATCAATAGAGGAGAGGGATGTATAGGTTCATGACTAACAGGAGGCGTTGTTTGTTATAGAGGAGGGCACACAAAAGTAAAAGTATACCACAATGTGTTCTATTGCCCCTAGGGATTTATTTTCTTCCCACATACAAAGCATAATCTCCTCCCCTCCTACCAAAATATGCAAAATCTCATCTAATTTTGGCACCAGGATTTTGCTCAAAGAAAATGATTTTGTCATCTAAATTGGGTCCAGGTGTAGCAGAGAATCCTTTGGTGTGGTTCCTTTCAATCTAAAAAATTGTAAACCAGAGATAAATTGTATTATTCAATATGCCTAAAATACATTGGTAATTTAGGGATAGGAAAGCCACAGTAGATACTACCACTCAAAAATGGAGAGAGTGGGAGTCAAATAGCAGCCACTGGTCCTTAGCAATTCTGAAATTTTGGTAGGCACATATTGCCAGCTCTCTGCTTTGGGCTCAGTTTTGCTCCCTTCAGAACTTTGATTCAGTCTTTTTAGCCCTTGGATTTACCCTATGAGTTTCTTTCTTTTTTTTTTCTTCAATAAGAAATGGAGCATATTTTAGATTGAGTAGCTTTCTTAATATTTTTCCTTCTCACAGGAGAGGATTTTCTTTTTTAACTGTCTCAGAACTTTTAGTCCAAACTGGCAGTTGTTTCATCAGTGCAATTCTCTTAAAACTTGGTGATTGAGGGTACTGTGACTGAGATCTTTAAGATTTTTAGAAGCTTCTTTATCTTCCTCTGAGACACATCTTTAAGCCTTTCCGGAACCTCAAAAAGTGCCCTTCAGTATCCCCTAGGCTTGATGTTTACTATGAGGTCATGTGTTACTGGCAGCACCCAGAACTTGATCATTACCTGAGTTAACTTCTAACTTTGTGAGCAATTTTCCAGGAAACTCTGGGCATAAGAAAAAAATGCTTTTTAACACAGCAAGTCATATCTTCTCTGTAGTTCCTTTAAATTTCGCTTTAACTCTAAACTATTATTTCTTTAGCTCCTCGCCCTTCTATATTTTATGATAGGAAGATTAAAAGCATCTAGTAGACACCTTCAATATTCTTTCTATAAATCTTAGCCAGACCTATTAATACTTTCATGTTTCTGCAGGTGACAATGTCACTAATTATTCTATACTACATAGTTTGGGTACTTTTTACTCCAGCCTTATTACTGCTAAACAATAGTAATTTTATCTATGCTCCTTCGGCCCTTCACCTGTTACCTGGTACAAAAATCAAATGCCATGTATTTTACTATTTTGTTTTGATAGAACTCAACTTCTTGGTTCCAATTTCTGTTGCTGTATAAAAACCACCTTAAAAACTAATAGCTTAAAATAATAAATATTTATTTGTTCATGATTCTGGGCTTGATTGGGAAAGCTTGTCTGTGTTTTACATGGTATCTGTGAGGGTTGAATGGTACATGAGGCCTTCTTATATATCTGGTGTCTTACCTGGGTTGTATAGAGCAACTGAAGTCAGTCTGGGAATCTCTGTTTCTCTCTTCATATGGCCTTTTTATGTCTTTCACAAGGCTTCTTAACTGGGCTTCAAAAAAGAGTACTCCAACAAGACAAGCCTTACTGTGCAAATGCTTATTGAGGTTTCATTTTCATTACGCTTTCTCATGTCCCATTGGTCAAAGCTAATTATATCTAGTCACATGATCAATCTCAGAATTGATGAGGGAGAACACACAAAGGCATACATTTCAGGGAGCTTAGTTGATTGGGGGCCACCAAAATAAATGTCTGCCACAAGATTTTTAAATAATTTTCTTGCCTTTGATCTCTCCTCCATGATCCATTCTCAAAGTTCCTACTAGAGTGTTTCTTTTTTGTTTTTTTTAAAGTAGAGGTCTTATTCAAAGTACATCATTTGAATAATATATGATAAACTGAAGAGTTGTTTATGTATATACTCACATTAAAATAAAAATTTTAAGTTTCAGATAAATTGTCATTTTATTGTAATCAAACACTAGGATTTGAAGTAATTTCAGTTATATTACAACACAGTTTTTTTAAATTAAAAATAACAACTAACGAGCAGTGAGCACTTATGTGTCAAACACCATAATAGGTGATTTATATGAATTATATATAATGAGGAAAATGAAGCTATGAGATGAAACAACTTAACAATGTCAAGCAGTTGGTAATGTACAGGAGCTGGGATGCCAATCTAAGCCTCTTTGTTTCTAGGGAACAACACGTTAACTATTTAAATAATGTCATATACTTTTTTGCTCTTTTGCTATTTCCTCCTAAATACTTCTATTCTACACAATGATATGTATATTCAAAATCTTCTATAAGCCATAGCTTCATTTTTCAATGTCTTTCACTATTCAACAGACACACAAGACAATTTTCTGACTCTGTACTATCACTCATGTATATTTGTCCATGAAATGGATTTTATTTACCTGAAGTTGGGAAATTCTTTTTATTTCTAATATCTCAACTCAAATATCAACAGATCCCTCAACAACCCATACGTTATCCTCTTCTCCTATATCTAAAGTGAACATATATTCTGGTTTGCTTGTCCTTGTTTACTCCTATTGTTTCAACGTAACTATTAACAGCCCACTTTCCACTCTCAAGAGTGTGTAGTTTGGAGATGATAAATTAAGTGGACAGTCTACCTACCCACAATTCATCAAACCTTCTCCTGACTCCTGAGAGCACATTATTATGTTTTTATTAGAATATTTAAAAGATAAGTGTGGTTTCTTCCTGTTTCTTCTACAATGTAAACTTTTTGAATACATCTTTTATTACTATCTATGCCTCCTAAGCCTGTTACACTGCCAGTGCTAAAAATGTTTCTTCAGTAAATGAAAGGTAAGAATGTTCAGAATAACAAAATCATTTCCATACTCCAGCAAAACTAGTAGCAATAATTTCCATATAATTGATAATTATACTTGAAACTAACAAATTCACATGCATAAAAATCATTGAATGTCAAAAATTATTGTGAATTGATCTTTCAGTAAATTGGACATTTATCAATTTGCTTTTAGGCAAATTGGTATTCGATAAATTGATTCTTAGTAAATTTACTAATGCTCTCCTTGTTTAATGGCCTGAGAAGAGTCAACCTATATAATTGAAGCACTTGATTCTGTGTAGTTTGCTGTGTAGGAAAAGCAAATTAAGCTGCACATAATTGAGTTATTTACAGTTACTTTTGTCAAGAGAACAAATAATAACTACTTTTTATTTTCTTCACTCTGTTAGATTCCGAAAGTCTGGTCTGCCTAATCAATGCTATTTTTAACAAAGGAAAAAATAAAAACTTTATCTTAATACCAAAACCATTTTGAAAGTGATCCAGAATTTAGGAAAAGCTTGAAAGGTGTGGGAGCATTATATTTTGATCCTGGTTCCTGCTGCCTATTCAAAGCATTTCTTTTCATGTGTTAATTCAATAGAAAAGAGACTGGGCATCAAGTCTGTCTCTCTAGTATGTACTACACACTGAGAATGTGATAAATGTATTTATTCATTTTAACCAAATTCTACCACAACAAAACAATTTAGAGGCCCCATGGAGTCTATCATAATGGGATTTTACCTGTACTTTGATTGAATTAAAACATCCTATATAGAAATCAGCTATTTAAACATCCTCTACAAAGACCTGAATCATAATGTTTTTCTCTGAAGGAGCACATTATTTACTGAAGTTATAGACAGAGACTAATTAATCCACATTTTGGATGGTCCCACTGCTGGTTTCTGACAATGTGCTCTGCATCCCACCATTCACATAATTCCCTCCACAGAAAGCCCATATGAAATTTTCTAAGCAGGAATCCACATGAATTTCTTAGAAACAGCTCAGACTTTTCATTATGCTTCTGATGTTTATAGGAGGATTTTTTTTTCATATTACTAACTACCATGTATTTAGAATTAGAAATTTGTTTACACAATTTTATTGTATCTATTTATCTTTCTTCCCAAAATGTGTTTTAATAAAGATAGTAAATACCACATGATTACTTTGTAAAGTCATAGCATCAACCAAAAGAGAATATAATGATAATCAATAATCACCAGAAAGCCATCTCATTATGATTGTTTTAGCATATGATAGAAGTTTTGCCTAAGGCAAAGCCAGGAGCTTCATTTATTTCAAAGAGATAAAAACAAGGAAATATGCACATTTTGCATTAAATATTATTATGCAATTGAGCTTTATGAGAGATGGAGAGGAAATTTATATTCACATGTACATTTTCTCTAACCTTTTGAGACTTCCTGGTGACCACAGGGACACTGTTATGCTAGCTATTCTGCAAGTCTAACAGCAGCTCATTCTGAAGAGCCAATGATTGCACACACCTTTGTAATAACATCAGATTTTCATGTGACAAGACATTTGCTATTATATGTTATTTTTTTTAATTGCAAAGCTGATGAGTTTAAGTCAACATATTTCTTTCCCACTCCTTCTGCTTGTCAGCTGTAGTTGGATTGATAAAATGCAAATGAACAAATCATTAATGAGTACTGGTTATGAATCTCTCAGGCAGTTCAGGACCCTATCAAATCCTGCACCTATTACTTTGTGTGATTGATGTACTATTGTAAGTGATTGTTCCTGATCTTATTAAATCTTATTGATTTTTTCCCAGTTTCTATTTTATGCAGGGCCAGGCTTGGGCTATTATGAATGTTGCTGAACACTGTTAATCAAGCTTACACAGCTATTTTGATGGCAAACAATTAGAACTCTGCAGCTCTACCTTGCAATTAGCTTCAGGGATACGGACCTGCACACCCTAATAATGAAAGAGACCTCCTTCAAGCACGGTAATGAGATTTACAATTATGACCCCAAATAACCTCTGAAAAATCACCAATCTGCAAATTTAGATGGGTTTATCAATAATTTTCTCCCTTTTTATGAAAATAAATTTGAGAATTTTTCTCAACAATAACATTTCCTGGCAAAATCATTCTTCCTATCCTTGTAATATATCACAAAGTATAAACATTTCTGATTGTATGGAATTGCTGTCATAAATACTTGACTTACAAATGCCTAAGCAGATTTTTTACACTATTAAAAAATTCCTCAATTAAGTACATAATATTTATATTTTCCAAATACAACTATGAAACCTGTTAAATTAAATAGAGAATGCAAGTATTGTTCCTTCTTTCAGTAGTTGGTTTATTCACTCAGCAAACTTTTATTAAGCATCTACTATGAGTATAGTACTGTGGCAGAATCTGTGAATCATATAAAGACAATTGAACATTACTTCCTGCTCTTAAGTACTCTTCAATAATTTTACAAATGTATAAATTAATATTGTTTGAGTATCCATGTCAATGCAATTTCATTTAAACATAGCTGAGAGAATCTTACGGATAAATTCTATTTCTAACCTCTGCATTCCTCAAGTACAAATTTATTTTTATTCCTTATTCACAGCAAAATACATCATTTCTTTATTTATTCAGAATGCAGTATTGAGAGAGATTTTTCTTATTCAGCCACATCTTTTCCTCTTGTCACATAGGAAGAGATGCAGGTCTTTACCTGCTTTCTCAGCAATTATTTTATTCAGATTCCCACCTTTTCATTTGCCTCACTGTGTTAATTTTATCTCTCCTGTTTATAATTGCCTTCTTTCTACTGACTGTTTTTAATTTTTTTTTTTTTTTTGTAACAGGAACAGGTTACCTACCCCTACAGCAAAGCAAGTAACCAATTAACTAACCACTCCAACCTATATTTGTCACTAATGTTATATAACTACAATTTCTTCCAATTTTTCATTGCCAAAGTTCTGCTATCAAAGTTTGATAACTGTGGCCTCCACAAACGGCAAATGTCATTTTGAAAACCAGCTCTGTTGATAAAAGCTCAAAATAAACCGTTTAACTTCCAGAGTGTTTAATCGCAAGAAAAGTGTTAAGACAGACCTCTCCAGTCTTGGAGCCTCATTCTATGTAAGGCATGGGGTGAGGTTGATACAGGGTCAGAGTGGCGATAAAAGTCAGGGATATTAGTTGTCCACAATTACTAGCACCTGGCCTATTACAGCCTGGCCTGCCTGACTCCCAGTTAAACAAACAGCCAGACCAATTTTAACTTCCTTATTTTTCTTAGTGGTATCGTGCTGTAAGAAGTGAAAAGGGCAAGACAGTAGTTTTAGAGGCAGAAAGTAGAGGATCTGGGATCTTGTCTGCAACCACTTATGAGCTGTGTAACATTAGGTAAATTACCCATCTGAGCCTGAGTTCGCTCATCTGATATTTTGAACTCATCAAGGGCTATCTATTGTCAACAATTAGAAATAATGTATCCTGTACTACACATGACCATAAAATTGTCACCTTACTTATGCTATCTTCCCAAATAATATTTCTCTACCTGCTTTGAGAGAAATAGACTTCATAACCTTCTACCTACCTAACAATGTCAATGCTAATTAGATAGGGGAGACATCTGACCCAAGCTTGAGCCAGACAGAAACTGTTACTTTCTTCTCTCTCTTATTTGAACACAAGAAGAGTTTACTAGTATTTTGTAGTAAAACTTGTAACCTATAAAGTCTAACTTAGGGTTTTTATCCATGCAAATGAAAGCTAATGGCAAGCTGAAATTGTGGGAAAACATTTGGAAAGCCTGCCAATACACAGCAGAGACTGGAGTAGACGTGCCTATAAAAACAGGTTAAGACACCTTGCGGGGAGAGAGAGAGAGATAGAAAATTTAGTGTACAAGCACACCCAAGTGAGCAGTGCCCTGGTTCGTGATGTTCTCCAGTTCCCATGAAACCCAACTAAATTTTAATGGCACGAAACATTACAATATTAATCTTTCTTACATTTGTTTGTGGTTGTGTGAGTTAATTGGGGTGTTAATCTAATAAGTGACAGCTTCGGTTATTTATTCATTCAATGAGGACTTATGATGACATATTCTGGGCTCTGAAAAGCAACAGTAAACAAATCAGGCAAAAACCCTGCCTGTTGAAATTGTAATCGCACTTCCTCTGTTACAATATCCTTTTCTCCAAACCTTGGAGTAATTTCTGACAGTTTTAAATTTCTTATCCAGCTGATGAACAATACTTGGGGATTCTTTCTTGTAGATATTGCCTGTTCTTTCCACTGACTCTCACTTTGGCCAGATTCTCATGGCAGTATATGCACACGTTGAAACAGGTCTCCATATCTTTTGTATGATGCCACTCCAGGCTGTCTTGCACACTTCTAGACAAATCTTCATAAAGTCAGACTTTGACCACATTATTTTCCTGTTGTAAACAATTGCAGACTTCTCACTTATCCATTTCCAAATTCAGTTTTAGTAAAAACTCACTAACATTAGCCCATTTTTTTTCCAGCTAGATCTCCTACCAGCTTCTTCATCATTGGCTCTACATTATTCATATCATATATAATTCCACACTTGTGTCTCTGGGTTGTACTTATACTCCATTACTTTCCTAGAATTCACTTCTCTGTTTGAGTTTTAATTTCTTTCTAGACTCTGTTTTCTGAGTTAGAATCCTAGCCTGCTCATTTATCAGCCATATAACATTGGGAAAGTTATTTAACCAACGTGTACCTCCATTTTCTTATCTACCTATAAAAGTGCTAACCTCATAAGACTATTAATTTTTTCATATTACGGTAGACAGCCTCTAAGACGGATTCCAGTAATTCTAGGCTTTCTGATATTCACACCCTTGTGTAATGTTATCCTCTTCATAATGGCCTGAACTTTTAGACTTCCTTCTAATGAATAGAGTATGGCAGAACTGAATGGATGCCACTCTGAGATTAAGATACAAATGACTGTGGCTTCCATTTTGGGTGTTCTCTTTAGTACTCCCTTGGATTATTCACTCTGGAGAAAATCAGCTTCCACATCATGAGTGCTGTGAAGAGGCTCACATGAGTGAACTTGGAAGAAGATCCCCTGAGGCCTGGCAACAACCAAATAAGCTTGGAAGTGTGCTCTTCAGCCCTGCTTGAGCCTTGACAGGATAGCTGCATGGACCAACTCACAATTTGACCACAGCCTTATGGGACAAATGGAGCCAATGACACCCAGCTAAGCCATACCTAGATTCCTGATGCACAGAAACTGTAAAATGATAAGTGTTTGCTGTTTTAAGCTGCTAATTTTGGGTAAAATTTGTTATATGCAATAGATGACTAGTAGAAGGATTAAATGAGATAATTCACGTAAAGAACTTAGCATGCACCCAAACAATGGTAACTGTTAATTGAACTGCTAATAGTATGGACCACACTTGCCTTTCCCTTTTCTCAATTTTCATAAATAGATTAATCTATAATAATCCTACAGCTATAATTTGATACTTTATGTTACTAAAGAAACTAGTATATACATATATTTACATATACATATGTGCTTATATGTGTATATATGGTTGCATATATATCTATATTTTTATGTGCATCATATATGTATGTGTGTATGTGGTGTGTGTGTGTGTATGTGTGTAAGTCTTTGAGTTCAAGGCTCTTTGGCTTTATCTTAAGCACTGTGTTAGCTTATACAAAATGTGAATTTATTGTATGATGAATAAATTGATGCTAGATAGAATGACACACTTTGATCCATTAGGCTTGCTTTAAGAAAATTCTGCAAGCTGCAGAGCTGGTATTTCTGGAATCCATTTGGGGTGACTGCGAATTGGGTCAAAGGGAATTAAACAGATGGAATTATCTGGTTTCATTTGAGTCAGCTGAGAAAATAGAAAGGCCAGCCTCAATTTCCATAGTCAGCAGTATATAATCTTTAATTTTGGACAAAAAGAGATAATTAAAACCAATTTATATTATCAAAAATGTTTTCAAATACTAGTAAATGGTGAGCCACATACACTAATCTTGAAAGCTTAGTTATTGGGTAGGAAGGATTTTGAATTGCTTTGTGTATGCTTTAATTGTTGTCAAAAGGCTAGACTATTGTCTATGTTCCTTTTTTCATCACATCCATTAGTTTAAATATTACATGGTTGCACAAATTAAAATGCTACAGACATTCAGTTAGAAACCTGGAGGCAAGTTTCTGACCTAAAAAGCACACAGATTTGGTAGACTGACAGATCTGGGCTCCAATCCAGGTTTGGTCACTTACTAAATTTGTGTCTTTGAGTAAATGATGTAAATTTTCTTAACCTTGGTTTCTCATTGTCTAAAATGGAGATAATGATATTTGCCTTGTAGAATTATTCTGGTGATTGAATCAGGTTATAAAGTATCTGCTTCATAGACATCACTAGCCCTTTACTCCTACTATTCTTATGCATGTTCATATAAACAATTCACATTAAGAAACAGAAGTCAATTAAGTAACAAATAAGATGAAAATATCTCAGTTCAAAAATAATGCCTGATATCCAACTAAATTTATTTGACTTGTTCAGTGTGGTAGTCCTTGAGTTCAAAAGATTTCAAATAGTTTGAAAAATTGTGAGAAGTCTAAAACATTGGGAATGTAGATTAACTGTGGAAGAGAAGGTGCTGTGGCTACATACCCGACATCAACTTCATGGCCAGAGAGTTTTGCAGTTTCTGGCTGACTAAACAGGCACCCTCATCTTTCCACATGGACCCATGAGCACTCTTCCCAAATCTACCTTTTTGGTCAAAGAAGGTTAGAGGATATCTGAGGAGAAGTGGTAAGGGGTGAGTCTGGAAAAGGAGGGAGAGCCAGACTGGAAAGGCTTAAAGGCTTATTTTTGCTTTTCTGAGATAATTCAGGTTTTATTCTTTAGTCAATGAGAAAGCAACACGAGTTTTAAAAAATCAAGTTTATGGAAGATGGGGAGGTCAACTAGTGACAGAGCAGAGAACAGACTAGAGACTAATGTAGAGAAGGATGCTTTGGAGCTCACTGCACCATGGACTAGACTAGGGCAATGGGAGAGGAAAGAGGAGAAGAAGGAGACACAAAACTCAAGGAATTCCTGAGGTCAGAAAAGAGGTGGAATCTACAGACTTTGTCAACTGAATGAGGAAGCAGAATATAAGATCACACCAAGTTTTCTAGGATAATGAACTCCTGGGTTAATAGAGACAACATAATTAGAAAATGATAACACAAGAAGTGAAAGAAAGTGATTTACTTGAAGGCTAAAGGAAATAAGTGGATAATGAATTACATTTTAAAACAAGTATCTGTAGTTTGGTGTGACAGACACTAATTGTTTTTTTTTTACTAGGCAGGATAAAAGTACCAGAAAACCTATGTTTGCATTAATAAATCCTCTTTAAATGTTATCATAACTTAATATGTACAATATATTAATGCATTGCTAAACATGAAATTCTAAATTTAAGCAAGCATTTAAATGAAATTGTCAATCAGATTACCTTTATTATTGCTACAAACTTCAAAAATTATTTTGCCAGCTCACTAATAACTGTGAACTCACTCTTAGAACTCCTAAATATATTTTGAAATCATGTTTCTTCTGAAACAGGCACACCAAGCAACTGCTGAGTTTTGGTAAATCTTCAGTGATCAGCATGAGTTTGTTGTGACTGTCTTATGTTAAGTGGATGACTTTTTAGTTTTCTGGAATATAAGAACTTCAAGCTCAAAATAACCTTGGAACTTGTAGCTATTTCTGAGTAATGTCTTAGATATTGCTACATTAAATGAGCCTAAGAGCTGTGTTTAGTTGATTCTCACTCCTTTTTTTTAATCACTCTTCATGATACCTAAAAAAAAAAATAGGCATTTCTGTCTTTTCTCCTCTACAGTCAAGTAGGGGAAAAGGTTATTAGAGTTTCCGGTATTGTGCTTAATTTAAAAATACTCTTGTAATAATTTCTTATACCGACTATTACTTGATGGAGCAACTGCTACTCTTAAAAGTGGCAGAAAACTTTATCCATGAAACTCATAAAACAACAGGGTCCATTTCAAACTTTCAGAAGCTTTTTGACTCCACTTTCTAGGGCTTAAATCCCGGAATAAGAAATAAAACTTCTATGGTAACCTTGACAGTCCATTTCCAAGAATGTCCAAAATTACCTTTTTAGTTGTGGACACTTAGGAATTTCTTTAACTATTACTTCTCACATAACCACCACCAGGAAATGAGGGGATTACATAAACAGTGCCTGAAAACTTTAGCTTCAAACACAATGTTGCCTCTGAGCCAGAGTCGGCCAGTAACTTGCAGCTGTTGATTAAAATGAGCCGTAATCGCCGGGCACAATGGTTTACCTCTGTAATCCCAGCACGTTGGGAGGCCGAGGCGGGTGGATCACGAGGTCAGGGAATAGAGACCATCCTGGCTAACACGGTGAAACCCTGCCTCTGCTAAAAATACAAAAAATTAGGCGGGCGTGGTGGCACGCGCCTGTAGTCCCAGCTACTGGGAAGCTGAGGCGGGAGAATCGCTGGAACTCGGGAGGAGGAGGTTGCAGTGAGCCGGTATCGCGCCACTGCATTCCAGCCTAGGTAACAGAGCGAGATTCCCTCTCAAAAAAAAAAAAAAAAAAAATTGCTAATCTAGCTCTAGCTCTGAATTTCCTTTCCTCTAGTTGCTCAACAACATAGCTATCTACTTTGTACAGAATGCCATGTTTGTGGCTGCAAGTAGGGTATATAGATACATTCATGCATATATGTAAATATAAACATTTAGTATATTTAAATACATGCACATATGTATTTATATTTAAGTGTATATATATATTTATATTTAAATATATCTATATTTTAAAATCACGATAAAAGAGAATCCAAAAAGGCCATGGAGACAAGGCACCTACCATCAAGTTTATTATCAAGTTGGAGAGAAAAATATGTATGTAAGATAGCTGAGTAGTTACAGTAATAAATGAATATTGATAAAATTTGGCAAAAAAAGTACTTATGAAGAACAGAGTAATTAGTTGATTAATTAATATAAATTATAAAAATGAAGAAAATTAAAGGAAATACCTCAAAGGTACTTTTTTTAAGGTAACATATTCCTATGGTTAATACTGAGTGTCAACTTGTTGGATTGAAGGATACAAAGTATTGATCCTGGGTGAGTCTGTGAGGGTGTTGCCAAAAGAGATTAACATTTGGGTCAGTGGGCTGGGAAAGGCAGATCCACCCTTGGTTTGGTGGGCACAATCTAATCAGCTGCCAGTACATATAAAGTAGGCAGAAAAACGTGAAAAGGAGAGACTAGCCCAACCTCCCAGCCTATATCTTTTTCCCATGCTGGATACTTCCTGTCCTCGAACATCAGACTCCAAGTTCTTCAGTTTTGGGACTCGGACTGGCTCTCCTTGCTCCTCAAGCTTGCAGAGAGGCTATTGTGGGACCTTGTGATCATGTAAGTTAATACTTAATAAACTCCCCTATATATATATATATATATATATATATATATATATATATATATATATATATATATATATATCTCCTATTAGTTCTGTCCCTCTAGAGAACCCTGATTAATACAGATTTTGGTACCAGGAGTGGTTCTAGAGGAACAGAATATTAAGAACGGAGTTCTTTTGTTGCTTTTGGGGTTTCTGGCGTTGGCTGCTTAATATGATTAGACCCAAAATTGCTAAGGACTCTACTTCTGATAGTGTGGAGAACACTGATAGTCCTTGGTGTGGACTTTTTAGATAGTTATGCAAAATAAATGCATTTGGCACTCCTGATTCACTGCTCGTGAGAGGCAAGGAGCTGAGTAACCCTATACATAATGCCTTTGATTATATGTGGAAAACCAAGGAACATAATGCAGCTGGTTGGTTGCTCCTAAGTTCAGTGGACAAAGTGATGAAAGAAAATGATGAACTCAGGGATTCTGTCTCCTAGCTTCAGAAGCAGATACCGAACCTCAAATATGCTAAGACTGCCCTGAGAGAGAGTTTTATCTCCTGTAGAGAAAGTGCTGAAATTGTGGAAAAACAGACACAAGCTCTTATCATGCGAGTGGCTGACCTGCAATGAAAGATGGCTGCACAGCCTCACCAGGTGTCTACTGTTAAAGTGAGGGCATTGATTGGAAAAGAGTGAGACCCTGAAACTTGGAATGGGGGCGTGTGGGAAGACCCTGATGAAGCTGGGGACACTGAGTTTGTAAACTCTGATGAACCTTTTTTTTTTGCCAGAAGGAACAGCTTTTTTTACTTGTATCTGATTAAAACGTCATTATTTTTTGGAACCAATATAGAAAAACTAGAAAATATGGATGATAATATGTAAACATCACTTATAATCCTACTAAGCAGAGATAAATTTGTCTCTGTGATTCCATGTTTCACATCTATAATTACAGAATTGTATGTAATTATTGTCTTAGTCTCTGAGTGGATGCTATGGTATGCCACCCAGATACCCTCTTCAGCCCTGAGACATTCATTCCTCAGCTACTGGGAGTGTTGGACCTACTAGCCCTCAGCTGAGTGGTTGGTTCTTTGGGAATTATCCTCAATTGAAGGGATTTCCTTGGCTGAATCTTCAACACTTCCCTCTGCCCAATCCTTCTTCTTTTATTCCCCTAAAGGTGTTAATTCCAAAGGCACATCTCAAAAGACTTCCTGTAAGAGAATCTCTGTCTCAGTCTGTTCCCCAGGAAACTTCATCTAACACACTCTTCAAGTGATTTATTTAATCTGTTTTCCTCCACTTGAAAATATTTATTATTAGCAGAGCAGAATTTCAAATTATGTGTAAAATGTTTTCAGTGACTCCATGGTCTTTTATTCCATGAGCACACTATTCTATATTATTGAAAAGTTACGAAAGGAATTTAGGGTTAGAAATACAGGAGAACTGTGGGAAACAAAGACTGACGTTAAGGCTGGAACATGAAACAGTCAACTATAGGAAAGGCATGCATATTTAACTTGACAAGAGCAGAGATTCTAAAGAGCGAGAACAGTTAGCTAGGAAACGCAATTGACAGTGGAACACTGAAAGCGTAAGATAGCCAGATTTAGAATAATGAAAAGTAAGCAAATGACTCCTTGGAAAAAGAAGGACTGGAGGAAAATTATTTTAGAGGATACAGGGAATTAAGTACAGTGGAGAAACCCTGGAGGCAAGGAAATGACTAGGTCTCTAGTACAGTTATGCAGATGAGACACCCTGGATGCCTGAAATAAAGTGTTGGCTATTAAGATGGAAAGGAGGCTTAAGAAACGTAACAGACCAAAAAAAAAAAAAAGTGCCCGGGAACATGAAAATGATTATGAAGGATTTACCCTGGGGAACTGGGAGAAAGACCTTTAATGTTAGTGGTGAAATTGGGAAAGAGTGACTGTTGGTAAGAGAAGATGATTAACTTAACATGTGATGGGTTAAATTCCTGGTATCAGGATTTCCAAGAGGAGATATGTGGGTGACTCATTACATAATGCAGAAAGAAGAAGGTGAAATAAATTTTTTTTTTCTGTGTGAGATGTGCAAAAAAGAAAGGTTTAATTACAGCAAAACAAAGCAGTGTTACAGCAAATCATATATATAAGTATGCAAGGCACAGGCGTTTTCTCAAATAGTATTATCAGTAAGAAGTCTTATCTATCTAAATAATACAGAATGTTATAATTCTACACTTTTCCTATCACTTTGAAAACTAAGTATAAAATATCAGACTTCTTGGGACAATAAGCAGATCTCATATTTATAGAAAAATAAACATGCTACTTAATCAATGCCAAGCTTCATTACTCACACTAACAAAAGTGAATACTATTTTATGTAGCTAGATCAGATTTGCCACATTTTGATATATTCTTTTTTTTTTTTTTTTTTTTTTTGAGATGGAGTCTCGCTCTGTCGCCCAAGCTGGAGTGCAGAGGAGGGATCTCAGCTCACTGCAAGCTCTGCTTCACGGGTTCACGCCATTTTCCTGCCTCAGCCTCCGAAGTAGCTGGGATTACAGGCGCCCGCCACCATGCCCGGTTATTTTTTTGTATTTTTAGTAGAAACTGGATTTCACCGTGTTAGCCAGGATGGTCTCCATCTCCTGACCTCGTGATCCGCCTGCCTCGGCCACCCAAAGTGCTGGGATTACAGGCATGAACCACCGCACCCGGCCGATGTATTCTTAAAATATATTTGATGTTAAATATGATAAAATTAGAATTATTTTGTGAACAAAAAAATTAAAATTATTTTGGAGAATTAGCTTGGAAGCTTAAACTTGCTCTACAATCAAGTTAAAGGATCACCCCTTTTTTGAACCATTTTCAAAACAAAGGATCAGTGTTAACTGGGAATTTATTAGTACAATTCACTGGTTCTTTCTCCAGCTTGCTCAAAAAGTAATTATTTCTGGTAGCTTTTGAGGAGCACACAGTAGTCTTGTGTATGATATTAAGCTCTAGCCTTCCAGGCTGATGGTGGCTATCCAAGAAGCCATTTCAGAATCTATTGGTTCTTCCCTTGCTTCCAAGCCCCACTGAAATAAGCGTGATGTTTGTGCCAAGTGTGCAATCTCACAATGATCCAAAAGCCACAAACAAGACCTCAGATTGGTACTAGTTATTCTGGATCACAGCGAGTCTAAGGAACCTTAACATTGCACATAGAAATAAAAGAGACACTTTCATGAACTATCTCACATTTTGTCATTTTGTGTCTTGCAGCCTTGCTTCCGCACCATAAAATAACACCCTATAAAAAAAGCTTCTTTGTTTTCTGTGATATTTGAGACAATCACCTTGCTGTCCTTGCCATTGCTTTCCTTCTCTATTGCATGTATCTCTTAGCTTTATATTTTTTCAACGTCCTTAAAAATTGGCTTGTGTAAATTGATTTCTCCTGGTCCTTTACCAGAAACTCCTAGTCAAGTATTCCAACACTGGCAACATCTGAATTTGCGGTCCTAGTTATCTTTGTTTGGGTGACCATACAGAGATCAATACCCAAAATTTAGAATTAGGAAAGTCTAAACATTGGCATCAGATACATACTAAAAATAATTAATTGATTACTGGAATTTAAAATATCAACATTTATAGGCATGATGTTACGTTATAATAGAAATTAGGATTTTTGACCACACAAACATGCCCTAGCAGCATTTGTTTTTGGGACTTCTTTAAGCTTTTTTCTCTCTCTTTTTAACATTACACGTTTCTCACCTATTTTGCCAAGGCTTATAATCCACAAAACTTCTGCAGGGATTTCCTAGTCTAGTCATTCTTTATTACATATTCCAGCAAATTTTCATAATACACATCTATGAATAAGTGTAACAAGTTTGTAGCTTGCATAAAATAATTAAACAAGAAAACATCAATGTTCAACATTTAAAAGAAGGAAAATAATACTGAATGATGCTTAATATAGAAGAATAAGCAAAAACTGCAGTGGATAATATTTGTAAATGACTTGTAATTCACTTTATCTATATTAATGCCTATGTTAGTTCTTAATATATAATGTATTTACTTTTATATTGAGGATTTAATTCAGCTCAAATAATCCTTTACTTTTTTTTAGTATCTTGAATTCAAAAAATCATTTTTGGTATAAATAAGGGCTGCTTCCTGACATAGATAATGCTGGCTTTTGTAGTGATTAACCTGATAGTCAGTTAAACAAATCAGATATGAAAACTAGAATGTGTAAAGAAAGCCTGTTTTTACTATAATCAATGATTACTACAAAAAGAAAATTAGCTATTTTTTAAACCTTTACTTGCACTATGCCTAGTAGCTTTCATATAATTACTAGCTACATTATTTCATATAATTCTCATTGTAGCCCCATAAGAAACATCTTTTAATGACCAATGGTATGAATACAATGGTATAAATAATGTAATTGAGTTGTGGGAAAATTAAACTCATCCATGGTCATAGTGGGGAACTGAGATTGAAACCCATGTTTGGCTATCCCAGATCTACTGCAGCAGCCTCTGTCAGATTGGCCCACTGTGCAATTGCTCCTCCCTATTTCAATATTGCTCCTTTCATCTGTGTCATAAATTCCCTCCAATCTTCCCACAGGCACCCAAAACCAGATGGGCAATGCCTATCATTTAATGTAATATATACATCTTTCAATATAAAATAAGGGTTCTTCAGTAATACACATAATTGCTTCTTTATATTTTCCTTTACATCCCTGCTTTTTTCTTCTCTGATGCACAAAGTGGCACTTTTCTTCATTATGGAAAGAAAACGTTTGTGCTGTGTGCAAGAAGGAGAGTTTCTGATTTTTTCATCATGAAAAAGAAATACCACAAAATAAGAAAATGCAGTGCTGAGATGTTAGAATAAATAGCTAATTGTGTCACTCAAATACAGTTTATGTTTATAGGCAGGACTACTTTCAAATATGAAAGTGGTAAAGATATATGATAAGGGTATAGGAAAAACAGTAGAAAGAAAGATTGGAAAGATTTGCTCTAACTTGCCTCTCTCTGTTTGAAATTGCATTTCTTAATTTTAGATAATTATCATTAGAACCCCTTTGGTGATTGCAGCAGCAAACTGTTCCATTGAAATCTTTGGGTTTCATGACAGGAAACTTCAATTCATCAAACTAAGCAATTCTGCATTTCACATCATGTATGTTAACTCTGTAATAATGGTCTATCATCACCAGGTACACAGATTAAAAACACATACATCAAAGTACAACACTCCATGCCATGTTAGAAATGTCATTAATGCTTGAGGCTTATTTTTTCCAAAATGTATTTTTCAGTTTTGTTTTCAAAGGAAACAAATTGCATGACTAGCAATTTCTTATACAATAAGTGAGTAATATTTTAACACTTTTGATTCCATATAAATTATATCCAAGTGGTCCTTGTTCATCAGAAATAAAGAGTCTACAGTTGGAATGCACACATACACACATATGTGTGTGTGTGTATATGTGTGTGTGTGTAACAAAAACTTAGGCGTTAAGGGAAATAAAATTACCCAACCATGAGTGATTTGGTGTGAATTATTAGACAATCTCTGACTTGGAATAATTCTCAACCCAGCTTGCAGGGAATAGTGAATTGAGAGGAGTTAGTGAGATGCTTCAAAAAAGTCTTGTAATCCTGTCTTTTGGGAGGGGATATGACATTTTGGTAAATTAGAAAGTAGAGGTTGCTGGTGCCTTTCAGAAGATGTGAAACGCTTCACTTGGTACTAATGTACATAAAGCAATTAGTTACCTGTCATGATGGGTGTTCCCTAAGGCAGTGCACTTTCTCCATTAGTATTTATATCTACATGCCATTATACATCGGGCAGCACTAAATAGATGAGATACGGTCAGAGAATTACTCAAGTCATGTGCCATCAAGAAGAGAGATATTAGCAAACATTATTAGCATACAGGTGGAGCTGGATTACTTAGACAGTTTCCAGTGTGATATTTATTGTAAAATGCTTGCTGAAAATGTAACATAAACTGATTAACCCTTAGAGAATTTTTTTTTTAAATCAGTAAATATTTTTGGCTAGTGATCTTGAACATGATGGTTTTCTTAGAGGTCATATTCTCCCCCTACCCTTCTCCAAATAACCCTACCCTTTTCAGCTAGAAAATTCAATGTCTCTTCTATCCATAAATTATTAAAAATGCAAATACTTAATTCAGAGATCTTAAATATAAAAGCAAATCACATCCTGTCACATCTTTGGCTTAGGGTATAGATACAAAATGAAAGCAAGGTTATGTTATTTTATGTTATTTGCCTCTAAGTACCTTCTTAATCATTTCCTCCTTTTTTCTCCACCCACAGCTCTTGAATATTCATATGTTTTAAAATATAATCTACTTTCAACTTGGCATTTTTCAAATATATATTCTGTTTAAAATGCTATTAAGTTTAAATTCACCAAATTTTCTATGGAAATGATTAGAGCATAATCTTTCTATGATTAGAGCATAATCATTCTCACTCACTAGACTTGCAGAAAATGTTTATGAATGTCTTATATATTCAATGTATTGAAAATTATCAGAGAGTCTGTACTCTGGTTTAGGGTTCATATTTTGTTTAGTACTTGCCACACAGTGTACTATTTACTTCTATATGGGTCTCCTTCTCACATTTATTCATGATGCATTTTCAGGCCAAGTAGAACAACTTGTATAAATAACACTGAAACACTGAAATACTAAAGTTATTTATGATATTTGTTTCAAGAATTTAAAACCATTGTTATTTATCATTCATCTAAAAATTATGGGCCTTTTCCAAATAAGTTTCCATGCTTCACTATGAGGAGGGAGCTAAAAATAATTGGTTAATAGTCTCAGAAATATTTTTTCTAAACACATCTTAAATATAAAAATAAAACATTTTTCTACTGGTATTGATTGGAAATATTGCTGTTTAATGAAATTCATTGTTTCATTGCATACTTGGAAATTCCAGATATTATTAATAGAATGGAATTTTAATATCAGTTAATTTGAAGCTTTCAGACATACAGAAGTTTTAAATCTTAAAGAATTTAAGATTCACCATGTACCTACTAATGTTTTTGAGTCATACATATTTACATAATATTTAGTAAACAAAAAACTGTCCATAACTTAAAACATACAATATTTCTCTAAGTCATGTGTTCTGAGGCTAGGGAATTAACTAGCATGGCAGCTAAATAAAAGTCACTTTTACTTATTATATTTTTTATAGCCACTTCCATAGTAAGACATAGAATAAAGAAAATTGGATTATAAAATATAAATATATAACTCCTAAAACAAGAAGAGAAAGATATAGCTACATGCACACTGGTGTTTAAATTTCTCATCTGTGCATGCGACCCTAGCCATATTATTCAGAGTTGAGGCATTCAGTACACACAGAAAGAGTACAGAGTGTCCTTGAAGGATTCTTTCTATTGTAAATCTTGGACAAGGAGAATTTAGCCTTGAGTATGAACTCAAGGCAAAATCTGTAGAGAATAAAAAAGACTAAATAGTCTGGAAATATTTCTAGATCAACATTCCTCGATATCTCTCAGAGAAGAAATGTTTAAAATCCTGCACATGATACGCCACATAGGACAGGATCTAAAGGTTGTATTAACCTTCTCTCTCATTATAAAATTCTATACAACCCCACTCTATTGCTGTTTTCTAAATAATAATTATACAAATATGCTTCCAACCATTTTGCCAGCCTCAAGAAATGTCTTATGAATTAGCTAATACAACTGAATTGATTGGATAGTGAATCATACTATCTGATAAATATATTGATAATTTTTTCTAACTAATTCAATCATTGCAAACATACTAGGTTGAGGTAAAATATATAAGGTATATTTACTCATTTCAGGGTGCAATATATAAATCCCAAGCCATCATTTTACTAAATGTTAGGATGATAATTATTTTGTAACTAAGCATACAAAACCTAATTCAACCTTAATGAAGTGTTGCCAACTTTTTTAAAATTCATGACATCATACTGGGATAAATACTAATGTATCCAGAATATTTTACTTAATTATTGCTTTATCAAGTTCCATTGCATGATTATAAAAAAGAAAGGCGTCAACTGAGTTATATCTCAGGTTTTTACCTGGTTTTGTTTCACTGGAGGAGGGAAATGAGCTCAGAAATTAGCCAACACTTTGTTTAACAGATATTTATTGAGTAAGTACTTTGTGCAAAATACACTGCTAGACAGGACTAGCTATATAATTTGTTAGGCCCAGTGCAAAAGGAAATTTTAAGAACACTTGTTCAAAATTTAATAATTTGAAGATAGAGACAACAGAGCATGAATCCAAACCTGGAGCCCTTCCAAGAGTGTAGCCCCATGTGACTGTACACTTCACACACCCGTGAAGCCTGCCAGACTGCTGGACGATACACAGTACCTAAGGAATAACGTGACATTTCTATTTCGGGTCAAAATCAGGAAAGGCAATAAGGAGGTTTATTATGCTACCCCTCACATGAAAGCAAACCTGAATAATTGTTTTTATTTTGGGGAGTTAGGAGAGGTTTGTGAAAGAATTAGTATCTGAAAGATAGGCAGGGCTTAGCATTGTGGAAATGGGGAAATGCAGTTAGACAAGGGCATATAACTGAGCATAAGCTTAGGGATAGAAAAGAGCAACGTGTGCTGGATATAGTGTGTAGATTGGGTTCATGTAGAGTAGACAGGGGAGATAAAGTTAAAATTACAGGTTGGGATCAAAACAAGGGATTACATGAATGCTAGTATAGTGAGTTTGAATTTCACCTTGTAAGCAAATGGAAGGCTTTGAGTAACATGATCGCAAGCAGGCTGCAGGGTGAAATGGGAGTAGAAGATGAGGGGAGATACAGGGGCCCAATGTCTAGTTAGTAAGACAACTACACTAGTTATCAGGGCCTGTATTAGAGAGACAGCAATAAATGTGGAAAACAAGGACTGGATAAAAAAGGCATTGCAAATGAAGTATTGATAGACATGGGAGGCCATGGACAAAGATTATTTAAATGACCATGACACTCAAACAACTCAGACAAAAAGAAGAAAAAACGATGTTCTTGGACAATTTAGAAATCATTCCCTGGAAAACTAAATGATGAGTCTATTGACAAACATAGAAGTAGAACGTGTGCAATGCAATAGGAAGAGAATATTTGGCCATAAACTAGATTGACTTTTTTTGAGAAATAAAAGGAATCCTAGTATTTGACAGCATGGATGATTTTATCTGTGGGTAGATAGAAAAATACATTTTTATGTTACTATCTGTTTCTATAGCATGACAATCAGGGAGCATGTATGTGCATCATATTTGGGTTGCACTTGTTCTTAGATAATTTAGAAAGGTCTTTTTCTGTATTAAGTGCTGTATGGGAGCAATAGTAATCCATTCATCTTTAGTTTTGGATCCCTGAATCCCTCATATTCTTAGAATCAACAAATATGTTTATGTCATCTACTAAGTGCCAGGCACATTTGGAAGTACTAGGACATAAAACGTGGACAAGAAAATATGTTCTCAGCCTGCACATAGACCTACAGGGAAAGAAGATGATCCCCATTCTGACAGCTGTGTGGGGCACCCAGAGGAAAGGGAAAACAAGTCTTCCTGAGTGGATCAAATAGTCTTTCATAATGGTGATCCTTGCACTGAATCTCTTCAGGGACAATTTTGTAGTTTTGAATGTGTTTCTGTCTGTATAGGTTAAAATGTCATGGAATTTGTAGCAAACTATTTTGTAACAACTGTTCCAAGACAAATATAACAATATCAAATACTCAAGTAATAATGAAATATTTGCTATTCAAATATTTTTACACATATTTTTGCTAATAAAAGCAGACAAAAGCAGTGTTTTAAAATTAAGAATATAGTGAACTAAGAGTACAACGACATAGTACTTGTAAGTTTTTCTGATTTTTTTCATATACTTTAAAATCTCTTATTTAAACTCAAAATCTCTGTTATATACACTTTTATAACATACTACAACATTGCATAATTGAGCCATGTGTGTTTTAAGACAAATATTGGAAGATGTTATGTTCAATACCAATGTCTATACCATTTAAACAATGGAAGCATCAGGTAAGTAACAACACTTGGACAGCAAGTCAATATGACTATGAAAGGTCTCCAATAATGAGCAAATTCAGACCAATACACAGTTTGAGTATTTGCCCTTCTTATTGACAAAGGTTGCTTTCAATCACACTGTATCTATTACCATATCAATCATCACTCTAAATGAATACAGTGTTATCATTGACAAAGACATCATTTAAGCTGAGAAAGTAAAGATTCTAAATAACAAAATAATGAAAAGTAGGTTGTTCACTGCAGGAAAATGAAAAATATACCTTAACAATCTATTCACAGGATGGTAAGGACATTGGGGAGCAGTATGAAAAACAGCAACAGCAATAACAACAACAAAAGCTCACTTACTCACAAGGACCTTGAAATAGATAGTGATTAATATCACACTGTTATTTATTAAAGTTAATACAACTGAGTATTTTACTTGGTATACAGATTAAGATATAGAATTGAACTGATAAAAATGATTTACATGCAGGATTAAAATATTGGCAGCTTTATAGAGTGAAATGTCACTATTTTGCTGTACCTTCAAGTTTTACATTTCCTCCTTTGAATCCCTGTCAGCCTTCATGAATAGCAGAGAGTTTAATCAATGCTTGAGGTAGCGACAGCATAACACTGAATATTTCTCTTGCTAATAATCAAAATGGTGTTAAGTAAGCATCATAAAGTAAAACGACATACACATTTATCCTAATTATCATATAACAAGTTAACTAGTGTTCCAGGTTTAAAAATACCACACATTTCAAAGAAGCCTGTATTTCCACTAAATACAGTTTTATGGTTATGGGTTTAGCCTGAAGCATTTGGCTTGCACTAAGAAATTCGAAGATCAGGAAGTTCAAAATTTTTAGTTATCACACTAGAAACCAATTTTTTAAAAATTCTGTGATGCAAAGTACTTATAGAACAAGATGGTATGTGTGGGGTGTGTGTGTGGGTGTGGGTGTTTGGTCGGTACGTTTTAATATTCTTTGAAGTCTTGGATTTAGTTTGTAATTTTGTTTCATTAAAAAAAAAATCCTAGTAAAATTCACATTGACTCAGATACAGGAAAGAAAGCGTGTTGTTTTGGCATTAAAAATGTGAGCTATTTGTTTAGTTAATTTGTTAGATACTAAAAAATATTTTAGGAATTCAGGAAACAAAAGGAGGAGAAAGATGGTATAAAATGACAAAGGAAATCAAGAGCAAAATTTCAAGCAGATTCAGCTGAATGAAGGGACCATGTGGAATAGCACGACACATTTGGCCATTAAGGAAAATCATACAAATGAGGGTGAGAAATGGCTGGACAATTTTATGGTAGGGGGTAGGAAGAGCATGTAGAGTGTGGATGCATAAAGTTCACAAAGAAGGGAAATGGGAGAAGAGAGGCTTACAGCAATCTACCTTTATTAGGCCAATGATTACTCCTCACCTAGAAATTGCTTCTCAGCCTATAAAATATCTGAGATTTTAAGTAAAAAGGAAATACCATTGACAACTTATGAATGTTTTAAATGAACAGAATGTATGTTCTCTTTAAAAGTTTTGAGAAAACATTTTTAAATGGAAACTAAATTTCTGTTGTTTTCGAAATAATTTCTGTAAGTTAACTTCATTTTGCTGTGAGACAGATAAAACTTAAAGTCAGAGCTTAAAATTTTTGTCAAATAAGAATAATTAAAATGAATGTTTTTAACAAATAAATTTTGTTCTTAATATATATTAAGAAAACATAACACAAAGCAAGTAAACGTATCTTCAGCAGGCAAAAAAGACAGGACAGTTATTAAATACGTATTATATTTGCAAACTTAGTGATGTGTTCATACTAAAGGATTCTTTTCTCTCATCACTTAGAAAGATATCTCTCATAATTAACTCATATCAGAATTATCATTCTCTTTCTTCTGGGCATATATTTCTCACCATACATTCCAGAGCCTCCTTGAATATGTAGGTCATTGTCTCCTGAATTGAATTATACAAGACAGAGTGGCTTTCAACATTAGGCCCTAAAATGACACTGCTATTCCCACCTTCACTTTTGCTCCAAATCTGACACATTTTACCCTTCATTCTAATTGTATCTGCAAACATATTTCTTTTTTACATATTTCCTACACTAAATATTTTATGGAGAGGAAACATTTTATTCTTCTAGCTAATGAGAATAGCATTAAACATGAGGTCTAGGCCCTTCGTTAAATCACAATTTGAGCCATGATAACAATAACTTGTAAGCCTTAATGCAAATGAAACCTTATTTTTATTTCATCATGCATATAGCCACAAGAAAGCTTTGTAAGCACCAAAACATCATATATAATATCTTCTTTAAGAATGATGAATTTATGTAAACAAAAAAAGAAAAAAACGATAAATAAGAAAATTTACAGTGAGCCACGTTTTGTCATTTTAACACAAAAGCTTCAGAAGATCAGATTACCCTACCAGAGTGAAATGGGCGTAACACAGACAGATTCTTATCTGATCACAAACTAGAAATAGAAATCAGGAGACACTGAGCGCAGTTTCCAATCAGTATGGAGAAAGATATTACGTGTGCAGCTATTTTAATTTCCCCAATATAGAATAAAGAATTTGTGAGAGCAGAAGGTTGCTTAAAGAAAAGGTGTTTCGTCAGTGTATAAAAAATAATTCTCTACAAAATAAGCAAAAAGATAAGAACTAGCAAGCTAAAAAACATTTCTTCCTAATAAACTTGGGAGGAACATTCTCTAAGGAGTGCATTATAAAACCCTGATCTGTCTGTCCAAGACACAGCCAGTGAAAAGGGACATGAGAAGCAGTACAACTGAAGATATGATGACAGCACCTGAGTAGCACCGAGCACCAGCATCTCAGAAATATCAACTCATCCTTAGCAAAAACTGAAAAGTTACAATGTGAATAATAGTCTAAAAGAAAATAAAATAATTCATTACGTTTTATTCGAGCAGAGGCTTAGAGACTCACATTTATTGTTTGCAAATTTACTTACTCGTGGATATTGCAGCTGAAATATCTCAGATTTCCAGTTCTAGTCCAAGGCTTGAAGCATATATGGTATTTGTGTCTGTATTTTATTGAAGAAACATATGAGGTCCAGAAAGTTTCAAAAAAGAGTTATAGACACAAAAAAGCTACTAAATACACAGCTAATAAGAAGAATGTCATTAAAACAATAATAGCCAATGCATGTAACCATATAAATACATATCTTTTATTTGAAGCCATTTAACATGAGCTTTCAAATGAGAAATGTCTCCAGATAATTGCTTTATTCAGTTTCTGCTCATCCCAATTTCTCTTAACTATTAATTTTTGTCAAGATATTGTGGATCTCTGCTCTTTAGGAATTTAGCCAAACTGAGTTGTAGGGGGAATACGGCAATTGTGGTTAACAGAGCAAGTTGTCATTTGAATATTTTGTCCTAGTATATTTTAGTTCAGATTATTCTAGTTTTGTCTGAGATAATATAGCTTATCTCACACAAATAATGAGGAAAATAGGAATCTCTGATACTCTATGAAGATGCTAGACAAGTGCCTACCATGGAGTTCAACTAAAAATGGTCAGTGGATTTATTTGTTCATTACCAAGTGTTTATTGAGGCATTCTGCAAGGCAGTTTGTTATTTCTAAACCGCACATAAATTTGCCCATTTCACAACTGAGGAAATTCGGGTTTAGTGAGGCCTTGCTAATGGTGATAAGCCCAGTAAGTTGGCACTGGTCCTGTGTGACTTTAGAATCTGTGCTGTCTCTGCAAACCCATGAAACTTCCCATCACCACTATCAAATCATGTAACGGATTTTTTTTCATCTATTACCTATTGGATGATGCAATCATATAATAATAAAACTTTGATTCTAATGCCCACTCAAACAAGAATATGAAGGGAAGACAGGATTGATTAGAGGTCTATGGATTACTCAGATAGTTAGATGAAAGAAGTTCTAATGTTTAGTAGCAGAATAGGATGACTATAGATAACAACAACATAGCAGTCATTTGAAAGTAGCTAGAAATGAGTTTTGGAAAGATTCCCAACATATACAAATTGTCAATGTTTGATGTGACAGATATTCTAAATACCCTGATTTGATCACTACACATTCTATGCATGTAACAAAATGTCATATGTACCCCAAATGTGCAAATACTATGTATCAGTAAAAAATTTAAAAATAGGAACATTTATTTAAAATTTTAAAGACAAATCAATAGCTTTTAGAAGTTTTTTTAAAAAAGAAGCCTATGAGTTACTAAATACCATTGTATATGCTTAAATATGAAGAGGAAGAAACTTTGATAAAACCAAAATGTAATTTTTTGGATGAGTAATATAGAGTTGTTAAAATCACACAAAGTTATTACATTGTAAATTATATGTAAATATAAGTTACACACACATATACATGTGTACACAGCATGTATATGTGTGTATATATGGTGTATATATTTACACATATATAGTATATGTGCTTATAGATACATATGTTTTTTTCTTAAAGTCTTAGGCTTTTTTCTTTTTAAAGATAAGTTTTTTTAATTTTTAATTTTTTCTTTGCATTATGTTTTAGAAACAAATATTCATGTGCATATTATTAACTACTATGATATAGGAAGAAAGAACTTAGACTTTAAAGATCTCACTTTTGAAAGCTTACACAAGTTACTATATTCCTAAAAGATAGAAGGGCATCAGACACTTTCTTCACTTCTAAAAGTCTCCATTTCCACATCTTTAAAATTCAGATAATACCTATATCTATAAATAATTGTCAAGATCGTATGTAGCACATAGTAGGTACTCAAAAATGGTAGGTTCCCTTCTCTTCTACCTGCTTTATTAGTGACTGCATTGTCAAGCAGAGATTATTTTTCTCTGTACGTTTGATGTAGGTCAAGCAGAGAAAATTGTTTTTAGAATTACCAATATAAATACCAATATCTTGTGTTAATGGTTAAACTGACAAATTAAAACTTACTTTCCGAGCTTTTGGAACAAAGCCATTGAAAGTACATGTGAATTCTGAAACAAGGCAGAGTGATAGAAACCATTTTGGGAGATGAGAGGTGAGAGAGTTGAAAAAATAACCCCAAATGCACAAAGTTAAAGAAGTCTGGAAGAGCTGCCCTTTCCATTACAGAAACAGCACACAAATCAGTGGGGAAATCTTACTCTAGGAGGTGGAGACATCACTATTTAGTCAAACTTTTCTGTTTCATTCATTATTTGTTTTCATGTATACTGACATGATAGAATTTTTAGTTGAAGAGAAAAAGAGAAGGGAAAGCATGATTATTCAATTATTTAATTAATTCAAAATTATATTGTGAGCCATTTATGTTCCAGGCATCATTCTACCTATTAATGATGCTGGCATAAACCATCTAGTGATTTCATGGACTTAAGAATAATTAGAAAGGCAAAGATTCCCAAAGTAGAGGAAATGTTTATGTCAAAATGAATTGATTCTTTAATTTTAGATGCAGTTTTTTGTTCATTTTCTGATCATTGCACTTAAGTGGCATGTTTAGAACAAAGTTTGGAGTTAATCTATCGTTAATTAAATATCAATATTAAGTCTCATTTTACAGACTAATCTGCACATTTTACAGACTCAAATCATTTGCTTATATTTTAGAAATATGATTTCTATTAAGGTCAATAGGAATAGTGTGGCTTCAAACTCCAACTAGTACTTTGAAAAATTACCCCTACTAAGTATTACCAGTTTTTCCTGCTGTTGATATTAATACTTACCAAAAGTGGAATTTGGAAAATGTCCACAGATGAAAACAATTTTATCAGAATTTTCCTTATCCTTATTTCTGCATGAAGTAACATATTGAAACATTTGGAGAGTGTTTTCAAGTAACACTCTTTTTTATAGGTTAAAAAAATGTTATTTTAAAACTCCAATGAAGAAAAATATATAGATAAAGAAGAGCAGCAAATACTAATTGTATAGACTCTAAGAGCAAAAGCATTAAAATATATCAGAGGTATATTTTCTAAAATGTATGACATTTGGAACACAACTCTCAAAATTCTATGACATTTCTACATATGGGATAAAACACACAAGTTGTATAATATCCTTGTGCAGATACAAAAATATATTTTGAAATCAGAATAGGAACAATCAATGCCTTGCCAGCTTAACCAAAGATTCCTCAAAATAGGAAAATTAAGATAACAAACCAACCACAAATAAGTACATATAGTAATTATGATTGGTGAATTAGGGTCGTTTTGTTGTGCAATTTTAAAAGTTGACAAAATGTTACTAATCTACAGTGTCTGTTTTGCTAACTTCCATTCCTATTCAGGGCTAGAAAGATGCTGCTCCATCTTCCAAGCAAACAATGGATCTGTTTACATCATTTATTAATAGTAATTTAATAACAATCATGACAACAACAATATAGTATTTTATATTTGTATAGTATGTCACCATTTACAAAGCATTTTCCTCTACTCGCAGTTTTTCATTCAAAACTTTCAAGAACAACTCAGATCATCGCATATGGCTGCAGGCAGGTGATGCTCTCTAAGAGCCTCTGATGCAAACCAAGACGCCTAGAATTAAGCAACCCAGAAGCCACATTTCCAGGGCCAGGCCCCACATCCATGCCTTACCCAACACTCACATTTGCTCCCATGGCTTCCCATGGGAGTAGCCCTTAGTAATACGTTGTTTCAAATGCTTGGTTAAATATCTGTCTTTTCAACCACACTGTACTTTCCTTGAGGCAGGGCCCATATTTTTCACTTAAGTATCTGATATATTGTAAGTCCAAAGTATATTTGAAGCTTTTAATAGAATGAACTAATGAATCCTTAATTGTCAGGTTAAGAAACAAAGCCTAATGAGGGGAAAAAAACCTGTTCCCATTGTTAAGTCCGTTGGCTCCTTGAAATGGGGTTGTGCTTAGCTTTTCAATATGAAATTAATTTTATGTGGGAACTGGCTTATAGGAATCCAATAAACTCAACTAATGTGAGGAAAGAAAACATAAATGAATGAATGAATGAATGAGTGAATTCTGCCAAATACTTATTGTATTTGCTGATATACAACAATTTTGCAATCTTAAGCTTTACACTTACCCTAAGTCATTACCCAGATACGGAGTAGCGTAGTGATAAAAATTGTAAGTTCTGAGATCAAATTGTTTGGGGCTGAAATTTGGCTCTCATTGGACAGGTTACATAACTTCTTTGTGTCCCAGTTTTCCATATATAAGATATGAAAACTAACGCTATTTTCTTCTTTGAGTTGTGAGGATTTCTTGAAGTAATAAATGAAAAATTATACAATGTAATTCTTGGCAACCTGAAAACTTTAAATAAATATTAGCTATTGTTATTACTATTCTATATTCATTTTTCTCTGCTTCTGAAGATTGACCTGGACTTTAATAGATCTGAGTCTTCCAATTAGCTGGAGCTAAATATTCTCTGAATGGTAGCCAGCTCTAATGCTGACCCTAGAGAAATTCAATACTGTTGTGGCAGAATTTCTATTGAGAACATTTTTTTTTTGGAGGGGGGTTAATTTTAACAGATTTAATTCATTCAAAGTTTCAACAAAGTTGTATATCCATTGTTAAGTTGGAGGTGAAGGTCAAGAACTTTTGTATCATGGGTAGGTGAATTACTTATGCCCATGTTTCAAAATTAAATTAATAAAATGTTATTTAGTTTTAATTTGAACTATATCTCTTTTATAGTGTTTTAAAGTATAGTATTCGTGTCTTAAAAGACTATTTAGCTTTTCTCTTTGTCAAAATTATTATTTTAACTGAAAAGGAAGTGATATGTTCACCCTGAATCTACAGGCAAACTATAATTTCAAGTGGAATAAAAAGTCAGCATTTCCAAAATTGTTACTAATAGTTGGCTTTATAGCTTTATTTCTATTTTCTTGGGTCCTTTATGTTAATTTCATCAAGATTATATCTCATAAAAATATTGATTAATCTAAATTCTTTAACTTTTTTTGTTTTTGTTTGTTTGAAATAATACGCAATACAATTTATCTCAATTTTTTCTTTAAATTTAGTGAGTGGTAAGTAGGTCAAGGTTACCAAAAGATTCTTGGACTAAATCTTACATTTTTGCCTGTGTTTATGTTGTATTTTGAAAGACTTTGAAGAGAATTCCTGATCATTTTAAGTATTCCAAATAAAAGTCTAAATAGAGAACCATTCATCCAGATGTACGATCTACATCACAGAAGAGGCGTCTAAAACATATGTTTGACTGTCTGGCTTTCTTACTTATTTGGTTATTTGACTTTATATAAGCATATTCTTAAATAGTGTTGATCACTTGAAGGTATAAAAGAAATTTATTTTAGAGGGAGTAAATGAAAATATAAGTCATACATTTCTTCCAAAGGATCCTGGATGTTCATTGTAATCACAGGGCAATGAATTAAGTATACTGGGTCCTCTAATGATGAAGGGAATAGAGTAGGTCATTGTCTTTTTTAGTGTGATTAATATTTATTCAGAACTGTCAGGAATACTTACTACATACTATGTCATGTTCATTAAACATGTTATACAGCAGTCTGTCAGAGAGAGAATCAAAAGATCTGCCAGAGAAAAATATGCTTCACAAGCAACAGAGATCATCATTAATGCAAAAACAGAATACTCCACTCAAAACAATATATTTTTCTTCCTCTCTCCAAACCCTCAACCTTCAAATTTTAGTGAGTTGGCATTGCGTAAAAAGTAGGGCATGAAACAAATCCAAAGTTTTTCTTTCATTCATGTTAAGAAACTGAAACAAGATGATTACATTCCTGGTAGTAGAAATCTTAGTGCCCAAGCTTATCAAACATATTAATATATTTATAAACTAGAAAATAATCAGTAATTAGCCAGCATAGCTAAAATATACCAATTCACTGATTATATCATTGTCACAAAATGTTGATTGGGACAGGAGGATGAGGAAAAACAAGAGAAGAAGAAGAGGCAGGAGGAAGAGGAAGAAGAGGGGGAC
This sequence comes from Homo sapiens, assembly GCF_000001405.40. NCBI lineage: Eukaryota > Metazoa > Chordata > Mammalia > Primates > Hominidae > Homo > Homo sapiens. The sequence continues at coordinate 76,021,295 of NC_000008.11, read as the reverse complement.
GAGGAGAAGGGGAAAGGCAAGGAGGAAAGAAAGCATACCCTACAACAGAACATAGGATGAAGCTTTCATCAGCTGGTGTCTATAATCTCTGAAGAATAAATAATATGAGGCAACTTATTAATAAGCTTAGATGAAACATATAAAGCAACTGATTGTTAAATAAATTTACATTTTCAAAGTAGTTCTGTTAATCTTGATTTTTGACATATTCAGTGTGGTATATTTACAATTTTCTTCTTTAAACAAGTATGATTTATGTATACTGAATAAATTATTTTCTTTGCTTTCAATTTTTTCTTTAACATCTAGTCGAAACATAGAAAATGTCTGTGAGAGGCTGAAAAGCAGCCCAGCTGTGGTTATTTCTTAGATGTCAGAATGAGACTCCTTGGGGAAGAGGAATAATGTAATTCCCAATGGGGTTGGGGTGGGGAACAGCAATAAACCATTCTAGGGACTTTTGGGAGCTGGAATGTTGCATCTGTGAACAGCTTTTTAATAGAGCCAAAGGAAATAGCAGTAACACTTCTGCTGCTTCTTTTCCAAGAGTTGACCAACATTTATTGATTATTTTTTTCTGCCAAAGATTATTATAGTGGGAAAAGTTGGAAGATCTAGATTTATTTAGGCTGCCTACTAGTTATAAGAATGTAGACAATTTTTATTAACATTCATTGCTTTGCCTGATCTGAAAATGTGGACATTAATATTTTTACTACCTTTAAAAATCAATTTCTTCAAGATTAGATTAATAAAGTACATGTAGCAACACAAAAAAATATGTCATATATAACAAAAATCTGCTAGAAAAATATGCTACATAGTAAGAAAGGTAATCATTAACTCAAAACAGATACACCCTTGAAAATAATAGTTGTTGGTTTGGGATTTTTTTTCTCTGCTCTTTAGCCACTCTCCTGATTATTTTTTCTTACTTCCCCTGGTATCACTCTCCCTAACTTTCTTTTCTCAAATTCATTGCTTTAGATGATAGATGCCCCAAAATTATTTTTCTTATTAACAAAAGTGTGAAGTAAATTAAAATTGTTAAAGGAAACTGACATGGAAATTATAAATAATGACCACATTTGAGCATGAAAAATATAAAAATTCTTTTCATATATAATTATGTAATTTAATATGGAATACTTGGTAATGTGTAAAAAATGAAGATCAAGTGTAAAACACAAAATAAAAGGCTTAAAAAGGTAGTGTATTTGAAATATTATATTCTAGAATGCTATTATCTGATGTTTTTATATGGATATAGAATATTTATAATTAATGCACACAATAATGCTTTATAAATCCAGGAAGGGTCTTTCAACATACCAAAAAAATTGCTGAATATACTTATGTCTACTTATATTTGAGTATGTTTCATTAAACTATAATTCTGTAAACATAGGGAATGGCTTACAAGGATCTATTCAGGTTGTTTTCTTAATCAGTACCTGATTTTCTAGCCCTATCAGGTGAGAGTCTCCTGCTGGGAATTATTTGAATTGAAAATAAGTGTTACACAAAATGAAAGAGCTAACCATCTAATATTGGTTGAACCTTGAAGAAAAATCATGTAATTCCAAGAAAAGTTATCTCTGTTTCTGTTCTGGAGATTGCCTACAATGAGTCCTATTTTCCAGTATTATCAATTTTCTTAACTTTCCCCATCATTCTTATGTTTCTATTTGTATATTTAAGAATTCTTGACACCACTTTGACTTTGCTTCACCTCCTCAGTTTCTGGCATTTCTCCCTCGCACACATCTTCCTGATTTGCATGCTCCTCCACCCGCCTAATGTCACCAACTAATCTAGATCCTTATTGCTTCATAGCTAGATCACTGTAATATCATAACTGCTCTCTCTGATAAATTTTTCTCCCTTCCAATCCATCTTGCATACTTTTGACAGATTAATTTTTATAAGGGGCCAATTTGACCATTTCACTTCCTTGGTCAAAAATTGAAAAGGGCTTCCTCTTACATACCACATTAAATCCAAATTCTTCTGCCTGCCTTTCACTGTGCTTTATTATCTGCCTTTTCACTCCCCTTGCAAACTTATTTTATGGTTTTATCCCAGCAACCTGTCAAAATGTCTCCTCTTCGGCTCGTCCAGATCCAGTGATTAGTCTGTAAATTTGCCGTGGCTCCTTACACCACAGCTGGATCAAATAAAAAAGTTTTCTTTGCTTTTCTCATTTCCTAAACCAGCCATCTTCAAAATCCAATCATTTCACACATTTTCAGGAAACCATTAGTTTACATTGATCTATTATTCCTTTACTCCAAGTATTTATTTTAAATTTCAATAAATTTAGTATTTAGTGCACTAATAATTAGTTGTCATTCCTGAAATCACACCCTGGGCCAAACACTATGCTTAGTGTTTTATATTCATAATCTCATCTAATTCTTACAGCAATCCTAGAAGACAGAGACTCTTAATCCCCACAGTTTTGTGAATAAAACATGAAGAATCAAAAAACAGTGAATGACCCTACAGATCTAGTATTCTCACTAAAAGAAATTTTTTATTGTGCCTAACTTATGTTTGCCATATTTAGCAAATAAAAACATAGAATCTGCAGAAAAATTTTAATTTTATTAAAAATAAGTAAACTTTTTTGTATAGGTGTGTCCTATTACACACTTAATGAACTACAGTATAGTGTAAACATAACGTTTTTATGCACTGAGAAAACAATAAATTTGTGTGACCTGCTTTATTGTTATATTTGCTTTTGTGTGGTTGTTTGGAACCAAATCTGCAATGTCTCCAAGGTGTGCCTCAGGAGATGCATATAATATACTACTTATACTGTAGTCTATAAATGTGCAATAGGATTATGTCTAAAAAAAGCAATGTACACACCTTAATTTAAAAATACTTTATTGCTAAAAAAATGCTAACAATCTGAGCTTTCGGTGAGTAGTAATCCTTTTGCTGGCAGAGGATCTTGTCTCCATGTTGGTGGCTGACTGATGAGGGTGCTGCTTGCTGAAGATTGAGGTGGCTGTGGCAATTTCTTAAAGTAAGAGAACAGTAAATTTGGCCACATTGATTGACTCTTTCCTTTCACAAAAGTTTTTTCTGTAGCATATGATGTTATTTGATAGCATTTTACCCACAGCAAAACTTTCAAAATTGGAGTCAATCTTCGCAAACTCTGCCACCGCCTTATAAATGAAATTTATGGGACTATTCTAAATTCTTTGCTGTCATTTCAAAAATGTTCACAGAGTCTTCACCAGGAGTAGATTCCATGTCAAGAAACCACTTTCTTTGCCCATCCATAAGAAGTAACTGTTTTTCCACTCAAGTTTTCACATAGGATTGAAATAATTCAGTCACGCATCTTTAGGCCTAACTTCTAATTCTAAGAGTTCTCTTCCTGATTTCACCACATCTTCAGTAACTCCCTCCACTGAAGTCTTGAACCTCTCAAAGTTATCCATAAAGGTTAAAGTCAACTTCTTCCAAACTCCTGTTAATGTTGATATTTTGACCTCCCCTCATGAATCATAAATGTTCTTAATGACTTTTAGAAAAGTGTGGCCGGGCATGGTGGCTCACATCTATAATCCTAGCACTTTGGGAGGCTGAGGTGGATGGATCACTTGAAGCCAGGAGTTCAAGACCAGCCTGGCCAACATAGTGAAATCCCATCTCTACTAAAAATACAAAAAATTAGGCAGATATGGCAGTGCACACGTGTAGTCCCAGCTACTTAGGAGGCTGAGGCAGGAGAATTGCTTGAACCCAGAAGGCAGAAGTTGCAGGGAGCCGAGATCGCGCCTCTGCACTCCAGCCCAGGTGACAGAGGGAAACTCCATCCATGCTCCCCAAAGAAAAGAAAAAAAAAAAGAAAAGTGAATTTTTTCTAGAGGGTTTTCAGTTGACTTTGCCCAGATCCATCAGAGGAATCAGTATCTATGACAGCCTTAGCCTTACAAAATGTATTTCTTAAATAATAAAACTTGGAAGTAAAAATGACTTCTTAATTCATGGGCTGCAGATTGGATGCTGTGTTAGCAAGCAAGAAAAGAACATTAATCTCCATGCATATCTCCATCAGAGCTCCTGGGTGACCAGGTTCATTGCTAAGGAGCAGTAATATTTTGAAAGGAATCTTTTTTTTTTCCTGAGAAGTAGGTCTCAAGAGTATGCTTAAAATATGTAGTAAACCATACTGTATACAGTTGTGTTGTTGTCCAGGCTTTGTTGATTCCTTTATAGAGCACAGGTAGAGTAGATTTAGCGCAATTATTAAGGGTCCTAGAATTTGGGAAATGGCAAATGAGCATTGGCTTCAACTGAAAGTCACCAGCTACATTAGTACCTAACAAGAGAGTCAGCCTGTCCTTTGAAGCACTGAAGTCAGACATTGACTTCTCCTTTCTAGCTGCACAAGTCCTAGGTGGCATTTTTTTCCAATAAAAGGATGTTTCATCCACACTGAAAATCTGTTGTGTAGTGTAGTCACCTTCATAAATTATCTTAGCAAGATCATTTGGATAACTTGCTGCAGCTGCTATATCAGCACTTTCTGCTTTATGTTCTGTTCTGTTCTGTTCTGTTCTGTTGATGGTTTCTTTCCTCAAACCTCATGAACCAACCTCTACTAGCTTCCAACTTTTCTTCTGCAGTTTTCTCACCTCTCTCATCCTTCATAGAATTGAAGAGTGTTAAGAGCATTTGCTCTGAATTAAGCCTTGGATTAAGAGGATGTCGTAGCTGGTTTGATCCATTCAGAACACTAAAACATTCTCTGTATCAGCAGTAAGCCTGTTTTACTTTCTTATCATTTGTATGTTCACCGAATTGGCACTTTTAATTTCCTCCAAGAACTTTTCCTTTGCATTCACAGCTTAGCTAACTGTTTGGCACAAGAGGCCTAGATTTTCGTCCATTTTGGCTTTTAACATGCCTTCATCACTCAGCTTAATCATTTCTAGCTTTTGATTTAAAGAGATGTGAAATTCTTCCATTTACTTGAATACTTAGAGGTCATTATAGGGTTACTAATTGGCCTAACTTTAATATTATTTTGTCTCAAGGAACAGGGAAGGCTGAAGAGAGAAAGAGAGATGGGGGAATGGCCGGTTGGTGGAGCAGTCAGAACACACACAGCATGGATTGATTAAGTGTGCCCTCTTATATGGGAATAGTTTGTGGTGCCCCAAAATAATTACAATAATAACATCAAAGATCATAGATCCCTATAACAGATACAGTAATAATGAAAAAGTTTGAAATATTGCAAGAATTACCAAAATGTGACAGAGAGAAATGAAGTGAGCACATGCTGTTGAAAAAATGGTGCCAATAGACTTGCTAGACGTAAGTTTGCCACAAACCTCCAATTTGTAAAAAATGAAGGAATTGCAAAGCATAAAAGAAATGAAGCACAATAAAATGGGCATACTTGTATAAATAAATTCATTACCTGATTAATAATGATAGTATCTGGTACTTGTGTAGTACTTTAAAACTACCTCTCCTATACATTATATCTTTCAATATTTACTATTATTTCAGATTTTACAGATACTCAATCAGACACAAGTTATTTGTTTGCCCATCATCGCTCTGTTTGTAAATCAAAGAAGAGAAAATCACATCCAGGTCTTGTTTTAAATCAATGATAAACATTATTTCTGCTTTGAAATAGAAATTGTAATAAAAGCTAGTGACTTTAAGTGTGTCCTGATGGTCTTTTTGCCCTGTTGTAACTATATTGTAGATATATTAATTTGTTTATTCAAAATGTGAATTTGCTTATGCCTGCTCTAAATGTAGCCACTTACCATCTAAGTATCCAAGTACCCATGTCCCTGCAGAGTCTGGGTTTGGTTAGTTAATACCATGGCTCCATTTGCATGACCACGGTTTTCACCTAGATGGTGAAACTTAGAAGTTACCTATTATTCCTGCTGTGTCATCAAAAACATTTAAATTAAATATACAGTTGTCCACATTATTCATGGATTCCATATTTGTGAATTCACTGACTTGTGAAAATTTGTCAGGCCAAATCAATACATAGATACTATAGGGGTCATTTTTAGACATGCTCAGAGCAGGAACAAATTTTAACTCCCCAGTGTGCACATTCCCAGCTAAGGTCAAATAATGCCATGCTTGGCCTTCTTGTATCAGCTGTCACACTGTAAACAAGTGTCCTTTGTGTATTGAATGTCATGTTTTTCTCAGTTTTGTGCTTTTTCTTGGTGATTTCACAGTTTAAAATGTTCCCAAGCACAGTGCTGAAGTGCTGTTTATTGTTCCTAAACACAATCCTGTAATGTGCCTTATGAAGAAAATATATGTGTTATATAAGTTTTGCTGTAGCATGAGTTATTGTGCTATTGGTCAGGAGTTCAATGTCAATGAATTAGCAATATATATCAATGAGATGTTCTTCCTCAGAAACACACATAAAACAGGGCTATGTAATGATTGCTTAATGAAAATGTTGTGACCAGAGGCTTGCAGGAACCTAACCCTGTGTTTCCTCTAGGAGCAGTGGTTCAGTATTCACTAAGTCAGTGTTCCTGGTGACTTTACAGAATGTAACTGCTGTGAATGAGGATTGACTGGACTGTACATGGTTGTGTCAACCACAATCAGCCTAACTCCAAATGCCTTCAGCAAAGAGCACAAATTCTTTTAAAAAAATTATAGACATGTCTTTTGTAGTAATATAATAATGTGCGAAGGGCAGAATTTTGATGTTTATTGTATAAAGGTTAAATACTTACTATCTTTTGATACACTTAAGATGCAAAAATGAAGCCATTAGTGAGAGTTTTAGCAGGCCAAATGATATTTGACTTTTAGGAGAGAGAAGAAGGCAAATAATATTGAATAGTCCAGGTATGTTGTTCCTAAAACACACATATAAGTAGGTGTTATATTCATTTTTCTTCTTCCTATTAGAACTTATAATATACTCCCAAAAAAAGTACTTCAAATATTTTATTATTATGCTGTCTGTGACAATCACATTTGTATATACATTTTTACATACATAAACACTTATTTCCTTTGGATAATTCTATGGACATGTTAGATTTTAGTACACGCTGAGAAACTATACTCAAGGAAGGGCAAATTAACCCACATATCCTCCAACATAGTATAAGGATGCTGTTTTCCTAAACACTCTCCATGTCTGCACTTAAAAATTCTTTTTTATGTTTGTTAATATTGAAGGCCCAAAGCAATGCAATGCAAAAAAATCACAGACTATACAATTTTCATTTATTTTGTATTATTTCACTAGACTGACTATTTGTACTTGATTGAATAACCCTTCAATATATCTTTTGCCCATTTTCTCTTAAGGTGCCTGTTATTTTCTAATTCGTTTGTAAACACTTTTTAAAATGGATATTCATCCTTTATCTTTGATATCTCAGTACAGATATATTGGTCCATACAACTGATAAGTCCAGAGTGGATATCAAATATACGTGTATCCAGGCATCAAATGACATAGCCCAGACACTGTTTTCCCATCTCTAGTAGACATCCTCATTCATACTCTCTCTATGTGGTCTCATGAGGTTTTATGGTAACAGTAGCCTTAGGTTTACATTCTACCAGCTTACTTATTCTAGGAGAAAGAACTCATTTTTTTTTTTTTTTCCTGATAATCCAGATTCATTTTTGGGAATTACTCCCAATTTGCTAGATTTGCCCCACCTTGGAACTGTGGGGAAAGAGGTAGTTATGTCTGCATGTCCTAAAACATTAAGGCTAGCAGTTGGGTAGGGAAGTTTTTGAATGAAAAAGAGGTATTGTTTCCCAAAAGAAAGGTAACAGATTTTATGCTGGCAATGAAAACTAATGCTGTCTACAAGCTGATACATTTTTTCCCTGCTTATCATTTCTCTGTTTATGTTTATTCAAATTTATTTTATTATATGAGTTACACCTGTGGTGTCATGCTTAGAAAGTAATTATCTTTCTTAATAATATAAAATATTCTCCTAGAATTATTTTTGGCCTAAAAATCGAGCTTAGATGGAATTCATTTTTATGTTAGGTATGAGATATTTTCCCCACATTGTTAGCCAATTGTCTCAACATCATTCATTCAACCATTCATCCATATTTTCCCACTTATTTGAAAATTTCTCTTTGTTATATATTTAATTCTGATGGATATTTAGGTCTGTTTCCAGAGGTTAGCTTTTTCAAATAATGTGTTTATTTCTGTGCCACAATATTTTGGATGGAATTTAATTCATTTATTATCATTAAAACTTTAAAATAAGTAAAATAAATTTGAGTTTTTATTGTAGTTCTGTGAGATATAGACATACATATCTGGAAGCCACCACCACAGCCAGAAAGAGAACAATTCCATTTCAAAGAATTTCCTTATGCTGTCGTTTGTATGTTTAATTTGCATTTCCCTAATGTTTAATGGTGTTGAGTTTCTTTTTCTGTGCTCATTTGCCATTCGTGTATCTTCTTTGGCGAAGAATCTGTTCCAATCTTCTAGTTATTTTTACATATTTGGTTATTTTCTTATTTTTGTGTTTTGAGAGTTTTTTTTTTTTTTTTAACATTTGAGGAACAAGTTCATTGCCTGATACGTGATTTGAAAATATTTTCTCCCAATCTTGGGAGAAAATACTGTTTTTTAATTCTCTGAACAATATTATTTCCAGAGCACAAGATTTTAATAAAGTGTATTTTATCTATTTTTTCATTTATAGATTATGTCTTGATGTCATATCCAAGAACAATTTCCCTGACTTAAAGTCACAGAAATGTTCTCTTATATTTTTTCCTTCAAATTTTATATATTTTTACATTTTGATCTATTTTAGGTTAAATTTTACATACAATGTGAGGTATAGGTTGAAGTTCATTTTTTCTATACGGATGTCCTTGTGTTTCAGCATCATTTTTAAAGAACTGACTTTCTGCATTGAATTGTCTGCAATGTCTCTGATTGAATGTCTTATCTCATCATTTATTCATACAAATTTAAAGGCTATTTTTTATTGTTAATTACTCTAAATATAATTTGGAATTACTGCTTAATTGTCATCCTACCACTTAAAAATCCATTTAAAATTTTGATTAAAATTACATAAACTTACATAAATTAACTGAGATAATTCATATTCATAAAGCAAAGTTTTATATCTATTAATGGTACTCAATAAAATTTTATAGTTTTTATATAGATTCTCAAGATGTATTTAGTGTCAATAATTTTATATTTGTGTTGCTATTGTGAATGTAATATACATCTATTATATTTTCCAAGTGATTCTTTCCATTGTATAGGAAAGTGGATTTCATATGTTTGTTGTTAAGAAGTTAGTATTTCTGAAAATTTTTCAGTTCATTCTCTAGGATGTTCCAGATATTATATACAAATAAAATGTGTCTCTGCCTATTAAGTTCTTATATTTATAATTTATTCTTATTCTGATTGCAATGTCTAAAACTTCCAGAATATCAACATCAGGCATCCTCGACTAGTTTCAATATTAAGTGAGAATGCCAAATTTCATCTTAATGCTTATTTTGCTAGTGAGTTCAGATAGATAACCTTTATCTTTTAAGGAAATTATCTTCGATTCATGGCTTAATAAATGTATATTTTTCTTTTATCAAGAATTTTGGTAAATCTTATCAAGAGCCTTTTACATAATGATATAAATGATAATTTCAACAGGACTCTACAGTTGTATTTTGAGTTACAGATATTTAGTGTCTGTTGTAGAATGTGAACATAATTTAAAAGTCTTTCTAGGGGAAAATACTTTGCATTCCAAACAATGAATTGATATACAAATTAAGAATGACTATATCTACTTTTAAAACAGAAATACTTTGAATAATTTTTGTCACCTGTTTCATCTCTCGTTACATGTGTTTTCTAATTTTTTTTTATATTTTTGGACACTATGACAAACAAAATTATAGAACCAAGAAGGAATGTGTCATATGTGCAGTTTGGCTTATGTAACCACTAACAGTTCTCACCTATGTGAGTCTTTTATTCCTACCTGCAAACCCAAGGAAACTATTCCACAAACCTCCTGGACTCCATCCTTCTCAACTAAAGCACCCTAGGATTTGAGAACTTCAACATACTCACTGCATTCGATGTCTGCCATATTTCTCATTCTTTTCTTCCAGTTTATTCCCTTTCCTTCCCTAATATTGTTCATTTTAATGTTTTAAATATTAAACTGGACTGCCTCTTCTTTCCACAATGCCAAAGATCTAAAATCAATGCAACGTTGACCTAACCTGAACAAACTGATGCTTAGAAAGCTACCATCAGTAGGACTTCTACCAGTCAGACACTTCCCAACAGGTACTCAAAGCTCTCCAGGATTTATTTGAGAGGACAAAACCTCAACCAAGATAATCCTGAAACAGATGTTCAAACTCTGTTGCCCCAGAATTTTTCAAGGGGCATTGTGCTTACAGTGTACTATGGTAGCCAGCTTAGTAAGTATTAATAGCAAACATTTCCTCAATATTTATGTTCTTGGGATCATGTAAATGATTCATTCTAGAGGCTGTGAGTGCTACCACTAGGTTAATAGTCTTCTAGTGCTTCCAAAGATTTTGAGTTTGCCCATGCAGCACTGGAGTCTTAGTGATGCCTAGAATTAAATTTTGTGGAAATAGAGTTGCCATTAAACTCTATAGAGTTTAACCGGTTACTAGAAATTCCAAAGACTGCAGCTCCATGACCAAATTCTATCTCAGCCTTAAGCATTTAGAATGCTAATATCTGAAGAGTAAAATAAGAATTATCCAATTCAAAAAGGAAGAAAAGATGTTTCTCAAAACATATTGAGAAAAACAGTGTGGAATAGTTGGAAATGAAGGTGAACATTTTAAATTACCCAGAGCACTTAGTACTTGTTCTCAAACTCAGGCATCCAGAAGATGACCAGCCACCTAAGAACTCGTCTGTTAGACTTTTTTTTTTTTTTTTTTTGAGACAGAGTCGTGCTCTATTGCCCAGGATAAAGTGGAGTGCAATGGCATGATCTTAGCTCACTGCAACCTCCGCCTCCCCAGTTCAAGCGATTCTCCTGCCTCAGCCTTCCAAGTAGCTGAGATTACAGGTGCACACCACCATGTCCGACTAATTTTTGTATTTTTAGTAGAGATAGGGTTTCACCATGTTGGTCAGCCTGGTCTCAAACTCCTGACCTCAGGTGATCTGTCCACCTCAGCCTCCCAAAGTGCTGGAATTACAGGGGTGAGCCACTGCATCTGACCGGTTTGACTCTTAACCTAAGATACAGGCATTGAAGTAATAACCAATTCATCAAAATCTAACTCAACAATCAGGGATGTGGTGGCTTCATAGGACACCAAAGGCAACAAAATGATATTAATATTAACTAAATGTTGGAGCATCTAGTACATAGAAGGCATTGTCCCAATGACTGAAATTATTTTAAAAAAATTATCCCCACACTATGGCTGGTGAGTTTGATTTTCACAAATTGGCTGATATTGTTTCCAAAACGTTCTCTCATCTAAATGAGGGACCTTCTGTAATCCTTTCTCAGATTCAGAAACAAATCCATATTTTACCCATTAAGATGGAGGTAAATATCAATATATTCATTTTAAAGGTGAAGAACCCAAGACTCCTCAGCTCTCATAGTTACAAAGTGGCCGAGCCAAACTGTAAACCTAGGTTTCTTTTGATTCAAAACACAACCAAAATATGTCTGAGATTTCGTTATCCAAGCCAGCATGGTAACATTTGAACCCAGTTCTCATCTATATGCAGCAGTGTCTCTCCTGAAAGCTAGATTTCTTTAGTTCTCTTAACTGATGCTCATATGAAATAATATTATTTCTTCACATGTCTGGCTATTTCATTGTGAAGATGTGTCTCTAGCTCTTTAAAGACAGACATTAATAACTGACCACTTTTTTTCTGACCAGCAGAGAAATATAACTCACATCTTAACATCCCTGGGCTTCGATTTTCTGCCACTAGATATATAGAGATTTTAATTATCTATTTCACAGTTAGTGTGAATTTCAAATGAAATTACATGTTGAAACATTGTAATTACACAATGCTATATTTTGTGTACTACTATTGATATTATAAGAATGGTTGCATTCAAAATTTAATACCTTTTCAAAAATTATCTGCAGTAATAAACCTCTCGTTAGATATGCTTTCTATTGAAATACATTTTACTTTCTTCAAAAGATCTCTAAGTATTAGCTTAGCATTTTGTATGATACACAGACTGATTATATATTGTACTATCTCTAATTTGCAAATAGAAATAGACATGAAGTAGGAACCATTTGGTAAATTAATGAAACATTTAACAATTATACAGATTTTGTGACTCCAAATCAGTACATTAAGGCTTTTGATTCACTTATCTTTAATTCATGCGTAGTTCATTGATGCAAATGTTTTGTCTATAACATTTCTATTGAATCAAACATATGCTCCATTAAAATCTCCATGTGACCTTAGGGCCTTATCTGACTTTTTAGCTTAACTCAATGATGTTAATGATGGAACACATTCTCATTTCCTGTAAATTTGCAGGGTGCTTTCATACCACTGCTTTGGGAAATGATTGCTCAGTAGCCACTGGTAGCAATTTTTAGTACAAAGAAATCTGTGTGGCCTTTGTTTGCTTTCTTAATTTACTTGATTAGAATAGTGACAATTTTTTATCTATTTTACTTTTAATGTAAGATTTGAAATGCGTAAGAAATAGACATAGAGAAAGAATAATTTCAATAAGCAACACCAAGAAAATGAGTCATTATATTAAAATTGCACATTGATGTATATATTTTCAGATTTTTTACTCATGTTTTAAACAGTCATGTTTTAGAGTATGCTTCCTTACTAAACAATATATTGTAAACATTTCTCAAATCAATACATTTCTTCAAAATCTTTTTTATTAATCTTTAAGATTTCAAAATGTAAACAAAACACAGTTGTCTCAATCACTCTCTACTGAAGGACCTTTAGATACCACTTTATTTATTTATTAAGTGATTCAACAATAATTATATTTGTTTAAATATTCACCTTGATATTTCAGTTTTATTGTTATTTTGGAACAGGTTATTAAAAAGGGAATTGCAGAATTTTCAAGGTTTTATATATGTAACCATCTATCTATTTATCTATCTATCTATCTATTAATCAGAGAATTTTTTTAATTATTATTATACTTTAAGTTTTAGGGTACATGTGCACAACGTGCAGGTTAGTTACATATGTATACATGTGCCATGTTGGTGTGCTGCACCCAATAACTCGTCATTTAACATTAGGTATATCTCCTAATGCTATCCTTCCCCCCTCCCCCCACCCCACAACAGGACCCAGTGTGTGATGCTCCCCTTCCTGTGTCCGGGTGTTCTCATTGTTCAATTCCCAGCTATGAGTGAGAACATGCGGTGTTTGTTTTTTTGTCCTTGTGATAGTTTGCTGAGAATGATGGTTTCCAGCTTCATCCATGTCCCTACAAAGGACATGAACTCATCATTTTTTATGGTTTTATGAATTCTAATGAATTCACTTGTTCAAAGTCAGTCTCCTCGTTCCAAGACAACATGGGGTGTAGTCATTTGTAATTGCTGAACAATACATGATATCTTCTTGAAAACTGAATGTCTTTCTGAATCATTATGTTTATTAATATGTTATTAGCTATTTTATATCTTCTGCATAGCTCATTTTTTTGTCTTGATCATAAGTTTAGGGATATTAACTTTATGTTTGGATTTTTGATCTATGTTGAATCTGTAATTTTTCAATATGAAATTTTAATATGTTTGGAATATAATTTTTCTTTCTGTTTCATATGGAAATATATTAAAAATATATGTAATCAAATTAGTATTTAAATGTATGATTTCTTCCTTTACTGTAACATTTTAACATCTTTTCTCACCATAAAATTATATATGTATGCATATTTTAGTACTCTCATTCTGTTTGACAATTTTACTATTTTAGGAAATTTTTGATTTATGGTTTTCAAAATCAAAATAATATTTTGGTTATTTTTAACAAAAAATGTTATAAAATAATTTGTTCTTTTCTACAGATTTGAATGGCAGCATTTATATTTTTGTATTTACTGATATCTATTCCTGAAGTTTCTTTCCTGATGCATTTATTTTGCCTCTATACTATTACATCAACACCAAGTTATCTTAAGTAAGTAACATTTGAATACTTATGAGGATAAACTTTCTTATTATTTTACTGTTCTAAAATACAAAAAAAAAAATCATTCCATCAAGTTGTAGAGAAAATTTTACTGGCATTTTATAAAGATTATATTAAAATTACGTGTTAATTATGAAAGAAATGACATCGTTAAAATACTAAGTCTTCCGAACAACGATACAGAATGTATTCTCAGTTATCTATGCACCTTTTATGGCTTTAAGTAAAGTGTTTAAAGTCCTGAACAAAATTAGTTTCTTCGTTTTGATAAGTATACCATGGTCACATAAAATGTTAACATTAGAAAGCTGGATGAAGTGTTTATGGAAACTCCTATCTGTATTTGCAACTTCTCTGTGAATGTAAAATTATTCCAATATAAAAAGTGTATTGAGACTATTATTTTGTGTTTTTTGTTGCAGTTTATATTCATTTAATAAATATTTCAAACACACAATTCACTGGGCTACAGGTGAATATTATGATAATGAAAGCTAATGAACCACCCCCCTAAACAATTACATAATTATTGTTTTCAGGGGTTGAATATAAACCAGAAAATCTCAGTAAAAAGCACAAGATCACTGAGCCAATAAAGTTTCTTGAGATTCGCTCTTTTCTTCCTCTTTGTCCTCTTTACTCCCCACAAAGAACATATCCAAGTGTGTGGGTGTTCAAAATGTGCAAAAGATGAGAAGAGTCTTGCCTCACTGTTTAGTCTATTTGTGCTGCTAAACAAAATACCTAAGAAAGGGCAATTTACAAAGAAGAAAAATTTATTCTGTCACAGTTCTGGAGGCTGGAAAGTCCAAGATCAAAGTGCTGGCATCTGATGTGAGCCTTCTTTCTGCCTTCTCACATGGGGGAAGGTGAAAGGACAAAAAAGGACAATGTATCCTCACATGGCAGAATTGCAAAAGGAGAGTCAATCCAGTCCCACAAGACCTTGGGATAACAGCATTAATTCATTTATGAGGGCTCCAGTCCTCCCTAACGCCTGACTCCCAATACTGTTGCTTTGGGGATCAAGTTTCCAACACATAGATTTTTGAGGGGACAAAACCATTAAGACTATGACACTCACTATTGTAAAGAGGTTTGTTGCAAACACCACACCACAGATGCAATAAGAAGACATGGAGGCACAGGCCCGAGTCAAGTCTGCTCAATAATTAAACAAGTAAACCTCACAAGATAGCAACCACAGGTGGCTAGCAGACCCAAGGACATTGATCTGGACAATTCAGCTCCATTAAGTCCTGCCTATAGAGACTTATCCCCCTTTGACTAGACCATACAGCATAATAAAGTTACAAAAATACGAAGTTCTAGAGACAGACATTAGATATATTAGTTTTGGCACTTAATAACTATATACCATGTGCAAGGTATTCCACATCTCCTGCCTACCTTACATCATCACTGAAATAGGGTTACTCTTTCACATCTCTGTGCCTATGCCCCATATGTATTTGTATCTTAATCTTCTCAAACTATGTGTTAACTTCTTCCAAATATATAATGAAAGGAGACAATGCGGCAGCCATTGTCATAGGTGCTGGTGATACATTAGTTTCTATTTCACCCACTAGATTGAGTTATTTGATGTCAGATACCATTTTTTTATTCATATTGCCATTACCGCCCTGTGCCAACTAGCTCTACTAAGAGTTTAGCAAATATTTAAAAGAGGAATTTCCTTCACAGCAAATGTAGCTTCAAATATTCTAAAGCTGCTGAAGTTTCTCACCAAGTTTACTACACAAGAAATCCTGGTGTTTCAGAAAAATTCCATTTGTTGTTTGGGAAAGTATTGAGGACAAGAATTATGTCTACACAAGGAATAGAGGGGAGAAAGAAAGCTATTTATATCAGGTGCTGCTTGTATAATCTCTTTTCTACATTTACTGCCATAAAGTAGAGAAATGCATGCATCCAGTGGAATTGTCACAGTAGAAAAGTTTGCAAATTTTTTAAGGAATATGTATGTACCTATGGGAATGTATCTATGAAATGAGGATATTTTCCTGTTGTGAGCTTCATACAAAATTATTGAGGCTAAGGTCATGTTTGCCTAGGTAATTCAGATGAAAAGGCCAGTGCAACCACAATGACCAAATGAAATACAGGAAGCCCTCTGGGTTTGTGGACTAAAGATTTCCAGTGTTCAGTATTTATCATCAACATGACATGTGTTAGGTTGATTGATGTTCCTCTGGGTTGCTTCAGCCCCATTTGTTTGCTGCATTTTCTTGACTGGTATAGTCATACAAACGGTCCTAGGCTGGTTATACAAGCTATGTGTTAAAGAAGAGGTTAGCAAATTAAGGAAAGATTTTCAAGGCAAACAAGCTCTTAATATGTATCTCCTCCATGGCGTAATTAAGACTTAAAAATTTGGGAGAAGCAAAATGAAACCTTTGTGTTGTCCTGTCCTGAGTTACTTTGCTTTAGGAGGAAAAAAACCTGTAACTTTTTTGTTTGCCCAATTCCAAGTATTTTTTTTTTTAATTTAACTTTCCAAGAAAAAAAAATCTTGTTTATTTATGTACTCTGAAAATGAGTTATCATGAGATTTGATATGGAATAATGTGAACATGAAAAATAAATATATGACTAGAGTATATCTTTCAGGACTATTCTTCACATCGATGTTATTATGAGGAGCGAATGTTGGTAACACTGCAAACATAAGAAAAACATCTGGACAGTGTTGACAGTTGCCCCCCAAAAAATCTCTGATCTTCAAACTCCTTTATGTCAGGAACCAAACACAGTGTTTAAGGACATGGAATTCATATGTGCAAACATATTGGGAAAACATTGTGTCAGATGCTGAGATTTCATCATGCAAAACGTGGTTATCCATTGTTCTTAAAATTAAATATTGTTGTCACTAGCACAGTTGGAAACCAGGAACATTATGGGAATACACAATTGACAGAAAAATACAATGGACATTATTTTACATCTGTTTAAGGGTGAGGTTATAGCCAAACATAATTCCTGGTCGATGATAAAATGTAGGCTATTGTGATTATGCCATCTATAGGAGTCACTTAGACAAATGGAAAGCATAAAGATTTGTGAACCATCCTTAACCCGTTTATTTTTGAACAAGGTTTTTCCTAAGAGTGTGTGTGTGAGTGTATGTGTATATATTTTTACATTCGTTATTAAAGTATTATTCAAACGACATAAAAGGAAGGTTTGATTTGAAACAAAATTAAGAAAATGCTACTAAGAAATAGACTCATAATACTATGTGCTGGTTCCTTATACATGTTGTAGTTATGGTCTGTATTTTTTAATTCTTAAGAGACTAAAGATTATAAATAAAGTTTTAAAATTAAAAGAAATTTTAGAGAATGTGTAGTAGTTTTACTAAGGTAAACTTGTCAGACCCAAGTCATAACCTCAATATTACACAATTGTTTAAGAGATTTCATAGAAAATAAACTTTATTTAAAATAAATTTTTGAATAAAAGTACAGAAGTTACCATTTGACAAATCAAATCTGCAGAGACTATACCTTATTTTTAACCTAGAGTCCTATTACACAGAAAGTCATGAAAAAACACTCTGCTTTCCAATTCACATGTTTACTGCAGAAATTACCGAGTTATCTGTCTTTTTCTTCCTTTTGTAATATTTCATTTCCCCAGTAAACTGAGCATGAAATGAATCTTAAGCTGATATATGCATAAAGCCATCTTGCTTAGTTTTGAAATGTTGATAAGTACAAGCTCATATGTCTTTTTCTTTTATTGACAAGTAATTTTTTATTCTTAACCATTTCTCAACTCATTTTACACTATGATTTTGTGGTTTATATAAGAAAAAGTGCCCCTTGTGGTACTTTAAATAAAAGTATAATTGTTTTTAGAAGTAATTGATGTTTACTATATTAAGACATGAGAGGATTTCATAACTTACAGTTTTTATGCTAGAAGATATGCTTAGTTGTACCTGAAATAATATTTTCTGGGAAAATATGATTCAAAGATGTTTTCTCAATGTTGGGTAAAGACAAAGTCCCTCTAGTGTATACTAACATGATCATTTGTACAGTAGCTTTCACTTGCCATCTTTTCTCTTGATGTAAATGCTTCGCATCAGCATGAGCATCCCACAACATTTGTGGTCTGGTAACCCTTCCTACATACCACATGTTGGGTTGTGATTCAAAAAGTCCTTAAAGTATTTCTTATGACCATCGTGTTTCAATAGATTTACTCCTATGCTAATCTACACTGGAGGATCTTGTTCTTCTAGGAATGACTTAAAAAGAATAACAATGACAACTACAGAGGAGTAGTCCAAGAGGCCAGATTTCTGAATGAATTACCAGTTGGCATTAGTGTCTCAAATTTAGTATGAACCAGAAAAGGTAGCAATTAGTCTGAGAAGCAAAAGAAGAAAAAATAGATATTAGGCAACGCATTAAACAGCAGAACAGTTATTATAATGCCTCCATAATACAGTGCAACTCTTTATTCAACATCAAATCATCAGTGAACCTAGCTTGTTGCAGTGTGTGTCCTAGCTTAGCCATAGAGGTGGCTCTTCTCTTTTATTTGGAAGCAGTGGATTCATATACATGCTGAAGAGTAATGTGCTATGGTTAGCCCTTTGTGGTCCCTGTTCTATGGCAAGATCACTGAACAATTCATTCCACTTCTATAAGGATCACAGTCTTTGATCAACAGAACATCTTACTTTCAGTTCTCTTTGCCATTTAATAATCTTATCATTTATGAATAATAAACTATCAGGCTCTAAACTATTAGAATCTTTCGCTTAATAAAATTATGTGACTGTTTGACTTGCTACAAAATGGAATTATTATTTTTTTCTATTTAGCTTAAATAGCTAGTGGTCACTGTTGTAATTTCTGAAATGTAGGCAAGTACACATCGTCTCTGAAAATCCATCTTGCCTGTGTGGAGGACATATTTTCACCTTTTAAGATCTAATTATTTTCCATCCTGTACCCTCCTTCATCTGCCCTCATTATAGCTGACGACTCTTTCCTCTGTACAGCGTTTGAACCTTCCATATAGCAATATTGGGGAACTTTTAACATTAATTAGAATTATTGGTGTATCTGTTTACTTCTTATACCAAATAATGTGCTCATTTTGAGCTCATTGAATACAGTATACTCTGTGCCTAGAATATAGTAAGCACCAAATAAATGTCTATAGAATGAATTGATTAATGTATTGCGTCTATTTTGTTATTAGGAATGATTAATGAGAAATGTTAAAGTATAAAACATATCTTTTTAAAGAACCTTTAAATTCTAGAATCACTACAGAAGTTAATGCAAAGTTAAAATTTTTTCTACATATACAAATCACCAAAAATATTTAATAATTATGGTAGTAGTTAAAGAAGCTGAGAGAAATTTGAATATTGTTTTCAATTTTACTGTTTTCATCTGGGAACTTACTAGTATTTGAATATGCTCTAAATTGTGGATTCATTTTATTCTGCTTTTCATATAAATGTATTAGATTTAAGCTAAGAGTTGATAGCAACAACAAAATATAAAACTTGAAATTTGGAAACACTGAATAAAATGCACCATAATAAATGTTTTTCTTGATAATTATGGAAGTAAGTTTTCCTGAAGTATGTATTTTAAAAAGCCAGTGACGTCAGCTCCCATTGTAATGTAACTTATTTCATAAAAATGTACTTTGGTCTGGCACTTGCAAGTGATTCAAAAGGAAAAATAATACAGTGCATGGCAGAATTTTGTGCTGAAGACTATTTTATATGGGAATCAAAGGATAGACTCCTAAGCACCATTTGGTTCCTTTGTACAAATACTAAGTTACCTAAACACTTTGGCACACAAGGCAGAAATAACTGTGTATTTACCCTGTAATTATATGGTACTTAACCTTATAATTAAAGGAACAACAGTTGCCACATACACAAAGTGCACTTACAGGAAGTAAGTGCTCTATAAAATAAAGCAATTACTGGAATAAACTATATAATTAAAAATCTCTTAAGGCACCAACAAGGCTTGCCCAGCTAATTCTAAAAGTACCAGAATAGTTACTCTAGATGCATTATCTCGTAGTTTACAAAGAATTGAAAATGTATCTTTTTCAGAAGCCTGTTCTCTGGAAAAGAACACAAACAAGCTAAAACCTTTTAATTTGTTCCCAGAGCTAGCACACCCACCCTATTTGGGGAACAGGCTGAAGTTAGAAGAGCATTCTAAACACTAATGTCCAAATGCATTTTTGATAATAAGTGATGATTCAAAGCAGACCTATCCATTGGTATTGAGAGAAACAGTGTCTCTTTTTAAAGGCACGTCCTGGTAAGTACTATGCCACTTTTTCAGAGAAACCCTAAATGGAGTTGGGGGGATATTTCTCTTTCAGAGAGCCACATATGTTTGATTCTGTCTATCCATTGTTACAAATGGGTATAAAATAATTGAATAATAATGAGGGAAAAACTTGTATGTTGTTCTCACCAACTTTCAGTATACAGCCATTTCTCTAGGAATATCCTATGTTTTATCCTTATCTTCGTTAACTTTTAAAATAACTACTTTTAATTTTGTGCTCTTTTAAGGAGAATAAGGCCTTTTTAACTGATTTTATATCACAGATAATGCAGAGGAACTGGTATGTATGACTTCTAGGTTTTTTACTTATAAACCGATGTGGATGGACGGTCCATTCACTGCGACAGAAACAACTAGAAGAAAAACAGGTTAGTGTAGAATACTATGCATTTAATTTTGACATGTTGGGTTTGAGATGAGTTTAGAATTTACAAATGATATTTCAATTATGCAGGTGATTATACATACAGTTGGCTGTCTGTATCCATGAGTTTTGCATTCATGGATTCAACCAACTGTGGATCAAAAATGTAGTACTGGGGGCAAAGATACTTACACATACTTACCAAAAGCGAAACTTGAATTTTTGGCTGCCAATTACTATGTTGAATCCATGTGAGTGATTTGATGTGTAGGCATTGTGCATTGTATTTGGTATCATAAGACAAGAAGCCCCAACCCCAGGCCACAGACTGTACCGGGATGCACAGCAGCAGGTGAGCAGCAGGGTAGTGAGTGTGGCTTCATTTGTTATTTACAGCTTCTCCCCACCACTCGGATTACTGCCTGAGCTCTGCCTCCTGTCAGGTCAACAGCAGCATTAGATTCTCATAGCAGCGTAAACCCTATTGTGAATTGCTCATGTGAGGGATCTAGGTTGCACGCTCCTTCTGAGAATCTAATGCCTAATGATCTGTCACTGTCTCCCATCACCCGCAGATGGGACCATCTAGTTGCAGGAAAACAAGGTCAGGCTTCCACTGATACCAGATTACAGTGAGTTGTATGATTATTTAATTATATATTACAATGTAATAACAATAGAAATAAAGTGCACAATAAATGTAATGCACTTGAATCATCCTGAAACTACCCCCGCTTCCAGAAACCACCCCCCCTTCCATCTGTCAAAAATCTGTCTTCCATAAAACCGGTCCTTGGTGCCAAACAGGTTGGAATGGCTGTTATAAGAAATCTAGAGATGATTTATTAAGTACATGGGTAGGCTGTTTGGAAATACTGCACCATTTTATATGAGATAATTGAACATCCTTGGATTTTTGTATCCACAGAGATCTTGGAACCAAACCCCCATGGATATCAAGAGGTGACCACATACGAACTCAGGAGAGATATCAACGGTACAGAGGGTCATTGAAGTCATGAGTATAAGTAAGTTTTTCTAGGGAGAGAGCCCATTGGTGATAGTAGAGCAGGCCTAGGACCAAGGTTGAAAAACACTAATGGGGAAAGACAAGGTGGAAGGAGATGAGAAGGCAACGAAGGCACCATGAGTAGTCTGCTAGAAAGAGGGACAGGAGAGTATGGTGTCAAAATATCAAGGAAAAACAGTTTTTCAGTAAGGCAGGGACAGCCTACAATGTTAAATGCTGCTGAGACACAGGAACATGAAAACTATAAAAATATCCTTTAGATTTAGTATCACGGAGAACATTCACGACTGTCAGAGTCATAATGGTCGAGCTTTCCAATATTTATGTGAATCTGAGGACTTATTTTTTTTAAGTCAAATGACTGTACAGAAGTTATTTTAATGGTAGTTGTCTATCTAGTATTAGATCACTGATAAAAGATAATATACCCTTACCTAAGTAATGCTTTTGAAGGAACTTTTAACAACACACACTTGAAAATAGGAGTACAGATATAGTTAAGCTGTATGATTTATTCATACTTTGAAGAATGCATATGAATTGTGTTCCATTTGCTATAACACTGCGGTATATTGCCCTTAAATCAGAACTTCTTGAACTACTTTAATTCATTTTGATAGACAATTTTACAAATAGCAGAAATGACTCTTTTTGAAAAAAGATATTTTTATCCACTTTTATTCTAACCCCTTGTGAAAAGATAGATAATATAAAATGTAAGTAGATGTCCTCTTTTTTTTTCTAGTTTTGAATATCTTCTTTTGTATACTTTTCTTGGTGATTTCCTCCTTATAATTAGTTGATCCTTGTATTCTTTTCTTAAATCCCTATAACTCAGTAAGTCTTTTTGTGAGGAACAGGGCACTATGTCTTGGTCATAATAATATCCCTTTCAATGCCTAATGTAGAACCTTGAATGTGGAAAGGACCTTATGAATACTTAGTCAATAAAAGTAATAGAAATAGAAGTCTAGGTGCCTTTTCATTCCACTGAGCACACACAATTACATTTTAGTTAATTTGACATGTTATGATTTTTGCTGATTCAAAGCCTTAGAGCAGTATATCCACAGTCCCAGGTTATACTCATTAATCCAGTAAGTATTCTTCAGTTTCCTACTATGTGTAAACAGTATAGCGAAAACAGACATAACTCTTGTCCTTGCTGGAGTAAGACCACAGAGATGTGCCCTGTTATAACAAAGCCTGAAGCCACCAATCACCTCTTTTTCTTTTACATGAAGAACAGACTTTCTTTGGAGCTTATGGAACATATAGATTTTGCTTCATTTTTATTTTCTTTTACTTTACGATAGTGAATTTCTTTTCATTATTTCAAATTTCTAACTCAACTACAACCTCCAAAAGATATATAGCAGCAGTCCGTTTTTTTTTAAATTTTTCTTTCAGAACTCTATATTCCAATAAGTGCTGTTGAAAATAGGGGAGAAAGAGAACTATGGGCTATTTTTTGCTCATTATCAGAGATTCTTTTTAATTCTTAGCATCTTGTCCCACTGTGTCCGGAATTGGTGGGCTCTTAGTCTCGCTGACTTCAACAATAAAGCTGCGGACCCTCACCGTGTTACCAGTTCTTAAAGATGGTGTGTCCAGAGTTTGTTCCTTCTGATGTCTGGACATGTCTGGAGTTTCTTCTTTCTGGTGGGTTCGTGGTCTCGCTGTCTTCAGGAGTGAAGCTGCAGACCTTCCCGCTGACTGTCACAGAGCTTCCAGGCAGCACATCTGGAGTTGTTCCTTCCTCCCAGTGGGTTCATAGTCTCGCTGACTTCAGGAGTGAAGCTGCAGACCTTCACAGTGAGGGTTACAGCTCATAAAGGCAATGCGGACCCAACGAGTGAGCAGCAGCAAGACTTATTGTGAAGAGCAAAAGAAAAAAGCTTCCACGTTGCAGAAGGTGACCAAAGCCAGTTGCTGCTGCCTGCGCTGGTGGCCTGCTTTCATTCCCTTATTTGGCCCCACCCACATCCTGCTGATTGGTCCATTTTACAGAGTGCTGATTGGTCCATTTTATAGAGTGCTGATTGGTCTGTTTTGGCAGAGTACTGATTGGTGCATTTACAAACCTTTAGCTAGACACAGAGAGCACTGATTGGTGCATTTACAATCCTTTAGCTAGAGAGAAAAGTTCTCCAAGTCCCCACCCAATTAGCTAGACACAGAGCACTGATTGATTGGTGCATTTACCAACCTTTAGCTAGACACAGAGTGCTGATTGGTGCGTTTACAATCCTTTAGCTAGACAGAAAAGTTCTCCAAGTCCCCACCCCACACAGAAGCCCAGCCAGCTTCACCTCTCACCACCAGTTATGTGTCTCACACAGAAGGAGGTGAAATGAGTTAGGTAATTCACGAACTGGGGAAAGAAAATCCTCCCAGCTCCCTGCCACATTTCTCCCTGCAGGTTTCCCCCAGATAGCCAAGGGACCACCAAAAAGTAGAGGTTCTGTCCTCACTAATCCATGCTGTTAATTTTACAGGGAGACCTGGGAAGGTCTGTGTTTGTTCAGTAGTGACTGTAACTGGGTGTGTACATTCATATAATTTTAGGAATCATTGTTAGGAAATACTGCCAACACAAAGAGCCTATTTTTCAATATCACCTTCGTAAAAATGGTCTGTGCCTGACTCTCCTCTCTCTGTCTCTCAATAGGTTTTACATTCAGGCAGGGAAAAAAGGCATTATTCACTGTGCCCTCTGAAAATGTTTACAAGTCTAAACTTGTGTGGAGTCTGGTGTTTCCTCTGACATGCTGAGCTCTTCCTTCTGACTTTGCTTTTTGGGTCACTTAAATACAAAATCCTTACTTTGCAAATTTTGTGTTTTCTCAAAGCTCTCTCATACTATCTGTATTTTCATAATTTTCTATCTAAATTGTTAAAGCAAAGTGTCCTTTCTTTGACTATATAATACATGGAATACAACAAAATATAAAGAGTATTGTTATTTCCTTAAGGTAGCAAAAAAAGCTTAGATTTTAAGTGTTCTTTAAAAATTTTTGGCTTATTCTTGTCTGTAAACACAATGTTTTACTTCTGATTTAAGAGCATTGTGGAAAATCTGTAAATAATAATTATGAGTAAAGTTGGTATGCACTCAAGTGCAGTCCTTGACAGCCACTGCTCTCCATACATGACCAAACTGGAATTAAAAAAAACTTTAGGGGTTGGGAGTTGGGACAAGTGTCTGGCCCAGGAGGCCAGTCTCATGTTCAGACGTTTAAGGAAAGAGAACTAGCTCTAGACATAGTCATTAAGGAAGACACATCTGCATATCCCATTTAGTGATATCACTATAAAACAAGAAATAGACCATTAACATTGGTGGACATACATTTAGACAGCTTGAGTTCGAATCCTGGCTCAGTCATTTACAAATTACATTGCTTAAATTCCTAACTTCTCTGTGCTTTCATCAGTAAAATAAAGAAAACAGTAGTATTACTTCAGAGAGTCTTTATGAGGAAGATACTAACATAGTGATTGCTCATTAAATGTTAACAATTATTATTATTATGAAAGGCAACCAGATGGCCAACTTTTTTTCTTGCAAATTTTTTTTTAGCCTAACAAAGTTTAGCAATCACGGGCTTCTTAGTATATGGCACATAAAAAACCCACCGGAGTGATAGTGAAAAAACTTGCACTAGAATCTTAGAATGTCCTGGAGAAAGGAATCAAGACTCTAATCTGTTTGCATAATGTTTAGAAATGTTTAAAACATCTCTAAAGAACTATAGTGTCCTCAGGCATTCTCACTGGCTAGCCTCATTACACTTACACACACACACACACACACAGTTGAGTCTAAACTGGTGATTCTGTCTCCCTATCAGAGTTAGTTTTCCTGAAAGCAGGAGTTGGAATCTATTTTTGAAAATGACCAGATGGTACATATTTTAGGTTTTGCAGGCCATACAGTCTCTGTCGAAACTACTCAACTCTATCATCACAGCATAAAACAATCCTAGATAATATGTAAATAAATGTGTATAGCTGTGTTTTAATAAAACTTTTTTTATGGACACTGAGATATTAATTTCATATAATTTTTGTGTGTCACAACATATTGTTCTTCTTCTGATTTTTCCCAACAATTTAAAAACATGAAAACCATTCTTAGCTCATGAACTACGCAAAAACACATGGCAGATGGGATTTTGCTTGTCAGCAATAATTTATTAAATCTTGCTTTAGAGCATTCCTTTTGTCTTCGCAAACTTGATCCTTCTGAAACTGGCCGAATTGTCCCATAGAACTAATATTCATGGTGTTATGAATAAACATAGAAACTGACCCTCCCTGGTATTAAAACTTGAAATTTACATTTGTCTTACCTGAGTTTCCCCCTTAGGCAAGAAACTGAAACTCCACACCCAGACAATTAGATGCCAGACCCCTCATCTCTCATGATTTCTACATTAGTTTCCCCAAATTTCTGTTTTCTTCCACATATATTCCTTCTCCACTATATAAACCCTCAATTTTAGTCAGTTGGGAAAGATAGATTTGTGATTTGGCATCTATCTCTCTCACTGACATCACCCAACTTAAAAGCCTTTTTTTGCTGGCAGTGCTCATTGTCTCAGTGATTGGCTGGCTGTGAGGGAAACAACAGGACCTAAACCCTTAGATTTTGGTACCCTGATCAGGAATGCATTGATCATGGCTTGGCTACCCCATGGGTCAGGACAATCTTGGAAGCCCTCCTAAGCAGCTGCCAGCCCATTTTTGGCCTGAGGTGGATTTCAGTCTCTCTCTATTTGGCCCTGCCACTGCCAGCCCCAACTGTGTTCCTGAGTGCCTAGGAAGAACATCCTTTGAAATGTGACATTTAGCTCTGGATAGGTGATTGTCTTTTGTGAATACCAGACAGCCAGAATGACTCTTTTCAATTTGGCAAATTCTGGAGGCATTTCCATCTGCAGGTTGAATCAGCCCATCTGATGAAGGAAGCACCCTAAATGCTTCAGTTTGCACACTCCTGGGGCTTGTTAGTAATTGTTTATAGGTGTGGAGACAAGTGAGTATCCTTTGTGAGTCCAGACAGTGGGATTGGCTCCTCTCAATTTGAGAGATCCTGAAGGAATTTCTGTTGCAGATTGAACAAGACCAGCTGATGGAAAGAGGAAGCCCTTCAACTGTTTCAGTTTGGATATTCTTGGAGCTTGTTGGTTGCTGCAGTGGTTGCATTATGTTTTGGTGATTGTGTGTATGTCGATGTAGTCATGGGGGTTGGGATTTGATCTCAGAGTGCAGCCTGCTTGCATCCATTTTTCATGGTTGATCTGAATGTAGTTGTAGGCTGATGGAGCAAGGGAAAGTCTATGACCACACTACTCTGGACGTGCCCTTTTTTGTCTGATCTTGAAAGGTTTATGAATTGTAGTGCTGTCTTACAATTGGATTCATTTTCCAGTTGAAAGGAAAACCAGGATGGTATTTCATGTGTCCAGGCTTTTATGCTGCTTTTTTAAGCAGGGTTGGGCCCACTAAGTACATGATGGTCTTCTGTGGTGTTATTTGGCCCCAGCATTCTTGGGAGTCTGGGAAGGTTTAGTCTAAAAATTGAACTGCCATGAAAACTGCTTTACCCAAAATTTTAGTTCACAACCTTCACTGGATGACTAATCAGGGCAAAGGTCAGCCATATTAACATGTTTGTAAACCAGTGAGTTTAACTATTATCTCATGGCTGAAATTCTGAGCTAAAAGCTACTGGATCTTGGTGTGTGTGTGTGTGTGTGTCCATGTTATGTGTTGTGTTTACAGGGTACCAAATGGGCTCATAAATAAAAGAGCACTCATATATTAACTAAATAATTCCAAGCATTTTTCAGGTTTACCTGACTTAAGTAAATCTTTAATAAACAAGCTGACTGTAATATTACCGGTAAAATAGAAATAGAAGTGTCTTCAGAATTTGTCAGCATGTTTTGTCTGGCTTTACTGATTATTTTACATTTACCTCTGCTGGATATTTTAAAGTGTCAAGGTTCAGCAAACGTTTATAAGACTATAAATTCAGCTAAGAACAAAATGAGATCATTATATGTGTACTTTATTTATTTAATTTTTTGAGATAGAGTCTTGCTCTGTTGCCCAGGCTGGAGTTCAATGGCATGATCTCGACTCACAGCAACCTCCACCTCCTGGGTTCAAGCAATTCTCCTGCCTCAGCTTCTTGAGTAGCTGTGATTACAGGCACGAGCCAACACACCCGGCTAATTTTTTTATTTTTAGTAGAGATGGGGTTTCACCATGTTGGTCAGGCTGGTCTCAAACTCCTGACCTAGTGATCCACCCACCTTGGCCTCCCAAAGTGCTGGGATTACAGGCATGAGTCACCACTCCTGGCCAATATGTGTAACTTTTTAAAAATAAATATAACTAATTTAATAATGTTGGTTTAATGAAAACAGCTGAATATTCTAAGTTTTAATAAGTATACCCACATGCTTAACTTTAAGTTAAAATTTGGTAAATATCTGATAAAATCTGATAAATTGGTAAAAATCTGATAGATATCTGATAATTAGAGACTATAAAAAATGGTTAACAAGGAAATAACTTGAAGTGATGACTAGCTTTTTCTAATATCTCAGTTTCCAGAAGTAATCTAAATAAACTGATAAAAATGAATAAATGGAGTACATATAAATGGTATTAAATGCTTGTAGGTAAACTTTTTGTGTAATTTAAAATCTCAAAATTATTTTAAATTCAGTAACAGATGCTCATTGAATGTCTCGGTCAGTTCCAATTAAGAATGGGTTATGATATGAGAAAACATGTTTCTAAAAATTTGTGAAGTACTTTCATCTATAAAATGCCAATATCTCACAGGCAGTTCAGGATTTCTTGCTTCCTAGATTTTTCACTAAAATTTAAAGTTACTAAAAGTAAGAATTCTAGTTAACATATAATTCTTCATATAAAATGTGCCAAATCAGAAGGTCCAAGCATGTCATAGATGGTCTGTGTACATAATAATGAAGTTGGTGAAAAAAGAATTTGTAAAATAAATTTTGTATGTGATTAACTTGGGTATAATTTAAGAGGAATTATTTATAATAGTCTTTCTAAGATTCTTCCCCTATGTTAAAACAAGGTTTACCTAAAATTTTTATTGTTCTTAATAAAATTACAAAAGGTTTTCATTTTGATTCTATAATCTCTTTCTGAAAACTTCTCTGATTTATATTTCAGAAGTGCATCTCTATTGTGTCTTGCTGCTTTGGCCTTTTTTTTCTCCCCTTGAAAAGGCCTGAGTCATTCAATTTTTTTCTCACCTCCTGTAACTTTATTCCGCTGGTTCTAACTGCTATTGTGGCCTGATACTAAACTGTCTATCTTGAAGGTCTAGGAAAGCTGTGTTTTCCTTAGGTATAACTTGATTCTATACTCTTGACTTTTCTTGGTATGGCTAAAATGTTCATCAGGTTTAACTTTCAATTTATGTCTAAGTTGTTCATCAGGTTTGACTTATGGCAAATCTAAAGAAGCTAGCCATAAGGAGAAATCATCACATTACAGAAGGTATTTCTTTGCTTTTTGGTAACTGGTATAAGAAACATTTTACATTTTATCAAGATAATTCCTATTGGTTTTTTAATTGCTTCAAAAAACTGAGATTGAAAAGAATTAGGGTTTTTATATCCGTGTAATTTTTTATTGCTTTTAATGTCTTTGTGCTGTTAAGTCAGAGCTTTCACTCCTGGATATGAAAAAGGAATCAACTCCTGTTAAATCTTGAACATTGGTTCCAGTCAAAGCCTCATCTTCTGAATGGGAAGAAGGCTACAATCAAAATAAATCACTTTGTGAGACACAGGGTCAGAAATTAAAACTATTCAATCCTTCTAGGCCCAGAGACTATTGGAAAAGAGGTGGGCATGTGAGATTGTAAGAGCTGATTTTTAGGGATAAGAATAATTCAGAGTTTTTCTATAAATGAAACATTAATTTCAAAAGCACACTGATGCATCTGGGCACCTGTGCTGGAATAACAGGGTATTCTTGAAGCATTCATCTACTCTTTAGTTGAAAATTGTAAAATGTTATAAAAAATTTATGGAAATTTTATCTGATGGTCAAATTGATTAAAATTTGATGAGATTCTTTAGAAAGTTATATTAAAATTAACTTTAGGGGCCTTGGAAGTCTAAGAGTACCATGTTAGTGTTATTTAGTATGTTAAAATTATACAGGAAAGCATTGTCAAATATGAAATGATGTTTAACTTTCTTTGGATTTTATATATATGTGTGTGTGTGTGTGTGCATGTGTGTGTGTTATTAATACGTGTTTCAAAATTGTATAAAATTCCTAAAATTCTGATATGTCTTAGTATATGCTATCAAAAATAATTACGATTATTAAATTGTTGTATGCCCCAGAAATAACTAAATTTCTTTGTCTATTGTGTCTTTAACCATGGCTGTGTTGCTGTTTTACTTTGATTCTTCTCAAAAAGTGTTTTTTATTCGGCTACAGCCAAAACTTGCTTCTTTACAGGAATTCATGAAAAGGACTATTAAATGAAGATTTCCAATAACTTTGGAGGTCGTGACATTTTGACAAGAGAGAAAAATCCTAGGACTGTCATTAGAGAGCTAATGTGTTCATGAGTCCCCATATTGAGCAGAACAGGGATTAATTGCATGGGCTGTACTAATAGAAGTTTTTTGTTTTGTTTTGTTTTTCAGAGTCAAGAAAATATTTTTCTTTCTCCCTCCATTCCTTCCTTCCTTCTTCCTCTCTCCTTCCTTCCTTCCTCTCTCTCCTTCCTTCCTTCCTCTCTCTCTTTCTTTTTCTTTCTTCTTTCTCTCTGTCTCTCTGTCTCTCTCTCTCTTTCTTTATTTTCTTCTTCTTCTTTTTTTTTTGAGACATGATCTAACTCTGCTTTCAAGGCTGGAGTGCAGTGGCACAATCAGGGCTCACTGCAGCCTCAACCTCCCAACCTCATCATCCTCCCACCTCAGCCTACCAAGTAGCTGGGACTACAAGCATGTGCCACCATGCCTGGCTAATTTTTTGTTCTTTCTTTTAGTAGAGACAGGGTCTCACCATGTTGCTCAGGCTGGTCTCAAACTCCTGAACTTAAGCAATCTTCCCACTTCAGCCTCTGAAAGTGCTGAGATTACAGGCATGAGCCACCACCTGGTCACTTTTTTCCTTTTGAGTTACTTGCAGCCTTTAGCAATTGGGTAGAGTATATATTCTTGTATACAAAATTTGAAGCATATTTCTCTCTCTCTACTTGATTTCTTCAGAATTTGGAAACTATTTGTAAGTATTTTTTATTTATGGCAATATAGTTATTTGCATAAGTTCAATAAGAGTCTGTTTTCTTTTATAACAGGACCCAATTGGAGGCACTAGTTATTTTACAAAGGCTTTAACTGAACGACATATTTTCACATATGAACAGACTGCTATGAGGAACTTAGATTTACTCTATACCGCTGATAAAAGCTTCTTTGGAAAGACTGGCCTTTTACCTTGTCTACAAGATATCTTTGCAGGGTTCCTGAAGTGTGATAAGAAAAACATGTTACTTTCTACTGGCCCAAGAATCTCAAGTTGTTCACCCAATTTATACAGGTATCTGCAGACACAGGTAAATCCTTGGCTGGGCTCAAGAGGTCTTTAAAAGTTAAATCTGAGATTCTTTAGGGAAAAAGTCCCAACAAATTTCATTTTAAAAAGCCTCTATGGATAAGAATTCTTGTTGTGCTTTATGCAAATAACCAGGCCGAGTATACTAAGACTGAAACTTATTTTGTAAATAATTTGGTCCTTTTATGATTTGTCTATGTCAGAAATGGGGGACTGGAACTGGAGAACTGAGTCCTGATGAAGACTTGAAAATCATACCCTGCTGAAGATCAACTGCAACACAATAAGTATGCCTTTTTGAGGTTTTTCTGACCCTAACCCTAACCCTAACCCATAATTTTTCTCACCAAATTGACCTTATTTTTTTAGTAGCTTAGCATCCAAGGTTTTTTATAGTTTATATCTGTCAAGTTAGCTTATGTTAAGCTGTGGATTCACCATATTTGGGCAAAACCAGTCCCTCTGTCATCCTTCCAGTGGAAATAGTCATGGTCTTGTGAACCTTCGTATGACCTTAAGTTAATATTCAAAGACCAGCAAAAGACCCTAGATAAGAAATCATAAAAGAAACATGCACTTTTCAGGTTGTTATTGTTCTCCTCACAACCATGTTTTTTTTTTTTTCCATTTGGGATGTGATGAATCAGGAATAATTTTTGGTAGGCTTAGGATTGTTCTCTTGGATTCCCTGGAGGATCCACTTCATAGTCTCTGG
Organism: Homo sapiens; assembly: GCF_000001405.40. Lineage (NCBI taxonomy): Eukaryota > Metazoa > Chordata > Mammalia > Primates > Hominidae > Homo > Homo sapiens. The sequence continues at coordinate 75,988,928 of NC_000008.11, read as the reverse complement.
TATTTTAAAATTTGGCTTGCCTGTGTTATTAATCCCCTAGTTCAATATGGCTTAAAAGGTTGTTCTAAAACCAAAATAAATGTATACAGATCATGGTGTTCCAACATGCCAGGGCCAACTAGGTATTCATGAGTACTTCTAATTACAGGTGTGACATTTTCATTTTTCATCATTATCCCATGTTGCCCCTCTTCAGCATAAAGGAGCCAGAGGATGGATGACTAGATTCCTCATGATTGAGGAACTGGTCAATGGAAAAGGGGGGCTGAAATTGGCCCAATTTTCCCACATTTAAATTTTTGAATAAACATATAATTTGACCCTCCCTGGTCTTAAAACTTGAAACTTACATTTGTCTTACCTGAATTCCTTCCTCAGGAAACTGACCCTCAGGCAACCAATGGAAACTCGTCATATTACTGCATCCAGAAAATGAGATGCATAAAGTAAGCAGCCTTTTGTGGCAATTGCTCACTTCTTGGAAGTTTTAGGGGAGTCACAGAGTTCTTCCTATGGGAATAAAATGATAATCACAGAGATTAACTAACTACCCTTAGAAAGCCTCTGAAATCTAAGACTTGTCCTAGAAGATTAGTTTCAGTTGAGGACAAAAAGATTTTCACTATAAACAAAATAACTCCTTTGCATTCCTACATTGTCACCCATTATAATGCCTCCATGACGTAGCTGAATTTCTACCCCATTCTAACTCTACTTATCTAAGAAACAAGATGCCTGCAGTAAAATTTCCCTTTATAACTAGACCAGCTGAGACTGGTTACAGCCAAGAGAGCCAACCACATGACGTCAAAAATATCTCAGGCTTTATTATAAACTTATTTCCATGCTAAATGACATTCCCATCAGCATCATGACAGCTGACAATTGCCATGAAAATGACCAGAAGAACCCATAATGGACAAAAAGAAAGGTGACACTCTGGTTCTGAGTTCACTGCCCATTTCCAAAATACACATGAATATTTCTCCCCTCACTTCCAATGTCCTCACTTTTAATGTCCCTGTTATTAGAGAAACCCTATATTGTAATCACCTCATCCCTTTCTAGTGGAGAGGTTGGTTTGCGAGCCATGCTCCCGCTTCTCCATTCTTTGGCCATGGAATAAAGCTTCTGCTTGATGCTCACTTTTGGTTTCATGTATTGGCTCTGCAATATCAAACAGGGAAAGATCCCATCTTTGGGGACTACTGAGTTTAATTATAAAAATATGAATTTTGGAATCTATCTGGCTGTTTTTGAAAAAAAAAAAAGCTGTCATGGCTTTTGATTGCATTTTAATTGAATCATAGATCAAGTTGGAAAATATTGCCTTTTAACACCATTAAGTTGTTTGATCCAGGAATGGTATACTTCTCTATGTTTTCTTTAATTTGTCTTAGCAATGTTTTGCAGTTTTCAGTGTAAATGGCTTGTATTTTTTTTGGCTAAATTTATACCTAATATTTTATGTATCCCTGATGAGAAATTCCCCATTCATGTACTTTTTATTATTTGAGGATAATTTGCCCTTCAAACTTGGTGTTTCTAAGATTATTTTTCTGTGTCTAATAGTTCTGTGGTTTCAGTAATTTATCTCTAAATGTCGATTTTGTTTTAGGACTAGTTCATGTTTTTCTTAAAAAGGATGTATATTTTTATTTGGTTTTGAAAACCCTCTAGATATTGTCATTTCAATTATTGTCCCTTTGCATTCTTTCTATTGATGTTTCTTTCCCCTTGAAATATCACAGACTTTTATCATTTTATGATATGTTTCATTCGGTTTCTCTTTTTTTTATCTTTCATCTCTGTATCACATTCTAGATTATTTCCACAATAATCCTTCTTGTTCATTAATTCCCTTTTCAATTGAGTTTATTTTGCTTTTTTATTAATTCAGTAAATTTTGAACAATATTTTTAATTTTTAGGAAAGTTTTAATTTTGATTGTTTTTGTATAGTATATTTTGATAATTTGTTTCTATTTAATTTTTTGTCTTAAAAATTTTATTCGTTAATATTTTTTAATTTTCTTCTTATTGTCCCAGTATCTCAAGTTCCTAGGGGTATTAATAATACTGTTTGTGTGTGTGTGTGTGTTTTGAGTCTCCACATTAATCCATTTTATGCGGTGGACAATTATTTTCTTTTACTTTTTTTTTTTTTTCTTTTTCCTTGAAGAAGTCTCTTGTGCCCTGAGTTGTGAAAGTATTTTTATATTGTGGTTTTGACATGTGACCGTGTGGTGGGATACCTATGGTTTTACTATCTGGGACAAGTTCTTACATTAATTTCTTATCTTGGGCTTTCTGCACCTTGCAGATAGGTTTATTTTTTTCCCCAACACTCATGTGTGGCCCAGATTTGGCCTTCTTACATTTTTCAACAGATCATAATTTTTCTCACCAAATTTACCTTACTTTTTTAGTAGCTCAGCATCCAAGGTTTTTTATAGTCTTCTTGTGGCAGAAGTGGTCACCTTAAGAGAGTTCCACCACTATGCAAGGATAAAAGTGCCAGTTTCTTTCACTTTGTGTTGCCCCAATGGTGCCGTTTTGTCATATGAACATTGAAACCCCAGTTCCCAGTCCCTAAGATCTCAATCTGGATCTGATAGGCATCTGTGATTTTGTTTCTTCCTTTAAATGTTTGAATTTTGAGATTCTTATTTGCTTTTGACACCTGGTGATTCCCTTTCTGAATCATCCTTTTAAAATATATTTCTGAATAATTAGAATCTGGATCCAGAGTTCAATACCCTGGATTTAGAGTTATTGCTGCTTTCAAGTAGGATGAAATTGGATACATTTCTTAACCCACCTATGATTCAGTTTCTTCATCAGGAAATAGATCAGAGATATAAAAAAATGCTAGCGATTGAGATATGAAAAGTAGAGAGTTGCTCATGGCTTTGTGGCTGATTTCTGGCAAATGAAATAGGAGAGGAAATAATATGGGCCACTTCACATCTGATCCATAGAAATATCACATACATAAATCTCCATTCCATAAGTTCATTAGAGGCCAGTGGTTGAAGATTTAACCACCAGAAGAAAGAAGGCGTGTTAGTCTGTGAATCACTACTTTGAGAACTGTGTGATCATTATTAAATTGTGAGAGGAGCAAGAAGTATAATTTATGGTGTTAAACTAGAGATTTGGATGTTACACTTTCAATTGAGAAATGTATACCTTTTAATTGGTGTTGGATAGTTTGTTACAGGTGCTGCCATGGCAAATATCCAAAACAGTAGGTTGTGGCATAGCACTCAAAGTGGAAACTGATATTGGGGATGAGAAAAATGTTAATCCATGATATTCAGTGACAAAAAGCTTAGGAAAATGTTACCTGTGATAATATGCAAGACAGTTTTAGAGGGAGTAACTAGAGTGAATCAAAATTTTAGCATGTAATTGTCTACATCAGTCTGTGTTTGACAAGGCATTCCAAAACCAAAATGATCTCTGGTGAAAATTGCCAGGTTTGACAGCAAAAATGAAAGGGGTAATAAAAGGGAGTCTGGAAATACAGACTTTTGAAAAGAGGACTGCTTCTAGATCCCAATCAGTAGGGGTTAAAACTGAAAAAGGATTTGAGTAATAAAGTTCCATTAAGAATCAAGTTTGCAGCAAAGACCAGGTTAAATGTGGTCTTTTCACTCAAGCATGATAGCCTTGAATAGCTTCTTAGAGGGCAAAGCCTGAAACTATGAAGCAAAATAACAAGGGAATCTTTCAGGAGAGCAGAATCAGAACCTAATCAAGGAATTTCACCCACTGATGGGGTTAAAACCCTTCACAATGGCTGCCCAGCAAGATTTCAAAATTGCTTTAGACAAGTCTACTGTGTATATATCAATCTGTCTTTCCTCAATGGGATTTATTATTGTGGTTATCCCACCCCTGCTACACTATTGTATCCTGGGTATATATGTGTTGGAGTGGGGGAAGAGTGCAGAGGTGATGGAGAAGATATTTTGCCTCTTTAGTTACAGTAGCTGAACTGGGAGCCACATCCAGAAATAGAATGAACATCACCTAAAGATAATAGACTTTGAGCTGGAGGCAAGGACTGGATGGGACTTCGGCTCCTTCTAGGGAAAACAGAGAAAATCGGTATGTGGTGAGCAGGGGGTCAGATATTAGTAAAGACTAAATCTATGCTCATCCTGCTTAGTTTTTGTTATTCTTACTTGGCACATTCATTTCTCAGCCAGTTTGAAGTTGGGCTAAGACTGAACTCTAGCCAACCAATTGTGGGTGGAAATTATGGATATAATTTCTATCCCTACCCCATAAAAAATCCCATTTACAACCTTCCATATTCTTTCCCCATCCCCGAGTGACCTGACGCCACATATTGACAATGGCGACCTCCCAAGATGGAAGATGTCTGAGTTCTTTTGCTATATGGAGAAGAGCCATCTGAAATTTAATAGATCATGACATGAGTGACAAATGAATATTATGTTAAGCCACCGTGATTTGGGGGTTGTGGATTATTTTGCCCTTACTAATACACTACCTCAAAGGGTTATTGACAACATCAAATGAGTTAACACATGCAAAGTATTGGGAAGCCTACCTGTCATATAGAAAGTACTTCATAAATATCAGATATTCTTACAATATACTCTTCAACATTTATGTGTGTTGGATGGGACAGTCGTCTACACTAGCTAAATCTACCATATTGTAATACTTTTTGGAGGATGGGGTAAAAGTCTAGAGAGATTTGGTCTTTCTTTAAAAACACAAGTTGATACATGAATTGCTTACTAATTATTAATACATAAACTGATTGTTTAATTAGAATCCATTTTACTTGACCAGTTATTGAACTAGGTAGTGAACTAGTTATGTTCTCCACCCCTGGTTTTAAAAAAAAAACTGAATGAATTAATTATAGACTTAGTGAATGTTACGGTCAAGGGCACATATTTTCACAAGTAAAAACTCTAGGGTATTATGACACTTAAGTTTGTGTGTGTGTGTGTGTGTGTGTATTTACATCTACTTCTATATCTCTATAACTACACATCTATTGAAATATAGATACAGATATTCCCTAACCTATAGGGTCAGGAAGTACAAGACTTAAAATCTAAAAGTATGGTGTAAAACAAATATCTGTCACTTTTCTAGATTTTCTGAAATCCAGGCAGCTGCAGACTGATTCCTTAGCCTCCTGGTTTGAAACATGAGCAATTTGGGGCAGAATTATTGTTTTTTGTCACAACAGCAAAGGGAAAAAGCCAAACTCTTTTTTCTTTTGCAATGTTTATTTGTCAGTGGTGTCTCTGATGAGATACATGGTTTGTTTTCTTATGATTTAATCTTGGTTCCTTTTTCATTTTTATGTACAGAAGTGGGTAATCACACCAGGAGTGAAGTATGTAAAAGGAGAGTCATTCTCCTTAATAATATGACAAATTGTGGCATCTCAGTAAGTAGTCACCATGGCCCCACATTGGATTAGATGCTTTCTGTTCCGGACAACAATGTTTGCTCTTTAAAGCTATGAAATTTAGGTTGATTTAAGTGATTTAGATTGTGGCTTTTCTGTATATCTTTGGTGTCAATTAAAAACTTAGGTATGAATGTCACAATTAGGAATTAGAAATTTTGCAGATGGTTACACATTCAGAATTATCAAGAAAGCTCCAGAAAACAATTATGTTATACGGTTAATACTTTTCAAAAATTGATGTTTATAAATTTTTTAAATAAAATATTTGCCTTCCCTGCAAGATTTCACACTCTTAAGAATTGGGACTGCCTTTCTCATCATTACTTGTCTAGTACCCTGGCACAGTCACTAGCACAGAGTAAATACTCATTACATAATTTTGAAATGAATGAATAAAAATGTTTTCAATTTGTTCATTACACTTTCAGAAATGAGTTACCATGGAAAAAAATAAGATGTGAAAAACTATTCACTGCATAGTGCCTTCAATGACAATCCATTTCATTAAGAGTGACTTCTAATTTAAGCTGCCCTTAAATGGGGAGCACATAGCAGCTAAAGTCCAGCAATTGGCAGTTCACATTGACTGAGACCTTACTATTTTTCTGGTTATAGGTTAAATGTTTTACTTCCATTGTCTCACATTATTCTCTTAAAAATCATATATATAGTACAAATATTATACTGATTTAACAGATGAGTAAACAAAGGCTAGGAGAGATTAAGTTTCCCAAGGTTCAATAGCTATTAAATGAACATTGTGGGTACTAAACCAGGTCTATTTGACTCCCCAAACGCTGCTCTGCACCACAATGGCATCAGAAATTAGGACTGTTGTCCCATTAACTCTATGTTTGTTTCTAGGAGATTGATCAACTTGTATGAGTAATTCACAAAGTTAACAAGCAAAGAATTTTCAGGACCTCTGGCCTCCTTGACAATGAAAGAGTCGCCTGGATAAATCCTTTTTTGGCATGATAACCATTCTCTGATTTAGCCCTTTCATAAGTTTGGATTTCTAGTATGCTGGGTAATCTTAAAGTGAGGCACTTGGGCACTTGAGTTGGAATTACCTGGATTATCTAGGCAAAATGTGTTTTGAACTCCTGGGGACTTAATTACTGGAGCAATTGCACAACTCTCCACTTCAGCTCAGCTCTTTAGATATAGCAACCAAGTAATTGAGATGGTTTTGTCAAATTGTGGTTTCCCAGTCTTACTGTTACTTCCTTTAAATTGAAGCCCACTATTGCCATCCTTCATTTCCTAAGATGATAACATTGATAAGGGTTATGGTGAGTATGTCTAAGTGTGGCTTTAAACACCAGCGGACATCCACTAGGTTTTACTCCTCCATAAACACAGGAAGAGACATACTTTTTTCATAAAATAAAAAGTTAAAATATTTTATTACAATAGAGCAATCTACTGGGAAAATATCAAGAAATATAAAGACCTCTTTTTATGGTACATCTAATCAAGGAATCAAATACTGTATAATTTTTAGAAGCTCTGAAATATTCAGCCACATATATATGTAAGTATAATTATACATACAAATACATATCATCCTTTAAGGTTTTTCTACAGGGACTTTAGAATGGCCATTAAACAGTAGTAGAACAAAAAGCAGCAGGAGAAAAATGAAAAGATATAGTATATTTCTAAGTAATAAAAAAGTTAAAATATAAATATGACCCAACAATGAAAAATTACTGTGCATGTAAAATTGCCAGTATATGTGGTTCTTTTCTACTTTTAATCCTGACTAGTGCAAATCTCCTCAAACTACATCTTTGATATCACATAGATTTTCAGATGTCAGAGAAAGCACAAGTTGGTTTGTGTCACACACTGTGACTAAATTTGAAAGAAATTATACTCATTCTAAGGAAGAGACCTTAGCTGTAGTTACTGGAGTAATGAAATTGCCCAAATAAATTCTTGGAAGAGAAATTACCTTGACAACTGCCAATAAGCTCTTATTTGAAATCTTAAAACCCTAGATTGGGTAGCATCTGGAGCAGCTGCCAAAGTGCTGTGATGAACTTTAATACTGTCATATACTAAATATAAATATTTTCTGGAATACTGTAATGCAGATGTCTTTCCAAGGCTATCCTGAGAAATGTTATCACTGAGTCTAATCTGAAACATTTTAAAACCTCTTCTTTATAAACATTACAATTGAAAGGTTATAGCATATTCCCAGGGAAATAAGATTAAGAACAATTCTTATCTAAAAATGTGATTAGAATTCTTTTCTGATTATGGTGTGAAAAATCACTTAATCATTTGCGATAGCTATGATTACTTATTGATTGTCTTTAAAATTACCAACTGCAAACTTTGTACTAATTGTTGTGTTTATTCCTCCATGAGATTACAGTCTAATAATTCTAAAGTGAATCAGTATGCATGTATTAAAATCTGTTTCTTTATCTCTTTATTTTCTGTGATTAAGTATAAAAATATGTGCTCTGGACAGAAGTCCTAGGATAAGTATTTGGTGCCACTGTATGATGGACAGCTCAGCACCTCTCTGAGTTTTTTCATTCATAAAATGATTAATAAATTGGCCGGGCGCGGTGGCTCACGCCTGTAATCCCAGCACTTTGGGAGGCCGAGGCAGGCGGATCACGAGGTCAGAAGATCGAGACCATCCCGGCTAAAACGGTGAAACCCCGTCTCTACTAAAAATACAAAAAATTAGCCGGGCGTAGTGGCGGGCGCCTGTAGTCCCAGCTACTTGGGAGGCTGAGGCAGGAGAATGGCGTGAACCCGGGAGGCGGAGCTTGCAGTGAGCCGAGATCCCGCCACTGCACTCCAGCCTGGGCGACAGAGCGAGACTCCGTCTCAAAAAAAAAAAAAAAAAAAAAAAAAAAGATTAATAAACTGAATTAAAAGAGATGAAAACTATATTTTTTGTTACATTGGTAAAATATAATTATCTGTAGATTCATTTTCCTATCCCAATCTGAGCTAGGATTGTACAAAAAGATTTTATTTTAGTTAATTTTTTTCATAAATTATAATTGAAAGTCTACAAAATGTTTCCAATATTATCAATCAGTATAGTAAATCTTGCTATGTATTTATCAGAGAAAGAAGAGTAGACCAAATTCAATTTCATTATTAGTACAAGATAGGATGATTAAAGGGTCAATGATATGGGATAATATTATGCTTTCTTAACTTGTAACTTTTCTTTTTTTTTTTTCCTTTGAGACAGGGTCTCACTTTGTCACCCAGGCTGGAGTGCAGTGGCCCCATCTCAGCTCGCTACAACCTCCAGGGTTCAAGAGATTCTCCTGCCTTGGCCTCCCAATTAGCTTAGATTACAGATGCCTGCCACCACTTTACCTGGCTAATTTTTGTGTTTTTTGTAGAGACAAGGTTTCACCATGTTGTCCAGGCTGGTCTCGAACTCCTGGCCTAAAGTGATCTGCCCAGGTCGGCCTTCCAAAGTGCTAGGATTACAGACATGAACCGCCATGCCCAGCCTTAACTTGAAACTTTTCTAATTCAATCTGTTAACAGATTTTGAATCTGAACTTGACTAGTTTGCAAGTCACTTTTTATTTAAAAATTATTCACTATAATTAAGGTCTAAATTATTGTGGTAGGTATGTCCTCAGAACAGTTAGAGTTTGGTTTCTGAGCAGGAAAGATAGTAGTTGAAAATCTCAAATCTCTGAAGAAAAAGTCACAGTTGAGCTGAAGGCATTTCAGTGTTTTTGAAATATCAGTAATGCTTCATATTTCTGAAAACAGACTTTGTTCCAAAGTAAGCAACCACTTCATCACTACACAAAAAAAATCTCACACACTGACTTCCGGCTTGTTCGTATAACATGAATCACATCCCTGTCTCTGTTTGTCTGTCTCCCAGCTCATCCAGTTCTCTGCAGAGTCATGAACTTGACCCATGATTGTTACTTGATGCAAGGTGGTTTGAATGAAAGTGTATGTGTCCACTTCACAACTAAGTGCATCTTCTGTCTTCCATTCATCTTTTTTTAACTTTTCTCCAATATTTTCTCCAGTGGTGTGGCTCGGAATTCTCTTGAGATAATCTATGGTGCATTTGCTGAAATAAAAATCAGAATACTGTACCCAAAATTATTTAAATATCATATAACCAATGTCACCACACTTTTGGAAAATTATAAATAAAAAATGAGCAAGAATCCTGTGGAAATGGAGCCTACATAAGTAATAGAAAAATGGTACTTCCATTATTTTTTGGGTTTGATAATAGCACTTTAACAATAAACTAAAAATTTGGTGCCAATTATTTAATATATAACTAATTTATGGTGACTAAATATTATCTTTTATAAACATGGAATTACTTAAAATAGATGGTCATTTATTGTCTTAGGAAATAGCCACAGAAGTGGTTGTACTATTACTGTTGCATAGATTCACACGATTTAACAAAACTAAAAAATATTTTTTGTCATGTCTTTTGTGGTATAAAATTGCCTTAAAATTTTATGGAAGAAAAAAATGCTCCTTAATAAAAGCTTTTCCGAAAAAAATAGATATGTGCTTATTTCAAGTACCCCAAATATTTATTCTTATTTTTTAAAAAATGTAAAGATCATTCCCTCTCTCCCTGAGTGAAGCACTCCTAATTTTATAAGTATTTAGTAAGTGGGTCAGTCTAATCAGGTAATCACTTGCAAATTATATATTAAAAAGATAGTTCGAGTGCATAGGTGGACTAAAATATTTTTACTTTGATCTATTTGTGAAATTAGTTAAGATTTTTACCACTGTCTCTATAATCACCAGAAGGCAACAATACATTTTATTATGAATTATGCTGCAATGTTTAACTGTAAAGCAGTTATATAGGTATTTATTACTGAGGTCTTTAATAATAGCTTTGCCACATCAGATTATTAATCGCAGGCAATAATTAGTTCAAGCATTTGTGTACATTATGAGACTCAAGTAAACATTTTCAGTTGGTTAACAATTGCACTTAACCTACCAAATCTATTTCAGAATACAATTATTTGGCAACTCAGCAAGAGATTCTGTACATAAATTTAGTCACCTAAACCATCAACACCTATACATCTTATATGGTCCATTGGAAGATAGTTAAAAAATAAAATGATGTCAAGAAGGGTATGACATAGTGAACTCATGACTTAAATCATTTTGCCTCCCTTGTATTTATGCAATATGAATGGAACTTAGTGAAGCTGTCTACTGAAGAATGGCTGAGTAAGCCTCAACCAATTTAGTTATAATGTAAATTCAATAAATACAATTCCATAAAATAGTAATTCCAGGTCACTTATTCTGTAATATAAAAAAAATTGCACGGAAAAAAGTCTCAGATATTGTATTTTACTAAAATTAAATGCACATAACTATTAAATGTTTTTTAAATATATGGAATACTATTAAATTGGTGCAAAAGTAACTGTGGTTGTTGCCATTAAAACTTTTGCACTAACCTAATATAAATTGTAATGCATATATAGCATACAAAAATTATTTGATGTAGAGAAAAATAATGGCAGGCACAGTATTATAATCTAATTTAATTTTCCATTGTATACTTTGAAGTTACTTTTAGTAATAGTTGTGTGATAACTACCTTTACATGCCTGGAAACCATTGTTGCTTTTTAAAAAGATATTAAATAAGATAAAAGATGTGAAACTAGGCATATCTATAGAATAAAAACCATAGAGCTCATATATTACACAGCTGTGTAACTTTGATGAGGGAGTTGTATTGAAACTAGCAATTTATATAATCTATATCCTTATAAAAACTCTTTGTGGTATAATTTTGCACTTCACCAAAATCTCATTTTGAAGAAATATTAAGATTTCAATATGTATATTTTAAAAGACCTGTTCATATTTTATATATGGAATTTTAAAAGCACTAGGATATTTAACAAGATAATAAGGAATTTGGTTAAAATATTATTGTATATTTAATATACAGTTGGAGAGGTAGAGAAATAGCAGATGCCTCAAATCTACTTCATTTTCTTAATCTTTTTGTTTTAAATTTCCCAATTTCTCAGTTGATTATTTTAGGAAGAAACTTCAAAGATGGAGCTGATATCTTTGAAGCATCATATGGGAAACTGACTCTGAATAGCCCTTTTTACAAAGCCTTGAATCTAAGATCTCACAAGTCTCAAAAAGAAAATGACCCTGCCTCTGCTCCTTACACAATAAGGGTCAGACACAGTTTTGCATTTACAATATAGTTAACTTTGTAATTCTTCTGCATGCTGTGGCACATTTAGTTATTATAATAAGCTGAATGATGTTGAGCTTGCAATTTAGAATCTAAGTGAAAAATTTTAACATTTGCCAATTTGAAATGTACATCTCATCAAAATTTGAACTTGTTCATAGAAGAGCTGCTTCTTCTGCATGCCAGACCATTTTTCTTATTAAGAATGAGCTGTTAAGTAGATAAAGAGAAAATCATTTAAAATAGACCAGGAAATAGAATTGGCATTTCTTATGTTGAAGAAGTGAAGGAATGAGTTCTTGGTCCAATATTCATCTCTTGAATAAATTTCATCGCAAGCTGTCTTGACATAAGCATCTGCATTCCACTGACCTTTATTTTGTAGTCTAGAGAGACTGAGACCACACAGAATTGGTGCTGTTATAGCTAACTGTACTTAAACTTTGTGTCTGATCAACTTAAGTGTATTGGATTTGAAAACAGTTAGTCAATTGTTTCTAGTCCCTAGGTGGTGGTTTATGGTAATGTTTGCATCAATACTAACAAAAGCCATACCACAGTACAAAGTACATCAAGGAAATGAAAGACAAGGCTGCCTGTTGTCAGTTCTGTCTACAATAAAGGCAGGATTCAGAGCCGGGGCAGAGATCGTTAGAGAAACACAAAAATGAATGAACCACAGAAATCGTAGGGCTGATGGTTCACATCAAAGGTTTGGGAACTGGCTAATGGGCAAGGTTGCACACAGGCCACAAGACATATACCCTGGACTCATTTGGCCATACAGAAAGGTCACCAAAAAGAGGGGAAAAAGCTCATAAGATAGCATAAAGCAGTCTTCTGTAGAAACTGTGTAAAGAGAAGGAAGAGGAAAAAAGCAGCATTACCGTCGCTGTGTAAACTATATCCATATCAAATGGTATTTCTGGTGAAAAAATCTATTTATATTTTTATGTCAGACATCAAAATTCCTAATATTGAGAAATATAATATGATGCTTTATATTTGCTGGAGTATTTTCCTTCCACATAAGACCAATAAAATGCATAAAGGGTCAATTCAGTAAAATTTAAATCCTTTGAGCCTTCTCTTGTATAAATAAAATGGTACTAATCATTTTCTTAATTGTTTCAAAGAATCATATGACTGGAGAACAGTGAGTTGTATATGTAAGCAGATGTGTACAAATAGAACAATAATAACAGAATTGATTTTGATATTTTTCTCGCTTTGTATCAGCTTATCATGTATAATTTTAAAAGCACAATTAAAGGAACTAAATGCTACAATAATATGACATAGTCATACAATGGCATCTATTAACGTAAGAATGTAGTTATCCTTTATTTGAAGCCTAACCTCCAGATACCTGCTGTGCTGCTAGATGCTAGAATGTCAAAGAAAAATAAGTGAAAGCATATCTCATCATGGGGTAAATTGCCTGTTGAAAAGAAATGTACTTAGTTTCTCATTTGAATGCTGCTTTCAGTTAAAAAATGGGAAGGATTGTTATCAAGGTAAGGACTAATCTTTCCTGACCCAAAAGAAAGAGATAGAGAGAGAACAGAGAGAGAGATAAAGAGAAGGAAAAAAAATAATGTCTATTTCAACAAAAGCATCAATTCAGAAAAAAAAATTAAAAACAGGCCAATAATGATTTTCATTATACTTTATGCCTATTTTTAAGCTTTTATTGTCAATTAATACAATGTAAAAATCCACTTCAAATTGAAAAAATGTGCAAAATTGGTGATTTCTATTATGAAAAGTATCTGTTGTAAAGTTCTATGTGATTCTTATAATCCTATTTAATCACATATACCTGAGAATTATTCATAATATGTGAAATATATGCCAAGCTATACCTTATTATCTTAATGACACATATTTGTCATATTTCAAATGGACAGGAATCCCCTCAAGTCTCATAGAAATAAGGATTTTGCATATGAAGATGCATATTTACACAGGTAAGGCATTTTTGCAAAGCACTTTTGCATAGAAACAACTATCTAGCACTTTGTAAATAATATTACATCATTTTACTTTACATGCATTTTCTTCATTTTTTTTTGCTTAGCATTTATGAAATGGCACAAATGTTAAAGCAAGGAAATAATTATTTCCATAAAAAACTCAAAACATACATTTAATATTTTTAATATAAATATCAATTTAATACTAACAGAATAGTATCAAATTGTCATTAACTTTTTAAAAATAATACCAATGCTTAAATATCAAATTTCTTCAATCTGATTTATATGCTGCAAAGCACTAATTCTGTTGCGAGGTCTGTAACTAATTTACCCAACAATTTTTTTTTATTGATTTACAAACAAGATTAATTTTTCATAATTTGTTAGATATTTTAAAAGCTTACACATTTGACTGTGAACACAGAAACATTTATCTTTTTAAAAAGAACACTACCTCATTAATAGCTGGAGCATCATGTTGTTTAGAGATAAACATGACAATTTTAATTTTTCTATAGGGCAATTTTTATACTAGGTTCACAAGTCCCATGGCATTATATTTTTATAATATTCCAATGCTGCAATTTAAAATCGTTTTTAAAAGGGGAAAAGATAAATCTTTTCTGAAATATGTTATTGATGTAAGCTTACAATACAGGAACGCAATTTCAAGCTAACACATAAAATTTTATTAGACAAAAAATTGTTCAAAAAATATTTAAAACAAACAAACAAAACCCAGTCCATTCAAAATAACAAAATGTGTTTGCCTAGATATGTAAAAAATCCGAGGACATTTGAAAGTTAGCTGTCATTATGGTCCAGTTCACTGTTTATTTCTTTGGTATGCATCTCCTGACCTGTATATAAAATCCATAGTTTCAAAAGTGACATGTGCAAGCCTTGGACAACTGGGGAAAAGGCATATTTCCTGACCTTGTAACCATAGCAACCACTTGCTGATTGGTAGCAGGCAGGCTCTCCATCCTTTACCACTGAAGGCAAGTATGTGAGGTTGCTGGCTTTGTTTGTGACTAGGGCTTTATTTACATGCAAACAGGAATACCGGACTTGAAATCACTTTTTTCTGTTAAGCATCCAATTATAGACTTGAAAAATTTAAAAAAAAAAACCCTTAATTTTACAGCTTTATAATAATGTTACAATTACAATAAAAACAGAACACATATCCCACTGAAGCTGAGTGTAGAAGCTTAACTTAGGATCTTTTTCCATTTAGCTTTGCACCCCACTATCAATCCTCAAACCCCAACAACAGGAAAAAAAGTGTATATATGTATATTTAGCAATATGTAACTTTTAAAAATTTTTCAAAAAATCGGTGAAATACATTATTTGATAAGATTTATATGTAAGGAAAAAAATAAACTCCTTTAAATTGTGCTAACACTCTATTTCCAGAAACTCCCTTAAATGGTAATTAGGCAAGCATGTAACACATAAGTTTGCATCCTGGAGAAGCTAAGCCATTTAGAATTCCCTTCCGGAATGACGCAATACAAATTTCTTTGGATGTCTTTGCTTCATATGCAGGATATTTGCTTTATGAAAGTAGAAACCTTCCTCTTCATTTTCTTTTCCCCAACCTATTCCACTTTCTTCTCATAACCAGCTATTCATGACATAAATAAAAAGTGGAATTTTGTAAGACTCACTTTGGTGAATAATCTGTTCTTGGGATTCAGAGGATGAACCAGGCATATACTGAATCAACTCTGACCCTTCAATTGAAGTTTCTCTCCCATGCCAAAGTTATTTTTTGTGATGGAGAAGTTATATGAAAGTTCTTCTTAGCAAATCCTTGCTTGAGTACAGTATAATGAAAGAATACAAAGTGAGACTTGAACATTATATTAAAAGACATTTATGTGTCATCTTCTAAAAGCAAATGCTCTAACTTTAATATAATTATATTACTGAGTTTGTATTTGTTAATAAGGTTTGTTATATGCCATTCAATGAAATAAATTACATGAGCTATACAATTAATATTTTCCTGAAATCCTCCATTAATTAACATGAATAACTGATACACTGTTTTATCAAAATGTTCTGCATTTGTTTATTATATAAGCATATCTTCACAAATGTAAACATGCTTATATCATATTATGCAGTAAAATAAACATGCAATAAAATATTTCTGATAATACGAGTTCAAAATACAAGTAGAATTCCCATAAAATACTTACACAAATTATTTTTACTTACAAAGTTCATTTGAAGTATAAAGTTTGTGTTATTTTGCATTAATATTAAGATACACACAAGACAAGCAAAATTCCAAAACAAAATGAATTTTTAAAAACCATCATGCTAGTAGTTTTATCCAATTAGTAAGTGCTGATTTTGATTATAAAAATGCTCTGTAACTCTCATAAAATGTATCATAATAAAATTTAAGAATTCACTATACATGTTCACAGTCTCTCTGGCACCTACTTAACAATTCTACATAAAACTCTCAACCTTACTTCTTTTTTCCTTGTGGAAAGGTCATTTTCTGACTTATTTGTATTTTTAAAATATTCTTGAAAGGGATACAATTATTATTTATTGTTATTGTTTAATAAAGGAGTTTAGGCTAATACTAACAATTTTAAAACAAAACCCTATATTTTCTCATAACCTTTATAGATGTGCATACTTTAAATTTTTAATATTTTACCTTTATATTATCATATTTCCTTATGGTGAAAAAGAAAGCAAAATTGTTGCCTTAATATAAACAGTAAAACCATCGAGCTTTGTACTAGCACTTAACTAACATTGGGGAAGAATTTTTCATTTTTGTACCTAATGGTGGTATTCAGACATAATTTGATTTTAGTATAACCCTGTAAAGTTCTTTCCCTGCCCTGACGTACTATATAAAACATTTCTTAACTCATTAATGTCAAGTATAAATTAGTTTTATATTGGAATTTTAACAGCCCAGCCTCTACGGGCAACATAAAAACCAGGCCATTGTCAGAAATGGTGCTAGGCTGCATGCAAATTTAAACCAGGTATCATCTATCATTAAAGAAAATACAAGATGAATTAAACTTTGGGGTGTCCATTTCACGATCTCCAGCACCATAAATTATTTTGGTTTATCTATACTTTAAAAATATCAACAGTTTTTGCTGAACACATGCAGCGCAATTTCAGCAATAATATTTTAATGTGCTCTCTGGATTTACCAAATCAGAGTATGACTAATAGTCAATGTTCAAATGTCTAGGATACATTTTCTCATATATATGCTCTGAATATCTGAACAGGCATGTTGTATTGTATTAATATCATAATTCAAAGGGAAATTTATTAACCCTCCAGTATTCCCATCATTGCTAAAAGTTGCAAATTCTAGGTGGCAGAACCTAGACAGTAATATCAAATTTTAATAACAATTCCTCTTCTTCGGTCAGGGCTATACTGGAGAAAAGCATAAATTGCTGTGACTGACCATTGGTTGTTAGAGAAGCAATCTGACTTCCCCACACCCTTATTTCAGTGTATCTGTTCTGTCCCTCAGCTGTATTAATGATAGCATGAAAGGTCACATGATAAACGAGTGACAAAAATATCAAAACATATTAGCCTGTAGCTTTGTTATCAGTGTATGACAGAGATGACAGAAAATTGTATTTTTCCCCTGAATAATTTTGCGTTACATTTTGCTGGCTAGGCAGAGTGAATTAGGGAGAAATTCCTGCCTCTGACTGTTTGTCTCCTTTTCTGACATACTTGAAGTAATAATATACATTAATAATAGGGACTGTTCGCAGAAAATGGATAAGAATTCAAGATCCAACAGTCAGTTTCCATTCTACAACCTGCTCTTGTTTTGTTTTGTTTTTTTTCTAACAGGAACAAATATTCTTGAAAAATATGCATAAAATTGAACATTATTAATATTAGTGCTATAATAAGCTTGGGTAGAATATAGAGCCGGTGAATGAATCATGGAACATTGACCAAAAAGATAAAAAGAAAAGTAACCTAAAAAGCAACTTCAAGGCACACAACATTATATTTCAAACCATACTATTTTATATTTAGTGAGAAACATGTTCTCTAATTAAATAAAGGCGATTTCAATAATTCTTAATCTAACTTGTTGAGATGTGGACCCAGTAATTACAAATTAGAAGCAGAATTTATACCTGCTGATTTACAGACTGTCAGGGATTGTATACCCTGGGGAGATGAGGTTTGCAATCTTGGAAAAGAGAAAATAGGAACTGGCAGGGGCTTAATGTCTTGCAGAGGTAGGGTGTAGTCTCCAGTGGTAGGTTAAGTTCTGCCTTATCTACGTTATCCTTCCCTGGGTGAATAACAACATCGTCAACTCAGTCCTATGCCTCTCTGACCACCTTAAAAGGCATCATTATGGAATTAGTTACAAAATGCTGGAGAACAAAAATCAGCAAAATACACTGAGTGACTCTATAATATGGAGTTAAGCAGAGGAACAGGTAAAGAATGAGGATATTTCTTACTGGGTATGGGGCCATCAATCAAGATAGAGACTAGATGTTTTAATGAGGGATTATGGTATATTAACTTATGGTCATATATTGCATATGAGATATAACCCTGATCTTCCAAAGTAGCTGTCTAACTGAACACTGGAACCATTATGGAAGCTTTTGGACTGAGCTAAAAAAGAGCTATGGAATCTGTCAACAAAGCATAGTCACGAAAGCCACACAAATGTATGAAAAAGCTTATATAGCAGAGTCTTTTAATCAGGGATGCCCTATGTTTGGCTTTTGGGAATCCGTGAATCTCCTGACATTACCTTAAAATTTGATTTTTTAAAAATTTCCTCTGGGAAAAAGAGTCATATTCATTGGATTCTCAAAGGTGTCAGTAAACTAAACAAGTCTGAGAACCATAGAAGTTGGGTGACAAGAGAGGAGGACAGGAAAGGCAACCAGCTGTATTTAAGGGATGGTCAGAGGATGATGAATATAGGGAGAACTGCTGGAGTAGTTCGGGAAATAGAAAGAGTAGAAATGCAGAAACTCAGGGAGGAGGGGATTTTGAGAAGAGTATGATACAGACAAGTAAATGGAACTAAAAGTTTTTCATTTGATTTGCCAACTAAGACATTTTGATCTCTGAATGAATAGTTTTCTAAATCTGTGTGGCAAAAGTCATATTAAAGTGGCTTGATGTGTGAAAAGGAGAGGGAAAGAAGAGAGACAGGGAAAATAAAGACCAGAATTAAAGTGAGTTAGTCTAAAACTTTAATATTTATAACCATGTTACTTAACATAAATTTTCATTAGTTATTTAATGTTGCCAAAGTAATATTGAAAACATCATTTACTCTTATGCAAATAATTTACTTAGCATTGTCAAAGGTAAGGATTTACTTATTATGTCTTACTAAACTATGTAGATTTGCTTCTCAGCTTTATAGCCCTGTGTCCACTGATAATATAAATTAAGTTTAAATAATTTAAATGACTGTTTTTAATCAGTGGAAATAAATACTTCAGTACATATTTACCTTTTAGATAATGTCTAAACTCTTTCTTTATCTCTCCAAGCTTAGCAGTAGTCAATGAAATATAATTGCATCTTAATTATCCATTTAGAGAATATATATTTCTCTGAATAATTATGGAACATTTCTGGACCTACAGAGAGTAATTTTACTTAAATTTTTTTTAATCGCAATCCATTTAGCTGTGTAGACAAGGTTGCCTCAAAGAACTTCTCTTTCCCTGATTATATACAATTAGATTTTTTAAAATTACTGGTACAATAATTTTCTCTACCTTTATTCTTCATATCCATTATTTATGTAGTATAATTGGGGTACATGATATCTTATAATTTACAATCTAAACTGCATTATAGCCATGGCTAAATCATGTATTTAAATTCTGATACAATAATACTGAATACTAATTCCCTGAGGTTTCCATGGGGAAGAGAGGTTAGATTTCAATGCATGGGCAATTCATAACGCGTATGCTTCAGATCTGATCTCTGAGGAATTTTTCAATCCCTGATTGTGATTCACACATCACTTATGGCAGAAATAAATGTGATTACAGATCGCCTTGTAAATACTAGGTGGTACTAGCTTTTGAGGATACTATTTAATATACCAACATGTAACATATACATACACATATATAATATTTTAATATGTTTATGCATCTGTGTAAATGTGCACACCTGCAGAGAAAGAGAACATTATCTAATTGGTAAAGATTTTTTAAGTTGTTTCATAGAGAATTCCACAAGTTTTTTAAATGGAAGCATTTTTCAATAATTACTAATAATTCAATAGTGCTAATACAGATAATATTAATCTTTAGTGGAAGCTTCATTTCAGGAAGTCATTACACTAAGAAATTCACACATTATAGTGTTTGGTATTCAAGTTCTCCACTATAACAAAGACCAAAATAAAAATGATTTAGGCAAGATAGCTTTTTCTCTCTCACATGTATAACAGACTGTGAGTAAATGTCTTACATTCTTAATATTCAATGTTGAGTCCTTGGATCAGCAACATAAGCACTTTCTGAGAGCTTCTTAGAAATGCAGTATTCAGTTCCCACCAAGATCTTTCGAATCAAATTTTGAATTTCTACAAGATACTCAGATAAGTTGTACACAATTTAAAATTTGAGAATTTTTCTTGACTTACATAATACTCTGTGTGGATATGGTGTCTTTATAGAGGGAGGGCTCCAAGTTACTAGCTCTTTGCTTCTGTTCCCAATCCAGAGATTCTACTTTATGATCCAAGACCTGCAGTCCCTACAAGCAGAAAAGGGAACAAGAGAAGGGGAGGGCACTCTACTTTCTATTATGACAAGACCTGAAGCTGTATACATTACAACTATAGATATTTCATTGCGTAGACCATAGTAGCGTGGCCATGCATGACTGCAAAGGAGGCATTGACTATGTGTCTATGTGGCTGGTTAAATCTGGACATTGTATTACTAAGTTAGAAAGTCTGAGATATGATAGTTGTTGAAAAACAAGAAGGTTCTGCCAATCTCATGCTACTTGATTACTCCTCGCAAAAGGTATTGTGCCATTTGCAGATGAAAGAACCAAGAGTCAAAGATGGTTCAGTCATTTACAGAAGGTCACTCCTATTTCTATGTTATAATCTTTCTGATTCCAGAATTTATACTATTCAGTGCTATATAATACTTACTACTCACTATAGGCCTAGGAAGAGTTCCACAATTCAAATTGATGTTTTAGACATCATTTTCAAAGTAGTATTATTTATTAGCATAGTTCAATAATATATTTCATTAGAATTATGAAACTGCCCAATAATAATCAGAATAAAAATTTTAGATTAAGAAATTTGATAATCAAATGAGAGTTAAACCATATCATTGAATGAGCTTTTTTAAAATAATAAATGAATCATTTATTATTAATTTTTAATGTATGAAAGACAATGCAAAATGAAATTCATGTATACTTGAAAATATAAGGTTAAAAGGAATAATCCAAACTAATGATGTAGACAACAGACCCAGATTTTTATGCACATATCTGAGCTGAAAATGATAATTAAAGATATTTTGTCCAATTTAATATCATATTATATAAATTTAATTTAATTAAGGATGCTCCCTTAAAATAATTTGCAACTTTTGTTTCTTTGAAAAATCTAAAAGACTGCTTTTCTTATAAACACATATACATAAACATTCCTGGATAAGCAGGAACAGCTTCTTGTAGTTAAAATTTATACTGAAGGCTTGGCACAGTGGCTCACACCAGCACTTTGGGAGGCTGAGGCAAGAGGATCACTTATCACCAGGAGTTTGAGACCAACTTGGGCAACATAGTGAGACCCTGTCACTATAAAAAAACAAAACAAAACAAAACAAAAAAAACTTAGCCAGGCATGGTGACGCGTGCCTGCAGTCTCAGCTAGTCAGGAGGCTGAAGCGGGAGGGTCACCTGAGCCCAGGAGGTTGAGACTACACTGTGCAGTGATTGTGTTACTACACTCCAACCTGGGCTACAGAGGAAGACCTTGCCTCAAACAAACAAAAAAGCCCACAGAAACTGAAGTTATTCATATTTGCCATGTGTCTGTCATTTAACCAGATATCTGATTTTGGACACATTTCTTGACTTCTCAAAACTTGTCCATCTGCAAAATAGGGGGAGTAAAAGTATTCCCATACCTGAGTGAATTGGATGTAATAATTTGTGAGGCATGCTGGTATCCCTGCTCATGTAGAAGCTCACACATAGTAGCTACTCACTGAATGCTAGTTTCTATTTAAAAATAAATGATCAAGTAAACAAAGAAAACTAACAAGACAGCTCAGAAATTAGTCATTGAAGGTAGTCTTTTACCATTACAAAATCCAACTATGTCTTTTTTGGGGGGACAACTTGAAGTGCTTGCTGTGTCCTTCAATACATTTTTTTCCATAAAATAGTTCTCTCAGAATTTTCAAAAGATGAGGCAAAATGTTCTACATTCATTCTCATGTTGCAAACAGTCATTGTATATTCTTTCCTCCGATTTGATCTTTACATTAATCCTGGTTGCTTTCTAGTATACCCTATTCTGTAATAGTCTTGATCTATGGGATCTCATTTTGACATTGGTAAAACACAATTTTTCCATATCCAAAAATAAAGTGTGCCTTACCATAGCCTCAGAATACAGTGCAAACAAGAATACCACTTGTTCATCATTAATTTCCATATGGAGTTCTCACTTCTTCCATTTGCATATCAAAAGAGTATCATATTTAACAAAATGCTTAGAAAATACATTTCACACAAATAATATGGCACCATTAGTGCCTAAGAGCACATAGAATGATTTCATATTTCACAGATATGTCCAAAATTTGAGTCTTGCAATTTATACTGAAGAGACTGTACTAAGTTACATCATTGGTTAAAAAAATAAATTACTGTAAGTAGTAATTTATTTACTATAAGACAACAGATGGAAATGCAAAAATCAGAATTGTAATTAAATGAAATTGCTCATATTTCTTTTGGTATAAATGTTGCATATATTGTGCTACTTACATGTGTACACTTTCAATAGTCAACTAGCAAGTTTATTGCCTTAAATAATTAAGATCAGGTAGTTTTAGAAGCATGATAACTTTAAAGACAAAGTTTTTAGGTCATTGATCATAATTTTATATCCTTTTACAATGAGTTTGTGGTTTCATAATTACATGTAAATTGCCAATGATACATTTGTTTTAGTAGTGGCCTTGTTTTATACAATACTTATCTAATTTTTAAGATACAGTAATCTGATATTTATGCAATATAAAATTTGATATTTACACAATATCAAATATCTAAGAAAATGGAACCTGTGTATTTTAACATCAGTTTTTAAAACATAAAATTCCAGAGCTACAGACTAGAGTAAGGGCTTTAATTTAAATGTTAATAGTTACTGTATTCATATTTGTAGTTTTGATGCATTGACAGATATGGATATATGTGGATATATGTGGGTACATAAATGTACAAAATATCAACAAGGAGAGGGTAGAGGATGTCTCTTCATGTCTAGAATAGTAGATTTCAAGATTCCTAGAATGTTTATATGATGAATAGAGAGGAAAGTTTAAAATAAGAGGCAGTAACATGTATCGTCTAAAACATGTGTATTTATTATCATGAAGCACAACACTTGTTCAAATTATGGTCGAATTAACTTTTAAAATACTACATCATGCCTGAAATAATGGTAAGATACTGGTATGATAAAGTTAATAATATAAATGAACATTTATTGGGTATTTACTATTTTTCCAGCACTGTGCTAAGCATTATATTAATCCTCACATTAATCCACTATAGTAGAAAGGAAAATAGAAGTAGCAAATTTGACTGAATTGTCCTCCCCTGTTGCTCTGCTAGGAGGGAGAGATAGACTGACATTGAACTCAGGTCACCTGATTCTTTCCAGTGATATTGTGGCAGTCAGGACTCTTCCAGTGGCAAATGATAGGAACCCAATTCAAATATGCCTAATTAAACAGTAACAAAAAAATGAGATGAAGGATTCATAGAATAGAAAACATAGGGATGAGTTCAGAACTTACTAAACATCATCAAGATTCTTTCTACCCTTTGCCCTTCTCTCAGCTGTTTTGCTTGGCATGTTGGCAGATGGCATTTTTTCCAGGCAGTCCAGGGATGTTCACAGAAACTCCAAGTTTATATCAGCTGGCTTAGCAAACATCAAGGCAAGAATTTTCTTCCCTGGAGTCATATCCCATGGAAGGTTAAAAATATTCCCCAGGGAGTATCTAGGGAAATTTTCAATTCATAGTTTTAATCATGTGTCAGCCCTTGAGGCCAAAGGGATGGGATTTTATCCACTGGAGTCATGTGGAGTAAAAAGGGGGTAATCACTGTCCTCTAAAAAATACAGAGGTTAAGTTTTCATTTACTGAAGAACGAGGATTAAAAAGTGTGAGATGAATTCTGTGAGATATAAGCATATTTCGAAAGTATATTTTTTAGATTTGAAAAAATCTAAAAACTTAATTGCAATTATTTTGCAATTAAATTTTTGTTACTTTTACAAATCTAAAAAATATACATTCAAAAGATATGATAAAGGGTAATTTTGTTTTATGATATTTGCATTGCTGATATTTTTAAATTGTCTTTCATGAAATATATTACTTCCGTACTTCATTTATTCAAAGAAGAATATAAAAAGGAATAGCAACTTGCTAACAGTTATCAGAAATATTAGTACTACATATTAGTAATTAGCATTCAGTAATATATTAGCTTTTACTTCTAGTTATTTTAGAAATGTATAATTTGTGACCTGCCCAATTACAGTAATTATTTACTTAGACACTATTTTAAAATAATTTTAGAATTAAGAGATATTCCTTATCAATTTTTGATCTTCTATTATAGGCTATGCTTTTCACATGTTTGGACAACTAAATGTAGTTAATATTCAGGTATTTTATGTGAATTGAAACATATTTTCAGATAATTTGTAATTGAATTTATTTATATTTTTTCTCACTTTAGGTTTTTCCTAACAGATTTCCTCTATTATGAATTTCTTGTGGTTTCATCTAACTTATATTTACTTAAAAAAATAAGGTAGAAGAGACACTTCTCTGATTCTTGATTCATACCTAATTTAATTTATGTCCTTTGATGATTGCCTCACACTTTTCTATTAATATTTCTGTTTTCAGAAACATGTAAATTTATTGTGGATTTTAAGAAAATATTGCTGCTCTTTTTATTGCATTCATTGCATACAATTCCTTGTTTATGCTCTTATACTTTTACTAATTGAAGTGCATTTATCTGCAGTAATAGCACAGATCCTAAATGTGCACTTCTGTGAATTTTGACAAATGTGTATATCTGTGTAGCCACAACTTCCATCAATGTATAGAATATCCTTGAGTTGTCCAAGAAAGTTTCCTGTGTTGCTTTACAGTAAGTCCCCCACTCCTACCAGAGACAACAGTTGTTCTATCAAAATAATTTGTTTTCCTTATTTTTAAAATCCATATAAATAAAACTATAAAGACTTGTAGTTTTATGTGTCTGATTTCCATAAGATTTTTGTATTGTATATTGTTTTCCATCTTTTAAATTTAGTCTAGATTTGTTTTTATATTTAACATGAGTCTTTTTAAGACAGTATATAATTTGAAGCTGCTCTTTATCCAGTCTGACACAATCTGTTTTAGCCTGAGTGTTTCATTCATTCACATTTAATATAACTATTAATGTGATTGAATGTAAATCTACTAACCTGCTATTTGTTTTTAAATTTGTTCTATTTCTTGTTTGTTCTCTTATTCTTTTCTTAACTTTTACCTTTTAGCAGCTTATTACATCTATTTTTTGTATTTTTAGCTATACTTCTCAGTTACATTGTTTTCTTAATGACTTTAAATATGCTAACAACATATGGCAGACTATTTAGAATTAATATTTTATTAAGTCACATGTAATATATGAAACTTACAAGAGAATAGGTCTATTTACTCCATCTTTTGTCAATTGTTATCATATATTTCACTTCTACATTTGTTATAACCCTTACAATGTATTAATATTTATGCTATTAACAGTTAATTCAATTTTAAGAAATATATATATTTAAGAGAAAATAACAGCTTTTTATATTTACTCACATATCTTTAATTTTTGATGCTACTCTTTCCTTCATGTGATTTTTCTTTTTTTATTTTTATTTTTTAATTTTAAGTCATGTGCAGGCTTGTTACATAGGTAAACTTGTGTCCTAGGGGTTAATTGTACAGATTATTTCATCACCCAAATATTAAGCCTAGTACCCAAATATTAAGCCTAGTACCCAAATATTAAGCCTAGTACCCATTAGTTATTTTTCTTGATCCTTTCCTTCCTTCCACTCGCCACCCCTGTAGGCCCCAGTGTGTACTGTTCCCCTCTATGTGTCCATGTGTTTTCATTATTTAGTTTTCACTTATAAGTGAGAACATGCAGTCCTTGGTTTTCTGTTTCTCCATAAGTTTGCTAAGGATAATGGCCTCCAGCTCCATTTTCACTGCAAAGGATATTATCTCATTCCTTTTTATGGCTGCGTAGTATTCCATAGTGTATATGTACCATAATTTCTTTATTCAATCTATTTTAATGGGCATTTAGGTGGATTCCATGTCTTTGCTATTGTGAGTAGTGCTTCAACGAACATACGTGTGCATGTGTCTTTATAATGGAACAATTTATATCCTTTGGTTATATATACAGTAATGAGATGGCTGGGATGAGTAGGTATTTCTGTCTTTAGGTCTTTGAGGGTGATTCTCAGTTTCCAGCTACTACCATTCTCTTCCATCTTGAAGAACTTTTCCTAGTATAGTATTTTTCATATTACATGCCTGCTTGCAATACATTCACTCAGTTTTTTTATTGGCTACATATTTAAAGGCTGATTTTTTTTCTTTCAGTATTTTAAACAATATTCTGTTGTCTCTGGTCTCTTCTGAGAAGTCAGCCTTCATTCGAATCATCTTTTCTCCAGCATATAATGGGTGTTTTCTTTCCGGCTGTATTTAATATATTCTCTTTTTTTGTTGCCAGCTGTTTGAGTATGATGTGCTTAGGTGTATTTTTCTCTGGGTTTATCCTGTTGGTACGCTTTGTGCTTCTTGGAAATAGGGGTTGGTAGTGTCGATCTTTTCTTTAAGAAATAGGCCTATATTCCTTCCTATTGCTTCTCCCCTTTCCCTCTGGAGCTCCAATTATGCTAGCATATTGTTTCAGGGGTCATTCAGATTCTGTTGAGTTTGTTATATTCTATGCTTTACATGGACCTGTTTTCATGTTCACTGAGTCTTTCTTCTCAAGTTTAAAAACTTACATTACAGTGATTACAAAATAAAAATTATTGAAAGCCTTTAAATTTATATAAATATATATATATATACACTATACATATATTTATTGAGGTTCTTGTCTTCATTAATTCTACAATCTCCTGCCTCTGTTTCTCAATTAATCATTCAAGTATGGTCCCAGAATAAGATTAAGTAAAGTGAGAAAAATTCATATTACAAATATCTATATCTATAATGCAAAGTCCTAATAAAAAGCAGGTTTATATTATTATGGTGCTTCAGAATTTGGATTTCTCCATACATTTCAGAGAGCTGTAAGATTCTGACTATCATCAAGGAAAATTACCTATGAGAACACTGACAACATAGGAACTCGATAAAAAACTTGCTAACGTGCTAACATTTGATTGATAGTTTTCACTTTTATGTCAATGATTGTTTCAGTTCATCATGATCATTCTATCAACACTCTGCAATTATTACCAAGGTAAACTGTGATTCCCAAGGCCTTTGTTTTTGTCACTCTCCTTCTTTATTGATCCTGATGGTCCCCAGTGATGTGAATTTCCATTAACCTGATATTTGTATACTGCTCTTTTCAAGAAAAAAATATTTTTAAATCTAAGAGGCACAGCAAAATGCACAGGCAACAAAGTATTACCAGGGTCCAATCTCATTTTGACAAACATTCTCTAGACGAAGAATTTCAAGTTTTTGGCATTGAGATGGCAAGACGTTTAGTTCTATATGAAACAAAGGCATTAATGTAATTATGCAGAAGTGTCAGGGAATCAAAACGAAAGTGTAAACAAGAAGTACAACTAAAAGGCAAGGCGCCTATGGTAAAAGTAGCTAAATTTTCACTGCATAAAGTACTTTCTCTGCAATTCAGCAGAATATATCTATTCAATGATCCGGAAGCTTTTCAAAATTGATTTCATCATCTATAGAGAAGAAGATGGGATCTGGCAGCAATAGCTTCCATGCAGCCAGAGTTCCATCTTCTGTTCTAAAAACTCTTATTAGGGGGTGTCATAACATAGGCACCATTTTGTATGCACGATTATGCATGCATTTTTTCGGGAATTTATTTTTGTGGCTTTTATTAGATTCTGAATACAAGTCTCCTAATCTGAAGAAAATAATAATTATGATGGTACAATTTAGAAGTGTGTGCAAAGGCCTAACATTTGTAATTAACTTCCTACAAAAGAATACTAAGAGAAAATTCTTTAAAATCTTAGTTTATTTATTGGAAAATATCATTCCAATTTAAACTGTGATCCTAATATCTAAACATTCAGTTAGACTTTATTAAAATTAAAAATGTTTGTCTGGCAAATAAAACAATAGTGAAATACAACCTACAAAATGGGA
Organism: Homo sapiens; assembly: GCF_000001405.40. Classification (NCBI taxonomy): domain Eukaryota; kingdom Metazoa; phylum Chordata; class Mammalia; order Primates; family Hominidae; genus Homo; species Homo sapiens. The sequence goes on along the minus strand of NC_000008.11, from coordinate 75,960,481 downwards.
ACAAATATCTGTCAATCATTTATCTGAGAGAGGATTAGCACGCGAATATGTCAACAACACTTCCAACTCAACAATGGAAAGACAAATAACCCAATTAAAAATAGGCAAAGAATTTGAATTTATACTTTAACAAAGGTATACAAATTATCAGTAAATACATGAAAGGATGCCTAACTCATTAGTCATCATGAAATGCAAATCAAAACCACAATGAAATACCATTTCCCACATACTAAGAAGGATAAAATAAGATAATAACAAGTGTTTACAAAGCAGAGAAATTGGAGCCCACATACATTGTTGGTAGGAATAGAAAATGGTGCTACTGCTTTGGAAAAGGGTTTTTTAGTCCATCAAAATGTTAAATATAGCGTTACATATGACTCAGCAATTTCACTCCAAGTGCCCAAGAGAAATGAAAGCATATGTCTATGGAAAACTTGTGCATGAATTTTCATAGCAGCATTGTTCATTTTAGCCAAAAAGTAGAGATAACCCATGCTTTCTCTACTGGTGAATTAATAAACAAGGTATAGTATATTAATACGATGACATATTATTTAGTAATAAATAGAAGTACCGCTGCATGCTATAACACAGATAAACTTATAAGGCATTAAGCTAAGTAAAAAAGACACTCACCAAAAAAAAAAACATGTATTATATGATTCCCTTTATAAGTGAAATACCTAATTTTAATTGCAAATCTACAGAAAATAGATCAGTTATTGTCACGGGAGGAAAGGTAAAGAAGAGTGGGAACGGAGAATGACTCCTAATGCCCATAGAATTTTCTTTTAGGGTGATGAAAACGTTCTAAAATTAGATTATGGGGATGGTTGCACAACTCTGTGACTATACTATAAGCCGCTGAACTACATACTTAAAATTGATTAATTTTATAGTGTGTGAAATGTACCTTACTAAAATTATAAGGAAAATTTAAAAGACAAGCCTTTATGAATTGTTAGAGTTTAAATGTTTGACAATACTAAAACTGACATTTCGTTTGTTGTTTTTGTTTTGAGACAGAGTCTCACTCTGTCACCCAGGCTGGAGTGCAGTGGCACAATCTCTGCTCACTGCAGCCTCTGCCTCCTGGGTTCAAGTGATTCTCCTGCCTCAGCCTCCCAAGTAGCTGGGATTACAGAGGCACCACACCTGACTAGTTTTTGTATTTTTAGTAGAGACAGGGTTTCACCATGTTGGCCAGGCTGGTCTTGAACTCCTGGCCTCAAGAGATCCATCCACCTTAAGCTCCCAAAGCGGTGGGATTACAGGCGTGAGCCACCGTGCCCAGCCTATTTGTTTGTTTTAATGTTGGTAAGATGTTTTATTACATAAATATAATTTTTAATCCAAATTAAGCACAAACTTTACCCAAGCTTCTACCAAACTTGCATCCGCTTTTATGTTTTATATTTTTTCCTGTTCCTGTCCACAAACAAAGTTTAATGTAATTGTAATTATCAATTAGAACATCTCTTGCCTTTTGTCTCCATTCTTTTTTAAAGAATAATGACATTTAAGTTTTGTGACTAATTCAAATTATTTTTCAAATACAAATCATTAGTACTATTTGTGTATGAGTAAATCCATTAACGATCCCTCTCAATTGTTTTTTTGTCAAAAGCAGGTAGACAAAGCTATGCAATACAAAATGCTGAGATGACATAAAAACAAAAATAAGATGTAGAAACTATTATTTTAAAAGATGAGCTTAGCGGGAGGGTAAATTGTGACTAAAAAGATTTTTAAAAGCAGCTTCTGTGTTTTCCTGACTTTTTTTTTTTTTTTTTTTTTTTGGCAAGGATGAGTCAAGAAAGGTTAGGCTCAGATGGTCTGTGTCATATCATATTCTTCTTATACCTGAAATCACAACATTATTCACAGGCAATAACACTGGTTTACTCTGAGAAAATTTCAATGCTAATATGTTTCAGTATCATTTTAAGTATTAAGTCATAACCACAATATATTTTGATTCTAAAATAAGTGAAAAACTCATGGATGCCATTAATGTGGTTTTCTTCTTTTGAATTGAATCATGAAACTTTCTAATTTTTTTGCTAAGCTAATACAATTTTTTAAAGAATTAGTAAAATTTCTAGTTAGCAATTATTTTTCTGCATACCTTTAACAAAATAGGAACTAAGTAACTATATATCAAATGAGTTTATCTAACCTGGATTACAAAAGCTGTTTAAAATGGAGAATTAAAAGAATGCAAGAAGATTGAATTTTTCTAAATTGAGTTTTATTATATTGAATTTTAGCAAATTCTAAAATATAAAACATAAGTTGTTATTAATAAAAGACCATATTTTATCTATACAACTGAAAAACTAAAAATAAAATTAAAACATTTTCATTTGGAAGTGTGATTTATAATTACAAATTACTGAGTTTAAGTCATATTTTTTCCCACAGTATATAAAAACAATGGAACACTATCTGAGATCACTATTTGATATCCTTTTCTGTATGTGGAATAACGTGGGTTACAATCTAGACATTCATTATACTCCATGTGTTTTTGGTATTTCAAAGGAGAAAAGAAATTGGCTGTTTGTAAGCATTCATTAATGCCTAAATAATCATCTTAAAGCCAAGTACAAAGTTGCAAGCAAAAATCTGCTAGGAAAACCCATTAAAGTTACTTTACATCCAATGTTCCAAAATATTATAATGCTAACAAAGCCTCATACAATGTCCATTGATGAACGTCTTTTCTCAGTATGCATAGCCCTATGTAATAGACTGTGCACCTCAAGATAAACTTACCTTTTCCATAAATCAGCTTAGGGGAGATTTCCAACTTTGCAGTTAGATGCTGTATTTTATAATCTAAAAGATTTATCTTTTCCTCTTTTAAAAACTATTTTAAGTTACAGCATTCGAATATTATAAAAATACAATGCCATGAAACTTGTGAACCTAGTATAAAAATTGCTCTATGGAAAAATTAAAATTGTTATGTTTATCTCTAAACAACATGATGCTCCAGCTATTAAAGAGGGAAAGTGTTCTTTTTAAAAAGACAAATGTTCCTGTGTTCACCGTCAAATCTGTAAGCTTTTAAACTATTAAAGACAAATTTAAAATATGTAAAGACAAATTGTTTGTGAATCGATACAAAAAATATTTGTTGGGTAAATTAGTTACAGGCCTCTCAAGGGAGTTAGTGCTTTTCAGCATGTAAAGCAGGTGGAGGAAATTTGGCTATACTTATTTAAGCATCGGTATTAATTTACAAAATTTTAATGATAATTTGTTACTACTTTTCTATTAGTATTAAATTGATAAGTGTATGTTTTGAGTTTTAGTTTATGCAAATAATTATTTCCTTGCTTTAAAATTTTGCCATTTCATAAATGCTAGGCAAAAAAAAGGAAACATATATAAAGTAAAATGATGCAATATTATTTACAAAGTACTAGATAGTTGTTTCTATGCAAAAATGCTTGGCAAAGATGTTTAACCTGTGTACATATGCATCTTTATATGCAAAATCCTTATTTCTATAAGACTTGAGGGGATGCCTGTCCCTTTGAATTATGACTAATATGTGTCATTGAAATAATAAGGTATAGTTTGGCATATATTTCACATATTATAAATAACTATAAGGTGTATGTGATTAAATAGGATTGTAAGAATCACATATAATTTTATAACAGATACTTTTCATAATAGAAATCACCAATTTTGCACGTTTTCAATTTAAAGTGGATTTTTACCTCATCTTAATTGACAGTAAAGGCTTACAAGCAGGTCTAAAATATAATGAAAATCATTATTAATGATCTATAATCTAATTTTATTTTTTTCTCCAATATTGTATACAGGTTGAGCATCTCTAATCCAAACATTCGAAATCTGAAATGGTTCAAAATTTGAAAATGTTCAAGTGCCGGCATGACACCACAAGTGGAAAATCCCACACCTCATCTCATGTGGCAGGGTCCTGGTGGAAACACAGGTGCACAATTCACAGCTATTCAGAATACCTCCCCATTGCTAGAAGACCCACTTTTTGGTCCTTTAATTGCTTCTATGTGTCTTCTCACCTAAAAGTTAAAATCCAGTGTATGGTAACCTTTTCATCAAAACACAGTGCCGTAGGTAGAGACTGAAAACCTGCCATTGTTTGTTGCTGCAGTTTAACAGTTGATCCAGGTATTCTGGTCATGTTATTGTGTGGCCTGGTTACCCTAAACACATTATTTCTTCACTGTTTTAATGGTGTGTCCTATTTTTCACTGTTAAGTAATTTTGAGTGAATAAGCGCAAGAAAATGATTTCTTATGGGTAGTATGTAAATTTAGAGTCAAGAATGATGGTGGTGTTGAATAAACACACATTGTCCACATGGGGCCCTGAGATAGTGACACCGTTGCTTTCTGGTGGTTTAAAGCATAAAAACTTTGTTTCATGCACCAAATTATTTTAAAATGTCGTATAATTTTACCTTCAGGCTATGTGTATGATGTGTATGTAAAACTAATAAATTTTGTGTTCAGACTTGGGTCCCACCTCCAAGATATTTCATTATATAGGTGCAAATATTCCAGAATCTGAAGAAAAAAATCAATAATTTGAAACACTTCTGAGCCCAAGCATTTCAGATAAATGACACTTAACCTGTACTCTCATCCTCAACATTTTGGGGTCTTTTGATTTTTCATGTTATCCCACTTACTCTTTCACATGGAAATCATATTAGTTTCCTCATCATTTTAATCTTCATATATTTGAGTTGCTGTGGACAATTTTATAACCCCCCTGGAGCTCCTGGGCTTCCTTGACCTTCACATGTGTGATATTGATGGGGAAAAGGGCAGGTAAATTTAAGTCATATTGTCAAAACCCTGCATTGCTTTCCTGAGAGCAATTGTGACACACTGTATAAAATGTTAGAATTCTGACAGTCAGTTCTACTGCTTTGAACTTACTTTGTCCAAATATAATAATATAGGGTAAATTGTTAAATATAGTAATAATAAGAGTTCAGAGATCCATTAACATGGTTAGCCAATTTTCAGAAAAACTCTCATATCAATTTATATTTTGTGTTCTTATAATATACAGACAATGTAATATATACACCATTTGATATATGCACAGATGATCCATGGTTTATCCATTCTCTACTACAAAATGAATAATTTTGTCATTTTTTTTCTCATTTCAGAAGCACTTCTGAAGAACTGGGCTTCATGATGAATTCTAATTTGAAAACCAGTTGGAAGTGTTTTGATTTCTTCTCAACTTATATATTTATCCCCATAAATTTATCACTGAAACTGAAAAAATATGGTATCAAGATTTACTTATCTTTGTTTTCCTTCTCTCAACTCATTTCCTCCAATATAGTTTGTTTACCTACCTATAACATAAAGGCCAAGACATCACGTGAGCTGGCTCCTAAAAGTATCTGGTGATGCCACCTGTTCCTAGCATTTACCTTTCCTTCTCTTTGAAAGAAGTTTCATGGAGGAGAGCATGCAGGCAACCAACATAAATGCATACATCTCTCATATAATAATTTCATTGTTTCTCACTGTCTTTTGTAGGCCAATTCAATTTTCTCTAACTAAAAAGTCAACCTTACTTACTTATATGCTATACTTGGTTTCTGGGGTTTTGTCCAGTCATTTGAAGAGATCATCTGAAACATGTGAAAGAAAAGTTTAAAATGGGCCAGGCGTGGTGGCTCACACCTGTAATCCCAGCACTTTGGGAGGCCGAGGTGGGCGGATCATTTGAGGTCAAGAGTTCAAGACCAGAGTGGCCAACATGGTGAAATCCAGTCTCTACTAAAAATACAAAAATTAGCTGGGCATGGTGGCACATGCCTGTAATCCCAGCTACTCAGGAGGCTGAGGCAAGAGAATTGCTTGAACCCAGGAGACAGAGCTTGCAGTGAGCCAAGATTGCACCACTGCACTCCAGCCTGGGTGACAGAGTGAGGCTCCATCTCAAAATAAATAAAGTTTAAAATGTTTTAAACTACTTTTTTAAAATTGTAAGCCTGTGCTTTAAATAATTCAAGAAATTTTTAAAGCTTAGATTGAAATAATTTTTATTAAAATTAAAAATATTTTAGAATAAGAAAAAATATTTTAAAGTGTAAAGCACAACTTTGAAAACAAGCATTACTTCTAAAATTTGGAAGACTCCAAATTACAGACAGGAAGAGAAGAACAACAACCAGTTATGGACACACCAACTTCGGTAAAATATAAGCTTTGATTATCTTACCTAGAATTTTGCAGTGAGAAATATAAAGATAAATGTTCTTTTTTGAACTTCAGTATAAATGTAAGTTTTATGTTTCATATTTTAATTTGGCATTAGTTTAGAATTGAGGTTTAGAATGGTATATAACAGTACTTATGTAGTTCGATTGTCTAAAAGTCTTAATATAATAGTAGAGCGTAAGAAGAGGGACTGATGGTAAACGAGCCTTCTGAAAGTTCCTTTTATACTCATTTAAATAGTATTCATCAAACACTTACTATATGTAAGGTACTAGTGACACAGCAATGTATAAAGCAGCTGTCTTTCTTGAAACTTTTTACTAGCACCAAAATAGTTTCAAGAACCTGAAACGCTGTCATTCTTATAATATCTTTCCTCACCCATGTCCAGCTTCAGTGAATCTAGGATTTCTCCAACACAAATGTTGCTGTGAGAGAACTGAGTGGATCTGCATGGCCTAGTTAAATGCCATCAGTTCTATTCATTATTCCTCTAAGCACACATAACTCAGAATATTTCTGACTAAATCATTGTTATAAGCTGTGGATTCAACACTCAACTTAAAAACTCAACTCTTCGCCATATAGATTCAATAATTATTCTTTCTCCACCCACTGCGAGATATTTCAGCAAGCCTCTAAAACACTATACGCTCTTGCCTGGATAAGAACACTTGAAAAAGAAATTTTTGCATGATTCCATTACAAAATAAATTTTAAAATAATTTGTTTACTCTTTAGCCACTAATAAGACAAATAATGTCAATCAGCATTAATAAAATAATAAATATATGAATTAATTATAGTATTTTCTCTATATAATCAGTGGTAACTTTCACCTAATAATTAACATTATTCAAAAACGATATTATTTAAGCCAATGAAATATAACATTTCAACTGAAGTTTCTACAACATAGCAAAAAAAAAAAATTCAGAAGCTATTCAAAGAAATCAATACTTATAAGCAAAGTATTTCTTAAAGATACAAATGATACTTATAAGAAATTGTTATCAAGTTCTTTCTGTTCTATTCTTACTGGACTCTATGGAAGTTAAATAAAAACCAATTGTTTTTTTCTAATTTTAGAGCATTTATTCTAAAAGCAGTATAAGCTATGTGCTCAGAGAATTATTTGATGCTGCATGCAGTGACACCAAAAGGAGTTTTTAGGGAAAGGTGGTACTTTTATATGTTTCATATTTATAAATTATGTATGGCATATTTATGCTACAGTCAAATGTTAACAATAGCAACCGTAGAGCCATAGAGGATGAAGAAAAATAAAATCAAAATCAGTATGCAAATAAATCCACAACCGCAGGCCATTCTACAAATTATGAAGGGTTAAATGGCATGGATTTGTTTCTTAAGAATCCATAATCTAACAGAATTACAGTATAAATATTACCTGTGTTTATATTAATAAAACCACTTGACATGATGATAAAGTCACATAATTGTCAGATGCCAAATCATCACATAACAGAAAGAGAAACTTGAAAACATAATTTAAAAGACAAACCAAGTAAGTCATTTTATACCCTAAATCCTAAATACTCAAAGGTAAAAAAGGATTAAGAATAAAATAGGGATAGTGTCCCAAGGCAGAAATCATGTAACATATTGTCGTATATTCAGATGATAACTCAGCATCTGGCATGGAGCAAGTACACAATAAATCCATGTACAAATAAATGATGCAATAAACAAACAATTGAATGAAGCAGCTGGGTGCTTCAGTCAGTTAAGTGTTTGATTTTCACAAGACCTAAATTTTACTTTCAACGTCTACTTATCTCTCAAAAGTGTTACAATTTGGTGAAAAAAAAGTGGAAGAGTGTTTTAGAAAGAAAAATTGTTCACATGAGAGAAACAGAATTTCAGAGCTGAAAGTCTTTAGCTTTTCTCCTTAGGACACACTGCATAAGAGCAATGATGCCTAACAAACACAGGCCTTTGTGTACTCTGCAAACAGTGTCTAATAAATATAGCAGACAATAAAAATAGACAAATTAAAATACGCATACCTACACACAGAGGCAATTTTCCAAGAACACTTTTCAAGGTTACAGAGAAAAATGTTTTACTTAAAACTCACCATCAAGAACTTAATGAACAATTATAGCCTTCTGTACGAGCATACAATAGCCAAACAATGGTTGATTCAACAGTAAAGTAAATTGTCTATTACAGACAGTCCCCATTAAAGAGGAAAATGAAGAAAGAGAATATAAGAACTGGAGAGCAATATCTTGCAATGTGTTGGGACAAGTAGGCTGCAACAGAGAAGAACTGAGTAAAAAAGGGGATTTAGAGAATTACTAAGAAAGTATACACAACTAGAATAAGTGTGTTAAGAAAAAAAAATTTTAAGCTGATTTTTTTTTTATTTGAGACGGAGTCTTGCTCTGTCACCCAGGCTGGAGTGCAACGGCGTGATCTCAGCTCACTGCAATCTCCACCTCCCAGGTTCAAGCCATTCTCCTGCCTCAGCCTCCCGAGTAACTGGGACTACAGGATCATGCCACTGGGCCTGGCTAATTTTCGCATATTTTTTTAGGAGAGGTGGGGTCTCACCATGTTGGCCGGGCTGGTCTCGAACTCCTAGCCTCAGGTGGTCTGCCTGTTTTGACCTTCCAACGTTCTGGGATTACAGGCATCAGCCACCACTGCTGGCAAAAAGCTGATTTTTATTTCATGAGCCTGAGGAACAAAAAGAATAACCGTCCAAATACTAAATAATATTTTAACAACCTGGACACTTTAATTTAATTTAAGGATACCAAATTTAAGACAAAATAGTTTCTGACAGATCTCCTTTAAAAGCTGTAGAATGATTCCAAAAATCACTGTGTGGTTTCAGTGCTTACTGGTATCAAAATATGCCTGGTGAAATAACTGACATTAAGAAAATGCCTTTCAAATTTCCAGTATTTCAAGAAAAGGCAATAGCCTCACTCCTGCCAGGATCCCAAGTTAGAAACCTGTGTCACCCACTACTTTTCCATTTATTCTCAGTATCATATTAGTCACCAGGTCCTATAAATTCTCTTTCCAAACTGTCTTTTGAATCTGGACATTCTTGCTGTTCCTATAATGCCCTCAGTTTCAGCCCTCCTCTTTTTTTTTTTTTTTCTTAAATTGTGCTTCCTCTGCAATTTCATCAGAAATTCCAGCCTCCAAAATAGAACTGGAGTCTGACTACTCTTCTACATTAACATCCACCTGGTCTGGTCTAGACACCATGCTCTCTGACCTAAAACAAGAGCTTCCTCTTCATGCTTCCAGAATCTTTCTCTTAATAATAATAAAAAAAAAATCTGGTTTATCACCCAGTTAGCTTTAAGTCCTTTGATAGTTTCCTTCTGCTTTTCAGATAAAATTCCTTAAAATGAGCAACGAAACTCATCTAGAATCACTCTTCCTGCTCCTTAGTGAGCTTCACTTGGGCATTCTTTTTTCTCCACCTACAACACAATCTCTTTCTTGCCATGGTATCTGCATTTAGCTGGTACTACAAACTTCAGTGTCTTTCTTTCTTTTAAAATTAATCAATTTTTATCTTCCTTTCTTTCTTTTTCTTTTTTTTTTTTGACACAGGGTCTTGCTATTATGCTGCCTATGATGATCTCGAACTCCTTGGCTCAAGCGATTGTCCTGCCTCAGCCTCTCAAGTAGCTGGAACTACGGCACGGGCCATGACACCAAGCCCTGTCTCAGTTTTGACAGACCTGGTCCTTCTCATCTTTTATGTTGATCAAGGGCCATGTCCCTTAAAGAAAGCTGTTCTGCTTACCCAATCGAAATGGTGAAGTCTTTCCTCCTTCCCAGCTCGAAGGACTCTAGCATATCTCCCTTTTTATTATACTTTTGACTTTTAAAATATTTTACTATTATTATTTTCAAAGTAGTAAATGCACCATAATTTCACACTTCAAATGACTTATGGTGAAAAGCACCTGCATTACTCAGCATTAGCCACTTTCCATTCTTTTCTGTTTGCTTTGGTGTTTAACTTCATGCTTCTAAATAGTTTGCTAATACAGGTGTTACTTATTATTTTTTTCTTTAGAGGTTATCATTTAATTTCTTAAAATTGAAAATAAGGAGTTAGCTCTCTTACTTCCTACATTATTCTAACTCGTATTTTCACATATTTGGTGGAAATCAATCTGTTTCTGTTATTATAATTATGTATATAACATGCAGAGATCAGCCATGTAGTATTCAATGATTATACACGTTTTTTTTTTCACTGATGCAATAATTGTACATATTTATGGGATACAATGTGACGTTTTGATACATTGTGTAACAGTCAAATCAGAGTAATTAGCAGATATATCACCTCAAACATTTATCATTTCTTTGTAGCAATAAGATGCAGAATCCTCTCTCCTAGCTATTTTTAATTGTACAATACATTATTGTTAACTATAGTCACCCTACTGTGCAATAGAACTAAATTCCTCCTGTTTAAATGTAACTTTGTACCTGTTGGTTATATTCAACTTTTTATAATAATCTGGTTTGCCCTAGAGTTGATTCCTTTGTCTTTTCATTTGCTTAATATCCTAAGAATTTATGACCGATTTATCCACAAACTTCACCAGAAGTGTACACTTCTTATTGATTTGTGCAAATGGATTTATCTGTTTTGTTTTTTTGTGGAGATCTCACCCTTGTGTTCTACTTTCCTCTAGCTCCCATCAGAACTCTGCCTGTGGGTCTGTGGGATGGCTGTCACTTTTTAAATTTCCTTCAGCATTATTCTGGGAATACACTTGCTCCCTCCAATGTTGGATTTCCTGGTTCCCAAGCCTCAACTGATCCTAGCTTTTATCTTTATTTTTATTTTTTATTATTTTTTTTATTTTTTAAAGATGGAGTCTCACTCTGTCTCCCAGGCTGGAGTGCAGTGGCGCGATCTCGGCTCATTGCAACCTCCGCCTACAGGGTTCAAGCGATTCTCCTACCTCAGCCTCTCGACTAGCTGGGATTACAGGCACGCGCAGCCACACCCAGATAATTTTTGTATTTTTAGCAGAGACGGCTTTTCGCCATGTTGACCAAGCTGATCTCAAACTCCTGACTTCAGGTGATCCGCCTGCCTCAGCCTCCCAAAGTGCTGAGATTATAGGTGCGAACCACCGCGTCTGGCCAGCTGTTAGTTAGGGCATGCTTTGTTAGGGCATGCGTTCCAGGAGTTGTCTAAGAAATAAGGCAACGTTGAGAAGTGGTGTTAATACCTCGCCATTCCAAAAATGTCATTGTTCACATTGAATGGCAGTTTGTCTAAATTGAATTCCAAGTCAGAGATAATTTTCCTTCAGAATTCAGGAGACAGTATTCCATTTTCTTCTAGCTTATTATAATGTTATTAAAAATGTTAATGCTAGCAGATTCTTGGCTCAAGTGATATATGGTTGTGTATTTGTTTTTTTCTCTAGACACATTCTGGCTCTTGTTTGGCCCCCATTATTTTGAAATTCTAAAAGACAAATATGTGTGTTGACATGAGTCGTTTTCCTCCCACTGCTCTGGACATTTTATGGGCTTCTTCCATCTATAGATTTATGTCTATCTCTTCTGGAAAAATCTTTGTGAAATTATATCTGATAATTTTCCTCCTCTGTATTTTGTCTGCTGTTTCTGACATTCCTTCAAGATTCTTTCTTATCTTTCCTATAATATTTTTCCTCTCTTTGCCATTTTGTCCTATTTTCTGGAAAATCATTGCATTTTAACTTCCAAACATTCTATTGACTATGAGAAATATGTTTTTCTCCCAAGTCTCTGATGACATGGGTGTTGGTTGTTGTTATTGTTTTGTTTTCTATCTTACCTTGTTTTCTCTTTGCTCTAATTTCCTCTGTTTCTTTGTTAACAATTTCTGCCTTTGATTTTATAAAATTTTTTTAAGCCTTACTTAGCTGTATTTAAAAGAAAGGAACCAAATAGTTGGAAGAAAGTTCTATTTTGTGTGTAGGGGGGGCCAGCTTCTTTGGAGGTCCTCTCTATAGAGCACCTATAGAGTAGGTGTTTATGGGTTTCTTCTTTTTCTTTGATCTCATTAGTTTCCCAAAGAAGAATGATTACTCTCACATGTGGTCTGACTGCTACTGTTCTCAAAGCTGAATGGGAGAATAGAGGCCAGTAGGATGGGAAAAAGAGTCTAACCATTCGTGTGTAGACTTTCATTTAACTTTCTGGTTTTCATGCTTTAGTTGTATGTGGCATCCAGGGATCGACAGTTGTCTTTTCCAGATAACTGTGTCTTCAACTTTTCATCTTCTACCATGATAGGAATGAGTAATCACTTGGTAAAATTGGATAGGGGGAAGGCTTTACTCGTCTAATTTGTTCCTTATTCAGATATTCAACAAAGTCTTTTATTTAAACATCCCCATCTTGAGAAATGCTCTATGCTTCCAAATTCCTGAGTCATACTGAGGTGGTGCAGGGTAATTCATCTTGCTTCTTGGTGATCTTCTGTGATCCCACTGTAGGCCACGATTTCAATGCTCTGGTCGGCTAAGTTAGTACCCACCCATCTGCTTAGAGTTAGCAGCTGCCTATATTTCTGCTGTTGTCTTCTCTCCTTTGTTAAATTTTATTTTGCTTTTTGGTATATGTGGAATTATTCACTTCCCCTCAATTTTTTTCATGATACTTTCACTGTAGTATAGTTAAGAGAAGCAGTGGCCAATATGTGTTTAATATTTTTGTATTTAACCCAAAGTTCTAAGTGTACTTTTTACATTTAATATAATAATAATCCATGTATATTTTCTCATGATGTTAAATACTCTGATCCCATCAGCATATTGAATTCACCCTCTTTTTTGGTACCTGTCCTCCTACTAAGATTATTTGCTTTCCTAAAACTGTCTTCCCACTACCATGCAAGGCTGGAATAATAGAGACTTTATTTTATTTTTTTTTTTACTAGTGCTTCATGAGTGAATAGAATAGTACTTAGTACCTAGCAGGCACTCCCTGAATATTTGCTCAACAAAGTTCAACTGATAGATCTTCCCTTGACACAAGGCCACTGCGCTTAACACAACTCTGGTTCTCCATTGACTAGGGTTAAGTTTATGCTCTTTAACCTGGCCTGCAAAGGTACAATCATCTATTAATATATCATCCTCTTCCCACTCACTCTGGACTCCTCAGTTTCAACACATTGCAATTCAGGTCATTGTATTAGCACATATCTTTGCGTTTTGCAATGCCCTTGCCCCTGTTCCGTATAAGACAACCTACTCCTGGTTGTTTAATATATAGATCACATGTAACCATCTTCTTCAAGAGCTTTCTGCCTTTTCAGTTTCAGTTGATCCTTCCTCCACCATTAAAGCCTCTTAGAGGTTTACTACTTAAATGTGTGCTCTGGAACAGTAGTATTGGCATCTGCATTATTTTAAATGCAGAATCCAGGACTCCAGTACAGATTTTCTGTCTCAAAATTTTCATTTCAGCAAGATTCTCAAGTGATTTATATGCCCAATAGACACTCAGAAGTATGTCTTAGAGAACTTTTTAGATTACATGACTGTTTGCTCTCTACTTCCCACCTCTAAATGAAACTGTAATGTACTTGAGAGGAAGTTGTTATTTATTCATGTTACTAAATATTATCTTAGTTTTCTGGTATACAGTTTTTCAATGAATGCTTCCGGAAGACAGGAAGGAAGGAAGGAAGGAAGGAAGGAAGGAAGGAAGGAACGAAGGAAGGAAGGGAGGAAGGGAGGGAGGAAGGAAGAGAGGGAGAGAGGGAGGGAGGGATAGAGGAAGGAAGGAAGGAAGGAAGAAAGGAAGAAGGAAGGTTGGTTTATTTTCAGCTTAGGATGTTGTCTTGAGCCTAAAATTGTCTATAGACTGTGAAGACACTGGAGTTATGCAACTGCAAAGCAAGGAATGCCAAAGACTGTGGCAACTCACCAGAAGATAGGAAGAGACAAGAAAGCTTTCCTCTACAGGTTTCAGAGGGAGCATATCCTTTGTTGACATTTCAGACTTCTATCCTCCATAACCATAAGATAAAACCTTTCTGTTATGTTAAGCGATCATTTTGTGGTATAGTTGACCCTTGAGCAATGCAGGGATTAGGGGTCTTGACCTTCCCCTCCCACATAGCTGAAAATCTCTCTATAACTTTTGACTCCCCCAAAACTTAACTACTCATAGCCTACTGTTGACTAGAAGCCTTACTGATGACATAAACAGTCAATGAATACATATTTTGTATGTTACATGTATTATATAATATATTCTTACAATAAATTAAGCTAGACAAAAGGCAATGTTATTAAGAGAATCACGAGGAAGAGAAAATATATTTACTATTTATTCAGTGGAAGTGGGTCATTAAAAAGGTCTTCACCCTTGTCATCTTCATGTTGAGTAGGCTGAGGAAGAGGAAGAGGGGGTGTTGGTCTTGCTGTCTCAGGGATGGAAGAAGTGGAAGAAAATCCACATTCAAGTGGACCCCCCACAGTTCAAATCTGTACTGTTCAATGGTCAACTGTACTTTGTTATAAAAGCCTTAGAAAACTAATAAAAATTCTAAGGCCAAATTCCCATCTAAATTTCATGGCTCTGTACATTGATGAACAATCTCCTTGTTTTGACTATTTTTCCATAGGACTGTTCCAAATTCAGGACATTGGCATATATTGCTGGAACTGCTAAATGATTTATTACGTGATATGCCAAACAAAACTTTTGGTATTTTAGTGCATTTTAAATGTGAGCTGTAGAGAGATGTATTTTTAATTAAGTAATATTACATATCATTTTACATTTTATTTTAAAATAACATTCTTCCATGCAATTGAATGATAATATTTCATTCAAACTAAAGTTTGGTATGTCCAGATTTTAGCAACTTGAAAAATCAAAATTGAAACAGCCAACCAAAAAATAAATGGAGGCACAAAACCATCTTCTGTGGCCTGCTGTTAAGTCTAGAAATATCTTATTCTGTCAGTGTGATTTCATAGCAGGATGAAAAATGTCAAAAGTGAGGATGACAAATCAGTCTAGTGAGGAAAAATGACTCTTGGACAAGAGATGTCATTTGTCATGATTGCCATTTGACTGCACTTTCCCCTCTCTTCTCTTTCATATGAATGCAATTTTGCCATTAGTTTTAAATTATCTTTACTGCACAATGGCTTGATCATGAAAATTATATTTCCATTCAAAGAGTTGTGTAAAATAATAAAAGTTGCAAAATATAAACATTATATTGTGTGTTTTGATAAATTTTTAAAATATCATTAAAGCTTAATTTATCAAATATTATGATTTTTATACCAAGTGGCCATTTTTCCTAGACGTAGGTAACACCATGGCTTTTAAAATTTTTTTCAAAACTGACACAGCTGAGCACAGCTCCCTGAGCCACTGCATAATACGGGTGGTAATTAAGCCACAGCTTCAAGGTTGCATGGGCACAAGACAATTCAGCCTAATGAAGTATCGATCGGCTGCAGTTGAGGTAAAACAAGTTGACATTCATTTAGAGGTAGCAATGTGAATATACCACAATGCCACCAAAGAAATAAAGGGAACAAACAATGAGGCCGAATTTTAATCTTGCAAACACAATTAAGAATCTTATTTATAGCATGCTGCTATCACTTAAACTGAAGCTAATTGCATATTAACTACCCTGACATAAGATACCTAAATCAGCAGAAATTATATATCCTTAGCATAAGTGCAGAAAAGAAAAAAAAAAATGCAAGAAGTTTAGTCCTTCAATTAGAGACAATTCTAATACCTTCGAAAACTGTCCTGATGAAAATGTTTGAAATCAAATTTCCCATGTAGTTGTTTTGCACAATTAAGCTTATCTTAGGGTGCTATGAAGAGCTACTCAGAAGAGAATTCAACCTAGATTTAGTTAACATTTATTGAAATAAGTTGGTTTCTCCTCAATATCTATCATTTCATATGCCAAATAATTAACCCAATATTCAATTCAATATAATGTATTATACATTTCTTGAAATGACCTTATTTTTTCAGAAACAAATTTAGTGGCTACTGCATTAACAACCACGTTGAGGATGACCCGGATTTCCCAACATTAAGTTTCTTTTTTAAATAAGAACTAAACTCAAAGTTCACAAATGCCAGTACCATTGCGTGTTTTTAAGTTGTCACTAGTATTAAAGAATACTAGTTTAATACTAGTTGTGACTAGTATTAAAGAATACTAGTTTAATACTAGTTGTGACTAGTATTAAAGAATACTAGTTTAATACTAGTTGTGACTAGTATTAAAGAATACTAGTTTAATACTAGTTGTGACTAGTATTAAAGAATTATGAAGATTAATTGTATTTATTCATTTATTTATTGAGACAGGTCTCGCTCTGTCACCCAGGCTGGAGTGCAATGGTGTGATCTTGGCTCACTGCAACCTCCGCCTCCCGAGTTCAAGCGATTCTCCTGCCTCAGCCTCCTGAGTAGCTGGGATTACAGGCACCTGCCACCACGCACGGCTAATTTGTTTTTTTTTGTTTGTTTGTTTTGTTTTTTTTTTTTGTATTTTTAGTAGAGATGGAGTTTCACCATACCGATCAGGCTGGTCTCAAACTCCTAACCTCGTGATCCACCCTCAACGGCCTACCCAGATTTTTATAATATAATCTAAACACTATTTTAAGGCTATTAAGTAAGATATTTGGTCATTTTATAACAATTTAGAAGTGATTTGTAATTTAATGTATGAATTTTTAAAATCTGATTAACCATTAGGAAGTATTGTATTAACACTAACATTTAAGGATGAAATGTCCTTAGAAATAACAAATAATCTACTTAACAATCTATTGGCACATAACAGAGGCATTTTTAATTATATTTGATTTGATAACCAACTATGGAAGAATCACAGATTATTATTTTATTATTTTCTTTAAAAATTATGTTTATTTTAATTTTAAATAAATCAGAAGCTGAAATACAGTGTTCAGTACTCTCAATGACACTAATCACAGAACTGTTTTTAAATCCAGTATCTGAAAAGTTCATTTTTGACAAATGATGTCTTTGACTTACAATGCTTGTGGAGGCTGTTTACTTTAGGCAACAGGCCAGTTTTACATCTTTCAGGAAGACATGAAAACATGTTTATCACAAATTCTACCTAGAGAAGTCATTCAATCAAAGCTTTTACATAAGAATTAAAATTCAAAATGTATTTACGCTAATAAATTGACTCAAATTTACTGGCATTTTACAGCTTTCAGAAGCCATATTTTCTCATGAAAATATCCCCAAATGAAAAAGAGAGTGCTGATGTGTCTAATTACATTAAGACCACAGGCAGATGGACATTTCCTTGACAATACTGATAACCAGATGTTAGGATTCACAGAAATTGCCCTACTTGTTGGGAAAAGAGCATTTTGTTTGCTCATTATTTCTTTTAATTTGATAATAATTGAATTGCAGGGCTCCAATTACGGGACTTAAATATTGCAGTTCATAATATCTCATCTGAATTTTGTTTTTCTCTTGAGTTGTCTCTACATCAACAAACTTATTTATTATAAATATTAATATAGCTTTTATTAATATTTGAACATTATGTAAAAACAATGCTGTGTTTCAATCACTCTATGGTCCAGCATATACAGAGAAGAGAAAACTTAGTTTCATAATTAAACTATTTTTTGTTAACTTCCATCACAATATTCTGGATTATTAATAACAGGATAAGAAATGAATATTTTAATGATTTATTATGCATTTTTATAACTATGAAAAGAACACAACACATGATGCAAAGAGCATATTTGTAAATCTGTTTTAAATTTTAAATGTTTTTCTTTATTTTTCCCACCATGGCATATAAAGTACTTTTTGTTTATTAGATAACTCAATAAATATGTGTTAATTTGAATTTTTATTTAGAGCACCTAAGAGCCACTATGTCAATATAATTATAAATTCAATGCTATATAGATTAAAAATAAGTAAGTTTTTAAAAGTAAAATTGTACTTCGTTTGAGGTAGTACAATGTTGCATGAAAGTAGTCATTTATCTTATCTTATTTCTCCTGGAAATTTTTTTTTATCATTCAGATCCCTAGCCATATCAAATAATATAATACATTATTTTTGAGATTCATCTTCTTAAGTACATAAAAAATAAGAATATGGTTTTATTGCTAGTTGGTCAATAGAAGACAAAGAAACTAATGCTATTTTGTGTGCGTATGTGTGAGCGTGTGAGTTTGTATATTAACATACAGGAATAGAAATTGTGGTATACTGACAGATGAAAGTAGGTGAAAATGTCCAGGTATACAACTTTGCAATGGCCAACGAGGCTTACTCTTACGTACATTAGTTAATTTCACTTTTTTCCTTTGTCTTCCAGCTCTCCAAACCTTACATTAAGAACATGTGGTATAGTGATGCTGAGGTTTAGAGTAAATATTAGGAATAATTACTTATAAACATACAAAACTTATGCTATAATGATGGAATAATACTGATGTGGGACATTGGAGCTTTATAAAATCATTTTATATTTAAAATACAGTACACATTAATAAATGAAAATATGATAGAAGGTAACAAAATATATTTAGCTACATAGGACTTTTGTAACAATCAAGGGAGTACAATTGCATTATACTTTTTTGGTGTAAGTGATGCTGTTTACAAATATAGACCATTAGAATTCTTTTTCAATTGTTCATAGATAAATACCTTCATTTCAATAATTTTATTGCCTGGGTGACAGAACAAGACCCTGCCTCAAAAATAAATTCATTAATTAATTTAATTAAATAAATAAACACAATATTATTATTATTAAATATTATCAAATTATTATTATTAAATATATTATATATTATATTATTAAATATAAACATATTTATATAAGATCGCTATTTTGTGCATGTATTAAAAAGGAAAATTCAGGCAAAAATGAACTGGTTAAGATAACCTAAAATTTTATATTCAGAAACTAAATCCTCAATCACTTTTCAACTTGGAATTACCAAAGTCTGTATTTTCTCTCACAATATTGTTGTTTGTTCAATCAAGTACTTAGGTGATTTGGCAATTCTTAAAAGAAGCCATATAAAAATATAAAAGTCATTGAACCACTTCCTTAATATTCTGACATCCCAAATTTACCACGTGAACCTAAGCGACTAGAGTAGCACTTTCCTCTTTAATCCCTAGAAACAAAATAGTGATTTCAGGGGACTTTCTTCCAATTAGGTGGCAATCACTTTATAAGTTTGAGCCTGCTGTAATGTTGCACAGGCAACAAAATTACATCACAACTGCCCCAATCACAGATTTTTCTATACGTGAATATAGGGGAAAAAAATCCCAGCATCTTAAAATTGATGAAATGTGGTACATTTTGGATATCTGCCCATCTCAGTACACAGAGTTGGACTTTGTCTTTTGTGATCGTGGAATGTAGTACATGTGTATAAGTGGCTTGGTTCATGTAATAACATCCTTACTGCTAGATTTTCAGTTTCCCCTGATTCTTTTGTGTCCTTTGTTTTATTTCTGTATTCTGCTTTTTCTTTTTGATTGCTTTGCCTTGACAGTGCAAGAGAAAGAGCTCTGTGTTTATACAACATTGTGTACGTATGCTTACATATCTAGTGAATAACATCCTAGTAATGAATATAAAGAATCAAAGAATAGCCACATTTAAATTTTAATATAATTTTTTAAGCAAATTCTTTCCCTTTTGGATTTACATTCTGTACATTACCGTGCCTGGTTTTTTACACTCACTAATATCATGCATTTTCAACCTTTTAAAATTTTAACAATCTAAAAGGTGTTCTAAGTAAATAATGAATGGTGTCCCCTGGAGTTGTTCAGTATCACAACTCTCAGTCAAATTTAGTTACAGTTTTTATATTATATGACAAGAATTATGTCATGCTTAGAGAGGCTTTCAACTGTCCAATATTATTTTTAAGATTGTATACATATTTTAATATATCTTTTTTCAGATTTTTTCATTTGGTGGAGAATAATCTTTATTCTAATGTTATCTATTCTTGACTATCTAACCTTATGCATGTATGCATTTATTTACATATATATACATATACATACACACATATATATATATTGGAGAGTGAAAGAGAGAATATACGTATATACAGAGAGAGAGAATAAAGAGAGAGAAAGAGATGGGAAGGAATAGGAAGATTTTGCCTTGTTTTTTTTTTTTTTGTTGTTGCTGTTGTTGTTTGTTTGTTTTCTTAGGCTTTTAATAAAGCACCACAATGACATCTTAGGCAAATGAGTGAGATATGTATTTTTACAACCAATCTTCAGAACTGTGTTACGTTAATTTTAGCACAAACCTTAGAAGTATCTAATTGCCCTCCATCATTTTGCATGTAAGAACATTGGAGCCCAGGAGTTAAATGACTTACCCTTTTTGTCAACAAATTGGAGATCTGGGACTTGAATCTACACCTCTGGATTCCAAGTTTATTCCATTATAACATTAATATCTCAAAAGTCTGAAAAAAAGTAAAGATATTTGAGTGATGACAAAATGTAATGACTTCAAAAAATTGTGGTTAAAATGTGGGGCTTTTTGTTGGAAGAATAAAACAAAGAATCTTGTGGTGCTGTACTGTGTGGTTATTTTATCCACTTTCCAATTACTAACTGAATATGATACTTTTGGGGGTCCATAGCTTTACTCTGTATAATCCAAACAAGTGATAAACAAACTAATTAGATTTAATTATAAATACTTTCTTTATTCTAGCTGATATGTTGCTTGATTCCGATTTTTAAAGCATCTTCATATCATAACTTCCTAAATCCCATAATACACTCATATATTTACTTATTTATAAGACCTACAGTGTACAAATACATAATTTACATTTTTATAAGGTTGGTTAACAACAACAGATTGTGAGTATTCTTTATACTACATAAATATATAGTATTGAAATAAATGGCTGATGAAGAACACGCTATTGAAATAGATATTCATTTCATTGCGCTATGCCTCATCAGCCATTTATTTCAATATTGTTTATGTCATCAGCATTTTGACGGATAGCCTTTTCTCAAACTGTTCTTACCTAAATATCTAATACAGCAATCTAATTTTAGGTAAGCCATCAATCTTCATGGGTTTGGGGATAGCTTTGGAAAAAAGAATTGCTCTTTTTTTTCCTCCAAGTTTGGTGATCTGGGTCACCTATGTGAAAACTGGTCCATTCTATAAACTGGAATCTTAATTAGAATGGAGAAACTCAACCAAACGGCTGGATTTAGCTCATGAAAATTGATAAATATATATTAATTAAACCAAATATAGTATGTCATGTTTTGGGGTTCTAACCCAAATATTTGCTAGTGAACATTGCTGCATTTAACTTACATTTAAGATATAACTTTCTGTGACTGCTTTTATCACTCCCCTAATATAACTTCTATTTTCTTTCAGCTATTGAGCTAATATAGCTAAAAATCAGATATGGGATGTAATCCTGTGAGTTTCCAAATTATAACATAGGTTGGATTTACTACTTCAGCATCAGGGCTTTCATCAGGGAATAAGAGAAGCCTGAAAATTGGAATGAGGTCATTTGAAAGAATTTATATGGCTCTGAGTATTACAAATACATACACCTCACTTGCTGGTAGAAACAATTTCTCACACTCTATCTCACAGGATGTTCCTGCCTGGATTGACAATATTATAATGACTTTACCTGCAGTAAGGTAACTAAAAGGGTTTCTTTTTTATGTATATGCAAACTATCTTGCCCACTCCATATATCATCCCTCATTGATTCCTACAAAGTTAACTATAATCAGGTTTCTACAAGTCCCAGTAGGCAAATATAAAGTTAAATCAGGAAAATAAAAAAGGATACAACAAAAGAATTAAAACAATTTTATTTATGCTGGCAAAAAATATATATGTATGCATGAATTCTGAAAATGCTAGGTTAGGTAGAAAGAAACATAGTTTTAGATCACATTGGATTTCTCAATAACAATGATTTTATGTGAGATTCTTGATTTATCATTAAAATGAATAGCTAGAAATGATTTTAACTTTAGCTTTGAAAGCTGACTGGTCTATAGACAATGGTGGCCTCCATGGAATGAGGTTGTACTGTTGAAAATCCCTTACTATAATTTAGAGGAAGGAAATAAAAGACATTTGAGATGGGAAAGTTGAAAGTGATTTATGATGTGCAATCCACTCCCCTATCCTTAATTATATCCCTAAGAGCATAAAGGACACTGAAAAATTGAGAAATACATCGGTAGGAAGAGCTCCAATTTCTGTCTTATTTAGGTTAGTGGATGAAGGTCAGAGTGATAAGGGCTATTATTAAAATCGGCTTCCAGATTTCACAGTGACAATAGGATCCTGGAATAGCAAAGTCCAGGTGGTAGAACTTAACTTCTTGAGGCAACATGAAAGGGGTCACTAAGATAGGGATCAGTACCCAATTGTTAGTAAGAATGGCACCATTCATCATTAGGGGAATAGCATAAATTAGCACCATCATTAAAGACTAGAAAGATGCATCCATTACATTCCTATTTCACTTATTGGTTTGGCCATTACATTCCCATTTCACTTACTGGTTTGGCCAGTACAGAAAACTGTTTGGTCTTGAAGAGTAATTAGATTTCTCTAAACATCAGGTGATAAGTCCATTGCTGCTGTTATCCTGCAAGAACGTGTCTGTGTGTGTGTGTAAAATATAATAGAAGAGTCTATAAAATTCAAATAACAGCCACAAAGTAAATATTAGTTTATTCCCAAATAATCATATCATCAATAAAATACTGTGGGGTTTTTTGTGGGGGTTGGGTTGGGGGGACGGAGTTTTGTTCTTATTGCCCAGGCTGGAGTGCAATGGCGTGATCTCGGCTCACTGCAACCTCCACCTCCCAGGTTCAAGCGATTCTCCTGCCTTGGCCTCCAGAGTAGCTGGTATTATAGGCATGCGCCATCACGTACAGCTACTTTTGTATTTTTAGTAGAGACAGAGTTTCACCACGTTGGTCAGGCTGGTCTCAAACTCCTGACGTCAGGTGATCCACCTCCCTTGGCCTCCGAAAGTGCTGAGATTACAGGCTTGAGCCACCACACCCGGCCCAAAATATTGTGTATTTTCAAATCCACTATGAGGCCCTCCCCAGTCACATTATCTTCTTTCCAGCTGAGTGTAAACATCATCTGCAAGTTTTTGTTAAACATTCCCTTGCCTTTTTTTTTTTTAAATGCTTTTATCACCCACATATGTACCTTAAAAAGGGCCAGAGAAGTCATGTATGGTTGCACGGATTTACACTGCAAAATTACCATGTGCAGTAGTTCAGATACATAAATGTTACTCTGTTCACATTGGAGAAACTAAATTACAAGCCAGAAGAAAAACAAACAAAAAATGGCCAAGTGGAAAGCCTGTAAGGAAGGTTGATATTGCCATTATAATCTGATGGCTCCCAGTAGTAGATAAGCTATAGAGAGTCCCTGAATCAAAGACTTATTTCAGCTTTTCTTACTGTTTATAATAGTTGTTTCTTAAAAAGTTAATAGACAAGGTCACGTGTAATTCCTCAAAAACATAGAGCTCACCAAAGTAATGATATTTGGCAAGATTGCAGTATGGTTCAGGTGCAAAATGCCAAGCTGAATTATTATAAGAAAGACTGGAGTGTTCTGTAGTTTCTCCTTCTATATTCATCATTACCTATTTCCAGCTCTTAAGGAAGAACAATTCTACAGGGCAAAAAAAATGTTCCCTTGACTGAACTAAGAAGTCTGTGTGCAGGAAGAACAGCTTTAATAGTACACAGTCAGGAAAAGGTAGGAATCTGAGCATTTTCTGCCAGATGTTCTGTTCTTTAGTTAAATGAAGGTTTAAAGAAAGATTCACTTCTGGCAGCGGCTAACTAGTTTTAGATAAAGAAGTAGTAGTAGTAGTAGTAGTAAAAATAGTAAGTTAAAACAAGTTGAAAATATCAGAGAATTACCCAAAATTAGAATTACCTGTATTACCTACAATGAGAATTTGCAGGACCAGATGCAAAAGTTGAGAAAGGCCAAAAGAGATAAGCTTAGCATCTGGCCCAACTTTTCTCATTATGATAATTGCAGATTCCAAAAACAACAGTAAAAACTGTGGCTAAAAGATGAAAAAATCCAATATGTTTGGAAATTCAGGAATACATTTATAAACTGTACAAAAGTCAAAGGAAAAAATCACTATGGGATACAGCATATAGTTTAAATTAAATAACAACAATAATAATAATGCATATTGAAATGTGTGAGATGCGCCTAAACTGTTTAGTGGAGCCATTATAATCATAAATGCATATATTGGAAGAGAATAAAGGTTACATATTAATGATCCAAGCATCTACTACAAGAAATTAGTAAAAGAATAACATAATGAGCTCAAAGAATATAGAAAAGCAAAAATAAAAATGAACCAAAATTAATTAAATAGAAAATAAATATCTAATAAAGAGGAAGAACAAGGAAAACTCTTAAGCTCCAGGCAAGATTCATTAAACACACACATAAATGACATAAATTATCAATATCAAAAGTTAAAAAGGAAACACTACTACAGATCCTCCTCCTTTTACAAAAGGCAATATTAACAATTAAATATATTAAGCTAAATAGTTTTAAAATGTTATTTTCAAAAATCCACAAAGAAAACCACAGGCAAAGATATCACCAAACCAAAACAAACCAAACGAAACCAAACCAAATTCTACTAAAGGAAAGAATAATACTCATTTGACACAAACTCTTTAAGAGACTAGAAAAGGAGAAGATCTTTCAACTTATTTTATGAAGCCATCATGGCCTTGACACCAAAACCTGAAAAAGACATTATGAGAAAAAAAATTACAGGATATTTATCACTTACAGTGACAGAAGCATTTTTTCTAAATTCATTATCACTCATAGTAACAGAAGCATTTTTTTCTAAATTAGAATTAAAACTTCTAATTTCTAACTCATTATCCTTTATTTGAAAGTGTAACTCTGATTTAATATCATGAAATCAGTTAACGTAATTGGTCACATTGACGAAAATAAGAAAAGAAATCAAAGTCATCTCAAATATGCAAGAAAAAATATTTCCTAATATTCAACATCAATTTTGTAAGAATTCACTCACCGTTTTTGGTCTGAAAACAAAAATTTTAAAACTTACATCAGGTATGACATTTAATGGTGAAATATTGAGAATTTTTATTTGGATTTGGGAAAGATATAAGAAATATACCTTTTCATCATTTCTACTGAATATTATGGAAGAGGTTTTAGACAGAATAGTATGCTAAAAAAAGAACTTTGCATTAAAGGAAAAGTAAATCAAATTGTTGTGTTTAGCAAATAATAATTGTGTATCTAAAAAATCCAATTAAATTAATAAACAAATTGAACAAGTCCACTAAATACAAGGTCTATAAATCAAAATCAACTGGATATCCATGTCATAAGCAATTAAAAAATAAATTTGTAAAAAGGAGCTGTATTAGTTGTCTATTGCTGCCATAACACATTTTCACAAATTTAGCAGCTTAAAAATCATTTATTATGTCACAATTCTATTGGTTAGAAACCAGAACACAGAACGGCTCATCTGATCTATGCTCTAGTTTCACAAGGCCAAGATCAAGGTTTGGGCAGGTCTGCATTTCCTTCTCATCCCCAGGGATGAATCTACTTTTAAATTAGAGTATTGACAGCATTCATTTCATATAATTGTAGGACTAAGGTCCCTGTTTCCTGTTGGCTTTGGGGTTCTAAAGGACATTCATATTTCTTGGTTCATGATCTTCTTGCTTTATCTTCAAAGCTGGGTCAATTTCTTCCCAAGTTTCAAATCTCTTTGATCTTCCCTTCTGCCTCATCTCATCTCTGCTTTCCTCTCTGCCACATCTCTCTGACTTCTGCCAGAGAAACTTCTTTGTTTTTAAGGATATATGTGATTAGACGATACTCACCTGGATAATTTAGGATAATATCCCTATTTTAAAGTCCATAACCTTAATTATGTTCTCAAGTTCCCTTTACATCAGTAGCAAATTTAGTGTTTGAATAATCAGAAGTCGGATTCTAGGAGGTAGCATCTTTAGAATCCTGTTTACCACATAATAAATAATTTACAATAGTATGAAAATGTATTCAATTTATACACATAATCTAATGTAATATTTGTGCATTTTTTACCTAAATAATCAAAAAATATTGCTCTAAGAAATTAAAGAAAGCCTAAATAAATGGCAGCGTATGCCATAAGCATGAATTGTCAGATTCAATATTGTAAAGTCATCAATTTTCACCCAGACTTATCTAAAGATATAACACAATCTCATTTAATGAAATCTGAGAAAAACAGATTTTAAAATATAAAAGGAACTGAGAAATGTAAAGAATGATCAAGACATCCTTTAAGATAAACAACAATGAAAAATTTAAACTATCAAACTGTAATACTAATAATAAAACTTAACTAATGAGGATACTAACAATGTGATATTGTCAAGGAGACAGATACATGAAACCGAATCTAGAAGTGGATCCCAGCACCTATGGACATTTGATTCATTGTAAAGATGCCATTGAAGAGAAGTAGAAAAGGACTTTTTAATAAATGGTGGTTAAGATAATTGGACATTCACAGACAAAAGAATGAAATTTGACCCGTCCCTTTTATCATACTAAAAAGTCAATGAGGTATAAAAGTAAATATCAATGGATTATAAAAGTAAAAGTCAATGTATTTTAGATTTAAAACAGTATAGATTCTAAAAACATATTAGAGTAAGCATCTTCTAAAATGGATCCCAAAGATCACTGCCTCCTAATATCCACAGCCATTGGTAATCCTCTCCACTTGACTGTAGGTGGGACCTGGTGACTTACTTCTAACCAGAACATATGGTAAAAGTGTGATGATGTCACTTTGTTTGCCTCAAGGGAGAGATGATATTCAGGAAAAAAAAAGTCTTGTATCTGTTTATACATACGAAATGATTTATCTAGGTTATATTCCCAGGCATGGGGAATGATGGAATTTAGGTCATATGAATGTTCTACTTTACAAGATAAAACTTTCTTTTCCCATAAGGCTGGAAACAATTTATATACCTTTTGATCAATGAATACAAATTCATACTATTCCACACCCTTATGATTATATTGTTAAACTTTTTATATTGTGTAAAATTGAATGCAAAATCTTCTTTATTGTGGTCCTCATTTGTAATATACTCAATGAAGGATGTTCAGCATCTCACATGCTGGTTTGCCTTCTGCTTATTCTTCTGGAAAGTGGATCTATTGTCCTTTGCTCATATTCTCATTGGTTTTGCTTGTCTTTTATGACTGATATGCAATATTTCTTTATATTCTCACTAATTCTTTCTTAGATATATAACTCTATGTGTTTGTGTGTGTGTGTGTGTGTGTGTGTGTGTGTGTGTGTATCTTCTCAGGACTGTTCAAAGATGGTATTTTCACATTCTTCATGGTGTGTTTTAAATGATAGAAGATCCTTAGTATTAAGATACTCTAGTATTTTGTGTGTGTGTGTTTAGGATTTTTTCAGATTTATTTTTAAAAATCTTGATTAATCTTGAGAATATAATGATATTCTATATTTTATTCCAAAATTTTTGAAGTATTGCTTTTTTCCTTAACTACTTGATTCCCTTGGGTCACTTTACATATACAATGAGAAGTAGGCATCCTATTTCATTTTTTTCTATATAGATAATCAGTTGATTTGCACTATTCATTGCAGAGTCTTTCACTCGTTTATTGACCTGTATACAATTTCCATCAGAATGAATAAGGGTCTGTTGATTCTGTGTTTTCTATTTTATTTCACTGGTCAATTTTCCATTCTGACCTATGCTATACCCTTTCAATTATTATAGCATCAGAATCAATTTTGATATTTTGAAAACCTAATCTCCTATACTTTTTATTTTTTAGTTTTAGTTTGGTGGTACATGTGCAGGGTGTGCAGGTATGTTACATAGGTAAACGTGTGCCATAGTGGTTTGCTGCACCTATCAACTCATCACCTAGGTATTAGGCCTAGCATGCATTAGCCATTTTTCCTTATGTTCTCCCTCCCTGCCACCTCACCCCCCAGTGTGTGTTGTTTCCATCCCTGTGTCTATGTGTTCTTACTGTTCAGCTCCCACTTATAAATGAGAACATGTGGTGTTTGGTTTTCTGTTCCTGTGTTAGTTTGCTTAGGGTAATGGCATCCAGCTTCATCCATGTCCCTGCAATGAACATGATCTCATTTCTTTTTATGGCTATATAATATTCCATGTTGTATACATACCACATTTTCTTTATCTAGTCTATCATTGATGGACATTTGGGTTGATTCCATCTTTGCTATTGTGATTAGTGTTGCAATGAATATACACATGCATGTATCTTTGTAATAGAATGATTTATATATTTGGGGGTATATACCCTGTAATGGGATTGCTGAGTCAGTGGCCTATCTGGTTCTCGGTCTTTCAGAAATTGCCACACCATCTTCCACAATGATTTGCATTTCTCTAATAATCAGTGATGTTGAGCTTTTATTTCATATGTTTGTTAGCTGCATGAATGTCTTCTTTTGAGAAGTGTCTGTTCATGTCATTTGCCCACTTTTTAATGGGGTTGTTTTTTCTTGTAAATTTGTTTGAGTTCCTTCTAGATTCTGGATGTTAAACCTTTGTCAGGTGGATAGATTGCAAAAATTTTTTCCCACTCTGTAGGTTTCCTGTTTGCTCTGATGATAGTTTCTTTTGCTGTGCCAAAGCTCCTTAGTTTAATTAGATCCAATTTGTCAATTTTTGCTTTTGCTGCAATTGCTTTTGGAAATTCCATCATGAAATCTTTAGCTGTGCCTATGTCCTAAATGGTATTGCCTAGATTTTCTTCTAGAGTTTTTATAGTTTTGGGTTTTACATTTAAGTCTTTAATCAATCTTGAGTTAACTTTTGTGTAAGATGTAATGAAGGATCTAGTTTCAATTTTCTGCATATGGCTAGCCAGTTTTCCCAGCAGTATTTATTAAATAAGGAATTATTTCCCCATTGCTTGTTTTTCTCAGTTTTATTGAAGATCAGATGATTGTAGATGTGCTGTCTTATTTTTGAGTTATCTATTCTGTTCCATTGGTCTATGTGTCTGTTCTTGTAACAGTACCATGCTGTTTTGGTTATTGTAGCTTTGTAGTACAGTTTGAAGTCAAGTAGCATGATTCCTCCAGCTTAGCTCTTTTTGCTTAGGATTGTCTTGGCTATACGAGCTCTTTTTTGGTTCCATATGAATTTCAAAGTAGTTTTTTCTAATTCTGTGAAGAATGTCAGTGGTAGTTTAGTGGGAATATCATTGAATCTATAAATTACTTTGGGCAGCATGGCCATTTTCCTGATATTGATTCTTCCTATTCATGAGCATAGAATATGTTTCCATTTGTTTGTGTCCTCCCTGGTTTCCTTGAGCAGTGGTTTGTAGTTCTCCCAGAAGAGGTCCTACACCTCCCTTGTTAGCTGTATTCCTGGGTATTGTATTCTCTTTGCAGCAATTGTGAATAGGAGTTCATTCATGATTAGGCTCTCTACTTGCCTGATGTTGGTGTATTAGAATGCTTGTGACTTCTGCATATTGATTTTGTATCCTGAGACTTTGCTGAAGTTGCTTATCAGCTTAAGAGGCTTTTGGGCTGAGTCAATGGGGTTTTCTAGATATAGGATCATGTCATCTGCAAACAAAGACAATTTGACTTCCTCTCTTCCTATTTGAATACCCTTTATTTCTATCTCTTGCCTGATTTCCCTGGCCAGAACTTCCAATACTATGTTGAATAGGAGTAGTGAGAAAGGGCATCCTTGTCTTGGGCTAGCTTTTAAGGAGAATGCTTCCAGCTTTTGCCTATTCAGTATGATATTGGCTGTGGGTTTGTCATAAACAGCTCTTATTATTTTGAGGTATGTTTCTTCAATACCTAGTTTATTGAGAGTTTTGAAGATGAAGGGATGGTGAATTTTATCAAAGGCCTTTTCTGCATCTATTGAGATAATCATGTTGTTTTTGTCTTTAGATCTGTTTATGTGATGAATTGCCTTTATTGATTTGCATATATTGAACTAGGCTTGCATCCTGGGAAAACCAACTTTATCCTGGTGGATAAGCTTTTTGATGTGCTCCAATATTCAGTTTGCCAGTATTTTAGTGAGAATTTTTGCACTAATGTTTGTCAGGGATATTGGCCTGAAGTTTTCTTTTTTTGTTGTATCTCTGCCAGGTTTTGGAATCAGGATAATGCTGTCCTCATAGAATGAGTTAGGGAGGAGTTCCTCCTTTTCTATTATTTTGAATACTTTCAGAAAAAAAGGTATCAGTTCCTCTTTGTATTTCTGGTACAATTTGGCTATAAATCCATCTGGTCCTGGGCTGTTTTTGGTTGGTAGGTGACATGGTTTGGCTGTGTCCCTAGTCAAATTTCATCTTGAATTGTAACTCCCACAATGCCCACTTGTGGGAGAAACCCGGTGGGAGGTGATTAAATTATGGGGGCAGGTCTTTCCTGTGCTATTCTCATGACAGTGAATGAGTTCACAAGATCTGATGGTTTTAAAAATGGGAGTTTTCCTGTACAAGCTCTTTCTTTGCCTGCTGACATCCATGTAAGATGTGACTTGCTCCTCATCGTCTTCTGTCATGATTGTGAGGATTCCCCAACCAGCTGGAACTATAAGTCCATTAAAGCTCTTTCTTTTGTAAATTGCACAGTCTCGGGTATATCTTTATTAGCAGCATGAAAATGGACTAATACAGTAAATTAGTACTAGTCAAGTGGGGTGCTGCTGAAAAGATACCCAAAAATGTGGAAGCAGCTTTGGAACTGGGTAACAGGAATAGGTTGGAACAGCTTGGTGGGCTTAGAAGAAGACAGGAAAATGAGGGAAAGTTTGGAACTCCCTAGAGACTTGTTGAATGGCTTTGCCCAAAATGCTCATAGTGAAATTGACAATGAAATCCAGGCAGAGGTGGTCTCAGATGGAGATGAGGAACTGGAGTAAAGGTGACTCTTGCATAGAGAGTGGTGGCATTTTGTCCCTGCCCTAGAGATTCGTGGAGCTTTGAACTTGAGAGAAATGATTTAGGGTATCTAGCAGAAGAAATTTCTAAACAGCAAAGCATTCAAGAGGTGACTTGATTGCTGTTAAAGGCATTAAGTTTTAAAAAGTGAAACAGAGCATAAAAGTTCAGAAAATTTGCAGCCTGACATTGCAATAGAAAAGAAAATCCCATTTTCTGAGGAGAAACGTAAGTTGGCTGCAGAAATTTGCATAAGTAATGAGAAGCTGAATGTTAATCCCCAAGACAGTGGGAAAATGTCTCCAGGGCATGTCCCCTTCCTGGCTGCCCCTTTCATTAAAGGCTCAGAAGCCTAGGAGGAAAATGTTATTTTTATTGATTTTGTGGATTGAGCCCAGGGTCCCTGTGCTGTGTGCCACCTAGGGACTTAGTGCCCTGCATCCCAGCTGCTACAGCTATGGGTGAAAAGGGACAATGTAGAGCTCAGGTTGTGGCTTCAGAGGGTGCAAGCTTCAAGCCTTGGCTGCTTCCACATGGTGTTGAGCCTGCCACTGCACAGAAATCAAGAATTGGGGTTTGGGAACCTCCTCTTAGATTTCAGAGGATGTATGGAAACACCTGGATGTCCAGGCAGAAGTTTGCAGTAGAAGCAGAGCTCTCATGGACAACATCTGCTAGGGAAGTGCAGAAGGGAAATGTGCGGTCAGATCCCCCCACAGAGAGTACCTACTGGATCATTGCCTAGTGGAGCTATGAGAAGAGAGCCACCATCTTCCAGACCCCAGAATGGTAGATCTACCAACAGCTTGCACCATGTGCCTGGAAAAGCAACAGACACTAAACAACAGCCTGTGAAAGCAGCTGGGAGGGAGGCCATACCCTGCAAAGCCACATGGATGGAGTTTCCCAAGACCATGGAAACCCACGTCTTGCATCAAAGTGACTGAGGTGCAAGACATGGAGTCAAAGGAGATCATTTTGGAGCTTTAAGATGTGACTGCCCTGCTGGATTTCAGACTTGCATGGGGCTTGTAGTCCTTTTGTTTTGGCCAATTTCTCCCATTTGAGTGGCTGTATTTACCCAATACCTATAACCCTTTTGTATCTAGGGAGTAACTAACTTGCTTTTGACTTTACAGGCTCATGGGTGGGAAGGACTTGTCTTGTCTCAGATGAGACATTGGACTGTAGACTTTTGAGTTAATGCAGAAATGAATTAAGACTTTGGGACACTGCTGGGAAGGCAGGATCATTTTTGAAATGTGAGGACATAAGATTTGGGAGGGGCCAAAGGTGGAATAATATGCTTTGGCTGTGTCCTCACCCAAATTTCATCTTGAATTGTAACTCCCACAATGCCCATGTGTTGTGGGAGGAACATGGTGAGGGGTGATTCAATTATGAGGATAGGTCTTTCCTGTGTTGTTCTTGTGATAGTGAATGAGTTCATCAGATCTGATGGTTTTAATAATGAGAGATTCTCTGCACAAACTCTCTCTTTTCCTGCTGCCATCCGTGTAAGATGTGACTTGCTCCTCTTTGTCTTCTGCCATGATAGTGAGGCCTCCCCAACCAGTGCAACTGTGTGTGTCCATTAAACTTCTTTCTTTTGTAAATTGCCCAGTCTTGGGTGTGTCTTTATCAGCAGCATGAAAAAGAAATAATACAGTAGGCTATTTATTACTGCCTCAATTTCAGAACTTGTTAATGTTCTATTCAGGAATTCAACTTTTTCCTGGTTCAATCTTGGGTGGGTGTGTCCAGGAATTTATCCATTTCTTC